>NC_000019.10:10060000-15060000 GCF_000001405.40 Homo sapiens
AACCTCCATCACCCGGGTTCAAGCGATTCTTCTGCCTCAGCCTCCCAAGTAGCTGAGATTGCAGGCATCCACCGCTGCGCCTGGCTAATTTTTGTATTTTTAGTAGAGACGGGGTTTCACCATTTTGGCCAGGCTGGTCTCAAACTCCTGATCTCAGGTGATCTGCCCACCTCGGCCTCCCAAAGGGCTGGGATTACAGGCATGAGCCACCGTGCCCGGCCAAAAAAAAATTATTTATTTATTTTTTTATTTATTTTGAGACGGAGTCTCGCACTGTCCCCCAGGCTGGAGTGCAGTGGTGCGACCTCGGCTCACTGGAAGCTCTGCCTCTCGGCTTCATGCCCTTCTCCTGCCTCAGCCTCCCGAGTAGCTGGGACTACAGGCGCCCGCCATGACGCCCGGCTAATTTTTTGTATTTTTAGTAGAGACGGGGTTTCACCGTGTTAGCCAGGATGGTCTCGACCTCCTGATCTCCACCCATCTCGGCCTCCTAAGGGCTGAGACTACAGGTTTGAGCCACCGTGCCCGGCCAAAAAAAAAAAAAAAAAAAAACCCTTTTTAAGGCACACCTTCATGAAAGGCCATGGACATTTCAAGCAAAGGGAACAGCACAGGCAAACACCCTGAAGTGGAAAGAGTGCTTGGTGTTGTCAAGGATGGAAAGGTTATAAAACCTTCCCATGGGCCGGGCGCGGTGGCTCATGCCTGTAATCCCAGCACTTTGGGAGGCCAAGGCGGGCAGATCACTTGATGTCAGGAGTTTGAGACAAGCCTGCTCAAC
This sequence comes from Homo sapiens, assembly GCF_000001405.40. Lineage (NCBI taxonomy): Eukaryota > Metazoa > Chordata > Mammalia > Primates > Hominidae > Homo > Homo sapiens. The sequence continues at coordinate 10,060,782 of NC_000019.10, forward strand.
ATGACGAAAACCCGTCTCTACTAAACATACAAAAAAAATCAGCCGGTCGTGGTGGCACATGCCTGTAATCCCACCTACTCGGGAGGCTGAGGCAGGAAAATCACTTGAACACGGGAGGTGGAGTTTGCAGTGAACCAAGATGGCGCCACTGCACTCCAGCCTGGGCAACAGAGTGGGACTCCATCTCAAAATAAATAAATAAATAAATAAATAAAAATTTAAAAAAAATCCCATGGCTGATGCTATCTCATCCCCAAGGGTCCATATCCCATCTTCCCCATTCTGCAAGTCAAGCAAAGTGGAACTAGGAAAATTTGCTTGCAATGGGACTGGAGGGACCTGAAGGAATTTTTTTTTTTTTTTTTTGTCATCCAGGCTGGACTGCAATGGCACAATCTCAGCTCACTGCAACCTCCACCTCCCAGGTTCAAGTGATTCTCCTGCCTCAGTCTCCTGAGTAGCTGGGATTACAGGCACCCACCACCACACCTGGCTAATTTTTTTGTATTTTTAGTACAGACAGGGTTTCACCATGTTGACCAGGCTGGTCTCGAACTCCTGACCTCAGGTGATCCGCCTGCCTTGGCCTCCCAAAGTTCTGAGATTACAGGTGTGAGCCACCGCGCCCAGCCAGGAACTTTTTTTTTGAAACTCAATTTCCCGATCGGAAAATAGAGTCCCGTTTCCCAGGGTCATTCTGAAAATTGGATGTCCACGTTTCCTCAGCAAAGAGCTTCACATAAAGTAGGTGATCAGGACTGGGCATGGTGGCTCACGCCTGTAATCCCAACACTTTAGGAGGTCGAGGTGAGAGAATGGCTTGAAGCCTCCCGGCCTCAAGACCAGCTTCGACAACATAATGAGAACCCCCCCAACCCCCACTCCCCCATCTCTACAAAAAATAAAAATAAAGTAGGTGATCAATAAGATGGCAGATGAGAAAACTGGGCCAGATGACACAAAGAGAGGGCAGGTTAAGGTGGGTGGGCCCAGCTCTGGGTGACAAGGCGGGCGTCCCTGTTTCTAGACAAAACCCACTGGCCAGTGGATGAGCAGAATCTGGGCTCCCTGTACACCATTGAGGCCACAGCCTATGGGCTCATGCAGAAGCTGGAGCTGGGCCGGTACAATGAGACACACGCCATAGCCAAGTGGCTACTAGAGAAGCAGGAGCTGGGAGGAGGCTTCAGGTCCACCCAGGTGATGGGGACCCCCGGGAGGTGAGGGCCAGAGTCACTAGCCGAAGTGCTGACTCGCCCAGCCCGACGGGGGAGTGTGTGTGTGTGTGTGTGTGGGGGGGGGGGGCTGTCCGTGGTGCTGACACGCCGGCCGATGGTTTCTCGAGTGCTGTCTGTGGTACTGATCCACGTTCCCCCACCTCCCCGCCCCATTCCAACACTCAGACCACGGTGGTGGCCCTTGAAGCTCTGACCCGCTTCCGCGAAGCTGTCCCCTTCAAGGGCATCCAGGATCTCCACGTCCAGATCAGAGCCCCCAAGACAGCCCTGAATGTGAATTGGTACATTGATCACAGCAATGCCTACCAACAGCGGTCAGCAAAGGTATGTCACTGAGGGGCAGGCCAGAGTCCACGCAGAGATGGCACTGGAGATGAGGCCAAGCATCATGTCCCTGCTGATCTCCCTCCTCAAGACATACCTCAAGATATGTGGCTATACTGTCAATGTATTGATTCATCTATTCCATCAACATTTCCTGAGCATCTACTATGTATCAGCGACTCTCCTAGGCATTGGGGTTATGTTATGAAAGATCCATGGTCCCTGTTCTTATGGAATCTAGAAGAGTCCCTAAGATCTAGAAGAAAATGGGCCAGATGCCATGGCTTACGCCTGTAATCCCAGCACTTTGGGAGGCCGAGGTGGGTGGATCATCTGAGGTCAGGAGTTCGAGACCAGCCTGGTCAACATAGTGAAACTCCATCCTACTAAAAATACAAAAATTACTCGGGCATGGTGGTGCATGCCTGTAATCCCAGCTACTCGGGAGGCTGAGACAGGAGACTCACTTGAACCCAGAAGGAGGAGGTTGTAGTTACCTGAGATTGCACCTGAGTGACATAGTGAAACTCCATCTCAAAATAAAAATAACAATAAATAAATAAATGAAAAGAAATGTCACCCTGGGCAACATAGCGAGACTCCATCTCTACTAAAAAAGAAAAGAAGAAGTAAATCAACTCATCTAAGCTCATGCATTGTTTAGTGGATGTCCCTGGATAAATAGTTGTCAAAATGAAGAAAGCAGAGGGAGGGGAAGAGTGTTTCTTTTTATTGTTGTTGTTGTTGTTGAGACAGAGTCTCACTCAGTCACCCAGGCTGGAGTGCAGTGACGTGATCTTGCCTCACCGAAACCTCCATCTCCCGGGTTCAAGCGATTCTCCCGCATCAGCCTCCCCAGTAGCTGGGATTACAGGCACGCACCACCAGCCCAGCTAATTTTTGTAGTTTTAGTAGAGATGGGGTTTCACCATGGTGGCCAGGCTGGTCTCGAAATCCTAGCCTCATGTGACCTGCCCACCTCGGCCTCCCAAATTGCAGGGATTACAGGCATGAGCCACCACGCCTAGCCAAGGAAGAGTGTTTCTGACATAGGGAACAGCATAGAGTGCAGACCCGGAGCCAGTCAGGCACAGGAATGGTCAGAAGGGAGAACAGCAAATAAAGCAGGCTATTAGGAGGCTTGCAGGCTGGCAGAGCTCAGCAGTGAGGGCTGGGAGGCCATGGCAAGAATTAGGACTTATCCTATAGGCGATAATATTTGATCCTATAGGCAATGAGATTTGAGTGATTGTGACTTTTTTTCTTTCTTTCTTTCTTTTTTTGTTGTTGTTGTTTTTTGTTTTTTAGAGACAGGGTCCCACTCTGTTGCCCAGGCTGGAGTGCAGTGGCACAAACATAGTTCACGGCAGACTCGAATTCTTGGGCTCAAGCGATCCTCCTGCCTTAGCCTCCTGAGTAGCTGGGACTGGACATGCATTGCAATGCCCGACTTAATTTTCAATTTTTTTGGTAGAGATGGGGTCTAGCTAAATTGCCCAGGCATGTTTTGAACTCCTGGGCTCAAGCAATCCTCCCCACTTGGCGTCCCACACTGCTGGGATTACAGGCATGAGCCACTATGTTTGGCTTGGCTGTGAATTTTTAAAATTTTATTCTGGCTGATACAAGTAGACTATAATGAGGAAAACAAGAGTAGCTGCAGATGAAGATAGAGATTAGATTGGTGGTTGCCAGAGGATAGGAAGTGTACAAAGAAAGGGAGGGATGAAAAGAAGTTGATTAATGGGTACAAGCATACGGTTCGATAGAGGAAATAAGACCGAGTGTTTGATAGATTCATAGGATGAATATAGTTTACAATAATCTATTGCATATTTCATAATAGCTGGAAGAAAAGAATTAGAATGATTTTAGCATAAAGAAAAGACAAATATTTAAGGTGATGGATATCTGAGGTACACTGATCTGATCTTTACACATTATATGAGTGCATTAGATTATCACACGTGCCTTGAAACTATGTACATCCATTATGCATCAATTTTTGTTTTTTGAGATGGAGTCTCACTCTGTCGCCCAGGCTGGAGTGCAGTGGCACAATCTCAGCTCACTGCAGGCTCCGCTTCCTGGGGTCAAGCGATTCTCCTGCCTCAGCCTCCCGAGTAGCTGGGATTACAGGCGCCTGCCTCCATGCTCACCTAATTTTTGTATTTTTTAGTAGAGACGGGGTTCCACCATGTTGGCCAGGCTGCTCGAACTCCTGACCTTAGGTGGTCCACCCGCCTCGGCCTCCCAAAGTGCTGGGATTACAGGCATGAGCTACTGCACCCAGCCCATTATGCATCAATTTTAAAAGGCAAAGAAAAATAAAGAGAGGTGCAGAGGTGCCAGTGAGAAGGGGCTCATGGGAGCTCCATGCACAGGGAACCTTGGAAATGCTCCAAAGAGAACAGATTCCAGGGATGCACATTAGGACACAGCCTGAACTGAGCCGTGCAGATGATCTGACGTCAGGAGTTCGAGACCAGCCTGGCAAACATGCTGAAACCCCATCTCTACGGGCGTGACAGCACAAGCCTGTAGTCCCAACTACTCGGGAGACTGAGGCAGGTCAGGAGAATTGCTTGAACCCAGGAGGCAGAAGTTGCAGTGAGCCAGGATCACGCCACTGTACTCCAGCCTGGACAACAAAATGAGACTCTGTCTAAAAAAAAAAAAAAAAAGACAGCCTTAGACTGGACATGGCAGCTCACGCCTGTAATCCCAACACTGGGAGTCCAAAGCGGGTGGATCACTTGAGGTCAGGAGTTCAAGACCAGCATAAGGAACATAGTTAGATCTTGTCACTACAAAAAAATACAAAAAAAAAAAAATTAGCCAGGCATGGTGGCACACACTTGTAGTTCCAGCTACTTGGGAGGCTAAGACAGGAGGATTGCTTGAGCCCAGGAGGCAGAGCGCACCAAAGTGAGCCAAGATCGCACCACTGTACTCCAATCTGGGCTACAGACTGAGACCTGGTCTCAAAAAAAAAAAAAATACACAGGCTGGATGAGCAGTTCCAGTTGATCTATGATAGTGTAGACACCACAAATGCTCTCTGAAGAGGGAAAAGCAAAACCATCTGCGTGGAGAGAGATGGAAAATGAATCACCAGGTCCCAGGTTAGGGAAAACCGAGGCCCTGGTGAGTGTTCAGGCTCCACATCCCCCTACACTTGACCCTCACTTTGCTGCTTCCTCCACCCTTAAATCTTCCTCTTTGTTCTCTTCAGTTCCTTGCCCAGGACGACCTAGAGATCAAAGCCAGTGGCAACGGGAGAGGCACCATCTCGGTAGGTCTTGTATTCTACTGTATTAGTCTGTTTAGGCTGCTACAACAAAATAGACTGTGTGGCTTATAAACAACAGAAATTGGCCCAGCATGGTGGCTCATGCCTGCAATCCCAGCATTTTGAGAGGCCCAGGCAGGAGAATCACTTGAGTCCAGGAGTTCGAGATGCACCAGGGCAACAGAGTGAGACTCTGTCTTTACAAAAAATTGAAAAATTAGATGGGCATGGTGGCACATGTCTATAGTCACAGCTACTCAAGAGGCTGAGGTGGGAGGATTGCTTGAGTCCAGGAGGTGGAAGCCGCAGTGAGTCGTGATCAAGACCTTGCATTCTACCCTAAATGACAGAGTGAGACTCTATCTCAAAGGAAGGAAGGAAAAGAAAGAGAAGAAAGAAAAGAAAGGAAAGCAAGAAAGCAAGAAACAAAGACTCGGTGCAGTGGCTTGGCTGGGCATGGTGGCTCACGCCTGTAATCCTAGCACTTTGGGAGGCCGAAGAGGGAAGATCACCTAAGGTCAGGAGTTCGAGACCAGCCTGGCCAACATGGTGAAACCCTGTCTCTACTAAAAATACAAAAGTTAACCAGGCATGGTGGCGGTCACCTGTAGTCCCAGCTACATGGGAGGCTGAGACAGGAGAATCACTTGAACACAGAAGGCAGAGGCCAAGATTGAGCCATTGCACCCTAGCGTGGGTGACCAGAGCAAAACTCTGTCAGAAAGAAAGAAGAAAGAAAAGAAAGAGAGAGAGAGAGAGAGAGAGAAAAGAAGAAAGAAAGAAAGGAGAAAGAAAGAAAAAGTGAGAAAGAGGAAAGAAAGAAAGAAGAAAAAGAAAGAAAGAAAGAAAGGAGAAAGAAAGAGAGAGAAATTTATTGCTCACAGTTCTGGAGGCTGGGAAGTCCAAGATAAAGGCAGGGTACACTCTCTGTTTCAGGCCGGGTGTGGTGGCTCATGCCTGTAATCCCAGCACTTTGGGAGGCCGAGGCAGGCAGATCACAAGGTCAGGAGATCCAGACCATCCTGGCTAACGCGGTGAAACCCTGTCTCTACTAAAAATACAAAAAATTAGCCAGGCGTGGCGGCATGTGCCTGTATTCCCAGCTGCTGGGGAGGCTGAGGCAGGAGAATGGCCTGAACCCAGGAGGTGGAGCTTGCAGGGAGCCGAGATCGCACCACTGCACTCCAGCCTGGGCAACAGAGCAAGACTCTGTCTCAAAATAAATAAATAAATAAAATAAAATAAATAAGTAATCTATTATACTCATATTATTATTTATTTATAACCTAAATAAATAAATATAGGCCAGTCAGTGTGATTCATGCCTGTAATCCCAGCACTTTGGGAGGCTGAGTGCTGGGATGACGTCCATGACTTTTTTTTTTTTTTTTTGAGATGGAATCTGGCTCTGTCACCCAGGCTGGAGTGCAGTGGCACAATCTCGGCTGACTGCAACCTCTGCCTCCCAGGTTCACGTGATTCTCCTGCCTCAGCTTCCTGAGTAGCTGGGACTACAGGTGCACAGCAGCATGCCCAGCTAATTTTTTGTATTTTTAGTAGAGACGGGGTTTCACCACATTGGCCAGGCTGGTCTCAAACTCCTGACCTGAAGTAATCTGTCCGCCTTGGCCTCCCAAAGTGCTGGGATTACAGGCATGAGCCACCATGCCCAGCCTGACGTCCATGACATCTTCCAGCCCCATGACGTATACCCGGGAGGACAGCTCTTTTGTTAACCAAAAGGTGGCCTGGTGTCGTGTTCCAGACAATGGAGTCATGGCTGAATCTCTGCCTTTGTTATGTGACCCTGAGCAAGTCATACCTTTCTTCAAGCCTCTGTGAAATCTAAGTTTAAATGGGTTAAAATTAAACAAAATTCAAAATTCAGTTTCTCCGTCGAGCTAGCCGCATTTCAAGTGTTTGGTAGCCACATGTGGCTAATGGCTGCCATACTGGACAATGCCAATTGGGACCATTTCCGTCACTGCAGAAAGTTCTATGACACAGAGCTGGTCTAGACTCCAGACACTGCTCTGGCCACTGCACCTAGGAATTGATGGGGTCGGTGGGGGCAATCTTGCAGTAAATTCCCCACATGGCCAGAGACCTGGGAAGTCAAGGATTGGGGTGCAGAGGAAAGGCAGTGGGTGGGGAAGGGCTCTGACAGCCCCCTTTCCTGGCCCGGCAGATCCTGACAATGTATCACAAGTCCCCAGAGTCCCGGGAGGACAACTGCAACCTGTACCACCTGAATGCGACTCTCCACAGTGCCCTAGAAGGTAAGCCTGGTGTGGCTACAGGAGGAGTAAGGGTAGAGTTTTAGGAGAAGAAGTTGGAAAGGTGATGGGGGAAGATGGTGTAGGGACTTGTTAGCCACAGTGAGGACTTTGGCTTTTGTTCTGAGTCAGGTGGGGCATAGAAAGTTCCCAACGGAGGAGGAGTGTGACCTGGCACAGGTCTGCACAGGCTCCCTCTGATCTGACCACTCTAGAGGGTGAGGGTGGGAGCCAGGTGACCAGGAAGGTGACTGCACTGGTCCTGCAGGAGATGATGGAGGCCGGGCCAGATTAGGGGCTCTGGAGATGATCAGATATTAGTGGGCCGGGCACAGTGACTCATGCCTGTTATTCCAACACTTTGGGAGGCTGAGGCAGGAGGATCACTTGAGCTCAGGAGTTCAAGACCAGCCTGGGTAGCATAGTGAAACTCCATCTCTACAAAAAATTAGCTGGGCATGGTGATGCATGCTTGCGGTTCCAGCTACTCAGGAAGTTGAGGCGGGAGGATCATTTGAGCCCGGGTGGAGGCTGCAGTGAACCATGATTGTGCCATTGCACTGTAGCCTGGGCAACAGAGTGAGAACCTCTTTCAAAAGAAAAAAAAAACAAAAACAGAGAAATAGTTGGATTCCACAGTTCCCAGCCTGGGGCACCAAGAAGGAGAGAGGACTATTGGGAGCTCACTGTGGGAGTAAGAGGAACAACCCTCACCAGTCCCATGAATTTTAGGGACTAAACCTCACCAAGGTTTTGGTTTTTGCTTGATCTCTTAATAATAATAACAATAATAATAATAGTTACAAAGCACTGATCAGGCACCATGCTGAGGGCTTTACTTGTATTAACTTATTTAATCCTCACATCAATCCTGTTGGGTTGGGAATATTATGATCCCCCCTTAAGGATGAGTAAACTGAAGCAGAGAGAAGTTAAGCAACTTGCTCAAAGTCACACAGCAGAGTCAGGATTTGAATCCAAGATGCTAGCTCCAGAGACTGTGCACTTGATTACTGTGCTCCCCAGCCTCTAAACTGCTGCCTTCTCTCTGCAGAAAATAAAAAGGGAGGTGAGACTTTTCGGCTCCGGATGGAAACAAGGTCAGCGCACCAGGATCTTGAACTGGGAGGGAGGAGGGTCTCACTTTCCGGTATCTAGATTCCTTAGCGGCCTTCCCCGTGTACTGAGTGGACAGTGGGAACCAGCCAAGCTTGCCTCTCCATGCCTGTCCCCCATTCTGTACCTGCCTCCTTCCATGTCTGCATGTCCTCATATGACAGGCTCTACCTCAGCTGACATGCTCCATGACTCAGATGCCCAGAGCTGGCTCCAAGCCCTGAAGCTCTCCCCGTGGTTCTCATTTTCTCCGAACATCCCAGCCCCCACCCCAGTCCTGCCCTGTCCCATACCTCCCTTGCCCAGGTCTGCTTCAGATAGAAACATTATTGGGCACCTACTGTGTGCCAGACCCTGTTCTTGGAGCTAGGGACCCAGCTATGAGCAAGGCAGCCTCTCCCTGCCCTGGCGAAGCCCACAGTCTATCAGGAGACACACACAATCATCAAATAATCACACAGAACCAATAATGAAATGGCAGTGGTGATTTCATGTGGCAAAGGAGAGGTTTACAGAGTCATGAGAGGCAAATCAGAGAATGATCTGGGCCTGGTGCGGTGGCTCATGCCTGTAATCCCAGCACTTTGGGAAGCCAAGAGGATCACTTGAGCCCAGGAGTTTGAGGCCAGCCTGGGCAACACAGCAAGACCTCATCTCTAAAAAAAAAAATTCAAAAATTAGCTAAGGGTGGTAATGCATGTCTATAGTCCCAGCTACTCATGAGCCTGAGACTGGAGGATCACTTGAGCCCAGGAAGCTGAGGCTACAGTGAGCCATGATTGAGCCACTGCACTCCAGCCTGGGTGACCCTGTCTAAAAAAAAAAAAAAAATGATTTGGTGTGTGGGGTGTAGGTTGGGGAAGGCTTCCCAGAGGGAGTGATGTATCCGCTGAGATGGAAAACATGAGGGGTGTTTCAGGATGAAGAGGCAGAAACGAAGATTCCAGGCTGAGTGAACAGCATGTGCAAAAGTCTGGTGGCAGGACAGGGAACAAGGCTAACAGTGATCAAATGGAGGCTGAGGTGGGAGGAGGTGATGTGGAAGGGTGTCAGGATTGAGGCAAGGCATTTGGTAATTGAAGCAACGAGGCAAGGTAGTCAGATTTCTGCTTGCTAAAGCTCTGTGTTGTGAGTGGCAAAGGGGACATGGGGAGACCTGGAAGGAGGCTACTGCGCTGGTCCAAGCCAGAGACAACAGCAGTGGGGAGCATGGAGAGAGAGGCGGGAGGATAGTGGGGAAAGACTGGGGCTGTGAACTTCCAGGTTCCAGAACAATTGAGAGGCCACAATGACTATCATGGAGGTCTCCCTGCTCACGGGCTTCTACCCCAACCAGGATGACCTCAAACAGGTAATGCAGACCCCACCTACCTGCTTCCTGAGCAACCTTCCCATACTTCCCACATGGGTGCAGGGCAGTGTCTACTCAAAGCAAGGCTTCTGGGTTAATGCCCCATCGTTACTTCTCTGCATGGCCAAAACCAAACTTTTCCCTGGTTGGGCCTCAGTTTCCCCTAGCATGGGGTTGATTGGACAAAGGCTGGAGCTCTAGGGCTACGGGCCTTGGAGACTGTCAGCCACCCTCCAGTCTCCACCCTCTGCCCCAGCTCACGAGTGATGTGGAGAGGTACGCCTTTCAGTACAAAACCAAGACAAGTACCAGCGACAGCACTGTTGTCCTCTACCTGGAAAAGGTGAGAGGGGCCGGGTGCCCTCCGCCAGAGGTGTGTGGGTACCCTGGGGGCTGGAGAACCCAAGGTCGGTCCCCTGGGTGGGTTTTGCAGAGAGCCAGGCCCTCTCAGGTCAGCTCCTCCAGTTGCGATCCCTGTGGTCAAGGCCACATGGTCCGTGGTCATGGCCAATGCCAACAGCCAAGGCCTCGTGGTCAGTGCCACAAGGTCAGTGCCCCAGTCAGTGGCCCTGGCCGGCTCAGACAGGACTCTGTTCTCTCCAGCTCTCCCATGAGAAGAACACGGTGCTGGGCTTTCGGGTTCACAGGATGCTGCAGGCGGAGTTCCTGCAGGCCGCCCTGGTCACCATCTACGACTACTACGAGCCTTGTAAGGAGGGGCCCCCGTGCATGGGGATGAGGCCTGCAAAGGACAGAGCCAGGTGCCAGGCGAGGAGAGACCGGGCATTGCGAAAAGGGGGCTGGGCCTGGCTAGACATAAGGGGCGAGGTCTTATTGGATTGACCTAGGTTGGCGGGGACAGGAAGGAGATGGGGCAAAGTTGAAGGGGGACTGGGCGTGGCCTGCTGGGAATGGATGGGGAAGGGGCAGGCTCTTTTGAGTGGGCGTGGCCTGTTGACAGAGGTGGCTGGCCAGGGCCCTTCAAAGTGAGGTTTGTAGGGGGCAGGGCCAGGAAGAGGGGAAGGTCTGGGAGGACCTGGAGGGCGCAGCCCAGGGACAAGGAGGGGCAGGAGGGAGCCTGGACTTTGGAGGATGGGGAAGGCAGGCCAGGGCCCGGAGTGGGTGAAGACTTCTCAGGACTAGGCCAGGTAGGCAACGAACCCCCAGGAACACTGGCCCAAGACAACGCCCTCCCCCAACCCCTGCACCCTCCATCCACAGCCCGGAGGTGCAGCACTTTCTACAACCTGCCCACAGAGCAATCTTCCCTGAGAAAGATCTGCCACAAAGACATCTGCAGATGTGCAGAGGGTGAGATGTGCCGAGGGTGAGCCCCATGCCACCAGGCTGGGGCTGCCAGGTTGTGGGGGGCGGATCCAGGAGCCCTTCAAGCCTCCTCCTGGCTGTAGTCTGGCCTGAGTTTAGACAGAAAGAGAAAGAGACAGAGGCAGAGGCAAAGAGAGACAGAAAGAAGGCACAGAGAGACAAAGCTTGTCACACACACATACTCGCACTGCCAAAGATCAAATGACACGGAGACAGAGAGAAAGACACAAAGAGACGAAGACGGGAGAAATAGACAAGAAAGTGACCAAAAAGAGAGACAGACACTGGGCATGGTGGCTCATGCCTGTAATCCCAGCACTTTGGGAGGCCAAGGCGGGAGGATGGCTTGAGGCCAGAAGTTCCAGACAAGCCTGGGCAACACAGTGAGACCCCATCTCTACCAAAAAATTTTTTTAAAAAATTAGCCAGGAGTGGTGGTAAGTACCCGTAGTCCCAAATACTTGGGCGGCTGAGGCGGAAGGATCAGGAGTTGGAGACTGTAGTGAGCTATGCTTGTGCCACTGCACTCCAGCCAGGGTGATACAACAAGACCTTGTCTCAAAAATAAATTTAAAAAGCCGGGCTCAGTGGCTTACACCTGTAATCCCAGCATTTTGGGGGCCAAGGTGGGTGGATCACTTGAGGTCAGGAGTTTGAGACCAGCTTGGCCAACATGGTGAAACTCCATCTCTACTGAAAATACAAAAATTAGCTGAGTGTGGTGGTGCATGCCTGTAGTCCCAGCTACTCAGGAGACCGAGGCATGAGAATTGCTTGAACCTGGGAGGTGGAGGTTGCAGTGAGCTGAGATCACAGTGCATTCCAGCCAGGGCAACAGCACGAGACTCTGTCTCAAAAAATAAATAAATAAATAGGCCAGGTATGATGGCTCACACCTGTTGTCCCAACACTTTGGGAGGCCGAGGTGAGAGGATTGCTTCAGCCCAGGAGTTTGAGACCAGCCTGGGCAACATAGTGAGAGACCCCAACTCTTAAAAATATAATAATAATAAGAGAGAGAGAGAAGAAAAAGAAAGGAAGGAGGAAGGAAAAAGAAAAGAAAAAGAGAGAGAGAGAGACAGAGAGAGAGCCCCACAGACCAGAAGGGCCAGATCCGGAGACCCAGGCCTGGGGGCTGAAGGGAGGGAGGGTGGGGGGTGATTGGGAGGAAGTGCCCTGTCCCAGCACCGCCAGAGCAGCTGCCCTCCTGACCCTGCAGGACAGTGCCCATCCCTGCAGAAGCCCAGTGGCCAATTGAGGCAGGAGGAGCTCCAGACAACAGCATGTGAGGCAGGCGTGGATTTTGGTGAGTGTGGGGAGCCACAGGGGACAGGCAGAGCCCACCTGCAGGCCGAATGCCAACATGACACCCTCCCCTTCCCCAGTGTACAAGACAAAGCTGGAATCTGTGGAGGTCTCTGCCTCCAACCCTTACGTCTATTACAACACGCAGCTCGAAGACATCATTAAGAGTGGTATGTCCCAGGTGACAAAGAAGGAATCCCAGTGTGGGGTCACCCTGGGGGCCCACCCTGGGGGTCCCATTGTGTGGGAGGGTCAGACCTGTGTATGTGCACACACCGGGTTTTCTCCAGGTACGGACCCTGCCACACCCCTGGCCATGAAGAAATTCGTCTCCCATGCCACTTGCCATGACTCCCTGGGGTTGCAAGAACAGGAATCGTACCTCATCATGGGCCAGACGTCAGACCTGTGGAGAATCAAATCTGAGTGCGTGAGGGGTTCCACCTGTCCTGGGGACTCAGGCCTGGGCCTTCTTGCCTACCCTCAACCCAGCCCTCAGTTCCACAATTTTTGCTGGAGATTTCAAGCAATTCTCCTGCCTCAGCCTCCCAAGTAGTAGCTGGGACTACATGCGTGTGTCACCACACTGGGCTAATTTTCGTATTTTCAGTAGAGACAGGGTTTCATCATGTTGGCCAGGCTGGTCTTAAAACTCCTGGCCTCAAGTGATCCACCCACCTCGGCCTCCCAAAATCACGGGGTTGCAGGCGTGAGCCACCGCACCCGGCCAGGGAAGCATTTACTAATTCCCAGTGATTTGGACTAAGAGGCTGGAAGATCAGAGAGGGCCCTCGGGTGTGGACACTACAGGCTAAGGCTCTGGCAGGCTGTCAGACAGGGCAGGGAGGTCCCCATATCCCCAGGGGCACCAGGCTCTCCTCACCTTCTTGCTTCTTGTAACCCACAGTTACAGCTATGTTCTGGGCAAGGAGACGTTCCTCATCCTTTGGCCAGCAGATGGAGATGCCAGCAAGAAAGAATTGCGGGACCAACTGGAGGAATTTTTGGAATATATGCGCACCCACGGCTGCCAGTCCTGAGCCTCTTCTGCTTTCAGGGAGGTGTCATCAGGCAGCTCTGGGCCACTGGGTTTAACCCCAAATAAAGAGCACAGGATATGACACCCAAACCCTGGACATTTGTCCCTGTGTCAGCTTTCACCAGGGGACCTGCACAACCTGCTCTGGCATAATGTGGACCTGTCTCCTCCCTCTTCCCCTGCTACTTGGGCGGCTGAGGCAGGAGGATCACTTGGGAGCTGGCTCTCCAAGAGTCAATATTCCAAGAGAAGGAGCAGAGGGAGCCATAGTACCTTTTATGACCTAGCCTCAGGGGTCACATGCCATCATTTCTGCAACGTCCTATTGGTCACATGAGCCAGTATTATTCAGCATGGGTGGAGACTACACAAGGCATGACCACTAGGAGGCAGGGTTCACTAGGGGAATAAATTTCAGCAGGCCATGGTATCCAATCCATTTAATGTGCTGCTGGATTTGGTTTGTTAACATTTTGTTGAGGATTTTTGCATCTATATTCATAAGGAATATTGGTCTGTAGTTTTCTCTTCTTGTGGTATCAGTGTCTGGAATGCTGGCCCCATAGAGTGTAAAAGAAATTAAGAAATATTCTTGGGAGCCATGGTGGCTCAGGCCTGTTGTCCTGGTGCACAAGGAGGCAAGGCTAGAAGTTTGAGGCCAACCTGGGCAATATAAAAACCTCTCGTCTATATAACAACAACAATAAAAAAACTAGCCAGCACAGTGGCTCACGCCTGTAATCCCAACACTTTGGGAGGCTGAGGCAGGCAGATCACCTGAGGTTGGGAATTCGAGACCAAGCTGACCAACATGGAGAAACCCTGTCTCTACTTAAAATACAAAAAAATAAGCCAGGTGTGGTGATTTGCCTGTAATCCCAGCTACTCGAGAGGCTGAGGCAGGAGAATCACTTGAACCCCGGAGGCAGAGGTTGGAGCGAGCCAAGATTGTGCCATTGCACTCCAGTCTGGGCAACAAGGGCGAAATTCTGTCTCAAAACAAAAGGCCCAGCACAGTGGCTCACGCTCACGCCTGTAATCCCAGCATTTGGGAGGCCAAGGCAGGCAGATCACGAGGTCAGGAGATCGAGACCATCCTGTCTAACATGGTGAAACCCCTTCTCTACTAAAAATACAAAAAAATTAGCCAGACGTGGTGGCGGGTGCCTATAGTCCCAACTACTCGGGAGGCTGAGGCAGGAGAATGGTGTGAACCCAGGAGGCAGAGCTTGCAGCGAGCCGAGATCGCACCACTGCACTCCAGCCTGGGCGACAGAGCGAGACTCCGTCTCAAAAAAAAAAAAAAAAGAAAAAGAAAAGAAAGAAAGAAAGAAAGAATTTTCTCCTCTTCCTGAGCATGATGGTTCACACCTGTAGTCACAGCACTTTGGGAGGCTGAGTCAGGCAGATTGCTTGAGTCCAAGAGTTCCAAACCAGCCTGGGCAACATGGAAAAACCCTGTGTCTACCAAAAAATACAACAATTAGCCAGGCTTGGTGGTATGTGCCTATAGTCCCAGCTACTTTGCAGGCTGAGGTGGGAGGATGGATTGACCCTGGAAGGTTGAGGCTGCAGTGAACTCTGTTCACACCACAGCATTCCAGCTTCAGTGTGACAATGAGACCCTGTCTCAAAAAAAAAAAAAATCCCTCTTCCAGTCTGGGCAACACAGCATGACCCCGTCTCAAATTAAAACTTTAAAAAATATTGGCCGGGCATAGTGGCTCACACCTGTAATCCCAGCACTTTGGGAGGCTGAGGCAGGCGGATCACCTGAGGTCACGAGTTGGAGACCAGCCTGACCAACATGGAGAGAGCCCGTCTCTACTAAAAATAAAAAACTAGCCGGGCATGGTGGCACATGCCTGTAATCCCACCTACTAGGGAGGCTGAGGCAGGAGAATCGCTTGAACCCGGGAGGCGGAGGTTGCGGTGAGCCGAGATCGCACCATTGCACTCCAGCCTAGGCAACAAGAGTGAAACCCCGTCTCAAAAAAAAAAAAAGAAAGAAACAAAAAGAAAAAAGCTGGGCATGATAGCACACACCAGTAGTTCCAGCTACTCAGGAGGCTGAGGTGTGTGGATTCCTTGAGCCCAGGAGACACAGGCAGCTGCAATGAGCTATGACCAGGCCACTGCACTCCAGCTTGTGCAACAGAGAAAAGCCCTGTATCCAAGAAAAGAAGAGAGACAGACAGAGAGAGAGAGAGAGAGAGAGAGAGAGAGAGAGACCAGGTGGAGTGGCTCACTCCTGTAATCCCAACATTTTGGGAGGCTGAGGCAGGAGGACAACTTGAGTCCAGGAATTCGAGACTAACCTGGGCAACAAAGTGAGACCCTGTCTCTACAAAAAAATCAAGAAATTAGCTGGATGTGGTGGTGTGTGCCTGTAGTCCCAGCTACATGGGAGGCAGGAGGATTGCTTGAGCCCAGAAGGTCAAGGCTGCAGTAAATCATTCACACCACTGCACTCCAGCCTGGGCAGCAGACTGAGACCCTGTCGAAAAGGAAAGGGATGGGACAAGACGGGACAGGACAGGACGGGACGGGATGGAATGGGACGGGACGGGAAGGGAAGGGAAGGGAAGGGGAGAAGAAGAAGAAGAAGAAGGAGAAGAAGAAGGAGAAGGAGAGAGAAGAGAAAAGAGAAGAGAAGAGAAGAGAAGAAGGAGGAGGAGGAGAGGAAGGAAGGAAGGAAGGAAGGAAAGAAGGAGGGAGGGAAGGAGGCAGGGAGGGAAGGAAGGAAGGAGGGAGGGAAGGAAGGAAGGAATGTTCCTTCCTCTTCTATTTGTTGGAAGCATTTGAAAAGAATGTGTACTTAACTTATTGGTAGACTTCATCACTGAAATCATTCAGTCATGACCTTTTCTTGTTTGGAGGTTTTTGATTACTAATTCTAGTTCTTATTACAGATCTGTTGAGATTTTCTATTTCTTCTTGAGTTAGTTTTATGTATTTCTAGAAATTTGTTCATCCAGATAGATTATCTGATTTGTTGGTGAATAATTGTTCATAGCATTCTCTTATAATCCTTTAAATTTCTGTAAGGTCAGTAGTAATGCCTCTATTTTCATTTCTAATTTTAGTTATTTGCACCTTTTTTTCCTTTGTCAGTATTGCTAAAGGTTTGTCAATTTTCTTTATCTTTTTGAAGAACCAACTTTTGGTTTCCTTGAGTCTTTGTCTATTTATTTATTATTATTATTATTTTGAGATGGAGTCTCTCTCTGTCACCCAGCCTGGAGTGCAGTGGCACGATCTCAGCTCACTGCAACCTCTGCCTCCCAGGTTCAAGCAATTCTCCTGTCTCAGCCTCCAGAGTAGCTGGGACTACAGAAGCGTGCCACCACACCCGACTAATTTTTTTGTATTTTTAGTAGAGATGGGGTTTCACCATGTTAGCCAGGATGGTCTCGATCTCCTGACCTCGTGATCCCTGCCTGCCTCGGCCTCCCAAAGTGTTGGGATTACAGGCGTGAGCCACCGTGCCTGGCCCATTGAGTCTTCAAATTTCTCCACTGTTTCTCCTTTTTCTTTCTTTCTTCCTTTTTTTTTTTTTTTTTAGATGGATTCTTGCTATGTTGCCCAAGCTGCTGGTCTTGAATTCCTGGACTCAAGTGATTCCCCACTCCTCAGCCTCCCAAAGTGCTGAGATTACAAGCATGAGCCACTACGCCCAGCTATACTGATTACTTTTTTAATTTTAGTTTTTATTCATTTTCACAGACAGGGTCTCACTCTGTCACCTAGGCTGGAGCGCAGTGGCATGATCATGGCTCACTGCAGCCTGAACTCCTGCACTCAAGTGATCCTCCTGCCTTGGCCCCCCAAGGAGCTGGGACTACAGGTAGAAGCCGCCACACCTGGCCTGTCCTTATTATCTTTTTAGGATACATGAAAACAAAAAGATTCCCCCAAAGGCAGACATGTAGAAAAGAAAATGGGGACTGGGCGCGATGGCTCATGCCTCTAATCCCAGCACTTTGGGAAGCCAAGGCAGGTGGATCATCTGAGGTCGGGAGTTCGAGACCAGCCTGACCAACATGGCGAAACACTGACTCTACTAAAAATACAAAATAATTAGCCAGGCATGGTGACGGGCGCCTGTAATCCTAGCTACTCAGGAGGCTGAGATGGGAGAATTCCTTGAACCTGGGAGGCGGAGGTTGCAGTGAGCCAAGATTGTACCACTACACTCCAGCCTGGACAATAAAGCCAGACTCTGTGAGAAAGGAAATGAGAGGAGAGGGGAGGGGAGAGGAGGGGAGGGGAGGGGAGGAAAGGAAAGGAAAGGAAGAAAAGAAAGAGAAGAAAAGAAAGTGGGAAACTCCATCGCAAGCCTTTATCGTACGCTCCTCCCCGCAGAACCAGAACGTGCACATCCTGCATCCCCTATTCAACATGGAAAACACTTGAGTAGCCAAGGACAAAAATATGTAATGTTTCTTACTGTGTGTACACCGGGACTTCCTCCTTCTGGATCAAACACTTCTTAATGTGTAACTTTTTGGAGGAGGAGTCCAACACGCTTTGCTTTTGCAATCAGAAAAGGAAAAAAGGGCAGAGTATCATGCTTAGAGGGGAGAGAATGCTATCGGCAAATTTAAAATTCCAAAATGTAAAGTAGAAAGAGGACATTGTCTGTCCATCCCACATCCCAGAATTACAGGTCTGGTGTCTGCACCGACTGGCTTTTTTTTTTTTTTTTTTTTTGAGATGGAGTCTCGCTCTGTCGCCCAGGCTGGAGTACAGTGGCTTGATCTTGGCTCACTGCAACCTCCGCCTCCCGGGTTCAAGCGATTCTTCTGCCTCAGCCTCCTGAGTAGCTGGGACTAAAGGCCTGCACCACCACACCCAGCTAATTTTTATATTTTTAGTAGAAACGGGGTTTTGCCATATTGGCCAGGCTGGTCTCAAACACTCCTGACCTCGTGATCCGCCTGCCTCAGCCTCCCAAAGTGCTGGGATTACAGGCGTGAGCCATCACACCTGGCCCCGACTGGCTTTTTCTCAGTACTTTCCCTCGGGGCCTTCTGGCCTTGGTTCTCCTCCAGAATGTAGGATCAATGATTAATGATGGATGTTTCTGCTGTCAGGAGCTGAGATGTGGCAGCAGTCCCTGGAGTGGAGTGAGGAACTGTTTCCCACAGGCCACGCCCTCGGAAAAGCAAGATAAACCAAAGTGGTGGGCGTGGTGGCTCACACCTGTAGTCCCAGCACTTTGGGAGGCTGACGTGGGAGGATCACTTGAGTCCAGGAGGTCAAGGCTGAACTGCACTCCAGCCTGGGTGATGTGGCAAGTCCCCACCCCCAAAAAAAGAAGAAAGCAGCTAGACGTGATGGCTCATGCCTATAATCCCAGCACTTTGGGAGGCCAAGGCAGGCAGATCCCTTGAGGCCAGGAGTTCAAGATCAGCCTGGACAACATGGCAAAACCCTGTCTCTACTAAAGATATAAAATTAGCTGGGCATGGAGGCACACGCCTGTAATCCCAGCTACTACTTGGGAGGCTGAGGTACGAGAATCCCTTGAATCCAGGAGGCGGAAGTAGCAGTGATGTGAGATCACGCCATTGTGCTCCAGCCTAGGCGACAGAGCAAGACTCTGTGTCAAAAAAAAAGAAAAAAACAAAAAAAAACACCGGAAAGAAAAGAGGCTGCGCTCAGTGGCTCACGTCTGTAATCCCAGCACTTTGGGAGGCCAAGGTGGGAGGATTACCTGAAGTCAGGAGTTTGAGACCAGTCTGGCCAACATGGTGAAACCCTATCTCTATTAAAAATATAAAAAACTAGCCAGGCATGGTGGCGGGTGCCTATAATCCCAGCTACTCAGGAGGCTGGGGCAGGGAATTGCTTGAACCAATGGGGTGGGGGTTGCAGTGAGCCAAGATTGCACCACTGCACTGCAGCCTGGGTGACAGAGCAAGACTCTGTCTCAAAAAAAAAAAGAAAGAAAGAAAGAAAAGAAGGAAAGAAGGAATGGAGGGAGGGAGGAAGGGAGGGAGGGAGGGAAGGAGGGAGGAAGGAAGGAAGGAAGGAAGGAAGGAAGGAAGGAAGGAAGGGGAGAAGGAAGGAAAGAAGGAAGGAGAGAAGGAAGGAAGGTTGGTTAAGGACTGTCTGGTTCCAAAGCATGCCCCCTTCATCTCTACAATTCTTAACCTAAATTCCAGCTTGAAGGAGTTTGCAGTCAGTTGGCCTGAGTTCAAATCCTGGCTATACCACTTATAAACTGGGTATCCATGTGATTTGCTTAATCTCTTGGAGGCTCAGTTTCTTCATCTGTAAGGGCCAATCATGCCTAAGCCAGAAGATCCTAAGGCCTAGGGCATAACCTGCAGACAGCCTGACACTCAGTGAGCTCCAGATACACTCAGGGAATTTATTTTAGCCATTATAATTTCTCCACTCACCACTCACCAAATTCATTTGAGCAGAGCCCCATTAAACAGGTTCCTCAACTTTTGCACATAATGTATTCCTGGAAAAATGTATGAAACTGATTTCACAAAAGTCGAACAACAGATTTCTGTGCTACAAAGGATGTTCCATTTACTGAGAACTACTCAAATTATAAAATCCCAAATTACTTCTCACCTGTTAGGCATCATTGTCAAAGATAGTGTCCAGGGTTTCATACATGTTATTTTTAAAAATTAATTGGATTGGCTGGGCGTGATGGCTCATACCTGTAATCCCGGCACTTTGGGAGGCTGAGGTGGGCAGATCACGAGGTCAGGAGTTCGAGACCAACCTGGCCAACATGGTGAAACTCTGTCTCTACTAAAGATACAAAATATTAGCTGGGCGTGGCAGCACGTGCCTGTAATCCCAGCTTCACAAGGGGCTAAGCCAGGAGAATCGCTTGAACCCGGGAGGTCGAGGTTGCAGTGAGCAGAGAGCACGCCATTGCACTCCAGCCTGGGCGACAGAGCAAGACACTGTCTTAAAAAAAGAAAAAAAGAAAAAAGAAAAGAAAATTAATTGGATTTATCTTATTGGGTATTTTTTTTTCTCACTACAAAATGATAGATTAGATGCTTGTTGCAAGAAAAATTCAAACCAGGTGCAGTGGCTCATGCCTGTAATCTCAGGGCTTTGGGGGGCCGAGGAGGGAGGATCACTTGAGCCCAGGAGGTCAAGATCAGCCCAGGCAACATAGTGAGACCCCGTCTCTACACAAATAATAAAATTAGCTGACATGATGGTGCACACCTATCGTCACAGCTACTTGGGAGGCTGAGGCAGGAGGATCGCTCGAGCCCAGGAATTCAAGGCTGCAGTGAGCTATGATGATGACACGGCACTCCAGTCTGGGTGGCAGAGCAAGACTCTGTCTCAAAAAAAAAAAAAAAAAAAAAAAGGCCAGGCGCAGTAGCTCACGCTTGTAATCCCAGCACTTTGGGAGGCTGAGGCAGGCAGATCATGAGGTCAGGAGATCAAGACCATCCTGGTTAACACGGTGAAACCCCGTCTCTACTAAAAATACAAAAAATTAACTGGGCGTGGTGGTGGGCGCCTGTAGTTCCAGCTACTTGGGAGGCTGAGGCAGGAGAATGGCATGAACCCGGGAGGCGGATCTTGCAGTGAGCCGAGATCGCACCACTGCACTCCAGCCTGGGCGACAGAGCGAGACTCCATCTCAAAAACAAAAAAAAGGAAGAAGAATAAGAGGAGGAGGAGGAGGAAGAGAAGGAGGAGGAGGGAGGAGGAGGAAGGAGGAGGAGGAAGGAGAAGGACAAAGAGAAGAAGAAGACAGCAACAGAAAATGAGAGACATGATTAATCCAGCATGCTTAATAGTTTAGTAGTAGATTTTTCCATGGTGTCCTTCCCAAAAGGTTTCACCAACGGATGCTGTCTCTAATGATTTGGGAGATTTCTCATTTCCCTACAGCTTCTCCAGCTCTGAGCATTCCCGATCAATTTTTCATTTGACTCAACTGGAGTGGGAAATTGACTAGATTGTGAAAAGCATGCACATGCTCCAATGGTCTCCATCTCCTCCACAATATTTTTTTTCTTTTCTTTTTTTTTTTTTTTTTGAGATGGAGTTTTGCTCTTGTTGCCCAGGCTGGAGTACAATGGCACGATCTCGGCTCACCGCAACCTCCGCCTCCTGGGTTCAAGCAATTCTCCTGCCTCAGCCTCCCGAGTAGCTAGGATTACAGGCATGCGCCACCATGCCTGGCTAATTTTGTATTTTTAGTAGAGACAGGGTTTCTCCATGTTGGTCAGGCTGGTCTGGAACTCCCGACCTCAGGTGATCCCCACCTTGGGCTCTCAGCCTCCCAAGGTGCTGGGATTACAGGCGTGAGCCACCGTGCCCAGCAATTTTTTTTTTTTTTTGAGATGGAGTCTCACTCTATTGCCCAGGCTGGAGTGTAGTTGTGCGATCTCGGCTCACGGCAACCTCTGCCTCCCGGGTTCAAGTGATTCCCCCACCTCAGCCTCCCGAGTAGCTGGGACTACAGGCACACACCACCATGCCTGGCTATTTTTTGTATTTTTAGTAGACAGGATTTTGCCATGTTGGCCAGGCTGGTTTCGAACTCTTGGCCTCAAGTGATCTGCCCTCCTGGGCCTCCCAAAGTGCTGGGATTACAGGTGTGAGCCACTGCACCCGGCCTTCCTCCATAATTGAACACAGTCGCCCAGCTTAAGCCTCCAAGGGTCCAGTTCCAGGTCAAGATTTGCTGCTTTTTTTGTTTTGTTTTGTTTTGTTTCGTTTTGGTTTTGAGACAGAGTCTTGCTCTGTCACCCAGGCTGGAGTGCAGTGGCATAATCTTGGCTCACTGCAACCTCTGCCTCCTGGGTTCAAGTGATTTTCCTGCCTCAGCCTCCCAAATAGCTGGGATTACAGGTACCCGCCACCACGCCCAGCTAATTTTTGTATTTTTAGTAGAGATGAGGTTTCCATGTTAGCCAGGCTGGTCTCGAATTCCTGACCTCAGGTGATCCACCTACTTTGGTCTCGTAAAGTGCTGGGGTTACAAGAGTGAGCCACCGCGCCTGGCTGATGGGGTCTCACTATGTTGCCCAGCATGGCCTCGAAATCCTGGCCTCAAGTGATCCTCCTGCCTTGGCTTCCCAAGTGCCGAGATTACAGGCATGAGCCACTGTGCCCAGTCAATGAGCTTTTAATGTACATAATGTGGCTGAAGTGATGTGGGACTTTCAGGCTAGATCATAAAAAGATACAACTTCCACCTGGCTCTCAGCTCTTGGAAGGTGCTCGGGAGGCCAGCTCCCATGCTGGGAGTACACTCATGCCACTCAAGTATACTGGGAGGAATCGAGGCATCCCGCCAATCATAGCACCCATCTGCATGCCCTGAGAGTGAGCCACCTTGGAAGCAGATTCGCCAGCCCCCGTCAAACCTTCAGATGACTGAAGCCCTGACCAACTCCTTAACTGCAACCTTCTGAGAGGCCCTGAGCCAGAACAGCCCAGCAGCAAAGCCATTTCTCAAGTCCTAAGCTACAAAGACCACATGAAATCATAAGGATGGACCAGGTGCAGTGACTCACACCTGAAATCCCAGCATTTTGGGAGGCCAAGGCAACAGGATCACTTAAGCCCAGGGGTTCAAGACCAGCCTGGGCAACATAGTGAGACCCCCCCGCCCCCAGCTCTACAAAAAAGTATAAAAATTAGCCGGGAGTGGTGGCACATGCATGTAGTCCCAACTACTCGGGAGGCTGAGGCAGGAGAATTGCCTGAACCCGGGAGGCAGAGGTTGCAGCGAGCCGAGATCGTGCCACTGCACTGCAACCTGGGTGACAGAGCAAGACTCTGTCTCAAAACAAAAACAAAACCCAAACAAAACAACAACAAAATAACAAACAAATTAGCCGGATGTGGTGGCACATACCTGCAGTCCCAGCTACTCAGAAGGCCAAGGCCGGAGGATTGCTTGAGCTCAGGAGGTTGAGGCTGCAGCGGAGCTATGATTGTGCCACTGCACGCCAGCCTGGGTGACAGAGTGAGACCCCGTCTCTTAAAACAAATTTAAAAAAATGCTAGCTCTACGAGGGCAGGGATCTTTGTTTTGTTTGCTGTCATGTCCACAGTGCCTGGAACAGCATTGGGAACAGAGTACACGCTCTATGTGGTTGCCACGGTGATTATAACCTAACAGACCTTTGGTCTGCATATTCTGCGCTAAAAAAAAAAATCAAAAAACAAAAAACCTACCAGATCTGATTTATGTCAGGGCTAGCTCAGACTCTTACCTGTTTCCTGCCCACTCAGTGCCCATCTCGGCCAGTGAATGGGACATAGCTATGACCTCCCTCTGCACTGGGCAAATAGATTAGTAACTGGCAACTATGACAGGCGATCCACTCCAAACCTCGCCACTTCCCTCAGGATAAAATCCCAGGTCTTCTGTGCAGTTTCCAGCCCCCATCCTGCCTAGGATTCCACCATTCAGCCACAAGGAATCATGAACTGCTTGTAGTTTGCAAATACAGTAGTCTCCAGAGTGGAGTACATACACCCTATAAACAAAGCTTTGGGGTTCAACTGGAAAAACTTTAGAATATCTAGATTTGGGGGGTTTTATTGTTTGTTTTTTAGTCTTTTAAAAATAACTTTTTCCTTTTCTTTTTTCTTTTTTTAAAGACAAGGTCTTGCTATGTTGCCCAGGCTGGTTTTGAACTCCTGACCTCCAGTGATTCTCCCACCTTGACCTCCCAAAGTGCTAGCATTACAGGTGTGAACCATCATGCCCAGCTCCA
Source organism: Homo sapiens (assembly GCF_000001405.40). NCBI lineage: Eukaryota > Metazoa > Chordata > Mammalia > Primates > Hominidae > Homo > Homo sapiens. Next base: position 10,084,788 of record NC_000019.10, read on the forward strand.
TTTATCTATCAATATTTTATATAACAGTTAACAGAATATATTGATATAATTGTATTTGTATATAATTTATAAATAATATCCATCTTTGAGGCCAGGAGTTTGAGACCAGCCTGGGCAACATAGTGAGACCCCGTCTCTACAAAAAAAATAGAAAATTAACCAGGCATAGTGGCATATGCCAGTAGTCCCAGCTACTTAGCAGGCTGAGGCAGGAGGATCGTTTGAGCCCAGGAGTTAGAGGCTGCAGTGAGCCACCATCAAACCACTGCACTCCAGCCTGGGCAACAGAGCAAGATCTTGTCTCAAAAAATAAATAAATGAATAAATATCCATCTGGGGGTGTAACTTTAACACTTTTACCTATAGGGGTGTGCAATGGAGAAAAAAATTTGGAGTCGTTGAACACAATGCTATTTTGCTCCTCAGAGAGTATCCGGCAGTCTCTGGAGACGTTTTTGGTAGTCACAACAGGGAGAGTAGGGAACCACTGGCATCTAGTGGGTGGAGGCCAGGGATGGTGTTAAATGTCCCCCAATACACAGGACAGTCCCCCACACAAAGAACTAGGCCGCCCAAAGTGTCAAGAGTGCTGGGCTTGAGAAGCCATTGCCCAAAAACCCCAGACTTAGTCTTGCTTTGGGGGCTCTGCACGGCTGCCTCATCTCCCCACTCTATTCCTCCCCTAGCTAAGACCTCCAATTTCAGTGACTCTACAAAGCATCCCCTCCTCCAATGAAGTTGCCATCTCTGTGTCCCCAGGCTGGGCCAGAGCCCCACCACCTAAGGGCTCCCTGATGTGCCCTGTACTGGGTTAGAATTGTCCGTCCCACGGGGTTCTTAACCATTGCAGATTCCCTGGATCCCTGAGACAGCCGGATTCTACCGGGCTACTAGAGACCAAGAATCTGTATTTTTCTCAAGCACCGCTCCCCCCAACCACACACACACTGCCTGCCCCTATCAAGGGCACACAGCAGGTGGCCCAGTGACTAGTTGAACGCCTACTGCAAGCCAGGCGCTATTACGCGATCCACTCGGGAATCTTGGCACATACTCCACTCCATGGTGTAGACACCAGGATTCTCCCCATTTCACAGAGGGGTAAACTGAGGTTGAGAGAGGTGACCGTAGCTAGGACAGAGACTCAGGGCAGGAAAAGGGCCCAGGTCCTCATGAGCGCCAGATTCCCGGGGAAGGAGGGAGAACAGAGAGGAGGGTGATGAACTGGGGGAGCGCGCGCTGGGTGGGGGGGCGCGGGGCCTCGCCGCGGCCTTCTGATGCGGCCCCGCCCCCACGAGGGACGTGAAGACGCGGACCCCGCGCAGCGTGGGGACATGTGACCGACTGCAGAGGCCGCGCCGCCTCCCCCGTCCGAGGTCTGCGCGCTCCGCCGCAGGGTGCAGACCCGGGGCGCCCGCCTGGGTTTGGGGCGCAAGAGCAGAGGCGGAGCCAGGGCGGAGCCAGCGCGCCGGGTCCCCCCTGAATCGAAAGCGAAACAGGGGCCGGGGAGGAAGGGCGGAGCCGGCCCCGAGGCACCGCCCCCTGCCCTGCGCGGCTGCTGGACCGACGGGCGCACCCAGGTAGGGGGGCGGCTGAGCCGCGCAGTGCGGACCCTCGCGGGGAACTGCGCCGCCGCCACCATGTCTCAGGAAGGTGTGGAGGTAAGCGATGGCTACGGCTGGGCCGGGGTCAGCCGCGACAGACCCCGAGGAGCGGCCGGGAGGCGCGGAGGGGGCTTCGCAGTTCCTGGGGACCCCCATCCTAGAACCCCAGATCCTTACCCCTGCCTGGCGCTCGCCCCCCTTGAAAAGGAAAGTGACTCCCACGTTTCCCCAGAGCGAAATGAGGCCTCCCCGAGGAAAAGCGGGGGCTGCAGGGTCAAAGGTCAGAGGCCAGAGATAACCTGGCCGCCCCCCCACACCTTAGGCTGGGACGCTCGCCCCAGTCCGCGCCTTCCCCCAACGCCCTGTGGGGACTTTGGCTTTTTCCAGGAAATGCCGTAAAGGGATGAAAGGCGGGGGGGGGGCGGCGGAGGCCAAAACCAAGGGTCAAGTTCGGGCCGGGAGAACGGTGCCTAGAGATGGGGGAGGGATGATCCCGTTTCCCCTTCCCCCACCGGAACCCCCCTGTCTCCATCCCAGCTGGAGAAGAGCGTCCGGCGCCTCCGGGAGAAGTTTCATGGGAAGGTATCCTCCAAGAAGGCGGGGGCTCTGATGAGGAAATTCGGCAGCGACCACACGGGAGTGGGGCGCTCCATCGTGTACGGTGAGGCTGCAGGGGTCCCGGGCCTGGTGCGGGGACCGCGCGTGGGAGCGCCGAGGGGGCGTGGTCTAGGGAGAGGCGTTGAGATCACCTCCCCCGGAGGTCCCAGCCTTGGGGAGGCTCTGCGTCGCGGCTCTGGGTGGCCTGGAACTCCCACAGACCCTTCAAGGGCCCTTCCCTTATATGCACTCTCCCCCGCAGGGGTAAAGCAAAAAGATGGCCAAGAACTAAGTAACGATCTGGATGCCCAGGTAACCTATCCCCTCCCCTCGCAAAGGACCGGGTCACGGGAGGGAGAGCAAGAGGGGGGACCCGACCCGTTCATGGTGACTGACCCCCCTCTGAAACAGGAGGGACCAGGCATTGTCGGTCCATAACTCATCACCCAATCTCACTTTTTCACCTCTCCATCATTTGTCCGGCCAGGGAGCCTGCAAACAGTAGGCGCTCATTATGTGCTGATTGTATTCAATGGGGGAGAGAGCCATGAAACTAAGCAATGAAAGGAGCCAGGATTATTGCCATCATAGCGGGGGCGCAGAGGTCAGAGAAGGCTTACTGGAGGAGGAGGTACCAAGTCTTAAAGGATGGGGAGGAGTGAGCCCTGGGAGGGGAAAGGGAAAGAAAGGCAGGGGTCTTGGGGTGGGGGAGGGAATGGCATAAGCAAAGGCTGGGAGGTGGGGAAGGGTTGTTAGTGGCAGTCTCTAGAAAGGCTAGGATGAGCAGAGGATTGGGGAGGAGAGAGAGGCAGGGGAATGGAACCCTTGTGTTGAATGAATGAATGAATGAATGAATGAATGAATGAATGAATGGCTTTGAAGCACAGGTGCATCATGGCTACTTTGCTTCTTTGACAGCTTTGGTGATGGGAACGCTGTGGATTTAGCCTGCCTGAAAGGCTTAGTGTAGGGCTGTTAAAGAGTATAATAGGCCAGGCGCGGTGGCTCACGCCTGCAATCCCAACATTTTGGGAGGCCGAGGCGGGCGGATCACCTGAGGTCGGGAGTTTGAGACCAGCCTGACCAACATGGAGAAACCCGTCTCTACTAAAAAATACAAAATTAGCTGGGCATGGTGGCGCATGCCTGTAATCCCAGCTACTCGGGAGGCTGAGGCAGGAGAATCACTTGAACCCAGGAGGCGGAGGTTGCAGTGAGCTGAGATCACACCATTGCACTCCAGCCTGGGCAACAAGAGCGAAACTCTGTCTCAAAAAAAAAAAAAAAAAAAAAATGCCGGGCGCGGTGGCTCACGCCTGTAATCCCAGCACTTTGGGAGGCCAAGGCGGGCGGATCATGAGGTCAGGAGATCGAGACCATCCTGGCTAACATGGTGAAACCCCATCTATACTAAAAATACGAAAAAAAAAATTAGCCAGTTGTGCTGGCAGGCCCCTGTAGTCCCAGCTACTCAGGAGGCTGAGGCAGGAGAATGGCGTGAACCCGGGAGGCGGAGCTTGCAGTGAGCCGAGATCGCACCACTGCACTCCAGCCTGGGCAACAGAGCGATTCTCCGTCTCAAACAAACAAAAACAAACAAAACCAGAGTATAACAAAACATGTATCATAGTCTACATTTATACATATAAAAGTATGATAAAAATGATAGCAGAGGGGCCAGGTGTGGTGGCTCACGCCTGTAATTCCAGCACTTTGGGAGGTTGAGGCGGGCAGATCACTTGAGGTCAGGAGTTCGAGATTAGCCTGGCCAACACGGTGAAACCCCTTCTCTATTAAAAATACAAAAAATTAGCTGGGCGTGGCAGTGCATGCTTGTAATCCCAGCTACTTGGCAGGCTAAGGCAGAAGAATCACTTGAACCTGGGAGGCAGAGGTTGCAGTCAGCCAAGATTGTGCCATTGCACTCTAGCCTGGGAGACAAGAGCGAAACTCCGTCTCAAAAATATAATAATAATAATAATAATAATAATAATAATAATAATATTAGCAGAGAGTAGCATTCATTGAGTACTTCCCACATGGCAAGATTCCAGGAATTTATTTATTTCATCACTGCAGTGACCCCAGGAGACAGGTCCTATTATTTATCCCCATTTCACAGACAAAGAAACTGAGGCCGAAGTCACTTGCCAGCAAGCAGGGGCAGCTGCGATTTGAACCCTGGCCACCTGGAGTCAGAGCCTGGGCTCTAACATGCCTGTCAGTGGGAACCCAGGGGGCAGGGAGTGGCTTGCCCAAGTCCCCACAGCTGGAAGTGATACAGCTGGGATTTGAACCCACATCTCTCTCCCACTTAGCCGAGCACAACGTGGCCTCAAAGGGGCGATATGTCACAACATCAACAAGCATGTGGCATTTGCAGGCAGGAAGTGAGTATGGGGGTCAGGCTAGCCTCACTCAGGCAAGCCCTCCCCTAAGCCTCAGTTTCCCCATCTGAGCAATAAGGTAACAGGTGTGCCCACCTCTCAGGGCTGCTATGAGGACAACTGAGGCCACACACCTGGCTCTCAATAAGTGAGTGGTGCTCTGTGAGCTTCTGGCGAGTTAGGGGCACCCTACTCATTGCGGCCGGGGGCCTCCCCCAGCAAACGGGTGGAAAGAGGCCTGAGCCCCATCCCCAGTTTCTGCCCCTGCTATCTCCACCCAGGATCCACCAGAAGATATGAAGCAGGACCGGGACATTCAGGTGAGTTGGTGGCTAGGGCTTGGGATGGGGGAGTTGGGAGGGGGACATCTGCAGGCACAGAAGGATGTCCATTAGGGCAGGAGGGGAGATATTCACTGGGGCAGGAAGAGGACTCGTCTGTAGGGAGAGGAGGGCTGATGCTTATGTTGGTGCAGAAGGGGTGACACCCCCCCACCTCATCCCCACCTGCCCCATTCCACAGGCAGTGGCGACCTCCCTCCTGCCACTGACAGAAGCCAACCTACGCATGTTTCAACGTGCCCAGGACGACCTTATCCCTGCTGTGGACCGGCAGTTTGCCTGCTCCTCCTGCGACCACGTCTGGTGGCGCCGCGTGCCCCAGCGGAAGGAGGTGATGACCTAAAACTTAACCTCGACTTTGACTGTCCCGAACTCCACTCCTGACTCCTATCCTCAGTGACTGTACCTCTGACCTAAGGATTTCAATCACTGAGAGTCCAATCCCTGACCTCCAAACTCAGAGCTCAGCCTTGATCTCTGATCCCAACCCCTGACCCAGGACTGGACTTCTGACCTTAAATGTGAGAAGCCCAATACCTCCTTACCCCAGAACCTGACCCTTGACCCACAATTGAACAGCTACTACAGAAATCAAACCTGGCCAGGCGCAGTGGCTCATGGCTGCAATCTCAGTGTTTTGGGAGGCTAAGTAGGGAGGATCGCTTGAATTTAGGAGTTTGAGACCAGCCTGGGTGACAGGGTGAGACCCTGTCTCCAAAAAAAAATGTGTTTTGAAGACAGGGGGTCTCGCCCTGTCACCCAGGCTGGAGTGCAGTGGCGGGATCATAGCTCACTGCAGCCTCCACCTCCTGGCCTCAGGTGATCCTCCCACCTCAACCTCCCAAGCAGCTGGGACTACAGGCCTGCGCCACCACACTTGGCTAATTTTTGTATTTTGTGTGTGTGTGTGGAGATGGGGTTTTGCCATGTTGCCCAAGCTGGTCTCAAACTCCTGGGCTCAAGCAATCTACCACCTCAGCCTCCCAAAGTGCTGGGATTACAGGCATGAGCCACTGTGCCTGGCAAAAAAAAATTTTTTTAATTAGCTGGGAGTGGTGGTGTGTGCCTGTGGTCCCAACTACTCAGGAGGCTGAGGTGGGAGGATCGTTTGAGCCTGGGAGGTCGAGGCTGCAGTAAGCCATGATCACAACACTGCATTCCAGCCTGGGTGACAGAGCAAGACTCTGTCTCTAAAAAAAAAAAGAAAGAAAGAAAAGAAACCAAATCTGACCTCAAAAACACAGCCCCAAATCTGGCTTCTGAACCTCCTGACTAGTAGTTCACTTCTGGTCAATGCTTAACTAGTTCTTGCAAAAGAGGCAGGAAGCCAAGATGTGTAGTGTTTGCCAATTTCTGTGGTGTAAATATTCCCACCATGGTCAATATCAGGCTACCCACGTGAAGTCACTGATTGAGTTGGGTTGCTCAAGCTGAGGCCAGCCGCTGCAGCACACTGCTAGCCCTGACCCCAACCTCAGACACCTCTGACAATCCTTGGTCCCCTCTCTGTACCTTCCTGCCCACCACCACCAGGTATCCCGGTGCCGGAAATGCCGGAAGCGCTACGAGCCAGTGCCAGCTGACAAGATGTGGGGCCTGGCTGAGTTCCACTGCCCGAAGTGTCGGCACAACTTCCGGTGAGGGCGCTGACCCCCAGCTCCCCCTCAGCCCTGCCCTACCCCAGCCCTGCCCCTCCCTGCCCTGGCCCCACCCTGGCCCAGCCTCGCCCTCGGACCCTCACAGCCCTGCCCGCCCCCAGGGGCTGGGCACAGATGGGGTCCCCGTCCCCCTGCTACGGGTGCGGCTTCCCCGTGTATCCAACACGGATCCTCCCCCCGCGCTGGGACCGGGACCCGGATCGCCGCAGCACCCACACTCACTCCTGCTCAGCTGCCGACTGCTACAACCGGCGAGGTGAGGCTCTTCTCCCCCAACAGCCTGGACAGTCTTTGTCCCCTTCTGTGCCTTTAAGTCCCCAAATCTCCACTCAGTCCACTTTGTCTCCCACAGCAGCAGCCACTGCTTCCACATGGCCTCCATGACCCCCCAGTCTCCGTGGTCTTGCCCAGGAGGCTCTGAGGTTTCACCCCAGTGGCCCGTGCCTGAGGGTCCCCATGGCCTCTGCCCCCATGGTCTCTGGGTTTGGGGCCCCTGTTTTGTCCCCTGTAATCTCAGGTGACCCCCATGTCCCCAGGTCTCCTGTATCTTCAACACCCCTGAATGTCCAGTTGTGCTGGTCCCCGTATCTGGTGGTCTCAGCTCCTCCCTAGAGCCCCGCGTGGCCTAAGTCCCCTCCTCCCCAGACTCTCATGGGACCTCCAGCCCCATGTCTGCAGCACCTCTCCCTCCCTAGAGCCCCACGTGCCTGGGACATCCTGTGCTCACCCCAAGAGCCGGAAGCAGAACCACCTGCCCAAAGTGCTCCACCCCAGCAACCCTCACATTAGCAGTGGCTCCACTGTGGCCACCTGCTTGAGCCAGGGTGGCCTCCTGGAAGACCTGGACAACCTCATCCTGGAGGACCTGAAGGAGGAGGAGGAGGAAGAGGAGGAGGTGGAGGACGAGGAGGGCGGGCCCAGGGAGTGACCCCTGCCAGGTGCAGATACAAACCAGACACGGTCTGTGGCTACTTTGTGTTATTATAAGATATGAGCTCAAACCGAGATATGAATGACCTTGGGGAGCCATCTGAGGCCAAGATATTGACGGGGGGGATTCCTGGGTCCCATTTTCAGCGCCCAGGGTCACAGATCCACAGTGGGAAGTTCTGTGGGACACATTGGCACTGAGCCACAAAGAAGGTGTGGCCAGAACAACTTGGGCTCCTGCTGACCAATGTCCTCTAGGGCCTAGGGGACAGAGGAACACAGAGTCACAGCTTCAGGGGCCGAATGAGCATGGCGGCCTTCCTGAGAGAATATGCCCCACCACGAAACTCAGCCCAGTAGACACCATCCTGGTAGCGGCTTCGGTAGTGGCCGCCGTGGTGCCACACACCGTTGAGGTTGGAGTGGGCACAGGCATGGTACCACCAGCCTCCCCGCTGGTACAGGGCACAGTTACCTGAGGGGAGAGAGAGAGTCCATGTCCTCTCACCAGAATAAAAGCCTCTACCTGCACCTCACAGTGCAAGGCTTTTGCCAGGCATCCCCTGGCCCCTCCCATTCTTATTGAATACAAGCCCTGATCTTCCATCTCCTCAGCAAAAAAATAGGAGCCCTGGCCCCCCAACTTTCTTCAGAGTAATAGCCTTAATTCCTTCCCTATCTCCTTACCAAAGTACAAGTCACATCTTTCCCACCTTTTCTGCAAACTAGGAGTCTACCGTTCATTCCTTTATCAAAGAAAAGTATCTACTTCCTTTCTAGAATAAGAGTACTAGCTCTCACCCTCTGCCCTTTACTTGAACAGGAGTCTTGATTCTTTTTTTGCCTCATCAGAGAAGGAATCTGGACTCCCCATCCCCCCACCAGGATAAAAGTCCTGACCTTTGTTCTCTTGACGGAATAAAAGCTTGCTTATCCTTATACTTACCAGAGGGGCGTCTTACCTACCCTACCTCCTTTCATTCCCTCACCAGAACAGGAGTCCCGCCTCCCCTATCCTCTCACCAGAATAGGAGTTCTCCTTACCAGAATAGGAGTCTCGGTCCCTATCCACGGTGCTGAAGGGCTTGTCATTGTGCCAGGAAAGAGAGTCTCCAGCATCACCATGGTACTGGCCAAGCCGCAGGCGGTAGTGGTCGCTCTCGGGTTCCAGGGAGAAGCCATCATAGTGGGCACGTGCTCCACGGCCCCCCCAGTCCTCCAGGAGAACCAGCAGCTCATGGTCCCCACGGCTGGTCAGCTGATACACGGGTTCAAGGCCCAGCCAGTATTCTCCGTCTGGCCGCCCAAAGCCCGCCTGGCAGGGCAGGAAAGTCAGGAAGCCAGAACAGGCTCCCTCCCCTTCCCTGCCTCTGCCCACCTGTGCCCACCTTATAGTGCTGCCAGGTAGTGAAGAAGTTGACTGAACCATCTTGCCTCCGCTGGATCACAGTCCAGCCTCCACCCTCCAGTTGCTGCTCACACCATACTGACACTACGTGACGGCCCACTCGCAGTTCATACACTCCACTCTGTTCATGGCCTGCCTGGCGGGCCTCTGCACAATCCTGCCACGGGCCTGTGGGCACAGGGATAGGGGGGAGGCACAGCCTGGGCTGACCAATCCCTTACTGGAGCAAGAGTCAAGATTCTCACAGGTCCTCTCACCAGAATAAGAGTTCTGCCTCTCCCACTTTTCTACCAAAGAGTCCTGCCTCTCCCATTTCCTCACCAGAATAAGAGGCCTGCCTCTCCCATTTCCTCACCAGAATCCGAGCTCCAATAGCCATTTCTTTACCTAAGAATCTGGGTCCCTTGTCTCTAATCAAAGGAAATGTCAAGTCTGGGGTTCTTTTTTTTTTTGAGATGGAGTCTCGCTCTGTCACTCAGGCTGGAGTGCAGTGGTGCGATCTCGGCTCACTGCAACCTCATCCTCCCAGGTTCACGCCTTTCTCCTGCCTCAGCCTCCCGAGCAGCTGGGACTACAGGCGCCCGCCACCACGCCCAGCTAATTTTTTGTATTTTTAGTAGAAATGGGGTTTCACCGTGTTAGCCAGGATGGTCTTGATCTCCTGACCTCGTGATCCACCCGCCTCGGCCTCCCAAAGTGCTGGGATTACAGGCATGAGCCATCGCGCCCGGCCAACTCTGGGGTTCTTAAACCCTGGTTTTTTATGGTCTCCTCACCATAATATAAGTCCTGAATATGATACTCTGAACCAGTTCAAACTCTTACCAAAGTAGCAGTCCCAAACATCGCCTCACTAAAGTAAGAGTCCCTCCTCTTCTATTTCTTGTTTCTCCTATTTTCACACCTTAGAAGTTTGGTCTTATTTTTAATCAGAATAGGAGTATCATTTCTTCTGGTCTTCTCACAATGAGAGAAATCTGCCACTAAAATCCTGACTCCTCAATTTTCCTCTACCCACAATTCCTCAGCCCTAATGTCGACTTACCCACAGGCTTGGTGGGGACCGCAGGGTGACCTGCAGGCATGGGAGAAGCCATGGGCTCCTGCTGTCTCTGGGTCTGGTCTCTCTGGGGCTCTGGGGCTGGGTCCAGCATCCTACTGGTGTCACTGGTGCTACCCACAAGACGGACCGGAACCACAGGCACCAGTGGGGGTGGCGGCAGGACCTGGGGTGACGGAGAAAGTCAGGTGTAATTGCACTAACCCTCAGGCCAGGAGGCCTGGTCTCAGGGGCAGAAATGGTGGATAAATCTCCCAGCTCCCAAATGACCTGGACATCTGGCAGTGGGGGTGTCCCAGCCCTAGGAATGATCCTCCCCAAAAGCTAAACAACTTGGCTTTAAAGTGCAGACAGGCTGGGCGCTATGGCCCGTGCCTGTAATCCCAGCACTTTGGGAGGCCGAGGCGGGCGGATCACCTGAGGTCAGGAGTTCGAGACCAGCCTGACCAACATGGTGAAACCTCCGTCTCTACTAAAAATACAAAAAAAATTAACTGAGTGTGTTGGCTCACGCCTGTAATGCCAGCTACTCGGAAGGTTGAGGTAGGAGGATCGCTTGAACCTGGGAGGTGGAGGTTGCAGTGAGCCAAGATTGCACCACTGCACTCCAGCCTGGGAGACAGAGCGAGACTCCATCTCAAAAATAAAATTAAAAAAATAAAGTGCAGACAGAGCTGGGCTTAAATACCGGCTCTTGGTGCTCATGGTTTAATTGATCTGTGCCCCAGCCTCCTCTGTAGAGTAGGGATAATAACAACACATCCAACAGTATCTAACTTACTGACTCCTCTCACCAACCCTGTAACGTAGGGACTGTCACAGAGCAACATTCTCTTATCCCAAACCCAGACCAGGACACGTTCCAGAATTCAGAATAACACGGCTGGATTTAGACACAGTGACACAGGGAGGGTTATGTATATGCATGTGTGTATAGAATATACATAACACTCCTAAAGGGGTTTTTGGTCTTTACGTGATAATGATATGTTTAATTATAGGATCCTATGACTATTCACATTAAGTGGTTAAGTGAAGGCTATAAATAGCCACCAGTCACTTTTTGACCCAAATAAGTTACCAGAAGGGGCGAGTAGGAATCCGGTTTTCAGGGTTTTGCGGATTTCAGAACTGTGGATAAGAGATCGTGGGGTTGCAAAACCCCCATTTCACAGACGATGCTGCTCTCCGGGGAGGCTGCGAGGTTACCTGCTGCTGCCCGCCCGCGCCTCCCGGGCACAGGCGCTCCAGGCGGGCGATGAGACTGCTCTGCTGGGTGACGAGCTGCGCCAGCTCGCGGAACTTGACGTCCAGCTGGTGGAACCGGGCGGCTGCGCGCTGAGCCTCGGCGGACGCGTTGAGCACGCGCTCCCCGAGCAGCGCCAGCGCCGCGGCAGGCTCCGCCCCCAGATCCGCCCCCGGGCCCGCCCCGGGCCCCGCCTCGTGCTGCAGCTGCGCGCGCAACTGGCCCAGGCGCGCGCTCAGGCCGCGGCTCTCCTTGCGCAGCGCGCGCACCTCGCCGGCCACGGCGCCGTCGGCCGCCGCCAGCCTCTGCAGCTCGCGTAACAGCTCCTCGTGGCGGCCGACGCGCATGCGCAGCGCCGCCAGCTCGCTGGCGTTGGCGGCCTCGGGCGTCGCCCGCGTGGATGCGGGGCCGCTCCAGCACACAGCGCCCGTGAACTTCTGCGGGGGCAGCACGAAGGTGTAGGTGCAGCGCGGGGCGCCCGCCCGCGCCCACGACGCGCCCAGCAGGAGCAGCAGCTGTAGCGCACGCAGCCAGGGCTTCCCCATCGCGGCGGACCTGCAGGCAGAGGAGGAACGGAAGGAAGACGGGGTGCTGGGGCCCAGCGAGACCCCTCCGCTTCCACGCGGGGATGCGCGCGTCTACACCCGCGATGTCCCGGGCCCATAATTTCAGTCCCCATCTCATTCCCCCCACGGCTGGAGGGCCCCAGGGTGATCCCACTCTGGCTTCAACACCGAGCTCTTGGCGCCAGGCCGGATAACGCATCTCAAGCATTCATTCATTCGACAAGCGAGGCCGGGCGCCGTAGCTCACGCCTGCAAGCTCAGCACTTTGGGAGGCCGAGGCGAGAGGATCGCTTGAGACCAGGAGTTCGAGACCAGCCTGGGCAACATGGGGAGACCCCTGTCTCTACAAAAAAAAAAAAAAAAAATTAGACAGACGTGGTGGTGCACACCTCTGGTCCCAGCTATTCGGGAGGCTGAGGCAGGAGGATCACTTGAGCCCAGGAGTTCAAGGCTTCAGTGAGCCATGATCGCTCCCCTGCACTCCAGCCCGGGCAACAAAGTGATAGCCCATCTCAAAAATAAATAAATAAATAAAAACAAGGCTTATGGGGCCGTTCAGGCCGGTAATTCCAGCACTTTGGGAGGCCGAGGTGGGCTGATCACTTGAGCCTAGGAGTTGGAGACCAGCCTAGACAACACAGAGAGACCCTGTCTATACAAAAAATACAAAAATTAGCTGGGCATGGTGGCAAGGGCTTGTCATCCCAAGATCGCCTGAGCCCAGCAGTTCCAGGCTGCAGTGAGCTGCGATCACGCCACTGCACTCAAGCCTGGGCGACAGAGCAAGACTCTGTCTCAAAAGAAAAAAAAAAAAAAGCAGTCACTAGGCACAAATGTGTGCCAGCCCCCTTTCTAGGCACTGGGAATACATTTAGGAACAAAACAGACAAAAATCCCTCCCCTAGTGGGCAAAAAAATAAATATGTACTGTATAGGATGAATAAATAGAGCATATTAGACAATGTTAAATGCTAAAAATAACAGTAGGGCCAGGCGCGGTGGCTCACTCCTGTAATCCCAGCACTTTGGGAGGCTGAGGCAGGTGGATCACGAGGTCAAGAGATCGAGACCATCCTGGCTAACACGGTGAAACCCCATCTCTACTAAAAATACAAAAAGTTAGCTGGGCGTGGTGGCGGGCACTTGTAGTCCCAGCTACTTGGGAGGCTGAGGCAGGAGAATGGCGTGAACCTGGGAGGCAGAGCTTGCGGTGAGCCGAGATTGTGCCACTGCAGCCCAGCCTGGGTGACTGAGCGAGACTCCATCTCAAAAAAATAAAATAAAATAAAATAATAAATATAAAAATAACAGTAGGACTGGTGAGGCGGCTCAGGCCTGTGTTAAGGCGGGAAGACTGCTTGAGGCCAGGAATTCAAGACCAGACTCCAGACTGGGCAACGTATCCAGACCCTGTCTCTACCAAAAAAAAAAAAAAAAAAAGGAACTGCAAGTGCACAGAACCACATCTGGCTAATGTTTAAATTTTCTGTATAGTCAGGGTCTTGCTATGTTGCCTAGGCTGGTCTCCCCTGGCCTCAAGTGATCCACCTCTGCCTCCCAAAATGCTGAGATTACAGGTGTGACCCACCATGCCCTGCTAATTTTTAAACTATTTTGTAAATCTGGGCTCAGTGGCTCACACCTGTAATCCCAGCTCTTTGGGAGGCAGAGGCGGGAGGATCGATTGAGGCCAGGAGTTTGAAGCTGCAGTGAGCTATGATCGCAGCATTGCACTCCAGCCTGGGGACGAGAGCAAACCCTGTCTCTTAAAACAAAACAATAACAAAAAACAGCAAACTAGGTAAAGAATACGCAGGTCTGTGCAGGGGCAGCTTGAGAGGGGGTTGCCTAAAGGGAAGGCCTGGTGGAGGAGCAGATCTAAGTGCAAAAGCTCTGAGACTGGACCCTGCCTGATGTATTAAAGCAACCTGGGAGAGGTTAAAGCAAAAGCGAAGGGAGGCTGGGTGCTGTGGCTCATGTCTGTAATCCCAGCAGTTTGGGAGGCCAAGGTGGGTGGATCACCTGAGGTCAGGAATTCGAGACTAGCATGACCAACATAGTGAAACCCCATCTCTACTGAAAGTGCAAAATTAGCCGGGTGTGGTGGTACAGGCCTGAAATCTCAGCTACTTGGGAGGCTGAGGCAGGAGAATCACTTGAACCTGGGAGGTGGAGGTTGCAGTGAGCCGAGATCGCACCACCGCACTCCAGCCTGGACAACAAAAGCAAAACACTGTCTCAAAAAAAAAAAATAGCAAAGGGAGCAGGGTGCAAGGAGGTGAGGTGGGGTGAGGGAAACGTCTCACTAACTGCCTTCCCATCCGTCGGATATTGGAAACCCCATCTTCCACGTCCTCAGACCAAAACCCCAGCAGATCCAACCCATCTCAGCAGATCTAATCCATCAGCCAGACCCGTCTGCTCTTCTGCTTAGATCCTGAATTCCTCCACGTCTCCGCTACTCCCCACTGCCCCCAGACCCTCCCTGAATTCCCAGCTCAAGACACCATCTGGATGACAGCAGCTGCCTCCCTGCTCTCTGGATTTCCATCCTCAACCCCAGGTCTAGTCTCTCTGACAGCAGCCAGAGGGCGCCTGTGAACATCTGAGTCAGTTCACGTCCCTCCCTCCCTCCTCTGCCCTGAATCCTTCTTGGCTCCCACCTCCTTTAGAGGAAAAGCCCAAATCCACCCATGATCCATAAAAAGTTGCGCTATCTTGGTGACTCACGCCTGTAATCCCAGCACTTTGGGAGGCGGAGGCGGGCGGATCACGAGGTCAGGAGATCGAGACCATCCTGGCTAACACAGTGAAACCCCGTCTCTACTGAAAATACAAAAAAAGTAGCCAGGCGTGGTGGCGGCTGCCTGTAGTCCCAGCTACTCGGGAGGCTGAGGCAGGAGAATGGCTTGAACCCGGGAGGCAGAGCTTGCAGTGAGCCGAGACTGTGCCACTGCACTCTAGCCTGGGCAACAGAGCAAGACTCCATCTCAAAAAAAAAAAAAAAAAAAAAAAAACTTGTGCTATCTGCCATATCCCCTTCTGCCCTCCTCCCAGGCCCTTCCTCACACGAAGCAAGTTCCAGCCTCAGGTCCTTTGTACCTGCTGTTTTTGCAGCCTGGAACATTGTTCACAACTTAACATCATTCCCTTCCTATCCTTATTCAAGTCTCAGCAGCGCTCCTTGAACAGCAGATTTAGGGTTGTACCTCCATATACAAGCTCTCTCTCTCTCTGTCTCTCCCTCTCTCTCTCTCTCTTTCTCTCTTTCTCTCTCTCTCTCTCTCTCTCTCCCCCACGCCCTCTTTTTTTTTTTTTTAGACGGAGTCTCGCTCTGCAATCTCAGCTCACTGCAACCTCCACCTCCCGGGTTCAAGTGATTCTTGTGCCTCAGCCTCCCAAGAAGCTGGGATTACAGGCATGCGCCACCACACCCAGCTAATTTTTGTATTTTTAGTAGAGACAGGGTGCCTGATCAACAGGTGAAATCCCGTCTCTACTAAAAGTACAAAAAATTAGCTGGGCGTGGTGGCGCATGCCTGTAATCCCAGCTACTCGGGAGGCTGAGGCAGAAGAACGGCTTGAACCTGGCAGAGGTTGCAGTGAGCTGAGACCGCACCACTGCCTTCTAGCCTAGGCAACCTGGGTGAGACTCCATCTCAAAAAAAAAGAAAAAAAAGAGAGAGTCGTGCTCTGTTGCCCAGGCTGGAGTGCAGTGGAGCAATCATAGCTCACTGTAGCCTCCAATTCCTGCACACAAGTGGTCCTCCTGCCTCAGCCTCCTGAGTGGTTGGAACTACAGGTGCGCACCACCATGCCCAGCTACTTTTTTGTAGGGAGGGGGTCTCACTGTGTTGCCCAGGCTAGTCTCAAACTCCCAGGCTCAAGTGATCCTCCCACCTTGGACTCCCAAAGTGCTGAAATTACAGATGTGAGCAACCACACTGGCCCTAAACCTATGCTTCCTGATGCCTGCACAAGCACATATCCCGAGGGTCTCCATCTCACACACACATTGCCTCATTCATGCATTCAACCACAGACACCTTGAGTGCCTATTGTGTGCCAGGGATGCTGTTTTAGGCAATGAGGACACAGCCTTAACCCAAACAGACAAAATTCCTGCCCTTGCAGAGCTGACATTCAAGTTGGGAGAACAGAGAAATAAGTCAAACAGCCGCTAGGTAGGTCAGAGGGTAATCGTGCTTAGGAGAAAAATGGAACAGGCAAGGGGGTGACAGTCCCGGAGGTGGGGGACATTTAATAGAGGAGTCAGGACTGGGTGTGCTGACTCACGCCTGTAATCCCAGCACTTTGGGAGGCCGAGGTGCCTGTAATCCCAGCACTTTGGGAGGCCGAGGTGCCTGTAATCCCAGCACTTTGGGAGGCTGAGGTGGGAGGATCACTTGAGGCCAGGAGTTTGAGACCAGCTTGGCTAACGTGGCGAAACCCTGTCTCTACTGAAAATACAAAAATTAGCCAGGCGTAGTGGCACGCGCCTGTAGTCTCAGCTACTCAGGAGGCTGAGACACAAGAATCACTTGAACCCGGAAGGCAGAGGTTGCAGTGAGCCATGATTGCACCACTGCACTCCAGCCTGGGCAATAGAGCGAGACTCTGTCTCAAAAAAAAATAAAATAGAGGAGTCAGGAAAGGCCTCACAGAAGAAGTGACACTTGACTGGAACAGTGCCTCATGCCTGTAATTTCAGCACTTTGGGAGGCCAAGGCAGGAGGATTGCTTGAGCCTAGGAGTTTGAGACCAGCCTGGCCAATATGGTGAAAGTCCATTTCTACTAAATATAAAAATAAAAATAAAATAAAGAATAAGGGACACTTTCACAAAGACCTGATGGAAGAGAGAGAAGAGGAAGAGCATTCCAGGCAGAGAGAACAGCAGGTGCAAAGGCCCGGAGATTGCACCCAAGAAATGGCAGAAAGGGGCCAGGCACGGTGGCTCACGCCTGTAATCCCAGCACTTTGGGAGGCCGAGGCGGGAGGATCACCTGAGGTCGAGAGTTCAAGACCAGCCTGGCCAACATGGTGAAACCCCGTCTCTACTAAAAATACAAAAATTAGCTGGGCATGGTAATGCATGCCTGTAATCCCAGCTACTACTCAGGAGGCTGAGGTGGGAGAGTCACTTGAACTCAGGAGGCCGATGTTGCAGTGAGCAGAGATTGCGCCATTGCACTCCAACCTGGGCGACAGAGCAAGGCTCAAAAAAAAAAAAAAAAAAAAGGCCAGGTGCGGTGGCTCACGCCTGTAATCCCAGCACTTGGGAGGCCAAGGCAGGTGGATCACGGGGTCAGGAGATCGAGACCATCCTGGCTAACACAGTGAAATTCCGTCTCTACTAAAAATACAAAAAAAAAAAAAAAAATTAGCCGGGCATGGTGGCGAGCGCCTGTAGCCCCAGCCACTCCAGAGACTGAGGCAGGAGAATGGCGTGAACCCGGAAGGCGGAGCTTGCAGTGAGCTGAGATCGCGCCACTGCACTCCAGCCTGGGTGACAGAGCGAGACTCTGTCTCAAAAAAAAAAAAAAAAAAAAAAAGAAATGGCAGAAATGTCTATGAGGCCGGAAGAGAGAAGGGGGAAGCAGGAGGAGGTAAGAAGTGTCAGGGCAAAGTGTGAAGGGTCCTGTGGGCCCGGAGGAGGACTTGGGTTTTACTCTGAGTCAGGCAGGAGCCATGGAGGGTTCTGGGCTGGAGATGGCCACATTTACTTCTGGACTCAGACACCAAGCAGGGGCTCACAAGGATCCGGGGGTAGGGTCCTCTCTTTGTCCCCGATCACTGACATGCCCCACCCCCCACAACAGAGATTGAGCAACCCCCCAGAACTGGGACGTGTGTATAACACCCGCTGCCTTTTACACTCTCAGCCTGGGGTGGCGGGGTGGCCTGGGGGCCCCCAAGCCAAGCTGTGGTCGGAGTTTCCCCACAGTGAGAATCAACCTCCACCTACCTTCCCACCCTCTCACCTCTGATGCCCAAGACCCTGAATCCAGCGAAGCTCACAGAACACACAAGAAGTCCAAGGAAGAGCCGAGGGTCCAGTGGGGCCTCTGAGCTAGAGACGGGGAGAGGGCAGTGGGACAGAAGGAGAGAGGAGGCTTGGTAACCACTCCCCAGCCCCCAGAGCCTGGGAGTGGAGCTGGGATGCTGGGCCCAGGAGCCCAAACTATAAATATTTAGCATTTCCCGAATGAGAAATGAGACAGAATTGCCAGACCCCCCTGCCCAGGCCACCAGAGCCTGATAACACAGGTCAGTGTCCTGGACATCCCTCCCTTTCCCCCACACCCTCCACTGCAGAGCCCAGAGCGTGGGAGGCTGCAGGCCCTGGGGCAGCCAGGCGTGATCCCAGCCCCAGACACGCACACACCACACATAGAAAGAGGAACATCACTGGGGACTTACCGTGTGTAGGGCTTGGCTCTAAACTCTCCACACCTTTTACGTATTTGATCCTTACAACCTGAGCTGGATTCTGTATGTACCCTCATTTTACAGCAGGGAAAACTGAGGCTCAGAGAGGGTAAGCAACTTGCCTGCGGTCACACAGCCAAAAAGAGACCAGGATGGGAGCCAGCCAAGGTAGCTTGACTCAGAAACTCACACATGTACACCACAGCTGTCACACACATATGGGCACATAACAGAGTGGACACAAACACACACACACACATTTGCACGCACGCACACATTAACACCCAGCGAAAGTCTGGGTGCAGTGGCTCATGCCTGAAAGCCAGCACTTTGGGAGGCCGGGGCAGGTGGATTACCTGAGGTCAGGAGTTCGAAACCATCCTTGCCAACATGCTAAAACCCCGTCTCTACTAACAATACAAAAATTAGCTGGGCATGGTGGCATGCGCCAGTAATCCCAGCTACGCGGGAGGCTGAGGCAGGAGAATTGCTTGAAGCCAGGAGGTGGAGGTTGCAGTAAGCCGAGATCGAGCAACCGCATGCACTCCAGCCTGGGCGACAAGACTGAAATTCCATCTCAAAAATAAATAAATAAATAAATAAATAAATAATAAATAAATAATAATAAAGTGAGGAATTAATTAATTAAAATAAAAAATAAATATAAAAGACACAGCTGTAAATTTTTAAATTGTGATAGAAACAATATATTCTTAAAGTGAAAACCCTACCTCAGTTACATGTGATTTATGTTTTTTGGATTAATCTGGATTTTATAATTAGAAATAAAAATGTAAGGCTGGGCGCGGTGGCTCACGCCTGTAATCCCAGCACTTTGGGAGGCCAAGGTGGGCAGATCACGAGGTCAGCAATTCGAGACCAGCCTGGCCAAGATGGTGAAACCCCGTCTCTACTAAAAATACAAAAATTTGCCGGGTGTGGTGGCCCATGCCTGTAATCCCAGCTACTCAGGAGGCTGAGGCAGGAGAATCGCTTGAACCCGGGGGGCGGAGGTTGCAGTGAGCCACTGCACTCCAGCCTGGGCGACAGAGTAAGACTCTGTCTCAAAAAAAAAAAAAAAAAAAAGAAAAGAAATAAAAATGTAAGATTTTGAGTCCACATAATTATTTGTTGAAAATAATACAAGTCAGTATAATAGAGAAGCATTCATATATTCAACACTGTGAGACAAAACACCAGAGACCTTGGATTTGATAATTGATCTGATATCCTGGACAGTATTCATATGTACAGTGATAGCTATCTTTCTTTGGTGTTTTTTTTGTTTTGTTTGTGTGTGTGGTGTGTGTGTGTGTGTGTGTGTGTGTGTGTAGTTTTATGGTTCTGAGTTGGTGGCCAGTAAGTTCCATGTAGTGTTGGCACTTATTTAATTAACTATTCATGATTTTGTTAATAGCTTGTTATAGAATTCAGGCATATATTTTTCAGCATAAGAAGCCAAGCACACCAGCTTGTCATTGGAGAGAATATATTAAGTGAGAAAAACATTCAGGAATCAGAGCTTTAACATGTTAAAGTTAGTGCTAAACATTGTCATATTGGATCTGAACCTATCCTAATATATAACCATAAAGCTTGACTTCTGCATTGGAACTATGCTTTCATAAATAAAGGATATCTCATTGATTAAAAAAAATTTTTAAAAAGACACAGCTGGAAACATAACAGTTTCAGGCAACAACTGTATGTTCCAAATATGGTCACACACACATCACAACTTAAAGGGAAATGGGGTGGGCTGAGTGGGTCTTTATCTGTGTGTCAGGCTTGTCCACATCCTGGTTCTTGTGATCACACAGTAGTGCACAGATACAAAACAGGTACACACAGTTGACACCCGGAAACCTATCCACCGCACCACAGAGGTCACCGTCTGTCTCCCACACACTCGGTCACATTTTCACACAAGTCAAATCACACGAGGACGGAACTGGGGGAAGTAACCATGCAGTCATTTCCCAGGGGTACAAAGAAACTCACATAGAGCCCCACAGAGCCCAGGCCCAGGGTCTGAGACCTGTCCAAAGGCCCCACCGACGACCAGCCACACGCCGGGAGAGTCACCTCCTTCCCCTGGTCTGCACCATCCTGAGCTCCCGAGTAACTCGAGTGGACTCCAGGGTTGAAAAAGGAAATGGTCGTCCCAGATCTGAGAGAGGCTGCCAGGCTGGGCTCTGGGCCTGGGTTGGGGCCCCCACACTGGGCCCCTCGGCCCCCCACCCTCAGCCCCCTCTGGCTTCCCCATTGGCAGTAGAGAGGGAGGGAACTTCATAAGTCACAGAGAGGGGCTGAAGAATACAGAGAGTCAGACAGATGGAGATGGGAGAGGCATAGGGAGATGGGAGAGACATAGGGAGATGGCAGAGAAAGGGAGAGACGGGGAGATGGGGAGAGACAGAGAGAGATGGGAAGATGGGGAGAGACCACAGGGAGGCAGATGAGAAGAAAGAAACAGGGATGGGGCCAGACACAGAGAAAGGAAACTTCTTTAGTTTCCATCTTCAGTTATAAATGATGAAAGAGACAACTGATGACAGAGACAAAGTTACAAGAGGGAGAAAGAGACAGGGGGAAGACGAGGGGGAGGGGAGACACATCTGGGGGAGAGGAGGAAGAATTGGGGTGCCAGAGAGAGCAAGGAGGGAGAGGAGGCCGATGGGGGAGGAGAGAGTAATGTTCAGCCCAGTGAGGGGGTGTCCCTTTCCCCCACTGCAAGGTTTTGGGGAAGAAGCCAGAGGCCTGAGGCCAAGACTGAGGCTTTGAGCGGAAAGAAGGAGGGGGCGAGTTATTCACGAAACGCCCGCCTTGCCCTGAGTTTCCAGAAGGTGATGTGGAGTTTCCATCCCTCAGCCTGTCTGCAGACAGGGGTACCCGGGGAGGACAGCTGGCCCAGAGGAGTTGCGAGACTAAAGTGAATGATTGCCACAGTCATTCCCTCCGGTGGCTTCTCCCCAAGTACTTGGCGCCAGAGCGCCCAACATTGTGCATACATGGTCGCTCCTAATTCGTGGGCCCGGGGGACATTATCAGCCTTACTTTGGGATATTTTAGGAGCCTCGGAATGCAGAAAGTGGTTTTAGCCCAGCTGGAGGAAATGGGCCGAAGCGGGATTCGAACCGGCGGATTCGTTTCTCTGCAGCCCGGAGCCGCGTAGCCCCGCCCCGGTCTCCCTAGAAACAGGCACCCGTGTCTCCATAGCAACCGCTCCATCTGATTGCCCCTCCCCGCTCCCAGAGGCCACCTAGTGCGCAGGCCCGCCTGATGTCGTCCCACGCCGTGCCGGCTCTCAGGCGCCGGAAGTGAGCTGCGCAGCGCCGGAAGCGGCGGACGCAGGAGGCCTCGTGGAGGACACAGCAGCATGGGACAGTCAGGGAGGGTAAGGCCCGGCAGCTTGGGAGGCAGGTGGCGCAGGTGGGGTCCCGGCCGAGGTCGCGGCGCTGACCCTTTGTCTCTCGTCGCCGCAGTCCCGGCACCAGAAGCGCGCCCGCGCCCAGGCGCAGCTCCGCAACCTCGAGGCCTATGCCGCGAACCCGCACTCGTTCGTGTTCACGCGAGGCTGCACGGGTCGCAACATCCGGCAGCTCAGCCTGGACGTGCGGCGGGTCATGGAGCCGCTCACTGCCAGCCGTCTGCAGGTTTGTACCCCACCCCCAGCCCGCCTCCACCCACCCTCGGCCTAGTCTTCGTAGCTGCAGTAATGGCTCCCGCTGTAAAACTGTGGGAGGACTTAAGTCTCCCCAGCTGGAAAAAAAGACCCTCATGGGGAGCATCATTTCTGCCTTTCAGGGCTTTTGCTGGGCTGGAGTGAGGGCGCGCAGCTTGGGAGATAGATAGTCGCCTAAGCCTGACAGTTAAGACTGGAATCTGGAGCCGGGCGTGGTGGCTCATGCCTGTATTCCCAGCATTTGGGGATGCTGATGCGGGAGGATCACTTGAGCCCAGGAATTCGAGACCAGCCTGAGCAGCATGGTGAAACCCCGTCTTTACAAAAAATAGAAAAATTAGTCGGATATGGTGTTGCGTGCCTGTAGTCCCGGCTACTCGGGAGGCTGAGGTGGGAGGATTCCTTGAGCCCAGGAAATTAAGGCTGTAGTGAATCGGGATCGTGCCACTTCACTCCAGTCTGGGCGACCGGAGGAGACCGTGTTAGAAAAAAAAAGACTAGAATCTGGAGGCAGCAAAGCAGGGTTGGAAACTGACTTCTCCCCAGTATCTGATGCAAGTTACTTAACCTCTCTGGGCCTGAGTTCGCTCATTTGTCAATGGGAAGATGCGCTGTGAGCAAGAGACAGAGTTAGAACTCAAATCTGCGTCCGACTGACTCTAAAGGCTAAGATCCTTTTGCTCCTCTGGGCTTGTTGAAAGGGTCAGATGCAAGACAGACCATAACAGGATCTGCACCGTCAGCTTATAGTTGTCACAACAAGGGATAAGCTATGTTTTCTTTTTTTCTTTTTGTCATTTCCAGGTTCGTAAGAAGAACTCGCTGAAGGACTGCGTGGCAGTGGCTGGGCCCCTCGGGGTCACACACTTTCTGATCCTGAGCAAAACAGAGACCAATGTCTACTTTGTGAGTAGACGCCCTCACCCTTCATCTCCCCCAGACCCCCCCTTCCCCTATCTCTCATGATGAACACATATGCCTCTGAGCTGCTGTGATTTCTGGCTTCAAAGTAAACGCTCTGAAGAAGAGATGGGGCAAAGGTGCCTACTCCGGGCACCTCTGCTAGACCCCTCCAGAGTCACTGATCTTTTCTTCTCCTGCAGAAGCTGATGCGCCTCCCAGGAGGCCCCACCTTGACCTTCCAGGTCAAGAAGGTGAGAGGGGTGGAGGTGGTACAAAGCCATGTGGGGTGGGAGCTGGACTTGGGGTTGTCCGCAGCCATGTGTGGTTGGTGGTCACCCCCTCCTCTCTCCTGTCCTACAGTACTCGCTGGTGCGTGATGTGGTCTCCTCACTGCGCCGGCACCGCATGCACGAGCAGCAGTTTGCCCACCCACCCCTCCTGGTACTCAACAGCTTTGGCCCCCATGGTATGCATGTGAAGCTCATGGCCACCATGTTCCAGAACCTGTTCCCCTCCATCAACGTGCACAAGGTGGGTCTGGCCTGGCGAGGTGGCAGGTATGGGGGGGTGCAGCGGATAGAGGTGCCACAGGCCCTCAGATGGATTGCTCACTCCTCCCAGCGCTGAGACTGGGAGCTCCTGGGTCTGCTGAGTCCTGAGGTCAAATCCCACTCCTGTGTCTGATGATGCTGGGCAAAAGTGTCCAGAGATTCCCCCAGCGGTCCACACCCCGTGAGCTGCACCTTTTCCAGCCGGTGGAAAGAAATACTGATGGAGCTCTGTTTCCCACGTGTGTTGAGTGCTGGGCTGAGCAGGATCGTAGCATCTCTTCTTAGGGCCCTGTTTTACAGAGGGAAGCTGCGGGCCCAGTGCTATGGCTTCGGCCTGTAATCCCAGTACTTTGGGAGGGCGAGGTGGGAGGATCGCTTGAAGCCAAGACTTTGAGATCAGCCTGTGCAACATAGCGAGACCCCATGTCTACAAAAAGTAGATTTTTAAAAAGCCCGGTGTGGCGGTGCATGCCTGTAGTACCAGCTACTGGGGAGGCTGAGGTGGGAGGATCACCTGAGCCCAGGAGGTCAAGGCTGCAGTGAGTTGTGTTCACGCCACTCTACTCCATCCTGGGTGACAAAGCGAGACACTGTCTCAAAAAAAAAAAAAAAAGCAAATCTGAGGCTGGCAGAGATGCTAAGTTTAGATTCCAGGGGGCAGGACTGGATTTTTAATTTCATCTGGCTCCTGAGTCCTAGCTCCTAATCCTTGTCACTAGTGACTCTCAGATGGGACTTATAAATTATATATAAGATATCAGTCATCAGGGAGGCTAATACGGCTCTGGGACCAGAATTTCTTGTTTACCTTTTTTTTTTTTTTTTGAGACGGAGTCTTGCTCTGTCTCCCAGGCTGGAGTGCGGTGGCACAATCTCATCTCATTGCAAGCTCCGCCTCCCAGGTTCACGCCATTCTCCTGCCTCAGCCTCCCGAGTAGCTGGGACTACAGGTGCCCGCCACCACACCCCGGCTAATTTTTTGTATTTTTAGTAGAGACAGGATTTCACCGTGTTAGCCAGGGTGGTCTTGATCTGACCTCGTGAGCTGCCCGCCTCGGCCTCCCAAAGTGCTGGGATTACAGGCGTGAGCCACCGTGCCCGGCCTTCTTTACTTTTTTTTTAAGAGACGGGGTCTCCGTACGTTGGTCTTGAACTCCTGGGCACAAGCAATCCTGCAGCCTCCGCTTCCCGAGTAGCTGAGACTACAGGCGTGCACCACCACATCCAACTCATTTTTCCATCTACTTTTTGTAGACATGGAGACTCGCCGTGTTGCCCAGGCTGGTTTTGAACTCCTGGGCTCAGGCAGTCCCACCACTTCAGCCTCTGGAGTAGCTAAAACTGCAGGTGCGAGCTGGAAGCAGCATTTCTAGCCAGTGCCACAGTCCACGAACAGTGTGTGTATCCCCCAAAGCCCCCACTTCCCCAAACTTTGCCATGAGTCTACTGGACTATGCTCTCTTCCTCCCCTTCCAGGTGAACCTGAACACCATCAAGCGCTGCCTCCTCATCGACTACAACCCCGACTCCCAGGAGCTGGACTTCCGCCACTAGTGAGTGTCCCAGCAGGATGGGAGACGAGGGGGTGCCGGGTGGGGGCCTCCACATGCGGCTGATGACAGCACTTCTGCTGAGACGCTGTGATTGCTCTGTCCAAAGTAAACGCCCTGACGCACTGTGGGAAGGGTGAGATGGGCACCGCCAGCCCCATCACGTGCCCCCTGACCACCCCCTTGCCGTCCACTCATGTTCCTGCAGTAGCATCAAAGTTGTTCCTGTGGGCGCGAGTCGCGGGATGAAGAAGCTGCTCCAGGAGAAGTTCCCCAACATGAGCCGCCTGCAGGACATCAGCGAGCTGCTGGCCACGTGAGGAGGGCATAGGGCGGGAGGCCACTGCGGCCCGGGGACCCCAGAACAGGACCGGGAGCCTGAGCTCCCCCACTGAGCCCTGTTATGTCCTACACACAGGGGCGCGGGGCTGTCGGAGAGCGAGGCAGAGCCTGACGGCGACCACAACATCACAGAGCTGCCTCAGGCTGTCGCTGGCCGTGGCAACATGCGGGCCCAGCAGAGTGCAGTGCGGCTCACCGAGGTGAGGCCCAGGGCAGGGGGACCCCCGGGCTCCACCAGTCCCAACGGTGGGCTGACGCTTCTTCCTCGTCCCCTCAGATCGGCCCGCGGATGACACTGCAGCTCATCAAGGTCCAGGAGGGCGTCGGGGAGGGCAAAGTGATGTTCCACAGTTTTGGTGAGGCCGGGGCCGCCGGGGGTGGGGGGTCATGGGTGTGGAGCTGCACCCGGATCTTGGTGACCCGCGTCTCTTGGCTCAGTGAGCAAGACGGAGGAGGAGCTGCAGGCCATCCTGGAAGCCAAGGAGAAGAAGCTGCGGCTGAAGGCGCAGAGGCAGGCCCAGCAGGCCCAGAATGTGCAGCGCAAGCAGGAGCAGCGGGAGGCCCACAGGTCCAGGCAGAGCTGGGAAGGGCAGGGCCAAGGGGGGGTCCCTGGGATGGGCGGCTATGTTGACCCCCACGCCCTCCTCCAGAAAGAAGAGCCTGGAGGGCATGAAGAAGGCACGGGTCGGGGGTAGTGATGAAGAGGCCTCTGGGATCCCTTCAAGGACGGCGAGCCTGGAGTTGGGTGAGGACGATGATGAACAGGAAGATGATGACATCGAGTATTTCTGCCAGGCGGTGGGCGAGGCGCCCAGTGAGGGTATGGAGTGGGGTCTGCAGCAGGGCACCCAGAGCCTGTCCTTGTCTCTGGGGGCCCTGACACTGTCTCTCCCCACAGACCTGTTCCCCGAGGCCAAGCAGAAACGGCTTGCCAAGTCTCCAGGGCGGAAGCGGAAGCGGTGGGAAATGGATCGAGGCAGGGGTCGCCTTTGTGACCAGAAGTTTCCCAAGACCAAGGACAAGTCCCAGGGAGCCCAGGCCAGGCGGGGGCCCAGAGGGGCTTCCCGGGATGGTGGGCGAGGCCGGGGCCGGGGCCGCCCAGGGAAGAGAGTGGCCTGAGCCCAAGCCGCACCGGAGCAGCGGCTGGATTGAACGCCCCAGATTGGGGCCCGAGATGTGGCCCTCGGTTTCCTTTCATAAAGGAGTTGTGTCCCCAGCCCTTCCACTCCAGTAAAGAACTGAATTGGCCAGGGGTCCACGTCAGCGTTTGGGATGGGGGATTCTGGAGCCATACAAAGCAACCCAGAGAGTCCTGGGCCGGCCACACCCGAGAGTCCCTCCCACCTGGTTTCTTCCTGGAAGCTGGGTCTCTCCCCTACCCTGCACGGGGTTGGTTTCATTGGTGGCAGCAGCAGCCATGAGTGGCCCCTCCCCCCAGTCCCACCAAAGAGCCGTGCAAGCAGACAGGTCACACTTTCAGCAGATGAGCTTGAACCTCAGGAGGGTTGTGGCACAATGAGGAAGGAAACGTGGGTGGAAAGGCACGCTGGCCTGCTCTGCTGGCTGGGCCAGTAACTGGGGATGGGGCTGGGGCAGGGCCCACTAAGCCACTGGTGACTGGGGGAGGGGCTGGGGAACTGGGTAGCAGACACAGGCTGAGGATCGGCACGGGAGCATGGCAGCCAACGTCTCGGGTAAGGAGAAGGCATGTTGGCTGTCTCTGGGGGTCTGCAGATTGTCAGGAGGTGGGGGTAGTGGGTATTGGTAAAACACCTAGGTCTGGGGCTGGGCACGGTGGCTCACGCCTGTAATCCCAGCACTTTGGGAGGTCGAGGGGGGTGGAACACGAGGTCAGGGGTTCGAGACCACCCTGACCAACAAGGAGAAACCCCGTCTCTACTAAAAATAAAAAAATTAGCTGGGCCTGGTGGCACATGCCTGTAATCCCAGCTACTCGGGAGGCTGAGACAAGAGAATCACTTAAACCCGGGAGGCGGAGGTTGCCATGAGCCGAGATTGCACCATTGCACTCCAGCTTGGGCAATGAGCGAAACTCCATCTCAAAAAAAAAAAGCCTAGGTCAAGGCTGGGTGTGGTGATGCGAGCCTGTGATTCCAGCTACTCGGGAGGCTGAGGCAGGGGGATCACTTGACCCCAGGAGGTCGAGACTGCACTGAGCTGTGATTGCACCACTGCACCTCAGCCTCGGTGACAGTGAAATCCTGTCTCCAAAAAAAAGCCACGTCTAGACGACACTTCCTCCTTAAGCAGGCTGGCGTTGGGAGCAGGGAGGCGCCTCCGGAGAAGCCTGTCCCCAGCCTGCAGAGGCAGGGGTGGGGTGCACAAGGAGTGAGTGCCCCTGTGCTGCTGTGCCCTGGGCACTGTGGTGAGCACTGGCACCAGTAATGGGTAAGCAGGCCCCCCCATCCTCCCGAAGGAGGGAGATTTTTCTCACCGTCATCAGGTGGCGCAGGGTATGGGGGAAAATAACGCAGGGAAGGGAGAGTGGAGGCACGAGGGCTGCTGTCAACAGTGGTTAGGGTGGCCTTGGGGCCTCTCGCAGGCAGGACCACGGACGTGGGAAGAGGAGCCTCAAGAATGTCTGGGTGTGGCTGGGCACGGTGGCTCACACTTGTAATCTCAGCACTTTGGGAGGCTGAGGCGGGCAGATCTGAGGTCAGGAATTCGAGACCTCTTGGCCAACATGGGGAAACCCCATCTCTACTAAAAATGCAAAATTTAAAATTAAACCAGGCGTGGTGGTGGGTGCCTGTAGTCCCAAATACTCAGGAAGCTGAGGCAGGAGAATCACTTGAACCCGGGAGGCAGAGGTTGCAGTGAGCTGAAGTCACATCATTGCACTCCAGCCTGGGTGATGAGAGTGAGACTCTGTCTCAAAAAAAAAAGTCTGGGTGCGAAGGTACCAAGGCACAAGTCTGCAAGAGCAGCCAGGAAGCCTGGGTGGGCTGGTGCGAGGGAGTGAGTCGCGGAGCACAGAGGGTGGCACTGGGGGGTATGGCGGGCGGGAGCGCTCTTGGGGGACCTTGTGGGGTGAGTCTGGCTTTTTGGCGGCAACTCCCTGGCCAAGTGTGAGCACCTGGAAGCAAAAGGATGGGGCAGGACTCCAGCGCTCGCGGGTGCTCTCTGGTGGCCACGGGGAGAAGAGGCTTTGGGCGGCGGCGGGTGCCAAGGTCAGGGCAGAGTGGGGGCTGGACCCCCACGGGGCTTTGGACGGCACAGATCTGAAGTGGAGCCGGCAGGCCTTGCTGGGGCTGGACTTTGGGGAGGAGGCCTCTAGTGGGGCCAGGTGTGGTGGGGGAGTAGGGTGGCCGCTGTCTGTGTTACCAGTGGACCTTGAGCTCCAAGACTGCCTGGCCCGCCTAAGCTGGTCCATTGGGGCCCAATGCATAACCCTGGCTCTGAGCCTCAATCCTGTCCACATAAAGGAGTGGAGCCCGGTCCCCCTCCAGGGAGGGGAAAGAACTCGTGTCCAGGGATCCACGCCATGGCAGACGTGGGCTCTTGGGGTAGCAGGAGCCGCCTTATGGGGGAATAGGGCTCAGCTGGTGACACCTTCTGCCCACAGGTGCCAAGTCCTGCCCTGCCAACTTCTTGGCAGCTGCCGACGACAAACTCAGTGGGTTCCAGGGGGACTTCCTGTGGCCCATACTGGTGGTTGAGTTCCTGGTGGCCGTGGCCAGCAATGGCCTGGCCCTGTACCGCTTCAGCATCCGGAAGCAGCGCCCATGGCACCCCGCCGTGGTCTTCTCTGTCCAGCTGGCAGTCAGCGACCTGCTCTGCGCCCTGACGCTGCCCCCGCTGGCCGCCTACCTCTATCCCCCCAAGCACTGGCGCTATGGGGAGGCCGCGTGCCGCCTGGAGCGCTTCCTCTTCACCTGCAACCTGCTGGGCAGCGTCATCTTCATCACCTGCATCAGCCTCAACCGCTACCTGGGCATCGTGCACCCCTTCTTCGCCCGAAGCCACCTGCGACCCAAGCACGCCTGGGCCGTGAGCGCTGCCGGCTGGGTCCTGGCCGCCCTGCTGGCCATGCCCACACTCAGCTTCTCCCACCTGAAGAGGCCGCAGCAGGGGGCGGGCAACTGCAGCGTGGCCAGGCCCGAGGCCTGCATCAAGTGTCTGGGGACAGCAGACCACGGGCTGGCGGCCTACAGAGCGTATAGCCTGGTGCTGGCGGGGTTGGGCTGCGGCCTGCCGCTGCTGCTCACGCTGGCAGCCTACGGCGCCCTCGGGCGGGCCGTGCTACGCAGCCCAGGCATGACTGTGGCCGAGAAGCTGCGTGTGGCAGCGTTGGTGGCCAGTGGTGTGGCCCTCTACGCCAGCTCCTATGTGCCCTACCACATCATGCGGGTGCTCAACGTGGATGCTCGGCGGCGCTGGAGCACCCGCTGCCCGAGCTTTGCAGACATAGCCCAGGCCACAGCAGCCCTGGAGCTGGGGCCCTACGTGGGCTACCAGGTGATGCGGGGCCTCATGCCCCTGGCCTTCTGTGTCCACCCTCTACTCTACATGGCCGCAGTGCCCAGCCTGGGCTGCTGCTGCCGACACTGCCCCGGCTACAGGGACAGCTGGAACCCAGAGGACGCCAAGAGCACTGGCCAAGCCCTGCCCCTCAATGCCACAGCCGCCCCTAAACCGTCAGAGCCCCAGTCCCGTGAGCTGAGCCAATGATGTGGCCTAGCGGAAGCTGCCTCCTCACCCTAGGTGTTGCTGGAGAACCCTGAGGGCAGGGCCCGAGCCCCGACACATCCCTTCCCCCAAAAAGCAACACCTGTGCTTGCAGCCAGGTCAGGCCCAGCTGCAGCCCAGGCAGGAGCAGTCGCCTTTCCCACCCACAGCGCTGGCCACAGGGCTCCCTGCAGGGTCAGGGACCAGACCACGCCCAGAGGAGGGGAGGCACTGGCCCCCGCCACAGGACTGGAGACGCAAGAACAAAAAGAACCAAGTAGAGAGAGTGGAGCTGCTTTATTGCCCTTGGAGCCCGCGCTCTCGGAGGCTGTCTTCTGTCGCCAAGGGTCCCGGACCGAGTACACAGTGGCAGCTGGCTTAGTTGGTGGACGGCCTGGGGTAGGGGAGGGTGGCAGGTATAAGACTTCTGGGGGCACCCCAAGACCCCAGACACCCAAGTGGCATCTTGGGGGTGGGTGGGCAGAGGACGGGGTAATGTGAGGACGAAGCGGGCACGGAGCCAGATGGCCAGTCTCCAGGCCTGGTCCACGGACTGGCAGGGACCCCAGGCACAAGAGCTGCCACCCCTCTGCCCGGTTTTGGAAAAAAACAATAAAGGACTGTCCCCTCAAAACCAGCCGGGGGACTGTTAAATTGGCTCAGGGCTATTGGTTGGCCCAACACTCCGTGAAGGTGCTGGGACAAGGCAGGGAGCAGGGGCTGGGGCAGGGATGGAGTCTTACTTGGCCCACTCGACGTTGAGGATGAGGTGGTCGTAGCCAAAGCCGGACACCCCGGCAATGGCACGCGCAGCATCCTCGCGGCGGTGGAAGCTGATGAAGGCAAAGCCCTGTGGAGGGGCGGGATGGGGTCGGGCACGAGCTAGGACAGGCGACCCTAGGACAAGTGACCCTCACACAGCCCCACCGTGCCTGCCTGCCTGCCCACCTTGGATTGGCCAGTGGTCTTGTCCTTAGCCAGGTAGATGCGGGAGATGGAGCCGAAAGGCCGGAAGAGCTCCTGCAGGTCGGTCTCACGCGTGTCCTCTGACAAGTTGGTGACACGGATGGTGGCGTTGTCGTCGGCTGTGTGGGAGAGGGGAGGTGGCTGTGAGGGGGAGGACACTGCCCAGCCCTCGTGTGCTGCCCAGCCCTCGTGTGCACGCTTCGGGGATAATTACGAGGTGCCGGGAGGTGCCCACCCACCAGCCTGGCGTCGGGGTGCCCCTCACCTCTGCGGTTGGGCTGCATGGACTCCCCGCGGCGGCTGGCCCCGTCGCGCAGGCTCGGCGGCACATACTTCCCTGTCTTGTTCTGCGTGGCCTGCACCGGCTCTAGCTCTGGGGACCAAAAGACAGTCAAGTTCAACCTCACTGTGGCGCAGGCGTGGGGACAGAGCCGCCCCAGGAAGCTCGGGCTTCAGTGTTGAGCCAGCGCAGGCACTGTGTGCCAAACCACAGGCAGCCAGTTGGCCACGAGGACACCAAGGTGACACCTGAGAAGCTGACACCATTTGAGCTCCCAGCCAGCGACACTGGTGGAGGAGGAGGAGGAGGAGCCCCGACCCCACCCCAGAGAGGGCGGGAGGACAACAGGGGCAGCAGCCTCACATGCACAGCAACGGCAGACATGGGACACACAACAGGAACAGCGCCCAGGTCCCCCTCGCGTGGCAGGCGACAAGTGCACGTCTGCACTCTCACACTCGCCACCAGCAAATCCCACCAAAGAATTCGGACGGTACAGCCACAGGCATGCAACGGAGACACTATACACACAGTGCGCACACACGATGTGGGGTGGTCAGCACCCTGGGGCCGACAGACAGCAGCTCATCAGGACAGTCACAGGGCCACCAGCAAAGTCACAGCTGCCAAGTCGCACATATATGGGAGACGCCCGTCTCCCAACCATAGGAGGTACAGCCAATTAGGAAGGCACAGACGCCCCGAGGAGAGTCTGGCACCATCAAACCCGCTGCACTGTCGTGCGGGAGATGACAGCACGAAGGCAGCAGTGGGGACAGAACCCGTGCACTGACAGCAGGACCCTCCCACCCCCACACCTCCCGGCAGCTTCTCCTTCTCGCCAGTAGACAGGCCCAGCTGCTCGGCCAGCTCCTTCTGCATGGGCCCCAGCGTATCCTTGTAGGGGCAGCGGGTGGTCCAGTGGTCGCCCTTGCAGATGCGGCAGGACACGATCTTCTGGCCCTTGAGTTTGTTCATAGGGTCCTCCTCCTCCTGGCAGTTCAGGTCCTGGCAGGGGCGGGTTGGGGGGAGCTCAGAGGCGGCTAAGGCACCCCCTTTGCCCCACCCCAGGATGCCAGCCCCACCTGATTGCCCCGCTTACCTCTTTGCTGGTGATGAACGTCATAGAGACATCGTCACTGACAGTGGTGGTGGCCACATTGGGTCCGGGGGGGTCAAACTCTGAGTTCCCGAACTTCTTCCAGTTCTGGGCTCAGGGAGGGATGGGGGACAGTTGAGGGCAGGGGCAGGCTGGGTTCCACAGTGGGGTGCCCTAGACCTACAACAGCCACCCCCAGAGTGTCTGGGCCTCAAACCCCATCTTCATCCTCCTCAAGCACTCCCTGAACAGTCCTGGCGACAGTTGTTTCCTGAGTACACGCCAGGCCTGAGCTCCAGGAGGCAGGGCAGCTGTCAGCCTCCGGGTCCAGGTGACAGCTACACAGCGTGGGGCCTGCGCAGTCTGGCGGACCAGCTCCCACCAGGGCGCAATACTCAGGGATGTGCAGGGGTCCACCTAGACCTCCGGGCCCTTGAGCTAGACAACCTGAGCCTCAGCTTCCTCCCTTATAAAACGGGAACCACAAAAGCTTCCTGCCTCCCTGGGCTCCTAAGGAGACTGAATGAGAAACACTTCGTGCAAGGTGCTTGGCATGGGGTATGTTACAATTAAGTGCACAGCAAGCTGTTCTAAGTATACTTATTGCTAACGCTTCTTCCAAAAACTGCTGCGACCACCTCCTGCTTCCGTTCCTGCAGGTTGACAGGCCAAGAGGAATAAGAATCTAACCGTGGCTGGGCGCAGTGGCTCCCTCCTGTAATCCCAGCACTTTGAGAGGCGAAGGTGGGAGATCTCTCAAGCCCAGGAGCTGGAGACCAGCCTGGGCAACATAGTGAAACCCCATCTCTACAAACAATTAAAATTAGCCGGTGTGGCAGTGCACACCTGTAATCTCAGCTACTCAGGAGGGTGGGGTGGGAGGATGGCTTGAGCCTGGGAGTTCAAGGCTGCAGTAAGCTATGATCGTGCCACTGTACTCCAGCCTGGGCAACAGAACTGGACACTGTGTCTTTAAAAAAATTAAAAGAATCTAATTTTTATTCGATATTTACAATCGATGTTATTTGATATTTATTAATATAATTTGATATCTATCATCGAACTTTGATTAGATATTTATCATCATTTATTTAGTTGCTATTTATCGACTGCTGTGCCTTGGACTTTTCAGGGCCCCAAGACAGTGCAAGCACCCCAGGCCTCAGTTCAGCTTCAACAAAATAGGTACAAAGAGGTAAGCCTGGCCGGGTGCGATGGCTCACACCTGTAATCCCAACACTTTGGGAGGCCTAGGTGCGCAGATCATGTGAGGTCAGGAGTTCGAGACCAGCCTGGCCAACATGGCAAAACCCCGTCTCTACTAAAAGTACAAAAATTAGCTGGCGTGGTGGCACATGCCTGTAACCCCAGCTACTCGGGAGGCTGAGGCAGGAGAATCACTTGAACCCAGGAGGCGGAGGTTGCAGTGAGTCGAGATCGTGCCACTGCACTTCAGCCTGGGGGACAGAGCAACACTCTGTCTCAAAAAAAAAAAAAAAAAAGAGTTAAGCCCCATCTCTAAACACAAAGTCCGGGAGCACGGTTTTCCAATTCCTCTAGGTTAGCCCTGGGGAAGAAGAGCCTCACCTTCCTCCTTGCGACAGCCTTTGAAGCCTTCCGGGTCTCAATCCTGAAGGTGCGGACAATCTGAGGATGGGAGGGGAGAAGGGTCAGGCTCCTGGGACCAAGGGATCTCCTTTATCAACCTCCTCAACACACCCCACCCCATTCCGGTCTATGGGCCCCCAAGCACAAGGGTCCCCACTCCCTGCACCCCCCACCCTCACCTTGAACTTCTTGCCATCCTCATCTATCTTGTACTCTGTCACTGTCTTTATGTTTCCGTTGATGACCTCCTTGGGAGGCGGCAGTGGAGCTGGCAGAAGGGGAAAAACAGAGAAAGACTGAGCCCTGGGTCATGGGGATCAGGAGCGGCAGGGCTGGAGGGAGAGGCAGCCCGGACACCGAGTGGCAGTCCTCACTCACCTCCCGGCAGTCCTCACTCACCTCCCGGCAGTAGCTCTGGCTCTGGGCTGGTGTCACCTGTGGCCAGAGGGATCCCCTTGAGGAGCTCGCTGGTGACACATTTGTCTGCAAAAGGCAGCGTAGGAAGGAGGAGTCAGCTCCAGGGGCAGGAGCTCCCCAGCTGCGATGGAAGGGCTTTTGGGATGACGCCTACAGCAAAAGCGGAGAAAGGCAGGCCAAGGGCAGAGGGCTGGCCAGGCAACGCACTGGGATGGCCCTGTGGGGACTCGGAGTGGCAAGGATGGGAGATCCCTCGTAGGAAGGTGGGTGCCAGGCCATGAAGCCAACCAGGCGCCAGTAGAGAAACAGGAGACGGGAGATTACAACTTCCTCCCTGGAGGGGAACAGCTGGGAGGCAGTGGCATGGGAGGAAGAGGGACCCGCCGGGGAACACCTGGAGTTGGCAACAGGCGGGTCCCAAGGAGGATGGCGCGGGGCAGGGGCAGACCGTGACGGGGTACACGGTGCCAGACTGGGAGATGGAAGCAGGCGGCAGTCACACGGCTTGGGCCTGGCCGCGAATACCCCGGGCGACCGTGTACACTTACCGTCCTCCCCCTCCTCCTCCACCTGGTCGGCCCAACTGGGCTTCGAACTGCGGAAACAAATGTGTGGGGAACGAAGATTAAGTCAGCCAGGCCCGGCTCCCGCAGCCTCGGCGTACCCAGGCCCCATAATACTTCCCAGAGCACCCCAACCGCTTCCCGTGCCCCTTTCCGCGATCGCCGACTCACTCAAAGTCTCCAGTAGGCATCGCAAAAAGTATTCTCCACGCAGCCCAAGCCCGGCCAGAGAGCGGAAGCGGGCGAAAACGAGACTTCCGGTGCCGCCGTCGCCGCCTAGAGGGGCCCAGCCGCGGCACCCACAGCGACACCTGCGGACGGAGGTGGAGGCGCACGCGGCTGTGTATGCTACTGGGCGCTGCTGGTACCAGAGTAGGGCCAGCGGGGGCAGAGGCTGATTTCAGGGCTGGTCCTATTAACCTTTAAAATTAAAATAGGCCAGGCGAGGTGGCTCAAGCCTGTAATCCTCGCACTTTGGGAGGTCGAGGCGGGCGGATCACCTGAGGTAAGGAGTTCGAGACCAGCTTGGCCAACGTGGCGAAACCCCGTCACTACTAAAAACACAAAAATTAACTGGGCGTGGTAGTGCGTGCCTGCAGTTCCAGCTACTCGGGAGGCTGAGGCAGGAGAATCGCTTGAACCCGGGAGGCGGAGGTTGCAGTGAGCCGAGATCGCGCCACTGCACTCCAGCCTGGCGACAGAGCGAGACACCGTCTCAAAAAAAAAAAAAAAAAAAAAATTAGCCAGGCGTGGTGGTGGGCACCTGTAATCCCAGCTACTCGGGAGGCTGAGGCGGGAGAATCGCTTGAACCCAGGAGGCGGAGGCTGCAGTGAGCCGAGATCGCACCACTGCACTCCAGCCTGGGGCTGCAGAGTGAGACTCCGTCTCAGAAAAATAAGTAAAATTAAAATAAATAATAATAATCATAAAGCTCACTTATTGAGTGCTTATTGTATATGAAGCATGGTGAGGAGGATATTACTTCCATTTTACAGCTGAAGAAACTGAGGCTCAGACTGGGTGCAGTGGCGCCTGCCTGTAATCCCGCACTTTGGGAGACCAAGGCGTGGGGATGGCTTGAGGCCAGGAGTTTGAGACAAGCCTGGGCAACATAGTGAGACCCCTGTCTCTAAAAAAGAAAAAAAGAAAAAGAAAGAAAAAAGAAACCAAAGTTCGGGGAAAACAATCCTTTTGCTTAAACTGTTCCTTGTCTTCTTTCCCGATCCCAATGATTCAGATGCCAAGTGGCCTCCCCTCAGCCACTCCCTCTTCTTTTCTTTGTAGCATTCTTGGCTTTCCGGTATAATTTTGTGCATTTACTTGTTTATTGCTCAGCTCCTTGCTCTAAGCACAACCGTCCTCAGTCGAAGTGATTCATGATGACTCCCCAGGGGAAAAAACTGGTCCTCAGGGAGGAAAAAAATCTTAGATATTGTGGTCTTCCAAAGCCAGCTCTATCAGACAGCATTTATCCCTAAGTATTTAGTTTCTGCCTTTAGGGAGATATTAAATGTAATTAAATTGAAATTAATTTAGTTGATGTAAATTCAATTTTAGGATAATTCGGGTTTTCTCCTAAGAAGGGTGATAATGAACAAAAAACGTTTGACAATGTCGGACGCAGTGGCTCACGCCTGTAATCCCAGCACTTTGAGAGGCCAAGATGGGCAGATCTCTTGAAGTCAGGAGTTCGAGACCAGCCTGGGCAATATGGCGAAACCCCGTCTTTACTAAAAATACAAAAATTAGCTGGGTGTGGTGGCCCGCGCCTGTAATCCCAGAACTTTGGGAGACTGAGGCAGAAGGATCACTTCAGCCCTGGAATTCGACCAGCCTGGGCAACACATAGTGAGACCCCCCATCTCTAAAAAACAACTTTTTTTTTTTTTTTTGAGATGGAGTCTCACTCTGTCGCCCAGGCTGGAGTGCAGCGGCGCAATCGCGGCTCACTGCAACCTCTGCCTTCCGGGTTCTAGTGATTCTCCTGCCTCAGCCTCCCGAGTAGCTGGGATTACAGATGACCACCACCACGCCGTGCTAATTTTTGTGTTTTTAGTAGACGGTTTAGTAGAGACGGGGGCCCACCTCGGCCTCCCAAGGTGCTGGGATTACAGGTGTGAGCCACTGCGCCCGGCCCTTAAAAAAATTTTTTTTTTTTAATCAGCTGGGCATAGTTCTGTGTGCCTGTAGTCCCAGATACTCAGGAGGCTGAGGTGGGAGAACAGCTTCAGCCCAGGAGGTTGAGCCATGATCATGCGACTGTACTTCAGCCTGGGTAACAGAGAGAGACCCTGTCTCAAAAACACACACACGCACACACACACACGCAACAAAACAAAAAATAACTTGTAAGGGAGAATGCCCTGAGAAAAATAAATAAGAAGACAGGAAAAAAAAGTTTATGCTTTTTTATCCTCTGAGTTGTGAGTGAGGAGGCCACTCAAGTGTTTGGAATATCACCAACTTTTCTTGTGGAAAAAATTATTCTAGAAGCCTGTAGAGAGCCAAGTGGAAGGGAAAACATTAGCTGGAGAGCAGGAAAGAGAGGCACGCCGCTGTGGCCTTTCAGGAGGGTGGCCTGGCTATATTGGTGAAAATATGAAGCTGGTCCAAAGGACTGATAAACATTTTTACAAGCTTACTCAAATGTACTCTGAGCAACACAAAATCCAAACAACCCAGCAGATTGGGCAAAGCTTCAAAAATTCGATATCACCCCGTGGTAGTAAAGATGTTATAGGGAAACAGGCTGGGCACCTGTAATCGGGAGGCCGAGGTGGGTGGATCACCTGAGGTTAGGAGTTCAAGACCAGCCCCTGGCCAACATGGTGAGATGCCGTCTCTACTAAAAATACAAAAAAAAAAAAAAAAAAATCTGGCCATGGTGGTGGGTGCCTGTAATCCCAGCTACTTGGGAGGCTGAGGCAGGAGAATCGCCATTGCACTCCAGCCTGGGCGACAGAGCAAGACTCCATCTCAAAAAAAAAAAAAAAAAAAAGAGGAAGCGATATATAAAATGGCATATATTACAGGAACCAATTTGTGTAAATCTTCAACAGCACATAGATATGCAGATATATGCAAATCATTTCCTGGAAAGAAAGAATCAGAACCTGTTAATGAGGAATGCTTTGGAAAGAAGGCACCAAGAAAGGAAATATTATTTTTGGACATGTATTAATATATAATATGCATTTATGTAATATATGTGAGATGTAACATATAAATATATTTCTTGGCTGGGCACTGTGGTTCGTGCCTATAATCCCAGCAGTTTTGGAGGCCAAGGCAGAAAGATTTCTTGAGCCCAGGAGTTCAAGACCAGACTAGGCAACATCATTGAGACCCCATCACTACACACAAAAAATTGCTGGGTGTGGTAATGCACGCCTGTAGTCCCAGCTACCTGGGAGGCTGAGGTAGGAGGATTGCTTGAGCCCAGGAGGTCAAGGCTGCAGTGAGCTATGATTGTGCCATTACACTCTGGCCTGGGTGACAGAGCAAAAACCCTGTCTCTAAAAAAGAAAGAGGCTGAGCACAGTGGCTCACGTCTGTAATCCCAGCACTTTGGGAGGCCAAGGCAGGCAGATGACCTGAGGTCAGGAGATCAAGACCAGCCTGGAAAACGTGGTGAAAACCCATCTCTATTAAAAATACAAAAATTACCTGAGCATGTTGGTGCATGTCTGTAATCCCAGCTACTCAGGAGGCTGAGGCAGGAGAATCGCTGGAGCCCAGGAGGTGAGGCTGCCATGAGCCAAGTGCTGGGATTACACAGGTGTGAGCCACATCAAGGTTTGGGTGCAAGAGTACATCTGGTTATAGATTACAGAAGCATAATACCCTGACCCCATTAGATGTTATTTTATGTGTAGGAAAAGGTTTGAACCAGGTCCTTTTTTTTTTTTTTTTTTTTGAGATGGAGTCTCACTCTGTTGCCCAGGCTGGAGGGCAGTGGCACAATCTCGGCTCACTGCAAGCTCCGCCTCCTGGGTTCACGCCATTCTCCTGCCTCAGCCTCCTGAGTAGCTGGGACTACAGGCACCCGCCACCACGCCCAGCTAATTTTTGTATGTTTAGTCGAGATGGGGTTTCACCGTGTTAGCCAGGATGGTCTTGATCTCCCGACCTTGTGATCCGCCCACCTTGGCCTCCCAAAGTGCTGGGATTACAGGTGTGACCCACCCGTGCCCGGCCCAGGTCCTTTTTTTCTTTTTTCTTTTTTTTTTGGGGGACGGAGTCTTGCTCTATTGCCCAGGCTGGAGTGCAGTGGTGCGATCTCAGCTCACTGCAACCTCCGCCTCCTGGGTTCAAGCGGTTCTCCCGCCTCAGCCTCCTGAGTAGCTGGGATTACAGGCATGCACACCACCACACCCGGCTAATTTTGTATTTTTAGTAGAGACGGGGGTTTCTCCATATTGGTCAGGGTAGTCTCGAACTCCCGACCTCAGGTGATCCGCCTGCCTGGGCCTCCCAAAGTGCTGGGATTACAGGCATGAGCCACCGCACCTGGCACGCCTTTTTTTTTTTTTTTTTTTTTTTGAGACAGGGTCTTTCTCTGTCACCCAGGCTGGAGTGCAGTGGCACGATCACAGCTCACTGCAGCCTCAACCTCCCCAGGCTAAGGTGATGCCCTTGCCCTGGTCTCCCAAAATGCTGGGATCACAGGCATGAACCACCGTGCCCAGACTCATTTAAGGAATATAGTGACTCGGGCAAGGGACATGGTGTGCCCTGTGCTCTGTCCTGTTTTGTCTTCAAAGCCTTGTTCTGTAGAGCTGCGCAGACGTGTCTCACGTGTCTCAGAGTCAGGGGCTTTGTGAAATTACGCTGGAAAGCAGAATTGAGCAAACCCAGCTTAACATTAGTTACTTTTTCTCACATTTTCACAACAAAATATCACAGACTAGGAGGCTTAAACAGCACACATTTATTTTCTCAGTTCTGGAGGCTGGAAGTCCAAGATCACAGTGTCGGCAGGGTTGGTTTCTTCTGAGGTGGGGGCACCTTCTCCCTCGGTCCTCACGTGGCCTCCTCTGTGTGTGTCTATGTCCCAATCTCTTCTTCTAAGGACATCAGTCATATTGGATTAGGGCCCACCCTAATGACCTCATTTAAACTTTTTTTTTTTAATTATTTTTTTTAAAGGTGAAGTCTCACTCTGTAGTCCAGGCTGGAGTGCAGTGGTGCAATCTCAGCTAATGGCAACCTCCACCTCCTGGGTTCCAGTGATTCTCCTGCCTCAGCCTCCCGAGTAGCTGGGTCTACAGGCATGTGCCACCACACCTGGCTAATTTTTGTATTTTTGTATTTCTAGTAGAGACGGGGTTTCACCAAGTTGGCCAGGCTGGTCTCAAACTCCTGATCTCAAGTGGTTTGCCTGCCACGGCCTCCCAACGTGCTGGGATTACAGGCATAAGCCACCACACCTGGGTTTAATTTTCTCTCTAAAGGTCCTGTTTCTGCTGGGCACAGTGGATCACGTCTGTAATCCCAGCACATTGGGAGGCCAAGGTGGGCGGATCCCTTGAGGTCAGGAGTTCGAGACCAGCCTGGCCAACATAGCGAAACCCCTGTTGTCTACTACAAATACAAAAATTAGCCAGGTGTGGTGGCAGGCATCTGTAATCCCAGCTGCTCGGGAGGCTGAGGCATGGCAATCCCTTGAACCCGGGAGGCAGAGGTTGCCATGAACCAATACTGCGCCACTGAACTCCAGCCTGGGCGATGGAGTGAGACTCCTTTTTTTTTTTTGAGATGGAGTTTTGCTCTTGTTGCCCAGGCTGGAGTGCAGTGGCATGATCTTAGCTCACCGCAACCTCCACCTCCCGGGTTCAAGTGATTCTCCTGCCTCAGCTTCCCTAGTAGCTGGAATTACAGGCATGTGCCACCATGCCCAGCTAATTTTGTATTTTTAGTAGAGACGGGGTTTCTCCATGTTGGCCAGGCTAGTCTTGAACTCCAAACTCAGGTGATTCGCCTGTCTTGGCCTCCCAAAGTGCTAGGATTATAGGTGTGAGCCGCCGCACCCGGCCAAGACTTTGTAAAAAAAAATAAAAATAGGCCATGCGCGGTGGCTC
Organism: Homo sapiens; assembly: GCF_000001405.40. Taxonomy (NCBI): domain Eukaryota; kingdom Metazoa; phylum Chordata; class Mammalia; order Primates; family Hominidae; genus Homo; species Homo sapiens. Next base: position 10,125,750 of record NC_000019.10, read on the forward strand.
ACACCTGTAATCCCAGCACTTTGGGAGGCCGAGGTGGGAGGATCACTTGAGGTCAGGAGTTCGAGACGAGCCTGGCCAACATGATGATACCCCATCTCTACTAAAAATACAAAAATCAGCTGGGTGTGGCCAGGCATGGTGGCTCACGCCTGTAATCCCAGCACTTTGGGAGGCCAAGGTAGGTGGATCACCTGAGGTTGGGAGTTCGAGACCAGCCTGACCAACATGGAGAAACCCTGTCTCTCCTAAAAATACAAAATTAGCTGGGCGTGGTGGCGCATGCCTGTAATCCCAGCTACTCAGGAGGCTGAGGCAGGAGAATCGCTTGAACCCAGGAGGCAGAGGTTGTGGTGAGCCGAGATCCTGCCATTGCAGTCCAGCCTGGGCAACGAGAAGGTAACTCTGTTTCAAAAGAAAAAAAAAAAAAACAGCTGGGCGTGGTGGTGCGTGCCTGTAATCCCAGCTACTAAGGAGGCTGAGGCAGGAGAATCACTTGAACCCAGGAGGCGGAGGTTGCAGCGAACCAAGATTGCGCCATTGCACTCCAGCCTAGGCAACAGAGACTCCATCTCAAAAAAAAAAAAAAAGTAAATAGAGATAAAAAGAAAGAAATACTAAATTGATGGACATGCAGATGTGGTAACAGCCAAAAAACAGGGGCAGAAAGGAGACGTGGCAATGTCCTTACTGTGGTTTTTCTAGGGAAGTAGATGGGCACCTCAGCCTTACATGTTTATTTCATTTAAAAAACAGCCTTCCACTATGAACTATGGTATGGTGGTTCCTCAAAACATTAAAAATAGAACCACCAAATGACCCAGCACTTCCACATCTGCTTTATACTTACAAGAATTGAAATCACTGGAGACCAGCCTGGGCAACAGAGTGAGACGCCATCTTTACAAAAAATAATCATATATTAAAAGGAAAAAAAAAGAAGCCAGGCACGGTGGCTTACACCTGTAATCCCAGCACTTTGGAAGGATGAGGAGGGACGATCATTGGAGCCCAGGAGTTTGAGACCAGCCTGGGCAACATAGCAAGAACTCATCTTTACTAAAAATAAAAATAAAAATTAGTTAGGCGTGATGGTACATACTTGTAGTCCCAGCTACTCCAGAGACTGAGGTTGGGGGATCTCTGGAGCGAAGGAGTTCGAGGCTGCAGTGAGCTATGATCGCATCACTGCAGTCCAGTCTGGGTGAAAGAACAAGACCCTGTCTCTAAAAAGAAAAGACAAGGTTTCTAATTCTTACACCAAAATACATCCTCAAGTTGTTCTTGGTGAAGGATCGTATACCTGAAAATGTGACCACTGAAAAAGTGGGATTAAAAACAAGGAAATTCAGGCCAGGCGCGGTGGTTCACACCTGTAATCCTAGCACTTTGGGAGGCTGAGGCAAGCGGATCACCCGAGGTCAGGAGTTCAAGACCAGCCTGGCCAACATGGTGAAACCCCATCTCTACTAAAAATACAAACATTAGCTGGGTGTGATGGCCCATGCCTGTAATCTCAGCTACTCAGGAGGCTGAGGCAAGAGAATCCCTTGAACCCAAAGATGGAGGTTGCAGTGAGCAGAGATCGCGCCACTGCACTGCAGCTTGGGTGACAGAGTGAGACTCCATCTCCAAAAAAAAAAAAAAAAAGGAATTCAACAAGTTGGTTAGATTCAAAAAACACAGTTTACAAAATCACAGCCAATACAAATGGAGCATCTCTCCATAGGCAAAGGACCATGGTTTAGAAATCAAGAAAACATCCCATTTATATTAGTAATGAAGGGACTAAATACTTAGGAATCAAGTTATGAAGTCTGCAAGATCTGGATGAAAAGCTGTGGACACAAAGGAATTCCTGAACAAACAGGACAAACCCTGTTCTTAGAAAGGAAGGCTTGTCATTAACATGTCAATTCTTCCAGAAGTCTGCAAAGTTAATGAAATCCCTATAAAACACCTGCTTGACTTTTAGCGGCTGTGCCAGTTCTAAAGTTTCAATCCAGTCATTCAACTCCTAGAAAAGTAGCCTAGACGTGGATACACATGTGTATACAAATCTATGTCCAGCCATCCCTCGGTATCCCCAGGGGATTGGTTCTAGGACCCCATGTGGTACCAAAATCAGAATGTGCTCAAATCCCTAATATAAAATGTCATAGGCCGGGCATGGTGGCTCACACCTGTAGTTCCAGCACTTTGGGAGGCTGAGGCGGGTGGATCATTTGAGGTCAGGAGTTCAAGACCAGCTTGACCAACATGGTGAAACCCCGTCTCTACTAAAAATACAAAAAAATTAGCCGGGCGTGGCGGCACATGCCTGTAATCTCAGTTACTTGGGAGGCTGAGGCAGGAGAATCACTTGAACCCGGGAAGCAGAGGTTGCAGTGAGCCAAGATTGTGCTACTGCACTCCAGCCTGGGCGACAGAGTGAGACTCTGTCTCAAATATAAAATAAAATAAAATAAAATAAAATGGCATAGTATTTGCATATACGCTACACATATTCTCCTGTGTACACTACTTTTTGACAGAGTCTTGCTTTGTCACCCAGGCTAGTGCAATCTCGGCTTAATGCAACCTCCACCTGCTGGGCTCAAGTGATCCTCCCATCTCAGCCTCTGGAGTAGCTGGGACTACAGGTGTGTGCCACCATGCTCAGCAAATTTTTGTTATTTTTTGTAGAGAAGGTGTTTCGCCATGTTGGCCAGGCTGGTCTTGAACTCCTGGCCTCAAGTGTTCCTCCTACCTTGGCCTCCCAAAGTGCTGGGATTACAGGCATGACCCACTGCGCCCGGCCTCTCCTGTGTACTTTATGTCGTCTCTAGATTATTTGTAATACCTGACATAACGTCTACACGTTGCTTTATTCTCATGGATTCCATGTAGTACTTGGTAAGTGGCAAATACAAGTTTTGCTTTTTGGAACTTTGTGGAATTTTTCTGAATATTTTAAATCTGTGGTTGGTTGAATGCCAGAGGTGGAACCCTTGGATACAAAGGCCTGACCTGCATCACAATTCAATCTACTGCTCTTGAGACTGTAGTTGTTTCCAAACAATATAAAGAAAAAAAGTTCAAATAAAGGCTTTCTAAGAGATTTATTGTATAACATAGTGAGTATAGTTAATATATTCTTGTCCAGGCGCAGTGGTTCATGCCTATAATCCCAGCATTTGGGGATGCCAAGGCAGGTAGATCGCTTGAGCCCAGGATTCTGAGACCAGCCTGGGCAACAAAGCGAGATCCTGTCTATAAAAAAATATAAAAATCAGCTACCAGGCATGGTAGCTCATGTCTGTAATCCCAGCACTTTGGGAGGCCGAGGCAGGCAGATCGCTTGAGCCCAGGAGTCTGAGACCAGCCTGGCCAACATGGCGAAACCCCATCTCTACTAAAAACATAGAAATTAGCCAGGCCTGGTGGCAGGCCTGTAATCCCAGCTACTCGGGAGACTGAGGCATGAGAATAGCTTGAACCCAGGAGGCAGAGGTTGCAGTGAGCCAAGATCGCACCACCGTACTCCAGCCTGGTGACAGAGTGAGATTCCGTCTCAAAAATAAATAAAAATAAAAATAATGATTAGCTGGGTATGGCGGCACATGCCTGTGGTCCCAGCTACTACAGAAGCTGAGGTGGGAGGATCACGTGAGGCCAGGAGTTTGAGACCACCCTGAGCAACACAGTGAGACCCCATCTCCACAAAAAAAATGTAAAACTTAGCTGGGCATGGTGGCATGCGCCTGTAGTTCCAGCTACTCAGGAGGCTGAGGCAGGAGGATCACTTAAGCCCAGGAGATCAAGGCTGCAGTAGAACATCGCTGCACTCCAGCCTGGGCAACAGAGCAAGATCCTGCCTCTAAAATATATATATATTTTTTTTAAAAAGGACAAAACTGATACACATATTAATGACATGGATGAATCCCAAAGGCATTTATGCTGAAAGATCTGAAACACAAGAGCCCATGCTGGCCTGAACAGGCAGGTGTCATCTATGGAGACAAAACTGGATGGGAGGCTGCCCAGGGACTGGGAAGGGGGAGATCAAGTGGGAAGAGGCACAAGGTGACCTGAGGTGACAGAGACATTCTCTATCTTGATAAGGATATAGGCTACAGTGCTATGTTCACTTCTCGAAATTTAAGCTGAACATTTAGGACTCGCATATTTCATATTCTACCCCAATTTTCAAAAATAGAGGAACAAGAGAGATTCCTAGGTAAGACAACCTTCGAGGTGCAAGACAGTTTATTTTTTTTTCGAGACAGTCTCGCTTTGTTGCCCAGGCTGGAGTGTGGTGGTGTGATCGTGGCTCACTGCAGCCGCCGCCTCCCAGGTTCAAGCAATTCTGCCTCAATCTCCCAAGTAGCTGGGATTACAGGCATGTACCACACCTGGCTGATTTTTGTATTTATACTAGAGATGGGGTTTCACCCTGTTGGCCAGGGTGGTCTTAAACTCCTGACCTCAGGTGATCCACCTGCCTGGGCCTCCCAAAGTGTTGGAATTACAGGCGTGAGCCACCGTGCCCGGCCCAAAGCAGTTTATTTTTGAGACAGGGTCTCGCTGTGTTACCCAGGCTGGAGTGCAGTGGCACAATCTCGGTTGCAGTGAGCCGAGATTGCTACTGCAACCTCCACCTCCTGGGCTCAAGCGATTCTCCCACTTCATGCTCCTGAGTAGCTGGGACTACAGGCACGTGCCACCATGTCCCACTAAGTTTTGTAAAGGCAATCTTAATAGACACTATCACCAGGCGTGGTGGCTCACGCCTGTAATCCCAGCACTTTTGGAGGCCAAGGTGGGTGGATCACCTGTTGTCAGGAGTTTGAGACCAGCCTGGCCAACATGGTGAAACCCCATCTCTACTAAAATTAGCTGGGCGTGGTGGTAGGCGCCTGTAATCTCAGCTACTCGGGAGGCTGAGGCAGGAGAATCGCTTGAACCCAGGAGGCGGAGGTTGCAGTGAGCCAAGATCATGCCATTGCACTCCAGCCTGGGCAACAAGACCACAACTCCATCTCATTTAAAAAAAAAAAAAAATTGACACTATTGGCTGGGTATGGTGGCAGATACCTGTAATCTAGCACTTTAGGAAGCCAAGCGGGAGGATCGCTTGAGGCCAGGAGTTTGAGACCAGCCTAGGCAATATAGTGAGACTGCATCTCTACGTAAGTAAAAATTAGGCCTGGTGTGGTGGCTCATGCCTGTAATCCCAACACTTTGGGAGGCTGAGGTGGGCTGATCACTTGGGGTCAGGAGCTCGAGAACAGCCTGGGCAACATGGTGAAAGCCCGTCTCTACCAAAAATACAAAAATTCGCCAGGCACACGCCTGTAATCCCAGCTACTTGGGAGGCTGGGGCAGGAGGATCCCTTGAACCCGGGAGGTAGAGGCTGCAGTGAGCCGAGATTGCGCCATTGCACTCCAGCCTGGGCAACAAGAGTGAAACTCCATCTCAAAAAACAAAACAAGAATTAGCTACATATGATGGTACAGTCCTGTAGTCCCAGTTACACGGAGGCAGGGGATCACTTGAACCCAGGAGGTGGAGGTTGCCATGAGCCGAGATCAGGCCACTGCACTCCAGCCTGGGTGACAGACTGAGACCCTGTCTCAAAAAAATAGAAAATAAAAAAAGATAATAGGTACATGGGTGATTGTTTTCTCACAAGGTCACACTATGCATTAGTACAAAGATTCAGTTGTCTTGATCAAGGTGCCTTGGAATCCAGAAAAAGAAAACTCATTATACTCATTATATACTTTAAAATGAATTTTTTAGCTTAAAATAGCAGCAGAAAGTATATTTAAAAAAAAATCTCGGATGGGGGAACTTTACCATATGTCAAGCTGAGCTGTTGTACTTTGCTGTGTGCATTTGCTATCAGTCTTATTCAAAAAATAAGCTGAGATCCCCATTTTTAGTCCTTACAAAAGTGATTCATGTGTTAAAATGGGAATGTCAGAAATGTGGAAGAAGATACATGTTTAAGATCTCTTGCTGGGGGGAGGAAAGGCGTTTCTAAATAGGCTACAAAGGCCGGGCACGGTGACTCATGCTTGTAATGCCAGCACTTTGGGAGGATCACTTGAGGTCAGGAGTTCAAGACCATCCTGGCCAACATGGCAAAACCCTGTCTCTACTAAATTAACAAAAATTGGCCAGATGTACTGGCAGGCGCCTGTAATCCCAGCTACTCAATCCCTGCTACTTGGGAGGCTGAGGCAGGAGAATTGCTTAAACCCGGGAGGCGGAGGTTGTGGTGAGCAGAGATCACACCACTGCACTCCAGCCTGGGCGACAGAGTGAGAATCCGTCTCAAAAATAAACAGGCTACAAAAAACTAAGAGTGACAAATATAAATTGACTTCCTAAAAATGGGAGGTCTCTGTATGGCACAGACATGATAAGCCAGGATGACTGAGCAGGGGCAGTCATCCCAAATGCCCAGGGAGCTCCCAGCAAAGACAGTCATGTGGCCATCACAGAGAAACGGTACATCCAGTGGCCAAAGGACACACAGAAGTGTTATGTCACTATTAAAAAATGCTGGCCAGGCATGGTGGCTCACACCTATAATCCCAGCACTTTGGGAGGCCGAGGCAGGCGGATAACCTGAGGTCGGGAGTTTGAGACCACCCTGACCAACATGGAGAAACCCCGTCTCTACTAAAAATACAAAATTAGTTGGGTGTGATGGCGCATGCCTGTAATCCCAGCTACTTGGGAGGCTGAGGCAGGAAAATCACTTGAACCTGGGAGGCGGAGGTTGCAGTGAGCAGAGATCGTGCCACCGCACTCCAGCCTGGGCAACAAGAACGAAACTGTCTCAAAAAAAAAAAAAAAAAAGCTAATGGGAGGCTGGGTGCAGTGGATCACACCTGTAACCCAGCACTTTGGGAGGTCCAGGTGGGCGGATCATGTCAGGATTTCAAGACCAGCCTGGCCAACATGGTGAAACATCGTCTCTACTAAAAATACAAAAATTAGCTGGGCGTGGTGATGGGCGCCTACAATCCCAGCTACTCGGGAGGCTGAGGCAGAATTTCTTGAACCCAGGAGGCAGAGGCTGCATTGAACGGAGACTGCCCCACTGCACTACAGCCTGAGCAACAGAGCAAGACTGTCTCAAAAAAAAAAAAAAATTCTTTGGAAAGAAAAAAAACCCAACTAAAGAGGTTTTGCTTGGGGATGGGGTGGCCGGGGCTCCAAGGGCAGCTCAGTGGTGACTTCTCTCTCCTTATTCCACCAGTTGCAGCACAGAGCTCTGCCTCATGGTCACAGGATGGCTGCTCCACTGCCAGGCATCACAACCCACTTCAGACCAAAGAAGGCCTACCAGCCACGGGGAAGGCCAGCCAAGACTTCCTTTAAAAGGCTTTCCTGGAAGCTACACTAGCAAGTTCCATTTGCATGTCATGGGGATCAACTCACGTGACTCAGTTCTGAACAAACACAGACAGACACACGGAGTGTCTAGCTTCAAACGTGCTAGCTTCAAACTCCACGTGGGTCGCCTTCAGCATGGAAGAGCTTGTTCCTGTCTGACCTCAGCCAGAAGTCCCGTGCAAATCACGAATACCCACCCAGGGTGGTTTATAGGAGAGATTTATTTGAAGAAATATTACAACATATAAAAACTACATAAAGTCTTAATTTCCACTCATACAGTGGTAGATTTGATATAATGCATAATAAAAAACTTTTAAAATCCAGAATGCACAAAGTACTGCACAATTTGATCACTAAATCATTAGTTGATAAGCGAACCTCACACAACAGCTTCATGTCAGCCAAGGCCACAAACACCATGTACCACACATGTGAACGGACAGATTGACATGTTAAAAACACAACATCAGTGCATGTTGGGGATTCCTGGTGCCAGAAACAGGGGTGACGGGAGGGCAGAACTAGTCCTTAGCAGCTTCCTCCTCCTTTATTTTAGCTGAAGGGAAATAAAAGGAAAAGTCACTCTGGGGAACACGCCCGGTGTCACGCCACTTGACAGGCGAGTAACAGACATGGACCATCAGGAAACATTAACGTACTGATGTTAACAGCTGACCCAATAAGTGGCAGAGTGCTAAGGGAACGTTCACGGAGACTGAACACTCCTCAAACGGTCCCCAGAGGGTTCTAGACCCAGAGGCTCAAGTGAGCAGCTGAGGCAGGTGCCTGCTGAGCCAAATTCACCGAGCAGGAGTGAGGGAAACGGCCCCAGGGCCAGCCCAGCAGCCAACCTGACCAAAGGCCTGCTGTGTGCAGCACGCCTGCTCTAAGCACTTGACACGTGCAACTCACTCAATCCTCACAGCAGCCCCTTGAGAAAGATGGGGCCACGAACGTGGGTAGGTGACCCGCCTGAGTCCCAGAGCCCAAAACGGTGGCCAGCAACTGCCCCCACATGTACCCCCAGAGGGCAGTCAGGCCCCAGAGGAAGCCTGGCCCACCCCACCATACCTGAGGCACTCTCTCGGGCTTTGGCCAACATACAAAGCTTGATCTCCAAGCCAATGGCTTTGGCCAGGGGCGGTGGCACGGCATTGCCCACCTGCAGGAGGGGAGAAGGGCAATGCCTGATGTGGACACCCAGGCCCAAGGCCCGGGGGCAGGTGTACTGCCAGCCCCTGCTCAGATGGAGGACAACCTGGGCATTGCACCCCTTGGGGAAGGGTTCTGGTCCTGCTCACATGGGCCCAAAACCCTTCCAGCACAAGATCCTTGGACCCTCCAACTGGCCCATCATCCCGCCCCACAGCCACAAGTCACTGGGCCTTTGAAGAGCTTCAGAAAGACTTGAGACAAAGACACGTGGGGCTGGGAGCAGTGGCTCACGCCTGTAATCCCAGCACTTTGGGAGGCCAAGGCAGGTGGATTAGTTGAGGCCAGGAGTTCGAGAGCAGCCTCGCCAACATGGTGAAACCCCGTCTCTACTAAAAGTACAAAAACTAATTAGCTGGGCATGGTGGCACATGCCTGTAATCCCAGCACCTCAGGAGGCTGAGGCAGGAGAATCACTTGAACCCTGGAGGTGGAGGTTGCAGTGGGCAGAGATCATGTCACTGCACTCCAGCCTAGGGGACAGAGTGAGACCCTGTCTCAGAAAAAAAAAAAAAAAAGACAAATGGGCCACCTAGACACGTTTCGCTCCCAGTTAAGAGTGGCTGCTTCCCTGGCCGGCGCAGTGGCTCATGCCTGTAATCCCAGCACTTTGGGAGGCCGAGGCAGGCGGATCACCTGAGGTCAAGAGTTCGGGACCAGCCTGGCCAACATGGTGAAACCCCATCTCTACTAAAAATACAAAAATTAGCCGGGTGTGGTAGCACATGACTGTAATCCCAGCTACTCAAGAGGCTGAGGCAGGAGAATCACTTAAAACCAGGGGGGTGGAAGTTGCGGTGAGCTGAGATCACGCCACTTCACTCCAGCCTGGGCGAAAGAACAAAGCTCCATCTCAAAAAAAAAAAAAAAAAAGAGAGAGTGGCTGCTTCCCGAGAACCAGATTCGGGGGGAGGGGTGAAATGTGGTTTTCACAAGAACCGTGGACACTGGTTTTTAAGCAATGCGCGTGCCCTATGATGAAAATACACTTAACTGAGACTAACTCATAGACTAACTTGTTAAGCCAACCCGACACCTGAGAAGCAGGTAGGAATTAAGGTGCTAGTTCATTTGAACCTACAGCGAGTGAGCTGTCGCCACCATGGGTTTTAGCCTGCTCCTTTAGCGCGACGGACTGTCCTTCTGGCTCAATCTCTGCCTCAAAAACAAACAGTAAGGAACCAGCATAGGGACGCAGCCTGACTCGGATGTCTCAGCACTGTCCCTCCTGTGGGCCGTCTTCCCACTGAGAGTGATGGGGCTACCCGGCAGCCAGCAGGCGTCCTCCCGGAAGTGACTGCGCTGGCCCCAGCCCCACCTGGTGACAGGCACAGAAGCCTCCTTCCTGTCCAGACCCAGCGGGCGCCGCCCCACTGACCTGCCGGTGCTTGTCCAGGATGTTGCCGAAGAGCCGGTAGGTGTCAGGGAAGCCCTGGGAGCGGGCACACTCCCGCACGCTCACCACACGGTGCTGCTCTGGGTGGAGCACGCGGCCCTGGGGGAAAGAGGCGCGGTGGGCGAGGGCAGTAGCACCCAGGCCGGGTCACCGTCGGGGACAGGGAGGGAAATGGCACTGTGACAGCATACGGCCATGGCCTTGGCCTATGAGCTTGTCCCGTGGACGTGGAGGGGCAGGAGGCAGAGGCCAGGTGCCTGGGGTCCTGGGGTGCTGTCCCCCACTTGGCTAAACCCACACTTCCACCTAGTTAGGCCGCCAAGTACAGGGCCTGACCCAGGCCCTCGGATGCCCCCTCCCCACCTACCTGCTTGCCCATGGGCTCGGGGTTGGTGACGGTTGTGCTGAAGAAGCCGTCCCACTCGAGCCTTCCATAGAGGCCAGCCCAGTGGTTGTGCCGGTTCCCGGTGTGGGGCAGGCACCAGGGGATGAGGGTGTTGAACTGCCTGGCTGCGGGGTCGCAGGCTTTGCCGGCTGGAAGACAGGACAGTGATGAGGCTGCAGTTGTGGGATGGGGTATAGGCTTGGGACAGTGGCTCTTAGAGCTTTGGGAGGCAGAGATGGCACCTCCTGTGCAAGGGGCCCCCTGGGGTGGAGCAGCCAACAATCCTCGTTCTCTGGGCACTGTTTTTATTATTAGTATTATATGTCTCGCTCTGTTGCCCAGGCTGGAGTGCAATGGCATGATCTTGGCTCACTGCAACCTCTGCCTATGGGGTTCAAGCGATTCTCCTGCCTCAGCCTCCCAAATAGCTGGGATTATAGGCGTGCGACACCACGCCCGGCTAATTTTTGTAGTTTTAATAGAGATGGGGTTTCACCATGTTGGGCAGGCTGATCTCGAGCTCCTGATCTCAAGTGATCTGCCTGCCTTGGCCTCCCAAAGTGCTGGGATTACAGAGGTGAGCCATCGTGCCTGACCTGCTTTTATTATTTATTTATTGTTTTTTTTTTTTCTTTTTAGAGACAGGGTCTCACTCTGTCTCCCAGGCTGGAGTGCAATGGCACAATCACAGCTCACTGTAGCCTCCTCAACCTCCCAGGCTCAAGTGATCCTCCCGCCTTGGTTTCCCAAAGTGCTGGGATTATAGGTGTGGGCCATGAACCCAGCCTGCTTTTACTACTCAACATGGTCAGCAGCTACCTTCTCTGGGACACCCAGGCTTGGTGTGTCTGTGCCCTGCCCTGGCCTCCAGGTTCACAGGCCAAAGGCCCAGGGCTCTGCCTTCCTTCCCCTCAGCCCACCGGGAACCACAACTTACAGGACCCACCTTCCACGCAGGAGCAGACCCCACGGAGGGCCCCAGAGCTGCTGCGGCCGTTCTTCCTGTCATGGTGGGTATACCGCAGCTTCCTGGCCATGGTGCCGTCTGAGAGCCGCACCTCGATGTTGGGCAGATCGCGCCAGTCTGACCCTGGGGCCAAGGGGATGTGCCGCATGCGGGCAGCCACCAATGCACTCATGTCCTGAAAGAGTGTGGGGGGCCCAGCTGTCACCTCATGTGAGCAGCATCCGAGCATCCATGGTGGGCTGGGAGCTGGGAACACCATGGTGACCAGGAAGCCCCCTGGGGCTCACGCCCATCGGGAAAGAGACAGTCAGGGATATCGCACTTGGCTCGAGGCCACGGCAGGGACCTGAGGCAGCGCAGGTGTAGGAGAGCGTGGGAATCTAAGCTGAGCCTTTAGGGTGGGGGAAGGGGAGTGGTGCCAGGGGATGGTGAAAGGGCTGGTCTTGGCATCCTGGGAAAACATGCGGGGAGAGGCAGCAAGGGGGAAGGCAGTGGTGGGTGGGCAGTGGCTTGACACCATTCCAGACCAAGTCCAGGACTGCGGGAGCTCTGACACTTCCCATGACCATGCAAGAGAGACCAGGGGTCACACAAAGGCTGAGGACTCGGGAGGAGGAGCCTGGGATCAGATTCCATGTCTCCCCTGAGTCTTGGGCAGGCTGACTGTTCCCACGAGGCTGCTGGGCTGGGCCTCGAGGAGGAGCCGCTCTGTCAGGGTGCCATTACCTTACAGATGTGGTCCCTGAGGATGGGCTGGTACTGTGCGCCCCGGAGCTGCCTCTGGAACCAGGACTGAGGCTCCCCGTTGTAGGAGATCTCCAGTGCCGAGGCTCCATTCCGCACCTCCGGCAGGTCGGACATCGTGTCTCGCACCGTGATGGTCCGGAAAGGACCCGAGCTCAACCTGCAACAGAGGAGGAGGTCAACACCTCTGGAGATGCACGCAGCAGCTGTCCCCTCATCACAGGTGCCACCCCCTGCCTGCTCAGATGGCCTTCTCCCGAGATCACAGCACTGCCCGAGGTCACATGGGTGGCAGTGTGCCTGGATGCCATCTGGAAGGGGGGATGGGGCTATGGCGTGGGCTTTGTGGATGACCACAGCCAAGCATGCGGCTGGCCGCTCTGCACATGCTATCTACTAGGGAAGCAGATGATGCAGGGTCAGAACTGGAGACCACAGGTGGCAGAGTGCCATGTGGCAGAGCACCGTGTGGCAGGGCAGATGCTGTACCATCCTCTCCTCCCCAAGCCTCACCAGGGAGTACTCACGGGCCCCATGAGCTACTGAGGCCTGCTCGGCAGTGTGTGGAGGAGCGACGGGGGCCACCTACCTGGTTATGTTGCTCACAAACTTCTTGTCATCCACCACCACGCTCAGCTGGCAGGCCCGGGGAGCAAACACGTGCAGTGGCTCCGGGAACAGAGGGAGCTTCTCTCCAGGGGCCGCGGCCAGGATGATGGCCCGCCTCCTAGTCTGGGCCACGCCGTACTGACCGGCCTGTGGGGGAGAAGGACGGACAACCCCACCGTCAGTGGGACACTCCCAACTGGACTGGCCAGACCCAGGCCCAGGGTCAGCAGCCTGAGTCGGGAGTGGCTGGCCAATGCGGAGTGCACTTGCAGAAATCCCCAGTTACCTCAGCAGGCGTGCTCCTGGTCAGAGGAGTTTGGAGCAGATAAAGAACAAAAGCAGCTGAGCCCAGGGGACAGCCACTGGGGAAGGTGGGAGCAAACCCTGCGGGGAAGTCCGGCCAGCTCTGAAAGCACTGCAAGGGCCCCAAGGTCTTAGCACTCGGGGAGAACACTGGAGACCAGGAGCCCTGTCGCTTCCCTGATGGCTGTGGTCACAAGGACAGAGAACGTGGCTGCAACAAGTCTTGTCTGGTGAGCCTGAGTCGCCCTGAGGCTGAGCTAGGGGACCGGGTAGCCAAGTGCTTGCCCACTTAGGCAGACATCCTGTGCTAGCATCTGGATAGCTGTTTCATTTTTAATTATGCCCTCAATTGCTGAGCTGATACAGAGAGGATGGGGGATGCTTTTCAGATAAGGCCTGGGCCCCACAGACTATGTCCATCCCTGTCCCTGCAGACACAGCCACCTGGAGTGCAACCCTCGGCCATCTGTGGGGGTTTGTGTGCGCAGTTACCCAGAGCAAAACTGTCTTTTAAACCAATCGAACAGCTGCCGCCTACACATGGCTCTGCGCACCTCACTTCCCCTCCCGCTCTGTGCAGACTCAGCCATTCCACAGTGCTCCATGGTGGGCTGCTCACCCTTCCCCATCGAGGGAAAGGAGCCAGGAGCTGCATGGCGAGAAGCCCATTGTAGCCAGCCCTCCCAGGCATGTTCGAGAACACAGCTCAAGAGACACTAGCGGTGGACTTGCTGGGGGCCGGCTGAGCACGCATCTCCCCTGACTCCGCCAGTGGGACAGAGCACCATGCCAGCCTCTGCTGCCTGGATGGCAGGCCTATGCCATTGAACCCTGCCTTCAGTAAGGGATGGCTGGCTGCTGGCCGGGTCACGTGCTGGCCACATCTGTCTGCCCGCCCCAGCCCCAGGGCCCACCTGCAGCACGCCGAAGGTGCACTGATAGCCCATGCGGACCAGGCAGCGGAGGGTGAGCTTCAGGACCATGGAGCGCTTGAAGGAGACAAAGTTCCTGACATTCTCCAGGAGGAAGAACCGGGGCCGGTAGTAGTCGCAGTAGCTGTAGGGGGCAGGAGAGACTGCAGGAGTCACCTCCACAGACAGAGGGAAGAAACGACCCACTGTGCCGGAAGCCCCTCACGAATGTTATCAAAGTCTCTCCCTGGTGAGAGCTGAGCTGTGAGCTTCCGGGGGGCAGAGGCCTCAGTGCAGGGCGAAAATGACCACTGCTGACATGCGGCACAGCCCCGGGCCGTCTGGCAACACTGGGGGGCTTCTACCCGTTTACCTGAGGAAGGAAACCACCAGAGAGTTTTTGAACTTGGAGTAGGTGCGCGAATTGAAGCGGTTCATGCCGCTGAAGCCCTGGCAGGGCGGCCCGCCGCACAGCATCTCCACGTCTCCCTTCTGGGGCAGCCGCTGGCCGCGGGAGTTGGTGGTCTCCCCAGCCATGACCAGCTTCAGCAGGATGTTGCAGTCCTCTGTGAACACTGTGGAGCCGGGGTTGTTCAGCCGGAACGCCTGGGCCGCAGGGTCCCACATCTCGATGGCCCACAGCGTGTCAGAGATGCCTGGCAGATCAAGCACGAAGCCATGCTTTCAACTCTCCAGAAGATTTTTTTTTTTTTTTGAGATGGAGTCTCGCTCTGTCACCCAGGCTGGAGTGCAGTGGTGTGATCTTGGCTCACTGCAAGCTCTGCCTCCCAGGTTCAAGCGATTCTCCCACCTCAGCCTCCTGAGTAGCTGGGACTACAGGCACACACCACCACGCCCAGCTAATTTTTGTATTCTTATTAGAGACGGGGTTTCACCATGTTGGCCAGGATGGTCTCAAACTCCTGACCTCATGATCCACCCACCTCGGCCTCCCAAAGTGCTGGGATTACAGGCGTGCGCCACCGTGCCTGGCCTCGGAAGGAGATTCTTGAGTCAGGAAGGTGACCGGGGTTGGAAGTCGTTTCAGGTAGCACCTGCCCGGTCTGGGCTCACCAGGTATTCAGAGATGGAGCCTACGGGCGCTCACCTGCTTGGTGGAATCCCTCCGACAACCCCCCGCAGCCAGAAAACACATCCAGGGTCCGCAGCTTGGGCAGCTTGATCTCTATCTCTGGCTCGCTCGGCTCACAGGCTTGGGACTTGGGCTTGCCCTTCCCTGGGGGAGAGAGGCCAGAGGCTAAACCCGATCCTCAGAGTCCAAGTCCACCTTGCTCTCAAGCGCCTTGTTAACTCAGGCGGCCTCGCTGTCCCAGAGTCAGTAACACCAGAGGTGGTTTTACACTGAGGGATTCACAGGCAGCCTCCAAGTTACAGAAGAATAACTTGAAAAGAAACTCATACAATGACGTACCTTTTCCCTTGCCCTTCCCTTTGTTTCCAGGGCTACGGGCATGGTTGGGAGGATCTTCAAAGCTTTTGCTCTTTGCATTATAGGCCTGAAAAGGAGAGAACTGCAATCGTTTGGGAGAGAAACGCACTGTCCCCTCTCTAACGCAGACTAGTAAGAAGGCAATTTGATAGTCACTTAATTTCTCCCTCAGTGGGGCCATGACCAATTAGCCACCAATAAGAGTAGTTTGACTTTGCTACAATAGAAACTTAAAACAATCCATTTTATTAATACTAACATTTGATCTGGCTGACACTGAAATGCCTATTACAAGCACTTGAGAGTACCTTCTAGAACAGGAAAAAGTGCTATGCAGAATCTGCTGTCCAATTGGGCTACCTCATCCATGCCTGGGAGAACGTGGATGTATCGTTTTAAGGTAACAACACGGAAAGGCCAAGCCCCAACAATTTACAAGTCATGAGCTTGATCAGCTGACTCGTGGGCCCTCTCCATAACGAGGGCCACCCGCACAGGCATGTGGGCTGGGCCTGGACGTAGGCGCCTGGCCCAAGGGACCCAGGAGCAGGGGCACCTTCTCCAACTCATACTAAGACACCAGTCAGGCTGGTGGAAGCTGCCTCATGGTCCTCAACGTTCAGTTGCACCAAGACACTAAAACGTTAGGTTCTCTAATGACGTACTTTTTAAAAACCAGGAGTGTTAAACTCCGGGACCACTTGAATCTCATACAACTTGTGCTCTGGAGAACCCTGCTCAGACCCCCGTAAAGCTCCTGCAGAACAGCTTCACGTCAGCCAACCACCCACTTCTTACAAAAGCTGAAACCCTGCAGCCAAGCCGCCTTGTGTATAACCCGACATCAGACTCCTTCTGGCCAACTTTGACCCCGAAGCCTTCCCTCTAGCAAGCAGGGGCACCACCTCGAGGAAGTAGAAGCGGTTGGGGCCGCCCATGGAGTACACCTGGACGCACTCGGGCAGGTCCTCCCCATACTCCACGGTGCAGCGGCCCTGCACAGCCTTGAAGTCCACCACGGCCTCCTCGTCGCTCCAGTAGAGCAGGTTGATGTCTGCGTGGTAGCTCGCTGGAGTGGACTTGTGGGTGTTCTCAGGCCTGCGAGCGGGAGAGGCCTCGTTAGGAGCTCTCCTTTGTGGTGAGCTTATGCTGAATTAAACAGTACCATGTTCCTGGGGTGCTCAGGGAACTGCAGGGTAAAGACCCCCTAGTTCGAGAACCGCAGGGTAAAGACCCCCTCAGTTAGGGAACTGCAGGGTAAAGATATCTCCTCCCCACACTGGGGAACTGCAAGGTAGACTCCCCCCCATTTAGGGAACTGCAGGGTAAAGACCCCCCCTAGTTAGGGAACCACAGGGTAAAGATCCCCCAAGTTAGGGAATCGCAGGGTAAAGACCCCTCCCAGTAAGGGAATCACAGGGTAAAGATATCCCCTCCTCACATTAGGGAACTGCAAGGTAGATTCCCCCACAATTAGGGAACCGCCAGGTAATGACCCCCGACCCAGTTGGGAACCGCAGGGTAAAGACCCCCCAGTTATGGAACCGCAGGGTAAAGACCTCCCCAGTTAGGGAGTCATAGGGTAAAGACCCCCCTACTTAGGGAACCGCAGGTAAAGATAACCCCTCCCCAAATGAGGGAACTGCAAGGTAGATTCGCCCCCAATTAGGGAACCACAGGGTAGAGACCCCCCAACCATTAGGTCAGCTTGGCTGCTTGCTCTGCACGCCTGGCCCTGCCCTGCTGTGTCCGCCTGCCGGTAGCAGCCTCTCGAGTGTGTTTCTCTCACCTGTACCACTCACAGCCCTTGTTTTATTTCCTGTTATTACAAAGGCTTCAGGAAATCTTTGATCTATGTTAGCTAAGAGGTGAGGCAAGTGTATAGCTTCCTGTACAGGCTAGTTTCAGGTTAATGCCTAATCACCGCAAGTTACTCGGGTCTTAGAAAAAGAAAACGTAATAGGCCAAAAGCTTAGGAAAGAGAAAAAATCCCAGAGACAGAAAGGAGGACCTGGGAAGAGGTGGGGACAGCGGGACAGAACCTGGACAGTCATAGATGGAGCTTGGGAGGTTCTCTGGGGGTGCCCAGGCACTCTACCCGTTTTTTCTTTTGAGACGGGGTCTGGCTGTCACCCAGGCCGGAGTGCAGTGGTGGGATCATGGCTCACTACAGCCTCAAATTCCTGGGTTTCAGTGATCCCTTCAGCCTCAGCCTCCCAAGTAGCTGGGATTACAGGCGTGTGCCACCACGCCCAGCTAGTCTTTTTTTTTTTTTTTTTTTGGTAGGGCCGGGGTCTCACTACGTTTCCTCAAGCTGGTCTTGAACTCCTAGACTCAAGTGATCTTCCTGCCTCAGCCTCCCAAAGTGCTAGGATTAGAGGCGTGAGCTACAGTGCCCAGCCAGCTTAAGGATTTCTTTTGGAAAAAGGGCTCTGCAACATTAAAATAAGGACCTAAAAGTGAGGGCTGGGAACTAGAATTCTAGTCATTATCAGTGCCCACCGATAATCAGAAACACTTGGAAAAACAGCTACTTCAACCTAACTCTTAGAACAACTGTGGGTGCTATGCCACAACCTTGTTTCAGGCAGAGCCTTCTAGAAGAGTCTGTGGCCTCGTGGAAGAACAGAGGCCTCTGCTGACCTGTAGAACTTGTTGACCCGGATTTTGATGTCAGTCTCATTGGGCCTGCCGTTGCTCTTCTTGGGACAGAAGATCTCTTTGATCCGGCCAATTCGGTAGGGCTCAGGGGCATCCAGGTTGCTGCCTTTGATGTAGTCGGAGTATTTCCGGTAGTGCTCTGGGTACAGGTCCTCATCCACGGGCTCCTTCCGTGGGCGTTTCACGGGACTGGACAGCTTGATGCTGCAGAGAAGCACCCACTTGACATCAATGAACCTTCCACCTTGCAGTGGTCAGTCAGGCATGACTGACCAGTGAAAATAACCATTTAAAGTCAAGCACCTGATGAATTAAGGTAGGTGTGTACCCTAAGAAATGATTTAGGCTGGGCATTGTGGCTCACGCCTGTAATCCCAGCACTTTGGGAGACCAAGGCAGGTGGACCACAAGGTCAGAAGTTCGAGACCACCCTGGCCAACACGGTAAAACCCTGTCTCTACTAAAAATACAAAAATTAGCCGGGTGTGGTGGTACATGCCTATAATTCCAGCTACTTGGGAGGCTGAGGCAGGAGAATTGCTTGAACCCAGGAGGCAGAGGTTGCAGTGAGCTGAGATTGTGCCACTGCACTCCAGCCTGTGTGACAGAGCAAGACTCCATCTCACAGAAAAAAAAAAAAAAGATTTAGCTGCAGATTTAGTCTCACAGTTTGAAGCACGCATTCACCCTCTGCGCATTACTGGCTACGGTGGTGGCTGACACTGCTCAAATACCCCAGGCTCCTGCCTCCCGACTACTTGGCATCTTGTGTTTCCTGGCATGTGACGTGGGCAGAAGTGACCAAAGAGGATGTCACTGCCTGGGGAATGTCCTGTGTGCTTTCCCTTGGGCTCAAACACTGGCAACTTCTGACTCCAGCGGCCCAGATATCCAAGGGACACAACAGGTGGAGTCCTCTGCTGACCTGTGATGGGCACCTCGTATGAGCGAGACAGCGGCTACCGTGGTTTTTGTTGAGAGAGTTTCACTCTGTCACCCAGGTTAGAGTGCAGTGGCACAATCTCGGCTCACTGCAACTCCTCCTCCCAGGTTCAAGCGATTCTCGTGCCTCGGCCTCCCAAGTAGCTGGGATTACAGGTGCCCACCACCACACCCAGCTAACCCTGGCTAATTTATTTTTAGTAGAGACAGGTATGTCGGCCAGGCTGGTCTTGGTCTTGAACTCCTGACAGGCATGAGCCACCGCACCCAGTCCAGCTTCTGTGGTTTTAAGTCACTGTGATTTGGGGTTGTTGCTATGATACAACCTACGCTACCCTGACTAAGGCTCTGATCTAGAAGCGACACTGGAGGCCAATGTAAGGCGCCACAGGGCCTGGGACAATGGGAGTGTGGTCTGACTAGTGTGGAAAAGCTGTTCTTTGAAGAAGGCCTGCCGTTAGGGAAGTCAGCTGTCACGTTCTCCCCACTAGGCCCCCCAGGAGTCTGACGGGCCCCAAAGGCGTCTCTGTGCTGACTCTCCCACTTTGCCAGGAGCAACTGGCAGAAAACACTACGGGGAGGTGTCCCCTTCCCACCAAGGACAACCAGAGGGGGTAACGCGCCCCAACTGTGCCAAGGCTGGAGGGAACCTGCTTCTCCAGTTCTCATAATTCACAGTAACTGAACTAAGGCAAGGGAGCTGGGGCTCTAAGGAAATGGAATTGTGAGCCGGGAAGGCATCTGGAAAACGTTGGCTGTAATTCCAACCACACGCTGATTCTTAGAAAAAACACAGAATGGATCAGTGTGGAAACGATCTGTGGCTTTAGGTTTTTCCTGGAAGAGCCTCGATCCTCTGACACAGAGAAGTCATCTGATGTGATTCCCTCTAACCAAGAAGTAACTCATGTCCGTTAAACCTTTACTTTAAGCCAGGTACTGTATGGAGCACTTTCAACTCACTCAACCCTTCGAGCCCCAGCAGGCAAGATCCCACTCTCCCACTTCACAGTAGGGGACGGAGAGGAGGTGTCCTTGGGCAGAGGCAGAACTTGGGGGTGGGCCCCCAGCTGTCCCTCGCGCTTTATCCAGTAAGTTCTTTTTTTTTCTTTTTTTATTTTGAGACGGAGTCACACTCTGTTGCCCAGGATGGAGTGCAGTGGCATGATCTTGGCTCACTGCAACCTCTGCCTCCCAGGTTCAAGTGATTCTCCTGTCTCTGCCTCTCGAGTAGCTGGGACTACAGGCGCGCACCACCACACCCGGCTAATTTTTGTATTTTTAGTAGAGACGAGGTTTCACCATGTTGGCCAGGCTGGTCTCAGACTCCTGACCTCAGATGATTCCCCACTGCCTCGGCCTCCCAAAGCGCTGGGATTACAGGCGTGAGAAACCACACCCAGCCAAACCAGCGAGTTGACTTTTACGCTCAGCTTTGCTCTGCAATAGCATCATGGTCAGTCTACACGATTTATGTTGTCTGTTTGCCACCTATGCCAACGTGACGGCTAGGACAACAGCTGGTGCGGAGGGATTGGCAATGTCTGTAAGGAGGGGGACACCACAAAGCCAGCCTGGCTCAGCCTGGAGCGCCCTGGCCCCGGCTGCTCCGAGGGGGCACTTACTTGAACGTGAAGGCCTCAGGGGGCAGGTACACACCATCACCAACTCGGTACAGGATGCCGTTCTTGGTGGCTGAGTAGTAGAGGACCCGGCTATCCAGGTCCTCGAGCTGCTCCAGGACCCTGGGGATTTCTTTTTGCCTCATCTCAGCCAGACGGGCACAGCTCACACAGAATCTGAAGGAAACAAAGGGACAGAAACATAAGGCCCTGAGGTGGCCGGCAGTGGCCGCAGCAGCTACTGCCAGCTTAATCCAGAGACTCTGGTAACCAAGAGGAAAAAACATTTGCAGATGCTAGAAGGAAGAGGTGGCTTTCTTGTGCTTTGTGTTGACATTTTGAAGGCACTTATTTGAGACCAAAGCCCAGAGAGAACATAGCAAGAAAATCAGGCAACTTTTGAGTCATTGAGACAAAAACCCTAAGATATCAATGAACAGGGTCTAGAATATGGTTAAGAACACACCACGAGCAACAGTCCCGAGTGGCTCAGTGAGGAACTCAATCCAGCAGAGACTCCTACTGTTCTCTCCATAAAGGCTCAACAGGTATTTGAGGAAATTCAACATTATTCTTGACTAGTAAGCCCTTAAAGGAGACTTGAAGATGGCCTTAAAAATAGAGATCAAGGCCCAGCATGGTGGCTCATGTCTGTAATCCCAGCCCTTTGGGAGGCCAAGGCAGGAGGGTCGCTTGAGCCCAGAAGTTTGAGACTAGCCTGGCCAACACAGTGAGACCCCGTCTCTACAAAAAATTTTTAAAACATTAACCAGGCAGGGTGGTGCATGCCTGCAGTCCCAGCTACTCAGGAGGCTGAGGCAGGAAGATCACTTGAGCCCAGCAGGTCGAGGCTACAGTGAGCTGTGACCACACCACTGCATTCCAGCCTGGGTGACAGAGGGAGACCCTGTCTCAGATAAATAAATAAATAAATAAATAAATAAATAAAAGAGGTTGGGTGATAAATAAATAAGTAAATGAGGTTGGGTGCAGTAGTTCATGCCTGTAATCCCAGCACTTTAGGAGCCTGAAGGGAGCAGATGACCCAAGGTCAGGAGTTCCAGACCAGCCTGGCCAACACGGTGAAGCCCTGTCTCTACTAAAAATACAAAAATTAGCCGGGCATGGTGGCAGGCGCCTGTAGTCCCAGCTACTTGGGAAGCTGAGGCAGGAGAATCACTTGAACCCAGGAGGTGGAGGTTGCAGTGAGCCGAGATCGTGCCACTGCACTCCAGCCTGGGTGACAAGAGTGAAACTCCATCACAAAAAAGTAAAAAATAAAATGAAAATAGAGATCAAGCCAAAGCTAGCACGAGACTTATGGGAGAAGCACAGATGCCCCCGGGGAGCCCTCTTGGCCTCCTGGGTTTCCCTGGTTGCCACCTGCTCCTCTGGGGGTGCTGGCTGCTGCTTTTAGTTGAAACAAGTGAGGTACGGAGGTTAAAAAGAAGGCATGGGGCATTGGACATTAAAAAATAAAAGCTCGCCGGGCGCGGTGGCTCACACCTGTAATCCCAGCACTTTGGGAAGCCGAAGCGGGTAGATCACCTGAGGTCGGGAGTTCGAGACCAGCCTGACCAACATGGAGAAACCCCATCTCTACTAAAAATACAAAAAAAGTAGCCGGGCATGGTGGCCCATGCTTGTAATCCCAGCTACTCAGGAGGCTGAGGCAGGAGAATCGCTTGAACCCAGGAAGTAGAGGTTGCGGTGGGCCAAGATTGAGCCACTGCACTCCAGCCTGGGCAACAAAAGCGAAACTCTGTCTCAAAAAAAAAAAAAAAAAAAAAATTAAAAAAATAATAATAAAATAAAATAAAAAATAAAAGCTTCCCTCAAAGCAGTCACCCAGTTACAAAAGAATCGAGGACAGGTGTGGTGGCTCACGCCTGTAATCCCAGCACTTTGGGAGGCCAAGGCGGGCAGATCACAAGGTCAGGAGATCGAGACCATCCTGGCTAACACAGTGAAACCTCGTCTCTACTAAAAATACAAAAAACTAGCCGGGTGTGGTGGCAGGCGCCTGTAGTCCCAGCAACTCAGGAGGCTGAGGCAGGAGAATGGCATGAACCCAGGAAGCTGAGTTTGCAGTAAGCCAAGATCGCACCACTGCACTCCAGCCTGGGCAACAGAGCGAGACTCCGTCTCAAAAAAAAAAAAAGAAAAAAAAAAAGGAAAGAAAAGAATCAAATAAGAGGTCTCATTTACAGGAGAAAATATCTAAGAAACAGCCAAAAACATGCAAGAGCTGGGCACACACTGAAGAACACACGGGAAGTCTTGAAATGGCAAGACGAACCCTGTTCCTGGGTAGGGAACCCTCTTACAAAGACAACGCCAGGTCATCCACACACTTAAAGCAACTCCAGGCCATCTACACACTTGAGCATCATTCATAGTCAGGCTGGCCTTTGACGAGCAAGAGACACAAACTGGGGGGCCGTTGGCGGAAGCCAACCAGACGGAAGCACACGGGAAAAGGGAGTGATGTGGGCTGAAAGTGCCTGCTGACCCCGAGTCCAGCCCCAGTGCTCACTTGAACTTGTTGTCCTCTGTTGGCTGGGTTTTTGGAGGGGACTCGAATCTCGCGTAGTCTTGATCATACCACAGCTGGTAGAAGTAGGTCTTCCCGTCGTCCCCCTCCAGCAGGGACTCGGGATCCATGCCTCCCTTGGGAGATAAGAATGCGTGTCAGGCCAGGCGCAGTGGCTCATGCCTGTATTCCCAGCACTATGGGAGGCCGAGGCGGGTGGATCACCTAAGGTCAGGAGTTCGAGACCAGCCTGGCCAACATGGTGAAACCCCGTCTCTACTAAAAATACAAAAAATTAGCTGGACGTGATGGTGGGTGCCTGTAATCCCAACTACTCGGGAGGCTGAGGCAGGAGAATCACTTGAACCCAGGAGGTGGAGGTTGCAGTGAGCTGAGATCATGCCATTGCACTCCAGCCTGGGCAACAAGAGCGAAACTCAGTCTCAAAACAAAAAAAAAAACAAAAAAAAAACCAAATTAAAAAAAAATACAAATCAAAACAAAACAGAACGCACGTCAGCAGTGACCCTCCACGATAAGGCAGGGGCTCACGAGGGACACCAGGCACTCACCTCCATGGCCCAGTTTTCGGAGGGGGCTTTGTAGATGACTTTCACTTTGCTGTGGATATATGAAAGCTGCATGTCCTCACATTCATCCACCAAGAACAGCTCCAGAGGGTCCGACGTGGCCCCGAGGACTGTGTCTGTCCCAGCGCAGAACCAGTGGGCGTGAAACATCTGCCCGTTGCTGCTGTCCTCCCACAGCGCCGTGACCCTGGAATCAGAAGACGGGCATGGGGAGAAAGTTCTGACTTGGCCAGCAGATATGTGACCAAGTCTATGCAGGAGCACTCGTCCTTTTCAGTTTTCATCTAGGGCAAAAAGCTGCTGGTGCTATTTTGGCAAAACAGGCATCTCCTACTTGATGAGAAAGTGCATGCAGAAGTCAAGCAAAAAGAAAGATGCAAACCTTGCTAGATACAGCGGTTTTGAGGAATCATCTGGAATAACAGAGACACAGTCCCCCACTTCCAGGGTTTCCGCATCAATGCACACCTTCTTATAGTAACTCTTCTTCCCATCAGTCTGAAAATGAGAGCATAAGTTCATGGAGGATCATTCTGAGGGTCTTTGCTGGCCTTGACTTGCATGGTCCTCTGTTACTTAAAGTAAGACATGACTCGATTTCATTAAGAAGTCAATGAAGAGTTGCTGCTAAAGAGAACATCCTGTTCTACAAGGGCTTCAATAATAAGAAAAAAGAAGAACATCCACCTTCCTTGGCCAGATGCTGTGGCCAAGGGCATCCATGTCCCTCCCACTTCTGCTCTGCCACTCGGGTCCCAGGATTTGATTTTAACAGCACAGCCCACAATACCTCACCATGGTCTGTAAGGCCACAGCCTGAACCCTGACCCCTGTCCTGCCCATCATCCCCTGGCTCAAGCCACTCCAGCTGCAGGGGCCTCCTTCCTTTTCTCCAACAAAGTAAGCTGACTGCCACCTCAGTGCAGCTCTCCCCCAGGTCGTGTGGCTAGGTCCTACCTGACCTTCTCCATCTCAGCCCAGGTGTCACCTCTGCAAGGCCTCGTGGCCCCAGCCTCCTCCCAGCCCCCTACCCTGCAGAGGCACTCATGCCATGCAGCAGTACCCATGTCTGTCCTCCTGCAGGGGCTCAGCCACGGCCCAGGCAGCCAGCAGGTGGCAAGCCTCATAATTAAGTGAACTGATTGCATCTTTAATTTATGGACGTCAGAGAAGCAACACAGAGGATACTCACTCCTCTCTCTCACACTGTGGTAAAGGAACTGACCTTCAGTGAAGCCAATGACCACAGAACGGATGGGAGGCCATCTGTTGGTGCCCCAAAAAGACCCACCCCACACCAGAGGGGGCTGTGACAGCTCTCTTGGAAACAAGCTATGAGGGGCCAGGCACAGTGGCTCCTGCCTGTAATCCCAGCACTTTGGGAGGCTGAGGTGGGTGGATCACTTGAGGCCGGAGTTCGAGAATGGCCTGGGCAACATGATGAAACCCCGTCTCTACTAAAAATACAAAAAAAGTTAGCCTGGCATGGTGGTGCACGCCTGTAATCTCAGCTATTCAGGAGGGTGGGGCAGGAGAATCGCTTGAACCTGGGAGGCAGAGGTTGCAGCGAGCTGAGATCGTGCCACTGCACTCCAGCCTGGGTGACAGAGCAAGATTCCATCTTAAACAAAACAAAACAGAAAAACAAGCTATGAGGGCTCACCTGCCTGATGCCCCTAGAACTGTGTCAAATGCCCATTTTGGGACATTAGGAGAACTGAGCCTTGTGGCCACACAAAAATGCCTTGCTGGTACTGAGCCATGGAACATGGTCTCTTGGCCAGTCCCGCTCTTCTCAGGGGCAAACAGACAGGTTTCTTAGTGCCGGGGCTCAGGCTGCCTGAGAGGTCAGGTTGGCGAGATACTAGAGGGCAACCTGCTTATTGGGAACATGGCAGTGAGCTGACCAAGGGGCTCCAAGGGTTACCTTGACGGCTTCTCCGACCCAAGAGATGCGATTCTTGTTCTGTTTCTTCTTCTTCCCCTGGTGCATTTTTTTGGGTGACGGCATCTCTGGGATGTTATCATCGACTTCCTCATCGTCATCTGCCTCCTTCATGGCCATATTGGGACACCTGCAATGTCACTGGTTATACCTAAGGCCCCTTTTCTAAGTAAGACCAACCGGGGCTGTTTTCTTCATAACAGGGACAGGTCCTGAGACAATGCCTAACGAAGGAATCCTGGTGCTGTCCCACACATGCAGGCCCTTCTCCACAGTGCATCTGCCACCAGCTGGCAAGTCCTCTGCCACAGGAGGAAGACTCGGCCTGACCTACCTCCGCTCTTGGCAAGCCTGCTTGCTCCGTCCACTGCCACCAAATTTAACCATGTCCTTGCAGGCTTTACATTTCCCACACTCAGGCTGCTGACACACCTAAAAAATGGCATTAAAAAGGCAAATCAGGGCTGGGCACAGTGGTTCATGCCTGTAATCCCAGTATTTCAGAAGGCCGAGGCAGGCAGATCACTTAAGGTCAGGAATTGCAGACCAGCCTGGCCAACGTGGTGAAACCCCATCTCTACTAAAAATACAAAGATTAGCCAGGCATGGTAGGGTGTGCCTGTAATCCCAGCTACTTGGGAGGCTGAGGCAGGAGAATTGCCTGAACCTGGGAGGTGGAGATTACAGTTAGCCAAGATCACACCACCATATTCCAGCCTGGACGACAAGAGTAAAACTCCATCTCAAAAAAAAAAAAAAAAAAAAAAAAAAAAAGGAAAAAAAAAGGGCAAATCACACAGCCCTTACTAACAATGAGACAAATGATGCATTAAGACTTTTAGGTCTCAAAAAATTAAAAAAAAAAAAAAAAAGTGAGTCACACAGCCCTTAGCAACAATGAAACAAACGGTGAATTAAGACTTTTAGGCTGGGCATGGTGGCTCATACCTGAACCAGTACATTGGGAGGCTGAAGCAGAGGTAGATGGATCACTTGAGTCCAAGAGTTCAAGACCAGCCTGGGCAACATATTAAGACCCCCAACTCTACAAAAAATTAAAATTAGCCAGGCGTGTGACAAATTCCTGCAGTCCCGGCAACTCAGGATGCTAAGGCGGGAGGACTGCTTGAGTTCAGGCATTCAAGACCAGCCTAGGCAACATGGCAAAATCCCATCTACAAAATGTTTTTTTTTAATTAGCTGGGCATGGTGGCGTGCACCTGTGGTCCCAGCTACTTGGGAGGCTAAGGTGGGAAGATCACTTGAGCCCAGTAGGTTGAGAATGCAGTGAGCTACAATCATGCCACTGCATTCCAGACTGGGTGACAGAACGAGACCCATCTCAACAACAACAACAACAACAACAACAACAAAACCAAGACTTTTAAAAATGTGCCTATTTGGCTGGGTGCAGTGCCTCATGCCTCTAATCCCGGCAGTTTGGGAGGCCAAGACAGGAGGACCACTTGAAGCCAGGAGTTTGAGACCAGGCAAGGCAACACAGCAGGACCCTGTCTCTACAAAAAAAAAAAAAAAAAGCAATATTCAACCTCATTAGAAATATGGTAAGTGAGAGAAATAAAATTCCCTTCCCATTCTCCAGATGGGTTAAGAAGCCAGATAGGTGGTGTGAGGAAAGAAGAACGCACACTGCTCAAATGGTAAGTTGGTAGAACCATTTTGGAGAGCAATCTTCTAGATCAAAGTTAAGAATACACACCCACAACCCAGCAACGCTACTTCTAAGCAGATACACTCGCGAGAAGCTTTGCTCAAGGATGCTGCCACATATTTACAATACTGAAGAGGTGCCTATCATTGAGGAGTAAGTTAGGATATTCATTTAACAAAATACTACAGAATATTTAAAATGAAATAACTAGATCTACCAGTATCAACACGTAACAGTTACACAAATAAAAACAAATGATTTTAGGGCTGGGCACAGTGGCTCACACCTGTAATCCCAGCACTTTGGGAGGCCGAGGTAGGTAGATCACTTAAGGTCAGGAGTTTAAGACCAGCCTGGCCAACATGGTGAAACCCCATCTCTACTAAAAATACAAAAAAAATTAGCCGGGTATGGTGGCGGGTGCCTATAATCCCAGCCACTCGGGAGGCTGAGGTGGGAGAACTGATTGAACCCGGGAGGCGGAGGTTACGGTGAGCTGAGATGGTGCCACTGCACTCTAGCCTGGGTGACAGAGAGAGACTGTCTCAAAAAAATTAAAAAAAAAAAAAAAAGATTTTAGAAGTTATAAAACATTGGACACACGTGTGTTAACCAAGAAAAATAAAATAAAACCAAAATAACAATGGTGAGGACATGCAGGCTCCTGTTAAGAGATGCCAGCGGGGATCAAAAGCAAAGCCCTGAAGCCAGTCTTTATCCAAAAGAAAGTCAGGTAATAGGTATCAAAATAGTCCTGGTCTTTGGGTCATAGGACTAGGAAGTTAGTTCCTCCTGAGTGAAGTAAACATATATTTTAAAAACTCACAGAAAGGGACGCCTCCTGAGGGCCTCAAATCTAAGCTGGACAAAGTGCCCACTTAGATGTGAATACCCCTTTAGCAGTCCAACAGGGGCCTTCAGACTGTGAGATGCAGGCACAGCAGAGCCACCCAGAAGCCAGGCTCTTCAATTAAGGACAGTGGCATTATCAGCAAAGCACCCAAGCATGCCTCTGTGGACATCTGTCCTATTGACGTTCAATGAAGTATGCAGGGTCCTCCCAGACCACTAACTAATTTCTGTCTCAGGGGTCACATTTGAGCAGCCAGAGTCTCAAGCCACAGAGAGAAAGATGGAGCAGTCCTCAGATCAGGCCAGAGGCTGGGCCACCTTAGGGGAGCGGGAGCACCCACAGGTGAGGTTACCTCACAGACGCCACATCGCCGGCGCTTAAAGGCGTTCTCCTTGTCTTCTCTGTCATCCTTTTCAATTTGCTCTGCGAAGAAAGTATCGAAGATCTGGTAGACCAGCTTGGTGGTGGTGGCTTTCGTGGGTCCCCTGTCCTTCTCCCTGGTAGAATGCCTGATGGTCTGCCGCCTCGCCTGGGCTCGCCTACGGGAGAGGTTCCAGCATCTCAGAGGACTGGGACAGAGGATGTGGGCCATGCTCTACCCTCCCCGGTCTCCAGTCTTCACTCTGGTCCCTGCCGCATCCTTACCTCTGTCCCAGCGTGACCCCAGCCAGCTTGATCAGGTCCCGCATGCAGGGTGTCAGGAAGATGGGCTGCTCATCACTGTCCCCGGCCTCGTCATAACTCTCCACCTGCTCCACCACAAACTGCGCGTGTCGCAGGAGGGAGTCCTCTGTGAAGCGGTTCAAGTTGAGGCCAGAAGGAGGAACCGTGGTCTTGAAAGAGAACAGGTTTCTCTCATGCTTAAGCCAAACTGGCCTAAATCCAACTGAAGAACAGTGTCTGCTGGTTCTGAAGGCAAGTTTCCAGTGGGAATCCCGGATGCTGAGGACCCTCGATCTCTTACCTCGATCTTGTTGATCAGGTCCTCATAGGTCGAGTCGGAATTGCTCTGCAGGAACTCCACCACAATCTTGCTGATGTAGATCTTCTCCTGCATCAGCCCAAATATGGGCGCATACTCGGGACTGGGATCCATCAGAATGTATTCGGCAAATGCTGGGGTGAACAGAGGAGGTGTGGAAAAGGGGCTGGAATCTGATGGCGCCTACAGTGGCCACAGGGCATGGAGGAGTCTACCAAACTCACCCAACAGTCTAAAAGTCATCCCGTACCCAAATGTCAGAAACATAGGGCACAACACATCATAGCTGGCTTGTTCTGAAGAAGCCTGTCTGAGCCAGCCAGAGAGCGAAGACTAGCTGAGTAGGCCTTCATTGAGCTCATCTCTGGTGTTTGGAATTCAGTCTGGGTTTGGGTTGCAAGAATAAGACCTGCTCTTTTTTTTTTTTCAGGGGAGGACAGAGTCTTGCTCCGTCACCCAGGCTGGAGGGCAGTGGCGTGATCTCGGCTCACTGCAACCTCTGTCTGCTGGGTTCACGTGATTCTCCTGCCATAGCCTCCCAAGTAGCTGGGATTACAGGTATGCACCACCATGCGTGGCTAATTTTTGTATTTTTGGTAGAGAGGGGGTTTCACCATGTTGGCCAGGCTAGGCTGGTCTCGAATTCCTGGCCTCAAATGATCCCCCCAACTCGGCCTCCCAAAGTGCTGGGATTACAGGTGTGAGCCACCATATCCGGCCAAGACCTGCTCTTACAACTGGAGAGTCAGTTCCAGAGCCAGTCATAACTAACACAAGAGGCTACCCCAACTGAACCTGCTAAGGTTCCCAGTCACATGGCCTTCTGCAAGCCTGCTGAGAATTCCCACCAGAGCCCCGTCAGCCCCCAGGAAGGAGAACATGAAGGCCCCTTTCAGACCCCGGCCAGCCTATGATGGGCCACACACTTACAGGTGCTGAAGCCGATGAGGGCCTTTTCACCTCCATCAAAGCCAGTGATCCACCATTCATTTATGGGGCCAAGATTTTTGCCATTAACACCACCTAGAGCAGAAAAAGGAAATGGACTAAAGGCTCTGACTCACATCCCAAACCCAGGAGGCGCTCTAAGCGCCCACTCAGCAGACATCCCATCAGCCAGGTCGGGTGCTCCTCAGTCATCACAATGACTTGGCCTACAGCTGCTCCTGGCACAAAGTCTCACACCCTAACTTTAAGAGGCAGCAGCAACTCCAGCTGACTATTGCTTCATAAGTATGTTTTTTATTTATACATATATATAAGTATATATGTATACTATATATATATGCTATATATTTTTTTTTAATAGAGGCAGGCTCTTGCTATGTTGTCCAGGCTCGTCTCAAACTCCCGGGCTCAAGTGATCCTCTGGCCTCAGACCCCCAAAGTGCTAGGATTACAGATGTGAGCCACCCTGCCTGGCTGTTTTTAAAGTGTGCCCCAAACATAATCCCGGACTATTCCTTACCTTCAAGAGATGGGTCATCATCATAGATTGGTTTTGCTGAACCAGAAAAGAAGAGTTCGATATTCTTCTCGATGAGGCCGGTGTCGATGGGACACAGGTGACCGTGCTTACAGTACACACTAGACAGGAAACAAAGCACATGCTTACCAGCTAAGCCGTGAAGGCGGGTCTTCGTGCAGACTTCAGATCAGGCACGAGGCAATGAGAGAATGTACAAGTCTGACACTCTTTTTTTGTTTGTTTTTGAGACAGAGTCTTGCTCTATCCCTCAGGCTGGAGCGCGATGGCATAATCTTGGCTCACTGCAGCCTCCACCTCCCGGGTTCAAGTAATTCTCCTGCCTCAGCCTCCCGAGTAGCTGGGATTACAGGCCTGAACCACCATGCCCGGCTAATTGTTGTATTTTTAGTAGGGACGGGGTTTCACTATGTGTAGCAGGCTGGTCTCAAACTCTTTATCTCCAGTGATCTACCCACCTCAGCCTCCCAAAGTGCTGGGATTACAGGCTGAACCACCATGCCTGGCCCCGACACTCATTTTTTGGTTGCGGGAACACTGGATTAAGACAGCGTTCTATCACCCAGAGTTTCTACCTTATTCTCCCACCTAAGCATCAAGTGTATGTGTGTCTGCAACAGCAACACCAAAAGATCAGTCAGACTTACAGTGCGGGAAATACCGGTTTCTAGAACACCTTCTACTATGCAGTGCAGCCACTAGCTCTATTCAGCTGCAGAACATTTCTGTCACTCAAATGTTAATAAAGCCTCATTCCCATCAAGTAGCAGTCACTCTCCAGTCTCCTCCCAACCGGCCCTCAGCCCCCAGCCCCCGGCAACCACCAATCTGCTTTCTATACCTATGAATTCACCTATTCAAGATACCTCATATGGTTAATTTTATATTATACGAGTTAGACCTCAATTTAGAAAATAAAGCAGGTTATAGAACAGTGTGAAAAGGGATGTGGGAAGGAAGGACTTCTGCCTCCTTTTGGGCATAAATCTCAAACACCTGCGGCCCCACTGTCCAGATGCCCCTTGACATTCGGGAGCACGTTCTTTAGTGAAGACAGAGAGGCAAGATGTCAAACTCAAGGAAAAAGACATGAACTGGGTGTTCTGCTTACAAACCTGCTCATCTAGACAAGGACCACCCTTTCCCGGCCAAAGATGCTGGGCTATCCTCAGAGCCCCCATATGAAGTCTGCACAGGTCTCTGGAGAGCACCCTCCACCACACTCACCCAGCTTAGTGCCTTGGAAGCCAGAAAGGCTCAAACAAAACACTGCATACCTCCTGCGGAGCTCCCCTACTGCGTACCAGGCATGGCAGACAGAATAGGTTGCAGCCCTGCCTCAGGATGTAAGGCCCAGAAGAAGAGACAGAGAGATGAAGCCAGCGTGGATCAAGGGAGGGCCTACAGAAGAGGGGGTCCCGCTCCCCGCTGCACAGGTGGGCTGGAGGCTCTCTCCATAGGGGAGACATGGGAGAGAAGCTCTAAGCCCCAGGCAGGGGCAGGACCCACTGGTTGGTAGGCCAGACCCCACCCATGACTGGCTTCTATCGCCAGTTTCAAGCCAAGTACAGCAGTATGGAGAGCCCCTAAATAACTCAGGCAGTCCAGCTCCAGTGGACAGAAGGCATGTGACTTCTGGAAAGTGTCCTCCAGGCCACCATCCACCCTCCAGGAACGAATCTATGATAGATCTCAACTTAGGGAGGAAGCTGAGACACTCAGGACTCTGGCAGCCCCAGCCCCAGGCTCCCCCAAGCCTTTGTCCCTGGTGAAGGCCAGAGTGAGGCCCTCGGGCATGGTTGCCAGCTCTGCCCACCACAGCACACCTCACTCACACCAGCAGGCAGAGGTGTGTGGCCCTGCTTTGGGCCAGGCCTCGGGGGGCTAGCGGTTGCTGGTGGACGCAACAGCATCTTGATCTAGATAGAAGGATCCCATAGAAGGAGAGGGAGGGGAACAACCATCAGCCAAGCACGGGGAACGTGTGGGTGCCCTCCCAGTGGGTACAGGAACCGCTGCCTGGGGGTGCTTCCAACAGGGGTCCCCAAGGCACTTCCCCCTCCTCTTCACAGAGAGGGAAAATACCACCCAGGCCTAAAAGGAGGCAGGGCCGTTCCTGGAGCTGAGGCATTTCCCACGAAGAACAAGGTGAAGCCCTGGAGGGTAACTGCACCCGCAGGGAGAGGGAGCAAAATGGGGCTGGGGATGCCTGAGAGCACAGGGCCTCTGCCCACTCAAGAGCTGACGTGAGCCTCGGTGAAGGTACGGGCCGGACGCCAGGCACCTTCCCTCAGAGGACAGGAGAGTCAGTGCTGAGGCCTGCAAGGCCCTGTGTGGCCCAGCCCCAACCCAGCAACCACCACACCAGACTCACCATTCACCTTCCACAGCTGGCACAGGCCCCTCCGAGCCCTGGTAATGGTGTCCCCTTCTACCTAGGGTGCCCCACCCCGGCCATCCCCTCGGCCTCTTCTCTCACAGGCCATCAAGGTCTTTACTGAAAATCATTACCTCTCCCGTCTTCACAGAACTTCCTCCTCCCACTTATTCTCTCTGCATGTCACCAGGCTTTTAAAATCTGTCGTGGCTGTCACTACCCGACAGGTATCACCCATTTCTGGCTCCGTGAAGGCAGGACCTGAGCAGCTACATCCACGACACCTAGATCACTGGTACCTAGCACAGAGTAGGCCTTCATCTGAGCGTGTGACCCTCAGGATGTGGGCAGAATGGAGGGGTAATATGTGTAGTGTAAAAACCCAAAAACCAAACCAAAAATCAGCAAAGCTCTATTGTCCCTTCATCAGCTTTCCACGTGGCTCTTTGAGACGGAGTCTTGCTCTGTCGCCCAGGCTGGAATGCAGTGGCACCACCTCGGCTCACTGCAGCCTCCGCCTCCAGAGTTCAAGAAATTCTCCTGCCTAAGCCTCTCGAGTAGTTGGGATTACAGTCGCGTACCACCACACCTGGCTACTTTTTGTATTTTCGGTAGGTTTCGCCATGTTGGCCAGGCTGGTCTCGAACTCCTGACCTGAAGTGATCTGCTCACCTCGGCCTCCCAAAGTGCTAGGATTACAGGCATGAGCCACCGCGCCCAGCCCTCCACGGTGGCTCTTATCCACGAAGTGTTAGCTTAAGACATGTTGCAGGTCAGGCACTAAAAAACATCACCAGAATCGTGAGCCCGCAGGCACCTCTGGGGATGTGCCTCCTTCCACGAAGCAAACATGCACACGAAAGTGCACTTACCTGAAGCAGGTCAGTTTGTGCTGGGGAAGCGCCTCATAACTCTCAAAGCCAGACTCGTTGGCATCAAAGATGGACAGCTTCTCATTTGTCAGCATCTGTGGCTCATCCACCTGAAGGACACGGGGCTGGTGAGCAGTGGGACAAGGGACAGGCAGAGGAAGGCTGGGAAGAGAGCTGTACGTACCGCGTCTGGTGGGTGCTGCCCATATTTGAGGTCAGGGTCGTCCAGGTACTGCCCGCACTGAATGCACTTGGGAGGGTGGGTCTGTGGGAGCAGGAACACAGATGATGGCACTCAGAGAGCAGCTCCCAGCCGCCTCGTGAGCGCCGCCACCGGCTTTATTCCCGGCAGATGTTTACCTTGGAGTTCATGACTGTTTTGGCGCGAGCCATTTTTTTCTCCGTTCTGGGGGAAAAAAAAAAATCACAAGATCGTTTGTTTAATTGTTTCAGAAAATATCAAAATCGCCCCTGTGAGGTTTCTGCCTGAGGTGCCTGTGGCACAGGGAGGCACCGGCTGTGGCAGTGAGGCCCAGGCGCGTGGTCACAGTGGCTCTTCACCGCAGGGGCATCCTGCCTGACGCACCTTGGTCCTATGTTCACCAACCCGATCCAAAATGAGCCTAAGGTTGCTCTGGCAATTACTGAAACCCCTTCCCTTTTGTTCTAGAACCATCATTTTAACATTACCATCTGCTTTCGATAATGTCAAGAATAAATTCTTACGGTTCTTTGGGGGTCGTTTTGCGTCTCTTCTCCTCCTACACAGGGAAAACAAAAGAGGATTAAAGGCTAAGAGAGTGTTTTACACCCAGATAGTGCTTCGGTGTTAAGAACTTTGTATAAGTGATTATCATAAAACAGAGAGAAGGGGAGGGAGGCAGTGAGAGGGCCAGCAGGTGAGCTCTGACTCACTCTACCATCTAAAGTCATAGAATACAAAATCTTATAGTCAGGCCCAGCACAGTGGCTCATGCCTGTAATCCCAGCACTTTGGGAGGCCAAGGCACACAGATGACTGGAGGTCAGGAGTTCCAGACCAGCCTGGCCAACATGGCGAAATCACGTCTCTACCAAAAATACAAAGATTAGCCAGGCGGGCACTTGTAATCTCAGATACTCAGAAGGCTGAGGCAGAAGAATTGCTTGAACCCGAGACGTAGAGGTTGCAGTAAGCAGAGATCATGCCACTGCATTCCAGCCTGGGCGACAGAGTGAGTGAGACTCCATCTCAAAATAAATGAATAAATAAATCTCATAACCAAAGACTTCCTGAAAAGATTTAGAGGAAAAGCCAATTTTTTAAAACCTTAGCTTTCCTGTGTAAGTGGACACCTCAAGGTAAACAAATAATTGGCCAGGCACAGGGCCGGGCGCGATGGCTCACGCCTGTAATCCCAGCACTTTGGGAGACCGAGGCGGATGGATCACGAGATCAAGAGATTGAGACCATCCTCGCCAAGATGGTGAAACCCTGTCTCTACTAAAAATACAAAAATTAGTTGGGCGCGGTGGCGCATGCCTGTAGTCCCAGCTACTCAGGAGGCTGAGGCAGGAGAATAGCTTGAACCAGGGAGACAGAGGTTGCAGTGAGCCGATGTCGCACCACTGTACTCCAGCCTGGCGGCAGAGCGAGACTCTGTCTCAAAAAACAAATACATAAGTAAATAAATAAATAAATAAATAAATAAATAAATAAATAAATAACTGGCCAGGCACAGTGGCCCATGCCTGTAATTCCAGCACTTGAAGAAGCCCAGGTGGGAGGACTGCTTGAGCACAGGAGCTCAAGACCAGCCTGGGCAACACAGTAAAACCCTGTCTCTACAAAAATAGAAAGTTAACTGGGTGTAGTGCCATCTGCCTGTAGTCCCAGCTACCTTGAAGGCCCAGGTGGGAGGATTGCTTCAGCCCAGGAGTTTGCGGCTATGGTAGCTATGACTGTACCACTGCACTCCAGCCTCGACAAGAGTGAGACCCTGTCTCAAAAATAAATACTAAAATGTAAAGGTAAGCAAACAATTGATGAGGGGGTATACAGACCGAGTCATGTCCCCTGCAAAATTCATATGTTAAGACTAACCTGCTATGTGACTGTATTTGGATGTAGAGTCTTTAAGAGACAATTATGGTTAAATGAGGTAATAAAGGTGGGGCCCCATCCAATAAGACCAATGTCCTTGTATTTTTTGTTGTTGGTTTTGAGACAGAGTCTTGCTGTGTCCCCAGCCTGGAGTGCAATGGTGTGATCTCGGCTCACTGCAACCTCTACCTCCTGGGTTCAAGTGACTCTCCTGCCTCAGCTTCCCAAGCAGCTGGGATTACAGGCCCCTATCACCACAACTGGCTAATTTTTGTATTTTTAGTAGAGACAGGGTTTCACCATGTTGTCCAGGCTGGTTTCAAACTCCTGACCTCAGGTGATGCGCCTGCCTTGGCCTCCCAAAGTGCTGAAAAGACAGGCGTGAGCCGCTGTGCCCAGCATTTTTTTTTTTTTTTGAGACAGAGTCTTGCTCTGTTGTCCAGGCAGGAGTACAGTGGCACGATCTCAGCTCACAGCAATCTCCGCCTCCTGGGTTCAAGCAATTCTCATGCCTCAGGCTTCCAAGCAGCTGGGACTACAGGCATATGCCACCACGCCCAGCTAATTTTGCTGTGTCCCCAGCCTGGAGTGCGATCTCGGCTCACTGCAACCTCCACCTCCCAGGCTCAAGCGATTCTCCTATCTCAGCCTCTCGAGTAGCTGGGACTACGGGCGTGCACCACCATGCCCAGATAATTTTTGTATTTTTAGTAGAGACAGGGTTTCACCATATTGGTCAGGCTGGTCTTGAACTCCTGACCTCATGTGATTCACCCGCTTCAGCCTCTCAAAGTGCTGGGATTACAGGCGTGCGCCACCACGCCCAGTCTTCTTTTTCCTAAGACCAGCCTGGGCAACATGGCGAAACCCCGTCTTGGGGAAAAAAAAAAAAAAAAAAAAGAAAGAAAGAAAAGTGAGACCTTTACCTTTTCATCCTCGTCTTTTTCATCAGAAATCTGTGGATTTACTTTTTCAGGTTCTTTTTCTTCGGGCCTCCGTTTGGCAGCTCTGCAGGGTGAACAGATACACAGCAAGTAGCAGCTTAGAAACACTAACCACATCGCCAACTCGCACGGAAAGTGACAAACTAATGCCTCCCCATGGGAAAGCAAGATACCCATGGGAGCTCTATAGGCACACTGCCAGCTTGTCATCCCGAGACGAGGCCTTCAGAGGCCCCAGGGTCCCCACACATCTACATCACCACAGGTTTCTAGAACAGGCTTTTTTTTTTTTTTTTTTTTGAGACAGAGTTTCACTCTTGTCCAGGCTGGAGTGCAGTGGCGCAATCTTGGCTCACTGCAACCTCCACCTCCTGGCTTCTAGCAGTTCTGCCTCAGCCTTCCGAGTAGCTGGGATTATAGGCACCCGCCACCACACCCAGCTAATTTTTGTATTTTTAGTACAGACAGGGTTCCACCATGTTGGCCAGGCTAGGCTGGTCTCGAACTCCTGACCTCAGGTGATTCACCCACCTCAGCCTCCCAAAGTGCTGGGATTACAGGTGCAAGCCACCACACCTGGCCTAGAACAGGCTTTCTACTGATCCAGATGACACAAAAGCACAAGCATTTTAAACACTTACAGATCTTTGGGTTGACTTCTGTGCTTCTTCTCATCCTGACAGAAAAATAAGGGGGAGGTAGAGAGATAAAGAAGGGAAAAAATTAGTTTCTGAGCCAGAGTGAGATAAAATGCAAACACTGAAGTTACAGGTTAGGGATCCCAGCACTGTGGAGCTGGAAGACAGGCAGGCCTGGGCAGATCTACCGGGTAGACACGAGGCTTCACTTTCCCTCACTTAATTCCCCACCTGAAACTAACAAGAGGGCACTAAAGAACCTCCTAGACCAGGGCTTGGCAAACTGTTTTTGTAAGAGCCAGAGGATCAGTATTTTCAGCTTTGCTGACCACGTGGTCTGTGTCAGGATGATCATCTCTGCTATGGTAGCACAAAAGCACCCACAGGCAAAATGTAAATGAGAAAGTGTGGCTCTGTTCCAATAAAACTTTATTTACAGGCTGTGTGCAGTGGCATGTGCCTGTAAACCCAGCACTTTGGGAAGCTAAGGCAGGAGGATTGCTTGATGCCAGGAGTTCGAGGCCAGCCTGGGCAACATGCTGAGACCCCATCTCTGCAAAATATACTATATATATATATGACACAGGCTGGTCAGCTCGGGGGGCCCT
The DNA here is from genome assembly GCF_000001405.40 of Homo sapiens. NCBI lineage: Eukaryota > Metazoa > Chordata > Mammalia > Primates > Hominidae > Homo > Homo sapiens. The sequence goes on from NC_000019.10 coordinate 10,163,931, forward strand.
GCACCGGGGCCAACAGCTCCTAAGGGCTGACACAAGCTCCTCCCCAGGTTCAGAGGACAGGCTGCCTCTCCTGTCTTCACTGCAGGAAGCCCAGAGGGCATTTACTACTCCAGGACTCAAGGTCTTCAGGAACACCATCAATACCCCATCTGAATGTTGGTCAGAGATGCCAGTGGTTTAATACAAAAAGCAGCATATATATATGGTTAATATATACATATATATGGAGAGAGAGAGAGAGATTGATTCACTCTTGTTGCCCAGGCTGGAGTGCAATGGTATGATCTTGGCTCACCTCTGCCTCTCAGGTTCAAACGATTCTCCTGCCTCGGCCTCTCTAGTAGCTGGGATTACAGGCATTCGCCACCACACCCAGCTAATTCTGTATTTTTAGTAGAGCTGGGGTTTCACCATGTTGGTCAGGCTGATTTCAAACTCCTGACTTCAGGTGATCCGCCCACCTCAGTGTCCCAAAATGCTGGGATTATAGGCGTGAGACACCGCGCCTGGCTTACAAAAAATAAGTTTAAAAAGTAGACATCCATGGTGGTGCATGCCTGTAGTGCCAGCTACTTGGGAGGCTGAGGTGGGAGGATCACTTGAACCCAGGAGACTGCAGTGAGCTATGATAGCACCACTGCACTCCTGCACTCTAGCCTGGGAAACAGAGCAAGATCCTGTCTCAAAAACAAACAAACAAACAAACAAACAAACACGCCGGGCGTGGTGCCTCACACACATAATCCCAGCACCTTGGGAGGCTGAGGCAGGTGGATTGTTTGAGATCAGGAGTTAGAGACCAGCCTGGCCAACATGGTGAATCCCTGTCTCTACTAAAAATATAAAAATTAGCTAGGCATAGTAGCACACGCCTGTAATCCCAGCTACTCAGGAGGCTGAGACAGGAGAATCACTTGAACCTGGGAGGTGGAGGTTGCAGTGACTCGAGATCACACCATTGCATGACAGAGAGAGACTATCTTAAAAAAAAAAAAAAAAAAAAAAAAAAAAAAAAAAAAAAAAAAAAGAACAAACCAAACAGACTGAATGCAACGGTTCATGCCTGTAATCCTACCACTCCGCCACTTTGGGGGACTGAGATAGGTGGATAACTCGAGTCTAGGAGTTTGACTGAGACCAGCCTGGGCAACATGGCAAAACCCTATCTCTACAAAAAATTAAAAAAAAAAATTAGCTGGACATGGTGGTGCCTGCCTATAGTCCCAGCTACTTGGGAGGCTGAGGCGGGAAGATCACCTGAGCCTGGGAGGTCGAGGCTACAGTGAACCGTGATTGCACCACTGCATTCCAGCCTGGGTGACAAAGCAAGACCCTGTCTCTTGGGATGGGGGACAGTGGCTCTTAGAGCTTTGGGAGGCAGAGATGGCACCTCCTGTGCAAGGGGCCCCCTGGGGTGGAACAGCCAACAATCCTTGTTCTCTGGGCACTGCTTTTATTATTATTACCATATTATTTTTTTGAGACAGAGTCTCGCTCTGTTGCCCAGGCTGGAGTGCAGCGGCATAATCTTGGCTCACTGCAACCTCTGCCTCCTGGGTTCAAGTGATTCTCCTACCTCAGCCTCCCAAGTAGCTGGGATTAGAGGCACATGCCACCATGCCCGGCTAATTTTTATATTTTTAGGTGACACCGGATTTCACCATGTTGGCCTGGCTGGTCTCAGACTCCTGACCTCAAGTGATCCACCCACCTCAGCCTCCCAAAGTGCTGGGATTACAGTAGTGAGCCACCATGCCCAGCCCTCACATCCCTTTCTACCATGAGGCAAAAGTGCTGGCAGTGTGAGCTCAGGCCCCTGCCAGTTTCCAATAGAGGGCAGGGAGTAATGTGACTACTCCAGTCTGAAGGAGTGCTGACAGTAAGGTGACCAACATTTGGACAGAAGAGGTGAGGGATGGGAGGCTGGAGGCAATACCAAAGGCTCCCCTGCTATGGGGTGGGGATGGAAGCCCACTGGCGACCGGGTCAGAAGTGAGGGTGCTTGTCACCCAGCAAGCCCGTGACCTTGGGCTCCACTCTCTAGATTGTAACAGGCAGAAACCCAGAGACCCTCTTGGGGTCTTCGGCATCTCTTAGATAGGGACCCGCCGCCCCCCACCGATGACCTAGCTCCCTTCCCTAGAGTTCATGCAGGAGGGCCTGCAGGCAACCTGGCCATCCTGTACTTTGACAGAGGCCCAGCAGTGTTCCACATGATGCTTTAGGGTTTAAACGCATGCACTTGGCTAAACTAGACTGGGGAGGCTGGCAGGGGGAGAGCTAGACTCAGAACGTAGGAGGCTGGGAAAGAATCAAAGGTGTGGCTGACATGTGCGTCAGAGCTGACTGTGTGTCAAGGCTTCTCAGCAGTGAGGCCTCAGGAGAGGATGCTTCATGCACATCTCAGCCCAGGCTCACACAGACCCTCTCTAGTGTGAAAGACAGAGGACAACTGAGTGTTCACTAGGCATCCAGCACAGGCATCCAGCCACAAATCCCGGCCCCCAAAAGGAGGAAAAGGTGACCTTCCCAGAGTCTGGATGGCCCCATGGAGCCTGGGTGGATGGGGCTGGACTTGAACCCAGAGCCCCACCCTGCGCACTCCCGCCCAAGCAAACAGGAGCAGAAGAATGAGGGGGAGTTCAGAAACAAATAACCCGCCTTTACTTTCTCGTCTCCATCTTCGTCCTCGTCAGCCTGCACGCCTGCCCTGGCTTCTCTGTCCGGCTCCTCCTTCAGTTTCTGTTTGGGTGTTCTGTCACAGAAGACAACACACACACAGGCTGGTCAGCTCGGGGGGGGCCCTGCACCGGGGCCAACAGCTCCTAAGGGCTGACACAAGCTCCTCCCCAGGTTCAGAGGACAGGCTGCCTCTCCTGTCTTCACTGCAGGAAGCCCAGAGGGCATTTACTACTCCAGGACTCAAGGTCTTCAGGAACACCATCAATACCCCATCTGAATGTTGGTCAGAGATGCCAGTGGTTTAATACAAAAAGCAGACAAAGGGATGTCATGATTTCCGTGGCCTGATGGGAATCCAGCCTGCGGTGGAGGAAGACCCATGTCTGGCCTGCCTAGGTTGAGAGCTGGGCTGATGTGCGATCAGCGTCAGTCAGTGACCGTGGACAGCTGACTGCACACAGGGGTCCGAGTCTTCACCTCCCACTCTGCCAGGGCCCTGCCGCTCAGGTGGGGTATTCTGCCCACCTCTGGATTCAGGCTCAGTCTCAAAATTTGCTTCAGCTAATTGTTTTCTTTTTCTTTTTTCCTTTTTTTTTTTCTTGAGGCAGAGTCTCGCTCTATCACCTACCCTGGAGTGCAGTGATGTGATCTCAGCTCACTGCAACCACCGCCTCCCGGGTTCAAGTGATTCTCCTGCCTCAGTCTCCCAAGTAGCTGGGACCACAGGCATGCACCACCACACCCAGCTAATTTTTTGTATTTTTATTAGAGACGGGGTTTCACCATGTTGGCCAGGCTGATCTTGAACTCCTGACCTCAAGTGATCCACCCGCCTCAGCCTCTCAAAGTGCTGAGATTATAGGCGCGAGCTACTGCACCTGGCCCAACTTTTTTCAACAGAGGTTTGAAAAAGTGCTACTTTTCATTTCTGCCCTTGTGGTCTGGCACAGCCACAAGCGTGTACCCAGCCTGGCCAAATTGCGGAGGCAGAGCTGGGTCAGCCCAGCCATCCCCACTAAGCCACCTCAAGATCAGCCGACAGCCACCAAGCTGTAGACAAGTGAGCTTGAAAAATGCTCACTGTTCTAGGCCTCTGGCCTTGGAGCCATTTGTCACACAGCATTTTCACAGTGAAAGGTAAGTGACACAGCTGCTCACCTGATGGCCTTTCACTACCACATGACACACAGCTGTGTGACCAACCCTGAGAAGGGCCCTGGGGTTGGGAGGAGAAATCGAAGCTAACTTCACCCCGTAATCCCAGCACTTTGGGAGGCGAGGCAGGTGGGTCACGGAGGTCAGGAGTTCAAGACCAGCCTGACCAATATGGTGAAACCCTGTCTCTACTAAAAATACGAAAATTAGTTGGGCATGGTGGTACAGGCCCATACTCCCAGCTACTCGGGAGGCTGAGACAGGAGAATTGCTTGAGCCCGGGAGGTGGGGGTTGCAGTGAGCCAGGATTGCACCACTGTACTCCAGCCTGGGTGACACAGCAAGACTCCGTCTCAAAATTAAATTAAATTAAATTAAAGTTAAAAAAGTTAACTTCAGCCTTCACTTCAGGGTGGTCTCACCTTTCACAAGCAGAACTTGCCCACATAAGAGACATATGATTAGTGCCCACTGTTCCACACCAACCCGTTATTTTACCAAGATACTTATGTTAGCAATTCAGTTTCACAACAAAGCACAAAGGCAGGTTCGCTGCACTTACGGTTCTTTGGTTTGACTTCGGAGTCTCTTTTCTTCCTAAGTTGCAGGGAAAAAAGACAAGTTAATTTTTTCCATTTGGTTTGGATCTTTCTATTAAAGTGTCCTATGGAAATAAAACACCTGAACTGATTCTAGAGTCCACTGGTGGGAGTAAAGACTGTCTACCAGTGGGCACAGTAGCTCATGCCTGTAATCTCAGAACTTTGGAAGGCTGAGGTGAGAGGATCACTTGTGCCAGGTGTTCAAGACAGCAATTTTCTTTTCTTCTTCAGTGGGGTAAGTAGACAGGAAATGAAACTCTTAGAAAGGAGATACTACAACACTGCAGTTTCAGTATTTTTACTTCAAAATTCCTCTACTACTTGTCATCAGTTAAGTGTTGATAGCCTCACAGAAAGTAACTTTATTATAAATCTCTACTTCCGATATTAAAGGAATGAAATAGGATGGCCCAATCTGAAAAGTAGCTCCAACTGAGACACAACAACACATCCTCTGAGACTGCATTTATTCATTTATTTATTTATGAGACGGAGTCTCACTCTGTTACCCAGGCTGGAGTGCAGTGGTGTACTCTTGGCTCACTGTAACCTCCAACTCCCAGGTTCAAACAATTCTCCTGCTTCAGCCTCCCAAGTAGCTGAGTTTACAGGCACACACCACCATGACCAGCTAATTTTTGTATTTTTAGTAGAGACAGGGTTTCATCACGTTGGCCAGACTGGTCTTGAATTCAAGTGATCCGTCTGCCTTGGTCTCCCAAAGTGCTGGCATTACAGGCGTGAGCCACCATGCCCAGCCTGAGGCTGCATTTAAAGAACCAGACACATCTTGCCAGAGAATCAGGCAAGTCAAATCCAACCCTCAGAAACTCCACATGTGGTAGTCTGTGAAGAGATCGCAAAGGTCAGGAATATTAAGAAACACTTTGCAGCTGGGCACAGTGGCTCACTACTGTAATCCCAGCACTTTGGGAGGCCGAGATGGGCAGATCACGAGGTCAGGAGATCGAGACCATCCTGGCTAACACAGTGAAACCCCGTCTCTACTAAAAATACAAAAAAAAAAAAAAAAAAAAATTAGCCGGGCGTGTTGGCGGGCGCCTGCAGTCCCAGCTACTGGGGAGGTGGAGGCAGGAGAATGGCGTGAACTTGGGAGGCAGAGCTTGCAGTGAACCGAGATCGTGCCACTGCACTCCAGCCTGGGCGACAAGAGCGAGATTCCGTCTCAAAAAATAAATAAGTAAATAAATAAATAACCCCGTCTCTACTAAAAATACAAAAAAAAATTAGCCTGGCGTGGTAGCAGGTGCCTGTAGTCCCAGTTACTCGGGAGGCTGAGGCAGGAGAATGGCGTGAACCTGGGAAGCGGAGCTTGAAGTGAGCGGAGATCGCACCACTGCACTCCAGCCTGGGCGACAGAGTGAGACTCCGTCTCAAATAAAAATAAAAAAAACGCTTAGCAAATCTTCCTACTACAAGAAGAAATCCTGAGAGTATGCTTACAGGTGAGGGATTTCGATCTTGCCCCAGGTTCCTTCTTTGGAAGGTGGTGGTTGAACTAGCCCGTTAGGACTGCTTGTTCTGAAACAAATTCGAGGTATGCACTGACTGCAACTGCTGTCTAATTTAACTAGGATCAGGGTAGGAAAGGTGATCAATGAAAGACCAGCCTCGGCCGGGCGTGGTGTTTCACCCCTGTAATCCTGGACTTTGGGAGGCTGAGGTGGGTGGATCACCTGAGGTCAGGAGTTCCAGACCAACCTGGCCAACACGGCAAAACCCTGTCTCTACTAAAAATACAAAAATTAGGCGGACGGGGTGGCGGGCGCCTATAATCCCAGCTACTGGAGAGGCTGAGGCAGGAGAATCGCTGGAACCCAGGGGGTGGAGGTTGTAGTGAGCTAAAATTGCGCCACTTCACTCCAGCCTGAGCGAAAGAGCAAAATTCCATCTCAATTAAAAAAAAAGAAAAAAAGCAAGAAAGACCAACCTCAAGTACTGAATGGTTCAAAAATTATTGTACAGCGGCCGGATGCAGTGGCTCACGCCTGTAATCCCAGCACTTTGGGAGGCCGAGGCGGGTGGATCACCTGGGGTCAGGAGTTCGAGACCAGCCTAGCCAACATGGTGAACCCCTGTCTCTACTAAAAGTACAAAAAGTTAATTAGCTGGGCGTGGTAGCGGAAGCCTGTAATCCCAGCTACTCGGGAGGCTAAGGCAGGAGAATTTGTTTGAACGCAGGAGACAGAGGTTGCAGTGAGCCGAGATCACACCACTGCACTGCAGCCTGGGCAAGTAGAACAAAACTCCGTCTCAAAAAACAAAAAAAATTACTGTACATTTTAGTTGATTCCCCAATGGACAGCCATCCTTTACTAAGCTCCCAAGTAAGGCACTCGTCACCTACCTAAGTTGGTAAGAAACTTCTAGTCATCTTGGTTTTTTTTTGTTTGTTTGTTTTGTTTGTTTGTTTGTTTGTTTTAAGACCAGTCTCACTTTATCATCCAGGCTGGATTGCAGTGGGACAATCATGGCTCACTGTATCCTCAGCCTCCTGAGCTCAAGTGATCTTCCTGCCTCAGCCTCCTGAGAAGCTGGAACTACAGGCACACTGCCTGTTGTAAGCTCCACCACATCCAGCTGATTTTTGTATTTTTTGCAGAGACGGGGTCTCACTACATTGCCCAGGCTGGCCCTGAACTCCTGAGCTCAAGCGATCCACCCACCTCGGCCTCCCAAAATGCTAGAATTACAGGCATGAGCCACCACACCCGGCCCTCAGTCATCTTATTAAAAAACAAAACAAACAGAAAAAAAAACAGGACCCAGCATCTGTATTGCATAGAACCTTAGACTCAGATTTTACAAAGAAGATGAGGGACTGGGGAAAGAGCTGGTCTGACTTCAGAGAGGAGAATACAACTTTATGTCTGGATGATGCTAAAGAATTTTAGCACCTCCTACATCTGAAAATTAGATCTTCACCAAGATCTCGTCAGCCAGAGAAGGTGGCTGAGGTGACAGACTGAAACTGACTAGTTGATTTAAGTAGCATAGGTTGGCCGGTGTGGTGGCTCGTGCCTGTAATCCCAGCACTTTGATGGCTGAGGCAGGTGGACCGTTCGAGGTCAGCAGTTTGAGACCAGCCTGGCCAACATGGTGAAACCCCGTCTCTACTAAAAACACAAAAATTGGCTAGGCGCGGTGGTTCACGCCTGTAATCCCAGCACTTTGGGAGGCCGAGATGGGAGGATCACGAGGTCAGGAGATCAAGACCATCCTGGCTAACGTGGTGAAACCCCTTCTCTACTAAAAATACAAAAAATTAGCCGGGCATGGTGGCAGGCGCCTGTGGTCCCAGCTACTCGGGAGGCTGAGGCAGGAGAATGGTGTGAACCCAGGAGGTGGAGCTTGCAGTGAGCGGAGATCAAGCCACTGCACTTCAGCCTGGGCGACAGAGCGAGACTCCGTCTCAAATAAATAAATAAATAAATAAATAAATAAATAAATAAATAAAAACACAAAAATTAGCCAGGTGTGGTGGCAGGCGCCTGTAGCCCCAGCTAGTTGGGAGGCTGGGACATGAGAATTACTTGAACCTGGGAGGCGGAGGTTGCAATGAGCCAAGATCGCACCTCTGCACTCCAGCCTGGGTGATAGAGCGGGAGACTGTCTCAAAAAAAAAAAATTAAATTAAATTAAATAAATACCACAAATAAGTAGCAAAGATCCTCGCTATGACAACCTCATAACCCACCTTCCATGTAGAGAACTACAAAAAAATAAGTTTGAAAAGTATTTTAGGCCGGGTGTGGTGGCTCACGCCTATAATCCCAGCACTTTGGGAGGCCAAGGCAGGTGGATCACCTGAGATTGGGAGTTCAAGACCAGCCTGATCAACATGGAGAAACCCCATCTTTACTAAAAATACAAAATTATCTGGCTGTGGTGGCAGGCACCTGTAATCCCAGCTACTCAGGAGGCTGAGGCACAAGAACCCGGGAGGCAGAGGTTGCGGTGAGACAAGATCACACCACTGCATTCCAGCCTGGGCAACAGAGCAAGACTCCATCTCAAAAAAAAAAAAAAAAAAAGTTTTAGCACCTCGTACGTCTGAAAATTAGATCTTCACAAAGATCTCATCAGCCAGAGAAGCAAGAAGGCGAGGTGACAAACTGAAGCTCTGTGACTAGTTGATTAAGTGGCATAGGTTGGCCGGTGTGGTGGCTCATGCCTGTAATCCTAGCACTTTGGTGGCTGAGGCAGGTGGATCACTCGAGGTCAGGAGTTCAAGATCAGCCTGGCCAACACAGTGAAACCCCATCTCCACTAAAATTAGCCGAGTATGGCGGCGGGCGCCTGTAGTCCCAGTGACTCAAGAGGCTGGGACATGAGAATCACTTGAACCTGGGAGGCAGAGGTTGCAACGAGCCGAGATCGCACCTCTGTACTCATTCCAGCCTGGGTGACAGAGTGGGAGACTGTCTCAAAAATAAATAAATAAATAAAATAAAATAAAATATCACAAATAAGTAGCAAGGGTCCTCACTATCACAATCTCATAACCCACCTTTCATGTAGAGACCACGAGAAAACAAGTTTGAAAGGTGTTTAGCCAAAGTCAAAGGCATTTCGATCACTAGCAAAACCCATCTTGTTCTTCCACGTTCCCCACCCCCTGTCCCCACGTCCTGGAAGGAAATTGGGACCATATAGGATTAAGGGAGAATTAACAAACTTAGAGGTGATAGAGCTTTACTTTTTCATCTCTTTCTTCTTCCTTTTCAGTGCGCGTTCCTGATTTTGCTCTTTCAGGTTCTTCTGCAGGAAGCGGTCTAGCAACTCTGTCAAGCAAAATAACACAGACCCCAAGTGTGAGTGCCAGGAGCTTCCCCAAAGAAGCAGTTTTCATAAAGCTCCTCTTTCCCCCAAAAGCAATCTTCATTATCTCAGGAGCCCTGACAGACACATACTCATTTAACATTTAGTATTTGATATGACTTTTACACCTGGTTCGAATGCCAGCTGCCCTCGATTCATTCCTTCCAAGAAAACAGGAGAATTCTACTTGAATCTAAACGCTAATGATCTGACCCCAAATTCAGATACTTCATAACGATATGGTTGCCATGGAAACACACGATAAAGTTCTTCTTTTTAAACTTTTTTTTTTTTTTTTGAGATGGAGTCTTGCTCTGTCACTCAGGCTGGAGTGCAGTGGAATGATCTCAGATCACTGCAGCCTCTACCTCCTGGGTTCAAGCAATCCTTCTGACTCAGCCTCCTGAGTAGCTGGGATTAAAGGCACATTCCACCACGCCCAGCTAAGTTTTGAATTTTTAGTAGAGACGGGGTTTCGCCATGTTGGTCAGGCTGGTCTTGAACTCCTGACCTCAAGTGATTCGCCCATCTTGGCCTCCCAAAGTGCTGAGATTACAGGCATGAGTCACCGTGCCCGGCCTTAAACTTTCTGAAAAAGTTTTGTGATCAAGATTACACAACTCGTAGAACAAAAAGAAAGGTATAGTAACTATTCTTACCGTTCTCTGGATGTAACTCTACGTCTCTTCTCATCCTGTGTGGAGGGAAGGAAGAACAAAAAAGATTAGAATACTGGTTTCAAGGGAAGGTCAACACCAAAAGTGTGAGTTGAAATATTAACACATTTGACATGGTTAGAGCAAGAGTGGGAAAAGAAGGGGCCTGGGTTTTGGGGAGAAGATCTGAGAAACTCTTACTCTGGTATTAATCCCCACCAACCCCAAAACAAAAGCAGGTCCGAGAAGTAGGCAGGCACACTGCCCATCACTAGAGATCGCCTGGTGATACTATGTAAAAGAATCAAAGATTCTCCATCTTGTGTCAGGAATTTGTTTAATTTATTTGTTAGAGACCAGTCTGGGCAACATGGGAAACCTCATCTCTACAAAAAATACAAAACTTAGCTCATTGGCATGCGCCTGTAGTCCCAGCTGCTTGGGAGGGTGAGGTGGGAGGATCGCTTAAGCCCAGGAGGTTGAGGCTGCAGTGAGCCATGACTGCGCCACTGCACCCCAGCCTGGTGACAGAATGAGACCTGTCTCAAAGAAAAGAAAAGAAAAGAAAAAAGACAGAACTGTAATCCCAACACTTTGGGAGGCTGAAGCGGGTGGATCACTTGAGGTCAGGAGTTCAAGACCAGCCTGGCCAACACAGTGAAATCCCATCTCTACTAAAAATATAAAAATTAGCTGGGTATGATGGCACATGCCTTGTAGTCTCAGCTACTCAGGAAGCTGAGGATGGAGAGTCACTTGAACCCAGGAGGCGGAGGTTGCAGTGAGCTGAGATCGTGCCACTGCACTCCATCCTGAGTGAAAGAGTGAGACTCCATCTAAAAAAAATTAAAAACAACAACAACAACAACAAAAAAAACAAATTGGCTGGGCACGGTGGCTCACACCTATAATCCTGGCACTTTGGGAGGCTGAGGCGGGCAGATTGCCTAAGCTCAAGGAGTTCGAGACCAGCCTGGGCAACATGGGAGACCAGCCTGGGCAACATGGTGAAACCCCATCCCTACTAAAATACAAAAATTAGCCGGGCGTGGTGGCACGCGCCTGTAGTCCCAGCTACTCGGGAGGCTGAAGCAGGAGAATCACTTGAACCCGGGAGGCTGAGGTTGCAATGAACCAAGATTGTGCCACAAGAGCAAAACCCTGTCTCAAAAAAAAAAAAAAGTCTCAAAAAAAGAAGTCTAAATACATACATACATACACACACACACACACACACACACACACACACACACACACACACATATATATAACATGTATGTATGTAAGACTGCCTTGCCACTTGAGCTATGACATCATTTCTCCCCTGGACCTCCAGCCTGCCCTGCAGATTTCAAATTTGCTGGCTTTCACAATCTTGTGAGCCAATTTCTCAAAATAAAGTCTCTCCCCATAAATATATATTCCAACTATGTACCCATAAAAACAAGAAAAAAATCAAACGAATTATATATATATACATACACGTGCATATGTATATATGTACCTATAGCTGTATACACACATATACATTCTATTGGTCCTGTCTCTCTGGAGAGCCCTAAATAGAGCCCTAGACAGGGTTTTTATTTACTTGGACAGAACACATATGAAGTCACAATCATCAAATACACCAAGTTAAGGTAGAGTCAGGAAATGAAAGCACTGGCCCTACCTGGTCTTTGTCTTCTTCCTTGATGGACTCATCCGATTTGGCTCTTTCAGACTCTTCCTGAGGTTTCCGTTTGGCAGGGCTGTCACACACAGTGAGGCCAACCATTAGTGGAACAAGACCCTAGGCCTCCAGCTGGCCTGAAGTGGACCCTCATTCACCAGGATGTTGAAAGAGGCTTCAAGTTTAATGTTTCTCTGAATGACGGGTTTAGAATGTTGTCTTGCCATCTTGTAAGTCCTAAGAAATCACGGGTCTAAACACCGATCAACAGCTGCTAGTGTCAGAGAAGAGACCTCACACACCTTTCTGATGGAGGGACACAGCACCATCCATAAAGTCAGCCTCAGACCAGGTGCAGTGGCTCACGCCTATAATCCCAGCACTTTGGGAGTCCAAGGCATGAGGATCACCTGAGTTCAGGAGTTTCAGACCAGCCTGGCCAACGTGGTAAAACCCTGTCTCTACCAAAAATACAAACATTAGCCAGGGGTTGTGGCGGGCACTTGTAATCCCAGCTACTCAGGAGGCTGAGGCAGGAGAATCGCTTGAACCTGGGAGGTGGAGGTTGCAGTGAGCCGAAATCATGCCACTGCACTCCAGCCTGGGCTACAGAGCAAGACTCCGTATCAAAAAAAAAAAAAAGTCAGTCTCAAAAAATAAAAAGCTGGAATCTGATCAGTCCTGTAATCCTATCAGTTTATAGGGAACAGAAGGCAAGGGGACCTGTGGAACACCACAAGGATGCAATCGGCCCAATCTAGGAACTATTGGACAAATGAATTTCTTCAAGTAAATGGCAAGAAGATAAGAGATGAAGGAATTTAAAATCTGTGAGGAATTTTAAGTAAAATAGGAGGGAAGGAATCTATAACTTTAAGGAACAAGTCAACCAAACGCTGTCTGTTTGCCACACGGCTTGTTCACCACAAAGGGAAAAACGTAAATACCAACTATATATCTGATAGCAGGGAATTCTTACATTTTTATAAAGACATCAGAACAGTATTATACTTTGGTTTGTTAAAAAGACTGTTTTGGCTGGGCACGGTGGCTCACGCCTGTAACCCCAGCACTTTGGGAGGTTGAAGTGGGCAGATCACCTGAGGTCAGGAGTTTGAGACCAGTCTGGCCAACATAGTGAAACCCCACCTCTACTAAAAATACAAAAATTAGCCAGGCGTGGCGGCGCGCGCCTGTAATCCCAGATACTCAGGAGGCTGAGGCAGGAGAATCACTTGAACCCGGGAGGCAGAGGTTGCAGTGAGCCGAGATCGTGCCACTGCACTCCAGCCTGGGTGACAGCCAGATGCTGTCTCAAAAAAAAAAGACTGCTAAATGTTAGCAATTATTGTAAAATATGAGTAATTTTTTAAAAAGTTGTCAAAAGAGATCTCATTGTCTAGAAATATACTAAACTATATATGGACAAAGTAATCCAGGTGGGGCAGGGACACACAATATGGGGGTATAGATGAAACAACGGCTGTAACTTGATAACTGTTGGCACTAGATGATGGGTATTTCAGGGTTCATTATACAAAACTCATGATTTTGTGTACATTTGAACTTTCCTATATGAGTAAAAACAGGTAACGTTTTCAGAAATGCTATTCATAAATGTCTAGAGAACAGAACCGCAAGATGAAAACCTATACAACACGGAAGACAGAATTGCCACGTGACGCCCTACCAATTCCATCCCAAAACAGCCGGCCCCTAAAAAAGGCAGCCGCCAATTTATCGTATACTGACCCCTTTGCAAAATGAGATGTGATGGTGGTTTGCCTGGTGCTTTTCCTTGTAATCCTGGGGCTAGGTGAAGGTTCAGCTGTTTAAAGAAGAAAAAGCATTAAAAAGAAAAAAAAAAGCCACTATCAATAGAAAGCCCACAGCAATAATGCAGTTCAACATTACTAAGCTATTGCAGGAAGCCAGGTTCTAAGGACTAAGCATCTTTGCATTTTTATTCTAGTCAACAACCAGCTTGCTAATGTTGGCAGTTAGCACCTGCCAGTTTGTTGAGCCATATCATGTCAGTTATTTGAGGGGCCAAATGCTAAAGAAGGCCAGGAAACAGAGCCTCTTGTTAAAATATCAAAAGATGAAGTGGGCCAGGCACAGTGGCTCACATCTATAATACCAAAACTTTGAGAGGCTGAGGTGGGAAAATAATCCAAGCTCAGGTATTCGAGAACAGCCTGGACAACATGGCAAACCCCCATCTCTACTAAAAATACAAAAAAATTAGCTGGGCGTGGTGGTACACACCTATAATCCCAGCTATTCAAGAGGCTGAGGCACAAGAATCACTTGAACCCAGGAGATGGGGGTTGCCGTGAGCCAAGATCGCGCCACTGTACACAGCCTTGGCGACAGAGCAAGACCCTGTCTCTTAAAAAAAAAAAAAAAAGAAAAGAAAGAAAGAAAAAAAAGAAATAGGCCAGGTGCAGTGGCTCATGCCTGTAATCCCAGCACTTTGGGAGGCAAGACGGGCAGATCACAAGGTCAAGAGATCGAGACCATCCTGGCCAACATGGTGAAACCCCGTCTCTATTAAAAATACAAAAATTAGCTGGGCGTGGTGGCACGTGCCTGTAGTCCCAGCTCCTCAGGAGGCTGAGGCAAAAAAATCACTTGAACCCAGGAGGTGGAGGTTGTGGTGAGCCGAGATTGTGCCACTGCACTCCAGCCTGGCAACAGAGTAAGACTCCATCTCAAAAAAAAATAAAATAAAGGGCCAGGTGAGGTGGCTTACACCTGTAATCTCAGCACTTTGGGAGGCCAAGGCAGGTGGATCACCTGAGGTCAGGAGTTCGAGACCACCTTGGCCAACATGGTGAAACCCTGTCTCTACTAAAAATACAAAAATTAACTGGGCGTGGTGGCGCATGCCTCCATCTCAAAAAATAAAATAAAAATTAAAAGAAAATAAAATAAGGCTGGGCATGGTGGCTCACGCCTGTAATCCCAACACTTTGGGAGGCCGAGGCAGGTGGATCACGAGGTCGGGATATTGAGACCATCCTGGCTAACACAGTGAAACCCCATCCTACTAAAAATACAAAAAATTATCCAGGCGTGGTGTGCGCCTGTAGTCCCAGCTACTTGGGAGGCTGAGGCAGGAGAATGGCATGAACCTGGGAGGTGGAGCTTGCAGTGAGCCGAGATCGTGCCACTGGGCAACAGAGCGAGATTCTCTCTCAAAAATAATAATAAAATAAAACAAAATAAAAATGAAGTAGCTGAGAACCAGACCTGAGCTCAAGTACTATCCTATTGTTTGTTTTTTAAAAAATTCCAGAAGAGGCTGGGCGCGGTGGCTCACGCCTGTAATCCCAGCACTTTGGGAGGCCGAGGCGGGCGGATCATGAGGTCAGGAGATCGAAATCATCCTGGCTAATATGGTGAAATCCCGTCTCTACTAAAAAATACAAAAAAAATTAGCCGGGCATGGTGGCGGGCGCCTGTAGTCCCAGCTACTCGGGAGGCTGAGGCAAAAGAATGGCATGAACCTGGGAGGCAGAGCTTGCAGTGAGCCGAGATTGCGCCACTGCACTTCAGCCTGGGAGACAACAAGACTCCATCTCAAAAAAAAAAAAAAAAAAAAAAAATTTCCATTAGAGTTCCTTTGCCTAAAACTGGGCAAGAGTCTGAGAATAAATGTTTAACCAGGCATATAAGGTCTTAGAAGGAGTAAGTATTTGTAGCACTTGTCATCTGCAACCTGTCACACTCATAGCCATGTTTTGGGATCTAATGCTGCAACTTGGTCGAAAACAACATTTTTTTTTTTTTGAGACAGTGTCTTACTCTTGTTGCCCAGGCTGGAATTACAGACACCCGCCACCACGTCTGGCAAATTTTTTGTATTTTCAGTAGAGACAGGGTTTTGCCATGTTGGGCAGGGTGGTCTCGAACTCCTGACCTCAGGTGATCCAGCCACCTTGGCCACCCAAAGTGCAGGGATTACAGGCATGAGCCACCACACCCCCAGCTAAGACAAAATTTAAAGACGTACACATCTAAGCTAGTTAGGAAGTGTCCAGTAATTACTAGTGAGGATGCGTACAAAAGAAAGGAACCTGGACACACTGACCTGGGGTCCAAGTTTAACTGCCCCCTTATATGCTACCAAAGCCTGCTTCTAGGTTGAAAATGAGCCAAGTGGGGCCGGGCACGGTGGCTCACACCTGTAATCCCAGCACTTTGGGAAGCTAAGGCGGGAGGACCACTTGAGGTCAGGAGTTCCAGACCAGTCTGGCCAACATGGTGAAACCCCATCTCTACTAAAAATACAAAGATTAGCTGGGCATGGTGGTGCCCGCCTGTAATACTAGCTACTTGGGAGGCTGAGGCAGGAGAATCGCTTGAAACTGGGAGGCGGAGGTTGCAGTGAGCCGAGATCGCGCCATTGCACTCTATCCTGGGCGATAGAGCAAGACTCTGTCATTAAAAAAAAAAAAAAAAGAAAGAAAGAAAGAGAGTTAAGCAGGGCCAGGCGTGGTGGCTTATGCCTGTAATCCCAGCACTTTGGGAGGCCAAGGCAGGTGGATTACTTGAGGTCAGGAGTTCTGGACCAGCCTGGCCAACATGGTAAGACCCCATCTCTACTAAATACAAAAATTAGCTGGGTGTGGTGGCACATACCTCTAATCCCAGTTACTTGGGAGGCTGAGGCAGGAGGGTCTCTTGAACCTGGGAGGCAGAGGTTACAGTGAGCCGAGGTTACACCACTGTGCTCCAGACTGGGCAACACAGTGAGACTCCATCTCAAAAACAATTAAAAATAAAAGGAATCATCTGCTCTTACGCTTAGCCTCTCCATCGGACTTGCTCCTCCTGGGCGTGCGAGGTTTGGAAAGGGGTTTGGGGGGGCTGTTGGCATCTGCCATTCCCACTCTACGGGCTTCACTTCTTGCTTGGTTCCCGTTTTCTAGACGTCCATTCACTTCCCGGTTGTAAGCATGAGCACCGTTCTCCAAGGACAAATCTTTATTTAAAAGGGATTTGACTTTAGCCAGGTAGCCCTCCTACAGCAGGAAAGGATAATTTAAGTAGCAGTGAATGTAAACAAGTGTCAGAGAACAAGGAAACACATGTGTTTCCTTCATCATCATCATCATCATCATCATCATCAGGCAATGAGGACAGCTGGGGATCTTGCTGCCTCCCTGGTCACAGACAAGTTACTAGGAGGAGACATTTTTCTAGAGGCTAGGATGCTGAGAACTGACTTACCTCGGATAATTCTTCTTTACGTAATTTGGTTTCCAAGTCACATAACTGATTCTTTATTTCTGTTTGCAGAAATTCGTGCAAGAGATTCAATTTCTCCTTCACACATTCCTAAGGGAAGGATATAGGTTTAGCAGTACCCACATTCCCAAGCTATTCACTAGTGGACTAATACACAAATTATTGAGCTGCCTGATCACATCACAATGAGTGAATGGCAGGCAATGCTGTCTCAGTCAAAACACTAAACAGTCATGAAATGTGTTCAGGGAATTTCCATTAGGATCACTTCACTCCTGTCTCCAAAGTGGTGAAAAATGGGAAAGCTGGAGGTGAGATGGAGACATATCATGGTTTATAAGAATAATACTGTGCTTCTGTAAAGTGTCGGCCAGGCACAGTGGCTCACACCTATAATCCCAGCACTTTGGGAGGCCGAGGCAAGTGGATTGCTTTGAGCCCCAGAGTTCAAGACCAGCCTGGGGCAACATGACAAAATCCCATCTTTACAAAAAATATTTAAAAATTAGCTGGGCATGGTGGCTTGAGCCTGTAGTTAGAGCTACTCAGGAGGCTGAGTGGGAAAATCACTTGAGCCTGGGAGGCGAAGGTTGCAGTGAGCCAAAATTGTGCCACTGCACTCCAGCCTGGGCTACAGAATGAGACCCTATCTCAAAACAATAACAAAAACACAATAAAACAGTGTTACCAGGACAAGTTACAATCCAGAGTAGATTGTTTAGGAACTGAGATTGGTTAAAAAAAAAAAAAACCTGGGCCAGGCATGGTGGCTCACGCCTGTAATTCCAGCACTTTGGGAGGCCAAGGTGGGCAGATCACGAGCAGGCGTTCAAGACCAGTCTGGCCAACATGGTGAAACCCCATCTCTACTAATAATATAAAAATTAGCTGGGCATGGTGGTGCGTGCCTGTAGTCCCAGCTACTTGGGAGGCTGAGGCAGGAGAACAGCTTGAATCCGGGAGGCAGAGGTCACAGTGAGCCGAGATCATGCCATTGCACTCTAGCCTGGGTGACAGAGTGAGACTCTGTCTCAAAAAACAAAAACAACAACAAAAAAAAACACCACCACCACCCAACTATTAGCAGCAAATTAGTGCTGACATTTAACAAGAATATCCAAATTATCTTTGAAACTCCATGGGAAAAAATGCAAAATCCATTTAAAGAAAACAAATTTCTTTTTATGAGCCACAAAGTGTGTCAGTCAGATTTGGTAATAAGAAAAATTTTAAGGTGGAGATTACCTTTTCTGTTAAGCTGTCTCTTTCCAAATCTTTGAGCCTGGGAGGAAGAAATAGGGGAGAAAATACAAACACTTGTTAAGCAACTTCATTTGCCTGTAAGAATATCACAGTTCTAAAGAAGTTTTGGACACAAACAAGTTTAACATATGAGTGTTAGAAAAAACTAAGCTGGCTTTTGTCTCCCCGCAAGAGTCTAGAGTGTCCTACTGGAATGCCTAATGCTAAGAAGTCATCTGATCTGAACAAGGTTCCCCTTTTGGGGGTCATTTTTCTGATGATTGTGAGATTACATAGCAGCTCTGTAACACAATTATGTGTATGTGTGTGTGTGTGTATATATATACATATATATGTGTATATATATACATATATATGTGTATATATATGTGTGTATATATATACATATATATGTGTATATATATGTGTGTATATATATACATATATATGTGTATATATATGTGTGTATATATATACATATATATGTGTATATGTGTATATATACATATGTGTATATATATATACACACACACACAGCAGCTCTGTAACAGAGTATGTGTGTATATATGTATGTATATATGTGTATATATATACACACACATATATACATACATACATATACATTATACAGATAGATAGACAGACAGACAGACATGGAGTCTCGCTCTGTTGCCCAGGCTGGAGTGCAGTGGTGCGATCTCAGCTCACTGCAACCCTCACCTTCTGGGTTCAAGTGATTCTCTCACCTCAGCCTCCCAAGTAGCTGGGATTATAGGTGCCACCAGCCTCGTTAATTTTTTGTATTTTGAGTAGAGACAGGGTTTCACCATGTTGGTTAAGCTGGTCTTAGATTCCTGACCTCAAGTGATCCGCCTGCCTCAGTCTCCTGAAGTGCTAGGATTACAGGCATGAGTCACCATGTCTGGCATGCATATATATATACACGTATATATATACACGTATATGTGTGTATATATACATATATATGTGTATATATACGTATATATGTGTATACATACGTATATATGTATACATATGTGTGTGTATATATATATACACGTATATATACGTGTGTATATATATATATATTTTTTTTTTTTGAGATAGGGTTTTGCTCTTGTTGCCCAGGCTGGAGTGCAATGGTGTGATCTCAGCTCAACCTCCGACTCCCAGGTTCAAGCGATTCTCCTGGCTCAGCCTCCCGAGTAGCTGGGATTACAGGCATGCACCACCACACCCAGCTAATTTTATATTTTTAGCAGAGACAGGGTTTCTCCGTGTTGGTCAGGCTGGTTTCGAACTCCCGACCTCAGGCGATCCACCTGCCTCAGCCTCCCAAAGTGCTGGGATTACAGGCATGAGCCATCATGCCCAGCCTGTATATTTTAAAAGGTACCAGAGACCAGGCATGGTGGCTCACGCTTATAATCCCAGCACTTTGGGAGGCCAAGGCGAGCGGATCACTTGAGCCCAGGCGTTCAGACCAGCCTGGGAAACATGGCGAAACTCCATCTCTACAAAAATACAAAAATTAGTGGCTGGGCGTGGTGGCTGATGCCTGGAATCCCAACATACAGCAGCAGTTGGGTGGATTACCTGAGGGCCAAGGTGGGTGGATTACCTGAGGTCAAGGGTTTGAGACCAGCCTGGCCAACATGGCGAAACCCCATCTCTACTAAAAATACAAAAATTAGCCAGGCGTGGTGGTGGGTGGCTGTAATCCCAGCAACTTGGGAGGCTGAGGCAGGAGAATCACTTGAACCCGGGAGGCAGAGGTTGCAGTGAGCTGGTCACACCATTGCACTCTAGCCTGGGCAACAAGAGTGAAACTCTGTCTCAAAATAAAATAAAATAAAATAAAATAAAAATAACTGGGTTTGGTGGCATGTGCTTGTGGTCCCAGTTACTTGGGAGGCTGAGGAAGGAAGATCACCTGAGCCTGGGAGGTCGAGGCCACAGTGAGCCGTGATTGCATCACTGCACTCCAATCTAGGAGACAGAGTGAGACCCTGACTCAAAAAGATACCAGGAAAGAGGGGGCAGGTCATATAGTTGGGGCACTCCCGTAAGGGAAATGACCTACAGCTGGTCTTTCTCCAGTTGGGTCTGACAACAGCCCATAACAAGGTGTGCCACAGTATGGCCAGTGTCAGAATGAGTAGCCCAGGGCCACAGGACACTGTGGGGAACAGCCAGCTGATGTTCCTAAAGGCCTGGTGGGGGGTGGTGGCATTTTGAGGATGAAATGGGGGAGTCAAGCATCCAGGGAAGCAAGGGGTACCCACACAGAGGGCAGATAGAGGTGAAGTTAGAGGAGGTGGCTGGCGCCTCCCCGAATAACTCATTCTTCAGGATGTCTCTAGCTAGTCATTCCTAAATGTAGAACTGCCAGGAGTTTGCCTGGGAAATCGTGGTCTGATTTGATTACTGACAATTAGTAGCTTGACTCTTTCAGGGACAAAGAGGGAAAAAAATAAAAGAACAATAGCCGGTGCAGTGCCGCGGTGCTGCGTGCCTGTAACCCCAGCTACTCAGGAGGCTGTGGTGGGAGGATGGCTTGTGGGCAGGAGTTCGAGTCCAGCCTGGACAACATAGGGCGATCCTATCTCTTCAGAAAAAAATAAAGGAACAAGAAGAGAAGGTACCAAGGAAAGGGAGAGGAACACAGGCTGTTGTTCCCAGCCTGGGTGCTAACTACAGACTGCGGGGTGAGAACAGGCCTAACCAGCTGGGTAAGTGTCTGTTGGTGGAGAGAAGGTGCCCCAGGCAGGGACCAGGCCACTGCCATCTCTGGACCTTTCCACCTAGCACCCGCACAGACAGGTGCTCAGTTATCATTTGCCTGAAGGGCAGAAGTGGCTCCTCCAGGCTGGCCTTCCTAGAGGGTAAGTGCAGGCAGCAGCATGAGGAATGCTTTGCTGGACCCATGTCTTACAACAGCTGCTCTGGGTCATGCGGGCCCTGATTCCCCACCAGCGCCGCTCACATATGAGCACCTGCTGAATGCCAGGCCCTGCTCCAGGCAAAGAGCTAAGTGATTAGATGTAGGTGTCACTAGGCAGGGACTTCCTGACTTGCTGTGTGGTTAGGAAAGACCATTCTGTAGGGCCGGGCACGGTGGCTCACGCCTGTAATCCCAGCACTTTGGAAGGCTGAGGTGGGCGGATCATGAGGTCAGGAGATGGAGACCATCCTGGCTAACACAGTGAAACCCCGCCTCTACTAAAAATACAAAAAATTAGCCAGGCGTGGTGGTGGGCGCCTGTAGTCCCAGCTACTCAGGAGGCTGAGGCAGAAGAATGGCGTGAACCCGGGAGGTGAAGCTTGCAGTGAGCCAAGATCATGCCACTGCACTCCAGCCTGGGCAACAGAGCAAAACTCTGTCTCAAA
The DNA here is from genome assembly GCF_000001405.40 of Homo sapiens. Taxonomy (NCBI): domain Eukaryota; kingdom Metazoa; phylum Chordata; class Mammalia; order Primates; family Hominidae; genus Homo; species Homo sapiens. The sequence goes on from NC_000019.10 coordinate 10,185,428, forward strand.
AAAAAAAAAAAAAGACTGCTCTGTAGAAGAGACACTTAGCACCCTACAAACACAGTGGTAATATAGACTGTATATTATATATACTGTATCACTTGGACTCAAGGTGCTACAAGGCCAGGCAAGACGCAGTGGCTCATGCCTGTAATCCCAGCACCTTGGGAGGCCAAGGCAGGAGGATCACTTGAGGTCAGGAGTTTGAGACCAGCCTGGGCTACACTGAGAGATCCCATCTCTACAAAAAAAATGTAAAAATTAGCTGGGTGTGGTTAGTGTGCACCTGTGGTACCAGCTACTTGGGAGGCTGAGGTGGGAGGATCGCTTGAGCCTGGGAGGTTGAGGCTGCAGTGAGTTATGATGGTACCACTGCAATCCAGCCTGTTCAGCCTGGGCAACAGAACAAGACCCTGTCTCAAAAGAAAAAAAAAAAAAAAAAAAGATGCTTTGACATCAGGATTTCCAGGAGCACAAGGAACCTCTTCCAGGCAAAAGTCATTCTACCCTTGTAGCAACTGGGGTCCAAGGAGAGCCTTAAGTCAGGAGGGCTACAGAAACTGGTACTTCCAGCCAGAGGCACACACGCTGTGGTAATAGCGTTACACTTGACTTCTCAGTCACGCCGCTGAGAAAACTGGAAGGACATGGCTTCTACCTCGACCAAGCCAGCCAGTCCCCTGATCCCGAGGTTGCCTGGGGTGTGAAGGACAAGGTTCAACTGATTGCGGAGACCAAGGTGTCCTTGCAGAATGGGTCTGCTTTCTTTCAACCCCTCATATGAACTGGGATATTTAGCCTGGCAAAGAGAATAGAGAAACCTTCAAAACCCCTAGAATGTTTCATCCAGTAGAAACTGGATTTAACCTGCCTGGCCCCAGAGTGGCAGGTGGGATCCCAGGCAGGCAGTGAGGAGCTGGCGGGAGGGTAACTTTAGCGACATCCCTTCCCTGGTAAAACTGTGATGACACCGATCACACCTGCTGAAGCCAGGAGGGTCGCAGACAGCCGTGAAGGACGGAGCAGAGGACTCAGAATGCCGGCTTAGTGCCCAGCCTGAGACCCTATGATTCCTTCCTAGTGCTTCCCTCAGAGATGAACCCTCTGCAGAGGGGAGATAAGATATATATAAACAGCTGGCCAGGCACGGTGGCTCATGCCTGTAATCCCAGCACTTTGGGAGGCCGAGGCGGGCGGATCACCTGAGGTCAGGAGTTCGAGACCAGCCTGACCAACATGAAGAAACTTCGTCTTTACTAAAAATCCAGAATCAGCCAGGCATGGTGGCACATGCCTATAATCCCAGCTACTCAGGAGGCTGAGGCAGGAGAATCGCTTGAACCCGGGAGGTGGAGGCTGCGGTGAGCCAAGGTCACGTCATTGCACTCCAGCCTGGACAACAAGAGTGAAACTCCGTCTCAAAAAAAAAAAAAAAAAAAAAGATATATATAAACAACCACAGAGGAATAAGGCAAATACAGCTCACGCCTGCGGGATTCCCAAGAGAAAGGGTATAACAGCCTCAGGAAGAAGTTGACAGCTCTGTGTGAACCGGGCACAGGAAGCTGCTCAAACAGGGGCACCATTGAGAAGTGGCTGGTTCTGGAAACACACAAGAAACAAACGTGAGACTGGCCACATACAGGGAGGGAAAGGCACCTCCAGAGAGGTGGCTGGGGACAGTCGGAGGGAGGGCAAAAGCATCACACTTATCCATCTTGTTCCATAGTTAACAAACACCAAAGCAGTCAAGGGGAAGTAGAACCAATGACATCAGAGCCGTGTTAAGAAAACTAACCCAGCAGAGGTATCTAGTATAGATTGGATAGGAAGAAATTATAAAATGTTAGATTACTCTAACACCTCTACGCCAGAAATGCTCGTCTGAAATACAGCAGACCATGGCTGGGCGCAGTGGCTCATGCCTGTAATCTCTACACTCGGGAAGCCAGGACAGGAAGATCACTTGAGCCCAGGAATTCGAGACTAGCCTGGGCAACAGAGCGAGACCCTGTCTCTACAAGAAAGAATAATTAGCTGGCTGTGGTAGCATGCACCTATAGTCTTAGCTACTCGGGAGGCAGAGGCGGGAGGATCACTAGAGCTCAGGAATTTGTGACCAGCCTGGGCAATACAGTGAGACCCTGTCTCTACGAGAAAACAGTAATTAGCTGGGTATGACAGCACGCACCTGTACTCCTAGCTGCTCAGGAGGCCGAGGCGGAAGGATCACTAGAGCCCAGGAATTTGAGACCAGCCTGGGCAACACAGCGAGAACCTGTCTCTACAAAAAATAGTAATTAGCTGGGTGTGGTGGCATGCACCTATAGTCTTAGCTACTCAGGAGGCTGAGGCGGGAGGATCACTAGAGCCCAGGAATTCAAGACCAGCCTGAGCAACACAGCGAGACCCTGTCTCTACAAAAAATAGTAATTAGTAATTAGCTGGGTGTGCTAGCATGTGCCTATAGGCCTAGCTACTCGGGAAGCCAAAGCGGGAGGATCAATAGAGCTCAGGAATTCAAGACCAGCCTGGGCAACACAGCAGAGACCCTGCCTAAACAAAAAATAGTAATTAGCTTGGTGTGGCAGCATGCACCTGTGGTCCTAGCTACTCAGGAGACTGAGGCAGGAGGATCACTAGAGCCCAGTGAGCTATAATTGTGCCGCTGCATTCCAGCCTGGGTGACACAGCAAGACCTTGTCTCTAAAAATAAAATATAGTGGACCATGCAAGACAAGTTACAAGTCTCTGTCAAACCAGCTTCTTCAGGCCGGCTGCATGGCAGCTGGAGCAGGGCTGCCCAAGAAGGCATCCGCAGTAGGCAAAAGAGTAGACCCACTGGGCACAGTGGCTCATGCCTGTAATCCCAGCACTTTGGGAGGCTGAAGCGGGTAGATCACCTGAGCTCAGGAGTTCAAGACCAGCCTGGGAAACATGGCAAAACCCCATCTCTACTAAAAATACAAAAATTAACCGGGCTTGGTGGCTCACGCCTGTAATCCCAGCTACTCAAGAGGCTGAGGCACAAGAATCATTTGAACCCAGGAAGCAGAAGTTGCAGTGAGCCGAGATCATGCCACTGCACTCCAGCCTGGGTGACAGAGCGAGACTCCATCTCAAAAAGAGTGGACCCACCGAAAAATGTTCATGCCCTAATCCCTGGAACCTGTGAATATATTACTTTACGTGGCCAAAGCGATTTTGCAGATGTAACTAAGAATACAGACCTTGAGATGGGGAGATTATCCTGGATTATCTGGGGTGGGCCCAATCTAATCACTTCAGCCCTTAAGAACACAGAACCTTTCTAGCTGCAGAGAGCGGGCAACGTTGGAGGACGGGTCAGAGAGAGATGCAACCCGCAAATGCTGACTTTAAAGGTAGAGGAAGGGGGCATGAGCCGAGGGATGAGACCGCCTCCAGAAGCGGGCAACGACCCTCAGTTTAGAACCAGTGAAGAAAATGGGACCTGAGTCTTACAACTACCACCTTCTGCCAACACCCCAAAATAGGAAACAGATTCTCCCCTGGAGCCCCCAGAAAGGAATGCAGCCTGCTTACACCTTGATTTTCATCCGGTGAAACCCACATCAGATTTCTGACCTGCATAAGGTAATAAATGTATGTCCTTTAAGCCGGCAAGTTTGAGGCAAGACCCTCCACCTGCAAAAAGATTATGAATCGCTGAAGACTCAGATGATTTTTTTTTTTTTTTTGAGACGGAGTCTCGCTCTGTTGCCCAGGCTGGAGTTCAGTGGCATGATCTCGGCTCACTGCAACCTCCGCCTCCCAAGTTCAAGCAATTTTCCTGCCTCAGCCTCCCATGGAGCTGGGACTATAGGCGTGTGCCACCATGCCTGGCTAATTTTTTTTGTATTTTTAGTAGAGACGGGGTTTCACCGTGTTAGCCAGGATGGTCTCGATCTCCTGACCTCGTGATCTGCCCACCTTGGCCTCCCAAAGTGCTGGGATTACAGGCGTGAGCCACCACGCCCAGCTGATTTTTTTTTTTTTTTGAGACAGAGTCTCACTCCTTCACCCAGGCTGGAGTGCAGTGGCACAATCATGGCAAACTGCAGCCTCGACCTCATGGGTTCAAGTGATCCTCCCACCTCTGCCTCCCGAGTAGCTGGGACCCCAGGTGCATGCCACCACTTTTGGCTTTATTTTTTTTTTTGAGATGGGGGGGGTCTTCCTATGTTGCCCAGACTAGTCTTGAACTCCTTGGCTCAAGCGATCCTCCTGCCTTGGCCTCCCAAACTGCTGGGATTACAGGCATGAGCCACTGCACACGGCCTAGTCTAATAACTTTTACACATACTAGGAAACCAAAATGTGTGTGTGACTCACTTTCTTGCTAGATTCACTTTACTGCAGTGGTCTGGAACCAAACCCACAGCATCCCCACTGTACACACAGTACCACGTAATAACCAGTGATGAAGGGCTTTGGACAGGTGCTGCTCTCAACATATCTGTACTGATAAGCTCAGTCTTCCTAACACCCCTGTCGAGCAGGCAGCCCCACCCCCTTTTTATAGATGAAACACCAAGGCACCAAGAAGTTCAATAACTTAGCCATACGGCTGGCAAGTAGGGCGGCATTTGAAACCCAGCAGTCTGTACCCCTAGAATTCTACCACAGGGGAGCAAAACAAAAGAGGTAAGTCAATTTTGCCTTATTCAGTATGTACTCAGTAGTAGCCAAGGAACTGGAGTTAAGGAGTTCAAGACCTAGCTTAATCCCATCACAGAATGACTAGCAGTAAGAAAGCTGTGGTAGTTACGAAAGCTAATCAGTTGTGCAAAGGAGTCTGCTAGCATCAGTGTTAATCCAGGCTGTACAGGGGAAGAGCTGGCATGCAAGCATTTGAGTCTACTGTGCTCCAAGCTGCAGATACAGTGAATACGGCAGACACGCTCTGGTAACAGACCCTGAAATAATCACTAATTTCAGTGTTATAATGGCACCATGCGGGATACACCGACAAAATTCAACACTCTTTATTGTGGAGAAGCAAGCCTAGCTGTCTGAGAGCAGGCTTAAGAATGAATTAAAAGGCCAGGCACGGTGGCTCATGCCTGTAATCCCAACACTTTGCGGGGCTGAGGCAGGCGAATCACTTGAGTCCAGGAGTTCAACACCAGCCTGGCCAACACGGTAAACCCCGGTTTCTACTAAAAATAAGAAAAAGTTAGCCGGGCGTGGTGGCACATGCCTGTAATCCCAGCTACTCAGGAGGCTAAGGCAGGAGAATCACTTGAACCCGGGAGGGGGAGGTTGCAGTGAGCCAAGTTCGCACCACTGCACTCCAGCCTGGGCGACAGCACAAGACTCTGTCTCAAAAATAAAATAAAATAAAATAAAATAAAATAAAATAAAATAAAATAAAATAAAATAAAAACAATGAACCGGCTGGACACCATCATACCTGTAATCCCAGCATTTTGGGAGGCTAAGATAAGTGGATCACTTGAGATCAAGAGTTTGAAACCAGCCTGGTCAACATGGCAAAACCCAGTCTCTAATAAAAATACAAAAATTACCTGGGCTTGGTGGCGGGCGCCTGTAATCCCAGCTACTTGGGACACTGAAGTAGGAGAATTGCTTGAACTCGGGAGGTGGAGGTTGCAGTGAGCCGAGATCACGGCCACTGCACTCCAGCCTGGGCGACAGAGCAAGGCTCAGCCTCGAGGGGGAAAAAGAAAAATTAGCTGGGCGTGGTGGTGCACACCTGTAATCCCAGCTACTTGGGAAGCTGAGACAGGAGAATTGCTTAAACCCGGGAAGCGGAGGCTGCAGTGAGCTGAGATCACACCATTGCACTCTAGCCTGGGCCACAGAGCAAGACCCTGCCTCAATTAAAAAAAAAAAAAAATCTAAGTTTCAAGTACTGTTGGATACCATGTTTATTTTTCATTTAATGAAATATTTTCAAAATGTAAAAAAAAAAAAAAAAGTCTGTGGAGTGAGTCATATAAACTACAATTTCAATGTCTACCACATGGTCAAAAGCAGTCCTCCAAAACTCCAATGCCTACAGTGAAGCAATCTGAGTGTAAAGAAATGTGGAACCCAGGGTCAGTGGTGGATTGTAAGGCTCACCTAATGGTATTCCAATTCAGCCAAACAAAATATTTGCACAGGGCCAACAGAGCCCCTGAGCCAGTGGCCTACTGGCAACCCCTGTTGAAGGGAAAGGCTTTGGCAAGCAGCAGACCTTAGCAGGAATTCCTGCTTCCTGGCAGTTAACTCCTGCAGCATCCACTTTTAAGAACTCTTGAGGAATAATGGCCGGGCCCTGTGGCTCACGCCTGTAATCTCAGCCCTTTGGGAGGCCAACGCAGAGGATTGCTTCAGTCCAGGAGTTCAAGACCAGCCTGGGCAACAAAGCAAGACCCTCATCTCTAAAAAAAAAAATTTTTTTTTTTTCTGAGACAGAGTTTCGCTCCTGTTGCCCAGGCTGGAGTGCAACGGTGCAATCTCGGCTCCTGGGTTCAAGCGATTATCCTGCCTCAGCCTCCCGAGTAGCTGCGATTACAGGCACCTGCCACCATACCTGGCTAATTTTTTTGTATTTTTAGTAGAGATGGGGTTTCGCCACGTTGGCCAGGCTGGTCTCAAACTCCTGACCTCAGGTGATCTGCCCATCTCAGCCTCCCAAAGTGCTGGGATTACAGACGTGAGCCACCGCGCCCAGCCTTCTAAAAAATTTTTTAAGGATTAACTTGGGCATGGTGGCATGTGCCAGCCACTCAGGAGGCTAAGGCAGGAGGATTGCTTGAGCTCAGGGGTTCAAGGCTGCAGTAAGCCATGACTGTGCCACTGCATTCCAGCCTGGGTGACACAGTGAGATCCTGTCTCTTAAAAAAAAACTGAAAAAAACAAGCTAAGTTAGCCACTAGCATGTGAACCTTTATGTGCCATGCATATTCTCATTTAACCCAATACCAGCTGAAAACCCATGTCATTATTCCTAGACTATGGATATAGAGGTGGCATACGCTTGTTTAAGGTCATTGAGCCAGTGGAGGTCATGTTTTCAAGAAGGCTGGGCAGGCTGGGCATGGTGGCTCACACCCGTAATCCCAACACTTTGGGAAGCTGAGGCAGGAGGATCGCTTGAGGCCAGGAATCGAAGACCAGCCTGAGCAACATGGCAAGACCCCATCTCTACAAAATAAAAAAAAGGAATAAAAAAGGAAGGCCGGGCCCAAACTTCTCTGAATTGGGTGTAACATCATGAAGCCAGGCACTTTCATAATTTCACTTCCATTCCATTTTAAATCAAGTTTTATTTTGGGAGAATACTGGCACAGATGATTCAAGAAGATATATACCCACTAACTGGTTAAGAAGTGGTTTGACTATAATCCCAGCACTTTGGGAGGCTGAGGCAGGTGGATCACGAGGTCAGGAGTTCGAGACCAGCCTGACCAACATGGAGAAACCCCGACTCCACTGAAAACACAAAAATTAGCCAGGCGTGGTGGTGTGCACCTGTAATCCCAGCTACTTCGGAGGCTGAGGCAGGAGAATCACTTGAACCCTGAAAGTGGAGGTTGCAGTGAGCCGAGATCACGCCACCGCATTCCAGCCTGGGTGAAAGAATGAGACTCCATCTCAAACAAACAAACAAAAAAAAGTAGTAGTTAAGGCATGATGGCTCATACTTGTAATCCTAACCTTTGGGACACAAAGGCAGGAGGACTGCTTGAGGGCAGGGGTTTAAGACCAGCCTGGGCAATATGGTGAAACCTCACGTATACAGAAACAAAAACTAAGAAAGTCATCTGGGCATGGTGGTGGGCGCCTGTGGTCCCAGCTACTCAGGAGGCTGAGGATCCCTTAAGCCCAGGAGTTCAAGGCTACAGTGAGTTATAATTGTGCCAGGGCACTCCAGCCTGGACAACAGAGTGAGACCCATCTCTAAAAATAAAAAGTGTTTCTTTTTTTGAGACAGGGTCTCACTCTGTCACCCAGGCTGGAGTGCAATAGCGCGATCTCAGCTCGCTACACACAGCCTCAACCTCTGGGGCTCAAGTGATACTCCCACCTTAGTCTGTTGAGTAGTTGGGACCACAGGCGCACGGCACTACTCCAGGCTAATTTTTGTATTTTTAGTAGACATGGGGTTTTGCCTTGTTGCCCAGGCTGGTCTCAAACTCCTGGCTCAAGAGATTCGTCCGCCACTGCCTCCCAAATTGCTGGGATTACAGGCATAAGCCACAGCACCCAGCCTTCAAAAAAAAAAAAAAAAAGAAAAGAAAAAAAGCGGGGGTTGAACCAAATATCCATCCCTCCCCAAAGACCCAAATCAGAACCGGACTGGCCCAACCAGGTCAGTTAACAAGCCTAAGGAAATAGAAAAATGGCAAAGAGTGCTTTCACAAATCCAGCTGGAAGTGTCCACGCCTGGTGAGGGTTCCTCTGACTCACGCACACCTCACTTGAACAAGTTTTCAGGAATGAACTGATGGCGTTCATGAACAAGGGGCTGGGACCAGTGCTCCCACTGATCCTTGTGCACGGAAGTTGGACAGAGGCATGAACTGCTAAAGCCAGGGCCTCCAACATTAGACACACACTAAAGAACACACCCATGAACACACACAAACACACACGAAAGTGTAGCCAGTTCTCATTAGCAAGACTTCCCTGATGCCCACGGCTCACAGGCACAGATTTACAGGAAAAGACCAACCATGCAGCCTTCACGCTTCCCGGGCCCTGCGCTGCAATGCACGGTTAAAGTTCCTGCCAAAACATGGACTTTCCCAAGGAGCAAGAACCACACAGTCCCAACTGACAGAATGAGTACCCCACGGAAGGCTGGGCTCTCGAACATGAGCCAGCCCAGCCCAGGCCCCGACGGGTGACATCCGTCTCTGGAGGCCGCCATCGAGATGCACAGCTTTGGGGGAAAGGCACTGAGGGACCCCCCACCACAGAAGCGCCCCCGGGGACCGGGCCGGACACCGGAAGTGGAGGCCGAAGTGCCGGTGCCCGAGGGGTGTCCGTTGGCCGCGGGCTGCCCACTTCCTGTGCGACCAAGCTGGAGTCAAGAGCCCGGCCCACCGCTGCTTGAAGAAGGGGACCCCGGAAACGAACCCAAAGCTTGCTGTATTTGGGGATCAAAAGAGAACCCCCACCCCGCCTAGTTTCTAGCCACCAGGGAGCTACGGGGGAATCCACGGTCCATTTTGGCGCCAAACAGCCCGGGCACGCGCGACCGGAAGTGCCACCCTGCCCGCGCCAACTGCCGCTGCGCGCCGCACCACCCCACGCATGCGCGCCCGTCTGTCAGCAGCGGCCACCGGCCACCCCGAGGGGAAGCGACCCCCCACCCAGCGCCCTGCCTGTCCCCCTGAGTCCGTGTTCCCCCCCATGGTACCTACCGCCTGCGGACATCGTCGGGCAGCGAGATGGCCGGGACGGCCAGTGTGGGCACCCGGGCTGGGGCGGTACGCGCCGGCATCTCGGAGGCTTCAGCAGACGCGGCGGCGGCAGCGCAGGCGCCCCGGCTTTTCGCGCGGAAACCGATGGGGAGGGGCGATGAGCGGAGGCGGCGTCTACCACCCCAGTCCGGGCGTGGGGGAGGAGGGGATGTACCAAACGGAGAGAGGCGATACCCTGTGCAGAAGGATGGAACGGAGCCGGCCATGCCCAGGGAACACGCATGCGCAAGGCGGGCACACACCCCCCCCACGCGGAGCAGTGGGCTCGTCCAAGCTCCACGGTTTGCTGGGAGGTGGGCACGGTGCCCGAGGCATTCATTCATTCATTCTTTCAGGTGTGATGGGGATAAAGCAGCGAGAAGCCCCCAAGGGTTTGTGAGAGCCCTTGAGTAAAGTCCTCAGTTCCAATCCAACCTCCATCTATTTGCTGGCTATACGACCTTAGGTGGGTCACTACGGCTCAGCCTCTGTGTCCTCATCTGTAAAACGGGGTAATTGCACCTACTCTAGAAAATCTTGAGTATACACAGAATTTGTAGCTAGTACCAAGAATCTCACAGTGTATAGAGGCCCATGCCACTTCTATACCCAGTGTGTGGGGGGTTTTTTGTTGCCTTTTTTAAGCACCACGTGGCTCACGCCTGTCATCCCAGCACTTTGGGAGGCCAGGGTGGGAGGATCGCTTGAGCCCAGGAGTTTTAGACCAGCCTAGGTAACATAGAGAAACTGCATCTCAAAAAAAAAAAAAAAGAAAGAAAGAAAGAAAGAAAAAAAGAAAAACAAAAATTAGCTAGTCGTTGTGGCATGTGCCCATAGTCCAAACTACTCCAGAGGTTGAGGCAGGAAGATCACTTGAACCGGAGAGGCAGAGGTTGCAGTGAGCCATGATTGTACCACTACATTCCAGCCTGGGAGACAGAGCAAGACCTTGTCTCAAAAAAATAAAAATAAAAAGTAAGAATAAATTAAGAAGCACCATGTCAGGCGCAGTGGCTCACGCCTGTAATCCCAGTGCTTTGAGAGGCCCAGGTGGGAGGATCGCTTGAGGTTAGGAGTTCAAGACCAGCCTGAGCAACATAGGGATACCCCATCTCTACAAAAAATACAAAGATTTGCTGGGCATGGTGACACACACCTGTAATCCTAGCTACTTGGGAGGCTGAGGTGGGAGGATGGCTTGAACCCTGGCAGTGTAGGCTGCAATGAGCCATGATTGGGCCACTGGACTCCTGCCTGGGCGACAGGGTAAGACCCTGCCTCACTCTGTCACCCCGGCTGGCGTGCAGTGGTGAGATCTTGGCTCACTGCAACCTCTGCCTCCCAGGTTCAAGCGATTCTCATGCCTCAGCCTCCCTAGTAGGCTGGGATTACAGGCGTACTCCACCACGCCTGGCTAATTTTTGTATCTTCGGTGGTAGAGACAGGGTTTCACCATGTTGGCCAGGCTAGTCTGGGACTCCTAGCCTCAAGCAGTCCACTTGCCTCAGCCTCCCAAAGTGCTGGGATTATAGGCCTAAGCCACCGTAACCAGCCAGAATTTTTTTTTTTTTTAAAGCACCAGAACATGGGGGAAAGATTGTGTCTTTAACAAATGGTGCTGAGAAAACTGTATAACCACATACAAAAGAATGAAGTTGGACCCTTACCTTACACCATATACAAAAACACAAAACTTATTAAAGATTAAACATAAGACCTGAAACTATAGTGCTCCTAGAAGAAAACATGGGGAAAAGCTTCATGACAATGGATTTGGCAATGATTTCTTGGATATGACAGCAAAACACAGGCAACAAGACAAAAGATAGACAAATGGGTTTGCAACAAACTTAAGGATAGCTATACAGCAAAAGAAATGACCAACAGTGAAAAGGCAACCTACAGAATGGGGAAAAAAAAAGTTTGCAAACTGTATTATCTGGTAAAGGGTTAATATCCGGAATATATGAAAAATTACAGCCAGGCATGGTGGTTCATGCTTGTGATCCCTGCACTTTGGGAGGCCCGGGTAGGCAGATCACTTGAGCCCGGTAGTTTTAGACCAGCCTGAGCAACATGGCAAAACCTCGTCTCTACCAAAAAAAGAAGAAAAAAATTATATAAAAAATAAATTACTACCCGTCAGGCTTGGTGGCTCACGCCTGTAATCCCAGCACTTTGAGAGGCCAAGGCGGGTGGATCACCTGAGGTCAAGAGTTTGAGACCAGCCTGGCCAACATGGTGAAACCCTGTCTCTCCTCAAAATATAAAAATTTGCTGGGCATGGTGGTGTGCCTGTAATCCCAGCTACTCGGAAGGCTGAGGCAGGAGAATCACTTGAACCTGGGATGCGGAGGTTGCAGTGAGCCGAGATTGCACCATTGCGCTCCAGCCTGCGCAACAAGAGAGAAACTCTGTCTCAAATAAAAATTTAAAAAATAATAAATTTCTACAATGCAACAACAAAAACTCGATTTACAAATGAGCAAATGGGCTGGGTGCGGTGGCTCACACCTGTGATCCCAGCACTTTGGGAGGCCCAGGCGGCAGGCGGATCACGCGGTCAGGAGATCGAGACCATCCTGGCTAACGTGGTGAAACCCCATCTCTACTAAAAATACAAAAAATTAGCCAGGCGTGGTGGCAGTCGCCTGTAGTCTCAGCTAATCAGGAGGCTGAGGCAGGAGAATGGTGTGAACCCAGGAGGTGGAGCTTGCAGCAAGCCGAGATTGCACCACTGCACTCCATCCAGCCTGGGCAACAGAGCGAGACTCCGTCTCAAAAACAAACAAAAAGAGCAAATGATTTGAATACATACTTTCCCAAAGGAGATATGCAAATAGAAAACAGGCATATGAAAAGATGCTCAACATCACTGGTCATCAGGGAAATGCAAATCAAAACCACAATGAAATATCCCTAAGACCCCTTAGAATGGCCACTGTCAAATAATAAGTGTTGGTGAAGATGTGGAGAAACTGGAACCCTTGTGCACGGTTGAGAGTCGAATAAAATGGTGGAGCTGCTATGAGAAACAGCATGGAAGTTCCTCAAAAAAATTAAAAATAGAATTATCATATGATCCAGCAATCCCATTTCTGGATATAAATTCAAAAGAATTGAAAAGAGGATCTTAAAGAGATATTTGCATACCCGTCTTCATTGCAGCATTAGTCACAACAGCCAAGAGACAGGAAAAAAAAAAAAAAAGATCATATTGCTGCTAAGAGATGGGGTCTTGCTGTGTTGCCCAGGCAGGTGTCAAACTCCTGGGCTCAAGGCATACTCCTACCTCAGCTTCTTAAGTAGCTGGGACTACAGGTATGTGCCACCACAATGGGCTAACTTTTTATATTTTTTGTAGAGACAGGATTTCTCCATGTTGCCCAGGCTGGTCTCAAACTCCTGAGCTCAAGCGATCTGCTGGCCTTGGCCTCCCAAAGCGCTGGGATTACAGGTGTAAGCCACTGCACCCAGCCTAATTCAGTCTTTAAAAAAGAAAAAATGGCCAGGTGCAGTGGCTCACACCTGTAATCCCAACACTTTGGGAAGCCAAGGCGGGTGGATCACCTGAGGTCAGGAGTTCGAGACCAGCCTGGCCAACATGGAGAAACCCCATCTCTACTAAAAATACAAAATTAGCTGGACATAGTGGCTCATGCCTATAACCCCAGCTACTCCGGAGGCTGAGGCAGGAGAATTGCTTGAACCCTGGAGGTGGAGGTTGAGGTAAGCTGAGATTACACCATTGTACTCCAGCCTGGGCAACAAGAGGGAAACTCCATCTCAAAATAAATAAATAAATAAATAAATAAATAATATAAAAGTAAAAATACAAAATTAGCTGGGTATGGTGGCATGCACCTGTAATCCCAGCTACTTAGGAGGTTAAGGCAAGAGTACTGCTTGAACCCGAGAGGTGGAGGTTGCAGTGAGCTGAGATCACACCATTGCACTCCAGCCTGGGTGACAAGAGTGAAACTCCGTCTCCAAAAAACAAAAGAAAAGAAAAAATATCTTATTATATGCTACAACATGGATGAACCTTGAGGACATTACGCACAGTGAGAGAACCTAATCACACAAAGACAAATACCATACAATTCCACTTATGAAGTATCTAAAGTAATCAAAATCTTAGAAACAGAAAGTAGAATAGTGGTTACCAAGGCCGGGGGGGAAGGAGGAAAAGGAGTTATTGTTCAAGAGTTTCAGTTTTACAAAATGATTCCAGAGATCTGTTGCACAACAATGTGTATATACTGAACTGTACACTGAAAAATTGATAAGATGGTAAATAAAATACTATTAGTAAATGGGGCTAAGTTTTTTTCTTTTTTTTTTTCTTTTTTTTTTTTTTTTGACAGAGTCTCACTCTGTTGCCCAAGCTGGAGTGCAGTGGCACGATCTCGGTTCACTGTAACCTCTGCCTCCTGGGTTCCAGCAATTCTCCTCCCTCAGCCTCCCGAGTAGCTGGGATTACAGGCACGCGCCACTACGCCCAGCTAATTTTTGTATTTTTAGCAGAGACAGTGTTTTGCCATGTTGGCCAGGCTTGTCTTGAACTCCTGACCTCAAGTGATCCGCCCACCTCGGCCTCCCAAAGGGCTGGGATTACAGGCATGAGCCACGGCACCTAGCCCTAAAAAGTACTTTACCTTCAACCACAAGAAGCACCAGAAAGGAGTTTAAAATTAGGGCATACTTTTACATTTTTGTATTGCAAAATATTTGTATTATAAAATTCACAAGTGAATGTGTTTATATGCATGTACATATACATGCACACACAGTTCCCCCAACAGCTGGTAGGGAAGGGTCATCCTGGCCAGAAGTGAACCTTCACACAGACCCTCCATTTGCTATGAATTGCTCACACTTGGCAGGACCCAGGAAGACTGAATAATAAGACTAAAATTCCCAGCGATTAATATTGAATCAGCACTTACGTAGTCTACCAGGCTCTTTAGATAACTTTTTCTTTTTCAATTTTTTTTTTTTAATAGAGACAGGGTCTTACTATGTTGCCCAGGCTGGTCTTGAACTCTTGAGCTCAAGCAATTACAGGCATGAGCCACTGTGCCTGGGGCTTTTTGTTTTTGTTGTTTGTTTTTTGTTTTTGAGACTGAGTCTCGCTCTGTAGCCCAGGTTGGAGTGCAGTGGTGCGATCTCGGCTGACTGCAAGCTCCGCCTCCCGGGTTCACGCAATTCTCCTGCCTCAGTCTCCTGAGTAGCTGGGATTACAGGTGCCCGCCACCAAGCCCAGCTAATTTTTTGTTTATTTTTAGTAGAGACGAGGTTTCACTATGTTGGCCAGACTGGCGTCTAACTCCTGACCTCGTGATCTGCCTGCCTCGGCCTCCCAAATTGCTGGGATTACAGGCGTGAGCCACCGCGCCTGGCTGTTTTGTTTTGTTTTGTTTTTTGAGACAGGGTTTCACTCCCGTCTCTCAGGCTGGAATGGAATGGTGTGCAATCTCGGCTCACTGCAACCTCCACCTTCCAGGCTCAAGCAATTATCTTGCCTCGGCCTCCCGAGTGGCTAGGAATACAGGCATGCGCCAGCACGCCTGGTTAATTTTTGTAGAGACAAGGTTTTGCCGTGTTGCCCAGGCTGGTCTCAAACTCCTGAACTCAAGTGATCCTCCTGCCTCAGCCTCCCAAAGTGCTATAATTACAGGCTTGAGCTACTGTGCCCAGCCTTCTTCTATTTTGAGACAGGGTCTCACTCTGTCACCCAGGCTGGAATGCAGTGGCACGATCACCATTCACTGTAACCTCAGCCTCCCAAGCTCAAGCAATCCTCCCATCTCAGCCTCCCAAGTAGCTGGGACCCACAGGCACACACCACCAGGCTTGACTAATTTTTTATATATTTTTGTAGAGACAGGGTGTCCCATGTTGCCCAGCCTGGGAATTATTTAATTTAATCCTTAACCATAAAAGGTAGGTAGCAGGACCCTGTTTGCCATGGCCTGAAATATTCATCACATAGGACTCTCAGAGGCCACTTACCCAAGATCATAGACTCACTCAGCAGTACGGACCATGAATCCAGCTGTCTTTCATCCAGAACCTGAGGGCAAAACAGTGGCCCCAGGGATGGCCAGTTGTCCAGGCCATGGGAGACCAAAGGGATAGCACTTGAAGGAAGCTGGACTAGGGTAGGAACAGAAAGGGAATGACAGAAGACAGTCTCACCAGAGTGAACCTTAGGCCCATAAACCTGTCAGAACCCATGATCAGGGCCCCTAACCCACCTTAGAGCCAGGGGAGGAAATAAGAAGAGGGGACAGATGAACAGACCTCCTACTCAGGGACTTCAACGCAAGGAGACCAGCTGCATTTATTGGAGACTTCCTCTAAGCTAGATTTCCTTTGTAACAGCATTGTCAACCTTGTCAGGAAGAGATAGCTTGACCCATCTTCCAGATATGGGGAAAAAACTCAGATATGGAAACGATTTGCCTTAAGGGTACCCTGCAAGTTGGAATTTGCTTCCAAGTTGTCTGGGCAAAAAATCCAGGCATCTCCTTTCATGCCTCTCCTTGCCTCACATGCAAAACATGAGCAAGCTCTGCTGGTTCTTCCTCTAAAATATAAGCCAAGTCTTTCTACTTATCCACGCTCCTGCTACCCCAGCCCAAACTGCCATCATCACTCACCTGGACTTCATTCTAGAAGCCTCCTCCCTGACCTCCCAGCTGCCCTGGAGAGTCCCTTCCAAACGCTTCGGCTAGAAAGCTTTATTTTATTTATTTATTTATTTATTTATTTATTTAGAGACAGAGTCTTACTCTGTCACCCAGGCTGGAGTGCAGTGGCACAATCTCAGCCCACTGCAACCTCTGCCTCCCGGATTCAAGCAGTTCACCTGCCTCAGCCTCCCAAGTAGCTGGAATTACAGGCACTTGCCACCATGCCCGGCTAATTTTTGTATTTTTAGTAAATACAAGGCTTCACCATGTTAGCCAGGCCAACTCCTGACCTGTGATACACCCACCTCGGCCTCTCAAAGTGCTGGGATCACAGGTGTAAGCCACCGCACCAGGCCTTTTTTTTTTTTTTTTTTTTTTTTTTTGAGATAGAGTCTCACTCTGATGCCCAGGCTGGAGTGCAATGGTGTGATCTTGGCTCACTGCTACCTCCATCTCCCAGGTTCAAGCAATTCTCTTGCCTTAGCCTTCCAAGTAGCTGGGACTACAGGAACGAGCCACCATGTCCAGCTAATTTTTTGTATTTTTAGTAGAGATGGGGTTTCACCATGTTGGCCAGGCTGGTCTCAAACACCTGACCTCAAGTGATCCACTCGCCTCAGCCTCCCAAAGTACTGGGATTATAGGTGTGAGCTACGTGTCCGGCCTTTTTTTAAACAACAACAACAGCAACCCAGCTAGGGTCTCACTGTCACCACAGGCTGGAGTACAGTGACATGATCATAGCTCACTACAGCCTCAAACTCCTGGGCTCAAGCAATCCTCCTACCTTAGCCTCCCAAAGCACTGGGATTACAGGCACGAGCCACTGCACCTGGCCCTGAGAAATGTTTACAAAAATAAATTGGAACATGCCATCCCCTTCTTCACCACTAAAACCTTCCAGAACTTCCCATTGTTCTTGAAATAAAATCTAAGCATTTTACTATTTTTACAGGGTCCTGTTTGGGTGAGTCTTATTCCTCCCTTCACTGAGCACCAGTTTTGGGGTGTTTTTTTTTTTTTTTTTGAGACGGAGTTTCACTCTTGTTCCCCAAGCTGGAATGCAGTGGTGTCATCTCAGCTCACTGCAGCCTCTGCCTCCTGGGTTCCAGTGATTCTCCTGCCTCAGCCTCCCGAGTAGCTGGGATTATAGGCACGCACCACCACGCCCGGTTAATTTTTGTATTTTTAGTGGAGACAGAGTTTCACCATGTTGGCCAGGCTAGTCTCGAACTCCTGACCTCAAGTGATCTGCCCACCTCAGCCTCCCAAAGTACTAGGATTACAGGCATGAGCCACTGCACCCGGCCTAGCTTTATTTACATTTTGTGTTTTTGAGACAGAGTCTCACTCTGTCGCCCAGGCTGGAGTGTCGTGGTGCAATCACAGCTCACTGCAGCCTCCAACTCCTGGGCTCAAGCAATCACCCTGCCTCAGCCTCCCAAGTAGCTGGGACTACAGGTACACATCACCACGTCTGACTAGTTTTGTTTTGTTTTGGTAGAGACAGGGTCTTGCTATGTTGCCCAGGCTGGTCTTGAACTCCTGGGCTCAAGCGATTCTCCTGCCTCAGCCTCCCAAAGTACTGGGATTACAAGTATGAGCCACTGCCCCTGGCCTCTCAAGTTCTTAAGTGCCCCAAAGCCTTTGTTTTTGCTGCCACTTCTGCCCAAATCAACCTTCTGGAAGATTCACACAGCTCAACGTTGCCTCAAAACAGAGGCTTCCCCAGACCACTGGGAAGCAACCCTTTACCCACCTAGTCATGCTTTACTATTACTGTTTTTTCGTAGCATTTACCACTGTCAAAGATTCTTTTTTTTTTTTTTTTTCTTTCTTAGAGTCTTGCTCTGTCACCCAGGCTGGAGTGCAGTGGTGCAATCTCAACTCACTGCAACCTCTATCTTCCAGGTTCAGGCAATTATCCTGCCTCAGCTTCCTGAGTGGCTGGGATTCCAGGCACCCACCACCTGGCTAATTTTTTGTATTTTTTTAGTAGAGACGGGGGTTTCACCATGTTGGCCAGGCTGGTCTCGAACTCCTGAACTCAGGTGATCTGCCTGCCTCCGCCTCCCAAAGTGCTAGGATTACAGGTGTAAGCCACTGCACCCAGCCTGAGATTTTCTTATTTACTATCTATCGTAATCTGTCTGTCCCACAAGAACAAAGCAGGGATTGGCACACATTTTCTCTAAAGAACCAGATAAATATTTCGGGTTTCATGAGCCACACATTCTATGCCCCAACTACTCAAACCTGCCATCATCAAAGTGCAGAAATAGCCATCACCAATATGTAAATGAGTAGGTATGACTGTGTTCCAGTAAAACTTTATTTATAAAAACAGATGGCCAGCCAGATTTGGCCTTCAGGCCTTAGTGTGCTGACTCCTCCACAGACTACAAGCTTCAGAGGAATGCAAATATAGGTTGAATTAACATATAGGACATGAGGCCAGGCATGGTGGCTCACACCTGTAATCCCAGCACTTTGCGAGGCCAAGTCAGGTAGATCACCTGAGGTCAGGAGTTCGAGACCAGCCTGGCTAACATTGTGAAACTCCATCTCTACTAAAAACACAAAAATTAGGCCAGACACGATGGTTCACACCTGTAATCCCAGCACTTTGGGAGGCCAAGGCAGGCAGATCACCTGAGGTCAGGAGTCGAGACCAGCCTGGCCAACATGGTGAAACCCTGTCTCTACTAAAAATACAAAAATTAGCTGGGCATGGTGGCGTGCACCTGTAGTCCCGGCTACCCAGAAGGCTGAGGCAGGAGAATTGCTTGAACCCAGGAGGCGGAGGTTGCAGTGAGCCAAGATCGTGCCATTGCACTCAAGCCTGGGCAACAGAACAAGACTCTGTCTCAAAAAAAACCCTCAAAAATTAGCCGTGTGTGGTGTCATGCACCTGTAGTTCCAGCTACTCAGGAGGCTGAGACAGGAGAATTGCTTGAACCCGGGAGGCGGAGGTTGCAGTGAGCCAAGATCACAACACTGCACTCCAACCTGGGCGACAGAGCGAGACCCTGTCTCAAAATAAATAAAAGTAAAGTTGTTTTTCCCCCAACAACAGTGTCATTTCCATTTCACAAACAGAAACCCAAACCAGATCAGGTTACAAACCTAGTTTTGTCTCCAGTTCCTGGGTCATTTGCTTTGTTCACTTGACCACTAGAAATCTCAAACAAAGGGCCAGGCACAGTGACTCACACCTGTAATCCCAGCACTTTGGGAGGCCGAGGCAGGTGGATCGCTTGAGGTCAAGAATTTGAGACCAGCCTGGCCAAAATGGTTAAACCTCATCTATGCTAAAAATATGAAAATTAGCTGGGTGCAGTGGCTCACACCTATAATCCCAGCTACTTGGGAGGCTGAGGCAGGAGAATCGCTTGAACCCGGGAGTTTGAGGTTGTAGTGAGCTGAGATTGTGCCACTGCACTCCAGCCTGGGCAACAGAGTGAGACTCCATCAAGAAAGAGAGAGAGAGAAAGACACACAGAGAGAGAGAAAGCAAGAGAAAGAGAGAGAGAGACAGAGAGAGAGAAAGAGAGAGAGAGAAAGAGAGAGAGAGAAAGAGAGAGAAAGAGAGAAAGAGAAAAAGAGAGAGAAAGAGAGAAAGAGACAGAGAGAGAAAGAGAGAAAGAGAAAAAGAGAGAGAAAGAAAGAGAGAGAGAAAGAGAGAAAAAGAGGAAGAGAGAGAAAGAGAGGAAGAGAGAGAGAGAAAGAGAGAGAGAAAGGAAAGAGAAAAGAAAAGAAAGGAGAAGGCCTGGCGCGGTGGCTCACGCCTGTAATCCCAGCACTTTGGGAGGCCAAGGCGGGCGGATCACGAGGTCAGGAGATCGAGACTATCCTGGCTAACACAGTGAAACCCCGTCTCTACTAAAAATACAAAAAAAATAGCTGGGCGTGGTGGTGAGCACCTGTAATCCCAGCTACTCGGGAGGCTGAGGCGGGAGAATGGCGTGAACCCGGGAGGCGGAGCTTGCAGTGAGCCGAGATTGCACCATTGCACTCCAGCCTGGGTGAAAGTGTGAGACTCTGTCTCAAAAAAAAAAAAAATGAAAGGAGAAAAGAAAGACCAAACAAAGGTCGAGTACAGTGGCTCATGCCTTACCTGAGAGAAGGAAGTGGAGCCTCTAAAAGAAAACAGGTACAGATTTCATGGGCATTCACTCTGCCTCCACCTCTCAGCCTCCAAAGTCACATTTCCTAATATGCCACAAGACAGACTTGCCAGGCCAGGCATGGTGGTTCATGCCTGTGATCCCAGCGCTTTGGGAAGCTGGGGCAGGATTGCTTAAGGACAGGAATTTGAGGCTGCAGTGAGCTATAATCATGCTACTGCACTCTAGCCTGGGCAACAGAGTAAGTCCACATCTCTAAAAAACAAAAAATAAATTTAGGCCGGGCACGGTGGCTCATGCCTGTAATCCCAGCACACTGGGAGGCCAAGGCAAGTGAATCACTTGAGGTCAGGTGTCCGAGACTGGCCACCATGGCGAAACCTCATCTCTACTAAAAATACAAAAATTAGCTGGGCATGGTAGCAGGCGCCTGTAATTCCAGCTACTCGGGAGGCTGAGGCACAAGAATCACTTGAACCTGGGAGGTGGAGGTTGCAGTGAGCCAAGATCATGCCACTGCACTCCACCCTGGGTGACAGAACAAGACTCTGTCCCCACCAAAAAGAAAAAATGTAAATGAAAAGGAAAGATCTGCCAGGCCATAGCTCCTTGCTTCCCAGGCCACATTCCAGGGAGGCCAGGAGAGGCCCAGAGACCAGTCTAACCGAGGTCCAGGCAGCCCAGAGCACGAAGGCTGGTGGAGAGCTGGCCACGTGTCCTGAGCTACGGTCAGTCAGAAGGCTGAAGGTGAGTCATCCCAGACACCGTGCTCAGTGCCAGGCCCATCAGAGGCCCTGGGCAGGAACAGCAGCACTCAGTAACAATGGGGACACTTTACCACCCTTACCCTGGAAGGGCCTCAGAAGCACTCTCTCCAGGCTCGACTTGCCTAAGCTAGGAATCAGATCTGCAGAAACCCAAGTCCCATAGCGTGTGCTGGGTAGAGCCGCCTACTCCTCGTGGGGCCTTTGAGCAGGCAGACAGCTCTCTGTTGGGGATCACAAGAGGCTTGCTGCCAAGCCCTGTGGGTTTTTCCTTCAAAGAGCCCTTGAGTCAGCTGATCTGCCCCTCCTGGGCCCCTGGCCCAGGTCACCCTCACCTTTCTGCTGGATGCCTGCCCAGCCTCATTCCTGGGCTGCTACTTGGCCCCCTCACCATCCATTCACCACGGAAGAAGTTCATCAGAACCCAAATCTGATCATGTTAGCTCCTCCCTACCTCACCGAATCCCCTGAATGGCTTCTCAGGGCTCTTAGGGTAAACCCAACCCTACCTTCTCCGCTGCAGCCCACAAGGCCTCAGTGCCCAGCCCTGTCTTGTCCTTTCAGCTCCTGCTGCCCACCTATTAACCCACTCCACTTGAGCCACATCATGGACAGTTCCAGCCTCTTTCTGCCTAAGACATGTGGTGGCCAGCCTCCAAGAAGGCCCTCAATGTCTCTTGCCTCTTGGTATTCATGCCCTGCCAAGCCTTCTTCCATAGTCAGGGCCAGTTTATGTGGCCAAGAGAAGGTGAGTGACTTCCAAGGCTAGATCATAAAAGGCATTGCAGCACCACCTTGTGTTCCCCAGGAAACCAGCCGCCATATTGTAAGGATGCTCAAACAGCCCTGCAGGGAGGCCCATAGGAAGAGAAACCAATTTATCAGCCAGGTGAGTGAGCCATATTGGAAGTAGCTGCACTCCAGCCCCCATCAGACCTGCAGATGGGTGGAACCACAGATGATATGTGACTGTAACCTCATGAGAGACGCCTAACAGAGCTGCTCCCAAATTCCCAGCCCACAGAAACCACAGGATATAATGCATGGGTGTTGTTCTGAGCCACTGGGGTTTGAGGCTTGTTGTTAATGCAGCCATAGATATGTATTGCAAGGCTTCTGCATGTGCTGTTTCCTTAGCTTGGAAAGTCCTATTCTACACGCCCAGTTCTCCTGCTTGGATAATCTACAATTATTCTCCCTATTGTGGCTCAACCATGACCTCCTTCAAGGAGCCTTTCCTGACCTCCCCTAGCCCTTTCAGGTCTTTGTTCCATGGTCTTTTAGAAGTCAGGCCCTTTCTTTCAGAGCCTTTACCCCAGCTGTTGATCATATATTTTGAGATTTACATCAGCCATACCCCCACCGATGCCCAGTGTGTAGCAAAGCACCCAGGATGTAGTTAGCACCCAATAAAGTGTTATGGAGCCCTACACAGATGAGAGAGGGTACGAAGCCTGTTCTTCCCACATTAAATGCTCAGTTTACAAATATCCATCAAAATTACCAACAGGCTGGGCAGTGGCTCACACCTGTAATCCCAGCAATCTGGGAGGCCGAGGCAGGTGGATTTGCTTGAGTATAGGAATTCAAGGCCAGCCTGAGCAACATGACAAGACTCATCTCTGCAAAAAAAAATACAAAAATTAGGCTGGGTGGATCGCCTGAGGTCAGGAGTTCAAGACCAGCCTGACCAACATGGTGAAACCCCTTCTCTACTAAAAATACAAAATCAGCCAGGCATGGTGGCACATGCCTGTAATCCCAGCTACTTGGGAGGCTGAGGTAAGAGAATCGCTTGAACCTGGGAGGCAGAGGTTGCAGTGAGCTGAGATCACGCCATTGCACTCCAGCCTGGGCAACAAAAGCAAAACTCCCTCTCAAAAAAAAAAATTAGCTGGACATGATGGCAGGCACCTGTAGTCCCAGCTACTCTGGAGGCTGAGGTGGAAGGATCACCTGAGCCCAAAGAGGTTGAGGCTGCAATGAGCCATGATCACACCACTGTGCTCCCACCTGGGTGACAGAGTAAGACCCTGTCTCAAAAAAAAAAAGACAACTCAGACACATCACATATCTAAATACGAAAGCAAAGTCAGGAAAGCTTTTGAAATAAAACACAGAACATCTATGTGACTTGTGGACAAGCAAGTGTTTCTTCGGCAGGACACAAAGCACATTAATAAAAGAAAATATGCTGGACTCTATGAAAATGAGTTTTTGGGTTTTTTTTTTTTTTTTTGAGACAGGGTCTGTCTCCCAGGTTGGAGTGTAGTGGTGCAATCACAGCTTACTGCAATGTTGGACTCCTGGGCTCAAGTGATCCTCTCACCTCAGCCTCCAGAGTAGCTAGTAGCTGGGGCTATAGGTATGCACCACCACACCTGGCTAATTTTTTTTTTTTTTTGGTCGACACAGGGTCTTACTATGTTGCCCAGGCAGGTCTTGACCTCCTGGCCTCAAGTGACCCTTCCACCTTGGCCTTCCAAAGTGCTGGGATAACAAGTGTGAGCCACCATGCCCAGCTGAAAATGAGTTTTGGTTCATCAAAAGATGCCATTAAAAAGGAAGCCACAGACAGCCGGGCACGGTGGCTCACGCCTGTAATCACAGCACTTTGGGAGGTCGAGGCGGGTGGATCATGATGTCAAGAGCTTGAGACCATCCTGGCCAACATGGTGAAACCCTGCCTCTACTAAAAATACAAAAGTTAGCCAGGCGCAGTAGTGGGCACCAGTAATCCCAGATACTTGGGAGGCTGAGGCAGAATTGCTTAACCCAGGAGGCGGAGGTTGCAGTGAGCCGAGATCGCGCCACTGCACTCCAGCCTGGGTGAGAGAGCAAGACTCCATCTCAAACAAAAAAATAAAAGCCACAGACATACGTCTGACAAAAGACTCATACCTATAATACATATAGAACTCCTTCAACTTAATGACAATCACTTTTTTACCAAGTGGCTAAAAGAGCTAAATAGGCACTTCACAAAAGAGGATGCCCAGATGGCCAAGGCTAACGTGGGAAGCTGCTCAACTTCATTAGTCATCAGGGAAATGCAAACTCAATCTGCAATACAATATCACCCTCACACGCACACACACAAATGAAAAAAAAATTTTTTTCAAGTATTGGCAAAACCAGAACTCTTCTATGCTGCTGGAGGAAGTCTCAAATGGTATAGCCGCTTTGGAAAATGATTTGGCAACATTTGCTAAAGCCAAGTCTACTGCTGCCCAGGACCCACCAATCCCATGCCTGGAATGAGTGTATATATCTACCAATTGACATGAACAAGGAATGTTCATAATAGTTTACTCACAATAGCCAAAAGCTGAAGACTACATGAACAATAATAGAACAGATAAATAGTTACTTATTCACATGGAATATTATACACAAGGGTCATAAACTTTCTTTTTTAGAGGCAGGGTCTTGCTGTGTCACCCAGGCTGGTGTGTAGTGATGTGATCATAGCTCACTGCAGCCTCAACCTCCCAGGCTCAAGCAATCCCCCTGCCTCAGGCTCCCAAGTAGTAGCTGAGACTACAGGCATGCACCACCACACCCAGCTAATTTTTTTCTTTTTTTGTAATCCCAAAGAGTTGAGATTACAGACATGAGCCACTGCGCCCAGCAAAAAATAAAAAAAATCAAAATTTAAGTTAGCTGGGCATGGTGGCACAAGCCTGTGGTCTCAGCTACTCGGGAAGCTGAGGTGGGAGGATCGCTTGAGCCCTGGAGATAAAGGCTGCAGTGAGCTATGATTATGCCACTGTACTCCAGCCTGGGCAACAGAGCAAGACCCTATCTTAGAAAAAACAGACAAACAAAAAAAGTGAATTTCAAAAACCTTATGCTGTATGAAAGAAACCAGTCATAGGAGGGTACATACTGTGTAATTCTGATTATAGAAATTACCAAGGCACTTATCTTCATTTTTCTCACCCACTTCAAACTTAGGCTTCCTTTTTTCCTTCCAGGCCACTTACACCCTGCCTTCCTCCCTCAACTCTTCCCAGCCTCCTTCTGCCTGCCAGGGTCCATGACATGGCCATTGTCCATGAAAGCCACAAGCCCTAGAGAAAAAATGCCAGTTACAGGCCAGAGACTTGCCCACCTCCTGGAGAATGACGTGAAAATACACAGCGTCTGCTCCTGAACTGCAAAGAAAGTTTCCCTGTCTACACTGCGGTGAGCAGGAATAAAAGCTAGGCCTGCCCTGGCCTTAAATTAAGCCAGAGGGATGTCACGTGAGGAGACTCCTTCCTGGAAAAGACCACCAATTAACCACAGCTGATTCTCCAAAAGCAATCTGCAAGTTGGGGATCATTAGTTGGTGCAAAGGTAATTGCGATCTTTGCTATTAAAAGTAATGAGCTGAGTGCAGTGGCTCACGCCTGTAATCTCAGCACTTTGGGAGGCCAAGGCGGGTGGATCACGAGGCAGGTAGATCACTTGAAGCCAGGAGTTTGAGACCAGCCTGGCTACATGATGAAACCCCGTCTCTACTAAAGATACAAAAATTAGCTGGACGTGGTGGTGGGCACCTGTAATCGCAGCTCCTGGGGAGGCTGAGGCAGGAGAATCACTTGAACCTGGGAGGCGGAGGTTGCAGTGAGCCAAGATCGTGCCACTGCACTCCAGCCTGGGAGACAGAGTGAGACTCCATCTCAAAAAAAATAAAGTAACATACTCATTTTATAGATGAGGCCAGCTGACAGTTGTCATGTGCCATCCCCAAAAGCTACTTGGGTTGTTGAGTGTGGGATGTGAGATTCAAATCTGCTTTTCCTAACTTGATAGTATGCACTTTTAACAGTTATGCCACCACAATTGCCGACAACAATGAATCACATCCGACCCACTTCATTTCCCTTTTTTTGGACAGATTTGTCTATTCTTGGATAAGACATTCAAGGAAGGGTGGTGGTATTGCTTTCTTTGAATTTCTTATCCGAGAATAGTTAAATCTGTCCAAAAAAAGGGGGAAGGTGGTGGTATTGGGTGTCTGAATTTTGGGCAAGTATGTCAGCTTTGTAGACAAATGGGAAAAAATGGCTAGATATGAGGATGGAGAGACGGTTTAGAAACCGTTTGTAGGTTTTTTGTTTGTTTGTTTGTTTGTTTGTTTTTAGAGAGGCAGTCTCACTCTACTGCCCAGGCTGGAGTGCAGTGGTGCCATCATAGCTCACTGCATCCTCCAACTCCTGGGTTCAAGTGATCCTCCTGCTTTGCCCTCCTGAATAGCTGGGACTATAGGTTCCTGCTACCATGCCCAACTAATTTTTAAGATTTTTTGTAGAGCTGGGGGTGTCTCACTGTGTTGCCCAGGCTAGTCTCGAATTCCTGGCCTCAAGCAATCTTCCCGCCTGAGCCTCCTAGAGCACTGGAATTACAGACATGGGCCACACCACGCCCATCCAGAAACCCTTTGAAGACTGCTAATGAAACAACAGTTCCAGGCAATGGTTATCCATGGATGATCAAACCTTTAGGGAAACGCCAAGTGGGGAATTTACAAAGGCATGGTCAGGCGGATGGCATCCGAATCCCTGGATCATTCTTAGTTATCAGTGAAAAGTGGAAAGAAAGGCCAGGCACAGTGGCTCATGACTGTAATCCTAGCACTTTGGGAGGCTGAGGCAGAAGGATCACTTGAGCCCAGGAGTTCCAGACTAGCCTGGGCAACATAGTGAGACCTTGGTTCTACAGAAAGGTTTTTCGGTTTTTGTTTTGTTTTGCTTTTGAGATGGGGGGTCTCACTCTGTCACCCAGGCTGGAGCGCAGGTGGGCAGTCTCTGCTCACTGCAGCCTCTGCCTCCTGGGCTCAAGCAATCCTCCCTGCTCAGCCTCCTGAGTAGCTGGGACTACAGGTGCATGCCACCATGCCCAGCTTTTTTTTTTTTTTTTTTGTTTTGGTAGACACAGAGTTTCACCATGTTGCCCAGGATGGCCTCCAACCTCTGTGCTCAAGCTATTTTCCCACCTCAGCCACCCAAAGTGCTGGGATTACAGGAGTCAGCCACCACACCCTGCCCAAAAAAGGTATTGTAGCATTTTTTTAAGTGTTGCTACCTTTTAGAGATAAAAAAATGGAGTATTTACAAATGAAATTATTTGAGGCCTCAGATTTGCTTCAAAATATCCAGTGAGGCTGGCTGGGTGTGGTGGCTGACACCTGTAATCCCATAATTTGGGGAGGCCAAGGTGGGTGGATTGCTTGAGCCCAAGAGTTGGAGACCAGCCTAGGCAACACAGCGAAACCCTTCTTTACAAAAATTAGCCAGACATGGTGGCTTGCACCTGTAGCCCCAGCTACTTGAGAGGCTGAGGCAGGAGGATCGCTTGGGCCTGGGAGGTCAAGGCTGTAGTGAGTTGTGATCACACCATTGCACTCCAGCCTGGGCAACAGAGTGAGACACTGTCTCAAAAAAAAAAATCCTTTGAATAATAATTGATTCAGGCAAGAATGAATGCTGAAAGAGTGAAAGTCTGATGAATAATAGGATATTTATAGAGTCTCCACATACCTCCCCACAAGAAACTTAATAATTACAAACCGGAAAGCAGTAACTTTATAGCAGAGACACGCTGGGGTCTTCCTGCCAAAAAGGCACAACCTGAATCTAATCATAAGGAAACAGCAGACAAACCCAAGTTGAAAGACATTCTGCCTAATAACTAACCTACATTTTGTTAAAACGTCAAGGTCGCAAAACACAAAAAGGCTCAGAAATTGATCTCCGTGAAAGAAACTAAAAAGACAACTGGAAACAACAACTGATCTGGGATTTTCTTTTGCTATAAAGGTCAGTGATGTGACAATGGGTGAAATCTAATTAGGTTTGCAGATTTTCTGCTTTTGATCATTTTACTGAGGTTATGTTAGAGAACGCCTTGTTCTGGCCAGGTGCGGTGGCTCACGCCTGTAATTCTAGCACTTTGGGAGGCTGAGGCAGGCGGATCACCTGAGGTCAGGAGTTTGAGACCAGTCTAGCCAACATGGTGAAACCCTGTCTCTACTAGAAATACAAAAATTAGCCGGGCGTGGTGGCATGCGCCTATAATCCCAGCTACTTGGGAGGCTGA
This sequence comes from Homo sapiens, assembly GCF_000001405.40. NCBI lineage: Eukaryota > Metazoa > Chordata > Mammalia > Primates > Hominidae > Homo > Homo sapiens. The sequence continues at coordinate 10,213,534 of NC_000019.10, forward strand.
GGCAGGAGAATCACTTGAACCTGGGAGGTGGAGGCTGCAGTGAGCCAAGGCTGCACCATTGCACTCCAGCCTGGGCAACAAGAGCAAAACGCTGTCTCAAAAAAAAAAAAAAAAAATTGTTGAGATGGGCCGGGCACGGTGGCTCATGCCTGTAATCCCAGCACTTTGGGAGGCCGAGACGGGCGGATCACAAGTTCAGGAGTTTGAGACCAGTCTGGCCAACATAGTGAAACCCTGTCTCTACAAAAAAATACAAAAAAAAAAAAATTAGCCAGGCATGGTGGGCACCTGTAATCCCAGCTACTCGGGAGGCTGAGGCAGGAGAATCACTTGAACCTGGGAGGCAGAGGTTGCAGTGAGCCGAGAGCCGCCATTGCACTCCAGCCCAGGCGACAGTGTGAGACTCTGTCTCAAAAAAAAAAAAAAAAAAGAAAGAAAAGAAAAATTGTTGAGATAGTAATCAAAAGAGCTCAGTTACTCAGAGGCTGCAGAAACTAGAAATATGAAATCTAGAATTGCACTGCCCAATATTGTAGCTAATGATTTGTTAATTAAAATTCAATAATATGTAAAATTCAGCCCCTGCCTGCCTCACATTAGTCGTATTTGTAATGCTCATGACAGTGCTGCTCTGAATTATGGAGCCGAGAATGCTTCTTAGAATATGGTGCAAGGGCCAGGCACAGTGGCTCACACCTGTAATCCCAGCACTTTCGGAAGCCGAGATGGGAGGATCACTTGAGCCCAGGAGTTTGAGGCCAGCTTAGGGAACATGGCAAAAGCCCATCTCTACAAATAAAAAATTTAAAAAGTAGCCAGGCTTGGTGGCAAGCGCCTACAGTCCCAGCTTCTCGGGAGGCTGAGGCAAGAGAATCACTTGAGCCTGGGAGGTTGAGGCTGCGGTGAGCCGAATTGGCACCACTGCACTCCAGCCTGGGTGACAGAGTGAGACCCTGTCTCCAAAACAACAACAAAACAGAATATAGTGCAAAGACTATATATATATATATATATATATATATATTTTTTTTTTTTTTTTGAGACAGAGTTTCGCTCTTGTTGCCCAGGCTGGAGTGCAATGGTGCAGCCTTGACTCACCGCAACCTCTGCCTCCAGGGTTCAAGCGATTCTCCTGCCTCAGCCTCCCAAGTAGCTGGGATTACAGGCATGCGCCACCATGCCCGGCTAATTCTGTATTTTTAGTAGAGACAGGGTTTCTCCATGTTGATCAAGCTGGTCTCAAACTCCTGACCTCAGATGGTCCACCCGCCTCAGCTTCCCAAAGTGCTGGGATTACAGGCGTGAGCCACTGTTCCCCGGCCAAGGACTACATATTTTTAAATTATTAGGGGTTCCTGGTAAGAAACACACATTTCTAGGTTCATTCCAGACCTGTTTAGTCAGAATCTCTGACCATAGAGCTTGAGAATTTGCATTTAAGCAGGTTCTTCCAGGTCATTCCTTTGTTGGTCCCTATTAGGCAACAGCCTCCCTAGGGGAAAAAGGAGGTGAAAGTCATCTTGTGTTTCCTGCTGGAAGGACCACTTTAATTTGGGCTCCAAGATTTGAGAGCTATCAACAAATGGGATCTTCAGATCCAGATATTGAGGAGGATCAGATATGATTGTGGGCCCGGCGCAGTGGCTCATGCCTGTAATCCCAGCACTTTGGGAGGCCAAGGTGGGTGGATCATGAGGTCAGGAGTTCAAGACCAGCCTGGCTAACATGGTGAAACCCTGTCTCTACTAAAAATACAAAAAAATTAGCCAGGCATGGTGGCGGGCACCTGTCATCCCAGCTACTTGAGAGGCTGAGGCAAGGAGAATCTCTTGAACCTGGGAGGCGGAGGTTGCAGTGAGCCGAGATCGCACCATTGCACTACAGCCTGGGCGACAGTGCAAGACTCCATCTCAAAAAAATTAGCTGGGTATGATGGTGCACGCCTGTAATCCCAGCTACTTGGAAGGCTGAGGCGGGAGAAGCGCTTGAACCTGGGAGGCAGAGGTTGCAGTGAGCCAAGACTGCGCCATTGCACTCCAGCCTGGGTGACAAGAGAGAAACTCTGTCTCAAAAAAAAAAAAATTAGCTAGGCGTGGTGGTGCGTGCCTGTAATCACCGCTACTAGAGAAGCTGAGGCGGAAGAAACTCTCGAACCTGGGAGGTGGAGGTTGCAGTGAGCCGAGACTGTGCCACTGCACTCCAGCCTGGGCGATAGAGTGAGACTCTATCTCCAAAAATAAATAAATAAATAATCATTTTTTTGAGACGGGGTTTCGCTCTTCTTGCCCAGGCTGGAGTGCAATGGTGCGATCTCCGGCTTACCACAACCTCTGCCTCCTGGGTTCAGGCAATTCTCCTGCCTCAGCCTCCCGAGTAGCTGGGATTACAGGCATGTGCCACCACACCCGGCTAATTTTGTATTTTTAGTAAAGACAGGATTTCTCTATGTTGGTCAGGATGGTCTTGAACTCCCAACCTCAGGTGATCCGCCCGCCTCGGCCTCCCAAAGTGCTGGGATTACAGACGTGAGCCACCGCGCCCAGCTGAAAAACATTTTAAAAAGATATAAGTGTGGTCTTCAGTGACTCACTGGGTTCCAATCCTGGCCCCTTGACTCCCATGCTACTTGACCTTGGGTGAATTACTTAACCTCTCTGTGCCTCGGTTTCTTTATCTGTCAAAAAGCCAATAATAGCACCTACTCTATAGGATTATTGTGAGGATTCCAGAAGTTTGCAGATGTCAAATGATTCTCACAGTGCCCAGCACACGAGCACACATTAGACTTTTTATTTTTTGAGACAGGGTCTCACTCTGTTGCCCAGGCTGGAATGCAGTGGCATGACCACAGTTCATTGCAGCCTCGGTCACCTAGGCTCAAAGAATCCTCCCACCTCAGCCTCCAGAGTGGCCAGGACTATAGACACGTTCCACCACACCAGGGTATATATGTATTTATTTACTTACTTTTACAGATGAGGTCTCACTATGTTGCCCAGGCTCATCTCAAACTCCTGGCCCCAAGTGATCCTCCCGCATTGGTCTCCCAAAGGGCTGGGATTACAGGCATGAGCCACCATGCCTGGCCCTATTTTCTTTTCTTTCCTTTTTTTTTTTTTTTTTGAGACAGAGTCTTGCTCCATCACCCAGGCTGGAGTGCGGTGGCGCGATCTCGGCTCACTGCAAGCTCCGCCTCCCAGGTTCACGCCATTCTCCTGCCTCAGCCTCCCAAGTAGCTGGGATTACAGGTGCCCACCACCACGCCTGCTTAATTTTGTATTTTTAGTAGAGATGGGGTTTCACCATGCTGGCCAGGCTGGTTTCAAACTCCTGACCTCAGGTGATCCACTCGCCTCGGCATTCCAAAGTGCTGGGATTACAGGAGTGAGCTCCCACACCTGGCACTATTTTCTTTTCTTTTTTTTATTTGTTTCTGTTTTGTTTTGTTTGTTTTGGTGGTCTAAAATAAATTTTTTAATTGCACATTTGTGTCTTGGGTTATCTGTGGGGTGAGAAACCTATTCCTCACTTCCAATCCCAGCTATCCAGGTACAATCTGGTGTTGTGGTCTGGCTGTGGGCAAGGGGTACAGGTGGGTGCAGAGCTGGCCCTCGAGTCTGCACCAACGTCTTCAAGGCAGGGAGCTCAGACCATGGTTGTACTTGCACTGCTTTGGGGCCTCATTGAAGCCCTCACACAGGGACAGGTCATTCTCAGTGGTCGAACAGTCCAGGAACTGCCTGATCTTGTAGGTGCAGAGCCCCATCTGTAGGGGCTGGGAGGCAGCACCGGTGGGGGTCTGACTGGCCAGTCGGCCACACTGTGGCTTCCCCAAGGCCTGGTGGCTGTGGTGAGACCTTATTATATTAGATATTAGATATTATTATATTAGATATTAGAGACGGCAATGGCGGCAGCAGTTCTGTCGCAGGGACAAATGCCGCCCCCCCTTTTTTTTTTTTTTGAGATGCAGTTTCGCTCCTGTTGCCCAGGCTGGAGTGCAAAGGCGCGATCTTGGCTCACTGCAACCTCTGCCTCCCGGGTTCAAGCAATTCTCCAGCCTCAGCCTCCCCGGTAGCTATGATTACAGGCGCTCGCCACCACGCCCAGCTAATTTTTTTTTTTGAGACAGAGTCTCACTCTGTTGCCCAGGCTGGAGTGCAGTGGCGCAATCTCGGCTCACTGCAACCTCCATCCCCCGGGTTCAAGAATTCTCCTGCCTCAGCCTCCCTAGTAGCTGCGACTACAGGTGCGTGCCACCACGCCCAGCTAGCTTTTGTATTTTTAGTAGAGACAGGGTTTCACCATGTTGGCCAGGCTGGTCTTGAACTCCTGACTTCATGATCCACCCGTCTTGGCCTCCCAAAGTGCTGGGATTGCAGGCATGATCCCAGGTGTAATCCCAAAATTAGGCACATGGCCTAATTTTGTATTTTTAGTAGAGATAGGGTTTCACCATGCTGGCCAGGCTGGTTTCAAACTCTTGACCTTGGCTGGGCACAGTGGCTCACGCCTGTAATCCCAGCACTTTGGGAGGCCTAGGCAAGCAGATCACTTGAGGCCAGGAGTTCGACACCAGCCTGACCAACATGATGAAACCCCCGTCTCTACTATAAATACAAAAATTAGCCAGGCTTGGTGGCACATGCCTGTAATGCCAGCTACTCGGGAGGCTGAGGCAGGAGAATCACTTGAACTCAGGAGGTGGAGGTTGTAGTGAGTCGAGATCACATCATTGCACTCCAGCCTGGGCATCAGAATAAGACTCCGTCTCAAAAACAAAACAAAACAAAACAAAAAAACTCCTGACCTCAGGTGATCTGCCCACCTCGGCCTCCCAAAGTGGTGGGATTACAGGCATGAGCCACCGTGCCCGGCCCTATTTTATTTTCTTCCTAGCACTTAACACTCACTGAAATGACCATCATTTGCTTTTGTTTTATTTATTCAACAAGTATTTACTGAGGACCTACTGTGTGTAGGCATTCCAGGCAGAGGGAACAGCAGGTGCAAAGGCCCTGGGGTGGGAACATGCCAAGTAGTGTTTAAGATGTTAGAGATAGCCAGGCATGGTGGCTCATGCCTGTAATCCCAGCACTTTGGGAGGCTGAGGTGGGAGGAGCACTGAGCCCAGGAGTTTGAGAGCAGCCTGGGCAACATGGTGAAACCCTGTCTCTACAAACAATACAAAAAAGCAGGCCAGTGTGTTGGCACATACCTGTAGTTCCACCTACTTGGGAGATTGAGGTGGGAGGATGGCTTGAGCCCAGGAGGTCAAGGCTGCGGTGAGCTGTGATTACGTCACTGCACTCCAGCCTGGGTGACAGAGTCAGACCCTGTATCAAAAAAAAAAAAAAAGTTAGAGAGCCATAAATAGCCAGGCAAGTTGGCTCACACCTGTAATCTCAGCACTTTGGGAGGTTGAGGCAGGCAGATCTCTTAAGCCTAGGAGTTCAAGACCAGCCTGGGCAACATGGAAGAATCATGTCTCTACAAAAAAAGAAAATTAGCAGGCTTATAATCCCAGTTACTAGGAAGCCTGAGGTGGAAGTATCACCTGAGCCCATGAGCCCAGGAGGTTGAGGCTGTAGTGAGCTGTGATTGCACCACTGCACTTGAGCCTGGGTAACAGAGTAAGACCTTGTCTCAAAAAAAAACAAAAAAACAACACTGGAGATACATTAGTAAATAAGGCAGGTGCAGTCCTATATTCACAGTGCTTGTATTTTAATGGGGGTAGAGACAGATAAATTGATACATATTAGGTTGGTGCTAAAATCATTGCGGTTTTTGCCATTAAAAGTCATTGTAGGCTGGGCACGGTAGCTCACGCCTGTAATCCCAGCACTTTGGGGGGCCGAGGTGGGTGGATCACAAGGTCAGGAGATTGAGACCATCCTGGCTAACACGGTGAAACCCTGTCTCTACTAAAAAAAAAAAATACAAAAAATTAGCCTGGTATGGTGGCGGGCACTAGTAGTCCCAGCTACTCAGGAGGCTGAGGCAGGAGAATGGCGTGAACCCAGGAGGCGGAGTTTGCAGTGAGCCGAGATCGGGCCATACACTCTAGCCTGGGTGACAGAGCGAGACTCCATCTCAAAAAAAAAAAAAAGTCATTGCGGTTTTTGCCATTAAAAGAAATAGCAAAAGTCATTGCAATTTTTGCTATTAAAGGTAATGGCAAAAACCGCAATGACTTTTGCACCAACTTAATAATATATACTGCCAGGTAATAAGCAAGTGACTCCTTTCTGAGGAGGTGGCATTTGAGCAGAGTCCTGAAGGGGGAGATAGAGAACCCTGTGGGTACTTGGGGAAAATCTATTGACTCCAGCCTGGCCTGTGCCTTTTTCCCCCACCCCACCCCCCATCCCATCTAGGGTTCAGGTTTCCAAACAGAGGTTGTTGTCTCAACTGCTAGAGAAGGGGAATTCCGATGGGGGTTGCAGGCCCTCAGCCTCTGCGGTCTGCCTTCTCTCCCACTGGCTGTCCTAGTCTTTGAGCTGGTGTTGCTGTGTGGGGCTCCAGCTTGGGTGCCTAGGGTCCCCCATCAAAGGGTTCATGCCTGAAATCCCAGCACTTTGGGAGGCCAAGGTGGAGGCAGGAGGATCGCTTGAGCCCAGGAGTTCGAGACCAGCCTGGGCAACATAGGGAGACCCCCCATCTCTACAAAAAAAAAAAAAAAAAAAATTAGCCAGGCATGGTGGTGCATGTCTGTGGTCCCAGCTACTTGGGAGGCTGAAGTGAACCATGATGGCACCAACTGCACTACAGCCTAGGCAACAGAGCAAGACCCTGTCTTAAAAAACAAACAAACAAAAAAACTCTAGACTTTTCTTCAAAGGAGCCACTGAGCCGGCTGCCTGCAGACAAAAGAGAAGAGTATCACCAGGGAACCCACCGAGGGACCCACCCGAGGCTGCATCCTATCTTGGCTTCTCCTGGTTCTTGATGAACTTCGTGGCTCCTCCTTCCATGGCAAAGAGGGAGCTAAGTGGCCTCTCTCTGTCTTTTTTTTTGCTCTGCTCTGTCGCGCAGGCTGGAGTGCAGTGCCGTGATCTTGGCTCACTGCATTCTCCACCTCCCGGATTCAAGCAATTCTCTTGCCTCAGCTTCCTGAGTAGCTGGGACTACAGGCACCCGCCACCACACCCAGCTAATTTTTGTATTTTTTGCAGAGACGGGGTTTCCCTATGTTGGCAGGCTGGTCTCGAACTCCTGATCTCAAGTGACCCACCCACCTCAGCCTCCCAAAGTGCTGGAATTATAGGAGTGAGCCACTGCACTCAGCTGAGTGGCCTTTCTCTAGCCCAGTGGTGGATCCAGTATGGTCTGGAGTCAGCCTGCTTGGGTTCAAATCCAGACAGGCGCTACCCCGACTAGCGCTGTGTGACTCTGAGCAGTTTGCTTGATCTCTCTGAACTCACACCTCCATAAGAGTTTATAGTAACTTCCACCTCCTGAGCAGTCAAGTCTTTATGCCTGGAAAGTGCTCGGTGAAGATCAGCCATTACTTTTGGGAACACCGTGTCTAAGGGTGGGTATCTGGGTTCTTTGTAGCCCCCTCAAACCATCTCTCCAGCTCCCCGGGAGGCACATACAATTGGGAGGATGTAGGAGCCTCCCACCACCTGCCAGGCTGTCTCCTTCAGAGAAAGCAGGGAGATCCCAGACCGAGTTAATCCCTGGGAGGTGCAGGTGAGTTGCCCCTGGGAAAGATCCCGGTTGACCTCTGTTTTCTCCTGGCTCAGGCCGGGTTAAGGGTGTCAGGAGCACAGAATGGGAAGGTTGGCAAAGGATGAGTTACTCAGGCAGCAGCCCCCCTCCTGTTCCATCCAGCCCAGCCATGGGGCGCTCCTGGGGGAAATTGCTCCCCGAAAAGACACACCAACCACAGGAAACAGAAATTGAACCGTTTATTAGCCTAGGTCTGGGTTTCAGGCATTGCGGAGGCACGTCTGGGGAGCTCTATGAGGGGAAACAAGCCCCTGACTGGCTCCTTGCCCCCCAAAGACCCGCTCCCCCAGGCTTTGCATTCACAAGAAATTACTCTGAGGCATGAGGTTTCCTTCCCCAAGGTGAGCTGCACCCCAGCTCTCCAGTGGGAGGATGGGCCAGCAATTCCAAAGGGGTCTGGGCAGGACCAGAGCTCCCCGACTTTGGCAGCTTCAACACAAACATGAGCAGACAGGACAGCATTCATTCTGGGGGAAATGTGACGAGGAGAGGAGGGTCACAGACATCACGCCTATGTGCACACGCGCGCGCGCACACACATACACACACACACACATAAATATACGTTTGTACCGTAACATCCCTTCCATTATCCACAGGTTTTTGTGAAGTCCTTCTGGGGGGTTAGGGGAGAGTGTCCCCAGGAAATGTCCCTAGCCACTGCCACCCCCATGCTCCATTCTATATAACTTGAAAGAAGAAGGCCGGGCACAGTGGCTCACGCCTGTAATCCCAGCAATTGGGGAGGCCGAGGCGGGCGGATCACTTGAGGTCAGGAGTTTGAGACCAGCCTGGCCAACGTAGTGAAACCCTGTCTCTACTAAAAATACAAAAATTAGCCAGACATGGTGGCAGGTGCCTGTAGTCCCAGCTACTCGAGAGGCTGAAGCAGGAGAATCGCTTGAACCCGGGAGGTGGAGGTGGCAGTGAACGGAGATTGAACCACTGCCACCTCAGCCTGGGTGACACAGTGAGACTCCATCTCAAAAACAAAACAAAAATCTTGAAACTGTCTCAAAAAAAAAATCTTGAAAGAAGACACAGCGGGGTTCTTGAAAGAAGACACAGAGAAGGCTCAAGGCTTCTCTCTGCCTTGCTCAGGAGACCTGGTACCTTAGCTGGGGCTGCAGGTGTGGAGCTGAGAATAGCTTGGGGGGTGGCTGTTTTTGAAAGGAGGGTGTCTGTGCAAATATCACACCCAGAATTTTCTCAAGTTGCGCCTTGCATCAAGAGTCCCAAAGTCCTCCCCAGCCACCCAAACTCGTTTTTCTCACTTTTGGTGATTATTCTGTGCCCCAAATAGTGCAACTGAGCAATGAGGTCTGAGAATGAGGAATGGACCTCAGCCGCCATCCCCTCCCCACCTCCAGCCGTGGTTTCCGGGCCTCAGAGAGACGGGGAGAAGTCGTCAAGTGGCAGCTGATGAAATTTGGGGAAGCTGTGGATTTGGGCTCTGGATGGTCAGAGAGGAGGCCTCTAGCTCCTCAGGACAGTGGTTCTGTAGTCGCACGAAGTTGCCCAGAGAAGGTGGCAGGAGGAATACATTCGAAAAGGAGAAATCGGTGCAGGACTAGGGGCCAGGGAAGAAAATGCAGAAATTCTTTGTACCGCCAGGTGAGGTGGCTTACGCCTGTAATCCCACACTTTGGGAGGCCAACACGGGCGGATCATGAGGTCAGGAGTTCGAGACCAGCCTGGCCAACATGGTGAAACCCCGTCTCTACTAAAAATACAAAAAAAAAAAAAATTACCTGGGCGTGGTGGTAGGCACCTGTAATCCCAGCTACTCAGGAGGCTCAGGCTGGAGAATCGCTTGAACCTGGGAGGTGGAGGTTGCAGTGAGCTGAGACCGTACCACTGCACTCTCCAGCCTGGGCAACAGAGCGAGACTTCATCTCAAAAAAAAAAAAAAAAAAAAAAAAAAAAAAAAAAAAAGCCGGGCACGGTGGCTCACGCCTGTAATCCCAGCACTTTGGGAGGCCGAGGCGGGCGGATCACGAGGTCAGGAGATCAAGACCATCCTGGCTAACACGGTGAAACCCCATCTCTACTAAAGGTACAAAAAATTAGCCAGGTGTGGTGGCAGGCGCCTATAGTCCCAGCTACTTGGGAGGCTGAGGCAGGAGAACGACATGAACCCAGGAGGCGGAGCTTGCGGTGAGCCGAGATCACGCCACTGCACTCCAGCCTGGGCAGCAGTGCAAGATTCCGTCTCAAAAAAAAAAAAAAATCCTTTGTACCAGGTGGTAAAGTGCTCCTGCCCTGAGCTCCCCTTAAATGCTGCCTGCCCTCACCCTGGCTCTTCACAGGTCCCCTGCCCTGGCCTCCCCAGGATCCAGTTCTAAAGGGGTCACACTAGCCACTGGACTGGCCCTCAGGACCGCACTGCAACACTGCTATGTGACTAGTCAGTGCCTTATCTGGCCTTTCCAGGTGTGAAATATTTGCAACATCACCCAGGTCTGTGGGGCGGGGGCATCTGGCTCAGTAGCCCCAAGTCTCTATCTGGGGTCACCCAGTGGCCTCTCCATGAACCCCTCTGCCCTGGCCTGGTTGTTGGTCCACCCCCACCCTCAGACCACCGTGTTGCCCTCCAGAAACGTGGGTGACGTGGGCATGTGCATGCCCCTCTCCAGGGAGCTGGAGCTGCGGAGTGGCAGGAGGTGGTGGCCCGGGGTCCCGCCCCGCCTCCGTCCTTGCACCCCCACCCCCGGCCTCCAGCACTGCAGCGGCCGAAGCACCTCCCGCCGCAGGTCCCGGCTGCGCCACGTGTAGATGACGGGGTTGAGCAGGGAATTCAGGGTGGAGACGGCGAAAAAGTAGTGGGCTTTGTAGAGGATCGGGCAGGAGTGGACGGGACAGGCATAGTCCAGAAGGAGGATGCTGAAGGCGGGCAGCCAGCAGACGATAAAGACGCCTAGCACGATGGTGACCGTCTTGAGCAGGGCTAGCGTCTGCGGGGCGGCCATGTCAGCGTGGCTTGAGCGGACCACGCAGTAGATGCGCACGTACAGGGCCACGATGGCCAACAGGATGATGGAGAAGATGGTCACCACGCACAGCACATAATGCTTGGCGTAGAGAGGCAGGACAGTGGAGCAGGCCTCGAGGTGGCCCAGGCAGTTCCAGCCAAGGATGGGCAGGCCACCGAGGACCAGCGAGATGAGCCACGAGGCCCCGATGAGCAGAAGCATGCGGCAGCTCTTGTCGCTGCCATACAGCTTGACCTTGGCAATGGCCACGTGGCGCTCAATGGCGATGGCCAGGAGGCTGAAGACAGAGGCCGAGAGCGTGATGAAGGCAGAGCCCTCCCGGGCAAACCACTGCACAGGCGTCAGCCTCAGCGTGACAGAGCCAGAGAGCAAGGTATTGGCTACGAAGGCCACGCCTGCCAGTAGATCGGAGGCGGCCAGGTTGCCCAGAAACAGGTACATTGCCGAGTGGAACTTGCTGTTTCGGGCCACCGCAATGAGCACCAGAAGGTTTTCCACCACAATGGCGCAACAGAGGATGACGATGAAGGCCGAGGCCACCTGGCGGGAGGTCGTCTCCTGCGTTTCCAGCGTCTCCTTGGTATAATTATAGTGTTCCTGGACCTTGTTGGGGTTCAGGTACTCCGAGTACAAGCTGCCCATGGTGGGGCTCAGAGGCCTGCTGGGGCCATGGGGCTTTCAGAACTGCAGAGAAGACAGACAGACAGACAGACAATAGGTCAGAGCTGTGGCTGCTACCTGGGCTCTGGCCTCGGATGGGCTGAGATTCAATTTCCTGCTCTGTTACTCTTCGAGGAAGGGCCACATGAATTCAGAATCATCATCATCCCCACTTACAGACGGGAAACCCAGAGAGATTAATTCACTTTCCTAAAGTCTCAAATTTAACCAGCGGCAGGGCCAGAGAGACTGGCTCTGCGGCCTCTATAAGCCCTAGGCTACGCTCTTTCTTATTTATTTTATTTATCTATATTTTAAAGACAAGGTCTTGCTCTGTCATTCAGGCTGGAGTGCAGTGGCGCAATCATAGCTCCCTGCAGCCTTGAACTCCTGGGCTCAAGTGATCCTCCCACCTCAGCCTCCCACCTCAGCTTCAGCTACAAGCACATGCCACCACGCCTGGCTAATTTTTTTTTTTTTTTTTTTTTTTTGAGATGGAGTCTCCCTCTGTTGCCAAGGCTGGAGTGCTGCGGCACGGTCTTGGCTCACTGCAACCTCCTCCTCCTGGGTTCAAGTGATTCTCCTGCCTCAGCTTCCTGAGTAGCTGGGATTACGGGCACCTGCCACCAGGCCCAGCTAATTTTTTTTTTATTTTTAGTAGAGACAGGGTTTCACCATGTTGGCCAGCATGGTCTCGAACTTCTGACCTCATGATCCGCCTGCCTCGGCCTCTCAAAGCGCTGGGATTACCAGTGTGAGCCACCGGGCCCAGCCGCCTGGCTAGTTTTTTTGTTTTTTAGAGATTGGGTCTCACTGTGTTGTCCAGGCTGGTCCTGAACTCCTGGCTTCAAGCAATTCTCCTCGGCCTCTCAAAGCAATGAGATTACAGGTATGAACCATGACATCTTGCCTCTTTTAATTTTCATTATTATTTTCTAGAGATAGGGTCTTGCTCTGTCACCCAGGCTGGAGTGCAGTGGCATGATCATAGCTCACAGTTGTCTCTACTCCTGGGCTCAAGTGATCCTCCTGCCTCAGTCTCCTGAGTAGCTACACGCTTTCAAAGGGAAAGAAGCTCCCCCAAATGGCATGAAAAATATAATGTGGACTTCCAGAAACCTTGCCCACCTACCCAGAGAGCAAGCCCTAGGCAGGTCCTGGAGGGTTTGTCTCTTTTCTGGAACACACAGGCGCCTGCGCCCTCATGCTGACCTGGGTCAGGGAGAGTCTCACCACTGATAGCTCCGTGCCCTGCTCATTCATTACCACCCACTAACGCTGGATTTCAGGCTGGGTCTAAGCCTTGAGGCCACGGGTGCTCCCAAGATAAGGTCTTGGGGAGACACCAGGGCGGCCCTGAGATTCAAACATCCCAGAGGTCACACCATCTTCAAGGACACAGACCTTGAAGGCAATCCAGAATTTGCTCCCATTCCACCTCTGAAACACTGGGCAAGTCCCTAGACGCTGTCTCAGCCTGAACCTCCTTATCTGTGCAATAGAGAGAAGAAAGCCCACTTCATGGGGGTGATGGGAAAATCCTTTTAAATGACGCATGAGGCACGTTTAGCTCATAGTAAGCACTCAACAAATACTGCCAAATGTTATTAGCTCCCCTCTTTCCTCCAGTCCTTTGGGAAGGGAAGGGATGTAAGCCAACCAGACGAGATCTCCAACAGCCTGTTCTCATCAGCACCATCTAGCTCTGCCCTGGGACAGAAGGTCCTGCCGGGATGGGCAGGGCGCTGGCACCCCCTCCCCAGCCAGGATGAAATCCAGATGTGAGGCCCCTGGAACAAACAGGGTGGAGTCCTCACTCTGCAGTCACATCCGGTGTGAGGAAGGCGGGATGTAGGGGGAGTCAGGATGGGAGAGACCCCATCTGGGAGGTCCTGGCTGGGAGGATGGGGCAGCTTTGCTGAAGTCATGTGAGCCGTGAAGGGGTGTGCAGCCCCGCCGGGAGGGGGTAAGGCATTTGTTCCATGAAAACCTGAGTCACCCCCCCAACCCCCTCCCATCCCTCCCCTCCACCCTCTTCCATCCCTCCCTCTACCCCCTCCCATCCCCCCCCATCGCCACCCACCAAGGAAAACTGAGCCGTGGTGGGAGGGGGCGGGGAGAGGCGCTCCTCGGCAGAGAGGATGAGAGGCAGACACCATGGCCTTCCCCCAGCTTGGGGGTAGGGTTAGGGGTTGTCAGAGGCGCCAGTGCAGTGTATGCCTTTCATGAAGGGAGAGGAAGTTCCAGCCTTAGCTAAATGGGAGGGAGGGGGGAGAGTAGGGGGAGTCCTCCTCAGGTCCCTAGAAACACGTCTGGCAAGGACTGTGTGCACCGTTCCAGAAAAGTCTGGTTAGGCCAGTTCTCCTGAGCCCAGGAGTGATGGAGGTTTCCGGAGTCACCCAGCCATCTCAGTCCCTGGCCGCCCCCTCCAAGGGGCATCCTGGCCCCTGGCTGGATAGAGGCAGCTGCTCCCCCAGGGCGGAGGGACATCCGTCCTAGTTTGGGAACAGACAAGGGCTTGTGCACGTCCCCGGGGACTGCTGCCCCTCCCAGATAGCCACACAGAGGCCCCTTGTTCCCTTGCTGGACGCAGCCCCGGGCATCTTGATGCCCTCTGCACGCTGCAGCCAGTCCCAGGCAGGCTTGGGCCCAGGCTGCGGCTGGATCAGACACAGCTGATGGGCCGGAAACAGCCCATGCTCTGATTGGCTCATTTTCAATCCAAGGGCACTGAGCAATTTGCCTATTGGCCCGGGCTTTCCATCTTCTGCCTCTGATTGGTCCAGTTGGGGGCGCTCTACGGCCAGCCCTACCGATGGGGTCCTTTATAGGCGACGGGAGCTCAGGCTTTCTGAGGATAGAGTTAATGCTATGTGGACGTCCCTAGGGGGAGTTTGAACCGCAGCCTGACCTCTGGGTCACCCCGACCAGACACCCCCAGGCTGCCCTGGCCTGCTGGGCCCCTCCTGGGGTTCATAAGTGAGAATCAAGGTCCCTTTCCAGGCCTGGGGAGCACGCTGTGCAGTGCAGCCGCCCCCTCTGCTGCTCACCAAGAGATTTGCTGTGGCTTCCTGGATAAATAAGAAATGTGTTTAGGCCGGGCGCAGTGGCTCATGCCTGTAATCCCAGCACTCTGGGAAGCCGAGGCGGGCCTATCACCTGAGATCATGAGTTCAAGACCAGCCTGGCCAACATGGTAAAACCCCCCTCTACTCAAAAAAAAAAAAAAAAAAAAAAAATTAGCCGGGCATGGTGGTGTGCGCCTGTGATCCCAGCTACTTGGGAGACTGAAGCAGGAGAATCGCTTGAACCCGGGAGGCAGAGGTTGCAGTGAGCCAAGATCGCAGCCATTGCACTCCAGCCTGGGTGACAGAGCGAGACTGTCTCAAAACAAAACAAAACAAAACAAAACAAAATGAAATGTGTTCAGCCCTTGCACCCCAGGGACTAACTAAGCAGTCTGTCTTTTTCCCTGAGAGGAAGACTGGGGGTGCTGCACTCTCACCTTCTGCAGCCCGGGGAGGCTAAGGCATTCACAGAGGGAGAAGCAGCTCTCCTAGAGAAGGGGAAACTGAGGCCCACATTCTATCCAAGACTCATCTTAACCACTAGGACTTTACTGAGGCAAGCACTTGGGCGGTTGACGCCTCCCAGAAAGAGGAAGCAGGGCACTGAGGTTGGAGCTGGCAGAAGAGTCACCCCCTAGGTGGATGGCGTGGCCTAGCCCATGTCCCCTCCCTGTGTAAGGTTACCAGGTTTTGAGAAGGACACAGAGCCTGTCTCCCGGTCACCTTCACCAAGTCTGCCCTGACTCCCTCTCAGAAGCTCAGAAAGAGGCCACTGGGCTCACATAGAATGTCCAGGCCTGAAATGGAACAGGAGGGACAAGTGATGGGGTTTGGAAGGAAGGGAAGAGAGATAGACTCAGACGACTGTTTGTCTGGAGATTAGGAGAGGGGAAGGATGGAGGAAGCCTCAGTGGCTTCCAAGGTCCTCTCCACCCACTCCCAGTTCCAGAAAGGCAGGCCCTGTGGTTACAGTTCCCCCTGGTCACCCATGGAGCCCGTGGTAGCCACCCTACCTTTTGGTTTCTCTGTGGTTGTCAGGACCCCCTACCCTGCCATTCTCTACCAAGCAGCCAGGGGGAGCTTTTAAACTTGTAACTCCATGTCACTCCCCAACTCCAAATTCTTCCATGGCTCCCTATAGCCCAAGTAGGATGGCCCCTGCCGATGAAGCCTCCTCCCACTCTTCCCCCAGGGCCATTCCACTCCAACCACACTAAACCTCCTCCATGCTACCCCTACCCCTACCTCCAAGCCTTTACCCCTGCTGTTCTTCTTGGGGCACACTCTTTTTCTCAAAAAAAAAATTTTTTTTTTTTGAGACAGAGTCTCACTCTGTTGCCCAGGCTAGAGTGCAGTGGTGTGATCTCGGCTCACCACAACCTCTGCCTCCTGAGTTCAAGCGATTCTCCTGCCTCAGCCTCCTGAGTAGCTGGGATTATAGGTGCCTACCACCACACCTGGCTAATTTTTGTATTTTTAGTAGAGATGGGGTTTCACCATGTTGGCCAGGCTGGTCTGGAACTCCTGACTTCAGGTGATTCACCTGCCTAAGCCTAGGAAAGTGCTGGGATTACAGGCGTGAGCCACCACGCCTGGCCTTTCCTCAAATCTTTGAATGACTGTCTCCCCATCTTTCAGAAAGGCAGGCCCTGTGGTTACAGTTCCCCCTGGTCACCCATGGAGCCCGTGGTAGCCACCCTACCTTATAGAAAGTGACCTTTCTATTTAAAGGTCACTTCCTCAGAGGGGACTCCCCTGACCCCCAGTCTACAATAGCAGCCATCTCCAAGCCTTTTCTAATCACAGAATCTCGTTTTATTATCTGCACAGCGCTTGCCACTATGGGAAACTATCATGATATCTTTCCTTTTCTGTCTGGCTTCCACCTAGACAGTCAATGCCTAAGGCCAGGGAGCAAGTCAGTTATCAGCCCCTACAGGGATGCCTGGCACAAATAAAACACTCAGAAAACGTGTGGAATGGGCAAATGAATGAATGAATGAATGAACCAATGAACAAAGGAGACCCTAGTGGGTTCCCAAGGGTGGAAACTCCTAAGCTCAGCCCAGACCCAAACAGCAACAAAGGAGCCTGGAGACACCTCTGGTCCGCGGGCAGCGCCCCCATCGCCCACCATCAACCAGGCAAAGCCCAGCGTGTCTCCATGGAGATGGCAGCAGGACCCGACCCCGTGCTGGCCCGCACTCTCGGCCTCCTTATCTGGTTTAGGAATGCGCGGTATCCACGCTCGCTCGCGCGGGAGCCACGCCTCCTCTCCCCCCCGCCCCCGAGACCGCCACACGCGCGGGGCCCCCACGTCTCCAAGCGGCACTGGAAGGATTCCTCTCCGTCCCGCCAGGGGTCCCGCCTCGAGATTCTGGGAAGACTGGGGGTGGGGGACCAGATCGCAGCAGCAGCTGCACCGCGAGTTCCGCGCCTGGCCGTGTCGCCCCACGAGGGGGACTGTGGGCTCAGCGCGTGGGGCCCGGAGCATCTGACAAGGACAGAGACAGAGGAGGGGGTGGAAATCCCCGGGTGAGTCAACCCGTGCCTGAGAAGGGGGCGAGTTCCGACGCTCCGCCCGGCTCGGGGCCACGCGAGGTCCGCGCCACGCGCGCCTTCACCCACGACCCATCCCTGAGCCGGAGTTGAAAGAGGAGGCGTCTGAGCCACGCAGTCACTTTCTCTTTCCTTACAAAACAAAGCCACGCCCCCCGCCGGGGGACCGGAGGAGGCAAACAACTTGGGGAAACCGAGGCAGAAAGCCCGACGTCCGACCGCCCTCCCCGTGGGTGCCGCCCCTTGGCTTGGAGGCTCCACGGCGCGCACATCCTTTTGCCCTCGCTCAGCCGGAGTCAGCCAGGAGGGGTGTTGCCCCCCCCCAAACACACTCCCCAAGACCCCGGTCCCCGAGCACGGCGTCCTGCCTCCCAAAGACTCCAGTCGAAAGCGCTCGGATTCAGCCTTCTCCCCGGCGCCAACTTCCTGCCGCTGAGAAAGGCGGGGAGCACAGTCTGCGGGTTCGCGGCCGAGGCAGTGGGGGCCGCCCGGATTCTTGGAGAGGGCGCACTGTGACCACCCGCTCCGTGCAGCAGGAACCCAGGCGGCGCGTGCGCGCCCCAGCCCCCCGATTGGGGCCCCTCAGCTCGGATCCCGAGACCTCAGGGGACCAGGCCCGCCTTTTCTGCCTCCTTGTCGCCACGCGCGCTCACCTGGCTAGGCCGGCCCGGCTCCCGGCCCTGGCCGGAGGGGCCTTGGCGTCTGCGTCCCCAGGGCGGCCGCGGCTGGGGCTGGGGTTGCCAGCCGGGCTCGGCTAAGTCCCGGGGCTGGGACGAGGGACAGAGGGGGGGGCGGAGAGCCGCCGCCTCTGCCCCCCGCTCGCCCCGCCCTCCTCTCCTCCCCTTTCCGGCGGCGGCTGCAATGAATTCCAGATGTGACCGGCCGGCTGGCCGGGGCGCACGCGGGGGCCGACAGGAGCTGCACGGAGGGCCCTTTGTCCGCCCCCCCCACCCGATCTCTCACTCTGCCCCTCCCAGCCCCCACCCGTGAGAACCGGCCGGCGCGAAACGTCACGCAGCCTGGTGACGTCACAGTACTCCTGGCCAGGTGGCCTCAACCTGAAACAACTGTCTTCAACCCCAGGTTACCTCTGGGCTTACCCCTGGGACCCTGGACTTGGAAGAAAACACGAGGTCACATTTATTGACTCAACAAAGAGCCTTGGAAGTACCTACTAGGTGTCAACGCAGCAAATAGGCATTAAGTGCCTACTGTGTGTCCACCCAACAAATAAATTCCTACTAAGTGCGATGTCCTGTCCCAAAGACAAAATTGATCTCTTTTTTTTTTTCTTTTTTTGAGACATGGTCTTGCTCTGTCATCCAGGCCAGAGTGTGGTGGCTCAATCATAGCTCACGGGAGCCTCAGCCTCCTGCCTCAGCCTCCAGAGTAGCTGGGACTACAGGTGCGCCATCATGCCTGGCTAATTTTTTGCAGTTTTTTGTAGAGATGGGGTCTCGCTGTGTTGCCCAGGCTGGTCTTGAACTGCTGCATTCAAGCAATCCTACTGCCTCAGCCTCCCAAAGTGCTGGAATGACAGGCGTGAGCCACTGTGCCTGACCAGTCTCTCCCTTGATAGGACCTCCAGAATTCAGGTGCTGCCCTGTTTCCCTTGGGGGACTGGGGACACTCCACACTCTTTCCTGCCTCTGTAGATCACTGTCCCCTCTGGCGGGGCCCAGTTTGTGCCTGCCTTCCAGCGTCGGGCCCAGTCTTCTATCCAGATTTCCAATTTTCACTAATTCCTGGGCATTTCTGTGTGCCTGCCTGCGGAAATGATGGACACTACACCTTCATCGAATGATGTGTGTGTGTGTGTGTGTGTGTGTGTGTGTGTGTGTGTGTGTAACCAGCAGTTCGACAACAGGATAGGAAAGCCCCTCATTCCAGCAACAAAATTTTTTTGTTTGAGACAGAGTCTTCCTTTATCTCCCAGGCTGGGGTGCAGTGGTGCCATCTCAGCTCACTGCAACCTCTGCCTCCCAGGTTCAAGCTATTCCTGTGCCTCAGCTTCACAAGTAGCTGGAAATACAGGCGCGTGCCACCACGCCTGGCTGATTTTTTTGTATTTTTAGTAAAGACAGGGTTTCACCATGTTGGCCAGGCTGGTCTCGAACTCGTGACCTCAAGTGATCCGCCTGCCTCGGCCTCCCCAAGTGCTGGGATTACAAATGTAAACCACAGCACCTGGCAACAAATATTTTTTATGCACCTACTGGGCACAGCAGTGAACAACAACAACAGCAACAAAAAGGAAAAACTCCTTGACCAGATGGATTTTTTTTTTTTTTTGAGACAGAGTCTAGCTCTGTCGCCAGGCTGGAATGTAGTGGCACTATCTCGGCTCACTGCAACCTCTGCCTCCCGGGTTCAAGCGATTCTTCTGCCTCAGCCTCCTGAGTAGCTGGGATTACAGGCATGCGCCACCATGCCCAGCTAATTTTTGTAGTTTTAGTAGAGATGGAGGTTTCACCATGTTGGCCAGGATGGTTTCGATCTCCTGACCTCATGATCTGCCCGCCTTGGCCTCCCAAAGTGCTGGGATTACAGGCATGAACAACCGTGCCTGGCCAACCCAGTGGATCTTATGTTCAGGTGGGAAATATGGCTTTTTATGAGGGTACCATTTGTGAAAATGTAGACATTATATGTTATAAACATAATCTGGCCAGGCACGGTGGCTCACGACTGTAATCCCAACAGTTTGGGAAGCCAAGGTGGGTGGATTGCTTGACCCTAGGAGTTCTAGATTAGCCTGGGCAACATGGTGTAACTCCATCTCTACAAAAAATATAAAAATTGGCTGGGCATGGTGGCTCACGCCTGTAATCCCAGCACTCTAGGACTCCAAGGTGGGTGGATCACTTGAGGTCAGGAGTTCGAGACCAGTCTGGCCAATATGGCAAAACCCTTTCTTTACTAAAAATACAAAAAATTAGCCGGGCGTGGTGGCGGGCGCCTGTAATCCCAGCTACTCGGGAGGCTGAGTTAGGAGAATCGCTTGAACCCGGGGAGGCGGGCGTTGCAGTGAGCCAACATGGTGCTATTGGACTTCAGCCTGGGCAACAGAGCAAGACTCCGTCTCAAAAAATAAAATAAAAATAAAGAGGCTGGGTGCAATGGCTCACACCTGTAACCCCAGCACTTTGGGAGGCAAAGGCAGGTGGATCACCTGAGGTCAGGAGTTCAAGACCAGGCTGGCCAACATGGCGAACCCCATCTGTACTAAAAGTACAAAAATTAGCCGGGAATGGTAGTGTGTGCCTGGAGTCCCAGCTACTCGGGAGGCTAAGGCAGGAGAATTGCTTGAACCCTGGAGGTAGAGGTTCCAGTGAGCCGAGATCATGCCATTGCACTCCAGCCTGGGTGACACAGCAATACTCCATTTTAAATAAATAAATAAATAAAACTAAATAAATAAATGGAGTAGTCTTGTGTGTACTGATGGGAAATGGTCTTCAACATATTAAGTTGAAAAAGTACAGTGTAGACCAGTATGCATTGCATTTCTGGGTGTATTTATAAGAACTATATAAATACACACACATTTGCCTGTGACACACAGTCTGTCTCTGGGAGAAGGCACCAGACCCTAGTCACAACAGTTACTCTTAGGGAGAGGAACCAGGGGGCAGGGAAACGAGGTAAGAAGAAACAGCTTTTCATGGTATACCCTGGAGGGCTGTTTGAAATCTTTTTTTTTTTTTTTTTTTTTTTTTTGAGACGAGGTATCTCCATATTGGCCAGGCTGGTCTCGAATTCCTGACCTCAGGTGATCCGCCTGCCTCAGCCTCCCAAAGTGCTGGGATTACAGGCATAAGCCACTGCGCCCAGCCTGCTGTTTGAAATCTTTAGCTTCTATTACCAATTCAAAAAAATGTACAAAGAGGTCGAGGCAAGGGGATCACCTGAATTCAGCAGTTCGAGACTAGCCTGACCAATATGGTGAAACCCCATCTCTATTAAAAATACCAAAATTATTGGGAGGCTGAGGCAGGCAGATCACGAGGTCAGGAGTTCAAGACCAGTCTGGCCAACATGGTGAAACCCGGTGTCTATTAAAAATACAAAAATTAGCTGGGCACAGTGGTGCACACCTGTAGTCCCAACTACTTGGGAGGCTGAGGCAGTAGAATCACTTGAACCCAGGAGGCGGAGGTTGCACTGAGCCGAGATCCCGCCACTGCATTCCAGCCTGGGCAACAGAGTGAGACTGCATCTCAAAAAAACAAAAAAACAAACAAAAAAAAACACAAAAAACTAGCCAGGCGTGGTAGCAGGTGCCTGTAGTCACAGCCACTCTGGAGGCTGGGGCAGGAGAACTGCTTGAACCCGGGAGGTGGAGGTTGCAGTGAGCCAAGATCGTGCCACTGCACTCCAGCCTAGGCGACAGAGTGAAACTCCATCTCAAAAAATATATTAAAAATTTTAAAAAATTGGTCATGGATAGTGGCTCATGTCTGTAATCCCAGCACTTTGAGAGGCCAAGGTGGGAAGACCAGTTGTGCCCAGGAGCTTGAGATCAGCCTGCGCAATATAGTGAGACTTCGTCTCTACAAAAGAAAAAACAAAAAATTAAACATTAGCCAAGCATGGTTGTGTGTGCCTGTAGTTCCAGCTACTCATGAGGCTGGGGTGGGAGGATCACTTGAGCCTGAGAGGTGGAGGTTGAAGTTAGCTGAAATCACACTGCTGCACTCCAGCCTAGTTGACAGAGCAAGACACTGTCTGGAAAAAAAAAAAATCAACAGGCCAAGCACGATAACTCACAACTGTAATCCTAGCACTTTGGGAGGCAGAGGCGGGAGGATTGCTTGAGGCCAGGAATCTGAGACCAGCCCAGGCAATATAGTAAGAGCCCATCTCAAAAAAAAAAAAAAAATCAACACGTTAATGCTACATATAGGCATGCAATATATGTGTGTATGTAACACAACATGTAATGCTCTGTGCTAAGCCTGGTGATGCCTAATTGGTTGCTGCCATCCAAAGCTGACAGTCTGATGGAGGAGACAGAGAAGAAACCAGACAATTATTTTTATTTATTTATTTATTTATTTATTTATTTTGAGACAGAGTCTCGCTCTGTCGCCAAGGCTGGAGTGCACTGGCAAGATCTCGGCTCGCTGCAACCTCCACCTCCCAGGTTCAAGCAATTCTCCTGCCTCAGCCTCCCAAGTATCTGGGATTACAGGCGCACACCACCACACCCGGCTAATTTTTGTATTTTCAGTAGAGATGGGGTTTCACCATGTTGGCCAGGCTGGTCTTGAACTCCTGACTTCAGGCGATCCACCTGCCTCAGCCTCCCAAAGTGCTGGGATTATAGGCGTGAGCCACCGTGCCCGGCCGAAACCAGACAATTCTAACACAGGGTGATGGGGCTTTGAAGGGGGGATACAAAGAAAGTCAGAAAGTGACTAGTCAATTCTACACTTTGCCCCTTTTCCTGAGCTCGATTTCAGGGTCTGCTGGGTTCTGGGCCAGATCTTGGGGCGCACTTGGACCTTGGCAAAACCTCACTGCCTCTTCTACCAAGTGAGAAGTGTTGCCTGGACACTCTAGAAACCAGGTGTTTAATCCGCAGAGGAGGAAGCACGAAGAAAATTAGGTTTTCTCCTCGTCTGAGAGCTATCAGAGCGGAAATCTCAGTCTTGTGTGGGGACCTGAAGGCTGGGGAGGAAGTGACCGCCCTCATATGCCTGGGCTGGCTCAGCAATTTGCAGTCTCTCCTGGGACCTGGGGGGTTGGGGCAGAGGGGTGATGTCAAGGCTGCAGACATATGTGGCCGTCTGCCAGGGGAACCGTGGCTCCCAGACAAAGGTGATGTCCCCGGGGACACACAGACACACCGACATGCAACTTCCGCCTCCCTCCCACTTCTGAGGCAACACAATGTCTTCGCCAGGTCAGCCAAGGGAGCGCTACAGAGGACTGGAAAACGCTGGAGGCCTGGACTTCCTGATGGTCTTGGTGGGGGTCAGGAGGAGAGCTTGGCCTACCCCGGTGGCGGGGGGCGGGGGGCTGAGTGAGAGAACAGTGGAGGAGGAAGGAAACAGGGCCCTTTTCTTGGAGAACTCCCAGCAGGGGAAATAGAGGAGAAGGAAGAGGCTTGAACTAGCTTCCACTAATTATAGGGTCAGTGACAATAATGGCTAACACTCACAGCCACCGACTGTGTGCTAGATGTGGCGCTGTGAGTCCTCACAACCCGAGGAAGTGGGTATTATGATAATCATCATCTTTTTTTTTTTTTTTTTTGAGATGGAGTCTCGCTCTGTCACTCAGGCTGGAGGGCAGTGGCGCGATCTCAGCTCACTGCAACCTCCGCCTTCCAGGTTCAAGGGATTCCCCTGCCTCAGCCTCCCGAGTAGCTGGGATTACAGGCGCCCGCCACCACACCTGGGTAATTTTTTGTATTTTTAGTAGAAACGGGGTTTCACTGTGTTAGCCAGGCTGGTCTAGAACTCCTGACCTAAGCTGATCTGCCCACCTCGGCCTCCCAAAGTGCTGGGATTACAGGCGTGAGCCACCGTGCCTGGCCTTTTTTTTTTTTTTTTTTTTTTGAGATGGAGTCTCGTTCTGTCTCCCAGGCTGGAGTGGCAGTGGCATGATCTTGGCTCACTGCAACCTCCGCCTCCTGGGTTCAAGCGATTCTCCTGCCTCAGCCTCCCAAGTAGCTGGGATTATAGGCCCGCGCCACCATGCCTGGCTAATCTTTATATTTTTAGTGGAGACAGGGCTTCACCATGTTGGCCAGGCTGATCTCAAACTCCTGACCTGAAGTAATCCATTCCATGTACCTTGGTCTTGGCCTCCCAAAGTGGCTCACACTCTTACAGGTGTGAGCCACTGTGCCCGGCCAATCCCATTTTAAAGAAGAGGAAAATTGACCAGGCGCGGTGGCTCACGCCTGTAATCCCAGCACTTTGGGAGATCAAGGTAGGCGGATCACCTGAGATCAGGAGTTAGAGACCAGTCTGGCCGACATGGCGAAACCCCATCTCTACTAAAAAGATAAAAATTAGCCAGGTATGGTGATGCGCACCTGTAACCCCAGCTACTCGAGAGGCTGAGGCACAAGAATTGCTTGCACCCGGGAGGCGGAGGTTGCAGTGAGCCAAGATCATGCCATTGCACTCCAGCCTAGGTGACAGAGCGAGACTCTATCTCAAAAAAAAAAAAAAAAAAAAAAAGAAGGAGGAAAATTGAGGCATACAGGAGAGGTGAGATTCGAACTAGAGCCATCCGGCTCCTCTCAATCCAGCAGCCCTGGCTGTCTGTCTTCTTATTCATTCGGAGTCTCCACCCCATTCCTGTGCCACCACCCCCATCTCTGCCCCAGCAGGTAGGAACAGACAGGCAGTGGTTACCAGCCAGGACTACATTGGTCAACAGTGAGATGTGGAATGTTCTCCATAATCCAGGAGAAGGGACGCCCTCTGACCCCCATTCCTACCTTCACCCCGGATATTGTGAACTCCCCCAAATCCAGGAGGCCCAGGCCCTTCACACCAGATCCTGTGGTTGCCCACCATGGCCCTGAAATCCATGAGACGCAGGCCTGTTCTCCATCCTCCCTGGGCCTCCACTGTCCCCCCACCCCCCTGGCTCTCGTCTCTGGCAGGAGGAACTGCCTGGGAAGTGTCTGAGATGGATCCCAACTTTCTCATCATCGCCCCAGCGCTGGGGGAAGGGGCCCCAGGCTACAGAGAAGCTTCCCAGATGCTGATCTTGGCAGGCATCAGGGAACTGCGGCAGCCTCATCTCCTCCATGGGCTCAGGGCCCACTTTCAGCTTCAGTGACGGGGTGGGGAGGCTCCCACTGGAGGCCAGCCTCTGCCACATCTGCACCAGAAGCAGTCTTGGCCCTTCGAGCTGGGGAAGGGGTGGGCTCTCTTCCCGCCAAAAGCAGGATGAACAATTAGGGGAAAGGGGAACCTCAAAAAGGCTAACTTCTCAGCAAGCCCCTCCCACCCCAGCATGCTCATGACAGCTGACATGTGTATAACGTGCCAGTTACTGCCCTAAGTGTTTTACAAATATTGACTCACTCTCAATAGCTCACAGCAGCTCCCTCAGCTAGAGAAAGGAGAGATAAACTGCAGTCCATCCTCACAATGGAAGACCATGCCTGTAATCTCAGCACTTTGGGAGGCTGAGGCGGGCGGATCGCCTGAGGTCAGGAGTTCGAGACTAGCCTGGACAACATGGCGAAACCCCATCTCTACTAAAAACGAAAAAATT
Source organism: Homo sapiens (assembly GCF_000001405.40). NCBI lineage: Eukaryota > Metazoa > Chordata > Mammalia > Primates > Hominidae > Homo > Homo sapiens. The sequence goes on from NC_000019.10 coordinate 10,238,798, forward strand.
AGCTGAGTTTGGTGGTACGCACCTGTAATCCCAGCTACTCAGGAGGCTGAGGCAGGAGAATTGCTTGAACCCAGGAGGTGGAGGTTGCAGTGAGCCGAGATTGCACCATTGCACTCCAGACTAGGTGACAAGAACAAATGAAACTCCATCTCAAAAAAAAAAAAAATCAAAAAGAAGGAATTGGTGATACCTAGCCACATGGAGAACTCTCAAATGTATTAGGATGAGGGAAAGAAGTTCAACGCAAAGGTTGCATATTGTATGACTCTATTTCTATAATGTTCTAGGAGAAAAAAAACTATAGGGACGGTGAAATATTGGGACAGGAGAGGTTGACTGCAAAAGGGCACGGTGGGACCGGGTACAGTGGCTCACCCCTGTAATCCCAGCACTTTCAGAGGCTGAGGTGAGAGAATTGCTGGAACCCAGGAGTTCGACACCATCCTGAGCGACAGAGCGAGACCCAGTCTCTACAAAAAAAAAAAAAAAAAAATGAGTCAGGTACAGTGGCACGTGCCTGTACTAGCTATTCCGGAGGCTGAGGCAGGAGGATTGCCTGAGCCCAGCAGTTTGACACCACTGTCACCTATGATCGCACCACTGCACTCCAGCCTGAGCAACAGAGTAAGACCAATGTCTTAAAAAAAAAAAAAAAGTTGGGGGGCATGGGGGGAATTTTTTTTTTTTTGGCGATGGAACCATTCTGCATCTTGATTGTGGTTTTGGTTACGTGACTATATATGTTTCTTGAAATGTGAACAACTGTATGCAAAAAAGGGAAGATTTTCTTTCTTTTGAGACAGAGTCTTGCTCTGTCGCCCAGGCTAGTATGCAGTGGCGCGATCCACTGCAACCTCTGCCTCCTGGGTTCAAGCGATTCTCCTGCCTCACCTTACAGGTGTCCACCACCACGCCTGGCTAATTTTTGTATTTTTAGTAGAGATGGGGTGTTACCATCTTGGCCAGGCTGGTCTCGAACTCCTGACCTTGTGATTCACCCGCCTCGGCCTCCTAAAGTGCTGGGATTACAGGCGTGAGCCACCACGCCCGGCCAGGAAGATTTTTATTGTATCTAAATTGTGCAAAAAAAGCAATACTTTTGTTTAAAAAATTCTCACAGCAGCCTTATTATTTGTGTGTTTGTTTATTTGTTTTCTTGATCTTAGCCAAAAGGCCGAGAAGCGATTTATTTATTTTTATTTTTTATCTTTTTTTTTTTTTTTTTCGAGACGGAATCTGGCTCTGTCGCCCAGGCTGGAGTGCAGTGGCGCAATCTTGGCTCACTGCAAGCTCCGCCTCCCAGGTTCACGCCATTCTCCTACCTCAGCCTCCCGAGTAGCTGGGACTACAGGCACCCGCCAGTACGCCGGGCTAATTTTTTGTATTTTTAGTAGAGACGGGGTTTCACCGTGTTAGCCAGGATGGTCTTGATCTCCTGACCTCGTGATCCACCCGCCTCGGCCTCCCAAAGTGCTGGGATAACAGGCGTGAGCCACCGTGCCCGGCCTAGTTTTTATCTTTTTAGAGATAAGGTCTTGCTCTGTCACCCAGGCTGGAGTGCAGTGGCGCAATCATAGCTCACTGTAGTCTCAAGCTGGTGAGTTCAAGCAATCTGCCTACTTCAGCCTACCCAGTAGCTGGGACTACAGGCCCAAGACACCAAGCCCAGCTAACTTTTACATTTTTTGTAGAGGGTTAGGTTGGTCTCACTATGTTGCCCAGGCTGGACCTGAACTCCTGGGCTCAAGCGATCCTCCCACCTTGGTCTCCCAAGGGCACTGAGATTACAAGAGTGAACCACTCTGCCTGGCCTCCGGACAGTAGCTTTACATCAGTGAGGGTCTAATCAGGAAAACAGAAGTATCTCCAATAGAGGGGATTTAATATATGGGTCAATTTAATACGTAGATAAAAAATCAAACGATGGCCAGGCGCGGTGTCTCATGCCTGTAATCCCAGCACTTTGGGAGGCTAAGGTGGACAAATCACGAGGTCAGGAGTTCGAGACCAGCCTGGCCAACATGGTGAAACCCGGTCTCTACTAAAAATACAAAAAATTAGCTGGGCATAGTGGCAGGAGCCTGTAATCCCAGCTACTTGGGAGGCTGAGGCAGGAGAATCGCTTGAACCCGGGAGGCGGAGGTTGCAGTGAGCGGAGATTGCACCACTGCACTCCAGCCTGGGTGAAAGAGTAAGACTTTGTCTAAAACAAAACAAAACAAAACAAAATGGATGGAGAGATTATTTTAAAATTAGCATAGGCCGGGCACAGTGGCTCATGCCTGTAATCCCAGCACTTTGGAAGGCCGAGGCGGGCGGATCACCTGAGGTCGGGAATTCGAGACCAGGCTGACCAACATGGAGAAACCGTGTCTCTACTAAAAATACAAAATTAGCCTGATGTGGCTGGGCGCAGTGGCTCATGCCTGTAATCCCAGCACTCTGGGAGGCCAAGGCAGGTGGATCATGAGGTCAGGAGATCGAGACCATCCTGGCTAACACGGTGAAACCCGTCACTACTAAAAATACAAAGAATTAGCCGGGCGTGGTGGCAGGCACCTGTAGTCCCAGCTACTCGGAAGGCTGAGGCAGGAGAATGGCGTGAACCCGGGAGGCGGAGCTTGCAGTGAGCCGAGATCACACCACTGCACTCCAGCCTGGGCGACAGAGTGAGACTCCGTCTCAAAAAAAAAAAAAAAAAAAAAGTAGCCGGGCATGCTGGCACATGCCTGTGATCCCAGCTACTAGGGAGGCTGAGGCAGGAGAATCGCTTGAACCCAGGAGGCGGAGGCTGCGGTGAGCCGAGATCGCACCATTGCACTCTAGCCTGGGCAATAAGAGCGAAACTCCATCTCAAAAAAAAAAAAAAAAATTAGCATAAACCAAGCATGGTGGTGTAGGCCTGTAGTCCCAGCCACTCGGGAGGCTGAGGCAGGAGGATCACTTGAGCCCAGGAGTTGGACTCCGGCCTGGGCAACATAGCCAAACCTCATCTCTTAAAAAATATAATAAAAATAAAGGATATGGCAGACCATGTAAAAAATTTAAATAGAAATTACCATATAGGAAGATGATATCTAATGGGAGGTGCTACCAGAGGCATATGGGGAGAAATATCTTGGGCTGGGTGCAGTGGTTCATGACTGTAATCCCAGCACTTTGAGAGGCCAAGGTGGGAGGATCACTTGAAGCCAGGGGTTTGAGACCAGCCTGGGTAATATAGGAGACCCCCATCTCTATTTTAAAAATCTTTAAAAAAAAAATCCATGTATGGTTGCACGCACCTGTGGTTCCAGCTACTCAGGAGGTTGAGGCAGAAGGATCACGTCAGCCCAGGAGGTCGAGGCTGCAGTGAGCTATGATTGTGCCACTGCACTACAGCCTGGGTGACAGAGTAAGACCCTATCCCTAGAAAAAAAGCAAAAAGAGGCCGGGTGCGGTGACTCACGCTTGTAATCCCAGCACTTTGGGCGGCTGAGGCAGGTGAATCACCTGAGGTCAGGAGTTCAAGACCAGTCTGACCAACATGGTGAAACCCCGTCTCTACTAAAAATACCAAATTAGCCGGGCATGGTGGTGCGTGCCTGTAATCCCAGCTACTTGGGAGGCTGAGGCGGGAGAATCACTTGAACCCAGGAGGTGGAGGTTGCAGTGAGCTGAGATCGTGCCATTGCACTCCAGCCTGGGCGACAAGAGCGAAACTCCGTCTCAAAAAAGAAAAGAAGAGAAAAGAAATATCTTGGCTTCTCCTACCTTCCTCTCGGAAAATCTGCCCCCAGTGCCTCCCATTGGCTAAATGTGGCCAGAAGCCAGTTGGCAGGGGAGATGTCCCGTGCAGAGGTCAGCCCCGAGCCATGCAGGGAGAACAGCACAGGGACTAGATGATGCCAGGGCTCGCAGGCTTAAGCCCTGCAAGAACCATGTGGGTAGGGGCAACTATACCCCCATTTTACAGAGGAGGAAACTGAGGCCTGGAGAGCCAATGTGACATGCCCAGGGTCTCAGGCCCTCAAGGAGGTTGGACTCTCTGGTTCTCGCCAACACCTGCCTGGAGGGCTAGTTCTGTGGCTTTTTTTCTACCCTTCACGCCTGTCCTGGTTGCTCAGGGAACTGTAGGGAATGAAAATATCCATGCAAATCAGCCCCACTGCGGGGAGGCCCTCCGTGGGAGGCTTTGCCCCCTCACGGAGCTTGGCAGTTACACACAAGCTGAGCTGAAAACAAACAAACAGCAGATGTTTGGACAGTTGATGGGGGAGGGGCGCTTTAGGCAGCTCTCCCTAGTATAGGAGACCACCCCTCACCCCCCACCAACAGATCTGTGTCATCCATCCATGCCCTGTACTTTTTTTTTTTTTTTTTTTGAGATGGAGTCTTGCTCTGTCACCCAGGCTGAAGTGCAGTGGCGCAATCTTGGCTCACTGCAACCTCTGCCTCCCGGGCTCAAGCAATTCTCGTCACTCAGCCTCCTGAGTAGCTGGAATTACAGGCGCCCGCCACCATGCCGGGCTAATTTTTGTATTTTTAGTAGAGACGGGGTTTCATCATGTTGGTCAGGTTGGTCTCAAACTCCTGACCTTAAATGATCCACCCTCCTCGGCTTCCCAAAGTGCTGATTACAGGCGTGAGCCATTACACCCAGCCAATCCCATTTTAAAGATGAAGAAAATTGACTGGGTGAGGTGGCTCAAGCCTGTAATCCCTACATTTTGGGAGGCTGAGTTGGGCGGATCACTTTAGCCACCGACCTCATGCTCTGTACCTTCTTTTTGGGGGGCTGCCCCCCAGTATTGCAGGCCTGACCCCTGGCCTTTGTGAGAACCCTTGTTCAGTAATGGAGGAAAAGCTGAGGCCAGATGTTGAGGGGCCTTCCCGCATCTGATATGTGCCCCCTAAATTGGTGTGATACCCACAGCCAGCAAAGACCCTCTCTGGATTACAGGGTTGATGCTGGTCCCACACTACCAAGGACAGAGGTCACCTGCAATTGAGCCTTTGATCCACAGGAGAGGGCTGGTTGCATTGGCCTTTGACCTCTCCCCAGGCTTGGCTCAAAATGGTCAAACTTTGAGCCTTTTGGTGTGAAGGTCCCCTGGTCGTTACTGCCCTTTTATTAAGACTCATAACTGGGGGCCGGACGCGGTGGCTCACGCTTGTAATCCCAGCACTTTGGGAGGCCAAGGCGGGCAGATCACTTGAGGCCAGGTGTTTGAGACCAGCCTGGACAACATGGTGAAACCGTGTCTCTACTAAAAATACAAAAAGGCAGGGTGCAGTGGCTCACGCCTGTAATCTCAGCACTTTGGGAGGCTGAGGCAGGCGGATCACGAGGTCAAGAGATCGATACCATCCTGGCCAACATGGTGAAACCTCGTCTCTACTAAAAATACGAAAATTAGCTGGGCGTGGTGGCGTGTGTCTGTAGTCCCAGCTGCTCAGGAGACTGAGGTAGGAGAATCACTTGAACCCAGGAGGCGGAGGTTGCAGTGAGCAGAGATCATGCCATTGCACTCCAGCCTGGACAACAAGAGTGAAACTCCGTCTCAAAAAAAAAAAAAAAGACTCATAATCAATATGCCAGTTGGGGAATGCTGTGTAAACTGGGGTAGGGACCAGGTGCAGTGGCTCATGCCTGTAATTCCAGCACTTTGGGAAGCCGAGGCTGGAGGACAGCTTGAGGCCAGGAATTTGAGACCAGCCTGGCCAGCACAGTGGGTCTCTGTCTCTACCAAAAATAAAACAAGTCAGCCCAGTGTGGTGGCATGTGCCTGTAGTCCCAGCTACTCAGGAGGCTGAGTGTGAGGATGGCTTGAGCCCAGGAGGTAAAGCTTGCAATGACCTATGATCCTGCCACTGCACTCCAGCCTGGGCGACAGACGGAGACTCTGCCTCTAAAAGATAAAAAATAAAAGCTGGAGTAGGAAGGGAAGGATAAGTTTAGATGCATTGTCACCTAAGAAGGTGGCATTTCAGTAAAGAGCCAAAGGAGATGAAAGAGTGAGACATACAGATATTCAGGGGAGGCTGGGCATGGTGTCTGAAGCTTGTAATCCCAGAATTTTGAGAGGCTAAAGTGGTGAATCACTAGAGGCCAGGAGTTGGAGACCAGCCTGGGCAGCATAGTGAGACTCCATCATGTTTTGTTTTGTTTTGTTTTGTTTTGTTCTGTTTTATTTGAGACAGTGTCTCACTGTCACCCAGGCTGGAATGCAGTGGCATAATCACAGCTCACTACAACCTCCGCCTCCCAGGTTCAAACAATTCTCCTGCCTCAGCCTCCCAAGTAGCTGGGATTATAGGCGCCTGCCACCACACCTGGCTAATTTTTGTATTTTTAGAGAGACAAGGTTTCACCACGTTGGCCAGGCTGGCCTCGAACTCCTGACCTCAAGTCATCTGCCCACCTCGGCCTCTCTAAGTGCTGGGATTACAGGTGTGAGCCACCACGCCTGGCCCTCAGCATGTTTTTTAAAAGAATAAAATAATAAAAGAAACAAAAATAGATATTAACGGGGAAATGGAATGTGATTGGTGGGTTCTGGGTTCTGGTGAGGAGGCCAGGGCGGCTAAAGCCATGGAGGAAGGGGAACAGGAGAATGGAAGGTTAGGGCAGGTCCTGCGGGGACTTGAGGGTTGCATGAGGACTTTGGTTTTAGTGCTAAGTGAAATGAAGGCACTGAGGGTTCTAAGCAGAAGAGGGAAGTGACCTGACTCAGATGTTTACAGCCTACCTCTAGGGGATGGGTAACAGATGATGAGGAGTGAGGGTGGAAGGAAGAATTCATTCTCAACACAGCCCCGTAGGGGAGGGTTTGTGTGTATTTCACTTACAGATTAGGAGGCCACAGCTCCCACTTGCCCAAGGCCATCCAGCCAATTAGTGGCAGTGCCTGGATTCAAACCAGTGTTACTGAATGAATAATCATGTATGGGCACCTTACGTGCCCAGTGACCTCAGGTGGACAGAGATTTGAGACCCAGGGACATAGGGAGAAAGTCCTCTGTTGTTAGCAATACCCCTGCAACAGGATGAACAAAGGAATTCACTCAGGAAACATTTATTAGCTGGGTGTGGTGGTGCATGCCTGTGGTCCCAGCTACTCGGGAGGCTGAGGCAGGAGGATTACTTGAGCCCGGGAGTTGCAGGCTGCAGTGAACTATGATCATGCCACTGCACTCCAGCCTAAGTGACAGAGTGAGACTCTGTCTCTAAAAAGAAAAACAAAAGAACTAAAGAAACATTTATTGAGCATGTACTGTGGTCCAGACACTATGCTGAGTGCTGAAGCTACAGCAGGTAATAGGATAGAGGAAAATTCCAGCCTTGGGTGAGTTTACATTCTAATGGGAGAGGCAGACAAAAAGCATTTTTAGCCAGGTGCAGTGGCTCACGCCTGTAATCCCAGCACTTTGGGAGGCCGAGGTGGGCAGATCACAAGGTCAGGAGTTTGAGACCAGCCTGGCCAACATGGTGAAACCCCATCTCTATTCAAAATACAAAAAAATTAGCCGAGTGTGGTGGCAGGCGCCTGTAATCCCAGCTACTTGGGAGGCTAAGGCAGGAGAATCGCTTGAACCTGGGAGATGGAGGTTGCAGTAAGCTGAGACTGTGCCATTGCACTCTAGCCTGGGCAACAAGAGCAAAACTCTGTCTCAAAAAAAAAAAAAAAAGAAGAAGAAGAAGATAACCATTAGGCCAGATGTGGTGGCTAACATCTGTAATCCCAGCACTTTGGGAGGCTAAGGCAGGAGAACTGCTGGAGCCGAGGAGTCTAAGACTAGCCTGGGCAATGTGGTGAGACCTCGTGTCTACAAATATATATATATTTTTAAATAGCCAGGTGTGGTAGCACACACGTGTAGTCCCAGCTACTCAAAAGACCAAGGTGGGAGGATCACTTGAGCCCCAGAGACAGAGGTTGCAGTGAACCAAGATCTCGACATTGCACTCCAGCCTGGGTGGCAGAGTGGAACACTGTCTCAAAAAAAAGAAGATAAATATTAATATAGGGCAAGAGAAGAGGGTCAGAAAGGTCAGAGGTGAAGATTTGCTTTTTTATTTTTTTGAGACAAAGTCTCGATCTGTCACCTGGGCTGGAGTGCAGTGGCGCAATCTCAGCTCACTGCAACCTCCGCCTCCCGGGTTCAAGTGATCCTCCCATCTTAGCCTCCTGAGAAGCTGGGACTACAGTCGCACACCAGCACAGAGGTTTCAGTGAGCTGAAATCACACCACTGCACTCCAGCCTGGGTGACAGAGTGAGACCCTGTCTCAAACAACAACAACAAAAACAAAGGAAGCATGCAGTGGGTAGTCCGAAAGGTTCAGCCACCTCTGCCCCCTGTCAGTCTTTCCTCACTCCTGGCCTCTGCGACTGCTGTTCTCTCAACCTGAAACAGACTTTCTCCTCTGGACAAAGTCCTCAAGCCTTAGCTCTCAGGCTACAGCTTCATAAGACCACCCCAAGACCCTGCCCCCGTGGTTGGGAATTCCTCCTGTGGACGCCCACAGACCCTGTAGACTCCCCTCCTGAACTCTGATCCTTCAGGCCTCTGCATTGGACTGTGAATATTTCAAAAGTGTTTGCTGGATTTACTGGTGTACCAGTGGTGCACAGTAGGTGCCTAATAAATCACTAAGAAACTAAGCCAGGCGGCCTAGTGTGGTGGCTCACGCCTGTAATCCCAGCACTTTGGGAGGCTGAGGCAGGCGGATCATTTGAGGTCAGGAGTTCGAGACCAGCCTGGCCAATATGGCAAAACCCCATCTCTACTAAAAATACAAAAATTAGCTGGGCGTGGTGGTGTCTGCCTGTAATCCCAGCTACTCAGGAGGTTGAGGCAGGAGAATTACTTGAACCCAGGAGGTGGAGGAGGTTACAGTGAGCCGGGATCGCACCACTGCATTCTAGCCTGGGTGACAGAATGAGACTGTGTCTCAAAAAAAAAAAAAAAAAACAAAAGGCACAGGGCATGGATGGATGATACAGATCTGTTGTGGGGGATGAGGGGTGGAATCACAAGGTCAGGAGTTTGAGACCATCCTGGCTAACATGGTGAAACCGTCTCTACTAAAAATACAAAAATTAGCCAGGCGTGGTGGCGGGCACCTGTAGTCCCAGCTACTCAGGAGGCTGAGGTGGGAGAATGGCGTGAACCTGGGAGGCGGAGCTTGCAGTGAGCCAAGATCACGCCACTGCACTCCAGCCTGGGCGACAGAGCGAGACTCCGTCTCAAAAAAAAAAAAAAAAAAAAAAAAGCCAGGCGAGGTGACTCACACCCATAATCGCAGCACTTTGGGAGGCCAAGGCGGGCAGATCGCTTGAGCCCAGAAGTTTGAGATCTGCCTGGGCAACACGGCGAGACCCTGTCTCTATGAAACAAGAAAAAAGAAAGAAACGAAATACTGTTCCATCATTTGCCACATAAAATCTAAACTCTCTGGTGCAGAACAGACTTGCAAATCTGCCTGTAAAATCATACACCGGATTTTGGAGTAGACACACAGGAGGCTGATTGTAGTGGTGGCTTCTGGGAGAAGAACTGGGGGGTAGGGGGCACAGATAAGAGTAGACAGAATTTTCACTCTAGTAATCTTTGTAATTTTTGAAATTCTCTCTACCAGGTGTATGAATGACCAATGAAAATATACAATAGGCCAGGCGCAGTGGCTCACGCCTATAATCCCAGCACTTTGGGAGGCTGAGGCGGGTGGATCACATGAGGTCAGGAGTCCGAGGCCAGCCTGACCAACATGGTGAAACCTTGTCTCTACGAAAAATACAAACATTAGTCAGGTAGGGAGCATCACTTGAGAACAGGAGTTCAAGACCAGCCTGGACAACAAAGCAAGACCTCTGCCTCTACAAAAAAAAAAAAAAAAAAAAAAAATTGCTGGGCATGGTGGAACATGCCTGTGGCCTCAGCTACTTAGGTGGCTGCAGCAGAGGATCATCTGAGGCCAGGAATTCAAGACTACAGTGAACTATAATCGTTACACTGCACTACAGACTGGTAACAGGGTGAGATCCTGTCTCAAAAACAACAGCAACAAAATAAACGATTAAAAGACCTTTTAAAGTTGCAAAATACATAGAGTCTTAAACATGCATCCACAGTTATTTATTTATTTATTTAGAAACGGAGTTTCACTCTTGTTGCCCAGGCTGGAGTGCAATGGTGCGGTATCAGCTCACTGCAACCTCCGCCTCCCAAGTTAAAGGAATTCTGCCTCAGCCTTCCAAGTAGCTGGAATTACAGGCATGCGCCACCATGCTCGGCTAATTTTGTATTTTTAGTAAAGATGGGGTTTTGGCATATTGGCCAGGATGGTTTCGAACCCCTGACCTCAGGTGATCCACCCGCCTCGGACTCCCAAAGTGCTAGGATTATAGGCATGAGCCACCACGCCCGGCCGCATTCAGTTATTCTTGCAGGGATAAAATACACAATGAAATACACTATACTTTTTGTTTTCTTTCTTTCTTTTTTTTTTTTTTTTTTGAGACAGAGTCTCACTCGTCGCATGGGCTGGAGTGCGGTGCGGGATCTCGGCTCACTGCAACCTCTGCCTCCTGGGTTGAAGCGATTCTCCTGCGTCAGCCTCCCGAGTAGCTGGGATTACAGGTGCCCGCCACTACGCCCAGCTAATTTTTTTGTATTTTTAGTAGAGATAAGGTTTCACCATGTTGGCCAGGCTGGTCTCGAACTCCTGACTCGTGATTCGCCCACCTTGGCCTCCCAAAGTGCTGGGATTACAGGCGTGAGCCACCGCACCCGGCCACATTTTTTTTTTTTTTTTTTTGAGACAGGATCTTAGTCTGTCACCCAGGCTGGAGTACAGTGGCATGAACATGGCTCACTGCAGCCTCAATCTCTTGGGTTCAGGTGATCCTTCTGCCTTAGCCTCCCCATTAGCTGGGACCACAGGCATATACCATCACACCTAGCTAATTTTTAAATTTTTGGTAGAGGCCAGGCGCGGTGGCTCACGCCTGTAATCCCAGCACTTTGGGAGGCCGAGTCGGGTGGATCACCTGAGGTCGGGAGTTCGAGACCAGCCTGGCCAAAATGGTGAAACCCTGTCTCTACTAAAAATAAAAAATAAAAATAAAAATTAGCTGGGCGTAGTGGCGGGCGCCTGTAATCCCAGCTACTCGGGAGGCTGAGGCAGGAGAATCGCTTGAACCCAGGAGGCAGAGGTTGCAGTGAGCCAAGATCGCGCTACTGCACTCCAGCCTGGGCAACAGAGTGAGATTCTGTCTCAAAAAAAAAATAATAATAATGCTATTTATTGACTTTACACCTTGTACCAGGCATGGGAAGCTTTGCCTCCATTACGTCACTGAATCTCATAACCTCCTTTTCCAGCAGAGGAAAATGAGGTTGGTTCACAGACCACGTTGTCAGCTGTGCTCTGTCCAGAACGCACTGGCCTCCAAGTAGACAGCCCTGGACTGGTAGGGAAGCCGGCTATGATCCGGTGGCGCCCCCTGGAGGTCTATCGGGAACATGGTAAAGAACCTAAAAATGGGTGGGCCACAGTAGCTCATGCCTGTAATCCCAGCACTTTGGGGGACCAATGCGGGAGAATTGCTTGAGCCCAGGAGTTCAAGACCAGCCTGGGCAACATTGGGAGACCCACCCCCCGCCATCTCTACAAAAAAAAAATTAGGCCGGGCGCGGTGGCTCAGGCCTGTAATCCCAGCACTTTGGGAGGCCGAGGCGGGTGGATCACCTGAGGTCAGGAGTTCAAGACCAGCCTGGCCAACGTGGTGCCACACTGTCTCTAATAAAAACACGAAAATTAGGGCCGGGCTCGGTGGCTCACGCCTGTAATCCCAGCACTTTGGGAAGCCGAGGCGGGCGGATCACGAGGTCAGGAGATTGAGACCATCCTGGCTAACACGGTGAAACCCCCTCTCTACTAAAAATACAAAAAGTTAGCCAGGTGTGGTGGCGGGCGCCTGTAGTCCCAGCTACTCGGTAAGCTGAGGCAGGGAATCGCTTGAACCCGGGAGGCCGAGATGTGCGATCTCACACCACTGCACTCCGGCCTGGGCGACAGAGCGATACTCCATCTCAAAATACAAATACAAAATAAAAAAATACAATACAAAAATGAGCCGGGCTTGCGTACCTGTAGACCAGCTACTCAGGAGACAGAGGCAGGAGAATCCCTTGAGCTCTGGAGGTCGAGGCTGCAGTAAGCCATGATCTTGCCCATTGCACTCCAGCCTGGGCGACAGAGGAAGACCTTGTCTCTAAAAACCAAAACAAAGAAACTAAAAATAAGCATTCGGATTTGTTAGGGGGCGACAAGGGAGGCACTCCAGGATCTGTGGACTCCCCACTTTGTTCTGTCCTTGGAGAGCCCTGGAAGGTCTGAGAGGGGACGGGACCTGGTTTAAGGGGGTAGGGGAGAGGACCCTGGTCTAGGGGGTAAGGGACACAAATACCTAATCTGAGGGGTTTCGGGGGGACATGGCCCTGCCCTGGGGAATCTAAACTGGGAGGCATGGTCTGGCAGGCCCAATCCTGAAGGCTTTCTGAGGGCAATAAGGCCCTGCCTTTAAACAAATGAAAAAACGCCAGGCACGGTGGCTCACGCCTGTAATCCCAGCACTTTGGAAGGCTGAGGCGGGAGGATCACGAGGTCAGGAGATCGAGACCATCCTGGCTAACGCGGTGATACCCGTCTCTACTAAAAATACAAAAAATTAGCCAGGCGTGGTGGCGGGCGCCTGCAGTCCCAGCTACTCGGGAGGCTGAGGCAGGAGAATGGCGTGAACCCAGGAGGCGGAGCTTGCAGTGAGCCGAGATCGCGCCACTGCACTCCAGCCTGGGCAACAGAGCAAGACTCCGTCTCAAAAAAAACAAAAACAAAAACAAAAACAAAAACAAAAAAACAAATAAAAAAACAAAACCACATAACTGGATAAAGAAAAAACCATCTCCGACAGCCTTGGAGGCGGGATGAAGGCGTGGCCCGGTGGGCGTGACCAACAGCAAAAGTTTAAGCGTTATTGGCTGTATTCCTTAGTTGCTCACTCCAGAACTGCCCACTTATGGGCGGGGGTCACTCCTTCAGGCTTAACAGTCATTGGCTGAATTGGGCCAGAGAGGTCTCATTGGCTGAATTCCTGCACCGGCTCGTCGGAGGCGGGACCCAAAGTAGGCTAGGCCTACGGAAGCTGGGTCTTCTTGCTGTGAGGTCGCGTTCCCCAGTGTTACGGAGGGTCCTTGAGGCAGGAGTGAAAATTGGGTCTGGGGGTTAGTCCTGGGGTGGAGGTCTGGGCACGCCGGGTCGGACCCCCTCCATCTTCGGTTTTGCACACCCCGCTTTCCAGCGCGGAGTCGCGGCGGGTAGGGCGGCGTCGCGTGCGTGACGTCATCCAGCGGCGCCTCGCGAGGCTCCAGTGGCCTTGACCTCCCGCGGCGTGGGAGGCTGCGCGGCGATGCTGCAGTTCGTCCGGGCCGGGGCGCGGGCCTGGCTTCGGCCTACCGGCAGCCAGGTGAGGCCAGGGGCTGGAGGCGTGGTCGAAGGATGAAATTTGGGGGTGTCCAGGGGTCGTCTCTCACTTTCGCCCAACCCTTGCAGGGCCTGAGTTCCCTGGCGGAAGAGGCAGCGCGTGCGACCGAGAACCCGGAGCAGGTGGCGAGCGAGGGTAAGGCAACCGGGGTGGCTCCAGGAGGGGCGGCGACAGAGAGGTCTGACCCTTGACCCTAACCTCTGACCCCCGCAATCGCTCCAGGTCTCCCGGAGCCCGTGCTGCGCAAAGTCGAGCTCCCGGTACCCACTCATCGACGCCCAGTGCAGGCCTGGGTCGAGTCCTTGCGGGGCTTCGAGCAGGAGCGCGTGGGCCTGGCCGACCTGCACCCCGATGTTTTCGCCACCGCGCCCAGGTGAGCGAGGGCTGTAATGGTGAACTGAGTGGCAGAGGGATGAAGAGCGGGATTTCAGGAGTCACGATGACTTTGGGCTTGTACCCTTGGGAAAGTGCTGTATTTCTACAGCCTCCGTTTCTCCACCTGTCAAAGGGGAATGATGACAGTTTCCCCTGCTGTAGCGCTGTGTGAGATTGAAGCCTGAGAGGTGACATCATCTAAGGGTTAGGGAGACAGAATTCTGGAGCCCGACTGATTAGGTTCAAATCCTGCCTTCCCCTCTTGTCCCTCAGTGTCCCTATTTTGTCAGCGGTCGGGAGGTTGCTGTGATGAATAAATGACTTAATTCTGGCACATAATAAGTTCTATAGAAATGTTGATAATCTTTGTTAACTGGTTTTTGCAAATAAGAGCACTAAAAAGACTAAACCATTCCTCGGTGCCTGGAAGAGGCTGTTTGCATTTTAGTTACCCTGCTGTTCATAACATCTCTAAGAAAATGTAGGGGCCACCCTGGGCGCAGTGGCTCACGCCTGTAATCCCAGCACTTTGGGAGGCCAAGGCGGGCGGATCACGAGGTCAGGAGATCGAGACCATCCTGGCTAACATGGTGAAACCCCGTCTCTACTAAAAATACAAAAAAAAATTAGCCGGGCGTGGTGGCGGGCGTCTGTAGTCCCAGGTACTCTGGAGGCTGAGGCAAGAGAATGGCGTGAACCCGGGAGGCGGAGCTTGCAGTGAGCCGAGATCGCGCCACTGCACTCCATCCTGGGCAACACTCTGTCTCAAAAAAAAAAAAAAAAAAGAAAGAAAAGAAAATGTAGGGGCCAGTTACTGTGGCTCACATCTGTAATCCCAGCACATTGGGAGGCCGAGGTGGGCGGATCACTTGAAACCAGGAGTTGCAGACCAGCCTGGCCAACATGATGAAACCCCGTCTCTACCAAAAATACAAAAATTAGCCGGACGTCTTAGTGCAAGCCTGTAGTCCCAGCTACTCAGGAGGCTGAGGCATGAGAATCGCTTGCACCTGGGGAGATGGAGGTTGCAGTGAGCCGTGATTATACTACTGCACTCCAGCCTGGGCGACAGAGACAGACTCCATCTCAAAAAAAAAAACAGGTGAAATTGATTTCAATAATGTATTTAACCTGTATTTAAAACTATGTCGAAATCACATTGTAGCATGGGGCACTGGCCATGTTTCAGATGTTGAGTATGTGACTGTATGGAATGGTATAGAACTAGAGAGGAAAACCAGTCCCTGAAGAAGGTGGCAATAAGTGAAGTGTAATAGCAGGAAAAAAGTAATGGTAGGAAAAACAAGGAAGAAGGGGTGGCTTTTTTTTTCTGAGATGAAGTTTCGCTCTTGTCGCCCAGGCTGGAGTGCAATGGCATGCTCTCAGCTCACTTCAACCTCCGCCTCCTGGGTTCTACTAATTCTCATGCCTCAGCCTCCCGAGTAGCCAGAATGACAGACATGTACCACCGTGCCCAGCTAATCTTTGTATATTTTGGAGAGACATCACTTTGCCATGTTGCCCAGGCTGGTCTTACTCCTTGCCTCAAGTGATCCACCTGCCTTGGCCTCCCAAAGTGCCAGGATTCCAGGCATGAGCCACTGCACCTGGTCAGGGTGGCTCTTTCTTTAGAAGGTACCTTTCAGCAGTTATTGGAGCTGCTACCTGTAGGCTGAGAAAGAACCATCCAGGAGAAGAGTGTTTCAGGCAGAGGGAACAGCAAGTGCCAAGGCCCTGAGGCAGAATTTCAAGATGGGGTCAGTGAGGGGCAGAGGCAAATCGCCCAGGGCCCTGGAGGCAGAAGGGAGAATCCTGGGTTTTCCTATAGTGGGGTGGGAGCGTTTGAAGCAGAGTTGGGCTTCTCATGTGTCCTTCCTCCCCGCAGGCTGGACATACTGCACCAGGTTGCTATGTGGCAGAAGAACTTCAAGAGAATTGTGAGTGCCTAAATGGAGCAAGGTGGTGGGAAGGAGCTTCCTGGGGAGGTTGGGGATAGGACCCAGAGGAAGCCCATCGCTGGGTTTTCTCTGGACTGCTCGGCTGGGGCCTCATCTGTCTCCTGAACTATTCACCGATGGGTCCATTTTTGGTTCTCTTTTTTTTGTTTGTTTTTGAGATGGAGATGGAGTCTCACTCTGTCACCCAGGCTGGAGTGCAGTGGCGCAATCTTGGTTCACTGCAACCTCCGCTTCCTGGGTTCAAGCGATTCTCCTGCCTCTGCCTCCTGAGTAGCTGGGATTACAGGTGTGCACCACCATGCAGGCTAATTTTTGTATTTTTAGTAGAGATGGAGTTTCACCATGTTGGTCAGGCTGGTCTCAAACTCCTGACCTCAAGGAACCTACCTGCCTTGGCCTCCCAAAGTGCTGGGATTACAGGCGTGAGCCACCGTGCCCAGCTCATTTTCAGTTGTTTTCTGATCACTCACTGATGTGGGCATTGTGGTGGGTGAGAGGATATAGCAGGGACCACGAGGACAAAACAGGCAAGGTCCGGCTGTGTGCAAGTGGCTCAGGCCTGTAATCCCAGCACTGGAAGCTGAGGTGGGTGGGTTGCTTGGGGCCAGGAAAGACCAGCCTGGGAAACAGCAAGACCCAGTCTCTACCCCTTCCCCCACAACCCCAAGAAAAAGATGGGCAAAGTCCCTATTCTAATGAAGGTCACAGTGTCATGGGAGGAGAAGTGAAGGTGAGTCAGATGGTCATACGTAATGTGTAATTATGAGCATGTCCCAGAGAATGGGACGTTCAACCTTGGGTCTACTGTAGAAGCTAACCAGATCAAGGAGGCAGTGGGGCTAGTGTGGAGATAACAGGAACAGGGTGTGCAAAGGCCCTGTGGCAGGGACCACAAGGAAGCCAGTGTTGCCACAGAGGCCAGTGGGAGCAGTGGGGAGGAGTCTGGGTTTTGTGCCAAGAACATTGAAGAATCCATTACCAGTCAGGGTCTTATCCATCCACCCCAGAGGTCTGGCCAGTCCTCCCCCTGCTCACACCTTCCCTGGCTCCCCATCACCCTAGGAATAAAGTCATCAGTCTGCTATTCTGAGTTCTTCCTGATTTCCTTGCCCTGCTCCTCTTTCCTGATTCTCCCTGTCTGTGTCATTTCCCATGGCCCTCCCTCCTTGTGGCTACAACCACATTAAAATTGTTCAAAAAATAGGCCGGCACGGTGGCTCACACCTGTAATCTCAGCACTTTGGGAGGCCAAGGCAGGTGGATCACTTGAGGCCAGGAGTTCCAAACCAGCCTAGTCAACGTGGCAAAACCCCATCTCTACTGAAAATACAAAAAATTAGCTGGGGCCAGGTGCGGTGGCTCACACCTGTAATCCCAGTACTTTGGGAGGCCGAGGCGGATGGATCACGAGGTCGGGAGATCGAGACCAGCCTGACCAATATGGTGAAACCCCATCTCTACTAAAAATACAAATATTAGTTGGGTGTGGCAGCGGGCGCCTGTAGTCCCAGCTACTCTGGAGGCTGAGACAGGAGAATTGCTTGAACCTGGGAGGCGGAGGTTGCAGTGAGCCGAGATCGCGCCACTGCACTCCAGCGTGGGCGACAGAGCGAGACTCCATCTCAAAAAAAAAAATTAGCCGGGCATGGTGACAGGCACCCGTAATCTCAGCTACTAGGGAGGCTGAGGCAGGAGAATCGCTTGAATCTAGGAATCAGAGGTTGCAGTGAGCCAAGGTCACACCACTTGCACTCCACAGCCTGGGTGACAGAGTGAGACTGCCTCAAAAAAAAAAATCAATAGTTCAGAAAATACCGAGCACCCCCTGCGTGCCCGGTGGCAGGGCCCCTGCCTTTGTGAGGCTGGCATGGGGCAGGAGCTGTGACTTCTTTACCCTCCCCCTCGCTCCCCAAGTACTCTGTGCTTGGCCAGAGAGAGCCCGTCATCATGGTGCCTCCTGTCTGACTTCCCCGTGGCAGGACTGATCTGCCCGGCTCCCTGACACCTGCCTCGTGGACCTGACCCCCCTCCTCTTTGTGCCTCCAGAGCTATGCCAAGACCAAGACGAGAGCCGAGGTGCGGGGCGGTGGCCGGAAGCCTTGGCCGCAGAAAGGCACTGGGCGGGCCCGGCATGGCAGCATCCGCTCTCCGCTCTGGCGAGGAGGTAACAGGACAGGGTGGAGGGGGCGGGGAGGGGTGGGGGGGCCAGGGAAGGGCCTGGGTGTTTACTCACACACAGCTGCGCACATCTGGCATGGTATTATGTCAGCCCTGTTCCCTCCACCTCATGGAACCACCTGGGCTGGTGACATCGGAACTGAGGCCCTTGGACCTCACTACCCATATAAGGGGACAGAGATCTGGGAGCCATCCACTCCTCCCTCTCGCATGCCCTGTCTCTTCAGCCTGTGGCCACAGCCCCTCTTGACCCCACCTCCTGTCACCCTCTCCTGACCCACACTTCCCACAGCACCCAGAGAGCTCTTCTAAATCGTGGAACCTGAACTCCGGACCTCGGCCTTTGTGTGGAACCTGAACTCCTGACCTTGTCATTGTGGGCCCTGGTGGCTGCACACCTTTCCCCCTCATCCCCTCCTTTCCCTCTCTGACCAGGCAGAGATGACTCTCTCTTGTTTTTTCGGTTGTGTTTGTTTTTAACTTTTTATTTTCTTGAATGCTAACAAGATGACTCAGGGTGGTGCCAGCCACCCCATCACCTGTTTACCTGGCCAGCTCTCCTCACCTTTCAGGGTTCTGGGCCACACCTCCTCCAGGAAGCCCCCCTTGATCTCCTTTCCTTCCACATCCCCCGGAGCTACCCTGATTTCTTCTACAGCTGAGCCTCTTTTCTGCCCTGCCGGAATGTGAATGGCATGAGGGCAGGGACCATGTCTGTTGTCTTCTCTGCTGCATTTCCAAGGCCCAGGCGAGGGCAGACACCAACACATGGTGCTTGCAGGGGTCTCCCTGACTGTTGTTGCTCCCAGATCATACTGCTTGCTCCACCGGAGCATGTGCCTGATGCCTTCCTCTCCCGCTTGACCTGAAAGTTCGAACCTCCTGATAACTTCAGCATTAACAGCGTGCTTGAGTTAAGTTCACACTCTAGCCACTCTATGGAATCCACACCATAACTCATGGTGTCCTATGGGGCAGGAACTGTCCGATCTCAAGGTGGTTTGTTTTTTTTATTGTTTGCTTTTGAGACAAGATCTCGCTCTGTTGCCCAGGCTGTAGTGCAGTGGTGCAATCATAGCTCACTGCAGCCTTGAGCTCCTGGGCTCAAGTGATCCTCCATCCTCAGCCTCCCAAAATGCTGGTGTGAGCCACCTTCGCCAGCCCTGTCTCAGAGTGTGACAGCTGGGAAAACTGAAGCCCAGTGAAGCAAAGTCACTGGTCCCATGTTGTCCCTGATCCAGCCTCCCCTGAGGCCCCACCCTCTCTGCCTTGTTCCTGGCAGCGCCCCCTCTCTCGTCACCCCATGCCAGCCACTGCAGCAGATTGCTGACCTCCAGGCTCTGCAGTGGCCCCTACCTGCTCACATGCCTCTGTCCCCGCAGGAGGTGTTGCCCATGGCCCCCGGGGCCCCACAAGTTACTACTACATGCTGCCCATGAAGGTGCGGGCGCTGGGTCTCAAAGTGGCACTGACCGTCAAGCTGGCCCAGGTACAGCCATGGGGGGGCCCAGACAGCTGCTAGAGGTGGGGCTGCTCTGGACCCAGGGTTCAAACCATCCTTTCCTTCCACCAGGACGACCTGCACATCATGGACTCCCTAGAGCTGCCCACCGGAGACCCACAGTACCTGACAGAGCTGGCGCACTACCGCCGCTGGGGGGACTCCGTACTCCTCGTGGACTTGTGAGGGCACAGGGCAGAGCAGGGGCAGGGGGCCCTGAGCTCCGTACTCTGAGGGTTCAACCCCCACTCCCTGGCCTCTCTTACAGAACACACGAGGAGATGCCACAGAGCATCGTGGAGGCCACCTCTAGGCTTAAGACCTTCAACTTGATCCCGGCTGTTGGTGAGCAAAGAGCCCAGGCCCCTAGAGTGCGCATGTGCAGGCTCCGCTGTTAGAATCACAGCGGTTCAAATCCGGCATCTGGTCGCTGAGTGGCCTCAGGCAGTGACCACGCTCCCGGACCCAACCTTCAGCTTGCCCAAAGCAATAATCTTTCCTAAAGAAGTGCTTGGCTGGGGATGGTGGCTCACGCTTGTAATCCCAGTACTTTGGGAGGCCAAGGCAGTCTGGGCAATATAGTGAGGCTCCCATCTGTACTAAAAATAAAAAAGTTAGGCGTGGCGATGTGCACCTGTAGTCCCAGCTACTCGGGGGCTGAGCCAGGCGGATAGCTTGAGCTCAGGGGGCCAAGGCTGCAGTGAGTCATGATCGCACCACTGCACCCAAACCTGGGGAGAGAGCTAGACTCTTGTCTCAAAAAAAAAAAAAAAAAAAAAAAAAAAGCTCCAAAGTCACCTCTGTCAAAGCCACAGTCTGTTCCTTCCACAGCCACAAGATGGCGACATGAGCCTAAGTCAAGTCCTGTCCCTCAACCCACGCCCCTCGCTGGCTTCCCCACCTCTCTCAGGATGAAAGCCCAAGTCATCAGGGTGGCACGTCAGGCCCTGCACGATGTGCCCCGTCACCTCCCTGCCCTCCCGTCATTTGCCCTGGGTCTCCCCCACCAGAATGGGAGCCAGGAGTCCCAGCCAGGCACAGGACCGAGCCTGGCTCTCGGTCAGCAGGTGATGAGCTGGGAGCAGCTCCTTGGCCAGAGGCTTACAGGCAACAAGCGGCCAGGCAGGGTCTGGCCCCGGGCTGCTGGGCTCACAAAGTCACACTAGACCACAGTGACGATCTCTGTAAGCACAAAGGGACTCCGATGTGGGTGGGGTGAGGAGAGAGGCAGCCCCGGCCTGACCGGCCCCCCGCCCCGCCCCCACCCCGCCCCCAGGCCTAAATGTGCACAGCATGCTCAAGCACCAGACGCTGGTCCTGACGCTGCCCACCGTCGCCTTCCTGGAGGACAAGCTGCTCTGGCAGGACTCACGTTACAGACCCCTCTACCCCTTCAGCCTGCCCTACAGCGACTTCCCCCGACCCCTACCCCACGCTACCCAGGGCCCAGCGGCCACCCCGTACCACTGTTGATGTGAAGCACCTCTTCTGAGCCAGGCCGAGCCCCTGGCCGACTTGGGAGCCTCAGGCCCACGCCCACCCTTCGAGGAAGGTGTCACCTGGACCCCTTCATTCCACGGAGGAAGCTGAGGCCACAGGGAGCGGCCATCGCCATTGGGAAGGGGCGACTCCACGGAAAGCCCAGACGGGCTTCTGCATCCATTCCCTCTTTTTGTTTTTAAAATAAATTGTATTTTTGAATCAAGGAGGATAAAGATAACTTCTCAGTGTCATTTTTGATAATTGCATTGAGAACGATGAGCTCCTTCCCAGGTTCTGGGCACTGTTGGGGATCCGCCGTCTCAAGAGGCTCACGGTCTGGTTTAGGGGAACCCCAGGGCTGTTTGTGGAAATTACAAGAATTCACTTACCCGGTGAGTCAGACTCCAGGAGCTCACAGGTGCGTGGGCGCTGGCACTTCCTAGGAGCTGACTCCTGCCACATCCCTCTCCTGAGCACTGCTGCCAGCCATTCTCACCCCTGAGAGGGTTTGCAGTCCTGTCTGCGACAGTACTTCATGCAGCCTGAGAGTGTGTGCTTGATTGTACAAGTAGATGTTGTGTAAACCTGAGTTTTCAGAGTGACTTCCTGTAAGCACAGTCAGAAAAGTAAATGTCTCTCTGTAAGTGAGCAGATAAGCACATGCTTAAAAACACCAGCTGGGCGTGGTGACTCGCACCTGTAACCCTAGCACTTTGGGAGGTCAAGGTGGAAGGATCGTTTGAGCTCAGAGCTTCCAGACCAGCCTGGGCAACATGGTGAAACCCCATCTCTGCAAAAAATATAAAAATTAAGTGGGCGTGTTGGCGTCCACCTGTGGTCCCAGCTACTTGGGAGGCTGAGGTGGGAGGATCACCTGAGCCCAGGAAGCAGAGGTTGCAGTGAGCTGAGACTGAGCCACCACACACCAGCCTGGGTGACAGAGTGAGACACTGTCTTAAAACCCCAATATCCCAATTTTTGAGTTTGCTGAGGTTGCCAGCCAAGTTAATTTTTCTTAACAGCCATAACAGACTATAATATAGACAATGTGATCGATTTATTTAAAGTCAACCAGCTGGGCGCGGTGGCTCACGCCTATAATCCCAGAATTTTAGGAGGCTGAGCCAGGTGGATCACCGGAAGTCAGGAGTTCGAGACCAGCCTGGCCAAGCCGGGAGTGGTGGCGGGCACCTGTAATCCCAGCTACTTAGGAGGCTGAGGTGGGAGAATCGCTTGAACCCAGGAGGCAGAGGTTGCAGTGAGCCAAGATAGCGCCACTGCGCTCCAGCCTGGGTGACAGAGCAAGATTCCATCTATAAATAAATAAATAAATAAAGTCAATCAGGACTGCCTTCTGCCTGTGTGGGCCTGGCCAGGCTAAGCAGCCACACAACCCTCCCTACCTGCTGGGCCACCCCTGGCTGAAAACCTCTCTGGAATGCCTCTCTTGGGATTGCCTTCAGAGATTGCAACACATTCTCCAAACACCCTCAGTGGACATAGACTTTGATCCTTGAAGCAGCAGATTTGACTAAGTAAAAAAGAAAAAGCTATTAAAACCAGTTGGCTGGGCGCGGTGGCTCACGCCTGTAATCCCAGCACTTTGGGAGGCCGAGGCAGGCGGATCACGAGGTCAGGAGATCGAGACTATCCTGGCTAACACAGTGAAACCCCATCTCTACCAAAAATACAAAAAATTAGCCGGGCGTGGTGGTGGGCGCCTGTAGTCCCAGCTACTCAGGAGACTGAGGCAGGAGAATGGTGTGAACCCGGGAGGTGGAGCTTGCAGTGAGCCGAGATCGCGCCACTGCACTCCACTCCAGCCTGGCGACAGAGCTAGACTGTCTCAAAAAAAAAAACAGAGGCGTGCCAAAGCTCAGCAGAAAATGCCGCCTCATCACTCTTCCTCTTGCCAGTCTTGTGGGGGCACCAAGGCCTAGAGTAACACCCAGCTGTTGGCCTGACAGTGCCTGGCCCAGCCTGGAGAGTTGCAGCCAGAAGTATAAATGTGGTTCAGTCTGCGTCATACCTGTCAGGAAACATGGTGAGACCAACTGCTGCCCAGACGGATTTTCAAAAGAAATGGGTCAGAACGTATTCCCCCACACTGGAATCCCTCAGCCAGATTGAGGATAAAAACAGGCATCAGAAAAAAATGATACAGGCAGGCCTGGTGGCTCATGCCTGTAATCCCAGCACTTTGGGAGGCTGAGGCGGGAGGATCGCCTGAGCACAGGAGTTTGAGACCAGCCTGGGCAACACAGTGAGAACCTATCTCTACTAAAAATAGAACAATTAGCCAGGCACGGTGGTGTGGCTGTGGTCCCAGCTACTCTGGAGGCTGAGGTGGGAGGATCACTTGAGCCCTAGGGGTAGAGGCTGCAGTGAGCGGAGATCACCCCACTGCAATCCAGCCTGGGCAACAGATCAAGACCCTGTCTCAAAAAAAAAAAAAAGAAAAGAAAACAAAAGAAAAATATGATACACTGACTAGAATGTGCTTTAAAATAATTGGCATAGTTGGGTATGGTGGCATGCACCTGCAGTCTCACCTACTTGGAAAGCTGTGGCCAGGAGTTTGAGACCAGCCTGGGCAACACAGCAAGACCTCATCTCTATAAAAAATAGGCGGGGAGCAGTGGCTCACGCCTGTAATCCCAGCACTTTGGGAGGCCAAGGCAGGCGGATCACTAGAGGACAGGAGTTCAAGACCAGCCTGGCCAACATGGTGAAACCCCATCTCTACTAAAAATACAAAAATTGGCAGGATGTGGTGGCGGGTGCCTATAATCCCAGCTACTTGGGAGGCTGAGGCAGGAGAATCGCTTGAACCTGGGAGGCAGAGGTTGCAGTGAGCCGAGGTCATGACACTGCCCTCAAACCTGGGTGACAGAGCAAGACTCGGTCTCGAAAAAAAAAATAATGAATGAATGAATTAATTCATTAATTAAATAGGGGGGGTATATGAGTTTGTTAGGGCTGCCGTAGGAGTGCCACAAACTGCAGGGGTTGGGGGGGTTAGTCAACAGAAATTTATTCTGTCCTGTTTCTGGAGGCTGGAAGTCCAAGGTGAAGAACAGGGTTAGCTCCTTCTAAGGGAAAATCTGTTCCAGATCCCTCTCCTAGCGTCTGGTGGTTTGCTTTGCTGACTATCTTTGACATTCCTTGGCTTGTAGCCACACTGCTTCAGTCTCCACCTTCATCTTTACATGATGTTGTCCCTGTGGGTATGTGTCTGTTTCTGTGTCTAAATTTCTCCTTTTTATTTTTTTCTTTTTTCTCTATCTTTTTTTTTAGACGGAGTCGCGCTCTGTTGCCCAGGCTGGAGTGCAGTGGCTCGATCTCGGCTCACTGCAACTTCTGCCTCCTGGGTTCAAGCGATTCTCCTGCCTCAGCCTCCCAAGTAGCTGGGATTACAGGCGCCCACCACCATGCCTGGCTAATTTTTGTGTTTTTAGTAGAGAAGGGGTTTCGCCATATTGGCCAGGCTGGTAACCTCAGGTGATCCACCCGCTTTGGCCTCCCAAAGTACTGGGATTACAAGCGTGAGCCACCGAACCTGGCCTATTTTTTCATTTATTTTTAGACAGAGTTTTGCTCTTCTTGTCCAGGCTAGAGTACAATGGCGCAATCTCGGCTAATCTCAACCTCCGCCTCCCGGGTTCAGGCGATTCTCCTGCCTCAGCCTCCCAAGTAGCTGGGATTACAGGCATACGCCACAATGCCTGGCTAATTCTGTTTTGTTAGCAGAGATGGGGTTTCACCATGTTGGTCAGGCTGGTCTCGAACTCCCGACCTCAGGTGATCCACCCACCTCAGCCTCCCAAAGTGCTGAGATTACAGACACGAGCCACTGAGCCTGGCCCTCTCCTTTTTATTTTTAAAATATATTTTGTGGACGGCAGCAGTGGCTCACACCTGTAATCCCAGCACTTTGGGAGGCCGAGGCGGGTGGATCACAAGGTCAGGAACTCGAGACCAGCCTGGCCAATATGGTGAAGCCCCATCTCTACTAAAAATATAAAAATTAGCCAGGCATGGCCGGGCGCGGTGGCTCACGCCTGTAATCCCAGCACTTTGGGAGGCCGAGGCGGGCGGATCACGAGGTCAGGAGATCGAGACCATCCTGGTTAATACGGTGAAACCCCGTCTCTACTAAAAATACAAAAAAAAAATTAGCTGGGCGAGGTGGCAGGTGCCTGTAGTCCCAGCTACTCGGGAGGCTGAGGCATGAGAATGGCGTGAACCCGGGAGGCGGAGCTTGCAGTGAGCTGAGATCGCGCCACTGCACTCCAGCCTGGGTGACAGAGTGAGACTCCATCTCAAAAAAAAAAAAAAAAAATTTAGCCAGGCGTGGTGTCAGAAGCCTGTAGTCGCAACTACTTGGGAGGCTGAGGCAGGAGAATCACTTGAACCCAGGAGGTGGAGGTTGCAGTGAGCCGAGACCACATCACGGCACATCTAAAAAAAAAAAAAGTTTTCTGTTTTTGTTTTTTGCAAAACTACTGAAATAAATACAGTGAGATATTTATTTATAAATGAGAACGAATTAATAATGAGCCGTAGGCTGGGTGTGGTGGCTCATGCCTATAATCCCAGCATTTTGGGGGGCCAAGGCAGGTGGAACACTTGAGGTCAAGAGTTCGAGACCAGGCTGACCAATATAGTGGAACCCCATCTCTACTAAAAATACAAAAGAATTAGCCGGGCATGGTGCCGGGCGCCTGTAATCTCAGCTATGGGAGGCTGAGGTAGGAGAATCGCTTAAACCCTGGAGGCGGAGGTTGCAGTGAGGCGATATCACGCCACTGCACTCCAGCCTGGGGGACAGAGCGAGACTCCATCTCTAAATAAATAAATAAGGAGCTGTATTTCAAAATTTGGAGAAGGTGACACTGAGAGTACTGAATACACAGTTTTTTGTTTTTTTGGTTTTTTTTGAGACAGAGTCTCGCTCTGTCACCCAGGCTGGAGTGCAGTGGTGCAACCTCGGCTCACTGCAATCTCTGCCTCCCGGTTCAAGCAAATCTCCTGCCTCAGCCTCCCGCGTAGCTGGGATTACAGGCACGCATCCCCATGCCTGGCTAATTTTTGTATTTTTAGTAGAGACGGGATTTCACCATATTGGTCAGGCTGATCTCAAACTCCTGACCTCGTGATCTGCCTGCCTCGGCCTCCCAAAGTGCTGGGATTACAGGCGTGAGCCACCGAGCCTGGCCCCAAAAAATATTTATCAAAACTATGTTAATGCTGGCCGGGTGCGGTGGCTCATGCCTGTAATCCCAGCACTTTGGGAGGCCGAGGCAGGTGGAACACGAGGTCAGGAGATTGAGACCATCCTGGCTAACACGGTGAAACCCCGTCTCTACTAAAAAATACAAAAAATTAGCCGGGCGCGGTGGTGGGTGCCTGTAGTCCCAGCTACTCAGGAGGCTGAAGCAGGAGAATGGCAGGAACCGGGGAGGCAGAGGTTGTAGTGAGCTGAGATCGCGCCATTGCACTCCAGCCTGGGCGACAGAGCGAGAATCCGTCTCGAAAAAAAAAAAAAAATACACACACACACACAAAAACTGTGTTAATGCTTAACTACACAAAAATGATAATCAGATAAATATGCATTTATTTAGAGAACTGCATGTTGGTCAGTCCAGTCCCTGCAGAGGGAATTCCCAGCATGACCTCATTCACTTGTGAAGACAGAGCAATCCTTGTGTTTTATTTTTTTAAGATGGATCTCACTCTGTTGCCCAGACTGGAGTGCAGTGGCATGATCTCAGCCCTCTGCCACCTCCACCTTCCGGGTTCAAGAGATTCTCATGCCTCAGCCTCCTGAGTAGCTGAGATTACAGGCTTGTGCCTCCATGCCCAGCTAATTTTTTTATTTTTACTAGAGATGAGGTTTCACCAGTTTGGGCAGGCCGGTCTCAAACTCCTGACCTCAAGTGATCCACCCACCTCGGCCTCCCGAAGTGCTGGGATGACAGGTGCCTGGTCAGCAACTGTTGTTTAGACATACACATTTTATCTGCTCGTCCAGCATGGTCAGCCCTCCACTTTTTAAATTTTATTTTATTTATTTTTTTGAGACAGAGTCTCACTCTGTTGTCCAGGTTGGAGTCCAGTGGCGTGATTTCGGCTCACTGCAACCTCTACTTCCCAGGTTCGAGCAATTCTCCTGCCTCAGCTTCCCGAGTAGCTGGGATTACAGGCCCGCGTCCCCACACCTAGCTAATTTTTGTATTTTTAGTAGAGACAGGGTTTCACCATGTTGGCCAGGCTGGTCTCGAACTCCTGACCTCAGGTGATTCTCCTGCCTTGGCCTCCCAAAGTGCTGAGATTACAGGTGTGAGCCACTGCACACGGCCTTAAATTTTATTTATTATTTATTTATTTATTTATTTAGAGACTTAGTCTCACTCTGTTGCCCAGGCTGGAGTGCAGTGGCATGGTCTCGGCTCACTGCACTCCACCTCCTGGGTTCACGCCATTCTCCTGCCTCAGCCTCCCGAGTAGCTGGGACTACAGGCGCCCACCACCACTCCCGGCTAATTTTTGTATTTTTAGTAGAGATGGGGTTTCACTGTGTTAGCCAGGATAGTCTCGATCTCCTGACCTCGTGATCCGCCTGCCTCGGCCTCCCAAAGTGCTGGGATTACTTATTTTGTTTTTTGTAGAGACAGGTTCTCACTGTGTTGCCCAGGCTGGTCTTGAACTCCTGATCTCAAGTGATCTTCCCACCTCAGTCTCTCAAAGGGCTGGGATTACAGGGGTGAGCCACTGCACCCCACCTTCCCTCTACTTTTTGACGGTTTCCTTCTGCTATGAATGTGCATGTCCAGTTGTCTGCTTCTTAGAACTGATATTTACCTTCCTCATCCATCAGCCATTGGAGGAGGACTGGGACCGCTCAGATTATTGATCTGACCCATTCTTTCGGCAGGGTTTCCTGGTGGCTGTCTTCCATCACCAAAACTGGAATCAGAAGAGTTTCCATAGCCCTTTTTTTTTCCCCACATCTTTGCTGAAGCAGAGTTTTGAAAAACAAAACCACAAACTAAGCTATTCCCCAGAAGAAATCTGTAATCAAAGATAAGCTCTGCCGGGCACAGTGGCTCACGCCTTTTGGAGGCCAAGGCGGGCGGATCACCTGAGGTCAGGAGTTCTAGACCTGCCAGGCCAACATGGTAAAACCTCATCTCTACTAAAAATACAAAAATTAGCTAGATGTGGTGGTGGGTACCTGTAGTCTCAGCTACCTGGGAGGCTGAGGCAAGAGAATCGCTTGAACCTGGGAAGTAGAGGTTGCAGTGAGCCGAGATTGCACCACTGCACTCCAGCCTGGGCGACGGAGTGAGACGACCTCACAAAAATTTACATAAATAAAATGAAAAGTAAAATAAAAATACAAAAGTTGGCCGGGTGCGTTTGCTCACGCCTGTAATCCCAGCACTTTGGGAGGGTGAGGCAGGCAGATAATGAGGTAAGAAGATCGAGACCATCCTGGCTAACACGGTGAAACCCTGTCTCTACTAAAAATACAAAAAATTAGCTGTGCGTGGTGACACGCACCTGTAGTCCCAGCTATTTGGGAGGCTGAGGCAGGAGAATCACTTGAACCTGGGAGGTGGAGGTTGCAGTGAGCCGAGATCGCACCACTGCACTCCAGCCTGGGCCACAGAGTGAGACTCCATCTTGAAAAAAAAAAAAAATACAAAAGTTAGCCAGGGGTGTTGGTGGGTGCCTGTAATCCCAGCTATTTGGGAGGCTAAGGCAGAAGAATTTCTTGAACCTAGGAAACGGAGGTTGCAGTGAGCCGAGATCACACCTCTGTACTCCAGCCTGGACAACAGAGCGAGACTTTGTCTCAAAAAAAAAAAAAAAAAAAAAACTAAATAGGCCGGGAGCAGTGGCTCATGCCTATAATCCCAGCCCTTTGGGAGGCCAAGGCAGGTGGATCACTTGAGGTCAGGAGTTTGAGACCAGGCTGGCCAACATGGTGTAACCCCGTCTCTACTAAAAACACAAAAATTAGCCGGGTCTGGTGGCGTATGTCTGTAATCCCAGCTACTCGGGAGGCTGAGGCAGGAGAATCACTTAAACCTGGGAGGCAGGGGTTGCAGTGAGCTGAGATCGTGCCACTGCACTCTAGCCAGGGTGACAGAGTGAAACTCTGTCTCAAAAAATTAAAAAAGAAATTCAGCAAGTAATGAGTTAAGGAATTCGAATATTAAGGCGAGTGACAAGGAACGCCCAGGATGTGGCCCAGGATGGAGTAGGGGGGACACTCATTTAGGAGAAAGCTCAGGCCACAAGACAGGAGGAGCCAGCCTTGTTGGGGTTGAAGGGAAGAGCATTCCAGGCTGAGGGAACTGCAAGGCGTTTGCATGGGACACTATGGGATGGCTTCTGCCCTTGGTGGGCAGCCTCTGGTCTGAGGCCATTCTTTGGCCTGCCTGACTGTCTGGCAACCGGGAGGAAGCCCTGCCCTTCCTGGAGACAGAAACAAAGGTCTAGGAAATATCTGCTTCCCTTTTCCTTGAAAAACGCTTAAGGGAACGGAGGACTGGGAGGTGCCGTCTCTCTCTGCCAGCCTGCCCCCTACCATAGCCATCCCACTCCCATCTCAGAAAGTGACCCGCCATCCTCCAAAAGGCTCGGACCCTGATCAAGGAGTCATCCCCCTTGTCCCAGCACCTCCAGTTGGCCCAGCCTCCAAAACGGATGTCAAATTCAGCCCTTTCTCCAAGGACACTGCCCAGTCCAGGCCCCACTATCATTCATCTGGACTAGAACAGTCACCTCCTCTCCCATCTCCTGGCTGCAGCTCTTGAAGCCTCAACTGGGCCCCTGTGAACACTTGAGTTAGGGCAAGGTCCTTCCTCTGCTCAGAACCCTCTATACCTCCCACCTCGCTGGGCATAAAAGCCAAAGTCCTGGCCAGGCACGGTGGCTCACATCTGTTATCCCAGCACTTTGGGAGGCCAAGGGGGGCGGATCACTAGAGGTCAGGAGTTAGAGACCAACATGGTGAAACCCCATCTCTACTAAAAATACAAAAATTAGCTAGGCGTGGTGACGCACCCCTGTAGTACCAGCTACTCGGTAGGCTGAGGTGGGAGAATCGCTTGAACCTGGGAGGCAGAGTTTGCAGTGAGCCGAGATCACACCACTGTGCTCCAGCCTGGGTGACAGAACGAGACTGGGGTTCAGAAACAAACAAACAAAACAACAAAGTCCTCCTCAGGTGACAGGAACTTGCACCTATCTGCCCTGTCATCTCCCTGCCCGCTCCTCTCCTCGAATCTCTCCTTTGCTAAGCCTGCTCCAGCCACACTGTTCTCCTGGCTGTTCCTTTTTTTTTTTTTTTTTTTTTTTTTTTGAGTCTCACTCTCACCCAGGCTGGAGTGCAGTGCCTCTATCTTGGCTCACTGCAACCTCCGCCTGCCGGGTTCAAGAGATTCTCCTGCATCAGCCTCCCAAGTAGGTGGAATTACAGGTGTGCACCACCACACCCGGCTAATTTTTGTATTTTGCATAGAGATGGGGGTCTCCCTATGTTGCCCAGGCTGGTCTTGAACTCCTGGGCTCAAGTGATCCTCCCATCTCGGCCTCCCAAAATGCTGGGATTACAGGTGGGAGCCGCGCCCAGGTGGATTTTTGTCTGACTCTGTTCATTCCTGTGTCCCCAGTACCTGGAAGGACGCCAAGCACACAGTAGGCGCTTAAAAAACATTGAGCCACATGTTGAGAAAAGAACGGCACCATTGTGGCTGCAAGTGGGACTTGGGCCGCGCGGGGGAGCTCGCGCACCTCGGGCCGGGGCAAGAGCTCAGTGGAACCCGCCCGAGGAAGAACCCGTGGCGCAGGATTTTCCCAGGCCTTCTGAGGACCAGGGGCGTCCCCCGTCCCACCCTGTGACTTTGCTCAGGCCGTTCCGGGGCGGGAATTCAGAACTCCTCAGCCCCCCAAGAAAAAAATATCCCCGTGGAAATTCCTTGGGAATGACCGAGGCGGGGGAAATATGCGTCTCTGGATGGCCAGTGACTCGCAGCCCCCTTCCCCGATAGGAAGGGCCTGCGCGTCCGGGGACCCTTCGCTTCCCCTTCTGCTGCGCGACCTCCCTGGCCCCTCGGAGATCTCCATGGCGACGCCGCGCGCGCCCCACAACAGGAAAGCCTTAGGCGGCGCGGCTTGGTGCTCGGAGACTTAAGAGTACCCAGCCTCGACGTGGTGGATGTCGAGTCTTGGGGTCACACGCACAGGCGGTGGCCAAGCAAACACCCGCTCATATTTAGTGCATGAGCCTGGGTTCGAGTTGCCGGAGCCTCGCGCGTAGGGCAGGGGTTCGAGCGCCCCTTCTCCCTGCCTCGCCTCTGCGCCTGGGGGCTGCTGCCTCAGTTTCCCAGCGACAGGCAGGGATTTCGAGCGTCCCCCTCCCCTCCCTCGTCAAGATCCAAGCTAGCTGCCTCAGTTTCCCCGCGGAGCCTGGGACGCCAGCGGAGGGGCTCGGCGCGTAGGGATCACGCAGCTTCCTTCCTTTTTCTGGGAGCTGTAAAGACGCCTCCGCGGCCAAGGCCGAAAGGGGAAGCGAGGAGGCCGCCGGGGTGAGTGC
Organism: Homo sapiens; assembly: GCF_000001405.40. Taxonomy (NCBI): domain Eukaryota; kingdom Metazoa; phylum Chordata; class Mammalia; order Primates; family Hominidae; genus Homo; species Homo sapiens. The sequence goes on from NC_000019.10 coordinate 10,270,435, forward strand.
CCTCGGGTGTAGAGAGAGGACGCCGATTTCCCCGGACGTGGTGAGACCGCGCTTCGTCACTCCCACGGTTAGCGGTCGCCGGGAGGTGCCTGGCTCTGCTCTGGCCGCTTCTCGAGAAATGCCCGTGTCAGCTAGGTGTGGACGTGACCTAGGGGGAGGGGCATCCCTCAGTGGAGGGAGCCCGGGGAGGATTCCTGGGCCCCCACCCAGGCAGGGGGCTCATCCACTCGATTAAAGAGGCCTGCGTAAGCTGGAGAGGGAGGACTTGAGTTCGGACCCCCTCGCAGCCTGGAGTCTCAGTTTACCGCTTTGTGAAATGGACACAATAACAGTCTCCACTCTCCGGGGAAGTTGGCAGTATTTAAAAGTACTTAATAAACCGCTTAGCGCGGTGTAGACCGTGATTCAAGCTTAGCCTGGCCGGGAAACGGGAGGCGTGGAGGCCGGGAGCAGCCCCCGGGGTCATCGCCCTGCCACCGCCGCCCGATTGCTTTAGCTTGGAAATTCCGGAGCTGAAGCGGCCAGCGAGGGAGGATGACCCTCTCGGCCCGGGCACCCTGTCAGTCCGGAAATAACTGCAGCATTTGTTCCGGAGGGGAAGGCGCGAGGTTTCCGGGAAAGCAGCACCGCCCCTTGGCCCCCAGGTGGCTAGCGCTATAAAGGATCACGCGCCCCAGTCGACGCTGAGCTCCTCTGCTACTCAGAGTTGCAACCTCAGCCTCGCTATGGCTCCCAGCAGCCCCCGGCCCGCGCTGCCCGCACTCCTGGTCCTGCTCGGGGCTCTGTTCCCAGGTGAGTCGGGGTGGGGATTGCCGTCGGGCCAGTTCTCCGAAGCCCCGGGAGGACCGGCTCCCGGGTCAGGTCATGCATGCTTAGGTAGCTGTTTATGGGAAGGAGGGGCTAGAGACAGCGATTGAAAGGCAACAGCCAGTAGGTTCGAATCCAGACCCTGCATACCTCCACGTGTGGCCTTGGGCTATAGATTGCAGCTTTAAAAAAGGGTAGGGGGTTGGAGATGGAGGGGAGGGGCGGGCCTCGTTTTGTTGCCCAGGCCGGTCTTGAACTCCGGGGGTCTAGCCTTACCTCCTGCCTCAGCCTCCCGAGTAGCTGGGATGAGAGGTGTGAACCACCGCCTTGCTTGGCTAGATTGCGTCTCTTACAGTTTCTCAGCTGTAAAACGGGAAACGTTATAGCGGCCACCTGGCAGGGTATCTTGGCCCAGCGCAGCACCTGGCCCCAGGACTCGATCATGATGGTTTGGGAACTTGGCTCTGTGCCAACCCAACAAGGCTTAAGGGACCCCCACCCCCCTCAAGATGTATATTCTGTTCCTCATCCTCTCTGCCCCTGGGGAAGTCCAGGGCTGCTTCTACTTGGGGGAATTCCAGAGCTGACTTATCCGTGGCCCAAAGCTGAGAAGTGGGACGCCCCAGCACACCCTCCCCCAGCTCCAGCCCAGCTAGGGAAGAGGGAAGGGGTCAGAGGGTCTTTCATGGTGGTGTAAGTTTGGGGAACCAGGAGGGTGGGAGATTGACAGCTTGGTTAACAGCTCAACAAAGCCTGAGATCCAGGCCAGCACGGTAGTTCATGCCAGTAATCCCAACACTTTAGGAGCCCCAGGCGGGCGAATCACTTAAGGTCAGGAGTTTGAGACCAGCCTGGCCAACATGGCAACATCCCGTCTCTACTAAAAATACAAAAATTAGCTGGCATGGTGGTGGGCGCCTGTGATCCCAGCTGCTCGGGAGGCTGAGGGAGGAAAATCCCTTAAGCCCACGAGGCTGAGGTTGCAGTGAACCAAGATTGTGCCACTGCACTCCAGCCTGGGAGACATAGCGAGATTCTGTCTCAAAAAACAAAGCGTTCTGATCCGGACTCAGACCCAGATCGCACTGCTTTCTAGCTGAGTAACCATTTCTCTCTATGAAATGGGAATGGTCCCAGAATCTCCCTTGGAGAATGTATGGAGCCAGTGTCCTCACACCCCCATCCAAGATAGAACAAATCTGAGACAGGAATCTTTGAGTGAGGCAGTGCTGGGCTCAGACATTTTTTCCCACCTTCGGAGGCAGCAGAATCTGAGGGACCTGATCCAAATAAGCCCCTTCTTTCTTTCTTTTCTTTTCTTTTTTTTTTTTTTTTTTTTTTGAGACGGAGTCTCACTCTGTCGCCCAGGCTGGAGTGCAGTGGCGTGATCTCGGCTCACTGCAACCTCTGCCTCCCAGGTTCAAACGATTCTCCTGCCTCAGCCTCCCTGAGTAGCTGGGACTACAGGCATGTGCCATCACACCCGGCTAATCACTGTGTTAGCCAGGATGGTCTCGATTTCCTGACCTCATGATCTGCCCACCCTGCCTCCCAAAGTGCTGGGATTACATGCGTGAGCCACAGTGCCCACCCCGTAAGCCCCTTCTTTCTTACCTGCAAGGTAGCCAGTTGCTACCCATCCTGTGCTGAGTTACTTGTATTAGCAAGGGATGGGGTGGCTATACTCACCCACCTTACAGATGGGGAAATTGAGGCCCAAAGAGGGGGAAACTACGTGTCTCAGGGAGTGAGGAGCCAGTCTGATTCCTGGAGGGCTGACTGTCTCCACCTGACTTCTTAGGAGGGAGGAGGGCACCAACTTCACATTAAAATCTGGTTGGACACAGTGGCTCACACCTGTAATCCTGGCATTTTGGGAGGCTTAGGCGGGAGGATCACTTGAGGCCAGGAGTTTGAGACCAGCCTTAGCAACATAGTGAGACCCCATCTCTACAAAAATGTTTTTCAGGGCCAGGCGCGGTGGCTCACACCTATAATCCCAGCACTTTGGGAGGCTGAGGCGGGCGGATTACCTGAGGTCAGGAGTTTGAGACCAGCCTGACCAACATGGAGAAACCCCGTCTCTACTAAAAGTACAAAATTACCCGGGCGTGGTGGCGCATGCCTGTAATCCCAGCTACTCGGGAGGCTGAGGCAGGAGAATCGCTTGAACCTGGGAGGCGGAGGTTGCGGTGAACTGAGATCGTGCCATTGCACTCCAGCCTGGGCAACAAGAGCTAAACTCCGTCTCAAAAAAAAAAAAATGTTTTTCAAATATTAGCCGGGTATGGTGGTGTCCTGTAGTCCCAGCTACTTGGGAGGCTGAGATGGGAGGATCACTTGAGCCCAGGAGTTCAAGGTTACAGTGAGCTATGATTGTGCCACTGTATTCCAGCCTGGGTAACAGAGGGAGACCCGTTTAAAAAAAAAAAAGTGATGGCTAAAGTCCTTCCATGGCTCCCTATTGCCCTCAGTATAAAGAACACATGTGGCTGGGCGTGGTGGTTCACGCCTGTAATCCCAGCACTTTGGGAGGCTGAGGCGGGCGGATCACTTGAGGCCAGGAGTTTGAGAGCAGGCTGGCCGACGTGGCGAAACCCCGTCTCTATTAAAAATACAAAAATTAGCTGGGCGTGGTGGTGCTTGCCTGTAATCCCAGATACTCTGGAGGCTGAGGCAGGAGAATCACTTGAACCCGGGAGGCAAAGGTTGCAGTGAGCTGAGATTGCGCCACTGCACTCCAGTCTGAGTGACAAAGCGAGACTCCATCTCAAAAAAAAAAAAAATAAAAGAACACATCTTTAGCATGGCCTTCAGTGCTCACGGGATCTTCCTGAATTAATCTCCCCCTCTTCATCCTTGCTCACTCAGCTCCAGCCACCCTGCCCCGGGACATCTGTACTTGCCTGGAACTTATTTCCCTTTTCTCCGGACAGCCAGCCCTTTCTCGTCATTTAGATCTCTGCTGAAACATTACCCTGTCACCAAAGCACTGTCTATTCTATCACCCTGTTTTGTTTTTGTCAAAGCTCATATTAACATCAGTTATTAATTATCTTGTTTGCTCATAATTTTTTTTTTTTTTTTTTTGGAGACAGAGTCTCGTTCTGTTGCTCAGGCTGGAGTGCAGTGGCACAATCTTGGCTCACTGTAACCTCCACCTCCCAGGTTCAAGTGATTCTTGTGCCTCAGCCTCCCAAATAGCTAGGACTACAGGCACGTCCCACCATGCCCAGCTAATTTTTGTATTTTTAGTGGAGACGGGGCTTTGTCATGTTGGCCAGGCTGATCTCAAATTCCTGACCTCAAGTGATCTGCCCGCCTTGGCCTCCCAAAGTGCTGGGATTACAGGCGTGAGCCACCACACCCGGCCTGCTCATGAATTTTCTCTTTAACTTCCACATCGAAGGCAAAGTATTGTCTTGTTAAGGCTGTGCCTCCAGCACCCAGCACAGGCTGGGCGCACATTCCCTTGATGAACCTGATTTGTAATGCCTGTCGCCTCTTCCCTCGTTTCTTCTAGGACCTGGCAATGCCCAGACATCTGTGTCCCCCTCAAAAGTCATCCTGCCCCGGGGAGGCTCCGTGCTGGTGACATGCAGCACCTCCTGTGACCAGCCCAAGTTGTTGGGCATAGAGACCCCGTTGCCTAAAAAGGAGTTGCTCCTGCCTGGGAACAACCGGAAGGTGTATGAACTGAGCAATGTGCAAGAAGATAGCCAACCAATGTGCTATTCAAACTGCCCTGATGGGCAGTCAACAGCTAAAACCTTCCTCACCGTGTACTGTGAGTAACTGAGCCCGGAGGGCTGGACTAGGCAGACCCGGTGGGAGAGACGTGCAGGGGCACCTGCAGAGGCCTGGGGGAATCTTTGCCACTTGCTCGTAGGGTCAAGGAGGGGCTCCTTGCAGGGCAGGTGGGGACATCCTTGGAAAGTCCCTTTGTGAATTTCTTTGGGTACAATTAAAGTATTTACAGGCTGGGTGCGGTGGCTCATGCCTGTAATCCCAGCACTTTGAGAGGCTGAGGCTGGCGGATCACCTGAGATCAGGAGTTTAAGTTTCGCCAACATGGCGAAACCCTGTCTCTGCTGAAAATACAAAAATCAGCCGGGCATGGTGTCAAGCGCCTGTAATCCCAGCTACTTGGAAGGCTGAGGCAGGAGAACGCTTGAACCTGAGAGGCAGAGATTGCAGTGAGCCGCGATCGTGCCAGTGCACTCCAGTCTGGATAACAGAGCAAGATTCCATCTCAAGAAAAAAAAAATGCCATCTCTCTATGCCTCACTCTTTGAACATATGACACGGTCCTGCTTCAGACACTTTAATAAAAGATGCAAATTAAGCCAAGTGTGGTGGCTTGTACCTATAATCCCAACTACTCCAGAGGCTGAGGCAGAAGGATGGTTTGAGCCCAGGAGTTTGAGACCAGCCTGGGCAACAGAGTGAGACCCTGTTTCTTTCTTTTTTTTTTTTTTTTTTTTGAGACGGAGTCTCACTCTGTCGCCCAGGCTGGAGTGCAGTGGTGTGATCTCGGCTCACTGCAAGCTCCGCCTCCCGGGTTCACGCCATTCTCCTGCCTCAGCCTCCCGAGTAGCTGGGACTACAGGCGCCTGCCACCATGCCCGGCTCATTTTTTTGTATTTTTAGTAGAGACGGGGTTTCACTGTGTTAGCCAGGATGGTCTCAATCTCCTGACCTAGTGGTCCGCCCGCCTCGGCCTCCCAAAGTGCTGGGATTACAGGTGTAAGCCACTGTGCCCATCCAAGACCCTGTTTCTACCGGAAAAAAAAAGTAAATAATTTAGCTGGGCATCGTGGTGTGCACCTGTAATCCCAGCTGCTCCTGAGGCTGTGATGGGAGGATTGCTTTAACCCAGGGGTTCGAATCCTAGGAGTTCGAATCCATCCTAGGCAACATAGCAAAACCCCATTTTTATTTAAAAAAAAAAAAAAAGATATGAGTTAAAACTAGCCCTGGGATGGCATTTTTCACATATTGGTAACAAACAAAAGAATTGATGGCCGGGCGCAGTGGCTCACGCCTGTAATCCCAGCACTTTGGGAGGCCGAGGCGGGCGGATCACAAGGTCAGGAGATCGAGACCATCCTGGCTAACATGGTGAAACCCCGTCTCTACTAAAACTACAAAAAATTAGCCGGGCATGGTGGCAGGCGCCTGTGGTCCCAGCTACTCAGGAGGCTGAGGCAGGAGAATGGCATGAACCCGGGAGGCAGAGCTTGCAGTGAGCCAAGATCGTGCCACTGCACTCCAGCCTGGGCGACAGAGCAAGACTCCATCTCAAAAAAAAAAAAAAAAAAAAGAATTGATAACAGCTGTGCTGCCAAGGCTATTGGAACGTAGGAGGTCCTAGGACAGTGCTGTTGGGAGCATAAATAAGCCCAACCCTGTGGCGGGAAATTGGGCATCAGTTCTCAAAATGTCATGGGCTGGGCACGGTGGCTCACGCCTGTAATCCCAGCACTTTGGGAGGCTGAGGGAGGCGGATCACTTGAGGTCAGGAGTTCGAGACCAGCCTGACCACCATGGAGAAACCCCGTCTCTATTAAAAATACAAAAAAAACTAGCCAGGCATAGTGGCACATACCTGTAATCCCAGCTACTCGGGAGGCTGAGGCAGGAGAATCTCTTGAAACTGGGAGGCAGAGGTTGCGGTGAGCTGAGATTGCGCCACTGCACTCCAGCTTGGGCAACAAGAGCAAAACTCCATCTCAAAAAAAAAAAAAAAAGAAATAAAAGAAGGTATGTTGAATATGAGTGGTATGCCACCCTCACATTAGGGAAGGGCAGTTTCGGGGAGGCTGTATTTATGTATAAAATAGCCCTAAAAGGAAGTGGGAGAAATGACAATATTAGCTGGCTATGAGAAGAGAGGCTGGGAGGCTGTGGGAGAGGGCTTGGGTGTGGAGAATTCTTTTTGTTTTTTCCTTTTTTTGAGACAGAGTTTCACTCTTGTTGCCCAGGCTGGAGTGCAATGGCACGATCTCAGCTCACCGCAACCTTCACCTCCTGAGTTTAAGTGATTCTCCGGCCTCAGCCTCCCGACTAGCTGGGATTACAGGCATGGGCCACTACGCCTGGCAAATTTTGTATTTTTAGTAGAGACAGGGTTTCTCCATGTTGGTCAGGCTGGTCTTGAACTCTGACCTCAGGTGATCCGCCCGCCTCGGCCTCCCAAAGTGCTGGGATTACAACGTGAGCCACTTTGCCTGGCTGAGAATTCTTTTTTTGTTGTTGTCTTTTTGAGATGGAGTTTTGCTGTGTCCCCAGCCTGGAGTGCAATGGTGTAATCTCAGCTCACTGCAACCTCTCCCTCCCGGGTTCAAGCAATTCTCCTGCCTCAGCCTCCCAAGTAGCTGGAATTACAGGCGCCCAGCACCACGCCCGGCTAATTTTTGTATTTTTAGTAGAGACGGGATTTCATCATGTTGGCCAGGCTGGTCTTGATCTCCTGACCTTGTGATCTGCCCGCCTCGGCCTCCCAAAGTGCTGGGATTACAGGCGTGAGCCACTGCCCCCAGCCGAGAATTTCTCTTTGCGTCCTTCCTACTTTGGGGACTTCGAATGGTGGGAAAGAGTTATCAAGGCCAAAATAAGGAATTCAAATGAAAACAAAACAAAATCAAAGAAGAAAAAACAGAAGAGCACTGGGCAGGCTAGGCACGTGGCTCATGCCTATAATCCCAGTGATTTAGAAGGCCGAAGTAGAAGGATCGCTTGGAGGCCAGGAGTTGGACACCAGCCTGGGCAACATAGCAAGACCCCATATCTACAAAAAATAAAAAACCTAACCAAGCGTGCTGGCATACTAGTAGTCCCAGCTACTCAGGAGGCTGAGGTGGGAGGATCACCTGAGCCTGGGAGGTCCAGGCTGTAGTGAGCCGTGATGACACCACTGCACTCCAGCCTGGGTGACAGAGAAAGACCCTGTCTCTAAAAAATAAAAACTGGCCAAGTAGCTTTGGGATTAGCCTTGGGTTCCAGTCCCAGCAAGGCCTTTAATAGCTTGGGACATGACTTCTGCATTTACTTTGCAATCAGGTGAGACCTCCTCTGATGGGGAAAATGACACGGTGAGTGACAAAGGATGTTCTCCTATCATTGTGTCAGGGCAAGGAAGCCTCTGGGTAAATGATCAAATGATCAGCTTTGCTTCTGATTTGGAGGGTGGGTGAGCAGATGCTGACCTTCCCAGGTGAGGGAAGTCCCCGAACATTCCCAGCAGCTTCTGGAAACCCCAGGGAAACCTCTTTGAAGGTCTTTTCTGCATCTCTGCCTGATAGGTCTTTTTTTTTTTTTTTTTTTTTTTCTTTTTTTTGACACACAGTCTTGCTCTGTCGCCCAGGCTGGATCACTGCAACCTCCATCTCCCGGGTTCAAGCAGTTCTCCTGCCTCATCCTCTCCAGTAGCTGGGATTACAGGCACCTGGCACCACGCCTGGCTAATTTTTGTATTTTTAGTAGAGACAGGGTTTCGCCAAGTTGGCCAGGCTGGTCTCGAACTCTAGACCTCTGGTGATCCACCCGCCTCAGCCTCCCGAAGTGCTGGGATTACAGGCTTGAGCCACCACGCGCGGCTCTGCCTGATAGCTGAGAGCATAGAACTCCAGGTTTGAGACCTGGCTCTGCCACATTTCTCCCTCTATGACTGTGGGTGCCCCACTTTGCCTTAGTTTTTACCTCTGTGAAATGGAGCAGATGGCTGGCACAGGTAGCAAAGGAGTAAAAGTTATGTGGGAGGGTGGTACCTGAGAGAGACTCTAGCTTGGTCTTGCCCCACCCCTGGTGTAAACATAAAGAAGCCTCCCTGGATGGCTCAATCTTCTCCAAAAAGGTTAGAGGTGTAATTCCTAGAGGAGGCGACCACTAGCTGGGCTTTGAAGGATGTGTAGGAGTTCATAAGGACAGGCATTCTGGGCAGGAGGAACAGCCTGGGCAAAAGTTGGGAGCAGGGAGAAATCTTGATGGAGGCAGGAGGAGGAGGAGGTAGGTTGGTGTAGGCCAGGTGCAGTGGCTCACACCTGTAATCCCAGTGCTTTGGGAGGCCAAAGCAAGAGGATTGTTTGAGCCCAGGAGTTCGAGACCAGCCTGGGCAACATAGCGAGACCCTGTCTCTAAGAAAAAATAAAAAAATTAGGGTACAGTGGCATATGCTTGTATTCTCAACTACTCTGGAGGCTCAAGTGGGAGGATCACTTGAACCCAGGAATTTTTTTGTTTTTGTTTTTGTTTTTTTGAGATGGAGTCTCACTCTGTGGCCCAGGCTGGAGTGCAGTGGTGCCATCTTGGCTCACTGCAGCCTCCTCCACCTCCTGGGTTCAACCGATTCTGCTGCCTGAGCCTCCCGAGTTGCTGGGATTAAGGTGCCCACCATCATGCCCAGCTAATTTTTTTGTATTTTTAGTAGAGATAGGGTTTACCATGTTAGCCAGGCTGGTCTTGAACGCCTGACCGCAAGAGATCCTCCTGCCTCAGTTTCCCAAAGTGCTGGGATTATAGGTGTGAGCCACTGAGCCTGGTCAAGCCCAGGAATTTGAGGTTACAGTCAGCTATGATTGCACCACTGCATTCCAGCCCAGGTGACAGAGAGAGACACTGCCCCTAAAAAAAAAAAAAAAATTGATTGATGGGAGGAAGGGTGAGGTTGGCAGAGCCTTGAATGCCAGGTGGAGGAGCTGGGACTTTCCTTCTTGGGGTGATAGGGAGTCATGGAGGGTTTCTGAGCAGGCCAGGGATTAGATAGCTGAAGGCTGGATTTACTGGAAGCCAATGAGCAGTTGGCTATGGTCCTTGTCCACGCGGCCCATGTTGTGGGCAGTGACCGTATTCAAGAAGGGAAGGACAGACAAGTATTTGAATACTTCAGTGACCAGGATTTGGTAAAGGACTGCAGGTCAGGGTCAAGAAGAGGTGAGAGCAGGACAGACTTCCTCCCCGCTGCACCAGGCAGCTGAGCTGGGTTTCCTCTAGGGGCTGAGGTTTGAGGGTACCTCAAGTTCTGCAAGAGTCTATAGGAGGTGGTAAGAGAGAAGAGCTGGAGGTCAGAGTTTTCTTGACTATATATATATATATTTTTTTGTTTTTGTTTTTAACAGCTTAACAGCTTTCTGTTTTATTTTTAGAGACAGGGTCTCAGGGTCTCACTTTGTCACCCAGGCTGGAGTGCAGTGGTACAATCGTAGCTGACTGCAGCCTCAAACTCCCAGGCTCAAGAAATCCTCCTCCCACCCTTAGCCTCCTGAGTAGCAGGGACTACAGGTGTGAGCCAGCAGGAAGCCCAGCTGGTTTTTTTTTTTTCTTTGGTGTTTTTTGTTTGTTTGTTTGAGACCGGAGTTTCGCTCTTATTGCCCAGGCTGAAGTGCAATGGCAGGATCTTAGCTCACCACAACCTCCGACCCCCAGGATCAAGCTATTCTCTTGCCTCAGCCACCTGAGTAGCTGGGATTACAGGCATGCGACACCACACAAGGCTAATTTTGTATTTTTAGTAAAGACAGGGTTTCTCCATGTTGGTCAGGCTGGTCTCGAACTCCCAACCTCAGATGATCCACCTGCCTCGGCCTCCCAAAGTGCTGAGATTACAGGCATGAGCCACCGTGCCCGGCCTTTTTTTTTTTTTTTTTTTTTTTGAGACAGAGTCTCACTCTGTCGCCCAGGCAGGAGTGCAGTGGTTCGATCTGGGCTCACTGCAAGCTCCGCCTCCCGGGTTCACTCCATCCTCCTGCCTTAGCCTCCTGAGTAGCTGGGACTACAGGCGCCCACCACCACGCCTGGCTAATTTTTTGTATTTTTAGTAGAGACGGGGTTTCACCGTGTTAGCCAGGATGGTCTTGATCTCCTGACCTCGTGATCCGCCCGCCTTGGCCTCCCAAAGTGCTGGGATTACAGGCGTGAGCCACCATGTCTGGCCTGGCCAGGCTGGTCTTGAACTCCTGACTTCCGGTGATCCATCTGTTCTGGCCTCCCAAAGTGCTGGGATTACAGGCATAAGCCACCACGCCATGCCGAAGCCCAGCTTGTTTTTAATTTTTTTTTTTTTTTTTGGAGAAATGAGGTCTTGCAATGTTGCCCAAGCTAGCCTTGAACTCCTGGCCTCAAATGACCCCGCCTTGGCATCCCAAAGTACTGGGATTACAGATGTGAGCCACCATGCCCCAGCCTTGCTTTCTTGAGATACGATTTAGAATACCATAAGATTCATCCCTTTTAAGCACATAATTCAATGACTTCTGTACAAACAACCATGACTACAATCTAATTTTAAAATATTTCAATCACTCTAAAAAAGAAACCTCCTGCTTATGTACAGCGACTCTGTCTACCTCTTAAGTGAATTCTCCTACCTTTAATAGCCCTATTTTACAGTTCAGGAAACTGAGGTTCAGAGAGACAAAGTCACTTACCCACAGCAAAGAAGCAAGGCTGGGTATCAAATGCAGGACCCCCCCGGTCCTGATGCTTTTTTTTTTTTTTTTTTTTTCCTCTGAGAGAGACTCTCACTCTGTCACTCAGTCTAGAGTACAGTGGCGCGATCTCAGTTCACTGCAATCTCTGCCTCCTGGGCTGAAGTAATCCTTTCCTCACAAGTAAACCTCAGCCTCTCAAGTAGCTGGGACTACAGGCACACAACACCACGCCTGGCTAATTTTTGTATTTTTAGGTAGAGACGGGGTTTCACTATATTGGCCAGGCTGGTCTTGAACTCCTGACCTCAGGTGATCCGCCTGCCTCGGCCCCCCAAAGTGTTGGGATTACAGGCGTGAGCCACCACACGCAGCCTTTTTGTTATTAGACTCTGTCATTACTGACTTTTTTTTTTTTTTAATAGAAACAGGGTCTTTCTTTCCCAGGCTAAAGTACAGTGGCATGATCACAGTTCACTATAGCCTTAAACTCCTGGGCTCAAGTGATCCTCCTGCCTCAGCCTCCCAAGTAGCAGGGACTACAGGTGTGCACCACCACACCCAGTTAACCATTCATTCATTCATTCATTCATTTATTTTGAGATGGAGTCTCGCTCTGTCACCTAGGCTGGAGTGCAGTGGCACGATCTCAGCTCACTGCAACCTCCACCTCCCAGGTTCAAGAGATTCTCCTGCCTCAGCCTCCCGAGTAGCTGAGACTACAGGCGTGCACCACCATGCCAGACTAATTTTTGTATTTTTAATAGAGACGGGGTTTCACTCTGTTGGTCAGGCTTATCTCGAACTCCTGACTTCGTGGATCCACCCTCCTTGGCCTCCCAAAGTGCTGGGATTAAAGGCGTGAGCCACCGCGCCCTGCCAACCTTTTTTTAATTTTTCTTAGAGATGGGGGTCTCCCTATGTTGCCCAGGCTTGTCTTGAACTCCTGGCCTCAAGTGACCCTCTTGCCTTGGCCTCACAAAGTGCTAGGATTACAGCCTGAGCCATCACACCTGGCCAACAGGTTTTTTTTTTTGTTTTGTTTTGTTTTTTAAAGAATGTCTAGGCCAGGCTCATTTACTTTCACCTGTAATCCCAGCACTTTGGGAGGCCGGGGTGGGCAGATCACTTGAGGTCAGGAATTCGAGACCAGCCTGGGCAACATGCTGAAACCCCGTTTCTACTAAAAATACAAAAATTAGCTGGGTGTGGTGACACGTGCCTGTAATCCCAGCTACTCAGGAGGTTGAGGCAGGAGAATTGCTTGAACCCAGGAGGCAGAGGTTGCAGTGAGCCAAGATCATGCCATCACCCTCCAGCCTGGGCGACAGAAGGAGACTCAGTCTAAAAACTTAATTAATTAATTAATTAAAAATAAAAATACAAAAATTAACCTGGTGTGGTGGTGTGTGCCTGTAATCTAAGCTACTCAGGAGGCTGAGGCAGGAGAATCCCCTGAATCCCAGAGGCAGAGGTTGCAGTGAGCCAAGATCGAGCCACTGTTTGCCCAGTCTAGTGCACTGGGCTGCTGAATTTATTTGACCAGACACCTAGCAATAGACTTTGAAGTTCTTTTCCACTTTTCACTCTAAGATGCTGCTGTCATGAATAAGGAATATTTTGATCCCCTTCACAAACACTCGGGGCCCTCTTACCAGTTTTCACTGAAGATCTTGACATTCCTATCTGCTTAGGTGTCTGGGCGTGTTTGGGGGAGATACTGAAGAGGTAGGGCTCCCAGGCAGGTGCAGTTCGTCTGTTAGGCAGGCAGCAAGGTCCACTTCACCAGACACCCCCACCTCTGTTTTCCTGCAGGGACTCCAGAACGGGTGGAACTGGCACCCCTCCCCTCTTGGCAGCCAGTGGGCAAGAACCTTACCCTACGCTGCCAGGTGGAGGGTGGGGCACCCCGGGCCAACCTCACCGTGGTGCTGCTCCGTGGGGAGAAGGAGCTGAAACGGGAGCCAGCTGTGGGGGAGCCCGCTGAGGTCACGACCACGGTGCTGGTGAGGAGAGATCACCATGGAGCCAATTTCTCGTGCCGCACTGAACTGGACCTGCGGCCCCAAGGGCTGGAGCTGTTTGAGAACACCTCGGCCCCCTACCAGCTCCAGACCTTTGGTGAGGATTGAAGAAGCCAGCAGGGAGAAGGTGGGGGTGGGGTATCCTGCAATGCGGTGCCTGTGGCCACAGGATCTTTTGAGATGGGTGTGGCCCCGGCTAAGGGGTGCATGTGTTCTAGGCGTATGTGACCTAGGCTGCTGAGTGGCCCTGGAAGAGGATCTCGCAGGAGGGGGAATGAAATGCCCCAGAGAAGGGCTTCGGGACGTCCATCCCTGTCTGCTCACACCTTTCTTCTCTCCCTAGTCCTGCCAGCGACTCCCCCACAACTTGTCAGCCCCCGGGTCCTAGAGGTGGACACGCAGGGGACCGTGGTCTGTTCCCTGGACGGGCTGTTCCCAGTCTCGGAGGCCCAGGTCCACCTGGCACTGGGGGACCAGAGGTTGAACCCCACAGTCACCTATGGCAACGACTCCTTCTCGGCCAAGGCCTCAGTCAGTGTGACCGCAGAGGACGAGGGCACCCAGCGGCTGACGTGTGCAGTAATACTGGGGAACCAGAGCCAGGAGACACTGCAGACAGTGACCATCTACAGTAAGAAGGGGCAGGGGCGGAGTGGGGCTTCTTGGGGGTGTGACCTGAACCCGGGGCGGGGCTCACTGTGTGCCTATTCCAGGCTTTCCGGCGCCCAACGTGATTCTGACGAAGCCAGAGGTCTCAGAAGGGACCGAGGTGACAGTGAAGTGTGAGGCCCACCCTAGAGCCAAGGTGACGCTGAATGGGGTTCCAGCCCAGCCACTGGGCCCGAGGGCCCAGCTCCTGCTGAAGGCCACCCCAGAGGACAACGGGCGCAGCTTCTCCTGCTCTGCAACCCTGGAGGTGGCCGGCCAGCTTATACACAAGAACCAGACCCGGGAGCTTCGTGTCCTGTGTGAGTGGGGCTGCTGGTCAATGGCCCCTATCCCCCAAGGCCCAATCTCCCTGAAGGTCCCATAAGGTCTTGCCTCCAAGTCCTGCCCCCACCCACCTCCATGTCATCTCATCGTGTTTTTCCAGATGGCCCCCGACTGGACGAGAGGGATTGTCCGGGAAACTGGACGTGGCCAGAAAATTCCCAGCAGACTCCAATGTGCCAGGCTTGGGGGAACCCATTGCCCGAGCTCAAGTGTCTAAAGGATGGCACTTTCCCACTGCCCATCGGGGAATCAGTGACTGTCACTCGAGATCTTGAGGGCACCTACCTCTGTCGGGCCAGGAGCACTCAAGGGGAGGTCACCCGCAAGGTGACCGTGAATGTGCTCTGTGAGTGAGCCGGCGGGCAGAGCTGGGTGGGGGCAGGGGCCATGGACCTAATGCAATCCTCACCGCCTGTTGTATCCTCCCCACAGCCCCCCGGTATGAGATTGTCATCATCACTGTGGTAGCAGCCGCAGTCATAATGGGCACTGCAGGCCTCAGCACGTACCTCTATAACCGCCAGCGGAAGATCAAGAAATACAGACTACAACAGGCCCAAAAAGGGACCCCCATGAAACCGAACACACAAGCCACGCCTCCCTGAACCTATCCCGGGACAGGGCCTCTTCCTCGGCCTTCCCATATTGGTGGCAGTGGTGCCACACTGAACAGAGTGGAAGACATATGCCATGCAGCTACACCTACCGGCCCTGGGACGCCGGAGGACAGGGCATTGTCCTCAGTCAGATACAACAGCATTTGGGGCCATGGTACCTGCACACCTAAAACACTAGGCCACGCATCTGATCTGTAGTCACATGACTAAGCCAAGAGGAAGGAGCAAGACTCAAGACATGATTGATGGATGTTAAAGTCTAGCCTGATGAGAGGGGAAGTGGTGGGGGAGACATAGCCCCACCATGAGGACATACAACTGGGAAATACTGAAACTTGCTGCCTATTGGGTATGCTGAGGCCCCACAGACTTACAGAAGAAGTGGCCCTCCATAGACATGTGTAGCATCAAAACACAAAGGCCCACACTTCCTGACGGATGCCAGCTTGGGCACTGCTGTCTACTGACCCCAACCCTTGATGATATGTATTTATTCATTTGTTATTTTACCAGCTATTTATTGAGTGTCTTTTATGTAGGCTAAATGAACATAGGTCTCTGGCCTCACGGAGCTCCCAGTCCTAATCACATTCAAGGTCACCAGGTACAGTTGTACAGGTTGTACACTGCAGGAGAGTGCCTGGCAAAAAGATCAAATGGGGCTGGGACTTCTCATTGGCCAACCTGCCTTTCCCCAGAAGGAGTGATTTTTCTATCGGCACAAAAGCACTATATGGACTGGTAATGGTTACAGGTTCAGAGATTACCCAGTGAGGCCTTATTCCTCCCTTCCCCCCAAAACTGACACCTTTGTTAGCCACCTCCCCACCCACATACATTTCTGCCAGTGTTCACAATGACACTCAGCGGTCATGTCTGGACATGAGTGCCCAGGGAATATGCCCAAGCTATGCCTTGTCCTCTTGTCCTGTTTGCATTTCACTGGGAGCTTGCACTATGCAGCTCCAGTTTCCTGCAGTGATCAGGGTCCTGCAAGCAGTGGGGAAGGGGGCCAAGGTATTGGAGGACTCCCTCCCAGCTTTGGAAGCCTCATCCGCGTGTGTGTGTGTGTGTATGTGTAGACAAGCTCTCGCTCTGTCACCCAGGCTGGAGTGCAGTGGTGCAATCATGGTTCACTGCAGTCTTGACCTTTTGGGCTCAAGTGATCCTCCCACCTCAGCCTCCTGAGTAGCTGGGACCATAGGCTCACAACACCACACCTGGCAAATTTGATTTTTTTTTTTTTTCCAGAGACGGGGTCTCGCAACATTGCCCAGACTTCCTTTGTGTTAGTTAATAAAGCTTTCTCAACTGCCTCAGCCTTGTGTGAGTTGAGGGGAGGTGTCACATCCAGCTGGAGTCCTTTCTAAGCAGCCACAGCCTGATCCTCCCACTTCCTCCCCCAAGAAAACATTGTGGGTTGATGGCCATACCCTGAGGTTCTGGTCCAAATCGGACTTTCTATGACCTTCTGGGTCTCTAGTGAAAACTAAAGACTCCTCTCCAGAAAAAAACATTTGGTTTCTAATGAGGCCTGGAATCTTATTCTTGACCTGGGGAGCGGAATCCCTTTTTGCAGTACTCCCGGGCCCTCTGTTGGGGCCTCCCCTTCCTCTCCAGGGTGGAGTCGAGGAGGCGGGGCTGCGGGCCTCCTTATCTCTAGAGCCGGCCCTGGCTCTCTGGCGCGGGGCCCCTTAGTCCGGGCTTTTTGCCATGGGGTCTCTGTTCCCTCTGTCGCTGCTGTTTTTTTTGGCGGCCGCCTACCCGGGAGTTGGGAGCGCGCTGGGACGCCGGACTAAGCGGGCGCAAAGCCCCAAGGGTAGCCCTCTCGCGCCCTCCGGGACCTCAGTGCCCTTCTGGGTGCGCATGAGCCCGGAGTTCGTGGCTGTGCAGCCGGGGAAGTCAGTGCAGCTCAATTGCAGCAACAGCTGTCCCCAGCCGCAGAATTCCAGCCTCCGCACCCCGCTGCGGCAAGGCAAGACGCTCAGAGGGCCGGGTTGGGTGTCTTACCAGCTGCTCGACGTGAGGGCCTGGAGCTCCCTCGCGCACTGCCTCGTGACCTGCGCAGGAAAAACACGCTGGGCCACCTCCAGGATCACCGCCTACAGTGAGGGACAGGGGCTCGGTCCCGGCTGGGGTGAGGGGAGGGGGCTGGAAGAGGTGGGGGAAGGGTAGTTGACAGTCGCTCTATAGGGAGCGCCCGCGGACCTCACTCAGAGGCTCCCCCTTGCCTTAGAACCGCCCCACAGCGTGATTTTGGAGCCTCCGGTCTTAAAGGGCAGGAAATACACTTTGCGCTGCCACGTGACGCAGGTGTTCCCGGTGGGCTACTTGGTGGTGACCCTGAGGCATGGAAGCCGGGTCATCTATTCCGAAAGCCTGGAGCGCTTCACCGGCCTGGATCTGGCCAACGTGACCTTGACCTACGAGTTTGCTGCTGGACCCCGCGACTTCTGGCAGCCCGTGATCTGCCACGCGCGCCTCAATCTCGACGGCCTGGTGGTCCGCAACAGCTCGGCACCCATTACACTGATGCTCGGTGAGGCACCCCTGTAACCCTGGGGACTAGGAGGAAGGGGGCAGAGAGAGTTATGACCCCGAGAGGGCGCACAGACCAAGCGTGAGCTCCACGCGGGTCGACAGACCTCCCTGTGTTCCGTTCCTAATTCTCGCCTTCTGCTCCCAGCTTGGAGCCCCGCGCCCACAGCTTTGGCCTCCGGTTCCATCGCTGCCCTTGTAGGGATCCTCCTCACTGTGGGCGCTGCGTACCTATGCAAGTGCCTAGCTATGAAGTCCCAGGCGTAAAGGGGGATGTTCTATGCCGGCTGAGCGAGAAAAAGAGGAATATGAAACAATCTGGGGAAATGGCCATACATGGTGGCTGACGCCTGTAATCCCAGCACTTTGGGAGGCCGAGGCAGGAGAATCGCTTGAGCCCAGGAGTTCGAGACCAGCCTGGACAACATAGTGAGACCCCGTCTATGCAAAAAATACACAAATTAGCCTGGTGTGGTGGCCCGCACCTGTGGTCCCAGCTACCCGGGAGGCTGAGTTGGGAGGATCCTTTGAGCCCTGAAAGTCGAGGTTGCAGTGAGCCTTGATCGTGCCACTGCACTCCAGCCTGGGGGACAGAGCACGACCCTGTCTCCAAAAATAAAATAAAAATAAAAATAAATATTGGCGGGGGAACCCTCTGGAATCAATAAAGGCTTCCTTAACCAGCCTCTGTCCTGTGACCTAAGGGTCCGCATTACTGCCCTTCTTCGGAGGAACTGGTTTGTTTTTGTTGTTGTTGTTGTTTTTGCGATCACTTTCTCCAAGTTCCTTGTCTCCCTGAGGGCACCTGAGGTTTCCTCACTCAGGGCCCACCTGGGGTCCCGAAGCCCCAGACTCTGTGTATCCCCAGCGGGTGTCACAGAAACCTCTCCTTCTGCTGGCCTTATCGAGTGGGATCAGCGCGGGCCGGGGAGAGCCACGGGCAGGGGCGGGGTGGGGTTCATGGTATGGCTTTCCTGATTGGCGCCGCCGCCACCACGCGGCAGCTCTGATTGGATGTTAAGTTTCCTATCCCAGCCCCACCTTCAGACCCTGTGCTTTCCTGGAGGCCAAACAACTGTGGAGCGAGAACTCATCTCCAAAATAACTTACCACGCTGGAGTGAGACCACGAATGGTGGGGAGGGGAGGGTCCCACGGACATATTGAGGGACGTGGATACGCAGAAGAGGTATCCATGTGGTGGCAGCCGGGAAGGGGTGATCAGATGGTCCACAGGGAATATCACAAACTCGAATTCTGACGATGTTCTGGTAGTCACCCAGCCAGATGAGCGCATGGAGTTGGGGGTGGGGGGTGTCAAAGCTTGGGGCCCGGAAGCGGAGTCAAAAGCATCACCCTCGGTCCCTTGTTCTCGCGTGGATGTCAGGGCCCCCACCCACCGAGCAGAAGGCGGACTCAGGGGCGCTCCAGGGTGGCTCGAGCTCACACACGCTGAGTAGACACGTGCCCGCTGCACCCTGGGTAAATACAGACCCGGAGCCGAGCGGATTCTAATTTAGACGCCCGCGAACGCTGCGCGCACGCACACGTGTCCTCGGCTCGCTGGCACTTTCGTCCCGCCCCCTCCGTCGCGTGCGGGAGCTGACCCGGAGGGGTGCTTAGAGGTATGGCTCCGCGGGGTCAAAAGGAGAAGGATCAGTGAGAGAGGCATCCCCACACCCTCCCCTAGAACTGTCCTTTCCCCATCCAGTGCCTCCCAAATCTCTCTTAGTCCCCAAATGTATCCCCGCCCTAAGGGGCGCTGGTGGGAGGAGCTAAATGTGGGGGCGGGGCTCGGAGTCCAGCTTATTATCATGGCATCTCAGCCAGGGCTGGGGTAGGGGTTTGGGAAGGGCAACCCAGCATCCCCCGATCCCAGAGTCGCGGCCGGGGATGACGCGAGAGAGCGTGGTCGCCCCCAGAAGGCCCTGGGCCATCATGCCGGCCTCCACGTAGACCCCAGGGGTCGCTCACTCCTGCCAGCTCGCCTTCACCAAGGCCAGGAGCTTAGCGCACGCTCGCCTCCCGCCCCCCCGCCGCCTCTGCCGCCGCCCCCTCCTTGGAAACCAAGTTACCAACGTTAAACCAATCCCCAAGCGCAACTCTGCCTCCCCCACACCCCACCCGCCGCGCCGCGCGGAGCCGTCCTCTAGCCCAGCTCCTCGGCTCGCGCTCTCCTCGCCTCCTGTGCTTTCCCCGCCGCGGCGATGCCAGGGCCTTCGCCAGGGCTGCGCCGGGCGCTACTCGGCCTCTGGGCTGCTCTGGGCCTGGGGCTCTTCGGCCTCTCAGGTAAGAGCCCCGCTCTGGTTCGGGGTGGACAGGGCGGGGGCGGAGTCCCTGGACCTGAGAAACGGCCTCCTGTCCCTCCCAGCTCTGCCCTCGCCTCGCTCCCACGCCTCTGCCCCCACCTCGAGCCTGAGTCTTCTCCCCTTCCCCCTCCTCCCCAACACACACCCGAGCCCCAGCTTCCTGACTCCTCGATAGCCCCTACCCGCTTCGAGATCCTAGGTGTTCTTCCGCACCCAACCCTTCGCCCTGGAGACCCAGTGTCTCTCCTGTCCGCTCCCCGGGTACCTCCTTACGCTGTGCTGTGCACCATGGTCCACGGACTGGCATCTTCCCCACTCGCGGTCCGCGAAGACTCCATCTCTCCAACTACCCTGACTCAGAGGCGCTGTTCCCGCTCCACCCAGAGCCCTGGCAACCGGGTCCCTCAGCTGTTCCCGCGGTTCCTTCCATGAGCCCAGCCTTGCGTCCCGGCTCCGTGTTCTTCACCGGGTGTAGGGTCCTTCCTGATCCTTGACCCAGCCTCGTCTCTCCTTTGCCCTTGCCGCAAACGCACTCTCCTCGTATCCCGGCATTCTGCCAGGACCCTGAGAACTGGTTCATCCCCCATCCCCCATCCCGGGTCCCCTTCTCTCAGCCTTGCTGTGTTCATCCAAGAACCCACCTTTCCTCTCCTCTACGCCCTCCCCCCATGCTTTCCCGCCGCTCCATCGGCGCTTTGGAGACCATGGCTCTCTGCTACCACGTCCCAGAGACACCCTCGAGGTTTAGACTCTGGGAGTGCGCCTTTAAACCGGAGGCCTGGGCAGGACGCGGGACGCCTGGGTTCTTTCCCTGGCTGCAGCCTCTCCTCCTCCTCCCCGCCCTCTGAGAACCCTTGACTCGACATAGGGGCGCTAAGATGTCAGGGAGTTGGCTCCCCAGGCTCAGCCCGCGTTTCCCTGGGCAGCGGTCTCGCAGGAGCCCTTCTGGGCGGACCTGCAGCCTCGCGTGGCGTTCGTGGAGCGCGGGGGCTCGCTGTGGCTGAATTGCAGCACCAACTGCCCTCGGCCGGAGCGCGGTGGCCTGGAGACCTCGCTGCGCCGAAACGGGACCCAGAGGGGTTTGCGTTGGTTGGCGCGGCAGCTGGTGGACATTCGCGAGCCGGAGACTCAGCCCGTCTGCTTCTTCCGCTGCGCGCGGCGCACACTACAGGCGCGTGGGCTCATTCGCACTTTCCGTGAGTTCTGGGTGGCCACGCGCGTACTCCACTACTCTCCCTCCCTCCCAGGCCCCGCCCCCTGGGTCCCAGGGTCCTCCCCTTCAGGCCCCACCTTCTGTTCCAAGTCCCGGTGTTCAAAGAGCTGCGGACTCTTCCCCCTTGCAGAGCGACCAGATCGCGTAGAGCTGATGCCGCTGCCTCCCTGGCAGCCGGTGGGCGAGAACTTCACCCTGAGCTGTAGGGTCCCCGGCGCCGGGCCCCGTGCGAGCCTCACGCTGACCCTGCTGCGGGGCGCCCAGGAGCTGATCCGCCGCAGCTTCGCCGGTGAACCACCCCGAGCGCGGGGCGCGGTGCTCACAGCCACGGTACTGGCTCGGAGGGAGGACCATGGAGCCAATTTCTCGTGTCGCGCCGAGCTGGACCTGCGGCCGCACGGACTGGGACTGTTTGAAAACAGCTCGGCCCCCAGAGAGCTCCGAACCTTCTGTGAGTGGGTGTGGGGAGGAGATGGGGACCCAGTGGGGTCGGTCGGTGTTTAGGAGGTTTAGAGGTAGATACATCTGAATGCTGACCCCGACTTCAACCCTCGCCGGCTGAGCTGTTTCCCCCTCCGTGCCTTGAGGATGATAATACGATAAGATAGTGCATGTCAAGTGCTTAGGACATATTGAGCGCTCGGAGTTAGTTCAAACTTGGTTCTTCGACCCCTAGCCCTGTCTCCGGATGCCCCGCGCCTCGCTGCTCCCCGGCTCTTGGAAGTTGGCTCGGAAAGGCCCGTGAGCTGCACTCTGGACGGACTGTTTCCAGCCTCAGAGGCCAGGGTCTACCTCGCACTGGGGGACCAGAATCTGAGTCCTGATGTCACCCTCGAAGGGGACGCATTCGTGGCCACTGCCACAGCCACAGCTAGCGCAGAGCAGGAGGGTGCCAGGCAGCTGGTCTGCAACGTCACCCTGGGGGGCGAAAACCGGGAGACCCGGGAGAACGTGACCATCTACAGTAAGGAAGGAGGCGGGGTCTCCGCGGCTCCGAGGTGGGACCAGAGGAATGCGAAGGCGGGGCGAAGAGTGGGCGGGACCTCAGTACCGGAACAGGCGTGGCCCGAGGGGCGGGGCAGGTGGGGGCGGAGACGTAATCGCTGGGGAGGAGGAGCCTGTACAGCCTGAGAGGCGGGGCGCCGTACCCTAGTTCGTTCTCAGCACCCCGAGGATTCGGGCAGATAAGGGGCGGGCCTTGACCGGAGGGAGGGGTATGGTCAGTATACTACGACCAAATGCTCCGCCCCCAGGCTTCCCGGCACCACTCCTGACCCTGAGCGAACCCAGCGTCTCCGAGGGGCAGATGGTGACAGTAACCTGCGCAGCTGGGGCCCAAGCTCTGGTCACACTGGAGGGAGTTCCAGCCGCGGTCCCGGGGCAGCCCGCCCAGCTTCAGCTAAATGCCACCGAGAACGACGACAGACGCAGCTTCTTCTGCGACGCCACCCTCGATGTGGACGGGGAGACCCTGATCAAGAACAGGAGCGCAGAGCTTCGTGTCCTATGTGAGTTGGTGATAACCCCTCGCCCCCCACCTTCTGGTGACTTCCAAGGACCCGCCTGCTCCCTCACCGTGTCGTGGAGGCGGAGCCATTTCTTACGTCTAAGCCTCTGTAACCCCACGCCCTGCCCGCAGACGCTCCCCGGCTAGACGATTCGGACTGCCCCAGGAGTTGGACGTGGCCCGAGGGCCCAGAGCAGACGCTGCGCTGCGAGGCCCGCGGGAACCCAGAACCCTCAGTGCACTGTGCGCGCTCCGACGGCGGGGCCGTGCTGGCTCTGGGCCTGCTGGGTCCAGTCACTCGGGCGCTCTCAGGCACTTACCGCTGCAAGGCGGCCAATGATCAAGGCGAGGCGGTCAAGGACGTAACGCTAACGGTGGAGTGTGAGTGGGGGTGCGCAGGGTGCATTTCTATCTGGTTCAAGGTCTGGAGGGTGGCCAGCCTCCAGGGAAGAGTAGGAGTAGGGTATGAGGTGTCCCTTTGGGTGAGGTTTTGGGAAAGGGAAGAGGCTGGTTAGTGGGGTTGGAGAAAGATCTTGGAGGATGGAAGGGACCGGGTGGGCGTGCCCCTAGCCTAGGGCGTGGTATTTGGGCGGAGTCGTGGAAAGGCGGGCAGTCCAGAGTGTTTAAGTTTTTAGACGAAAAAGGCGCCACTGGTGGCTCAGGAAGCTCCCAGACAGAGTGCATGCCTCGACTAGCGTGACACCTCCTTGGATCGGCGTCCAAGGGTTATGCAGGGACAACACTTCGTGGAAGCCTTGCCGCGCCAAGGAGGGTCTAGGGACGTCAGATTTGCCCCCAAACCCCAAAGCCAACAATACACTCCCTCCTCCAGACGCACCAGCGCTGGACAGCGTGGGCTGCCCAGAACGCATTACTTGGCTGGAGGGAACAGAAGCCTCGCTGAGCTGTGTGGCGCACGGGGTACCGCCGCCTGATGTGATCTGCGTGCGCTCTGGAGAACTCGGGGCCGTCATCGAGGGGCTGTTGCGTGTGGCCCGGGAGCATGCGGGCACTTACCGCTGCGAAGCCACCAACCCTCGGGGCTCTGCGGCCAAAAATGTGGCCGTCACGGTGGAATGTGAGTAGGGGCACCGCGGAGTTAGGCAGGATCTGTGGGACAACCCCGGCTGGACTTCCTGGCCCCCGTGTGAGCCCCTGCAATCCTGTTTCCCAGATGGCCCCAGGTTTGAGGAGCCGAGCTGCCCCAGCAATTGGACATGGGTGGAAGGATCTGGGCGCCTGTTTTCCTGTGAGGTCGATGGGAAGCCACAGCCAAGCGTGAAGTGCGTGGGCTCCGGGGGCGCCACTGAGGGGGTGCTGCTGCCGCTGGCACCCCCAGACCCTAGTCCCAGAGCTCCCAGAATCCCTAGAGTCCTGGCACCCGGTATCTACGTCTGCAACGCCACCAACCGCCACGGCTCCGTGGCCAAAACAGTCGTCGTGAGCGCGGAGTGTGAGCGAGGCCCAGGCGGGTAGGGAGCAGGGGTGCCCCACGGTCCAGGCACTCCCTGACATCCCCCATGGCTGCTTTGCAGCGCCACCGGAGATGGATGAATCTACCTGCCCAAGTCACCAGACGTGGCTGGAAGGGGCTGAGGCTTCCGCGCTGGCCTGCGCCGCCCGGGGTCGCCCTTCCCCAGGAGTGCGCTGCTCTCGGGAAGGCATCCCATGGCCTGAGCAGCAGCGCGTGTCCCGAGAGGACGCGGGCACTTACCACTGTGTGGCCACCAATGCGCATGGCACGGACTCCCGGACCGTCACTGTGGGCGTGGAATGTGAGTGGGGGCAGCACCGGATGGAGGGGACACGGTCCTCGGAAGAATGACTCGCAGCGGTGGGAGCATTCAAGGGCACCTCTCCCAATCCCATTCTCGGGGACAGGGAATTCCAGCCTAAACCAGGGGGTAATGAAAATTCTAGCCAGGCGCAGTGGCTCAGGTCTGTAATCCCAACACTTTGGAAGGTTGAGGCGGATGAATCACTTGAGGCCAGGAGTTCGAGACCAGCCCGGCCAACATGGCGAAAACCCGTCTCTACAAAAATTAGCCGGTCGTGGTGGTGGGCGCCTGTGGTCCCAGCTACTTGGGAGGCTGAGGCAGGAGAATCGCTTGAGCCTGGGAGGCAGAGGTTGCAGGGAGCCGAGATCCCGCCACTGCACTCCAGCCTGGGCAACAGAGTGAGACTCTTTCTTAGAAAAACAGAAAAAGAAAATTATAGGGAATAGGAGCACGGCCCTCCTCAAATCCTGGATTAGAACACTGACCTGGGCTTCACCTCCTTCCATTCGGTGAAGAAGGGCGAGGAATTTTAGCCGCAACAGCAGCCTGATTGTCGGGGAAGGAGGCTCTGATAGGAGGCAGGATCCTCTTCTGCCCATCAGAGGCGCGGTGGTCTCCCATCGATCGTTGTGGGCCGGAGCAGGGCATTTGATCAGTGGCTGGGCCGGCGCTAAGCCCCACTTCACCTTCTGTGCCCTTCAGACCGGCCAGTGGTGGCCGAACTTGCTGCCTCGCCCCCTGGAGGCGTGCGCCCAGGAGGAAACTTCACGTTGACCTGCCGCGCGGAGGCCTGGCCTCCAGCCCAGATCAGCTGGCGCGCGCCCCCGGGGGCCCTCAACATCGGCCTGTCGAGCAACAACAGCACACTGAGCGTGGCAGGCGCCATGGGAAGCCACGGCGGCGAGTACGAGTGCGCAGCCACCAACGCGCACGGGCGCCACGCGCGGCGCATCACGGTGCGCGTGGCCGGTAAGTGGCAGCTGGGGAGAGGCGGGGCGAGGTATCTGAGAGGGGGCGTGACCTGGGTCTTGGGGCGGCCGGCCCCGCCTGCCTCCCTCTCGGTCCCGGTAGACTAGACGGAAGTGGGACAGAGTAGAAGTCAAAGGTGCCTTAGCGGGTGGGGCTGTTGATCGCACTTTGAGGGGTGGGAGATGGAGGTGGCAGGGGGACTGAATTCAAGGGGAGGGACCCTCCGGGGCTGTCACTGCTGCAGGAAAGGACTTTAAAACTTGGGCTGGATTCTGCGTGGTGGAAACTTGACCCAATTCACAATCCACTGTGGGGAAGATTGGGGAGGGACCAAAGTCATTGGATGTTGGAGGGAGAGAGGGGTCAAGATCGCCTTCTCTCACTTCCTGAAGCTCCTGGGGCTGGGTTCTCTCTGGGGTCGGGGGAACCTGACCTGGTCCTGCCGGTCCTCATTTTTTGGGGGATGGGGAGAGTTGACTTGTCGCCAGGGGGCTAAGTGTGGTCACGGGTTTATATCCCCATGGGCTGAAGTGCGATATAAATCGGGACTCGGGTCGCCCTGGCACTGGGAGTGGCCTTATTGCATGGGTTGTCTCCCTTCTCCCAAGGCCAGACAGTGAGCTCCCCGGGGCATGAGGACTGACTTCGTGCCTGTGGGAGTGCGGGGGGCGGTGGGAGAAGCCCCCCGGAGCTTGGCCACCCTCCGCGAGGGTCTCCACCCCGCAGGTCCGTGGCTATGGGTCGCCGTGGGCGGCGCGGCGGGGGGCGCGGCGCTGCTGGCCGCGGGGGCCGGCCTGGCCTTCTACGTGCAGTCCACCGCCTGCAAGAAGGGCGAGTACAACGTGCAGGAGGCCGAGAGCTCAGGCGAGGCCGTGTGTCTGAACGGAGCGGGCGGCGGCGCTGGCGGGGCGGCAGGCGCGGAGGGCGGACCCGAGGCGGCGGGGGGCGCGGCCGAGTCGCCGGCGGAGGGCGAGGTCTTCGCCATACAGCTGACATCGGCGTGAGCCCGCTCCCCTCTCCCCGCGGGCCGGGGGACGCCCCCCAGACTCACACGGGGGCTTATTTATTGCTTTATTTATTTACTTATTCATTTATTTATGTATTCAACTCCAAGGGCGTCACCCCCATTTTCTACCCATCCCCTCAATAAAGTTTTTATAAAGGAACTCCCTGTCTCCGCTTCTGTTTCTGCAAGGTGGAACAAGCCCAGGGTTCCAGTCGTGACCTCCCGAGTTATTCATTCAAAAAGCGATTTTTGAGAGGGCCTGGGGTGGTGGCTTAGGCCTGTAATCCCAGGACTTGTGGGAGGCCCAGGTGGGAGGATCCCTTGCACCCAAGAGTTTCAGACCAGCCTGGGCAACATAGGGAGACCCTACAAAAAATATTTTTCAAAAATTAGCCAAGGCCGGTCGCGGTGGCTCATGCGTGTAATCCCAGGACTTTGGAAGGCCGAGGCGGCCAGATCACGAGGTCGAGGTCATGAGATCGAGACCATCCTGGCCAATATGGTGAAACCCTGTCTCTACTAAAAATACAAAAATTAGCTGGGCATGGTGGTGCGCGCCTGTAGTCCCAGCTATTCGGGAGGCTGAGGCAGGAGAATCGCTTTAACCCCGGAGGCAGAGGTTGCAGTGAGCCGAGATCGTGCCACTGAACTCCAGCCTGGCGACAGAGCGAGATTCCGTCTTAAAAAAAAAACCAGGCGTGGTGGCTCACGCCTGTAATCCCAGCACTTTGGGAGGCCGAGGCGGGCGGATCACGAGGTCGGGAGATCGAGACCATCCTCGCTAACACGGTGAAACCCCGTCTCTACTAAAAATACAAAAAAAAAAAAAAAAAAAAAATTAGCCGAGCGTGGTGGCGGGCGCCTGTAGTCCCAGCTACTCAGGAGGCTGAGGCAGGAGAATGGCATGAACCCGGGGAGCAGAGCTTGCAGTGAGCCGAGATCGCGCCACTGCACTCCACCCTGGCAGACAGCAAGACTCCGTCTCAAAAAAAAAAAAAAAAATTAGCCAGGGCCGAGCACAGTACTCTCGCTTGAATCCCAGAACTTTGGGAAACTAAGGCGGGGGGGGGGGGTCACTTGAGGTCAGGAGTTCGAGACCACCCTGGCCAACGTGGTGAAACACCTTCTCTACCAAAAATACAAAAAAATTAAGGCCGGGTGAAGTGGCTCACGTCTGTAATCCCAGCACTTTGCGAGGCTGAGGCGGGCGGATCATGGGGTTAGAAGATCAAGACTGTCCTGGCTAACATGGTGAAACCCCGTCACTACTAAAAACACAAAAATTAGCCGGGCGTGGTGGCACATGCCTGTAGTCCCAGCTACTCAAGAGGCTGAGGCAGGAGAATCGCTTTAACCCCGGAGGCAGAGGTTGCAGTGAGCCAAGATCGCACCACTGCACTCCAGCCTGGGCAATAGAGCGAGACTCTGTCTCAAAAAAAAACCAAAAACAAAAACAAAAAAATACAAAAATTTAGCTGGGCTGTAGTGGCACACGCCCTGTAATCCCAGCTACTCGTGAGGCTGAGGCAGGAGAATTGCTAGAACCCGGGAGGTAGAGATCTTGCCATTGCACTCCAGCCTGGGCAACAGAACTAGACTCTGTCTCAAAAAAAAAAAAAAAAAAAAAAAAGTGTTTTTTGAGGGGGCTGGGCATGGTGGCTCAAGCCTGTAATCCCAGGACTTTTGGGAGGCCCAGGTGGGAGGATCCCTTGTGCCCACGAGTTTCAGACCAGCCTGGGCAACATAGCGAGACCCTACAAAAAAACATGTTTCAAAAAAAAATTTTTTTTTTTGAGATGGAGTCTCGCTCTGTCGCCCAGGCTGGACAGCAGTGGCACTATCTCTGCTCACTGCAAGCTCCGTCTCCCGGGTTCATGCCATTCTCCTGCCTCAGCCTCCCAAGTAGCTGGGATTACAGGCGCCTGCCACCACACCCAGCTAATTTTTTTTTGTATTTTTAGTAGAGATGGGATTTCACCGTGTTCGCCAGGATGGTCTCTATTCCTGACCTCGAGATCCACCCGCCTCAGCCTCCCAAAGTGCTGGGATTACAGGCGTGAGCCACCGCGCCCGGCCTCAAAAAAAAAATTTTTTTTTTGAGATGGAGTCTTGCTCTGTCACCCAGGCTGGAGTGCTGTGGTGTGATCTTGGCTCACTGCAACCTCTGCCTCCTGGGTTCAAGCAATTCCCCTGCCTTGGCTTCCCAAATAGCTGGGACTATAGGCATGCACCACCACACCCAGCTAATTTTTGTATTTTTAGTAGAGACAGGGTTTCACCATGTTGGCCAGGCTGGTCTCGAACTCCTGACCTAAGGTGATCCACCTGCCTCGGTCTCCCAAAGTGCTGGGATTACAGCTGTAAGCCACCATGCCTGGTGTATTTTTCAAAAATTAGCCAGACATGGTGGTGCATGCCTGTAGTCCCAGCTACTTGGGAGGCTGAGGCAGGAGGATCCTTTGAGCCTAGGAGGTCAAAGCCACTTCCAGCTATGATATCGTCATTGTGCTCCAGCCCAGGTGACAGAACCAGACCCTGTCTCTAAAAACAAACAACGAAAAAATCCAAAAACTTTTTTTGAACACCTACTATGCATCAGGCACAATCTAAGCTGTCTTTTTCTTTTTCTTTTTTTTTTTTTTTTGAGACGGAGTCTCTCTGTCGCCCAGGCTGGAGTGCAGTGGTGTAATCTCAGCTCACTGCAAGCTCTGCCTCCCACGTTCAAGCGATTTTCCTGCCTCAGCCTCCTGAGTAGCTGGGATTACAGGCGCGCGCCACCACTACGCCCGGCTAATTTTTGTATTTTTAGTAGAGACAGGGTTTCACCATGTTGGTCAGGCTAGTCTGGAACTACTGACCTCGTGATTCACCTGCCTCGGTCTCCCAACGTGCTGGAATTACAAGCCTGAGCCACTGTGCCTGGCCCGGCTGGCTGTCTTTTCTCAGTGTGACCTAGAGCTCGTCCTCTCTCAGTGCCTGTTTTCTGCTCTCTTCACACCCTTGGGCAGGGGTGGGGGCCTCACTCCTTCCTCCTACTTATCTCTTCCACCCAGCACTGCCCTCTGATCCGGGTCACTCTTGGAGGTGGGGGCTAGGTGCTTCCCCCAGGCCTGGTTACCGGCAGAGCTGAGGCCGCCTTGCCAGGGTGGGTGGAGGCCCTCTCCGTTGTGCCCCTGCCCTGAGACTTCGGTGAGACCTTCCTGGGCAGGCACTGGCTGATGCTATGGGTGTCAGCCCTTAGCATGTCCTCCCTGTTAAAGGGGGCACCCCTGCCCCGCCCTCAATGCCTCCTTTGTCCTGTGTCCACCCACAGTGCTTCAGTTTACCCCCACCCTGCCTTTCCACTCAGCCCATCATGATTCAGAACAGACACACACAGGGTATCCGCTGCAACCCCCACTACACGGCACCTTCCCCCCTCATCCCCAACAGCATAAGGCACAGCAGCTGGGCCTCCTCCCCACAGCCTCCTCCTCTGCCCCTCCTCCCTCAAAAGCAGGAACACGGAGCCCTAGAGAAGGAAGCCAGTCCCATGCAAACATGTAATGAGCAAAGATGAGACGGGGAAATGGCACAAGAGGGCAGGCCAGTGCTCGGTGCTGGAGCCAGGGGCCAGGTATAACACCCAAAAAGGCACCAGCCAGGTGCAGTCCCTGCCACTAACAGCACCTCACCTTTTCTGCCTGTGCCCTCCCTACTTAATGATCTCTCTCCGCTCCTACTGACCTCAAGGTCTCTTTCAGAGCCTTCAGATGAGATATTTATTTTAGTAGGTTGGTGCAAAAGTAATTGCTGTTTTTGCCATTGAAAGTAATGGCAGGCAGGGCATGGTGGCTCACGCCTGTAATCCCAGCACTTTGGGAGGCCGAGGTGGGCAGATCACGAGGTCAGGAGTTCAAGACCAGCCTGGCTAACATGGTGAAACCCTGTCTCTACTAACAATACAAAAAAAATTAGCCGGACATGGTGGCACACCCCTGTAGTCTCAGCTACTTGGGAGGCTGAGGCAGGAGAACTGCTTGAACCCTGAAGCGGAGGCTGCAGTGAGCTGAAATCACGCCACTGCACTCCAGCCTGGGCCACAGAGTGAGACTGTCTCAGAGGAAAAAAAAAAAAAAAAAGTAATGGCAAAAACTGCAATTACTTTTTCTTTTTCTTTCTGTTTTTTTTTTTGTTTGTTTGTTTGTTTGTTTGTTTGTTTGAGACGGAGTCTCACTGTGTGGCCCAGGCTGGAGTGCAGTGGCGCAATCTTGGCTTACTGCAGCCTCCGCCTCCCAGGTTCAAGTGATTCTCTCCTGCCTCAGCCTCCCAATAGGATTACAGGCACCCACCACTATGCCTGGCTAATTTTTGTATCTTTAGCAGAGATGGGGTTTCACCATGTTTGCCAGGCTGGTCTCGAACTCCTGATCCACCCACCTCAGCTTCCCAAAGTGCTGGGATTACAGGCAGGCATGAGCCATGGTGCCCGACATTTTTTTTTTTTTTTCTTTTTTTTTTTGAGACAGAGTCTCACTTTGTCACCCAGGCTGGAGTGCAAAGGCAAGATCTCACTGCAGCCTCTGCCTCCTGGGTTAAAGCGATTCTCCCACCTTAGCCCCCTGAGTAGGTGAGATTACAGGCACATGCCACCACACCTGCCTAATTTTTGTATTTTTAATAGAGAGGGGGTTTCACCATTTTGTCCACGCTGGTCTCGAACTCCTGACCTCAAGGGATTCGCCCACCTCAGCCTCCCAAAGTGCTGGGATTACAGGCATGAGCCACCACGCCCGACCTCCTTAACTCTTTTATTTCCTTGCACACTTTTTCTCTGTAGCCCAGCTCACAACTTAACATCCTCTTAGACATACACCTGAGGTTTTTTTTTTTTTTTTTTTTGAGAGGGAGTCTCTCTCTGTCACCCAGGATGGAATGCAGTGGTGTGCTCTCAGCTCACTGCAACCTTGCAACCACTGCCTCCCAGGTTCAAGCAATTCTCCTGCCTCAGCCTCCCGAGTAGCTGGGACTACAGACACATGCCGCCACACCTGGCTGATTTTTTGTTTTTTAGTAGAGACAGGGTTTCACCGTGTTGCCCAGGCTGGTCTCAAACTCCTGAGTTCAGGCAGTCCGCCTGCCTTAGCCTTCCAAAATGCTGGGATTACAGGCATGAGGCACCGCGTCCTGCCTCTGAGTTTTTTTTTTTTTTTTTTTTTTACTGTCTCCTAGAACATCAGCCCCAGTAGAGCAGGGATCTTTGTTCTGTTCACCACTGAGGGTCCTCATTGGGTCCTAGCACACACAGTTGCTCAATAAATGTTGAATAAGTGGGTAAAGACAGCCACGAGCTTGCAGATATGTGTTCAAGGTGTGTCCTTGCAGAGAGCTTCTCTATACTTGGCACTGGAGAGGCCTGTCGTGGGCAAGGACATAGATGTGGCGACCTCAGACTTGAGAACTCCTGGGGCAGTAGGGGAGATGGATGTGGATAATGTAACCATAAGCCTTCCTTTCTATTTTAGACTGAGTGGTCAAGGAAGGCTTCCAGACAATGGAAATTCTGATAGGTTCTAAGAGGGAGACCAGCAAGGAGCTGAACCGGAGGCTGACACAGGGTGAGAGTGGGAATGTCTATTTTATTTTTTTTTTGGAGACAGGGTCTCACTCTGTTGCTCAGGCAGCAGTGCAGTGGCACGATCGTGGCTCACTGCAGCTTCAACTTCCCAGACTCAAGTGATCCTCCCACCTCAGCCTCCCAAGCAGCTGGGAATATAGGTGCATGCCACCACATCCGGCTAATTTTTGTATTTTTGGTAGAAACGGGGTTTCACCATGTTGCCCAGGCTGGTCTTGAACTCCTGGGTTCAAGTGATCTTGCTGCCTTGGGCTCCCAAAGTGCTTGGATTACAGGTGTGAGCCTGTGAGCCACATCTGGCCTATTTTATTTTTTAATTAGTTTTTTGTTTTTGTTTTTGTTTTGAGATGGAGTCTCTGTCTCCAAGGCTGGAGTGCAGTGGCACGATCTCGGCTCACTGTAACCTCCACCTCCCAAGTAGCTGGGATTACAGGCACATGCCACCACGCCTGGCTAATTTTTGTATCTTTAGTAGAGACAGGGTTTCCCCATGTTGGCCAGGCTGGTCTCGAACTCCTGACCTCCGGTGATCCACCTGCCTCAGTTTCCCAAAGTGCTGGGATTATAGGAATGAGCCACTCTGCCTGGCTGGGCATGTGTCTTGTTTTTTTCATTCTGTAGATAACAAGCAATTGTCCTCCCTCAGCCTCCCAAGTAGCTGGTACTACAGGCGCCTGCCACTACGCCCGGCTATTTTTTGTAGTTTTAGCAGAGGTGGGGTTTCACCATGTTAACCAGTCTCTAACTCCTGACCTCAGGTGATCCTCCTGCCTTGGCCTCCCAAAGTGCTGGAATTACAGGTGTGAGCCACCAAGCCCAGCCTCAAACTCCTGAGTTTAAGTGATCCTCACACCTCAGCCTCCCTGAGTGCTGGGATTACAGGTGTGAGCCACCACACCCGGCCTGAGTCGGGGGAGGTGTCTATTTTAGTCTGAGTGGTCAAGGAAGGCTTCTCTGAAGAGCTGATGTTGGGGCCAGGCCTCCTCAAGCGATTAGAAGGTGTCAGCCATGGGGAGATGTGGAGGGAGGGTGTTTCAGGCCAAGGAAGGGTAAGATCAAATAATTCAGGGATCTGAGGGCAGAGGAATCTGGACTCCAGTTCTCCCATTCAGGGCTGCCCAGGAGAGACAAAGAGGATCTCATAAGGGTGTGTGGCTTTGTGGCTCACTCACGCCCACAGCAAGGACCATGCCCACCCTACTTTTTTTTTTTTCCCCAAGTCTCCCTCTATTACCCAGGCTGGAGTACAGTGGTACGATCACGGTTCACTGCAGTCTTGACCTCCAGGGCTCAAGTGATCCTCCCACCTCAGTGTCCTGAGTAGCTGGCACTACAGGCATGCACCACCACCCCTGGCTCATTTTTTGATTTTTTGGTAGAGACGGGGTCTCACTGTGTTACCCAGGCTGGTCTCAAACTCCTGGGCTCAAGCGATCCTCCCACCTCTGCCTTCTGAAGTGTTGGGATTACAGGTGTGAGCCACCATGCCCAGCCCGCCACCAGTCTTGACTCTCCATCCTCCCTCCCTCCCTGTGAGTGCTGGTGGCCTGTGTGTCCCGCCTGCTGAAAGATGCCTCTGACTTGGGGCTTTTGACTTCAGGCCCGGGAGACACATTTTGGCTGGATTAGGGAGATCTTAAAAGGGGGTAGGGGACACAGCAGGGGCTAAGGAGAGTGACACACTGCAGGCAGGGGTTGGGTGACAGATGAAGGATCCACTGGTATATGCTGCCAGTGTGTGCCATCTACTTGTGTGTTTTACGTGTGTCTGGTGCATGTGTCCTGTGTGGGCTGTATCTGTGTGTGACTCAGCTACGTGTCAGCATATCCCTGTCGACGTGTGTCTCTGCTGATGTGTCTGTCAGCACGCACGGCTGTCTTGCATGTGTCTTTTTTGAGATAGAGTCTCGCTCTGTCACCCAGGCTGGAGTGCAGTGGCACGATCTTGGCTCATTGCAACCTCAACCTCCCAGGTTCAAGCGATTCTCCTGCCTGAGCCTCCCAAGTAGCTCGGATTACAGGCACATGCTACCACGCCTGGCTAATTTTTGCATATTTAGTAGAGACGGGGTTTCATCATGTTGGCCAGGCTGGTCTCGATCTCCTGACCTCAGGTGATCCACCTGCATCAGCCTCCCAAAGTGCTGGGATTACAGAAATGAGCCACTGTGCCTGGCTAGACATGTGTCTTTTTTTTTCCCTTCTGTATATAACAGGGTCTCACTATGTTGCCCAGGCTGGTCTCAAACTCGTGGCCTCAAGCAATCCTCCTGCCTCAGCCTCCCAAAGTGTTGGGATTACAGGCGTGAGCCACTGCACCCGGCTTGTGTGTGTCTTTCTGTATCTGTTGTGTGTGTCTGTGGGTAGTGGCTGTTTCCCTGCATGGGACATTGTGGTAAATGTGGCTAATTCCCTGTGTGGGGGCTGCTGCCTGTGGATAAGACTGTGTCTCTGTGCATGCGCACGTGTGTGCACGCCCCTCACAACCCCAACGAGAAAACACCTGTCCACCTTCCTGGGCTGGCACAGGGGCACAGGAGGCGGGATCCCAAATCACAGGCTTTTTCTCTCGGCATATCTCTGTACTTTATTGTCCCTGCTGTAACAATGCTCATCCTTCCTGAGAGCGTCTCCTGAGGGGGCCTCGGCCAAGGCTGACTGGAGAAGGGGCTGGTGACCCCTAGCAGGCTCTGCCACCTGAGGCCTGGGTCTTCCCCCGGGATCCTTGAATCTGGAGATGGCAGAGAGGAGGCAGGCCGGCTCTTTCCCCAATCCTCCTAGGAGAGCTGCTTCTGCCCATTCTCCCACTGGTGAAACGGAGGCAGAAGCAGCAGCTCAGCAGGGTGAAGCTGGGTTTAACCTTCCTGAATGGGGTCCAGGGACACTCCACATCTGCCACATAGCCTCTTGGGCTGGACATTTTTCCTGGGCACCAGCCAGCAGCTGGAGCAGCGAGTGCCGTATTTCTTGTACCTAGGGTTGGGGGACAAGAAACTGCCATTTAGGATGCAGTGGGGGCCCGGAAACCGCCACAAGGAAACCACTTTTCCCAAGAGGTAGGTGTTTTGCTTTTTGCTTTCCCCACAGGCCATCCTGGTTACACGTGGACTGATTTGGGGACCCCCGCCCCAACTCCCTCCTCCATTCTAAGGACCTGATCCCACAGGCGTTGCAGAGAGGGGTCCCATCTTCAGCGTCTCTCCAGAGCGGGGTCCTCTGGGTCCGACAGGAAGCACAGCGCCGGGGCTCTGAAGGGTCAGAGGTCAAAGGGCAGGGGTCAGAGGCCAAGCATGTGAGCTCGGGATGCCTGTGCGGAGTCGGGCATTTTGTGGGGGTCTCAGTAAAGGCCCCACCTAGCTCTGGATCAGCCCTGGGAGTTGCCAGCTCTAAGCCACAGCAAAGCCAGGAAGGGAGACAGATGGCAGCATTCCGCAGAGGAGGAAGCTGGGGGTGGGGGTGACTCAGCCCAAGTGGAGGGGGGTGCTGCGACTCCTCCCTGAGGGCTCTAAATGGGGAAGCAAGATGGAGAAGGGGGGGGCAGGGAGAAAGGCAGGGAAGACAGGAAATTGGCCCCCAAAATATTTATAGCTCTTGGGTTTTCAGGACTCACCCAGGGCCTCGCTGCCTGCTGAGTGGGCCTCGGTGCCTCCTGGGTGGGCTGCAGGGCCCCCAACAGCATCTGCAGGGGATTCCTGAGAACGGCTACTGCAGGGCAGGCTGTGGGGCAGACAAGGTATTAGCACTGGGGGGGATCTGTAGCTTGTCCCCAACAGCCCTCCGAAATGAAGATTTAGTATCAAGGTATCAGCCATCCCCCGAGGAGGCAACTAATATCTGAATGGCCTGGCTTTGCCTCTCATTAGTAATATTATTATTATTATTATTATTATTTTTGCAGATGGAGTCTCGCTCTGTTGCCCAGGCTGGAGTGTAGTGGTGTCATCTCAGCTCACTACAACCTCCACCTCCCGGGTTCAAGCAATTCTTGAGCCTCAGCCTCCCAAGCAGCTGGGACTACAGGCGCGCGACACCACGCCCAGCTAATTTTTGTATTTTTAGTACAGACGGGGTTTCACCATGTTGGCCAGGCTGGTCTCGAACTCCTGACCTCAAGTGATCCACCCACCTCGGCCTCCCAAAGTGCAGGGATTACAGGCATGAGCTACCGTGCCCGACCTAATTATTATTATTATTATTTGAAAAATAGTAAGCACAGGGACAGCCTGCCAGGTTCCAATCCCAGTTCTCCATGTCCTTGCTGTGTGAGCCTGGACACATTATCTCCTACTCTGTGCCTCAGTTTCCTCATCTGTAAAATGGGCTTCCCAATACAACAGTTTTTTTTTCTTTGAAAATTTGATTTATTGATTTTTAAAAAGAGATGGGAGTCTGGGCAATATAGGGAGACCCCGTCTCTACAAACAAAAAAAATAGCCAGGAGTGGTGGTACAGGCCTGCACTCCCAGCTAGTTGGGAGGCTGAGGAGGGAGGATGGCTTGGGCCTGGGAGGTCCAGGCTGCAGTGAGCCATGATTGCGCCACTGCACTCCACCCTGGGTGACAGAGCAAGACCCTGTCTCAAAAACAAACAAACAAACAAAAGCAAAAAAAAGCAGCCAGGCATGGTGGCGGCTCACTCCTGTAATCCCAACACTTTGGGAGGGCAAGGCAGATGGATCACCTGAGGTCAAGAGATCGAGACCATCCCGGCCAACATGGCAAAACCCCATCTCTACTAAAAATACAAAAATTAGCCAGGCGTGGTAGCAGGCACCTGTAATCCCAGCTACTCCAGAGGCTGAGGCAGGAGAATCGTTTGAATCCGGGAGGCAGAGGTTGCAGTGAGCCGAGATTGTGTCATTGCACTCCAGCCTGAACGACAGAGTGCAACTCCATCTCAAAAAAAAAAAAAAATATTGTTTTGGCGGCATGATTAAAAAAGTCATAATTATAATTTTTATAATAACAATAAATAGGTAAAAATTAGAGCTGGGGGTCATACTATGTTGCCCAGGCTGGTCTTGAACTCCTGGGCTCATGCAATCCTCCCACCTTGGCCTCCCAAAGTGCTGGGATTACAGGTGTGAGCCACCAGGCCCAGCTTCCCAAAGCTTTTTTTTTTTTTTTTTTAAGGGGATGGAGTCTTGCTCTGTCACCCAGGCTGGAGTGCAGTGGTGCCATCTCTGCTCAGTGCAACCTCCACCTCCTGGGTTCAAGCGATTCTCCTGCCTCAGCCTCCCAAGTAGCTGGGATTACAGGTGCCCATTACCATTCCCAGCTAGTTTTTTTTTTTTTTTTGAGACTGAGTCCCACTCTGTGGCTCAGGCTGGAGTGAGGTGGCGCTATCTCTGCTTACTGAAGACTTCACCTCCTGAGTTCAAGCGATTCTCCTGCCTCAGCCTCCTGAGCAGCTGGGATTACAGGCACCCACTACAACGCCCAGCTAATTTTTTGTATTTTTAGTAGACATGGGGTTTCACTATGTTGGCCAGGCTGATCTCAAACTCCTGACTTCAGGTGATCTGCTCGCCTTGGCCTCCCAAAGTGATGGGATTATAGGCGTGAGCCACTGTGCCCGGCCTCCCCAGGCTTTTGAATGAGCCCATACACATAAAATACTGCCTGTTAACCTCTTATTGTTGTCACTACCAACAAATAGTAGCTGTTAGCATTATTGGGAAAAATCACCGCAGCCGCAGCTGCAGCCTAAGCAAGGCCAGGCCTGATTCCTAAAGAGACCAGGTCTCACATTGGGAGTGGGGAGCCACTGAGTCAGGAGCGGCAGGACTGTATCTGGCACCAGCTCAAGTTGTCAACCAGAGACTGGGCCACGTGTAACGTAGAGCACAGGTGAGGGTCCACACCGACGCCAGAGAGCACCCCTACCTCCCACACTGGTGTTTGCGTTGTAACTGGGAGAAAGGGCGGCCTGGCCCCAGCCGGCCCCTACCTGTACGTGGGGATGATCTGCAGGCTGGAGTCCGGCTTTATCTGAAACTTCAGAGTCACCCCCTCGAACCCAGGGTCCACTCTCTCGGTGCCCCGGCAGGGGTTCAGCTGTTTCCGGGGCCTTCTCTGGGGTGGGGCCGAGGGAGTCCCCGGGGGCTGCAGACGGCGGCCCTTTTGGCTGATCCTGGTCTGTGTGTCCTTGGAATCCCTGTCCAGCAGCAGGCGGCCCTGAGTCCCCAGAGCCATCGGGTCCCAGCAAGGCCCCAGGACCGGGGTGTCCTGGGCAGGGGACTGACCCAGCCTCTCCACTGTCTCTTGGAGGAAGCACAGGGCGGTGACCGACTCCTGGCATGCAGGCCAGAGGGACCTGGGGAGAAGGGCAGTGGGGTCACGTTTTCTTGGGTGACTCCTGGGTTTAGCCGGCCAGGGGGTTCCAACTTGGGCCGGCTCTTTGTGTACCCTTGGACAGGCTACACACCCCACCTGAGGTTCAGTCATTTCTAACTCTGGGTGGAAGGTTTAAGAGTTGCAGTAATTGCAACTCACCTCGCCCACTGTGGGCCTCCCAGGCACGCCCAGCCCTCCACATCAATCAACCCCTTACGGCACCCGTAGATCACCCAGGCAGGGACCGCCCTAGGTGACCGAGGCAGGATATCAAGCCTCTGGCTGCAGGATCGAGAAAAAGGTTACTTTTTTTCTTTGTGTTTCTTTTAGAGACCGAGCCTCACTCTGTACCCCCGCCTGGAGTGCAGGGGCGTGATCAGGACTCAGTGCAGCCTAGAACTCCTGGGCTCGACCGATCCTTCCGCCTCAGCCTCCCGAGTAGCTGGGACTTACAGGCACGCGCCACCACGCCGCTGGCTTGCCATAATATGATTACGATTTTTATCATTTTCATTATTATTGAGTTGCCCTCCATAACCCCTGGATGATCCCTGGGGAGTGCCTACATCAGCCCCAGAGACATGGAATTGCATGGCCTCTGATCCCTAGATGACCCCAAGTGTCTCTGGGCACCAGAACCTCTTTGTAAGTTTCAGTAACTATTATAAAATTGCCACTTCTCGATAACCCCAGCAAAGAGAGGTCATGACCCCTTGATCACTGAGCCAGGTGGTGAAGTGCTAGCGGGGTCCGGGGAATGGGGTTTGGCCTTACGCACCTCTCACTGATTCTGCAGCATCCTGGGGTCCTCGGCTTCTCCTGGGAGGGGGATCCTCCCAGCCGCTCCAGGTTCAGACAGGGCGGCGCCAGAAGCTTTGCTGGCATTGAGGAGTCCGGGATTGGCTCGGCCTCCATTGCGCCCCAGCCCAGCCCCCTCCCTAATTTCACCCGGCCCTGTCCCGCTGGGCCCACCCGATGAAACCCACCTGGGAGGGGCGGGACCTGTGTGGTGGGAGCGCTCTTGGTAGAGGATGCGATGAGCCCCAGCTGAGAGCGACCAGCCTCGGCGGCACCTTTCCTCTTTCTGGCTTTTTTCAGGTCATCCGCGCACCCCTGCGTGGCAAGGGCGGCCTGGACCCCACCAAATCCCTCCGCAGCTGCCGGGGCGGGGCCTTCCACGCTAGCCCTCCCCCTCGGAAATGGGGGCTCCCAGGCCTCTGCCTTGGATCCCCAGCGGCATCTTAGATCCCAGAGGGAAAAGAGAACCGGGGGCCCAGCACAGCAGATGCAGGTGTGGTTTGTTTTTGTTTTTGTTTTTTTTTTTTTTGAGACAGGGCCTCACTCTGTCACCCAGGCTGGAGTGGAATGGCCTGATCACCGCTCCACTGCAGCCTAAATCCCCTGGGCTCAAGTGATCCTCCCACCTCAGTCTCCCGAGTAGCTGGGACTACAGGCACTTACCACCACTCCACGCTAATTTTTACTGTTTTTATAGAGACGAGGTCTCGCCATGTTGCCCAGGATGGTCTTAAGCTCCTGGCCTCAAGTGATCCTCCCATCTTGGCTTCCCAAAGTGCTAGGATTACAGGTGTGAGCCACCTGTAGACCCCAGATCTGTCCCCCAAGGACACTCAACATGCTGGGGCCTGTGTTATCGATTTATTGCAGCTCCAATATGAGTCCACTCCTACTCAAACCCTGATTCTCAGGGGCCTGGGGAAGGCCACCCCACTAGGGGCCCTGTCCCCACCAGAGCCTGGACATGGGACTCTCTCCCAAGCAGGGGTGTTGTCCTTCACAGGGGCTTCCACGTCTCTCCCGGGCCTGTCCGCACTCTGGGCAGGGCTGGCACCTGGCTATTCCCTCAATCTGGGCCCTGGGGCCATGGCAATGTGGAATGGTCCAGGTGTTCATGTCAGTGGGGCTTGGGGACATGGCCATCCACGTAGAAGTTCCTGGTGATCTTGGGCAGGGTGAATTCCGCTCCTTCCAGCTCCGGTGTCAGCACAATCTGGCAGCCCAGCCGCGAGTTCTCCTGGAGGAGGGGGGCCATGTCTAGCATGTCGTCTTCCCTAGGGTGGTGACACGGGCAGTGTTAGCCGAGGGCAAGCTAGCTGGGTGGGTGGGGGGCCAGAGGTGGGGGAGGGAGGAAGCTGACTGAGCGCAGGGGGTAGTGGTGGGGGAGGCAGCTCCCATTC
Organism: Homo sapiens; assembly: GCF_000001405.40. Taxonomy (NCBI): domain Eukaryota; kingdom Metazoa; phylum Chordata; class Mammalia; order Primates; family Hominidae; genus Homo; species Homo sapiens. Next base: position 10,310,769 of record NC_000019.10, read on the forward strand.
CAGGAACTGGAAGTGGGGAGGATGGTGGGGGCTGCTGAATGCTCCAGGGTGAAGCTGCCAGCTAGACAGGGCTGACCCACTCACCTCTCCTCGGGAGGAGGCAGGAGATCCAGGTGGTCTTCACTCACATACACATGGCAGGTGGAGCAGGCCAGGGAGGCTTCACAGGCCCCTAGGGGTGGGAAGTGAAGGGGGCGCAGGTGAGTGGCAGAGTCAGGAAGGGGCTGCTATGCGAATGGCGTAGAGGAGTAGACCTCTCTTCCACCACGTGCCTCACGTCTCCCTCCTGGGCCTGCAGCTCCACTGTGTGTACCAGGCACTGTGTCATGTCCTCAATGTCCTCAGCTAGCTGTTCCCCAGTGTGTAGGGTTTACAAACGGACATCTGGGAGGCCCCATTTCCCAGGGACTCCCTAGCAGGCTGAGATGCAGAACCATTAAGGAGCAGGGACTTGGCTGCCAGGTAGCTGAGAGGGGAAAGGCCAGGCAGGCTCCCCGCAGTCTGTGAGCCCTTGCTGTGACCCTATCACTGTGCTGGGCTAATGTGTCCCCACCTCTCCACTGCTCTTGGAGGATGGACCGGCTGACTCAGCAGTCAGTGTGGTGGGGGAAGGAATCAGGCATTAGGATTTTGTTTTTTTTTTTTTTGAGATGGAGTCTTGTTCTGTTGCCCAGGCTGGAGTGCAGTGGCACGATCTCGGCTCACTGCAAGCTCTGCCTCCCGGGTTCACGCCATTCTCCTGCCTCAGCCTCCCAAGTAGCTGGGACTACAGGTGCCTGCCACCACGCCTGGCTAATTTTTTTATATTTTTTTAGTAGAGCTGGGGTTTCACCATGTTAGCCAGGATGGTCTTGATCTCCTGACCTCATGATCTGCCCGCCTCAGCTTCCCAAAGTGCTGGGATTACAGGCGTAAGCCACTGCACCCGGCCAGGATTTTTTTTTTTTTTTTTTGAGACAGGGTCTCACTCTGTTGCCCAGCCTGGAGTGCCATGGCTCAGTCATAGCTTACTGCCTCAACCTCCCGGCTCAAGCGATCCTCCCACCCCAGCCTCCCGAGTAGCTGGGACTACATGTGCGCACCACCACACCTGGCTAATTTTTTTTTTTTTTTTTTTTTGAGGTGGAGTTTCGCTCTCTTTGCCCAGGCTGGAGTGCAATGGTATGATCTCGGCTCAATGCAACCTCTGCCTCCCAGGTTCAAGTGATTCTCCTGCCTCAGCCTCCCAAGTAGCTGGGATTACAGGTGCCCACCATCACGCCCAGCTAATTTTGTATTTTTAGTAGAGATGGGGTTTTGCCATGCTGGCCAGGCTGGTCTTGAACTCCTGACCTCAGGTGATCCACCTATCTCGGCCTCCCTAAGTGCTGGGATTACAGGTGTGAGCCACCGCACCTGGCCATATTTTTTTTTTTTTTTTTTTTTTTTGTAGAGACGAGGTTCACCATGTGGCCCAGGCTGGTCTCAAACTCCTAAGCTCAAGCAATCTGCCTGCCTTGGCTTCCCAAAATGCTGGGACTACAGGCATATGCCACTGCACCAGACCAGGAATTAGGGTTGAAAGAGACAGAACCTGAAGTTTTCTGCTGACCACCTGCCCTTGGTCACACCCCCACATCCTCTGATCACAGAGACCGGTGCTTGGGGATCATGTCCCTCCTGGCCTAAAACTTTCCAAAGGGTTTTCACACTCAGAATAAAATCCAAACTCCTTCACTTAGTCTTGCAGTTCCCCCATCCCCCTCATTCATTCCTTTGTTTTCCTTTGTAATTTTTTTCTTAGAGATGGAGTCCCGCTCTGTTGCCCAGGCTGGACTGCAGTGGCGTGATCTCGGCTCACTACAAGCTCCGCTTCCCGGATTCACGCCATTCTCCTGCCTCCGCCTCCCAGAGCAGCTGGGACTACAGGCGCCTGCCACCATGCCTGGCTAATTTTGTTTTTGTATTTTTAGTAGAGACAGGGTTTCACCATGTTAGCCAGGATGGTCTTGATCTCCTGACCTCGTGATCCGCTCGCCTCAGCCTCCCAAAGTGCTGGGATTACAGGCGTGAGCCACCACACCTTGCCAGGCCACTTACCTCTACTAGCCCGGCACAGTGGCTCATGTCTGTAATCCCAGCACTTTGGGAGGCCAAGGCAGGCAGATCAACTGTGGTCAGGAGTTTGAGACCACCCTGGCCAACATGGCGAAACCCCATCTCTATTAAAAATACAAAAACTTAGCCGGGCATGGTGGCAGTTGCCTGTAATCCCAGCTACTCGGGAGGCTAAGGCAGGAGAATCACTTGAACCCTGGAGGTAGAGGTTGCAGTAAGCCAAGATCATGCCATTGCAGTCCAGCCTGGGTGATAGAGCGAGACTCTGTCTCAGATAAATAAATGAACAAATAAATCTATCTCACATTCCAATCCCTGTCCTAGACTATTGGCTGCTGGATTCCAGAACAGAACTTTAGGTAGGCCTTTCATAACCCCTCCCAACATATCTTCCCCTTTAATGATAAAATCAGGATCCCTGATATATTCATCCCAAAAGCAAACCCTATATATTTTCTTCCAGACAACCCTTCCCAAGTTGGTCATAATTATGTATTTACCTGTGGGATTATTGTCCCTATTAGACCGAAATGGATGTGAGATGACAGAGGCCTTATTTGTTTTGTATATTGCTGCCTGACGCGCAGTAGGTATTCATAGAAAGGCAGCACAGATTAGTGGCTACAATGGACTGGTGAGTCTAGTATTGTCACTCACTTGCCCTTAGACCAGGTCTACTTAACCTGGGGTTTAGTTGCCTCATCTATAATAGGGAATAACAGTCTCTACTACTCAAGTTGTCATGAAGATTCAGTCAGTGAATATTTATTAACATGGTTAAAGACATATATATATATATATATATATTTTTTTTTTTTTTTTTTTTTTTTTTTTTTTTTGAGACAGTCTCACTCTGTCGCCCAGGCTGGAGTGCAGTGGCGTGATCTTGGCTCACTGCAAGCTCCACCTCCCGGGTTCATGCCATTCTCCTGCCTCAGCCTCCCGAGTAGCTGGGACTACAGGCGCCCACCACCACGCCCACCTAATTTTTTGTATTTTTATTAGAGACGGGGTTTCACCATTTTAGCCAGGATGGTCTCTATCTCCTGACCTCGTGATCCGCCCGCCTCGGCCTCCCAAAGTGCTGGGATTACAGGCGTGAGCCACCGCGCCTGGCCTTTTTTTTTTGTTTGTTTGAGACAGAGTCCCGCTCTGTCATGCAGCCTGGAGTGCAGTGGTGCCATCTTGGCTCACTGCAACCTCTGCCTCCCAAGTTCAAGTGATTCTTGTGCCTCAGCCTCCCAAGTAGCTGGGATTATATGCATGTGCCACCACGCCCAGCTAATTTTTGTGTTTCTTGTAGAGACAGGGTTTCGCCATGTTGGCCAGACTAGTCTCAAACTCCTGTCCTCAAGTGAGTCGCCTGCCTCGGCCTCCCAAAGTGTTGGGATTACAGGCATGAGCCACTGTGCCTGGACAAGAAATTTCTATTATTATTTTTCTCTCAACAAATTATCAAACATCTGTTACATCTTGACAGGCAACAGATAAGCATGAATAAGGACATGGGTCACCAATCTCACTGGGGGACAGATGACAAAGTAGGAAACAAAACAGCCTGGCATTGTGGCTTGTGCCTATAATCCCAGCTACTTGGGAGGCTGAGGTGGGAGGATCACTTGAACCCAGGAGTTCAAGGCTGCAGTGAGGTATGATTGCATCATGGCACTCCAGCATTGGCGACACAGCAAGGCTCCGTCTCTTGAAAAAAAAAAAGTGAGAAGTGCTATATATCATATCACACTGATAAGACAGAGTAACTAGGGCATGGGTACTTCAGCTGGGCTGAGGGGAATGGGATTGTTAGGGACATGACATTTACACTGAGGTCTGAAGGATGAGAAAGAGCCAGAATGTTTGCTGGGAAAGCACTTCAGACAGAGGGAACAGCAAATGTAAAGGCCCCGAAGCAGGAATGAGCTTGGTTGTTTGAGGAACCACAAGAAAGCCAGTGTGGGCTGGGCGCGGTGGCTCATGCCTGTAATCCCAGCATTTTGGGAGGCTGAGGCGGGTGGATCACCTTTCAGGAGTTTGAGACCAGCCTGGCCAATGTGGTGAAACCCCGTCTCTACTAAAAATACAAAAATTAGCTGGGCTTGGTGGTGGGCGCCTGTAATCCCAGCTAGTCTGGAGGCTGGGGCAGGAGAAACGCTTGAACCCGGGAGGTGGAGGTTGCAGTGAGCTGAGGTGCAGTAAGCCATTGCACTCCAGCCTGGGCAACAAGAGTGAAACTCCATCTCAAAACAACAACAACAAAAAGAAAGCCAATGTGGCTAGAATACAGGGAGGAAGGGGGAAGAGAACACAAAATCCTGGGAGCCAGGAGTCCTAGTGATCTCTAATAAATGCTTAACAAATAAGAGCTTGGCAACAGATGAGGCCATGGTGAGGGGTTTGGATTTTAGTCCATATTTGGTGGGAAAAAGACGTGAAGAGACACACCTAATTTGTGGGTTTTTTTTTTTTTTTTTTTGGACAAATGTATAAGGACCTCCTTAATTCCCTCTGCCCGGTTCCTACCTTCCAGGTCCACCCCGTGGCGCTGGGCCAGGTGAAGAACATTGTCCCCGACTCTGCCACTCACTGGGATCCGCTGGCCTGAGCGGTCTACGAACACCACGTTCACCCTGGGGACAGATGGAAGTGCGAATGCCGAACTGGATGATGGGCTCAGGGCCCGGGTAGAATCTAGGGTTAGGAAGTAGGAATTGAGGCTTGACGCACAGGTACTGAATAGGGCAAAGCAGAAGGGGGACCTCGAGATGAAGCTACAGGGCAAGATGGGGACCAGAGGAATTCCGTGGGATGAGGAATGGGGGACTTGGCCCCCTGCACTCACACGTCCCCGGGCCGCTCCGGGCCGCCCGCGTCCTCCTCTCCAGCCGGGCGCGAGCCTGGAAAACACGGTTCGGTGAGCGGCTGCGCCGAGCCCCGCCCCGCCGGCATCTGACGGATTAACGCTGCCCGCCCCGGGCGCCCCAGGTACCTGTCGCTTGAAACTTTCTGGTTGTCCCCAGCGCCACCCCCTCCCCCGACCCGGAAGTGCCCCCAGGTCTGTTCCACCAGGTGCCCCTGGCAGCCTGCAGTAGAACCCTGGCACTCACGCCTCCCCGGGCCATGGAGGCGGCCATGACATGCATCACGTGACTCACCGACTGAGCATGCGCCGCGCCAGGGAGGCGAGGGAAAGCCCATAATCAATGGAACATAAGCGCAGATGTTTGCTTAGGGCCTGCGGTGACCAGGTGGGAAGAGCAGGGCGGAATCCATCTCAGGTAAACCCGCGGGGCCATCCCAGACCTCCCACTCAAGCCCACTGTTTGTCCCAAGAACCAGCCAACTCTGATTTCTTTAAAACCATTTACTTACAAACTTTAATTCAGCAAAGGTCCGTGTGGGGAGACTGGGGTGGGGTCGGGGGAATAGTCCCCTTGGAGTGGATGTGGACCCCCAGAGTCAAGGGAGGGAAGCTGGTGGCCCAGTTGGCTGGGGGCAAGGCCCAGGGTCACCTCAGGTCGACAGGTCCTGCTGGTGGGCGGGCCCAGAGTTTATCTTCATGGAGTGCTGGTTTCTGGCACTGGGCTGGAAGGAGGCCAGCTCCAGGGATCTGGCCGGGGGTGGGCAGGCAGAATTCAAGAATTCATCTTCAACAAGCGAGTGACAGCAGAGGCTCCGGGAGATGGGCACAATGTCCGACTCCCACAGACAGACAGCAGGGGACTGGCAGAGAAAGCCCATCTCTGCACGGAGGCCCGGGTAGGAGGGGGTGGTGGGGCCGGTTCGCCAAGATGAAGGCTTTCCCCTTCTACTGTCCCCAGGGTGGAGATCCTGGGTAGGGTGGCCCAATCCCTAGGCCAGAGCTGTTTGGTCCATAGTCAAGCTCCCAGAGCTTGGCATCTGTGGCTCTGGCCAGCAGGGCCTGGGGCCCAGCTTTTAAGGCATCAGAAGGGGAGGGGGCTGCGGCAGGGACCCCGGGCCCCACGGCTGGGGTATAGGCCAGATGGGCAGGCAGGGGCAGGAGACAGCCATGCCTGCAGCAAATGTGGGAAAAACAGCTGTTTCAAACCGCAAGGTGTGGAATGGTGGCCCGGACAGGCCGGGCCTTGAAGGAATCAGAGCTGGGGGCTGTCCGGGGTGGTTTGAAAAATAAAACTTAGAAAAGGAAACAGAAGTCAGTTGTCAAAGTTAAAAAAAAAGGAGACAGTCTCTGTATCTTCACGGGAGGTCAGGGAAACCTCCAAGGCACTCGAAAGGCCAAAATTACAGGAGCAATGAGGCAGGAGGGCTCCGGAGAGACGGGCACAGCGGAGGAGGAGATGGGGGGAGGGAGGGAGAGCAGGCCGGGGCCCCTCTCTCTTAAGGCTGCAGGGTTTCAGCGTGGGGAGCAAGCCAGAGACATAATGAGGCCTCCAGACTCCCCCACACCCCTTGGGCTCCTGGGGCTCCGGCTGATTGGTCAGTAAAGTCTTTCAGAGATTTTTCTATTACCGAAAGAGAGAAAATGGTTTAAAAAAAACACAAAACAAAACATCAGAAAACCCAAAAGCGATTTGGTGCAGGCCCTTGAGTTATCTCTGGTGCCAGCCACTTAGAAAATCCTCTTCCGCTTCAGGTAGGAGTCCGCGTAGTGGCCGCCGAGGCCCTGGGAGTGCTGGCCCACATAGCTGCCTTCTGGGCTGGGCTCGGGCGAGGGCAGCAGGTGGGCAAAGCTGCGTTTCTGGCCGCCCAGTGGGGTCTGGAGACAGAGGGCAGGGCGGGGCGGGTCAGGGGCCGCTGGGGGGCCGGGGCTTCCCAGCCCTGCATGTCCCCACCCCCTGCCCGTACCTTCAGCAGGTGGCTGTGACCATTAGGCCCGGGGCTGAGGCCCAGGAGCCCTTCTCCGGACCCCAGCGGGGAAGAGCCGATTGCCTGGGAGAAATGGAGAGGTGGAACAGGTCACTCCCTGGGGGCCAGAGGAAGCACCCACCCCGCCCCCCTGCCACTGCCCCCCAGCCCTGAGGGAAAGCGAACAGTTTCAGGTTCAAATCTTGCTTCTGCTACTTTCTAGCTATAAGACCTAGGGCCAATTGCTCCATTTTATTTGAGCCTCGGTTTTCTCATCTGTCAGATGGGGCCAGTAGCACCCACAGCCTGGGCTGTAGAGAGAGGAAGTGACAGAAAGCCCGGAATGCTGGCAGTGCTAGGTGCTTGATGCAGAGTGGATGGAGGACAATAGGCTGTTGCTACTCCACCCTGAGCAAGACCAACCCCTGCCACCACCCCAGCTTTGGCCTGGGCACCGAGGGTTACAGAGCCCCGGTGGCAGGCACCCCCAAATCCTAGCTGTCCCAGGGGGCCTGTGCTTGGCCAGAGAGGTTCCTCACCTTACTGAGGTGGCTCTGCTTGAGGCCAGCCTGCAGGCCGCTGGTGAAGTAGGAAGTGGGCGAGCCTGAATAGAAGTGAGACAGGGGGCCCCCGCCACTCCCACCGCTGCTCCGTTCGCCGAAGCCACTGGGCGGGGGGGACATCTGTAGAAGAAGGGCCGGTGGAGTGAAGCAGACAATTGTAGTACCCAGCCCTTTGTATACAATCTTCCCTCTGCCTCCCAGGTTCAAGCGATTCTCCTGCCTCAGCCTCCCGAGTAGCTGGGATTACAGGCATGCGCCACCATGCCCAGCTAATTTTTTGTATTTTTAGTAGAGACGGGGTTTCTCCATGTTGGTCAGACTGGTCTCACACTCACGACCTCAGGTGATCCGCCCACCTCGGCCTCCCAAAGTGCTGGGATTACAGGCGTGAGCCACCATGCCCGGCAGTTCTGGGCTTTGCAAAGACTAGCTTTGGCTAATAGGACTGAGGAGAGCTGGCACGTGGGTACCCGCCTCCTCTTCCTCCTCCAGGAACCCAGGGATCATCACCGCACGAATGGGCACACAGAAACTGTTCCAGCCTGTGGACGCCAAATATGTGAGGCCACATAGCTCACTGAGACCCAGGTGAGTGCCGGGGACCGCCCACTGCCCCATAGAGTGGCAAGAAGTAATACAATGCCTGGCATGGTATGGTGGCTCATGCCTGTGATCCTAGCACTTTGGGAGGCCAAAGTGGGAGGATTGCTTGAGCCCAGGAGTTTGAGGCCACAGTGAGCTATCATGGAGCCACTGCACTCCAGCCTGGGCAACACAGTGAGATCCTGTCTTAAAAAAACCCACAAAGAACACACAAAATACAAGGTCTGCTGTTCCAGGCTACTAAGTCATGGCACAGCCTGTCATGTAGTAAAAGCTGATTGCTACACATGCCATACCAGGTGGCTCTTACCTTGTGTCGGCTGGGTCCGTGAGGCCCAAGGGCTGGTTCCCGTGGGTGGGAGAAGAGCCGCCGAGGTCCCATGTCCTGAATGAAAGCGGGAGAAGCACATTGGGTTGGAGTCTGTCCCAGCCTCACCCCTGGCTGAACTCCATGGCAGAGCTGTCATCAGGGAAGACAGTCCCCACCACTCTGGGACCAGGAAGAGGCAAATTTGGGGCTGGATGCAGCTTGGCAGGGATGGCTGCTGTGAAGGGGGGTGCCCCCCATGGGCCTAAGTGTTTGGAGTTTCCCAGGCAAGCTGGGAATTCGAGCTGTGTGGACTCTTGCAGTTTTCCTGTGTTGGCGTTAGTTCCTGTTGTTATTTGTTTGAAACACAGAGGGGGCCAAACATCACCCAGGTGACCTGTGGGCGGCCAGTTTGCAATTTCTTTCTTTTTTTTTTTTAAACGGAGTTTTGCTCTTGTTGCCCAGGCTGGAGTGTAATGGCACAATCTTGGCTCACCACAACCTCCGCCTCCCAGGTTCAAGTGATTCTCCTGCCTCAGCCTCCCTAGTAACTGGGATTACAGGCATGTCTACCACACCTGGCTAATTTTGTATTTTTAGTATAAAACATAAATTATATTTTATATTATATATGAAATATATATTTTATTATATATTTTATAATATATAATTTCTCCATGTTGGTCAGGCTGGTCTTGAACTCTTGACCTCAGGTGATCTGCCCGCCTCGGCCTCCCAAAGTGCTGGGATTATAGGCATGAGCCACCGTGCCTGGCCCAGTTTGCAATTTCTGACCTGCCAAGGAGGTTGGCATCATAGAAGGACCAAATCTCCAGGGGCACAGACAGGAATCAAAGGTGGGAGAGAGGGATAGAAAGGGCAAGCCCTGTCTCTGGGGAGAGACAGTGTGGCCTAAGTCCTCTTGGGAGAGAAAGACAGACGCAGGATGACAGACAGACTGAGACCCAAGATCCTCCAGGGCTCGAGAATGGACAGACAGGCAGGTGGACCGGAAGCAGGGGGTGATGTGCAGACAGACGGGAAACTTTAAGGGCATGAGGCTGGGCGCGGTGGCTCTTGCCTGTAATCCCAGTACTTTGGGAGGCTGAGGCGGGTGGCTCACTTGAGGTCAGGAGTTTGAGACCAGCCTGGACAACACAATGAGACTCCGTCTCTACCACAAATTTAAAAATTAGCTGGGCATGGAGGTGCGTGCCTGTGGTCCCAGCTCCTCAGGAGACTGAGGTGTGAGGATCGCTTGAGCCCAAGAGGTTGAGGCTGCAGTGAGCTATGATCGCACCACTGCACTCCAGCCAGGGCAGCAGAGGGAGACCCTGTCTCTAAAAAAAAAAAAAAAAAAAAGCAGAGACCATATCTGGCACGTTCCCTGCCGCCTCCCTAGCACATGGCCTGGCATAGTCAATCCTAGAGAAATATCAGTTTGGAGAATGATTTGGCCTTAGGGGACAGAGAGCTGCAGCCAGGCACTCACCGAGGGGTAGTCGAAGCTGTAGCTGTCAGACAGTCCTGGTTCGGGGGGCAGGCGGGCGCTGCTGAGGGGGCTGAGCAGGCGGGACTTGAGCTGGAAGGCTTTGCTGCTGCTGCTGCCACCTCCAGGGGCTGGGGGGTTAGTTGGGGGGCCCTCAGCTGGGCGGCGGCTTCTCCCGGCGCCTCCCCAGCCCCGGGCCTCCTTACCCGCCAGGTTGCTGGCCGGGAGCAGGCTGTGTAGGTTCAGGTAGGGATTCAGGGGAATCCGGTAGTCCTTGGGGGGCTCCCCCAGCAGTGAGACCTGTGGCGGGAAGGCAGGATTCGAGAGGGCCCCCGGGAGAGGGAACCCTGCGGAACAGGAGGCTGGTGTGGTGCCGCGCGCAGGGCAGGGCCTTACCCCAGGGGGCGTCGGCAGAGGCCCACTGTCTTTCTGGAGGCCTCTGAGGCCAGAGCCTCGGAGCCCCACAGGGGCGGGGGGAGGAGTGAGCTGGGCCGCTGGGGGACCCAAGCCCAGGGCCTCCCGGTCACCCCCAGCAGGGCCAAGCACGGATGGCAGCAGGGGTGGTGGCTTCCCTCGCCGGGGCGGCAGCTCCGGGGGCAGGCCCCCTCCTAGGGAGGGAAGGAGGATTTCAGGGGCCCAGGCTCACAGGACCCCTCTCCCCAGGGCCCTCCAGCTCCCACCTGGACCAGGGCCCAGGGGTCAAGAGACAAATCCATGCTGGCCACTGAGCAGAGCTCATCCCTGGGCCCTGAGTGGAGGGCACCCAACTGATGGACAAGGGCGCTGGGACCCAGAGGTTGGGTCACTCACCCGAGGCCACGTAGCAGGGAAGGAAGGGGAAGTGGCTGGGGGACACCGTGTGGGCAGGGTCTGCGTTACCTGCAGGCAGCTCCCCGAGGAGGGGGTTGGCTGGCTGGGCCCCAGGCTGGAGGGCGCCCAGGGGTGAGTCTCCCAGGATGCCGGGCTTCTAGGGACAGAGCACAGACAGTTGCAGATGGGGGCAGGGTGGCCCAGGGAAGCAGACAGGTGTGGCCCAGAGTCTTGGCAGACACACCCCAACTCCAGGGCACGGCCGATCCTGGGCAGACAGGCACAGGGTTCCCCAGTGCCCGCCACACTCCAACTCTATCACTGTCCCATCAGCCATGGTGACCGAGGGTCTCCTGAGCTCCAGGCCCCAGTTCCCTGGCCAATGATTGCAGCACAGTATCAACTGCAGCCACATGGAATGGGACAGCCACACAGTGTTTCAGCCACTTTTAGTCACAGAAGGCCAGACCCACAGGCTCACATATTCTGTCAGTTACCACCAGACAGACACACCTGACTTAGAATCCAGGGAACCACACCAGACAGGACGGAGCATGGGTGTATGTCTATGTGTGTGTGTGTCTGTGTGTGTGTGTGCGTGTATATCTGTGTCTTTGTTTCTGTGTGCATGAGTCTGTCTTGTGTCTATATGTGTGTCTGTGTCTATGTGTGTGTCTTTGTCTTATGTCTTTGTGTGTCTATGTCTCTGTGTGTATATTTGCATCTTTGTATGTGTGAGTCTATATGTATACCTGTGTTTCTAGGTGTGCGTGTGTGTGTGTGCACACACTGAGGGGATAGACCTGGAGTTTTTTCCCAGGCATGTCTATAGAGCTTCCGAGCAGAGTCTATTCACAAACTGGTGCCCAGCAGCGGCGCTCCCAGCCCACACCCAGTTTCAGGCTGTAAATGGGCGTGTCCAGGTCCCCTGACCCCACCCCAGGCACCAAGTCCAGGGGCGCTCTCAGAATGGAGGGAAAGATGGCGAACCATCATGAGCAATTGCCAGAGGGGGATGGGGATGTGGGTGGGAAAGGCAGGGGTTTGGGGGAGTCGCCCTCACCCTGGTTCTGCGCCCCCAGGGCACAGCCAGAGGTCCCCCCACCCCACCGATCGCACCAGCTGTGTTGAAAAGAGCCTGTAGGGGCTGTAGAGCAGTGGGTGAGGGGGATGCGTGTGTTACCTTCTGGCCCTGGGTCTGCAGGGCGAGCTGCAACAGCGCCGTGGACAGGGCTGGCCCATTGAGCAGCGGCATGGCTGGGGGGGCACCCAGGAGGCCTGGAGGGAGACATAGGAGGATGTGTGGGGGTCCCTGTGTCCTCCCTGCCCCACCTCACGAAACACAGCCCTGAACCCATTGATGGGGCAGGAAACTGACACTCTGGGGCCGGGGGGTGGGCAGTGGACTTGCCCAAAGGAAGGGCCTAGAAGGGGCAGAGGCTACTCCAGTGAAGGTCAGCCCCCTCTTGTCAGCACCCCACCTCACTGCAGGCTGCTGTGTGGCCCTGGTCCCGGCCCCCAGTTGTGGACAGCAGCAGCCCCCGCTATGACTCCATACTCCCCCTCGGCCCTACTCCTGGGGCTCCTGTCACTGCAGCCAAGATGAGCAGTTTCGGGAAGTGCCGGGGGCAGCGCTGCAGCCCCTGTTCTGCACAGTGGGGCCCCTGTCCAGCCCCACCTTACCCTGCTTCCCCCCCGCACTGCCATGGAGCAGGGGGTTGAGCAGCAGCTGGAGGGACGCGGATGGGCCCAGGTTGTTGAGCAGCTGCAGGATGTTGGGCTCGGGGAGGAGTCCCTTCCCCCGATTGAGGGCCTGCAGGAAGGAACAGAAGCAGCTCAGAGTGCCGCTGGGGCCCTGACATCCCCATGGGGCTCCCATCCCCACCCCGCCACCTCTGCCCGCACAGGCTCACCGTGGCCTGGGCAGCGATGAGAGCGGCCAGCATACTGCGGCCGGGGGGCCCAGGGGCGCAGAAGGAGACTCGCAGGTGGCTGCCCCCCAGGGACAGGCCGTCCGCCTGCTGCTGTGCCTCCTCCGCCATCTCAGCCGTCTCATACTCCAGCACCGCGAAGCCCTTCAGCTGCCCATCCTGGCCGCACGCCAGCTGCCGGAGGAAGGCAGGCAGTCATGAGCATCTGGGCAGCAGTGACTGCACCACCCCGGGAAGTGACAACCGTAACCAGACTCAGCTGCCCCATAAGGGTGAACTCCACGCCAGGCCTCCACTGCCCTGTGCCTCATTCCTGCATCAGCTCATCTGATTTTCCCAATGACCCTGGGAGGCTGCATCATACCCATTTCTCAGAGAAGGCAACTGAGGCACGGAGAGGTCAGCGCACCCAAGGCCACACAGCTGGAGGGAGGGCGGAGCTGGGAGCCACCTCACCAACAAAGCCAAGGCCACGGGCGGATGCGGTGGCTCACACCTGTAATCCCAGCACTTTGGGAGGCCGAGGCGGGCAGATAACCTGAGGTCGGGAGTTCGAGACCAGCCTGACCAACATGGAGAAACCCCGTCTCTACTAAAAATACAAAATTAGCCAGGCGTGGTGGCACATGCCTGTATTCCCAGCTACTTGGGAGGCTGAGGCAGAGGCAAGAGAGTCACTTGAACCTGTGAGGCAGAGGTTGCGGTGGGCCGAGATCGCGCCACTGCACTCCAGCCTGGGCAACAAGAGCAAAACTCCATCTCAAAAAAAAAAAAAAAAAAGAGATAATCAGCAACGGGTGGGGAAGGAAGGGCTCTCGTTCCAGACAGTGGCCAAGCCAGGTAGCAGTGCTAAGGGAAGTGGTTGGGCTGGGCACCGGCACTTGCTGAATGCCCGGGCAGCAAAGGTGCAGGTAGCAGCCCTTCACCTCTGCCCACGCCCTGTGCCAAGGTCTGGGCACAGATCTCCCATAACCAAACCTGTCGGCTTTTGTTTTGTTTTGTTTTTTTTGAGACAGAGTCTTGCTCTGTCACCCCGGAGTGCAGTGATGTGAACTTAGCTTACCGTAACCTCCACCTCCTGGGTTCAAGTGATTCTCCTGCCTCAGCCTCCTGGTAGCTGGGATTACAGGTGTGCACCACCACGCCCAGCTAATTTTTGTATTTTTAGTAGAAATGAGGTTTCACCATGTCGGCAAGGCTGGTCTTGAACTCCTGACCTCAAGCGATCCGCCTGCCTTGGCCTCCCAAAGTGCTGGATTACAGGCGTGAGCCACTGTGCCCGGCCATAAACACACCCATCTTAGGGATGAACAGAGAGAGACTCAGAGGGGTCACAGAGTGATCAAGGCCACACAATTCCTAAGTCGAGGGACTGATGTGTGAACCTCAAGCTGCTTCACTGTCAAGCCCACCCTCCATTCAGCTGGGTCACCTAACATTAAAGGTGGGCTCCTCGGAGGACATCACTTCAACGCCTGCTACTCATCAGATGCTCAACAAATGTTTGGTGAGACCAGGCCCAGTGGCTCGAATCTATAATCCCAGCTCTTTGGGAGGCAAAGGCAGGAGGATCGTTTGAGCACAGGAGTTTCAGACCAGCCTGGGCAACATAGGGAGACCCCATCTTCACATAATTTTTTTTTTTTTTGAGGGAGTCTCGCTCTGTTGCCCAGGCTGGAGTGCGGTGGCATGATCTTGGCTCACTGCAACCTCCACCTCCCTGGTTCAATCAATTCTCCTGCCTCAGCTTCCCGAGTAGCTGGGATTAAAGGCACCTACCACCACGCCTGGCTAATTTTTTTTCTATTTTTAATAGAGACAGGGTTTTTGTTTTTTGTTTTGTTTTTTTTGAGACGGAGTCTCGCTCTGCCACCCAGACTGGAATGCAGTAGTGGGATCTTGGCTCACCACAACCTCTGTCTCCCAGGTTCAGGTGATTCTTCTGCCTCAGCCTCCCAAATAGCTGGGACCACAGGCACATGCCACCACACCCAGCTAATTTTTTTTTTTGTATTTTTAATGGAGATAGGGTTTCACCATGTTAGCCAGGATGGCCTCGATCTCCAGACCTCGTGATGCACCCACCTCGGCCTCCCAAAGTGCTGGGATTACAGGCGTGAGCCACCGTGCCATGAGACAGGGTTTTACCATGTTGGCCAGGCTGGTTTCGAACTCCTGACCTCAAGTGATCTGCCCGCCGCAGCCTCCCAAAGTGCTGGGATTACAGGCATGAGCCACTGTGCCCGGCCTCTACATAAAATTTTAAAAATCAGCTGGGCATGGTGATGCATTCCTGTAGTTCCCCAGCTACATGGGAGGCCAAGGTAGGAGGATTTCTTGAACCCAGGAGGTCGAGGCCGGAGTGTACTCCTCCAGCCTGGGTGATTGAGAACCTGTCTCAAAAAAAAAAAAAATTAAGTTTAGTGAATGTTCGAGTGGAGGAATGAATGGGCAGCTGTTCACAACAACCTGATCATGAAGCACTGCCAGCCCCATTTTGAGATGTGGAAACAGGCTAGGAGAGTACCTGTAGCTGGTCATGACCCTGTGACCTTTGATCTCCACATAAGAAGGTAAGGCCAGGCCAGCGCAGTGGCTCACACCTGTAATCTCAGCACTTGGGGAGGCCGAGGCAGGTGTATCACCTGAAGTCAGGAGTTCAAGACCAGCCTGGCCAACACGGCGAAACCCCATCTCTATTAAAAACACAAAAATTAGCTGGGTGTGGTGTCAGGCGCTGTCATCCCAGCTACTCGGGAGGCTGAAGCTGGAGAATCACTTGAACCCAGGAGGCGGAGGATGCAGTGAGCCAAGATCGCGCCCCTGCACTCCAGACTGGGTGACAGAGCAAGACTCTGTCTTAAAAAAATATAAAATAAAATAAAAGAAAGGTGAGGCCATTGTGCTAACTCATCTTCTGTCCTGAGCCCGCACAGGCGGCCTGGTACATAGCAGGCCTGGTACGTAGCAGGTGTCCAAGAGAAAGCAGCAGAATGGATGAATGATAAGTAAACAGAGAGGGGGTTCCCGTGGCTCATGGATACTCAGTTTTTGTTTTTTTTGTTTCTTTGAGACGGAGTCTCGCTCTGTCGCCCAGGCTGGAGTGCAGCGGCACGATCTCCACTAACCGCAACCGCAGTCTTCTGGGTTCAAGCAATTCTCCTGTCTCAGCCTCCTGAGTAGCTGAGATTACAGGCGCGTGGCGCCATGCCTGGCTACCTTTTTTTTTTTGTTGTATTTTTAGTAGAGACGGGATTTCTCCATGTTTGTCAGGCTGGTCTCAAACTCCTGACCTCAGGTGATCCGTCCGTCTCGGCCTCCAAAGAGCTGGCATTACAAGCGTGAGCCACTGCGCCTGGCCTGTTTTTTTTTTTTTTTTTTTTTCTGTTTTTGAGATGCAGTGTTGCTTTGTCACCCAGGCTGGAGTACAGTGGCGTGATCTCAGCTCACTGCAACCTCCACCTCCCAGGTACAAGCGATTCTCCTGCCTCAGCCTCCTGAGTAGCTGGGATTACAGGCCTGCACCACCACACCTGGCTAATTTTTTTTGTATTTTTAGTAGAGACAGGGTTTCACCATGTTGGCCAGGCTGGTCTTGAACTCTTGACCTCAAGTGATCCACCTGCCTCGGCCTCTCAAAGTGCTGGGATTACATGCATGAGCCACCTCACCCAGCCTGTTTCTTGTTTTAAATATAGAGATGGTGTCCCACTATCTTGCCCAGGCTAGTCTTGAACTCCTGGTCTCGAGTGATCCTCCTGCCTCTGCCTCCCAACAGACACCTAGTTTAAATGGGGCACCAATACCCCACTTACACGAGAGGGACCCACTCAAGCCCACAGAGCTGGGGGTCCGAGCCCAGGACTGTCTCTCTGTTTTTGAGATAAGGGTCTAGCTCTGTTGCTCAGGCTGTAGTGTCATGGTGCTGTGGTGCGATCATGGCTCACTGCAGCCTCGGACTCCCAGAATCAGGCAATCCTCCCACCTCAGCCTCCTGAGTAGCTGGGACTACAGGCACACCATCATACCTATCTAATTTTTGTATAGAGAGGATTTCACCATATTGCCCAGGCTGGTCTCGAACTCCTGGGCTCGAGGGATCCGCCCGCCTCAGCCTCCCAAAGTGTTAGGGTTACAGGTGTGAGTCACTGCACCTGGCCAGGCCTACCCCTTTTAAGCCTCTGCACTGGCCTCCGCTCACTGGCCCAAGCTCTGGAGCTAGGCTGCGGTGTTCTGATCCCAGCTCTGCCAGACCCTGGCTGTTTAACTCTAGGCAAGTTACTTGACCCCTCTGTGCCTTGGTATCCTCACCTGAAAATGGGAGTGATACCTGCCTCTCAGGGTTGCTACAGGATGAAGCAACTGAAGGTTACGTACTCAGAGTCCACAGCGAGTGCTGGGGGAATGTCCCCTTTGGGATCTCTGGGGATCAAGACCTTCTGGGGGCTCTTAGAGAGTGAGTCTGGCCTGTTCTCGCCCCACTGCACCTGTTACAGGGCGAGGCACACACACAGAAGTGCCTGGCATGTGTGGCTTGAATGAACAAGGGACTGTTTTGCCAACCCATTGTGCAAGTATTGAGTCCCTGCTTATGGAGGAGGGAAACTGCAGATCAGAGAGCCAGTGACTGGCCCGAGCTCGAGGGCGGGGCTGGGATCTGGCAAAGCCTCAGTCTCTGACCTCAAGGCTCAAATAGACTGTGGGCTCCTCTGCAGCCTCCTCAATGCCTGGTCCAGGTCTGGGACCCCATGGGAGGTTTGACGAGGGTACCAGCGAATGAGGAGGTGAGTGGTGAGCAAGCCTCGAGATCCATAGTTACAAGAGTGGCCTTGCATGCATCTGATAGAGGGACAGTGAGGCCTGAGGCTGCAGAGGGATTCAAATCCCCTGGCCAGGTGTGGTGGCTCACGCATGTAATCCCAGCACTTTGGGAGGATCACCTGAGGCCAGGAGTTCAAGACTATCCTGGCCAACATGGCAAAACCCCATCTCTACTAAAAATATAAAAATTATCCAGGCATGGGGGCGGGGCGCCTATAATCCCAGCTACTCTGGAGGTTAAGGCAAGAGAATTGCTTGAACCAAAGAGGCGGAGGTTGCAGTGAACTGAGATTGTATCACTGCACTCCAGCATGGGTGACAAAGTGAGACTGTCTCAAAAAAAAAAAAGAAAAGGCAGATGACTCCAAAGACTCTCTCAGGTGCTCCGGGCCTGGCACCTGCTCCCCAATGCTCTCCACAGGGCTCACCTGGCAGAAGGTGGGGCTGTGGACAGCTGACAGCGCCCGGCACAGAGCGTCCACATCGTTGAAGCCAGGTGGCAGGCGGTCCACACAGAGGCAGCGGGAGTGGAGAAGGGCAGGCGTCAGTTGCCCGGCATCCGTCCAGTGCACGTAGAGGGTGCGTGGTCCCAGCGGCTTGCCCAGCAGGTCCGACTTGGCACGGGCAGCCGAGTCCTTCTTCATGTACTCAGCAAAGCCATAGCCCTTGGATTGGCCAGTGCGCTCACTGTAGACCAGGAAGCAGCGCTCCAGGCTGCCGAAGGGCCGCACCAGCTCCTCGAACTGCTGCTGTGTGAGGCTGGGGGGCAGGTTGGCCACACACAGCAGGGCATCCGTGGGCTGCAGCTGCACCGACAGTTCACGCTCCCGCAGGCGGCTCTGGTGGAAAGCATTGATTGCGGCCTCGGCCTGCTCCCCATTCAGCAGGGTCACGAAGGCTGCGGTGGGAGGAGGGCAGTGCGAGGTCAGCCGGGCCCTGAGGGCCTGCCCCTCCACCCCGCCACCCTGCAAACCAGGTGGGACCTCCAAATGCTGGGCATCTCAGGTGCCTGCTGATCTGAGCAGTTGCCAGCCTTGGCGACTCACACAGGCGAGAGCGCCTGCCATTGACTCTAGGCTCCACGAAGCCCACTCCCTCTCCCAGCCCTGCGTCCACCTGCACCCACAGCAGCGCTCACCAACTGTGGGCCTGGCTCTGTCCTAAGAACGCTGTGGGTCACTCGGGTGATACCAAGGGCAGTGGTTAAGCCCATGCTCACTGGGGCCCAGATTTAAGCCCCAAGCCCCAGGTGGCTTTGGGGGTATCAGTTTCCTCATCTCTCAAATGGATATAACTTAATCATCACAATCACCATTTTGCCAGAGAGGAAACGGGCCCAGAGCAGCACCCCTGTGCCCCGAGTAGGGGAGCCTGGACTTGAACCCAGGCAGCCGGACTCCAGAGGCCCACTCTACACACTGCCCACCCCTGCCACCTTTCCAGGCCACCAGTGCCCCTGAACCCTGCTGCCACGTGCTGCCCCAGATTTGCGATCCACCCAGCGGCCGCAGGAAGCTTTGTTCAAAACGATCACGCCACATCCATCTTGTGGCTTCTAGCTGCAGGGTGCAGTGCAGCCTGTGCGGGCTCGCTGACCTCCCCTCCCATCTCACCGCTGCCACCCGGACCACGCCAGGCACACTCCAGAGGGGCCTTTGCAGCTGCTGTTTCTTGAGCATGGAACACTGAGCCCCACCTCCTCACCTGGTTAACCTGGACCCACCCAGGTAGAAACCCTGTCTCTACTAAAAATACAAAAATTAGCCGGGCATGGTGGCACATGCCTGTAATCCCAGCTACTCGGGAGGCTGAAGCAGGGGAATGGGCTGAACCCAGGAGGCGGAGGTTGCAGCGAGCCGAGCTCGCGCCACTGCACTCCAGCCTGGCGACAGAGCAAGACTCCATCTCAAAAAAAAAAAAAAAAAGACCACACAAGCAGGGGTGACTGGCTGAGTGAGGCAAGAGGGGTAAGAAGAGAATGAACCCACGGCCAAACGTTGTCAAGAATTAGCTCAATGCCAAGCGAGTGGAGTAGGAAGAGAATCAGCCCGATGCCCAGTGTTCTCCAAGGAGAACATGAAGGCTGTCCCAAGATGACAGGATGACAGGCAGATTGGGGCAACCTGCCATGTTGGCCTGGGGGGCAATACTGGGCCTGAAGCTCAGAGCAGCAGACAGTGAGCCAGGCCCTCCCATCTTCAGGGATGGTCACTCCCTGCCCTGGCCCGCCCCATGGCCCCACAAACCTGTCCCTTTGTATTTGTCCACAAAACAGTATTTGAGCTCATAGTCACTGAGCAGGTCATGTACTTCCTGTGGAGATACAAGACAAAAGACAGGGAGTTACTGGAGATGGAAGGGGGCAACCCAGTGCCGCTTCATAGCTGCCACCAGCTATGAAGGCAGGTCAATTACCACCCCCCATTTTACCAATGAGGAAACTGAGGCTCGATGCAGTAATTTTGTCAAGGTCATTCTGCTCATACCTGGCAGAGATGGGATTCAGAACCTAGCTGCAGACTGTGCTATTACCCAGGCAACATGCTCTTAGAGGGTATACCTTTAGCTGGCTGGGCGGGGTGGCTCACGCTTATAATCCCAGCATTTTGGGAGGCCGAGGCGGGTGAATCACCTGAGGTCAGGAGTTCGAGACCAGCCTGGCCAACATGGTGAAACCTTGTCTCTACTAAAAATACAAAAATTAGCCAGGAGTGGTGGCGCACACCTGTAATCCTAGCTACTCGGGAGGCTGAGGTAGGAGAACTGCTTGCACCCAGGAGGCAGAGGTTGCAGTGTGCCACTGCACTCCAGCCTGGGTGACAAAGGGAGACACTGTCAACAACAATAACAACAAGGCCGGGCGCGGTGGCTCACGCCTGTAATCCCAGCACTTTGGGAGGCCGAGGCGGGTGGATCACGAGGTCAGGAGATCGAGACCATCCTGGCTAACAAGGTGAAACCCCGTCTCTACTAAAAATACAAAAAAATTAGCCGGGCGCGGTGGCAGGCGCCTGTATTCCCAGCTACTCGGGAGGCTGAGGCAGGAGAATGGCGTGAACCCGGGAAGCAGAGCTTGCAGTGAGCCGAGATTGCGCCACTGCAGTCCGCAGTCCAGCCTGGGCGACAGAGCGAGACTCCGTCTCAAAAAAAAAAAAAAAAAAAAAAAAAAATAACAACAACAAAAAAAAAAAAAAAAAAAGAGGCCGGGCTCACGCCTGTAATTCCAGCACTTTGGAGGCTGAGGCAGGCGGGTCACAAGATCAAGAGATCGAGACCATCCTGGCCAGGAAGGTGAAACCCCATCTCTACTAAAAATACAAAAATCAGCTGGCTGTGGTGGCGTGCACCTGTAGTCCTAGCTACTCGGGAGACTGAGGCAAGACAATTGCTTGAACCCGAGGGGTGAAGGTTGCAGTGAGCAGACATCAAGCCACTGCACTCTAGCCTGGCGACAGAGTGAGACTCCGTCTCAAAAAAAAAAAAAAAAAAAAAAAGAGTATGCCTTTAGGGAAGCCATTTAACCTGCATGAACCTCCTTTTGCAA
This sequence comes from Homo sapiens, assembly GCF_000001405.40. Lineage (NCBI taxonomy): Eukaryota > Metazoa > Chordata > Mammalia > Primates > Hominidae > Homo > Homo sapiens. The sequence goes on from NC_000019.10 coordinate 10,331,758, forward strand.
GATTCACTGTTTCCAACAACTCTGTAAGTGAAGTATTAACAAACTCATGTTGTATATGAGAAAACTTAGGCTAGGAGAAGTGAAGAGATCTGCTGGAGGCCATGCAGTTGGGCAGCGCAGCCACCCATGGGTACCTGACTGGGGAGCCCACCTTCTAGTAAGCCCCACGTTGTGTGGGTTCACATGCCTCCCAATTTCCTCCTGCTGATAAAGCTGCCCTCTTCCAAGCCAGCTCATTTATTTTTCTTTTTTTTAGAGATAGTGTCTTGTTCTGTCACCTAGGCTAGAGTGTAGTAGCACAATCATAGCTCACTGCAGCCTCAACCTCCTAGGCTCAAGTGATCCTCCCACCTCAGCCTCCTGCGTAGCTGGGACTACAGGCACGCACCACCATGCCTGGCTAATTTTTAAAAATTTTTTGTAGAGATGAGGGTTTCACTATACCGCCCAGGCTAGTCTCGAACCCTTGGGCTCAATACAGCCTCTTGCCTCAGCCTCTCAAAGTGCTGGGATTAAAGGGATGAGCCACCATGCCCAGCCTCTCAAGCCAGCTTTGAAGGCAAAGTGCTGGCGCCTGCTGGGACCAGACACACTGTGCATCTTGCAGGAGAGACAATGTGTTCCCAGCTGAGAGACTGCAGACACTGAGAGGAAGACCCAGAAAGAAACCTGACCATCCTTAATGATCCCTGTCCCGATCTGTCCCCAAATTCAGCCCCTCCCAACATCCCTGGGGTTCCACTAGCCACGTGCCCACCCGGTGTGCTGGTGGGCCGGAGAGCAGGGAATCTCAGCAGCAGGAAGCGAGAACCTATTTCACCGCCATAGGGCAGGGCAGTATAGATGCCATTTCCCTGGGTCCAAAGAGCATTGGGAAGCGCTGCCCCATGCTGGCCCCATGAGAAGGGCACTCCTAGCAGGAAGATTAGCCACGAGGGGCTCCATAGAACACAGGCCTCGCTTCCTTCCTGTAGGTCTGTAGGCTGGTGGCAGAAGACCCCATTTTCCCAAATTAATCCTGAGGTTTTGGGGGCTGAGACCCAGGGGCTGCTGTTAACTTCCGGATTTATCTCTGAGAGCAGTGAATAAACGCGTGATATGGAGGGGCGTACTCTCCGCAGTCCTGAAACTTCTGGATGTGAGGTCCCGCCACCCTGTGGTAGAGTGGGTGGAGAAAAGCATCATCCAAGCAGGGGGCAACTGGTGGTCCAATGTACCAGCCCATTCACAATTCCCCAACAGGACCAAAGCTGTCCGCCCCCTTCCATTCCCCGCCCGCTTCCATCACTTGGTGTCGCCCAAGCCTGTGGTCGCCCCTAGCAACGCCCTCCCTCACTTCGCAGTCGGTTTCCCCTTTCATCATCGCCCCCCCACGTCCCGCTCTTGGTCTCTCCCGATCCCGCGTGGATCCGGTGCTTGGGCGCCCCCGCCAACGACCCCCGCGCACCTCAGCGTTGGTGTCGCCCGGTTCCCCCCGCGCACGCGCACCGTGGTATTTCCCGCCACGCTCCTACACCGCCCCCCCCAATACCTGGTTGGTCACGTCCCCCGGGAGGCCCCGGATCAGTATCTTGCGGCGGTTACGGAACTGGCGCTCGGTGTGTTCCAGGCGTTTCCGGATCTCTTCTGGATCTAGAGGCGGCAGCTCTTCTTCCGGCGCCCGGCGCTCCGCGGCATCGCCGGCTTCGACTTCGGCCCCAGACTTAGGGCTCAGCGGGGGCCGGTGAGTAACGGACACGTCCGCCGCCATCTTGGGAAACCCGGCGCCTTCTGGGACCAGCGAGCCGGGGCGGAGCGGCATAGAGCGGCAACGAGGGCGCGCCCGTCGATTGGCTGGGAGAAACCCCACCTCCTTCCCGCCCCCCTTGCCCCGTTGGCTAAGCCCCAGCCCACCTCTCAAGAGTTCAAGCTGCGTCTGCGCGCCACAGGCCCCGCCCCCTTCCGTCGCAGCGACGCTACTCAGTGGATGTGCACCTGGGTGGGAGAGACTTGCAGCGCGGGTGGAATCAAACCACAGATTAGGGAGTTTGAAGGCTTTATTGGTGCGGAATCTGAGGGCACAGCCAAGCCCCCGCCAACTTTGATCCCGGATCCCAGCGTCACTCAGCTCTGGACGGTTCTTCCCCCATTGCTTCTGTCGGCTGCATAGACGTGAGGGGCAGATAGGTGCTCTCCTCCCTAACATGGTAACTGCCGCTCCGTTGGTGCTCCCTGAAGACGTACATTAAGGCCAGTACGATAGTCACCACGCCCAGGGTCAGTAACACCGCCACGAAGACGGGGACAAAGTGGGAGCTCCCAGCTGTGCAGAGAAAGCGCTAAGTCAATATGCGTCCCTTCTGTCTCCAACCCCCCCGCCCCCCGGCTTACCGGTCCAGACCCGCAGCCCCGTGTTAGCTCACCCTCAATGTCCATCACCACGACCAGGGTGTATTTGCCTCGTGAGCTGGACGCTTGGCACTGATAAGTACCATTATGTGTTACGTTGACGAAGAACGGGATCCCCACCGGCACCTCCCGGCTGGAGCCTTCCTTCAAACACCGCAGCTCGGGGTACGGGTTGCCCCTGGCTTGGCACTGCAGGACGTGTCTCGTTTTATCTTTCCATTTCAAGTGCTGGGGGCATGTGGCTCGGTCAATTTTGGGACCATCTGTGGAACCACCATGTGTGATCAGACACCCAACACACCCGAGGCACAGTGGTGCAGAGGAGCGTCTAATCTTTCCAGGGCAGGGGTGGAGGGATTAAAGGTCAGGGTGACCGACTCACACAGGACTCGCAGCTGGACGCTACTGTTCCTGTGCAAGAACTCGCCGTCCACCTCGAGAGTGGCACTGCAGAAGAAGCTGCGTCCGTCGTCACTCTCGGTAGCATTTAGCTGAAGTTGAGCTGGCTGCCCCGGGGCCGCGGCCGGAACTCCGTCCAGCGTGACCTGGACTCGAGCCCCAGCCATGCAACTCACGGTCACTGTGGACCCCTCATGGGCGGTGGGCTCGCTGAGGTTCACAATGGGTCCTAGGAAGCCTAAAGGCGGGGCATTGCCCAGGAGCTTAATGAACAGGACCTTCCTGTGGGTCAAGCCGCTCCCTCCGCCCTCCCCTTTCCTCTCGGGATATCCGGGCCACGCTTTCGGCCGTTCAAGCCTCGCCCTCTTTCCGCGCTGTGTCCAGCTTCGGGCACTCAGGCCCAACCCACGTTGCAACTGCTATTGGGGCAAGCCAGGCCCCACCTTTTCGGCTAGTCTCCGCCCCCTCTGCCACGCCCCCAGACTGCTGAGGCCGCGCCCCCTTCCCACGCCTCCTCTTACTAAAGACCGTCAAGTTCTCCCGGGCCTCCCGTCTCTCGCCCCCTAGGGTCACGTTGCAGACGATCTCCCGGGCACCCTCCTGATCCGCGCGCGCCGTGGCTGTGGCTGTGGCCGTTAGCGTGTCCCCGTGGTTCATGACTGTCGCATTCAGCATCTGGTCCCCCAGCGCCAGGTAGACCTGGGCCTCTGAGGCTGGAAAAAGCCCGTCTAGGGTGCAGTCCACCGGCCACGACGTTTCCACCTCCAAGAACCGGGGGGCCACGAGGCGCGGGGGGGTCACGGGCAGGACTGGGGAGAAAGGTGGGCATAGTACAACCCCCAGGACTGTGCCTTCCCCAGGACACCCTCATCCCCCCCAGTCAGGATATCTTGCTGACTGGGTCACCCTTCTTCACAGGACACACACACAGGGCCATGAAAACGGCCTTCTTCAAAGATCCCACGGCTCGGGCCTCCCTTCCGGGGCCACCTTGCCCAGTGGCCGGGGGCTTTCCTTCCCAGAAGCCTGTGAGGTCCGGGGTACCCCACTCTCAGGAACCCCAAGGTCAGGGCACCGTCTACCCTGGCTCAGCTCGTCACCCACCGTCTGAAGCCCCTTCTCTCACCAAAGGTTCGGAGCTGGCGGGGGGCTGAGGTGTTCACGAACAGTCCCAGCCCCTGGGGCTGCATGTCCAGTTCTGTGCGGCATGAGAAAGGGGCTCCGTGGTCGTCTCTGCTGGCCAGCACAGTGGCAGTGACCTCCGCTGGCTCCTCCACTGCGGGCTGCCGGCTCAGCTCCTCCTCCCAGCGAAGCAGCACCACCGTGAGGCTGGTCCGGGGCGACCCATCCTCCACTTGGCAGCGCAGGGTGAAGTTCTGGCCCACCGGCTGCCAAGGAGGCAGGGGTGCCAGCTCCACACGCTCCGGGAGCCCTGAGAGAGGAGGGGAGGATGGCACTTAGCGGGTCCTGCAAACCCACCCACTCACCCCAGGGACTGGGGAGGAGACAGGGTGGTCCTGCCGAGAACTGTGAGCTTTGAGTTAATAAACTTAGAGGGCTTAGAGCTGGGCCAGTCGAAGCGTTTGCTATTATCATTAGCGCAGTGATTATCATTTCCTGTGTTGTCAGATACCTTGCAAGGCGCTAAACAAAACTTTCTGTTCTCAAAGATGGCACAATAAAAAAAAATGAGGATGGAAGGGATGAACGTTTATGACTATGATATGAATATTAAAAATTCCTGTTTATGGCCAGACGTGGTGGCTCACGCCTGTAATCCCAGAGCTTTGGGAGGCCGGGGTGGGTGGATCAAAAGGTCAGGATTATTCAGTTCTCTCCAATCAGGTTCAGACACTCAGGGCTTTCCTGGTTCACCAGCCCTGTGGCAGCCTCTCAAGATACTCCGGCACAGTCACAGGAGACTTGACACTCCCAGGCTGGGTGCCCTCCCCAGTACACCTACAAAACGCTGGGCCTCAGGCCGGGCACTGTGGCTCATGCCTGTAATCCCAGCACTTTGGGAGGCCAAGGTGGACGGATCACCTGAGACCAGGAGTTCAAGACCAGCCTTGCCAACATGGTGAAACCCCATCTCTACTAAAAATACAAAAATTAGCCAGGCATGGTAGCACGTGCCTGTAATCCCAGCTACTCAGGAGGCTGAGGCACAAGAATCGCTTGAACCCAGGAGGCAAAATTTGCAGTGAGCTGAGATAGTGCCACTGCACTCCAGCCTGGCGACAGAGAGAGACTCTATGTCAAAAAAAAAAAAAAAAAAAAAAAGGCTGGGCAAGGTGACTCATGCCTGTAATCCCACCACTTTGGGAGGCCGAGGGAGGCGGATCACTTGAGGTCAGGAGTTTGAGACCAACCTGGCCCATATGGCAAAACCCTGTCTCTACTAAAAATACAAAAATTAGCCGGGCATGGTGTCACACGCCTGTAATCCCAGCTACTAAGGAGGCTAAGACAGGAGAATCACTTGAACCCAGGAGGCGGAGGTTGCAATGAGCTGACATCGCGCCATTGTACTCCAGCATGGGGGACAATAGCAAGACTGCGTCTCAAAGAAAAGAAAAGTCAAAAAGTAGGCCAGGCATGGTGGCTCACGCTTATAATCCCAGCACTTTGGGAGGCCAAGGCGGGCAGATCATTTGAGGCCAGGAGTTTGAGACCAGCCTGGGCAACATGGTGAAATCCTGTCCCTACTAAAAATACAAAAATTAGCTGGGCGTGTTGGCATGCGCCTGTAATCCCAGCTACTCAGGAGGCTGAGGCAGGAGAATCGCTTGAACCCGGAAGGCAGAGGTTGCAGTGAGCCAAGATTGCGCCACTGCACTCTAGCCTGGGGGACAGAGTGAGACTCTGTCTCAAAAAAAAAAAAAAAGAAAAGAAAAGAAAAAAAAAAGTAGCCAGGCCTGCAATCCCAGCTACTGGAGAGACTGAAGTGGGAGGATTGCCTGAGCCCAGGAGTTTGAGACCAACCTAGGCAACATAGGGAGATCCTGTCTCTAAAATAAAGGTATAAAAAAGTGTAAATGTAAAACCTCCATTTGCCTACTGCTGACTGAAAGGGGTACCCCCTTTTTTGCTTAAGAGACAAGGGTCTTGCTTTTTTGCACAGGCTGGAGTGCAGTGGTGCAATTATAGCTCACTACAGCCTTGAACTCCTGGGCTCAAGCGATTCTCCCACCTTGGTCCCCCAAGTAGCTGGGACTTCAGGCATGTGCCACCATGCCCAGCTAATATTTTTTATTTATTTTTGTAGAGACGGGGTGTCCCTATATTGCTCTGCCTGGTCTTAAATTTCCGGACTCAAGCAATCCTCCTGCCTTGGCCTCCCAAAGTGTTGGGATTATTGTTGGGGCCAGGCGCAGTGGCTCACACTTGTAATCCCAGCACTTTGAGAGGCTGATGTGGGCGGAACACCCCGTCTCTACTAAAAATACAAAACTTAGCTGGGCATTAGCTGGACCTGGGAGGCAGAGGTCGCAGTGAGCCGAGATTGCACCACTGCACTCCAGCCTGGGCTACAGAGTAAGAGACGCCATCTCAAAAAAAAAAAAAAGCTTGTTGGGGCCGGGCGCAGTGGCCCATGCCTGTAATCCCAGCACTTTGGGAGGCTGAGGTGGGCGGATCGCCTGAGGTCAGGAGTTCAAGACCAGACTGGCCAACATGGTGAAATGCCATCTCAACTAAAAATACAAAATTTGCTGGGTGTGGTGGCGTGCATGTGTAATCTCAGCCACTCGGGAGGCTGAGGCAGGAGAATCACTTGAACCCAGGAGGCGAAGGTTGCAGTGAGCCGACATCGTGCCACTGCACTCCAGCCTAGGCAAAAAGAGCGAAACTCTGTCTCAAAAAAAAAAAAAAAATGCTTGTTGGGGCCCAAGTTAATTGATTTCACAACTGCTGCCTTGGCATGAGATTGAGATGCGTCTCTATATCTCTGTCTCTGTCTCTGTGTCTCTGTCTCTGTCTATCTTTGTATCTCACACACAAATGTCCAGGTCTGAGCTCTGGGTCAGAACTGTGGTCCATTCTTTGCAAACTGAGGGTCCCCACTCTCCTGAGCCATTGGCCACTTGCCCACACCACTACCCAAGACCAGTCCCACCTCCGGACACGTCGACTCACTGTACACGGTGATGTTAGAGGAGCCTGTTATCTGAGAGCCATTGCAGTACACTGAGCAGAGGATCCGACTGTTGCCAGTCACGTTGCTGAGATTGAAGGCTGCCCAGCCCATGCCACTGGCCACCAGCTCCTTTGATAGGGACGTCTCCAAGGCGATTTTCTCAGAGCTGGGACAATCAGTACTGCAGTTCACAAACAGGGACCCTCCAGCAGAGAGCACAGGGTTCTGGGGCTCCACCCGCAAAAGGAACTCCTGCCCCTGGACACCTTCAGGAACATGAAGAAGTCCTGGTGTTTGTTTCCTTGTCCCCCAACCCACGCATCAACAGGCCCCACCATTTAACACCTCTCTCCTTGTGCCGAGACAGAAGGGTTCCTGCCTTCATGGTCCAGTGGGAAAGGTAGAATCCATCAGAGACCGGGGAGAACTCAGAAGGAGGCCAGAAGAGGCTCTGATCCAGCATAGGAGGAGGTGAGTCAGGGAAGGCTTCCTGGAAGCGGGGACCATTGCAGCCCGAAACTGAAGGCTAAGTAGGAGTTAGCAAGTGAAAGGGACAGGTGATCCTGGCAGAGGGAAGCACATACGCAAAGGGCAAATTTCAGGAGTTCAGATGGAGCAGGAAGCATGAGGGGTGTGTGTGTGTGTGTTAGGGGAGAGGGATGGCGTACAAGCCTATGCTGGGGCCTGACCACCTGAAGGCTGAACTAAGGAACCAGAACTTTCTCCCGAGGATACAGAGTCAGCGGCCAGGTCGCAGTGTGGCAGGATGTGAACAGCGTTGCGTTCTATTCCTCTACCCTCTACTGATCCCCAAAACGCAGCCCTCTCCAGCCCTCCCCGGCTTGACTGGTCTCACCTGGGGTCAGCAGACAGCAGACCAGCAGAGTCCAGCAGGCCCTGGGCCACAACACGGATGGTACCATGGTGGCCATTCTGACAGAGGAAGGTGCCTTCCTGAGGTGCCCGAAGGGCAGGCAGGGGAAAAGGCGGGGCCTCCCACTGCGACGGAAGCACAGCGGTTAAGATTGCAGAAGTCTGGGGACTGCACCTTGCCCAGGCCTGTGGGTGGAAGGGGATGCTGTGGCCCTTGGGGGCCAGGGTGGGGGACCCAGACGGGGCTCTGCAAAGTGGCCAGCACTGCTGAGTCTCCCCCAGGGAATGGGCTGGTCCCAGTTGCACTGCTGGCCCCCATTTGAATTCACAGGAAATGCTAACTAAACTGGTTTCTTTTGTTCTCAGCACTGGGAAGCCTGGGTGGGGGGGATGAGGCATCTCCTTCTGGCTGAACTTAGGTGGGTAGGGGAATATTCTGTCCCCAGAGAGGAAGTTAATGGGGAAAACTGTAGGCACCATTGTGTAGATGTTAAGGTGGGATTTCGAGGAAACATTAAAAAACAAAAACAAAAACAGAAACAGAAGCAGAGTCTTGCTATGTTGCCCCGACTGGTCTTGAACTCCTGGCCTTAAGATGGCCTCCTCTCATCTTGACCTCCCAAAGTGTTGCGATTACAGGCGTGAGCCACCACGCCTGGCCACCTTTGAAGATCTTGAGGATACCTCCCTATCTTTGAAGATCTTGGGGATCCCCCATCCCCTGCACAAAGAGCTAAGGTAGGTGATTTGGGGACAGCTGAGTCCCTGAGCCACTGTCTATCCAGGATTCTACTTGGTTTTTGTTTGTTTGTTTTGAGACAGAGTCTCACTCTGTCACCCAGGTTGGAGTGCAGTGGCGGGATCTCGGCTCACTGCAGCCTCTGCCTCCCGGGTTCAAACGATTTTCCTGCCTCAGCCTCCCGAGTAGCTGGGATTACAGGCATGTGCCACCACGCCCGGCTAATTTTTGTACTTTTTGGTAGAGACGGGGTTTCACCATGTTGGCCAAGCTGGTCTCAAACTTCTGACCTCAAGTGAGCTGCCCGCCTTGGCCTCCCAAAGTGTTGGGATTACAGGCGTGAGCCACTGCGCCCGGCCTTCCAGGATTCTACTTGTAACTGGCCTTTACCCCATCCTGTTGTCCCCTTGCCCACCCTTCCAGGCAGCTGGTCACTGCATTCCAAGGGAAGGCGCCAAGGGGACCAGGTGGGACCCCCACCTTTGACCTGCCTCTGACCTCAGGCCTCTGACCTGCCTTCTGGGCTTCACATCTGAGCTCCAGAGAGAGAGGCCTTGTTGAGAGCCTTGATGGGGCCCTGCACTCACCCACTTTCCCCAGACCTTGAGGTCACAGCACCTCCTCTCTCATCTAGAGCACCCCCACCTTCCTAAGCAGGTCCCTCCTCTATTCCTCTACCTTCCGAACAATCCATTTCCCACCTGGTGTTGAGAGAGCAGCTAAAACCCAAGTCTAGTGTATTTGTAAACAGCAGGGACCAGTAGCATGGGCCTGGTGCCTGTAGTCCCAGCTCCTTGGAAGGCTGAGGTGAGAGGATCGCTTGAGCCTGGGAGGTCAAAGCTGCAGTGAGTCGAGATTGTGCCCCTGCACTCCAGCCTGGGAGACACAGTGAGACCCTGTTTCCACAAAAAAAAAAAAAAAAAAAAAAGATGTCGGACTTACTGGCTCACGTCTGTAATCCTAGCAGCACTTTGGGAGGCTGAGGTAGGTGGATGACGAGGTCAGGAAATCGAGACCATCCTGGCTAACACAGTGAAACCCCATCTCCACCAAAAATATAAAAAATTAGCTGGGCATTGTGGCGGGCACCTGTAGTCCCAGTTACTCAGGAGGCTGAGGCAGGAGAATCACTTGAACCCAAGAGGCGGAGGTTGCAGTGAGTGGAGATTGTGCCGCTGCACTCCAGCCTGGGTGACAGAGCAAGACTCTGTCTCAGAAAAACAAACAAACAAACAAACATATATATATAATTTATAATACTTACGTAATAGTGAGACCCTGTCTCTAAAAATAAAAAAGAAAGAAATATTTGTAAATAAGTCATATTTCTTTTTTGTTTTTTGAAACAGAGTCTCACCGTGTCGCCTAGGCTGGAGTGCAGGGGCACAATCTCAGCTAACTGCAATCTCAGCCTCCTGGGTTCAAGTGATCCTCCCACCTCAGCCTCCCTAGGAGCTGAGACCACAGGTACACACCACTGTGCCTGGCTAATTTTCTGTAGAGACGGCTTTCACCATATTGCCCAGGTTGGTCTTGAACTCCTAAGCTTAAGGGATCTGCCTGCCTCGACCTCCCAAAGTGCTGGGATTATAGGCGTGCCCTGCTACACCCGCCAGTAATATTTCTGATAAAGAAGTATTTCTGGGCCAGGTGTGGTAGCTCACGCCTGTAATCCTAGCACTTTGGGAGGCTGAGGCGGGCAGATCACGAGGTAAGGAGATCGAGACCATCCTGGTTAACACGGTGAAACCCCATCTCTACTAAAAATACAAAAAAAAATTAGCCCCGTCTCTACTAAAAATACAAAAAAAAATGGTGGCAGGTGCCTGTAGTCCCAGCTACTCGGGAGGCTGAGGCAGGAGAATGGCGTGAACCCAGAAGGCGGAGCTTGCAGTGAGCCGAGATCGCGCCACTGCACTCCATCCAGGCTGGGCAACAGAGTGAGACTCCATCTCAAAAAAAAAAAAAAAGAGTATTTCTGGGCCAGGCGTGGTGGCTCACACCTGTAATCTTAACACTTTGGGAGGCCTAGACAGGCGGATCCCTTGAGGTCGGGAGTTCCAGACCAGCCTGGGCAGCATGCCAAAACCCTGTCTCTACTAAAAATACAAAAAATCGGCCAGGTGCAGTGGCTCACGCCTGTAATCCCAGCACTTTGGGAGGCCGAGGCGGGCGGATCACGAGGTCAGGAGATCGAGACCATCCTGGCTAACACGGTGAAACCCCGTCTCTACTAAAAAAAATACAAAAATTAGCTGGGCATGGTGGCGGGCGCCTGTAGTACCAGCTACTTGGGAGGCTGAGGCAGGAGAATAGTGTGAACCCGGGAGGCAGAGCTTGCAGTGAGCTGAGATTGCGCCACTGCACTCCAGCCTGGGCGACAGAGCGAGACTCCATCTCGAAAAAAAAAAAAAAAGTACAAAAAAATCAGCCAAGCTTGATGGCACACACCTGTAGTCCCAGCTACTCAGGAGGCTGCAGCGGGAGGATTGCTTGAGCCCGGGAAGTGGAGGTTGCAGTTAGCTGAGATTGTGCCCCTGCACTCCAGCCTGGGCGACAGAGAAAGGTCACCTACACATGTTTAAGGGGCCTCTGCACATATCTCAAGCCATTGACAAGAAAGCAAGTACAGTCTGGATTGCAAACAATGTATAATTTAAGCTCCAGCTGATTTTTTTTTTTTTTTTGAGACAGGGTCTCAGTCTGTCACCCAGGCTGGAGTGCAGTGGCATAGTCTGGGCTCACTGCAACCTCTGCCTCCCAGGTTCAAGTGATTCTCCCGCCTCAACTTCCCAAGTAGCTGGGATTACAGGCATGCACCACCACACCCAGCTAATTTTTTGCATTTTTAGTAGAGACGGGGTTTCACCATGTTGACCAGGCTAGTCTCAAACTCCTGACCTCAGGTGATCCGCCCGCCTCGGCCTCCCAAAGTGCTAGGATTACAGGCGTGAGCCACCGCGCCTGGCCTCCAGCTGATTTTTGACAGCCACATTGTTGCTATAGGATCCTTTTTACGTGTGATGGTGATGGTCTCTGGTTCTCCTCATTCCCACAAAGGTTGTTGAACCACAGCACCAGTAACACTGAGAATGCTAAGGGCTCTAGCCCAGGCTTTCTCCCAGGTTCTCTGGTGTGCGCCCTCCTGGTGACAATGAAATTGAAGCTAATTGCTTTCACTGGTTGAGTCTCTGATCTTGAGTGGCTGTGTCCACATTTCATTTTTTTTTTTTCTGGTAGGAATAACTACTTTTCTGCATCCATGCTCCATAGACTCTGTCCTTTTCAGACATCCTGGGATAAAAAGATTTGGCTTTTTTTTTTTTCTTCTTCTTCCTGAGACAGGGTCTGGCTCTGTCTCCCAGGCTGGAATGCAGTGACATAATCATGGCTCACTGCAACCTTGACCTCCCAGGCTCAGGTGATCCTCCCACCTCAGCCTCCCTAGTAGCTGGGACTATAGGTGTGTGCCACTACACTCGGCTAATTTTTGTATTTTTTCTACAGAGGAGCTTTTGACATATTGCCCAGGCTGTTCTCGAACCCCTGGGCTCAAGTGATCCTCCCAACTCAACCTCCCAAAGTGCTGGGATTATTACAGGGGTGAGCCACTGTGCTGGGCTTTCACTCTTAGGCTATTAAACAATGAAGGTAGTTATTGATCCTATCTCTTTCATATTCTTCTTCTTTTTTTTTTTTTGAGAATGAGTCTTGCTCTGTCTCCCAGGCTGGGCTCACTGCAATCTCCACCTCCCAGGTTCAAGCGATTCTCCTGCCTCAGCCTCCTGAGTAGCTGGGATCACAGGCGTGCGCCACCACACCCAGCTAATTTTTGTATTTTTATTAGAGACGGGGGTTTCACCATGTTGGTCAGGCTGGCATATTCTTCTTTCTAAGAACTGAGAGTGAGGGGGCTGTATTGAATCTCTTCATGCACCAGGAACTGAGTTCTGAAGATGATCTTATTATTATCAGTATTTTTTGAGATGGGTTCTCACTCTGTTGCCCAGGCTGGAGTGAGGTGGTTCAGTCTTGGCTCACTGCAACCTCTGCCTTCCAGGTCCAAGCGATTCTCCTGCCTCAGCCTCCCAAGTAGCTGGGATTACAGGCGTCTGCCACCAGGCTTGAGCTACCACGCCCAGCCAAAAGAGCATATATTATGTATAGAAATAATAAGACGAGCCAGGTGCGGTGGCTCATGCCTATAATCCCAGGACTTTGGGAGGCTGAAGCGGATGGATCACCTGAGGTCAGGAGTTCGAGACCAGCCTGACTAACATGAGGAAACCCAGTCTCTACTAAAAATACAAAAAATTAGCCAGACATGGTGGCTCGTGCCTGTAATCCCAGCTACTCAGGAGGCTGAGGCCGGAGAATCACTTGAACCTTGGAGGAGTTTGCAGTGAGCCGAGGTCACACCATTGCACTCCAGCTTGGGCAACAAGAGAGAAACAACGTCTCAAAAACAAACAAACAAACAAACAAAACCCAAGAAATAATAAGACCATTTGGAATTACTGGACTAATAGAATAGTTAAGGTTTCTTATAGAGGCAATAAAATGTATTTTGAAAGAGCTGCTAACTATTGATGCTGACAGTATTTCATTCCTGTGAGTGACTCAAGCATATTATAAATAGCTAGTAAAAGCCTGGCCAACATGGCAACTAAAAATACAAAAAATTCACCGGACGTGGTGGCGCATGCCTGTACTTACAGCTACTTGGAAGACTGAGGCCCAAGAACCGACTGAGCCCTGGAGGCCGAGGTTGCAGTGAGCCGAGATCATGCCACTGCACTCCAGCCAGGATGACAGAGGAGAGAGACTCCGTCGCAAAAATAAAAATAAATAAATAAATAAATACCTCGTAAAGGGAACGGAGCCTGTGGGGTTGAGCAAAATGTACTAGCTGTGCCTGCAGTGAGTATAACAGCTTTACGATTATGAGGAAACAATTTTTTCTTTTCTTTTTTTTTTTTTGAGATTAAGTCTTGCTCTGTCGCCCAGGCTGGAGTGCGGTGGCACGATCTCGGCTCACTACAACCTCCACCTCCCAGGTTCAAGTGATTCTCCTGCCTCAGCCACCCAAGTAGCTGAGATAACAGGCGCCCGCCACCACACCCAGCTAATTTTTGTATTTTTAGTAGAGACAGGGGTTTCACCATGTTGGCCAGGCTGGTCTTTAACTCCTGACCTCAGGTGATTCACCCACCTTGGCCTCCCAAAGAGTTGGGATTACAGGCATGAGCTACTGCGCCCGGCCCCAGCCAAAATTTTTAATAGCAATGCAGAAAAAGAAGAAAACATGACAGGCGCAGTGGCTCATGACTGTAATTCCAGCACTTTGGGAGGCTGAGGCGAGCAGATCACCTGAGGTTAGGAGTTCGAGACCAGCCTGGCCAACATGGCGAAACCCCATCTCTACTAAAAATACAAAAATTAGCCAGGCGTACTGGCCCCACGCCTGTAATCCCAGCTACTCAGGAGGCTGAGGCAGGAGAATCACTTGGACCCAGGAGGCAGAGGTTGCAGTGAGCCGACATCGTGCCACTGCACTCCAGCCTGGGCGACAGAGCAAGGCTCCATCTCAAAAAAAAAAGTCAACAAGACAAACAACCTAGTTTCATCCACAAATATGTTGCAAGGGGGCAAAAGACAGAAAGAGGAACCCACAGACCAAAAGAGACGTAAGAAAACTGGCCTCGAGCAAATGCAATTGGGGACTTTGTTTGTATTTTTATTTATTTTTATTTTTTATTTTATTTTATTTTTTGAGATGGAGTTTCACTCTTGTTGCCCAGACTGGAGTGCAATGGCACAATCTCAGCTCACTGCAACCTCCGCCTCCTGGGTTTAAGTGATTCTCCTGCCTCAGCCTCCTGAGTAGCTGGGATTACAGGCACACGCCACCGCATCCGGCTAATTTTTGTATTTTTAGTAGAGATGGGGTTTTGCCATGTTGGCCATGTTGGTCTTGAACTCCTGACCTCAGGTGATCCGCCTGCCTTGGCCTCCCAAAGTGCTGGGATTACAGGCGTGAGTCACTGTGCCCGGCCCTGTATTTTTATTTATTTTATTTTTTCAGAACTAAAAGAGACTTACAGAAAACTGGCCTCAACCAAACGCAATTGGGGACCTTGTTTGTATTTTTATTTTTTTATTCAGAACTAAAAATAAATGATCTATTGGGCGGGTGTGGTGGCTCATACCTGAAAGCCCAGCACTTTGGGAGGCTGAGGTAGAGGGATCATTTAAGCCCGGGACTTCATCAACCTGGGTAACATGGAGAAACTTCGCCTCTACAAAAAATACAGAAATTAGCTTAAGCGTGGGAGGCGGAGGTTGTAGTGAGCAGAGATTGCGCCACTGCACTCCAGCCTGGATGACAGAGCAAGACTCTGTTTCAAAACTATGGGGACAGTAAATAACAGATCAGCAGTTGCCAGGGGTTAGTGAGAAGAGAGGGATGAACAGGCAGCGCATGAATGACGTTTAGCGCAGTGAAACTACTCCATGTGATACTATATTGGTGGGTTCATGCCTTATACGTTTGTCCAGCCCCACAGAACGTACAACAGCAAGAGTGAACCCTCATGTAAAGTACAGACCTCAGGAGAAAATGATATGTCAGTGGAGGTTCATAGATTTTTTTTTTCAGACAGAGTCTTGCTCTGCCGCTCAGGCTGGAGTGCAGTGGCATGATCTTGGCTCACTGCAACCTCCACCACCACCTCCTGGGTTCAAGCAATTCTCTTGCCTCAGCCTCCTAAGTAGCTGGGAGTACAGGTGCCTGCCACCATGCCTGGCTAGTTTTTGTATTTTTAGTAGAGATGGGGTTTCACCATGTTGCCCAGGCTGGTCTCGAACTCCTGACCTCCCAAAGTGCTGGAATTACAGGCATGAGTCACCGAGGTTCATAGATTCTAACACATGTATCACTGTGGTACAGGATAGGTCAGCAAGGGAGGTTGTGCAGGGGGATGGGAGGGAGGGGATATAGGAGAACTCTGTATTTTCCACTCAACTTTGCTGTAAACCTAAAACTGCTCTAAACAAATTGAGTGGTTATCCTACTACTCAAGAGGCTAAGGTGGGAGGATCACTTGAGCCCAGGAGTTTGAGACCAGGCTGGGCAGCAGAGTAAGACGCTGTGTCTACAAAAAATTTTAAAATTAGCCAGATGGCCAGGCATGGTGGCTCACACCTGTAATCCCAGCACTTTCGGAGGCTGAGGTGGGTGGATCACCTGAGGTCAGGAGTTCGAGACCAGCCTGGCCAACATGGTGAAATCCTGTCTCAACTAAAAATACAAAAATCAGCCAGGCGTGGTGGCGGGCGCCTGTAATCCCAGCTACTGGGGAGGCTGAAGCAGGAGAATCGCTTGAACCCTGGAGGTGGAGGTCGCACTGAGCCTAGACCGTACCATTGCACTCCAGCCTGGGTGACATAGTGAGACTCCCTCTCAAAAAAAAAAAAAAAAAAAAAAAAAAATTAGCCAGGTGACGTGGCAGGAGCCTATAGTCCCAGCTCCTACAGAGGCTGAGGTGGGAGGATCACTTGCGCCTGGGAGGTCAAGGTTGCCATGGGCTATAATAGCACCACTGTACTCCAGTGTGGGTGACAGAGCGAGACCCAGTCCCCAGCCCCACAAAAGAAGTCCTTCTGGGGATATTTAACTGCCTTTCACAAATGTGTCTGACCCACCATCTCAAGTCACACAGGCTAAGTAGAAACGCTTTGCCAAACACCAGAATAACAATAATACCTTTTTCTTTTCTTTTTTCAGACAGTCTTGCTCTATCGCCCAGGCTGGAGTGCAGTGGTGCGATCTCAGCTCAATGCACTCTGCCTTCCAGTTCAAGCAATTCTCCTGCCTCAGCCTCTAGAGTAGCTGAGATTACAGGTGTGTGCCACCACACCTGGCTAATTTTTGTATTTTTTTCCTCAACAAGAACAAACTTGGTAAATAACGATGATTGTTCATGGTTTCAGACTCCTTTTTTTTTTTTTTTTTTTTAAGTTCCAGGGTACATGTGCACAATGTGGTTTGTTACATAGGTATACATGTGCCATGTTGGTTTGCTGCACCCATTAACTCATCATCTACATTAGGTATTTCTCCTAATGCTATCCCTCCCGCAGGCCCCTACCCCACAACAGACCCCGGTGTGGGTGTGTGTTGTTCCCTGCCATGTGTCCAAGTGTTCTCATTGTTCAGTTCCCACCTATGAATGAGAACATGCGGTGTTTGGTTTTCTGTCCTTGTGATAGTTTGCTGAGAATGATGGTTTCCAGCTTCATTCGTGTCCCTGCAAAAGATATGAACTCATCCTATTTTATAGCTGCATAGTATTCCATGGTGTATATGTGCCACATTTTCTTAATCCAGTCTATCATTGATGGACATTTGGGTTGGTTCCAAGTCTTTGCTATTGTGAATAGTGCCGCAATAAACATACGTGTGCATGTGTCTTTTTTTATTTTTTTTTGAGACAGAGTTTTGCTCTTGTCACCCAGGCTGGAGTGCAATGGCTTGATCTTGGCTCATGGCAACCTCTGCCTCCTGGGTTCAAGTGATTCTCCTGCCTCAGCCTCCCAAGTAGCTGGGATTACAGACGCCTACCACAATGCCCAGCTAATTTTTGTATTTTTAGTAGACAAGGGTTTTGCCATGTTGGGCAGGCTGGTCTCAAACTCCTGACCTCAACTGATCCGCCCGCCTTGGCCTTTCAAAGTGCTGTGCTGGGATTACAGGCGTGAGCCACTCTATCCAGCCAACTTCATTTTTAAAATTTTTATTTTAAAATAATATAGGCTAGGTGTAGTGGCTCACGCCTGTAATCCCAACACTTTGGGAGGCCGAGGCGGGCAGATCACCTGAGGTCAGGAGTTTGAGAGCAGCCTGACCAACAAGATGTAACCCCGTCTCTACTAAAAATACAAAATTAGCCGAGTGTGGTGGCGTGCGCCTGTAATCCCAGCTACTCCGGAGGCTGAGGCAGGATAATCGCTTGAACTCAGGAGGGGGAGGTTGCAGTGAGCCGAGATAGCACCATTGCACTCCAGCCTGGAGAACAGTGAAACTGCCTCAAAAATAAATAAACAAATAAATAAATAAATAAAAATACGGACAGGATCTCCCTATGTTGCCCAGGCTGGTCTCGAACTCCTGGACTCAAGGGATCCTCCTGCCTCAGCCTCCCAAAGTGCTGGGGTTACAAGCAATGAGCCACTGCATCCAGTCAACAATAATATTGTATATTTATTTATTTAATTATTATTTTTTTGAGACAGAGTCTTTCTCTGTCACCCAGGCTGGAGTGCAGTGGTGCAATCTCGGCTCACTGCAATCTCCGCCTCCTGGGTTCATGACATTCTCCTGCCTCAGCCTCCCGAGTAGCTGGGACTACAGGCACCCGCCACCACGCCCGGCTAATTTTTTTGTATTTTTAGTAGACGGGGTTTCACCGTGTTAGCCAGGATGGTCTCAATCTCCTGACCTTGTGATCCTCGTGGCCTCCCAAAGTGCTGGGATTACAGGCGTGAGCTGCCGTGCCCGGCCAATATTGTATATTTATTAAGCACTTGTTTGCATGTCTTTCTGCTCAGCATTTCACAGACACCACCTCATGAGCTCTTTACATGAGTCCTATGAGATAGCAAGTGTGAAGCTCCCATAATGGAGGACTAAGGCCCAGAGAGGTGAAGCCATTAGCCTGAGGTCACACAAATGTGAAAGGGTGAAACTGGCAGTCTAATCTATGTGGCTTGTGACCGCCCCGACCAAATACTTTGTGTATTCAACAAGTAGTTATTGGCCAGGCGCAATGGCTCACACCTGTAATCCCAGCACTTTGGGAGGCGGAGGCAGGTGGATCACCTGAGGTCAGGAGTTCAAGACCAGCCTGGCCAATAAGGTGAAACCTCAACTCTACTAAAAATACAAAAAATTAGCCAGGCATGGAGGCGGTCACCTGTAGTCCCAGCTACTCGGGAGGCTGAGGCAGGAGAATGGTGTGAACCCAGGAGGCGGAGCTTGCAGTGAGCCTAGATCACGCCACTGCACTCCAGCCTGGGCGACAGAGCAAGACTCTGTCTCAAAAAGAAAAAAAAAAAAAAGTTAAACAGTTGAATCCAGCCACCTCTGCGCTGTCTCATGCTAGCTGCTGTCCACAGGAGACCAGACTCCCAGCTAACCCAGCTTTCTTGAAGAGGGCTCCAAAAATCACAGGCTCCAGCAGAGAAAACATGAGTTTATTACCAGATGGTGGAGATGGTGGGCCTCAAGTTTGGAAGCTGGGGGATTTAAGGGCTGGATTAGTGCCCCTACAAATGTTGGGTCCCTCAAGATCATGGTTAGGCTCACGGCCAAGAAAGAAAAATAAGTTCACAGAGGTGGGGTCTCTAGACAGGAGTAAGGCACACGGTGTGGGTGAGGCTGACATCCCCCTCTTGGTTTCATCCTGGAGCAGGGAGCAGGAGGCTCCCTCTGCAGCCACTGCCTGGTCCAGTCCTCCCAGGCAGGGCTGCCATTGTGCCTCAGCACACGCTGAACACTGAAGGGGCCTGGCCTTGGTACTTCTCATGGACTGTCTTCAGAATGGGTATGAGGTTCTCGAAGGTTGGGCGAAAGGACGCCTCTGTCTCCCAGCAGTTCTTCATGAGATGATAGACCTAGAAGGAAAAACCAGGGCTGGTGGGGGCTGCCCTCTCCACAGCAGGATAGTGGGGTCAGGGAAAGACAAAGGAAGTCTCACCTCACAGGGACATTTGTCGGGCCGTGGCAGCCTCTCCCCTCGTTCCAGCAACTCAGTGAGTCTCAGAACTGTCATCTGACCCTGAGCAATGCCTATGAGCTCAAGGAATTTCTACAGTATAAACAAGACAAGCTCTTTTCAAGAGGCAATGAAAGGCAGGCACGGTGGCTCATGCCTGTAATCCCAGCACTTTGGAAGGCTGAGGTGGGTGGATCACCTGAGGTCAGGAGTTCGAGACCAGCCTGGCCAACATGGTGAAACCCCATCTCTACTAAAAATACAAAAATTAGCTGGGCATAATGGCAGGCGCCCGTAATCCCAGCTACTTGGGAGGCTGAGGCAGGAGGATCGTCTGAACCTGGGAGGCGGAGGTTGCAGTGAGCCGAGATTGTGCCATTGCACTCCAGCCTGGGATACAAGTGTGAAACTCCATCTCAAAAAAGAAAAAGAAATCACTCTGCAACTTCATGAAATCGACTGCATGGGTTCCAATCCCACCTCTTACACTTCTCAGCTGTGTGACTTTGAATTTGAGTTCACTTCTCTGGGCCTGTTTTCTCATCCGTAAAATAGGGTAATAACATCTGCCACCTGGGATTACTGTGAACGTTAAACTAATATTCATAGAGTAAGCGTGAGTCAGGTGTTTGCCGTTATTATTAAGCCTCACAGCAGATTGTTCTTACCGTCCAGAATTTTTTTTTTGAGACAGTCTCTCGCTCTTTCACCCAGGCTGGAGTGCAGTGGCATGATCTCGGCTCACTGCAACCTTCGCCTACCGGGTTCAAGCAATTCTCCCTGCCTCAGCCGCCTGAGTAGCTGGGATTACAGGCACCTGCCACCACGCCCGGCTAATTTTTGTATTTTTAGTAGAGACGGGGTTTCACCATGTTGGCCAGGCTGGTCTCGATCTCCTGACCTCGTGATCTGCCCGCCTCGGCCTCCCAAAGTGCTGCGATTACAGGTGTCAGCCACCGCGCCCGGCCTATGCCTTTCTTTCCTTTCTTTTCTTTCTCTCTCTCTCCGTCCTGTCCTGTCTTAGACGGAGTCTCGCTCTGTCACCCAGCTGGAGTGCAGTCGGGAGATCTCGGCTCACTGCAAGCTCCGCCTCCCGGGTTCATGCCATTCTCCTGCCTCAGTCTCCTGAGTAGCTGGGACTACAGGCGCCCGCCACCACGCCTGGCTAATTTTTTTTGTATTTTTAGTAGAGACGGGTTTCACCGTGTTAGCCAGGTTGGTCTCGATCTCCTGACCTCGTGATCCGCCCGCCTCGGCCTCCCAAAGTGCTGGGATTACAGGCTTGAGCCACCGCGCCTGGCCCAGCCTATGCCTTTCTAATTGCTCTAGCAAACTCCCGGTGGGGCTGCGGGCCTGGCTCTCACCGTGGGGGGGCTCTGGCTGGAGTCACAGTGCGTCAGCAGCTCATACAGGGTCACCCCGAAGGACCAGACATCTGACGCATAGTAGAACTTATACTCCTTCAGGCACTCTGGGGCATACCTAGGGGGAGGGGGGCACTCAGGCCACGGGGGGCTGCACTGAGGGCTTGGGGATCAGACCAGGCTGAAGCCCTCACCTGAGACTGAAGGACCCTCTGGGCTCAGTTGGGACCCACCCTTAAGAGCGCAGCCTGAGCGGGGTGATATGCTCATTGGCTAGGCCGCTCATTGGCTAGGCCGGGTTAACCCCGCCCACCAG
The DNA here is from genome assembly GCF_000001405.40 of Homo sapiens. Classification (NCBI taxonomy): domain Eukaryota; kingdom Metazoa; phylum Chordata; class Mammalia; order Primates; family Hominidae; genus Homo; species Homo sapiens. The sequence goes on from NC_000019.10 coordinate 10,352,750, forward strand.
GCCAAGCCGCACTCTATACACCGCCCCTTGCCTCCATAGGCCCCACCCCCGCACCGCTAGGCCCCGCCGCGCTTCACTGGGATCATGCCCTATCATGATACCCAGCATCCGTCTACTCCACCCTGCCTGTTCCAAGTGACCCCAGCACCCCCTCAGACTGCACCCCGCCTGGTCACCAGAACACGGGGCTGTCCCCATCCTCGCGCACGCGGTAGTACTCGTGGCCTTCGGGCACGGCCTTGGCTAGGCCAAAGTCCCCGATCTTGACCAGCCTGTCGTTGTCCAGCAGCACGTTGCGCGCGGCTAGGTCTCGGTGGATGTAGTGCTGCGCGTGCAGATAGGCCATGCCCTGGGGACGGGGCAGGGCTCGTGAGTTTCAGTGGGGCGGGGTTCGGCCGGGGGCGGCGGCAGGACCTGAGCAGCCAGGAGGGCTGGGGGACAGTCAGGTCAGGCCGGTGGCTACCCGGCCGCTGGAGAGGGCCGGATGGCACGTGGCACCAAGCAAAAGGAGGCTGAGCCAGAAAGCAGGGACGGGGCTAGACGAGCAAAGCTGGGCAGGAGGGCGAGTTGGGAGGGGCCGAGCCGGCTGTGCGTGGTCCCTTGGGAGGAGGGGGTGTGGCCAAGCAAGCCAAACAGTTCGGAGGTCAGTGCAAGGACAAGACAGCCTGGGCAAACGAGCAGGGGCGGAGCGTGAGAGCAGACTGCACCGGATCGCTCAGGCCAGCCCAAGCTGAAGAGGAAGGGGCAAGCTCCAGAAGCAGGGGCGGGGCCGACCAACCTCGCAGATCTGCTGGGCGAAGAGCAGCAGCTGGGCCAGCCCGATGCTGTGCCGGGGCAGGTAGTCTCGGAGGCTGCCCAGGGGCACGTACTCCATGACCAGCTGCAGCGACTTCTCGCCTGCCGCGGAGAGGGGCGGCCCCGGTGGGGGACGATAGAGGGCGGGCCGGGGACCGCCTACCTTGAGCCCAGCAGAGCCCCTCCAAGGTCGGGAGGGAAGGCCAAGACCCGCGCACACTAGACCCAGTTCTCAGGTGGGATGGACCCATCCAGAACCCCATTCTCACTTGAGGGAGCTGCTGGTGGCTCCCGTCCATCCTGGCCCCAGCAGGTAGCACCCCCCAGATGGGAAGGAGGCAGCCCAGCCACGCTCACCCAGATGCCAAGAACCGCGTACTGCAGCCTGGGGTTGAGAGTCTCTAATTGGCTAGGCCAGACTGGCCCCGCCCACAAGGCCACACCCACGCTCTAACCACGCCCCCTCAAGTCTCTAGGACTCGCCGGGTCCCGCCCACCTTGGTCCTCGCAGCAGCCCTTGTACTTGATGATGTGCTCGTGGTAGAGCGTGCGCAGAATGTCAATCTCCTGCTTCCAGCCCGAGCGGTGCTGGGGGCCGCAGTCTGCCTTGAGGGCTTTCACCGCCACCATCTCGCCAGTGCCGTCGTTGGTCGGATCGTAGCAGTACAAGCTGACCTTGCCGAAGTGACCCTGGTCGGGAGCGCACGAGGGTCAGCTCCACCTCCCCAATCCCTGCACCACTCCCCAACCCCCGATTTCCCGGGCCACTCCTCCAGGCAGATCCTTTCGGAATACCCCAGGCCCCGCCTACTCCGCTCTATTAAGACTCCTTGGCACCTAGGCCTCCCTCAAAGCAGAGGGTCCCACCCACATCTCCTGAGAATCACCTTAGGTAGGAATTTATCCTCAACCCCCAAACTCCTTCCCGACCAGGCGGGCCTTTTAGCAGCTCAGGCCCGTCCCTCACCTCGCCCAGATCTCGGATCTTTTTCAAATAGCGCTTGTGGAAAACCGTAGGGTCCGACGCCGGTGAGTCCGGGTTCACAGTCAAGACGTCAGCAAGATCTGGAAGAGTTGCGGTGGGTAAAGGCCTGACCCCGATCCTTTCCCCAGCAGGCCCACACTTGGGAGTCACAAAGCCAGCCACAGCTACCCCAGGATCCGATTCTAGAGGTAAGAAAACTTTTTCCTGCAACAGCTGAAAGAGTCCACTTATTGTACAAAATGATGCAGAGTTGGCTGCATCAAAACTGACACCTGTTTGGGAGGCCGAGGCGGGAAGATCACTTGAGCCCGGGAGTTCAAGACCAGCCTGGACAACATGGTGAAACCCCCTCTCTACAAAAAAGTTAAAAAAAAAAATTAGCCAGGTGTGGTGGTGCATGCCTGTGGTCCCAGCTACTCAGGAGGCTGAGGTAGGAGGATCGTTTGAGCCCAGGAGTTTTGAGGCTGCAGTGAGTCTGGGCCACAGAGAGACACTGTCTTTAAAAAAAAAAAAAAGAAAGAAAGAAAGAAAAAGAAAAAACAGAAAAACCTGACATCTGGAAGTTCCGAGATTGGGTAGAGGGCACAGATATTTCATAGAGAAAAGAGAAAAACTGGCCAGGCGTGGTGGCTCACACCTGTAATCCCAGCACTTTGGGAGGCCGAGGCAGGAGGATCCCTAGAGCCCAGGAGTCTCAGGCTGCAGTGAGCCATGATCGTGCCTCTGAATAACCACCACACTCCTGCCTGGGCAACACAGCAAGACCTAGTCTTTAAAACAAAAAAGAGAAAGAAAAATGTGATATGACCAGTTGAAAATGGCATATTAGGCCGGGCGTGGTGGCTCACGCCTGTAATCCCAACACTTTGGGAGGCTGAGGAGGGTGGATCACCTGAGGTCAGGAGTTTGAGACCAGCCTAGCCAACACAGTGAAACCCCGTCTCTACTAAAAATACAAAAATTAGCTGGGTGTGGTGGTGGACGCCTGTAATCCCAGCTACTCGGGAGGCTGAGGCAGGAGAATTGCTCGAACCCAGGAGGCGGAGGTTGCAGTGGGCCGAGATCGTGCCATTGCACTCCAGCCTGTGCAACAAGAGCAAAACTCCATCTCAAAAAAAAAAAAAAGAAAGAAAGAAAAAAAAAAAGAAAATAGGTCAGGCGCAGTGGCTCATGCCTGTAATCCCAGCACTTTGGGAGGCCGAGGCGGGTGGATCACGAGGTCAAGAGACTGAGACCATCCTGGCCAACATGGTGAATTCCCGTCTCTACTAAAAATACAAAAATTAGCCCGGCGTGGTGGTGGGCGCCTGTAGTCCCAGCTACCCAGGAGGCTGAGGCAGGACAATTACTTGAACCTGGGAGACGGAGGTTGCAGTGAGCCAAGATTGCACCACTGCACTCCAGCCTGGCAACAGAGTGAGACTCCGTCTCAAAAAAAAGAAAAAAGAGCATATTAATTTTTTAAAGAGAACAATACAAAACTTTTTTAAAAAGAAAAAAAAAACTGCAGTGGTCTAATTCTCTAATCCAAAGAAGTTGTGTCTCTCCCCAGACAAAACATTAAGGAGGCCAGGCGCAGTGGCTCACGCCTGTAATCCCAGCAATTTGGGAGGCTGAAGCAGATAGATCATTTGAGGTCTAGAGTTTGAGACCAGCCTGGCCAACATGGCAAAACCCCACCTCTACTAAAAATACAAAAATTAGCCGGGCATGGTGGCACACGCTTGTAATCCCAGCTACTTGGGAGGCTGAGGTGGGAGGATTGCTTGAACCTGGGAGGTGGAGGTTGCAGTGAGCCAAGATCACGTCACTGCGCTCCAGGCTGGGTGACAGAGCAAGATTCCATTGCAAATAAATAAATAAATACATTAATGAGAGCTCAGGGCAGCCAGGCAGGGCATGCTTATGAATGCCACTGCAAGAAATTGGCACACACCCTGAACCACTGTGCAGAGACCTCTCGTGCGCTATAGGCATACAGCAGGGATCCCAGCCCCGTCCCACTTCCCCAGGGTCCCAGCACTGGGATGGAGCTCACTGTGGGGCTGCAGCCGGGTGAGGTCACGCAGGATGGTGCGGAATGATGGCCTCTGGGTTGGCTCATAGGTCAGACACTGGCTGGTGAGTGTGGCCAGCTGTGGGCAGGAGGGCTCGGGCAGCCGGTGCTGCCTCTGGTAGAAATGCTCCTTCTGTTGGGAAAGGGACCCAGAGGAGTCAACATCCTCCCCTCGCCCCCAACCCGTTCCCCAAGAGGCAGAGTCAAGTCCCCAGAGTGGACCGCCAGGTGCCCGCTCTTATCAGTTCCATTATACAGATGAGGCAACTGAGGCTCCACAAAGTGGGAGGACGTGCTCACAGCCGTAGAACCAGGACTGGGACCCAGGTCCAGTGATTATGCAGAGCTGGAGTGTCACAGTCAGCCTCCTGCCCCAAGCTTCCCTCCTGCCCCTCCTGTAGACCACAGCTCCTTAATACACTGAAGCCTCAGCCTTTGCACAGGCCATGCACTCTGCCTAGGCTGCCCTTCCTAGCCAGGCTTGTTGGCATAATTCTACACTTAGATAAAACCTCTTCTGGGGCCGGGCACTGTGGCTCATGCCTGTAATCCCAGCACTTTGGGAGGCCGAGGTGGGCGGATCACCTGAGGTCAGGAGTTTGAGACCAGCCTGACCAATATAATGAAACCCCATCTCTACAAAAAATACAAAAATTAGCCGGGTGTGGTGGCATGTGCCTGTAATCCCCCCTACTCGGGAGGCTGAGACAGGAGAATCGCTTGAACCCAGGAGGCAGAGGTTGCAGTGAGCTGAGATCACGCCATTGCATTCCAGCCTGGGCAATTAGAGTGGAACTTCGTCTCAAAATAAAACCACCACACTCATGAACCTCCTTTGGGAAGCCTTGTCTGACCCCACTGCTGGGTGAGGCGCATCCTCAGCCCTTCTTCCCCACTCTGCAGCCTGGGCGTCTCCCATCGCTGCCCTGGTCACTCTGCCTAAAACTGAAATCAAGTCTCTTACTTGCCTTCTGTGTGCCAGGCACAAGTGACTTCCACAAGGACCTAAAAAGGCTGGGACTACATTGAGCCCCAGCGAGTGGCCCACCTGCTGGTAGCCCAGAGAGACTTGAAGTCACGAGGCCAGAAGGGATGCAGCTTTGAGCTCTGATTCTGTCCTCTGGATTTCTTGGAGGGGCCCCCACTGCGGGGAGGGCCCAAGGGTCTCCTAGACATACCTCGGAGGGACTGCGGCTCTGCAGAGGGGCCTCTCCGTCAAAGCAGATCTCCAGGAGGGTGGCGCCAAACCCCCACTTGTCCATGGCGGTGCTTAGGCTGTTGGCCCCACCTGGTAGGCATTCGGGGGCCAGCCAGGGGATCCTCTCCACCCGCTCTGGGAGGCCAAGGTCAGAGGTCACCAAGGGTGAAAGGAGCAGGGGAAGCCCCCCACTGTGCCCAGGTCCCCTCAGGTACTCACCCTCCCTGGAGAGGGCGCCCAGGCCCACGCCAGGATCACTCAGCTTGATGAAGGGGCTGGTGCCCTCTGCCAACCCCAGCCGGGCCAGCAGGATGTTCCGGCCACACACATTACCATGAACCAGGTTCTTGTTCTCCTGAGGTGGGCAGGAGAGGGGGTGTGGCCACTCAGGAGAGGCACAGACGCCAACCCCAAACCTGGTCCCCATAGGGACAGCCAATGTGAAAAGGACAACTGTGACTATCACTGGGTTTCTTTCTGTTTTGTTTTTTGGGGGGTTATTTTTTTCTTGTTTTTTTTTTTTTTTTTTTTTTTTAAGACAGGGTCTCACTCTGTCTCTCAGGTTGGAGTATAGTGGCACGAACATAGCTCACTGCAGCTTCAAACTCCTGGGCTCAAGCCTTCCAAGTAGCGAGAATTACAGGTGCACATCACCACAGCCTAGCTGATTCTTAAATTTTTGGTGGAGATGGGGTCTAGCTATGCTGCTGCCCAGGCTGGGGTGCAGTGGTGTGATCATAGCTTACTACGGCCTCAAATTCCTGAGCTCAGGTGATCCTCCCACCTCAACTTCCTGAGTACCTCGGCCTACAGGTGCAAGTTACCACATTGGCTAATTTTTTTTGTATTTTTAGTAGAGGCAAGGTTTTGCCATACTGGCCAGGCTGGTCTCAAACTCCTGACCTCAGGTGATCCACCCGCCTTGGCCTCCCAAACTGCTGGGATTACAGGTATGAGCCACCACACCTGGCTATTTGTTTATTTTTAAAAGATGGGGCCAGCTGGGCGTGGTGGCTCACGCCTGGAATCCCAGCACTTTGGGAGGCTGAGGCGGATGGATCACGAGGTCAGAAGTTCGAGACCAGCCTGACCAACATGGTGAAACCCCATCTCTACTAAAAATACAAAAATTAGCTGGGCGTGATGGCAGGAGCCTATAATCCCAGCTACTTGGGAGGCTGAGGCGGGAGAATCATTTGAACCCGGGAGGCGAAGGTTGCAGTGAGCCGAGATCATGCCATTGCACTCCAGCCTGGGTGACAGGGCGAAACTCCACCTAAAACAAAACAAACAAAAAAGATGGGGTCTCGCCCTGTTGCCCAGGCTGGTCTCGAACTCCTGGGCTCCTGGCCCTCCCTGACCGACCCAGGCCCCACACACAGGCCACACACCAGGTAGCTGAGGGCGCTGGCCAGCTGCTGGGCCACCACCATCTTCCAAGCCATGGGCACATGGCCCCGCTCCCTCCGCAGCCACACATCCAGGGGTCCGTGCTCCACGTACTCTGTCACCATGATATCTGTAAAGACACAGCTGCTCTGGGGCAACCTGCCTGCTTCTGCCCTCTGGATGGCGGGGAATTGGGGGAGACGCCAGGGAGGGACTTGGCATGTGGCTGGGGAGGTGTCAGGGCAGAGGTGTGGGTGGAGTTTGGTCTGGGTTGAAAGTGAGTTTGGGGAGAGAAGAAATGCGGAATGCAGCAGAGGCAGCGGTGGATGAGGGCATTGGGGTCCAAGTGGGATGGGGCACGGAAGAAGTTGAAGTTCAAGAGAGAAAGGTGGGCTGGGCGTAGTGGCTCACGCCTGTAATCCCAGCACTTTGGGAGGCTGAGGCAGGTGGATCACCTGAGGTCAGGAGTTCAAGGGCAGCCTGCCCAACATGATGAAACTCCATCACTACTAAAAAAAAAAATACAGCCGGGCGCGGTGGCTCACGCCTGTAATCCCAGCACTTTGGGAGGCTGAGGCGGGCGGATCACAAGTTCAGGAGTTCGAGACCAGCCTGGTCAATATGGTGAAACCCCAACTCTACTAAAAATACAAAAAAATTACAGTGAAACCCCATCTCTACTAAAAAGACAAAAAAATTAGCCAGGCATGGTGGTGGGCGCCGGTAGTCCCAGCTACTTGGGAGGCTGAGGCAGAAGAATGGTGGGAGACGGAGCTTGCAGTGAGCCGAGATCACGTCATTGCACTCCAGCCTGGGCGATAGAGCAAGACTCCATCTCAAAAAGAAGAAAAAAAAAAAAATTAGCTGGGCATGGTGGCACATGCCTGTAATCCCAGCTATTCGGGAGGCTGAGGCAGGAGAATTGCTTGAACCCGGGAGGCGGAGGTTGCAGTGAGCCGAGATCACGCCACTGTATTCCAGCCTGGGTGACACAGTGAGACTCCGTCTCAAAAAAATTAAAAAAAAAAAGAGATAAAGGTGGCAGGGTACAGTGGCTCATGCCTGCAATCCTGTCACTTTGGGAGGCTGAGGCAGGAAGATCCCTTGAGCCCAGGAGTTTGAGATCAGCCTAAGCAACATAGTGAGACCCCATCTCTACAAAAAATTTTTAAAAATCAGCCGGGTGTGATAGCACACGCCTGTCATCCCAGGTGCTCAAGAGGCTGAGGCGGAAGGATCGCTTGAGCCCGGGAGGTCGAGGCTTCAGTGAGCCATGATGGCACCACTGCATTGCAGCCGGGGCAACAGAGGGAGACCCTAGTCTCACAAAAAAAGAGATAAAGGTGAGCCTACAAAGTAAGCAACTAGGGATGGGGGGGATGGGCATGGATAAGCAGAGGCTAGGGGCTTGAGGTTGGGGTGTAGGAGATGTTTGGGTACCAGAGTAGTCAGAGGGATGTGGGTCAGGGTGTCGGCCAGGGTCCAGGGGAAAGTGGGGGAGATGCACACACACACACACACAGGGGGGTTGAGGGATGGGTGGGTCTAGGGTTGTTCTGTACAAGGGCTTTATTTTTTATTTATTTATTATATTTTTTGAGACAGAGTCTCGCCCTGTCGCCCAGGCTGGAGTGCAGTGGTACAATCATGGCTCACTGCAGCCTTGAACTCCTGGGCTCAAGTGATCCTTCCATTCCAGCCTCACAAGTAGCTAGGACTACAGGCATAGGTCACCATGCCTGGCCCTGATTTTTAAATTTTTTGTAAAGATAGGGTCTGGACATGTTACCCAGGCTGGTCTTGAACTCCTGGGTTTAAGCGATCCTCCCACCTCTGCCTCCCAAAGTGCTGGGATAGGTGTGAGCCACCACACCTAGCCTATACAAGGAGTTTTGAGCTACCTGCAGAGGAAAGGAAGAGGTGGGGTTAGGCAGGGTTGGATGTGCAGGGGCTGAGGCCTAGGAGAATCAGCACACATCAGCACTGGAGTCTGCCTGAGGCCATAGTGCTGATGGGGCCAGGAGCAGATGGGGGCTGGACTGTAGAGGTTGTTTGGGAGGTTGATGGAAGTGGGGATGTAGTTGGGAATCAGGGTGGGGGTTGAGACTGAGGGCAGGTGAGGGTCGACGTGTTGGGATGTAAGTTATGGGCTGGAATATCGTTAGGGGTTGGGGTCTAGGTTGAAGGTCAAGGTGTAGCCCGGGATCAGAGTACAGGTGAGAGTTGAGAAATAGGCATAGGTTGGGGTGTAGGTCGAGGGTTGGGGTACAGATCAGGGAGTGGGTATAAGTCAGGGGTGGCCTGCCAAAGGGGGATGGGTATGGCGGGACCCACTCACTTTCAGGGCCGCGCACACAGACGCCATGCACGAAGGCCAGGTGCGTGTGGGAGACCTGGCTCATGAGGCTGGCTGTCTCGTAGAAGGCCTGTGGGGACCGGGCAGGTCAGGTGGCTGCAAAGCCGACCCCTCCCATCCCACCTCCTCCACGGACACACCCCTCCCATCCCACCTCCTCCACAGACACACCCCTCCCATCCCACCTCCTCCGGCCACCTCCTCCACAGACACACCCCCAGGCCTGGCCCTGCCCACTCACCAGGGCGATGTCATGGTGACTAGGGTCCAGCACTTTGAGCACCACTCGTAGCTCCTGCCCACGGTCCCTGCCAGGCACGAGGGGGTCCTCGTCATCCATCTTGCCCTCCTCAGGGTCCCCGCTGCCCTCCACTCGCAGGCGGCCCTCATACACGTTGGTCCTTGTGCCCTGGCCCAAGTGGGACAGCTGCGGGATCATGTGGCACAGAATACCGCCATGGTGAAAGTTAGCAGCTGATCTCCCAGGGCCCCCAGCACCCACATCCCCAGGGGCCCTGCCCTTGCCCCGGGCCCCTTCCCTGCACCCACCTGGGTGATCTCCTTCTGGTCAACCCGGTGGAAGCTGAGCTGGCTGAGGTTGAGTGTCCTGGGGCTGGCCCGAGCCCCCCGCATGATGATGAGATTGGAGGTTTCTGGGGGCAGGCATCAAGTCATGGAGGGCGGGCCTGGGGGAGAGATGCCACATCCCACCCAGAGGTCCCCCTATCATCGTACCTCCTGGTTGGGGCAGGCAACAGCGACGCAGAGAGAAGCAGTCATCCCCGGCCCTCAGCAAGCAGCCCTGCAAGGCAGCCCCAAGTTCCCGAACGCTGGGGAAGGACCGGCCCCAGCCCTCCAGCACGAAGGCCCCGTCCTGCTGCTCAATGGGGAACTTTCGGAGCCGCAAGCTCTGCATGCCGTCTGGTGCCTGGCAGGAGGTGGCAGAGGTGGGAGCAGTAAGCAGGGGACCAGGCAGGGAACGTGTCCAGCCCCAGCCCCAGCCCCCAGCCCTGGGCTCACCTGGCTACGCTGGGCCACTGTGAGGATCAGGCGGTAGGGGTGGCTGGTGCTCCAGTGAATGAGGTACAGGCCGTCCTCGGGCCGCAGCTTGGCCTGCACAAATGGCTCCCTGGAAGGTGGTCCAGGGGGACTATCAGGCCACCTGGGGCCACTCTGGACCCATACCCGGGAACAATGACACTCATTACCTACTTAGAGGGCACACACACAGCTAGGACAAGTGTCAGACACAGCCACTCTTGTGGGGACACTAACTCTGGACACACAGCCACTTACATGGAGACACAATGCAGCAGCAGGCACACACCTGCTTTTTTGTTTATTTGTTTGTATTTTTTAGACGGATTTTCCCTCGTCACCCAGGCTGGAATGCAATGGCGTGATCTCAGCTTATTGCAACCTCTGCCCACCTGGGTTCAAGCAATTCTCTTGCCTCAACACCTCAACCTCCCGAGTAGCTGGGATTACAGGTCCCTGCCACCATGCCCAGCTAATTTTTATATTTTTAGTACAGAGGGGGTTTCACCATGTTAGCCAGCCTGGTCTCAAATTCCTGACCTCAGCTGATCTGCCAGCCTCAGCCTCCCAAAGTGCTGGGATTACAGGCATGAGCCACTGTGCCCGGCTACCTGATCTCTCTTTTTTTTTTTTTTTTTTTTGAGACAGGGTCTTGCTCTGTTGCCCAGGCTGGAGTGCAGCGGTGCAATCTTGGCTCACTTCAGCCTGGACCTCCCAGGCTCAAGAGATTCTCCCACCTCAGCCTCCTGAGGAGCCAGGATTACAGGTGTGCCCAGCTAATTTTTGTGTTTTCTGTAGTTAAAAGACCTTGCTACATTGCCCAGGCTGCTCTTGAACTCCTGGGCTCAAGTGATTCTCCCACCTCGGCCTCCTAAAGCGCTGGGATTACAGGTGTGAGCCACCACACCCAGCCTACTCCTACTCTTGTACTTGACGCCAGACGGGCCCTGACAAGGTGACACACACTCCAAGATTGGAAACAGCCATCAGGAGCCGGATGGGCACACACCCAGCCATGACCATCGCCACTCACAAGGGTGACACACGGTGGATGGCCAATCACACAAGCAAAGGACAACGATCCCAGACACAACTAATCACCCAATATGACAGGGCAACATAGGGGCCAGGGCATCCCAGACACAGAGGTGACACAAACATGCACTATAAAGTGTCATGGTCACATAGGTCCAGACACCTACATGTGCAGTGGCTGACACACGTGGTCCCCAAACACCTGTCTGTACGGGGGCAGCACACATATAGCCTTGACAGCAGGCACGGCCACAGGCCTCACAAGGTGAAATGGCCACTTCCCCCTCCCCTGGCATCACAGGTAGGACAAGGGACAGAGAGTCACAGGGCCAGTGACCAGACAAAGAGACAGTCACAAATCACGACTTGGCAGCACACAGGACAGCCACACACTCCCCTGCACCTGATGATGACATAAGTACCGACAACTTCACGCCCTCAGGCCCACAAGTCACACACAGGACCCCGCTGAGATGGTGACTCACAAGTTACCAGCACAGGCAGCCGCCTGCAGAGGTGGAAGCATCCAACATACGCCTGAATGGTCACCAGCGTCAGGGTAACACACAGTCCCATGAAAATCACCAGTTCTGTGCAATGACAACCTCAACACACAATGACAGTCATGGCCGGGCGTGGTGGCTCATGCCTGTAATACCAGCACTTTGGGAGGCCGAGGCGGGTGGATCACCTGAGGTCAGGAGTTCAAGACTAGGTTGGCCAATCTGATGAAACCCCATCTCTACAAAAATACAAAAATTAGCCTGGCATGGTGGCGAGTGCCTGTAGTCCCAGGTAGTCAGTTGGGAGGCTGAGGCAGGAGAATCGCTTGAACCCGGGAGGCGGAGGCTGCAGTGAGCTGAGATCATGCCACTGCACTCCAGTTTGGGCGACAAAAAATAAAAAAAAAATAAGACGTGCACCTACACACACACCCTGCACAGCCCCTAGGGCTCACAGTCTAGTTGGCACCCTTGGCGGTGGCCCCCAGCGCCCCCCACCCAGCACTCACAGCAGGGGTCCGTGGATCCCATCCCGGATGCTCATCACCAGCCGTGGGGGAGCCACCTCGTGGCACAGGTAGTGGCTGGAGTCGGCCGTCAGGCGGAAATAGCCGTCCACCAGCGACACGAAGGACAGCGCCGCAGCCCGGGAAGGCAAGCTCAGCTCCTGCCAGCCAGGGGCGCATCAGGTGGGTGTCCTCCCAGGCCATGATGGGCCCTAGCCCAGCCCCTACCCTGGGCCTCACCAGGCACTTGTTGTCCTGCCGGTGGATGCTGACACAGTGCTCTTTCAGCACCACGTGGGTGATGTCCCGGAAGTCACAGAAGTAGGCCCACAGTGGCTCCCGCGGCCTGTCTGCCGGCTGGCCGACTGCCTTGTGAGCCTTGGCCTTCTTCCCAAACAGGCTGGCTTGGGGGTTCCTGCCACTGCTGCCACTAGAACCCTGAACACCCAGCAAGTGGGGCAGAGGATGGAGAGGGCAATGCCCGTTTATACCTCCTGCACTTTCCCCTGGGGAGAGACTGGAGCCAGAAGGGCCAGGCACCAACCTAGGTTGACCTCCCAAGTCCCAGTGTCACAGGTGGGATGGGGACCCACCCCAAAATCATACACATGCTGGAAGCCGGACCCTTAGGGAAGGCAGAGAGAAGAATCCTGACCCCCTCACACCCAGGTGCCAGTCCCCAGATGAAGGGGTTCCCTGGAGGTGCAGACCCCAGAAATAAGGTCCCCAGGGGGTAAGCAGATGGAGGACCTTCTCCAAGAAACTGGCCCTAGCGGACAGGTGCCCCAGAGCCATGTGGGGAGAGGGCTCAGGTCAGCCACCCTCAGAGGCTAGGGTCAAGGATGAACACAGAAACCCACCCCAGCCCAACCTGAACCCCCAGGGCGGAAGGGGCGCCTTGCTCACCTCCTCCTTGTTCACCTCCTCCTCTACTGGCCACCACTGGATGCCACCAGTGCCTGTCACCAGCACCTCGTGGGTTGGGGGCCCAGCAGCAGACTCAGGGCCAGGGTCTGTAGGGGCCACCCCACTGTCCCGGATGTAGCAGGGCTCCCCCTCGGCCTGGGCCAGCAGCCTCAGGTGGCACACGGGCACACGCTCTGTGCCGAAGCGGGGTGCCAGCCGCTCGAGTGTGGCTAGGTATTTGACCATGACCATCTGCTGGGAGAGTCGGCCCGGCTGGAAGTCCCGCAGGAACCTGCGGAAGACGTTCCGAAGGCGCAGCCGGGTCAGGGCGCTGTGCTGCCGGATATGCCGGCGGAAGGAGCGCGGGATGCAGTCCTTGAAGCTGGGGGGAAACACAGTGAGGGGCTGGTCAGGGACCTGGGTTGCAGGCCCAGCTGGGTGACACAGGGCAAGTGGCTTAACCTCTTTGAGCCTCAGCTGCCTCATCTGGAAAACAGGCACACTAGCCAGGTGTGGTGACTTGAGCCTGTAGTCTCAGCTACTTGGGAAGCCAAGGCGGAAGGATCGCTTGAGGTCAGGAGTTCGAGACCAGCCTGGCCAACATGATGAAACTCAGTCTGTCTCTACTAAAAATACAAAAATTAGCTGGGCTTGATGGTGGGCACCTGTAATCCCAGCTACTCAGGAGGCTGAGGAAGGAGAATCTCTTGAACCTGGGACGCAGAGGTTGCAGTGAGCCAAGATTGCGCCACTGTACTCCAGCCTAGGTGACAGAGAGAGACTCCGGCTCAGAAAAAAAAAAAAGTAGAGGCACGGCAATATGCAAAGTCTACCCTGGCTCCCAGATGCTCAGGACATTTCCCCCTGCCTACACAGCGTCCCCACCCCATTCCCAGACACCTGGTCTTCTTGGCCACCTCCTCCAGGGGGATGCCATGGCGGAGAGCGAGGTGACAGAGGTGCAGAAAGGCCATGCCCAGGCTCTCATTCTTAAAGTGGTGGATCTCCTCCTCGGTCGACAGCTCCCACAGTGATGCCACGTCATTCACAAACTCATGCTTGCCCTGGGAACAGGAAATTGAGCAGAAAGGGAGGTGTGAGAATGCGTTCCTCTCTAGCCCAGAGGTATCCAATCTTCTGGCTACCCTGGACCACACTGGAAGAAGTGTCTTGGGCCCTACATAAAATACACTAACACTAATGATAGCTGATGAGCTAAAAAAAAAAAAAAAAAAAGAATATCGCAAGCCGGGCATGGTGGCTCACGCCTATAATCCCAGCACTTTGGGAGGCCAAGGCGGGCGGGTCACCTGAGGTCAGGAGTTTGAGACCAGCCTGACCAACATGGAGAAAACTCGCCTATACTAAAAATACAAAATTAGCCAGGTGTGGTGGCGCATGTCTGTAATCCCAGCTACTCCGGAGGCTGAGGCAGGAGAATCACTTGAACCTGGGAGGCAGAGGTTGCAGTGAGCTGAGATCATGACATTGCACTCCAGCCTGAGCAACAAGAATGAAACTCTGTCTCAAAAAAAAAAAAAAATCACAGCAAAATCTCAGAATATTTTAAGATAGTTTATGAATTTGTGTTGGGCTTCATTCAAAGCTGTCCTGGGCAGCATGCAGTCCGCAGGCCAGGGGTTGGACAAGCTTACTCTAGCCAGAGAACTCTAATTTCCTGCGTCTTACCACCTTGAGGAGGGGAGAGACCACCATTTACTGGAAAGGCCAAATACACAGCATACACCCCTCCTCTTGTCAATCTTGTGCCTGTGGCAGACATTACTAATCAATCACAGCACTCTATCCCCTTCAACCTGAACTCTTGGCTGGGCATGGTGGCTCACACCTATAATCCCACAATTTAGGAGGCTGAGGCAGGTGAATCACTTGAGGTCAGGAGTTTGAGACCAGCCTGGCCAACATGGTGAAACCCCGTCTTTACTAAAAATAGAAAAATTAGCCTGGGGTGGTGGCGGGCTTCTGTAATCTCAGTTACTTGGGAGGCTGAGGTGGAAGAATCGCTTCAACCTGGGAGGTGGAAGTTGCAGTGAGCTGAGATCACGCCACTGCACTCCAGCCTGGGCCACAGAGCAAGACTCCATTTCAAAAAAAAAAGATCGGCTGGGAGCGGTGGCTCACGCCTGTAATCCCAGCACTTTGGGAGGCCGAGGCGGGCAGATCACGAGGTCAGGAGATGGAGACCATCCTAGCTAACACTGTGAAACCCCGTCTCCACTAAAAATACAAAAAATTAGCTGGGCATGGTGGCGGGCGCCTGTAGTCCCAGCTACTTGGGAGGCTGAGGCAGGAAAATGACGGGAACCTGGGAGGCGGAGCTTGCAGTGAGCCGAGATCACATCACTGCACTTCAGCCTGGGCGACAGAGCAAGACTCCGTCTCAAAAAAAAAAAAAAGATCCCCAGATAGCATGAGTTGAAACCTATTAGCTATATTGAATCAGGGAGGGAAATGGGGGCTCCTCAACTGCCCCTAAGTCTCCCACAAATAGTCTTGCCACCCCAGCCCTGCTCATACCTGCTCAAAGAGGTACTCAAATGAGGCTGGGTCCAGGAGTTGCATCCCCTGTGCTGTCTGATCTGAGGATGCCTCGGTTCCTGGGGGCCCACAACGGTACACAGCCGGTTCCCGAGGATTCATGCCATGCCAGTTCCGGAAATAAAACCTGCAGGAAGGAGGGACGCAGCTGGGGCTTAGCACAGAGTCAGACCAGCTTCAGCACAGGAGGGGACGAGCTTTGCAAAGGTCTCCACCCACCTTATGCGGAAATATAGCATCAGGCTTGCATCTCTGGGGATCTCTAGGATGTGGTTTGGGGGCAACCAGACTTGGGCCTGAGCATCGAAGAGGGCAAAGAGATTGAAGCAAGGAGGAGTGATACCTGGATCAGGTGAGAAACGAGGTCAGGAGTCACGTCATTTGCTACCGTCAGCCCCAAAGACCCCCCAGACCCAATGTCTGCCTTCACACTCCCTCTGAGGCCCCCTCCCCCACCTGCAGCTTCAGTCTCACGTTGCCCCTGGGCAGAGGACAGTGCGTATGTTGCCCATGCTGTGGCCTCACAGGAGGACTACATTTCCCAGCCTCCCTTGCAGCTAGGATGGAGCCAATTGCACTGCTGGTTTCTGGCCAAAGGGCTGGGTACATTTCCAAGCCTGGAAATAAATTCTCTTGCCACCTTCACCACCCGAGGTATGATGAAGGCTTCTTGTGACAGATGGTGAAGCTGTAAGACAGAGGTGAACCATCCAACCTGTACTTGATTTTAAGTAAAACTTTTTTTTTTTTTTTGAGATGGAGTCTTGCTGTTGCCCAGGCTGGAGAGCAGTGACACGATCTTGGCTCGCTGCAACTTCCGCCTCCTGGGTTCAAGTGATTCTCCTGTCTCAGCCTCCTGAGTTGCTGGGATTACAGGTGTGCGCCACCAACCCCGGCTAGTTTTTGTATTTTTAGAAGAGACGAGGTTTCGCCATGTTGGCCAGGCTGGTCTCAAACTCCTGACCTCAGGTGATCTGCCCACCTTGGCCCCCCAAAGTGCTGAGATTACAGGCATGAGCCACTGTGCTCGGCCGATTTTAGGTAAACCTTGATTAAGATTTGGGGGGATTGCTTATTCCTGCAGCAAAACTAATCCTAGCCTGACCCACATAACTCTACAAACTGCTGCAATTGTCTGGCGTCTCCCTGAACTCCAGCCCCAAAGAAACATCCAGTCACCTCCTGGCTGTCTCCCCCTGGACATCACAGGCCCCCCCTTAGATATGGCTTGTTCCAAACAACATATCTTATCTGTGGTTGGCAAACTCCAACCTTCCCTTCCTCTGCCCTTTTTTTTTTAAGGGTCAGGGTCTTTCTTTGCCACCCAGGTTGCAGTGCAGTGGTGCAATCCTAGCTCACTGCAGCCTCAACCTCCAGGGCTCAAGCGATCCTCCCACCTCAATCTCTGGAGTTGATGGGATTATGGCTATGAGCCAGGGTGTGTGGCTTCTGCCCAGTTCTTCAAACCAGGAACTTGGTCCTTATCTTCAACCTCTCCCACCTGCTCCAAAACAGATCGGTCACCAAGACCTGCTCTTCCTGCACCCTCCATGTCCTGGGGCTCCATCCACCACCTTCAAATGCAAACCTCAACCCCAATCCAGTCTCCAGACTTGCTGTAATTTCCCACACCAGCTACCCAGGGTATCTTTCTTCTACTGATGTCATTTAAAAATTGTACCTGTCGGCCGGGCGCAGTGGCTCACGCCTATAATCCCAGCACTTTGGGAGGCTGAGGTGGGCAGACCACGAGGTCAGGAGATCAAGACCATCTTGGCTAACATGGTGAAACCCCGTCTCTACTAAAAAATACAAAAAATTAGCCAGGCATGGTGGCGGATGCCTGTAGTCCCAGCTACTTGGGAGGCTGAGGCAAGAGAATGGTGTGAATTCAGGAGGTGGAACTTGCAGTGAGCCGAGATTGCGCCACTGCACTCCAGCCTGGGCGACAGAGCGAGACTCTGTCTCAAACAACACAACAAAACAAAACAAAGAATCAGCCATGGCCAGGCTCGAGGGTGCACACTTGTAATCCCAACACTTTGGGAGTCTGAGGCAGGTGGATCACTTGAGGTCAGGAGTTCGAGACCAGCGTGGCCAGCATGGTGAAATCCCATCTCTATTAAAAAAAAAAATAGCTGGACCTGGTGGCATGTGCCTGTAATTCCAGCTACTTGGGAGGCTGAGGCAGGAGGACTGCTTGAACCCGGGAGGCGGAGGTTGCAGTGAGCCAAGATCGTGCCACTGAGCTCCAGCCTGGGCGGCAGAGTGAGATCTGAAAAAAAAAAATTGGCTGGCCATGGTGGGGTGCACCTTTAGTCCCAGCTACTCCGGAGGTTGACGCAGGACAATCGCTTGAACCCGGGAGGTGGAGGGTGCAGTGAGCCGAGATTGTGCCACTGCACTCCAGCCTGGCGACACAGCAAGACTGTCTCAAAAAAAAAAAAAAAAATGGTATCTGGCTGGGTGCAGTGGCCCATGCCTATAGTCCCAGCACTTTCGGAAGCTGAGGCAGGTGAAGCACTTGAGGGCAGGAGTTTGAGACCAGCCTGGCCACCAGAGCAAAACCTCGTCTCTACTAAAAATACAAAAATTAGCTGGGTGTGGGGGTGAGCACCTGTAATCGCAGCTACTCAGCAGGCTGAGGCAAGAGAATTGCTTGAACCTGGAGGCAGAGGTTGCAGTGAGCCGAGATCACGCCACTGCGCTCCAGCCTGGGTGAAAGAGTGAGGCTCTGTCTAAAAAAATAATAATAAAATGAAATAAATAATTTTATCTAAAGCTGGGTATGGTGGCTCACATCTGTAATCCCAGCACTTTGGGAGGCTAAGGCGGGAGAATCACTTGAACCTAGGAGTTCAAGACCAGCCTAAGCAACATAGTGAGACCCCTCATCTCTAAAAAAACTAAAAATAAAATAAATTAGCCAGGTGTGGCTGGAGTGCAGTGGTGTGATCATGGCTCACTGCACCCTCGACTTACTGGGCTAAAGCAATCCTCCTGCCTCAGCCTCCCAAGGAGCTGGGACTACAGGCGCACGCCACCATGCCCAGCTGATTTTTGTAGTTTTTGTAGAGAAGGGGTCTCACCATGTTGTCCAGGCTGGTCTCAAACTCCTAGGCTCAAGTGATCCTCCCACCTCAGCCTCCTGAGTAGCTGGGAGGCTGAGCTACTCAGCCTCCAAAGTGCTGGGATTACAGGCATAAGCCAGTGTGCTCTGCCCTGAAGTAGTGTTTATAATTTTCATATCCTCTACAATCTAGCCTTAAATGTTATGAACTGTGGCTGGGCACAGTGGCTCACGCCTGTAATCCCAGCACTTTGGGAGGCTGAGGGAGGCGGATCACCTGAGGTCGGGAGTTCGAGACCAGCCTGACCAAAATGGAGAAACCCCGTCTCTACTAAAAATACAAAATTAGCTGGGCGTGGTGGCGCATGCCTGTAATCCCAGCTACTCGGGAGGCTGAGGCAGGAGAATTGAACCTGGGAGGTGGAGGTTGCGGTGAGCTGAGATCGTGCTATTGCACTCCAACCTGGGCAACAGGAGCGAAACTCTGTCTCAAAAAAAAAAAAGTTATGAACTGTAAATGTGTGGTATTATACTGCAGACGTCCCTCTGCAATGTGCTTTTTCAGGCTACGAGAGGTTATAAAGCTTCATGCAGAATGACATGAGTAATTCTGGTTAAATTCCTTCTCCCGGCTGCGCAGTAGTCCAGTATTCAACCAGATTGCAATTTACTTAGGCAGTCTCTTATTGAGGGACTTTGCAATGGTCTCCCCTTTTCCATATGATAAACAAGGCGGCTCTAAACATTCTCATAAGTGTCCCTGGGAGCACATGAGCTGACTGTTTATAGAGTGACTGTCACTGTCCAGGAGTGGAACTATATGGCCTCAGGGAAGATGTTTCTGAGTTTTTGTTTTTTTTTTTGAGACGGAGTCTCGATCTGTCGCCCAGGCTGGAGTGTGGTGGCTCAATCTCCGCTCACTGCAAGCTCTGCCTCCTGGGTTCACGCCATTCTCCTGCCTCAGCCTCCCGAGTAGCTGGGACTACAGGCGCCCGCCACCATGCCCAGCTAATTTTTTTGTATTTTTTTAGTAGAGACGGGGTTTCACCGTGTTAGCCAGGACGGTCGCAATCTCCTGACCTCATGATTCGCCCACCTCAGCCTCCCAAAGTGCTGGGATTACAGGCGTGAGCCACGGCGCCCGGCCTGGGTTTTTTTTTTTTTTTGAAGCAGGATCTTGCTCTGACATATAGGCTGGAATACAGTGGTGCAATCATGGCTCAGTGCAGCCATGACCTCCCTGGCTCAAGCAGTCCTCCTGCCTCAGTCTCCTGAGTAGCTGGGAAATACAGGAACACGCCACCACACACAGCTATATATATATATATATATATATATATTTTTTTTTTTTTTTTTTTTTTTGAGACAGCATCTTGCTCTGTCACCTAGGCTGAAGGGCAGTGGCATGATCACTGTAGCTTCAACCTCCCGGGCTCAAGTGATCCTCCCACCTCAGCCTCCTGAGTAGCTGGGACTACAGGTGCACACCAGCACACAGCACACCTGGCTAATTTTTTGTATTTTTAGTAGAGACGGGGTTTCGCGATGTTGCCCAGGCTGATCTTGAACTCCTGGGCTCAAGTGATCCTCCACGCTTAGCCTCCAAAACTGCTGGGATTGCAGGCGTGAGCCACTGCATCCAGCTTTGACTGTGTTATCAAATCACTCTCCAAAGTCACACCATGGAATTATACTGCCCCTCTGTGAAGGGAGGATACCTCCCTGTGAAACAATATATATTTTTTTTAGATGGAGTCACCCAGACTGGAGTGCAATGTTGCAATCTTGGTTCACCGCAACTTCTGCCTTTCAGGTTCAAGTCATTCTCCTGTCTCAGCCTCCTGAGTAGCTGGGACTACAGGCATGTGCCACCATGCCCAGCTAATTTTTTGTATTTTTTTTTTTTTTGGATAGAGTTTTTGCTCTTGTTGCCCAGGCTGGAGTGCAGTGGCGTGATCTCGGCTCACTGTAACCTCCACCCCCTGGGTTCAAGCGATTCTCCTGCCTCAGCCTCCTGAGTAGCTGGGATTACAGGCGCCCGCCACCACGCCCGGCTAATTTTTTGTATTTTCAGTAGAGATGGGGTTTCATCATGTTGACCAGACTGGTCTCCAACTCCTGACCTCAAGTGATCCACCCGCCTTGGCCTCCCTAAGCGCAAGGATTACAAGTGTGAGCTACGGCACCTGGCCAATGTTTCATATTTTTGTTTTTTGAGACCGAGTCTCTGTCACCCAGGCTGGAGTGCAGTGGTGCGATCTCGGCTCACTGCAACTCCGCCTCCCAGGTTTAAGTGATTCTCCTGCCTCAGCCTCCCAAGTAGCTGGGATGTGCGTCACCACGCCCAGCTAATTTTTATATTTTTAGTAGAGACGGGGTTTCACCATGTTGGCCATGCTGGTCTCAAACTCCTAACCTCAAGTGATCTGCCCGCCTCAGCCTCCCAAAGTGCTGGGATTACAGGCGTGACCCACTGTGCCTGGCTTGAGACAACTTCTTAAAGAACCAGTCAAAAATAAAAAATAAAAATAAAAGAACTAGTCAGACTGCTTCACTCTCTGGCTTAAACCTTCCATGGCTCCCCATTGCTCCCGGAGAATGCCCAACCCCTTGACCCTTGATTCTGAGTACCCCCACCCTGGCTTTTGCCTGCTATGCCCCAATTTCAATTGTTACTTCCCCTTCCAAACTCTCAAAATTGATACCCCAGTCACCCTGAAGGTCTTTCGCTTCCTCAAACAGATCAAGCTCTCCGGGCCTCCATGCATGCTGTTCCCTCTGCTGAGCGTGTTTCACATCACCCGCACACCTGTCTGAATCCTTTAATAATCAGTCATGGGGGCGGGCACAGTGGCTCACACCTGTAATCCCAGCACTTTGGGAGGCTGAGGTGGGCGGATCACGAGGTCAGGAGATCGAGACCATCCTGGCTAGCACAGTGAAACCCTGTCTCTACTAAAAATACAAAAAATTAGCCAGGCGTGGTGGTGGGTGCCTATAGTCCCAGCTCCTCGGGAGGCTGAGGCAGGAGAATGGCGTGAACCCGGAAGGCGGAGCTTGCAGTGAGCTGAGATCGCGCCACTGCACTCCAGCCTGGGCGACAGAGCGAGACTCTGTCTCAAACAACACAACAAAACAAAACAAAGAATCAGCCATGGCCAGGCTCGAGGGTGCACACTTGTAATCCCAACACTTTGGGAGTCTGAGGCAGGTGGATCACTTGAGGTCAGGAGTTCGAGACCAGCCTGGCCAACATGGTGAAACCCCCGTCTCTACTGAAAATACAAAAATTAGCCAGGTGTGGTGGTGGGCGCCTGTAATCCCAGCTACTCAGGAGGCTGAGGCAGGAGAATCACTTGAACCCGGGAGGCGGAGGTTGCAGTGAGCCGAGATCACACCACTGCACTCCAGCCTGGGTGACAGAGCGAGACTCCGTCTCAAAAAAAAAAAAAAAAAAAAAAGCCGGGCACGGTGGCTCACACCTGTCATCCCAGCACTTTGAGAGGCCGAGGCAGGGGGAACAGCATGCATGTTCAAGACCAGCCTGACCAACATGGTGAAACCCCGTCTCTACTAAAAATACAAAAATTAGCTGGGCGTGGTGGCAGGCGCCTGTAATCCCAGCTACTCAGGAGGCTGAGGCAGGAGGATCGCTAGAACCCGGGAGGCGGAGGTTGCAGTGAGCCAAGATTGTGCCATTGCACTCCAGCTTTGAGGACTGAGCGAGACTTCGTTTCAAAAAAAAAAAAAAAATCAGTCATGGCCAGGCGCGATGGCTCATGCCTCCCAACACTTTGGGAAGCCAAGGCGGGTGGATGGCTTGAGCCCAGGAGTTTGAGACCAGCATGAGGCAACATGCAAAAAATACAAAAATTATCCGGGTGTGGTGACATGTGCCTGTAGCCCCAGCTATTTGGGAGACTGAGGCAGGAAAATCACTTGAGCCTGGGCAGTTAGAGGCTGCAATGCGTCATGATTGCACCACTGCATTTCAGCCTGGGCAAGAGAGAGACTGTCTCTACGAAAGAAAAAAAAAAAAAGACTCAGCCATCAATGGGGAAGTAGGAAGTGTTATAAAAATTGATTACAATGCCCCCATCCAGTCATGGAAAGCTGGGAATGGGGGAGGTAAGAGGAGTTTCTGGAGGAAGGTATATGTAACCAAAGCCGCCTTAGAAAGGCCTTTCCTTGGTTGGGCATGGTGGCTCACGCCTGTAATCCCAGCACTTTGGGAGGCTGAGGCAGGTGGATCACTTGAGGTCAGAAGTTCGAGACCAGCCTGGCCAACATGGCAAAACTCCAGCTCTACTAAAAATATAAAAACTAGCCGGGCGTGGGGTGTGCACCTGTAATTCCAGCTACTCAGGCGGCTGAGGCAGGAGAATGGCTTGAACCTGGGACATGGAGGTTGCAGTGAGCTGAGGTCACACCACTGCACTCCAGCCTGGGTGACAGAGTGAGACCCTATGTCATTAAAAAAAGAAAATTGGGCCGGGCATGGTGGCTCACACCTGTAATCCCAGCACTTTGGAGGGCCGAGGCGGGCAGATCACGAGGTCAGGAGATCAAGACCATCCTGGCTAACACGGTGAAACCCCACCTCTACTAAAAATACAAAAAAAAAAAAAAAATCTAGCCGGGCATGGTGGCACACACCTGTAGTCCCAGCTACTCGGGAGGCTGAGGCCGGAGAATCGCTTGAACCCGGGAGGCGGAGGTTGCAGTTAGCTGAGATTGCGCCATTGCACTTCAGCCTGGGACAGAGCGAGACTCCATCTCAAAAAAAAGAAAAAAAGAAAGACTGTAGTAGATATATTTGGAAGTGCAATTTCCTGTGCAGGAGGAGGGAAAGCCTTTCTTTCTTTTTTTTTTTTTTTTTTCTTTGAGATGGAGTTTCGCTCTTGTTGCCCAGGCTGGAGTACAATGGCACGATCTCAGCTCACTGCAGCCTCCACCTCCCAAGTTCAAGCAATTCTCCTGCCTCAGCCTCCTGAGTAGCTAGGATTGCAGGCACCTGCCACCATGCCTGGCTACATTTTGTATTTTTAGTAGAGATGCGGTTTCACTACATTGGCCAGGCTGGTCTTGAACTCCTGATCTCAGGTGATCTGCCCGCCTCAGCCTCTGAAAGTGTTGGGATTACAGGCATGAGCCACCGCACCTGGCCTTTTTTTATTTTTGAAACGGAGTCTAGCTCTGTCACCCAGCCTGGAGTGCAGTGCTGTGATCTCGGCTCACTGCAACCTCCATGTCCCAGGTTCAAGCTATTCTCCTGCCTCAGCCTTCTGAGTAGCTGGGATTGCAGGCACCTGCCACCATGCCTGGCTACATTTTGTATTTTTAGTAGAGATGCGGTTTCACTACATTGGCCAGGCTGGTCTTGAACTCCTGATCTCAGGTGATCTGCCCGCCTCAGCCTCTGAAAGTGTTGGGATTACAGGCATGAGCCACCGCACCTGGCCTTTTTTTATTTTTGAAACGGAGTCTAGCTCTGTCACCCAGCCTGGAGTGCAGTGCTGTGATCTCGGCTCACTGCAACCTCCATGTCCCAGGTTCAAGCTATTCTCCTGCCTCAGCCTCCTGAGTAGCTGGAATTACAGGTGCGCACCCCACGCCCGGCTAGTTTTTGTATTTTTAGTAGAGCTGGAGTTTTGCCATGTTGGCCAGGCTGCTCTCAAACTTCTGACCTCAAGTGATCCACCAGCCTCAGCCTCCCAAAGTGCTGGGATTACAGGCATGAGCCACCGCGCCCGGCCTGACTTTCTTTTTTTAATGACACTGGGTCTCACTCTGTCACCCAGGCTGGAGTGCAGTGACGAAACCATACCTCATTGCAGGCTTGAACTCCTGGGCTCAAGCGATCCTCTTGCCTCAGGCTCTCAAGTTGCTGGGACTACAGGCATGTACCACCATGCCTGGCTAATTTCTAAAAATTATTTTGTTGAGACAAGGTCTCCCTATGTTGCCCAGGCTGGTCTCCAACTACTGGCCTCAAGCAATCCTCCTGCCTGGGCCTCCTCAAGTACTGGGATTACAAGTGTCAGCTACTGCACCTGGCCAAGTTTTCTGATTTATTATATTTCTTGCTGTCCTCCCTACTAAAATTTCAGCTCTACAAAGGCAGTGATTTGCAGCTGCCACACAGTAGATGCTTACAAAATGTTCACCGAATGAACGGGTGGATGGATGGATGGATGGATGGATGGATGGATGGATGGATGGATGGATAGATGGATGAATAGGTGGGTGGGTGGGTGGATGGATGGATGGATGGATGGATGGATGGATGGATGGATAGATGGATGAATGGGTGGGAGGATGGATGGGTGGGTGGATGGATGGATGCATGGATAGGTGGGTGAGTGGGTGAGTGGGTGGGTGGATGGATGGATGGATGGATGGGTGGGTGGGTGGATGGATGGGTGGGTGGGTGGATGGATGGATGGATGAATGGATGGATGGGTGGATGGATGGGTGGATGGGTGGGTGGATGGATGGGTGGATGGATGAATGGGTGGGTATGGATGGATCGATGGGTGGATGGATGGATAGATGGATGAATGGGTGGGTGGATGGATGGGTGGATGGGTGGGTGGGTGGATAGGTGGGTGGATGGGTGGGTGAGTAGGTGGATGGATAGGTGGATAGGTGGGTGGATGGATGAGTGGGTGGGTGGATGTATGGATGGATGCGTGGGTGGATGGATGGGTGGGTGGGTGGGTGGATGGATGCGTGGGTGGATGGATGGGTGGGTGGGTGGGTGGATGAATGGGTGGATGGGTGGATGGGTGAAAGGGTGGGTGGATGGGTGAATGGGTGGGTGAATGGGTGGGTGGATGGGTGGATGGGAGGATGGATGGATGCATGGGTGGATGGATGGGTGGGTGGGTGGATGGATGGGTGGTTGGGAGGGTGGATGGGTGGGTGGATGGGTGGATGGATGGATGGATGGATGAGTGGGTGGATGGGTGGGTGGATGGGTGGGTGGGTGGATAGACGGATGGATGGGGCCCAGCTGCTGCTTGCACACCCACCCCAGTCCCCATGGTGCCAACGCCCCAGACTCACCAACTTTATGTGCAATGTGGATGCAGACTTCCTCAGCTGTCAGCGATGACTCACTGAAAGTGACCCAGGGCTCCCCGCCGCCTGGACCAGCCCAGTGCAGAAGCACCTTCAGGCCTCCCATGGCAGCCATGGGCTGGGCTCCATCCCCAACGGGCTTACTGCCCCTGGCCATCCCCCAGTGGCGCAGAGGCATGCTCCCGGCAGGTGGCTCAGCTGGAAAGGGGACAATCTGTCAGCTCCCAAGTCTCAGCCCAGAGACCCCTGTTAGCTCTTCAACCTTCCACCCACCCCAGCTAAGGCCTGAGGGGAAGATTCTGGGCTCCCATCTTGGCATGACATTAGAGACCCGATTCCCTCTCTGAGTCTCGTTTTCCACATTTATTGGACAGGGTTGGGGTATGCATCCCCACCTAGATCTCTCATCAACAATAACACTGAACCCTCCTCTCTTTCCACAAATTGACACAGATATAAAAATCTGCTCTGGCCAGGTACAGTGGCTCACGCCTCTAATCCCAGGACTTTGGGATGTTGAGGCAAGAGGATTGCTTGAGCCCAGGAGCTCGAGACCAGCCTAGGCCATATAGCAAGACCCTGTTTCTACAAGACGTTTTATTTTATATCTTATCTTATCTTATCTTATCTTATCTTATCTTATCTTATCTTATTTTTGAGACAGAGTTTCACTCTTGTTGCCCAGGCTGGAGTGCAATGGTACAATCTTGCTCACCACAACCTCTGCCTCCTGGGTTTAAGTGATTCTCCTGCCTCAGCCTCCTGAGTAGCTGGCGCCTGCCACCACACCGGGCTAATTTTTGTATTTTTAGTAGAGACAGGGTTTTGCCATGTTGGCCAGGCTGGTCTTGAACCTCTGACCTCAGGTGATCCACCCGCCTCGGCCTCCCAAAGTGCTGGGATTACAGGCGTGAGCCACTGTGCCCGGCCTCTACAAGAAATTTTTAAAATTTAGCCAGGCGTGGGGGTGCACATCTGTACTCCAAGCTACTCGGGAGGCTGAAGTGGGAGGATCTCCTGAGCCCAGGAGTTGGAGGCTGCAGTGAGCAGTGATCGCACCACTGCATTCCAGCCTGGGTGACAGAGTGAGACCCTGACTCTAAAAATATAAATAAATAAATAAATAAATAAGTAATAAAAATATATAAAAAGGGCCAGGCGCGGTGGCTCATGACTGTAATCCCAGCACTTTGGGAGGCCAAGGCGGACAGATCACGAGGTCTGGAGATTGAGACCATCTTGACCAACATGGTGAAACCCCATCTCTACTAAAATACAATAAATAAATAAATAAATAAATAAATAAATAAATAAAAAGTAAAATAAAAATCTGCTCTTAACACACCTCCCCAAAATAACCAGACAGGCAGATGTGGTCAAACATACCTGAGGGTGAGTCCTGGAGCTCCCTGTGTCAACTCAAGCAAGCCACTTAGCAATTCTGGGCCTCAGTTTCCCCATCTGGAAAAGGGAGGTCCTCAGGGTGTTGCCATCAAAAGATGGTTGTAATGTTTCAATATAGTTCCGCATATTACACATTCAGCACAGACCCTGATTCAGGCACACACAAAAAGAACAAATATGACCAAAACAAGAATAACATAATTGTTATTAGTTTCATCGTGGTGATGGCCTCTTTCAGGCCACAATTCTCCTCTCCCACATTTACCCCCATGAGTGACCTCAGTCCCTGTTGACTCCCCAAAGCCTAGGAGAGTTTATGTCCAGCTCCATCCCCCCAATCCAGGGCCTGAGCCTCCTGAGGGCGCCAGTATGGAAGTGGAGGGGCTGTCACTTCCACCCATGTTGCTGGTTTCCTCATCTGGAAAATGGGCATGTAACAGTGTCTACCTCAAAAGGCTGCTGGGAGGATTTAACGCGAGGAGGCAGAGAAAGTGCCTGGTATACAGTAAGCGCTTAATTAGCCTTTGCCATTAATACCTATTCATGTTATAGATGAGATCCCGGGGATGGGGCTTTCGCGGAGCCTACTTCCTCCTTCCTCCTTTCTCGTCCCCACTGGACCCAGACCCAGCTTTGAAGACAGGGTCGGAGTGAAGTTTGCAACTGGGAAGGCTGCACGCCCCCATGTCCTCCCCCCAAAACCTCTAAACCCGGCCGGCAACGGCGGGAACTGGGATGTGCACCCACCGGGCATCGGAGCAGTCCCGAGGCACCAGGTGCTCCCATCCAAGTGCAGCCTGTCAAGCGCAGCCAGTCCCCGCGGCTTCTTCCTGAGGACCTCCGGCCGCGCTCCTTCCGCGCCCGCGTCCAGACTCACCCTTCCGGGGGAACACAAGCTCGAACCCGGACCCCTCCCCGCTCCCGCGGGTAGCTACTGCTTGTCCCCCGCCGAGACGCCTCCTCCCATTGGCCGCCTGAAACGCACACGCCCATTGGCAGCTGCTCTGTTCTCCCTGCTCGTCACCATTGGATTTTTTTTTTTTTGCCATGGTGGCGGCACTCTCATTGGTCCTGGGGCTCATTCGTCACTCAGCCGCGATTGGCTGAGTCGGCACCCAGATGCGCTGTCGCTTCTGCTATTGGCTGGCACTCGGTGGACGGAGACGGGGGAGGGGCTTGCGAGAGGCGGGAGGGAGAGCGAAGTGTGTGGGCAACGCGGCCGGATCCTGGAGTTCCCCTCCGTGCTGTGGAATTGGGTCAGGCGTGTACGGTCCTGACCCTAGGACACAGCTGCATGTCCTCACCTCGGTGTTCAAAGCTGCACCGGCCACCATTCAACCCTCCGACGCCCTGCCCTTTGGCTTCCCCGTTCCATCCGGTCCTGTCTCCTTTCCCTCGTTTCTACCTGGCCGACTCCATCCTGCTGACTAGAATTCCCCCTCCTTCACTCCTGGGAGGCATTCCTCGCCCACCTGCCCCAGTCCTCTTCCTGATCACCTGCAGCCCTGTCCTCTGAAGCTCCCTAGCGGTCAGGGTAGCAGCTTGGACATCCCGCCAGACGTGAATTCAAATCCCCACTCCGCAAGTCGTGCCCATTTGCTGAGAAGCCTACAGCCAGAGCGTTTCACATACATTATCTCATTTGATCCTAGCAGCAATTCCCTGTATGGCGGCTCTTATTATCCCCATTTCACAGAGGAAGAAACTCAGGCATGAAGAGGTAACAAAGACCGTCCTCTGACCCTTCTTCTGTGCCACACCATAACCACTCCTCGACTTTGTCTTTCACCTGCCCAGCCAAGTCTTAGCAAAGAAGCCTATTAAGTCATCCGCTCATCCTTGATGTCTGATCAACTTCCTCATCTTCCACTTTTTTTTTTTTTTTTTTTTAAGATGGAGTTTCGCTCTTGTCGCCCAGGCTGGAGTGCAATGCTGCGATCTCGGCTCACTGCAACCTCAGACTCCCGGATTCAAGCGATTCTCCTGCCTCAGCCTCCTGGGTAGCTGGGACAACAGGCGCCCGCCACCACGCCCGGCTAATTTTTGTATTTTTAGTAGAGATGGGATTTCACCATCTTGGCCAGGCTGGTCTCGAACTCCTGACCTCGTGATCCACCCTCCCAAAGCGCTGGGATTACAGGCGTGAGCCACCGCACCCGGCCCTTTTGTTGTTAATTTTTAAATTTTGTGGCTAATTTTTAAATTTTTGTAGAGATGGGGTCTGGCTATGTTGCCCAGGCTGGTCTTGAACTTCTGGCCTCAAGCAATCATCCTGCCTTGGCTTTCCAAAGTGCTGGGATTACAGATGTGAGCTAAGACACCCAGCTCCATGGAGTTGGTCTTAACTGCCATGGCCAAGGGACATGTGGCTGCTTCTCTCTGAGTCAGAAAATATGGGTAAAAAGCCTCCTCACAGGGCAGCTGTGGACATTCAGTATGAAAATGCTGAAAGAGATCGGGAATGGTCTCTTTCACACCTGTAATCCCAGCACTTTGGGAGGTGGAGGCGGGCGGATCACCTGAGGTCAGGAGTTCAAGACCAGACTGGCCAACATGGTGAAACCCTGTCTCTACTAAAAATGCAAAAATTAGCTGGGCATGGTGGTGGGCACCTGTAATCCCAGCTATTCAGGAGGCTGAGGCAGGAGAATCGCTTGAACTTGGGAGGCAGAAGTTGCAGTGAGCCGAGATCACACCATTGCCCTTCAGCCTGGGCAACAAGAGCTAAACTCTGTCTCAAAAAAAAAAAAAGAAAAAGAAAAAGAAAGAAAATGCTGATAGAGGCCGGGCACAGTGGCTCACGCCTGTAATCCCAGCACTTTGGGAGGCCGAGGTGGGCGGATCATGAGGTCAGGAAATCGAGACCATCCTGGCTAAGGCGGTGAAACCCCGTCTCTACTAAAAATACAAACAATTAGCTGGGCGTAGTGGCAGCCTGAGGCAGGAGAATGGCGTGAACCGGGGAGGCGGAGCTTGCAGTGAGCCGAGATTGCGCCACTGCACTCCAGCCTGGGCGCCAGAGTGAGACTCTGTCTCAAAAATAAAATAAAATAAAATAAAATAAAATGCTGATAGAGACTTGTCCTGGCTGGATGCAGTGGCTCATCCCTATAAACCTAGCACTTCAGGGAGCTAAAGAAGGAGTACTGTCTGGGCCCAGTTCAAGACCAACCTGGGCAATATAGCAAGACCCCATCTCTACCCAAAATAAAAAAAATTAGTCTAAGGCTGAAGTATGAGAATCGCTTGAGCCCAGGAGGTGGAGGTTGCAGTGGGCTGAGATCCCACCACTGCACTCCAGCTTGGGCTACAGAGTGAGACTCCATCTCGGGGGGAAAAAAAATTAGTTAGTCCCAGCTACTCCGAAGGCTGAGGTGGGAGGATTGCTTGAGCCCAGGAGGTTGAGGCTACAGTGAGCCGTGATCACACCACTGCACTCCAGCCTGGGCAACTTGACCTCCTGGGCTCTGCTGTATTTTCTTCAGAGTCCTTATTGCAACCTGACATTTCATGGGAAGTTTCTTTCTTTTTTTTTTTTTTTAAAGAGACAGAGTCTTGCTCTGTTGCCCAGGCTGGAGTGCAGTGGCGCAATCTTGGCTCACTGCAACCTCTGCCTCTCAGGTTCAAGCAATTCTCCTGCGTCAGCATCCCCGGTAGCTGGGATTACAGGCGTGCACCACCACGCCTGGCTAATTTTTGTATTTTTAATAGAGACAGGGTTTGGCCAGGTTGGCCATACTGGTCTCGAGCTCCTGACCTCAGGTGATCCACCCGCCTTGGCCTCCCAAAGTGCTGGGATTACAGATGTGAGCCACCGCGCCCAGCTGGGTTTCTCTTCTTTCTTTCTTTCTTTTTTTTTTTTTTTTTTTTTTTTTTGAGACAAGAATCTCGCTCTGTTGCCCAGGCTGGAGTGCAGTGCTGTGATCTCAATTCACTGCAGTCTCAACTTCCCAGATTCACCATTCACAATCTTCCACCTCAGCCTCCTGAGTAGCTGGGACTACAGATGTGCATCACGATGCCTGGGTAACTTTTTTTTTTTTGAGGCGGAGTCTTGCTCTGTTGCTAGGCTGAAGTGCAGTGGCACGATCTCGGCTCACTGTAATCCCTGCCTCCCAGGTTCTAGCGATTCTTCTGCCTCAGCCTCCAGAGAAGCTGGGATTACAGGCGTGTGCCACCACACCCAGCTAATTTTTTTGTATTTTTTAGTAGAGATGGGGTTTCACCATGTTGGCCAGGATGGCCTCAATCTCCTGACCTCATGATCCTCACGCCTCGGCCTCCCAAAGTGCTGGGATTACAGAAGTGAGCCACCGCGCCCAGCCGCCTGGCTAACTTTTGTGTGTGTGTATTTTTTATAGAAATGGGCTTCCACCAACCCCGTCTCTACTAAAAATACAAAAATTAGCCGGGTGTGTTGGTGGGTGCCTATAATCCCAGCTACTTGGGAAGCTGAGGCAGGTGAATCACTTGAACCTGGGAGGCGGAGTTTGCAGTGAGCTGAGATCGCGCCACTGCACTCTAGCCTGGGCGACAGAGTGAGACTCTATCTCAAAAAAAAAAAAAGGAAAAGAAATGGGTTTTCACCATGTTGCCCAGGCTGGTCTCAAACTACTGGGCTCAAGTGGTCCTCCCGCCTTGACCTCCCAAACTGCTGGGATTACAGGCGCATGCCACCACACCCGGCTAATTTTTTAGTATTTTTTAGTAGGGACGAGGTTTCACCATGTGGGCCAGGATGGCCTTGATCTCCTGACCTCGTGATCCTCCCGCCTTGGCCTCCCAAAGTGCTGGGAATACCGGTGTGAGCCACCTCGCCTGGCCGGCTGGCTAACTTTTGTGTGTGTGTAATTTTTTTAGAAATGGGTTTTCACTATGTTGCCCAGGCTGGTCTCAAACTACTGGGCTCAAACTGCTGGGCTCAAGTGGACCTCTGGCCTTGACCTCCCAAACTGCTGGGATTACAGGCATGAGCCACCGTGCCCAGCCCCTGGGAAGTTTCTTTGAGCACAAGTTCTATTGCCTGTCTGCGGTTCTAGGACCGCACCAGAAAGAGGTCCGTCTGGTTGTCTGCTAAGCCCTCAGTGCCTGAGATTGTGCATCCAGCCCAGTAGGTGGCTTAAGAAGCCACAGCTGGAGGGGAATGAATGGCCTGGGAGCCAGGAATCCCTGGCTGTTGTCCTGCCTGCTGCGGGAGGGCTGGCTGTGAGCTTCCTCTCTGTCGCCGCTTAGAGTACAGTACCTAGAAGCCAAGAGTGCCAGATTTTTCTTTTTCCTTTTTTCTTTTATTGAGAGAGGGAGTTTCGCTCTTGTTGCCCAGGCTGGAGTGCAATGGCACAATCTCGGCTCACCACAACCTCTGCCTCCTGGGTTAAAGCGATTCTCCTGCCTCAGCCTCCCAAGTAGCTGGGATTACAGGCATGCGCCACCACGCCCGGCTACTTTTTTGTATTTTTAGTAGAGATGGGGTTTCTCCATGTTGGTCAGGCTGGTCTTGAACTGCCGACCTCAGGTGATCCACCCACCTCGGCCTCCCAAAGTGCTGGGTAATACTGGTGTGAGACACCGTGCCCGGCCTAGAGAGTGCCAGATTTTTCAACAGCCATTGGGGCAATGCTCCGTGATTAGATGCTAGAACACAGTGGGCCGAGTGGGCCTGGGACCCGGTATTCCCCGCTCCCAAAGGAACTAGAAGGAAATGCCACATGAGGCGATTAATAATAACAATGCTAGTCATACTCCCAGTAACGATATCAATTCTAACAATGAGCTGGTGCGGTGGCTGGCACCTGTAATCCCAGCACTTTGAGAGACAGAGGCAGGAGGATCGCTTGAACCCAGGAGTCCCAGACCAGCCTGGGCAACATAGTGAAACCTCGTGTCTACAAAAAAAATTTAAAAATTAGCTGGGCATGGTGATACACGCCTGTAGTCCCAGCTACTAGGGAGGCTGGGGTGGGAGGATCGCTTGAGTCCACAGGTTGAGGTTGCAGTGAGCTGTGATCGCACCACTGCACTCCAGCCTGGGCAACCGAGCAAGACCCTATCAAATAAATAAATAAATAAATAAATAAATAAATAAATAAATAAAGCTGACATTTTCCCAGCCTGCACACTGGGGCCGAGCGTGGGTATTTAGCCATCTCTGGGTCTTCTCAGTTTCTTTCTTTTTTTTTTTTTTTTGAGATGGAGTCTCACTCTGTTGCCCAGGCTGGAGTGCAGCGGCGTGATCTCGGCTCATTGCAAGCTCCACCTCCCAGGTTCATGCCATTCTCCTGCTTCAGCCTCCCGAGTAGCTGGGACTACAGGTGCCCGCCACCACACCCGGCTAATTTTTTGTATTTTTAGTAGAGACGGGGTTTCACCAGGGTTAGCCAGGATGGTCTCGATCTCCTGACCTCGTGATCCGCCCGCCTCGGCCTCCCACAGTGCTGGGATTCCAGGCACCAGCCACTGCACCTGGCCTCTTCTCAGTTTCTTTGCAAGTGGTATCAGCACCCCCACTTGACAATTGAAGAAAAGAGGCTAAGGAGGCTGTTTTGCCAAGGCCTGGCGCCTCCTGCCCAAACTCAGACCTGGTCCATAAGGGAGGCCCCAGACCCCACATGTGACTAACAGGAGGGGGTTTCCCAGGACTGAGGGGGTTCCCCAATGGGGGGCTTTCCATGCTAAAATTGGGACAGTCCTGGGCAGGCCAGGACAGTTGGCCACGCCACTACGGCGGGTTTCTCAGAAGGAACAAAAGCTGGGGGCTTCCCCTGGCTCTGCAAGGGCTGCAGGGAGGGGCCTCCTCAGAGCCCCCTGGGACCTGGGAAAAGCCAAGAGTTGATGGATTAAAAGTAAAATACCTTTGTGTTTTCATGAGTGAGAAAGTTCAGGGAACAGCCAGTCTCCTCCTCAAAACAACCA
The DNA here is from genome assembly GCF_000001405.40 of Homo sapiens. Lineage (NCBI taxonomy): Eukaryota > Metazoa > Chordata > Mammalia > Primates > Hominidae > Homo > Homo sapiens. The sequence goes on from NC_000019.10 coordinate 10,386,542, forward strand.
TGAGATGGATTTCCTGGGAAATCTTTTTTTTTTGAGACAGAGTTTTTCCTCTTGTCGCCCAGGCTGGAGTACAATGGCACGATCTTGGCTCACTGCAACCTCTGCCTCCTGGGTTCAAGGGATTCTCCTGCCTCAGCCTCCCGAGTAGCTGGGATTAGAGGCGCCTGCCACCACGCCCAGCTAATTTTTGTATTTTTTGTAGACACGGGGTTTCACCATCTTGGCCAGGCTGGTCTCGAACTCCTGACCTCAGGTGATCCACCCGCCTTGGCCTCCCAAAGTGCTGGGATTACAGGCATGAGGCTACCGCACTCAGCCTCCTGGGAATCTTTCCACAAAAATTCTACGCTCCTTTGGGCACGTGTGTGAACCTGTGTTCTCTAGAAAATTCTCAGGAGCAGCCCCAAATGGGACACTCGGTGCTGGCCTGAGAGGATACAGAGGAGTAACTTACACACATGAAGGCTGGCACCAGACGGGCTGAGTTCAAGCCCCAGCTCCATCACTGTGTGATCCTGGGCGGCCCCTTAACCCCACTGTGCCTCAGTTTCCTCCTCTGCAAGATGTGACTATTTAGTCCCAAACCCAGAGGCATGTCAGGGACATCAAATGAGTTAATACACTTCATTAGCCAGGTGTGGTGGTGCATGCCTGTACAGGAGGCTGAGGCAGGAGAATCGCTTGAACCTGGGAGATGGAGGTTGCAGTGAGCCGAGATCGTGCCACTGCATTTAAGCTTGGGCAACAGAGCAAGACTCGGTCTCAAAAAAAAAATAAATAAAAGGACTGGTGGTGGATAGCCAGATGCAGTGTGTGTCTCTTGGCTGTAATTTGAGCTACTCAGGAGGTTGAGGCAGGAGAATCACTTGAGCCCAGAGGTTAGAGGCTGCAGTGAGCTATGATTGTGCCACTGCACTCCAGCCTGGGTGACAGAGCCAGATCCCATCTCTTAAAAAAAAAAAAGGGGGGGGCCACACATGGTGGCTCATGTGTGTAATCCCAGCACTTCGGAAGGCCAAGGCGGGCAGTCCTCTTGAGGTCAGGAGTTTGAGACCAACCTGGCCAACATAGTGAAACCCTGTGTCTACAAAAAATACAAAAATTAGGCCGGGTGCGGTAGCTCACGCCTGTAATCCCAGTACTTTGGGAGGCTGAGGCAGGTGGATCATGAGGTCAGGAAATCAAACCCATCCTGGCTAACACAGCGAAACCCCGTCTCTACTAAAAATACATAAAAATTAGCCGGGCGTGGTGCCAGACGCCTGTAGTCCCAGCTACTCAGGAGGCTGAGGCAGGAGAATGGCGTGAGCTCGGGAGGCAGAGCTTGCAGTGAGCTGAGATCAGGCCACTGCACTCCAGCCTGGGCGACAGAGCAAGACTCCATCTCACAAAAAAAAAAAAAAAAAAAAAAAAAAAGGGCCGGGCACAGTGGCTCACACCTGTAATCCCAGCACTTTGGGAGGCCGAGGAGGGCAGATCACGAGATCAGGAGATCGAGACCACGGTGAAACCCCGTGTCTACTAAAAATACAAAAAATTAGCCGGGTGTGGTGGCGGGCGCCTGTAGTCCCAGCTACTCGGGAGGCTGAGGCAGGAGAATGGCGTGAACCCCGGAGGTGGAGCTTGCAGTGAGCCGAGATCATGCCACTGCACTCCAGCCTGGGCGACAGAGTGAGACTCTGTCTCAAAAAAAAAAAAAAAAAAAAGCCAGGTGTGGTGGAGTGCGCCTGTAATCCCAGCTACTTGGGAGGCTGAGGAGGGAGAATCCCTTGAAACTGGGAGGCAGAGGTTGCAGTGAGCCCGAGATCATGCGACTGCACTCCAGCCTGGGCGACAGAGTGAGACTCAGTCTCACAAAATACAAACAAAATCTTCAATAACAAGGAATGCAGTATTTTGAAAAACTGAAATTAACACCAAAATGTGTATGATGAACAAAAATTATTATTATTATTATTATTTTTGAGACGGAGTCTCACTCTGTTGTCCAGGCTGGAGTGCAGTGGCGCGATCTTGGCTCACTGCAACCTCTGCCTCCCGGGTTCAAGCGATTCTCCTGCCTCAGCTTCCCGAGTAGCTGGGATTACAGGCACGTGCCACCACGCCTGGCTAAGTTTTGTATTTTTTGTACAGACGGGGTTCCACCATGTTGGTCAGGCTGGTCGCGGACTCCTGACCTTGTGACCCGCCCTCCTCGGCCTCCCAAAGTGCTGGGATTACAGGCGTAAGCCACCGCGCCCCGCTCAAAAATTAAAATTTTTACTCGGCAGGGCACACTGGCCTGTAGTCCCAACACTTTGGGAAGCTGAGGCGAGCAGACTGCTTCAGCTCTGTTCAAATCCAGCCTGAACAACATGGAGAGAACCCTGTCTCTGAAAAATAAATAAATAAAAAGATCTTGGAAGGTGTCTGAGGCTCAATCAGGGTTCCAGGAGTCCCCCTGCAGCTCCTACCTGTCGTTCTCACTCATACAAAACACTAAGGAAAGTTACTAGATTTGCAGCTCACTCCTGCCCCCTGGTGGTGATCGGCTTGGGCACAACAGCATTCCAGGGGTTTTTATCCAATGCTTTTGCAAATGTTTCCTGAAGGTCCCCTTTCTGGCACTGTGTATGTTGCAAGAAAAAGTCCGTGCTCTGGTGGCACCCACAGTACATGGGAGGTGACAATACACAGGTCTGTGTGAAGAAAGGCATGTGAGGCAGGTTTGGTGGCTGAGCATGAGGGGAATTAAAGTAGGTCAAGGAGGGCCTCAGAGAAGTGGCATTGATCTGTGGTCTGAGTGACAAGCAGTCCCCTCAGAGATGATGTCCCCCAGGAGAGGTAGGCATAAGTCTACTGGATCGGAGGTATTTCATGTCTTAAACTGATGTGAACCTGGGTATTTATTGTACTTTGATCTTAGCTCACTGCAGCCTTGACCTCCCGGGCTCAAGCAATCCTCCTGCCTTAGCCTCCCAAGTATCTGTAACTACAGGTGCGCCCCACTGCGCCCAGCACTGTTTTTTTTTTTTGTTGTTGTTGTTGTTTTTGAGATAAGTCTTTGTCACCCAGGTTGGAGCGCAGTGGCGTGATCCTGGCTCACTGCAACCTCCACCTCTCAGGTTCAAGCAGTTCTCCTGCCTCAGCTTCCTGAGTAGCTGGGACTACAGGCACGTGCCACCATACCTGGCTAATTTTTGTGTTTTTAGTGCAGACTGGGTTTCACCATGTTAGCCAGGCTGGTCTTGAACTCCTGGGCTCAAGTGATCCTCCTGCCTCAGTCTCCCAAAGTGTTGGGATTACAGGTGTGAGCCACGCCTGGCCGTGCACTCTTCTTTAAGACTTTTCCTGTGGCAGAAATATTTTGTGACTTTTGAAGACGGCCAGCAAGTGCCAAGGTCCCCGTTCAGAGAATCTGAGTGCCAGGTGCCAGTTGTCTGAACCATTACCTCACTTGTCCCCCTCACTACGGCCTGAGGAGGGCACTAGCGCGACGACGTTAGCCCTAAGAGCAGGGACACTGAGGCTCAGCGCATCACCCAAAGCCACACGAAGAGAAATTTCAAGTGCTCAAGGGCCAGCATGGAGTTGGGGACAACAGGGCAGCGAGGCAACAGGCAGATGGTGCTGGGGGCCTGGTCAGTTGCAGGGAGGACTTCGGCTTCTGCTCCCAGGGAGGGGAGTCCTGCGAGGCTTTTGAGCAGAGGTGGGACATGCCCTGACCTGGGTGTTCACAGGTACCCTCTGGCTGCTGCCTGTTCAGGGGCTGACTTGTAGTGGGGAATGAGGAGGAGGCTGGGGCAGGAATTAGAGCCAGAGGCGATGGGGACCTGAAGGCCATAGGGACAAAAGGCAGTGGTCAGAATCAAGAATGTTTGGGGGGGTGGGGCCAAGTGCAGCGGCTCACACCTGTAATCCCAGCACTTTGGGAGGCCAAAGTGGGAGGATCACCTGAGGTCAGGAGTTCAAGACTAGTGTGGCCAATATGGTGAAACCCCATGTCTACTAAAAACACAAAAAATTAGCCGAGTGTGGTGGCGGGTGCCTATAATCCCAGCAGGAGGCTGAGGCAGGAGAATCACTTGAACCTGGGAGGTGGAGGTTGTAGTGATCCGAGATTCCACCACCGCACTCCAGCCTGGGTGATAGCTGGACTCTCAAAAAAAAAAAAAAAAAAAAATCTGTTTGGGGGCAGCGCTGGCCATAGGGTGGGGAGATATAGTCCATCCAGGATGCTGCTCCAAAAGGTTGTAGGAAGCTGGAAAGGTGTGGGGTGCGGGCAGGTGCGCCAGATCCACAAAACCCTAGGGAATGTGACTTGGTTTGCAGATCACTACTGCCCTCTGGTGGTGATCAGCTTGGGCCACCCTGCATTCTGGAGGTCCAAGTAGGGACAAGGGAGTGGGTGGGTGAGACTGAAGGTTGGGGGCTTTTGAGGCCTCTGGAAGAAGACTGTTCCAAGTTGTGGAACAGCATGTGTGAGGCGAGGACCCACGATGGCTGGTGGGCAAAGGACCAGAGAAGCACAGCTCAGCCCCCAATATCCCACCAAGTTTCCCTCCCACCTACAAGAGATGGGCTGCCTGAACGGCCCTCCCAGCAGCCCAGAGAGCATCTGAAATCTTTTATTGGAAGATCATTGCTGTTTGCCAAATAGAAGACACAGACAGCAGACGAACAGTGAAAACAGAGCCCAGTGACGAGAGCCGGCCCCTTGGCTGGGGACCCTCCCCAACTACCTGGTAGACCAGCCTGGTGACCTCTGCCCTTCCCCGGACCCCCGGGCCTTTGGCATAATGCTGATGGGGGGCTGCAGGCAGTGAAGCCCCTTGACTCAAAGCAGAGACTTGAATGGGCGCTGGAGAGTGGAGACAGTGGAGAGGCCAGGGAGGGCTGGGCGGGCCCCCCAGGCTGGGCCGAGCAGCGCAAGTAGAGGAAGTCAGGAGCGGGCGAGATGGCATCTATCTGTTTTCTGAAAAGGGGCACATAGGGGCCTGGAAGCAGGTGGCGGTGGTAGCTGGGGCAGGTCACACACTGACATCCTTCTCATCGCCCGTCTTGGGAACAGCTTCCAGTAATGGGTCCCCAGGACCTGCCTCCTCTCCCTCCTTGGCCTCGCTGGCCTTAGAGTTGGGGACCCAGAGGCCAGAGTCAATGCAGCGCTGCATGTGGTACTTTGCGTCCTGTGAGGAGAAGGCAGGCAGATGAGGTGGGGCCGCCAGCCGGTGGTCCCCGTTGTCCCCGTTGTCCCTTGCACATCCCCAAGCTGGCTTCCTGCCTATTGATATTTTACCTATTTGAGACGGAGTCTCACTCTGTCACCCAGGCTGGAGTGCAGTGGTGCAATCTCGGTTCACTGCAACCTCCACCTCCCAGGTTCAAGTGATTCTCCTGCCTCAGCCTCCCAAGTAGCTGGGGTTACCGACGCCTGTCACCATGCCTGGCTAATTTTACTTTTAGTAGAGATGGGGTTTTGCCATGTTGGCCAGGCTGGTCTTGAACTCCTGCCCTTAGGTGATCTGCCTGCCTTGGCCTCCCAAAGCACTGAGATTACAGGCGTGAGCCACCGTACCCAGCTGGAAATTTAAATTTTATTTAACTTTAATTTAAATTTAGATAGTGCAATCTAGAACAAAAGCCAGCAAATTTTTTTTTGGTAAAGGGACAGACTAAATATTTCTGGTTCCGTGAGCCATATGGTCTCCATCACGACTCAACTCTGCTGTGGTAGAGCAAGATCGGTTGTAGATGATAGGGAAACAATTGAGTGTGGCTTCTTTGTTCTAATAAAACTTTATTATAAAGACAGGCAGTGAGTCTGGGAGCTGCGGTTTGCAGAACCTGGTCTAGATGGCTATGCCCATAGAAGCTTCTAGAAACTCAGGGCCAGTCCTGCAGCTAGACCCATTTTACAGACGAGAAAACCAGTGTGATCAACCAGTGAGCCAAGTGGTAGGAATAGGATCAAACAGTGTCCTACTTAGATTCAACGTCTATTACCACTTCCAAAAATATAGCCAGTGAGACCTTGTCTTTATAAAAACATAATTTAAAAAAAAATTAGCTAGATGTCATGGTGTCAGCCTGTAACCCCAGCTACTTGGGGAGGCTGAGGTGGGAGGATCACTTGAGCCTGGGAGGTCGAGACTGCAGCCTGGGTGAGAGAGGAAGACCCTGTCTCTCAAAAACAAGTAGACAAAATCCAATTAACAGCCAGCGTTTACCAGCCCCTGCCATGTGCTCACCTCCCTTTCCCACGCATTTTGTGAGCTGATATTGAGAGAAAATGTGGTTTGGATAAGGAAACTGAGGCTGGACTCAGTCACAGTAACAGTGACAGTCACGAAGGACATGCGCTCAAAGCTCAGCATTTATCTGCTGGATACTGGGATACAGTAGGTGCTCAATATATGTGGGTGTGTGCCAAGGTGACACGACCCCCCTTACTCCTTGGAGAAGCCTTGGAGGGGCACTTTCACCAGCCGGCTTCAGAGACTTGGGACACAGGGCTGGGGGAGACACACGGCCCGCCGGGAAGGCATGGGGCGCGGGGGTTACTCACGGTGGGGTCCATCTTGCTGATGGCGTCCTGCAGCATCTGCACGTCCTTCACATCGAAGCACTTCTGGAGTTCCTGGGGGTACAGAGGGGCTGGGGTCAGGGGCTGGGTCCCTGTGGCCCTGGGGGGTCCCGCTCAGGGTCTTCCTGCTGCCCGCCTGGGCCGGGGAGCCCCACCTCAGGGAGGGACTCGTAGACCTCGACGGGGTCCAGGCCGCCGGGGCCGAGCCGCTTCTTGCGCTCCTCCTCCTCGTACTCCTTCATGGCCTTCTCGATGCGCAGCTTGGCACGGCCCCGCACACGCTCCTTGAAGGCTTCCAGCTCGTCGTTGAAGCCCTCCATGTACTGGCGATCGGCTGTCTATGGGGGTTGGGCAGTGCTCACTGGACCTGGCCCAACGCTCAGGAGGGACTGGGGGGCCCAGGACCCTCCAGCCACAGCTCCTCAGAGGCGCCCCACGGTTCCCCAAGTCTATTCCTGACCTACATGAAGGGCTCCCCAAGGCCTGGGCTCCCCCGCCGGGGACCTCATCTGGCATTTGCCAAAGACCACCTGCTTGGGAGCCCTGCTCTACTGCAGATCTGAGACACTCATGTCCTCAGTGTCCCTGCATGGGCACCTCTAACTCAACATGGCCACCTCCCAGCCTGCCTTGTCCTTGGTCTCCCTAATCTCGGTAAGGATAGCCCTGTTCCTCCAGGTACGCAGGTTAAAAATCCTAGAGGCTAGGCCGGGCGCGGTGGCTCACGCCTGTAATCCCAGCACTTTGGGAGGCCGAGGCGGGCGGATCACGAGGTCAGGAGTTCGAAAACATCCTGGCTAACACGGTGAAACCCCGTCTCTACTAAAATACAAAAAATTAACCGGGCATGGTGGCACATGCCTGTAGTCCCAGCTACTCAGGAGGTTGAGGCTGGAGGATCGCTTGAACCCAGGAGGCGGAGGTTGCAGTGAGCCGAGATCGTGCTACTGCACTCCAGCCTGGGCAACAGAGTGAGACTCCATCTCAAAAAAAACAAAACAACAACAACAAAAAAACCCTGAGGCTGGCAGGCACCTGTAATCCCAGCTACTTGGGAGGCTGAAGCACTAGAATTGCTTGAACCCGGGAGGCAGGGGTTGCAGTGAGCTGAGATCACGCCACTGCATTCCAGCCTTGGTGACAGAGCAAGACTCTGTCTCAAAAATGAACTAAAACCCAAAACCCTAGAGGCACCCTCACCTTTGTCCTTTACCCACATATTCACCTGGGTACCTTCAGCACATCCTACTGCTCCCACATTTTTTTGTAATGCAGTTTTGCTCTGTCACCCAGGCTGCAGTGCAGTGGCAAACCACAGCTCAAACTCCTGAGCTCAAGTGATCCTCCTGCCTCAGCCTCCCAAATAGTTGGGACTATAGTACTCAGTCACCAAGCCTGGCCTGACCTCCACTTTTATTTAATTAATTAATTTATTTATTTATTTATTTTTGAGATGGAATTTCGCTCTTGTTGCCTAGGCTGAAGTGCAATGGCACGATCTCGGCTCACAGCAACCTCTGCCTCCCAGGTTCAAGCGATTCTCCTGCCTCAGCCCCCCGAGTAGCTGGGATTACAGGCACACACCACCATGCCCGGCTAATTTTGTATTTTCAGTAGAGATGAGGTTTCTCCATGTTAGGCTGGTCTCAAACTTCCAACCTCAGGTGATCTGCCCACCTCAGCCTCCCAAAGTGCTGGGATTACAGGCGTGAGCCACTGCGCCCGGCCTCCACTTTTAAAGTCTGGCAGAATCTGCCCACTTCTCTCCTCCTCCCTGGCCCCACCCTCTCCTGATCTAGGATGCGGTGACTGGAGGGGCTTGAGTCCCAGTGGAGAGGAGTCGGCCTTACCTAGAGCATTGTGGGCTGGTTCCCTGGGGAGGGGGCCTCCAGCCACCTGGCAGCTCAGGGACCCTACCTTAATCTTAGTGAAGAACTGCCGGAAGCAGGCCCGGGGGTCCACCTTTAGGCTCTTGGCCAGCTCCAGGATAAATTGCATGACGATTGTCTGGTGGGCCACCTGCTCCATGAGTGCACATTTCTGCCAGGAAGAACAGGCACAGCGTCACCAAGTGGCGGCCTCATGGCAGCGCCTTTTCACAGTCCCGGGGAAAGCTCCACTCACCTCCTCCACCTCTAGGTCAATGCACCAAATGACCAGGTAATTGGCTGTCTCCTCGCACACCAGGTGGACGTTGTCTGACAGGTACTTTTGGCTGTCATCCCAGCGGCGAAGCATGCCTGTGGGAAGATGCTGGCAAGGTGCTGGAGGGCCCTGGAGGCAAAGGGCCTGCCTCGACCTTGCCCCCCATAACCCACAAGCCCCACTCACCAAAGTGCTTGATCTGTTTCTCGTATTTTTCCACGAAGGTCTTGTGTTTCTGCTCCCTCACCTCCTCTGAGTCCTCCTCCGTCTTCTCGGGCTTGGTATTTACCATGCTCTGTGGTAGGGTGAGAGGGGGAGTGGGCTGGGGCAAGGCTGCGGAGCGCCTCGAGCGCGGCCGGGCGGGCCGTGGTCGCAGCGCCCATCCCATCCACGGCGGAGGTGGTGACGAAGCCATGAGCATCAAGGTGGCGGGAGCGTGGGCATGGGCCTTGGGGCAGATCAGAGGAGGGGACCGGTGGGGTGTTTCATCCGCCCGGCCCCCCAAGCCTGTCCCCCCTCCCACGTGGCCCCCGTCCATCCCTCAGCTCCCCGCCCCCCACCACACTCTTCAACTACACCACCGGGGTCCTCCCCTGACCAGGCATTGGGTGCGCATGCGTCCTGGTTGCAGGCTCTCTGGCTGCGCATGCGCACTGCCCGCCCCGCCCGCCCCGCACACCTTGCTGAAGCCGTCTTTGCTGAGCGTGTCCACGTTCCAGGGCATGCTCTTCTCCTTCTTGCGCATCTCCTCCAGCTTCTGCTCCCAGCTCCGCTCCTCCTTGCGCAGCTGCTGTGCCTCGGCCTGCAGGCGCTCCAGCTCTGCCTTGCCGCCCTCGGCCACCTCCAGCTCCTTCAGTTTCCTCTGGCACTCGGCCACCTTGCGCTTGCACTCGCGGCAGCCCCTGTCCAGTTCCTCCTTCTCCTTCTGGAACTGCTCCATGCGTTCCACCCGGGCCTGCGGGCAGGGACGGCCTATCAACTCTGGGGAGTCGTCTGTCCCTTACCCCCGCCCCATACCCAATCCCTGCACCGGAGATGGCCCCAGGAAAAAGTACGCGTCCACCTCCCGTGCCCTGGTCTCCCAGCTTCCGCCCCTGCGCCCACAGGTGCCAGCGCACACCCAAGTGGGGTCAGGTCCCTCCGTCCTCTGCTCAGAACCCTGGCGGCTCCCATCTCACAGCAGAACCCAAGTTGTCACCACAGCCTACATGGGCCCTACACAATCTGCCTCGGCACCTCCCCTGGTAACTCTTCCTTCCAGCTACACCAGCCCCTCACTTTTCTCACCTTTTCTTGAGGCCATTTTTTTTGTTTAAGAAAACAAAACAAAACAAAACAAAAAACAGGGTCTCACTCTGTCGTCCAGGTCAGAGTGCAGTGGCCCAATGATGACATACTGCAGCCTCGACCTCCCTGGGCTCAGGCGATCCTCCCACCTCAGTCTCCCAAGTAGCTGGGACTACAGGTGTGCACCAGCACGCCCAGCTAATTTTTGTATTTTCAGTAAAGATGGGGTTTGCCATGTTGCCCAGGCTGGTCTTGAAGTCCTGGGTTCAAGCGATCCTTCCCTCTCGGCCTCCCAAAGTGCTGGGACTACAGGCGGGAGCTACTGCACTCTGCGGAGCCCACTTTTTTCTTGAACCTCAAGGCCTTCGCACTGGCTGTTCCAACTACTTGGAATGCTTTTCCTTCAGAGCCCCCCACAGCTGACTCCATGGCACCCGTGCCATCTGGGCTCCATGTTGCCTTAGCGAGGACCCCTTCCCCAACCACCTTCCTGATGATGGCAACTTCCCGCTGCCCCTGTCTGGAATTCCCTGCCTCCTCAACATCAGCAACCACTAACATCATATGACAATTATTTATCACGTTTTGGGTACTGCCCCCCTCCAATGAATGAAGCCCTGCTCTCTAAATATGGGAACGTGTTCGCCATTTTGTTCCCAGAACCAGGAACGTGGCCTGGTGCAAAGCACGGGCTCAGCAAATGCTTGTTTTTTTTTTTGTTTTTATTTTGTTCAGTTTTGTTTGAACAAGGTCTTGTTGTCATGCAGACTAGAGTGCAGTGGTGTGATAATGGCTCACTGCAGCCTTGATCTCCCAGGCTCAACCTGCCTCAACCCCAAGTAGCTGGGACTACAGGTGCACACAAACCACCAAGCCTGGCTTTTTTTTTTTTTTTTTTTTTTTGAGACGGAGTCGCCCAGGCTGGAGTGCAGTGGCGTGATCTTGGCTCACTGCAACCTCTGCCTCCCGTGTTCAAGCAATTTTCCTGCCTCAGCCTCCTTAGTAGCTGGGATTACAGGCACGCGCCACCACGCCTGGGTAATTTTGTATTTTTAATAGAGACGGGGTTTCTCCATGTTGGCTGGTCTTGAACTCCTGACCTCAAGTGATCCACCCACCTTGGCCTCCCAAAGTGCTGGGATTACAGGCATGAGCCACTGCACCAGGGCCCCTTCTAGATGTTTCTTTGTTCCACCCATAACCTTGCCCCAGGATCACTGCCAAGGCCCTCTTAGCTCTGTCTCCAGCCCAGCATGCCCTCCTGAGCCCCAGCTTGGTGTCTACCTGCTTCCCGCTCACCCCAGCCCCAGATGTCACTCCCCAGGCACTCCTCTTTCTCCTTATAACAGTGCCTCATCTCCTCAGGCTCCTGGTCCCCGCCTCACTCCCTGTCTCCCTCAGACCTCCATCTGGGCCCCATCGGATTGTACAGGCCTCTCCTGAGACCCCTGCGTGGCTCCACCATCACCTCTCCTGAACCTCAGTGGAGGCTGCTCTATCCAGAGCCACTAATCAAACCCTGAAACCCTGAAACGTGCCACCACCTTCAATTGCTGACCCTCTCCAATCCAGGCACAGCTGCCACCAGGGAGGCCTGTGAAGCCCATGCATTTGACCACGTGACCAGAGTCCTCCCCACTACATCTTGGGGGGTCTGAATTCAGATGGGACTTCTGATCCTGGCATCCTGGTCCTGGGTCCCAGGCAGATACTGGCCCTCATCGTTCCCCGAAAGTACGGGCTCTGTCTTGCCTCTTGGCCTCTGCATGTGCGGTTCCCTTACCTGCTTTTGCACCCAAAACTCAGCTTCAACAGAGCCTTCCCCAAATGCTCCCTGCCTGAGGCACCACTGATCCCTAAAGGACCTCCTGTGACCATCTGACGATGTGGTGAGGGTGCTGGAGGACAGCCTTGGGGCAACGGCCCCTGGGTCCTAGCCCACAGCCACCATGTACCGGCTGGGTATCCCGGGCCATCCCCTAACCTCCTGTAACCTCAGTTTCCTCATCTGTCAAACAGTCAACAATGCTGACTGCACAAGCTCATATTGGAAGAAACTAAGGAGATGATTAGAGTAAAATGTCCCGAGCCATGTGGGCCCTCAGCACGCACCCTTCCTGTACTGGCCAGGGTCATTACCATCTGTGCAAGAGAACAATCTCTCTCTCTCTCTGGGGACCACTCTGGGGCCTCAAAAAGGAAATGTCCTTCAAATGCTTAGTTTAATTTCTGGCCCAGAGTACACGCTCAATAACTGGGAGTGGTTGTTACTACATGGTCACAGCACCCGGCTGTGCCACTGACGGGAGATGGAACTTTGGCCATGTCACTGAAACCTTTCCCAGCCTTGGTCTTCCCCTCTGTGAAATGGAGTCTCACAGGATCGCCGTGAGAACTGAATGACTAACTCTATGGAAAATGCTTCCAAAACAGCCCTCAGTAGGTGTGTCCCACTGTTACCATCTCCGTCCTTGTCACTGCCACCTGAATGGTCTGCTGACTCATTCCTGTGCCTTATCTGAGGCTGTGTCCCCAGGTTCTAAGGCAGGGCCAGGCAGAGCTGGCCCCTACTCTAATACCCCAGGGGACTGACACAGCCAGCCTGAGCCTCGGATTCCCCTATATGTATAAGGGGTCAAGAAGGCCTACGTGGTCGAGCGTGGTGGCTCACTCCTGTAATCCCAACACTTTGGGAGGCCGAAGCGGGTGGATCACCTGAGGTCAGGAGTTTGAAACCAGCCTGGCCAACATGGTGAAACCCCGTCTCTCCTAAGAACACAAAAATTAGCCAGGCGTGGTGGCAGGCGCCTGCAATCCCAGCTACTCCAGAGGCTGAGGCAGAATCGCTTGAACCCGAGGCAGAAGTTGTAGTGAGCTGAGATCGCCCCACTGCACTCCAGCCTGGGCGACAGAGCATGACCCTGTCTGAAAAAAAAAAAAAAAAAAAAAAAAAGCTATACCTCATGAGATAAACAGCAGCTGCAGGCTGGGCACAGTGACCCATGCCTATAATCCTAGCACTTTGGGAGGCCGAGGTGGGAGGATCACTTGAGCTCAGGAATTTGAGACCAGCCTAGGCAACATAGTGAGATTCCATCTCTTAAAAAAAAAAAGTTGCTGGGTGTGGTGGCTCATGCCTGTAATCCCAACACTTTGGGAGGCCAGGCGGGCAGATCATGAGGTCAGGAGTTCGGGACCAGCCTGGCCAACATGGTGAAACCCCATCTCTACTTAAAAAATACAAAAATTAGCCGGGCATGGTGGCGCGCACCTGTAGTCCCAGCTACTCGGGAGGCTGAGGCAGGAGAATTGCTTGAACCTGGGAGGTGGAGGTTACAGTGAGCCGAGATGGCACCACTGCACTCCTGTCTGGGCAACAGAGTGAGACTCCGTCTTAAAAAAAAAAAAAAAAAAAAAAAAAGCAGCTGTGGCCTCTCCAACTCCCTTTCTCCACGATGGGCCTGTGTCACCCTGGAGCCTGCCCACCACCCTGCAATCCGCTGCTGGGCTGCCACCAGTCTCCCCTGTGTCCTCTGAACAACTGCCAGGGAGGCCGCAGCTAAAAAAGGCCTCTTGGAGTTGGCGGGGGCGGCAGCCTGCCCAGCCTGGGCTTTACACCTCCTATCGGGGAGGGGCTGTAGCAGGCTGGGCAGGGGAGAAGCCACCCCAGCAAGCAGGGCCCACAGATGTCACTACCCTCCTGCCTTACAGTTAGGGAAACTGAGGCTCACAGAATCTCAATGTCATACAACTCATTAGAAGAAACCACTAACAGCAGCTGTCTCTGGGCAGGAGAGCCGGCGAGCTGGGGCTGAGAAAAGGGATTCATTTGTCCGCTTCTGGAAACTTTGAAATTTTTTTTTTTAAGAGACAAGGTCTTAGGCCAGGCTTGGTGGCTCACACCTACAATCCCAGCACTTTGTGAGGCTGAGGCAGGTGGATTGCCTGAGCTCAGCAGTTTGAGACCAGCCTGGGCAACATGGTGAAACCCTGTCTCTACCAAAAAGTACAAAAATCAACCAGGCATGGTGGTGTGTACCTGTGGTCCCAGCTACTCAGGAGGCAGAAGTAGGAGGATCACTTGAGCCCGGAAGGTGGAAGTTGCAGTGAGCTGAGATGGCGCCACTGCCATCTCAGGGTGACAAAGCAAGGCCCTGTCTCGAAAAAAAAAAGAGAGAGACAAGGTCTTGCTATGTTGCTCAGGCTGGACTTGAACTTCTGGGCTCAAATGATCCTTCTGCCTCAGTCTCCTGAGTAGCTAGGACTATAGGCATGTGCCACCACATGTGGCTACAGATTTTTTTTTTTTTAACCATGAACAGAAATTATTTAAATGATGATGATGATAATAGCCACTGCCCCAAAAGGATTACAAATATTAAATGAATAAGGTAAGCCTTACAACAACCTTATGGGGTGGACATCATTCAGATTCTCAGGTAGGGAAACTGAGGCACAGAGCGATCAAACAGCTCCCTGGCAGTCACGCAGCACGTGAGTGATACAGACAGAGCTGAGATTTGAACCTAGTCAGGCCTGTGCTCTGAACGACAGCAATCTCTCCTTCCCCTCCACAATGCTTCCTTCCAAACCTGCCCCAAGTTTTCCTGACCCAGTCTTAATTCATTCTTACAAAGGTCTCAGGGAGGTGGGGCCATATTATCCCAGGTTTCACATGGGCTCAGGGAGGCTTCTTGTGAGTCTTGCCACATCAAAGAAAGAAAGAAGCAGCAAGAGGTGGGGCTAGGATTGGAACCCAAGCTTGCCTGTCCTTGAACCTGTGCTGGAGACGCTGAAGCCCCCTGCCTCCCTTACATGCCACTACAACCACCGGGGTTCTCAGCGGCAGGACAGGAAAAGCTCTGTGCCAGAGGGAGGAGGGTGTGGCAGGTACACTACGCTGCAGGAGGGGGGCCCTCCCACCCGGCAGGACCAAACCATTCTCCACAGTAGTAAAGATTAACCTCTTTATGTGACAGAAATAGGTCTTCCCAAGAATAGTCTTTGGAGCTTTGAGGAAGTCTTAAATATTTCATAATAAAATGTTACACACGGCAAGAAATAGAAGCGCTAGAACTTTCTTCCCACACTCCAGTGGCTTGCTTGGCAGGTACACTACCCAGGAGACTCAGGATTTAAGGAATAGGTCTGGAAGTGGGACTGGGAGCTAGATGAAGAGACTAATGCCGTATTCCAGAGTATTCTGGAAGGATGGGAAAGGGACCTTCTAGTTGTTTCTGGATAAATGATGGGGAATTGCCCTATGGGAGGGTGGGGTAAGAGATCCTCACTAGAAGGTTCTGAGAGGTATATGCCCTTCGTTTAAGAGCACAACATGGCTGGGTGCGGTGGCTCACGCCTGTAATCCCAGCACTTTGGGAGGCCGAGGTGGGTGGATCAACTGAGGTCGGAAGTTCAAGACCAGCCTGACCAACATGGAGAAACCCTGTCTCTACCAAAAATACAAAATTAGCCAGGCATGGTGGTGCATCATGCCTGTAATCCCAGCTACTCAGGAGGCTGAGGCAGGAGAATCACTTGAACCCGGGAGGCAGAGGTTGCAGTGAGCCAAGATTGTGCCACTGCACTCCAGCCTGGGCGACAAGAAGGAAACTTCGTCTCAAAAAAAAAAAAAAAAAAAAAAAAAGGAATACAACAGACACTGGTATGTAATGCAGGCACACTCATTTGGGGTAGCAGGAGGTTAAACCTTTAAGTCTTAGTCATCCCATTGGCTCGTGAGCACTGAGAGGGTGGTGGGACATGGATCACCCAGGCTTGGGATTCTGGGGTCTGGATTCGGGACCTCTGTTGTGGTCAGATAGAAGAAGGGGTGGTGAATTTAGAATCAGACCAGGAGAGTCCCTGGATAAGAGCAGGGACAATTTGGGTCACAGAGTAGCTAACAGGCTGGGGACAAAAGGTGGGGTGGGTTTGGGGTTCTGGGCTTGAGTTAGGGGAGAGTTTCCAATGCTGGCTGAGGCTCATACAGGAAGCCAGTCTGGGAAGTGGGTGGTGACAGGGTCTGCAATACCAAGTAGGAGCAGGGGCTCTGGCTAGGCCGGAAGCCACGTGGGCAGGATTTCCTGGTATAATGGGAAATGGGTCTACCGGAGGCCAAAGGAGAGGCTGGAATGTGAGGCTCTATCGGGTTGGAGCTGGTAGTTAGATCCAGAGGGGAACCAGATTCCAAAACCCAAGTACTCGGTGAGACTAAGGATCCTGAAGGGGGACGGTTCTACACTCTAGGAAGGGGGTCCTGGGTGTGGGCAGGGACAGGAATATCAGAGTAGCACAGAGTTCCTTGTTCCGTTTAGAAAAGGAGTGGCGACTCCGGATCTGAATGGGAACCCCGGATCAAGATCCCGGAAAGTAGATCCCGGGACAGACCAAAGTATTGGGGGTCCAGACTACGGAGGTGGGGGGGCGATGGGAGATCCCAGATAGGAAGTGAATACCCGAATAGGATGAGGGATCATCTAGAAGAATTTGGGGTCCAAACTTTGAGGCAGAGTTCTGGGTATAAATGTTAACTGCCGAACAGAATTAGGGAGAACCCCCAAGACTCGTCTAGGGGACTCCAGACTATGAAGAAGTTCTAGGGGGTGAATAGGGAATCCCACGCAAAAATCGGAGCAGGGAGTGGGGGAGCGGAGATCCAGGGCAGGGACTCAGGGTCCCAATGGTACTGGGGTCCCGGAGTTGAATCGAAGCTCCTGAAAATCCAGACTGGGGGGGTGAGAATCCTAGGTGTGAACAGCGGGGTCCCTGGGCAGTATCGGGGATCACAACTCCGAAGCGGGGTCCGGGAGTGGGGAAAGGGATGGGCGCGCGCGCCTTACCTGATGCCGCCAGCGGAAGAGACTGGCCGTGTCGATGTTGGGGTGCGTCTCGTCTTCATCATCAGACACCTCAATGTGGTCCCACACGCTGTAGTCCACCATCTTGCCTTGGCGGCCCAGCCCGCTCCGGCTCGGGTGGCGGCGACGGCGGCAGCAGTGGAGACTAGGAGCGCGGAGCCCCGCCCCTTCCGCTTCCGCCGAGCGCGGGAAACCCCGCCCTGTGTGACGTCACATCCCTAGTAACCGCGGCAGCGGCACTAGCTACCCAGCCAGCCTTAAAGGGCCCTGCGTAAGTGTTCCGGCCCCCTGGAGTTCCCGCAGAGACTCCGCGTCATCGGGCGCTGGGGCTCCGCTAGGTCTCCTGGGGGCATATGAGTGCGCGCTTCAACTCCGAGCCCCCCTCATCTCCCGCCGCTCCACGGTGGGCGTTTGGGGTGGCAGGGAGGGGACGGTTGATGAGACTGAGAGGACTGTCCCCTCAGCCACGCCGCAGTGACGTCTGCAAGGGGTAGGGACACGGCGGGAAGGCCCTCCCCCTGCCCTTCGTAAACGGGGACCTAAGCCTGCGCTGGAGAGGGGCGCCTGATGACTCCTCGGACTTTCTCAGCCCGAGGAGGACTGGACCTGCCCTGGGGGTGTCTAAATCGGGGGTGGTATGGCCCTCCCCTTGCAGGGTTAAACGTGGAGGGGAGACTGTGGCCCTGCCTTGGGAGCTGGGGTTTCCCCGCCTCGGCAACAGCCTTCTCCTTGTCTTCCACCTCCTGCCATTCGCAGCGAGGACTCGCGCGAGCGCGCGCGCGCACACACACACACACACACACACACACGCACACACACACACACACACACTTTGGAATCACCCGGACCCCCTCAAAACGGGTCTCGGCTCCCCACCCCGCTGGCCGCTGGGTGTCGCTAGAGTCTAGCCCACGGCGCGTATTCCTGGCCCCGCGCTTGGTGGGGGGAATCGTGGAGGGGTGGAAGGGGGCTTTCCTTGTCGTCACAGTCTGGGGCCACGCATAGCCCCTCCCCGTTCGTCTTGGGGTACGCTTCCTCCGCCGGGGCTCTAAGGACTCCATTACTCTAAGCATGCAGGGCCTCGACCACCTCACACTTCCATGCATCCCAATCCACGCTTTGATACCAGGATAATAGGCCGTGTTGCAGCCTTGGGCCAGGATTATCTCAGATTAAAGGGTGCTCCCTCGGGGGTCAGGCTGGATAGGAGGAGCTCCAGCCACTCCGGTGAGGGGCGCCTCTTCCTAGTCTCCCCTGGAGCCGACGTTGGAGGCAGTGCCTGGAGAGAGCGAGCGAAGTTCTCCAGAAGGGGGAGGATTCCCCGGTGCATGGAGCGGGAAGGGCCATCGGACAAAAACGTCCTCCCGCTGCCGCCCTTCCCCCTCGCGCTTCATTCAAACCCGCGAGTGGGCGGGCAGGGGCGGGGGAGTCCCCATCTCCTACCCCTCCCTCTTCCCCTCCACCCTGGCAGTCCAGCACATCAGTGGCCGTCACGGCCCGGGCACGCGCGCGCACGGACCCACACCCCGGCGGCTCTCACAATCGCACACACACATACACACACACACCAGCAAACAAAGGGTCTGGACACCCCCGTCCCCTCCCGCCCCCCAGGCCAGGGAGGGCGGGGCATCCCCTCCCCAGGCCCCCCGCAAGGTAAGCTTGGGGCTGCGAGCTGCGGTGGGGAGGGGGACACGGTGCCACAGTGGGAGGGGGCCAGGAAGGTAGGGGGTTCCCCGGCTCCCCAGGAAAGTCGTACCCCCACCCCCACCGTATGCCCTTTAGGGATTCGGCCCCGTCATCAGCCTGGGGGTGTTTGGAGAGAATCCCAGATGTCGGGGATTCCCGGATAGGCGCGGGGGTCTCTTCCTGGCTCTGGAGACTGGAGCTGCCCAGCTTCAGCAAAACAGGGTTCCCGGAGCCTCAGCTTCCAGAACTGGGGATAGAGCGCCGGAAGCTTCCCCATCAACCCCAAGCATTTCCTAATCTGCCAGCACAGCACCTCCAGCCCTGGGGACTGAGGAGAGAGACCCCTAAGTTGCTTTGCACTGTCCCTCTGTCCCCGGTCCCCATCCCACCCCCATCGGTGCAAACCCTGCTATGTCTCTCCTGCCTGTGTGTGTGTGTGGGGGGGAGGTTTGCGGGAATTGGGAACGCTTTTTGGGGCTACCTTTGCTTCTTCTGCTACATCCCATAGCCACATACCACTGAGCTGCGGTGGGGCCCGGCAGGCGGCTTTGCCTTCCTGAGTCTCAATTTCCTCCTCTGCAAAGTGGGTAATGACACACACCTAGGATTCCGCGAAATCGTGCTCGCGGAGCCTGCTTTTGCGCCATCATTTTATTTATTAGCTCATTTCACATCTCTTTCCCAAGTGTCTACTTACGATGTACTGGGCACTGTGACCAGGCTTTGGGGCAGCAGCAACCAACAAACCCAGTAGGGGTCCCTGCTCCTGGCTAGTGAGGGAGCAGGATCCCTGTATAAACATACAAATCCCCGCGGGTGATTTCAGACTGTGAAGACTAAAATTCTGTCCTCGGACAGAGAGAGACTAGGGAAAGGCACTCAAGATTAAAGGAGAAGCTGGGCACAGTGGCTCACGCCTGTAATCCTAGCACTTTGGGAGGCCGAGGCAGGCGGATCACTTGAGGTCAGGAGTTCGAGACCAGCCTGGCCAACATGGTGAAACCCCATGTCTACTAAAAATACAAAAATTAGTCGGGCGTGGTGGCAGGCGCCTGTAATCCCAGCTACCCGGGAGGCTGAGGCAGAAGAATTGCTTAAACCCGGGAGGCGGTGGTTGCAGTGAGCCAAGATCACACCACTGCACTCCAGTTTGGGTGACAGAGCAAGACTCTGTCAGAAAAAAAAACAAAAAACAAAAAACAGATTAAGTAAGACTTCTGGATCCTGCCTGCCTTCCTCCTTGGGTCTGAGCTCATGAGGGCAGGATCAGGTCTAGAACAGTGCCTGGCACACAGTAGGTGCTCAATAAATGTTGAATGAGCGTGGCACCCTGGTGTGAGCCTGTAGTCCCAGCTACTCGGGAGGCTGGCTGGAGGATCCCAGCGACACCCATCTCTAAAAAAAAATAAAAACAAAAAATAAATCCTTAGCTGGGCATGGTGGCACACGCCTGTAGTCCCAGCTATTCAGGATGCTGAGGCAGGAGAATGGCTTGAACCCGGGAGGCAGAGGTTGCAGTGAGCTGAGATAGTGCCATTGCACTCCAGCCTGGGTGACAAGAGCAAAACTCAAAAAAAAGAAAATCTTAAATGAATTAAAGAGGGGATTAGTTTAAGACTAGATTCTAGAACTGTAGATTAGGAAGAAGGCTTAGCATAAACCAATCCACCCCACTCCCTTGAATTTGATACAGGAGACAGTGAATCCCAGAATGTCAACATTTCTACAAAATTGAAGATGGGCCCAGCACGATGGCTCACATCTGTAATCCCGATAATTGGGAGGCTGAGGTGGGAGGATCACTTGAGCCCAGGAGGTCGAGGCTGTAGTGAGCCATGATCACGTCACTGCACTTCAGCCTGGGAGACAGAGTGAGACTCTGCCTCACCAAAAAAAAAAAAAAAAAAAAAAAAGAAGGTGGTTAAAGCAAGGGTTGTGAACAGCTGTGGACAGAGACCAGAACTGAGCACTGTGTGCCCAGGAACTCATGGTGTCCAGCCAGTGCCCACTCTTCCCCACATAGCATATAGACACAGCACTGCTTTCATCTATTCAATATTTATTCAGCACCTACTATGTACCAGGTGCCAGGGACACAGCAATTAACAGAACAAAACTCCCTGCCCCAGTGGAGCTGACATTTAGTGGAGGAAACTGAAATGAAATAACATGATCAAAAAGATATAATGACACATTGTTATTAGGATACTGATAGAAATAGAGGGTGTGGCTGGGTGTTTAGAAAGACTTCCTGCAGAAGCTGAATTCAGCACACACACACTCAAACCCAAACATAATCCCACTAATACACATCACAGAAAAGTGGCCATGGGGACTGAGTGGCTGAGCAGAGATTTAAACCTGGAACCTGCATTTCTTTTTTCTTTCTCCTTTTTTTAACTAATTAATTTATTTATTATACTTTAAGTTCTGGGATACATGTACAGAACGTGCAGGTTTGTTACACAGGTATACACGTGCCATGGTGGTTTGCTGCACCCATCAACCTGTCATCTACATTAGGTATTTCTCCTAATGTTATACCTCCCCTAGCCCCCCACCCCCCAACAGGCCCCAGTGTGTGATGTTCCCCTCCTGGTGTCCATGTATTCTCATTGTTCAGCTCCCACCTATGAGTGAGAACATGCGGTGTTTGGTTTTCTGTTCTTGTGTTAGTTTGCTGAGAATGATGGTTTCCAGCTTCATCTATGTCCCTGCAAAGGACATGAACTCTTTTTCCTTCCTTCCTTCCTTCCTTCCTTCCTTCCTTCCTTCCTTCCTTTCTTTCTTTCTTTCTTTAATTGAGACAGAGTCTCACTCTGTCACGCCCAGGCTAGAATGCAGTGGCTCGATCTTGGCTAACTGCAACCTCTGCCTCCCGGATTCAAGTGATTCTCCTGCCTCAGTCTCCCGAGTAGCTGGGATTACAGGCACGCGCCACCACACCCAGCGAATTTTTTGTATTCTTAGTAGAGATGGGGTTTCACCATATTGGCTAGGCTGGTTGAAAACTCCCAACCTCAGGTGATCCGACCGTCTTGGCCTCCCAAAGTGCTCCCAATGAGCCACTGCGCCCAGCCCTCCTTTCTTTTTAAAGACAGGATCTTACTCTGTCACCCAGGCTGGAGTGCAGTGGCAATCGCAGCTCACTTGCAGCCTCAAACTCCTGGGCTCAAGCAACCCTCCTGCCTCAGCCTCCTGAGTAGCTGGGATTACAGGTGCACAGCACCACACATGGCTAATTTTTTTTTTCATTTCATTTTAAAGACGGGGTCTCCAAGAGTTGGAGGCTGCAGTGAGCTATGATCGCACCGCTGCATACCAACCCAGGCAACAGCAGGAGACCTGCCTCAAAAAAGAAAAGAAAAGAGATGGGGTGTCGCTATGTTGCCCTCACTGGTCTCAAACTGCTGGCCTCAAGCGATTCCCCTGCCTTGGCCTCCCAAAGTGCTGGGAATATAGGCGTGAGCTACTGCGCCCAGCCCCCGGAACCTGCATTTCTAGGCACTGTGAAATACTGTTTTCCGCTGCATCTTCACACAGTGACACCCCCACACACCTACACATTCATATTACAGTCACACAGGCACAGCCAACCTCTTATTCACATAGACCGATGTGGTATTGCCCTGACACATAGATTCCTGCGGGTACAATTCGGTTTCAACTATGCAACACTTAGACTCACAGAAGGTTCCACCAGCCCATTGGCACATGCACAGCCAGGTATGAAGTTCATGCACATATATGCATGTATTTGCACACACATGCCTGGAGTCCTTCACAATCCTTCCGAGACCTGCGTCAGCTTTGAGCATGGAGCTTGGGCAGCCGTGAATATTCAGGGCCATGGTGTGGGCAGGGGCTTTTATTCTCACTTCCCTGTTATTTGCTGCACATCGCCACATCCTTCTGTTGAAGGAAGTGGGGAGTGGGCGGGATGTCGGGCTGGGTGACATCAGCTCTCCTCTGCCAGGCCAGGCCAGTGGCTCCCAGGCTGGGCTGGTAGCTGACGGTGCTGACAACATGGGTGGGGGAAAAGGACTCTCGTGGCCTGAGCCTGATGCCAGCTGTCCAGAGCAGCCTGTGCTGCCATCTGGACCCCCATCTCCAGCGGCCTGCTGTCCAGGGAAGGAGAAGGCAGGCCTAGAGGCATCCCTCCACCCTGAGCACTCCCGGGCCCTGCCTCCCTCGCCTGGGCTGCAGCCAGGGCTGATTGCCGCAAATGTGCACTTGTGTCCTGACAGCAGTAAGGGGCATGTCTCTGCCTCTCTCGCCTGGCCGGCTGGACCCCTCCAACATCGTCTTCTTCATTGCTTTCTTCATTTCACAAATCCTTGAGACTTTGAGCAACAGAATTTGCAGAGCCTAGGGAAAATGCACACGCAGGGTTCCTCTTCAAGATTACAAACAATAGGCCGGGCGCAGTGGCTCACGCCTGTAATCCCAACACTTTGAGAAGCTAAGGCAGGGGAATTGCTTGAGGCCAGGAGTTTGAGACCAGCCTGGCCAACATGGCGAAACCCCGTCTCTACTGAAAATGCAAAAATTAACTGCGCGTGGTGGCAGGCGCCTGTAATCCCAGCTACTCAGGAGGCTGAGGCAGGAGAATCATTTGAACCCTGGAGGCGGAGGTTGCAGTGAGTCGAGATCACACCATTGCACTCCAGCCTGGATGACAAGAGCTAAACTCTGTCTCAAAAAAAGAAAAAAATTATAAGTCTAAGGCAAAGAAAACACAAGCAGGGCTGGGAGCGGTGACTCACGCCTGTAATCCCAGCACTTTGGGAGGCCGAGGTGGGTGGATCACGAGGTCAGGAAATCGAGACCATCCTGGCTAACATGCTGAAACCCCGTCTCTACTAAAAAAAAAACCAAAAAATTAGCTGGGAGTGGTGGCAGGCGCCTGTAGTCCCAGCTACTCGGGAGGCTGAGGCAGGAGAATGGTATGAACCCGGGAGGTTGAGGCAGCAGAATGGCGTGAACCTGGGAGGCGGAGGTTGCAGTGAGCTGAGATCGCGCCACTGCACTCCAGCCTGGGCAACAAAGCGAGACTCCGTCTCAAGGAAAAAAAAAAAGAAAGAAAAAGAAAAAGAAAACACAAGCAGAGTCAGGGGGATGGGAAAAGCAACAGGATATCTGAGGTCTGAATATGTTCTAGGTGTTTGAAGAACAACAAAGGGGCTGGTGGGTTGGCCAGACATGGTGGCTCACGCCTGTAATCCCAGCACTTTGGGAGGCTGAGGCAGGAGGATCACCTGAGCCAAGGAATTCCAGACCTGCCTGGGCAACATGGCAAGACACCCTCTCTACAAAAAATTTAAAAATTAACTGGGCGTTGTGGTGCTCACCTGTAGTCCCAGCTACTTGAGAAGCCGAGGCGAGAGGATCACTTGAGCCCAGGCGTTTAAGGCTACAGTGAGGTGTGATAACATCACTGCACTCCAGCCTGGGCAACAGAGTAAGACCCTTGTCTCTTAACAAAATGAAAATAGGCCGAGCACGGTGGCTTACTCCTGTAATCCCAGCACTTTGGGAGGCTGAGGCGGGCAGATCATGAGGTCAAGAGATTGAGACTATCCTGGCCAACATGGTGAAACCCCGTCTCTACTAAAAGTACAAAAATTAGCTGGGTGTGGTGGTGTGCACCTGTAGTCCCAGCTACTTGGGAGGCTGAGGCAGGAGAATCACTTGAACTCAGGAGGCAGAGGTTGCAGTGAGCTGAGATTGTGCCACTGCACTCTAGCCTGGCAACAGAACGAGACTGTCTCAATTTAAAAAAAAAAAGGGGAACAGAAATAAATTCACGTGCATTACTTCACTTCATCCTCACAACAACCCCATCAGATGGGTGTGAATATTATTCCTATTTTACAGATGACAAAACTGAGGGCCAGAGAGGCTGAGTAATTTGCTCTAAAGTATACAGACAGAGCTGAGAGATACTGTGAGTTGAGTTCTAGACTACCACAATAAAGCGAGTATCACAATAAAGTGATACAAAAAATTTTTGGTTTCCTAGTGCATGTAAAAATTATGCTGACACTATACCATATGTATATTAAGTATGCAATAGCATTATGTCTAAAACAACAATGCATATACCTTAATTTTAAAATACTTTATTAGCCTGGTCAACATAGTGAGACCTCATTTCTACGAAAAAAATTTAAAAATTAGCTGGGCATGTTGGTGCTCACCTGTGGTCCCAGCTACTTGGGAGGCTGAGGTGAGAGGATAGCTTGAGCCCAGGAGGACAAGGCTGCAGTGTGCTATGATCACAGCACTGCACTCCAGCCTGTGCAACGGAGTGAGACCCTGTCTCAAAAACAAAACAGAAAAACCTTAAAAACTTTATTGCTGCCCGGGTGTGGTGGCTCATGCTTATAATCCCAGCACTTTGGCTGAGGCGGGCAGATCACTTGAGCCCAAGGGTTTGACACCAGCCTGGCCAACATGGTGAAACCCCATCTCTACCAAAAAATACAAAAATTAGCTGGGCATGGTGGTGCACGCCTGTAGTCCCAGCTACTCCAGAGGCCGAGGCAGGAGAATCGCTTAAACCCCGGAGGCGGAGATTGCAGTGAGCCAAGATCACGCCACTGTACTCCAGCCTGAGCGATAGAGTGAGACCCTGTTTGAAAAAAAACCAAAAACAAAAACAAAAAAACCTTTCTTGCTAAGAAAAGCTAACCATCATCTGAGCCTTCGGCAAGTCATAATCTTTTTCCTGGTGGAGGGTCCTGCCTCAATGTTGATGGCTTCTGACTGATGAGGGTGGTGGTTGCTGAAGGTTGGGGTGGTTGTGGCAATTTTTAAAAATAGGAGAACAGGTCGGGCGGTGGTGGCTCATGCCTGTAATCCCAACACTTTGGGAGGCCGAGGCAGGTGGATCACTTGAGGTCAGGAGTTCAAGACCAGCCTGGCCAACATGGTACAACCCCGTCTCTACTAAATATACAAAAATTAGCCTAGCGTGGTGGTGGGCACCTGTAATCCCAGCTACTTGAGAGGCTGAAGCAGGAGAATCTCTTGAACCCAGGAGGCAGAGGTTGCAGTGAGCTGAGATGGCACCATTGCACTCTAGCCTGAGTGACAGAGCAAGACTCAGTCTCAAAATAAATAAATAAATAAGATAATAATAATAATACTTGAAAGTCAAATGTACTCCTTGATCAGTGGGCTGCAGAATGGACGCTGTGTTAGCAGGCATGAAAACATCTCCTTGTACATCTCCATCAGAGCTCTTGGGTGACCAGTTGCATTGACAATGAGCAGTCATATTTTGAAATGAAACTTTTTTCTGCACAGGAAGTCTCAACTGTTGGCTTAAAATATTCAGTAAACAGATGTGCTGTCACCCAGGCTTTGTTGTTCTATTTATAGCTCAGAGGCCAAGTACACTTAACATCATTCTAAAGGTCCCCAGGATTTTCAGAATAGTAAATGAGAATTGGTTTCAACCGAAAGCCACCAGCTGCATTAGCCCTTAACAAGAGTCAGGCTGTCCTTTGAAGCCAGTCATTGACTTCACTTCTCTCTAGGGTGAAAGTCCTAGTTGGCATCTACTTCCAATAGAAGACTATTTTGTTGGGCAGGCGCCGTGGTTCACGCCTATAATCCTAGGAATTAGAAACCAGACGGGGCAACATGGTGAAACCCCGTCTCTATAAAAATACAAAAAATTAGGTAGGCGTGGTGGCACGCACCTGTAATCCCAGCTACTCCGGAGGCTGAGGCATGAGAATCGCTTGACCTGGGAGGCGGAGGTTGCAGTAAGCTGCAATCTTGCCATTGCACTCCAGTCTGAGCAACAGGCTCTTCCCATCCCCCTGACTCTGACTCAGAAAAAAAAAAAAAAAAAATAGACCAGGAGCTGTGGCTCACGCTTGTAATCCCAGCACTTCGGGGGGCTGAGGTGGGCGGATCATGAGGTCAGGAGATCGAGACCATCCTGGCTAACACAGTGAAACCCTATCTTTACTAAAAATACAAAAAAAAAAAAAAATTAGCCGGGCATGGTGGCAGGTGCCTGTAGTCCCAGCTACTTGGGAGGCTGAGGCAGGAGAATGGCGTGAACCCAGGAGGTGGAGCTTGCAGTGAGCCAAGATCGCGCCACTGCACTCCAGCCTGGGCAACAGAGCGACACTCCATCTCAAAAAAAAAAAAAAAGACTATTTTGTCTACACTGAACAATTTGTTGTTGATTGTAGCCACCTTCATCAATAATTTTAGCTAGATTTCTTCTGGGTAACTTGCTGCAGCTTCTTTCTCTCTCTTTTTTTTTTTATTAAAACATGTTTACTTTTTAGGCCAGGCATGGTGGCCCATGCTTGTAATCCCAGCACTTTGGGAGGTCGAGGTGGGAGGTTTGCTTGAGCCCAGGAGTTCCAGACCAGCCTAGGCAACATGGTGAAACTCTATCACTACAAAAAATACAAAAATTAAGGCCAGGCATGGTGGCTCACGCCTGTAATTCTAGCACTTTGGGAGGCCAAGGCAGGTGGATCATGAGGTCAGGAATTTGAGATCAGCCTGACCAACATAGTGAAACCCCGTCTCTATTAAAAATACAAAAAATTAGCCAGGCGTGGTGGCAGGTGCCTGTAATCCCAGCTACTCAGGAGGCTGAGGCAGGAGAATCACTTGAACCCGGGAGGCAGAGGTTGCAGTGAGCCGAGATTGTGCCATTGCACTTCAGCTCGGGCGACAGTGCAAGATTCTGTCTCAAAAAAACAAACAAAACAACAAACAAACAAAAACCCAAAAAACAAAAATTAGCTGGGCATGGTGGTGTGTGCCTGTAATCCCAGCTACTCAGGAGGCTGAGATGGGAGGACTGCTTTAGCCCAGGAGGTCGAGGCTGAGGGCCACAATGAATGGGTACCATTTCTTGCTCTGTTTGCTGGAGAATACAGGTTACAATCAGAGTGGTGAGTGCTTTAATGGGGGTAGAAAAACCTGCAGTGGGGGCCCAGAACATGGACTGGGGCAGTCTGGCTGAAAAATGGAGGTGACCTTTAAGCTATCTTTTTTTTTTTTTGAGATGGAGTCTCGCTCTGTCACCCAGGTCACCCAGGCTGCAGTGCAGTAGCATGATCTCAGCTCACTGCAAGCTCTGCCTCCCGGGTTCACGCCATTCTCCTGCCTCAGCCTCCCGAGCAGCTGGGACTACAGGCGCCCGCCCCCGGGCCCGGCTAATTTTTTGTATTTTTACTAGAGGTGGGGTTTCACCGTGTTAGCCAGGATGGTCTCGATCTCCTGACCTCGTGATCCGCCTGTCTCGGCCTCCCAAAGTGCTGGGATTACAGGCGTGAGCCACCGTGCCTGGCCTAAGCTATCTTTATACATTCATCCATTTGTTCAACAAATGTCTGTTGAGGGCCCACCAGGTGCTAAAGGCTAGGTTGAAGAAATGATGTTTACATTAGTTTCCATTAATTTACATTGAACTGAAGTGCTAGCTAAGGCAATAAGGCAAGAAAAAGAAATAAGAACCAGACTGAGCATAGTGGTTCATGCCCAGCATGAACATGGGTTCATGTAATCCCAGCACTTTGGGAGGCTGAGGTGTGAGGAGCACTTTAGTCCAGGAGTTTGAGACCAGCCTGGGCAACATGGCAAGACCCCATCTCTACAAAACAACAAAAACAAAAATTAGCCAGGCATGATGGCGCGTGCCTGTAGTACCAGCTGCTACTCTGGAGGCTGAGGTGGGAGGATAGCCTGAGCCTGGGAGGTCGAGGCTGCAGTGAGCTGTGCAATGGTGCCACTGCACTCCAGCCTGGGCAACAGAGTGAGACCCTGTCTCAAATAAATAAATAAATAAATAAATATTAAAAAAAATAAAGAAATGAGAACTAGGCTGGGTGTGATGGCTCACACCTGTAATTCCAGCACTTTGAGTTTGAGCTTTAGTTTGAGCTCAGGAGTTTGAGACCAGCCTGGGTAACATAGTGAGACCCCAGTCTCTATTTAAAAAGTAGAAACAAAAGAACCAAAGTAGGGGATAAACCAGCTAGTACACAGTAGAACTGTTAGGAACATTACACTATCAGGCTCTCAATAATAACCTGACATTGAACAGGTTATTAAAAGCCTATTATGTTCCGGATTCTGTTCAGGACGCTCAGGAGATAGTAAAGAATAATACTACATTATTGTTAACATAATAATTAAACAAAGTTTTCGTGCCCTCCTGCAGCTAATATTCCAGTGTGAGGAGACACAGACAATAAATGTAATAAACAAATTACATAGTGTGGTATGAGGGGGGAAGAGCGGGAAAAGGGGGACCAGAAGTCCTAGGAGGTTGTATTATAATTTTAAGTGGGGGTGGGGTAAGAAAGAAAGAAATGCCTGAAAGGATGAGATATAAGCAAAGACCTAAAAGAGGTAAGGGACCTGCGGATTTTTTTTTTTTTTTTTTTTGAGATGGAGTCTCGATCTGTTGCCCAGGCTGGAGTGCAGTGGCCCGATCTCGGCTCACTGCAACCTCCACCTCCCAGGCTCAAGCCAGTCTCCTGCCTCACCCTCCCAAGTAGGTGGAACTACAGGCGCCTGCCACCACGCACGGCTGATTTTTGTATTTTTAGTAGAAATGGGGTTTCACCATGTTGGCCAGGCTGGTCTCGAACTCCTGACCTCAAGTGATCCACCTGCTTTGGCCTTCCATAGTGCTGGGATTACAGGCCTGAGCCACCGCATCTGGCCAACCTGCGGATATTTGGGGGAAGAGTTCCAGGTGGACAGAACTGAAAGTGCAAAGGGCCTGAGGCACCAGCATGCTTGCTGTGTCCAGAAACAGCTAGACCAGTGTGGCTGGAGCTGAGGGCAGGAAGGTGACTGGGCGTTATCTAGCAGGACTGTGTGGGCCACGCGAGGACTTTGACGTTTCCTCTGAGTGAGGTAAGAGCTATTAGGGCTCTGAGTAGAGGAAGATCATGATCTGAATCGAGTTCTAACAGGCTCCCACAGGGTCAGATGTTACCATTTATTAAATATTTACTGAGTGCCAGACACTATTCTGTTCAATATGGTTTGATCTCATTTCATTCTCACATGGACCCTGTAGGGAATATCATTCCATTTCACAGAAAAGAAACTGAGGCTCACAGAGTTTAAGACACTGACCCATGGCCGCACAGCAATAATCTTCAGCGCCTGGGTGCCAAGGTAAAGTAAGCCAGCCTCTCCCTCCCCCAAGCATTTCAGACAAGGATCGGTGGCTGCAGAGCGCACCCGTCTTCGGGAACGGCGTCTGTGTCCCTGTCTGTCTGTTTCTATTTCCACACGTCCCTGTCTGTCTCCACGCGCCTCTGCCTGTGCGTCCCCCATCTGTGCCCAAGCCGCCGTCTCTCTGCGCCCGGCCCCCGCACATCGGAGCTATTTCGGGTTTAAGGCTTAAAAGCCCAACAGCTCGGAGGAGACGCTTCCTCCGGCCCCCGGCTCGGACCACGCGCCGCACGCGGCCAGCTCTGGGAGCTCCCAGTTTTTTCTGCGGGATCCCCGAGCCGGGGAAGCCCCCGCGGGAGGAAGGGTGGGGGCTGGGGCGACCCGGGCCCGGAGGCTCTCGGCCCCCCAGTGGCCAACCCCGGCATTGACGCCGTCAGGAGCCCAGCCGTGCGTCAGCTGTCGCCCTGGCAACGGGGGCGACGTCACCACATTGGTGGTGCGTCAGTCCGCTGACGTCACGCCCCAGGAGAGGCAATAGGCAAGTGGCGGGGGCGGGTTCTAGGCCCGACCGGCAGGGGGAGCCCTGGGGCACTGATGGCAGATGCGTTTGGCTTGGTCTTGTAGGAGGCCCTGGCCCTGCCGACATGGCCACCGCAGTCCCAACGGCGCGCTAGGTTGGCGAGATGAAGAGGAGTCGCAGTGCCCTGTCCGTGGCAGGGACCGGGGACGAGGTGCGAGAGGAGGGGCTTGGGCTAGGGGCGGGGCTTCGCCCCTTGGGGGAGACTAGCGCCCTCTAGTGACCACGGCTATTTCCTGAACGTGGCTTCACTACCTCCAAGCTGTGAGGAGTTTGGTCCCCTCGTGCCTCAGTTTACCCCCTTGATTCCATTTTTTCTCCTGCTGCCCTAAGAGGCTCTCAGCCGGCCCAGGGACAGCAGGCAAAGGCTTCTCAAATGAGGAGAGGATTTTGGCGAGGAGGTGGGAGGGGGCGCTAGGGGTGGTGAGGTCTTGAGAGTCTCAGATGTGAGGGATGGGAGGGGGGCATTGACATTAAGACCAAGAGGGGCCCTCTTAGACGTGGAGGTTGGGAAGAGACCCTAAAAAGGTGATGTGTTAGAGAGGTCTCACACTTGAGACAGAATGTCTAGATGTGACAGACCCCAAGGCTGGGGCATCGAGAGGGGACCCCACAAAAATTATGGCTGAGAAGGGGCACTCTCAGACCTAAGGGATGGCAGGGCACCCTCTGTGTGAGGGGTCAGCGAGTGGCTCACACGTGAAGGGGAGCCTATACCGCCATTAACTACTCCCTTAGACAGCTAGGTAGGGGTGTTCTTGGGGAGAGGGGCTCAGAGCTTCCCAGCCAGGCCACGCCCCTATTCCACTTTGTCCCTCCCCAGAGGTCGAGGGAGACCCCCGAATCCGACCGTGCCAACATGCTGGGGGCCGACCTGCGTCGCCCTCGCCGCCGCCTCTCGTCCGGTCCTGGCCTGGGCTGGGCCCAGCCTGAGCCCTCGGACCCTGGGGTCCCTCTGCCGCCACGGCCCACCACCCTGCCGCTGCTGATCCCACCGCGGATTTCCATCACCAGGGCCGAGAACGACAGGTAGGTAGGAGAGGGAGCAGAGTGGGAGGTGGGTTGGGGAGGCACAGTGCCAACTGGGCTAGGTCCAGCCACCAGCCCTTCCCGATCTCCATGCTCCCTGCCGTTTGCAAAACTAGCTGCAACTTGTCCTGTGGCGGGCTGTGACACCCCTACCCCAAGGCACCCTTCGCAGGCTCTAGGAACCCCTTATTTCATTTTCCAGCTGCCTGAGTCAGCAAGGGGCAGGACTGAGGAAAGGGGTGTCATGTCTCCAGCCCCCAAGATGCTCCCATATTCACAGAGCTGGGGCAGGTTGATCAGGCGGCTGTGCACCGGCTTTCATGTCCCCGCCTGGGAGGATCAGGTTTCTTCTCCGCCTTGAAGGGGATGGTGGAGTCTTGGAAGGGGTCTGGACTAGTATTTTTCTTTCTCCTGGGGAGATGTGAGAAATATCTGCGAGCTCTGGGTTCACACAGCACCTCCTGCTGATTCTCATCTGGGGACCTTCCAGGTACCCAACCAGTTTCCCAGAGTACTCAACCCCCCTCTTGGCTCAAGAATGAGCTGGAAAGTCAGACAGCTGAGCTGGTCCTGGCTTCTGGCCGGCCCCTGCCCCCATGCCCTCCTCTGGTCACCGCTTTCGGCAGTTCCAATCCACCCCCACCCCCATCTACTCAATTGGAGGGTTCCAGGGTCTCTGTTTCCGTCATGGTCCAATGGTTCATTTCCAGATAGGGAGAGCAAGTGACTGTCTCTCGCCCCTGGAGCTGCTTAATTATACCTCTCCACGCCCATCCCACTAGCCTCAGGTCCAGATCAGTTTATCCCCCAGCTCAGGCCACCGCTCCTCGTTTCCTCCTTCTTCTGCAACCCCAGCTGTGTCCTGACACCCCCACCCACCTCACATTACGCACTCCCACCCGCTTCCAGATCTCTAACCAACGTTACAGCATACCCCGCCAAGAATTTGGCCCAGCCCAGGACTCTCAAATATGATCTGGGGAGAACTCACAGCCCCTGCAAATTCCCTAGAAGCCGTTTTGAGTGTGTAATGGGGGGGGTGTTCCTGAGAGAAGTGGGGAACACAGTTTTGGCCCTTGGAATACCCGGCGGCTGCTGATGGGGGGGCCGGTTTTTGCTCGGCGTTCGCCCACGCCGGGAGCCCCCTCTGGCGGGGAGAAAAGTGGCTGTGGGGGTTGAAGACCGGCAGTCTTTTTTTTTTTTTTTTTTTTTTTTCAAATAAGGAGAAGGGCGCGGGGGGAGGGCGGTGGCAAACGGCATCGCGTGCCCTGGGGAGCCCGTGACAGGGGGCGCACGGGGGCAGGGGTCTGGTCCCCGGGTCCCGCAGCAGAGCAGTTTCGCGTTCGAGCTCTTATCGGCGTGGGGGGGGGGGGCGGTGGGACACGCGGGCGCGTGCACTCCCCCCGCCCAGCAGCCATCCTTGGGGGGGTTGAGGGGGATGGGGGCGCACTCGGATCCCGCTCGCTCTCTGCTTGCTCGCTCGGCGCGGCGCTGGGGGAGGCGGGAGCGTGAGTCACGGCGACTCCCGATTTAGGTGCCGGAAGGGGGGCTCTGCTGGCGGGGGCCGCAGGGAGGAGGCTCGCCTGTTTACTCGCCTGAAAAGGGCACGGGGGTGCGCTCCGCGGCTACCTGGGACCTTCCTCAGTTTACCTCTGGCAGAAGCGCTTTAGAAGAGGCAGCGATGTATAGAGCGGTGGGCCGGCAGCTGCGGTATCCGCCACAGGGTGTCTTCCTGGAGCCACAAGGGAACCAATGGGACACACCCCAGAAACACCCCAGAGGCCCCAGGCCGACCACACACATACACTCACGCACACGCACACACTAACATACATAGACGTCCTCCGACACTACAGTCAGACGACAGAGGCCGAATCGCGTGCACAACTCCGCAAGCACACACCGACCACAAACGCATCCAAGCGCTTGAGAACACATTCACAGTCCCCAGGCCACCTGAAAAAAGACCACGTAGGGATGCACATCCTCCAAATAGGTAGCACATGTGCGCACACATCCTTCACCCACAGACACACACAGTTATACACACAGCCAAATCCAGAGAAACGGGCAGACAACAGCAGCCAACCACGTGCGCACACACACTTCCAGCCGACACTGAAAACACAGACAACCCTCGGAAGAGGCCACGTGCGCGCACATCCCGCCCCGGGCCCGCACCATCACTATCCTCCGACGCACAGACAGGAGATCCCACACACTCTGCCGCCGCCCGCTGCAGGTACCGCGCCGGTGGCACTAGGACCACTCCTCAAAAACTGCCCCCCGCCAGGGGTAGCGGCGAGGACACGCCAACACCGGACTCCGCCCTCGCCATGATGGACCGACTGACTGACACTCTGGCAACCAGTCCGGTGTCTGCTTCCAGATCGGATTAACCGTTTAACTCCTTCGTGCCTGTGCGCGCCGCGGCCAAGCAGGGTGCTTTGAAGACAGACGAGTTCCAGCGCCCCCTCCCAGCCCGGAGCGGGGATCTGCGTGGGCGGGAAGGGCCCCCCTCCTTAGGTAGCTGCCCCCCGCTGGCCCGGACGGAGGAGGAGGGGGGCGGCGCTGACAGCCGCGGCGGGCGGGGGGCGGGGAGGGGCGGGACGGGGCGGAGGAGCCGGGGCTGGCGCCGAGCGGGCCGCGGAACGCGGAGCGCGGAGCGCGGAGAGCGCCGCCGGGC
Organism: Homo sapiens; assembly: GCF_000001405.40. Lineage (NCBI taxonomy): Eukaryota > Metazoa > Chordata > Mammalia > Primates > Hominidae > Homo > Homo sapiens. The sequence continues at coordinate 10,420,552 of NC_000019.10, forward strand.
ACTGAGCAGAGCTCCAGGCGCCGAAAGGAAGCTGCAGAGCCCGGCCCGGGGGCGATTGGCCCGCAGCGCCCCCGGGTCTGTCCCCGGGGCGCCATGGCCCTACCGCGGCCGGGCGCACCCGCGGGGCCCTGGGCTCGCTGGCTTGCGCGCAGCTGAGCGGGGTGTAGGTTGGAAGGGCCAGGGCCCCCTGGGGCGCAAGTGGGGGCCGGCGCCATGGAACCCCCGACCGTCCCCTCGGAAAGGAGCCTGTCTCTGTCACTGCCCGGGCCCCGGGAGGGCCAGGCCACCCTGAAGCCTCCCCCGCAGCACCTGTGGCGGCAGCCTCGGACCCCCATCCGTATCCAGCAGCGCGGCTACTCCGACAGCGCGGAGCGCGCCGAGCGGGAGCGGCAGCCGCACCGGCCCATAGAGCGCGCCGATGCCATGGACACCAGCGACCGGCCCGGCCTGCGCACGACCCGCATGTCCTGGCCCTCGTCCTTCCATGGCACTGGCACCGGCAGCGGCGGCGCGGGCGGAGGCAGCAGCAGGCGGTAAGACTCCCCGCGGCGGATGCGCGCGGAACGGATGGGCGCGCAGGGAGGAGGCAACTCGAGCTGCCGGCCGCAGGGGGCGCTAGGATGCGGGTGGGGTCGGTTTGGCTGGCGGGGGCGGAGGGAATTCGGCTGCGGGGGCGTCTGGGACCTGGCCCCTGGTTGTGCGCTCTACGGGAGGCTTCCTGCTGAAGCCCATCCTGGGGTCCATTTAGGGGGCGCCACGCTGCGCGTGGTGTTAACGAGGTCTGGGTTGGGGAAGGGGGCTGCACACTTAGGGGTCTGTATTCTTGGTGACAGTGCAGAACAGCTGCTAAGCTGGGAACCACTTGGAGGGACCTTCCTGGGGGCACTATACTGAGGGCTAGATTCGCAGTGTTTGGGGTACTCTTGGAGCACTCCATAAGGGGGTGCCTGCTAGGACCAGGATCTTTACTTCAGGGTGGGGTGCTCTCAGGGTCCTTCTAGGGGATGGAGGACTCTATTGCGGGGATGTTAGTGGACTCCTCCTGCAGCAGCTGGGGTCAGAAATCCAGAGGGTGCCTCTTGGGGGAGCACTGTTTTGGGAGCCTTGCGTTAGATTGGAGTTCCCCTCTCAGGGCAAGAGTGTTAGCGTTAAGTAGCTGTTCAGAGGCAGGAAACAGTGGAGGGGGGGCGCAGTCCCAGCACAGAGGGAAGGAGTCCCTGACTGCAGAGGTGACAGCATAGTGAGGGTGCATGTGTGTTGAGCTTGGTCTCCTCTGAGGGTATTCTCCGATTGACCTCCGTTTGCTCCAGCTGTCCGGGTATGACCAGCTGTGGCTACCTCAGTTGTGTGCTCTGTGTGAGCTTCTGGGGTCTTGTGATGGTGACACGATGACTCTGTGTCCTCCAGGGACAGTGTAATTGTGACAGTGTGACTGTGTATTTCCAGGGTAGTGTGACTGTGTGTTTCTGGGACAGGGTTTGCGACAGTGACTGTGTGTGCTCCAAGAATGCTGTGACTGTCACAGGGTGACTGTGGCCTCATGGGATGCAGTGATTGGGATAGAGTGACTGTTTCTGCTCCTAGGACAGTGATTGTGCAATGGTGTTGGTGGTCTAGGGACAATGTGATTGTGACAGTGTCATTTCTGGCATGCAGTGATTGTGGCACTGGGGTGTTTACACTTGGGGAACAATGTGATTGAGTTCGTGGAACAGTCTGTGCTCCTTGGACACTGTGATTGAAACACAGTGGCTGTGTGTTAGTCTTCACCAGGTGCTCACGTCTGAGCGTCGGTGCTCTGACATGTGGTCTGTGTTCCCTCTGCCTGGTGTATCCTAAGAACTGGTGTCCTCTAACCACCTGGTGTTCTTAGTTATTGTTCCTCCTCTGATGGTGCTCCAGGGTCTGATTGCTTGTGCTCCAGCGATGTGTGCAACTGACAGCTTTGCCCGTGTGCTCTACCTGGATGCCCCACTGCTGGGGATATCACCAAGACGGTCAGATTTGGGCTCCTTATCCCTGGAGCTCCTGAGTGAGGCCTCTCTAAGATGTAGCCCTACTCTTCCTAAGTCTCTTTGGGGGTCTTCAGCAGTCATTGCAGCCCTCCAGGCCACCCCCACCTCTGTTCTGATCACCCCCCAGCCCCAGTCCCCCTGCACCCTTCTACCCACCAGGAAGCAAGTGTCACGGGCCCAGCATACATGGGCTGACATTTCCCAAAGGGAACTGGAGAGAGGCTGAAGGAAGAGAAAGTTGGAATCAACAGAAAATGCTAAAACTGGGGCAGGGGGCCAAACTGGCACAGGTCACTGTCCTAAGACACCAAGGGGTGGGTGAAGTGAAGTAGGTTCCAGGCCCCATTTCTTTGCAAGGCTCCAGGGACTCCTCCTAGCCTGGTCTCTGGGGCACTGAGTCTTAGGGGACAGTGGCTGAGTGGTAATAATCATCATTATTTTGGTGGGTATCCATCTCGCAATGGCTCACCCTCCGGCTCCATGCCAGGGACTTTTCCATATGCATCCTCATCCCCAGTGCCCTGGGTATTCCAGCAGGGTATTCCTGCTGGCATATGGAGAAACTGGAGCCCAGAGACAAAACCCTTTCTCTTTTTTTTTTTTTTTTTTTTTTGACAGAGTCTCCTCTGTCACCCAGGCTGGAGTGCAGTGGCGTGATCTCAGCTCACTGCAACCTCTGCCTTCCGGATTCAAGTGATTCTCCTGCCTCAGCCTCCGGAGTAGCTGGGATTACAGGCGCCCACCACCACACCTGACTAATTTTTGAATTTTTAGTAGAGATGGGGTTTCACCATGTTGGCCAGGCTGGTCTCGAACTCCTGACCTCAGGTGATCTGCCCACCCCTTAGCCTCCCAAAGTGCTGGGATTACAGGCATGAGCCACTGCACCCAGCTAAACCTTTTCTCTTTCTCACCCAAACTCACACAACCAGGAGATGGGGGAGCTGGAATTGCAACGCAGGTCCGCCCAATTCCTGTGCATCTTTGTATAAGTGTCTTGCCCTCTCTGAGCCTTAATTTTCCAGTCTGTAGAGTGGGGCTTTTGTTGGCACTGCCATGTGGGGGTCACTTTGAGGGTTCTGTGAGCTTGGAGATGTGTGTAAAGGACTTAACATAATCAGTAGATCTCCATTCAGGGACCTGGACTAAGGAGGGGGGACCTGGGTGGATCCCATTTCTCCAGGGTGAGTAGAAAAAAACAGGAACCTTAACCACATCCCCACGTAGACTCGGGTTTCTGTTTCACTGTGGGCCTGTGCACCCTTCAGTGTCTGTGCTGAGGTCCAAAGCTGGGACTGATGGGTGGGCTGTAGCTGGCATCAGTGCCAGGGTCCTCCCCCATTCCCAGGGAAAAGGAGGAAGGTGTCTGATGGCAACCTCAATGCTTAGAACAGGCATTTCTTCAAAAAGGGGGTTTTTACCAGGGCACATACAGGATTCAGTGCTCCCCACACTGGAGTTCATCCAGCTACCGCAAAAGGAGTCCAGCGAGCTCCCCCGATTTGGGTCAAAGGAATCCCCAGAGAGAGGGCACTGCCCACCCCCAACCGGAGATGTCATCCAAACCTCCCCTCCAGACCTGAAGATGTATGAGACGGCTGAGTCACGGCACAGCCACGATCTGTCAAGAGGCAGATGGAGAGGGAGGAAGAGGAGGACTTTGGTGGTGGGGGTGGGGAGCTGTCTGAACTGGGGACGGGGCCAACATACGGACCCTGCGTCCCCCCTCCCTGGGCCCTAAAACTTCCCCATCGAGGTGGGGGCACAGTGTGGCCCCAGGAGCAGGTGGAGGCAGCCGAGCTGGGGTATCCGTCTGGTCGCTGGTCTCTGTCTCCACTTGGGTCCTCGCCTCCCCCTTGTCCCTGGCGCTCCCAAGTCCCTGGATGTGGGTTGGGAGCGGGTCTCCCCGCGCGCCCTCTGCTGGACGACGAGGAAGGCACAGCCTGGGTGTGCGCTCCGAGCGCGGACCTGCTCCAGGGACGCCGCCAGTCCCGGAGCAAAGCAAAGTCGCCGCCACCGTCGCGGCGCCCGGTATTATTATTTTATGCTTATTGAGCGTCCTGGAGAGCGGGCGCCAGGCCGGCTGACCGCAGGCTGCGTGTGGGGTCCTCGCCCTCCCGGGCTTGGGACCAGGCCGCTTTCCCCATGCGCCAGCCCCTGCCACACGCTGCGGGGACTGTCGTCTGGAGGACAGGGAGGAACCTGGCCGAAAAGTTGCAGCCGTGGAGTTCCCGTCCCGCCTCTGCGCGCTTGCCCGGCAGGCCGGTGAACCCCAGCATCCTTGGCTCTGCGCTTCCTGCCCGGGAAACAGAGACCATGGGACTTGCCCAAGGTCACACAGCGAGGAAGGTGAGAATAGGAGTTAAAAACCAGATCTCGGCCAGGCGCGGTGGCTCTGTAATCTGAGCACTTTGGGAGACCGAGGTGGGCGGATCACGAATGAGGTCAGGAGTTCAAGATCATCCTGGCCAACATGGTGAAACCCCGTTTCTACTAAAAATACAAAAATTAGCCGGGTATGGTGGCACACGTCTGTAATCCTAGCTACTCGGGAGGCTGAGGCAGGAGAATCGCTTGAACCCGGGAGGCAGAGGTTGCAGTGAGTCGAGATGGCACCACTGCACTCCAGCCTGGCAGCAGAGCGAGACCCTGTCTCAAAAAAAAAAACAAAAAACAAAAAACAGATCTGCTCCACTGCAGACCGCTGGGTAACATTCACATGGCAGCCCTGCCCGCTGACTCGCTGTGTGACTTGGGGTCAGTGCTTGTGCCTCTCGGAGCCTCAGTTTCCTCATCAGTCAAACGGGGCTGAAAAATAAGAACTGTCCACCCCCAGGGCTGTGGTGAGGCTGATATGTTTGACGTAGGTGCTGGGCAGCCAGGAGCTGGTGTTCTGAGAAAGTACTTCCTCAAATGACATCAGCAGAGAGAAAGGGGGCGTCCCCCAAACCGCAAACCCGGCTGGTGGGGAAGGTGCCCCATATTTCATTGGTAACAGATTGACTGCAGGCTCTTATGACTTTAGGAAAACTGGGGCTTTGGACCTGGGAGAGCCACAGTCTGGCAGGGTGAGAACAGAATTGTGAGGGCATCTGAGCCCACTCTTTTCATTGTGGAGTATGAAAGAGTTCAAATCTGGCTGGGCGCGGTGGCTCATGCCTGTAATCCCAGCACTTTGGGAGGCTGAGGCGGGTGGATTATTTGAGGTCAGGAAATTGAGACCAGTCTGGCCAACATGGTGAAACCCCGTCTCTACTAAAAATACAAAAATTAGCCAGGTGGTAGTGGTGCATGCCTGTAATCCCAGCTACTGGTGAGGCTGAGGCAGGAGAATTGGTTGAGCCTGGAAGGCGGAGGTTGCGGTGAGCCGAGATTGGGCCACTGCACTCCAGTCTGGGCGAGAGACTGAGACCCTGTCAAAAAAAAAAAAAAAAAAAAAAAAAAAAAGGAAGGAGGGAAGGAAGGAAAGAAAAGAGTTCAAATCCACTTTTGGCCAGGCGAGGTGGCTCACACCCAGCACTTTGGGAGGCTGATGTGGGAGGATTGCCTGAGGCTGGAGTTTGAGACCAGCCTGGGCAGCATGGTGAGACCCTATCTCTACAAAAAGAAAAAAATAAAAGAAGTAAATCCAGCTTTTGTCCTGGACTCGCTGTGTGACCTTCACCTGTCAGAGCCTCAGTCTCCTCATTTCTAGCAGATTCGTTCATTCCACAAACACTGAGCGCCTTCAGAACTGTGGCTGAGAATGCTGTAGACCAAGTTTGTCCAACCCGTGGCCCAGGATGGCATTGAATTCGGCCCAACACAAATTCGTAAACTTTCTTAAAACAATGAGATTCTTTTTTTTTTCCCTCTCATTAGCTATTGTTAGTGTTAGTGTATTTTATGTGTGGCCCAAGACAATTCTTCGCCTTTCAGTGTGGCCCAGGGATGCCAAAAGATTGCACACCCTTGCCATAGACACATTCCCTGCTGCCCTGAAATTGTCAGACTAGAGGGTGAAGCAGAAATAGCAAGTAAAGGGCTGGGTGCGGTGGCTCAGGCCTGTAATCCCAGCACTTTGGGAGGCCAAGGCAGGTGGATTACTTGAGGCCAGGAGTTCGAGACCAGCCTGGCCAAAACCTGGCAAAACCCTGTCTCTACTAAAAATACAAAAATTAGCTGGGCGCACGCCTGCAATCCCAGCTACTTGGGAGGCTGAGGTGGGAGGAGGATTGCATGAACCCAGGAGGCGGAGGTTGCAGTGAGCCGAGATTGCGCCACTTCACTCCAGCCTGGGTGACAAAGCCAGACTCCGTCTCAAAAAAAAAAAAAGAAATAGCAAGTAAAGCTGTATGATAATTCAAGATGGTCACACATAGGATATGAAAAAAAGAGGGATCCTGAGGTCAGGGAAGGCCTCTCTGAGGAGGTGACATTTGAACAAAGACCCAAATAAAATGAGGGAGGTAAGGGCCGGGCGCAGTGGCTCACACCTGTAATCCCAGCACTTTGGGAGGCCGAGGCAGGTGGATCACGAGGTCACGAGTTCAAGACCAGTCTGGCCAGGATGTTGAAACTCCATCTCTACTAAAAATACAAAAATTAGCTGGGCGCAGTGGCAAGTGCCTGTAATCCCAGCTACTCAGGAGGCTGAGGCAGGAGAACTGCTTGAACCCAGGAAGTGGAGGTTGCAGTGAGCCAAGACCGTGCCAGTGCACTTCAGCCTGGGTGACAGAGCAAGACTCCGTCTAACAAAAAACAAAAGAGGGAGGTTGCTACATGGGTGTCTGATGGAAGAGGGTGCCAACCAGAGGGAAGAGCCAGTGCAGAGGTCCTGTGGTGGGAGTGTGTCTGATACGTTGGAGGCAAGTGTGTCTGAGGCAGAGTGAGCGAGGAGGCAGTGGAAAAAAAGGAGGGAGCGAGGTGACAGGCAGCTCATGTAAGGGCTCATAGACCATTAGGCCATGATCAAGGTTGGCTTTAGGCCTCAGTTTACATCTGGCTTCCTAGGACGGGACAAGCATCATTGGGCTGGAAGGAAACTCATCCATAAAGGGCTTGTGTAGCCTCATGGCTAAAATTCCTGTCTCTGAAGCCAGACAGCTGGGTCCATAATCCAGCTCTGATCTTTCTAGATTGGGAGACCCTAGCCAAGTCACTCCTCTCTGGGCCTTGGCTTCCCCGTCTCTGAAATGGGCCTAGTAAAAACCGTATTCCCAAGGGCTGATCTGACGAACTGGCAAAACAATTCAGGGAAGCTAAGGGCATTGAAACCTTGGTCGGTGAACAAAAATGCATTTCTGGGACAGGTATAGTGGCTCATGCCCAACACACTTTGGGAGGCTGAGAGGGAGGCGGATCACTTGAGCCTGGGAGGTGGAGGTTGCAGTGAGCCAATATCATGTCACTTGCACTGCAGTCTGGGTGACAGAGTGAGACCCTGTCAAAAAAAAAAAAAAAAAAAGAATATCACCTGGTGGGTGTCTGGTGGGTACTTTGTGAGGATTAAATGAGATCATAAGACCAAGTGTGGTGGCTCACGCCTGTAATCCCAGCACTTTGGGAGGCCAAGGCGGGCAGATCACTTGAGTCCAGGAGCTCAAGACCAGCCTGGGCAACATAGGAAAACCCCATCTCTAGAAAAAGTACAAAAAATTAGTCAGGCATGGTGGCGCACATGCTACTCAGCTACTTAGCTGCTCAGGAAGCTGAGGTTGAAGGATCACTTGACCGCAGGAAGTTGAGACTGCAGTGAGCTATGATCGTGCCACTGTACTCCAGCCTCGATGACAGAGTGAGATCCTGTCTCGAGAGAGAGAGAGAGAGAGAGAGAGAGAGAGAGAGATATTGAGAGAGAGAGAGAGAGAGAGATCATAGCTAGAGGCACTGGATGCACAGGAAGCTTTCTAAAGGGTTAGTTGCTATCATCACCATCATCGTCATTATCATCATCATCTATACCCTCTAGCTAGTATAGTGATTTGCATATTATAAGCCTTCAGTAAATATTTGTCAAATACTGATAATAACTGTAGCTCATATTGAGTGCTTACTAGGTTCAGACACTTTTCTGAGCTTTTTATGTGTCCATCCATGGGGTGAGTGGTAGTATTATACCCATTTTACAACTGGGGAAACTGAGGCTCAATGAAATGAAGTGACTAGCCCGAGATCAAATGGCTAAGAAGTGCCAGAGGCCACACGCAAGCCCAGGCTTCCTCACTCTGGGCCCCATGGCATCAGAGCCAACACTAGAGAAGGAAGGATATTTCACAGAGGTGGACTCGAAAATAGAGATTCACTGTTGGGCGCAGTGGCTCACACGGGTGGATCACTTGAGGCCAGGAATTCGAGACCAACCTGGCCAACATGGTGAAACCCCATTTCTACTAAAAATACAAGAAAAATTTGCCAGGTATTGTGGCACATGCCTGTAATCCCAGCTACTTGGGAGGCTGAGGCACGAGAATCCTTTGAACCTAGCAAGCAGAGGTTGCGGTGAGCCAAGATCGTGCCACTGCACTCCAGTCTGGGTGACAGTGAGAGACTGATGAAAAAGAAAGAAAGAAAGAGAGAAAGGGGGAAAGGGAGGAAGGAGAAAGGAAAGGAAAGGAAAGGAAGGAAGAAATGAAGGAAGGAAGGAAGGAAAATAAGGAAAGGAAGGAGAAAAGGAAAAGAAAGAAAGAGAGGGACGGAGGGGAAAGGAAAGGAAAGGAAAGAAGGAAGGAAGGAAGAAAGAAAGAAAGAAAGAAAGAGAGGAAGGAAAGAAAGAAAAGAAAATAGAGATTCACCCTCTTTTCTCTTTTTTTTCGTGAGACAGGGTCTCACTGTCTCAAGATGGTTTAGTGGCACCTTCATAACTCACTGCAACCTCAACCTCTTGGCTCAGGTGATCTTCCCACCTCAGCCTCCAAAGTAGCTGGGACCACAGGCTCATCCCACTATGCCCTGCTAATTTTTGTCATCTTTTGTAGAGATGGGATCTCGCCATGTCACCTGGGCTGGTCTCGAACTCCTGGGCTCAAGTGATCCGCCCACCTTCACCTCCCAAAGTGCTGGGATTACAGGCATGAGCCACCACACCTGCCTTCTAGGGGTGTCTTAAGAGTTGTAAGACACATCTCAGAAGCTGTGGGTGGCATTCTAGGTTGTCCCCAAGGACTGTGGGGTGCATCTTGGGATTCTGTTCTAGGGTGTGAGACTGTCTTAGGAGCTGGAGAGGAATCTAGTTGTGTCCCTGGGGTCTATTGGGGCACCCCAGATTTTGCTGGCATCTCCATGGTTACTAGGGCATCCCCTGAGTCTGAAGGCATTCCCGAGGTTGTCTTGGGGTCTCAGCACTTGTGGGGGCATCTCAGAGATGCTGTAGAACCATTCAGGGATTAAGGGACATCTGAGGGACTGTGGAGGTGTTCCTGGGGTCTGTGGAGAACTCTAGGATTTGGTGGGAACCTATATTCGGTCTATGAAAATGGCTCTGTGGGTGTGGGGGATTCTGGGGGTACTGAGGGAGGGTCTATGCATGATGGGATGATGAGAGTTGGGGATGATGGGGAGCTCTGGAGGAATTTTGGGACATCTGAGGAACTGTGGTGGGGGTTCTGGGATCTGAAGGGTTTTCCCTGGGCTCTCAGAGCACCACTGGCAGGGAGTTTGTGGGAGTGCCCCCAGAGATTTGGGGGCATCCCTGGCATTTGTGGATGCACCCTGGGATTCTCAGGGCACTCCTGGGGCTTGTGGCATGTCCCAGAAACAGTGAGAATACTGCTAGGATTATGGGGGCATCTGGAGAGCTATGAGAGTGCCCTAGGGTTTATGAGGGTGTCTCAGAACACCTCTAAGTTGTGCTGAGAAGCCCCGGGATTTGGGGGGGTACCCCTGGACTTCTTGTGTGGGGTTGTCTCAGGGACAATGAGGGTGCTCCTTGGGATTCTGAGAGACTGTGGGGTGGCTCCTGGGGCTTGTGGGGCCTGTCAACACCACGGGGAGTTTGCAGGAGTGTCCCCACAGATTTGGGGGTGTCCCTGGTGTTTGTGGGGACGCGTCCGGCGATTGTGAGGACATTAGAGCCAACGCGGGCGGCTTTGGGGTCTGCGGGAGAGTCCCCACCAGAGCCGTGCGGGCGCCCCAGACCCGCCCCGCCCTGGGGGCGGCTCCAGCGCGAAGCCGGAAGGGCCGAGGCGACAGGGCGGGGTGGGGCCCGCGGGCCCGGGGCTGGGCAGGCGGCCTGCGTGGGCCTGGCGGGGTGGGCGGCGCAGCTCCCCAGCGCCCGCCGAGGCGGGGCCGCCCCGCGGCCATGGCGCGGCCGCGCGGCCTAGGCCGCATCCCGGAGCTGCAACTGGTGGCCTTCCCGGTGGCGGTGGCGGCTGAGGACGAGGCGTTCCTGCCCGAGCCCCTGGCCCCGCGCGCGCCCCGCCGCCCGCGTTCGCCGCCCTCCTCGCCCGTCTTCTTCGCCAGCCCGTCCCCAACTTTCCGCAGACGCCTTCGGCTTCTCCGCAGCTGCCAGGATTTGGGCCGCCAGGCTTGGGCTGGGGCTGGGTAAGTGCAGCGCTGGTGGCCGTGGGTTCAAGTCGCCCCTGGCCACCTGGCGCACTCCAGGGTCTAGGGTTCGTGGCTCACTCTCTCCAGCCTCACTTTCCTCTTCTGTCACATAGCAGCGATCAAAATCATCCCTGACCGCCAGGGTTGCCCTGGAGACCTCTGATAGGGCATGCAGTAGACGTTTAATAAATGTTGCATCCTTCCCACTTCCTGTGCAAACCTGAAGCTGCGGTCACGCTTTGGAGGAGTGAGGGCGACCTGCCATCCAGGTCATGTGTTCATCCTGGGGTATGTGTTCAGTTCTGTCAGCCTCAGTCTACTGGCCTGTGAAATGGGGCCAGTCATGCCTTCTGTGGGTGGCCTTGCGGTGAGGCTTGGTGTCACTCCTAGTACCGGGCCACAGAGGGCAAATGGAAGTTCCCTTTCTGGCCAGACGGGGTGGGCTGCGGGGGCTTGAAGTCTGGGAGTGACAGGCCCCGAGGCCACATCCAGTCTGGCTTTCTAATGTCCTTATATCCTGGAGGCAGAAGTTGGCAGCCCGGAGTTGGGCACTGGCTGGCCCTGGGGGCTTCTCCGGGTCCTCAGCCTCCCCCTCTTCCACCTACTTTCCACGTGCAATTGAGGCACAGACTGAAGGAGGGCACGGCGGGGCAGGACCGGGCCCAGCGACTGGCCCCAGGAACGAAATGGGGCGGGGACAGAAGAGGAAGAGGGGCCAGGGCCTTTGGGAGCCCCGCGTGGGGTCCGCAGGGTGTGTGTAGGGAAATCGTTGCTTCTCTCCGGGTCTCTCTCTCTGCGTCCTGCGTCTCTGTCTCCACTTCTGTCTCTTCTGTCTCTGTTTTGTTTCTCCTTCCCACCGCTGAGCTGCACCTTCCCCTCCCCTGGGTTTATGTCACCCGGCCCCACACTCGAGTCCCGTTTCCCCGGGGGCGCACGGCGATCAGCGATCAGAGACCTCGAGCGGGCCCAGCTCGACGTCAGGGCGGGGAGGGGGGAAAGGCGGGGCCGGAGGCGGTGGCAGGAGGGCGGGCCCGGAGCCGGGAAACCGGAGCCCCGGGGCACCCCAGAGGCCTAGGAGGGAGGAGACGGGGGGGGGGGGGGGAAGTGTGCGTCCGACTCCGCAGGACCCCTGCAGGGGGAGGCAGACAGAGCGCCCGTGCGCTCCCCTCCCCCGTGCAGACCCGGGAACGCTCGACCGCCCGGGGCTGTCCCTGGGGGGGTCACCAGAGGCGTGGAGGCGGTGCCGGCAGTGGAGGCCGCAGACACCTTGGGCCTGGCCAGCAGCGCGCGCCACACCGCCCTGCCGCCGTCCCCATGCGCGCCCCGACGACGGCGCTTGGCTCCCATGCGCTCCGGTGCAGCGCCCCGGGCCCGGCCCCGGCCCCCTGCCCTGGCACTGCCCCCCACGGGCCCCGAGTCCCTGACCCACTTCCCCTTCAGCGATGAGGACACCCGTCGGCACCCTCCGGGCAGATCTGTCAGGTGGGTGGCCCGTGGCCAGTCAGTCCTCTCTTTTAATACTGAAGGGCACTGGCTGTGCTGGGGGGGTGGGGGTGCTGAGTCTACCTGGGTGAGTCCCCTAAGTGGCTTCCAGGATCTGGCTGGGGCCCCACCCCCTTTCCTGGCTCTAAAGGCCTGGGGTGCTGCTGAGGGCTTCTTGAAGGTGGCAGCCCTCAAAGTGGGTGCTGGGTCCATTCCTGCCTATCCAAGGTAGGACCCGTCACCCTCTTTGTGTCCTTAAACCTGAGCTTCTGGCATTCACTTTGGCTGCAAATATGGGTGTCCAGCGTCACCTGGGCTCCACTCCCAGGCCACTGGCCTAGAACCAGATCCCTAAGTCCCTGCCTGGCTCAGTGTCTCCAGCCTTACCTTCCCCACCCCCTCTCATGCTGGAGCTGCCAGGCTGAAAACCAAGCTGGGTTGGGGGTGGGGAGGGGAGATTCTGGGTCTCATGGAGGGTGTTTAGAATAGGCTGGACTGAGCTGGGGCTGTGAGTGGCCTTTAAGTTCTCAGAATTCTCAGGGGTTTCTAGCCTTGTTCTTGCTTTCCTGCTCCATGGTCTCTAACACAGACACACACACAGGGCCGCACACAGGGCAATCCGGGTCACCTGGTGTTTACCGTACTAGGTATGGGTCTCCTGGCTGCACCAAGAGGACCCTGCAGTTGACTCATGGCCACACACAGGTGACACACAGACCACAGCAACCCTGGCCCAGCCCTCGCACATCCTCGTCTACACTGCGTTCCTCCACAGTGGGGGACACTGTATTTTGGTGAGACACATTCTCACAAAAATACACACCCAGGGCCCACACATGTTCCTGTATGCTGTACTCCCACCTGCACCAGATACACACAGGAACGCACCCCGTGCCCACACAGGGGTCAGGGACTGTCACAGTATCAGTGCGACACGGTCTCATAAAGTCACCCAGACTCAGAAATACACAGATAAAGACACAGAGATGCACACAGGCACCCATGAGCACCCAGCCCCTGCTCACACAGGCAGATGTGCGATGCCACAGAGATGTCTATGTGTGATGCCCGGGGGCACACAGACCTCCCTCTCCCCCAGTCTCTTACATACTCAGCCCCCCAAAGAGCTGTGTCACCTGGCACTACGCGCCTGCCTGGGAGACACACACCAGCACCCGCCTTCAACCTCCATGTGACCTTCACAAAGCAAATGCCAGGCCTTTCCATAAAGGCTGCCTGGCACCACCTACAAGTGAGTCAGGTGGAAAAGCACGGGGAGCCGGGGGAGACACCAGGCCTGCCTGCCCTGTGCGCCCCGGGGGAAGACACTCGTCGCAGCTTTGTAGCTCAGCTGCCTGGGTTCAAATCCACATTCTAGGCCGGGCGTGGTGGCTCATGCCTGTAATCCCAGCACTTTGGGAGGCTGAGGTGGGAGGATGGCTTGAGCCCAGGAGTTTGAGACCAGCCTGGGCAACATAGTAAAACCTCATCTCTACAAAATAAATAAATTTTAAAAGAAATCCATGCTCTGCTACTAATAACCATAGTATTTATCCTTTATGTGCCTCAGTTTCTTTCTTTCTTCCTTCCTTCCTTCCTTTCTTTCTTCCTTTCCTTCTTTCCTTCTTTCTCTCTTTCTTCCTTTTTTTTTTTTTCAGGGTCTCGCTCTGTCACCCAGGCTGGAGTGCAGTGGAGTGATCTTGGCTCAATGCAACCTCTGCCTCCCGGGTTCAAGCAATTCTTGTGCCTCAGCCTCCCAAGTAGCTGGCATTACAGGTGTATGCCACCATAGCCCAGCTAATTTTTTTGTATTTTTAGTTTAGATGGGGTTTCTCTATGGTGGCCAGGCTGATCTCAAACTCCTGGCCCTAAGTGATCCATCCACCTTGGCCTCCCAAAGTGCTGGGATTACAGACGTGAGCCACCGTGCCTGGCCTCAGTTTCTTTGTCTGGAAAATGGAGCATTAATGCATGTTACAGTATAGCACAATGCCTAGCATGTGGTCTTCACATAAGTTTGTTTTTTTTTTCTTTCTTGAGATGGAGTCTCACTCTGTCACCCAGGCTGGAGTGCAGTGGTGCGATCTTGCCTCACTGCAATCTGTGCCTCCTGGGTTCAACCAATTCTCCTGCCTCAGACTCCCAAGTAGCTAGGATTACAAGCGCCCCGCCACCACGCCTGGCTAATTTTTATATTTTTAGTAGAGACAGGTTTCCCCATGTTGGCCAGGCTGGTCTCGAACTGCTGACCTCAAGTGATCTGCCCGCCTTGGCCTCCCAAAGTGCTGGGATTACAGGCATGAGCCACTGTGCCCAGCTTTTTTTTTTTTTTTTTTTTTTTGAGACAGCATCTCTATCATCCAGGCTGGGATGCAGTGGTATCATCTCTGCTCTCTGCAACCTCTGCTTCCCAGGCTCAAGCGATGCTCCAACAGGCATGAGCCACGGCGCCTGGCCATAGTTCTTGTTATTATAATCTTTACCAATGTGTTCGTTTCCCCCGCCCCCGCTCCCTAGCTTGTTTGTGTCCCGTCAGTCCCTGCAGTAGTCATCCCCCAAGGCCTAGACTCTCCCTGGGCTGCATAGCCCTCAACAAGCCCAATTTCATGCTCCCAAAAGCCCTGGTGGGAAGGCCTAGGGGCCACGTGGAGGGGGAAACAGGTAGCAACTTCATCTGAAAGTGTCACCAAATGATCAGCCTGAGGCCAGATGCAGTGGTCATGCCTATAAACCCAGCATTTTGAGAGGGCGAGACTTTGGGAAGCAGATTGCTTGAGTCTAGGAGTTCAAGACCAGCCTGGGCAACATGGTGAAACCCCATTTCTGCTTAAAAAAAAAAATTAGCTGGGTGTGGTGGTGTGCGCCTGTGGTTCCAGCTACTCAGGAGGCTGAGGTGGGAGGATCGCTTGAGCCTGGGAGGCTGAGGCTGCAGTGAACCATGATCGCCCCACTGCACTGCAGTCTGGGTGACAGAGCAAGACCCTGTATCAACACACACACACACACACACACACACACACAAACAAACAAACAAAAAACAATGATTAGCCTGCCTAAGAGGGAGTCTTGGGCGGGTCACTTCACCTCCAATGGAGCGTCTGGGCATGTGGCTGTGATGTAAGGCTGGCAGCTACCCCTGTGTCTGGGTTGCAACCTTGGGTCCCATGGGGATGTTGCTGGAGTGGCCTCTGGCCTAACTTTGGGCCACCCTGAGCAGTCAGTGGCAAGCCAGGGAGGGGTGACTCTCCATGGCTCAGGGATCTGATTCTGGGGCATCACTGGCCCTGACTCTCCCCTATCCCCACCAGCTCCCAGGCAGCAGTTCTATAGCCCTGTCCCCTCCCCTCTGTCCTCCCTCAGCCCAGGGGACATCGGGTCTTGAAACAGAAACAGCAGGGCCCCAGGGAGTGTCCTCTTCCCATCCAGGCCTCTGGGCTCCTGCTGACGTGAGCTGAGTCCCTTGGGGCTGGTGGATGTGCCAGGATGTGCTAGCTGGGCACCTGCTTGGGAACAGAGTCTCACCATCCTAAACTGCAGCTTAAATCCTAGGCCGGGGAGTTGGAGGTGTGTAGCTATGTTCCTCTCGCCTTCTCTGGAGCTGAAAAAAAATCCACCTTAGGAGACAGGACACAGTTCTCAGACAATGAAGCCACCAACCCCTTGTCTCCTTATGCCATGGGAATGTTAACAGGACTTATATGTTGCCAGGCGCAGTAGCTCACACCTGTAATCCCAGCACTTTGGGAGGCCGAGGCAGGTGGATCACCTGAGATCGGGAGTTCAAGACCAGCCTGACCAACATGGAGAAACCCCGTCTCTACTAAAAATACAAAATTAGCCGGGCATGGTGATACATGCCTGTAATCCCAGCTACTCGGGAGGCTGAGGCAAGAGAATCTCTTGAACCTGAGAGGCGGAGGTTGCAGTGAGCCGAGATGGCGCCACTGCACTACAGCCTAGGCAATAAGAGCGAAACTCCGTCTCAAAAAAACAACAAAAACCAGGACCTATATGTTAACTTATAGAGTGGGTTGGAGCCCTCTGTCGGTTAATGTGTATAAAGCACTTTCATAATGCCAGGCACACAGCAAGCATTCAATAAATGTCTTGTTATTATTACTGTATGCCTGAAAGGATCTAACCTGGCACCCAGGACACAGCAGGTGCTCAACAAATGGACACTATTGGCTGGGTGCAGTGGCTCACGCCTGTAATCCCAGCACACTGGGAGGCTGAGGCGGGTGGATCACCTGAGGTCAGGAGTTCGAGACTGGCCTGGCCAACATGGTGAAACCCGTCTCTACTAAAAATACAAAAATTAGCCAGGTGTAGTGGCGCACACCTGTAGTCCCAGCTACTCGAGAGACTGAGTCAGGAGAATTGCTTGAGCCCGGCAGCAGAGGTTGCAGTGAGCTGAGATCACATCACTACACTCCAGCCTGGGTGACAGAGTGAGACTCCATCTCAAAAATAAATAAATAAATAAATAAATGGACATTATCATCAAAGGTCCAAGCTGATGATCTATGATTATCTCACCTTAAGAACCTTAAGAGTGGCTTTTTTTGTTTGTTTGTTTTTTGAGACTATCCCCTAGGCTGCAGTGCAGTGGCTCGATCTTGGCTCACTGCAATCTCCACCTCCCAGGATCAAGTGATTCTCCTGCCTCAGCCTCCTGAGTAGCTGAGATCACAGGCGCACACCAGCACGCCAAGCTAATTTTTGTATTTTTAGTAGAGACGGGGTTTCACCATGTTGGTCAGGCTGGTCTCGAACTCCTGATCTCATGATCTGCCCGCCTTGGCCTCCCAAAGTGTTGGGATTACAGGCGTAAGCCACCGTGCCCGGCCTTTTTCTTTTTTTTTTGAGATAGGGTCTCACTGTATCACCCAGTCTGGAGTGCAGTGGCATGATCACAGCTCACTGCAGCCTCCAAATCCTGGTCTCAAGCAATCATCTTGCATCAGCCTCTTGAGTAGCTGGGACTATACACATGCACCACCATGCTCAGCTAACTTAAATTTTTTGTAGAGACAGGGTCTTGCTATGTTGCCCAGGCTGGTCTCAAACTCCTGGACTTAAGTGATCCTCCCACCTCAGCTTCTCAAAGTGCTGTGATTATAGGAATGAGCCATTCTGCTTGGCCCATTTTATCCATTTTCGAGTGTATAGTTCAGTGGCATTAAGTACATTCACATTGTTGTGCAACCATCACCACCATCCATCTCCAGGACTGTTTTTTTTTTTTTTTGAGACAGGGTCTCACTCTATCACCCAGGCTGGAGTGCAGTGGCATCATCACTGCTCACTGCAGTCTATACCTCCAGGGCTCAGGTGATCCTCCCACCTCAGCCTCCTGAGTAGCTGGGACCACAGGCGCACACCATCATCATGCCTTGCTAATTTTTTTCATTTTTTGTAGAGATAGGGCCTTGCCATGTTTCCCAGGCTGGTGTTGAACTCCTGGGCTCAAGCAATCCTCCCGCGTGGGCCTCCCAAAGTGCTGGGATTACAGATGTGAGCCACTTCACCCAGCCTCCAAGACTTTTTTTTTTTTTTTGAGACGGAGTCTCGCTCTGTCGCCAGGCTGGAGTGCAGTGGCGCAATCTCGGCTCACTGCAACCTTCGCCTCCCGGGTTCAAGCGATTCTCGTGCCTCAGCCTCCTGAGTAGCTTGGATTACAGGCACGCACCACCACACCCAGCTAATTTTTGTATTTTTATTAGAGACGGGGTTTCATCATGTTGGCCGGGATGGTCTCGCTCTCCTGACCTTGTGATCCGCCCGCCTCCGCCTGCCAAAGTGCTGGGATTACAGGCGTGAGCCACCACACCTGGCCAGGACTTTTTAATGTTCTCAGACTGAAACTTTAAGCACAAACACACCATTTCCCTATCTCCCCCAGCCGCTGGCACCCACTCTTCTACTTTCTGTCTCTGAGTTTGAGTACTCCAGGGACCTCATATAAGTGGAATTTCCTGTGCACTATTTGTCTTTTTCTGACTGGCTTATTTTACTGAGCATAATGTTTTTTTGTTTGTTTGTTTGTTTTTGAGACAGAGTTTCACTCTTATTGCCCAAGCTGGAATGCAATGTCCCAATCTCGGCTCACTGCAACCTCCACCTCCCAGGTTCAAGTGATTCTCCTGCCTCAGCCTCCGAGTAGCTGGGATTACAGGCATGTGCCACCACGCCCGGCTAATTTTGTATTTTTAGTAGAGACAGGGTTTCTCCATGTTGGTCAGGCTGGTCTCGAACTCCCAACCTCAGGTGATCCGCCCACCTCATCCTACCAAAGTGCTGGGTCACTGAGCATAATGTTTTCAGGGTTCATCCATGTTGTAGCCTGTGTCAGAATTCCTTTCCTTTTTAAGGCTGAATTCTATTCCATTCAATGGATATAACACATTTTGTTGATCCATTCATCTGTTGATGGACACGTCAGTCACTTCTACCTTTTGGCCATCGTGAATTACGCTGCTGTGAACATGGGTGTACATGTATCTGTTTGAGATCCCCACTTTCAATTCTTTTGGGGATAGACCTAGGAGTGGGATTGCGCGGTTGTGTGGTGATTCTACGTGTTTGTTTGTTTTGAGGGTTTTTTGTTTGTTTGTTTGGTTGGTTTCTGACAGAGTCTCATTCTGTCGGCCAGGCTGGAGTACAGTGGTGTGATCTCGGTTCACTGCAACCTCCGTCTCCCGGGTTCAAGCAATTATCTGGCTGCAGCCTCCCGAGTAGCTGGGACTACAGGTGCCTGCCACCACGCCCACCTGATTTTTGTATTTTTAGTAGAGATTGGGTTTCACCGTGTTGGCCAGGCTGGTCTCGAACTCTGGACCTCAGGTAATCTGCCCGCCTCGGCCTCCCAAAATGCTGGGATTACAGGCGTGAGCCACCGCACCTGGCCTACAAACATTTTTGATTGGGGTTACAGTGGTTCTCTCAACAGCAGGTAGGAATGGATTGTTTGTGAGTGGGGAGGAATCGGAGCAGCAGAGAGACCTGGTTGGAATGGAGAGTGCAGCAGGTGAGAGAGGAGGTGTTGTGACCTCAGGGATGCGAAGAGTCCAGGCCTTCAATAAGGTCTGTCTCTGGAACTCAAATCTGAGGCCCAGGAGGCGGGTCAGAGGCTGAGAGACGGGGTGGATGGAGGTAGGAGTGCCTCCTGGCTCCACAGTCCCTTCTCTTGGAGTGAAGAGACCAGCTGTCTGGAGGGGAGAGCAACTGGGAAACAGGACACGGGTAAAGGCCAGTTACAAGTGGCATCCTGGAGAGAAGGTGGCTCAGGACACAGCTGTCCCCAAAATACCCTCCTTGGCATTGCATGCAGGGGATGGAGGAACCCTAAGATCTTCAAAAGTAAAAGGCCCTTCAGGAACCATCCTAATAGGCGTGACATGGTATCTCCTTTTTTTTTTTTTTTTTTTTGAGACGGAGTCTTGCTTTGTCACCCAGGCTGGAGTGCAGTGGCGTGATCTTGGTTCACTGCAGCCTCTGCCACCCGGGTTCAAGCAATTCTCCTGCCTCAGCCTCCCAAGTACCTGGGATTATAGGCACCCACCACCACACCTAGCTAATTTTTGTATTTCTAGTAGAGACAGGGTTTCGGTATGTTGGCCAGGCTGGTCTCAAACTCCTGACCTCAAGTGATTCACCCACCTTGCCTCCCAAAGCGCTGGGATTACAGGCATGAGCCACCTCACCAGACCTGTATCTCTTTCTTTTGATTTGCGTTTCCCTGATGAGTGATGTTAAGGATTTTTTTTCATATGTTTATTGGCTGTTTTAATATCTTTTCTGCAGATATGCCTATTCAAGTCATTTGCCTATTAAGTCAAATTATTTACAATTTATTATTTATTATTTTGAGACAGGGTCTCACTCTGTTGCCCAGGCTGGTGTGCAGTGGCACGATGTCAGCTCACTGCAATCTCTGCCTCCCGGGTTTAAGTGATTCTCCCACCTCAGTCTCTCTAGTAGCTGGGATTACAGGTGAGAGCCGCCATGCCTGGCTAATTATTTTATTTATTTATGTATTTTTTGAGACAGAGTCTCGCTCTGTCATCCAGGCTGAAGTGCAATGTCGCGATCTCAGCTCACTGCAACCTCCACCTTCCGGGTTCAAGCAGTTCTCGTGTTTTAGCCTCCCCAGTAGCTGGGATTACAGGCACATGGCACCACGCCCGGCTAATTTTTGTATGTTTAGTAGAGACAGGGTTTTCACTGTGTTAGCCAGGATGGGCTCGATCTCCTGACCTCGTGATCCACCCACCTCGGCCTCCCAAAGTGCTGGGATTACAGGCGTGAGCCACCACGCCCAGCCAATTTTTTTTTTTTTTTTTTGGTTGAGACGGGGTTTCACCATGCTGCCCTGGCTGGTTTCAAACTCCTAGACTCAAGTGATCCGCCCACCTCGGCCTCCCAAAGTGCTGGGATTACTGGTCTGAGCCACCAGGCCTGGCCTATTTATTTTTGAAACAAAGTCTCCCTCTGTCGTCCAGGCTGGAGTGCAGTGGTGCGATCACAGCTCACTCACTACAGCCTCAAACATCCCAGGCTCAAGTGATCCTCCAGTCTTAGCCTCCCAGTAGCTGGGACTGCAGGCACACACTGCCATGCCTGGCTAATTAAACAAGTTTTGTTTTTTTGTGTTTTTTGTTTCTTTGTTTCTTTGTTTTTGAGTAGCTGGGACTATAGGTGCACACCACCATGCCCGGCTAATTTTTGTATTTTTAGTAGAGACGGTTTCGCCATGTTGTCTGGGCTGGTCTCGAACTCCTGACCTCAAGTGATCTGCCCGCCTAGGCCTCCCAGAGTGCTGGGATTACAGGCGTGAGCCACCGTGCCCAGCCCTTTTTTTTTTTAAGAGATGGGGTCTCACTATATTGCCCAGGCTGGCCACAAGCTCCTGGTCTCAAGCCATCCTTCCACCTCAGCCTCTGTTGATACACAAAAGTCTTTCATTTTGTTGAAGTCCACTTGTTTGTTATTGTTGTTGCCTGTGCTTTGGTGTCAAATTCAAGAAATCATTGCCAGATCTAATGTCATGAAGCTGCTAAGAGTTTTATAGTTTTGGCTCTTATGTTTAGGTATTTGGTCATTTTGAGTTATTTTTTTTTTTTTTTTTTTTTTTGAGATGGAGTCTCGCTCTGTCATCCAGGCTGGAGTGCAGTAGTGTGATCTCGGCTCACTGCAACCTCCGCCTCCTGGGTTCAAGGGATTCTTCTGCCTCAGCCTCCGGAATAGCTGGGATTACAGGCACCCACCACTACGCCCGGCTAATTTTTGAATTTTTAGTAGAGACGGGGTTTCACCATGTTGGCCAGGCTGGTCTCGAACTCCCGACCTCAGGTGATCTGCCCGCTTCAGGCCTCCCAAAGTGCTGGGATTACAGGCATGAGCCACCACGCCCTGCCTTGAGTTAATTTCTGTATGTGGTCCACCTCTTCAGTTTTCCCAGCACCATCGTTTTGAAAAGACAGTTCTTTCCCCATTGAGTAGTCTCTGGGGTTAGACTAGTAGGTAGATTTCAGGCTATGCTCTGAGTGGGTGCAAGTGGAGAGGGAGAGAGGATAGGAACCCCCCGCTTCCCCTTTCTAGGTCAGCCTATAGAGAGTCACCATAAGACTTTACTGGAATGGTCTCTCTACTAAGAAATAAGTTTGAAATCTCCTAGGCCTGCCAGGCACCTATAATCCCAGCACTTTGGGAGGCTGAGGTGGGCAGATCACTTGAGGCCAGGTGTTTGAAACCAGCCTGGCCAACGTGGTGAAACCCTGACTGTACTAAAAATTCAAAAATTAGCCAGATGTGCTGGTGCATGCCTGTAATCCCAGCTATCCGGGAGGCTGAGGCAGGAGAATTGCTTGAACCCGGGAGGCAGAGGTTGCAGTGAACCGAGATCGCGCCACTGCACTCCAGACTGGGCGACAGAGTGAAATCCTGTCTCAAAAACAAAACAAAGCAAAACAAAAATGTATAAGAAGACACGCTTTAGGCATAGCGTTTCATGTCTGTAATCCCAGCACTGTGGGAGGCCAAAGCGGGAGGATCTCTTGAGCCCAGGAGTTACAGACTATCCTGGGCAACATATTACTATTACTATTATTACCTTATTATTATAATTACTTATTACATATTACCTTATTACTATTATTACATATTACCTTATTACTATTATTACATATTACCATATTACTATTATCACATACTACTAATATATGTAATATTACTAATATTACATATATAATATCAGTAATATTATATATAGTAATATTATATACATGCATGTAATATTAGTAATAGTGCATATACATGTATGCAATATTAGCAATATTGCATATGCATATATAATACTAGCAATATTGCATATGCATGTGTATGTAATATTAGTAATATTACATATTACATATTACCAATATTACATATTACCTATTACTACAAAAAATTCAAAAATTATCTGGGTGTGGTGGCACGTGCCTATAGTCCCAGCCACTCCCGAGGCTTAGGTGGGGGGATCGCTAGAGTCCAGGAGGCTGCAGTGAGCTATGATGGTTCCACTGCACTCCAGCCTGGGCAACAGAGTGAGACCCCATCACTAAATGATAAGCTGCAAACTTGGAGAAAAATACATGATAAGGGATTTGTATCCAGAATATATAATGGGCCAGCCATGGTGGCTCACGCCTGTAATCCCAGTGTTTTGGGAGCCCAAGGCAGGTGGATCACTTGAGGCCAAGGTGAGGGCATTGCTTGAGCCCAGGTGTTCCAGACCAACCTGGACAACATGGCGAGACCCCATCTCTACAAAAAATACAAAATTTATCTGGGGGTGGTGGCATGTGCCTGTAGACCCAGCTGCTTGGGAGGCTGAGGTGGGAGGATTTCTTAAGCCAGGGAGGTGGAGGTTGCATTGAGCTGAGATTGTGCCATTGCACTTCAGTCTGGGTAAGAGAGTGAGACCCTGTCTCAAAAAAAAAAAAAAAAAAAATTAGCTGAGCTTGCTGGCGTACACCTGTAGTCCCACCTACTTGGGAGGTGGAGGTGGAGGATAGCTTGAGCCCAGGAAGTTGAGGCTGCAGTGAGCTGGGATTGCCCTACAGGACTCCAGCCTGGGCGATAGAGCGAGATTTCATCTCAAAAAAACACCAGGCCAGGCGCAGTGGCTCATGCCTGTAATCCCAGCACTTTGGGAGGCCGAGGTGGGTGGATTACTTGAGGTCTGGAGTTCGAAACCAGCCTGGCCAACATGGTAAAATCCCATCTCTACTAAAAATACAAAAATTAGCCAGGTGTGGTGGCAGGTGCCTGTAATCCCAGCTACTCGGGAGGCTGAGGCAGGAGAATTGATTGAGCCCAGGAGGCAGAGGTTGCAATGAGCCAAGATCGCATCACTGGACTCCAGTCTAGGTGACAGAGCAAGACTGTCTCAAAAAAAAAAAAAAAAGATAAATATAGATTATGTCAAGTAAGTAGTGGGATTTTAGTTTGTGTGTGTGTGTTTTAAGGAAGAGAAATAGTATTGGGCTGGGCACGGTGGCTCACGCCTGTAATCACAGCACTTTGGGAGGTAGAGGTGGGCAGATCACCTGAGGCTGGGAGTTTGAGACCAGCCTGACCAACATGGAGAAACCCCATCTCTACTAAAAATACAAAATGGGCTGGGCATGGTGGCCCACACCTGTAATCCCAGCACTTTGGGAGCCTGAGGCAGGTGGATCACCTGAGGTTGGAAGTTCCAGACCAGCCTGACTGTGTCTACTGAAAATACAAAATTTGCCAGGCGTGGTGGTGCATGCCTGTAATCCCAGCTACTCGGGAGACTAAGGCAGGAAAATCGCTTGAACCCAGGAGGCGGAGGTTGCGGTGAGCTGAGATCGCGCCATTGCATTCCAGCCTGGGCAACAAGAGTGAAACTCCATCTCAAAAAAAAAAAAAAAGTATTATGGTTGAAATTTTAGCTGGGTTGGTCAGGGGAGGCTTCTTTGTGGCAGTGACATTTGAGCAGAGGCCTGAAGGAGGGAAAGAGGAGCCGCTGCAAATCTGGGCTGGAGAAACAGCCTGTGCAAAGGCCCTGAGGCAGGACTGTGTCTGAGATTTTTTTTTTTTTTTTTTGAGATGGAGTCTTGCTCTGTTGCCCAGACTGGAGCGCAGTGGCAAGATCTTGGCCCTCACTGCAACCTCCGTTTCCTGGGTTCAAGTGATTCTCCTGCCTCAGCCTCCCAAGTAGCTGGGATTACAGGCATCCACCACCACGCCTGGCTAATTTTTGTATTTTTATTAGAGATGGGGTTTTGCCATGTTGGCCAGGCTGGTAGAGAACTCCTGACCTTCAGTGATCTGCCCACCTTGGCCTCCCAAAGTGCTGGGATTACAGGCATGAGCCACCTCACCCCGGCCTGTGTCTGAGATTTTTAGGGAACAGTGAGGAGGCCATTGTGGCTGGAGCAGAATGAGTGAGGGGGGAAGGGAAAGTCGTGGGACAGGACCTGTGAGCTGCAGTGAGGACTTTGGATTTTGCCCAGAGTAAGGTGGGATCCATCGAAGGTTCTGAGCAGAGGGAGGACTTGACCTCATTCAGGTGTTTCCAAGCTCGCCCTGGTGGCCACTGAAGAAAGACTGGGGGTTGAAAACAGGAGGTGGGTACTAGGGCAGAGGTGAATGCAACCAGTCCTGGCTGAGGGAAGCTGACCAAGGAGTGGGTGAGAAGTAGACAGATTCTGGATAGATTTTGGCACCAAGGCTGATTTGAGGTACGAAGGAAAGAGTGAATGATCCCATAAATTTTGGCCTTGGGGTGTCCCCAGCACAGCAGTGGGGATGGATGCACACCGGTGCTCAAGTTCCATCTTTGCAATTCTGTGTCTCCCGTCTCTTTTAGGGCATCTGTCTTTCTTTAACATCCTCCACTTGGTTGGGCGCAGTGGCTCAGGCCTGTAATCCCAGCACTTTGGGAGGCCAAAGAGGGAGGATCACATGAGGCCAGGTGTTTGAGACCAGCCTGGCCAACATGGTGGAACCCCATCTCTACTAAAAATACAAAAATTAGCCAGGTGCGGTGGTGCATGTCTGTAATCCCAGCTACGCAGGAGGCTGAGGCAGAAAAATCACTTGAATCCGGGAGGTGGAGGTTGCAGTGAGCCAAGATCACACCACTGCACTACTCCAGCCTGGGCCACAGAGCGAGACCATACCTCAAAAAAAAAAAAAAAAAATTCTCCACCTGAATGTCTGCCAGGAATTCCCTTAGGCTCCTCATCCCACCCCCACCTTTTTTTTTTTGAGACATTGTCTTGCTCTGTCACCCAGGCTGGAGTGCAGTGGCACGATCTTGGCTCACTGCAACCTCCGCTTCCTGGGTTCAAGTGATTCTCATGCCTCAGCCTCCCGAATAGCTGGGATTACAGACACCTGCCACCATGCCCGGCTAATTTTTGTATTTTTAGTGGAGACAGGGTTTCATCATGTTGGCCAGGCTGGTCTCGAACTCCTGACCTCAAGTGATTCACCCCCACTTGGCCTCCCAAAGTGCTGGGATTACAGGCATTACAGGCGTGAGCCACCGCACCCGGCCTCCTCATTCCTCTTGACCTCCCTAATAGCGTTTCAGCCTCCTGACCCCTCTTCTCGCCCATCCCCTGCAGCTTCGAGGCAGAGAATGGGCCGACACCATCTCCTGGCCGCAGCCCCCTGGACTCGCAGGCGAGCCCAGGACTCGTGCTGCACGCCGGGGCGGCCACCAGCCAGCGCCGGGAGTCCTTCCTGTACCGCTCAGACAGCGACTATGACATGTCACCCAAGACCATGTCCCGGAACTCATCGGTCACCAGCGAGGCGTGAGCATCCTTCTCCCCACATGCCAGTTCCCCCAGGCCTGGTCCTGCTGGAAGCTGCCCTTCCCAGCAGGGAGTCGGGGGGCACCCACCCCTATCCTCCTCAGCACTCCCAACCTGTCCTCCCCAGTGAAGGGTAAGCAGCACCCTGCCCCTCCTATAAAGGGCTCAGTTCCTTTTTTTTTTTTTTTCTTTTTTTCTTTTTTGAGACGGAGTCTCGCTCTGTCGTCCAGGCTGGAGTGTAGAGGTGCCATCTCAGCTCACTGCAACCTCCGCCTCCTGGGTTCAAGCAATTCTCCTGCCTCAGCCTCCCGAGTAGCTGGGACTACAGGCACCAGCCATCATGCCTGGCTAATTGTGTATTTTTAGTAGAGACAGGGTTTCACCATGTTGGCCAGGCTGGTCTCAAACTCCTGACCTCAGGTGATCCGCCTGCCTTGGCCTCCCAGAGTGCTGGGATTACAGGCGTGAGCCACCGCGCCTGGCCTCAGTTCCTTTTTTTTTTGAGACGGAGTGTCTCTCTGTTGTGTTGCCCAGGCTGGAGTGCAGTGGTGCGATCGCGGCTCACTGCAAGCTCCTCCTCCCAGGTTCACGCCATTCTCCTACCTCAGCTTCCCGAGTAGTTGGGACTACAGGCACCCGCCACCATGCCTGGCTAATTTTTTTGCATTTTTTAGTGGAGACGG
The DNA here is from genome assembly GCF_000001405.40 of Homo sapiens. Lineage (NCBI taxonomy): Eukaryota > Metazoa > Chordata > Mammalia > Primates > Hominidae > Homo > Homo sapiens. Next base: position 10,447,093 of record NC_000019.10, read on the forward strand.
GGTTTCACCGTGTTAGCCAGGATGGTCTCGATCTCCTGACCTCATGATCTGCCCACCTCAGCCTCCCAGATTGCTGGGATTACAGGCATGAGCCACCGCGCCTGGCCTCAGTTCCTTTTTTTCTCTTTTTTTTTTTTTTTTTTTTTTTTTTGAGACAGAATCTCACACTGTCGCCCAGGCTGGAGTGCAATGGTGCAATCTCGGCTCACTGCAAGCTCCACCTCCCGGGTTCATGCCATTCTCCTGCCTCAGCCTCCTGAGTAGCTGGGACTACAGGTGCCTGCCACCACACCCGGCTAATTTTTTCTATTTTTAGTAGAGACGGGGTTTCACCTTGTTAGCCAGGATGGTCTCGATCTCCTGACCTCATGATCCGCCTACCTCGGCCTCCCAAAGTGCTGGGATTACAGGTGTGAGCCACCGCGCCCGGCCCTCAGTTCCTTTTTTAAAAAATATAATAGTGATCGGGTCTCACTATGTTGCCTAGACTGGTCTCAAACTCCTGGGCTCAAGCGATCCTCCCACCTCAGCCTCCCAAAGTGCTGGGATTGCAGGCATGAGCCACCCTGCCCGCCCTCAGTTACTTTATAGCATGTCCAGCCAGAAAGGTGTGAGTGCCCACCCACTGTATCCTCCCACAGTGTGTACATCTCACCTGACCCACCCTCTGCCCTTCCTCCAGGTTTTCCTAAGCTAACCTCCCTTATCGTGACACTTGTTGAGGTGTGAGTTCCCCCTGAACCTGCTCAGCCTCTTCCTCTCTCACTGGGTTCCTCCAGGCCTTTCCACCAGCCATTGCTGTACACACCTCAACCCACTTGGTCCCCTTCCTGTTCACTGCTCCCCTCATCAAGCCCCGCCCTTGCAACATATTCACCTCGGGTCAGGCTTGGAAGCTCACACTCATAATCCTAGCACATTTGGAGGCTGAGGCAGAAGGATTGCTTGAGCTCAGGATTCTGAGACCAGCCTGGCCAACATAGCAAGACTTCATCTCTTTTTTATCTCTCTCTTTTTTTTTTTTTTGAGATGGAATCTTGCTCTGTCACCAGGCTGGAGTGCAGTGGCGCGATCTTGGCTCACTGCAACCTCTGCCTCCCGGGTTCAAGGGATTCTCCTGCCTCAGCCTCCCAAGTAGCTGAGACTACAGGCGTGCGTCACCACACCCAGCTAATTTTTGTATTTTTAGTAGAGACAAGGTTTCACCATGCTGGCCAGGATAAGATGTCATCTCTTTAAAAGAAAAAATAAATAAATAAAAAGGTCAGGCACGGTGGCTCACGCCTATAATCCCAGCACTTTGAGAGGCCAAAGTGGGTAGATTGTTCCAGGCCAGGAGTTTGAGACCATCCTGGCCAACATGATGAAACCCAGTCTCTACTAAAAATACAAAAATTAGTGGGGCGAGAGGCACATGCCTGTAATCCCAGCTTCTTGGGAGGCTGAGACAGGAGAATCGCTTGAACCTGGGAGGCGGAGGTTGCAGTGAGCTGAGATCATGCCACCACACTCCAGCCTGGGTGACAGAGTGAGACTCTGTCTAAAAAAAAAAAAAACACCCAACCATATTCACCTCTCCCCTCTCCCCTTTTCCACTTTGTCTCTTCTCCCCGGACCTACCTGAGCCACACTCCTTGACTGCCATTTCTTCCACGATCAGCCCTGGACACATATCCACCCTTATGCAGTACAAGTGTTCTTTCCCTAGGTCCCACAGAGTCCCCTCCCTCCCTCTCAGCCTCCCTGGGTCCAGCCTCACAGGGCATCTACCCCAGACAGTTGCTTCTCTGCGGACCCCTGACCTGCCTCTGTCCTCAATCACAGGCACGCTGAAGACCTCATCGTAACACCATTTGCTCAGGTGAGACCTCTTCCCAAATGGTTAAGGAGAGAAGGGGCTCCAATGCTCCGCCACACTTGGGGACAGGGCCCAGCCCCGCTGCCTCTCTAGGGGAACCCCACTCCTCACTGCCGCTCCCCATCCCAGGTGCTGGCCAGCCTCCGGAGCGTCCGTAGCAACTTCTCACTCCTGACCAATGTGCCCGTTCCCAGTAACAAGTAAGTGAAGGCTGGGCTGCAACAGCTGTGATCATAAGGTGAAGCATATGCGGGTTCTGCTCTCAGCCCTGCTGTGTGACCTCTGGCAGGCAGGTGACCTCTCTGAACCTCTGTTCAGACAACAGCTCCCAGAAAGCCAGAGAGCCATTGCAGGTCAAGTGCCTAAGACACAGAGGTGTTTTTTGTTTGTTTGTTTGTTTTTTGTTTTTTGTTTGTTTGTTTGTTTTGAGATCAAGTCTCACTCTGTCACACAGGCTGGAGTGCAGTAGTGCGATCTTGGCTCACTGCAACCTCTGCCTCCCGGGTTCAAGCAATTCTCCTGCCTCAGCCTCCCGGGTAGCTGGGATTACAGGCATGCACCACCACACCGGGCTAATTTTTGTATTTTTAGTAGAGATGGGGTTTCACCATGTTGGCCAGGCTGGTCTCAAACTCCTGACCTTTGGTGATCCACCCGCCTCAGCCTCCCAAAGTGCTAGGATTACAGGTGTGAGCCTCTGCGCCCGGCCCAGAGGTTTTTATAAATAAAGATTTAGGGGTCTGGATGCATGGTGGTGAGGCCACAGCCACAGTCCCCAGGCCCACCCTGGGTCTTGACACCAAGTTGCTGGGCAAATGGCATTCCATGGTGCTTCTGTTGCCCTTCTGCAAAGTGATGATCACAGCCAAGCGTGCTGGCTCATGCCTGTAATCCAGCACTTTGGGAGGCCAAGGCAGGAGGTCACTTGAATTCAGGAGTTCAGGACCAGCCCAGGGGAAACAAAATGAGACCCTGTCTCTAAAAAAAAAAAAAATTAGCCCAGCATGGTGGCATGTGTCTGTGGTTCCCACCTACACAGAAGGCTAAGGCAGGAGGATAGTTTTGAGCCCAGGAGGTTGAGGCTGCAGTGAGCTGTGTTCCCACCACTGCACTCCAGCCTGGGTGACAGAGCAAGACCCTGGTTCAAAAAATAAATAGATAAATAAAGTGAGGATTACAATAATGCCTCCCTTAGATAACTGCTGTGAGGAGAGGAGATGATGTCTAGAAAGTGCTAGAATATTGCCCTGCGTACATAGGAGTGGATCTTAATTGTTTCAGTGCAAGAGATGTGGCTGAGAGCTGCCAGTCCTTCTGGGGGTGGGGGATAGAGACATCCTTAGGGGCTTGGAGGATTTGTGGAGAGTTAGGCAAGAGAGCAGAGATCTTGGAAGCCCAGGACCTGACCTTAAGGCGGATCAGCCATGTGGTCTTGAAGAAGCTGTTTCACCTCCTTGAGCCTCAGTTTCCACATCTATAAAATGGATTTTTCTGGGACTCATTGAGGCTGCAGGCAGAGTACATGGCAGCGTCCTTAGGACACGGTGAGTTTTCAGACAAATGAAAATTGGCACTGTTCATGAAAGCGGGAGGCAGGGACCTGGTGGGGGGACCCAGGCTGACATTGCAGCCCCATTTTTTTTTTTCTGCAGGCGGTCCCCGCTGGGCGGCCCCACCCCTGTCTGCAAGGCCACGCTGTCAGGTAGCTAAGCCCAGAGGGGTGGGAAGGGGCCCCCCTTGCTGCCCCAGTGGGGGTCCCTCAGCCCCTTCCCCACCCAGCAGTCCACTCACCTGGCGAACCCCGTCACGGCGGTCTGGAGCCTCTGGGCTTCTGCCTACAGACCTTCTCAGTCACTACCCTGGCTGCCCCTTCCTTAGAAGAAACGTGTCAGCAGTTGGCCCGGGAGACTCTGGAGGAGCTGGACTGGTGTCTGGAGCAGCTGGAGACCATGCAGACCTATCGCTCTGTCAGCGAGATGGCCTCGCACAAGGTGTGCAGGTGGTGGGCAGAACCCCTGGGCGGGGCAGGCGGGGGCGGGGCCAGTGGGTAGAGCCAACCGCTGGATGGGACCAGTGGGCGCGGCCTGCGGATGGAGCCAGCCATTAGGTTGTTCCTGTGGGCGGAGATAGCTACTGGGTGTGGCTGATTAGGGCAGGGCCAATCCCTGGGCGGGGGCTGGTGGAGCTGGGCCCTATGGATGGAGCCAACCACTAGGTTAGGCCTGTAGCCGAGGCCAACTATTGGGCGTGGCTCATGAGGGTGGGGCCAATCTCTGGGTAGGGTCTATGGTATGGGGTCAGTCCCTGGGTGGGGCCAACCCCTGGGCGGCAGCTTCAAGGCTTGAAGCTCCTGTAGATTATGACTTTCCCCAGGGCTGGAGGAGCCTGGTGTGTGTTGTGGGGTGGGGTGTGTCTGTCTGGTTGTACATGTGTCAATAGGTGACCGTTTCCGTTGGGGGGTTTTATGCTTTTATGGTCTGCGGGGGTGTATCTGCGGCTATAGGTCTGCGTAGCCGCTGGTTTATTGGCTACGCATTTGCAGCGCTGGGGTGTTGGGAATAGATTCTGAAGAGTGGCACGCCAGTGTGTACTTGTGTAGGTGTATAGGTTTGCACGGGTAATTATGCAGGGTTATAGGTGTGTGGGGCTGTGCCAGAGGGGTGCGCATGTCTGCAGGGGAGAGTTGGACCAGATGGGAAACTGAATGTGTAGCTCTATGTGTTTGTGAATGTGTGTGTTTGCAGGGCCGTAGGGGTGACTGCAATGCTCCCATGTACAGTTGTGCAGACGGTGCACTGCACAACTCCAGGGGACACCATTCAGGAAGCAGGCAGTATGTGTGAATGATGCTTCCTGGAGTTGGAGAGAGTGGTAACAGCCCTTGTGGGCGGGTGCCTATCAAGAAATGATCTGTAGGTGGGAGTGTCTTTGTTGGGGGGTGCTTACAGCAGTGGGTGGAGGCTTGTATAGGAACATAGCAGTCTGAGGGCGATTGTGTCCCTGAGGGTGGATCAAGCATCTGAAATGTAGCTGTGTCTTTGGATATGGGTCTGAGGATGTTTCTGCAATGGTGTGTGTGTGTGTGTGTGTGTGTGTGTGTGTGTGTGTGTGTATTTTTGCATCTGTGAGTATATTTCCTTATGGATTTGTCGGGATATGTTTGTGTCCAAGGGCAGTGGATATTTGCAATGGTTGGAAAGTGTGTCTGTGGGTGTGTTTAGTGTGTGTCTGTAAGTGTGGCTGGCTGGGGAGGCCAAGGCGGGCGGATCACCTGAGGTCGGGAGTTCGAGCAGCCTGACCAGCATGGAGAAACCCCGTCTCTACTAAACATACAAAATTAGTCGGGTGTGCTGGAGGGTGCCTGTAATCCCAACTACTCTGGAGGCTGAGGCGGGAGAATTGCTTGAACCTGGAAGGCGGAGGTTGTGGTGAGCCGAGATCGTGCCATTGCACTCCAGCCTGGGCGACAAGAGTGAAAACTCCGTCTCAAAAAAAAAAAAAGAAATGTGGCTGGTATCTCGGTGTCTGTCTATAGGTGTGGGTCTGGATGTGGGTCTGGATGTGGGTCTGTGCCCTTGGATGGGGCGTGTCTGAAGGCATTTGCTATATGCTCAGCTGTGGACCTATAAGTGTGTTGGACATCAGAGTTGTGACTGTCTCCGGGTGTGTGTGTGTGTGTGTGTGCTGTAAGTGTACAACAGAAAGCATTTGAGTATCTGTGTATATTCAAGTGTCAAGTGCCTGGATGTGTGTGGGTGTCCCTGGAAGGTGTGTCTCAGGGTGTTTGTACATCTGTGAGTGTAAAGTGGATGTGTGTTTCTGTCTCTGGGTGTGTCCATGGAGGGGATGGGTCCTGATGGGGACAGCCCACCTAGGTTCTGGCTGAGGCCCATGGGCTCTGATGCCCCTTTAATACCCCCCCACCCCCAGCACCACCTGACATCCCATGCAGCCTGCCAGTGCTGCAGTGAGCACACACGCACACACACGGGTGCACACACAGAGCTCCGCAGCCTCCTCCTGGGACCCTTGCCCTGCCCCCCTCCCATGGGCACGGACCCCCCACCGCCTCCACCCACTGCCGCGGGGGGGCCCGTTGGGGCCCAGGGCTGGCGGGCCATGTAACCAGGGCTGCTGCTGGGAGCGCGGAGGGGAAGGGAGCCCCCAGCCCTGCTGGGCCGGCCCAGGCCCCTCCGCGGCTCCCCCTTCCACTACCCACCTGCCCGGCACCCCCTCCCCAGTGGTTGTTAACCCCGGGACTCCCCAAGCCCAGCCTCTGTGTGCAGCAGCCCCAGGCGGGCTAAGTCTCCAAGATGCCCTTGGTGGATTTCTTCTGCGAGACCTGCTCTAAGCCTTGGCTGGTGGGCTGGTGGGACCAGGTAGGAGAGTGCAGGGTAGGGGGTGGGCGGGCATCCTGGTGAGCTGGGCCCCCGGTGTGGGCTTGTGTGTGCAGCTGTGCACGTGTGTGGCCTGGAGATGAAGCCTTGTGACTGTCTCTGTGTGTGGCCCAGGGCTGGGCGTGGATGGCGGGCAGCTGGGGGTGTGTGACTCTCCCTGGGGGTGGACTGCGGGTCCCTCACTGGGTGTGACTGTGTCAGTGCCTGGATGTGTGTGTGTGTGTCTGCGATGGTGTGTGTCTGCCTGAGTATAGGCTTGTTTGCCTGGGTCACTGTGTGGCCCTGTCTGAGATCATCTGGCTCTGACCATGGTGTTGTGTGTTGGGTTGTGTGTCTGAGCCCAGAGCTGCCTGATATTTTGGGGACATGTGACCCCAAATGTCAGTGACCGCCTTATTTTGCATGCCCTTTGATCTGTGTGTCTGGGCTGTGTGACGCTGTGTAGGACTGAGAGCCTGTGATTGTGTGTGTGGTTGTGTGAGATTTTGTGGGTCCATCTTGTGTGGATGTGTGTGTCTCTGTACCCAGGGTCTCTGGGTGGCACCGGGAGGAGGGAGCACCCCGTCCAAGCCTGGGCCATGCAGGCTCACCCCTCCTGCCAAGTGTCCCTCCTGCTTCCCTGGACAGAGTCTGCTCCTGCTTTTGGGGTGCTGTGGCAGAGCTTGGGGGTGGGGAGCCAATGCCCTTTCTCCTCTGTGTACAATGTCACAGCAGAGGCCTGTGCAGAGTGGCATGGGGGGACCAGGAGGGGCCTCCAAGCCCGGTTTTGGGTATACTCTGTTCATCTGTGCATCTGTCCACCCTTCTGGGGTTGGGGGAGAGTGGGCTATGATGAGAACCCCCCTCCCCCTCCCCTGGGTGATCAAACTGGGATTTCCTCAGCTCACCATTCTCCCCTACCCCGGCCAAACCTTTTTGTCCCCCAGAGCTTGGCTACCACGTTCCCTTTTTCCAAACTGAGCTGGAGGCCAGGAGCCAGGACCCCCAGGATTGGGGTCCATGTCTGGGAACACTTGGGTCAGGGGCAGCTCTAGGAAGGCAAGGGTTAAGGGGCCTCCGGCTTGCCCCCCTTTTCCCCAGCTCAGCAGCTGGTTGGAGGGGGAGTTGCTAAGGAGACTCCCATCGCCATGGCGACGGGATTCTCCTGCTTCCCTATTGGCTCCCTGTTAGGCAGGAGCCCCTCCCTTCCACAGGTGCCCCTCTAGCTCCTCCTTGGGGGAGATGAGGAGGGAAGCCCCTCTTTCCTCAGGCAGGGAGGGTTATGCTGACCATGACTCCCCAAACCTGGGGACCTCCATCCAGAGCTGGGAGGACAGGAAAGGCTGACCCCAACCCCCCAGCAGTCTTATAGGGGCTCTGTTGGCTGAGCAGAAAAATAGGAGGGACTCATGGGGTCTTCAGGCGTTCTTGGGAAGGACTGACACCCTCCTCACCACTGTGCTTCCCCCATCATTTCTTCCTTGTTGACTCCTTTACCTTAGTTCAAAAGGATGTTGAACCGTGAGCTCACACACCTGTCAGAAATGAGCAGGTCCGGAAACCAGGTCTCAGAGTACATTTCCACAACATTCCTGGGTGAGTGAGGGGAAGCACGTGGGATTGGAGGGGGGACATTTGGGGTAGAGAGGGGGCTGCCCCTGACCGTGGGTCCTGTTGCTCACATCTTCCCAGGGACTCTGACTCTCAACTCCCCAAAGGTCACAGTCACCCTATCCAGGAACCCTCATGTTCCTGATGCCTCCAAACTCTGTGGGACCCCCAGCTTCTATAGAGCCCAACATCTGAAATCATCTGTGAGCTTAAAACCCTTCTAAACTTTAAAAAGCCTCCAAGCGCCGGGCGCGGTGGCTCACGCCTGTAATCCCAACACTTTGGGAGGCTGAGGCAGGCGGATCACTTGACATCAGCAGTTTGAGACCTGCCTGGCCAACATGGTGAAACCCCATCTCTACTAAAAATACAAAAAATTAGCCAGGCATGGTGGTGGGTGCCTGTAATCCCAGCAACTCAGGAGGCTCAGGCAGGAGAATCGCTTGAACCCAGGGGGTGGAGGTTGCAGTGAGCCGAGATCGCTCCATTGCACTCCAGCCTAGGCAACAAGAGTGAAACTCTTGTCTCAAAAAAAAAAAAAAAAATATTAGCCGGGCATGGTGGTGTGTGCTTGTAATCTCAGCTACTTGGGAGGCTGAGGCAAGAGAATCTCTTGAACTCAGGAGACAGAGGTTGCAGTGAGCCAAGATCACACCACTGCGTTCCAGCCTGGGCAATAGAGTGAGACTCCGTCTCAAAACAAACAAACAAACAAACACCTCTTTGTTTTAGCACTCACTTGAACCCGGGAGGCAGAGGTTGCAGTGAGCTGAGATCACGCCACTGCTGCACTCCAGCCTGGGCAACAGAGTGAGACTCTGTCTCAAAAAATAAACAAAAAAAAAAAGCCTCCAAGCTGAAAAGCCTCCTGAACTGAGTAGAACCCCAAATTCAATAGAATTTCCAAACTTGGATTGACTCCCTTCCAAACTCAGTAGACACACCCAAACTCAAGAGAGATGCCCAAACTCAGTAGAGTTCTCAAACTTAAGGGAAGTTCTGTGCTTCCGAGTCCACAAAAGGCCCCCCAACTTTAGCAACCTCCAAACTGAAAAACCCCCAAATTCAATAGGATCTCCAAACTTGGTATGACCCCCCCCCAATTCAGTAGACTCCCAAAATGTTAGAACCCTAATCTCTAGAAGATTATCAAGCTTAAGAACCTGTAAGAGGCAGGAAGAGGCAGCTCTTGCCTATAATCCCAGGACTTTGGGAGGCTGAGAAAAGAGGATCGCTTGAGCCCAGGAGTTCAAGACCAGCCTGGGCAACATAGTGAGAATCTGTCTCTACAAAAAAAATTAAAAACTAGGCCGGGCGCAGTGGCTCACGCCTGTAATCCCAGCATTTTGGAAGGCCGAGGTGGGCAGATCATGAGGTCAGGAGTTCAAGACCAGCCTGACCAACATGGTGAAACGCCATCTCTACTAAAAATACAAAAATTAGCTGCGCGTGTTGGCACACACCTGTAATCTCAGCTACTCAGGAGGCTGAGGCAGGAGAATTGCTTCAACCTGGGAGATGGAGGTTGCAGTGAGCTGAGATAGCGTCACTGCACTCCAGCCTGGGTGACAGAGTGAGACTCCATCTCAAAAAAAAAATAAATAAATAAATAAATAAATAGAATAAAAAACTAGTCGGGCATGGTGGCGTGTGCCTGTGGTCCCAGCTACCTGGGAGGCTGAGGCAGGAGGATCACTTGAGCCCAGGAGTTCGAGGCTGCAGTGAGACATGATTGCGCCACTGCACTCCAGCTTGTCTCAAAAAAACTAACACCTGTAAGATTCCTAATTCAATGGAACCCCAAATGCACCAGAATACCCCGATTTCACTGGAACCCTTAAGTTCATGGGTACCTCAAAACCCTCAAGCTAGAGATATTCCCCCAAACTCAGGATAATTTAATCCTCGCAGTTTATCACTACACTCCAAAGGCCCCCAAATTCGGGAACCGCCCAGACAAGCTCAAGAAAAGTGTTGGGGCTGGGTGCGGTGGCTCACGCCTGTAATCCCAGCACTTTGGGAGGCCGAGGCAGGCGGATCACTTGAGGTCAGGAGTTCAAGACCAGCCTGGCCAACATGATGAAACTCCATCTCTACTAAAAATGTAAAAATTAGCCGGGCGCGGTGGCGGGTGCCTGTAATCTCAGCTACTCGGGAGGCTGAGGTAGGAAAATCGCTTGAACCCGGGAGGTGGAGGCTACAGTGAGCCAGAGATCGTGCCACTGCACTCCAGCCTGGGCGACAGAGCGAGACTCTGTCTCAAGAAAAAAAGTGTTCGGTGTTTCCAGTACTCCCACCAGTGAGGGTGTGTCTCTGAGTTCTGAGGATCCACCCAATGGGAGCATAACATGTAAATGACCCGTATTAGGCCTTTTCATTGACTAGCTAGCTCCAGGTCACAATGGGTGACCTTGGCTCAGCTCTGGAAGCCCCTGAAAGCTCAGGAAAAGGGTTCCTGGGGCTGTCCCCCAGGCAGGCTGGTGCCAAGGTGGGCGGGGGGGGGGGGGGGCAGGGACATGGAGCCAGAGACCACCCTTCCCTCTCTCTTCCCAGTGATGCCACCCCCCACACCAGCACTCTTGGCCCCCATGCTGGGATCTTCCCCACCCAGAAAGGTTCCCTGGGTGTTCGGGGTAGGCAGCGGCTCTCCCTGGCATCCCCACCTCGCTTTCTGACTTCCCACACCACTCTCCATCCATATCTGATGATCAGACCGGGGCCATCCCAGAGCCCTGGGCCCCCACTCCAGCCCACCACCTCCTGGAAGATTTCCCACATCCCCTCTGGTTTCCTGACTCTGAGTAGCCAGCGGCATCACAGCTGAAAGGGTTCTGCCGTTTCGGGTGAGCCTTCCCCGTACGTGGTAGTGGGCTGAAGAATAAGGGAGCCTCCAGGGGTGGAAGGGTTGTTCACACTTGTTCCTGCTCCCCATCTTCTGCAGACAAACAGAATGAAGTGGAGATCCCATCACCCACGATGAAGGAACGAGAAAAACAGCAAGCGCCGCGACCAAGACCCTCCCAGCCGCCCCCGCCCCCTGTACCACACTTACAGCCCATGTCCCAAATCACAGGGTTGAAAAAGTTGATGCATAGTAACAGCCTGAACAACTCTAACATTCCCCGATTTGGGGTGAAGACCGATCAAGAAGAGCTCCTGGCCCAAGTGGGTGGGGGCTCAGTAGGGGCAGGGCTGGAGGGGGTGGTCTCCTGGGACCCTGAGAAGGACTGGGCATTGGGTTATGTCTTAGGCCAGGTTTCCCAGAAGCAGAGCTTGAGATGAGGGTTTGAGCCCATCTTGAGGCAAGCATGCTGGCTCTTTGTACCTCTGTATCATTCATTGCTTGGGGGCCGTCCCCAGGGCTGGACGTATCACCTCTTGCATGTAGCTCCTGTTGGGACTAGTCTTCTGGAAATGCAGGCAGCTGTGAGCCTTAGCAGGCAACACTCCCAGCTGCAGAGGGATTGGTGTACACAGCAGTGACGCTAATCCAGACTGTGCCCCCATAGTGTCCCCAACAGTCCAGACCGGTGTTTCACTCCTAGCTCTTCCAGGGGACAGCGGCAGTGGAAGTGATCCATCTTTGGTGGCTCACTCAGCTGAGGCTTATTGTAACCCTCTTTGAGCCACCTCCTCCAGTGAATCTTCCATTCAGTCACCTGGCCTTTAGTTATTTATTTTTATTTATTTATTTATTTTGAGATGGAGACTCGCTCTGTTGCCCAGGTTGGAGTGCAGTAGTGTGATCTCGGCTCAAGGCAACCTCCACCTCCTGGGTTCAAGCAATACTCCTGCCTCACCCTCCTGACTAGCCGGGACTAAAGGCCTGTGCCAGCACACCTGGCTAATTTTTGTATTTTTAGTAGAAATGGGGTTTCACCATGTTGACCAGGCTGGTCTCGAACTCCTGGCCTCAAGTGATCCACCCGCCTTAGCCTCACAAAGTGCTGGGATTGCAGGCGTGAGCCACTGCACCTGGCCAACTGGTGTTTATTAAGCAGCTACTATGTGCTGGCCCTTTTCTGAATTTTGGAGAGACATGGAAAATAAGCCCTTCTTCCTTTCTCCCCTGGGGCTCGTGAACAGCTTAGCTAAGAGGCTGAGCTGTGCTGGGGCCAGTCGTGCTGGGTTCCTATCCTAGCTTTGCCACTTATGAGCTGCATGATCTTGGAGAAGTCACATCGCCTCTCTGAGCCTTGGTGCCTTCACCTGCCAAACGAGATCAAGTGCTTAGAGCAATACTTGGCAGATCATAAGTACTCAAAAGACAGTGGCTGTGATTGCTTTCGCTATTTTGCAGCCCAGTAGGACGAGGGCAGTACATTCTGTGCTGTTGAACCTGTCACCCACTGGGTGAGCAATAATGGTGCTTCCTTCAGACCAAGGCTTCAAACTCCTAGGAAATGTTCTCCAGGGCCCTGAGCCTTACAGGCTTCTGACCTCTGGCCTCCGTCTCCACCAGGAACTGGAGAACCTGAACAAGTGGGGCCTGAACATCTTTTGCGTGTCGGATTACGCTGGAGGCCGCTCACTCACCTGCATCATGTACATGATATTCCAGGTGATGGGGACAGCTGGGAGTGGGCCCGGGTGAGGGGCTCATAGCGGGGCGCTGGAGGCCGGTGGAGGTCACCACCCTGCCCCTGCCTGCTCTCAGGAGCGGGACCTGCTGAAGAAATTCCGCATCCCTGTGGACACGATGGTGACATACATGCTGACGCTGGAGGATCACTACCACGCTGACGTGGCCTACCATAACAGCCTGCACGCAGCTGACGTGCTGCAGTCCACCCACGTACTGCTGGCCACGCCTGCACTAGATGTGAGTGACTGCCCTGTGAGTGACCGTCCCCATCTCTCTTTGTGACTGCCTCTTCAGCCTCCTGTGTGTCTCTCTGACCCTGTGTCTCTGACCTCCATCTCTCTTTGACGCCATTTCTCTCTCTTTTTTTTTTCTTTTTGAGACGGAGTCTTGCTCTGCCACCCAGGCTAGAGTGCAGTGGCACGATCTCAGCTCACTGCAACCTCTGCCTCCCGGGTTCAAGTGATTCTCCTGCCTCAGCCTCCTGAGTAGCTGGGACTACAGGTGCCCACCACCACGCCTGGCTAAGTTTTTATAATATTTTTAGTAGAGATGGCGTTTCGCCAAGTTGGACAGGCTGGTCTCAAACTCCCAACCTCGTGATCAGCCCGCCTTGGCCTCCCAAAGTGCTGGGAGTAGAGGCGTGAGCCACTGTGCCCGGTCAAAAATCTTATTTCTTAAAAAAAAAAAAGTTTTAGTCCAGGTGCGGTGGCTCACACCTGTAATCCCAGCACTTTGGAAGGCCAAGATGGGTGGATCACCTGAGGTCGGGAGTTTGAGACCAGCCTGACCAACGTGGTGAAACACTGTCTTTACTAAAAATACAAAAATTAGCCGGGCGTGGTGGGGCACGCCTGTAATCCCAGCTACTCCAGAGGCTGAGGCAGGAGAATCGCTGGAACCCAGTAGGTGGAGGTTGCAGTGAGCCAGGATTGCGCCACTGCACTCCAGCCTGGGCAACAAAGTGAGACTTCATCTCAAAAAAAATAAAATAAAAATTGCGGGGGGCTAGGCACGGTGGCTCACACTTGTAATCCCAGTACTTTGGGAGGCTGAGGCAGGTGAATCACCTGAGGTCAGAAATGGCCAACATGGCGAAACCCTGTCTCTACCAAAAATATTTTAAAAATTAGCCGGGCGTGGTGGTGGGAGCCTGTAATCCCAGCTACTAGAGAGGCTGAACCAGGAGAGTTGCTTGAACCCAGGATGGGGAAGTTGCAGTGAGCCAAGATCGTGCCACTGCATTCCAACCTGGGCAACAAGAGCAGAACTCTGTCTCAAAAAAAAAAAAAAAAAAGAAAGAAAATTAAATTTGAGACAGGGCCTTGCTATGTTGCCCAGGATGGCCTCGAACTTCTGGCCTTGAAGTCCTAGGCTCAAGTGATCCTCCCATCTCAGCCTCCTAAGTAGGTGAGACAAACAGGTGCTCACCACCATGCATGGCTTCAACTCTGTTATTCTAACATCCGTGTCTCTGCTCCCAGGCAGTGTTCACGGACCTGGAGATTCTCGCCGCCCTCTTCGCGGCTGCCATCCACGATGTGGATCACCCTGGGGTCTCCAACCAGTTCCTCATCAACACCAGTGAGTGGCCCTCGCCAGGGGCGGGGTTTGCTGAGTTGGAGGCGGTGTTGGCCAGGCTGGGGGCGGAACTAACTAGGCTGGAGGAGGGGCTGGCTGGCCTGGGGGCGGGGCTGGCTGGCCTGGAAAGGGGATGGCCGGGCAGGAGGCGGGGCTGGGGGCGGGGCTGGCTGGGCTGGAAAGGGGATGGCCGGGCAGGAGGCGGGGCTGGCTGGGCTGGAAAGGGGATGAACGGGCAGGAGGCGGGGCTGGGGGCGGGGCTGGCTGGGCTGGAAAGGGGATGGCCGGGCTGGGGTAGAGCTGACTGGGCTGGAGGCGAGGCTGGCCGGGCTGGGGAGGGGTTAGCTAGTTGGGGGCGGAGCTGGCCCTCCTGCGGTTGGAGCTGCACACGTGGGCCCTCCCCTGACCTCCGGGCTGGGCTGCAGATTCGGAGCTGGCGCTCATGTACAACGATGAGTCGGTGCTCGAGAATCACCACCTGGCCGTGGGCTTCAAGCTGCTGCAGGAGGACAACTGCGACATCTTCCAGAACCTCAGCAAGCGCCAGCGGCAGAGCCTACGCAAGATGGTCATCGACATGGTGGGCGGGGCTGGGGCGGGACGGAGCGGGAAAGGAAGCCTAGGAGTCGAGGGCTTTGGGGAGGAGTGGGTCTGAGTCCCAGAGGAACCCTCAACCTGGACAGAGCGGGCGGCTTCTACCTGGTGAAAACTTCAGAGGCCCGGGTCAGTCTGGGGGGCGGGTGTCAGCGGCCCCAGTGACGCCCCCTTGCCCGCAGGTGCTGGCCACGGACATGTCCAAGCACATGACCCTCCTGGCTGACCTGAAGACCATGGTGGAGACCAAGAAAGTGACCAGCTCAGGGGTCCTCCTGCTAGATAACTACTCCGACCGCATCCAGGTGCCCCCACGCCCCATCATCTAAGGAGGGAGGACACTCCCCCAGCCACACCTTTAGGTCTGGGTAGCTAACTGCCCCTTCCTCAGCCTCTTTCTCCCAAGTGGCCCATCTTCCTGTGTCCTTCTTTCTTTTTTTTTGTTTGTTTGTTTTTGAGACGGAGTCTTGCTCTTGTTGCCCAGGCTGGAATGCAATGGCGCCATCTTGGCTCACCACAACCTCCGCCTCCCGCCTCCCGCCTCCCGCCTCCCGGGTTCAAGCGATTCTCCTGTCTCAGCCTGCCGAGTAGCTGGGATCACAGGCATGCGCCACCATGCCCAGCTAATTTTGTACTTTTAGTAGAGAGGGTTTCTCCATGTCTGTCAGGCTGGTCTCGAACTCCCGACCTCAGGTGATCCCCCCCCGCCCCCCGCCTTGGCCTCCCAAAGTGCTGGGATTACAGGCGTGAGCCACCGCGCTCAGCCCTCTTTTTTTAAATTTATTTTTATTTACTTTGTATGTTTAAAGGAGAGTTGGGGTCTCACTATGTCACCCAGTCTGGTCTCAAACTCCTGAGCTGAAGTTATCCTCCTGTCTTGGCCTGCCAAAGTGCTGGGATAGCTGGCGTGAGCCACCACACCTGACCTCTTTCTGTCTGTCCCCTTCTCCATCTTCACTTTCCAATCCCATCTCTCCTTCCCATCTCTCCCACCATTTCCTCCCATTTCCCCCAATTCCTCCTTTCTTCTCATCAACTCCTTCCAGGTCCCCTGTCCCTCTCCCTAACCATCTTCTCTTCCCTCACCCCCCTTCCGACTCCTCCCATATTTTCTCCATCTCCCACACACCTCTCCCCGTTACCTCCTCTGTTCTCTGTTCTCCCCACCTTCTCTCCCTACTCCCTCCCTCCCCAGGTGGGAGATAAGAAAGCCTGAAAGCTGGGTGTGGTGGCTCACGCCTATAATCTCAACTACTCCAGAGGCTGAGGCAGGAGGACTGTTTGAGGCCAGGAGTTTGAGACCAGCCAGAGCAACATTGCAAGATCCTCTTTTCCTTTCCTTTCCTGTCCTGTCCTGTCCTGTCCTTTCCTTTCCTTCTTCTTTCTCTTTCTTCTTTTCTGTTTTTGGTTTTTTTTTTTTGAGATCGGGTCTCTCTGTCACCCAGGCTAGAGGGCACGGATCTTGGTTCCCTGCAAACTCCGCCTCCTGGGCTGCAGCAATTCTCCTGCCTCAGCCTCTAGCGTAGCTGGGATTACAGGTGCCTACCACCAGACCTGGCTAATTTTTGTATTTTTAGTAGAGATGGGGTTTCGCCATCTTGGCCAGGCCGATCTCAAATTCATGACCTCAAGTGATCTGCCCACCTTGGCCTCCCAAAGTGCTGTGATTACAGATGTGAGCCACCGCGCCCAGCCCCATTCTTTTTTTTTTTTTTTTTTTTTTCTGAGATGGAGTCTCACTCTGTCGCCCAGGCTGGAGGGCAGTGGCTTGATCTCGGCTCACGGCAACCTCCGCCTCCTGGGTTCAAGCAATTCTCCTGCCTCAGCCCCACTATAGCTGGGATTACAGGCATGTGCCACCGTGCCTGGCTAATTTTTTTGTATTTTTAGTAGAGACAGGGTTTCACCATGTTGGCCAGGCTGGTCTTGAACTCCTGACCTCATGATCCACCCGCCTCAGCATCCCAAAGTACTGGAATTACAGGCGTGAGCCACAGTGCCTGGCCCCCATTTCTTAAAAAAGAAGGAATGCCTGAGGTCTCAGACTGGGACACAGGCATAGCCTCTGAAGTTTCCCCTGTGCCCCAACCCCATGCAGGTCCTCCGGAACATGGTGCACTGTGCCGACCTCAGCAACCCCACCAAGCCGCTGGAGCTGTACCGCCAGTGGACAGACCGCATCATGGCCGAGTTCTTCCAGCAGGGTGACCGAGAGCGCGAGCGTGGCATGGAAATCAGCCCCATGTGTGACAAGCACACTGCCTCCGTGGAGAAGTCTCAGGTACAGGCTCGGGGCATTGATGGACGGGCACAGGGTGAGTCTCCCCAGCCCATCTTGGCCTGAAGTTCTGAGGCCCAGGAGCTCCTCCCCTGCCTTTCCACAATGCCAAGTTGTCCTGTTTTTGGTTTTGTTTTGTTTTTGAGACGGAGTCTCATTCTATTGCCCAGGCTGGAGTACAATGGCACGATCTTGGCTCACTGCAACCTCCGCCTCCCAGGTTCAAGTGATTCTCCTGCCTCAGCCTCCCAAGTATCTGGGATTACAGGCGTGCACCACCATGCCTGGCTAATTTTTGTATTTTTAGTAGAGATGGGGTTTCACCGTGTTGGCCAGGCTGGTCTTGAACTCCTGACCTTGTGATCTACCCGCCTTGGCCTCCCAAAATGCCAGGATTACAAGTGTGAGCCACTGCGCCCAGCCTCCTGTTTTTCTTTTATTTAGGTTTTATTTATTTATTTTGAGACCGGGTCTTGCACTGTTGCCCAGGGTAGCATGCAGTGGTGTGATCATAGCTCACTGCAGCCTTGAATTCCTGGGCTCAAGCGATCTTCCTGCCTCAGCCTCCAGAGTAGCTGAGAATACAGGTGCACACCACCACACCTAGCTAATTTTTTAAAATTTTTTGTCGAGACAGGGATTTGCTATGTTGCCAGACTTGTCTTGAACTCCTGGGCTCAAACCTTGGCCTCCCAAAGTGCTGGGATATGGGGTGAGTCACCATACCCGGCCTTGTTTTCATTTTTCTTTTTCTTTTTTTTCTGAGACAGGGTCTCATTGTGCCACCCAGGCTGGAGTGCAGGGGCGTGATCTTGGCTCACTGCAACCTCCACCTCCTGGGCTAAAATGATCCTCCACCCCCGCCTCCAGAGTGGCTGGGACTATAGGCGTGCACCACCACACTCGGCTAATTTTTGTATTTTTCATGGAGATGGGGTTCTGTCATGTTGCCCAGGCTGGTCTCGAACTCCTGGGCTCACTCAGTCTGCCTCCCTCAGCCTCCCAAAGTGCTGGGATTACAGGGGTGAGCCACCCTGCCTGGCCCCTCCCCACTTTATATCCTCCCTGGTGAAACCCAACCATCTGAGTTTGATGTCTCTACCCGTCCAGACCTGAGTTTCTAGGCCTCAGCACTGTTGACATTTGGGTGATCATTTTTTGTGCTAGGAGCTGCCGTGGGTATTACAGGATTCTTAGCAGAATCCCTGGTCTCTCTCTACCCACTAGATGCCAGAAGTATCCCCCTCCTCATTTTTTTTTTTTTTGAGACAGAGTTTCCTTCTTGTCACCCAGGCTGGAGTACAGTGGTGCAGTCTCAGCTCACTGCAACCTCCGCCTCTCGGGTTCAAGCGATTCTCCTGCCTCAGCCTCCCGAGAAGCTGGAATTACAGGCATGCGCCACCACGCCCAGCTAATTTTGTATTTTTAGTAAAGATGGTGTTTCTCCATGTTGGTCAGGCTGGTCTCGAACTCCCGACCTCAGGTGATCCGCCCACCTCGGCCTCCCAAAGTGCTGGGATTACAGGCATAAGCCACCGCGCCCAGCCTCCCCCTGCTCATTTGTAAAGACCAAAAATGCCTCCAGACATTGCCAAATGTCCCCTAGGTGTGCAAAATCACTCACACACACCCCATGGAAAACTAATTTTATACACTTTATAACGTAGTTATGTTCATAGGCAACTTCATAGCAATAGTTTGTGGCTTTAGCTTTTTTTTTTTTTTTTTTTTTTTTTTTTTTTTTTGAGATGAAGTCTCACTCTCGTTCCCCAGGCTGGAGTGCAATGGCGCGATCTTGGCTCACTGCAACCTCTGCCTCCCGGGTTCGAGCCATTGTCCTGCCTCAGCCTCCTGAGTAGGTGGGATTACATGTGCCCACCACCATGCCCTGCTAATTTTTGTATTTTTAGTAGAGACAGGGTTTCACCATGTTGGCCAGGCTGGTCTTGAACTCCAGACATCAGGTGATCCACCCACCTCAGCCTCCCAAAGTGCTGGGATTACAGGCGTGAGCCACTGCATCCGGCCTACTTTTTTTTTTTTTTCCTGAGACGGAGTCTCGCTCTGATGCCTAGGCTGGAGTGCAATGGCACAATCTCGGCTCACTGCAACTTCCACCTCCCAGGTTCAAGCAATTCTCCCTGCCTCAGCCTCCCGAGTAGCTGGAATTGCATTTAGCTTTTTAAAAAATAGGCCAGGTGCAGTGGCTCACGCCTGTAATCCCAGCACTTTGGGAGGCCGAGGTGGGCTGATCACAAGATCAGGAGATCTAGACCATCCTGGCTAACACAGTGAAACCCCGTCTCTACTAAAAATAGAAAAATTAGCCAGGCACGATGGCGGGCGCCTGTAGTCCCAGCTACTCGGGAGGCTGAGGCAGGAGAATGGCGTGAGCCCGGGAGGCAGAGGTTGCAGTGAGCCGAGATCGAGCCACTGCACTCCAGCCTGGGTGACAGAGCAAGACTCCGTCTCAAAAAAAAAAAAAAAAAAGTGTGTGTGTGTGTAAACTGCATCAATGTATACATTTTTTTGTTTTTGTTTTTGAGACGGAGTCTTGCTCTGTCACCCAGGCTGGAGTGCAGTGGTGCGATCGCAGCTCATTGCAATCTCCGCCTCCCAGGTTCAAGCGATTCTGTCTCAGCCTCCCAAGTAGCTGAACTACAGGCATGCACCACCACAACCAGCTAATTTTTGTATTTTTGGTAGAGATGCGGTTTCACCATGCTGGCCAGGCTGGTCTCGAACTCCTGACCTCAAATGATCCGACTGCCTCAGCCTCCCAAAGTGCTGGGATTATAGACATGAGCCACCATGCCCGGCCCATAAGCATGTTTTTCATTTCATTAGCTCCCATAATGTGGTGGTATCATCCACCCCATAGGCCGCCCATTTATACTTTCTTCCCCTCCACCAGGTGGGTTTTATTGACTACATTGTGCACCCATTGTGGGAGACCTGGGCGGACCTTGTCCACCCAGATGCCCAGGAGATCTTGGACACTTTGGAGGACAACCGGGACTGGTACTACAGCGCCATCCGGCAGAGCCCATCTCCGCCACCCGAGGAGGAGTCAAGGGGGCCAGGCCACCCACCCCTGCCTGACAAGTTCCAGTTTGAGCTGACGCTGGAGGAGGAAGAGGAGGAAGAAATATCAATGGCCCAGATACCGTGCACAGCCCAAGAGGCATTGACTGCGCAGGGATTGTCAGGAGTCGAGGAAGCTCTGGATGCAACCATAGCCTGGGAGGCATCCCCGGCCCAGGAGTCGTTGGAAGTTATGGCACAGGAAGCATCCCTGGAGGCCGAGCTGGAGGCAGTGTATTTGACACAGCAGGCACAGTCCACAGGCAGTGCACCTGTGGCTCCGGATGAGTTCTCGTCCCGGGAGGAATTCGTGGTTGCTGTAAGCCACAGCAGCCCCTCTGCCCTGGCTCTTCAAAGCCCCCTTCTCCCTGCTTGGAGGACCCTGTCTGTTTCAGAGCATGCCCCGGGCCTCCCGGGCCTCCCCTCCACGGCGGCCGAGGTGGAGGCCCAACGAGAGCACCAGGCTGCCAAGAGGGCTTGCAGTGCCTGCGCAGGGACATTTGGGGAGGACACATCCGCACTCCCAGCTCCTGGTGGCGGGGGGTCAGGTGGAGACCCTACCTGATCCCCAGACCTCTGTCCCTGTTCCCCTCCACTCCTCCCCTCACTCCCCTGCTCCCCCGACCACCTCCTCCTCTGCCTCAAAGACTCTTGTCCTCTTGTCCCTCCTGAGAAAAAAGAAAACGAAAAGTGGGGTTTTTTTCTGTTTTCTTTTTTTCCCCTTTCCCCCTGCCCCCACCCACGGGGCCTTTTTTTGGAGGTGGGGGCTGGGGAATGAGGGGCTGAGGTCCCGGAAGGGATTTTATTTTTTTGAATTTTAATTGTAACATTTTTAGAAAAAGAACAAAAAAAGAAAAAAAAAAGAAAGAAACACAGCAACTGTAGATGCTCCTGTTCCTGGTTCCCGCTTTCCACTTCCAAATCCCTCCCCTCACCTTCCCCCACTGCCCCCCAAGTTCCAGGCTCAGTCTTCCAGCCGCCTGGGGAGTCTCTACCTGGGCCCAAGCAGGTGTGGGGCCTCCTTCTGGGCTTTTCTTCTGAATTTAGAGGATTTCTAGAACGTGGTCAGGAATAGCCATTCTAGGCGGGGCTGGGGCCAGGGTGGGGGGCAGTCACTGTGGGAGGTCCCAGCTCCAGCCCCCCTCTGGTTTGCTGCCTCCTCTCCCCTCTAAAAAAGTCTTCCGCTTGATTTTGCACAATCCCGGCGATACTCCTGGCGATACTGACTAGAAAGTCAGGGAGCTGGGGGAGCTGTTCACTTTAGGATACGGGGGTGGTATGGAAGGGAGCGTTCACACCGCCAGCCTCGGGCCTGGGATTTGAGGAGGGCCCTAGACCTCCTCCACTCTCCATCCCCTTTCCCTTCCACTTTGGGTTCACTTTGAATTTTCTCCGTTTTTTGGGGCAGTGGCTCTGATCCACTCACCCCCCCGCCCCCCGCCCCACTTCTAGCTGCTTCTCCTCTTGTTTCTGCCTTAATAATTCCCACGGCCACAGGCAAGGGGGTTGCAGTGGCCGCCTGCACCTTGGATGAGGCAGGGCCAGGCGCCCAGAACCCCCATCCTGGCCGCACCCCCCTTTCCAGGGTCCTCCGGACCCCACCTTCCACACTCTGATCACAGCCCCCCTACCTTTTGCCCTAGGAGGAAGCAATAATGGTGTATACCCTCATTCTCATTCCTGGGCAGCCCTTCCTTCCACCCTGGCACCAAAATAATTTCTCCTCCATCCGTACCTTGCCTAGCCTCTCCCTCTCCCCCAGCTAGTCCCTGAGCAATACGGCAGACAGATGCAAGACCATTTTTCTCCAAGCCATGGGGGACTGTTTGGAAGGAAAGCCCCCTCTCTCCCTCCTCCCCTCGCCCTCGGCCTGGTTCTGCAGCTGGACCGACCTCATTCATCGCCTGCCCCCTACCCAATTCTGAGCACACGGTACTGTAGCCCCCAGTTCCTCCCTAGCCTTCCATCCCTCTGTCCACCCCAGGGGGAGGTAACCCCGCACTCACACTCCCTTGATGCTGTCTGTACAGGGTTCATATTTTGTAGCGAAAGTCGTTTTTGTCCCAGCCGGCGATCGGAGTGGGCCTTTTCTTTCTTTTTGTTCATTCTTTACCTTTTTTTCTTTTCTTTCTTTCTTTTTTGTACATACTGTAAGGTTGGTTTGTAAATTATTCTACGGAGGCAAAAAGGGAAAATAAAAACTTGCCCTTCCCTGGCTGACCCAGTCGGGAAGGTAGGGAAGGAGGTCTCCCGTTGGGAGAGTCTCTGTTCCTGCTGTATTATACAAACTGTACCATAGTCCTGGGAAAAGGGTGGACTCACCGCTGTTGTTTTATGGGAAGTCGTGTCATCCTAGGGGTTGGGGCTGGGCAGAGCCTGTCCCCTCCCCCCTTCTCCAGGAGCCAGGGGGTGACTGGAGAGACAGACCCACCCCCAAGCAGGGCTCCTCTCCCCAGGGTGAGCACAGGACCTCTGTAAGCTGCTTGTGTATTGTCCACTTTGACGATCAGTCATTCGGTCCGTTGATCAATAATCCTTCGATCTTGTCTCCAATTAAACCGAGGCTTTCACCGATTTTCCTGGCTGATGTGGCTTCATTCCCCATGTTGTTTGTTGAGGTGTCTCCCCGCTGCACCGTCTGCTTGGGTTGGGGAGGGAGTTTCTGTCCCTACTTGTTCCCCAGCAGACGGAATTGTGAAGTAGAGCTTGGACAGAGACATTCCCCAGCCTGAGTCAGGTTATAAAATGGAAATTCAAGCCATGCAGGGTTTGTTTTGTTTTGTTTTGTTTTTGAGATGGAGCTTCCCTCTTGTTGCCCAGGATGGAGTGCAATGGCGCCATCTCGGCTCACTGCAACCTCCGCCTCCCGGGTTCAAGCGATTCTCCTGGCTCAGCCTCCCGCGTAGCTGGGATTACAGGCGCCCGCCACCATGTCTGGCTAATTCTTTGTATTTGTCGTAGAGATGGAGTTTCACCATGTTGGTCAGGCTGGTCTCAAACTCCTGACTTTGGGAGATCCACCCGCCTCAACCTCCCAAAGTGCTGGGATTACAGGCATGAGCCATTGCACCCAGCCCCATGCAGTATTTAAAAGGGAAAAGATGTGGCTGGGCGCGGTGGCTCACGCCTGTAATCCCAGCACCTTGGGAGGCCGAGGCGGGCGGATCATGAGGTCAGGAGTTTGAGACCAACCTGGCCAATATAGTGAAACCCCGTCTCTACTGAAAAATAGAAAAATTAGCCGGGCGTGGTGGTGTGTGCCTGTAGTCCCAGCTACTTGGGAGGCTGAGGCAGAATAGCTTGAACCCAGGAGGCGGAGGTTTCAGTGAGCTGAGATCATGCCACTGCACTCCAGCCTGGGTGACAGAACGAGACTTTGTCTCGAAAAGAAAAAAAAAAAGGCAAAAGACTACCCAGTGCAAAGGCTCATGCCTGTAATCCCAGTGTTTTGGGAGGCCGAGATCAGCGCAGGAGTTCAGGACAAGCCTGGGCAACATAGTGAGACCCTGTCTCTATTAAAAATTTTAAAAATTGGTCAGGCACGGTGGCTCATGCCTGTAATCCCGGCACTTTGGGAGGCTGAGGCGGCTGGATCACCTGAGGTCAGGGGTTCGAGACCAGCCTGACCAACATGGTGAAACCCTGTCTCTACTAAAAATACAAAAATTAGCTGGGCATGGTGGCGCATTCCTGTAATCCCAGCTACTCAGGAGGCTGATACAGGAGAATTGCTTGAACCCGGGAGGCAGAGGTTGCAGTGAGCCGAGATTGTGCCACTTGTACTCCAGCCTGGGTGACAGAGTGAGACTCTGTCTCAAAAAATAAAAAAAAAATTTTAAAAAGTTAGCCAGTGGTGGTGGACCATCCCTGTGGTCCCAGGTACTTGGAAGGCTGAGGCAGGAGGATTGCTTGAGCCTGGGAAGTAGAGGTTGCAGTGAGACGTGCCCATGCCACTGCACTCCAGCCTGGACAACAAGAGCAAAAACTCTCTACCAAAAAAAAAAAAAAAAAATTAATGGCATGGTCTCTCTCTGTTTTCCAGGCTGAAGTGCTGTGGCACAATCAGCTCCCTACAGCCTTGAACTTCTGGGTTCTAGAGATCCTCCTGCCTCACCCTACCTAGTAGCTGGGATTACAGGTGGATGCCACCACACCTGGCCTAACCCACATACTTGAATGCTGTTAATTCCACTCACAGAGCCTAATTTTCCCACATTTATTAGGCTTTTTTTTTTTTTTTTTTTTTTTGGTGGCAGAGTGAGACTCTATCACCCAGTCTATAGTGCAGTGGTATGACATGATCATAGTTCACTGCAGCCTCAACCTCCTGGACTTCAGTGATCTTCCTGCCTCAGCCTCCCATGTAGGCAGGACCATAGGCGGGTGCCACCACGCCCGGCTAATTTATTTTTTATTTTGTAGAGACAGGGTCTCGGTTTGTTGCCCAGGCTGGTCTCAAACTCCTGGGCTCAAGCAATCTTCCCACCTTGGCCTCCCAAAGTGCTGGGATTACAGGCGTGAGCCACCACACCCAGCCCTGTTAGGCTGATTAACAAGCCCCTGGTTTTACCAATAGGTTTCTGACATTCATTATACTAATGAGCAAAACTTCTGAATATAGATAAAGATATGGATAGTGGAAATGTTTGTGATTTGGACCTTGATTAGAATACTGGCTGCCTCGGCTGGGCGTGGTGGCTCACTCCTGTAATCCCAGCACTTTGGGAGGCCGAGGCAGGTGGATCACCTGAGGTCAGGAGTTTGAGACCAGCCTGACCAACATGGTGAAACCCTGTCTCTACTAAAAATACAAAAATTACCTGAGCGTGGTGGCACGTGCCTGTAGTCCCAGCTACCTGGGAAGCTGAGACAGGAGAATTGCTTGAACCTGGGAGCTGCAGGTTGCAGTGAGCCCAGATTATACCACTGCACTTCAGCCTGGGCGACAGATCGAGACTCCGTCTCAAAAAAAGAAGGAAAAAAAAAAAAGAATACTGGCTGCCTCTGGGGCTTAATAAACCAGGATGCACATGAATACATACAGTGCTTGAGTAGGTAGACACAAGGGGGCACTAGACATATATTTTTATACAATGCATGTTCTGAAACATGAGAGCATCTTGCGTGGGTCCAAGGAAAAGTCCACCTGCCTACTCTGCCATTTGTTTCTAGTCCAGGGACTCTGAGATTTTTTTCTATTTTTCTTTTCTTTTCTTTTTTTTTTAGACGCGGATTGGTTCTGTCACCCAGGCTGGAGTGCAGTGGCATGATCAGGGCTCACTGTAGCCTAGACCCTCTGGGCCCAAGTGATACTCCCACCTTAGCCTCCTGAGTAGCTGGAATGATAGGTGTGCACCACCAAGCCCAGCTTTTTTTTTTTTTTTTTTTTTTTGGTAGAGATGGGGATCTCCTTATGCTGATCAGGCTGGTCTTGAACTCCTGGGCTCGAGAGGGAATCTGATTGGTGATCTTGGGGGCGATCTCTCTGAGCTTCACTTGTTTCTTCTACTAAATGGGGATATATTAGCTGAGTGTAGTTGTGCGCACCTGTAGTCCCAGCTACTCCGGAGGCTGAGGCAAGAGGATCACTTGAGCCCAGGAGGTCGAGGCTACAGTGAACTGTGATTGTGCCAGTGCACTCTAGTCTGGGTGACAGAGTGAGACACTGCCTCAAAAAAAAAAAAAAAAAGTAAATAAATAAAATGGGGCCAGGTGTGGTGGCTCACACCTGTAATCCCAGCACTTTGGGAGGCTGAGGCAGGCGGATCACCTGAGGTCAGGAGTTAGAGACCAGCCTGGCCAACTTGGTGAAACCTTGTCTGTACTAAAAATACAAAAATTAGCCAGGCGTGCTGGCGGGGATCTATAATCCCAGCTACTGGGGAGTCTGAGGCAGGAGAATCACTTGAACCTGGGAGGCAGAGGTTGCAGTGAGCCAAGATCGCAACATTGCACTCCAGCCTGGGCAACAAGAGTGAAACTCCATCTCAAAAAAAAAGAATTAATTATTTAAATAAAATGGGATAATGACAGTTACAGAGTTAAACAGTTGCTCTATAGTACGGTTTGGCTAGTAAAACTTTCTTTAAAAAAAAAAAGGTGTAGAGATGGGGTCTCACCATGTTACATGCCCAAGCTGATCTCCTCGAAGTCCTGGGCTCAAGCAATCCTCCTGCCCCAGCCTCCCAAAGTGCTAGGATTACTAGCACTTTGACCCTAAAATCAGGTGTGAGCCACTGTTCCCGGCCTCAGTAAAACTTTCTGTGGTAATAGGAATATTCTTTATCTGTGCTATCCAACAAGTCAGCAACTAGTCACATGTGGCTATTGCGCCCTTGAAATGTGGCCAGTTTTAATTTCCGGCCACAGTGGTGGCCAGAAGCTACTGTATTGGACTTAAATTCTAAAAATTCAGCCAGAGTTAATGGAAAATATTTAGGCTATACAAAGAGTTGTTTGACAACAGCTGTAAAGATTCACAGAAGATAGAACCTAGAAAAGTGGGAGGAGAGAAGCAGAGCTCGAAAAATAGGTAGAAGTTTTCAGGGAATCTGAACTTTGCAAGAAGTGAAAAGGAGACACAGACATTTTCCCCAGGGACTTTCAAATGGAGGCAGAGTCGGGAAAAGGGCTTTGGGCTGGGGGTCAGGAGGTGACAGCACTAATTCTAGCCTGCAGTGGACTGTGGGTGACCTTAGACGAGATTTCTCCTTCCAGGCCTCAGTTTCCCCAAGTGTAAAAGGGTGGGCTGGGTGCGGTGGCTCACACCTGTAATCCCAACACTTTGGGAGGCCGAGGCAGGCAGATCACTTGAGGTCAGGAGTTGGAGACCAGCCCAACCAACATGGTGAAACCCGCGTCTCAACTAAAAATACAAAAAGATTAGCCAAATGTGGTGGCACATGCCTGTACCAGCTACTCAGAAGGCTGAGGCAGGAGAATTGCTTGAACCTGGGAGGTGGAGCTTGCAGTGAGCTGAGGTCAAGCCACTGCACTCCAGCCTGGGCGAAAGAGCGAGACTCCGTCTAAAAAAAAAAAAAAAAAAGACCAGGTGTGGTGGCTCACACCTGTAATCCCAGCACTGTGGGAGGCCGAGGCGGGTGGATCACCTGAGGTCAGGAGATCAAGACCAGCCTGACCAATATGGTGAAACCCCGTCTCTACTGAAAATACAAAAATTAGCTGGACGTGGCGGAGGGCACCTGTAATCCCAGCTACTCGGGAGGCTGAGGCAGGAGAATCGCTTGAACCCGGGAGGTGGAGGTTGCAATGAGCTGATATCATGCCCCTGTACTTCAGCCTGGGTGACAGAGTGAGACTTTGTCTCAAGAAAATAAAAAAATTTTTTTAGGCCGGGCGCGGTGGCTCACACCTGTAATCCCAGCACTTTGGGAGGCCGAGGCGGGCGGATCACAAGGTCAGGAGATCGAGACCATCCTGGCTAACACGGTGAAACCCCATCTCTACTAAAAATACAAAAAATTAGCCAGGCAAGGTGGCAGGCGCCTGTAGTCCCAGCTACGCGGGAGGCTGAGGCAGGAGAGTGGCGTGAACCCCGGGGGGTGGAGCCTGCAGTGAGCCGAGATCATGCCACTGCACTCCAGCCTGGGCGACAGCAAGACTCCGTCTCAAAAAAAAAAAATTTTTTTAAAAAAAGGGCAGATGTGATGTTCGGAACACCTCCTGTATTGGGACAGACTGAAAATATGGGTCAAAAATGGCAGTGATGGCCGGGTGCGGTGGCCCACGCCTGTAATCCCAGCACTTTGGAAGGCCGAGGCCGGTGGATCACCTGAGGTCAGGAGTTCGAGACCAACCTGGCCAACATGGAGAAACCCCGTCTCTCTAAAACCCCAAAACTTATCCAGGCATGGTGGCACACACCTGTAGTCCCAGCTACTCAGGAAGCTGAGGCAGGAGAATCGCTTGAACCCGGGAGGCAGAGGTTGCAGTGAGTGGAGATTGTGCCATTGCACTCAAGCCTGGGCAACAAGAGTGAAACTCTGTCTCAAAAAAAAAAAAAAAAAAAAAAATGGCAATGACACATGACCATCAGCTGGCTCTCCAGGGTGGGGAATTCACCTTTTTTCCAGCAAAGGTGAACAAGGGCAGTGGGGCACAGCAGGGAGGCCACGTAATCTGAAGGAGGCCAGGGGAACCTGGGGAAGGAGTGGAGTCGGTTCATTATCTGAAATTGACATCAAGGCTTGCAGGCTTCCTGGTACTGGTCTTGAGCAAATGGCTCCGCCTCTCCCAGACTTTAGAGGGCTCTATCCTGTGCTAAACTTTTTAAGATTATCTCATTGACTCTCCAGCTGTTCTTGAGATATGGACTAGCATTGGTTCCATTTTGCAATTGAAGAAACTGAGGGCTGGGATGAGATCGCACAATATGGAGAAAATTCGAGGAAATAAGACGAGGACCTCGCTTCACCCAGTGCCTGTTCAACAGTGATAGCTGTCCCCATACTTTTATGTTATTTCAGGTGCACGAAATCTTGAGATGTAGGTAGTATTTCTCCCTCTCTAACAGCATAAAAACGTGTCAGTGCCGGCCAGGTGTGGTGGCTCACGCCTGTAATCCCAGCACTTTGGACGTGGTGGCGGGCACCTGTAATCCCAGCTACTCGGGAGGCTGAGGCAGGATAGTCCCTTGAACCTGGAAGGTGGAGGTTGCAGTGAGCTGAGATCATGCCACTGCACTCCAGCCTGGGCAACAAGAGTGAAATTCCATCTCAAACAACAACAAAAAAAAGTCAATGCAAATCAAAATAAGACATTTATTTTTTATTTTCTTTTGCAAAGCATTTTCACAGCTCATTTCTGTTCGTGCAAGCTAGAACATACAGCTTTCCAGGAATGGTCTGACAATATTTATCAAAAACATAACCAGCTGGGCGCAGTGGCTCTTGCCTGGAATCTCAGCACTTTTGGAGGCTGAGGTGGGAGGATCATTTAAGCCTAGGAATTCAAAACCAGCCTGGGTGACATAGTGAGACATGTCTGTCTGTCTTTCTTTCTTTCTTTCTTTCTTTCTTTCTTTCTTTCTTTCTTTCTTTCTTTCTTTTTCTTTCTTTCTTTCTTTCTCTCCTTCCTTCCTTCCTTCTTTCCTTCCTTCCTTCCTTCCTTCTTTCTTTTCTTTCTTTCGAGACAAGATCTCACTCTGTTATCCAGGCTCCAGGCTGCAGTGGCTAATTGCAGACTCAACCTCCTTAGGCTCAGGTGATCCTCCCAACTCAGCCTCCCAAGTAGCTGGTATTAGAAGCATCTGCCACCATGCCAGGCTAAATTTTTTTTTTTTTTTTTTTTTGCTCTTTTGTAGAGATGGAGTCTCGCCATGTTGCCCAGGCTGTTCTCAAACTCCTGGACTCAAGCGATCCTCCTGCCTCGCCCCCCCAAAGTGCTGGGATTACAGGTGTCAACCATCGCACCTAGACCTGAGACATGTTTCTAAAAAAAATTTTTTTTTTGAGACAATGTTTCACTCTTGTTGCCCAGGCTGGAGTGCAATGGTGTGATCTTGGCTCACTGCAACCTCGGCCTCCCGGGTTCAAGCGATTCTCCTGCCTCAGCCTCCCAAGTAGCTGGGACTGCAGGCACCCACCACCACGCCCGGCTAATTTTTTTATTTTTAGTAGAGATGGGGTTTCACCATGTTGTCCTGGCTGGTCTTGAACTCCTGACCCCAGGTGATCCGCCCGCCTTGGCCTCCTAAAGTGCTGGGATTACAGGCGTTAGCCACAGTGCCCGGCCAAAAATTTTTTTTTTTTTTTAGACGGAGTTTCGCTCTTGTCGCCCAGGCTGGAGTGCAATGGCACGATCTCAGCTCACCGCAACCTCTGCCTTCCGGGTTCAAGCAATTCCCCTGCCTCAGCCTCCCAGGTAGCTGGGACTACAGGGATGCGCCATGACGCCCGACTAATTTTTGTATTTTTAGTAGAAACAGGGTTTCACCATCTTGGCCAGGCTGGTCTCGAGCTGCTGACCTCATGATCCACCCGCCTCGACCTCCCAAAGTGCTGGAATTACAGGCATGAGCCACCGTGCCTGGCCAAAAAATATTTTTTTAAAGATGCAACTGCTTGGCCAGGCACGGTGGCTCATGCGTGTAATCCCAGTACTTTGGGAGGCCAAGGTGGGAGGATCACCTGAGGTCAGGAGTTCAAGACCAGCCTGGCCAACATGGTGAAACCAACCTCATCTCCACAAAAATAACAAAATTAGCCAGGCATGATGGTGGGTGCCTGTAATCCCAGCTACTCCAGAGGCTGAGGTGGGAGAATCGCTTGAACCCATGAGGTGGAGGGTGCAGTGAGCCGAGATCGTGCCGTTGCCCTCCAGCCTGGGTGACAGAGTGAGACTGTCTAAAAAAAAAAAAAAAAAAAAGATGCAAAGATGCAAATGCTCAAATATCTAAAGTAAAAAATGTCTCTATTCTCCTTGGTCAGAATAGTGAAGAATTATTAATAATCCAGGTGACCACTATTAAGGAGTTATTAAATTACTTTTCACCTATATGATGGAATAATATGCAACCATTAAAAATGATCAAGTGGGCTGGGCGCAGTGACTTACGCCTGTAATCCTAGCACTTTTGGAGACCGAGGCTCGTGGATTGCCTGAGCTCAGGAGTTCGAGACCAGCCTGGGCAACACAGTGAAACCCTGTCTCTACTAAAATACAAAAAATTAGACGGGCGTGGCAGTATGCGCCTATAGTCCCAGCTACCCGGGAGGCTGAAGCAGGAGAACTGCTTGAACCCAGGAGGCCGAGGTTGCAGTGAGCCGAGATTGTGCCACTGCACTCCAGCCTGGGCAACAGAGCAAGACTCCGTCTCCAAAAAAAAAAAAAAAAAAAAAAAATCAGGTGGATCTATGTTTATTGAAATGGCCAGAGATATTCACAGTCAGAACAGCAGGTTTCAAAATATTCTGTATTATATGATCCTACTGAAAAGTAACATGCAGAGAAAAGGCAGTTACCCATCCAGATATTCACAGTGTCTCCAGTGGTGGGATTAAGAAAGATCTGTGTCTTCAAACACTGCGGAAGGCCGCAGGGTCCTCTGCCTAGGAAAACCAGAGACCTTTGTTCATATGTTTATCTGCTAACCTTCTCTCCACTATTGTCCTATGACCCTGCCAAATCCCCCTCTCCGAGAAACACCCAAGAATGATCAATAAATACTAAAATAATTTTTTAAAAAAGAAAGATCTGTGTCTTGTGTAGTCTTTGACATTTTCTGAACATTTTGCAATGAGCATATATTACATTCATTGATGATCGATTGATTGGGACAGGGTCTCATTTGTCACCCAGACTGGAGTGTAGTGGTGCAATCACAGCTGACTGCAGTCTCGACCTCTCAGGCTCAAGCAATCCTCCTGCCTCAGCCTCCCAAATAGCTGACAGGCACCTGCCCCTGCCCCCAGCTACTTAAAAAAACTTTTTGTAAAGATGGGTTCTCACTATGTCGCCCAAGCTGGTCTCAAACTCCTGGGCTCAAGCGATCCTCCTGCCTCAGTGTTGGGATTACAGGCGTGAGTCACTGCACCCAGTCTATATTACTTTTATAATCAGAAAGTTATTTTATAATCAGGGGAAATGAAAAACATCTGGTATTTATTATCTGGGAGGCACAAAAACGTGGTGGATAAGCACACAGATTCTAGATTCAGCTTTCCTGGATTTTGGCTCCAACTCAGCCAAGTTAATGGCTGGGTTAGTCTGGGCAGGTTACTGGCCAAGGGGGGAAACCATGCCTCAGTTTCCCCCATTGTAAAATCCAAATAACAATAGCTTAGGTTTACCGAGAGGTTGTTATGTGACAAGCACTGTTTGTTTTACGTAAATCATCGAGGTAAATGCTCACAACAGCCCTATTAAGTAAGTACTATTATTATAAAAAGGGTCACAGGCATAGGCAGGGAAGGAGGTAGGGCTGGGAGTCGGAGCCCGTGAGCGCCCCCTAGAGTAGGGCTAAGGGGCGGGGGGGCGGGCTACAGCAGAATAGGGACCCAGCGCACTCGCAGAACGAGGGGGGAGGCGAGGCGAGAACGAGCGGGAGTTTTTTTCCCGACTACGATTGGCTGGTGTAATTGTCATCACTTGAAAAGGCAGCCAATGAGAGGCGCGGTCGCCTCGCTGGTGGAAGCCGAGAGCTGAGCGAAGTGAGGCGTGCGGAGCCAAAGGCGCTAGAGCGATAGCGGGAGCCCCGGACCCCGAAGCGGTTGAGGGGATCCAGGCCTCACAACGTCTTGAGAGTGGCCCCAGCGTCGTTCCTAGTCTCTTCGGCAGACCCCAGCGTCGTCCTTCTTTTCCTGAGAATATCCTGACACCAGTCGCCCGTTCCAGAAGGGGACACTTGGCGTCATCCCTTTTTTTCTGAGTGACCCCAGAGTCGTCCTCACTTCCTGAGGGGGATCCTGGCGTCATCCGCCCTTCTTGAGGGGACCCTGCTGTCACTACCCTGTCCTGATGGCCAGCACCGCATTGTCCTTTCTTCCCGCGGGAAACCCGGACATCATCCCCTCTTTCTGGCGGGGACCCCCATGCCATTATCCCCTCCTGAGGAGACCCCAGAGCCAGAGCCGTCCCCCCTTCCTCAAGGCTCCCCAGCGTTGTTTCTTCTTCCCGAGAAGGGGCCTGGTGCTGTTCCCCGTTTCCAGAGTGTTTCCTATCGTTGTCCTCCCCACACTCAGAAGGCATCTGTCATCCCCCCTTTTTCTGAGATCAGTCCCTTCCTCCTTTCCAGTTTAAGGCCGACCCCTGCAAACGCTTCTGTGGCACCCATAGATAGAAGGCCCAAAGACCCCCCTGTGCTCCCTTGCCCCCAATTGAGCAGACGGGAAGGCAAAAGACTCAGCTCACCCCATGAAGATGGGAAGAAACCGAAACTAGCTGATGAAGGAACTCACTATGCCACATGAGAAATCATTTAGGGCCGGGCGCAGTGGCTCACGCCCATAATCCCAGAACTTTGGGAGGCCGAGGTTATCATATAAGATCAGGAGTTCGAGACCAGCCTGGCCAACATGGTGAAAACCCGCCTCTACTAAAAAATACAAAAATTAGCCGGGAGTGGCGGTATGGGCCTGTAATCCCAGATACTCAGGAGGCTGAGGTAGGAGAATCGCTTGAACCCAGCAGGTGGAGGTTGCAGTGAGCCGAGATCACACCACTGCATTCCAGCCTGGGCAACAGAGTGAGACTCCATCTCAAAAAGAATAAATAAATAAAAAGAATTTGCCAGTCAACAACAATTTTTTTTTCTTGCCTCCCGGGTTCACGCCATTCTCCTGCCTCAGCCTCCCGAGTAGCTGGGACTATGGGTGCCTGCCACCACGCCCGGCTAATTTTTTGTATTTTTAGTAGAGACGGGGTTTCACCGTGTTAGCCAGGATGGTCTCGATCTCCTGACCTCGTGATCCGCCCACCTCGGCCTACCAAAGTGCTGGGATTACAGGTGTGAGCCACCGCGCCCGGTCAAATACAAAATTTTAAAACAACTTTTATATATACTCAGTTAAGGCAGACAAAACAAGTCTCTGATTATTTCATTCACTGAGGCAATATTAATTTTTGAGACACTTCCACACAGATTTACATTTTAAAAAAAATGTCAGGTGCGGTGGCTCACTCACACCTGTAATCCCAGCACTTTGGGAGGCTGAGGCGGGCGGATCACGAGGTCAGGAGATCGAGACCATCCCGGCTAAAATGGTGAAACCCCGTCTCTACTAAAAATACAAAAAATTAGCCGGGCGTAGTGGCGGGCGCCTGTAGTCCCAGCTACTTGGGAGGCTGAGGCAGGAGAATGGCGTGAACCCGGGAGGCGGAGCTTGCAGTGAGCCGAGATCGCGCCACTGCACTCCAGCCTGGGCGACAGAGCGAGACTCCGTCTCAAAAAAAAAAAAAAAAAAAAAAAAGGAAACTTAAGGGCCAGGCACGGTGGTTCACGCCTGTAATCCCAGCACTTTGGGAGGCCGAGGTGGGCAGATCACCTGAGGTCAGAAGTTCGAGACCAACCTGACCAACATGGAGAAACCCCGTCACTACTAAAAATACAAAATTAGCCAGGCGTGGTGGTGCATGCCTGTAATCCCAGCTACTCGGGAGGCTGAGGCAGGAGAATTGCTTGAACCGGGGAGGCAGAGGTTGCAGTGAGCCAAGATCACACCATTGCACTCCAGCCTGGGTAACAAGAGCGAAACTCTGTCTCAAAAAAAAAAAAAAAAAAAAAAAAAAAAAAAAGAGGCTGGGGGGTGGCTCATGCCTGTAATCCCAGCACTTTGGGAGGCCAAGGAGGGCAGATCAGGAGGTCAGGAGATCGAAACCATCCTGGCCAACATGGTGAAACCCCGTCTCTACTAAAAAAAAAATACAAAAAATTAGCTGAGCGAGGTGGCTGATGCCTGTAGTCCCAGCTACTCGGGAGGCTGAAGCAGAATGGCGTGAACCTGGGAGGCGGAGCTTGCAGTGAGCTGAGATCGCGCCACTGCACTCCAGCCTGGGCGACAGAGCGAGACTCCGTCTCAAAAAAAAGAAAGGGAAACTTAAAATATTCATAAAGATTAATCGAGTGAAAGGCCAGGTGCCGTGGCTCACGCCTGTAATCCCAGCACTTTGGGAGGCCGAGGAGGGCGGATCATGAGGTCAGGAGATCGAGACCATCCTGGCTAACACGGTGAAACCCCGTCTCTACTAAAAATACAAAAAATTAGCCGGGCGCGGTGGCGGGCACCTGTAGTCCCAGCTACTCGGGAGGCTGAGGCAGGAGACTGGCATGAACCTGGGAGGCGGAGCTTGCAGTGAGCCGAGATAGCGGCACTGCAATCCGGCCTGGGAGAAAGAGCGAGACTCCATCTCAAAAAAAATAAAAAATAAAATAACTGAGTGAAGGGGGACAGGTGCTTTGGCTTATGCCTATAATCCCAGCCCTTTGGGAGGCTGAGGCAGGAGAAACTCTTGAGGTCAGGAGTTCAAGACCAGCCTGGGCAACATAGCCTGCTTGGTGGCGTACACCTGTGGTCCCAGCTACTTGAAAGACTGAGGTGGGAGGATCACTTAAAACTGGGAGGTCATGCCTGTAGTAGTGAGCCTTGATCTGGCCATAGCCCTCCAGCCTGGACAACAGAGTCACTCTGTCTCGAAAAAATAAATAAAAATAAAAAAATAAACTGAGAGACGGCCAGGTAGGATGACATGTGAGGAGTAGACGGATGTAGGGTAGAAATAAAAGAGACCCCATGTAGGATAGTTGAGACTTGAGGGAAAAATAAACCAACTTCTTGGGTAATGTAATTATTAGTCTTTCAGGCCCCTGAAGCTGAGCGTAAATGAAGGCTGAGGCAACTGAAGTTGGCACTAGGAGATTCGGTTTCCTTTTCTTACCACCCTTATCAAGATAATTGCTTAATCCCGGAGGATCCTGGGACATGTAGTCTAAAAAGAGTGTTCCTGCTTTAAAAGGTGGCACCGGCCGGGCGCGGTGGCTCACGCCTGTAATCCCAGCGCTTTGAGAGGCCGAGGCGGGCGGATCACGAGGTCAGGAGATCAAGACCATCTTGGCTAACACGGTGAAACCCCAACTCTACTAAAAATACAAAAAATTAGCCCGGCGTAGTGGCAGGCGCCTGTAGTCCCAGCTACTCGGGAGGCTGAGGCAGGAGAATGGCGTGAACCCGGGAGGCGGAGTTTGCAGTGAGCCGAGATTGCGCCACTGCACCCCAAACTGGGTGACAGAGCCAGACTCCGTCTCAAAAAAAATAAAATAAATAAAATAAATATAAATAAATAAAAGGTGGCACCACAGGCCGGGCGCGGTGGCTCACGCCTGTAATCTCAGCACTTTGGGAGGCTGAGGCGGGCAGATCACGAGGTCAGGAGTTCAAGACCACCCTGACCAATATGGTGAAATCTTGCCACTACTTAAATATACAAAAATTAGCGGGACATGGTGGCACATGCCTGTAGTCCCAGCTACTTGGAAGGCTGAGGCAGGAGAATCGCTCGAACCCAGGAGGCAGAGGTTGCAGTGAGCCAAGATCACACCACTGCGCTCCAGCCTGGGCAACAAAGCGAGACTCTGTCTCAAAAAAAAAAAAAAAAAAGTTTGCGCCATAAAATTAGTTACAACCCTGAGCAGTGGATAGGGTGCTGGTGCTTGCAGGAGGGCGAGTCCTTTAAATAGGGAACTCCCTCAAAGCATGTGCACTTTTATTTGATTTATAAGAAATATCATTTGGTCCAAAGTTTTGAAGAATGAAACAGATGTTTGCTCTTGTTGCCCATGCTGGAGTGCAGTGGTTAAGATCTCGGCTTACCACAACCTCCACCTCCCGGGTTCAAGCGGTTCTCCTTCCTCAGCCTCCCGAGTAGCTAGGATTACAGGCATGTGCCACCACGCCCGGCTAATTTTGTATTTTTAGTAGAGACAGGGTTTCTCCATGTTAGTCAGGCTAGTCTAGAACTCCCGAGCTTAGGTGATCTACCCATCTGGGCCTCCCAAATTGCTGCGATTACAGGCGTGAGCCACCCCACCTGGCCCGGAGAATGCTACTTTTAAAAATAGGAACAAGCCAGGAGCTCATCCAATCTTGTTCCTTTTCTAACTTTCTTTCTCTGGAAATAGTTCCTTTTCTAACTTTCTTTCTCTGGGCCTCTTTCACCCAGAGGCCCACAAGAGGGTGCTGTCTGCCTTTTAGATGGAACTTCCTGACTCTGCCCTGAGGGTATTCATCCCAGAGCTATACCTCCCGGGTTCAAGCGATTCTCCTGCCTCAGCCTCCCGAGTAGCTGGGATTACAGGCACATGCCACCACGGGCAGCTAATTTTTGTATTTTTAGTAGAGACAGTGTTTCACCATGTTGGCCAGGCTGGTCTTGAACTCCTGACCTCAGGTGATCCGCCTGCCTCAGCCTCCCAAAGTGCTGGGATTACAGGCGTGAGCCACCACACCCAGCCTTATTTTATTTTAGAGTCAGGGGTATTGCTGTGTCACCCAGGCTAGAGTGCAGTGGTGCAGTCATAGCTCAGTGCAGCCTCAAACTCCTGGGCTCAAGTCACCTCCCGCCTCAGCCTCCCAAAGAGTTGTGATTACTGGCATGAGCCATTGTACCTGGACAGCCTGTGAATTTTACTTATTTATTATTTTTATTTTTGAGACAGAGTCTTACTCTGCTGCCCAGGCTGGAGTGCAGCGGCGCGATCTTGGCTCACCACAACCTCTGCCTCTCGAGTTCAAGTGATTCTCGTGCCTCAGCCTCCTGAGTAGCTGGGATTACAGGCGTGCACCAGCACCCCCAGATAATTTTTGTATTTTTTAGTAGAGACAGGGTCACACTACGCTGTCCAGGCTGGCCTCCCAACTCCTGAGCTTAAACAATCCACCTACCTTGGCCTCCCAAACTGTTGGGATTATAGGCAGGAGCCACCACACCTGGCCCAGCCTATGAATTTTATCTATTTATTTATTTATTATTATTATTTTTTGAGACGGTGTCTCGCTCAGTAGCCCAGGCTGGGGTGCAGTGGCGCGATCTTGGCTCACTGCAAGCTCTGCCTCCTGGGTTTACGCCATTTTCCTGCCTCAGTCTCCCAAGTAGCTGGGACTACAGGCGCCAGCCACTGCGCCCGGCTAATTTTTTTTTTTTTTTGTATTTTTAGTAGAGACGGGGTTTCACCGTGTTAGCCAGGATGGTCTCGATCTCCTGACCTTGTGATCCGCCCGTCTCGGCCTCCCAAAGAGCTGGGATTACAGGCGTGAGCCACTGCGCCCAGCCATGAATTTTAAATTATACAACTAAAGTGGTCTGCTGTGAAATGTTATCATGATCATTCTAACGTCAACAGTCTTGACAATTCTGCCCAATTTCAGCATTTCAGGTTTCCAGTACTTAACTCATTCCTAAGTAAATAATACTACATTACAAGGCAAGGTGACACACACCTGTAATCCCAGCACTTTGGGAGGCCGAGTCAGGGGATCCCTTGAGCCCAGGAGTTCAAGACCAGCCTGGGCAATAAGGCAAAACCTCATTTCTATAAAAAATACAAAAATTAGCTGGGCATAGTGGCACATGTCTGTAGTCCCAGTTACTGAGGAGGCTGAGGTGGGAGGATCACTTGAGCCCAGGAATTCAACGCTGAAGTGAGCTACTATCCCTCCACTTCAGCCGGGGCAACAGAGCAAGACCTTGTCTCTGGGAAAAAAAAAGAAAAACTTGAAAGAGAAGAACTATTGAGGAAGGAAAAGGGTGATACCTTTGGTTGTGTCTAAATTTACCAGGCTGCACGTGGTGGCTCATGCCTATAATCCCAGCACTGTGGGAGGCCAAGGTGGGTGGATCACTTGAGGTCAGGAGTTCGAGACCAGCCTGGCCAATATGGTGAAACACTGTTTCTACTAAAAATACAAAAATTAGCTGGGTGTGGTGGTGCGCAGCTGTAATCCTAGAGACTCGAGAGGCTGAGGCAGGAGAATCGCTTGAACCCTGGAGGAGGAGGTTGCAAAACTCCGTCTTGAAAAAAAAAAGTAGGCCGGGCATGGTGGCTCACGCCTGTAATCCCAGCACTTTGGGAGGCCGAGGTGGGCGGATCACCTGAGGTCAGGAGTTGAGATCAGCCTCACCAACATGGAGAAATCCTACTGAAATACAAAACTAGCCAGGCGTGGTGGCACATGCCTGTAATCCCAGCTACTCGGGAGGCTGAGGCAGGAGAATCACTTGAACCTAGGAGGCAGAGGTCGCAGTGAGCTGAGATCCCGCCATCGCACTTCAGCCTGGGCCACAAGGGCAAAACTCCATCTCAAAAAAAAAAAAAAATGACCTTGGGGAGCCCTAGGAGATGTGACTAGGAATTAGCTGCTTGTCTTCCAAGGCAGCTGAAACTGAAGGACAACTGTGTGGCTTGCCTACGGGGAGAAAGATGCCCTACATATAAAAATGCGATGGGCAAAGATTACAAACTGGTTTCAAATACCAGCCCTAAGTCAAAGAGGAGTGTGTTTCAGAAGAAGAGCCCTTTCTGGCCCCCGGTTTCAGGCCTCCAGCCCAGAGCCAGGGTGAAAGACACTAGTTAGTCTGTTCTTTATTTTCCTTGGAAAATTACAGGGTTACTTATCAACAAAATAACTGTCCATCCGGTGGGGAAGTGCCATCCGGTGGCTTCTATGTACAGGCCCATCCCTGGGAACCACATTTCCAGAGGGGGCCTCCCCCTGAGGCCCCCATTGGCCCCCTCCCAGGTATCCAAGAATAAATCACATGGTGACAGCTGCCGGCATGGGTGAGTGGGACCCAGGCCTATTACCCGGCCAGAGGGTTTGGGGGCCTCTCTCCTGGAAGCCTGCTCTTTCCACACCCCCTTTCCCAGCCAGGCTGTCTTGGACACTCCCGGGGCTCCGCTGAGGGGCACATGATTCCCGCTTTGGACTTCTTTTGAGATGTCATTTTAACACTGAGGCATCCTGGCCTCCCTTCCCGGAAGATGGGTTATTTGCAGTGCTGTCTTTTCTTTTAGTCCCGGTTTTTGTACAAAAACAATGATACTCCCCATTGGACTGTATTTTTGCCCAAGAAACAAAAGTGCCTCAACAGGTACAGTTCTGCTGGTCAATCTGCTTCCGGCAGGGCTCCATGGTGACAGCCACGCCCACCCCACTCCGGCCCGATGT
The DNA here is from genome assembly GCF_000001405.40 of Homo sapiens. Lineage (NCBI taxonomy): Eukaryota > Metazoa > Chordata > Mammalia > Primates > Hominidae > Homo > Homo sapiens. The sequence goes on from NC_000019.10 coordinate 10,486,736, forward strand.
CATTCGGGTCACCTCGCTCCAGGTGTCTGTATCTGGGTCGTAACACTCCACACTGTCCAGGAACGTGTGACCATCATAGCCTCCTGCGGGAAGAACAGAAGGGATGGTCACCACCTGTCACACCACATCCAAGAGCAGGGGACAGAAAGAGAGAGATGCAGCTGTGAGATGCAAAAGCAGGCCGGGCGTGGTGGCTCACGCCTATAATCCTAGCACTTTGCAGGGCTGAGGCAGGAGGATTGCTTGAGGCCAGGAGTTCGAAGCCAGCCTGGGCAACATAGCAAAACCTTAGTCTCTTACTAAAAAAAAAAAAAAAAAAAAAAAATGGCCAGGCTTGGTAGCTCACGCCTATAATCCCAGCACTTTGGGAGACTGAGGTGGGTGGATCACTTGAGTCCAGGAGTTTGAGACCAGCCTGGGCAACATGGTGAAGCCCCATCTCTACAAAAAAACATAAAAATTTAGCCAGGCTTGGTGGTGCGCGCCTGTAGTCCTAGCTATTAGGGAGGCTGAGGTGGGGAGGATCAGTTGAGTCTGGGAGGCAGAGGTTGCAGTGAGCAGAGGCTGCACCACTGTACTCTAGCCTAGGCAACAGAGTGAGACCCTATCTCAAAATAAATAAATAAAAATAGGAAAATAGGCCACTCGCGGTGGCTCATGCCTGCAATCCCAGCACTTTGGGAGGCCGAGGCGGGCAGATCACCTGAGATCAGGAGTTCGAGGCCAGCCTCGCCAACAGAGTGAAACCCTGTATCTACTAAAAATACAAAATTAGATGCGATTGGTGATGCACGCCTGTAATCTCAGCTACCTGGGAGACTGAGGTAGGAGAATCGCTTGAACCCGGGAGGCGGAGGTTGCAGTGAGCTGAGATTGTGCCACTGCACTCCAGCCTGGTGACAGAGCAAGACTCCACCTCAAAATAAATAAATAAATAAATAAACAAAAAATAAAAAAATAAAAATAAAATAAAATAAAGGCCGGGCACAGTGGCTCATGCCTGTAATCCCAGGACTTTCGGAGGCTGAGGCAGGTGGATCACCTGAGGTCAGGAGTTCAAGACCAGCCTGGCTAACATTGTGAAACCCCGTCTCTACTAAAAATCAAAATTGGCCGGGCATGGTGGCTCACACCTGTAATCCCATCCCTCTGGGAGGCCGAGGCGGGCAGATCACCTGAGGTCAGGAGTTCGAGACCAGCCTGACCAACATGGAGAAAACCCTTCTCTACTAAAAATACAAAATTAGCCGGGCGTGGTGGCGCATGCCTGTAACCTCAGCTACTCGGGAGGCTGAGGGAGGAAAATCGCTTGAACCTGCCAGGTGGAGGTTGCAGTGAGCCGAGATCGAGCCATTGCACTCCAGCATGGGCAACGAAAGTGAAACTCCATCTCAAAAAAAAATTAGCTAGGCGTGGTGGCACGTGCCTGTATTCCCAGCTACTCAGGAGGCTGAGACAGGAGAATCACTTGAACCTGGGAAGCAGAGGTTGCAGTGAGCCAAGATTGCGCCATTGCACTCCAGCCTGGGCAACATGAGCAAAACTCTGTCTCAAAAAAATAAAATAAAATAAAATAAAAATAAACAAAAACATTAAGCTGGGCGCGGTGGCTCACACCTGTAATCCCAGCACTTTGGGAGGCTGAGGTGGGCAGATCACCTGAGGTCAGGCGTTCAAGACCAGCCTGACCAACATGGTGAAACCCCATCTCTACTAAAATACAAAAATTAGCTGGGCATAGTGGCAGGCGCCTGTAATCTCAGCTACTTGGGAGGCTGATGGGGGAGAATCACTTGAAACCAGGAGGCGGAGGTTGCAGTGAGCTGAGATCGTGCCATTGCACTCCAGCCTGGCAACAGACTGAGACTCTGTCTCAAAAAACAAAACAAAACAAAACAAAACAAAAAACAAAACAGGCCGGGCGCGGTGGCTCATGCCTCTAATCCTAGCACTTTGGGAGGCCGAGGCAGGTGGATCACGAGGTCAGGAGTTCGAGACCATCCTGGCCAACATGGTGAAACCCTGTCTCTACTAAAATACAAAAAATTAGCCTGGTGTGGTGGCATGTGCCTGTAGTCGCAGCTACTCAGGAGGCTGAGACAGGAGAATCGCTTGAACCCAGGAGGTGGAGGTTGCAGTGAGCTGAGATCATGCCATTGCACTCCAGCCTGGGCAACACTGTGAGACACCATCTCAAAAGAAAAAAAACATTAGCCGGGTGTGGTGGTGCGCGCCTGTGGTCCCTGCTACTTGGGAGGCTGAGGCAGGAGGATGGCTGGAGCCCAGGCTGTTGAGGCTCCAGCGAGCTGTGATCACACCACTGCACTCCAGCTGGGCAACAGAGCGAGACCTTGTTTCTAAAAAAAAAAAAAAAAAAAAAAAAAAGGAAAGCAAAAGCAAAAGCAGTCCACAAAAGATGGGCTAGTCAGGACTCTTCCCCGCCCCCAGGGCCTCACCAAGGACGTAGATTCTCCCCTGGTGGACAGTGATCCCCAGGGCACTTCGCCGGTGCTTCATGGGGGCTACGAAAGTCCACGTCTCTGTTTCCACATCGTAGCGCTCCACGCTGTTCAGCTGGTCCTGACCATCATAGCCCCCAGCAGCATAGATACAGTTGTGCAGGACGCAGACGCCTAAAGGGCACCATGCAGAGAAGGTGACTCTGGGGGTCTGGCTTTGGGAACCCCAGCCATCACCTCCTTGAGGGAGACCTTTCCTCTCTCCTCTCCCTTCTCACCCTCAGAAATGAAGCGGGGAGAGAGAGAAGCTTGGACTCTATCAGAATCCAGGGCTTCTGTGGTTACCCCAGCATGAGGGTTGCAACAGGGGGTCTCTCCCAGGCCTGGCTCAGTTTCACCCCAGGATGGTAGGGGGTGTTCCTGGGTGCTCCCCTCCCTACCGTCCCCACCCACCTGCCCCGCTTCGGATGGTGTTCATTGCTGTGATCATTCGCCACTCGTTCCTCTCTGGGTAGTAACACTCAGCTGAATTAAGGCGGTTTGTCCCGTCAAAGCCCCCCACGGCATAAAGGAGACGATTGAGGACAGCCACGCCCACCCCGATCCTTCGTGTCAGCATTGGGGCCACCAAGTGCCACTCATCCCGCTCTGGCTCATACCTGCAAGGGCGTAAGAAAAATGGGGACAATGGCCATTATAGCTGACCTTCGTGGAATACTTAAGGGCCAGATACTCTTTTTTTTCCTTTTTTTTTTCCCCCTTAAAGAGACAGGTTCATCCGGCGCGATGGCTCATGCCTGTAATCCCAGCACTTTGGGAGGCCGAGGAGGGCGGATCACCTGAGCTCAGGAGTTTGAGACCAGCCTGGCCAACATGGTAAAAACCTGTCTCTACTAAAAGTACAAAAATTAGCTGGGTGTGATGGCAGATGCCTGTAATCCCAGCTACTCGGGAGGCTGAGGCGAGATAATCACTTGAACCTGGGAGGCGGAGGTTGCAGCGAGCTGAGATCATGCCACTGCACTCCAACCTGGGCAACAGAGCGAGACTCCATCTCAAAAAAAAAAAAAGAAAAAAAGAGACAGGGTCTTGCTCCGTTGTCCAGGCTGGAGTGCAGTGGTGCAATCACTGAAGCTTCAAACTTTTTTTTTTTTTTTTTTTTTGAGATGGAGTGCAATGGTGAGAGCATGGCTCACTGCAACCTCCACCTCCTGGGTTCAAGCAGTTATTCAGCCTCAGCCTCACAAGTAGCTGGGATAACAGGCACCCACCACCACGCCCGGCTAATTTTTGTATTTTTAGTAGAAATTGGGTTTCGCCATGTTGGCCAGGCTGGTCTCAAACACCTGACCTCAAGTGATCTGCCTGCCTCAGCTTTCCAAAGGGCTGGGATTATAGGCATGAGCCACCACACCCAGCCTGCAGCTATCAACTCTTGGGCTCAAGGAACCCTCCTGGCTCAGCCTCCTGAGTAGCTGGGACTACAGGTGCACACCACCGTGCCCACCTCCACTCGAACTCTAGTGCTTGCAGTTGTTCTCCAAGGATTGAGGTATCAGCAACTCCATTTTCCAAATGACAAAACTGAGCCTCCTAGCCATCAATTGCTCAAGTTCAAAAACACATCTGATAAACCCCTAGTGGCTCAGCCAGATCCCCCACTTCACAGATAACAAGATAACATCTCAGAAAGGAGAAATCACACATTCAGCATCACTCTTTGATGCTCAAAGAGTCCTTTAGGTCCGGCACAGTGGCTCACACCTGTAATCGCAGCACTTTGGGAGGTTGAGGTGGGAGAATCCCTTGAGGACAGGAGTTCAAGACCAGCCTGGCCAACATGGTGAAACCCCATCTCTACAAAAAATACAAAAATTAACCAGGCGTGGTGGTGGGTACTTGTAGTCCCAGCTACCCCAGGGTCTGAGGCAGGAGAATCACTTGAACCTGGGAGGCGAGGTTGCAGTGACCCAAGATGCACTCCAGCCTGGGCAACAGAGCAAGAGAGACAGGGTCTTACTCTATTGCCCAGGCTAGTCTCCTGGACTCAAGCAATCCTCCCACCTCAGCCTCCCAAAGTCCCTGATTATAGGTATGGGCCACAGTGCCTAGCCCAACAATTTCAAACTGATGGAACATTTTCCAACTCCGCACAAAGGAACCATATGGGTTTGTGACAGTCCCCTAAGCATTTCCCAGCCCCAGGCACAGAATCAAAGGTCACTGACTAGAACTCTCCAAGGAGCTTAGCTTCATCCTGAGGCCTCCACTCCCTGAAGACAGGAAGAGGAAACAGCCTCAGGAAGAATACCCGGATCTCAGTGTCTTGGGACTTGCCAGGAGCAGGACCCTCCGAGCCCACCCCCAGGCCCTGCCACTCACCTCTCCACACTGTTGTGGTGGATGCAGCCGTGGGAGCCGCCGACGGCATAGATGTGGCCATCGATGACCCCCACCCCGATGCGGTTACGGGGCACGCTCATGGGGGCGCAGGGCGACCACTGATTGGTCATGGGGTTGTAACAGTCCAGGGCGCTGGAGTCGGTGTTGCCGTCGGGCGAGTTGTTCCTGCCGCCCACGGCGTACAACAGCCCGCCCACCACGCAGCCGGCCAGGCCGCTCCGCGGCACCTGCAGGTCCGCCAACCGGAGCCAGGTGCCGTCACTGGGGTTGTAAGCCTCCAGGTAGCTGAGCGACTGTCGGAAGTAGCCGCCCGCGGTGTAGATCAGGCGGCCCACCTTGGGCGCCCGGCAGGGCATCACCTGCGTGGGCTTGTGCAGGGTGAGCTCCTCGAAGATCTTGACCAGGTAGTCCTTGCAGCGGGAGTCGGACTGCAGGATCTCGCACTTCTGCAGCTGCATCTGCAGGAAGTTCGGCGTCAACGAGTGGCAGCGCACGGCCCGCAGCAGCGCCTGGACGTAGAACCGTCGCTGTTCGCAGTCGTACTTGACCCAGTTGATGCAGGCGTGGAAGACCTCGGACTCGCAGCGCACGTTCAGGTCGTCCCGGCTGATGAGGGTCACCAGTTGGCAGTGGGACAGGTTGAAGAACTCCTCTTGCTTGGCCACCTGCAGAGGGCGACAGTGGGACGGGCTGACTCTCCAGTCACCCCCACACCTCACCAAGCAGGACCGGGACAAGTAACTTATCACTGCCGCTGACAGTCTCAGCTTCCTTATCTGCTAAATGGGGATTCAAATAATAGGAACCGCGTACATTGTGATGACTAAATGAGTTAATCCTGCCGGGCGCGGTGGCTCACGCCTGTAATGCCAGCACTTTGGGAGGCCGAGGCTGGCGGATCACGAGGTCAGGAGTTGAGAGACAAGCCTGGCCAATATGGTGAAACCCCATCTCTACTAAAAATACAAAAATTACCCGGGTGTGGTGGCACACGCCTCTAGTCCCAGCTACTCGGGAGGCTGAAGCAGAAGAATCGCTTGAACCCGGGAGGCGGGAGGCGGAGGTTGCAGTGAGCCGATATTGCGCCACTGCACTCCAGCCTGGGCGACAGAGCAAGACTCTGTCTCAAAGAAAAAAAAAAAAGAGTTAATACTATGTGCCAAGTATGTCATCAGGACTCAGGAAAATGGGCAAAGACTCAGTAGATCGTGTACCCTGGGGTATCATTTGGCTTTGGTTTTTGAGACAGAGTCTCACTCTGTCACCCAGGCTGGAGTGCAGTGGCATGATCTAGGCTCACTGCAACCTCTGCCTCCCAGGTTCAAGCAATTCTCCTGCCTCAGCCTCTCAAGTAGCTGACATTACAGGCACCTACCACCATGCCCCGTTAATTTTTATTTTATTTTATTTTATTTTGATATGGATTCTTACTCTGTTGCCCAAGCTGGAGTGCAGTGGTGTGATCTTGCTTCACTGCAACCTCCGCCACCCAGGTTCAAGTGATTCTCCTGCCTCAGCCTCCCAAGTAGCTAGGATTACAGGAGTGTGCCTCCAGAGCAGCTAATTTTTTTTTTTTTTTTGGAGACAGTCTTGCTCTGTCGCCCAGGCTGGAGTGCAGTGGAGCGATCTCCGCTTGCTGCAACCTCCGCCTCCTGGGTTCACGCCATTCTCCTGCCTCAGCCTCCCGATTAGCTGGGACTACAGGCGCCCGCGACCACGCCCAGCTAAGTTTTTTTGTATTTTTTTAGTAGAGATGGGGTTTCACCGTGTTAGCCAGGATGGTCTCGATCTCCTGACCTTGTGATCCACCCGCCTTAGCCTCCCAAAGTGCTGGGATTACAGGCGTGAGCCACCGCGCCCGGCCATTTTTTTGTATTTATTTTTAGTAGAGACGGAGTTTCACTATGTATTTTTAGTAGAGATGGCATTTCTTCATGTTGGCCAGGCTGGTCTCAAACTCTTTTTTTTTTTTTTTTTTTTTTGAGATGGAGTCTCGCTCTTTTGCCCAGGCCGGACTGCAGTGGCGCTATCTCGGCTCACTGCAAGCTCCACCTCCCGGGTTCACGCCATTCTCCTGCCTCAGCCTCCCGAGTAGCTGGGACTACAGGGGCCCACCACCGTGCCTGGCTAATATTTTTTGTATTTTTAGTAGAGACGGGGTGACTGTGTTAGCCAGGATGATCTTGATCTCCTGACCTCGTGATCCGCCCGCCTCGGCCTCCCAAAGTGCTGGGATTACAAGCGTGAGCCACCTCGCCTGGCCAGTCTTGAACTCTTGACCTTAGGTGATCTGCCCATCTCAGCCTCCCTAAGTGCTAGGATTACAGGCGTGAGCCACCGGACCTGGCCTGTTTTTGCTTTTGAGACACAGTTTTGCTCTGTCACCTAGGCTGTAGTGCAGTGGCACAATCATAGCTCACTGTAGCCTTGAACTCCTGGGCTCAAACGATCTTCCCACCTCAGCCTCCTGAGTCGCTGGGACTACAGGTGTGTGCCACCACGCACAGCTAATTTTCATATTTTTATGGTAGAGACGGGGTTTCACCATGTTGGCCAGGTTGGTCTGGAACTCCTGACCTCAAGTGGCCCACCCCCTTGCCTTCCAAAGTGCTGGGATTACAGGCATGAGCCACCGTGTCCGGCCGTTGGTCTTAAACTCTTGAGCTCAAATGATTCTCCTACTTCAGCCTCCTGAGGATTACAGGTGTGCATCACCATACCTGGCTTGGCTTTTTTTTTTTTTTTTTTTTTGAGATGGAGTCTCGCTCTGTCGCCCAGGCTGGAGTGCAGGGGTGCAATCTCGGCTCACTGCAAGCTCCACCTCCCGGGTTCACGCCATTCTCCTGCCTCAGCCTCCCGAGTAGCTGGGACTACAGGCGCCCACCACCACACCCGGCTAATTTTTGTTTTTGTATTTTTAGTAGAGACGGGATTTCACCGTGTTAACCAGGCTGGTCTTGAACTCCTGACCTCAGGTGATCTGCCTGCCTCGGCCTCCCAAAGTGCTGGGATTACAGGCCTGAGCCACCGCGCCTGGCCTCTGAGTTTTCTGTTTGTTTCTTTTTTTTTTTTTTTTGAGATGGAGTCTCGCTCTGTCGCCCAGGCTGGAGTGCAGTGGCACGATCTTGCCTCACTGCAAGCTCTGCCATCCAGGTTCATGCGATTCTCCTGCCTCAGCCTCCGAGTAGCTGGGACTACAGGTGCCCACCACCATATCCAGCTAATTTTTTGTATTTTTAGTAGAGACGGGGTTTCACCATGTTAGCTAGGATGGTCTCGATCTCCTGACCTCGTGATCCGCCTGCCTCAGCCTCCCAAAGTGCTGGGATTACAGGCGTGAGCCAACGCGCCCGGCCTCTTTTGTTTCTTTTTTTTTTTTGAGACAGAGTCTCACTCTGTCGTCAGGCTGGATACAGTGGCGTGATCTCGGCTCACTGCAACCTCTGTCTCCGGGTTCAAATGATTCTTCTGCCTCAGCCTCAGCCTCCTGAGTAGCTGGGACTACAGGCACGCACAACCACACCCGGCTAATTTTTGTATTTTTAGTAGAGATGGGATGTCTGAGTTTATTTTTTAAGAGACAGGGTCTTGCTCTGTCACCTATGGTGGAGTGCAGAGGTGCCACTGTAACCTCAAATTCCTGGGCTCATGTGATTCTCCTGCCTCAGCCTCCCAAAGCACTGAGATTATACGCACGAGCCAACTCACCCATCTTGTTTTTTAAAATGAAATCATTTTCTAAAATGGCAAATAGACTAAAAAAGGAAAAAATAAGCAATCACAATAGAATGTTGTGGAAAAAAACAAGTGACAGCTCTGGGCCAGCACAGTGGTTCCCACCTGTAATCCCAGCACTTTGGGAGGCCAAAGCAGGCGGATCACCTGAGGTCAGAAGTCCGAGACCAGCCTGGCCAACACGGTGAAACCCCGTCTCTACTAAAAACAAAAAAATTAGCCAGCTGTGGTGGTGGGCACCTGTAATCCCAGTTACTGAGGAGGCTGAGGCAGGAAAATCGCTTGAATCCAGGAGGCAGAGATTGCAGTGAGCTGAGATTGTGCCACTGTACTCCAGCCTGAGCAACAGAGTGAGACTCCATCTCCAAAAAAAAAAAAAGTGGAAGCTCCGAAGAAACCAGCATGAGTTGGAATTTTGATCCGACCACTTCGTAGGTGTGTAACTTGGGCAAATCTCTGAAATGCTCCATGTCTTGGTTTTCCTCCTCTGTAAAATGGGATTATATTAATGGCCACCTCAAAGTAAGGCTACTTCTAGGGTATACAGAGCCCTGGATAAATATTTCTTGTAGCCAGGTGTGGTGGCTCACGCCTGTAATCCTGGTACTTTGGGAGACCAAGGCGGGAAGATTGCTTGAGCCCAGGAGTTTAAGACCAGCCTGGGCAACATAGCGAGACCTCATCTCTACCAAGAAAAGATATAAAAATTAGCCAAGCATGGTAGCTCACGCCTGTAGTCTCAGCTACTCAGGAGACTGAGGTGGGAGGATCACTTGAGCCCAGGAGCTGGAGTTTGTGATAAGCAGAGATCGTGCCACTGAAGTCCAGCCTGGGTGACAGAGTGAGACCCTGTCTCTAAAAAAAGAAAAAAAAAAAAAAAAGGCCAGGTGCGGTGGCTCACACACGTAATCCCAGCACTTTGGGATGCCAAGTCGGGCGGATCACTTGAGGTCAGGAGTTCAAGACCAGCCTGACCAACATGGTGAAACCCCATCTCTACAAAAAATACAAAAATTATCTGGGCATGGTGACACATGCCTATAATCCCAGCTACTTGGGAGGCTGAGGAATGAGAATCACTTGAACCCGAGAGGCGGAGGTTGCAGTGAGCCGAGATCATGCCACTATACTCCAGCCTGATGACAGAGTGAGACTCTGTCCCCCACCCCCAAAAAAAAAAAAAAGGGGGCTTGGCGTGGTGGCTCAAGCCTGTAATCCCAACACTTTGGGAGGCTGAGGTGGGCGGATCACGTGAGGTAAGGAGTTCCAGACCAGCCTGGCCAACATGGTGAAACCCTGTCTCTACTAAAAATACAAAAATTAGCCAGCGTGGTGGTGCACCCCTGTAATCCCAGCTACTTCGGAGGCTGAGGCATGAGAATCGCTTGAACCCAGGACATGGAGGCTTGCAGTGAGCCGAAATCTTGCCACTGCACTTCAGCCTGGGCGATAGAGCCAGACTCAGTCTCAAAAACAAAAAAGGACTGGGCGGTGGGGGGCGGGCGTGGGCGCAGTGTCTCATGCCTGTAATCCCAGCACAGTTAGGGAGGCCAAGGCAGGCAGATCACCTGAGCTCAGGGGTTCGAGACCAGCCTGGCCAACATGGTGAAACCCCATCTGTACTAAAAATATTTTTTAAAAATTAGCTGGGCATAGTGGTAGGCACCTGTAATCCCAGCTACTTGGGAGGCTGAGGCAGGAGAATTGCTTGAACCCAGGAGATGGAGGTTGCAGTGAGCCGATACAGTGCCACTGCATGCCAGCCTGGGTGACAGAGTGAGACTCCGTCTCAAAAAAAAAAAAAAAAGTTGTCAGGCACTCGTCTATGTAATCAGTTTTAATCTAGTACCCCATGTTCATACAAACACAAGAAAGAAACACTGTATATGTTTCTCCTACTGTATAGACCACTTTCCTAGAAGCTGCAGGCCCTAGGACTAACGCCAGAGAACCCTGGGGCGTCTGATCAACCCCACATGTAACATAGAGGGTAGGAAAGAATCTATCCCTGAAGGAGAGAAATAGAGATCAGTGTAACATCCATCCCAGCTGGTACCAGCCAGTGGGGGACTTAGAAAATTTCCAGGAAGGAACACCAAGACATGGGACTCCCGAAGGCTTAGGGCCTGGGGCACTGCCCTGCTTGCCTAGGCTGAAGGGTAGTACTGCCTCATAGGACAGTTGGGAACAGTCAATGATGCAAAGGACATAAATCACTTAGAACAGGGGCTGGCCCACAGCAAGTGCTCAATAAACACTTCTTGGCCTGGTGTTGGTATGGTGCTTCATACCTGTAATCCCAACACTACGGGAGGCCAAAGCCAGAGGATTGTTCAAAGCCAGGAGGTTCGAGACCAGTCTCAGCAACATAGCAAGACCCTGTCTCTACAAAAAAATTTAAAAACTAAAAAATTAGCCATGCGTGGTGCTGCATACCTATAGTCCCAGCTACTCAGGAGGCTGAGATAGGAGGCCTCCTTGAGCCCAAGAGTTGGAGGCTACAGTGAGCTATGATGGCACCACTGTATTCCAGCCTGGGGACAGAGCAAGACCTCATCTCTTCAAAAACTTTTTCTTTTTTTTTTGAGACAGAGTTTCGCTCTTATTGCCCAGGCTGGAGTGCAATGGCGCAATCTCAGCTCACTGCAACCTCCGCCTCCCGGGTTCAAGCGATTCTCCTGCCTCAGCCTCCTGAGTAGCTGGGATTACAAGCATGAGCCACCATGCCAGGCTAATTTTGCATTTTTAATAGAGACGTGGTTTCTCCATGTTGGTCAGGCTGGTCTTGAACTCCCGACCGCAGGTGATCTGCCCACCTTGGCCTTCCAAAGTGCTGGGATTATAGGCATGAGCCACCGCGCCCAGGCTTTTTTTTTTTTTTTTTTGAGACAGAGTCTTGCTCTGTCGCCCAGGCTGGAGTGCAATGGTGCGATCTCGGCTCACTGCAACCTCCACCTCCCCGGTTCAAGCGATTCTCCTGTCTCAGCCTCTCGAGTAGCAGGGACTATAGTCACATGCCACTACACCCGGCTAGTTTTCTTTTTTTGTATTTTTATTAGAGATGGGGTTTCACCATATTGGTCAGGCTGGTCTCAAACTCCTGACCTCAGGTGAGCCACCCGCCTCAGCCTCCCAAAGTGCTGGGATTACAGGCGTGAGCCACTGGGCCCTGCCCTCTCTTGTCAATTTCTATAGATAATTTCCTTCACTGAGAAATGTGAAAACGAAACCAAAAACAGTATAAGGACATTGTGTGGACCAAAGAAAACATGACTAAGGTTCAGACTTACAGCTTGCAGCCTGTCACGGGTGTCCAATAAACATTTGCTGACTGCCCGAAAGGCTGGGCTACCCTAGGATTTGGCTGCTGTTCACTGCACTCTGCCCCACTTTGACCCCAGAGAAACCAGGGAGCCCAGAGACATATGAAGACCTCACCTTCCCCAGCTGTTCACCAGTCTCCCCACATGTGTAGACAAGGAACTCAGAACCCCAGTTGTTTTTTAATTTTTTTTTTTTTTGAAACTGAGTCTTGCTCTGTTGCGCAAGCTGGAGTGCAGTGGCTCGATCTCCACTCACTGCAACCTCCACCTCTTGGTTCAAGCGATTCTCCTGCCTCAGCCTCCTGAGCAGCTGGGACTACAGGCGCCCGCCACCAGGCCTGGCTAATTTTTATATTTTTAGTAGAGATGGGTTTTAGCTATGTGGGCCAGGCTGGTCTTGAACTCCTTACCTCAGGTGATCCACCTGCCTCGGCCTCCCAAAGTGTTGGGATTACAGGCATGAGCCACCACGCCCGGCCCCAGTTGTTTTTTGTTTGTGTGTTTGTTTGTTTAGAGACAGGGTGTCATTATGTTGCCTGGGCTGGTCTTGAACTCTTGGCCTGAAGCAATCCCCCCGCCTCAGCCCCTCAAACTGTGGAGACTACACCACCATACCCAGCCCAGAACCTCCTTTTTCTCCAGTTTCCTGCCTTGACATCTCAAGGGGAGACAGTGATGAGCACTCGTCCATCCCTGGTCCTTCTCCTGACACTGCCCCCAGCCCCACTTCCCCGCTCACCTCCCCAAAATGCATGTAGATGTACTCCCGGGCACGCTGGTGCAACTCCACACAGCCAATCTGCTCAGCGAAGTTGGCGATGCCGATGGCATTGCTGGGGTCCAGCTGCTGCACCAGGAAGTCACTGCAGGCACGGACAACGCTGTCGATCTGGTACATGACAGCACCGTTCATGACGTGGAGGACACACTTCTCGCCCATGGAGATGGAGGCCGTGTAGGCGAATTCAATGAGGCGCTCCATGACCTTGGGGTGGATACCCTCAATGGACACCACCTCCATGCCCTGCTCCCGCAGCCCGTTGGTGAACATGGCCTTGAAGACAGGGCTGGATGAGGCCAGCACCACCTTGTGGGCCATGAACTGGGCGGCCGGTGCATCCTGGTACTTGACCTGCAGTGTGACGTCACACAGCTGCTGGCTGAGCCGCAGCTCGTTCATGATGCCAAAGGCCTGCTTGGTATGATCCTCCAGGGTGTAGCTGAAGGTGCGGTTGCCATGCTGGGAGGGCGTCACCTCCGCCTTGCACTCAGTGGAGGCGTACATCACCGCGTCCCCTGCCCCCTCAGGGCACTGTGACTGCAGGGGCAGGAATCGGCAGCAGGCCCCAGCCCCGCTAGGCCTGGGATCTGGCTGCATGGGGTTCCAGAAGATAAGCAACACCACCACCTCTGGCACTCAGGGACCTGGAGGGGAGAGAGCACAGGGCAGAGGGCAGGGGTTGGGACTGGGCCAGCACCTGCCGGGCCTCGTTTTGCAAGATAAAGCAATTCCTAGGTCAGTTTTCCTGCAAAGTAGGTGAAGCAGAATCCATTTGCAAACTTGCAAACTTCCCCGACCTGATCAACCTGATTGGCCCAAGAGCCCATCTTAAAACATACATGAAGTCATGTCTCTCCCCTGCTCTGGATCCTCCAATGCCTCCCACAGTACCTAGTAAAACTGAACTCCTCAACAGCCTGCAAAGCCCTACGCAATTAGCCCCTGCCACCTCTTCCCTTTGATCACTCTGCTTCAGCAATCTGGCGGCCTTTCCCTTTCTAGAGCATGTTGAGCTCATTCCTTCATTTGCCTCACCATTTACTGGGCACCTACTGTATGCCAGGCACTGATCTGGGTGCTGAAGACACAGCAGTGAGCAAAATACAAAAATCCTACCCTGCCAGAGCTGACAACTGCAGGGAGGAGCAATCATAAACTAAAATAAGCAAGACCTGGAAAAACAGCTTCATGAAGAAAATTACAACAGCATTGTGACAACGTGAGAATCGGGTGCAGTTTGTTTGCTTTTTTTTTTTTTTTTTTCAGATGGAGTCTCTCTGTCACCCAGGCTGGAGTGCAATGGCTCGATCTTGGCTCACTGCAACCTCCGCCTCCCGGGTTCAAGCGATCCTCCTGCCTCAGCCTCCCGAGTAGCTGGGACTACAGGCGTCCGCCACCACACCCGGCTAGTTTTTGTATTTTTAGCAGAGACTGGGTTTCGCCATGTTGGCCAGGCTGGTCTCAAACTCCTGACCTCAAGTGAGCCGCCCGCCTTGGCATCCCGAAGTGCTGGGATTACAGGCGTAAGCCACCATGCCTGACCCGGGGTGCAGTTTTTTAAAATCTGGCAGACCAAGCCTCTTTGAGAAGGTGAGGTTGGAGCTGAGACAAGGATGAAAATTATTATAAAGTGGGAGGCTGGGGAGTAGTTTTCCAGGCAGAGGAAACAGTAAGTGCAGTGGCTCAGAGGCTGAGACAGTCAATCTGGAGAATTGGGAAGGAGTGCAGTGAGAGCTAAGGACTTAAGGAAGGGTTTCATGGAAACCCCTGGATCCTGGAGGGCCAGGAGATGAGTTATGTGTTTTGTGTTTTGTTTTTCGAGACAGAGTCTCGCTCTGTTGCCCAGGCTGGAGTACAGTGGTGCGATCTTGGCTCACTGCAACCTCTGCCTCCCGAGTTCAAGATATTCTCGACCGGGCGTGGTGGCTCACGCCTGTAATCCCAGCACTTTGGGAGGCCGAGGCAGGCGGATCACAAGGTCAGAAGATCGAGACCATCCTGGCTAACATGGTGAAACCCCATCTCTACTAAAAATACAAAAAAATTAGCCGGGTGTGGCGGCGGGCGCCTGTAGTCCCAGCTACATGGGAGGCTGAGGCGGGAGAAAGGCGTGAACCCAGGAAGCAGAGCTTGCAGTGAGCCGAGATCGCACCACTGCATTCCAGCCTGGGTGACAGAACAAGACTCCATCTCAAATAAAACAAAAAAAAGATATTCTCATACTTCGGCCTCCTGAGTAGCTGGGATTACAGGCACCAGCCACCACGATGGGCTAATTTTTTGTATTTTTAGTAGAGATGGGATTTCACCATGTTGGCCAGGGTGGTCTCAACCTCCTGGCCTCAAGTGATCCCCCTCCTCGACCTCCCAAAATGCTGGGATTACAGGCATAGGCTGCTGTGCCCAGACGTGAGTTACGTTTCAAAAGGAGTGGGGGATCTCCAAGTGGCTCCCCACAAGTGGATCTGCAAGTTCTCACTCCCCTCTTTCTGGGACTCAACTCAAAGTCTCCTCTTCCCTGTTTTATTGTCATCACTGCGCTTGTCAGGAACTGAAATGACCTCCTTTGCTTGTCTGTTGATCGACTGTCTCTCGTCCCCGGCCCCAGCGCCTCAAATGGCAGGGAGACCTATGTAGGTCGGCGTCGGGCCAACCCTCTCCTGTGCCTCTCGCCTGGGGCCTGGCACTGCGCAGGGGTCAATAAACGGGTGGTTGGCTAACTGCCCTGCCACCGTGCCTGCCAGAGCGGCCTCCTCCACCCTCCCTGGGTGCCACTCGGCCCCCACTCTGGTGCCAAGGCCCTGGGTTTGCCTCTTGGTCTTTGGCCAATCGGTCAACAATGCCCCTTGGGCACCGGGCACTTCCCCCACCCTACAAAGCGGCAAGTGGGCGACTGCGCATGCCCCTCCTGAGCCTCCACCAGGCCCAGTGAGGCGAGGAAGTGACCCCACCGCGGCCTCTCGGCTGCCAACCCCAGAACGCAGATCGAGCCCCTCAACGCCTCGGAGCCCCCGGGCCTCCTTCTGCGCAGCGCCTCCTGGTTCTCTCGCTCGGTTTCCGCCGCTCCCGGGCCACCCCAAGAGTTGCGCCGTCCAACAAAAATATCCACCCAGGTCGCGCCCTCCTGGCCCTCCGAGTCCTGGCGGGGAACTCGGAGGCGCCCTGGGCCGTGGCGCCCGTTTTCCTGGTCTCCGGGCACGGCCGCAGGGGCGCTCGCGGCCCGCGATGCCCGCAGCCCGGGCACATCCCGCCTCACTCACCCCGCCATGGCCGCGCTCCGGCTCCGCCTCCACCGCCCGAGCCCCGGCGCCTCCATCGCTGCGCGTGGGGGAGGCGCGGAGCGCGCGCAGGTCACCATGACTAAGCAGAGCCGGGCGCCCGCCGTGTCACAATAAAAGTCCCCGGGCCCTGGCCTCAGGCGGTAGGGACCGCTGAGGGGCCGCTCCCCACCCCCGCCCACGCCTGCTGTCGCCCAGCTGCGCGGCCACCACGGCGCCCAGCATGGCGGCGGGGCGGGGGCACGCGACCCTGAGCGCGCTTAGCCGCGTGGTCCGAGTCGCGGGGAGTCTGAACCCCGAGTTCCAGGCCTGCGCGCCCCGGCCCGCACCAGGGGTGGGGTGGACACCCCTCCCCGTCGCTGCTGCCCAAGCGCTCACCTCAGCCCCCAGGTCGCCTCCGTAGGGGGTCCCTCGGGGTGGGGATGGCCGGGGCGCGCAGGGGCTCCGGGCACAGTGATGCCACCCGCGCACTGCGCTTCCGGGAAGCCGGGGGACCGCGACCCAGTCCAGGAGATTCCTGCCTTACCTTGGCTGTAGGGGACCCGCGGGCGCCTCCGCCGTCGGGGGGCCTCGGCTCCAGGGCTGCGTGGCCTGCGGGGTCTTGGTTGTCGGTTGGGGAGCGGCCTCGGGACGCCCGAAAAGGAGGCGGGGAGAGGGCGGAAAGGGCGCGGCGGGAAAGGAGCGGCGATTCTCCCGCCCTTCCCGCAGGTGCCCGGCGCCCGTCGGCGAGGAGTGGGGCATCGGGCGGGGGCGCACAGCCAGGCCCCCCTTCTCACTGTCCCTTCCATCTCCCGATTTCGTTGCTGGATGTCTCCTCGCGGGGCTGCGCGCCACCATCTGCTATTCTCCTTTTAACAACGCACAGCGCCGGCCTCGTGGTCCGGCGGCCGCAGGATCTAGGGAAAATTATCTACCTCGCTAGGTTTTCTTTTCTTTTCTTTTCTTTCTTTCTTTCTTTTTTTTTTTCCTTTAGAGACAAGGTCTCGCTCTGATCTGCACGCCCAGGCTGGAGTGCAGTGGCGCAATCGCGGCTCACTGCAGCCTTGAGCTCCTGGCCTCAAGCGATCCTCCCACCTCAGCCTCCTGAGTAGCTGGGACCACAGACAGGCGCCACCACACCCGGCTAATTTTTAGTTTTTGTTTGTTTGTTTGTTTTTCTGTAGAGATGGGGTCTCGCAATGTTGCCCAGGCTGGTCTTGAACACCTGGGTTTAAGAGATCCTGACTCCATTGGCCTCCCAAAGTTCTGGGATTATAGGTGTGAGGCGCTGTGCCCAGGCCTCAGGTTTTCCTTGTCTTTTTTTTTTTTTTTTTTTTTTAATTGAGACAGAGTCTCTCACTGTCACCTGGGCTGGAGTGCAGTAGCTCGATCTTGGCTCACTGCAACCTCCGCCTCCCGGGTTCAAAAAATTCTGCCTCAGCCTCCCGAGTAGCTGGGATTACAGGCGCCCGCCATCATACCCAGCTAATTTTTTGTATTTTTAGTACAGATGGGGTTTCACCATGTTGGCCAGGATGGTCTCAAACCCCTGACCTCATGATCCGCCCGCCTCGGCCTCCCAAAGTGTTGGGATTACAGGCGTGAGCCACCGCGCCCGGCCTTCCTTGTCTTTATTTTTGATTTACTTCCTATCAAGAGGCGTGTGGCACCCGTCTTTGGGGGGTTCAAACCCTGGATCTGCCTCTTACCAGCTCAGTGCCCGTGGGCGCTTACTTAGTTCTCTATGGTTCAGTTTCCTCTCTATAAAAAGTAATAATATAATAGCACCTACCTACCAGATTATCATTAAGACTAAATGCGGGGCCGGGCGCGGTGACTCACACCTGTAATCCCAGCATTTTGGGAGGCCGAGGCAGGCGGATCACGAGGTCGGGAGATCGAGACCATCCTGGCTAACATGATAAAACCCCGTCTCTACTAAAAATACAAAAAATTAGCCGGGCGTGGTGGCGGGCGCCTGTAGTCCCAGGTACACAGGAGGCTGAGGCAGGAGAATGGCGTGAACCCGGGAGGCGGAGCGTGCAGTGAGCCAAGATCACCGCACTGCACTCCAGCCTGCGCCACAGAGCGAGGCTCTGACTCAAAAAAATAAATAAGTAAATAAAAAATAAAAATATTAAATGCGAATGCTGGCTCCCAAGAGACAGAAACCATTGCTATTTTTCATGACTGGGGATACTGATTTGTCATGCACACCGTTTATCATGTAACGTTAACTTTTAAATAAATGTATGTAAGTTTATTTTAAAGAATTCATCTAGGCTGGGTGCGGTGGCTCACATCTGTAATCCCAGCACTTTGGGAGCCGAGGTGGGTGGATCACGAGATCAGGAGTTCAAGACCAGCCTGGCCAACATGGTGAAACCCCCATCTCTACTAAAAATACAAAAATTAACCGGGCGTGGTGGCGGGCGCCTGTAATCCCCAGCTACTCGGGAGGCTGAGGCAGAGAATTGCTTGAACCCGGGAGGCAGAGGTTGCAGTGAGCAGAGATCGCGCCACCACACTCCAGCCTGTGCAACAGAGTGAGACTCTGTCTCAAAAAAAAAAAAAAAAAAAGAAAAAAAAAGAATTCATCTAAATTTCATCCAAATTATAATTATTTTTAAAAGATAGAGAGGCCAGGCGCAGTGGCTCATGCTTGTAATCCTAGCACTTTGGTAGGCCAAGACGGGTGGATCACCTGAGGTTAGGAGTTCGAGACCGGCCTGACCAATATGGTGAGACCGCCGTCTCTACTAAATACAAAAAATTAACCGGGTGTGGTGGTGGGTAAGTGAAGGTTGCAGTGAGCCGAAATCCTGCCATTGCACTCCAGCCTGAGCAACAGCGCGAGACTACGTCTCGAAAGGAAAAGAAAAAAAAAAAAGATAGATGGGATTTCGCCATGTAAGTGAATAATAAATGGAAACTCTAGGCCCCTGGAGCCTCCAGGGTGAATTTGAAAGATTGAACGTCCTGGCTCAGGGTCTGGAAGGAATCACGTGTAGGGCTACGTTGGAGTTACCCCGCTACCCCAAATCCTTGTTGCGTGTAGATGCAGTTCCAGACAGCTCCTCAGGGGGGCGGCCTAGATAGTCCGTGAACACGCTGAGTGGCCGAGGTTGTAACCAGCGCCTTCCTGGCACGTTGCAGAAAACAACCTCTCTAATATCTCTCAAAATCAAACCTACAGGTCCAGTGAGCCAGGTGCTTGTAGAGATTTATCCAAGGTGCACTCGCACACATACAGGAGGAAGCATGTGCACACATTCATTGCATTATAATGCATATCATGGCAAAAGGACTGGATCCCATTCACATGTCCCTCTGTAGAGCCCTGGCTTAATCAGTGGTGGCACATCCTTGCTAAGAAATACTATGCAGCCAGTTAAAAGGAGCAGTACATTTACTGTATGGATATGTACCTAGATCTTCTATTTTTTCTTTTCTCTTTTTCTTTTTCGATTTTCATTTATTTATTTATTTATTTATTTATTTATTTTTGAGACGGAGTCTCGCACTGTCACCCGGGTTGGTGTGCAGTGGTGTGATCTTGGCTTGCTGCAACCTCTGCATCCCGGGTTCAAGCGATTCTTCTACCTCAGCCTCCCAAGTAGCTAGGATTACAGGTGCCTGCCACCATACCCAGCTAATTTTTTGTATTTTTAGTACAGACAGCGTTTCATCATGTTGGTCAGGCTGGTCTTGAACTCCTGACCTCGTGATCCTCCCGCCTCGTCTTCCCAAAGTGCTGGGATTACCGACGTGAGCCACTGCACCCAGACTCTTTTTTTATTTTATTTATTTATTTTTCTTTTTTTGAGACAAGGTCTTGCTCTGTCACCCAGGCTGGAGTGCGGTGGCACAATCATAGCTCACTTCAGCCTTGACCTCCTGAGATCAAGTGATCCTGCTGCCCCAGCCTCCCAAGTAGCTGGGACTACAGTCACTCACTACCACACCCAGCTAACTTCCCCCCACCCTTTTTTTCTTTCTTTTGTAGAGCTGGGGCTTCACCATGTTGCCCAGGCTGATCTCGAACTCCTGGGCTCGACGGATCCTCCCTACTTGGTCTCCCAGAGTTCTGGGATTACAGGTGTAAGCCACCACGCCCCACCTCTTTTTTTTTTTTTTTTTTTTTAACAGGGTCTTGCTGTCACCCAGGATGGCGTGCAGCAGTGCAATCATGGCTCACTGCAGCCTCGAACTCCTGGCTCAAGCCATCCTCCTGCCTCAGCCTCCCAAGTAGCTGGGACCACAGGTGTATGCCACCACACTTGGCTAAGTTATTTCTTTTTTGTAGAGATGGTGTCTCACTATGTTGCCCAGGTTGGTCTCAAACTCCTGGGCTCAAGTGATCCTCCTGCTTCAGCCCTGCAAAGTGCTGAGATTACAGGCATAAGTCACTGTACCTGACCAGGCCTCTATTTTTTTAATGTAAAAAAAGAGCCAGGCCCAGTGGCTTACGCCTGTCATCCCAGCACTTTGGGGGGCCGAGGCGGGCAGATCACCTGAGGTCAGGTGTTCGAGACCAGCCTGACCAACACAGTGAAACCTCGTCTCTACTAAAAATACAAAATAAGCCAGGTGTAGTGGCGCATACCTGTAATCCCAGCTACTCAGGAGGCTGAGGCAGGAGAATCACTTGAACCCCGGAGGTGGAGGTTGTGGTGAGCTGAGATCGTGCCACTGCACTCCAGCCTGTGCAACAAGAGCAAAACTGCATCTCAAAAAAAGAAGTGCTATGGACCAAATTATGCACCCGTACCCCCTTTTCGTGTGTTGCAGCCCTAACCCTCAATGGAATGGTATTTGGAGATGGGGCCTTTGGGAAGCGATTAGGTCTAGATGAGGTCATGAAGGTGGGAACCTCATGATGGGATTAGTGTCTTTATAGGAAGAGCACACCAGAAAGTGTTCTCTCTTTCTTTTTTCTTTTCTTTTTTTTTTTTTTTTTTTTTTTTGAGACAGGCTGGAATGCAGTGGTGCCATCTCCACTCACTACAACCTCCGCCTTACAGGTTCAAGCAATTCTCCTGCCTCAGCCTCCTGAGTAGCTGGAGTTACAGATGTGTGCCACCACACCCAGCTGATTTTTGTATTTTTAGTAGAGATGGGGTTTCACCATGTTGGCCAGGCTGATCTTGAACTCCTGGCCTCAGTTGATCCACCTGCCTCAGTCTCCCAAAGTGTTGGGATTATAGTCATGAGCTACCTCGCCCGACCTGCTCTCTGTTTCTTTCCCCAACATGTGGGAACACAGTGAGAAAGCGGCTGTCTGCAAGCTCAGAAGAGAGTCCTCACTAGAACACAACCATGCTGACATTCTCTTTTTTTGAGACCATGTCTCGCCCTGTCGCCCAGGCTGGAGTGCAGTGGAGTGATCTCCGCTCACTGCAACCCCTGACTCCTGGGTTCAAGCGATTCTTCTGCCCCAGCCTCCGGAGTAGCTGGGATTACATGCGCATGCCGCCACACCCAGGTAATTTTTTGTATCTTTAGTAGCAACGGGGTTTCACCATGTTGGCCATGCTGGTCTCAGATTCCTGACCTCGTGATCCACCTGCTTCGGCCTCAGTGCTGAGATTACAGGCGCGAGCCACTGCTCCTGGCCTTTTTTTTTTTTTTTTTTTTTTTTTTTTTCCGAGACAGAGTCTCGCTCTGTAATCCAGGCTGAAGTGCAATGTCGCGATCTCAGCTCACTGCAACCTCCACCTTCTGAGTTCAAGCAGTTCTCCTGCCTTAGCCTCCCCAGTAGCTGGGATTACAGGCACCTGCCACCACGCCTAGCTAATTTTTTTTTTGTATTTTTGGTAGAGACAGCTGTTTCACCGTGTTGGCCAGGCTGTTCTCGAACTCCTGATCTCAGGTGATCCGCCTGCCTGGGCCTCCCAAAGTGCTGGGATTACAGGCGTGAGCCACAGTGTCCGGCCCCAGGCTGCCATTCTGATATTGGACTTCCTACCCTCCAGAACGATGCAAAAGTAATTACTGGGACTTAAGCCACCCCATCTAGGGTATTTGTTATGCAGTCCAAGCTGACTAAGAGCAAGACATTACAAAATGTGTGGGTATTGCCAGGCGCTGTGGCTCATGTCTGTAATCCCAGCACTTGGGAGGCCGAGGCAGGTGAATCACTTGAGCTCAGGAGTTTGAGACCAGCCTCAAAAAAAAAAAAATTAGCTGTGTGTGGTTGTGAGCTGTGTTGTGGTTTTGAGCTCTGTGGTTGTGAGCCAGGTGTGGTGTGGGGATATTTGGTCCCAGCTACTACACGGGAGGCTGAGGCAGGAGTAGTATTGCTTGAGCCTGAGAGGTGGAGGCTGCAGTGGGCCATAATTGTGTCAAATGCACTCCAGCCTGGGCAACACAGCAAGACCCTATCTCAAAAACCAAACAAACAAGAAAATGTGTGGGTGTGCAATATTTTTGCAAGATATACTTTTCAAAAAAATTTTTTAGACAGGTCTTGCTGTATCACCCAGGCTGGAGTGCAATTGTACAATCATAGCTCACTGCAGCCTTGACCTCCCAGGCTCAGGCGATCCTCCCACTCCAGCCTCCCCAGTGTCTGGGACCATAGGCATGTGCCACTGTGCCCGGGTGATTTTTTTTTTTTTTTTAGATAGTGTCTCACTCTGTTACTCAGATTGGAGTGCAGTGGCATGATCTCGGCTCCCTGCAACCTCTACTTCCTGGGTTCAAGCAATTCTCATGCCTCAGCCTCCTGAGTAGCTGGGATTACAGGAACCTGCCACAACGCCTGGCTATTTTTTGCATTTTTAGTAGAGACGGGGTTTCACCATGTTGGCTAGGCTTGTATCTAACTCCTGGCCTCAAGTAATCCTCCCGCCTTGGCCTCCCAAAGTGCTGGGATTACAGGCATGAGCCACCATGCCCGGCCCACCTGGGTGATTTTTGAATCATTTCTAGAAACTGGGTCTCCCTATGTTGTGTGGGCCTATCTCCAACTACTGGGCTCAAATGATCCTTCTGCCTCAGCCTCCCAAAATGCTAGGATTACAGGCGTGAGCCAACATGCCCTGCCAAGATATACTGTTAAGTCAACAAAGCAACATGCAGAACAGTGATAAATTTGTACAAAAAGACAGGAGGTGTATTTACATTTCATTTTGGCAAGGTGAATCCACAGACTAGCTCTGGAAGGTCCCCAGGAGTCCCACTGTGATCGCCACAAGGAAGGGGAACTGCGTGCTTTTTTTTTTTTCTTGAGATGGAGTTTCATTCTTTTTGCCGAGGCTGAAGAGCAATGGCATGAGCTCGGCTCACTGCAACCTCTGCCTCTTGGGTTCACGTGATTCTCCTGCCTTGGCCTCCCAAGTAGCTGGGATTACGGGTGCACGCCACCATGCCCGGCTAATTTTGTATTTTAAGTAGAGACGGGGTTTCCCCATGATGGCCAGACTGGTCTCAAACTCCTGACCTCAGGTGATCCGCCCGCCTCGGCCTCCCAAAGTGCTGGGATTACAGGTATGAGTCCACTGCGCCTGGCTGAACTGGATGCTTTTTAAATTTTCTAGAAAACTCATAAGCAAGTGTGCCTGTGTTCCAACTGGTTGGTTTCCCGTGTGTGTGGCCTCCAGGGGCACTCTGAACGTGGCCAGCAGGGACTTGGGGTCCCCCCAGTCTGGGACACCTGTCCCCAAAACACCGCTTTTTTTGAGGTTGCCTGCAGTTCCAAGGTTTCCCGGAAGGTGGAGCGCTGCAGTCTGAACCCGAAGCCAGACGCCCCCCAACCCGGCCCCAGGGCCCATCCAGCCGTTCAGGGGTCAAGAATGCGCCTGGGGACATGCCGGGGGCAGGGGCCAGCACGTCTGGAGCCTTTTATGGGCACAAACGGCGCCCTGGCATCGTTCCAACCATGAATGCAGACCCCCGTGGGAGGGACTGTTGGCATAGCCTTGCCAGACCCATCTGGAGGGGTCAGATACCAAGCCAGTGCCTCCTGGGGCCTGAAGCTTAAGCTAATGTCCTGGCTCAGACACTGAGACAAGGTAGTCACTGTCTGGAATTTCCTCATCTGTCTAATGGGGATTAGGAAACCTACCTTGCAAAGTTGCTATAAGGCTGAAAAATAGGTGTGTCCCAGAACTGTGCAGAAAACTAGCCAGACAAAATGAACTCTTACTTTAGGCCGGGTGTGGAGGCTCACACCTGTATCCCAGCACTTCGTTGTTGTTGTTGTTGTTGTTATTGTTATTTTGTTTTCTGAGATGGAGTCTTGCTCGGTCGCCCAGGCTGGAGTGCAGTGGCGCGATCTCAACTTACTGCAACCTCCAGCCTCCTGGGTTCAAGTGATTCTCCCTC
This sequence comes from Homo sapiens, assembly GCF_000001405.40. NCBI lineage: Eukaryota > Metazoa > Chordata > Mammalia > Primates > Hominidae > Homo > Homo sapiens. The sequence goes on from NC_000019.10 coordinate 10,511,022, forward strand.
CTCAGCCTCCCGAGTAGCTCGGACTACAGGCGCGCGGCACCATGCCCGGCTAATTTTTTTTTTTTTTTTTGTATTTTTATTAGAGGCGGAGTTTCACCATGTTGGCCAGGCTGGTCTCGAGCTCCTGACCTCTAGAGATCCGCCTGCCTCGGCTTCCCAAAGTGCTGGGATTACAGGTGTGAGTCACCGTGCCTGGCCTTTATCCCAGCACTTTGGGAGGCCAAGGTGGGTTGCTTGAGCCCAGGAGTTTGAGACCAGCCTGGGCAACGTGGTGAGAAATCATCTCTAAAAAAAAATTCAAAACATGTTTGGTGTGGTGCTCCAGTAGCCCCAGCTACTCGGGTTGGGGGCTGAGGCAAGAGGATCACTTGAGCACAGGAGTTCAGGAGGATCACTTGAGGCTGCAGTGAGCTGGGATTATGCCAGTGTACTCCAGGCTGGGCGACAGAGCAAGATCCTATCTCAAAAAGAAACCAAAAAACGGCCGGGCACAGTGGCTCTACCTGTAATCCCAGCACTTTGGGAGGCTGAGGCGGGCAGATCACGAGGTCAGGAGTTTAAGACCAGCCTGATCAATATGTGAAACCCCATCTCTACTAAAAATACAAAAACTAGCCAGGTGTGGTGGCGGTGCCTGTAATCCCAGCTACTCGGGAGGCTGAGGCAGGAGAATCGCCTGAACCCAGGAGGCGGAGGTTGTAGTGAGCCAAGATTGCAGCACTGCACTCCAGCCTGGTGACGGAGTGAGACTTCATCTCAAAAAAAAAAAAAAGGCCAGGCGCAGTGGCTCACACCTGTTATCCCAGCACTTTGGGAGGCCGAGGTGGGCGGATCACAAGGTCAGGAGATCAAGACCATCCTGGCTAACACTGTGAAACCCCATCTCTACTAAAAATACAAAAAAATTAGCCATGCTTGGTGGCGGGCACCTGTAGTCCCAGCTACTTGGGAAGCTGAGGCAGGAGAATGGCGTGAACCTGGGAGGTGGAGCTTACAGTGAGCCGAGATTGCGCCACTGCACTCCAGCCTGGGTGATAGAGTGAGCCTCCATCTCAAAAAAAAAAAAAAAAGAGAAACCAAAAAACCTCTTATGTTTTCCTAAAAGACATGATTTCATCACACAGGCTGGAGTTCAGTTATGCAAAAATAGCTCACTGCAGCCCCTGAGCTCCTGGGTTCTGGAAATCCTCCTTCTTCAGCCTCCCCAGTAGCTGTGACTATAGGCATGCGTAACCACAACTGCCTAATTTTTAAAATTTTTTGTAGAGATGGGGTCTCACTATGTTGACCAGGCTGGTCTCAAACTCCCAGCCTCAATCGATCCTTCTGCCTCAGCCTCCCAAAGTGTTGGGATTACAGGCATGAGCCACTGTGTCTGGCCTTATTTTGTTATCCTTTTTTTTTTTTTTTTTTTTTTAGACCGAGTCTCACTTTGTTACCCAGGCTGGAGTGCAGCTCTTTGCAACCTCCGCCTCCCAGTTTCAAGGGATTCTCCTGCCTCAGCCTCCCGAGTAGCTGGAACTATATGCGTAAGCCATCACACTTGGCTAATTTTGGTATTTTTAGTAGAGATGGGGTTTCACCATGTTGGCCAAACTGGTCTCAAACTCCTGACATCAGGTGATCTGCCCACCTCTGCCTCCCAAAGTGCTGGGGTTAGAGGCATGAGTCACGGCACCCAGCCTATTATTATTATTTCTTTTAATGAAGGATCTGAAACTGCATTTGAAGAAATTTTATTAACTGGGCATGGTGGTGCATGCCTGTAGTCCCAGCTACTAGGGAGGCTGAAGCAGGAACTCCAGGCTTGATCCCAGGAGTTCCAGGCTGCAGTGAGCTATAATTGTGCCCATTGCACTCCAGCCTGGGTGACAGAGCACAAGATCCCAACTCAAAAAAAAAAAAAAGAAAGAAAGAAAGAAAAGAAAAATAAAAAAGAAATTTTATTACCAGATAGGATTTGGCTGAGTCTCCCAGAGTCAAATTTGGGGGTGCCCCACCCTTGGCATTGTCCTTGATAACTTTATTCCACTCTTACACTCAATTCCTCAGTAATTCTGTCTGCTGCCTCTAAAATCTATCTAGAATCCACGGGGTCTGGGCTTAGCTGGAATCTCCATCATTGTTCCTGTGGCTCAGTGCAGCCCCCCTTCACCTTCTCTGGTTTTCAACCTCCCATGGAGGCCACAAGACACCTGTGATCACCTGAATTAGGGCAAGTCCCTCTTCTGCTTAGAAGCTTCTATGGCTCCCACCTCACTCAGAGCAAAAGCGAAGTCCTCTATATCACCCACAAGGTCCTTCGGGAACTACTCCTTCAGCTCCTTGTCTCCTCCCATTCTCCCCCTCCGTCCCTGCTCCAGGCACACCAGCATCGCTGCATTTCTTAGAACACATGGGCACATTTCAGCCTCAGGGCCTTTGCGCATGCCATTCCCTCATCCTGAAATGCTTTTCTTTTGGTCTTCCCAGGACAGAGGTCTCAGCTCACATCACAAGTCACTACCTCTGCAGAGAGGTCTTCCCTGACCACCATCACCATCTCTGTCGTTTGTCACTGGAATCATCTCCATTATTTCATCACCGAGTTCTTTTCTGTGTTCCCAAGCAGAACGTCAATTCCACGAGGGCACAGATTTTTTGTCTGTTTGTTCACATTGTGGGGTGTCGCTGCATAAATACATTTCCCCTGCATCTTTTCCGACTGCACCTTTGGCTGCATTTCCTACAAATTCCTTTATGTAAAAAGAACAAGTCTGTAAAACTTGGGAAGACAGTCGTGGGCCGAGGGTGTCAGTCTGCAGCCGGTTCTGATACCAGAGTCCGGGCGGCTGTGGGTGCACCGGGGCTGCCTGTGGAGCCGCTGGTGTCCAGCCCGTCGCGCTGGGGCGATGAGCGCTCCGAGCCGCTGAAGCTCCCATCAAGGCCCGGGGGCAGGCAGCGGCGCAGGCCCCCGGAAGCCTCAGCCGCGCTCGCCGACTGCTGGGAGCCACTCGGGTCTCTGCCGCAGGAGTGGCGTCCGCAGCAGACCAGGCGCAGGAGCGCGTGGCGCAGGTCGCGGTTGGTGAGCGTGTAGATGATGGGGTTCAGAAGTGAGTTGGCCATGGCCAGTCCCAGGAAGGGATCGGCCTGCAGGAGTACAGGACAGGTGCGCGCCGGGCACGCCACGTCGAGCAACAGCAGCAGGAAGAGGGGGCCCCAACATGCCACAAAGGCCAGGAGCACCACGCTGAGCGTGCGCAGCAAGGCCAGCGAGCGCGGCTTGCGACGCGCCCGGGTCGAGGTGGTCCCCGCAGTCCCGGGCCGTGCCGGCAGGCGCCGCGCGTTGGCGCGTACCTGGCAGTAGATGCGCGCGTAGAGTGCACAGATAGCGGCCAGGATGCCCACGAAGGCGAGCACGCAGAAGAGCACGTAGGCCTTGGCGTAGAGCGGCAAGACAGTGGAGCAAGCGTCCAGGCGACCCAGGCAATTCCAGCCCAGCGCTGGCAGGAGCCCGAGGAGCAGCGACACGCCCCAGGCCGCGGCTGCCATCGCCAGCGTGCGCCCCCGACTGGAGACGGGCGCGGGCCCCCTGCGCGCCATGGTGAGGCTGCGCTCCAGCGCGATGGCCAGGAGGCTCAGCACGGACGCAGTGAGTGCCACGAAGACGCCTCCCTCCCGTGCGAACCAGAGCGCGGGGGACAGTTTCAGCGTGAGCGGCCCCGACAGTAGGATGTTGGCGGCGTAGGCGGCGCCTGCCAGCAGATCCGACAACGTGAGGCTGCCCAGGAGCAGGAACATGGGAGCGTGGAAGCGCGGGTGGCGTCCGAGCACCAACAACACGGCTAGATTCTCTAGCACGATGAAGGCGCACACCGCCAGGCACACCACGGCGTCGGCGCGCAGGCCGGCACCCGGCTGGTAGCGCGCACCGCGGAGCTTGCCGGTGTAGTTGTAATGCAGGACGATGACCTCGCTCACCGGCGCCGGCCGCAGCAGCCCCGACTCCATGGGCCGCGCGCCCCAAGGCTGTTGGAGAGGCAAGATACGGTGTCAGGCCGCGGTCCCCGTAAGCACGCTCGCAGCAGCCGGCTAAGTCGTGGGAAAGGGGCCCTACCCACTGACCATCACCCCCTATACATGGTGTCCAAGGGGGAGTTCAGGATGGAGGGATAGAGTCCGTGGAGACAGACATACACACAAATAATATCACGAGGGAACAAGGTGACATAGTCCCAAAAAAAGGGACATTAATAACACATGAATGGCTGGGCGCGGTGGTTCACACATGGCTGGGCGCGGTGGCTCAGGCCTGTAATCCCCGCCTGTAATCCCCCCAGGCTCAGGCCTGAGGCAGTGGCTCAGGCCTGGGAGGCCAAGGGGGGCAGATCACGAGGTCAGGAGATCGAGACCATCCTGGCTAACACGGTGAACCCCTCCGTCTCTGCTAAAAACACAAAAAATTAGCCAGGCATGGTGGCACGTGCCTGTAGTCCCAGCTACTCCAGAGGCTGAGGCAGAAGAATCATTTGAACCCAGGAGGCGGAGGTTGCAGTGAGCCGAGATCGCATCACTGCACTCCAACCTAGGTGGCAGAGCGAGACTCTGTCTCAAAACACCCCCCCTCCCCACCAAACACACACACGGCTGGGTGTGGTGGCTCACTCCTGTAATTCCAGCACTTTGGGAGGCTGAGGCGGGAGGATTGTTTGAGGCCCAGGAGTTCGAGATTAGCCTGGACAACATAGGAGAACCCCGTTTCTACAAAAATTAGCCGGGACGTGTTGGTGTATGCCTATAGTCCAAGCTACTCAGTGGAGTCCCAGCTGAGGTGAGAGGATCACTTGAGCCCGCGGGGTCAAGGCTGCAGTCAGTGAGCATTGATTGTGCCACTGTACTCCAGCCAGGACAACAGAGCAAGACTTTGTCTCAAACACACACACACAAACACACAAGCAGGGAGTTCCAGAGACGTAACAGTAAACACACAGAACGCACACAAACGCAACACACACAGAAAGAGACACACAAATACAGCGACACACTACAAGGGCAAAACACACAGTCACACACTATCAGGGAAACTAAAAAATACATCATACAGGAACAGAGTGACGCAGGCAGAAAAACACAGCGACCAAAATTCAGTCACACGAATACAGGGTCTCCCACCCAGTGGCACAGGCCACAATTTCACAACCTCCACTCACACTAGCCTGGGGCCCAGTGCACCACACTCCACACTCTTGTCTCACTGCATACAAAGCTTTTTCCTGCCAAAACCCCCTCATCCACCCAAAACCCCATGAGAAAGTTGCTCCTTGGCCAGGCACAGTGGCTTTCGCCTGTAATCCCAGCACTTTGGGAGGCCGAGGTGGGAGTATCACTTGAGCCCAGGAGTTCGACACCAGCTTGGGCAACATACTAAGACTTCATCTCTACAAAAAAATTTAAAAATTAGCCAGGTGTGGTGTTATGCCCCTATAGTCCCAGCTACTCAAGAGACTGAGGCGGGAGGATCACTTGAGCCTGGGAGGCCGAGGCTGCAGTGAGCCATGATCGCACCCCTGCTCTCCAGCCTGGGTGACAAGAGAGAAACTCCGTCTCAAAAAAAAAAAAAAAAAAAAAAGTTGATCCTATTCACTCATTTTACTAAGGCAGAGCCTGAGGACAGGAGAGAGAATCCACAAGAGGCAAACAGACTCTTACAGAGGGGCACACATGTCATTAAACTGTAATAACACTCCTCACCTGCCTCTGTGACCTTATTAATCCCCACTTCCTTTAGTCCTAATTTACAGATGAGAAAACTGAAGCTCAAAAGAAATGCTTCGTATCGAAGCAGGCGCAAAGGTTTCCATGCTCCCACACAAACATCCATGCACAAATAGTCCCCATGCAAGTCCAGATGAGAAAGCCAAGGCCTGGGGAGGGGAATGGATCTCTTTTGCACAAGGCAGGGATGCGGACATCCCAGAGAGCTTCAGTCACACACAGAGAATCAAGGCAGGCAAACATAGACAGGAAGTCGCTGGCTCACCCATGCTGGAGGTGGGGAGCCCAAATACAGGGAGACAGGGTTACACATGCTCTGAGGGGGAGGCCAACCCCATCCGCCCAGCTTGCCCGGCAGCAGGACTGAAGTATGGAAACTTGCAGTGGCCCGGCCAGGAGGGGGTGGCCAGGGGATTCCAGCCACCTTCACCCCGTATCCCAGGTCCTGCACCCAGCTGGGGAGCCCCCAGCTTCCCCCTCCCCAGAGGCCTCCAGGAAAAGTTCGGAGAACTCCCTGCAAGGAGTGGTGCGCCTTTTTAGACCGGGAAAGTGGCCGCCAGGGCGACCCCCTCCGGGTCAGGCCCAGCCCAGCGCCCCCAAAGGTCCAGTGCAGTCCACTCACTCTGCGCCCTGGTCGTGCGCCACCCGCAGTCGCGCTGCCTTGAACCGAGTGAGCGGACGCCGCTCCGGGGGCGGGGCTGGAGCTGGCAGGCGAGGGGGCGGGCCAGCGACGCAAAGGGCCGGCGGTCGCCAGCAGTTGCCCCCTCCCCTTGGGTCCCGGGCACTCAGCCCATGGCTGCCAGCCTGTGCCACTCGCCGCGGCACCGGAGCGCGCCCCGGCGGCGACTGGCACAGGCGAGCCCTCAGCTGCCCCCTCCGGGCCTGGGCTGTCCTCCCAGGGACGCTCCATCGCGGTGGGAGGACTCGGAGAGGCGGGAAAGGGAGGGTTCTGCAGCAGGGCGGTCGCAGCCTGAGCCTCTTCTCCCCAGCGGAGGGGTCTCCTCTGTCCTGGGTGTCCGGGCACTGCGCCCTCCCATTGCCCACCCACCTGTGAACTGAGCTTCCTGGGCTGCACCCCAAGGACGCCCCGTCGATGATTCGGAGGGGTCTTCAGTGGGTTGCTTAGCAGGAGTCTTCAGTGGGGGCCACCTTAGCCTGAGTCCTCTCCCACCAGCAGATAGGTTCCCGCTGCTCCCGGGCACAGGCCCCTCCCAATTTCCCGCTCCCGCCCCCGGCTCAGGGCGAGTGGGGGTGGGGCGGGCCCGGGCAGGATTGTGATGGGAACTTGCCGCTCCTCAGATAAGGAGGGTCTCTCCTGTCCCACCCCCTGGATTCCGTGTTCCCCCGACCGATTCTCTCCCACCCTTATCGCTGACGACAAAGTGATTTACTCATTAATGGTGTTTCTGGGCTGTGTCCTTAGCAGACAGTAAACCCCAGCAATGTAAGAATTTCTTTTTTTTTTTTTTTTTTGAGACAAGATCTTGCTCTGTGGCCCAGAGTGGAGTGCAGTGGCAACATCATAAGTCACTGCAGTCTCGACCTCCGCGGCTCAAGCCATCCTCCCATCTCAGCCGGCTGAACGTAGCTGCTGGGACTCCAGTCGCTTGCAACCATGCCCAGATAATGAATGAGTGTCTCCCTCACTTCCTCTGTATCTCTCTCAGGAGGATCTCAGAGTCTCTCGCCTGCGTGTCTCTTTGTCTCTGCGTGTCTCTTTGCCTCTGCGTGTCTCTTTGTTGCTGTCTGTGATGCTCTCCCACGCCTCTCCCAGGCCACTGCTCCTCCAACGACCAGTCCCGCTGGCCCCGAAACGCCCCCACCCCGACTTCCCAGGAACTTCCAGACGGTCCCAGCTCTTCCACCCTCAGATTCAGGAAGGGAGGCTGGGTCCCGCTGCTGCGACCTTCTCCAGGACCGTGCCCTTTGCCCCTGATGCTTCAGGCCCTGCTGGCCGCGGGTGGGGTGAGGGCGCCCCAGGAGAGATGAGCCAGAGGCTGAGAATAAGTGTGGATCCGGGATACCCTCGTGGGAGGAAACTCAGGGGGCACTCAGGCCGGGTCAGGCCCCCATGTAGCCCCTTGGGGATCCCAGCCCTCCTGCCCCCGCTGTTCCCTCGGTGGGCAGAACCTTTCCTGCCTGCTCTGCTCAAAGACACAGCCAATGGGACCCGCAGGGTGGGACGGTGTTAACCCTTCAGTGCCAGGTTCCCCAGTCCTGTGGACCAAGCCAACTCCAATGGTGCCCACTGGGATGACCCCTGAAGATCTCCCAGCATGGCTGTGGCTGGCACCCAGTAGGTGCTCAATAAATGACCTCCTTCTGTAAAGGGGAAGCCGCGCCCCAGGGTGGGGAGGTGGCTGCTTCACACCTCCCAGGCGCCAATCTCACTTCTCTCGAAAATGGGGCTCTTCCGGCTGCGGGTCCCGGGCTCAGCAACCTGCCTCTCCAGCTGCCTCCCTGAACTTCTTTCCCACGAATTGGGACCCTGGGGACTCAGGCTCCAGGATCTCGACAGATGTTGGGAGTCCCATCCCTAGCTGCCACTCCACACTCCTGGCCACAGTTCTTAAAACTCAGATCACATTTCTTTTCTGCTCCAAACCCTCCCGTGGCTCCCTGTGTTTCTCAGAGTAAGTGATCAAGTCCTCAGTGAGGACCCCGCAAGGACAAGGCCATATGCCGTCCTGATTTGTCTCTTTCTGTTACTTCTGTGCCTCTCTCTGCTCCACTCTGCTTCTGCCTCCCGGGCTCCTCCGAGTTCCACACACACTTCAAGACTTTTGAACTTGGGGGCCAGGTGGCCTGGAGCACCCTTCTCCCCACCCCTTCCCAGCTGGTCAGCTGGTCACCTCCTCAGAGAGACCTTCCCTGATCTGTCCCTCATCTCAAATGGCAGTTGGCATTATCTGAAATCACCTTGCTTTTGCTTTTTTTTTTTTTTTGTAATCTCCCTTTATTGCCCAGGCTGGAGTGCAGTGGTGCGATTTGGGCTCACTGCAAACTTCGCCTCTGCAACCTCCGCCTCCTGGCTTCAAGCAATTCTCCTGCCTCAGCCTCCAGAGTAGCTGGGATTACAGGAATGCACCACCCCGCCCAGCTAATTTTTGTATTTTTAGTAGAGGCGGGGTTTCACCATGTTGGCCAGGCTGGTCTCCAACTCCTGACTTCAGATGAATCGCCCGCCTCCCCCTCCCAAAGTGCTGGGATTACAGGCGTGAGCCACCGTGCCCGGCCACCTTGTTCATTTCATTTATTTATTCATCTTTCCTAATGTGTATCTCTGACCTAGAGCCTCAGCTCCAGGAAGGCAGGTCTGTCCCTCTGCCCAGATTCCTAAAGGTTAAGGGCTCACAGTTTTTTGATTTTTCTTTCTTTTGTGAGACAGCGCCTCACTCTGTCATCCAGGCTGGGGCACAGTGCCGTGATCACAGCTCCCTGCAGCCTCGACTTTCCAGGCTTCAAGCAATCCTCTGCCCAACCTCCAGAGTAGCTGGGACCGTAGGTGCCAGCCACTGCACCTGGCTACTTTTTAAAATTTTTTGTAGAGACAGGGTCTCGCCAGGTTACCTAAGCTGGCCTTGAACTCCTGGACTCAAGCAATTCTTCTGCCTCAGCCTCCCAAAGTGCTGGGATTACAGGAGTGAGACAGGACTCAAGGTCTTGAGGCAGGCAAGTGATACCCACTGTGAGCCTCAGTGGACTTATCTGTAAAATTGAGATAATAGCCAGGTGCAGTGGCTCATGCCTGTAATCCCAGCACTTTGAGAGGCCGAGGTGGGCAGATCACCTGAAGTCAGGAGTTCAAGACCAGACTGGCCAACATGGTGAAACCCCATCTCCACTAAAAATATAAAACTTAGCCGGGCGTGGTGGCGCGCACCTGTAGTCCCAGCTACTCCGGAGGCTGAGGCAGGAGAATCACCTGAACCTGGCAGGCGGAAGTTGTAGTGAGTCAAGATCGCGCCACTACACTCCAGCCTGAGCAATGCAGTGAGACTCCATCTCAAAAAAAAAATAAAAATAAAATTGAGATAACCGCACCCACTCCAAGGCTGTTGTTGAAGATGAAATGAACAGTTGGAACAGAGCCAAGGTATACAATGAGAGCTCCACAAATGTCAGTGCAGCTATTATTGGTCACCACTGTATCCCCAAAGAAGAATTAGGGCAATGGGCTCATAAGGAATCAGCCCCAGACATTGCCACCACCCGCCCCCACCCCATACCTCCTCCCACACCCCACAGGCCAAACTGTCTCTTCCCGGGTTCAGGGCACCCCTGGCCTCTATGTTCCTGCTGTGTCTTGCAGCAGCCCTCCCGCCTGAAGCATGCCTAGGCCAGCACACCCGCTGGGCCAGTTCTGCTGCCAGCACCCTCGCCCACAGAGGCAGCTCCACCCAGCGCCCGCTCTTGCAGAGCTGGGTCTGCACCTTCGAGAGGGCAAACTGCCTCCCATGGTACCCTCAGATCCCCTTCACCCACTCCCATTCCCACCCTCCTCACTCCCCCTGCCCTTTTTTTTTTTTTTTTTTTTTTTGAGACGGAGTCTTACTCTGTCACCTGGGCTGGAGTGCAATGGCACTATCTGGGCTCACTGCAACCTCCACCTCCTGGGTTCAAGCAATTCTCCTGCCTCAGCCTCCTGAGTAGTTGGGATTACAGGCACGCGCCACCACACCCGGATAATTTTTGTATTTTTAGTAGAGACATGGTTTCACCATATGGGTCAGGCTTGTCTCGAACTCCTGACCTTGTGTTCCACCTGCCTTGGCCTCACAAAGTGCTAGGATTATAGGCGTGAGCCACCCTGCCCGGTCTTTTTTTTTTTTTTTTTCTTGAGATAGGGTCTGGCTCTGCCACCCAGGCTGGAGTGCAGTGCGCAGTGATCTTGGCTCAGTGCAACCTCCACCCCGAGTTCAAGGGATCCTGCCACTACAGCCTCCCAAGTAGCATGCGCCACCATGCCCAGCTACTTTTTTTGTATTTTTGTAGAGACAGAGTTTCGCCATGTTGCCCAGACTGGTCTCAAACTACTGGGCTCAAGTGATCCTGCTGCCTCGACCTCCCAAAGGGCTGGGATTACAGGCATGAGCCACTGCACCCGGCCCACATTCCCTTTTTCACAGCCCTGAAACTTAAATGTGGCTGCAGGGAGGTGTGAACTGACAACTTTCCCACAGCCAGAGAACAGAGAGGCAGGGTTTGGGGGTCTCAAACGGGAGGCCCGAGGGCCAACTCCAACTCACATGCACAAGGCTTGTTTGTGCAGCTCAGTGAGGTTTCACACTCAAACAGCTATCCGAACTGGACAGAAATGCTGCACTCTAGCCAGTAAATTTGTTTCTCTTAGAAGTACAAGGCAACAGGCTGGGCGCAGTGGCTCACACCTCTAATCCCAGCACTTTAGGAGGCCGAGGGGGGTGGATCACCTGAGATCAGGAGTTCGAGACAAGCCTGACTAACATGGTGAAATCCCAATCTCTACTAAAAATACAAAAATTAGCCGGGCATGGTGGTGCACGCCTGTAATCCCAGCTACTCCGAAGACTGAGGCAGGAGAATTGCTTGAACCGGGGAGGCAGAGGTTGCAGTGAGCCGAGATCGCGCCACTGCACTCCAGCCTGGGTGACAGAGCGAGACTCCGTCTCAAAAAACAAAAAGAAAAAGAAGTACAAGGCAACAATTCTGAAAATGCTTTCATGCTAACATTGAACAAATAAGTACACGTGTTGTAGATATGAATAACCAGGTTTCATACTGTTGGGGAAAAAAAATGACAAATAAGCCAGGTACTGCTGCATTGAGGTTATCAGTATGAGCTCAAGTTTATTTTAATAAATGGATAAGAAAATAAATATAGATATGTGACCAGGTGCTGTGGCTCACACCCATAATCTCAGCACTTTGGGAGGCCAAGGCGGGTGGATCATGAGGTCAGGAGATCGAGACCATCCTGGCCAACATGGTGAAATGCCATCTCTACTAAAAATACAAAAATTAGCTGGGCTTGGTGGCACGTGCCTGTAATCCCAGCTACTCGGAAGCTGAGGCAGGAGAATCGTTTGAACCAGGGAGTCAGAGGTTGCAGTGAGCCGAGATCATGCCACTGTACTCCAGCCTGGCAACAGAGCGAGACTCTGTCTCAAAAAAAAAAAAAAAAGCTGGACGCTATGGCTCACGCCCACAATTCCAGCACTTTGGGAGGTCAAGGTGGGTGGATCACGAGGTCAGGAGTTCGAGACAAGCCTGACCAACAAGGTGAAACCCCGTCTCTACTAAAAATAGAAAAAAATTAGCCAGGCATGGGGGTGCATGCCTGTAATCCCAGCTACTCAGGAGGTTGAGGCAGGAGAATCGCTTGAACCTAGGAGGCAGAGGTTGCAGTAAGCTGAGATCATGCCACTGACTCCAGCCTGGGCAACAGGGTAAGACTCCGTCTCAAAAAAAAAAAAATTTTTTTTTAATTAGAATGTGGTGAAGGTTGCACCACTCTGTAAAATACACTAAAAACCACAGTTGTATATTTCAAGTGTGTGAATTTGATGACATCTGAATTATACCTCAATAAAGCTGTTAAAAATTATATTTGACATTTATCAAGTGGTTAGTTCAAAGCGGGGCAATGTGCTGAACTTTCTACACCATGTTACATTCCCACCCAGAACATCATGTGAGAAGGAAAGGGACTTTTATGTCTCCACTTTATAGGTGTCCCAGATTGAGATCTGAGAGGTTAAGCAAGCTGTCCACAGTCACACAGAAATGGGGTGAACAAACTACAGAGGTCTGGCATTGGAGGCCTGGCAACCCTGGGCTTCCCCTCCGGTCCCCTGCTCCTTACTTGTTCTAAGCTGAGCTCATGGCATACTGCAATGATTTTAGTTTCTGCCACACACACATTCTTTCCAGCCTCCAGGTACCTGGATTTGCTGGTTCAATCCTTCTGCCTGGCTGTTTTCCCTTTTCTTTTTCTTTTTTTTTTTTTTTTTTTGAGGGAGTTTCGCTCTTGCCCAGACTGGAGTGGTGCAATGGCGCAATCTTGGCTCACCGCAACCTCCCTCTGCCTCCCAGGTTCAAGCAATTCTCCTGCCTCAGCCTCCCAAGTAGCTGGGATTACAGGCGCGTGCCATCATGCCTGGCTAAATTTTGTATTTTTAGTAAAGGCAGGGTTCCACCATGTTGGTCAGGCTCCTCTCGAACTCCTGACCTCAGGTGATCCACCAGCCTCAGCCTCCCAAAGTGCTGGGATTACAGGCGTGAGCCACCACACCTGGCCTGTTTCCCCTTTTCTTTCCACATAGCCTGTGAAATGAATGTCTAAGTGTGAGGGCACGAGAGACAGATGTAGAGAGAGACAGAGATAGAGGAAAGGTGCCGAGTCCAGAGCTCCACATCTCGGCCTGGGAGGTGAGGGGTGCCAGGGGCACCTGGAAGGGTTGCTTGGAGGGAACTATCCAGGAAATGCTTGGCCACCGACCTCCATCTATAGCGTTTAAAGCCATCTCTCTTCCTTGGCCTGGAGTTTAAGCCAAGCTATAATTCAGGACACTCCTAAGAGGATGAGGTCAGATTTTCCCCAGGAGAATTCACCAGGCCTGGGGGTGAGCAGGTGGCAGGAGAGAGGCATGGCCCTGCCAGAGTCCTCCCAGCACCTTGGGACAAGGTGTTCCCCTCCCCTCACTACTGTGCTGCTTTCTCTTCCCTTCTCCTTCCCAACTCAAAGCCTCATCTCAGAGCCTTTTAGAATCTCTGATAGACCGGGCACGGTGGCTCACACCTGTAAGCCCAGCAACTTTGGGAGGCTGAGGTGGGCGGATCACCTGAGGTCGGGAGTTTGAAACCAGCCTGGCCAACATGGAGAAACCCTGTCTCTACTAAAAAATACAAAATCAGCCAGGCGTGGTGGCACATGCCTGTAATCCCAGCTACTCGGGAGGCTGAGGCAGGAGAATTGCTTGAACCCAGGAGGCGGAGGTTGCCGTGAGCCGAGATCACGCCATTGCACTCCATCCTGGGCAAAAAGATCAAAACTCTGTCTCAAAAAAAAAAAAAAAAAAAGAATCTCTGATAAAATGTACACTAGGGGGTGGGTGCAGTGGCTCACACCCCGTAATTCTATCACTTTGGGAGGCCAAGGTGGGTGGATCGCTTGAGGCCAGGAGTTCAAGGCCAGCCTGGGCAACATAGCAAGACCCTGTCTCTACAAAATAATAATAAAGATTATATATATATATATATATTCACTCATGCGCAGTGGCTCATGACTGTAGTCCCAGCTACTTGGGAGGCTGAGACAGGAGGATCACTTGAGCACAGGAGTTGGAGGCTGCAGTGAACTGAGATTTCACCACTGCACTCCAGCCTGGGCAAAAGAGTGAGATCCGGTCTCAAAAAAACAAACAGAAAAAAACCCTCCAGGGCAGGCACAGTGGCTCACACCTGTAATCCTAGCACTTTGGGAGGCCAAGGCCGGTGGATCACTTGAATCCAGAAGTTCGAGATCAGCCTGAGCAAAATAGGAAGTCCCTGTCTCTATTTAAAAAAAAGAAAAAAAAAAAAATATATACACACACACACACACACACACACACACACACGTACACACACATATATATACGCACACATATATATGTGTGTATATGTGTGTGTGTATATGTATATGTGTGTGTGTGTGTGTGTGTGTATATATATATATATGCAGGGCGTGGTGGCTCACGCCTGTAATCCCAGCACTTTGGGAGGCTGAGGCGGGTGAGTCACCTGAGGTAGGGAGTTCGAGACCAGCCTGACCAGTATGGAGAAACCCGTCTCTACTAAAAATACAAAATAGCCCGATGTGGTGGCGCATGCCTGTAATCCCAGCTACAAGGGAGGCTGAGGCAGGAGAACCACTTGAACCCGGGAGGTGGAAGTTGTGGTGAGCCGAGATCGCGCCATTGCACTCCAGCCTGGGCAACAAGAGCAAAACTCCGTCTCAAAAAAAAAAAAATTATCTGTCCTCTGTGTATTCATCCCCACCTCTTCCCTAACCCCCGGCAACCTCTGATCTTTTAACTGTCTTCATAGCTTTGTCTTTTCTGGAATGTCATACAACTGGAATCACACAACATGTAGCCTTTTCAGATTAGCTTCTTTCACTTAGTGATAGGCAGTTAAGCTTCCGCCATGTCTTTTCAAGGCTTGATAGCTGATTTATTTTATTTTATGTTTTTTTACATACATATATATATACATATACATATACATATACATATACATATACACATATACATATACATATACATATACATATACATATATATATATACATATACATATACATATATATATACATATACATATACATATATATATACACACACATATATATATATATATATTTGAAACGGAGTCTCACTCTGTTGCCCAGGCTGGAGTGCAGTGGTGTGATCTCGGCTCACTGCAAGCTCCGTCTCCCGGGTTCACTCCATTCTCCTGCCTCAGCCTCCTGAGTAGCTGGGACTACAGGCACCCGCCACCACACCCAGCTGATTTTTCGTATTTTTAGTAGAGATGGGGTTTCACCGTGTTAGCCAGGATGGTCTCGATCTGCTGACCTCATGATCTGCCCACCTCGGCCTCCCAAAGTGTTGGGATTACAGGCACGAGCCACCGCGCCCAGCCTTTTTTTGTGTTTTTAGTAGAGACTGGGTTTCGCCATCTTGTCCAGGCTGGTCTTGAACTCCTGACCTGGTGATCCACCTGCCTCAGTCTCCCAAAGTGCTGGGATTACAGGCGTGAGCCAGAGCGCCCTGCTATTATTATTAATTTTTAGAGACAGGGCCTTGCCTTGGCGACCAGGCTGGAGTACAGCAGTGTGATCCTAGCTCACTACAGCCTCCAATTCCTGGGCTCAAGCAATCTTCCTTCCTCAGCCCCCTGAGTAGTTGGGACTACTCCTTATGCTTGGCCAGGCACAGCGGCTCATGCCTGTAATCCCACCACTTTGGGAAGCCAGGTGAGAGGATCACTGGAGCCCAGGAATTGGAGACTAGCCTGGGCAACATAGTGGGACCTCATTTCTACAAAAATATTAAAGAATTAGCCAAGTGTGGTGGGGTGCACCTGTGGACCCAGTTACTCAGGGGGATAAGGTGGGAGAATTGCTTGAGCCCAGGAGGTAGAGATTGCAGTGAGCCAAGATCATACCACTGTACTCCAGAGTGGCTGACTGAACAAGACCATGTCTCAAAATAAATAAATAAACAAACAAACAAACGAAAAAATAAACTCCATACTCATTTAGCAATCACTCCCATTCCCCCGCCTCCCAACCCATGGCAAGCGCGAATCTGCTTTCTGTGTCTATGGATTTGCCTTTTTTTTTTTTTTTTTGAGACAGAGTCTTACTCTGTCCCCCAGGCTGGAGTGCAGTGGTGTGATCTTGGCTCACTGCAACCTCCGCTTCCCAGGTTCAAGCAATTCTCCTGCCCCAGCCTCCCGAGTAGCTGGGATTACAGGCACGCGCCACCATGCGTGGCTAATTTTTGTATTTTTAGTGAAGGTGGGGTTTCACCAAGTTGGCCAGGCTGGTCTCCAAGGCCTGGCCTCAAGTGATCTGCCCGCCTCAGCCTTCCAAAGTACTGGGATGACAGGGGTGAACCACTGAGCCCCGCCAAGGATTTGCCTATTTTGGACATTTTATATCAGTGGAATCATATAATTTATTGTATTCTGTGACTAGCTTCTTGCACTAAGCATAATGATTGAAGGTCAACTCACATTTTAGAATGAATCGGTACTTCATTCCTTTTTCTTTTTTTTTTTTTTTTTTGAGATGGAGTCTCGCTCTTGTTGCCCAGGCTGGAGTGCAGTGGCACGGTGGGATCTCAGCTCACTGCAACCTCTGCCTCCTGGCTTCAGGTGATTCTCCCTGCCCCGGTCTCCCAAGTAGCTGGGACTATAGGCACGCAGCACCACACCCAGCTAATTTTTGTATTTTTAGTTGAGACTGGGTTTCACCATGTTGGTCAGGATGGTCTCAAACTCCTGACCTGATCCACCCGTCTTGGCCTCCCAAAGTGCTGGGATTACAGGCATGAGCCACTGCGTCTGGCCTTTTTTTTTTTTTTTGAAATAGAGATGGGGTCTTGCTATGTTGTCCTGATCTCATGGGCCCAAGTGATTCTCCCACCTCGGCCTCCCAAAGTGCTGGGATTACAGGCATGAACCATCGTGCCCAGCCCAACTTAATTCCTTTTTATGGCTGAGTAATATTCCATTGCATGGACAAATATAGGACATTTTAATTTTCTATTCATCAGCTGATGGACATTTGAGTTTTCTCTACTTTTTACCTGGCAAGAATAATGCTGCTATGAACATTTCCATACGTGCATTTTATATGTTTGTATGTTTTCTTATCTGTTGAATATATACCTAGGCATGCAATTGTTGGCTCATATTAGAACCTGAGGAATTGTTTTCCAAAGCAAACAACTAGACTCTTTTCTTTTCTTTTTTATTTCCTTTCCTTTCCTTTCTTTTCCTTTCCTTTCCTTTCCCTTTCCTTCCTTCCTTCCTTCCTCTCTCTCTCTTTTTTTTTTGAGACAGGGTCTCATTCTGTTGCACAGATTGGAGTGCAGTGTTGTTGTTATCATGGCTCACTGTAACTCCAAACTCCTCGGTTTGAGTGATCCTCCCACCTCAGCCTCCCGAGTAGCTGGAACTACAGGCATGTGCCACCACACCTGGCTAATTTTTTTTTTTTTTGAGACGGAGTCTCGCTCTGTTACCCAGGCTGGAGTGCAGTGGCATGATCTCGGCTCACTGCAAGCTCCACCTCCCGAGTTCACGCCATTCTGCTGCCTCAGCCTCCCGAGTAGCTGGGACTACAGGCGCCTGCCACCACGCCTGGCTAATTTTTTTGTACTTTTTAGTAGAGATGGGGTTTCACCGTGTTAGCCAGTATGGTCTCAATCTCCTGACCTTGTGATTCGCCCACCTAGGCCTCCCAAAGTGCTGGGATTACAGGCGTGAGCCACCGCGCCCGGCCTACACCTGGCTAATTTTTTTGTATTTTTTGTAGAGACAAGGTTTTGCCATGTTGGCCAGGCTGGTCTCGAACACCTGGGCTCAGGTGATCCACCTTCCCCAGGCTCCCAAAGTGCTGAGATTGTAGGCATGAACCACTGCACCCAGCCTAGACCATTTTCTAAAGCAATGGCACCACTGGCCAGGCATAGTGGCCCATGCCTATAACCTAGAACTTTCCGAGGCTGGTGTGGGAGGATCATTTGCCCCCAGGAGTTCTAGAACAGCCTGAGCAACATAACGAGACTCCCATCTCTACAAAAAATAAAAAGTTAGCCATGGTAATGTGCACCTGTAGTCACAGCTACTCAGGAAGCTGATGTGGAAGAATCACTTAAACCCAGGAGTTCCAGGTTACAGCGAGCCATGATCACACCACTGCACTCCAGTCTGTGCAACAAAATGAGACCTTGTCCCTAAAAAAAACACAAAAGAAAAAGAAGGAAGAAATGCATTTAAAAAAATAATAATAAGACCGGGAGTGGTGGCTCACGCCTATAATCCTAGCATTTTGGGAGCCAGAGGCGGGCGGATCACCTGAGGTTGGGAGCTCAAGACCAGCCTGACCAACATGGAGAAACCCTATCTCTACTAAAAATACAAAATTAGCCAGGTGTGGTGGTGCATGCCAGTAATCCCAGCTACTTGGGAGGCTGAGGCAGGAGAATCGCTTGAACCCAGGAGGTGGAGGTTGTGGTGAGCCAAGACCATGCCATTGCACTCCAGCCTGGGCAATAAGAGTGAAAGTCTGTCTCAAAATAATAATAATAATAATAATAATAATAATAAAACAATGACAATATTTTACCTTCCCACCGGCAATGTATAAGGATTACAATGTCTCTGAATCTTCAACAACACTCGTTAATTTCTTCTTTGTTTGTTTTTGTTGTTGTTTGTTTTTTGTTTTTTGTTTTTTTGAGACGGAGTTTCACTCTGTCACCCAGGCTGGGGTGCAGTGGCGCGATATCGGCTCGCTGAAACCTCCACTTCCTAGGTTCAAGTGATTTTCCTGCCTCAGTCTCCCGAGTAGCTAGGATTACAGGCGCACGCCACCATGCCCAGCTACTTTTTGTATTTTTAGTAGAGATGGGGTTTTGCCATGTAGGCCAGGCTGGTCTCGAACTCCTGACCTCAGGTGATCTGCCTGCCTCAGCGTCCCAAAGTGCTGGGATTAGAGATATGAGCCACTGCCCCCAGACCTATTTTCTGATTTTTATTGTGGCCATACTAGAAGACGTGAAGTGGTGTCTAATTGTGGTTTGGATAGTTATTACTAGCTGGGTGTGGTGGCTCACATCTGTAATCCCAGCACTTTGGGAGGCACAGGGGGGAGAATTGCTTGAAGCCAGGAGTTCAAGACTAGCCTGGGCAACAAAGTGAGACCTCATTTCTAAAAAGAAAAAGAAAACATTAGCCAGGCCTGGTGGTGTAGTGGTGGGCCTCTGCAGTCTCAGCTACTCATAAGGCTGAGGCAGGGAGGATCGCTTGAGCCCAGGAGTTCAAGGCTGCGGTGAGCCATGTTCACGTTACTGCATTCCAGCATGGGCGACAGAGCAAGATCCTATCTAAAAAAAAATAGAAACAGGCTGGGCATGGTGGCTCATGCCTGTAATCCCAGCACTTTGGGAGGCCGAGGCAGGTGGATCACGAGGTCAGGAGATCAAGACCATCCTGGCTAACACGGTGAAAACCTGTCTCTACTAAAAATACAAAAAATTAGCCGGGTGCAGTGGCGGGCGCCTGTCGTCCCAGCTACTCCGGAGCTGAGGCAGGAGAATGGTGTGAACCCGGGAGGCGGAGCTTGCAGTGAGCGGAGATCACCCCACTGCACTCCAGCCTGGGTGACAGAGCGAGACTCTGTCTCAAAAAAAAAAAAAAAAAATTAGAAACAGGCCGGGCACAGTGGCTCATACCTGTAATCCCAACAATTTGGGAGGCCAAGGTGGGTGGATCACCTGAGGTGAGGAGTTCAAGACCAGCCTGGCCAACATGGTGAAACCCTGTCTCTACTAAAAATACAAAATTAGCTGGGCGTGGTGGCACATGCTGTAATCCTAGATACTTTGGAGGCTGAGGCAAGAGAATCACTTGAACCCGGGAGACAGAGGTTGCAGTGAGCCGAGATCACGCCACTGCACTCCAGCCTGGGCGACAAGAGCGAAACTCCGTCTCTATTGATCACGACACTCACAGTGCAGTCCATCCTTCTTTTCTTTCTTTTTTTTTGGGGGGGGCTGTGGGGGTTAAGGTCTCACTCTGTCACCCAGGCTAGAGTGCAGTGGAACACAGTTTATTGCAGCCTTGACCTTCTGGGCTCGAATGATCCTCTTCCGTTAGCCTCCCAAGTAGCTGGGATCACAGGCATGCAACACCATGGCCAGCTAATTTTTTCATTTTTAGTTTTTGTAGAAATGGGGTCTCCACATGTTACCCAGGCTGGTCTGGATCTCCTGGGCTCAAGTAATTTACCCACCTTGGCCTACCAAAGTGTTGGGATTATAGGCATGAGCTCACTGTTTTACCCAAGCTGGTCTTGAACTCCTGGCTTCAAGGGATCCTCCAACCTCGCCCTCCCAGAATGTTGGGATTACAGGTGTGAGCTAACATGCCTGGCAAACAGCATACATTCTTTTTATTGCTTTAATAAAAATGTAATTTTGTTTCTCTTTGAAGGATACTGTTGAGAAGTGTAATTACTATGATGTATAATTTGTCCACGTAGGGGTACTTGCTTTTTTTTTCTTTACTTGACTCTTTGTTTTTTTTGAGGCAGAGTTTCACTCTTTTGCCCAGGCTGAAGTGCAGTGGCGCAATCTTGCCTCACTGCAACCTCCTCCTCCTGGGCTCAAGTGATCCTCCTGCCTCGGCCTCCCGAGTAGCTGGGACTACAGGCATCTGCCACCAGGCCAGCCTAATTTTCTTTTCTTTCTTTCTTTTTTTTTTTTTGAGACAGATTCTTGCTCTGTCACCCAGGCTGGGTGCAGTGGCACAATCTAGGCTCACTGCAACCCCTGCCTCCTGGATTCAAGCCATTCTCCTGCCTCAGCCTCCCCAGTAGCTGGGATTACAGGCGTGTACTGCCACGCCTGGCTAATTTTTGTATTTTTAGCAGAGATGGGGTTTCACCATATTGGCCAGGCTGGTCTCGAACTCCTGACCTCGTGATCCGCCCACCTTGGCCTCCCAAAGTGCTGGGATTACAGATGTGGGCCACTGCACCGGGCCCTAATTTTGTATTTTCAGTAGAGAACAGGTTTCACCATGTTGGCCAGGCTGGTCTCAAACTCTTGACTTCAAGTGATCTGCCTGCCTTGGCCTCCCAAAGTGCTGGGATTACAGGCATGAGCCACTGCACCCAGCCTCCAGTGTCTGGGAATGTGCCGTTTGTCTTACCAGGAATACATTTCCTTCCCCCCCTTTTTTTTTTTTGCTAACTCCTACTCATCCATTAGATTCCATGATAGACATTTCTAGCATAGACAACAATCCATTGAATGAAAAACTGCCATTTGCAGATAGCTGGCTCTCCTGACTAATTCTGACCATTGAAGTGGGAGTGAGGTGGCATACATTATTCTATATGTCTTTCAGTTCTGAACAGAGGCATCCAAAAACTTATGCATGGCTCTCCTGTCTGCCTCTTGCTCCTCTGTGATAACTGAAGCAGAGAGTTTCAGATAGTGCAGCCACAAGATGACGGGAGACTTGTCATCCTGGGCTCCTGAATGACTGTGTGGAGCTGAGCCCCTGCCAGTCCATATAGGATGAATAGCCTGAGGGAGAAATCAACTTTGATTGTGTTAAACCACTGAGCTTTGGGCTGGTTTGTTACTGCAGCAAATCTTGACCTACTCTGACTAATACAGAACCCAACTTAAATGTGGCTTCCCCAGAGAAGTCCTCCTGGATCACAGCCCCCAGAATCAGTTTCTTCCCCTTTTGTAAGCTTGTATGTTCTTACTTGATCATTACTGCAAACATAACTGTATAATTATTTGTGTAATGAGTTCATCATCTCTCTGCTCCACCCCATCTCCAAAACCCCAAGGGGAGACAACAGTGTGGATTTTCCATTGCTGCAGCCTGGACTCAAAATAGTGTCTGATGCATAGTAGGTACCCTGGATACATTTGTTGAATGAAAGAGTTTTGTGGCAGGGCGCGGTGGCTCATGCCTGTAATCCCAGAACTTTGGGAGGCCGAGGCAGGCTGATCACGAGGTCAGGAGTTCGAGACCAGCCTGGCCAATATGGTGAAACCCTGTCTCTACTAAAAATACAAAGTTAGCTGGGCATGGTGGCACGTGCCTGTAGTCCCAGCTACTCGGGAGGCTGAGGCAGGAGAATCGCTTGATCCCGGGAGATGGAGGTTGCAGTGAGCCGAGATCATGCAACTGCACTCCAGCCTGGGCAACAGAGTGAGACTCCGTCTCAAAAAAAAAAAAAAAAAAGAAAAGAAAAGAGAGAGAGTTTTTCATCCTTTCAGCCAAAGGCAGCAAGACCAGGCACAGTGGCTCATGCCTGTAATCCCAGCACTTTGGGAGGCCAAGGCGGGCCGATCTTCTGAGGTCAGGAGTTCAAGACCAGCCTGGCCAACATGGTGAAACCCCGTCTCTACTAATAGTAAAAAAATTAGCCTGGGCATGGTGGTGCAAGCCTGTAATCCCAGCTACTCAGGAGGCTGAGGCAGGGGAATCACTTGAACCCTGGAGGTGGAGGTCGCAGTGAGCCAAGATTGCGCCACTGTACTCTGGCCTAGGCAACAGTGAGACTCTGTCTCAAAAAAAAAAAAAAAGGCAGCAATTAGCAGGACTCTTTTATAGAACATCATTCATGTAACCCACAGGGTAATGGATGCATGAGAGGCGGGACTGGATGGCCCCAAGAAACAGGGGAAGTTTGACAAGGAACATGATCTATTGTGAGAAAGTACCTATCCACATAGTTAACGTTTTCTTCAAGACTGTAATTTGTTCCAACAACTGCTCTGCCTGGGAGGGATTTCCGGGCATGATTTATTTCACTAAGAGGCATGGGAACTGGGTGGAGATGCATGGAAACATTTTTTGAATAGTTGAGAGGCCCAGGATAAAATTCATGCACAGACGCCACAATGCAGTCAGTAGAAGGAAATGTTATCTTATTGGGTTCTACTCAAGGGCAGTTTTGAGTCAGTGCTCTAATGCCACCATACTGATTTGTTTTCTCAACTCTATTAAGGAATACTTGACATGTAATAAGCTGCACATACTTAAAATATTCCATAGCAGAACATGGGGGCACATGCCTGTAATCCTTGCTGCTCAGGAGGCTGAGGAGGGAGGATCACTTGAGCCCAGGAGTTTGAGGCTGCAATGAGCTGTGGTGGCGCCACTGCACTCCAGCCTGGGAGACAGAGTGAGACGATAACAAAAATAAAATAAATTAGCTGGCCAGGCGCGGTGGCTCATGCCTGTAATCCACACCTGTAATCCCAGCTCTTTGGGAGGCCAAGGCGGGTGGATTGCCTGAGCTCAGGAGTTCGAGACTAGCCTGGGCAACACAGTGAAACCCCATCTCTACTAAAAATACAAAAAATTAGCCAGGCGTGGCAGTGTGCACCTGTAGTCCCAGCTACTTGGGAGGCTGAGGCAAGAGAATTACTTGAACCCAGGAGGCAGAGGTTGCAGTGAGCGGAGAACACACCACTGCACTCCAGCCTGGACAACAGAGTGAGATTCCGTCTCAAAAAATAAAAATAAAAAATAAAATAAATTAGCTGGGTGTGGTGGCGCATGACTATAATCCCAGCTACTGGGGGAGGCTGAGGCAGGAGAATCGGGAGAATCGCTTGAACCGGGAGGCGGAGATTGCAGTGAGCCGAGATCGCAGCACTGCACTCCAGCCTGGGTGGCAGAGCAAGTCTCCGCCTCAAAATAAATGAATAAAATAAAATAGTCTAGTTCCTGTACATCTTCTCCAACACTCATTAAGGTCAGTGTTTCTCATTTTAGAGGTTCTAGAGGATTTTGGGGGGTATCTGATTTCTATGTTATTTTGAATTTTCCCGATGGCTAATGATGTTCAGATTCTTTTTTTTTTTTTCCCACAGAACCATTCAAGTGTAACTTTTTTTTTCTTTTTATAGAGACGGAGTTTCACTATGTTGCGCAGGCTGGTCTTCAACTCCTGGCCTCAAGCAATCCTCCCACCTCAGCCTCCCAAAGTGCTGGGATTACATGTGTGAGCTACCATGCCAGTCTTTTTTTTTTTCTTTATAGAGACCAGTTCTCACTCTGTCACCCAGGCTGGAGTTAGTGGCACGATCTCAGCTCGTCACAACCTCCGGCTCCTGGGCTGAAGCTATCTTCCCACCTCAGCCTCACAAGTAGCTAAGACCAGAGACATGTGCCATCAAGCCTGCCTATTTTTTTTTTTTTTTTTTGTAGAGACAGGGTCTCCCCATGTTGCCCAGGTTGGTCTCAAACTTGAACTCCTGGGCTCAAGCAATCCTCCTGCCTCAGCATCGCAAGTGCTGGGATTACAGTCATGAGCCACCGTGCCTGGCCATAATGGATATTCTTTTTTTTGAGACAGGGTCTGTCTCTCTCTGGTAACCAGGCTGGAGTGGAGTGCAGTGGCGCACTCACAGCTCACTGCAGCCTCCACCTCCTGGGCTCAATGCTCCCACCTCAGCCTCTGAAGTAGCTGGGACTACAGATGAGTGCTACCCTGCCCAGCTTTTTTTTTTTTTTTTTTTTTTTTTTTTTTGTAGAGACCATGGTCTCACTATGTTGCCCAGGCTGGTCTCAATCTCCTTGGCTCAAGTGATCCTCCTGCCCTGGCCTTCCAAAGTCCTGGGATTACAAGTGTGAGACACTGCACTCGGCTGAGAGTTTTGTTCTTACAGCCGACTTACAGATTCACAAGCAATGACACAGCTGATTAGGAATGATGGCAAGTGTGATCAGGTGGACCTGAGAACACACACAGGGCGACTTGCCCAAGCTGGAGGTCAGGACAGGCCTCTGAGCTGTGGGTGGGCAAGCTGAGGCCTGCTGGAGAAGAGGGAGAAACCGACTCCATTCATTTCCAGGCTTGCAGTAATTAATTCGCACAAACTAGGTGGTTTAAAACAGACGTGTATTCTCTCACAGCTCTGGAAGCTAGAAGTCCAAAGTCAAGGTTGGTGGTAGAGCTATGCCCTGTCTGAAGGCTCTAGAGGGGAATTCATAGCTGGGTCCTTCCTAGCTTCCCATGGTCTTTTTGTTTGTTTGTTTGTTTGTTTGTTTTTGAGATGGAGTTTCGCTCTTGTTGCCCATGCTGGAGTGCGGTGGCACAATCTTGGCTCACTGCAACCTCCACCTCCCAGGTTCAAGCGATTCTCCTGCCTCAGCCTCCTTAGTGCAGGTGCCTGCCACCACGCTCAGCTAATTTTTGTATTTTTAGTGGAGACAGGGTTTTGCCGTGTTGGCCAGGCTGGTCTCGAACTCCTGGCCTCAAGTGATCCGCCCACCTCAGCCTGCCAAAGTACTGGGATTACAGGCGTGAGCCACTGTGCCCCACCCATTTGACAAAAATTTTTTAAAATTAGCCAGGCGTGGTGGTGTGCTCCTGTAGTCCCAGCTACTCGGGAGGCTGAGGCAGGAGGACAGCTTGATTCTTGTAGTTGGAGGCTACAGTGAGCTATGATTACACCACTGCACTCCTGGGCCATAGAGCAAGATCGAGTCTCTAAAAATTAATCAATCAATCTGCAAAGACTCTATTTCCAAATAAAGGCACATTCACAGATACCCAGGGTTAAGACTTCCACATGAATATTTGGAGGACAGAGAATTCAACCCACAATCCAGGCTGACCTGTGACAGTGACAGTTATTTGGCATCCAAAGTGTGGCTACGAGTTCAATCTTGGAAAGCCTGGGACAGCCCAGCCAGGGGGTTCCTGAGGTGTAGGTGCGTGGTGACTGGCTTTTTTAAGGGCACGAATCTTTTGGGAGCAGAAGGAGGAAGACAGGAGGAAGGGAAGAAATTGTTGAGAGACCTGGGTCAGTCTCACCAGACTGAGTGCAGAAGCCGAAGACCCCTGGCCTCTACACTGGGCTCAAAGTGGTCAACTCCACGGCCAGGGGCAATGGCTCACACCTGTAATCCTAGCACTTTGGGAGGCTGAGGCAGGTGGATCACATGAGGTTAGGAGTTTGAGACCAGCCTGGCCAACGTGGTGAAACACTGTCTCTACTAAAAATACAAAAATTAGCCGGGCATGGTGGCACGCGCCTGTAATCCCAGCTACTAGGGAGGCTGAGGCAGGAGAATCGCTTGAACCCAGGAGGCGGAGGTTGCAATGAGCCGAGATTATGCCACTGCAATCCAGCCTGGGCAACAAGACGGAAACTCCAACTCAAAAAAAAAAAAAAGGTGGTCAACTCCAACAGAATGTAGTGGTGTGTGCCCATGGTCCCCCCTACTCGGGAGGTTGAGGCAGGATCGTTTGAACCCAGGAGGTCAAGGCTGCAGTGAGTACTGATTGCACTACTGCACTCCAGCCTGGGTGACAGAGACCTTGTCTCTATTTCATTACATGTTGAGATGATAACATTTTGGATGCGTTGGGATAAATAAAAAGAATTATTAAAATTGATATCACCTGTTTCTTTTTACTTTTAAAAAATGTGGCTAATAGAATATTGAAAATTATATTTCATGTTATTTTTCTACTGGATTGTACTTCTCCAATTTTGGGTTGGTTTTTTTTTTTTGGTTTGTTTGTTTTTGTTTTGTTTTGTTTTTTTAAACGGAGTCTCAATCCCGTCGCCCAGGCTGGACTGCAGTGGAGCAATCTCAGCTCATTGCAACCTCCACCTCCCGGGCTCAAGCGATTCTACTGCCTTAGCCCCCCGAATAGCTGGAACTACAGGTGCCTGCCACTATACCCAGCTAATTTATGTATTTTTAATAGAGACAGGGTTTCATCACACTGTCTAGGCTGGTCTCGAATTCCTGACCTCAAGTGATCTGCCCGCCTCGGCCTCCCAAAGTGCTAGGATTACAGGTGTGAGCCACAGCCGCCGGATTCTTTTCCAGATTTTTTTGGCATGATGGAATTTGTTTATAAAAATACCGTTCTAAGCTGAGTGGGGTGGTGTGTACCTGTATTCCCAGCTACTCGGGAAGCTGAAGTCGGAGGATTCTTTGAGCTCAGGAGTTGGAGACCAGCTAGCTAGGGCAACACAGCAAGACCCTGTCTCAAAAAAAAAAAAAAAACATTAAAATTAAAAAACAGCTAGGTCCTTCTAGCTGTTTGTGGATTTGAGGGGTCAGACATAGCAGCTAAGAGACCAGGGACTAGGATGATGGATGCTGGACCCAGGAGGGCAGTGGTGGGAATAAGAATAACAAGAACAGTCATAATTCACACTGACGTGGTGGAGACCATGTGCCTGGCACTGTTCAAAGCATTGTGCATATTCACTTCATCCTTCTCCCAAACACTAGAAGGGAGGCAGTATCACTACCCCATTTGGCAGATAAAGAAACTAAGACAGTGGCCGGGCACCGTGACTCACCCCTGTAATCCTAACACTTTGAGAGGCTGAGGCAGGAGGATCACTTGTGCCCAGGGATTCAAGGCTGCAGGAAGCAATGATTGCACCATCACACTTCAGCCTGGGCAACAGAGTGAGACCCCGTCTCTCTCTCTTTTTTTTTTTTTCCAATGAATCAATTTTATTTTCAGACTTTCATAGTTAGTCTAATTAAAT
This sequence comes from Homo sapiens, assembly GCF_000001405.40. Classification (NCBI taxonomy): domain Eukaryota; kingdom Metazoa; phylum Chordata; class Mammalia; order Primates; family Hominidae; genus Homo; species Homo sapiens. The sequence continues at coordinate 10,538,597 of NC_000019.10, forward strand.
CAATTTAAAGTTCTCACTTTCTTGACATGCTTAAGAAGTATAGTGTAGTGGGTGAAATCATAGACGCCGGAGACAGGACTTCCTGGGTTAGAATTCCAGATCAGCAACTTACTAGAATGAAACCTTGGCCACATTATGTCATCTCTTTGTGTCTCCATTTGCTCATTGCTTGGCGATAGGTGATTGTCTCACCGCTCAGCGATAGGCGATGGTCTCACCGCTCGGCAATTGGCGAAGGTCCCATCTGGGTCGCCAAAATGTGTCCGGAATTGGTGGGTTCTTGGTCTCACTGACTTCAAGAATGAAGCCGCGGACCCTCGCGGTGAGTGTTACAGTTCTTAAAGGTGGCGTGTCCAGAGTTTGTTCCTTCTGGTGTTCAGATGTGTTCGGAGTTTCTTCCTTCTGGTGGGTTCGTGGTCTCGCTGGCTCGGGAGTGAAGCTACAGACCTTTGCGGTGAGTGTTACAGCTCTTAAAGGCAGTGTGGACCCAAAGAGTGAGCAGTAGCAAGATTTATTGCAAAGAGCGAAAGAACAAAGCTTCCACAGTGTGGAAGGGGACCCGAGCGAGTTGCCCAACCCCATCTCTCAAAGAAAAAGGAACTGAGGCAGAGAGTGGCGAGGTCCCTTATCTGAGCCATCTGGCTGCACAGTCTGTACTGAGTGCAGAATCCAAAGACCCCTGGGCCTACACTGGGCTCAAAGTGGTCAACTCCAATGGAATGCGGTTGTGTGTGCCCACGGTGCCAGCTACTCAGGAGGCTCAGGCAGGATCACTTGAGCCCAGGAGGTCAAGGCTGCCATGAGTCCTGATTGAACCACTGAACTCCAGCCTGGGTGACAGAGTGAGACTCTGTCTCGAAAATAATACACTTGGGCACAGTGGTTCATGCCTGTAATCCCAGCACTTTGAGAGGCTGAGGAGGGCAGATACCCTGAGGTCAGGCGTTCAAGACTAGCCTGGCCGACGTGGCGAAACCTGTCTCTACTAAAAATACAAAAAATTAGCTGGGTGTGGTGGCGCGTGCCTGTAATCCCAGCTACTCGGGAGGCTGAGGCAGGAGAATCACTTGAATCCATGAGGTCGAGGTTGCAGTGGGCCAAGATCGCGCCACTGTACTCCAGCCTGGGCAACAGAGTGAGACTCTGTCTCAAAAAAAAAAAAAAAGGGAATTGGGGTTGGACGCAATCTTGAGGGTGGGGCCCTCACACCATTCTCCTGCCTCAGTCTCCTGAGTAGCTGGGACTACAGGCGCCCGCCACCATACCTGGCTAATTTTTTGTGTTTCACTGTGTTAGCCAGGATGGTCTTTATCTCCTGACCTCGTGATCTGCCTGCCTCGGCCTCCCAAAGTGCTGGGATTACAGGCATGAGCCACCGAGCCCGGCTGAGACCAGGATGTCAAGGCTTCAGTGAGCCAAGATCATGATGCCACTGCACTCCAGTACTGGCAACAGAGTGAGACTGTGAGAAAAAAAAAAAAAAAAGAAAGGAAGGCAGGTGAGAGGATATAAGATAAGAAGAGAATCTCAGCTGGGCGCGGTGGCTCACGCCTGTAATCCCAGCACTTTGGGAGGCCAAGGCAGGCAGATCACCTGAGGTCGGGAGTTCGAGACCAGCCTGAGCAACATGGAGAAACCCTGTCTCTACCAAAAATACAAAAAATTAGCCAGGTGTGGTGGTGGGCGCCTGTAATCCCAGTTACTCGGGAGGCTGAGGCAGGAGAATCGCTTGAACCCGGGAGGCAGAGGTTGTGGTGAGCCGAGATTGCCATTGCACTCCAGCCTGGGCAAAAACTCCATCTAAAACAAAAAAACAAAACAAAACAAAAAATAGAAGAGAATCCCACCAAGAACCATGCTGGCACCCTGATCTGGGACTTTCTAGCCTCTAGAACTGTGAGAAGCAAAGGTGTGTTGTTTTAGCCCCCAAGGCTATGGTATTTGTCACAGCAGCCCAAGGGGATAAAGACAGTAAGGTTGTGATAACTACTCCCATGCGGCGGGGAGGGGGAAAAAGGCAGGGAAGAGAAGGAGACCAAGGATGGAGATGGGGGAGAATTTTGAGAGTGGTAATCTTCGTGTAGGGGTGATATTTGAATAAAGACTTGCGGCCGGGCACAGTGTCTCACGTCTGTAATCCCAGTACTTTGGGAGGCTGAGGTGGGTGGATTACTTGAGGTCAGGAGTTCGAGACCAGCCTGGCCAACATGGTGAAACCCCATTTCTACTAAAAATATAAAAATTAGCTGGGTGTGGTGGCACATGCCTGTAATCCCAGCTACTCAGGAGGCAGGAGGATCACTGGTGCCCAGAAGGTCGTGGTTGCAGTGAGTTATGATCGTGCCACTGCACTCCAGCCTGGGCAACAAAGTGAGACCCTGCCAAAAAAAAAAAAAAAGACCTGAAGGAGGTGACGGAGAGCCATGGTAAGAAACGTGGTCTGGGCAGAGGGAACAGCAAGTGCAAAGACTCTGAGGTGGCATTGGCTCTGTTGAGTTTGAGAAAGGGTGCACTTGGCTGGTTGCAGTGGCTCAAGCCTGTAATCCCAGCACTTTGGGAGGCCCAGGCGGGCAGATCACCTGAGGTCAGGAGTTCAAGACCAGCCTGGTCAACATGGTGAAACTCTGTCTCTACTAAAAATATAAAATTAGCCGGGTGTGGTGGCTCACACCTGTAATCCCAGCTACTCCAGAGGCTGAGGCAGGAGAATTGCTTGAACCTGGGAGGCGGAGGTTGCAGTGAGCTGAGATTGTGCCAGTGCACTCCAGCCTGGGCTACAGAGCAAGACTCTGTCTCAAAAAAATAAAATAAAATAAATCAATAAATTAATAAATTAATGAAAGAGAAAGGGGTCAATTGTGATTGAAGGCGACTGGGAGGAGAGGGGAAAAAAGGAAAGTCAGGGAGGTGACTGCCCCTTTTGTGCCTTCTCCTTCTTGGATCACACCCTCATTCAAATCTTTCTTACCTCCTTCAGAGAGCTGAGGACAGAGCCCCGGGGCTGGCCACTAGAGGCCACCCTCTCCATGGCTCACAGGGTCACTGCATTGTCATCATGCAGTTGGCTCTCACTGAGCCCCAACTGTTCCTCAAATACCACTCTAAGCACTTTACATTGGTAAGTTCAGCTCATTCCCATACATCTTTATGAGTTAGACACATTTAAAACTTTTTCCTGGCTGGGTGCAATCGCTCATGCCTGTAATCCCAGCACTTTGGGAGGCCGAGGCTGGCGGATCACCTCAGTCAGGAGTTCGAGACCAGCCTGGCCAACGTGGTGGAATCCTATCTCTACTAAAAATACAAAAATTAGCTGGGCGTGGTGGTGTGCGCCCGTAATCCCAGCTACTCAGGAGGCTGAGGCAGCAGAATTGCTTGAACCTGAGAGGTGGTGGTTGCAGTGAGCCAAGATCGCACTAGTGCACTCCAGCCTGGGCAACAAGAGCGAAACTCCATCTCAAAATAAATACATAAATAAATGAAAATAAAATAAAAAATAAAAATTGTCCCTGGCCAGGTGCAGTGGCTCATGTCTGTCATCCTAGAACTTTGGGAGGCTGAGGCTAATCGTTTCAGCCCAGGAGTTCAAGACTAGCCTGAGCAACACTGGGAGACTCTATCTCTACAGAAAAATTTTTAAAAATTAGCCAGGGGTGGCCAGGCACGGTGGCCCACGCCTGTAATCCCAGCACTTTGGGAGGCCGAGGTGGGCGGATCACGAGGTCAGGAGATCGAGACCATCCTGGCTAACACGATGAAACCTCGTCTCTACTAAAAATACAAAAAATCAGCCAGGCGTGGTGGCGGGCGCCTGTAGTCCCAGCTACTCGGGAGGCTGAGGCAAGAGAATGGTGTGAACCTGGGAGACAGAGCTTGCAGTGAGTCGAGATCGCGCCATTGCACTCCAACCTGGGCAACAGAACGAGACTCCGTCTCAAAAAAAAAAAAAAAAATTAGCCAGGGGTGGTGGCATGTGCCTATAGTCCTAGCTACTCAGGTGGCTGAGGCAGGAGACTTGCTTAAGCCTCGGCAGTTGAGACTGCAGTGAGCCATGATCAGGCCACTGCACTGTAGTCTGGATGACAGAGCAAGACCCTGTCTCAACAACAACAACCAAAATCTGTTTGGGCCTCGCAAGGTTAGAGAAAAAAAATTAAAAAATAAAATAAAATAAAATATTTTCCTGTAGTCTCAGCTACTTGGGAGGCTGAGGCAGGAGGATCACTTGAGCTAAGGAGTTTCAGGCCAGCCTGGGCAACATAGAGAGAACTTGTCTCTATAAAAAGTTAACTGATTACTTTTTAAAACAAAGAGGTTTTTTTTCAGCCTTATTGAGGTATAATAGACATATACAAAACCATGCAAATTTTAAGCGTACAATCTGATGAGTTTTCACACCTGTGAAGCCACTATTACAGTTAAGATACTGAATTTATCCACAGCTCCAAAAAATGTCTTCCTGCCTGAGGTGGTGGCTCACGCCTGTAATCCCAGCATTTGGGAGGCTGAGGCGGGAGGATCTCATGAAGCCAGGAGTTTGAGACCAGCCTAGACAACATAGCGAGACCCCTTATCTACAAATAAAATTTAAAAAATTAACCAGGCATGGTGGCTCCTGTCTGCGGTCTCAGCTACTCTGGAGGCTGAGGTTGGAGGATCAGAGTTGGAGGCTGCAGTGAGCTATGAAAGCGCCACTGCACTCCAGTCTGGACAACAGAGCCAGATGCTGTCTCGACAAAACAAACACTGAAAAAAACTTTCCTGGAGCACTTCATTCATCCCTCCCTCCCGCGCCTGCCTACCCCTGGATTTTTTTTCCCTGAGCATAATTCTCATGAAGATTCGTCTATGTTGTTGCGTGTATTCCAGCCCTATTTTGCACATGAGGAAACTGAGGCACAGAGAGGCGTGGCTTGCCCCGGAGGTCACACTAGTCGATTTGGTCCCAGGCCAGGGCGGGTTCTGGGTCGGCAGCCCGCGCAGGTGCACTCGGGAGGCGGGGCGGGCGCTGCAGGTGCGCAGTCAGTCTCACCTGGGCGCCTGCCAGGAGGTCAGTCCTGGGCCCTGGGGGGCAGGACTAGGGGCGGGGCCAGGGGCAGGGGTTCCCCAGCTCTGCTGCCTCCGATAAGGGCCTGAAGGGGCTGTCGCGCTCCTGGCGGTGTGATAAGGAGGGCGGGGGGAGGCCGCGGGAAGGCGTCGGGGTTTGAGGTCCCCGCCTGGCGACCCGGGATCGGGGCAGGAAAGGCGGCTGGGCGGGGAGAGGGCGGGGCGGGGCGTCTGGCTTGGCCACGCCCACCGTCATCCGGGGTCCTGGCCCGCTAAGATGGCGATGGCTGCGGTAGCAGCGGCGGCGGCTGTTGCCTGGCCCGGTACCCTGGGGACGGGGGCCGAGTAGCGCCTTCCCCGGGCCCCGTGAACCGGCTGCGGGTCGCCCTTGGGGGGCAGCGGCCGCAGCCCCCCACCTGGGCCCTCGGTCCGCCCTCCCGGCGCGTCCATGAACTCAGTGTCGCCGGCCGCCGCGCAGTACCGGAGCAGCAGCCCGGAGGACGCGCGCCGCCGGCCCGAGGCCCGCAGGCCGCGGGGTCCCAGAGGCCCAGACCCCAACGGCCTGGGGCCTTCCGGAGCCAGCGGCCCCGCTCTTGGCTCTCCCGGGGCTGGCCCGAGTGAGCCGGACGAAGTGGACAAGTTCAAGGCCAAGTTCCTGACAGCCTGGAACAACGTCAAGTACGGTGAGGAGGGGGCCCGGAGATCGTGGGGGTGTCGGGGGCCGTTGAGGAAAACCAGACCCCGGTCCTGCCAGTTATCCCACCCTTGTTCCCGTCCTGAGTCACCTGTGGGTCCCCTCCCTGCCCGGCCCAGGGTGGACCTGTGGCAGGTCCAATAGTGTTTTCAAGCCCCGCCCATTCCCCTGTGTGACCTTGGGCAAGATCCTTTGCTTCCTGGCGCCTCCGTTTTTGCCCCTCTCTGTAAAATGGGTACAATAATCAGAACTACCTTCCTTCATCCTGAATTGATGGTGGACACTCCTGTAGCTGTCACTGGGGGCCCCACCTCCGACGGAATCCCCGGAGCCACCCCGGAGATAGGAACTAGGATCGTGCCCATTTCACAGATGGGGGAATGGAAGCGCTGTTGCTGTCATGCAAGTGCTTCATCTCGCTGGGCGCTGCCCCTACGTCTCCCCAGGTTGGGTGGTTAAAAGCCGGACCAGCTTTAGCAAGATCTCCAGCATCCACCTCTGTGGCCGCCGCTACCGTTTCGAGGGCGAGGGTGAGCTGGTGGTTGGGACCAGGGCTGGGGGAGGCCTCTCCACGCCCGCCGGAGTGTCCCTGGTGGCAGCTGACAGACCCGCTCTTGTAGGTGACATACAGCGTTTCCAGCGGGACTTTGTGTCCCGCCTGTGGCTCACATACCGCCGGGACTTCCCGCCCCTTCCTGGGGGCTGCCTGACCTCGGACTGTGGCTGGGGGTGCATGTTACGCAGCGGCCAGATGATGCTGGCACAGGGCCTTCTGCTGCATTTCCTGCCCAGAGGTGAGCCATAGGGGGGAAGGGGTGCACTAGGAGTACAGGGTCAACTGCCATATCAGCAGTATTAGAATTACTTACCAACTAAGAGTTCAAAGTCACGTTAGAATTGTGTGTCAAGTAAGTTTTGGAGAGATGAGAGTTGTTTATAAGAGTTTCAGCCGGGGTTGGAAACGGTGGCTCATGCCTGTAATCCTAGCACTTTGGGAGGCTGAGGCGGATGGATCCCTTGCGGTCAGGAGTTCAAGACCAGCCTGGCCAATATGATGAAACCCCATCTCTACTAAAAATACAAAAATTAGCCGGTTGTGGTGGCACACGCCTGTAATCCCAGCTACTCCCGAGGCTGAGGTGGGAGAATCTCTTGAACCCAGGAGGCGGAGGTTACAGCAAGCCAAGATCGCACCACTGCACTCCAGCCTGGGCAACAGAGGGAGACTCTGTGTCAAAAATAAAAATAAAAAAAAGTTTCACCAGGCACGGTGGCTCATGCCTGTAATCCCAGCACTTTGGGAGGCTGAGGCTGGTGGATCATGAGGTCAGGAGTTCAAGACCAGCCTGGCCAAGATGGTGAAACCCCATCTCTACTAAAAATACAAAAATTAGCTGGGTGTGGTGGCAGGCACCTGTAATTTGGCAAGGTAAAGCAGAGAATTGCTTGAACCGGGGAGGCGGAGGTTGCAGTGAGCCGAGATCCGTGCCACTGCACTCCAGCCTGGGTGGCAGAGCGAGACTCAGTCTCAAAAAAAAAAAAAGAGTTTTGGCTGGGCACTGTGCTGCATGCTTGTAATCCCAGCTACCTGGGAGGCTGAGGTGGGAAGATTGCTCGTGCCCAGGTGTTCAAGTCTGCAGTGAACTATGATCCTGCCACTGCACTCCAACCCGAGTGACAGAATGAGACTCCAACAATAACAGGTCGAGTGTGGTGGCTCATGCCTGTAATCCCAGCACATTAGGAGGCTGAGGCAGGAGGATCGCTTGAGCATAGGCATTCGACACCAGCCTAGGCCACATGACAAGGCTCCTGTCTCTACAAAAAAATTTTAAAAATTAGCTGAGTGTGGTGGCATGTGCCTGTGATCCCAACTACTCAGGAGGCTGAGGCGGGAGAATCTGTTGAGCTCAGGATTTAGAGGCTGTAGTGAGACGTGATTGTGCCACTGCACTCCAGTCTGGATGACAGTGAGATCCTGTCTTTATTTATTTATTTTATTTATTATTATTATTATTTTTTTTTTTGAGACTGAGTCTTCCTCTATCATCCTGGCTGAAGTGCAGTGGAGAGATCTTGGCTCACTGCAACCTCTGCCTCCCAGGTTCAAGCGATTCTCCTGCCTCAGCCTCCTGAGTAGCTGGGATTACAGGTGCCCGCCACCACGCTTGTCTACTTTTTGTATATTTTTTTTTTTATCAGAGAAGGGGTTTCACCATGTTGGCCAGGCTGGTCTCGAACTCCAGGCCTCAAGTGATCCACCTGCCTTGGTCTCCCAAAGTGCTGAGATTACAGGCATGAGCCACCGCGTCTGGCTGAGATCCTGTCTTTAAGTAACAAAAAATAAATAAATAAATAAGGATAAGTATATGTTTCAGGAATATGTAAATTCTGTTGAATTACGGGGTTCAGGAGCATTCGCATTGTGTGCGGTGCATGTGTAGATGGGACCTCTGCCCCCCACACACTAGCACTGTTTGACTATGTGCTCCATTCCACCAGACTGGACATGGGCCGAGGGCATGGGCCTGGGCCCCCCTGAGCTGTCAGGGTCAGCCTCTCCCAGCCGGTACCATGGGCCTGCCCGCTGGATGCCCCCACGCTGGGCCCAGGGTGCCCCTGAGCTGGAGCAGGAACGCCGGCACCGGCAGATTGTGTCCTGGTTCGCCGACCACCCCCGGGCCCCCTTTGGCCTACACCGGCTGGTGGAGCTTGGGCAGAGCTCAGGCAAGAAGGCAGGTGACTGGTATGGGCCATCGCTAGTGGCACACATCCTCAGGTGAGGGCTGCTGCAGGGATCACGGGAGTTGCTGGGTACCCGCAGGCACTCAGGCCTTCCCTCCTGCCCCCAGGAAAGCCGTGGAGAGCTGCTCCGACGTCACCCGCCTGGTGGTGTACGTTTCTCAGGACTGCACAGGTAAGGGGCTGGGAGCCAAGATCACAGGGGCCCCACCCTGAGCCAGACTCTGCCTTACCCGATTCTTAGAGTGCATCTTCCTCAGAGGCTGGAACAAGTTGTGGGGCAGAGGGACACTGGGGAAGGATGCAAGGCCTGTGCAGTGGGAGATAGTCCCTCTTCTCCGTCTCTCCCTCTGGAACAAGAAACTTCAGGGGCTTCTCCTTGAGTGATAGAATAGAGACATAAGGCCAGGTGTGGTGGCACATACTGTAGTCTCAGCTACTTGGGAGGCTGAGGTGGGAGGATTGCTTGAACCCAGGAGTTCGAGGTTACAGTGAGCTGTCATTATGCCATTGCACTCCAGCCTGGGCGACAGAGTAGGATCCTGTCGAAAAAAAAAAAAAAAAAAAAAAGAGGCCAGGCGCAGTGGCTCACGCCTGTAATCCCAGCACTTTGGGAGGCCAAGGTGGGTGGATCACCTGAGGTCAGGTCACTCTGTCACCCAGGCTTCAGTGCAGAGGCACGATCTCGGCTCACTGCAACCTCTGCCTCCTGGGTTCAAGCGATTCTCCTGCCTCAGCCTCTCAAATAGCTGGGATTACAGGCACGCACCACCATACCAGGCTAATTTTTCTATTTTTAGTAGAGATGGGGTTTCACCATGTTGACAAGGCCGGTCTTGAACTCCTGACCTCAGGTGATTCGCCCACTTTGGCCTCCCAAAGTGCTGGGATTACAAGCTTGAGCCACTGTGCCCAGCCCCTGTAATTTTTTTTTTTTTTTTTTTTTTTTTTTTTTTTTTTTTTTTTTTTTGAGACAGAGTCTCACTCTGTCACCCAGGCTGGAGTGCAGTGGCACAGTCTTGGCTCACTGCAACCTCCGCCTCCTGAGTTCGAGTGATTCTCCTGCCTCAGCCTCCCAATAGCTGGGACTACAGGCGCGTGCCATCACGCCCAGCTAATTTTTTTTGTATTTTTAGTAGAGTTGGGGTTTCACTGTCTTTGCCAGTATGGTCTCTCGATCTCCTGACCTCATGATCCCCCCTCCTCGGCCTCCCAAAGTGCTGGGATTACAAGCTGGAGCCACCGTGCCCGGCTACCTCTGTAAATTTTTTATGCAAAATTGTAGGTGTTTGGGAAAAGATTCGATTTTCAGAGAACCTTATCTCCAAAATGGGTCTAATCTACTTCTCTAGGAGCACAAAATGGGCTTACGTAGCTGCAAGGCAGGGGGCAGGAGAATGGGCCCAAGTAAATGGGACTGGAGGAGGAGGGACATACCAGGATATTTGGTTTAGGGGCTGAGTGCCCAGTGCTCCAGCTTCTGTATTGGCAAACCGAGGCATGGAGTCACTGAGGACCTGTCAGGCATGGGGCTGGGGAGGAGCTTGAGAGAACAGTCTCTACCTCTCCCTTCTGTATATACTTTTGGTCTACATCCCAGGGCCTCAGTTGCCCACTCTGTAAAATGGGGATGTCCACACCTGCCTGGAGGTCCTGGGATTTTCTGGGGGTGTTTGGGGGGCACTAGAATGATGATTTTGGTTAGTGATGACAGTGTTGCCCTCTGAGAAATTGCACGGTTGAGGTTGAGCCCCTGGGGTTAGAGGGCTACGCTGGGGCTTGAAGGGTGGCAAGAAGGTGACCTGCTGCTGTCCCGTCCCTCCAGTGTACAAGGCGGATGTGGCACGCCTGGTGGCCAGGCCAGACCCCACAGCCGAGTGGAAGTCTGTGGTCATCCTGGTGCCCGTGCGACTGGGTGGCGAGACTCTCAACCCCGTGTATGTGCCCTGCGTGAAGGTAGGTTCAGCTGAATTCTAGGACACCTCCACCTGGGAGCCCTCCAGACTTGTTTAGTTTGTGTTAGGGCTGCTGTTTGTGCAGCCCTCATCACTTTTTTTTTTTTGAGATGGAGTTTCGCTCTTGTTGCCCAGGCTGGAGGTCAATAACGTGATCTCGGCTCGCTGCAACCTCCGCCTCCTGGGTTCAAGCGATTTTCTTGCCTCAGCCTCCCAAGTAGTTAGGATTACAGGCATGCGCCACCACGACCACCTAATTTTGTACTTTTAGTAGAGACAGGGTTTCACCATTTTGGTCAGGCTGATCTTGAACTCCTAACCTCAGGTCATCTGCCCACCTCGGCCTCCCAAAGTGCTGGGATAACAGGCGTGAGCCACCACACGGGCCATCCCTTTTTTTTTGAGACAGAGTCTTGCTCTTTTGCCCAGGCTGGAGTGCAGTGGCACAGTCTTGGCTCATTGCAACCTCCGCCTCCCGAGTTCAAGCAATTCTCCTGCCTCAGTCTCCCAGGTAGCTGGGACTACAGGCGTGTGCCACCACGCCCGGCTAACTTTTGTATTTTTAGTAGAGACGGGGTTTCGCCATGTTGGCCAGGCTGGTTCTCAAACTCCTGACCTCAGGTGATCCACCCACCTCAGCCTCCCAAAGTGCTGGGATTACAGGTGTGAGCCACCACGCCCGGCCCATCCCTTCTTTTTTTATACTATGCAGCACCTGCTATGTGTGCTCCCCACTGTCCCGACTGCTGGGGATTCAGAGGGGAACAGAATAGGCAGGAGTTCTGAGTGTGCCTGCTGGGAGCAGACGTTCTGATGGGAGGATGCTCAGCAGTGGCTATGTAACCAAAGTAGCATCACTGTTTGGAATGAAGCCAGGCACAGTGGCTCAGGCCTATAATCCCAGCACTTTGGGAGGCCGAGGCAGGAGGATCATTTGAGACCAGTCTGGGCAACATAGTGAGACCCCCATCTCTACACAATTTTTTTTGAAAATATTCGAGTCTCACTCTCTTGCCCACGCTGGAGTGCAGTGACACCGTCTTGGCTCACTGCAACCTCCGCTTCCCAGGTTCAAGCAAATTTCCTGCCTCAGCCACCCAAGTAGCTGGGATTACAGGTGTATGCCACCACGCCCGGCTAATTTTTGTATTTTTAGCAGAGATGGGGTTTTCCCATGTTGGCCAGGCTGGTCTTGAACTCCCGACCTCAGGTGATCCACCCACCTCGGTCTCCCAAAGCGTTGGGATTACAGGCATGAGCCACTGCACCCAGCCTCTACACAACTTTAAAAAAACAGTAACCCAATGAAGGGCAGATGAGGGTAGCAGCAGAGCCTAGAAAAGCGCCTCTGCAGCCACCAGGCAAATGAGGAGCCAGAGGAGAAGTGCTCCAGGCAAAAGGAACAGCAAGACAGAGACCCTGAGGCTGGAAAGTCCCCTATGTATTTGCATCCGAATAAAAGCCAGTTTTCCCAGTGACCCACAGAGCCCGGCACTATTTGTCCACACCACCTTCTTGATGTCGGGATATCCCCCACCTTGACCTCATATCCTCCTCCCACACTCTGCTGCAGCCACAGGGGCCTCCTCACCTATTTCAGACACTCCCACCTCAGGGCCTTTGCGCTTGCTGCCCCTGCTGCTTGGAGCACTCTTTCAGCAGTGATGCATGTGGCTTTTTTTTTTTTTTTTTTTTTGAGACGGAGTCTTGCTCTGTCACTCAGGCTGGAGTGCAGTGGCATGATCTCAGCTCACTGCAAGCTCCACCTCCTGGGTTCATGCCATTCTCCTGCCTCAGCCTCCCGAGTAGCTGGGACTACAGGCGTCCGCCACCACTCCTGGCTAATTTTTGTATTTTTAATGGAGATGGGGTTTCATTGTGTTAATCAGGATGGTCTCGATCTCCTGACCTCGTGATCCTCCCGCTTCGGCCTCCCAAAGTACTGAGATTATGGACATGAGCCACTGCTTGGCTCCTGTTTTAAAATATTTTTTGCGTGGGGGGTTTTCCAGTGAGAACCAGAAAACCTGAGACAAATTCTAAAAGAGCTGTAATGTTTGACCTCTTTACTTAAAATCACAAGGCTCCCTTCCCTCTTTTATTCTTTTCCATATAGTTATCACCTCTAACACATGAGATAAATCATGTAATTGGCTGGGCGTGGTGGCCCACGCCTGTAATCCCAGCACTTTGGGAGGCAGGTGGATCACCTGAGGTCAGGAGTCCAAGACCAGTCTGGCCAACATGGTGAAACCTCGTCTCTACTAAAAATACAAAAATTAGCTGGGCGTGGTGGCGGGCGCCTGTAATCCCAGCTGCTCGGGAGGCTGAGGCAGGAGAACTGCTTGAACCCAGGAGATGGAGGTTTCGGTGAGCCAAGATCGTGCTACTGCACTCCAGCCTGTAATCCCAGCACTTTAGGAGGCCGAGACGGGCAGATCACCTGAGGTTAGGAGGAGTTCCAGACCAGCCTGGCTAACATGGTGAAACCCCATTTTTACTAAAAATACAAAAAATTAACCCGGGTGTGGTGGCGGGTGCCTGTAATCCCAGCTACTTGAGAAGCTGAGGCAGGAGAATCGCTTGAACTTAGGAGGCGGAGGTTGCGGTGAGCCAATTGGGCCACTGCACTCCAGGCTGGGTGACAGAGTGAGACTCCGTCTCAAAAAAAAAAAAAAAAAAAAAATTCATGTAATCATCTTCCTTGTTAGTCTCTCACACTAGGATGTCAGCTCCTGAGGGCAAGGGTTTTGTGGTCTTGATCACTGCTGCCCTCCAGAGGCTGGGTTCTCACAGAGGAGGTGTTTGCCAAGCGTTTGTTGAGTGGCTGCCTGACAGCACCTGCCTACCCTCCTCCCTGCAGGAACTCCTGCGTTGCGAGCTGTGCCTGGGCATCATGGGTGGGAAACCGCGACACTCACTGTACTTCATTGGCTACCAAGGTAGGCCCACCCCCTCCTCACTCCTCCCACCCCCCACCGCACCCCCACTCACACCTGCACCCCCTGCAGATGACTTCCTGCTGTACCTGGACCCTCACTACTGCCAGCCCACTGTGGATGTCAGCCAGGCCGACTTCCCCCTGGAGGTGAGTGGGAGCCCCAGTGTGTGGTTGGGGCCATGGCGGGTGGGCAGCCCAGCCTCTGAGCCTTCCTCGTCTGTCTGCCCCAGTCCTTCCACTGCACCTCGCCCCGCAAGATGGCCTTTGCCAAGATGGACCCAAGCTGTACCGTGGGCTTCTATGCTGGAGACAGGAAGGAGTTTGAGACACTCTGCTCAGAGCTGACCAGGGTGAGCAAGAGGAAAGCTGGAGTGGGGTGAGGGGGGCGGTTGGGCAGGGCTGGGGGTGAAAGAGGAACAGAGGCCTCGAGTCCAGCAGAGCTGGGGTGCTGCTTCCAGGCTAGGGGTCCTAACCTGGGAAATGTGAAGAATGTCCACCCCTGAAAAGGTGGGAACGCCAAAGCCCACTGTTAAGGCATCATCCCTTGGAGGCAGCTGTATCCAGGGGCTCAAGTGGTGGGAACCCTCCCTGTCTCTTGGCCCTGCTGTCCGACCAGGACTCTACCCTTATGGGGGCGAGAGATGGCCACCAGCCATTCTGGGCACCCACCCTGTGGTCACTGGAAGGGAAACGCAGGTTTTGCAGCAAAAATCCCAGGACTGTCAGTCTTTGGCTGAGCTGGGTCACATGCTCATGGCTGAGCCAATCACTGTGGCCAGGGGATGGAAGGTGCTGATTGGCTGCTCTCTCCTGGAGAGGTGGTCCTGAGAAGCACCTACTAAATAAACCTGGGCTAAGGAATATGGCTTGGCACTGTTTGTGGCTGACCCTGTCTCCCTCTTCCCGCCAGGTCCTCAGCTCCTCCTCAGCCACAGAGCGGTACCCCATGTTCACCCTGGCCGAGGGCCATGCTCAGGACCACAGCCTGGACGACCTCTGCTCCCAGCTCGCCCAGCCCACACTCCGGCTCCCTCGCACAGGGCGGCTCCTCAGGGCCAAACGCCCCAGCTCTGAGGACTTTGTGTTTTTATAAAGGGAGGGGATGAGGGGAAAGATACAACACTATTTATTTTTTTATTTATGTCATGTCGGGTGTGGGATCTTGAGCTCTGGCAGTGATGATGGTACTTCCTGTTGTCAGCCCCTCAAGCCCAGCTGCAACCAGTCTGGGGCCATTCAGCCAGGGACAGAGCCCACAGAGCCCATACACCTGTCTCCCACCAGCGGGGCCCTCCTGGCAGGGTAGGGAAGGAGGACCCCGGGCACCCCCCTCAGGGCCTGACTCACGTACTGTAGTTTGCACTGGACGCCCGGGCCCTCCCTGTCCCAAAGCCCCCTTGGGGGAACTGTGGCTGCTGGGGGCCAATAAAGCTGTGTAACTTGATCGTGGGTGTGGCTGGGCGCAGCGTTCTGAGGGGATGTGGGGTCTGGGAGGTGTCTCGAGGTGAGAGCTCCAAGTCACGGGAAGTTTAAGTCAGCCTCAGTTTCCACATCCATAAAATGGGACGACTTCCTTACCCACAGCTACACGTGTTTTTTAATTTTTTTTTTTTTTTCAAGAGACAGGGTCTTGCTTTGTTGCCCAGGCTGGAGTGCAGTGGTGCAATCATAGCTCTCTGTAGCCTCAAACTCATGGCCTTAAGTGATCTTCCTTCCCCAGCCTCCTGAGTAGCTGGGACTACAGGCATGTGTCACCACATTTTGTAGAGATGGAGTCTCGCTAAGTTGCCCACGCTGGTCTCCAATTCCTGGGCTCAAGTGATCCTTTCACCTCGGCCTCCCAAAGTGCTGGGATTACAGGCGTGCCTGGCCACAGATGAGAGGATCTCTGCAGCAGATAGTACTTGTGGGTGCGAGACCTGTCCAGGGCTTGATTTGAGGAGAGGAGCCTGAGGCCCCTGCCTGCTCCCTGGTGCTCAGGAGCTGTTCTTGGGCCCCTGTTGTTTCCTCCGCTGCCGGCCCAGCTGGCGGAAGTGCAGCCGTTTGGGGTTGAGGCCAAAGGCCTGCAGTCTCTGGCGGCTGAACTCGCATCCACCAAGCATCACAGTGGGGCCCAGCAGCCGTGCCTTCTTGGCCCTCCTCCGCTTCTGGGGGGCTGGCTTCTTGTGGGGTGATACAGGGGCTTCCTCTTCCTGTGCTGGGGGACTCTCCGGCCCCATCAAGCTGCCATCAAGGGCTGGCAGCTGCCTCTGTGGGCCGGCTTCATCTCTCTGTGGCTTCCCTGTGGCTTCCGCAGGTGTCTCTGCCCTGAGGGAGAAAAGTCAGGGCTCAGCCCAGGCCTGTCAAGATCAGGCCCATTCTTGAGCACGCATGCCCCATTTTACAGACAGGGAAAGGAGGGGCATAGTGAAGCAGCCGCACAGCGACCGAGGGCCTGCCTGGGATTCAGACCTGGGTTTCAGGCCAAAGCCAGCGCTTTTCTACGGAACCCAAAGACTAGATTGTGAGGCTGAGGATTCTGGTATTTGTGCCTGGGCCTGCCCTAAGCTAGTCACATCAATTAACTCATTTTAGCCTTTTTCTTCCTTAGAGACAAGGTCTTGCTGTGTCGCCCAGGCTGGAGTGCAGTCGCGTTACCATAGGTCACTGCAGCCTCCAACTCCTGGGCTCAAGCGATCTTCTCGCTTGAGTCTCCCAAAGTGCTGGGATTATAGGTTGGAGCACACACCTGGCCTCATTTTAGCTCTAAATAAACTGTGTGCATCTATCACCCCTGCCTTCTAGACTGGGCGAAAGCAATCCTAATAACAGCTAAGACCTATGGGGCATTTACCATATCTTAATCACTTTACGAGAATTAACTCATTTCATCCTCTGCAACTTGATAAGGCAGAACCGTCTCTATCTCCATCTTATGAGAAAGAGGCCCAGAGAGGGGTAGCGACTTGCCCAAGGTCACACAACGTTGGTGCCCATATAGGATTCGAACCCAGGTCTCAGAGCGGGGGGCGCTGCATTCCCAAAGTCATGCAACAAGAGGTTGACGGAGCCAAGACTCAAGCCTGGGCCTGACAGGCTCCCCACCCACGCTTCCCCAGCCAGCACTGCTTACTCTTCTCGGCAGAGTGACTTGAAGACCTGCCGCTTTTTCCATGAGTTCTGGGCCTTCTGGCTGTACGCCCGCTTGTCCCGCAGCTCCTCCTGCTCTGACCTGCAGACAGATGCCCCTGTGTTGGGTGCTCTGGGAAGTGCCCGAGGCTGCCCGCCCTGCCCCCTGCGCATGTGGCCCCGCCGCGCCCCGCCCCATCACCTGTACATGCAGGTCTTCTTTAGGGAGCACCACCGGTTCAGCTCCTTATCGTCAGCAGCGAGGATCTGCGTGGGAAGGGAGAGTGGGGACCTGCTGTGATATTGCCCAGGCGGGGCCTTCCCTGAGCCTAAGTCATGTCATTAGTCAAAACGGTAATGCCGCTACCACCCAGCAGGGTTGCCATGATGGCCAGAGACAGCTGATCTCTACAGAGGCCAATGATTTTTGTAGAGGTCAGCAGATGGGGTAACTGAGGCTCAGAGAACGGATCCTTGCCCTAGGCCAGATGGCTGGGAAGTTGGCTGAATTGATTCCAGTTTGAGCCTCAGGGCCCTTGAGCTGTCACCCATACCCGGCCATCCCCAAAGCCTCAGAACGGGCAGGGGTCGCTGCCAACCACCAGGCTTCCTAATTACATATGAAACTGTCATTCCCAGCCTCTAGGCCTGTTTCCAAACCTACTGGAAGGCCATCAGAAAGAGGAAGTGATTGAATGCCGATGGTATAAGCTTAGTACACATCGGCTATTTTTACTGACCATGAAAATGGTCGTGCACCTTCAGCCGTCATCAGTCAGGCATAGTAGGTACCCACAGCCTGCCAGGTGCCACACACTTTGGTCTCATTTCTGTTCCTTCCATAGTCACCAAAGTTGGGGTGCTATCAATTATTGTCTCACTTTACAGATGGGGAGTTGAGGCACAGATAGGGGAATCATTTGTCCAAAGACTCAGCTGGTGAGCAGCCAAGCCAGGGCTTGAACCCACCTAGGCCCCCTGGTTCCAGAGGACACCAAGTCTTTTGTTGAGACAGGGTCTCACTATGTCACCCAGGCTGGAGTGCAGTGGCAGGCTCACAGCTCACAGCAGCCTCAACCTCCTGGACTCAAGCAACCCTCCTACCTCAGCCTCCCAAGTAGCTAGGACTAGATCTCCCTATGTTGCTCAGGTTAGTCTCAGAACTACTGGGCTCAAGTGATCCTCCTGCTTCAGCCTCCCAGAGTACTGGGATTACAGGTGTGAGCCAGTGTGACCAGCCCTGCTACCAAGTCTTACCAGCCAGACTGCTGCTAATACATACTGACAGGAATAAAATAATATTGGCTGGGCCTGGTGGCTCACACCTGTAATCCCAGCACTTTGGGAGGCTGAGGCAGGCAGATCACATGAGGCCAGGAATTTGGGATCAGCCTGGCCAATATGGTAAAACTTATCTCTACTAAAAATACAAAAATTAATTGGGCATGATGGCACATGCCTGTAGTTCCAGCTACTTGGGAGGCTAAGGCAGGAGAATCATTTGAACCTGGGAGGCGGAGTTTGCAGTGAGCTGAGTTTGCACCACCGCATGCCGGCCTGGGTGACAGAGCAAGACACTGTCCCAATCAACCAATCAAAAAATAAACAAAAATAAAAAGTAATATTGGCTGGGTGTGGTGGCTCACACGCAGAATCCCAGCACTTTGGGAGGCCAAAGCAGGAAGCTTGTTTAGGCCCAGGGAGTTCGAGACCAGCCTGCACAACACAGTAAAACATCATCTGTACAAAAAATATTTTTAATTAAAAAAAATTAATTGGGCATGGTGGCACATGCCTGTAGTCCCAGCTACTTGGGAGGCTGAGGTAGGAGGATCAATTGAGCCCAGGAGGTTGGCACCACTGCACTCCAGCCTGGGTGACAGAGCGAGACTATGTCTCAAAAAAAAGAAGTAATATTTACGGGGCGTGCCATAGGTGAGGCACTGTTTTAAGCCCCCACCTTGTAGAAGGTAGTAATATTACCTTTGAGGTGAGGTAATGTTATTAGCACTGTCATTAGGACTATTAGCATTTCTTTTTTTTTTTTTTTGGCGCTCTGTCACCTAGGCTGGAGTGCAGTGGTGCAATCTCGGCTCATTGCAACCTCTGCCTCCTGGGTTCAAGCGATTCTCCTGCCTCAGCCTCCCAAGTAGCTGGGACTACAGGCGCCTGCCACCATGCCTGGCTAATTTTTTTGTATTTTTAGTAGAGACGGAGTTTCACCACGTTGGCCAGGCTGGTCTCGAACTCCTGACCTCAGGTGATCCACTTGCCTCGGTCTCCCAAAGTGCTGCGATTACAGGCATGAGCCACTGCGCCCAACCGAATATTATCATTTTCAAGATGAAGAAACAGCCTGCCATGTTGTGGCATTTCTGAGCAACAGAGATTGGGACTCAGGGCCAGCTTTCTACCCCTTCGGCATACCTGGTGCCCCCTGCAGTGTCCCTGCCTGCCCGGGGCCCCTACCTCCTCAGTGCTGAGGCCAAAGTCACAGGGCACCACTGTGCGGTACTTGAAGCGACAGGGCAGGTCGTCGATGATGTCCTCGTAGTCCAGCCGGTAATACTCATCCAGGTACTCCTCGAACGTCTTGTCCCCTGCTCGAGACAGAGCCAGGCTGCTGGGCTATGCCAGGCCCCGCGGTGCCCCCTGCCTACCCACGGCCTGCCCACCTGGGCCTCACCGGGTTCAAACACGGGCTTCTCCTGCCCCACGGCCGCGGCGAAGGGCGACTTGCGCTTCTTCTTGCCCGTCAAGGGGGCCTCGCGCTTTTTCTTCCTCGGCTGGCTGGGGTCGTAGTCGGCGTCCATCTGCCAGGACGCACAGGTCAGATCCCACCAGCCCCCCGTCAGGGCCCCTGGGACTCCCTCAACCCGTGATACCTACGTTGAAGTTGGGGTCCTCACAGTGCAGCTCCTGCTGGCTCCAGTCTCCCTCCTGCTCAGGCCCGTCCCACGTGTCCCAGTTCCAGTCGTCTGGATGCAGGGAGAACAGACAGGTGGGGCCAGGGTGGGACCTTGGGCTTCAGTCCCAGTCCCCAGTCCCCAATCCCCAGCCCAGTGCCCCAGCTGATCTCACCTTCAAGCCCTTCTTCTTCCTCAAATTGTGGCTTCTCCTCCTCCACGGCCCCGTAGTACTCGTCCCCAAAGCACTTCTGCAGGGTCAGGGCTGGCGGTTACCAGAGCCCACTCGAGACATAGGAGCTGAGCCCCCTACGATGCCGCCAATGACCCCCTCCTTGGCAACTTTACTCCTACAGCTAGGGCTCCCTACAGCCCTCCCAGCACCTAGCTCCTGAGGTGGGAGGCCCTGCATGTCCAGGATCCTCCGCCAACTCCCCTGCTGTCTACCCTGTGATGTACTGGCCGCCATTCAGTTCCACATATCCACAGTTCTTCGCCGTCCTACCCACCTTCGCCCCTGTGGTGCCCACCACCTGGTGCACTACTCAGGCCCCAGGTCTTTTTTTTTTTTGAAACAGAATTTCGCTCTTGTTGCCCAAGCAGGAGTGCAATGGCACTATCTCGGCTCACTGCAACCCTTGCCTCCCGGTTTCAAGCGATTCTCCTGCCTCAGCCTCCGGAATAGCTGGGATTACAGGCATGTGCCACCACGCCCGGCTAAGATCTTTTTTTTTTGAGACAGCGTCTCACCCAGTAGCCCATGCTGGAGTACAATGGCGAGATCTTGGCTCACTACAACCTCCACCTCCCGGGTTCAAGCGATTCCCTGCCTCAGCCTCCCGAGTAGCTAGGATTAGAGGTGCACGCCACTACACCCTGGCTAATTTTTTGTATCTTTAGTAGAGATGGGGATTCTCCATGTTGGCCAGGATGGTCTCAATCTCCTGACCTCGTGATCCGCCTGCCTCGGCCTCCCAAAGTGCTGGGATTACAGGTGTGAGCCACTGCACCCGGCCAGGTCTTTTTTTTTTTTTAAAACAGAGGCTCCCTCTGTCGCCCAGGCTGGAATGCAGTGGCATGATCTCGGCTTACTGCAACCTCTGCCTCCCGGGTTCAAGCAATTCTCCTGCCTCAGCCTCTCAAGTAGCTGAGATTACAAGCATACACCACCACACCTGGCTAATTTTTGTATTTTTAGTAGAGATGAGGTTTTACCATGTTGGCCAGGCTGATCTCGAACTCCTGACCTCAGGTGATCTGCCTGCCTTAGCCTCCCAAAGTGCTGGGATTACAGGCGTGAGCCACCGTGGCCAGTGAGAGCCATGTTTGTGTGAACTCAGCGTCATGTTGGGCCGGGATGAGGGCCGCACCTGCATGAGCTGGTCGTGCTGGGCAGGGTCGAAGTCGTCTTCAAGGTCCCCCTCCTCGAGGCCCAGCATCTCGTTGCCTGTTACTTTCCGCAGCTTCTCCAGCTTGGCCAGAATCTCCTTCCTCTTCAGGTTCTTCAGCTGCTTGAGCTCTTCCTGCTTCTTTGCTTTCTCCTGCAGGCCCAGGCAGAGAGGGGGAGGGCATGGGCTTTCCTCCAGGGCTGGGGGGTCCTCCCCAGCTCACCCCCCACACTCACCCTCTTCTTTCGCTCCCGAGTCTCTTCCCTCTTCTCCTTTCTGCGCTCATCCTTACGGCGCACGGAGGACGCGATGCTGCGTGGGTAGGTCTTGACCTAGGCGCAATCAGAAAAGCCCACAAGGGCCGCAGAGATGATGTGGGGTTCCCTGGGCCTGAACCCTGGGGGCTGAGTCCTCCCCAGCCCCAGCCACACACCGATGCTGAGTCCGGCTCCTCGAAACGGAAATTGTACTTCTGTTCAAAGTCCTCCTGTTTCTTCAGAAACAGCTCCCCTTCGTCTGAGGAGTCGTCCACAGCCAGCTGGACTGGGGGACCGTGGACCCTGAGGGGCAAGATGTGGTGATGCCAGGGGGCCAGCCAAGTGAGGTCGAGCCCCCCTTTCCTGCACGCCTGGGTACGAAGCGTATGAACTCATTTAATCCTCACAAGAACCCTACAAGGTGCACGCTGCTATTGTCCTCATTTTACAGATGGGGAAACTGAGGCATGAAAGTCTTGAAGCCGAACCAGGATTTGAGGCAGTGCCACCTGGCTCCAGAGCCTATACTCTGTGGCTCTGCCTTACAGAAGACTAACTCTGCCACCATCTGTGAAAAAAATACACACATGGTGCCCTCTGCCTCCTGGCCAGTGCCGCCTGGGAATACTTCATGAAGCGCACCCAAAATCTAGGTCCTGGGGAGATGCAGTGGCTCACCCCTCCTCTTCCTCCATTTCCTCTTCATCTTCCTCCTCCTCTTCCTCCTCCTCATAGCGTTTGTTGAGGATGTAATCCCGCAGGAACCGCTCCCCTTCATCCAACTCAGGGTCGTTCCAGTATTCCTTGAGATGCGTCTGGGGGTGACAGGAGACAGGACTCTGGTCAATGGAGGACAGGGAAGGAGGGCAGGCATGCTCACCACATGGACCTCACAGCCAGCCTCTGGAGTAGGTGACATTAGCCCCATTTTGGTTTCTTATTTTTATTTCGAGACAGGGTCTTACTCTGCCATCCAGGTGACAGTACAGTCGTGTGATCATAGCTCACTGCAGACCCAACCTCCCGGGCTCACAAGATCCTCCCACCTTAGCCTCCCAAGTATTTGAGACTACAGGTGCATGCCACCATGCCTGGCTAATTTTTTCATTTTTTTGTAGAGCCATTTTGCTATGTTGCCCAGGCCAGTCTCAAACTCCTGGCCTCAAGCAATCCTCCTGCCTTGACCACCCAAAGCACTGGGATTACAGGTGTGAACCACGGCACCCAGCCTATCCCCATTTAAAGAGATGTAGGAGCTGAGGCCCAGAGATGTACATATCCCATCTTCAGAGGGTTACTTTCTGTAAATAGGTTGGATGGACGCGGAACACGCGGTCTACTCCATCAGCGACCATGCGTGAGAACTCACCAGTTCCTTCAGGGAATCTGGGTTCCGAATCTCTTTCTGTCCCTTCAGCCACTCGATGTAGTCGGCCTCCTCCTGGGCCTGGGGGAAAGCTAGCACTGAGCATCCGCAGATGCCCAGCCACCCGCCACCCTGTCCCCCAGCAGTCCAGTCAGGCCCCAGTACCCACCTTCTCCTGCCTGGTTTTGGCACGTTTCTGCAGCAAACTGGAGCCGCCCTCCCCAGCGCCGTCCTCGTCCTCACTGTCCTCCACAAATGCCCGGAAGCTGCCCACGAGAGAAAACAAGCCTCAGGACAGGCAGGCTGGCCCCTGTCTGCTGCCCCAGTATTTATTTTATTTTGTAGAGCTGGGGTCTCACTATGTTGCCCAGGCTGATCTTGAACTCCTGGGCTCAAGTGATCCTCCCTCCTCTGCCCACCAAAGCCCTGAGATTACAGGCATGAGCCACCTCACCTGGCTGGCTGCCCCAAGATTAACCCCATTTACTAAGCCCTGAGCTCTCCTCTCAACAAGCTCAGAGCAGTGCTGTGATGTTATTAACCCCGTTTAACTGATGAGGAAACTGAAGCACATAGAAAGTGACAGAGCTCAATTTGAACCCGTGCCTATCCAACCCCCGAGCCTCAACTTTCCTCCATTGGGCCATTCCCGCCCACCCAGCCTCACCTTTCCTTGAGCTGTTTCTGTTCCTCCACATAACTTTGCGACGATGTCTCCTGCAGAGAGGGCCATAGGTCTCAGGCCAGCCCCAGGCCCCTCAGCCCCCCGACCCAGCCTTCACCCCACCCACCTGGAGTCTGTGATTGGAAGTCTCCCCGTCTGAGTTCTCCTCATCAACATATTTGCTGTAAAGGAAAAGTGGGGTCTTCAGAATATATCTTCCAGGGCCCGCCTGTCCCCATGCCCATGCGGAGCAGCTATTCCAAGCAACAGCTGGCGGGGGTCATCGGAGGGCTATGGAATCACTGAGACTCCTGCTCTCAGGGCTATCTGCGATTCTGGTGAGTTTCCAGCGTTTTTTTTTTTTTTTTCTTTTCCAATCATGGGTGACAGCATTTCTTTTTTGGAGCCAGGGTCTCGCTCTATCCCTCAGGCTGGAGGGCAGTGGCATGATCTCGGAAAACTGCAACCTCCACCTCCCAGATTCAAGCGATTCTCCTGCCTCAGCCTCCCCACGTAGCTGGGACTACAGGCGCCCACCACCACATCTGGCTAATTTTTGTATTTTTAGTAGAGACGGGGTTTCACCATGTTGGCCAGGGTGGTCTCAAACTCTTGACCTCAGGTGATCTGCCCGCCTCAGCCTCCCAAGGTGCTGGTATTACAGGCATGAGCCACCATGCCCGGCCTTTTTTCTTTTTGAGACAGGGTCTTATTCTGTTGCCCAGGCTGGAGTGCAGTGGCCTGATCATAGCTCACTGCAGCCTCCATCTCCTGGCTCAATCCTCCTGCCTCAGCCTCCTGAGTAGCTGGGACTACAGGTACACATCATCATGCCCAGCTAATTTTTAATTTTTTTGTAGAGGCGGGGTATGTTGCCCAGCCTGGTCTCAAACTTCTGTCCTCAAGCGATCCTATTGCCTCAGCCTACCAAAGTGCTGGGATTATGGGCATGAGCCACCATGCCCGGCCCAGGCTGCCAGCTTTTTTCCCTCTCCTGCCCCTAAGACCCCCATAGACCTGACAGGGCTGGGAACCAGGGGGTGGGGATGTAGGCCTTCTCCATACCCTGCCTTCTCCAAGATAACCTTCCTCTCGTAGTCCTTCAGGTACATGGGCCGCACTTTCTTCTGCTTCTCCAAGGCTTCTGGGTCCTCCTCACTGTCTGATGACGATGCTGTTAACCCACCAAAGACACCTGCCATCACCCACAACCCCCTTCTTTGCCGTGGCAGAGAATCCCACAGGGCAGGGCCAGGGTTAGACAGAGGATTCAAATCCCAAATCCACCAATTCCCAGCTGTCCAAGAGTATTGTGCTTGTCACCATCTGGTGGGGTTGGGGTCATTCAGTCAGTAATTCCTGCTTTGATTATTATTATTGTTGTTATTATTTATTTACTTATTTTTTTTTGAGGTGGAGTCTCATTCTGTTGCCCAGGCTGGAGTGCAATGGCATGATCTCGGCTCACTGCAACCTCTGCCTCCCGGGTTCAAGCTGTTCTCATGTCTCAGCCTCCCAAGCAGCTGGGATTACAGGTGCCCACCACCGCGCCCGGCTAATTTTTATATTTTTAGTAGAGATGGGGTTTCTCCATGTTGGTCAGGTTGGTCTCGAACTCCTGACCTCAGGTGATTTGCCTGCATCGGCCTCCCAAAGTGCTGAGATTACAGGCGTGAGCCACCGCACCCGGCCATTATTATTATTTTTTTGAGACAGAGTCTCACTCCGTTGCCCAGTGCATGGCGTGACTTGGCTTACTGCAACCTCCGCCTCCCAGGTTCAAGCGATTCCCCTGCCTCAGCCTCCTGAGTAGCTGGGATTACGGGTGTGCACCACCACGCCCAGCTAATTTTTGTTATTTTTAGTAGAGATGGGGTTTCACCATGTTGGCCAGGCTGGTCTCGAACTCCTGACCTCAAGTGATCCTCCCGCCTCAACCTCCCAAAGTGCTAGGATTACAGGCATGAGCCACCATGCCCAGCCTGATTAATTATTATAATTAATTTTTTTGAGAGTTGGAGTCTTACTCTTGCTCAGGCTGGAGTGCAGTGTCAACATCCTAGCCCACAGCTCACTGCAGCCTTGAACTCATGGGCTTAAGCAATCCTCCCACTTCAGCCTCCCAAATACCTGGGACTATAAGCGCACACCAGCATGCTCAGCTGAGTTCTGAATCTTTTGTAGAGATGGGGTCTTGCCGCCAGGCACAGTGGCTCACGCCTGTAATCCTAGCACTTTGGGAGGCCAAGGCGGATGGATTACCTGAGGTCAGGAGTTCGAGACCAGCCTGGCTAACATGGTGAAACCCCATCTCTACTAAAAATAACAAAAAAATAGCTGGGCGTGGTGGCACGCACCTGTAATCCCAGCTACTCCGGAGGCTGAGGCAGGAGAATCGGTTGAACCGGGGAGGCGGAGGTTGCAGTGAGCCCAGATCATGCCATTGCACTCCAGCTTGGGCAACAAGAGCAAAACTCCGTCTCAAAAAAAAAAAAAGAAAAAAGAAAGAAAGGCTGGCTGGGCGCAGTGGCTCACGCCTGTAATCCCAGCACTTTGGGAGGCCAGGGTGGGCGGATCACCTGAAGTTGGGAGTTCGAGACCAGCCTGGCCAACATGGAGAAACCCTGTCTCTACTAAAAATCCCAAATTAGCTGGGCGTGGTGGCGCGTGCCTGTAATTCCAGCTACTCAGGAGGCTGAGGCAGGAGAATCGCTTGAACCTGGGAGACGGAGGTTGCAGTGAGCTGAGATCGTCCCATTGCAACCCAGCCTGGGCAACAAGAGTGAAACTCCATTTCAAAAAAAAAAAAAGAGAAATGGGGTCTTGCTATGTTGGCCAAACTGGTCTCAAACTCCTGGCCTCAATTGACCCTCCCACCTCAGCCTCCCAAAGTGCTGGGATTAGATGCTTGAACCACCTGCCCAGCCTGGTGGAGTTGGAATCATTCAGTCAGCAATTCCCACCTTGAATAGTGCCAAGGACACAGTCATTAACTCCACCACCAGGTAATAACCTAGGCTCTGCTAAGGACTTGTGACTTGTGAAGCAATTCATTCAATAGTCAAAACAGATGAACTGTGTAAACTGGGTAAATCCCAATCTATCCTTAAAACAGCCCTGAGGGGAGATGCTACCGTTAGATATACTTTACAGACAGGAAAAGAGGCTCAGAGAAGTCAAGTCACTTCTCTGAATCCACAGTCAGGAAAGGACCCCGGATTCTGCTCCAGAGGAAGGAGAGGTTTAGACAGGAGTGGCCCCGGACCTGTTCTGTTATAGAAGGTGGCATCTTTCTGATAAATGCGGGGGTCCTTCTTCTTCAACAAGGAGAGCGTTTTGTAAAAGTCCCGCTCCTGCTGGGGATCAAATTCCTAGGGCAGGAAAAGGGTTGGGGATAGATTTCAGAAGGGAGATAATAAGAGCCCTGGCGCCAGCAGGTGAGCTCAGCGTAGGGATTAGGATGGAGGGGGGTGGATCTGGCTGGGGAGGTCAAACAGGTGGTCAAACAGCAGGAGGGAGAGGGGCCCTCTTGGGGTGGGCAGGGGCAGGCCACAGGTAGGTACAGGATATGGGTAGAGGAAGGTGAGGGGCAAGGAGAAGGTAATTCCTGGGGAAGACAAAGACTTGACAAGGGGCAGGTGGGCTGAGGGCACAAGAGAGACAGCGGGGAGGGGCTGGGCCAGGCCGCACAGTGGGGCCAGGATCAGGGCTGATGTGAGAAGTTGGGCGCCCCACGTGGCGCAAGGAGTACACTAAAAAATGGCTAGACTCTTGAGGATGAAAGAGGAAAGGGGGGGTTCTTGGGGGACAGAGTCGCCCCACACATCAGAGTGGGCAGGTGGGGATCGTGGCAGGGGAGAGAAAATAACGGGGATTTGGCTCCCCTGGGGAGAGGGGGGGCACTGTCTGTCCCTCATGGGATGGGGAGCGGAGGATGGGACGCTCCCGCAGGGCGCTCTGGGGTTGGGGGTTCCCCCCCGTCTACATCGGGGTCGGGGTGCAGAGGGGGGCTTGGACGCCTCCGCACGTCCAGGACGGGGCGGGGACGCGCACCACGCGCTCGTCGCTTGAGTCCGACTCGGAGCTGGAGTCGCTGCTGCTGTCTCGGTCCCCGTAGCGATCCTTCACTGCGGGACACAGACGGGATGCCCCCCCCCAGGTCAGCCGGCGGGGCCACTCGACTCCCCACTTCCCAACCGGCCGGCGCGCGCAGGCTCCCGCGCGCATGCGCCCCGCACTCACGCCGCTGCAGTTCCTCGCGCTCCCGGTAGCGGTTGTACCGCGCGGCAAACGCCGCGTTCACCCGCAGCTGCGACGACCCGCGCGGTTCCGGCATGGCGGTTCTGTGGCCCATTGCGCACGCGCATTGAGGAAGCCCTGGACGGGGCGGGGCCGCCCTCAGTCCCGCCCGCATCCACTTGTAAACGAGGCGTACCGCTGCTAACCCCGCCCCTGGCTTTTCCGGGATCCCTTTCGCCTCATCACCGCAGTCACCGCCCACGGCTACGCCCCTGCGGGGAAGGCCGCGGCCACCGCCCACCCGCCCCACCCCCTGTGCTCCGGGCACCCAGCTGACATCTGGGGGCCCTTTCTCCACTCGCGGTTTCCTGCTTCCCTTCCGTTCCGACAGCGAAAACCGCTGCCCCACCCAGCTCACTCACCCTGGCGCCCTGGGAATTACTATTCTCTCCCCTCACCCACCACATCCACGATCCGCGACCCCCGTCCTCATCCCCATCAACATCCGGGATGTGTAACTCTCCATCCCAGACTCAAAAATCAGAAGCCACCCGTGCTGTGATCATGCACAAGTCTTAATTTAATGGGTAAAAACATTAAATTATTACAACATTTTTTCCAATAAAGCATAATAAATAGAATCCATTTCTTTTAAAACGCTGTACAAGAGACTGGAAAACAAGCTTCCAACAGAATATGAATAACTCATAACTCATTCTACCTTCTTATTGATTTGGGACGCTCCCCCCACCCCCCATGCCTGAAGCAACGTGCACACTTCAGGTCTCTGAGCACAGCCGGCCAAGGCCACCAGCTTCTAGGCTCCCTGGAGGTCATGACTTCACTCTTAAATGCTCTGCCCTTGGGTCTCGTCTGAGGCCCCAGCAGCCTGAGGCGCAGAAGAAACTGAACCGTTTAGGTGGCTGTGGCCTGCAGGAGCCCTTCTCTGTCCAACACACCAAAAGGAGTGAGAAAAACAAATGAGAAACGTCCCCCAAACACTCACACCCCCAAAACCAACACCTATAAGCCACAAACTGTGCTCCTCCCCTACTGCAGCAGTGGGCAGGAGAAACAAGAAGAGAAAGTGTTTCTTCCCCTCTCTTCTGATACATAACCCCACGGGGTTCTCTTGCTGGAGAGGGTGACCCCAGATCACAGCGGGGCCACCATGTGGCCCTGCAGGATGTCCACGAGGTCCTGAGCCCCTCTCTGCAGTGCCAGCTCCAAGGGTGTGAGACCCCTGGCGTCCCTGCGATGGAGATCAGATTCAGCTGCCAGAAAGCTGACCACAGCAGTGTGACCCTCTTGAACTGCCAGATGGATTGGAAGTGCCCCGGTGCCATCAGGCACGTTGACATCAGCCCCGTGCTCCACTAGGACCTTCAGGGTGTCCAGGAATCCAGTGCGGGCTGCGTCATGGACTGGACTGGTACCGGAGGTGTCCTGGACATTGGGGCTGGCACCTTGCTTCAGCAGCTCCAGGGCGATGGCGGTGCTGCCAAACATCATGACCTGTGTGAGGGACAGAGGATCAGGAGGTCCTCAAGGGAGGAGGTTCCACAAAAGGGGTCACTGGAAAGAGAAGGGTCATCCAGAAAGAGGCATCTCCCAGAAACAGGAAATGCTAGAGGAGGGGTCCTCTAGTGAACGGAGAAGCTGCATAAGCCCCCAGGAAAGTTCTTCTGGGAATAGGGACCCCCCCCAAAAGCTGGTCACTCCCTTAAGAATGAGACCCCCCAACCCAGAGAACAGCCCCCCATGGAAACTTTCAAGGAACCTAAGACTCTCCCCCAAGGGACCAAAGACGCCCCCAGATATGGGCAATCACCAGGAAACAGAAAATCCCCTCCAGGAAATGGGCCCCCAGAGATGGAGAACTACCCCCAAAGAATTGATAGTCCTCATAAGGGAAAAAAGATGTCAAAGGAAAGCGAACCCCTTCTCCAGGAAATAGCCTCCTCCTACATAATGGTGATGTCACCTCAGAGTACCTGAGAGCTCCTTTCAAGAAGCGGGATTCCAAAAGTAATAATAAAAGAGAAACGAGACTTCCCTGTAAAATGTCTCCCAGGGAATATAGGGATGTCTTGCAATCTGACATTGTTCCTCCATTGGGGCCCCCATACTATATCAAGGATCCGCATAACCTTTAGGAATGAAGACCCCACCCCCAAGTAACCAGATTTGTCTCAGAGAGCCCCCTACAAAATGAGGAACCCCTAGAGACAGGACCTCTCCTTCCAGAGATCGGATCTCCCCATAGAAGCCCCAAGAAACGTGAGCCGTCCCCATGGAAACGGCATCCAAAGGAGCTGAACCCGCACCCACGGAATAAGAACCTCCCCAGGGAAAGTGAATCCCCGGCACTCAGAGAACCAGGAATCCTCCCAGAGAAGATGCTAAAAAGCTCTCCCCTCCCCCCACAACCTAGCCTCACCCACCACCCACCTTCGAAGGGGGACTGTGGGGGAACAATGAAAGCCTAGAGAAGAAGGACCGGTTCCCAGTGGGTCACCACCAGGGCCAGGAGACCAGAGAGGAGCTCTGGGGTCTCGATCCTCATCCCGCTTAGCCGCCCCGCCCCAACCTGGACCGGCCCGGCCTCACCTGCAGCGCCGTCTTGCCGAAGCGGTTGAGGGCGTCGGGATGCACCAGCTCCCGGTGCAGAAGGCGGCGCACCTCCTGCACGTCGCCCCGGGCCGCCGCCCCACTCAGCCGGTCGCCGGCGCGAACCTCCTCCAGCAGCATGTCGACACTGGCGGCCTGCAAAGCCCCCCGCCCCGCCCCAGCCCGGCGCTGTCAGCGCGGAGCAGCCGGCGGGCGCTGGCCCGAACAGCCCTCCCGGGGCGCGGCCGCGGTGCACCCGGCTGCGCTGCTCTCCCGTCCCGGCTCCCCAGCCCGAGACCCCGGCCCTCCCGGCGGGCTCCTCCCCCTGTCAGCCGGAGGACGGCGAGGGGCTGGGAGCCGGGCCCAACCCTCGGCCGCCCGCGGGGCCCTGCCCGGCGCCCGCCCCTTGGGGGCCGGGTCTCCCCCTAACTCACCCTCCCTCCTCCTCGCCGGGCGGGGTCTGCTCTGAGCCTGCGCCGCCGCCGCCGCTGAGGCAGCCGCCAGGGGGCGGAGCCAACGTGCTCCCGGCCACGCCCCGAACGCAACTGATTTGTTTTCTTACAAACTCGCTACTGTGTAGCGGCACCGCGTTGCCCGGCGCGCGACCTTACGGCGTTCCGCCCACAGGGCCTGCATAACCAGTGGCTGCGCGTCGCCGGGGAAACTTCGGGCTCGGCGTGAAACGCGTCGCTCCTGATTGGTCAGAGTGTGGCAACCGGTGGACCGCCGGCAATGGCGGGGTTTTCGGTTTTCAAATGAACCCGGCAGGCGGGAAAGAAGGCTGGTTTAACTGACCCAGGGAGAAAGGTCAGGGGCAGGGTCGCGCGGGCTGCTCTGGGACCTCGGCGCCTCCTGAGGGAAGGGAGGCAGGGCTGGAGCCACCCAATCCGAGGTTCCACTACTAATAGACATTCATTGGCCCTTACTACGAGCTGGGCGCTTTATTTCATTCATTTATTCATTCACTGTGTGCAGGGAGCGTCCTGGGAGCTGGACGCGCACATTCAAACAACCAAATAATATTAGATAGTGTCAAGCACCGTGAAGAAAGGGAAACGGAGAGACGGAGTGGATGAGGAAGGGATCACCCTGCCGGGCTCAGACTGAGCCAGCAGGAAAGGAGCCTGCAGCTGCCACGTGGGAAGGCCTGAGAGGACATAGTCGCAGCCAGACAGGGACTCAGAGGTCTTCGTTCAAATATTTACTTAGCACCTCCTAGAGGGGCCCGAGTGGAGAGCACGCCAGTCGGCCCCTGCTGCAGGGACACCTATGGTCTGGGGCCAGAGACAATAGTTAATTTTTATTTATATATGTATTTATTTTTGAGTCAGGGTCTCACTCCTGTCACCCGGGCCGGCGTGCAGTGGCGCGATCACAGCTCACTGCAGCCTCGACTTCCCGGGCTCAAGTGATCCTCCTGCCTCAGCCTCCCGAGTAGCTGGGACTACAGGGCGCACCACCACGCCCGGCTAATTTGTGTTTTTAGTAGATATGAGGTTTCACTATGTTGCCCAGGCTGGTGTTTTTTGTTTGTTATTTGTGTTTGGCTTTTAAATACAGATTTTTTTTTTTATGTTGGGGTTCTTGCTTTGTTGCCCAGGCTGGTCCCGAATTCCTGGGCTCAACGGATCCTTCTGCCTTGGCCTCCAAAAGTGCTGGGATTACAGGCGTGAGCTCCTGCTCTCCGCCAATAGTTAAATCTTTTTAGAGTGGTAGAGGACTGACCAGATGAGCCATTGAAACGGAAAGGCAAAAAGCCGGGCGCGGTGGCTCACACCTGTAATCCCAGCACTCTGGGAGGCTGAGGTGGGCGGATCACGAGGTCAGGAGTTCAAGACCAGCCTGACCAACATGGTGAAACCCCGTCTCTACCAAAAATATAAAAAATTAGCCGGGCGAGGTGGCGGGCGCCTGTAGTCCCAGCTACTCGGGAGGCTGAGGCAGGAGAATGGCGTGAACCCCAGGGGGCGGAGCCTGCAGTGAGCCGAGATTGCGCCACTGCACTCCAGCCTGGGCGACAGCGAGACTCCGTCTCAAAAAAAAAAAAAAAAAAAAAAAAATTAGCTGCGCCTGGTGGCACGCACCTGTAATCCCAGCTACTCAGGAGGCTGAGACAGGAGAATCGCTTGAACCCAGGAGGCGGAGGTCGCAGGAGCCGAGATCGCGCCATTGTACTCCAGCCTGGGCAACAGAGTGAGACTCTGTCTCAAAAAAAAAAAAAAAAGAAAAGAAAAGAAAAGAAAAAGAAACGCAAAGGCAGGGAGGGCCTCCCTGAAGAGGTGACATTTGATTTGAGACCTAAAGGTGAGGGAGGGAGACTTGTGGTTATATGGGGAAAAGCACACCAGCTGGGAGGCACAGCAGATGCTAAGGCCCAGAGGTGAGAGCGTGCCTGGTGTGGTACAGAGCAGGGGAGAGCAGGTAGGTGGGGTATCAGGATGGCAATTGTGCAAATCAAGCCATGGCTTTTTTATTTATTTATTTATTTTAATTTTTTTTTAATTTTTTTTTTGAGACGGAGTCTCACTCGCCCAGGCCAGAGTGCAGTGGCGCTATCGCGGCTCACTGCAAGCCCCGCCTCCCGGGTTCACGCCATTCTCCTGCCTCAGCCTCCCGAGTAGCTGGGACTACAGGCGCCCGCCACCGTGCCCGGCCTTTTTTTTTTTTTTTTTTTTTTTTTGAGACAGAGTCTTGCTCTGTCGCCCACGCCCGACCAGGCCATGGCTTTAATAAGATAGGAATGCCGAGCGAAGTGGCTCACACCTGTAATTCCAACATTTTGGGAAGCTGAGGCGGGTGGATCACCTGAGGTGGGGAGTTCGAGACCAGACTAGCCAACATGGTGAAATCCCATCTCTATTAAAAAATACAGGCCGGGCGCAGTGGCTCACGCCTGTAATCCCAGCATTTTGGGAGGCCGTGGCGGGCGGATCACGAGGTCAGGAGATTGAGACCATCCTGGCTAATACGGTGAAACACCGTCTCTACTAAAAATACAAAAAATTAGCCAGGCGTGGTGGCGGGCGCCTGTAGTCCCAGCTACTTGGGAGGCTGAGGCAGGAGAATGGTATGAACCCGGGAGGCGGAGCTTGCAGTGAGCCGAGATCACGCCACTGCACTCCAGCCTGGGCGACAGAGCAAGACTCTTGTCTCAAAAAAAAAAAAAAATTAAGCCAGGCGCGGTGGCTCACGCCGGTAATCCTAGCACTTTGGGAGGCCAAGGCGGGCGGATAATGAGGTCAGGAGTTTGAGACCAGCCTGACCAACATGGTGAAACCCCGTCTCTACTAAAAATAACAATAATTAGTGGGGCATGGTGGCGCACGCCTGTAATCCCAGCTACTCAGCAGGCTGAGGCAGGAGAATCGCTTGAACCTGGGAGGTGGAGGTTGCAGTGAGCCGAAATCGCGCCACTGCACTCCAGCCTGGGCGACAGAGCGAGACTCCGTCTCAAAAAAACAAAAACAAAAACAAAAATTAAGCCAGGCGCAGTGGCTCATGCCTGTAATCCCAGCACTTTGGGAAGCCGAGGCGGGCAGATCATGAGGTCAGGAGTTCGAGACCAGCCTGGCCAACATGGTGAAACCGGTCTCTACTAAAAATACAAAAATTAGCTAGGTGTGGTGATGGGCGCCTGTAATCCCAGCTACTCGGGAGGCTGAGGCAGAAGAATCGCTTGAACCCGGGAGGCGGAGGCTGCAGTGAGCCGAGATCGCACCACTGCACTACTCCAGCCTTGGCGACAGACTGAGACTCCGTCTCAAACAAAACAAACAAACAAACAGACAAAAAAAGCCAGGCGTGATGGTGGGCGACTACGACTATAATCCCAGCTACTCGGGAGGCTGAGGCAGGAGAATTGCCTGAACCTGGGAGGCGGAGGTTGCAGTGAGCCGAGATCGCGACACTGCACTCCAGCCTGGGCTACAGTGAGACTGTCTCAAAAAAAAAAAAAGAAAAAAGAAAAAAGGAAAAAAGAAGCGATGCTAACACGCGCCCTCTAGCGGCTACTGGGGGAACAGACCGTGGAGGTGGGAAGCAAAGGCAACAGCAGAGGACCAGGGCCATGACCCGGGACTGAGGAATGGACTGACACGTGTTACCCACTCCCATTGCAGCACTTCAGTAATGTCCCCAAACAAGCACATAGGCAGCGGCTAGATTCATCTTTTTAATGACATCCTAAAATTCAGAGGAGGGGCCAGCGGGACCTCTGGGCTCAGCGGCTGTGAAGGAGGGACCCGCAACACCCGCTAAGGCAGGTAATTGCAAGAAGGCACTCGCGAGGAGGACTTCAAGCCCCTCTTCTATTTCTTCATATAAAATCAGGGGGATGGGGAAAGCTCCAAGGGCGAGGGAAGCAGAGAGAGTTTCTCTCCCAGCCTATGGAATAAGGAAGAGGTGAGGAAGGGGCGGGTGCTGGGAGCAAGAAACTGCCAAGTCCAGGACCTGCCCTCACACAGACACACACAGCCCGCACCTGCCCTCCCTCTAAAATCTGCATCCGGGGCTGTAAGGAAGCCCCGTGTTCAAGCCCCCATCTCTTCTCCCTTCTAGCTGGTACGAAGTTGGTAATCTGCAGAGAAAGAATGAGGAGGGGCCATCTCAGAAATGGGGAGAGGGGGGCCGGGCACGGTGACTCACGCTTATAATCCCAGCACTTTGGGAGGTCGAGGCAGGTGGATCACTTGAGGTCAGGGGTTCGAGACCAGCCTGGCCAACATGGTGAAACCCCATGTCTATTAAAAATACAAAAATTAGCTGGGTATGATGGTGCACACCTGTAATCCCAGCTACTAGGGAGGCTGAGGCAGAAGAATTGCTTGAACCCAGGAGGTGGAGGTTGCAGTGAGCTGAGATTGCGCCACTGCACTCCAGCCTGGGCGACAGAGTGAGATTCCATCTCAAAAAAGAAAAGAAATGGGGAGGGGTGAAGGAAGAGGGACAGCCTCCCACAGCCCCTCAATTCATCCCCTATCCCAGCACTCATGATCAACAAGGCTAAGAATGGGGCTAAACACAGGTACTGTAACCATAGAAACAAGGCAGTTTCCAGGCAGCAGATGGAGGTGCTATATGTTCAGCCCCTTCTCCAAACTCGCGACCACCCTAGAACTGACGCTGACAACTGTCCCTGCTTTTTTTTCCTTTTTTTTTTTTTTTTTTTTTGAGCCAGGGTCTCACTCTTGCCCAGGATGGAGTGCAGTGGTGCAATCACAGCTCACTACAGCCTCGACCTCCTGGGCTCAGGCGATCCTCCCACCTCAGCCTCCTGAGTTGCTGGGACTACAGGTGTGCACATCACACCTGGCTAATTTTTATATTTTTTGTAGTGAAGGGGTTTTGCTGTGTTGCCAAGGCTGGTCTGGAACTCCTGAGCTCAAGCGGTCCTCCCACCTCAGCCTCCCAAAGTGCTGGAATTACAGATGTGAGCCACCACACCCAGCCAACTGCCCCCATTTTAAAGACGTGCAAACCAAGGCCCAGGGTGCCATGACAAGAAGGGGCAGTTTGCTTTCTTTTTCATTTTTTGAGACAGGGTTTCTG
The DNA here is from genome assembly GCF_000001405.40 of Homo sapiens. Lineage (NCBI taxonomy): Eukaryota > Metazoa > Chordata > Mammalia > Primates > Hominidae > Homo > Homo sapiens. The sequence continues at coordinate 10,574,060 of NC_000019.10, forward strand.
TCGACCAGGCAGGAGTGCAGTGGCACGATCTCAGCTCACTGCAACCTCCACCTCCCGGGTTCAAGCAATTCTGCCTCAGCTTCCTGAGTAGCTTGGATTATAGGCATACACCACCACACCCGGCTAATTTTTGTATTTTTAGTAGAAACAGGGTTTCACCATGTTGGCCAGGTTGGTCTCGAACTCCCGGCCTCAAGAGATCCACCCGCCTTGGCCTCCCAAAGTGCTAGGATTACACACCTGAACCATCACACCTGACCCTTGTTGGTTTTCTGAGCCAGAATGTGGTGAAAGCCTCGAGTCCCTACCCACTGCCTTTCCCTCACCCCATTGTCCCCAGGAGCTGGGCTGCCTTACCGCCACTCTGGGTGATGTAGCGAACCCAGGGCAGGGCCTGGTAACCACTTTTCTCAATGATCTTCATGTATCGGACCTGGAAGGGAATGAAAAGAGGTGGTCCAGGATTGCAGGAGGGAGGAGGCCAGGGCCAGGGAGAAAGAGACGGCTTAGGCCAAGCGGCTATGTGGCACAGGCTGGGATCGATGAGGGGATATCACATGGTCTTAGGGGGATGAGGTGGCACAGGCAACGGAATGGTGAATGGCTTTGGAGGTGGAGAAGGGACAGAAGTGAACAAGCCGGTGGGGAACAAGGTGGCACAGGCCGGGGGAGAGGGAGCACAGGCTGTGGGCAGATAAAGGTAACATTGCTCTGGGAAAGACCAGGCAGCCTTCAGAGGAGTGTTGACACAGGCCAGGGGACTGAGGTGACTCGAGCCAAGGGACAGGAGAGAGGGGAACCCACCGAAGTCAAGGGGAGGATCCTCCCTGCCTGCTTCTCTCACCTGGATCCCAGAGACGGTGAAGTAGGGGATCTCAAACTTGACCCCGATGGGGGGCCGGCCCTCCACCTCTTCCTTTTCCACACTGGGGAGGCCAAAGTGGGCTCGCATCAAGTACTCCTTGCCCCCCTGAGGGAACATGGGGGCATCAGGTACACGAGGGTCCGCCTACCCTCCCGAGACCTTCCTTTCAGCAACCCCTGGAGTCAGATCTGCTCACAGCCCATTTCACAGACAGGAAAATAAAGGCTCCTTAGCCTGGGCAACATATTGAGATACCATGTCTACAAAAAGTTTAAAAATTAGCTGGGTGCGGTGGAACATGCCTGCAGTTTCAGCTACTTGGGAGGCTGAGGCAGGAAGATCCCTTGAGTCTGGGAGTTTGAGGCTGCAGTGAGCCATGATCTCACCACTGCACCCCAACCTGGGTGACAGAGACTCACCAGGGAAGATTCTGACTGCAAAACCCAATCAGGGTTTTTTTCTTTTTTTAACTACCATGTCCTGTTTTACAGGCACTGATGATCCACCTCTCCCAAGATCATGGGGACAAACCAAAACCTCTAGTAGCCAAGGGATGTGGGTCACCTCATCCTGCCCATTTCACAGACAGGCAAACTGAGCCTCCTTAAGTGGAAATGGGTTTCCCAAACCCACCCAGCTCAGCAAAGCAATAGTGAGGAAGGTGAACCCAGGGCTGGTTTCCTCAAGACATTGGCAGGGGGATATTTAAATCCACACACTTCCCGTCATGGAAGTTTACACGTCTGTGAAATAGACTGGCCTGGTTTCAAGCTTGATCACTTGCATACATACGTACCTCTCTGATTTACTTGTATTTCTTTTTTCTTTTTTTTTCTTTTTTTTTCTTTTTTTTTTTTTTTGAGATGGAGTCTTACTCTGTCGCCCAGGCTGGAGTGTAGTGGTGCGGTCTTGGCTCACTGCAAGCTCCGCCTCCCAGGTTCACGCCATTCTCCTGCCTCAGCCTCCCGGTAGCTGGGACTACAGGCGCCCGCCACCACGCCCAGCTAATTTTTTTTTTTTTTGTATTTTTAGTAGAGACGGGGTTTCACAGTGTTAGCCAGGATGGTCTCGATCTCCTGACCTCGTAATCTGCCCGCCTCAGCCTCCCAAAGTGCTGGGAATTACAGGCGTGAGCCACTGCGCCTGGCCTTGTATTTCTTTTTTCTAAGTTTTTTTTTTTTTCTTGAGACAGAGTTTCACTCTGTCACCCAGGCTGGAGTGCGGTGGCGTGATCTCAACTCACTGCAACCTCCGCCTCCCGGGTTCAAGTGATTCTCCTGCCTCAGCCTCCTGAGTAGCTGGTACTACAGGCGCACACCCCCATGCCCGGCTAATTTTTTTTTTTTTTTTTTTTTTGAAATGGAGTCTCGCTCTGTCACCCAGGCTGGAGTGCAGTGGCGTGATCTCTGCTCACTGCAAGCTCCACCTCCCGAGTTCAGGCCATTCTCCTGCCTCAGCCTCCCAAATAGCTGGGACTACAGGCGCCTGCAACCACGCCCGGCTAATTTTTTGTATTTTTAGTAGAGATGGGGTTTCACCATGTTAGCCAGGATGGTCTCGATCTCCTGACCTCGTGATCCGCCCACCTCGGCCTCCCAAAGTGCTGGGATTACAGGCGTGAGCCACCGTGCCCTGCCCTAATTTTTGTATTTTTAGTAGAGACGGGTTTTCACCATGTTGGCCAGGCTGGTCTTGAACTTCTGACCTCAGGTGATCTGCCCGCTTCAGCCTCCCAAAGTGCTGGGATTACAGGTATGAGCCACCATGTCTGGCCTTTTAATCTTTTTTTTTTTTTTTTGAGACGGAGTCTCGTTCTGTTGCCCAGGCTGGAGTGTGCAGTGGCACAATCTCAGCTCACTGCAACCTCTGCCTCCCGGGTTCAAGCAATTCTCCTGCCTCAGTGTCCCGAGTGGCTGGGATTACAGGCATGCGCCACCACACCCAGCTAATTTTTGTACTTTTACTAGAGACGGATGTTAGCCGTCTCTATGTTAGCCAGGCTGGGATTTCAGGCGTGAGCCACTGCGCCCAGCTCCTCTTAATATTTTTATAGAGGCAGGGTCTCACTGTGTTCCCCAGGCTGGTCTCCAGCTCCTGGGTTCAAGCGATCTGCCCGTGTCAGCCTCTCAAAGTACTGGCATTCCAGTCATGAGCCATCACACCTGACTGGGTCTCTGATTTGTTCTCTGCCTTGTTCTCATGGCTCCTGGGCAGCCCCCACACTACTCCAGTCCCCTCCACCCCCAGATCCCCCGCCAGTCCCTGGTACTTACCGGGAAAGACTTAATACTCCAAATCACGACGTTTCTCTCCGGCACATACTTGGCGCTGCCCACACTGGTCTTGAATCTGGGGGAGTCGGCATCGCTGGGTACAGGCACAGATATCTCCACACCGTTGGCCACTGACTGTTTCTTAAACTGCCCCTTGGCCTGTCAGGGGAGCGAGCATGGGGCACGAAGAATTCGCTTGCTCATCCTTCAAATATTTACCAAGCCCTTTTTTTTTTTTTTTTTTTTTTTTTTTTGAGACGGAGTCTCACTCTGTCGCCCAGGCTGGAGTGCAGTGGCGCGATCTCGGCTGGCTGTAAGCTCCGCCTCCCAGGTTCACGCCATTCTCCTACCTCAGCCTCCTGAGCAGCTGGGACTACAGGCACCCGCCAGCACGCCCAGCTAATTTTTTTTGTATTCTTAGTAGAGACGGGGTTTCAGCATGTTAGCCAGGATGTTCTCGATCTCCTGACCTCGTGATCCGCCCACCCCGGCCTCTCAAAGTGCTGGGATTACAGGCGTGAGCCACCATGCTTGGCCTTTTTTTTTTTTTTTTTTTTTAGACGGAGTCTCTCTCTGTCACCCAGGCTGGAGTGCAGTGGCACAATCTCCGCTCACGGCAACCTCCGCCTCCTGGGTTCAAGCAATTCTCCTGCCTCAGCCTCCCAAGTAGGTGGGATTACAGGCATGTGCCACCACGCCCTGCTAATTTTGTATTTTTAGTAGAGACAGCGTTTCTCCATGTTGGTCAGGCTGGTCTGGAACGCCTGACCTCAGGTGATCCTACTGCCTCCGCCTCCCAACATGCTGGGATTACAGGTATGAACCACTGCACCCAGCCTGAAGGGGTCATTTTGAATCAGGCAAAGGTGTATGGTGCTGTCCACATGGAAGGCACCAAGAACAGGGCTTCTCGAGCCTCATGGGTGTGGGCCTGAGTTCTAACAGTTGTTGGCTGTGTATCTGCAGGCAAATGCCTTAACTTCTGTGTGCCTCAGTTTCCTCATCTGTAAAATGGACAGGATAAGGGTCCCCACCTTAGGATTGTGGAGGCCTGGGCTGAGAGGGCATATGAAAGGCTTGTTGAAAAAAGCCGGGGGTGGTGGGCCACACCTGTAATCCCAGCACTTGGGGAGATGGAGGCAGGCGTGGCGGCAGGAGCCTGTAATCCCAGCTGCTCGGGAGGCTGAGGTAGGAGAATGGCATGAACCCAGGAGGCAGAGGTTGCGGTGAGCTGAGATCACACCACTGCACTCCAGCCCGAGTGACAGAGGGAGACTCTTTCTCAAAAAACAAACGAACAAACAAACAAAAAAACCCTTCAGTCCATCACAGGAGAGTTATTATTTTATTTGATAACAGATTTTTTTTTTCTTTTTTCTTTTTGGAGATGGGGTCTAGCTCTGTCATCCAGGCTAGAGTCCTTGTCTCACTACAACCTCCTCCTCCTGGACTCAAGCAATCCTCCCACCTCAGCCTCCCAACTAACTGGCACTACAGGCACTCACCACTTTACCAGGCTAATTTTTGTATTTTTTGTAGAAACAGGGTTTCGCCCTGTTGCCCAGGCTGGTCTCAAAGTCCTGGGCTTAAGTGATCTAACCACCCCGGCCTCCCAAAGTGCTGGGATTACAGGTGTGAGCCACCGCACCCACCCGAGATCATGCATTGTTAATAAGCATTCCCCCAAGGCCCACCTTGACCATGATCTCCACGCGGCTGTGGGAGAACTTCTCAATGACAGACTCAATCCAGATCAGTGGCTTGACCTGTGGGAAGAAGAAGGGGAGAGTTCTTGGAGACTCCATGTTGACTCTCTTCTTTTTTTTTTTTTTTTTTTCTTTCTTTGAGACAGAGTCTCGCTTCTTCGCCCAGGCTGAAGTGCCATGGCGTGATCTTGGCTCACTGCAACCTGCACCTCCTGGACTAAAGCAATTCTCGGCCGGGAGCGGTGGCTCACGCCTGTAATCCCAGCACTTTGGGAGGCCAAGGTGGGCGGATCACGAGGTCAGGAGATCGAGACCATCCTGGCTAACACGGCGAAACCCCGTCTCTACTAAAAATGCAAAAAATTAGCTGGACACGGTGGCATGCGCCTATAGTCCCAGCTACTCGGGACGCTGAGGCAGGAGAATGGCGTGAACCTGGGAGGCGGAGCTTGCAGTGAGCCGAGATAGCGCTACTGCACTCCAGCCTGGGTGAAAGAGCCAGACTCCGTCTCAAAAAAATAATAATAATAAAAATTAAAAAAAACAAATAAAGCAATTCTCCTGCCTCAGCCTCCCCAGTACCTGGGATTACAGCATGTGCCACCATGCCCAGCTAATTTTTGTATTTTTAGTAGAGACAGGGCTTCACCCTGTTGGCCAGGCTGGTCTCGAACTCCTGTCCTCAAGTGATCCACCCGACTCAGCCTCCAAAATTGTTGGGATTACAGGCGTGAGCCACTGCGCTGGGCCCAGGGTCGCTCTTCAGCCTACCCCAACCTACTCCACCCAGATGGGGCTGGACCCTGCCTCACCTGGGTGCTGAGGCGGTATGACATGAGCTCAAAGTCACCATCAGGCGGGATGAAGGAGATGGTGCGGTCGTTGTCAAAGCGAGAGAGCCGCACGCACTGGTGGAATTTTACATCCTCCAGCTCTACTGATTTGTTCTTGCTGCCTGAAACTCAGAGTGGAGAGTGGAGAGTGACCCTGGGAACCAGGAAAGGATCCCTATCCCCACCTTTCCTGCCGACCACTGTCACCTATTTCACATATGGGGAAACTGGGGCCCAGAGAGAATGAGCAAAAACTGGCACAGTAGAGCTGGAATCTGAACCTAGTATCTGTACAGGATCTGGCTTGGTTTTTTTTTTTTTTTTTTTTTTTTTGAGACAGAGTTTCACTCTTGTTGCCCAGACTGGAGTGCGATGGCACGTCTTGGCTCACCGCAACCTCCACCTCCCGAGTTCAAGCCATTCTCCTGCCTCAGCCTACTGAGTAGATAGGATTACAGGAATGTGCTACCACCCCCGGCTAATTTTGTATTTTTAGTAGAGACGGGGTTTCTCCATGTTGGTCAGGCTGGTCTCAAATTCCCAACCTCAGGTGATCCTCCCTCCTCGGCCTCCCAAAGTGCTGGGATTACAGGCGTGAGCCACTGTATACCCGGCAGTGTCTGGCTTTTAAATATGATGCTGAGGCCTGGCGTGGTGGCTCACGCCTGTAATCCCCGAACTATGGGAGGCTGAGATGGGCGGATCACAAGGTAAAGAGATCGAGACCATCCTGGCCAACATGGTGAAACCTCGTCTCCACTAAAAATACAAAAAAAATTAGCTGGGCGTGGTGGCTGGTGCCTATAGTCCCAGCTACTCAGGAGGCTGAGGCAGGAGAATAGCTTGAACCCAGGAGGCGGAGGTTGCAGTGAGCTGAGATCATGCCACTGCACTCCAGCCGGGTGACGGAGCGAGACTCCATCTTAAATCAATCAATCAGTCAATAAATAAGATGCTGAGCCAGGCACAGTAGTTCACACCTGTAATCCTAGCACTTTGGGAGGATTGCTTGAGGCCAGGAGTTTAGACCAGACTGGGCAACATAGCGAGACCCCCGTCTCTATAAAAAATTTAAAAAGTAGGTGGTCCATGCCTGTAGTCCCAGCTACTCGAGAGGCTGAGGTGGGAGGATCAGTTGAGCCTCGGAGGTCAAGGCTGCAATGAGCTATGATCACACCACTGCACTCCAGCCTGGGTGACAGAGCGAGACCCCATCCCAAAATAAATAAATAAATAAGATGCTATTCTGTCTCCTCCTCCCAGTAGGATGTCATCTCTGTAAGAACGCGGGTTTGTCTTTTTCTTCACTGCTGTGTCCTCAGAGCCTAAAACTGCACCTGGCACCCAATAGTCGCTCAATCATGAAACAGCCTTTGCAGTCAGCCAATGGCTGCAATACTGGCCGTGATCAGCAGATGGTGAGCGAGCGCTTATTTCAAAACGGGCTGCGATTCTCTTAAGTCCCCACGTGGGGCGGGTTTGCGACTCCCCTGTGCATTTCTCAGAAGAAAGGTCCCCTAAATGCTTACGGCCAGTGAGCTCGAAGAGCACGCGGTCATTGAGGCCCAGCCGCAGCTCTGGCATTCCTGACAGAAACACCTTGAGCTTGATGGTACCGACGATTTCGCTCAGAAGGACGCTGCCGTTGGCATTGACCTGAGGGAGGACGTTGGGTATAGTTAGCAGGCATCAAACTCCGTCTCCTGCAGCCAGGCCGTGGAAGGGGTGCCGGGGAGGTGTGCAGGCTCACCAGCAGGTTGACAGACTCTATGACATCAATGAAGACCTCGTTCTTCTTATACTTGATACCCTCGGAGCGCCAGGACACAGCGTTGGTGACAGTGGGTGGCACCCGTGACTTGCCCGTCTCCAGCTTGTTGCTCTGCTGAGTGATGTACCTGGAGGGAGGGCGGCAGGGACAAGCAGCTGGACCCAGGGACACCTCCGTGGACCTCCTCCAGTTCCTTACACCCACAGTCCAGCCCATGGCTGCCTCCAGGGGTCCACTCACTCCTGCAGGATCTTGCTGTCGGTGGTCTGCGGGAAGCCAAAGTCCATGAGCTCGTCCAGCAACTCGTAGACGATGACAAAGTTGTCCCGGATGCTCTCCTCCTCCAGCTCCTTGAAGTATTCGCAGAATACCTGGGGGTTGGAGGAGAGAGAGACCCACAAAAGTGTGGCTATGGGTTGGGCATAGTAGCTCATGCCTGTAACCCCAGCACCTTGGGAGGCCAAGGCACGAGGATCACTTAAGGTCATGAGTTCAAGACCAGCCTGGGCAATATAGTGAACCCCTATCTCGTTTTTTCTTTTTTCTTTTTTTTTTCGAGACAGTCTCGCACTGTCACCCAGGCTGGAGTGCAGTGGCACTATCTCGGCTCACTGCAACTCCTGCCTCCGGGGTTCAAGCGATTCTCCTGCCTCAGCCTTCTGAGTAGCTGGGACTACAGGCACGCACTACCAGGGCCAGCTAATATTTGTATTTTTAGTAGAGACGGGGTTTCACAATGTTGGCCAGGATGATCTCGATCTCTTGATCTCGTAATCCGCCCACTTTGGCTTCCCAAAGTGCTGGGATTATGGCATGAGCCACCGGTGCCCGGCCATGAGCCCCTATCTCTAACAACAACAACAAAAATTTTAATAGGAGTTCGAGGCTGCAGTGAGCCATGAGGATGCTACTGCACTCCAGCCTGCGTAACAGAATAAGCCCCTGTCTCAAAAAGAAAAAAGGCCGGGCATGGTGGCTCATGCCTGTAATCCCAACAATGGGAGGCCAAGGGAGGCAGCTCACTTGAGGTCAGGAGTTTGAGACCAGCTGGCCAACATGGCAAAACCCCGTCTATACTAAAAATACAAAAATTAGCCAGGCATGGTGGCACCTGCCTGTAATTGCAGCTACTAGGGAGGCTGAAGCAGGAGAATCACTTGAACCCAGGAGGTAGAGGTTGCAGTGAGCTGAGATTGTGCCACTGCACTCCAGCCTGGGCAACAAAGTGAGACCCTGTCTCAAAAGAAAAAACAAAAAAGAAAAAAGAAAAAGTGTACTGAATGCTTGAAAAATTAGGCAAAAAAGGGCAGGTATGGTGGCTTCTTTTTTTTTTTTTGAGACTAAGTCTCACAGTGTTGCCCAGGCTGGAGTGCAGTGGCGAGATCTTGGCTCACCACAACCTCTGCCTTCCAGGTTCAGGTGATTCTCCTGCCTCAACCTTCCCCGTAGCTGGGATTACAGGCAGGTGCCACCATACCCGGCTAATTTTTGTATTTTTAGTAGAGAAGGGGTTTCTGCATGTTGGCCAGCCTGGTCTCGAACTCCTGGCCTCAAGCAATCCGCCCACCTTAGCCTCCCAAAGTACTGGGATTACAGGCATGAGCCACTGTGCCTGGCCTTTTTCTTTTTTTTTTTAAGCACAGAGACAAGAAGTCACTTGCTCAAGGTCACACAGTGAGGAAGCAGGGAAGCTGGGATTGGATGCCAAGTCCTTGGGCTTAGCTGAGCCGTATGCTCTCTGAGACATTCTTGGTCCCTGTCCTTTAGGGAGAGATGACTTCATAAGCAGCTGATGAGATGCAGAGTGATGGGGCTTTGATGGCGGATGCACAGAGACTCAAACAAGGCCCCAGGGAAGGGGTGAGCGTGGTGGCTCCCATGCTTTGGGAGGCCAAGGCAGTAGGATTGCTTCAATCCAGAAGTTCTAGACCAGCCTGGGCAATATAGCAAGACCCCATCTCTACCAGAAAAAAAAAAAAGGGAAGACCCAGGGAGATCTGGGAAGGCTTCCTATCAGAAAAGGATCTTGAATCTTGAAAGAGGCGGGCAAGAGGGATAGACGGATAGACCAGTTAGCCAATGGGAGGCTAGTACCTACCTCTATTGTCTTATACAGGAAGGAGTACACCAGGGAGGCATTGGCATTCTTCGATGTGGTGGCCACCACTGGGGCAGCAAGGTTAAGGAAAAGGTGCCATTTATGGAGAAGTAAATGGAATACAGACCCCGAACCTCCACCCTGTCCCTTGCCACCACCCTCATCTCTACCTGCCCCTGCCCCCCAGCCTAAGCCACAGAGATGTGCGGTGCAACTCCTGTCCTCAGCCCACCCTCTCTTGGCCTGAGCTGCCACCATCGCCGACAGCCCCCACACCCACCTCCAGGGACACCACGTGGGGTGGATACAGTAGAGGTTGCTGTGTTTGATCCATAGGAAGTGGACCTGGCCGTGGCTCAGCAGCGGGGCCAGGGCGCCTTCCTCCTCCCGCTGTACCAGCAAAGGCATGAAGTGCTCAATCTTGCTCATGGCCACATCGCCCTTGTAGTTGCGGCTGATCAATGGCTGAGGGTGGAAGGAAAGGACCTGGTCACCACCAGCATCCAAGAACCTACCACGCTGAGGAGGCACAGTGCCCGGTTCTGACCCTACTTCCTAGCTGAGGGGCTTGGGCAAGGCTCTGCCTCCTTGTGCCTGTTTCCTGCTCTGTAAAATGGGAGTGTGATGACAACAGCTAATGGGTCTAGGGCCCTCACTAAGTGCCAGGCTGTGTTTTATTAAAGGGTAGGCGATGGCTGGACGCAGTGGCTCACGCCTGTGATCCCAGCATTTTGGGAGGCCGAGGCGGGTGGATCATGAGGTCAAGAGATCGAGACCATCCTGGCCAACATGGTGAAACCCCGTCTTTACTAAAAATACAAAAAATTAGCCGGGCGTGATGGCGTGTATCTATAGTCCCAGCTACTCGGGGTGCTGAGGCAGGAGGATCACTTGAACCTGGGAGGCGGAGATTGCAGTGAGCCGAGATCGTGCCACTGCACTCCAGCCTGGCGACAGAGCAAGACTCCATCTCAAAAGAAGAAAGAGAGAAAGAAAGAAAGAAAGAAAGTAAAGAAGGAAGGGAGGAAGGGAAGGAGGGAGGGTAGGAGGGAAGGAAGGAAGGAAGGAAGGAAGGTAGGCAGGCAGGCTGGCTACTAAAAAAAGAGTAGATGTTTACTAACTTATTAGTTCTTGCCACAACCCTGTGGGGTAGATGTTATCATCATCTCCATTTCACACAGGAGAAGTGAGGTTAGAAACCATGTCCACTGGAAGCATATGGAAACTGGGGATTGATCTAAGGCATCCTGGGTCCAGAATCCCTGCTGTTGCCCCAGACTTCATTTGCACCAAAGTGGGATTATTTAAAAAAACAACAACAACAAAAAAAAAAAACAAAGAAGAGGCCAGGTGCAATGACTCACTCATGAAGACCAAGGCAGGAGGATCCCTTGAGGCCAGGAGTTTGAGACCAGCTTTGGCAACATAGCGGGATCCCTCTACAAAAAATTTCAAGAATTAGCTGAGCATGGTGGCCTGCACCTCTGTAGTCACAGCTACTCTGGAGGCTAAGGCAGAAGAATCAATTGAGCCTAGGAGGTCGAGACTACAGTGAGCTGTGGTCATACTACTGCACTCCAGCCCGAGCAACAGAGTGAGACCCTGTCAAAAAAAGAAAGAAGAAAAGAAAGAAAGAAAGAAGGAAAGAAGGAAAGAAGGAAAGAAAGAAAGAAGAAAAAAAGAAAGAAAGAAAGAAAGAAAGAAAGAAAGAAAGAAAGAAAGAAAGAAAGAAAGAAAGAAAGAAAGAAAGATGACAGTTCATATGATTGTGCCTGGTAGTCAGGAAGACACCCATAATAGTAAACACTTCTGTCTGGACACGGTGGCTCACGCCTTTAATCCCAGCACTTTGGGAGGCTAAGGCGGGTGGATCATGAGGTCAAGAGTTCGAGACCATCCAGGCCAACATGATGAAACCCCGTCTCTACTAAAAATACAAAAATTAGCTTGGTGTGCTGGCGCATGACCGTAATCCCAGCTACTCAGGAGGCTAAGGCATGAGAATCACTTGAACCCAGGAGGTGAAGGTTGCTGTGAGCTGAGATCACACCAGCCTGGTGACAGAGCGAGACTCCATCTCCAAAAAAAAAAAAAATTAGTTAACCACTTCCTAAGGTTGTTTTGTCCAGTGTCTGAACAGGGAGGACCCATGGCAGGTTCTCAAACATCTTAGCTCTCACTATTAATATTAATGGGAATATTATTTTCACCACCACTCTTATTTTGGCTATTAAATGACAAGACAGGCTGACTGCAGTGGCTCACACCTGTCATCCGAACACTTTGGGAGGCTGAAGCAGGGGGATAGCTGGGGACCAGGAGTTCAAGACCATCCTGGACAACATAGCAAGACTCCATCTGTACAAAAAAATAAAAATAAAAAATAGGCCGGGTGCGGCCGGGCGCAGTGGCTCATGTCTGTAATCCCAGCACTTTGGGAGGCCGAGGTGGGCGGATCACGAGGTCAAGAGATTGAGACCATCCTGCCCAACATGGTGAAACCCCATCTCTACTAAAGATACAAAAAATTAGCCGGGCGTGATGGTGCGCGCCTGTAATCCCAGCTACTCAGGAGGCTGAGGAAGGAGAATCACTTGAACCTGGGAGGTGGAGGTTGCAGTGAGCCAAGATCATGCCATTGCACTCCAGCCTGGGTGACAAGGCGAGACTCTGTCTTGAAAAAAAAAAAAAATACAAAAATTAGCCAGGCATGGTGGCATGCACCTGTAGTCCCAGCTACTCGGGAGGCTGAGGCAGGAGAATTGCTTCAACCCGGGAGGTGGAGGTTGCAGTGAGCCAAGATGGAGCCACTGCACTCCAGCCTGGGTGACAGAGCAAGACTCTATTTAAAAAAAAAAAAAAAAAAAAATTAAAAATAGCCGGGCATGGAGGGGTCAGCCCGCAGCCCCAGATATTCAGGAGTTTGAGAGCAGCTTTGGCAACATAGCGGGATCCCTCTACAAAAAAATGTCAAGAATTAGCCAGGCATGGTGGCCTGCACCTGTGTAGTCACAGCTACTCCGGAGACTGAGGCAGGAGGATCGCTTGAGCCCAGGAATTCCAGGCTGCAGTGAGCTATGATCGCACCACTGCACTCAAGCCTGGGAGACAGCAAGAGACCCTGTCTCCAAAATAAAAAAAGACAAGAGGAATAAAAGGACTTCAGGAAGAGGCAAGGCAGCCACAGATGGGGGGAGTTAGAGGCCCCTGTTCCAGTTGCCTTCCCCAGGTATTAACACTGTGGATGCCGACAGTGATGGAGATAATTTCAATTTGCTGAGTCCCTAATATTTCCAGAAAGGCCACTATGCTAAGTAGTTTACACGCAGCGAGTTGTATTAATTCTCATTGGGTGGGGACCTCTGTTGCTCCCATTTTTACATACAGAGAAACTGAGGCCCTAGGAGGCGAACCCCTTGGCCTCAGGCACAAGGCGAGTGGATGCTGGAGGTGGGATTCCCAGGGATTGCAGGGGGAGGGGGTGTTCCCAGACCTCTTCCTGGCCCGCGCGGAGGGGTCGCCCCTGAATCCCTGGGAGCGAGACCTCACCTGTCCGTCTCCCAACTCCTCATGCCCAGCCTCACCTTGCCCTTAACGTCCAGAATGAAGACAGCCGAGGCGGACATGGTGGCGGCCGAAGGACTTAGGAGTCGGGGAGGGAGCGCCGGGAGGCGATGGCGGCGCCGCTTCCTTCTTCCTGCGGAAGCGCCTGCGCCCAGGTGAGAGCCCAGGTGTGTGCGTCTTAAAGGGGAGGCGGCCAGGTGAGCAGCGCTGTCGGCCAACTTGAAGATGGCTGCGGGGCCGGGAGAGGTACTGCGACTTCAGATGGGTCTGCTGCCCCCCTTCACTTTCCCTAGCCACCCAGGAGTAATGACGGGTGGAGACCCCAAACCAATCAACCATCCTTCCATCCATTCATTCATCCTTCCTTTCATTCATCTATCCATCCATTCGTCCATCCATCCATTCATTCTTGCATTCATTAATCCATCCACGCATCCACTCATTTAGCCATTCATTAATCCATCTTCCATCGATTCATTGATCCATCCTTCCATTCGTCATCCATTTCTTCATCCATTTTTGCATTCATTTATTTGTTCGTCTATCCATTATCCATTCATCCATCCATTTATTCATCCATTCATTCATCCCTTCTTGCATTCATTCATTTATTCATCTTTCCATTCATCCATCCATTCATCCATTCTAACATTCATCAATTTATTCATCTATCCATCCATCCATCCATCCGTTCATCCATTCTTGCATCATTAATTTATTCATCTATCCATTCATCAATCCATCCATCCATCCATTCTTGCATTCATTAATTTATTCATCTATCCATTCATCCACCCATCTATCCATTCATTCATCCTCTCATTGATTCATCCATCCATTCACCTTCTTTCTCCTCTGTCTCACCCACACACGTCAGCCCCCATACAGCAGGGACTTTGTCTTGTTCATGTTTATGTCCCTAGTGCTCAGCACTGGGTGCTCAAAATTTGCCCAATTCATTCATTCACTCATTCATATAATAATTTTCACTGGTGAATTTTACTGACTGAATTTGAAATATTCATTCACTCAGTAACAGGAACTGTGGATATAATTCCGAGCAGGACAAATGTACTTGCTTTTATTATTCTTACAAATTTACTCTTATTCATTTCAAATAAAAAATTTATTTTTTTTTGTTTTTTGAAATGGAGTCTCACTCTGTTGCCCATGCTGGAGTGCAGTGGAATGATTTTGGCTCACTGCAACCTCCACCTCCCAGGTTCAAGCAATCCTCCTGCCTCAGCACCCCTAGTAGCTGGGATTACAGGCAAGCGCCACCATGCCCAGCTAATTTTTTTTTTTTTTTAGACTCCAGGCTGGAGTGCAGTGGCATGATCTCTACTCACTACAACCTCCGCTTCCCGGGTTCAAGGGATTCTGCTGCCTCAGCCTCCCAAGTAGCTGGGATTACAGGTATGCGCCATCACGCCTGGCTAATTTTGTATTTTTAATAGAGATGGGGTTTCACCATGTTGGCCAGGCTGGTCTCGAACTCCCGACCTCAGGTGATCCACCCGCCTCAGCGTCCCAAAGGGCTGAGATTACAGGCGTGAGCCACCGCACCCAGCCAAAAAACTTTTTTTGTAGAGACAGGGTCTCACTCTGTACCCTAGACTGGACTGCAGTGATGCAATCATGGCTCACTACAGCCTCAACTTCCTGGGCTCAAGCCATCCTCCTGCCTCAGCCTCCCTAGTAACTGGAACTACAGGCACAAACCGCCACACCCAGCTAATTTTTTTTGAGACAGAATTTTGCTCTAGTTTACCAGGCTAGAGTGCAGTGATGTGATCTCGGCTCGCTGAAACCTATGCCTCCTAGGTTCAAGCAATTCTCCTGCCTCAGCCTCCCGAGTAGCTGAGATTACAGGCATGCGCCACCATGCCCGGCTACTTTTTTTGTATTTTTAGTAGAGACAGGGTTTCTCCATGTTGGTCAGGCTGGTCTTGAACTCACGACCTCAGGTGATCCACCCGCCTTGGCCTCCCAAATTGCTAGGATGACAGATGTGAGCCACTGCGCCTGGCCACAACTAGCTAATTTTTTTTTTTTTTTTTAATTTGGAGTCTCGTCCTGTTGCCCAGGCTGGAGTGCAATGGCACAATCTCGGCTCACTGCAACCTCTGCCTCCCAGGCTCAAGCGATTCTGCTGCCTCAGCCTCCCAAGTAACTGGGATTACAGGCGTGCACCACCAAGCCCAGCTAATTTTTTGTATCTTTAGTAGAGATGGGGTTTCACCATGTTGGCCAGGC
Organism: Homo sapiens; assembly: GCF_000001405.40. Classification (NCBI taxonomy): domain Eukaryota; kingdom Metazoa; phylum Chordata; class Mammalia; order Primates; family Hominidae; genus Homo; species Homo sapiens. Next base: position 10,589,426 of record NC_000019.10, read on the forward strand.
TGGTCTCGAACTCCTGACCTCGTGATCCATCTGCCTTGGCCTCCCAAAATGCTGGGATTACAGGCGTGAGCCACTGCGCCTGGCCCACACCTAGCTGATTTTTTTTTTTTTTTTTGAGACAGAGTCTGGCTTTGTCGCCCAGGATGGAGTGCAGTGGCGCAATCTCTGCTCACTGCAACCTCTGCCTCCCAGCTTCAAGCAATTCTCTGCCTCAGACTCCCAAGTAGCTGGGATTACAGGCGCCTGCCACCACGCCCGGCTAATTTTTTTTTTGTATTTTTAGTAGAGACGGGGGTTTCACCATCTTGGCCAGGCTGGTCTTGAACTCCTGACCTCGTGATCCACCCGCCTCAGCCTCCCAAAATGCTGGGATGACAGGTGTGAGCCACCGCGCCAGGCCAGGCCCACCTAGCTAATTTTTTTTTTTCTTTGAGATGGAGTCTCGCTCTGTTACCCAGGCTGGAGTGCAATGGCGCGATCTCAACTCACTGCAAGCTCCGCCTCCCAGGTTCACACCATTCTCCTGCCTCAGCCTCCCGAGTGGCTGGGACTACAGGCGCCTGCCAACACGCCTGGCTAACTTTTTGTACTTTTAGTAAAGACAGGGTTTCACCATGTTAGCCAGGATGGTCTGGATCTCCTGACCTCGTGATCCGCCCGCTTCGGCCTCCCAAAGTGCTGGGACTACAGGTGTAAGCCACCGCACCCGGCCCGACCTAGCTAATTTTTACATTTTTTGTAGAGATGGTGTATCGGTATGTTGCCCAGGCTGGTCTCAAACTCCTGGGCTCAAGCGATCCTCCCCCCTTGGCCCTCCAAAGTACTGGGATTACAGGCGTAGTCTGAGCCACTGTGCCTGGTTTGTGCAGATTAAATGAGTTATTCTGTGCAACGTGGTGTTGGAAGGGAACTTGGATGTAGCTGACTGTCAACCATGTCGCTGAGAAGGAGGAGGATGAAGATGATGATCTGGATGATGATGTAGCAGTTGAGAGCACAGATGCTGGGTTTGATTTTTGATACCACCACACACTGGCTATAAGGCATGGGCTGGTGAATGCACCTGCTGTGCCTCAGTCTCCTCTTATGTTAAATGGGTATAACAGCCATGGTGCCCTCTCCTGCAGTTGCATAGCCAAATACCTGGCATGGCCCCTGGCTCCATGCATGTTTCGTGCACACCAGCTGCTGCAGACCCAGATTCCACCCCTGGACTTTCCTTTTTTTTTTCTTTTGAAATGGAGTCTCAGTCTGTCGCCAGGCTGGAGTGCAGTGGTGCGATCTCAGCTCACTGCAACCTCTGTCTCCTGGGTTCAAGCGATTCTCCTGCCTCAGCCTCCCAAGTAGCTGGGACTACAGGTGCACTCCACCATGCCCAGCTAATTTTTGTATTTTTATTAGAGATGGGGTTTCACCATGTTGACCAGGATGCTGTCGAACTCTTGACCTCGTGATCCGCCCACCTCAGCCTCCCAAAGTGCGGTAGTTTTGAGGACAGGGCAGAAGGAAAGGGAAAGTAAACCTCAGCCTTGCTTAGAACCACCTTGCTTGGCTGAGGGAGGGAGATGTCCTGCAGGGCCTGCAGGGAACAAGACTCAGCCTACCCAGACCTCACTTGTCCTTTCCCCAAACCCTGCCCAGCCCTTTATCAGCCCCTGTAGGTGGGGACTTAGAGAACAGCAGCTATCAGGATCATCCACTTGCCTCTCCACCTGAAATTAACATCAACATTGACAGCAGCACTGCACTTTAATTAAAACATTATCATCTGGGCCAGGAGCAATGTTTCATGCCTGTATCCCAGCACTTTGGGAGGCCAAGGTGGACAGAGCACCTGAGGCCAGGAGTTTGAGACCAGCCTGGCCAACATGGCGAAACCCTGTCTCCACTAAAAATACAAAAATTAGCCGGGCGTGGTGACGCATGCCTGTAATTCCAGCTACTTGGGAGGCTGAGGCAGAAGAATCACTTGAACTGGGGAGGCGGAGGTTATAGTGAGCCGAGATGGCACCACTGCACTCCAGCCTGGGTGACAGAGTGAGACTCCGTCTCAAGAAAATAAATAAATAGAATGAAAAATAAAAAGTTATCATCTGGCACAAGTCTCCTTCGTGCCATCTTATAAAGGTAGAAGCAGGGACACAGAGAAGTGAAGGCACCTGCCCAAGCCCACGGCCCCAGAGCCAGGAGGCAGTTGACCCAGAATTCGAATCTGAGTCCCGGGATTTAAGAATCTGGTCCCAGCCTGCTTCCGCCTGCTTTGCTATATTGCTGGATGCAAATATTACTATTAGTAACACTAACTCTGGCTTAAATGGTGCTCACCATAAGTGAGGGTGGCCCTAAATGTCGCCCATGCAGGAATCCTCAAGACAGCCCCTTGAATTACAGAAGCCTATTTTTTTTTTTTATTTATTTGAGACAAGGACTTGCTTTGTCGCCCAGGCTGCGGTGCAGTGGTGCAAACACGGCTCACTGCAGCCTCAACCTTCTGAACTCAAGAGATCCTCTCACCTAGGCCTCTCCAGTAGCTGGGACTACAGGTGAGCAACACCACTCCCAGCTAATTTTTAAATTTTTTTTTTTTTTTTTTTTGAGACAGAGTCTTGCTCTGTCGCCCAGGCTGGAGTGCAGTGGCGCAATCTCGGCTCACTGCAACTTCCGCCTCACAGGTTCACACCCTTCTCCTGCCTCAGCCTCCGGAGTAGCTGGGACTACAGGCATCCGCCATCAAGCCCGGCTAATTTTTTTGTATTTTTAGTAGAGACGGGGTTTCACCGTGTTAGCCAAGATGGTCTCGATCTCCTGACCTCGTGATCCGCACACCTCAGCCTCTCAAAGTGCTGGGATTACAGGCGTGAGCCACCGTGCCTGCCCAATTTTTAAATTTTTTGTAGAGATGGGGTCTCGCTACGTTGCTCAAGCTGGTCTTGAGCTTCTGGCCTCAAGCTGTCCTCCCACCTCAGCCTTCCAAAACACTGAGATTACAGACACGAGTCACCTCCCCCAACTCTATTATCTTCATTTGACAGATAGGGAAACTGAGGCCTTGAGAGAGTAAGTGATTTGTACAATGTCATCCAGTCAGAAGAAGCAGAGCTGGGATTTGAGCTCTGGAAAGCACAAGGTTTTTTTGTTTTGTTTTGTTTTTTGTTTTGAGACAGAGTCTCGCTCTGTCGCCCAGGCTGGAGTGGAGTGGTGTGATCTTGACTCACTGCAACCTCCGCCTCACGGGTTCGAGTGATTCTTCTGTCTCAGCTTCCCAAGTAGCTGGGACCACAGGTTTGTGCCACTATGCCTGGCTAATTTTTGTATTTTTAGTAGAGATGGGGGTTCGCCATTTTGGCCAGGACGGTCTCAAACTCCTGACCTTGTGATCCGCCCGCATTGCACGTTGGCCTCCCAAAGTGCTGGGATTACAGGTTTGAGCCACTGCACCCGGACTTTTTTGTTTTTTGAGATGGAATTTCACTCTTGTTGCCCAGGCTGGAGGGCAATGGTGCAACCTTGGCTCACCATACCCTCCGCCTCCCAGGTTCAAGTGATTCTCCTGCCTCAGCCTCCCAAGTAGCTGGGATTACAGGCATGCACCACCATGCCTGGCTAATTTTGTATTTTTAGTACAGACAAGGTTTCTCCATGTTGGTCAGGCTGGTCTCAAACTCCCGACCTCAGGTGATCCACCCACCTCAGCCTCCCAAAGTGCTGGGATTACAGGGGTGAGCCATCGCACCTGGCCCTGATTATTATTATTATTATTATTATTATTTTTGAGGCAGGGTCTCTGTCACCCAGGCTGGAGTGCAGTGGTGTGATCTCAGCTCACTGCAACCTCCACCTCCCCAGGTTCAAGCAATCAAGCAATTCTCCCACCCCAGCCTCCTGCACAGCTGGGACCACAGGTGCGTGACCACCACATCCAGCTAATTTTTATACTTTTTGGTACAGACAGGTTTCACAATGTCGCCCAGGCTGGTCTCCAACTTGTGGACTTAAGTGGTCCACCCGCCTCGGCCTCCCACAGTGCTGGGATTATAGGCGTGAGCCATCTCGCCCAGCCTAAAGCCCAAGACTTTATGTTGCTTCTGCCCAAAGGAGGGGGGTGGTCCTTCATGCTCCCAGCAACTGCCTGCTGAGAAGGTCACCTAGGGGGATGCAGTCACTGCTAGGCCCTCACCCCAGCCTAGACATTGCTGAACCTCAAAATAACTCGTCTCCTGGCAGCCGGGCGTGGTGGCTCACGCCTGTAATCCTAGCACTTCGGGAGGCTGAGGTGGGTGGATCACCTGAGGTCAGGAGTTTGAGACCAGCCTGGCCAAAATGGTGAAACCCTGTCTGGACTAAAAATACAGAATTAGCCGGGGGTGGTAGCACATGCCTGTAATCCCACCTACTCAGGAGACTGAGGCAGGAGAATCACTTGAAACTGGGAGGCAGAGGTTGCAGTGAGCCAAGATTGCGCCATTGCACTCCAGCCTGGGGCAATAGAGTGAGACTCTGTCTCAAAAACAACAACAACAACAAAATGAAGAACTCATCTCCTGGGGCCCTGAGATGTTTTCAGGCAGTAAGCAGAACCCGAAAGCCTGGGCCCAGTGCCCTGGAATCTGAAACTCCAGGCTTGTTTGGCATGAAAAATTCATGAGCCCAAAAGCTTACTTGGGGTCAGAGAACAGAGCAGCTCTGTGTGCTGGCTCTGCCTGCCCCGCCTGCCCCACCTCAGTGGCGGCCTCCCCCATCCCCCTGAGGCTGTGGCCTTGTCCTAGTTCCTTCTGGATGCCTGGAGCCTCCTCCAGCCTCTCCCAGGGACCACGCCTCTAGGCCCTGTCCACAATCCCTTCTCCACACCACTAAAGAGATCTCTCTGAAACTCACAATTATTTTTTGACTCTCACTCTCACATCCTCTATGGCCCCCCATTGCCCTCCAACCACCCCCACCTGGCACAGTCAGACACCTGCTGACCTCTGCCACAGGACACCACCTGAACCTGCTGTCCCAGACACCCTAACTGCCCGAATTTCAGTTCCTCTCCTGCTGTCTCAAGCCATCCTCCCACCTCAGCCTCCCAAGTAGCTGAGACTATAGACACGTGCCACCACAGCTGGCCACCTTAGCCATTTTGAAGTGCACAGTTCGGTGGCATTAAGCACATTAATGGCCATGCAACCGTCACCACCATCCATCTCCAGAACTTTCTCATCTTCCCAAAGGAAAACTTCTCCCTATGAAACACTCCTTCTCCCTCTCCCAACCCCTGGCACCCACTCTTCTTCTTCTTCTTCTTCTCCTTTTCCTTCTCCTCCTCCTCCTTCTTCTTCTTCTTTTCTTTTTTTTATTTATTTTGAGATGGAGTCTCACCGTCACCGAGGCTTGAGTGCAGTGGCACAATCTCGGCTCACTGCAGCCTCCATCTCCTAGGTTCAAGCAGTTCTCCTGCCTCAGCCTCCTGAGTAGCTGGGATTACAGGCGCCCCCCACCACGCCCAGCTAATTTTATTTTTTTATATTTTATTTATTCATTTACTTTTATTATTTTATTATTATTTTTTTTTGAGACAGAGTCTCGCTCTGTTGCCCAGGCTGGAGTGCAGTGGCACGATCTCAGCTCCCTGCAAGCTCTGCCTCCCGGGTTCATGCCATTCTCCTGCCTCAGCCTCCCGAGTAGCTGGGACTACAGGTGCCTGCCACCACACCCGGCTAATTTTTGTATTTTTAGTAGAGGCAGGGTTTCGCCATATTGGCCAGGCTGGTCTCTTGGCCAAGCTGGTCTGGAACTCCTGACCTGGAGATGTGCCTGCCTCAGCCTCCCAAAGTGCTGGGATTATAGGCGTGAGCCGCCGCGCCCAGCTTTTTTTTCTTTTTTTTTTGAGACGGATTCTCACTTTGTCGCCCAGGGGCTGGAGTGCAGTGGCGCAATCTCAGCTAATTGCAACCTCCTCCTTCTCCTAGTTCAAGTGATTCTCCTGCCTCAGCCTCCCAAGTAGCTGGGATTACAGGCATCTGCCACCACGCTGGGCTAATTTTTGTATTTTTGGTAGAGACTGGGTTTCGCCATGTTGACTAGGCTGGTCTCAAACTCCTGACCTCAAGTGATCCACCCATCTCAGCCTCCCAATGTGCTGGGATTACAAGTGTAAGCCACCATGCCCAGCTACTCAGGAGTCTGAGGTGGGAGGATCACTGGAGCCCAGAAGATTGAGGCTGCAGTGAGCTATGGTTGCACCACTGCACTCCAGCCTCGGTGACAAAGCAAGAACCTATCTTAAGAAAATACTGTGCTGAGCCAGTTCCTGAGAAAACAAAATAGAAAACAAAACTAAAGAAAAGGCAAAAGTTCCTCCCAGCAGAGATGTGAGAGAAAAAGAAAAAAAAAGTCCCCTGTGACACCCCCATACCCCAATCTTCGTCCCTCTCATAACCACTGGCTGATTCAGATCTTTTTCAGCTGGGTTACATGCAGGGGGGTGTGTGTGTGTGTTTGTGTGTGTGTGTGTGTGTGTGTGTGTGTGTGCGCGTGTTGCCCTCTTTCTCTCTCTTTCTCCCATACCATATAAGACTATACAACTTGTGGATGGGCACAGTGGCTCTCACCTGTAATCCCAGAACTTTGGGAGGCAGAGGCGGGTGGGGCACTTGAGGCCAAGAGTTCAAGAGCAGCCTGGGCAACATGGCAAAAAATCTGTCTCTACTAAAAATATAAAAACTGGCCAGGTGTGGTGGCTCACGCCTGTAATCCCTGCACTTTGGAGGCTAAGGCAGGTGAATCACCTGAGGTCAGGAGTTTGAGACAAGCCTGGCCAACATGATAAAATCCTGTCTCTACTAAAAATACAAAAAATTAGCCAGGTATGCTGGCGGACACCTGTAATCCCAGCTACTCGGGAGGCTGAGGCAGGAGAATTGCTTGAACCCAGGAGGCAGAGGTTGCAGTGAGCCGAGATCATGCCACTGCACTCGAGCCTGGGTGACAGAACAAGAATCTGTCTCAAAAACAAAACAAAACAAAACAAACAAGCAACAACAACTATATATATATATATATATATGTATATAGACTAAGCTGGGCATGGTGGTGCGTACCTGAAATCCCAGCTACTCCAGAGGCTGAGGCACACAAATCACTTGAACCCAAGAGAAGGAGGTTTCAGTGAGCTGAGCTCGCACCACTGCACTCCAGCCTGGGCGACAGAGAGAGACTCTGTCTTAAATAAAAAAAAAAAAATACAACTTGCTATTATCACTCAACAATATGACCTGGACGCTACTCCGGAAAGCATGTGGTTGAAGGGGAAGGAAGTGTGTCTTGGGTGTAAAGTCGGACTCCCTGGGTTCAGATCCTTGCAGAGCCACGGGCTCATTATGTTACTGTGGGTAAATTACTTCACCTCTCTGGGTCACTTTCCCCAATTGGAAAATGATTATAATGATTTAATACAGAGTGCTTGGGCCAGACGCGGTGTCTCACGCCTGTAATCCCAGCACTTTGGGAGGCCGAGGCGGTGGATCATGAGGTCAGGAGATTGACACCATCATGGCTAAGACAGTGAAACCCGTTCTTCACTAAAAATACAAAAAACTAGCTGAGCGTGGTGGTGGGTGCTGTAATCCCAGCTACTCAGAAGGCTGAGGCAGGAGAATTGCTTGAACCCGGGAGGCAGATGGTGCAGTGAGCTGAGATCACGCCACTGCACTCCAGCTTGGCGACAGAGTGAGACTCCATCTCAAAAACTAAAACAAACAACAACAACTATATACACACACACACACACACATACACACACAGAGAGCACTTTACTGGGTGAGCCAAGATCGCGCCACTGCCCTCCAGCAGCCTTGGTTCAAAAAAAAAAGGTGCTTGGCCAGCATGGTGGCTCATGCTTGTAATCCCAGCACTTCAAGAGGCCAAGATGGGCAGATCGATTGAGGCTAATGAGACCTGGTCTCTATTTCAAAAAAAAGAAAAAGAGTTAAAAAAATATATAAAGCATTTAATACCTTGTCTGACACTGACTAAGCTTTCTATAAACATTCACTCTTTCTTTCCTTTTTTTTTTTTTTGAGACCGAGTCTCGTTCTGTCACCCAGGCTGGTGTGCAATGGTGCACTCTTGGATCACTGCAACCTCTGACTCCCAGGTTCAAGTGATTCTCCTGCTTCAGCCTCCCAAGTAGCTGGGATTACATGCATGTGCCACCACACTCGGCTAATTTTGTATTTTTAGTAAAGACGGGATTTCTCCATGTTGGTCGGGCTGGTCTCGAACTCCCGACCTCAGGTGATCCGCCCGCCTCGGCCTCCCAAAGTGCTGGGATTACAGGTGAGAGCCACTGCGTCTGGCCTTAGAGACAGATTTTCATCGTGTTGTCCAGGCTAATCTTGAACTCCTGTCCTCAAGTGACCCTCCTGCCTCCCAGAGTGCTGGGATCACAGATGTGAGCCACCACTCCTGGCTGTAAACAGTCACTCTTATTATAATCTGCAGGACCACCACCTTTTTTCTTAAACTATTTTAAAAATTCTCATTTTGAAATGTAACTTTTTTATTTATTATGTATACAAACACACATATATATTTGCATCATAAATGTTATTCCCAATATGGGACAGATTCCTTTCAACCCCCAGGTGAATCACATGGTACCCTGGAAAGACCTAGGAAGCCCTCCCTCCCACCATCTCCAGGGAGGTAGTGAGAACGGCAGGTGCTGGGGACTGGGAAGGCTTTGGAGTTTCCCAGCCTACCTCTTCTCCCTTTCTCAACAAAGGATACCTGTTCCCTATTATTCCCCTTATCCACTCTTCCCTTTTTTAAAAAAAACCCACAAAACCATCATTAGTAAAAAAACAAACAAAACCCCTTCAAGTATTGGGAGTTAGGGGTCCTGGGCTGGGACTTGGAGTTACAGGTCACCAAGGAAGAGGGAAGGGAAGAGAAGGAGGGGCTGTCACTTACTACTGCTGGCTTTCTTCCTTGCTGCATGCTATGGCAACTGTGTGTCGACCTCCTTTGCTGGCAACTGCACGTATGGGACCACTGAGCCCGGAATGAAACAGTCCTTTTTAAAAAACTTTTTTTGAGACAGAGTCTCGCTCTGTCACCCAGGCTGGAGTGCAGTGGCATGATTTCAGCTCACTGCAGCCTCCACCTCCCGGGTTCCAGCAACTCTCCTGCCTCAGCTTCCCGAGTAGCTGTGAATACAGGCGCCCGCCACCACATCCGGCTAAGTTTTGTATTTTAGTAGAGATGGGGTTTTGCCATGTTGGCCAGGCTGGTCTCAAACTCCTGACCTCAGGTGATCCACCTGCCTTGGCCTCCCAAAGTGCTGGGGTTACAGGTGTGAGCCACTGCACCCAGCCTAGAAGTTCTTCACTGATAAAATGTGAGGATATTTCTCAAGGTGTGTGATACTGATGTCAGCTCATTTGATGTTGAGATACTGATCCACCGAATGGAGGGTGCCACAGATGTTCAGGTCTTTCTTGAGTTCCATGACCACATTCATGCCCACAAGGGACTTGAAAAAAGGAATAGAAGAGCATGATGCTGGCGACCTGACCAGGAAGAGCAACACATATTTTATTTTATTTATTTATTTATTTGAGATGCTGTCTCACTCTTTCACCCAGGCCGGAGTGCAGTGGTGCAATCTTGGCTCACTGCGACCTCTGCCTCCCGGGGTCAAGCAATTCTCTGCCTCAGCCTCCTGAGGAGCTGGGATTACAGGCGCCCGCCGCCACGCCCGTCTAATTTTTTTTTTTTTTTGTATTTTTAGTAGGGACCAGGTTTCACCAAGTTAGTCAAGCTGGTCTTGAACTCCTGACCTTGTGATCCACTCAACTCAGCTTCCCAAAGTGCTGGGATTACAGGCGTGAGCCACCGTGCCGGGCCAGCAACACATATTTTAAAAGGGCAGAAGTCGGTTGGGCACAGCGGCTTACACCTGTAATCCCTGCACTTTGGGAGGCTGAGGTTGGTGGATCACCTGAGATCAGGAGTTCGAGACCAGCCTGGGCAACATGGCGAAACCCCGTCTCTACTAAAATACAAAAATTGCCACTGTACTCCAGCTTGGGCAACAGAGCAAGATTCTGTCTCAGAAAAAAAAGGCAGGCAGAGTACGGGGGAGAAGGTCAAGTATTCACAAACTAAACTAAGCTATGTAACTACAATTCTGTTTCCAGTGCCCAGAAGCTGCTCCTATCATCCCAGTAGTTATTACTACCCCAAAAGTCAACCACTGATATATGTTCTGTTACTATAGGTTGATTAGCTATGCCTGTTCTTGAACTTCAGAAAAAAGTGTGTGGTTTCTTTCACACAACATTATGCTTTTTGGGGAGAGATTCATCCATATTTTTGCCTGTATCAATAGTTTATTCCTGGACCAGGCGCTGTGGCTCACACCTGTAATCTCAGCACTCTAGGAGGCTGAGGCAGAAGGATCACTTGAGACCAGCCTGGGCACCCATAGGGAGACCCTCATCTCCACAAAAATTTAAAAAATTAGCCGAGTATGTCCAGGTGCGGTGGCTCATGCCTATAATCCCAGCACTTTTGGAGGCTGAGGGGGGCGGATCACCTGAGGTCGGGAGTTCCAGACCAGCCCGACCAACATAGAGAAACCCCGTCTCTACTAAAAATACAAAATTAGCCAGGCGTGGTGGTGCATGCCTGTAATCCCGGCTACTCAGAGACTAAGGCAGGAGAATCACTTGAACTTGGGAGACGGAGGTTGCGGTGAGCTGAGATCACACCATTGCACCATTGCACTCCAGCCTGAGCAACAAGAGTGAAACTTTGTCAAAAAAAGAAAGAAAGAAAGAAATTAGCCAGGCATGATAGTGTGTGCCTGTAGTCCCAGCAACGGGAGGCTGAGGCAGGAGGATCACTTGAGCTGAGGAGGTCAGGGCTTCAGTCAGCTATGACTGCACCATCGCAATCCAGCCTGGGCAATACAGCAAGATCCTGTCCCTAAAAAAAGAAAGAAGAAAACATTCATTCCTCATCACTAAGGAGAATCCCATGGTATGGGTGAAACCCACCATGGTTTGCTTCACCAATGATCTGTTAATGGGCATTTGGGCTGCTCCTAGTTTTTTTGCCCACTACGAATAAGGATACTATAAGGCTATCATGAACATTTATATGAATGTGTCTGTGGGTTTTTCTTTTCTTCACTTATACTTTTTCTTGGGTATATACCTAGAAGTGCAATTTCTAGGGTATTAACTTTGCAAGAAACTGCCAGATCGTTTTCCAACTGGTTGTGGCATTTTACATTCTCACCAACAGTGTAGGAGAGCCCCCATATGCTTCCCATCTTCCTCAACACTTGGTTCGACCAGTCTTTTTAATTTTAGCTATTCAGGTGGGTGTGCAATGATATCTCATCGAGGTTTTGATTTACATTTCCCTGATGACTTCGTGCTTTATTCTTTTTTCTTTCTTTCTTTCTTTTTTTTTTTTTTTTTGAGACAGGGTCTCACTCTGTCACCCAGGCTGGAGTGCAGTGATGTTTTCACCCATTTTTCTTTCTTTTTTTTTTTCTTTTTGAGACAGAGTTTCGCTTTTTGCCCAGTTCTGTTGCCCAGTTTGGAGTGCAATAGCGTCATCTCAGCTCACCGCAACCTCCACCTCCTGGGTTCAAGCGATTCTCCTCCTCAGCCTCCAGAGTAGCTGGGATTACAGGCATGTGCCACCACACCAGGCTAATTTTTTGTATTTTTAGTAAAGACAGGGATTCTCCATGTTGGTCAGGCTGGTCTCGAACTCCCGACTTCAAGTGATCCGCCCGCCTCGGCCTCCCAAAGTGCTGGGATTACAGGCGTGAGCCTCCGCACCCGGCCTGTTTTCACCCATTTTTTCCACAATAACTGTCAAGGCTGCAGGGAACACCCCTTGGTTACTACATCCCATGCACACACACCTGCAGTGGTTTGTCCAGGGTCAGTGCCAGACAGGAATCGCACCAGGTGAACATGACTTGGATATACTCTTTCTGCCAGGAAACATTCTGCTTCAAAGTATTCACTCACCTGATTTTATGTTATTAAACTCTAAAATTCTTACCAATCTGATGAATGAAAATGGCATCTTTTGGTATGTTCAGTGGTACACGGTGATCAATATTTACCTATCAATTATTTATCTATCCATCTTCTATTATTATTTTTATTTTATTTTATTTTATTTTATTTTTTGAGACGGAGACGGAGTGTCGCTCTGTCGCCCAGGCTGGAGTGCAGTGACACGGTCTCGGCTCACTGCAAGCTCCGCCTCCCGGGTTCACGCCATTCTCCTGCCTCAGCCTCCCGAGTAGCTGAGATTACAGGTGCCCGCCACCACTCCCGGCTAATGTTTTGTATTTTTAGTAGAGACGGGGTTTCACCGTGTTAGCCAGGATGGTCTCGATCTCCTGACCATCTTCCCGCCTCGGCCTCCCAAAGTGCTGGGATTACAGGCGTGAGCCACTGCGCCCGGCCTATTATTATTATTAATTCTTATTATTATTTTGAGACAGGGTTGCCCAGGCAGTGGCACAATCATAGCTCACTGCAGCCTCAAACTCTTGGACTCAAGTGATCCTCCTACCTCAGGCTCCCGAGTAGCTGAATTACAAGTGTGCCTCACCAAGCCCAGCTAATTTTTTAAATTTTTTGTACAGATGAGGGTCTTCCTATGTTGCCCAGGCTGGTCTGGAACTATTTGGCCCAAGCTATCCTCCCGCCTCAGCCTCCGGAGTGGCTGGGATTACAGGCCCGCGCCACCACGCCCAGCCTCAATATCTCCTTGACGATGAAATGCATAGATGAATGAATGAATGAATGACCTCTGTTTGCTCACCATGCACACCCTCAAGAGGGTTACTTGAGAGCTAAGACTGGAAACAAAGGTTGGGGCCCCACCCCTCCCGGGCCAGGCCCCGCCCCCGGTCCCCGCCCTCGCCCTCTCGAGGCTCCCATTGGAGGAGGCGCGCGGGGGCTGGCCCGGCGGGAGGGGCGGGGCCGGGGCCCGGGGCGGGGCGCTGCAGCCCGCGGAGCCTCCCGCCCGCCCGGGCTGGGGTCGCGCTGGCTCGGACTCCGCTCCCCGCCCCGCCGCGGCCATGGAGGACGAGCGGAAAAACGGAGCCTACGGTAGGAGCCGCCTCCGGTCAGGGGCCGCCTCTGCTGACCTGCGGGTGGGAGGACCTTGAGCCAGGGGGACATCTGAGACCCTAGGCACCGGCGCTGCGGCTGGATGGCCCTCCGCGCTCGGGCCCCCGCATCCGACACTGCGCGGATCCCACGCCCCCTGCTCTAACCGGGTCGCCCCGCGTCCCCTCCCCGGGAGCCCCAGCTCCCCCTCCGGCTGATGGGCCGGGGCTCACGGCGCATGCTCCGCCCGGGGAGGTCCCGTTATCTGGGCGGCTCGGATGGCGGGCGGGGGAGGGGAGGCGCGGCGATCTGGGCTCGGAAAAGAGACAGGGCCCTGACCTCCTCAAATCCCCCTCCTCTTCCAATCCCCTTTGTCCATTTCTTCCTCCTTCCCTTTTCCGCCAGAAGTAGCCGTCCGGGGCTTTTGGCCAGATGGGGAAACTGAGGCAAGACTGGGCAGACCGAATACCCAGCTGAGAGCCCACCGAGTCTGGCCAGCCGCCTGGAAACGGCGGAAAGAAGGGCGCCTTTGGTGAGGGGGCAGGAAGGAAGCAGGAAAAAATTGAGAAACTTTCCCCTCCCTGTGCAAGGGGCTGGCGGCTCCCACCTCCCATTTCGAGAGGTGCTGGCGACTGGAACTTCCTCCGGCGAACCTCTTGGGGCGACCTCAGGCATTTGGCCCCGGGGATGGGCCCAGGATGTGGGCTTCTCCATCACCAGCGCCCTGTGGTGCCGCCCTCCCCTGAATTCCCACGGTGGGAGGAGTTGCCATCCTCAGTTTCTCCTTTCTCTTCTCCATTTTGGGTCCCCAAGACCCAACGGAGCCCCAGCCCCACGTGATACTACCCTGGGGGCAAAGAAGCACTGTCGCGCCCCTCTTTGTGTGACAAGAACTTCCTGGAAACTGTGACACTGAAGGGCCCTGGGGAGGGGGCCGGAAACGGCTCGAAAATATTCAAGAAAAACAAGTTGGGTAGAGCTGTGCCTCCCTGCCCCCAGGGACTGTATGGCCTCAGGAGGCTGCCAGGAGAGACAGATCAGGGAGGCTGGGACCTTCCCTGCAGAGCCCAGCCAAGGGGAGGCAGCAGGACCTGGCCACCTCCCAGCACCCCCTCCCCAATTGAAGCTTCCAGCCCAGTCCCCTGGAGGGACCCCCTTGGTCTTCATTTGGGCTCAAATTCCAGCCCCAGTGGCTGTGGGTGCTGTGTGTCCCTTGGGTGTGGCAGGCTGTCTCTGACCTGAGAGTCTCAGCCTGAGGTTCTAGCCAGGTCTTGCCCGCTTGTGGGCAGCATCTGAGGGGGTCTTGGGTCTCTATGAAGTTTGGCTGGGACAGGGACGAGGGGCAGAATGGACAATGATATGATTCACCCAGCCTTGAATTTGGCCAAAGGATGGAATTGAGCTGTGGTCGGAGCTAGGCAGACCTCCCAGGCCCACACATGAGACAGGGGACCCTGCCAGACAGAGCCTTTGCTGGGCTTAAGGGAGTACCTTCAATCAACAAATATTTATTGAGCACGATTTAGGCAGGGGTCTAGACACTGGAAACCCAGCAGTGAATAGACCAGTGAAATCCTTGACCGCAGGGAGTAGTCAAGGGAAGGAATGTGTAATTTTAGGTTGTTGTAAGTTGTGAAGCAAAGAACAAGACGTCGTGTGATCTTGTGTGGCAGAAACAGCAGCGATTATTTTAGGTTACTAAGGGCTGGAGGTTGAGCCAGCCGTGGGAAGATTTAGGGGAAGTGTGTTTCACACAGAAAGAACAGCAAACAAACCACGTAGTTACTTAATTACATTTTGCCTTGGGGCCAAAGGGGGCATCTGGTTTGATTGCTTGAAGTAGGGGTTTTGCTTAGCTTGGAAGTAGTTCCTTCACATCAGAACCAAAAACCTGGGGGCCTTGGACTGGCCCATGACGTCCCTGATAGATGAAGGGAGCTTTCCCCTGGGGATGGTGTGGAAGAGGGGCTCACTTATCCTACCCTCCTGCCCCAGTGGCTTCCCATCCGTCATGAGTTTAGGGGCTGACATCAGACAAACCTAGGCTCAAATCCTGGCTCTGACACTTAGGAGCCGTGTGGCCCTGGGTGAGTCCGTGACCTCTCTGAAGCTCTGTGTCTTTGTCTATAGGACTCGGTGGACCACACTCACTGGTGGGGGAAGAATTTTGCATAGGCTGTCAAGCTCGATGTGCTCAGGAGGCCTCTGGGGCTGGTAGTACTGGGGACATGGCTTTCCCGTGAGCTGATAGAGAAGCAACCCAAGGCATTGACTTGGGTGAGACCAGGTTGGGCAGGAAGTGCATTCCTCAGCAGAGATCATATCTAAAGGAAGGCAGCAGTTCCAAGGGAAATGGGGAAATGGCTCTGGGCCCCGGCGGATGTCAGCAATGGGCATTGCCATCCTTCCCAGCCAGCCCACCCTTGGCAAGAGCAGTGCAGAAAAAGATTCTGCAATCCAAAACAATAAACTCTGACCATGGAGAAATAAAACTGGGGTCGGGGGGACAGTAGTGATGCTTATTTAAAAAACGGACTCTTGCCAGGTATTGTGGCTGACACCTGTAATCCCAGCACTTTAGGAGGCCAAGGCTGGGGGATCACGAGGTCAGGAGATCGAGACAATCCTGGCTACCACAGTGAAACCCCATCTCTACAAAAAATAACAAAAAATGCCAGCCACAGTGGTTCATGCCTGTAATCCCAGCACTTTGGGAGCCAAGGCAGGTGGATCACCTGAGGTCGGGAGTTCGAGACCAGCCTGACCAACATGGTGAATTCCCATCTCTATTAAAAATACAAAATTAGCCAGGCATGGTGGTGCATGCCTGTAATCCCAGCTACTCCAGAGGCTGAGGCAGGAGAATCGCTTGAACTTGGGAGGCAGAGGTTGCGGTGAGCCGAGTTTGTGCCACTGCACTCCAGCCTGGGCAAAAAGAGTGAAATTCAGTCTCGAAATAAATAAATAAATAAATAATAAAAATACAAAAAATTAGTGTACCTATAGTCCCAGCTACTCGGGAGGCTGAGGCCGGAGAATCGCTTCAACCTGGGAGGCAGAGGTTACAGTGAGCCAAGGTGGCGCCACTGCACTCCAGCTTAGGTGACAGAGTGAGACTCCGTCTCAAAAAAAAAAAAGGACTCTTGGCCAGGCAAGGATTACAGGTTCACACCTGTAATCCCAGCACTTTGAGAGGCTGAGGTGGGTGGGTCACTTGAGGTCAGGAGATCGAGGCCAGCCTGGCCAACATGGTGAAACCCCGTCTCTATTAAAAATATAAAAATTAGCCAAGCATGGTGGTGCACATCTGTAATCCCAGCTACTTGGGAGGCTGAGACAGGAGAACTGATTGAACCTGGGAGGCAGAGGTTGCAGTGAGCTGAGATGGTGCCACTGCACTCCAACCTGGGCTATGGAGCGAGACTCCATCTCAAAAAACAACAAAAACCAGACTCTGGCTGGGCAGTCGCTGATGCCTATAATTCCAGCACTTTGGGAGTCCCAGGTGGGAGGATCGCTTGAGCCCATGAGTTTGAGACCAGCCTGGGCAATATAGTGAGACCCTGTCTCTACAAAAAAATTTAAAAATTAACTGAGCATGGTGGTGCTCAACTGTATTCCAGCTACTTGGGAGGCTGAGGTGGGAGGATTGCTTGAGCCCAGGAGGCAGAGGTTGCAGTGAGCAAAGATAGCGCCACTGCACTCCAGCCTGGATGACAGAGGAAGACCCTGTCTCAAAATAAAAAGCAGATTCCCTGGTCCCATTTGCTAGAATACAATTCAGCCTGCAGTGAGGCCCTGGCACCTGATTTAAATATATATATATACATGTGGCCGGGTGTGGTGGCTCACGCCTGTAATCCCAGCACTTTGGGAGGCCGAGGCAGGTGGATCACCTGAAGTCAGGAGTTCGAGACCAGCCTGACCAACATGGCGAAACCCTGTCTCTACTAAAAATACAAAAATTGGCTGGGCACAGTGGCTCACGCCTCTAATATCAGCACTTTGGGAGGCCGAGGCAAGTGGATCACCTGGGGTCTGGAGTTTGAGACCAACCTTACCAATATCGTGAAACCCTGTCTCTACTAAAAATACAAAAATGTTCTTGGAATAGTGACGTGCACCTGTAGTCCCAGCTATGTGGGAGGCTGAGACAGGAGAATTGCTTGAACCCAGGAGGCAGAGGTTGCAGTGAGCTGAGATCGTGCCATTTCTCTCCAGCCTGGGTAACAAGGGCAAAACTCCATCTCAAAAAATAATTATATACATATATATTAAAATATATATATACACATACACATATATATGTATGTATGTATGTATGTATGAAAAGGTAGTTACTTACGGCTATTTTTTTTTTTTTTTTTTGAGACGGAGTCTCGCTCTGTCGCCCAGGCTGGAGTGCAGTGACACGGTCTCGGCTCACTGCAAGCTCCGCCTCCCGGGTTCACGCCATTCTCCTGCCTCAGCCTCCCGAGTAGCTGGGACTACAGGCGCCCGCCACCACGCCTGGCTAATTTTTTTGTATTTTTTAGTAGAGACCGGGTTTCGCCATGTTAGCCAGGATGGTCTCGATCTCCTGACCTTGTGATCAGCCTGCCTTGGCCTCCCAAAGTGCTGAGATTACAGGCGTGAGCCACCTCGCCCGGCCTCTTGGGGCTATTTTCTTTGAAAGGGATAATACATTCACATGCTTTAAATACAAAAGATACAAAAGATGTTACGGCTTTGAGATGAAAGTTTCCCTCTTGCTCTCCCACCCCGGACCATACTTTATTCTTTGTTGTTGTTGTTGTTGTTTATACACAGGGTCTCACTCTGTCACCCAGGCTGGGCTAGAGTGCAGTGGTGCGATCATAGCTCACCGCAGCCTCAAATTCCTGGGCTCAAGTGATCCTCCTGCTTCTGCCTCCTGTGTAGTTGAGACTACGGGTGTGTGCCGTGATACTCAACTAATTTTTTTTTTTTTTTTTTTTTAGAGGCAGGGTCTCACCATGTTGCCCAGGCTGGTCATGAAGTCCTGGGCTAAAGCAATCCTCCTGTACTGGCCTCCCAAAGTGCTAGGATTATAGGCGTGGGCCACCACACCCAGCTTTTTTTTGTTTATTTGTTTTGCCTAATATACATTGGAGAGGATCTCTTGTCAACACCTCCAAAGCTTCCTCAATCATTTATTATTATTATTATTATTTTTTTTTTTTTGAGACGGAGTCTCACTCTGTCGCTCAGGCTGGAGTGCAGTGGCGTGATCTCGGCTCACTGCAAGCACCGCCTCCCGGGTTCATGCCATTCTCCTGCCTCAGCCTCCCGAGTAGCTGGGACTACAGGCGCCCGCCACTGTGCCTGCCACTGCCCCCGGCTAATTTTTTGTATTTTTAGTAGAGACGGGATTTCACCGTGGTCTCGATCTCCTGACCTCGTGATCCGCCCCCGCCTCGGCCTCCCAAAGTGCTGGGATTACAGGTGTGAGCCACTGCGCCCAGCCACCCCGTTTCTACTAAAAATAAAAAAATTAGCTGGGCATGGTGGCATGCACCTGTAGTCTCAGATACTTGGGAGGCTGAGGCAGGAGAATCGCTTGAACCCAGGAGGTGGAGGTTGTAGTGAGCCGAGATCGCGCCACTGCACTCCAGCCTGGGCAACAGAGCGAGACTCCGTCTCAAAGAAAAAAAAAAAAAAAGGAGAGACAGGGTCTTGCTATGTTGCCTTGGCTAGCCTAGAACTCCTGAGTTGAAGGGATCCTCCCGCCTCAGCCTCCCGAGTAGCTGGGACTGATCACAGGTGTGTGCCATGGCGCCCAGCACAATCTTTTTTCACGGTAGCATAGAATAGTACATTTGTGGATGGGCTGTCTTTTATTTAGCCAATCAAAGGGAATATTTATTTTAAACTTTTTTTCGAAGTTGGAAATACATACATAAAAGGGCATAGATCCTAAATATATGAGGCTGAAGGAGCTTTCACAAGGTGAACACCTTATCTGGCCAGCAACCAGATGAGGAAAAAAGAACATTTCCAGGGCCCTGTCATGTGCAAGGAGGGCCTATTTGTATTATTATTTTATTAGTATATATATATTTTATTTATTTATTTATTTTTTTAATTTGAGACAGGGTCTCACTCTGTCACCCAGGGTTAAGTGCAGTGGTACAATCTCGGCTCACTGCAACCTCTGCCTCCTGGGTTTAAGCAATTCTCCTGCCTCAGCCTCCCAAGGACCTGGGACTACAAGATTCGAGTTACCGTGCCCGATTAATTTTTGTATTTTTTGTAGAGATTGGGTTTTGTCATGTTGCCCAGGCTGGTCTGGAACTCCTGGGCTCAAGCTATCCACGTGCTTCAGCCTGCCAGAGTGCTGGGGCTAGAGTCGTGAGCCACTGCACCCAGCCTACCTTTTTTTTTTTTTTTTTTTTTGAGATGGAGTCTTGCTCTGTTGCCCAGGCTGGAGAGCAGTGGCGCCATCTCAGCTCACTGCAAACTCCACCTCCTGGGTTCAAGCGATTCTTCTGCCTCAGCCTCCCCAGTAGCTGGGATTACAGGCATGTGCCACCACGCCCAGCTAATTTTTGTATTTTTGGTAGAGACGGGGTTTCACCATATTGGCCAGGCTGGTCTTGAACTCCTGACCTTGTGATCTGCCCACCTTGGCCTCCCAAAGTGCTGAGATTACAAGCGTGAGCAACCATGCCCGGCCCAGCCTACATTTTAAATTGAAGTATAATTTGGTTTGTTTTTGTTGCTTTTTTCTTTTTTTTCAAGACAGAATCTTGCTCTGTCGCCCAGGCTGGAGTGTAGTGGCATGATCTCAGCTCACTGCAACCTCCGCCTCCTGGGTTCAAGTGATTCTCCTGCCTCAGGCTCCTGAGTAGCTGGGATTACAGGTGCACCTCACCACGTCCAGCTACTTTTTGTATTTTTAGTAGAGACTGGGTTTTGCCATGTTTGTCAGGCTGGTCTCAAACTCCTGACCTCAAGTGATCCACCCGCCTCAGTCTCCCAAAATACTGGGATTAAAGGCAAGAGCCACTGTGCCTGGCGAAGTATAATTTACATACTAAAAAAACCACACATTATTAGTTTTTTTGTAGAGATAGAGTCTTGCTATGTTGTCCAGGCTGGTCTTGAACTCCTGGGCTCAAGTGATCCTCCCACCTCAGCCTCTCAAGGTACTGAGATTACAGGTGTAAGCCACCATGCCCAGCCCATAACTCTTTTTAAATGTACAGATCTATGATGTTACTCTTATTTATTTATTTATTTTTTGAGACAGAATCTGTCTCTGTTGCCCAGGCTGAAGGGCAGGGCACAATCTCGGCTGACTGCAGCCTCTGCCTCCTGGGTTCAAGTTATTCTCCTGCCTCAGCCTCCCGAATAGCTGGGATTATAGGCATGCACAACCATGCCCGGCTAATTTTTGTATTTTTAGTAGAGACAGGGTTTCACTATGTTGACCAGGCTGGTCTCAAACTCGTGACCTCAAATGATTCTCCCACTTTGGCCTCCCAAAGTGCTGGGATTACAGGCGTGAGCCACCGAGCCTGGCTAATGTTACTTATATTTAGATTGTTGGGTGGTGGCCTGTTTTTGTAAGGCTAGTGGGCTAAGAATGGCTCTTATATTTTTAAATGGTTGTGAAAAAAGAAAAAAAAATATATATATATGACAGATGATATGTGAACCACAAAGCTTAAAATCTTTAATATCTTGTCCTTAACAGAAAACATTTGCAGAGCCCTGGTAGAGAATTCTCCCTAGAGACTTTTCTTTTCCTTTTTTTTTTTTTTTTTTGAGACTGAGTCTCACTCAGTCACCCAGGCTGGAGTGCAGTGACGTGATCTCGGCTCACTGCAAGCTCCGCCTCCCGGGTTCACGCCATTCTCCTGCCTCAGCCTCCCGAGTAGCTGGGATTACAGGCGCCCGCCACCATGCCCGGCTGATTTTTTTGTATTTTTTTAGTAGAAACGGGGTTTCACTGTGTTAGCCAGATGGTCTTGATCTCCTGACCTCGTGATCTGCCCGCCTCGGCCTCCCAAAGTGCTGGGATTACAGTCGTGAGCCACCGCGCCTGGCTTTTTTTTTTTTTTTTTTTTTTTTTGAGATGGAGTTTCACTCTTGTTGCCCAGGCTGGAGTGCAATGGCGTGATCTTGGCTCACTGCAACCTTTGCCTCCCGGGTTCAAGTGATTCTCTGGCCTCAGCCTCCCGAGTAGCTGGGATTACAGGCATGTGCCACCATGCCTGGCTCATTTTTGTATTTTTAGTAGAGACGGGGTTTCACCATGTTGGCCAGGCTGGTCTGGAACTCCTGACCTCAAGTGATCCGCTCGCCTCGGCCTCCCAAAGTGCTGGGATTACAGTTGTGAGCCACCGCGCCCCGCCAAGACTTTTCTTTTGCCATTTCCCAATCGATCCCCAAGGTGAACATGATATTTATTTATTTATTTTTAATTTAAAAAAAAATTTTTTTTGAGAGGGAGTCTTATGATGTTCCCCAGGCTGGTTGAATTCCCCGGCTGAAGCGATCCTTCCCCTTCAACCTCCTAAGTAGGGGACTATAGGCATGTGCCTCTGTGCCGGGCTAGAGAGCATTATTTTAAAATATTATTTTAGGCTGCGTGCAGTGCCTCACGCCTGTAATCCCAGCACTTTGTGAGGCCCAGGCGGGTAGGTCACTTGAGGTCAGGAGTTCGAGACCAGCCTGACCAAGATGGTGAAACCCCATCTCTGCTAACACTACAAAATTTAGCCAGGCGTGGTGGCAGGTACCTGTAATCTCAGCTACTCAGGGGGCTGAGGCAGGAGAATTGCTTGAACCTGGGCAGCAGAGGTTGCAGTTAGCCAAGATTGCGCCACTGCACTCCAGCCTGGGCAAGAGAGTGAGACACTATTTCAAAAAATAATAAATAAATAAATAAACAAACAAGAGACCCGGTGCAGTGGTTCACTCCTGTAATCCCAGCTGTTTGTGAGGCCAAGGTGGGTGGATCGTGGTTCACTCCTATAATCCCAGCTGTTTGTGAGGCCAAGGTGGGTGGATCGCTTGAGTCCAGGAGTTTGAGACTAGCCTGGGCAACATTGCAAAACCCCTTCTTCCCAAAAATATGCAAAAAAATTAGCTGGTCATGGTGGCTTATGCCTGTGGTCCGAGCCACTCTGGAGGGTGAGGTGGGAGGATTGCTTGAGCCTAGGAGGCAGAGGTTGCAGTGAGCCGACATTGTGCCACTGCACTCCAACCTAGGTAACAGAATGAGACCCCATCTCAAATATACAAGTAAACAAATAAACTCTTACATAATAAAATTAATAAATTCCCTCTGTTCTGGCAGGGGGACTAAAAGCTAATTATAAGTAAGTCCTCAAGTCCATGGAAGATTTTAGCTTTCCATGTGAAAGAATCTTCTACAAATCTTTGGCTAGCTGTTTTCACCTCAGAGGTAGCTCAGCCAAGAAGTCTCCTTCCAGATTGTGACCTATTAATTTCTGTGTGTGTGTGGCATCTGGATCTTTTTAAAGCTTCTTAGGCTGAGCCGGGTGTGGTGGCTCACTCCTATAATCCCAGCACTTTGGGATGCCAGGGCGGAAGGATCACTTGAGCCCAGGAATTTTATACCAGCCTGGGCAACATAGTGAGACCCTGTTTCTGCAAAACAAAAAATTAAAAATTAGCGGGGCGTGGTGGTGCATGCCTGTGGTCCCATCCACTAGGGAGTCTGAGGCGGGAGGATCACTTGAGCCCAGGAGGTCAAGGCTGCAGTGAGCTATGATTGCGCCCCTGCACTTCATCCTGGGCAAAAAAGGAGACCCTGTCTCAAAAAATAAAAAATAAAAAAAGGTTAAATGTTTCTAGAAGCAAATCTCTGGTTTGGTGCCTAACATAGTCCAGCATACAGTAGGCGCTCTATCTTTTGCCCTTAACCCTTCTGAGCCTCCCCACCCAGATGCTGTCCTCAAACCCTTTGTCAAAAGAGGTGTCTGGGCAGCTGGCGATGCTCATTCCCCAGGCACAGACTTCTGGGAAGGCAGAGGCCAGTGGCTGGCTGTACGGGTGAGGCCTTGGGCCGCTGCAGCCCTTGGGGACTTGGCCAGTGTCCGGAAGCTGTGGGGGCTGGGTGGCATTTGATGTCCTGGCACCAGCACTGTGACTGGGCAGGCTGTGGCAGTTCTCTTATCGCCCACGCCCACTGCACTTGGGTGGGTCAGCCGTCACAGCCAGCAAGGCTGGCACCCGAAGGCTGCCTCTCCCAATCCTGGCCTTGTCCAACAGCTCAATTTTCCCAATTTTTCTTCCACACCATTGCCGCAACGTTATCTCTGCTTCTCCCAGTACCTGCCAAGGAAAAGGCCTGGGTTGGCTCCAGCAGGGCGTTGGTTTGACTCCTGGCTGTGCTCCTCACCAGCTGTGTGGCCCGAGCAAGCAACCTCAGTGTGCCCGTCGTGAAATGGGATCACACTAATGGTTAGTGGGGATTGGAGAAGTTTTTGTTTTGTTATTTTTATTTGTTTGGTTTTGGTTTTTTAGAGACAGTGTTTTCTGTCATCCAGGCTGGAGTGCAGTGGCGTGATCACAGCTCACTGCAGCCTCTGCCTCCCGGGCTCAAGCGATTCTCCCACCTCAGCCTCCTGAGTAGCTGGGACCACAGGCATGCACCACCACACCCAGATAATATAGTTATTTTTTACTTTTTATTTTCTTTCTTTTTTTTTTTTGAGATGGAGTCTTGCTCTGTCACCCAGGCTAGAGTGCAGTGGCGCAATCTTGGCTTGCCACAACCTCTGCCTCCTGGGTTCAAGTGATTCTCCTGCCTCAGCCTCCCGAGTAGCTGGGACTACAGGCGCCCACCACTATGCCCGGCTAATTTTTTGTATTTTTAGTAGACATGGGGTTTCACCACGTTGGACAGGCTGGTCTCAAACTCCTGACCTCAAGTAATCTGCCTGCCTTGACTTCCCAAAGTGCTGGGATTACAGGTGTAAGCCACTGCGCCTGGCCAAGTTGAAGACTTTGGCTGGGTGTAGTGGCTCATGCCTGTAGTTCAAGCACTTTGGGAGGCTAAGGCAGGAGGACTGCTTGAACCCAGGACTTTGAGACCAGCCTGGGCAACATAGTGAGACCCCGTCTCTTTAAGAAAAATGGAAGAGGGTGGTAGCAGAGTCAGAGGAGGACATGGAACGACGGAAGCGAGGTGGGTTTGATGTGATTGCTGTCTTTAAAAATGGAAGAAGTGGCCAGGAGCCAAGGAATGTGGGCGGCCTCTAGAAGGTGAAACAGACAAGGAAACAGATTTTCCCCTAAAATCTCCGAAAGAAACAGCCCTGCCTACACATCGATTGTAGCCCAGTGAGATGCATTTTGTGCTTCTGTCCTCCTGAGCTGTGAGATAATAAATTTGTGGTTTTTATTTATTATTATTATTATTATTTTTGAGACGAGTTTTGCTCTTGTTGCCCAGGCTGGAGTGCAGTGATGCGATCTTGGCTCACTGCAACCTCTGCTTCCTGGTTTCAAGCAATTCTACTGCCTCAGCCTCCTGAGTAGCTGGAATTACAGGTGCACACCACCACGCCCAGCTAATTTTTTGTATTTTTAGTAGAGATGGGGTTTCACCACGTTGGCCACGCTGGTCTGAAGCTCCTGACCTCAGGTGATCCACCTGCCTCGGCCTCCCAAAGTGCAGGGATTACAGGCATGAGCCACCGCACCCGTCCATAAATTTGTGTTTTTTTAAGCCACCAAGGCATTGGTGTCTTGTTACAGCAACGAAAGGAAATAATGCATTTGACCCTCAAACCACATGGGTGTGAGGGGCACCAACCCCCTGTGAAATTAGAAATCTGTGTATGCCTTAAGTTTTTGTAGAGACAGGGTTGTGATCTGTTGATCAGGCTGGTCTCCAACTCCTGGCCTCAAGAGATCCTCCCACCTCAGCCTCCCAAAATGCTGGGATTGCAGGCATGAGTCACCATGCCCGGCCTGCATATAACTGCATATAAGTCCCCCAAAACTTAATTAGTGATAGCCTACTGTTGACTCTTAGCCTTACGGACAACATATCAACATACACATATTGTGTCTCTGTATTATATATATCGTATTCTTACAATAAAGTAAGCTGAAGAAAAGAAAATGTGGCTGGGCGCGGTGGCTCACGCCGATAATCCCAGCACTTTGGGAGGCTGAGGCGGGCGGATCACCCGAGGTCAGGAGTTTGAGACCAACCTGGCCAACATGGTGAAACCACGTCTCTATTAAAAATACAAAAATTAGCCGGACATGGTGGTGCGTGCCTGTAATCCCAGGTACTTGGGAGGCTGAGGCAGGAGAATCTCTTGAACCCGGGAGGTAGAGGTCACAGTGAGCCAAGATTGCGCCACTGCACTCCAGCCTGGGTGACAGAATGAGACTCCGTCTCAAAAAAAAAAAAAAAAAAGAAGAAGAAAAGAAAAGAAAATGTTATTAAGTTGGTGCAAAAGTAATTGCGTTTTTTTTTTTTGCCATTCCTTTTAAGGGAAAAAATATTAAAATGTAAGGAAAAGAAAATACATTTATTATTTATTAAGTGGAAGTGGATCATCAAAAAGGTTTTCAGAGGCTGGGCGTGGTGGCTCACACCTGTAATCATAGCACTTTGGGAGGCCAAGGCAGGTGGATCATTTGAGGTCAGGACTTCAAGACAAGCCTGGCCAACATGGTGAAAATCCTGTCTCTACCAAAAATAAAAAAAAAAATTAGGGGCCAGGTGCAGTGGCTCATGCCTGTAATCCCAGCACTTTGGGAGGCCAAGGTGGGAGGATCACTTGAGGTCAGGAGTTTGAGACCAGCCTGGCCAACATGGTGAAACCCCATTTCTACTAAAAATACAAAAATTAGCCAGGCATGGTGGCTCACACCTGAAGTCCCCGCTACTCGGGAGGCTGAGGCACAAGAGTCGCTTAAACCCGGGAGGCGGAAGTTGCCGTGAGCCGAGATCACACCAGTGCGCTCCAGCCTGGGCAACAGAGGGAGACTCCGTCTCAAAAAAAAAAAAAATGGTCTTCACATTGAGTGAGCTGAGGAGGAAGAGGAAGAGGAAGGGGAGGGGTTGGTCTTGCTGTCTCAGGGGTAACAGAGGCAGAAGAAAAATTGTGTTTAAGGGGAACCATGAAGCTCAAACCTGTGTTGTTGGAAGGTTAACTGTCCAAACATTGACTTGGGAGCTGGACAGCTTGGGTCTGCTGATTGAAATCTTTCACACCATGGGCACCTTCTTTCTCTCTAGGCCTCAGTTGATCTGTCTGTCAAATGGGGATAATGATAGGAGGTGCTGTAAAGATGAAATGAGGCGGGCTGGACATGGTGGCTCACACCTGTGATCCCAGCACTTTGGGCGGCCAAAGCGGGATTGCCTGAGCCAAGGATTTAGAGACCAGCCTGGGCAACATAGCGAAACCCTGTCTCTACCAAAAATACAAAAATTAGCCGGGCATGGTGACATGTGCCAGCTGAGGTGGAAGATCACTTGAGCCCTGGAGGTCGTGGCTGCAGTGAGCCAAGATGGTGCCACTGCTTTCCAGCCTGGGTGACAGTGAGACCCTGTCTCCAAAGAAAAAAAAAAAAAAGGATGAAATGAGGTGAACCATGTAACATTTTATTATTATGTTTATTTATTTATTGAAACAGAGTGAAACTGTGTTCAATATACACAGTGAGAAAGACAGGGTCTCATTCTGTTTCCCAGGCTGGAGTGCAGTGGGGCAATCTGAGCCCTCTGCAACCTCCGTCTCCCCCGGCTCAAAGATTCTCTCACCTCAGGCTCGCAAGTAGCTGGGACTACAAAGGCATGTCACCACGCCCAGTTAATTTTTGTTTTTTTGTTTTGTTTTGTTTTGTTGTTTTTTTAGAGACGAGGTCTTGCCTGTTGCTTAGTCTGCTCTTGATCTCCTGGACTCAAGTGATCCACCCACCTTGGCCTCCCAAAGTGCTAGGATTACAGGATTGAGCCACCATGTCCTGTCTCTATTTTCACTTTTATTTTTAGAGACCGGGACCTGGCATAGTGGCTCACGCCTGTAATCCCAGCACTTTCGGAGGCTGAGGTGGGCGGATCACCTGAGGTCAGGAGTTCAAGACCAGCCTGGCCAATATGGTGAAACCCTGTCTCTACTAAAAATACAAAAACTAGCTGGGCATGGTGGTGGGCGCCTGTCTCAAAAAAAAAAAATAGAGACTGGGTCTTGCTCTGTTGCCAAGGCTGTAGTACAATGGTGCTATCACAGCTCACTGCCGCCTGTAACTCCTGGGCTCCAGTCATCCTCCCACCTCAGTCTCCCTGGTAGCTGGGACTACAGGCACGGACCACCACGCCCAGCTTGTTCTTCTTATCTTTTATTTTTTATTTTTTTGAGATGGAGTCTTGCTCTGTCGCCCAGGCTGGAGTGCAGTGGCGCGATCTCGGCTCACTGCAAGCTCCGCCTCCCGGGTTCATGCCATTCTCCTGGCTCAGCCTCCTTAGTAGCTGAGACTACAGGCTCTCGCCACCACGCCCGGCTAATTTTTGTATTTTTAGTAGAGACGGGGTTTCATCGTGTTAGCCAGGATGGTCTTGATCTCCTGACCTCGTGATCCGCCCGCCTGGGGCTCCCAAAGTGCTAGGATTACAGGCATGAGCAACCACGCCCAGCCCTTGTTCTTCTTCTTATCTTGCAGCATTGTTGCAAAGATATAGCGAGTTCCCATCCTGCGGGGTTTAGATTAGGCTCTCAGGGCAGAAACCATTAGTATTTGCTGTTCCCCTCCCTTCGTCCCCACCCAGCTAAGGTTAATAAGAGCTAATGGAACCCATCACAAGATATTACCAATGTTCCCTCTTTACAGAGAGCCCACAAAGCCAGGCCTTGAGCCAAGTGTATGCCAGGCACCTCTCTCTGCATTTTCAGCTCCATCTCACAGAGGAGTAACTCAAGTTCACACAGCTAGGCATGTCCCAGCTTTACCATTCATGGCACCAAACCCTCAGGCTCCCCAATCTTTTCCTGAGACAGCTGAGACTCCCTCATGTGTTCCCTCCCCGGTGCGGCCCTGTCATGCTCCTGCTCAAACACCCTCCATGGCTCCCACGTACTCATCAAACCTAGACTGGGAACGGACCGCTCAAGTGACTAGCAAAGCCCTTCCCTTTTCTGAGCCTCGGTTCTCTCTCCTATAAAATGGGTTGATGAAATGGCCTCCAGTATGGTGGAGAGGATCTGAAAGGTAGTGAGTTCGCTTTGCTCACCACTGGCTGTCTCTATGCAGCCGCTCACCCTCTGCCATTCTAGCTGACACCAGAAACTTCCGGTACTCCCTTGTCTCTCTGCCTTCTGGCTTTACCGGTCTTACTGCCTATCTGATGGTAGAAGTATTCTCTTATGCTTTCCCTTCATACTTGTAATAGTTTTGAGTTTTCTGTGTTTGCGTGATTAATCCATGTGGAATTTTTTTTCTTTTAGACAGTTTCACTCTTCTCATCCAGGCTGGAAGTGCAGTGGCGTGATCTCGGCTCACTGCAACCTCCGCCTCCCGGGTTCATGCCATTCTCCTGCCTCAAACTCCCGAGTAGCTGGGACTACAGGCGCCTGCCACCATGCCTGGCTAATTTTTTTTTTTTTTTTTTTTTGAGACGGAGTCTCGCTCTGTTGCCCAGGCTGGAGTGCAGTGTCGTAGTCTCGGTTTACTTCAAGCTCCACCTCCCGGGTTCACGCCATTCTTCTGCCTCAGCCTCCCGAGTAGCTGGGACTACAGACACATGCTGCCACACCCGGCTACTTTTTTGTATTTTTAGTAGAGATGGGGTTTCACCATGTTAGCCAGGATGGTCTCGATCTCCTGACCTTGTGATCTCCCCGCCTTCGCCTCCCAAAAGTGCTGGGTTTACAGGTGTAAGCCACTGCGCCCGGCCTTTTTTTTTTTTTTTTTTTTTTTGAGACGGAGTCGTGCTCTGTTGCCCAGGCTGGAGTGCAGTGGCGCCATCTCGGCTCACTGCAAGCTCCGCCTCCCTGGTTCACGCCATTCTCCTGCCTCAGCCTCCCGAGTAGCTGAGACTACAGGTGTCTGCCACCACGCCCGGCTAATTTTTTGTATTTTTAGTAGAGACGGGGTTTCACCGTGTTAGCCAGAATGGTCTCGATCTCCTGACCTCGTGTTCCGGCCATGCTCGCCTAATTTTTTTGTGTATTTTAGTAGAGGCAGGGTTTCGCCGTGTTGCCCAGGCTGGTCTCAAACTCCTGAGCTCAGGCAATCCGCCTGCTTCAGCCTCCCAAAGTGCTAGGATTACAGGCATGAGCCACCATGCCTGGCCTTTTCTTCCTAATATACATTCAGGGCTACTGAATAAAGAATTTATCCTTTCCCTGTAAATTCTACATGTATCATGTATACAATTCTTTTTTTTTTTTTTTTTTTTTTTGGATACAGGGTCACACTATGTCACCCAGGCTGTAGGGCAGTGGCGCAATCACAGCTCCCTGAAACCTGAACCTGAACCTCCTGGGCTGACGTGATCCTCCCACCCTAGGCTTCCCCAGTAGCTGGGACTACAGGCACATCATGCCCGGCTAGTTTTTAAAAATTTTGGCCGGGCACAGTGGCTCACATCTGTAATCCCAGCACTTTGAGAAGCCGAGGCAGGTGCGTCGCTGGAACTCAAGAGTTCGAGACCAGCTGGGCAACATGGCAAAGCCCAGTCCCTACAAAAAAATATAAAAAATTAGCCGGGCGTGGTGTTGTGTGTCTGTAGTCTCAGCCACTTGGGAGGCTGAGGGAGATGGGCTTGAGCTCAGGGGGTAGAGGTTGCAGTGAGCCGAGATCATGACACTGTACTCCAGCCTGGGCAATACAGCCAGACCATGTTTCAGAAAAAAAAAAAAAAAGTGTTTTTTTTTTTTTTAAGCCTCAGAGCCTACTTTGGCTCAGGAGGCTGCTCGATTTGCAATACAAAAAAGAAAAAATATTTTTGTAGAGACGAGGTCTCAATATATTGCCCAGGCTAGTGTTGAACTCCTGGAGTCAAGCAATTCTCTTGCCAAATGTTGGGATTACAGGCGTCAGCCACTACGCCTGGCCTGAGATTCATTTAAGTATAAAATTAGCAAATCTCCGCCGGACGCAGTGGCTCACACCTGTAATCCCAGCACTTCCAGAGGCCGAGGCAGGCGGATTGCCTGAGCTCAGGAGTTCGCGACTAGCCTGGGCAACACAGTGAAACCCCCATCTCTACTAAAATACAAAAAATTAGCCAGGCGTGGTGGCGTGCACCTGTAGTCCCAGCTACTTGGGAGGCTGAGGCAGGAGAATCGCTTGAACCTGGGAGGCTGAGGTTGCAGTGAGCCAAGATCATGCCACTGCACTCCAGCCTGGGTGACAGAGCGAGACTCCGTCTCAAAAAAAATCTGCAAATCTCCAACCTGGGCAACATGGTGAAATCCTGTCTCTACAAAAAAAAATCCAAAAATAATTAGCTGGGTGCAATGGTGTGTGGGTAGTCCCAGCTACTCGAGAGGCTGAGGTGGGAGGATCACTCGAGCCCAGCAGGTGGAGGTTGCAGTGAGCCAAGATTGTTTCACCACACTCCAGACTGGGCAACAGAGTGAGGCTTTGTCTCAAAAACAAAAACAAAAAAAAAATTACTGGGCGCTGTGGCTCATGCCTGTAATCCCAGCACCTTGGGAGGCTGAGGTGGGCGGATCGCCTGAGGTCAGCAGTTCGAGACCAGCCTAGCAAACATAGTGAAACCCCATCTCTACTGAAAATACAAAAATTAGCCTGGCATAGTGGTGTGCGCCTGTAATTCCAGTTACCCGGGGGTGCTGAGGCAGAAGAATCACTTGAACCTGGATGTTGCAGTGAGCCAAGATCGGGCAACAGAGCAAGACTCCATCTCCAAAAAACAAACAAACAAACAAAAAACGCAAATTAATTTTTAAAATATGTACCCTTAGAAAATTCTAAGCTCGTTTTTATTTTCAGTGTTCACTCTACATACATGTATTATATATTGTGGCTATTCATTCAACAAATACTTATTAAATGTTTGTTTTATGCCAGGGGCTATGCTGTATACTGGGGACGCAGCCGGAATGAAAGACACACAAATCCCTGTCCTTATGCAGGCAATAGGCAAGAGGGCAGATAATTAACAACCAATAAGCAAATGTCTAACATGTCAGATGGTGATAAGAAGCAAAATGTATCACATCTGTAATCCCAGGGTTTTGGGAGGCCGAGGTGGGAGGAAGGCTTGAGCCCATTGAGCACAGGAGTTTGAGACCAGCCTTGGGCAACATAGCGAGACACTGGTCTACAAAAAATT
This sequence comes from Homo sapiens, assembly GCF_000001405.40. NCBI lineage: Eukaryota > Metazoa > Chordata > Mammalia > Primates > Hominidae > Homo > Homo sapiens. The sequence goes on from NC_000019.10 coordinate 10,620,884, forward strand.
TTAAAATTAGGCAGGCATGGTGGTGTGTGCCTATAGTCACAGCTACTTGGGAGGCTGAGGCGAGAAGATCATTTGAGCCTAGGAGGTTTAGGCTGCAGTGAGCTATGATTGCTCCACTGCATTCCAGGCTGAGTGACAAAGCAAGACTCTATTTGATAATAACAACAAAGAGAAAGTCATAGGGGTCAGGTATAGTGGCTCATGCCTATAATCCCAGCACTTTGGGAGGCCAAGGTGGGCAGATCACTTGAGGTCAGGAGTTCGAGACCAGTAGTAGAGACATGGTAAAAGCCAGTCTCTGCTACTAAAAATACAAAAATCAGCCAGGCACGTTGGTGTGTGCCTGTAGTCCCAGCTACTTGGGAGCCTGAGGCAGGAGAACTACTTGAACCCGGGAGGTGGAGGTTGCAGTGAGCCTAGATGGCACCACTGCACTCCAGCCTGGGCGACAGAGCGAGACTCTGCCTCAAAAAAGAAAAAAAAAATGAAAGAAAGAAAAGAAAAGGTCATAGGACAGAGAGGAAAGGGATGGTTGGGTGTTTTTTTTTTTTTTTTTTTGGTTTTTGTGGGTTTTCTTTTAGATGGAGTCTTGCTCTGTCACCCAGGCTGGAGTACAGTGCCAGGATCTTGGCTCATTGCAGCCTCGACCTCTTGGTCTCAGGTGATCCTCCCACCTCCACCTCCCAAGTTGCTGGGACTACAGGTATGTGTCACCACACCTGGCTAATTTTTAATTTAATTTATTTATTTTTGAGACGGAGTTTCACTCTTGTTGCCCAGACTGGAGTGCAATGGCATGATCTCAGCTTGCTGCAACCTCCGCTTCCCAGGTTCAAGCGATTCTCGTGCCTCAGCCTCCCAAGTAGCTGGGACTACAGGCATGCACCACCTCGCCCCGGCTAATTTTTGTAGTAATAGAAACAGGGTTTCTCCATGTTGGTCAGGCTGGTCTGGAACTCCCGACCTCAGGTGATCTGCCCACCTTGGCCTCCCAAAGTGCTGGGATTATAGGCGTGAGCCACTGCGCCTGGCCTCACCTGGCTAATTTTTGTACTTTTAGTAGAGATGGGGTTTCACAGTGTTGCCCAGGCTGGTCTCGAACTACTGGCCTCCAGTGATCTGCCTGTCTCAGCCTCCCCAAGTGCTAAGATGACAGGCTTGAGCCACCACGCCTTGCCAAGGTGATATTTCAGGCAAGGCCTGAAGGCAACGGAGCTGTATGGATGTCTGAGAGAAGAGCATTCTAAGCAGAGGGACCGAGCAGCTAGTGCAAAGGCCCTGAGGTCAGACCATGCCTGCTGAGCGTGGGACGTACCCAGGAGGCCAGTGAGGCTGAACAGAGTAAGCCATGGAGAGAGAGAGGGAGGAGGTGAGGGCAGGGAGGTGACAGGGCAGGTCATGCAAGGCTTTGTGGGCTGTGGCGAAGAGCTGGGCTTTTTCCTCGGAATGAGGTGGGAACCATGGAGGTTTCTGAGCAGAGCAGGGATGTGTCCTGACTTAGGTGTGCACAGATGTCTCTGGCCGCTATAGTGAGGATAGAAAGTGTCTGTGTTGGTCCAGGCAGGAGATGACAGGGCTGTGTGAAAGGGTGGGTGCTTGAGGAGCAGGTGAGAAGAGGTTGGATTCTGGATAGCTCTGAAGGCAAAACTGATCTCAAGCAGAGAGGCAGCCCAGGTTCCTGGCCAGAGCACGTGGGAGGATGGAGCGGAGTCATGGGATAATCAGAAGCTTGGACAGGCCAGGCACGGTGGCTCACACCTATAATTACAGCACTTTGGGAGGCTGAGGTGGGAGGATCCCTGAGGCCAGGAGTTCCAGACCAGCCTGGGCAACATTGCGAGACCCTGTCTCTACTAAAAATACAAAAAATTACCTGAGTGTGGTGGCGCGTGCCTGTGATCCCAGCTACTCAGGAGGCTGAGGTGGGAGGATCGCCTGAGCCCAGGAGGTCAAAGCTACAGTGAGCTGTGATTATGCCACTGCATTCCAGCCTGGGCGACAGAGTGAGACCCTGTCTCAAAAACAAAAAAGCTTAGATGCCGCCGCACTGAGTATGAGATGCTCACGTGTGTTGGGGGGAGACAGATGTCACATAGGTGTGCAGCTCAGAGACAAGGGTTTCCAGAGGGCTTAACTTTTGGGACTCCTCAGTGTGGAGCTGGTGGGTGGGGCCTGAATAAATTGTCCCCAGGGCACCCTGTGTAGTTGGGAAGAGAAGAGGCCTGTGGCTCGCTCTCTTTGTCCACTGCTTGGAATGGGTAGGGTGGGACCAGCCAGCCTTTGGGCTGGCAGAGACTTCGAGAACCACAGGGCTTCTTTAGGAGTCTGGGTCACCCCAGGGCATGACCTGGCGCCTCAGGCCTTGCCTGTGGTCCAGGTGTTTAGACAGGGCCCCTCTGCTGGTGGCTACTAGGAGGAGAGGGCGCCTTTTTAAGGATAAGTTGAGTTAGTGACCAGAGCCCTGCCTGCGAGTCCTAGAGTCTAAGGCAGCAGCTACAATTATTGGACACCAAATGTATATGATCACGCTGACTGTATAACCTCATGCTGTCTGTGTACACCCAGCACTAAATGTATATTCCTGCTGAGGATACCTCCACACCACCTGTATAATGCCATGTTAACCAAATAATTGGCTGCACTATAAATATCTATAAATATTCAAGTAGAGGCAGGTTGTGGCGTGGTGACTCGTGCCTGCAATCCCAGCACTTTGGGAGGTTGAGGTGGGAGGATTGCTTAAGGCCAGGAGTTTGAGCCCAGCCTGGGTAACACAGTGAGATCCTGTCTCTATTTTTATTGTATTGTATTTTTTTTTTTTTTTGAGGCGGAGTCTCGCTCTGTCGCCCAGGCTGGAGTACAGTGGCATAATCTCGGCTCACTGCAACCTCTACCTCCCAGGTTCAAACGATTCTCCTACTTCAGCCTCCCCAGTAGCTGGGATTACAGGTGCCCACCACCACACCTGGCTAATTTTTGTATTTTTAGTACAGACAGGGTTTTGCCTTGTTGGCCAGGCTGGTCTTGAACTCCTGACCTCAGTGATCTGCCCGCCTCGGCCTCCCACAGTGCTGGGATTACAGGCATGAACCACCACACCCGGCTAATTTTTGATTTATTGATTGATTGATTTTTTGAGACACTCGCTCTGTCACCCAGGCTGGAGTGCAGTGGCACGATCTCGGCTCATTGCAACCTCCGCCTCTCGGGTTGAAGTGATTCTCCTGCCTCAGCCTCCCAAGTAGCTGGGACTACAGGTGCACACCACAACATCCAGCTAATTTTTGTATTTTTAGTACAGACGGGGTTTCACCAAGTTGGCCAGGATGGTCTCGATCTCTTGACCTCATGATCCGCCCACCTCGGCCTCCCAAAGTGCTGGGATTATAGGTGTTAGCCACCACACCCAGCCTATTTTCTTTTTTCTTTTTCTTTTTGGAGACAGAGTCTCACTCTGTCCCCCAGGTTGGAGTGCAGTGAGGCAATCTTGGCTCACTGCAACCTCCACCTCCTGGGTTTAAGCGATTCTCCTGCCTCAGCTTCCCAAGTAGCTGGGATTACAGGCATGTGCCACCACACTGGCTAATGTTTGTATTTTTAGTAGAGAAGGGGTTTCACCATGTTGGCCAGGCTGGCTTAGAAATCCTGATCGACCTGCCTCAGCCTCCCAGAGTGCTGGGATTACAGGCATGAGCCACTGCACCTGGCCTATGCCTGCTCTTTGAGGTCAGTTTTGGTTTCATACTTTAGCCTCATTTTGCAGTTGAGGAAACTGAGGCTTAAGGAAGATAAGCCCTTTGTTAAGTATCCTCTAGTTCAGAGGGTGCAGAAGGAGCATTTGAATTCAGGGCGACCCAGGAGGATGTGGGCTCCACAAGGGTGGAGATTGGGTCTCTCTGGTTCCTCACTGTATGCGGTGCCCCGCCCAAGGCCTGCACCCACTAAGGGCTGAATAAATACTTGTTCTAAGACCAGGCCCAGTAGTGCACGCAGGTAATCCCAGCACTTTGGGGGGCCACGGTGGGAGGAGCCCACGAGTCCAGGAGTTAAAGATGAGCCTGGGCAACATAGCAACATCCCATCTCTACAAAAAAAATTAAAAATTAGCCGAGTGCAGTAGAGCACCTGTAGTCCCAGCTACTCAGGAGGCTTAGTCAGGAGGATGGCTTGAGGCAGGGAGGTCGAGACTGCGATGAGCTGTGATTGCACCACTGCACTCCAGCCTGGGCAACAGAGGGAGATCCTGTCTCAAAAAAAAAAAGCAGCAGACAGAAAGAAAACTAATTTCCTGCACAGCTTGGAGAAGTTTTCAGCACCAACATTCCACAGTTGGTTGTCTGGGTTTGGGCAGTAGGCCGTTTTCCCTCCCAGTGCCTCAGTTTCCACACCTGCAAAACGAAGCCACGGAAACGCCCTTTCAGGGTGGCCAGGGGTTCTAGGCGGCATCGCCCGGTGGCAGGGTGTTCCCAGGGTGAAGCCGCAGGGTTCCCGGGTGGGGGCGGGGAAGGCTAAATGCGGCCGGCCGGTGAGTGGCGGGAGCAGCTGCAGCCCCGCCCGCGCCCTCCCGGGTCCCTTAGTCTGGGCAGCTGCCCAGCTCGGGCCGGTCTGACCGGTTTGGGCCGCCCCGCCTGGCGCTGTGCTGGGAGGAGCCGCCGCCAGTCGCGCGGTCAGTGCCTCCCTCCAGACTCGGGAGGGTCGAGGGGGCGCGGGAGAGAGCGCGGGCGGCCGCCGGGGCTGGTCGCCTGCAGGGATGGGGGACGAGCGGCCCCACTACTACGGGAAACACGGTAGGCAGCGACCCCCGCCCGTAGCCCCGGGCCGACCCCTCGGTCCCTCGGAGGGGGCCTTGAGAGAACATGGGGCGCAGGGAAGGGGGCTGGAGGGGGAGCGCAATTGCAAATCTGCGCCTGGAGCCTCCCCACCATCAGCCAGGCCCCTTCACCCCACTTATCCCCCGCAGCCTCGCAGACGACCCTCCTTACTCTCCCCTACCCGAAGGACCTGCCCCTGTACCCCTCTGCCTGGCACTGCTGCCGGCGCCTCCTTCCCCCTATCCCACCTCAGATCTTCCCCATCTCCACCTGGTTCCGTGGTGGTCACCATTTCAGCCCTCTTCCCAGTGGGTGGCCGCCAGTTAATAAGTTTGTTCACAGTTAGTGATCCCTCCTTCCTCCCCTGTCCTGGCCTGCCAGAACTGGGGGCTTGGGTGTGGTCACCTGGAGGTGGGTGAGGCAGAAAATTCCACAGGTCTCTGAATTTTATTCTTGCCAAGGCAAAGACACCCCTAGGGGCTTTTGGGAGGGGGCTCTCCCAGCCCTGTCTTGGTTCAGGTCTCCAATCCCATCCATCTTAATCTTCTTGACTTTCAGGAACGCCACAGAAGTATGATCCCACTTTCAAAGGACCCATTTACAATAGGTAAGAGCTCTGGGTTTTGGGGGGTTCTCCCCGCTAATACTACCCCAATCCCTGTCTCTTCACACCCCCTCCCATCTGTTCTCCAACAAACTGGTGACAAATATTTGAAACTTTTTTTTTTTTTTGAGATGGAGTCTTGCTCTGTCACCAGGCTGGAGTGCCGTGGCGCGATCTCAATCTCGGCTCACTGCAACCTTCGCCTCCCGGGTTCGAGCAATTCTCCCACCTCAGTCTCCCAAGTAGCTGGGATTACAGGCTTGCACCACCACACCTGGCTAATTTTTTTTTTTTTTTGTACTTTTAGCAGAGATGTTTCGCTGTGTTGCCCATGCTGGTCTCGACCTCGTGAGCTCAAAGCGATCCACCTGCCTTGGCCTCCCAAAGTGCTGGGATTACAGGTGTGAGTTACCACACCTGGCCTGGACTTAATTTTTACCATGTTTATATTTATTTATTTATTTATTTATTTTTGAGATGGAGTCTCACTCTGTCACCCAGGCTGGAGTGGTGCAATCTCAGCTCACTGCAACCTTCCCCTCCTGGTTCAAGCACGTCTTCTGTCTCAGCCTCTCCAGTAGCTGTGACTACTCAGAGGCTACTCAGAAGGCTGAGGCAGGAGAATTGCTTGAATCTGGGAGGTGGAGGTTGCAGTAAGCTGAGATTGCGCCACTGCACTCCAGCCTGGAGGACAAGAGCGAGACTCTGTCTCAAAAAAAAATAACAAAAAAATAAAATACAGCCAGGCACGGTGGCTCACACCTATAATCCCAGCACTTTGGGAGGCCAAGGCAGGTGGATCACTTGAGGTTAGGAGTTCGAGACCAGCCTGGCTAACATGGTGAAACCCTGTCTCTACTAAAAATACAAGAATTAGCTGGGCATGGTGGCGGGCACCTATAATCCCAGCTACTTGGGAGACTGAGGCAGGAGAATCGCTTGAACCTGGGAGGTAGAGGTTGCAGTAAGCTGAGATCGTTCCACTGCACTCCAGCCTGGGCGACAGAGTGAGATTCCCTCTCAAAAAAAAAAAAAAAGTCTAGCTTGGGCAACATAGCGAGACCTTGTCTCTACAGAATGTATATAAATTAAAAAAAAAATGTGTGGTGGTGTGCACCTGTAGTCTCAACTACTTGGGAAGCTGAGGCAGGAGGATCACTTGAGCCCAGGAGTTCGAGGCTGTAGTGAGCTATGATCATGCCACTGTACTCCAGCCTGGATGACGGAGTGAGACTCTGTTGCACAAAATTAAAAAATGAAATGAAATAAAAATTAAAATGCATGTGCCCTTTGGTACGGCATTCAAACGACTCAGGAAAATTTGTCCAAATAACACATGGATGAGGGTGTTTGCAGAGGGCAGATGGGCCCATGGTGCACACAGCACCAAGCCTCCTCCAAACACTGCCCCTCTGCTCCCCAGGGGCTGCACGGATATCATATGCTGTGTGTTCCTGCTCCTGGCCATTGTGGGCTACGTGGCTGTAGGCATCATAGGTGAGTAGAGAATGAGCAGGACTTGGAGTTGCAGGGTAGGCGGAGGCAGCCATGGCCTCTGGAGTGGGAACAGGGCTGGATCTGAGGAGTGGCAGTGTCTCAGTATCCCTGGATCTTTCCACAGCCTGGACTCATGGAGACCCTCGAAAGGTGATCTACCCCACTGACAGCCGGGGCGAGTTCTGCGGGCAGAAGGGCACAAAAAACGAGTGAGTTGACTCCTTGCGGCCTGGTGGGGCTGGGGAAGAGGGGGCAGAAGATTCTAGGCATTCCCCATCTCTCTAAGTCCAGTTAACAAGTGCTTATAGGCTGGGCGCGGTGACTCACGCCCGAAATTCCAACACTTTGGGAGGCCGAGGCAGGAATATTGCTTTAGGCTAGGAGTTCGAGACCAGCCTGGCCAACATGGCAAAACCCCGTCTCCACTAAAAATACACAAATTAGCCAGGCATGGTGGCACATGCCTGTAATCCCAGCTACTCAGGAGGCTGAGGCAGGAGAATCACTTGAACCACAGGAGGCAGAAGTTGCAATGAGCCGAGATCGTGCCACTGCACTTTAGCCTGGGGCACAGAGTGAGACTCTGTCTCAAAACAAACAAGCAAAAATTAAGTGGACGTGGTGGGGCACACCTCTAGTCCCAGCTACCCAGCAGGCTGAGGTGGGAGGATAGCTTGAGCTGGGAGGCCAAGGCTGCAGTAAGGTATGATTGTACCATTGCACTCCAGCCTGGACGACAGAGCGAGACCTGGTCTCAACAAAACAACAAGAAAAGAAAACAAGTACTGATAAACGTCCCACTACCCTCAGCCACTAGTCTAGTCCTTGGGGACACACAGCTCTAAATGAGATAGTAAGCATCCTGTTCTCTGGCAGCACACATTTTAAGGGCGGGAGAGACTGAGAGGGGACAGTCCTGGATTACGCGTCAGGTGGTGATGAACAGGTGAGACAACAGAGCAAGCATAGCCTGAGTGGCGTCACTTCCTGGCTCTGTGACCTAGGGCAGGTGTCTCAATCTCTCTGAACCTCGTTTTCCTCATCTCTAAAATGAGGATCATAACAGTCCCACCCTCATGGGGCTATTTTGATGGTTAGATGTGCCAATACATGTACAGAGCTTAGAATGCCACCTGGCATCGCTGGGCGTGGTGGCTCACACCTGTAATCCCAGCACACTTTGGGAGGCTGAGGTGGGAGGATCAAGACCAGCCTAGTCAACATGGTGAAACCCCGTCTCTACTAAAAATACAAAAAAATTAGCTGGGCATTGTGGCATGTTCCTGTAATCCCGGTTACTCAGGAGGCTGAGGCAGGAGAATTGCTTGAACCTGGGAGGCAGAGGTTGCAATGAGCCGAGATCGTGCCACTGCACTCCAGCCTAGGCAACAGAGCAAGACTCCATCTCAAAAAAAAAAAAAAGAATGGCACCTGGCATAGAGTTGCTGATGCTGCAGTTTTTAAACTATTATTATTATTATTATTACTATTATTATTTTGAAACGGAATTTTGCTCTTGTTACCCAGGCTAGAGTGCAGTGGCACAATCTCAGCCCACTGCAACCTCCGTCTCCCGGGTTCAAGCGGTTCTCCTGCCTCAGCCTCCCGAGTTGCTGGGATTACAGGCATATGCCACCATGCCCAGCTAATTTTTGTATTTTTAGTAGAGACGGGGTTTCATCATATTGGTCAGGCTGGTCTCGAACTCCTGACCTCAGGTTATCTGCCTGCCTTGGCTTCCCAAACTGCTGGTATTACGGGTGTGAGCCACCACACCCGGCCTATTATTATTATTACTATTATTATTATTTTGACACAGTGTCTCACTCTGTCAGCCAGTGGCAGGATCATAGCTCGCTACAGCCTGGAACTCCTGGGCTTAAGCGATCTTCCCACCTGGGCCTTCCAAAGTGCTGGCACAAGACAGGCCTGAGCCACCCTGCCTGGCCCTATATAAGATATCTTTTTTTTTTTTTGAGACAGAGTCTCGCTCTGTCGCCCAGGCTGGAGTGCAATGGTGCGATCTTGGCTCACTGCAACCTCCGCCACCCAGGTTCAAGCAATTCTCCTGCCTCAGCCTCCTAAGTAGCTGGGATTACAGGTGCCCGCCACCACACCCAGCTAATTTTTTGTATTTTTAGTACAGACGGGGTTTCGCCACGTTGGCCAGGCTGGTCTCGAACTCCTGACCTCAGGTGATCCGCCTGCCTTGGCCTCCAAAAGTGCTGGGATTACAGGTGTGAGTTACTGCACCCGGCCATATAAAATATCTTAAAGGAAACAATAGGCCGGGCACGGTGGCTCACGCCTGTAATCCCAGTACTTAGGGAGGCCCAGACTGGAGGATTGCTTGACACCAGCCTGGGCAACATGGTGAAATTCTGTCGCTACCAATAATAGAAAAAATTAGCCAGGTGTGGTTGCGCACACCCGTAGTCTCAGCTGCTCAGGAGGATGAGGTGGAGGATCACTTGATCCTAGGAGGTAGAGGCTGCAGTGAGCCAAGATTGTGCCACTGCTCGCTCTGTCTGGGCAACAGAGAAAGACTCTTGTCTCAAAAAAGAAAAAAAAACAAAAGAGGCCGGGCGCAGTGGCTCACGCATATAATCCCAACACTTTGGGAGGCTGAGGCGGGTGGATCACCTGAGGTCAGGAGTTCGAGACCAGTGTGGCCAACATGGCAAAACCCCGTCTCCACTAAAAATACAAAAATTAGCTGGGCATCGTGGCGGGCACCTACCTGTAGTCCCAGCTACTCGGGAGGCTGAGGCAGGAGAATTGCTTGAACCCAGGAGGCGGAGGTTGTAGTGAGCCCACATCACACCATTGCACTCCAGCCTAGGCAACAGAGCAGGACTCCATCTAAAAAAAAAAAAAAGAGAAAAATAAAAAAAGTTTTCTATAGGGTGGTTAAGAAGTCTTAACAGGTCGGGTGTGGTGGCTTACACCTGTAATACCAACACTTTGGGAGGCCAAGGCAGGCGGATCACCTGAGGTCAGGAGTTTGAGACCAGCCTGGCCAACATGGTGGAAACCCCATCTCTACTAAAAATACAAAAATTAGCCGGGCTTGGTAGCGGGCACCTGTAATCCCAGCTACTCGGGAGGCTGAGGCAGGAGAATTGCTTGAACCCGGGAGGCGGAGGTTGCAGTGAGCCGAGATCACACCATTGCACTCCATCCTGGGCAACAAGAGCGAGACTCTGTCTCAAAAAAAAAAAAAAATCTTAACAGTTTCCATTCTCCCTTCTCTAACTCCAGGAACAAACCCTATCTGTTTTATTTCAACATTGTGAAATGTGCCAGCCCCCTGGTTCTGCTGGAATTCCAATGTCCCACTCCCCAGGTAACCTGGTCCCCACCGTTCCCTTTTTCCTCTCCCCGCTTCCCATCCTTTTCCCCCTGTGAATGTGGGCTGCGACCTCAGTCCTGAGCAGTCTGCCCCAACTCCACCCAATCCCTTCCTTCTCCCCTCCCAGATCTGCGTGGAAAAATGCCCCGACCGCTACCTCACGTACCTGAATGCTCGCAGCTCCCGGGACTTTGAGTACTATAAGCAGTTCTGTGTTCCTGGCTTCAAGAACAATAAAGTGAGTTGTAGACTGTCCTGAGAGCACAGGTATGGGCAGTGGCAGTGTACTAGACTTGGGGACTCACCTCCCTCCATCTCTCTTGGCAGGGAGTGGCTGAGGTGCTTCAAGATGGTGACTGCCCTGCTGTCCTCATCCCCAGCAAACCCTGTGAGTCAGGGGATCCCAGGAGGCTCAGGTGGTGACGGGGAGGCTCTGCAGAGGCTCAGCCTGACTGGTGCCATCCTCTGCTCCATGCAGTGGCCCGGAGATGCTTCCCCGCTATCCACGCCTACAAGGGTGTCCTGATGGTGGGCAATGAGACGACCTATGAGGATGGGCATGGCTCCCGGAAAAACATCACAGACCTGGTGGAGGGCGCCAAGTGAGGATATTGGCGCACCGCGCCAGGGTCTCACTTTGCTGGGTGGGACAGGCAATCCCCTGTGGTTGGCCTGATCATGGAAGAGGGTCTGACCCGAGCCTTGTCCTCCTTCCCCCAGGAAAGCCAATGGAGTCCTAGAGGCGCGGCAACTCGCCATGCGCATATTTGAAGATTACACCGTCTCTTGGTACTGGATTATCATGTAAGTCAGGAGGGAAGGGGCCTCTCCCCTGGCTGCCCCCTCTAAGCCTGGCTGAGGGTGGAGTCTGTTCATGACCGTTTTCTTTTCCCCAGAGGCCTGGTCATTGCCATGGCGATGAGCCTCCTGTTCATCATCCTGCTTCGCTTCCTGGCTGGTATTATGGTCTGGGTGATGATCATCATGGTGATTCTGGTGCTGGGCTACGGTGCGTCACCCCCTCCCTGTGGCTTCTCTTTCCTGAATCCGCACACTGCCCTGCCCTTTCCCGTGGAAATGGCCCATCAGGAAAACAAAAAAAAGTCAGGCCGGGCGTGGTGGCTCACGCCTGTAATCCCAGCACTTTGGGAGGCCGAGGCAGGCAGATCACCCGAGGTCAGGAGTTCAAGACCAGCCTGACCAACATGGAGAAACCCCGTCTCTACTAAAAATACAAAATCAGCCGGGCATGGAGGTGCATGCCTGTAATCCCAGCTACTCAGGAGGCTGAGGCAGGAGAATCGCTTGAACCTGGGAGGCGGAGGTTGTGGTGAGCCGAAATCACGCCATTGCACTCCAGCCTGGGCAACAAGAGCGAAACTCCATCTCAAAAAAAAAAAAAAAAGAAAAAATGTCTCAGCACCGTAGTTAAGGATGCATACTCTGGTATCAGAATAGCAGAGGTTCAAATCCTGGCTTTGCCAATTCTTTGGGCAAGTGCCTCAACCTAACTGTGCTTCAATTTCTTTCTTTTTTTTTTTTGAGACGGAGTTCTGTTCTTGTCACCCAGGCTGGAGTGCCATGGCGCGATCTTGGCTCACTGCAACCTCCGCCTCCTGGGTCCAAGCTATTCTCCTGCCTCAGCCTCCCAAGTAGCTGGGATTACAGGCATGCACCTCCATGCCCGGCTGATTTCGTATTTTTAGTAGAGATGGGGTTTCTCCATGTTGGTCAGGCTGGTCTCGACCTCCTGGCCTCAGGAGATCTGCCCGCTTCAGCCTCCCAAAGTGCTAGGATTACAGGCAGGAGCCACCGCGCCCGGACTGCTTCAATTTATTTCTCTATAAAATGAGGGTAATTCATATTTCTAGTTGGCAAACTAAATGACAAGGAGGTAATGAGCAGATAAAATATGGGTAGGGGCCTGTTTAGTTCAGGCCTGTGGAATCCAGAGGCACAATATCGTGCTCAACAAAACAGTGCTTCATATTTTGGATTTTTGTTGTTTTTGAGTTGTTGTTTTGTTGTTGTTGTTGAGACGGAGTCTTGCTTTGTCACCCAGGCTGGCGTGCAGTGGTGCAGTCTCGGCTCACTGCAATCTCTGCCTCCCGGGTTCAAGCAATTTTCCTACCTCGCCTCCCGAGTATCTGGGATTACAGGCGCACACCACCATGCCCGGCTAATTTTTTTTGTATTTTTAGTAGAGATGGGGTTTTACCATATTGGCCAGGCTGGTCTCGACTTCCTCGTGATCTGCCTGCCTCGACCTCCCAAAGTGCTGGGATTACAGACGTGAGCCACCGCGCCCAGCCTTGATTTGTTTTTTGAGACAGAGTCTCACTCTGTCACCCAGGCTGGAGTTCAGTGGCACAATCACAGCTCACTGCAGCCTTGACCTCCTGGGCTCAAGTGATCCTCCCGTCTTGGCCTCCCAAGTAGCTGAAACCACAGGCAAGCACCATCATGCCTGGCTAAATTTTTAATATTTTTGTAGAGACAGGTTCTCCCTATGTGGCCCAGGCTAGTCTTGAACTCCTGAGCTTGAGCAGTCCTCCCGCCTTGGCCTCCCTAAGTGTTGGGATTACAGGCGCAAGCCACTGTGCCTGGCCCATATTTTGATTATTCCTTGAACTTTCCTGGAAGAAAAATGCTTGGCAATCCAATTTGAGGACACTCATAGTAAAATATTCATATTAATAGTGGTTTCTAGCTGGGTGCGGTGGCGCACGCCTGTAATCCCAGCAATTTGGGAGACAGAGGTGGGCGGATCACCTGAGGTTGGGAGTTCGAGACCAGCCTGACCAACATGTAGAAACCCCATCTCTATTTTTTTTTTTTTTTGAGACAGAGTCTCTCACTGTCGCCCAGGCTGGAGTGCAGTGGCGCGATCTCAGCTCACTGCAACCTCCGCCTCCCGGGTTCAAGCAATTCTCCTACCTCAGTCTCCTGAGTAGCTGAGATTACTGGCGCCCACCACCACGCCCAGCTAATTTTTTTTTTTTTTTTTTTTTTTTGTATTTTTAGTAGACACGGGGTTTCACCATGTTGGTCAGGCTGGTCTCGAACTCCTGACCTCGTGATCCACCCGTCTTGGCCTCCCAAAGTGCTGGGATTACAGGCGTGAGCCACCGCGCCCGGCCAACCCCATCTCTATTAAAAATACAAAATTAGCCGGGCATGGTGGCGCATGCCTGTAATCCCAGCTGCTCGGGAAGCTGAGGCAGGAGAATCGCTTGAACCCGTGAAGTGGAGGTTGCGGTGAGCCGAGATTGTGCCATTGAACTCCAGCCTGGGCAACAAGAGTGAAACTCCGTCTCAAAAAAAAAAAAAAAGAGAGAGAACTTAGACCATGGCAGCATATGATTATGATTCCAAGTAGGGGGAAAGGGTTCTGGAAGTTCTCTTCTGAAGGTGACACTTGAGCAGAGACCTAAGGATGTGTGGGATCCAGCCATGGGGAGAGAATGCACCGGGCGGTGGGAACTGCAAGTGTAAAGTCCCTGAGGCAGAAGCCTCGATGTTTGCTTCTGTTAAATGGGGGCAGTTGTAGCTGCTTTGCAAAGTTGCAGGAGGCACTGCTGGACTGAGCTTGTGGTTCCCCCATGCAGGAATATTTCACTGCTACATGGAGTACTCCCGACTGCGTGGTGAGGCCGGCTCTGATGTCTCTTTGGTGGACCTCGGCTTTCAGACGGATTTCCGGGTGTACCTGCACTTACGGCAGACCTGGTTGGCCTTTAGTGAGTCACAGTCTCCCATTCCTGCCCCCACATGAGGCCTTGGAGGGAGTGGGGAGCCCAGCCGGCTCAGCCTTTGCCCTTTGCAGTGATCATTCTGAGTATCCTTGAAGTCATTATCATCTTGCTGCTCATCTTTCTCCGGAAGAGAATTCTCATCGCGATTGCACTCATCAAAGAAGCCAGCAGGTGGGGGGCCAGGGTGCCAGGGGCCAGGATGGAGCTGTCCCTAGAGTTGTGTCTTTTGCCCTGACGCCTGTGTCTCTGCTCTTCCCTAGGGCTGTGGGATACGTCATGTGCTCCTTGCTCTACCCACTGGTCACCTTCTTCTTGCTGTGCCTCTGCATCGCCTACTGGGCCAGCACTGCTGTGTATCTGCCCCCAGACACTGATCTCTGACCCCAGGGATGGCTAAAGACCAACTTTGCCTAGAAGTGACCTGCAGCTTAGGGATAGGGCTGGAAACTGGTGGGAGAATGGATTCTTTCCCACAAAAGTCCCTGGGGTCCTCAGTCCTAGACCTCTGCTTCCTTAACGAACCTCCAGCTTCCTGTCCACTTCCAACGAAGCGGTCTATAAGATCTTTGATGACAGCCCCTGCCCATTTACTGCGAAAACCTGCAACCCAGAGGTGGGCGTCCCCGGGGTGGGGAGGGCAGGTATTGCCCCAGCAGGCCCCAGATGATTTGAAACCTCTCATGTCCACTTGGAGGTTCAGCAAACAATTGGCCCCTGTTGCATGTCCTGTGCTAGGTGTGGGGGAGGACGCACAGTGGGGAAGAGACTCTCTAACTGGATCGAACAACTTCCCAGGGCAAGCTGGCTTCCTCTCTTCAACTTGACCAGGCCTTCACCCTGGGTGCTAAATCACCCATTTTTCCCTACTTCCTTTTTTTTTTTTTTTTTTTTTAATAAGACAGAGTCTTGCTCTGTCACCAGGCTGGAGTGCAGTGGCATGATCTCAGCTCACTGCAACTTCCAACTCCCTGGTTCAAGCGATTCTCCTGCCTCAGCCTCCCGAGTAGCTGGGATTATAGGCACACACCAGCACACCAGGCTAATTTTTGTATTTTTAGTAAAGACAGGGTTTCACCATGTTAGCCAGGATGGTCTCGATCTCCTGACCTCGTGATCCACCTGCCTCTGCCTCCCAAAGTGCTGGGATTACAGGTGTGAGCCACCTCGCCCGGCCCATTTTTCCCCATTTCATTTCCTGTCTCCATGCCCTCTTCTTGACCCCAGTGATGGCCACGTCTTGTTTCTAGAATCCCTTCCTTTGCACAAGCCATATTCTGAACTCTTAATTCCTTCCCTTAACTTCAATCCCTATGTCTCCTGTCCTACCTCATGGTTTTCCTGGCCCCACACCTGATGCTCAGAGCCCACTGTGAACCCCTGGTGCCTCTTTTTGGACTCGGTTCTCCCTTCTCTCCCACAGACCTTCCCCTCCTCCAATGAGTCCCGCCAATGCCCCAATGCCCGTTGCCAGTTCGCCTTCTACGGTGGTGAGTCGGGCTACCACCGGGCCCTGCTGGGCCTGCAGATCTTCAATGCCTTCATGTTCTTCTGGTTGGCCAACTTCGTGCTGGCGCTGGGCCAGGTCACGCTGGCCGGGGCCTTTGCCTCCTACTACTGGGCCCTGCGCAAGCCGGACGACCTGCCGGCCTTCCCGCTCTTCTCTGCCTTTGGCCGGGCGCTCAGGTGGGCTGGCGTTGCAGGCAGGATGGGGTGGAGGACGAGGCCTGGCCCAGCCACCGACCACTCCCTCGGCCCGCAGGTACCACACAGGCTCCCTGGCCTTTGGCGCGCTCATCCTGGCCATTGTGCAGATCATCCGTGTGATACTCGAGTACCTGGATCAGCGGCTGAAAGGTACGTCCCACCCACGGTTCGCATTAGCTCCTGTTGCGGGGCGAGGCTGAATAGCGAACCAGGATTGGGTCTTGCTTGGAGGTGGGCGGGGCCAAGATAATAGAGCAGTGATGGGTTTCTGTCTATGACGGGGTGGAGTTCAGGAGTTGGCGTGATTGAGTCCTGCGATGGAGGAGCAAACCAGAGAACCTACTGGGTGGAATTCTTGCTGTTGAGGGGACAGGCCCAAGAGGCCTGGCCCACCATTGGTTATTACCAGAGTGAATTGGAGTGGTATATATTTGCGCTGAAGAGAGCAGGAATAAGACTGGTTTATTAGCCGGGCGCCGTGACTCACGCCTGTAATCCCAGCACTTTGGGAGGCTGAGGCGAGCGGATCACCTGAGGTCAGGAGACCAGCCTGGCCAACATGGTGAAACCCCGTCTCTACTACAAATACAAAAATTAGCCAGGCATGGTGGTGTGTGCGTCTGCAGTCCTAGCTACACGGGAGGCTGAGACAGGAGAATCACTTGAACTCCGGAGGTTGAGGTTTCAGTGGGCCGAGACCGAGCGACTGCACTCCAGCCTGGGCAACAGAGCGAGACTCCATTTCAAAAAAAGGAAAAAAAACTGGTTTATTTTTCTTAGAGGAAGGGCTCTGGGGCTGGGATTGATGGTACTTTGTTTTAGAGACAGGATCTCTCACCCTGTCACCCAGGCTGGAGTGCAGTGGCACCATCATAGCTCACTGCAGCCTCAAACTCCTGGGCTTAAGTCCCTGTCTCTTTGACAGCGTGGACTCAGGAGACCTGGACATTGGCAAGTGTGTGTGATAGGGAAGAGGGGATCCCTTCCAAGTCAGGCTGGTGTCCCCTCACTTCCACATCCCTTCCCTTCTCTTCCAGCTGCAGAGAACAAGTTTGCCAAGTGCCTCATGACCTGTCTCAAATGCTGCTTCTGGTGCCTGGAGAAGTTCATCAAATTCCTTAATAGGAATGCCTACATCATGGTGAGTGGGCCTGGGACCCCCAACCAACCCGCCAGCTCCTGCTGGGTGAGAGGACCACCCCCCATGCCCACCCAGTGGGTCTGATCTCTCCCTCCCACTCTCCTCCAGATTGCCATCTACGGCACCAATTTCTGCACCTCGGCCAGGAATGCCTTCTTCCTGCTCATGAGAAACATCATCAGGTCGGGAATCATTATCATCTTCCTCCTGCCACCCGCCTCTTCCCCTAGTCCCTGAAGCCAGCATTCACACCTGCCCCTCACTGTCCCCTGCAGAGTGGCTGTCCTGGATAAAGTTACTGACTTCCTCTTCCTGTTGGGCAAACTTCTGATCGTTGGTAGTGTGGGTGAGTGCCGCCCACCTAGCCTCTCGGGGTGTGGGAGCCTGATTTCTGTCTTCTGTGATGAGTGTCATCTTCTTAGGAGGCTGTTTCCTATATCCAGAACCCTTCGCCATCTTGCTTTCTTCTCCTTCTCCAGGGATCCTGGCTTTCTTCTTCTTCACCCACCGTATCAGGATCGTGCAGGATACAGCACCACCCCTCAATTATTACTGGGTTCCTATACTGGTATGGACCTCTGGGGAGAGATGGGGGTTTGGGAAGAAAGAGGTGTTGGGATTTGCTTGGTCTTCTTTGACTAGATAAATGTGGATAGAGGTCAGAGGTGGGGAATTGATTATTTATTCAGACCACAAACTTTTTGTTTGTTTTTGAATCAAGAGTCTTGCCCTGTCGCCCTGACTGGAGTGCAGTGGTGCAATCTTGACTCACTGCAACCTCTGCCTTCCGGGTTCAAGCGAATTCTCGAGCTTTTGCCTCCCGAGTAGTTGGGATTACAGGTGCCTGCCCCCACACCTGCCTAATTTTTGTATATTTATTTTTTAATTTTAATTTAATTTTTTTTTTGAGACAGACTCACTCTGTTGCCCAGGTTGGAGTGCAGTGAAATGATCTTGGCTTACTGAAACCTTCACCTCTCTAGTTCAAGCGATTCTTGTGCCTCAGCCTCCTGTGTAGCTGGGATTACAGGCACCTGCCACCACACCTGGCTAACTTTTTTTTTTTTTTGAGATGGAGTTTCACTCTTGTTGCCCAGGCTGGAGTGCAATAGGGTGATCTCAGCTCACTGCAACCTCCGCCTCCCAGGTTTAAGTAATTCTCCTGCCTCAGCCTCCCGAGTAGCTGAGATTACAGGCACGAGCCACCACGTGTGGCTAATTTTACATTTTTAGTAGAGACGGGGTTTCTCCATGTTGGTCAGGCTGGTCTCGAACTCCCGACCTCAGGTGATCCACCCGCCTCAGCTTCCCACAGTGCTGGGATTACAGGCGTGAACCACCACACCTGGCTAATTTTTGTATATTTAATAGAGATGGGGTTTCACCGTGTTGGCTGGGCTGGTCTCAAACTCCTGACCTCAAGTGATCCGCCCGCCTCGGGCTCGCAGAGTACTGGGATTGCAGGTGTGACCCACCACGCCCGACCTCAGACCACAAACATTATCAAGCACCTACTGTGTGTCAGGCATCGAGGTGGAGGGCTTCCCTCTAAAGGCCTTAGAGTTTGGGGGTAAACAGATACTCCTCCATAATGATATTGGTGAATGTATGATTGCAAACTGGGACATGCCACGAGTATGTCTGTATAGCACAGGGAACTGTTTGAAACTGTGGTGGGGGCTGGGCAGGTGTGGGGGGGGTCCAGGTGGTGCCATGCAGGTGATGTTGGATCTGAGATCTGAAGCTGCAGGCAATATCCAGGCAGAGGGAACAGTACAGTGGCCCTGAGGTGGGAGTGTGCCAGGAAGCAGTGGGGCTGACGTGGAAGGAGTAAAGAAGTGGAGATAAGGGCCAGGCACCGTGGCTCACACCTGTAATCCCAGCACTTTGGGAGGCTGAGGCAGGTGGATCACCTGAGGTCAGGGGTTTGAGACTAGCCTTGCCAGCATGGCGAAACCCAGTCTCTACAAAAAAAATACAAAAATTAGCGGGGCGTGGTTGTGGGCACCTGTAATCCCAGCTACTCGGGAGGCTGAGGCAGGAGAACTGCTTGAACCTGGGAGGCAGAGGTTTCAGTGAGCCGAGATCGCGCCACTGCACTCGAGCCTGGGTGACAGAGTGAGACTCTCTCTCAAAAAAAAAAAAGTGGAGATACGGCCAAGGAGGTTAACAAGGCTGTGGAGGGATTGAGCCTTCATTGCAAGGGCAGTATTGTATCTCAGTGTAGGTCTTGAAGCCCATTGACCTAGTTTCTTATTTTAGTTCCTCTATTTAGTAGTTCTAAGATGAGTAAGAGTAATCTTGGGCAAATTATTTAATCCTCTAAGGTCCACTGACTTTTTTTTTTTTTTTTTTTTTTCTGCGATAGAGCCTTGCTCTGTCACCCACGCTGGAGTGCGATGGAGTGATCTCTGCTCACCACAACCTCCACCTCCCGGGTTCAAGCGATTCTCCTGTCTCAGCTCCCTGACTAGCTGGGATTACAGGCATATGCCACTGTGCCCGGCTAATTTTTGTATTTTTAGTAGAGACGGGGTTTCACCCTGTTGGTCAGGCTGGTCTCGAACTCCTGACCTCAGGTGATCCACCCACCTCGGCCTTCCAAAGTGCTGCCAATAAAGGCATGAGCCCCTGTGCCTGGCCATTTCATTGTTTTGAATTTTTAATTTAATATAATAGAGATAGGCCAGGTGTTGTGGCTCAGGCTCTACTATAATAACAATAATAATAGAGGCAGTGTCTCCCTATATTGCCAGGCTGGTCTTGAACTCTGGACTCAAGGGATCCTCCTGCCTCAGCCTGCCAAAGTGCAAGGACTACAGGCATGAGCCACCACGCCCAGCCAGGTCCACTGACTTCAGTCAACAAATGTTTATCTAGCAGCTACCAAGGCCGTGTGAGTCTCCAGATTGCTAGGGATGCAGCAGTAAATGGGACTGGGTCTAGTGAGGATGTGAGCATTAAACCTGAAAGCCCTAAACATGCATAAAATTGCAGCTGCACCAAGAGCTCAGGAGGGGTGCCCAGTGCTAGGAGGACATAAAATAGGCTCTAGAGGCCGGGCATGGTGGCCCACACCTGTAATCCCAGCACTTTGGGAAGCCAAGGCAGGCGGATCATGAACGTCAGGAGATTGAGACCATCCTGGCTAACATGGTGAAACCCCATCTCTACTAAAAATACAAAAAAATTAGTCAGGTGTGCTGGTACGCACCTGTAGTCCCAGCTACTCAGGAGGCTGAGGTAAGAGAATCGCTTGAACCCGGGAGGTGGAGGTTGCACTGAGCCAAGGTCCCACCACTGCACTCCAGCCTGGGTGACAGAGCAAGATTCCGTCTCAGGAGGGAAAAAAAAAAGGCTCTCAGCCAGACGCAGGGGCCCACATGTATAATCCCAGCACTTTGGGAGGCCGAGGCAGGCAGATCGCTTGAGCTCAGGAGTTTGAAAACAGCCTGGGCAACATGGCAAAACCCCATCTCCACAAAAAAATACAAAAATTAGCTGGGTATGCTGGAACATGCCTGTAGTCCCAGCTCCTTGTAAGCCTGAGGTGGAAGGATCACTTGAGCCTGGGAGGTCAAGGCTGCAGTGAGCTGAGATGGGGCCACTGCACTCTAGCCTGAGCAACACAGTGAGACCCTGTCTCAAAAAAAAAACAAAAAAAAAACGCCCACTCTAGGTGTCGTAGGTGGTTTCCTGGAGGAGGTGGGACTTGAGGACTTGCTCTTTGAGCTGAAAGCAGAAGGTCGATGGGGCATAAATTAGATTTAAGTCAGGACAATAGCACATGCAGAGGCCCAGGGGTTAAAGAAAGCAAGGGTGAGGCTGAGTGCAGTGGCTCATACCTGTAGTCCCAGCACTTGGGGAGGCCAAGGTGGGCGAATCTCTTAAGCCCAGGATGGGTAATGGGTAACGTGGCAAAAACCCATCTCTACAAAAAATACAAAGGTTAGCCGGGCACAGTGGTGCACATCTGTAATCCCAACTACTCCGGAGGCTGAGGCGGGAGGATCACTTGAGCCCAGGAGGCAGAGGTTGCAGTGAGCTGAGATTGCACCACTACAATCCAGCCTGGGCTACAGAGTGAGACCGTGAGACCCTGTCTCAAAAAAAGAAAAAAAAAAAAGGCCGGGTGTGCGGTGGCTCACGCCTGTAATCCCAGCACTTTGGGAGGCTGCGAGGCAGGTGGATCACCTGAAGTCAGGCGTTTGAGACCAGCCTGGCCAACATGGTGAAACCCCGTCTCTACTAAAAATACAAAAATGAGCCAGGCGTGGTGGCACGTGCCTGTAGTCCCAGCTCCTCCGGAGGCTGAGGCAGAATTGCTTGAACCTGGAAGGCAGAGGTTGTAGTGAGCCAAGATCGTACCATGGCACTCCAGTCTGGGCAACAGAGTGAGATTCCGTCTCAAAAAAAAAAAAAAAAGACGGAGAGAGAGAAAGAGGATTTTGTGTGGATGGTGGGGCCCTGCCAGCGGGGGTGAGGGGTTGGGATGTCACTAATCCAAAGAGGGTTTCTCAGCAGGGGAAGGATGTGGTCCCAGCATAGGATGGACTCAGGGGGTGGGGGCTGCTCTGGGAAGGACACGGAGCAGGGACAGCTCGTTTCTCCTTGCCCAGACGGTGATCGTTGGCTCCTACTTGATTGCACACGGTTTCTTCAGCGTCTATGGCATGTGTGTGGACACGCTGTTCCTCTGCTTCTGTGAGTGACCCCTCACCCCAAACCTTGCTGGGCCCCGAATCCCTTCTTTCCACTGGGCATCACATCACCCTCCAACGGGGCAACACGCTTGCCTGCCCCCAGCTTCCCCAGGGCTTGGCTGTCCCTCGTCCTGGGTCCCCAGCCTGTCTTCCTGGTTTCCTTTTGCGCTTAGAAGCAGCTCCGACCTCCTGTCCACTGGCCCAGGCTGCAGCCTGGACGCTGCCCTGGAGCCCGCCCGCGCTTCGCAGTTTCTGGCTTTGACTGGGGGGAGGGGATCTGTGGCTGCCACTAACTCTGGTCTCTCCATCTGTTTTTTTTGTTTGTTTTTTTCTTCTCTCTTCCTCTCCTCCATGCCTGCTGGCTTCCCTGTTCTTCCCTGCCTCCCTCTTTCCCTCCCTTCCCGACCACCCCATTTTCCCCCTGCCGGTTCCCGGGGGGAGCCCAGGTGAGGACCTGGAAAGGAATGACGGCTCTCAGGAGCGACCCTACTTCATGTCGCCCGAGCTGAGAGACATCCTGTTGAAGGGGAGTGCGGAGGAGGGGAAGCGGGCAGAAGCCGAGGAGTAGAGAGTGAGGGAGACTGGCGTGGGGGCCAGGTTTCCTCCATGTAGACTGGGGGTGCATGAAGCGGGGGGGTTCCTGGCCTGCGAGTGTGGGGATCCTGTGTGTCCCTCGGAGCCCACTACAGTCTGCCCCTCTCTGGTCCCAGTGTGTCTGCTTTCTAACCCTCTGAGGCTTCTCTGTGACCCTCATCCACCTACCCTGTCCTTGAGGCCCCTGCCCGTGGGCTCCCCTCATGCCTCCTGCTCTGGGACCTCTCTCCACAGTGGAGGACCTGGAGAGGAATGACGGCTCGGCCGAGAGGCCTTACTTCATGTCTTCCACCCTCAAGAAACTCTTGAACAAGACCAACAAGAAGGCAGCGGAGTCCTGAAGGCCCCGTGCTCCCCACCTCTCAAGGAGTCTCATGCCGCAGGGTGCTCAGTAGCTGGGTCTGTTCCCCCAGCCCCTTGGGCTCACCTGAAGTCCTATCACTGCCGCTCTGCCCCTCCCCATGAGCCAGATCCCACCAGTTTCTGGACGTGGAGAGTCTGGGGCATCTCCTTCTTATGCCAAGGGGCGCTTGGAGTTTTCATGGCTGCCCCTCCAGACTGCGAGAAACAAGTAAAAACCCATTGGGGCCTCTTGATGTCTGGGATGGCACGTGGCCCGACCTCCACAAGCTCCCTCATGCTTCCTGTCCCCCGCTTACACGACAACGGGCCAGACCACAGGAAGGACGGTGTTTGTGTCTGAGGGAGCTGCTGGCCACAGTGAACACCCACGTTTATTCCTGCCTGCTCCGGCCAGGACTGAACCCCTTCTCCACACCTGAACAGTTGGCTCAAGGGCCACCAGAAGCATTTCTTTATTATTATTATTTTTTAACCTGGACATGCATTAAAGGGTCTATTAGCTTTCTTTCCGTCTGTCTCAACAGCTGAGATGGGGCCGCCAAGGAGTGCCTTCCTTTTGCTCCCTCCTAGCTGGGAGTGACGGGTGGGAGTGTGTGTGCCCAGGTGGGGGTGTCTCCTGGCTGGGAAGGAGGGAAAGGGAGGGAGAGTTTTGCGGGGGTTGGCAGTGGAGAGCAGGCTGGAGAGGAGATGGCTAATAGCTGTTTAATGGAAACCTGCTGGGCTGGAGGGAGTTAGGCTGAATTTCCCGACTTCCTCTGCCAGTTATTGACACAGCTCTCTTTGTAAGAGAGGAAAGAAACTAAACCCACCCAAGGGATGATGTCAGGGGGAGAGGTGGAGGGCAGATGTCCTGGGCAAACCGGGCCCCTCTGCCCACACACCTCACTTGATCCTTTTGCCAAACTTGTCAAACTCAGGGGAACTGGCTTCCCAGTTGCCCCTTTGCCATATTCCAAGTCCCCCTCAGACTTCATGTCTCTGCTCATCAGCACTGTCCCAGGATCCTGGAGAGGGAGAACTCCTGGCCCCAGGGGAAAGAGGGGGGGGTCTCCCGTTTCCTGTGCCTGCACCAGCCCTGCCCCCATTGCGTCTGCACACCCCTGCGTGTAACTGCATTCCAACCACTAATAAAGTGCCTATTGTACAGGTCCAGGCCTGGTGTGTTTGTTGGGGGCAGTGAGCCAGTGGCGGCTGGTAGGGGGAACCCCAGCTTCCAAGGCCCTAGGAGTCTCTGAACTAGGGCGATTCTCTCAAAGGGAACGAGGAGGGGGCAGGAAACCCACTGGCTGCTGGCTCTGCCTGAATTCCAACCTTCAGGCAGCTCAGATTTCCCGATTAGGCTCTAATCCCTGGACTCCAGAAGGCAGAGGCAGCCTGTCCACCTCCGCCATCACCCATCCTGGACACACGCCCCCAGGCCTCCCCTCTCTCAGGGCCCAGGCACCTGAGGTCCTGCAGTCACTATGCTCCCCAGCTACTTTGGATCTGCGAAGGGACTGACTGCCCTTGGGGTGGGCCCCACTGCCTGGAAGCTCGCTGCTGCCCCCTCGTGCCAGCTGCCAGTGTCAGTCACCTCCAGGCAATCCGCCCCAACATTTCAATTCTTTCCACCTCCTCTCAGGGAATTTTTCTTCAATATCCACTTTTTTTTTTTTTTTTTTTTTTCAGACAGTCTTGCCCTGTCACCCAGGGTGGAGGGCAGTGGTGCGATCTCGGCTCACTGCAACCTCCACCTCCCGGGTTCCAGCGATTCTTCTGCCTCAGCCTCCCGAGTAGTTGGGATTACAGGTGCCTGCCACCACGCCTGGCTAATTTTTTGTGTTTTTAGTAGAGACCAGGTTTCGCCATGTTGGGCAGGCTGGTCTCAAATTCCTCACTTCAGGTGATCCGCTGGCCTCGGCCTCCCAAAGTGCTGGGATTACAGGCGTGAGCCACCTGGCCCAGCCTTTTTTTTTTTTTTTTTTTTTTGAGACAGGATCTCACTCTGGCTGAAGCTAAAGTGCAGTGGTGCAATCATGGCTCACCACAGCCTCAGGTGATCCTCCCATCTTAGCCTCCCGAGTAGCTGGGACTACAGGTACACACCACCACACCTGACTAATTTTTGTATTTTTTGTAGAGATTGATTTTTACCATATTGCCCATGCTGGTTTTTTTTGTTTGTTTGTTTGTTTTTTGAGACAGAGTCTCCCTTTGTGGCCCAGGCCACAGTGCATAGTGCCACAGTGCAGTGGCACAGTCTCAGCTCACTAAACCTCCTGGATTCAAGTGATTCTCGTGCCTCAGCCTCCTGAGTAGCTGGGATTACAGGCGCGTACCACCACATCCAGCTAATTTTTGTAGTTTTAGTAGAGACGGGGTTTCACCATGTTGGCTAGCCTGGTCTCAAACTCCTGACCTCATGTGATCCACCTGCCTCGGCCTCCCAAAGTGCTGGGATTACAGGCATGAGCCACCAAGCCTGGCCAGCATTTTTGTTTGTTTGTTTCCAAGAAGGCATTTGAACCCAGGTCTTGGCTCCAGAGTCCTCAAGTTCTACCCTATGCTGGCACTGACCCCTTCCTCGATGCCTTTGTTTCCCTGGATCCTTTGAATCTGGCATTTTATTCAGCCCCAGCTCCTGTTACCATGCCCACCTAAAAAATAGCTCCTGGCGGCCGGGTGCGGTGGCTCATGCCTGTAATCCCAGCACTTTGGGAGGCTGAGGCGGGTGAATCATGAGGTCAGGAGTTTGAGACCAGCCTGGCCAACATGGTGAAAACCTGCTGCTACTAAAAATACAAAAATTAGCCAGGCATGGTGGCACATGCCTGTAATCCCAGCTACTCGGGAGGCTGAGGCAGGAGAATCGCTTGAACCCAGGAGGCAGAGGTTGTGGTGAACCAAGATGACACCATTGCACTCCAGCCTGGGCAACAGAGCAAAACTCTGTCTCAGAAAAAAAAAGAAAGAAAGAAAAAGATTTGTGGTACGATACATATAGCATAAAATTTGCCATCTCCATCTCTTTCTTATTTATTAAGCCACTGGGTCTCACTATGTTACCTGGGCTGGCCTTGAGCTCCCGGACTGAAGGGATCATCCCGCCTCAGCCTCCCAAGTAGCTGGGATGACAGGCACTCGCCACTGTGCCTGGTTTATGTTTAATTTTTTGAGGAACCACCATAGTGTTTTCTGGCTTCATGCTTTGGCTCCACTTCTGGGTTGGCTTCACTCTCTGCCAAGTTCCTTTATCTGGGTATATTCCCTGCCTCCAACCACACTGTGCTGTGATAGTTAATTTTAGGTGTGAACTTGGCTGGATTAGAAAATACTCAGATTTGAGCTGTGATGTGGTAAAAATAAGACAAAGAAAAAAAAAAAAACAGTGGCTGGGCTCCGTGGCTCACGCCTGCAATCAGCACTTTGGGAGGCCGAGGTGGGCAGATCGCTTGAGCTTGAATTCGAGACCAGCCTGGGCAACATGTGGAAAGCTTGTCTCAACAAAAACTATGAAAATTAGCAGGGTGTGGTGGTCATGCACATGTTGTCCCAGCTACTCAGTAGGATGAAGTGAGAAGGTCACTTTAGCTCAGGGGGTGGAGGGTGCAGTGAGCTGAGATCACACTACTGTGCTCCAGCCTGAGCGACAGAGCAACACGTCTGATAAAGCATTATTTCTGGGTGAGCGCCATCCAACTTGCTGGGGCTCCGACAGAACAGAAAAAGGAGAGAAAGCATTTTCCTCCTCAGAACTGGGACACTCTTCTCCTCCTGTCTTGACACTCCAAGACTTATACCAGTGATCCCTGGTTCTCAGGCCTTCGGCCTTGGACTGGGAATTACACCATTGGTGTCCCTGGCTCTGAAGCTTTAGGATTCAGACTGAGCCTCGCTACTGGCTTTGCAGGGTCTTCAGCTACTGGAGCTGCTGGCTTTTCAGGGTCTGCAGTCAATGCATGTGGTAGGACATCTCAGCCTCCATGATCACATGAGCCAATTATTCTGCTAAATCCCCTCTCATCTACCTACCTCCTATTAGCTTTCTCGGAGAAACCTAGTAATACACACATCATACATTTTCCTGGCCTTTTTTTTTTTTTTTTTTTTTTTTTGAGATGGAGTCTTGCTCTGTCACTCAGGCTGGAGTGCAGTGGCACGATCTAGGCTCACTGCAAGCTCCGCCTCCCGGGTTCACGCCATTCTCCTGCCTCAGCTCCTGAGTAGCTGGGACTACAGCTGCCCGCCACCACCCCCGGCTAATTTTTTTGTATTTTTCGTAGAGACAGGGTTTTACCATGTTAGCCAGGATGGTCTCGATCTCCTGACCTCATGATCCGCCTGCCTTGGCCTCCCAACGTGCTGGGATTACAGGCATGAGCCACCGCACGCAGCTACATTTTCCTGGCTTTAAGATGAGAAGTCTTCTCTTTTTTTGAGACGGAGTCTCGCTCTGTCGCCCAGCCTGGAGTGCAGTGGCATGATCTTGGCTCACTGCAACCTCCGCTTCCTGGGTTCAAGCAATTCTCTGCCTCAGCCTCCCGAGTAGCTGGGATTACAGGAGCCCGCCACCATGCCCGGCTAATTTTTGTATTTTTAGTAGAGATGGAGTTTCACCATCTTGGCCAGGCTGCTCTTGAACTCTTGAACTCTTGATCCACCCACCTCGGCCTCCCAAAGTGTTGGGATTAGAGGGCCAGAAAAGTCTTTTCTTGCTCCTAAGTCTCAGGCCTGGAGCTCACTGACTCTGACCAGCCTGATTATGATCATTTACTCATTGTAAATCATTGAGTCAATCATTGTAGTCAAGGTGTGGGCCTAGTTTGGGAGTCAGGCAGCAGGGACCTGCCATCTAGACTACAGTTTGATCAAGGGAGAGGAATGGTTCCCCAACAACTGTGGTCATCCCACAGTGTCCATCCCAGAGTGGTCACCCATGTCCACCCTGGGGGGGGGCAAGAAGGGAACAGGCATAGGACAAAAAGCTTTCGAGAGGGAAGTTAACTGGGTGTGATTGGGAGAGTGGGTGGAATCTTTCAAGATGAGGAAGACAATGAATAGAGAGGCTGTAAGGACAGCAGAGTCACTGAGAGTGACAGGACCTGTCTAGACTGACAGATTACAAGAGGGGGATGACCTCAATCTTCAACCAATGAGTGGGAGGGAGGGAAGAGAGAAGGAATAGCCAGATGACAGATGATGTCACTAAGGCAAGGAGGAGAGAATGGTGTTGTATACAGGGTTTGTGACCACTGAGTGGTGGAAGGACAAGGGCAGAGGTGCGAGGTCGGGTCAGGGTAGCAGTTCAGCAAGACAGGGCAGATGGCATCTTGTGTCTTCCATCCTTTACGGTGACCAGGGACTAGGAACCTGATGGATGGGGTTTATTGGAAAGTTGGGCTGAAAACTTTTTACTTCAAAAAATTTTTTTCTTTTTCCTTTTTTTTTTTTTTTGAGACGAAGTCTCACTCTTGTCCCCCAGTCTGGAGTGCAATGGTGCAATCTCAGCTCACTGCAACCTCCGCTTCCTGGGTTCAAGTGATTCTCCTGCCTCAGCCTCCCGAGTAGCTGGGATTACAGGTGCGTACCACCACGCCCAGCTAATTTTTTATATTTTAAGGAGAGATGGGGTTTCACCATGTTGGCCAGGCTGGTCTCGAACTCCTGACCTCAAGTGATCCACCCGCCTCGGCCTCCCAAAGTGCTAGGATTAGAGGGTGAACCACCACACCTGGCCCTTTCTTTTTTTTTTTAGACACAGTCTCCCTGTCACCCAGGCTGGACTGTAGTGGCTTGATCTCGGCTCACTGCAACCTCCACCTCCCAGGTTCAAGCGATTCTCGTGCCTCAGCCTCCCGAGTAGCTGGAATTACAGATGCCAGCCATCATGCCCAGCTACTTTTTGTACTTTTAGTAAAGACAGAGTTTCACCATGTTGGCCAGGGTGGTCTTGAACTCCTGACCTCAAGTGATCCACCAATCTCGGCCTCCCAATGTGCTAGGATTACAAGTATGAGCCACTGCCCCCAGCCTTCTTTTTGTTTTTATTCTTGAAAACTTTTTTTTTTTTTAATGTAGAGATGGGGCTGGGTGCAGTAGCTCATGCCTGTAATCCCAGCACTTTGGGAAGCCAAGGTGGGTGGATAACTTGAGGTCAGGAGTTTGAGACCAGCCTGGCCAACATGGCAAAACCCAGTCTCTACTAAAAATACAACAATTAGCTGACCATGGTGGTGTACGCCTGCAATCCCAGTGACTTGGGAGGCTAAGGCAGAATTGCTTAAACTCGGGAATTGGAGGTTGCAGTAAGCTGAGATTGTTATCACTGCACCCTAGCTGGGACTACAGAACGAGACTCCATCTCAAAAATAAATAAATAGATAGATAGATAAAAAACATAGAGATGGGGTCTCACTATGTTGCCCAGACTGGTCTTGAACTTCTGGGCTCAAGCAATCCCCCTGCCTCAGCCTCCCAAAGTGTAGGATTACAGGCATGAGCCAGCATGCCTGGCCAAGACAACATTTTTCAGGAAGTTCTGGTTGGATGGGGCACCCGTTCAAGAGGTAACAATCATAACCATTACTGTTTTTGAAGCTTTAACTCCATGCCAGGTACTGAAGCAACCCCTTGATGTTGAATTAACTCCGAATCAGTCCTCCTCCAAATCAAACCCTAGGAGGTTTGGGTTTGATCCAAAGACTGTGCTTGTCATCATGACCCTATCCGCCCTTTACTGTGTTTGGGGTCCCTGGGGCAAGAAACGCCTTAGCGGAATGAGATCTTCAAAAGCGTTTTAAGTAACCTTAGGCTCTCTGGAGTTGGGAGTCAGAAAACTAGTAACCATCCTCGTTCTGCCATTTGGCAGTGCTGTTAGCTCAAGCAAGTCACTAAAACTGACCTGTTCCGAAAAAAAGCCAGTCTAGGCTTTGTTATTAACATTCGTTATTATCACAGTGACCTTCAACAATTTAAAGCTTTAACCAATTTTTTGGTTTTGTTTTTGTTTTTTTGAGACAGGGCTTCTGTTGCCTAGGCTAGAGAGCAGTGGCCCAATCTCAGTTCACTGCAGCCTCAACCTCCTGGGCTCAAATGATCCTCCCACCTCAGCCTCCTGAGTAGCTGGGACTACAGGTGTGTTCCACCATGCCCTGGCATTTTAACCAATTTTATCTTAGTGCATGCCCCAATCATCTTACCAAACCTTTCTTCAATTTCCAGCTCTATTTGTGAGACAGATCTGAGGCACAGGAAATGAAATTAAAAAGCCTGGTGCAGAATAACTTATCAATTTATGTGAAAAACAAGAATATGATTATGCACCTCTGAAAATAAAACTCTACTGTAGTTACACAAAAAACTGTACAATGGCTGGTCGCGGTGGCTCACGCATATAATCCTAGCACTTTGGGAGGCCGAGGCGGGTGGATCACGAGGTCAGGAGATCGAGACCATCCTGACTCACCCGGTGAAACCCAGTCTCTACTAAAAATACAAAACATTAGCCGGGCGTGGTGGTGGGCGCCTGTAGTCTCAGCTACTCGGGAGGCTGAGGCAGGAGAATGGCGTGAACCCAGGAGGCGGAGCTTGCAGTGAGCCAAGATCGTGCCACTGCACTCCAGCCTGGGAGACAGAGCAAGACTCCGTTTCAAAAACAAAAAACAAAAAACAAAACTGTACAATGGCTTCTAAGAGGGAGGGAACTGGATGTCTGAGGAAGACTTTGTGCTCTCATGTCTTTGGCACTTTTTTTTTTTTTTGAGATGGAGTCTCACTCTGTCGCCCAGACTGGAGTGCAATGGCACGATCTCAGCTCACTGCAACCTCTGCCTCCCGAGTTCATGCCATCCTCCTGCCTCAGCCTCCCGAGTCGCTGAGACTACAGATGCCCACCACCACGCCCGGCTAATTTTTTTTTGTATTTTTAGTAGAGACGGGGTTTCACTGTGTTAGCCAGGATGGTCTTGATCTCCTGACCTCGTGATCCGCCCACTTCAGCCTCCCAAAGTGCTGGAATTACAGGCGTGAGCCACCGCGCCCGGCGTCTTTGGCACATTTGACGTATCATGTGACTATGCTACCTATTAAAAATCCACAGTAAAATGTAAATAAAATAGAAAAGCAGAGGGTACAGCATGCACTCATTTCTTTTTTGAGACGGTCTAGCTGTGCCATCCAGGCTGAAAAGTGCAGTGACTCCATCACGGCTCACTGCAGCCTGGACCTCCACAGCTCAAGTGATCCTCCCACCTACTCCTCCCAAGTAGATGGAACTATGGACACAGGCCATCACGCTCAGCTAATTTTTGTAGAGACTGGGTTTTGCCATGTTGCTCAAGCTGGCCTCAAACTCCTGGGCTTAAGGGATCCTCCAGCCTCGGCCTCCCAAAGTGTGGGGATTACAGGCGTGAGCCACCATGCCCGGCTAGGCACTCATTTCTGTAATTGTTGCAGGAAACAAAGGACCAGAGAGACTGACACGGGAAACAGGAGGATTTATTTAGATGTACACCGGCTCAGTGGATTTGTATCTGAAAAGCTGACCATTGAACAAAGACTGAGTGTGGTTTTTATAGGCAAACTTACAGAAGCAAAACAAAAGCAGTTAATGATACAGTCACAGGTCATGTAATCTATAGCATAACTGCTGACTTAGCATAACTTGTGGCTTTGCACAGCTGTTGGCCTTGCAGCTGTGTCAAAAGAAAAACAGAGTCTACAAATCTTACTAAATACAACCATTGGCAAACAGTCATATTTAATGGTTCAGAAAAGGAGAGACAGTAAAGGAATTTTTCTTTTCAACTTTGCTCCGGAGGAGGCTGTCTGGAGCCCATTCCTTTGGCCTCGACTTTTCAGTGTTATAACTGTCCTTGAAGTAAGCTGGCTAAGCAGAGGAAAACTTGTTCTTGTTTTCTTTTTAACCCTTACCCCCTGCCACATAATCACATCTTTACACTTCTTTTTTTTTTTTTTTTTTTTTTTTAAGATGGGAAGTCGGAGTCTCGCTCTGTCGCCCAGGCTGGAGTGCAGTGGTGCCATCTCGGCTCATTGTAACCTCTGCCTCCCAGGTTCAAGTGATTCAAGCCATTCTTGTGCCTCTGCCTCCTGAGTAGCTGGGATTATAGGCGCACACCACCACACCTGGCGAATTTTTTTTTTTTTTTTTTTTTGAGGCTGAGTCTCACTCTATCGCCCAGGCTGGAGTGCAATGGAGCAATCTCGGCTCACTGCAACCTCCGCCTCCTGGGTTCAAGCGATCCTCCTGTCTCAGCTTCCTGATTAGCTGGGATTACAGGCGCCCTCCACCACACCCAGTTAATTTTTCTATTTTTAGTGGAGACGGTGTTTCACCATGTTGGCCAGGCTGGTCTCAAACTCCTGACCTCAAGTGATCCGCCCACCTCAGCTTCCCAAAGTGCTGGGATTACAAGCGTGAGCCACCACGCCCAGCCAGGAAACCCATTTTCAACACCTCCTTGCTCTTTTTTTTTTCTGAGACAGAGTCTCGCTCTGTCGCCCAGACTGGAGTGCAGTGGCGCAATCTCGGCTCACTGCAACCTCCGCCTGCCAGGTCAAACAATTCTCCTGCCTCAGCCTCCCAAGTAGGTGGGACTACAGGCATGTGCCACCACACCCGGCTAATTTTCTTTTGTATTTTTAGTAGAGACGGGGTTTCACCATGCTGGCCAGGCTGGTCTCGAACTCCTGACCTCGTGATCCGCCCGCCTCGGCCTCCCAAAGTGCTGGGATTACAAACGTGAGCCACCGCGCCTGGCCTTCCTTGCTCTTCTTGCTCCAAATCCTGGGAACGTCTGAATCAACAGGCGGACATCTGTCAAACCTTCCTAGCAACTACGCCTGCGGATGGCCAACCTGACCCTGGAAGACAGTGGGGTTTAGTTAAGCACAGATTGTACATCGGGGGCCTCATAAGGCGCCTGGAAGCATTCAAGAACACCACGCTTGTAAGGACAAAGCACTCGGTCACGGGCGCCTTTACTTCGGAGCTCCGCGCTGCTGCTGGACGAGCGTCCGTTGAGTCCCAGCCCCAATTTTTCCAGGAAATGGCGGTGAGCCCTCTAGTGAGATATTTTTTGGCCTGGGCCTCAGTTTCTCCATCTGTCAATGGGGGAAGGGGAAGGCGGGCTAGAGGACCCCGACCAGGTCGGCTGCAGCCTTCGGAAGCTACGGCCCAGGGACGCCACACCAAGGCAGGTCTGCGGGACGAAAGAACCCAAGAACCCGGGCGCGCATTGGCGCCGGTCCCGGGCTCAAGGGGCAGCAACGAGGAGACGCTGGACCTGGCCGTTCCTCGCACACATCTCTAACCTTCTGTGCCTCTCAAGGGAGATGGGGTG
The DNA here is from genome assembly GCF_000001405.40 of Homo sapiens. NCBI lineage: Eukaryota > Metazoa > Chordata > Mammalia > Primates > Hominidae > Homo > Homo sapiens. The sequence continues at coordinate 10,653,748 of NC_000019.10, forward strand.
AGCATAGCCACCTCCACTGGAGCCCGAAAATCCCCGGCCGAGATACCGCCACTAAAAAGGTACACATGCGTCAAAGCCTCTCGGAGCCATTTCCGCTAACGTACTCAGGGCGACGGGCGTAAGATGGCGGCCGCGCAGGCGCAAAATGTCGCAGCCGTAGGGAGGCTCCGCCTCTGACGCTTGCCTTGCATCACGTGGTAATGGCCGCTCAAAAAACGCCTTAGCGAAAACCAGAGCGTGCCCTCGTCACGTGATGGAGGACTCCCAGTACGGCAAAGGGAAGGCGCCAAAAGTTGTCAGATGGCGAAGGAAACCGCGAAATTCGCCATTGTCACATGATGGAGCAACCTATCGAAAGCGGAGGGAAAGGTGCCGAAGTCACGTGACTACGCACGCAAACACTCCCGCTTGCACCACGTGCAACTCACGCCCACCCCCTCAGCCCCCCCCTTATCTCTTTTCGCCCCTCCCTCCCATTTGGGTTGGGCCTGCGTCGAGGCGCAACGCGGCGTCAAAGGGGGCGGGGCTTCAGCCGGTCACGTGTTCCCGCACCTCCCCGGCGCGCGCCTGCCCGCCCGCCCGCTCGCCCCCGGTCCGGACTCCTCCTCCTCCTCTTCTCGCCATTGCAGTTGGACCCAGCAGCCCGGCGCGCACCGCGTGGCTTTTGGGGGCAGACCCCGGCGGGCTGTGGCAGGAGGGCGGCGGCGGCGGCTGCGGTCGAAGAAGGGGACGCCGACAAGGTAAGCGTCAATGTGGCGGCGGCCGGGCCCGCTCCCGCCTCTGCCCCTCCCCCCGCCCGCCCTCAGTGAGATCCCCACTGAGGGTTCGCGGTGACAAGGCTGGAGGGATCCCACGCTCGCCGCCTCCGCCCGGTTCCCTCATCCCGGCGCCTGGCCCGTTCCTCCCTTGCCGGCCTCGCTCCCGCGCTCGGCCGTTAACTCTCTTCCATTGTGCGGAGGAAACAAAATGGCGGCTGCGGCGGCGGCGAGGACTCGGTGCGCGCGCAGCCGCTCCCCCCCGCACGCGGCCCCTCGGCCGGCGGCGGCGCCACGCGCGGGGGGGTGCGCGCGCACCGGGCCCCCGGCTGCCGCCTCCCCGCGGCTGGGCTTTTGTCTGTTGCGGGGGTCCTGGGGACGCGCGCACGTGCTTGGAGCACACACCCCCTCGGGTCCCGAGTTCCGCGGCGGGGCGACCCCCCTTCCTCACTCCTTCCCTACCCCCTCCTCCTCTTTGTCCCGGTCCCGCCCCCGATTCCAGGAGAGTCCCAGGTTCCCGAGGCGGGAAAAGTCGCCTCCTTTGTCCTCACAGGTCGCGGAGAGGCGGACCCCCTCCTTGGAAGCCCCTTCCCACGCGGATTGCTGAGGAAGCCTTTGTGGGTTCGTCGGGTTTCCAAATCTCTGGTCAGCCAGGCCTCTCTCAGATCAGGGTCAAAACTTGAGAGGGTTTCAGCTTTTTCTTTAGTTAGTTTGTTTTCATTGTTGAATGTTTTTCCAGATTGTTAGTATTTGCCTTCTCTAGACCGGCAATCTACTTGGGTGCAAGCCTGGGCCCCGAAACGTGGATGCTTAAAACCCATTTCTACCTTTATTTTCTCAAGTAGTTGAACGATTGAGATTCTCGAGGTTACTCATGAGGTTCTGCCCCAGTTAATTCACCGCCTGGATGAATTATTTGGGGTGTACGGCGGTCTGCATGCTCCTCCCCCAGTTCAGTGGCCAAATTTGAGGAGAATGAGGGATCTCTTCTCCACATTTCCAACATTGTTTGCCAGTTGCTGCTTAGGTGACATGGATCAGCAACGAAGCGTCGGTTTCAGTGGTTTCTTTTTCTGGACTCCGGTAATTCACTGCTGCTGAATCTTTTTCAAGATTTTGCTCTCTTTAAAATGAGTGGTGTGATGGCATATTTGTGGTCCACATGGAATCGCGAGGTGCCATCCGAAGTTAGGATTCAAATTTAGGACTTTAAGCTCTCTTTTCCTCAGGTATTTGTGGATGGGAATCTCCATGGATTGCTCAGAGTGCTGCCACTGTCCCTTGTGCGTGATGCTTTGTGTGTGGTCTCGTGGGATGTAGTTACAGTAGCCGCCCAGACTGTGAATGAAGTGTGGGAACCAGGGCCTCATTCACAGCTGGAAAGCAGGAGGAGGCCGCAGGACATTGGCAGGTGCTCCTCTCCCTGTTCCGTGGTGCTGGGGCCCCTTGCTTATGTGGGTGGCTCTTGGTCCCTGGGATTTGTGAATGGAGTCTGCAGGCCCCAGTGTTGTCTGGAATATTCTTTAGTTCAGATTGGAGGCTAGCAATGACTGCCAGGCTTGGCCTTGCCGCCACTGGGCGCTATTTATCACTCTCCCTATCTTCCTGGAGCTTAGCCGAGTCTTCCTGGAGCTGAGAGGTGCCTAATTGTTTGTGGTTTTTCTGATTGAACTTGTTTGGTGCCTCTAGGCAAAAATTCCTTTGGCTCCTTCTAGTATTTTCAGGGTCTTGAAGGCCCATATTCCTGAGCATGAGGAATCTAAGTCTGTTATTTTTTCCTAAATTTTCATGTTAAATACCACGTTGACAAAGGACAGCTGCTAATATTTTGATCACACAGATACAGACGGTGCTCCCTGGTTAAGGCCTCCAGGTAGGGGACAGGTAGAGTCAGTGATGGGGAAGAAGCCTTCTGTAAGTCCCTTTCCTTTGGGTAGACAGTAGATTACCCTTTAGGCTTTAGCAAGATGTGGGGGTTAGAAGTCTTCTATTCTTGGAAAAGCCTTTAGTCGTTTTCTTTGGGCTGGGGCCTCTTCTCTTAGGGACTGCTGTCACCCTTTCTCGGTTTCTTTTGATTACCTTTCATGGCCCCAGAGGAGTGATCCCTTCCCTTATTTATACCTCTTGGACTTGTCATCCTGCTACATTTTGTCAGCAAGTTAATTCACCTTGTGCAGTTTTGAAAGATGTGTAAGTGTTAACATTTAGTATTAGCATTTATGGCCCAGGAAATTGTGACCTTAATATTTGAATCTTGCTTTTATTAAACCTTTACAGGAACTAGGATTTTGTAGGGTTTTTTTTTTTTTTTTTTTTTTGAGTTAGAGTTTAGCTCTTGTTGCCCAGGCTGGAGTGCAATGGCGCGATCTCGGCTCACCGCAACCTCCACCTCCCGAGTTCAAGCGATTCTCCTGCCTCAGCCTCCCGAGTAGCTGGAATTACAGGCATGCTCCACTACACCTAGCTAATTTTGCATTTTTACTAGAGATGGGGCTTCTCCATGTTGGTCAGGCTGGTCTCGAACTCCGAACCTCAGGTGATCCACCGGCCTCGGTCTCCCAGAGTTGTGGGATTACAGGCGTGAGCCACCATGCCCAGCCTTCTAGGTTCTGTTTATTGGATGCTTTTTATCTTAACAAAGTCCTGGCAGAGAAAGATTTGATTTGTTTCCATCAGGAAGTTTGGAATCTGAGGCAGATAGTGGTTTGAGTGTCATCTTCACACAATGAATGAGTAGAGATTTGGGGCCTGGGAGGCACGAGGCAAACTTTAGTTTCCTACTGAAGCATTTGTCCGTTTTATCTGAAACAAGTAGATTGCCGATCTGTATTATTATACATAGTAAGCTGCTGTTGAAATGGTTGTGAAAGTAGAGTAGGCAGGTAGGTGGTGGTTAGGGGGCCTCATCGGTGCTGATTTTTAAGAAATTTTTATGATATTTATGATCTGTTATAAATCCTTGTGAAACTTTTCCATGAGAACACTTCACGGGTGATTCCATTATGAATAGCAATTGGTGGCCGGGTGCGGTGGCTCACGCCTGTAATCCCAGCACTTTGGGAGGCTGAGGTGGGCGGATCACGACGTCAGGAGTTCGAGACCAGCCTGACCAGCATGGTGAAACCCCGTATCTACTAAAAAAAAAAAGTACAAAATTAGCCAGGTACGGTGGCACACACCTGCAGTCCCAGCTATTCGGGAGGCTGAGGCAGCGAATCGCTTGTACGTAGGAGGCGGAGGTTGCAGTGAGCTGAGGTCGTGCCGCTGCACTCCAGCCTGTGTGATGGAGCAAGACTTCGTATGAAAAAAAAATAATAACAATTGGAAATTCAGATACATTTAGCATCAGCTGTATTTAGGCATCGTGTAAAAGTGATGTCCAGTTAAAATTTAATTTAATTTTTTTTTTTGAGACAGGGTCTCACTCTGTCACCCAGGCTGGAGTGCAGTCGCGTGATCTCCGCTCACTGCAGCCTCTGTCTCTGAGGCTCAAGAAGCAATCCTCCCACCTCAGCCTCCCAAGTAGCTGGAACCACAGGCACATGTCACCACACCCAGCTAATTTTTTGAATTTTTTGTAGAGACAGGATCTTTCCACGTTGCCCAGGCTGGCCTCAGAACTCTTGGGCTCAAGCAATCTGCCCACCTTGGCCTCCCAAAAAGCTGGAATTACTGGAGTGAGCCCTCACTCCTGGCCAGAATTTACCTTTTTTCTCTTCTCATTAAATGTTTACGTAGTGAAGACATTGAAAATGTAGCTACTAGTTTTTTTTAAATTTTTAATCTAATTTTATTTTTTTGTAGAGATAGGGTCTTAAACTATGTTGCCCAGGCTGGTCTCAAATTCCTAGGCTCAAGTGATCCTCCTGCAGCCTCTCAAAGTGCTGGGATTACAGATATGAGCCGCCTTGCCCAGTGGCACTAATTTTAAGACAAAAATATGTTTACTGTCTGAGGGCCATTCTCTTGTGGAATGCGTGATCACCATGTATCATTTAGTCATAAAGTTGAATGTATTACAGTATGCAAATTTGCTCCAAATTATTTTTATAATTTTAAGTGATAGTAAGAAGTTCTGGCCAGGCGCGGTGGCTCAGGCCTGTAATCCCAGAACTTTGGGAGGCCGAGGCGGGCGGATCACAAGGTCAGGAGATCGAGACCATCCTGGCTAACCCGGTGAAACCCCGTCTCTCTTAAAAAATACAAAAAAATTAGCCGGGCGTGGTGGCGGGTGCCTGCAATCCCAGCTGCTGAGGAGGCTGAGGCAGGAGAATGGCGTGAACCCGGGAAGCGGAGCTTACAGTGAGCAGAGATTGTGCCACTGTACTCCAGCCTGGGCGACAGCAAGATTCTGTCTCAAAAAAAAAAAAAAAAGTTCTACTTTGCAGTGTGAAGTACATAATTTTCACTGAACATGCCCAACAGCTGTCCTTATCTTTTCGAGGATTTTGCTTGAAGCTGAAGGTTAAGGTCTTACTTAGATAAAGATAAAAGGTCTTGGAGATGAGTAAGTCTTCCAGGCCACTTTCTTTTCTGCTGCTTGCCTATAAAACTAGTTTCTCATATCAGAGTGTTGTTTTTTTTTTTTTTTGAGATGGAGTCTCACAGTGTCACCTAGGCTGGAGTGCAGTGGCACGGTCTCGGCTTACTGCAACCTCCGCCTCCTGGGTTCAAGTGTTTCTCTTGCCTCATTTCTCTTGCCTCAGCCTCCCAAGTAGCTGGAATTACAGGCACCTGCCGTCACGCCCAGCTAATTTTTTGTATTTTTAGTAGAGATGAGGTTTCACCATTTTGCTCGGGCTAGTCTCGAATACCTGACCTCAAGTGATCTGCTGCCTCAGTCTCCCAAAGTGCAGGAATTACAGGTGTGAGTCACAACGCCGGTTCTAATTTTTTTTTTTTTTTTTTTTTTTTTTGAGATGAGTCTCGCTCAGTCGCCCAGGCTAGAGTGCAGTGGCGCGGCTTACTGCAAGCTCCGCCTCCCGGGTTCATGCCATTCTCCTGCCTCTGCCTCCCAAGTAGCTGGGACTACAGGCACCCGCCACTACGCCCGGCTAATTTTTTTGTATTTTTAGTAGAGACGGGGTTTCACCATATTAGCCAGGATGGTCTCAATCTCTTGACCTCGTGATCCGCCTGTCTCGGCCTCCCAGAGTGCTGGGATTACAGGCGTGAGCCGCCGTGCCCGGCCAATTTTTGTATTTTTATATAGAGACTGAGTTTTCGCCGTGTTGGCTAGGGCTATCTTGAACTGGCGTCACTCAAGTGATTTGCCTGCCTCGGCCTCTCAAAGTGTTGGGATTACAGGCATAAGCCACCATACCTGACCTGCAGTTATTTCAAAGTAAAAAGGTTTTACTAAACAGTTAACATGTTTGGATGTTAGTATTTAATGTCCATGTGAGAGATGGTCTTTTTAAAAAAAAATCTTAACTGGAAAAATACAGTTCTGGGAGAAGTAAACATTGAACTGTATACTAAGTTTAAAAAAAATAATCCAAGGCTTCGCTCTGGGAATACATGGGGAAGGATTGCTTCTGCCTCCACCCAGATATGGGAGGATCTCTCAACCATGCTTCCCTTGCCCCCCTGCTGCCTGAGAGCATGCTGGAAAGAGGGTTTGATAATTCCCACTTGAAGTCATGTTGAATGTTTTTCTATGGTGGCAGATTTTAAAGCATTTCTGTTGGTTCATCCAAGAGCAGTTAATGTTTTTCTTTTTTTTTTCCTAAGGACTGGCTCTCACTATGTTGTCCAGGCCGGTCTTGAACTTCTGGGCTCAACGAATCTTCCTGCCTCGGTCTCCCGAGTAGCTGGTACTACAGGCATTCACAACTGTACCCAATTTAATCCTCTTCATACATTGCATTTGTAGTATTGTAGTTCACAAAACATTTCCCCATAGTGCCACCTTTAATCCTTGCTGTCTGCAGCCTGAGGCAGGTGGTATTTTCATCCTCATTTTTCACCCACCACCAGAAAGGTAAGTGATTTGCTGTAGGTCCCAAAGCTGCCAGGTTGGAGAGCCCAGGGGCAAATTCCAGGCTTCTGACTCTAGGACTGTGGGCACTCCACAACACTAGTGAGCCTGGAGTCCCGGGTCTCCAGAAACATTTGAGGAACAACTTGTATTTGCCAACTTTTTTTTATGAGATGGAGTCTCACTCTGTCGCCTAGGCTAGAGTGCAGTGGTGTGCTGTCGGCTCACTGCAGCCTCCGCCTCCTGGGTTCAAGCGATTCTCCCGCCTCAGCTTCCTGAGTAGCTGGGATTACAGGCGCCCGCCCCCACACCCGGCTAATTTTTGCATTTTTAGTGGAGATAGGGTTTTGCCATGTTGGCCAGGCTGATCTTGAACTCCTGACCTCGTGATCTGCCTGCCCTGGCCTCCCAAAGTGCTGGGATTACAGGTGTGAGCCACCATGCCCGGCTGTATTTGCCAACTTTTTATTTTGTCAAGGAAAATATCTTTAAATTAGTGATCATTCACCATTTCCGTTTTTCATAATTAGCAAGATTGTCTTTATCACCAAAACTATAGGAATAAAATAAAGGACAGTCCTTTAAGTTGAAAATATTTACTAAAATCTTTATTTCTGGCTGGGCGCGGTGGTTCACGCCTATAATCCCAGCACTTTGGGAGGCCGAGGCTGGCGGATCACTTGAGGTCAGGAGTTGGAGACCATCCTGGCCAACATGGTGAAATCCCGTCTGTACTAAAAATACAAAAATTAGCCAGGAATGGTGGTCTGTGGCTGTAATCCCAGTTACTCAGTAGAGTGAGGCAGAAGAATTGCTTGAACCCACGAGGCGGAAGTTGCAGTTGAGCTGAGATCACGCCACTGCACTCCAGCCTGGGTGACAGAGCAAGACTCTGTCTCAAAGAGAAAAAAAAAAAAAGCTCTTTGATATAATAATACTGTTGCAGTCTGAACTATGAACCATTGCACTGGACTTCACATTTTTAAATATTTCAGAATGGCATTGATAGCAAGATTTTAGACTGGCATTGCCTCGCTCGGTTGCTTGCTTTTTTTTTTTTTTTGAGACGGAGTTTTGCTCTTGTTGCCCAGGCTGGAGTGCAATGGCGCGATCTCGGCTCACTGCAACCTCCATCTCGCGGGTTCAAGCGATTCTCCTGCCTCAGCCTCCCGAGGAGCTGGGATTACAGGCATGCACCACCACACCGGGCTAATTTTGTATTTTTAGTAGAGATGGAGTTTCTCCAAGTTGGTCAGGCCGGTCTGGAACTCCCAACCTCAGGTGATCCACCCGCCTCAGCCTCCCAAAGTGGTGGGATTACAGGTGGGAGCCACTGTGCCCGGCCGGTTGCTTTCTAAGAATAATTTTCAATGTGCCCTTGATGGCGTGACTCTGTCAAAGTTCAAGGAGTCACCAAGACTCCTAGCTCAAGTGTATCATTTCAGCTCACAGCCCAGGATGGGCCAGCTCCAGAGGTCAGGAAACCAGGAGGTGGGTTGAGTCTCTGAATTTCAGAGCCTAATTTGGTCTCTCTCAAGTGAATATCCACTTCAGGACCATTCCCTAGAGTTGCTGGGAAGGCTGTAAGACTTATGAAATACCCCGAAGACAGGTGGGGCCATACCTGTGAGGGTGTTGCCACTGTACCTGTCCATTCCACAAACATCTGTTCATCCACTCATGCTGAACTAACTTGGGCATGTTTCTTTTCCAACAAGTGCCATGAACCTCATAGTGTAATTAGTGAGAGGTCAGAAAGATGGCCATTGCACCACAAACATAATGTTTTGTGGTTGAAGCTTCTGTAACTGCATGTTGTGGGTGGGCTGGATTCAGGAACAAAAGAAAAATGAATCCCTGTGTGTTAAACCATCCCAAACCACCAAGAAGTCATGTTTAAAATCCCAATACTTCATTTACCACTTGATCCTGCCTTGGGTTTGTTTTCAGAGAAGCTGCATGTTGCTGGTGCCCAGGATTGAATCATAAAAATTGTAAGAATAGGCTTTGCTGGTGCCAGGTTTGAATAAATGTGGTTGCAAGAACAGCATTGTTCATCGTTTCGCAGCTTTCGTTTAAAGTTAGATTAGTAGGGGCAGCGGAGTGTTGCGTGTGGGTGGGTGCTGTAGGCTTATTGCCAGCAGTGTGCCTCACTAAATATCCTCTTGAAAGGGAAGTTTCTGCTCACCCTGAAGACTGCTGGATCAGTTAGTGAGACAAATTCCAAGAAGCTGGCTTGGATGTCAAATTGGTCTTGGGCTCATAGAGAGGAATGGATTTGTTGCCCTGAAAAGGAGCGATAACTCTAGTTTTTAAACATTTGTTTTAGTTCAGATAATTACTGCCCTTATTCATTGTGTCCACCTGAGTCAGAAAGCATTGCTGCTGTTGCCTGGTCTAAGGGAGGAGGACCCAGGCATGTAACGGACTGCATGCTGGCCAGTTGTGGTGGTCAGAGCAAGCTGGAGGCCAGCGAGGCCCTTCAGGGGTCTTTTCAAGGGTCTGCCTTGGGGAGCAGAGGAAGATGAAGTGAGGCAGTCGTTATAGCAAGGGCACACCCACGTTTCTCATTTTGAACAGTGAAGAAAGCAGATGGAAAGCCACATGTAGGGCATTTGCTGAAGACAGGTGTGTTGGGGGCGTGTGTGTGTCCTCTGAGGCATTTTGGGTGGGGCGATATTTTGACCGAATGATACCTTGTTCTTCAGTGCTTCAATGGTTGATGGGGTGGCTTTTTTTCGAGATGGAGTCTCTCTCTGTCATCCAGACTGCAGTGCAGTGGCGCGATCTCGGCTTACTGCAGGCTCCGCCTCTTGGGTTCACGCCATTCTCCTGCCTCAGCCTCCCTGAGTAGCTGGGACTACAGGCACCTGCCACCACGCCTGGCTAATTTTTTTGCATTTTTTTTGAGATGGAGTCTCGCTCTGTCGCCCGGGCTGGAGTGCAGTGGCGCGATCTCGGCTCACTGTAACCTCCGCCTCCCGGGTTCAAGCAATTCTCCTGCCTCAGCCTCCTGAGTAGCTGGGATTACAGACGCCTGCCACCACGCCCAGCTAATTTTTGTATTTTTGGTAGAGGTGGGGTTTCACCATGTGGGTAGGCTGGTCTCGAACCCCTGACCTCGTGATCCACCCGCCTCAGCCTCCCAAAGTGCTGGGATCACAGGCGTGAGCCACTGCTCCCGTCCAATTTTTTTGTATTTTTAGTAGAGAGGGGTTTCAACGTGTTAGCCAGGATGCTATCGATCTCCTGACCTCATGATCCACCAGCCTCAGCCTCCCAAAGTGCTGGGATTACAGGTGTGTGCCACTGTGCCTGATAGTGGGGTGATTTTCTACTTCTAACTCTCTAATGTGTCACATGGCTTTTTTTAATAGATTGTCTGTATCAACTGGGGGTGAACTTTAGTCTTTTAACAATTTTCAGACTATGAAGTTTGGATGTAAACACCTCTAATGTGGGAAGTTAGTTTTTTTTAAAGTATCTGTATGGAGTTATGGATATATATAAATTTAATGTGTTGAATCTGTTTTATTTTAGTAACATCTTTTGAAAATGTTCAAACATAGAAAAAAGGGTGATACAATTTTAGTGAACACTTAGGCCGGGGGCAGTGGCTCACTGCCTGTAATCCCAGCACTTTGGGAGGCCGAGGTGGGCAGATCATTTGAGGTCAGGAGTTTGAGACCAGCCTGGCCAACATGTTGAAACCCCCGTCTCTACTAAAAATACAAAAGTTAGCCTGGCATGGTGGTAGGTGCCTGTAATCCCAGCTATCCGGGAAGCTGAGGCAGGAGAATCACTTGAACCTGGGAGGCGGAGGTTGCAGTGAGCCGAGATCGCGCCACTCCGCTCCAGCCTGGGCAACACAGTGAGAGTCCGTTTCAAAAATAATAATAATAAAAAATTTAAGCTGGGCGCAGTGGCTCAACGCCTTTGTAATTCCAGCACTTTGGGAGGCCGAGGCAGGCAGATCACTTGAGGTCAGGAGTTCGAGACCAGCCTGACAAATGTGATGAAACCCCGTCTCTACTAAAAATACAAAAAAAAATTAGCCAGGTGTGGTGGTGCATGTCTGTAATCCCAGCTACTTGGGAGGCTGAGGCAGGACAGTCTCTTGAACCTGGGAGGCAGAGGTTGCAGTGAACCGAGATCGTGCTGTTGCACTCCAGCCTGGGCAACAAGAGTTAAACTGCACTTCAAAATATAATAATAATAAAATAAAAAATTTAATGAACACCTACCTGTATGCACAGCCTAGGTTTTGCTGTGGGCATTTAACTGCTTGTGTTTCACATATTTGTCCATCCACTTATAATTCTTTTCACTTTTCACTTTATTGATTGATCAGAGACAGGGTTACACTTTTGTTGCCCAGGCTGGAGTGCAGTGGTACAGTCATAGCTCAGTGCCATCTCAAACTCCTGTGCTTAAGCAGTCCTCGCGTCTCAGCCTCCCAAAGTGTTGGGGTTATAGGCGTGAACCACTATGCCTGGCCAAATATATGTATATATATTTTTGTATATATTTTTTTAAATTTTATTTTTGTTTTTTATTTTATTTTTATATTTTGAGACAGAGTCTTGCTCTGTCGCCCAGGCTGGAGTGCAATGGCGCGATCTCAGCTCACTGCAGCCTCAGCCTCCCTGGTTCCAACGATTCTTCTGCCTTAGCCTCCTGGGTAGCTGGGATTACAGGTGCACTCCACTACGCCCAGCTAATTTTTGTATTTTTAGTAGAGACAGGGTTTCACCATGTTGGTCAGGCTGGTCTCGAACTCCTGACCTCAGGTGATCCACCCACCTTTGGCCTCCCAAAGTGTTGGTATTACAGGTGTGAGCCACTGCGCCTGGCCACTTTATTTTGATGATGCATTTCAAACTAAGTAGCAGGAAGTTGCAAGTCTTCCCTCTACATATTATTAACTAGAATTTAATATTTATTTACAGTTCTTTTTTGGGGTGGCGGGGGTCAGGGTCTCACACACTTTTTTTGCCCAGGCTGGAGTGCAGTAGCACAGTCTTGGCTTACTGCAGCCTCCATCTCCTGGGCTCAAGTGATCCTCCTCCCTCAGCCTCCTGAGTAGCTGAAATTAACGGCAGGTGCCACCATACCTGGCTAATTTTTTTTTTCTTTTTTTTTAAGAAGGAGTTTCGCTCTTGTTGCCCAGGCTGGAGTGCAATGGTGTGATCTCGGCTCACTGCAACCTCCGCCTCCTGGGTTCAAGCGATTCTCCTGCCTCAGCCTCCCGAGTAGCTGGGACTACAGGCACGTGCCACCAATGCCCAGCTAATTTTGTATTTTTAATAGAGACGGGGTTTTGCCGTGTTGGTTAGGCTGGTCTCAAACTCCCGACCTCAGGTGATCCACCTGCCTCAGCCTCCCAAAGTGCTGGGATTCCAGGCATGAGCCACCGCGCCCTGCCTACCTGGCTAATTTAAAAAAAAATTTTTTTGGAGACCAGGTCTGATTATGTTGCCCAAGTTGGCCTCGAACTACTGTGCTCAAGTGCCTTGGCCTCCCAAAGTGCTGTGATAACAGGCGTGAGCCACTGCTCCTGCCTCACTTTATTTTTATGATGCATTTCCAACTAAATAACAGAAAGTTCTAATCTTCCCTCTACATACTAACAAGAATTTAGTATTTATTTGCAGCTAGGTTTTTATTTTTTTCTTTAAAAATTTTTTTTGTAGATTCACTCAGGCTGGTCTTGAACTCCTGACAAGTGCTGCTCCCAACGTGGTGAGCCACCATGCCCAGCCTCTTTTTTCTTTTTAAATAATGCACAGATCTTTAGTATACCAGTCAGTGAATTCTGGCCACTGCATATACCCAACTCTTGTCAGGAGGGAGAATGTAACCTTCATCTCAGAAAGCTTGGGAGGGCCCCTTCCCATGTGATCCCTACCACCGTTCCCCAGAGGCTGTCCCATCACTGATTAGTTTCGCTTATTCTAGAACTTTATGTAGGTGGAAGCATGATTCTTTTTGAATTTGTTCCAAATGTAGCCAGTGGGACACCTCACAAGTCAGCTCCGATGTCCTCAGGACAAGACTGCTATAGTCACCAGTGCTTTGTTGCTTTCTGGCGCTCCGGTAGGATCCAGGCTCACTTGGTATATCCCCTGCTGCAGATTACGGTCCACTTCTCCCGGGAGCTGCTTTCAGTAGGTTTTTGTTGTTGTTATATTTTTGTTTATTTATTTATTTCGAGACATTCTCTTGCTGTGTCAGGTAGGCTGGAGTTCAGTGGTGCAATCTCGGCTCATGGCAGTCTCCTCCCCAGTTCAAGGAGGTCAAGGAGTTCAAGACCAGCCTGGTGAACATAGTGAAACCCTGTCCCTACTAAAAATACAAAAATTCGCCGGGTGTGGCGACACACACCTGTAGTCCCAGCTACTAGGGAGGCTGAGACAGGAGAATTGCCTGAAACTGGCAGGCAGAGATTACAGTGAGCCGAGATCACACCACTGCATTCCAGCCTGGGCGACAGAGCAAGACTCTCTCAAAAAAACAAAAAGTGTTGGCTTTGCATCGTGGCTCACACCTGTAATCCCAGCACTTTGGGAGACTGAACTGGGAGGATCACTTGAGCCCAGGAGTTTGAGACCAGCCCACGCAACATGGCAGCAACCCATCTCTACAAATAATTAAGAACAAAAAATCTATTATGGAATTTTTAAAACATGCACAAAAGAATTACAGTATCCATCACCCAGCTTCAACAGCTGTCAGTGTTCTACAGTCTTGTTTCATCCTTCTCTACTTTCCTTTTTTTTTTTTTTTGGAGACGGAGTCTTGCTCTGTCGCCCAGGCTGGAGTGCAGTGGCACGATCTCGGCTCACTCACTGCAAGCTCTGCCTCCCGGGATCATGCCATTCTCCTGCCTCAGCCTCCCTATAGCTGGGACTACAGGCACCCACCACCATGCCTGGCTAATTTTTTGTATTTTTAGTAGAGACGAGGTTTCACCGTGTTAGCCAGGATGGTCTCGATCTCCTGACTTCGTGATCCGCCCGCCTTGGCCTCCCAAAGTGCTGGGATTACAGGCGTGAGCCACCACGCCCGGCCTCATCCTTCTCTACTTTCTGCTCCCTGGTATATTTCAGAGCAAATACCAGGTATATAATTTTAGCCATAAATTTGTCTTAAATATGTGTGGAACAGTTAAAGTTGGTTCTTTCCAGCACAACCACAGTATTATTCCCCTAACTGAAGTAACTATAATTCCTTCATAAGGATTCACTTCATGAACAAGATTCCCAGTGTCGTTGCGACTATCCAGGGAAACCATAGCCAAGGGAACAGGCTTGGCAGAATCAGTGGCGAAAGAAGGCCCTGTGGAGCTTGACTCTGGCTCGGTGAAGAGACATGGGTGATGGAGGAGAGGATGCCCTTTGCACACACATCACTCACGCCTGGCCCTCATTGCAGCCTGGGAAGGCAGATTTTTTTCAACAGTAGGATCTAGTACCAATTGTTAGGTCTATGGGATATGTGCTGCATGCTTCAAGTAGGTTGACTTGTTTCATTTTCCTAGTCCTGCCGAGAGTAGAGGGGCCTCTTCCGTGTTGCTAATGCAAGAAGGAAGCTAGTGGCTGGGCAAGTGGGGTTTCAGGTCCAAGTCTGTGCAGAAGCTTTCCTTGGGCGATCGATCGAGTGGCTTGCCCCATGGTGTGAGTCTCAGGCATGTTGAGCCACTGAGCCCAGGGACTGGCTTTCTGCCCTTTTCATCCCATGCCCCCTCACACTCCTTCCCTCCTGCATCCCTACCCTGACATGAAGCCTTTGACCTCACCATGTCCTGTTGCTGGGCTTTGCAGGGGCATCATTTGACTCCTAGGGGTTTTTTGTTTTGTTTTGTTTTAAATGAGACAGAGTTTTGCTCTTGTCACCCAGGCTGGAGTGCAATGGTGTGATCTCGACTCACCGTAACCTCCGCCTCCCAGGTTCAAGCAATTCTCAGGCCTCAGCCTCCTGAATAGCTAGGATTACAAGCATGTGCTACCACACCCGACTCATTTTTTGTATATTTAATAGAGACAGGGTTTCACCATGTTGGCCAGGCTGATCTTGAACTCGCGACCTCAGGTGATGCCTCTGCCTCGGCCTCCCTAAAGTGTTGGGATTACAGGCGTGAGCCACCGCGCCTGGTGACCCCTAGGTTTTATTTATTTATTTATTGAGACGGAGTCTCGCTCTGTCACCCAGGGTGGAGTGCAGTGGCGCGATCTCAGCTCACTGCAACCTCTGCCTCCCGGGTTCAAGTGATTCTTCTGCCTCAGCCTCCTGAGTAGCTGAGACAACAGGCATGTGCCACCACACCCGGCTAATTTTTTGTATTTTTAGTAAAGATGGGGTTTCACAGTGTTAGCCAGGATGGTCTCGATTTCTTGACCTCGTGATCTGCCTGCCTTGGCCTCCCAAAGTGCTGGGATTACAGGCATGAGCCACCGCACCTGGCCGGTTTTATTTATTTATTCATTTATTTTTTTTGAGGTGGAGACTCTATTTGCCACGCAGGAGTGCAGTGGCGCAATCTCAGCTCACTGCAACCTCTGCCTCCCGGTTTCACGCTGTTCTGCCTCAGCCTCCCTAGTAGCTGGGATGACAGGTGCACGCCACCACATCTGTCTAATTTTTGTATTTTTAGGAGAGATGTGGTTTCTCCATGTTAGCCCAGCTAGTCTCTAACTCCTGACCTCAAGTGATCCACCCACCTTGGCCTCCCAAAGTGCTGGGATTACAGGCGTGAGCCACCTCGCTCAAGCACCCTTAGGTTTTAAAGTTTAACCTTGGGGTGTTTAAATTTTGCAGTTAGATTTGCTAGGTAGTCCTGGGTATTTTGGGAAGTTCTTGTTTTGGCAGCATGTCAGACTTTATCCTTGATGCTTGGGCCTTTCAGGTTTGAGCCTGCTCTGCTGGCTCGGAACTAGTTTAGTCGGAAGGGGCTGGCAGTTGCCTGTAGGGGGTAGATTCATCTGGTGTGTATTATGCTGATGGGGTTTTTTGGTTGTTTACTCATTTGGAAGATTTCAGTATGGACCAGACTGTTTGTGTAGAGTGGGAATTGAGTAGGTTGGAGTCGGCATGATTCTGAGACCGAAATAGTAATTATGGCTTCGTTTGTCCTGAAGGATTCTGTCGTGCACTTCAGTTGTCTCAGCCTCTTCAGAGTTGAACGTGATGTGGTTGTCATCGTCCACCTGATATTTCAAATGTTCACTTTTCGGGAGGTTCTTTCTTTTTCATTTTACAGAAGCCTTTTGGGACCCTTTGTCATATGTCTTTCTTCCTTCCACCTCTTCATTACCATCAGAGGTCAGAGCTCCTTCCCTCTCTTTTCCTTCCCCAAGCACCAAGATTTTGATGTGAACATCTTTTTTTTTTTGTTTTTTTTTTTTGAGATGAAGTCTTGCTCTGTCACCCATGCTGGAGTGCAGTGGTGTGATCTCTGCTCACTGCAGCCTCCGCCTCCTGGGCTCAAGCGATACTTGTGCCTCAGCCTCCCGAGTAGCCGGGACTACAGGTGCCCACCACGCCCGGCTAATTTTTGTATTTTTAGTAGAGATGGGGTTTTACAGCGTTGGCCAGGCTGGTCTTGAACTCCTGACCTCAAGTGATCCACCCATCTCAGCCTCCCGAAGTGGCAGGATTACAGGCGTGAGCCACTGTGCCTAGCATGATGTGAACATTTCTACCTGTAGTGTTTTTTGGAGAGCTGTTAATATTTTCATACTTGTAAAAATGGGCATATTTATGTAAAGGAAGATAAAAGAAGTAAAATACCATCTGAGTGGCTTGTGGGCCTGAAGTCAGTTCTGGCTTCTAGAAACCATCTGTTTTCATTTTTAGGGTGTTACGTAGTTAATGCCTTGGCTTAGCAGTGGTTACTTGGAAATAAAGATGTGTCCTGCTGTGTTGACAGGCCCTTCATGAGGCAGCACACATGTCATTCTTGCTACTGTGTACCTAGCTGCTGAAATGAATCCTATAAATTATATGAAACTAAAAAGATTTTCTGATCTTATAGAGTTGAAGTATTGATAACACCAAGGAACTCTATCACAATTTGAAAAGATAAGCAAAAGTTTGATTTCCAGACACTACAGAAGAAGTAAAAATGGTAAGTTTGTTTTTGATCACAGATACTGTTTCTTCACTCATGTACAGAGATGTTTGTAGCCTTTTCCAAAGCATTTGCTTCCATTACCATTTTTATTAGCCCTTTTGGATTATAAAGCAATATTATCTATTCTGTATTCCATTCTGATAGTGTAGGAACGAAGTCAGTGCCCCATTACTCCCACTGCCCAGAGACAACAGCTTTTCAGTTTGCTTGTCCCTCCTTGGTTCTTCAGTTGTGCTCCTGCAGGCTTTGCTTTTACACACGAGCGATATAGCATCATTCTGAATTGTGCAGCTTAAAAGATGAACGTTGGGCTGCTTGCTCTCTTTACATCATTTTTAACTTAATTCTCACATCCCTAGCGTCCAATGCGAATTTTTGTGAATGATGACCGCCATGTGATGGCAAAGCATTCTTCCGTTTATCCAACACAAGAGGAGCTGGAGGCAGTCCAGAACATGGTGTCCCACACGGAGCGGGCGCTCAAAGCTGTGTCCGACTGGATAGACGAGCAGGAAAAGGGTAGCAGCGAGCAGGCAGAGTCCGATAACATGGATGTGCCCCCAGAGGACGACAGTAAAGAAGGGGCTGGGTAAGTGAGGTTTTCCGTTGTCCTTTTCTTTTTTGTAGGGTAGCCAGGGTAGAGGTTGGCACCTGTTTTCTAAGAAACTCCAGCCTCTCTGGGGACCTCTGGGTTGTGGTCAGACTGAATTCCTCACTGAGCTGGGTGTTGGTCTGTCCCTCAGGGAACAGAAGACGGAGCACATGACCAGAACCCTGCGGGGAGTGATGCGGGTGGGCCTGGTGGCAAAGGGCCTCCTACTCAAGGGGGACTTGGATCTGGAGCTGGTGCTGCTGTGTAAGGAGAAGCCCACAACCGCCCTCCTGGACAAGGTGGCCGACAACCTGGCCATCCAGCTTGCTGTAAGTGTGGCCACCACTGCCGGGTAGGTGGGTGGGGGGGTGGTAGGCATGCTGATTGAGGATGTGGGGCCCAGGAAGAAGTGTCCTGCTAGGCTGTGCTCCAAGAAGCACATGCCACACTTGCCCTGGCACTTGCTGTGCGTGTGCCTTCTCAGTAGGTGACAACCAGGACACCACCAAGCCACAGAGATTCTGTGGAACCTGACTGCAGGGGTCATAAGGACCCCGTGCCTATTGTGTGCCAGGCTGCACCAGCCCGAGGTCATTGGGCATAAACTTCACGTCTAGGCTCCATTGGATGGATGGCTAGATAGATAGCAGAGTTGTTATCTCTTCCATTGGATCCAAAGCTGAATGTAAAGAATTTTTTTTTTCTTTTGGGACGGAGTCTCGCTCTGTTGCCCAGGCCTAGAGTGCAGTGGCTCGATCTCAGCTCACTGCAACCTCTGCCTCTGAGGTAGACAATTTTCCTACCTCAGACTCCCAAGTAGCTAGGATTACAGGCATGCACCACTACACCCAGCTAATTTTTATATTTTTAGTATAGACAGGGTTTCACTATGTTGGTCAGGCTGTCCTCTTAACTCCTGACCTCAGGTGATTCATCCACCTCAGCCTCCCAAAGTGCTGGGATCACAGGCATGAGCCACCTCGCCCAGCTGAAAATCTTTTCTATATGTTTATTTTTTATTTTATAAATAGAGATGGGTTCTTGCTATATTGCCCTGGCTGGATTCAAACTCTTGCCCTCAAGCAGTCCTCCTGTCCCCAGCCTCCCACAGTGCTGGGATTAGAAGTGTGAGCCACCACAAACAATTTTTTTTTTTTTTTTTTTTTTTGAGATGGAGTCTTACTCTGTTGCCCAGGCTGGAGTGCAGTGGTGCAGTCTCGGCTCACTGCAACCTCTGCCTCCTGAGTTCAAGCGATTCTCCTGCCTTAGCCTCCCGAGTAGCTGGTATTACAGGCACATGCCACTACGTCCAGCTAATTTTTGTATTTTTAGTAGAGATGGGGTTTCGCCACGTTGGCCAGAGTGGTCTTGAACTCATGACCTCAAATGACCCGCCCACCTCGGCCTCCCAAAGTGCTGGGATTACAAGCATGAGCCACCACGCCTGGCCGTTTTTATTTTTTTAAGATGAGGAAGGTTTCGCTCTGTAGCCCAGGCTGGAGTGTGGTTGCGCAATTATGGTTCACTGCAACCTCCACTTCCAGGGCTCAGGTGATCCTCCCATTGCAGCCCCCTGAGTAGCTAGGACTACAGTCATGTACTACCACCCCGAGCTAAAAGATCTTTTAAAAAAAAAAAAAACATTTATTTGTTTCATTGTGAAAGTATTGCGTAAATAATGGCTTCTGTTTATTGAGTGTTTGCTAAAGTCAGGCCCTCAGCCAGATGTGCTCTTCATGTGTGTTATTTCATCCTCCTCTAAGTGGGACAGATGATGTGACAGAGCTGCAGGGCAGCTGAGGAGTGGATCCCAAGACCCACGGCTGGGCTGTTTGGAGGCATCAGAACCTCTGCCAGCTGTTGCCTCCTCAGGACACAGTCCCCCTGAATTTATTTATAGGATAAGCAAAAAAGAAGTGTACAATCATCTATAAATCTTTGACAGAGTCTTGCTCTGTCATCCAGGCTGGAGTGCAGTGGCCTGATCTGGGGTCACTGCAACCTCTGCCTCCCTGGCTCAAGTGTTTCTCCCACCTCAGCTTCCCAAGTAGCTGGGACTACAGGTGTGTGCTACCACACCCAGCTATTTTTTGTATTGTCTGTGTGTATGTGTGTGTGTAGATACGAGGTTTTCCCATGTTGCCTAGGCAGTTCTTGAACTCTTGATGACAGGCCTGAGCCACCACAGCCTTTGAATCTTTGAATCTTATTCCTTGGAAAGAAAAACCTGATTTACTTTCACAATGCAGATTTGTGTTCTTTCACATGGGACTGACGATTTTGGGTTCAGGACAAAGATCAGGATTAAAATACGGAGCTAATGTAAATGCATTAGATACTTCTGCGGAGCTATTGTAGATGAAGCTGTGAAATTTTTCTAGTGACAATTTTCTTTTTTTTTCTCCTGAAGGTACATCAGCATAGAGGTAATTCCTTTTCTTTTTTGAAACAGTCTTGCTCTGTCACCCAGGCTGGAGTGCTGTGGTGCGATGTTGGCTTACTGCAGCCTCCGCCTCCTGGGTTCAAGTGAATCTCCTGCTTCAGCCTCCTGAGTAGCTGGGATTATGGGTGCCCGCTGCCATGTCCAGCTAATTTTTGCATTTTTAGTAGAGACCATGTTGGCCAGGCTGGTCTCGAACTCCTGACCTCAGGTATTATGCCCGTCTCTGCCTCCCAATAGTTCTGGGATTACAGGCGTGAGCCACTGTGTCCGGCCCATAGTGGTAATTTTTTGGCAGAGGGGGGTGTGGGGGCGGGACAGAGTTTCGCTGTTGTTGCCCAGGCTGGAGTGCAGTGGGGCGATCTCAGCTCACTGCAACCCCCGCCTCCCGGGTTCAAGCGATTCTCCTGCCTCAGCCTCCTGAGTAGCTGGGATTGGAGGCATGCCCCACCACGCCCAGCTACTTTCATGTTTTTAGTAGAGATGGGTTTTCTCCATGTTGGTCAGGCTGGTCTCGAACTCCCGACCTCAGGTGGTCTGCCCGTCTTGGCCTCCCAAAGTGCTGGGATTACAGGCGTGAACCACTGCGCCCGTCCATAGTAGTAATTCTTAAATTAACTTTATTCTTGTCTCTATCTAGCAAGGATATTAAGTGAAGTAAATTGTCATAAATGTTTCTACAGTAAAAACATTTGTGAGAAACCATTCCTTTTTTTTTTTTTTTTTTTTTTGGAGGTGGAGTCTCGCTGTGTCGCCCAGGCTGGAGTGCAGTGGCGCCATCTTGGTTCACTGCAAGCTCCGCCTCCTGGGTTCACACCATTCTCCTGCCTCAGCCTCCCGAGTAGCTGGGACTACAGGCACCTGCCACCACGCCCAGCTAATTTTTTGTATTTTTCGTAGCATCTCTGGTCTTTACCAGGTGAAGTTTCATCTGTGTTAGCCAAGATGGTCTCGATCTCCTGACCTTTTTTTTTTTTTTTTTTTTTTTTTTTAAGGGAGGCAAGGTCTCTTGCTCTGTTGCCCAGGCTTGGGTACAGTGGTGCAATCACAGCTCACTGCAGCCTCAAGCAATCCTCCCACCTCAGCCTCCTGAGTATCTGGGACCGCAAGCATGTGCCACCATGTCTGGCTAATTTTTAAAATTTTTTGTACATACGAGGTTTCATTATGTTGTCCTGGCTGGTTTTGAGCTCCTGGCCTTAAGCTATTTGCTTGCCTCAGCCTCCCAAAGTGCTGGGATTACAGGCATGTGCCATTGAGCCTGGCCAATAATTATTCCTTAAAGATGAAAATAATAGGTATTTTTAAAATCATTTTCAGTGGTTCCTTAAGAGGGGTGAATCACTCTCCTCCCCTGATAACATTTGGTAGTGTCTGTTGACAATGCGGTGTTGGGGTGCTGTGGTGCTGTCAGCACCTGATAGGTGAAGACCAGAGATGAACACCCTATCATGTGCAGAGTAGTCCCCCCAACCAAGAATTATCCAGCCCAGAAGGTCAGTTGTACTGAGGTTGAGAAATCCTGTTTCAGATTTTTCAATGTATTTATTCTCCTCCCAACATATTTACTTAACTTCCTTCAGCTTGAATTTTCTTCTTTCTTTGTTTTGTTTTTTTTTTTTTTTTTTTTTTGAGACTGTGTCTTGCTCTGTCCCCCAGGCTGGAGTGCAGTGGCACAGTCTCAGCTCACTGTAGCCTCCGCCTCCCCGCCTCAGCCTCCCAAGTAGCTGGGATTACAGGGCCTGCCACCGTGCCGGGCTATTTTTTATATTTTTAGTAAAGACAGGATTTCACAATATTGGTCAGGCTGGTCTCGAACTCCTGACCTCAAGTGACCCACCCACCTCGGCCTCTCAAAGTGCTGGGATTACAGGTGCGAGCCACTACCCTCAGCCAAAAGCTTGAATTTTCTTTGTCAAGTCATAAGAAGGTGGTATCAAGAATGAAAATAGTCGTGAGTGTCCTTGTAGATGTGCATTTGCAGCAAGTACATACGTTTAGATGCACCATAGGATACTGCACACTGACTGTTTCACTGCACACAGGGTTTATTCTACACTGGCTGCTCATCCCAGCATGGAAGTAGCAGTGGCTGGATGCCCACTCTGCAGTGTCCACCGCTTTCCCCGCAGCGTCTGTTTGAGGCTTCCAGCAGCCTTGTGGTGTAGTTCGTGTCATTAAGTCCATTATACAGATTAGAGTCTGTATGAGAGTGATTTATCCAAAGTTGATCAACTACTAAAGGGCAAAAGGGGGGTCTCCTCCTCCTGGCTCCTGGATCCGAAACTCTTTGCCATTGGTTTTTTTTTGGAGACTGAGTCTCACTCTTGTCACCCAGGCTGGAATGTAGTGGCGCGATCTCAGCTCACTGCAGCATCTGCCTCCCTGGTTTAAGCGAGTCTCCTCCTTCAGTCTTCTGAGTATCTGGGACTACACGCTTCCACTGCACCCAGCTAATTTTTGTATTTTTAGTAGGGATGGGGTTTCACCATGTTGGCCAGGTTGATCTTGAACTCCTGACCTGACCTCAGCTGATCTGCCCACTCAGCCTCCCAAAGTGCTGGGATTACAGGCGTGAGCCACCTCACCTGGCCTAACATTGCTTTTTTGTTTGTTTGTTTTTTTTTTTTTTTTTTTTTTTTTTTGGTTTTTTTTTTTTTGAGACAGAGTCTCGCTCTGTTGCCCAGGCTGGAGTGCAGTGGCATGATCTTGCCTCACTGCAAGCTCTGCCTTCCGGGTTCACGCCATTCTCCTGCCTCAGCCTCCTGAGTAGCTGGGACTACAGGCACCCGCCACCACGCCCAGCTAGTTTTTTTGTATTTTTAGTAGAGATGGGATTTCACCCTGTTAGCCAGGATGGTCTCGATCTCCTGACCTTGTGATCCGCCCACCTCAGCCTCCTAAAGTGCTGGGATTACAGGCGTGAGCCACTGCACCTGGCCTAACATTGCTTTTTTGTTTGTTTGTTGTTTTGTTTTTGTTTTTGTTTTTGAGATAGAGTCTCGCTCTGTCGCCCAGGCTGGAGTGCAGTGGTGTGATCTCAGCTCACTGCAAGCTCCGCCTCCCGTGTTCACGCCATTCTCCTGCCTCAGCCTCCCGAGTAGCTGGGACTACAGGTGCCTGCTACCACGCCCGGCTAGTTTTTTGTATTTTTAGTAGAGATGGTGTTTCACCGGGTTATCCAGGATGGTCTCGATCTCCTGACCTCGTGATCCACTCACCTCGGACTCCCAAAGTGCTGGGATTGCAGGCATGAGCCACGGCTCCCAGCCCTACCATTGCATTTTTAAGCACCGTTTGGAAATCGCTTCTTTCACTAGTTATCCCTCTTTCAAGTACCCAAAACGTGGCCAAAGACCTGGCCAATTAGAGAGACCCTGACATCCCAGGTGAAATCACTTCCGGGTCATCATACTCAAGACGTTGGCCTTTCTGTTGCAGGAATAGGTGGAGCCAGATAAAATTGTTGATTGCTTTGAGGAGAAAGTGTTTTGAAAGTTGCATTTTATTTTTTAGGCTGTAACAGAAGACAAGTACGAAATACTGCAATCTGTCGACGATGCTGCGATTGTGATAAAAAACACAAAAGAGCCTCCATTGTCCCTGACCATCCACCTGACATCCCCTGTTGTCAGAGAAGAAATGGAGAAAGTATTAGCTGGAGGTAGGGAGGCCGAGACACGCCGGCAGGACTTTGAAAATGTGGTGTTCCCTCACTATTCAAATGTGCTATTCAGTTTTAGACTGCTTTGGTATACGGTGTAGATTGACCACCTTTACTCTGAGATCACATCTCCCGTTGGCTTTGAGTACTTGGGAGTTTGACAAAACAGTCGCACTAAAAGTGAGTAGCACTTTTCATAGGGGACTGCACCATTTTCCTTTATCTTCATCCTTGAACGTTCTCAAACATGAATGTGGAAGTTGCTTTTCTATGGAGCCATTCTCTGGCTGTGGAGAAGTGTCCCTGGTGATTCCATGGTTTTAAAGATGAGACAACCAGATGGTTTCTGCATGAGCACCACGTTGGAGTTTACCAACAGCCTGTGCTGCAGCTGAGCTGAGGGCCTCTTCGTTTGTCCTCTGTCATGGCTCTTTTATCATTTAAAGTGACAGAAGCACAAAGAGCTGATACAGAGTTTTGGATAAAGTTTTAAACTGTTGTCCAATTTTTCAAACCACATCATTGGACCTCACGCTAATAATGTGCTCGCAGTCCATGGCCCGCCGCTCGCATGCCTGTCTTCAGGCCTTATCCAAACCCCTGGTGTGCAGATGGCAGAGAAGATAAACGCTCTGCTTGGCCGCAGCATAGGCTGGCATAGCGCCCTTGTTGCTGTTTACCTTTGGTTCTCATAGCTGATTCCGACTACCAAAGCCCTTCTAGTTGATCAACGTAGGGACGCTGGACCTTTGACCAACAGGACTCTCTCTGTCAAGGGCTGGGGCTAGGGCAGTCCCGCCT
Organism: Homo sapiens; assembly: GCF_000001405.40. Lineage (NCBI taxonomy): Eukaryota > Metazoa > Chordata > Mammalia > Primates > Hominidae > Homo > Homo sapiens. The sequence continues at coordinate 10,678,112 of NC_000019.10, forward strand.
GGTGGGCGGAGTTGGTCCCCTTTGCTGCAGATGCCTTGGGATGGCTGTTGTGTGATGCAGAGAGGGAGTTCATTTCCTCTCCCTCGGCCTTTTTAAATTTTTTCCTATTGAACATTTTAGCATAGCTAATTTATTGGGAGAACATGGGGAGGAGGCAAGGGAAGAGGATTAGAAGATAGGCTCCACCTATCTCTCCCCTCCCTCATGAGATTATTCCTTTTAGAATAACTCCCCACTTTTGTTTTTATGTTTGTTTTATTTTTTCTTTTTCTTTCTTTTTTCTTTTTCTTTTTATTTTTGGAGGGGGCCTCCAATTTTTACAATTTCCTCACAGGGCAGAGTTGAATGTGCTCTAGTTTCTCCTTCCCTGGTCCAGGGTGGAGATGAATTCAGCTTCTGGGAAACTCAGCTGCCCTTTAGAAAGCTGCCACATCCCCTTTCCACCTGACAGAAACCCCTTGGTCAAACTGTGCCTTGTCTTCTTATTCCATCCATGAATAGAAACGCTATCAGTCAACGACCCCCCGGACGTTCTGGACAGGCAGAAATGCCTTGCTGCCTTGGCGTCCCTCCGACACGCCAAGTGGTTCCAGGTTTGCATTTTGTTCTTCTATTTGTCTTTTGGTAGAGAATTCCTAAGTTTTAACTTGGCTAACTGTCACCATAAAGATTCCTTAACATTGACGATAGCCGTGCCGAGCTTAGCACCTGCAGCTGCGCAGGTCCTAAAGGAGTGCACCTCAACAAATTCGACCCCAAAAGAGGCTGAGACTGAGTTGGTGGGCTGCTGCTGCTGCTGCTGCTTTGTGTTAAGAGTAACACTCTCTTGTACACGTAGTGACATTGCGGCTGGCCACAGCCTTGGTGGTCGCCAGTGTTGACTGTTTACCCTTGGCAAAGCAGCAACCTGACACTTGTGTCGTTCATGTTGACTTGTGCCCTGGGCGGTGCCTCAGACTGAAGAGCCTGTGTTTTGTTCCCCTAGGCCAGAGCCAACGGGCTGAAGTCTTGTGTCATTGTGATCCGGGTCTTGAGGGACCTGTGCACTCGCGTGCCCACCTGGGGTCCCCTCCGAGGCTGGGTAAGGCATGTTGCTGTGGCTACTGGGGGTGGTGTGTGCAGAGTCTTTTGGATATCCCAGGAACACTTGATGGTCACGGGGCAGGAGTGGCCTCTTGACGCGTGGCTGGTGTGTACTCTCCAGAGCTGCCTGTGGAGCTGCTCCTGCTTGCCACACCTGGGGTTGGGGTTGGGGCAGTGTGGGTCGGGGCCCTCTGCAGGGTCGCACAGCTCAATCCCAGGAGTGGGGGCTGACCAGGAGGTGGGAATGATCCCTCTGGGAAGGTTTGTAGATAGTCTCACGCAGGACCAGTTTTTGGCAGTTGCACCCTTTTTTTTTTCAGCTTGCAGTTGAGGTGGTTTTTATATTTGTAAATAAATGGTTAGATTTTAAGTAAGAAGTACTACATCATAACCTTAGCTTGGTCTCTGAGCTCACACAGCCTGCTAGGATGTCATGTCTGGTCCTTGAAGGCCCCTGTCCTAGATGCCCTGGCTCAGGCTTAGCCCTGAGGCTTTGACTTTACCCGACTGGTTGGCTATGAGTCCCACGTGTGCCCCGACCCACTCATGCAGTGACAGCTCCCCAGTGGCGGCCGGCCCCATCCTGTAGGCTCTTGGCTCACTGTCCCTCTTCCCTTTCAGCCTCTCGAGCTCCTGTGTGAGAAATCCATTGGCACGGCCAACAGACCGATGGGTGCTGGCGAGGCCCTGCGGAGAGTGCTGGAGTGCCTGGCGTCGGGCATCGTGATGCCAGGTTGGGGCCTTGTGCTTTGCAGGTTGCAGGGAAAGGACAGGGTTCCAGGCCGCCTCCTGGCGGGTACACTGACTGGGTTAGGACAGCAGCAGCCCCGTGTCCACCCCCTAGAGCTGAAGCATGTGACTACCCTCTGGCACCATCATATCCAGCCCTGACCGGGTCCGCAGCCGTCATTCAGAGGGCGGATCCGGGGCAGTGGTGACCCACTCCCACGTGACTTTCTTGCTCTGAGACACTTGTGAATTATTTCTGTCAAGGGCTGGACGCCGAGTGGGTCACCGAGCTAGGCATGTTTTCCAGAGCTGGGTGTGGATGGGGCGCGGGGGGTAACACACCTAGTTCCCTCAGCCAGCACACCTCTTCAGAGATGCTAAAAGATAATCCTCTGCATATCTTCCTTGTTTCCTGCCTTCAGATGGTTCTGGCATTTATGACCCTTGTGAAAAAGAAGCCACTGATGCTATTGGGCATCTAGACAGACAGCAACGGGAAGATATCACACAGAGTGCGCAGGTATAGTCATCGCCATTGCCAACGTGCGCCCTGACCCAGTCTGTAATCACTGGCTTCCAGTTCCATTACTGGGTATTCCCAGGGTAGCCCCTGGACTCGTAGGCTCAGGTCGGGGACTGAAGGCAAAAGGATTGTGTCTGATACAGGGCGCCCCAATCTGGGCTGCTTCTTTCCCCTGGTGCCATGCGTGGTTTTCATCTGCCCCCTCCCTTGGCTTGCTCGAGTGCCGTTTTCAGACACTGTGAGTGGTGCTGGGAGATGTGTTTGCTGTGCGGACTGCTCCGGGGGGACCTTCCCCTGCAGGCCCCCACATGGCTCCGTGTGGCAACCAGTCCCCAGGTTGGGGTCTCCTGTATTCCTTTGGAAGGGGGGTGGTCACAGGCTGGCCTTCCCCCACAGCAAGGCTGGGCTTGAGCAGTCAGGCTCTCCCCTGGCTGGTGGGGGACCCCTTGCTGTCGTAAGGGAGACCATTAGCAGCCCTTCAGCTCTGCCCCTCCTCAGAAGGCAGTAGTGAGCACACACTCCATGGCCGGGAGCACAGGGCAGCTGAGTCAGAGCCTCTTCCCCTTCTCCAGCACGCACTGCGGCTCGCTGCCTTCGGCCAGCTCCATAAAGTCCTAGGCATGGACCCTCTGCCTTCCAAGATGCCCAAGAAACCAAAGAATGAAAACCCAGTGGACTACACCGGTAAGCCTGCGGCGGTTGCCTGATGGCTGGGGCTCCAGGAAGAGTCACCATCTGCATCTCCCAGCCATGCCCTGGTCTCTCCTTGCAGTTCAGATCCCACCAAGCACCACCTATGCCATTACGCCCATGAAACGCCCAATGGAGGAGGACGGGGAGGAGAAGTCGCCCAGCAAAAAGAAGAAGAAGATTCAGAAGAAAGGTACAGGCCGGGCGCGGTGGCTCACGCCTGTAATCCCAGCACTTTGGGAGGCCGAGGCGGGAGAATCGCTTGAGCTCAGGAGTTTTGAGACCATCAGCCTGGGCAACATGGCGAAACCCCGTCTCTACAAAAAATACAAAAATTAGCTGGGTGTGGTGGCGCACCTGTAGTGCCAGCTACTTGGGAGGCTGAGATGGGAGGATGGCTTGAGCCTGGGAGGCGGAGGTTGCAGTGAGCAACTGTACTCCAGCCTGGGCAACAGAGCGAGACCTTGCTTAAAATCAGTGTTGAAAAATTTTAGAAGCTAAATAGGTAAAAAAGCAGGAAGGTGCAGACCTCCACTAGTGCTGCTGCTTTATCCATCTGGTCCTGTGAAGGCTCACCCTGAAGCTATGGGATGGCTGCTTTTGTTTCATTTTTCTCACTTGTGATTTCTGAGTCCTTTTAACAATGATGAGGCATGATTGGGGATGTGGAAGATGAGTAGGATGGTGGTGCTACAGCTGGAGGCCACAGGAGAGGTGCAAGCTGGGCTCAGTTTGTGTGGCTGCCCCACCCACTGTGTTACGCCACAGAGGCAGCCCTGGGGGTTAGGATTGGCAGAGCTCTCGTGGAGACCTGCCATCGTGCTGATCCAGAGCCACCTTGCTATTCTCTCTGTAGAGGAGAAGGCAGAGCCCCCCCAGGCTATGAATGCCCTGATGCGGTTGAACCAGCTGAAGCCAGGGCTGCAGTACAAGCTGGTGTCCCAGACTGGGCCCGTCCATGCCCCCATCTTTACCATGTCTGTGGAGGTTGATGGCAATTCATTCGAGGCCTCTGGGCCCTCCAAAAAGACGGCCAAGCTGCACGTGGCCGTTAAGGTGAGTGTGGCCAGCATCACTGTCTTCTAATAGCAGAACCATGGTCTTTGTTTTGGGCCCCTTCTGAGCCATTGTCTCTCAGGGAGGGCATGTAGATTCTAAAAATACACATGGTTAGATGGCGAGTATTTGCCAAGTCACGTGGCAAGAACGCCTTCCCACTGTGGCTGGCAGGCAGAGGGGTCCCCAAACATGATTGGGGCATTAGGGCCTCCTGGGAGCAGGAGCTGAAAGGAAACAGCCCTCCTCCAGATGGCTTCCCGGGTGGGTGCCTGTAGGCCATGAGGAGGCCCTGCATGCAGCCCTGCTTCACTGGGACCTTGGGGGTCTTGCCACCTCTGCAGGTGTTACAGGACATGGGCTTGCCGACGGGTGCTGAAGGCAGGGACTCGAGCAAGGGGGAGGACTCGGCTGAGGAGACCGAGGCGAAGCCAGCAGTGGTGGCCCCTGCCCCAGTGGTAGAAGCTGTCTCCACCCCTAGTGCGGCCTTTCCCTCAGATGCCACTGCCGAGGTGAGCACATGGTGGGCGCTGGGAGTGACTGCCTGGACAGAGCAGGCAGCCATGTGTCCTGTCAGTGAGGTGGTTACTGGTCCTTGTTAATTTGCCCCAAAAAGTGGACCTTTCAGGCCAGAAGTCCGCACAGGAAGCTGGGTGCTGCCCTCCGAGCCGTGTCGGGGAGGGCCTTGTGGATGTTGTCCCAGCATCCTATAGGCTACACTGGGGTGGCCTTGGGTTGATAACGTGCTGTTCAGAGGGGAGGCACAGGAAGGGGGCACATTGCTGGAAGGCCCTCACTAGAGTCAGTGGAGACTCTGGCAAGGGCTGGCAGTGTATGAAGAGCAGAGGCCCTGCCTCAGTCCTGCCACTCCTCCCATGTGACTGGAATGCCCATAGCTGAGTTTGTCGGTCTTCTTTTCTGTTTTCCCTGAGAACGTAAAACAGCAGGGGCCGATCCTGACAAAGCACGGCAAGAACCCAGTCATGGAGCTGAACGAGAAGAGGCGTGGGCTCAAGTACGAGCTCATCTCCGAGACCGGGGGCAGCCACGACAAGCGCTTCGTCATGGAGGTGCGCAGCCTGAAGCTGCCTGCTGGGGCAGTCCCATGGGGAGGCCTGGGGTCCCCCTGCCCCTGGAGGGAGGCACTGAGTCATCTCCATCTGCACTTTCCAGGTCGAAGTGGATGGACAGAAGTTCCAAGGTGCTGGTTCCAACAAAAAGGTGGCGAAGGCCTACGCTGCTCTTGCTGCCCTAGAAAAGCTTTTCCCTGACACCCCTCTCGCCCTTGATGCCAACAAAAAGAAGAGAGCCCCAGTACCCGTCAGAGGGGGACCGAAATTTGCTGCTAAGGTGAGCAGTGGCCCTTGAACCTCCTTGCCCAGGCATGGGTTCTTCTGCAATGTGAGCACGAAGGGAATGTCACTTCCCTGTGTTCTCTTCTAGCCACATAACCCTGGCTTCGGCATGGGAGGCCCCATGCACAACGAAGTGCCCCCACCCCCCAACCTTCGAGGGCGGGGAAGAGGCGGGAGCATCCGGGGACGAGGGCGCGGGCGAGGATTTGGTGGCGCCAACCATGGAGGCTACATGAATGCCGGTAAGGGCCCTCATACTGCACTGTCCCCGCCTTCCCCACGTGCATGCTCTGGGAACAAATGTGTGGGGCTCCTGGGGTGGGCCGGAGACACTGCTGGACCCCGGTAACCCTGTCTTTCCCTTTCCAGGTGCTGGGTATGGAAGCTATGGGTACGGAGGCAACTCGGCGACAGCAGGCTACAGTAAGTGTGCGTTTCTGTCTGTCTGACCTGGGAAGCAGCTGCAGTGTAGCGTCTGGGCCTGAGTTAGCAAAGGGTGGCCAGAGCAGCCTCGAGGAGGCTGTAGAAGGGGCACACACCTTTTTGCGGTGATTAGGTCAGACGGCCCTCGACCCCCACCCCTTCCCGGCCCCACAGTGGGATTGATTGTGTTAATACACGAACTCGTGTAACTGCAAAGTTCCTTAAAAGTTAGAATTTTAAATTTCTCTGCTTTAAGCCATGCGAAGCACCAATCTTGTGAATACGCTTTTCCGGCCAGTGCACAGCTCTTGTCTTGAGAAGGAGCCTTCATTGGGGGGTTACAGGAGCAGAGAAATCTAAAACATGAATTTCAAATGTGGCGCTCTGTGCCCTTTTTCAAAAGAATTCTAATTTCTTCTCTCTGCTCTGTCTCCCCCTTTTGTAGGTGACTTTTTCACAGACTGCTACGGCTATCATGATTTTGGGTCTTCCTAGAGCGTCTAAAAGTATTGCACACAAAATCAACTTTTTACTCCAATTTCCTCCAACTCCAAAACCCAAAGTGTCCGTGCTGTGTCCCTGTGCTTCACTGGGTTTCTCAACCGTGGCTTTTCACCGCAGCTTGTCTGAAACTCTTAGCCTGCAGAATTTAAGACAATGGCAGTTTTTATCGTGATTTGCCTTTGAACTTGGTCCTATTGAAGTTCACAATAAGTGGAAAACAATTTTTTCAGAGAATGTATTTTTGTGCAGAATTGCACAGAATTCTAGAGACAGCGTTGTTCGGCATCAAGGCAAAAGCCCACCTTTGCTTTTTATGGAAAGCATTACTTTATTTAAAGAGACAGACAATGACGCATTTTAATCTACCTTTGTCTTAATTTACAGCAGGTTTTGTATGAATTTTTAACCTTTTAACAAACTCCCAAATCTGGTTGATGCCTTTGACAGTGATGAAAACGATTTCACCACATCTGAATCCAGAGAAACCGGCTTTTTTTCTTATTGCGAGCATGTTAAAACGTTGGGAACATGTGGGGAATTGTATATTGCGCTGAATTAACTTCTCCCGCCTCTTGTAATGCTCTGGTGGGTTCTTGTTTGGGAATGCGATATTTTGTGGCTGGTTTAGCTAGAGAGTGAACTCTCAAAGGTATCAAAACTGTGCTTCCATTATTAGTGCAAGAAACAGACAGGCTTTAAGGGGTAGATGACGTGAAATTTTGCAAGTCTTAATTACAGCTGCAGATGCATGGGATTCTGGATTTTTTTGTTGCTTTTTAGTTTAATGGGACTTTAAAAGTAATTGAGGAGAAAGAACCGTGATGTTCCCTGTTTCTCCAGTAAAGGACTGGCTTTTGCTTGGGCAGAGGTGGTGCTGCTGGGTGTGCAGCTGCCACAGACTCCAAAGGCGTAGAAGTTTGTGCCAACACACGGAGTCATTCTGGCTCTCTGCTGAGGCCCCTGTTTTCTGGCAGGTGCCCTCCTTGGAAACTGGTTTTGGCTCTGATCAGCGGTTCTTTTTGCAGCAAAGCCTGCATCTGTGTTGACTTGCAAGATTTTGCGTTTATTCAGGCAAAAACTGGTCAAAATGGTTACTACATGATTTGTTCCCAGAGGTTTGAAACATTCAGTGAAACTTTTTAAAACTTTGATTGCATGATGTATTTTTTTTTTAGAAAGTTATTGTTTGAGAATAATGTCTTTTTATACCAGGAAAATAGTTATCCTGAATGACGTTGAAAACTCCCCCTCCCCTTTATTTTTTTTTAATCAATACATGTGAAAGTAACAAGCCCTCGGCCCTTGCGTCTTCATTCATTCCCGGCTTCAGGCGGGGCGAGGTGGTGTGCTCAGTGCAGGACACTGGGGAAGCTGGGGCTGTGGGGCTGTGGGGTGTGGGTCCTGGTGGGGGGGTTCTGAAGATCCCATCCTCCCAGTCTCCTCGCTGAGCTGCCGCATGTTCGCTTTCTGGCATTGTGGGACACATCCTCCCCCTTGGTGTCTTGGCTTTGTGATGGCGGGCGAGGGAGGAGGCCTGCCTGAAGAACACAAACTGAAGGTTGCAGATAGTTCTGTCCACGTTGTCATGCAGGCAGCCCACCACACCAGCGTGGGGTACACATCTCCAGTGGGTGGAGGCACGTGAGGACTCCCAGTTACCCTACCCAGGAGGCGGTGGGCCCTTAGTGTCCTCAATCTGGGAAGGAAGGACAGGCAGCGTGGGAGCCTCCCCTTCCCTCCCACCCACCCTGGGCCTGGAGGTCTGGGCAGCCTGACTGGGCAAAGGTGGCTGCATTCACAAGCCGACCCGCTCTGAGAGCCCAGGAACTCAGCTGCGCCTGGTGAGCGCTTGGGCGTTGGCCAGCTTGGCTGGAGAGCCACCACCATGACCCAGCCTCCCACCTCACCCACCCTCTGAGCCTTCCCACACCCACTGTGGAGGCTCCCTGTGTGGGGCTCCCTTGCAAGGCTTGGGGTGCAGCATTCCCTCAGCCAGTGCCGTCCCCTTTGTTCCACTCGAGCCTCTGGCGGGGCCGTGTATTGACAAACCTAGTGACCAGAAGTGGGGTCTCACTGCTACATTTTCAGCTTGCGGCTGAGAATGTAGTGGCTGCACTGCACACTTTCAGCCCTGCTGCTCAGCCCCACCTGCACCCAGCAGCTGTGCTGGGGACAAGGAAGGGGCCTCGGGAGTCATTAGGGCTGTAGGTCTAGGCCTCACCCGGCTTTCCTGCCCCAGCCGTGGCCACTGCCCTCTGCCAGCCAGGCTGGGGCTTGGTCACATCCTGAGTCACATGCTTGCATGAGTATCGCAAGGGAGGTGCCTGCATCATTGACTGAGTCTCGATTTGTCTTCCAAGAACCAAACCAGCTCAGACCAGTTGGTCTTCTCAGGATGATGACGGTCCGGGGCCTCTTTAAATAGCATCTTTTAGGGGCCTCCAGGCCTGTGCCTGTGGAGCCTGTTCCCAGCACAGCAGGGAGGAGGGGGGTGGCTGCTGCTTCTCTGGGGCTTTGCTTTTCCTGTCACCATTGGGGATCTCTGGGTAGCCGTCAGCTAGCTGTGAATGTCGTCCCGCGCTCGGAGTCCATCTCATTGTAATGTTGACATCCGCTGCAAAAGCTGCTGGCGCGTGCTGCTTGGCAAAGCCCCATTGTTGTCATCAGCTGCTGGGTGAGTGGAGCTGAAGGCTGGGCCAGCCCAAACGGCTGTGCTAAGGACCGGAGCCACTGCTCCTCTCCCTCCTTGTCCTACTGCCTCTGACCCGGGCTTGTGGGTCAGCCTTCAGGACCCATGGCTGCCGCCTGCCCTTCCCTCCCTTCCCCCTGCCCTTTCCCGTCCTCCGCCTGACCCACTGCCTCCCTGTTTAGGTCAGTTCTACAGCAACGGAGGGCATTCTGGGAATGCCAGTGGCGGTGGCGGCGGGGGCGGTGGTGGCTCCTCCGGCTATGGCTCCTACTACCAAGGTGACAACTACAACTCACCGGTGCCCCCAAAACACGCTGGGAAGAAGCAGCCGCACGGGGGCCAGCAGAAGCCCTCCTACGGCTCGGGCTACCAGTCCCACCAGGGCCAGCAGCAGTCCTACAACCAGAGCCCCTACAGCAACTATGGCCCTCCACAGGGCAAGCAGAAAGGCTATAACCATGGACAAGGCAGCTACTCCTACTCGAACTCCTACAACTCTCCCGGGGGCGGGGGCGGATCCGACTACAACTACGAGAGCAAATTCAGTGAGTTGGCTTCCAGAGCCCCTCGGCCGGGCCAGGGTCCAGGCCCCAGCAGTGCAGCCCACGGAGTGGCAGAAGCTCGGCACTGCCCAGACCTCTGGCTGAGGGCCTTAGGAGGAGGACAAGTGGTGCTGGCTGCGGGCGGGTGCTAGGAAGATGGGGCGTGGGACCTCATGGTGCCGTCTCCGCCACTCTCTCTGGTGTGTTCTCCGAAGGCAGGGTAGCTGAGGCCTCTGTCCCGAGGCCCTGGCTGTGGGTGAGGCTGCAAGGTGACTTCCTGGGACTTGCTCTAGAGAGTTTTGCATCCAGCCCCTGCAAGAGCCTGACCTCTCCGCCACCGCCTTTCCGCTTCCTCATGCGCAGACCCAGCAGGCCCGGGCTGCACCAGTGACCCAGTGGGGCTGAGTAGGTGTGTCCTTGGGACCCAGCAGCTGTCAGCAGCAGGCCAGGGACTTGACAGAGGCTGTGCTGGTGGGTCAGAAGGGGGTGCTGTGTGTCTGGTGCTGCTGGCTGAGGAGAGGCGGCTGCTGGGGTCTCAAGCACTTCCTCAGCTGCTGCTGGGAAGTTTGGGCTGCAGGAACAGATGGGAAGGCACCCCAGAGCAGGGCTTTGGAGCTTGGTGACCAGCCCAGCCCAGGGCCAGGTGACCCTGCAGGGCTCCAGCTGGCCCCTGGTACTTACCTGATGGGCTGATGTGCGACATTGAAGCAGGCAGGGAGAAGAGTTAGAGGCCCAGGGTCTGGGCCAGGGGCCGGCCGCGTCTGAGGCGCACCACAAGGCCCCCGGGCCGCCCAAGGTGTGTCTTTCCTGGGGCCCCTTAACCATCCTGTCTTCTCTCCCCCAGACTACAGTGGTAGTGGAGGCCGAAGCGGCGGGAACAGCTACGGCTCAGGCGGGGCATCCTACAACCCAGGGTCACACGGGGGCTACGGCGGAGGTTCTGGGGGCGGCTCCTCATACCAAGGCAAACAAGGTGGGCCTGGAGCCCCTGGTGGCACAGCATGGGGGGCCTGGCAGCTGCTGTGAAGCGGGATATGGACCTGGTGGGAGCAGACAGCAGCGTGGGCAGGGCTGCAGTGGCAGGTGGGCCCTGTGAGAACACGCACTCGGATGCACTGGCAGCTGCTAAGGCTTTCGGGAGCAGCCGGAGAGCCAGCAGTGTCCCCACGCTTAACCCCTGGTACCTGTGTGAAATGTGGGTGACACCAAGGCCAAACAGCTGTTCCCCCGGTTCTGGCCAGTAGCTCAGCCTTGGGCTCAGGTAGCTTCTCCCAGAAACGAGGGTCACAGTGGTCCCACCTCTCAGAGTCTTGGTGCCAGCCTGATCCAGTGATGTGTGGTAGGCAGGCAGAGCCGCACAGGAGCCCATAAGTCTTGCCCACCTGCATCCTGGCCGAGGCTTGGGTGTGGGCTGCCTAACCTGAGCCCCGCTGGCTGGGCCCCTCGGCTCTAATCCACCACTCTCTCTCCTAGGAGGCTACTCACAGTCGAACTACAACTCCCCGGGGTCCGGCCAGAACTACAGTGGCCCTCCCAGCTCCTACCAGTCCTCACAAGGCGGCTATGGCAGAAACGCAGACCACAGCATGAACTACCAGTACAGATAAGCCCCCGCGGGGCGGAGATTTCTACCTTCTGCACTTACTCCCCATCAGAAGATCGAGTTTTATGCATCACAGTTAACATGTCAGCTGGCCCTCCAGGCCCCCGCCCCCATCCCGTCCACGTTGCTGTGTCGTGAGGTGCAGCGGGTCACCCTGTGGCCCGTCCTGTGACCCATATTTAGCCGTGTTTGGGACTCCGTGTCTTCAATGGTTTGTTAGTTGCCATTACAACTTTGTCTGGGTAGAGTTTTTGAGTTTTTGCAGTTCAGTATCCCTCTGTCTATTCACACTTCGTGTTAGTGGTAACTCAGTTTGTCTTTAAATAGTTACAGAAGGGATACGTCATTTGTTAATGCTTTTGTGAAGTGAGTTAAACGAGCTTTCTGTATTTTAATGCTTTAGTGTTTCAGTTTTATAAGTGAAGATTTTATTTTAAAAACCAGTGGGAAAGAGTGGGGGGTTTCTTTTTATGTCTGGGTCATTCAGGCAGTACATCTGAATTAAGCTGAATGTAGACAAATAAAGAAAAACAAAACTGCGCCCGTCTTAGGCCTGGGTGTCTGACCCACCAGCAGTGCAATGGGCAGGTTTCCCCACTCTATTCCTGCTCTTGGGAAAGCAGCGTGGGCCATCAGGATGGTCCCTGGTCCTTAGAGAGGGTCCAGTTCAGGCTTCTAGACATTTTACTCATGCTCAGCGAAGGCTGGTTCCTGGTCCCCTGGGCTGTGTAGACCCGGTGTCCCACCAGGCTCCAGGCTCCCACCATCTACAGAGGGGCTTACAGCGCCCATTCTGGTCTTGGGGAACCCATCACAAAATAGGCTTTTTCTGCTCCCCGATTCTGGTGTAGTTCTAAGTACACAGTGATGTCCTCTGTAGGGGCGTGCCTGTGGTGGAACATAACGCAGTTACAAAAGAAAGGGCAGGTGAGGCCTGGGTAACCCCAGCCATGGACCGTCAGTGGCTGGAGGGAGCTTCGTGTCTGTGCTGGAGCTGCAGCCTGCTCGCCATCTGGAGGCTCAGTGGAGTGGGGAGTTGGGGTTCTCATACCAGCAGATTTCCCTAGAGCGTGATTCTCCCATCTGAGGCAATCTTGCCTCCCAGGGGAAATTTTGCAATGTTTGGAGGATGTTGTCACAGCTAGTAGCGGGTGCTCTGGGATCTGGTGGATAGATGCCAAGGATGCTGTCAAGCATACTGTACTGCCCAGAACAGTGGCCCATAGCAGGGACCTGCCCTATCAAAATATCAGGTGTATGGAGGTGGAGTCCCAACGCTAGAGCAGCCCTTCTCAGCTCCACCCTGCCCGGGGAGGGAGGAGGAGCTCTGGTTTCAGAGCAGTGCCGGGATTGCCTTTCCCCAGGATCTGTGTCGGCCATCCAGGAAGAACTGTACTGGCCAAGCCTGGGACCACACGTCTGCAGAGATCCTGCTCTGCTGGCCTGAGCCCCAGGCCTTGGCCTCCTGTGCTTGGGTAACCATGGCCACTGGGAAAAGCAAGGACCGTGTTTGACTTTCTTGGAGAGGTGAAAGAGGTGAAAGAACAAGTTGTGTGCTAGAAAACTTTTGAGGAATTCTTATTTGTGTTAGAGCAGAGGAGGTCCCAGATACCAAGTGGCGCCTCCCAGGAAAGGCTGGGAGAAGAGGTGGCCTGGAGTACCCCGAGATCCCAGCAGCGCACACAGTGGAGGGATGAGGATGGATGGGTCCTAACCCCTGATTTTGATGGGATGTGTTCATGTCCTATCTCCTCTCCTGGACACATTAAGGGGTTGGGACAAGAAGAGACTCCTGTGAGATCAGCAGACCTCGTGTTTAAGGAGAGAATGCCTGCCTGCAACACTCATGGAGAGGGACACTTCCTGGCCCCACCTGCTAAATACCTCCAAACTCTGGGCAGGCGCCTGCATTCTCAACACAGGACTTCCCTTAACAGTTTCCGGATCAGTGACCACCACCACGTTCAGGTTTCTGAATGCAGACCCACCACGAGGGATGGATTCCACCCGCCCGCCCTGCTGCAGATACATGCGGCACAGCAGGCACGTGCCTGGAGAGAACAGCTCCTGAGCACAGCACCCTTGGAGCCCTCACCCCGCTCACGATCCTCACCAGTGCTGATGATGCCGTCATGCTGCTGGCCTGAGACAGTATCCCAGCTACAACAGGACGACACCGGGTTCAGGAATATGTGGCTATCACCTTGAGCACTGACAGTGGCCTTCCAGGCTAGTTGCCTTCCAAACGCAGGTAGCCGACCTGCAGGAGGGCCTACAAACGGGCCCAGCAAGAGCTGGGCAACAGCTGGCTTGTGAAATGAGACACCTTGACCAATATGCTTTGGGTGGACGGTCTCCTACATGTTCAGTGGAGGCCACCAGGAGCATCCATGAGCGGGGAAGGGGTCCACACCCTTACATGGCAAGTTGATACGATGGGGTGCTTGGTGGATGGGCCATGGAGGTCCGTGAGCTGGAACTGGGCACACGCCATCCCAGAGGGCTCAGGATGCCCCAGGAAGGAAAGAAGGGCAACAGACTACACGATTGGACGTGTGTGGTTGACTGGGATGAAGTTGGAGGGAGGGGCAGGGCCTTGCAGGGGATTGGTACTGATCCCAGGGAGGAAGTGTTGGGGCTTCATGAACTAGGATGAAAGGAGGCCCCTGAGCCATGACAAGGGGCACATCCAGGATTTCCGCCACCCTGAATTTAGTAGAGCTAGTAGGCCCTGGTCGTCACTCTGGGCAGGGATGCCGTCAGCCTTGAGGGTCGCCACCCACCTGTGTGTTGCCCTCTGTCCTGGCAGGGAAACATACACCCCTTGTCTCACCACCAACCTTGCTTGTGTAGTCAGCAGGGCTGGCCCTGCCCCAAGGACTCACTGCATGTACCCGGACCCCTAGGCCTGGCCTTTGCAGCATAGTTGGGAGCTTCTGGATTCCATCTGCACCTGTGAGCCCCATGCTGGCTGTGCACTGCGCGGGCCTGAGACTGCTGGATACAATGTTGGGCAACAACTCAGCCAGCCTGATGGCAGCCTCAGAGGCTTACTCTAACCCATCCCAGAATAAATGGAGACTTCATGTGTTCATTGTTTCATTCACTCAACATGCGTTCGTTCATTTTTTAAGAGAGACAGGATATTGCTCTGTCATCCAAGCTGAAGTGCAGTGGTATCATCGTAGCTCACTGCAGTCTTGAACCCGAGAGCTCAAGCGATCCTCCCGTCACAGCCTCTGGAGTAGCTGGGACCACAGGGCTGTGCCTCCATGACTGACTAATTTTCTTGTAGAGGTGGGTCGCCAAGCCTAGTCTTGAACTCCTGGCCTTAAGCAACTCAGCTTCCCTATAGTAGCTGGGATGACAGGCAGCGCCACTGTGCCCTGCTGTCGTGTTTATTATTGCACAGTGATTACATGTCAAGTCTGGTGCTGGTTGCTGGGAACGAAATGGTGAACCTGCTCCCAACCCACATGTAGCTTCCAGGCACAAAGAGGGCTGTGTCACAGTGGGACAGGAAGTGCCTGTCAAGGCTTTCCCCTCAGGTGAGAGGATGGGTGAGTTGGACCCAAGAGTGTTAGGAAGGGAAGGGGAGGCCAGGCAGAGGGAATAGCTTGAGCAAAAATTCAGCTGGGGGATGAGGATGGGCTTCAAGAAGCTGAAGTCAGGTGGGTAGAGCATTTTGATGCAAAACAAAGGAATGCTGGGAAATGAGGCTGGAGGTCAGTGGGATCTTGAGGGCCCCCAAGTGGAGTGCCAGGCACAGGAGTTCTTGCCTTCTTTCTAAGGACAGTGGGGAGCCATGGATGGATTCTGACCTGGGAAGACTTCAGGCCCATTCAGGCTCCCAAGAGTATATATTTGTTTATTTATTTTACTTATTTAGAGATGGAGTTTCGCTCCTGTTGCCTAGGCTGGAGTGCAATGGCACGATCTCTGCTAACCACAACCTCCGTCTCCCGGGTTCAAGCGAGTCTCCTGCCTCAGCCTCCTCAGTAGCTGGAATTACAGGCATGTGCCACCAAGCCTGGCTAATTTTGTATTTTTGGTAGAGACAAGTTTTCTCCATGTTAGGCTGGTCTCGAACTCCCGGCCTCAGGTGATCCATCTGCCTCGGCCTCCCAGTGCTGGGATGACAGGTGTGAGCCACCGCACCTGGCTGTTTATTTTTTAAGATGGAGTCTTGCTCTGTCGCCAGGCTGGAGTGCAGTGGAGCAATCTCGGCGCACTGCAACCTCCGCTTCCCAGGTTCAAGCAATTCTCCTGCCTCAGCCTCCCGAGAAGCGGTAACTACAGGTGTGTGACACCATGCCCAGCTAACTTTTGTTTGAGACAGAGTCTTGCCCTATCACCCAGGCTAGAGTGCAGTGGCATGATCTCCGCTTACTGCAACCTCCGCTTTCTGGGTTCAAGTGATTGTCCTGACTCAACCTCCCTAGTAGCTGGGATTACAGGTATGCACCACCATGTCCGGCTTTTTTTTTTTTTGAGACGGAGTCTCACTGTCGCCCAGACTGGAGTGCAGTGGCATGATACCGCTCACTGCAAGCTCCGTCTCCCGGGTTCACGCCATTCTCCTGCCTCAGCCTTCCGATTAGCTGGGACTACAGGTGCCTGTCACCACGTCCGGCTAATTGTATTTTTAGTAGAGACGGGGTTTCACGTGTTAGCCAGGATGGTCTCGATCTCCTGACCTCATGATCCGCCTGCCTCGGCCTCCCAAAGTGCTGGGATTGCAGGAGTGAGCCACCGCGCCCAGCCAATTTTTTGTATTTTTAGTATTTAGTATTTTTAGTATTTAGTATTTAGTATTTTTGTATTTTAGTTCCACCTTGCTGGCCAGGCTGGTCTCAAACTCTTGACCTCGTGATCCACTCGTCTTGGCCTCCCAAAGTGCTGGTATTACAGGCGTGAGCCACACGGCGCCTGGCCTACAGTTTTTTTGTTTGTTTTGTTTTGTTTTTGAGATAGTCTCTCGCTCTGTTGCCCAGGCTGGAGTGCACTGGAGTGATCTCGGCCCACTGCAACCTCCGCATCCCGGGTTCAAGTTACTCTCCTGCCTCATCCTCCCGAGTAGCTGAGATTACAGGTGCCCAGCATTATGCCTGGCTAATTTTTGGATTTTTAGTAGAGATGGGGTTTCACCATGTTGGCCAGGCTGGTCTTGAACTCTTGACCTTGTGATTCGCCTGCCTCAGCCTCCCAAATTGTTGGGATTGCAGGCGTGAGCCACCGCTCCCAGCTGAAACTATTTTTTAGACAGGGTCTCGGTCTGGTATGCAGTGGTGCCATCATGGCTCACTCATCCTCCTGAGTATCTAGGACTACAGGCCTCACTGCCTGGCTAATGTTTGTTTTTCTTCATAGGGGCAGGGTCTCAGGTTGATGTCCAATTCTTGGCCTCAAGCCATCCCCTCTTCAGCCTCACGAACTGTTGGAATTAACCATTGTGAGCCACCGCGCCTCAGTACAGTTCTTTTGGTTGCTGAGCTGAGTAGGTGTATGGGAGAGGTGAGAATGGGGGCCCTGGAGACGACAAGAGGCTTGACTTTTGGAACATCGGAGCTGAGGTTTACAGTGATTTTTGCAGCTGAGTCCACTGGTCTTGATAAGGGAAGAGTTTCTAGACTCAAGAGGGTTAAAAACGGTATGTCAAAGAAAAGGGGCCCGTCCTTCTCATTCTCAGGGAGACCAGCATTCTCTCCACGGAGTAGCCAAGAAGTCCATGAACTCCCAGGTCTTGGGCCAGTGCTTTTGTCTTCTCAAAAGATCTGGCGCCTAAGGTCTTCTTGCTTGGCAACAGGGCAGTAGGTGGGTGGCAATGTCACAGAGGGACGGTCCCCACACGTCCGATGAATAAACTGGAGAAATCCTCCAGGCTATCGAGACGACCACCCGAACTCAGGGCTCCAAGGACCATTATTTCAGCAAAACCCCTAACTCTCCTCTCCTGAATGTTCTGTATTCCTCAGTCAGTGCTCAGAAGTCCGTATCCTGGACCCAGGACCTCAGCACCCGCTCCCTAAGGCCAACCATATAGTCCCCTGTTTGGGGGCTCCCCTGAGCAGTCGCGGGCGATCCCAGAGAAGGCAAGTTTCGGGATCTGACAGCCCCAGTCACGACCCTGGGTGCTGCGCAAGCCTCCATGTGAAGAGCGCGGAAACCGCCCCAGGCCTAGCTGCTGCAAACCACCGCTTCCAAACTTCCCGCCGGTCTCTAGGCTCCGGGTGCCCACCGCCCCTTCCTTCCTTCCTTTGCGCAATCAACAAGCTCCAACTCCAGATGGGATTTCGCAGGCCCTGCCCTGTGTATAAACTCTCTTCGTCCTGGGGTTGTCAACAAAATTTTTTTTTGGAGACGGAGTCTCGCTGTCGCCCAGGCTGGAGTGCAGTGGCGCGATCTCCGCTCACTCACTGCAACCTCTGATTCCCTGGTTCAAACAATTCTCCCGCCTTAGCCTCCTGAGTAGCTGGGATTACAGGCAAGCGCCACCACGCCCGGCAACAAACTCTTCTAATTGGCCGGACTCGCAGGCCCCGCCCCCACAGAGTGTGCCACTGCGTGGAGCGCGCCGCTCCTCATAGGGCGCTTGCGCAGGCTCCGCTCCCTGAGCGGCCGCTTTCCTGGTCTCCAGGCAACGCGTACGGCGCTGTCCACTGTGCTGAAGCCGCACACCAAGCGCCGCCTCTAGCTGCAGGCTCACGGCGCCCCCAGCTCTCCTAAGTGGGCGGTGCCAACACCCTAAAGCAGGGACCACTAAGCCTCCTTTGCGCCCTATCCCCAGTTTATCTCTTGGTAATAGGTAGAGCCCACTTCCCTCCACGTTGGCTGAGAAAGCCCTACCGTCCCATCCAGCTCAGAGGAAAGCCCAAGGCTTCCCGCGATTTCATGCCGTCACCTCCACACCCTCATCCGCTCACCTCCAGCCACACTGACCTCCGCGCTCACAACAGACAATCCAGACACATTCCCACCTCCAGGCCTTTGCTCTTAACTGTTCACGAGGCCTGGAGTGCTCTCTCCGATTCCGCATGACTCCTCCATCCTCCTTTCAGGCTCAAATCCCACCGTCTCAGTGAGCCCAGCCCTGACTATCCTGTCCTACTGAACACATTGACCTCTCTCTATATGTATGTATGTATATAATTTTATTTTTAGTTTTTTCGAGACAGGATCTTGCTCTGTTGCCCAGGCTGGAGTGCAGTGGTGCGATCATAGCTCACTGCAGCTTCCACCTCCCGGGCTCAAGCTATCCTCCTGCCTCAGCCTCCCGAGTAGCTGGGACTACAGGTGTGCAGCACTGCGCCCGTATAATTTTTGTATTTTTAGTACAGCAGAGGTTTTCGCCGTGTTGCCCAGGCTGGTCTCCAACTCCTGGGCTCAAGCGATCTACCTGCCTCAGCCTCCCAAGGTGCTGGAATTACAGGCGTGAGCCACTGCATCCGGACTAGAATATATTTGTTTAAGTGGGTGGATTAAGCCTCTTTTGATAATTGTTGAAGCTGGGTCATTGGTTACAAGGTGATAACTATGCAATTCTCTGTCCGTTTGTCTATGCTTGAAAAGTGTGTAATGAAGAATGTCAGGTGGCACAGTGATCTCCAGGAGGGGCAGAGAACCAGCATCAGGGGCTACACAGCTAGTGGTGGTACCCCAACGCCAACCCCACACATAGCCCAATCTCACAATGACTAAGTACAGAGACTGTAGTTGATGCTACAAGGATTACTGTGGCTGGAGACCAGATGTGCAACCACCTATAAACTTCCTGAGTGTAGCTTCAGTTTTGACATAAACTGTTCTTATTTTCATGAATCTCTGTGACATGGATGTAGCTGCCTCCAACTCCTGTCCCTAGTGTTTTCGAGCCCAAGGGCCTGTTTCTCCTTATCATTGGCTTTTTTCTTTTTCTTTTTCTTTTTTTTTTTTTTTTTGAGACGGAGTTTCACTCTTCTTGCCCAGGCTGGAGTGCAATGGCACGATCTCGGATCACCACAACCTCCATCTCCCAGGTTCAACCAATTCTCCTTCCTCAGCCTCCTTAGTATCTGGGATTATAGGTATATGCCACCATGCCCGGCTAATTTTGTATTTTTAGTAGAGATGGGGTTTCTCCATGTTGGCCAGGCTGGTCTCAAACTCCCGACCTCAGGTGATCCGCCCGCCTCAGCCTCCCAAAGTGCTGGGATTACAAGTGTGAGCCACTGTGCCCGGCCACCACCACTGGCTTTTGATCCAAATTGTGAATGGCAGAACCTGAGCCTTGTGCAGCCTGGCTGCAGGGCAGGCTGGGAAAGTAACTGTCAATTATAACTTCTATGGAAAGGCAGGCTTAGCCTTAAAAAATATGACATTCTCTCAATGCAGGGGTGTATGAGCGGGGTCAGGTGTTAGGTGGCCAAGAAAAGAAGGGGCTATACTAGCTTCAGAACAGCAAATCCAGGCAACCCTTAATCCAATCAGCCATTCATCCAATCATGGTGATTGCATTCTAAAATGCAGAGGATTCCCTCCAACATCCCAGAAGCTTTGGATAACCAAGAATTGCAGGCAGGTCAGAGCTCCAAGATAAGGTCACCCAGAAAAGAAAGAGACTCACTTTGGATAAGATAATGAAATGCTGTTTTTGGAACCTAAACCACTGAGAGGCAACATTGGCTGCACACAGAAATTCCTTGAGGCTTAAAACAAAAAACAAAAGAAAATTGATGACTGAGTCTCATCCCCATAGATTTTTTTTTTTAAGAGATGATCGGCCAGGTGCAGTGGATCACACCTGTAACCCCAGCACTTTGGGAGACTGAGGCAGGTGGATCACCTGAGGTCAGGAGTTCGAGACCAACCTGGCCAACATTGCAAAACCCTGTCTCTACTAAAAATACAAAAAATTAGCTGGGCATGGTGGTGGGCGCCTGTAATCCCAGCTACTTTAGGAGGCTGAGGCAGGAGAATTTCTTGAACCCGGGAGGTGGAGGTTGCAGTGAGCCGAGATCGCACCATTGCACCCTAGCCTGGGCGACTCTAATTTCTGGCCTCAAGCAATCCTCCTACTTCATCGTCCCAAAGTACATAAGCTACTCACCATAGATTTTAGTTTAAGTTGTCTGGGCATAGAGATAGTTAAAAACTCCACAGGTAATTCTATGTGCAGCCAAGAGTGAAAAACAGTGGTTCTGAAACGAGTGGGCATCAGAATAACACAGAAAGCTTGGCAAGAAGCAGACTTAAACACATATTGGCCAGGCGCTGTGGCAATCCTCCTGCTTCAGTCTCCCAAGTAACTGGAATTATGGGTAATTTTTTAACTTTTTTTTTTTTTTTTTTTTTGCCATGTTGCCCAGGCTGGTCTCTAACTCGTGGGCTCATATGATCCACCCACCTTGGCCTCCCAAAGTGCTGGAATTACAGGCGTGAGCCACTGCGCCTGGTAAACATTTTGAAAAATAGAAATATTAGCTGGGCACGGTGGCTCACACCTGTATCCTAGCACTTTGGGAGGCCTAGATGGGTGGATCGCTTGAGGTCAGGAGTTTGAGACCAGCCTGGCCATCATGGTGAAACCTTATCTCTACTAAAAACAAAAATTAGCCGGACGCGGTGGCTCACACCTGTAATCCCAGCACTTTGGGAGGCCAAGGTGGGAGGATCACCTGAGGTCAGGAGTTCGAGACCAGACTGGCCAATATGGAGAAACCCTGTCGCTACTAAAAATACAAAAAAATTAGCCAGGCGTGGTGGCGTATGCCTGTAATCCCAGCTACTCAGGAGGCTGAGGCAGGAGAATCACTTGAACCCAGGAGGTGGAGGTTGTAGTGAGCCAAGATTGCACTATTGCACTCTCCAGCCTGGGCAACAAGAGCAAAACTCCGTCTCAAAAAAAAAAAAAACAAAAAACGGCCGAGTGCGGTGGCTCACGCCTGTAATCCCAGCACTTTGGGAGGCCAAGGCAGGTGGATCACCAGGTCAGGAGATCAAGACCATCCTGGCTAACATGGTGAACACCGGTCTCTACTAAAAATACAAAAAATTAGCTGGGCGTGGTGGCAGGCGCCTGTAGTCCCAGCTACTCAGGAGGCTGAGGCAGGAAAATGGCGTGGACCTGGCAGGCAGAGCTTTCAGTGAGCAGAGATTGTGCCACTGCACTCCAGCCTGGGAAGCAGAGCAAGACTCCATCTCAAAAATAAAAAAAAAATTAGCCGGGTGTGGCAGCAGGCACCTGTAATCCCGGTTGCTTGGGAGGCTGACGTAGGAGAATCGCTTGAACCTGAGAGGCGGAGGTTGCAGTGAGCTGAGACTGTGCCACTACACTCCAGCCTGGGCAACAGAGTGAGATTCTGTCTCAAAAAAAAAAAAGAAGAAAAGAAAAGAAAGAAAAGAAATAGAAAAGAAAGGATGAGTGTTGTAGACAAAGGCAGGTGCAAAGGCCCTGAGGTTGGCTTGCTGGTGGGCAGGGGTGTTTTCCAGGCGGGTTTTCCGGGTGTGGCCTTACTAAGGATGCCCCACCATCTGGGCAACCGGCATCCTTAGCCTTTCTTACAGGATAGGGGGCTTGAGGCTCCCTTAGACACCCTCTTGGCCAGAGTAGCTCAGTTTAAGACAATTGAAAGGACATCTTCTGGGACAATAGCGCTCTCTGCTGGCCAGGACAGATATCAGATCCAGTTGTAATGATAACAATTACTATATAATATTGTATATTATTATTATCTTTTTTTTTAGGGTTTCGGTCTCACTCTGTTGCCCAGCCTGGTGTACAGTAGCCCAATCATAGCTCACTGCAGCCTCCAACTCTTCAGCTCAAGTGATCCTCCTGCCTCAGCTTCTTGAGTAGCTGAGACTACAGGGGCGTGCCACCACACCATGTTAATGTTTTTGTTTTGATTTTGTTTTTGTTTTTGTTTTTTAGATGAAGTCTCGCTTTGTCGCCCAGGCTGGAGTGCAGTGGCGCAATCGTGGCTCGACCTCCGCCTCCCGGGTTCAAGCGATTCTCCTGCCTCAGCCTCCCGAATAGCTGGGACTACAGGCACGCACCCCCACGCCCGGCTAATTTTTGTATTTTTTTAGTAGAGACGGGGTTTCACCATACTGGCCAGGCTGGTCTTGAACTCCTGACATCGTGATCCGCCCGCCTTGGCCTCCCAAAGTGCTGGGATTACAGGCGTGAGCCACCGTGCCTGGCTCACAACCTGTTAATTTTTTAATTTTTAAAACTTTTTTTTCTTTTTGACACAGAGTTTTGCTCCTGTTACCCAGGCTGGGGTGCAATGGCACGATCTCGGCTCACTGCAAACTCCGCCTCCCAGGTTCAAGCAATTATCCTGCCTCAGCCTTCGGAGTAGCTGGGATTACAGGCATGCACCACCATGCCTGGCTAATTTTGTATTTTTAGTAGAGACGGGGTTTCTCCACATTGGTCAGGCTGGTCTCGAACTCCCAACATCAGGTCATCCGCCCGCCTCAGCCTCTCAAAGCGCTGGGATTACAGGCGTGAGCCACCGCACCCAGCCACACCAGCTTAATTTTTTTTTTTTTTTTTTTTTTGAGATGGAGTCTCGCTCTGTCACCCAGGCTGGAGTGCAGTGGCACGATCTCGGCTCACTGCAAGCTCTGCCTCCCAGGTTCACGCCATTCTCCTGCCTCGGCCTCCGGAGTAGCTGGGACTACAGGTGCCTGCCACTGCGCCCGGCTAATTTTTTGTATTTTTAGTAGAGACGGGGTTTCACTGTGTTAGCCAGGATGGTCTCCATCCCATGACCTCGTGATCCTCCCTCCTCGGCCTCCCAAAGTGCTGGGATTACAGGCGTGAGCCACCACCCCCGGCCCTTTATTCAATCTTTACAAAGTCTTTATGCCGAGATGCTGTAATTCGCCACATTTTATCCAAGAGAAAATTATGGCTAAGAGAGTCTCTGATTGTAGCTCGAAAGTGCTAGGGATGGGATTCGTTCCCAGTTCAATTCTGATTCTTCGCTTTAGCGTGTTGTGGGTAGGAGTTAAATGGGCCCCCAGCCAGGACCAGGGGTTCAAATCCGTTGCCATGGTCCCCCGACGCTTTCCCGGGCTCCAGAACGGATCGCGTGGTCACGTGACAGCGGCCAACATGGCGCCGCCCACTGTGTGGTACGGCCCACGTGGTTCCGACAGTCAAGATGGCGGGAGCAGCTACCCAGGCTTCCCTGGAGTCGGCCCCACGGATCATGCGGCTG
Organism: Homo sapiens; assembly: GCF_000001405.40. Taxonomy (NCBI): domain Eukaryota; kingdom Metazoa; phylum Chordata; class Mammalia; order Primates; family Hominidae; genus Homo; species Homo sapiens. The sequence goes on from NC_000019.10 coordinate 10,701,518, forward strand.
GTGGCCGAATGCAGCCGCTCCAGGGCCCGGGCAGGCGAGCTGTGGCTGCCGCATGGGACAGTGGCCACTCCTGTGTTCATGCCAGTGGGCACGCAGGCCACCATGAAGGGCATCACGACCGAACAGCTGGACGCTCTGGGTTGCCGCATCTGCCTGGGCAATACCTACCATCTGGGTCTAAGGCCGGTGGGTGGGCTCTGCCCGCGCGGGGAGGCGGCGAGGCGGCGAGGCGTGGGGAGCCATGGAGCGTCCTCCAGGCCCGGACACTCCTCCCAAAGTCAATCGACCAGCTGTATTGAGCGCCCCCAATGACCAGGCCTTGTACTGGGCGTGAAAGAGCAGCAGGGACTAAAGCTGGCCAGATCTGTCTCCCAAGAAGGGCCCCCAGGGACGCGGTCACCCCTAACCTGACACTTTCTTCCATCAACCCAGGGACCCGAGCTGATCCAGAAAGCCAACGGTCTCCACGGCTTCATGAATTGGCCTCATAATCTGCTAACGGTGAGCTGAGGAGAGAGCCGACGTTCTAGGGCCCTTCTCTGGAGTGAAGGGTCCCCATCTCCACCCCCTGACAGCTTTGCGGTGGGGTTTCCCTTAGGACAGCGGCGGTTTCCAGATGGTGTCGCTGGTGTCTCTGTCCGAGGTGACGGAGGAGGGCGTCCGCTTCCGCTCCCCCTACGACGGCAATGAGACCCTGCTGAGCCCGGAGAAATCCGTGCAGATCCAGAATGCGCTGGGTGAGAGGACCCTGGGGAGCCGCCTCCTTACCCTGTCTGTCAGGGGGTGAAGTTTACACGGGGCCTGTTTTTTAGCTGTTGTGTGGCTTTGAGCAGGTCACTCCTCGCTGAGCTTCAGTTGAACCAACTCAAAGCGGGGGTAAATAGTAGCAGGTCTTTGGTAGAATTGTTGACAAGTACATATGAGATGATGTCAGTAAATCTCCATCCCAGCCATGTAGTAGCTTAAGTATTATTATTGCAGTTTTTCTCTCATTAGCAAATTAAGACTGGACGTGGAAGCTCATGCCTGTAATCCCAGCAATTTGGGAAACTGAGGCGGGAAGATCACTTGAGGCCGGGAGTTGGAGACCAGCTTGGGCAATACAGGGAGACCCTGTCTCTACCAAAATAAAAAATAAAAAATAAAAAAAACAAATTAATTGGACAAATATCTGTTGAAATAATGGTGGCAACAAGAGGATTGGGGAGGCTTTAGGCTTCTCCCATATCCTCAATATCCTTCTTTTTTTTTTTTTTTTTTTTTTTTTTTGAGACAGAATTTTGCTCTTGTTGCCCAGGCTGGAGTGCAATTTTGCGATCTGAGCTCACTGCAACCTCTGCCTCCCGGGTTCAAGTGATTCTCCTGACTCAGCCTCCCGAGTAGCTGGGATTACAGGTGTGCGCCACCACACCTGGCTAATTTTGTATTTTTAGTAGAGACAGGGTTTCTCCATGTTGGTTAGGCTACTCTCAAACTCCTGAGCTCAGGTGATCCGCCTGCCTCGGCCTCCCAGAGTGCTGGGATTCCAGGCGTGAGCCACCACACCTGGCTTTTTTTTTTTTTTTTTTTTTTTGAGACAGAGTCGCCCAGGCTGGAGTGCAATGGTGTGATATCCAGTCACTGCAACCTCCACCTCCTGGGTTCAAGTGATTCTCCTGCCTCAGCCTGCTGAGTAGCTGGGATTACAACTGCTTGCCACCATGCCCAGCTAATTTTTGTATTTTTTGTAGAGACGGGTTTCACTATGTTGGCAAGGCTGGTCTCAAACTCCGGACCTCAGGTGATCCACCTGCTTCGGCCTCGCAGAGTGCTGGGATTATAGGTGTGAGCCACCACGCCTGGCCCAATATCCCCATTTCTTGATAAAGAACCATGGCAACACAGGGTCAAAACCCCTCTTCCCCTCATCATTCTAATAGATTGATGCTGTAGGGAGGAAGAAATATTTTTTCTTCTTAGATTCATGGCTGAAGCCCCTATAACAAAAACCCTTATAAGAAAAGAAGCCACGTGCTGGGTGCGGTGGCCACGCCTGTAATCCCAGCACTTTGGGAGGCGGAGGCGCGATCATGACTCACTGCAACAGCTGCCTCCTGGTTCAAGCAATTCGCCTGCCTTAGCCTCCCAAGTAGCTGGGATTACAGGTGCCCGCTACCACACCCAGCTAATTTTTGTATTTTCAGTAGAGATGGGGTTTCACCATGTTGGCCAGGCTGGTTACGAACTCCTGACCTCAAGTGATCTGCCCATCTTGGTCCCCCAAAGTGCTGGGATTACAGGTATGAGCCACTGTGCCCGGCCTATAAGTTTATTTTTTTATGTTTATTTATTTTTATGTATTATTTTGAGACAGAGTCTCACTCTGTCACCCAGGCTAGAGTACAGTGGCACAATCTCAGGTCACTGCAACCTCTGCCTCCTGGCCTCAAGCAATTCTCCTGCCTCAGCCTCCCAAGTAGCTGGGATTACAGGTGCATGCCACCACGCCCAGCTAGTTTTTTGTATTTTTAGTAGAGACAGGGTTTCGCCATGTTGGCCAGGCTGGTCTTGAACTCCTGACCTCAAGCGATCTGCCCGCCTTGGCCTCCCAAAGTGCTGGGATTACAGGTGTGAGCCACCATGCCCGGCCAAATATTTTTTGTAGAGATTAGAGTCTCACTACATTATCTGGGCTGGTCTTGAACTCCTGGCTACAAACAGTCCTTTGCCTTGACCATTCAAAGTGCTCATGTTACAAGCATGAGCCACTGTGCCAGCCCCCATGTGTTTTTTGTTTGTTTGTTTGTTTTTTCTGGAGATGGAGTCTTGCTTAGTCTCCCAGGCTGGAGTGCGGTGGCGCGATCTCGGCTCACTGCAAGCTCCGCCTCCTGGGTTCATGCCATTCTCCTGCCTCAGCCTCCGGAGTAGCTGGGACTACAGGCACCCGCCATTACGCCCAGCTAATTTTTTTGTACTTTTACTAGAGACGGGGTTTCATCGTGTTAGCCAGGATGGTCTCGATCTCCTGACCTCGTGATTCGCCCATCTCGGCCTTCCAAAGTGCTGGGATTACAGGCGTGAGCCACCGCACCCGGCCTCTTTTTTTTTGAAACCGAGTTTCGCTCTTGTTGCCCAGGCTGGAGTGCAATGGCGCAATCTCGGCTCACAGCAACCTCTGCCTCCTGGGTTCAAGCGATTCTCCTGCCTCAGCCTCCCGAGTAGCTGGGATGACAGGCATGCGCCACCATGCCCGGCTAATTTTGTATTTTTGGTAGAGACGGGGTTTCTCCATGTTGGTCAGGCTGGTCTTGAACTCCCGACCTCAGGTGATCCGCCTGCCTCAGCCTCCCAAAGTGCTGGCATTACAGGTGTGAGCCACCATGCCCAGCTAAAGTTCTAGCTTTTTAATGAATGTCGTAATTTTTTTTTTTTTTTTTGATGTGGAATCTCGCTCTGTCACCTAGGCTGGAGTGCAGTGGCTCGATCTTGGCTCACTGCAACCTCTGCTGCCCGGGTTTAAGCTATTCTCCTGCCTCAGCCTCCCCAGCAGCTGGGACTACAGGTGCCTGCCACCACGCCTGGTAATTTTTGTACTTTTAGTAGAGACGGGGTTTCACCTTGTTGGTCAGGCTGGTCTTGAACTCCTGACTTCAGGTGGTCCACCTGCCTCAGCCTCCCAAAGGGCTGGGATTACAGGCGTGAGCCACCGCACCCAGCCCCATATTTATTTTTTCGTCTTTTCTTTTTTTTTTTCTTTTTTGAGAAGGAGTCTCACTCTTTGACCAAGGCTGGAGTGCAGTGGCACTGTGTTGGCTTACTGCAACCTCTGTCTTCTGGGTTCAAGCACTTCTCCTGCTGCAGCCTCCCGAGTAGCTGGGATTACAGGTGCCCATCACCACACCTGGCTAGTTTTTATATTTTTAGTAGAGACGGGGTTTCACCATGTTGGCCAGGCCGGTCTCGAACTCCTGACCTAAGGTGATCCACCCGTCTCGGCCTCCCAAAGTGCTGGGACTACAGGCGTGAGTCACCACGCCTGCCCCTTTTTTTCTTTTTTGAGACACAATCTCGCTCTGTCACCCGGGCTGGAGTACTGTGGTGCAATCTCGGCTCACTGCAACCTTTGCTTCCTGGGTTCAAGCGATTCTCCTGCCTCAGCCTCCCAAGTAGCTGGGACTTCAGGTGCATGCCACCATGCCGGGCTAATTTTTGTATTTGTTGTAGAGACAGGGTTTCACCATATTGGCCAGGGTGGTCTTGAACTCCCGATCTCAAGTGATTGACCTGCTTTGGCCTCCCAAAGTGCTGGGGTTACAGGCGCAAGCCACCAGGCCTGGCCTGTTCTTTTTTTTTTTTTTTTTTTTTTTTTTTTTTGTGGAGACAGAGTCTCGCTCTGTCACTCAGGCTGGAGTGTAGTGGTGCGATCTCGGCTCACTGCAAGCTTCACCTCCCGGGTGCACACCATTCTCCTGCCTCAGTTCCCGAGTAGCTGGGACTACAGGTGACCGCCACCACGCCCGGCTAATTTTTTGTATTTTTAGCAGAGACAGGGTTTCACTGTGTTCGCCAGGATGGTGTCAATCTCCTGACCTGGTGATCCACACGCCTTGGCCTCCCAAAGTGCTGGGATTACAGGCGTGAGCCACTGCGCCCGGCTGTGGCCTGTTCTTTTTTATTTTAAATTGTTTTCATCTATTTATTTTCTTAATAATGGAGATGGGGTCTCTCTGTGTTGCCCAGGGTGGTCTCGAACTCCTGGGCTCTAGTGATCCTTCCGCCTGGGCCTTCCAAAGTGTTTGGATTATAGGTCATCAAGTTTCATTTTATGCCACTAAACCACTATGCTGTGCACCGTGGCTCATGCCTATAATCTTAGCACTTTTGTTTTGTTTTTGAGACGGTGTCTCGCTCTGTCGCCTTGGCTGGAGTACAGTGGTGCAATCTTAGCTCACCGCAACCTCCGTCTTCCGGGTTCAAGCGATTCTCCTGCCTCAGCCTCTTGAGTAGCTGGGATTACAGGAATATACCACCACGCCCGGCTAATTTTTGTATTTTTAGTAGAGACGGGGTTTCACCACCTTGGCCAGGCTGGTCTCGAACTCCTGACCTCAAATGATCCACCTGGGTTGGCCTTCCAAAGTGCTGAGATGACAAGCGTGAGCCATCGCGCCTGTTTTTTTTTTTTTAACCTTTTTTTTTTTTTTTTAACACAGCCTTGCTCTGTCATCCAGGCTGGAGTGCAGTGGCACAATCTTGGCTCACTGCTACCTCTGTCTCCCAGATTCAAGCTATTCTCCTGTCTCTGCCTTCCAAGCAGCTGGGAATACAGGCACGTGCCATCATACCTGGCTAATTTTTGTGTTTTTAGGAGAGATGGGGTTTCACCATGTTGGCGAGGCTGGTCTTGAACTCCTGACCTCAGATGACCTGCCTGCCTCGGCGTCCCCAAGTGCTGGGATTACAGGCGTAGTCACTGCGCCCAGTCAGCAGAGCCCTGCTGATGGACGTTTGGTTTCCCGGTCTTGCTGTGGCACGCCACATAGCAAGGGATCCCTTTGTATATTTTAGGATTTTATTTTGTGTAACAGGATAGGATTTTAAGCTGGGGAGAGGCAGGATCAAAGGCACATTCTGTAAAGCTCCTTCTGGCTGCTGTATAAACAGACCGGGAAAGTCACGTGGGAGTTAGCAAGACGGGGGATGGGGGGATGCTCTTGGGGAAGTCCAACTTGTCCCCATGTGACGGCAGGCTTTCCCCAAGCATTGCGGGCTTTCCCAGTGATGTTGCCCCCATCTCACCATCAGGCTCGGACATCATCATGCAGCTGGACGACGTGGTTAGCAGTACTGTGACTGGGCCACGTGTGGAGGAGGCCATGTACAGGTGTGTATATGCTGTGTGCATGTGTGGGATATGTGGTGGGAGGGGATCCTGGTCCCTGTAGCCTTGTCTCCTACCCCCTCACCAGGCCCCTGGGGCTTGTGACTGGGGCCCTGTTGCAGGTCAATCCGCTGGCTGGACCGGTGCATTGCAGCCCATCAGCGGCCGGACAAGCAGAACCTCTTCGCCATTATCCAGGGTGGGCTGGACGCAGATCTCCGGGCCACCTGCCTTGAAGGTAGAGCCATGCGCTGGCAGGCCCAGGGCTTGGCCATCGCGGAGGTCCCCACATGGGCCTGGCGTATGGCGGGACTGGATTGCTAATGTGTAGAAGGGCACTGCGCTAGAAAAAATAGCCGGAGCAAAGGCTCTCGGGCCACGTGCAGTAGAATGTATTGAGAGAATGGCCATGATTCCAGTAGTTAATGATCTTCTAGGTTTTTTGTTTGTTTGTTTTTGTTTTTTTTTTTGAGACGGAGTCTCAGGTGATCCACCCCCCTTGGCCTCCCAAAGTGCTGGGATTATAGTCATGAGCCACCGCGCCCAGCCTATTTATGTATTTATTTATTTTACTTTTTTTTTTTTTGGAGGGTGGAGTCTTGCACTGTCGCCCAGGCTGGAGTGCTGTGGCGCGATCTCGGCTCACTGCAACCTCTGCCTCCCTGCAACCTCCGCCTCCCGGGTTCAATCTATTCTCCTGCCTCAGCCTCCTGAGTAGCTGGGACTACAGGCACCCGCCACCAGGCCCGGCTAATTTTTGTATTTTTAGTAGAGACAGGGTTTCACCATTTTGGCCAGGCTGGTTTCAAACTCCTGACCTTGTGATCTGCCTGCCTCGGCCTCCCAAAGTGCTGGGATTACAGGCGTGAGCCACCGTACCTGGCCTCTTTATTTATTTTTGAGACACGGTCTTACTCTGTTGCTCCTCCTGGAGTGCAGTGGCTAGGTCAAAGCTCACTGCAGCCTCAAACTCCTGGGATCAAGCAGTCCTGCTTCAGCTTTCCAAAGTGCTTGGAATATAGGTGCACGCCGGTGTGTCCAGCCATGCATTACCTTTTACATGCAATGCTTTCTGGTGTTTTCTTTTCTCTTTCATTTAAAAACAACGACAACAACCCGTGCGTCATCAAAGTCATTTCTCAACCACCTGCAGTTTGACAAGCACCGCCCCATGGGGTGCTTCTCAAAGTGCTCTGAGGCTTACCTGCCCCAGCACAAACTACTGAAAGTCCTGGTAAAATGCAGCTCCCCTTCCCATGATCCGACCAGAGTTGGAGCTAGGGAAGGCCTAGGAATCTGCATGTAAACACCCTGTGTCCAGTTGGAGGATGCTCACATTACCTTCAAAACCTGGCCCCAGACAACGCCTGCATTCCTTTTTTTTTTTTTCTTTTTTTTTTTTTTTGAGACGGAGTTTCGCTCTTGTTGCCCAGGCTGGAGTGCAGTGGCGTGATCTCAGGTCACTGCAACCTCCACCTTCCGGTTTCAAGTGATTCTCCTGCCTCAGCCTCCTGAGTAGCTGAGATTACAGGCATGCACCACCATGCCTGGCTAATTTTTGTATTTTTAGTAGGGACAGGGTTTCACCATGTTGGCTAGGCTGGTCTTGAACTCCTGACCTCGTGATCCACCCCCACCTTGGCCTCCAGAGTGCTGGGATTACAGGCTTGAGCCACTGCACCTGGCCAACACCTGCGTTCTTGATGGCATGGCCTCTTCGGGTTGAACTGGGCAGCTGGGGCACAAGATAAGCCTGGACTTGGAGGCCAGACCCAGGTTTGAATCCAGCCTTTGGCATATGTAGCCTTGGACTAGTGGTTTAAGCTCTGCAAGCCTCAATTTCCTCTTGTTTCAGGCAAGTTGAACAATAGCACAATTCTGCAGCCCCTTCTGTGTCATCCAGGTCCTCAGAGCGAAAGTCTAAAATCCAGAACATTGGCCGGGTACCATAGCTCACACCTGAATCCCAGCACTTTAGGAGGCCAAGGCAAGAGGATTGCTTGAGACCAGTCTGGGTGACATAGTGAGATCCCATCTCTAAAAAAAGAGAATTGGGCCAGGCACGCTGGCTCACGCCTGTAATCCCAGTACTTTGTGAGGCCAAGGCGGGCAGATCACGTGGTCAGGAGTTCGAGACCAGCCTGGCCAACATGGTAAAACCCCGTTTCTACTAAAAATACAAAAATTAGGCCGGGCGTGGTGGCTCGCGCCTGTAATCCCAGCACTTTGGGAGGCTGAGGCGGGCAAATCATTGAGGTCGGGAGATCGAGACCAACCTGGCTAACACGGTGAAACCCCATCTCTACTAAAAAATAGAAAAAATTAGCTGGGCGTGGTGGCGGGCGCCTGTAGTCTCAGCTACTCGGGAGGCCGAGGCAGGAGAATGGCGTGAACCTGGGAGACAGAGCTTGCAGTGAGCCGAGATTGTGCCACTGCACTCCAGCCTGGGCAACAAAGTGAGACTCCATCTCAAAAAAAAAAAAATTAGCCAGGCATGGTGGTGGGCACCTGTAATCTTAGCTACTCGGGAGGCTGAGGCAGGAGAATCATTTGAACCCGGGAGGTGGAGGTTACAGTGAGCTGAGATCACACCACTGCACTCCAGCCTGGGCGACAGAGCAAGAATCTGTCTCAAAAAAAAAGAAAAAAAGAAAATTAGCACGCAAGCATGGGAGTGTGTGCCTGTGATCCTAGATACTTGGGAGGCTGAGGTGGGAGGATCGCTTGAGCCCAGGGGTTGGTGGCTGCAGTGAGCTATGATGACATCACTGTACTGCAGTCTGGGTAACACAGTGAGACCCTGTCTCAAAAAAAAAGAAGAAAAGAAAAGAGAAAAAACTTAGAATGCCCTGAAAAATTTGCAACTCATTTCATGGCTAACTTAGATCTCTCATTTTTTATCCCAGTTGTTACAAGTATTCACATATTTTTATTTTTATTTATTTTTTATTTTTTTGAGATGGAGTTTTGCTCTTGTTGTCCAGGCTGGAGTGCAGTGGCACCATCTCGGCTCACTGCAACCTCTGCCTTCTGGTTTCAAGCGATTCTCCTGCTTCAGCCTCCCGAGTAGCTGGGATTACAGGCACCAGCCACCACGCCTGGCCAATTTTTGTATTTTTAGTAGGGATGGGGTTTCACCATGTTGGCCAGGCTGGTCTCGAACTCCTGACCTCGTGATCCACCTGCCTTGGCCTCCCAAAGTGCTGGGATTACAGGCGTGAGCCATGTGCCCAGCCTATTTTTATTTTTTAAATTTTACTTTGGCCGGGCGTGGTGGCTCATGCCTGTAATCCTGGCACTTTGGGAGGCTGCAGTGGGCGGATTACCTGAGGTCAGGAGTTCAAGACCAGCCTGCCCAACATGGCGGAACCCTGTCTCTATTAAAAATACAAAAAATTAGCCGGGCATGGTGGTGGGCGACTGTAGTCCCAGCTACTCGGGGGGCTGAGGCAGGAGAATCACTTGAACCCGGGAGGCGAGGGTTGCAGTGAGCCAAGATGGTGCCATTGCACTCCAGCCTGGATGACAAGAGCAAAACTCCATCTCAAAAAAAAAAAAAAAAAAATTAAGTTCTGGGATACATGTGCAGAACGTGCAAGTTTGTTACACAGCTATGAATGTGCCATGGTGGTTTCTGCACACATCAGCCCGTCATCTAGGTTTTAAGCCCCGCATGCGTTATGTATTTGTCCTAATGCTCTCACTCCCCTTTCCTCCACCAAGTCTTAACATATTTTGTTGTACAAATATTACAGTGTTTGATGACAGGCTATTGGGTGTTTTGTTGTTGTTGTTGTTTCGTTTTGTTTTGTGAGACGGAGTCTCGCTCTGTCGCCCAGGCTGGAGTGCAGTCATCTGATCTCGGCTCACTGCAACCTCCACCTCCCGGGTTCAAGCGATTCTTCTGCCTCAGCCTCCTGTGTAGCTGGGACTGCGGGTGCCCATCACCACACCTGGCTAATTTTTGTATTTTTTAGTAGAGACAGGATTTAACCACGTTGGTTAGCCTGCTTTCGAACTCCTGACCTCGTAATCTGCCTGCCTTGGCCTCCCAAAGTGCTGGGATTGAAGGCATGAGTCACCGCGCCCGGCCCTTTTTTTTGAGATGGAGTCTCACTTTGTCACCCAGGCTGGAGTGCAGTGGTGTGATCTTGGCTCACTACAACCTCTGCCTCCCAGGTTCAAGCGATTCTCCTGCCTCAGCCTCCTGTGTAGCTGGGACCAAAGGCGTGCACCACCACGCCTGGCTACTTTTCATATTTTTAGTAGAGACAGGGTTTCACCATGTTGGCCAGATTGTTCTTCAACACCAGACTTCAAGTGATCTGCTTGCCTCGGCCTCCCACAGTGCTGGGATGACAGGCGTGAGCCACTGCGCCTAACATGACAGCTGTTACTCAGCATGTGGGATGTTTACTGTTCTCACATCTGGAAAACTCTGAATTCTGAAACACATCTGGTTCCAACAGTTTCAGCTAAGGGACTGTGGGCTGTGCCTCTTCTGAGTACTGAAGGAAAAGGTCTTGCATACAGCAGGCACTCAATAAATGTTAGCTGAGATCAGCAGTAGTCCCAGCCCCTAGACAGACAGACAAACTGATGGACCCTCTCCTCTGTCTCCCTCTCCGTCTCCCTCTCCGTCTCTGGCTCTGTCTGTCTGTCTCTGTCTGTTTCTCTGACTCTCTCCCTGAGCGACTCTGGAAGTCTGGGCAGGGTGTGTTCTGGGATTGAAGACCAGGCGCATTTCCTCTTCTGTGGCCCTCACCTTACCCTGTACCCTCAGAGATGACCAAGCGAGACGTGCCTGGCTTCGCCATCGGGGGCCTGAGCGGGGGTGAGAGCAAGTCGCAGTTCTGGCGGATGGTGGCGCTGAGCACCTCTCGGCTGCCGAAGGACAAGCCCCGATATCTGATGGGGGTTGGGTATGTTGTGGATAGGGAAGCCAGAGCCCTACCTGTGGGAAGTGGATTCCTGGGGACCCCCTACCCTGCTTGGGGAGGTGGCATTTGGGGGAAACGGACACAGGTCTGATCTGAGGAGACTAGGAAGACATGGCTGTCCCTTGGGGGCCATTCTGAGGGAATATGGCCCAGTCTGGGGCAGTGTGAGGGTTGGGAGGGGCCCTGGGAAGCCCCTGAGGTTCTCTGCCCCCTCCCGTCATGGCTGCAACCCCAGCTATGCCACTGATCTGGTAGTCTGCGTGGCTCTTGGATGTGACATGTTCGACTGCGTCTTCCCCACACGGACAGCGGTGAGGCTCTGGCAGAAGGAGGTCAGGGCGGGAGACGGGTGGGGGACTAGGGAGGCAAGGTTAGGGGTGGGGGGTGGGGAGAATGAAGCCCTGGGTGACGCCCCTTTCCCTGCCCTTCCTCTCCCACAGCGCTTTGGCTCTGCCCTGGTGCCCACTGGGAACCTGCAGTTGAGGAAGAAGGTGTTTGAGAAGGACTTCGGCCCCATAGACCCGGAGTGCACCTGCCCCACGTGCCAAAAGTAGGCAGGATGGCACTGGGAGCTGGGGCAGGGCATGGAGGGGACAGGGCCTGGCCGTGCTGAGCTGTCCCCTGCCGCTCTACAGGCACAGCCGCGCCTTCCTGCACGCACTGCTGCACAGTGACAACACGGCCGCGCTGCACCACCTCACGGTCCACAACATCGCCTACCAGGTGAGCCAGTGCCCGGGGCAAGGTGGGCGGGGGTGTCCTAGGTGCGTATGCCCCACGCTGACCTCCCCTCCCCGCAGCTGCAGCTCATGAGCGCCGTCCGCACCAGCATCGTGGAGAAGCGCTTCCCGGACTTCGTGCGGGACTTCATGGGCGCCATGTACGGGGATCCCACCCTCTGTCCCACCTGGGCCACTGACGCTCTGGCCTCTGTGGGAATCACACTGGGCTGACCTGGCATTGGGAGAGGGAGGGAGGAAGGAAGGGAGGGAGGGGCTGGAAGATACTGAAGGATTCCTTTTTGAAAGGTTTTTTTTATTGTAACTTACAGAGTGTGTCTGTGTCTTCTTGAGGAAGTGGCCTGTCTGGGTCCCCCTCCCAGTCTGAGCGTCATTGCAGTGGAATATCTCCCCTTCTCACCAATCATAACACGTCACTGTGGCAGCAGCGGATAGCTGGAAACCACCTGCCAGTGCCCAGCATGTAGGGCGTGCCCCTAGAGCGGGAGCTGCCACCTGCTTCCTGGGGCCCAGGCCCCCCAGCCACCTTGGAGGGAGGTACTGTTGGCCTCTCCTTTTTTACAGCTGAGGAAGCAGGCCCAGGGAAGGGAGGGAACTTGCCCAAGGTCATCACCATCAAAGAAATGGTATCTTGGCTTTAAGGCATACACTCCTAGTCTGACTTTTATAAATATGAGGCTTAATCTCCTATTTTTTTCTTTCTTTTTTTTTTTTTTCCGAGACTGAGTCTCGCTCTGTCACCCAGGCTGGAGTGCAGTGGTAGGATCTCGGATCACTGCCACCTCCGCCTCCCGGGTTCAAACGATTCTCCTGCCTCAGCCTCCCGAGTAGCTGAGACTACAGGCGCGTGCCAGCACGCCTGGCTAATTTTTGTATTTTTAATAGAGATGGGGTTTCACCATGTTGGCCAGGCTGGTCTCAAACTCCTGACCTCAAGTGATCTGCCTGCCTCAGCCTCCCAAAGTGTTGGGATTACAGGCATGAGCCACAGTGCCCAGCCTCTTTTTTTTTTTTTTTTTTTTTTTTTTGAGACTGTCTCCCTTTGTCATCCAGGCTGGAGTGCATTGGTTCAAACACGGCTCACTGTAGCCTCGATCTGGAGCCGCCACACCCGGTCTACTCTTGCAACTTGATGTTGCATGTACAGTCGTGTTCCATTTTACGGAGGAGGACACTGAGGCACAGAGGAATGAAGTTTACATGGTCACTGTCACTTTCTTAGTCCGTTCTGGCTGCCATATATAACAAAATACCATCAACTGGGTGGCTTATAAACAGCAGAAATTTATTTATCACAGTTCTAGAAGCTGGGAAATTCAAGATCAAGGTACCAGCAGATTCAGTGTCTGTTGAGGGCAAACTTCCTAGATGGCGATCTTTTCTCTAATCTCACATGGCGGGAGGGGCAAGGCAGCTCTCTGGGGTCTCTTTTATGAAGGCGCAGTGAGAAGCTCAGCAGGTTTGTGAAAAGAAAAAAAAATACATAAGGGCACAAATCCCATTCACCTAATCACCTAATCGCCTTCCAAAGGCTCCACCTCCAATTACCATCATGTTGGGGATTAGGTTTCATCATGTCAATCTTGGTGTGGTGGGTGATGGGGTAGAGGGCTGGTCTATAAACATTCAGACCATAATAATCAGTAAATAAACAGGCCCAGGATCTAACCCAGATATGATCAGTTACAGAGCTAGTGATCTTCACCAGCCTGGGCAACACGGTGAAACTCCTTCTTTACAAAAAATACAGGTGGTGTGCATCTGTGCTCCCAGCTACTGAGGAAGCTGAGGTGGGAGGATTGCTTGAGCCCAGGAGGTTGAGGCTGCAATTGCACCACTGCACTCCAGCCTGGGCAGCGGAGTGAGACTCTGTCTCAAAAACAAAAACCAGTGCTCTTCAAAAATGAAGTTTTTGAAATGGAAAAAGTAGGCCAGGTGCAGTGGCTCACACCTGTAATCCCAGCTACTCTGGAGGCTGAGGCAGGAGAATCACTTGAACCCAGGACGTGGAGGTGGCAGTGAGCCGAGATCGCACCACTGCACGCCACCCTGAGAGACAGCGAGATTTCGTCTAAAAAAAAAAAAAAAAAGGTTGGACGTGGTGGTGGCTCACACCTGTAATCCTAGCACTTTGGGAGGCCAAGGAGGGCAGATCATGAGGTCAGGAGTTCAAGACCAGCCTGGCCAACATGGTGAAACCCCATCTCTACTAAATATACAAAAATTAGCTGGGTGTGGTGGCACGTGCCTGTAATCCCAGCTACTCTGGAGGCTGAGGCAGGAATATCGCTTGAAGCCAGGACTTGGAGGTTGCAGTGAGCCAAGATCGCACTACTGTACTCCAGCCTGGGAGACAGAGCAAGCCTCCATCTCAAAAAAAGAAAAGAAAAGAAAAAAAAAGTCCAAGCGCGGTGGCTCACACCTGCAATCCCAGCACTTTGGGAGGCCAAGGAGGGAGGGTCATCTGGGTCAGGAGTTCGAGACCAGCCTGGCCAACATGGTGAAACCCCATCTCTACTAAAAATACAAAAATTAGCCAGGTATGGTGGCAGGCGCCTGTAGTCCCAGCTACTTGAAAGGCTGAGGCAGGAGAATCATTTGAACCCGGGAGGCGGAGGTTGCAGTGAGCTGAGATTGCATCACTGCACTCCAGCCTGGGCTACAGAGCAAGACTCTGTTTCAAAAAAAAAAAAAAGTGAAAAAGTAATACATGTATGTAATCCACAATTCAAATCACATCAAAAGTGCAACTACTTTTATCAATTTATGTATTTTTCCAGCAATTTTCCGTGTGTACATATGGTTTTCATGCATGTCAGCATCCTTCACACACAGTTCTGTACCTTGCTTGTTTTTTCCTCTTAGTATATCTCAAATTATTTATACTTCAGTACATGAAGAGTTTCCTCAACGTTTTTGTTTGTTTGTTTATTTGTTTTTGAGACGGGGTTTTGCTCTTGTTGCCCAGGCTGGAGTGCAGCGGTGCGATCTCAGCTCACCGCAACTTCTGCGTCCCGTGTTCAAGCGATTCTCCTGCCTCAGCCTCTCGAGTAGCTGGGATTACAGGCACGCACCACCACGCCTGGCTAATTTTTTGTATTTTTAGTAGAAACGTGGTTTCACTATGTTAGCCAAGCTGGTTTCGAACCTCTAACCTCAGGTGATCTGCCCTCCTTGGCCTCCCAAAGTGCTGGGATTACAGGCATGAGCCACCGCACCTGGCGCTTTTTGCCTATTTCTTTGAGACCTGGGGTTTTGGGTCACAAAACAGGCAAATGCCATGAGCCACCCTCCTCCTCTTTCTCCATCTTCTTGTGCTGCCTCAGGTCAGAGCACTTACCTGCTCCTGCCTTCTCACTGGGTTTCCTTGTCTCTGGCCTATTTGTCTCCAGAGGGGTCAAAACACTTCAAATCCTCCTATTTGTCTCTGTCCACTGTCAGGAGTTCCAGTTCCCAGAACCCCAATTTTGCCTACAAAATAGCGTGTCTTTTCACGGGGAGAGGATTTGTTGAGTTTTAGTGGGTACTCAAAAAGATCTAAAGCCAGTTGGGGGGGTTCACACATGTAATCCCAGCACTTTTGGGAGGCCGGCCTGTGAGGGTCGTTTGGGCGCAGGAGTTTGAGACCAGCCTGGACAACACAGCAAGACCCTGTCTCTATAAAAAATAAAATAAAAATAATTAGCTGGGCATAGTTGCGCACGTCTGTGGTTCCAGCTACTCGGGACGCTGAGGCGGGAGGATCGTTTGAGCCCAGGTGCTTGTTGAATTGAGCTATGAGTGCACTACTGCACCCCAGCCTGGGCAACAGAGTAAGGACCCAGTTTCTAAGAAAAGAAGATTCATTAGCTAGACGCGGTGGCTCACACCTGTAATTCCAACACTTTGGGAGGCCAAGACGGGCGGATCACTTGAGGCCAGGCGTTCGAGACCAGCCTGGCCAATATGGTGAAACCCCGTCTACTAAAAATACAAAATTAGCTGGGCGTGGTGGCTCACACTTGTAATCCCAGCTATTCGGGAGGCTGAGGCAGGAGAATTGGTTGAACCGGGGAGGCGGAGGTTGCAGTGAGCCAAGATCGCGCTACTGCACTCCAGCCTGGGTGACAGAGTGAGTACCCCGCCTCAAAAAAAAGAAAAGAAAAAAGATTCATGATCTGCTAAAGTTGAAGAAGTGGGGGAAAACATTGGAGTGTTAGCGGCGTCAAGATCGGGCGTGAGCAGAAAGGGCACAGCATTTGCAAAGGCGTGGAGGAGTGATTTTATTGCGTTCTATCCCTAGGAAGCAATGACTTGGCCTCTACCATTTGCAGAGCGCATTGGGACCCTGCTCCCAGAGCTGGTTTGCAGTCTGGGAACTGAGATGCGCTCTGGGACTTGTAGTTTTCCCCAGTGCCAGGAAACTCAAAAATCGAGACATCGGATCCCACCACGAGGTGTCGCCCTTGAGCGAGTACGGTGGGATCTATCCTATACTTCAGAAGGCTGTTGCAGACATCCAACAATCACAAGGAAGAACGGGAGTTTTTCTGATTGACAGATATGGTTCTCAATGATAGTCAAGATTCGGATGTTAAAGCCCGCCCTCTTTTGCCTGGTTGGCTG
This sequence comes from Homo sapiens, assembly GCF_000001405.40. NCBI lineage: Eukaryota > Metazoa > Chordata > Mammalia > Primates > Hominidae > Homo > Homo sapiens. The sequence continues at coordinate 10,717,663 of NC_000019.10, forward strand.
GAGCAACGAAGTGATATTTATATGAACCAATGGGAAATTCTTAGGGAACGAGGTAGTAGCTCAATCCCCAACACCATTGGTCCACATTGTCTACTGGCACGTCTGCCTGCCAATAAGATGGTGGAACTTCGCCAATGGGCAGAGCCAACGTGCCTTTTTCGGAAACACCCCCTTCCTCTCTTGACAACTTGCTTTCTGCCGCTATTGGCTGTTGCACAACAGTGACGGTTCTTTTGTCCAATAAGTCAGCAAGACGGTCCCCAGGGGGAAGGTTTACTCAACCATAGGCCCGTGCCTAGTTTTTATTGGCTAGTGTATCCGAGTGGCGGTGCAGCAGGCCAGTCGCGTGCGGCGCGAGTGCTTTGGGCGCAGCCCCCGGGGCCGGGGCGGGAGGTCGCTCGGGTCGGGTGTCGCCTGAGAACCGGATGAGGCGGCGACCGTGAGGCCGAGCCGGGAGCGGGCGTCTTGCCGAGGCCCGGGCGGGCGGGGAGCAACGGCTACAGACGCCGCGGGGCCAGGTCGTTGAGGGTCGGCGGCGGGCGAGGAGCGCAGGGCGCTCGGGCCGGGGGCCGCCGGCGCCATGGGCAACCGCGGGATGGAAGAGCTGATCCCGCTGGTCAACAAACTGCAGGACGCCTTCAGCTCCATCGGCCAGAGCTGCCACCTGGACCTGCCGCAGATCGCTGTAGTGGGCGGCCAGAGCGCCGGCAAGAGCTCGGTGCTGGAGAACTTCGTGGGCCGGTGAGCGGGCGCGGCAGGGATCGCGGGCGGGTGGCGGCCTAGGGCGCGGAGGGCGGACCGGGAATGGCGCGCCGTGCGCCGCCGGCGTAACTGCGGCGCTTGCGTGCCCGCGGCGGGGAACCGGACGGGGTCGGGGAGGCGGGCCCTGTGGGACGCCCTGGGCAGAGGACTCCCTGCAGGGGCTCCGGAGCAGGCCCGGGCCCCAGGGGCGGTGTCACGGGCCAGGGCGCCGTAGGACAGGAGGTGCGCTGGAACCCTGCGGTCCATCTGGTCCCAGCTTTCGTGGGTGAAGTCTGCCATCTGGTTGGCCGTGGGTCTGGGGTAGATCCCTCTTCTGCTCTTTCGGGCTGTCCATCAGAGGTGAAACCGGCCATCTAGATATCTATTGGGGCGACCGCTGCGGTCTGGCTGGCTTGTTCTTGTATCTGGAGCTGCCCCCGCCGTCTGGTTGGCTGTCTCTCTGTCCTGGGCAAGCCTCCCTGCCACCACCATTTGGTTGTCCATCTGTCCAGTCCCACCTGGCAGCCCCCTGCTGTCTGGCTAGCTGTCCAGGGTGACCTCTGCTGTCTGGCCGCCCATCCGTGCCCCTCACAGACTTTAACACTGAGCAGTCCCTCTGTTGGGTGACACCAGCTGGCCTCTACTGTCTGACTGGCTAGCTGACTCCTAGGGGACCCTGTTTGATTCTCTCTGGCTGACTCTTACAGCTTGATTCCTGGCTAGCGCTGGCTCCTCTCTTCCGTGTGAATTCTTCTGTCTGTCTGGCCATCTCCTAGTCTGCCCATGACTACCCCTGAGTGTCTGGCACAACGGCTCTGGAAAGGGGTGGTAGGAGGGTAGAGGGGAGAACAGAGCTGAAGGAGGAGGTTTGGACCCTACTTCCCCTCTCAGCTGGAAGGAGGACTCTGGGGGTACCTTACTTCAGGATTCCTTTCCGAGTGCTAGAACACAGGGGCCCGCCTCCCAGCTACAGCCTACAAATTGGGGGCCCTCCTTTGGAGCCTGGGAAGGGGCTTCTTGCGTGATCAGGCCTCAGTGGCTAGCGCTGGGATGTAGCCTTCTCTGGACAGCCTTGAGAAGCCGCGGTGTGCCCATCTGTCCAGTGGGCAAACTCCACTCTCTGGGGCTGTTTCCAGGATTCAGGAAGCAAATGAATGAGAACAGCCCGTGCAGCCACCTCTCCCTCCCACCAACCCCTCTTGCCTTTCTTGTCTCCCAGATGGGCGGCCACTTCTCCATTCCAGGAACTACTCATTTGTGGTGGTGTGGCTGCCAAATGATAACATCCTCCTCCTGTCATTATTGTCATTGTTATTGTTGTTATCATTGTCAAGGGATAATGTCCCTTCTTGATTCAACATCTTGAATCCCAAGTAAGGAGTGGGGTGGAGGCTGTGTTATCATCCCCACCTTAGCTGAGCTGGGAGGCTCAGAAGGGACTGTGATCACCCAAGGCCACTAGGCTGGCGTAAGGCCTTGTGTCTGCCATCCCAGAGCCTTGGGGCTTTGCTCCAAGCAGCACAAATCTCCTCTTTTGCTACCTTGTCTCTAGCTCATTGCCTTCTGTCTACCGTGGTGGAAAGGTGTGGACTTGCAGCCAGCTGGGCCTGGCCTGATCTCAGGCTGGACTGTGGTGTGGGCCCCTTTGAGTGACCATCTTCCTGCCTGCCCAGGCTTCTGGGACGGGGGTGGGGGGTGTTTGCAAAGCTCTGTCTCTTTCACTTGCCTTGTGACCTTGCACAGGTTGTCTTGGCCTCTCTAAGTCTTGGTTGACTCTCCTAAACAAGTTTATTTTATTTTATTTATTTATTTATTTTTTTTTTTTTTGAGACAGAGTCTCCCTCTGTCATCCAGTCTGGAGTGCAGTGGAGCAATCTTGGCTCACTGCAACCTCTGCCTCCCAGGTTCAGGCCATTCTTCTGCCTCAGCCTCCCGAGTAGCTGGGATTACAGGCGTCTACCACCAAGCCCAACTAATTTTTGTATTTTTAGTAGAGACGGGGTTTCACCATGTTGGCCAGGCTGGTCTCAAACTACTTACCTCAAGTGATCCTCATGCCTTGGCCTCCCAGAGTGCTGGGATTACAGGTGTGAGCCACCAAGCCTCGCCCCAGGAGTTCCAAGACCAGCCTGGGTAACATGACAAGATGCCATTCTACAAAAAATAAAAAAATTAGCCAGGTAGGGTGGTAGTCCCACACCTGTAGTCCCAGCAACTCAGGAGGCTGGCCCTGGGAGGACTGCTTGAGCCCAGGATGTCCAGACTGCAGTGAGCCGTGATTGCACCATTACCCTCCAGCCTGGGTGACAGAACCAGATCCGGTTTCAAAAAAAGAAAAGAAAAAGTGCTTACTTACCTAACGCACTGCCTGGCACATAGTAGGTCTACATGGATGGGGCTATTGTTGTTTATCTGGCTGGTTCCTTTGCTATCAGGGACAAAAGCTAACCAGAATGAAAGTGCTTTCACGTTACACACTTAAGCCTTATGAGGGAGGCATTGCTATAATCCCCATTTTACAGAGCAGGAAACTGAGGCTCAGATAGCTGAGCAGAACACTCTCACTGGAGGCTGTAAAGTGAGGAGTTAGGTGTTCTGGGTTGGGAACCTGGGTCTCTCTCCCATCCTTACCTCTCCTCAGTCCCTCTACCCCTTGCCTTTCTCTCCTGTCTACCATGGTGTCTGGCAGCTGCCGGCCAGTATGGAGCTGGTTCCTGTGGCGACCTCCTAGAATCCTGCAATGCAGGAGTTGCTCATTATATATATATTTTTACACCGAGTCTCACTCTGTTCCCCAGGCTGGAGTGCAGTGGTGTTATCTCAGCTTACTGCAACCTCCACCTCCCATGTTCAAGCGATTCTCATACCTCAGCCTCCCGAGTAGCTGGGATTACAGGCGCGCGTTACCACACCCGGCTAATTTTTGTATTTTTAGCAGAGATGGGGTTTCACCATGTTGGCCAGGCTGGTCTTGAACTCCTGACCTCAGGTGATCCGCCCACCTCGGCCACCCAAAATGCTGGCATTAAAGGTGTGAACCACCATGGCTGGCCTCGTTAAGAGTATTAATTCAGTACCTGAAAGCCAAAGTTGTAAAAAGGCCTCTCTTTGGGTATGAGGGGCTCAAACAAGGCTTACTTTTTTTTGGGGGGGTGTAAGAGATAAGGTCTCTCTTTGTTGCCGAGGTTGGAGTGGAGGGGTGCAGTCCTAGCTCATTGCAGCCTCGAACTCCAGGGCTCAAGCAATCCTCCTGCCTCTGCCTCTAAAAGCACTAGGATTACAGGTGTGAGCCATTGCGCCGAGCCTGGATTTTCTAAGGATGTGGTCCGAGTGGGAACAGCCCAGTTAGTTCAGCCCTATAGCTGGAAGTCCAGATCACTGGCTCTGGGGGCCAAGGCCTGCCTGCTGGGTCTTTTGTTTTACCTGCGTAGCTTTTGTTTTTAATAAGACTTTCCAGTGTTAGATTTCCAGTCAATATCCGGATTTCTTGTGGCTCTAAGACACTCAGATCTATAGAGTTCTGAGTTGTCATGCAAAGGCTGTGGGCCTAAGGCCTGGTTCCACCATGTCTGGCTGTGCGACTCGGCCACGTGGATTTGGCGTTCTGGGCCTCAGATTCCTTTTCTGTAAGCTGAGGGTGGTAACTGGTACCCTGGGGCCTAGATGGGTGATTGGGTGATGCGTGCCGAGTGCATGTGTCTTATACGCATGGTGGCTGTTGTTGTAATCAGTTTCACCTGGCGTTGCTGAGCCTTTGTCCCTTGTGGCAGTAATGGCTTCGATTTCAGAAGCACCAGTCACTGTCCCATCAGACTAAGAGTGGCCACTCCAGCTGCCACAGTCCCCACTACTCCCTAGCACTCACCCAGGCCTAGATCATTTTGCTTGGAGCCTCCTGGCCCTGGAACCTTTGAGTTTGAGACCCCTGGCTTGTCTGCGGTGCACCAGCAGATAGAACTTTGGCCCTAAGGAGAAAGGAGGGCATCACTCCCTCTTGACCCTTGTCATTTAGCCTCAGGGGCTGGCCAGAAGGAAGGCCTTAGGCATTCCCGCACCCTAGCCTCCCGAGTAGCTGGGACTGCAGGCACCCGCCACCACGCCTGGCTAATTTTTGTATTTTTAGTAGAGACGAGGTTTCACCATGTTAGCCAGGATGGTCTCAATCTTCTGACCTTGTGATCCGTCCACCTCGGCCTCCCAAAGTGCTGGGATTACAGGCGTGAGCCACCGCGCCTGGCCTGAGATAGGGTCTTATACTGTCACCCAGGCTAGAGTGCAGTGGCACCATCTCTGCTCACTGCAGCCTTGACCTCCTGGGCTCAAGCGATTCTCCTACCTCTCAGCCTCCTAAGTAGCTGGGACTACAGGCACGTGCCACCACGCTTGGCTAATTTTTCATTTTTTGTAGATACAGGGCCTTGCTGTGTTGCCCAGGCTGGTCTCGACCTCCTCGCCTCAAATGATCCTCCTGCATCAGTCTCCCAACGTGCTGGCATTACAGGTGTGAGCCACTGCGCCCAGCCTCCTCTTCATTAAAATACAAGTTATAATAGCACTTCTTTCCCTTTCTTTTTTTTTTTTGAGACGGAGTCTGGCTCTGTTGCCCAGGCTGGAGTGCAGTGGTGCGATCTCGGCTCACTGCAATCTCGCCTCCTGAGTTCAAGTGATTCTCCTGTCTCAGCCTCCCGAGTAGCTGGGACTACAGTTGCGAGCCACCACACCTGGCTAATTTTTTTTTTTTTTTTTTTGAGACGGAGTTTCATTCTTGTTGCCCAGGCTGGAGTGCAATGGCACGATCTTGGCTCACCGCAACCTCCCCTCCTGGTTTCAAGCCATTCTCCTGCCTCAGCCTCCTGAGTAGCTGGGATTACAGGCATGCACCACCACGCCTGGCTAATTTTGTATTTTTAGTAGAGGCGGGGTTTTCCCGTGTTGGTCAGGCTGGTCTCGAACTCCCGACCTCAGGTGATCTGCCGGCCATGGCCTCCCAAAGTGCTGGGATTACAGGCGTGAGCCACCGTGCCCGGCTAATTTTTCTATTTTTAATAGAGATGGGGTTTCGCCATGTTGGCCAGGCTGGTTCCAAACTCCTGACCTCAAGTGATCTTCCTGCCTTGGCCTCCCAAGGTGCTGGGATTGCAGGTGTAAGCCACCGCGCCCAGCCCCGTCTTCTTTAAAATAGGAGTTATAATAGCACTTCTTTCCCTTTCTTGAATAGGGATTAAGTGAGACAGTTTGGAGTGCTTGGCATAGAAGAAGTGCTTAAAACATTAGGTGTTGTTCGTTCATTAAAAAATGTTTCCTGAGTACTTTTACTGTGTGCCTGGGGACATGGCCCTGAGCAAGTTACCAGAACTTCTGCTCTGGAGGAGCTGGCCTTTCAGCAGGAAGCAAATAAAGGAGAAGCATGGGCCACTTAGTGGCTCAGGCCCACAATCTCAGCTCTTTGGGATCCAGGCGGGAGGATCACTTGAGCCCAGAAGTTGGAGACCAGCCTGGGCAACATAGACCCCGTCTCTACAAAAAATAAAAACATTAGCTGGGCATGGTGACACCTGTAGTCCCAGCTACTCAGGAGGCTGAGGCCGGAGGATGGCTTGAGCCTGGGATTTCAAGGCTGCAGTGAGCTCTGATCACGCTACTGCCTTCCAGCCTGGGCGGAAGAACGAGACCTCGTCTCAAAAAAAAAAAAAAAGGCGATAAGTATGATGGAAAAAAGGATCAAGGAGCAGGATGAGGGAGAGATCACAGTTGGAGGGGGTACATTTTATTTTATTATATTATTATTCTTTGAGACGGAGTCTCACTCTGTCTTCCAGGCTGGAGTGCAGTCACGCGATCTCGGCTCACTGCAACCTCCGCCTCCCAGGTTCACGCCATTCTCTTGCCTCAGCCTCCCGAGTAGCTGGGATTACAGGCGCCTGCCACCAGGCCCGGCTAATTTTTTGTATTTTTAGTAGAGATGGAGTTTCACCATGTTAGCCAGGATGGTCTCGATCTCCTGACTTCGTGATCCGCCCGCCTCGGCCTCCCAAAGTGCTGGGATAACAGGCGTGAGCCACTGCGCCTGGCCAGAGGGGGTACATTTTAAATAGGGAAATTGGTGACATTTGAGCAGAGCCTTGAAGGAGGCGAGGAAGGAACCCCTGGAGACGGGAAGAGAATCCAGTGCAAAGGTCCTGATGTGGGAGGATGCCCGGAGGCCAGTTTAGCAGGCCAGTGGAGGGAGATCAGATCTGGGAGATATTAGGGTGGGACCAGGCCTCTAGGAACATTGTGGGCAGGGAGGCTGTCTGAGCAGAGGGAAGTAAAGCTGGTGGCGCTACTGCTGTCCCTCTGGACCTGGCCAAGCTGAGGGCTCTCTCCTTTGATTTCCAGCTTCAACTCAGTTTTCTCAGTAAGCAGACTCCACAGGCATGTAGGCGCCCCGTGCCATTTTTCTTTTAATAAGAAGCAGCTGTGCCGGGGATGCTGGCGTTTCCAGCTGCGTTTTTATTTGGCCTTTGGTGATGTGTCCCTCCAGGGATATGTGGATGAGCCGCGGGGGCACTGCCTGTGCCTCAGTGGGTGCTGCACCAGTGCACATCGGATGCCCGTTGGCTCCTGTCCCTGACAGATGGAGGGGCACGTGATGTGTTCCTTGGGCTGGTTTGTCCCTTTAACAGATCTTATTAGTTTAGAGCCACTTGGAAATGACATCTTCTGTTTCCAGTGACTTTCCTTTTGGGCAAAGACAAATTGCATCTTGAAAAGGCCATACATGGCCGGGCATGGTGACTCACACCTGTAATCCCAGCATTTTGGGAGGCCGAGGCAGGCAGATCACAAGGTTGGGAGTTTGAGACCAGCCTGGCCAACATAGTGAATCCCGATCTCTACTAAAAATACAAAAATTAGCCAGGTGTGGTGGCGCATGCCTTTAGTCCCAGCTATTTGGGAGGCTGAGGCAGGAGAATCACTTGAACCCAGGAGGAGGAACTTGCAGTAAGCGGAGATCACGCCATTGCACTCCAGCCTGGGGGACAGAGTGAGACTCCATCTCAAAAAAAAAAAAAAAAGGAAAAAAGGAAAGGCCATGCAAGGCTCGGTTAGGGTGGTCTGCAGTGCTGGGCCTGCTGGAATTGGTACAGTCCAGAGGGATCTGTGGGAATATGGAAGGCTTGGTTCTGCCACACACCAAAAAAGTGACCTCACTTCTCTGGGCCTCAGTTTCCTCATCTGGAAAATGGGAACATGGTGGTCTCTGCCTACTGGGAGTGGACTGAGAATCACGTAGCAAATTGTTGTGAAACAGGCAGCATTTGTGATCTCGTTGGTTGGCTTTTGTCTCCTTTTATCTGGGATCAGGACTCTGATGACAGGTGTACGTTTCTTTTCTCTTGCTCTGTCCCCCAGACTGGAGTACAGTGGCGTAATCATGGCTCACTGCAGCCTCCAACTCCTGGGTTCAGGTGGTCCTCTCACCTGAGTCTCCTGAGTAGCTGGGACTATAGGCATGAGCCACCACACCTGGCTAATTACAAAAAAATTTTTTTGGCAGGGAGCGATGGCTCACACTTGTATTCCCAGCACTTGGGGAGGCCGAGGCGGGCGGATCACGGGGTCAAGAGATTGAGACCATCCTGGCCAACATGGTGAAACCCTGTCTCTACTAAAAATCCAAAAATTAGGTGGGTGTGGTGGCTCTCACCTGTAGTCCCAGCTGCTCGGGAGGCTGAGGCAGGAGAATCGCTTGAACCTGGGAGGCGGAGGTTGCAGTGAGCCGAGATCGTGCCACTGCACTCCAGCCTGGGCGACAGAGCGAGACTCTGCCTCAAAAAAAAAAAATTTTTTTTTTTTTAGAGACAGGGTCTTACTTTGTTGCTCAGTTTGGTGTCAAACTCCTGGGCCCAAGCGATCCTCCTGCCTTGGCTTCCCAAAGTGGTGGAATTACAGGTGTGAGCCGCCGAACCCGGCCTTAGTTTCTTTTTCCTTAAAGAGAAGGAACTCATCATTACTCTGTTGATATAAATGGAGTGCCTATCAGTGCAGGCAATGTTCTTGCTCTGGGGATACAGCCAGGACCAGGACATGCAGGCACGCCCTGTTCCCCAGATCCTGAAATATCGACCAGAAGTTGTTCCTGGTTCCTTTCTAAGTGGGAATCATGGCTGCAAACAAGTAATTGGCCGTGAGAGTTATTTACACACATTTTGTGTACGGTGATGAGAAATGGGAGAAAAAATGCCCAGCATCGGATCACCAGAGGTCAGGAGTTCGAGACCAGCCTGGCCAACATGGTGAACCCTCATCTCTACTAAAAATACAAAAATTAGCCGGGCGTGGTGGCAGGCGCCTGTAATCCCAGCTATTCGGGAGGCTGAGGCGGAGAATCGCTTGAACCTGGGGGACGGAGGTTGCGGTAAGCCGAGATTGCGCCGCTGCACTCCAGCCTGGGCAACAGAGCGAGACTCTGTCTCAAAACAAACAAACAAACAAAAACCAATGATAGGGGATTTGGCCAGATAAGCGTGTCCAGACAACCGACTATCAACTCGCTACTCAGAGGGATCTAGAAGAATCTTTAATGACCCAGAAAGCTGCACAAGACCTGTTAGGTACCAGATGAAATGGGCTGTGGGATCCTGTCTTGTTTAAAACGATTGTATTTGCTCAGTGAAAAGACCGGAAAGACATACTCTGCCCTAACCCCACATGTGAATCGTCTCCCCATGTGATTCTTGGTTTGTTTTTGCTGGTTTGGGGATTAGGTTTATAATCAGGAAGACAGATTTCTCCAAAGCTGCGCTCTAGGCTGTCCAAGTGCTTTTTCAGAGTTACTTATTGACGGATAACAGCCCTTGATAGGTTCATAACATTGAAATCCCCTGGTAATAACCTGGATTGTTTCTGGATGAGGGCGGAAGATGGCCTTGGGGACAGTTGTAGATTTAGAGAGGAGGTTTTCTTTTCTTTTCTTTTTCTTTTTTTGTTTTTTTTTGAGACGGGATCTCACTCTGTTGCCTAGGCTGAAATGCAGTGGCGTGATCACAGCTCACAGCAACCTCAACTTCCTGGGCTCAAGGGATCTTCCCACTTCAGCCTCCCAATTAGCTGGGACCACAGGTGTGCGCCACCACCCCCAGCTAATTTTAAGAAATTTTTTGTAGAGGTGGGGTCTCATTATTTTTTGCCCAGGCTAGTCTCAAACCCCTGGGCTCAAGTGATTCTCCTGCCTCGGCTTCCCAAAGTGCTGGGATTACAGGCAAGAGCCACGGCACCCGGCCTAGGTTAGATTTAGAGTTTTCAGAGTTGGCTTAGGCGGTAGAGGCTGGCCTTTGAATGGAACCCTGTCTCGCTGTCGCTCTCAGCGTTTATATTTGGCTCAGAGCCACATCTGCCAAACTTCTGCCCGATTTGAATGAAAGTGCTGAAATTATAGGCCCCTCGGCTGCTGAAAAAAAGTGAGAACATCATGTAAACCGTAATTTACTGGGATTGCCAACTACAAGCTGTAATTAAGCCCTTATTGTGTTAAAGCTTTGGAAAAATCCAAGCCAATAATGAGATATTTATAGGGCATTAGCTACAATCTGAATAAAGGGAAAATGTGGCCCTGCGTCTGAAGCAGGACTGCAAAGAGAGGAAAGACGCCTGCTTCCGGGTGCGTTTTGGGTTTCTGTGAATATTGGTAACTAGGTCCCTGCTGGGTGGTGGGAAATTTTCCCCTGTGGCGTCACCCGTAGCTTGAACCGGGAGCTGGATGACTGTTTCAGTTTCATCTGCTGCTGGACATTTATGATGTTAAGAGCCAGTGTTTATGGAGAATCACCGTGTGCCACATGTGCAAGATCTGACCAGTGTCTTCTCTGCCCAGGGGTGGCAGCTGCTGCTCTTAGCATCCCTGCTTTATAGGTAGAGAAACTGAGGCCAGAGAGGGAGACTGGCCTGAAGTCACACAGGGAGGAGGACAGAGGAGTTGGAGCTTGAACTGGATGTGGGCCCTCTAGAGCCACACATATGGCGGCTTTGGGTGGGAAGGTGTGGGCCTGACTCTTGAGAGCAGGGCTGAATGGTGGGCACCATGGCGTTTGTATCTGAGGACTGGGCCAAGATTACAGAGGGAGTGAGCAACGCGTGGCTTTGGATATGCATCGAGGTTGTCAGCTCTGTGTCCAGCCTGCGTGTGGTAAGCAGCAACCACTCTACACCAGTTGCTGGGCACCCAGCAGGGACTGGGACAGACAGGACAGGTGAACAGTTAAATGAGCAAGAACATTCTGGGGCAGGCACAGGGGCTCACACCTGTAATCCCAGCACTTTGAGAGGCCAAGGCGGGCAGATCACTTGAAGCCAGGTGTTCGAGACCAGCCTGGCCAGCATGGCGAGCCCCATCTCTACCAAAAATACAAAAATTAGCTGAGCATGGTGGTACTTGTCTGTCGTCCCAGCTACTTAGCAGGCTAAGGTGGGAGGATCTCCTGAGCCCAGGAATTCGAGGTTGCATTGAGCTATGATTGCACCACTGCGCTCCAGCCTGGGTGACAGCAAGACCCGGTCTCAAAAAAAAAAAAAGGCTGTATGCGGTGGTTCACGCCTGTAATCCCAACACTTTGGGAGGCTGAGGTGGGAGTTCGAGACCAGCCTGGCCAACATGGCGAAACCCCATCTCTACTAAAAATATAGGCAGGAGAATGGCGTGAACCCGGGAGGCGGAGCTTGCAGTGAGCCGAGATCGCACCACTGCACTCCAGCCTGGGCGACAGAGCGAGACTCCGTCTCAAAAAAAAAAAAAAAAAAAAAAAAAATATAAAAAATTAGCCAAGCATGGTGGCGGGCACCTGTAATCCCAGCTACTCGGGAGGCTGAGGCAGGAGAATTACTTGAAGGTTGCAGTGATCCGAGGTGGAGGTTGCAGTAATCCGAGATCATGCCACGGCCCTCCAGCCTGGGCAACAAGAGCGAAACTCTATCTCAAAAAAAACAAAAATAAAAATATTCTGAAGAGTGAGAAGCGGTTTGCCCTGTACTGCATTGGGTGGGGGAATGGCTGCAGGGGGCTGCTTCACATGTGGCTTGTTGGGATGGGTGTCCTGCAGTGGAATAGCCCCGCCAGGACTTGGGGGAACAGCATCGCAGGCCAGGGAAACAGCAGGTGCAGAGGCCTCGCACACACCCGGCCCGCTGAGTGCCCCCTGCGGACCGGAAAGGACCAGTAGGCACGTGAGAGTTAGGACGCTGCCCGTGGAATGCCGACTTTTCTAAATTTGAATTACGCAAGTAGAGCGTGGAGACAGTGTTCTTGGAAAAAGGGAAACCATTACAGATGAGGAAGAGCACACTGCCCAGCCCGTCCCTTCCTCCAGCTCTACCTGGGAGCACCACTGTCACTTCAGGGTATGTCTAGCCAGACCCCTCTGGTGTTTCTGTACTTAGGTACATGCTGGTACCTATAGAGAATACGTGGCACCATTATGGGTGGTTATTTTTTTTTTTTTTGGAACAGGTCTCACTCTGTCACCCAGGCTGGAGTGCAGTGGCACAGTCATGGCTCGCTGCAGCCTTGACATCCTGTGCTCAAGCCATCCTCCTACCTCAGCCTCCTGAGTACCTGGGACAACAACCACATGCCACCACGCCCAACTAATGTTTATAATCTTTTGTACAGATGGGGTTTCTCTATGTTGCCAAGGCTGGTCTCAAACTCCTGGGCTCATGCGATCCTTTCACGTTGGCCCCCCAAAGTACTGGGATTGTAGACATGAGCCACCTCTCCCAGCCACGTGCATATATTTGTTGAATGAAAGTAGCTAAAGGCTGGAAGTGGTGACTCACGCCTGTAATCCCAGCACTATGGGAGGCCGAGGCAACATGGCTTGAGCTCAGGAGTTTGAGACCAGCCTGGGCAACATGGTGAGACCTCGTCTCTACCAAAAATACAAAAATTAGCAGGCGTGGTGGTGCATGCCTGTACTCTTAGCTACTTGGAATCCCGAGGTGCGAGGATCCCTTGAGCTAGGGTAGCGGTGGAACTTGCAGTGAGCCCACACTGTGCCATTGCACTGCAGCGTGGGTGACAGAGCGAGACCCTGTCTCAAAAAAAAAAAAGTAGCTAAAAACCAGAATGGAGTGAATTTCACTGCACAGTCATGGAGGGGACCAGGCAGAGGACAGCCCTGGGTCTTGGTTTTGGAGACTCACAGCCTGCCTGGGGATGCAGGGACCCTGAAGCAAGGACATCTTCCTTTGGAGGAAGTGGAGATTTGCTCCATCTATATAAAGAGTAATAACAGTAATAGGCTGAGACCCTGAGGCTGGGCAGCGTGGGTGTCTATCTGCGTTGGCTTCGAGGGCTGTAAGATGGGGCTAGCAGCGTCCCCTCCAGGGTGGGAGTGAGGCCCTGTATGGCAACCTGCGGGGTGCCCCCTCTGACTTTTGCTTCCTGCCTGGCTGCTCAGTGGCCCTGGCAGGGGCAGGCACCACTGCTCTTTCTGTTACAAGAGACCTCCTTTGGATAAATCTGAACACGCTCCCATGGCAGACCTATGGGGCGGTAGACAAGAGGCCAGCAGAGCTGTCCCAGGCCCTGGTGACACCTCCATGCCCAGGTGAAGGAGGAGCAGGCTACTTGGAGCCTGCCCTGTGACACACTTTCGCGGTGATGAGAGCTTCTCAGGGCTGCGATCCTGGCGGGCCAGTCAAGCGGGCAGGAGCAGCCCCAGCCAGGGTGACCCTGCCTGCTGGGTGATACGCCCTGGCACGACCAGGCCAGCCCTGGGGAAAGCCCCCAGGGCGGATCAGGGAGGGACACAGCTGTCCTGGCCATGAGACTTCTGTCTTTTGTATGGATACACAGGGTCCTTCTAGAGGGTCACAGCCTCCACCCCCGGGAGGCCTACCAGCTGGCCGCGCAGCCAGGATCCTGCAGCCACCAGGACACTGCCTTTCCAGGTTGTTCTTTTCTTTTCCTTCTTTTTTTTTTTTTTTTTGAGGCAGAGTCTCACAGTGTCGCCCGGGCTGGAGTGCAATGCATGATCTCAGCTCACTGCAACCTCCACCTCCTGGGTTCAAGTGATTCTCCTGCCTCAGCCTCCTGAGTAGCTGGGATTACAGGTGTGCACCACCACGCCTGGCTAATTTTTTGTATTTTTAGTAGAGATGGGGTTTTGCCATGTTGGCCAGGCTGGTCTCGAACTCCTGGCCTCAGGTGATCCACCCGCCTCGGCCTCCCAAGGCTCTGGGATTACAGGCGTGAGCCGCCGTGCCCGGCCCCCAGGTTGTTCTTTTCTACATCAACATCAGGGGACAGTGACTGAGAGAGGCCACGAGCCACTGGCTCAGCTTGACGAAGGCTTCCTGTGGTTTGGGTTGATGTATCTCTCTGTCTTGCAACACTGAGTTCCCCGTTGTCTGGGCGGAAGCCAGTCAGACGGAAGCCCGGCTTCTGTGGTGCCTGCCCTGGTGGCCTGGACAGGTTGCTGGGAAGCTCAGGTCAGGCTGCTTTCTGAGGTGGGGAGGCCCCACCTGGAATGTGCTCCCAGCACTGGGTGAAAATTGATGCACAGGCTTGATTTTTTTTTTTTTTTTTTGAGACGGAGTTTCGCTGTTGTTGCCCAGGCTGGAGTGCAATGGTGCAATCTCGGCTCGCTGCAACCTCCGCCTCCCAGGTTCAAGCGATTCTTCTGCCTCAGCCTCCCGAGTAGCTGTGATTACAGGCGTGCACCATCACACCCGGCTAATTTTTTGTATTTTTAGTAGAGACTGGGTTTCACCATGGCCAGACTGGTCTTGAACTCCTGACCTCAGGTTATCCGCCTGCTTCAGCCTCCCAGAGTGCTGGGATTACAGGCATGAGCCACCGCGCCCTTAAACTCTTTTCTGTTAAAGGAGTTATTCAACTGTTTACTCGTTGTGGAGAAAAAAAAAAAAAAAAAAACAGGCCGGGCGGTGGCTCATGCCTGTAATCCCAGCACTTTGGGAGGCCGAGGCGGGCGGATCACGAGGTCAGGAGATTGAGACCATCCTGACTAACACGGTGAAACCCCACCTCTACTAAAAATACAAAGAATTAGCTGGGCGTGGTGGCGAGCGCCTGTAGTCCCAGCTACTCGGGAGGCTGAGGCAAGAGAATGGTGTGAACCCAGGAGGCGGAGCTTGCAGTGAGCCGAGATCGCGCCACTGCACTCCCGCCTGGGTGATAGAGCGAGACTCCGTCTCAAAAAAAAAGGAAAAACAATTCACCCTGTCCGGAAGTGCACAGAGTAAGGCTGGGTGTCCTTTGCATGGGAACGACCTCTAGCAGTCTGTGGCTCTTGCCAGATTTTTTATATATATATATATATTTCTAGGTGTGACTACCCCCGACTCATCCAACCAGTGAGCCTATAAGTCTAGTAACAAACGCTCCCGCTCCACAGTCCAAAGTCTCAACAGAATGTGACTGTCTTGCACCAGGTCCCTGCTATATTTAGTGCCTCCAAGAATGTTTGGCTTTTGTTTTCTGTTTTTTTTTTCTTTTGAGACAAAGTCTCGCTCTTGTTCCCCAGGCTGGAGTGCAATGGCGCGATCTCGGCTCACTGCAAGCTCCGCCTCCCAGGTTCAAGCGATTCTCCTGCCTCAGCCTCCCGAGTAGCTGGGATTACAGACACCTGTCACCATGCCCAGCTAATTTTTGTAGTTTTAGTAGAGATGGGGTTTCACCATGTTGGCCAGGCTAGTCTTGAACTCCCGACCTCAGGTGATCCACCCTCCTCGGCCTCCCAAAGTGCTGGGATTACCAGTGTGAGCCACCGCGCCTGGGCTGGTGTGGTTTTTTTTTTTTTTTTTGGAGACAGGGTCCCACTCTTTCACCCAGGTTGGAGTGCAGTGGCATGATGTCGGCTTACTGCAACCTCCCCCTCTCGGGCTCAAACCATTCTCCCACCACAGCCTCCCAACTAGCTGGGACCACAGGCGCGCACCACAATGGCCGGCATTTTTTTTTTATTTTCGGTAGAGACAGGGTTTCTCCATGTTGCCCAGGCTGGTCTTGAACTCCTGAGCTCAGGTAATCTGCCTGCCTCAGCCTCCCAAAGTGCTGGGATTGTAAGCATGAGCCACAACGCCCTGCCTAGAAATAATTTTAGATTTAGAGAAAATAAATAAGCTTCAAATTTACAGAAAGTACAAAGATAACACAGAGAGCTCCTGTACATCCTTCACCAGTGTCCTCTAATTTTATATTTCTTACAACCAAGAAATTAACCTAGCTACTCAGGAGGCTGAGGCGGGAGGATTGCTTGAGTCTAGGAGTTAAAGCCCAGCTTTGGCAACATAACCTCTTCTCTAAAAATAAATGAATGAGGCCGGACATGGTGGCTCACGCCTGTAATCCCAGCACTTTGGGAGGCAGAGGCAGGTGGATCACCTGAGGTCAGGAGTTCAAGACCAGCCTGGCCAACATAGCGAAACCCCATCTCTACTAAAAATACAAAAAATTAGCCAGGTGTGGGGACATGTGCCTGTAGTCCCAGCTATTTGGGAGGCTGAGGCAGGAGAATTGCTTAAACCTGGGAAGCGGAGGCTGCAGTGAGCCGAGATCGCGCCACTGTACTTCAGCCTGGACAACAAAAGGAGACTCCATCTCAAAAAATAAAAAAAAAAAAATGAATGAATGAAATTAACCTTGGTATACTACTATTAAGTGAGGCCTGGCGGGATGTTGTGGCTCACACTGTAATCTCAGCACTTTGGGAGGCCAAGGTGGGTGGATCACTTGAGGCCAGGAGTTTGAGACCAGCCTAGACAACATATCAAAACCCTGTCTCTACAAAAAATTGAGTGTGGTGGTATACACCTGTAGTCCCAGCCACTCGGGAGGCTGAGGTAGGAGAATTGCTTGAACCTGAGAGGCCAAGGTTGCCATGAGCTGAGATCAAGCCACTGCACTCCAGCTTGGGCAACAGAGGGGGACTCTGTCTCAAAAAAAAAAAAAAAAGGAAGGGAGGCCAGGTACAGTGGCTCACACCTGTAATCCCAGCACTTTGGGAGGCTAGATTGCTTGAGCCCAGGAGTTTTAGACCAGCCTGGGCAATATAGTGAGACCTCGTGTGTAGAAAAAAAAAAAAATTAGCTTGGCCTGGTGGTGCTCACCTGGAGTCCCAGCTCCTCTGGAGGCTGAGACAGGAGGATCACTTGAGCCCTGGAGGTTGAGGCTGCAGTGAGTGATGATTGCACCATTGCACACCAGCCCGGGCAACAGAGCCAGACCCTGTCTCAAAAAAAAAAAAAAAAAAAAAAAGCCAAAGCCAGAATGTACAGATTTCTTCAATTTTTCCCATATGAGACTAATTTAAAAAAAAATTTTTTTTTTTTATCGAGATGGGGGTCTTGCTGTCTGGAAGTATACATACTGAGAAATTTTATTTTTCAAACAAAATCACCCCTTTTCCTGTCTTAGGACTGGACATTGCATCTAGTTGTCGGATCTCCTTAAGCCTTTTTCTGGTCTGGGAAGCAACTCAGCCCTTCCTTGTTTTTTATAACCTTGGTAAGTCATGGAATGTCCCTCAATTAGGGCTTATCTGGAATTCTTCATGGTGAGCCTGGGGTGTGAGTTTTGGGGAAGAAGGCCATTGGTGAGGTGCCCCTCTCTTCTGTGAATCTTTTTTTGTTTGTTTGTTTTTTGTTTTTGTTTTTTTGAGATGGAGTCTTGCTCTGTCGCCCAGGCTGGAGTGCAGCGGCGCGATCTCAGCTCACTGCAAGCTCTGCCTCCTGGGTTCACGCCATTCTCCTGCCTCAGCCTCCCGAGTAGCTGGGATTACAGGCTGCCACCATGCCCGGCTAATTTTTGTATTTTTTTTTAGACGGGGTTTCACCGTGTTAGCCAGGATGGTCTCGATCTCCTGACCTCATGATCTGCCCGCCTCTGCCTCCCAGAGTGCTGGGATTACAGGCGTAAGCCACCTCGTCCAGCCATCTTCTGTGAATCTTATCAGGAGTATAGGATACCAACAAGACTGATAAATTATTGACAGTGATAACTGATGATGCTGACCTTGATCTCTTGGCTGAGGTAGGCTTGCTAGGTTTCCCCACTGGAAAGTTACTAGTTTTCTTCTTTTCATACTCTATCCTTTGGGATCATGGAAAATTTTATTTTTATTTTATTTTTGGAGAGTCTCGCTCTGTCATCTAGGCTGGAGTGCAATGGTGTGATATTGGCTCACTGCGACCTCCGCCTCCCGGATTCAAGCGATTCTCCTGCCTCAGCCGCTTGAGCAGCTGAGACTACAGGCGCCCACCACCACGCCCGGCTAATTTTTTTTTTTCAAGAGATGGGGTCTCGCTGTGTTGCTCAGGCTAGTCTCAAACTCCTAGACTCATGTAATAATCCTCTTGCCTCTGGCTCCCAAAGTGCTGGGATTACAGGCATTAACCACTGTGCCCGGCCTTTTCTGGCACTATTGAAAAGACCATCCTTTCTCCCTAAAGTTGCTTTTGTCTGGAATTAGTTGGCCATATTTGTGTGGGTCCAACCTGAACTGTCTGTTCTGTGACGTTGATGTATGGCTCTGTCCTTTCTCCAAAACCACATATCTTTCTTCTCTTTTTAGATAGAGATGGGGGCTGGGCACAGTGGCTGACGCCTGTAATCCTAACACTTTGGAGGCAGGTGGATCACTTGAGGTCAGGAGTTTGAAACTGGCCTGGCCAACATGGTGAAACTCCGTCTCTACTAAAAATACAAAAAAATTAGCTGGGCGTGGTGGTGGGTGCCTGTAATCCCAGCTAATTGGGAGACTGAGGCAGGAGAATCACTTGAACACGGGAGGTGGAGGTTGCAGTGAGCCAAGATCGCGCTATTGCACTCCAGCCTGGGCAACAGAGTGAGACTCTGTCTCAAAAAAAAAAAAAAAGAAAAAAAGAAAAAAATAGAGATGGGGTCTCACAATGTTGCCTAGGCTGGTTTCAAACTACTGGGCTGGTGATGCTCCTGCCTCAGCCTTCCACAGTGCTGGCATTATGGGCGTGAGCCACCACGCCCACTCATTTCTATATTGCTGTAGCTTTATAGTAAGACTTGAAATCAGGCCATGTGAGTCCTCTTTTTTCTTGTTTCTCAAAATTGTTTTGTCTAGTCTAGTTCCTTTGCCTCCACATATATATTTTAGAATCAGCTTGTTGATTTCATAGAAAAGATCATTGTGTATTAGTACGTGGAAAGCCACGGTATTAGTTTTTTGTTTGTTTGTTTGTTTGTTTAGACAAAGTCTCTCTCTGGCACCCAGGCTGGTGTGCCAATAGTGTTGGGATTACAGGCGTGAACCACTGTGCCCAGCTGGTACTGGTTTTTATAACTGTGTATTATTCCATCCACTGTCACTACTTCCCCAGGACCAGTACAGTTTCTGCCTCCTCAGTCTTGCACCTTTAACCTTGTCCTCACCCCCAGGCTGTTCTCCCTGCAGTGGACAGAGGGAGCCTGTTAAGAATATCCTTCCTAGCTGGGCGCCGTGGCTTACGCTGTAATCCCAGCACTTTGGGAGGCCGAGGTGGAAGGATCTCTTGAGCCCAGGAGTACGAGACCAGCCTGGGCAACATAACGAGACCCCCATCTCTACAAAACATTTAAAAATTAGCCAGGCATGGCAGCGCATACTTACAGTCCCAGCTACTCAGGAGGCTGAGGTGGGAGGATTGCTTGAACCCAGGAATTTGAGGCTGAAGTGAGCTGTGATCCTGTCAGTGCACTCCAGCCGGGGAGACAGAGGGAGACCCTATATCCTTCCTCTACTTGGAATCCTCCCTGGCCCTCAGTTCCCTCAGGGTAAAAATGAAGTCGTCCCTGAGGCTCCATGATGTTCTCATGCAGGTGAGGCGCTGTCCTACCTCATGGCTTTTTCACATGCTGCTTCCACTGCCTGCACTGCCCTTCCCCCAGATAACCCTGTGGCTCATTTCATCAGCATTCTAAGGCCTCTGCTTAAAAGCCTCCTTCTCAAAAGGCTCTCCCCCTGGCCACTCTGCTCAAACGCCCCACCCTGTTCTCTCTGTCCCCTTCCCCTGCTTAATTTTTCTTGGAACCACTTGTCATTCCTGTCATTGTTCCACCTATGCGTTTGGTTTCTTGTTTTCTTTTTTTGGGGTGGAGTCTTGCTCTGACTCCCAGGCTGGAGTGGAGTGGCGATCTTGGCTCACTGCAACCTCTGCTTCCCGGGTTCAAGCGATTCTCCTGCCTCAGCCTCCCAAGTAGCTGGGATTACAGGCGCACGTCAACATGCCCGTATATTTTTGTATTTTTAGTAGAGACGAGGTTTCACTATGTTGGCCAGGCTGATCTCGAACTGCTGACTTCAGGTGATCTGCCAGCCTTGGCCTCCCAAAGTGCTGTGATTACAGGCATGAGCCACCGCACCCGGCCTATTTGTTTGATTTCTCTTTCTGTCTCCCCCCACTAGAAGGGGAATGCCCCATGGTAGGGCGGTGCCCCTGGCTGTAGCGCAGTCCCTTGCATGGTGCCTGGCATGCGATAGGTAATCGGGGCACCCATCTCCCTCTCGGGATGCACTCATTGATGTACTTGTCAATCACTGAGCAAGACCCACTCAGCAATGTCTGCTGAGCCTGCTCTGTGCCAGGCTCTGACCTGAACTGCCACCCTTCTGGAGTCAAACAGGCCTGGTTGCCACCAAGAGGAGTTAGGCCTGGCAGAGGAGACAAGCATTAGTCTCACAACAGAAGGAAGTAGGCCGGACGTGGTGGCTCATGCTTGTAATCCCAGCACTTTGGAAGGCCGAGGTGGGCAGATCATCTGAGGCTGGGAGGTGGAGGTTGCAGTGAGCCAAGATCACGCCGCTGTACTCCAGCTTGGGTGAAAGAGCGAGACTCCATCTCAAAAAATAAATAAATAAATAAATAAATAAAAAGGAAGTGGAGACTTTCATTGAGATCAGTATCAAAGGGCACGAGGTGGCAGGGCATGGTGGCTCACGCCCATAGACCCAGCACTTTGGGAGGCTGAGGTGGGAGGATTGCTTGAGCCCAGGAGTTTGATACCAGCCTGGGCAATATAGTGAGACCTCATGTCAACAAAAACAGACAAAACAAAAAAAACAGGGGAGGGAGGGCTACAGGAGGGTGGGATGAGGACTGGCCACAGTTGGAGGCCAGGCCCTTCCTGGGGATCCCAGCGGTTGTTACTCTTTAAGAAGGACCTGGCCTGGTGTGGTGGCTCACGCCTGTGATCCCAGCACTTTGGGAGGTTGAGGCGGGTGGATCACTTGAGGTCAGGAGTTGAAGACCATCCTGGCCAACATGGCAAAACCCCATCTCTATGAAAAATACAAAAAAAAGTTAGTTAGCTGGGCGTGGTGGTGGGTGCCTGTAATCCCAGCTACTTGGGAGGCTAAGGCAGGAGAAGTGCCTGAACCCAGGAGGCAGAGGTTGCTGTGAGCTGAGATCGCACCGTTGCACTCCAGCCTGGGCAACAAGAGCAAAACTCCATCGCAAAAAAAAAAAAAAAAGGCTGGGCTCAGTGACTCACGCCTGTAATCCCAGCACTTTGGGAGGCCGAGGTGGGCGGATCACGAGGTCAGGAGATTGAGACCATCCTGGCTAACACGGTGAAACCCCGTCTCTACTAAAAATACAAAAGATTAGCGGGGCGTGGTAGCGGGCGCCTGTACTGTAGTCCCAGCTACTCAGGAGGCTGAGGCAGGAGAATGGCTTGAATCCTGGAGGAGGAGCTTGCAGTGAGCCGAGATCACGCCACTGCACTCCAGCCTGGGCGACAGAGCGAGACTCCGTCTCAAAAATAAATAAATAAATAAAAGAAGGACGTGTTCCCTTGTTCTTCTATGGGGACATGGGGAACTCCTGTACTGTTTTATTTTCCTGAAATATTTTTATTGAAATATAATTCACATACCATAATACCTAATCCTTTTGAAATATACTATTCAGTGGATTTTAGTATATTCACAGTTGTGTAACCAGCACCACTATCTGATTTTGTAGCACTTTCATTTCCCCTAAACCCATACATATGAAGCAGTTCCTCCCTCCCCCAGCACCTGGAAGCCACTAATGTCCTTTCTGTCTGTGAATTTGCCAATTTTGGATATTTCCTATAAATGGAATCTTACAGTATATGGCCTTTTGTGTGTGGCTTTGTTTATTTAGCATCATGTTTTCAAGATTCATCCATGCTGGTTGGGTGCAGTGGCGCACGCCTGTAATCCCAGCATTTGGGAGGCTGAGGCGGGCAGATCACTTGAGGGCAGGAATTGATGAGACCAGCCTGCCCAACATGGTGAAACCCCTTCTCTACTAAAAATACAAAAATTAGCTGGGTGTAGTGGCACATGCCTGTAATTCCAGCTACTCTGGGTGGCTGAGGCACGAGAATCTCTTGAACCTGGGGGGCAAGGTTGCAGTGAGCCGAGATCACTCCACTGCACTCTAGCCTGGGCAACAGAGCAAGACTCTCTCTCTCTCTCAAAAAAAAAAAAAAAAAAAAAAAAAAGAATTCACCAATGAAGCCACCTGGGCCTGGACTTTTCTTTGTGGGACGTTTTTTGAATACTAATTAAATTTCTTGTACATCTATTGAGTTTTTCTGTGTCTTCTTGAGTCAGTTTCAGTAATTTGGGTCTTTCTAGGAATTTGTCCATTTCATCTAGGGTGTATTTAATTTGTTAGAATAGTATTCCCTTATCATCTTTTTTATTTCTGAAAGGTTGGTAGTGATGTCTCCTCTTTATTTCTGATTTTTGTAATTTGAGTCTTATCTCTTTTTCTCTTGGTTAATCTAGCTAAAGGTTTGTCAGTTTGGTTGATCTATTCAAAGAGCAAATTGTGGTGGTGTTAACTTCTCTCTCCATTTTTTTAGTCTCTTTATTTCTTCTCTAATTATTTCCTTCTTTTCTCTTTGGATTTGGTTTACCCTCCTTTTCTGAGGTTCTTGAAGTGGAAGATTATTGAAATCTGAAAGTATTTGAAATCTTTCTCTTTTTTTTGTTTTTTTTTTTTGAGACGGAGTCTCGCTCTGTCGCCCAGGCTGGAGTGCAGTGGCACGATCTTGGCTCACTGCAAGCTCCGCCTCCCAGGTTCACGCCATCCTCGTGCCTCAGCCTCCTGAGTAGCTGGGACTACAGGCACCCACCACCATGCCTGGCTAATTTTTGTATTTTTGGTGGAGACGGGGTTTCACCATGTTGGTGAGGCTGGTCTCAAACTCCTGACCTCAGGTGATCCACCCACCTCGGCCTCTTAAAAGTGTGGGGATTACAGGCGTAAGCCACCGCGCCCGGCCAAAATCTTCCTTCTTTTTAAATACAGTTGCTTACATCTATGAATTTCCCTGTAAACCTGCTTTAGCTGCATCCATAAGTTTTGATATGTTGTGTTTTCATTTTCATTTATCTCAGCATATCTTCTCATTTCTCTTATGATTTCTTCTTTGATACATAGGTTATTTAGCAGTATGTTCATTTCTATATATTTGAGAATTTCTGAAAAACATCTTTCTTGTGTTCATTTCTAACTTCATTTCACTGTGGTTGGAGGAACTACTTTGTATGATTTCAATCTCTTTAAAATTATTGAGTCATGTTTTATGGCTTGGCCTCGAATACGGTGTGTCCTGGAGAATGTTCCATATGCACATGATAAGAATGTGTATTTTACTCTTGGGTGGAGTGTTCTGTACACATCTGTCAGGTCTTATTGGTTTCGTATTTTCTATTTCCTTGTTATCTTTTATTTGGTTGTTCCATCCATTATTATTATTTTTCTTGCCTGATACCAATGCTGATATCCATCCATGATTGAAAGTGGGGTATTGAAGTCTCCAACTTTCTTTCTTTCTTTTTTCTTTTCTTTTTGGAGACACGGTCTTGCTCTGTCTCCCAGGCTGGAAACGTGGTGGCATGATCATAGCTCACTGTAGCTTCTGTCTCCTGGGCTCACATGATCCTCCCACCTCTGCCTCCCGAGTAGCTGGGACCACAGGCGTGTGCCACACCCGACTAATTTTTGTATTTTTTCTAGAGGTAGGGTCTTGCTATATTGACCAGGCTGGCCTTGAACTCTTGGGCTCAAGTGATCCTCTCATCTTGGCCTCCCAAAGTGCTGAGATTACAGGCATGAGCCACTGTGCTCAGCCCCAAATTGGCCAATATTTCTTTCTTTTTTTTTTTTTTTTGAGACAGAGTCTTGCTCTGTCGCCCAGGCTGGAGTGCAGTGGCGCGATCTTGGCTCACTGCAAGCTCCGCCTCCCGGGTTCACGCCATTCTCCTGCCTCAGCCTCCCAAGTAGCTGGGAGTACAGGTGTCCGCCACCATGCCCGGCTAATTTTTTTTGTATTTTTAGTAGAGACGGGGTTTCACCGTGTTAGCCAGGATGGTCTCTATCTCCTGACCTTGTGATCCACCCGCCTCTGCCTCCCAAAGTGCTGGGATTACAGGCGTGAGCCACCACGCCTGGCCAATATTTCTTTTGTTCTGTGCTTTTTCCTTCCTCCCTCCCTTCCTCTTTACCTTCCTCTTTACCTTCCTCTTTCCCTCCCTCCCTTCTTTCCTTCCTTCCTTCCTTTTTGTTCTTGTTCTTTTCTTTTTCCTCTACCCTTCTTTCTTTTCCTTCTTTCTTTTTTTCTTTCTTTGTTTTTGCTTGATTGCAGCATCATGAGAGAGTCCTGTGCTTTTTTATAGCTGCAAGTATTCCTGGGTCGAGCCTACTCCCACTAACACTGATCACTCTCCCCCTTGAATTTTTAGGTTATTTCTAGTTTTTCCCCTCCTGCCAGAGACTTGGGGGTCCGCAGGCTTGTGTGTCTGCTATGCTCAGGGTGGATACCCTGCAAGGGAGTGCCATGTTGCATCAGAAGTGGATTTAGAGTGATGTTGCCAGGCCCACCAGGAAAGGCTGTGCCAAGGCTCTTTGCTGGGGTGCCAAGAAGAAGGGTCTGTGCCTGTTGTGGTGCCAGGCATTGACATCCTTCACTCCCACCCCCGTCACCCTCATGAACTAGTGAACTAGTCCTGTGGAATAGGGCCTTATGCGTGCTAGACCCTGGGTTTGTCCTGCTGACAACCCCATAGTGTAGGTGCTGTTATCCCAATTTCATAGAGAAACTGAGGGCTGGGGAAGTGGCAGCCTTCATTCAGTTCCTGCCGTGAGGCTGTGGCTGAGCTGCCAGGCTGCAGAGTCTTCACCCAATGATCTTGCTCAGTTGTCCCCATGAGGAAGCTGAGCCTGGCCTTCCTGTCTCTGGAGTCCAAGGTTTCCTTTCCTTGTGTGCCCCTGGAAGTGCTGTGTGGTGACCGGGATGGTGCCTGGCAGATGGAGATTAGACGCAGGTTGGATTGGTGCCTCATTGGTCAGGAGGGCTGCTCTTAGCTGTGTGCCAATAGACCGGATGACTTAATCTCTCTATCCTTGGTTTCCCCATCTGCAAAACAGGGTTGGCCAGAGCCCTGTGAAGGTGGAAGAAGGCCCTGTGTGCCTGGAGCTTTGTGCAGTGCCCTGGAGATGCTAGCTTGTTTTTCTTTCTTTTTTTTTTTTTTTTTTGAGACAGAGTCTCCCTCTGTCATGCAGGTTGTGGTGCAGTGGCTCAGTCTCCGCTGACTGCAGCCTCAACCTCCTGGGCTCAAGTGATCCTCCCACCTCAGCCTCTCAAGTAGCTGGGACCACAGGCGTGTGCCACCACGCCCGGCTAATTTTTTGTAGAGGCGAGGTTTCATCATGTTGCCCAGGCTGGTCTTGAACTCCTGAGCTCAGGTGTTCCGCCTGCCATGGCCTCCCAAAATACTAGGATTACAGGTGTGAGCCACCACGCCCGGCCGTGATGCCAGCTTCTTTTGCCGTGCAGCTAGCATTTGCTGAACACCTGCTGTGTGCCAGATAGTGTGCTGGAGGCAGGGCAGTGAACAAGACAGACGAGATCCCTGTCCTGTGGAGCTGATGCTCTAGCTGGGGGCCTGAGGGGTGGGAAGGAAGCACAGGTGCTCGGGTGAGAAAAAACATCATGCGGCCAGGCATGGTGGCTCACACCTGTAATCCCAGATCTTTGGGAGGCTGAGGCAGGCGGATCATCTGAGGTCATGAGTTCGAGACCAGCCTTGCAAAACCCCGTCTCTACTAAAAATACAAAAATTAGCCAGGTGTGGCTGGGTGTGGTGGCTCACACCTGTAATCCCAGCACTTTGGGAGGCGGAGGCAGGTGGATCACAAGGTCAGGAGATCGAGACCATCCTGGCTAATATGGTAAAACTCCGTCTCTACTAAAAATACAAAAAATTAGCCGGGTGTGGTGGCGGGTGCTTGTAGTCCCAGCTACTCAGGAGGCTGAGGCAGGAGGATGGCATGAACCCGGGAGGCGGAGCTTGCAGTGAGCCGAGATTGCGCCACTGCACTCCAGCCTGGGTGACAAAGCGAGACTCTGTCTCAAAAAAAAAAAAAAAAAAAAAAAAAAAATTAGCCGTGTGTGGTGGCGTGCGCCTGTAGTCCCAGCTACTTGGGAGGCTGAGGCAGCAGAATTGCTTGAACTCGGGAGGCAAGGTTGCAGTGAGCCAAGATCACGCCATTGCACTCCAGCCAGGGCAGCAGAGCGAGACTGTTTCCAGAAAAAAAAAAAAAATACAAAAATTAGCCAGACGTGGTAGCATACGCCCGTAGTCCCAGCTGCTTAGGAGGCTGAGGCAGGAAAATCACTTGAGCCCAGGAGGCGGAGGTTGCAATGAGCCAAGATCCTGCCACTACACTTCGGCTGGGGTGACAGAGCCAGACTCCATCTAAAAAAAAAAAAAATTCTTTAAAAATCAGGCACACAGTGTGATCTGACTTGCAGTTTTCCAAGCCTGTGGGGCAGGGAGCCTGGGGGAGGCTTTGCCCTGAGATGGGAGACTTGGCCTCAGGACATTAGAGCGAAACAGAGGAGGAGGGGATGGGTCTGGATATCCAAGGCAGGATCTGCCGAGAGATACGCTGTGGGGGTGGGACAAAGACCTCAAGAACGGGTCCGGGCTGTTCCTGTCACTTGTGACATTGTGGACTGAGTCTGCCTGGATATTTCCTTATGGGCTGGCTCCCCATCACCCCGGGAGAGTCTCGGGGTGGAGGGAACTAGAACGTGTTTGCCTGGAGGTCACTACCTACTCCCCTGGAAGGAAGGGGCTCCAGGAGGCTGGCTGTGGAATGCAGACTGTGGGTGGTGCCCGGCTGCCTGCCTCTAGTTCACTTGGGCCCTCAGGGTGGTACAGAGCTGGAAATCCATACATGGCTGACCACCCTGTAAGGGCTGCAGACACAGTGAGCGTTCACTTTGCCCTGGCAACTGGAACTGTCTCCTCCAGTCCTCACCACAACCGTTTTACAGAGCAGGACACCTGTTGCAAGATGGGAGAGACTTTGCTAACAAGGTCCCACAGCTGGCACTCACCAGGCTGGCTGGGGTACTCAGGCCACCCCTTGCAGTGGGGAGCAGTTAGGATGACACCGAGGACACCCCTAGGAGGGCGGAGTTGTGAGCTCCAGGACCCCACATTTGAGCAGTTTCCCCGTCACTCTTGAAAATGCTGCTGGGCCGGCCAGTTTCTTTGGGGTTTCTCAGTACTGCTGAAAGTTACAAGGTCAACACTGGCCTGCAATCACAGTTATAAAAAAGTTATAAAAGCCTGACATTCAAATCACGTTGGAGACTATAAAACAGCAAGTTTTTCATTTGCACACCTCACATGACCTCAAGCCTGCTGTCCATACACAGGAAATGGGGATGTGCGGAAAAAAAACCCGAAGTGGAGGACATCATCCCCCACGCATAATCCAGTCCGTGCATCGCACTTGACCTTCGGCACTGCAGCCTGCATTGCTCCCCGGACTAGCTCCCAAGATTGATTTAGCCAGTTCCCTGCCAGTGGACATTTAGGTCATTATCGGTTTTCATTCCACAAAGTACTGCCCTCAGGGAGTCGGCTGTCCTTGCCAAACCACTGCATTAATATGTTTCTGGGTGCTGGGGAAAGGGCGCTTAAGACCCCTGCCCTCAAGGTGTTGATATTCTAGTTGGGACTGTTAGATAAATGAGCAATTAGGCTGGGCACGCTTGAAATCCCAGGGCTTTGGGAGGCTGAGGTGGGAGGATCGCCTAGGCAGCATATCACTACAGAAAAACACAAATAAAAAAAGTTAGCTGGGCGTGGTGGCAAGTGCCTGTAGTCCGAGCTACTCAGGAGGCTGAGGGAGGAGGATCGCTTCAGCCCAGGAGTTTGAGGCTGCAGTCAGCTATGATTGCATCACTGCACTCCAGCCTGGATGACAGAGTGAGATCCTGTCTCTGAAAAAAGAGGTGCAAATAAACCAGAAAAGTACCAACTAGTGGGCAGTGCTGTGTTTAGAAGGAAAACAGGGCAACATGAAGGGGAGGTGGGCATCAGTAGGGGACAGACCTCTCTGAGGAGGTGACATCTGAGTTGAGTCCCTGGTAACCGGAGATAGCCAGGATTGTGGAAATACTTGGAGGAGATGAGATGGTCTTTCGAAGCAGGAGGCCAGCATGTGCAAAGGCCCTGCGACAGCAATGTCTGGCCTCCTTGCTGTTTCTTTTTATTTCATTTTTTGAGACGGAGTCTCACTCTGACCTATGCTGGAGTGCAGTGGCATGATCTTGGCTCACTGCAACCTCTGCCTCCCAGGTTCAAGCGATTCTCGTGCCTCAGCCTCCTGAGCAGCTAGGAGTACAGGCACACGCCACCACACCCCACTAATTTTTCTGTATTTTTAGTAGAGACAAGGTTTCACCATGTTGGCCAGGCTGCTCTCGAACTCTGGACCTCAGGTGATCCACCCACCTCGGCCTTCCAAAGTGCTGGCATTACAGGTGTGAGCTACCACGCCCGGCCTTTTTGCTGTTTCTTGACCACCAATGTGGCTGGAGGCAGGGAGTGAGGGGGTGGTGGGGGAGGAGGGCACGGAGGTGACAGGGCCATGGGGGGCACTTGGGAACTGTCAAACCGTCAAATGTTATGAGCAGAGGAGGGTCATGTTCTTACATTGTATCGAGTTTTCCTTTTTGTTTTTTTGAGATGGAGTTTCACTCTTATTGCCCAGGCAGGAGTGTAATGGTGTGATCTTGGCTGACTGTAACCTCTGCCTCCCAGGTTCAAGCGATTCTCCCACCTCAGCCTCCCGAGTAGCTGAGATTACAGGCATGCACCACACCTGGCTAATTTTGTATTTTTAGTAGAGACGGGGTTTCTCCCTGTTGGTCAGGCTGGTCTCGAACTCCCAACCTCAGGTGATCTACCTGCCTCGGTCTCCCAAAGTGCCGGGATTACAGGTGTGAGCAACCGTGCCGGCTTTTTTTTTGTTTTTTGTTTTTTTTTTTTTTGAGACAGTCTCACTCTGTTGCCCAGGCTGGAGTGCAATGGCATGATCTCACAATCTCAGCTCACTGTGACCTCTGCCTCCTGGGTTCAAGCGGTTTTCCTGCCTCAGCCTCTCGAGTAGCTGGGATTACAGGTGCCCACCACCACGCCTGGCTAATTTTTGTATTTTTAGTAGAGACGGAGTTTCTCCATGTTGGCCAAGCTGGTCTCAAACTCCTGACCTCGGGTGATCTGCCCGCCTCGGCCCCGCAAAGTGCTGAGATTACAGGCATGAGCCACCGCACTCAACCAATTTTTTTTTTTTTTTTAGTAGTAGAGACAGGGTCTCATCATGTTGCCCAGGCTGGTTTCAAACTCCTGGGCTCAAGAGATTGCGTGCCAAGGTGCTGGGATTATAGGCACGAACCACTGTGCTCAGCCTGAGTTTTACTTTGATTCGATGGGGCGAATGTTCTCTTTTGGGTATCATGGTAAGAGTTTCACAAACCCTTCCACCTCCTCTCTGAGGCAGGTGGCATCATTCCCACATAACAGATTGGGAAACTGAGGCACAAAGAGGTTACCTGACCTGCCCATCTTGTCCAGAAAGGAAATACTGGATTCCAGCCAGGGCCTGGAGAGTCCCAGAGCCACGATCACGAATTGCCACAGGTCACCTCCTGCTTTTGCTCCCAGCCTGTTGTGTCCCTTGGATGAGACCAGGGAGCAGGTGATGCCACGGCTTGAGTGCCAAGGGCGGGCCTCGAGCCGGGAGCTGCAGGATTCCTGATCAGGGAGGGGCTGCTGGGCTGGGAATGTTGGGGAGGAGTGAGGCCAGGAGTGGATTGTGGAAGTGAGAAGTCTCCTCATCTGTAAAATGGCAGATTTGGCCCATTGTTCTGCAAGCATTGGTCATCTGCCTCCTGCCTGGGTGTGTGTTGGGTACTGGGGAGAGAGCAGAGAAGGGGCCGATACGGGACCCTGCGCCCATGAGGCTGCCACTCTAATAGGATGTTGAGGTGGGGGCAGGGACAGACTGCAGCTGGGTGAACACATCAGGAACCCGGAAGATGCCAGTTGTGAGTGGCACTGAGCATTGAGCGGGTTGATGTGTGAAAGAAGGGGAGCAGCTTCCTATGGCGGGGGGAGGGAGGGTGCAGTTTGCTGGGAGCTGCCCGCCTGCTCTGTTAATGCTGCAGGAAGAAGGTTCCAGGCTGAGGGAACAGCCTGGGCAAAGGCCCTGGGGCAGGACAGTGTCTGGTGTGTTTCGGGAACATGGAGGAGGCATATGTGGCTGGAGTAAAGCCAGCAAGACAGAGAGTAGGGGGAGGTGAGGACAGGAAGGTGACAGGACAGGTCGTGCAGGGCTTGGGGGGCTGCAGGGAAAAGTCTGGCTTTTATTCCAAGTGAAGCGGGAGCCCAAGGAGGGCCCATAACAAAGGGGTTTACAGTGACATGGTGTGCACAGGCACCTTGTGGCTGCTTTGTGGGAGGCAGATTGTGGGGACCAAGGGCACGACTGCACTGGTGTAGGCAGGTGACAGTGGGACACGCTGACAGCCTTGGACGTGGAGGGAATTGAGCAGAATCAGGCCTGATGTGGAGGTGAAACCAGCAGGACTCGCGGCTGGACAAGGCGGGTGGGTGAGGGCCAGGGGAGCCCCAGGTCTGCAGCCTCGTGAGGGGTTTCTCCCCTCCCTGCCCTTTGGGGTGACCACAGGGATGCAGTGGCACCTACCTGCGGACACTGTGTGGGCCGAGCACTGTAAGGCTTGGGCGTCCTTGCTGGGTGACCAATGGCTATTGTTGGAAGGATGAGGCAGGGACCGAGGTGGGCAGAGGAGACTGGGCATGGGTCCCCACTTCTGCTCCAACAGAGCGACAGAGAAGCCCCTGAGGTGGGTGCGGGTGACTGCGGGTCTGCCTCATTGGTGTCCCACCCACATTCGTGTCCTGGCTCTGCTCCTCCCTCGCTGAGCGTCCTGGGCAAGTCCTGAGACTGAACCTCAGTCCACCTGTCTGAAATGGGACTTTTGGCCCTGGCATCCTTGTGACTTTCAACCCCTCTGGGGTTGTCAGAGGATTTGCCGCTATGTTGCCCGAGATGGGGTTAGAGACAGCCTGTTGGGTGGCCAGCGTTCCTTGTGTGGCTCTTATCAGAGTCCTGAGAGAAGAGGCCAGGGTGGAAATTGGCCCTGGAGTGTGGGCTCCTGCCGAAGCCTCTTCCTGTGGCCAGTGCCATGCTGAAGGCTGGCTGTGGTGTCACGTGAGCCCTCCCAGCCACATTCAGGCTCAAAGAGACTGTGCTGAGCATATGGTGACAAGGAAGGGATCCCAGCCCAGGGTCCTGGCCAGGCCCTGCCAGCACCAGGCTGCACAGGTGAGGGGTGGCTTGCCCTGGGGTGCTGGCTCTGGGCCACACTGCTGACTCACCCTCTGTGGGCTTATCTGTTGATTCTCCCTCCCATGGGAAGGCTCTGGGTTTGAGCCTGCATCGTTCCTGCACGTAGCCGTCCCCACCCTCATAGGGGCTGGAAGTCAAAAGGCGCCTGGTGGAGCCTTGTGGTCTGTTCAAAAAACGGTAAATAAACAGCCTGGGCTTCTGATCTGCTGGACTCAACCTGGCACCTCTCCCATCGCTGCTGGGTGCTGCCTCCCAGCTGCACCCTTCCCTGCCTGTCCCCTACCGCCTTCCTGGAGCGCTTATCCCCTTCCAGGGAGAGGTGGCCCACTTTAGAGCTCTGAAACCTGCTCTGGTGGGGTGAAGTGACTTGAGCCAGGCCAAGCCGGTGGCTGGGCCCTCTGTGGCAGACTGGAAGTGTCCTCCCATTTCATGGATGGCCAAGTCAGTGCCCAGAGAGGGGTAGAGACCTGTCCAGGGCCACACAGCCCAGGAGGGGCGGAGCTCGACTTTGAACCCAGGCTGCCTGGCTCCACAGTCTGGATTCTTCTTACCCATTCAACAAATACTTAATGAGCACACACTGTCTGGCAGGCACTGTTCTAGGTGCTGAGGATCTAGCAGTGACCAGGCCAGGTGCAGAAGTCTTGGCGTGTCACAGGACTAGACCTTCATCAGAGGCCGTTTTGCTGGGAGTGGGAAGGGGTGTGTATTTGGGAGGGAGGGGCGCAAGCCATCACACCTGCCCATGGCCAGGTAGGCAGGGCCTATGGGAGGGTTTCCTGGCAGAGGGAACACCCCCTGCAAAGGCCTGAAGGCCAGCAGTGCCAGAGAGAACTCAGAGGAGGCAGGTGCAGGGGGTGGGGCTGGGGAACCCGGTCAGCACTGGGACTAGGACTGGACAGGACGGGCTAGGACCAGTCACTTGGTTTCTGCAAGAGAGAAGCTTGGAGGCAGGATCTTCATTTTAGAAAGGTCACTGGGGAAGGTGGGAGGTTGGGCCAGGACCCTGGGGCCTGGCCTGGGCCCATGGATAGGAGGCCAGGTACTGAAATGATGCAATAGTACTAGGCTAGGTGCAGTGGCTCACACCTGTAATCCCGGTGCTTTGGGAGGCCGATGCGGGAAGATTGCATGAGGCCAGAAGTTTGAGACCAGCCTGGGCAACATAGCGAGACCCTGTCTCTGCAAAAAATAAAAAAATTAGCCGGGCATGGTGGTGTGTGCCTGCAGTCCCAGTTACTTGGGAGGCTGAGGTGGGAAGTTCACTAGGGTCCGGGAGTTCAAGGCTGCAGTGAGGTATGATTGTGCCACTGCACTCCAGACTGGGCAATATAGGAAGATGCCATCTCTAAAAAAAAAAAATTAGCCAAGCATGGTGACATATACCTGTAGTCATAGCTACTCAGGAGGCCGAGACTGAGGTTTGCCTGTACCCTGGAGTTTGAGGCTGCAGTAAGCTGTGATTGTGCTGCTGATGCAGCCTGGGCACAGAGTGAGATCCTGCCTCTAAAATAAATAAGGCCGGGCGCGGTGGCTCATGCCTGTAATCCCAGCACTTTGGGCTGCTGAGGCAGGTGGATCACCTGAGGCCAGGAGTTCGAGACCAGCCTGGCCAAAATGGCAAAACCCCATCTCTACTAAAAATACAAAGAAATTAGCCGGGTGTGGTGCTGGGCGCCTGTAATCCCAGCTACTTGGGGGGCTGAGGCAGGAGTAAGCTGAGATTGCGCCACTACACTCCAGCCTGGGTGACAAAGCAAGACTCCATCTCAAAAAAAAAAAAAGTTAATAAACTACTTAATTGTGCATCTCCTGTGTGCCAGCCCTACTCTATGCTTTGGGGATGGAATGTTGGAGGATCCCACCTTGGGGAGCTGTGTGTGAGCTCCCCACACAGCTCAGATGGGGGTATGGGGTCTGTATGTGAGCCAGAACAAAATGCAGCTAAGTGACATTTAGCATGTGTTAGTTCCACAGAGAAAAATGAGGCATGGGGGGTGGAGGTGGGAGAGGTGTGAATGGGGGTGAGAGAAGTCTCTGAGGAAATGTCATTCGAGCGGAATCACTCTGAGCTTGGCAAGGTTACCCTGTCTTACTGACGGGAAACCTAGACCAGAGAGGCCAGGAAGCCCGCCCAGGATCACACAGCACAGAGGTGGCCAAGCAGGGACTGGAATGCAGGGCAGCCTGGGTGCACAGAGGGCACTGTAGCAGCAGCAAAGGGAGAGGAGAGGAGTAGGTAGATTTCAGTACTCTCAGAATGCGGATGGGATCAACGAGGAGGAAGTAGATGACGGAGGCTGGAAAGTCACTTCCTGCTAAGTGGCCAGTGTCAGTGTTCCAGGCAGAGCTGCTTGGGAGGTGGTTTCTGGAAGGCTCCAAGTACTCCTGCTGCTGTGTCCCAGAAAACCCTTAGGGCCAGGCCCCTGCTCACCAAGCTCCTAGGAGACTTCTGGGGGGCTCATTTCGGAGGCAGTCCAGGCCGAGGGTGAATGTTGGTGCCCTTTGCATGCAGCAGTCTGGGAACTTTTAGAAGCAAAATCGGATAAGTCCCAGGGCTCCTGGCGCTCTCAGCCTGGCATGCGAGGCCCTCTGCGCCTGCCCTGCCCTGTCCTCAAACTCTCCCCTGAGAGCTGCGTCTCCGTCGCCCAGGCTGTGCCCTCCTGTGCCCGACTTAGAACTGTTCGGAATAACACTCAAAATTTTAAGGAAATTAAACACTCGAACAAAGGATTTTTAGCAAAGCAATTTTACTTCTGTACAGAGGGGTGCTTGTCCTTGGCCAGTCGCCATGAGAGCACACCTGAACAAAGGGACACGAGAGCCTTTATTCCTGATGCAAGTCCTGCTCCTGTACCCTCTCCCCATTGGCCGGGGTCGGGTCATACAATCTAAACCAATTTTGGTTGGCTAAACATTTGAATTTTTGTAGATAAGGTGGGCACGTAAAAGAGAGAGGAAAGGGGAAGGGATGTCTGTAGTGAACTAGAAAGTTAGTCTTCTTTGTAAATAAGGGAAGGAATGTGAGCTGGTACTGGTAACGCCTGGTACTGTGGCGTGCCTGGGCATCTAACAAAGCCAGAAAGGAAAAAGGAAAAAAGAGTGTGTATGTGTGTGTGGGGTACTATGAATTAAAAGATTGATCAGCCTGTTTGAAGAGAAACCTCATCATATTCCACACTACAAATACCCCAGGCCCAGAAAGTCACCTTCTCCTGCCTGTGCCCACAGCTCTGTGTTCTCTTGGGCGTCACTCCCGCCCTATGTTCTGAAGCTGTGATTGTCCGTTGTCTGAGCTGGGCGCTGGTGGCGTCTGGGGCATCACCATTGTCCTCACAGTGCCTGGCGCCTCAGACACAAAGTGGAGTCACAGGACAGCACAGGCCACAGGCAAACACCAGAGGTCCAAAGCCGGGCCCTGGCTGGGAGTTACTGGAGGGTCTGCCTAAGATGTGTTTGCTCAGAAGGCCAGGTGCCCTGGTGGTTAGACAGCTCAGGCCCTGTGCCTTCAGTCCATGTTCATGCCACCCCCAGATGCTGTGTGACCCTGGGCAGGCCCCCACCCTCTGGGCCTCATTTGCATCTGTAAAATGGAGCCAGCAGACCCATTTTAATGGATCCTGTCATGGTTAAATGGGTTAATAGGCAGGTGCAGTGGGGTCATTGCAGGGAGTTCAAGACCAGCCTGGACACCATAGTGAGACCTTGCCTCTACAAGAAACTTAAGGTGGCCTGGTGTGGTGGCTCACGCCTGTAATCCCAGCACTTTGGACTCCATTGCACTCCAGCCTGGGTGACACAGTGAGACTCTGTCTGTTAAAGAAACAAACAAACAAAAAAACCAAAAAACTTAAGGTGGTGGTGGGTACCTGTGATCCCAGCTACTTGGGAGGCTGAGACGGGAGGATCACTTGAGCCCTACAGTTGGAGGTTGTAGTGAGCTGTGACCTTACCACTGCACTCCAGCCAGGGCAGCAGAGTGAGACCCTGTCTCTATTTAAAAAGAAATCAAAAAGGTTAATAATCATGAAAAGTTCTCAATGCCTTGCTTGGCATAGAGTCAGTGTTGAATAGCTATTAGCTACTCTAATGTTTTGAACTCAGTAATGCGTGTGTATGATGCGGAATTCAAAGATGTCGGAAAACATGCAGTGGCTCCTTCCCCACCAGGCCCCAGCCGCCCCGGGTCCTGTTTTGTTTCCCTTTGGTTGTCTTAGTCACAAAGTACAGACTTTCTTCTGTACCTTTTCCTTCCCCTTCCCCCCTCCCCCTTCCCTTCCCCCCCCCACTTCCCTTTCCCCTTCCCCCTTCCCTTTCCCTTTTCCTTCTCTTCTTCCTTTCCTTTTCTTTCTTCAGTAAAACTGATCACTACAAACCTTTTCTTTTTTTCTCACTTAGTACACCAAAAAGGGAGTTACATGTCTAGAAAGGACAGGCTCTTTTTGTGTGTCTGTTGCTGCATAGCAGCATGGATAGGCCATAATTTATATATAAATACACGTATTTTATTCTATTTTAAAGGTTTTTGTTTTGTTTTTTTCCCCCGAGACGGAGTTTCGCTCTTTGTTGTGCAAGCTGGTGCAATGGCGCGATCTCAGCTCATTCCAACCTCTGCCTCCTGGGTTCAAGCGATTCTCCTGTCTCAGCCTCCTGAGTAGCTGGCATTAAAGGCACCCACCACCACGCCTGGCTAATTTTTGTAATTTTAGTAGAGATGGGGTTGCACCATGTTGGCCAAGCAGGTCTCGAACTCCTGACCTCAAACGATCCACCCACCTCGGCCTCTGAAAGTGTTTGGATTACAGGCGTGAGCCATTATGCCCAGCAATATATCTTATATATAAGGTGATTGAAAATATATGTTTTCAAAAAGAAAACATATTTTCAGTCAGCTTCCTTAGGTTGAACGTAATTTATATTTAACTAGTCCCCTGTTGCTGGGCTTT
Source organism: Homo sapiens (assembly GCF_000001405.40). Lineage (NCBI taxonomy): Eukaryota > Metazoa > Chordata > Mammalia > Primates > Hominidae > Homo > Homo sapiens. The sequence continues at coordinate 10,754,076 of NC_000019.10, forward strand.
AAAATTCTTTGAGATCTGAATTTTTCGTCTTATTGAGAAACTAACAGGGTTGTAACAATTCTGTGGGCAAATTTTAATGGAATGTCCACCCTGTACTTTTGTATCTGAATCTTCACGAACATGTTCTCCTTGACTTGTGACCTTTTCCTGAGATTTCAGTTAGATATAGTTAATCGCTTAAGTCTTTTTTTTTTTTTTTGAGACGGAGTCTCACTCTGTTGCCAGGCTGGAGTGCAGTGGCGCTATCTCAGCTCACTGCAGCCTCCGCCTCCCAGGTTCAAGCGATTCTGCCTCAGCCTCCTGAGTAGCTGGGACTACAGGCACCCTCCACCTCGCCTGGCTAATTTTTTGTATTTTAGTAGAGACGGGGTTTTACCGTGTTGGCCAGGATGGTCTTGATCTGCTGACCTCATAATCTGCCCGCCTCAGCCTCCCAAAGTGCTGGGATTATAGGCGTGACCCACTACAACTGGCCAATCGCATAAATCTTAAACATATACCTTGATTTTCTTGTCTTCTTCTTCTTCTTTTTTGGAGACAGTCTCCCTCTGTTGCCCAGGCTGGAGTGCAACGGCGCAATCATGGCTCACTGCAGCCTCAGTCTCCTGGGCTCAAGTAATCCTCCTGCCACAGCCTCCCGAGTAGCTGACACTACAGGGGAATGCCACCATCCGCAGTGAATTACTTTTTACTTTTTGTAGAGACAGGGGCTCGTTATGTTGCCCAGGCTGGTCTCGAACTCCTGACTTCAAGTGATCCACCCACCTTGGCCTCCCAAAGTGCTGGGATTACAGGTGTGAGCCACTGCTGCAAGTTTTGATTTTCTAATAAATGATTGTACCTTGGTACCTACTGGCTAGATCAAGATGCAGGACTTCTTCATGGTCTCAGAAAGTCCCTCCTGCCCCTTCTAGTCCATTTCCCGAAAGGGAACCACTGCCCTGATTTCTATCTCCAGAGACTAGCTTTGCCGGTTCAAGTTCAAGTCCACCCTGTGACTCAGCAAGAGAAACAAGGACATGTGTCTACAAAAAGCGCATATGAGAATGTTCAGAACAGCTTTATTTGTAATAAATTCAAGCTAGGAAGACCCCAAATGTCCATCCAATGGTGACTAGACGAACAGACTGTAGTCCATCAGTGCAATGGACAGATTCGACCACGAAAAGGAATGAACGTCAGACACACGAAGCAGACAGGATGTCTGTGATTGCATCACATGCTGCTCCTGTGTTGTTTTATCGTTGACATCTTCCACTTGCACACTTCAAAAATAGTCATTGAAAGGATGGAGCAGGGGCACTGTTGTGAGGGGCACGTGCTGTCACCGCCGCTGCTGGTGATTCAGTGTCTAGCCAGCGCCGCATGGTTTCTGAGATGCTGCATTTGTCTTTTTTTTTTTTTTGAGACAGAGTCGTTCTGTCACCCAGGCTGGAGTGCAGTGGCGCGATCTCAGCTCACTGCAACCTCTGCCTTCCAAGTTCAAGCGGTTCTCCTGCCTCAGCCTCCCAAGTGGTTGCGATTACAGGTGTCCACCACCACACCCGGCCAGGGTTTTTTTTTGTCTTTTTTTTTTTGTATTTTGTATTGTTTTTGTTTTTGTTTTGAGATGGAGTCTCACTCTGTCACCCAGGCTGGAGTGCAGTGATGCGATCTCGGCTCACTACAATCTCCGCCTCCCGGGTTCAAGCCATTCTCGTGTCTTAGCCTCCCGAGTGGCTGGGATTACATGCTTGCGCCCCCACACCCGGTTAATTTTTGTATCTTAAGTAAAGGCGGGGTTTCACCATGTTGGCCAGGCTGGTCTCAAACTCCTGACCTCAGGTGACCCACCCACCTTGGCTTCCCAAAGTGCTGGGATTATAGGCGTGAGCCACTGTGCCTGACCTGAGACACTGCGTCTCTGATGTGCAAGATGCCAAGTGTCCCTGCCCCTCAGGTCCCTACCTGTGAGCTAGGTGGCCTGGGGCTCTGGTAGGGCCAGGGCCAAGGCTACTTGTGGCGTTCATGAGGTTAATACCCTGGGACAGCCTGGTGTCCACTGTGACTACTGTGACGGAAAGACAAGGGGCCATGCTAAGAGGTGACTTTGGGGTCTGTCACCTGCATGGGGGCGCCCGCTCGCTGTTTCCCTCGTTCAGTTCACTCCGCCTCCCAATTGATGTAGCTTGTTCCCTCAGTCCCCCTGCTCAGAGAACCCTCTCCAATTATCCCAGCCCCCAACCCCTCTCACCCCTGCAGTATGTCTTCCTCGCACCCACCCCCGTCAGAATGTTGGCGCCAGTGTCACCAGCACCTCCCCAAGTGCTCAGGAGCCAGTGAGAAAGGTTCGCTCCTTTTCATGCAAGCCATGAGCTGTGATGTTGTCCAAGTCTCGTATCCTGTTTGTGCCTCAGGCTCCTCATCAGCCGAATGGGAGGCTGACGGAAAGGGATTAGAGCTCAGGCATCAGCTTGAACTGGGGCACGTGGCGTGACAGGCCTAGTGCCTGGCAGGCAGGTCCCTCGGGCTCTTTGTCATCCTCAGGAGTGTGGCTCGAAGACAGGTAGCATCCCAGGCCTGGAGAGCTGACTGTGCTGCCTGTGGCTGCAGAGACAGGATGCAGAGGCCAGGGCTCGTCCCCCAGAGCCTTGCAAGTGTCTGTAGGGCGCTCCCCTCTGTCTTGCCTCCTCCCACTCTCTGGCTCTTCTCTATCCGGCCTGCCCTCAGGTTGTGACCATCCACCTCCCAAACTGCCCTGGAATCTGCCTACGGCCTGTCCACTGGCCTCCGTACCCCTGCCTGCCATCTCTCTGGTTTCGCCCCTGATGTCACTCACATGAACCACAGCGGTCACCCCCACCTGCCTCCTGCTCCTGCCCTCTCCTCTGCCCTGCATCAGCCAGAGGGGGGTTTAAAAGCTTACATTTGTTAATAATCTGGCTAAAGCTTAACATTTATTGTAATCCATCCCTAAATCCCAGCTGGTGGCATTGCTCTAACAGTGATGACCAGCCTCCTCATCATAATCCCCAGCACTGCCACCCTCAACCCCCCAGCGCTGACCACTGGAGGCTGCTTCTAAAACTTCAGCCCTGCTCTGCCAGCAGCGCCCCTGGGGGGTCTTCGTAGCCCTGTTGCCCATCACGATCCCTTTTCTCATGCAGTCCAGGCTGCAAGCCCCCGCCGAGGGCTTGGGCTGACTTGTTGTGTAGTCAGTGCTGTGTCTCTGCACCCAGCCAGAAGTGGTGGGACAGCCCCCCGGCTGACGGGCTAGAACCCATCATCCAGGGTGTGTGGAAAGAGCACATCTCCCCCCCGACGCCAGCCACTGGGTAATACATTCCCAGGAATTTCCAGTGCCCAGCCCCAGCTGAGAAACAGGTCTTCTGGAACCCTCCAGCACCCTCATCAGGGGTTCCCAGCATGGGTAGGGCCACCTGCCAGCTGGGAATGATTGTAGTGCTAGTGACACTCACTCAGGGACCCAGGATGCTGTCTCGTTCTGTACAGGGCACAGCTGTACAGTACCAATTGCCCTGTGTCCTGTACAAATTTTCAACGATCCAAACATCTAGGTGCAAAACCTGTTTGAAATTCTCTGTGTTGGCCAGGCACGGTGGCTCACACCTGTAAACCCAGCACTTTGGGAGGCCAAGGCGGGCAGATCACCTGAGGTTGAGTTCGAGACCACTCTGGCCAACATAGTGAAACCCTGTCTCTACTAAAAATACAAAAAAATTAGCCAGGCATGGTAGCGCGTGCATGTAATCCCAGCTACTCAGGAGGCTGAGGCAGGAGAATCGCTTGAACCCGAGGCAGAGGTTGCAGTGAGTTGAGATCGAGCCACTGCACTCCAGCCTGGGCAACAAGAGCGAAGCTCTGTCTCAAAAAAAAAAAAAAAAAAAAAAGAAAAAGAAATTCCCTGTGCCTAGAACCTTTCACCATTTTGTATGAAACAACAGAATTTCCTTTCGAGCCTTTAATGTACCCCGAGCCCACTGTTTCTACTTCAGTCCTCACTGGAAAGCTTTCATTTTCCTTTCTGAGTGTACAGGGTGACTTCCTGTCTTCCTCCTTGCTGGAATCCTGGTGTATTCACTGTAAGTCGGAGCAGGCTACTCCCTCTATCTTCTGGGGTGGTTGTGCCTGAGTCTTTTCCATTGTGAAAGACATGGAATTGATTCCTTTCTTCCTTCCCTCCTTCCTTCCCTCCTTCCTTCCCTCCCTCCTTCCTTCCCTCCCTCCTTCCCTCCCTCCTTCCTTCCCTCCCTCCTTCCTTCCCTCCTTCCTTCCCTCCCTCCTTCCTTCCCTCCCTCCTTCCCTCCCTCCTTCCTTCCCTCCTTCCTTCCCTCCTTCCTTCCCTCCCTCCTTCCCTCCCTCCCTCCTTCCTTCCCTCCCTCCTTCCTTCCCTCCCTCCTTCCTTCCCTCCCTCCTTCCTTCCTTCCTCCCTTTCCTCCCTTTCCTCCCTTCCCTCCCCTCCCTCCCTTCCCTCCCTTCCCTTCTTTCCTTGATGGAGTCTTGCTCTGTCGCCCAGGCTGGAGTGCAGTGGCACGATCTCAGCTCACTGCAACCTCCGCCTCCTGGGTTCAAGCGATTCTCCTGCCTCAGCCTCCTGAGTAGCTGGGATTACAGGCGTGTGCCACCACACTTGGATAATTTTTGTATTTTTAGTAGAGACGGGGTTTCGCCATGTTGGCCAGGCTGGTCTCAAACTCCTGACCTCAAGTGATCCGCCCACCTCGGCCTCCCCAAAGTGCTGAGGTTACAGGCCTGTGCCACTGCACCCGGCCAGGATATGTACTTTTCTTAAACAGCTCTGTCGAATAGTAATTTACATTCCGCGAAATCGATCCATTTCAGAATTAGTGGTCTTTAGTCATTTTACAGTCCTTTTTTTTTTCCCACACAGAGTCTCGCTCTATTGCCTAAGCTGGAGTGCAGTAGTGCAGTCATGGCTCTGTACAACCTCAGCCTCCCGGGCTCATGCCATCCTCCTCTCTCAGCCTCTCTAGTAGCTGGGATCACAGGCGTGGGCCACCACGCCCAGCTAATTTTAGTTTAGTTTAGTTTAGTTTAGTTTTTGTAGAGATGGGGTCTTACTATCTTGTCCAGGCTTTTACAGTTAATTTTAGTAAACATCACCATAGTCCAGATGTAGAACATTTTCATCACCCCAGAAAGCTCCTTCCCCTCCATTGGCAGTCACCCCCGTTCCCACATCCAGGTATCCACTGATCTGCCTTCTGCTTCTGTAGATGTGACTTTTCTGGACATGAAACACATCCTATTTTGTCATCAATAACTTTCCTCGTATTTTACCCATATACATGTGGCATTGTGTTGATTTAAAACACATAGGAAATGTGTTGATCTCCTGGGTATGGGGGAAATTTAACAAATACATGCCAGGGAATGGGCCCCCTGGGAGTACGGGGGGTGGGGCACAGCCTGCCAGAGGGAAATGGTTCTGGTCACTATGACCTTCCATGCATACCTTCCTGAGCTCTTCAGGCCTCAGGACCCTCCAAGACCAGAGCATTCCCCAGGGCCCAGCTGGGGTTGGTGCCTTTGCTGAGGTCGCCCAAATTGCAAGACAGAGTTGCTCCACCACATGTGGTCACACTTCCTGCCCCTCGATCCGGACGCAAGAGTAATTTCTGTCCCTCTCCCCCCCTCACAGGGACTTCCTTCCCCGCGGTTCAGGAATCGTCACCCGGCGGCCTCTCATTCTGCAGCTCATCTTCTCAAAAACAGGTAAAATGGGGCGGCCTGAGGTTCAGCAGGAAGTGGATGTGGATGTGTGGTTGCCAGGAGTTGCTGGGGGCGGAGGGTGGAACTTGGGTCCTGGGCTGTCATTGGACATTGAATTCACGTGTTCCACATGTGTGAGGAAATTGAAAAACGGCTCAGTGAACACTTACACACCCACACTGCAAGCCCTCAGCTGTGACCAGAATGCCAGGTGCCATGTGTGCTTTCTTTTTTCTTTTTTTTGAGACAGAGTCTCACTCTGTCACCCAGGCTGGAGTACAGTGATGCTATCTTGGCTCACTGCAACCTCCACCTCCCAGGTTCCAGCGATTCTCCTGCCTCAGCCTCCCAAGTAGCTGGGATTACAGGTGTGACCCTCCATGGCCAGCTTTTTTTTTTTTTTTGTATTTTTAGTAGAGACAGGGTTTCACCCTGTTGGCCAGGCTGGTCTTGAACTCCTGACCTCAAGTGACCCTCTCACTTCGGCCTCCCTAAGTGCTGGGATTACGGGCATGAGCCACCACACCGGCCCCATGTGTGCTTTTCATGTGTTATAGATAACCCGATTTTGCTGAACGCTTTCAAAGTCAGTAGCAGACGTGGTGACACATCCATCCTTCACGCCCCAGTGCACCTCCCCATGCAATAAAGACGCCTGTCTACAAAGTCCCAGCACCATGCCCCAGAGAACGAGTCATTCCCGCATGTCATCCACGTCCCAGTTTCTACTCAGCATGTCGCCAGTTGTCCCCCAGATATCTGGCTGGTTTTATAGCTGCTCTGCTCAATCCAATGCTATACTCTTTTGTAATCTCTTCTTCTCTTTTCATTAAAGCAGCCTCCCCATAATCACTTTTTTTATTTTTTTTAAGAGACAGGGTCTCACTCTGTTCCCCAGGCCGTGCAGTGGTGTAGTCATAGCTCACTGCGGCCTCGACCTCCTGGGCCCAAGCAATCCTCTCCAATCAGCCTCTCGGGTAGCTAGGATTACAGGTGCACACACCACCACACCCAGCTGATTTTTTTTTTTTTTTTTGGTAGAGATGGGGGTTATGTTACCCAGGCAGGTCTTGAAGTCCTGGCCTCAAGCAATCCTCCTGCGTCAGCTTCCCACAGTGCTGGGATTATAGGCATGAACCATCACACCAGCCCTCTACCATTGCTTTTTATTTTTTATTTTATTTATTTATTTATTTTTTGAGACAAAGTCTTGCTCTGTCGCCAGGCTGGAATGCAGTGGCGTGATCTCGGCTCACTGCAACATCCGCCTCCTGGGTTCAAGCGATTCTCCTTCCTCAGCCTCCTGAGTTGCTGGGACTACAGGTGTGTGTCACCATGTCTGGCTAATTTTTGTATTTTTAGTAGAGATGGGATTTCACCATGTTGGCCAGGCTGGTCTTGATCTCTTGACCTCGTGATCCGCCCACTTCGGCCTCCCAAAGTGTTGGGATTACAGGCGTGAGCCACCGCGCCCGGCCACCATTGCTTTTTAATCAGACTTTGACTCTTAGGGAGACCCAGCCTGTTGAATATAGTATGGCCTATGTGTGGATTTTTTCCTGTTCTTTCCTTCCCTGATCTCAGTGTATTTCTATTCTTCCCACCCGAGGCTGACATGAGGTGGGCGTATATCCCAGCTGGAAACCCCCTCGGGCCTCCTTGGGAAGGATCTTGGGTCAGAAGCTAGACCCGGGAGAGGTAAGGGTCTCCGTGCCCCTTCCCTGCTAATCTGCAACATCAGCTCTGGGCGTTCAACACTCAGTTTGTGTTAATGTCTTCTTGCGGCCCTTTTAAATACTCTCACACTGGGAAGGCAGCTGACACACACACCCCCATTCTACAGATGGGGAAACTGAGGCTTAGCCATGCTGCCTGCCTTTCCAATGGGCCCCAGATCTGGGACCTGCATCCAGGCAGATCTGACCTCAACGCCAGCTCTCAGCTTGGCCTCCCAAGACTCCTCACTTTCGTCCTCTGGCCCCGCCCAACCTGGCAAGAAGGCGTGTCTCCAGTGAGAGACAGCAGCCGATGGGCCCACCACCTCTTCTTTATGAGCTCTGCTATTTCGTACGCCACCGATGGGCCAATGGGCTGCCACCTCTGGGTTCAGGCGTCCAATCAGCTGTGCCAGGAATGGGCAGCCCCAAAGTCCTGAGAGTCACTATAGAAATCAGTGTTGGTAGTTTTCTGTTTCTCATTGAGCAGGATGGGGACAGATGTGCAAACTGCATTTTTATTTTATTTTATTTTGAGACGGAGTCTCACTCTGCCACCCAAGCTGGAGTACAGTGGCGGGTGATCTTGGCTCACTGCCACCTCCGCCTTCCAAGTTCAAGCAATTCTCATGCCTCAGCCTCCTGAGCATCTACAGGCATGAGCTACCACGCCCGGCTAATTTTTTGTGTTTTTAGTAGAGACAGAGCTTCACCATGTTGGCCAGGCTGGTCTGGAACTCCTGAGCTCAAATGATCTGCCCGCCTCTGCCTCCCAAAGTGCTGGGATTACAGGCGTGAGCCACTGGGCCCGGCCACAAACTGCATTTTTAATGAGTCCCTGGTGATGCTGCCAGTCTCTGGCCACACCACTGGGAGAGCCTGCCCTGCTTGGTTTAGGCTTGGAGCGGAGACTGCCCAGGTTCCCAACCCAGCTCCTAGGGAGGGACCACCACTGTGTTTCCTGTCTGGACAGTGATGACAATAACACCACCTTGTTAGCCTTAAAGCACACGTTATTTACTACATGTCAGGGAGGAGGGGAGAGAAGCAGGCAGAGAGCCTTGGCCAGGAGGGAGCACAGAGCGCAGGCCTACCCAGTACCTGACCCGGATGAACGATGATGGGTTCCTGATGTCTGTCCCCACCTTACAGAGGAGGGAGCCAAGGCTTCCTGACCACTTGCCTTAGGGCACATGGGAACATTGTCTTTAAAGCCCACCCTTAAGCCACCTCTTGGGGGAATGTGGCCTTAGGCCAAGGTGTGACTTGACCAGATCCTGTGGCTGTTGGTGGAAAAGGGACCACAGGGGCCAGTGCTGAGGCCAGTGCCCTGGAGGAGGCAGGAGTAGGTGCTGGAAGGGGTGGGGGCAGGTGGGGGATGGGTGTGGCAGCTGTGGTGGAGGTGGATGCATAGTTGCATCCTGTTGGGCTGGTTGAAAAGGGAGTTCCAGAAGTGTCCCACATGGGTGGGGCCTTTTCCTGCCTCCCAGCTTGCACCCCTCAGCCCCGCCTGATCATGGCATTTTCAGTCTCTGTCTCCTTTTTTGTTTTGTTTTGTTTTGTTTTGTTTGAGACAAGGTTCTGCTCTGTGGCCCAGGCTAGGGTGCAGTGGCACGATCTCGGCTCACTGCAACCTCCACCTCCCAGGTTCAAGCAATTCTTCTGCCTCAGCCTCCCAAATAGCTGGGACTATAGGCGCACACCACCTAGCCTGGCTAATTTTTGTATTTTTAGTAGAGACGGGGTTTTACCATATTGGCCAGGCTGGTCTTGAACTCCTGGCCTCAAGTGATCTGCCCACCTTGGCCTCCCAAAGGGCTGAGATTGCAGGTATGAGCTACCGCGCCTGGCAAATTTTTAAATTGAGATGAAGTCTTGCTATATTGACCAGGCTGGTCTTGAACTCCTGGGCTCAAGCAATCCTCCCATCTCAGCTTCCCAAAATGCTGGGATGACAGGGGTGAGCCCCTGCGCCCGACCAGGCTCCAATCTCTTATTGCTCCAAGTAGGTGCCCACTTGGTGCTGGGCCTTAGCTGATCTCCAGGGAGGCAGCGTGAGCACCTGGCATGGTCCCAGCCCCCGAGCCCAGCCTGTGAGTGTCTGTTGGATTCACCTTGGGGTTGGGGGCCCAGAGAGAACATTCTAGGTAGGGAAACAGCATTAGCAAAGCAGTGTGGGGAGGTGGTGAGGCTTGGGAGGGGCCAGAAGGCAGGAGGGACTGGGACTGGAAGGCATGTTGAGGATTCAGGCAGTGGGAGCTGGGGTGGCATGCATGGTGGCGGGAGACCACTGGCTGCCATGTTCAGGAGGGACAGTCAGGGACCAGAATGCAAGCGGGGAGTGGGGGATAGGGAGTGGCAGAGAGGCTGGCATGGCGCCAGGCAAGAGGCAATGGGGGCCTGGCCCTGGTGGTGCGGGCAGATGCCAGGCAGTCTAGACTGTCTTCCAGGCAAGGCATTAAGCAGCATAGGCACCCTTGCTGGGGGAGGTGGGTGGGAGGTAGGACGCCTTACTAAGAGGAGAGGAAAATGAACACATTGCGGGCATCAGTGATTGCTGGGGCCGGCGGGGCCTTGTGGGGTATACACCAGACCACGTGGCTCCTAGGGATTGGCAGCTGGCTCTCTGTGACCAAACTCAGAACCAGGCTGCCACCCTTTACTGGCCCGGGACTTGTTAAAGTGACTTCCCTCTCTGTGCCTTGGTAGCTTCATCTGTAAAATGGGGGTGATGGTGGCGCTGCCATCGTGGCCATGGCACCCCATTGGCTGTGGTATGCTGTCTCTTCCTGTGGGGTCTGATGTCCAAAGACAGGGCCCCCAGGGCGCAGCCCACGTTCCCCTCTGGTTCCCGCAGCTTGCCCTCATTCCAGCCATCCCCAGTGAACCATAACTTCCAGCCATAGAAGTTTAAACATTACCTAAGACCATAACCACCAGGAAGTTTGGTGGCCCATGAGTGAACCCTGCCCTCACTGGGAAGCAGCCCCGTAAACTCTGAGTGCCTGGGACTGTTCCTGTGTGGAATGTGCACAGTGAGGCCCTGTGAACCACCCCTCCCCACCGCCCTTGGCCTTGAACTGGCCTTTGGTGTGCTCACCGGAACCAAGGAAGAGATGTCAGGACCTGGCTCCAGGGCTTCCCATTGGCCTCAGAATCAAATCGAGCCTCCTTCTCAAGGCCTTGTGGCCCTTGCCAGTCTCTGGGACCTCACCTCCTCCTGGTCCCCAGCCACTGCCCCCATCCATCTCCCTCCTGATTCTCAGGCCCAGCTTGCTGGTTCCCACTGCTTGGCCTCTGTGCTCACTGTGCTGCCTGCCTGGAACGCCCTGTTCCCTACCTGCCACTGTCTGCTGCTCACCCGCACCTGGTCACTTGCCGCCTTCGTTCCCCGGTCCCCGGCAGCACGAGTTATCCTGTTCTTGTTTTTTCTTTTTCTTTTTTTTTTTTTTTTGAGATGGAGTCTCGCTGTCGCCCAGGCTGGAGTGCAGTGGCGCCATCTCAGCTCACTGCAAGCTCCGCCTCCCGGGTTCACACCATGCTCCTGTCTCAGCCTCCGGCGTAGCTGGGACTACAGGCGCCCGCCACCTCGCCCGGCTAATTTTTTTGTATGCTTAGTAGAGACGGGGTTTCACCGTGTTAGCCAGGATGGTCTCGATCTCCTGACCTCGTGATCCGCCCACCTCGGCCTCCCAAAGTGCTGGGATTACAGGCGTGAGCCACCACGCCCGGCCTGTTTTTTCTTAATGGACTCTCTCTGCGCCAGCACACGAGAACAGGCATGCAGATCGGCTCTGCCCAGCACAGGGCCTGGCGCCGAGCAGGTGCTCCGCATGCACGGCCGAGTGAACGAGCTCAAAGGGCTGGTGCTGTGCCCCTTCTTGCCTACTGGGCGGGAAGTGATGGGGGTTACTTTACCAAGCATCTTCCCCTGGTGAGCCTGGTCCATCACTCTGCCATTCCATCTGCAGCCTTGTATCTAGAGAGCAGACCAAGCTGGCGTGCGTCAGGCTGTGGGCTGGCTGGGATGCCTGCCCAGGCTGACACCTTCCCAGTGGCAATTTGTCCTGGACTGGGAGATATTTGCGTATTGCCTCGGATTAGAGAGAACTCAAGGGCTAAATGGGCATGGGAAGTGTTGTGTGCTGTGCCCACTTCTTGGTCTGCTGAAGGCTCTCAAAAGTCCTGCATGAGTGGATCCTGCCTGCTGGCGTGGTAGCTAGGGTCTCCTGATGGTGGCAGATCCCCAAGTTGTTCCCCCTGGTCCTGCCTGCCAACAGCAGGTTTGGGAAAGGCAGATCTCCTCTCCTTGCCTTCAGGGCCAGCCTCGTCATTGTGTTCTTTGCTGGGGGAACGGTGAGAAGATCCAGGGCAGAGCCCCAGTGTGCAAAGCACTGGGACCCTAGCCCAGCCCCTGAGGGTTCCCTGAGACTAACAGCTGAGCCGTGTTTGTGCTCCTGATGGGATTTGATCGCAGTCATATGGGAGCCCCGGCACTGGGTTCTGTGTCATTGCATTTTGGGGAAACTGAGGTGCTGAGAGAAGGGTAGGAACCCGGAGCTGGGTGTCGCTAGGCTGTGAAACCACGAGGCACCCCGAAAACTCTCCTCCCTCTCTCCCTCTCCTCACCTCCCCAAACCCTGCTGTCTTTTCTGTTGGGCTGAAGGCAGGTCTTCCCAGCAGGACCTGGGCATTTCAAAATTCTTAAGTAGTGCCAGCGGGCACGTGACCAGTGTGCTTTGAAGATAGGGAGGGCCATTCTCTGACCAAGGGCCTTCGGTCACTCTGGGGCTCCACAAGCTCCTTTGAAACAGGAGGCTCCGAAGACCTCCAGGGTCTCCAGGCCAGAGGTGACTGTGGCCTCTGGCAAGGGGCTGCTTCTTCATGTCCCAGGCCCCCTGACCCTGAGAAGGTGGCAGCTTGCACCTGTGGCTCCCTTCTGGGGACACCTCAAAGGGCCTGAGGTGCAGGGGATTGACTGTTTAGCACAGTGGGGCCCCAGTTGGGGGTTCCTGGGAGTGATGTCCTCCTAGGTTAGAGCACAGATTCTTTTTTCATGGATTTTAATTAAGCAGCTGCTGTATACGAGATGCTAGGGGGAACTGTGATCACACCAAGTCTCTGCTCTCTCAGAGCTCCAGCTTCAGTAGGGGACACAGGCTTGGGAGGGAGGCAGAACCTCTCTCTGGAAAAACCCGCAAGTACAACCAGTGGGCCCACAGTTAGGAGGCCCTGTGGTGGGCGAGGACGGCTGACTCCCTGGCCTTGGCAGCGTGATTGCTGGATGACTGCCCAGATTAATCCTTTACTCCTGCTGTGTGCCAGGCTGGGTCCCTCAGAGTCCCCAGGGCCTGATCACATGCCAGCTGCGAACCTCTCTGAGGGGGCCCGGGCTGACCCTCCTCCCAGGGAGCCCTCCTGGCTCAGGGTGCCGGGTGACAGTGGGGGTGTGTGTGGAGCTATCAAAATGCTTTGCAGTTTGCCGAGGAATTACAGGAACTGGCTTTGGTATCTGGAAATGCCTGTCTGCAGAGGGTGGCTGTGGGGTGCAGCTTGATGGCAGGGACCGGGACAGGCAGAGCCAGGGGTGGCTCAGTGGCTTGTTGGCTGGGCCTCGGCTGCTGCTGCTGTGGACAAGTTGACAGGGAACTCAGTGTTAAGGCCTCTGGCTGATTCTTTGGGCCAGTGGATTGTTAAAAAAAAAAAAAAAATCATCTCATCTCCAGCACTTGAGCGCATGCAGCGTTCCAGAGGCCCAGGCTAGGCCCTCCACTCTATTTCTCTTTTTGTCATTGTTTTGAGACAGGGTCTCTGGCCTCCCCTTGTCATCCAGGCTGGAGTGCAGTGGCGTGATCACAGCTCACTGCAGCTTCAACCTCCCAGGCTCAAGCAGTCCTCCCACCTCAGCCACCCGTGTAGCTGGAACTACAGGCTTGCGCCACCACGCCCAGCTAATTTTTAATTTTTTTGTACATGTAGGATCTTGCTATGTTGCCCAGGCTGGCCTCCAATGATTCTCCCACTTCAGCCTCCCAAAGTGCTGGAGTTACAGGCATGGGCCACTGCTCTCGGCCTGGTGGAAGCTTTTAAACCTCTATTGGGCTGGGCATGATGGCTCATGCCTGTAATCCCAGCACTTTGGGAGGCCGAGGTGGGCGGATCACCTGAGGTCTGGAGTTCGAGACCAGCCTGGCTAACATGGTGAAACCTCATCTTTACTAAAAATATACAAATTAGCCAGGCGTGGTGGCATGCGCCTATAATCCCAGTTACTTGGGAGGCCGAAGTATGAGAATAGCTTGAACCGGGGAGGCAGAGGTTGCAGTGAGCCGAGATTTCACTACTGCACTCCAGCCTGGGTGACAGAGCAAGACTCAGTCTCAAAACAAACAAACAAAAAACCTCTGTTGACCTGGCATTCAGCATTTACTTTCACCATGCCAGGGAGCCCTGTGAAGAAAGGCAGGCAGCTGCGGCAGACCTGGTCGGTGCCTGGGCCTTTTTCTCTGGTGTGGTTCTGTTGCTCACTGACCCACTAGGGAAGAAACGGTTTTCTGGCACCTGCTGTCCATATCCTTCGCCCACATGGAGGGGTTGGCCGACAGCAGAAGGATCTTGGAGGAGAGATCACAAAGAACAGCCCCTGCTGGCCGGGCGCGGTGGCTCACACCTGTAATCCCAGCACTTTGGGAGGCCGAGGCGGGTAGATCACGAGGTCAGGAGATCGCGATCATCCTGGCTAACACGGTGAAACCATGTCTCCACTAAAAATACAAAAAAATTAGCTGGGCGTGGTGGCGGGCGCCTGTCGTCCCAGCTACTTAGGAGGCTAAGGTAGGAGAATGGCATGAACCCAGGAGGCAGAGTTTGCAGTGAGCCGAGATTGCACTACTACACTCCAGCCTGGGTGACAGAGCGAGACTTCGTCTCAAAAAAAACAACAACAACAAAAAAAAACAGCCCCTGTCTTCTCTGATCCCCTGTTGGTTCCCAGCCTGCATGTGACAACCGGGGAAGGTGCCGTGCTCCAAAGTCTGGCATGTGAGTCTGGCTGCCTGGTTCCAGCCCCATCTCGTGTCTGCCCCTGACTGGGCGGACTTGGGTGGGGCAGGTGGTCCTTCCTGGGCCCGTTTCCTGGTCCTTGCGTTGGGGAATGGCCTGAGGTTCCGGGGGAACCTTTTGCAGCTCAGACACCTAGATTCAGCTTGCTGGGGAAGCCTGTGGCAGCCGGGCAGGCAGAACCTCCATTTCTCACCTAACATGCGTGAGTGTGCCCTTGGGGACACAGCAATGACCAAGGCAGATGGGCGTCCCTTCCCTGGTGGCATGGACATTCAAGGTAAAGCTCTCTATATTAGATTTCTTCTCACCCTTTGTCAGATGGTAGTAAGTGTTATGGGGAAACGAAGGCAGGGGAGGAGGGGGCTGGGTGGAGCAGCTGCTGTGGGGAGAGAGATCTGCAGGAGGTGGGGATGCTGTGTGACTTGAGAGAGTAGCTTGCCCTCTCTGGGCTCCTGCCTGTGTGTGCTGGGGGAACGATGGCGCCCACTGCCCCTGGTGCTGTCTTTGCCACATCATTCCTTGGGGACTTCTGCCCACCAGCTGCTCAGACCGTAGCTGTGCTGGCTATGCTCTTCCTGTGCAGGTATTGACTCTGAGTCCTCATACAGCCTGTTATGATGCGCATTTTACAGATCAGTAGACTGAGACCTGGGCAGGCCCTCTGACTACAGACTGAGCTCATTACTGCACACAGCGTGCTGCCAGTACATGCTGGGCTCTGGGGTGCTGGAGCCGCAGGTCCTGGCCCCATCAATACAATCCAAAGTGAGCTGGCTCTGATGAGGAAGAGGCCAAGATGCCCCACTCAGGGAAGTCTTCCTGGGAGAGGTGGTAGCCAGGCAGACCTGGGAGTAGGAGGAGGTAGGGCTGGGCTTTGTAGACACCACACTTGGTGGGACAGAGGCCTGCTAGGGAGAGGGCCTGTGTCCTTGCCACCAGCCCATCTTCCACGCCATGTCCCCCTGCACTCTTTGAAGGGAGATGGTCTCTTTTGGGGCTAAGCTGGGGTCCTGGAGCCAGAAGAGAACTGAGATTTGCTGTGGGGGGTTGGGAGCTGTTCCATTTTTAGTGGCTGCTACAGGAAGAGCGGCCGAGTGTTTCCCCTTGTCCCTGCAGAAGGCTGGAGTGTAACTGTCCTTGGGAACTGGGTCAGCTGATAGCAGGGCTGGGGGTGGGGGTGGGGATCCTGAATCCTCCAGCAGATGTCCTCATTGCCCTGATCTGGGTGGCCAGTGCCTGTGCTGGACACGGTCCTCAGTCATCGGAGCCCACTGAGTCTCCCCCTGACCCTGCAGAGAATTTCAAAGAGGCGAAGTTCCTTCCAGTGGCCTCACAAAGGCTATCTGGCTTAGGAGCCATTACCTGAAGCCAGAATTTCTGAGTTCCAAGTCCCAGCTCCATCACGGAACTTGGCCCAAGGCCCTTAACCCCTCTGGGCCTCAGTTTTGTCATCTTTGAAATGGGGATCTTAGAGATGCCTACCTGTCAAGGGACTTGTGAGGCGCAACGGGACCACACGCAGGGCCTGGCCAGAGTGCCGTAGTTTCTTCGGTTGCCATGATGGGACGGTGAAACTCCTCACACTCTTCTTTCTGCCTTGAAGATTCTAGACCTGGCTGGGTGTTCATCTCCCTTTTTGCCTTTGCTTGAGGCAGTTTATGGCATGGCTGTGTTATTCACGTCGCCAGGTCTCCTCCTGGTGGACGTTGAGGCCATTTTCATTTTTTTACTCTTAAAAACGACAGGGCAGTGCGCATCTTCGCATCTCCGGGGTGGGTCAGGTCTCTGACCTCTTTGCCAGTGTGACTTATTACCCCTTTCTTTCTTTGTTTTTCTTTTTGAGACAGTGTCTTGCTCTGTCGCCAGGCTGGAATGCAGTGGTGTGATCATAGATCATAGCTCACTGCAACCTCCAGCTCCTGGCTCAAATGATCCTCCCACTTCAGCCGATATTAATCCATTTTCATGCTGCTGATAAAGACGTATTTGAGACCGGGCAATTTACAAAAGAAAGAGGTTTAATGGAGTTACAGTTCCACACAGCTGGGCTGGGGAAGCCCCACAATCATGGCAGAAGGCAAGGAGGAGCAAGTCACATCTTATACGGATGGCAGCTGGCAAAGAGAGTGAGAGAGCTTCTGCAGGGAAACTCCTGTTTTTAAAACCATCAGATCTCGTGAGACTTATTCTCTATCACGAGAATAGCACGGGAAAGACCCACCCCCATGATTCATTGATCTCCCACTGGGTCCCTGCTACAACACAAGGGAATTATGGGAGCTACAAGATGAGATTTGGGTGGGGACACAGAGCCAGACCATATCAGCCTCCCAAGTAGCTGGAACTACAGGTGTGCGCCAACATGCCTGGCTAATTTTTTAAATTTCTGTAGAGACGGGGTCTCACTGTGTCACCCAGGCCGGTCTTGAACTCCTGGGCTCAAGTGATCCACCCTCCTCGGCGTCCCACAGTGCTGGATAATAGGCGTGAGCCACTGTGCCCAGCCATTTCCCCCTTATTTTTAGCATCACTACAGTAGCTGTGATCTCTGAGCTTTGGGGATATCCCCTCCCCAACATTTTACTCTGAAAATTCGAACATCTGGAAACGTCAAGGCTTTGTACAGTGGACACCTGTGTACTCGGCAGCCACCTTCCGTGATGAACATGCCTTATATTTGCTTTGTCCTCAATCTGTGATTCGGGACTGGATTTCTCTTGTTTCCTGGTGGGACCCACACTGCTTGTCAATTACTTATTTTGTTCCCCTTCATCCCAGTCTTGCTGTGACTTTCAGATACCCCCGGGTCTTATATACACTCAGGGTTATACCCAGAAAACATTTCTCCTGGGGGATTTGTCTCTAGGTAGGGGGCCCTCTTGAATAGTCAGGGGGAGAAAGAAAGACTCAAGACCAGCTCTGAGGAGGCGGCAGGGGTGCCCCTTCCCTCTACCTTGTGGGCTCCTTGGGGAAGAAGGACAAGTGAGTGCCATGAGAAATACCCCTGGGGATTTTGTGGAGCTGGAATGTGCTGGTGGACCATGAATCCACAAGGACTTGGGCATCGAACTCCCTTGACTGGGACCCACAGCAAGGGAGGCTCTGCAGCATCACCTTAATCAAATGGACTCACCCTCTCTGGGTGATGTATCCTGGTGCTTCCTCTTCTGTTCATCAGTCAATCAACAAATAAATGGCTGGGCGTGGAGGCATATGCCTGTAATCCCAGAAACTTTGGTCATTGGTTATGTCTACCTGTTTATTTTTGGGGGAGGGGGATTCATAATATGTCATGACGTATATTAACAGTTTGCAAAGTGCCACATGGGAACGTAATCTTCAGGATCTGGAAAGAGGCTCAGTCTATTCAGTCTATAGGAACCCCCGCCTCCCCCAAGACCCTTGTCATGAGAACGAATCTTTCACTCCCAAATTCCTAGAGTGACGATGATTGGGTCATTATTTTCTTTTTTATTTTATTTTATTTTATTTTATTTATTTTTTTATTTTTTTGAGATGGAGTCTTCTCTGTCTCCCAGGCTAGAGTGCAGTGGCGCAATCTCGGCTCACTACAACCTCCGCCTCCCGGGTTCAAGCAATTATCCTGCCTCAGCCTCCTGAGTAGCTGAGACTACAGGCATGTGCCACCATGCCAGGCTAATTTTTTGTATTTTTAGTAGAGACAGGGTTTCACCATGTTAGTGAGGATGGTCTGAATCTCCTGACCTTGTGATCTGCCCACCTCTGCCTCCCAAAGTGCTGGGATTACAGGCGTGAGCTACTGTGCCCAGCCTGGGTCATTACTTTCATTCAACAAAGCATTTCTCCCCGCAGTCCATGCGCACCCTGCCCACAGCTCTTTCTCATTTTCAGCATCTCTCTTCCCTTTCTAGAACATGCCGAGTTTTTGCACTGCAAGTCCAAAAAGTTTACAGACTTTGATGAAGTCCGGCAGGAGATTGAAGCAGAGACCGACAGGGTCACGGGGACCAACAAAGGCATCTCCCCAGTGCCCATCAACCTTCGAGTCTACTCGCCACACGGTAGGCAGCACGGGTGGGGACCCATCACTGACCGTTTCTGGTCGTTCATGGACAGTGCTATGGGTGAGCCTGTGTACTTCCACTCATGGGTATCATGTGCCCATTCACAAACAGTTGATATTCACACACACATAGCCCCTTGATCTGTATCTTCCCACTTGTGCTAGGTATGTAGTACCCAGACCTCTGTCTCAGCTTGAAGAAAGAGCATGCCAAGAAGTTGTTTGGAGTGGTGGGGGATTGCAGCCATTTCCCCCTTTTACCAAGGGCAGCCACCACTTGGCTCAAGGCAGCCAGATCTGCTGGTGCCTCAAGAGAGGCCAGAACCAGTCTTCTGTAAAATATCCTGGGTTTTTTTTTTTTTTTTTTGAGACAGAGTCTTGCTCTGTTGCCCAGTCTGGGGTTCAGTGGTGTGATCTCTGCTCGCTGCAACCTCCACCTCCCAGGTTCAAGCAATTATTGTGCCTCAGCCGCCCAAGTAGCTGGGATTACAGGCATGCACCACTACACCCAGCTAATTTTTTTTTTTTTTTTTTTGAGATGGAGTCTCGCTCTGTCGCCCAGACTGGAGTACAGTGGTGTGATCTCAGCTCACTGCAGTCTCCGCCTCCCAGGTTCAAGCTATTCTCCTGCCTCAGCCTCCCAAGTAGCTAGGACTAGAGGCAACTGCCGCCACGCCTGGCAAATTTTTTGTATTTTTAGTAGAGATGGGATTTCACCATATTGGCCAGGCTTGTCTCAAACTCCCGACCTTGTGATCTGCCCACTTTGGCCTCCCAAAATGCTGGGATTACAGACGTGAGCCGCCGCGCCCGGCCAAATTTTTTTTTTTTTTTTTGAGACAGAGTCTCGCTCTGTTGCCCAGGCTGGAGTGTAGTGGCGCAATCTCCACTCAATGCAACCTTCACCTCCCGGGTTCAAGCAATTCTCTGGCCTCAGCCTCCCGAGTAGCTGGGATTACAGGTGTGTACCACCCTGCCTGGCTAATTTTTTTTTTATTTTTTATTTTTTTTATTTTTAGTAGAGACGGGGTTTCACCATGTTGCACAGGCTGGTCTCGAACTCCTGAGCTCAGGCAATCCACCCACCTCAGACTCCCAAAGTGCTAGGATTACAGGCGTGAGCCACCACGCCCAGCCCATTCAGCTACTTTTTTGTATTTTTAGTAGAGATGGGGTTTCACCATGTTGGCCAGGCTGGTCTCGAACTCCTAACCTCAGGTGATCGCCTGCATCCCCCTCCCAAAGTGCTGGGATTACAGGTTTTAGCCACCTTGCCCAGCCAAATATCCTGATTTTAAAACTCTGCATTCAAACAGCAGCCCGGGGCCATAGACATCCTCTGGCCCAGAGGCACAGATTGCTACCATGATGGGTTCCTTGCGATAAGTTTTAAATTTGTTTTTCAATAAATGACACCTGCATGTGGCTCAGAATTCAAAAATTACAGAAAGGTATATCGCAAAAACCTACCTTGTCAACCAGTTTTGCACACATATTTTAGGTTCTTCAGATGACAATGCAAACATGAGCTGGGTGTGGTTTCACACACCTGTCATTCAAGCTGCCTGAAAGGCTGAGTCAGGAGGGTCACTTGGGCCCAGGAAGTCGAGGTTGCAGTGAGCTATGATCACATCTGTGAATAGCTACTGCACTTCACCTGGGTAACATAGCAAGACCCTCTATCTTAAAAAAAATGTGTAAGCAAAAAACATGTAAGCAATTGTGATTGTATCTATGTATATGTTGTGTATGTGTTTATCACTCCTTTTCCTTAAATTGTTAGCATAACATAAAAATCACTTATGCTTTTTTTGAGATGGAGTTTCACTCTTATTGCCCAGGCTGGAGTGCAATGGTGCAATCTTGGCTTACCGCAACCTCCACCTCCCGGGTTCAAGTGATTCTCCTGCCTCAGCCCCCTGAGTAGCTGGGATTACAGGCATGCGCCACCTCACCCGGCTAATTTTGTATTTTTAGTAGAGACGGGGTTTGTCCGTGTTGGTCAGGCTGGTCTCGAACTCCCGACCTCAGGTGATCGCCTGCCTTGGCCTCCCAAAGTGCTGGCATTACAGGTGTGAGCCACTGCGTTGGCCTATGCTTTTTTTTTTTTTTTGTATGCCTCTCAGAATGTTTCTTTATTATATATTTATTTTTTTTTTTTTTTGAGACAGGGTTTAACACTGTTGGCCAAGCTGGAGTACAGTGGTGAGATCTTGGCTCACTTCTTCTCCTGGGCTCAGGCGATCCTCCCGCCTTAGTCTCCTGAGTAGTTAGGACAACAGATGCACACCATCATGCCAGGCTAATTTTTTATATTTTTGGTAGAGGTAGGGTTTCGCCATCTTGCCCAGGCTGGTTTCGAACTCCTGAGCTCAAGTGATCTACCCATCATGGCCTCCCAAAGTGCTGGGATGACAGGCATGAGTCACCGCGCCTGGCCTCATCCATTTGTCTTTTGTTTTTGTTTTTTTGAGACAGTCTTGCTCTGTCGCCCAGGCTGGAGTGCAGTGGTATGATCTCAGCTCACTGCAACCTCCACCTTCTGGGTTCAAGTGTTTCTCATGCCTCAGCCTCCAGAGTAGCTGGGAGTACAAGTGTGTGCTACCACGCCCAGCTAATTTTTGTATACTTAGTACAGATGGGGTTTTGCCATGTTGGCTAGGCTGGTCTAGAACTCCTGGCCTCAAGTGATCCACCCACCTCGGCCTCCCAAAGTGCTGGGATTGCAGATGTGAGCCACCGCACCCAGCCTCATCTGTTTGTCTGTAATGGTTCTTTGGTATTGGCTGAATGGATGGGCTGAAATTTATTCAGTCATTTAGGTCTATTCCAGTCTGAACTGTCCTGATTTAGAACTGTGCCATTGAAATGGAGTAGGTAGAAGGTATCTGTAGGATGGGATCCTAGAAGGGGAGTTACTGGATCAAAGGTGTGGTTCAGGCAGAGTGTCAGGCGACATCCTCAAGTCTGAGCCCCGCGCAGGAACTTTGGTAGTCAGCTGGGTGGCTGCGGGCCTGTTTGTGCCTCCCCTCTCCTGGCTCTGAATGCCTTTCCTTCTGGTTTCCCTCCCAGTGTTGAACTTGACCCTCATCGACCTCCCGGGTATCACCAAGGTGCCTGTGGGCGACCAGCCTCCAGACATCGAGTACCAGATCAAGGACATGATCCTGCAGTTCATCAGCCGGGAGAGCAGCCTCATTCTGGCTGTCACGCCCGCCAACATGGACCTGGCCAACTCCGACGCCCTCAAGCTGGCCAAGGAAGTCGATCCCCAAGGTAACCCTGAGCCTAGGGCAGTCCCCTCTTCCAGGTGCCTCTGAGCATGGGATGTGCCCAGCATCCTTGGTTCCAAGTCACTGGCGTTCTCTTTAATCCATGGCCGCTGTAGGAAAAGGCCTCCTGGAACATGGCACTTCCTCCGAGAACCAGCAGTGCTGGTGGGCATCCCCTGGGAAGTCACTGTGTGGCAGTTGGACGGTCCTCCTTGGACATGGCAGTGCCCATGTTGCCAGAGTGGGAAGCTAGCCTAGGGCTGAAGGAAGGGCCCAGCGCTCCATCGCCCAGATGCGATCTTAGGTCCCATCTAGCTGTTACTCTGCTCCCTGAGACATGGTCCCCTCTTAGTCAGAACGGGAACTTCAGTCCTAACCCAGATAGCTGATGTGAGGACTGTTGAACTTTTGGGTTGTTTCTGATCTTTGCATGGTGAGATCGTCTATTTCCCTTCGAGTTGACACCCCTGGGCCCCTCTAGTCAGATCCTTCTACTGAACCCTCACTGCAGAATGTGAGCAGGAAGGGGCCCCAGGGAGGGCACAGCTGTGGCCCCCTTGATGCCCAAATTGGCACCCACCAGAGATCTTCACTCTGGCTTCCATCTGTCCCCAGTGTCTCATGCACATGCCACACATATAACACACACGGTTAGCACAGAGCCAGGCCCTCAGCCCCCGTGGGAGCAGTTGATCTGCAGAGGTGAGACTTTGCTAGAAAGACATCCTTGACTCTGGAATGACTTGTGGAGAGGTGGAATTGGATGGGATGGTTTCCAGAGTGGAATTTTAGCCATTCAGGCAAGAGGTAGTCCTGGAAACAGTCGTGTCAAACTCAAATGTTCCCTTGGGACTTTGCCGGCACTTGGAAAGTCCAGCATCAAAATCTGGCCCAGGAATCATGTTTACGTGAGGTTTCCCAAAGCCTGCAGCAGCAGAGGTTGTCCTTAATAACACAAATGACAATAACGGCCAGCATTTGTTGAGTATTTGCCGTGTGCCAGGCTCACCCTTATGACCACCCTGTGAGATCAGGGCTGTGACCATCTTCATTCGACATGTCGGAAACTGGGGTCCAGGCCTGTGACGTTCTGGCTTTCCCAGGTGATGTGACCTGGAAGTTTCAGGGCCAACTGGACCCCAGGTGGCTTGCAGCTGCCAGCTGATGCTCTTTCCTGGTGGCAGCCTCTGACCTCTGACCTCTGGGCTCTTTCAGGCCTACGGACCATCGGTGTCATCACCAAGCTTGACCTGATGGACGAGGGCACCGACGCCAGGGACGTCTTGGAGAACAAGTTGCTCCCGTTGAGAAGAGGTGTGGCTTTGGGGGTGCTGGGGAAGCAGGAGGATGGGTGGGGTCCTTATCATTACTGAAACCCCAGCACCTGTTCCCTGCCTGCCTGGAAGTCATTGCTTCTCCATTTCACCGTAACTCCTTCTTTCTTTTCCCTTTGAGCTATGTATCTTTTTCTTCTGATTTGTATGCATTCGTTTTTCAAGTGCACAATTAACACCTGCTGGTTTCTGAAACATTAGAAAACAAGTGTATAGAAAGAGGAAACTAAACTCACCCGCAGCCACACTTCCCCCAGACAGCCACTGGTGAATCTGCAGCTCCCAGCTCCCCAGGGTTTATAACTTTAATTAATTTTTTTATTACTTTCTATTATGAGCCTTCCCTTCCCTTTTCCTTTTCCTTTTTGTTTTTTGAGACGGAGTTTTTGCTCTTGTCACCCAAGCTATAGTACAGTGGCACAATCTCAGCTCACTGCAACCTCCGCCTCCCAGGTTCAACTGATTCTCCTGCCCCAGCTTCCTGAGTAGCTGGGATTACAAGTGGGCACCACCACGCCCAGCTAGTTTTTGTATTTTTACTAGAGACGGGGTTTCACTGTGTTGGCCAAGCTGGTCTCAAACTCCTGACTTCAGGTGATCCACTTGCCTTGGCCTCCCAAAGTGCTGGGATTACAGCCATGAGCCACCGCACCCGGCCTATTATGAGCATTTTCAAACATTCCCAAAAGTGTGGAAAAAAGTTCAAAGAATCCTCGTGGATGGCTTCCCCAGCTTCGGTGGTTATTATTATTATTTTCTTCCTGGAATATTTTATTTTTTCATTTTATTTATTTATTTATTTATTTATTTATTTATTTATGAGACGGAGTCTCTGTTGCCCAGGCTGGAGTGCAATGGTGCAGTCTGGGCTCACTGCAACCTCCACCTCCCAGGTTCATGCCATTCTCCTGCCTCAGCCTCCCGAGTAGCTGGGATTACAGGTGCCAGCCACCACGCGTGGCTAATTTTTGTATTTTTAATTGAGACAGGGTTTCACCATGTTGGCCAGGCTGGTCTCGAACTGCTGACCTCGTGATCCACCCGCCTCGGCCTCCCAAAGTGCTGGGATTACAGGTGTGAGCCACCGCACCCGGCCATCTTCCTGGAAGATTTTAACACAAATCCTAGGCACTGGCTGGGCGAGGTGGCTCACGCCTGTAATCTCAGTGCTTTGGGAGGCTGAGGCAGGAGGATGCCTTGAGGCTGGGAGTTCAAGACTAGCCTGGGCAACATATCAAGTCCCTGTCTCTACTAAAGATTAAAAAGTTAGCTGGGCATGGTGGCATACACCTATAGTCCCACCTACTTAAGAGGCTGAGGTGGGAAGATTGCTTGAGCCCAGGAGTTCGAAGCTGCAGTGAGCTATGATCACACTACTACACTCTAGCCTGCACAACAGAGCAAGATCTTGCCTCTAAAAAAAAAAAAATTCTATAAATCCTAGGCATTGTAGCATTTTACACATAAATACCCACATTTCTTTTCAAATACTTCCCCTTGCCATCCCATTTGTTTTTTTCTATACCATTCATTTGTGGAAGAAACCAGACCACATCCCACATTTGGGATTTGGCCAATTATTGTTCTCTGTTAGCTGGTAATTAGATCAGGTTCAGGTTCAAGTTCAGGTACAGATCTTCTGATAGGAGTAACCTAAGTATTTTTTATTTTATTTTAAAAATATTTTAAATATTTTGGGTCGGGCATGGTGACTCACACCTGTAATCCCAGCACTTTGGGAGGCCAAGGCAGGCGGATCACAAGGTCAGGAGATCAAGACCATCCTTGCTAACACAGTGAAATGTTGTCTGTACTAAAAATACAAAAAATTAGCCAGGCGTGGTGGCACACACTTGTAGTCCCAGCTACTCGGGAGGCTGAGGCAGGAGAATCGCTTGAACCCAGGAGGTGGAGGTTGCAGCGAGCTGAGATGGCGCCACTTCACTCCAGCCTGGGCCACAGAGCAAGGGTCTGTCTCAAAAAAAAAAAAAAAGAAAAATTTTTCAAGCATTTTATTTTATCGGAGCAGCAGTTTTAGGTTCATAGCCAAACTGAGAGGGAGATACAGAGATTTCCTATCAGCCCTATAGCCCACACATCTGTAACCTCTCCCACTTTCAACGTGCCCAGCAGAGCGGTGCATTTGCTAGAACTGATGAGCCTGCGTTGACCCATTGTCACCACCCCACCCCACATCCATGGTTGACATCAGGGTTCACTCTTGCTGTTATAAGTTTTTTTCTTTCTTTCTTTCTTTCTTTCTTTCTTTTTTTTTTTTTTTTTTTTTTTTTGACGATGTCTTATTCTGTCACCTAGGCTGGAGTGCACTGGGACAATCATAGCTCACTGTAGCCTTAAACTCCCAGGCTCAAGTGATCCTCCGAGCTCAGCCTCCCAAGTATTTGGGATTACAGGCATGTGCGATTGCTCCTGGCTAGGTTTTATTTTGTTTTGTTTTATTTTTTTCAGACAGAGTTTCATTCTTGTTGCCCAGGCTGGAGTGCAGGGGCACAATCTCAGCTGACTGCAACCTCTGCCTCCTGAGTAGCTGGGATTACAGGCACTCGCCACCACACACAGCTGATTTTTGTGTTTTTAGTAGAGATGGGGTTTCACCATGTTGGCTAGGCTGGTCTTGAACTCCTGACCTCATGTGATCCACCCGCCTCAGCCTCCCAAAATGCTGGGATTAAAGGCATGAGCCACCGTGCCCAGCCTTCTTTTGTGTTTTTTTAAAGCCATTCCTCCCCTCTGGCATCTACTCTAAGCTGCGGGCACCTCCTGCCTTTCCCTTCATGCTTAGCCGCAGTCATTTAGAGCATTTCTTTTACTCCTGGGTTTTCCACCTCGATGTCTGAGATAGATGTGGGGAAAAGTTCAGACCTTGGTTGCCAGCATCCCCCAGCACTGCTGAGATATTGAGTGGTGAGGCGACCCCGGATCCCAGGGGAATGCTGTCAGGGCTAAATTCAAAACCCTGTTTAGCTGTGAAGATCCGGGGCTGAGAAGCAAATCTGTGGCTGGCTGAGGTTTGGGGAGGATTTGCTGGTGCTAGAGAGGAAAGCAGACCCTACCCAACCCCACGCCCTACTACAGCCACCCCGACCCGGCTGCCCTTGGACACTGTTAGGCCTCCATCTTGGATCCTAAGGGCCTTTGGGGTCTGTGGGCACTAGCCAGGCTGAGGATTTGGTGATATGGGCCTCTTCCCCTTCCTCCTGACTCACTGATGTCCACAGCTGCCCTTCTCTGCCTTCCTTCCTGTTTCTAAGAACGAAGGCGCTTCCACTCTCAGCTCACTTGTAGGCCTGCTCCCGTTTTGTGACCTCAGGCTTCAGAAGCCCTCCCACTGGACCCTTTTTCCTGGCGTACTAATGACTCACAACTCCTCCTCCTTTACGGGAACCCAGGCTAGGCGTGGTGGCTCATGCCTATAACCCCAGGATTTTGGAAAGCACAGTTGGGAGGATGGCTTGAGGCCCAGAGTTTGAGACCAGCCTGAGCAACACAGCAAGACCCCATCTCTCTCTTAAAAAATTATCCAGGCTGGGCACAGTGGCTCACGCCTGTAATCCCAGCACTTTGGGAGACCAAGGCGGGTGGATCAAACCCCAGCTCTACTAAAAATAGAATTAGCTGGGTGTGTTGGTGCATGCCTGTAATCCCAGCTACTCGAGAGGCTGAGACATGAGAATCGCTTGAACCCAGGAGGCAGAGGTTGTAGTGAGCTGAGATTGCACCACTGTACTCCAGCCTGGGTGACAGAGTGAGACTCTGTCTTTAAAAAAAAAAAAAAAAAAAAAAATCCGTGTGTGATGGTGCACGTGCCTGTACTCCCAGCTACTCAGGAGGCTGAGTCCGGAGGATGGCTTGAGCCCAGGAGTTCAAAGCTGTAGTAAGCTATGATTGTGCCACTGCAATGCAGAATGGGCAGCAGAGCGAGACTCCATCTCTTAATTAAGTAAATCAAGCCAAATCCAAGCCAGATGCTTTTTACTGGCCCCTGCTGTTTCCTTCTTTGTGCTGTCACACAGGTGATGGTGACTCTGGCTTCACAGGGATCTAGGTTCAGATCTTGGGTCTCCTACTGTGACCTCACCTTGGCATGTCTTCGTTTCCCTCCTCCCTCTTGGATCCAAGAGAGATCTGGCGAGGATGAAGAGCAGTCACATCCCACAAGACCCTACAGGATAGATGACCGGCACCTCTCCCTTGCTTCTCAAGAGAAACATGCACAACCCCACTACAAAGAAAAGGGAGCACAGGCCAGGCACTGTGGCTCACGCCTGTAATTCCAGCACTTTGGGAGGCCATGGCGGGCAGATCATGAGGTCAGGAGTTCGAGACCAGCATGGCCAACATGGTGAAACCCCGTCTCTACTAAAAAAACAAAAATTAGCCAGGCGTGGTGACGCACGCCTGTAATCCCAGATGCTCAGGAGGTGGAGGTTGCAGTGAGCTGAGGTTGCACCACTGCACTTCAGCCTGGGCAGCAAGAGTGAAACTCTGTCTCAAAACAAAAAACCCCACAAAACAAAAACCTAGCCAGGAGTGCAATGGTAGGCATTCCACTTGGATTCTTTGCAACAGTGTGTATTGAATTATCCAGCTTTTCTCCCCCATATACTGAAGCGTTAACTTTCAGTTCTACCTCCTTCTCGGTGTAGTTTTGGACTTTCTTTTCAGTTCCATTGATCTCTCTGGACATGAATACCCTGATGTACCCAACTGTTTAAAATATACTCGTTTGATAGTGGATTTTAGCTCTTCCCTATTGCTCTTGTTTTTAAGATGTTATTTCTTTTTTTTCTTGTGAGACAAGGCCTCGCTCTGTTGCCCGGGCTGGAGTGCAGTGGGGTGATTACAGCTTGCTGCAACCTCGAACTCCCAGGCTCAGGTGATCCTCCCATCTCAGCCTCCCAGGTAGCTGGGACTATACACGTGTGCTACCACGCCTCGCTAATTTTTGTATATTTTTGTAGAGATGGGGTTTTGCCATGTTACCCAGGCTGGTCTGGAACTCTTGGGCTCAAGCGTTCCACCCGCCTCGGCCTCCCAAAGTGTTGGAATTACAGGCGTGAGCCACCGCACCTGGCCTTGAGATTTTTTTTCTTTTTCTTTTTCTTTTTCTCTTTCTTTTTATTCAGAGTCTTGATCTGTCGCCCAGGCTGAAGTGTAGTTGCATGATCTTGGCTCACTGCAACCTCCGCCTGCCGGGTTCAAGCGGTTCTCCTGCCTCAGCCTCCCGAGTACCTGGGACTATAGTCACGCGCCACCATGCACGGCTAATTTTTTGTATTTTTAGTAGAGGCGGGGTTTCACCATGCTGGCCAGGGTGGCCTCGAGCTCCTTACCTTGTGATCTACCCACCTCAGCCTCCCAAAGTGATGGGATTACAGGCGTGAGCCACCGCTCCCGGCCGAGATTTTTTTCTCACCTATCTTTGAATCTCAGCTTGTAGATTTCATCTGCCCCAAAGCTTTTTTCTGTCCCTGCGCACACAGGCTGGATGTGAGCTCTCCTTCCTCCAAATACTTAATGTTGCTCTTCGCAGCTGCCATGTGCATTCGCACCCTCTGTGTTGTTTCTGAGTAACATGTTATGACAGCTGTGAGTGCCTCGTGGGACAGGATCCATCTCTATACTTGAATCTTGCCCATCCCCGTGCCAGGTCCACTTGGCTCACCTAGCTTTGCCCCTGACCTGACTGCCTCTCCCCACAGGCTACATTGGCGTGGTGAACCGCAGCCAGAAGGATATTGAGGGCAAGAAGGACATCCGTGCAGCACTGGCAGCTGAGAGGAAGTTCTTCCTCTCCCACCCGGCCTACCGGCACATGGCCGACCGCATGGGCACGCCACATCTGCAGAAGACGCTGAATCAGGTACTGCAAGGGTTTGCACGTAGTGTGCAGTGGCATAGGCTGTGCACTGCACAACAGCTGCAATCCTCACTGGCACTTGTTTCAGGCTAGAGCAGCACTTGTTTTAGCAAAATGGGTTCAGTCCACATTTAGCCTAGGAGTTTGAGACCAGTCTGGGCAACATATGGAGACCCCATCTCTAGGAAAAATAGAAAAAATTAGCTAAGCATGGTGGCACATGCCTGTAGTCCCAGGTACTCAGGAGGCTGAGGCAGGAGGATCACTTGAGCCTGGAAAATCAAGGCTTCAGTGAGCCATGTTCATGCCACTGCACTCCAGCCTGGGCAATAGAGTGAGACCCTGTTTCAAAAACTTAAATAACTAAATAAAAGAAATGTACTTGATTCAGGGTCTGGTGAAGAGCAGATGTTCAGTGACTTGGTGCTGCTACTATTACAACCATCACTGTTATTATTACCAAAATTTTAATTATCATTGTAATTATTCAGTCATTTACCCAGAAGACTGTATGCATTGCCTGGGGTTGGTGACAGGGGGTTAATAACTCTTTTTTATTTATTATTATTATTATTATTATTATTATTATTTTTTATTTTTGGAGACACAGTCTCACTCTGTCACCTAGGCTAGAGTGCAGTGGCATGATCTTGGCTCACTGCAACCTCCACGTCCCAGGTTCGAGTGATTCTCCTGCCTCAGCTTCCTGAGTAGCTGGGATTACAGGCGTGTGCCACCACACCTGGCTAATTTTTGTATTTTTAGTAGAGATGGAGTTTCACCATGTTGGCCAGGCTGGTCTCAAATTCTGAGCTCGAGTGATCCGCCTGTGTCAGCCTCCTGAAGTGCTGAGATTACAAGCATGAGCCACCATGCCTGGCCTATCGTTCTCTTCTTGTAAGTAATTGATTCACATGGTGCATAAACAGAAATGGTATTAAAAGCTATACAGTGGGCCAGTGTGTGGTAGCAGGGGCAAGACGCTCCTCCTCGCTGTTTTCTAGCACCTTCCAGGGTGGCAGCAGGGCCTCAGCAGCACTCCAGCAGTCATCTTTTCATGCACATATCAGGGGGACACAGTGTCCACACGAGAGTAGGTTCCTGTCCTTGTAGAAGGCA
The DNA here is from genome assembly GCF_000001405.40 of Homo sapiens. Lineage (NCBI taxonomy): Eukaryota > Metazoa > Chordata > Mammalia > Primates > Hominidae > Homo > Homo sapiens. The sequence continues at coordinate 10,784,237 of NC_000019.10, forward strand.
TAATTCTAATGGGGGAGACTGACACCCAACAAACCGCCAGATAAATGCACGATCAAGAATCCAGTAGGGGCGCGGGGGCCGGGAAAAGAGCCACCCAGAGAAGGCAGCTCAGGAGAGCAAAGAGGGAAGTCAGTGTCTAGAGGGAGGGGCCCTCCAGGAGAGGAAGCTGGGGTGCTTACAAACGGGAGTAGGGAGAGGAAGGGAAGTAAAACTCCGCAGCTGGCTGGGGCCTCCTGAGAGCCAGCAGTGAAAAGTCCAGCTGGCCTCCAGGGAGCCTGGAGGGGGCTCAGCCTCCTTCCACGTGGGGTGCTTCCCAGAGCAGCAGCGCCCCTTCCTCTCCATTTGCTCATGACTTAAGTGCCCTAGTATCCTGTCACAGACCAAGGGAAGGCCAGCGTAGCTCCCTGCCTTTCTAGGCAGCCCACATAGACGGGGGTCGATGGCCAGGGCTGCAGGGCAGGGACCCTTGGTCACGGAGGTCTTTGGGTTACCCCACTTGCTCCATGCCATAGATGTGAGGTTCCTTCATGCCTCTTTTCTAGCTCGCCAGACACTTTGTATTTATTTTTTATTTTTTTGATGATTTTTTTTTTTTTTTTTTTTTTGAGACAGAGCCTCACTCTGTTGCCCGGGCTGGAGTGCAGTGGCATGATCTCAGCTCACTCCAGCCTCCACCTCCCAGGTTCAAGTGATTCTCATGCCTCAGCCTCCCAAGTAGCTGGGATTACAGGCGTGCGCCACCACACTCAACTAACTTTTGTATTTTTAGCAGAGACAGGGTTTCACCATGTTGGCCAGGCTTGTCTCCTAATCTCAGGTGATCTGCCCGCCTTAGCCTCCCAAAGTGCTGGGATTACAGGCGTGAGCCACTGTACCCATCCCGGCCTTCCCCTCAACCCCAGATGGAGTCTCGCTCTGTTGCCCAGGCTGGAGTACAGTGGCACAATCTCGGCTCACTGTAAGCTCCGTCTCCCGGGTTCACACCATTCTCCTGCCTCAGCCTCCCGAGTAGCTGGGACTATAGGCACCCATCACCACACCCGGCTAATTTTTTTTTTTTTTTTGTATTTTTAGTAGAGACGGGGTTTCACCGTGTTAGCTGGGATGGTCTTGATCTCTTGACCTCATGATCTGCCTGCCTTGGCCTCCCAAAGTGCTGGAATTACAGTGTGAGCCACTGCCCCCGGCCCATGCCCAGCCTTTTTGATTTTTCAGACAAGGTCTTACTCTGTTGTCCAGAATGGATTGCAGTGACACAAACACGGCTCATTGCATCCTCAGCCTCCTGTACTCAAGCGATCCTTTTGCCTTAGCCTCCTGAGTAGCTGGGACTACAGGTGTGTGCTGCCACACCTAGCTAATTTTTAAAACTTTTTTTATCTTTTGTAGAGAGAAGGTCTCACCATATTGCCTGGGCTGGTCTCAAACGCCTATCCTCTAGTGATCTGTCTCAACCTCCCCAAGTGCTAGGATTACAGGCGTGAGCCACTGCACCCAGCTTTCTCTGTTGTAGGACAGATGGCCAAACTCTGCTTTACACTTTGCAAGTATAGGCTGATTTTATGGCTTTGTTTTTCTTTTTCTTTTTTTTTGAGACAGAGTCTTGCTCTGTCACCCAGGCTGGAGTGCCATTGTGTGATCTCGGCCCACTGCAACCTCCACCTCCCGAGTTCTTTCTCAGCCTCCCAAGTAGCTGAGACTACAGGCACCCACCACCACACCGAGATAATTTTTGTATTTTTTGGTAGAAACAGGGTTTCATTGTGTTGGCCAGGCTGGTCTCGATCTCTTGATCTTAAGTGATCCTTCTGCCTCAGTCTCCCAAAGTGCTGGGATTGCAGGTGTGTACCACCATGCCTGGCCCACATTTGTCTATTTTGAATCTTCCTTGCTTTTCTCTGTAGATGCAGATGCAGCCGGGGAGCTCATCTTGAGTGCATTCTCCACCTTTTCAGGGGCGATCTTTCCATCTTAGTTTGTAGGGCCTGTCCCCATGTGTGTTCATTGGCCCCCGTTTCCGTGGTCTGGATGGACTGTCCTTGCAAGCTGTTGCTTGTCCTCCAAGGCGTGGATAGGCCCAGTGCCTGATGTCGGCCCCGTGGGCTGTTTGTAGCCTCTTACACTCATGGGCAGCTCCGTGCCGTCTCCGTTCCCAGACATGAGTGTGTCTGTGGCTTGATTTATCTGTTGCTGTCTCTCAAGGCTGTGTGGTGTGGTGGCCGCATAGTGGCACCCTGGTGTTGGCCCTTGGTTGGGGGGAGTGTGTCTGCCACTCCCTGGTATCCTGCCCATGCCACCCTTTCTGATCTCTGACCTCTCTCCTGCAGCAACTGACCAACCACATCCGGGAGTCGCTGCCGGCCCTACGTAGCAAACTACAGAGCCAGCTGCTGTCCCTGGAGAAGGAGGTGGAGGAGTACAAGAACTTTCGGCCCGACGACCCCACCCGCAAAACCAAAGCCCTGCTGCAGTATGTACCCCGGCACCCACCACCACCACCACCCTGGCCCCTGCCTTCCATCAGCCACAGGGCCCCCTAGGCTGGGCACCACTCATCACTCGTCCACTCATTGATTCAGCAGACACTTGCTGCAAGCCTTCTGCGTGCCAGGCTCCATCCTAAGCATGGCATTCGCCCCAGTGGAGGGGACAGGTGTCCGTCCCTGCCCCTGGAGTGCTCAGAATGGGGGGAAGTGGGACGAATGGGACAAAAAACAAGAAAGAAAATGTATAGTGTGTTAAATGTCAAAATATGAAAGTGGTGCTAGTGTGGGAGTTGTCGGGAACAGCCTCCTTTAGAAGGTGAGCATTGGCCGGCCAGGAGCGGTGGTTCACGTCTGTAATCCCAGCACTTTGGGAGGCCAAGGTGGGTGGATCACCTGAGGTCGGGAGTTCGAGACCAGCCTGATCAACATGGTGAAACCCCGTCTCTACTGAAATTGCAAAATTAGGCTGGGCATGGTGGCTCACACCTGTAATCCCCGTACTTTTGGGAGGCCGAGGCGAGCGGATCATGTCAGGAGATCGAGACCATCCTGGCTAACGTGGTGAAACCCCATCACTACCAAAAAAAAAATACAAAAAACTAGCCAGGCGTGGTGGTGGGCGCCTGTGGTCCCAGCTACTTGGGAGGCTGAGGCAGGAGAATGGCGTGAACCCAGGAGGTGGAGCTTTCAGTGAGTCGAGATTGCGCAACTTCACTCCAGCCTGGGCATCAGAGTGAGACTCTGTTTAAAAAAAAGAAAAAAGGCCAGGCACGGTGGCTCACGCCTGTAATCCTAGCACTTTGGGAGGCTGAGGTGGGTGGATCACCAGGTCAGGAGATTGAGACCACGGTGAAACCCTGTCTCTACTCAACGTACAAAAAAATTAGCCGGGCGCGGTGGTGGGCACCTGTAGTCCCAGCTACACAGGAGGCTGAGGCAGGAGAATGACATGAACCCAGGAGGCGGAGCTTGCAGTGAGCTGAGATCACGCCACTGCACTCCAGCCTGGGTGATCGAGCAAGACTGTCTCAAAAAAAAAAAAAAAAAAATTGCAAAATTATCCAGGCATGGTGGCACATGCCTGTAATCCCAGCTACTTGGGAGACTGAGGCAAGAGAATTGCTTGAACCCAGGAGGTTGAGGTTGCAGTGAGCCGAGATCGTGCCATTGCACTCCAGCCTGGGTGATAGGGCAAGACTCCGTCTCCAAAAAAAAAAGATGAGTGTTGGCCAGGGGTGGTGGCTTACGCCTGTAATCCCAACATTTTGGGAGGCCGAGGCGGGAGGATCACTTGAGGTCCGGAGTTCAAGACCAGCCTGGCCAACATGGTGAAACCCCTGTCTCTACTGAAAATACAAAAATTAGCCAGGTGTGGTGGCAGGCGCCTGTAATCCCAGCTACTCGGGAGACTGAGGCAAGAGAATCGCTTGAAGCCAAGAGGCAGAGGTTGCAGTGAGCTGAGAACGTGTCACTGCATATCAGCCTGGGCAACAGAGTAAGACTCCGTCTCAAAAAAAAAAAAAAAAAAAGAAGTTGAGTGTCAGGCGAAGACCTGAAGCAGGTGAGGGCAGGGCAGGAGCCGTGTGGGATTAAGCCCGGCCAGTGCAAAGGCCCTGGGGCAGGACTGGGCCGGGCATGTCAGAGGAAGACCCTGTGGCTGGATGGAGTGAGTGAGGGGAGTGGGAGGAGGTGATAGAGCAGGTTGTGCAGGGCCTTGTGGGGCCTCAGGGAGGACATTGGCTTTTGCTGTGAGTGAGGTGGGAGCCATGGACAGTTCTGAGCGCAGGAGAGTCAGGACTGACTCAGGTGCTCACAGGCTCCCTAGCCGTGGTGGGAGAAGAGACATGGGAGAGCGGGTGGGAGCCAGACCTTGGCTAGGTTAGGTCCCTCTCCAGCTTGGCCTCTTAAGATCCACCCCATGACTTGGTTGGTGCAGCTGCTTAGCTGTGAGATTGGGAAGCAGGTGTGCCCCCACAATCCCAAATTCTCACTCGGGGACTCTTCTGCCTCTGACCTTTTGGCTTTTGGCCTGTAAGGGACCTTGAGGCACTGGAACAGCTGGACCAGAGCAGGTGACAGGGACACCTGGGTAGCTCATACTGCAGACAGTGCCATGCATGAGGCACTTCCCACAGGGACACCAGGAGGACACCGCCTCCTCTGGCCATCACAGCCCTGGCATCCCCCCACCCCCTCTGCCAGGCAGTAGTGCATGGTCGTGGGCTAAGGGGCCAGAGTGCTTTTATGCTCAGACAGCCTTGACTACGTTACAAAACACTTTCTACAGAGCAGATAGTGGCCCTTTGCAGGCTTCAGGAGGAAATTCATAGCCGGGGATGGTGGTGCACCCCTGTAATTCTAGCTACTTGGGAGGCTGAGGCAGGAGAATCGCTTGAACCCAGGAGGTGGATGTTGCAGTGAGCCAAGATTGTGCCACTGCACTCCAGCCTGGGTGACAGAGCAAGACTCTGTCTCAAACAAACAAAGAAACAAACAAACAAACAAACAAAACACAAGATTCAGCCTACTAGACTGAAGGAAGTGTTGTTGTGGAGGATTCAGCCTAAGGGTGGACCTGGGCCTGCTGGGTGACCACAGGCAGGTGATTGGACCTCTCTGAGCCTCATTTTCTGCACCTCTAAAGTGAGGGTCATAGCAGCTGTCATCTCACATGGCCATGGGGACAAACTGGCAGATTACAAGGTGCCTGTAATCCCAGCACATGGGGATGCCAAGTCAGGAGGATTGCTTAAAGCCAGGAGTTTGAGACCAGCGTGAGCAACAAAGTGGGATCCTGTCTCTGAAATTAAGAAAAAAAAAAAAAATTAGGCTGGGGACGATGGTTCACGCCTGTATTCCCAGCACTTTGAGAGGCTTCAGTGGATGGATCACTTGAGGTCAGGAGTTCAAGACCACCTTCACCAACATGGTGAAACCCTGTCTCTATGAAAAAATACAAAAATTAGCCAGGTGTGGTGGTGGGCACCTGTAGTCCCAGCTACTTGGAAGGCTAAAGCAGGACAATCACTTGAACCTGGGAGTCAGAGGTTGCAGTGAGCCAGGATCACACCACTGCACTCCAGCCTGGGCAGACAGAGCGAGACTGTATCTCAAAAATAAATAAGTAAATAAATAAATAAATAAATTTAAATACTACTTGTTAAGCCTATGGCAGGACTGGGCCAGGGGATGCCCATCACAAACAGTCCCTGTCCCCCGGGGCTTAGCACGTTACGTCATTTGTAACCAGTTGCCTTGCAGGGCCCTCCCTGCCCAGGCACTCTCACCATGGAGAAGCGCCACTGTTATCTGTGTCTCCTGTCAAGAGCTGGGCCTTCTTGCTTTAGCATTTTATCTGAGGGTCCAAGGTCCTCATGCAGACATGGGCGGTCTTTCTCGGTTCACGCCTTACAAGAGAACGGGAATTACGGTAATAGACTTCCCCCAGCCTGAATTCTGCACTTGGCTTTTCTCTTCTTGTTAAAGCAAAGCCTGGAGCCTTCTGTCTCCGCCTGGTGCAGCCCACAGACTGTTCATGTATCCCAGTGCCCATGGGGACACCCAGGGTTTTTTTGTTTGTTTGTTTGTTTGTTTTTGGCCTTAACCGATGCTTGTAAGTTCATCTGTGACTGTACAGGCAAGGATTCCTGCAGGGCAAAGACCCCAGCAGAGGGATCTTGGGTTAAGGAACATACGTGTTTAAAATTGATTTTTAATTTTTCATTTTATTTTATTTATGTATTTGGTGGTTTTTTTTGTTTTTGTTTTGAGATAGAGTCTCGCTCTGTCACCCAGGCTGAAGCGCAGTGGCATGATCTCAGCTCACTGCAACCTCCCAGGTTCAAGCGATTCTCCTGTCTCAGCCTCCTGAGTAGCTGAGATTACAGGCATGCGCCACCACACCCAGCAAATTTTTGTATTTTTAGTAAAGACAGGGGTTTCACCATGTTGGCCAGGCTGGTGTCGAACTCCTGACCTTAGGTGATCTGCCCACCTCGGCCTCCCAAAGTGCTGGGATTACAGGCATGAGCCACCATGCCCGGACCTCATGTATTTGTTTTTTAAACGGGGTCTCGCCTTGTTGCCCAGGCTAGAGTGCAGTGGTGCAATCCCGGCTCACCGCAGCCTCACCACTTGGGCTCAGGTGATCCTCCCACCACAGCCTCCCGAGTAGCTGGGAATAATACAGGTATGCGCCACCATGCCTAGCTAATTTTTGTATTTTTGTAGAGACAAGGTCTCACTATGTTACCTAGGCTGATCTTAAACTCCTGACCTCAAGCAAACCGCCTGCCTGAACTTTCCAACTATGAGATCGCAGACGTGAACCACCACGCCTGGCCTTGTTTTTTTAATTTTTATTTATTTTATTTTATTCTTTTGAGACAAGGTCTCTTGTTCTGTTGCCCAGGCTGGAGTGCACTGGTGCAATCACGGCTCACTGAAGCCTGGACCTCCTGGGCTCAAGCAATTCTTCTGCCTCAGCCACCTGAGTAGCCTGATCCTCAGGCGTGCACCACAGCACCTGGCTAATTTTTAAAGTATTTCTAGAGACTGGATCTCACTATGTTGCCCAGGCTGTCTCAAACTCCTTAGCTCAAGCGATCCTCCTACCTCAGCTTCCCGAAGTGATGGGATTACAGGAGTGCACCACCATGCCCAGCCCAACTCCCCCTTTTTATAAGGACACCAGTTATATTGGCTATGAGCACACCCTGTGATATTCTCTTGACTGATTACATCTGCAGTGACCCTGTTTCCAAATAAGAGTACATTCCGAGGTACAGGGGGGCAGGATTCAACCCGAATTCCGCGGGACACCGACCAGCCGGTCACAATTGTCCAGAATGCTCTGATTGTGCAGCGTGGGTTGGGCCTGTAAATCACCTCCAGGGCCCCCAGGAGGCTGGTGCCCAGGTGTGCTTTGTCCCCTGTGGCTGAGAGCAGGTCCCCAGAGTCTCCATCCTTGCCTAACCCTCCCCCTCCCCCCGTCGCCCAGTCTGTTGTCTGTCATTAGTTTAGTGCTATGCCTTTGCTGACCTTGGTCCTGGTTTGGTCCACAATTCAAATTCTCCATTCCAGGCTGGGTGCAGTGGCTCATGCCTGTAATCCCAGCACTTTGGGAGGCCAAGGCGGGCGGATCACTTGAGGTCAGGAGATTGAGAGACCAGCCTGGCCAACATGCCGAAACCCCATTTCTCCTAAAAGCACAAAAATTAGCTGGGCATGGTGGCGGGCACCTGTATTCCCAGCTACTGGAGAGGCTGAGGCAGGAGAATCACTTGAACCCGGCAGGCGGAGGTTGCAGTAAGCTGAGATTGTCCCATTGCGCTCCAGCTTGGGCGACAGAGTGAGACTCCAGCTCAAAAAACAAAAAACAAAAAAAACAAATTCCCCATTCCAGGTGAAGCATTAACCTAGGCCTTTGTGTGTCTCCTGGAAGGAAATTAAATGTGCACACCCTTTACTTCATGTGAGGAAAGAGATTTTGGGGATCTGGGCAGCTTGTGCTTGCCTCTCCCAGTTGGGGTATGAAGGAGACCCCCCTTTCTTTGGCAGCCCAGCCTTGGTGGCCCTGACAGTGGTCACCATTTGAGCAGTTCCCCTTTAGGAGCAAGTCCCCAGGTACTTCAGTAGATCATGATTTTTGGGAGGGAAACTGATGAAGGGAGACAGCCCAGTACCCTAAGGAGAGCAATTAGGAATGCTTAGGAAAACTAAAACGTGAACAAGATCATCCTACTTTTTTACTATTCACGATGCCAATAGGCAATGCTGAGAGACTCTTTTTAAGGGCCAGGCCCGTTCTAAGGGGCGACACATGTTATTACCACTTTTTGTCCATTAGATGAGCAATTGTTTACCAACAAAAATTTTCTTTCTTTTTTTTCTTCTTTTTTTGAGACAGGGTCTTACTCTGTCTCGCCCAGGCTGGAGTGCAGTGGTGCGATCTCGGCTCACTGCAGCCTCCGCCACCCAGATTCAAGCGGTTCTCCTGCCTCAGCCTCCCGATTAACTGGGACTAGAAACGTGCACCACCACACCCAGCTCGTTTTTGTATTTTTAGTAGAGACGGGGTTTCGCCATGTTGTCCAGGCTAATCTCAAACTCCTGGGCTCAGGTGATCTGCCTACCTCAGCCTCCCAAAGTGCTGGGATTATAGGTGTGAGCCACCGTGTCCAGTATATATATATATTTTTTAATAAAATGTGGTCTCACTGTGTTGCCCAGGGTGGTCTCGAACTCCCAGACTAAAGCCATCCTCTCACCTCAGCATCCTAAAGTGCTAATATTGCAGGCATGAGCCACCGCACCCGGCCAATAAAACATTTTAACTTGTGTGAAACCAGGTGTCTTTGCAGAATTACCATTAGTGGCAGCATTTTTTCTTTTTTTGTGGGCACACAAAATAACAGTGCATTTTAGGATCAGTGACTTCTTGGAGGTAATGAGATCTAAAAACATCTTCAGTCTCCACGAAGGAGGTAGATGTTGTTACCCTCAACCCATTTTGTAGATGAGGAATCGGAGGCTCAGAGGGGCAAAGTCCTGTCCAAGGCCTCACATCCCATCGATGGGTCAGGACCAACCCCAGCAGGCTGGGAGGTGGCGGGAACCTATGGAAGCCACCTGAATTGTGGGGAAGTGGCTACCTTTCCTTCCCAGCATCCTGTAAATCAAGTTGAGCTTCAGGGCAGAGGTGCTGAGCTTTGACCCCTGAACTTCACTCCTGTCTTCTGCAAAGTGGGAGGAATAAGTGGGCCTTCTCAGATCGAATGGGTGAATAATCGGAACAGGCTTAGCTTGAGCCTGACTCGTAGCCAGCATTTGCCATTGGGAGCTCTTGAATTTGGTTTATTTGTCTTAATATAGACAGAAGACATTTTGCTGCTGAAAAATGGTAAAAGAACAGTAAACCCTGGCTTGACTTGGAACATCATTCCAGAGTAGTGTGGAAACCTCCGTTTTGATGCTTGCTTTTTCCTTTTCCTCATAGGATGGTCCAGCAGTTTGGGGTGGATTTTGAGAAGAGGATCGAGGGCTCAGGAGATCAGGTGGACACTCTGGAGCTCTCCGGGGGCGCCCGAATCAATCGCATCTTCCACGAGCGGTTCCCATTTGAGCTGGTGAAGGTAGTGCCCCCCGGGGCTGGGCCCTCCCGTCTCTGGTCAGGCACCCTCCTGCTGGCCTCAAGCCAGGCCTCCTCCCAGGCAATAAGGTCTCAAGCTCCTACCTCTAGGCCTGAACTTGTGGTGGGCAGGGTGTGGCCTGGATGAGGTGTCCCCATGGGCTTCCTTTTCTGACACTCAGCTTTGAGGTTTTGGGCAGAACAATATGAAAACCCCTGTGTTTTTCCTCTGACAAAAGCCAATATACATTCTTTGCAAAATACATAGAAAATACAGATAAATTTACATGAGAAGATGTCCCTAGCATGTCATTGAAGAAGGAAAAAATAGGCATTGGAGCCAGCATGTGCAACATAGCACTGAGCTGATATATACAACATCCTTATGTATGAAACTGAACATGGATGTCTGTCTACAAGTGTTTCTTTGTATTTGCAAGGATGTTTGCAAAAATGTCAGCCCTGGGTGCTAGGATTTGGGACTTCTTTTTCCGTGTGTGTGTGTGTGTGTGTGTGTGTGTGTGTGTGATTTGCTTGAAGTTTTATACTGTTTACAATGAGCACATAGCATTTTTTATTAAAAAAACAAACAGTTTTTTAAAATCAGAGGAGCAAGACCAAATGCAGTGGCTCACGCCTATAATCCGTGGGAGGCCAAGGGGGCCTGATCACTTGAGCCCAGGAGTTCAAGACCAGCCTGGGCAACATGGTGAAACCCCATCTCTACTAAAAATACAAAAATTATCCAGGTGTGGTGGCATGTGCCTGTAGTCCTAGCTACTTGGGAAGCTGAGGTAGGAGAATCACTTGAGCCCAGGAGGCAGAGGATGCAGCAATGAGCCAAGATGGCACCACCGCACTCCAGCCTCAGTGACAGAGCCAGACCCTATCTCAAAAAAAAACAAAAAAAACAAAAAGAAAGAAAAAAGAAAAAGCTGGGTGTGGTGGTGCATACTGATAGTCTGAAAAATCTAAGTTTACATGAATTTATATTCCCACCAATATGATGAGAGAGTTGGTGTCATGTCATGCTTTCTGAAACTGGGTTTTAATTAATTAATTTGTTTGTTTATTTTTATTTTTTTTGAGACAGGGTCTTGCTCTTTCACCCAGGCTGGAGTGCAGTGGTGCAATCACAGCTCACTGCAGCTTCGACCTTCCTGGGCTCGGATGATCCTCCCACCTCAGCCTCCCGAGTAGCTGGGACTATAGGCGTGCACCAGCCCACCTGGCCAATTTTTGTATTTTTAGTAGAGATGGGGTCTCACTATGTTGCCCAGGCTGGTCTCAAACTCCTGGGCTCAAGCCATCTGCCTGCCTTGGCCTCCCAAAGTGCTGAGATTACAGGTGTGAGCCACTGTATCTGGCCAGTTTTCAATTTTTTAAATAAAATTTTGACGAGTTAAATATTCTGCCTTGTGAATATAGCCACACGTGGGAGAGAACGTTCCCCAGATGCACGCCTGCCACGGGGGCGCCCCGGGTGCCTCCATGCATGTGCTTGGTTTGTCTCTTCTCAGATGGAGTTTGACGAGAAGGACTTACGACGGGAGATCAGCTATGCCATTAAGAACATCCATGGAGTCAGGCAAGTTCCACGAGGAGAGTCACCACTGTTCCTTCCTCTCCGTGGTGCGACCCCCCAGCTAATTGGGTCACCCACACCTCTGAGTCCCTAATCGTTAGGCCTTAAGAGGGCTCTTGGATGGTTTTCTGTAGCTGCGAGCCCCTCCCTGAGGGTCTCCAAGGGCACATGAGGGTGGATGTGTCTTAGTCCTGCGTCCATTGCAGGCTTCAGGGCTGTCTGCAGCTCCTGATCAAATAGGGCTTAGTTCCTGCCCAGTCGGTTGGTGTGAACCTCATGCTAAACTAAGAATGCTCACTGCAGATTTGCCTGGGGAGGGGCGGGGCGGCACTGAATCAGGGTTTTGGGAAGCCAGCATGAGTCCCCATCATGGCTTCCTCGTGAGCCTCTTGGGTCCCCTCCTTATTCTAACAAAGGTAGTTGCTCCAGGTGTCTGCCCTTCCATCGCCGTGGGGTCCTCGGGTCACCCTGAGGGTTTCCGGGCAGTGGACTCAGGCATCCGACCCCACACATGACACAACCTTCATTCCTTGTTGGGGACCCGGCCAGGGCCAATGAAATTGCTGACCATGCTTTGTTTCTCTCTGACTTATCTCCCCTGCCCCCGGGTCTGGACGGTTTCAGGACCGGGCTTTTCACCCCGGACTTGGCATTCGAGGCCATTGTGAAAAAGCAGGTCGTCAAGCTGAAAGAGCCCTGTCTGAAATGTGTCGACCTGGTTATCCAGGAGCTAATCAATACAGTTAGGCAGTGTACCAGTAAGGTATTGCTCCCTCGGCAGGGTGACTCCTGACCTTGTGGAAACGGGGGTACGGGGGTTTGGTATCAGGCTCCCAGCGCCTCATTGGCCCCCACTGGTGCCTTTTCTCCCCATATCGCTTTGTGTCCGTGAACTTGGCCTCTCCCCAGAGGCTGGGGCAGGAGCATGTAGGCCTGGGCCCAGGCACACAGGGGAGTGCCAGGCCTCCTGGACTGGCCAGACAGATGCACAGTTGTCCCTGGGACCCTGATACCAAGCCTAGCATGTGTCTGATGAAATTGGGGTTTCACTGGGCTGTTGCTTTGCTGCCTCCTGGGAAGCAGAGAGGGACCCCCCGCGTCAACTGCTGGAGGCTGAGCTCCTTGAAGCTCCCTGGCTGTCACCCCTTCTTGACCAATGCCCGGCATTCTCAGACTTCCCTGGAGCCACCGACTTCTCTGTCCCTCAGCTCCGGGAATGGCCTGAATGCCAGCGACATCATGAGAGCCAGCTGGGGTCCTAAGTGCCCCTGCCCACCCCCTGCACCCCACGCTGTCCCCCAGGGGCAGCCCATTTTTGGATCCACTTAGTCACAGTGCCTCTATGCGCTCTCGACGAGCCACTGCCTCCACTCAGCAGGACGCGCCGGGCTCCCCCAACCCGCGCCAACGCCGCGGGCCTGGTTCCCAGGGCAGCACGCTTTGGCCAAGCAGCTGAAATGCCTCCCAGTGGGCAGTCTGTGCTTGCGCGACCACAGTGTCCCCAGCGCTCCGGGTTGCCAGGGAATTTCTGCTTGAGCCCCTCTGTTCTTAGTCTGGAAAAGCCCACATTTGCTGCTTAAGCTTCTTCGATTAGAAAAGGGAGGGGGAAAACAGTCCAAACAGGTTGGAAAACGCTCGTCCTAGAGCCAGGTGTCATGGACATGAATGTTAGAGGACTCCGCACACCTTGGCTGTCTGTCTGTGCAATGACAACCCCCCGTGGCCCTTCTGTAACTACACCCCAGACCGAGCCCACACCCCCAAACCCCAGACCTCTTTGATCCGAAGCAGCTTCCGGGGCAAATGCGGGCGCAGGCTCCCCCATGCATGGACTAATCAGATGACTCTCGTTTCTTCTCTTCTCTCTGTCTCCTGTCCTGCGTGTGTGGCCTGCACTGTCCCTGGGTGTCTTTCTGCCTCATCCTGCCCTCCGCATGACCCAGGACGGGGCTCTTCACCCCCGACATGGCCTTTGAAGCCATTGTGAAAAAACAGATTGTAAAACTCAAAGAGCCGAGTTTGAAGTGTGTTGATCTCGTGGTCTCAGAGCTGGCCACGGTCATAAAAAAGTGTGCCGAGAAGGTAACAGGTTTTGTTCTCATCTCCGCATTTGTCCCCGTCCTCCCCCTCCATGTGTTAGTCTCAACCCGAGCATCTGGAAAATTCAGCCTCGGCAGGAACCCCCTTCCGCCTACCAGTTGTCACTTAGAGATGTCGCCACCTTGCATTGGCAGATGGAATGGGGGGAGTGGCATCACACGTGGGTTGTGGCTGCCCGTGGGGGCGGTCAGCCTTTGTTGTTGCCAAACGCATTGCATTTACTAAGCAGTGCCCTTTCCTGGAACCCCTAGAGAAAGGGGTTTCCCAGCCAGCACCAAAACAGCAAAACACAGGAAACACATCATCTGTATAGCCCTGCATGTTCTCACAGTCTAGGCCACCTGAGAGTAACCATTCCATTTTCCCCGACTCGTGGACTTGACCCACACTGCAGAAGATGGGACTCCCCTGTGCATGAGGTCTGGTTAAGTTGGTGCTGCAGATGAAGCCTGGGGAGGTGGGGGCATTTGGCGAGTGTGTGCCACAGATACAGTGATCAGGAGTGGTTCTCTGCAAGGAGTTCCTATCGAGGCTGATGGCCCAGATACCCGCCTTACCATTCTAGAACAGACGCTACTCACTCACGCTGGCGAGGCCCTTCAGGGTTCCTGCTCTCACCCAGTGCTGGGCAAGAGGGGGGTGCCCTGAAGCCCTGCATGGCAAACATGCCCCTGCTTTTCTGCTTTCATGTTGCCTCCTGCCTCCTGCCCCCCGGTCACTGGCTGGAAAAGCAGCTCTGCTCTCCTGCTGTCTCCGGTCCACGGTGCCCCCACTCTTCTGCTCTTAGCTCCCAGCTGGACTCACTGGGGGCCAGGAGCAAGGTGTGGGCTCGGTGGGCCCCCTCATATCTCATTCCCCACCCCCCTCCGCATTTTCTACCTGTGTGGTTCATGTTGCTTCCCGTGCCACGAGGACCCCGCCAATGCGACCACTCTGCTTGTTCCCCCAGCTCAGTTCCTACCCCCGGTTGCGAGAGGAGACAGAGCGAATCGTCACCACTTACATCCGGGAACGGGAGGGGAGAACGAAGGACCAGGTACTGGCCTTTTGTCTTCTTTATTGGGTATAATTTACATGCAGTAAATGTCAAGTGTACTGTTCTGTGCATGCTGACAGCTGCATATGGCAAAGTAACCCTTACCTCAATCAAGATACAGAGCGGTTCCGTCACCTCCTAAAATCCCTGTCCCTATCATGCTGACAGCTGCATATGGCAAAGTAACCCTTACCTCAATCAAGATACAGAGCGGTTCCGTCACCTCCTAAAACCCCTGTCCCTATCATGCTGACAGCTGCATATGGCAAAGTAACCCTTACCTCAATCAAGATACAGAGCGGTTCCGTCACCTCCTAAAATCCCTGTCCCTATGCCCCTTTGTAGTCAACCTCTCAAAAACCCACAGGCCAGGCTGGGTGTAGTAACTCACGCCTGTAATCCCAGCACTTAGGGAGGCTCAGGCAGGAGGATTGCTTGAGCCCAGGAGTTCGAGACCAACGTGGGCAACATAGCAAGACCTTGTCTCTACGAAAACATAAAAAAATTAGCCAGGCGTGGTGGCGCATGCCTGTGGTCCCAGTTACTTGGGAGGGTGAGGTGGGAGGATCCCTTGAGCCCACAAGATCAAGGCTTCAGTAAGTTATGGTCGTGCCATCGCCCTCCAGCCTGGGAGACAGAGCGAGACCCCGTCTCTTAAAAAAGAAGCAGCAAAGGAAATCCCCAGGCCCTGGCCACCACCAGCCCGCTCCCTATCCTACAGTCCTTCAAGTGGACTCCCACAACGTAAGGCCCATTGACTCTTGACTCCCTTCCTGCCACCCTTCTTCCCTCCCTCCCTCCCCTCGGCGTCTGCATTTGGGAGCCAAGCGTGTTGTTTGTTGTATCTGTAGTTTGCTGCCTTGATTACTAAGCAATCTTCCAGGGAATGGATGGAGCACAGCAAGGACCTCCACTTGCCTGCTGGAGGGTGTTTGGGGTGCTTTTTGTGTTGTGGTTTTTTGTTTTTTTTTTTTTTTTTGAGACAGAGTTTTGCTCTGTCGCCCAGGCTGGGGTGCAGTGGCACGATCTTGACTCACTGCCACCTCCACTTCCCAGGTTCAAGTGATTCTCATGCCTCAGCCTCCGAAGTAGCCAGGACTACAGGCACATGCCACTTTACCCACCTAATTTTTGTATTTTTAGTAGAGAGAGATTTTCACTATGTTGGCCAGGCTGGTCTTGAACTCCTGACCTCAGGTGATCTGCCCGCCTTGGCCTCCCAAAGTGCTGGGATTATAGGGGTGAGCTACCACGCCCAGCCTGCTTTTTCTTTTTTTAACATTTAACGCTTTCTTGCAAAGGCATGCAAGCACACACCCCAAGTTGCTGCCTACCCCTCAGCTGAGACTGTCACCCACGAAGCACTGGGCCGTCCTTATACTCTCCTGCAGCCGCAGCCTCAGCCTCCCAAGTAGCTGGGACTATAGGCGTGAGCTACCACGCCTGGCTAATTTTTGTATTTTTAGTAGAGATGAGGTTTCGCCATGTTGGCCAGGCTGGTCTTGAACTCCTTAGCTCAAATGATCCACCCACCTCAGCCTCCCAAAGTGCTGGGATGACAGGTGTGAGCCACTGCTCCCAGATCTGTTTTGAGTCACTTTCTCTCAGTTGTCCTCTGTGTTCTTTTTACAACTGTTTGTTGAAACCAGAGCTTAATTAAGCCCTTGCTTGCTATGTCACTTTGTTTAAAATGGTCCCTCTCCCCTTGCCATTGATGGGGATGAAATGGGCTCATTTGTCCTGCAGGGAGGCGCCCAGTTTTGATTTGGCCAATTGCTCCCTCAGGGCACCAGTCCACCTATGCCTCATAGCTGCTGTAGCTTGGAAATTGTATCAAAAGTCTGGAAGAGTCTGATTCTTTTTGTTGTTACTGTTGGTAAGAATGCTGCCGGCCCTTCCACAGCCCCTGGTGCCCACCTGCCATGCTGCCAGGCCGGATCTGAGAGCGCTGGGTTGAGGAGACTCAGGCCTTACTAAACCAGCCACGCTCGCTCCCACAGATGGAGCACCCTGGCATTTTCCAGCAGGCGACAGGTCCGAGTGCCTTGCCCTACTTTATTCTCAGGAACTTGGAGGTGCAGTGAGGGGAAGTGACTGGCCAAGGGCCAGGGGAGTCCAGTGACGCGCATCCCAGCGCCTCCTCCCCAGCAGCCTGGCCTGTTATAAATGGGAATCAAGCCAGTGAGCTGCCTGGATCCATGGTTCCCATAGACCAACTTCATCCTGGGCAAAAGACAAGAAGGATGAGGGAGGGAGAGTTTCAGCAAGTGCAGTGGACTCATAAGCCCTGCTCCTCACATGAGACCTTTCTAGCTTGATAGCTTGAGCGTGTGTGTGTGTGCGCGCGTGCACGTGCACGTGTGTGTTTTATTTTAGTGTTCATAATTGGACAAATTAGCTTCGCAGTTTTAATGCAACACTTTGAACACGCCAGGCGCTAAAGACTTTACAGGCTGGACACGGTGGCTCACGCCTGTAGTCCTAGCACTTTGGGAGGCCAAGGCAGGTGGATTGCCTGAGCTCAGGAGTTCGAGACCAGCTTGGGCAACACGGTGAAAACCCGTCTCTACTAAAATACAAAAAATTAGCCAGGTGGTGTGGCGTGCGCCTGTGGTCTCAGCTACTCGGAAGACTGAGGCAGGAGAATTGCTTGAACCCAGGAGGCAGAGGTTGCAGTGAGCCGAGATTACGCCATTGCACGCCAGCCTGGGTAACACAGTGAGACTCTGTCTCCCAAAAAAAAGAAAAAGAAAAAAATACAAGGCAGTGGCTTGCAGTGGTTCACACCTGTAATCCCAGCACTTTGGGAGGCCAAGGTAGGAGGATCACTTGAGCCTAGGAGTTCAGGACCAGTCTGGGCAACATAGTGAGACCCCACCTCTACAAAAAAAGAAAAATCAGCCAGGTGTGGTGGCACATGCCTGCGACCCCAGCATCTTGGGACGCTGAGGCAGGGGGTTGCTTGAGCCCAGGAGTTTGAGGCTATGATTGTTCTACTGCACTCCAGCCTGGGAGACAGTAAGTTCTTTTCTCAAAAAAAAAAAAAAAAAAAAGCCAGGCGCAGTGGCTCATGCTTGTAATCCCAGCACTTTGAGAGGCCGAGGCGGGCGGATCATGAGGTCAGGATTTCGAGACCAGCCTGACCAACTCAGTGAAACCCTGTATCTACTAAAAATACAAAAATTAGCTGGGCGTGGTGGCAGGCACCTGTAATCCCAGCTATTTGGGAGGCTGAGGCAGGAGAATCGCTTGAACCCAGGAGGCAGAGGTTGCAGTGAGCCAAGATTGTCCCACTGCACTCCAGCCTGGGCGACAGAGCAAGACTCCGTCTCGAAGAAAAAAAAAAAAAAAACAAAAAAAACAACTGCACATTATTAAACCCTTGGCAGTTGGGCCTCCTGTCACCCCATTCCACAGCTCAGTAACGTGAGGCCCAGGGTCACACGGCCAATTAGTGGCTCAATCAAGACTCCAGACCTTGGGGACAGCGGCCCTGCCTGTGACTGGCACATTGGGCTGCGTGGCTGTGCTCTGTTGTCCCAGGCTCTGTTGCCTATGAGGGTGTGGGGAGTGCGACGCCAGCCCCTGTTCTCCTGTCTGGGAAGCCTCCTGGTTCCCACGCCTTCCCTGCTGGCAAGGCCAGGAAATGCTCTTGCCGCTGCCCCCCCTTGCCAGGCTTGGCCTTGTACTCACAGTGACCCCCGCTCTCCCCCAGATTCTTCTGCTGATCGACATTGAGCAGTCCTACATCAACACGAACCATGAGGACTTCATCGGGTTTGCCAAGTAGGTACTTTTAGAGACTGGCTGGTCGGGCGGCACCAATCCTCACTCTCAGATCCAAGGAGGTGACTGAGTTGGGATTCTCTGAGAGGGCAGGTGTCAGACAGTCTCTGTCGGGGGTCCTGGGGTGAAGGCAGAGCCAACTGAGAATATCTGGAAGCTCTCCTGGGCTGATAGTGGTCCACTGTCCCCAACCAACACGCCTTCTGTGAGGCATCCCCATGGTTAGTTTAGGGAGAGGGCAGTGCTATGTTCAGATCTGCAGGGAGAGGGGGAAGCCAGCCAGCTGCTGCACCCCCTCTCCTTCAGGACTTCTCAGAGCCTTTAGCGACCAGTGTGCAGCTTTTCCCAGACTCTGCCACTTCATGGACAGCATCTCATGGGCTCAGGGCTCCGGAAGCTGCTCTTTGGGAAATGCTGCCTGGGGTCTCCCTAGCTTCAAGGCATACACTGTAGATTTAAACCAGAACCTTCCGTGGCACCCAGATGAGGGCCCACATCGGGGAGCCCTGATTTCAGCAGGATGTCGATTCAGTGTGCGTGGTCTCAGGCATCACCCGCTGATTCCTTCAGCCCCTTGGCATGCTTAGGCCTCACTCAGATTGTTGGAGAGGCTCACGCAGGCCTTCCTGCCTGAGGCAGGCCGGGTGGTGCCGCTGGTATGCCCTCTCGCTGGGCCCTGTGATAGAGCAGTGGGCAAACCCACACCCAGCTCCCCACCCTCAGAGGAAGACCACATGCAGGGAACCGATGGGGACCCAGGGCGTTAAGGTGTAGTGTGCTTAGTGCTGGGCGGGGCCGTGCAGGGCTTGTGGGTGTCCAGAGGGCGGCCACTGGGCCTTGCCTTGAGGGGTCAGGCAGGCTTCCTAGGGGAGGGCCTCTAGAGCCAAATCTCAGGCTATGGAGTCACCAGATACAACATTTATCGGTGCACCTGACAAAGCTGATTGAGGATCTGTTCCGTGCTGGGCACCAGGTAGGTGAGGAGAAGGGAGGAAGGAAAACGAAGGAATGAGGGCCTCATCAGAACCCCTCCTAGAGATGAGCCGAAGTCCCTGACTGGGCCTCCCCTGCCTGTGGGTGGCAGCCCCCGGCCCTGTGCTCCCGGCCGCCGGGTGTGTGTGGGCTCACAGCGCTGGTCCCCATCTTTGGTTTGCTGCTGTTTTCCTCACCTTGATGTCTCTGCTTCTCACACTTCATCCACAGTTCCTTCTCACAATCTCTCCTGTTTTTCCTTTGACCACTCTTTCCTCTGGATTCCTGGGCCTTCCCACTTACCCCAGCTGTTACTATACTGAGCAGCTGGTGACCTGGTGGGTATTGCCTGCTGTGTGCCTTTGCCCTGGTGTGTGAACGGGGTACGCCCTGGCTGGGTGGCCCCAGCCCTGGGTGGGACATCCCTGGGGCCCGCTGAAGAGCTACGGGGTGCTCTCTCAGAGCCAGGGCCAGTGCTGGGCCTCTGGGCCAGGACCTTGACCGCACCAGCTGTAGCCCCTGCTGTTTCAGAGCCTGCAGGCTGGGGAGGTGGAGTCCTTAAACAAATTGTCACAAGGATGATGAGAGTAGGAAGAGAGGGTAGGGGATAGACTATGGGAAAGGGGAGCTGGGAATGTGGCCTGGAGAGATCTTCCTGAAGAAGTCAGGTGATGCCAGGGGGACCCAGAGAATTGGACCCAGGGAAGGAAGGCTACCAGACCAGGCAGGTAGAGGTAAGAGAGCCAGCGGCCAGGCCCCATCGCCAGGAGGGCCCTGCAGGTCCAGGGGAGGATTTTGGATTTTCCCCCAAGACACCAGGATGCTTCTGATTAGATCCAGGCCCAGGAGAGGGGCCACCTTGTGGGCTGCTATTTGAGGGAGCCCTGGCAAGGATGGGAGCCAGGAGGCCCTTAGGAAATAGCACCTCTGGAACCTCACTGTCACCCAGCCATCACTGTGGAGGTTGGCTCAGCTCAGTGCCACCTCCTTCAGATGCTGTTGATGAAAATCCTTCTTGTGCTTGAATGTTCTGGGCTTCCCATTGCCCTCCAAATGTATATTATAAACAGGGCCCAAGCCTGGCGCAGTGGCTCATGCCTGTAATCCCAATACTTTGCAGGAGGCCAAGGTGGGTCGATTGCTGGAGCCCAGGAGTTTGAGACCAGCCTGGGAAACATGGTGAAACCCTGTCTCTACAAAAAATACAAAAATTAACTGGGCATGGTGGTGGTGCGTAATCTCAGCTACTTAGGAGGCTGAGGTGGGAGAATGACCTGAGCCCAGGAAGTCAAGGCTGTGCTGAGCCATGATCACACCAGGGCTCTCCAGCCTGGGTGACAGAGTGAGACTCTGTCTCAAAAATAAATAAGTAAATAAATAGCCCAGATAAGAAGCCCTATAATAAACTTACTGAATGTTGGGAATATCACTGGATAAAATTCTGCCTTTGTTCTTAGTTTTCCAGCCTTTCCTGATCTAGAAACAGAAGCCTACTTTCTCCCTTATCCTACAGCCAACTTGGACTTTAAAACAAAACCCCCGAGGTAGTCAGCAAAGGAAGGTGACCAAGCTGACTTGCTTTTCCATATTGTTCTGAAAGTTTCAGCCAAAGCAATAAGAAAAGACAAGAAAATATGATGGATAAGTAACAGGAGATATATGTTGTTTGCAAGTGGTGATATGATTGTCAGAGTAGAAAATATATTAGAACCGTAAGGTGGTGGAGTAGGTGTCCACATATAAAATATAGTGGGATTTGTCTATGCCGGCATGAACTAGCCAGGAAGTAGGATGGATAAAGAAGAAAAGAGATCTGGGATTGTGGATGAATAAGGAACCTTATAGAAACACACCCTGTCGACCTTGGATGTCCTCTAAATTTGGGTCAGGAGTCATGCAAGATATGTGTCATTTCATGACCAGCAGCTGTCCCACAGTCTGATGTCTAAGACTGGATGGCTCTGTGGTTAGAGCCACTTACAGGCTGGTGTTGGGATCAAATGATGAGAAGAGTAGGAAGAAGGGCCAGGTGCAGTGGCTCATGCCTGTAATGCCAGCACTTTGGGAGGTGGAGCCAGGCAGATCCCTTGAGTCTAGGAATTTAAGACCAGCCTGGGCAACACAGTGAAACCTCGTCTCTACAAAAAATCAAAAATTAGCTGAGCATGGTGGTATGCACCTGTGGTTCCAGCTACTCGGGAGACTGAGGCAGGGGAACTACTTGAGCCCGGGAGGGTCAAGGCTGCAGTGAGCTGTGATTGCGCCACTGCACTCATCTTAGGCAACACCTTCTCACACTTCCCCTTAGAAACTCCGGGATTCTAGTGACATCTGGAAGTAACCTGCGCTTTAGTAAGTCGGCTGAGATGAGGGCCTAGAAGCCTCAATTGAACCAGATACATTTACTTGTTCCGTGTGCCCAGGCCGTTTCCCTTGCGCAGCTCTGTGTGTGCAGGGGGCTTCTCTCTGCCTCTACCTGTGGCTGCTCACTTGGTCCCCAGGGAGAGAACGGCCACATTCGCCTCTTCCCCTTCTTCCCCCCCGGCATCTTGTCCACGTGAACCCTGTCTGTTCTTTGGTTTCAGTGCCCAGCAGAGGAGCACGCAGCTGAACAAGAAGAGAGCCATCCCCAATCAGGTAGCACACCCCTCTGCAGTCTCCCGCTCTACCCTGGGGGCGGGAGGACGCTAAGTGACAGCTAAGCCCCCGTGATGGAGCTCGGCCTGTGTAAAGCCCCACCCCACAGCCTCAGTACCAGGCCATCTGCTCTCTCTAGAGGCCACTTAGGAATTGATAATTCTGGGAGATGGCCTGAGAGCCAACACTCTGGCAGGGCCTAGTGGGCACATTTTACCCACCCAGAAGGCCCTATGTGCCATCCAAGGCCAGGGTTAGAACTTGACTCTTGGCTGGGCACAGTAGCTCACACCTGTAATCCCAGCATTTTGGGAGGCCGAGGTGGGAGGATCACTTGAGGCTAAGAGTTTGAGACCAGCCTGGGCAACATAGAAAGACTCTGTCTCTACAAATAATAATATTTAAAAATTACCTGGGAGTGGTGGGCTCATGCCTATCACCCCAGCTACTTAGGAGGCCAAGGTGGGAGGGTCACTTGAGCCCAGCAGTTCATGACCATCCGGGGCAATACAATGAGACCTCATCTTAAAAATTAATAATAGGCTGGGCACGATAGCTCACACCTGTAATTCTAGCATGTTAGGAGGCTGAGGCGGGCGGATTGCCTGAGCTCAGGAGTTTGAGACCAGCCTGGCTAACATGGCAAAAACCCCATCTCTACTAAAAATACAAAAAATTAACCAGGCGTGGTGGCACGCGCCTGTAATCCCAGCTACTCAGGAGGCTGAGGCAGGAGGATTGCTTGAACCTTGGAGGCGGAGGTTGCAGTGAGCCAAGATTGCGCCACCGCACTCCAGTGTGGGTGACAGGGCCAGACTCTGTCTCCAAAAATAATAATAATAAAGATATAAATAAGAATTTTTCCCTTGAGCGGGGGTCTGTGACCTCTTTGAGCTTTCCAACACAGCCCCAGGGATTGGGAGCCCCTAGGTGAGAGCCGCTGGAAACTACATTGTCACTAGCAGCTCAGGGGAGCTTGGGATAGTTGAAGCCCCACACCTGGAGAAGCCCTGAGCCACAAAGGGTTGTACCTTGACATCTTAACCCAGCTAGAGGCCTTGTGAAATATGAACGGCTGTATCAATGCCTGCCTTCAGTACCTTATTATTATTATTATTATTTTGACACAGAGTCTCGCATTGTCACCTGGGCTGCAGTGCAGTGGCGCAATCTTGGCTCACTGCAACCTCTGCCTCCCAGGTTCAAGCGATTCTCCTGGTTCAGCCTCCTCAGTAGCTGGGATTACAGGTGCTCACCACAACACCAGGCTAATTTTTTTTTATTTTTTTCTTGAGATGGAGCCTTGCTCTGTGTCCCAGCTGGAGTGCAGTGGCACGATTTCAGCTCACTGCAACCTCCACCTCCCGGGTTCAAGCAATTCTCTGCCTCAGCCTCCTGAGTAGCTGGGATTACAGGCGCCCGCCAGCACGCCCAGCTAATTTTTTTGTATTTTTAGTAGAGAGGGGGTTTCACCATCTTGGCCAGGCTGGTCTCAAACTCCTGACCTGGTGATCCACCCGCCTCGGCCTCCCAAAGTGCTGGAATTACAAGCGTGAGCCATCACGTCCAGCCTTTTTTTTTTTTTTTTTTTTTTTTTTTGAGACAGAGTCTCACTCTGCCACCAAGGCTGGAGTGCAGTGGCGCGGTCTCAGCTCACCACAACCTCCGCCTCCTAGCTTCGTGTGATTCTCCTGCCTCAGCCTTCTGAGTAGCGACGATTACAGGAGCCTGCCACCACCCCTGACTAATTTCTGTATTTTTAGTAGAGACAGGGTTTCACCATGTTGGCCAGGCTGGTCTCGAACTCCTGACCCCAGGTGATCCACCCGCCTCGCCCGGACAAAGTGCTGGGATTATCATGCCAGCCTTTATCATTAATTTTTAAGAAAACCTGGACGGGCACGGTGGCTCACACCTGTAGTCCTAGCACTTTGGGAGGCCGAGGCGGGCGGATCACCTGAGGTCAAGAGTTAGAGAACAGCCTGGCCAACATGGTGAAACCCCGTCTCTACTAAAATACAAAAAATTAGCCTGGCATGATGGTGGGTGCCTATAATTCCACCTACTCGGGAGGTTGAGACAGGAGAATCACTTGAACCCAGGAGATGGTGGTTGTGGTGAGCCAGGATCACACCACTGCACTCTGGCCTGGGCGGCTGAGCGAGACTCCATATCAGGAAAAAAAAAAAGAAAGAAAGAAAAGGAAACCATAATCTTCGCAAAATTTCTGCCTATGTCCCTCCCTTCTCCCCATTGGGCAGGGGTGGGGGCGGGGACTCCACCATGTACCTTGCACGATCATAGAGCCTACTGGAAGGAAGAACGTAACCATTGCATGATTTATTTTTGCGCTTGCCGTAGGTAATACATATGTTGTTGCTTTTTTGTTTCTTGAGATAATAATGAATTAAATATTAACACCATGAATATGATTAATAGCATGTAATTTTTTTTCTTTTGCTGTTTTTTCCCCTGCTCTTCTCTTCTCCTGTTTTTGTGCTTTTCCTGCTTTTTCTTTGTCCCCTTCACGTCCCTTCCATCTCTTTTCCTTTGCCTGCTCTTCCCTGATTTACCCACAACCCTAACTTTGCATATTCAAAGGGGGAGATCCTGGTAAGTACATGCTTAGTGTGGTAGCAAACATTAGAGAATCTAGTGGTGATGGAGACCCCGCCCACCCCTAATATTCCCTGTTCCCCATCCCCTCCAAATAACAAAAATACTAAAAATCGAGCTAACCTGGAAACCCCATGCCGCAGCCGGCGCTGGACTGCACGTTGCCCTGGGTATAAGTCGACTCACACAGGCACTAACTGGACCGCCACCCTTGAAGGCGCACTTCTGCAGCCAGTTCCTGGCAGGTTTTCCTGGTTTCCTGTAGGTCAGGGATGGCAAATACTTACACACCGCCCCTGCCTCCCCTCACATCCCTGGCTGTGGAAGATCTCGCTTAAGCCAGACCAGAATTCATTCTTGGCACTGCCCCTCCTCCTTCTATCTCCTATGCAGATGTCACTCATGGATCAGAGCATATTTTTCCACATGGCAGAAATCTTGCCCTCTTGTGCCCATGGCAGACATGGCTAGTTGATCTAGCACTCTTTGCCTTGTGCCGCTCCTCTAGCACACGCCCATGGCAGACATTGCTAAGCAATCCTAGCATTCTTTCCAAATAAGCTTGCCAGCACTCCTGTTCTATAGCAGATGTGGCTAAGTGATTAAGGTATTGTTTTTCTCCCTATATGATACCCTCTTCTCTATGCATGGCAGGCATGACTAGTCAATCAGGAGCCTCTTTCCTAGATGCTGCCTCTTGTCCTCCAGATAAATTGATGAGGCTCTTCTGTTCCACTTACCCTTTCTCCTATCCTTGGCCTGTGACAGGCAACACTAATTGATCCTAGCACCGTTTCCTGCCACGCCCAGAATTCTCACCACAGTGCTTCAGGTATCTTGTACCAGTCGATTGACATGGCTCCCGAGATGAATCATATTTGCTGTCCATCCCTGCTGTGGGTAACACCTCCTTCCTTTGTGCAGAACCCTCAGCTGGGGCCCAGTGTGGGGCGTGAGATGGGCGTGAGGCCCAGTCCAGCCCAGCCCAGCGGGAAGCAGCCTGCTACTCATAGCTGAGAACTGAACCCAGCTCAAGGAGCTCACCTCTAGGCAGCCGGCCTCAGCCCGGCTCTTACACTTGGACAGCACAGCCTGGGCCTCCAGTCCTAGCAGGGGCTCCCTTTTGCTGGACATTCTCCCACTGCCAGCCACCAAGGCGCTGGTCATCCCTGCCACTGCCCTCTGGCGGGGCTCTTCTGGCAATCCCAGGGTCTTTCTTGTAGCTGAGCCGATCCTATGCCAGGGCCTCGCTGCTCCCAGGGCCTGGGTGTGCAGATAGGGCCATGGGTGGGGCAGTGACGGGAGGAATTAGTTGGCCTCGGGCTTGTGGTTTTCAGGTTCCTCATGTGTTCCCCCCAGTCCCTTTGAATTTGCCAGGCCAAGACCAGGAACCTGCTTCTCCCTTGTACCCCAAGAGGTTTAGGGGTTCCTCTTTTCCTACCAGAGGCCACATAGCCCAGCCCCGTCATGAGCGTGGCCGTGGCCTCTGGGTCTCCCATCTGTGGTTCCCATCTCTACCCGGGAGACTCAGGCCAGGACCCTCACCCAGGAAAGAGACTGGAGCAGCCTGCCAGAGGATCCCTGCTTTGCCGCCCCCTGCCTGCCCTGCCACCCATACCGCCCCATGTGCCTGCCTGCCTGTCACTGTGCACCCTAGCCCGCAACGGCCTGCCGCCTCTTCTGTCTCTCCCACCCCTACTTCCTTCTAAGCCCAGTCCCATTGGGATGTGTCCCTTGGATGCAAACCTGACTTTCTGCTGAGGCCTGGCTGCTCCCTTTCTCTGGCTCACAAGTGGTGGATGGCTAACGGGCCTTTGTTTGCCACCCACAGCTTGCAGCTCCCTAGGGTGGGATTTTGTCTCTGAACCCGTGTGGAGAAGGGCACCTCAGGGCTTCTGCCAGACGTCCTGCCCCAAGGCTTGGTGTGCCATCCCCAGCATGGCCCCGATCAGTGCCCTGGCCCTGTGGCCATGCACCCCAAAGTGTAGCGTGGGCCCTGTGCTCCAGCTCTGACCAACACTAACCCCGGCTGGAGGCAGGAGAGCCAGGCCACCGAGGGGTGTGCGGGCACATCCCTCTCCTTAGAAACCGGGCCAGGCCTAGGAGTATGGAGGCCTCACATTTCTCTGGGGGAGCACCGACAGCCTGTCTCCCTGTTTTCCCTCACCTGGTTGTCATTCAGTCATGGAACCAGGGTCTACTAAGCACTCGTTCTGTGCCCAGCTCTGGGCTGAGACAAGGCAGTGCCCCCACCCCGCTCCCCCCGGGTGAATGGAGGCATTCCCAGACTGCCAGACCTTTGGTGCTAACACCAGGACGTCCTGGACAGACCAGGAAGAGCTCGTCACTGCGTTCCCAGAGGGGATGCTGTGACCTCACAGGGGCTGCTGGCCTCAGCCCCCTCACCCACCACCAGGCAGCCCGTGAATGGCCAGATGCCAGGGGTCACTGCCTGCTCCAAACAACTGTGAGAGTCCTGTCTGCTCATCCCAGGGAGGGATAAGTCTGTACCCTTGGCCTTAACAAGGGGCGCCCGGTGGCATCTCATGCTGTCCCCAGCCTGGGCAGTGACTTCTGCATGGTCCAGGGGTCCCTGGGTACTCTTTAGCCACCTCCGTCTTCATGGCCACCTGGGGCTTAGCACTCACATCCAGCCACCAAGGAGCCGCTGGAGCTGTGGGCTGGTGGCCCTGGTTCAGAATGTCAGGCCCGGGGTGGGTCGGGGTAGTCCGGATGAAGCCCCTCCAGAGGACCGCCCCCGACTAGGACAGCATCTGGGCCCCAGAGGGATTCCTGGAGGCCCCATCTCTGGCGCTCCTGCCGTGCCGTGCCCTGCCATGCCCTGCACTGGGGGATGCAGGCCAGCCCTTCGCAGCTGTCCATGGCCATGCTCAGCCCACCCTTTGTAGCTTGGCCAAGTCTGTCAGTGCCTGGGTCCCAGGCCGCCCTGTGCGTGCCTCCGTGTGCTTCCTGCAGCTCCCAGGGCCCTCGTCCTGAGTGGGGTGGGGGGCTCTGCCCACACATGCCTCCAGCGGCCAGGGAGCATGGGAGCACAGCCCCCAGGCTGCCTGCCGTTAGTTGTCAGGTGAGTCCCTGCGCAGGCCTGGGTTCTGACCCCCACGCAGATGACAGCTACAGCCACACAATCCCCATCCATGGGGTCTCCCAGCCTGAAACCCTGATGTGTCAGTCAAAAGGATGACCACCAGGCTTGCAGCCAGCTTGGGACATGAGCCGCGCTCCTTCAATGTCCTTGGGGAGGGCCCCTGGGCTCACACCTTTGACCCTAGCCCTCTGTGTGGATGCTACCCTTGGAACCTTATCTCACGCAAACAAGTGCAGTTCCTCAGATGTCACATTTCATGTGCCACAGCCCCACACACAAGCCCCAGGGACTCCTCCCATGGGCCCCTTTCCATCAGGCCTCTGTGAGTCTATACCCCATCAGCCCCTGGCCCAGTGAGTCTGTCTGTCCGCCCACCTGCCCAGGTGGCGCCTCATGTTGGTTTCCTGCTGGAAATGCTTGGGACAGGGTGGAACTGGGTTTCCTGGGCTTTGGGGCTGGAGGTGTCTCTATTGCGGTCCCTGGCTTCCCACTGAGCTGTGGGCAAGGCTGCTGCGCTGGGGGATGGCTGGGGCACGGAGCGAGGTTCCCTGCTAAGCTGCGCGCTTTCCCCCAGGTGATCCGCAGGGGCTGGCTGACCATCAACAACATCAGCCTGATGAAAGGCGGCTCCAAGGAGTACTGGTTTGTGCTGACTGCCGAGTCACTGTCCTGGTACAAGGATGAGGAGGTGAGTGGCAGGCGGGAGCAGGGCTGCTGGGGTAGGTGGGGCAGCCAGGGAAGAGCGGGTGGGCGCTCCCTCTGGGCAGAACTCAGTCACTGCGCCACTCTGCCCTGAGTCACCATTAGGACTGTAACTCGCCGGGCACGGTGGCTCCCGCCTGTAATCCCAGCACTTTGGGAGGGCGAGGCAGGTAGATCACGAGGTCGGGAGTTTGAGACCAGCCTGGCCAACATGATGAAACCCCGTCTCTACTAAAATTGCAAAAATTAGCCAGGAGTGGTGGCACGCGCCTGTAATCCCAGCTACTCAGGAGGCTGAGGCAGGAGAATCGTTTGAACCCGGGAGGCGGAGGTTGCAGTGAGCCGAGATTGCGCCACTGCACTCCAGCCTGGGCGAGAGAGCGAGACTCCATCTCAAAATAAACAAACAAACAAACAAAAAACAACCGTAACCCAGGGCTGGAGAGCAGCCACCATGTGCCAAAAGGCTTACATTGTACCTGGCCCCCATGGGACCAGCTCCTAGAGTGCAAAAGGGAGATGGAGGGTGATGGAGTCACTAGCAGGCTAGAAACAGGCCCTGACCTCCAGTGCCACTGTGACTGCCCCGTGCTCAAGAGAAGGGGCCATGCCCAAGGGTCAGGGGCTCAGGCATGCAGCCAGCCTCCAGGGGCACCGGGGTTCCATCACTTACACCTCAGTCAGGCCCCTTGCCTCTCTGGGCCTCAGTTTTTCTATCTGCGAAGTGGTCTAGGATGGTCCCTGCCCACTGTGCGGTGCTTGGCCACAGTGTGCAGAACGATCCCCA
The DNA here is from genome assembly GCF_000001405.40 of Homo sapiens. NCBI lineage: Eukaryota > Metazoa > Chordata > Mammalia > Primates > Hominidae > Homo > Homo sapiens. The sequence goes on from NC_000019.10 coordinate 10,813,179, forward strand.
CATGCTCGTCATTATGGGAAGGAAGTGGAGAGGCCCCTGGGTGATGACTGCAGGGAGCAGTGTTGAGTGCTGAGTCATGGGAGGGACTCGTTCACTGCGAGTGAGGGGGCAGGCCTTGAGCAAGGATACTGCCAACCGGCCTCTGCTCTCCATGCTGACCCAGCATCCCTCCTGATGGTCCTATGTAGAAAAAGATACATAATGTTTGACATATTTATGGGGTCCCTGTGATGTTTTATTAGATGTACAGAGTATGTAATGATCACGGCAGAGTGTTTGTGGTGTCTGTCACTTTGGTATTCCTCATTTTCCTGTGTTCAGAACAGTTCAGGTCCTCTCTTCTGACTACTTTGAAATACACAAGGCTGGGCACGGTGCCTCAGGCCTATAATCCCAGCACTTTGGGAGGCTGAGGTGGGAGGATGGCCTGAGTTCAGGGGTTCAAGACCAGTTTGAGCAACATAGCATTACCCTGTGTCTATTAAAACCCAAAAAAAATTAGCTGGGCATGGTGGTGCATACCTGTAGTCCCAGCTACTCAGGAGGCTGAGGTGGGAGGGTCACTTGAGCCCAGGAGATGGAGGCTGTGGTGAGCTATGATCACACCACTGCACTCCAGCCTGGGCCACAGAGCAAGACACTGTCTCAAAAAAAAAAAAAAAGAAGAAGAAGAAGAAATAGACAATACGTTGTTGCATTGTTGGCTGGGCACAGTGGCTCATGCCTGTAATCTTAGCACTCTGGGAGGCTGAGGTGGGTGGATCACCTGGGGTCAGGTATTCAAGACCAGCCTGGCCAAACGGTGAAGCCCCTTCTCTACTAAAAATGCAAAAATTAGCCAGGTGTGGTGGCGCACGCTTGTAATCCTAGTTACTTGGGGGGCTGAGGCAGGAGAATCACCGGAACCTGGGAGGTGGAGGTGGAGTTTGCAGGGAGCCGAGATGGTGCCACTGAACTCCAGCCTGGGCGACAGAGTGAGAGACTCCCTCTCAAAAATAAAAACAGGCTGGGCGCAGTGGCTCACGCCATTAATCCCAGCACTTTGGGAGGCCAAGGCAGACAGATCACTTGAGGTCGGGAGTTCGAGACCAGCCTGACCAACATGGAGAAACCCCGTCTCTACTAAAAATACAAAATTAATCTGGCGTGGTGGCGCATACCTGTAATCCCAGCTACTCAGGAGGCTGAGGTGGGAGAATCGCTTGAACCTGGGAAGCAGAGGTTGCGGTGAGCCAAAATTGCGCCATTGCACTCCAGCCTGGGCAACAAGAGTGAAAGTGTGTCTCAAAGAAAAAAAAACACCAGACAATTGTTGTTAACTATAGTCTTAACTGCAGTCACCCTACTCTTCTGTTGAACAATAGAAGTTAATGCCTTTTCTCTAACTGTATGTTTGTACCCATTAACCCCACCTCTCTTTACCCCCTACTTGTCCCCACCTTTCCCAGCCTCTAGTATTTATCCTTCTACTCTCCACCTCTGTGAGATCCGCTCTTCTACCTTTTATTTTTTTAGCTCCCACGTATGAGTGACAACATGCAAGATCTGTCTTTTTGTGCCTGGCTTATTTCACTTAACATAATGACCTCCAGTTCCATTCATGTTGCTGCAAATGACAGGATCTCATTCTTTTCTATGGCCCTGATCAACCCGTTTCTTGCTTAATTCTCTTGACGTAACCATGGCTTAGTGGCCTGGAAGGGAAGCCACTTCTGTGTGATAGCTTGTTGCTACTCTGATGCGGTCCAGGTTGGCTTTCAAGAGTCCCTGGCAAAGAGAGCTGTGTTTTTCTCATTGTCCTGGTTGCTCTGGGAGAAGACTGCAGGCTGTCCTGTGAGCCATGGCTGTGTTATGTGGGCAATGGATTTGCGTCTGTAACAGAGGCCCAAAATGAAGGCTCTTAAAGAGATGAAGTCTGTTTCTTGCTCACGTCTCAGTGAGCTTGGTGACCCTGTGCTGCAAGGCTGTCCAGGGCCTGGCTCCGCGTCTCCTGTTGCCACCTTAACACAGGGCTCCCTTCATAGTTTAAAATGGCTGCCCCATACCCATCACCATGTAGCCTCTAGCAGCCCAAGAAGGGAAAGAAGGGCCTCTGTGTGTGGGAACTGTGAGTCCAGCTAACAGTTCTAGCACTTTCTAAGAAGGAAGTGGATATTGGTTGTTTCTGAGCGTGACAGCTGGGGCTTGACACCCGGAAGTCACCAGGATATTGGTTGGGTGGTGTCAACCCTTCGTGTCTCGTCTCCCCACCTATAAAGTCAGGACTCTGGCCTGTCCCCTCTGGACTGCGGGAACCAGTGGGGGAATTCTGGTACTTGAGCCCAGGACTGTGCCTGGCTCACTGCATGTGTCCCAGGTTTTGTCCTGGTAACTACCAGCATCAAGTCCTCCCAGCTCCTCTCTGTAGGAGGGAACCTACCCACCTACCCCCAGTGCACAGAGGAGGAGCTGGAGGCTGTGTCAGGTGCAGGGCCAGCTGGCCAGTCCCCATGGTCCCTGGGATGGCACAGCCACCAACTCAGTCCAGGCAACCTCAGTGGAGAGGCTGGGGTTGCCTGAGGCCCCTGGAGCCGCCCTGCCTGGCTCTCTTCCCCTTGGGTTTGGGGGAATGCTCTGTAGGAGTGCCCCCCACTGGGGACTTGCTGGCACCCAACCCAGCCCCAGGATAGGCAGGACTGGGCTTGGAAGTCCCAGACTTAGAGAGAAGGCAGGCTGGGGGGCCCCGGCTGGCCCCAGGGAGAAGCAAAGAGAGGCGGGCCTCTTGGCTATGGACCCCTGCTCTGTGCTGGGCTCATTGGCTAAGAGAGCCCACTGAGGCCACACCTGAGGAGAACCCTACTCCCCGTGAGGAAACCCTCACGCTTGCTATTCGGGTGGCTCTGTGGTCACCCCCATCTAAGGCTCTGAGCGGTGACTTGCCCCACATCATGGAGCGGGGGAGGGTCCCCCTGGGGTGGAGGCTTCCCCAGTGCACGTCTGCGGGCCCATGCTCCCTGACCTGAGGGACACCCCAGCCCGACATCCGAACACCTCCGCTGCAGCCCAGGCCTGATGTCCCCTTGACTGAGGACATTGGGGGTGAAAGGATCATCCCGCTCCACATGAGGCCAGACGCTCATCTCTGGAATGTTCCTGAAACCTCAGGAGCCCTGAGGCTTCTGCGGGACTCTGGGGCGCTGTTTCTAAACCCAGGGTGGTGGAGTCTGCTGAGCCACCATACAAGCATTTCTGGGGTCCCTGTGGAAGCTTCCAGAACCTCAGATCCAGCGAACCTCATGGGGTTGGGATGTGGGAGGAGTGTGGAGCCAGGCGTGGTCTGCAGCCTTCTCCCCGCCTCAGGCACCTCTAGGAACTCACGTGTCCAGATCGGATGGCTCCTCAAAATGGCTGGGGTGGGGTAGGGTGCCCTTTCTCTTTTTCTCCCCTCTTTCCGCCTTGCAGTGAGAAACCAGCCTGCGCTGTGGTGTGTGGGCTGTCAGGCCGGCTGAGAGCTGGTGCCCTGCCTTTCAGTTCAGGGCTGTGGGGACCTTCCAGGGTCCCCTGGGTGGGAATGCCAGGCCTGGGGCAGCGAGCCTTGGAGGAGCCTCTGGGCCTGAACCTCAGCCTGGCAGCTCTCTGCCTGGCAGCATTGCAAGTCTAGTTTTCAGATCTCCTCTTCCTTCACGTGAGGGGCCCTTCGTGTTTTTCTCATCTGAGAGTTGAAAGCCAGAGCCCCCGACCCTCCCGTGGAGCCCCACACTGGAGTCTGGAGCAGCAGTGGGAGAAGGGCCGGGCGCCGGCCGTAATGAGAAACAGCCGACCTGTGAAAGGGGCCCTGTGTGAGCCCCAGACACAAAGCAGGCTCCATTCAGGAGGGGGCAGCCATGGAACCTGACCCCCGCCACCACCCAAGTTAGGATCCCAGCAGGGACCCTTGGAGTCACACACGTGGCAGCCACCCCTGAGGAGGAGGCCACCCTCTTAGATGCCTCAGTGAGACACAAGACATCAATATCTCTTTATTTAAAAAATAAACAAGACATTTACAGCCATGGGGTGGGGATGGCAGACTGATAGGGCCAGGGCCTCCAACCCCTCGGCCGGCCTCGGGGCTCCCTCTGCCTTTCCCCAGTGCCTCTTCTCCCACCCAGGCCCTCGAATCTTCTATGCGAGGCTCTGCCACAGTGGGAAACGGGGTGGTGGAAAATGACACTCACCTGCCGGCGAGTTTGGGGGGCCTGTCTCGACGAGCCGCTCACCCAAGCCCAGCCTAACCAATGTGCAGACTACTGTACACATTGAGAGCCTCCTGAACAGGTAGTCTGAACACTGGGTTGGCGGGGCCGGCTATCCATCCTGCAGAACCCCCCAGGCAGACGCTGGGGCCACCAGGCCAGGCCGTGCCTCAGCACCTCTGAGCAGCCAAGGAAACCACCACTCTTCCCGAGACGATCCGCTCTGTCCCTTCTGACGTGGCAAGGCTGGGGCCGGCTCGCATCTGGAGAAAGTTCTGGGTTTTCAGGAAATCCTAAAGAGTGGGGGAGGCGGAGCAGGAGGCAGGGTTTGGGATCGTGGCTTCTGGGCTCAGGAGGAATGTCTGACTCTTTGGGGGTCGGGGGTGGGGAGGAGGGGCGCACACACACGTGTGTGTGTGTGTGTGCGCGCGCGCGCACGCGTGCGTGCCGGCAGCACCAGGAAGGCGGCCACTGATTTCTCGGCGGAATCGCACTGTAAACAGTTCCAGATGTGGCATTAGCTGGAATGGCCTGTGACTCAGTTACTTGGCCCTGCTGGCTGGAAGCTTCCGGCCGCGTGATATGATAGGGTCAGGGCAGCAAAGGCCCTTGGGCAAACGTCCGAGCCGGGGGCAGGGCTTCTGCAGAGCCCCCTCCCCTAGCCCCTTCTAAAGCCCCCAAAACTCTTCCCCGAAAGGTGGGAGGGACCCAGGCCCTGTGTTACCCAGCCTTGCCTGGGATGACGGGTGCAGGCTTTCTTCATCACCTTCCCTCCCTTGGGTCCGCAGCGGCATCCCTCCCTCCATGGCCACCGGGCCCCTCTCCTATGCTCTGCTCCCTCCATGGCCACCGGGCCCCTCTCCTATGCTCTGCTCCCTCCATGGCCACCGGGCCCCTCTTCCTATGCTCTGCCCTACTTCTTTGCCTAGAGCCTGGCAGGCTAATCCTGGAGCCGCTCACAAGAGCAACCAAAGAAAATCCCGGGTGCTCATGGGCACCAGCTCTGCAGTGGGCACCAAGCTCCTCCATCCTCCTTGGATAGATGAGGAAACTGAGATGAAATGGGAGGTGGCGGGGAAGTGGCTTGCCCGAGGGCACACGGCCAGGAAAGGGCAGGGCTGGCATCACCTCAACCATGCTGAGCTCCTAACGCCCTGAGGCTGAGCCCATGTGCCAAGCCCACTGCTTCATCCTGGCTCCCCTTGCAAAGTCCTGACAGTCCCAGCTGGCCCCCACTTGCCAGGGAGCCCCCGCTGCCTTCTCCACAGTCACTGTGGCTGCTCCTGAACTTGGAGGCGGCAGCCAGGTTAGGCTTTGTGCTGGGGCAGCGCAGTGAGGGGACATGAGAGGAGTTTCCAGAGACGGCCCAGGGAGAAGAAGGGCCAGGGGCACTGTGGGGAGGACTGGGCTTTGGGTCACAGAGACCTGGCCTCTGAAGTCCTGCTGTGGCTTGCGCTGCCTGCCGTGTGGCCTTCGGCAGCCAGCTTCCCTCTCTGAGCTAGGAGGGATCCGTGAACTGAGACCAAGCAGTGCATGGCATGGGTCCCCAAGAGCTGCTGCTGTGGCGGGTGGGCACACACATCACTGGGTGAGTGTGGGACTCCAGGGTGCCACCCCCAGCTCCGTGACTCGCCAGCCCCTTGCCCCTGGCCGAGGGGCCCACCTCTGAGCTGCCTCCCTAGCAGTCTGGACAGCCGTGGCTGGCACTTGGTGCTTCCTGAACAGGGCCAACCTTAGAAAGCAAGTGATAGGGCAGGTGCGGTGGTGCACACCTGTAATCCCAGCACTCTGGGAGGCTCGCTTGAACCCAGGAGTTTAAGACCAGCCTGGGCAACATAGCGAGACCCCATCTCTATTAAAATAATGATAATGATAATAATAAAGAAAGGGAGTAAGGCTTCTGCAGCACCTGGCCCAGGACCTATCCAGCCCCAAGATGTCCTAAAGCGGCCAAGGTTGAAATCCCAGCCCTGCTCCTCTCTGCCTCAGTCTTCCCCTCTGTAAAATGGCATCACAGAGGTAACTCACTCCTAGGCTCGTTTCAAAGATGGAGCCCAGATAAAAGTTCCATTCACTTCGTGCAAGGCGAGGGGCAGTTGTGTTGTGCGTGCCGTCAGCCACATGTCAGCAGTGAACTCAACAGGAGTCCCTGCCCTGGAGAAACTTGAGTCAGTCCAGTGGCAGTCAGCCACCTAGGTCAATAAGCACAGGCAGTCAGGCACCTAGGTCAACAAGCGCAGGATACGTGACGTGTTGTGTGAGGGAAAAGGAGGATGGAGGTGGGGAGGGTGCGGGTAGAGTTAGGGCAGGAGGGAGCCATGCAAGTGTCAGGATCAGGCAGTAGCCCGGTCGTCCGAAGGCCCTGGGGTAGGAACCCAGGTGGGATACTCAGGGAGCATCATGGAGGGCAGCGTGGCTGGGACAGAGTGACGGACGGGGAAGGGCCGGCAGATGGGCTCATATACAGCAGCGACCAGCATTGAGAAGCCCCCGGGGCTGGTGGTGGCGCATGCTACACGCTCTGGCCTGGGGCATCCTGAGTTGTCACGTGGACCGCTCAGGGTGACTCTTTTCCCTCCACCCTCAGGAGAAAGAGAAGAAGTACATGCTGCCTCTGGACAACCTCAAGATCCGTGATGTGGAGAAGGGCTTCATGTCCAACAAGCACGTCTTCGCCATCTTCAACACGGAGCAGAGGTGAGGGGCCCAGGGGCCTGGGGATGGCTCGGGGTGAAGACCAATGGCCTCATTCACACTCCACAACCTTCACTGAGCACTGAGCACCTGGCTGTCAGCAGTCCCTGCCCTTGGGACCCAGCTTTTAGAAAGGGGAGTCACGTGAGAAATAGCAAATGCCAGGGATGCTTCCCGTGCTGGGTCAGAGATGACCTCTCTGGGCAGAGATGAGGATGAAGGCAGGCTCCGAGTCAGTGGGAGCCATGGAGAGTTCTGAGCACAGGGTGACCAGGACCTGGCTCAGGTGCTTGCAGGAGCCCTCTGGTGGCTGAGAGGGAAACAGTATGAGAGGGTGAGAGATGGGGGACGAGGGCAAAGGCCGCTGCCTTGTCCAAGTGGGCGATGATGGGGCCAGAACCCATAGGGAAGGAGGGTGCAGATTCTGGGTAGAAGAGTCAGGCGGAGCCCTGGTGGGCATGGATATGAGAGAGAAAGGCACCAATTGTGACCCTGAGTACGTGGGCCTGAGCTCCTGCACTGCCCAGCTGCTGCCATTGGCCGAGGTGGGGAAGGCAGCGGCAGGTAGGCCTGGAGACAGCCAAGAGCTCCATTTAGGCCATGCCAAGGGAGAGGGTGCATCAGGGAGGCACCTGGGTAGATCGAGGAGTGTGATGTCCAGGAACGAGCTCCAGTCTGGGATGTGAACTGGGCAGTCACCATTGCGTGGATGGTATTTCAAGGAACGAAACCAGATGAGCTCCCAGGAGAGTGAAGCTGGAGAATGGGAGGCCCCAGGAAGCTCACAGTACATCTGTCCCATGAGGCGTAGCTGGAGACTTTAGCAGAGACACTGCTCTCAGGAAGAAACCCAGCTGGCAGGAGGGCTCTTCCCATGCTCACACAATCACGCTCATCCAGGAAGCAGGGCCCACCTGAGTCAGGGATTAGCTGTCAGTAAAGGCCCGGTGGTACCCTGAGACCTGTAGGCAGGCACTGACGTCCTCCCTGCTGGCCCCAGAACCTCCTTGCCTACTGCTTGGCTACACCCACCAACTCCAGCTGAGTCTCCTGGTTCCCTCCTGCTTTGCTCTGGCTGGCCTAAAGCTCGAGACCCATTTGTCCACCAGCTGGCCGTGAAAACCTTCATAGCTCTTCTAGGCTTGCCCCTGGCCATATGACACCTGGCAGCTGTCCCAGGTCCCTGAGCCGTGTGCCTCCTGTACAGGGAGGGTGACAATATTATCTGATATATCTTTTAAGAGCAGGTTCAGGAAACCCAGAGTAGTAGCTGCAAAAACAAGATAAGATGGTTGATAGTTTTTTGTGTAAATTAAGTCCAGACTTTAGTATCCCGGGCAAAGTGGAGCAGCTCCACAGGCATCAGGGTCCAGGCCCTGCATGTTCCTCAGGATTCCACCTGATATGCAGAAGCCGAGCTCTGCGGTGGGACAGGCCTGCCATGAAATCCTGACTTTTTTTTTAAACGGAGTTCCGCTGTTGTTGCCCAGGCTAGAGTGCAATGGTGCGATCTCAGCTCACCGCAACCTCTGCCTCCTGGGTTCAAGCGATTCTCCTGCCTCAGCCTCCCAAGTAGCTGGAATTACAGGCATGCACCACCACGCCTGGCTAATTTTTTATTTTTAGTAGAGACGGGGTTTCTCCATATTGGTCAGGCTGGGCTCGAACTCCCAACCTCAGGTGATCCACCCACCTCGGCCTCCCAAAGTGCTGGGATTACAGGTGTGAGCTACTGCACCTGGCCCAAAACCCCGACTTCTACTTCTTTGTCCAAAATGGCTGCCCAGACTCCAGCCATTGTGATGATGTCCCAGGCAGCAGCAGGAAGGAGAGGAGGAGCTACAAGGGCATGCCTCTCCCCACACAACCTCATCCAGAGGTCGTTCGGGGCAGCCACTTGCTGACCACAAACCCAACTCTCACTTAAAGGCTTTGTGGGCAGCTTGGCTGTCTTAACCACACCTGGATGTGGGACAGGAAAATGTGCGTGGCATGTGGCACGGGGCCTGGCCTGTAGACCACCATCTGCAAGCACTGTTTAGCATCCATTCCATTTATCTCCCAGCTTTGAGACCCTGGTTCTTTTTTCTTTTTCTTTTTCTTTTTTTTTTTTTTTTGAGATGGAGTCTTCCTCTGTCACCCACCCAGGCTGGAGTGCAGTGGCATGATCTCAGCTCATTGTAGCCTCCACCTCCCATGCTCAAGTGATCCTCCCGCCTCGGCCTCCCGAGTAGCTGGGACTACAGGCGCACACCACCATGCCCAGCTAATTTTTGTATTTTCTGTAGAGATGGGGGTGTTGCTGTGTTGCTCAGGCTGGTCTCCAACTCCTGAGCTCAAGCAATCCCCCTGTCTCAGCCTCCCAAAGTGCAGGAATTACAGGTATGAGCCACCATGCCTAAACTTTACAAAAATTTTTTTGTTTTGTTTTGATACATAGTCTCACTCTGTCGCCCAGGCTGGAGACAGTGGCACAATCTTGGCTCACTGCAACTTCCACCTCCCAGGTTTAAGCGATTCTCCTGCCTCAGCCTCCCGAGTAGCTGGGATTACAGGCATGCAGTACCACTCCCAGCTAATTTTTTGTATTTTAGTATTGACGGGGTTTCACCATGTTGGCCAGGCTGGTCTCAAACTCCTGACCTCAGTTGATCCTCCTGCCTCAGCTTCCCAAAGTGTTGGGATTACAGGCGTGAGCCACTGTGCCCAGCCAAAACTTTTTTTATAAAAAACACACAGGCCGGGCACGGGGGCTCACGCCTGTAATCCCAGCACTTTGGGAGGCCGAGGCAGGTAGGTCACGAGGTCAGAAGATCGAGATCATCCTGGCGAACACGGTGAAACCCCGTCTCTACTAAAAATGCAAAAAATTAGCTGGGGTGGTGGCAGGTGCCTGTAGTCCCAGCTACTCGGGAGGCTGAGGCAGGAGAATGGTGTGAACCCGGGAGGCGGAGCTTGCAGTGAGCCAAGATCGCGCCACTGCACTCCAGCCTGGGCGACAGAGCAAGACTCTGTCTCAAAAACAAAACAAAACACATTCGGGCACAGTGGCTCACACCTGTAATCTCAGAACTTTGGGAAGCCGAGGTGGGCGGATCAGCTGAGGTCAGGAGTTCGAGACCAGCCTGACCAACATGGAGAAACCCCATCTCTACTAAAAATACTAAAATTAGCCAGGTGTGGTGGCGCATGCCTGTAATCCCAGCTACTCGGGAGGCTGAGGCAGGAGAATCGCTTGAACCCGAAAGGTGGAGGTTGCGGTGAGCCGAGATTGCGCCATTGCACTCCAGCCTGGACAACAAAAGCGAAACTCCGTCTCAAAAAAAAAAAATAAATAATAATAATAATAATAAAGTTCTGGTGGACAGTGCTGCTCTGGGCTTTCCTGAAAATGCCCCAGTGGGAGCTTCCCAGCCACAGTTGGTGTCGAGGGTCACATGCCCACCTCTGGGGGCCCAGGAAAAGAGAAGAGTCAGCTGATCCAACAGAAACAAAGAAACTCAGACACTTGCCGAGCTTGTGCACAGCGCTCTTCTGTGTAGGCGTCACTCACGGTGACCCCTCAGCATGACCAGGTGAAGCCTGGGTTGGGTTTGGGTTCCTGATCAGTCAGAAAGACCCCTAGAGCCCATTCCTCTCGGCAGTCTGCCAGACCCATGGCAGGGTCAAGCTTGTGCCCCTCCTTCCCCACCCCCCCGCAGAAACGTCTACAAGGACCTGCGGCAGATCGAGCTGGCCTGTGACTCCCAGGAAGACGTGGACAGCTGGAAGGCCTCGTTCCTCCGAGCTGGCGTCTACCCCGAGAAGGACCAGGTGAGGAGCCGTCCTGCGCAGCCAGGCCCAGAGCCCCCACCTGGGAGAGGAAGCAGGGCTGGCTTTCCCCAGGACAGGTCATTTTCAGGCCATGTTAGCCAGGAGTCTCTGAAATCATGTAGCAGATGCCCACTTGAGCAAGCAAAGGAGAAATTGGGGGTACTTTGTCATCAGGGCCCAGAAAGTTCCCTCACGGAAGCCAGTGACCGGGGCACACAGGGGATGGGGTCCCACTTGCTTTGTTCTCTTCTCTTTTCCCCTTCCATCCTGAGGTAGAGTGAACATGGCCACCCTTGGCCCCAATATTAAAATGCCTTGCCGGGCACGGTGGGTGGTTCGCCCCTGTAATCCCAGCACTTTGGGAGGCTGAGGTGGGCAGATCATTTGAGCTCAGGGGTTCGAAACCAGCCTGGCCAACATGGTGAAACCCCGTCTCTACTAAAACTACAAAAATTAGCCAGGCATGGTGGTACGTGCCTGTAATCCCAGTTACTCAGGAGGCTTAGGCAGGAGATCGCTTAAACCCGGGAGGTAGAGGTTGCAGTGAGCTGAGATCACGCCATTGCACTCCAGCCTGGGCGACAGAGCAAGACTCCATCTCAAAAATAAAATAAAATGTCCCAAGGTTGGGTGTGGTGGCTTACACCTGCAATCCCAACACTTTGGGAGGCAATGTGGGCAGATCCTTTGGGCCCAGGAGTTCGAAAACAGCCTGGGCAATGTTGCAAAACCCTTCTCTCCAAAAAATACAAACATACCCAGGCATGGTGGCGCACCCCTGTAATCCCATCTACTCCAGGGCGCTGAGGTGGGAGGATCACTTGAGCTCTCCCTGGGAGGTTGAGGCTGCGGTGAACTGTGTTTGTGCCACTGCACTGCAGCCTGGGTGACATAGCAAGACTGTGTCAAAAAAAAACAAAACAAAAAAACAACGTTCCAATGCCCAGGTGAGGGGATCCACCCCAGCATCAGCCAGGGTCACCCCATTGTTTGGGCAGCTCTGGCCCAGGGCAAGCAGGCCTATCTGGTGCCAGTGGGGCTGTCAGGGGCCAGCCTGAGGTCAGTTATTGGTGGGACAATAGGGCAGATGGTTTCCAGAGAACCAGGACTTGGCCCAGGCCACAGTCACCCCTCAGCACCTCCCCTCCCGCTTGCAGGCAGAAAACGAGGATGGGGCCCAGGAGAACACCTTCTCCATGGACCCCCAACTGGAGCGGCAGGTGGAGACCATTCGCAACCTGGTGGACTCATACGTGGCCATCATCAACAAGTCCATCCGCGACCTCATGCCAAAGACCATCATGCACCTCATGATCAACAATGTGAGTGGAGAACTAAAAATGAGAAGGAGGTAGCTGGGTGCGGTGGCTCACGCCTGTAATCCCAGCACTTTGGGAGGCCAAGGCGGGCGGATCACTTGAGGTCAGGAGTTCAAGACCAGCCTGGCCAAAACGGTGAAACCCCATCTCTACTAAAAATACAAAAATTAGGCTGGGCGCGGTGGCTCACACCTGTAATCCCAGCACTTTGCGAGGCCAAGGCGGGCGGATCACGAGCTAAGGAGTTCGAGACTAGACTGACCAACATGGTGAAACCCCATCTCTACTAAATATACAAAAATTAGCCGGGCACGGTAGCTCACGCCTGTAATCCCAGCTACTCAGGAGGCTGAGGCAGGGGAATCGCTTGAACCCAAGAGGCAGAGGTTGTGGTAAGCCTAGAGTGCACCACTGCACTCCAGCCTGGGCGACAGAGTGAGACTCCGTCTCAAGAAAAGAGAGAGAGAGAGAGAGAAAAATACAAAAAGTAGCCGGGCATGGTGGCGGGTGCCTGTAATCCAGCTACCCGGGAAGCTGAGGCAGGACAATTACTTGAACCTGGGAGATGGAGATGGCAGTGAGCCAAGATCGTGCCACTGCACTCCAGCCTGGTTGACAGAGCGAGACTCCATCTCAAAAAAAAAAAAAAAAAAAAATGAGAAGGAGGCCAGGCACCCTAGGCCATACCTGTTTGTAGTCTTAGCACTTTGGGAGGCTGAGGCAGGAGGATCACTTGAGCCCAGGAGGTTGAGGCTGCAGTGAGCTATGATCATGCCACTGCACTCCAGCCTGGGCGACAGAGCAAGACCTTGTGTCCAACAACAGCAACAACAAATTTGAATGAATCACCACCCTTTGAACACCAGAATCTGCACGGCCATCCTCTTTGGGAAACCCTAGGGTTTCCGAGCCACACTGGGTCCATAGTCCCATCAAGTCCACTAACTGGAGTGAACACTGCAGGTGTGCGCCTTCTCTGAATTAACTTAGGCTGGCATCAGAATAACTGCAGGAGGGAGAACGGCCATCTTCCCCATTTCACAGACAGAAAACAAGGCCAGAGAGATCAAGTAACCTGCCCCAAGTTCCTTAGGAAAGTGGGAAGTGGGATTCAAACCCACGTTTACCCTGGTTGCAACCATACCCTTGGGTTGTGTTGGGCAGCCGCTGTGTCCTAATGATCTGGGGCCCAGCCTCTTCCTCATGGGCGTCACCCGCCTGGCCCCGGGTTCCCTGGAGACTCTCAGGGCTCTGGGCTCCTCTTCAGTGAAATGCAGCTGTACTGATAGTATCTCCAGCTCAGGCTGCTAGAGGGCTCAGGGCACTTGTGTATCAGGCCTTTGGCATGGCACTAGCCACTCAGGAAGCTTTATAAACCAGCTTTGGGGCCGGAGCAGTGGCTCATGCCTGTAATCCCAGCACTTTGGGAGGCTGAGGAGGGAGGATCACTTGAGCCCAGGAGCTGAAGACCAGCCTGGGCAACATAGCCATACCCCAGTCTCTACAAAAAATTTAAAAATTAGCTGGGCGTGGTGGCAAATGCCTGTAGTCCCAGCTACTCAGAAGACCGAGGTAAGAGCATCACTTGAGCCCAGGAGGTTGAGGCTGCAGTGAGCCATGATTACGCCACTGCTCTCCAGCCTGGGTGATGGAGCAGGAACCTCTTTCAAAAAAAAAGTGTCTTGGGTTTTGTATATGAATGTCAACCACAGAAACCTGCGGATCTAAGTAAAACTCCCACACAGGGTGTGGCTGGGCATGGTGGCTCACATCTGTACTCCCAGCACTTTGGGAGGCTTGGCAGGAGGATCACTCGATCCCAGGAGTTCAAGACCAGCCTGGACAACATAGTGAGACCCCATCCCTATTTAAAACACACACACACCTCCCACGTGCCATGCCCTCCCACCCTGTTGCTCCCATTCTCAGTAGTGATCAGTGTTCACAGTTTCATGGTGTCCTGGTATGTTTCCTCATATACCGATAGGATCGGAGACATATACGGTTCTTCTGCTATGAAATTTAAAATGCATATATCCTTTGACCCTGCAAGTTTACTTTTAGGAACTTCTCTAAGAGAGACAATTGCCCACGTGCAAAGTGAGCTTATACATGCTTATTGTTTTCCATGATGTTTTATAGCAGCCAAAGATGGGACATAATTATCCATTTTTAATAGACTCTTATAAAATAAAAATATTTTATTATTTAAGAAAATAATAAATCTGTCGGCCCAGCTACTCGGGAAGCTGAGGCAGGAAGATCACTTGAGCCCAGGAGATCGAGGCTGCGGTGAGCAAAGATCGCTCCACTGCATTCCAGCCTGAGTGATAGGAGTGAGACCCTATCTAAAAAAAAAAAAAGTTGTGACGGCCAGGTGTGGTGGCTCATGCCTGTAATCCCAGCACTTTGGGAGGCTGAGGCGGGCACATCACGAGGTCAAGAGACTGAGACCATCCTGGCCAACATGCTGAAACCCCCCTCTACTAAAAATACAAAAATTAGCTGGGCGTGGTGGCACGCGTCTGTAGTCCCAGCTACTCTGGAGGCTGAGGCAGGAGAATCACTTGAACCTAGGAGGTGGAGTTTGCAATGAGCGGAGATCATGCCACTGTACTCCAGCCTGGTGACAGAGGGAGACTCTGTCTCAAAAAAAAAGAAAAAAAAAAGTAACTGAAAAACTTCTGTATCCAGTAGGAGGTTCCAGAAAGGACAATGTATAAAATTCATGAACAGAAACTAGTAGTGTTTGAACAGAAGCCAGGTGGAAGATGTAACAGGATTAGCCGGGCGCAGTGGCTCACTCACGCCTGTAATCCCAGCACTTTGGGAGGCCAAGGCGGGTGGATCACCTGAGGTCAGGAGTTAAAGACCAGCCTGGCCAATATGGTGAAACCCCATCTCTGCTAAAAATACAAAAATTAGCCGGGGGTTGGGGGGCACGCCTGTAGTCCCAGCTACTTGGGAGGTTGAGGCACAAGAATTGCTTGGACCCAGGAGACGCAGGTTGCAGTGAGCCAAGATTGCACTGCAGCCTGGGTGACAGAGTGAGACTCTGTCACAAAAAAATAAAGATATAACAGGATTGGCTGGGCGCGGTGGCTCACGCCTGTAATCCCAGCACTTTGGGAGGCTGAGGCAGGCGGATCATAAGGTCAGGAGATCGAGACCATCCTGGCTAACAGGGTGAAACCCTGTCTCTACTAAAAATACAAAAAATAAGCTGGGCGTGGTGGCAGGCGCCTGTAGTCCCAGCTACTTGGGAGACTGAGGCAGGAGAATGGCATAAACCCGGGAGGCGGAGGTTGCAGTGAGCTGAGATTGCACCACTGCACTCCAACCTGGGCGACAGTGAGACTGTCTCAAAAAAAAAAAAGCAAAAACAAAAAAGATATAACAGGATTATTCTGCCAAGGTTAAGGAAATAAATAAATAAGCTAAAACAGGAGAAAAGACATCAATGGAAGAGGCAAGATACTAGAAATAAGTTGAATAAGAATCTCATAACCAGCCTGGGCCACATGGTGGAACCCTATCTCTAAAAAAATTACAAAACTTAGCCAAGCATGGTGTCAACGTGCCTGTCGTCCTAGCTACTTGGGAGGCTGAGGCAGGATAATTACTTGAACCCGGGAGGCGGAGGTTGCAGTGAGCTGAAATTGAGCCACTGTACTCCAGCCTGGGTGACAGAGCAAGACTCTTTTTCAAAAAAGTCTGGGGGTGGCCCCGCCCTGTGAGAGATGTTTTTCCAGCAGTCACTGTGGGTTCTGGGTTGGGGTGATACACAAGCCTGACCCTCCCCAACCCCTGCCCGCAGACGAAGGCCTTCATCCACCACGAGCTGCTGGCCTACCTATACTCCTCGGCAGACCAGAGCAGCCTCATGGAGGAGTCGGCTGACCAGGCACAGCGGCGGGACGACATGCTGCGCATGTACCATGCCCTCAAGGAGGCGCTCAACATCATCGGTGACATCAGCACCAGCACTGTGTCCACGCCTGTACCCCCGCCTGTCGATGACACCTGGCTCCAGAGCGCCAGCAGCCACAGGTCCGGAAGCCTGGTTCCCCTACCCTCAAGCATTCGGCCTGCAGGTTCCTGCCCTCCCTGTGTGTCCTGCAGGGTCCTGGCAGGAAACAGGACACAGCCCAAGGGTGGCACCCAGGGCTGGGCACTGTGGGAGCTGCTGCCCTGCTGAGGCCGGAGGAGGGAGAGAAGGGGTATGGGGGCGAGCCAGCCCTACAGCTCTAGGGCAGGACCCTGTGAATAAATACCCCGCCTGCCCTCTGCTGGTGCCTTCCATTGGCACAGCCCAAATGGAAGCTGGGGTAAGAGGCTGGAGGGGCAGCAGCCACAGGAGAGAGATGAGCCTCCTGGAGCACAGAGAAGGGCAGATGGGAGGCTCTGGAGGGGCAAACGCAAGGCGTGGCCAGAGCTGCTGCCGCCCCTGAGTTGTCCATTGAGGCCGTCGGGCAGGGAACCTCAGAGGGGGCTGCCTTGCAGAGCCCTGGGGGAGCCATGGAGTTCCTTAAGGGGAGGATATCGCACCCAGGCCTGCAGGTGGCAGGGACTGAGGCCCAGGAGGGAATCTGGATGTCTGGACAGGGCTTGCAGGTTCCACGGCCCCTAGAGATATTAGGGCTTGATCTGGAGGACTCTGGAAGTGTCTTTGGCTGTGAGGGTGGATCCCAGGCCCAAGGCCTGAGGGGGCCCTGTGAGTGGGAAGTGCCTGAGGGGGCCGAGGGCAAGGGAAGGTGGGACTGGCGCTCAGGTTGGGGTGGGAGGATCCCACTGCGCCTGCGCTGTCCCCATAGCCAGCCCCCACCTCAGGTTCTGGCAGCCACAGTGGCATGGCGGGGGCTCCTACTCCATCTGTATCTGTAGCTCACACCCTCTCCTTCCTCACAGCCCCACTCCACAGCGCCGACCGGTGTCCAGCATACACCCCCCTGGCCGGCCCCCAGCAGTGAGGGGCCCCACTCCAGGGCCCCCCCTGATTCCTGTTCCCGTGGGGGCAGCAGCCTCCTTCTCGGCGCCCCCAATCCCATCCCGGCCTGGACCCCAGAGCGTGTTTGCCAACAGTGACCTCTTCCCAGCCCCGCCTCAGATCCCATCTCGGCCAGTTCGGATCCCCCCAGGGATTCCCCCAGGAGTGCCCAGGTAAGGCCAACCCCCTGCCCTCCACCCCAACTGCCTGCACCCTGGGGTCTCTCCTCCTGTCTCACTTCCTCCCAGTGAGCTCTCACTACGTGCCCAGCTGCTGGAGTGGAGGAATCGTCCTCATCCCTATTTGGCTTGCGAGGAAACAGGCCCAGAGAGGCCAAGAGGCTTGTTCAGTGTCACAGAGTAGCGGAGCCCTGGTGACTCCGGGGCTCCCAGCTTGCCCTCTGCCTACTGGGGTGTGCCACCAGGCAGCTGGGGAACCCTCACACTGGGCACCTCCTCCCACTGTTTACCTTCTTCTCCTTCCTGCTCCTGCCTGCCTCAACCTACCGTGGGCCAGGCTTTATTCTCCCCACTTCTCCGGTGGGGAAGCTGAGGCCCAGGGAGGGCAGGGGGCTCACTGAGGGTCAAACAGCAGGCGAGTTGATGCCTAGGTTTGGCACTCCTGCCCGACACCCTGGTGGCTTGCGGAGGTCAGCCTGGGAACACCCTGGGGTGGTGTGTGGGTGGGGGCTGGGTCCTCAACCCAGGCCTGCCTCTTGCTCCCGGCCTCACTGCCGTCTCCCCCTCCCCACCTGTCTTTATTCTCTTTGCAGCAGAAGACCCCCTGCTGCGCCCAGCCGGCCCACCATTATCCGCCCAGCCGAGCCATCCCTGCTCGACTAGGCCTCGAGGGGGGCGTGCTCTCGGGGGGGCCTCACGCACCCGCGGCGCAGGAGCTTCAGTGGTCTGGGGCCCTCCGCCGCCCCTATGCTGGGACCAGGCTCCCAGTGGGCAGCCCTGGCCTCTTCCTTAACGCTGGCCCCGGTCCAGGGCCGGCCCCTGTGCCTGGCTGGACACCGCACTGCGCAAAGGGGCCCTGGAGCTCCAGGCAGGGGGCGCTGGGGTGTTGCACTTTGGGGGATGGAGTCTCAGGGTGGCAGAGGGGGGACCAGAACCCTTGACACCATCCTGAATGAGGGGTCCAGCCTGGGGGGGACTCTACCAAGGTCTTCTTGGGCTGGGAAAGCCCATGTAGGGCAGGCCTTCTATAAGTGCGGGCACCAAGGGCGCCTACATCCCCAGGCCTTGCTGGGGTGCAGGGGTATATCAACTTCCCATTAGCAGGAGCTCCCCAGCGGCAAGCCTGGCCCAGTGGGCTCGGTAGTGCCCAGCTGGCAGGCCTGAGGTGTACATAGTCCTTCCCGGCCATATTAACCACACAGCCTGAGCCTGGCCCAGCCTCGGCTGCCAGAGGTGCCTTTGCTAGGCCCGGAGCCGTTGGCCCGGGCCGGCCTTGCCCTATTCCTCTCCTCCTCCTCCTCCTGGGTCCCCCAGGGTGGCTGGGCTTGGGCTATGTGGGTGGTGGTGGCGGGGGGTCTTGGGGGCCTCTCAGCTCCCGCCCATGCCTCCCTGATGGGTGGGCCCAGGGCGGCCTCTCTCTGAGGAGACCTCACCCACTCCTCGCTCAGTTTGACCACTGTAAGTGCCTGCACTCTGTATTCTATTAATAAACTAAAATAAAGGGAAGACGCTGCTGGTGGCTGCTGTGTGGGCCTCTTGTGTTAGTGTTCAGGCTGGGGACATGGGTGCCACCTCCATCAGGCCTCCCATAAGGATGCCCAAGTCCCTGCACTCATAAGTGCCTCCCATCTCCCTGAGGGCTCTGCTTTCGGGGGTGTCACCTTTCAGAGGAAGCCACTCGATACAGGGGAGAGCTTTTACTTTCCTTAGCATGTGAGGAGTGGGAGCAGATATTCTCTGACCCCCTGCACACCCCCACGTGCACAGGCCTGGCTGCTGCCTGGTGAAGCGGGGACCCCAGCGCTCCACCCCCTTCCTACCCTCAGGCCCTGCTTCTCTCACCTCGTGGGGAAGCCCAAGCCTCGTGGCCCAACTGGGGCTCAGTTAAACTTTGCTTTCTGATTTTTCTCTTGTGCCAGGCGACCACCTCCATCGGCTCCCGCACGACCTTTCTTCTGAGCTTCGTGGGAGGCCCCTCCCACCTGTCTGGCTGCCCCCTCGGGGGCCGGTCTGTCCTGGCTGGTGTCCCTGAGCCCCAATCAGCAGGCTCTTGTGATTTTCTGACCATAATTTATTGACTCCAATGCCCAGGCCACACCACCCTTTGTTATAGGAGGCTTCTGCCTAGACTTTGGCCGGGCCATCCCTCATGCCTGTGTGGGGCCCCTGCAGGAGAGGGGCCGGGGCAGGTGGTCTTCCAGGCCCCCTTCCTGGCATTCTGTTACCAGACCTCAACCTGGCTTGGAGGGCCCAGGTTTCCTTGTTAGGCCCTGCCCCGCACCAGGCAACGCTAACACAGGATGGGAGGCTTAGGCTAAGGCACATTTACAGTAGAGGGGCCAGGAAATCCGAGGCTCACGTTCCAACGCTGCAGTGCCCACCATGTGAGATTTCCAGGACCGTCGGTGCAGCCACTGAGCCGTCCCTTCTACAAGCCAGAGGTGTTCCCTGCCCGCTGAGGACGGAAGGAGACTCATGGGGCCAGACCGCAGGCCCTGACTGCACACTCCCGTTTTGGCAGGAAACTAAAATTGGGGAGGGACCCCCAAGTCTCATATGCACACACCCTGCTGCCCCTCCTTTGTCCCGTTCTTCCTTCCATGGCAGGGGCTACGTGGGCACCGGGCGCTTGTCCTGGAAGAAGCGCTTGAGCGTGCAGACCTGCAGCACAGCCACCAGCAGCAGCACCGCCACGTTGACAGCTGACCAGAAGTTGACCCGCTCCAAGTTGCCCTCTTGCAGGTTGCGGTCACGTGCCTCGAAGGCCCGCAGTAGCGTGAGCATCTGGATGCTGCGCTCCAGCCGGGTCCGCATGGTCTCAATGGACTCCTACAGGGCAGCGGGAGGGGAAGGGTCAGGCCTCCCTCCACCCATCAGGGAGCAGAGACCAAAAAAACCGGGGGATACGGAGGGAGGCTGTATTAACCCTGGGAGGTACAGCTGCAAACACAGACTTGTTCAGGCTAAGTTCAAATCCTCACCCTGCCACTCACTGGCTGTGACCATGAGCAACTTAATTAACCTATCTGAGCCTGTTTCCTCTTCTATAAGCTTCCAAATTGCTGTGAACATTTAATGCCTAAATAAATGTACAAGGATGAGCATGGTGGCTCATGCCTATAATCCTAGCACTTTGGAAGGCTGAGGTGGGAGGATCGCTTGAGCCCAGGAGTTTGAGACCAGCCTGGGCTACATGGCAAAACCCCATCTCTACAAAAAATTAGCCAGGGGTGGTGATGTGCAACTGCAATCCCAGCTACTCAGGAGGCTGAAGCAAGATTACACCTGTAATCCAAACACAGGAGGATCACTTAAACCCAGGAGTTCAAGACCACCCTAGCCAACATGGTGAAACCTCGTCTCTACAGAAAACAAAAAATTAGGCATGGTGGTGCACACCCGTAGTCCCACTGAGGTGGCAGGATTGCTTGAGCCCAGGAGTTTGAGGCTGCAATGGGCTATGATCACACCACTGCACTCCAGCCTGAGTGACACAGCAAGACCTTGCCTCGCCGTAGCTCACACCTGTAATCCCAGAGCTTTGGGAAGCCAAGGCAGACAGATCCCCTGAGGTCAGGAGTTCGAGACCAGCCTGGCCAACATGGTGAAACCCTGTCTCTACTAAAAATACAAAAATTAGTCAGTCAGGCGTGGTGGCACAGCTATTCAGGAGGCTGAGGCAGGAGAATTGGCTGAACCTGGGAGGCAGAGGTTGCAGTGAGCTGAGATCGTGCCACTGCAATCCAGCCTGGGTGACCAAGAGAGATCTGTTAGAAAATAAATAAATAAGTAGTTAATTAAAATACTAATAAATGTACAGAACATATTTGCTTGTGGTTAAGAGCATAGTTGCTGAAACCAGCATGGGTTCAATACCAACTCTGCTAGTTGGTCTGTGTGGCCGTGAGTTGCTCAGCCATCTTGTATCTCACTTTCTCCACCTGTAAAATGGGGATGACTTGAGCACAGGGTCTGCTTCACAAGGTGGTTTGGAGATTTACGGTATGAGTTATTTATGATATGAGTTCCTTAAACCTTTACACCAGGGTTTATACCTAGAAATGAACTACTTTTTTTTTTTTTTTTTTTTTTGAGACGGAGTTTTGCTCTTATTGCCCAGGCTGGAGTGCAATGGTGCGATCTCGGCTCACTGCAACCTCTGCCTCCCAGGTTCAACTTCCACCTCCTGGGTTCAAGTCATTCTCTGGCCTCAGCCTCCTGAGTAGCTGGGATTACAGACGCCCGCCACCACACCCGGCTAATTTTTGTATTTTTAGTAGAGACGGGGTTTCACCATGTTGGCCAGGCTGGTCTCAAAACTCCTGACCTCAGGTGATCCACCCGCCTCAGCCTCCCAAAGTGCTGGGATTACAGGCGTGAGCCACCGTGCCCGGCCTGAAATGAACTACTTATTTTAAGAGCTGCTACTCTTACTATAATTCAGTTGGAGGGCACAACTACGGAGGGGAGGCTGGGTCAGCCCAAGGGGGGCACCCCAGGTGAATCCTAGAGATCTGGAAGGAGTGGCCCCAGCGCAGCCTGGACACACCTTGATGTCCTCCATTTTAACATCCAGCATCTCCTCGGGCTCCACAGCCTCTGCCCATCCTTCGACCTCCTCGTCATCCTGGAGGCTGTCAAAGATCAGTTCAAAGAACACCAGCTTCTCGGAGATGGTGCTGAAGGAGTTGTCAAAGCACAGCTTGTAGTCCCCGGCCTCCGTTGGCTCCACCCTGGGCAGACAGACACACAGACATGACCCAGGGTGGCCAGCCAGCCGACTCAGCGGGGCAGTCAGGGCGGTAACCTGAGGCCGCCTGGGAAGGGCAGGGCTGTAACTGAACCCAGGCAGGCATCAAGACTGAACTCACGTGTGTACCCCATCAGCCTTGCGGGACTCGCTGACCAACAGCACGCCCTGAGGGCTCTCCAGCGTGAAGTCCACGTCCAGTCCAGCACCTCCGATCACCTGGGGGGCAGGTAAGAGCGGGTGGAGGGCTAGCGGTAGGCCAAGGGCGCCTGCCGAAGAGGGCTACGGCTGAACCAACACTGATCAATACAGACCACCAAGGGCTTACCTGAACGGCGGCACACCCACACCCGCCCCAACCTGTCCCAGTGGCTGCGCCCCTTGCCTCCACCCTCATTGATATGACAGCTTGGGGTCCATACTTTCAGCTGACCACGCACCTACCAAAAGTACTTAATGGACGTTTACCTGACCACGCCCCTGGTTGGCTCCGCCTCCGAAAGAGGATAGGCCCAGCCTTTTTCCTTAGTCTAACCCCCGAGAAAGGCCTGTGTGGGCAACGCCCCCGCAGTTGACCTATCAGCACTATCGCCACGCCCACCAGCCAGAGTCCTGTCCTCTCAGAGGCTCCCTATACTTATCGATGGCCCCGCCCCCTCTGGATCTCTTACTCTAGCCCCGCCTGCTTCATTACTCCCTCCCCTTCCGCTCCCACACACCGTCCCCGCCCCATCTGTCCATCTCTTTCTAGCTCCGCCCCCGCGCTCCCAAGCACGGATTCCTCCCCCTTCCTCCTAAAGCGCGCCTCGCCTCGACCGCTTGGCCACGCCCCCTCTCCCTGACTCTGCTGGCCGCCCAGCCCGCGACCCTCTACCTGGTATTCGGTCTCGAGGCTTGCGTTGGCCGGCGCGGACTGGTAGAAACACTGCTTCCTCCCCGCCGGCAACAGGAACGTGAACTCACCGTCCTGGATTGGCGGGGGCCCCGCCCCTCCCACCTCCACTGGTGGCATTAGTAGCCACAAGGCCAGGGCTAGGGCCGCGCCGGCCGCCATCATCCGGGTCACCCTCTGGTCTGCAAAGGGGTCGCGGCTCCTTTAAGCGCTAGCCCTGCCCCGGTGCTACTCGGCGGAGCTCATTGGCAGTGGCTTCTGTATGTTGTCCGTAACCAGAGGTGCCAGGAGTGAAGGACCCCCCCACTAGAGGGCAGGCGGCCCGAATGAATGCCTGATGTGCCCAGAAACACTCAACCGTCTGGGAATATTTTTCTCAAAGGCTTCGGCTCTCTTCTCGGCCGCTGGTGGAGGAAAATTACAAAAATAAGTGCCATGATGGCGCATCTTTTGTAGGCAGTAGCTAAGACAACTAAAGTTACAGGCGGCAGGGTCCTTTTTAGTCACCTCCACGTGGTTTTCCCAGAGTGCGCCGCGCGTGACAACCTTTGGCGGGACCGACGTGGTGGAGTGGACCCAAAAATAGCGTCTAGGCGTGGCCCTGTACGCGACCCGTAGGGCTCGCCTATAAAAGGGCTGGGGCGGGGCGGAGATACCTGTGGCGTCGTGTTTTGCTTGCTCTGTGAGCGTGGTCCAGGTTCGACGCCTTTTGCGCCTTAGAGGCATCAGCGTATCAGTTTCCTCGTAAGTCGGGAGTGATGGAACGACCACCCTGTAGTGCGGCTGTGAGAATTGAGATGAGGCTTGGTTCATATTGAGTGCTCAGCTTTCCTGGCTTATAGACAGTGGAGGGGCGTGGCCCCACCATGCACCCCAAGGGTCTCAGACTCAAGGGCCAGCAGGTAAATAGAGCCATTACAGTAGCCTCGGGTCAGAAAAACGACAGCCCAGGTAGGAAGAGATAAGGACAGTGTGGGACTGGGAGCCACGTTGCCTGGTTCAGCTCCTGCCCCACCCATTACTTGAGGCATTCCCTCTGTTGAGCCTCAGTTTCCTCTTCTGCAAAATGGGGATAATAGGCCTACGCTACTGGGCTGTCTTTAGGATACGTGAAATGCTTGTTGAGTGCTTGCTTCCGCAGTGCGTGGGACATCACAGGCCCTCAGTAAATAATAATCTGTTATTTGGTTCCCGTCTAAACATAAACTGTGTACAGGGAGATGTTTAGTCTTCAAAGATAAACCCGGAAAAGGTTGGCAGGTGATGACAAAGATCCCTCAAATACAGCTGGCTGTTGTCAGCACTTTCCTGCATTTGGAGAATTTGGGGAAGTAGCTCTTTGTAATATCAGTTTGGTATTCCTTTTCACTCCAACTTTTTCTATCATTTACACTCACTGCTTGGACAATTTGAAGTAACAGTGGAGAACGGGTGACTCCTTTTCTTTTTTTTCTTTTTTTTTTTAATTTTTTTTTCCTTTTTTTTTTTTTTTTTTTTTGAGACAGAGTCTCCCTCTGTTGCCCAGGCTAGAGTGCAGTGGCGCGATCTCGACTCACTGCAACCTCCGTCTCCTGGGGTTCCAGCGATCCTCCTGCCTCAGCCTTCCGAGTAGCTGAGACTACAGGCACGTGCCACCACACCTGGCTAATTTTTTGTATTTTTAGTAGAGAGGGGGTTTCACCATGTTAGCCAGGATGGTCTCGATATCCTGACCTTCTGTTCCATCCACCTCGGCCTCCCAAAGTGCTGGGATTGTAGGCGTGAGCCACTGCACCCGGCCGGATTTTTTTTAGGACAGGGTCTTGCTCTGTTGCCCAGGCTGGGGTGCAGTGACGCCATCATGGCTCACTGCAATCTCTACCTCCTGGGCTCAAGTGATTCTCCCACCTCAGCCTCCTGAGTAGCTGGGACTACAGGTGTACACCTCCATGCCTAACTAATTTTTTGTAGACATGAGGTTTCCCTGTGTTGCCCAGGCTGGTTTCAAACTCCTGGGCTCAAGCCATCTGCCTGCTCCCTCACCCTCCCAAAGTGTTGGGATTACTAAAATTGATTTTTTTAAATACAGTAAAATTCACATTGCATAAAATTAACAATTTTAAGGCCGGGTGTGGTGGCTTACACCTGTAATCCCAACACTTTTGGAGGCCAAGGCAGGCGGATCATGAGGTCAGGAGATCGAGACTATCCTGGCTAACACAGTGAAACCCCGTCTCTACCAAAAATACAAAAAATTAGCCAGGCGTGGTGGCGGGTGCCTGTAGTCCCAGCTACTCTGGAGGCTGAGGCAGGAGAATGGTGTGAACCTGGGAAGCGGAGCTTGCAGTGAGCCCAGATGATGCCACTGCACTCCAGCCTGGGCGACAGAGCAGGACTCCGTGTCAAAAAGAAAATAAAAATAACCATTTTAAAATTAACAATTCAGTGGCATTTAGTACATTCCAGTGTTGTGCAGTGACTTCTATGTAGTTCCAAAACATTTTCATCGGCTCAGTAAAGATCCCTGTACCCATTAAGCAGTGATTCTGAAACGGCCTCGTTGTCTTGAGTAACACCCGGGGTCGTTGTCTCACAGCCACGAAGAACAAGGACCAGGACACACAAAAGAATGAGGTTGAGAACGAACGTTTAATAGGCAACGGAGAGTATAGCTCTCTGCTACAGAGAGGAGTCCCAGAAAAATGGGTTGCTGGTCCATAGCAAAATACAGGGGGGTTTATAGATGAGCTGGTGAGGAGACTTAGCCTGATTTACATAGGGGATGAAAAACTGGTTAGAACAGGTGTGCCATTTGCATAGGGTGTGAATTTCTGGTATCTGCTAATCTTTTATTATGCAGCCGGGGTCTCTACCTGAGCTGTGCCACATCGCCCATTTCTTTTTCTTTTTTTTTCTTTTTTTTTTTTGAGACAGAGTCTTGCCCTGTCACCCAGGCTGGAGTGCAGTGGCGTGACCTAGGCTCTCCGCAACCTCCGCCTCCCAGGTTCAAGGGATTCTCCCGCCTCAGTAGCTGGGATTACAGGTGCCTGCCACCACGCCCAACTAATTTTTTGTATTTTTAGTAGAGACAGGATTTCACCATGTTGTCCAGGCTGATCTTGAACTCCTGACCTCATGATCCGCCCACCTTGGCCTCCCAAAGTGCTGGGATTACTGGTGTGAGCCACCTTGACCAGCCCCATGTTGCCCATTTCTTAGTTCCTGTACACGTGGTAGCAAAAAAGGGGAGATGGAGCCTCCGTGTTGGATATGCCTGGCTCCCAGGTAGCCATTTTCTGTTGGTGCAGCTGCCAGCATTCCCACGTGCAAGCTTCCAGCTTCCTTATCTATGTTTGCAGCTTGAGTTTTCAGGCTGCTATTTATTAGAAAAGAAATGATATCAGGGGCTACTTTCTGTTAGAAAAGAAATTCTGCTGAGGACTCTTTGCCCTCACTGCCTGCCTAAATACTTTCTATCTCCTGTATCAACTCCTCATTACACTTTGCCCCCCGCCTCTCAACTAGCTATGTGCTTTTTGCCTCTAGGGATTTACCTACTCTGGATATTTCATATGAATAGAAGCAGACAATGTGTCACCATTTGTATTGAACTTCTTTTACTTAGCATGTTTCTAGGGTTAGACCATGTATCAATATTTAATTCCTTTTTATGGCTGAGTAGTATTCTATTGTATGTACATACCACAATCAATTTTTCTTTTGTTCTTTTTTTTTTTTTTTTTGAGACAGTCTCGCTGTGTTACTCAAGCTGGAGTGCAGTGGTGTGATCACAGCTCACCGCACCCTCCACTTCCCGAACTCATGTGATCCACCTCAGCCTCCCAAGTAGCTGGGACTACAGGTGCACGCCACCACACCTGGCTAATTATTTTTCTGTGGAGACAAGAGGTCTCCCTGTGTTACCCAGACTGGTCTTTAACTCCTGGGCTTAAGTGATTCTCCTGCCTCAGTGCCCAAAGCGCTGAGATTACAGTTGTGAGTCACTGTGCCTGGCCCCACAATTTCTTTAGCCATTCATTATTGAGGGACAGTAGAGTTATTTCAACCTTTTAGCTATTGTGAGTACAGCTGCTGTTAACATGTATGTATGTGTATTTTATTACTTGCGTTCAGTTCTTTGGGGTATAGATCTCGTGGTGGAATTGCTGGATCCTATGGTATTTCTATGTTTAACTTTTTGAGGAACAACCAAAGTGTTTTCCACAGTGGCTGTACTGTTTTCCATTCCCACCAACCACGTATGAGGGTTCCAGTTTCTCTACATCCTCACCAACACTTGTTACTTTGCATTTTGTTTTTTGTTTTGTTTTGTTTTTGAGACAGTCTCACTCCTTCACTTTGGCTGGAGTGCAGTAACTGCAATCTCCATCTCCCAAGTTCAAGTAATTCTCCTGCCTCAGCCTCCCAAGTAGCTGGGATTACAGGCACATGCCAACACACCCAGCTAATTTTTGTAATTATAATAAAGACAGATTTTTGTTTTTGTTTTTGTTTTTGTTTTGTTTTGTTTTGAGACGGAGTCTTGCTGTATTGCCAGGCTGGAGTACAGTGGTACCATCTTGGCTCACTTCAACCTCTGCCTCCCAGGTTCAAGTGATTCTTCTGCCTCAGCCTCCTGAGTAGGTGGGACTATGGGCGCATGCCACCATGCCCAGCTAATTTTTGTATTTTTAGTAGAGACGTGGTTTCACCATGTTGGCCAGGATGGTCTCAATCTCTTGACCTCGTGATCTGCCTGCCTCAGCCTCCCAAAGTTCTGGGATTACAGGCGTAAGCCACCGCGCCCAGCCTAGAGACAGGTTTTTGCCATGTTGACCAAGCTGGTCTCGAACTCCTGACCTCAAGTGATCTGCCCACCTCGGCCTCCTAAAGTGCTGGGATTACAGGCGTGGGCCACTGTGACCGGCCCTGTTTTGTATTTTTTGTTTGTTTGTTTGTTTGTTTATTATAGCCAACCTAGTGTATGTGCATTTCCCAAATGATTAGTAAGGTTGAGCATCTTCTTATCTGCTTCTCGGTGGTGTGTATATCTTCTTTGGAAAGGTATCCATTCATGTCTTTTGCCCATTTAAAAATTGGGTTGTTCATCTTTTTGTTGTAGGAGGTTTTTTAAACACATATTATAGAGAGGAAAAGATAGAAAAGTGAAACAAAAAAACTTCTCTAGCTGGACCCTCATGCTTGTAATCCCAGCACTTTGGAAGGCTGAAGCCAGAGGATCTCTTGAGCCAAGGAGTTTGAGACCAGCCTTGGCAACGTAGAGAGACTCTCCCGCTCCTACCACCATCTTTACAAAATAATAAAATATTAGCCAGTTGTGGTGGCATGCACCTATAGTCCTAGCTACTCAGGAGGCAGAGGTGGGAGGCTCGCTTGAGCCCAGGAGTTCAAGGCTGCAGTGAGCCATGATTGGCCCACTACACTCCAGCCTGGGTGACAGTGAGACCCTGTCTCATAAACACACACAAAAAAATACCCTCTCGCGGCCGGGCACAGTGGCTCACGCCTGTAATCCCAGCACTTTGGGAGGCCGAGGTGGGTAGATCACAAGGTCAGGAGATCGAGACCATGTCCCTTGAGTAAACAAAACCAAAAACTCTCCTCCCTAATTATTCACCAAATATTTACTGAGCCTCTGACAGTGAATAAAACAGACACTGTCAAAGCCAGGTGGAGTGGCTCACGCCTGTAATCCCAGCATTTTGGGCGGCCAAGTTGGGAGGATCTCTTGAGCCCAGGAGTTCCCGACTAGCCTGGGCAGCATAGTGAGATCCCATCTCCACAAAAACATTTTTTAAAAAATTAGCTGGGCATGGGAACAATCCCATTTCCTGAGGGAATGGGAGGATCTGTCTACTTTTCTTATCCTGATTCAAATGGAATGCCAGTGTGGCAACTCCTAGGATTTGTCACGAATGGGAAGCCAAGTGCCATCTTCAAAATTTCAGGTCTTAAATCTGGAGAAGGAAGCCAACATCCTTTTGGAGCCATGAATATTGTCCGAACTCCATCTGTTGCTCAGATTGGAATTTCAGTGGAATTATTGGACAGTATGGCTCAGCAGACTCCCGTAGGTAATGCTGCTGTATCCTCAGTTGACTCATTCACTCAGGCCCAGATGACACCAAGCCCATCTGAAATGTTCATTCCGGCAAATGTGGTTCTGAAATGGTATGAAAACTTTCAGTGATGACTACCACAGAACCATCTCTTGGAAAACATAATTTGAATAAAATACTTTTTTTTTTTTTTGAGACGGAGTCTCACTCTGTCACCCAGGCTGGAGTGCAGTGGCGCGACCTTGGCTCACTGCAAGCTCCGCCTCCCGGGTTCACACCATTCTCCTGCCTCAGCCTCCCGAGTAGCTGGGACTACAGGTGCCCGCCACCATGCCTGGCTAATTTTTTGTATTTTTAGTAGAGATGGGTTTTCACCGTGTTAGTCAGGATGGTCTTGTTCTCCTGACCTCGTGATCCGTCGGCCTTGGCCTCCCAAAGTGCTGGGATTACAGGCGTGAGCCACTGCGCCTGGCTAAAATAATTTTTAATGGAAAAAAAAAAAGTAGCTGGGCATGGTGGCACACGCCTGTAGTCCCAGCAACACAGGAACCTGACTCAGGAGGATCGCTTGAGCCCAGGAGGTTGAGGCTGCAGTGAGCCATGATTGCACTACTGCACTCCAACCTGTGCAACAGAGAGAGACCCTGTCTCAAAAAAAAAAACCAGAATTCCAGGTTGTAGATTCCTTCACCATATTGACTCAGGATTTTTCTTAGCCACTTTGCCAGCCGGGGACATCTATGGCCGGCAGTGCCCCCTACCACCCGCAAGGGCATGACACTGGAGGCACCCTGCCCACTCAGCCCACCTGTGTTATAGCTTGTATCTGCATTCGGCAGTTCTCAAGCTCTTGTCCTGCATCCAAGAAGAATGAGGAAATGCTGACAATTGAAGGGTGAAGATGGGAGGAGAATTTTTTTGAGCGACAGAACAGCTCTCAGCAAAGAGGAGATGTGGGGGTGTGGTTTATCTTTCAGTGTGGCTGGATCCGGGGCTTTTTATGGACTCAGAATGGGGAATGTGTGCTGATTGGATTGTGAGTGTGCAAAAAAGGTTAAAGCGAAGACACCACTCAAAGGTGGGTCCAACAGTATAGAAAACCAATTAGGAAAGGGTAGGTATATGCAAACTAGGTGGAGGGTGGGGATCAATCTGAGGAAAGCACGCCAAATAGAAGACAGATTCTCTGTCCAGTCCCTGGATTTGACTTGTAGCTTTGCTTTCAGGCTTTAAACTGTCTTTGGCTTGGAGGTGGGGTTTCACCAGGGACCTGCCCCTATCTGCCTAGGCATTTGTCTGCCTCTTGCCACTATCAATATCAATCAGAAGGCTTCCCTGACCCTGCTGTAGCTGGGTTGAGCCCCCTCGGCCACTGCCTCTGTTACTGCACTTCACCACTGGACTCTCCTTGTCTTCTTGTCTGACTCTTGAACGCTGAGCTCCTTGAGGACAGGAGCCATTTTCATTCATCCTAATGTCTCTGGCACAATTCTGGGAACATGATGATGCTCAGTACTCAGTTGGTGGAAAAAATAAGCCAGGAATCTCTCTTAACTCCATCTCCTGT
The DNA here is from genome assembly GCF_000001405.40 of Homo sapiens. Classification (NCBI taxonomy): domain Eukaryota; kingdom Metazoa; phylum Chordata; class Mammalia; order Primates; family Hominidae; genus Homo; species Homo sapiens. The sequence continues at coordinate 10,843,653 of NC_000019.10, forward strand.
ACACCCAGTATACAGCCACAGAAGTGGCTTGAATGGATGTTTTTTTTCGCTGTCAGGTCAGATGATTGAGAAATATTTATGATGTGCCAAGCATGGTGGGAGACACGGGACACTGCAGGTAACAACACAGACCCCATCCTTGTGCTCCGAGAGGAGGAGGAAAGCTGTGTTAAGATATCATGAAGGCTGGGCATGGCGGCTCATGCCTATAATTCCAACACTTCGGGAGGTGGGCGGATCATTCGAGGTCAGGAGTTCAAAACCAGATTGGCCAACATGGTGAAATCCTGTCTCTACTAAAAATCCAAAAATTAGCCAGCCGTAGTGGTGCATGCCTGTAATCCCAGCTACTCAGGAGGCTGAGGCAGGAGAATCACTTAAACCCGGAAGATGGAGGTTGCAGTGCAGCCGAGATTGCGCCACTGCACTCCAGCCGGGGCGACAAAGTGAGACCATGTCTAAAAAAAAAAAAGGCTGGACACGGTGGCTCACGCCTGTAATCCCAGCACTTTGGGAGGCTGAGGTGGGTAGATTACGAGGTCAGGAGTTCAAGACCAGCCTGACCAACATGGTGAAACCCTGTCTCTACTAAAAATACAAAAATTAGCCAGGCATGGTGGCACACGTGTAATCCCCGCTACTCAGGAAGCTGAGGCAGGAGAATCGCTTGAACCCAGGAGGTGGAGTTTGCAGTGAGATGAGATCGCACCACTTCACTCCAGCCTGGGTAACAGAGTGAGACTCCGTCTCAAAAAAAAAAAAAAAAAAATTTAAAAAGCTAGGCGTGGTGGCTCACGCCTGTAACCCCAGCACTTTGGGAGGCCAAGGTGGGAGGATTGCTTGAGCTCAGGAGTTCATGACCAGCCTGAGCAACATAGCAAGACCCTGTCTCTGTTTAAAAAAAAAAAAGAAAGGCCGGGTGCAGTGGCTCACGCCTGTAATCCCAGCACTTTGGGAGGCTGAGGCGGGCAGATCACAAGGTCAGGTGATCAAGACCATCCTGGCTAACACAGTGAAATCCCGTCTCTACTAAAAAATACAAAAAATTAGCCGGGCGTGGTGGCGGTTGCCTGTAGTCCCAGCTACTCGGGAGACTGAGGCAGGAGAATGGCGTGAACCCAGGAGGTGGAGCTTGCAGTGAGCCGAGATTGCGCCACTGCACTCCAGCCTGGGCGACAGAGCGAGATTCCATCTCAAAAAAAAAAAAAAAAAATGAAGGAGGCTGGGCGTGGTGGTGGCTTACGCCTGTAATCCCAGCACTTTGGGAGCCCAAGGTGGGAGGATTACTTGAGCCCAGGAGTTTGAGACCAGCTAGGCAATGTAGTGAGACCCTTTCTCTACAAAAAAAAAAAAAAAATTTAGCCAGGTGCCGTGCATGCCTGTGGTCCCAGCTACTTGGAAGGCTGAGGTGGGAGGATCACTTGAGCCTGAGAGATGGAGACTGCAGTGAGCCATGATTATACCACTGCACTCCAGCAGCCTGGGCAAGAAAGCAAGACCTTGTCTCCAAAAAAAAAAAAAGGCATGAGGATGAATTCAATAAATTCAAGAATATTCTGTGTACTACCTTGACCAAATTGTATTAATATTTAGAGAATATTATACCAAACAACTACACCGTGTACTTGAATTTCTAGCGTACGTACAATGTGGATCGAGATACCCTGCACCATTCTAAAAAGTCAGTACATTTCAAAGTATTGAAATTATATGACCACAAAGGAGTTAAAAATCATTAACAGTAAGCTGCCCCCCAAAAAGCCCAAGTACTTGGGCATTAAGCAACACACATATTCTCTGGATCATAGAAAAGAAAGCACAATGGAAATAAGCAAATATTTCTAACTTAATGACGCTCAATATATGAAAATGTGTGGCATGCAGTTAAAACAGTTCTTGGAGGGAAAGGTGTACCTTTAAATGCTTGTATTAGAAGATAAAGGTGGGCCGGGTGCGGTGGCTCACGCCTGTAATCCCAGCACTTTGGGAGGCCGAGGCAGGTGGATCATGAGGTCAGGAGATCGAGACCATCCTGGCTAACATGGTGAAACCCCATCTCCACTAAAAATACAAAAAATTAGCCATGCATGGTGGTGGGTGCCTGTAGTCCCAGCTACTCAGGAGTCTGAGGCAGGAGAATGGCGTGAACCTGGGAGGCAGAGCTTGCAGTGAGCCGAGATCACGCCATTGCACTCCAGCCTGGGCGACAGAGCAAGACTCCGTCAAAAAAAAAAAAAAAAAAGAGGGTTTAAAGTTAATGAGCTGCCTGTAATCCCAGCACTTTGGGAGGCTGAGTCAGGAGGATTGCTTGAGCCCAGGAGTTCAAGATCAGGCTGGGTAACATAATAGGACCCTGTCTCTACAATTTTTTTTTTTTTAATTAGCCAGGTGTGGTGGTGGACACCTGTAGTCCCAGCTACTCAGGAGGCTGAGATGGGATGATCTCTTGAGCCCAGCAGGGTGAGGCTGCAGTGAGTCATGATCATGCTGCTTCACTGTAGCCTGAGCAATAGAGCAAGACCCTGTCTCAAAAAAAAAATGTTTTTTTGTTGTTTTTTTTTTGAGACAGAGTCTCGCTCTGTTGCCCAGGCTGGAGTGCAGTGGCATGATCTCAGCTCACTGCAAGCTCTCCTTCCCGGGTTCACGCCATTCTCCAGCCTCAGCCTCCCGAGTAGCTGGGACTACAGGCACCCACTACCACATCTGGCTAATTAAAAAAAATTTTTTTTTAATAAAAAGAGTTTATATAAGCATCCATCTTAAGAAGCTATTAATACAAATTTCTGCTGGTGAAGTTTAAATTTAAAAACAAAACATGAGCTAGGAAAAGAAGAGCCAATTGAACATAAGGTAACCAGAAAAAAGAAAAGAATAAAGTCAAGTCAAAAGGCAATAAAATAGAAAATAAAACAACAAATCCAAACTGTGGCACTTTGAAAAGATCAATAACAATGATTAGCTCCTAGGAAGACCGATAAGAGACAAGGAGACTTCACTAATTTATGTGTCAGGAATGAAAGAAGGAACATCACTACAGACCCTACAGACATTAAAAGGATAGTAAGGGGATATAAATAACTTTACACCAATACATTTGACAACTCTGATGAAATGAGCAAATTCCTTGAAGATACAAGCATGCCAATTGCAATAAAGGAATATTACAGGGCACTGTGGGAGAATTTAGCTAGGGGATTGTTCTAAGTCCAGAGGGGCCTGGAAAGTTTTCCCAGAAGTGCTATTTAAACTGAGACCTGAAGGAGAAGCAGGATTTGACCAGGTTGACAGAATTGTGTTCCAGGCCAGGGAAATAGTGTGTGCAAAGGCCCTGAGGTTGGATTGAACTTTCTGTGTCCAAAGAAAAAAGTTTACTCTAATGACGCATTTTGGTGTTTGATGACCACATGCCACATCCTTCTTGGGTCCAAACCCCCAAGCAAACCTGACTGGCTTGAACAGAAATGTTTAAAAAGATAAATGCAAACCCAGTAGTAAGAGAAACTTGGAAGTTTCTGGGCTGTAAACAGGAGGCAGTTTATCCTGTGAACTATATCACAAACTATATCCAGAATTGATCTGGAACTGGTATTCCCTTTCATGTGGCTGATCAAACTTCTGAGTCTTTTTCCTCCCTGTAACTTTACCTTGTGAGCATGCACTACCCACTAGGCGTTGCATTTCCTACTACAAGTTCTTTGAATCTAATGTCCACTGCTCTTTTTTTTTTTTTTTTTTTTTGAGATGGAATTTCACTCTTGTTGCCCAGGCTGGAGTGCAATGGCGCGATCTCAACTCACCACAATCTCCATCTCCTGGGTTCAAGTGATTCTCCTGCCTCAGCCTCCCGAGTAGCTGGGATTACAGGCGTGTGCCACCACGCCCGGCTAATTTTTTGTATATAGTAGAGACGGGGTTTCACCACGTTGGCCTGGTCTCGAACTCCTGACCTCAGGTGATCTGCCCACCTCAGCCTCCCAAAGTGCTGGGATTACAGGCGTGAGCCACCACGTCTGGCCTAATGTCTACTACTCTTAGCCCCATTCTGCAGAGCAGTATACTGAAGCCTCAAAGGAGGTAAGCCATGCCTGAGGTCACAGAGGCCAAGCCCTAACCACCATGTCCTCCCACTCCTGCCCATATTTGTTTAAATGTTGGTGCTGGTTAGGCTATGGTTTGTGTCTTGGGCATGGGTTTCCAAACATCCCACTGCTGTCACCCTGTCTCATTCCCAGGAGTTCTCTTAGAAGGAGAGACAAAAGGCTGGGCACGGTGGCTCACGCCTGAAATCCCAGCACTTTGGGAGGCTGGGGCGGGCAGATAATGAGGTCAAGAGATCGAGACCATCCTGGCCAACACAGCAAAACCCCGTCTCTACTAAAAATACAAAAATTAGCTGTGCATGATGGCTCCTGCCTGTAGTCCCAGCTACTCAGGAGGCTGAGGCAGGAGAATCACTCGAACCTGGGAGGTGGAGGCTGCAGTGAGCCGAGATCGCTCCACTGCACTCCAGCCTGGGCAACAGAGCAAGACTCTGTCTCAAAAAATAAAAATAAAAAAAGAGGAAAAAATTGTGAAAACCACCTAAACATCTCATCCATTTTTTTCCCCTCTAATCTGCAGAACCGCAACCAGAGAGGTGCGCGGGTCTGATGTGTGTTTGGGGAAGGGGTGGGGAGGGGAGAGAGTCCCTTTCAGTGCCCAAGCCTGTGTGTGCAACTTCCTGCCAGTGAGGAAACTCTCAGCTCGAGAATCAGCCCTGGTTCTCCTTTCCCCGATCTGGCCTCACAGGAGGAGTTGGCGGGGAGCCTTGGGCCCCTCTGGCCTCAGCCGGATTTCCCAGCCAAACGCAGAGAGAGATGCCCTGGACCATCTTGCTCTTTGCAGCTGGTGAGTCTGAAGCCCCCCTCTCAGATCCCCCACGCCTTTCCCCCCATCCTCTGTCCACCTTGCCGCTCCAGGGGCAGAAACCAGTGCAGGGGCTGCCGTTCTCAGGGCATCGAGGAGGCTGAGCCCTTGGCAGATGGGTTTTCCCCCTGAGCCTTGGAAACTCTCCAGTAGTGTTGGTTTTTTCTTCTTAGGCTCCTCATCACCCCCAAGTTTATGAATATCAGAAATATCACCCCTCTGGAGTCAGCTGTGCCCACACCCCATGATTCAGCCCCGCTTCGTCTCTGAAGGCTCCTTGAGTGCTGGGGCAGCAGGAGGGTCTACCTAGGGGGATATCAGTGTGGCAGGGGTGGGTGGGGGTTGGAGGCTGGACGAGGGAGGGTTTGTATAGACCTCACCTGGCCAGACACTCTGCTCAGAAGCCTGTGGGCAATCAGGAGAGAGATGGATCCCCAGGAGACCATCCTGCAGGAAGCCGTGCTCCAAAATCCGTATTCTTCACCCAAGCCTGGGAAAGGAGATAAAAGTCCTCTGCCCTTCCTTCTCCTGCCCTCCCTCTCACTCACCCCCTCCCCTTCCTGCCACCCACCTCACTCACCCCCTCCCTCCTGCCATGATGGCCTCCTTGCTGCTCCTTTTTTAATATTTATTTTTATTTTTAAATAGAGACAGGGTCTCACTGTGTTCTCCAGGCTAGTCTCAAATTCCTGGGCTCAAGCAGTCCTCCCACCTTGGCCTCCCAAAGTGCTGGGATTACAGGCGTGAGCCACTGCATCAGGTGTTTGCTCCTCCTTAAACACCCCCATTCCCCTTCCATCCCCTGGACCTTTGCCTATGCTGTTCCCTCTGTTGGAATGCCCTTCCCCAGCTCTCCAAATGGGTCCTTCCTCACCACTCAGGACTCAGCTCGTGGGAGGCCAAGGTGGGAGGATCACTTGAGGTGAGGATCTGGGCAACATAGTGAGATCCCATCTCTACACAAAATAAGCAAAATTAGCTAGCCAGGTTCACCAGCCTGGCCAACATGGTGAAACCCCGTCTCTACTAAAAATATAAAAATTAGCCAGGCATGGTGGCACATAGTCCCAGGTACTCAGGAGGCTGAGGCCACTGTACTCCAGCCTGGGCGACAAAGCAAGATTTTGTCTCTAAATAAATAAATAAAGTAATAATAAATTAAATAAAAAATAAGAGTATAGTTGTGTTGCTATGTAATAACCAATGCTATTATTGAAAACTGATGGCCAGGCATGGTAGCTCACGCCTATAATCCCAGCACTTTGGGAGGCCGAGGTGGGGGGAGTCACACGAGGCCAGGAGTTCGAGACCAGTCTGGCCAATATAGTGAAACCCCATCTCTACTAAAAATATAAAAATTGGCCAGGCATAGTGCCACATGCCTGTAATCCTAGCTACTTGGGAGGCTGGAGAATCACTTGAACCCGGGAGGTGGAGGCTGTAGTGAGCCGAGATCACACCACTACATTCCATCCTGGGTGGCAGAGTGAGACTCCGACTCACAAAAAAAAGAAAAAAGAAAAGTAATTCAACTACAGGGAGCCGTCACCATGTGCCAGGCAGTGTGGGGTAGGGTCACTAGCCTCCTGACTCACAGAAAACACAAGGCTGAGGGAGGGTGGTCTACTTGCCCGAGGCCACATAGCCAGGGCAGCCTCCACTCTCACCACGCACCCACCCACCTTACCCTCTGCATTGCAGGCTCCTTGGCGATCCCAGCACCATCCATCCGGCTGGTGCCCCCGTACCCAAGCAGCCAAGAGGACCCCATCCACATCGCATGCATGGCCCCTGGGAACTTCCCGGGGGCGAATTTCACACTGTATCGAGGGGGGCAGGTGGTCCAGCTCCTGCAGGCCCCCACGGACCAGCGCGGGGTGACATTTAACCTGAGCGGCGGCAGCAGCAAGGCTCCAGGGGGACCCTTCCACTGCCAGTATGGAGTGTTAGGTGAGCTCAACCAGTCCCAGCTGTCAGACCTCAGCGAGCCCGTGAACGTCTCCTTCCCAGGTAAGGCCCTTCTATGGGATCTCACTGCCGGGGGCTTAATTTTCTCACATGGACCTCTTGTGTGTACTGTTGACTCAGAGGCCTTCCCAGAAAAAGCCAGGCTTACACCCTGCCAGGACTTACTCGCCTTTCCTTTTTCAATCTTCTCAGCCAGCCCAAAAGGGGATTTGTTGGTTCACTGAGCTTAAGTCAGCTCACAGGGCCGACTTCAGGTATGGCTAGATCCAGGTGCTGAAAGCTGTCAGGGACCATTTGCCCCATCTCTGCTCCACATTCTTCTCCGTCTTATTGTCAGGCAGCCCGTCTCCCTCTTGGTGCCAAAATTGGTGCTGTGATTCTTCCCATTTTGCAGATAAGGAAACTGAGGCACAGGAGGTACACACCTTGTACACAGGTAACAGGTAGCCAGTCTGGGATGCCATTGCCTTCCAAAAACCATGAATTACACCTCCGTGACATACATTACTTCCCCTCTTGGCCACATACTTTTTTTGTTTGTTTGCTTTGAGATAGTTATGCTCTTGTTGCCCAGGCTGGAGTGCAGTGGCACGATCTTGGCTCACTGCAGCCTCTGCCTCCTGGTTCAAGCGATTCTTCTGCCTCAGCCTCCTGAGTATCTGGGATTACAGGTGTGTGCCACCATGCCCGGCTAATTTTTGTATTTTTAGTAAAGACAGGATTTCACCATGTTGGCCAGGCCAGTCTCGAACCCCTGACCTCATGATCCGCCTACCTCAGCCTCCCAAAGTGCTGGAATTACAGGCATGAGCCACTGCACCTGGCTTTTTTTTTTTTTTAAATGAGACAAGGTCGTGCAGACTAGAGGGCAATGGCACAATCATAGCTCACTTCATCCTCCAATTCCTATCCTCAAGTGATCCTCCCACCTCAGCCTCCTAAGTAGCTGAGACTACAGGTGTGCACCACCATGCCCAGCTAATTTAAAAAATTATTTTAGAGATGAGGGTCTAAAATGTTGACCAGGGCCGGACATGGTAGCTCATGCTTGTAATCCCAGTACTTTGGGAAGCTGAGGTAGGTGGATCACCTGAGGTCAGAGCTTAAGACCAGCCTGGCCAACATGGTGAAACCCTATGTCTATTAAAAATACAAAAAATAGGCTGGGCGTGGTGGCTCACGCCTGTAATCCCAGCACTTTGGGAGGCCGAGGCGGGTGGATCATGAGGTCAGGAGATTGAGACCATCCTGGCTAACAAGGTGAAACCCCGTCTCTACTAAAAATACAAAAAATTAGCCGGGCGCGGTGGCGGGCACCTGTAGTCCCAGCTACTCGGGAGGCTGAGGCAGGAGAATGGCGTGAACCCGGGAAGCAGAGCTTGCAGTGAGCCGAGATTGCGCCACTGCAGTCCGCAGTCCGGCCTGGGCGACAGAGCGAGACTCCGTCTCAAAAAAAAAAAAAAAAAAAATACAAAAAATAGCTGGGTGTGGTGGCATGCGTGTGTAATCCCAGCTACTCAGGAGGCTGAGGCAGGAGGATCATTTGAATCTGGGAGGCGGAGGTTACAGTGAGCCAAGACAGTGCCATTGCACTCCAGCATGGGTGACAGAGCAAGATTCTGTCTCAAAAAAAAAAAAGATATTGACCAGGCTAGTCTTGAACTCTTAACCTCAAGTGATCCTCCCACCTCGGCCTCCAGAGTAGCTGGGATTACAGATGTGAGTCACCATGCCCAGCATGAGCCACATAAGGTTTCTGAGCACTTACTATGGACCAAGAACTGTCTTTGGGCTTGCCCAAAGACATTCCAGGCTGACATTCCAGGCGGATGAGGACAGATGATAAACATGAAATCCAATATATATTCAACCTGCCAGCAGGGCACCAGATGAAATCCACCTGGGTGAGGATGTCATTATTTGAAGTAGAGTAGGGCGACTGGCCCCATGTTCTAATGGTCAGCCCTCTGGACTCTGAAGTAGAGTAGGGCAATCAGGGAAGCCCTCTCTGAGGAGGTGGCATTTGAGCAAAAAACTGAATGATGAGGAGGAGCCAATCATGTGGATATCCAGGGCATGTGTTGCAGGCAGAGGATACAGGATGTGCAAAGGCCCCGAGGCTGAAGCTTCCCTGGTGTGTCTGAGGAGCCCAGTATGGCTGAAGGATGGTGAACAAGGAGGAAAATGGGGAGAGGCGGGGCAGGGAGTTCACCAGGAGGATCGTGGGGGGTCTTGTAGACCACAGCAAGGATTCGATCTTTTCACCTGAGTGAGGGAACCCTGGCAGGGCTGATGTCCTTTTCTGATCTCTGAATGAGGAGGCTGGACATGGGTTATGGGTCAAGAAGCAGGAGGGAGGAGCCTTTGGTGGCCTTCTGTGTTACCATCAGTCAGAACTTTCCTGGCCGGGTGCAATGACCCACGCCTATAAGCCCAGGACTTTGGGAGGCTGAGGCAGGACGATTCCTTGAGCCAAGGAGTTCAAGATCAGCCTGGGCAACATAGTGAGACCCTGTCTCTACAAAAAAAAAAAAAAATTATTTTATTTTTTTTTTAGATAGGGGTCTTGCTTTGTTGACCAGGCTAGAGTGCAGTGGCGCAATCACAGCTCACTGCAGCCTCCACTTCCTGGGCTCAATCAATCTTCCCTTCTCAGTCTCCCTAGCAGCTGGGACTACAGCCGTGCACCACCACGCCTGGCTAATATGTCTATTTTTTGTAAAGACAGGGACTCACTCTGTCGCCCAGGCTGGAGTGCAGTGGTGTGACCCCAGCTCACTGCAATCTCTACCTCCGAGGTTCAAGCAATTCTCCTGCCTCAGCCTCTCGAGTCTCACTGCAACCTCTACCTCCGAGGTTCAAGCAATTCTCCTGCCTCAGCCTCCCGAGTAGCTGGGATTACAGGCGTGCACCACCATGCCCAGCTACTTTTTGAGTTTTAGTAGAGATGGGGTTTCACAATGCTGGCCAGGCTGCTCTCAAACTCCTGACCTCAGGTGTTCTGCCTGCCTCGGCCTCACAAAGTGCTGGAATTACAGGCGTGAGCCACCATGCCCAGCTCCCCCCAATTTTTTTTTTTTTTTTGAGACAGTCTCGGTCTGTCGCCCAGGCTGGAGTACAGTGGCACGATCTCGGCTCACTGCAACCTCTGCCTCCCGGGTTCAAGCGATTCTCCTGCCTCAGAGCCTCCCGAGTAGCTGGGACTACAGGCATGTGCCACCATGCCCAGCTAATTTTTTGTATTTTTTTTTTTAGTAAGAAGGGGTTTCACAGTGTTAGCCAGGATGATCTCAATCTCCTGATCTTGTGATCCGCCCACCTCAGCCTCCCAAAGTGCTGAGATTACAGGCGTGAGCTACCCCGTCCGGCTAATGTTTTTTTTTTTTTTTTTTTAATTAGGAGGGACTGCTGGCATGTGTCAGTAGGCTGAGGCAGGTGGATCACTTAAGCCGGGGAGGTAGAGGATATAGTGAGCCATGATCGCACCACTGCATTCCAGCCTGGGTGACAGAGGGAGACCCTGTCTGTAAAAACTTTTTTTTTTTTTTAATTTTTGAGACAGAGTCTCACTCTGTCGCCCAGGCTGAAGTGCAGTGGCCCAATCTCGGCTCACTGCAACCTTTGCCTCCCAGGCTCAAGCGATTCTCGTGCCTCAGCCTCCCGAGTAGCTGGGACTACAGGCGCCAACCACCACACCCTGCTAATTTTTGTATTTTTTAGTAGAGATGGGGTTTCACCATGTTGGCCAGGGTGGTCTTCAACTCCTGACCTCAAGTGATCCGCCCACATCGGCCTCCCAAAGTGCTGGGATTACAGCCATGAGCCACCGCGCCTGGCCCAAAAAAACTTTTAAAAAGAACTTTTTCACTGCAAAAAATAATCTTGTTGCCAGCCGAGGCCAACATGCAGCTATGACAGGGCAGTTCTCTGTCCTTCCCGGCCTCAGGCTCCTCTATCAAAGGCCCCCTTCTCTCACCTTGGCCTTGTGGCCTTGGAGTAGGGAGCTGACAACACCCCTTCTGCCCCAGGTGAATCAATGAACAAGGCTGACATTGTGAGAATACCAAGCGTCTGTCTTCTTCCCTCTTCTGGCTTAGCTCCTCACCTCCCTTGGGGTCAGGGCATCTCCTCTTTCTCCAGGAAGGGGAAGCGAAGTCTTGTGCTGAGAAGGTGACTCTGGAACTGCCACTCCCATGCCTGTGTGACTAGCTTCTGGGTGGATCTCAGGGTCTACCGTTGGGCTGGGGGTGGATGTCATCTGGCCACTGGCACCCAGACTGCAAGTAATAAAAACCTGACTCACACTGGCTCTACCAGCAAGAGGGGATTTGTTGGTTCACTGAGCTGAAGTCAGTTTACATGGCTGACTTCAGATATGGCTGGATCCAGGTGCTGAAAAATGACAGAAAGCATTTGCCTTCTCAGCTCCTCTTCTGTCTTATTCTCAGGTAGTTTCTCCCCCTCATGGAGGCAAGATTGTGCCCTGAAGCTTCAGATATATATTCTTTTTTTTTTTTTTTTTTTTTTTTTGAGACAGATTCTAGCTGTGTCACCCAGACTGGAAGGCAATGGCCCAATCTCGGCTCACTGCAACCTCCACCTTTTGGGTTCAATCGATTCTCCTGCCTCAGCGTCCCAAGTAGCTGGGATTACAGGCACGTAACACCTGGCTAATTTTTGTATTTTTAGTAGAGACGAGGTTTCACTATGTTGGCCAGGTTGATCTCGAACTCCTGACCTCAGGTGATCCACCCACCTCAGTCTCCCAAAGGGCTGGGATTACAGGCGTGAGCCACCGTGCCCAGCCATCTCTTTTTTTGTTTGTTTCTTCAGATGGGGTCTCTCTGTGTCACCCAGGCTGGAGTGCAGTAGCACGATCTCAGCTCAGTGCACCCTCCACTTCCCGGGTTCAAACTATTCTTGTGCCTCAGCCTCTGAAGTAGCTGGAATTACAGGTGTGCACCACACCTGGCTAATTATTTGTGGGGTTTTGTTGTTTTTTGTTTTGTTTGTTTCTTTTTGAGACAGAGTCTTGCTCTGTCACCCAGGCTGGAGTTCAGTGGCGCCATCTCAGCTCACTGCAACCTCCGCCTCCCGGGTTCAAGTGATTCTCCTGCCTCAGCCTCCTGAGTAAGTGGGACTACAGGCACGTGCCAGCACGCCTGGCTAATTTTTTGTATTTTTAGTAGAGACGGGGTTTCACAGTGTTAGCCAGGATGGTCTCGATCTACTGACCTAGTGATCCACCTGCCTTGGCCTCCCAAAGTGTGGGGATTACAGGCGTGAGCCACTGCGCCTGGCCAATTATTTATATTTTTAATATAGACAGAATTTCCCTGTGTTGGCTAGGCTGGTCTTGAGCCCCTGGCCTCAAGTAATCCACCTGCCTCAGCCTCCCAAAGTGTTGGGATTACAGGCATGAATCACCGCACCTGGCCTAAGATATCTATCCTATGCAATGCTAGCCAGAGGAGTAAACCTCTTTTCCCAGTGGTACCACCAAAGTCCCAGAGTTAGCTCTCATTGGCTCCACTTGGGTTACATGCTCATCCTGAACCAATCACAATAGCCAGGAGCGGGGGATAGGCTAATTGGCCAGACACAAAGTTTGCTAAGTCTCTTGGGTCCAGCTGCATTCATGTTCTTTGGTTGGGGGTTATGGGGTAAGGGCTGGCTACTCAAAGGTAACCTGGAGAGACGACACTGACCTGCCCACTCTCTTTTCTGATTTTCCTCCAGTGCCCACTTGGATCTTGGTGCTCTCCCTGAGCCTGGCTGGTGCCCTCTTCCTCCTTGCTGGGCTGGTGGCTGTTGCCCTGGTGGTCAGAAAAGGTAACAGCACGCAAAGCCTGGCACACAAGTTGCCAGTTGACAACTTCTGGAACGTGAAGATGTGCTTACACTCACAACTCACACCATTTTGTTTTCAGGTTCAGTAATTTGTTCATCACACCCCTTTTAAAAGTATTTATTTATTTATTTATTATTTTTCTTTTCAGACAGAGGCTCGCTCTGTCGCCCAGGCTGGAGTGCAGTGGCACGATCTCGGCCCACTGCAACCTCCGCCTTCGAGGTTCAAGCAATTCTCCTGCCTCAGCCTCTCAAGTAGCTGGGATTACAGGCGTGCACCACCATGCCTCGCCAATATTTGTATTTTTAGAAGAGATGTGGTTTTGCCATGTTGCCCAAGCTGGTCTGGAACTCCTGACCTCAGGTGATCCGCCCACCTCGGCCTCCCAAAGTGCTGGGATTATAGGCATGAGCCACAGTCCCCGGCCTAAAAATTTTTTATTTGGAGACTCAGTCTGTCACCCAGGCTGGAGTGCAATGGCAGGATCATAGCTCGCTGCATCCTTGACCTCCTGGGCTCAAGCAGTTCTCCTGCCTCAGCCTCCCAAGTAGCTGGGACCACAGGTGCGTGCCACCACATGCAGCTAATTATTTATTTATTTTTTTTAGGACAGGGTCTTGCTGTGTTGCCCAGGCTGGGTAACTCCTGGGCTCAAGCAATCCTCCCACCTCAGCCTCCCAAAAGTCCTGGGACCACAGGCACACACTACCACACCTGGCTAATTTTTAAAAAATATTTTTTGTTGAGATAGGGTCTTGCTATATTGCCCAGGCTGGTCTTGAACTCCTGGGTTCAAGTGATCTTCCTGCCTCAGCCTCCCAAAATGCTGGAATTACAGGCATGTGCCACCATGCCCAGCCAAATTATGTGTGTTTGTGTGTGTGTGTATGTGTGTGGGTATATATGTGTGTGTATGTATATATATATGTGTGTATATATATACATACACACACACACACATACATATATATATATATATATATATATATATTTTTTTTTTTTTTTTTTTAAGATGGAGTCTTGCCCTGTCACCCAGGCTGGAGTGCAGTGAGGCGATCTCGACTCACTTGCTCTGTTGCCAGCCTGGAGTGCAGTGGCACAATCTCGACTCAGTGCAACCTCCGCCTCCCAGGTTAAAGTGATTCTCCTGCCTCAGCCTCCCGAGTAGCTGGGACTACAGGTGCGTGCCACCACACCCAGCTAACTTTTGTATTTTTAGTGGAGACAGGGTTTCACCATGTTGTCCAGGATGGCCCAGCACTTTGGGAGGCCGAGGTGGGCAGATCGCGAGGTCAGGAGTTTGAGACCAGCCTGGGCAATATGGTGAAACCCCATCTCTAATGAAAACACAAAAATTAGCCGGGCGTGGTGGTGTGCACCTGTAGTCCCAGCTACATGGGAGGGTGAGGCAGAAGAATCGCTTGAACCTGGGAGGCAGAGGTTGCAGTGAGTCAAGATCATACCACTGCACTCCAGCCTGGGCGACAGAACGAGACTCTGTCTCAAAAAACAACAAAAAAAGAAAGAAAGAAAGAAAGAAAGAAAGAAAGAAAGAAAAATCTGAGGCCTTCCAGGCTGGGTGGGGTGGCTTGCCTGTAATCCCAGCACTTTGAAAGGCCGAGGCAAGTGGATCACTTGAGGTCAGGAGTTCGAGACCAGTCTGGCCAACATGACGAACCCTCTTCTCTACTAAAATACAAAAATAGCCTGGCCTGGTGATGCACACTTGTAATCCCAGCTACTCGAGAGGCTGAGGCAGGAGAATTGCTTAAATCCAGGAGGCAGAGGTTGCAGTGAGCCAAGATTGAGCCACTGCACTCCAGCCTGGGTGAAAGAATGAGACTCTGTCTAAAAAAAAAAAAAAAAAAAAAAAAAACAGAAATTGCCGGATACAATTAGGACCAAAATCTAACACATGCTCATTTCTTTTTTGTTCCAGTTAAACTCAGAAATTTACAGAAGAAAAGGTGAGATCATCCCTGGAGACCCACAGAGGGTGGTTTGGGGAAAGAAGGACACTTCCCTGGCAGGGTGGGCACTCCATGCCCCCCACAAACAGCGCCTCCTGGTGGGCATGCTGCGTAATAGGAACAGGAGCCATTTATTAAGTGCCTCCTGTGTGCTGGAGGACTGAGCTGGGACTCTCTGAAGCTGGAGCTCCTTATCCTTATGGCAGCCCTGGAAACAGGCACCATGAATAGCCCTATTTTACAGAAGAGAGGACTGAGGCTCAGCACTCAGTCACAGAGTGAGCAGTTTGCCCAGGGAGAGGCCCTTCCCCACACCCCTTTACCTCCAGCTGCCAGAAAACGGTCACAATCACTCTAGACACCCACAGTCAGTTTCTAAAGAATGCCCCTGGGGTTGTGCAGTGCCCAATTGCACTGTAGGTGATGGCCCAGGTTCCTGGGCACCAGGATGTCCTAACTGGCCCTGGCCTCAGTTTCTCTCCTCCGAGAGTGGGGAGACATCCTGCTGCCTGGAGATGAAAACCTGCTCTGGGGATTGAATCCCAGCTTCACCTGGCTGTGGGCCTCCTAACCAGGAGAATATATATATGTTTTTTTTTTTTTTTTTGAGATGGAGTTTCACTCTTGTTGCCCAGGCTGGAGTGCAATGGCCTGATCTCTGGCTCACCGCAACCTCTGCCTCCTGCGTTCAAGCAGTTCTCCTGCCTCAGCCTCCTGAGCAGCTGGGATTACAGGCATGTGCCACCACACCCGGCTAATTTTGTATTTTTAGTAGAGACGGGATTTCTCCATGTTGGTCCGGGTGGTCTTGAACTCCCAACCTCAGGTGATCCGCCCGCCTGTGCCTCCCAAAGTGCTGGGATTACAGGCATCAGCCACCGTGCCTGGCTTTTATATATGTGTGTGTGTGTGTGTGTGTGTGTGTGTGTGTGTATGTGTGTGTGTATATGTGTGTGTGTGTATGTATGTGTGTGTGTGTATGTATGTGTGTGTGTGTGTGTGTATATATATATATATATATATATATATATATATATATTTTTTTTTTTTTTTTTAGACGGAGTCTCACTCTGTCGCCCAGGCTGGAGTACAGTGGCGCAATCTCGGCTCACTGCAACCTCCGCCTCCTGGGTTCAAGCGATTCTCCTGCCTCAGACTCCTGAGTAGCTGGGACTACAGGCACATGCCACCACACCTGGCTAATTTTTGTATTTTTTAGTAGAGACGGGGTTTCACTGTGTTGTCCAGTCTGGTCTTGAACTCCTGACCTCAAGTGATCCACCTGCCTCAGCCTCCCAAAGTGCTGGGATTACAGGCGTGAGCCACTGCGCCTGGCCCAAGAGAATTTCCATGTTTTTTTCTTCCCCCGGCCAAGGGGCTGTCCCACAGTGTGACAGCTCCAGAAATCAGGATGTTACTGCTCTTCTGTGGGGAAGACCCATGGGTCAGTGGGTGGGGAGCAAAGGCTACATTTTGGGTGTGGTTTGGGGCCAGGGCTTTCCCGATCAAGCCTCCTGACTCAAGGGGCAACCCTGATCCCTGTCACTTTCTCCTGAATTCCTTTGCAGAGATCGAGAATCCTGCTGGGCCCAGATTAACTTCGACAGCACAGGTCTGTGCCTCCACACTCCTGACTCCAGTGGGGAAAGGATTACACCTCCAAATGCCATCAGGCCTCATCACACACCAATCAAATTTCTTCTGTGACTGCTTGTTCCCTTTAGGGTCAAAACACACCCTCGCCACCTCTTCCCCTGGGTTCTCACCTTCTCTCCTTTGACTTAACCTAAAGGTCACCTCCTCTGGGAAGCCTTCCCTGACTCCCTAGACAGGGTCTGTGCCTGCTACTTACAGGACCCCAGGTCCGACCATTCTTCTTACCCCTCGGTAGAAATACAATTAGGCGGCCAGGCGCGGTGACTCACAACTGTCATCCCAGCACTTTAGGAGGCTGAGGCAGGCAGATCACGAGGTCAGGAATTCGAGATCAGCCTGGCCAACATAGTGAAACCCCGTCTCTACTAAAAATACAAAAAAATTAGCAGGGTGTGGTGGCGGACACCTGTAATCCCAGCTACTTGGGAGGCTGAGGCAAGGAGAATCATGTGAACCTGGGAGGCGGAGGTTGCAGTCAGCTGAGATTGCGCCACTGCACTCTAGCCTGGGCAACAGAGCCAGACTCCATCTCAAAAAAAAAAAAAAAAAAAAAAAAAGGCCAGGCGTGGTGGCTCACGCCTGTAATCCCAGCACTTTGGGAGGCCGAGGTGGGCGGATCACGAGGTCAGGAGATCGAGACCATCCTGGCTAAAACAGTGAAACCCCATCTCTACTAAAAATACAAAAAATTAGGTGGGCGTGGTGGCGGGTGCCTGTAGTCCCAGCTGCTCAGGAGGCTGAGGCAGGAGAATGGCGTGAACCCAGGAGGCAGAGCTTGCAGTGAGCCCAGATCGCGCCACTGTACTCCAGCCTGGGCGACAGAGCGAGACTCCATCTCAAAAAAAAAAAAAAAAAGAAAGGGCCAGGCACGGTGGCTCACGCCTGTAATCCCAGCACTTTGGGAGGCCAAGGCAGGTGGATCACGAGGTCAGGAGATCGAGACCATCCTGGCCAACATGGTGAAACCCTGTCTCTACTGAAAATACAAAAATTAGCTGGGCATGGTGGCGTGTTCCTGTAGTCCCAGCTACTTGGGAGGCTGAGACAGGAGAATCACTTGAACCCAGGAGGCAGAGGTTGCAGTGAGCCAAGATTGCGCCACTGCACTCCAGCCTGGTGACAGAGTGAGACTCCATCTCAAAAAAGGAAGAAAGAAACAAAAATGAAACAATTAAGTGATCATTGGGTGCTTGCATATTTCATACTCATTTCCTCTGCTGAACGGCCAGCTCCATGGGGAAAGGACCATGTCTATCTCCGGGACTCCAGGGCCACACTTGCCTTCCAGAACATGCCATTCTGCCAGCTTCCCCAAGGGGGCGAAAGGCAGCCAGTCTGTCATGCAGGATATTCTCTTGAAGGCACCCCAAGCAGAGAAATGTATTCTCTGTACTTCATTCCTGGTCCAACACACACACTTATTGAGCACTTACTATGTGCTAAGATCTGAGAGGGTCCTTTCGTAACCAAGACAGATGTGCTGTCTGTCCACAAGCCCATTCTCCAATGGGAAACAGCCCGTGATGGCACCAGACTGTGTCTGGGACAAGGCAGGTGGTCCCCTGAGGAAGTGATGTTTTTCTTTTTTTTTTTGAGATGGAGTCTCATTGTGTCGCCCAGGTTGGAGTGCAGTGGCACGATCTCAGCTTACTGCAACCTCTGCCTCCCGGGTTCAAGTGATTCTCCTGCCCCAGCCTCCCGAGTAGCTGGGATTACAGGCACGTGCCACCATGCCCGGCTAATTTTTGTATTTTTAGTAGAGGTAGGGTTTCACCATGTTGGCCTGGCTGGTCTCGAACTCATGACCTCAGGTGATCCACCCACCTCAGCCTCCCAAAGTGCTGAGATTACAGGCAATTACAGGCGTGAGCCACCGCCCTTTTGTTGTTGTTGTTTTTTGTTTGTTTTTGTTTTGAGGCGGAGTCTCACTCTGTCGCCCAGGCTGGAGTGCGGTGACGCGATCTGGGCTCACTGCAAGCTCTGCCTCCTGGGTTCAAGCCATTCTCCTGCCTCAGCCTCCTGAGTAGCTGGGACTACAGGCGCCCGCCACCACACCCGGCTAATTTTTTGTATTTTTTTAGTAGAGATGGGATTTCACCATGTTAGCCAGGATGGTCTCGATCTCCTGACCTCGTGATCTGCCCGCCTCAGCCTCCTAAAGTGCTGGGATTACAGGCATGAGCCACCGCGCCCAGCCTGTTTTTTTTTTTTTTTTTTTTTGAGACAGAGTCTTGCTCTGTCACCCAGACAGGAACGCAGTGGCGCAATCATAGCTCACTGCAGCCTCGACCTCCTAGGCTGAAGTGATCCTCCCCTCTCAGCCTCCTGAGTAGCTGGGACCACAGGCATACACCACCACACTCAGCTACTTTTTAAATTTTTTTTTCTAGAGACAAAAAATTATGTTGCCCAGGCTGGTCTTGAACTCCTGGGCTCAAGTGATCCTCCCTCCTTGGCCTTCCAAAGCGTTGGGATTACAGCCGTGAGCCACCTCACCTGGCTAGAAGTGATGTTTAAGCAGAGACCTACAAGAATGGGTAATGGAGGCCGGGTGTGGTGGCTCACACCTGTAATCCCAGCATTTTGGGAGGCCGAGGCAGGCAGATCTCTTGGGGCAAGGAGTTCAAGACCAACCTGGCCAACATGGTGAATCCCTATCTCTACTAAGAATATGAAAATTAGCTAGGTGTAGTGGTGCATGCCTGTAATCCCAGCTATTAGGAGGCTGAGGCAGGACAATCACTTGAACCCAGGAGGCGGAAGTTGCATTGAGCCGAGATCCTGTCATTGCACTCCAGCCTGGGCAACAGAGTGAGACTCCTTCTCAAAAACAAGAAAAAAAAAATGGGTGATGGAGCAATTGGAGGAGAGCCTGGGGAGGAGGAGGAGCTGGCAGGTGCTCCTTCTGGAAGGCCTGAGATAAGACACCCATTTTCCTGAGGGCAGTGAGAGATACCCCTAGGAAGACTGTGTGTAGAAGGACTTGGTTCACTTTGTAGCTGTGAACAGTTCACCGTGCAGAATGGGTTGGAAAGGCGCCATAGAGGATGCTGGGAGATGGACCCCAATTGCTTCCCTGTGGGCTGGGGGGCAGTGCGGGGATGGCAGGGAGCAGGGAAGTTACAACTGGCCCCCAATCCTGGGTTTTCTTTCTCTTTCTGTTTCAGACATGTCCTTCGATAACTCCCTGTTTACCGTCTCCGCGGTGAGTGGTTCTTTTTCTTGGAACCGGTTTTCTGCTGACCGTCCTACCGGGAGAACGGGGCGGGCTCAAGGGGCACCACGAGGCTAAGTTGACCTGCTGTCTCTAAGCTGCGGGGGGGCTAGGAAAAGCCCAGAATCACTGAACAGGGACTCAGTAGTGAGCCGAGAGTTGGCTGTGAAAAAATCCCAGGGGGTGTGTTAATTGAAGGTGGTGACGTCAGGCTGTCTTGTGGCCACAGGCAGGCAGGCCCCTTGGTGGTATGTCCTGGCCTGGTCAGTGCTGCCTTTGGTCTCAGTCATGACAGCCCCTCAGAATGGTGACAGAGGATTCAGGGTGACCTGGTGGCCTCTCATAGAGGCTTGTGACAATCTGTGTCACAATCTGTGACAGGCTGTGGTCGGTCCCCTCTGGGTATAAAGAAAAGCATGAAGTTGCTGGGTGCGGTGACTCACGTCTGTAATCCCAGCACTTTGGAAGGCCGAGGCGGGTGTGGGTCAGGAGTTTGAGACCAGCCTGACCAATATGGTGAAACCTCATCTCTGCTAAATACAAAAAATTAGCTGGGCGTGGTGGTGCATGCTTGTAATCTCAGCTACTTGGGAGGCTGAGACAGGAGAATCACTTGGACCCAGGAGGTGGAGGTAGCAGTGAGCCAAGATTGAGGCATTGCACTCCAGCCTGGGCCACAAGAGCAAAACTCCATCTAAAACAAACAAACAGATAAAAATGAAAAAGTACAAATGCCAAGGCTACCCCAAAATGTAGCTGTGCAGAGAGTCCCATAGACCCAGGTTTAAATCCCAGCCCTGACACTGTGTGACAATGGGGAACAATATCCCCCAAAAGCAGAGGGAGGGATTTGTTTTTTTTCAAGACAGAGTCTAGCTCTGTCGCCCAGGCTGGAGCACAGTGGTGTGATCTCGGCTCACACAACTTCCGACTCCCGGGTTCAAGCAATTCTCATGCCTCAGCCTCCCGGGCAGCTGGGATTACAGGCACATGCTACCACACCCAGCTGATTTTTGTATTTTTAGTAGAGACGGGGGTTTCACCATGCTGGCCAGGCTGGTCTCAAACTCCTGACCTCAGGTGATCCACTGGGATTACAGGTGTGAGCCACCATGCTGGCTGGCTGCGGAAGCTGCTTTAGACAGGAGATCAGGAAAGTCTGAGATGGGTGACAAGCAGGAGGTGGGGAAGATTGGGGATGATTGATCCAGGCTGAGGACACATTTTTGGCACAGCCCAGTAAGCTGGGGTGGAGTGAGGAGTCGAAGGGGACCCCATGAAGAACTTTGATTTTACTGCTATTGAGCTGGGATCCCGGAAGGGTTCCTAGTATAGGAGGGAGGGGACCGGATTCAGGTGCACACAGGCGCCCTCTGGTGGCTTCTGCAGGAGGACAGATTTGGGGAAAGCGGGGATCAGTGGAAGGCAGGAGCCTGGAGACTGAAGAGCTGGGCCAAGCGTGCACCAAAGGGTGGGTGGTTTGGTCCAAAATGTTGGCAGTGGAGTTCGAAGAAGTGATCAGATGCAGGTTAGGGGAGATATAGGGGAGAGAAAACACAGAGCTGATTTTTGATGAGGGGGCCAAGGGAGAAGAGGGAGGCCAAGGAGGGTGAGGCTTGGAGGGTCAGGAGTGTGGAGTCAGCCACCTCAACCCATGGCGCCTGGGAGCAGATGGAGAGGGGAGTCTACAGTTCAGGAGAGAGGTCAGTTCTAGAGATAGACTAGGAGTGCCTGGGATACAGATGGTAGGAAGGAAGGGGGCTTGGCACGGGCCTGTGCAGCCCTCTGAGGTCTCTGCTTCCAGAATAAATCCTGAGGCCATAAGAAAAACCCGGCAGGCAGGGCTCAATCTAAACGTTTCCATGAGAATCCACACCGCACAGAACACCAGCCTGGTGATGCCCCCTCTCCCCACTTTTTGAGGTAGTTTTTATTTATTTTTGTTTGTTTTTTGAGATGGAGTCTTGCTCTGTCACCCAGGCTGGAGTGCAGTGGCTTGATCTCACTGCAACCTCCACCTCCTGGATTCAAGCGATTCTCCTGCCTCAGCTTCCCGAGTAGCTGGGATTACAGGCGCCTGCCATCGCGCCCGGCTAATTTTTGTATTTTTAGTAGAGACGGGTTTTCATCATGTTGGCCAGGCTGGTCTCCAACAACCGACCTCAGGTGATCCGCCCGCCTTGGCCTCCCAAAGTGCTGGGATTACAGGCATGAGCCACCATGCCCGGCCTTTTATTTGTTTTTTTACTTTTTTTTTCTTAAATTAAGGACCAGGCGTGGTGGCTCATGCCTGTAATCCCATCACTTTAAGAGGCCGAGGTGGGAAGATTGCTTGAGCCTGGGAGGTTGAGTCTGCAGTGAGCTATGATTGCATCACTGCACTCCAGCCTGGGTGACAGAGCAAGACTTTGTCTCAAACAAACAAAAAATTTCCGTATGAAAAGCATTCACATGTCAAAATATACAATAAAGTTTTCTTACTAAGCCATGCCTCTTCATCCATTGGTATTCCTTTCTGCAGACATACAGGTAACCACTGTTAGCAGCTGCACGTGGCAAATACACGCAGAAGTGGATCTGTACCTTCACCCACCACCCCCGCCAATTTTTTTTTGAGACAGGGTCTTGCTCTGTCTCCCACGCTGGAGTGCAGGGGCACCATCATAGCTCACTGCAGCCTTGATCACCTGGGCTCAAAAGATCCTCCAGCCTCAGCCTCCCGAGTAGCTGGGACCACAGACTTCCACCACCATGCCCAGCTAGTTTATTTTTATATATATATTTATTTATTTATTTTTCTTCCTTTTTATTTTTAAATTTTATTTTATTAATTTTTTGAGATGGAGTTTTGCTCTTTCGCCCAGGCTGGAGTAAAGGGATGTCATGATCTTGGCTCACTGCAACCTCCCCCCCTGGGTTCAAGTGATTCTCCTGCCTCAGCCTCCCAAGTAGCTGGGATTATAGGTGCCTGCCACCATGCCTGGCTAATTTTTTTTTTTTTTTGAGACGGACTCTCGCTCTGTCACCAGGCTGGAGTGCAGTGGTGCCATCTTGGCTCACTGCAACCTCAACCTCCCAGGTTCAAGCGATTCTCCTGCCGAGTAGCTGGGATTACAGGCGAGCGCCAGCATGCCCAGCTAATTTTTTTTTTTTTTTTTTTTGTATTTTTAGTAGAAGCGGAGTTTCTCCATGTTTGTCAGGCTAGTCTCGAACTCCTGACCTCAAATGATCCACCTGCCTCAGCCTCCCAAAGTGCTGGGATTACAGGCGTGAGCCACCAGGCCCGGCCTTTTTTTTAAGATACAGTTTCACTTTGTTGCCTAGTCTGGAGTGCAGTGGTACGATCTTGGCTTGCTGCACCCAGGTTCAAGCAATTCTCATGTCTCAGCTTCCCGAGTAGCTTGGATTACAGGCACATGCCACCGCGGCTGGCTAAAGTTTTTTTTTTTGGAGACGGAGTTTCGCAATTATCGTCCAGGCTGGAGTGCAGTGGTGCCATCTGCAGCCTCCACTTCTGGGGTTGAAGCGATTCTCCCACCTCAGCCTCCCAAGTAGCTGGGACTGTAGGTGCCTGATACCACACCTAGCTAATGTTTGTATTTTTAGTAGATACAGGGTTTCACCATGTTGGCCTGGCTCGTCTTGAACTCCTGACCTCAGGTGATCCACCCACCTCAACCTCCCAAAGTGTTGGGATTATAAGCATGAGCCACTGCACCCAGCCTAATTTTTGTATAATTTTTGTATATTTTTAGTAGAGACAAGGTTTCACCAAGTTGGCCAGGCTGGTCTCAGACTCCTGACCTCAAGTGATCTGCCCGCCTCGGCCTCCCAAAGTGCTGGGGTTACAGGCATGAGCCACCGTGCCCGGCCCAGAAATTTCTCATCCTCCCAAACTTGTCTCCGTGCAACACCCACTCCCCGTTGTCCCTCCCCCAGCCCCTGGCACCCACCATTCTCCTGTCTCTGTGGATTTGCCTCTTCTGGACATCTCATGGATATGAGATCACATGATATTTTTCCTTTTGTGACTGGCCTGTTTCGCTGAGCTTGATGTCCTCAAGGTTCATTCATGCCATACGTAGCCTGTGTCAGAATGTCCTTCATGGCAGGCACGGTAGCACATGCCTATAATGCCAGCACTTTGGGAGGCCAAGGCGGGCAGATCACCTGAGGTTGGGAATTCGAGACTAGCCTGACCAACACGGAGAAACCCCATCTCTACTAAAACTACAAAAAAAAAAAAAAAAAATTAGCCGGGCATGGTGGCACATGCCTGTAATACCAGCTACTCGGGAGGCTTAGGCAGGAGAATCACTTGAACCCAGGAGGCGGAGTTGCTGTGAGCTGAGATCACGCCATTGCATTCCAGCCTGGGCAACAAGAGCGAAACTCCATCTCAGAAAAAAAAAAGGAAGAACATTCTTTTTTTTTTTTTTTTTTTTTTTTTTTTTGAGACAGTGTCTCACTCTGTCGCCCAGACTGCAGTGCAGTGGTGTGATCTCGGCTCACTGCCACCTCTGCCTCCCAGCCTCCAGCGATTCTCCTGCCTCAGCTTCCCAAGTAGCTGGGATTACAGGCGCCTGCCACCATGCCCGGCTAATTTTTGTAGTTTTAGTAGAGATGGGGTTTCACCATGTTGGCCAGGCTGGTCTTGAACTCCTGACCTCAGGTGATCCGCCCGCCTCGACCTCCCAAAGTGCTGGGATTACAGGTGTGAGCCACCGTGCCCAGCCTGTTCTTCCTTTTTAAGGCTGAATCATATTGTGTTGTATGGATACACCAAGTTTTGTTGATCCATTCAATTGTTGATGGACACTTGGGTTGTTTCCACCTTTTGGCTGTTGTGCAGAACCGTGCCATGACCATGGGTATGCAAATTTCTTTTGGAGTCTCTGCTTTCACTTCTAGTTTCCTTTTGAAGCCTTATACTGCTTTGTCGTTGGCTGAAATGGTAAGGCAGCAGCTGACCTGTCTCTAGCTTTCCCCATTACCTTGCTGAGTGTCTGATATGCAACTTTGTAACACCCTTTCAGGTGGGATCGATTATTTTCTTTTTACGAACAAGGACACTGAGGCTGATAATGGGCCTAGGGTCACCCAGCTTGGGAGGGACAGGACTGTGGGTGGAACCCCCAGCCTGCTGTCAACTGAGTGGCTTTAGTTCTAGCAAATTCATCTCTCTTTAACTAGGATCAGGGTCAGGAGCCTCCAAGGCAGAGGAGGAGGTAGACTTTTGAGGAATGTTTTGCCCATGGGCAAATGGGAGGGGAGGAGGAGATAATACTATTTATTTTTTATTTATTTATTTTTTTGAGACCAAGTCTCACTTTGTTCCCCAGGCTGGAGAGGAGTGGCAGGATCTCAGCTCACTGCAACCTTCACCTCCTGGGTTCAGGTGATTCTCCTGCCTCAGCCTCCCGAGTAGCTGGGATTACAGGCGTGCACCACCACACCTAATTTTTGTATTTTTCTGAGAGGGTTTCACCATGTTGGCCAGGCTGGTCTCGAACTCCTGACCTGAGGTGATCCACCCACCTCGGTCTCCCAAAGTGCTGGGATTACAGGCGTGAGCCACTGGGCCCAACAGAGGAGATAATATGAATGGTTGTGTTCACTTAGCAAAGAAGAGCTTACGATGTGCCATTTGCTTTATCAGTTTTACTCTTTTAAGCCTCATAGCAGCCCTAGGAAGTGGTGGGTACTAGCATTCTGCCCGTTTTGCAGAAGGGGAAACTGAGGTATAGAGGGGTGAAGCCACACAACTGAGGTTACACTGCTATAAAGTGAAGGAACTGGTGTTTGAATCCATGCTCTCTGGTCCCCAGTTTAGCAGAGAGGAAGGCAGGAGAAGGGAAGACCAGGACAGGTGGGTGTGGGTGGGGGCGGGATGAGAGGAGACCTGCTGGGCTGGCAGAGTCTCAGGCTCAGAACATGGAGAAACCCTAGATCCTGAAACCCCAAATCACCCACTTCTGTGTTTCTTCTTACATGGACAAAGAAAACGATGCCAGAAGAAGACCCGGCCACCTTGGATGATCACTCAGGCACCACTGCCACCCCCAGCAACTCCAGGACCCGGAAGAGGCCCACTTCCACGTCCTCCTCGCCTGAGACCCCCGAATTCAGCACTTTCCGGGCCTGCCAGTGAGGCTGAGGACTGGGGGACCCCTCTGTCTCCAGGCATTCGGGGGCCTGAGGTCCCTCCAGCTACTTCTGGGGGGGCTCTGTCAGCCACTTTCTCAGGGAATTGGACAGAGGAAAGGAAGGGGAACCCTGGCCTTGGGATTTTCATCACAGAGGAGTGGGAGAGGGGACACAGGCATGGGCCTGGCACTATACAGACAACAGGAAGTTCCCCTCTCGACCTTCGGCTCCTCAGGACCACCAGAGAAGGAGATGTCAGGACCCCTTCTTGTCCCCCAGCTGGGCCATAAGACGTCCCAGGTCTCTGCACACCCGTGGAATTCCTCCCTTCCCCAGTGGGTTTTTGAGCATAGGGTGCCCTTGGGTGTGTTGTGTGTCTGCCTGCTGGCTTGCTTAAGTTATTAATTATAACACGGGTCAAGGTGTTCCCAGGCCTCTATGGAGTGGAATCCTTCAAGCTGGGGACCTCTGGATCCCATGGTTGGATGGCTGGGGGGTGGAGCGTGTCTGAATTCACCAAATTTGAAGCATCTCTCAAGGGCAGTCAGGGTGGTGTATGCGGAGCCTCCTGGGGGTGTGGGGAGTGCAGCAGTGCCATGCCAGGGTCTCTGCAACGGTACTTGCATTAGAGGGTTTAGGAGGTGGAATGACAGGGGCTACGGGTGAGGGACATGAAGGAGAATGAGGGCCCCTCGCAGTGGCTCACACCTATAATCCCAGCACTTTGGGAGGCCGAGGCAGGGGGTTGCTTGAGCCCAGGAGGTTGAGGCTGCAGTAAGCTATGATGGCACCACTGCACTCTAGCCTGGGCAACACAGTGAGACCCTGTCTCAAAAAACAAAAGGGGCCGGGCGCGGTGGCTCATGCCTGTAGGCCCAGCACTTTGGGATGCCGAGGCGGGCGGATCACCTGAAGTCAGGAGTTCAAGACCAGCCTGACCAACATGGTGAAACCTCGTCTCTACTAAAAATAAAAAATTAGCTGGGCGTGGTAGAGCATGCCTGTAGTCCCAGCTACTCGGGAGGCTGAGGCAGGAGAATCACTTGAACCCGGGAGGCGGAGGTTGCGGTGAGCTGAGATCGAGCCATTGCACTCCAGCCTGGGAGACAGAGCGAGACTCCGTCTCAAAGAAAAAAAAAAAAAAAAAAAAGGAATGAGGCGTAAATGAGGTCTAGGGAAGAGTTAAAGCTGGAGTGCTAGGAAGTGGCCCAAGCTCACTGGGTCGCCCAAAAGAGATGGGGCCACCCAAAATGAAGGGGGATGCAGAGAGAAGACGGGTTTGTGTGGCGGGAGAGGGGCCCTGCGCCGGGCCAGGCTGGACTCAGCATCGTTGGAGGAGGGGCTGAGAGAGGAGGGGGTCAAAGGATATCTTGTGCGAAAGGAGACAGTCAAACATTAAGGATTAAGAAGGCAATGTGGGCAGAGATGATGGGGAAGGGAGGAGGAGCGGTCGAATGTCGGGGAGGGGTCCTTTCAACCGGGCTCAGGTTGCTCCTGGAGGCCAGGGCTCATCGGAAATCGTCGGTGCGGGGGCGGTGGGGGGAAGGGTTGGGGGCGAGGCCCGGGCGCTGGCCACGCCCTTTCCCCCGCCCATTCCCCAGAGCGGGGCGGCTGACAAAGCGAGTCCGGGTGGGAGGGCGCGGGCAGGCACGGGGGCGGGGCCTCGTCGCGGCTGGGCCACGCCTCCCTGAGGGCTGCCTCACAAAGCCGGGCGGGCCCGGGGGGGTGGGGCCCAGTCTCAGGGGCGTGTCCAGGTCGGGGCAGGGAAGCCGCATCACGACGCGCGGCTGCTTGTGTGGGGCGGGGTACAGGGCGTGTCCACGCGGCCGAGCACCGCCCCCGCCGTCCCCGCACCGCCTCACTCGAAAGCAGCCGTTAATGAGGCGCCGGCCTGGGGGCGGGGCCCAGGCCTCCGAGGGGCGTGCCCGCGCGCCCGAGCACCGCCCCCGACGTACCCTCCCGCCCCGCAGTTCCCGGGCGGTGGAGCCACCTCACAAAGCGGCGACCGTTCTCGCGGGGCGGGGCGTAGCCGGTCCCGCCCCACGGGGTGCCCTCTCGTTCGCTCGCTAGCTCCCCGCGCCCAGGACGGCCGGCAGAGGGCGCTGCGCCACGGGGCCGGGCCGCGGCGACGGTGGCGGCGGCGGCGGCGAGGCGGCGCGTGGCCGGCAGGCGGCGCTGCCCGGCTCGGCCTCGGCCTGCACGGCGGCTGCGGCGGCGGTAGCGGCAGCGGCGGCGGCGGCGGCGGCGGCGGCGGCGGCGGCGGCGGCGGCGGCGGCAGCGGCGGCGGCCTGGGCCCGGGCGCAGCGGCGGCGGCGGCGGGGCCTGGAGCCGGATCTAAGATGGCAGCGGCGGCGGCGGCGGTGGGGCCGGGCGCGGGCGGCGCGGGGTCGGCGGTCCCGGGCGGCGCGGGGCCCTGCGCTACCGTGTCGGTGTTCCCCGGCGCCCGCCTCCTCACCATCGGCGACGCGAACGGCGAGATCCAGCGGCACGCGGAGCAGCAGGCGCTGCGCCTCGAGGTGCGCGCCGGCCCGGACTCGGCGGGCATCGCCCTCTACAGCCGTGAGTACGGGGCCCCGGGGCAGGCGCAGGGCCGGGGCTGCTCACGAGGCCGGCCCGGGGCGGGGGCCGGCGGGGAGGGGCCCTGAGCGCGGGGGCCTGGCGTGGGGTCCCCGGGACTGAGCCGGTGGCCTGCAGGGAGCGACCGTGGAGGGCCGGTGCCAGGGGACAGACAGAGAAAAGAGGGCGTGCGTGGTGGCCGGAGGGGCAAGGTGCCCAGAGTGAGCAAGGGAGCGCGAAATGGGGAGTGAAGGGCCTGAGATTTGGGAGGGGTGGGTGAGCAGGAAGTGGGGGGCTCTGAGTGGAAGGGGAATTTGGAGGACGCCAGGCGTGGTGGGCTTAAGCGTGGGGGAGGGAGGTCCGGGGTGCGGGAGAGGTGGGCGTCTCGGGGGCGGGCGTGGCCGCCTCTGCAGGGAGGAGGGTGGGGCGTGGGCGGCCCGGGATCCCTCTGGGGACCCCCTGGATAGCTCAGGACGGTTGGAAAGTGTTTGCTGGTCTGGGGCGCCCGCGAGTACCGAGTTCCACCGCTGTGCGAGGTGTGGCGTTCAGGACCCCCGAATGGGAAACTTCAGGATCTGGGGAGAGGGCCCATGCGGGGACGGTGGGAGCCGCAGGGTGAGCTCCTCGTGGAAACGTGGACGGGACGGGCCCCTTCCTGATGCCGGGCTTCGAAGTAAGAGCTAACAGCCTCCTCCCATCTTCTTTTGGGGGATGTGAGAAGCTGGTTACATTTTCCGAAGCTGCTTTCAAAACTGACATTTCACTGGGGGGAAAAGAAAATCACAAATGCGTTTGCCAGCACCCCCCACCCCCGCTCCCAGTCTTTGTAGTTCATTCTTCTTCTTGTTACTCCTTCTTATCTCTTCTCTTTGATTCCTTGTTCACATTTTGCTACTCTGTGTCATTTGGCTTTGTCTTTCAGGGCTTCTTGCACTGATGCCCTGGGGAACCCCTCAGGAGGCCTCTAGCTAGCTTGGGTCCTGTGTGAATTTTTTGCCACTTTGGAAACGGCCCGATTAAAGGAAAGCCCGAGGAGCAGTCCGTTCACACTGGGTTTTCCCTGCACCTCGACTTTGAAAACGTGGACTAAAGGAGTTGTGTCTGCTGTCCGAGGGTGCCGTCTCTTTTTGCTGGTGCAGAGCCTGGGTCTTCTTGGACCAGATGAGAGGGGAAGGAGGGTATTTCAGCGGGGGTTTCAGAGTTCAAGGCAGACACTCAGCTCAACAGAACCCCAGATCATAAGCAAAACCTATTCACTGGGCAAGCATTGGTAGCCAACTTTGTCCTGAACAGAACAAAGCGGGGCAGCGTTTCCAAAACTAGGGTCCCAGGGCTTATCCTCAAAGGAGTTCCAGGAGAGTTGGCTATCATTTTTAAGTAAACCTTTAAAAAATTTTTTTAGGACCAGGCGGGGTAGCTCAGCACTTTGGGAGGCTAAGCACTTTGGGAGGATCACTTGAGGTCAGGAGTTCGAGACCAGCCTGGCCAACATGGTGAAACCCCGTCTCTACTAAAAATACAAAACAGCGGGGTGTGGTGACATGTGCCTGTCCCAGCTACTCGGGAGGCAGAGGCAGGAGAATCACTTGAACCTGGGAGGCAGAGGTTGCAATGAGCTGAGATCGTGCCATTGCACTCCAGCCGGGGAGACAGAGTGAGACTCCATCTCAAAAAAAAAATTTTTTTTAGAACAATTTTAGTTTAGTTTTTTTTTTTTTTTTTTTTTTTTTTTTTTTTTGAGACAGAGTCTTGCTCGGTCCCCCAGGCTGAAGTGCAGTGGCTCAATCTCGGCTCACTGCAAGCTCTGCCACCTGGGTTCACGCCATTCTCCTGCCTCAGCCTCCCGAGTAGCTGGGACTACAGGCGCCTGCCGCCATGCCCGGCTAATTTTTTGTGTTTTTAGTAGAGACGGGGTTTCACCATGTTAGCCAGGATGGTCTTGATCTCCTGACCTCGTGATCCACCCGCCTTGGCCTCCCAAAGTGCTGGGATTACAGGCATGAGCCACCCCGCCCGGCCAGAACAATTTTAGTCTTATAGATGTATTGGCAACATAGTGAGATGTTCCTACCATCTTATTCCTGGAGTAACATTTTGTGTTTGTATTTGTGTTTTTGTTTTTGTTTTGTTGATACTCTTGAAAGTATTACTTGTTATTAAGACAGCACTTCTCTTTGAGAGGTAATTGGTAACTGAAACATTTTTTATTATTAGAGACAAGGTTTCACTATGTCACTGTGTTGCCCAGGCTGGTCTCCAACTTCTGAGCTCAAGTGATCTTCCTGCCTCCCAGAATGCTGGGATTACAGGTGTGAGCCACCCCACCTGACCGGAAACATTCATAAAAAGGAGAAAGTCCACATTCCTCAGAGAGCCTCAGTCCCAGATTCCCAGATGATATATCCTTAGGGTTCTGAAATAATTTTTTTTTACACTTTTTTGTTTTTTTTCTTTCTTTTTTATTTTTTTTATTTTTATTTTTTATTTTTTCAGACAGGGCCTCACTCTGTTGCTCAGACTGGAGTGCAGTGGTACAGTCTCAGTCTCAGCTCACTGCAGCCTTCCATGGCTAAAGTGATCCTCATACCTCAGCCTCCCTAGTAGCTGGGACCACAGGCATGTGCCACACCCAGCTAATCTTTCATATTTTTTGTAGAGAAAGGGTTTTCACTGTGTTGGCCAGGCTGGTCTCAAACTCCTGGGCTCAAGTGATCCTCCCTCCTTGGCCTCCCACAGTCCTGGAATTACAGGCATGAGCCACCGCACCGCCCTCTTTATCCTTAAGTAACATTGATATGGAGATAAAAAACATGGGTTCTTGGCCAGGCGTGGTGGCTCACACCTGTAATCCCAGCACTTTGAGAGGTTGAGGCAGGCGAATCACTTGAGGTCAGGAGGTTGAGACCAGCTTGGCCAACATGGCAAAATCTCGTCTCTGCTAAAAATGCAAAAATTAGCCAGGTGTGGTGGTACCTGCGACTGTAGTCCCAGCTACTCCGGAGGATGAGGTGGGAGGATCGCTTGAACCAGGGAAGCAGAGGTTACAGTGAGCTGAGATTGCACCACTGCATGTCAGCCTGGGTGACAGAGCAAGACCCTGTCTGAAAAAAAAAAAAAAAGCATGGGTTCTGGAGTTGGAGGTGATCAGTGCTGGGTGTATTAATTTCCCATGGCTGCAATAACAAATTATGACAGATTTTTGGTTTAAGACAACAGGAATGGATTCTCTCTCAGTTCATGGTCAGAAGTCTGAAATCATGGTACTGGCAGGGCCACAATCCCTGGAGAGGTTCTACAGGAAAATCCTTGCATCTTCCAGATTGCAGTGGATCCAGCTGTTGCTTGATTTGCAGCAGCGAAACCCAAGTCCCTGCGTCTGTCTTCACTCCTGTGTCTTGTGTCCTCTTTTTTCCTTTTTTTTTTAAAGTGAGATGGAGTCTCGCCGTGTTATAGGCTGGTCTCGAACTCCTAGGCTCAAGTGATCCTCCCACCTCAGCTGTTCTTTTCTTTTCTTTTTTTTTTTGAGACGGAGTCTGGCTCTGTCACCCAGGCTGAAGTGCAATTGCGCGATCTCCGCTTACTGCAAGCTCTGCCTCCTGGGTTCAGGCCATTCTCCTGCCTCAGCCTCCCGGGTAGCTGGGACTACAGGCGCCCGCCACCACGCCCGGCTAATTCTTTGTATTTTTAGTAGAGACGGGGTTTCACCGTGTTAGCCAGGATGGTCTCCATCTCCTGACCTCGTGATCTGCCCACCTTGGCCTCCCAAAGTGCTGGGATTACAGGCTTGAGCCACCGTGCCCGGCCCCAGCTGTTCTTTTCTTATAAGGACACTGGGCATTGGATTTAGGGCCCACTTTATATCTAGGATGATCTCATCTCAAGATCCTTATCTGCAAAGACCCTATTTCCTAATAAGGTCACCTTCACAGATTCCAGGGGTTACAACTTGGATGTCTGTCTTTTTTTTTTTTTTGAGATGGAATTTTGCCCAGGCTGGAGTGCAATGGCGTGATCTCGGCTCACTGCAACCTCTGCCTCCCGGGTTCGAGCGATTCGCCTGCTTTGGCCTCCCAAAGTCCTGGGATTACAGGGATTAGAGGCATGTGCCACCATGCCCGGTTAATTTTTTTTGTATTTTTAGTAGAGATGGGGTTTCTCCGTGTTGGTCAGGCTGGTCTCGAACTCCTGACCTCAGGTGATCCGCCCACCTTGGCCTCCTAAAGTGCTGGGATTACAGGTGTGAGCCACCGCCACCAGCCTCACATATGGCTAATTTTTAAGTTTCTTCTAGCGATGCGGTCTCACTATTTTGCCCAGGCTGGTCTTGAACTCCTGGGCTCAAGCAGTCCTCCTGCCTTGGCCTCCCAAAGTGCTAGGATTACAGACGTGAGCCACTGCGCCCGGCCAATAAATATTTATGTCCATGTTACTGACAGCAGTGTTCGTTGGTGTGGCATGGGAATGAGCTAGCTTTTCTAGGAGGAGCCCCCTATGCTCCAGGGCTGCCCCGCTGTCTTGGCTCACCGGCCATGGGAGGGAGTCCTGGGCCATGATCTGTACCTAACATAGGAGGCCCAGGAGAGGCACGTGGGGAGGACTTCCAGCCCTGTTCCTTGACGTCTGCACCCTCCAGGGGAAGGATGACAGCTGCAGAAGGGCCTGTCTCTGTCACTCTGTAGTGAACAGTTACTTCTTGCCATCTGAAGTCACCCTGGCCTACGTCCATGAGATTGGCCAAATGGCAACTACCAACACCAGGCCATTTTCCCTGTGCAGAGGGGGAGGCCCTTTGGCGTGGGCTTCCTGGGCTTGAGGAAGCTTTGGCATGGCCTCTGGAGTTCCTGGGCATAGGCTGCCCTCCCTTGGAAAGGAGGCAGTTTCTCAGGGAGGGGTGCCGGGAAAGAGAACAGAACAAACTCTCACTTCCCCAGCCCTGTGGCGCTCTTTCTGGAAATGACTGTGTCACTTTTCTTTCTTGGTCAGCACGAGTCAGTGTGGCCAGTGCTTTAGACTCTCCCATCCCCTTGGCTCAGAAGCTTACACAGCAGCATGGGCTCCGTCAGGGGCTAAACTTCAGTTTGTGAGGGGCATGCCATGGGGTGGAAAGTTCAGAGAAAAACCCTTTGTCCAAAGAAGGTGAAGAATGGCCTGCTGTCACCGAACCAGGGGCCCTTGTGACTTCCTTTGGTTACACTCCTGGGATCCCCCTGACAGCTGGGGCAGGGGTATAGAAGAGCTTGTTATGTGCCCCATCTTTAGGACATCTCGGTGTCAAGCTGGAGTGACAACAGGGAAAGTTAGTAACCCCAGAAAGGCATTTGTGTTTCAGCGGTGCCTGCGTGTGGCTAATGGATACCGTCATTTATTGAGCATTTATCCCGTACCAGACTGTGCATAAACTTGTGTTGACTCAAAATGCTTGACCTTGGGGGCAGCTAGGGAAAGGGCAGTGATATAAATTAGGCCTATGGGCCACATTGAGCCTGTGGCCTATTTTTATCTGTGTTTGTATTTTATTAGTGAGACAGAGTCTCACTGTGTTGCCCAGGCTGGAGTGCAATGGCATGGTCTTGGCTCACTGTAACCTCCACCTCCCAGGTTCAAGTGATTCTCATGCCTCACCCTCCTGAGTAGCTGGGATTACAGGCCTGTGCCACCACCCTGGCTAATTTTTGTATTTTTAGTAGAGACAGGGTTTCACCATCTTGGCCAGGCTGGCCTCGAACTCCTGACCTCAAATAATCTGCCTGCCTCAGCCTCCCAAAATGCTGGGATTACAGGTGCGAGCCACCGCACCCAGCCTGTGTTTTATTATTTATTTATTTTGAGATGGAATCTCGCTCTGTTGCCCAGGCTGGAATGCAGTGGCGCAATCTCGGCTCACTGCAACCTCTGCCTCCCAGGTTC
The DNA here is from genome assembly GCF_000001405.40 of Homo sapiens. Taxonomy (NCBI): domain Eukaryota; kingdom Metazoa; phylum Chordata; class Mammalia; order Primates; family Hominidae; genus Homo; species Homo sapiens. Next base: position 10,877,827 of record NC_000019.10, read on the forward strand.
AAGCGATTCTCCTGTCTCAGCCTCCCGAGTAGCTGGGATTACAGGCACATGCCGCCATGCCCAGCTAATTTTTTGTATTTTAGTAGCTCACTGCAGCCTCTAACTCCTGGGCTCAAGTGATCCTCTGGCCTCATCCTCCCAAGTAGCTGGGACTACAAGCACATGTCACCACCCTTGGCTAATTTAAGCAATTTTTTTAGAGACAGAGTCTTGCTGTGTTTCCCAGGCTGGCCCCAAACCCCTGGCCTCAAACCATCCTCCTCCTGCCTGAGCCTCAGAAGTAGCTGGGATTATAGTCACGAACCGCTGGGCCCGGTGTGGCCTATTTTTGTACAGACAAAGCTAAGAAAGGCTTTTACAGTTTTTGAGAGATTGATTAGGGAAAAAAACTAAAACCCAATCCACAAACAACAATAATCAGTTGAGACCACAGTGTCCTGCAAAACCTGAAATATTTACTCACTGGCCCGAGGCAGGGGAAGCTTGTAGACCCCTGGGATAAATGAATGAGGCAGGCAGGAGTTGGGGTCTGTGGGGAGTTTGGCCCCAGCCAAAAGAGAAACCAAAAAATCCTCAGGCCGAATAGAGCATACTTCTGAATTGTGTGAGCCCCTTGTGCCAATTGTGGCGCTTACTGTATGTTACCACTTACTCTGAAAAGAGTTCTGTGAGGTCAGAGATACCAACCCCAATTTACTGGTGGAAAAACAGAAATGAAAGAACTTGACTGGCCAAAGTGATGTGGTTGGCAGGCAGCAGAGATGGCTTTGGCATTCTGGGTGACTGGATGCCCACCTTAAATGCATATATAAGTGGTTCAGTGACATTTATCTGTTCATCACAAAGACCCAAAGTAGCAGAGGCTTAATTAAACACGATGGCATTTTATTTTTTGTGCTCTAATGCTAAAGTGTGAAGATTGTCAGGTGCCAAAGTCTCCTGGGCTCTTGGAAGTTCCCAGATCCAGGTCCTCCCCCCGGCTTTTTTTTTTTTTTTGAGATGGTGTCTCGCTCTGTTGCCCAGGGGCTGCAGTGCAGTGGTGTGATCTCAGCTCACTGCATCCTCTGCCTCCCGGGTTCAAGCGATTCTCCTGCCTCAGCCTCCCAAGTATCTGGGACTACAGGCGTGTGCCACCACGGCTGGCTAATTTTTGTATTTTTAGTAGAGACGGGGTATCGCCACGTTGGCCAGGCTGTTCTCAAACTCCTGACCTCAGGTGATCCACCCGCCTCGGCCTCCCAAAGTGCTGGGATTACAGGCCACTGCCCCAGGCTGATCCTCCACCATTCTTAAGGTGAGGTCTTGTCCTCAGGTTTCAGCATGACTGCTGGAGTCCCGCCATTACACCCTGGCTTCCAGACAGCAGGACAGAGGAAGGGACAAAGGAGAAAGGGTGCAAAGGTCACATCCAGGTGTTTGTTAAGAAAGGTTCCCGGTAGCTGATGCAAGGTGCTTCAGCTTTCATTTTGTTGGCTAGAATGTAGTCACATGATCACTGCCAGCTGCAAGGGATGCTGGGAAATGTAGTTTTCAATCTGAGCGGCCATGTGCTCAGCTGAATTTAGGGTTCCAGTTTCCATGGACAAAGAGAGAACATACAGGGAGTCACCTTGGCCACAGTGGGTAGGATCTGGACCTGGCCAGAATGTTGGGAAGGACGTTTCTGGGTTATGGAGAGGTGCTCCAGTGGGCCAGGGCTGGAGACAGCCACCTGGCTTGGAGCACAGGGTCCCCTGTGAGGAGTGGAGGGGCTAAAAGTGGAAACAGGGCTGGGTTGGAATCGAGGATTTTTTTGGTTTTTTTGGAGATGAATTCTCGCCCTGTCACCCAGGCTGGAGCACAGTGGCTCAATGTCATCTCACTGCAACCTCTAGCCTCCCAGGTTCAAGTCATTCTCCTGCATCAGACTCCCAAGTAGCTAGGATTATAAGTGCGTGCAACCACACCCAGATAATTTTTGTATTTTTAGTAGATACGGGGGTCTCACCCTTTTGGCCAGGCTGGTCTTGAACTCCTGACCTCAAGTGATCCATCTGCCTTGGCCTCCCAAAGTCCTAGGATTACCGGCATGAGTCACCGCACCCAGCCTCAGGTGAAATCTTAATGGAAGGTGTCCAGTGCTGTGAGCAGCTCCTGGTCACCAAGCACTGGCCCTCTGTGTAGGGGGTCTGGATGAGATGGGTGGGCAAGGCCTTTCAACAGAAGCTGGAGTGTGGTGTGAACTTGCTAATGACTTTGAGATGCCAAGCCTCACACACCTCAGACCAGGTTGGATTTAGCAGGTGGAGAGGCTCAGGAAGACCTCTGTGGCAGGTGTGTCTCCTTTCTGCGGAAACCTGCTGCTTCTAAGGTCTGCTGGAGAACCTGGGAGGTGGTGAGTTTGCAAAGACATCCAGGGAAGCAGCCACTTAAGCGAGGGCAGGATGGAGGGGCCCACCTGGGCCACACCTGGCTGCTTGAGGTGGCGAGTTGAGGCTGGGAGGGGTTTCCATCAGTTCCATCAGCTCAGAGCTAGGATTTTTTTTTCTTCTTTTTTTGAGACAGGGTCTTGCTGTGTCACCCAGGCTGGAGTGCAGTGACACGATCATAGCTCATTGCAGCCTTGAACACCCAGGCTCAAGGGATTCTCCCTCCCTCAGCCTCTCTACAGGCTGGGACCACAGGCGCACATCACCATGCCTGGCTAATTTTTTTTTTTTTTTTTTTTTGTAGAGACAGGGTCTCACTATGTTGCTCAGGCGGATGTGGAACTCCTGGGCTCAAGCGATTCTCCTACCTTGGCCCCCAAAGTGCTGGGATTACAGGTGTGAGTCATGGCAGCCACGGCTCCAGAGCTCGGGTTCTTAATCTGGTCTGTGGATGGCCCCTGGGGGCGGTCCCATGAGCCCCTCACAATTGGACACAGTTTTGCAAAGGGGTAAAAGGACAAGAATCGGTAGCTGTGACTGTGGATGAGCCTCTGAGCTTCACTTTCCCTCCCTGAAAGGGGGTGACAGTGGCACCTCCCTGGAGGTTTTCGTGGAGGGGAGGAAACACATGTAAAATACTTCACCCCAGTTGGGCACAGAGGCTCATGCCTGTAATCCCAGGTTTTGGGAGGCCGAGGCAGCAGGGCGGTTTGAGTCCAGGAATTTACAACCAGCCCGGGAAACACAGTGAAACTGTATCTCTTAAAAAATAATTTAAAAAAATTAGCCGGCATGGTGGCACATGCCTCTAGTCCCAGCTATTCCAGAGGCTGAGGCGGGAGGATTGCTTGAGCCCAGAAGCTTGAGGCTACATTGAGCCATAATCGTACCACTGCACTCCATCCCGGGAAACAGGGCAAGACCTTGTCTCTAAAAAAAAATGCTTCTTGCTTGATGACTTGTGATATATGAAAAGGAAGAAAGAAAAGAAAAGCTTTGCCCTGTGTGCCTGGCCCGAAGTAAGTGCTCCATAAATTGGCCGTGGTGTAGCTGTGGATTCTCTGCACATTTTTCTGTGCAGAACCTCCCCTGATTTCGGTCAGCTTCTCAGAAGGATCTGTGACTGAAAAAGGGTACCAGTTCCTGGAGGACAGCACCTGATTGGGGAGTGGAGTCTGCCCTGGCTGGTAAGGGATTGGGGGCTCTCTGCGCAGGGCCAGGACATCTCTCCAGGGACAGGCGAGAAGCTTTGAAAGGGCAGGAAGGAGAGGGCAGCAAGGTCAGATGCCGTGAGAGGTCAGAGTGAGAGCCAAGGGGCGGTCACTGGATTTCTGAGCAGGAGGTCACAGGTGACCTCAGAGAGCAGTCCCCTGGAGGGCTGGGGTGGGGGAGGGGCCAGCCAGATGGCAGGTCTTGGGGGAGGTGACAGTGGAGCTGCAGAGAGAGCAGGGGGGACGGTGACCTTTCCCAGCCCACTGAGACCCACTCTTTCATTCATTCAGCCAGAAACAGGCAGCGAAAGTGGACTCGCCGTCTCCATAGTGCGGTAGCTCCCATCCAGCCAGCTTGAAATGGTCAGCAGAAATTCACCAAGCGTCTGCTGTGCACCAGTTACTGTTTTAGGAGCCCAGGGATGTGGTGACACCCGAGATAAACACAAGGTCCCACATTTGCAGGCCTGGGGACATTGTCTGAGGAGCGCTAAATCAGCAATCACTTAAAACAAGCTGAGGGGCTCCAGGATGCTGGGGGAGGGGCTCTGCTTAGAGGGAGGCTGAGGGCAGAGTCGTGCTTGTGGTAAGAGCTCTAGCAGGGGCCAGCTGGCAAGTCCTGATCCACTCCTTAGCATCCCGGTGACCACTTTGTGCCTCAGTTTCCTTGGCTGTCAGTTGTGGATCTTGACATCGTCTACCCTAGAGGGTTGTTGTGAGTGGCGAGCTGATAGAAGTAAAGTGCTTAAAATAGCGTCTGGCACTGCAGGAGGGAAGACCTCCTCTGGGAATGAACTTGTGGGCCTGGCATGGCCAAGGGCATGCAGTGGGGGGGATGGGGAGGCAAGGGACGCCTGTGATGGAGGCTGGGCTCCAGCCATGCTGTGGCCCGCTGTGCTTTCCTGGCGGGGCGATCATGGGCAAATGCCTCAGTGTCCCCGAATCTCAGCTTCCTTATTGGTGGGAGGATTCGGTGAGTGGCTTCCCTGGTGGAAAGTGGCCTTGGCCAGAGTAGACATCTGTGGCTGGACTGTATACAGAGCCCTGCCCAAGTCGGACACAGCCCCCCAATCTCCAGTGCACTCTGTCTTTTTTTTTTTTTTTTTTTTTTTTTGAGACAGGGTCTCACTCTGTCGCCCAGGCTGGAATACAGTGGAGCGATTTCTGCTCATTGCAACCTCCGCCTCCCAGGTTCAAGTGATTCTTGTGCCTCAGCCTCCTGAGTCTCTGGGACTATAGGCATGTGACACCATGCCCGGCTAATTTTTGTGTTTTTAGTAGAGACGGGGTTTCACCATGTTAGCCAGGCTGGCCTCGAACTCCTAACCTCAAGTGGATCTGCCCGCCTTGGTCTCCCAAAGTGCTGGGATTGCAGACATGAGCCACCGTGCCCGACCTCAGTCTTGGGGAGCAGAGAGAAGGCAGACAGAGAACCCCATCTCCTCTGCTGGGGAAGTGGTCTAGGGAGCACCTTGAAGAGAATGGCAGCTAAGGAGAGGTAGGGGAGAGGCTGGCCTGGCCAGAGAGAGGTGAGCTGCAAAGGAGGGGGACCCAGGGGCCTGCAGGGTGTCTGTGGTCAGCCCTGCTACTCTCTGCCTTTCCTGGCTGGAATGCTATCCCTGGCCTCCCAGCACTCTCTGGGTTAGAGGCTGCAGGCGGTCCTGATTAGCACACATGGGAGCCTCACCTTGGGACCTTGTCCAGGGAACCGTGGTTCTCCCTCCAGTTTCCTCCCATTAAATGGAGGGGGCTTTCGAGGATTGGCCCACACCCAACATAGGTGAATCCTTGGTCTCCTGAGCCTGCTATGTGGCCTGGAAGAGAAGATGTATCCCAAGTTGTCCAGGTGTGGGGGTAGGTAGGACACAGAGTAGCCCTGGGAATCCTGCCCAAGACCCCCTCGTCCCCAGTGATTGAGGAGGAGTCCCTTTCCCCGGTGTAGTTTATCTGTCCCAGGGGCCTTCTCCGGCACCCTCTGGATCTGCTTCCTGATCTCACTCTGGGGAACTGCTTGGGGAGCTTCACGTTTCAGTCTCAAGGATCGCGCAGGGCGGACCCTCAGCAGCCTCCAGATCTGCCCAGAAAGTCCACGGTGCCGGCCCTGCCACTTCTTTGTTTGGCTTAAGAGACAGGGTCTTGCTGTGTTCCTCAGGCCGGCGTGCAGTGGTGCGATCATAGCTCACTGTTAGCCTTGAAATCCTGGGCTCAAGCAATCCTCCTGCCTTAGCCTCCTGAGTAGCTGGGACTACAGGTATGCGCCACCACGGCTGGCTAATTTTTTAAAAAAATTGGCTGGGAGTGGTGGCTCACGCCTGTAATCCCAGCACTTTGGGAGGCTGAGGCAGGTGAATCACTTGAGGTCAGGAGTTCAAGACCAGCCTGGCCAACATGGTGAAACCCCATCTCTACTAAAAATACAAAAATTAGCTGGGCGCGGTGGTGTGCGCCTGTAATCCCAGCTACTTGGGAGGCTGAGGCAGGAGAATCACTTGAACCCAGGAGGCGGAGGTTGCAGTGAGCCAAGATCATGCCACTGCACTCCGGCCTGGGTGACAGAGCGAGACTCTGTTTTTTTTTTTTTTTTTCGTTTTTTGTTTTTTGTTTTTTTAATTACGGGCCAGGTGCAGTGGCTCACACCTGTAATCCCAGCACTTTGGGAGGCCGAGGTGGGCGGATCACTTGAGGTCAGGAGTTCGAGACCAGCCTGACCAATGTGGAGACCCCTTCTCTACTAAAAACACAAAAATTATCCAGGCATGGTGGCGCATGCCTGTAATCCCAGTTACTCTGGAGGCTGAGGCAGGAGAATCTCTTGAACCCAGGAGATGGAGGTTGTGGTGACCACAGATCACACAACTGCACTCCAGCCTGGTCAACAAGAGCAAAACTCCGTCTCAAAAAAAAAAAAAAACAAAAAGACATAGAGATGGGCTCTCTAGTATGTTGTCCAGGCCGGTCTCAAACTCCTGGACATAAGCAGTCCTCCCCTCCTTGGCCTCCCAAAGATCTAGGATTACAGGCCTGAGTCACTGTGCCCAGCCCAACCTGCCACTTTGACACTACACAGCTCTGACTTTTGGTTGAAGAATCTGGAGTCCCCAGTTGCCCCCCCTCCCCCTGTGCTTGCCTTTGTTCCCCAAAAAGCAGTTACATGAAGGAAATGGAGACCAGGCCTAACCCAGGGCTGAAGGAGTTGGGTCTGGAGATTCTAGGCCCCTCCTGTGTCTCCTCTGGTGTTGATTCTCTGCATCGCTTCTTTATTTTATTATTTTTTTTTGAGACTGAGTCTTGCTCTGTCCCCCAGGCTGGAGTGCAGTAGCGTGATCTCAGCTCACTGCAACCTCCGCCTCCCGGGTTCAAGCGATTCTCCTCCCTCAGCCTCCCGAGTAGCTGGGATCATAGACACGTGCCACCACGCCTGCCTAATTTTTGGATTTTTAGTAGAGACGGGGTTTCACCCATGTTGGCCAGGTTGGTCTCAAACTCCTGACCTCAGGTGATCCACCAGCCTTGGCCTCCCAAAGTGCTGGGATTACAGACGTGAGCCATCATGCCTGGCCGCTTATTTATTTTAATTGTTGTTTAGTCAGTACACACACATGCCCAGGCCTTAGTTCTGTTTGATGCTTTTGACAATTATGGACACCCATGTCACCACCACCCAAAGCCAGACATGGAACTTGTTCCCCTCTGGGTAGGTTTGTTCAGTGGGACAGCCCCTCTTTCCCTGTCTGTTCCTCTCATCATTTGTCCCCTGCTGCCAGGCGGGGCATTCTTGTAAACAGGTCCAGACTGGGTTTGGGGGGCTCTGTGCCCCCCCACCCCTGCCAGGAGAACCCCCTTTTATTCTTCCTTTTTGTCTGTCTCTTTAAAGCGATTCATTAGCCTTGGCAGGCGTGGGTCTGAGCTGTTTTCCTTTATGTCGTTGGCAGGTCTTTCTCCCGCTAATTGTGTTCTCGGAGCTGGGGTTCATTTTTGCCGGATGTGTTACACATGTGCAAGCGTAGTGGTTTTATGTATAGAAAACCTGCCCAGCGGTGTGGGCATGGGTGCTACTCCTGGCGAGGACTGCAGAAAGGCCCCTGGCCAATCAGTGCTCTCGTGAAAGAGGGATGCTCTTGTTAACCATCCCGGGCAGGGGGCATGTGAATAAATAATCAAAGACTGGGGTGCCTCTTGCAGACTGAGGGAGGGACATTCCAGAGAATTTGCTGCATTCTTCCTTGAACAGGACGGGAAGGCGAAGATAGGCTGGAGCTTCCAGATTTCCATCCTGTGCCCTTGAGGGACCCTCTGCAGGAGCCTGGCTCTGCCTTTGAGCCCTGGAGCCCCTAGATGCAGGATGATGGGATGCCTGGCTCTTACTCCCGCTCACACACTCCAAGTCTCGCTATCAGGACAGCCCCCCACAGGGAGCCACAGCAGCCACAGCTCACTCCCTCATTTTTTTTTTTTTTTTTTTTTTTTTTGAGACAGGGAGTGCAGCGGTGTGAACACAGCTCATTGCAACCTCAACCTCCCAGGTTCAGTTCATGCTCCTGCCTCAGCCTCCCGAGTAGCTGGGACGGCAGGTGGCCCCACACCTGGCTAATTTTTTTCTTTCTTTCTTTCTTTTTTTTTTTTTTTTTGAAATGGAGTTTCACTCTTGTTGCCCAGGCTGGAGTGCGATGGTGTGATCTCAGCTCACCACAACCTCCACCTCCTGGGTTCAAGTGATTGTCCTGCCTCAGCCTCCCCAGTAGCTGGGATTACGGGCATGCGCCACCACGCCCGGCTAATTGTGTATTTTTAGTAGAGACGGGTTTTCTCCATGTTGGTCAGGCTGGTTTCGAACTCCTGACCTCAGGTGATCCACCCGCCTCAGCCTCCCAGCCTGTAGCTGGGATTACAGGCGTGAGCCACCGTGCCCGGCCTAATTTTTGTATTTCTTGTAGAGACGGGGTCTCAACCATGTTGCCTAGGATGCTCTCCAACTCCTGGGCTCATGCAGTCCTCCCACCTCGACCACCCAAAGTGCTGGGATTACAGGCGTGAGTCACCATGCCCCGCCCCCTCCCTCATTTTTATCTTTTATCTTTTTTTTTCTTTTTTAGAGATGGGGGCTGGGTGCGGTGGCTCACGCCTGTAATCCCAGCACTTTGGGAGGCTGAGGCAGGTGGATCACAAGGTCAGGAGTTCAAGACCAGCCTGGCCAAGATGGTGAAACCCCATCCCTACTAAAAAATACAAAAAAAATTTAGCCGGGTGCAGTGGCAGGCACCTGTAATCTCAGTTACTCTGGAGGCTGAGGCAGGAGAATCACTTGAACCTGGGCAGCAGGAGTTGCAGCAAGCCGAGGTCGCTCCACTGCACTCCAGCCTGGATGATAGAATGAGATTCCATCTCAAAAAAAAAAAATGGGGTCTCAATATTTTGCCCACGCTGGTCTCAAACTCCTGGCTTCAAATGATCCTCTTGCCTCAGCCTCTCAAGTAGCTGGGCCTCCTGCCTCAGCATTCTGAGGAGCTGGGCCTCCTGCCTCGGTGTCCCGAGGAGCTGGGCCTCCTGCCTCGGTGTCCTGAGGAGCTGGGACTGCAGGGGGGCACCACCATGCCCAGCTCACTCCCTAATTTGTATAAGAGGAAACTGAGGCACTAAAACTTTGGTGGCAGAGTTGGGATGTGAACCCAGGTTTGGCCCTGATCCGTTCACTTGGCCATCAGCCCTGCAGCCCCTCCTGCCACTTTTCCCACTCTCTGACTCCTCCACAGGGCAGTGCAAGGCCATGGAGGAAGTGCCTGCCCAAGGCTTACCCCTGCTGCTCCTGGTCCTTGTCCTGTGTCACCGTGTTGGCCATAGCGACCTCTTCCAGAGCTCGCCAAAGCCAGGGTCCCGTCTCCCCTGGTTCCTGCCGTGTGCCTGATTTCTTTGTGGCATCAGTAGTGTCTGCCCCCTTCGCCTGTGCCACATCTGGAATCACATCTGGCGAAGCAGCCTGCAGGTCCTGGGGCGGAAGGCGGCCTTCCTAACCCAAACATACTGTTCTCTGAGCCTTGGTGGGGCCAGAAGGGCTCCTGGAGCGCCCTGGGACCTGGCAGAGGGCCTTCCTGCAGCTTTGTGGCCCAGGACATCCTGTGTCTCTGGCTGATGGTCAAAACCTTTCCTTATTCTTTATTTTTTTTTAAATGTTTTACTTTTTGTAGAAGCAGGGTCTTGCTTTGTCACCCAGGCTGGTCTCAAACTCGTGGTCCCAAGCCATCTCTCTGCCTTGGCCTCCCAAAGCACTGGGATTACAGGCATGTGCCAGCATGCTCTGACTCAGACTCTTTCAAGAGGTGCACTAGGCAGGGACTTCAAGTGGGCCTCAGCCCCAGGGCAGCTTCTCCCTGACCCAACTTCGATTTCCTCCATTGGAGGCTGCCTCCGCTCCAGCCTCTCTGGAGCGCCCCCCTGTACTCCCCTCCTCTGGGTGAGGCCCTTTTGCCAGCCTGAAGGCAGGCCCCAGCCCAGCTTGCTGCACTGAGCTCTCTGTCCTTGGCAATGAGAGCCAGGGTGTGGAGGGTCCCAGTCGCTCTGGGAGATGATCCCCCTCAGCAGCCTGGGGTCTTCTTGCCGCTCCATGACACGCCTCATTCAGCCCGACCTTCCAGGCCACTGTGGGTGTCTCCTCTGCAAAGGGCCTCCTGCTGGCCTAGTCCCCATAGAGAGCTGCAGCCCAGCTCCTGCCATGTGTCACAATGTGACAGACCCTCTTTAGCACCAGGAAGCAGGCTTGATTGCCTCCTTGTAGTGGTGAGGCTCAGGGGTCAACTAGCCTGGCCTGGCATTGCCCAGGCCCAGAGCACAGGTAGAACCTGGGGTCCCCTGAGCGTGGCCCCCAGTACCTCCCAGCTGGCTCTCTGGAGGCTGGGATGGAATTTGGCTGTCTTTGGACCAGCTTCTGGGTCCCCAGCTGAGCCACCTGGAGACTGTCATCGCTCTGTTGCTTGGTTTCCCCTCTTAAAAATAGGACTAAGGTCGACCTGGAGGGTGGTTTGAGCACTAACCGAGGCCCTGCACAGCCAACACCTAAGAGTGCTTCCTGGGGCTCCATAAATCACAGCTTCAAAGTCTTGGCCCGCGGGAGAAGAAAGACTGGGCGAGCTGGCCCAGCAGACAGCATGTGGAGCGAGGGGGCTGGTGCAGGCCGGTTTTGTGGCTTTGCACCGCGCCCCCACCCCCTACCCTCCACAACCCCATGCTTTTCATAATTATCCACTAAGCTCCCGCGCTTTCTGGGGCTGTGGAACCCCAGCTCACATCTGCTGTCTCTTTTGTAGTGCACAAAGCCCCAGGCGGTGGCAGCTGATTAGCATGGATGCAGGAGACATTTGCATGTAATAGCTCCCAGTGAAGGGGGTGCCCCGTCTCTTTTTCAGAAAAGCCAAGCTCTTTGTCTTGGCCTTCTATTCTTGGGGTTGCCCTTCGCACACCCCACAACTGAGCAGACTGTCACCCACAGGTCAGGACTACAGGGGAAGCTGTCGACCCTTGAAGGTGGAGCTTAGGGACCAGACCTTAGAGGGAGCCCCCTACTGAGTGCCCCCCAGGCCTCTGACTGAAGAAGCTTCACAGTGATTTATGAGGTTTGGGTGTCCTCAGTTCAGGGGGCTTTCTCCAGAGCCCACCTAGATGGGGCACGCATTGAGTGCTCTGTCTCCTGAGATCTGACCTGGCAGTCTGGGGCAGGGGGAAAGGGCAGCTGCCCCAAGTAGTGCTTGGGGGCACCATGGAGGCCTTGGCCTACCTGAGATGCCAACAGGACACCCACAGACACCTCTGTTCCGTAGGTGGCTGCCTCTCAGCCCTGCCCATACACCACCCAGTGTCCTGTCACTGCGCAATTTGAGAATTTTTTTTTTTTTTTTTGAGACAGAGTCTCCCTTTGTCACCCAGGCTGGAGTGCAATGGTGCAATCTCGGCTCACTGCAACCTCCGCCTCCCCAGTTCAAAGGATTCTTCTGCCTCAGCCTCCCAAGTAGCTGGGATTACAGGTGTTCACCACCATGCCCGGCTAATTTTTTTTTTTTTTTTTTTGTATTTTTAGTAGAGACGGGGTTTCTCCAAGTTGGCCAGGCTGGTCTCGAACTCCTGGCCTCAGGTGATCCGCCTGCCTCAGCCTCCCAAAGTGCTGGGATTACAGGCGTGAGCTACCATGCCTGGCCCAGAATTGTTTATTACCTTCTGTAATCCTACATTCTTGGGGACTCCTGAAGTAGATTCAACACTTTGACTTTGTGAGTTGCCAATGCATTTCCAAGCCCGGATCCAACCGTGGACCCTGGCCTTTTGGGCCAGCAGAAGAGGTGGCTGTTTTTTCTCATGAAATATTTTTGAAGGAATGAAGACGAATGCAGCCAACACCTGTGCACTTCCCACCCTCATTTTAAGGAAACCTTGCCCATGGAATGAAGCCCCCCATCCAATCCCCTCCCCAGGGAACAGCTTTATACTAACTCTGGTGGTCGGCTTTTGGAGGGGCCATAAATGGCCTGAAAAGCTAACCTGTAACCTGTAAAGCTTAAACTTTACAGGTGGGATGTAAATGTTGAGGCGGGAGGATCGCCTAAGGCTGGGAGTTTGAGACCAGCGTGGGCAACATAGCAAGACCCCATCTCTACAGAAAAATAAAAAATTAGCCTTCCATGGTGGTGCATGCAAGCCTGGGGTCCCAGGTACTCAGGTGGCTGAGGCAGGTGGATTGCTTGAGCCCAGGAGTTTGAGACCAGCCTGGGCAACATAGGGAGACCCTGTCTCTACAAAAAATATAAAAATTAGGTGGTTTTTTTGTTTTTTGTTTTGTTTGTTTTTTTTTTTTTTTGAGACAGAGTTTCGCTCTTGTTGTCCAGGCTGGAGTGCAGTGGCGCGATCTTGGCTCACTGCAACCTCCGCCTCCCGGGTTCAAGTGATTCTCCTGTCTTAGCCTCCCAAGTAGCTGGGATTACAGGCGCCCACCACTACACCTGGCTAATTTTTGTATTTTTAGTAGAGATGGGGTTTTACCATGTTGGCCAGACTGGTTTCAAACTCCTGACCTCGGGTGATCCACCTGCCTCGGCCTCCCAAAGTGCTGGGATTACAGGTGTGAGCCACCCCACCGCGCCTAGCCTAAAAATTAGTTTTGTGTGGTGGTACATACCTGTGGTCCCAGCTACTTTGTTTTATTTACATATATATATGTATATGTATATACGTATATATGTGTATACGTATATACATATATACACACATATATACACACACATATATACACATGAATATATAGACACATATATACACATGCATATACACACACACATATACACACACACATATATATATATATATATATATTTTTTTTTTTTTTTTTTTTTTTTTCTTGGTATAGCTCTATCCTTCCTGAAGTCCCAGCTCCTTAGGAGGCGGAGGTGGGAGGATTGCTTCTTGAGCACAGGAGGTCGAGGCTGCAGTGTGCTATGACTGGGCGGGCCATTGCACTCCAGCCTGGGTGACAGAGGGAGACCAAAACTGAGTCAGTGTTCCCAAGCAGTGTGTGAAGCTGATTCTCTGTCAGCCACGTGCCAGATGGGTTGGGTCCCAGGGGTGGCCACCTGGGGGACAGGGCCAGACACTTGTTCTGGGCCCAATATGGCCTTGTGTCCAGAACTCTCTCGGTGGCTCCTTCTCTCGACCCTTTGCCTTGAGCCGGAGCACTGTGGGGACACAGGAACCAAGACTGGTGTTTTGTGCCAATGCCACACTACTGTGTGCCCGTGGGTCTTGGGCCGGGCATGGGTGGGTTCGTCCTCATGGCTACACAGTGAACCATGTGTTATTTTATTTTTCTAGACACTAAAGCTGAGGTGTCGGGAGGTGATGGTCCCTTGCTTGCAGGTGGCAGAGCTCAGGTTCAAACCTGGATCTTACTGCACCTGGCTCGTTTGGGAGGCCTCCCTTGCTGGAATGCAGGTCAGGGAGCCCCGATGCCCTTGGGCTGACTGCCCCACGTCCATCACACCCACTGAGGGCCGTGGGGTGGGTGCAGGGCTTGTTCTGGGAGATTCCAAGCTGAGGAAAGCAGGGCTGTCCGCCAGCCTCCAGCTGGGTCACAGAAGAGGCTCAGGGCCTGTTCCCACTCCCCTCCCCCAGCCAGCAGGGTCCAAAAGGATGTTGGGGGGGTGGTCCCCAGTCCGGCCTGCCCACTCTAGGGAGGGGCCCAGATAACTTGCGTAGACGCCGGCCCTCCCGCCCCCAGCCTTCGCCATTGCCTTTTGTCTGGCTATCTTTCATGTACAAGGGAGAAATTCAAGCCACTCAGGAGGGTGTAACATGAAAAGTCAGTCTCTCCTTCTCTCCGCACTGCCCGTGACCTGTGGTTTCTCAGGCACATACAAGCGCGCACGCATAAATCTCTCCTCCAACCTGCTGGGCTTCAAGTTATGCACGTTCACACAATGGCAAAGGAGGGTGCGGATTGAAAAGTATGACTTGCTTCCCGGAGGCAGCACTGAAGTCACTTTATTGTGTTTCCAGACAAGCCCCATGAATGCAGTGTGCACTGCCCCTCCTCCCTCTGTCCCTTCCCCGCCCATCTGTACACCTGTGGTGCGTAGGTTTTACACCACTCTGTGCCTTACGTTGTGGCTCGATCATTTAACATGTCAGTGTGTACCGATGGAAATTGATCTCTTTTAATTTGCCACATCTTCATTTATTCATTCTTTGATTAATTGATGGATATTTAGGTTTTCTGCTTTGGGGGCATTCAGATCCAGGTGTATCTCTGCAAGTAGAGCTTGTAGCATACATAAGGCCCTGCAAAGGGATTTCTGGGCCGGAAGTTTTTGATCAGTTGCTCAGACATAGTTCTGATGTGCTGGGGAAGTGCCCGTTCAGGGCCATGGCTGCAGGGCTCCTGGACACCCAGCTCCGGTGCTGGAGTGGGGTTGGGATTCGCCCAGAGGCCAGGGCTGCGCCAGAGGAGCCCAGGGTGACCTCATGGTCCTCAGATACCCGGGGCTGGGCAGCACAGTGGAACAGCTGCTCCAGAGCTTCTCCGAGGACGACATCGGAGGATCCGACTCAGGTTACGGCAGGAGAGGGAGGCCAGGCCGGGTTAGGGTTCTGGGGTTTGGGATTCTCTTCCGAGGCTGGCATTGATCTGTTGCTGATGATGGTAACAGCAGCTGCTCTTGTTTATGAAGTACTTAACACCTCCAGCTCCCTCCATTACCTAGGAATCCTCACTGCAGGGAGGGGTTTTCATCCCCATTTTGTGCCTATTTTATTTATATTATTTTATTTTTTGAGGCAGGGTTTTGCTCTTGTTGCCCAGGCTGGAGTGCTATGGCACGATTTCTGCTCACTGCAACCTCTGCCTCCTGGGTTGAAGTGATTCTGCTGCCTCAGCCTCTTGAGTAGCTGGGATTACAGGTGCCCGCCACCATGTCTGGCTAATTTTTTGTATTTTTCGGTAAAGATGGGGTTTCACCATGTTGGCCAGGCTGGTCTCAAACTCCTGACCTCAGGTGATCCACCCGCCTCAGCCTCCCAAAGTGGTGGGATTACAGGCGTGAGCCAACACTCCCGGCCCTGCCCATTTTATTTATTTATTTTTATTTTTATTTTTTTCAGATGGAGCTTTGCTCTTTTTGCCCAGGTTGGAGTGGAATGCAACCTCTGCCTCCCAGGTTCAAGTGATTCTCCTGCCTTAGCCTCCCGAGTTGCTGGGATTACAGGCATGTACCACCATGCCTGGCTAATTTTATATTTTGAGTAGAGACGGGGTTTCACCATGTTGGCCAGGCTGGTCTCGAGCTCCTGACCTCACATGATCCACCTGCTTCGGCCTCCCATAGTGCTGGGATTACAGGCGTGAGCCACTGCCCCCACTGTGCCTATTTTATTTCATTTTGAGACAGAGTCTTACTCTCTCCCCCAGGTTGGAGTGCAGTGGTGCGATCTCGGCTCACTGCAACCTCCACCTCCTGGCTTCAAGTGATTCTCCTGCCTCAGCCTCCTGAGTAGCTGGGACTACAGGCACCCGCTACCACGCCCGGCTAATTTTTTTTATTTTTAGTAGAGATAGGTTTTCACCGTGTTAGCCAGGATGGTCTCGATCTCCTGACCTTGTGACCCGCCTGCCTTGGCCTCCCAAAGGGCTGAGATTACAGGCGTGAGCCACCGCCCCCTGTCATTGTGCCCATTTTATAGATGGGGCTCCTGAGGCCAGGGGTGAAGGCAGGTGCTAGTTCGGGGGATCCAAGCCCTGCCAGACTCTGCTGCATGTGGGCTCTGACCTAGTGAAGTTCCAGGATGGTGCCCTGGGGCCGGGCTGTCAGGCCCTCCACGTGGGTTATGTCACCTCACCCTTTGGGATGTGTCAGGGTGGTGGTTGAACAGATGAGGAAGCCAAGGCCAGGGCTGGAGAACAGTGGGTTCGGCCCTGAACCCAGTCCCTCCTTGATAAACCTAAGTCCTCCTTGATGCCAAAGCCCATCCTTTCAGCCATCTCCCTGCTGGGTGACCCTAGGGTCATCTCTGCCGCCTCTTGGGCACATGGGTGCCAAGCCACACAGGAATGGGGGGAAGCTTCTGGTTCCCAGTTTGGAAACAAGGTCACCTCTGCCAGGGCAGTGGGGCCTGGCTCAGGTGTCGCCTCCTCCCGAGTCTGCCTGGAATCTGAATTGGGCCTGGTCCGCATGCATCAGCTTCCGTGCTTTCCCTCCTCTCAGCGCTTACTGCCAGTTCCTGTTGTCCGTCTCCTCACTGCCCTGCTGGGTGCTGTCTGCCTCCCACTGTGGACTCCCAGCATGGGAGGGCCGGGGGTGGCTCTCTGGTTCACCGCCAGGTCCTCTGTGCCTGCATGTGGTCCGGGCAGAGCAGGCTGAGCAGAGATGCCAGCTGAGTGGGCTTCAGAAAGCGTGTTTTTTTTTCCGTGCCTGTGGGATGGGAGTTGGCCACGGGGGGTCGGGGTGTCTCCCTCTTTTTACCTAACTCTCCTCCTTTGATCGGGAATATTTTCCTCTGGAAGGTGAAGAGCCCATGTTGTCTTTGGCAGCAGGAGGCGATTTAATACAAGACGTACCATTTGGACAACGGCTTCTACAGCTACCAGCTACTCCCCCGCCCCAGGTTTGCCGAGATAAATAGCTTTAATTATTCCTCCATTTGGTGGCTACAGTTGTGTTCCCCCTGGAGATGCAAGAGCTTGAAATGTGGCCTTTCTCCCCCGAGCTGCTGCTGCTTTTCTTCTTGCCCTCCACCTCCTTGTGTTTTTTTTTTTTTTCTCTCTCTCTCTTTTTTTTTTTCTTCTTGAAATGGGGTCTCACTCTGTCGCCCAGGCTGGAGTGCAGTGGCACGATCTCAGCTCACTGCAGCCTTGACCTCCCAGGCTCAAGGGATTTTCCTGCCACAACTTCCCACATGGTTGGGACTACAGGTGCGCATCACCATGCCCAGCTAATTTTTTTATTATTATTTGTAGAAGATGGGGTCTCACTGTGTTACCCAGGCTGGTCTCAAACTCCTGGGCTCAAGTGATCCTCCCCGCTCAGCTTTCCAAAGTGTTAGGATTACAGGCGGGAGCCACTGTTCCCAGCCGGCCTCCTTATTCTCTATCTGCCAAAGAATGTGGCCCTGATGTCACGACAGCATGGGAGGTTCTCTTTTTTTTTCTTTTTGAGAGAGTCTCGCTCTATCACCCAGGCTGGAGGGCAGTGGCGTGATTTCTGCTCACTGCAACCTCCGCCTCCCAGGTTCAAATTATTCTCGTGCCTCAGCCTCCCAAGTAGCTGGGATTACAGGTGCCCACCACCACTCCTGGCTGATTTTTGTATTTTTGGTAGAGATGAGGTTTCACCATGTTGGCCGGACTAGTCTCAAACTCCTGGCCTCAAGCGATCCACGTGCCTTGGCCTCCCAAAGTGCTGGGATTACAGGCGCAAGCCACTGTGCCTGGCCTAGGGATGGGAGGTTTGAAGGGACTCCAGGTCCCCCTGACCCAGGTCTAACGAGCCTCAAGGGCCCAAAGACCCCCTGCTTGTTCCGTTGCTTTCTGGAAGCAAGGGGGAGGGGAAGGAGGTGAACAAATAGTGCTGCTGTGTGGCCACCTGATGCTAAACATCTCTGCGTGGTGAAGCCACTTCCCCAATCAAGGCCATGCGCACAGTGAGGGCAGGCTAGCACTCCAACTTGGACACCTAGACCCCTGAACCCACTGCCCCCTGTGCTTAGGGAAGAGGCTGGGCTGCCCCTGCCCCTATCCCGGGGAGGGCATTCTGGTCAGTACCCATGAGTGCCCCTTGTGTGCTAGGTACTGTGTGGGTCATGCCCAGAGCCCTGGATCTGCGCTTTGTGGGGCTGTCAGGTAGGCATTAAATAATGAGCTGCCAGGCAGTGAGGGCTTGTCCGGGAAATGCTGGAGGACCTCTAGGAGGAGGTGACAAGGAAGCAGGGGAAGAGGGGAGGGTGATCTCTAAGGAGCATCAGAGGCCAGAGAGAACCTCTGCCCATGATCTTGACCGGGAGAGAGTGTTGAAGGCCAGCGAGGTTTGGCTGGAGTGACCCAGGGGGCAGCAGTGAGACTGCAGACATTGGCAGGGGGCTGGTTCCGGAAGGTGCTGGGGAACCGTGGGGCGGTGTGAAGCAGGCGGGTTGTGTTAGACACTGTGCGGCTTGAAGGGTGGACTGGGAGGTGACTGAGGCATGGTATGTCGCCCGGCACCATCTGCTCAGTGAGACCCTTGAGAGACGTCTCCCCGTTCTTCCAAGACCCTCCTGCATGCTGGGACCCAGGGCTGCCGTGGAGCTGCTTGCTGCCCCACCCACCATTCTCTAGTGTATTTTCTTCAAGTCTGGGGCTAGGGAATCCTTATACCTTAGAGTCCCCCAGATTCTGCTGCCCTGGGGGGCCAATAAGGAGGGGATGTGCAGCATGCTGACTCTAAGGCAGGTGGGGAACAGCAGCCAGTCCACCAAGAGCTGCCCTCTTCCCCATCCCCATTGCCTCCTGCCTGGCCAGCCATAGCACTTGGCTCCTTCCCTATCCTGTGTGACGGTGGGTCTCTCCCCACCCTGCGCAAGATCCCTCCCAGTGCTGCCCAGAGCCAAGCCACCAGTCCACTGGGGCCTCTTGCAGTCCCTCCACAGCGCCCCTACCCACATCAACCCACGTTTCTTGGAGGTCTGTCCCAGTAGCCTCCCAGGGCTCACCACACTGTCTGGGCCACCCCTGTTTCCCTGCGTTCCTGCACTCTTCCCCTTACTGGCATATCTGTCCCCAGTCTCCTTCCCAGGCTGGGTCAGGTGCCACCTCCAGGCACCTACAGAGTCCACCACTTGGGGATCTCTGTCAGTCTGCCACTCGGCTGTCCTCACCGCCTCTAGGATGGGGAGTGTGTCTCCATTGCCGAGTGCCTAGTGAGCAGATAGGGAAGTGGGTGGCGAGGATGCTGAGGGTCCAGCCTCTGCTCTGCACCTGTAATCCTTCCGGGTTTTGCAAATGAAGCTTTATGGGCACACAGCCATGCTCATTTGTTTACATATTGTCTGCTGCAAGGCAGAATAGAATCATTGTAGCAGAGATCAGATTCCCCAGCAGAGATCAGATTCCCCAGGAAGCACACAATATTTACTGTCTGGTCCTTTACACAGAAAGTCAGCCAAGGCCTGCTCTAGGAAGCGCAGAGACATTGGGTGGTGCATTGGTGAGGAATAGGGATGCTGGTGCCAGTCACCTCGGCCACTCTTGCTGTGTGACCTTGAGCAAGACACTTAACCTCTCTGAGCAAATAAGGGCATAGTGAGAGTAGATACTCCCAGAAGTGATGAGAAGAGGAAACAGGAGGTCGACATAAGGCACCGGAACAGAGCCTGGCTGTTAGAGTGTTGTCACTCTTATGTCATGTGACATCCCAGCCTCTGCAGGGTGTGGGCAGGCCTGGCTCATGGCAGCTGGGGGTTTGTGACCTGGATTCACATGGTGGAGGGCTGCTTCCTGGGAAGCAAGAAAGGCTGCCTCAAAGATGGGGCAATTTTTCTACCCCCTTCCCTGCAGTTCCAGCCCCTCCTCCCTTGGCCCCAGAGCTTCATCAGGGCCGACTGCAGTGTGGCAGGCCAGCGAGTAGCCCCAGGCTGGGTCCAGGGGTGGCCAAAGCGTAACACTCAGTCCGGGTTTGTGTTCTTTACGTTCCCCGTTGGAGACTCCACCTGGAGATCCCAGTCCCTTTCCTTTTACTGCAGGGTAAAGAAATGCTAGCTCTGGGCCGGGCACGGTGGCTCACACCGGTGATCTCAGCACTTTGGGAGGTCGAGGTGGGTGAATCACCTGAGATCAGGAGTTTGAGATCAGCCTGGTCAACGAGGTGAAACCCTGTCTCTAGGCTGGATGCGGTGGCTCACTCCTGTAATCCCAGCACTTTGGGAGGCTGAGGCAGGCGGATCACGAGGTCAGGAGATCGAGACCATCCTGGCTAACACGGTGAAACCCCGTCTCTACAAAAAATACAAAAAAAATTAGCCGGGCGAGGTGGCGGGCGCCTGTAGTCCCAGCTACTCGGGAGGCTGAGGCAGGAGAATGGCGTGAACCCCAGGGAGTGGAGCCTGCAGTGAGCCAAGATTGCGCCACTGCACTCCAGCCTGGGAGACAGCGAGACTCCGTCTCAAAAAAAAGAAAAAAAAAAAAAGAAACCCTGTCTCTAATAAAAATACAAAAATTAGCCAGGTGTGGTGGTGCATGCCTGTAATCCCAGCTACTCGGGAGGCTGAGACAGGAGAATCGCTGGAACCTGGGAGATGGAGGTTACGGTGAGCTGAGATTTTGCCACTGCACTCCAGTCTAGGCGACAGAGTGAGACTTAGTCTCAAAAAAAAAAGATACCCCAGCTGTGGCCTGGCCTCAATTGGCCTGAACTCACCACGGCCTCCTGGCTCTAGAGTCTGCTTTTTGGTCACCCTTGCCTGCTAGCCCTGCAGCCTGTCCCCCACCTCTCCAGGCCATGTGCACACAGTCCCCAACATGCGCCGGCTGATGCCGCAACAGTGGTGCTTTTTGGATTTGTCTCTAGAGGCCAACACAGAGGGCCTTTCTGAATCCTGGGGTCCTGCCCCCTTCCGCGGCTCCCATACTGCTCCTCCCCAGCTGAATGGCCGCTTTGGGAGGTGGTTGCTGGCCTTGAGAGGATGCCACAGTGAGTTTCCTGCGGGCAGGGCTGCATCTGTGGCGAGCACTGAATCGCCACTGCTGGATCCAGATGCCTGTGCGTCCCGGGCCCCAAGGCTCCCTTCTACCCTCCTCCTGGGGTGCTGTTCGCAAGCCAGGAGACAGGCTGTGCATTCCCTGCCTACTCAGAGGTGACCCTGGGCCAGGTGTGCGATGGCCCACTGGACCCATAGTAGCAGAGGGAGGGGAGAGGAAGGGAGAAAGTGGGAACAGCATGTGCAGAGGCCTGGGGCCTGGCCCATGTAGGGACTAGAGGGTTGAGTGTGTCCATGGGGAGGGGCCAAGACGGGGAGAGCCATGAGGAATGATGGGCACAGAGCTCAGAGGCTCGGGAGTCTCCTGAACAAAGAGAGGAACACGGCTTAGCTTGTTTTTTTTTTTTTTTTTTTTGGTTTGTCAGTATTTCCCAGGTGTCTTCTGTGTGCCAGGGACTAACTTGGGGATAAAGCTGTGACTTTGAGAAGCTGCCGGCTCCGCGGGCTTTAGCAGCTGCTGCTGTGATGAAGCGATCCACTTGCCCTCAGCCCCGGCATCTTTGGCCCAAGCCCAGCCCTAGCCCTGGCTGGGCACAGCCAGGCTTCACTTGGCCACAGGTCCTGTAGTTGCCTGCCTGGCGCCAGGTCAGAGAGGGACGCCTCAGGCAACATCGGGTTGCCAGGCTGCTTGGTAAACAGGCCTCCCTGGGCCCACTTGCTGTCGCCCAGGTGTGGCTAACAGATCGACAGTATCTCCTGCCCCAGGACGGGTATGAGTGTGGGCACCATGCCAAGGTTGGATGTCCCTTCCTGGGACCCACCCACAGCTGGGAGCACTTTATCTTGGGCCTCTGTGGGTGTAGTGAGGCTGTGAGTCTGGGGCAGTGGCCTGCTGACACCCTCCTGGCAGGGCTCAGGAGGTTCCTCCATGCCCTGCCCTCAGGAGGGCGGCACCTGGCTCCTGGGGTGGGAGAGAGTCTGGCAGGACTGGCTGGGTGTGGCCGGGGAGCTGCCCTTCAGGTCTCATATCTGTAGGCCCTCATACCTGGACTCGTCAGTTAGGAACAGTTTTCTTTTTCTTTTTCTTTTTTTTTTTTTTTGAGACGGAGTCTCACTCTGTCGTCCAGGCTGGAGTGCAGTGGTGCCATCTCGGCTCACTGCAACCTCCACCTCCCGGGTTCAAGCGATTCTCCTGCCTCAGCCTCCTGAGTAGCTGGGATTACAGGCACCCGCCATCATGCCTTGCTAATTTTTGTATTTTTAGTAAAGACGGGGTTTTGCCATGTTGGACAGGTGTGTCTCAAACTCCTGGGTTCAAGTGATCCGCCCACCTCCCAAAGTGCTGGAATTACAGGCGTGAGCCACCACGCCTGGCCCATTTTTCATTTTCTATTGAAACAAAATTCACACCTGTAATCCCAGCACTTTGGAGGCCAAGGTGAGAGGATCACTTGAGCCCCAGGAGTTTCAGACTAGCCTGGGCAACATAGTGAGACCCTCATTTCTACAAAAAAATAAACAAAATTAGCCAGGGGTGGTGGCATGTGCGTGAGGTTCCAGCTACCCGGGAGGCTGAGGTGGGAGGATGTCTTGAGCCTGGGAGGTCAAGAGCTGTTGTTTCATAACATGAAATTAGCCCTTTTACAATGTTGCATAACAATCACCTCTATCTACTCCCAAAATATGTTTGTCACCCCAAAAGGAGACCCCACATCCATTAAGCAGTTGCTCCCCATTCCTGCCTTCTCCCAGCTCTCAGCCACCAGCAGTGTGCCTTCTGTGACTATTTCATATAAATAGAATCATTTGTGTCTGGCTTCTTTCGGCATGATGTTTCTGCTATTCATTCATGTTGCAGCATGGCTCAGTGCTTCCTTTATTTTTATGGCTGAATAATGTTTCATTTTATAGATAAGCCATATTTGTTTATCTGTTTGTCAGTTTATGGACATTTGGGTTGTATTTCTATCTTGTGTCTGTCGTGAATAAGTACTGCTGTGAATGCTTGCATACGAGTGTCTGTTGGTTTTTTTTGCTTTGTTTTGTTTTTATTTTTATTTTTTTGAGATGAGTCTGGCTCTGTCGCCCAGGCTGGGGTGCAGTGGCGTGATCTCGGCTCACCGCAAGCTCCGCCTCCCAGGTTCCTGCCATTCTCCTGCCTCAGCCTCCCGAGTAGCTGGGACTACAGGCACCCGTCACCACACCCGGCTAATTTTTTGTATTTTTAGTAGAGACGGGGTTTCACCGTGTTAGCCAGGATGGTCTCGATCTCCTGACCTTGTGATCCACCCGCCTCGGCCCCCCAAAGTGCTGGGATTACAGGTGTGAGCCACTGCACCCGGACTTTTTTTTTTTTTTTCTGAAGCGGAGTCTCACTCTGTTGCCCAAGCTAAAGTGCAGTGGCGCTATCTCAGCTCACTGCAACCTCCACCTCCCTGATTCAAGCAATTCTCCCTGTCTCAGCTTCCTGAGTAGCTGGGACTACAGGCACCCACCATCATGTCTGGCTAATTTTTGTGTTTTTAGTAGAGACGGCATTTTGCCATGTTGACCAGGCTGGTCTTGAACTCCTGACCTCAGGTGATCTGCCTGCCTCGGCCTCCCAAAGTGCTGGGATTACAGGCATGAGCCACTGCACTTGGCCAGCTTTTTGTTTGTTTGTTTGTTTTTGTTTTTGTTTTTTTAAAGAGGTGGAGTCTTGCTATGTTGCCCAGGCTGGAGTGCAGTGGCTGTTCACAGGCAGTCATAGCTAACTGCAACCTTGAGCTCCCGGGCTCAAGCAATCCTTCCACCTCAGCCTCCCGAGTAGCTGGGATCTCAGGCATGCACCACCATGCCCGGCTAATTTTGTTTATTTTTTTGTAGCGATAGAGATGGGGTCTTACTATGTTGCCCAGGCTGACCTTGAACTCCTGGCCTCAAGTTATCCTCCCATCTTGGCCTCCCAAAGTGCTGGGATTACAGGCATGAGCCTGTGCCTGGCCCTGGCTATCTCTTTGTTGTTGAGTTAAAAAAGTTCTTGGCCCAGCCCAGTGGCTCATGCCTGTAATCCCAGCACTTTGAGATGCCGAGGCGGACAGATCACACGAGGCTAGGACTTCAAAACCAGCCTGGCCAACATGACAAAACCCCGTCTCTACCAAAAATACAGAAATTACTGGGTGTGATGATGCATGTCTGTAATCCCAGCTACTCAGGAGGCTGAGGCATAAGAATCGCTTGAACGCAGCTACTCAGGAGGCAGAGGTTGCAGTGAGCCAAGATAGTGCTGCTGCACTCCAGCCTGGGCAACAGATCAAGAATCTGTCTCAAGAAAATATATAGGCCGGGCACAGTGGCTCACCTCTGTAATCCCAGCACTTTGGGACGCCGAGGCAGACAGAGCGCTTGAGCTCAGGAGCTCAAGACCAGCCTGACCAACATGGTGAAACTCCATCTCTACGAAAACTACAAAAATAAGCTGGACGTGGTGGTGCACACCTGTAGTCCCCCAGCTACTCGGGAGGCTGAGGCAGGAGAATCCCTAGAATCTGGGAGGCAGAGGTCACAGCAAGCCAAAATTGTGCCACTGCATTCCAGGCTGGGTGATGGAGTGAGACTCCATCTCAAAAAATAAATATAATAAAAATAGATACAAAATAATTGTTGTTTCTTTTTTTTTTTTTTTTTTTTTGAGACGGAGTCTTACTCTGTTGCCCAGGCTGGAGTACAGTGGTGTGATCTTGGCTCACTGCAAGCTCCACCTCCCGGGTTCACACCATTCTCCTGCCTCAGCCTCCTGAGTAGCTGGGACTATAGGCACTTGCCACTATGCCCAGCTAATTTTGTTTTGTTTTGTTTTGTTGTATTTTTAGTAGACACAGGGTTTCACTGTGTTAGCCAGCATGGTCTTGATCTCCTGACCTCGTGATCCACCCATCTTGCCCTCCCAAAGTGCTGGGATTACAGGCGTGAGCCACTGTGCCCAGACTTTTTTTTTTTTTTTTTGAGACATGCTCTTATTCTTGTCACCCAGGCTAGAGTGCAGCGTTGCCATCTCTGCTCACTGCAGTGTCAACTTCCTGGGCTCAGGTGATTCTCCCACCTCAGCCTCCCAAGTAATTGGGACTACAGGCGCATGCCACTACACCGACTAATATTTTTATATTTTTAGTAGAGACGGGATTTCACCATGTTGCCCAGGCTGGTCTCAAACTCCTGGGTTCTAGTAATCTGCCTGACTCCCAAAGTACTGGGATTACAGGTGTCAGCCACCATGCCTGACCCTAAAATAGTTTTTTATATATTCTGGACACTAAATACTTAACAATAGATGATTTGCAAATAGTTCTCCTAAGAGTTTTCTTGTTTTAGCTCTTATATTTAGGTCATTGCTCCATTTGAGTTCTGTTTTGTTTGTATATGGTGTGAGGTAGGGGTTTAACTTCATTCTTTTCTCTGTGGTTATCCAGTTTTCTCAACAGTGTTTGTTGAAGACACTATTCTTTCCCCATTGAATGTTCTTGGCATCCTTATCAAAAATCAATTGAGGATAAGTATAAGGGTTTATTTCTGGACTCTGATTCTGTTCCATTGATCTGTGTCTCCTTTCTTTTGCCAGTACCACTACACTGTTTTCATTACTGTACCTTCGTAGTAAAATTTGAAATTGAGACATGGGAATCCTCCAACTTCATTCTTTTTCAAGACTGTTTTGGCTATTCAGGGTGATTGAGAACACTTTGCCATATTTGCACTCATGTTGTTGTTGTTATGATGGGCTATTCAAAAGCAAGCTACTGACATCATGGGAATTTGCCATAAATACTTCCGCATATGTTTTCTAAGAAAATATGCATTTCTCTACAAAACCACAATACCATTGTCACATCCAAATAACTTAAAATTATGGAATATGTAGTCCACACTCACATTTCCCTAGTTGTCTTTTTTTTTTTTTTTAATAGGATCTCACGTCTGTTGCCTAGACTAGAGTGCAGTGGCACCATCATACCTCACTACAGCCTCAACCTCCTGGGCTCAAGCGATCCTCCCACCTCAGCCTCCCAAGTAGCTAGGACCACAGGTGTGAGCCACTCTGTCCAGCTCCCCAGTTGTCCTTTATTTATTTTTTTGAGACAAGGTCTTGCTCTGTCACCCAGGCTGGAATGCAGTGGCACAGTCATGACTCACTGTAGCCTCAGCCTCCTGAGTCCCTAAGACAACAGGCGCATGCCACCATGCCTGCCTAATTTTTAAATTTTTTTGTAGAGATGGGGTCTTGCTATGCTGCCCAGGCTGATCTCCAGCTCCTGGGTTCAAGTGATCCTCCTGCCTTGGCCTCCCAAAGTGCTGGGATTAGAGGTGTGGGCCCAGCCTCCCCAGTTGTCCTGTATAACTTTTAAAAACATTTTTCGTTTGGCTCCAGCCCAGGGTCCCACTTTGCATTGCATTGGGCACTCCCCTCTTTCTTGTCTCCTGCACTCTGGAATAGCTCCCACCGTTTTGGTCTTTCCTGACATTGGCCTGTTCAAGGAGACCAGGCTGGTTGTCCTGTAGCCTGCCCCACAACTTGTCCTTTTCTGTTGTCCCTTGAAGATGAGACTAGGGCAAACATTTTTGCCAAGAATACTACAGATGATGCACCTGTCCCACTGCAGTATGGCAGGCAGGGGCACAGTGCCTGATTGGGCTGGCCCGTTCCTGGCATCGCTAAGTTTCACCATTTGGCTGGAGTGGAGTGGCTGCAGGTTTGTGGAATGAATGACTGGTAACAGCTATCATGATGGGTACAGGGAGACAGTGTCCTAATTCACTAGACCACTGCCCCGCCATTAGCCCCATCTGATGGTGAGAACCCCAGTTCCAGAGAGGCTGAGGGACATGCCTGTGTCACAGTGAACAAATGGCATGGATGGGGTGTGAACCCAGCGGTCTGACTCCACTGGCCACATGCAGTCACTGCTCTGCGCCCATCCAAGAACAGAAGGGCTCAGCCGAGCAGGGCAGAGGCAGCTCCAGCTCTGAGTTCCTGTGGGCCAGCACCATGCCTTGTGGCCCTGTCTGCCCACCTCAGCCTTCACCATGCCCGTCTCAGCCCTGATCATCCTGAGGACACAGGCTGTGTTCCTGCTGTCTGATCAGTCGCTCCCTTGTCTTCCATGTGGGCTGGGCAGTCAGGGCACCCGGCAATGCTGCCAGGGTGGTTTTGTGGCACTCTGGAAGAATCTGGGGGCACCAAGGGGAGGCAGCAGGAGGGCGACAGGGACCCAGGCTCAAAAGAAGGCAGCTGACAGGGCTGCACCGCTCACGCCAGCCTGTCTTCTCTCGTAGATGAAGATGTGTGTGTCTTTAAGTGCTCAGTGTCCCGAGAGACAGAGTGCAGCCGTGTGGGCAAGCAGTCCTTCATCATCACCCTGGGCTGCAACAGCGTCCTCATCCAGTTCGCCACACCCAACGGTACGTGGCCCTCCTTCCATTCCGGTGACACCAGCCCAAAGCGCCCAGAGCCCTGGTGGGCAGGGGCGTAGAGCCTGGCTGAGGGGTGGCCCGTGCATCCTTAAGAAGGCTCCACTGCCCTCAAAACCACATTCCCACATGCAGGTATGCCCAGAATACACTCTGGCCTGGGCAGACCCTGGATCCCAGACCCTCCCTCACCGGCTCCTCCGGGTCTTTTGGGGCTTGGCTTCTATGTCCCCACCTCCAAGAGGCCCATCCTGACCACCTGGGACCAGTCTTTCTGGCAGTGGCCAGCCCTGGGCCAGCTGTGACTGGGCCAGCTGTGGATGGAGTGAGGCGAGGTCCTAGAGGCAGGAAGAGTTTGCTCAGGGCGCAGAGAAGCCACCAGAAGGGCTTAACCAACCCACCTTGGGGGCACAGGTGGACACAAGATTCCTGACTAGGGGTGGGAGAACCCCAGGTGGATGCAGCCAGGGTAGCAGAGAGGTGTCCAGGAATGCCCAGGGCTGGAGATGGTCTGAAGGTCCCACCGCAGGCTTGGTTACCAGAGACCTGAAGTGAGTCCAGTGGTTGACACAGGTGCTGGTGCGAGGACAGCTGGAGGTGGAGAGGCTGCGTGCCCATGAGCCACTGCCGGCCTCCCCCTTGTCTCAAGGTAGCTGTGCAGTGACCCAGATGTACCTTGGGCAGCCTGAGCCCTCGGGGCCAGCTGTGTGAAGCTGCCATGCCTGGCTAATTTTTTGTAGAGATGGGTTTTCACTGTGTTGCCCAGGCTGGTCTTGAACTCCTGGCCTCAAGTGAGCCACCTGCCTCAGCCTCCCAAAGTGCTGGGATTACAGATGTGAGCCACCGTGCCCGGCCCCTTTTTTTTTTTTTTTTTTTTTTTTGAGAAAGAGTGTCACTCTGTTGCCCAGGCTGGAGTTCAGTGGTGCTATCTTAGCTCACTGCAACCTCCACCTCCCGGGTTCAAGGCGATTCTTATGCCTCAGCCTCCCGCGTAGCTGGGACTACACGTGTGTGCCACCGTGCCTGGCTAATTTTTGTGTTTTTAATATAGTAGACATGGAGTTTTTCATATTGCCCAGGCTGGTCTCAAACTCCTGGCCTCAAGTGATCCACCCGCCTCAGCCTCCCAACGTGCTGGGATTACAGGCATGAGCCACTGCACCCGGCCGTTCCCACTCTTAAGACTATTTGTATTTTAATATTTTTTATTTCAGTTCTGTCAGTTTTTAAAAGTTGTGCTAAAATCTACATAACAAAATGTGATCATTTTAACCCTTTTGAAGTGTGTAGGTTGGTAGCAAGCAGCACATTAACATTGTTGTGCAACTGTCACTACCGCCCATCTCCAGAACTTGCTCATCCCGAACTGTGTCTTTTCATTGTTTTTGAGACGGAGTCTCGCTCTGTCACCCAGGCTGGAGTGCTGGAGTGCAGTGGCGCGATCTCGGCTCACCGCAACCTCCATCTCCCAGGTTCAAGCGATTCTCCTGCCTCAGCGCCCTGAGTAGCCGGGATTACAGGCACGTGCCACTGTACCCAGATAATTTTTTGTATTTTTAGTAGAGACGGGGGTTTCACCATGTTGGCCAGGCTGGTCTTGAACTCCTGACCTCAGGTAATCCGCCTGCCTCCGCCTCCCAAAGTGCTAGGATTACATGCGTGAGCAACCATGCCTGACCGTGTCTTTTAATTTTTAAAGAGATTGTCTTTTAAATATTGTTTTGTTTTTTACTTGATATAATTTAGTGGCTATTATTCTATGTTAATAAATATAGCTTTATTTTATTTTATTTTATTTTATTTTATTTTATTTTATTTTATTTTATTTTATTTTATTTTGAGACAGAGTCTCACTCTGTTGCCCAGGCTGGAGTGCAGTCACACAATCTTGGCTCACTGCAACCTCCACCTCCCGGGTTCAAGTGATTCTCCCACCTCAGCCTCCTGAGTAGCTGGGATTACAGGTGCCCGCCACCACCCCTGGCTAATTTCTGTATTTTTAATAGAGACAGGGTTTCACCATGTTGGCCAGGCTGGTCTCGAACTCCTGACCTCAAGTGATCCACTCGCCTCAGCCTCCCAAAGTGCTAGGATTACAGGCATAAGCCACCGTGCCCGGCTTATTATTTCTTGTAGAGACAGGGTCTTGCTATGTTGCCCAGGCTGGCCTCTTAAACTGGGCTCAAGCAGTCCACCCGCCTCAGCCTCCCAATGTGCTGGGATTACAGTTGAGAACCACTGTCCCCAGCCAAATAGATAGAGCCTGCTTTAAAGGGCCACATACCATTGCATCTCTGGG
The DNA here is from genome assembly GCF_000001405.40 of Homo sapiens. NCBI lineage: Eukaryota > Metazoa > Chordata > Mammalia > Primates > Hominidae > Homo > Homo sapiens. The sequence continues at coordinate 10,907,385 of NC_000019.10, forward strand.
AAGGGTGGTGATTGGTGATTCTCTGCCATGCTTTTCTTAATTTTTTATTTCATGTTTTTGTTTTTGTTTTTTAACGAGGCAGGGTCTTGTTATGTTGCTCAGGCTGGTCTGGAACTCCTGACAGCTGATCTGCCCACCTCAGCCTCCCACCTCAGCCTCCCAAAGTGCTGGGATTACAGGCATGAGCCACTGCACCTGGCCTCTACTGTGCTTTTCTGTGCCCCTGGCATTTGTCCAGTCCCCTCTTACTGGACATTGCAGTGTCTGCTGCCCCCACACAGATGCTGCCCTGAGCTTCTGGGTGGACTTGGGCTTATTTGCCAGAGCTTTGACTCCTGGGCCGGTGGGCGTGTGCTTGAGAGAGCTTCACCAAGCTGCCCTTTGGTGAGGAATCCCCAGGCCCACTCCCACCAGACAGCAGCCCCACATGCAGGCTACCTGCCCTCTTCTCATGTCAGTCACCACAGTGCAGGCATGGCTGCCCTTCATCTTTTCTTTGAACTTTGAAAATTGTTTTTCGGGGAAGAGAAATCACCAGCCCTGTATGTTCAAGGGAGAAACGTCAGGACATACGGCCATCCAGAACCTTCCCTCCCAGATGGCCACATGCTGGGTTGCTGACCGCCCCCCGGTGACTTGGCTTCCCTGTTCCAGATTTCTGTTCCTTCTACAACATCCTGAAAACCTGCCGGGGCCACACCCTGGAGCGGTCTGTGTTCAGCGAGCGGACGGAGGAGTCTTCTGCCGTGCAGTACTTCCAGGTGGGTTGTACTCCCCCTCAGCCAGGCCGCCTCCCCCCGGCAGCCCCCCTGCCACTCACCCGCAGGAGGCCACACAGCACAGGGAAGGCCCACCCAAGTTCCCGTCCTGGCTCTGTCCCTTACTGGCCATGTAGCCTTGGGCAGGTTTCCTCTGCTGGCTGGGCCTCAGTTTCCTCATCTGTGAAGCGGAGATGCAGGTGCCTGCCTGAGAGGGTTGCTGGAAGGATCTGAGCACAGGTGGAGCTCAGGGCCACAGGCGTTGTGAATAACGGTAGAGCAGTTACAATGCCCTGAGCGCTCCCTGCATGCCAGGCCCTGGTCTAAGCGCTGTCACATGCACAGAAGCACTTGGACCCTCCCAACAACGCTAGGAGGTAAGTGCTATTATTGTCCCCATTTTACAGATGAGAAAACTGAGGCTCAGAGAGGTTAAGTGACTTGCTCCAAGTCACACAGCTATATGCAACAGAGCCAAGATGGGAAGCCAGGTCTGCCTGATGCCAAAGTCTGTGCCCCTGCCCAGGTGCCACGCTGCCTCCCGATCGCCCGTTGTCTTACAGAGAGACACCACACCTCACCTGCCTGGCGCTCTGAGTTCTAGGGCTCTGTTCGATCTGCTTCTCTTCTTCTTTGGGGCCCTCAAGATGAGGCAGGTGGCCCCCGATGCCAGAACCCTGCCTGTGGCAAATCTTGAGTTCTCCTGGGCGGCTTCCAGGTCCAGGCGGCATCAGCTGTTGCCATCGGCTGCAGTGATAGTGGCGGTGTCCTCCTGGGGGCTGCCCTCCGGCTTCCTGCTCCCTCTCCTGGAGCTGCTAGTGGGGCCCAGGCAGAGGGTGCACGACCTCCCGAGGGAGGTTTGTGCCCTAGATGGCCCCTTGCTCTATCACAGGGCTGGCCAGGGCCTTGGCTGCCTCGTGCCACCATGTGCCCCGTGCCATCGGTATGTCTCTGTTCCAGTTTTATGGCTACCTGTCCCAGCAGCAGAACATGATGCAGGACTACGTGCGGACAGGCACCTACCAGCGCGCCATCCTGCAAAACCACACCGACTTCAAGGACAAGGTGAGTGGCCCGCGCATGTGCCCACCTCTCTGCTTCTGTCTCGGTTTTTTTTTTCTTTGCTCATTGATTTTATCTTTAATTTTCTCAGATTAGAAATGCATTTATCTCAGTTACTGCAGAGGCTGAGGCAGGAGGATCGCTTCAGTCCATGAGTTTGAGGCTGCAGTAAGCTATGATTCTGCCACTGCACTCCAGCCTGGGCGACAGAGCGAGACTCTTGTCTCTTAAAAAAAAACAAATAAACAAGGCCAGGCGCGGTGGCTCACGCCTGTAATCCCAGCACTTTGGGACGCCCAGGCGGGCGGGTCACAAGGTCAGGAGATCGAGACCATCCTGGCTAACACGATGAAACCCCGTCTCTACTAAAAAATACAAAAAAATTAGTTGGGCGTGGTGGTGGGCGCCTGTAGTCCCAGCTACTCAGGAGGCTGAGGCAGGTGAATGGCATGAACGCAGGAGGCAGAGCTTGCAGTGAGCTGAGATCGCGCCACTGCACTGCAGCCTGGGCAACAGAGTGAGACTCCATCTCAAAAAACAAACAAACAAACAAAAAAAACAAAAAGCAAGAAAAACAAATGCATTTGATATATAAACTCAACACAGCATGTACATTATAGGCTTGAGAGGCCTCTATCAGTTCCCTCCAAGATAGCCGCTACCCCTCAGTATGAGGTCTCTTCTTCAAGATTTTTCCCCATACAGACATCAGCGTATATTTTACAATTATTTTATTGAGCTGGGCAGAGTAGCTCACACCTGTCTGTAATCCCAGCACTTTGGGAGGCCAAGGCAGGGGGATCATTTGAGCCCAGGAAGTTGAAACTGCGGTGAGCTGTGATTGGGGTACTGCTCTCCAGGCTGAGCCAAAGTGCGAGACCCTGCCTCAAAAACAAAATAAATAAGCTTTTTGATATCACCAAATAATGTGCACTCATGATTAAAGAGAGAGAGAACAGAGCAGAACGTCTGTATTCAAAAGTAGAAATCGGCCAGGCACAGTGGCTCACACCTGTAATCCCAGCACTTTGGGAGGCTGAGGCAGGTGGATCACTTGAGGTTAGCAGTTCGAGACCACCCTGGCCAACATGGCAAAAGCCCATTTCTACTAAAATAAAATACAAAAATTAGCTGGGCGTGGTGGCAGGCACCTGTAGTCCCAGCTACTCAGGAGGCTGAGGCAGGAGAATCACTTGAACCTGGGAGGCGGAGGTTGCAGTGAGCCGAGATTGTGCCACTGCACTCCAGCCTGGGCAAGAGAGCAAGACTCCGTCTTAAAAAAAAAAAGTAGAAATGTATAATGTATTCCCTTCTCATCCCATTTGCCAGAGTTTTTGGTGTCTACCTTTTTTATTTTTTTATTTTTACTTTTTTTTTTATGAGATGGAGTCTTGCTTTGTTACCAGGCTGGAGTGCAGTGACACAATCTCGGCTCACTGCAACCTCCGCCTCCCGGGTTCAAGCAATTCTCCTGCCTCAGCCTCCTGAGTAGCTGGGACTACAGGCGCACACCACCAAGCCCAGCAGATTTTTGTATTTTTGGTAGAGACAGGGTTTCACCATGTTGGCCAGGATGGTCTAGATCTCTTGACCTCATGATCCACCCACCTCAGCCTCCCAAAGTGCTTGGATTACAGGCATGAGCCACTGCACCCGGCTTACTCAGAATTTTTGTTTTCTCTTTCTGTTTTTGGGGGGTTTTTTGAGACAGATTCTCACTCTGTCACCCAGGCTGGAATGCAGTGGCACAATCTCAGCTCACTGCAGCCTCTGCCTCCTGGGTTCAAGCGATTTTTGTGCCTCAGCCGGCCAAGTAGCTGGGATTACAGTCATGTGCCACCATGCCCGGCTAATTTTTGTATTTTTAGTAGAGATGGGGTTCTGCCATGTTGCCCAGGCTGGTCTCAAACTTCTGGCCTCAAGCAGTTCATCCGCCTCAGCCTCCCAAAGTGCTGAGATTACAGGTGTGAGCCGCCGCACCTGGCCTGTTTTCTCTTTTGAATCAAATGGGAGCCTGTTTTTTTCCTCCAAGTATTTTGGGGATCTCTCCACGTGGATCTGCATGGATCTGCCTCATCCAGCGCCTGGGTCACGCCCCCCTAGCATCGCTTACCGTCCCAGAGGATGGTAGGCCTTGGGCCCTGGGGAGGAGTTGTCTTGACACAAGAGTGTCTGCCCTGGCAGGGCCATCCCGAGCCTCCTCCTGGCCACTGAGGTCTGGGAAGGACGTCCTCCGTTGGTGAAGTCCCTTCCTGCTCCCCAAGGATGGAGATCCATTTCCTGGTTCATCTGGAGCTCTGATCAGTACCCTGAGGCCTTCCCACCTGACCCCAGCTTCCCCTGCAGGCACTCACCATGCCCAGAGCATTTGTCCTTCAAAAGCTCATGCCTGTCACCACCAGGAATGTCTGTCCTTGGTCTGCTCGTGTGGAAGCAATCCCACAAATCCAGAACAGGTGGTGTGTTCTCCCAGACCCTGGCCTGGACTCTGCCATGAGTGACCACCACGGGCCAGTAGCCCTGCGGGGAGCCCAGCCGGCCCCAGGGCTTGGGCGGCTCACCTGCCCCAGCCAAGACGGGCTGCTTCTCCAGGCATGAGTCAGCATGGAGCTGGGAGACACTGCCACCAACAACTCGGGCCCCTTTCCTCCATGCTAGAACTGCGGAGGCCCCGGAAAAATGCTTTTCAACTGCCAGTGAGCTTCCAGGGGAGGCCCGTGCCACTCACCCCAGACGATCCGGAGGCCTGCAGGCCACAGGGTTGGGGCCGAGCGGGAGCTTCCCCAGGGCTTCTCCTCCCGGAGGACTGGCCCATGGCTCATCTTGAGTTCTCGCTTCATTTTGACCAAGAGCCCATAAAGGGCAAACATTGAGAGTGAAGACAGACGCCTCATGATGTGCACATCCCTTATGATCACTGTCACCTCCCCATCACCGTCGCCTCCTATGTCTCGCTCTCACCTCCCACTCCTCCCTCAGATCGTTCTTGATGTTGGCTGTGGCTCTGGGATCCTGTCGTTTTTTGCCGCCCAAGCTGGAGCACGGAAAATCTACGCGGTGGAGGCCAGCACCATGGCCCAGCACGCTGAGGTCAGTGGCCCGCTGGTGCCCACCCAGCCTCGTCCTCGCCCATGAGTGCCATGCCGGCCCCAGCCTAGAGAAGCTTGGGAACCCCCAGGGGCCTGGGGACATTACTTCTGTGCTTTGGTCTCTTTATTGTCCCCAAGACAGTCATTTCAGGGAGGGGCTTCAGGGCCTGAGATGATTTTCTCTCATGGCCGGTAGTCAGGGCCACATGTCATTTCCCTGTTTTCTTTTTTTTTTTTTTGCACTGAAACCTTCATTCACAAAGTTCAAAACATAAAAGCTAAAAAAGAGCAGACAGCGTGCTCTCCTTCCCCACCCCAGCTCCCACCCCCAGCCCCATCATGAGAGAGGAGCTACGGCCACAAAGTCTGAGCAGAGCTATTCCGTGAGCGTCCTCTCGCACCAGTGGAGGCTGCACCCTCCATTCCCTGCTCTGCCTCTCCCATGGATCTGGGGTCGCCGGGGTCGTGGAGGGGCCATCTTTGTTCTGTCTTGCCGCCGCAGAGCACCCCTGTGCCCAGCCGTGCCGCTGTTGCTTTAGCTGCATTGTGTCCGCAGCGACACTCAGACTCCTTCCAGGTCTTCACGTGGCCAACGCTGCTGTCCTGAGCCCCTCTCCCACATGCGGTTGTGTCTGTAGGACACACCCTAGCCCTGGAATCGCTGGGTTGGGGGTGCATCCAGCTTTAGCTTTGGTGGCTGTTGTGATGTCTGCTCGTCCCCCTCTTTGCAGCCACCAGCAGTTGTCGACGCAGGGTGGGGGACCTAGGAGGCCGCAGCAGGGGACGGCCCTGAGGCAGGGCCGGGGTCACAGTGAACTCTCTTTTTTTTTGGGGGGGGTCTCACTCTGTTGCTCAGGCTTGAGTGCAGTGGTGCGATCCTGGCTCATTGCAACCTCCACCTCCCGGGTTCAAGTGATTCTCCTGTCTCAGGCTCCTGAATAGCTGGGATCCACCACTGCAACTGGCTAATTTTTGTATTTTTAGGCCAGGCATGGTGGCTCACACCTGTAATCCCAGCACTTTGGGAGGCTTAGGTGGGCGGATCACCTGAGGTCAAGAGTTCGAGACCAGCCTGACCAACGTGGCAAAACCCCATTAGCCAGGCGTGGTGGTGGGTGCCTGTAGTCCCAGCTACTCGGGAGGCTGAGGTGGGAGAATCGCTAGAACCCGGGAGGCAGAGGTTGCAGTGAGCCGAGATGGCGCCACTACCACCTCCAGCCTGGGCAACAGAGTGAGAATCTGTCTCAAAGAAAAAAAAAATAGTTTTTTTTTTTTGGTATTTTTAGTAGAGACAGGGTTTCTCCATGTTGGTCAGGCTAGTCTCCCAACTTATGAGGTCAAGCAGTCCGCCTGCCTCGGCCTCCCAAAGTGCTGGGATTACAGGCATGAGGCACCGTGCCCGGCCCACAGTGAGCTCTTAACAGGCTATGGCCAATCGCAGCCATGGTTGGGGCGCCAGCGAAGCAGGCAGAGGGGCACCCAATGCCCATGTGTGGATGGAGGCTGTCCCTTGAGAGCAGGTCTAGGGAGGGCCCCATGGCAGGAAGACGCAGGGAAGCCCACATGGCCCTGCCCGCCTGCAGGTCTTGGTGAAGAGTAACAACCTGACGGACCGCATCGTGGTCATCCCGGGCAAGGTGGAGGAGGTGTCACTCCCCGAGCAGGTGGACATCATCATCTCGGAGCCCATGGGCTACATGCTCTTCAACGAGCGCATGCTGGAGAGCTACCTCCACGCCAAGAAGTACCTGAAGCCCAGCGGTGAGCACTGGGGGGTACACAGGCCAGGCCCCTCGGTGGAGGCCCTGGCTGCCGCTGAGCCAGGCCATCAGTGCTTCAGCTCCCTGCTTACTGTCGGTGGCCCGGGGTGTAGGGAAGCCTGGGCTTTTCCCCCGCTCCCACCCCAACCCCACTCCAGCCAGCTGTGGCTTTTGGAGCCCTGGGCCCCAAACACGGCCAGACACCCAGCTGCCCACTCGCCCAGACAGGGTACACAGGATCTCCTGGCACCTCTGCCGTCCCATGTCCTGCTCCTGCGGGACAGCCTCTGGCTGGGAGTGGGGATTGGGACAGGTTCTGTGGTCAGCAGTTCCCCAACAAGCCCTGCTCTCCTCACAGTCCAGGAGGTGGGGTGGGCGAGCATGTGTGCAAATGCAGGGGTGTGGGTGCGAGTGTACGTGTGTGAGGAGGTGAGGTAGCTGTCTGGCAAGCCCATCTGTCACTTCCCATCCGTGCCTCTGGGTATGGCCTCTGGTCACTGGGTGACTGTTTCTTTTTTTGAGACAGAGTTTCACTCTTGTTGCCAAGGCTGGAGTGCAGTGGTGCGATCTCGGCTCACTGCAACCTGCACCTCCCCAGTTCAAGCAATTTTTGTGCTTCAGCCTCCTGAGTAGCTGGGATTACAGGTGTGCACCACCACGCCCAGCTAAGTTTTGTATTTTTAGTAGAGATGGGGTTTCACCGTGTTGGTCAGGCTGGTCACGAACTCCTGACCTCAGGTGATCTACCCGCCTCAGCCTCCCAAAGTGTTGGGATTATAGGCATGAGCCACTGTGCCTGGCCTGGGTGACTGTTTCTATTTGCCCATCTGTCTTGGGGTCTGTGCAGCCCTGACGCCTGAGGCATGTGCCTGTGGCTCTTCTCATGCTAGGTATGTGAGCGTCTGAGCATTTCTGTACAGGCAAGCAGCTGTGTGTGCGTGTGGCAGGGTACAGGTCCCCAGCCAGGGTAGCAGCCATGGGATGGAGCGTGGGCAGCAGCAGGCTGGTGGGGCTTGTGCAGGCAGGGGCAGGGGGGAAGCTTCCACTCTCATCTCTGGCCCGCCCTGGATCCAGGCCCTAGGGTCCTGGCTGGCTGTGCTCCTGGAGGTGGGAGGTGGCGTCCCACAGCTGTGTCTCATGTCTTGGGTGTGAGTATGGGAAGCAAGGCTGCTCCAGGGGCTGTGGGCCCCACTCTCCTCCCCTTCTGCCCTGATGGTGGGGATGGGGGTGGGGACAGCCCCAGCAGAGAGGGCCCCTCCCGATGGGACATGAAGCCAGATGGCAGTCAGGCTCTGTGGGCAGCTGCATGTGCCCCCGACGTCCCAGCAGCCAGCTTGCAGGGAGGGGGGAGGCCAGGCCTGTGCAAGGAGGACTCCTGTCCAGCTCAGGAAGCTCTTCCAGGGGTTAAAGGCAGCCCTCCCCTCTCCCAGTCACATGTCTTCTGGTCAGCAGGAGCCAGAGGTTCCTTCCAGGCTGGGTCACTTCCCATGGTGCCCCCAGGTCCCCCAGGGCAGAAGCCGCAGCATGTGCATCTCCCTCCCCGTTCCAGCAGCTGCAGCCCTGCAGCTCTCGCCTCGGGTACAGCCTGGTGGCGTAAGGAGGAGGCAGAGTCCCACTGATACCTCAGGATCTCCTCCCCCAGCTTGCAAGGCTGGGGGGCCCACATCTGGAGGCCAGGTGCTCCTTGGGGCAGGCGGGGCTGCGGGGCCCTGATCCTCCCTGCCACTGGCCCTGACTCATGCGTCTACCCTTGAGTCACAGAGGGAGGCCCTGCCCTTCCCTCAGTCTGTGTGCCCAGACCAGGCAGGCCAAGTGGCCCATCCTGCCGGCTGGGTGCCTGTGCCAGAACCTAGGCAGTCCCTGTGGTGTGGATTTGGCTTCCCCCACCTGGCTCTTGGCCTCAACTGAGGTCCCCAGCGGCGTTGGGGTAGCCCGGGGCCCACCACCCTCCCTCTGTCCAGAGCAACTTTGCTATGCTTTCCCGGCTGCACACATGCACAGACGGCAGGGCCTGAGAGGCAGCGCCTGGCCACATCCCGGGCACTGCCTGCTTCCCCGTGAGTCTTTGGCAGGTCCCTCACACCTGCCAGGTCTAGTAATAGGACATAAAGATGAGCCACCAGCCTCCCAGTCTCAGGTGGAATTCGTGAGCTGGTGCAGGTCAGGTACCCGTGGTGGTGATGAAACACTGATCAGAATAGGCGCTCGGTGCCACTGTCACAGGAGTGCAGGAACGAATGGATGACAGGCTGGGAGCACCCAGGGTTGGGGGTCTTGGGGTCCTTTGGAAGCTCTGCCAGGCAGTGTGGGATGTGTCACCTGACGCCAGCACCCCTCCCTGCCCCACTCCCAGGAAACATGTTTCCTACCATTGGTGACGTCCACCTTGCACCCTTCACGGATGAACAGCTCTACATGGAGCAGTTCACCAAGGCCAACTTCTGGTGAGTGTGCCCTGGGTGTCCCGCCTGGGCCCCACAGCCTGCCTTCTCAGGGACAGCCCCAGCTCCCCAGAGAGCCTGCACTCCTCTTTTTCTGAAAGACTTGGGCTAGATGAGGGCTGACTGGGAGAGAAGGCAGGGCTACCCCACCTGCCTCTTCTGCAGCCCTGACCTTGCTGTGGGGGTGGGGCCTGTCCACAGGTACCAGCCATCTTTCCATGGAGTGGACCTGTCGGCCCTCCGAGGTGCCGCGGTGGATGAGTATTTCCGGCAGCCTGTGGTGGTGAGTAGGGCCTCCAGGGTACTGCTGCAGTGATCACTTGCCATTGCTGTGCAGCTGTGCAGCCCTCAGGAAGCTACAGCCCCTCTCTGAGCCCTCTCCTCTGCCCTGCACAGCGCTCTCACAGAGATTTGGGCCAAAAGTGTCAATGCATGTAGACACTTAGCACACAGCACACATGCAATACATGTGGAACATTATTAGGTGAGGCTAAGGCAGAGGGGGCATTTAGGCTCAGGAGTTCAAGATCAGCCTGGGCAACACAGAGACGCCATCGCTATTTTTAAAATTAAAATAAATAAATAATAAAAATAAAAAAGAACCATTACTAGATGAATTTATCCTTGGTGAGCTGATGTGATTTATTGATTGATTTTACTTGAGATTTTTGATACATAGATCCATGATTTAAAAATCAAAAGGAAAAAAAAGCTAGGTGCAGTGGGTCACACCTGTAATCCCAGCACTTTGGGAGGCCAAGGCGGGCAGATCACGAGGTTAGGAGATTGAGACCAACACGGTGAAACCCCATCTCTACTAAAAATACAAAAAATTAGCCAGACGTGGTGGCGGGCGCCTGTAGTCCCAGCTACTCAGGAGGCTGAGGCAGGAGAATGGCGTGAACCCGGGAGGCAGAGCTTGCAGTGAGCCGAGATCGCACCACTGCACTCCAGCCTGGGCGACAGAGTGAGACTCCGTCTCAAAAAAAAAGAAAAAAAGGTTCCATTTTATTCTGTTTTCCCCCTGCTCTTGATGTTTTTCATTCGTTTTGGGAGACTCTTGGACTATCTTGGATACTATCTCTTTAAACACTACGTCTGCCCCATTCTTTCTCCTTCTGGGATTCCAATTACGTGTACAGTGAACCTTTTCACCATATCTCAGATGATTGTTATACTCTTTTCTGTCTTTTCCATCCATTTTTTTCTCTCATTTTCTTTTTCTTTTTTTTTTTTTTTTTGAGACGGAGTCTTGCTCTGTTGCCCAGGCTGGAGTGCTGTGGCATGATGTCAGCTCACTGCAACCTCCACTTTCCGGGCTCAAGCGATTCTCAGACTCCTGAGTAGCTGGGAGTACAGGCGCTTGCCACCACTCCCAGCTAGTTTTTTGTAATTTTAGTAGAGATGGGGTTTCGCCATGTTGGCCAGGCTGGTCTGAAACTCCTGACCTTAGGTGATCCGCCTGCCTCGGCCTCCCAAAGTGCTGGGATTACAGGCGTGAGCCACCATGCCCAGCGTGTTCAGTCTTTTGTGATATCACTGGGGAGTGAATGAGTGAAAAAAGCAGGAAATATTTTGGTGGTATTATGCAAATTTTGTATTATGATGAGGGTGCCTTGGAAGAGGCCACAGTTTGAGAAGGTGCTGCTTTATGGTACAGCCTTTGGTAATGTTAATGCAAGTCCAGTGGTTAGCCTCATTACCAATATGCTGCTGAACCACCCGTTAGCTTTTATTGTTTTTTGAAACAGGATCTCACTCTGTTCCCCAGGCTGGAGTACAGTGGCTCAATCACTTCATGGCTTACTTCAGCCTCGATCTCCCAGACGCAAGTGATCCTCCTGCCTCAGCTTCCCAAGTAGCTGGAACTATAGGAGTGTGCCACCATGCCCGGCTAATTTATTTTTTTGTAGATATGGGGCCTCACTGTGTTACTCAGGCTGGTCTTGAACTCCTGACCTCAGGTGATCCGTCCGCCTCGGCCTCCCAAAGTGCTGGGATTATAGGCATAAGCCACTGCACCTGGCGTTGAGCCTCTTATTAGCGGCTTTCTGCTTGGTGTCTTAGCCTCTGATGCCCTGCCTCGCTCAAAGCTCAGGAGTTGGCCAATTTCACAAGCGCACTGAGTGTGCACCGCCCACCTTGCCCTCCTGCACTTATTTCCCTTTGCTTTGACATCACAGCCCCTTGAATCCGAGCTGCCTTGGTAACCCTGAGCTCCCATTTTGCTTTCCCCACCCAAGGAAGCTGCTGAAAGGTCGAGGTGGCCGTTTTCTGCCCTCCCCATGGGGAAAAGGTAGAGGCCAGAAAGGGCTCCCTCCAGAAAGGGCATTTCCCTCCTTTCCAGGAGCTTGATCCCCAAAATCCTGGCCGCTCTGGTTGGTCACCAGTGCTTCCAACAACTGGTTTATTCTTTTCTTTGGATTTTATTCGGTTTACATAGTTCATGGCAGGTGTGTTAGTCGGATATAAACATTGCTGGGAGTGGACAGCAGCACTAGTGTTGTTGTTGTTTTTAAGAGACAGGGTCTCCCTGTGTTTCCCAGGCTTGATTCACACTCTCGGGCTTAAGCGATCCTCCTGCCTCAGCCTCCTGAGTAGCTGGAGTTACAGGCATACAATTCCACACCCAGCTAGCACCTAGTTCTTTAACTTGCTTTTTTGGTTAACTTGCTTAATGATTTAGCTTGGAGATCTTTCCTCATCTGTTCATAAAGAGCCTCTTCATTCTTTCTCACGTCCGCATGGTCTTTGATGGGAGAGCCATCACTGGTTTAATTAGATGGTTTCCAGTGTGTCGCTACCACGGACAATCTAATTATACATGTAAGTTTGTTGATGTGTTCATGTATCTGGAGGTTAAACTCCTGTAGTGCCAAATCTTTTATGTGGATAAACACTTGTCATTTGGAGAGCTGTCACCTGATTGCCCTCGGTGGCGTTGTGCCGGTCCCCTCCTCACGGCGTGTCTGGGAAGAGCAAGCTCGTTTTAGCTGCACAGCCTAGAAGCCGTGGGCAGACCTGGGGGAAGGGGCAGGGCTCTCCCCTCCCATGCTGGCCCTGGCGTCAGATGCCACGTCACACCTGTGGTCTCTCCCAGGACACATTTGACATCCGGATCCTGATGGCCAAGTCTGTCAAGTACACGGTGAACTTCTTAGAAGCCAAAGAAGGAGATTTGCACAGGTACTGGCACCCACACTCCATCCTCCCAGGCCTGGCTCAGGCCGAAGGTCAGGGCCACCCCTGGCTCCCGCCGGCATCCTGCCGTCCCAGGGCAGATGGTGGGCGGGGGCCCCAGGCCTCTGCACCTGGCACCCCCTCTTCTCTCTCGGCAGCGCCTGTCTGGCTTCCCCAGCAGCCACTGCCCTTTGCCTTCCAGGATAGAAATCCCATTCAAATTCCACATGCTGCATTCAGGGCTGGTCCACGGCCTGGCTTTCTGGTTTGACGTTGCTTTCATCGGCTCCATGTGAGTGCCGCAGAGCAGCCCATGCTGCCTCCTCCCCACTCCCAGGGCTTCCTGCAGCTGCAACCTGGCTGGGGGGGTGGAACATGGCTCCAGGTTCCACCATCCCTTCCAATGGGAGTGAGAGCCTGTCTCGGAGCAAGAGACTGTTGTGGGTGGGGTGTGTGTGTGTGTGTGTGTATGTGTGTGTGTGTCCTGTGTTCCCAGTGTCTGTCCCTCATGGGTCTGTGTCTGTCTCTTGGCACATGTCAGGGTGAGTAGGGATCTCGTGGTTGCGGGCCCCTCGTGTGTACATGTATGCCTGCTCATGTTTGTGTCTGGGACTGCCTGGGGGCCAGCCTGTCTCTGCTCCAGGGTCCCAGGGGTCCCTGGCAGAGGGGGCAGGTGCTTGGGGAGGACTCAAGGCATACAAGGTGGTGGCTCCAGTGGTGGCGCCGGCCCAGTCAAGTATGTGCCTGTCCCTGCTCCACAGAATGACCGTGTGGCTGTCCACAGCCCCGACAGAGCCCCTGACCCACTGGTACCAGGTGCGGTGCCTGTTCCAGTCACCACTGTTCGCCAAGGCAGGGGACACGCTCTCAGGGACATGTCTGCTTATTGCCAACAAAAGGTGCGACTGCTCCCTGGGGCTGGTGGTGGTGGGCAGGGGTCCATCTGCCCAGCAGCTCATGCCACGGCCTGCACCCTGTCCGCAGACAGAGCTACGACATCAGTATTGTGGCCCAGGTGGACCAGACCGGCTCCAAGTCCAGTAACCTCCTGGATCTGAAAAACCCCTTCTTTAGGTAGGAGGGGCCCCTTGCCTGCACAGGGGGGCGCCCCGGCCCTGCAACCCCCTTGCCCCTGCCCATGGCTCTGTCTCTGCCATAGATACACGGGCACAACGCCCTCACCCCCACCCGGCTCCCACTACACATCTCCCTCGGAAAACATGTGGAACACGGGCAGCACCTACAACCTCAGCAGCGGGATGGCCGTGGCAGGTGAGCAGGGCCCACCCCAATGCCCAGCCAACCCGGGAGGCCGCCCTCGCCGCAGGCCTGGCCCCTCTGCCTCCAGCCCTGACGTCTCCCTCTCTGGACACAGGGATGCCGACCGCCTATGACTTGAGCAGTGTTATTGCCAGTGGCTCCAGCGTGGGCCACAACAACCTGATTCCTTTAGGTGAGTGTCCCCCAGGGCCAGGGGCAGCAGGGAGCCATGCCCAGGACTGCCCAGGGGCCGGGAAGGGCCTGTGGTGACCAGGGTCGGCCTCTGCTTGGTCCTTTCACCTTTTCCTCTTCCTGGGGGCTCTCGGCCGAGGCTCTCCGTCCTCTCTGCCTCGCTCTGCAGCCTGCTGCTGTGCATGGGCTGGGTGGCTGGGGGCGGTGACGCCGTCTCCCTTCCTTCTTTCCTCCCTCTCGCTGCGCAGCCAACACGGGGATTGTCAATCACACCCACTCCCGGATGGGCTCCATAATGAGCACGGGGATTGTCCAAGGTAACGAGGGTGGCGGGGGCAGGGCCCGTGGGGGCCGAGCTAGCGTGTGAGTCGCCATCCTCTGTCCGGCCGCCCGCCTGCCCTCTTGCCTGCCCTTTCTCTCTCTCTGTGACTCTGCCTGGGGGCTGGGCGGGCCAGGGCAGCCCCTCACTGCCATTGCCTGCTCCACAGGGTCCTCCGGCGCCCAGGGCAGTGGTGGTGGCAGCACGAGTGCCCACTATGCAGTCAACAGCCAGTTCACCATGGGCGGCCCCGCCATCTCCATGGCGTCGCCCATGTCCATCCCGACCAACACCATGCACTACGGGAGCTAGGGGCCCGCCCCGCGGACTGACAGCACCAGGAAACCAAATGATGTCCCTGCCCGCCGCCCCCGCCGGGCGGCTTTCCCCCTTGTACTGGAGAAGCTCGAACACCCGGTCACAGCTCTCTTTGCTATGGGAACTGGGACACTTTTTTACACGATGTTGCCGCCGTCCCCACCCTAACCCCCACCTCCCGGCCCTGAGCGTGTGTCGCTGCCATATTTTACACAAAATCATGTTGTGGGAGCCCTCGTCCCCCCTCCTGCCCGCTCTACCCTGACCTGGGCTTGTCATCTGCTGGAACAGGCGCCATGGGGCCTGCCAGCCCTGCCTGCCAGGTCCCTTAGCACCTGTCCCCCTGCCTGTCTCCAGTGGGAAGGTAGCCTGGCCAGGCGGGGCCTCCCCTTCGACGACCAGGCCTCGGTCACAACGGACGTGACATGCTGCTTTTTTTAATTTTATTTTTTTATGAAAAGAACCAGTGTCAATCCGCAGACCCTCTGTGAAGCCAGGCCGGCCGGGCCGAGCCAGCAGCCCCTCTCCCTAGACTCAGAGGCGCCGCGGGGAGGGGTGGCCCCGCCGAGGCTTCAGGGGCCCCCTCCCCACCAAAGGGTTCACCTCACACTTGAATGTACAACCCACCCCACTGTCGGGAAGGCCTCCGTCCTCGGCCCCTGCCTCTTGCTGCTGTCCTGTCCCCGAGCCCCTGCAGGTCCCCCCCC
Source organism: Homo sapiens (assembly GCF_000001405.40). Classification (NCBI taxonomy): domain Eukaryota; kingdom Metazoa; phylum Chordata; class Mammalia; order Primates; family Hominidae; genus Homo; species Homo sapiens. The sequence goes on from NC_000019.10 coordinate 10,922,471, forward strand.
GCCCCCCCACTCAAGAGTTAGAGCAGGTGGCTGCAGGCCTTGGGCCCGGAGGGAAGGCCACTGCCGGCCACTTGGGGCAGACACAGACACCTCAAGGATCTGTCACGGAAGGCGTCCTTTTTCCTTGTAGCTAACGTTAGGCCTGAGTAGCTCCCCTCCATCCTTGTAGACGCTCCAGTCCCTACTACTGTGACGGCATTTCCATCCCTCCCCTGCCCGGGAAGGGACCTTGCAGGGACCTCTCCCTCCAAAAAAAGAAAAAAAGAAAAAGAAAGAAAAAATAAATGAGGAAACGTGTTGCAGCACAGGCAGTTTTCTTCTCCTTCTGCTCCCCTGTTTCTCATACCCCCAAACTCAGATGCTGGAGCTCAGGCCCGCCGTGTGTGCACCCAGGCAGGAGCGGGCGCTGTCCAGGCTGGGCCGCCCCCTTGGCTCTCCCTCCTGTTCCAGGGGAGCCATAGGAGGGAAAGCAGGTGGCCCGGGGGGGATATGGGGGCCCCAGCCCTGTCCCAAAGCTCCCTGCTCGGCTGCCCCTCGCCCGCCTTTATATAAATTCTCTGAATCACCTTTGCATAGAAAATAAAAGTGTTTGCTTTGTAAGAAAAGTCTGGAAAGTAGCAGAATCATCTCAAGGTGTCAAAGGAGCCTTCAGTCATCGTCTGGGGGGCAGGACAGGCAGAGGGGTTGGTCCACTTAGGTGTTGCCTGAAAGAAAGAATTGTCTGGGAGTGGCCCCAGAACCTCTCGCCTTGACTGGGAGTGGGAGGGCAGCCCCCTTAGCCCAGCTGGGAATAGTCCTTACCTGTGGGACCCGGGCCTTCCTAGGAGGGGGCCAGGGACTGCGGCAAGGTAGGGGACAGCGCGATGTTTGAGGGCAGAGATGTGATTTGGGGTGGAGGAGCCACGTTCTCCGGAGGCAGCGACTGGAAGAAGTACAACTGCACAAGACCCCTGGGGTCAGAGGCAGGGCCAGCCCATGCCCCCCTAGCCCCTCGGCCCCACCTGTGGCCACCCCAGACCCGTACCTTACAGCCCATGGCCAGGAGGGCGTGGAGCAGCACGACCACGGACAGCAGCACTGTGGCCACCAGCCTGGTGTCCTCACGGACCACGGGCCAGAGGGTGAATACCAGCCCGGCGGCTGACAGGCCCAGGGCCAGCGCCCCAAAGAGCCACTGCAGCCAAGGCACAGGGATGAGCCACAGGACCTGGGAGCAACACGGCGGCAGGTGACCATGCCAGTCCCCCCAGCCACCACCCACTCTGCACCAGGCCACCCTCACCACCATGGGAATGAGGCGGCAGGTGACCATGCCAGTGTCCCCACACAGCCACCACCCACTCCGCGCCAGGCCACACTCACCACCATGGGGATGAAGACAAAGAGGGAGTAGCCGTAGATGCACACAGTCTCCAGGAAGGTGTAGGGCCCCATGCGCTCCTGGACACCCTTGCGCCACCGCAGGAAGCCCCACAGGGCCAGGGGCACCAGCCACGCATAGCAGTAGATGCTGATGCCTGCCACGGTCACTGGGGGGGGCAAGGTGAGCAGTCACCCCCTGTACCCCAGGGCCCTGCCAGGCATTGGGCCTGCCCGTCTGCTTACCCTTGTGGAACTGGGGGCTGTAGTGGATGGAGGGGTCCCTCCTCTGGGCCAGCACCAGCGTCAGGTTGCCAGTGACGGCCAGGACAAAGGCCAACGTGGCACAGATCCAGAAGGGGCCTGGGGGTAGGGGGCACAGTCAGGGTCCCGGGCCCTGCACTCCCAGGACAAGCAGACATGTATCCTGACTGAGCTGTGCTGAGACCCCAGCCTCTTCCTAAGCACCTTGCCTGACTCACCAGGACACCGGGGGCCTCCTGGTGGCTGAGCCCAGTGCTGGCTGTCAGTTCATCCCCCTCCCCGAAACACTCAGGACTGCACACCCTTGGCCTGTGTCTCACCTCATTGGTGCCAATTCCTCAACCCCTGTCACCTCCTCTTTGACTCTCTGACCCCTTCAGCCATGGGGAGCAGCCAGGCCCAGTTCTTGGCCCCTTCCATGTCTGCGTTCACCCATAGTATGACCTCCTTCAAGCCCAGGGCCTTATGCCTCCTCTAGAGCCCAGGGCTCTGCCCTGAGCACTGCAGGCTCCAGTTCAAGCTCCCGGGTGGGCATCTCCGGCTTCATCCACACCCTTGCCCTCTGCCCTCACTGCCAAGCTGGTCCCGTGGATACGTGGCAACTCTATCCATCCCGTTAGTCCAGGCAGAAATCCCTAGAGCCTGCCTCCGCTCCTAACCTCCCACTCCCCCCACCCCCACCTATCTAGCCACAAAGCCAGTCTCTTCTACTTCCCCAGCACGTTCCAGAATCCAGTGCCACTCTCCACATCCACAGTCCCCACCATGTGGCCGCCTCCACCCCAGCCTCCTGGCTTCCGCCCTCGCCACTCATGATGGCGAGAGGGACCCCGAAAACACTTAAAGATCCATTCTCGGCCAGATAACAGTGACTCACACCTGTAATTCCAGCACTTAGGAGGCCGAGGCGGGTGGATCACCTGAGGTCAGGAGTTTGAGACCAGCCTGGCTAACACGGTGAAACTCCGTCCCTAATAAAAATATAAAAATCAGCCGGGCATGGTGGCACGTGCCTGTAATCCCAGCCACTCAGGAGGCTGAAGCAGGAGAATCGCTTGAATGCGGGAGGGGAAGATTGCAGTGAGCTGAGATCACATCACTGCACTCCAGCCTGGGTGACAGAGTGAGACTCTGTCTCAAAAAAAAAAAAAAAAGATCTCTTCTTGCCACAGCATGGGAGGCTTGTGTGATCTGTCCCCTCGCCTGTGACCTCCCTGCAGCTCACTCGCTCCAGTGGTAATGCCGCCCTGCAGTTCATGCAAGTTCCTGCCATGAAGCTTACGTCGTTTCTGGAAGCCTCTTTTCCTAGGTCTCCCCCACCCCTCCTGTTGCCAACAAGGCTCATTCCCTCACCCTCCTCAGGGAGGCCTGCCCTGCTGCACCCTGCAGAACTGCAGGGCCACTCCTCCTGTCTGCTCTGCTGCTCTCTACCCGCCACCCTCTGCAGTCCTTCATGTCTCTGTCTCCCTGAACAGCAGGTAAGTCACACTGTCTGAGTGACTGATTTGTCCGCAGCTATACACTGGCATCTGCAACTCAGGCCACACTTGTTGAGTGATCCATCAAGGAACCAAATGCACAACCTCACTCACCATACAGATCCGGCCGATTCCGCAGATGGTGCCGCACAAAGTTGTGGCCAGGCCGGGGCAGCAGTGAGCCTTTGATCCGGTCCAGGACCTGGGGGCAAGGCCAAGGTCAAGGATGGAAGTCTGCCAGGAGCTTCTCCCTTGTCCTGAGAGGCTCCTTCCCTGCTGACCTCCACCCTTCTCTTTCCATGCCCCACCTGAAAGAACTCAGCCTTTCCCTCTCTTTTTTTTTTTTTTTTTTTTTGAGACAGAGTCTTGCTCTGTCGGCCAGGCTGGATGGAGTAGTGGCATGATCTCGGCTCACTGCAACCTCTGCCTCCCGAGCTCAAGCAATTCTCCTACCTCAGCCACCCGAGTAGCTGGGATTACAGGCGTGTGCCACCACGCCTGGCTAATAGTTGTATTTTTAATAGAGACGGGATTTCACCATGTTGGCCAGGCTGGTCTCGAACTCCTGACCTCAGGTAATCCACCCACCTCGGCCTCCCAAAGTACTGGGATTACAGGCGTGAGCCACCGTTCCCAGCCCCCTCTTTTTTTTCCCTCTTTTTTTTTTTGTTTTGAGACGGAGTCTCGCTCTGTCACCCAGGCTGGAGTGCAGTGGTGCCATCTCGGCTCACTGCAAGCTCCGCCTCCTGGGTTCACACCATTCTCCTGCCTCAGCCTCCCAAAGAGCAGGGACTACAGGCGCCCACCACCACCCCCGGCTAATTTTTTGTATTTTTAGTAGAGATGGGGTTTCACCGTGTTAGCCAGGATGGTCTCGATCTCCTGACCTCATGATCCTCCCACCTTGGCCTCCCAAAGTGCTGGGATTACAGGCGTGAGCCACCGCACCCGGCCTCAGCACCCCCTTTTTCTTTTTGAGACAGAGTCTCACTCTGTTCAGGCTGGAGTGCAGTGGCACGATCTTGGCTCACTACCACCTCCGCCTCCCAGGTTCAAGTGATTCTCGAGCCTCAGACTCCTGAGTAGCTGGGACTACAGGTGTGTGCCACCATGCCTGGCTAATTTTTGTATTTTTAGTAGAGATGGGGTTTCACCGCGTTGGCCAGGCTGGTCTCCAACTCCTGACCTCAAGTGATCCACCGCCTCGGCATCCCAAAGTGCTAGGATTACAGGCGCCGACCACTGCACTTGGCTAATTTTTCTATTTTATTTTATTTTTTATTTAATTTTATTTTATTTATCTTATTTTATTTTTGAGACAGAGTCTCATTCTTTTTGCCCAGGCTGGAGTGCACTGGCACGATCTTGGCTCACTGCAACCTCCGCCTGGCGGATTCAAGCGATTCTCCTGCCTCAGCCTCCAGAGTAGCTGGGATTACAGGCGCCCACCACAAAGCCCGGCTAATTTTGTTGTATTTTTAGTAGAGACGGGGTTTCACCATGTTTGGCCAGGCTGGTCTCAAACTCCTGACCTCAGGTGATCCACCCACCCAGGCCTCTCAAAGTGCTGGGATTACAGGCATGAGCCACCCCGCACCCGGCAGTTTTTGTATTTTTGGTAGAGACGGGGTTTCCCCATGTTAGCCAGGCTGGTCTTGAACTCCTCAGGTTATCTGCCCACCTCGGCCCCCTTAAGTGCTGGGATTACAGGCAGGAGCCACTGCGCCCAGTCCATCTTTGGTCTTCTGCATATGCTGTTCCCTGTGCCTGGAACATATACTCCTGCTTCCCTACCCTATTCCCCAGGGAAGCCTTCTGTCTCCTTTAGGTCTCAGCCAATTCCTCACCTCCCCCAGGAGGCCTTTCTCTAACCCACCAGATTGTGTGTGTCCCCTGTGTTCCCATAGTCCCGATCCATAACCAGTCCCACCATAACCCTTTGAGAGCACCACAGTTCGTTCACCAGCACCCACCATCACCAGCACCCTGCCCAGGGGAAGAGTGGCTGAACCCTGAGCATAACTCTGAGCCCCATCCCACCTGCCTCCCCAGCCTGACCTGTGAGGTGTCCACGTCAAAGAAGCTCTGATAGTAGCTGAAGGTCCAGAATCCCGGCTGCTGCTGCTGCTGCTGCTCCTGCAGGAGCTGCACATTGCGGGCATTCAGTGCCTGCCCGGAGAGCCTGGGTCAGCTGGGGGCTGCAAGGAGGCAGGACACAGGGACTCACCGCGGCCTTGTCACTCTCCTCCTCCACCTCATCCTCGGCTCCATAGCTGCCACCTGAGCCCACGGCCACAGCCACGTGCCCTTGTGGGGTCAGCTGATCGCTTCTGCTGGTGGTGGCTGCATCTGGGGTGTCAGCCAGAAGATTAGTGGCCTCCTCGAATTCTGTGGAGGAGGTATATGGGACACACGCACGTTTGAGGGGTGGAAAGAACTCGACTGGGCCCAAGCTAAACCGATGCTCATCTGGGGGCGGAGGCTCTGCTGAGCCATTGATCTCCCCCAAGGTGGGGCCCAACTTCCTCAGTTTGGAGGCATCCGGAGGACATCTGTTCCCTTCCTCCTAAAGTGGAACTGCAACTTAGGGTTGACGCTGGGATGGGGTCAGGGTCTGGGGACGAGAGGCTCGGGTTTGAGGTCTGAGTTCAGGGCGGGGGCGGGGTTCGAGTCAGAGATGGGTCTCACTCCTGGGTCAGGGTTCACAGCCGCCTAGGCTTCGGGGTAGAGAAATTGGAAGCCGTATCGGGGGGAGGTTCTGGCCCGGGGCGGGAGTGGGAGATCCGGCCACGTCGGGGCCGCACTCACCATGGAAGGTCAGCTCGTCGGCCGATGCCATGGTCGTTCAGGGGCGTCTCCGCATCCCTCGCTGAGGACAGAGACCGGTCAGGCACACTTCCCCCCCGCCCCCGAGCCGGTCCCTCGGCCCCCAGCCCTACCTGGCGACCAACTGCACCCACGGAGGCTTGAACTCGTCGTCCCGTCCCCACAGGTGCGCTCCGCCCCCCCTCACCTGAGGCCACCTGGGCCGGCGTGGCTGGGGCTCTCTGCGCCTGCGCGTCTCGCCTACCCGTCAGACTCCAACCGACTCAGACCTGACAGCAACATCCGGCGCCTGTCCTCTTTCTATCCTCTCCCGTTGGGAAGCCACTTCCGGTAAAGTTGGCGCTTGCGCAGAAGAGACTCCCGGGCTCTTAACGTCGGGTATCAGGAGTTTCTTCCCGGAGCAAGGACCCCCAAGACGGAAGAGGATGGCCGCGGCGGCTCTGAGGAGATTTTGGTCCCGGCGCCGCGCAGAGGCGGGCGACGCGGTAGTGGCGAAGCCGGGAGTGTGGGCGCGGCTGGGTGAGTAGCGGCGGAAGGCGGCAGGGTGGGTGGCCGCCGCGACAGGGTGGGTGGCCGCCGCGGCCGGATCACTCTTACCGCGCTCCTCTCCCCTCAGGGTCCTGGGCCCGCGCGCTGCTCCGGGACTACGCCGAGGCCTGCAGGGACGCTTCGGCGGAGGCTAGGGCCCGGCCGGGGCGCGCCGCTGTGTATGTGGGTCTGCTGGGCGGCGCGGCGGCCTGCTTCACGCTGGCGCCCAGCGAGGGTGCCTTCGAGGAGGCGCTGCTGGAGGCGTCGGGGACCCTCCTGCTGCTGGCGCCGGCCACCCGCAACCGCGAGTCCGAAGCCTTCGTGCAGAGGCTGCTCTGGCTGCGGGGCCGTGGCCGCCTGCGCTACGTCAACCTGGGGCTCTGCTCGCTGGTGTACGAGGCGCCCTTCGACGCCCAGGCCAGCCTCTACCAGGCGCGTTGCCGCTACCTGCAGCCCCGCTGGACCGACTTCCCCGGCCGGGTCCTGGACGTGGGCTTCGTGGGTCGCTGGTGGGTGCTGGGGGCCTGGATGCGCGACTGCGACATCAACGACGACGAATTCCTGCACCTGCCGGCGCATTTGCGGGTGGTCGGGCCCCAGCAGCTGCATTCCGAGACCAACGAGCGGCTCTTCGATGAGAAGTACAAGCCTGTCGTGCTCACCGACGATCAGGTGGACCAGGCGCTGTGGGAGGAGCAGGTCTTGCAGAAGGAGAAGAAGGACAGGCTCGCCCTGAGCCAGGCCCACTCGCTGGTGCAGGCGGAGGCCCCGAGATGAAACCCTGAGGCCCCCGAGTCCTGGCAAACTGCTTGCCTGGGGTGGTGCAGTTCTGAGTGTGCCTCACCTGCAGAACAGCTGAGACAGATGATGTGCAAAGTGTTTTCTCACTGGATTTGCACAAGTTTGGGGAGCCTTTCTGCCCCCCGTCTTTGTTCTTTATTAGCTGAAGCTAATTCAGAGCCACCTGGGTCCGGGAGTTGGGGACAGCAGAACGACTTGACACATGTTCATCACTGGCAGAGCTGGTCATGAGCCTTTTATATAAGCCTTTTTCATCGGGCCTCAGAGGCCCTCCTTAAGGAGGTACCACATTGGTCAGCTGACTTGCAAACTCTTCTAAGGCCACTTAGATTTTCTTTTTCAAGTTTGGGTTGTGGCCTGGCATGGTGATGTCTGTAATCCCAGCAGTTTGCAAACTGAGGCAAGAGAATCGCTTGAGGCCAGGAGTTTGAGGCCAGCTAGAGTGACATAGCAAGACTCCGATGCTACAAAAAAGAATAATAATAGTAATTAACTAAATAAAATTTGAGCTGAAATGTTTTTATTCTATGACCTATTCTCTCTCGTTTTTTTTTTTTTTTTTTTTGAGACAGGGTCTTGCTCTGTTTTGCCTGCTGGAGTGCAGTGGTGCAATCTCGGCTCACTGCAACCTCTGCCTCCCAGGTTCAAGTGATTCTCCTGCCTCAGCCTCCTCAGTAGCTGGGATTACAGGCCTGTGCCAACATGCCTGGCAAATTGTTGTATTTTTAATAGAGATGGGGTTTCACCATATTGGCCAGGCTGGTCTTGAACTCCTGACCTCAGGTGATCCACCTGCCTCGCATTTCCAAAGTGCTGGGATTATAGGAGTGAACCACCACACCTGGCCTTTCATTTTGATAAGTAACATTTTTGCCATTCCCAGCTCTTTGGAAGGCTGAGGTAGGAGGATTGCTTGAGATCAGGAGTTCAAGACCAGTTTAGGTAAAATAGTGAGAGCTTTCTCAAAAACTAAAATATTTGGAAGGGTAAAGCAGGCAAATCATTTGAGCTTAGGAGTTCAACACCAGCCTGGGCAATATGGCAAAACCCCGTCTCTACAAAAAGTACAAAAATTTACCAAAGGTGTTGAATGAGAATTGAAAATATGTATACATAGAAAAATTAGCCAGACATGTTGGACCATGTCTGTAGTCCCAGCTATTCAGGAAGGCTGAGATGGGAGGATCACCTGAGCCTGGGAGTTCAACGCTGCAGTGAGCCACGATCGTGCCACTGCACTCCATCTTGGACAACAGAGTGAGACTGTCTCAAAAAGTAAAATAAGTGGATGGGCCCGGTGGCTCAAGCCTGTAATCCCAGCACTTTGGGAGGCCGAGGCAGGTGGATCACGACGTCAGGAGATGGAGACCATCCTAGCTAACACGGTGAAACCCCATCTCTACTAAAAATTCAAAAAAATTGGCCGGGCGCGGTGGCTCACGCCTGTAATCCCAGCACTTTGGGAGGCCCAGTCAGGTGGATCACGAGGTCAGGAGATCGAGACCATCCTGGCTAACATGGTGAAACCCCGTCTCTACTAAAAATACAAAAAATTACCGGGGCGTGGTGGCGGGCACCTATAGTCCCAGCTACTCAGGAGGCTGAGGCAGGAGAATGGCATGAACCTGGGAGGCGGAGCTTGCAGTGAGCCGAGATTGCGCCACTGCACTCCAGCCTGGGCGACAGAACAAGACTCCGTCTCAAAAAAAAAAAAAAAAAAAAAATAGCTGGGCGTGGTGGCAGGCATCTGTAGTCCCAGCTACTCAGGAGGCTGAGGCAGGAGAATAGCGTGAACCCGGGAGGTGGAGCTTGCAGCAAGCAGAGATTGCACCACTGCACTCCAGCCTGGGCAACATAGTGAGACTCCAGCTCAAAAAAATAAATAAATAAGTAACATTTTTGTTTTGATTTTTTTAAGTTTTTTTTTGAGACAGAGTTTCGCTCTTGTTGCCCAGGCTGGAGTGCAGTGGCACTCGCCCCAACCACCGCCTCCTGGGTTCAAGCGTTTCTCCTGTCTCAGCCTCCCAAGTAGCTGGGATTACAGGCGCATGCCACCACGCCCGGCTAATTTTTGTATTTTTTAGTAGAGATGAGATTTCATCATGTTGGTCAGGCTGGCCTCAAACTCCTGACCTCAGGTGATCCGCCTGCCTCAGCCTCCCAAAGTGCTGGGATTGCAGACGTGAGCCACCGTGCCCGGCCCTCGTTCCCTATTAAAAATACAAAACCAGGCAATTGACAGTGTCATGACTATTGGGATGTTACAGGGAAGTTTTTTGTAAAACAACCTGTTTACCAGATGAGCATTGTAAGTTACTGGAGGTGGCTTGGAAGGATAAAGCATTTTCTGGTCTGGAAATCTATATGGAATCATAGATTCTGGTTATGTTGTACTTCAGTAACCCTGAAACAGAATTCTATGAAAAGAAGTAAGTTAGTGTACACAGCTGGTACTTAGCTAGGTTATGGTAAATTGTATTTTTGTTGTTGTTGTTGTTGTTGAGACAGAGTCTCACTCTGACACCCAGGCTGGAGTGCAGTGGCACGATTTCGGCTCACTGCAACCTCTGCCTCCCAGGTTCAAGTGATTCTCTTGCCTCAGCCTCCTGGGTAGCTGGGATTACAGGCATATGCCATGATGCCCAGCTAGTTTTTGTATTTTTAGTAGAGATGGGGTTTCACCATGTTGGCCAAGCTGGTCTCAAACTCCTGACCTCAAGTGATCCTCCCACCTCGGCCTCCCAAAGTGCTGGGATTATAGGTGTGAGCCACTGCGCCCGGCCAATATTTTTTTTTTTTTTTTTTTTTTTTTGAGACAGAGTTTCACTCTATTGCCTAGGCTGGAGTACAGTGGCATGATCTCGGCTCACTGCAGCCTCTGCCACCTGGGTTCAAGCGATTCTCCTGCCTCAGCCTCCCAAGTAGCTGGGATTACAGGCATCTGGCACTGCGTCCGGCTAATTGTTGTATTTTTAGTAGAGACGGGATTTCACTATCTTGGCCAGGCTGGTCTTGAACTCTTTGTGATCCACCTGCCTTGGCCTCCCAAAGTGCTGGGATAATAGGCGTGAGCCACCACACCCGGCCTCAATACTTTTTATTTTTTTTAAGTGTAATTTATGGCCGGCGCAGTGGCTCACACCTGTAACTACAACACTTTGGGAGGCCAAGGTGGGAGGATCGCTTGAGTCCAGGAGTTCGAGACCAGCCTAGGCGACATGGTGAAATCCTGTCTCTACAAAATACACAAAATTACAAAATACACAAAAATTAATCGGGTATGGTACACACCTGTACTACCAACTATTCAGGAGGCTGAGGTGGAAGAATTGCTTGAGCTTGGGAGGTTGAGGCTGCAGTGAGCCAAGACTGCATCACTGCACTCCAGCCTAGGTGACAGAGCAAGCCCCGTCTCAAAAAATTAATAAGGCTGGATGCGGTGGCTCACGCATGTGATCCCAGCACTTTGGGAGGCTGAGGTGGGTGGATCACAAGGTCAAGAGCTCAAGACCATCCTGGCCAACATGGTGAAACCCCGTCTAACAAAAATTAGCTGGGCGTGGTGGCGCACGCCTGTAATCCCAGCTACTTGGGAGACTGAGGCAGGAGAATCACTTGAACCCGGGAGGTGGAGGTTGCAGTGAGCCGAGATCACGCCACTGCGTTCCAGTCTGGGCAACAGAGTGAGACTCCGTCACACAAAAAAAAAAAAAGAGAAAAAATAAATAACATAAAACTGAAGTATTAAGGGAGTGATGCTACCTCAGGGGCCTGTGGCAAGTTAATAAAACCAGGTGGTAAAACAACTATCTTTGTTTGTGATACTTGTTTTTGTGTGTTTGCTACTTTCAAATTTTGGCATTTGACCCTTGCATTCATAATCAGTGGGTTGAACAGGTGTTGGTTTAAGTCAGCATCTCACTTTTACAGAGGAAAAGCTGAGGTTCAGAAAATTTATTTTTCCAAGGCTGTGGCAGGACCAAGATTCGAACTGTAACTCCCAGCTCTGTGACTTAATCCTCAAACTTGTGGACTTTGATCCTAATAATTCTTGTCAGAAATAGTTAAATACTGCTATCAGTTGCCATAAATAAAAATTGGATATAGAAATACATATATAAAGCCGGGCGTGGTGGCTCACGCCTGTAATCCCAGCACTTTGGGAGGCCGAGGCGGGCAGATCACAAGGTCAGAAGATCGAGACCATCCTGGCTAACACAGTGAAACCCCGTCTCTACTAAAAATATTTAAAAAATTAGCCGGGCGTGGTGGCAGGTGCCTGTAGTCCCAGCTACTCGGGAGGCTGAGGCAGGAGAATGGCGTGAACCCGGGAGGCGGAGCTTGCAGTGAGCGGAGATCGAGCCACTGCACTCCAGCTTGGGCGACAGAGTGAGACTTGTCTCAGAAAAAAAAAAAACAAAAAAAAAAACCAGACATATATAGGCTGGGTGCAGTGGCTCACGCCTATAATCCCAACACTTTGGGAGGCCGAGGTGGGCAGATCATCTGAGGTTGGGAGTTCGAGACCAGCCTGACCAACATGGAGAAACCCCATCTCTACTAAAAGTACGAAATTAGCCAGGCGTGGTGGCACATGCCTGTAATTCCAGCCACTGAGGAGGCTGAGGCAGGAGAATCGCTTGAACCCGGGAGGTTGTGATGAGCTGAGATCGTGCCATTGCACTCCAGCCTGGGCAACAACAGCAAAACTCCCTCTCAAAAAAAAAAAAAAAGAAAAAAGAAAAAAAGAAATACATATATAAAAAAGAAATGCAATAAAACCAAAAGACACAGCCTGGATAACATAGCAACACCTCGTCTCTACTAAAAATAAAAATAGGCCAGGTGTGGTGGCTCACATCTGTAATCCCAGCACTTTGGGAGGCCAAGACGAGTGGGTCACCTGAAGTTAGGAGTTCAAGACCAGCATGGGCAACATGGTAAAACCCCGTGTCTATTAAAAATACAAAAAATTAACCGGGCATGGTGGCAAGCACCTGTAATCCCAGCTACTCGGGAGTGAGCCGAGATCATGCCATTGCACTCCAGCCTGGGCAACAAGAGCAAAACTCCGTCCCAATAAATAAATAAATAATAATTAAAAAAAAAATAGCCAAGTGAGACGGTGTGTGCCTGTGGTCCCAGCTACTTGTGAGGCTGAGGTGAGAGGATCCCTTGAGCCCAGGAGTTTGAGGCTGCAATGAGCTTGGTCATGCCGCTGCACTCCATCCTGGGCCACAGAGTGAGACACTATCTCCCCTCTAACCCCCAAAAATGAAAGGAAACAAAAGACGTCGAGATGATACTAACTAAATGCTATCTCTACACCATTACCTGCCAAAAATCTCTGTCCCCAAATCTGCCCTCTGTTAGACATTAGCCAACTTCAGGGAAGGGTTTTAAGGTGTCATCAAAGACACTTGTTTCTCATTGATCAGAAGTATTGGAAAGGGTCCACACCATCATTGCTTGAGTCAGTTATTAAATGCCACTTTTGACTTCTCGCCAGGGTGTGTTCCAGGAAGATCATCTGAAGCTGCTGGGAGCTTGAAGCTGAGGGCAGTGGTCGGCGCTGTTGGTAGGAATTGTGGAGCTTGGGCAGCCTGAAGGCTTTGTGTCTTGGCTTTGGGCAGAGGGTCAGCTTTTCCCAGAGGTCTCACTGTACTTCAGCCCATGCTCTGGTGTAAGGCAGAGGACAGGAGGCATAAGTGGGCTTTAAAGCCAGGATTTGGAACTCAGCTTTTACACTTCCTTGCTTTGTGAGTGAAGTCACTTCTCCATGCTTTGGGCTCCTTATCTCTAAGTGTGGGCTTGTCAGAAAAATTTAAAAGCCCACTAAAGCACTTGGTACAGAGTAGGCATTCACAGTCTGTGGTGCGGCTGTGCAGGGAAGATTATGGCTCCGAATCCATGCTGTGACCTTCCTAAGTGGTTGTGGAGGGGCTGATGCACCCTGCCTAGTGGTGCAGGGCCACCATGTAGGGAGGGCCCAATGTCTGATAGGATAGAGCCAAGGCACGCTTCTTTCTCAGATCCAAGTGACAGCCGAATCTAATATGAACATTTCTGAGTTCTCCCCCACACCTTGTTTTCAGGGACGGTCTCACTCTCTCTCCCAGGCTGGAGTGCAGTGATGCAATCTCAGCTCACTGCAACCTCGACCTCCCTGGACTCAAGCTGTCCACCCACCTCAGGCTCTCAAGTAGCTGGGACTACAGGTGTGCACCACCATGCCCAGCTAACTTTTGTGTATTTTTTTTGTAGAGACAGGGTTTCGCTATGTCACCCAGGCTGTTCTCGAACTCCTGAATTCAAATGATCTTCCCACCTCGGCCTCCCAAAGTGCTGGATTACAAGTGTGCATCACTGCACCCGGCCTGAGTTCTCCCTTGAAAAAAAAGGCGGGGGCGGGGGGGAGCAGTTTGGAGATAGGGTCTCGCTGTGTCACCCAGGCTGGAGTGCATTAACGACCCATTGCAGCCTCGACCTCTTGGATTCAAGCAATCCTCCCACCTCAGCCTCCCAAGCTGCTGGGACCACAGACACACACCACCACACCGGCTAATTTTTTAAGTTATTTGTAGAGATGAGATCTCACTGTGTTGCCCAGGCTGATCTCAAACTCCTGGGCTCAAGTGATTTTCCTGCCTCAGCCTCCCAAGGAAATAAAATATTCTTGGATTCTTGGTTAGCTTTAATTATTTCCGCTTTCCAGGCTAGCCCAGGAGTTGCCCTCCAGCACGTCCTTTGAAAAGTACTTTTCGGCCGAGCGTGGTGGCTCACGCCTGTAATCCAAGCACTTTGGGAGACCGAGATGGGAGGATCACCTGAAGTCAGGAGTTGGAGACCAGCCTGACCAACATGACGAAACCCTGTCTCTACTAAAAATACAAAAATTAGCCGGGCATGGTGGTGGGCGCCTGTAATCCCAGCTACTCAGGAGGCTGAGGCAGGAGAATCACTTGAACCTGGAAGACGGAGGTTGCCGTGAGCCAAGATGGTGCCATTGCACTCCAGCCTGGGAGACAGAGCAAGACTCCGTCTTAAAAAAAAAAAAAAAAGTATCTTTCCCACTGTTGTGATTAGAAAGACCAGCAGAGGGCATCAGAGACTTAGTTCGGAGACAGAACGTAGCTGATTCCATCCTGCCTTACTTAGCCCCCATGGAATGGCTCAACGCAGGTTCCTTTTGTCCGCGGGCAGCAGCAAGTGGAGGTCGTGCAGCTTCCACTTGCACCAGTTTACTGTGCCTTGGAATTGGATAGATGATGGCAGAAGTCGAGGCCCCACGGAGGGGCCACCTTCATCTCTGGAACCTGCACCTTTACCTACTTATGTCCACAAAAAGAGTCAGACTCTGAATCTTTTTTTGTTTTTTTTTTTGTTTTGTTTTGTTTTGAGACGGAGTTTTGCTCTTGTTGCCCAGGCTGGAGTGCAATGGCACGATCTTGGCTCACCGCAACCTCTGCCTCCCGGGTTCAAGCGATTCTCCTGCCTCAGCCTCCCAAGTAGCTGGGATTACAGGCATGAGCCACCATGCCCGGCTAATTTTTTGTATTTTTAGTAGAGACGGGGTTTCTCCATGTTGGTGAGGCTGCTATCAAACTCCCAACCTCAGCTGATCCACCCACTTCGGCCTCCCAAAGTACTGGGATTACAGGCGTGAGCCACCGCGCCTGGCCCAGACTCCGAAAATATCTGAAGAGATTTATTCTGAGCCAAATATGAGTAACCAATGGCCTGGGACACAGCCCTCAGGAGATCCTGAGAACATGTACCCAAGGTGGTTGGGGCATAGTTTGCTTTTATACATTTTAGTGAGACATGAGACATCGGTCAATATGTGTAAGATGGGCTGGGGGTGCCCTGGCTCACACCTGTAATCTCAGCACTTTGTGAGGCCGAGAGGGGCAGATTGCTTGAGCCTAGAAGTTCAAGACCAGTCTGGGCAACACAGTGAGACTCTGTCTCTACAAAAAAATACAAAAACTAGCCAGATGTGGTGGTGCGTGCCTGTAGTCCCAGCTACTTGGGAGGCTGAGGTGGGAGGATCACCTAAGTTAGAGAAGTTGAGGCTGCAGTTGACCACGCTGATCTCGAACTCCTGGCCTCAAGCAATGATCCTGCCTCAGCTTCTCAAAGTGGTGGGATTATAGACGTGAACCACCACACCCAGCCAACAGAAGTTCTTTGTTTTTTTTTTTTGGTCCCAAACTTTACCGTTGACAACCGAAGTATTTTAAAGCAAATCCCAGATATCCTGTCATATTACCCCTATAATTTCATTTTCTTTCTTCCTTTTTTTTTTTTTTTTTTTGAGACAGATTCTCGCTCTGTTGCCCAGGCTGGAGTGCAGTGGCATGATCTCGACTCACTGCAACCTCCCAGGTTCAAGCAATTCTCCTGTCTCAGTCTCCTGAGTAGCTGGGACTACAGGTGCACGCCACCACGCCCAGCTAGTTTTTGTATTTTTAGTAGAGACAGAGGTTTCACCATATTGGTCAGGCTGGTCTCGAATTCCTGACCTCAGGTTATCTGCCCCCTTTGGCCCCCCAAAGTGTTTGGATTACAGGTGTGAGCCACCACGTCTGGCCTATAATTTCATTTTCTTATATCATGACACTACCATTATCACACCTATCAAAGTCCACAATTATTATTTGGTATCATCTGATATTACATTTCCCTGAGGATCTCAAAAGTGTCCTTTTACACTTGGTTTGTTTGATTCATGATCCAAACAAAGTTCACATACTGTATTTCGTTGTTGTGATTTTTCAGTCTCTCTTTTTTAAGACGGAGTCTCGCTCTGTCGTTCAGACTGGAGTACAGTGGCACAATCTCACCTCATTGCATCCTCCGCCTCCTGGCTTCAAGTGATTCTCCCTGCCTCAGCCTTTTGAGTAGCTGAGATTACAGGCACCCACCACCATACCCGGCTAATTTTTGTATTTTCAGTAGAGATGAGGTTTTGCCACATTGGCCAGGCTGGTCTTGAACTCCTGACCTCAGGTGATCCTCCCTCCTCGGCCTTCCAAAATGCTGGGATTACAGGCATGAGCCACTGCGCCCAACCTTAAGTCCTTTTTTTTTTCTTTTTGAGACAGAGTCTTGCTCTGTAGCCCAGGCTGGAGTGCAGTGGTGCGATCTCGGCTCACTGCAACCTCCACCTCCCAGGTTCACACCATTCTCCTGCCTCAGCCTCCCGAATAGCTGGGACTACAGGCTCCCACCACCACACCCGGCTAATTTTTTTTTTTTTTGTATTTTTAGTAGAGATGGGGTTTCACCATGTTAGGCAGGATGGTCTTGATCTCCTGACCTCGTGATCCACCCGCCTTGGCGTCCCAAAGTGCTGGGATTACAGGCCTGAGACACCATGCCCGGCCTCTTAAGTCTCTTTTAACCTAGAAGAGTGCCCCCTATGCATACACTTTTGATGTGTTGCAGAAAACCACTTTTTTTTTTTTTCTGAGACAGAGTCTCACTCTGTCGCCCAGGCTGGAGTGCAGTGGCGTGATCTCAGCTCAGTATAACCTCCCCATGCCGAGTTCAAGTGATTCTCCTGCCTCAGCCTCCTGAGTAGCTGGGATTACAGGCACCTGCCACCACGCCCGGCTAATTTTTGTATTTTTATTAGAGACAGGGTTTCACCATGTTGGTCAGGCTGGTCTCAAACTCCTGACCTCAAGTGATCCACCCGCCTCACCTTCCCAAAGTGCTGGGATTACAGGCATGAGCCACTGTGCCCGGCCCAATTTTATCACTTCTGATGGGTGCCCAGGTCAATCGTTTCATTAATAGCTGTACAAAGAAGCCAGTTCTTTTGTTCTTGCAATCTTATTTATAGCTGGTGAGCCACAGGCATTTCA
The DNA here is from genome assembly GCF_000001405.40 of Homo sapiens. Classification (NCBI taxonomy): domain Eukaryota; kingdom Metazoa; phylum Chordata; class Mammalia; order Primates; family Hominidae; genus Homo; species Homo sapiens. The sequence continues at coordinate 10,939,599 of NC_000019.10, forward strand.
CATTTCCTGTTACTGATTCACCAGGTGAACAAATAAAAACCTGAAAGAGCCAGTCCTTCAAGATGGATCTGGAGTGGCAGACTGGGCTTCAATTTTAAGTACACCCAAGCAACCATTTGCTGAATAGAGGTCACACATGTATTCTGAGTTGCCCCAAAACTCACGCCTCCGTTTTAACTTTTGGACATTCAGAGGTCTCCTGGACCAATCAGTCAGAACTCAGATGTGTCAACCAGTAAAAACTAGGCAAGTTTGACTCCCTGATTTGCATAAACAGACTTGAGTGGGAACCTGGGCTGGAATTTTTGCTATAATACCTGAACCCTCGGGAGGCTAAGGCAGGAGAATTGCTTCAACCCAGGAGGCAGAGGTTGCAGTGAGCTCAGATTGCGCCACTGCACTCCAGCCAGGGTGACAGAGCCAGACTGTCTCACAAAAAAAAAAAAAAAAAAAAAAAAAAAAAAAAAAAAAAAAAAAAACCTGAACCCTCCCTTTGTTCTCTGGAATGCACCTTCATTTTACACCAAATACTGTGTCTCTTCAGTTTGCAAACTGTTGACTGGAATACAATCTATTCCCTCCAAATTCCTTTTCAGAGAACATTGGTTCACAATCATGTCCTACCAGAAGGAGTTTCTGGGGAATTCACAGCCATCTACAGAAGACATCCTTGACTTGCCTTTTGAGGTTTCCCTCAGGGCAGCCACAAGGATGCTGTGTTCCTTTCCCATGTTGTGGCAGGCCACAGTGACAATTTCTTTTTCTTTTTCTTTTTTTTTTTTTTGAGATGGAGCCTCGCTCTGTTGCCAGGATGGAGTGTAGTGGCGCAGTCTTGGCTTACTGCAAACTCCACCTCCCAAGTTCAAGCGATTCTCCTGCCTCAGCCTCCCAAGTAGCTGGAACTAGAGGTGCATGCCACCATGCCCAGCTAATTTTTGTACTTTTAGTAGAGACGGAGTTTCAGCATGTTGGCCAGGATGGTCTCGATCTCTTGACCTCGTGATCTGCCTGCCTCGGCCTCCCAAAGTGCTGGGATTATAGGTGTGAGCCACCATGCCTGGCCCACAGTGATGATTATGAATAGCTATTCATTATTTGAAAATGAATAGTATCTGAAGTATCTGAGACAGGTCTCCATCAAATTAGAAATTCATTTTGCCAAGGTTTAGGACATGCCTGGAAGAAATAAACACAGGGCCAGGTGCAGTAGTTTACACCTGTAATCCCAGCGTTTTGGGAGGCCAAGGCGAGCAGATAACCCGAGGTCAGGAGTTTGAGACCAGCCTGGCCAACATGGTGAAACCCCATCTCTACTAAAAATACAAAAATTAGCCGGGCGCGGTCGTGGGCACCTGTAATCCCAGCTACTAAGGAGGCTGAGGCAGGAGAATCGCTGTGCACCACTGCACTCCAGCCTGGGCAACAGAGGGACAGAAAGAGACAGAGAGACAGAGAGAGACAGAGGGAGGCAGGGAGGGAGAGAGGGAGGAGTGGGGCAGGGAGGGAGGGAAAGGAAAGGAAAGGAAGGAAAGAAAAGAAAAAGAGAAAAAGAACGAAACATAGAATCACGGACACAGTTCATAATCTGTGTCTTTCTCCAAAAATTATTTTGAGGGCTTCAGTATTTAAAGGGGAAAAGTGGGCTGGAGGGCAAATGGGAGAGTAATGTGTCCATGTGTAATAAAATCCATATATGTAATGTATCCCAAATGTATCCATATGTAATTCACATATTCCTACAGAAAAGGAGCAGGTAGGGGGATAGTCAATTATGTATTCGTCTGGCGCCCAGTAAATGGTCACTTTCCATAAGATAAAGTGAACACAGGGTAGGTACCTATGGAGCTTTTTTTTTTTTTTTTGAGATGGAGTCTCGCTCTGGCGCCCAAGCTGGAGGGCAGTGGCAGGATCTCGGCTCACTGCAAGCTCCGCCTCCCGGGTTCAGGCCATTCTCCTGCTTCAGCCTCCCCAGTAGCTGAGACTACAGGCGCCTGCAAACACGCCCAGCTAATTTTTTTTTTTTGTATTTTTTTTTTGTATTTTTAGTAGAGACGGGGTTTCACTGCGTTAGCCAGGACGGTCTCCATCTCCTGACCTCGTGATCTGCCCGTCTCGGCCTCCCAAAGTGCTGAGATTACAGGCGTGAGCCACCGCACCCGGCAGATTTTTTTTTTTTTTTTCTTTGAGATGGAGTCTAGCTCTGTCACCAGGCTGAAGTGCAGTGGCGCAATCTCGGCTCACTGCAACCTCCGCCTCCTGGGTTCAAGCGATTCTCCTGCCTCAGCCTTCTGAGTAGCTGGGACTACAGGCATGTGCCACCAGGCCCAGCTAATTTTTTTTTTTTTTTCATGGAGATGGGGTCTCAGGCTTTTGTCTCGAACCCCTGGGCCAAGTGATCCTCCAACCTCAGCCTCCTGAGCAGCTAGTTCTTTTCTAGTGTAATATATTATCTTACGGAATATATTCCATTGTCTGCATGGACCCCAGTTGGTTTATTCACCCATCTACTTAGTGACATCTTGGTTATTTCAAAGCTGACATGGTAGGTATTACTGGTCGCCTTACAGGGGAACAGCAGGACATCTGTAGTGTGTGGTGAACACTAGAGGGAGCAAGAACCCCCTTTCTCTATCAGGTGGGTGTTACCCATTTCCCAGCTGCACTAATCTGTCGTTCCTTGTAGAGGCCTGATCTGGTGTTTGCCCTGAATGAGAGATGATCTGGAAACCATTTGTGGGAAAATTAAGTTAGACATCCTTCCATTGAAATAAAATGCAGGGGCCGGGCACAGTGGCTCACGCCTGTAATCCCAGCACTTTGGGAGGCCAAGTCGGGCTGATCACCTGAGGTCAGGAGTTCGAGACCAGCCAGGCCAACATGACTAATTTTTTTGTATTTTCAGTAGAGACGGGGTTTCACCGTGTTAGCCAGGATGGTCTTAATCTCCTGACCTTGTGATCCGCCCGCCTCGGCCTCTCAAAGTGCTGGGATTACAGGCGTGAGCCACCGTGCCCAGCCTTGCAGCAAATAATTACATGAAAAAATAATTAATTTAAATTCTGGCAAGTTCTTTGAATCAAAACCAGGGAGAGGTGCTCTGCTCTAATAACCCAGCTCTTGTGGATGTTATTCATGCTAAAACTTGTAGGATTTTCCATTGCTTGAGTTCTGCTGTAGTGTTATTGCTTATCAGTGTAGGATCTGTGCTCTGTGGATTGGTTTAAACTTTACTCGTGGGACAGCTGGCTTTGAAAAGTTTTCATCATCCCCTGCAGGGACTGCACTGGTCTTTGTTGAGGCACATCTAATGTTGATAGCTCTGTTTCCTCCCAGCTGGGGCTCCAATCTGTGACCTTGCTTAGGTAGTGATGCTCTGAAAAGTCTCCCTATTTCTTCTGAGAACAGTTAGATATTGGGTGTAGGCTTTTGAAATAATATGATAGGCCTCACTCTGTAGGGGTTTTTACAAAAGCCACTATAGGCTGGACGTGGTGGCTCACACTGTAATCCCAGCACATTGGGAGGCTGAGATGGGAGGATTGCTTGAGACGAGGAGTTTGAGACCAGGAGTTTAAGACCAGCCTGGTCAACATAGTGACACCTCCATCTCTTTAAAATTGTTGTTTAATTATATAAAAGCCACTGTAGAGTTTGAATGCTTTCAAAATATCAAGAGGATGACCACAATGAAGTAAACTGTCACGGTGGGGCACAGTGCCTCATGCCTGTAATCCCAGCACTTTGGGAGGCTAATGTGGATGGATCCCTTGAGCTATGAGTTTGAGACTGACCTGGGCAACATAGGGAGACCCCATCTCTACTAAAAATATGAAAAATTTAGTAAAAACCCTGTCTCTACTAAAAATACAAAAATTAGCCAGATGTGCTGGCATGTGCCTGTAGTCCCAGATACTGGGGAGGCTGAGGTGAGAGAATCACTTGAACCTGGGAGGCAGAGGTTGCAATGAGCTGAGATCATGCCACTGAACTCCAGCCTGGGCAACAGAGCAAGACTCCCTCTCAATAAATAAATAAATAAATAAACAAATAAATAAATAAATACTAAAATAAAATATAGCCAGGGCACAGTGGCTCGCACCTGTAATCCCAGCACTTTGGGAGGCCGAGGTGGGCAGATCATGAGGTCAGGCGTTCGAGACCAGCCTGGCCAACATGGTGAAACCCCATCTCTACTAAAGATACAAAAAGTTAGGCATGGTGGTGGGTGTCTGTAATCCCAGTTACTCCGGAGGCTGAGGCAGGAGAATCGCTTGAACCTGGGAGGCAGAGGTTGCCGTGAACTGAGATCGCGCCACTGCACTCCAGCCTGGGTGACAGACCAAGACTCCCTCTAAAAAAAAAAAAATTACCTGAGTGAGGTAGTGTGCTCCTGTAGTCCCAGCTACTTGGGAGGCTGAGGTGGAGGATCACCTGAGCCCCGCAGGTTGACTCCATAGTGAGCCATGATCATCTCACTGCACTCCAGCCTAGTTGAACAGTGAGACTCTGTCTCAAAAAAAAAATAAAAATAAAAAAAAAGAGGGAGAGGCTGGGTGTGGTGGTTCATGCCTGTAATCCCAGCACTTTGGGAGGCCGAGGCAGGTGGATCACGAGGTCTGGAGATCAAGACCATCCTGGCTAACACGGTGAAACCCTGTCTCTACTAAAAATACAAAAAATTAGCTGGGCGTGGTGGCACGTGCCTGTAGTCCCAGCTACTCGGGAGGCTGAGGCAGGAGAATCACTTGAACCTGGGAGGTGGAGGTTGCAGTGAGCTGAGATCGCGCCCTTGCACTCCAGCCTGGGTGACAGAGCGAGGCCCCATCTCGAAAAAAAAAAGAGGGAGAGATAACATGTCACACCCATGAGAATAGCTAGTAAAACAAAACAAGGCTGGGTGCTGTGGCTCATGCCTGTAATCCCAGCACTTTCAGAGGCCAAGGCAAGAGGACCACTTGAGGCCAGGATTTTGACACCTTCCTGGGCCAGAGAGCGAGATCCTATCTCTAAACAAAAAAAAATATTTTTTTTTTTGAAATGGGGTCTCACTCTGTCGCCCATGCTGGAGTGCAGTGGTGCGATCTCAGCTCACTGTAACCTCTGCCTCCTGGATTCAAGCGATTCTTGTGCCTCAGCCTCGCAAGTAGCTGGGATTACAGATGTGTGCCACCATACCTGGCTAGTGTTTTGGGTTTTTTTTTTTTTTTTGCTTTTTTTTGAGACACAGTCTCATTCTGTCGCCCAGGCTGGAGAGCAGTGGCGTGATCTCAGCTCACTGCAACCTCTGCCCCCTGGATTCAAGCGATTCTTGTGTCTCAGTCTCCAAAGTAGCTGGGATTACAGACGTGTGCCAACATGGCCGGCTAGTGTTTTGTTTGTTTTGTTTTGTTTCGTTTTGAGACAGAGTCTCATTCTGTCACCCAGGCTGGAGTGCAATGGCATGGTATCAGCTCACTGCAACCTCCACCTCCTGGGTTCAAGCAATTCTCCTGCCTCAGCCTCCTGAATAGCTGGGATTACAGGCACACACCACCACACCTGGCTAATTTTTGTATTTTTAGACAGACGGGGTTTCACCATGTAGACCAGGCTGGTCTCGAACTCCTGACCTCAGGTGATCCGCCTGCCTTGTCCTCCCAAAGTGCTGGGATTATGGGCATAAGCCACTGTGCCAGACCAAAAAAAATTTTTTTTAATTAGCTAGGTGTGGTGGCGCATGCCTGTGGTCCCAGCTATTCAGGAGGCTGAGGCGGGAGAACCATTTGAGCCCAAGAAGTTGAGGCTGTGGTGAGCTTTTTTTTTCATTTTTGGAGACCTTCCAAAAAAGAAAAAAAAAAAGCTCCTTTAATGCAGATGTTTGCTATCAGCTAATGGCCATTTGCCTCTGTCTTTTTCAATTTGCGCCCTGCTGCTTTCCACAAAGGTTGCACCATTTTACATTCTTACCAATCATGCTGCACAGCACTCCGAGTTCTCTATGTCTTCACCCATACTTGTTATTTTCTGTTGTGTTTTGTTTGGGTGTGAAGTGGTATCTCATTGTGGTCTTGATTTGCATTTCCCTAATGATAAGCGATGTTAAGAAAATATTTCTTATTTAAAAATGCTTTCTTTTTTTTTGTTTGAGACAGTCTCGCTCTGTCGCCCAGGCTGGAGTGCAGTGGCGTGATCTCGGTTCACTGCAACCTCAGTCTCCTGGGTTCAAGTGATTCTCCTGCCTCAGTCTCCCGAGTAGCTGGGATTACAGGTGCCCGCCACCACGCCCGGCTAATTTTTGCATTTTTAGTACAGACAGGGTTTCACTGCATTGGCCAGGCTGGTCTCAAACTCCTGACCTCAGGCGATCCACTGGCCTCAGCCTCCCAAAATGCTGGGAATACAGGTGTGAGCCACCATGCTCGCCCAAAAATATTTTAAGGTGAAGGCTGGGTGCAGTGGCTCAAGCCTCTAATCCCAGCACTTTGGGAGGCCAAGGGGTGGGGGGGGGGGGTGGGTCACCTGAGGTCAGGAGTTCGACACCAGCCTGGCCAACATGGTGAAACTCCGTCTCTACTAAAAATACAAAATTAGCTGGGCATGGTGCACACTTCTCTAGTCCCAGCTACCCAGGAGGCTGAGGCAGGAGAATCGCTGGAACCTAGGAGGCAGAGGTGCCAGTGAGCCAAGATTGCGCCACTGCACTCCAGCCTGGGTGACAGAGTGAGTCTCCGTCTCAAAGAAAAAGAAAAAAGAAAAATGGACCAGGCGCCGTGGCTCATACATGTAATTCCAGCATTTTGGGAGGCCGAGGTGGGCAGATGACTTGAGGTCAGGAGTTCGAGACCAGCCTGGCCAACATGGTGAAACCCCATCTCTACTAAAAATAGAAAAAATTTGCCGGGCATGGTGGCAGGCACCTGTAATCGCAGGTACTCGGGAGGCTGAGGCAGGAGAATCACTTGAACCCAGGAGACGGAGGTTGCAGTGAGTCAAGATTGTGCCACTACAGTCCAACCTAGGTGACAGAGCAAATCTCTGTCTCAAAAAAAAAAAAAAAAACAACTCCGGGCACGGTGGCTCACACCTGTAATCCCAGCACTTTGGGAGGCCAAGGCGGGCTGATCACGAGGTCAGGAGATCGAGACCATCCTGGCTAACACGGTGAAACCCCATCTCTACTAAAAATACAAAAAATTAGCCGGGCATGGTGGCGGGTGCCTGTAGTCCCAGCTACTCGGGAGGCTGAGGCAGGAGAATGGTGTGAACCCGGGAGGCAGAGCTTGCAGTGAGCCAAGATCCGCCATTGCACTCCAGCCTGGGTGACAGAGCGAGACTCCGTCTCAAACACACACACACAGACACACACACACACACACAAAGAAAAATCAATTAAATTAAATGTTTTGTTTTGTCCACTGGTTCTCAAGCAGGGGAAATTTTGACCTCCCTGGAAATATTTCACAATATCTGGAGACATTTCTAGTTGTCAGAACTGGAGGAGGGGTGTTACTGGGACTAATGAGCTGCTAAACATTCTACCATGTACAGGAAATCCCCCTCAACCAAGAAGTAACTAAGCCAAAATGCCTATAATGCCAACATTAAAATTCCTGGAATAGCTCTTTTAGTTCGCAGCAGGAGGGTAGACTACACAACCTGGTTTGCTATCAGATCAAACAAACAAAAATCTTCATAATCAGAAATTAAAATATTTGGCCAGACACGGTGGCTCAGGCCTGTAATCTCAGCACTTTGAGAGTCTGAGGCAGGAGGATCACTTAAGCTGAGGAATTTGAGACCAGCCTGGACAGCATAATGAGACCCCTCTCTACAAGAAAATTAAGAAAAAAGGCTGGGCACAGTGCCTCACGCCTCTAATCCCAGCACTTTGGCAGGCTGAGGCAGGCGGATCACCTGAGGTCAGGAGTTTGACATCAACCTGGCCAACATGGCAAAACCCTGTCTCTACTGAAAATACAAAAATTAGCCGGGTATGGTGGGGGGCACCAAATAATCCCACCTACTTGGAGGCCGAGGCAGGAGAACCACTTGAACCTGAGACACAGTGGTTGCAGTGAGCCACTGCACTCCAGCCTGGGTAACAGAATGAGACTCCATCCCAAAAAAGAAAAAAAGAAAATTAAGAAAAAAAAAATGTCATTAACATTCCAGTACTGGCCGGGCCTGGTGGCTCATGCCTGTAATCCCATCACTTTGGAAGGCCGAGGTATAGATATAAGGATCACCTGAGGTCAGGAGTTCGAGACCAGCCTGGTCAACATGGTGACACCTTGTCTCTACTAAAAATACAAAAATTAGCCAGGCGTGGTGGTGGGCACCTGTAATCCCAGTTACTCTGGGGGCTGAGGCAGGAGAATCGCTGGAGCCTGGGAGGCACAGGTTGCGGTGAGACGAGATCACACCATTGTACTCCAGTGTGGGTGAAAGAGTGAGACCCTACATCAAAAAAAAAAAAAAAAAAAAAAAAAAAAAAAGGCCAGGCGCAGTGGCTCATGCCTGCAATCCCAGCACTTTCAGAGGCCGAGGCGGGCAGATCACAAGGTCAGGAGATTGAGACCATCCTGGCTAACACGGTGAAACCCTGTCTTTTCTAAAAATACAAAAAATTAGCCAGGCGTGGTGGCAGGCGCCTGTAGTCCCAGCTACTCAGGAGGCTGAGGCAGGAGAATGGCGTGAACCCAGGAGGTGGAGCTTGCAGTAAACCAAGATTGCACCACTGTACTCCAGCCTGGGTGACAGAGCGAGACTCCATCTCAAAAAAAAAAAAAAAAAAGGAAAACCAGATTTGGCACCCCAAAAGAACAGCTTTTCTTCCAAGTGAGGCCTCTTGGCAGTAATTCCCACGCCTGCTGGCTGACTCACTGCCACCTGGTGCCTTCCTAATTCCATTCTGTCACGTGGAACACGAAACTAATCTCAGAAGGTCCCACGATGTGAGTCCATGACAAGCACCTCCGCGTCCCCTCGCTTTGGAAATAGCCCAGAAATACAGAAGCCATATATATTTTTCTTTTTTCTATTTGAGACACAATCTCACTCTGTCGCCCAGGCTGGAGTGCCATGGTGCGATCTCGGCTCACTGCAACCTCTGCCTCCTGGGTTCAAGTGATTCTTATGTTTCAGCCTCCCGAGTAGCTGGGACTACAGGCACGCTGCCACCATGCCAGCTAATTTCTGTATTTTTAGCAGAGACGGGATTTCACCATGTTGGCCAGGCTGGTCTCGAACTCCTAACCTCGGGTGATCTGCCCACCTCAGCCTCCCAAAGTTCTAGGATTACAGGCTTGAGCCCCCACACCTGGCCCAGAATCCATGTTCTTAATCAGATGAAATCAGTCTCTTAAATTTCCCAGGGCGACCCGATCAGCAGTCAATTCTCAGTTAACTGGGGCTGATTCTTTTCGTTTGAAGATTTCTCACATCTCTCAGCTGGCACCTGAAACTGATCACAAGGACCTAGGCAGAGTTCAGTGGTGGATAGCTGGGTGGCCTGGAGTATTGCTGTTTATGACTTTTTAAAAAATTCTGCAGGCTGGGTGCAGTGGCTCACACCTGTAATCCCAGCACTTTGGGAGGGCAAGGCAGGTGGATCACCTGAGGTCAGGAGTCTGAGACCAGCCTGACCAACATGGTGAAACCCCATCTCTACTAATAATACAAAAATTATCTCGGTGTGGTGGCACGTGTCTGTAATCCCAGCTACTCAGGAGGCTGAGGCAGGAGAATCGCTTGAACCTGGGAGGTGGAGGGTGCAGTGAGCCAAGATCTCGACACTGCACTCCAGCCTGGGCGACAGAGTGAGACTCTGTCTCAAAAAACAAGAAACAAACAAACAAAAAAATTGTGGTAAAGCTGGGCATGGTGGCTCACGCCTATAAAATCCCAGCACTTTGGGAGGCCAAGGCAGGCGGATCACCTGAGGTCAGGAGTTCGAGACCAGCCTGGCCAACATGGTGAAACCTTGTCTCTTCTAAAAATACAAAAAAAAAAAAAAAAAAGCTCTGTCATTGTGGCATGCACCTGTAATCCCAGCTACTCGGGAGGCTGAGGCAGGAGAGTAGCTTGAACCCGGGAGGTGGAGGTTGCAGTGAGCTGAGATTGCGCCACTGCACTCCAGCCTGGGCGACAGGGCAAGACTCCGTCTCACAAAAACAAAAAAAAAAAAAAAAAGAAGAAGGCCGGGCGCAGTGGTTCAGGCCTGTAATCCCAGCACTTTGGGAGGCAGAGGCGGGCAGATCACGAGGTCAGGAGATCGAGACCATCCTCGCTAATATGGTGAAACCCCGTCTCTACTAAAAAAAAAAAATACAAAAAGATTACCCGGGTGTGTGGTGGGCGCCTCTAGTCCCAGGTACTCAGGAGGCTGAGGCAGGAGAATGGCGTGAACCCGGGAGGCAGAGCTTGCAGTGAGCCAAGATCGCGCCACTGCACTCCATCCTGGGCGACAGAGTGAGACTCCATCTCAGGAAAAAAAAAAAAAAAAAGGCTGGGTACGGTGGCTCATGTCTGTAATCCTAGCACTTTGGGAGGCCAAGGCAGGAGGACCACTTGAGCCCAGGTGTTTGAGACCAGCCTGGGCAACATAGCAAGATGTATCTCTAAAAAAAAAAGTTCAAAAATTAGCTGGGTGTGCTGGCACCAACCTGTAGTGGGAGGCTGAAGTAGGAGGATCACCTGACCCCTGGGAGGTTGAGGCTTCAGTGAGCCATGATCACACCATGACATTCCAGCTTGGGCAACAGAGTGAGAACCTGTGCCAAAAAAAAAAAAAAAAAAAAAGAGAAAAAAATTGTGGTAAAATACACATTACATAAAATTTCCCTTTTCTTTGAGACAGGGTCACACTCCATTGTCCAGGCTGGAGTGCAGTGGCACAACCTTGGCTTGCTGCAACCTCTGCCACCCATGTTCAAGTGATTCTGGTGCCTCAGCTTCCCGAGTAGCTGGGACTACAGGCATGTACCACCACACCTGGCTAATTTTTGATTTTTTTTTTTTTTGGTAGTGATGGAGTATTTTTGGTAGAGACAGGTTCTTTTGGGTATTTTTGGTAGAGATGGGGTTTTACTATGTTGGCCAGCCTAGCCTCAAGTGATCTGCTCACCTCGGCCTACCAAAGTGCTGGGATTACAGGGGTGAGCCATCGTGGCCAGACCAATTTTTTATTTTTAGTTGAAAAAAGGTCTTCCTCTGTTGCCCAGGCTGGTCTTGAACTCCTGGGCTCAAGTGATCCCCCCACCCGGGCCTCCCAAAGTGCTGAGATTACAGATATGAGCCACCATGCCTAGCCTTATTTTATTTTTAACAGTAGCTCTCCTAATGGTGTGAGGTGGCTGCCACTTCTGAATTTTTTTTTTTTTTTTTGAGACAGAGTCTCGCTCTGTTGCCCAGGCTGGAGTGCAGTGGCACGATCTCAGCTCACTGCAGTTTCTGCCTCCTGGGTTCAAGCAATTCTCATGCCTCAGCCTCCCAAGTAGCTATAACCACATCTGGCTAATTTTTGAATTTCTAGTAGAGATGGGTTTTCACCATTTTGGCCAGGCTGGTCTCAAACTCCTTGCCTCAAGTCATCTGCCCCCGTAGGCTTCCTAAAGTTGTCACTTATGATTTTTTTTTTGAGACGGAGTCTCGCTCTGTCGCCAGGCTGGAGTGCAGTGGCGCGATCTTGGCTCACTGCAAGCTCAGCCTCCGCCTCTGCCTCAGCCTCCCAAATAGCTGGAACTACAGGCCCAAGCCACCACACCCAGCTAATTTTTGTATTTTTAGTAGAGATGGAGTTTCAGCATGTTGGCCAGAATAGTCTCGATCTCTTGACCTTGTGATCCATCTGCCTCGGCCTCCCAAAGTGCTGGGATTACAAGCATGAGCCACCGTGCCCAGCCTTTTCTTTTTTTTTTTTTGAGACGGAGTCTCTTTCTGTCGCCCAGGCTGGAGTGCAGTGGCACAATCTTGGCTCACTGCAAGCTCCGCCTCCCGGGTTCAGGCCATTCTCCTGCTTCAGCCTCCCCAGTAGCTGAGACTACAGGCGCCCGCCACCATGCCTGGCTAATTTTTTGTATTTTTAGTAGAGACGGGGTTTCACTGTGTTAGCCAGGATGGTCTCGATCTCCTGACCTCGTGATCCGCCCGCCTCTGCCTCCCAAAGTTCTGGCATTACAGGCGTGAACCACTGCGCCCGGCTAGCCTTTTTCTTTTTTAATTGAGATGGAGTTTAGCTCTTGTTGCCTAGGCTGGAGTGCAATGGCGCAATCTAGGCTCACTGCAACCTCTGCCTCCTGGGTTCAAGCAATTCTCCTGCCTCAGCCTCCTGAGTAGCTGGGATTACAGGCATCTGCCACCATGCCCAGCTAATTTATTTATTTTTAGTAAAGACGGGGTTTCTTCATGTTGGTCAGGCTGGTCTCAAGCTCCCGACCTCACGTGAGCCACCCGCCTTGGCTTCCCAAAGTGCTGGGATTACACACTTGAGCCACCGCGCGCCTGGCCGATTTTTTTTTTTTTTTTTTTGAGATGGAGTCCCATTTTGTCGCCCAGGCTGGAGTGCAATGGCACGACCTCGGCTCACTGCAACCTCTACTTCCCAGGTTCAAGCGATCCTCTTTCCTCAGCCTCCAGAATAGCTAGACTACAGGTGTGTGCCACCACATCTGGCTAATTTTTGTATTTTTTTTTTAGTAGAGGCGGGGTTTCACCATATTGGCCAGGCTGGTCTCACACTCCTGATCTTGTGATCTGTGTGCCTTGGCCTCCCAAAGTGCTGGGACTAGAGGCGTGAGCCACTGCACCCGGCCTACACTTACGATTTTTAAGAGGCTGTTGCTGTCTTCTGTTTTCAGAGAAGTGCATTTCAAGTTTACAAAATTGCCTAGCATGGTGGCTCATACCTTTAATCCCAGCACTTTGGGAGGCTGAGGTGAGAGGATTGCTTGAGCTCAGGAGATCAAGACCAGCCTGGGCAACATGGTGAAACTTCATCTCTACAAAAAATAAAAAAAATTAACCAGGTGTGGAGGTGCGCACCAGTAGCCCCAGCTACTCAGGAGGCTGAGGCGAGAGGATGGCTTGAGCTCTGGAGGTTGATGCTACAGTGAACCATGATTGTGCTACTGCACTCCAGCCTGGGTGTGACCAAGTGAGACCTTGCCTCAAAAAGTAACTAACTACCTACCTAATTAAATGTTTACAAAGTCACTAGAAGAATTTGTGTGCAGCCCCAGGGAAAAGTAATAGCTGGATAAGCCCAGAACAGCAAAATGCTTTTTCTGAGAGAAGCAGACCTGCTGAGGCCCAGACTCACTCTTCTCAGACTGAGAGCACATCTGCAGGTGATGTTTGGGAAACCCCGGCTTGGCTTGCCTTGGGACACTTCCAGTAGCTCCAGTTCAGGGTTGGAAAACCTGTTCTGCCACTGTCTTGTGGATGCCACTCCCAGGTTTATATATTTATTTATTTTTTGATGGACTTTCACTCAGTCACCCAGGCAGGAGCGGAGTGGCATAATCTCAGTCACTGCAACCTCCGCCTCCCAGGCTGGAGAGATTCTCCTGTCTCAGCCTCCCGAGTAAAACTGGGACCACAGGTGCCCGCCGCCAAGACTTGCTAATTTCTGTGTTTTTAGTAGAGACAGGGTTTTCCCATGTTGGCCAGGCTGGTTTCAAACTCCTGGCCTCAAGTGATCTGCCCGCCTCAGCCTCCCAAAGTGCTAGGATTACAGGAATGAGCCACCACGCCCAGCGCAATCTTAGGTGGATTTTCTCCATTTTACTTGTACTCGTGTGTGTGTGTGTGTGTGTGTGTGCGCGCGCGCGCGCGTGTGTAGTAAATTGTATACAATTTGCTTCCTATGTAGGTTTGCATATTCACGCCCACATTCAAAATACTGATCATGGCTGAGGCGAGTGGGTCACTTGAGGTCAGGAGTTTGAGATCCACCAGGCCAACATGGTAAAACTCAATCCCTACTAGAAATACAAAAATTAGCCGGGCGTGGTGGTGGGCTCCTGCAATCTCGGCTATTTGGGAGGCTGAGGCAGGAGAATTGCTTGAACCCAGGAGGTGGAGGTTGCAGTGAGCCAAGATTGCACCACTATACTCCAGCCTGGGAGACACAGCGAGACTCCATCTCAAAACAAATCAAATCAAAACAAAACAAAACAAAAAAATTTAATCAGATAGTATGTAACATTTTTGAGATTGGCTTCCCCTCCCCGGTTCCCGCCCAAAGCATAATTCCCTAGAGATTCATTCATCTCGCCTGGGTGCCGTGGTTCACGCCTGTAATCCCAGCACTTTGGGAGGCCGAGGCGGGCAGATCACGAGGTCAGGAGATTGAGACCATCCTGGCTAACACGGTGAAACCCCGTCTCTACTAAAAATACAAAAAATTAGCCAGGCGTGGTGGCAGGTGCCTGTAGTCCCAGCTACTCAGGAGGCTGAGGCAGGAGAATGGCGTGAACACAGGAGACAGAGCTTGCAGTGAGCCGAGATCCCGCTGCTGCACTCCAGCCTGGGCGACAGAGCAAGACTCCGTCTCAAATAAAAAAAAAAAAAAAGAGAGATTCATTCATCTCATCTGTTGTGCATCTCAATAGTTTATTCCTTTTTATTTATTTTTTTGAGACTGGGTCTTGCTCTGTGGCCCTGGCTGGAGTGCAGTGATGAAATCATGACTCACACAGCCTTGATCTCCTGGCCTCAAGTGATTCTCTCTCCTCAGCCTTCCGAGTAGCTGGGACTATAGGCATGTGCTGCCACGCCTCGCTTATTTTTAAAAGTTTTCTAGAGATACTGTCTCCCTATGTTGGCCAGGCTGGTCTAAAACTCTTGGGCTCAGGCGATCCTCCTACCTTGGCCTCCAAAAATGCTGGGAATACAGGCATGAGCCACCGCACCCAGTTTGGTGATTACTCTTGGTGGAGACCCAAAGTGCCATCATTCAGAGCCAGAATCTTAGAAGAGCTTAATAAATTCAACTTAAGATAAAACAATATAGCTAAAATAAAACACCTACAAAATTTCTAACAAATGTGGGCAGTCAGGTTTCCATATGTAGTTGGTAGAAGTGGGATGCTTAGTATAAACATGATGTGAAATGCTGGGGATTTCCTGAATTGTGTTAAAACCACAGCTACTGGATAAAATAAAGCTATTGCCCTGAGTTTCTGTCTTGGAAGAACTGTTTTCTGCATCGTACATCTCACTGCTAGGTTTACGGAAATCACCTTTTTTTTTTTTTTTGAGACAGAGTCTCCCTCTGTCACAAGGCTGGAGTGCAGTGGGGCGATCTTGGCTCACTGCAACCTCACTTCTGCCTCCTGGGTTCAAGCGATTCTCCTGCCTCAGCCTCCCGAGTAGCTGGGATTACAGATGCCCGCCACCACGCCCAGCTAATTTTTCTACTTTTAGTAGAGACAGGGTTTCACCATGGTGGCCAGGATGGTCTCGATCTCTTGACCTCGTGATCTGCCCGCCTCGGCCTCCCAAAGTGCTGGGATTACAGGCCTGAGCCCTGCCAATTCCTTTTTTTTTTGGAGATACAGTCTTGCTCTGTCGCCCTAGCTGGAGCGCAATGGTGCGATCTCAGCTCACTGCAACCTCTGCCTCTGGGGTTTAAGCGATTCTCCTGCTTCAGCGTTCTGAGAAGCTGGGATTACAGGCATGCGCCACCACGCCGGCCAATTTTTGTATTTTTTGTAGAGACAGGATTTCACCATGTTGGTCAAGCTGGCCTTGAACTCCTGACCGTGTGATCTGCCCGCCTTGGCCTCCCAAAGTGCTGAGATTACAAGTGTGAGCCACCGCGCCTGACCTCTTTCTTTTTTTTCTCTTTGAGACAGGGTCTCCTCTATCACCAGGCTAGAGAGCCTTCTGGGCTCAGGTGATTCTCCTGCCTCAGCCTCCGGAGTAGCTCTGATTACAGGTGCTCACCACCATGCCATGCTAATTTTTGTATTTTTAGTAGAGATGGGGTCTCGCCATGTTGCCCAGGCTGGTCTTGAACTCCTGGGCTCAAGCAATCTGCCCGTCTCAGACTCCCAAAATACCAGGATTACAGGTGTGAGCCACTGTGCCCAGGCACAAGAGGTCATTTTTGATGAATAAATGCACATTTTGTTAACTAATGAGTGATTTCATATTCCAAGGAAGATCTGGAGATATTACTGAAAAGGTGTTTAACTTGCAGTGGCAACTGAAGTCAATGTATTTTACATTTTCATGTTCTGGACTTGGGTGAGTTGTTATTTCAAGCCCTCATCTTTGAGTAAAAGAGAAGAATCCACCTGTAATCCCAGCCACTCAGGAGGCTGAGGTAGGAGAATCTCTTGAACCTGGGAGGTGGGAGGTGGAGGTTGCAGTGAGCCAAGATTGAGCCACTGCACTCCAGCCTGGGTGACAGGGCAAGACTCCGTCTCAAAAAACAAAAAAAAAAAAAAAAAAGAAGAAGGCCGGGCGCAGTGGCTCATGTCTGTAATCCCAGCACTTTGGGAGGCCAAGGTGGGCAGATAACGAGGTCAGGAGATCGAGACCATCCTGGCTAACACGGTGAAACCCCGTCTCTACTAAAAATACAAAAAATTAGCCTGGCGTGGTGGCGGGCACCTGTAGTCCCAGCTACTCAGGAGGCTGAGGCAGGAGAATGGCGTGAACCTGGGAGGCGGAGCTTGCAGTTAGCGGAAATTGCGCCAAAAAAAAAAAAAAAAAAATCCATTCTCCTCTGGGATGATTCCCCTCCCCCACTTCCCGTTCCCTCCTCTCCCCTCCCCTCCCCTGCCCTGCCCTCTCCTCCCCTTCTTTTTTTTTTTTTTTTGAGATGGAGTCTCTGTCGCCCAGGCTAGAGTGCAGTGGTGTGATCTTGGCTCACTGCAACCTTCGCCTCCTGGGTTCAAGCGATTCTCCTACCTCAGCCTCCCGAGTAGCTGGGACTACAGGTGCTTGACACCACACCTGGCTAATTTTTGTATTTTAATAGAGACGGGGTCTCTCTTTTTTTTTTTTTTTTAGAGACAGACTCTCGCTCTGTCGCCCAGGCTGGAGTGCAGTGGCGGGATCTCAGCTCACTGCAAGCTGTGCCTCCCGGGTTCACGCCATTCTCCTGCCTCAGCCTCCTGAGTAGCTGGGACTACAGGCGCCTGCCACTACGCCTGGCTAATTTTTTTGTATTTTTAGTAGAGACGGGGTTTCACTGTGTTAGCCAGGATGGTCTCGATCTCCTGACCTCGTGATCTGCCCGCCTCGGCCTCCCAAAGTGCTGGGATTACAGGTGTGAGCCACTGCGCCCAGCTGAGACGGGGTTTCACCATATTGACCAGGTCTCGAACTCCATATTGACCTTGCGATCCCAGAGAAAGTGCTGGGATTACAGGCGTGAGCCACCGTGCCTGGTTGAGACAGGGTTTCACCATATTGACCTGGTCTCGAGCTCCTGACCTTGTGATTTGCCTGCCTCGGCCTCCTAAAGTGCTGGAATTACAGGCGTGAGCCACTGCGCCCAGCCTGTAGATGTTTTTTTTTTAAAGTCTGGAAGCCAAGGGTGTCAATGCAGACATGGGGCCAAGGTCCCAGGGGCAGTTCATTATTAAGAACTGTGCTCTTAATTGAGACACCTGGCAAATTTTGTATTGCTTTGTAGAGATGGGGTTTCACAATGTTACCCAAGCTGGTCTTGAACGCCTGTCCTCAAGTGATCTGCCAGCCTGGGCCTCCCAAAGTACTGCCATTATAGGCATGCATGAGCTACCACAACCGGCCTGTTTTTCTTTTTTGAGACGGAGTTTCGCTCTTGTTGCCCAGGCTGGAGTGCAACGGCATGATCTCAGCTCACCGCAACCTCTGCCCGCTGGGTTCAAGCGATTCTCTTGCCTCAGCCTCCCAAGTAGCTGGGATTACAGGCATGCACCACCACACCCGGCTAATTTTGTATTTTTTTAGTAGAGACAGGGTTTCTCCACGTCGGTCAGGCTAGTCCTGAACTCCTGACCTCAGGTGATCCGCCTGCCTCGGCCTCCCAAGTGCTGGGATTACAGGCGTGAGGCACCGCGCCTGGCCCGGCCTGTTTTTCTTTACACTATTGCATATTAGTGTGATTAGCATAAAAGACAATTAGAGAACAGTCATACCATCCACTCCATGGGCAGCAACCCTGCCTCCTCCATGCATTGCTGCAGGGTATTCCTAGCTCAATGCTTAGCATTTGGAGAGAGCATAAGAAATACTATTTGGCCGGGCGCCTTGGCTCACGCCTGTAATCCCAGCACTTTGGGAGGCTGAGGTGGGAGGATCACCTGAGCCCAGGAGTTTGAAACCAGCCTGGACGACATAGTGTGACTGTCTCTACAAAAAATTTTAAGAAAATTAGCTGAGTGTGGTGTCCCACCCTTGTAGTCCAAGCTACTCGGGAGGCTGAGGCAGGAGGATCGCTTGAGCCCAGGAGGTCGAGGCTACAGTGAGTACTGATCGTGCCACCGCAGTCCAGGCTGGATGACCCAGCAAGCCTGTGTCTCAAAAACAAAAACAAAAAAACAAAAAAATAACTACTTGAATGAATGAGGAATCGAGTTCAGATCCCACTTCTACTTGCTCACTTACTGTGCACTATTCAATAACACTAGCTGAGGATCAGAGAGCTAGCAGGTGGGCTACCTGCTGTCATGATTCCTCATAACCAAACAGTGGAAGTGGGAGCCATTATTGTTTCTGGTGGGTTTTTTTTGTTTTGTCTTGTTTTGTTTTTGAGACGGAATCTCCCTCTGTCACCAGGCTGGAGTATAGTGGCACGCTCGACTCACTGCAACCTCCGCCTCCTGGGTTCATGCAATTCTGCCTCAGCCTCCTGAGTAGCTGGCACTACAGGCACGCGCCACCACAGCCAGCTAATTTTTGTATTTTTAGTAGAGATGGTGTTTCACCACATTGGCCAGGATGGTCTCAATCTCTTGACCTCATGATCCACCTGCCTTGGCCTCCCAAAGTGTTGGGATTACAGACGTGAGCCACTGGGCCCAGCATTTTTTTTTTTTTTTTTTTTTTTTGAGATGGAGTTTTACTCTCGTCACCCAGGCTGGAGCGCAATGACATGATCTTGGCTCACTGTAACCTCCACCTCCTGGGTTCAAGAAATTCTCCTGCCTCAGCCTGCCGAGTAGCTGTGATTACAGGCACCTGCCACTATGCCTGGCTAATTAATTTTTTTGTATTTTTAGTAGAAACGGGGTTTCACCATGTTGGCCAGGCTGGTCTCGAACTCCTTACCTCAGGTCATCTGCCCACCTTGGCTTCCGAAAGTGCTGGGATTACAGATGTCAGCCACCGCACCCAGCCTTATTGTTTGTTTCACAGGTGAAGAAAGTGAGGTGTAGATGCTCTGGTAAACCTGCCTGGTATTACCCATGCATCACCCAGGTAGTAGAAATGGAGTCGTGTTTTAAACCCAGGTCCTTCTGGGGCCTGGCTTGGTGGCTCATGCCTGTAATCCCAGTGCACTGGGAGGCTGAGCCAGGAGGACTGCTTGAGCCCAGTAGTTTGAGACCAGCTTGGGTAACACAGCAGACCTCAGCTCTACAGAACATAACAGACAAAAAAAAAAAAAAAAAAAAAAAGCTGGTGGTGGTGGCATGTACCTGTAGTCACAGCTATTTGGGAGGCTGAGGTGGATCCCTTGAGTCCAGGAGTTTGAGGCTGCACTGAGCTGTGGTTACACCATTGCACTCCAGCCTGGGTTACAGAGCAAGACCCTGTCTCTAATAAAACAAACAATTAAACAAAAACCCACCCAGGTGAGGTGGCTCACGCCTGTAATCCCAACACTTTGGGAGGCTGAGGTGGGCGGATCACTTGAGGTCAGGAGTTAAAAACCAGCCTGGCCAACATGGTGAAACTCTGTCTCAACTAAAAATACAAAAATTAGCCGGGCGTGGTGGCGGACGCCTGTAGTCCCAGTTACTCGGGAGGCTGAGGCAGGAGAATCGCTTGAATCTGGGAGGCAGAAGTTGCAGTGAGCTGAGATCGTGCCACCTCACTCCAGCCTGGGCAATGGAGTAAGACTCCGTCTCAAAACAAACAAACAAACAAACAAACAAACAAACAAACACACAAAAAAGAAAACACACAGAAGAGGCCAAGAGGCTCAGGGCCTTCACTCTCGGAGGAAGGTTTCTCTCTTTCACCACCAGCCTGTATGCATTCAAACGTGTTCTTTGCAACGACGACTTCCGTGGCTGCCCTATTTAAAATGTCCATGATCCTCCCAGTGTTCACCTCACACTGTACTATTTATTTTTTTTGAGACGGAATTTCACTCTTGTTGCCCAGGCTGGAGTGCAATAGTACGATCTCGGCTCACTACAATCTCCACCTCCTGGGCTCAAGCGATTCTCCTGCCTCAGCCTCCCGAGTAGCTGTGACTACAGGCGTGTGCCACCACGCCCGGCTAATTTTTTGTATTTTTAGTAAAGACGGGGTTTCACCGTGTTAGCCAGGATAGTCTCATCTCCTGACCTCATGATCCACCAGCCTAGGCCTCCCTAAGTGCTGGGATTACAGGCATGAGCTACCGCGCCCGGCTAATTTTTGTATTTTTAATAGAGACGGGTTTCACCATGGTGGTCAGGCTCGTTTCTAACTCCCGACCTCAGGTGATCCGGCCGCCTCGGCCTCCCAAAGTGCTGGATTACAGGCGTGAGCCACCAAGTCCGGCCTCTCATACTGCACTATTTTGCTTATTAATCTTGCTTCTTGTCCTCCTTCCCCACTAGACCGAGGGCTCCACGGCGGCTGGGACACAGTAGCAGATCAATAAATATTTGCTAAGCTAATTAATGGCACTTGGGAAGTTTTGCAGAGAAGGCGGCCACGGTCGGGCCCCGCCTTGCCTCCCCAAATAGGCCTCGCCGCCCCAGGTCAGGGATCAAAGCGGTTCCCAGGCGCGCCCTTGGCCCGCGGGAAACCACTGCCCGGTCTTGGTCCAGGCGGCCCGTCCTACGGTCCAGGGTTCCTATTTCCGAGCCTCAGGGACCTCCTTTCCCCACGGACCCCACGGCCACCGGGATCCCATTCTCCAGTTGCCCCATCGTCACCGCGGCCGCCGCCACCGCCGCCGCAGTGGCGTCCGCTCTGCGCATGCTCCGGGGCGTCAAGACGCGAGGCGTGCAGAAGGCGAAGCGTGCGCAGGCGCGGGGCCATCGCGGCCCGAGTGGGGCGGTGCATCGGACGCGCGTGCTTCCTCCGGGCCACGCCCACCCCCGTCCGCCCAGGGACGGGCGCGCACGCGCGCCGGGAGCGGAAGGGCGGGCTGGCGCGCGCACGAGGCCGGGCAGGCGGCGGAAGCTGGAGAGGCCGCCGCGGTGCTGAGGGGGAGGGGAGCCGGCGAGCGCGCGCGCAGCGGGGGCGCGGGTGGCGCGCGTGTGTGTGAAGGGGGGGCGGTGGCCGAGGCGGGCGGGCGCGCGCGCGAGGCTTCCCCTCGTTTGGCGGCGGCGGCGGCTTCTTTGTTTCGTGAAGAGAAGCGAGACGCCCATTCTGCCCCCGGCCCCGCGCGGAGGGGCGGGGGAGGCGCCGGGAAGTCGACGGCGCCGGCGGCTCCTGGTAAGGAACGCGGGCCGCGGGGGCAGCGCGGCGCGGGGCCGGGGAGGGCGGTTTGAATGGAGCCGGGGCGCCGAGGGGGGAGGGGGCTGCCGGCGCGCCCTGTGCGGGGCCGGGGTACGGCGGCGCCCGAGGGTCAAGAAGCCCAGCCGGCAGCCGCGCGCGTGGGGAAGGCCACAGTGTCGCGAGGCCGTGGCAGCGGCGGCCCCCGCGGAGCGGCGGGGTGGGTGGGGGGCCCGGGCCGCGTGGAGGCCGCGCGATCCTCTCCGCGCGCGCTCTCGCCGGGGTCGCCGGACAAAGCTCGCCCCCCTCGCCCGGCACCCCTACAGTCGCCCTCCCAATTACAGCGGCTGCAACAATAGGCAGGCGTTGGGGCTTTTCTGGCTGCGTGGTAACGGGTCCGACCCGAATGTTGCGTTTTTGGCGAAGCTGCGATCGGGGCTCAGCCAAACCTCCAGATATGTCCGGCGTCGGCCGGACACGGGCATTAGCGGTCCCCTTGGGCTAGCCGACCTCAAATTGTCTTAAAAACGTGTCATTCCAGATTTTCAAGGAAAGGTAAAGGACTCCCCCGATGCCTTGCAGTTAGTGACTTCAAAATGTTTGCCCGAATTGGGGTTGGGGATGGGGTCGGCGGCAAGTAGGGGAGCACGGAGGAAATCCTTTGCTGTGTAAAAGCATTGCTTTTCTTTTGCATCCTTTTTTCTCCTTCCCAATTGGTTTTTCAGATTAAGGCTTTTATTTTCAACGTGGACCTTTTGGGCGAGTGTTTTGTCCCGATCTTGAAGATACCAGTCTTGATTTTTTTTTTTTTTTTTTTTGGTCAGTGACTCCTTGGGGAAAGTAGCAAGGGAATAAGCGGAAAAGCCGCTTCGCAGGAATTTGAAGCAAGTTTTCAGTTTGGATTGATAGGCTGCATTCAAGCTTGATTCCTGGTGCTGTCAGTCACTTAGCACACTGTCACTTTAGGGAAGTGGCTTAACCTCTCTGAACCTCTTAGTTTTCCTCCTTTGTGAAAGCTCCTTTGTGAAAGGGGGTAATCTCCCAAATGGAATTGGTGAAAGCCTGTAAAATGGTTCCTCGCAAGCGGGAAGCACTATTGTAATTGTCTGGTCCAATCTCCCTCATTGTTCAGCAGATAACTTCTTGAGGCCCTACTAAGTGTTGGATGGTCGGGGGTTGGATCCTGGAGCCTCTGCAGTCTTGGAGGGGAGCGGGTGGTAAATGTGGGAACAAACTCTCTTGGCCTATCGTTTATTGCTCTGAACCTGCACTGTGAGAGGGACACAGCGGACAGGCAGGGGATCGGTGGTAGCCAGAGATCACGGGGGCTGCTTGGAAGAGGGGGCCTCAAAATCAGGGAGGGTGTGTAGGATTGTATTTTGTTTTTGAGGCAGAGTCTTGCCTGTCGCCCAGGCTGGAGTTCAGAGTCCCAATCTCCGCTCACTGTAACCTCCGCCTCCTGGGTTCAAGCGATTCTCCTGCCTCAGCCTCCTGAGTAGCTGGGACTACAGGCGCCCGCCACCACGCCTGGCTAATTTTTGTATTTTTAGTAGATATGGGGTTTTACCATGTTGGCCAGGCTGGTCTCAAACTCCTGACTTAAGGTGATCCACCCACCTCGGCCTCCCAAAGTGCTAGGACTACATGTGTGAGCCACTGCGCCAGGATTGTATTTTGACTTTCCCTGGCCACCTCGGACTAGCCATTGTTCCCCTCAGCTACATTCATACATCAACTTGGTCCTTTCCGGTGTAGCTGTCACCCCCAGCACCGTGAGAGCTGGGGTTGTGTCTGCCTGGCTGGCCCCACAGTACCCTGGGCCTGACACATAGTAGGTCTTTAGCGAACTTATGTGGATTGAATGAGGGGGTCCTGTGGAAGATCGCGTGACCATCTGTGTAAAAGGCTTGGTGCAGGGCCAGGTGCAGTGGCTCATACCTGAAATCCCAGCACTTGGGGAGGCTGAGGCGGGAAAATTGCTTGAACCCGGGAGTTTGAGACTAACCTGGGCAACATAGTGAGACCTCATCTCTACAAAAAATACAAAAATTAGCCGAGTGTGGTGGCATGCACCGGTGGTCCCAACTACTCAGGAGGCTGAGGTAGGAGGACTGCTTGAGCCAGAGAGGTGGAGGCTGCAGTGAGCCATTCTTGTGCCCCTGCATTCCAGCCTGTGCACCAGAGTAAGACTGTCTCAAAAAAAAAAAAAAAAAAAAAGAAAAAGAAAGCTTGGTGCAGGACTGGGGGTGGATTGTAAGGGATACAGGTTAGTTGTTTGAACAGTTTTTGCACTTTCCAAGCCATTGTTTCCTGAACCTCAGTTGTCCTCATCTCCCCTACAAAGTGTGGGGTGGTGGTTAGCGTGGGGTGGTGGTAAGGAGTACTCATTCTGGAATCAGACCTCCTGAATTCACACCCAGCTCTCTAAATCGTAGCTTAACCTCAAGCGAGGCGCTTAGCAGTAGGGCCCCCCACTTGTGAAACAGGTAGGACGAGGATGCCCGAAACTTCACAGGCTTCTTGTGAGGGTTGAATGAGGTCACATGGGAAGCCGCTAACACACTGCTGCACCTGATGCGTAGTGAACACTTGATTTTTTTTTTTTTTTTGAGACGGAGTCTCGCTCTGTCATCCGGGCTGGAGTGCAATGCCCCTGTAGTCCCAAGCTCCTTGAGAGGCTGGGGCAGGAGGTACAGGCTGCAGTGGACCATGATTGAGCCACTGCACTCCAGCCTGGGTGACGAAGCGAGACCCTGTCTAAAAAAAGGAATAAAAATTAATTCATGCATAGTTAGGAAAGTAATAAATGGTTTTGCATGGGCCACCTAAAATCATTTTGTGTCCAGCCCTTTAGGAGACGTAAATGTTGATCGTGCAGGCTTTTGAGCAGGGGAGGTGATGTCATCAGAATTGTGATATAGGGCAGTGCAGTGGTCTCTAAACTTCTTGTCAGTGAGGAGCATTCCAACATATGTGTATTTATTTACAATTTATTTGTGTACCTTTGCTTCTCCTTGGGAACCCTCAAAACACCAGGAGATAACCTTAGACCATTCCATGTTTTGGCTGTTTGTGGGAGGTGGGAGCATGGGAGGGACTAGGGTTTTGGGCAGATGTCTGGTGGAACTTTCTTTCTTTCTTTCTTTTTTTTTTGAGACGGAATCTTACTCTTGTTGCCCAGGCTGGAGTGCAATGGCACGATCTCGTCTCACTGCAACCTCTGCCTCCCGGGTTCAAGCGATTCTTCTGACTCAGCCTCCTGAGTAGCTGGGATCACAGGTGTGCACCACCACACCTGGCTAAGTTTTGTATTTTTAGTAGAGATGGGATTTCATCATGTTGGCCAAGCTGGTCTTGAACTCCTGACCTCAACTGATCCACCCACCTTGGCCCTTGGCCTCCCAAAGTACTGGGATTACAAGTATGAGCCACCGCGCCCGGCCTCTTTTTTTTTTTTTCTTATGAGACAGAGTCATTCTGTCGCCCAGGCTGGAGTGCAGTGGTGCGATCTTGACTCACTGCAACCTCCGCCTCCTGGTCTCAAGCGATTCTCATGCCTCAGCCTCTGGAGTGGATGGGACTAAGGACGTGCACCACCATGCCCAGCTAATTTTTGTATTTTAGTAGAGACCGGGTTTCACCATGTTGGCCAGAACTCCTGGTCTCGAACTCCTGGCCTCCTGTAATCTGCCCACCTCGGCCTCCCAAAGTGTTGGGATTATAGGCGTGAGCCACCGTGCCCAGCCAGTCTGGTGGAACTTTCTATCAGTAAGGAAACTGAGGCCTAGGGTTATTTTCTTTCCACAAGGGTTGTCAAGTCAACCACCTGGGTTTGACTCCTGGTTTTGTCTTTCCATCCCTCGGTCATCAAGGCTGCCATGGCACAGAAGGACCCATTCATGGTGCCTGTAGACAGAACACAATGTGAATAGTGCCCCCTGGAGTTGTGCAAGAAATGACCCAGCCACTCTTCCCCATTTATGTGGCGAACAAGCATGCATTGAGCGCCTGCCATGTGCCAGGCACTGCTGGGGAGCTGGGGATTCCATGGGGAACAGGCAGACAAGGGTCCTGTTCTTAGTAGCTCACACCCCACTCTTGACTTGCAAAGGGGGACAGTACTAGTACCCAGCTTGTAGGATTGCTGCAAGAGCTGAACAACCAGTGACAAATGCGAAGTGCTTAGAATGGTGCCTGGCACATAGTGCTAAACAGTTGTTAGTGCTCATCATTTATTAGGATTCCTGCAACAGCCTGGTGGGATGACACAGATAATATACTTTTTCCTCTAGTCATAAGTTCTGTATGTTTCAAAGTGGTAGCAAAGGAGTCAGCTCCTCCATTTTGTCCTTAATGGCTGCACATTGTTTAACAGCAGGGATGCATTCTGAGGAATGCGTTGTGAGATGATTTTGTGGTTGCGTGAAGATGATAGAGTGTGCTTACACACGTCTAGATGGTGGAGCCTAGTCCACATGTAGGCTCTGTGGTATAGCCTATTGTTCCCAGGCTATACACCTGTACAGCATGTCACTGTACCGATTATTGTAGGCAGTTGTGACCCGATAGTATTTGTGTATCTAAATATATCTAAACAGAAAACGTATGGGAAAAATACAGTATTATGATCTTTAAAAAATTTTTCTAATTAGACAATTCAAGGAGGAAGGTATAATCTTATGGGACTATTGTATATTTGGTCCATCATTGACCAAAATGTTATGTGGTGAAGAAAACCATGCTTTGAAATTTCACCATAAGGCATTGGAAAAGGGAGAGTGTGTTTAGTGGCATGGTTTTTTTTTTTTTTTTTTTTTTTTTTTTTGAGGTGAAGTTTCGCTCTTGTTGCCCAGGCTGGAGCACAATGATGCGGTCCTGGCTCACTGCAACATCCGACTGCAGAGTTCAAGCAATTCTCCTGCCTCAGCCTCCCGAGTAGCTGGGATTACAGGTGCCCGCCACCATGCCTGGCTAATTTTTTGTATATTTAGTAGAAACGGGGTTTCACCATGTTGACCAGGCTGGTCTTGAACTTCTGACCTCAGGTGACCCACCTGCCTCAGCCTCCCAAAGTGCTGGGATTACAGACGTGAGCTACCGCGCCCGGCCAGGTTTTTAAAAATATCAAATGTTCAGCCGAGTGTGGTGGCTCATGCCTGTAATTCCCACACTTTGGGAGGCCCAGCAGGGCAAATCACTTGATCCCAGGAATCCAAGACCAGCCTGGGCAGCATGGCGAAACCCCGTCTCTACAGAAAAGTTAAAAAATTAGCCAAGCATGGTGTTGCACACCTGTAGTCCCAGCTACTTGGGAGGTTGACGTGGGAGGATCAAGCCGAGGAGGTGGAGGCTGCAGTAAGCTGTGATCGCACCACTGCACTCCAACCTGGGTGACACAACAAGACCCTATCTTAAAAAAGCCGGGGGTTGGGCTGGGCGCGGTGGCTCATGCCTGTATTCCTAGCACTTTGGGAGCCGAGGCGGGCGGATCGCCTGAGCTCAGGAGTTCAAGACCAGCCTGGGCAACATTGTGAAACCCCGTCTCTACGAAAATACAAAAGAAATTAGCTGGGCATGGTGGTGTGCGCCTGTAGTCCTAGCTACTTGTGAGACTGAGGCAGGAGAATTGCTTGAACCCGGGAGGCCAAGGTTGCAGGGAGCCGAGATCGTGCCGCTGCACTCCAGCCTGGGCGACAGAGCAAGACTACGTCTCTACAAAAGAAAAAAAAAAAGCCGGGGGTTGGGAAGGATAACAGCTGCTGGAATACTGGGGGAAGGTATGAGAGGGAACAGGTCAGAATGAAGCCTGAGGCTGAATGGAGCTTCAGGTGCTGCCACCCTCATAGGTGTCAACCCTAAGGAGACATAGCGGACTCATTAGTATGCCCAGTGATTTCTTGATTGAAGTTTTCTGTTAACTGCATCCTAAGGACATTAATCATTAATTTTTCAGGGTGTGGGATTGATGGGCATGTGATTTGTGGCCTCAACTCTTCTTCATATATGGGAAAGGGCCTGGATGGAAGTGCCAGGTGTAGCTGGGTTTGTTGTTACAGGGCAGAGAGAAGGGACACATTGATTTCCCTCCAATTCCCTCAGGGAAGGGGGCTTTCTTGTTTTTATTTTATTTTATTTTATTTTATTTTTTGAAATGGAGTCTTGCTCTCTCTCTGTCGCCCAGGCTGGAGTGCAGTGGCACGATCTCAGCTCACTGCAAGCTCCCCCTTCCGGGTTCACGCCATTCTCCTGCCTCAGCCTCCTGAGTAGCTGGGACTACAGGCGCCCGCCACCACGCCCGGCTAATTTTTTGTATTTTTAGTAGAGACGGGGTTTCACCATGTTAGCCAGGATGGTCTTGATCTCCTGACCTCGTTATCCGTCTGCCTCAGCCTCCCAAACTGCTGGGATTACAGGCGTGAGCCACTGCGCCCGACTGGAAGGGGGCTTTCTTTAGAAAATAGGTAAATGTTAGTAGGGTGGAAACCAACCCTGGCCCCTTTCAAATGTGTGGTTTTTTTTTTTTTTTTTGGAGACAGTTGTACTCTTTTCTCCCAGGCTGGAGTGCAGCGGTGTGATCTCGGCTCACTGCAACCTCTGCCTTCCAGGTTCAAGCAATTCTCCTACCTCAGCCTCCTGAGTAGCTGGGATTACAGGCGTGCGCCACCATGCCCGGCTAATTTTGTATTTTTTTTTAATTTTTATTTATTTATTTATTTTTTTGAGACGGAGTCTTGCTTAGTTGCCCAGGCTGGAGTGCAATGGCACGATCTTGGCTCACTGCAATCTCCGCCTCCCGGGTTCATGCCATTCTCCTGCCTCAGCCTCCCGAGTAGCTGAGACTACAGGCGCCCACCACCATGCCCTGCGGGGGTTTCACCATGTTAGCCAGGATGGTCTTGATCTCCTGACCTCATGATCCGCCCGCCTCAGCCTCCCAAAGTGCTGGGATTACAGGCGTGAGCCACTGCGCCCGGCCAGTAATTTTGTATTTTTAGTAGAGACGGGGTTTCTCCGTGTTGGTCAGGCTGGTCTCAAACTTCTGACCTCAGGTGATCCGCCTGCCTTGGCCTTCCAAACTGCTGAGATTACAGGCATGAGCCACCACTCCTGGCCTCAAATGTTTTTTTAAGTCCCAGACTGGTTTCCAGAGCTTTGCTTTTGGGGACTCTGTTACCTCCCTAAAGGGGCATAGCTTCATTTATGTATGTGGACACTTGTCACTGTGAACCGTTTTGCTCTGTGTGCAGCCAGCTGTGAGTGTGATAGAGTAGCACGGGCCCCGTTTTTAATAGTGATCGACTTTAAAATGGTTCTTTGAGGAGGTGTTTTTTTTTTCTTTCCACTTTTTATTTTTTTAGAGACGGAGACTCGCTGTGTTACTTAGGCTGGTCTTTAACTCCTGGACTCAAGTGATCCTCCAGCCTCCACTTCCTGACTAGCTGTGATTACAGGCGTGATCCACTGTGCTAGCTCTTGGGAGTTTTTTAAGTTTTCTCTTTGCCACTGGCAAGTCACGCCCCAGTGGCTCAGGAAGCAGGTGGCTGATGTGACAGTTGCTGCTCACCTGTTCCAGTGGGAGACTTGAGGGGGAGGGTCTGCTGTGTGCGACCCATCTTGCTCCGAAAGTCCCAGTAAAGGGGCATAGTGGATGTCTCATTGTGCCCAGGGAGCTGAAACTGCCCCTGTGATGATCAAATGTGATTCTGGCACAGCCTGGACTGGCTGGGCACCTGAAGGCCTTGCCTGCCTCCTGGAGGCATCTCCTGGGTGCCTGTGGGAGTGGCTCTTTACTTGCCCTTCCTCTTGACTCTGCCCTTCCTCGACCTTCAAGGTTCTCATCCTATTCCTTTTGATCCTCGGCCTGAATCAGTTACTCAGGCCCTGGAGTCAAAGAGACTTGAGGCGGGATTCTGTTCTGCATGGCTTAACCTCTTTGAACTCAGAATTCCGTTTTCCTCTCAGAATCTCCCTGGCCTCCACCCTCTACCTCAAGAACCAGGGGCTGAACCCCGGCCCTGCCTGTCTTTGCCAAGCCTTGCTCTAGGGCTTGGTCAGCCTCGAGGAAGGGGGGCCTTGTTATGTTTATTTAAAAATTTATGTTTTAGGTTTTACTTTCTTAGAAGTGGAGGTCTTGATGTTATCTCCCAGGCTGGTCTTGAACCCCTTGGCTCAAAGGATCTGCCTACTTCAGCCTCCCAAAGTGCTGGGATTATGGGCGTGAGCCACCACGCCTGGCGCCTTTTTATATTTCTTTCTTTTTTTTTTCTTTTTTTGAGACAGAGTTTGTCTCTTGTTGCCCAGGCTGGAGTGCAATGGCGGGGTCTCGGCTCACTGAAACCTCCGCCTCCTGGGTTCAAGCGATTCTCCTGCCTCAGCCTCCCGAGTAGCTGGGATTACAGGCATGCACCACCACACCTGGCTAATTTTGTATTTTTAGTAGAGACGGGGTTTCTCCGTGTTGGTCAGGCTGGTCTCAAACTCCTGACCTCAGGTGATCCACCTGCCTCAGCCTCCCGAAGTGCTGGGATTACAGGCATGAGCCACTGCACCTGGCCCCCTTTTTATGTTTCTAACAGCACGTCCCAGCCGAGACCCTGGTGTTCACCCTTGCCTCATCTCTTGCCCTCACTTGCACATCCATTCCATCAGCATGTCCAGAGAAATTAAAGTCATTATCAGACCGTGCCACTCCCGTGCCTGGAACATTCTAGCAGCTCCCCACTGCACTGGATGCTCCTGGAACCCCTTTACTGTGGCCCTCAAGGCCTGTGACTTCTCCCCTATGCCCCACCTGTGGCCGCACCCACTTGCCCTCTGAGGTATGATATGGAATATATTTGGTCTTTGCGCCACATGTCATAGGAGTGATAGGTGTGTCTTTTAAAATTCATAATGAGCCCCTTTTGATCACAGCTGAGTTTATGCTTATGAGGTGATTTAGGATGGGGCTCCTAGATAGCCCAGGATGGGGCTGGTTACCAGAAAGACCAAGTGCTTAGAGGGTGGCATGTACGGAGGGGCCATTGAAGCTGTCTGTATTGCTTCCATCTGGTTGACCCCGAGTCGTATCCGTTATAATAAACCATTAATGGGAAGTGAAGTGCCTGCCTTAGTTCTGGGCGCTGCTTTAGCAAATCAATCAAATCGAGGAGGGGGTTGTGGGAATTCCCAATTTATAGGTGGCTGGGCAGAAGTACTGGACCCTGGGATGTGCAAATGGCATTTGTAGTGGGAGCAGTCTTATGGGACAGCTCTTTTTCTTTTAGAGACAGAGTGTCACTCTCACCCAGGCTGGAGTGCAGTGATACAGTCATAGCTCACTGCAGTGTCCAGCTCCTGGGCTCATGTCATGCTCCCGAGTAGCTGGGACTACAGGTGTGCACCACTGCCAGGCTTAGCTAATTTTTAAATTTTTTGTAGAGACAGGGTGCTATACTTCCTAGGCTGGTTTCAAACTCTTGGCCTCAAGCAGTCCTCCCACTTTGGCCTCCCAAAGCACTGTGCTTAGGTGAGCCCACTGCATCTGGCCGATAAAGTCCTTAACTTGTGGGAGATAGAGTCTGAATTGAGTTAAATTGTAGGACACCCAGCTGGTGTTTGGAGACTTGGAGAATTACTTGGAAAAGACCCACGCATCTGGTCACAGAATTGTTCTCGGTTATGAGAGTATAGTAGAAGAAAACTGGTTTTCTCTGAGTTGGTGTCAAAAGTGCTGTGTGAGAGTGTAGAGAAACGGAGTGTGGGCCAGGCACGGTGGCTCACGCCTGTAATCCCAGCATTTTGGGAGGCTGAGGCGGGTGGATCACCTGAGGTCGGGAGTTTGAGACCATCCTGACCAACATGGAGAAACCTAGTCTACTAAAAATACAAAATTAGCTGGGCGTGGTGGCGCGTGCCTGTAATCCCAGCTACTTGAGAGGCTGAGGCAGGAGAATCACTTGAACCCAGGAGGCAGAGGTTGCAGTGAGCTGAGATCGCACCATTGCACTCTAGCCTGGGCAACAAGAGTGAAACTTCATCTCAAAGAAAAAAAAAAGAAACAGAGTGTGTTTTCCCACCTTCCCTGCTCCAGCCACACTGGCTGACTTGCTGTGCCTTGGAATATGCCAAGCACAGTCCAGGGCCTTTGCACTTGCTGTTCCTCTGTGGTAGATAAATAACCACATGGTGCCCATGTCACTACAGATCTCTGCTCAGACATCTTCATCACTGAGGTGTCCCAGGCTACCATAGAAGGAGTGCTTCTCATCTGTTAACCCTGCGAACCCTGCTTGATTAGATTTATAGCACTTCCACCCTCTATGTGACATTGTGTCTTTTTTTTTTTTTTTTCTCTTTGAGACAAGGTCTTGGTCTGTCACCCAGCGGGGAGTACAGTGGTGCAATCATAGCTCATGGCAGTCTGGACCCTCCCACCTTGGCTTCCCAAGTAGCTGGGACTACAGCCGCATGCCAGCTAATTTTTGTATTTTTCGTAGAGACGAGGTTTCACCGTGTTGCCCAGGCTGGCCTCAAATTCCTGGCCTCAAGTGATCGACCTGCCTCAACCTCCCAAAGTGCTGGAATTACAGGCGTGAGCCACCATGCCCACCCTGAATACTTTTTTTTTTTTTTTTTGGAGGGGGGAGATGGAGTTTTGTTCTTGTCGCCCAGGCTGGAGTGCAATGGTGCGATCTTGGCTCACTCCAACCTCCGCCTCCCGGGTTCAAGCGATTTCAATTTTCCTGCCTCAGCCTCCTGAGTAGCTGGGATTACAGGCGTGCACCACCACGCTTGGCTAATTTTTTTTTTTTTTTTTTGAGACGGAGTCTCGCTCTGTCACCCAGGCTTGAGTGCAGTGGCACAGTCTCAGCTCACTGCAACCTCCGCCTCCTGGGTTCAAGCGATTCTCCTGTCCCAGCCCCCACACCGAGTAGCTGGGATTACGGGCGCCTGCCACCATGCCGGCTAATTTTTGTATTTTTAGTAGAGATGAGTTTTAACCATGTTGGCCAGGCTGGTCTCAAACTCCTGACCTCAAGTTATCCACTCGTCTTGGCCTCCCAAAGTGTTGGAATTACAGGCATGAGCCACCAAGCCTGGTCCTAATTTTTTTATTATTAGTAGAGATGGGGTTTCACCATGTTGGTCAGGCTGGTCTCGAACCCCTGACCTCAGGTGATCCACCTGCCTCGGCCTCCCAAAGTGTTGGGATTACAGGCATGAGCCACCACGTCCGGCCCTGAATACTTTTTTTTTTTTTTAATATAACACTTCCACTTTCTATGTGACATTGTGTCATGTTTGGCTATTTCTGTCACTCTGCTGTCCACTCCTCCAGGTAGGAATTGTGTTGTTCTCTGCCAGATGCCTGGTGTTTGGAACCAGCTTGGTGCATTCAGCGCTGTTCGTATTTGGGGGTAGTCATCAGTAAGTCCTCTGCTGTGGCGGTGGGGAAGGCCTGTCACGAGTGACACTGGGCAGGTATGGATTCTGCATCTCCCTGCCCACTCTTGGCCTTTGCATGCCTCTGTTGTGGGGACTCCTCTTGCCGTCTCCACACAGTGTCACTCCTCACGCTCAGTGTTGCGTATATAGCTGATAACACAGCAGACCCGGTGGTGGCGCAGGACATCCATCCAGTGGGCCTCGGCCAGCCGAAAAGAAAGAATAGGGGCCGGGCACAGTGGCTCACGCCTGTAATCCCAGCACTTTGGGAGGCCAAAGTGGACGGATCATCGGCTCAGGAGTTTGAGACTAGCCTGGCCAACATAGTGAAACCCCATCTCTACAAAAAATACGAAAATTAGCTGGGCATGGCGGTGTGCGCCTGTAGTTCCAGCTACTTGGGAGGCCGGGGCAGGAGAATTGCTTGAACCCGGGAGGCCGAGGTTGCGGTGAGCTGAGATTGTGCCACTGCACTCCAGCCTGGGTGACAGAGCCAGAGTCCATCTACAAAAAAAAAAAAAAAGAATGGGGTTATTGATGTTCCACAGGGAGCGTGGGTCAGGATGGATTTGTGACACTTGATGCGGTTACTCTGCGTGTTATGTTTCTGCTGGGTCACATTGTCACATGGAGACATGATCAGAAGAGCTTGAAAAACATCCATCTAATTGATAGCTAGGATAGCATTTGCAGGCTTGCAGTGTAGACACCACACGTCCCTGTGGGGTTAGAGGACACTCCCCTAAGGCAGAGAACCGTCCTGGATGCTTTTAGGTCCCTTGGGTAGGTGCTCTTAAGCGGTTTTCTTTTTTTTTTTTTGAGACGGAGTCTCGCTGTCACCCAGGCTAGAGTGCAGTGATGCAATCTTGGCTCACTGCAAGCTCCGCCTACCAGGTTTACACCATTCTCCTGCCTTAGCCTCCCGAGTAGCTGGGACTACAGGCCCCCGCCACCACGCCCAGCTAATTTTTTTTTTTTTTTTTTTTGAGACAGAGTCTTGCTCTGTCACCCAGGCTGGAGTGCAGTGGCATGATCTTGGCTCACTGCAAGCTCCGCCTCCCGGGTTCACACCATTCTCCTGCCTCAGCCTCCCGAGTAGCTGGGACTACAGGCGCCTGCCACCACGCCCGGCTAATTTTTTGTATTTTTAGTAGAGACGGGGTTTCACCGTGTTAGCCAGGATGGTCTCGATCTCCTGACCCTCGTGATCCACCCGCCTTGGCCTCCCAAAGTGCTGGGATTACAGGCGTGAGCCACCGCGCCCGGCCTGGAGGTTTTCTTATAGACCACCGAGGGGAACATTTTGTTTTGTAGTTCACGCATAGTAAACGGGGCTGGCTCTGCGGAAGCCATCCTGCCCATTGCTGTTGTTCCGCCCAAGCCTCTGCCATAACCTGACTCCCACGTTGGTCTGCTGCTGAAATGTGTCCGTGAACAAATTTCCCCAAGCCCCAAAAAACACAATAGCAGATATCCTGGGACCAAACTTAAATATAATGCTAGTTTCTCATGCAAGGTGAAAACAACCACCATAATTCCAACAAACAGATTTCCAAGGGATCCGATTGCTGGTTAGCAACCTGCCCTGCCTGGGGCTGGTCACCGCAGTGCTTTAAGACAAAAGCTAGGGGTGGCGTGAAAGAAGAGACCAGACCTCTTCTCTTCCTCAAGCAGTCTCCTTCCACATTTGAACGTCAACAGATGTTTCTATTTTAGATGATAATTTTGATGAAGTTGAAAATAATGAGAACATGGTAGTTCTCACATCCTTTGATCTTTCTCTTTTATTTCCACAAAGACACTTCCTGGGCATTTCTTGTGGGTATTTATTTCATGGGTATTCTGATTTAGGCTTTTTTTTTTTTTCTTGGAAGTTTTTCTTTAAAAATCTGAATATAAAAAGTAATAGATGGCTATTGTAAAAAATAAATAAAAAGCGCCAGACATCTGTGATATGGAAAGGGTAAGTTCCTCATCACATGCCATCAGAGAGAGCTACTGGCTGTGCTGACAGCGGTTTGTGCATGTTTTCTTTGGGGTAATTTCTATGCATGGATTAACATGCATATATATATATATATATATATATTTTTTTTTTTTTTTTTTTTTTTTTTTTTTTTTTTGAGACAGAGTCTTGCTCTATTGCCTGGGCTAGAGAGCTGTGGTGCGATCTTGGCTCACCGCAACCTCTGGCTGCTGGGTTCAAGTGATTCTCCTGCCTCTGCCTCCCAAGTAGCTGTGATTACAGGTGCCCACCACCACGCCTAGCTAACTTTTGTGTTTTTGTAGAGATGGGGTTTCACCACGTTTGCCAGGCTGGTCTCGATCTCAGGTGATCCGCTCGCCTCAGCTTCCGACAGTGCTGGGATTACAGCTGTGAGACACCATGCCCAGCCATATGCATATATAGTTATTCTTTTTTTTTTTTTTTTTTTTTTGAGACAGGGTCTCTGTCGCTCAGGATGGAGTGCAGTGGCGTGATCTTGGCTCACTGCAACCTCCGTTTCCTGGTTCAAGTGATTATCGTGCCTCAGCCTCCTGAGTAGCTGGGACTACAGGCATGCACCATTACCCCTGGCTGACTTTTGTATTTTTACTAGAGATGGGATTCTGCTATGTTGGCCAGGCTGGTCCCGAACTCTTGGCCTCAGGTGATCTGCCTTCCTTGGCCTCCAAAGTGCTGGGATTATAGGCATTAACACCATATCCAACCTTACTTTTTTTTTTTTTTTTTTGAGTGTTTCTCTGTTGCCAGGCTGGAGTGCAGTGGCGCGATCTTGGCTCACTGCAACCTCCACCTCCCGGGTTCAAGCGATTCTCTTGCCTCAGCTTCCCGAATAGCTGGGACTACAGGCCAGCTCCACCACGCCCAGCTAATTTTTGTATTTTAGTAGAGATAGGGTTTCACCATGTTGGCCAGGGTGGTCTCAAACTCCTGACCTTGTGATCCGCCCACCTTGGCCTCGCAAAGTGCTGGAATTGTAGGCGTGAGCCACCACGCCCAGCCTCTCAATTCTTTTTTGATGTGCCAAGACTTCTGCAGCGTGGGTTGTGTGGGGGTTCTGATTGCTGGGCAATTGAGGAGCTTCTCAAGAAATTGAGGCAATATGGCCACACCACTTCTAGACCCTTTGGCCCAGGGAAAGGGTTAACCTCCTGGACTTTTAACTGAGTGTTTTACATCTTAGCTTTTAGATTCTTGTGCCAGAGTAGTTTCACTTCCGGTCATTCCTTCTGGCTGCTGGCCTGGATTCCCAGGCTCTGTTTTCTCCTTGTGGAGGCCCCGGCAGCACCCGATCCAAGGGCCGCACACATCTGGATTTGGCTTCCACACGCTGTACTAACTATTCTTGCCCTTTTGGCCCCTGAATCCCCTCATCCTTTGCTTTTTCCACCTGAGTAGGTGTGGCCTCCTGGTCTGCAATGGATTTCATTGCTGCGTGAATTTCCCCTGCTAGTGACTTATCATTGAGGGCCCCATTGCAGGACTCTAAGCGGCACCGTGTAAGACACCTTAGGGACGACCTTTGGCCACCCCAGGACTTTGCTGAAAATGCCAAATCCTTCGTTTCCTGTATAGAAGGGCAGGGATGATTGGCGATGGGGTAAGAAGGGGTAGAGAGAGAGGTGTTCCTTGTCCTTAGACACCTTTCCTGGCCGTGCTCGTTTGGCCTTCCCGTGTAGACATCTCGCCGGAGCAAGGTGCACCCAGCCCCACACCCCATCCAGCTTCTACAGGGCTGGCCTCACCCCAGCCCTTCAGGGAGGGTGAGCTGGCCAGGAGGAGGTTGAGGGCTGAGAACAACACCATGCTTATGGCTGTGGGAGCAAGGAGGGATAAGAGATGTTTGTGGGTCAGGCACTGTGGCTTG
This sequence comes from Homo sapiens, assembly GCF_000001405.40. NCBI lineage: Eukaryota > Metazoa > Chordata > Mammalia > Primates > Hominidae > Homo > Homo sapiens. The sequence continues at coordinate 10,976,474 of NC_000019.10, forward strand.
GGCTAGGTGCGGTGGCTCATGCCTGTAGTCCTAGCACTTTCGGAGGTTGAGGTGGGCGGATCACTTGAGCCCAGGTGTTTGAGACCAGCCTGGGCAACACGGCGAGACCTCATTTCTATAAAGAAATACAAAAATTAGCTGGGCATAGTGGCATGAGCCTGTAGTCCCAGCTACTCGGGAAGTTGAGATGGGAGGATCACTTGAGCCCAGAAGTTCAAGGCTGTGAGCTGTGATGGCGCCACTGCATTCCAGCCTGGGAGACAGAGCGAGACCCTGTCTCAAAAAAAAAAAAAAAATTGGGCCGGGCGTGGTGCCTCTCATCTGTAATCCTAGCACTTTGGGAGGCCGAGGCAGGCGGATTGCCTGAGCTCAGGAGTTTGAGACCAGCCTGGGCAACATGGCAAAAACCCTGTCTCTACTAAAATACAAAAAAATTAGCCAGGTTCGGCAGTGTGCGCCTGTAGTCCCAGCTACTCGGGAGGCTGAGGCAGGAGAATCGCTTGAACCTAGGAGGCGGAGGTTGCAGTGAGCCAAGGTCGCACCACTGCGCTAAGCCTGGGTGACAGAGCGAGACTCTGTCTCCAAAACAAATAAATAAACAAATAACAAGAACAAAATTCTTGGCAGCCGGCCAAATCTGTGTGCATTGCTTGCCAGGGTGGGCGTGTCATGGCTGACAGCAGGTCCTGGATCGCACCTAGGGGTTTGCTGCTCTCCAGCCAGCTGCTTCTACCTGATGCGCGCCCAAGAGGGGAAGCCAGTCTGTTGTTCCTGAGCATTGCGGGGCAGGAGTGTTACCTGCGGTTTGTGCTGGGGGGAGGCTGCGTTACGGACTCGAGTTTTTTTTTGTTTTGTTTTTGTTTTTTTTGAGATGAACTCTTGCTCTGTTGCCCAGGCTGGAGTGCAGTGGTGTGATCTCGGCTCACTGCAGCCTCTGCCTCTCGGGTTCAATCAATTCTCCTGCCCCAGCCTCCCGAGTAGCTGGCATTACAGGCATGCACCACCATACCCAGCTACTTTTTGTTTTTTAAGTAGATACGGGGTTTCACCAAGTCGGCCAGGCTGGTGTTGAACTTCTCACCTCAAGTGACCCGCCCGCCTCGGCCTCCCAAAGTGCTGGGATTACAGGCATGGGCCACCATGCCCAGCCCATGACTCAGTTTTCTCATTTCTGTTCAGGGAAAGGAGCCTCTGCTTCACATTTTGATGGGAGCATCTGAGGACCTCATCTGTGTGATGCTCCTAGTGCGATACCTTTCACGTGCTAAGCAGCTGCTCAGTAAACCTGGGGAGAGATGGGGCACCTTGGTTTCACCAGCTGAGCGGCTGGCACTTCCTGCCTGTGAGTGATGGTTCGATGTTCCAGCCTGTGGAGGAGGAGGTGGAGCCACAGGGAGGTTACCCGTGAGGCAGGTGGCACCGTGGCTTCACAGTCCATGTTCAGAGTGTGGGATGCATGGCAGTGAGTTCCACTGTGGCCTTGGCCTTGTGACCTGAACTCTTCCACTTCCCTGTCATCTGTCAGCTGGCCAGCAGGACCACTGTAGTCCCTGTGTGGTGGTGAGGGCCCAGTGCGGGGAGTCTCAGTTGTTACCATCAAGTAGGCTGAGGCCCCTACCTCCTGGCTAGATCTTCCTTCCTTGCCATTTCTTTGTGACTGAGACATCCTCAGCAGTTGTAAATCACAGGGAGGTGAAGGCAAGCCACAGTCCCCGCTGGATTTGCAAATATCCCTTCCCTTCCTCTGTCAGCATGACCTTACGGTAGACGAGGATTTCTTAAATAGGACCCCAGAAATGTTAAACCTCAAAGACCAAACTTGATGAACTGGCCTTCATTAGAATTAAGAGCTTCTCTCTCTTTTTTTCTGTTTGTTGAGATGGAGGTTTACTCTTATTGCCCAGGCTGGAGTGCAATGATGTAATCTCGGCTTCACTGCAACTTCCACCTACCGGGTTCAAGTGATTCTCCTGCCTCAGCCTCCTAAGTAGCTGGGATTATAGGCATGCACCCACCACGCCTGGCTAATTTTTGTATTTTTAGTAGAGACGGGTTTTACCATTTTGGTCAGGCTGGTCTCGAACTCCTGACCTCTGCTTGCCTCGGCCTCCCAAAGTGCTGGGATTACAGGTATGAGCCATCACGCCCGGCCGATACTTTCTACTTTTTAAAAGTGGATACCGGCCACATATGTGGTGGCTCGTGCCTGTAATCCCAGCACTTCTGGAGGCTGATGCAGGTGGATCAGGAGTTCAAGACCAGCCTGGCCAACATGGCGAAACCCCGTCTCTACTAAAAATACAAAAAATATATATATATATATATTTTAGCCAGGTATAGTGGTGCGTGCCTGTAATCCCAGCTACTCGGGAAGCTGAGGCACGATAATCGCTTGAACCTAGGAGGCGGAGGTTGCAGTGAGCCGAGATCACGCCACTGCACTCCAGCTTGGGTGATGGAGCAAGACTCTGTCTCTAAATAAATAAATAAATAGATAGATAGATATCTCAATAGCCAGTAAGCATACAGAAAGGTGCTCCGTGCCATTAGTTGTGAGGGACATGCAAATGAAGACCATAAGAAGATGCGATTGGACATTGGCAACATTGTTAAAAGTTGTAAGGACTGACAGCAGCAAGTGTTGGGGTTGATGAAGAGCACCTGGAATGCTGTCCCTGTGTGGGAGGTGGGACCGTGTGTGTAGATGATACAACTATTTTGGAAAACTAGCAAAGCTAAGTTTATGCCTCCCTTTATAACCACCAGTTTCATTCTTGGACACCCAAGAAGAACCAATGCATGTGTTCACCAAATGACTCTCATAGCAGCTTGATTTGTGCTGGCCAGAACCTGGTAGAGTACAATGTCTATGAAAATGAGAATGCTCACATAAAAAGAACGGATGACTCTCCCAGACATGGTGACCCTGTGTGATTGTCTTTTTTTTTTTTTTTTGAGACAGGGTCTTTCTCTGTTGCCCACGATCATGGCTCACTGCAGCCTTGACCTCCTGGGCTCAAACAGTTCTCCCTACTCAGCCTCCTGAGTATAAGCTAATTTAAAAAAAAAAACTTGTAGAGACAGGGTCTTGCTATGTTGCCTAGGCTGGTCTTGAATTCCTGGACTCAAGCGATCCTTCTGCCTTGGCCTCCCAAAGTGCTGGGATTATAGGTATGACCCACTGCCCCCAACATTATATTATTTATATGTTACATATATTATATGTTATAAGTATATATTGTATATTATATAATATATGTATTATAGACGTGACCCACCACACCCGTCATTTTATTGGAAGTTCAATAACAGGTGAAAGGAAGCCACAGTGATAGTCAAAATAGTGGTTTCCCTGGGAGAGTGGTATTGACTGGGGGGGCCCAAGAATGCCTTCTGGAACGTCAGGAGGGATGTCTGACGCAGTGTTCTTCAAGCTGTTCACCTATGATCCTGCGATCAGGGCATGTACAAGTCAGTGAGAGTAAGCAGAATCACACGCTGCTCCCCTCAGTACTGAGCTGAGGACGTGGAGTCGCTCCACGGCTCTCCACTTTGTGCTGCAAGTCGGCCAGTGCTTGTTCAAGTGCAGGCACCAGCAACCTCATCACAGGCTTTGGCACTGGGCGATACTGCTGGGGATGGCTTTGCATCACTCCCGGGCTGTTGGGATCCCCTTTACTGTCACTCTGCACGTGTCTGAGCTTTCAATCCGGAAATGAATTTGCGGATGCTGGTGGCACCCGCGTTCCTGTTTCACTGCAGCCTGACTCTAGAGGCAGCATTTTCAGGAGGAGAGGCCATTCTAACAAGCCTCTGTGAAACCCCGTGCTTCTAAAAAGCAGACTTGCCTTATTCGGGCACAAAATGGTTTTTTGGGGCAGCATCTTCAGTGTACTCTGTTTTTCCGTTGACAAAGTTAGCGCTGCTTTGAGTTGGAGCCGTTCCTGGAGGCTGTGACGGCATCGCATGATTTGATGGAAGGGAGAGGGGAGAAGTTCTAATGCTCAGTGTAAAGTACGATTAGGTGGCATACGCCTGTAGTCCCAGCTACTCGGGAGGCTGAGGCATGAGAATCGCTTGAACCCCGGGGACGGAGGTTGCAGTGAGCAGAGATCATGTCACTGCACTCCAGCCTGGGCGACAGAGTGAGACTCTGTCTCAAAAAAAAAAAAATGTACAATGAGGAGAGCTATAATTTCAGTCACTTCCCAGTGTATGCTCGTTGGCTTGTCCACCTTCAGAGAGGGAAAAGATGGTTTGCCCTCAATGACCTGGATCTTTTTCTCTTTTTCCTCTGAGACAGCGTCTCGCCCTTTTGCCCAGGCTAGAGTGCAGTGGTGCGGTCATGGTTCACTGCAGCCTCAACCTCCTGGACTCAGGTAACCCTCCCACCTCAGCCTCCCAAGTAGCTGGGGCTACAGGCATGTGTCACCAAGCATGGCTAATTTTTGTATTTTTTGTAGAGATGAGGTTTTGCCATGTTGCCCAGGCTGATCTTGAATTTCTGGGTTCAGGCCATCCCCCTGCCTTGGCCTCCCAAAGTGCTGGGATTACAGGCGTGCTGGATTGTATTTTGCTGTCAGTTTCAGTTTATTTGACTTAGAATAAAGACCTTCAAGTGAGGAAGAAGCTATAGGTCCCTGAATATCACAGGATCTATGAAGTATGTGGCAGTCCTGCTGTCCCTTTTCCTACCTCATTGCAACACTCTGTGGACCTGAGAAGACTGTGGGGACAGAAGGCCCAGAGGGGAGCGCCAAGGAGCCAGTGCCTCCCCCTGCCCTGGCCGTGCCCACGTTGCTGGGCTTCCCACCTATGGAGGTAGCTGCAGGCGCATCCTCCCTGCAGACATACCCATGGACCAGAGGCTTCAGGCTCCAAAATCAGCATCTTAGTAACATAAACGCAAGGTTCAGACTGTTGTCACATGGCAGAGGCCAGGGCGGCATCTCATAATCAGACAGATCCTGTTTCTGTAGCAGAATGTGCGAATATCCACACGGAGCAGAATCAGGTCAGATTTTGCCTCCAGATGAATTTCCTTGCAGTAACACATTTAGGTTTGTTTATGTCAGGGGCCATCTTTTCAGGATTGGCTGGAGTGCCAGCCACTGGTTCCTCCCCTGCTGAGTTTCCTGGTCCTCTCTCCTGCTGTTAGCCATGAAAGTGGAATGAGGTCATTTTGAGCCTTTCATCTCTTGTCTAAGAATATATCCCTATGGCTGGGTGCAGTGTCTCACACCTGTAATTCCAGCACTTTGGGAAGTCCAGGCTGGAGGATCCCTTGAGCCAGGATCAACAAGTGTTTGAGACCAGCCTGGGCAACATAGAGAGACCCCTGTCTCTACAAAAAAATTAAGAAAAATTAGCCAGGCATGGTGATGCACTCCTATGGTCCCAGCTACTCGGGAGGCTGAGGCAGGAGGACGGCTTGAGCCCCCGAGGTCAAGGCTGCAGTGGGCTATGATGGCTCCACTGCACTCCAGCTTGGGTGATAGAGTAAGACTCTGTATACAAAACAAAAACCCCTACCTTTCAAATTAAAACTTTTTCCGCTAGATCACCTAATACAATGTAATTTTTGGCCAGGAACGGTGGCTCACACCTGTAATCCCAGCACTTCGGGAGGCCAAGGCGGGTGGATCACCTGAAGGTCAGACGTTCGAGACCAGCCTGGCCAATGTGGTGAAACCCCGTCTCTACTAAAAATAAAAAAATTGGCCTGGCGTGGTGGTTCACACCTGTAATCCCAGCACTTTGGGAGGTCGAGGCGGTTGGGATCACGAGGTCAGGAGTTCAAGACCAGCCTGAATAACATGGTGAAAGCCTGTCTCTATTAAAAATACAAAAATTAGCTGGGCATGGTGGTGTGTGCTTGTAATCCCAACTACTCAGGAGGCTGAGGCAGGAGAATTGCTTGAACCTGGGAGGCGGAGGTTGCCGTAAGCCAAGATCACGCCATTGCACTCCAGCCTGGGCAACAAGAGTGAAACTTCGTCTCAAAAACATAAATAAAACAAAAATAGAACTTTTTTTTTTTTTTTGAGACGGAGTCTTGCTCTGTCGCCCAGGCTGGAGTGCGGTGGCACGATCTCGGCTCACTGCAAGCGCCGCCTCCTGGGTTCACACCATTCTCCTGGCTCAGCCTCCCCAGTAGCTGGGACTACAGGTGCCTGCCACCATGCCCGGCTAAGCTTTTTTTTTGTATTTTTAGTAGAGACAGGGTTTCACCATGTTACCCAGGATGGTCTCGATCTCCTGACCTCGTGATCTGCCCGCCTTGGCCTCCCAAAGTGCTGGGATTACAGGCGTGAGCCACCGCGCCTGGCCAAAAAATGGAACTTTTTAAATCAAGAGAATTAAAAATGTTTCTACACTTCTTACAGAATTTATCCTTAGAACCAGAAATATGCCGGAGAGTTCAGGGGCAAAGAGATTCATTCCAAAAGGCAGCAGAAACAAGACAGATTTGCGACATGCTTAACCAGAGAGGGGCTATCAAAAAACCCAGGGTGTCAGAGCCAGGAAATGCAGTGTAGCTTTTAGAATTTGTGTTTTAAAGACTATTAAATGATAAGAATTGCCATGGGTAAGATTATATGAAAGCCTAGAATGTATTGAGAAATTTCACTGAGTGTGGGTGCGTCTTCAGCCAGCGAGGGCCTTCAGCCAGCGAGGCGGAGAAGCCTCTTTACAGACACAAGTATCTTTCCTTTCCCATTTGTCTCTGGGTGGTTGGAGGACATCCCCTTATGCATATTAGCATCTAAAGGAAAAGGTGACGTTTCCAAGTGTCAGGGACCAAAAAGTGCCATTATTTGTGTAATACTTTATCCTTTTTAAACTTAAGTTCATTTATTTTAAGGGAAACTTGGTCTTACTACTTTCAATGGAAAACCAGCAGTATTTGCCATAAATATCTGTTTTGGCTGAATTGATGGAATTTCGGTTAGAGGCTTGTTTTTTTTTTTTTTTTTCTGAGACAGAGTGTCGCTCTATTGCCCAGGCAGGAGTGCAGTGGTGCGATCCGGGCTCACCGCGATCTCCGTCTCCCAAGTTCAAGCGATTCTCCTGCCTCAGCCTCCGGAGTAGCTGGGACCACAGGCGTGTGCCACCATGTCCAGCTGATTTTCGTATTTTTAGTAGAGATGGGGTTCGCCTTGTTGGCCAGACTGGTCTCGAACTCCTGACCTCAAATGATCTGCCCGCATTGGCCTCCCAAAGTTCTGGGATTACAGGTGTGAGCCACTGCACCCGGCCAGTCAGAGGCTATTTGAGCTATAGTCCTGTTCTTTCTGTTAGGAAGATAAGCAAGTGGAGAGCAGTGTGAAGGGTAGACCAGCACCCCCTGAGACACCCTCTGCCGTGATCAGGAATATGGCAGGAGCCCCTGAAGGCCCCTGTGGGGCAGTGCTTGTCTGTGAGCGTGGCCCACCCCTTCCTGGGTAGACTGACTGATCTTGTGTGCCTGAGATGTAGGACTTCCTCTGAGAGTGATCATGGAGAAACGGTTTGGGTGGCTGGTGGGGAAGGTACTGGCTTCCTGTGGGATGTAGATTCTGATGTGACCGTATGATTGTCCCTTGCTATCCCTGTCCTGCCTCGCCCTTGGTCATGAACCCCAGACTGACCAGGACTGTCTTCCAGCAGGAGGCCACTGTCTGCAGCTCCCGTGAAGATGTCCACTCCAGACCCACCCCTGGGCGGAACTCCTCGGCCAGGTCCTTCCCCGGGCCCTGGCCCTTCCCCTGGAGCCATGCTGGGCCCTAGCCCGGGTCCCTCGCCGGGCTCCGCCCACAGCATGATGGGGCCCAGCCCAGGGCCGCCCTCAGCAGGACACCCCATCCCCACCCAGGGGCCTGGAGGGTACCCTCAGGACAACATGCACCAGATGCACAAGGTAGGGATCCCTGTGCCCGCCTCGCACCTGCGGCCTCTGCCCACTAGGGCTGCAGGCAGCCTCTGGACCGAGGGCCTTACTTGGAGGATGGGGGGAAGCCTTCTTGTTGGAGGTGTCCTGCCTTGGCTCAGCCCCCTACCCCAGGGCCCACGGCCATGAACAGAAGGTTCAGCTCGTCAGACCCCAGCCTGTGCTGGCGCATGATCTGGGCCCCGCGGGCACCTGCCCCACCGTTTCCCGCTCCCTTGCTTTCTGCATGTGAAATTTGGGAATATCACTACAAAGTTTTCTTTTGGTAATGAAGAAAAACATCCAAATTCCTAAAAAGGCTTTTAGCCACGTGGTTTCCCCCGTTCTGGCTGTCAGGCTCACCTGTGCAGCTCGCAGAGCCGAGCAGCGGGTTCCCTTTCCTCCAAGGCGTGCCCCTCAGCCACTGTCTTTACCTCACCTGCGCTGAGCAGGGCCTTCAGTCAGCAAGGTGGAGAAGGCTCTTTATGGTCACAAGTCTCTTTTGCATGTCCCTGGATGTGGTTAGAGGACATATTCCCTTATACATACAGCATCTGAAAGGAAAGGTCATATTAGCATCCATGAGAAAAGGTGACATTTCTAAGTGTCACGGGCCACAGGAGGTCCCGGGTGGTAGAAGATGAGGATTGCTTGACCACAGTCTCCCATATGCTCGTGCTCCACTGGGCGACATTTATTTTGTGTACCTGTCTCGAGGCCTAAGTAGGTGTCAGAACCTTGCCTTGGAGTCATGCTGGGGACTGGGGAGATGCGCGTCATCTTCGGGTGGCTGTTCTCGGTGCCCTCGAGCTTCTCTCGGGCAGCGCATAGCTGCGCTGCCACCTCACGTTCCACATGCTGACCCTGCCTTGCCATGGTCCCTCTCGCAGCCCATGGAGTCCATGCATGAGAAGGGCATGTCGGACGACCCGCGCTACAACCAGATGAAAGGAATGGGGATGCGGTCAGGGGGCCATGCTGGGATGGGGCCCCCGCCCAGCCCCATGGACCAGCACTCCCAAGGTACAGAACTGCGTTCCTTCCTGCCTTGTGTTTGTCATACTCCAGAGTCCTCAGATCATTTTCCTCCCCTGGGTTCCCACAGGATGGATTCAGGGAGTACCTAGGATGATGTAGCCGGGTGGGTGGCCCGCCACAGAGAGCTGTCTGGCATGGCGTGGCTGGTGCTCTGTTCTGGCCACCTCGTCTCGGAGCAGCCCTGGAAGGGGAAATGCTGGTTGGGGGGCAGACCATGTTCAGCATGGGTGATAGAGGAGGGCTGTGCAGGGCAGCAGCCCCGTGCCACCCAGGAACTTACTGGAAATACAGATTCCTGGGGCCTGGGACTCTGCTTTAATGAGCCCAGCAGGTGCCTTTTCTGTACGAGGACAATTGAGAAGTGATATGGTGGGTGACTTTCCAAGGCCTTGCTGTCATCAGGGGTGGGAAGCTCAGGGGCTGCACTGGGAATGGAAGTGTTGGGGGTGGGCCTGGCGAGCCCGAGGATGTGGACCCCGCCTGTGGACAGGCAGGCGGAAGCCGGGAGAGAGCCGTGATTTCATGCACAGGTTCTCAGCATTAACCAGAAGCACCTTACTGAGACGTGGGCCAAACCAAATCCACCAGGTCGGCTGCTGGGCTGAGGTGCCTTCAGCATGTGCCCTCCAGGTGCCCCTGGTTGACTCAAGAGAAGGATGCCATTTGGCTGTGCCCTGTCTCAGAGTAGGAGCTGGTGTAGGGGGAAGAGGCTGTAAAAATCACAGACATATGCTGCCGAGTGACCAGTGGGCTGACCTTTCTCTGCAGGTTACCCCTCGCCCCTGGGTGGCTCTGAGCATGCCTCTAGTCCAGTTCCAGCCAGTGGCCCGTCTTCGGGGCCCCAGATGTCTTCCGGGCCAGGAGGTGCCCCGCTGGATGGTGCTGACCCCCAGGCCTTGGGGCAGCAGAACCGGGGCCCAACCCCATTTAACCAGAACCAGCTGCACCAGCTCAGAGCTCAGATCATGGCCTACAAGATGCTGGCCAGGGGGCAGCCCCTCCCCGACCACCTGCAGATGGCGGTGCAGGGCAAGCGGCCGATGCCCGGGATGCAGCAGCAGATGCCAACGCTACCTCCACCCTCGGTGTCCGCAACAGGACCCGGCCCTGGCCCTGGCCCTGGCCCCGGCCCGGGTCCCGGCCCGGCACCTCCAAATTACAGCAGGCCTCATGGTAAGACTGGCTGCCCTGGCCCTCAGGTGTCTCAGAGCGAATGGCTGGGGCGTGGGTGGCGGGGTGGACAGACCGTGCTCTGTTGCCGACTGGGTTCCCCGGTTTGGGATTGCACGGGCCCATACTGCACTTCTGGGTGCTCGGGTGGTGGGGGCAGCTAAATGCTGCTTCCCCAGCTCCCCGCTTCCCCTGGGGCCGCTGGTTAATAGGTGTATCTGCTGTGTCCCCTGGAGCCAGGGCTGCCCACGGGGCTGGGCGCAGGCATAAACCTGGGACGCACTGTTTTCTCTTTTGTTTCTCCCTACATGTAGGTATGGGAGGGCCCAACATGCCTCCCCCAGGACCCTCGGGCGTGCCCCCCGGGATGCCAGGCCAGCCTCCTGGAGGGCCTCCCAAGCCCTGGCCTGAAGGTGAGCTCCCTCTTCTATGGTGGTGCACCCGTGCCCTTACTCCCCATCTCAAGCTTGGGTCCTTGAGATGAGCTTTGTCAGGGAGAAAGGGCCGAGGGTGGTCAGGCTGAACTGCAGCCTGTACTTTTCTTGTGGTGGTCCCCGGGTCTCCCCTGTAGCCAGTCAGTTCCCAAAGGCTGTCGTTCATCCCTCCTCTGACAGCTTGTGGCCTTCACCCAGTCCCTGAGCCCTGTATATGTAATTGCTCAGTAAGTGCTGCAGGCTCCCATCTGTTGGGCTCAAAGAGGCAGTGGGACTCATTACCCATCCTCTTGGAGCCTGAGGTTTAGCGATGGGCATTGAGGGGCAAATTGCTTCCACTGGATTTAGTTGGCACTAGGAGGAGATGACAGGAAATGCTGCCATAGAGCCACAGACAGAACAAAAAGGCCTTGGGAGCCTGGGGCTGGCCCCAGTGGAGGGTGTGAAGGACGAGGGTGAGGCTGAGATCTGGAGGAGGTTGGAGCCCAAGGCAGGTGTGAAGGACACCCCTGGGTGAAAGGTGGGAGATGGGCGGGGTCTGCCTGTCCCCAGTGCCTCAAGCAGCTCAGCAGCTTTCCATTTCCAGCCCGGGATGGGCCCCAGAGCTCAACATGACGCCCTGGCCCCTTGCCTTCTCCCAGGACCCATGGCGAATGCTGCTGCCCCCACGAGCACCCCTCAGAAGCTGATTCCCCCGCAGCCAACGGGCCGCCCTTCCCCCGCGCCCCCTGCCGTCCCACCCGCCGCCTCGCCCGTGATGCCACCGCAGACCCAGTCCCCCGGGCAGCCGGCCCAGCCCGCGCCCATGGTGCCACTGCACCAGAAGCAGAGCCGCATCACCCCCATCCAGAAGCCGCGGGGCCTCGACCCTGTGGAGATCCTGCAGGAGCGCGAGTACAGGTGAGGGCGGGGCCCAGTTGCCAAGGTCACTGCCCTGTGTCCCCCATGTCCCCCTGGGGAAGCCACTCAACTTTCTCCCCCACTCTAGCAAACAGTGCCCTGTGCCCACCACTGCCACTTGGCCTACACCTCCTTCCTCACCTCCCTGCTCCCACCCTGGCTGCGGTCTGTTTCCCACACAGCAGTTTGAGTTCTCTCTCTTTTTTTTTTTTTGAGACGGAGTTTCACTCTTGTTGCCCACGCTGGAGTGCAATGGCACAATCTCGGTTCACTGCAACCTGCATCTCCTGGCTTCAAGCGATTCTTCTGCCTCAGCCTCCTGAGTAGCTGGGATTATAGGCATGCGCCACCACACCTGGCTAATTTTGTATTTATTTTAGTAGAGGCAGGGTTTCTCCATGTTGGTCAGGCTGGTCTCGAGCTCCTGACCTCAGATGCTCCCAAAGTGCTGGGATTACAGGCATGAGCCACCGCACCTGGCATGAATTCTCTTTTTATGATTGATATCAGATCTACTCCGTGGATTAAAACCTGCCTGTAGCTTCAATTATCTGCCCAATAAGCTTTGCCTTATGTCCACTCCTGCCCAGCATCCTTCCTCACCCATCCCAGTCTCTCTGTTCCTCTTTTCATTTATTTAACAAGTTAGACTTGTTCCTGCCCCAGGACCTTTGCACAGGCTGTGCATGGCTCCTTCTACTCATTCAGGCCTGATTGCTGGGGTTCCCTCCTCATGGAGGCCCTTCCTGTCACTTCCAGCCACTCTCTGGAATTGCAGTGGATATTTTATTTTTTTTAAATCTCCTTTATGGCCTGTGTTTTCTAATGAGACTGAGAGTTCCTTGCTTTGTTGTTCTTGTTTAGTGCTAAGGCCCTGCACTTAAAATGGTCCCTGGCATACAGTTGGTGCTCAATGAGTATGTGCAGAAAGACTGATTAAGAGAATTAGCCCACATAACCTTCGCATGTAACCTTCGTAACCTTCAGACCAAGCCTCTAGGGTCACTCCGAGGGGTTGCCTCAGTTTTGAGGTGAGAATGCTGAGGTGTGCAGTTGAAATAGATTCCCACCGCCCTGCGCCTCATCCATGCCAGAGCTGCATGAAAACCTTGGCCCGCCTGACGCCAGAACCTGGCTCACACCACTGAAAAGGCATGACCTGGGCGCGTCTATCAGGAATCTTGTTTGCTGTCCCCTGAGGCCCGGTCCTGAGGAGTGCCCCGGGCTATCTCCCTCTCTGCTGTGCCCTGCGGCCAGCATCCTCTTCTGAGGCATCTCTTGCCTCATGACTAGTGCCTGCCTCTCTCGAGGGATGGGTCCCCTGCAGCTCCAGCTGTAACTGGGTGCCCTGGCAACCCTCTCACCGCCTTTGCTCCTTGTCTCTGCTCCCAGGCTGCAGGCTCGCATCGCACACCGAATTCAGGAACTTGAAAACCTTCCCGGGTCCCTGGCCGGGGATTTGCGAACCAAAGCGACCATTGAGCTCAAGGCCCTCAGGCTGCTGAACTTCCAGAGGCAGGTGGGTGCTGGCATGGCCGCAGCTTTCCGAAAAGGGCCTTTGTCACCAACACTGCTGCTAAGGCTCCAAATACGGCTTGCCTGGCTAGTATTACACCTGCCTGGGCTGTGAAAAGCAGCCGTGGCCATCCATGGGCACTCAATCACTGCAGAGCCTTCCTCTTACGGCCTGCGCAGTGCTGGGGACGTGGACCTCACTACCCTAAAGCACTTGCCGCCTCAAAGCAGACTTGTATGGGCTTCTTTCTTCCTTTCCCTTTCCCTTTTTTTTTTTTTTTGGAAACAGTCTTGCTCTATCACCTAGGCTGGAGTGCAGTGGCATAAACTCTGCTCACTGCAACCAACGCCTCCTGGGATCAAGCAATTCTTCTGCTTCAGCCTCCCAAGTAGCTGGGATTACAAGCGTGTGCCACCATGCCTAATTTTTATATTTTTAGTAGAGACAGGGTTTCACCATATTGGCCAGGCTGGTCTCAAACTCTTGACCTCAAATGATCGGCCTGCCTTGGCCTCCCAAAGTGCTGGGATTACAGGCATGAGCCACCACGTGCTGTCCTGCATGGGTCTATTTCTGAGGGTACTGTGCTTAGACCCTGGAGTGCAGTGGAGAGATCACAGCTCACTGCAAACTTGACCTCCCAGGCTCATGTCCTCCTCCCGCTTCAGCCTCCTGAGTAGCTGGGACTATAGGCGTGCACCATTACACCTGGCTATATTTTTCTTTTTTTTGAAACAGAGTCTCACTCTGTCACCCAGGCTGGAGTGCAGTGGTGCCATCTCACCCCACTGTGGCCTCTGCCTCTGTGGTTCAAGTGATTTTCCTGTCTCAGCCACTGAGTAGCTGGGATTACAGGTGTGCACCACCATGCCGGGCTGATTTTTTTGAAGTGCAGTGGCACAATCTTGGCTCACTGCAACCTCTGCCTTCCAGGTTCAAGTGATTCTCCCACCTCAGCCTCCTGAGTAGCTGGGATTACAGGCATGTGCCCCACGCCTGGCTAATTTTTGTATTTTTAGTAGAGACAGTGTTTCACCATGTTGGCCAGGCTGGTCTTAAACTCCTGACCTCAGGTGATCCTCCTGCCTCAGCCTCCCAAAGTGCTGGGATTACAGGCATGAGCCACCACGCAGGCCTGGTTTTTGTATTTTTAATAGACACAGGGTTTCGCCATGTCGCCCAGGCTAGTCTCGAACTCCTGAGCTCAAGCCATCCACCTGTCTCAGCCTCCCAAAGTGCTGGGATTACAGGCATGAGCCACTGCTCCTGGCCGCCTAGTTAATTTTTCTTCTAGTTTTTGTAGAAGTGAGGTCTCTCCATGTTGCCCAGGTTGGTCTCAAACTCCTGGGCTTGAGCAATCCTCCCACCTTGGCCTCCCAAAGTGTTGGGATTACTGGCGTTAAGCCACCACACCCAGCCAAGAGTGTTATACTTCTGAATGACTCCTAAGACGTGTGTGTGGTAGAGGGGAGGCAAGCTGGAGGTCCGAGAGGACCCCCTGGATAGATGTCCAGAAGTGATCACCTTCTGTCCTGTGCTCGCCCTGCCCGGGGGCACCTGCTAGACGTCCCCTGCACACACGGACTGGGTGTGTAAGGCACTTACAATGCTCCTTTAGCGGTGAAGCATGTGACATCACCATACGTGTTTGTCATTGTGGATGCCACAGAGCTGTGCAGTGCGCGGGCTTGTCCTCTTCCCTCCTACAGCTGCGCCAGGAGGTGGTGGTGTGCATGCGGAGGGACACAGCGCTGGAGACAGCCCTCAATGCTAAGGCCTACAAGCGCAGCAAGCGCCAGTCCCTGCGCGAGGCCCGCATCACTGAGAAGCTGGAGAAGCAGCAGAAGATCGAGCAGGAGCGCAAGCGCCGGCAGAAGCACCAGGTACGCTCCGGTGGCCCCAAGGCCCTGCAGCCCGCCCACCTGGCTGCCTGGCTTGTCCAGCGGTTGCCACGGGGCTGTGTTTGCTTTGTTCCTAAACATGCTGCTTGTCTCTCTCTTTTGCTCATTGTAACAGTATTCTAGGTACTGAGAGTGTATTGGTGTAAAAACCCAATGGTAGGGAGAAGATAGTGATGAAATCCACGCGTAGCACGTCTGGAAGGTGATAGGGCACAAAGAAAAATCAAGCCAGGATAGAGAGGAAGGAACGGGCTGTTGTAGAACTGATGTTGGGGGAGTTCTTTCTTTTGGAGGTGACATCTGGGCAGACCCCCAAGGAAGGGAGGCACACAGATCTGTGGGAAAGAGCTTTCTGGGAAAAGGAGAAGGTGCAAGGGCCCTGGGGCTGGAATGTGCCTGTGTTTTCTCTGGAAAGCAAGGACCTGCATGAGCCAGAGTAGAGTGAGTGGCGGGGAGAGCTGGAGGAAGGGAGCGCAGGGAGGTGACGAGCAGGTGATGCAGGGCCTTGCGAGCTGCATGGAGGATTTGGGCTTTTGCTCTGAGTAAAGTGGGAGCCATAGAGGGTTCTGGGCAGTGCAGGGACTGATCTGACTCAGGGTTTCCCAAGATGAATCAGTAAGACGGAAATCTTCAAATCTAAAATCAAGTAAGGATTTGGGGATGATTGTGCTGATTTGGTCATTTATAGATTTTCTAGAGATTTTCTATAATTAATATCTTATTGGTGTAGTGTAAAATAATCTAGACAGTCAACACAGCAATCTCTGTTAACTTTTTTTTTTTTTTTTGAGATGGAGTCTCGCTGTGTCACTGAGGCTGGAGTGCAGTGGTGCAATCTCGGCTCACTGCAACCTCCATCTCCTGGGTTCAAGCAGTTTTCCTGCCTCAGCCTACCTAGTAGCTGGGATTACAGGCACCTGCCACCATGCCTGGCTAACTTTTTTTTTGTATTTTTAGTAGAGATGGGGTTTCACCATGTTGGTCAGGCTGGTTTCAAATTCCTGACCTCAAGTGATCTGTCCGTCTTGGCCTCTCAAAGTGCTAAGATGGCAGGCGTAATCCCCCGTGCCTGGCCAACATTTTTTTTTTTTTTTTTTTTTGAGATGGAGTTTCACTCTTGTCACCCGGACTGGAGTGCAATGGCACGATCTTGGCTCACTGCAACCTCTGCCTCCTGGGTTCAAGGGATTCTCCTGCCTCAGCCTCCCAAGTAGTTGGGATTACAGATGTGCGCCGCCACACCTGTTTGTTTTTTTCTTTTTTTGAGACAGAGTTTCACTCTTGTTGCCCAGGCCGGAGTGCAGTGGTGCGATCTTGGTTCGACACAACCTCTGCCTCCTGGGTTCAAGCGATTTTCCTGCCTCAGCCTCCCAAGTAGCTGGGACTACAGGCACCTGCCACCATGCCTGGCTAATTTTTTATATTTTTAGTAGAGATGAGGTTTCACTATGTTGGCCAGGCTGCTGGTCTCAGACTGTTGACCTCGTGATCCGCCTGCCTCGGCTTCCCAAAGTGCTGGGATTACAGACGTGAGCCACTGCTCCTGACCACCAACATTTTTTTATATATATTATTTCAGCCTTTTTTCTTGTATATTAATACAAGGTTAAATAGCCCTTTTTAAATTTTTTCTAAAACTTTGCTTTTTTTTTTTTTTTTTTTGAGTCAGAATCTCACTCTGTTGCCCAGGCTGGAGTGCAGTGGCACGATCTCCACTCACTGCAGCCTCTGTCTTCTGGGTTCAAGCGATTCTCCTGCCTTAGCCACCTGAGCAGCTGGAATTACAGGTGTGCACCACCACACCTGGCTACTTTTTGTACTTTTAGTAGAGATGGGGATTCACCCTGTTGGCCAGGCTGGTCTTGAACTCCTGACCTCAAGTGATCCGCCTGCCTTGGCCTTCCAAAGTGCTGGAATTACAGGCGTGAGCCGCTGCTCCTGGCCACATCGCTTTGTTTTTAAGTATCATGGAAACATGACTTTTGATGTCTACACTGTATTCCATTTCTATGTGTCCAGGATCTAATCATTTATGTCACCTTTTTCCTGTTTGAGGACATGCAGCATGTTTCAGCTTTTGAAAATTAAAAATTATGCTAGGACCGGAATTCTTGGCTTGAACATTTTGGAGCTGGTCTCTGATATTTCCTTAAAATAAATTTGTAGTAATGGAATAAGTTGGGTGAAGGGTTGGAAGCATTTTTGAGACATTTCACATCCGTGCCATGCTGCCCTGCCAGTCGACTGCACTGTGTGCCTACCTGCTGTGTTTGAGGGCCTTTCCCACCCACAGTTGCCGGTGCTTAGTTTGTTTTTTTTTTTGAGACGGAGTCTCGCTCTGTCGCCCACGCTGGAGTGCAGTGGCGCGATCTCGGCTCACTGCAAGCTCTGCCTGCTGGGTTCATGCCATTCTTCTGCCTCGGCCTCCTGAGTAGCTGGGACTACAGGTGCCAGCCACCACGCCCGGCTAATTTTTTGTATTTTTAGTAGAGACGGGGTTTCACCATGTTAGCCAGGATGGTATCGATCTGACCTTGTGATCTGCCCACTTCGGCCTCCCAAAGTGCTGGGATTACAGGCGTGAGCCACCGCGCCCTGCCGCCAGTGCTGAGTTTTATCATCAGAGAGAGAAACCCAACCGCGGCAGGCAAAGGGTGTCCCTTTATTGTTTTCATAATAGTCTCGTTTTTATTTTATGTATTATATTTATTTTTTTGAGATGGAGTCTCACTCTGTCACCCAGGCTGGAGTACAGTGGTGCGATCTCAGCTCACTGCAACCTCTGTCTCCTGGATTCAAGCGATTCCCCTGCTTTGGCCTCCTGAGTAGCTGGGATTACAGGCATGTGCCACCACACCTGGCTAATATTTTTTGTATTTGTAGTAGAGATGGGGTTTCACTATGTTGGCTGGGCTGGTCTCGAACTCCTGACCTCAGGCATTTTGTCCTCCTCAGCCTCCCAAAGCGATATTCTAGGTTTTTTTTTTTTTTTTTTTTTTTGAGACAGCGTCTCACTCTGTTGCCCAGGCTGGAGCACAGTGGCACGATCTCGGCTCACTGCAAGCTCCGCCTCCCGGGTTCACGCCATTCTCCTGCCTCAGCCTCCCGAGTAGCTGGGACTACAGGCGGCCCCTCACCACGCCCGGCTGATTTTTTGAATTTTTTTTGTTAGTAGAGATGGGGTTTTACCATGGTCTCGATCTCCTGACCTCATGATCCGCCCGCCTCAGCCTCCCAAAGTGCTGGGATTACAGGCATGAGCCACTGTGCCCAGCCCTAATTTTTTTATTTTTATTTTTAGTAGAGACGGGGTTTCACCGTGTTAGCCAGGATGATCTCGATCTCCTGACCTCGTGATCTGCCCTCCTCTGCCTCCCAAAGCGCTGGGATTACAGGCCAATATTCTAGGTTTTAAACAAGCCTTGCGGGGAGATGTGTCCACCATGCTGCTGAAGGGTCAGCCTTCTCTTTTGTGCTTTCCTGCAGGAATACCTCAATAGCATTCTCCAGCATGCCAAGGATTTCAAGGAATATCACAGATCCGTCACAGGCAAAATCCAGAAGCTGACCAAGGCAGTGGCCACGTACCATGCCAACACGGAGCGGGAGCAGAAGAAAGAGAACGAGCGGATCGAGAAGGAGCGCATGCGGAGGCTCATGGTATGGTCCTGCCTTCTTGACGTGCGCTCTTCTACATGTGTAGCTGGTACTGCGGGCTCCAGGGGTCACTCCCCAGGGTTACGCCAAGGCATTTCACAGCTCGGAGTTAGAGGTGGGACAGAGGGAAAAGAGCAGGCGCGGGCTTGGGAGTCAGTCCTGGGCTCGGATATTTGCTGATCTCTCTGATCATCAGAATGACTGTGTGACCTCAGGCCACTTAGCCGGCTCCTCTGCCTTCTCTGGAAAATGGAGGTGGTGCCCCCTTCCCTCGTTCTGTGAGAGCCAGGTGGTGTGATCCAGACCCCCGACCCCTAGCATAAACATCTCTGACCATTTATTTGTGACTGAGTCGCTGGTTGGGCAGATATTGGCAGCGTGTTCTGGGCCAGGTGCTGCTCTGTGTACGGGGACATGGCCCCTGCCTTTGTGGGGGCTCCTGGTTGTGCTTGAGGGGCAGATACGCGAATGAAGCAAACAGAGTAGTGGATGGTGACCGCTACAGTGAGGAGGGGGAAGTGGAGTGGAAGGGGAGGGACAGGGTAGTAAGTAAAAGCCTTGAAACAGAGGCCCAAAGGGTGGCCCTGATGCACAAACGCAGAGACCCAGGGAAGGAGCCCCAGGCAGTGCGGACAAAGGTTGAGGTGGCAGGCAGCCATGTGCCAGGGCAGCCGGTAGCCCTGGGCTCCCAGAACAGCGTTGTGTGGGGCAGGAGGTGAGGTCAGAGCTTACAGGGGCAGGTGGGAGGTGGGACCTTTCAGACCATTGGGAGGACTCTGGGTTGAGTTCTGATCATGAAGGGGAGCCTCACCCGGGAGGGTTTTGGCTGTGGGGTGATGTGATCTGATGTATTCTTAGAAAGGTGGGGGGCTGCTGTAGGAGGTGGTGGGAGGGATGCACCTTGGACTTGGTGGAGAGAAGGCTTCGGGTTTGGGGTGTATTTCGTGGACAGAGTGGGTAGGACTGGCTCATGGCCTCTGTAAATGGCTGCTGGCGGGACTGTCTGCCTAGCGGGTGCCCTTGGAACCTAGCCCTTGGTGGGTTTTGAGGAAATGATTCCTGAATGAGGAGTCGATTGCCGTGTGAAGGGCTGGTGGCACGGCACCCGCGTGAGCTACGCGTGCCCTCAGTGCGCTTCTGGATTGACTGGCCATGGGTGCTCACAGACATGCACATTGTGCCACCACATTGCAGTAACCCCCATGCTTTTGTAGGCTGAAGATGAGGAGGGGTACCGCAAGCTCATCGACCAGAAGAAGGACAAGCGCCTGGCCTACCTCTTGCAGCAGACAGACGAGTACGTGGCTAACCTCACGGAGCTGGTGCGGCAGCACAAGGCTGCCCAGGTCGCCAAGGAGAAAAAGAAGAAAAAGAAAAAGAAGGTGTGCTGGGCCTGGCATGGTGCCCGCCGCGGGTGGGATGGGAGCAGCCGTCTTCACGTGTGTGGCCTCAGCCTTGTGGGTCAGGGCCTGACCGTGTCTCTCTCTATTTCCAGAAGGCAGAAAATGCAGAAGGACAGACGCCTGCCATTGGGCCGGATGGCGAGGTGAGGAAGCAGGGTTTCTTGTGGAAGTATCAAGCTAGCCCTAAGGCGTTGGTCTGTTTCAGACTTTAAAACCTGTGTTCTTTTAAAATTACGAACAATGATATGTGATGATGGTGAGAATCCCAGGGTGTCCTCTGACGCCCATCCCACCCGACCCCACATCCCACATGTTGTGTTTTCTTCCAGACCTTTTTCTATGCATGTGCCACAGGATTCATCTTTCAGGTTTTACTTTGTTGTAACGTCCGACTTACAGGAGAGGTGCAAGAACCGTCCAGAGATGTCCTGTGTGTTCTTCACCCAGAGTCTCCATTTTCACGTTTTGTGTTTTGTTTTGTTTCTTTGAGACAGGGTCTCTCTGTCACCCAGGCTGGATTGCAGTGGCGGATGGCTCACTGCAGCCTTGACCTCCTGGGCTCAAGTGATCCTACCCTTCGAGTAGCTGGGATTACGGTTATGCCCCACCACACCCAGCTAAGTTGTTTTTTTTTTTGAGATGGAGTTTTGCTCTTTTGCCCAGGCTAGAGTAAAGTGGTGCAATCTTGGCTCATTGCAGCCTCCGCCCCGCGAGTTCAATCAATTGTCCTGCCTCAGCCTCCTGAGTAGCTGGGATTATAGGCATCCACCACCACGCCCATTTAATTTTATTTTTATTTATTTATTTATTTATTTTAGACGGAGTCTCGTTCTGTCACACAGGCTGGAGTGCAATGGCACAATCTCTGCTCACTGCAAGCTCCGCCTCCTGGGTTCACGCCATTCTCCTGCCTCAGCCTCCCGAGTAGCTGGGACTACAGGCACCTGCTACCACGCCCGGCTAATTTTTTGTGTTTTTAGTAGAGATGGGATTTCACCGTGTTAGCCAGGATGGTTTCAATCTCCTGACCTCGTGAACATCGGCCTCCCAAAATGCTGGGATTACAGGCTTGATCCACCATGGCCAGCCAGTTTTTGTATTTTTAGTAGAGACGGGGTTTCACCATGTTGGCCAGGCTGGTCTTGAACTCCTGATCTCAAGTGATCCACCCGCCTTGGCCTCCCAAAGTGCCAGGATTACAGGCATAAGCCACCACGCCTGGCCTAATTTTTTAAAATTTATTTTCTATAGAGACGGGGGTTCCATATGTTTTTCAGGCTAGTCTCCAATTCCTGGGCTCAGGCATCCTCCTGCCTCAGCCTCCCAAAGTGTTAGGATTATAGGCATGAGCCCCCGCACCTGGCCTTCACCTGTGTTTTTTCCTAAACTCTTTGAGAGTCAAATGCAGACGTGACAGCGCCTTACCTCCATGTAATTCATTATCTACTTCATAAAGACAAGGTTGTTTCTGCACACTGTACCGAGGTGACGGACACAGGAGGTGAACATTGGTACAGCACTGTTATCCAATCTATAGGCCTTCGTATGAGGTTTGGCCAGTTTTTCCAGTTATCTTCACAGCAGCAGAGAATCCTGGGTCACATTTAGTGGAGGTCCCTTTAGTCAGCTTTAGTCTTAAAGAGCTCCTTGTGTGTGTGTTTGTTTTTTTGCAGAGATGGGGTCTCATGTTGCCCAGGCTGGTCTTGAACTCCTGGGCTCAAGTGATCCTCCCACCTCGGCCTTCCAAAGGCTGTGATTATAGGCGTGAGCCACCACGCTTGGCTTCAGGCCAGCTATGTCATCCAGTGGCCCCGGACTTTGGTTTGTCTGATGTTCCTTGTGGTTGGAGTTGGGTTATGTGTCTCTGGCAGGCAGACCCAACATGGCCCTGAGTCCCTCTCAGGGTGTCATATCGAGAGTGCATGGCGGAGGTTAGCAAATAAGGTCACTGGTGATGCTGACTTTGAACCCCTGCCAAGGGATCTCCACTGTCCAGTTACTGTTTTTTTCTTTTGTAATCAGTAAGTACCCTGTAGGGAGATACTTGAGACTCTGTAACTATGTTGTAACTCCTCAGAATTCCAGCTACTCCTTTTAGTATCTTTTTTTTTTTTTTTGCCTGTATCAGTTTTTGCTCTGATGGCTACAGGATGGTGACTTTTATTTCCATCGTTCTTTCTGCATTGATTTGTTTGTTTTTCTATAGTAGGAAAAGCTTTCTCTTTGGTCCTGTTAGTCCTGTGGCCATGGTCTGCCAACCCCTGGTGTAGACTTACGGATTCTTGTTTAGTTGAATGAATGGATTCCGATCCTTTAAAATGATTTCTTTTGGTCATTTAGCTTTAGCCAGCAGGAGCCCCTTGCCATTGGCTCCTGTTTGCTTTTGGTACATGCCCACCATTCCTGGAGCACTTCCTTCCTCATCAGACTTTTCTTCTGCTTTCCCTGCCTGAGCTCTCTGGAGCCAACTCTTTCTCCAGGGAGTCCTGGTTCCTTTTTTTTTTTTTTTTGTCTGTCAAGACGGGGTCTCCCTGTGTCACCCAGGCCGGAGTGTGTGGTGGTGCAATCATGGCTCCCTGTAGTCTCAACCTCCTGGACTGAAGCGATCCTCCCACCTCAGCCTCCTGAGTACCTGGGGCTACAGGCGCACGCCACCATGCTTGGTTAAGTGTTCTGTATTTTTTTGTAGAGACAGGGTTTCACCATGTTGCCCAGGCTGGTCTCGAACTCCTGAGCTCAAGCAATCTACCTGCCTTGGCCTCCCAAAGTGCTAGGATTACAGACATGAGCCACTATGCCTGGCTATATTTCGTATTATTACAGAAGAATATTTACATGCCAAGATCTGACTTTGGGGGTGCTTCCTGCTAGTGGGCCATCACTGCTTCTAGGCCCTCTGAGCAGCCGGATCTGGGAAATAGATGTATGTACACATACTCATCTGCATTGCTGTTTGTATATATTAAAACTTGTGGCTGGGCATGGTGGCTCATGCCTGTATTCCCAGTACTTTGGGAGGCCAATATGGGAGGACTACTTGAGCCCAGGAGTTCGAGACCAGTGTGGGCAATATGGCAAAACCTTGTCTTTATAAAAAATTTTAAAAATTAGTTGGGTGTAGTGGCATGCACCTGTGGTCCCAGCTACTTGAGAGGCTGAGGTGGGAGGATCACTTGAGTCCAAGAGTTTGAGGCTATAGTGAGCTGTAATCTCACCATTGCACTCCAGCCTGGTCAAGACAGTGAGACCCTATCTCACACGCAAAAAGAATCTTGAGGTTATACTGACACCTCCAATTCTAATCCAACAGCACAGGGTTAATTTTTATCCTTTCCGCCTTTCCATAATTCTAAAATCAGCAACCTGATTTCCCTTAGCAATAATAGGCTTACTTACCTGCTCCATTTTAGAATACACAGAAAGTACGTTCCAAAGTGCTAATGGACACCTCTATGCAGAAGTCTCCTAGTTAGAGTTCAGTATTTATAGAGTTCCTCTACCTCAGGATATGTGTTCCAAATACTGTGTCCAGAAGTTACTGGGGCCGGGTGCGGTGGCTCATGCCTGTAATCCCAGCACTTTGGGAGGCCAAGGTGGGCGGATCACCTAAGGTCAAGAGTTCAAGACCAGCCTGACCAACATAGTGAAACCTCGTCTCTGCTAAAAATACAAAAAATTAGCCAGGTGTGGGGGCACACGCCTGTGGTCCCAGCTACTTGGGAGGCTGAGGCAGGAGAATTGGTTGAACCTGAGAGGTGGAGGTTGCAGTGAGCCAGGTTCATGGCCATTGCACTCCAGCCTGGGTGACAGAGTGAGATTCTGTCTCAAAAAAAAAAAAAAAGAAGTTACTTTGGACCAGGTGTGGTGGCTCATGCCTATAACCCCAGCAGTTTGGGTTGCTAAGGTGGGTGGATCGCTTGAGCCCAGGAGTTCGAAACCAGCCTGAGCAACATGGTGAAACCTCATCTCTACAAAAAATTAACCAGGCTTGGTGCGCACGCCTGTAGTCCCACCTACTCGAGAGGCTGAGGTAGGGGGATAACTTAGCCCAGGAGGTCCAGGCTGCAGTGCACTGTGTTTGTACCACTGCATTCCAGCCTGGGGAGCTTTTTATTACTTGAGACAGGGTCTCTCTCTGTCAGCCAGTTCTGTCTCACAGTTCTGAAGCCATCTGGAGGACTCAAGAAAAAAGTAATGGGCCAGGTGCGGTGGCTCACATCTGTAATCCCAGCACTTTGGGAGGCCGAGGCAGGCAGATCATGAGGTCAGGAGTTCGAGACCAGTCTGGCCAGTATGGTGAAACCCAGTCTCTACTAAAAATACAAACATTAGCCAGGCGTGGTGGCAGGCTTCTGTAGTCCCAGCTACTGGGAGGCTGAGGCAGGAGAATCACTTAAACCCGGGAGGCGGATCACACCACTGCACTCCAGCCTGGGCGACAGAGTGAGACTCTGTCTCAAAAAAAAAAAAAAAAAGTCATGAAGTGGGAAAGTGCATGAAGTGGGAGCTTGTGCTCAGTCCTGCTGTGGCTGCCTGTCCTGTGGAGTGTTGAGAACAGGCACCGGCACTTGCTGCTGCTTGTGGGTTTTCTTGTTCTCGGACAGTGGTACTCAGCCTCTGTTGTGTGTTCTAGTCACCTGGGGAGCTCTCTATTATTATTACTACTATTATTTGAGACAGGGTCTCTCTGTTGTCCAGGCTGGAGTCCAGTGATGAGGTCATGGCTCACCGCAGCCTTGACGTCCTGGGCTCAAGTGATCCTCCGAGGACCTTTTTCTAAGTAGTAGCTGAGCATGAAGGCATGTGCCTGTTGTTGCAGCTGCTCAGGAGGCTGAGGTGGGAGGATTGCTTTAGTCCAGGAGTTCAAGACCAACCTGGGCAACATAGGGAGACTCTGTCTCTCCAAAAAATAAAATAATTACCTGGGCATGGTGGTGTGCACTTGCGGTCCCAGCTGATTGGGAGCCAGAGGTAGGCGGATCACTTGAGCCCAGGGCTTTGAGGCTGTGATCACACCTGTGAATAACCATGGTACTGAGCCCGTCTCCAAAAAATAAAAAGTAAATTAAAAATCTTAAAAAGCGAGGATGCCCAAGCCTCACTCCAGAGGAGTTCAATCAGAATTTTGGGTGTAGGGGAGGCATGCAGCAATCGGCATCTTTGACTGCTCCTCCCAGTGATCCCAGAGAGGATGTGGAGTTGAAAGTCCCTGACTGAGGCAGCCTGCAGAGCCCATTGTTGGGGTAAGAGGTTGCTCTTATGGTGGCCGCTCTGTGGGTGAGCTTTTAGCGCGTAGAGACTGATATCCCTCCGCTGTGTGGACGGTATTGACACTGTGAGCGCAGCAGTTTTGCAGGTAGTTATAAATTCCTGGAAGATGAAAACCAAAATTTAAACCAATAACTTTTTCTCCATCCTGGAAGTTTTTTCTAGGAAATATACAAGAATTGATGAGGGAGAAAATGTTTATCCATTGAATCTCAACAGGAGGAGTTTCATATTTGTTGCTAAGAGGAATTATTTTTGAAATATTTCAATTAGCTTTTTAACAAAAAAGAATGAGGACCCTTGATGAGATCTACAAATAGAGTATAAGTGGGGGAAAAAATCAAGGTCCAAAGAATGTAAATTATATAACCGTTAGTGTAAAAAAGAGGGAGAAAGTGGAAACGTCTAAGTCCTTGTTTCTTATCCATGGAATTGATCTGGAAGGATGGACAGGAAACTGATACCAGTGGAAAACTGTGAAGAGAAAAACTTAGGCTGGAGCACAGAAGAATGGGGAGAGCCCACATGATGCTCTTCAGTTTTCGTTAAAAAAATAAAAATGGGCCTTGGGAGGCCGAGGCGGGCAGATCACGAGGTCAGGAGATCGAGACTGTCTTGGCTAACACAGTGAAACCCCGTCTCCACTAAAAATACTAAAAATTAGCTGGGCATGGTGATGGGCACCTGTAGTCCCAGCTACTCTGGAGGCTGAGGCAGGAGAATGGCATGAACCTGGGAGGTGGAGCTTGCAGTGAGCCGATACCGCACCACTGCACTCCAGCCTGGGCAACAGAGTGAGACTCCATCTCAAAAAAATAAATAAATAAAAATAAAAAATAAAAATGGGCCGAGCATAGTGGCTCACGCCTGGAATCCCAGCACTTTGGGAGGCCAAGGCGGGTGGATCACATGAGGCCAGAAGTTTGAGACCAGCCCGGCCTGAATTTTCAGCTATGAGTGTCTGGACTATTTGAAAATTACAATGTATATGCCAGTTACCTTAAAGAAACAGGTGTTGGGAGACTGAGGCAGAGAATTGCTTGAACCCAGGAGGCAGAGGTTGTAGTGAGCCGAGAGCCGAGATCACGCCACTGCACTCTAGCCTGGGTGACAGAGCGAGACTCCGTCTCAAAAAAAAAAAAAAAAAAAAAAGAAGAAACAAGTGTCAGCCAAGGTTGATGGGTTATATATTTTTACTGGATTACTGAGTATACAGTTTACGCATTTTCCCACCACTGGCCATGTTTGCCTGCCATTTTCTGTGCAAACAGTTGAGTGGGTGCTTCCCACCTTGGCCTCTGTAAGTGTTTGGTCTGGAGGCCCTGCAACCTCAGTGTCACACGAATGACTCTTTTTCAGCCTCTGGACGAGACCAGCCAGATGAGCGACCTCCCGGTGAAGGTGATCCACGTGGAGAGTGGGAAGATCCTCACAGGCACAGATGCCCCCAAAGCCGGGCAGCTGGAGGCCTGGCTCGAGATGAACCCGGGGTGAGTTGGGCCTTGCATTCCAGATGCAGTGGGGATCCAAGTCCTCGGTGGGCCTTGTTCCAGGGAGGTGGCAGCCAGGAGCAATTTTACTTCTGTTTGAATTCCCGGCAGGTTTGGTAGGGAAAGTGAATTCTGCTGGCTCTGAGCAGATTTGTATGAAAGCCCTTACATTTTTTCTAGGTATGAAGTAGCTCCGAGGTCTGATAGTGAAGAAAGTGGCTCAGAAGAAGAGGAAGAGGTAAGAGTGCATTTCCTGGCTTTCAAGGCTCTCAGTGCCCACTGGCAGTGACTTCCACCCTGTGTGTTGTGACCGTCTCCTGCCCTGGCTGGGCATCTTGTGGGGCAGGGAACAGCAGGGCCCAGGCCTGCCCGAAGTCGGTGCTTTAGAGCTGTCCTATCCAATAGGGCAGCTTCTGGCGACATGTGACCATTTCCATTTTAAATTAAATCAGTCACATTACATAAAATTTAAGACTCATTTTCTCTTTCACACTGGCTGCATTTCAGGTGCTTGGCATCCCTTATCTGGGAATGGTCTGCCTCATTTGCCCATTTTTTTTTTTTTTTTTTGAAACGGAGTCTCACTCTGTCACCCAGGCTGGAGTGCACTGGTGCAATCTCAGCTCATTGCAACCTCCACCTCCCGGGTTCAAGCAATTCTCCTGCCTCAGCCTCCCAAGTAGCTGGGACTACAGGCGCCTGCCACCACGTCCAGCTAGTTTTTTTATGTTTAGTAGAGATGGAGTTTCATCATATTGGCCAGGCTGGTCTCAAACTCCCGACCTGAAGTGATCCACCTGCCTCAGCCTCCCAAAGTGCTGGGATTACAGACATGAACCTCCACGTCCGACTTATGATTTTTTTGTTGTTGTTTTGAAATGGAGACTTGCTGTGTTGCCCAGGCTGGAGTGCAGTGGCGCGATGTTGGCTCACTGCAGCCTCCACCTCCCGTGTTCAAGCGATTCTCCTGCCTCAGCCTCCCTAGTAGCTGGGACTTCAGGCACCTGCCACCATGCCTGGCTAATTTTTGTATTTTTAGTAGAGACAGGGTTACACCATGTTGGCCAGTCTGGTCTTGAACTCTTGACTGGTGATTTTTTTTTTTTTTGAGACAGAGTCTCACTCTATAGCCCAGGATGGAGTGCAGTGGCGCGATCTCGCTCACTGCAACCTCCGCCTCCCGGGTTCAAGTGATTCTCCTGCCTCAGTCTCCTGAGTAGCTGGGATTACAGGCGCCCGCCACCATGCCAGCTAATTTTTAAAATATTTTTAGTAGAGATGGGGTTCCACCATGTTGGCCAGGCTGGTCTCGAACTGCTGACCTTAAGCGATCCACCCACCTGGGCCTCCCAAAGTATTGGGATTACAGGCACGAACCAGTGCGTCAAAGTCTGTTCTGTGTTAGTCACTCTAACCCTCTTATGATTATTGTTCACATGGTACATCTTTTTCCCTTCTTTTACTTTCAACCTGAATCTACAACAGCATATGGGTTTTGCATTTTCAGCTAGTATGACAGTGACTGCTTTTTGACTGAGTTTTTAAGACCATTTATATTTACTGTAATTTCTGATATGATTGGGCTTACATTTGCTATTTCTTTTCTATGCCTCCTGTTTTTGTTCCTCCTTTACTGCCTTTTGTGTTCAATGTTTTTTTTCCCTAGATTTTTATTTTTATAGTGCCTTTTTTTTTTTTGAGACGGAGTCTCGCTCTGTCACCCAGGCTGGAGTGCAGTGGAGCAATCTCGGCTCACTGCAATCTCTGCCTCCCGGGTTCAAGTGATTCTCCTGCCTCAGCCTCCCGGGACTACAGGTGCATGCCACCAAACCCGGCTAATTTTTTTTTGTATTTTTAGTAGAGACAGGGTTTCACCATGTTGGTCAGGCTGGTCTCGAACTCCTGACCTCAGGTGATCTGCCTGCCTTGGCCTCCCAAAGTGTTGGGATTACAGGCGTGAGCCACCACGCCTGGCCTCTCCTATTTTTTTGCTTACCTCTTCATGTTTAGTTGAAGCGTACTTTAGCTACCCTGGAGTCTGACTTTTAAAACTCTGGGAGGTTGTGGTGGCGTCTAGTCTGTTTAGTAATTTCCTGGGGCTCAGTCTGTGAAATCTGGTTCCTGCATAGTGTGTATAGCCTCTGCTGTATTTCCTCAATTCTTTTAAACATTTTTTGGTTTTATCTTATTCGTGATTTTTTTCCTGGTTCATTAGGGGCAGGCAGTGTTTCTTTGTCACTTAGTGGTCATCCAAAGATTGGCCACAGTTTGTGCTCAGACACGCGCCTTCTTTCTCCTGCTGATGGTTCAGTTGTATGAGGAGGTGCATTCCACATTTGGGCCATTGTCGGGTTCTCCCTGGCACTTATGCTTTGCTGAGTCCTTTGGCGTCTCTTTGCATATGCACAGACTCAGCCTCAGCCAGTGATACGCTTTTCCCTACCGTGGCTGATCTCACCTCCATTAGCAGTGCCACTGGCTGTGGGCATTGCTTCCTTCTACAAGTGACTGAGCCCCTTCCACCTCCCTGCCAAGCCTCATGGCCTGCAGCTCTCCAGCTGTAAGAGGTTCATGTGTCCAGAGCTGAGGCAGAAGAAGTGAAAGTGGCCCACAGTAAAAGTGCTACAAACTCCCACTCTTCCCACCTGAAGTTCAGTTTTTTAAGGTTCAATGATTCTAGTAGACCTTTGGTCAACTCGCTGAGCTCTGAAATGCTCACTCTGTCAATTTGTCCGGCTTTATAGTTGCTTTTGGGGAGGAAATTTGCCCACCTCCTCATTTGGGTTTAGCCAGAAGTCTCACTCCTATTTTAATTCCAGCATGTCTGTACCAGCTCTGATTTTCTTGCCTAAAATGTCGGTGTTATTACCACCTGTTTATTCCAAGTGATCTGTAAAATCATTTTTTGTGACCTAAGGGAAATCCTACTGGCTTTTCACTGGAATTATTTAACAGATTAATTGCAGATCATATTTTTAAAGCTTTGTAGCAGTTCCATTATAGATGAGGGAACAATCAACTGTGTTGTATTTGTAGGATTTAAATGGCAATACAAGAATAGTTTAAGATAAGGAAATGCATTCTTGTCTATGTTATCAATATGTGTTATGCAAAATCGCAGTAAAGGCTGGAAAGCCATTAAATGATGCAACATGAATGATTAAACAAGTTCGTAGATAACTTGCAGTAAACTGAGATGCCTCTTGTCGCCAGTGTTATCAGACATATTGTAGATGGTTGAGACTTGTCAGTAAAGCTGGAAGTAAATTACAAGCAATAAATATTGAAAGTTGGTTCTAAGATATTTAAAGCCAGGCGCGGTGTCTCACGCCTGTAATCCCAGCATTTTGGGAGGGCAAGTTGGGTGGATGATCCAAGGTCAGGAGTTCGAGACCAGCCTGGCCAACATGATGAAACCCCGTCTCTACTAAAAAATACAAAAATTAGCCGGGGTGATGGTGGGCTCTAAGATATTTAATACCTAGGAAATCCAAGAGAATCAACTGATAAACTGCTTTAGTAGGTCAGCAGAGAATAGACGTGTAATGTTCATTGTATAACAGGGGTAGGAGAGATATGGAGTCTACTTCTAATTAGTAATGAAAGTCCACAATACCCTGAGATAGCCTTAAAAGAAGCGTCGGGGCCGGGTGCAGTGGCTCATACCTGTAATCCCAGCACTTTGGGAGGCTGAGGCAGGCAGATTCTTGAGCTCAGGAGTTTGAGACCAGCCTGGGCAACATAGTGAGTCCCTGTCTCTACCAAAAATGCAAAACAATTAGCCAAGTGTCATAGTGCACGCCTGTGGTCCCAGCTACTCGAGAGGCTGAGGTGGGAGGATCGCTTAAGTCCAGTGGGTGGAGGTAGCAGCGAGCTGAGATAGCACCACTGCCCTCCAGCCAGAGTGACAGAGCAAGACCCCATCTCAACAATAACAAAAAAAAGGAAGTGTCAGGAATCTGTGGTGGGGAAACCAAAAACGGTTTACTGGGCTGGGTGCGGTGGCTCACGCCTGTAATCCCAGCACTTTGGGAAGCCAAGGCAGGCGGATCACGAGGTCAGGAGTTCAAGACCAGCCTGGCCAACATAGTGAAACCCCGTCTCTACTAAAAATACAAAAATTAGCCAGGCATGGTGGCGCATGCCTGTAATCCCAGCTACTTGGGAGGTTGAGGCAGGAGAATCGCTTGAACCTGGGAGCTGGAGGTTGCACTGCGCCGAGATCACGCCACTGCACTCCAGCTTGGGCAACAGAGTGACACTTCGTCTCAAAAAAAAAAAAAAAAAAAAAAAGATGTAGCCAGTGTGGTGGCATTTGCCTGTAGTCCCAGCTACTTGAGAGGCTGAGGCGAGAGGATTGCTTGAGCCCAGGAGTTTGAGACCAGCCCGGGGAATGTCACGAGACTACATATCTACAAAAATTCAAAACATTTGAGCTGGGTGTGGTGGTGCATAGCTGTAGTTCTAGCTGCTGGGGAGGCTGAGGCAGGATGATTGCTTGAGCTGAGGAGTTCAAAGCCATCTGGGCAACATCCTGAGACTCCCATATATTAAAAAAAATAATAATAAATACATAATTTTAAAACAAAGATGTAAATAATAAACAGCACACATTCCAGGATAGGTAGAGGGGGTGAGGGCTGTAAGAAGATCACTTGCTTCTGAGACTGTTCTCCCCATGGGAGTCCCGTCCCCCCTCTCTGGGGGATGAACTGAGGTGACATGGGCTTGTCTCTTGGTAGGAGGAGGAGGAAGAGCAGCCGCAGGCAGCACAGCCTCCCACCCTGCCCGTGGAGGAGAAGAAGAAGATTCCAGATCCAGACAGCGATGACGTCTCTGAGGTGGACGCGCGGCACATCATTGAGTAAGGGGTCCCGACACAGGTTGTTCTGTGCCAGCTTCCTGTGAGGTGGCGCTGGTGGGAGTGGCTAGAATCCCAGCCATCCCTAGCTGACATTCAGCACTGTCCAGCCAGCTGCTACTGTGGAACTACAGAGACCAAATTTATTTACTTCACATTTCATGTATTTTATAGGGATTTAATAGAGCAATTGCATTCGCATGGTTCACCATATGCTTACGAGGTACAGTCAGGTGTGCGGGAGAAGCCCTCCTCACCCCGTTCTCTGCTCCCCGGCTCCCTCCCTTTCCACTACCCTCCCTGGGGAAACTTTCCAGCCTTGTGTGTCATCTTCCAGAGATGCTGTCTGCATTAGCAAGCAAAATGTGCATATTTTTGTCTTCATTTGCATACATATCTCCAGTGTACATTGGTGTGCACCTTGTTATTTTCACTGAACCTTCCCTCTTGGAGGTCATCCTGTGTCCGTGCAGAGTGCTTCCAGTCTGGTCCTCAGCGTGCAGTGTCATACTGCGTCACGTTATATTCTCATTTTCGTAGCCTGTCCTTTGGTGACAAGCGTTTAGGTTATATTTGTCATCTTTTGCTCCTGTAACACATCACAGTTAACACAGTAATCTCTTCATTGCTTATGGTAAGGAATTAATAGATCCTGTTAAAAAGCAAGTGAGGGCTGGGCGTGGTGGCTCAGGCCTGTAATCCCAGCACTTTGGGAGGCCAAGGCAGGTGGATCACTTGAGGTCAGGAGTTCAAGACCAGCCTGGCCAACTTGGTGAAACCGCATCTCTACTAAAAATACAAAAATTAGCTGGGCGTGGTGGCGTGCACCTGGAGTCCCAGCTACTTGGGAGGCTGAGACAGGAGAATCGCTTGAAATGGGGAGGAGGAGGCTGCAGTGAGCTGAGATAGCGCCACTGCACTCTAGCCTGGGCAACAGAGGGAGACTCCATCTCAAAAAAAAAAAAAATGTAGGTGGATAAAAGTCACTTTTTTTTTTTTTTTTTTTTTTTTTTTTTTTTTTGAGATAGAGTCTTGCTCTTCACCAGGCTGGAGTACAGTGGTGCGATCTTGGCTCACTGCAACCTCCACCTCCTGGGTTCGAGTGATTCTCTTGCCTCGGCCTCCTGAGTAGCTGGCACAACAGGCGCGGGCCACCACGTCCAGCTAATTTTTGTGTTTTTAGTAGAGATGGGGTTTCACCATGTTGGCCAGGATGGTCTTGATCTCTTGACCTCATGATCTACCCACTTTGAGCTCCCAAAGTGCTGGGATTACAGGCGTGAGCCACCGCACCTGGCCAGAGTTACTTTTTAAAAGAAAAACATTCAGATTAGATTACAAATTGCCTAAGTTTTAACAGCTCTGGTTTTGTATGAACCTGTTCAGTCTGTGTTTCTTTTCACCTTTAGGCTCATGAATTGTTCTTAGAAAGGGTGGGTTCTATGATGATCAGCATCTGGCTAGGTGCAGAGTGTCTTTCTGTGCTGTGGCAAGTGACAGCATTCTATTTGTTGTTTTGAGACAGTCTTGCTCAGTCGCCCAGGCTGGAGTGCAGTGGCTCGATCTCTTGACTCACTGCAGCCTCTGCCTCCGGGCTTAAGTGTTTCTTTTACCTCAGCCTCCTGAGTAGCTGGGGTTACAGGCATGCACCACCACGCCCGGCTAACTTTTTTTTTTTTTTTTTTTGAGACAGAGTCTTGCTCTGTCGCCCAGGCTAGAGTGCAGTGGCACGATCTCGGCTCTCTGCAAGCTCCGCCTCCCAGGTTCATGCCATTCTCCTGCCTCAGCCTCCCAAGTAGCTGGGACTACAGGCGCCTGCCACCACGCCCGGCTAATTTTTGTATTTTTAGTAGAGACGGGGTTTCACCATGTTGGCCAGGCTGGTCTAGAATTCCTGACCTCAGGTGATCCACATGCCTTGGCCTCCCAAAGTGCTGGGATTACAGGTGTAAGCCACTGTGCCCAGCCTAATTTTTGTTTTTTGTAGTAGAGATGGGGTTTCACCATGTTGGCCAGGCTGGTCTTGATCTCCTGGCCTCAAGTGATCCACCTGCTTCAGCCTCCCAAAGTGTTGAAATTACAGGCGTGAGCCACCACGCCCATCAGAGTGACAGAATTCTTGTACTGTGGTGGTGCAATCAGGACCCAGAGCTCCCAGGAGTCCAGTCTGGACCCCTCAGGCTTAGTGCGGGCTGCCCTGCCTGGCCTCACACTGTCCGGCTGCACCTCTATGTGTCTTACAGTGCTGGCCACAGGTCATTCAGCAGAAAGGGCCACTCCGCAGAGCTTGTGTCAGGAGCCAGCACATTGTCACAGATAGGAATGTGTGTCCTTACCCGGCACCTCCATCTCACTCCCAGGAATGCCAAGCAAGATGTCGATGATGAATATGGCGTGTCCCAGGCCCTTGCACGTGGCCTGCAGTCCTACTATGCCGTGGCCCATGCTGTCACTGAGAGAGTGGACAAGCAGTCAGCGCTTATGGTCAATGGTGTCCTCAAACAGTACCAGGTGAGGTAGGGGGTGGGGAGGCCACCGCCACGTAGCTGCCTCGGTGCAGGTGTTCCCAGGTGGTGCGGGCTTCAGACCTCAGGCAGACCTGAGTTCACCTTTTGCTCTTTGTGGGCAATGCACTCTTCCCCTCTGAGCCTCGGTTTCCCCATGTGTAAAGCAGAGATGTGGTCTGGTAGGTTAGCTGCCAGGAGGACGTGCAACAGCAGAAAGTCAGTGTCTACTGGGTGCCCGATGTGCCAGGCAGAGTGGGAGCGATTTGCACTCCAGTGGCCTCACAGAGGAGACGGGGCCACCTGAGGAGCAGAGAGGTGCAGCACCTCCTCAGCATCGCACCGTGTGTAGGACTGAACCAGGGCCGGAGCTCAGATCTGGGCATCTGCATGCTCAGGACAGGTTACCTGAGCTCTGTGTGGTGTGAAACGGCGAGCGTCAGGAGCTTAGATCTAGGAGCCGGCAGCCCTGGACTCCGCTCTTTCTTCTGGGGATGAGGTAGCAGGTCCTGTGTGAGGGTGAAAAGTTGGTGGCTCTGAAGCTCTTCACCTGGGCCTGACTTGGGACAGTCACGAAACAGAGCTGCTCATGCTCTTAATGCGGCCTGCCATCCAGAGCTCATTACAAGGCCCCACAAGACAACCAGTACAACTCCAACCAAAGAACAGCTCTCTCTGGTTTTCAATTTGGTTGTTTCTTTTCTTTTCTTTTTTTTTTTTGAAACGGAGCCTCTCTGTTGCCCAGGCTGGAGTGCAATGGCGCGATCTCAGCTCACTGCAACCTCTGCCTCCCGGGTTCAAGTGATTCTCCTGCCTCAGACTCCTGAGTAGCTGGGACTACAAGTGCGTGCCATCACGCCCGGCTAGTTTTTGTATTTTTAGTAGAGACAGAGTTTCACCATGTCGGCCAAGCTGGTCTCAAACTCCTGACCTCAGGTGATCCGCCCACCTTGGCCTCCCAAAGTGCTGGGATTACAGATGTAAGCCAGTGCACCCAGCCCCAACTTTCTTTAAGACAACTCTTAAACCTTTTGTGCTAGTATCAACATTCAAAGCTGCACATGCACCTATAGTCCCAGCTACTTAAGAGGCTGAGATGGGAGGATCGCATGAGCCCAGGAGTTGAAAGTGGGCCTGGGCAACATAGTGAGACACTGCCTCTACAAAAATATTTTAAAAATTAGCTGGGGGTGGTAGCACACATCTGTAGTCCCAGATAGTTGGGCGGCTTAGGTGGGAGGAGAGCCCGAGCCCAGGACTTCTGAGCTGTAGCGCCCTATGTCGATCAGGTGTCTGTACTAAGTTCAGCATGAATATGATGACCTTCCAGGAGTGGGGCACCACCAGGTGGCCTAAGGAGGAGCGAATCTGCCCAGGTCAGAAATGGAGCAGGTCAAAACTGATGTGCTGATCCGTAGTGAGATAGTCCCTGTGAAGAGCCACTGCACTCCAGCCTGGGTGGCATAGCGAGACCCCATCTCTATAAAACAATAATGAAACAAAGGCAAAGCTCATGGTTAGTGGAATTTTCCAAGAGTCCCATGCAATTAAAATAATTAGAACTTGGCTAGGCGCAGTGGCTCATGGCTGTGATGCCAGCACTTTGGGAGACCAAGGCGGGTGGATCACCTGAGGTCAGGAGTTTGAGACCAGGCTGGCCAACATGATGAGACCCTGTCTCTACCGAAAATACAAAAAATTAGCTGGGCATGGTGGTGCATGCCTGTAATCCCAGCTACTTGGGAGGCTGAGGCAGAATTGCTTGAACCTGGGAGGCAGAGGTTGCAGTGAGCCAAGATCGGGCCACTGCACTCCAGCTTGGGTGAGAGTGAGACTCGGTCTCAAAAAAAAAAAAATGAATTAGAACTTGGCCAGAACTTACTTCCTCAATCCATTACGAACATTTCCAAATTTTCCTTCATAACGTTATCTTCAGTTTGCAAATAGTCTTCTGTTTAAGGCCTGTATTTCAGAAAGCTCCCAGGCTTTGGAAATCCCTCTCTTAATCTTGAAATGATGTTCAGGCAGTGAATTCCTCACGAAGTCGCCCTGAAGCCCTCTTGGTTTCCTGAGTGCAAGTGTCCCGTGGTGTGGGCAGGTTTTTCCTGTGTGCTGTGTGGGGCATGGACAGGCAGACAATGTAACAGGTGGGAGTGAGCTGTTGAGATGTGTATTAGAAATGTCACACGTGTCCATCGTTCGCACAGTCATCCTGCAGCTTCACAGACGTTATTGCTAAGGATGAGGCTAAGCGATAAAGAATCAGTTTGGTTCAGAGGAAAAATCCGTGGTAAAGGCAGTAGAGGGTGGGATGTGGCTTAGGCAGAACTCGTGGCTGGCGGTGTCTTGACTCTCTGAAGTGGGAGGACCCTCTGGTGTCCGACCCGGCCTTCAGTCCTGGCGTGGCCGCATCTGTCCTTGCAGATCAAAGGTTTGGAGTGGCTGGTGTCCCTGTACAACAACAACCTGAACGGCATCCTGGCCGACGAGATGGGCCTGGGGAAGACCATCCAGACCATCGCGCTCATCACGTACCTCATGGAGCACAAACGCATCAATGGGCCCTTCCTCATCATCGTGCCTCTCTCGTGAGTACCCGCTGCCAGCAACATCCCACACGCCGCTCACACGCTCCTGTGTTTGTTTCCTAAGTTTGCCGCAGTAGAATACCACAAACGAGGTGGCTTAATTACAGAAATTTGTTTTCCTGGAGGCCAGAAGTCCAGGGTCAAGGTGTAGCAGGTTGCTTCCTCCTGAGGCCTCTCTTCCTGCTTGCAGGGATACGTGCTTACATGTATCTCACTGTGTCTTCACATGGTCCTTCCTCTGTGCGTGTCTGTGTCCTCATCTCTTCTTCTTAGAAGGACATGGGTCAGGTTGGATGAGGGTGCATCCTAATGGCCTGCTTTAACTTCATTGCCTCTGTATTGGCCCTGTCTCCAGGTACAGTCGCATCCTGAGCTGCTGGGGGTCAGGACTGCTCCACCAGCCTCGGGGCTGTGCACAGCTCCACCCGTCACAGCCTCTGCCTCTGGGTCCCGGATCAAGTGGGGGCATGACTGTGCATCCCCTCCACCCCTGGGGAGGCCTGGGGTCCCTCTCCCGGGATGTCCTTGGTGTCCTTTTCAAGTCCCACAACCAGCAAAGTCCATGCAGGGGAGTCGCAGGAGACAAGAACCTCCCACTAGAAAAGTAGGGTGAGGCCATTGAGGCTCCATTGAACAGTCTCTACTTCCTCACTGTGCAGTGCCCTGCAAGGGCCACCAGAGCCCTCGGGCACATCCCAGCATGGCCCAGGTCCTTGGGCATGGTGGGATCCGGACACCCTGAGAGGCTCTCACTTGCCACTGCCTGGCTCCACCGGCCTTTTTCTCCCTGCAAACAGAGTCCGCCCCCCTGCCCACCTCTCTCGACATCTCTCTACCCAGCTCAGCCCCTGCACTAAAGGGGGACCTGCCTAGGGTTTTCCCAGAAAGCCCCAGGGCCGGCTCTTACTGGTCCAGTTCAAGTCACATGTCCAGCAAGCAGACAGTCACCGGCCTGGGGGTTAGTCTGGTCTGATTGGGCAAACTTCAGCATAGCATTTGGTCTGGCCCTAGAGCACAGCCCCTAACTCCAACCAGGCACTCATTGGGACCACTACAGCCACGAGTCAGCAGCGGACCCCCAACTCCTGGCAGGCTGGGGAGCGGCATGCCCATGCTCCAACCCCATGGGAAAATGCCCTTCTGCCTATAAGACAGCCAGGCCCCATGGGTCACACACCCATAGGGTAGGCCTGACGTCCTGACTGTTGCAGGGAGGACTGGAGGAAAGGTGAGGACCCCAGAACCCTCCCAGGTTTACTGTGGAACTGTTTCTTTCTTCTATCTCCCTGCTTCCTACGTGGCGGGTAGAACAGACTGCTCTGAAGGAGCAGGGCGTCCTTGTGCACAGCGCTGCAGGTAGCTGCACCTCCCCTCGTGGTCAGACCCAGATTGCTACAGCGTTCCTGCTGCACCTGCCTGAGCTCTGTCCCCTGTCTGTGTCTGGAGGCTGTTCCTTCCGGCTCTGCCCACCTCCTGGCTCCCCTCTGCCCTTCTTCCCCTGGAGGCTGATGGGTGCAGTGGCAGTCGCCCTCTGCAGTTCCCGATTTTCCCTCCTTTCACTTACAGACTTCTCAGATCACCATCTCTGCTGGAACGCCGCTCTCCAGGGTGCTGTTGTTTTGCAGCCTTGGTTCTTAGTTGTTAATTTTTTGCTTTAAAAAATTTTTTTAAACTTTTCATTTTGAAATGATCTCATTTATTTTTATTTTTTTTTATTTTTTGAGGAGTCTCGCACTGTTGACCAGCCTGGAGTGCAGTGGTGCCATCTTGGTTCACTGCAACCTCTGCCTCCTGGGTTCAAGCGATTCTCCTGCCTCAGCCTCCCGAGTAGCTGGGATTAGAGGCACGCGCCACCATGTCCGGCTAACTTTTTTGCATTTTTAGTAGAGACAGGGTTTCTCCATGTTGGCTAGGCTGGTCTTGAACTCCTGACCCCATGATCTGCCCGCCTTGGCCTCCCAAAGTGCTGGGATTACAGGAGTGAGCCACTGTGCCTGGCGACCTCATTCTTAGAAAACATTGTAGAGTTAGTGTAAAGAATTGCTATGCACCCTTCACCCATCTTCCCCATTCTTTCATAACCCCAAGACAATTATGAAAACCAGGAAGATAACATGGACGTAGGACTAATAGCAAACCAGAGGCCTTATTTACCAATCTTGTCAGTTTTCTCACAAGTGGCCTTGCTCTGGTCCAGGATCCCACACTGTCACGTCTGTGTGGCATGCCTGTGGCAGTTCCTCATTTCGTCTTTGTCCTGGTCGAGCTTGACGCTGTTGAATCCTGATCGGACCTTTGGTAGACTCTCCTTCAATTTGGGTTTGTCCGATGTGATCGCGTGGAGCAACACCACGCCCTGCTTGATGTGCCTTAGCGGGGAAGGCATGAGATGTTGAGGCCTTGGTGTCTCGGGCAAGGTGCCTGCTGGGTTTCCCACTGTAAACCTAGGAGTTACACTTTCCGTTAATAACTGTCTCGTGGGAACGTACTTCGACACTTGTGAATATCTCATTTCTCTTCCTACTTTCCTCAATAATTTCAGCATCTCTTCTACTCCATTTCATGTTGCCATAAAGGAATACCTGAGACTAGGTGATAAAGAAAAGAGGTTTAGCTGGGCGCGGTGGCTCACTCCTGTAATCCCAGCACTTTGGGAGGCCGAGGCAGGCGGATCACCTGAGGTCAGGAGTTTGAGACCAGCCTGACCAACATGGTGAAACCCTGTCCCTACCAAAAATACAAAAAAAAATTAGCCAGGCATGGTGGCGCATGCCTGTAATCCCAGCCACTCAGGAGGCTGAGACAGGAGAATCACTTGAACCTGGGAGACGGGGGTTGCAGTGAGCCAATATCGTGCCATTGCATTCCAGCCTGGGCAACAAGAATGAAACGCCTTCTCAAAAAAAAAAAGAGGTTTATTTGGCTCATGATTCTGCTGGCTGGAAGACTGGGCACCTGGTGAGGGCTTCAGGCGGATTCCACTCCTGGTGGAAGGCAAAGGGGAGCCAGTGTGTAGAGATCCCATGGGGAGGGAGGAGGCGAGGGAGGCGGGGGTGCCGGGCTCCTTTTAACCATAGCTCCCACGAGAGTTCAGAGAGCAGGAACTCATTCATCCCCCATCCCCAGTACAGTACAGGCCGTTCACGAGGGTTCACGAGGCCGTTCACGAGGGAGGCCCCCATGACACAGATGCCTCCCACCAGGCCCCACCTCCAACATTGGAAATCAGACTTCAGCATGAGGTTTGGAGGTGCCAGATACCCAAACTATAGCAGCAAACGTCAGATAAGTCTTGCCTGAAAAAATAATTACATGAGAGTTGCCAAATACATGGTTACCTGTTTCTGTCCGCTCTTCTCTACAAATTAATTGGAATTCCACCGTTAGGAAGAGCTTTCCCGTCTCCCCCATGTGCTTGTTTGGGTAATTATTATATCAGTGTGGGCGTGAACAAATATTATTTATTTTGTTGCTTCAGTTTTTTTCAGATTTGGCCTGGGAGAATTCTCCCTGGAAGAATTGTGTCTTCTCTATGTATTCAGTCATTTGTTAATATGAGTATGGACCCACGGATATTTATTTAGTACTCCAGGCTACGCACCAGTGGCTGGGTTTTTTTTGTTTTGTGGCTCAAATCCATCCAGCTTTGGCCACTGGGAGTGCTTTCAGTTGGCTCTTCTGTCCTTTGACACGCCCCCAGCATCGGGTGAATTTTGAGGACTTTCTTGCTTTTTGGCACCAAGAGATGCTGCAGGCTCATGTAGTCTATTTCCCGCCCACTCCCTCAAATCAGCCATTTCTCCAAGGAGCCCTGGTTTCCCTTCTTACAGAATGGTTTTGGGAACCAAGACCTGGGTCCTGGATGGGCCTGTTGCTTCTGGGGTGTCATTGCTCCTGGGGCCCTCTCAGTGGTCAGTGCTAGGAGATTCATGTGCGCGTGCTGATGCTTTGTGCACGTATCGTCTAAAAGGCCTTCTCTGCCTCGGCATCTGTTTCTGTGTTAAGCTGAACGTGAGTTCATACCACTGTCTGCGGCTCTGAGTGAGGACCACAGGTTCCTTCTCACACTTCCACCCTGTGTGTGCGCCCATTCTCAGCTTCCGTGGACAACAGTTTCAGAGTAGTGAGCCGGTACCTCCGGGAAGCATCTTGAGCCACTAGAGCGCAGGCCTTGGGGCCAGTTCCTTGTGTGTTCAGACCTCCAGATTGCAGTCAGATTCCATTTCCAGGGTGATAGAGGTCACCTTCTTCCCCTACTTCAGTGAGGTTGTGAGGTGGGTGCTCCTGCAGTCTTTCCCACTGCGCCCCACCTGGGCAAGCGTCCATGCTGTGGAACGCCAGCTCCTGCAGGCCAGAAGAGGGCCCGCGCGCTAGGAAATGTTTACGGCGTATGGGCATCCGGCTGTGCCGGCCCTCTCACTGGGAATTGCTGCCTCCTGCCATGAGCTGCTTGTCCTGCCTCCGTTTGGACCTCTGTCTCTGGGACCTGTCCCCTCAGTCCCCTCCTGACCCTTGCTCCTGGCTCTTCTCCCTCCCAGTGCAGATGCTCCGCACACCTCCGGCTTCTCCCTTGGTGCGCTGACTGTCCCCATCACTCCAGGGAGGTTTCACTGTTCCTGAGTCAGCGGAAGCACAGGGTCAGGCCCTACGGGCCAGGTCCGGTGGCTCCAAGATGCCATCAGGGACCCAGCCTCCCCCAGGTTTCTGCCCAGTCATTCTTGGGTGACTCCAACCCTCAGGCTCCTTACCTCATGGTTGCAGGACGGCTGCACTGCCTCCCTCGCCTCATGCAGGAGAGTGGGCAGGAAAGAGTTCTAGGAGAGTGGGCAGGGCAAAAGGCAGCAGAAGCGCAAGGCTGCTGAGCCTCTGCTCCCCACGCTTCTTCAGGAACTCTCCCCAGCCTTCACCACAGCCATGCGTCCTTCTGTCTATTGGCTGTGCCGCCTGGTTGGCTGTGGCTTCCAGCGGGGCTGGAGATGGGTTCATGGTGGACACAGCACCTCCCTCGTGGAGCTGCTTGGGGGCAAACCACGAGTAGTCCCTGGGACTCCAGCTTCGAGCCCTGTCTTTACGGACCACCCCGTCTAGACTTTCTGAGTGGCTTCCCTCCCCCACTGAAAACTCCCTGCCCCAGAGTTCCTCCCAGAGCCCGTCCCCTTTGGGACTCAGCTTTATTACCGCCTCCACCCTCTCCTCAGTCTCTAGGCTGTCGGTCTCAGGTGACTCACCCCTCCCCACTGCATTCTGCCTGCCCCCATGTCCTCCCTCATTCCAGCCCTGGTCATCCCACAGGGGAACAGCCACGAGTTGCCGCTCCCTCCCATCCCTGTCCTCCCGCCTGCCACCTGAGCCAGGCCCCGCCTCGCCCCTCACTGTCCTCGTTCTCTCTCACAGTCAGGAACCTTCCGTGGCTGGAGGGTGGCAGAAAGACTGTTTGGTGTCTCCTATATCCTCAGGTCTCCACAGCACTGTTGCTAGCCTGGCTCTGGGCGTGAAGCCTGTGCTCTGAAGCTGCATTTTCCCGGCAGCAGGTCCAGGCTTCCCCAGCCCTGGCAGCATTGTTTCTGTCCCCCATCACATCTCTGTGTCCCTACTTCTCACTCTAAAGGGCCTTGCCCTCTTTTCCCAGTGGCCTCCCTTCTGTCCTCTGAGGCAGAGCCCTTCACGTCCTCGCCAGTCTCTCTTCCTCCCTCCCTCCCTCAGCTGCCCTAAACACAGTTTCTCTGCCCACTCGGAGGGCTGTGGCCATGTTGGCCTCGCCCCTGACAGCCAGTGGCTATGGGTTTGCACAGTGAGCCATTGATGAGAGACCGGCACTTGACTCTCATTTCCTTGTTCCATCAGAACGCTGTCCAACTGGGCGTACGAGTTTGACAAGTGGGCCCCCTCCGTGGTGAAGGTGTCTTACAAGGTAGGTCACAGCCACTGAGGTTTCCTCTCTTGCTACGGAGGTGCAGGCGGTGGTGGGCAGGACGTCCACACATACCTCTGGACAGTGAACCTGAGAATGCTGGGTCTCCAGTCGCATGGAGTCTCCAGGACAGCCTGGAACTCCAGTCACATGGATCCGGGAGTTTGGACTGGGCAGGGACAGGGCAGATTAGCTCACTGGGGAGGAGACAGGAGTGAGCATGGTGGCCAGCACTCAGAGGCCAGCTCAGGCGCCTGAGATGGGGACCCAGGAAGAGGGGAGCCTGTCAGCCACCAGGAATGTGCAGATGGCGGTGCAGGCTGCGTGGTTCCCTCAGGCCCCGGCCGCCGCTGGCCTGCACTGCTTCCTCTTCCCCCTGCAGCGCGTGTTCTGCGTGGTGAGGTCTGGGGACGCGCCAGCGGCCCTGCCAGCCCCTTTCCCCACTACCCCTGTGAGGACGAGCCCTCCCGCCGTGTCACTGGGCAGTTGCAGGGGGTGCCTGTGCCCCTCTTGCCACCTGGCCACCCGGCTCCAAAAGCCGAGCTGTGCATCCTGCTTCCCTTGCAGGGATCCCCAGCAGCAAGACGGGCCTTTGTCCCCCAGCTCCGGAGTGGGAAGTTCAACGTCTTGCTGACGACGTACGAGTACATCATCAAAGACAAGCACATCCTCGCCAAGGTAACGTGTCCCTGTGGGAAATGCCAGGCCATGGGCCGAGTGCTCACACGTGGGTCACGCTGCCCGTCTCCTCCAAAGCCCCTACAAGTTTCTTCCCGGAGTCCCACCTGCATGTGCGTGAAGACAGCTGCCCTGTGTAGGGGAAAGGCCTAGGTGGGGGCGACCTCAGGTTTACCTCCCTAACTGTCTCCAGGCAGGCCCTGAGTCAGGCCCAGAAGCTGGGGCCATCTACACAGCATGCGCTCTGCCTCCTCTCGGGCCTTCTGCCCAGAGAGCCTCAGCACCAAGGCGTCTCCTGACCCGCCTACAGAGTCCCCATGGGGCCTTGGCCAGACCAGTCTTGTCCTCCTGTCT
The DNA here is from genome assembly GCF_000001405.40 of Homo sapiens. Lineage (NCBI taxonomy): Eukaryota > Metazoa > Chordata > Mammalia > Primates > Hominidae > Homo > Homo sapiens. The sequence goes on from NC_000019.10 coordinate 11,020,056, forward strand.
CATTGCCTTGGCCGTCCCTCCCTGGGGCCCTGGCTTCTCACCACAGGCCATGGGCTGAGATTCAGCATGTGGGGGAGAGCTCGAGGGCCAAATACCATGACTGCCTGCTGGCCTTGGGCAGCTGGTTCGGGCTGTTCTGTGAGGGTCCTACTGTCCTGGAAGCCTCTTCTGGGACGAAACTGTGAAGGGAGTCCCAGCGTGGCCATGACTGAGAATACGGCCCAGATAGAAAACAGACATAGCCCTCTGCCTCCAAAAACTCATGTTCCTCATTTGAGGAGGGGTAAAGATGTACCTGGTCTCACCCCTAAACATCCAGCTGAGTGAGTGTTGAACAGTAGAGAGTTTTTTGCGTTTTGGTTTTTTTTTTTTTGAGACCGAGTCTCGCTCTGTTGCCCATGCTGGAGTGCAGTGATGTGATCACAGCTCACTGCAGGCCTGACCTCCTGGCCTCAAGCGATCCTCCCACCTCACCCTCCTGAGTAGCTGGGACTACAGGTGTGCGCCACCACTCCCAGCTAACTTTTTTAAATTTATTTTTTATGGAGATGGGGTCTTGCTGTACTGCCCAGGCTGGTCTCAAACTCCTGGCCTCAAGGAATCCTCTCGCCTTGGCCTCACAAAGCACTGGGCAACTGTGTCTGGCCTAACAGTAGAGTTCTTGACCCAGGTATGGGGGGATGGAGGAGCTGTTTATGGGTGGCTCCGCCTCTCAGTGCATGGCTGGAGTGACAGTACTGGAATACTGGGGCTGTGAACTGGGTGTTTTCTTTTCTTTTTCTCTTCTTTTTTTTTTTTATTGAGACAGAGTCTCACAGCTGTCACCCAGGCTGGAGTGCAGTGGAGCGATCTCAGCTCACTGCAACAACCTCTGCCTCCTGGGTTCAAGTGATTCTCCTGCCTCAGCCTTCCGAGGACTGGGTGCTTTATCCCGGAGCCAACAAGGGAGGAAACTGAGGCCCAGGGAGCTGGGTATCCCACGTGCAGGCTCTTACCTCAGGTCCATGCTTCAGGTGCCTCCTTTGTGGCTCACCCCTGCTGACTCCTTACAAAGCCAGGCCGTTGGCAGGCACAGGAACCAGGCTCTGAAACCCCGTGCTCCCCTGCCAGTGGCTCAGTTGATGTAATCACCCTGCAGTGGGAGTGCTCTTTGAGTGCGGCCACTGCGCCCCCTCCCGACCCGCATGGCCCTGTATGTAGTGGCGCTGGCCCCTACCCCATGGGGCCCACATTCTGAACCACAGGCTGCTCATTAGAAATGTACCGTCACCAACCCAGTTCCCCTGAGACCCTCCACACCAGCAGGACAAGTCCCCCAGTCAGCAAGATGTGTCTTCTGCCAGAACGTGCTCGGCATTTTTCTGTGCTGTAGATTCATATGTGTGATTTTGCAGGGAAGCCAGATTGCTTTTTTGCAATTTGCATTGTTCACCTGCCAATAGTCATGGGGTCACGGGCCTGTCTCTGCCCAAGGCTTGCAAGAGGCTACGTTGTGTGGCTCCAACTCGGTGAGTCAGCCCCGGGGCAGGACGTCAGGCCTGTGCTCTCCACCCAGCTGCGCTCTTCCACCTGGAGCCTTCCTGGCTGCTGGGCGCAGAGTGGGAGATTCTCCCCATGTGCCGGGCCACCTGCTGCCCCCTGCCCTGATTGCCCACTCTGGGGCCCGCAGATCCGTTGGAAGTACATGATTGTGGACGAAGGTCACCGCATGAAGAACCACCACTGCAAGCTGACGCAGGTGCTCAACACGCACTATGTGGCACCCCGCCGCCTGCTGCTGACGGGCACACCGCTGCAGAACAAGCTTCCCGAGCTCTGGGCGCTGCTCAACTTCCTGCTGCCCACCATCTTCAAGAGCTGCAGCACCTTCGAGCAGTGGTTTAACGCACCCTTTGCCATGACCGGGGAAAAGGTGGGTTTGCCCAGCTGTGCCCATGCTGACGGTTCCAGGTGCGGCTGGCTTTGCTGGTTGGAACGTGTTGAGCACCAGCTACAGCTGGCTGGGCCTGTGCTGGGTGCCTGGTGAGAGTCTGCATCTGCATGGAGCAGGGGAGCCCTGGAACCCAAGGCTGGGGCAGCCACAAGGGCCCCAGGGGAGCAGGGCAGAGGTCATGGTGGTGAATCTCGGAATGCTCGGGGCGTCTCTGACCCTATGCTCCAGGTGCAGAGTGGATGGTGAGGAAGATGGCCCTGAGGCAGCTGTGGGACCGCAAGCGTGTGGAGAGCACAGCTAGAGGCTGTAGCGTGCTGTAGGCCCCTTTAGGTGCCCTCAGAACTCACCCTCAGGGCAGTGGGAAGGAAACTTGGAAGATTCCAGTTAGCGGGGCCACATGGTCAGGTTCTGTCTTACGTTGTTTTCAAAAAGCTCAGTGGCCAGTGTGTCTCAATGTCTGGGTGGCACCATCAGCCAGACTGTGGCATGGCAGCATCATCATTGATGAGTGGTCCCACACCAGCACTGATCCCTGAGCCTAGAGCTCCTTGCTGTTGGAGGTTGAAACTGTGGGACAGACTGTGTTTCCTGCTGAGGGGTTTAAGTAACCAGATGCTGAAGTGTGGGCAGAACTACAGAGGTTACCTCGAAGTGCCCTGCCCAGCACGGCTGGGCCCACCCCCTTCTTCCCACCTTAGACAGGTCCAGGGCAGCTGGGGCCTTCCTGGCCTCATGCGTGAGTTCCCTGCCCTCTCGGCTGCTGGTCAAGGCAGAGACTCTTCTGATGGCGAAACCGAGGCATTCCCCAAAGCCTCGTGATAAAGGAGTCCCCAATTTTTAGACTCCCGGGACCCCCACACTAAGGGCCAGGATCTGATGCTATAGTTTTGTCACTTTCTGAGCCGAGCAAAAGCTCTGCCAAAGGATTGCCAGGGAAGCAATAGAAGAAAAGTTTTGGCGTCGTCTCATTTTCCTTTAACTTTTTTAATTAAAACATTTTAAAAGTTAATTATTAGTAGAGGAGTAGGCGCCGTGGGAGGTCAGGGTTTCTTTCACCTGGTTCCACCCAGGCTGAATGAGAGTCCCTTGGGGCTCCCGGTGGCAGAGCCCTCCCTGAGAATCACCCGCTATAAGCCCCATGTGGTCAGCCTGGCCCCTGCAGCGCTCCTGGCATGAGCTTGGCGTGGGGTGGGTCTGTGGACACTCCAGTTTGTGTTACTCGTGGAGAAGCAGCATGCCCGCTGCCGGGGGTCTTTCTGGTGAGGCACAGGGAGCAGAGTGCTCTGGGTACTGCGGTTCCATGTCCCAGGAATTACATGGAGGGAACCAGATCCTCACAGTTTCCTAAGGAAGAGGGTGCCCTGCCTGGCTCCCAGAAAGCATAAAGCAGGCTGAAAAGCCACGTGCCAAGGGCAAGATCACCCCAGGGGACCCCGTCCACCCTGTCCCCACATCCGCACCTTCTAGTGAGACCTCTGTCGCCCTCCTTTGGAGGTAACGCTTGCTTCTCCTGTCTTGGGGGCTTCCAGGTGGACCTGAATGAGGAGGAAACCATTCTCATCATCCGGCGTCTCCACAAAGTGCTGCGGCCCTTCTTGCTCCGACGACTCAAGAAGGAAGTCGAGGCCCAGTTGCCCGAAAAGGTGATGGAGTTTTGAGGGGAGCCACCAGTGAAGCAGCCTCACGTGGGGGCTTTCTCCAGGGCTGGGCGTGCTCAGGGCCTCTCCCCACAGTCCCAGGCCTGCCCTGGTCAATCCAGCTTGGGGGTGGCGATGACGCCACTGGGTCTGTAAAGCCCTGTGCTGCTGTTGTAGGGATTGAAAAGCACTCATAGGCTCACATAGCTCACAATAGGTTAGAGCACAAAATCCCACTTCCTGTCAGGGGGCCAGGTGCCTGTGCGGGCTCTCCTGGCCACATCAGGAGGGGCCGTGGGCTTGGGGTTGCCCCCCGGCCCCCCATCATGGCTCTGGGTTTTCAAGGCCTGCTGCAGCCACACCCCTGGGCCCAGTTCCCACAGCAAGACCCATGGACTCGGGGTCCCCGGCTGCAGTTGTCCCTCTTGGCTCTTTGTTTCCTGGCTGGCTGTAGAGAGGCCCCCAGAAGATGGCTGGGGGGCCCTTTCTGGCCCAGTAACCCTCTGGTATCTCTGCCTGGTGCTTCCTCTCATTGCCCAGGTCTCCCCTCTTCTCCCCAGCTGTGAGGGTCTCCTCACCCACACCCCAGTGTGCTCTGGTCAGAGCTCATATGACAGGGCCGAGGGGGTCAGAGCTGGGTTCGGATGGGGGGAGTCAGGCCTCAAGCCACCTTGGGCCCTCGTGAGCATTATGTGTCCCCTGCAGGTGGAGTACGTCATCAAGTGCGACATGTCTGCGCTGCAGCGAGTGCTCTACCGCCACATGCAGGCCAAGGGCGTGCTGCTGACTGATGGCTCCGAGAAGGACAAGAAGGTGGGCCCCAGAGTCCCCCAACTGCATTCCCCACTGGGTGTCCAAGGCCGGCAGCGTGGCAGGCAGAGCAGAGCGTGCTCTGACCATCGGGTCATGATCTGGTCATGATCCCCAGGGCATCTGGCCAGCCCTGGTTATGATGGCTGGTGGCTTGTGTCAGGACACACTGACTCAGCTGCCAGTGGCTTCTCCTTTGCCTATGAAACACTGGCTCCTTCTGCAATTGGCAGCCTGGGCCCAGCACTAACCCCAGCAGGGTTAGAGTGTTCTAGAATGCCCCCCTTCTCTGTTATTAAGTGAAAGGAAGGGAGCGGGCTGTCTCCTGCAGGGGCTGCTCTGAGAATCCCAGGCCCCAGGCCCCACCTGCCTGGCTCTCCTCACCAGCAGTGAAATTATCCTCCCAGGAAATGCACCAGACCCCTTGATTCTGCCCCCAAGGCCTTGACCTCGGCCTGGCTTCCCCGAGACGTTGTGTCTGTGCCCCTTCTCCCCTGAGCTGAGCAGCAGTGTGTTCCCTAGTCCATTCCCAGCCCAGAGCATGCACCCCCCGCCCCGCCCCCACCTCCTTCCTCATCCTGGAGCCCAGGGAGCCCTGAGTCATGGCTCACCCGGCTGAGGCCCTCTTGCCCAGCTGAGACCCTCTAGGGACCCCCACAGTAACAGTGCCCAGAACAAAGCTGGCATCACAAAGCATCGGGGACTCTGCCTCAGCCCTTTGCCAGTCTTGTTTCCGTCCCGTCCTGCTGGCCCTGTCCCTGCCATCTGCCCTCTGCTGTGCCAGGCAGTCATTTGTTTCCCAGGGCTTGTTGGGGGCCTCCGGGCCTCCAGCCTGCCATCTCCTCACTCCCAATTGCTGTGCCAAAAGCCACTCTTCCCCACTAGAGCGTCCCCATGGCCCTTCTCCCAACACCCACCCATCCACCAAGCCCACCCCACCCCAGGAGGGCAAGACCCCATTTGGGTCCCTCTCATCTGCCTTCCAGGGCAAAGGCGGCACCAAGACCCTGATGAACACCATCATGCAGCTGCGGAAGATCTGCAACCACCCCTACATGTTCCAGCACATCGAGGTGAGCCCGCCGCGGCTGGGACGGCTCAGGCCCTGCTGTCTGCTGAGCTCCTAGGCAGAGCTGGCTTCTCCTCGACAGCTCTTTAAAAACAGACTCGAATATTTTCATTAGGTAATGCCTGTACATCTGTCTCTCATTTGGTCTTCGCTTCACCAGTGCTTACGGGAAGAATCCCAGCAGTTAGGGCGCAACGTGCGATAGGAATATAGGGCCCTGAAAGCTTGCCCTCAGAGAGCAGGAGCGTTTGGAGACTTCTCTGGGGATGTGTCCCCCCACAGTGGGGTCCTGCTGCGTCTCTTTGGCTCACTGGCTTTTCTCACGTTGCGGGGCGTCAAGAGTCACCACCGTCTTCAGTGAAGTGTGGGGGAGTCAGAACCCTTTTTGGTCATGGTGGCTTTGAGAATCTGGGTTCTTAGAAGCATGCATATGTTCGTGTTTCTTGGTGTAAAGTGTCAGGGTCGTTGGAGACCGCCTGCTGCCCCGAGAGCCCCTGGGGCTGTCTCAGCACCCTGAGCGTGGCTGTGGCCCCATGACGTCCTCGTGCATTCAGGGTGTGAAGAGTGCTGTATGGGATGTCCTTTCCTTCGTTGGAGGAGTGTGAGGGAAAGGATGTCAGTGGACTAAGAAAGATGGTTTTGGCATCTGTGTCTGGTCTCAGAGCCGCCGTGGGCCCGTGCCGAGCACACAGTGTGGGGGCTTTGTCCTCTGAGCACGAGCGGTGTGTGCGGACCGCAGCGGGGCCCGGTGGCCTGCTCCTGCCTGTCACTGACCCCTCTCTCCTTGCCTTGCAGGAGTCCTTTTCCGAGCACTTGGGGTTCACTGGCGGCATTGTCCAAGGGTGAGAAGCTTCCCAACTGGATGGGGTGGGCAGGTGGTCCACCCAGAGGTTTTCTGTCGTTTTGTTGGCTTTATTGCTGCTGTTATGTTGTCCAATTTCAAAGGCAGAAAATTAGAAAATACAGAAGAATCCAAAGCAAATAATACAAATCTTTTTTTTTTTTTTTTTTTGAGGTGGAGTTTTGCTCTTGTTGCCCAGGCTGGAGTGCAGTGACACAATCTCGGCTCACTGCAACCTCTGCCTCCTGGGTTCAAATGATTCTCCTGCCTCAGCCTCCCGAGTAGCTGGGATTACCGGCACCTGCCACCACCCAGCTAATTTTTTGTATTTTTAGTAGAGATGGGGTTTCACCATGTTGACCAGGCTGATCTTGAACTCCTGACCTCAAGTGATCCACCCGCCTTGGCCTCCCAAAGTGCTGGAATTACAGGTGTGAGCCACCGCGCCCGGCCCCATTATACAAATCTTTAGTGCTTGGAGAGCTGACCACTATTAACCCCAAGAGACAGGATTCCTGAGGCAGACCTGGCTTACAGATCCCACTCTGCCGCCTCCAAGCTCTGTGACTCTAGACAGCTTTCTTAACCTCTCTGAGCCTAAACTCTGCTCACTAGTACAGAGGCACTCTTTACATCATGTGGGTGTTTTCTATAGCACCCTTTGTAAGGGGCAGCCCAGACTCCTTTAAGCCCCTAATGGATGTGGATGCTGTGTCTAGATTTTCACCATTGCAAAGAACCTTGCTAAAAGCATTCTTCCAGCTAAAGCCTCCATTCAATTCCCCTGGGGTAGTAAGCCATTTGCAAGAAGAGAGGCGCCTAATGAAAACATCACAAATTCTTTTTGATGTGTTTTTTTATACTGAGTTGTGGAACAGGGTCCTGTACACCTGGCTTCAAGGCTGGGAGGCCTGGCTTGGACATGTGGTCAGCCATATCACGTCGTCCCCCTGCCAGCCTCAGTGTCCACATCTACAACACTTGGGGTTTGGCTGGAGAGAACATGAGAAGCCGAGGTGGCCCTTCCTTCTGGGTCTAGCAGAGCATGGGTGTCTCCAGTGTGGCATTTGCTCCTGGGGCTTCTTTATCGGGCAAGGGGACAAGGTCTGGCTTCCCGGAGCATCCCTGTTCCAGCCCCGTGTTGTGCCGGCCATGTGACTCACAGCTCCTCTCATTTTCATGAGTGTCTGGGTTTGACGAGAAATACATGTGCCACCCTGGTGATACGCCTCCCCAGCGAGGGTGGCCGGGCTTATTTCAGTTGGGGGAAATGGCTTTGCTGAAGCTTTGGGTGGGTGACGTCTGCTTAGGATGCATGTCTGTGCCCTTGAACCCGGCGCCTGGCCTGGAGGCGGGCGATGCACCTCCTGCCTTACCTGCCTGCAGGGTTCCAGGTTTAACATCCTGCGCCTTCTCTCCTGCCTCCTCCACACTCCAGGCTGGACCTGTACCGAGCCTCGGGTAAATTTGAGCTTCTTGATAGAATTCTTCCCAAACTCCGAGCAACCAACCACAAAGTGCTGCTGTTCTGCCAAATGACCTCCCTCATGACCATCATGGAAGATTACTTTGCGTATCGCGGCTTTAAATACCTCAGGCTTGATGGTGAGTATGAGCCAGTGAGGCGTTTCTTACAGGGTTTTGTTGTTGTGGCTGCCACAGAAGCTCCTCACTGGCATTCCCTCCTGTGAGGCAGGGTGAGGCCCAGGCGCTCTGGGTCCAGTGGCCAGAGTGGGCCTAGCCACAGGCTGAGCATCTTGGGCACTCGGCACTGGGACAGGCCGTGGATTGGACGCCGGGTGTCCTGACTCCTAGGCTGACAGTCTTTCCACGACAATGCTGGGCGCACTGGGGAAGGGGTGCCCTGTGCACTTTTAGCTGGAAGTGACAGAATTCCATACCATGTGGACACAGGAAAGAAAGCACCAATAGGCTTACATAGCTCTAACCCCAGGAGGTTAAACATCCTTCAGGCACAGCTGGATCCAGGCATGCAGGTGATATTGGAGAGACTTTTCTCCAGCTCTTTGCTCTGCCTTCTTCCATCTTGGCTTCCTTTCCACCTGCTCAGTGTCCCCAACAAAGGCAGGTCCCAGGCTGGCTCTCATTTAGCTGCTGTGAGCCGCATGCCCATCCCTGGGCCATTCGTAGCAGCCCAGTGACTGCCACCTTGCCACAGGTCAGGCCTGGACCTGGAATCAGACTCTGTGGTGAGCACGGAGGGAGGGAAGCAAGCACTGCCAGGCAGGAGCAGCAGCTGCCGTAGAGAGGCTCTCAGCCCAACCCCCTGCCCTGCGGTCCCTGATGGGAAAGGTCACCGCCTGTGTTTCTGCGCCTGCCTGCCCCAGCACACGGGAGCTCAGGGAGGAGAGGCTGTGAGATGCCGACAGGGCACGTGAGACATGTCTGTCAGTCCCAGTGGGTCAGGGAGCCCTGGAGTGAGTTCTTCGTGGGAGTTACTAGAACTGGGCTTACGAGAAACACGAGCATGAGCTGCTGAGACAGACACGGCTCAGCCAGTTTGTTGTTCCCTACACGACCTCCCAGAGCCTTTGTTGAAGCTCCTGTGCAAGGTCTGTCTCACAGCAGGACACCCCAGACCTCCATACCCCTTGTCCCGTTGATCACTTGGACCTGTGTTTGCTGGGCCAACCTGCCCAGGTGCCACCCGGAGTGTGCCCTGTGTGTCCCTCCAAACTGCAGGTCCTCCCCGGGGTTCTGTCCAGGACCACTCTACAGACACGAGTCTGTTGCAGGGGTCTCCCCGGCTTGCCTTCTTCCTTGGGGGCTTCCCACTTTCAGCTTTGAGGCTGAAAACCAAAATCCTTCAGGGTCCTCATGGCCGGGCCACCCCCCACCCTTTCCTCTCCTACGGTCTCTCCAGCGGCTTCTCCCGTCCTCGAGAGGGCCAAGGCTTCCTGAGGGCCATCCCGTCTGTGTCGTGTCCCTGACTCCCCCAGGAGAGAGCCTGGTTCCCACCCATCCCAGTGCCCTTCTGCCTACTCCATAAGGACAAGGACTTTGGTCAGTTGAACTACAGATGTGTCCTCTGCATGTGATGTGGTCATGGCCACAGGGCCAGAGAATCCATTGCGAGTAGAGGAAGGGTAGGAGCTCAGTGAAGTCTCCTGAGACTGCATCTCCCATGGGTGGGCTGGCATCTGGGAGCCGGGTGGCCCCTCACCTCAGCCCCTCCTCCGAGCTGGAGTAGCAGGGGCACATCTGGTGCCTGAGAGAGGGTGGGACGGCAGGTGGATGGCCAGGCTACTGTGGGCTTCTGCACCGTGCCTGGGCATGTGTAGGCTGGTGGCAGGAAATGGCCAGTTTTTATTTCTTCTTTTTTTTGAGACGGAGTTTCACTCTTGTTGCCCAGGCTGGAGTGCAGTGGCATGATCTCAGCTCACTGCAACCTCCGCCGCCTGGATTCAAGCGATTCTCCTGCCTCATCCTCCCTGGTATCTGGGATTACAGGCGCCCGCCACTACGCCCAGCTAATTTTCTTGTATTTTTAGTAGAGACGGGGTTTCACCATGTTGGCCAGGCTGGTCTCGAACTCCTGTCCTCAGGCGATCCACCCACCTCAGCCTCCCAAAGTGTTGGGATTACAGGCATGAGTCACCGCGCCCGGCCTGCCAGTTTTTATTTCATCACCAAAATGACTTCAGTGTTCAGGGGCACCTCTGTCCGAACTCCCAGCAGCGCAGGGAGTGTTGACATTGCCTTAATGCCCACAACGCTGAGGGCATCGTGGGTTGTCACCCAGGAGACCTGCTCTGGCTCCTTGACTTGGGTTTTCTGGGGCATGGGGACACTGATCCTGCCAGAAAGGACACGAGCCCCCTTTATAAGGTCTCCATGCTTTTACCGTAGAAGATTCTCTTTGTGAACCACAAAACTTTTTGAGACAGGGCTGAAGGCAGGTGCACCCACAGTCACTGTCCACCCACCCCCAGGTCCCTTGTGTTGCGAGCGGCGGTGTTGCCGGCATTGGCCGCTGTGTCTTCCGCTCCCCATGGAATGGCACAGGGTAGAGTAGAGGAGAGAATCCAGGGCTGTGGTGGTGGTGGCTGTGCTGACGCTGGACGCTGTGGCCTAGCTGTGGGCTGGGTGCTGGACTCTGTGCTCCAGGCCCACCTCCTCTAGTTCTCCCAGCGGGGCCTGTTTTCATTTCTGGGATGTGTGGAGAGACGTTTTGTGGTGAAACACTGGAAATCCAGTTATTCGCCAGTGGCCCACAGGCCCGTGTGGAGAGTGCGGAGCCAGGGATCTGGGGATGCTGGCAGGTGCTGATCCTGCTCCTGCTCTCAGAAGCAGGTGTTCCTTGGTGTCCCCACTCTACCCCTGAGGTCACCCCGCTGACCCTGTTCTCCTCTGTGCCCGTCAGGAACCACGAAGGCGGAGGACCGGGGCATGCTGCTGAAAACCTTCAACGAGCCCGGCTCTGAGTACTTCATCTTCCTGCTCAGCACCCGGGCTGGGGGGCTCGGCCTGAACCTCCAGTCGGCAGACACTGTGATCATTTTTGACAGCGACTGGAATCCTCACCAGGTAAAAGCGGGCCGGGCCCCAGGTCGAGGAGAAGGAAGGGGGTGCCTGCAAAACCTCGAGGAGACGGCCCTGGCTTGAGGGTCCTCCAGCCTCCTCCACATTGTCTTGGACCCCAGGAGCCGGGAGGAGCTGCACCCATATCTCCATAGGTCATCAGGGAGAAAAGAGGCGGGGTCCTCCTGTTTCCCAAAATACAAACAGCCTTTCCCTCTGATTGGGAAAGCAGTGTATAAGCCATCCGTCGGTTTGGTTTTTCTTAAATCTTGGAATGGCACCCATGAGGAGGTGGAAAGTATCCTGATCAATCTGCGCCGTCACTGTGGGGCGGCCCCTGCAGTGTGCCCTGTGAGCACACACACTGGCGCTTGTTCAGACACAATTGGGGGTAAACTCCATGCCACTTCGTTTACTTCCTCCTCTTGTTCCATAACCATGTACCCCTCATGGGCCTCGGCATCGGTGGATACCAGGTCATGCTGTTACATAGCTACAAGAATTTGAAAATGAGTTAAACTTTTCTCTGTGTTTCATTATAAGACTGATAAGTTCTTATTGTTTTTAACATGTAAACACCAGTGACAGTCAGGAGTCCCTTTTCCCTTCCTCTCCAACCGTGCTCTCTTCTGAGCCTCTGCCAGCCCATCTGCCTTCGCACATGTATGTACTGAGATTAACACAGATGCGGCGTGGCCTAGCATGTGCCTCTTCCACCAAGCAGTGGGTGTCAACCGCCGAGTGCACATCGGAAGCTACCCAGCCATCTAATCGGCCACCAGGCGTCCCGGCAGATGGCCACCCCTGGACGTCTGCTCTCAAACTCTGGTTGGCAGGCATCCGTCTTTTCTGTTGATCAGCCTGGTCACCAACCCAGCAGGGTCCCTCTTTCTCTCAGAGTGCTTGTGCAAACACCCTAGGTCTGCGCAGCCCTCAGACATGGGGTCGCTCCACCCCAGACATTGTCCTCTTCGTGTTCTGGTTGCTACTGCCAAAGTGGTTTCACTCCTACGCTGGGGTGTGAATGTACCCTGCCCTTCCCTGCAGCGTGAGGGCAGCAGCGTTCTCAGTGTGTAAATTGTCGCTTGTCTGATGGGTGAATGCCGTGGTGGTCACTGGTGGCCCCTTTTACGATCAGGCTGGGGTGTAGCTTCTGCCCAGACCCTGGTGACCAGCCAGTTTCTTAGGAGGTGGTTGAGTTGTGTGTCCCCGTTGGCAGGCCGGCAGCAGGCGGAAGCTGCACCTCAGGGCTGGGGGCGCGTTGGGGAGGGCTGGCCCTGCCAGGAAGTGTGCTGACAGGGCAGGAGGGCTGAGCGGCAGACACAAGGCACTCCTGGTCCCCACCAGCTGTGGCCTCTGCCACCCCATGGGTGCCAGTCTTAAGTTTCAGAGCATCACTGGTACTCACCCTGGTCCTGCAGCTCCTGGGCCCAGAGACAGGATTTCGTGTTAGCCTCCTCGTACTGTGCTGGGGTGATGATAAAACTAACAACCCAGGCTGGACGCAGTGGCTCACACCCGAAATCCCAACATTTTGGGAGGCCGAGGTGGGTGGATCAACTGAGGTCAGGAGTTCGAGACCAGCCTGGCCAACATGGCGAAACCCTGTCTCTACTAAAAATACAAAAATTAGCCAGGCATGGTGGTGCATGCCTGTAGCCCCAGCTACTCAGGAAGCTGAGGCAGAAAAATCGCTTGAACTTCGGGAGGCAGAGGTTGCAGTGAGCTGAGATCGCACCACTGCACTCCAGCCTGGGCGACAGAGCGAGACTTTGTCTCAAAAAAAAAAAAAAAGAAAAAAAGCCCATCCACGGCACCTGCATTGTTGGGAGCTAACTGCACCAGTCACTGGGCCACACTCCTGGTGCTTATTCACTCATTCGAGGTATGCAGTAGCCACGGGTTGGGCCCCATGTAGGCTGAGGGAGTTTTGAGGCTCACAGAGGTGAGACCTGGTTCCGGTTCTGTGTGCACTGTGAGAGTGGCAGGGCCCACAGCCAAACCAAGCACTGCCACAACACGGCCGAGCTTCGGCCCCCTGTTGTAAATGGTGCTCGACTGTGTAGGTCCACGCTGTGGGGAGCTGTGCCGCTGCCACGGGAGCTGCTTGAGAATATAATCCCCTGGGGGGTTGGTGCTTTCTTCCCGAATATCTGTGGGGTCCCAATAAGGTAGAAGGTGGCACTTCTGGAGGAACGTGATGAGAGTCCCCTTCCCCCGAGGGACACATGGCGGCCCAGGCTCCACCAGCTCTGTTTTCATGCGGCGGCAGGTCAGGCTGGGCAGAATTGTCAGGCCGAGGGTGGCACGCACAGCACACCTCTCCAGCTAGTGTCAGAGGCCACCTTCCCTTTTATGACCTCCTGGGCTCCTTTGGGACTGACTGGCACCTCTTCCCCCAGGACCTGCAAGCGCAGGACCGAGCCCACCGCATCGGGCAGCAGAACGAGGTGCGTGTGCTCCGCCTCTGCACCGTCAACAGCGTGGAGGAGAAGATCCTAGCTGCAGCCAAGTACAAGCTCAACGTGGACCAGAAGGTGATCCAGGCCGGCATGTTCGACCAGAAGTCCTCCAGCCATGAGCGGCGCGCCTTCCTGCAGGCCATCCTGGAGCACGAGGAGCAGGATGAGGTGAGCCCAGCACCGGCCCCGACCCCTCCCCAGCGTGAATGGTGGACGCGTGAGCGGCTTTCATTTTTGTTTTTTTACCTTTTTTGCACTCTTATTTTTTTTGCATCCCTTTGGAGTAAAGGGAGTGTGGGCTGAACGGAAAGAGGATGAGTACTTGCTTTTTCTTTGAAGTGGTTTTTTTTTCTAAACTGCTGGTGAAAGACGCCGGATTGACAGCCCTGGAGACTGAAGTCCTCTATTTATCCACAGAGCAGACACTGCAGCACGGGCAGCGGCAGTGCCAGCTTCGCCCACACTGCCCCTCCGCCAGCGGGCGTCAACCCCGACTTGGAGGAGCCACCTCTAAAGGTGAGAGGGGTAGTTCAGTCTCCATGCCCATTCAATCCTCGGCTTCTCGGCTGAGACGGCCAGCAAGGGCCCTGGTCCCACGGAGCGTGCGTGTGCGTGTGCGTGTGTGTGCCTTTCGCTGCCGTGTGGGTCCCCATCCACCGCAGCCGTGCCGGGACCACCAGCTCATTCCCACGGACGCCGCCGCTCGCCTCTGAGCTCGGCCGCCGCCCACCCCGGCCCCTCCTCAGCGGCACTGACAGTTTGCAATCTTATAGGAGGAAGACGAGGTGCCCGACGACGAGACCGTCAACCAGATGATCGCCCGGCACGAGGAGGAGTTTGATCTGTTCATGGTAAGCGCTGCAGGCTGGATGGGGCAGTTCAGGCATCCCACTCTGCTGCCACCAGGAGCAAAGCAGACGTCCTAGTGCCCATGGTGGTATCCCTAGCAGGTCAGGGAGCCAGGGACAGCTCACAGTGCAGCCCACTCCCACCTCCAGACTGACCCGTCTTCCACCCCCAGTCTCCTGAGGATGGCATCGGAGGGCGAGATGCACACCCAGCCTTCTGCATGTGACCCGAGACCTGCCCCACCAGCTCTGTTTTCTAACGGGCTCTCCAGGGCTTCATGCACTCCCTTTCAGAGGGAGTTCGCCCTATCCAAGGCCAAGGGACTGACCAGGCCTTCAGTCGCAGAGCCCCCTTGCCCCTGGGTGGGAAACAGGAAATAAGCCACCCAAGCAGGGGCCCCTTGGCCCGCAGGCCTCATGCCTCCACCAACGCTGGGCCACGCAGCTGCTGCCCCCCTGCTGGGGTCTGCAGCCCTCTTGTGCAACCTTCCATCTTTTCGAGTTTCCTCTGCCTCCTGAGGCAGAGCCTCTAGTCAGGGTCTGACGGAGCCAGGCCAGGTCAGCCACTGAAAAATCGAGAGCTACTGTTTAACTCTCGCAGCAGCGTGGAGCCCCACGGGCAGAGAAAGGCCCTTCTGAACTCTCGGTGTTCTGGCTCTAGCGTGCCCCTGGTGCCTGCATGCTGATGCCTCTCCCGTTGCCTCCCTGCCCACCAGCGCATGGACCTGGACCGCAGGCGCGAGGAGGCCCGCAACCCCAAGCGGAAGCCGCGCCTCATGGAGGAGGACGAGCTCCCCTCGTGGATCATCAAGGACGACGCGGAGGTGGAGCGGCTGACCTGTGAGGAGGAGGAGGAGAAGATGTTCGGCCGTGGCTCCCGCCACCGCAAGGAGGTGGACTACAGCGACTCACTGACGGAGAAGCAGTGGCTCAAGGTACATGCTGGAGAGGCCCAGCAGCTGCCGCAGGCCAGCGCCAGGCAGGGCTGGGGAGACAAAGGGCCCACCGCCAGGACTCAGGCCTGGGTCCAAAATGCTTTCCTTGGGCCACTCCTGGCCAGGCTCCGCAGGCAGCCGAGAGCCTTCCGATGTGGGCCAGGGATGGTCAGGTCCTTTTGGCTCTGCCTTGGAATGCAAGAAGGACCCACGGTTCCTGAGCAGCTCAAAACCTGCTGCTGGTTATGGTTGGTCTTTCAAGTAAAAGGGTTTACCTCTTCCCGAGGTTAAAAATCATGTTGCTGATCTCAGTGGACTGCTGGCTTTCCCAGTACCTGCCAGGAGGGAGGCACAAGGGTGAATCATGGACTATTGAGGCGCCCTGCAAAGCGTTGCACTGCTGGCTGCAGGCAGCCTCACTTTGGGCAAGTCCCCCCCCATGAGCTGGGGAGACTCAGTCATGGGGAGGGAGGAGAGGGCAAGCCCCCAAGGGCCTCTGAACCTGGCAGGTGCTGCACGGGGCTGGCAGTTGCTTGTGGAGCTGACGTGAGGGCCCGTTCTCAGCAGATGGCAGCTGGCCCTGCAACAGCAGCTGCAGATGTCTTTGAGTCAGTCGTGCGGTGCTCCTGGGGCTTCACCCGACCCAACTTTCCCAGCCCAAGGCACACTGTGACAGATGCCTGGCACTGATGTCCTCACTGGGGTTACGGTGACAGATCAGACCCCTTCCCAGCTCAGGGGCTCTGAGTTATAGAGACGATGATTCAGAATCCATCCCTGAAGTTGTGTCATAAAAATGTCCTGAAGCAATAATTCCGAGAAGGCAGGTGGCAGCTTTTGGCTATGCCATGCAAAGTGCCACACCCAGGAAAGAGCCATGTGGCCTAGCCCATGTGGCCAAACAGCCCCGGTTCCCTCCTGGGACCTCAGCAGCCCAGACTCATGAGCTTGCCTGCCAAGCTGTGCACCAGAGGGCGCTGTTGAAACACACCAGGAGCCCAGGTGACAGACAGGCCATCCTGTTCCCCAGCCAGCCTCCCAAGCACAGCGCTCCAGGACCCAGAAGAGAAACCCTGAAAAGACAGTGTGAGCCCTGCCACAGACCTGTGTGACAGCAGAGCTGTTTGGCTGCTGTATGAGTGTCACCGGCCCTGCATTTTTTTCTTTTTTAATAAAGACAAAGTCTTGCTGTGTTACCCAGGCTGGCCTCCAGTTCCTGGGGGCTCAAGTGATCCTCACACCTCAGCCTCCTGAGTAGTTCAGACTACAGGTACACACCAACACGCCTGGCTAATTTTAAATTTTTTGTAAAGTGGGGGTCTCACTGTGTCACTCAGGCTGGTCTCAAACTCCTGGGCTCAAACAATCCACCCGCCTCGGCCTGCAGAGTAGCTGGGATTACGAGCATGAGCCACGGTGCCCAGCTCAGCCCTGCATATTTGAGGCAGTGAGTACCTTTTAAATTTAAGATCAGTTCATACGTGGCTGCTCTATGTACATTTTTTTCTAGGTGTAATTTACATACCATACAGTTCACCCTTTTGGGGTATATGATACAATCATCTTCAGTGTATCCAAGAGTTGTGCATCTCTCACCACAGTCCATTTTAGAACATTCTCATCGCCCCCAAAAGAAGCCCTGCCCCGATTTGCCATTCCTGGTAATTCATGGATTCTCCCCAGCCCCAGGCAACCACTGATGTACTTTCTGTCCATATAGTTTTACCTGTTCTGGGCGTTTCCTGTCAGTGGAGTCCTACAGCGTGGGATGCTTTGGTGTCAGGCTTTTTTCACGCAATGTAACATGCTGACCCATGATGCAGCAGGTGTGTTGCATTCTTTGATGGTGAAATAATCCTGCCTCGTACAGATTTGTCACATTCGGTTTTTCTGTCCATTCTTGATGGACACTTGGGTTGTATCCACTTTCGGGCTATTACAAACAATACTACCGTGAACATTCACGTACACGTTTTTGCGTGCACGCGTTTCTCTTTAATATGTGATTTCTCTTTAATATCTGATTTCTCTTTAATATGTGCCTAGGCGTAGAGTTGCCGGAACAATGTTAGTTCTCTATTTAACCTTTTGAGGGACCCCAGCCTGGTTTCCTTGGTGGCTACGCCAGTTCACAGTTCCACCAGCTGTGTATGAGAATTCCTCTTTCTCTACATCCTCAGCAACCCTTGCTGTTCCCTCGCCCGCTGATTCTAGCCATCCCAGCACGTATGAAGTGCCATCTGAGTGTGGTTGGATTTGCATTTCCCTGATGGCTAATGGTGTGGAGTATCTGTTCATATGCTTCTTGGCCCTTTGTGTATCCTCTAGAAAGAGATGTCTAGTCACATCATCCTTTACCCAAATTTAAAATATATTTATCTTAATATTGAATTGTAAGTTATTTACAAGTGCCTTATCAGATATCATTTGTAAATATTTTGTTCCATTCTGCACATTCTCTTTTCGCTTCCGTGATATCCGTTGAAGCACAGAAGTGTTTCATTGTACTTACAGTCGATTTTTCTTTTTCACCTGTGCCTTGGTGTTGTATCTGAGAAACCATCGCCTATCCAAGGTCACGAAGACTTGCCCCTGTCTTTTCTCCTAGGAGGGTTATAATTTGATCTCTTCCATGTAGATCCATGTAAGATCCATTTTGAGTTAAATTTTATACATGATGTGAGGTAGGGGTCCATCTTCATCCATCCAACTGGAAATCCAGTTGTCCCAGCAGCATTTGTTGAAGAGACTATTTTTTCCCATTGAGCCCATCTTATTACACAGTATATTCAAATTCACAGTTGTGAAAAATATTATACAAAACACTGTCTCCCCACTACTGTTGGCTGTGGAATTGGCACCACTTTTCTGGCAGCCATCTGTTGCCAAGTGAACTCAAAGCCTTCAAAATGCTCCTATGGCCGCCATCGGACATGGCCATGACTGTGGCAGCCTAAAGCAACAGAACTATTTTCTCTGCATTCTGGGCCAGAAGTCTGAACCCACGGTGTGGGCAGGGCTGTGTTCCTTTCGAGGCCCTAGGAGAGGACCCTTCCTTGGCTTTTCCAGCTTCTGATGGTTCCAGAAGCCTCCTGGCTTGGGGCAGCGTCACCCCATCTCTGCCTCTGTCTTCATGGGGACTTCTCCTCTGTGTCCCCTTCTGTGTCTTTTAAGAACAATTTTTAAAACTTAATCCCAAAAGTAAAGACCTCATTTGCAAAGAAGGTCCCATTCCGAGGTTCCAGGTAGACATGAGTCTGGGGGGCACCCGCCGCTCCGCCCTGGGTCTGCAGGGGGCCTTCTCCTGGTGCCTCCTGCCTGCTGTGCCCTCCATGCTGCTTCTTTGACCCGGTTGCCTTCCATCCTCCTGGGCCCCTCAGGCTCTCAGCTTCCCATCTTCTCTAAGACATGTCTGCTCCATCATTCTGGTGTCTCTCTCTTCCCTCCTTCCTGGCACCTGACACGTTTGTTACCCCACTTGTGGGGTGTTGCTGTCTGATCACCATCTTCCTTCCAAGGGTAGGGGAAAGGGCCCTGGCTGGTTCAAGTCACAGCTCTGTCCTCAGCGCCAGGCACAGTGCCCAGCTCACTGGCACAGCCTCAGATTCCCTGGACACCTGGCTCCCCGGCTGCATTTTTTACCATTGGGATAAGTTATTAGTACCATTGAAAATTAATACCTGGGGATTCTCTTAATATTGTTCATATTCATGTTCTTCTCAGCAGTTTTACCATGAGGAATCTGTCTTAAACAATGTCAGTTGTCAATAGCGTTATTTAAAATAGCAACAACAATAAAAAAAGGTGGTCAGACCTGGCAGCTTGTGCCTGTAATCCCAGCACTTGGAGAAGCCAAAGCGGGGGGATCATTTCAGCTCAGGAGTTTGAGACCAGTCTGGCCAAAATAGCAAGACCTTTGTCTCTATTAAAAAAAAAAATGCCAGGCACAGTGACACATGCCTGTAATCCCAAGCACTTTGGGAGGCCGAGGTGGGCAGATCACCTGAGGTCAGGAGCTCAAGACCAGCCTGGCCAACATGGCAAAAACCCGTTTCTACTAAAAATACAAAAATTAGCCAGGCATGGTGGTGGGCACCTGTCATCCCAGCTACTTGGGAGGCTGAGTCAGGAGAATCACTGGAACCTAGGAGTTGGAGTTTGTAGTGAGCCAAGATCGCACCACTGCACTCCAGCCTGGGCGACAGAATGAGACCCTGTCTCTGAAAAAAAGGGAAATGACCTAAATGCCCAAGAACAAGGGGAGGCTAAATTAGGGCACGTTGTGCACTGAAACACTAAACAGACATTAAAAAATTTTGTTGTAGAAAATTACAGGAAAAGATATCCATGACACAGCCAGCAGTGTGGCACGTGGGCTACAATTCCAGCGTGGCCTTCAGTTCTGCACACGTGCGTCAAAGGTGGGGAGAGTTCTGGTGGTGGGTGGCGCTGAGGGCTGCACAACACTGGGGACGTGCCTAATGCCCCTGAACTGTGTACTAAAACATGGCTGCTTTGGTAAATTTTATGTTATATATGATTTATAATATATTTTTTTAAATGCCCAGCTACTCAGGAGGCTAAGATGGGAAGATCACTTGAGCCCAGGAGTTAAAGTCCAACCAGGGCAATGTAGCAAGACCACATGTCTAAGAAAATTTAAAAATCGGCTGGGCGCGGTGGCTCACGCCTGTAATCCCAGCACTTTGAGAGGCCGACATGGGTGGATCACGAGGTTAAGAGATTAAGACCATCCTGGCCAACATGGTAAAACCCTGTCTCTACTAAAAATACCAAAATTAGCTGGACGTGGTGGTGGGCGCCTGTAGTCCCAGCTACTCAGGAGGGTGAGGGAGGAGAATCGCTTGAACCAGGAAGGTGGAGGTTGCAGTGAGCTGAGATTGCACCACTGCACTCCAGCCTGGTGACAGAGCGAGACTGCGTCTCAACAACAACAAAAAAGAAAATTTAAAAATAATTTTTCATACAAAAATTAGCCAGGTGTGGTGGCACGTACCTGTAATCCCAGGTACTTGGGAGGCTGAAGCAGGAGAATTGCTTGAACCCAGGAGGCGGAGGTTGCAGTGAGCCGAGATTGCACCACTGCACTCCAACCTCGGTGACAAGAGCGAAACTCCGTCTCAAAAATATAAAAATAATTTTTAAAATGTCTTAAAAAGGCCGGGTGTGGTGGCTCACACCTGTAATCCCAGCACTTTGGGAGGCCGAGGCGGGCAGATCACAAGGTCAAGAGTTTGAGACCATCCTGACCAACATGGTGAAACCCTGTCTCTACTAAAAATACAAAAATTAGCTAGGCGTGGTGGTTTGCGCCTGTAATCCCAGCTACTCAGGAGGCTGAGGCAGGAGAGTTGCTTGAACCCAGGAGGCGGAGGTTGCAGTGAGCCAAGATCATGCCACTGCACTCCAGCCTGGTGACAGAGTGAGACTCCGTCTCCAAAAAAAAAAAAAAAAAAATCTTAAAAAGAAGAAATAGATGGAGGCCAGGCCCAGTGGCTTATATCTGTAATCCTAGCACTTTGGGAGGCTAAGATGGGAGCACTGCTTGAGACCAGGAGTTCAAGACCAGCCTGGGCAATATTATGAGACCCCGTATCTACAAAAAATTTTTTTAATTAGCTGAGTGTGGTGACACGTGCCTGTAGTCCCAGCTACTTAGGAGGCTGAGGTGGGAGGATCTCTTGAGCCCTGGGAGTTCAAGACTGCAGTGAGCTATGATGGTGCCACTGCACTCCAGCCTGGGCAACAGGTCGAGACCCTGTCTCTAAAAATAAATAAGTAAATAAAAGAAATAGATGGGGAGAGTGTGGAACAGAGGTGTCAACATCACCTCCGGGTGAAGGGATTTCAGGAGCACGTTCTTTTCTGTACAGAGAAGATAGTTCTTTTTTTTTGGTCAAGAAATTCAACCATTAGTTTTTTAAAGACAAGCTTGGGTGGGGTGCCTGCTGGGGGCAGTGCTGGTCTTTCACTGCAGCCCAGGCACCCCTTGAGAGTCCCAGTGTGTGTTATGCCCCGAGCCAGTCAAGCTGAAGGGAGAGCGGGTGCGGGGGCCCTCCTCCGTGTCCCAGCCCGGCCCCTGGGATTGCGTCGCGGCCTCTGCTTGTCGACCTGGGTGCTGGCTGTCCTATTTTACTACTATTGACCCTGAAGGCCATCGAGGAGGGCACGCTGGAGGAGATCGAAGAGGAGGTCCGGCAGAAGAAATCATCACGGAAGCGCAAGCGAGACAGCGACGCCGGCTCCTCCACCCCGACCACCAGCACCCGCAGCCGCGACAAGGACGACGAGAGCAAGAAGCAGAAGAAGCGCGGGCGGCCGCCTGCCGAGAAACTCTCCCCTAACCCACCCAACCTCACCAAGAAGATGAAGAAGATTGTGGATGCCGTGATCAAGTACAAGGACAGGTAAGCGAGGAGGCGGGGAGGGCGGGGGCTGTAGGGGTCCCCGTGGGAGCAGGCCTGGCATCTGCACTCTGACTCTGCACACTCAGGCTTGGGCCGCTCACTCTTTCACTCATCCACAAACACTGACTGAATCTCTGTGTCTTTGAGCCTGGCCCTGAGGAACATGCTTTCTGGAACAGGGAAGCACACATGTATCTGCGGTGATGAGAGGGAATGTCACATGTGGTCGAGAGGAGAGGCAGGGGTGCGGGTCTCGGAGAAGGGGACATTGCAGCAGAGCCTTGAGAGAGGGGAGGTTGGGGAGAGTGCACCAGCAGAGGCCACAGCAGGCGGAGAGGCTCTGCCAAAGTTGTGGCCTGGTGGCCTCAAGGGATGAGGTGGGATGAGGGGTTATATGGCAGTAATGGGTGCTGCCCGTGTGGCCAGGAGGTTGGGGACAAGAGGCTGGCATGTCTGGAGCAGAGAAAGTGGCAGCCCTCTCCTGTCCTTGCACCCTCCCAGGCTACCTGTGCCATCTCTGTGTTGGTGAGATGGTGGCCACACTCCTGCTCTCTGCCAGGCCCTGCTCCAAGCCTGGAGATCGCTGTCCTCACAGACATGTCCTATATACGAGGCAGCATGCGGTTCCAGCTGTGGCCACGGCCCAGCGGCGGATCATAACGTGTTGGTGGATCATGAGTGCCATTTATATGTTTTTCATTTACTAATATCCTTTTCCGTGAGCGACTCTATATGGGTACCATTTAAATAAGAAGAAAGGAATGTTCTCAGCAACTCCCCAGGGAGGCATGTGCACCTTCTGCCAGCCCAGGGCAGGTCACAGAGCTGGGCAGGAGCCAGCAAAGGTGTAAGGCCCATGCCTGGCCCAGGACTCACCCAGTCTTCCACTCTCCAAGGTCTTATTTCACTTCCTGGTACACACTGGCCAGTACGGCTGTCCCCGTAATGGGAGGGTTGTACTGTTTGATTTTAAATAACAGTTTGCTGTTAGTCATGAAGCAGAGCGTGGGGGAATTGTATCTGTTGGAGGGGAAAGTGAAGGGAGCCCACATGCATGGTTTGGAGAGAATCTTACCAAGTGTGAAGTTTTAGAGGATGGTAACAATTGGAGTGCCTAAATTAATGAGTCAAAATTACCGCGCAAGGCCAGCTGTGGTGGTCCACACCTGTCAGCCCAGCACTTTGAGAGGCTGAGGTGGGAGGATCACTTGAGGTCAGGAGTTTGAGACCAGCATGGACAACATGGTGAAAACCCATCTTTACTGAAAATAGGAAAACAATTACCTGGGCGTGGTGGCACGCTTTTTGGGAGGCTGAGACAGGAGAATCACTTGAACCCAGGAAGTGGAGGTTGCTGTGGACCAAGATTGCACCACTGCACTCCAGCCTTGGGTGACAGAGCAAGACGCCCACTCCAAAAACAAAATACTGCTTAAAAAGGTTCTTTTAGCCAGATGCGGTGGCTCATGCCTGTAATCCCAGCACTTTAGGAGGCCAAGGCGGGCGGATCACTTGAGGTCAGGAGTTTGAAACCAGCATGGCCAATATGGCGAAACCCCCTCTCTACTAAAACTACAAAAATTCGCCGAGCGTAGTGGTGCATGCCTGTAATCCCAGCTACTCGGGAGGCTGAGGTAGGAGAATCTTGAAGCTGGGAGGCGGAGGTTGCAGTGACCCAAGATCACATCAGTGCACTCCAGCCTGGGGGACAGAGTGAGACTCCGTCTCAAAAAGAGAAAAAAAGAAAGGTTCTTTTATTATTGGAAGAGAAACAGATGATGAAGGAAAGGAGACATATTCAAGTTCAATGCCAGATCTGAAAATGTCATGTGTTGTCAGTATTGAGAAAAAAATATATAGACTCTAATTCACAAACCTAACTCCAAGGCTAAGTCCTCAAAGAGGAAAGCAAGTGGAGGACTTAAGTTACTTAAAGTGCGGGATACAGCTGCGGGCAGTAGCACATGCCTGGGGTCCCCACTACTTGGGAGGCTGAGGTGGGAGGATCACTTGAGCACAGCAGGTCCAGGCTACAGTGAGCCATGATCACACAGCTGCACTCCATCCTGGGTGATGGAATGAGACCCTGTATCTTAAAAAAATGAAATAAATACAGAATACTTATTTAAAACATGGGCCAGGTATAGTGGCTCGTGTAATCCCAGCACTTTGGGAGGCTGAGGTGGGCGGATCACTTGAAGTTAGGAGTTTGAGACCAGTCTGGCCAACATGGCAAAACCCCATCTCTACAAAAAATACAAAAATAGAAATTAAACTGGCATGGTGATGCGTGCTTGAGCTCCCAGCTCGGGAGGCTGGGCACGAGAATCGCTTGAACCCAGAAGGCAGAGGGTGCAGTGAGCCAAGATTGCACCACTGCACTCCAGCCTGGGTGACAGAGTGAGACAATACCTGAAAAACAAAAAACAAAAACAAAAAAAGGGAATTCGCAGAAATCTAATGACAATGACAGACCCTCCCCATGTTTTATTTCTAATGATAATCTTGTGAGGGAAACTTAACATTACCAACCTAAAGAAGACCCTTGAAGCGCAGTGGGGAAAGCACGGGTGTCTCCATCACACTGGTCTCCTGGGTATCCACGTAGAGAGGATGAGCCTCGACCACCCCCACACACGCACACACCATGCACTTGGATCCACGTGACATGGACTGTGGATGTAAGAACGTGAAAGGTAAAACAAAATTCTAGAAGAAAGCACGGGAGAAAATCTTCATGAGTAGGCATCGATTTCTTCCACGGGAGCCAAAAGCCACTAATCACAAACAATTGAGAAATTAGACCTCACTGAAATTAATAACATCTGTTTATTAATGGACACGCTGATGGAGACAGTGAAAACTCCTCATAGATGAGGAAAAGACAACACAATTTAAAGCTGGACAAGAGCCGGGAACAGACGCCTCCTTACACAGGACATCCCAGGACTAATCAATGTGGGGAAAGGTGCTCACGTCATTGCATTAGCATCACAACTTCAAGAAAATGCTCGTTAAAACCAGAGTGACTTGCACCAGCACCCGCCCCAGAACGGCCGAATGCCCATCAGTGCTGGCAAGTCTGAAGCAGTCTGGCCTCACACCCTGCGTGTAGGAGTATGCAGCTCTTTGGCAATCTCTTCTGTTTTGCTTTGTTTGTTTTTAACCATCGAACTGCAGAAGATAATATTTTCTGAGGCTCAGCCTGTACATACCCTCTGACCCAGCAGCCTGCAGCCCTCGTTCTACCCAGGAGAGCTGAGTGCATCTGTCCACACCGACAGACGTGTCCATAGCCACTTTGGTCATAATCTCCCAAAACAAGAATCAGCCCAGTGTCCATCTACAGGGGCATGGATCAGTGGAGGCCTAATCGTACAGGGCCCCAAACAGCTGTGAAAACAGACATAGTACTGCTACCTGGAAGAAGCTTACATTTTGTTGAGTGAAAGAAGCCAGACACTAAAAAGGGCATACTGGCCGGGCACGGTGGCTCACGCCTGTAATCCCAGCACTTTGGGAGGCCGAGGCGGGCGGATCACGAGGTCAGGAGATTGAGACCATCCTGGCTAACATGGTGAAACACCGTCTCTACTAAAAATACAAAAAATTAGCCGGGTGTGGTGGTGGGCGCCTGTAGTCCCAGCTACTCGGGAGGCTGAGGCGGGAGAATGGCATGAACCCAGGAGGCGGAGCTTGCAGTGAGCCGAGACCGCGCCACGGCACTCCAGCCTGGGCGACAGAGCGGGACTCCGTCTAAAAAAAAAAAGAGGGCCTACTGTGTGCCTCCAGTTCTGTGAGGGTCAGAAGCTGATCCACAGTAATGGCTGCCAAGCAGTGCTTACCTTGAGAGAGGGAATAGCAGGAAAGCCACACGACGAGCCTTCTAGGATACTGGGGATATTCTCTCTATAGATCTGGATGTGTATATGATGTGTACATTCACCAAGGTGTACACATGAGATATGTACACTTCTCTGTATTCCATTACACCTTGGTTTTTGAAAAGACAGAAACAGCATGCTCAGCTTATTAAGAACCTGAATATTTTCAGACAAAAAGTATGTCTAGTGTTAGTCCACTTTTTTTTTTTTTTAGTTTTAGACTCACAGAGCCCTCTTAGGGTCATATTTAGTTGTATATCATCTGACAAAAGAGGGAATGGCTCACCCAGCTGCTACAGTCAGTCTTGTAGCCTTTGTAAGATTTGATGATAAATCATACAATAAATTAAAACTTTCGGCTGGGCACAGTGGCTCACGCCCATAATCCCAGCACTTTGGGAGGCCGAGGCGGAGGATCACTTGAGCCCAGGAGTTCAGATGAGCCTGGCCAACATAGTGAGACTCTGTCTCTATTTAAAAAAAAGAAGAAAAAAAAAGTCTGGGTGTGGTGGCTCACGCCTGTAATCCCAGCACTTTGGGAGGCTGAGGCGAGCGGATCACAAGGCCAGGAGATCAAGACCATGCTGGCTAACACAGTGAAACCCCGTCTCTACTAAAAATACAAAAAATTAGCCAGGCGTGGTGGCGGGCGCCTGTAGTCCCAGATACTCGAGAGGCTGAGGCAGGAGAATGGCGTGAACCCGGGAGGCAGAGCTTGCAGTGAGCCGAGATTGTGCCACTGCACTCCAGCCTGGGCGACAGAGCGAGACTCCGTCTCAAAAAAAAAAAAAAAACCCCAAATCTTAACTCTTACTGCTAAGTGACTGCTTTATCGAAACTGTTCTGTTTCGGGACATTTGATTCTGGTAGAGATTTTGAGACCTGCTTTGAAGAGGACACCAACATTTCAGTCACACAGCAATGCTCCTGTCTTACCTGGGATCCATGTGGGAGGATGCCTCAGTGGGGGATTTGATCTGTGTTTTCAATTTAACCTCACATCTTACTGGAATGGATGGATTCACAGACCTGGGGGTCGCCCATTGGACTGGGAGTAACTACGTTGGAATTACAAGTAGGACAACAAAGATGACTATTAAAGAAAGCCTCCTGAGTGCTGGAAGCACAGCAGGCGTGGGTCTG
Source organism: Homo sapiens (assembly GCF_000001405.40). NCBI lineage: Eukaryota > Metazoa > Chordata > Mammalia > Primates > Hominidae > Homo > Homo sapiens. Next base: position 11,046,588 of record NC_000019.10, read on the forward strand.
TCCACTCACTGTAATGTGATTTGCACAGGAAAACATCACATAGGGCACATCAACTCAGGAAAGATAGTCGTTGAAAAGCTACCTCAGCTGGGCGTAGTGGTCACGCCTGTAATCCCAGAACTTTGTAAGGCTGTGAGGCTTGTGGATCCCTTGAGACCAAGAGTACGAGACCAACCTGAGCAAAACAGGGAGACCCCGCCTATGCAAAAAATACAAAAATTAGCCAGGCGTGGTGGTGCACTCCTGTTGACTCAGCTATTCAGGAAGCTGAGGCAGAAGGACCACAAGAAGTCAAGGCCGCAGTGGGGTATAATCACATCACTGCACTCCACCATGGGTGACAGAGGTGAGACCCTGTTGCAAAAAAAAAAAAAAAAAAAGCAAAAGAAAAGCTGCCTCCATTTAGCAATAATTTCAAACATGATGTTTGGGTACAAAATTGGTGTACTTAATGGATATTTCTGATATTCTTAACTAAATTTGAAGCTGTGAGGGAAGACAAACTCAGGGTCCACAGGGTGGGAAAAGTCCACAAGATCACCCTCAAGTGCCGTCATTCTCTAGGACCCCGAGAGCCCTAGCGGTTGTTACGCTTGCAGTTATGATTTATTACAGTGCAAGGCTACAGATTAAAATCAACCAAGGCAAGAGATGTATGGGGCCTCTTGGGGGCCAAGGTGGGCGGATCACTTGAGGTGATCTGGACGGTTCCAGACACAGGGCTTTCCTTTGTCTCCTCCCTGTGGAGTTGAAGACAGCGCTGATGTTCCCGGTGACGTTGACACAGAGCACTGCCAACCAGAGAAGCCTCCGTGTCCAGAGGTTTTTTTTTTTTTTTGGAGATGCAGTCTCACTCTGTCACTCAGGCTGGAGTGCAGTGGCACTATCTTGGCTCACTGTAACCTCTGCCTCCTGGGTTGAAGTGATTCTTCTGCCTCAGCCTCCTGAGCAACTGGGATTACAGGCTCGCGCCACCACGCCTGGCTAATTTTTGTATTTTTTAGTAGAGATGGGGTTTCACCATGTTGGCCAGGCTGGTCTCGAACTCCCGACCTTAAGTGATCCGCCCGCCTCAGCCTCCCGAAGTGTTGGGATTACAGGCATGAGCCACCGTACCCACCCTGTGTCCAGCATTTTTACTGGGACTTGGTCACAAAGACACAGCTGGCTACCCACGTGGCTGACCTCCATCTCCAGCCCCTCTGCAGGTGAGCAGAAACTACATAGCCCAAAGCCCCAACCTAGGACTGGTCCCAGACCCCACGTAAACAAAGACAGCCATTAGGTGTGACATTCTAAGGACTCAGAGATCACCTCCCAGGAGCCCCAGGCAAAAGCCAGACCTCATTTGGGGCGAAGTTACATTCTTTTTTATTATTATTATTATTTGCCCATCATTGTCTAGAAGTTACATTCTGTATGACACATCTGTCAGATCCCTGGAAGCTTCCTCGCCACCGACTGCATGGCAGGTGGTGCTCATGTCACTCGGCCCTTCCTTGGCCCCACACAGCTGCACCAGGCTGAGAAGAGCTTGAATGGAATAAAGTCAGACACAGCTAACAGCTCACTTTTTTGTCTCCAACTTTGAATTGCTCCTTTCCAAGAAAAGAAAAAAAACTTCTTTTTGTTTAATTGGATTTTTTTTTTTATTTATTTTTTGAGGCAGAGTCTCACTCTGTCACCCAGGCTGGAGTGCCATGGCACAATCTCGGCTCCCTGCAACCTCCACCTTCCAGGTTGAAGTGATTCTCCTGCCTCAGCCTCCCAAGTAGCTGGGATTACAGGTGCACACCACCATCATGCCTGGCCGGAATTTTTGTTTTTTAGTTGGCTCTCCAGAACCCTCTAAGTAGTTCAGCTCTGCAATTGAGTTAAATGTGAAGCCTGAAAAGAGACTGGCATCTGTGTAGACCTGAGTTCTAACAATTCAAAGAGTGAACACGGGACGTTGTCCTCTGGATTCGGTGTCAGGAGCCTGCCTCGCCGAGCTGGAGAGTGTGCCCATGACTGCAGGTGGGAGCCACATGGTCCGTCTAGGTGGCGACACCTGAGGACAGAAGTGGTTTAGCTGGGCACCCGCTGCTGTGTTGGGGCCAGACCCTTTTGGAGAGGCAGGGACGCCCTTCCTGTCAGGTGGAATCTTTTCAAATATTGCTTTTGATCGTTGGAGATACTTGCAGCCCCCTAGTTCGTGTTTTATTCTGGCAGAATTGTGTTTGACGTGACCTCTGTGTTGACCTCATCATACGTGTACAGTTGTCTTGCCTGGGAATCTTATACTCTGTTCTTCTGCACTCAGATTCACAGCCATGAGGCCGCTCCTCCCAAGGCCCTGGAGTGTGGCACTGCCAGCTGTCACAGCCACGGTCCTTTACATTGTATACACAGAGTGCAGTGACATGCCCCTCCTGCTCAGGGGCCACAGTAGGAACAGGCTGGAGTGTTCTGTGGTACCATGCCGGCAGTGCTGGCTTCTGCTGTCCAGGGGCTTGTGGTGGCTCCAGTGGGAAGGGCCACGTAAGCAGAACAGGAAGTGTGAGCAGTGTCCACTGGGAGGAGAGGGACAAGTGTCCCAGGCAGAGAGGACACAGTGCATGCAGAGGCTGGAGGGAGGCTAGGGGCTTGAGTGGGGCTGCGCCAGCACCAGGGGCCTCACAGGGGCCCTGGGCCACACACCTGCCCTTAGCCAAGGGCGTTTCTCCTTGGTGGTTTGAAATCTCAAACCACATTGAGGAACCTGCCAGAAATCGAAACCAGAATTAAGAAATTAAGTTACATGTAGGAGATTTTACTTTAAAATCAGAACATGCAGAAACGTTCTCTGTGGCTTCGGGTCAGGTTCGGGCTTGTGGGGCTGTACACTGCCAGTTGATACCTTCTTCCCTGGGTTCTGTGTTTTTTTTTTTTTTTTTGAGACAGAGTCTTGCTCTGTAGCCCAGGCTGGAGTGCAGTGGCACAGTCTTGGCTCACTGCAACCTCTGCCTCCCTCCCTGGGTTCTTTATAGCAGTCAGCAGCTGGTGGCTGAGGCATTTGGGGCACTGTGTCCAAGTGTCAAGGCCGCATGTGTGTCAGGGGGCACACCCTTGGTGTGCTTGGTAAGGGCTCAGAGAAGGGCATCTGCTGGTCCATGTGGGCTCAGCCAGCAGCCTGCTAAAGACCACCCCGCCAGCCACCAGCCTGCCTGCGACAGTGATAGGGCAGAGATGCTGCTACAATAAAGACCATGCGGGCCAGGCGCAGGCGCTCACATCTGTAATCCCAGCACTTTGGGAGGCCAAGCCGGGCTGATCACTTGAGCTCAGAAGTTTGAGAACAGCTTGGCCAACGTGGCAAAAACCCCGTCTCTATTAAAATACAAAAATTAGCCAGGCATGGTGGCACTCGCCTGTAATCCCAGCTACTTGGGAGGCTGAGGCAGGAGAATCGCTTGAACCCAGGAGGAGGTTTCGGTGAGCCAAGATTGCACCACTGCACTCCAGCCTGGGTGACAGTGAGACTACGTCTCAAAAAAAAAGACTGTGCTAGACGGTGGTGTTGAACTTGAACTTGATGCTTGTGCTGAGGTCAGGAGACACGTGCACAGCTTCAGGGCTAGAGGGGCACAATGGCTGCAGACTATGCTCGGGCAGCTCGGAAAGACGGTGACGGGTCCAGGCTGCCGCAGCTAAGCCTCACAAGAGCTCTGGCCCCACCAGGCGGGCCCTCTGGGTTCCATTCCCACTCCCCACTGCCTGGAGGCAGCAGCCCTGTGGTTACTGTAGGAGGGACCTGAATGCAGTGAAGATCTGCACTCCACACCTGTCTCTGTGCCTCAGTCTCCACGTCTGCAGCACAGGGGCCTGACTGAAATAACGTGGCCAGGCACACAGCCCAGACGCCAGCACTGTGTGCACTGTGGGAGGGGACGATGGTCCCTAGCCCAGGGCCTGAGCTGCTGCCTTGCCAATTCGTGGTGACAGCTTTGGCCTGGGTCTGGCAGGGGCTGGCTGCTACTGCTGAAGGCCTGTCTGCACTGTTTCCCTGCCTTTCCACAAGCACTGTCCCTCCTGGCTCTTCAGAGTTGAGTGGTTATACCTTGTGCAAGAAAAACAATGAAACAGATTGTCTGAATGTTTCAGACCTGCCTGAAACATTCTGCAGGAGAGGTCATCCCAAGGCTTGAAAGTGTTTGTCACACTCCTTCAAGCCCCCAGGGCAGGGCCCCTGAGGGAAGGGTGCAGGTGGAGGGTGGGCAGGAGTGGGAGCCATTCCTTGGGGACAGGGGGGCTCCTCAGGGCTGTCTGGCCCTTGGCCTGTGGTTCCAGGTCTATGGTCTGCTTGGCACATAGCCTGGACCCTGGTGCTGTGCAGGCACTGGCTGGATGAGGGCACCGAGCAGATGAGCCCCAGGCATGCCCACTTATGGGCATAGGCTGGGTGCAGGGCACTGGGTCCAACATAACCATGGCAGAGGGCTCAGGGGGCCTAAAAGTCATGGATGGAGTTGCCCACGCAGCCTGCGGTCAGGTTCCCTGTGGAGCCGTGCTGGGGTTCTGCGCCTGCCCCAGGATTTGCTGGAAGAAGCTCCCCCTCCTCTGTTTGTGAGTCGGGCCCTACCCCCAAGTCTCCCCCTCAGTGATAGAGACCTTTACATAACACAAATAAACAAGGCAACTGGTTTAGAAGAATGAGTCTGAAAACTAGAATGGCGTGTTTAAGGAAAGCTTAGGACAGGACAATTAGAGACAGAGGTGCAGGTGTGTGGAGTTGGCAGCAGGAGGCCTGGGGGAGCCGCTCGTGCCTTTCCCTCCTGCCCTGGCCTCCCTTGGAACTCGGAGCAGCCCCCTGCCTTGAGGAGGCCCTTCCTTTCAGTGAGCCTGTGCCGCAGTCGTCCGAGGGAACACAGTGGGGACATATTTCCTTTTTTTTTTTTTTTTTTGAGACAGAGTCTCACTCTGTCGCCAGGCTGGAGTGCAGTAGCCTGATCTCAGCTCACTGCAAATTCTGCCTCCTGGGTTCAAGCAATTCTCCTGTTTCAGCCTCCCGAGTAGCTGGGACTACAGGCATGCACCACCACGCCCAGCTAATTTTTGTATTTTTAGTAGAGATGGGGTTTAACCACGTTGGCTAGGATGGTCTCGATCTCTTGACCTCATGATCCGCCAGCCTCGGCCTCCCAAAGTGCTGGGATTACAGGAGTGAGCCACCATGTCCGGCCGGAAATGTTTATTAAAATAGCAGATGAGGCCGGGTGCTGTGACTCAGGCCTGTAATCCCAGCACTTTGGGAGGCTGAGGCGGGTGGATCACGAGGTCAGGAGTTCAAGACCAGCCTGACCAAGATGGTGAAACCCATCTCTACTAAAAGTACAAAAATTAGCCGAGCGTAGTGAGACTTGCCTATAATCCCAGTTACGAGGGAGGCTGAGGCAGGAGAATCGCTTGAACCCAGGAGGCAGAGGTTGCAGTGAGCCGAGATTGTGCCACTGCACTCCAGCCTGGGCAACAGAGCGAGACTCCGTCTCAAAAATAAATAAATAAAAATAGATGATCATAGACAGGAGGGATGAAGTAGAAGATTCAAAGCAGCTTAAAAAAAGGAAGTAAAAAAGAAATAAGGTCAGGAGACAAGATTGAGTGACTGTGAAACATCAACAATAGGCAGATTTAAAATAAAGTCAGGAAATAGCTAGATCAAAGAATAGAAAGGTGAACCAGGTGTGATATCCACCTGTAGTCCCAGCTTCTTGGGAGGCCAACGCGGGAAAATCACGTGAGCCCAGGAGTTGGAGGCACCGCTGCACTCAAGCCTGGGTGACACAGTGAGACCCTGTCTCAAAAAGCAGCAGGAAGAGAGGCTGGCATGTGGGGCTCCAGGGGGTGTGAAGGAGGGTCCACACCCTCCTTCCTCCACCTGGCCATACTGAGCAGCACATTCTCTGAGCCAACGGCCCCTACAAACACCCACCCTTTCCTCCTGGTAGCCCAGAGGGCGCCCCTGCCTGCTCACTTCCCAATGTCGGGATCCTGTGATTTCTGCCTCTTCAGAAAGGACTTGAGGCATTTTCTGACTCAGAGCCACTCAGGATTCCAGGACCTCCTGTGGTGACAACAGGGACACCAGTAGTGATGAATTCAGAAAAGAGCGAACGCCCCTCAAGCTGCCCTCCCCCAGCCCTGCAGACAGTGGCCATGGGCCTCCCTGCACTCAGGACCGACTGCACCTGCCTGCGGCGTAGGGGAGCTGGGGCTGGCCTTTCCTTTTCATCTTCCCCTGGCACTGGGAAATGCTCTGGGTGGTGCCATGTATAACACCCTTTGTCACAGTGCTCTCATTTCGTCGTGTAAAAGGCCAGTCCCCGCCTCGCAGTGTTGGGGCAGCCAGCACAGGCACGTGAGACAGGAGCCACACCTGGGTTCTCATCTGGCATCTGCCTCTTGCCATGCTCAGGTTCTTGCCTCCAGATATAGGGCATCAAACTAAGTGGTTTCCAAACTTGGGTTCTTGGTGGGGAGTGAGATCAGGGTTTCTTAAAAACTGCACTTGGAGGCTGGGCACGGTGGCTCACGCCTGTAATTCCAGCACTTTGGGAGGCCGAGGCGGGCGGATCACCTGAGGTCAGGAGTTACAAAAAACGGAACCTAGGCTCATGCCTATAATCCCAGCACTTCGGGAGGCCAAGGCTGGCGAATCGCTGGAATTTAAGAGTTCCAGACCAGCCTGGCCAACGTGGCAAAACCCTGTTTCTACTCAAAATACGTAAGTTAGCCGGGCATGGTGGTGGGTGCCTGTAATCCCAGCTACTCGGGAGGCGGAGGTTTCAGTAAGCCAAGATTGCACCACTGCACTCCAGCCTGGGTGACAGAGTGAGACTCCGTCTCAAAAAAAAAAAAAAAAAGAAAGAAATTCAAATCTCAGTGTCGATAAATGAAGTTTTGTTGGAATGCAGCCAAAGCCCACCGATTTCTGCGTTGTCTGTGGTTCCCTTCATGGAACAGTGGCAGAACTGAGCAGTTGCAACAGAGGCAGGCCCAGCAAGCCTCAAATATTTACACTGAGCTGAGCGCAGTGACTCACACCTGTAATTCCAGTGCTTTGGGAGGCTGATGTGGGAGGATCCCTTGAGCCCAGGAGTTTGAGACCAGCCTGGGCAACCTAGTGAGACCCCATCTCTACAAAATATTTTTTAAATTAGCCAGGTGTTGTGGCGTGTGCCTGTAGTCCTAGCTACTTGGGAGGCTGAAGCAGTAGGATCTCATGAGCCCAGGAGTTGGAGGCTTCAGTGAGCTAGGATGGCACCACTGCACTCTAGCCTGGGCAACAGAACAAGATCGTGTCTGTAAAAAGAGAGAAAAGAAACAGACAATTCCTAGACTGCAGCAGGTGTTTGCAGTAGTGCATCCAGCAAAGGACTCCCCAGGGAAGGAAATGGGCCAAAGATGGGAACAAGCGCTGCTTGGAAGAGCCTGTGAAACAGTGCTTGGCTTCTCTGCACAACAAGGAAACGTGTTTAGGGCCACATTGTAGAATGGCTACAAGGACAAGCACCACTCACGCTGGCTCAGTATCTCCCAAGTAGAGCATTTCCCCACCCTGTGACCTAGAGTATCTTCTCCCAGATAAATTCCTAGGAGAACTGCAAACTAAACACTTGTTCCTGAGTGTCCACAGACACTTGCTTCCTGGTGTCCAACCCTGAGCACAGCCCAGATGCCCGGCAGCGGGAACTGGGCATGGCTGGTGTGTGCCCACCTCGGGACCTGCTGCTGCACTCGGCAACAGGGACAGCAAGGAGGCAGGAGGCCAGGCCAGGTTTGGGGGCTCCCCTGTGTGTTTCTGCATCATCAACTTGAAGAAGCAGCCAACCTCGGCCCAGGATCATCCCTGGGGGAAGGACTGACAGGAGCGCATCTTTAGCCTCATGCTTAAGATCTGTGCATTGGGCCAGGTGCGGTGGCTCAGCCTGTGATCCCAGCACTTTTGGGAGGCCAAGGTGGGTGGATCAGGAGGTCAGGAGTTCGAGACCAGCCTGACCAACATGGTGAAACCCGTCTCTACTAACAATACAAAAATTAGCTAGGTGTGGTGGTGCACCTGTAATGCCAGCTACTTGGAGGCTGAGGCAGGAGAATCGCTTGAACCCTGGAGGCAGAGGTTGCAGTGAGCCGAGATCACGCCACTGCATGATGTGTGCATTGGTGTTAAGTCAGCTATTAAGAGGTGTGGGCTGGGTGTGTGTGGGGGTCAGAGGAGGTGATGTTTGCCCTGAGATGAGGTCAGAGCCCACATTCCCATGGGGGTGGACTCCCCTTTGTAGGCCTTGACACGAGCATGGGAGCGGAGCTAGGGGCACTGACATCAAAGGTGGTGGCGCCTATCCAGAGGACTCCGGGTTTCATTCCAAGTGCGGGGAGGCTGCAGCATGTCCCTCTTTAATATAGAGGTGAGGGAGGCTCTCAGCACCCTGCCTGTTGCAGGGAAGCCTGAGGACAGGACCTCCAGGGAACTCTGCACCAGAGCGGAATCCTCAGACCGGCAACTGGGTGGTCTTGATTCATCCAGAACGTAATTCTCCTAGAGGTCTGGGAAGGGGTGCTCTTGTACCTTGGTTTTGTGTTTTGTTTTTGTTTGTTTTTTGAGACAGAGTCTCACTCTGTCGCCCAGGCTAGAATGCAGTGGTGCGATCTCGGCTCACTGCAACCTCTGCCACCCAGGTTCAGGTGATTCTCCTGCCTCAGCCTCCCGAGTAGCTGGGATTGCAGGTGCCTGTCACCACGCCTGGCTCATTTTTGTATTTTTAGTAGAGACGGGGTATCACTATCTTGGCCAGGCTGGTCTTGAACTCCGGACTTCGTGATCCACCCACCTCAGCCTCCCAAAGTTCTGGGGTTACAGGCGTGAGCCACTGCGCCCAGCCGCACCTTGTTTTTTTTTTGCTGCCTGTAGCTGTTTCTCATTAGCCTGATGGAGGTGGCTGTTGGGGTGGTGGGGTGCTTATTATAAAGCCTTCTGCTGTCACAGCCCTGGGGTCTCACTTCCTGGGCTCTCTGCATAGGGAGCCGCCCTCCAGGGCAAGGGCCACAGTGTGCAGTAAGCCCCCCATGGCCACAGGGCAGGGCGTTTCAAGCCAAGAGTCTGCACTGTTTGCTGGCCACTAAGGGCATTGAATGGATCACAAAACTGGCTTTTTTTTCCCCCAGTCAAATAGAAATGGGGTTTTGCCATGTTGTCCAGGCTGGTCTCAAACTCCTGGGCTCAAGCAATCCTCCCACGTTGGCCTCCCAAAGTGCTGGGATTACAGGCACGAGCCACCATATCTTTAAAAATGTAATAGAATGGAAAATGGCAAAGCGCGCTGCTTTTCATAGAAGAGACTATCGCATTGGGGTTCTTCTGTTGCCCCTGCCTGTGCTGCACGTCCTGCTTCACAGTGTAAAGCGCAACTCTTGCTGTGCCTTATTGTAACAGGTATAGGGTGGATGCTGCCATCATGAAGAGAGAGGAGAGCTCTTTGCTTATAAAATTCCGTAGAGTGGAGAACAGGATGTGCCGGCTTAGGAGAGGGAAGAGGTACAGGCCCGCTCTGCCCGAGCTGCAGATGGGACACACATTTCCCGACTCAGAGGGGAGTCGTGTCTTTCTCCAGGGTCACCGAGCAGCAAGCGCATCCACTGTGTGTTCTTATTTTCTGAGCCTGTGGACTGGGTTTACCAACAGTTGCCTGTGGCAGAGCCGGCCACCAGCCCGCTCATAGGAAAAAGGAAGCCTGTGCCTCCAGGGAGGGCCCACGATGGGAATGCAGTCTGAGAAGGGTATGTGCTCCCATGCTGGACCGGCTGGTCCCACACCCAGGACCAAAAACACCTCCTGGCAGGAGATGGGGAGATGTACTTCATGAACACACGTTGGGGAAGGACACTCCTGGAAGGCAGAGGCTCAAGGCGGGCTGTGTCCAGGCCAGGAGATTCACTCCCACCTCAATTTCCTCCTCAGCACGGCTGGCCTGGCACTGGTGCCTGCTTCAGAGTTTAGTGTGTGTAAAGTGTGGCTGGCCCAGCAAGCAGGGGATGATGGCGGTTGTCAAGGCCAGGGGAGGTGCAGGGACAGGATTCTGGCTCCCGTGTGTAACGTCTGCATCTCAGGAGGCTCTCATGTTAGAAGCTGGGTCAGGGGCTTCGTGATGCACACAAACACCAAACAAGCAGGAGGCCTTCCGGGATCCTGCTCACGAGCAGCTTCCTGGAGGCAAGCCTGGCCCGTCTGCCCCTTGGTGACATCAGGACCCCAGCAACAGAACCAGGGAAGCCACCATGTTGTCGCTGCCATTTTCCAGCGTGGTAAACAGAAGCAAGACAAGGCGCACTCAGGACACCCAAACAGACGGCGGGGCCAGCCAGTGGCATGGGCGGGCTGCCCTGCCCTCTGGAATTTTCTGGGAAAGAACATAAGGAAAGAAGCGGTGCTGATGAGGCAGCTGGAGTTATCAGGACCCAAGCTCAGCTCCTCCTTCCCATCAGGCCCCGTTGGCCACTTTTAGGCTTCGTCCGCCTGGTGGCTCCCTGCTTGGGGCCGTTCCCTGGCTAGGCCCTTCCTCTGGGCCAAAGCAGAGAGGAGAGCGCGTTTGCCATGCGTTCTCATTTTCCCAGCCTGCGGGCTGGGTTCTGTCAGAGCAAGGTCAGCTCTCAGAGCTTCTGTCCCCACCCACCCTGTCCTGCTGAGCCAGGCTCAGGTATGGGTAAGAGCTGGGAGCGCTGTGCACGAGGCCTGGCAGCATCTCATCACTGCCGCTGTACCGAGTGCACAAGGGCGCTTCCTGTGGTGTTCAGGGGGTTAGATCAGTCCCCAGTGAGGACAGAGCAGAGATCCAGATGCATCCCAGGCCGGCTGCAGTGGCTTCTGCCTCTAATCCCAGCACTTCGGGAGGCCAAGGCAGGCAGATCACGAGGTCAAGAGATCGAGACCATCCTGACCAACATGGTGAAACCCTGTCTCTACTAAAAATACAAAAATTAGCCGGGTGTGGTGGCTGGCATCTGTAATCCCAGCTACTCGGGAGGCTGAGGCAGGAGAATTGCTTGAGCCCAGGAGGCAGAGGTTGCAGTGAGCCGAGATCATTCCATTGCGCTCCAGTCTGGCGACAGAACAAGACTCTGTCTCAAAAAAAACAAAAAACAAAAAAATGTATCACAGGCCTGTTTGTGTGGTTGTCTCTGGGAAATGTTCCAGAAGCTACAAGAAAGCACATGTGCAGGCCAGGCATGGTGGCTCACACCTGTAATCCCAGCACTTTGGGATGCTGAGGCGGGCTGATCACCTGAGGTCGGGAGTTTGAGACCAGTCTGACCAACATGGAGAAACCCTGTCTCTACTAAAAATACAAAATTAGCCTGGCATGGTGGTGCACGACTGTAAAAAATCCCAGTGACTCCAAAGGCTGAGGCAGGAGAATCTCCTGAACCTGGGAGGTGGAGGTTGCAGTGAGCCGAGATCGCACCATTGCACTCCAGCCTGGGCAGCAAGAGCGAAACTCCGTCTCAAAAAAAAAAAAAGCGCATGTGCAAGAAATAGCTCCTGAGCTGAGTTGGAATTTCTCATCCTTAAACAATGTGGGAACCTGCTGAGGTGGGGTGGGGGCTCCCGGGTGGGCGGACTCGGGGGTGATAGCCGCCGGTTCTGCCTTGCAGCAGCAGTGGACGTCAGCTCAGCGAGGTCTTCATCCAGCTGCCCTCGCGAAAGGAGCTGCCCGAGTACTACGAGCTCATCCGCAAGCCCGTGGACTTCAAGAAGATAAAGGTAACCCTGACGTTGTACCTGCGCCCCGCATGTGCCCGGAGGGGAGTCTGACCCAGGGGCACCCCCATCTGAGAGCTGTGGTGTGTGGGCAGAATGACCAGAAACCACCTAGGCGGTGCCTTGGGCTACCTGGTTAGGGACCTGGTCGTGGGCTTTTGGGGTTCCTTGTAAGGGTTGGGGGTGTCCTGAGGGATGTCAGTGGGCAGTCGGTGTTGGGTGTTCCTTCAAGGTCCCACTCACTTAGTGCTGGGCCTCAGTCATGCAGTTCCCATGCCTAGTGAGCCAGGTTACCGAGGCTGGCGCTTCGGCCACATCCTCATAGGCACGAGGAATCCTAGCCCGTGGGGTCTCCAGCACACAGCCAGGCCTGCGGGCAGGCGAGGCGGGGTCCTGAGGTAAGACCTGCTCCTCCCGTCCACTGCAGGAGCGCATTCGCAACCACAAGTACCGCAGCCTCAACGACCTAGAGAAGGACGTCATGCTCCTGTGCCAGAACGCACAGACCTTCAACCTGGAGGGCTCCCTGGTGAGGGCACCGCTGGGGGTTGGGGATGGGCCACTCCCACAGCTGGGCTTTGACCCAACCCGCCCCTCCTTCCCTTCTGAATTGATGGGTTAAAAACAAGTCCCGCTAGCTGTGGTGGTTCGTGCCTGTAATCCCAGCACTTTGGGAGGCCAAGGCGGGAGGATCACTTGAGACCAGGAGTTCACGACCAGCCTGGGCAACATAACAAGACCCTGTCTTTAAAAAAAAAAAAGAAAAAATTAAAAATTTCCAACTTGGGATATTTTAGCAATTACAAAAGCAGTATGTATTTACCGAAGAAAATAAAGATAGGCACAACAGAAGAAATAGACTCAGAGTCCTCTGTCTGTTGGAATTTTATTTTAAATTCCCTGGGGCACATTCTCTTCAAAGGAATCCTGTGGGTTTGTTCTTTCCTGTGATAGAATTGACACATACACAGCCTCAACTTGGCAAACTTTCTTAAGTGTCTTTGGGATTGATTCCTCTCAGAAAAAAGACTTGACTTTGATGAGTTTGGGAAAGATGCTGGCTTCAACAAGGGGCATGTATTTCCAATGTTATTGCAGACCTCAGAGATTGTGCAGAAGGAGGGAGGCACCTGCAGCTATTCCCAAACCAGTGTGCCTGACCTTTCACCCTGGAGCATTTCAGAAGTCTGATGCTCGGGCCCCTATGGAGGAAGATTATGGAGAGGGCCTTCCACCCTGGGTGGGCTGAAGCCCCGACCCGCTGAGGCTCGCATTGGCCACTGATCAGCTGTCCAGGGGCAACACAGGGCTGGGGCTGGGGCTGGGGCCAGGGCCGGGCAGGCAGCCCTCCAGTCGGGCCCATCCACTCAAGCCCCTGGTGTCTCTGCCCAGATCTATGAAGACTCCATCGTCTTGCAGTCGGTCTTCACCAGCGTGCGGCAGAAAATCGAGAAGGAGGATGACAGTGAAGGCGAGGAGAGTGAGGAGGAGGAAGAGGGCGAGGAGGAAGGCTCCGAATCCGAATGTGAGTCCCGGGGGGGTTCAGGACGCCGGGGTTCACGCTGGCCCGAGAGCCCCCAAGGCCCCAGCTTTTCACAGCCCTCCCGGCTCCCAGACGCCCCTTGCTGTGGGGGTGCTGCATTCCCAGAGCTCAAGGCTGTCTTTCCCTCCCGGTCCCCTCCAGCTCGGTCCGTCAAAGTGAAGATCAAGCTTGGCCGGAAGGAGAAGGCACAGGACCGGCTGAAGGGCGGCCGGCGGCGGCCGAGCCGAGGGTCCCGAGCCAAGCCGGTCGTGAGTGACGATGACAGTGAGGAGGAACAAGAGGAGGTGAGGCCGGGCCCCCGAGCAGGCAGAGCTGGCATGTGGCAGGAGGCATCCCGGGGCCCTGATGGGACAGCCCTGTGGGGCGGTGCTCCCACGCCCCCACGCTGCAGGTGGGAAAGCTGAGGCTTGACCTGCCATGGCTGACCCCAGGTCACACAGCCAGTATGTGGCAGGGCTGCCACTCAAAGCCAAGCCTGTGTGACCCCGGAACCAGCTCTCAGTACCCGTGGGTGTCTGGGGACTGGGGGACACGTGAGTCCTCAGGACAGGCAGCAGGCGGTCCCAGGGCACCAGGGCTCCTGGGCTGAGGCCGGGCAGGCCAGGGCTTGATTAGGGTTGGGTAGGAGGTGCTAGGATTGGGGACCCACCAGACAGTGCCCCGTCTCCTCAGTGGCATAGAGAATGGGCAGAAACGCCAAGACCACAGTGGATAGTTTTTGGGGTGCAGTGGGGAGCCGGAGAAGATCCACTTGCTGGCTTTAAATAATCTCACCTCTGTCTCTGGCCCTTCCTGGCTGTGGGACCTGGCAGGTCACTTTGCTTCTCAAGCTTCAGTTTCCTCTTATGCAAAGCAAGGAGGCTGCATGGATTAGGGGGCTGCCCCCACCGAAGGGCCTGGCTCCCGCTGAAGCCCAGCGAATGCCATTTTGTCATCACAGAAGCAGCAAATTTCAGTGCCTGGGAATTAGTCTGACGAAAGACGCACGTGACGTTTGAGGACATTCATGAAGTCCTCATGTGGAGGGGAGGCCCCTGTGTCAGGCAGGAGGGTCTGGGCTGTGATGCTGTCTCTCTTGCCTAATCCAGAGCAGGGTGTTTTATGGCCCATGCCAGGCTGTTTAAAAAGGTTTTATGAGGCCAGGTCCAGTGGCTCACACCTGTAATCCCAGCACTTTGGGAAACTGAGGCAGGAGGCTCACTTGAGCCTGGGAGGTCGAGGCTGCAGTGAGCCGTGATAGCACCACTGCACTCCAGCCTGGGCAACAGAGCAAGACCCTGTCTTTAAAAAAAAAAAAAAAAATATATATATATATATATATATATATATATATATATATGAAAGAGCAAAGATCTTTCACAGTCAGGAAGAACCAAGATGGTTTGGAAGCTGTAGGTCAGGGGCCAAGGGCCAGGCAGGTGACATGGGACAGAGCAGGGAAGGCACGTGGAGCCTCGAAGGTCCCGAGAGGGCCGAGTGTGGTCACAGGGACTCGTCCTGTAGAGAAACATGAAGTTTGGGCATGGCCATGGCGCCATCTCGGCTCACTGCAAGCTCCACCCCCCGGGATCGCGCCATTCTCCTGCCTCAGCCTCCCAAGTAGCTGGGACTACAGGCGCCCGCCACCACGCCCGGCTAATTTTTTGTATTTTTTAGTAGAGACGGGGTTTCACCGTGTTAGCCAGGATGGTCTCGATCTCCTGACCTCGTGATCCGCCCGCCTTGGCCTTCCAAAGTGCTGGGATTACGGGCGTGAGCCACCGTGCCCGGCCCACATCAGTGTTTTCTTGAGCAAGTTTATTTAAAGTTTGGCAGGTCCCTGGCAAGGTGCCCTGGCAGGGGTGGCCAACGCACACTCTCTCCTCCTGTCCCCTCTCCAGGACCGCTCAGGAAGTGGCAGCGAAGAAGACTGAGCCCCGACATTCCAGTCTCGACCCCGAGCCCCTCGTTCCAGAGCTGAGATGGCATAGGCCTTAGCAGTAACGGGTAGCAGCAGATGTAGTTTCAGACTTGGAGTAAAACTGTATAAACAAAAGAATCTTCCATATTTATACAGCAGAGAAGCTGTAGGACTGTTTGTGACTGGCCCTGTCCTGGCATCAGTAGCATCTGTAACAGCATTAACTGTCTTAAAGAGAGAGAGAGAGAATTCCGAATTGGGGAACACACGATACCTGTTTTTCTTTTCCGTTGCTGGCAGTACTGTTGCGCCGCAGTTTGGAGTCACTGTAGTTAAGTGTGGATGCATGTGCGTCACCGTCCACTCCTCCTACTGTATTTTATTGGACAGGTCAGACTCGCCGGGGGCCCGGCGAGGGTATGTCAGTGTCACTGGATGTCAAACAGTAATAAATTAAACCAACAACAAAACGCACAGCCTTGCCTGCAGGTGGACTTGTGCCTGGCTCCCACCGTTTCTGCCAGCAGGAGTGGCGGGGGCCACCTCATGTCCAGGTCCCTGTCCTTCTCCTGGCACCAGAACCCATGGGGCCCGTTTCACAGAGGAGGATACTGAGGCCCCGGCAGGGGAAGAGGACTTGTCTGGTCACGCGTGTGGCCTTTGCCACTGCAGGTCTCCAGCATTTGTTCAGCTGAGACCTACAGTGCAGGGAGCAGGCAGCTCCATCCGTTCCCTGCCCGTGGCCCAGCCTGGGTTGGGGAGACCATCACAGAAATGGGCAGATGCCACATAGAGCTCTCAGGGCCATGATGCAGGAAGCTCAGGGCATAATGGGAGCCCAGGTGGTCAGTGAGGGAAGGGACGGAGCCGCCTGCTCCCTTTCAAATCCAGAACATAATTTGAGTTTTTGTTTTTTTGTTTTGTTTTGTTTTGTTTTTGAGACGAAGTCTCTGTCACCCAGGCTGGAGTGCAGTGGCATGATCTCGGCTCACCGCAACCTCAGCCTCCTGGGTTCCAGTGATTCTGCTGCCTCAGCCTCCTGAGTAGCTGGGATTACAGGGGTGCGCCACCATGCCCAGCTAATTTTTGTATTTTTAGTAGAGATGGGTTTCATCATGTTAGCCAGGCTGGTCTCAAACTCCTGACCTCAGGTGATCCACCTGCCTCGGCCTCCCAAAGTGCAAGGATTACAGGCATGAGCCACTGTGCCCAGCCCCTAATTTGTGTATTTTTAGTAGAGGCAGGGTGTCACCATGTTGGCCAGGCTGGTCTCAAACCCATGACCTCAAGTGATCCACCCACCTTGGCCTCCCAAAGTGCTGGTATTACAGGCATGAGCCACCGTGCTTTGAGTTTTTTTACAGTAAGTCTTGGCCGGAGTGCAGTGGCTCAATCTTGGCTCATTGCAACCTATGCTTCCTGGGCTCAAGCAATCCTCCCACCTCAGCCTCCTGAGTAGCTGGGATTATAGGTGCACGCCACCATGCCCAGGTAATTTTTGTTTTTGTTTTTGTTTTTGGTGGAGACAGGGTTTTGTAATGTTGCCCAGGCTGGTGTCAAACTCCTGGGTTCAAGCAGTCCACCCGCCTCAGCCTTTCAAAGTGCTGAGATTACAGACGTGAGCCACTGTGCCTAACCAATTTGAATTCTTATCATTTTTGTCTGTTCATTAAGAGCCATTATTAGTGGGTCACTGTCGTCATACTTGGCTTTAATTCTTGAGATGTGGTTTCTTCTAGCTCTTTGAACCTTTTTTTTTGTTTTGTTTTTAATTGAGACAAGGTCTTGCTGTGTCACCCAAGCTAGAGTGCAGTGGTGTCATCACAGTTCACAACAGCCTTGACCTCCTGGGCTCAAGTGATCCTCCTGCCTCAGCCCCCTGAGTAGCTGGGACCACAGGTGCACACCAGCACACTTGGCTAATTATTATTATTATTATTTTTTTTGTAGAGATAATGTTTCGCTTTGTTGCCCAGGCTGGTGGTCTGAACTCCTGAGCTCAAGTGATCCTCCTGCCTCAGCCGCTCTATTTTTTTTTTTTAATCGAGACATGGTATTGCTCTGTTGCCCAGGCTGGAGTGCAGTGGTGGGATGGTAGCTCAACTTCCAGAGCTCAGATGATCCTCCCTCTTCAGCCTCCAGTGTATCTGGGACCACAGACATGCACCACCCAGCCCAGCTTGAACCTGTTTTTAGTAGCTGCTTTGAAGCCTTTTGGTCCAACATCCGGATCCATTCCTCCACAGAAAGGTTCTGTTGACTCCTTTTTGTCCTCAGCGTAGGTCACACTTTCCTGTTTCTTCACATGTCTGGCAAGCTTTTGTTGTCAGAAAGTAGACATTGTATTTTTATTTATTTGTTTTTAATTTTGTTATGTTTTTGAGATGGAGTCTCTCACTGTCGCCCAGGCTGGAGTGCAGTGGTGCGATCTCGGCTGACTGCAGCCTCCGCCTCCTGGGTTCAAGCGATTCCCCTGCCTCAGCCTCTGGAGTAGCTGGGATTACAGGCACCCGCCACCACGCCCGGCTAATTTTTGTATTTTGTATTTTTAGTAAAGACGGGGTTTTACCATGTTGGCCAGGCTGGTCTCGATCTCCTGACCTCAGGTGATCTGCCCACCTTGGCCTCCCAAAGTGCTGGGATTAAAGGCGCGAGCCACCGCGCCTGGCCTTGTTTTGTTCTTAATTGTTGTTTTTCTTTTCTTTCTTTCATGTTTCCCCTCGGAGACAAGGTCTTGCGCTGTCACTGATGCTGGACTGCAGTGGTGCAGTTTCAGCTCACTACAGCCTCCCGGGCTCAAGCCATCCTCCCACCTCAGCCTCCCGAGTAGCCGGAACTACAGGCTTGTGCCACCACACCCAGCTAATTTTTTTTTTTTTTTTTTTTTTTTGGTAGAGACAGGGTTTCTCCATGTTGCCCACGGTGGTCTTGAACACCTGGGCTCAAGTGATCTGCCCGCCTCTGCCTCCCAAAATGCTGGGATTACAGGTGTGAGCCACCGCGCCTGGCCCAATTCTCATTTTTATTTAGAAGGAGTCACCCCTGGGTCAGCCAAGCTGAGACATCAGTTGGTGGTTGGTCAGAACTTGTGCCCAAATATGCTGAGTCAGCGGCTCTGCCCGGGCCCAAATGCTGAGTCAGCACCTCTGCCCGGGCAGTCTGCAGGCTGGCCCTACCTTTGCTTTCTGCCTGTGGTTCCTATCAGGGCACGCACTTCAGTTCTGTTGGGCAGGGAGACGTGCATCAGACTCTCTCCAGGGCATATGTGCTGTCTTGCGCTTGCGCGTGGCCTCCCAAACCCCTAGGGATACCTGGGGCCAGCTGGGGCAGTCTCTGTCTCGACCTCCTTTTCCATTTCTGGCTAGTTTACCAATCTGTTTCATCCTTAGGCCAGCTGATGACCTTGGCCCTCTCCTCCCGAGATCCCTGCAGCTTCCAACAGTGAGGCCCTCCAGCAGTGAGGCTGCTGATTTTCATGGCCTGGCTGGAGCTGGGGGCCCAGGCCAGGAGCAGCCCCAGGCAAAAATCACCTCCCGCTGCTCTTCCCTGCCACTCAGTACTTTTTCTGGAATAAACATTTCCTCACTGGGTGAACACCTTTGACGAGATCTTCACAGTCCTGGGATGGTTGCTTTGGACAATTCTGTTTAGCTTTATTGTTGCTTTTAGGGAGAGGATTTGCCAAGATCTTCACTCCACCATTTGGGAAAATCCACATTTCGTTTGTTGCAATAGCTTTGGCTTTATTTTAATAGATTATAATTTATTTATTTTTTATTTATTTATTTTTGAGACAGGGTCTTGCTCTGTCACCCAGGCTGGAGTATAGTGACATGATCTCTGCTCACTGCAACCTCCGCCTCCTGGGCTCAAGCAATTCTGCCACCTCAGCCTTTTGAGTAGCTGGGATTACAGGCGTGCACCACCATATCTGGCTAATTTTTTTGTATTTTTAGTAGAGACAGGATTTTGCCACGTTGCCCAGGCTGGTCTCAAACCCCTGGGCTCAAGCAGTCTGTCCACGTTGGCCTCCCACAGTGCTGGGATTACAGATGTGAGCCACCACTCCCAGCCAGAATTTATTTTAACGTTTATGGAAAACCAACTCACCAAACCTATGATTTCATGGTTTTCAGAATGAGGCCAATTTAAAAATAAGTGCCTTAGTCTGGGGGTGTTGGCCCATATCCATAATCCCAGCACTTTGGGAGGCTGAGGCAGGAAGATTGTGAAGATTGCTTGAGGCCAGGAATTTGAGACCATCCTAGACGACATAGAGACCCCCCATCTCAACAACAAAAATAAAAAAATTAGCCAGGCACAGTGGTACACATCTGTAGTCCTAGCTACTTGGGAGGCTGAGGCAGGAGGATCACTTGAGCCCAGGAGTTCGAGGCTGCAGTGAGCTGTGATCCCACCAGCGCACTCCAGCCTAGGAGACAGAGGAAGACCCTGTCTCAAAAAAAAATTTTTTAAGGAAAATTTTTTAAGAAAAAAAATGAGGGGAGCCTACAGAAATAACTTTGAGTGTCCACCTGTGCAAAACCCATGTCATGGGGACACAGGGACATGTTAGCTGTGGTGCAGATGAGTGGTCCGGGCTGCAGGCCTGTCTGACTCAGGTCTCAGACATCGGCTTTGGCCTGAGGGCCTGGAACCAGCTTGGTCCCCATATGGCAGTGGCCCCAAGCCAGGGGCCTTCACCTGTGTGACCTGGTGACAGCTGCTGGCTGGCTGCTGCCCTTCCTGACCTTTGCTCTCCACACCTGCCCCTCTCGCAGGCCTTTCCTCTGTCTTTCAGTCCCGCTGGCCAGTGCCCTTCTCCCAACAACCCCAAGGGCTGGGGGACTTCATTCCTGTTTCCCAGATGACACAAGTGGAGCTCGGGGAGGTTGAGCCAGTGGCCTAAGGCTACACAGATCTGAGCTTGGGTTTGGGGGACATGAGACTCCTCAGGGGCTGCCACCTGCTCTGGGGTCTGGAGCAAGGACCCTGAGACTTGAAAGTTGAAATGGCGCCTGGAACCAGGTGGTGGACTAAGCAATGGCGGGCAGGTCGGTGTGTCCCCAGGAGTCAGGAGAGGCTGCCACAAGACAGGAGTGAGCAGGACCTTAAAGCTGAAACGCCGGATGGTCAGGGCATGATGGGACCTGACACGGCCTGGACTAGGAGGGGGTGGGAAGAATAATACGGGACATCATATGTGGCAGGGGGTCATGCGCTTTCCCATCCAGCCATCTAGGCTGGCTCTCCTAGATTCTTTTTGTTTTGTTTTGAGACAGAGTCTCGCCCTGTTGCGCAGCTGGAGTACAGTGGCACCATAGCCTCTCGAGTAGCTGGGACGACAGGCGCGCACCCACACCCAGCTAATTTTTGTATTTTCAGTAGAGACGTGGTTTTGCCATGTTGGCCAGGCTGGTGTCAAACTCCTGACCTCAGGTGATCCGCCTGCCCCATCCTCCCAAAGTGCTGGGATTACAGGCATGAGCCACCAGGCCCGGCCTCTCCTAGAGTCTTGCTTCCATCAAGTCATGGAGTCTCCTTTTCCTTCCCTGGAGTTTGAGTGTACTTGGGACTCACTGGTAACCAACAGAGTTCAATGGAAGTGACATCATGTAACTACTAAGAGTAGGTCACAGAAAGCACAGCTTCCGCCTTGCTTGCTCGCTCACTCTTGAATCACCAGCTGCCATGTAACAGCCTGACTTCCTGGAGCCTGCCATTTTGTGAGGAGGCCCAACCAAGCCCATGCTATAAGGCCACCAAGACCACGGGAAGAGAAAGCAATGGCTGCCCCAGCCCTAGCCCTCAGCTGTCACCAGCTGCATCAGAGACCCTGAGCCCGTACCGCCGAGCTGAGCCCTTCCCACATTCCTGACCCTTAGAAACCACAAGAGCTAATAAACACATTGTTTTAAGCCACTAAGCTGTTAGGCAGCAACAGTACTGGAACATCATAAAATAATTTTTTAAATGACAGGGATCTAATTAAACGTGGAAGGATCTTGAGAACATTGTTGAGGATAGAACAGCAGGCTGCACAGTGAAGCAAATGTCCAGCAAGATGGACACACACTGGATCCTGGATATGTGTTCTGGACCATGTCACTAGTACATCACATTTAGAGAAAGCTGTGTCAGGACCCACCCCAAACACAAAACAGCCTGAACTGCTGCTGTTACCCTTGGCAGTGGGGGAGGGAAGGGTGGCGTTAAGAGATTCCCCAAGATGGTGAGGTCACCTGGCCATTTTATTTTTTATTTTTATTTTTTATTTTTGTATATATATATATATATATATATATATATATATATATATATATTTTGAGACAGAGTTTTGCTCTTTTGCCCAGGCTGGAATGAAGTGACGCAATCTCAGCTCACTGCAACTTTTCCCCCCAGGATCAAGTGATTCTCCTGCCTCAGCCTCCCAAGTAGTTGGGATTATAGGCACCCGCCACCACGCCCAGCTAATTTTTGTATTTTTAGTAGAGGCGGGGCTTTGCCATGTTGGCCAGGCTGGTCTCAAACTCCTGACCTCGTGCCACCCACCTCGGCTTCCCAAAGTGCTGGGATTACAGACATGAGCCACTGCACCCGGCTGCCTGGCCATTTTAAGAGCCACTTTTTGGGCCGGGTGTGGTGGCTCATGCCTGTAATCCTAGCACTTTGGGAGGCCGAGTTGGGCAGATCCCTTTTTTTTTTTTTTTTTTTTTTTGAGGTGGAGTCTTGCTCAGTGGCCCAGCCATGAGCGCAGTGGTGCAATCTTGGCTCACTGCAACCTCTGCCTCGGGTTCAAGCGATTTTCCTGCCTCAGCCTCCCATGTAGCTGGGATTACAGGCACGTGCCACCATGCCCAGCTAATTTTTTGTATTTTTAATAGAGACAGGGTTTTGCCATGTTGGCCAGGCTGGTCTTGAACTCCTGATCTCAAGTGGTCTGCCTGCCTCAGCCTCCCAAAGTACTGGCCCAGTTTCTGTATGTTTGAATAGAGACAAGGTGTCACTATCTTGCCCAGGCTGATCTCGAACTCCTGAGCTCAAGGGATCCTCCCACTGCAGTCTCCCAAATTGCTGGGATTATAGGGTGTGAGCCATTGCGCCCAGCCAGAACCTCTTCTTGATTCCTCACCAATGTTTTGGTCAACAGCACACTTGGATTCTAGTTTCTGTCATGGTCTCAAAGATTTCTACTGAAATAAGACCGTTCTTGGTCGTGCCTTGTGGCTCAAGCCTGTAATTTGAGCACTTTGGGAGGCCAAGGTGGGCGGATCACTTGAGGCAAGGAGTTTGAGACCAGCCTGGCCAACATGGTGAAACCCCATCTCTACTAAAAATACAAAAATTAGCGGGGCATGGTGGTGCATGCCTGTAATCCCAGCAACTCAGGAGGCAGAGGCAGGAGAATCGCTTGAACCCGGGAGGCGGAGGTTGCAATAAGCCAAGGTCATGCCACTGCACTCCAGCCTGCCCAACACAGCAAGACTATGACTCAAAAAAAAAAAAAAAAAAATTCTTACCTGCTGGAGCGTTAATATGAATGAGGTGTCCAGAGCCCAGCTCCTCCTGATCCACCCATGTCTGATTCTGCTTCTGTGTCCCCACCTCACAAGTGGCCACTGGCCTACAAGGAGTCCATGTCAGCTGCCATCCCTTTCCATCAGGCCACACCAGCCGATCCCCCCTCACCCACTCATTCTCCTTCCTAAATATCCCCTCAACCCACCCACCTCTCTCTCCACCCTTGACCTTCACCTGCACCAGCCTCAGCCTATAGCTGGCCTAGACCAGCATGGTCAACTCCTTGGTTTCTCCGCTTCCACCCACGCTGCGCTCCATGTGGCCAGAGGGTTCTAAACTCTTGCAGTTCCTCAATGCACAAGGGGGCCTGGTCAGCTGAGCCTGGCACCTGCCCAGCCTTCTCTAAGCCTCAGCTAAAATTCTATACCACATACTTCTAGACACTGGCATGCGCAGGGGCCTGTTGTTGCAACCCCTCATGTGGTGAATCTCCCTCAGAGCCCTCAGACATCAGTTCCCGCCCCTTCTTGCCTTCTTTGGTAATCTGGGGCAGGAAGCACTTGGGGCGGGTCATTGTGGCTCACGCGTATAATCCTAGCACTTTGGGATGCTGAGGTAGGAGGATCGCTTGAGCCCAGACGTTCAAGAGCAGCCTAGGCTCTACAAAAAAGTCCTACAAAGCTCAGTTTTCAAAGCATATTTCTGGCCGGGTGTGGTGGTGCACGCCTGTAGCAGCCAGCTACTTGGGAGGCTGAGGCAGGAGAATTGCTTGAACCCGGAATGCAGAGAGTTTGCAGTGAGCCCAGATTGCACCACTGGACTCCAACCTGGGCGACAGAGCGAGACTCTGTCTCAAAAAAAGAAAAAAAGAAAACAGAAAAGGAAATGCTAGTGTGTATGCTGAATAAATAAGCACTTTGAGAAGTTGACAGGGAGGCTAGGCATGGTAGTTCACACCTGTAATCCCAGCACACTGGGAGGCTGAGGCAGGAGGAGCACTTGAGCCCAGGAGTCTGACATCAGCCTGGACAATATAGTGAGACACCGTGTCTACAAAAAAAAAAAAAAAAAATTATCCAGGCATGGTGGTGTCCGCCTGTAGTCCCAGCTACTCAGGAGGCTGAGGTGAGAAGATAACTTAGGTTGAGGGGGGCAAGGCTGCAGTGAGCTGTAATCCCACCACTGCACTCCAGCCTGAGTGACAGAGGAAGACTTTGTCTCTACAAAAGGAAAAAAGAGAAATTGACAGAAGAGAAGTTCCTCCTACTTCTATTTTTTTTTTTTTTTTGAGATGAAGTCTCACTCTCGTCCAGGCTAGAGTGCAGTGGCTGGATCTAAGTTCACTGCAACCTCCCCCTACCATATTCAAGAGATTCTCCTGCCTCAGCCTCCTGAGTAGCTGGGATTACAGGCACCCGCCACCACACCTGGCTTTTTTTTTTTTTTAAATAGAGACGGGATTTTGCCATGTTGATCAGGCTGGTCTTGAACTCCTGACCTCAGATGATCTGCCCACCTTGGCAACCCAAAGTGCTGGGATTACAGGCATGAGCCACTGCGCCCGGCCTCTTATTTCTTTAGAGGCCCCAAAAAAGAACTGCAAAGAAGAAACACGAGTGCATTAGAAAAACTGTTCAGGCTGGGCACAGTGGCTCACACCTATAATCAGTTTCAGAGGCCATGGCGGGAGGATCGCTTCAGGTCAGGAGTTTGAGACCCCCTTGGGGAACATAGTGAGAGTCCTGTCTTTATTTATTTATTATTTATTTATTTATTTATTTATTTATTTTCTTGAGACGGAGTCTCACTCTGTCACCCGGGCTGGAGTTCAGTGGTGCAATCTCAACTCACTGCAAGCTCCACCTGCCGGGTTCACGCCATTCTCCTGCCTCAGCCTCCTGAATAGCTGGGATTACAGGCGCCCACCACCACGCCTGGCTAATTTTTTTGTGATTTTTGTAGAGACGGGGTTTCACCGTGTTAGCCAGGATGGTCTCGATCTCCTGATCTCATGATCCGCCCGTCTCAGCCTCCCAAAGTTCTGTGATTACAGGCGTGAGCCACTGCGCCCAGCCTCCTGTCTTTATTTTTAAAAGAAGGGCGCAGTGGTTCAAGCCTGTAATCCCAGCACTTTGGGAGGCCGGGGCGGGCGGATCACGAGGTCAAGAGATCAAGACCATCCTGGCCAACATGGTGAAACTCCGTCTCTACTAAAAATACAAAAATTAGCCGGGCATGGTGGCAGGCTCCTGTAATCCCACCTACTTGGGAGGCTGAGGCAGGAGAATTGCTTGAACCTGGGAGGCAGAGGTTGCAGTGAGCCAAGATTGCGCCTCTGCACTCCAGCCTGGGGACAGAGCAAGACTCCATCTCAGAAAAAAAAAAAAAAAGAAGAAGAAGAAGAAAGGGGGGAAAAAAAGCCGGGTGTGGTGGCTCAAACCTGTAATCCCAGCACATTGGGAGGCTGAGCAAGAAGGATTACCTGAGCCCAGGAGTTTGAGACCAGCCTGAGCAATAAAATGAGACCTTACCTTTACAAAAGAAATTCACAACTTAGGTGGTCATGGTGGCACACACCTGTGATCTCAGCTACTCGTGAGGCTGAGGTAGGAGGATTGCTTGAATCCGGGAGGTGAAGTCTGCAGTGAGCTGTGATCACATCACTACACTCCAGCCTGGGTGACAGAATTAGACTCTGTCTCAAAAGAAAAAGAAAAAAACTGGTTATAAATCCTCTTAATAAGTAAATGATAGCTGGACATGGTGGTGCATGCCTGTAATCCCAGCTACTCGGGAGGCTGAGGCAGAAGAATTGCTTGAACCCAAGAGGCAGAGGTTGCAGTGAGCCAAGATTGCGCCACTGCACTCCAGCCTGGGCGACAGAACAAGACTCTGTTTCAGGAAAAAAAAAAAAAAAAAAAAGACGTTCTCCTATTTATTAGCATACTGTTCACAATAGCCAAAATATGGAATCAACCTAAGTGCCCATCAATGTTTGAATGAATAAAGAAAATGTGGTGTATATACACAATGTAGTACTACACTGCCATTAAAAAGACTGAAATTTTGGCCAGGCTCAGTGGCTCACGCCTGTAATCCCAACACTTTGGGAGGCCAAGGCAGGTGGATCACCTGAGGTCAGGAGTTCGGGACCATCCTGGCCAACATGGTGAAACCCTGTCTCTAGTAAAAATACAAAAATTAGCCAGGTGTGGTGGCGGGCACCTGTAGTCTCAGCTACTTGGGAGGCTGAGGCAGGAGAATCGCTTGAACCTGGGAGGTGGAGGTTGCAGTGAGATGAGATTGCGCCATCCAGCCGGGGCAACAAGAGCTAAATCCATCTCAAAAACAAAACAAAACAACAAACAAACAAAAAAACACCAGCATCACTGAAATGGATCATAAACTATGTTCTTTTATTGAACAGACCAGAAGAAACCTACTTTAACCTTTAAAAAAGAAAAAGGAAAGCCAGGCGCGGTGGCTCACATCTGGAATCCCAGCACATTGAGAGGCCAAGGCAGGCAGATCATGAGGTCAGGAGTTCGAGAATAGCCTGGCCAACAGTGAAACCCCGTCTCTACTAAAAATACAAAAATTACCAGGGTATGGTGGTGAGCACCTGTAGTCCCAGCTATTCAGGAGGATGAGGCAGGAGAATCCCTTGAACCTGGGAGGTGGAAGTTGTGGTGAGCCGAGATCGAGAGCCACTGCACTCCAACCTGGCAACAGAGCGAGACTCCATCTCAAAAAAAAAAAAAGAAAAGAAAAATAACTTGCCCAAGGTCACACAGTAAAAGACAGAGGTAGGGTTTCTGCTCATTGTGATTCTAAACGGCTGTCCACAAAATCAAAGTTAAGGTAAAATACTCTCTCAGAAGGCCCCGTAAGGGCAGGTGGCACTTTTTCTTTGAAGCCTGTATGTCAGAATTGCAATCAGTTACACCAACCCATTTAAATCAGTAGGATTGCCCGGGGGTGGTGAGTGGTGGCTCACACCTGTAATCCCAACACTTTGGGTGGCCGCAGAGGGCGGATCACTTGAGGTCAGGAGTTTGAGACCAGCCTGGCCAACGGGCGAAACCCCATCTCTACTAAAAATACAAAAATAGGCCGGGCGTGGTGGCTCACGCCTGTAATTCCAGCACTTGGGGAGGCCGAGGCGGGCGGATCACGAGGTCAGGAGATTGAGACCATCCTAACACGGCGAAACCCCGTCTCTACTAAAAATACAAAAAATTAGCCGGGCATGTGGCGGGCGCAGGAGGCTGAGGCAGGAGAATGACGTGAACTCGGAAAGCAGAGCTTGCAGTGAGCCGAGACTGCGCCACTGCTCTCCAGCCTGGGTGACAGAGTGGGACTCCATTTCAAAAACAAAAAACAAAAAACTAAAAACTGTGTGGTGGTTCCCTCTCCAGAAAATAAGTGGAATTACCATAGGACCCAAGCAGTTCCCCTTTTGGGTATATCACCAAAATAATTGAAAGCAGGATGGCCAGGCGCAGTACCTCACACCTATAATTGCAGCACTTGGGGAGGCCGAGGCAAGCAGATCACTTGAGGCCAGGAGTAGTTCAAGTGCAGCCTGGCCAACATGGTGAAATCCTGTCTCTACTAAAAATACAAAAATTAGCTGGGAGTTGTGGCACACACCTGTAGTCCCAGCTACTGAGGCTGAGGCAGGAGAATCGCTTGAACCCCGGGAGGCGGAGGTTGCAGTGAGTGGAAATCACGCGACTGAACTCCAGCCTGGGCAACAGAAAGAAACTCCGTCTCAGAAAAAAAAAAAAAAGTGGGAGCTCAAAGAGATTATTTGCATGTCCATGTTCATAGCAGCATTATTCATCACAGCCAAAAGGCTGAATCAACCCAAGAGTCCGTGGATGGAAGAACAGGTAAACAAAAGATGGTGTATCCATTCAATGGAACATTATTTGGCCTTTAAAAGGAAGGAAATTCTCACTGAGCATAGTGGTTTATGCCTGTAATCCCAGCACTTTGGGAGGCTGAGGCAGGGGGGAGGGGGCGGTTCACCTGAGGTCAGGAGTTCAAGACCAGCCTGGCCAACATGGTGAAATCCCGTCTCTACTAAAAATACAAAAAAATTAGCCGAGTGTGGTGGCACACACCTGTAAGCCAGGCTACACGGGAGACTGAGGCAGGAGAATCGCTGGAACCCGGGAGGCAGAGGCTGCAGAGAGCCGAGATTGCGTCACTGCACTCCAGCCTGGGTGACAGAGCGAGACTCTTGTCTTAAAAAAAAAAAGAAGGAAGGAAGGAAGGAAGGAAGGAAGTTCTGACACAGGCTCCAACACAGATGTTATGCTCAGTGAAATAAGCCAGACATGAAAGGACAAATACTGCCTGATCTCATTCATAAGAGGTCCCTAGAATTGTAGAATGGTGTGTGCCACGGGCTGGGAGGGGGTGTGGCCAGAGTTTCAGTTTGGGAAGTTGAGAATGTTCTGGAGATGGATGGCGGTAGTGGTGGTTGCACAACTGTGTGAATGCGCTTAATGCCTCTGAATTGTGCAGTTACAAGTGGTTCGGATGGGCCGGGCGCGGTGGCTCATGCCTGTAATCCCAGCACTTTGGGAGGCCGAGGCAGGTGGATCATGAGATCAGGAGATCGAGACCATCCTGGCTAACACGGTGAAACCCCATCTCTACTAAAAAATACAAAAAATTAGCCAGGCATGGTGGTGGGCACCTGTAGTCCCAGCTACTTGGGAGGCGGAGGCAGGAGAATGGCGTGAACACGGGAGGCAGAACTTGCAGTGAGCCGAGATCACGCCACTGCACTCCAGCCTGGGCGACAGAGTGAGACTCCGTCTAAAAAAAAAAAAGTGGTTAAGATGGGCCGGGCATGGGGGATCACGCTTGCAATCCCAACACTTTGGGAGGCTGAGGTGGGTGATTACGAGGTCAGGAGTTCGAGACCAGCCTGACCACCATGGTGAAACCCCGTCTCTACTAAAAGTACAAAATTAGCCGGGTGTCGTGGCACACGTCTGTAATCCCAGCTACTGGGGAGGCTGAGTTGGGAGGATCACCTGAGCCCAGGGAGGTCCAGGCTGCAGCAAGCCATGATTGCACCACTGCACTCCAGCCTGGGTGAGAGAGTGAGACCCTGTCTCCAAACAAACACACATGAAAAACAGATTTTTTTTGCCAGGTGCAGTGGCTCACACCTGTAATCCCAGCACTTTGGGAGGCCAAGGCGGGTGGATCACGAGGTCAGGTGACTGAGAGCATCCTGGCTAACACGGTGAAACCCTGGCTCTACTAAAAATACAAAAATTTAGCCGAGCATGGTGGTGGGCACCTGTAGTCCCAGCTACTCGGGAGGCTGAGGCAGGAGAATGGCATGAACCTGGGAGGCGGAGCTTGCAGTGAGCTGAGATCACGCCACTGCACTCTAGCCTGGGGGACACAGCAAAACTGTCTCAAAAAAAAAAAAAAAGGTTTTTTTAATTTAAAAAGGAAAGAAAAGGAGAGTGCTCGTGTGGCAGGCACCTAGCCCTGTCCAGCGCACCCTGAGACAGGGATGATGTCTCCTCCTTGACCTAAGACCACAAGTTCTAACCAATTCAACCGAGGACAGAGCCCCAATTCCAGGCAGGGCAATGGGGTCGCCTTGTGAACTAAGATGCAGATGGAGAAGAGCAGACACAGACACAGGTCTTGGGGCCCCTGCAGGGGTTTCTCACTGGCTTTTTCCCCCTGGATTCCTATGGGTTCTGGGGAACAGAGTTAGGTCGGCTGGCAAGACAGATGCATGAGGCTGTGGCGCCCTTGACATTGAGCCGGAGGGCCAGAGTTCGTCATTGCTGACGCAGAGAAGCTGGGAGCCAAGGTTAGCCAGATGGTTTGGAGGAGTTTTAAACAATCTTTTCTTTTCTTTCTCTTTCCATCTGTCTGTCCTTCTTTCCTCCCTTCCTGCCCCCTTTCTTTTCTCCTTTCTTTCCTTCCTCTCTCCTTCCTCCCTTTTTTTCTTTTTTTTTGGTTTTCTTTTTGTATTAGTATTATTATTTTTTAGACAGGGTCTTGCTCTGTTGCCCAGGCTGGAGGGCAGTGGCACGATCACAGCTCAGTACACCCTCAACCTTCTGGGTTCAAGCAATCCTCCTGCCTTGGCCTCCCAGGTAGCTGGGACTACAGGCGTGTGCCACCACACCTGGTTAATTTTTTTTTTTTTTGAGACGGAGTCTTGCTCTGTCACCCAGGCTGCAGTGCAGTGGCGTGATCTCGGCTCACTGCAACCTCCACCTCCCGGGTTCAAGCGATCCTCCTGCCTCAGCCTCCCGAGTAGCTGGGATTACACGCGCCCGCCACCAAGCCCGGCTAATTTTTTTATTTTTAGTAGAGACAGAGTTTCACCACGTTGGCCAGGCTCGTCTCAAACTCCTGACTTAGTGATCTACCCACCTTGGCCTCTCAAAGTGCTGGGATTAGAGGCGTGAGCCACCATGCGCAGCCAATTTTTGTATTTTTAGTAGAGATGGGGTTTCACCATGTTGGTCAGTCTGGTCTCGAACTCCTGACCTCAAGTGATCCACCTGCCTCAGCCTCCCAAAGTGCTGGAATTACAGGCATGAGCCACCGCGCCCAGCCCTCTTAACCATTTTTAAGTGCACAGTTCAGCAGCATTAAGCACATTCACATTGTTGTGCAACCATCAGCCCCCGTCCATCTCCAGCTTTCTCTTTTTTTTTGTTTGTTTTGAGACAGGGTCTTACTCTCTCGCCCAGTATAGAGTGCAGTGGTGCGGTCTTGGCTCGCTGCAACCTCTGCCTTCCAGGTTCAAGCTATTCTCCTGCCTCAGTCTCCCCAGTAGCTGGGATTACAGACACACATCACCACGCCCTGCTAATTATTTTGCATTTTTAGTAGAGATGGTGTTTCACCATATTGGCCAGGCTGATCTTGAACTCCTGGCCTCAAGTGGTCTGCTCCAAACTGCTGAGATTACAGCCGTGAGCCACTGCTCCCAGCCATCTGCACCTTTCTCATCTTCCCAAATGTAACTATGTCCCCGTGAAACACTCACTCCCCATTCCACCTCCCCAGCCCCTGGCACCCCCCATTTTATTCTGGTGCTAGGGGAATTTCAAACCAGGCAAGTCTCAACACATGCTCGAGTGTAAGAACCAGCCCACAGCCTCGTTCCCTAATCACGGTCAAACCAGAATTCTACTCCAGGTTCTACTCTGTGAATCTGCTTTCTGTGAATCTGTTACTCTGGGGACCGCCTATAAGTTGAATCCTACAGTGTCTCCACTTCAGTGACTGGCTTATTTCACTTTTCTCCTCTTTATTTATGAGACAAAATTTCGCTCTTGTTGCTCAGGCTGGAATGCAATGGCGTGATCTCGGCTAATTTTTTTGTATTTTTAGTAGAGGCGGGGTTTCACCATGTTGGCCAGGCTGGTCTCGAACTCCTGACCTCAGACGATCCACTTTGGCCTTCCAAAGTGCTGGGATTACAGGCGCGGCCCACCTTTCTCCTCTTAATCACACAGGTAATCCATACATACGACATTCTTTTTTTTTTTTGACACGGAGTCTTACTCTGTCACCTAGGCTGGAGTGCAGTGGCGCAATCTTGGCTCACTGCAACCTCTGCCTCCCAGGATCAAGCAATTCTCCTGCCTCAGCCTCCTGAGTAGCTGGGATTACAGGTAACCATCACCACACCTGGCTAAATTTTGTATTTTTAGTAGAGACGGGGTTTCACCACGTTGGCCACGCTGGTATTGAACTCCTGGCTTCAAGTGATCTTCCTGTCTCGGTCTCCCGAAGTGCTGGGATTACAGGAATGAGCCACTGTGCCCGGCCAATACGACATCTGTGCAATGAAGTGCAACATATAAGACACCCTTCCCCCACCCACTGCCCCCACCACCGCCCCCACGCCCCCACCCCCATCTCCAGATCAGAACCTGGGGCTGTGCAATTTTAAACGTTGTAGCCACTTGCTACTTGGGTAGTTGAAGTTCAGTCTCAGCCAGGTTGGAGTCCTGGACTCTGGCCCCTCTTTTATTTTTATTTTTTATTTTTTTTTGAGACAGAGTCTCGCTCTGTCGCCCAGACTGGAGCGCAGTGGTGCGATCTCGGCTCACTGCAAGCTCTGCCTCCTGAGTTCACGCCATTCCCCCGCCTCAGCCTCCCGAGCAGCTGGGACTACAGGCGCCCGCCACCACACCCGGCTAATTTCTTGTATTTTTTAGTAGAGATGGGGTTTCACCCTGTTAGCCAGGATGGTCTAGATTTCCTGACCTTATGATCCGCCTGCCTCGGGCCTCCCAAAGTGCTGGGATGACAGGAGTGAGCCACCGCGCCCGGCCTCTTTTTTTTTTTTTAGACAGTCTCTGTCACCCAGGCTAGAGTGCGATGGTGCGATCTCGGCTCACTGCAACCTCCACCTTCCGGGTTCAAGCGATTCTCCTGCCTCAGCCTCCTGAGTATCTGGGATTACAGGTGCCTGTGACCACGCCCGGCTGATTTTTGTATTTTTAGTAGAGACGGGGTTTCACCACATTGGTCAGGCTAGCCTCAAACTCCTGACCCCGTGATCCTTCCGCCTCAGCCTCCCAAAGTGCTGGGATTACAGGACTCTGGCCCATCTTGGCTGCTGCCAATGTCCTTCCTTCTATCTTGGTTTTTCCACAGTTACGCACATGCCAGATAACGGCGAGTCTGTTCCCCAGCAACTGCAACGGATCTGCCCACCACTGGGAAATGGAAGACCTTGCAGCCCAGGTCTTTGTAGACCAAGATTAGATTGTGGTCAACAAACACCTGACCTTGGCCTTTGGAACCATCAGCCATGTCAGCTAAAATAAAAGCAGAATCTGGCTGGGCGCAGTGGCTCACGCCTGTAATCCCAGCACTTTGGGGGGCTGAGGTGGGCAGACCACCTGAGGTCCGGCGTTCTAGACCAGCCTGACCAATATGATGAAACCCCGTCTCTACTAAACATACAAAAATTAGCTGGGCATGGTGGCGGGCACCTGTAATCCCAGCTACTCGGGAGGCTGAGGAAGGAGAATTGCTTGAACCCTGGAGGCAGAGGTTGCAGTGAGCCGAGATTGCGCCACTGCACTCCAACCTGGACTGCAGAACAAGACTCTGTCCCAAAAGCAGATAAATAAAAATAAATAAAAATAAAAATATGGCCGGGCATGGTGGCTCACACCTGTAATCCCAACACTGGGAAGATGAGGCGGGCAGATCACGAGGTCAGGGATTCGAGACCAGCCTGGCCAACATGGTGAAACCCCGTCTCTACTAAAAATACAAAAATTAGCCGGGCATGATGCTGCATGCCTGTAATCCCAGCTACTCTGGAGGCTGAGGCAGGAGAATCGCTTCATCCCGGGAGGTGGAGCTTGCAGTGAGCTGAGATCGCGCCACTGCACTCTAGCCTGGGCAAAAGAGTGAGACTCCATCGCAAGAAAAAAAAAAAAAAAAGCTGCAAGCTCTGTCTCCCGGGTTCAAGTGATTCTCCTGCCTCAGCCTTCCAAGTAGCTAGGATTATACGCGCCCGCCACCATGCCTGGCTAATTTTTGTATTTTTAGTAGAGATGCGGTTTCACCATGTTGGCCAGGCTGGTCTCAAACTCCTGACCTCACGTGATCCACCTGCCTCGGCCTCCCAGAGTGCTGGGATTACAGGTGTGAACCCCTGCGCCTGGCCAAGAAAAGTTGCTTGAATGAAGAGTAAATAGAAGACCCAGAAAGAAATGATTCGTCCGAGGAAGGTCACAGAAGCAACGTAATCAAGATGGAAATCTGACTCTTCCTAATTTTGGCCAGACTTCCCATCCCTCCAAAGCTTTCCAGACTCTTCCAGATCATTCTAGATATTTCCAGAAATCATTCGTGAAATCTAACTAGGAGTAGTCTGTAAACAATGTGTTTCACACAGATACAATTCATAAACGATGAGAAGACAAGGACACTTCATGAATGAAATTTTTACGGCCGGGTATGTTGGCTCACGCCTATAATCCCAGGACTTTGGAAGACCCAGGCAGGAGGATTGCTTGAGTCCAGGAGTTCAAGACCAGTCTGGGCCACATAGTGAGACCCTGTCGCTACAAAAAATTTAAAAATTAGGTAGATATGGTGGTGTATGCCTCTAGTTTTAGCTTTTTTGGAGGCTGAAGCAGGAGGATCTCTTGAGCCCAGGAGGTTGAGCTGCAATGAGCTACGATTGAACTACTACACTCCAGTCTGGGTGACAGAGAAAGAGGCTGCCTCAAAAAAATAAAAATAAAAAAATAAGGCCGGACGCGGTGGCTCACGCCTGTAATCCCAGCACTTTGGGAGGCTGGGGTGGGCAGACCACGAGGTCAGGAGATCGAGGCCATCCTGGCCAACATGATGAAACCCTGTCTCTACTGAAAACACAAAAATTAGCTGGGCGTGGTGGCGTATACCTGTAATCCCAGCTACTCGGGAGGCTGAGGCAGGAGAATCACTTGAACCAGGGAGTCAGAGGTTGCAGCGAGAGGAGATTGTGCCACTGCATTCCAGCCTGGCAACAGAGCAAGACTCCGTCTCAAAAAAGAAACAACAACAGCAACAACAACAAAAAAAACATAAAAAAGTTCGGGCACGGTGGCTCACACCTGTAATCCCAGCACTTTGGGAGGCCAAGGTGGGTAGATCTCTTGAGGTCAGGAGTTCAAGACCAGCCTGGCCAACAAACATGGTGAAACCCCGTCTCTACTAAAAATACAAAAAGTAGCCGGGTGTAGTCCCAGCTACTCGGAAGGCTGAGGCAGGAGAATCGCTTCAACCTGGGAGATGGAAGTTGCAGTGAACTGAGATTGCGCCACTGGGTGACAGAGTAAGACTCTTGTCTCAAAAAAAAAAAAAGAAAGAAAGTTTAATTTAATGATTCAAATAATGACCTGCTCGAGAGATAAATATAAAGTCTAACGTAAGAGGTGTATACTTTTTCCTCTGTCCTGCTGTCCTCGCCCCACCTCACCCCAAGTCCCAACCTGATTGATCAGTCTCCTTTCCCTCTGGTAGCCCCACTCCCATGACCGAACCGAGAAGTCATGCACCCGCATAAGAACTCTAATTTTTTTTTTCAAAGTCTTCTCACTGCCCCAAAAATAGTTTCTTTCATTCCCAGGGGATGTGAAAGTGTCTCTCCCAATTTTATTTCAACCTCCCAGCGTTCCACACATATGCCTTGCCTCAGCCAGCTTTCACTGATCTGCCATTTCCACCTCGGCGCTGCTCCTACCTGCGGAAATCCTGTCCATCCATAGTCTGATTTCTGTTGTTCCAGAACATTCTTTTTTTTTTCCCCTGGAACATTCTTTAAGATACCTCAATAAATGAAACCAGAGGGTATAGAGCAGTATGAATGGGTACTACAATGTACAGGGGGAAATGGAGGGGAATATGATATACTCTCCTCCTTGTATATGCTTAGAATGTTCTAGAAGGATATGCTTAAAAGGTTAGCAGTCCTGGCCAGGCGTGGTGGCTCACGCCTGTAATCTCAGCACTTTGGGATGCCAACGCGGACGGATCACAAGGTCAGGAGTTCTAGATCAGCCTGACCAATATAGTGAAACCTCATCTTTACTAAAAATACAAAAATTAGCCGGGTACGGTGGCATGTGCCTGTAGTCCCAGCTACTTTGGAACCTGAGGCAGGAGAATCGCTTGAACTCGGGAGGCAGAGGTTGCAGTGAGCCGAGACTGTGCCATTGCACTGCAGCCTGGGTGACAGAACAGGACTCCGTCTCAAAAAAAAACAAAAAAGGTCAGCAGTCTTAATTGTCAGAGGGCAGGGGACCTGCATGGGATGGAGGTTTTTCCATGTGTCCACCTTTTGAGCCCTTTTGCTTTTTTTTTTTAAATCTTTTTATTGTAGCAAAATAGATATAAAATTTACCCTTTTTTTTTTTGAGACAGGGTCTCACTCTGTTGCCCAGGTTGGAGTGCAGTGGCATGATCTTGGCTCACTGCAGCCTCTGCCTCCTGGGTTCAAGCGATTTTCCTGCCTCAGCCTCCCGAGTAGCTGGGATTACAGGTGCTTGCCACCATACCCGGCTAATTTTGTATTTTTAGTAGAGACGGGGTTACGCCAAGTTGGCCAAGCTGGTCGCAAACTCCTGACCTCAAGTGATCCGCCCCCCTCGGCCTCCCAAAGTGCTGGGATTACAGGCAGGAGCCACCACGCTCAGCCCTAAAATTTACCATATTAACCATTTTCAAGTTCAGAGGCATTAAAGTATACTCACATTGTTGTTCAACTGTCACCACTACTCACCTGCAGAAGTTTTTCATCTTGCAAAGTGAAAACCCCATACCCAATTTCCCGTTCTTCCTCTCAGCCCCTGGTAATCACTATTCTACTTTTTGTCTACTTTTTGTATGAATTTGCCTATTCTAGGACCTAATAGAAGTGGAGTCAAACCTGTTTGTCCTTTTGTGGCTGGCTTATTTCACCCGGCCTTATATCCTCAAGGTTTATCCATGTTGGAGGATGCCTGAATTTCCTTGTTTTTAAGGCTAAATTTTATTCTATTATATTAATATGTCATATTTTGTTTATCCTGATGGACACTTGGGTTGATTCCACCTTTGGCCATTTTGAAGAAGCTTCTATGTACATGGTATACACATATATCTTTGGGTCTCTGCTTTCAATGCTTTTGGGGATATTTCAGATGTGGAATTTCTGGATTATAAGGCAATTTTTTTTTTTGAGACAGACTCTCGCTCTTGTCGCCCAGGCTAGAATGTGGTGGTGTGATCTATTTTTTTTTTTTTTTTGAGATGGAGTCTCGCTCTGTCGCCCAGGCTGGAGTGCAGTGTCACGATCTCAGCTCACTGCAAGCTCCGCCTCCCAGGTTCGTGCCATTCTTATGCCTCAGCCTCCCAAGTAGCTGGGACCACAGCCGCCCACCACCTCACCCGGCTAATTTTTGTATTTTTAGTAGAGACAGGGTTTCACTATGTTGGCCAGGATGGTCTCGATCTCCTGACCTCGTGATCCGCCTGCCTCGGCCTCCCAAAGTGCTGGGATTACAGGCGTGAGCCACTGCACCCGGCTGGTGTGATCTTGGCTCGCTGCAACCTCTGCCTCCCAGGTTCAAGCGATTCTTGTGCCTCAGCCTCTCCGCAGCTGGGACTACAGGTGTGCGCCACTGTGCCCAGCTACTTTTTAAAAATATATGTGTATTTATTATACTTTTAAGTTCTGGGATACATGTACAGAACGTGCAGGTTTGTTACATAGGTATACATGTGCCATGGTGGTTTGCTGCACCCATCAACCGGTCATCTACATTAGGTATTTCTCCTAATGCTATCCCTTCCCTAGCCCTCCACTCTCCCGGTTTTTTGTTTTGTTTTGTTTTGTTGTTTTGTTTTTAGTAGAGACAGGGTCTCACCATGTTGCCCAGGCTAGTCTTGAACTCCTGACCTCAAGTGATCCGCCCACCTCAGCCTCCCAAAGTGCTGGGATTACAGGTGTGACCCACTACACTCGGCCTTATTTTCACTTATTTATGCAATTTTCACTATTGCTATATTCTAGGAGGCACTGTGGAATTGCACTGTGGAATTTTAGTATTGCTGTATTTCAGCAAGCCATGAGGTCTGTCAGCACACGGCTTTGGGCATTTTGTGAAGATAACTGATGCCAGCTGAGCCAAGGCAGGTTCCTGATTCCACCCACTGGCAGGCACCGAGGTCTCTGCTGTTACTGATGGTTTCTCTGTGGATTGATGGGCTTAAGGCCAGACCACAGCTGCAATGGCTCACCTCTGCCAAAGGCCAGGCTCGTTGGGGCAGAGACCTATTCCGGACTGAGCCTCCTGGTGAATTAGAGAGGTAGAAAATGGGAGGACGGGGGCAGGTGGGCTATTACAGCGAGGAAAATGCCCACCCTGAGTTGTATTAGATAACTTTGGGAGTTCAGGAACTTTCCAATAAAGTGGGTTCCACAGCAGGATTACTTACTGACTCCCTAATAGAAAGAAGGCAGGCACAGGCCGGGCGTGTTGGCTCATGTCTGTAATCCCAGCACGTTGGGAGGCTGAGGCGGGTGGATCACAAGGTCAGGAGATCCAGACCATCCTGGCTAACAAAGTGAAACCCCGTCTCTACTAAAAATACAAAAAATTAGGCTGGGCGTGGTGGCTCGTGCCTGTAATCCCAGCACTTTGGGAGGCTGAGGCGGGCGGATCACGAGGTCAGGAGATCGAGACCGTCCTGGCTAACACGGTAAAACCCCATCTCTACTAAACATACAAAAAAAAATTAGCCAGGTGTGGTGGCGGGCGCCTGTAGTCCCAGCTACTCAGGAGGCTGAGGCAGGAGAGTGGTGTGAACTCGGGAGGCGCAGCTTGCAGTGAGCCGAGACTGCGCCACTGCACTCCAGCCTGGGCAACAGACAGAGACTCCGTCTCAAAAAAAAAAAAAAAAAATACAAAAAATTAGCCAGGCGTGGTGGCACGTGCACGTGACTGTAGTCCCAGCTACTTGGGAGGCTGAGGCAGGAGAATTGTTTGAACCCGGGAGACGGAGGTTGCAGTGAGCCGAGATCGCGCCACTGCACTCCAGCCTGGGTGACAGAGCTAGACTCCGTCAAAAAACAAAAAACAAAAAACAAAAAAACAAAAAAAAAAAAACAGCAGGAACTGGCAGGTCTTCCCTGAAGAGATAAAAAAAAAAAAATGCAGTTGCAACACAAAAGCAGCCACAGAGAAAAGCAAACCCATATATGGTATTTATTATGCACCGAGTGTGGCTCTAATCACTTTTTTTTTTTTAATTGAGAGACAGCCTGGCTCTGTTGATTGGGCTGGAGTGCAGTGGCGCGACCGTAGCTCATTGCAGCCTCAACCTCCTTGGCTCAAGCAATCCTCCTACCTCAGCCTCCTGAGTAGCTGGGACCACAGGTGTGAGCCACCACGCCTGGCTAATTGTTTTTTTTTTTTTTGTAGAGACAGGGTCTCACTATGTGGCCCAGGCTGGTTTCCAACTCCTGGGCTCAAGTGATCCTCCCACCTCTGCCTCCCAAAGTGCTGGGGATTACAGGCATGAGCCACCTCGCCTGGCCTCTAGTCGCTTTATATATTTTAACTTAATCCTTACAAGAGCCCTGTGAGCTAGTTACAGGAGCACAAATGGAAACCAAGAAACAGAAAAATTTATCAGCATGACTCAGTCCTCAGAGCCATGTATGGCCGTGTCCGTGCATGGCAGGCAGGTCAGGGGCCTGGGGAACGCTGTTCTGGAAACCTTGGCCAGGCC
The DNA here is from genome assembly GCF_000001405.40 of Homo sapiens. Classification (NCBI taxonomy): domain Eukaryota; kingdom Metazoa; phylum Chordata; class Mammalia; order Primates; family Hominidae; genus Homo; species Homo sapiens. The sequence goes on from NC_000019.10 coordinate 11,085,621, forward strand.
TTGGCACCCGAGGAATGTGCTTTTCAGAGTTTTTGTGGCTCTTTTCCAGACCTGCCCTGACCTCTAGCTCTGGGAACTATGTAAGCCAAGTGCCTTCCGGGAAGGGAGTCCCTCTCCTGGTAACTCTTTCTGGGTAACCAGATGTGGACTCATGACACACACTGAGCCTACGTCTTATAATTTTTTGTTTTTGTTTTTGAGACAGTTTCGGTCTTCTTGCCCAGGCTGGAGTGCAATGGTGCGATCTCGGCTCACTGCAACCTCTGCCTCCCAGGTTCAAGCGATTCTCCTGCCTCAGCCTCCCTAGTAGCTGGAATTGCAGGCATGCGCCACCACGCCTGGCTAATTTTTTGTATTTTTTTTTTTTTAGTAGAAACGGGGTTTCACCTTGTTAGCCAGGCTGGTCACCAACTCCTGACCTCAGGTGATCCGCCCACCTCTGCCTCCCAAAGTGCTGGGATTACAGGTGTGAGACAGCTGTGAGCCACCACGCCCGGCGCATTTTTTTTTTCTTTTTTTTCAGAGGGAGTGTCCCTCTGTCACCCAGGCTGAAGTGTAGTGGCGTGATCTCGGCCCACTGTAACCTCTATCTCCCAGGTTCAAGTGATTCTCCTGACTCAGCCTCCCAAGTAGCTGGGACTACAGGCGCCTGCTACCATGCCTGGCTAATTTTTGTAGTTTTAGTAGAAACCGGGTTTTGCCATGTTGGCCAGGCTGGTCTCAAACTCTTGACTTCAGGTGATCCACCTGCCTTGGCCTTCTGAAGTGCTGGGATTATAGGGCATGAGCCACTGTGACTGGCCATCTTAAATTTTTTTTTTTTTTTTTTTTTTTTTTGAGACAGGGTTTCACTCTGTCGCCCAGGCTGGAGTGCAAAGGCGCGATCTTGGTTCACTGCAAGCTCCGCCTCCTGGGTTCATGCCATTCTCCTGCCTCTGCCTCATGAGTAACTGAGACTACAGGCGCCCACCACCACGCCCGGCTAATTTTTTTGTATTTTTTTAGTAGAGATGGGGTTTCACCTTGTTAGCCAGGATGGTCTCGATCTCCTGACCTCGTGATCCACCCGTCTCGGCCTCCCAAAATGCTGGCATTACAGGCGTGAGCCACCGCACCCAGCCTTAAATTTTTTTTTAAGGGAAATCAAACCCAGTGATATTGGGCCAGTACAGTGGCTCACACCTGTAATTCCACCACTTTGGGAGGCTGAGGCAGGTGAATCACCTGAGGTCAGGAGTTCGAGACCAGCCCGGCAAACATGGCGAAACCCCGTCTCTACTAAAAATAAGAAAATTAGCCGGGCGTAGTGGCATGCACCTGTAATCTCAGCTACTCGGGAAGCTGAGGCATGAGAATCGCTTGAACCTGGGAGCAGGATGTTGCAGTGAACCGATATCACACCACTGCACTCCAGCCTGGGTGACAGAGCAAGACTCTGTCTCAAAAAAAAAAAGAAAAAAAAATCCAGTGATACTTACTTTTTAAATTTTTATTTACTTATTTTTTGCTTTAAGTTGAATCTTTAAACTTATCTTTATTTTTGAGACACAGTCTCACTCTGTCGCCCAGGCTGGAGTGCAGTGGTACAACCACAGCTCAGTGCAGCGTTGACCTCCTGGGCTCAAGCCATCCTCCCGCCTCAGCCTCCCGAGTAGCTGGGACTACAGGCGCACACAACCATGTCCAGCTTATTTTTGTATTTTTTGTAGAGACAGGGTCCCACTGTGTTGCCCTGGCTTGTTCTGAACTCCTAGGCTCAAGTGATCCCCCCGCCTCACCCTCCCAAAGTGCTGGGATTACAGGCATGAGCCACCACATCCAGACTTCACTTTTTTGTTTAATGTCGCAAATGGCATAAGGAATGGGATTCAATGGGGACACATTTATAAACGTTGCAGCAGCTCCTAGAACTTGCCTATCCTTGTAAACTTCTCTAGGTGATTGCTAATTACTTCTTTTTTTTTTTTTTTTTTTGAGACGGAGTCTCACTCTGTCGCCCAGGCTGGAGTACAGTGGCGCAATCTCGTCTCACTGCAAACTCCACCTCCCGGGTTCACGCCATTCTCCTGCCTCAGCCTCCCGAGTAGCTGGGACTACAGGCACCCGCCACCACGCCCGGCTAATTTTTTGTATTTTTTTTTAGTAGAGGTGGGGTTTCACTGTGTTATCCAGGATGGTCTTGATCTCCTGACCTCGTGATCCACCTGCCTCAGCCTCCCAAAGTGCTGGGATTACAGGCGTGAGCCACCATGCCCAGCCCGCTAATTATTTCAATTTGACCTTGACACTGAGCCTGCCAAGTAGGTTCAAGCATTTTGATGGCCCCTTTACAGGTTGGGAAAGCTAATTTATCTGTCCAAGGCCGAATTCTGAAACTGAGTCTTAACTGCCAAAAATTCTTATCATCAATTTCTTCTTCTGGGTTGGGCACAGTGGCTCATGCCTGTAAAGCCAGCAATTTGAGAGGCATCATGATGCAAGAGGAAGAGGATTGAGTGAAGCTAGGAGTTTGGGACCAGCCTGGGCAACATAGTGAGACCCCATCTATAAAAAAAAATTAAAAATTAGTTGGGCATGGTGGTGCACTCCTGTGGTCCTAGCTATTCAGGAGGCTGAGGTGGGAGGATTCCTTGAGCCCAGGGTTGACGCTGCAGAGAGCTGTGATCACGCCACTGCAGTCCAGCCTGAGTGACAGCTGGAAATAATGATAAATAAATAATAAATAATTATTTAAAAAATTATAATAAAAATAATTAAAAAATTATTTTCCCTGATTAATCTTTTTTTTTGTCCTTCTGAGAGTTCAATTTGTCCCTTTTCTGCCTGGTCTCCTAGGTTTCCCTAAAATCCTGCTGAGAGGTTAGCACTGCCTGCCAAAGTCAGTTTGCAAAATCCCAGAGAAATCCAGCTTATTCCTGGGGGAACCGCCAAGACTGCCCAGCCCTGTGTGGGGTTCAGGCAAGTTTCTCACATGTGCCTTTTTGGCAAGAGGCCTCTGGCAACCCCATGAGTCCCCAAAGAGACTCAATTCTAAAAGTTGGTCTCCACCAGCTCTCTGTGGCTTAGGGGTTCAAGTTCAACTGTGAAAGCCCTGTTTTGTTTTGATTTTGCTTTGAGGGAGAGGAAACCGCCCTTCTGTTTGTTCAACTCCTTCTCCTAAGGGGAGAAATCAATATTTACGTCCAGACTCCAGGTATCCGTACAATTGATTTTTCAGATGTTTATACTCAGCCAAAGGCGGGATCCCACAAAACAAAAAATATTTTTTTGGCTGTACTTTTGTGAAGATTTTATTTAAATTCCTGATTGATCAGTGTCTATTAGGTGATTTGGAATAACAATGTAAAAACAATATACAACGAAAGGAAGCTAAAAATCTATACACAATTCCTAGAAAGGAAAAGGCAAATATAGAAAGTGGCGGAAGTTCCCAACATTTTTAGTGTTTTCCTTTTGAGGCAGAGAGGACAATGGCATTAGGCTATTGGAGGATCTTGAAAGGCTGTTGTTATCCTTCTGTGGACAACAACAGCAAAATGTTAACAGTTAAACATCGAGAAATTTCAGGAGGATCTTTCAGAAGATGCGTTTCCAATTTTGAGGGGGCGTCAGCTCTTCACCGGAGACCCAAATACAACAAATCAAGTCGCCTGCCCTGGCGACACTTTCGAAGGACTGGAGTGGGAATCAGAGCTTCACGGGTTAAAAAGCCGATGTCACATCGGCCGTTCGAAACTCCTCCTCTTGCAGTGAGGTGAAGACATTTGAAAATCACCCCACTGCAAACTCCTCCCCCTGCTAGAAACCTCACATTGAAATGCTGTAAATGACGTGGGCCCCGAGTGCAATCGCGGGAAGCCAGGGTTTCCAGCTAGGACACAGCAGGTCGTGATCCGGGTCGGGACACTGCCTGGCAGAGGCTGCGAGCATGGGGCCCTGGGGCTGGAAATTGCGCTGGACCGTCGCCTTGCTCCTCGCCGCGGCGGGGACTGCAGGTAAGGCTTGCTCCAGGCGCCAGAATAGGTTGAGAGGGAGCCCCCGGGGGGCCCTTGGGAATTTATTTTTTTGGGTACAAATAATCACTCCATCCCTGGGAGACTTGTGGGGTAATGGCACGGGGTCCTTCCCAAACGGCTGGAGGGGGCGCTGGAGGGGGGCGCTGAGGGGAGCGCGAGGGTCGGGAGGAGTCTGAGGGATTTAAGGGAAACGGGGCACCGCTGTCCCCCAAGTCTCCACAGGGTGAGGGACCGCATCTTCTTTGAGACGGAGTCTAGCTCTGTCGCCCAGGATGGAGTGCAGTGGCACGATCTCAGCTCACTGCAACCTCCGCCTCCCGGGTTTAAGCGAGTCTCCTCTCTCAGCCTCCCGAATAGCTGGGATTACAGGCGCCCAACCACCACGCCCGCCTAATTTTTGTATTTTTAGTAGAGACGGGTTTTCACCATTTTGGCCAGGCTGGTCTCGAACCCCGACCTCAGGTGATCTGCCCAAAAGTGCTGGGATTACAGGCGTCAGCCACCGCGCCCGGCCGGGACCCTCTCTTCTAACTCGGAGCTGGGTGTGGGGACCTCCAGTCCTAAAACAAGGGATCACTCCCACCCCCGCCTTAAGTCCTTCTGGGGGCGAGGGCGACTGGAGACCCGGATGTCCAGCCTGGAGGTCACCGCGGGCTCAGGGGTCCCGATCCGCTTTGCGCGACCCCAGGGCGCCACTGCCATCCTGAGTTGGGTGCAGTCCCGGGATTCCGCCGCGTGCTCCGGGACGGGGGCCACCCCCTCCCGCCCCTGCCCCCGCCCCTTTGGCCCGCCCCCCGAATTCCATTGGGTGTAGTCCAACAGGCCACCCTCGAGCCACTCCCCTTGTCCAATGTGAGGCGGTGGAGGCGGAGGCGGGCGTCGGGAGGACGGGGCTTGTGTACGAGCGGGGCGGGGCTGGCGCGGAAGTCTGAGCCTCACCTTGTCCGGGGCGAGGCGGATGCAGGGGAGGCCTGGCGTTCCTCCGCGGTTCCTGTCACAAAGGCGACGACAAGTCCCGGGTCCCCGGAGCCGCCTCCGCGACATACACGAGTCGCCCTCCGTTATCCTGGGCCCTCCTGGCGAAGTCCCCGGTTTCCGCTGTGCTCTGTGGCGACACCTCCGTCCCCACCTTGTCCTGGGGGGCGCCCTCGCCCCACCAGCCCCGATCAAGTTCACAGAGGGGCCCCCGGCCACCCTCAAGGCCTCGGTTCCTTACGAGGTTGAAACGTTGCCTCAGAATCTCCCCGCCCCTCCTTGGTCTGCAGCCGAGATCTTCAGCCACGGTGGGGCAGCTATCCCCCGGGACCGACCCCCTGGGGTGGCCTCGCTTCTTCAGAGGCTGTGAATGGCTTCGGTTCAGCTGTCCAAGCGGCGATTTTTCCTCTGGGTGAAATGGATTAGATTTTAGATTTCCACAAGAGGCTGGTTAGTGCATGATCCTGAGTTAGAGCTTTTTAGGTGGCTTTAAATTAGTTGCAGAGAGACAGCCTCGCCCTAGACAACAGCTACATGGCCCTTTCCCTCCTGAGAACCAGCCTAGCCTAGAAAAGGATTGGGATTGCCTGATGAACACAAGGATTGCAGGAAACTTTTTTTTTAATTGGCAAGGGGGTTGGCTTTGACTGGATGGAGAGCTTTGAACTGCCTTGAAATTCACGCTGTAACTAACACACCAGTTTCCTCTGGGAGGCCAGAGAGGGAGGGAGGGTGTAATGAAATACGGATGATTGTTCTTTTATTTTTATTTACTTATTTATTTTTTAACTTTTTGTAGAGATGAGGTCTCGCTTGGTTGCTCAGGCTGGTCTTGAACTCCTGGCCTCAAGCGATCCTCCTACCTCAGCCTCCCAAAGTGTTGGGATTACAGGAGTGAGCCACCGCGCCCCACCGGGGATGATGATGATTGCAAACATTCTGCCACTCAGTTTTACAAAAGAAAGAGAGGCACTGGATTAATGTGTATCTCACTCACCAATCAACCTCTTCCTTAAGAGAAAATGTTAAGGAAGTCTTAGGCAAGGCCTTGTTTGTTCATCACTTTAGTTTCTCTCTCCCGGGATGGCTGAGAATGTGATGTTTCCTCTGTTGTCAAGGAGACTACACCCCTGATGTTTTCCTCCAGACTTCTGAGAGCTGGTGTGTGTTTCTAGCACTTTCTAGCTGCACCACCTCACGCTGTAGCTGGCTTCAAGGCATATCCAGGGGGGAGTTTCTTGTCCATTTCCTTTACAAAGGGAAGTTGTTGGAATCTGAACCGCAAGCCTTCACTTAGACCAAAATCAGGCAACAGCGGTGAGCGCAGCTCCAAACGTGTCAATGACTCACCCAAATTTGAGTAAGGGAGTTGGCTGCTTTAACGAGCCGCAGGGTGATTCCCTTGTCATTTCCGGAAATACCTATCTTCCAGGGAACACTGGGAAAAAACAGGGAGACCTTTGTTGAGACAGAAAACCTGTAGGGGAATTCTGTTCCTCATTCCTGCTCTTATCTGTAGACTTCCTCCCTGATAAGATCCAATTCTAGATGGGTCGGTTGCTCCTTGCTTTGATGGGTGCTTTGATGGGCTTTATTATTATTATTATTATTATTATTATTATTTTGATGGGCTTTTTGATGTCCCTTTTCCTTCCACACTCTGTCCCAACTGTCAAGCAAATAGCCTTTTGTTGCTAAGAGACTGCAGATGTAACCGACCAGCAGCAAACAGTGAGTCAGGCTCTCTCTTCCGGAAGCAAAATCAATTGCTGAGATCACTCTGGGGAAAATACCCACCTTATTTGGAAAGAAGCACTGATCAATTGATGTCTATTTTTTTTTTTTTTGAGTTGGAGTCTCGCCCTGTCACCCAGGCTGGAGTGCAATGGCATAATCTCGCCTCACTGCAATCCCCGCCTCCCGGGTTCCAGCAATTCTCCTGCCTCAGCCTCCTGAGTAGCTGGAATTATAGGCGCCTGCCACAACACCCGGCTAATTTTTGTATTTGTAGTAGAGATGGGGTTTCACCACGTTGGCCAGGCTGGTCTCGAACTCCTGACCTCGTGATCCACCCGCCTCAGCCTCCCAAAGTCCAAGGATTGCAGGCGTGACCCACTGTGCCAGCCAATCAATTGATTTCTCATTCATTTTCAGCTGGCTCTGTTCCCTTAAGCCAGGGGATTTTCGTTTGTTTGTTTCCCCTTCAAGGAAATGATTCTAGCTACAGTTTTGATTTCCTTGTACAACTGTTTTCAGTAGCACAGGGAAAGAAAACATCGAAAGCATTCACCACCTCATTTGTGTGCTGGGGGAAAAAGCAGAAATGTGTATTCTCTTTTTTTGTTTCGATGACCTTGTTCCTGACTTGTTACTCGTGACTTGAGAGATCAGAGGGCTAGAGGACTAGAATTTATAGAGGTGTTTTTTTTGTTTGTTTATTTTTGTTCGAGTTGCCCAGGCTGGAGTGCAGTGGCGCAATCTCGGCTCACTGCAACCTCTGCCTCCCAGGTTCAAGCGATTCTTCGGCCTCAGCCTCCTGAGTAGCTGGAACTACAGGCGCCCGCCACCACACCCAGCTAATTTTTGTATTTTTCAGTAGAGATGGGATTTCACCATATTGGTCAAGCTGGCCTCGAACTCCTGACCTCGTGATCCACCCGCCTCAGTTTCCCAAAGTGCTGGGAGTACAGGCGTGAGCCGCCGTGCCCGGCCTTTTTGTGTTTTTGTGTTTTTGAGAGGAGCTCATTGCTTTTTAGGCTTCCCTAGCGTGAGAAAATCTGGGGATCCATGCTCTAGTTTACTTCCTTTTTTTTTTTTTTTTTGAGATGGAGTCTCGCTTAGATTGCCTAATCTCAGCTCATTGCAACTTCTGCCTCCGGGGTTCAAGGGATTCTCGTGTCTCAGCCTCCTGGGTAGCTAGGATACGGGCACCCGCTACCATGCCTGGCTAATTTTGTACTTTTAGTAGAGACAGGGTTTCGCCACGTTGGCCAGGCTGGTCTCGAACTCCTGACCTCAGGTGAGCCGCCTGCCTTGGCCTCCCAAAGTGCTGAGATTACAGGCGTGAGCCACCGCGCTTGGCCTAATTTGCTTTTCCTGAAATTCAAATGGTCTAATATGAAAAACGCCAACCTTGCTTGAAAGAATAAGAAAGAGGTGCGGTTTCGTTGGGCCGTTGATGTTTGGAACAGGACTGGTTTTGTCCCCTTGCTCGGAAAGGGCAGCAACTGTGAGGACAGCTCCCTGACGTGCTCTCACTCAGCACTGTTCCGTTCCTGAGCACTGTCCCCACTAGCTAGGCCAAGGGAGCTCATTTGGCAGGCAACTGCTGTCTGGCTGCGCCTGTGGCAGTAAAATCTGCCTTTATTTTTTGGAGGCAGGGTCTTGCCCTGTCGCTCAGGCTGAAGTGTGCAGTTATAGCTCACTGCAGCCTCCAGCTTCTGTACTCAACTGATCCTCCTCTCTCAGCCTCCTGAGTAGCTGGGACTATACGCACGTGTTACCACTCCCACCTCAGTTTGTTTGTTTATTTATTTATTTATTTATTTATTGAGATGGAGTTTTGCTCTTGCTGCCCAGGCTGGAGTGCAATGGCGCGATCTCGGCTCACCGCAACCTCCACCTCCTGGTTCAAGCGATTCTCCTGCCTCAGCCTCCTGAGTAGCTGGGATTACAGGCATGCACCACCACGCCCGGCTAATTTTGTATTTTTCGTAGAGATGGGGTTTCTCCACATTGGTTCAGGCTGTTCTCGAACTCCCAACCTCAGGTGATCCACCCGCCTCAGCCTCCCAAAGTGCTGGGATTATAGGCGTGAGCCCCCGAACCCGGCCACTCCCAGCTAAGTTTAAATTTTTTGTTTGTTTGTTCGTTTGTTTTTATTTTTTGAGACAGAGTCTCCCGCCCAGGCTGGAGCGCAGATCACTGCATCCTTGACCTCCCAGGCTTAAGCCATCCTCCCCACTCAGCCTCCCAAGTAGCTGGGATTACAGGTGTGTGCCACTATGCTTGGCTAAGTTGTGTATTTTTTGTAGAGATGGGGTTCAAGGGATTCTCGCTTTGTTGCCTCGGTTGGTCTCAAACTCCTGGGCTCAAGCAGTCCTCCCTCCTCAGCCTCCCAAGGTGCTGGGGAAATCCACTTTTGAAACATTGTCTGGAGAGTTGCCCAGGTGGTAGATCACAGAAATAGGTCATCGTGGGGTCCTTCCCATGGGTGCAGTCTTGAGCCACCTGTGGCCAGCAAATATTTGGAGAATAATAGTCAGGGGAGAGCTTGAGGTCCAGGGAAAGGTTTTGTTTTTCTTCAGGGAAAGGTTTTTATTGTTCTTTATCCCTCCTTAAAGGACCTTCAGGTGTTACTGACATTCCCGGTCTACCCAGTGGCACATTTAGTTTGTAAGCTGGGCCCTCGTACAGAGGTAGGGAGGTGAGAGCATTGGATTAGTGGTCACCAAAGCTGCGGTCACCTAGTGGGGTGATCAGAGGCTCCTCCCTTAAGATCTTGATTGCCAACGCCTCTGGCCCAACTTTCCTTTTTATTTATCGCAAGCCTCCTGGAATCTCAATTGCTTTTTGCCCACCCGGTGTGTCAGCACAAGAAATGAGTCATTTCCTCCTTTAAGCACAGTTGAAATTGAGCTGTGAGTCAGTGAGGTGTGTACGATATTGTCAAAGCGGGGTGTGTACAGTATTGACAGATCTGTAGTTGGGCAAGAGAATTATCAGAGTTTGTGACCACAGCAGATTCCAAAGCTCGACTCATTTTCTTCTCTCTTCCTTCCCTTTTTTCTTTTCTTTTTTTTTTTTTTTTTGACAGAGTCTCGCTCTGTTGCCCAGGCTGGAGTGCAGTGGCACAATCTGGGCTCACTGCAGCCCCTGCCTCCTGGGTTCAAATGATTCTCATGTTTCAGCCTCCCGAGTAGCTGCAATTACAGGCATTCGGGTTCAAGTGATTCTCCTGCCTCAGCCACCTGAGCAGCTGGGATTACAGGCGCCCGCCACCACGCCCGGCTAATTTTTGTATTTTTAGTAGAGACGGGGTTTCACCATGTTGGCCAGGCTGGTCTCGAACTCCTGAACTCAGGTGATCCGCCCACTTCGGCCTCCCAAAGTGCTGAGATTACAGACGTGAGTCACCGCGCCCAGCCTGTTCTGTTCTTTAATTCTCAAAACACCCTCTAGGAAGTAGAGACTGCCATTCTCCCCCATTTTACAGATCAGGAAACTGAGTCCCAGAAGGATTTAGTCAGTTACCCAAGTTGTTCTAGTTAAATGGCCTGGAAAGCCAGTGAAGCCCAGGATTGTCTATCTAACCCCCTTACTACTCTAACTTTCAGGGAATCCACATGAATGTGCTGGGTCAACCATCAAAGTTGAAATGGATAAAGGGGGCTGGATGCGGTGGCTGATGCCTGTAATCCTAGCACTTTGGGAGGCCGAGATGGGTGGGTGGATTGCTTGAGCCCAAGAGTTTGAGACCAGCCTGGGCAACATAGTGAGACACCTGTCTCTGCAAAAAATAAATAAAAAGTTAGCTGAGTGTGATGGTGCACCCCTCTAGTCACAGCTGTTGAGTTAGGCTTAGGCAGGAGGATCGCATGAACCTGGGAGGTGGAGGCGGCCGTGAGCCTCAGTCATGCCACTGCACTCCAACCTGGGCAACAGAGTGAAAGCCGGTGTCCGAAAGAGAAAGAAAAAAAGACATAGATACATCTTTTAAAGTTAGGTTGTATGTTAATTACCTACAACTCAGTTTCAACTGTGCTTAAAGGAGGAAATGACTCATTTCTTGCTACATATCAAATTAGCCCAAAATGTAGTGGCTTAAAACAACACATTTATGATTTCTCAGTTTTTGCGTGTCAGGAATTTGGAAGCAGCACAGCTAGACGGTTCCAGCTCAGGGTCTCTCATGAAGTTGCAATCAAAATATTGGCAGGAGAGAAAAACATATTTTCAGAAGCTGCAGGCATAGGAAGACTTGGCTGGGGTTGAAGGATCCACTTCCAAGATGGCGCACTCAGTGGCTCTTGGCTGGAGGCCTCAGTTCCCTGCTGCGTGGAGCTCTCCCTCCAGCTGCTTGAGTGGACTCATGACATGCAGCTGGCCTCCCCTGGAGCAGTCGATCCAACAATGAGCATGGCCATGAACTAGGCTCAGAAGCCACTCCCTGTCGTCTCTACATTTTCCTATCAGAAGCAAGTCATTAAAAGTCCAGTGCCACTCCAGGGGAGACGAATTAGGCTCTGCCTTCTGAAAGGATTATCACAGAAGATGCGGTCCTATATTCTTTTTTTAAAATTATTCTTTTTTTTATTTTGTAGAGATGGGGTCTTGGTATGTTGCCTAGGCCAGTCTGGAATTCCTGGGCTCAAACAATCCTGTCTCTGCCTCCCAAAGTGTTGGGATTACAGGCATGAGCCACTGCACCTGGTCATGTGGTCATATTTTCTTTTTCTTTTTTTTTTTTTTTTGAGACAGAGTCTCTGTCGCCCAGGCTGGAGTATGGTGGCGTGATCTCAGTTCACTGCAGCCTCCGCCTCCCGGGTTCAAGCGATTCTCCTGCCTCAGCCTCCTGAGTAGCTGGGATTACAGGCGCCCGCCAACATGCCCAGCTAATTTTTTTAGTAGAGATGGGGTTTCACCATGTTAGCCAGGATGGTCTCGATCTCCTGATTTGGTGATCCGCCCACCTTGGCCTCCCAAAGTTTCAACCATCGATCAGAACTTATTGATGTACTTATGTAGCTAGGCACGGTGGCGCGTGCCTGTAATCCCAGCTACTTGGAAGGGTTAAGGCAGGAGAATCGCTTGAACCTGGGAGGCAGAGGTTACAGTGAGTCAAGATCATACCATTGCACTCCAGTCTGGGCAACAGAATGAGACTCTGTCTCAAAAACAAAAAACAAACCCTTGTATGTGATTTTCCTGGATAGCATCTGTTACATCTTCACAAAGATAAAAAGTCAGACTTGGCTGGGCATGGTGGCTCACACCTGTAATCCCAGCACTGAGAGGCTGAGGCAGGCAGATCACTTGAGGTCAGGAATTTGAGACCAGGCTGGGCAGCATGGTGAAACCCCGTCTCTACAAAAAATACAAAAATTAGCCGGGTGTGGTGTCACGCACCTGTATTCCCAAGCTACTCAGGAAGCTAAGGCAGGAGAATCACTTGAACCCAGAGGTGGAGGTTTGCAGTGAGTTGAGATTGTGCCATTGCACTCCAGCCTGGGCGACAGAGTGAGACTCTGTGTCAAAAATAAAATAAAATAAAATTTTAAAAAAGGCAGATTTTTTTTTCTTCTTGGTATTGTTACCTTATTATAGTAATAATAAGTGCATAGTGCATGCTGAGATAAGCAATCATAATTTGTTATTGCGGCCGGGCATGGTGGCTCCAGCCTATAATCCCAGCACTTTGGTCAGGAGTTCAAGGCCAGCCTGGCCAATATAGTGAAACTCCATCTCTACTAAAATACAAGAAATTACCTGGGCATGGTGGCAGTTGCTGGTGATCCCCAGCTACTTGGGAGGCTGAGGCAGGAGAATCGCTTGAACCTGGGAAGCAGAGGTTGCAGTGAGCCAAGATTGCACCACTGCACTCCAGCCTGGGTGACAGAGTGAGACTCTGTCTGAAAATAATAATAATAATAATTTGTTATTGCTTTTATTGCCTTAGTTTACATAGGGAATCAAAGTTTATACTTTGATTTATAAAAGTTGCTTTGATTCTAGTTCACAGAACCAGAATCTTTCATATAAAGGTATTAGAGGGCCCAGTGTGGTGGCTCATGCCTGTAATCCCAGCATATTGGGAGGCTGAGGAGGGAGGATCACTTTAGGAGTTTGAGGCCAGCCTAGGCAACATAGTGAGACCTTGTCTCTACAAAAAATTCCAACATTAGCTGGGCATGGTGGCATGTGCCTGTAGTCCCATTTATTTGGGGGGCTGAGGCAGGAGGATCACTTGAGCCCACGAGGTTCAATCCAGGTTGCAGTAAGCCATGATCCTGCCACTGCACTCCAGTTTGGGTAACAGAGCGAAGCTATGTCTCAAAAAAAGAAAAAAAAAGTATTCTAAATCCAAATTTAATATATAAAACTAAATGCAGGCCAAGTGTGGTGGCATATACCTATAATCACAACACTTTGGGAGGCTGAGGTGGGAGGATTGCTTGAGCCCAAGAGTTCAAGACCAGCCTAGGTAACACAGTAAGACCCCATCTCTACAAAAAGTAGAAAAATTAGCCTGGCATGGTGGTGAGTGCTTTTAATCCCAACTACTTAGGGGGCTGAGATGGGAAGATTGCTTGAGCCTCAGAGTTTGAGGCTGCAGTGGGCCGTGATCGCTCCACTGATCGCTCTAAAGTGAGACCCTGTCTCAAAAAAAAAGAAAATAGAAGAAAACTAAATACATTCAATAAGACTTTGATCTCTTTTCCAAGGTGTAAATATATTTTGGGAAATTTTCCAGTTACTTTGTTCTCATTTTAATGTAATAATCTAAGTCTTGGTTTTCTAAGGAAAAGTTTTCTCTTATTATATCTTTTGTTAATGTTTCTCTCCCATTTCTTTTGATCTGATCTTCAGATACATGATTATCTTCACTGCTAAATTTGTGTTCTCTGGCCTCTACATTTATAATTTCTCATAATTCTTTATCTAAGTATTTCTTCCCTACCTACTGAAGAAAACTCAAGTTTTCTTCCACCTTAATGATTATGCTGTGTCTGTGAGTTTTCTTCATGACTCTTTACAGTACAAGTTTTTTGTTTTTGTTTTTTTAATGGTCAGATGGATAGAACAACACAGGTTTTGTTTGTTTTGTTTTAACTTTTAAAAAAATTATAATAGATAAAGGGTCTCACTACGTTGTCCAGGCTGATCTCATACTCCTGGGCTCAAGCAATCCACCCACCTCTGCCTCCCAAAGTGCTGGGATTACAGTCATGAGCCAACATGCCTGGGCAGTACAGGTTTTTTTTGAGACGGAGTTTTGTTCTTGTTGCCGAGGCTGGAGTGCAATGGCACAATCTTGGCTCACCACAAAGTCTGCCTCCCAGGTTCAAGTGATTCTCCTGCCTCAGCCTCCTGAGTAGCTGGGATTACAGGCATGTGCCACCACGCCCAGCTAATTTTGTATTTTTAGTAGAGACGGGGTTTCACCATGTTGGCCAGGCTGGTTTCGAACTGCTGACCTCAGGTGATCTGCCCACCTCGGCCTCCCAAAGTGCTGGGATTACAGGCATGAGCCACCATGCCCAGCTGTAGTACAGGTTTTAATATGCTAAATACTCTTCCTTTCTTTATTAATGTGCATGGAAGTTCTAATATTTTTTTCCCATACCCCAGAGAGTCCATATTTTGGAATCAACAACACTAGCCTTTGTTGACAAGTGTCTCTCTTGGGTTCCTTCTTTGTGTCCTCCACTGAATTTTGGGGTTCATAAAATTTCATTTGTTGTGCTTGCTTAATTCCCTGGGAATCAGACTGTTCCTGATCGGATGACATTTCTGGTTAATTCTTTAGTTGGCAGGAAATAGACACAGGAAACGTGGTCAGTTTCTGATTCTGGCGTTGAGAGACCCTTTCTCCTTTTCCTCTCTCTCAGTGGGCGACAGATGCGAAAGAAACGAGTTCCAGTGCCAAGACGGGAAATGCATCTCCTACAAGTGGGTCTGCGATGGCAGCGCTGAGTGCCAGGATGGCTCTGATGAGTCCCAGGAGACGTGCTGTGAGTCCCCTTTGGGCATGATATGCATTTATTTTTGTAATAGAGACAGGGTCTCGCCATGTTGGCCAGGCTGGTCTTGAATTTCTGGTCTCAAGTGATCCGCTGGCCTCGGCCTCCCAAAGTGCTGGGATTACAGGCACCACGCCTGGCCTGTGACACGATTCTTAACCCCTTTTTGATGATGGCGGCTGGAAAAGTGGCCAGTGGATTTTGATGTATTCAATCATGAATTAGGAGGTGGGGAGAGAATGAATTATTGGAGCTTTCCTTAAAGCCATTAAATGGCTCTATTGTTTTTTCAATTGATGTGAATTTCACATAACATGAAATTAACCAGCTCAGTGGCATTAATACATCTGCAATGCTGTGTGGCCACCACCTCTATCTTGTTCCAAAACTTTGCATAACCTAATGTCTTTTTTTTTTTTTTTTTTTGAGACGGAGTCTCGTTCCATCACCCAGGCTGGAGTGCAGTGGTGTGATCTCAGCTCACTGCAACCTCCGCCTCCCAGGTTCACGCCATCCTCCTGCCTCAGCCTCCCGAGTAGCTGGGACTACAGGCACCCTCCACCACATCCGGCTAATTTTTTGTATCTTTAGTAGAGATGGGGTTTCACCATGTTAGCCGGGATGGTCTCGATCTCCTGACCTCGTGATCCACCTGCCTCCGCCTCCCAAAGTGCTGGCATTACAGGCGTGAGCCACCATGCCCGGCCTATTTTTTTTTTTAAGAGATGGAGTCTAATTCTGTTGCCCAGGCTGGAGTCCAGTGGTACCATCATACTTCACTGCAGCCTTGACCTCTTGGGCTCAAGTGATTCTCTTGCCTCGAACTCCCAAAGTATTGGGATTACAGGTGTGAGCCACCGCACTCAGCCTAATGTCCAGTTTTTAACAAGCTCCATTTAAATGCCCTCCGTTTTGACCCATAAAGGGGTAGGCTTGGCCGGGCACAATGGCTTGTGTCTGTAGTCCCAGCTACTTGGGAGGCTGAGGCAGAAAGGCAGAAAGATTGCTTTATAAAGCCCAGGAGTTTGAGGGCCACCTGGGTGGCATAGCTAGACCTCATCTCTAAAAAATAAGTAATAAATAAATATTTGTTTTTGTTTTTTTCTTTTTCTTTTCTTTTTTTTTTTTTTTTGAGACGGAGTCTTGCTCTGTTGCCCAGGCTGGAGTGCAGTGGCGCGATCTCAGCTCACTGCAAGCTGTGCCTCCTGGGTTCATGCCATTCTCCTGCCTCAGCCTCCCGAGTAGCTGGGACTACAGGCGCCCACTACCACGCCCAGCTAATTTTTTGTATTTTTAGTAGAGATGGGGTTTCACCACGTTAGCCAGGATGGTCTCAATCTCCTGACCTCGTGATCCGCCAGCTTTGGCCTCCCAAAGTGTTGGGATTACAGGCGTGAGCCACTGAGCCCGCCCCATATGTATGTATATATATATTTTTTTAAAATGGGAGACCAGGCATGGTGGCTCATGCCTAGAATCCCAGCACTTTGGGAAGCTGAGGTAGGCGGATCACTTGAGGCCATGAGTTTGAGACCAGCCTGCTCAACATGATGAAACTTCTATCTCTACTAAAAAAAAAAGTGGGATTAGGTCAGGCACGGTGGCTCACACCTGTAATCCCAGCACTTTCAGAGGCCGAGGCAGGAGGATCATGAGGTCAGGAGATCGAGACCATCCTGGCTAACACGGTGAAACCCCGTCTCTACTAAAAAAATACAAAAAATTAGCCAGGCGTGGTGGCGGGTGCCTGTAGTCCCAGCTACTCAGGAGGCTGAGGCAGGAGAATGGCGTGAACCCGGGAGGCGGAGCTTGCAGTGAGCCAAGATCGTGCCACTGTACTCCAGCCTGGGCGACAGAGCAAGACTCTGTCTCAAAAAAAAAAAAAAAAGTGGGATTGACATTCTCTTCAAAGTTCTGGGGTTTTCCTTTGCAAAGACAGGATTGGCAAGGCCAGTGGGTCTTTTTTGTGTGTGTGTGTGTGACGGAGTCTCACTCTGCCACCCAGGCTGGAGTGCAATGGCAGGATCTCGGCTCACCGCAACCTCCTCCTCCCAGGTTAAAGTGATTCTCCTGCCTCAGCCTCCCGAGTAGCTGGGACTACAGGTGCCCGCCACCACACCCAACTAATTTTTGTATTTTTAGTAGAGACAGGGTTTCACTATATTGGCCAGGCTGGTCTTGAACCCCTGACCTCACGTGATCCACCCGCCTTGGCCTCCCAAAGTGCTGGGATTACAGGCGTGAGCCACTGTGCTCGGCCTCAGTGGGTCTTTCCTTTGAGTGACAGTTCAATCCTGTCTCTTCTGTAGTGTCTGTCACCTGCAAATCCGGGGACTTCAGCTGTGGGGGCCGTGTCAACCGCTGCATTCCTCAGTTCTGGAGGTGCGATGGCCAAGTGGACTGCGACAACGGCTCAGACGAGCAAGGCTGTCGTAAGTGTGGCCCTGCCTTTGCTATTGAGCCTATCTGAGTCCTGGGGAGTGGTCTGACTTTGTCTCTACGGGGTCCTGCTCGAGCTGCAAGGCAGCTGCCCCGAACTGGGCTCCATCTCTTGGGGGCTCATACCAAGCCTCTTCCGCCCTTCAAATCCCCCCTTGACCAGGAGGCATTACAAAGTGGGGATGGTGCTACCTCTTCGGGTTTGTCACGCACAGTCAGGGAGGCTGTCCCTGCCGAGGGCTAGCCACCTGGCACACACACTGGCAAGCCGCTGTGATTCCCGCTGGTCGTGATCCCCGTGATCCTGTGATCCCCGCCCCGTGAGGCTGAACACATAGTGACGCTTGCTAGCCAAGCCTCAATGACCCACGTAACATGAAGGGGGAAAAGCCAGAAAGTTCTGCCAAGGAGCAAGGCCAAGAATCCCGAAGGGAAATGGACTTTGAAGCTGGGCGTCTTCTTGGCTGTCTTAATACAAGTGGCACATCCAAATCCAAAACCCCGAAATTCAAAGTCTTGAGCACCCGAAATTCTGAAACGTCTTGAGCACTGACCTTTAGAAGGAAATGCTTATTGGAGCATTTTGGATTTCGGATTTTTACCACTGAGTGTGGAGTCCTAATTAGGAAAAAAACCAGGCTGACCGAACCAAAGGAAAGCAATAAAAGAAGGCAGATAGGGTCAGGCACGGTGGCTCACCCCTGTAATCCCAGCCTTTTGAGAGGCTGAGGCGGGTGGATCACTTGAGGTCAGGAGTTCGAGAGCAGCCTGGCCAACACGGTGAAACCCCATCTCTACTGAAAATACAAAAACTAGCCAGGTATGGTGGCGTCTGCCTGTAATCCCAGCTACTCGGGAGGCTGAGACAGGAGAATCACTTGAACCTGGGAGGCAGAGGTTGCAGTGAGCCAATATCACGCCATTGCACTCCAGCCTGGGGGACAAGAGCGAAATTCTGTCTCAAAAAAAAAGAAGAAGAAGGCCGACAAACTATGTAACTCTGCCTTTCTCCATGGTCCAGAACACACAGCCCTCCTGCGTAAATAACTCCTTATCTTCCTGCTCCCAGCTATCATCAGACACCTCGGCTGATAGAAAATTGCAAGTTAGCTCACTGCAACCTCGGCATTATAAGTACTGCACAAAGCCCTCTTCAGCGCACAGCACAAGCACCATTCTATAAAATCTCCAGCAAGCGGCCAGGTGCAGTGGCTCATACCTGTAATCCCAGCATTTTGGGAGACTGAGGCGGGCGGATCACCTGAGGTCAGGAGTTTGAGACCAGCCTGGCCAACATGGTGAAACCCCGTCTCTATTAAAAATACAAAAAAATTAGCCAGGCGTGGTGGCAGGTGCCTGTAATCCCAGCTACTTGGAAGGCTGAGGCAGGAGAATCGCTTGAACCCGGGAGGTGGAAGTTGCAGTGAGCCGAGATCTTGCCATCGCACTCCAGCCTGGGGGACAAGAGTGAGACTTCGTCTCAAAAAAAAAAAAAAAAATTCCCAGCAAGCCTTTGTCTTCTGGCAGTCAGCTCCTCTCTTGCTGACCTGCTCATTGCTTTCTTGCAAGGTATTTTCCTACCTACTTTCTGGAATAAATCTGTCTTTCTGTACTTACAACTACCTTTTTTAAAATTTCTTTCTTTTTTGAGATGGAGTCTCACTCTGTTTGCCCAGGCTGGAGTTCAGTGGTGCAATCTCAGCTCACTGCAACCTCTACCTACTGGGTTCAAGCGATTCTCCTGCCTCAGCTTCCCGAGTAGCTGGGATTACAGGCGTGCACCAGCACGCAGGCTAATTTTTGTATTTTTAGTAGAGACGGGGTTTCACCATGTTGGCCAAGGTGGTCTTGAACTCCTGACCTCAAGTGATCCTCCCACCTCAGCCTCCCAAAGCGCTAGGATTACGGCCATGAGCCACTGAGGCCGGCTGCACCTACAACTGTCTTGATAAATTCTTACCCCCACACCACTGGTCCAGATAGTCAGTGCTCACCCACAACATTAAGGATATTCCAAATTTGAAACATTCCAAAATCAGAAAAATATTCCAACTCTGAAAATATTCCAAAATCCAAAAAAATTCAAAATCCAAAACACTTCTGGTCCCAAGCATTTTAGAGAAGGGATACTCAACCCAAAATAAGGACAGCAATTCTATAAATTGTGCTACCATCTTGCAGGTCTCAGTTTAACAGCTTTACACCTATTAGCGCACCAGTGCTCATAGCAGTGCTGGGAAATGTGTACAGATGAGGAAACTGAGGCACCGAGAGGGCAGTGGTTCAGAGTCCATGGCCCCTGACTGCTCCCCAGCCCGCCTTTCCAGGGGCCTGGCCTCACTGCGGCAGCGTCCCCGGCTATAGAATGGGCTGGTGTTGGGAGACTTCACACGGTGATGGTGGTCTCGGCCCATCCATCCCTGCAGCCCCCAAGACGTGCTCCCAGGACGAGTTTCGCTGCCACGATGGGAAGTGCATCTCTCGGCAGTTCGTCTGTGACTCAGACCGGGACTGCTTGGACGGCTCAGACGAGGCCTCCTGCCCGGTGCTCACCTGTGGTCCCGCCAGCTTCCAGTGCAACAGCTCCACCTGCATCCCCCAGCTGTGGGCCTGCGACAACGACCCCGACTGCGAAGATGGCTCGGATGAGTGGCCGCAGCGCTGTAGGGGTCTTTACGTGTTCCAAGGGGACAGTAGCCCCTGCTCGGCCTTCGAGTTCCACTGCCTAAGTGGCGAGTGCATCCACTCCAGCTGGCGCTGTGATGGTGGCCCCGACTGCAAGGACAAATCTGACGAGGAAAACTGCGGTATGGGCGGGGCCAGGGTGGGGGCGGGGCGTCCTATCACCTGTCCCTGGGCTCCCCCAGGTGTGGGACATGCAGTGATTTAGGTGCCGAAGTGGATTTCCAACAACATGCCAAGAAAGTATTCCCATTTCATGTTTGTTTCTTTTTTTTCTTTTCTTTCTTTATTTTGTTTTTGAGATGGAGTCTCACTCTGTGATTTTTTTCATCTCTAAATTTCCTACATCCATATGGCCACCATGAGGCCCCAGGCTGGCCGATGGTTGCTGTTAGCTTATTGGGAAATCACTGTTTGGAAGGTGCTGGTTGTTTTTTGTTGTTTGTTGTTTTTGTTTTTGTTTTTGTTTTGAGACGGAGTCTCGCTCTGTCGCCAGGGTGGAGTGCAGTGGCGCGATCAGCTCACTGCAACCTCCGCTTCCTGGGTTCAAGCCATTCTCCTGCCTCAGCCTCCCAAGTAGCGCGGATTACAGGCATGTGCCACCACCTCCGGCTATTTTTTTTTCTATTTAGTAGAGATGGGGTTTCACCATGTTAGTCAGGCTGGTCATGAACTCTTGACCTCAGGTGATCCACCCGCCTCGGCCTCCCAAAGTGCTGGGATTACAGGCGTGCACTGCTGCACCCAGCCTTTTTTTGTTTTTTTGAGACAGGGTCTTGCTGTCACCCAGGTTGAAGTAAGGTGGCACGATTATGGCTCACTGCGGCCTTGATCTCCTTGGCTCAAGCGATCCTCTCACTTCAGCCTCTCAAGCAGTTGGAACCACAGGCTGTACCACCAAGCCTGGCCAATTTTTTTGTACAGACACAGGCTGGTCTTGAACTCCTGGGCTCAAGCAATCCTCCTGCCTTGGCCTCCCAAAGTGCTGGGATTCCAGGCATGAGCCGCTGCACCCGGCAAAAGGCCCTGCTTCTTTTTCTCTGGTTGTCTCTTCTTGAGAAAATCAACACACTCTGTCCTGTTTTCCAGCTGTGGCCACCTGTCGCCCTGACGAATTCCAGTGCTCTGATGGAAACTGCATCCATGGCAGCCGGCAGTGTGACCGGGAATATGACTGCAAGGACATGAGCGATGAAGTTGGCTGCGTTAATGGTGAGCGCTGGCCATCTGGTTTTCCATCCCCCATTCTCTGTGCCTTGCTGCTTGCAAATGATTTGTGAAGCCAGAGGGCGCTTCCCTGGTCAGCTCTGCACCAGCTGTGCGTCTGTGGGCAAGTGACTTGACTTCTCAGAGCCTCACTTCCTTTTGTTTTGAGACGGAGTCTCGCTCTGACACCCAGGCTGGAGTGCTGTGGCACAATCACAGCTCACGGCAGCCTCTGCCTCTGATGTCCAGTGATTCTCCTGCCTCAGCCTCCCGAGTAGCTGAGATTAAAGGCGTATACCACCACGCCCGGCTAATTTTTTGTATTTTTATTAGAGACAGGGTTTCTCCATGTTGGCCAGGCTGGTCTTGAACTCCTGGTCTCAGGTGATCCACCCGCCTCGGCCTCCCAAAGTGCTAGGATTACAGGTGTGAGCCACTGCGCCAGGCCTAATTTTTTTGTATTTTTAGTAGAGATGCGGTTTTGCCATATTGCCCAGGCTGGTCTCGAACTCCTGGGCTCAAGCGATCTGCCTGCCTTGGCCTCCCAAAGTGCTGGGATTACAGGCACAAACCACCGTGCCCGACGCGTTTTCTTAATGAATCCATTTGCATGCGTTCTTATGTGAATAAACTATTATATGAATGAGTGCCAAGCAAACTGAGGCTCAGACACACCTGACCTTCCTCCTTCCTCTCTCTGGCTCTCACAGTGACACTCTGCGAGGGACCCAACAAGTTCAAGTGTCACAGCGGCGAATGCATCACCCTGGACAAAGTCTGCAACATGGCTAGAGACTGCCGGGACTGGTCAGATGAACCCATCAAAGAGTGCGGTGAGTCTCGGTGCAGGCGGCTTGCAGAGTTTGTGGGGAGCCAGGAAAGGGACTGAGACATGAGTGCTGTAGGGTTTTGGGAACTCCACTCTGCCCACCCTGTGCAAAGGGCTCCTTTTTTCATTTTGAGACAGTCTCGCACGGTCGCCCAGGCTGGAGCGCAATGGCGCGATCTCGGCTCACTGCAACCTCTGCCTCCCAGGTTCAAGTGATTCTCCTGCCTCAGCCTCCTGAGTAGCTGGGATTACAGGCGCCCACCACCAAGCCCGGGTAATTTTTTGTATGTTTAGTAGAGATGGGGTTTCACTATGTTGGCCAGGCTGGTGTTGAACTCCTGACCTCATGATCCGCCCACCTCGGCCTCCCAAAGTGCTGGGATTACAGGCGTGACCCACCCCATGAAAAAAAATTAAAAAATGAAGCGATGCTGGGCGCGGTGGATCACGCCTGTAATCCCAGCACTTTGGGAAGCTGAGGCAGGCAGATCACGAGGGCAGGAGATTGAGACCATCCTGGCTAATACGGTGAAACCCCATCTCTACTAAAACTACAAAAAATTAGCCGGGTGTGGTGGCAGGCACCTGTGATCCCAGCTACTCAGGAGGCTGAGGCAGGAGAATCGCTTGAACCCAGGAGGTGGAGGTTGCAGTGAGCCGGGATCACACCATTGCACTCCAGCCTGGGTGACAGAGTGAGACTCTGTCTCAAAAAAAAAAAAAAAAAAAAAAGCGAATTCTGAAATACATGAATTCTTTTCCTTAGATGCCTGCTTCTGTCTTGAGGTTTGTTGTTGTTATTTCGAAACAGAGTCTTGCTCTGTCGCTCAGGCTGGAGTGCAGTGGCATGATCTTGGCTCACCACAACCTCCGGCTCCCAGGTTCAAGCGATTCTTCTGCCTCAGCCTCCTGAGTAGCTGGGATTACAGCTGAATGCCACCTTGCTGGGCTAATTTTTGTATTTTTAGTAGAGATGGGGTTTCACCATGTTGGCCAGGCTGGCCTCGAACTCCTGACCTCGAGTGATCTGCCCGCCTCCTGAAGTGCTGGGATTACAGGCGTGAGCCACCTCGTCCTGGTGAGGGTTTTTTTTTTTCCCCAACCCTCTGTGGTGGATACTGAAAGACCATATTAGGATAACTGTACAGTATAGAGAAGGCAGTGGCAAGTTTTCTCTGTCATATACCAGAGTGGGCTTGGGCATGGTGGCATACTCCTGTAGTCTCAGCTAATCAGGAGGCTGAGGAAGGAGGATCGCTTGGGCCCAGGAGTTGGAGACTGTAGTGAGCTGTGATCACACCACCACACTTCAATCTGGGCAACAGAGCAAGAGACCCTATCTCTAAAAAAAAGTAAGTATTTCGGACACTGTGGGCCATACGGTCTCTGGTGCAGTTTCTCAACATGGCTGTTGGGTGAACACAACCACGCACAGAACGCAAACCAATACACGTGGCTGTGGGCCCAGAAAATGTTATTTATGGACACAAAAATTGGAATTTCATATAACTGTTTTGTGTCATGAAAATGATTTCCCTTTTTATTTTTATTTTTCTTCTCAAGTATTTAAATATGTAAAAGCCATTTTTAGGCCTGGCAGGATGGTTCACAGCTGTAATCCCAGCACTTTGGGAGGTCGAGGCGGGAGGATCACGAGGTCAGGAGATCGAGACCATCCTGGCCAACACAGTGAAACCCCGTCTCTACTAAAAATACAAAAAATTAACCAGGCTTGGTGGCGCGCGTCTGTAGTCCCAGCTGCTCAGGAGGCTGAGGCAGGAGAATCGCTTGAATGCAGGAGGCGGAGGTTGTAGTGAGCCGAGGTTGCACCACTGCACTCCAGCCTGAGCGACAGAGTGAGAGTCCGCCTCAAACAAAAAAATGTTTGCCCATGCTGGTCTTGAACTCCTGGGCTCAAGCTATCTGCCTGCCTTGGTCTCCCAAAGTTCTGGGATTACAGGCATGAGCTACAGCGCCCGGACTTTTGTTGTTTTATATCTATATATCTATATATAACTTGTTTTATGTATATATATAACTTGTTTTATATATATACATAAACTGCAGTAAAAAACATGTAACATAAAATTTACCTTCTCAAACCTTATTAAGTGCACAGTTCTGTGCCATTAGCAAATTCACACTGTTGTACAACATCACAACCACCATCTCCAGAACTTTTTTTTTTTTTTTTATTCTTTTTGAGACAGAGTCTCACTCGTCGCACGGGCTGGAGTGCAGTGGTGCGATCTCGGTTCACTGCAACCTCCACCTACCAGGTTCAAGCAATTCTCCTGCCTCAGCCCCCTCAGTAGCTGGGATTACAGGTGCCCGTCCTACCACGCCCAGCTAATTTTTGTATTTTCAGTAGAGACTGACTGGGTTTCACCATGTTGGCCAGGCTGGTCTCGAACTCCTGACCTCAAGTGATCCTCCCACCTCAGCCTCCCAAAGTGCTGGGAATACAGGCATGAGCCACTGCGCCCGGCCCCAGAACTCTTTTATCTTCCCAAACTGAAGCTCTGTCCCCATGAAACACTCACTCTCCATCCCCTCCCCAACTCCTGGCACCCACCATTCTACTTTCTGTCCCTATGAATGTGATGGCTCTAGGGACCTCCTCTGAGTGGAATCAGACAGCATTTTCCTTTTTTGACTGGCTTATTTCACTGAGCCAAGTGCGGTGGCACACGCCTGTAATCCCAAAACTTTGGGAGACCGAGGCGGGCGCATCACCTGAGGTCAGGAGTTCGAGACCAGCCCGGCCAACATGGTGAAACCCCATCTCTAGTAAAAATACAAAAAATTAGCCTGTCATGGTCGTGGGTGCCTGTAATCCCAGCTAAGTGGGAGGCTGAGGCAGGAGAATCGCTTGTACCCAGGAGGCGGAGGTCGCAGTGAGCCGAGATCGTGCCATTACACTCCAGCCTGGGCAACAAGAGTGAAACTCCGTCTCTCCTAAAAATACAAAAAAATTAGCTGGGCATGGTGGCACATGCCTGTAGTCCCAGCTACTTGGGAGGCTGAGGCAGGAGAATCACTTGAACCCGGGAGGTGGAGGTTGTAATGAGCCAAGGTTGGCGGCGAAGGGATGGGTAGGGGCCCGAGAGTGACCAGTCTGCATCCCCTGGCCCTGCGCAGGGACCAACGAATGCTTGGACAACAACGGCGGCTGTTCCCACGTCTGCAATGACCTTAAGATCGGCTACGAGTGCCTGTGCCCCGACGGCTTCCAGCTGGTGGCCCAGCGAAGATGCGAAGGTGATTCCCGGGTGGGACTGAGCCCTGGGCCCCCTCTGCGCTTCCTGACATGGCAACCAAACCCCTCATGCCTCAGTTTCCCCATCTGTTAAGTGTGCTTGAAAGCAGTTAGGAGGGTTTCATGAGATTCCACCTGCATGGAAAACTATCATTGGCTGGCCAGAGTTTCTTGCCTCTGGGGATTAGTAATTAAGAAATTTCAGGCCGGGTGCGTAATCCCTGTAATCCCAACACCTTGGGACGCCGAGGCGGGCAGATCACCTGAGGTCGGGAGTTCCAGACCAGCCTGACCAACATGGAGAAACCCCGTCTCTACTAAAAATACAAAATTAGCCGGGCTTGGTGGTGCATGCCTATAATCCCAGCTACTCAGGAGGCTGAGGCAGGAGAATCACTTGAACCTGGGAGGTGGAGGTTGTGGTGAGCCAAGATCGTGCCATTGCACTCCAGCCTGGGCAACAAGAGTGAAACTCCATCCAAAAAAAAAAGAAAAGAAAAGAAAAAAAAGAAAAGAAATTTCAGCTGACACAGCTTCACACTCTTGGTTGGGTTCCCGTGGTGAATGATGAGGTCAGGTGATGACTGGGGATGACACCTGGCTGTTTCCTTGATTACATCTCCCGAGAGGCTGGGCTGTCTCCTGGCTGCCTTCGAAGGTGTGGGTTTTGGCCTGGGCCCCATCGCTCCGTCTCTAGCCATTGGGGAAGAGCCTCCCCACCAAGCCTCTTTCTCTCTCTTCCAGATATCGATGAGTGTCAGGATCCCGACACCTGCAGCCAGCTCTGCGTGAACCTGGAGGGTGGCTACAAGTGCCAGTGTGAGGAAGGCTTCCAGCTGGACCCCCACACGAAGGCCTGCAAGGCTGTGGGTGAGCACGGGAAGGCGGCGGGTGGGGGCGGCCTCACCCCTTGCAGGCAGCAGTGGTGGGGGAGTTTCATCCTCTGAACTTTGCACAGACTCATATCCCCTGACCGGGAGGCTGTTTGCTCCTGAGGGCTCTGGCAGGGGAGTCTGCCGCCCTGTTAGGACTTGGGCTTGCCAGGGGGATGCCTGCATATGTCCTAGTTTTTGGGAATATCCAGTTAACGGAACCCTCAGCCCTACTGGTGGAACAGGAACCGGCTTTCCTTTCAGGGACAACCTGGGGAGTGACTTCAAGGGGTTAAAGAAAAAAAATTAGCTGGGCATGGTGCCACACACCTGTGGTCCCAGCTACTCAGAAGGCTGAGGCGGGAGGATTGCTTGAGGGCAGGAGGATTGGTTGATCCTCCCACCTCAGCCTCCGGAGTAGCTGGGACCTCAGGTGCATGCCACTATGCCTGGCTAATTTTCTTTTTTCTTTTTTTTTTTTTTTCGAGACGGAGTCTCGCTCTGTTGCCCAGGCTGGAGTGCAGTGGCAGGATCTCGGCTCACTGCAAGCTCCGCCTCCCGGGTTCACGCCATTCTCCTGCCTCAGCCTCCCCAGTAGCTGGGACTACAGGAGCCCGCCACTGCACCAGGCCAATTTTTTTGTATTTTTAGTAGAGACGGGGTTTCACTGTGTTAGCCAGGATGGTCTCGATCTCCTGACTTCGTGATCCGCCCACCTCGGCCTTCCAAAGTGCTCGGATTACAGGCGTGAGCCACTGCGCCCAGCCGCTAATTTTCATATTTTTAGTAAAAACAGGGTTTCACCATGTTGGCCAGGCTAGTCTTGAACTCCTGAACCCAAGTGATCCTCCTGC
This sequence comes from Homo sapiens, assembly GCF_000001405.40. Classification (NCBI taxonomy): domain Eukaryota; kingdom Metazoa; phylum Chordata; class Mammalia; order Primates; family Hominidae; genus Homo; species Homo sapiens. The sequence goes on from NC_000019.10 coordinate 11,112,496, forward strand.
CTTGGCCTCCCAAAGTGCTGGGATTACAGACACCACACCTGGCTATTATTATTTTTTAGAGACAGGGTGCTGCTCTATCTTCCAGCCTGTAGTGCAGTGCAGCCTCCATCATAGCTCGCTGCAGCCTTGACCTCCTGGGTTCACGTGATCGTCCCGCCTAAGCCTCTGGAGGAGCTGGGAGTACTGGCATGTGCCACCATGCCTGGTTAATTTTTTTTTTTTTTTTTTTGAGACAGAGTCTCATTCTGTCACCCAGGCTGGAGTGCGGTGGTGCGATCTTGGCTTACTGAAACCTCCACCTCCCAGGTTCCAGCAATTCTCCTGCCTCACCCTTCTGAGTAGCTGGGATTACAGGTTCCGGCTACCAAACCTGGCTAGTTTTTGTATGTTTAGTAGAGACAGGGTTTCACCATGTTGGTGAGGCTGGTCTCGATTCTCCCGCCTCAGCCTCCCAAAGTGCTGGGATTACAGGCTTGAGCCACCGTGCCTGGCTTTTTTTTTTTTTTTTTTTTTTGTGGCAATAAGGTCTCATTGTCTTGCCCAGGCTAGCCTTATGCTCCTAGCCTCAAGTGATCCTCCTCCCTCAGCCTCCCAAAGTGCTGGGATTACAGGTGGGCGCCACTGTGCCTGTTCCCGTTGGGAGGTCTTTTCCACCCTCTTTTTCTGGGTGCCTCCTCTGGCTCAGCCGCACCCTGCAGGATGACACAAGGGGATGGGGAGGCACTCTTGGTTCCATCGACGGGTCCCCTCTGACCCCCTGACCTCGCTCCCCGGACCCCCAGGCTCCATCGCCTACCTCTTCTTCACCAACCGGCACGAGGTCAGGAAGATGACGCTGGACCGGAGCGAGTACACCAGCCTCATCCCCAACCTGAGGAACGTGGTCGCTCTGGACACGGAGGTGGCCAGCAATAGAATCTACTGGTCTGACCTGTCCCAGAGAATGATCTGCAGGTGAGCGTCGCCCCTGCCTGCAGCCTTGGCCCGCAGGTGAGATGAGGGCTCCTGGCGCTGATGCCCTTCTCTCCTCCTGCCTCAGCACCCAGCTTGACAGAGCCCACGGCGTCTCTTCCTATGACACCGTCATCAGCAGAGACATCCAGGCCCCCGACGGGCTGGCTGTGGACTGGATCCACAGCAACATCTACTGGACCGACTCTGTCCTGGGCACTGTCTCTGTTGCGGATACCAAGGGCGTGAAGAGGAAAACGTTATTCAGGGAGAACGGCTCCAAGCCAAGGGCCATCGTGGTGGATCCTGTTCATGGGTGCGTATCCACGACGCTGAGGGCTGCAGAGGGAATGGAGGGAGCAGGAAGGAGCTTCAGGAACTGGTTAGTGGGCTGGGCATGGTGGCTCAAAGCACCTGTAATCCCAGCACTTTGGGAGGCCAAGGTGGGTGGATCATCAAGACCAGCCTGACCAACATGGTGAAACCTCGTCTCTACTAAAAATACAAAAATTAGCCGGGTGTGGTGGTGGGCACCTGTAATCCCAGCTGCTCGGGAGGCTGAGGCAGGAGAATCACTTGAACCTGGGAGATGGAGGTTGCAGTGAGCCAAGACAGCCCCACTGCACTCCAGCCTGGGTGACAGAGTGAGACTCCGTCTCAAAAAAAAAAAAAAAAACTAAACAAAAAACTGGTTAGTGGCTAGACAACAGGATGGTATCTTCCAAGCCCATGGCTGACTCAGCAGCTCCTGGGTCAAGACACTGTGACCTGTGTCCCCTGGCAGGAAGCATCGCCCCTGCCACCTGCCCGGTGTACTCTGTACCTGTCAGGTGACATCTGCTACCTAAGCACGTGAGAGGTGGCATTTCACAGTTTCAGTGTGGTGCTGACAACCCGGGACGCACACTGTCCTTGCAGCTACAATCAGGAGGTGAATGTTGGGTTTCCAGCAGAGAACACTGGAGAAGGCACACTTGGTGTCTGGAAGGGAAAAGCAGGGAAGAGAGCATCATCAGATGCCTGCGGGTGAAGGTGGGCCCGCTATGGCCAGCGTCCCTTTTTATTTTTATTTATTTATTTATTTGAGATGGAATCTCGCTCTGTCGCCCAGACTGTAGTGCAGTGGTGCGATCACGGCTCACTGCAAGCTCCGCCTCACAGGTTCACGCCATTCTCCTGCCTCAGCCTCCCGAGTAGCTGGGACTACAGGCACCCGCCACCACGCCCGGTTAATTTTTTGCATTTTTATTAGAGACGGGGTTTCACCGCGTTAGCCAGGATGGTCTAAATCTCCTGACCCTGTGATCCACCCGCCTCGGCCTCCCTAAGTGCTTGGATTACAAGCGTGAGCCACCACGCCCGGCCCCCTTTTTATTTTTTATTTTTTGAGACGGAGTCTCGCTCTGTCGCCCAGGCTAGATTGCAGTGGCGTGATCTCGGCTCACTGCAGCCTCCGCCTCCCAGGTTCAAGTGATTCTCCTGCCTCAACCTCCCAACTAATTAGGATTACAAGCATGTACCACCATGCCTGACTAATTTTTTGTATTTTTAGTAGAGACTGGGTTTCACCATGTTGGCTAGGCTGGTCTCGAACCCTTAGCCTCAAGTAATCTGCCTGCCTCAGCCTCCCAAACAGCGGGGATTACAGGCATGAGCCACTGTGCCCAACCCAACCCTGGATCTCTTTTAAACAAGACAATGCTCGCTGTTGCCACAGAACAATGGGTGGGGTACATGTGGCCCAGTGTGTTTGGCCACATAACTGCCAGGCCAGAGGGAAAGAGACTCTCAGACTGTCTCCACTCAGATACAAATGTGTGTGTTGTGTGCGTGTGTTCTGGTCTCATATTTGTTTGTTTTGAGACAGGGTGTCGCTCTGTCACTGAGTCTGGAGTGCAGTGGCGCAATCAGAGTTCACTGCAGCCTCAAACTCTTGGGCTCAGTTGATTCTCCCACTTCAGCCTCCCAAGTAGCTGGAACTACAGGTGAACACCACTGTGCCCAGCTAATTTATTTTATTTTTAGTAGAGATGAGGTCTCACTATGTTGCCCAGGCTGGTCTTGACCTCCTAGCCTCAAGCAATCCTCCTGCCTTGGTCTCCCAAAGTGCTGGGATTACACGTGCGAGCCATTGCGCATGGCTTGTGTTCTTGTGTTTCTTCCTTTTTCTTTCGAGATGGCGTCTCAGTCTGCCACCCAGGCTGGAGTGCAGTGGTGTGATCATAGCTCACTGTAGCCTCAACTTCCTGGGCTCAAGCAATCCTCTTGATTTCAGCCTCCCGGGCCTGGCCAGCATGGTGAAACCCCGTCTCTACTAAAAATACAAAAATGTAGCCAGGCGTGGTGGTGGGCGCCTGTAATCCCAGCTACACCAGAGGCTGAGGCAGGAGAATCGCTTGAGCCTGGAAGGTGGAGGTTGCAGCAAGCCAAGATCGTGCCACTGCACTCCAGCCTGGGCAACAGAGACAGACTCTGTCTCAAAAAAAAAAAAAAAAAACCCAAACAAGCCACATTTGGAGTTTGGGGTTCCCAGCAGGACTATTTCCCAAGCCTGAGCCTGGCTGTTTCTTCCAGAATTCGTTGCACGCATTGGCTGGGATCCTCCCCCGCCCTCCAGCCTCACAGCTATTCTCTGTCCTCCCACCAGCTTCATGTACTGGACTGACTGGGGAACTCCCGCCAAGATCAAGAAAGGGGGCCTGAATGGTGTGGACATCTACTCGCTGGTGACTGAAAACATTCAGTGGCCCAATGGCATCACCCTAGGTATGTTCGCAGGACAGCCGTCCCAGCCAGGGCCGGGCACAGGCTGGAGGACAGACGGGGGTTGCCAGGTGGCTCTGGGACAAGCCCAAGCTGCTCCCTGAAGGTTTCCCTCTTTCTTTTCTTTGTTTTTTCTTTTTTTGAGATGAGGTCTTGGTCTGTCACCCAGGCTGGAGTGCACTGGCGCAATCGTAGCTCACTGCAGCCTCCACCTCCCAGGCTCAAGTGATCCTCCTGCCTCACCCTCCTGAGTAGCTGAGATTACAGACACGTGCCACCACGGCAGACTAATTTTATTTTATTTTTGGGAAGAGACAAAGTCTTGTTATGTTGGCCTGGCTGGTCTCAAACTCAGGGTGCAAGCGATCCTCCCGCCTCAGCCTTCCAAACTGCTGGGATTACAGGCGTGGGCCACCGTACCCAGCCTCCTTGAAGTTTTTCTGACCTGCAACTCCCCTACCTGCCCATTGGAGAGGGCGTCACAGGGGAGGGGTTCAGGCTCACATGTGGTTGGAGCTGCCTCTCCAGGTGCTTTTCTGCTAGGTCCCTGGCAGGGGGTCTTCCTGCCCGGAGCAGCGTGGCCAGGCCCTCAGGACCCTCTGGGACTGGCATCAGCACGTGACCTCTCCTTATCCACTTGTGTGTCTAGATCTCCTCAGTGGCCGCCTCTACTGGGTTGACTCCAAACTTCACTCCATCTCAAGCATCGATGTCAACGGGGGCAACCGGAAGACCATCTTGGAGGATGAAAAGAGGCTGGCCCACCCCTTCTCCTTGGCCGTCTTTGAGGTGTGGCTTACGTACGAGATGCAAGCACTTAGGTGGCGGATAGACACAGACTATAGATCACTCAAGCCAAGATGAACGCAGAAAACTGGTTGTGACTAGGAGGAGGTCTTAGACCTGAGTTATTTCTATTTTCTTCTTTCTTTTTTTTTTTTTTTTTGAGACAGAGTTTTGCTCTCGTTTCCCAGGCTGGAGGGCAATGGCATGATCTCGGCTCACCGCAACCTCCACCTCCCAGGTTCAAGTGATTCTCCTGTCTCAGGCTCCCCAGTAGCTGGGATTACAGGCATGCACCACCACCATGCCCGGCTAATTTTGTATTTTTAGTAGAGACGGAGTTTCTCCATGTTGGTCAGGCTGGTCTCGAACTCCCGACCTCAGGTGATCTGCCTGCCTCGGCCTCCCAAAGTGCTGGGATTACAGACTTGAGCCACCGCGCCCAGCTATTTCTGTTTTCTTTCTTTCTTCTTCTTCTTTTTTTTTTTCTAAGAGACAGGATCTCACTCTGTCCCCAGGCAGGAGTGCAGTGCTGTGATCATAGCTCACTGCAGCCTTAACCTCCTGGGCTCAAGTGATCTTCCCACCTCAGCCTCCCAAGTAGCTGGAACTACAGGTGCACACCACCATGCCCAGCTCATTTTTGTATTTTTTTTTTTTTTGAGACAGTCTCGTTCTGTCACCCCGGCTGGAGTGCAGTGGTACAATCTTGGCTCACTGCAACCTCTGCCTCCCAGGTTCAAGCGATTCTCCTGCCTCAGCCTCCTGAGTAGTTGAGATTACAGGCATGTGTGCCATCATACCTGGCTGATTTTTGTATTTTTTTTTAGAGATGGGGTCTCAGTATGTTGACCAGGCTTGTCTTAAACTCCCGGCCTCAAGTGATCCTCCCACTTCAGTCTCCCAAAGTGCTGGGATTACAGGCATGAGCCACTGCGGCCGGTTTGTTTTCTTTTTTTTTTCGTTTTTTGGAGACGGAATTTCACCTTTGTTGCCCAGGATGGAGTGCAATGGCACGATATCGCCTCACCACAACCTCTGCCTCCTGGGTTCAAACCATTTTCCTGCCTCAGCCTTCTTAGTAGCTGGGATTACAAGCATGTGCCACCACGCCCGGCTGATTTTGTATTTTTAGTAGAGATGGGGTTTCTCCATGTTGGCCAGGCTGGTCTCGAACTCCTGACCTCAGGTCATTCGCCCACCTCTGCCTCCCAAAGTGCTGGGATTACAGGCGTGAGCCACCGTGCCCGGTGGTTTGTATTCTTTTTACTGAGAGTCGTGAAAGGCAGTGATCCTCTGTCACATGTGATCTTGGCTCTCAGGGGACATTTGGCAATTTCTAGAGATTTTTTGGTTGTCACAAGTCAATGGGGAAGACTGTTGGCATTTAGTGGGTAGAGGCTGGTGACGCTGCTGAACACCCAGAACAGGGAAGTAGCAGGCCCTAGATAGAGCCATCGTGGGGAAACCCTGCTCTAAGGAAATGGCGCTATTTTATAACCCCACGTTCCTGGCATGATTACCAACAGCCAAAAGTGGAGTCCCCCCAAGTGTGTTCGTCCATTTGCATTGCAGTAAAGGAATAGCTGAGGCCGGGTAATTTATAAAGAAAAGAGATTTAAACTGGGTATGGCAGTTTATGCCTATAATCCCAGAACTTTGGGAGGCTGAGGCAGGAGGATCGCTTGAGTCCAGGAGTGTGAGACCGAGACCAGCCTGGCCAACATGACGAAACTCTGTCTCTACAAAAAATACAAAAAGTAGGCCAGGCACGGTGGTTCACGCCTGTAATCCCAGCACTTTGGGAGGCCGAGGCGGGCGGATCACGAGGTCAGGAGATCGAGACCATCCTGGCTAACACGGTGAAACCCCGTCTCTACTAAAAATACAAAAACAAAATTAGCCGGGTGTGGTGGCAGGCGCCTGTAGTCCCAGCTACTCGGGAGGCTGAGGCGGGAGAATGGCGTGAACCCGGGAGGCGGAGCTTGCAGTGAGCCAAGATCGCGCCACTGCACTCCAGCCTGGGTGACCGAGTTGAGACTCCGTCTCAAAAAAAAAAAAAAAAAAAAAAATACAAAAAGTAGCCAGGTGTGGTGGCAGGCACCTGTAATCCTGGGTTCTCGAGACCGAGGCATGAGAATTGCCTGACCCCAGGAGGTGGAGGCTGCAGTGAGCCAAGATCATGCCACTGCACTCCAGCCTGGGCGACAGAGTGGGACTCTGTCTCAAAAAACAACAAAAAAAAAGTTCTGGAAATGGATGGTGGTGATGGTGATACTTCCACAACAGCGTGAATCTGCTTAAGGCCACCGAACTGTGCACTCACAAATAGTCGAGATGGTACATTTTATGTTATGTGTATTTCACCACAATTAAAAACTAGTTGTGGGCCAGGTGTGGTGGTTCATGCCTGTAATCCCAGCACTTTGGGAGGTCAGAGGGAGGTGGATCATGAGGTCAGCAGTTCGAGACCAGCCAGGCCAACATGGTGAAACCCCATCTCTACTAAAAATACAAAAATTAGCCAGGCGTGGTGGCACATGCCTGTAGTCCCAGCTACTTGAGAGGCTGAAGCAGGAGAATCGCTTGAACCTGGGAGGCTAAGATTGCAGTGAGCCGAGATCGTGCCACTGCACTCCAGCCTGGACGACAGAGTGAGACTTCGTCTCAAAAAAAAAACCAAAAAAAAAATTAGCTGTGGGTCAGGCACTGTGGCTCACGCCTGTAATCCCAGCACTTTGGGAGACCGAGGTAGGTGGATGGCCTGAGGTCAGGAGTTCGAATCCAGCCTGGCCAACATGGTGAAAGCCCGTCTCTACTAAAAATACAAAAAATTAGTCAGGTATGTTGGCACACCTGTAATCCCAGCTACTCGGGAGGCTGAAGCAAGAGAATCGTTTGAACCCAGGAGGTGGACGTTGCAGTGAGCCGAGATTGGGCCACTGTACTCCAGCCTGGGCAACAAAAGTGAAACTCTGTCTGAAACAAACAAACAAACAAACAAACAGACAAACAAAAAAACTAGTTGTGGAGAGAGGGTGGCCTGTGTCTCATCCCAGTGTTTAACGGGATTTGTCATCTTCCTTGCTGCCTGTTTAGGACAAAGTATTTTGGACAGATATCATCAACGAAGCCATTTTCAGTGCCAACCGCCTCACAGGTTCCGATGTCAACTTGTTGGCTGAAAACCTACTGTCCCCAGAGGATATGGTTCTCTTCCACAACCTCACCCAGCCAAGAGGTAAGGGTGGGTCAGCCCCACCCCCCCAACCTTGAAACCTCCTTGTGGAAACTCTGGAATGTTCTGGAAATTTCTGGAATCTTCTGGTATAGCTGATGATCTCGTTCCTGCCCTGACTCCGCTTCTTCTGCCCCAGGAGTGAACTGGTGTGAGAGGACCACCCTGAGCAATGGCGGCTGCCAGTATCTGTGCCTCCCTGCCCCGCAGATCAACCCCCACTCGCCCAAGTTTACCTGCGCCTGCCCGGACGGCATGCTGCTGGCCAGGGACATGAGGAGCTGCCTCACAGGTGTGGCACACGCCTTGTTTCTGCGTCCTGTGTCCTCCAACTGCCCCCTCCTGAGCCTCTCTCTGCTCATCTGTCAAATGGGTACCTCAAGGTCGTTGTAAGGACTCATGAGTCGGGATAACCATACTTTTCTTGGATGGACACATCAGCACCGGGCTTGACATTTACCCAGTTCCCCTTTGATGCCTGGTTTCCTCTTTCCCGGCCCCCTGAAGAGGTGATCTGATTTCTGACAGGAGCCCTGAGGGAGGAAATGGTCCCCTTTGTTGACTTTTCTTTTTCTTTATTTTTTTCTTTTGAGATTTGCTGTCACCCAGCCTGGAATGCAGTGGTGCCATCTTGGCTCACTGCTACCTCTCCCACTGGGTTCAAGCAATTCTCCTGCCTCAGCCTCCCAAGTAGCTGGGATTACAAGCATGCGCCACCATGCCTGGCTAAGTTTTGTATTTTTAGTACAGACAGGGTTTCTCCATGGTGGCCAGGCTGGTCTTGAACTCCTGACCTCAGGTGATCCTCCCACCTCTGCCTCCCGAAGTGCTACGATTACAGGCATGAGCCACCGCGCCCATCCCCCTTTGTTGACTTTTCTCATCCTCTGAGAAAGTCTCAGTTGAGGCCAGCACCTCCCTCAAGTGAATTGAATCTCCCTTTTGAACAACAACAAATAACAATATGACCCAGACGTGGTGGCTCACACCTGTGGTCCCAGCTACTCGGGAGGCTGAGGTGTGAGGATTGCTTGAGCCCAGGAGGTCAAGGCTACAGAGAGCTATAATCACACCACTTCACTCCAGCCTGGGGGACAAAGTGAAACCCTGTCTGAAAAAAACAAAAAAAGAAAAAGGAAAAAGAAACAATACGATCACAAAGTAGATATTCATAGTGTTTATTTTCAGTACTCTTTTTTTTTTTTTTTTTTTTTTTTGAGACGGAGTCTTGCTCTGTTGCCCAGGCTGGAGTGCAGTGGCACGATCTTGGCTCACTGCAGCCTCTGCCTCCCAGGTTCAAGCGCTTGGCTCACTGCAACCTCCGCCTCCTGGGTTCAAGCGCTTCTTCTGCCTCAGCCTCCCCAGTAGCTGGGACTATAGGCACGTCCCACTACGCCCAGCTAATTTTTTGTATTTTTTAGTAGAGATGGGGTTTCACTATGTTAGCCAGGATGGTCTCGATCTCCTGACCTCGTGATCTGCCTGCCTTGGGCTCCCAAAGTGTTGGGATTATGGGCATGAGCCACTGCACCTGGCCTTTTTTTTTTTTTTTTTTGAGATGGAGTTTCGCTCTTGTTGCCCAGGCTGGAGTGCAATGGTGTGATCTCGGCTCACTGCAACCTCTGCCTCCTGGGTTCAAGCAATTCTCCTGCCTCAGCCTCCCGAGTAGCTGGGATTACAGGCACCTGCCACCACGCCTGGCTAATTTTTGTACTTTTAGTAGAGACGGGGTTTCTCCATGTTGGTCAGGCTGGTCTCAAACTCCTGACCTCAGGTGATCCACCCACCTCGGCCTCCCAAAGTTCTGGGATTACAGACATGAGCCACCGCGCCTGGCCGTGTCTGGCCTTTTTTAGTTATTTCTTTTTTTTTTTTTTTTTTTTTTGAGACAGAGTCTTACTCCGTCGCCCAGGCTGGAGTGCAGCGGTGCGATGTCTGCGCACTGCAAGCTCCGCCCCCTGGGTTCATGCCATTCTCCTGCCTCAGCCTTCTGAGTAGCTGGGACTGCAGGCGCCTGCCACTACGCCCGGCTACTTTTTTGTATATTTAGTAGAGATGGAGTTTCACTGTGTTAGCCAGGATGGTCTCGATCTCCTGACTTTGTGATCCGCCCGCCTCGGCCTCCCAAAGTGCTGGGATTACAGGCGTGAGCCACCATGCCAGGCTTTTTTTTTTTTTTTTTTTTTTGAGACGGAGTCTTGCTCTGTCGCCCAGGCTGGAGTGCAGTGCCATGATCTCAGCTCACTGCAAGCTCCACTTCCCAGGCTCACGCCATTCTCCAGCCTCAGCCTCCCAAGTAGCTGAGACTACAGGGGCCCGCCACCACACTCGGCTAATTTTTTTGTATTTTTAGTAGAGACGGGGTTTCACCATGTTAGCCAGGCTGGTCTTGAACTCCTAACCTCAGGCGATTCACCTGCCTCGGCCTCCCAAAGTGCTGGGATTAAAGGTATGAGCCACCTCGCCTGGTGTGAGCCACCTCGCCCAGCCTGAGCCACCTCACCCAGCCTAAGCCACTGTGCCTGGCCTGATTTTGGACTTTTTAAAAATTTTATTAATAATTATTTTTGGGTTTCTTTTTTTTGAGACAGGGTCTTACTCTGTCATCCAGGCCATCCTGTCTGTCTGTCATCCCAGTGATGGGATCATACCTTGCTGCAGCCTCTACCTCCTGGGCTCAAGCGATCCTCCCCCCTCAGCCTCCTGAGTAGCTGGGAGTACAGGTGTGCACCACCACACCTGGCTAATTTTTTTTTTTTTTTTTGTATATAGAGATGGTATTTTGCCATGTTGACCAGGCTAGTCTTAAACTCCTGGACTCACTCAAGAGATCCTCCTGCCTTGGCCTCCCAAGGTCATTTGAGACTTTCGTCATTAGGCGCACACCTATGAGAAGGGCCTGCAGGCACGTGGCACTCAGAAGACGTTTATTTATTCTTTCAGAGGCTGAGGCTGCAGTGGCCACCCAGGAGACATCCACCGTCAGGCTAAAGGTCAGCTCCACAGCCGTAAGGACACAGCACACAACCACCCGACCTGTTCCCGACACCTCCCGGCTGCCTGGGGCCACCCCTGGGCTCACCACGGTGGAGATAGTGACAATGTCTCACCAAGGTAAAGACTGGGCCCTCCCTAGGCCCCTCTTCACCCAGAGACGGGTCCCTTCAGTGGCCACGAACATTTTGGTCACGAGATGGAGTCCAGGTGTCGTCCTCACTCCCTTGCTGACCTTCTCTCACTTGGGCCGTGTGTCTCTGGGCCCTCAGTTTCCCTATCTGTAAAGTGGGTCTAATAACAGTTCTTGCCCTCTTTGCAAGGATTAAATGGGCCAAATCATATGAGGGGCCAGGTCCTTCAGGCTCCTGGTTCCCAAAGTCAGCCACGCACCGTGTGGGTCCCAAAATTTTATCAAGGCACATTCGTTGCCTCAGCTTCAGGCATCTGCCCAAAAAGGCCAGGACTAAGGCAAGGAGAGGGAGGGATTCCTCAGTACTCAGCTTTTCACAGAGGCTCCAAAAGGCTAAGGAATCCAGTAACGTTTTAACACAATTTTACAATTTTTTTTTTTGAGACGGAGTTTTGCTCTTGTTGCCCAGGCTGGAGTGCAGTGGCACGATCTCGGCTCACTGCAACCTCTGGCTCCCGGGTTCAAGCGATTCTCCTGCCTCAGTCTCCCGAGTAGCTGGGATTACAGGCATGCGCCACCACGCTCGGCTAATTTTGTATTTTTAGTACAGAAGGGGCTTCTCTGTTGGTCAGGCTGGTCGTGAACTCTCAACCTCAGGTGAGCCACCCGCCTGAGCCTCCCAAAGTGCTGGGATTACAGGTGTGAGCCACCACGCCTGGCCTTTTTTTTGAGACAGAGTCTCGCTCTCGCCCATGCTGTACTGCAGTGACGCAGTCTGGGCTCACTGTAACCTCCGCTTCCCAGGTTCAAGTGATTCTTCTGCCGCAGCCTCCCATGTAGAGTAGCTGGGATTACAGGCACCCGCCACCATGCCTGGCTAATTCTTGCATTTTTAGTAGAGATGGGGTTTCACAGTGTTGGCCAGGCTGGTCTCAAACTTCTGACCTCAAGTCATCTGCCTGCCTTGGCCCTGCCAAAGTGCTGGGATTATAGATGTGAGCCACCGCGCCTGGCCTACAGTTTATTCTTTGGTGGCTCACACCTGTAATCTCAGCACTTTGGGAGGCCAAGGTGGGAGAATGGCTTGAGCCCAGGAGTTCAAGTCCAGCCTGGGCAACATAGCAAGACCCTATCTCTACTACAAAATAAATAATAAATAAACTAATTTTTTTTCTTTTAAAACCCAACTATTCAACATGGCAATGCAATATATTAAAAAAATTTTTTTTTTCTTTGAAACGGAGTCTCTCACTGTCACCCGGGCTGGAGTGCAGTGTCGCCATCTTGGCTCACTGCAACCTCCGCCTCCCAGGTCCAAGTGATTCTCCTGCTTCAGCCTCCCGAGTAGCTGGGATTACAGGCACCCACCACCATACCCAGCTAATATTTTTGTATTTTTAGTAGAGATGGGGTTTCACTATGTTGGGCAGGCTGGTCTGGAACTCCTGACCTCGTGATCTGCCCGAGGATCGGCGGCCTCCCAAAGTGCTGGGGATTGCAGGCATGAGCCACCGTGCCCAGCCAAAACTTTTTTATTTTTATTTTTTTGGGACACGGTCTCACTGTGTACCCCAGACTGGAGTGATAGAGTGCTGTCATGGCTCACTGCAGCCTCAACCTCCCTGGGCTCAGGTGATCTTCCTGCTTCAGTCTCCCAGGTAGCTGGGACTACAGGCATGAGCCACCACACCCAGCTAATTTTTGAATTTTTTTGTAGAGACAGGGTTTCACCTTGTGGCCCAGACTTGTCTCTAACTCCAGGGCTCAAGCGATCTGCCCACCTTGGCCTCCCAAAGTGCTGAGATTAATGCAATTTAAAAAATTTTTTGGCCAGGCCTGGTGGCTCATGCCTGTATTCACAACACCTTGGGAGGCAAAGGTGGGCAGATCACTTGAGGTCAGGAGTTCGAGACTAGCCTGGCCAACATGGTGAAACCCCCTGTCTACTAAAAAAATACAAAAATTACCTGGGCACAGTGGTGGGTGCCTGTAATCCCAGCTACTTGGGATGCTGAGGGTGGAGAATTGCTTGAACCTGGGAGGCAGAAGTTGCAGTAAGCCAAGATCATGCCACTGGACTCCAGCCTCAGTGACAGAGCAAAACTCTGTCTCCAAAAAAATTGTTTTTTTTTTTTTTTTTTCAAATCATCACACTACAGCCAAGGCCTGGCCACTTACTTTTGTAAATAAAGTTTTATTGGAGCCAGTGGACCAGTGAGGCCGAATCTTGCAGGTGTAAGATCACAGTCTATCCTTGAAAATTTTGATATTTTGTTCATTGGGTGGTTTTTCATTAATTTAAATTTTAAAAAATAACATATTAAAGGCTGGTGTGGAGGTGCACGCCTGCAGTCCTAGCTACTCCCAGAGGCTGAGGCGGGAGACTTGCTTGAGCCCAAGAGTTGAAGTCCAGCCTGGGCAACATAGCGAGACCCCCATCTCTAAAAATAAAAATAATGCATTAGAATATTATTGGATTCCTGGGCAGGGCACAGTGGCTCACACCTGTAATCCCAGCACTTTGGGAGGCTGAGGTGGGTGGATCACCTGAGGTCAGGAGTTTGAGACCAGCCTGGCCAACATGGTGAAACCCCGTCTCTACTAAAAATACAAAAATTAGCCAGGCGTGGTGGCAGGTGCCTGTAATCCCAGCTACTCGGGAGGCTGAAGCACGAGAATCGCTTGAATCCAGGAGGCGGAGGTTGCAGTGAGCTGAGATTGCGCCATTGCACTCCAGCCTGGAGGACAAGAGTGAAACTCCATTCCCCTCTGCAAAGAAAAGGAATATTATCAGATTCCTAAGCTTTTTGGCTCCCCCTTTAGTTTGGGGGCTGGGGTGGTGAGTGTCTGACCTGGCCTCACTGTCCTCCCTGGATGTGATGAGACCCAGGTGTGGGTCAGGATGTCATTCGTTTGTCCACCAGAGGGCGCCCAAACTGCTTTGAGCTGCTGGGAAATGGTGCTCCTAGACTTTTAGCAAACAAACAAAAAAAAATGGCACATCGGCAAATTTCAGACCATTCTTTTTTTTTTTTTTTTTGGTTCCAGAGTAGCTGAAATCTTTGTTCAGTTACAAGCAGGATAAAATGGAAACTGCCTGGGAGAGGCTGAGAAACCTTCTTGCTTGGGGGAGGTGGGGCACTGCTAGAATTAATCGCTTCACAGACCAGCCCATCCAGGACTCCTCAAATTTGGCAAAAAAGCCATTCATTCATTCATTCATTTATGTAGAGACGAGGGGGATCTGGCTATATTGCCTAGATTGGTCTCAAATTCCTGGCCTCAAGTGATCCTCCTGCCTTGGTCTACTAATGTGCTGCGATTACAGGCATGAGCCACCGTGCCTAGCTCTAGTGGACTTGAAATGTTGCCTTGCCCAGGGCCCTTATGTTGAATGGCCCAGGTCCACTTGTATGGTTCTGTACCAAGGTTAACCCCATCCCATAATGCCTGGGACAGTTGATGCAGGACAATCAGCTTCTGTGCCATTCAACCTCAGGACTGAGCATGCTGGGCATTGTGGGGTCCGAAGGTGGCTCCCCTGTCCCCTTCAAAATACCCTCTTTTTCTTTTCTTCTTTTTTTTTTTTTTTTTTTTTTGAGACGAAGTCTTGCTCTGTTGCCCCAGCTAGAGTGCAGTGGTGCGATCTCAGCTCCCCGCAACCTCTGCTTCCCGGGTTCAGGCGATTCTCCTGCCTCAGCCTCCTGAGTAGCTGGGATTACAGGTGCCCACCGCCACAGCTGGCTAATTTTTGTATTTTTAGTAGAGACAGGGTTTCACCGTGTTGGCCAGGCTGGTCTTGAACTCCTGACCTCAGGCAACCTGCCCACCTCAGCCTCCCAAAGTGCTGGGATTACAGGTTTGAGCCACTGGGCCTGGCCTTTTTTTTTTTTTTTTGAGAGGGAGTCTCACTCTGTTGCCCAGGCTGGAGTGCAATGGCGCGATCTTGACTCACTGCAACTCCATTTCCCGGGTTCAAGTGATTCTCCTCCCTCAGCCTCCCAAGTAGCTGGGATTACAGGTGCATGCCACCACGGCCAGCTAATTTTGTATTTTTAGTAGAGACAGGGTTTCACTATGTTGATCATGCTGGTCTCAAACTCCTGACCTTAGGTGATCTGCCCGCCTTAGCCTCCCAAAGTGTTGGGATTACAGGTGTGAGCCACCGCGCCCAGACCAAAATATGCTCATTTTAATAAAATGCACAAGTAGGTTGACAAGAATTTCACCTGCAACCTTGTCAACCACCTAGAATAAAAGCCTCTGCAGCCCTCCCCTAAAGACTCATCAATGTGAGGCTCAAGAACCTTCTTAGGCTGGGCTCGGTGGCTCATTTCTGTAATCCCTGCACTTTGGAAGGCTGAGGCAGGAGGATCTCTTGAGGCCAGGAGTTCAAGACAAGCCTGGGCAACATAGCCAGACCTCTGTTTCTATCCCCCACAAAAAGAACCTTCTTAAACCGGAATTGAGTCCTACAACCTCGATAACTCACAAATAAGCCCGTGTGGCCTCTCACAGACTTGGGAAGTTCTCCAAGTGTCCAGGGAGATGTGCCAGGCGCTTTCCTGCCGTGACCACCGTCCTCTGCCTGCTCCATTTCTTGGTGGCCTTCCTTTAGACCTGGGCCTCACTCTTGCTTCTCTCCTGCAGCTCTGGGCGACGTTGCTGGCAGAGGAAATGAGAAGAAGCCCAGTAGCGTGAGGGCTCTGTCCATTGTCCTCCCCATCGGTAAGCGCGGGCCGGTCCCCCAGCGTCCCCCAGGTCACAGCCTCCCGCTATGTGACCTCGTGCCTGGCTGGTTGGGCCTGTTCACTTTTTCTCCTGGACAGGGAACAGCCCCACTGGTGTCCTTTATCACCCCCACGGCCTCTCCTGGCTTGGGGCTGACAGTGACAAGATCAGACAGCTAAGGGGTCAGATGGAGGATGTGGAGCTGGGTCCCGTGCTGTGGAATAGCCTCACCGAGATTTGAGTGCCTTCTGGGGAACTGGTTCCCTTGCAGGGGGCTGTGTGGAGAGGCGCGCTCTCCCTGCCTCACCCATGCTCATCCTAACTCGGTTACCATCACATCTCTTTTTTCTTTTTTTCTTAAATTTTAAGAAAAAAGAAATTTAATTTTTTTGAGAGACAGAGTCTTGCTCTGTCACCCAGGCTGGAGTGCAGTGGCACCATCATGCCTCGCTGCAGCCTCAATGTCTGGGCTCAAGCGATCCTCCCACCTCAGCCTCCTGAGTAGCTGGTGCAAGCCACTATACCCCACTTCCTATTTCTTAAAAAGTCACAGCCCTGTGTGTGGCTAATCCTGGACAGAAATCTAGAAGAAGTCAGCTACTTCTGGGGCGTGGCTCACCCAGTGGGCTTCAGGTTAGATATTTCTTATACTTATGAGGCTGGGTGTGGTGGCTTATGCCTGTAATCCCAGCACTTTGGGAGGCTGAAGTGGGTGGATTGCTTGGGCTCAGGAGTTCGAGACCAACCTGGGCAACATGGCGAAACCCTGTTTCTAGAAAAGGTACAAAAATTAGCTGGGCAGGTGGCACGTGCCTGTGGTACCAGCTACTTGAGGGCCTGAGGCAGGAGGATCGCTTGAACCTGGGAGGTCGAGGTTGCAGTGAACTGAGATCATGTCACTGCACTCCAGCCTGGTGACAGAGCAAGACCCCGTCTCAAAAAAAAAAAAAGAAAGAAAAAAATTCTTATGCATAGATTTGCCTCTTTTCTGTTTGTTTGTTTTGAGATGGAGTCTCGCTCTGTCGCCCAGGCTGGAGTACAGTGGCTCAACCTCGGCTCACTGCAACCTCTGCCTCCCGGGTTCAAGCAATTCTCCTGCCTCAGCCTCCTGAGTAGCTGGGACTACAGGCGCCCGCCACCATGCCCAGCTAATTTTTGTATTTTTAGTAGAGACTGACTGGGTTTCATCATGTTGGCCAGGCTGGTCTCGAACTCTTGACCTCATGATCCGCCCGCCTCAGCCTCCCAAAATGCTGGGATTACAGGCGTGAGCCACCAGGCCCAGGCCGCAAGGCGATCTCTAAACAAACATAAAAGACCAGGAGTCAAGGTTATGGTACGATGCCCGTGTTTTCACTCCAGCCACGGAGCTGGGTCTCTGGTCTCGGGGGCAGCTGTGTGACAGAGCGTGCCTCTCCCTACAGTGCTCCTCGTCTTCCTTTGCCTGGGGGTCTTCCTTCTATGGAAGAACTGGCGGCTTAAGAACATCAACAGCATCAACTTTGACAACCCCGTCTATCAGAAGACCACAGAGGATGAGGTCCACATTTGCCACAACCAGGACGGCTACAGCTACCCCTCGGTGAGTGACCCTCTCTAGAAAGCCAGAGCCCATGGCGGCCCCCTCCCAGCTGGAGGCATATGATCCTCAAGGGACCAGGCCGAGGCTTCCCCAGCCCTCCAGATCGAGGACAGCATTAGGTGAATGCTTCTGTGCGCTCATTCAGAATGTCAGCGGACAATGGCCTTGGTGGTGTAGAGGAATGTTGGATAAGCAAATAGAGAGCTCCATCAGATGGTGACAGGGCAAAGAAAGTCAAAAGGAGTTCAGAGGCCGGGCGCGGTGGCTCATGCCTGTAATCCCAGGACTTTGGGAGGCCGAGGCTGGCGGATCACCTGAAGTCAGGAGTTTGAGACCAGCTTGGCCATCATGACAAAACCCCGTCTCTATTAAAAATACAAAAAATTAGCCAGGCGTGGGAGTGGGCGCCTGTAATCCCAGCTACTCGGGAGGCCGAGGTAGAAAAATCGCTTGAACCTAGGAGGCAGAGGTTGCAGTGAGCCGAGATCGCGCCACTGCATTCCAGCCCGGGAGGCAAGAGCAAAACTCCATCTCAAAAAAAAAAAAAAAAGGAGTTCAGAGGCCCGGCATGGTGGTTCACACATGTGATCCCAGAACTTGGGGAGGTTGAGGCAGGAGAATCACCTGAGCTCAGAGTTCAAGACCAGCCTGGGCAGCACAGCAAGACCCCATCTCTGCAAAAAATAAAAATTTAGCCCAGTGTGGTGATGAGCGCCTAGTTCCAGCTACTAGGGAGGCTAAGGCAGGAGGATTGCTTGAGGCTAAGGTAGGAGATTGAGACTGCAGTGACTTGTGATTGCGTCACTGCGCTCCAGCCTGGGTGACAGAGCAAGCCCTTGTCTCTTAAAAAAAAAAAAAAATTCAAAGAAGGGTTTCCAGAGGGCCAGGAGGGAGGAAGGGAGAGGAGGTGTTTTATTTTTTTGCTTTTATTTTTTATTTTGAGACAGAGTCTCTCTCTGTCACCCAGGTTGGAGTGCAGTGCTGTGATCTTGGCTCACTGCAACTTCTGCCTCCTGGGTTCAAGCAATTCTTATGCCTCAGCCTCAGCCTCCTGAGTAGCTGGGATTACAACACTATGCCCGGGTAATTTTTGTATTTTTAGTAGAGACGAGGTTTCGCCATGTTGCCCAGACTGGTCTCGAACTCCTGACCTCAAGTGATCCACCCGCCTTGGCCTCCCCACGTGCTGGGATTGCAGGCGTGAGCCACTGCGCCCGCCTTGATCTTTACACAAGGGGTTTAGGGTAGGTAGCCTTCTCTGAACCAGGAGAACAGCCTGTGCGAAGGCCCTGAGGCTGGACCGTGCCTGTTGGGTTTGAGGCCGTTGTAGCTGGAGCAAACAGAGAGAGGGGTAAAAAGGCAGGAGGCTACCAGGCAGGTTGTGCAGAGCCTTGTGGGCCACTGGGGAGGACTTTGGCTTTTGCCCTGAGAGCGGTGGGAAGTGACTGAATCCGGTACTCACCGTCTCCCTCTGGCGGCTCCTGGGGGAACATGCTTGGGGATCAGGCTGGGGGAGGCTGCCAGGCCCAGGAGGTGAGAAGTAGGTGGCCTCCAGCCGTGTTTCCTGAATGCTGGACTGATAGTTTCCGCTGTTTACCATTTGTTGGCAGAGACAGATGGTCAGTCTGGAGGATGACGTGGCGTGAACATCTGCCTGGAGTCCCGTCCCTGCCCAGAACCCTTCCTGAGACCTCGCCGGCCTTGTTTTATTCAAAGACAGAGAAGACCAAAGCATTGCCTGCCAGAGCTTTGTTTTATATATTTATTCATCTGGGAGGCAGAACAGGCTTCGGACAGTGCCCATGCAATGGCTTGGGTTGGGATTTTGGTTTCTTCCTTTCCTCGTGAAGGATAAGAGAAACAGGCCCGGGGGGACCAGGATGACACCTCCATTTCTCTCCAGGAAGTTTTGAGTTTCTCTCCACCGTGACACAATCCTCAAACATGGAAGATGAAAGGGGAGGGGATGTCAGGCCCAGAGAAGCAAGTGGCTTTCAACACACAACAGCAGATGGCACCAACGGGACCCCCTGGCCCTGCCTCATCCACCAATCTCTAAGCCAAACCCCTAAACTCAGGAGTCAACGTGTTTACCTCTTCTATGCAAGCCTTGCTAGACAGCCAGGTTAGCCTTTGCCCTGTCACCCCCGAATCATGACCCACCCAGTGTCTTTCGAGGTGGGTTTGTACCTTCCTTAAGCCAGGAAAGGGATTCATGGCGTCGGAAATGATCTGGCTGAATCCGTGGTGGCACCGAGACCAAACTCATTCACCAAATGATGCCACTTCCCAGAGGCAGAGCCTGAGTCACTGGTCACCCTTAATATTTATTAAGTGCCTGAGACACCCGGTTACCTTGGCCGTGAGGACACGTGGCCTGCACCCAGGTGTGGCTGTCAGGACACCAGCCTGGTGCCCATCCTCCCGACCCCTACCCACTTCCATTCCCGTGGTCTCCTTGCACTTTCTCAGTTCAGAGTTGTACACTGTGTACATTTGGCATTTGTGTTATTATTTTGCACTGTTTTCTGTCGTGTGTGTTGGGATGGGATCCCAGGCCAGGGAAAGCCCGTGTCAATGAATGCCGGGGACAGAGAGGGGCAGGTTGACCGGGACTTCAAAGCCGTGATCGTGAATATCGAGAACTGCCATTGTCGTCTTTATGTCCGCCCACCTAGTGCTTCCACTTCTATGCAAATGCCTCCAAGCCATTCACTTCCCCAATCTTGTCGTTGATGGGTATGTGTTTAAAACATGCACGGTGAGGCCGGGCGCAGTGGCTCACGCCTGTAATCCCAGCACTTTGGGAGGCCGAGGCGGGTGGATCATGAGGTCAGGAGATCGAGACCATCCTGGCTAACACGTGAAACCCCGTCTCTACTAAAAATACAAAAAATTAGCCGGGCGTGGTGGCGGGCACCTGTAGTCCCAGCTACTCGGGAGGCTGAGGCAGGAGAATGGTGTGAACCCGGGAAGCGGAGCTTGCAGTGAGCCGAGATTGCGCCACTGCAGTCCGCAGTCTGGCCTGGGCGACAGAGCGAGACTCCGTCTCAAAAAAAAAAAACAAAAAAAAACCATGCATGGTGCATCAGCAGCCCATGGCCTCTGGCCAGGCATGGCGAGGCTGAGGTGGGAGGATGGTTTGAGCTCAGGCATTTGAGGCTGTCGTGAGCTATGATTATGCCACTGCTTTCCAGCCTGGGCAACATAGTAAGACCCCATCTCTTAAAAAATGAATTTGGCCAGACACAGGTGCCTCACGCCTGTAATCCCAGCACTTTGGGAGGCTGAGCTGGATCACTTGAGTTCAGGAGTTGGAGACCAGGCCTGAGCAACAAAGCGAGATCCCATCTCTACAAAAACCAAAAAGTTAAAAATCAGCTGGGTACGGTGGCACGTGCCTGTGATCCCAGCTACTTGGGAGGCTGAGGCAGGAGGATCGCCTGAGCCCAGGAGGTGGAGGTTGCAGTGAGCCATGATCGAGCCACTGCACTCCAGCCTGGGCAACAGATGAAGACCCTATTTCAGAAATACAACTATAAAAAAATAAATAAATCCTCCAGTCTGGATCGTTTGACGGGACTTCAGGTTCTTTCTGAAATCGCCGTGTTACTGTTGCACTGATGTCCGGAGAGACAGTGACAGCCTCCGTCAGACTCCCGCGTGAAGATGTCACAAGGGATTGGCAATTGTCCCCAGGGACAAAACACTGTGTCCCCCCCAGTGCAGGGAACCGTGATAAGCCTTTCTGGTTTCGGAGCACGTAAATGCGTCCCTGTACAGATAGTGGGGATTTTTTGTTATGTTTGCACTTTGTATATTGGTTGAAACTGTTATCACTTATATATATATATATACACACATATATATAAAATCTATTTATTTTTGCAAACCCTGGTTGCTGTATTTGTTCAGTGACTATTCTCGGGGCCCTGTGTAGGGGGTTATTGCCTCTGAAATGCCTCTTCTTTATGTACAAAGATTATTTGCACGAACTGGACTGTGTGCAACGCTTTTTGGGAGAATGATGTCCCCGTTGTATGTATGAGTGGCTTCTGGGAGATGGGTGTCACTTTTTAAACCACTGTATAGAAGGTTTTTGTAGCCTGAATGTCTTACTGTGATCAATTAAATTTCTTAAATGAACCAATTTGTCTAAACTCGATGCACGTTCTTCTGTTCGCGCGCTTCTTTTTGTTTTTTTTTTTTTCCTGAGATGGAGCCTGGCTCTGTCACCCCTGGCTGGAGTGCAGTGGCATGATCTCGGCTTACTGCAAGCTCCGCCTCCCAGGTTCAAGCAATTCTCCTGCCTCAGCCTCCCTAGTAGCTAGGATTACAGGTGAGTGCCACCACGCCTGGCCAATTTTTTTTTTTTTTTTTTTTTTGAGACAGAGTCTCGCTCTGTCACCCAGGCTGGAGTGCAGTGGTGTGATCTCGGCTCACTGCAAGCTCTGCCTCCCAGGTTAATGCCATTCTCCTGTCTCAGCCTCCTGAGTAGCTGGGGCCACAGGCGCCTGCCACCACGCCCGGCTAATTTTTTTTTGTACTTCTTTTAGTACAGACGGGGTTTCACCATGTTAGCCAGGATGGTCTCGATCTCCTGACCTTGTGATCCACCTGCTTCGGCCTCCCAAAGTGCTGAGATTACAGGCGTGAGCCACCGCGGGTGGCCAACGCTAATTTTTTTGTTTTTTTAGATGGAGTCTTGCTCTGTCGCCCAGGCTGGAGTGCAGTGGCGTGATCTCTGCCTACTGCAAGCTCCGCCTCCCGGGTTCATGCCATTCTCCTGCCTCAGCCTCCTGAGTAACTGGGACTACAGGCACCCGCCACCACGCCCGGCTAATTTTTTGTATTTTTAGTAGAGACAGGGTTTCACCGTGTTAGCCAGGATGGTCTTGATCTCCTGACCTTGTGATCCACCCGTCTCGGCCTCCCAAAGTGCTGGGATTAGAGGTGTGAGCCACCACACCTGGCCTAGCCTGGCTAATTTTTGTATTTTTGGTAGAGACGGGGTTTCACCATGTTGGTCAGGCTGGTCTTGAACTTCTGACCTCAGGTAATCTGCCTGCCTCAGTCTCCCAAAGTGCTGGGATTACAGGTGTGAGCCACCGCGCCTGGCCTCACTTCCTTCTGTCATCTGTTTGTGGATTGGACTCCCCAGGAGAAGGACCCA
The DNA here is from genome assembly GCF_000001405.40 of Homo sapiens. Taxonomy (NCBI): domain Eukaryota; kingdom Metazoa; phylum Chordata; class Mammalia; order Primates; family Hominidae; genus Homo; species Homo sapiens. The sequence goes on from NC_000019.10 coordinate 11,134,844, forward strand.
GAAGGGGAAGACTCCCAGAACTCCGGGCAAGATGCAATCTCCGTGGGCTGCCACAGTGCCTGGCAGGTGCTGTGATGGCTGAGCTGGTGATTGTGTTCTCTGCTGTCGCTTCTCTGAGTTGGAGATTTTGTCAAGTCCCCTGCTCATCCATTCATACACTCGACAAATATCTGTTGAGTGCTAAGTGCGAACCATGCTCTGCCGTAGGCTTGTGGGACACTACAGGGGATATAAGAAATGAAAGCCGGGTGTGGTGGCTCACACCTGTAATCCTAGCAGTTTGGGAGGCCGAGGCGGGCAGATCATGAGGTCAGGAGATCGAGACCATCCTAGCTAACACAGTGAAACCCCATCTCTACTAAAAATACAAAAAATTAGCCAGGCGTGGTGGTGGGCGCCTGTAGTCCCAGCTGCTTGGGAGGCTGAGGCAGGAGAATAGCGTGAACCTGGGAGTTGGAGCTTGCAGTGAGCCGAGATCGCACCACTGCACTCTAGCCTGGGCAACAGAGCAAGACTCCATCTACAAAAAAAAAAAAAAGAAATGAAGTCTTGATACGGTGGCTCATGCCTGTAATCCCAGCACTTTGGGAGGCCAAGGCAGGCGGATCACGAGCTCAGGAGATCGAGACCATCCTGGCCAACGTGGCGAAACCCAGTCTCTACTAAAGATACAAAAAATTAGCCAGGCATGGTGGCGGGCGCCTGTAGTCCCAGCTACTTGGGAGGCTGAGGCAGGAGAATGGCATGAACCCAGGAGGCAGAGCTTGCAGTGAGCTGAGATCGCGCCACTGCACTCCAGCCTGGGCGACAGAGCGAGACTCTGTCTCAAAAAAAAAACAAAAAAGAAATGAAAATCTCCCTGTCTGTCCTTAAGGACCTGACATCATTTTATTTTATTTATTTTTTTGAGACAAGGTCTTGCTTTATTGCCCAGGCTGGAGTGCAGTGGCACAATCTTGGCTCACTGCAACCTCCACCTCCCGGGTTCAAGCGATTCTCCTGCCTCAGCCTCCTGTGTTGCTGGGATCACAGGCGCGTACCCGGCTAATTTTTATATTTTCAGTAGAGATGGGGTTTTGCCATGTTGGCCAGGCTATTCTTGAACTCTTGACCTCAAGTCGTCTACCGCCTCGGCCTCCCAAAATGCTAGGATTACAGGTGTGAGCCACCGCACCAAGCCAAATGTTACTTCATTAGAGAAACTCCCCCTGAAGAAAACTTCCTTCCTGCCAGTTGCTTTTCTGTCCCCATACTCTGTTTAATATTCTTCTAGAATATTCTTCTAAAATGTAGCAATTTTTTGTATCTATTCTAAAAATGGAGGCCAAGGAAGGCAGATCACTTGAGGTCAGGAGTTTGAGACTAGCCTGGCCAACATGGTGAAACCATGTCTCTACTAAAAAGGGTAAGATTTTGAGGCTGCAGTGAGCTATGACGGCACCATTGCACTCCAGGCTGGGCAACAGAGCGAGACACCATCTCAATAAAAAAAAAAAAAAGCAGGGTGCGGTGGCTCAAGCCTGTAATCCCAACACTTTGGGAGGCTGAGGCAGGCGGATCATGAGGTCAGGAGTTCGAGACCAGCCTGCCCAACATAGTGAAACCCTGTCTACTAAAAATACAAAAAAATTAGCCGGGTATGCTGGCAGGTGACTGCACCATAAAAAATGTTCAAGATTAAACAGGGGGACGGTGAGGTAACCCAGAAATAAGCAACAGCAGAAAGCGCCACCACCACAAAACCAGGAGAGGAAGATGTGGTTTCTGGAGCCTGGGAGCTGGTGAGAGCCAGAAACTCATAGGAGGGAAAGAAGTGCTGCAGACATGGTCCCCAGCAGAGCGAGGCGGGGAAGAGCCCAGCCTGTCCCCCGCTCCAGGCTCTATCTCCCACCAGTGCCTCCCACGGGCTGAGCCCAACAGGGACAGGCTGATGAAGCCCAGGCAATGGTGCCTTACTGGGTGGATCGAAGGAGGGACAGGGTTGGCCCAGGGGTGACACGACACTGGGGTGGTTAGGTCCACAAACGTGGCTCATGCCTGTAATCCCAGTACCTTGGGAAGCTGAGGCAGGAGGATTGCTTGAGCCCAGGAGTTCAAGAGCAGTCTGGGCAACATAGCAAGACCCCATCTCTAAAAAACGTTTTTAAATTTCTGGGCTCAGTGGCTCATGCCTATAATCCCAGCACTCTGGGAGGCCGAGGCAGGCGGATCACCTGAGGTCAGGAGTTCAAAACCAGCCTAGCCAAAATGGCAAAACCCCGCCTCTACTAAAAATACAAAAATTAGTTGGGTGTGGTGGCGCATGCCTGTAATCCCAGCTACTTGGGAGGCTGAGGCAGGAGAATCGCTTGAACTCGGGAGGCCGAGGTTGCACTGAGCCAAGATCGCACCACTGCACTCCAGCCTGACAGAGCGAGACACTGCGTCAAAAAAACAGACAACAACAACAGAAAAAGTTTTAAAATTACCAGCCGGATGCGATGGCGCACACCTGTAGTCCCAGATACTTGGAGGCTGAGGTGGGAAGATCTCTTGAGTCCAGCACTTTGGGAGGCCAAGGTGGGCGGATCACCTGAGGTTGGGGGTTTGAGACCAGCCTGACCAACATGGAGAAACCCCATCTCTACTAAAAATACAAAATTAGCTGGGTGTGGCGGCGCATGCCTGTAATCCCAGCTACGCGGGAGGCTGAGGTAGGAGAATTGCTTGAACCTGGGAGGAAGAGGTTGCGGTGAGCCGAGATTGCACCATTGCACTCCAGCCTGGGAAACTCTGTCTCAAAAAAACAAAACAAAACACAACAAAAACCCAAAAAGAGCAGACTGACCAGGCCGTCTGGGTTCATAACCTGGCTCTGCCACTGACTCGCTGGGTGACAGGCACCTCAGAGCCTCAGTTTCCCCACCTGACAATGGAGACAAAGCTAATCTCCCCCTCCCCAGGGGCTCTGGAAGTGGGGCAGGATGGGGCTGCGCAGGCGCTCGGAGACAAAGGCAGGGCCTGTCATCTTTCCTGCGTCCACGGGGTGGCACTTCCTTCCTGCCTTCCGCCTTTTGTTTTGGGACGCTTCCAAAACGCCCCTGGGAGGGAAAACTGAGCAGCCCACACAGGAAGCGTCCTGGAGCCTGCACACAGGCGCTCGATAATTGCTCGATTGACGAAATTGGTGCTCAACCAAGTGGCAAACAGGATAAGCGGGCTCAGATGGCCAGGAAAACGGGAGGGCCTGGGAGGTGGCGGCTCGAGGGTGCTGAGACTGAGACGGGAGGGTGGGCAGGACCGGGGTGCATCCCCAGGCAGGGGTGGGGACTGGGAGCACAGCATGGGTGGGGCATGGCCCAGAGGAGAGGCCAGAGGTGATGGAAGGTTCTGGTATTCGGCCTTGGCTGCTGCATTGGGAGCTTGTATCAGAGCTTTGAGGGTGACACAGACATGCAGACATTCAGTTTCCTGACAATCCATCGTTCTGCCCCGATGGTCGCCAAAGGGAGGGAGGGTTGACAGCCACCCATTTTACAGAGAGAAATAGGAGGCTCGGGTCACTGTGGCTGGATTCTGATCCTCGCCGGTTCCAGTTCTCTGGCTCAGAACGGGGCCCTGGTAAAATGCGCTGCTGGCTCCCTGGTCTATAGGCTCAGCACCCACCCACCCACCCACTTGTCCTGCAGGGCTGGGGGCAGCCTGCAGCTTGGGGAACGCCACCCCTGCAGGCTGGTGGTCCTGTCCTGTCTCCGCAGGCTCAACAGCTCTGGCCAGGACAGGGTGGAAGGTGGGAGGAATTTGTCCCACTCCCAGCAAGTCTGACACCCACAACTAGTGTCCCCTGCTGTCCCTCCCCTTCTCCTGTCCCCAGGCCGTTCCCCTTCCAGCAGCCCGAGGCATCCCAGACCACAGCTGTCTGCAGTGAGTCAGCCTGGAGCCTCTGGGCTGAGCCGCGGCTGCCAGAGGGAGGTGGGGAGAGGGGTGCAGGCTGCCCTGCCCTGCAGCTGGCCCTGGCCTAATCCCCTCCCCGCTCCCCAGTCTGGGGTCAGCACCCTCCTCCCTTGCAGGCAGTGATTTTCCGTGATGATGAAGGAATAAAAAAGCCACGGAGGGTTCTGAGTGGGAGTCCCTGGTCCCCATCACCCCACTGAGCATGGCCGCTGGGGTTTCCTGGCAACTTTCTGCTCCATCCGGAGCCGTCCCTCCCCTGGGCTGGGCTGCTCTGGGGCTGTTCCTGGGATGGGGAGCGGGGAGCTTGGGAGTAAATAGTGACATCAGCCACCTAGACAGGCGGGGCCACTGTGTCAAGGGGCCATGTCAGGTTCCCTTCTCCCAGAGCTGGGGCTTGTCTTGGAATTGGAAAATCCTCCCCACATTGCCCTGTGGACTGCAGGCCTGGCGTGATCAAGGACCCCTGCCCTCCTGCCATCCCCCTTGGTCTCCTCCATGCCAGCCTTGCTGTTTCCCCTGCCTGGCTCACAGTCTCCACACCTTTATCCCCTGGGGGCTCAAGTCTGGGACAAATGACACCTCCTCCCTGGGCCTCCCACAGAGCCACAGAGCGTCACCCCCCACCACCCCACAGCGTTCATTTGTGGGTCAGGATTAAGAGCACAAGCTCTGAACACACTCAGCTCAGATTAAAGCCCTGGCTCTGCCACCCGTCTACAGAAAAACTGACACAGTGGCCTCCACTGGGGTGTGGCTCCATGAAGGAGGGTCTGGCGGGCCACAGGCTTACAGTACTCATTTCTCTTTTCTTTTCTTTCTTCCTTCATTTCCTTTCTCTCTCTCCTTCCTTCCTCCCTCCCTCCCTTCCTTCCTTCTTTCTTCCTTTGTTTCTCTCTCTTTTTTTTTTGAGACGGAGTCTCGCTCTGTCGCCCAGGCTGGAGTGTAGTGGTGCGATCTCAGCTCAAGGCAACCACCACCTCCTGGGTTCAAACGATTCTCTTAGCCTCCTGAGTAGCTGGGATTACAAGCACGCACCACCACGCCTGGCTAGTTTTTGTGTGTTTAGTAAAGATAGGGTTTCACCATGTTGGCTGAGCTGGTCTTGAACTCCTGACCTCAAGCAATCTGCCCCACCTCGGCCTCCAGAAGCGTTGGGATTACAGGCGTGAGCCACCACACCGGCTTCTCCTCTCCCTCTCCTCTTTCTCCTTTTCCTTCCTTTCTTCCTTCCTTCCCTTCCCCTTCCTTCCTTCCTTCCTTCATTCTTTCTTCCCCCCGCTCCCCCCTCTTTTTTTTTGAGACAGGGTCTTGCTTTGTCACCCAGGCTGGAGCGCAGTGGTGCAATCCTAGCTCACTGCAGCCTTGACCTCCCAGGGTTGAGGCAATCCTCCCACCTCAGCCTCCCAAGTAGCCAGGACTACGAGTGCACGCCACCATGCCTGGCTAATTTTTTAGTTTTTTTTTGTAGAGACAGGAGTCTCACTGTGTTGTCCAGGCTGGTCTTGAACTCCTCGGTTCAAGCAATCTTCCTGCCTTGGCCTCCTAAAGTGCTGGGATTACAGGCGTGAGCCACAGCACCTGGCCCAGTCCACATTTCTAAGTAAATATGGGAGGCCAGCCAGGTGCAGTGGCTGTAATCCCAGCACTTTGGGAGGCCGAGGTGGGTGGATCACCTGAGGTCAGGAGTTCCAGACCAGTCTGGCCAACATGGTGAAATCCCGTCTTTACTAAAAATACAAAAATTAGCCGGGCGTGGTGGCTCATGCCTGTAATCCCAGCACTTTGGGAGGCTGAGGCGGCAGATCACAAGGTCAGGAGATCGAGACCATCCTGGCTAATACGGTGAAACCCGTCTCTATTAAAAATACAAAAAATTAGCCGGGCATGGTGGCAGGAGCCTGTAGTCCCAGCTACTCAGGAGGCTGAGGCAGGAGAATGGTGTAAACCCGGGAGGCAGAGCTTGCAGTGAGCCGAGATGGTGCCACTGCACTCCAGCCCAGGTGAGAGTGTGAGACTCCGTCTCAAAAAAACAAAATAAAACAAAAAATACAAAAATTAGCGGGGCGTGATGGCAGGTGCCTGTAGTCCCAGCTACTTAGGAGGCTGAGGGAAGAGAATCACTTGAACCCGGGAAGCAGAAGTTGCAGTGAGCCGCGATCGCATCACTGCACTGCAGCCCGGGTGACAGAGCAAGACTCCATCTCAAAAAAAAAAAAAAAAAAAAGGGAGGCCACTGGAGGTTGTGGGGCCACCATGAGAGTCGACAAGGGTGGCCCACATTCCTAGATGAGTTGCCTGGAGGCTGTAGTCCCAGACCTCAGGGGGGTCCCCTCCGGAACCCAAACACTGTCATGCCAATGACACAAAACTGGTCTTCCTGGCCTCTCCCATCCTGTCCAGCCTAGAAGGGAGACTGAGACTTCAGATCCGACAACCATGGGTTCAAATCCAGCCTTGAAAACTTCCCATGCACAGGCAAGCCCCATTGCGATCTGTTTCTTTTCTTTTCCTTTCTTTCTTTTTTTTTTTTTTTTTTTTTTTGAGACAGTCTTGCTCTGTCACCCAGGCTAGAGTGCAGTGGCGTGATCTCGGCTCACTGCAACCTCCGCCTCACAGGTTCAAGCGATTCTCCTGCCTCAGCCTCCCAAGTAGCTGGGATTACAGGTGCCCATCACCGTGCCCAGCTAATTTTTGTATTTTTAGTAGAGACGGGAGTTTCACCATCTTGGCCAGGCTGGTCTCGAACTCCTGACCTCGTGATCTGCTTGCCTCAGCCTGCCAAAGTGCTGGGATTACAGGGGTGAGCCACTGTGCCCGGCTGCGATCTGTTTCTTTTAACCGTAAACTGGGAAGAACTTTGACCACCTCTTAGTCCAGAACTATCAGGGAAGGGGCACTGAATGCCAGGCTGGAGGAGGGTTGCATGAAAGGCTTGACCCCAGCTACTCAGGAGGCTGAGGCAGAAGGACTGTTTGACCTGATGAATTCGAGGCTGCAGTGAGGCTGTGATCGCGCCACTGCACTCCAGCCTAGGCAATAGAGTGAGACCCTGTCTCTAAAAAAAAAAAAAAAAAAATGGCTCAGCCATCCCAAGCTGCTCCCAGCTGCCTGCCCCTCTAGGTGGCCCCCACTACTGGCCTGAGGATGCACTTTATCCCCGCCAGGGCCTGAGGAGTCCTGGGGAAAGGTACCCAAGTCTAGTCCTCAGGAGAAGCCGCCCAGGGAGCACTAGGGCCCGAGGAAGGGTTCAACCTCGAGACTCCATAGCCCCTGGGCTCCCGTCCCCAGAAACACCAGTTACGAGCAGGGGGCTGGCCATGGTGTGAATTCATGACCTGCACACCTCTTGCCGTAATGACTAAGTGGCTAGAGCTTCAGGCTGCCCCACTGCTGCCCTCTGGAGCTCGAGCAGGTGCAGGTGTGGGTGCCCACCCTGGCTTGGCCTCTTCTCACCTGGGTGGCTTCGGACACAGGGTGGACTCCTCAAAGGGGCTGCTTCCCATCTGAGAAGCCAGCATAATCCTCCAGGGGCTACTGATATACACACGCTGCCCCTGGTCCTGAGTTAGATCACCCTGCCCCTAGGGAGGGCTTGGGGGCTTCACTGCTGAAGTTCAGACTCCAGGGTGGTCCTTGTCCTGTGTGCCTCAGTTTCCCCATCTGTAAAATGGATGGTCCTGGGGCTGAGCCTCAGTGCTGCAGGGACTAGTGTGGAACCCTGTGTCCTGGTGCCTGAAACCTTACTCCCACCTCAGCAGGGCTGGGCTGAGCCATCAGCAAGCCTCTGGCCGGCCTCCATCATTCAGGAAAGAGCCGGTGGCTGAAGGCACAGCTCTCAGAGGGAGAACAAACGGGGGCGGGGGTGGGATGGGGGCGGGGCCGGAGGCCACCGGCCTCAGGCTGTCCTGGGCATCCAGCCAGTGCTGGGCAGTGAGTCAGGGGCCAGGCATGTGGAGTGGGGCCTCTCCCAGCCCCGGAGATCAGGCACCTCCCGGAACCCGCCTGCTGGGCCCCCACCAGGCCGCGTTCCTCTCCCACTCGCTCTCCCCATAGAGGGGACCCTGGACCTGCCTGGGGGGGACGAGGATGGGGATGTGGCTGGTGGGCACAGGGCCTCTCTGAGCCCCGGCACAGGCCGCCTGATGGGACCGTCTCTTCCTTGGGGAAACTGAGGCCCAGGTTGCTGGGGTGGAGGGGATGTGGAGTGACAGGGCAGGGCAATGGCTCCTCGGCCCCCTCCGGGAACAAAGCCAGGTCATTCCTGTGGGGAGGGAGCGCCAACCCCAGGGTTGGGGGGGGCACGGGCCCTGGGTCAGGGGTACAGATAAGCCTGGGCTCCCAGAACCCTTGTCACAGCGGCACCCCTGCCCCATGCCTGCTTTCTCTCCAGGGCACTCAGAGCTGCAGTTTGCAGGACGAGAGGGAGACGTGCCCAATCCCCCCATCCCAGGACGCTCAGCCGTGCGTGGGCTGGGCCCACTCCACTCCCGGCGCCCACAGTTGCCCCAGTGAACCGGCCAGTGGAGGCATCCTGTCCCGTGTGCGGGAAAGGAATGACCGCCAAGGTGACAGCAGCGCTTAGCCAACCCTGGCGCTGACACCTGACTTGCAAACTGCTCCCTGCCTGAGGCTTCAAGGCAGGCGAGAGGCTTTGTGTGTGTGACTTCCTCCCCGAAGGGACACTGGCAACAGCTGGAGACATTTCCTGTTGTTAAGGCTGAGGGGGAGCTGCTGGCATTTGGTGGGTGGAGGCCAGGGATGACGTTAACTGTTCTACTACGCCCAGGACAGCCCCCAACACACACAACAGCCTGGCCCAATGTCACGAGAGCTGAGGTGGAACAGCCCTGTTCTGCTTCAGGTCTTCAGGTCTTTGGGGGTCAAGGATGCAAATAGAGGACTCTGCTCCCAATTCAGCTCACATAAAAGAACCGGCCGGGCGCTGTCGCTCATGCCTATAATCCCAGCGCTTTGGGAGGCCGAAGTGGGAGGATCGCTTGAGCCCAGGAGTTTGAGACCAGCCTGGGTAACATAGCAAGATCCCATTTCTACGAAAGTACAAAAATTACCTGGGCACGGTGGCATGCACCTGTAGTCCCAGCGGCTTGGGAGGCTGAGGTGGGAAGTTTGCTTGAGCCCAGGAGGTTGAGGCTGCAGTGAGCCGAGATCATGCCAGTGCACTCCAGCCTCGGCGACAGAGTTAGACTCTATCTCAAAAAAGAAAAAAGAGAGAAAACCCACCAACTTGGAAAATTAAAACAGCCCCAAGGGCATCTAGGAACAGTTAACTGCACATCTAAACCCAGGCCCGCCGTTCTTAGAAGCTCTGCAAGCTGCATGGACTGACTCCTGACATTTCAGGGCTAGACTCAAAAATCCCTTTAAAAAAATTTTGTTTCTGAGACGGAGTTTCACTCTTGTCCAAGCTGGAGTGGAATGGCACGATCTCGGCTCACTGCAACCTCCACCTCCTGGGTTCAAGTAAGTCTCCTGCCACAGCCTCCAGAGTAGCTGGGATTACAGGTGCCCGCCACCATGCCTGGCTAACTTGTATTTTTAGTAGAGATGGGGTTTCACCATGTTGGCCAGACTGGTCTTGAACTCCTGATGTCAGGTGACCCACCTGCCTTGGCCTCCCAATGTTGCTGGTACTACAGACATGAGCCACCATGCCTGGTCTCTTCTTTTTTTTTTTTTTTTTTTTTTTTGAGACAGTCTCGCTCTGTCGCCCAGGCTGGAGTGCAGTGGCTCGATCTCGGCTCACTGCGAACTCTGCCGCCTGCGTTCACGCCATTCTCCTGCCTCACTCAGCCTCCTGAGTAGCTGGGACTACAGGTGCCCACCATCATGCCCGGCTAACTTTTTGTATTTTTAGTAGAGATGGGGTTTCACCGTGTTAGCCTGGTCTCGATCTCCAGACCTTGTGATCCGCCCACCTCGGCCTCCCTAAGTGTTGGGATTACAGGCATGAGCCACCGCGCCCGGCCCCCTTTTTTTTTGTTGTTGACACAGGGTCTCACTTCGTCCCCTAGGCTGGAGTGATGTGGCGCAGTCGTAGCTCACCACGGCAACTTCCTGGGCTCAAGCGATCCTCCCACTTCAGGCCCCGAAGTAGCGGGGGATACAGGCAGGCACCACCATGCCCGGCTAATTTATTTTTTTCTTAGTAGAGGTGGGGTTTCGCAATGTTGCCCAGGCTGGTCTCAAATTCCTAGACTCAAGTGATTTGCCCGCCTAGGCCTCCCAAAGTGCTGGGATTACAGGCATGAGCCACAACAGCTGGCCCCTTTCTAAGACAGGGTCTCATTCTGTCACCCAGGCTGGAGTGCAGTGACACTACCATGGCTCACTGTAGCCTCAACCTCCCAGGCTCAAGTGATCCTCCTGCCTCAGCCGCCCGAGTAGCTGGGACTACAGGCAAGCACCACCAGACGCTGTTAAAGCTTACTGTTCCCTCTGCCTAAAAACGCCCCTCTCTGATTAAGAACTGCACTTAAGTTCAGTCGTGGAAAGGGACATGATGAAACCCAAGCCCAAGTTCACGGAACTAACACATTCAAGGGCAAAGCTGTATCTGGGGACAACTGTCAGTGGGACCCAACCTCCCTCTCTCCTCCCTCAGGCAGGCAGGTGGTGTGCACGCCTCCTTTCCTTAGCGGTACCCAAAACACCGAGGATGGGAGAGTGATGAACACATTGATTGGCCGGCCCTGGACTGGAGTACATGTTCAGTTAGGGTTTATTTTGGTATCTGTCATAGAAAACCCCCAAAACCAGCAGCTTACACAAGGTAGAAGTTGAGATTGGTTCTCCCCTTCTCTCTCCCATTTAAATAAGTTTGTGCTGATATCTGGCTCTGCCATCATCAGGGAACCAGGCTCCTGTCATCCCTAAAGGACGGCACTCGTCTGTACACGTGGCAGTATGGCTGCCAGGGCTCCAGCCATCACACCCACATTCCAGGAAATAGGAAGGGGGAAGAAAGGGTGTATTTGTCTTTTAAGAATCCTTCTAGAAGTGTCATGTAACATTTCCACATACATTTCACTGGCCAGACCTTAACTATAAGGGCAGCTGGGAAGTGTTGTATTTTAACTCCCAAAGTGCTAGGATCACAGGCATGAGCCACCACACCAGGCCAAATTTTTTAATTTTTTTGTAGAGATGGGGTCTTGCCATGTTCCCCAGTCTGGTCTCCAACTCCTGGGCTCAAGTGATCTGCCGGCCTCTGCCTTCTACAGTGCTGGGATTGCAGGCATGAGCCACCACACCTGGCCTCCTTATCTTTTTAAGTCCCGGCACAAAAGTCGCTTCTGTCCTCCATGAAGCCTGCACACTCTGGTGTGGCTCCTGTCGCAATCTGGACCTCTCTCCAGTTCTAGAGTGTTGTCTGCTTTTGTGTTAATTCCTCCGTCAGCAGTGGGAGGAGAACCATGTCACTCGTATCTTGTCTCTCTGGTGCCTAGCAGAGTCTGGGCACACCGTGGCACTCAAACATACCCCCTGAATGAGTAAGGGCCAACCTTGAAGTACCTGGGAGCTGTCATCGAATACCACGGTGTCATTTGTCCCATCCCGTCACAGATGTGAAACTGCAGGCCTGGCATAGATAAGTCGACTCCCGTTGGTTACCTAGCTGAGGCCACTCTAGGAGCTGAGGCCGAAAATCAGGAGAAAAAGAAATCCAGTAAAAAAAAAAAAAAAAAAGGCCAGGCGCGGTGACTCACACCTGTAATCCCAGCACTTTGGGAGGCCAAGGCGGGCAGATCACAAACTCAGGAGATGGAGACCATCCTGTCTAACATGGTGAAACCCCGTCTCTACTAAAAATACAAAAAATTAGCTGCGCATGGTGGCAGGTGCCTGTAGTCCCAGCTACTCAGGAGGCTGAGGCAGGAGAATGGCGTGAACCCGGGAGGAGGCGGAGCTTGCAGTGAGCTGAGATCGCACCACTGCACTCCAGCCTGGGCGACAGAGTGAGACTCCGTCTCAAAAAAAAAAAAAAAAGGAAGACGTCTAGCTGGGCACGATGGCTCACGCCTGGAATCCTAGCACTTTGGGAGGCCAAGGCGGGCGGGTGGATCACCTGAGGTCAGGAGTTCAAGACCAGCCTGACCACCATGGTGAAACTCCATCTCTACCAAATACAAAAAATTAGCTGGGTGTGGTGGCGCATGCCTGTAATCCCAGCTACTTTGGAGGCTGAGGCAGGAGAATCGCTTGAACCCAGGAGGCAGAGGTTGCTGTGAGCTGAGATTGTGCCATTGCACTCCAGACTGGACAACAAGAGTGAAACTCTGTCTCAAAAAAAAAAAAAAAAAGATCTATGTCCCCACATTTCATTTGAAATGGATCTGACCACGGCAGATGCCCGCTGGGTGCAAGACGCAGCCACGAGGCTCCTGGCTACCACTCGGTGTCCACCAGACTCCAGAGGTAGTCGCTGATGAATTTCCTGGAGAGCTGGGTGCTGTCCAGGTGGATGGGCTGGGCCACACTGGGGCCATGATGGACTGAGGCACAGATGTAAGGAAAGCCCGGGACACACAGCCCCTCACACAACCCCACGGGGAAAAGGATACTGCCTTTACTTTTTTTTTTTGAGACAAAGTTTCATTCTGTAGGCCAGGCTGGAGTACAGTGGTGCGATCTCGGCTCATTGCAACCTCCACCTCCAGTGGTTAAGTGATTCTCATGCCTCAGCCTCCTGAGTAGCTGGGACTACAGGCATATGCCACCACGCCTGGCCTCAGGTCTTCTGCCCACCTCGGCCTCCCAAAGTGCTGGGATTACAGGCGTGAGGTACCACACTTGGCCTGCTATACTTTACTATATTTATTATAGACGTGGGGTCTCACTGATACCCAGGCTGGTCTCAAACTCCTGGCCTCAAGTGATCCTCCCACCTCAGCCTCCCAGGTAGCTGGGACAACAGATGCACGCCACCACACCCGGCTAATTTTTACAGGGTCCTGCTATGCACCATTTTATGTCCCTACCTACAGTGCACAAGGGTTAAAATGGCTCCCCAAAAAGGATACTGCCTTTGACCATCCCTGGCTCACACTCATAATCCCACTCAATTTTACTAACTTGGTGGTAAAGTTGAGCCACGTACCTGTACAGGAAGACAAAAAAAAAAAAAAAAAAAAAAGAAAGTTACCCAGCACCAACTTCAACCAAGAGCCGGACTGCACAAGGAGGCACAGGCAGGCACACGTTTTGGCAGAACCTACACGGCCGAGGGGATTGTGACTGTCGTGTCCTCGTCGACCTCCTTCTCCTGTCGCTCCAGATCCGCCTCAATCTCCTTGAGCTCTTCCAGCTCTCTGGTGAGCTGAGTAGGGCAGGTCGTTAAGGACCCCGGCTTTCGAGAGAGGGCTGCCCCTGCGCTAACTGCAGCTGGGAGGCCCAGGGTCTTGGCTCTATTTACGCACACTCTCTTCTTTGAGTCAGAGTTTTGCTTTGTCACCCAGGCTGGAGTGCAGTGGCACGACCTCAGCTCACTGCAACCTCTGCCTCCCAGGCTGAAGTGATTCTGGAGCCCCTGCCTACCGAGTAGCTGGGATTACAAGCACACACCACCATGCCCTGCTAATTTTTGTATTTTTAGTAGAGACAGGGTTTCACCATATTGGCCAGGCTGGTCTCAAACTCCTGACCTCAACTGATCTGTCTGCTTCGGCCTCCCAAAGTGCTGGGATTACAGGTGTGAGCCACCGCGCCTGGTCTTTTCTTTTTTTTTTGAGACAGGGTCTTGCTCTTTCACCTATTCTGGAGTGTAGCCTCAATCTCCCAGGACCAAGTAATCCTCCCACCTCGGCCTCCCAAGTAGCTGAGACTACAGGTGTGTACCACCATGCCCAGCTTATTGATTGATTGATTGATTGAGACAGAGTCTTGTTCTGTTGCCCAGGCTGGAGTGCAGTGGCATGATCTCAGCTCACTGCAAGCTCCGCCTCCTGGGCTCACGCCATTCTCCTGCTGGGACCACGCCCGGCTAATTTTTTTTTGTATTTTTAGTAGAGACGGGGTTTCACTGTGTTAGCCAGGATGGTCTCGATCTCCTGACCTCGTGATCCACCTGCCTCGGCCTCCCAAAGTGCTAGGATTACAGGCGTGAGCCACTGCACCTGACCTAATTTTTTTATTTTTGTAGAGACGGGGTCTCTGTTGTCCAGGCTGGTCTCCAACTCCTGGGCTCAAGTGATCCTCCCACCTGGGCTTCCCAAAGTGCTGGGATTACAGGCTTGAGCCACTGCGCCTGGCCCTATGCGTGTTTTCTAGCAAGGCTGATCCCCTAGCAGAAAAGGATATAGGAGGCTGGCCTTCAGACGGGTGTCCTCCTCCCCAGCCTCCTGAAGCCCAGCTTCCAGCTGCTGCAGCTCCACGCCTCCCTGGTGCACCTGCTCCTTCGCATTGAGAAGGCTCTGGGCCACTTCCTTCTCCATGGTGAGGATCTCTGCAGGGTGGAGAGAAGCAGGCTCCCTAGGGTCTGTCCTTCCCCAAGGAGAGCAGAGAGAAGGTGGTTCCACTTGCCTCCACTGGCAAGAAACATGCCCCTTGTCTGCAGCCCTGTGTCCAGAGAGTTCTACTGGCAACTTGTACAACTACTGTTTCACCAAAACACATTTAAATACACTAAAAATAAAGCCTCGTCCTTCACACACCTAAAATATAACAAAATAGTTGGCCAGGCATGGTGGCTCATGCCTGTAATCCCAGCACTTTGGGAGCCTGAGGCGGGAGGATCGCTTGAGGCCAAGAGTTCAAGCCTGGGCAACATAGGGAGATCCCATCTCTACAAAACTAAAAAAAATTAGGCTGGGCATGGTGGTTCACACCTGTAATCCCAGAACTTTCGGAGGCCGAAGTGGGCAGATCACCTAAGGTCAGGAGTTTGAGACCAGCCTGGTCAACATGGTAAAACCCTGTCTTTTTTTTTTTTTTTGAGACGGAGTTTTGCTCTTATTGCCCAGGCTAGAGTGCAGTGGCGCAGTCTTGGCTCACTGCAACCTCCGCCTTCCAGTTTCAAGTGATTCTCCTGCCTCAGCCTCCCAAGTCACTGGGATTACATGCGCCTGCCACGACACCCAGCTAATTTTTTGTATTTTTAGTAGGGACGGGGTTTCACCATGTTGGTCAGGCTGGTCTCAAACTGCTGACCTCGTGATCCACCCGCCTCAGCTTCCCAAAGTGCTGGGATTACAGGCGTGAGCCACTGCGCACGGCAACCCTGTCAATATTAAAAACACAAAAAATTAGCCAGGTGTGGTGGCAGGCGCCTGTAATCCTAGCTACTTGGGAGGCTGAGACAGGAGAATCACTTGAACCCAGGAGGTGGAGGCTGCAGTGAGCCGAGATCGTGCCACTGCACTCCAGCCTAGGGGGCTGAGGAAACTCCATCTCAAAAAAAAAAAAAAAAAAAAAAAGGCTAGGTGTGGTGGCTCATACCTGTAATCCCAGCGCTTTGGGAGGCCCAGGCAGATCACCTGAGGTCAGGAGTTCGAGACCAGCCTGACCAACATGGAGAAACCCCATCTCTACTAAAAATACAAAATTAGCTGGGCGTGGTGGTGCATGCCTGTAATCCCAGCTACTTGGGAGGCCAAGGCGGGACAATCACTTGAACCTGGGAGGCGGAGGTTGCGGTGAGCCGACATCGCGCCATTGCACTCCAGTCTGGGCGATAGAGCAAGACTCCATCTTAAAAAAAAAAAAGAAAAAAGGCTACTGGTGGCTGGGCACAGTGGCTCATGCCTGGAATCCCAGCACTTTGAGAGGCCAAGGCAGAAGGATCACTTGGACAGGAGTTTGAGACCACCCTGGGCTATGTGGCAAAACCCCATCTCTACTAAAAACACAAAAAATTAGCTGGGCATTGTGGTGTGCACCTGTAGTCCCACCTACTTGGGAGGATCACCTGAACCAGGGAGGTTGAGGCTGCAGTGAGCCATAATCGCTGTCACTGTGCCACTGCACTCCAGCCTGGGTGACAGAGAGAGACCCTTTCTCAAAAACCCAAAGCAAACCAAAATAAAACAAAGATGGCTACTGTTCCTTCCTAGAAACCTGCCAACTCAGAGAATGCAGATTAAATGCCCAGGCCAGGCGCGGTGGCTCATGCCTGTAATCCCAGCACTTTGGGAGGCCGAGGCAGGTGGATCACGAGGTCAGTAGATCGAGACCATCCTGGCTAACATGGTGAAACCCCGTCTCTACTAAAGATACAAAAAATTAGCTGGGCGTGGCGGAGGGCGCCTGTAGTCCCAGCTACTTGGGAGGCTGAAGCAGGAGAATGGTGTGAACCTGGGAGGCGGAGCTTGCAGTGAGCCAAGATCACGCCACTGCACTCCAGCCTGGGCGACAGAGCCAGACTCCGTCTCAAAAAAAAAAAAAAAAAAAAAATGCTTCCCAAAGGGCCCATGTTTAAGTTTTAGAAACTTACATTATTTTTAATCAGAGTATGACATGTATATGGTTCTGCAAACATGAACACACACGCACACACCCTTCTCCAAGCCTCTCCGTCCCTCTGAAGCAGCCACTTTCAAGTTTTAGCTGTTTTCTCTGGCACTGGCCTCCACATTTCTAAGTTAACTTGCTTATGCTGCTATTTCTTGATCGGTCTGGTTCGGATGGGGCCTGCTGATTTCCTGTTAGGACAGCTGAGGCTCTGGCTGGCTCACACAGCCTTCCCACCCGCTGTCTGTCCGCCCTCCCGAAGGACAACCAAGTCTTCTTGAATTCTTCCCTGAGTAGTAATCTCTACCCCATGGCTGTTCATTATAAGGTGCTCCTACCTGACATATTCTCACACAGCTGAGGGGATACTTTTTTTTTGGGGGGGGGGGATGGAGTCTTGCCCTGTCATCCAGGCTGGAGTGCAATGGCACGGTCTCAGCTCACTGCAACCTCCGCCTCCCAGGTTCAAGTGATTCTCCTGCCTCAGCCTCCTGAGTAGCTGGGATTACAGGCACCCACCACCACGCCTGGCTAATTTTTATATTTTTACCGGAGACGGTGTTTCACCATGTTGGCCAGGCTGGTCTAGAATTCCTGACCTTGTGATCCGCCCACCTTGGCCTCCCACAGTGCTGGGATTACAGGTGTGAGCCACCGCACCAGGCCTTTTTTTTTTTTTAAACTTTTATTATTATTTTTGAGACAGTCTTGCTCTGTTGCCCAGGCTGGAGTGCAGTGGCATGATCTCAGCTCACTGCAACCTCTGCTTCCCAGGTTCAAGCTATTCTCCTGCCTCAGACTCCCGAGTAGCTGGGATTACAGGCATGCACCACCATGCCTGGCTAATTTTCTTATTTTTAGTAGAGATGGGGTTTCACCATGTTGGCCAGGCTGGTCTTGAACTCCTGACCTCAGGTGATCTGCTTGCCTCAGCCTCCCAAAGTGTTGGGATTACAGGCATGAGCCACTGTGCTTGGCCTATTTTTTTGAGACAGTCTTGCTTTGTCATCCAGGCTGGAATACAGTGGTGTGACCTCAGCTCACTGCAGCCGCCACCTCCCAGGTTCAAGCAATTCTCCTGTCTCAGCCTCCCGAGTAGCTGGGATTACAGGCATGCGCCACAACGGCCAGCTAATTTTTGTAATTTTAGTAGAGACCAGGTTTCACCATGTTGACCAGGCTGGTCTTTAACTCCTGTCCTCAAGTGATTCACCCACCTCGGCCTCCCAAAATGTTGAGATGAGAGGCGTGAGCCACCACACCCAGCCTGAGGGTGTACTTTAACTCCTCTGCCCCACATCTGTGACATGAAAAACAGGTCCAGAGACAGAAGTTCAGTGACTCGCCCACAGGTACATAGCTCCAAACCTAGGATGTGAACTGGATCTGTTTGACCCAAAGCCTAGGATCCCTGGATCCTGATTCTCAGTTTTCTTGGCCCCAGATTCATCCATTCTGCTAACAGCCAGGCTGGCCGAGTCACATCTTTCTCCTCAAGCCATCAAAGGAGGGGGAGTTAATGGAGGGGTGGAAGAAGGAGGAGGGAAGGAGGGAAGAGCCTGCTTGGGACATCACATTCAGGATAATATTCAGACTCCTCCTGGGCACTCTCCAGGCCTGGCAGTCAGGCGGCTGCTGAGCTCATCTTCTGCTTGCCAAGTTCATTCTCACCTCCTGACCTTTGCATTTGCAATCCACGCTGCCAGGAACACCGTTCCTGAGCCACCCCGTGGACTGGCTCCATAGGCCAATCAAGGCTCAGCCCAGGCCTCCTCATAAAATGTGACTGTATAAGGCACCTGAAACCCCTGGCACTGCAGCTGTCAGGGAGAACCGTATGGCGGTTCCTCAGAAATCAAACTTTGAATTACCATTTGATCTGCTTCTGGCTGAATACAAAAAAGAACTGAAAATAGAGTCTTGGCTGGGCGTGGTGGCTCACGCCTGTAATCCCAGCACTTTGGGAGGTCGGGGCAGGTGGATCACGAGGTCAGGAGATCGAGACCATCCTGGCTAACACGGTGAAACTCTGTCTCTACCAAAAAAAATACAAAAAAAAAATTAGCCGGGCGTGGTGGCGGGTGCCTGTAGTCCCAGCTACTCGGGAGGCTGAGGCAGAATGGTGTGAACCCGGGAGACGGAGCTCGCAGTGAGCCAAGATCACGCCACTGCACTCCAGCCTGGGTGACAGAGCGAGACTCCATATCAAAAAAATAAAAAAAAGAAAATAGAGTCTTGGGCTGGGCGCAGTGGCTCATGCCTATATTCCCAGCACTTTGGGAGACCGAGGCGGGCGGATCACGAGGTCAAGAGTTTGAGACCAGCCTGGCCAACATGGTGAAACCCCATCTTTACTAAGAATACAAAAATTAGCTGGGCATGTTGGCACGTGCCTGTAATCCCAGCTACTTGGCAGGCTGAGGCAGGAGAATTGCTTGAACCCAGGAGGCATAGGTCGCAGTGAGCAGAGATCACGCTGCTGTACTCCAGCCTGAGCAGCGGAGTAAGACTGTCCTGGGAAAAAAAAAAAAAAGAAGAAAATATGGCTGGGCACGGTGGCTCATGCCTGTAATCCCAGCACTTTGGGAGTCCGAGACGTGTGGATCATGAGGTCAGGAGATCGAGACCATCCTGGCTAACACGGTGAAACCCCGTCTCTACTAAAAAAATATATATAAAAATATTAGCCGGGCGTGGTGGCGGGCACCTGTAGTCCCAGCTACTCGGGAGGCTGAGGCAGGAGAATGGCGTGAACCCAGGAGACGCAGCTTGCAGTGAGCCAAGATTGCGCCACTGCACTCCAGCCTGGGTGACAGAGCAAGACTCCGTCTCAAGGAAAAAAAAAATACAGTCTTGAAGAGATATTTGGGCACCCGTGTTCATAGCAGCGTTATTCAACACAGCCAAAAGGTGGATACAACCCAAGTGCCCATGGATGGATGAATGAATAAACACAATGCGGTCCATCCTTCTATATCATGAAATATGACTCAGCTTTAAAATGGACGGAAATTCTGGCCAGGCGTAGTGGCTCACCCCTGTCATCCCAGCACTTTGGGAGGCCGAGGTGGGCGATCACTTGAGGCTGGGAGTTTAAGACCAGCCTAGCCAACATGGTGAAACCCCATCTCTACTAAAAATACAAACATTAGCTGGGCATGGTGGCGCATAAGTGTGTTCTCAGCTACTTGGGAGGCTGAGGTGGGAGGATCACTTAAGTCTGGGAGGCAGAGGTTGCAGTGAGCCAAGATCACACCACTGCATTCAAGCCAGGGTAATGGAGCGAGGCTCTGTCTCACAGTAAGTACACAAAATGAAAGGAAATTCTGATACAGGCTATGACATGGATGAACCTGGAGGACATTATGCTCCATGAAATAAGCCAGACACAAAAGGGTAGATATTGTATGATTCCACTAGGAAGGGTAGATATTGTACAATTCCTCGTAAGGTTCCTAGAGGAGTCAAATTTGAGACAGAAAGTAGAACCCTGGTGGGTGCCAGGGTCTGAGAAGGGGATGGGGAGTGAGTGTTTCATGGGGACAGAGCTTCAGTTTGGAAAGATGAGAAAGTTCTGGAGATGGATGATGGTGCTGATGGTTGCACAGCAGTGTGAATGTGCTTAAGGCCACTGAACTGTGCAGTTACAGATAGTGAAGATGGGCCGGACACAGTGGCTCACGTCTGCAGTCCCAGTACTTTGGGAGGCTGAGGCAGGCAGATTACCTGAGGTCAGGAGTTTGAGACCAGCCTGGCCAACGTGGTGACCCCCCGTCTCTACCAAAAATACAAAAATTAGCCGAGTGCGGTGGCAAGCGCCTGTAATCCCAGCTACTCAGGAGGCTGAGGCAGGAGAATAGCTTGAACCCGGGAGGTGGAGGTTGCGGTGAGCCCAGGGCCTGGCAGCAGCAGATGCTCCATAAAACATCTGAATGCCTTCAGGAAGAAGGGATGGGCTATTGTCACAACCATTTGACAAGGAAGGAAGCTGAGGCACAGAGAATTTAAGAAACTCACCTCAAGTCTCACAGCGGACATGGGGATGGGTGCTAGGATTCAAACCCGGAGCTTTGACTCCTGAGCCCCAGTTCAAACCCTGAGACCCCCAGCTCCTGCTCACGGAGAGCTCAGAAGGGGCCAACCCCTCCAGACTCCTATATTTACCACTAAACCCCTGGGGGGTGGGGGATGGTTGCTGTCATAAAGCCGATTTCTCAGATGGTGAAACTAAGGCTCAGAGGGGGCCGTCCCAGGGGGCATAGGGCAGGAGATGGGAGAGTCCAGGAGAGAAGGGGTTTTGAGGTGGGCCTGGTCGCCCCCTCCCAGCACCCGGGCCCCTTCCCCCGTGGGCCCGCGACCACGCTCCGACCCTCACCTCGCAGCTGCTTCTCGGCACCGTCTTGCGTTTCCAGCAGCCGCTCCACCACCTGCTCGTGGCGCCCCAGCAGCCGTCGCTGCTGCGCCTCCGCGCGGTTGGCGCCCAGCAGGCTGAGCAGCCCCTGGCTCACCTCCTCTATGTCGCGGAAGGCGGCCATGACTACGCCAGGCTCCAACCCGCGCAAATTTGACTGTCCGCGGGGCCCGCCCTCTTCCAGAAGAGGTTGCTTTCCATTGGATTTTTTGATACGTCAGTCATAAGCAATGGCCAATAGGCATGGGGAACAGGATCTTAGACTGGGCTAAGCCGCCTTTGGTCTGGCCTGGTGCGCCTGCGACCACTCCTCCGTCAGTCATCGGTGATGACCAATCGGCGCAGGAAGGGGGAGGCTCCGTTATCCTTCCCGATGCGCCTGCGCGGGAGAGAAAGCGGCTGTTTATTTCTCCATAGGTCGAGCGCTTGCTCTGTGCAGGGTGGGGTTCTAACGGCAAAGCAGCGAGCAGCTTCTCCTGGAACTTACATCCTACAGTGTGTGCGTGGGATACACAATAAGCATAGAGAATAAGTAGATTCTATGAGAGGCTGCATAGCAAAATGGCGTCTGCAGCCAGATTTACTGGGTTCGAATCCCAGCGTTGCCACTTACTAGCTGTGTTACCCTGGACAGACTTCACCTCTCTGTGCGGTACTTTCCTCCTTAGTAAAATGAGGGTCATACTAGTGCCTGTGTCAGCGTTGGCGTGAGAATTCTTCTTATTACTTTTTTTTTAGAGACAAGGTATTGCTCTGTCACCCAGGCTGAAGTGCAGTGCCACAATCATAGCTCATTGCAACTTCGACCTCCTGGCCTCCAGCAATCCTCCTGCCTCCGCCTCCCAAAGTGCTGGGATTACAGGCGTGAGCCACCGAGCCCAGCCTGGCGTGATAGTGTCTCCTATTCAGTAGGTGCTATATAGTTGTTTAATGAAACATACATAGAATCCTAGCATGTAGCTGGGTGCAGTGGCTCACGCCTGTAAGTCTGAGCTCTTTGGAAGGCTAAGACAGGAGGATCGCTTGAGCCCTGGAGTTTGAGACTAGCCTGTCTCAAAACAAAACAAAACAAAGAAAAGATCAGTGCTGACTCTAAGGTGCTGGTTCCATGCTAGACACTGGTATTTCTGCAAGAAACAAGATGTTAAGATGGCATCTTTTTTTCTTTCTCTCTCTTTTTTTTTAAGACAGAGTCTCACTCTGTTGCCCAGGCTGGAGTGCAAGGCATTCCAGCCTGCTTCCTGGGTTCAAGGCATTCTCCTGCATCAGCCTCCCGAGTAGCTGGGATTACAGGTGCCCGCCACCGCACCCAGCTGATTTTTTGTATTTTTAGTAGAAACGGGGTTTCATTATGTTGGCCAGGTTGGTCTTGAACTCCTGACCTCGTGATCTGCCTGCCTCAGGCTCCCAAAGTGCTGGGATTATAGGCGTGAGCCACCGCGCCTGGCGTGGCAACATTTTTATGTGTGCTACCACCTAAAGAACATCTCATTGCTTTCCTATGATTTTTTTTTCTTTTCTTTTCTTTTCTTTTTTTTTTTTCTTGAGACAGAGTTTCGCTGTTGTTGCCCAGGCTGGAGTGCAATGGCGCGATCTCAGCTCACTGCAACCACCACCTCCCAGGTTCAAGTGATTCTCCTGCCTCAGCCTCCCGAGTAGCTGGGATTACAGGCATGCGTCACCATGCCCAGCTAATTTTGTATTTTTAGTAGAGACGGGGTTTCTCCATGTTGGTCAGGCTGGTCTTGAACTCCCGACCTCAGGTGATCCACCTGCCTCGGCCTCCCAAAGTGCTGGGATTACAGGCGTAAGCCACTGTGCCCGGCCTTCTTTTCTTCCTTCTTTTTTTTTTTTTTTTTTGAGATGGGGTCTTGTTCTGTCCCCCAGGCTGAAGTGCAGTGGCTCAGGTGATCCTTTCATTTCAACCTTCCAAGTAGCCGGGACTACAGGTGTGTGTCACCCTTTGGTGCCTGAGAGCATGGCTTCTTGAACCAGCTGTGTAATGTTGGCATAGACCTCACTTCTTTGTGCCTAAAGGCAGTGAATAACAATTAGGCAGAGTGAAATCAAGAGGGGAAAAGACTTCAGGTTCACTTTCTGATGCTGCAGCTTACCTGTGACCTTGGCAGGTTCCTAACCTTTCTAAGCCATAGTGGCTAAAGATAGCCCTTTCTTATTAGCTGCCAGGAGGTGTCCCAGAGATAAGCCAGGCAAGATTGTGCAACTCGAGCCTGATAGATCTAAAGGCTCCTGTGGAAAAATGCCACCCGCCCACCTCCCTTCCAAAAAAGCAAAGCGAGAACCGCTTCCCAGCCATTAGGATGGCTACTGTCCAAAACCAACCAACCAGCCAAGCAACCTGGAAAATAACAAGTGTTGACCAAGATGTAGAGAAATTGGAATGCTGTGTACCCTTGCTGAGAATGTAAAATGGTGCAGCTGCTGCGGGAAACAGTATGGCAGTTCCTCAAAAAATTAAAAATAGTATTACCATATCAGCAATTCCACTTCTGGGTATAGCCCCAAAAGAATTGAAAGCAGGTTGTTGGGCCGGGCGCAGTGGCTCATGCCTGTAATCCCAGCACTTTGGGAGGCCGGGGCGGGCGGATCACCTGAGGTCGGGAGTTCGAGACCAGCCTGACCAACATGGACAAACCCCGTCTCTACTAAAAATACAAAATTAGCCAGGCGTGGTGGCGCATGCCTGTAATCCCAGCTACTAGGGAGGCTGAGGCAGGAGAATCGCTTGAACATGGGAGGCGGAGGTTGCGGTGAGCTGAGATCACGCCATTGCACTCCAGCCTGGGCAACAAAAGGGAAACTCCGTCTCAAAAAAAAAAAAGAAAAAAAAAAGAAAGAAAGAAAGAGAAAGAAAGCAAGTCATAGAGCAGATATTTGCAAGTCTATGTTCATAGCACCCATTATAGCGAAAGGGTGGAAACAGCACAAGTGTCCTTAGATAGAAGAATTAATAAAACGTGGTTCATCTCTACAACACAATTGTTTTTTTTTGGTTCATCTGTACAACGCAATTTTTTTTTTTTTGAGCCACCATGCCCGGACACAATTTTTTTTTCTTTTTCCTTTTTTTTTTTATGAGACAGGATCTCTCTGCCAGGCTGGAGTGCAGAGACGCAATCATGGCTCACTCAACCTCCTGGGCTCAAGCAATCCTCCAACTTTAGCCTCCCAAGTAGCTGGGACTACAGGCACATGCCACTACACCCAGCTAATTATTTTTTTTTTCCTAGAGACAGGGGTCTCATTGTATTGCCTAGGCTGGTCTCCAACTCCTGGGCTCAAATGATCCTCTTGCCTCAGCCTCCCAAAATGCTGGCATTACAGGTATGAGTCACCGTGTCTACCATGTCTGGCCCATAGGACAGAAGATTATTCAGCCTTAAAAAGGAAGGAGGCCAGGTGCGGTGGCTCACGCCTGTAATCCTGGCACTTTGGGAGGCCAAGGCGGGCGGATCACGAGGTCAAGAGATTGAGACCATCCCGGCCAACATGGTGAAACCCCGTCTCTACTAAAAATACAAAAATTAGCTGGGCCTGGTGGCACGTGCCTGTAGTCCCAGCTACTTGGGAGGCTGAGGCAGGAGAATCGCTTGAACCTGGGAGGTGGAAGGTGCAATGAGTCGAGATCGCACCGCTGCACTCCAGCCTGGTGACAGAGTGATACTCTGTCTCAAAAAAAAAAAAGGAAGGAAATGCTGACCAGGTCCAGTGGCTCACGCCTGTAATCCCAGCACTCTGGTAGGCTGAGGCAGGCAGATCGCCTGAGGTCAGGAGTTCAAGAACAGCCTGGCCAACATGGCAAAACCCCGTCTCTACTAAAAATACAAAAATTAGCCAGGCATGATGGTGCACACCTGTAATCCCTGCTACATGGGAGGCTGAGGCAGGAGAATCACTTGAACCCGGGAGGCGGAGGTTGCAGTGAGATGAGATGGCGCCACTGCACTCCAGCCTGGGCGACAAGGAGCAAAACTCCATCCCCACCCCGCAAAAAAAGAAAGGAAATTCTGACACATGCCACGAGGTGGATGAAGACATGTTCAGTGAAATAAGCCAGATACAAAAAGACAAACACTGCGTGATTCCACTTAGAGGAGGTCCCTAGAGTCGTCAGATTCATAAAAACAGAACGTAGAATGGTGGGTCCCGGGGGCTGGGGAGGGGTATGGGGAGTGAGTGTTTCATGGGGACAGAGTTTCAGTTTTGCAAACTGAGAATGTTCTGGAGATGGATGGTAGTGCTGGTTGCACAACAGTGGGAATGTGCTTAATGCCGTTGAACTCTGCACTTTAAAATGGTTAAAGTCGTACATTTTATGTCATGTATATTTTACCACAATTAAAATTAAAAATATACTAAAAAAAAAAAGCAAAGCAAGAAACTGTGTGATGGCGGGAATAGGTCTTAAAGGTGAGCTGAACAAGAGAAGTAAAGATAATGACAAATGGTCCTGGCAATGGCTTTGTGAGAAAGTTTATTTCCTAAGAACCCTTCTTGGCTCACAAAGCCAGAGGAAACTGACACGAGTAATGGACCTTCTGCCTAGAAATACACTCCTTAGCATAACATTTCTGGGTCTTCCAAAAACCTTCTGTTATCTCCTGACTGAACAGCCTAGTGGATAAACAGAGGAAATGAGAAGTCAGGAGATATGATTACCGCTGGGAGATCTGAGGGGAGGGGCCCGTGGGCTGCTAGGGCCAATGATATTCCTTTTCCAGTTCTGGTGCCGGCAACTTGGGGGTGCCGTTTGCAAAAAAGCCATGGAAGGAACTGTACACTTTTGTGCACCATTTGTGCACAGAATGTATTCATTTTATACCTGAAGAAAAAAGAACTGTAAAAAAAAATTAAGACCAAATATATTAGAAAAAGATTTGGTAGGAGATGCTCCAAACTGTTGACAATGGTATTCCTACCAAGTGGGATTATGGCATGCTGCAAGGACTAAACACTGCTGTATTGTTTGAATTTTTATTTTTATTTTTAGATGGAGTTTCTCTCTTGTTGCCTAGGCTGGAGTGCAATGGCGTGATCTCGGCTCACCACAACCTCCACCTTCCAGGTTCAAGCAATTCTCCTGCCTCAGCCTCCTGAGTAGCTGGGATTACAGGGGTGTGCCAGCACACCCGGCTAATTTTGTATTTTTAGTAAAGACAAGGTTTATTTTTTTCTTTTTGAGATGGAGTCTCACTCTGTCGCTCAGGCTGGAGTGCAGTGGTGCGATCTCGGCTCACCGCAAGCTCCGCCTCCCGGGTTCACGTCATTTTCCTGCCTCAGCCTCCCAGTAGCTGGGACTACAGGTGCCCACCACCACGCCTGGCTAATTTTTTGTATTTTTTTAAGTAGAGATGGGGTTTCACCGTGCTAGTCAGGATGATCTCGAGCTCCTGACCTCGTGATGTGCCCGCCTTGGCCTCCCAAAGCGCTAGGATTACAGGCGTGAGCCACCACTCCTGGCCTTTTTTTTGTTTTTTGAGACGGAGTCTCACTCTGTCACCCAGGCTGGAGTGCAGTGGTGCGATCTTGGCTCACTGCAAACTCTGCCTCCCGGGTTCACGCCATTCTTCTGCCTCAGCCTCCCGAGTAGCTGGGACTACAGACACACGCCACCACACCCAGCTAATTTTTTGTATTTATTAGTAGAGATGGGGTTTCACCATGTTGGCCAGGATGGTCTCGATCTCTTGACCTCGTGATCCACCCGCCTTGACCTCCCAAAGTGCTGGGATTACAGGCGTGAGCCACCACGCCCGGCCAGAGACAGGGTTTCGCCATGTTGGTCAGGCTAGTCTCGAACTCCCGACCTCAGGTGATCCACCCGCCTTGGCCTCCCAAAGTGCTGGGATTACAGGCGTGAACCACTGCACCCGGCTCGAATTTTAACTTTTTTTTTTGAGACGGAGTCTCCCTGTTGCCCAGGCTGGAGCACAGTGGCACAATCTCGGCTCACTGCAACCTGTGCCTCCCAGGTTCAAGCGATTCTCATGCCTCAGCCTCCTGAGTAGCTGGGATTACAGGCGTGTGCAAATGCACCTGGCTAATTTTTGTATTTTTAGTAGAGGCAGGGTTTCACCGTATTGATCAGGCTGGTCTCAAACTTCTGACCTCAGGTGATGCCCACCTTGACCTCCCAAAGTCCTGGGATTACAGGGGTTAGCCACTGTGCCCGGCTGAATTTTGACTTTTATAATAAATCGCTATAAATTATTTGGCATTAGAATACAAAAGTCACCGAAGAGCCAAGTTTTAGGCCAGGCATAGTAGTTCATGCCTACGATCCCAGCACATTGGGAGGCTGAGGTGGGGAGATCGCTTGAGCCCAGAAGTTTGAGGCCAGCCTGGGCAGCATAGAGAGACTCCGTCTATACAAAAAATAAAAAAAATTAGCCAGGCATGGTGGCACACACTTGTAGTCCCAGCCACTCTGGAGGCTGAAGTGGGAAGATTGCTTGAGCCCCGGAGGTTGAGGCTGCAGTGAGCTATGATCGCACCACTGCACTCTACCCTGGTGGGCAACAGAGTGAGACCCTGTCTCAAAAAAAAAAAAGAAAAGAAAAGAAAGAAAAAGATTGATTTTTTTTTCCTGAGGTGTTCACAGCAGGTGTTCAACAAAACTTTGTACGATGGCAATATTCAGTATCTCTGCAAGTCAATACAGTAGCCACCAACCACGTAAAGCTATCGAGAACTAATTATAATTCATTGACTTTATTTATTTACTTATTTTTGAGTTGGAGCCTCACTGTCGCCCAGGCTGGGGTACGGTGCTGCAATCTTAGCTCACCGCAACCTCCGTTTTCCATGTTCAAGTGATTCTCATGCCTCAGCCTCCCCAGTAGCTGGGATTACAGGCATGCACCACCATGCCCAGCTAATTTTTTTCTATTTTTAGTAGAGATGTGGTTTCACCATGTTGGCCAGGCTGGCCTCAAACATAAATGATCCACCTGCCTCAGCCTCTCAAAGTGTTGGGATTATAGGCGTGAGCCACCGCGCCAGGCATAATTCATTTACTTAAGATTTTTTTTTTTTTTTTTAGAAACAAGGTCTCACTCTGTCACCAAGGCTGGAGTGCAGTGGGACAATCATAGCTCACTGCAGCCTCGAACTCCTGGCCTCGAGTGATCCTCCCACCCGCCTCAGCCTCCTGAGTAGCTTGGGACTACAGGCACAAGCCACCAAGCCTGCTAATTATAATTAATTAATTCATTCATTCATTTATAGATGGAGTCTTGCTCTGTCACCCAGGCTGGAGTGCAGTGGGGCAATCTCAGCTCCCTGAAACCCCCGCCTCCTGGGTTCAAGTGATTCTCTGGCCTCAGCCTCCCGAGTAGCTGGGACTACAGATGCCCGCTACCATGCCCAGCTAATTTTTTGTATTTTTAGTAGAGACAGGGTTTCACGATGTTGCCCAGGCTGGTCTTGAATTCCTGACCTCAGGTGATCCACCTGCCTCAGCCTCCCAAAGTGCTGGGATTACGGGCGCGAGCCACCGCGCCCGGCCTCATGTACTTTTAAATGAAAATAGCCACATGTAGCTAGCGGCTACACTATTGTTGGGTGCTGGTCTAGGACAGAGCATGAAGGTGTTTACTGTGATATTCTTGCAACTGTTCTGTAGCTTTGAACACTCTCCAAAATAAGTCCATTTTGAAAAAGAG
This sequence comes from Homo sapiens, assembly GCF_000001405.40. NCBI lineage: Eukaryota > Metazoa > Chordata > Mammalia > Primates > Hominidae > Homo > Homo sapiens. The sequence continues at coordinate 11,163,338 of NC_000019.10, forward strand.
ATTTGCAGCAGCTCACGTGTGTAATCCCAGCACTTTGGGAGGCCGAGGTGGGAGAGTGGCTTGGGCAACATAGCAAAACCCCGTTTCTACAAAAAATTTAAAAATTAGTCCAGGCGCAGTGGCTCACGCCTGTAATCCCAGCACTTTGGGAGGTCGAGGCGGGTGGATCACTTGATCAAGGTCGGGAGTTCAAGACTGGCCTGACCAACATAGTGAAAACCCATCTCTACTAAAAATACAAAAATTAGCTGGGTGTGGTGGTGGGTGCCTCTAATCCAAGCTATTTGGGAGGCCGAGGCAGGAGAATTGCCTAAGTCCAGGAGGCGGAGGTTTCGGTGAGCCTAAATCACACCACTGCACTCCAGCCTGGGAGACAGAGGGAGACTCCGTATCAACAACAACAACAACAACAAAAAGTCAGGGGTGGTGGCGCAGCCTGTGGTCCCAGCTAGTCGGGAGGTTGAGGTGGGAGGATCGCTTGAACCCTGGAGGTAGAGACTGCAGTGAGCTATGATTCGCACCACTGCACTCCAACCTGGGAGACAGAGTGAGACTCTCCAAAAACAAAAAGTGGTGGCTCACACCTGTAATCCCAGCACTTTGGGAGGCTGAGGCGCGTGGATCATCTGAGGTCAGGAGTTTGAGACCAGCCTGACCAACATAGCGAAACCCCCGTCTCTACCAAAAATACAAAATTAGCCGAGTGTGGTGGGCACCTGTAGTCCCAGCTACTTGGGAGAATCGAGGCAGTAGAATCACTTGAATCCAGGAGGCAGAGGTTGCACTGAGCCAAGATCGCGCCACTGCACTCCAGCCTGGGTGACGAGAAGCAAAACTCCGTCTCAAAAAAAGAAAAAAGAAAAAAAAAAGGAAAGATATCTATCTTAAAGCTTAAAAGGGAGCACAGCGAAAAAAGAAAAGACACAGAATCATCAACATTATTGGTAGCTTTATTAAATTTGTTTACCTTCTAAAAAAAACGATTACAAAAAAGAATACTTCATTTAAGTGTAATACTGGCTTTATGGACGTACCGTGATCAGAAAGTGAAATTAAAGCTCATGGATATGCGTGAGAAGAGAATGGGCGCAGAGGCACGAGTCCAGTATCCCACGGAGAGAAGGAAGTGTAGAGAGATGCGTGGACCCATCTCAGGGGTCACGCATTCCTGGGCCAAGGAGTTGCTTCTAAGAGCTTAAAATAAATGCACTGGCTGGCTCCAGGGCTGGACACACAGGCACAGAACTCTTGTACCGCTTCTCAAAGCTGCCCAAAGCTGCGACCTTCCCCCTCAGACACCCACAATTAATTGTTTCCAATCAGCTTTGGTTTTGTTTTCTCTGCAATTTACATGCAAACACCATCTATCTATTCATCCATCCATCCATCCATCCATCCATCCATCCATCCATCCATCCATCCTGCTTGTCTCCTTTGACCAGCCAAGCCCTATTTTGTTTTACGTACATTCCCTTCACTAAAAATCAAAGCAAGCCAGTCTACATCAAGCCAAGAAACCTACTTTTCTAAGGAGAGAAACCAGTGCTTTGCCTTCTTTAATGAACCTGCGAGCTCTCAGCGCTTTCTCTTGCTGAAATGTGGCTTTAAAGCCTTGGAGGCTGAGCTCACTGGCCTCGAAAGGGCAGCGCGCGTATTTGGTTTGGAGCGCACTCCTGATCACAAAGCACATTTTTAGAGGCTTGGAACCCTTCCCTTTCTGTTGCTCACCAAGGAAAAGGCACAAGAAAGACAATGATGTGGAGATTCTTAGGGGACCAAAACAGGCCATGAAGGAAACTGTGAGTGTCTCTGGCAAGCCCCGTTTCCCGCAGGCTCTGTTCCAGGCAGCTCCGGAAAGTCTCTAGGTTGTTAAAAAGCCCAGCTGGCCCATGTTTGGTTTTCAGCAAAGCCCTGTCTCTTGAAGTTTGCGCTGGGAGGCCTGGGGACGGCCAACTTTTAATCGTACACACATGGGGTTTTTGGGAGCCGGCCCTGCGTTTTGCCAACAAGCGCATGCCCTGTTTTCTTTCCTTTGAGGAGAGAAATTCTGGAGTCCCGGGGAGGAACAGGACGGCCCTGTGACCATAGTCTGGGGCCTGGCGGCGGGGACGCAGAAGCCACCCTGAGAGCCAGATTCTTTTCCTGCGTCTTCAGGTCTGAAGGATTTTCTAGGAAAATTAACATTTGCCAAGGCCTCCATGTGGGGAAGGGAGGGGTTTCTGGGTAATTTGTCTCTTTTTCTTTTCTTTCTTGAGACAGGGTCTCGCTGTGTCGCCCAGGCTGAAGTGCAATGGTGTGATCATAGCTCACTGTAGCCTCGACCTCCAGGGCTCAGCCTCCCAAGTAGCTGGGACTACAGGCGCGCACCACCACGCCTGGCTAGTTTTTAAATTTCTTGTAGAGATGGGTCTTGCTGTGTTGCCCAGGCTGGTCTTTAACGTCTAGGCTCAAGCTCAAGCTCTTGCCTTGCCCTCCCAAAGTGCTGGGATTACAGACGTGAGTCACCACGCCTGGCCGGTAATTTCTCATTGTGAATTGATTGGGTCCCTGTAAGTCACAGAGCCTGTCCTGAGTCCCTTCATCTGAATGAGGGTGAAAAGACTGAGTTTTCTGTCCCGGGTGACAAGGACAGAATCTGTCTTGTGAAACAACCAGAAGAAAATTCCCCTAAGAAAGCCGTCTAGCGGGGCAGTGGACACAACACTATTCTATATCAGACAATTAAATGTGGGGGATGAAGGGTGAACCCCAACTGGTGCGTAATAACACTTAGGATTAAAATGAAAATATGCAAGTTCCAGTGACTTTCAAATCTGGCAACAAATCCTAAGATTCCCACCCCCTCCTGCAACAATGATTCAAAAATACAATATTTTTTTCCTCTCCCTCTTCCTCCATCCATAATTACCAGCTGATTGTTCTCAATGTTCTTCATAAAACCCACACCCCAGCATCAGCCCTGGCGCCAATGTATACAAGAATTTTGCTTCGGTCTGCGCTGTGGCCACTTTGAACAGGGGAGCCAAGAAAACCCACTTGGAGCTGGAGTCCTGTGGCCGTCGGGGCTCCCCCAGGGAAGCAGAGGGAGAGCTCGCTTGCCTTTGAGCCGTGGGCCTTGGGGAGTGTGAGTGGGGTGGGCCAGGGAGGAACGGGAACAGGGAGGAGACGGGGACAAGGGACGGTTTGCTCCCGGTCTGGCTGGTCCCCGCCTCCCTCACGGCTACTCTTCTGCCGAGGATGATGTAGGGCTCTCGTCATCTGACATTGGGGCAAACTGAAACAGAGAAGCAGAATTCTTTTTGTTTGGGATCCTTTCCAATCCCCCGAGGCGCCAACGTGGTGGCTGGCCTGGTAGATATGATGGGTAAGCAGGAGGGAGGCGTGGCCCCTGGCCCCAAGGAGGTGGCGATCTGGGGGCACCGCCTTGAAGAAGCAAACTCATGACTGTGGTTGAGGATGTTCACCGGGGGTGAGGGATGCAAAGGAATGAGGGTGGACAGTGGCTGGTCAGGGAGGGTGAGTTCTCAGCTGACTGTGAACGGCATCAAGGAGCCAGCGAGCAGGGAAGAGCATTCCAGGCAGCGGAAACAGCACGTGCAAAGGCCCTGGGATAAGTGCAGAGGGGTGTGGCAATAAGGCCAGTGTGGCTAGAGGGGGAGAGAAACAGTAGTGGGGAAGGTGAGGGTGGTTGTGCAGGGCCTGGTGGGCTTTGGAGAGGACCCTGGCTTTTTCTTTTCTTTTTTTTGAGACAGAGTTTCACTCTTGTTGCCTAGGCTGGAGTGCAATGGCATGATCTCAGCTCACTGCAACCTCTGCCTCCTGGGTTCAAGTGATTCTCCTGCCTCAGCCTCCTTAGTAGCTGGGATTACAGGCAGGCGCCACCACGCCCGGCTAATTTTGCGTTTTTAGTAGAGATGGGGTTTCTCCATGTTGGTCAGTCTGGTCTCAAACTCCTGACCTCAGGTGATCCGCCCATCTTGGCCTCCCAAAGTGTTGAGATTACAGGCGTGAGCCACCGTGCCCGGCCTAGATTTTTTTTTGCTTAAAGACAGGGTCTTGCTCTGTTGCCAGGCTGGAGTATAGTGGTCCAATCATAGCTCACAGTAGCCTTGACTATCTGGGCTCAAGCAATCCTCCTGCCTTAGCCTCCCGAGTAGCTGGGACTATAGGCATGCACCACCAGGCCCAGCTAATTTTTTTTTTTTTTTGAGGCGGAATCTCACTCTGTCACCCAGGCTGGAGTGCAGTGGCGCGATCTCAGCTCACTGCAACCTCTGCCTCCCAGGTTCAAGCAATTCTCATGCCTCAGCCTCCCGAGTATCTGGGATTACAGGTGCCCACCACCACACCCAGCTAATTTTTGTATTTTTAGTAGAGACAGGGCTTCACCATGTTGGCCAGGCTGGTCTCGAACTCCTGACCTCAGGTGATCTGCCCGCCATGGCATCCCAAAGTGCTGGGATTACAGGCGTGAACCAGTGAGTCTGGCCTGAATGCTCCTTAAACACGTCAGACACACCCCTGCCTCAGGGCCTTTGCACTGCTTGTTCCTGCTGCCCGGAAGACCATGTGATTCACTCCCTAACTTCTCCAGGTGTTGACTCAAATGTCATCTCTTCTCTGAGGGACTCCAATAGCTTCCCCATCACTCGCCATCCCACGTCCTTGTTTTTTTTTTTTTTTTTTTTTCTTTGAGACAGAGTTTTGCTCTTGTTGCCCAATGTCATGATCTCTGGCTCACTGCAACCTCCACCTCCTGGGTTCAAGTGATTCTCCCGCCTAAGCCTCCAGAATAGCTGAGATTAAAGGCATGCGCCACCACACCCGGCTAATATTTTGTTTTTTTAGTACAGATGGAGTTTCACCATGTTGGCCAGCCTGGTCTTGAACCCCTTATCTCAAATCATCCGCCCACCTTGGCCTCCCAAAGTGCTGGGATTACAGGCATGAGCCACCACGCCTGGCCTCTTTCTTTTTTTTTTTCCCAGACAAGGCGGCACTCTGTCACCATGTAGTGATGCAACCATGGCTCACTGCAGCCTCAAATTCCTGGGTTCAGGTGATCCTCCTGCCTCAGCCTCCCGAGTAGCTGGGAGTACAGGCATGCACCTGTATTTTTGGGGGAGACAGGATCTCCCTATGTTGCCCAGGCTGGTCTCGAACTCTTGGGTTCAAGCAATCCTTCCATCTCGGCCCCACAAGGTGCTGGGATTACAGACGTGAGCCACCGCGCCCAGCCTGATTGTGTCTCTTACCAGAATGCTCACTCCATAAGGGTGGATACTGTTTTCTGTTTTGATCAGTGCTGTGACCACTGGGGACTACCTAGAACTGGGCCTAACATGCAGCAGGCGCTCAATAAATATTTTTCAAATGAGTGAATGGTGACTAAGACACGCATTTGGAACCAGACAGACCCAGGCGTGAATACTGTTATGCCAACCATGACCATGCAGCCTCTCTGTGACTAATTTCCTCACTGGGGCACTATGAAGGTTCAGCAAGCAGCTGACCATATTCTGACTTTATCCTTAGCGTGAACCCCATGCACAATCAGCTCTTCATAAACATCCGTCTCCTCTGGCCAGGCACAGTGGCTGACCCCTGTAATCCCAGCGCTTTCAGAGGCAGAAGAGGAAGCATGGCTTAAGCTCAGGTATTCAAGACCAGCCTGGGCAACATAGTGAGACCCAGTCTCTACAAAAGATGTTAAAAAATGTCCGGGTGCAGTGGCTCACGCCTGTAATCCCAGCACTTTGGGAGGCAGAGGCGGGCAGATCACTTGAGCTCAGGAGTTCAAGACCAGCCTGGCCAACACAGTGAAATCCCATCTCTACTAAAAATACAAAAATTAGCCGGGCATGGTGGTGTGCACCTGTAATCCCAGCTACTTTGGAGACTGAGGCAGGAGAATTGCTCGAACCTGGGAGATACAGGTTACAGTGAGCCAAGATTGTGCCACTGTACTCCAGCCTGGGTGATAGAACAAGACTTTGTCTCAAAAAACAAAACAAAAAAAACTCAGCCAGGTGTGGTGACGTGCGCCTGTAGTCCCAACTACTCAGGAGGCTGAGGTGAAAGGATCACTTGAGCCCAGGAAGTGGAGTTTGCAGTGAGCTTTAATTGTGCCACTGCACTCCAGCCTTGGTGACAGAGTAAGACCCAGTCTGAAAACAAAAACAAGACCAGGCATGGTGGCTCATACCTGTAATCCCAGCACTTTGGGAGGCTAAGGCAGGTGGATCACGAGGTCAGGAGTTTGAGACCAGCCTGACCATCATGGTGAAACCCCGTCTCTACTAAAAATACAAAAATTAGCCGGGTGTGGTGGTGCACACCTGTTATCCCAGCTACTCAGGAGGCTGAGGCAGCAGAATGGCTTGAAGCCGGGAGGCGGAGGTTGCAATGAGCCCAGATCGTGCCACCGCACTCCACCCTGGGCGACAGAGTGAGACTCTGCCTCAAAAACAAAAACAACAAATCTCTGTCCTTTCAGAGACCCACCCATCCCGTGCCTACCCGGCCGGATTGAGACTCACCGAGCACTTGATGTTCATGCGGGAATACAGCATGGACGCAATCTCACTCTGCCCTGCGTCCAAGGCCACCATCAGAGCTGTGCTCCCATCCTGCAAAGTATCCGGTGCTATGAATGACGTCCCCATGCTGTGCTCCCGCCCTCCCCGGGGTGCACCTGGTTGGAGACTCACGCGATCTGTGAGTGAGATGTCACAGCTGGGCACGGCCAGCAGCAGCCCCGCGATCTCCTTGTGGCCGTGCTCACAGGCGCACATGAGGGCCGTGGAGCCGTCATCATCTTGCACGTTGACATCTGCCTCACAGGCCAGCAGGGCTTTGACAACGTCCACCCGCCCGTGGCTGACGGCCAGCATCAGGGCCGTCTGTCCTGCCTGGGGAGGGCAAGGAACAGGATTATGGTTCATGCAGGCCCCAGGGCAGGACACCCCCTGGTCTAGAACCTGCTGTAGCTCCCACATACTCTGATGGTGAAATGTACCCTCAACTTGCTGATCTCCTCCTGAATCTCAAACAACCCTCCCGTCACCAGGGGAGTAATAAATCCACAGAGACAGAAAGCGGATGAGTGGTTGCCAGAGGCTGGGAGAAGCGGGGGCGGAGGAAATGATGGATACAGGTTTCCTTTGGGGGTGAAGAGAACGTTCTGGAACTAGACGGAGGTGTTGGTTGCACAACAGGGTGAATGTATTTCATGCCAGTAGTGCTTTTGGTTTTGTTTTGCTTTATTTTAGAGACAGGGTCTTGCTCTGTTGCCCAGGTTGGCGTGCAGTGGCACGATCGCAGCTCACTGCAGCCTCAACCTCCCCAGGCTCAGGTGATCCTCCCACCTCAGCCTCCCGAGTAGCTGAGACTACAGGCATGCGCCACAATGCCTGGCTAATTTTTGTATCTTTTGTATAGATAGGGTTTTGCCATGTTGCCCAGGCTAATTGTTCCTTTAAAAGGGTTAATTATTTTTTTTTGGAGATGGCGTCTCGCTCTGTCACCAGGCTGGAGTGCAGTGGCGCAATCTCGGCTCACTGCAACCTCCACCTCCTGGGTCCAAGCAACTCTCCTGCCTCAGCCTCCTGAGTAGCTGAGATTACAGGCGTGTGCCACTACGCCCAGCTAATTTTTGTATTTTTAGTAGAGACAGAGTTTCACCATGTTGGCCAGGATGGTCTCAATCTCTTCACCTCGTGATCCGCCCGCCTAGGTTTACAGGCGTGAGCCATCGTGCCCAGCCTAAAAGGGTTAATTCTGGGCACTGTGGCTTACGCCTGTAATCCTGGCACTTTGGGAGGCCGAGGTGGGAGGACTGCTTGACCCCAGGAGTTAGAGATCAGTCTGGGCAACATAGCGAGACCATGTCTCTAGTAAAAAATAAAATTAATAAAATACAGCCTGGACAACTTGGCAAAACCCCAACTCTAAAAAAAAATTAGCCGGGCATGGTGCCGCACGCTTGCAGTCCCAGCTACTTGGTGGCCTGAGGTTGGAGGACTGTTTGAGCATGGGAGGTCAAGGCTGCAGTCAGCTGTGATTGCACCACTGCACTCCAGCCTGGGTGACACAGTGAGACCCTGTCTCAAAAAAATAAAAAATAGAGATAAAATAAAATAAAAAGTTAGAAATAAAGGAGTTAATCTTATGTTTTGTGAATTTCACCTTCTTTTTTTTTTTAATAGAGAGGAGGTGGGGGTGGGGGGGTGTCTCTAGGTTCCCCAGGCTGGTCTGGAACTCCTGACCTCAAGCAATTTATCCCGCTTTGTTCTCTCAAAGTGCTGGGGTTACAGGCATGAGCCACCTTGGTGAGCCTCACCTTAATTTTTTTTTTTTTGAGATGGAGTCTCACTCTGTCACCCAGGCTGGAGTGCAGTGGTGCGATCTCGGCTCACTGCAACCTCCGCCTCCTGGGTTCAAGCGATTCTCCTGCCTTGAGTAGCTGGGATTACAGGCACATGCCACCATGCCCAGCTAATTTTTATATATTTTTTTTAGTAGAGATGGGGTTTCACCATGTTGATTAGGCTGGTCTCAAACTACTGACCTCGTGATCTGCCCACTTTGGCCTCCCAAAGTGCTGGGATTACAGGCATGAGCCACCGCACCCGGCTAATTTTTTTTTTTTTTTTTTGAGACAGAGTCTCACTCTGTAGCCCAGGCTGGAGGACAGTGGTGCGATCTCAGCTCACTGCAACTTCCACCTCCCAGGTTCAAGCGATTCTCCTGCCTCAGCCTCCCGAGTGGCTGGGATTATAGGCACGTGCCACCACGCCCAGCTAATTTTTTAATTTTTTAGTAAAGGCAGGGTTTCACCATGTTGGTCAGGCTGGTCTTGAACTTCTGACCTCAGGTGATCCACCCACCTCAGCCTCCCACAGTGCTGGGATTATAGGCATGAGCCATGGCGCCTGGCCTTAATTTTTTGAAAATGAAGCCACTAAAAAAATTTCTTGGAAATTAAAACAAAATTAAATCAATAAAGATAAGGCAGGATCATGCCTGTTATGCCCCGTCACAGCTCCATTTTGTTCCTTTGCTGTCTTCAGACTGTTGACGATCCCTCTCCTCCTCACTGTCCTCAGTGGGTCCTGGCTTCCCTGCTCTTTTGCCCAGACACCTGTTCATAAGCCCCAGTCACCTCCACAGTGCCTGTTTCTGCTTCCCAACACACAGCTGAAGGGAGCGCTCAAACCAGGAATCAGGCCACGCCACTTCCCTGCCTAAATTCCCCTGGCGGTTTCCTGCAGCCCTGAGTCCAAACTGGCTTGAGTCCCGGTGCTCCCTAAAATGCTTATGGCTTGAAGAACGGGCTAGTGAGCTTCAGGAGACCATGCCTGCTTGTTCGCCATTTCAGTCCCCAGTTTTCGGCCCAGGGAACCCAGCTGCTGCTCAATGAACTGTCCAGCAGGATGTGGGATGGGGTCATATTAAGAAAGGTAAGGACCCTCATATCCTCTACTCCTTCTAGTTTCCACAAGAAGGTCCTGTGTCAGAGACAGCCTGGCCATGAAGAGCAGGGCTCTGGAGTTAGACCACCTGGGTTTGGGCCTGTCACTCAGCTGGGATGTCATAAAGTAGGAAGAGCCACCTGGATCTGCAGCAGCCGGGGTCCCCATACCTGGCTGGCTTTGGCATTGATGTTGCCAAGCCGGAAGAGCTGAAGGACAGTCTCGATGTCGTCCTGGGTCTTCAGGGTGGCCAGGGCGGTGAGCATAATAGGGCTGTAGCCAGCACGGTTCTGTTTGTCCACCTTGCAGACACCTAAGAGACATGGTGTGAACCCTCAGACCAGGGATCGCTGCTAGTGGACTGCCCCAAGGAACGTGGATACCACGTCTCGTCCATCAGTCTAGGCATGCCCTAATCCCTCCCTTTTCTCAGAGGACCCCACTCTGCCCTAGAGGTCTCCATCTCCATTAGACCTGGGGCTCCTAAAGTTGGAGACAGTTCCTCCTCCATCAGATTTGGGGCCCCTGATGCTGGCATCTATATTTAGGGCTGAGAATAGAAACTGGGTCTCCCCTGTTAATTTTGGAACAGCCATTTACCCTCAGACTGGCCCATGTCTCCCCCATCAGATTGTGGGCCCTGAGTCCTTCATCAGCCCGGGAGGCTGTCTCCCCCAGTAGGAGAGGGAAGGGCAAGTTTCTTACTAACTGAGGACCACGTCTTCTTTCCAAGCCCCAGACTTGAGGACGCATCCCTCTCTTAGACCAGGGCTCCAGAGATGTCACCTCCATCATGCAGGCGTGTTAGGTTCACACGTTTCCCTAACATCACTTCTGCCTTTTCCATTATGCTGGCTAAAGGTAGGGCCCGTGCCTCCCCCACCAGACTGGGAAGGAAGTGTCTCCTCCATCAGACTGGGAGGACAGCATCTCCCCCATAAGACCAGGAGGGTAGAGTCTCTGCTATCAGACTAGGAGAGTCATGTCTCCCTCGTTAGACTGGGAAGGTGGTGTCTCACTCATTAGACTAGGAGGGTGGTGTCTCTGCCATTTGACTGGGAAGACAGCGTCTCCTCTATCAGACTGGGAGGGCCACATTCCCCCAACAATGAACCGGGAAGATGATGTCTCCTCCATTAAACTAGGCAGGTGGTGTCTCCTCCATCAGCCTGGGAGGGTGGTGCCCCCCCCATCAGACTGGAAGGGTGGCATCTCCCATATCAAACTGGGAAAGTCACATTTCCCCCATCAGACTGGGGAGGCAGCATCTCCTCCATCAGACTAGGAGGGCCACATCCCCACCACAATGAACTGGGAAGGTGTCTCCTCCATCAGCCTGGGAGGGTGGCATCTCCTCCATCAGACTGGGAGGGCGGCATCTCCTCCATCAGACTGGGAGGGCCATATACCCCACCCCATTGAACTGGGAAGGTGCCGTCTCCTCTATCAAACTGGAAGGCTGGTGTCCCTCCACATCCAATCGGAAGGTGGCATCTGCCACATCAGACTGGGAGAGAGGTGTTCCCTCTATTATACTGAGAAGGCCGCGTCTCCTCCATCATCTTCCCCATCAGATGGGGAGGGCAGTGTCTTCCCTATCAGACTGGGCATGGCGGACAGCTGGCTGGTTTAGAGCCGCCTCGTCCTCCCCGCTGGGCTCACCGCTGTCGAGCAGCTGCTGCACCACGGGGAAGTTGGCATGAGACACGGAGTAGTGCAGGGCTGTGTTGCCGTTGCTGTCGGCGATGTTGACCACGTAGTCCAGCAGCCGCGCAGACATGGCCCGGAACGTGACCAGGTGCCGCCGCACCAGCTCGGGGTGTGCGTCGCTGCGGCAGGCCAGGCGCAGCCACTCCTGCAGCACTGTGGTGTAGGCCACTTTCTGCATGCGAGTCAGGTGGGAGAGGATGTGAGGGCGGGGGAGGCCCACTGGGACACCCCCCACCCCAGATGCGCCCCCGGAGCAAAGCGTGGTGCCCTTGTCCTGGAAAACGATCTCAAGGGAAGTGCAGACCCTCCCAAAGGGAAGTGTAGACATCTCTGTCCCAATAAGACCCTTGGAGTGAGGTGTGGACTTTGCAATCCCCAACACGTTCCCCAAGGAAGGTGTGAGCACCTCCACCCTGGATATAATTTCTCTCTCTCTCTTTTTTTTTTTTTTTTGTGAGACAGAGTCTCGCTCTGTTGCCTAGGCTGGAGTGCAGTTACATGATCAGGACTCACTGCAGCCTCAACCTCCTAGGCTCAAGCTATCCTCCCGCCTCTGCCTCCCAAGTAGCTGGGACCACAGGCGTGCACCACTATGCCTAGCTAATTTTTAAAACAATTTGTAGAGGCTGAGTGCAGTGGTTCACGCCTGTAATCCCAGCACTTTGGGAGGCCAGGGTGAGCGGATCACTTGAGGTCACGAGTTCGAGACCATCCTGCCCAACATGGTGAAACCCCATCTCTACTCAAAATACAAAAAATTAGCCAGACGTGGTGGCACATGCCTATAGTCCCAGCTACTTGGGAGGTTGAGGCAGGAGAATTGCTTGAACCTGGGAGGCAGAGGTTACAGTGAGCTGAGATCGCACCACTGCACTCCAGCCTGGGTGACAGAGCAAGACTCCCTCTCAAAAAAAAAAAAAAAAAAAAAAAAAAAAAGAATTTTTTTGTAGAAATGGGGTCTCACTATGTTGCCCAGGCTGGTCTTGAACTCCTGGCCTCAAGCGATCCTCCTGCCTTGGCCTCCCAAAGCACCAGGATGACAGGCATGAGCCACTGCGCCCAGCCCTGGTTATAATCGCCAAAGTCAAGTGTAGATGCCCAAAAAGGGAAATCTGGGTGCCCCGCCCCTGAAGCCCCCAGGAAGAACAGGAACCCAAGGCCAGGCTTGGCCAGTGAGTGTTCATCCTCCAGCCTCTCCCCATCTCCCTGGCCTCTCTCCGAGGCCCATGACTTGAGCACCACCACCCCCATGCTCTGGGCTTCAGTGTCAGGGTCCCCACTAGGCAGGAGCAGGAAGTCACTGAGGATGAGGAGAGGCCACGGGTGGGGTGGAGGTAGGGGTCCGGGGGGTGGCCAACCTAGGCCCAGGGCCAGATCGTACCAGCTCCCGCTCTGTGAGGGCGTTGGGATTGTCCAGGTACTTTTCCAGGGCCAAGCAGGCTGAGATGAGGTCAGGGCTTAGCTCCATCCTGCCAGGAACAGACAAAGCGGGGAACTAAGTAAGCCCCGCTGCGGTGCCTGGGAAGGGACTTGACATTCTGCACCACGTCACTCACAATAGGGTCACCTGAATGGTGGCATCTCAGACCCTCCTTCACCCGGGACACACATTTACATTGCACCCCAAGGGGCAGCTGTGGGGAACATGCAGACCCCCAAGGGAGAGTGGACACACAAGCCAAAGTTTATTCCAAATGCCCACTGGCAGATGGAAAATATTTCCCAAGGGCAAATTTTTTCACCAGGGGAATAAAAAAGAGACATAAATAGAACAGACAGGTAGAGGAAACGTCCCAAAGTAGGTGGGTGATTTTGGGATAAACTTTGGCTGGTCCCCTAAATCCTAACCCCGGCAGCCCAAAATAGTTCCACCAGGCCCTTTAGCAAAGCCTCCAGAACTTCAGATGCCCAGAAGGAGCAAGTGCTCGTTTGCTAATTCAGACTAAAGTGTGCATGACTGATAGGAGGGTCCTTCAAAGGGCTTGAACGGTGGGGGTTTGAGGCAGAGGTCATCCACCCCCGGCCCTGCCTGAATCCCTCCTACCCAGAAAACTGACCTGATCTCCTCCTCCGTGTTTGATCCTGATGCCCCCTCAGCAGTGGGTATGTGCTGAGATTCTCGAGACAGCTGACACTCCTGCCGGCTGGTCTTGGCCGCTGCCGTCCCTGCAGGCCTGAGCTGGGGGGCTTCGGCCACACTCGGAACCCTCTCCCTCGGCTCTGGGGCCTCGTTCTCTGTGCTGTCGTTGTCTGAGATGTTCTCTGCTGTGCTGGAGTCCTCGGATGACGACTCATACCTGGGGAGGAACGAGCGGGGAGGGGGAGATGCTGCAGGTGGGATGAGAAATGGTGGGAAAGGAAGGCAGGGATCTGGTGATCTGACCTCTGTGGGCCTCAGCTTCCCCATCTGTTCAATGGCAGTATTGACATTCCAGGGTTGTGGGATGTGGTTTACAGCAACTGGCACACAGTAAGCGCTCAATAAACATTAGCAGTGATTATGATCATGCTCGGGGGGAGGGGCACTGCTTTTCACCTCCTGCCTTTTGACACTTCTAGCATACTCACCCTCCTTTTTTTTTTTTTTTTTTTTGAGATGGAGTCTTGCTCTGTTGCCCAGGCTGGAGTACAGTGGCACTCACTGCAAACTCTGCCTCCTGGGTTCAAGCAATTCTTCTGCCTGAGCCTTCCAAATACCTGGGACTACAGGTTTGCACCACTGTGCTCGGCTAATTTTTGTATTTTTTAGTAGAGTCGGGGTTTCGCCATGTTGCCATGTTGGCCAGGCTGATCTCGAACTGGGTTTACAGGTGTGAGCCATTGCGCACAGCCACCTCTAGCCATTTTTTTTTGAGACGGAGTCTCGCTCTGTCGCCCAGGCTAGAGTGCAATGGTGTAATCTCAGTTCACTGCAACCTCTGTCTCCTGGGTTCAAGCGATTCTCCTGCCTCAGCCTCCCAAGTAGCTGGGACTGCAGGCACCCACCACACCCAGCTATTTTTTGTATTTTTAGTAGAGATGGAGTTTCACCATGTTGGCCAGGCTTGTCTCGAACTCCTGAACTCAAGTGATCCACCCGCCTCAGCCTCCCAAAGTGCTGGGATTACAGATGTGAGCCACCGCGCCCGGCCACTTCTAGCCCTTTTAACACAGGTGATTCAGACTCCTGTTCCACTGCAAATAGGGCTCTCTCGTGTTTCTTGCTGGCTCTGGACAAAACCTAATCAAGCTTCTAGGCTCGGCATTCAAGGCCCCAAACCAACCATCACTCCCTGCACCTCCCACTTCTCGTGTCACTCTGCTTTCCCACCTCTGAGCCTTTACCCACGCTGTGCCCCTGCCAGAAGAGCCCTCCCCACACCCTCTCTTCACCTTGCTAGCTCCTACTTCTCCCGTACCACCTGTGTCTCCTCCTTCTGGGACTCCCCTAGGGCCACCTGTGTCTTTCTTGAGGACCTGCACCACCTGAGTGTTCCCCATCACGGCTCCAACCACCCATCAGCACCCAGCTCCCCACTGGACCAGGAGCTCTATCAGGGCAGGAAGCGGCGTCCGGCACCTTCTGTGGGGTAGAGCTGTGCAGTGGTTACACCTTGAGCTCTTGAGCCAGGGCACGCAGGGCTGACTCCTGGGTCACTGAGTGAGCTCCAGAAATGCGCTTAGCCTTCCTATGCCTCAGTTTCCTCATCTCTGTGTTGTGGTTTGATTAAACGAATTAACCAAAGCAAGGAGCTCAGAATGAGGTAATTAGGAGGCTCTCGTGCGTGGATGAATGGAGGAGGGGCGGGAAGTATGGGGTGGGGGGTGGGGTCTTCTCCTCTCACCCGCCGTTGACCCCCACGAACTGGAGGCTCCTCCGGTGGGCCGTGGGGTCTGCAACCTCCTCTTTCCGTTTCATGATAGATCGCACGCCTGCCGGGGGCCCGCCTGGAGGGGAGGACAGCGGAGGTGCTGTGAGAGTCCTTCAGGGCCAGACTCCGAACTGGCGCCATCCCGGTGCCCCGTCCCTCTTGGCGGCCACCCACCACTTACCGGTGCCCCCGGCCTCCTCGGACTCTTGGGAGGCTGCTTGCCTGGTGGGCTCCCTGTGGGTGGGCTCCTGGGTGGGCACTCGGCCTGTGCTCTTCTCAGGCTGTGTAAGGGAGGCTACCTCGGACCCCGGGGGTGACGAAGACGATTCGGCAGGAACTTCTGGGAGGCCTGGAGGGACAGGAAATGAGTGTCTGCTCTTGGTCATAAAAGCCAAACCACCACAGCCCTGCGGGTCATACACCCTGGGCCAGGAGCTGTAACAGGGCTGATTTTTGTGTTACCACATCCAGTCTTCCTGCCCCTTGGAGGGAAATCGGATTATTACAGATGAGGAAACTGAGGCACAGAGCTGCCAAGGTAACCCCTTGAGCAGGTGGCAGAATCCAGTTTGGTGCCTGCCCAGCAGCTAGTCAGGGACAGGGACAACCCTGTGGCCCCATATTCCTGGCTCGAGCCTGAGTGATCGCTAAAAATAAGGTTTGGCCGGGCACGGTGACTCATGCCTGTAATCCCAGCACTTTGGGAGGCTGAGGCGGGCGAATCCCCTGAGATCAGAAGTTCGAGACCAGCCTGGCTAACATGGTGAAATCCCGTCTCCACTAAAAATAGAAAAATTAGCCGGGCGTGGTGGTGCACACCTGTCGTTCCAGCCACTCAGGATGCTGAGGCAGGAGAATTGCTTGAACCCGGGAGGCGGAGGTTGCAGTGAGCAGAGATCACGCCAATGCACTCCAGCCTGGGCAACAGAGCAAGACCCTGCCTCTCAAAAAAAAAAAAAAATCAGAGATAAAAACACGTCTTGGTGGCCAGGCACAGTGGCTCATGCCTGTAATCCCAGTACTTTAGGAGGCTGAGGCGGGCAGATCACGAGGTCAGGAGTTCAAGACCAGCCTGGCCAACATGGTGAAACCCCATCTCTACTAAATATACAAAAATTAGCTGGGCGTGGTGGGGGGATGCCTGTAATCCCAGCTACTCAGGAGGCTGAGGCAGGAGAATTGCTTGAACCCGGGAGGCAGAGGTTGCAGTGAGCAGAGATCACACCACTGCACTCCAGCCTGGGTAACAGAGAGAGACTGTCCTGAAAATAAAAAATAAAAAAAAAAAACACATCCTGACTAAAAAAACGAAACGAAACAAAAGAAAACAAAAGACAACAAAAAACACCCACCCAGGTTGGTCTGAGGACAAAGGTGACTTCCTGGATGCTGAGGTCCTGGACTGCCAGCCAACAGCGTGGAATAAAAGTCCAGTTTCCTTTTTGTGTAGCCACCAATGTCTTGGAATCCACTCAGGTCCCCCTGGGCCACATATGGCTGCTTTGTAAGACAGGGTTTCACTCCCTTCACTGAAGCTTGAGTGCAGAGATGCGATCTTGGCTCACTGTAACCTGTGCCTCCCGGATTCAAGTGATTCTCCTGCCTCAGCCCCCTGAGCGGCAGGCAGTAAAGGCGCATGCCACTGTGCCCAGCTAATTTTCTGTAATGTTTGTAGAGATGGGGTTTCACTATATTGCCCAGGCTGGTCTTGAACTCCTGAGCTCAAGTGATCCGCCTTCCAAAGTGCTGGGATTACCTCCGGAGCAGCACCGCCCAGCCCATGCATGGTTTCTGTGTCAGCATTTCCTCGGGGGTTCCCCTTCCTGTCCCCCGGGGCGCCAACTCTGAAGACCAATTAATTTGAATTCCCTTTAATGGCTAAAAAGGTTGTTGGGGTTTTTTTCTTTGTGACAGGGTCTTGTTATATTGTCCAGGCTGCTCTAGAACTCCAGAGCGCAAGGGATCCTCCCACCTCAGCCTCTCGCATAGCTGGGATTATAGGCATGAGCCACTATGCCCAGCCTTAAATTTTTTTTTTTTGCCATATACAGTGACTTCCTGAGGCCCACAGGCAATATTCAACTTTAGTACAGAACGGTGACCAAATGCTGGACATAGGCAAAGAGTAACATAGACAGGGCCGGCTGCATGAGACACTCGGTCATCGGCATGGCCAACAGCATCCCCAGACCAGGGTGTGGCCAGCTCATACCACAGAAAACATAAAAACCATGCCAGAGCCAAGGCTTGAACTCATGAGTGGGGAACTGAGCGAGAGCAAACGCCAGTTGCTATGTCCCTCTATGATTTTTCTTTTTAAACTTGGCAATAAATTCACGTGAAACAAACAAACATACTGCATGGCCAGGAGACAGATTCACAATCTCAATCTCTGCCCAAAATGCAGGGCGCCTAACTTGAAATCCTGGAGAGGCCGGGCGCAGTAGCTCACGCTTGTAATCCCAGCACCTTGGGAGGCTGAGGTGGGTGGGTCACTTGAAGTCAGGAATTAAGAGACCAGCCTGGCCAACATGGCAAAACCCCGTCTCTACTAAAAATATAACAATTAGCCAGGCATGGTGGTAGACATTTGTGATCCCATCTATTTGGGAGGCTGAGGCAGGACAATCGCTTGAACCCGGAAGGCGGAGGTTGCAGTGAGCCGAGATCATGCCACTGCACTCCAGCCTGGGGGATAGAGCGAGACTCTTGTCTCCAAAAAAAAAAAAAAAAAAAAAAAAAAAATTCTGGGAGAGCCAAAAAATGAGGTGGAGCAATATTATGCTAAGTGAAAGAAGCCAGATGCAAAAGGGACAAAAACATTGCATGATTTGATTCACAGGAGTTCCCTAGAGTTGTCAAGATTTATTATTATTATTATTATTATTATTATTTGATACAGTCTTTCTCCATCGTCCAGGCTGGAGGGCAGTGGCGTGATCTCGGCTCACTGCAACCTCTGCCTCCCAGGTTCAAGTGATTCTCCTGCCTCAGCCTCCTGAATAGTTGGGATTACAGGAGCCAACCACCATGCCCGGCTAATTTTTGTATTTTTACTAGAGACAAGGTTTCACCATGTTGGCCAGGGTGATCTTGAACTCCTGACCTCAAGTGATCCATCTGCCTCCGCCTCCGAAAGTGCTGGGGTTACAGGTGGGAACCACTGCGCCCAGCCCTAGAATTATCAGATTTAAACAGACAGAAAATAGAATGGTGGGTGCCAGGGGCTGGGGGAAGGAGAATGGGAAGTGTGTTTAATGGGGACAGTTTCAGTTTGGAAAGATGAGAAAGTTCTAAAGATGGATGATGGTGACAGTTGCGCAACAGTGTGAATGGGCTGGACATAGTGGCTCACACCTATAATCCCAGGACTTTGGGAGGCTGAAGGGGGAGGATCACTTGAGCCCAGGAGTGTGAGACCAGCTTGGGCAACATAGGGAGATCCTATCCCCAACAAATACAAGAAAAAACAAACAAACAAAAAAATGATGCAAATGTACTTAATGCCACTGAATTACATACTCAAACATGGATAAGATGGTTAATTTTTTTTTTTTTTTTTTTGAGACGGAGTCTTGCTTTGTCATCCAGGTTGGAGTGCAGTGATGCGATCTTGGCTCACTGCAACCTCTGCCTCCTGGGTTCAAGCGATTCTCCTGCCTCAGCCTCCTGAGTAGCTGGGATTACAGGTGTGTGCCACCATGCCTGGCTAATTTATATTTTTAGTAGAGATGGGGTTTTGCCATGTTGGCCAGGCTGGTCTTGAACTCCCAATCTCCAGTGATCCACCCGCCTCAGCCTCCCAAAGTGCTGGGATTACAGGCTTAAGCCAACACGCCCGGCCAGATGCCAAATTTTATGTTCTATCTATGTTACCACAATATTGTAAATGGCGAAAAAATTTGAGAGGCTGAGGCAGGAGGATCGCTTGAGGCCAGGAGTTCAAGACCAGCCTGGGCAACATAGCAAGACTCTATCTCTGCAAAAAATTAAAAAGTTAGCCAGGTGTGGTGGAGTGCGCCTATAGTTCTAACTACTTGGGACTATACTTGGCTGAGATGAAAAGATTGCTTGAGCCCGGGAGTTTGAAGTTACATTGAGCTATGACAGCACTGCTGCACTCCAGCCTGGGTGACGGAGTGAGACCCTATCTTTAAAAAAAAAAACAAAAAAACAAAACAAAACAAAAAAGCCAGGCGCGGTGGCTCACGATTGTAACCCCAGGACTTTGGGAGGCCAAGGCAGGCCAATCACAAGGTTAGGAGATCGAGACCATCCTGGCTAACACGGTGAAACCCCATCTCTACTAAAAATATAAAAAATTAGGAAGGCATGGTGGCACGTGCCTGTAGTCCCAGGTACTTGGGAGGCTGAGGCAGGAGAATCGCTTGAACCCAGGAGGCAGAGCTTGCAGTGAGCCGATATTATGCCACTGCACTCCAGCCTGGGTGACAGAGTCAGACTGCCTCAAAAAAAAAAAAAAAAAAAAAAGTAAAAAAAATCAAACAAACTAGAGCAGAACCAAAGCCCACTCCGCCCCAACAGAAAAGCAGGCAGTGACTTCAAAACCTGGGATGGCTCCTTCCAGTCTAAGGAATTGAAGGTTAGACTTGGAATGCTAGCATAACAAGAAGTAATAATAAAATTGATGATACTTATTATTGTTATCCCACTGGGGAATGGGGCCAACTGACACTAAAATTTACACAAAAGAACTAAAGTCCATTGATAAGCTAAGACAATTCTACAAAACAAGAGCACAGATGGAGTAGTTGGTCTGTGAGAGAGTAAAACATATTTCAAAGCTACAACCATGAGAACAGCAGGGCATTTTTGCATTAATAAATGGACCAATGGGACAGAGAAGACAGGCTCCAATCTCTGGGCACTGAGGGTAAGACAGAGGGGGTTTCCCCAAGCCAGTGGGAGACGGTGGATTCTGTGGTGTGGTTTTAGGAGAAGCAGCTTACTTTACATGAGAAGAGCCAAGCTGGATCTCTATCTCATAGCATACACAAGAAAGAAACTGTGAAGAATTAAGATGAAGGTACAACTACAAAGCTAAAGGGAGATAATGTAGCAGACTATCAGGGACTCAGGAAAGGGAAAGATTCATTCATTCATTCATTCATCCAGTGACACAGTCTCACTCTGTTGTCCAGGCTGGAGCGCAGTGGCGTGATCACAGCTCATTCCAGCTTCGAACTCCTCGGCTCAAGTGATCCTCCCACTTCAGCCTCCCGAGTAGCTGGGACTACAGGCATGCACCACCATGCCCAGCTAATTTTTTTTTTTTTTGAGAGAGTCTCGCATTGTCACCCCAGGCTGAAGTGGAGTGGAGCCATCTCAGCTCACTGCAACTTTCGCCTCCCTGATTCAAGTGATTCTCCTGCCTCAGCCTCCCGAGTAGCTGGGATTACAAGTGCCCGCTACCATGCCCAGCTAATTTTTTTGTATTTTTAGTAGAGATGGGGTTTCACTATGTTGGCAAGGCTGGTCTTGAACTCCTGGCCAATTTTTGTATTTTTTGTAGAGATGGGGGTCTTACTATGTTACCTAGGCTGGCCTGGAACTCCTGGGCTCAAAGCAATTTTCCCACCAAAGTGTTGAGATTACAGGTGTGAGTCAATGTGCCCAGTTAAGATTCTTTTAAAAATTCTTCCAAGCACAATCCACATATGCAAAATATAATGGTTTTACCTATATTCAAAATGAAGACTTCTGGCCAGGCATGGTGGCTCATGCCTGTAATCCCAACACTTTGGGAGGCCAAGGTGGGCGGATCACTTGAGTCAGGAGTTCGAGATCAGCCTGGCCAACATGGTGAAACCCAGTCTCTACTGATAATACAAAAATTAGCAGAGTATGCTGGCAGGCACCTGTAATCCCAGCTACTCGGGAGGATGAGGCAGGAGAATTGCTTGAACCTGGGAGGCAGAGGTTGCAGTGAGCCGAGATCGTGCCACTGCACTCCAGCCTGGATGACAGAGCGAAACTCTGTCTCAAAAACAAAAACAAAAACAAAAATGAAGACCTCTGAGATCCTCATGGGTGCGGTGGGGGAGTGCCGGAGTTTGGCACAGGCAAAAATTGGCAAGGGATAATCTTCTAGAACAGGGTCAACAAACCTGGGAAGGGCTAGATAGCAAACATTTTTGGTTACGTCACACATAAGGACTCGGTTGCAACTGCTCAACTGTGGCATAGTTCTAACACAAAACCAGTCACAGACAGTATGTAAGTGATTCCGCGTGGCTGTATCCAATAAGTTTGAATTTCACATAATCTTGTCATGTCAAGAAATATTTTTTTTGAGACAGGGCAAGACTCTACTTTTTTTTTAATGTGAAAAAAAAAAATCAATAAATAAACTAGAGCAGCGCCTAAATCCCATTCTGCCCCAACAGAGAAGCAGGCAGTGACTTCAGGGAACTTCTTTTTTTTCTTTTTTTTTTTTGAGATGAAGTCTCGCTCTTGTTGCCCAGGCTGGAGGGCAATGGCGTGATCTCAGCTCACTAGCAACCTCTGCCTCGCGAGGTCAAGTGATTCTCCTGCCTCAGCCTCCCGAGTAGCTGGGATTACAGGCACCCGCCATCATGCTCGGCTAATTTTTGTATTGTTGTAGAGATGGGTTTCACCATGTTGGCCAGGGTGGTCTCGACCTCCTGACCTCAGTTGAGCCACCACGCCCAGTCTACTTCAGGCAACTTCTGTTGCCCAGGCTGGAGTCCAATCATAGCTTGCTGCAGCCTCAAAATCCTGGGCTTGCCGGGCATGGTGGCTCACGCCTGTAATCCCAGCACTTTGGGGGGCCGAGGTGGGTGGATCGCTTGAGCCCAGGAGTTTGAGACCAGCCTGGGCAACATGGTGGAACCCCATCTCCACAACAACAACAACAAAATTCCTGGGCTCAAGGAATCCTCCTGCCTCAGCCTCCCAAGTAGCTGGGACTACAGCTGCACGCCACCATGCCAAACTAATTTTTAATTAGTAGAGATGGGGTGTCACTATATTGCCCAGGCTGGTCTCAAACTCCTGGCCTCAAGTGATCCTTCTGCCTTGGCCTCCCAAAGTGCTGGGATTGCAGGTGTGAGCCACTGTACTTGGCCCAAAATATATTTTTAAAATCATTCAACCATTAAAAAAAAACGTAAAAATCATTCTTAGCTGTGGGTTGTAGAAAAACAGGTTTCAGGCTGTATCTGGCCCACAGGCCGTAGTTTGCCAGTTTTGACTCTGGAAGATACCAGCAACTTCTAAAAACTGCTCAGAGAAAAAATGGAGAAAGGCTACAAGTAATTGACTTACAGAGGAACCTTATTAGGCATACACAGAGAAGCCCTATCTCTCACTGCCTATCAGAGCTATGCCAATGAAAACAATAAGGAGGGCTGAATTCCGAGGCTCGCATTTATAATCCCAGGGCTTTGGGAGGCTGAGGTGGATCACTTCAGCCCTGGAGTTCGAGACCAACCTGAACAACAGAGCAAGACCCCATCTCTACAAAAAATTACCTGAATGGGATGGCACTTGCCTTTAGTCCTAGCTACTCAGGAGGCTGAGGTGGAGGGATCACTTGAGCCCGAGAGGTTTAGGCTGCAGTGAACTGTGACTGTGCCACTGCACTCCAGCCTGGGTGACACAATGAGACCCTGTCTCAAAAAACAAACAAAACAATGAGGAGATACCATTATGTAGCAGCTGTCAGATGGATAAAAAAAATTAGAAAGACAGGGCCGGGCGTGGTAGCTCACACCTGCAATCCCAGCACTTTGGGAGGCCAAGGCGGGTGGATCACCTAAGGATGAGAGTTTGAGACCAGCCTGGCCAACATGGTGAAACCCCGTCTCTACTAAAAATACAAAAATCAGCCAGGTGTGGTGGCGGGTGCCTGTAATCCCAGCTACTAGAGATGCTGAGGCACAAGAATCGCTTGAACCTGGGAGGCGGAGGTTGCAGTGAGCCAAGATCGCGCCACCGCACTCCAGCCTGAGAAACAGAGCAAGACTCTGTCTCAACAAATAAAAAAAGAAAGAAAGAAGAGGCCAGGCGCGGTGGCTCACGCCTGTTAATTCCAGCACTTTGGGAGGCCAAGGCGGGCAGATCAACTGAGGTCAGGAGTTGGAGACGAGCCTGACCAACATGGAGAAACCCCGTCTCTGCTAAAACTACAAAATTAGTCAGGCGTGGTGGGGCGCATGCCTGTAATCTCAGCTACTCGGGAGGCTGAGGCAGGAGAATCGCTTGAACCCGGGAGGTGGAGGTTGCGGTGAGCCAAGATCACACCACTGCACTCCAGCCTGGGCAACAGGAGTGAAACTCTGTCTCAAAAAAAAAGAAGAAAAATTAGAAAGACAGATAAAGCCATATGTTGGTGAGGATATGAGAAAATGGACAACTTGAACCGGAGCACGGTGTTAGGAGTGCGGATAGGGACAGCCTTTTTTGGAAAGGATCAGACAGGACTTGGAGTGAAGTTGCAAATCCTCTAGGAATGGGCAGTCCCACAGAAGGGGTCGTGTGAAGATGACTCCAGCATTGTTCGTGGTGGCCGGAAATTAGAAGTAACCAGATACCTACTGTGAAGGGATTAGAGAAGAGGGTAGGTGGGTGGGGTGGCTCACACCTGTAATCCCAGAACTTTGGGAGGCCAAGGCGGACAGATCATGAGGTCAGGAGTTCGAGACCAGCCTGGCCAACGTGGTGAAACCCCGTCTCTACTAAAAATACAAAAATTAGCCAGGCGTGGTAGCAGGGCATCTGTAATCCCAGCTACTTGGGAGGCTGAGGCAGGAGAATTGCTTGAACCCGGGAGGCAGAGGTTACAGTGAGCTGAGATCACGCCACTGCACTCCACCCTGGGCAACAGAGCGAGATTCCATCTCAAAAGAAAAAAGGAAGAAAAAAAAGAAAATAAAAAGTGATAAATCAGATTTACAAACCTCAGTGTGGAGAGTTCAAAAATAGTGTAAGGAGAGGAAAAAATAAGAAACAGAAAGAGATTTTTTTCTGAAGCACAACACCATTTAAGGAAATGAAACACGCACAAGGCATATTTTTCAAGGACACTCAAATGTCTAAATAAGTTTCTGGAAGGTGGTTTGTAAGGAATGGGATTAGATGGGGTGGGGGTGGCACTGACGGTGGAGAGCGGAGGGTGGTGAGCTTCAGTCTGTGGGTGCTGTTTTTACATTTTTAAATGGATGGGAAAGAAGAATTTAATTTGGGACTCATGAAAAGTATGTGAAATAGAAATTTCAGGGTCCTGCAAATAAAGTTTTATTGGAACGCAGCCACGTTCGTTCATTTCCATATTGTCTACGGCTGCTTTTGCAACTGCAAAATGAAGGCCCTGAAGCACCAAATTCAAAAAGGTATACATTAAATATGTGCATTTTTTTGCATATTAAGTATACGTCAATAAAATCAGAAAAAGCTGGGCACGGTGGCACACGCCTGCAATCCCAGCTATTTAGGAGGCCGACGTGGAAGGATCACTTCAGTCCCCGAGTTCGAAACCAGCCTGGGCAACATAGTGAGACCTCATCTGGCAACATAGTGAGACCTCATCTCAATAAAAAGGATGAAAGGAATAAAAATAAAGTGGGGAGGAAAAAAGAACTGAGGCAGAGTTGAATCAATGCAATAGAGACCGTATGACCTGCAAAAGTGAAAATATTTACTGACCCTTAGCATTGAAGGTTGAAGGTGGAGGCTGAAGGTGAAAAAATAATAAGTAATACAAGAGAAGTGGTCTGCACAGGCTAACGTGGATGGTTGTCAGGAGCTGAGGAATGAGATGAACTCAGTTTTGGACTCCTGAAGGCCAAAATAATTTTTTTTTTTTTTGAGACGGAGTCTCACTCTCACTCTGTCGCCCAGGCTGGAGTGCAGCAATGCGAGCTCAGCTCACTGCAATTTCCGCCTCCCCGGTTCAAGCGATTCTCCTGTCTCAGCTTCCCAAGTAGCTGGGATTACAGGTGTGTGCCACCACACCTGGCTAATTTTTGTATTTTTAGTAGGGGTTTTTGCCATGTTGCCCAAGCTGGTCTCGAGCTCCTGACCTCAGGTGATCTGCCCACTTTGGCCTCCCAAAGTTCTGGGATTACAGGCATGAGCCACCACACCCGGCCCATGTAAATTCTTTTTTTTTTTTTTTTTAATTTAGGCTGGGTGCGGTAGCTCATTCCAGTTTGTTCAACCCCTTGATAAGCCCGAGCCTTTGCTTATCTCAGGGCCTTTGTCCCTGCTGTGCTCCTCCCTGGAACATTGTTTTTTCCACCTCTTCTGGTGACTTCTTTCATGTCTTCATTCAAAGATGCTCCTTGGAGGGTGGGTGCCGTGGCTCATGCCTGTAATCCCAGCACTTTGGGAGGCCGAGGCGGGCAGACCACAAGGTTAGGAGTTCAAGACCAGCCTGGCCAACATAGTGAAACCCCGTCTCTACTAAAAGTACAAGAAAATTAGCTGGGTGTGGTGGTGGGTGCCTGTAATCCCAGCTACTTGGAAGGTGGAGGCAAGGAGAATCGTTTGAACCCAGGAGGTGGAGGTTGCAGTGAGCGGAGATAGCGCCATTGCACACCAGCCTGGGTGGCAGTGCAAGACTCCATCTCAAAAAAAAAAAAAAATGCTCCTTTGAGAGGCTATAGGGCCAAGAGCTGACCTTGGGCACCAAGTATCAACCATGCCTGGTACCATGATGAACACTTGACATGAATTGATTCTCTCCCCCCCCACCCCCGCCCACAAGATTGGTCTTGCTCAGGCTGGAGTACAGTGGCGTGGTCACAACTCACTGTAGCCTCGACCCCCTGGGCTCAAGCAGTCCTCCTGTTTTGGCCTCCGAAAGCTCCAGGATTACAGGCATAAGCCACTGCGCCTGGCTGAATTGACATATTAAAGCCTCACATTATTCCAGTGACACTGTGCCATCAGGACCCCCGATTTGCAAATGAGGAAACTGAGGCATAGAGAGATTTCATCGCTTGCTCAAAGGCCGAGAAGGTTGGATCACCTGAGGTCAGGAGTTTGAGACCAGCCTGACCAACATGGTGAAACCCCATCTCTACTAAAAATACAAAAATTAGTCAGTCATGGTGGTGCATGCCTGTAATCCCAGCTACTCGGGAGGCGGAGGCAGAAGAATCGCTTGAACTCGGGAGGCGGGGGTTGCAGTGAGCCGAGATTGCATCACTGCACTCCAGCCTGGGCGACAGAGCAAGACTCTGTCTCAAAAAAAAAAAAAAAAAAAAAAAAAAAAAAAGGAAGATATAGAAATGAATTAAGACATTCCAGCTTGGCTCAAGCAAGGCAGAGATTGGGGCTGGCTGCAGCAAGAGGGAATAAAATGAGACTCCAGGAAGAACTTTCAGGCAGCAGCTTGAATGCAAAGAAGGTGGACATCGCTATGTCTGTTTGTCCTGCAGGCAGAAGGCCTCTCAGCTGCTCTGGGAGGCACGTCTGGAATGGTGGTTGCCTCTCAGAGATTCCGAGGCTGGGCCAGGCGGAGCCTCTGGCAGGGGGCCAGAACCTCAGGACCTGGTGTTTGGGATAGACACAGAACAGGCGGGTGGTGTCCAGAGCTGGCCAGGAACAACACGGGCCGGCGAGAAAACACAGCTGGGTCCCTGCCCTCCAGCCTGTGCCCTCCAGTCTGTTGGTAGGGGCTCTGGCCACCTGACATTTGAGGCTGGGATGAGAACTTGGGCCCTACCTTCGAGCCCTGCTGCAGATTCAAGCTGTCCTGGTTATTTATTTCTTTTTTCTTTTCTTTTCTTTTTTTTGAGATGGAGTCTCACTGTCATCCAGGCTAGAGTGCAGTGGTGCGACCTCGGCCCAATGCAACCTCCGCCTCCTAGGTTCAAGCAATTCTCCTCCCTTAGCCTAGCTAGGACTACAGGCGTGTGCCAACACGCCCAGCTAATTTTTGTATTTTTAGTAGTGACAGGGTTTCGCCATATTGGCCAGGCTGGTCTTGAACCCCTGAGCTCAGGTTATCCACCCACCTCGGCCTCCCAAAGTGCTAGGATTACAGGCCTGATGTTCTGGGTTTGGATACTGGCTCAGTTGAGCCACTTCCTGGCTGTGTGACACAGGACAAATGAATCTCCTCCCTAAGCCTCAGTTTCCCCAGGTATGAACAGGTTGACCAGAACATTATCAGCAGAAGCAGCAACCAGTACTTAACCGTGTGCATTAATTCATAAATTCTCCACCTCTCTAGAGGTGGAGAGCATTATCATGCCACTTCACAGATAGGGACGTTTAGGGCTAGAGAGGTGATGTTGCTCACCAGTATCACACAGCATGAGTTTGAACGCACCTGGCAGAGCCTCCCTGACCATGTTTCCAGAAGAACAGCTGTCATTATTATTGTTGAGACACAGTTTCACTCTGTTGCCCAGGCTGGAGTGCAGTGGCACAATCTCAGCTCACTGCAACCTCCGGCTCCCAAGTTCAAGCGATTCTTGTGCTTCAGTCTCCCAAGTAGCTGGGATTACAGGTGCCGGCCACCACGCCCGGCTAATTTTTGTATTTTTAGTAGAGACAGGGTTTCACCATGTTGGCCAGGCTGGTCTTGAACTCCTGGCCTCAAGTGATCTGCCTGCCTCTGCCTCCCAAAGTGCTGGGATTACAGGCGTGAGCCACCGTGCCCAGCCAGCTGTCATTATTATTATTAATTATTTTGAGATACAGTTTCACTCTGTCGCCCAGGCTGGAGGGCAGTGGTGTGATCTTGGCTCACTGCAACCTCCGCCTCCCGGGTTCAAGCGATTCTCCTGCCTCAGCCTCCGGAGTAGCTGGGACTACAGGTGTGCGCCACCACGCCCGGCTAATTTTTGTATTTTTAATAGAGATGGGGTTTCACTGTGTTGGCCAGGCTGGTCTTGAACTCCTGGCCTCAAGCGATCCACCTGCCTTGGCCTCCAAAGTGTGGGATTACAGGCGTGAGCCACTGCGCCCGGCCCAGCTGTCATTATTATGAGTCATTTGGGTGGCTTCTCCCAGGGACCTCAGGACAACCCAGCAGCTGACATTCTGCACAGCCGGCATCCCCTTTCCTGGCATGAGGACTCAGTACTTCCTCTGGGAAGCACCCCCTTCCTCCCTCAAAGGCCACAGGGCTTGGGTGGGGCTCCCCTACCCCCGGCGTCCATGGCTAGGCAGACAGGGACACCGTGATTGGCTCAGCAATGGGCACATGACCCAGGCCAGCCAATGAGGGCCCCCTCTGGGATTTTTACTGGTGCTCTTTGGATTAAGGATCTCCCTCTCCACTAAACTGGACAGACAGATGCCTGGAGCAGTGAGGTCACTTTCCCTTGCCTGCCTGAAAGAGAAGCTCCCAGGGAAAACAAGAAGAGAAAGGCACCAAGTTAGATTCCTGATGATATCTGAGCACTGAGGCCAGCGTGGTGGCTCATGCTTGTAATCCCAGCACTCTGGGAGGCCAAGACAGGAGCATCATTTGAGCCCAGAAGTTTGAGACCAGCCTGGGCAACATAACAAGACTTTGTCTCTACAAAAAATAAAAAAAATTAACGAGGCACAGTGGTGCATGCCTGTAGACCCAGCTACTTGGGAGGCTAAGGCGGGAGGATTGCTTGAGCCTAGGAAGTCAAGGCTGCAGTGAGCCATGATTACACCAACTGCACTCCAGCCTGGGCAATGGAGCGAGACTCTATCTCTTAATAACGACAACAAGAACAAGATATTTGTGCACCTGGATCCAGCCATGCCTGAAGCTGTCATCAGTTACGTAATAACACATTTCCTTTTCACTGCTTGAACAGCTCCGAGATTGATTCCTGCCACTTACTGAATAAACAGGGAGGTTTCTGCCTGGTAAACCAACAGCCTTGGGGAACTTTCCCCCAAATACCTCCCACTTTCTGGATACTGACAAAGTGGCAGTCACCTAATTTCTCTGCATGGTTGCTACAGCCCTGAGGGTTGGCTGCACAATTCTCCTCCTTTTGTGGATGATAAGACAGAGACTCTAAGAGTTGGACTGATGTGTCTGGTGGAAGGTCGGGGGCTGGGGCTGGACCTTGGCATTCTTTTTTTTTTTTTTTTTTTTTGAGACAGAGTCTCCCTCTGTTGCCCAGGCTGGAGTGCAGTGGTGTAATCTCAGCTCACTGCAACCTCCGCTTCCCTAGTTCAAGCGATTCTCCTGCCTCAGCCTCCTGGGTAGCTGAGGTTTACAGGCGCACGCCACCACACCTGGCTAATTTTTGTATTTTTAGTAGAGATGGGTTTCACCATGTTGGCCAGGCTGGTCTCCAACTCCTGACCTCAAGTGATCTGCCCGCCTCGGCCTCCCAAAGTGCTGGGATTACAGGCATGCGCCACCGCACCCTGCCTGGACCCTGGCGTTCTGAGAGTCCAGGATGAGCCATGGGAAGAAAGAGGCCCCCCCCCCCCAAGCCATTCTCCCCTGCCTGCCTGCGACCGCTTACCTGCTGCTCCATCGCAGCTTCGCTCTGTGATGCTAATCTTCTTCACCATATGGACGTTGCTGGTAGCTGCAGCGGGCACTGGGCACATTGTCTCCACCACCTCCTGGCTGCGGAACACAGGTGGGCTCTCAGGCCTACCAGGCATTGCCAGGGCCCTCAGCCCTGTGCCGTAAGGCTCCAGGCTCTGGGCCCGCTGTGCGGGGGCGCCAGCGGCTGTGCTGGCCACCACCTCCACCTCCCGTGGCCCTTCTACCACCCGGACTGTATCCACGCGGACCGGGCTGTCCGGCGGTGGCCAGGCCTGGGGCTGGGGGTCAGCCTGCCGGGCCTGAGCTGCCTGCAGCTCCTGCAGCGCCTTCTTGAGCTGGGTCTCCAGCACAGCGACCTTGGCGGCGAGGGCAGCCTCCCCATCAGGCATGCCCAAGTCCCGTTCTCGAACCCAGGTGCCCACACTCCGGGTCTCCAGTGCCACTGGGTCCTCTGGGGGATCGGGGAGGTCCAGGCAGAGCTCGCTGCGACCCCGGCCCGCTGTGGGGTGGCCCAGGAACTTCTGGCTCTTAAGTTGTACTGTGAGCTGCCGCTTTTCCTCCTGGAGCACCGAGAGCTTCACCTGGAGCACAGGGATCAGCTTCACCTGCTCCTCCAGCTGCCGCAGCTTCCGCAGGGCACCCGCCATCTGCTCCCGCACGTGGGCCAGGTGCCCGGCACTGGGAGGCACCGGTGTGGACAGTCCTGAACTCCGTGGTGTCGGGGGTGGCAACCCCACGCCCACCAGGGAGGCTGTCGAGCCGGCCGCACTGGGGGTCAGGGAGCCCAGGCCGGTGGGTGTGGCCGCCTGGTCCTCGAGACGGCGACGGGCATCCAGCAGCGTGCGCTCCACCCGCGGATTGAAGCCACCGCGGGTCTCCAGAGCACCATACTGAGGGTAGAAGCCACGGCCGCAGTAGGAATAGGCTGAGTGGCGGCTGTCCCCACTGGCATTGGAGCACAGCGACTCAGTGGACGTCCACCAGGAGCCAGGGCCACGGGGCAGCGAGCTCAGGCGGGGGCGGCGCTGCACTGCCACGCGTCGCAGCGTGTGGCCCTTCTCGATGTCATCCACGTACTTGAGGAAGTCCAGGTCCAGGCGGTAGCCATAGGGGGTCTCCACGGAGTAGGGTGGATCGGGGTCCTTGGCAGGGAAGGCAGGTGGGGAGGCTGGGCCAGGGGTCCCTGGGGATGGGAGAAACACCAGGACCTTTGAATCCTCTTGTCCCCATTCTCAGGGTGAAGACTGATGCCTGGGGAGAGTTGGGGTTTATTTGCCGAAGAGATGGGAGCCCACCTGGTACTCAACCGCGTCTGCTCTCAGACCCTCCAGAGCAGGGCTATGCCTCCCCTTCAGACTCCCGGCGCTAGGCTATGTCGCCTCTCAAATCCCCCAGGACAGGGCTCTATCCCTCGGCTTAGACTACCCCCTTTTTCCGGTAAGACTCTGCCTCCCCCTTCAGACCCTCCCAGGGCAGGACTCTGCCTCCTCCCTCAGACCTCTAATTGTTGGGCTGTGTCCCACCCTCAAAGTCCCCAGGGCAAGGTCCCCAGCCCCCTCAGGCCTCCAGAACTGAAGCTCCCCGGGGCAGGGCCCTCTTCCCTGAGTCCCCTGACCTGGGAAGGGAGCAGGCACGTGCAGGACCTGGGCCATCTTCTTTTCTACAGATGCTCCTTGGAAGTCACTTGAGGGACTGCGAGTCAGACTGCCTGCAGCACCGGCTGAGGCTTACCTGGGGAAAGAGAACCACGGCGCCGGGAGTTAGGAGTCTGTAGGGGGAGGGGAGGAGATGAGGCCAGCCCCCTCCACAGCTGGTTCACCCAGCCCCCCAACCCAGGTCTGGGACCCACTCATAGACGCACACCCAGCCTGGCTGCGGAAGGGCCCCCCCCGACCCCCTCCCCCCCGCAGGTCTGGAACAAAGAAACCAAACCTCACTGCCTGCTTGCACATCTGTCCAGGCCCTGGACAGGCTCCAGCTGTTCCCATAGCCCAGCCTCCACATAGCCCTGGGGCTGGGGGGCCCCAAGCCCAACAGGCCCCACCCTTCCTGCACCCCCTCCCCTCAGCCCAGGCCCGGAGCTGGCCACACGGAAGGATGGGGGTTGAGGCGCTAAGGGGTTGGGGAAGAAGGGAACCTCGTCTTCCTGCAAGGATCTGAGGAGACAGAGACGCAGGGGGACAAAGAGAGGCAAAGCATGGCGAAGGGGACCCCCAGTGACCCCAAAGCTGAGAGCTGGGTCAGGCCTGGACTGGGTCGGGGGGAAGGGGTAGGGAAAGTTGGGGAGGCAGCTAGGAGTGAAGCCTTTCCCCTTTATGGAAACAATTTTCTCTAAAAATAAACAGTTTCACTGCCGGGCTACACAGAACTTCCTGCCCGCCTAGGATGCGTCCGGGCCCAGGGGCGCAGTAGGGATAGAGGGCCGGGTGGAGGCCCAGGAAGTCCTGGGGGTGGAGGGGAGGAAGTAAGAGGGGGCGCCTGGAGGCTGCAAAAGGGAGGGACAGTCAGAGCCTCTCACTAAACCCCCCTCAGCCTTGGAGGCCGGCCAGGGCTCTTTTGTCCCCAATATAACCCATCTGAACTTGGCTGGTCCTTTCTGTTATCTGACCTCCAGCCATCATGCTGCAGAGGCCCCAGCCCATCCCACCATCAGAGTAAATCCTTTCTGGCCTTTGAGTGCTGGGGCCGGCAGGTACCTTGGGAGGATGGGCCAGGTAGGGCACCTGCTGGGCATGAAGGCAGGGCTGGGGCTCCAGGGGCACCTGAGCTTGTCCTTGTTCTCCCGTCCTGTCTTGCTTTGTCTCTCTCCAAGTCTCTCTGTGTCTCTCCACGTCTCTCTGTGTCTCTCCACGTCTCTGTCTCTCTGCGTCTCTCTCCACGTCTCTGTCCTTCTGCGTCTCTCTCCGTGTCTCTCTCCCTGTCTTTCCACGTCTCTGTCTTCGCTTCTCTGTCTTTCAACACCTGGAACACATGGTCACCAATTGCAGGAAATTCCGTTTTCCATTTGCCTGGAGGCTCACCCCTGAGCAACAGAAAGTTGATTGAAAATATTTTCTGGCCACCAAAGAGAGATGGAGAAGCAGGGAGCAAGCGGGATTGGAGCAGGATTGGAATAGCCGAGCGGGGTGGGCTGGGGGTGGGGGAAGTGAGGGTGCTGCTGGGTAAATAGTATAGTAACAGTAATACTAACATCAACTCTTTTTTTTTTTTTTTTCTGAGACGGAGTTTTGCTCTTGTCGCCCAGGCTGGAGTGCAATGGCGCGATCTCAGCTCACGGCAACCTCTGCCTCCCAGGTTCAAGCGATTCTCCTGCCTCAGCCTCCTGAGTAGCTGGGATTACAGGCACCTGCCACCACGCCTAGCTAATTCTGTATTTTTAGTAGAGATGGTGTTTCTCCATGTTGGTCAGGCTGGTCTCGAACTCCTGACCTCAGGTGATCCGCCCGCCTTGGCCTCCCAAAGTGCTGGGATTACAGGCATGAGCCACTGCACCCAGCCTAACATCAACTCTTTTAATTGTCATGACAATTCTATGAGATGGGCACTTATCGCCCCGTTTCACAGACAGGGGATGCAGAGGGTACAGAAAGGTACAGTGGCTTCCTCGGGGTCACTGGGGCCATGGGGAAGTGGCTGGGCCTGAACATGAACCTAAGCCTGGTGGATCCCCCCACTGCCCACCAAGCCACCACCCTCAGACTCCACATCAGATATCTCTACCCGTTTCCCAGATACGGAGACTGAGGTCTGAGGGTACTCAGTCATCTCACCGCCCTCGATGAGGACCAGCACGTCCCGAGTAAGGGGAAGAGAAAGGAGACGAGGGGGTGTGGTGGGGGAGATGGATGTCTGTGGCTGAGACCCTTCTCTCGCCATGGGACCCCTGGGGAATGGGGAAGGGGTGACAGGATAAGACAGAGATGGAGAGACTGGAGCCTATAAGAGGGGACAGGTAGGGAGCGCAGGGAAGGGGCGCGGGTCTCCCCAACCCACCACCCAAGACCGGCCTGCACATCGCGGAGGTCGGTGGTGGTGGTGGGGGGGGGTCTTCCCGCCCCAAACTCGGGGTGGGGGGAGGCGAGAAGGACCCCGCCCCGTGCAGAGAGGGGGCGGGGCCTGTGGGATCCCGGGCTAATGGCAAACAGCTGCCGCTCCCCACGCCGGCCCAGCCGCCAAGCCCAGGCCCAGCCCGGCCGGACGCCCGGCCGCCTTCCCGCCGTCTGGGGCATGGCCGCGGAGGAGGGCGAGGGGGGACAGTGCGGGGAGAGGGCAGAGCCGGGGAGGAACAGAGGCAGAAAGTGGGACAGAGACAGGGGAGAGCGGGCAGAGGGGAGCCAAGACAGGAGAAACGGGCAGGGCACGAGGAATCGATGGGGGGTACTGGGAGGAATCGATGGGGGTATGGGGTCAAAGACGAGGAGGGGGCAGGGACGCGGGGACAGACACTCCAAGTCTGGAAAGTTTGGGCACAGAAGGTGGAGTTGGAGGCAGCGGCTCGTTGAGACCAGCGAGGTCGTGTCCCAGGGTTGGAGGCGGGGGGTAGGGTAGTAGGTGTGTGTGGAGGGGGTGCACACTCGATCCCCGAACCAGACTTGAACCCCTACCCAGCCCCGGGTCCCACTCGCCTTGCGCGCTCCGGCCGCTGCCTTCCCTGGGTCCCGCCGCCCGAGCGTCTTCGCGCGCGCCGCAGCCTGGGCGCCCGGCCCTCGGAGGTGGCTCCGCCCGCACCACGCCCCCTCCGGCTGGTCCCGCCCCCCCAGCCGGCACCGCCCCCTCCAGCCGCCCGGGCGCCCCGGCCGCGGTGGGGGGTGGGGATGGAGAGACGCTGGTTGGAGACTGGATCTCACCTGGACAGCAGGTGTGTGTGCGCGCCGGGGTGTCCGGCCTCGTCCTTCCTTCCTCCCTAAGTCCCCGAGGCAGGGTCCTCCCACTGCCGGCCTCCCCCCCACCGCCTGCTGTCCCTGGGCCGCTGCGGGGGGCGGAACGGCTCGGCGGCGGGAGGGGGTGGAGCTGGCCGGGGCCCAGCTCGGGGAGGGCGCGCGGGGCGGGCGCGGCAGCGGGAGGTCACCCCTCCCCCAGGCGGCCCAGGGCTGGAAGCGGCCCAGCGCAGTCCTGGCACACGGTGGCGTGACCGCCGCGCGAGAAGGGAGGCTGCAGAGTCCTGGGCGCCGGCGCCAGCCAGACCTGCATTCCCATCCCAGACCCACCAAACTTTTGCTGCTCTGTGCCTCAGTTTATTCATCTGTAAAATGGAGATGATCATGTTAGCTACCTGATAGGAGCGTTGAGAAGATTCACTGACCATTAGGAAGGGGCCTAACCATCAGGAAGGAGGCCCTTCGGGTTAAAAACTCTCATAAATGGAGTGGCCTACTTTTGCAGAGATCTTTCTGGGAGCCCTTTTAGTACACAGCCAGCCACTCAGCAAGGGCTTAATAAATATTATTAAGCCGGCGAGGTGGCTCACACCTGTAATCTCAGTGCTTAGGGAGGCCAAGGCAAGAGGACTGCTTGAACTCAGGAGTTCGAGACCAGCCTGGGCAACATAGCAAGACCCTGTCTATGCAAAAAAATTTTTAAGTGAAAAAAAATTAGGCCAGGCGCAGTGGCTCATGCCTGTAATCGTAGCACTTTGGGAGGCCAAGGTGGGCGGATTATTTGAGCCAAGGAGTTGGAGACCAGCTTTGGCAATATGGTAAGACGCCATCTCTACAAAAAACAAAATACAAAAAACCACCTGGGGCCGAGAAATGGCTCATGCCTGTAATCCCAGCACTTTGGGAGTCCGAGGTGGGTGGATCATCTGAGGTCAGGAGTTCAAGACCAGCCTGGCCAACATGGTGAAACCCCTTCTCTACTAAAAATACAAAAACTATCCTGGCATGGTGGTGCACATCTGTAATCCCAGCTACTCGGGAGGCTGAGGTATGAGAATAACTTGAATCTGGGAGGTGGAGGTTGCCGTGAGCCGAGATTGCACCACTGCACTGCAGCCTGGGTGACAGAGTGAAACTCTGTCTAAAAAAAAAAAAAAGAAAAAGAAAAAAAAGCCAGGCACAGTGGCATGTGCCTATAATCTCTGCTACTCAGGAGGCTTGAGCCCCGGAGTTTGAGGCTGCAGTGAGCTATGACTGTGACACTGCATTCCAGCCTGGGGGACTGAGTGAGAGCGTCTGTTAAAAACAAACAAACAAAAACCAGGTATTGTTATTGCAGGTAAGCATGTGACATTATTTGTGTGTTGCCTTCCCTACTAGAACATCAGCTCCACAAGGGCAGGAATTTTTGCCTGTTGTCACCACGATGTCCCTGGCACCCAGTATGTTCTTGGTGTCCCCATTGATGATGCAGGGATGTGTGGATATGGGGCAGTGGACTGTGAGCATGTGATGAGCATGTGACCCAGCCCCTAGTGACCGCACCACATGGCACAGGTTGCTTATAAAAACCATTTTAAATTAAAAAAGGGAGGAAGCATCAGTGCACACAGATGGGGACACAGGGGCAG
This sequence comes from Homo sapiens, assembly GCF_000001405.40. NCBI lineage: Eukaryota > Metazoa > Chordata > Mammalia > Primates > Hominidae > Homo > Homo sapiens. The sequence goes on from NC_000019.10 coordinate 11,199,368, forward strand.
AGGGCCCAGCCCCAAGTACAGTGTGGTCACCCCACAGCCCAGTGGGCACCAGGGCAGACTCCCCTCGCAGCACAGACAGCTGAGGCCCGGGTGCTGGTTCCTCTAGGTACAGCTTTGGTCCTTGTGGGCTCAGAGGTCTGCCTTTCGGAAACTTGCTCTGTTCAAGGAGTTCCTGGAAAAAGAATGAGGGTGGGTCAGCATGGCCATGGGGCCCCCAACTCCATAGACCTCCCAGCCCACATCCTCTTCCTCCTCCTCCTCGTCTTCCTCCAAGGATCCTTCTGGGATCTCTCCTGTCCCTGATCTGGCTGTGGGATTCTCCGATTCTCTCTTGCAGTCCACCACGGAAGGTATGAATCATCCCCATTTTACAGATGTAGAAACTGAGGCTCAGAAAGATGAATTCATGTATCTGGGAAATGACTGCTCAGAGCCTGCCCTGCCTTTGTACATCTGGATGACATATTCAGATGCTTATGCAAAATTGAAGCCACCGCAGCCAGGCGTGGTGGTGGCTCATGCTGTAATTCCAGCACTTTAGGAGGGCAAAGCGGATGGATCACCTGAGATCAGGAGTTCGAGACCAGTCTGGCCAACATGGTGAAACCCTGTCTCTACTAAAAATACAAAACATTAGCCAGGCGTGGTGGCAGATGCCTGTAATCCCAGTTACTCAGGAGGCTGAGGCAGGAGACTCGCTTGAATCTGGGAGGCGGAGGTTGCAGTGAGCCAAGACTGTGCCAACTGCACTCCAGCCTGGGCAACAGAGGGAGAGTCTCTCAAAAAAAAAAACAAAAAAAAAACCGGAAACAAAACAAAGTCCAAGCTACCAGCAAACATGTTGCTGTGTATGTGTACAACAGCCCCCATCCTGTACCTGTCCTGGTCTGCCTCTGCATCCCCTCTCTAGTCTCTAGGATGGGGGCACTAGGTCAGGCACCTGAGGCCGGGTGGGGTGGGTGCCATCAGCTGGGGCAGGCGCTGGGTAAGCAGGGGCTGCAGAGCCTCCCGCAGGCGGCAGTAGTTGCGCTCCAGCTCACGGTGGTACTCCTTCTGGTCCGGCCCAATCAGGGCCTTATTTTTCCGCAGCGCATCCTCACATCTGAGGGCCAGAGGGTGGGAGATGCTCAGAGACTCGCACACGGGACTGAAAGCAAGACTAGGGGTGGGGGCACCCATAAGGCGGGACCAGGCCTGCAGAAAGACCCGCAATAGGAGGTCAGGTTGGGAGAGTGGACTTAATGGGAATCGGGCAGATGGGGGAGCCATGCAGAGATCAGATGGGCAGAGAGCAGGCCTATGCAGGTTAGGCAGACACGAGACCCCTCCTGGGGGGTTTTGCGCCTACTTCTTGCAGAAGTCCTTGAAGCAGAGCCGCAATTTGTTGTGATGCCGGAAGAGCTTGGGGTCTTCCGGGATCTCTGCTAAAAACACCTGGGCCACCTCCAGGGGACCCTGTGGGGTGAGAGGGACTGGTGAGCCAGCCTGCATGGCACCTGGAGTCCCCCGTGCGGCTTGCATCCCCCTTCCACCAGCCGTGCCTGGTTCACGGTGGGCCCTACAGAGCCCTGAAGCACCATCTGTAGCATCTTAGCATCTGGTGGGTCCTGCTCGGTGGCAAAGGCCAGCTCCCGTGTCTTCTTCTGCATGTCCTCGATGGCCACCTCCACTGGCGTCAGCACCGTCTGTGGGGTAAGGGGAGGGGTGTGTACTCGCTGGGGCCTGAGGAGGTCCTGATCGAAGCCAGTCGGGGGCAGCTCAGACCCCGCTGGGAGTGAGAGGGGTCCAAGAACCCAGGCAATGAACAGAATCTGGGGGCCTTCCTGGGTCTGACTCTGGGGGGGTCCAGCCTTGGGTCTGCTGGGTCTGGTGCCCTGGGGTCCAGGGGCTTTACCTCTGGGGTCTCCAGACTTCCTTGGGTCTGGAGGTAGAGATTTGGACTGGAAGTTGGAGTTTGGGGTCCCCAACCTGGTTCTGGGGTACATGAGCCAATTTCTGGGTCTAGCGTGTCCACGCCTCTCCTCTCTGGGTCTGGAATCCCTGGGCTTCTCCTCCCTGGGCCTTCTTAGATTTGGAGTCCCTGTGCCTCCCCTTTGTGAGTCTAGAATCCCTGGGTCCTCCTGGGTCTGGAGGTAGAGGTTTCAGTTTAGAGATTGGAATGCAGGGTCTCCATATCTTCTCAGCCCAGTTCTGGGGTACCTGGGCCTCTTCCTGGGCCACACCTCTCCTCCCTGGGCCTTCCTAGATCTGGGCTCCCTCTGCCTCCTCTTTCTGGGTCTGGAATCCCTGGGCCACCCTGGGTCTGGGGTCCCTGCATCTTGCCTCCCAGGTCTCCCTGGGTCTGGTCTCCTCCCCTCCCCTCCCTGGGGATCTGGTCTAGGGTCCCTGTGCCACCCCTCTCTGGGTCTGAGGTCCGTGAACCACCTTGGGTCTGGGTCCCTGTGTCTACCCTCCCCTCCCCTCCCAGGGTCTGATGTCCCCTCACCTCCCCACCCCCGCCAGGCCCAGGATCCCCACCCACCTCCTCCCGGTGGCACACACGGATGCGAGTCTTGATGTAGGGGAAGGCGTGGTCGGTGCTGAGCAGCGTCTTACGCTTGTGTTGCTCGGGCAGCTCCCCGTGTGCGCGCCCATCCGGCGTGAACGGCGTGCAGAACAGGAATGTGCGAAGCCCATAGTTGCGGTCAAAGTAGGTCACCCGGTCCTTGAGCTCGTAGGTATCAAAGTACGGTTCCACATACGTGATCTGGATGTAGGCCTGGGCGCAGGGTCAGGTGTGAGGATCCCACAGCCCCAGCACGCACAGCCCAAGCCCTGTTCCTGGAGAGAGGGGATCTGGGGACTTTGTCATTTCCAAGTCTTCCTATGTCTGGATGTTTGGGAATCCCCTGAGGAATAGGTTTTGGGGTCCCTCAGTGAAATATGATTTGGGGTTTCCCAGAGAAAGAGGATTTGAGGGTCCCCAGGAAACAGCACTTGGAGTCTCTGTGAATCTAAGATTTTGGGGAAATGGTTGGGGGACCCACCTTTTGTGAGTCAAGCTTGGACTTGTCCACAGGGTTAGAGTCTTTGATAATCTCAACGACGTCGTCGCCAAATCTCTCCGTGTAGAACTCCTGGAGACACAGGGCTGACTCGGGGCCACCCAGGGACAGCCCCTACTCCAGCCCCAAGGCAGCCCCATGCCCCGTTCCACCCCCAACCACAAGGACGTGCCTCCAGCCGGTGTGAGATCTCTGCCAGCTTCGTGATCGATGGCTCCTTGTACACAAACTCCTGCTCATCCAGGTCACCGAAGTGGGCGCCGTAGAAGCCCACGCGGAAATACGTCCCGAACACGCGCTGGGGCTGTGAGAAAGGGTGTGGTTGTCCGGGAGGCCCCTGCTGGAGGTCTCCCTGCCCCAGAGATAGGTGTCTCGAATATCAGGATGGGAGTGTGAGGACCCCGAGAACATCAGGGCATGGGCACAGGCAGGGGGCCCTGAGAACATTGGGGCATGGATTGCAATAGGAAGTTAGGACTGGGGCTGTATTGTTTACGGGTGTGTCCCTAATGCCCGTGGGACAGGGTATACAGCAGGTACCCAATACATGCATAGATGGCTGAGGAGAGGGATGGCTGTCTCTCACTCTAGGATGGAGGCTCTGCCTCCTTTGTTCTAGGGCATTCTCCTTCCTGTGCCCTGAGGCCCACAAGAATGGGTATACAGTAGGTACCCCATAAATGCTTGGATGGCTGAGGGAAGGGATGGCTGTGTCTCACTCTAGGACAGTGGCTCTGGTTCCCTTGTTCCATGGCATTCCCCTGCTCCTGTCCCCAGCCCTAAGTTTGGAAGAAGGAACCCCCTCCCTACCACCCTAAAAACACCACCCCATGACTGGAAAGGAAGTAGAATGGCTGGATGTTCACTTACCAAGGCCGATCCGGGGAGGATGGGGCAGACATGGTGGGGCCAGAGGTGTGGGGGACAGAGAGACAATGTCATGGGAGAGGTCAGAGGTCAGAGTTCCCTCAACCCCCAGGGTCCTGGTTAACACTGCCCCGTGAGAATCATTCCGTGGGGGGAGAGATCAGAGACGGGAGGGGGGCGGGGGCGAAGAGGACCTGCCCTCCCCACCCAGCTCCCACCCAGCCTGCCTGCCTGGGCTCTGGGTTTCTGCCATCTTTGGCCAGAACATTCTCCCCAAACTAGGAGATGCCTAAAAATAGACCTAAGCAGGGAAGAAGCGGGATTCGGGGGGGCTGGAGCGGGAGGACACATTAACCAGAAATGAGGAGCAGAGAGCCTGGGGGAGGCTGGAAGCTGGGTACGCAGGGAGAGACAGAGACTAAGAGACAGTGAGATACCAAGATAGGGAGAGCCACGTGATAGACTGGGGAGAGATGAGAAAGAGACCAAGAGACCATGAGGGAGTCAAGAGTCACCCCGCCACCCCCCTGCAGTGACCAAGCTGGCCCTGGCAGAGGGAGGGGTGTCTCTGGAGAGCTCCCAGCTGGGTGAGTCACAAGCTGCCCTCGAGATCTGGGGCGGGGGGTGGGGGCATTTTTGGGGAAGGGAGGGAAATAATGGGGTGGGTCCCTTGTGGCCACAGCCCCAGCCCCAAGGGCCAGCGGCCATGCTCCTCTGGTGCCCCCTGGTGTTCACTGATGGCTGCTGGCCAGTCATCACGGGGGTCCCAGAGGCAGGTGGCTGTCCACCAAGGCTGACTCACCTCCCAGCCGGAACTCTGTGGGGAAGAGAAGGGTCAAGGTCAGCAGATCCCTGGGGATGAGGAGTGGGGATGAGGAGTGGGGCTGAGGGTGGGGTCTGGGGAGGGGGTCCTGGGCCCACCTGGTGCATGATCTTGGTGAAGGCCTCCTGCAGTTTGCCGTGCACCGCGGCCAGCTTCTTGTAGTCACGGTGGGCTTCCAGGATGGGGATGAGGTTCTTGTAGACCTCATTCACCGCCTCGTAGAGCCCGCCCTGAGGGTGAGGTGGGGTCAGGATTCCCCAAACTGTCTTCCTCTCTCCACTGTGCTCCTGTCTACCCATCTCCCTTGTGAGCCTCCGTGCTCCTACCCACCCTCCATCACCTCCTCCAGGAAGCCCACCCTGACCACCCCTATCCCAGATAGGGGTTGAGCCTTTCCACTCAGCTCCCACAGAGGGCTCCATGGTCTTCACTGCTACTTATCTTTTTTGTTTTTTTGAGATAGGGTCTCACTCCATCACCCAGGCTGGAGTGTAGTGGTACAATCATAGCTCACTGCAACCTCCAACTCCTGGGCTCAAGAGATGCTCCCACCCTAGCCTCCCACATAGCTGGAACTACAGGTACATGCCACCATGCCCAAATAATTTTATTTTAGTTTTTGTAGAGTCAGGGTCTCACTATATTGCCCTAGTTGGTCTTGAACTCCTGGGCTCAAGTGATCCTCCTGCCTTGGCCTCTTGATTAGCTGGGATTACAGGTGTGAGCCACCACTCTCCCAGCCCTTCACCACTTTTAGCAAGAATATTCTATGGCACAGGTACGATGTACATCTGCACTTCACCCATCTGTCTTCCCTCATTGATGGGAGAAGCAGTTTTTTTTTCCTATTCCTCAAAGAGGAAAGTGAGTCTCAGAGACAGAGGCATTCCCCAGGGCCAAGACCCAAACACCCACCCATCTGGCCCTGTGCCCATGACCTCCATGCCCAACTGCCTTCTGGCATGTGGTAATATGCCCCTCACCCCCAGCGGGTGCTGGCATCAAGCCTGGCTCAAAACAGGCATCCTGTGAGGTTTGCTGACTGTCAGAAGGCCTGTGTCCACCCCCTGGTTTCTTCCCCTGAGGCTTTTGTGTGTGTATGGTTTTTTTTCGTAATCTTTTTTTTAATACTTTGGGGTACATGCGCAGAACGTGCAGTTTTGTTACATAGGTATACACGTGCCATGGTGGTTTGCTGCACCCATCAACCTGTCACCTACATTAGATACTTCTTCTAATGCTATCCCTCCCCTTAACCCCACCCGTGTATTTTTTTTTTTGAGATGGCTGCAGTCCAGTGGTATGATCTCGGCTCACTGCAACCTCTGCCTCCTGGGTTCAAGCAATTCTCCTGCCTCATCCTACTTAATAGCTGGGATTACAGGCATGTGCCACCACGCCCAGCTACTTTTTTTGCATTTTTAGTAGAGACGGGGTTTCACCATATTGGCCAGGCTGGTCTCGAACTCCTGACCTTGTGATCTACCCACCTCGACCTCTCAAAGTGCCGGGATTACAGGCGTGAGCCACTGCACCCAGCCATATTTGTATTTTTAGTAGAGATGGGGTTTCACTATATTGGCCAGGCTGGTCTCAAACTCCTGACCTCGTGATCCGCCTGCCTCGGCCTCCAAAGTGCTGGGATTACAGGCATGAGCCACTGCGCCCATGCCCAGCTAATTTTTTGTATTTTTTTTTTTTTTTGTAGAGGCAGGGTTTCTCTATGTTGCCCAAGCTGGTCTTGAACTCCCGACCTCAAGTGATCTGCCCGCCCCGGCCTCCCAAAGTGCTGGGATCACAAGCGTGAGCCACCGCACCTGGCCCTTCCTCTGAGGCCTTCGTCTCCAAGAATCCAGCAAAGTGACAATAATGAAAATAATGTCACTAAAGGGCCAGCACCACAGAAGAAATCTCACTGGAACACCTGACTTCAAGTGTGACCTTGAATCTCACTGAGCTCTCAAATGTAACTGCCAGTTCCCCAAAATGTGAGGAACTGAGAAACAGGTAAAATGACATCACATGGACACAGCCAGCCCCACACAAACCAGAAAAACACACGGAGCAAAGGCCCCAGGGCTCCTGCAAGTTAAATGTAGAAACCACCAACTGCCCTCATACAAACAAGCAAACTAGAGAAGAAAACCCCTTTTCCACAGTGGAAAATCAGTTGCCGGGCATGCTGGCTCACGCCTGTAATCCCAGCACTTTGGAAGGCCGAGGCGAGAGGGTTGCATGAGTCTAGGAGTTCAAGCCCAGCCTGGGCAACATAGCAAGATCCCATCTCTTAAAAAAAAAAAATGAACGAAGAAAAAAAAATTAGTTGGGTGTGGTGGTGCGCACTTATAGTCCCAGCTACTCAGGAGGCTGAGGTGGGAGGATCACCTGAGCCGAGGACATAGAGGCTGCAGTGAGCCAGGCTGCACTCCAGCCTGGGTGAGAGAGTAAGACCCTGTCTCAGAAAAAAAAAAGAAAGAAAGAAAAAAGAGACTTAGGATACAGATCAGCGACAGCCATTGTGGGCCCTTAATGGATCCTGATTCAAACCAAGTCACCCCAGAAAAGATACATCAGAGATCATCTGGGACATCTAAATATAGAGTGCAATGAAATAAAGGATGACCATTAACTTGGCCACGCGGGATAAAAGTTTTATAAAAGGGTCTTTATCAGGAAGGGTTGCACAGGGGGTACTTGTGGGAGTGGTGGGAAAATAGCTGGGATTTGTGGTGGTTTTTTTTTTTTTGTTTTTTGTTTTTGGAGACAGAGTCTTGCTCTGTCTGTCAGGCTGGAGTGCAGTGGGCATGATCTCAGCTCACTGCAACCTCCGCCTCCCGGGTTCAAGCGAGTCTCATCCCGAGTAGCTGGGATTACAGACACCTGCCACCATGCCCAGCTAATTTTTGTATTTTTAGTAGACATGGGGTTTCACCATGTTGGCCAGGCTATTCTTGAACTCCTGACCTCGTGATCCGCCTGCCTTGGCTTCCCAAAGTGCTGGGATTACAGGAGTCAGCCACTGCGCCCAGCCTGGGATTTGCTTTAAGCTGGAGCTTCTCCAACTTGAAGATGCATGCGAATATCCCAAATCTTTATTTTATTTATTTTTTGAGACAAGGTTTCACTCTGTCACATAGGTTGGAGTACAGTGGCACGATTACAACTCATTGTAGCCCCAACCTCCTGGGCTCCAGTGATCCTCCCGCTTCAAGCTTCCTGAGTAGCTGGGACTACAGGTGCATGCCACCACACCCAGCTAATTTCTTGTATTTTTTTGTAGAGACAGGGTTTGCCATGTTGCCCAGGCTGGTCTTGAACTCCTGGCCTCAAGTGATCCTCCTGCTTCAGCCTCCCAAAGTGCTGGGATTACAGGCATGAGCCACTGCACCTGACTCATTTTTATTTTAGTATAGAAAGTTTCAAGCATTGCTGGGTGTCCCAGCTACTTGGGAGGCTTGGGTGGGAGGATTGAGTGAGGCCAGGAGTTTGAGACCAGCCTGGGCAACATAGTAAGACTCCCTCTCTATGAAAAAATTAAAAATTGGCAGGGTGTAGTGGCACAACACCTGTAATCCCATGACTTTGGGAGTTTGAAGCGGGCAGATCACTTGAGCTCAGGAGTTCAAGACCAGCCTGGGAAACATGGCAAAACCCCGTCTCTACAAAAAAATACAAAAAATTAGCCGGACATAGTGATGTGTGCCTGTAGTCCCAGCTACTCAGGAGGCCAGGGTGGGAGAATCACCTGAGCCCTGGAGGCCGAGGTTGTAGTGAGCCATGATCACGCCACCGCACTCCAGCCTAGGTGACAGAATGGAGGTCCTGTCTCAAAAAATATCACAAAGAAAAAATATATATAATAATTTAAAAATTGGCCAGGCATGGTGGCATGTGCCTGTGTTCCCAGCTACTTGGGAGGCTGAGGTGGGAGGATTACTTGAGCTCAGGAGTTCGAGGCTGAGTGAGCTACAATCACACCACTGTACACCAGCCTGGGCAAAAGAGCAAGACTCTGTCAAAAACAAACAAACAAAAAAACAAGAAAGGAAAAAAGAAAAGAAAGGAAAATTGAAAGCATCTCTAATGTATGTAAGGCTTGCTATATCAGGCCTGCATCAAGGGTCTCATGGAGACATAGGCAAATAACAGGGCCTCTGAGAAACCCAATTCTCCTTCCTTTTTTTTTTTTTTTTTTTTGAGACAGAGTCTCACTCTGTCACCTAGGCTGGAGTGCAGTGGCGCAATTCTGGCTCACTGCAACCTCTGCCTCCCTGGGTCAAGCGATTCTCCTGCCTCAGCCTCCCGAGTAGCTGGGATTACAGCCGTGCGCCACCACGCCCGGCTAATTTTTGTATTTTTAGTAGAGACAGGGTTTCACCATGCTGGCCAGGCTGGTCTCGAACTCCTGGCCTCATGACCTGCCTGCCTCCGCCTCCCAAAGTGCTGGGGTTACAGGCGTGAGCCACCGCGCCCAGCCTATTCTCCTTCTTTCTAAATCCCCTGCTGGAAGGGTCTAGGAAGCAGATCTGATGGCACCTCCCTGGCCCGAGCCCCCTCTCCTGCACCCAGTCCCCAAGGCCTCACCATGGTGAAGTAGCCGGCTGCCTGTTCCAGCAACCCTACCAGCCCCAGCTCAGTGAAGTGCTTCCCGGAGCAGAAGCCCTCCTCGTCGGGCGACAGGATGTCGTCGGAGATGGCGGACTCCTCTAGCACGTTGGATGAGATGTTCTGGGGTGGGAGAGGTGGCGTCAGACCCTGGTCCCCACTGCACTCGTGCCGTCCGCCACCTGCCAACCCCTGGCCACTCACCTGGAAGGAAACGCAGCCCACGGGCAGGTGGCGGTGGTCCTCGAGCAGGGCGAGGTACTCAGCCACGAGGGCGGCCGCGTGCACCATGCACTGGGCGGCCTCGGCGTGGTTGCCCAGCTCCGCGTGCTTCCCGGCCATGTTCTGCAACCAGGTCAGCCGAAGGTCCGGTGAGCCCTGGTAGCCCCGGGCAATTCTGGAGTCCAGGTGAGGGGGGATGTGAGGAGGGGACTCACCTGGTCCTCCCCACCTGCCTCCCACTTGTCCATTCTCTTCACTGGTTACCCCCATGTCCGCCCCAAGGACCAGCCAATCTCCTCACCTGTACCCCATCCCCTCACTCATTCCCTCACCTGGCCATCCCTCATCTATCTCCCCACCTGTCTTCCCCTTCGCCTATTTTCTTACCTGCTGGCCAGTCATCTGTCTTCACCTGTCTCCTCCCCTGCCTACCTTACGTATTCCTGTAGTCATCTTCCTCCTCACTTGTCCTGCTGTCTCCCACTGACCAGCCAGTCTCCTCACGTGTATCCTACTCACCTGTCTATCCCCTCACCTGTCCACCCCCTCACCTGTCCGTCCCTTCACTTGTCTATCCCCTCACCTGTCCACCCTCTCACCTGTCCATCCCTTCACCTGTCTATCCCCTCACCTGTCCACCCCCTCACCTGTCCATCCCTTCACTTGTCTATCCCCTCACCTGTCCACCCTCTCACCTGTCCATCCCTTCACCTGTCTATCCCCTCACCTGTCCAGCCCCTCACCTGTCCATCCCTTCACTTGTCTATCCCCTCACCTGTCCATCCCTTCACCTGTCTATCCCCTCACCTGTCCACCCCCTCACCTGTCCACCCCCTCACTGTCCACCCTCTCACCTGTCCATCCCTTCACTTGTCTATCCCCTCACCTGCCCACCCTCTCACCTGTCCACCCCCTCACCTGTCCATCCCTTCACCTGTCTATCCCCTCACCTGTCCACCCCCTCACCTGTCCACCCCCTCAACTGTCCACCTTCTCACCTGTCTATCCCCTTACCTGTCCACCCTCTCACCTGCCCGCCCTCACCTGTCCACCCTCTCACCTGCCCATCCCTCACCTGCCCACCTTCTCACCTGTCCACCGTCTCACCTGTCCACCCTCTCACCTGTCCATCCCTTCACTTGTCTATCCCCTCACCTGCCCACCTTCTCACCTGTCCACCTCTCACCTGTCTATCCCCTTACCTGTCCACTCTCTCACCTGTCCACCCCTCACCTGCCCACCCTCTCACCTGTCCATCCCTTCAGCTGTTTGTCCCCTCATCTGTCCACCCCTCACCTGTCCATCCCCTCACTGTCTCTTCACCTGTCCACCCCTCACCTGTTCATCCCCTCACTGTCTCTTCACCTGTCCACCCCTCACCTGTTCATCTCACTTGGCCATCCCTTCACCTGTCTCCTTATCTGTCCACCTCCTCACTTGTTCATCTTCTCATCTGGCCATCTCTTCACCAGTCCATCCCTTCACCTGTCTCCTTGCCTGTTCACCCCTTCACCTGTCTCCTTGCCTGTTCACCCCTTCACCTGTCCACCCCCTCACCTGTCTATCCCCTCACCTGTCCACCCCCTCACCTGTCCATCCCTTCACCTGCCCATCCCCTTACCTGTCCACCCCCTCACCTGTGCATCCCCTCACCTGTCCATCCCTTCACCTGTCCATCCCTTCACCTGTCTGTCCCCTCACCTGTTCACCCTCTCACCTGTCCATTCCTTCGCCTGTCTATCCCCTCATCTGTCCACCCCTTTACCTATCTACCCCTCACCTGTCCATCCTTTCACTGTCTCTTCACCTGTCCACCCCCTCACCTGTTCACCTCACCTGGCCATCCCTTCAGCTGTCTCCTTATCTGTCCACCTCCTCACCTGTTCATCTTCTCATCTGGCCATCTCTTCACCAGTCCATCCCTTCACCTGTCTCCTCACCTGTTCACCTCCTGACTTCTTTACCTCCTGACCTGTCCATCCCCTCACCTGTCTATCCTGTCACCTGTGTCCTCACATGTCCACCCCCTCACTTGTGTCCTCACCTGTCCATTTCTTCACCCACTCACCTGCCTGTCCAACCCTTTTCCTGTCTTCCCACTTACCTGTCTCCTCACCCATCCATCCTACTCACCTGTCTCCTCACCTATGCAGCATCTCCCCGCTTCCTCTATTCACCTGTCTCCTCGCTTATCCAACCCCTCACCTGTCTATCCCTTCACCCCCCTGCCCCACCTTTTCATTTCTCACTTGACCCTCCGCTCTTGAGTTGACTCTACCTGTGGAAACTTGAGTCACCTGAACTCACTATTTCCCCTTCCTTGTGCACCATCTCACTTGTCTATCCACCTATCCCTCCCATATGCCCCACCTCCCCCATCTCCATCACCCGTCCGCCTCTCCTACACTCCTCAATGGGTCTACTCTCTGGATCTCATTTCCCTTCACCTGTAAGCACCTCACCTGTCCCCCTCACCTGTCCTGGCTCTCATCTGTCATCCTCATCAGTACATTCTCCTGGCATCCTCTTTACCTGTTTGCTCATCTGTTCTCTCCTTACTTGTGCCCTCATGTCTGCTCACCTGTCCCCCTCACCTGTCTGCTCCCCTATCCCCCTTACCTGTCTGCTCCCCTGTCCCCCTCACCTGTCTGCTCAGCTGTCTGCTCACCTGTCCCCCTCACCTGTCTGCTCAGCTGTCTGCTCACCTGTCCCCCTCACTTGCCTCTGTTAGGGACTGTATGCTCCCCTGCTCCCTCCTCACCTCCTTAGACATCTACTCTCATCCCTGTTCTCCCTGCACCTGTTGGGGCGTGGGCGTGGCTGAAGGTGCCAGCTGGCCCACCTCACCTGTACATGAGGTCGATGAGCATCTCAGGGTCCTCCTGGTGTTCCTTCATCTTCACCGTGTCCGTCAGGATCATGTGCAGGTTGAACATCAGGTCCTGGACCTGGAGCCGGGGAACGTCCAGGGGCCAATGAGAGCATTAGGAAGTGAAGGGAGCCAAGGTGGTGGGGTTGGGAGTTATATGAAGGGGAGGCGGGGCGGGGACCCAGCAGGTGTCACCTGCTCTGCGAAGGTGCTGTCCCGCAGCCCCATGTCCTCCTCAGCATAGGTGAGGATGGTTTTGAGTGAACGTCGCAGGTGCTCTTCACTGAAGTTCTGCGTCGTCCCCACCAGGGACGAGAGAGACATGGTGACCTGCATCTTCACACGGGCAAAGTTCTGCAGGGACAGGGGCGGGAGGGTGGAGCCGGGAGTCTCAGACCCCAGACCCCACATCAGAGTCTGCTCAACCTGCCGACATGGCCCTTGCGTTCTTTATTTTTTTTGAGATGGGGGTCTCACTCTGTCGCCCAGGCTGGAGTGCAGTGGCATGATCTCAGCTCACTGCAACCTCCATCTCCCGAGTTCAGGCAATTCTCCTGCCTCAGCCTCCCGAGTAGCTGGGACTGCAGGCATATGCCACCACGCCCTACTAATTTTTGTATTTTTGGTAGAGACAGGGTTTCACTGTGTTGGCTATGCTGGTCTCGAACTCCTGAACTCAAGTGATTCACCTGCCTAGGCCTCCCAAAATGCTGGGATTACAGGTGTGAGCCACTGCGCCCAGCATTTTTTCTTTTCTTTCTTTCTTTCTTTTTTTTTTTTTTTGAGACTGAGTGTCACTTTATCACTTAGGCTAGAATGCAGTGGTGCAATCTTGGCTCACTGCAACCTCCGCCTCTCAGGTTCAAGCGATTCTCGTGTCTCAGCCTTCCAAGTAGCTGGGATTACAGGCACCCGCCACCATGCCCAGCTAATTTTTGTATTTTTAGTAGAGATGCGGGGTTCCATCATGTTGGCTGGGCTGGTCTCGAACTCCTGACTTCAAGTGATCCACCTGCCTCAGCTTCCCAAAGTGCTGAGATTACAGGCATGAGCCACTGTGCCTGGCCCTTTTTTTTTTTTTTTTTTTTTTATTGAGACAAGGTCTCACTCTTGCTCAGGCTGGAGTGCAGTGGCACAGTCGTGGCCCACTGCAGCCTCAAACTCCTGGCCTCAAGTGATCCTCTCACCTCAGCCTCCCAAAGTGCTGGGATTACAGGAATGAGCCACGGCACCTGACCCCCAATTGCATTCTGAGCCCTCCTCCTGCTCATTATGCTCAATGACTGTCTCCCCCTCCCTCACTCCCTGTATGGTTGAGACCCCACTGGCCACCCTGACCAGAGCCATGTGTGGACCATGCCTCCTAGCCCCCACTCACGTGGCCGATCTCGAAGTTCTGTCGCATGAGCAGGTACAGCGAGGCGCTGGCGTGCGTGCGGATGGTGCTGATGCGGCTGCCACAGTGTCGTAGGAGCCTCAGGCACAGGTCGGCACACAGCTCCGTGTCCTCCTCGAACAGCAGCTCCGGGAACTGCCCCCAAGGACCCAGACAGACACTGTCCAGCCCCTCCCCGTTCTGGCTCAGAAGGGGACTGGCCCAAATGAGGACTGCTTGGGCAGGGGTTTGTGTTCTGTCCTCTTTGGCCAAGTACCACTGGGTTCGGAGTCAGACCTGGGTTTAAGCCCCTTGCTGTGTGACCCCAGGTGAGTGACTTGGCCACTCTGATTCTGCCTTCCTTCCACTGTAAACTGTGGCAAAGCAGTCAGCTCCATGGAGTTGCAGAGCACACAGTAAGTGCTCAATGAATGAGCTCCTTTTTTTTTTTTTTTTTTGAGACGGAGTTTTGCTCTTGTCTCCCAGGCTGGAGTGCAGTGGCACAATCACAGCTCACTGCAGCTTTGAACTCCCAGGCTCAAGCCATCCTCCTGCCTCAGCCTCCCTAGTAGCTCCCTAGTAGCTGGGATCTCAGGTGGTGTGTGCCATCCTCTCTGGCTAACATTTTTTTTTTTTTTTTTTGAGACAGGCTCTCACTGTGTTGCCCAGGCTGGAGTCCAGTGGCACGATCATGGCTCACTGTAGGCTTGACCTCCCGGGCTCAAGTGATCCTCAGCCTTCCGAGTAGCTAGGACCACAGGTGCATGCCACCACACTCAGTTTATTTTTTTGTAGAAATGGGGTCTCACCGTGTTGCCCAGGCTGGTCTCGAACTCCTAGGCTCACATGATCTTCCTGCCTCAGCCTCCCAAAGTGCTGGGATTACAGGTGTGAGCCACCGTGCCTAGTCCTAGCTAATTTTTAATTTTTTTGTAGAGACAGGGGCCTCACTATGTTGCCCAGGTTGGTCTCAAACTCCTGGCCTCAAGCGATCCTCCCACCTCAGCCTCCCAAAGTGCTGGGATTAGAGGCATGAGCCACTGTGCTCAGCCTAGAGCTGCTACTGTTTTTCTAAGAATCATGGTTGTTGAGTGGTGCTCACCTTGGACACAAGGGCCCTCTGGGTGGCCAGGCCATGCTGCAAGAAGAGGGCACTCTGGGCACTGCCCAGGCTGTACAGCACAACCTTCAGCACTGCCCCCAAGACGCTCTCCCGGGCTTCTGAAAGCATCACCGTCTGGAGGGAAGGGGGTCAGAAATCCAGGTGTTAGAGCCTAGGGTGGTTATGGGGAAAGGGAAGGAGAGGGATTATGGAGTCAGAGACCACAGGGCACTGCAGTTGGGCTCAGAGCACAAGGCAGATGCTGGATCAAGCCCTACCTGCACGATGATCTCCAGTGTGTCCAGAACCACTAGGCTTGCCTCGGTTGCCAGGTTCCCTTCCACCAAGGCCTCGTGTTCCATTTCATCCTTGGTCCTGGAAGGGGAAAGGAGGTCTTGGGGGCCCACTCGGGGTGAGATCCTACTCCATGGCTGAGCTCTCTCCTTCCCCTGGCAGCCCAGGGGGCACTGGCTCCCTGGAAGCTGTTCTGTTTTTTGTTTTTGTTTTTTTTGTTTTCTGAGACAGGGTCTTGCTCTGTTGCCCAGGCTGGAGTGCAGTGGTGTGATCACCAGCTCACTGCAGCCTCAACCTCCCAGGCTCAAGTCATTCTCCCACCTCAGACTCATGAGTGGCTGGGACCACAGGCACATGCCACCATGCCTGGCTAATTTTTTTTTTTTTTTTTTGAGATGGAGTCTCGCTCTGTCACCCAGGCTGGAGTGCAGTGGCGCGATCTCGGCTCACTGTAAGCTCCGCCTCCCGGGTTCACACCATTCTCCTGCCTCAGCCTCGCTAGTAGCTGGGACTACAGGCACCTGCCACCACACCTGGCTTATTTTTTATATATTTTTTAGTAGAGACAAGGTTTCACCGTTAGCCAGGATGGTCTCGATCTCCTGATCTTGTGATCCGCCTGCCTCGGCCTCCCAAAGTGCTGGGATTACAGGCATGAGCCACTGCGCCCGGCCCATGCCCGGCTAATTTTTAAATTTTTGGTAGAGAGGGTCTTACTATGTTGCCCAGGCTGGTCTCGAACTCCTGGACTCAAGCAATCCTCCTGCCTCGGCCCAAACTGTTCTGAACTCAGCAGACACCCTCCTGCCCACACCTACTTGTCCACGCGGTCTGAGGTTTGCTTCCAGTGTGTGACGCTCTTCCGCCAGCGCACATTCTCCGGATTCCCAAACGGGCTCCTCTCTGAGACGCGTGGGTGCACGATCACAGATGCGTAAAAACACAGGGCACACGTGAACATCAGGAGAAATGCACAGGCATGAAGATATTCAGGTGGGCTGACCCATGAGGGCACTGGGTGGAGCAGAAGCCTGCCGGGTGGACGCACAGGGGCAAACACGAGTGACAGATGGGGACGCACAGGCGCATGTGTACGGTGATGATTTGTGGACTTCTCTCCAGGAAAAGTGAGGCAGAAAGTAAGCTAGGGATGGCCCCCTTCATGGGGTCCCCTTGACACAAGGTGGGAGCAGCTGGTGGGATGGGGACACGTGGGTATGTCACCCTCTTACCACGACTTCGCCGAACCATTTCTTGTCGAGCTCCGATGGTACCCAGAATGGCTTCCTCTAGCCGCGCCTTCATATCCAGAGATTTTTTGAATGTGAGGCTGTTGATGCGTTCAAAGGCCTTTTTCCCCTGGGGGTGCAGAGAACTGGGGTTCCAGGCTGACTCTGCTCTTTTCGGGGGGACCTGGGCTGGCCCCATCCCTTTCTTTGTGCTCTTTCTCACCTCCGGGCCCCTGTGCTTAAAGACAGATTGCCTTTTTCCTCTAAATTCTTAGCACTTACCAAAAAAAAAATTTTTTTTTTTTCTTGAAACAGAGTCTCTCTCATTCTGTCGCCCAGGGTGAAGAGCAGTGGCATGATCTTGGCTCATTGCAACCTCCACCTCCTGGGCTCAGGCAATCCACCTCAGCCACTTCCATAGCTGGGACTACCAGCATGTGCCACCATGCTCAGGTAATTTTTGTATTTTTCGTAGAGATGGGGTTTTACCATGCTGCCCAGGCTGGTCTCAAACTCGTGGGCTCAAGCAGTTTGCCTGCCTTAGCCTCCTCAAGTGCTGGGATTACAGGCGTGAGCCACCGCACCAGGCCCTGTTTTAAAAAAATTTCTTTTCTTCTTTTTTTTTTTTGAGATGGAGTCTCACTCTGTTGCCCAGGCTGGTGTGCAGTGGCACAATCTCAGCTCACTGCAACCTCCACCTCCCGGGTTCAAGTGATTCTCCTGTCTCAGCCTCCCAAGTAGCTGGGACTACAGGTGCGCGCCACCACACCCAGCTATTATTTTGTATTTTTAGTAGAGACGGGGTTTCAGTATGTTGGCCAGACTGCTCTTGAACTCCTGACCTCAGGCGATCCACCTGCCTCGGCCTCCCAAAGTGCTGGGATTACAGGTGTGAGCCACTGCACCCGGCCTCCACCTTCCAAATTCTATTCACAAAGGCACTTCTGACTTTATTCCTTGCCTCAGCACAGAAACAGTCCACCCCTTTCCTCTCAGTCCCACAGAGTCCTCTGCACAAAGACAGTCCACCCCTTCCCACTCAGCCCGCAGCACGCTGGGTCCCTGGGTACATCCTTAGCCTGCCTCCTCCATCATCTCCTGCCCACGCCCTCAAACCTTGTACTCAAAGGCAGCTAGGCAAAGGTACAGCAAATCCAACAGACGTCCCAGCTGGGGGAGTGTCAGGTCAGTGGCCCAGCGCTGCAGGAGCGCCGGCTCGGTGTTTTTCAGCACCCACAGCACACACGCCAGCAAGGTCCGGCTTGACTCAGCAGAGAGGGCACAGCCTGCGCGAGAAGCCTGGGGCCAGAGAGGAATCAAAGTCAATTTCCATTTTCTCCATGTGAGATGAATCCTGGCCAATCTGTATCTTGATACATGACTTCTCTCATTCAAAGTGGATGATGTCTATGGGGACAAGCCTCCCTACTCACCGTTGGTGGCCCCTGGGAGATGCTGGCCCGGGAGCCAGGGGCTAGGGGGCCACCAGCAATGGCCATGGCCACAGAGGGGTTGATGGTACCCGCAATGTCCCCTTCGCCTTCTGTGTCTGAGTCAAGCATTGAGGCCAGTCTTGACCGCTGACCTGGGCCCTCTGGCAGGGAAAGACAGAGGGAAAGAAAGATAAACCCTTGGTAAGTGCTGTCCCTGTCTCAAATTTCAGAAGTCTTCCCTCATGGCCAGGCACAGTGGCTCACGCCTGTAATACCAGCACTTTGGGAGGCAGAGGCGGGTGGATCACCTGAGGTCAGGAGTTCGAGACCAGCCTGGCCAACGTGGCAAAATCCCATCTCTACTAAAATTACAAAAAATTAGCTGGGTGTGGTGGCGGGCGCCTGTAATCCCAGCTACTCGGGAGGCTGTGGCACGAGAATCTCTTGAACCTGGGAGGTGGAGGTTACAGTGAGCCGAGATCGCGCCACTGCACTCCAGCCTGGGCAACAGAGCGACACTCTGTCTCAAAAAAAAAAAAAAAAAGAAGTCTTCCCTCACAACAGTCCCCAAGAGTGGGTTTCTGGTTGTCTGCTCCTGGAATTCACTTATTTTACTTATTTTATTTATTATTGTTTTTTGAGACGGAGTCTTGCTCTGTTGCCCCGGCTGGAGTACAGTGGCCTGATCTCAGCTCACTGCAACCTCCGCCCCCCAGGTTCAAGCAATTCTCCTGCCTCAGCTTCCGGAGTAGCTGTGATTACAGGCACCCGCCACCACACCCGGCTAATTTTTGTATTTTTAGTAGAGACGGGGTTTCACCATGTTGGCCAGGCTAGTCTCAAACTCCTGACCTTGTGATCTGCCCGTCTCAGCCTTCCAAAGTGCTGGGACTATAGGCATGAGCCATGGCGCCTGGCCTATTTTATTTTTTTTTGGATACAGTCTTGCTTTGTCACATAAGCTGGAGTACAGTGGCGCCATCTTGGCCCACTGCGACCTCTGCCTCCCGGGTTCAAGCAATTCTCGTGCCTCAGCCTCCCGAGTAGCTGGTATTACAGGTGCGCGCCACCGTGCATGGCTAATTTTTGTATTTTTAGTAGAGATGGGGTTTTACCACATTGGCCAGACTGGTTTCAAACTCCTGACCTCGAATGATCTGCCCGCCTCGGCCTCCCAAAGTATTAGGATTACAGGCGTGAGCCACTGCACTTGGCCAATTTTATTTTATTTTTTTCAGACAGGATCTCACTCTGTCACCCAGGCTGGAGTGCAGTGGCACAATCTTGGCTTACTGCAGCCTCAACCTCCTGAACTCAAGTGATCCTCCCACCTCAGCCTCCTGAGTAGTTGGAACTGCAGGTGCGTGCTGCCACGCCCAGCTAATTTTTGTAGTTTTTGCAGAGACGTGGTCTCACTAGGTTGTCTAGGCTGGTCCTCAACTCCTGGACTCAAGTGATCCGCCCACCTTGGACTCCCAAAGTGCTGGGATTACAGGTATGAGCCACTGCACCTGGCCTTGATGTTATTACTATAGCATCAATCAGCACTTATATGGTATCTCCTATGTGCCAGATGCTGTTCTAAGGACTTTAAAAATATTCACTCTTTCAAATCATAGGAGCTCAAGAAAAAAAAAAAATCACTTTTTTTTTTTTTTTTTTTTTTGAGGCGGAGTCTCACTCTGTTGCCCAGGCTGGAGTGCAGTAGAATGATCCTGGCTCACCACAACCTCCGCCTCCCAGGTTCTAGTGATTCTCCTGCCTCAGCCTCCCAAGTAGCTGGGACTGCAGGTGCGTGCCACCATGCCTGGCTAATTTTTGTATTTTTAGTAGAGATGGGGTTTCACTATGTTGGCCAGGCTGGTCTTGAACTCCTGACCTCATGATCTGCCCGCCTCGGCCTCCCAAAGTGCTGAGATTACAGGCATGAGCCACTGCGCCCGGTTTTTTTTTTTTTTTTTTTTTTTTTTTGAGATGGAGTCTTGCTCTGTTGCCTAGGCTGGAGTGCAGTGACGCGATCTCGGCTCACTGCAACCTCTGCCTCCCGGGTTCAAGTGATTCTCCTGCCTCAGCATCCTAAGTAGCTGGGATTACAGGCATGCAGCATCATGCCTGCCTAATTTTTTTTTTTGTATTTTTAGTAGAGACTGGGTTTCACCATGTTGGTCAGGCTGGTCTCAAACTCCTGACCTTGTGATCCGCCCACCTCAGCCTCCCAAAGTGCTGGGACTACAGGCATGAGCCACTGCACCCGGCTTAAAAAAATCACTGTTAATCGGCTGGGCGTGGTGGCTCACGCCTGTAATCCCAGCACTTTGTGATGTCGAGGCGGGAGGATCACAAGGTCAGGAGATCGAGACCATCCTGGTTAATACAGTGAAACCTGTCTCTCCTAAAAATACAAAAAAAACTAGTCAGGCGTGGTGACGGGCGCCTGTAGTCCCAGCTACTCGGGAGGCTGAAGCAGGAGAATGGTGTCAACCCAGGAGGCAGAGCTTGCAGTGAGCCGAGATAGCGCCACTGCACTCCAGCCTGGGCAAGAGCGAGACTCTGTCTCAAAAAAAAAAAAAAAATTTACTCTTAATCATCAAAACAACCATATGGAGATAAGTACTTTCATTAGTCCCACTTTATGGACGAAGAAATTGAGGTACAGTGAGGTTAAGTTACTTGCCCAGGGTCACATAGCAGGTAAATGGAAGAGCTACAATTTTTTTGTTTTGTTTTTTGTTTTTTTTTTGAGACAGAGTTTTGCTCTTGTTGCCCAGGCTGGAGTGCAATGGCACAATCTCGGCTCACTGCGACCTCCATCTCCCAGGTTCAAGCGATACTCCTGCCTCAGCCTCCCAAGTAGCTTGGATTACCGGTGCCCACCACCACGTCGAGCTAATGTTTGTATTTTTGGGACAGACAGGGTTTTACCATGTTGTCCAGGCTGGTCTCGATCTCCTGACCTCAGGTGATCCACCTGCCTCGGCCTCCCAAAGTGCTGGGATTACAGGTATGAACCACATGTGCCCAGCCCAAAAGCTACAATTTTATCCTCAACAGTCTGGTTCCCAAGTCTATGCTCTTAAAAAGGTAACCCCCATTCTCTCCCCTAAAAAGTCTCAACAGAGGGAGGAGTTGTCAACAAATATATAGCAGATCTTGCCCTAGAGTCTCCTGAAACAAAAGGTAGACTGAGTGTAAATAAAGCTCTAGCCCAGTCCAGCCTAGCTCAATTCCTGATTGGACTGAGGTGATCAGCCTGTTATCCTATCTGCCTAAGAGAGGGAAAGGACACTTCTCACTGGGCAAAGATGACATTGCTTCATCCCTATGGTTCTTTTTTATACAATGTCCAGAATATAATAAAAAACTACAAGGCAAGGGATGAGGCAGGAAAATGTGGTGGATAAGAGAGAAAAAGAGACAACAGAAGCAGACACATGGATGATCAAATCTGGAAGTCAGCAAACAGAAACTTTTAAAGTTAGAAGAAAAGATGAGCAAAAATGAGACAAAAGATGGAGAATTTCAACAGGGAATTGGGATCTACAAAAAAATCACATGGATATTTTACACTGGAAAAAAATATATAATATCTGAATTTTTTTTTTTTTTTTTTTTGAGACGGAGTCTCGCTCTGTCGCCCAGGCTGGAGTGCAGTGGTGCGATCTCAGCTCACTGCAAGCTCCGCCTCCCGTGTTCATGCCATTCTCCTGCCTCAGCCTCCCGAGTAGCTGGGACTACAGGCACCCACCACCATGCCCAGCTAATTTTTTGTATTTTTAGTAGAGACGGGGTTTCACCATGTTAGCCAGGATGGTCTCGATCTCCTGACCTCGTGATCTGCCTGCCTCAGCCTCCTGCAGTGCTGGGATTACAGGCATGAGCCACTGCGCCCGGCCTAATATCTGAAATTAAGAACTCAACGGATGGGGTCAACAGGACACTGGGCACAACAGAAGACATAAGTGGTGAACTCATAGACAAGTGAACAAAAAACTTCCCAGTTGGATTACAGAGAGGAAAGAATGGAAAAAACAGAACAGGACATAACAGATGTGATCAAAAGGCCTAATATATGTGTAATTGGAGTCCCAGGAGTGAAGAGTGAAAATGAGGCAGAAAAAAATTCAAGTGAGAATGGCTAAGAATTTCCCCAAACTGATGAAAGGCATCCACCCACAAATCCCAATTTTGTACTTCCAACCACTGTTATACCACCCCCCTCAACAATGCCTATAAATGTTTGTTGAAAATGAGTGAATGAATGTACTCCAATCATTTTCTCACTTGGATGTTCCCTACTTTTTGCTCTTCTTAGAAAATAATAAATGGTACAATAATATCTCCCATCTATTGTAGGCTGACAATATCTCAGTACTACAGCCCCCCACATTTTCACATAACCTTATGAAGTAGTTGGTGTTGTTACTGTCTCCATTACAGGGGAGAAACCTGAGGCTCAGAGATGTTATGACTTAAGTAGTCTGTCCTAGCACTTTAACCTGCTCTGCTAATCCTAATGTCTATACTCATACCAGTGACTGTGTTCTCCCACCTTTACTATCCTGTGCCTTCTGTGACCAAGTCCCTGGATCATGTGACCCCATCTTCCCCTGGCCCACTGACCAGCAAAGTCATGCAGCCGTGGCAAGGTATCCCGTGCAATCGATAGCAGTGGCAGGTACAGCTCGGCCACACGAGCCTTCACAGTGGCCTCGGCGTAGCGGGGGTCAGTGTCATGGCCACATAGCAGGCTGTGCACAGCACTGATGGCCTTCTTGTGCAACAGGAATGCCCTATGGGGTAATGAGGTGCTCAGGACAGGGTGGACATGGCTCCTGGACTGTCCCACCTGTCCTGGGGCTAGACAGGAGCTCTGCTCACCCTTCAGCCTCAGGTTCGAGGGCCAGTGCCAGCTCCGTCAGCAGGAGCCCAGCTAGGAAGTGCTGCTGCCGGAATGGTCCACTCAGTTCGAACATGCTGGTCACCTTGGGGTCCGGGGCTTGGCTGGAGAAGGTGGAGCTCTGCAGAGTGGGGGAAAAATGGGGGATGCCAGCGGTCAAGGGTCAGAGGTGGCAGGTCACCATTAAAGCCATCTTGGAGGTGACAGAAATCATGGTGCCAATAGCCACAGATGAAAGACTGATGTTAAGTCATCTGGAGGTGACAGTGGGCATGGGTTTCAAGGCCAGAAGTGAGGGGCTGACGTTAACCCATCTGTGATGTAACAGGGCACGGAGTCAAAAGTCAGAGGACTGAGAAATAGCAGATGGAACACTGGGCTGGGAGTTAGGATTTAGGGGAGAGAAATCAGAGGTTAGTCCTTCTGGGAAATTGCTGAGAATGGCAAGAGAGGTGAAGGGTCAGAAGTCAAAAGTCAAACATAAGGGATTAGTTCACCTAGGCAGTGGTCCACCGTGAAAGGGACAGAGATGAGGGAACCATAGGAGATGGACTGAAGGTGAGAGGTTGTAGGTCAAAGAGAGGAGGCAGAAGTGAAGGCAGCCCACCTGGGAGGTGGTGGAGGACACAGAGGGGGAGGGCGAGGCTGGAGGTGACAGGGGGCAGCAGGGGAGGTTGAGGGTCACGTAGTGCTCGTGGCTGCACAGGATGCGGGTGAATTCCATGCGCAGGGTCAGCAGGGCTGCTGGATTAGGGGACGACTGGAGCCGCGTGGCCACCTGCAGGAGAGGGGTGGCCATCAGTGATGTCAACATTGCTCCGCCTTCCATCCATGCCATGCCCACCCTGCCCACGCCCACTCCTACCTGCTTGTAGTGGGCCCGGACCAGGCTGAAGACAAAGCCCCGGTCCACCAGGGACAGAAGGTCACTGAGGAAGAAAGCCAGGCTGGCGTTGAGGTGCTCGGCCAGCTCCACATCCTGGGGACACAGGTGCCTGTCAACCCACACACCCAAACCTCAGCCCCGACAGGGGCTTGGCTCTCACCAAGATCATCTGCCACCCCTAGGAGCTGTATCACTGCCCCAAAGCCTTTGTCTGTGGGCTGTGGTGACTCTGGGACTTCCTGGTTGTCCTCCTCAGGCTGCCTTCCCCTCCCATGCTCCTTAAGACACCAAGGCAGATATGGGCTAACTCCCTGCAAGATCCTCTCGCTCTCTCTGTCCAGAGTTCAGAGCTGGGGAGAGACTATATTTCCCAGCCTCCCTTCCAGTTGAACCACATGACCAATTCTGGCCAATGGGATTTGAGGGGAAAGTGAGGTGGCCACTTATATGGCAGAAGCAGGTGGGTGCCGGGGAACTGCCAGGGCCAGGCCCACACAGTGATGCCTCTACAACCTACTTAATACTCAGAAATAAGCTATGGTTATTTAAATCACTTGTGACTGTGTTGAAGCGAATTAGCCTCTGCCCTAACTGATCGACTCTTACCATCATTTATTTTTATTTTAATTTTAATTAATTAATTTATTTTTTGAGATGGAGTCTTGCTCTGTCACTAAGGCTGGAGTACAGTGGCACAATCTCGGCTCACTGCAACTTCTGTCTCCCAGGTTCAAGCGATTCTTCTGCCTCAGCTTCCCCAGTAGCTTGGATTACAGACACCCACCACCACGCCTAGCTAATTTTTTTATTTTTAGTAGAGATGGGGTTTTGCCATATTGGTCAGGCTGGTCTCGAACTCCTGACCTCAGGTGATCTGCTTCCCTTGGCTTCCCAAAGTGCTGGGATTACAGGCGTGAGATACCGCACCCGGCCTCTCAGCACCATTTAATGTGAGCTTTACTGAGCATCTACTCTGTGCCAATCCCTGTGAATGAGGCAGATGCCATCCCTGCTGCGGGTCCAACTCAATCCAGTGTGTGTGTGTGGGGCGGGGGCAGGGAGACACAAAATAAACAAGAATTTCAGATAGTTCTATGTGCTTCAAAGACAATATTAAATTGGTGCAAAAGTAATTGCAGTTTTGCAATTACTTTCAATGGCAAAAACTGTAATTACTTTTCTTTCTTTCTTTCTTTCTTTCTTTTTTTTTTTTTTGAGACGGAGTCTTGCTCTGTCGCCCAGGCTATAGTGCAATGGCGCGATCTCGGCTCACTGCAACCTCTGCCTCCTGGGTTCAAGCGATTCTCCTGCCTCAGCCTTCTGAGTAGCTGGGATTACAGGTGCGCACCACCACACCTGGCTAACTTCTGTGTTTTTAGTAGAGACAGGGTTTCACCATGTTGGTAAGGCTGGTCTCAAACTCCTGACCTCAGGTGATCCGCCCTCCTCGGCCTCCTAAAGTGTTGGGATTACAGGCGTGAGCCACCATGCCCAGCCTATAATTACTTGTCACCAACCTTAACAGACGGGGGTGACATTTTCAGAGATACTGAAGGATACCAAAGAGCCATGGGGAGAATGGCATCCTGGGTTAAGGGAACAGTCAGTGCAAAGGCCCTGAGGCAGGATGTGCCTAGCAAGTCCGGGGAACAGTGAGGTGGCTGATGTGGCCCTGAGGCCCAGCTGGTATTCGTTCTGCCCTCATACTCTCTTGAGCCACTCTGAGGCCTCACAAGTTAGCCTCAGTGGCCCTCAAATCCCTGCAACCCGGCCAGGCATGGTGGCTCCTGCCTGTAATCCTAGCACTTTAGGAGGCTGAGGTGGGTGGATCACAGGGTCAGGAGTTTGAGATCAGCCTGGCCAATATGGTGAAACCCCATCTCTACTAAAAATACAAAAAATTAGCCAGGGGTGGTGGTGGGCGCCTATAGTCCCAGCTACTTGGGAGGCTGAGCCAGGAGAATCGCTTGAACCCAGGAGGAGGAGGTTGCAGTGAGCTGAGATTGCGCCACTGCACTCCCGCCTGGGCGACAGAATGAGACTCCGTCTCAAAAAAAAAAAAAAATTAGCCGGGCATGGTGGCGCACCCCTGTAGTCCCAGCTACTCAGGAGGCTGAGGCAGGAGAATTGCTTGAACCTGGGAGGCGGAGGTTGCGGTGAGCCGAGATCGTGCCATTGCACTCCAGCCTCGGGGACAGAGCAAGACTCCATCTCAAAAAAAAAAGTGGATTATCACAGGCATTGTTCTTCTCTGGATCTCTTTCTTGGGGTAGTTTCCTCACCATCTGGATCAGCCCCTGGGAATGTCAGTCTTTGGGAAGGCTCCAGTGAGACAAGGCCAGAACCTTTGAGACCAGCTTGGAGGTCACATGTGATTGTGTAAGGGTTGGCCTGGGCCAGAACGCCATTTCAAAAATCTGGAAAGTTCCCAGCAAATCCAGAGGTCCCATTTCTCCTTAGACACCAGGCCATCTCCTGGCATGGGAACATAGGAAGACCCCATCTCTACACACACACACACACACAAAAATAGGTGGGTATGGTAGCACGCACCTGTAGCCCCAGCTACTCTGGAGGCTGAGGTGGGAGGATTGCTTTAGCCCAGGAGTTTGAGGCTACAGTGAGCCATGATCACACCACCACACTCTAGTCTGGACAACAGAGCAAGACCGTGTCTCAAACAAAAACAAATAAAAAAACAAAAACAAAACCACACACAAAAAAACCCCAGTCAATCTGGCCAGGCATGGTTCACGCTTGTAATCCCGGCACTTTGGGAAGCCAAAGTGGGAGAAGCCCTTGAGCTCAGGAGTTGGAGACCAGTCTGGGCAACATAGTGAGACCCTGACTCTACTAAAAAAAAAAAAAAAAAAAAAAAAAATTGCCAAGTATGTTGGCTTGTGCCTCTGGTCACAGCTACTTGGGAGGCTGAGGAGAGAGGATCCCTTGAGCCCAGGAGGTCAAGGCTGCCGTGAACTATGATCGCACCACTGCGCTCCAGCCTGGGCAACACAGCAAGACCCTATCTCCAAACAAAAACAAAAACAGCCAATCTGGACATAGCTGAGCCACATTCCTGCAGGGTTTCTGTTGGCTGGATTGAGTGATGGTCACCCCTGTTAGGTGGGACATCTGCCCTCTGCTCCACCATAAGCCCCACTTTCCCAGCTGAAACTGGTATTGACAGTGAGGGGTCTGGAGCTGGTGGCTCAGATTCAAAAGCCTCATTCTGCCCCTTCTCAGTCGTGTGGTACAAGGTTAAGCTACCACTCATTCGATGCCTCAGTTTCCCCATCAGTAAAATGGAGATAACAATAATACTAACTTCATGGGTTGTTGTGAGAATTTAATGATACGATCCAAGGCCGGGCGCGGTGGCTCACGCCTGTAATCCCAGCACTTTGGGAGGGCAAGGCGGGCAGATCACCTGAGGTTAGGAGTTCCAGACCAGCCAGGCCAACATGGAGAAACACTGTCTCTACTGAAAATACAAAATTAGCTGGGCGTGGTAGTGCATGCCTGTAATCCCAGCTACTTGGGAGGCTGAGGCAGGAGAATCGCTTGAACCTGGGAGGCGGAGGTTGTGGTGAGCCAAGATTGCGCCATCGCACTCCAGCCTGGACAACAAGAGTGAAACTCTGTCTCAGAAAAAAAACAACAACAAAAAAATGATACGATCCACATAAAATGCTTAGATATACAGTAAGTGCTCAATAAATGCTCCATATTATTACTATTATGATTAGTATTGCCTGCCTAGCCCCTGAGGGCATTGGAATTGGTAATCCAGGGCCTGAACAAGTCCACTGTCAGGGTCTCAGAACATCAACATCCATTTATTGAGCACTTGCTGTATACTCTGACTGTGCTAAGGGTTAATGGATCTGCCTTGTCACTTCCCCGCTCCCACCAACCCTCATTTCCTTCCTCATTCACTACAATCTAGCCATCCTTACTGCTCTACTGTTAGCCCAAGCATGGTCTTGCCTCAGGGCCTTTGCACCTGCTATTCCCCCTGCCTGGAATGCTCTTTCCCCAGACATTGCATGGAATGATCCCTTACTTTCTTCAAGTCTCCCCTTAAAAGCTACACAAGGGTAAGGATTTGGGTCTGTTTTGTTTATTGTTATATTGCTACACCCAGCACAGGGCTGTGCACGTTACAGGCACTTAAGAAACAGACAATGAATGAACGGATCCACCCAGCAAAGTGGATTCCTGGTCTTACGGCCAGGAGACACTGGGCAGGATTGGCGCCCCCACCTGGCTGGCTCTATGTCCTCCCTCAGGTTTCTTCCCACATTGAGACCCTGCATCTCTCACCTTGTGGACACGGGTGATGACCTCCAGGCCCACAGAGCCCACCAAGGCAGTGATGTCGTCCAGGAAGCGTCCGGGGAAGCGCAGCTTGCGGGGTGTGTCTAGTCGCTGGCCAAGCAGCAGGTGCAGCGCCATACTCTTCACCTGGGGGTGGGGTGAGAGGGCTGTGGGTGGGATTTGAAGGGCTGTGGGTAGGACTTGAAGGGCTGTGGGTGGGGCTTGAAGGGCTGTGGGTGGGGCTTGAAGGACTGTGGGTGGGGCTTGAAGGGCTGTGGGTGGAGGAGGCTTGACAGGAGGGGCGGGGCTTTATTAGCAATGGAGGTGGGCTGAAGGTAGGTTTGAGCCCTGTAGCTGCAGGTAGAAGCTGGGGCCTGAGGGATGTGGGTGGGGCTTGTGACCTATGGATGGGGCTTAAGAAAGCCGTGGGCAGATCCTGTGAGCATCCCAGGCAAAGTGTAGAGAGTGGGAAGGCTGAGAGGATGTGGGAGGGGCTTATGCGGGTCTCCCCAGGGCAAGTCAGAGGTGGGACAAAGGGTGGGGCTTGAGGCACTGGATTTGAAGGGAGCTTTATTGGAGGCCCAGAGGGGATGCAGCCAGCAGGCCCTGGGAAGGAGGCTTCAAATAACCTATTGAAGAGTTTTAGGGATGTGTCTTACCTTGATCAGAAAGCTTTCCCTCTTTTTTTTTTTTTTTTTTTGAGATGGAGTCTTGCCGTCACCCAGGCTGGTGTGCAGTGGCATAATCTTGACTCACTGCAACCTCTGCCTACTGGGTTCAAGCGATTCTCCTGCCTCAGTCTCCCATGTAGCTGAGATTACAGGCACGCACTACTACGCCCGGCTAACTTTTGTATTTTTAGTAGAGATGGGGTTTCACCATGTTGGCCAGGCTGGTCTCAAACTCCTGACCTCAAGTGATCCACCCGCCTCGGCCTCCCAAAGTGCTGGGATTACAGGCGTGAGCCACTGTGCCTGACCACAGCTTTCTCTCTCTATCCAGGAATATCTCCTGCAGGATGCAGGTCTCCTGTCTAGGTGAGGGTCTCTTAATGGTTTCTCTCCTTAAAGAGTCTCATGGGGAAGGGTGGCTCTCTCTAAAGGTGGTTTCAGGTACAGTCTCTCCAGGGAGACACCACCTTAAGTGCCTCTCACCTCCCTAGGTTGTGGGGGGGGGTCTCTTGGGGCCATTTCTCAAATATCTCAGGTGCAATTTCAGGGGGCTTCTCTCTTTTTTTTTTTTTTTTTGAGACAGAGTCTCGCTCTGTCGCCCAGGCTGGAGTGCAGTGGCACGATCTCGGCTCACTGCAAGCTCCTCCTCCTGGGTGCACGCCATTCTTCTGCCTCAGCCTCCCGAGTATCTGGGACTACAGGCGCCTGCCACCACTCCTGGCTAATTTTTTTTTGTATTTTTAGTAGAGACGGGGTTTCACCGTGTTAGCCAGGATGGTCTCGATCTCCTGACCTCGTGATCCGCCCGCCTCGGCCTCCCAAAGTGTTGGGATTACAGGTGTGAGCCACTATGCCTGGCCAGGGGGCTTCTCTCTTTAAAAAAGGAAGGGGCTCCACTGGGGGTCTCTTGCCACCAGGCAGGGAGGAGGGGGTCTCACCATGAGCTGGAAGAAGAACCAGGCGTGCTGGAGGATGGCCTCGCGTACGGCACTGCTGCTGACCACCCACTGCAGAGCCAGCTCCTCGTGAAGCAGCTGGGGACAGAGGCAGGGGTCACAGAGTGCGAGGTGCCACCCCTTCCCGTACCCCCTCTGGAGACATGCCAGGGGAAGATGCAGCTGGAGGGCTCGGGGTTAGTGCAGCAGGAGCCAGGCAGGAGGAGGGGGACAAGAGGAGTGGAAGTGCCCTTTCCCTGGGCTCGCCAGACCCCCCTGGACTCTGGATGGGGGAGGAGCACTGGACCCCTTTGCTGGGGACCAGGACAAAAATAGCGTCATCCGCACCTCCCCCCACTACCTTCTGCACAGTGGGTCTCAGCTGGGTGGCTGGTGGGGCCGAGGAGGAACCCTCGAGGTAGGAGGAGGCTCGGCTAGAGTTGCAGTCGATGGCCTATGATGGGATGTGATGGCGAGGAGAAGGTTAGTGTGGATGAGGTGAAGGGGTATGTGGTTGGAGGAAAGACGTGTTCACACAGACAGGGATGGGGAAAAGAGGTAGGTTAGTGTGAATATAGAGAGAGAAATGCTTCCACATGGATGGACCAGGGCCATGGATGCCAATGGGGACAGGCAAGAAAGAGAGATGGGCCGGCGTGGGTTGGGAGGGGAGGCTGGTTGGAATGGCCAGGGTGCTGTGGGAGTAGACGGGGCAGTGGAGGCAGGGACAAATAAAAGAGTCGCTGGAGAGAGCTGGGTGAGTCAAGATCAAGGTGTGTGGGTATGGGAGAAGAACGTGAGGCTGGGCGGGGTGGCTCAATACCTGTTATCCCAGCACTTTGGGAGGCTGGGGCAGGAAGACTGCTCAAACCCAGGAGTTTAAGATCAGCCTGGGCAACATAGTCAGACATTGACTCTACTAAGACAAAAACAAACAAACAAACAAAAATATATATATATGGCTGGGCCTGGTGGCGTGTGCCTGTAGTCCCAGCTGCTCAGGAGGCCAAAGCAGGAGGATTGCTTGACCCTGGGACTTGGAGGTTGCGGTGAGCTGTGATGGTACCACTGCACTCTAGCTTGGGTGACAGAGCAAGACTCCATCTCAAAAAAAAAAAAAAAAAAAAAAGGAGGATGCTGTAATCCTAGCACTTTGGGAGGCCGAGGCAGGTAGATCACGAGGTCAGGAGATCGAGACCATCCTAGTCAACATGGTGAATGGTGAAACCCCGTCTCTACTAAAAATACAAAAATTAGCTGGGCGTGGTGGCAGGCACCTGTAATTCCAGCTACTTGGGAGGCTGAGGCAGGAGAATCGCTTGAACCTGGGAGGCAGAGCCTGCAGTGAGCCGAGATTGCACCATTGCACTCCAGCCTGAGTGATAAGAGCGAGACTCCGTCTCAAAAAAAAAAGAACGTGATGGAGGAGGTGAGAATAACAATGAAAACACAGTACGCCAGTGACCAGTGACAGCAGTGCAACCACAACAGGCAGGAGGAGTGTGGATGGAGTGGGACCGAGAACACACGAAGGCTGGGAATGGGTACATGGTGTGTGGGGTGAAGGCAGAGGAGATGAAATCAGTGTAGACAGCAAGAATGTGTGTGGCCAGAGAAGGTGAGGGTGAGTGTAGACGAGGTGTAGAGTGTGACCGAGTCAGTGAGTCTAGAGGACAGAGAGGAGGATGCAGAGGTGGAGGAGGGTGAGTGTGGACAGAGGAGGTTAAACACAAGATGGGGAAGGAGGAGAAAGACAAGGCAGGAAGATAAGGACAGAGGAGGTGAGATGTTGGTGAGGTGCCAGGAATAGCAGAGAGAGCCCAAGGTTCCAGGCCTGGCCCTGCCCAAGCCTGGCTTGGGCCTCAGTATCCCCATCTGTGAAATGGGTATAGGCAGAGGAGTTCAAGCTCCACTCTCGCTTCCTCCTTCGCTGGTTAGGGGGTGAGGCTGCTCGCAGGAACAGGAGGTCTGATGACAGAGACGACCCAACCCTGGGACCTACTCTGACACTTGAGGGCTCTCTAGCTACCCCAGTCCCAGCCATACCCTGGCAACTCACTGTGCACCGTGAGGGCCTTCCATTGAAAAGGCCCAGCCTCAGTGTCACCCAGATTTCCAGATTCCCAGCAATCCAAGGAAATGACTGCCCAAAGGCCCCCCCTGCTTGTTCTGCTAGGAGTCCCCTGGGCCTGTCATAGGGTACAGGTTACCTTGGTGATGGGCACAGAGCTGGAATAGGCCCTAGGGCCAAGTGTGTAAGGAAGCAAGCCCTGTGGCCTCCTCTCTGTGCGTACAGTCCTCTGACCTTGGTCCCAATATTTGTACATGCCTTTCCCTCTTCCTGAACACCCACACCCACCCACCCTTCCCTAGCTGACTCTATCTTACCCTTCGGGTCCCAGCAAAAGATGTCACTCCCCTGGAGAAGCCCCCAAGACCACCCAGAGGGAAGCTGGTATTCGGTTGCTACTTGCTTCCTTTCCACGCTGTGTGATCATATACTTATGCATTTGTTTGATCCGTGTCTATTTCCCCAACTAGCTGGAAGCTCAGGGTCAAGGCCAGACCAAGAATCTATCATCCCAACAAAATCCCACTGCAGTGCCCTCAGCCCTAACTCAAGCACAGGCTCAGGACTGCTGGGGGAGCACTATATTTTGAGTCCAAACTGCATCCGAAAATTTGGAGTGTTATCTCCATTTTACAAATGAAGAAACTGAGGCTCAGGAAGATGCATCCAATTGCTCAGAGCATGGGGTGAGCTCATAGCAGAGCTAGGACTTGAACCCAGGTCTGTTTGGAGGCAAAGCGTCCCCCTACACCAGGTACCTGGAAAGAGGCAGGGTAAGGGGAGCTCTTTGTCTAAAATGGGATAGGGGAGCCGAGAGGTTCCATTCCAGCCCTTTGAGAGTCCCATCATCAGGGGTGGATTAAAGGGAGGTGAACAGGCCATGCAGGGCAGTGAGGTTATGGGTGACTGGATTTGCACTTCGTTTGCATGCGATTTGCATATTACCCCTGTGCCTTCTGTCTCCATCTGAGACTGTGGCCTATGTGGCAGCAAAAAGCCAGTTAGGATGACCCAGTGATACCTAAACACAGACTTCACAGCCCCAAACAAAGGCAGGAGAGGGGTCTGCCACCTCCTTCAGGCAGCCCCCCTAGGTTAGTCAGATGCAGCCAGGAAGGTGGGAGGAGCTCATGCTGAGGTGGTGTCACATGAGTGCAGGGACAGGTAGGAAGGGCACCTGTCTGGGGTCGGCCCCACAATAAGGGGGCGCCCGCCGCAGCACAGCCTTACTGCCTCCTGGAGCATAAGCGGAATTCACCCAGGAGTGTGAGCGATCGATGCCCTGGAGATACACGGAGAAGTGGTAGCATCCCCAGTGGAGGGCAGGGAAAGCAGCATGAAATACCAAGCGTGGACATGGTTCTGGACCATACATGTGCCCACATGTGCACCTACACACAATCCTGAAAAATGTGCACGTGTATATAGGTCCATTGGGTGCATGCCTTTACATAACTTGTGTATGTGGGTCCACAGGTGCATGCATACACACCCCTGTAAGTCTGTGCATGGGGTGCATGTGTATACACACCCGTACACATATATGCATCAGGTGAATGTGTATACAGACCCAGGTACATACAGGCACAGGATGACTGTGTATATGCACCTGTGTAAGTATATGCATGGGGTGAATGTGTATACGCACCCGTGTCTGTATATGCATGGGGTGAATATGTATACACACTTGTGTCCACACATGCATGGGGTGAACACGTATACGTGCCCATGTACATATATGCATAGGGTGAATGTGCCTATGTACCTGTGTAGGTATATGCATGTGGGGGTGAATGTGTATATGCACCCATGTACATATATGCATGGGGTGAATGTGTATATGCACCTGTGTATGTATATGCATGGGGGGTGAATGTGTATATGCACCTGTGTAGGTATATGCATGAGGTGAATGTGTATATGCACCTGCTACACTAGGTACATATTGCTCTTTGTTCAGCCACGCCAAGCTCCGCCACCCATCCTCGGGTCAGTCACGGAGTAGAGCTCAACACAAAGTCTGATCCATACCCCACAACCTGTGACAGCCCAGCCCAACTCTGCTGCCCAGAGTGACGCCTTCATTCACGTTGTCGTCTCTGTTGTTTCCCATGCTTCATCAACAGATTCTTCGCCCACACACGTGGCAACCACAACCACTGAGGCTGGAGATTCCAGGGCCCCCGTTGCCCTACCTTGCTGGCCAGGATGCGGGAAACCTCGTCATCCACAGAGCCAGGGGCCACGGCGAGGTCAGGGTTGCTGCTGCTGATGCTCTTGGAACGCGCCAGGTAGAGGCTTGCGGGGCGACCAGAGCCACGGGCCAGTGTGGCAGCCTGCACTGTCACTGGAGGGGCCCCTGAGGATGGAGTGAATAGGGTCAACCACCCACCCACCTGATGTGATGCCTCCCAGTCCCTTCCTACTCAGCTAATCTCTGCAAAATCACTTTCCTTCTCTGAGCCTCTAAGTTCCTCATCTATAAAATAGGCATAATGGCTGCCGCCTCACAGAGATTGGGGGGGCACTGAAAAACTGAGAATAGGCCAGGTACAGTGGCTCATGCCTATAATCCCAGCACTTTGGGAGGGCGAGCCAGGAGGATCACTTGAGCCCAAGAGTTCAAGCCCAGCCCAGCCAACATAGCGAGACTCTGTCCCTACAAAAAAATTAATGAAAAAATTAGCCGGGCATGGCAGTGCGCGCCTGTGGTTCCAGTTACCTGGGGAGGCTGAGGCAACAGGATTACTTGAGCCCAGGAGTTTAAGGCAGCAGTGAGTTATGATCGTGACACTGCACTCTAGCCTGGCCGACAGAATAAGATCCTGACTTTTTTTTTTTTTTCTTAGAGAGTTTCACTCTTGTTGCCCAAGCTGGAGTGCAATGGCACGATCTCAGCTCACTGCAACCTCTGCCTCCCGGGTTTAAGCAATTCTCTTGCCTCAGCCTCCTGAGTAGCTAGGATTACAAGCACGCACCACCATGCTCAGCTAATTTTTTTTTTTTTTAATGAGACGGAGTCTTGCTCTGTCGCCAGGCTGGAGTCCAGTGGGGAGATCTTGGCTCACTGCAACCTCCATCTCCTGGGTTTGTGTGATTCTCTTGCCTCAGCCTCCCAAGTAGCTGGGACTACAGGCGTGAGCCACCATGCCCAGCTAATTTTTGCATTTTTAGTAGAAACGGGGTTTCACCATGTTGGCCAGGATGGTCTCGATCTGTTGACCTTGTCATCTGCCTGACTCAGCCTCCCAAAGTGCTGGGATTACAGGCGTGAGCCACTGTGCCTGGCGTATTTTATTTTTTGAGACAGGCTGGTCTCAAACTCCTGATCTCAGGTGATCCACTTGCCTCAGCCTCCCAAAGTTCTGGGATTACAGCCGTGAGCCACCATGCCTGGCTGACCCTGACTCTTAAAAAAAAGAAAAAAAAAAAGAAGAAAAAAGAAAAAAACCCTGAGAATAATGCCTGACACATAGGGATTGGTGTTTATTTGGCAAATTAAAAAAAAAAAAAAATCCAACTCTATTGAGGGTTCACTATGTGCTAACCATTTTGTGTGGATTACTATGTCACTTACTATTACCAGTGCCCCCATGAGGTGGGTACTATTATTATCCCTGTTTTACAAAAGGAAAAACAGGCTCAGAGAAGTGACGTCACTTGCCCAAGGTCACAGAGACTGTAGGTGGCAGGGCCAGGATTCACATCTAGGCAGCTCAGCTTCAGTCTCCGCTCCAAGCTACTGAAGAGGCTTGCTGACTATCTGAATCGTTTTCCAGCCAAGCACACAGAAGCCACACCCCAGGGATGGGGCAAAAGTGGGCAAAACATTATCTCTCTTGCAAGTTGCTCAAACCAGCCAAGGCCTGTGAGGCCTCAGGGCCTTTGCACATGCTATTCTCACTACCTGGATGCTCTTCTCCCAGATCTTTCTTTCTTATTTTTTTTTTTTTGAAACAGGGTCTTGCTCTGTTGCCCAGACTGGAGTGCAGTGGCGTGATCTCAGCTCACTGCAATCTCCATTTCCCGGGTTCAAGTGATTCTTCTGCCTCAGCCTCCTGAGTAGCTGGGGCTACAGGCGTGCGCCACCACACCTGGCTAATTTTTGTTTTTGTTTTTGTTTTTTGAGATGGAGTTTCACTCTGTCACCCAGGCTGGAGTGCGGTGGCATGACCTTGGCTCACTGCAACCTCTGCCTCCTGGGTTCAAATGATTCAGCCTCCCTAGTAGCTGGGATTACAGGCACCTACCACCATGCCTGGCTAATTTTTGTATTTTTAGTAGAGACGGGGTTTCACCATGTTGGCCAGGCTGGTCTTGAACTCCTGACCCCCTCAAGTGATCCCCCTGCCTTGGCCTCCTAAAGTGCTGGGATTATAGGCATTAGCCACCATGCCTGGCCCCAGCTAATTTTTGTATTTTTAGTAGAGACAGGGTTTCATCATGTTGGCCAAGTTGATCTCGAACTCCTGACCTCAAATGATCCATCCAGCTCGGCCTCCCAAAGTCCTGGGATTACAGGCGTGAGCCACCGCACCCAGCCTCTTCTCCCAGATATTTCTCGTCTCACAGGGATTTCTACAAACTCACCATCCGGGAGGCTGGGCTCAGTGCCAGGAAGGCGAAAGGCGTAGTGGACGTAGGCAGCCAGCTGTGGGCAGTGACCGCGGGCATCCTGGGCTGCCTCCAGGCTCCGGTGAACAAGGCTGACTACATGGGCCATTGCTTCAAAGGCTCCACGGCCCAGGTTCACTGCAGGGCAGAGCAGAGGTCAAGTTCCAGGGCCCAAGGCCTCTCACCTCCCCGCCCACTTTCCAAATATAAAGACATCAGGATTTGAGGGATCATGTGCTCATTAAGGGGTCACAAATTTTTTTTTTTTTTTTTTTTTGAGATGGAGTCTTGCTCTGTTGCCCGGGCTGGAGTCCAGTGGCATGATCTCGGCTCACTGTCACCTCCGCCTCCCAGGTTCAAGCAATTCTCCTGCCTCAGCCTCCCGAGTAGCTGGGATTACAGGCATGCGCCACCACGCCCAGCTAATTTTGTATTTTTAGTAGAGAAGGGGTTTCTCCATGTTGGTCAGGCTGGTCTCAAACTCTCGACCTCAGGTGATCTGCCCGCCTCGGCCTCCCAAAGTGCTGGGATGACAGGCGTGAACCGCTGCACCCGGGCCAAAGGGTCACAGAAGACCTTCTCTGGGTGCAGGGGACTGGAGGTCATTTTTCAGATGAGAAAAATGGCCAGAGAGGTAAATGGGCTTATAGAAGATCCCTCAGGACCTCAGGACTGAGAAGCCATGTGGATGGGGAAACTGAGGTCTGAGGCCACATTCGCTTACCAATCTGGCCACTGATGATCGGGGGCCTGATGACCAGACGCACGAGCTTGTCCAGCACGTGGTGGGAGAAGGCCACAAGGGGTTCGGGGCTGGCCAGGCGCAGTGCTGCAAGACTGGCCCGCAGCTCCTGCTCCACGTTGCCCTCGCTCAGCACAGTGTCCTTGAGCCGGAATGGGAAGGCTCCCTCCTCCAGGACGTGCACCAGGGTGAAGAATTTGTCCAGGTAGGGGTCCTGGGTAGGGATGTGGAGTGAGCAGGGTGGGGCCTCAGGGAATGAAGACCACCCCTGCCTGAATCAGCAGCTTCCCTTAAAGCTGGGTCCAGCTGACCAAAGTCACGTCCAAGGCCTGAGGCCAGACCTCCCCGGCCATCGGCAACTGTTACTCAATCGTAGGGCAGGCAAGAGGGGAGCAGGGCGGGACTCTTGGTTCCCGGCCCACCCCGTACCTGGGGGTGCACAGAGGACACGGCTGTGAGCTCCACACTGAACACGCCCTTGTGACCGTCCACCCAGCGCATGCCCGGAAGCGCCACCTGTGGGAGGGAGGCACCAGGTGGGCACTGGTCAGCCCTCCCTGACTGATCAGGTCACCCAGCGGCCCCAGCCATTGCGACACTGCAGCGTGAGTGTAGCCCGGTCTGGGGGTGCAGCCAAGCACCCTGCCCCCAGCCCTGGTCCCAGTAGACTGAGAGGGTCCACTGGGCAGGCTGGAAATCCACATGCCAAGACGGGGGCAGAGAATGGAGACACAGGGTGAATGAATATTCATTGAGTAGGTCAGGAAACAGGATAGGAGGATTTGAGGCCTAGGGTCATTAACAATGGTGCATTCATGGGGAATGATAAGGTACTACGAGGGCAGGGGACAGTGATCAGGAAGGCAGTCAGGGTGGCTAAAGTGGGAATGGAGCAGAGAGGCAATGGGAATCTTTGGGGAGGACATGTAGGACACAGAGAGGCATTAATAGGGGAATAATGAGCTACACGGGGGCCCTGGAGGCACCAGTAGAGGATAACAAGCCTCCCAGGATTGACAGGAAGGAAGGCAGGTGACTCGGGAGTGCTTCTGGGGACAGTGCATTGGCAGGCAGGAGCTCCAGGGCACATACATCGGGTGTGAGCACGGAATAGCTGGGCGGCGGCTGGTCCACAGACACTGGGAGACAGAAGGGGCCGGTCCTCAGGCGCCCGTGCTGCAGCAGTGGGATCCACTGGGGAGAGGCTGGAGGTCAGGTCTGCGGCCAGGTTGGGGGACGAGGAGGGCTCAGGGGGAGGGAGGGAGGGGACGGCTCACAGTAAAGCCCACGGGTGTCTCCAGGGCAGTGCCCGGCCGGGGCTGGCAGCTGACATGGTAGAAGGTGAACAGCAGGTGATGGTTCTCTGTCACGCAGGCTGGAAGATGCAGCTTGAACTCCTCGTAGAACTCGGGGGACCTGGCAGAATCGGGCTGGGGGATCTGCTGGGGGCTGGGGTCCCCACTGTCTGCCCCATCACCTCTGCCATGCCACGCCCTTATTGCTGCTAGGCCCCACTGTCTCTGCTGTCTGCCTCAGCTTCCCTCATTAGCACTCTGGGAGCCTCTACCTCTCTTCTTCCTGTCCCCCATCTTCCCATCGATGCTGCCTTATGTGTATATATAAGGGACATCCTCCTACCCCCATGAGTGCCCCCAAGTTCCTCACGTGTCCCCCTACATACTTGTTATGGTAGACCACCGGTGTGAAGGCCTCGCGGGTAAATTCACTGCAGCTGGACTTGCCAAAGATGACCTGGGAGAGTGGATTCATGAGGGACCCATGGGGGATGCCCTACCCCCCTTCCCTGGGGCACAGCCACTGACCGGCAGAGCCTGGCTGGGGTCCTCGCCTGTCATGTACTGCACTCGCACAGCAAGGTTGCGCACGGAGCCCTGGCGGCTGCTGAAGTTGAGGCTGTGCGGGTACACGTACAGCAGGTTCCTGTGGGGGGCAGGATGGGGGTGTCAGAGGGACAGGGGCCCTGAAGGTGCACATACAAGGCTGGGGTGATGGGACAAGGCTGGCTGGGAGCACAGACAGTCCAGGAAGAGTAGGTCATGAGGCTGGGGCATTGAGGGCCCGGTGAGAGGTAATACAGGTATCAGTCAGGAGATAGGACAGAGGGCAGAGGGTGGGGGACAAGCGAGCACCCTAAAAACACAGATTGGGAACAGTGTGGTAGAGGGTGGGAATACAGAAGGACATTGGAGGCACTCATGGGGCACAGTGACACACAGAAGGCAGAGAATAGCGAGGCACTCAGGGCCAGAGTTCCAAGGTACCTCAGGTGGCCAGTGGTCAAGCCTAAGCCCCACCCAAGGGCCTGACTGCCCTTCCCCCAGGAGGTCACTAGAGTTATGTGGCCTGTTTCTCAGGTGGGGAAACTGAGGCCAGAGTCCGAGTCCTGCCTCCTTCCCCCAGGGGCAACTCTGTGCAAGCCTTGACCCCTCTCTGGGCCTCAGTTTCCCTATGTGTATAATGGGCACTTCAGGCCTTCCAGCTGAGCCTTTGTAATGATACTGATGATGATAAATAACAACAATGACAATAATTGCACCAAACACTATTACTACAACAATGAAATAATCGCGCCTACTGTGTGCCAGGCTCTGTTCTAAGCACTCAACATGAAATAACTCATTTACTTCTCACAAGTAGCTCATGAGGCAGGACTAACATCACCGCCATTTTACAAGCAGGGAAACTGAGGTACTTGCACAATCACCCACGGAGTAAAATGGCAGTCAGTGGTGATCTGGGCATATGCAGGTCTTGGAGATCAGGCTGTGTGACCTTGGGAGAGTCTCTGCCACCTGCACCTGCCCCCTTGGATACTAACCAGGCCAATAAAAGCCCCCACGTGGCAAGTATGTGGGAGGGGAACAAGAGCAGATATTGTAATGGCAGGTCAAACAGCTCAGGGCAAACCATCAATGCTTATAAAATCTTTACTGTTATTACCATCATCATTGCGATGCCTATTCATAGATGGAGAAACAGGCTCAGCATGGTGAGTCTCAGGAACTCCCAGCAGGGTCTGGGGCCCGTCCTCTCCCAATGCCCCCCACCCACACCTGGCCCTGAGCCCCAGGAAGCGTGATCCCGGCGTGGCCTAGCCGGACATTCGCCTGATGCAACTATCGCACCACTGCCAGGCCCTTGTGCAATGCGGGGCACCAGGTCGGCCAGTTAACGATTGACTGGGGATCAGTGGGGGTATGAGGCATAAAAGGCTTCAGTGACAGTGCTGTGGCTATACCTTAGACCCTCAGTCATGCCAGTGCCTGCTCTGTGCCTGCTCTGGGCCCTGGCAATGGTGACCCGGCCTGCCTCAGCGGCCCCCATGGGCGGCCCAGAACTGGCACAGCATGAGGAGCTGACCCTGCTCTTCCATGGGACCCTGCAGCTGGGCCAGGCCCTCAACGGTGTGTACAGGACCACGGAGGGACGGCTGACAAAGGCCAGGAACAGCCTGGGTCTCTATGGCCGCACAATAGAACTCCTGGGGCAGGAGGTCAGCCGGGGCCGGGATGCAGCCCAGGAACTTCGGGCAAGCCTGTTGGAGACTCAGGTGGGCACCGTAGCTGCGACACTGTGGGGTGGCCAGGAGTCCAAAGAGGAGTTCGTGTCTAGGGTAACCAACCATCCTGGTTTGCCCAGGACTGAAGGGATTCCTGGGATACAAGATTTTCAGCGATAAACTCAGGCAAGTCCTTAGGTACACAAAGATGAGTTGGACATCCTACTAGTGACCCACTGTTTATTAAGCAGATGGAGGAGGATATTCTGCAGCTGCAGGCAGAGGCCACAGCTGAGGTGCTGGGGGAGGTGGCCCAGGCACAGAAGGTGCTACGGGACAGCGTGCAGCGGCTAGAAGTCCAGCTGAGGAGCGCCTGGCTGGGCCCTGCCTACCGAGAATTTGAGGTCTTAAAGGTAAGGAGCTCCCCCAACCCTAGTGGGCTGAGACCCTGATTTCCGGCCAGAACTCGCTTCTGCACCTTGAGTCCCAAAGACCTCCCAGATCAGCCTCCCAGCTCTGTGGCCTCTACCCTGCATGTCCCCAGACAAAACTCAAGTCCTTTTGTGTGCCTCAGTTTCCCTTTTGTGTGCCTCAGTTGCAAATAAGGGCAACACCTGATATCTCACAGTAGGGCCAGGTACTCAATGCAGGTAAAATATTCAGCATGGGGCGGGCACACAGTTGGTGCTCAATAAATTCTTTTTTTTTTTTTTTTTGAGACAGAGTCTCACTGTTGCCCAGGCTGGAGTGCAGTGGTGTGATCTTGGCTCACTGCAACCTCCACCTCCTAGGTTCAAGTGATTCTCCTGCCTCAGCCTCCTGAGTAGCTGGAATTACAGGTGCACCAGCTAATTTTTGTATTTTTTAGTAGAGATGGGATTTCACCATGTTGGCCAGGCTGGTCTCGAACTCCTGACCTCAAGGGATCTGCCTGCCTCGGTTTCCCAAAGTGCTGGGATTACAGGTGTGAGCCACTACACCTGGCCAATAAATTCTTACTACTAGAGAAACTGGTAACATTTTGTGAGCACCCAGTAAGTACCCAGCACTGTTCTATGCCCTTTAATAATCCATATGATGGCCGGGCATGGTGGCTCATGCCTGTAATCCCAGCACTTTGGGTAGCTAAGGTGGGTGGAACACTTAAGGTCAGGAGTTCGAGACCACCCTGGCCAACATGGTGAAACCCCGTCTCTACTAAAAATACAAAAAATTAGCTGGGCGTGGTGGCACATGCCTGTAGTCCCAGCTACTCAGGAGGCTTAGGTAGGAGAATCGCTTGAACCTGGGAGGTGGAGGTTGCAGTGAGCTGAGATCGTGTCATTGCACTCAGCCTGGGTGACAGAGAGAGACTCAAAAAAAAAAAAAAATCCATAGGATGTTCATCACCTCCCCATGAAGTGAGTCCTATTTTATCCCCATTTTACAGATGGGGAAACTGAGGCCAAAGAGCATTGTTGACTTGCTGGGTCACACAGATACAATGAGGGGCTGGGGCAGAGGGTCAGGGGATGGGAGGTGAGGTGGCTGTCGGCTGAGGTTTCCATTCTGACCCCCACAGGCTCACGCTGACAAGCAGAGCCACATCCTATGGGCCCTCACAGGCCACGTGCAGCGGCAGAGGCGGGAGATGGTGGCACAGCAGCATCGGCTGCGACAGATCCAGGAGAGGTGAGCCTGGCAGGGGTTTGGCAGGCAGGGCAGTTGGATGGGGGGCGCACAGGGCAGCTGGAAAGGGGCCCCCTCACCTGGGCTGAGCCACATCTCCCTCCCCAGACTCCACACAGCGGCGCTCCCAGCCTGAATCTGCCTGGATGGAACTGAGGACCAATCATGCTGCAAGGAACACTTCCACGCCCCGTGAGGCCCCTGTGCAGGGAGGAGCTGCCTGTTCACTGGGATCAGCCAGGGCGCCGGGCCCCACTTCTGAGCACAGAGCAGAGACAGACGCAGGCGGGGACAAAGGCAGAGGATGTAGCCCCATTGGGGAGGGGTGGAGGAAGGACATGTACCCTTTCATGCCTACACACCCCTCATTAAAGCAGAGTCGTGGCATCTCACCCAGGGTGTCTGTGTGTGTCCTTGGCTTAGGGAGACCCCACCCAGCATGATGTATGAATACCTCCCATTCAAGTGCCCAGCTGGGCCCCAGAGGCCGTACCTGTAGCTGGTATGGGGGGCATAGACTTCGCGGGCGGGGAACTCCAGAATCTCCTTGGTGGGCCGGCCCCTGGGGTCCGGGTAGGGCTTGATATGAAGCAGCTCAGGGGAGAGGCAGAAGTGGGGATTTTCAGGAGCCGGAGAAATGTCGATCTTGAGCTGGGCTGGGAAGGGAAGAACCGGTTTGCACCTGCCTGGGAGCCTCCTGGCTCAGCCCACCCTTTCTGGGCTGTGTAGTCAGGGCAGACTCTCCCATGATGTTCTCTGGGGACTGGGGGCTGTGTCCCTCAGGCGCCAAGGCCAGAAATTGCCCTCAACTCTGCTGTCTGTCACCCTAAATTTTTTTTCGTTTTTGTTTTTCTTTTTTTTAAGTGGAGTCACTCTGTTGCTCAGGCTGGAGTGCAGTGGGGCGATCTCGGCTCACTGCAACCTCTGCCTCCCCAGTTCAAGTGATTCTCCTGCCTCAGCCTCCCAGGTAGCTGGGATTACAGGTGTGTGCCACCACACCTGGTGAATTTTTGTATTTTTAGTAGAGATGGAATTTCACCATGTTGGCCAGGCTGGTCTCAAACTCCTGACCTCAAGTGATCTGCCCGCCTCGGCCTCCCAAAG
Source organism: Homo sapiens (assembly GCF_000001405.40). Classification (NCBI taxonomy): domain Eukaryota; kingdom Metazoa; phylum Chordata; class Mammalia; order Primates; family Hominidae; genus Homo; species Homo sapiens. The sequence goes on from NC_000019.10 coordinate 11,242,656, forward strand.
TGCTGGCATTACAGGTATGAGCCATCACACCTGGCCCCCAGGCTGGTCTTGAGCTCCTGGGCTCAAACAATCATCCTCCTGCCTCAGCCTCCCAAAGTGTTGGCGTTACAGACTTGAGCCACTGCACCCCAGCCTTACCCCTACATTTGATCAACTCTGCCCCCAGGACCCCTGCCTGCCCCGCTGCCATTAACCACCTATTGACGCTGTATCCATCTTATTTATTCTGCTTCTTGTCTATGGTCCCCATTAGAAGCTGTAGCCAGCCCCTGAGGTCAGGGATTTGTCCATCATGGTCATCGTTGGGTCTCTGATGCCCCTGGCACAGTAGGTGCTCTCAGTGTAGGTTTGTTGAGTGGCTGAGTGAGAGTGATACTTCTTGTGTATGGGGTGTGCCACGCACCAGTCACAGGACGTAGTCGCCGCAGCAGGGACGACGGGCGCCTCATGTCAGCCAGGAACTTGAAGAGGTCCTCGTCACTGAGTCGCTCAGCCTCCTACATGGGACCCACTCCCGTCAGCCTGGGCCAGGGGGCTAGGGGTCCCCAGGGCTAATGCAGCCAGCGGGGAGTGGGAGAGTCCCTGGCCCCAGGGTAGGACACCTGCTTAAAGAAGTTTGTGACAGTTAGCGTGGCTGGACGGAAGCCAGAGAAGCTGCAGGCGTCGTCCCCACTACTCGCCCGGTCCTGGGGCCCCCGACGGCGGCGGTCTGTCCAGGCTGGCCGGCGCTCTAGGGGAGGGAATGACAATGACAAAAGGGGGACCAAGATGAAACAGGGAGACTCAGGGGCGGCACAGTTCGGCCAGCAGAGGGCGCACCCCCTCGCCCCGTAGCCCCGCCCCAGGCCTGTCAGCACCACCCTTTAGCCCCGCCCCAAGCCTGTTAGCCCCGCCTCCTCACCGCCCTCCGAGTCAGAGTCCCGGTCCAGCTGCCCAGCGCTGCTCACGATGTTGGCCAAGTGCACGGCCGTCCAGGCGAAGGGCATGCGGTAGCGGCCCAGGCGGGTGCAGAACTGCTCGGCCGCCAGGCGCAGCTTCTCTAGCTTCTCTTTGTTCTGTGGGGAGACCCCGTCCCCTGCCAGCTCAGCATCCTAGCCCTGCTGAGTCAGGGATCTGTTGCCCCTAGTCCAGCCTCCACACGCTTACCTTGGCTGTGTCCACTTCTTTCAACACCATGTAAGGCTCACAGCACTCACTGATGTCCCCTTGCTGAAGCACCTTCTCCAACTGCGGGGCAGATGAATGAATCCAGTGAGGCGCTGCCCGAACGCTCTGTTCCCCCGTGCTGGCTCCCCAGCCTCCTGGACCCCTCATGGGCCCTCGGACACTCCTAACATATGAAGGCCTTTGCTCCAACACCTCCCATGGCTCCCGCTGTCCTTGGGATCAAGGGTTAGTGTTGGCCTGCCTGGTGGCTACTCCCTCCCATTCTTCAGATCTACCCCTAACCTCCAAGCCTACCTTTAGCTGGTGATATTTTCCCTAAATTTACTTATTTATTTACATTTATGTATGTATGTATGTATGTATTATATAGAGACAGGGGTCTCGCTATGTTGCCTAGGCTGGTCTCAAACTCTTGGGCTCAAGTGATGCCCCTGCCTCTGCCTCCCAAAGTGCTGGGATAACAGGCTTGCTGTGAATTTTTTTTTTTAGACAGAGTCTCCCTGTTGCCCAGGCTGAAGTGCGTGATGGGATCTCAGCTCACTGCAACCTCTGCCTCCTGAGTTTAAGCAATTCTCCTGCCTCAGCCTCCTGAGTAGCTGGGATTACAGGCATGACCCACCACACCTGGCTTTTTTTTTTTTTTTTTTTTTTTTTTTGAGATGGGGTCTCGCTCTGTCACCCAGACGGAAGTGCAATGGCACAATCTCGGCTCACTGCAACCTCTGCCTCCCGGGTTCAAGCAATTCTCCTGCCTCAGCCTCCCAAGTAGCTGGGACTACAAGCGCCTGCTACTACGTCCCGCTAATTTTTGTATTTTTAGTAGAGACGAGGTTTCACCATTGGTCAGGCTGGTCTGGAACTCCCAACTTCAGGTGATCTGCCTGCCTCGGCCTCCCAAAGTGCTGGGATTACAGGCGTGAGCCACCGCGCCCAGCCAATTTTTGTGTTTTTAGTAGAGAATGGGTTTCACCATGTTGGCAAGGTTGGTCTCAAACTCCTGGGCTAAAGCGATCCTCCCGCCTCAGCCTCCCAAAGTGCTAGGATTACAGTTGTGAGTCACTGTGCCTGGCCTTCCCTACATTTTTCTTTGTTAGTGTAAATAGAGGCCACTCTGGGCATGGCTCTGAGCCATGAGGCCTAGACTCCAATCCTGACCACTCAGGGGCTGTGGGACCCTGGGCAGTGGGACCCTATCCACTCTGTGCCTCAGTTTCCCCATCTGGAAAATGGGAACCATGGCACCCCTCCACCTTAGGCCCTGTGGTGAGGACTGAAGGAGGGATCCCTGTGAAGCGTGACCATAGCAGCACCTGCCTGTGGATACTGGATTCATTTCATCATTGCAAACTAATAGAAGGTTTTGAGAAAAGAAATTTGACCTCCCTCCCAGAAACAGAAAATCTCAAATGAGGGTGCCAACTATGTCTTTCATCTGTCCACAAACTTCCCAACAGCATCTCACCCACCTCCGAGGACCCCAGCCTGTCACATGTGCCTAGGGATGGCTTTTCTCCCCAGGCTGCCCACGTATAGTTATCAGCTCAACTGTCGCCTCTCCCTGGAAGCCCTTGGTGATTTCTCCCCACCTGAGTTGGATCAGGGGCCTCCTCCCTGCCTGTGTTTCCCCCACAACAGCCCTGATTACCCTTCTTGGTGATGTATCTGTCTCATTCTGTGAAGGCAGGGACTAAATCAGTGACATTCGCCATTACCACCCCCTTGCCCAGCCCCAGCAGGCACCTTGATGACCAGGAAGATGTCAGGTGAGGGGTAGGTCACAGAGAAGATGGCAGAGCGGGCCAGGGTGGAGATGGCAGGGTGGGTGCCATGAGCCCGAAGCAGCCCCTTCATGGAGTCCGAGTTCAGGTCGAAGTAGAAGTTCTCCGAGATCTGGGGACACCAGAGGCAGCTGGGCCACCACCTCTGGGAAGCCCACAGCCCCCCAACAAGGAGAAGGAAGGGGAGGAAAGAGAAAAAAGGGCCTCCTACCTTCTTTTTCTCCCGCACATCATACAGAGCCAAGATCCCAAAGATGGGCTCAATTTCAATCTCGAACCTACAAGTAAATGGGAGGGAGGGGGCTCTCCTTAACACTTCCCGCTGTCCACACACCCCACTCCCTCTTGAGGCCCAAGGTGGGGGGCATCTGACTCCCACTGGGCCACATGGAACCGCCACTTAAGGGCTTGCAGAAAAGGTACATCTCATTTTGCAAAAGGGGAAACTGAGGCACTGAAGTTTTTTGTTGGTTTTTTTTTTTTTGAGACAGAGTCTCGCTCTGTTGCCCAGGCTGGAGTGGAGTGGTGCGATCTCGGCTCACTGCAACCTCTGCCTCCCGGGTTTAAGCAATTCTCCTGCCTCAGCCTCCTGAGTAGCTGGGACTACAGGCACGTGCCACCATGCCCAGCTAATTTTTTGTGTTTTTAGTAGAGACAGGGTTTCTATGTATGTATTTATTTATTATATAGAGACGGGGTCTCGCTGTGTTGCCCAGGCTGGTCTCAAACTCTTGGGCTCAAGTGATGCCCCCGCCTCTGCCTCCCAAAGTGCTGGGATAATAGGCATGAGCCATCACGTCCCCGGCTTGCTGTGAATTTTTTATTTTATTTTTTTAGACAGAGTCTCCCCTGTTGCCCAGGCTGAAGTGCGTGGTGGGATTTCACCATGTTGGCCAGGCTGGTCCCACCCGCCTCAGCCTCCCAAAGTGGTGGGATTACAGGCGTGAGCCACCGCGCCCCGCCGACACTGAAGTTTTTTTCCCCCTCCCTACACCCTCAGTAAGTAACTCACACAGAGCTCCTCCTCCCTGCAACCACGGCCCTTGTTCCGTTGGCATGGGGGCAGTTTTGGGCTCAACAATCCCCACATCTTGAAATTCTCAACTTCCGGGTTTCCCCATCCCTCCTTTCTGGGGTGTCATCTGCCGCCATTGTCACTCTGCACGGAGTTCCCATCTCGCTCACCTGAACGGCCACCATAAAAGTCCTTCCCTGTCTTACTCCACCTTGCTGGCCTCCGCTCACCACGCACCTCCAAACTGAAACACTGAGCACTCCCCGTTACACCCCTTCCATCCTCTCTATTCAGCCAGCTCCTCTTCCTCACTGGGTCTCCATGTACACGTCCCCCTGCAAGGGAAGCTGTCCCAGATACCCGCTCGCACCCCTCAAGCTGGGCCAGGGGACTCCTCCAGGACTCTAGGCACTTTCAGCATCGCTTATCCCGGCTCTGTGTGGTCATCGCATGGTTATGTGTCCTGTATACAGTAGGGACTTCATAAATGTTTTATTTTTGTTTCTTTGTTTGTTTGAGGCTGGAGTGCAGTGGCACAATCTCGGCTCACTGAAACCTCTGCCCTCCGGGTCAAGAGATTCTCCCGCCTCAGCCTCCCAAGTAGTGGGGATTACAGGTGCCTGCCACCACGTCTGGCTAATTTTTTTTTTTTTTTTTCAGTAGAGATGGTGTTTTGCCATGTTGGCCAGGCTGGTCTCAAATTCCTGAGCTCAGGTGATCCGCCCGCCTTGGCTTCCCAGAGTATTAGGATTACAGGTGGGAGCCACCGTGCCCGGCCAATAAGTGTTTGTTGAATGACTGGATGAGCCCACAGAGCCAGGTCCCAATCCTTGTGTTTAGGGCAGGAGGCCCACCCAGGCCTCAGGCCAGAATGGAGCCTCCCTTTCCTGCCCCGATCCAGGCAAGAACTCGGGGTGGGGAGCGGCAGGGCCAGGCTCAGGTCCAAGTCCACATCCTGTTCAACTCTGTTCCCACGCACTTCTGCTGCTCCCCGGGGGCTGGTGTGGAGGGGCCCTGGGCGGCTGAGAGCCAGGCCCAGGGTCACTAGCACCCGCCCCAAAGCCTCCCGGCCAAACCCTGGATCCCAGCAGCAGAGCAGGCAAGCGCCAGACTCCAGCCTTACAAGTTGTATGGTCTTGGCGTCATGTCACCACTCTGTGCCTCAGTTTCCCCACCTGTGCCCACTTCATGAGGTTGTGGTGAATATAAGACGGGTTCATATACATGAAAGGCTGAGAACTGATCCTGGCATACAATTGGCACTTAAGGATTGGAGACTCGGGATAATGAAAAAGGAAGTCTTCCTTCCCCCATAAAAGCCCATACATAGGTGGCCACATAGGTGACAGGGCCGCACACGGTAATGGCACTACTCATGTAGTGTGTACCCCGCCGGAACCCATGTGGTTGCTTCACGCATCTAAGAAGAGAGACATGTCAGTATACTCACTTGAGCGACAGACACTTGACCAAGATCCTTTGTCCAAAGTGCTCGCGGGGTGGCTCTGGGCGGCTACAGCGTTCCACGGCTTCATCCTGCCAAGAGTGGGGGGTGGGAGCTGGGCGGGAGGAGCTGGGACATCCTCCAGGAAGGGTCTGGAATGCCCAGCCTCAGACCAGCTCTACCCCAGCCTGACTAACCGTCTTTCCATCCCTGCCTCTGAGCCTTTACACGTGCTGTTCCCCTGCCTGGAATGCCCATCTTCTCCCACTCCTCCTTGTCTCGCTAATGTCTGCTCACTGTTCATATATACTTCTACTATATAGAGGTATATAGTAGGTGTCCATATATAGAAGCTTATTTTTTTTTTTTGAGATGGAGTCTCGCTCTGTCACCCATGCTGGAGTGCAGTGGTGTGATCTTGGCTCACTGCAACCTCTGCCTCCCAGGTTCAAGTGATTCTCCTGCCTCAGCCTCCGGAGTAGCTGGGATTGCAGCTTAGCCAACACTTCCTCCAGGAAGTCCTCCCTGACCCCTGAGGCCTGGGCAGGCACCTCTTTCGGGTGCCCACAATGTCCTGGTGTAAGGAGCCATGGTGGCTGGGACACTGAGGACCGTGTGAGGGACAATTACCAGCACCTCATCATGGCACTACTCTGTCTGGGTTATACGTTCCTAGTAGAGAGGTCTCTCCTCCGCTAGTGAACTCTGAAGGCAGGGACTGGGTCTCTCTATTCATGGCTATATCCCCAATGCCAACAATACAGTGGGTACCCAAACATGTTAGTCGAATAATTATAGAGGTATACAATAGGTACCTACTAAAAGTTAGTTGGATGAACATAAGCATATACAGAAAGCATTCAATAAATGTTGACTGGAGATATAGGGATATACACCCAATAACGCACCCAGTAAGTACTGATTGAATAAATATGGGTGTATATAGTAAGCACTCAATAAATGGCCAAATACAACCACAGGAGTATATACTAGGTACCAAATAAATGTTGGTTGGATAAAAATAGACATATGTGGTAGGTGTTCAATAGATATTGGTTGATTAAATAGAGAACTATACAGTAGGCATTCATGTATTGAATAAATATAGGGATATACAGTTGGTACCCAATACATGCTTGTTGGATAAATAATTTTTAAAAATTTATTTTCTGGCCAGGCGCAGTGGCTCATGCCTGTAATACCAGCACTCTGGGAGGCTGAGGCGGGCAGATCACAAGGTCAGGAGTTTGAGACCAGCCTGGCCAACATAGTGAAACCCTATCTCTACTAAAAATACAAAAATTAGCCAGGCATAGTGGCACGTGCCTGTAGTCCCAGCTACTCAGGAGGCTGAGGCAGAAGAATCGCTTGAACCTGGGAGGTGGAGGTTGCAGTGAGCTGAGATGGCGCCACTGCACTCCAGCCTGGGTGACAGAACGAGACTTGTCTCAAAAAAAAAAATTTATTTTATATATTTTTTTACCTTTCCTATGGTGTTGATGGTTGGATAAATATAGGAGTATATAGTAGGTGTCCATATATAAAAGCTATTGAGGCCAGGCGCGGTGGCTCAAGCCTGTAATCCCAGCACTTTGGGAGGCCGAGGTGGGCGGATCACCTGAGGTCAGGAGTTCGAGACCAGCCTGGCCAACATGGCCAAACCCCGTCTCTACTAAAAAAAATACAAAATTAGCCGGGCGTGGTGGCTGGCGCCTGTAGTCCCAGCTACTCGGGAGGCTGAGGCAGGAGAATGGCGTGAACCCGGGAGGCGGAGCTTGCAGTGAGCCGAGATAGCGCCACTGCAGTCCAGCCTGGGCGACAAGAGCGAGACTCCATCTCAAAAAAAAAAAAAAAAAAAAAGCTATTGAATAAACACAGGGGATAGAGTAGGTGCCCAATAAATACTGGTTAGCTAACTATAAAGGTATATAGTAGGTGTCCATATACAGAAGCTATCTTTTTTTTTTTTGAGACAGAGTCTCGCTCTGTTGCCCAGGCTGGAATGCAGTGGTGCGATCTTGGCTCACTGCAACCTCTGCCTCCTAGGTTCAAGTGATTCTCCTGTCTCAGCCTTCAGAGTAGCTGGGATTACAGGTGCCCACTACCATGCCTGGTTAATTTTTGTACTTTTAGTAGAGATGGGGTTTCACCATGTTGGTCAGGCTGGTCTCAAACTCCTGACCTCAGGTGATCCACCCGCCTCAGCCTCCCAAAGTGCTGGGATTATAGGTGTGAGCCACCACGCCCAGCCAGAAGCTACTTTTTTTTTTTTGAGACAGAGTTTTGCTCTGCTGCCCAGGCTGGAGTGCAGTGACGGTGATTTCGGCTCACTGCAGCCTTCACCTCCCGGGTTCTGGCGATTCTCATGCCTCAGCCTCCTGAGTAGCTAGGATTACAAGCACCTGCCACCATGCCTGGCTAACTTTTGTATTTTTAGTAGAGATGGGGTTTCACCATGTTGGCTGGTCTTGAACTCCTGGCCTCAAGCGATCTGCCCACCTCAGCCTCCCAAAGTGCTGGGATTACGGGCATGAGCCACCATGCCCGGCCTAGAAGCTATTAAATAAGCATAGGGTATACAATAGGCACCCAATAAATGCTGGTTGGATAAATATAGGGGTATATAGTAGGTGTCCACATATAGAAGCTATTGAATAAACATAGGATATACAGTAGGTGCCCAATAAACACTGATCGGATTAATACAGGTGTATATAGTAGATGTCCATCTATAGAAGCTATTGAATAAACATGAAGTATACAATAGGCACCCAGTAAATGCTGGTTGGCTGATATCTGGGAAGGGGCACCCACCTCGTCAGGTGCCGGGTAGAGGGTGAGCAGGGCCGGGGGCCGGTGCTGCCGTCGAAGGGTTTCATTGCGCCGGTCCACATCTTCTGGGGCCGCCCGCTCTAGCAGAGAGGGCAGCAATGAGTCAGCTGCCAGGTTCCTCAGGTCGAAGATGCTAGAGGCACCACTGCTTCGAGGGGTGTCTTCCGGGGAGCCCGAGCCACGCCGGGAGTCATTCTGCCAGTGGAGAATGTGCAAGCACTGAGTGCCAGCTGTATACACCTTCACCTCACTCTGGTGAGAGTGTCCTCATACTCATTCTAGAGATGGGGAAATTGAGGGTCAGGGGGTGAGGGTCATCACTCTAAGGGTCACCTGGGGGTTTTGCCTACCCTCTTTCCAGAAACTTCTGTCTGGAGAGCCTCCCAACTTTTACCATTGCTGGGGGAGGCTACTCCTTATCCCACATTTGGGGCTTTAGGTGATCCTTATCTGGTCAATCAAAACACATCTACCCACCCTAGGGACTGGCTCCAAGGGCCTGGGCTGGGCCAATGAAAGCCTTCCCTGGGACTTTGTTCACTGTCGCCAGGGAAGGAGAGAGTTCTTCCTGACCTTCCTGCACTGGATCAAATCCCAGCTCAGCTCTGTGACACTGGGTCTCTGACCCCCAACTCTAAGGGCCTCAGTTTCCCTATGTACATCTAAAAATAATAACAAAATTAGCCGGCATGGTGGCGCATGTCTGTAATCCCAGCTACCCGGGAGGCTGAGGTGGGAGGATCGCTTGAATCCGGGAGGTGGAGGTTGCAGTGAGCTGAGATTGCACCACTGTACTTCAGCCTGGGCGACAGAGTGAGATTCCATCTCAAAATAATTAATTAATTAAAATAATAATAATAATGAAAACAACAATAATCTTTGGAATAATTATGGTTGGTATACAGTAGGTGCTCAGTAAATGTTGATTGACAAAATACAGGCTCACGGCCTCTAAGAACCTTGCTGTGCCTCAGTTTCCTTACCTGGGTGTAATGGCTGCCCTGACTCCTAGGATGAAAGCAGAGGACACATATGAAGCCTTCAGTACACCCTAAGCACTCAATAAATGTTTATAATTATGACCCCTAACTTTTTACTCATGGGGACTGATGCAATTCCTTTTGAGCTCAAGGCTGTTTGGGTCATTTCCTGTCACATGTGACCAAAAGCTGAGGCCGGAGCCTCCACACATACCCCTTCAGTGACCCCAGCCAGGGGCTTCCTCACCGAGTCCTCAGGGCCGGACCTCTCGTCTCCAGAAGCATCCTGCTCAAAGACCTGGCGGGGGAGGCCCTTCTGTCGCTCCCGCTGTGTGTCTGTGGTGACGGGGCTGTATGCTGCACTCAGGTACTGATACCTAGCAGGAAACGGGGCTGGGCAGGTAGGGAGGGCTGAGGGCCCCCAGGGGGTCCCCAGTGTGTTCTGACACACCTACATGGCACCTTCAAAGCCACCGTCCTTGTGCTCCACCAGACAAGTTTGCCTGCTCTTGCAGGGACAATGGGCAGATACACAGTAGGACCGGCTGCAGACATCAGCTCAGCCCTTTTGGGTTCCGAACCCCCTGAGCTGCCCCTAAGTCAGACTCACCTTCTGTGGACAATGACCCAGTCCTCAATATACATCTCCACCGCGGCCCTCACCTGGGCATCCAGTTTTCTGCAGCAAAAGAAGATCAGGGTAAACAGAGACAAGGCCTCTGTGAATCCTTCTGCTAGCCTGTAAGGTTAGCACTGTCCTGCCTATTCCAGACAAGGGGAGATGGAGGCTCAGAGAAAAAGCATGGCTTGTCCAACGTCACGGCCAAGCCAGGAGCTGAAGTCGGGCTGTTGATGGGGTTGGCAGAGACAGAGTGGAATCACAGGCAGAGAGGGCGTGGGGCTGAACCCACTCATCCTTGGGGATCCCGGGCTCCGTGGTCCGGCATTCCCGGGGCTGCAGCAGCAGCTCCAAGTCATCAGCTGGGAATTCTACCAGGTCCCTGAGGGGCCCGGGCTCAGCATCTGGTGGCCGGCTCAGAAGTACATCCTCAAAGTCCAGGGGCTCGACAACTTCAGTCAGTGGGACCTGGATTGGAGCAAAGTGGCTGTGATCGCACTACCTAGGAGGCTGAGAGTGGGGGCACGAGGCAGGGGTGGGTGCGCGCTGGCTTCAAACTCAAATAGGAGGGCGGTGGGAGCCATGGAGGGTGTTGGAGTTACGGAGGAACCATGGAGGATGATGACCTCAGACTCTCCACCCCCACCTCAGCTTTCCCTGCCCTGCCCCTCCCTCCAGGGGCTCCAGGAAGGAAATCACACCCCATGCCTGGAAGGGCAGAAACTAACAGTGGAAGGAAAGAAATGTTGACAGAGGCCAGGCAAGAGACAATTCCTAAAGCCTCCGCAACCCTGTGGGCAACATGGCCCCACCCCTCTCAGGCGAAAGTCACTCCCCTCCCCAACTTCTCCCTCCTCCATCCCCATCTAGGTGGTCCAGGTGGCTGGAGATGGGGGACATCAGGAGGGAGCCACTCCCCTGACCACCCACAGGGTGACAAGCAGCGGCAGGGAGAGTGGCCACAGGAATTGGTGAGACTACTAGGACCAGGACAGGCACTCCCTCCCCCGACACTGCTGGGTCCCTCTCGGTTTCCCCCCAGGACAGGCCACAGGAGGGAGGGGGTGGGATAGAACCTAGGCCAAGGAAGCCCCTACCTCTGTCTGAGAGAGGGCAGAGGGCTGGGGGCGGACCCCCCAAATACTTACCCCCAGGGAGCTGCTGCAGCGCCTGCTGGAGTGGGGGGAGCCACTGCGTTCCCGGGACACCTGCTTCCGCACCTCTGCGGCCACCGTCCTGGAAAGATAGGGAGGGGGCCATTGGGGACGGGAAAACTCAGGCAGCGGAGCGGACAGATTCTTTCTATGAGGAAAATCCAGATTGTGGAACGAAATAAATAGGCCGAGGGCCAAGAGAACCAGGAGTGCTGAGGCTTTAAGGGCCCACAGCTCCCCAGTTCCCCCAACGCGTTCCCCATCAAGCACAGATCAGGAGATGAGAATGCTGCCACCAGTGGGGTCTGAAGCCATCACGGACTCTCCTTCCCCTCCCGGCTGGGCCTGTGGCCTTCCAGGTCTGGAGGGAGGCCCACGGGTCCCTGGCCTCTGCTCCCTCATCTGGGGGACCTCTGTCCATCCTGCTGTTCCCCAACACACCCAGCCCTGCCCCTGGACCCCATCCAGAACATACATCCCTTCCCATCCTTGCTTTGGGGCTTTGGATAAGTCATTTCCACCTCTGAGCCTCAGTTTACCCTTCTGTAGCTGATGCCCTGACTTCACAGAGCTGCTGGGCAGAGCGGAGCCTGGGGCCTGGCCTGAAGTCACAGAGATCCTGAGATGAGGCCATTGTGTCAGAGGTCAACCTGGCCTGCGGGGCCCAGAGCTGGGAGGCCTTCTAAGTAACCCCAAGCAACCAAGGTGGGCCCTGGGGCCTTCCTGGGCCACCTGGATCTGAGCAGGCCTTCAAAATCAGGGAGGATGGCCAGGCATGGTGGCTCACACCTATAATCCCAGCACTTTGAGAGGCTGAGGCAGGCGGATCACCTGAGGTCAGAAGTTCAAGAAGGTCCTGGCCAACAAGGGGAAACCCTGCCTCTACTAAAAGTACAAAAATTAGCCAGACTCCTGTAGTCCCAGCTACTCAAGAGGCTGAGGCAGGAGAATCGCTTGAACCCGGGAGGCGCAGGTTGCAATGAGTCGAGATCGCGCCACTGCACCCCAACCTGGGCAACAGAGCAAGACTTTGTCTCGAAAAAAAAAAAAAATCAGGGAGGATGGGGGTAAAGGGGCAAGACTCGCAGTAGAGGGGACTCTGCAGGAATGTGGAGCAGAGCCAGTGGGGACAGGGATGGCTCAGCCCTCCAATTCCTCTGGCTGAGCTCAGAAGTGGATGAGAGAGCCATGCAGTTACCTGAGGGTAGAGGGTGCCCAGCAGGGGGCACAGCAGGTGCAAAGGACCTGAGTTCGGGCTCCGTGCTTTGAGTGTGGAGACTCCTGCTCCCTGGGGTCTCTGTGAAGGCAGGAGCTAGGGCTGTGTGTCCCCCAAAGAGGGCCTTGCACATACTAGGCACACACTCCTTTTTTTTCTGAGATGGAGTTTCGCTCTTGTTGCCCAGGCTGGAGTGCAATGGCCACAATCCCGGCTCACTGCAACACCTGCTTCCCGGGTTCAAGCGATTCTCCTGCCTCCGCCTCCTGAGTAGCTGGGATTACTGGCATGTGCCACCACACCTGGCTAATTTTTCGTATTTTTAGCAGAGACGGGGTTTCACAATGTTGGCCAGGCTGGTCTCAAACTCCTGACCTTAGGTGACACACCTGCCTCAGCCTCCCAAAGTGCTGGGATTACAGGCATGAGCCACCGCTCCCGGCCTACTTTTTTTTTTTTTTTTTGAGACAGGGTTGCTCTGTTGCCCAGGCTGGAGTGTAGTGGCACGATATCGGCTCACTGCAACCTTCGCCTCCCAGGCTCAAGCGATCCTCCTCCCACCTCAGCCTCAGCCTCCCAAGTAGCTGTGATTACAGGTGTGCACCACCATGCCTGGTTAATCTTTCTATTTTCAGTAGAGACAGGGTCTTGCCATGTTGCCCAGGCTGGTCTCGAACTCCTGAGCTCAAGCGATCTGCCCGCCTTGTACTTTTTTTTGACAGAATGAGTGAGTCCCTTCCAGTCTTCTTCTACAACTTGCCCAAATCTGCTGAGTGAGGGGAAGCCCCAGGTCTTCTGGCTGTGTGGCTTTGGGCAGGTAGGATACCCTCTCTGGGCCTTAGTCCCTCTTAAAATAGACAAGCTGATTGCCTGGGTTTTCAGGGCTTACTCCCTTCTGCTTCCCAATTCCCTGTGTAATTGTAAATTTTTTTCTTTTTCTTTTTGAGACGGAGTCTCGATCTGTTGCCCACGCTGGAGTGCAGTGGCGCAATCTCGGCTCACTGCAAGCTCCGCCTCCCGGGTTCACGCCATTCTCCTGCCTCAGCCTCCTGAGTAGCTGGGACTACAGGCGCCCACCACTACGCCCAGCTAATTTTTTGTATTTTTAGTAGAGACAGGGTTTCACCGTGTTAGCCAGGCTGGTCTCGAACTCCTGACCTCAGGTGATCCGCCCGTCTCGGCCTCCCAAAGTGCTGGGATTACAGGTGTGAGCCACCTTGCCCGGCCCCATTTTTGCTCTTAACAGTCTTGGAGTCTTGCTTCTACTGACTGGGGGGGTTGAGAAAAGCGCTTGTGGGGAATTCAAAGGATGTGAAAAATTAGGGCTTTTGTCTTCAAATTCCTAAAGTCGGGCTGCTGCCTCCAGAACCGTGGGCACACAGGGGCTGGGGGATAATTTACAAAAGATGCTGGGACAGGGGACAAAGCTGTGCCCTGGTCCCAGCTGTTCTGCAGCTGCTGCTCCAGAGGAGGGAGAGGGGAGGAGGGACGGCTGGGCCTCCAGCTTCCTTTTCCCCTTGGCCTTGGAGAGAGGCCCCTGCAGTGGGAAAACGCCGGGTCTGCAACACCACAGCCACAGAGCCAGCTGACTGCATCACAGGACTCTGCACGGAGAGCCGTCAAGCTTGGATGAGTGACCATCAGTCTCTCAGCCTCAGGGCTCAGGCCACTGACCACCTTCTTGAGCTGTTCTGAGTGTAAGGCTTTGCACACAGTAAGTGCTCAATTAGGGCTTGCTGCCACCATGTTGTCTTCAAAGACAATCCTAGGCAGCTGGGATTTCTGACCCTGGTTTTTTGTTTTCGTTTTTTAAAAAAATTTTATTTATTTTTTTGAGACAGAGTTTAGCTCTTGTTGCCCAGGCTAGAGCGCAGTGGCATGATCTCAGCTCACTGCAACCTCCACCTCCAGGGTTCAAGCGATTCTCCTGTCTCAGCCTCCTAAGTAGCTGGGATTACAGGCACCCACCACCATGCCCGGCTAATTTTTTGTATTTTTAGTAGAGATGGGGTTTCATCATCTTGGCCAGGATGGTCTCGAACTCCTGACCTCTGGTGATGCACCCACCTCAGCCTCCCAAAGTCCTGGGATTACAGGCGTGAGCCACCGAGCCCGGCCTGTTTTTGTTTTTTTGTGTCTGTTTTTTTGAGACAGGTCTTACTGTCGCCCAGGCTGGAATGCAGTGGTGCAATCACGGCTTACTGCAGCCTCAACCTCCTGGGTTCAAGGAATCCTCCTGCCTCAGCCTCCTGAGTAGCTGGGACAACTGATGCACACCACCATGCTTGGCTAATTATTATTATTATTATTATTATTTGTAGAAATGGGGTCTCACTATGTTGCCTAGTATGGTCTCAAACTCCTGACCTTCCGTGATCTTCCCGCCTCAGCCTCCTAAAGTGCTGGGATTACAGGTGTGAGCCACTGTGCCTGGCCTCTGACCCTGTTTTTACACCAAGGTGAGATGTAGATGGCAACCATGAGTGTCAGGCATGGTGGCTTGCACCTGTAATCCCAGTGCTTTGGGAGGCCAAGGCGGGAGGATCGCTTGAGCCCAGGAGTTTGAGGCTGCAGTGATGGCACCAGTGCACTCCAGCCTGGGCTACAGAGACACTGTCTCTTAAAAAAAAAAAAAAAAAAAAAAAAAGCTGGGCACTGTGGCTTATGCCTGTAATCCCAGCACTTCGGGAGGCCGAGGCGGGCAGATCATCTGAGGTCAGGTGTTTGACACCAGCCTGGCCAACATGGTGAAACCCCATCTCTACTAAAAATACAAAAATTAGCCAGGCATGGTGGCACATGCCGGTAATCTCAGTTACTCGGGAGGCTGAGGCAAGAGAATCACTTGAACCCGGGAGGTGGAGGTTGCAGTGAGCCGAGATTGCGCCACTGTACTCCAGCCTAGGCAACAGAAAGAAACGCTGTCTCAAGAAAAAAAAAAAATCCATCTATAAGCCAGGTGTTGTGGCTCATGCCTATACTCCCAGCATTTTGGGAGGCTGAGGTGGGAGGATCACATGAGGCCAGGAGTTCAAGACCAGCTTGGGCAACATAGCGAGACCCCATTTCTAATAAACACAAATGTACACACACACACGCACACAGAAAAAACCATCTGTGATTATTAAGCAAGGTTGAAAATATGCCAATCCAGCAATTCTACTCCAAGGTGTGGATTACTCAGAAGGAAACACATGGCCAAGAATGTTGACACCTCTGATCATGACAGCTCCAAAGTGAAACTCACATGTTCACTGACCAAAGAGGGAAATAAATGCATGAGGCAGGGGAATACTACCCAGCAATGAAAAAGGATTGCAGGCAATGGCCCAGCTGAGCCTTCCTGACATGATGCTGAGTGAACAAAGTTGGGCACATGGATGCAACACCTCATGATTCAGTTTATATGACAATCTAAAACAGGCCAGATCAGGTAGGGGTGCTGGCATGCGGGAGGGAGCCAGGAAGGTGGAGATAGTCCCCATGGGAAATTGACCAAGTGGCCATTTCCTCATTTCCTTGCCCTTTGCTTTCAAATTATTCTTTAAACTTCGCACTTTTCTTTCTCTCTCTCTCTCTTTTTTTTTTTTCCTTGAGATGGAGTCTCTGTCGTCCAGGCTGGAGTGCAGTGGTGAAATCTCAGCTCACTGCAACCTCCACGGCCCGGGTTCAAGCGATTCTCCTGCCTCAGCCTCCTGAGTAGCTGGGATTACAGGCACCCACCACCATGCCCAGCTAATTTTTGTATTTTTAGTAGAGATGGGGTTTCACCATGTTGGCCAAGCTGGCCTCGAACTCCTGACCTCAGGTGATCCGCCCACCTCAGCCTCCCAAAGTGCTGGGATTACAAGCATGAGCCAACGCGCCCGGCCTATAACTATTCTTTAAACTTTTCTTTCTCTCTCTTTTTTTTTTCTTGAGACGGAGTCTCTGTCACCCAGGCTGGAGTGCAGTGGCGTGATCTCAGCTCACTGCAACCTCCACGTCCCGGGTTCAAGTGATTCTCCTGCCTCAGCTTCCCCAGTAATTGGGATTACAGGCACTCGCCACCATGCCTGGCTAATTTTTATATTTTTCGTAGAGATGGGGTTTCACCATCTACAGACCCGAACTCCTGACCTCAGGTGATCCACCTGCCTCAGCCTCCCAAAGTGCTCGGATTATAGGCATGAGCCACCATACCCAGGCTACTTTCTTTTTCTTTCTTTTGAGACAGGGTCTCACTCTGTCACTCAGGCTGGAGTGCAGTGGCGCAATCACGGCTCACTGCAGCCTCAACCTCCTGGGCTCCAGCAATCCTCTCATCTCAGCCTCCCCAGGAGCTGGGACTACAGGTATGAGCCACCATCACACCTGGGTAATTTTGTTTCTTGCAGAGACAGGGTCTCGCTATGTTGCCCAGGCTGGTCTTGAACTCCTGGCCTCCCAAAGTGGTAGGATTACAGGTGTGAGCCATCATACCTGGCCCAAAATTTGTAGTTTTTGGTATGAATGTTGTATGTTACAGTTGTTTAAATGGTAAAAAATAACAATATATGTATGTGCTTGTGTTTGCCAATATATTCAAGGATGGGGGAGAGAGAGAGAGAGAGAGAGATGTTTACCTGAAATTTCAGTGGTAACTTTGGGATTTTGAAATTTGTCAATAAATACCTCATTTTCTTCCCACCCCTCCAATGAATCATTATTTCTTTTCTTTTTTTTTTTTTTTTTTTGAGATGGAGTCTCGCTCTGTCGCTCAGGCTGGAGTGCAGTGGCGGGATCTCGGCTCACTGCAACCTCTACCTCCCAGGTTCAAGCAATTCTCCTGCCTAAGCCTCCCGAGTAGCTGGGATTACAGGCGTGCGTCACCACGCTTTTGTAAATTTGTAAAGTTACAAAAAGCTAACTTTTTGTATTTTTAGTAGAGACGGAGTTTCACCATGTTGGCCAGGCTGGTCTCGAACTCCTGACCTCAGGTGATCCACCTGCCTCGGCCTCCCAAAGTCTGGGATTACAGACCTGGGCCGCCGCGCCCGGCCTTTTTTTTTTTTTTTTTTTTGAGACAGAGTCTTACTCTGTCACCCAGGCTGGAGTGCAGTGGCACGATCTCTGCTCACTGCAACCTCCACCTCCTGGGTTCAAGTGATCCTCCTGCCTCAGCCTCTGGAGTAGCTGGAAGATTGTCTAATATTCGGGTTAATCTGGTATTTGTGGAATAAATGACTGAATGGATGAACAGATGAATATAGGACCAGCTCTGAGTATGTAGACACCTGGGTGCCCAAGAGCGAAGTTGCTCTGGAAGCCCTGGGCCACTCCCTCACAGTTCACTAGGGCCCCAGGATCATTCTCTACTCTTACCCTGAGCTCTACAGTATCCAAAACCCCTCTTTCTCACTTGAGTAAAAACCAGGACCCAAGGACATACAGACCAAAATGCAAAGAAACAGACAGCAAGCTGGGCGCAATGGCTCACGCCTGTAATCCCAGCATTTGGGAGGCCGAGGCAGGAGGATCACTTGAGCCCAGGAGTTTGAGGCCAGCCTGGGCAAGATAGTGAGATCCCGTTTCTACAAAAGGTTAAAAAGTTAGCTGAGTGTTGCAGCATACACCTGTAGTCCCAGCTACTTGGGAGGCTGAGGCAGGAGGATCACTTGAGCCCGGGAGATTGAGACTGCAGTGAGCCAAGGTATCACCACTGCACTCCAGTCTGGGTGACAGAGCAAGACCCTGTCTCAAAAAAAGAAAAGGAAAAAAAAAAAAAGCCTGGGTGCAGTGGCTCACACCTGTAATCCCAGCACTTTGGGAGGTGGGCGGATCACCTGAGGTCAGGAGTTCGTGACCAGCCTGGTCAACATGGTGAAACCCCCTCTCTACTAAAAATACAAAAATTAGCTGGGTGTGGTAGTGGGCGCCTGTAACCCCAGCTACTCAGGAGGCTGAGGCACAAGAATCGCTTGAACCCAGGAGGCGAAGGTTGCAGTGAGCCAAGATTGTGCCATTGCACTCCAGTTTGGGTGACAGAGCGAGACTCTGTCTCAAAAAAAAAAAAAGAAAGAAAGAAAGAAAAGAAAAAGAAAAGGAAAGAAAAAGAAACAGACAGCAATAATGTTTGCAGCCTCAAAGACGCCAAAGGTCTAAGACATTTTGAAAGCCAATTTACAGACAAAGATAATGATAGAACATAAAAATTGCCCAGCCATTACGCCCCAGCCACCAAGTCTCATCCCTCCTCTGCTGAGAACTCCCCATGGCTCCCACCTCACCTGGGGTCCAAAGTCAAAGTCCCTTGCACAGCCCACACGACCCTGTACATTCTACTCTTACTGTCCCCCTCCAGCTCTCTGTTCCTGCCTCAGGGCCTTTGCACAAACCCTTCCCACTCTTTCCCCCCACAAACTGGCCTCGATCGATCCCTCTCTCATCTCCTTGAGGTTTTTGCTCAAAGGCACCTGCTCATCCAGGCCTTCCTGACCCACCTCCCGCATCTCAAGCAGCCCCCACCCTCCCATCCCCCTTCCCTGTCTTCTTGTCCCTACAGCACTTGTCACTGACAGGTAATCTACTCGATCAGGCTTCTGGTCTCTCTCCGCCACTATATCCCAAGAGGGGGATCTTTTGTCTCCATAAGACCAGGGCCCAACCCACAGGGCAGCTCTTTCACCTGGGGGCAGTCAGGACAGGTCCCCCGGGGAGAGGATACCTGAGCTTCTGAACGCACCCTTGTCGCAAAGACCCCCCGCCAACTGGGGGCGAGGCTTTTCAGCCCCAGAGAGTCTGATATACCCCTCCCAGGCTGTGACTCTCACAATCCCCAGTGGCCACGGAAATGGATCCCCCAGCGCCTGGGGCCTGTCCCCTCCCCCGTCTGCCCACCAGCTGGTTCTGTCCCCAGCCCCCACTCCCTCCATTCAATCACCCATCCATCCCCAGCGCGGTCCAGCCCGTGACGGGAGAGCCTGAAGCAGAAGGTGGGGGGGCGTCCACAGCTGTCCCCCTTCCCCCCCCCCGACAGCTGGGCACTGGACCCTGGAGGGGGAAGGGCACGGGAAACTCCTCGAGGGGTTTCAAACGCCACCAAGGAGCCCATCTCTGTCCCCAAATCTCAGAGCCTGGAGCCTCCCTGCCCCAAACCAGGCACTGAGGAAGGAACAGAAAGTCCGGCCCACCCCGATCTCCGAGAGCGCGGGGACAGTGAGGGGCCGAGAGGCGGACGGGGAGCGCAGGGAGTTCAGGGGGCGCCCGTCATCCGCATCCCCACGCCACCTCCTCCGGGAAGCCCTCCGGACACACCCCCGCGCGTCACGGAGGCAGAACGGCAGCCGCCATCGCGCTCCCAGCCCCGACGCGACTCCCATCTGGGACCCCCGCCGGGACCCCCGCGGCCCTCCCCGCCTTCTCCCGCTCCCAGCCCCGGCCGGAGGAAGCTGGCGGGACCCGGGCCGAGGCGGAAAGGGGTTGAATTGGGGGCGCCCGGGCGGGGAGGGTCGCACCGCCCCGGGGCGGAGCCGGGCCACGTGGGGGAGGTGGGAGGGGGCCCCGCGGCCACACTACCTGTTGATCTTGTGCGCGAAGGCGCGGCGCTCGGAGGCAGCCATGGTCCTCGCGTCCCGCCGCCGCCGCCCCGGGCCCCGGCCCCGCCGCCGCCGCCGCCTCCCGGTTCTGGGCAGCCGGGGCGGGGCGGGGCCGGCGCGGGGGCGGGGCCCTTCCGGGTGGCCCGGGCCGCTCCGTGCTGCCCCTGCAGGCCGGAGGGGTCGCCTGGAGTCCTGGGGGCTGGGGAAACTGAGGCTGGGGACGGAGAGGAGGCCCCGGGATCCAGGCTGGGCGGGCCCCAGACTCCCGGGCTGGGGGGACGCTCTTTCTACCCTAGGAGAAGGGCTGGGGAAACTGAGGCTGAGGAGGGAAGTTAGGGAGAGGAGGCGCTGGGACCCAGACTGGGGGTGCCCCAGACTCCCGAGCTGGCGGGGGCGCTCTTTCCACCCTGGGAGCTGGGCTGGAGAAACTGAGCCTGAGGAGGGAGGGAGGGAAGGGAGGCGCTGAGACCCGGGCTAGGTGGACCCCAGGCTCCCGGGGTTTAGTGGGGTGGTCTTACCACCCCAGGAGCAGGGCTGGGGAAACTGAAGCTCAGGAGGGAGGGAGGGAGGGGAGGCGCTGGGACCCAGGCTGGGTAGGCCCCAGATTTCCGGGGTTTGGGGGGCGCTCTTTCTGCCCTCTGACTCCTGGCTGGAAAACAATAACGATGTTCATGTATCTAATAATCATACCTGTAAGTATAATCGTGGCCGTGCATGGTGGCTCATGCCTGTAATCCCAGCACTGTGGGGGGCCAAGGCAGGAGGATTGTTTGAGCCCAGGAGTTGGAGACCAGCCTGGGCAACATAATGAGACCCCGTGTCCACAAAAAATGCAAAAATTAACCAGGCATGGTGGTGTGTGCCTGTAATCTCAGCTACTTGGGAGTCTGAGGGAGGAGGATCGCTTGAGCCTGGGAGGTCAAGGCTGCAGTGAGCTGTGATTGTGCCATTTCAATCCAGCCTGGGTGACAGAGCGAGACCCTGTCTCAAAAAGTCTAATTGCTAAGATGTCATTGAGCCTGGCCCTGCAATTCACACATGCAGAAGAAATTATTGTTTTCCTCCTTTTACAGATGAGTAAACTGAGGCACAGAGGTGTTCGGGTGCTTGCTCAGTGTGACTCACAGGGGTCTCCAGCGCCTGCATTGTCCGTGCTCCCAGTCTACAGCATGGGAGTCAGAGGAGCCTGGCTAGGCACTGGAGTGCTCGGAGATGTGCCCCAGGTCCAGGTGGTGGGACCTGAGTGAGCCAGTTTGGGAGTCTAGACTTTCGGGGCCGCCTCTACCAAGAGGAAGAGGTGGGGATGTCTTGGTTAATCTATGGTCTCAAATCTCTCCCCACTGGCCTCTCTCCCAGCACTGCTGCAGCATTTTTAGAGAATTCTCCAGCCGACACTCCCCTCTGGAGGAGCTCACCCCTTTCTCACCTGCATGCCTCTGCACCGGCAGGTCCTTCCTCCTGGACAGCCCTTCTTTCCCTGGTCAGCAAATGCCCCAGGGAGAATTTGAGGTTGAATCAGACAAGGCCGTGGCTCTGCCTCAGGGCCTTTGCACGTGCTGTTCTCATTCCCATCTATGGGTTGCTGGCATTTTATCCTCTATTATTTATTTATTTATTTATTTATTTATTTATTTATTTATTTATTTATTTTGAGGTGGCATTTCGCTCTTGTTGCCCAGACTGGAGTGCAATGGCACAATCTCGGCTCACCGCAACCTCTGCCTCCCAGGTTCAAGCGATTCTCCTGCCTCAGCCTCCCGAGTAGCTGGGATTACAGGCACCCACCATCACACCTGGCTAATTTTTTGTATTTTTAGTAGAGACGGGGTTTCACCATGTTGGCCAGGCTGGTCTGGAGCTCCTGACCTCAGGTGATCCACCCGCCTCGGCCTCCCAAAGTGCCGGGATTACAGGAATGAGCCACATGCCCACCCTGAGTCACCATGCACCCCCGAGACACAGTTTCTTGCCTTGCTGCCCAATGAATCCATGTCAGACCTTGAACCCACAGGAAAGAGGCCTGGATTGTAGGGGAACCCCCAAACCCTGCCAGTCAGACGCAGGATAGCATCCTGCTAGTCAGGCCGCAGTAGGGCTGCTCACAGCCTGGCATGTGACATGTGCACACAGCCCACGTGCCTGCCCGGAGTGGTCCAGCCACTTTGGCCAGGTGGAGCTCCGCCCATCACTCCCCGCCATGCCCCACCAAGTGTCCCCGCCTTGCCTCTCAGGCTGCTGGGAGCTAGGCTGGGCAGGAAATATGCAGATGAGCGAAGATTTGCACATTTCTTAGCCTAGTTCCAGTCCAGCCCCCTTTATATCCGGTCTCCCAGCTTCCTTTCTCATCCTCCCCCCAGCTTGTTCCTGCATCAGTGGCCAGGAAGAGCCTGGGAACACCTGCATCACTTCAGTTCCCTCCTCTGTTCAGAACCTTCCATGGCTCCCACCTCACTCAGGGTAAAAGCCAAAGTCCTCCCACAACCCGCCGGGCACAGTGGCTCCCTGTCATCCTGGCACTTTGGGAGGCCGAGGCGGGTGGATCACTTGAGGTCAGGAGCTCCAGACCAGCCTGGCCAACATGGCAAAACCCCGTCTCTACTAAAAATACAAAAAATAGCCGGGCATGGTGGTGGGAGCCTGAATCCCAGCTACTCGGGAGGCTGAGGCATGAGGATCGTCTGAACCCAGGAGGTGGAGGTTGTAGTGAGCTGAGATTGCGCCACTGCACTCTAGCCTGGGCGAGAGTGAGACCCTGTCTCAAAACAACAACAACAACAAAACAACCAACAAACAAAACCAAAGTCCTCCCACAACCCACAAGGCCCAGCATGATCAACCCTGTCACCTCCCTGGCTTGCCTCTTCCTTTTCTTTCCCTCATTCACTCCACTCCAGCTGCCCCTGCCTCCTGGATGCTTCTCTAAACACCAGGACACAGCTCCACTCAAGGACCTTTGCATGTTCTGTTCCCTTTCCCACATATGGGCGTTGCCAGTAGCCCCCTTTTACAGATAAGGAAACTGAAGAACACCCAGAGAGGGGACTCGCCCTAATGTAGCCTAGTGAATCAGTGTCAGATCCAAGATTTGACTCCAGGGAGCCTGATCCCAAAGCGGTTGTCTCTAAAGTCTCACTGGGTCTCCATCAGACCTGGCTGTGTGACCCAGGATAAATTGCTCAACTTCTCTGAGCCCCAGTTTCCTTGTTTGCTCCCTGAGAGTTCGTGGTTGGTCACAGCTTGAGACCCAGACATCAGGAGGTAGGTTGAGCCATGGAGCAGCAAACTTCAGGGCCTTGTCAGGGCCCATTCCCTGTCGAAGCCCAAGGGGGTTTTGAGCTCAGCGACTCCATGTCCTGCCTTGGTGGAAACGCTGCTTCAGAGATTGCTCCAATCAAAGGCCCTACCCCAGATGCCTCGAGCACAGTACCCGCCCCAGTGCCTGCCAGACCTGACTGGTGAGGCTATTTCTCTCCAGAGCACCACCAGCCCTGACTCAGCTGGGTGTGGCTGGGGTGCCCCTGACAGCTGATCAAACAGAGGCTGAGCGTGGTGGCGGGGACTTTGGCCTCCTCTGCTCTACTGCGTGGAGAACACGTTGCGGACATGAGGCTGGAGCTGGTGGACCAGGGAGGAGGGGCTGTACTGGTCCAGGTTAGGGATGATAGGCCTGGATGGGGTGAGGATACAGGGGAGGTGAGAAGTCGGTGGGCTCTGAGCAGATGGCTCACTGGTGGCTGGACAGTGAGTCCATCTGCAAGTTAGAGTAAGAGAGGAGTCAAAAACCGTCTCCTTCACCCACGCTGCTGCCTAATGCTGCTCCCTCCACGTGGAATGCTGTTCCATCCACTCCTCGTCTGCCTGCACCCTTCTTTGTCCCTTATATCTCAGCTTGGACATCCCTGCCTTTGCCCGCTGCCTCCGCCATGGAGGCCCCAGTCACGCCCCAGTTGCTGGGTTACCTTTCTCTGTGGGGTTCCCAGCACCTGACATTTAGTAGGAGCTCCATAAATACTGACTTTTTGGTTTTGCTCTTTTTTTTTTTTTTTTTTTTTGAGACAGGGTCTCACTCTGTTGTCCAGGCTGGAGTGCAGTGGCTCCAATATGGCTCACTGCAGCCTCCTCCTCCCAGGCTCAAGCAACCTTCATACCTCAGTCCCCAACTCTGGGACTACAGGCATGCACCACTATGGCCAGCTAATTTTTCTGATTTTTTTTGTAGAGACAGGGGTCTCACTATGTTGCCTAGGCTGGTCTCAAACTCTTGGCCTCAAGAGATGCTGCCAACTTGGCCTCCCACAGTGCTGGGATTACAGACGTGCCCTCTTTTGTTTTCCTGATCTGCTGCTCAGAGCTTGTCCCCGACCTCGCTGTTGGAATCACTGTAGCATCATAATATGCTTCTGTATCTTTCTGTGCTGGGTGCAGCTGCCTCCAGACCTTTGCACAGGCCATCCCCTCTGCCCAGAACATGGTTCCCGGACTCCTTACCTTAACAGACTTTTTTTTTTTGGAGACAGAGTTTTGCTCCTGTTGCCCAGGCTGGAGTGCAATGGCATGATCTCGGCTCACTGCAACCTCCGCCTCCCAGGTTCAAGCAATTCTCCTGCCTCAGCCTCCCAAGTAGCTGGGATTACAGGCATGCGACACCACGCTCGACTAATTTTGCATTTTTAGTAGAGATGGGGTTTCTCCATGTTGGTCAGGCTGGTCTTGAACTCCTGACCTCAGCTGATCCGCCCGCCTCGGCCTCCCAAAGTGCTGGGATTACAGGTGTGAGCCACTGCGCCCTGCCACCTAAACAAACTTCTATTCATTCTTCAGGTCTGATGCCTCTTGCAAGCCTTCCGTGACCACCTCTCTCCCCTGTGGAAGCTGGGTCAAGGGCTCCTCTGGGCTCCCGTCCCCTCCAGCCCCTGGGTCTCCCCATCGCAGTCCTGATCACCCTCAGAATAACTGTCTGGTTCTGTGGTGTCTGCTCCTCCCATTCCAATGTCAGCTCCATGAGGACAGAAATTTTTCTTTTTCTTTTTTCCTTCTTTCCATGACAGGGTCTTGCTCTGTCGCCCAGGCTGGAGTGTAGTGATGCAATCATAGCTCACTGCAATCTTGATCTCCTGAGCTCAGGCAATCCTCCTGCCTCAGCCTCCTGAGTAGCTGTGGTCCCCTCCTGGGACCACAGGTGAATGCCACCATGCCCAGCTAGTTTTTAAATTGTTTGTAGAGATGGGGTCTCACTACGTTGCCCAGGCTTTTTTTTGGAGACAGGGTCTTGCTCTGTCAAACAGGCTGGAGTGCCATGACATGATCATAGCTTACTGCAATCTCCAACTCGTGTACTCAAGCGATCCTCCCACCTCAGCCTCCCAAAGTGCTGGGATTGCAGGCGTGAGCCACCACCGTTCCTGGCCTCTCTGCCTTATTCACTGCTGTATCCCCAACACCCAGGACGCAGCTGTGCATACTATAGGTGCTCAGTAAGAGAATGAGTGAGCCAGAGTAGTACAGGGCCTCACTGGCCAGAGGACCTCAGTGCCTCTCTGTCCCCTGGTGTCCGCTATTGATACCATCAGTGTGGCAAGAGCAACCAGTCCCACAGCAGGGAGATAGCTTCCTTGTGGAGAGGGAGTCTGCCTGGGCCTCCCAAACTGAGAGGTGTCGGGGGTGATGGTGAAGAGGGAGGTTGAGTGAGGCTGCCCACTGGCCCCTGGTGCCTGTGGTGAAAATGGTGGGCCCAGCCAGCCTAGGACACTTGCCCCATCCTGCCCATAGGCAGAGGACCCTGCTGCTACGTGGAGAATTGAGGAGCAAGAGCATGCAAGGCACATCCATGCAACAGGCATCCGCGGAGCATCTACCATCTGCAGGCGCCGACTCACCCCGGGAGGTGGAATCATCATCCCGGGTCACCATCCTACAGGTGCAGGAAACTGAGGCTGAGAGAGGAGCAGTCACCAGCCTCAAATCATACAACACTGGTGTGCCAGGCACGGTGGCTCACGCCTGTAATCCCAGCACTTTGGGAGGCTGAGGTGGACGGATCACTTGAGGTCAGGAGTTCAAAACCAACCTGGCCAACATGTTGAAACCCCTTCTCTACTAAAAATACAAAATTAGCTGGGTGTGGTGGTGTGCGCCTATAGTCCCAGCTACTCGGGAGGCTGAGGCAGGAGAATGGCTTGAATCTGGGAGGCAGAGGCTGCAGTGAGCTGAGATTGCGCCACTGCCCTCACTTCAGCCTGAGCGACAAACCAAGATTCCGTCTCAAAAAAAAAAAAAAAAATCACATAACACTGGAGTCGTAGGACTCGAACCCACGTCTGTCAACTTCAGGGAACTCTCTCCTGTGGTTTTTCAGATGCATTTCGGCAATTGGTGAATTACTTGAGTGAATGAATGGGTGTCTTGCAGTCAGTGGTGAGCTCAGAGTAGGAACAGGAATGAGCAGGATTTGGAGTCCCGAGAGACGTGGATTGGAGTTCTGGCTTGGCCACACAGCTGGACTGCGTGACCTGGACCTCTCTGGGCCTCAGTTTCCTCATCTACAAAGTGGGCGCAGCAACCTCAGTGCTCCACTGGCACGGGGCCAGTGAGGTGGCGTCAGGAGAGCACAAAACCAAGGGAGACACTGACGTGTTGGATTGTTTTTTCTGCTGTTTCCGGAGCCGGGGAAGGAAGCCAGAAGCCAACACAGGGTGTCCAGGCCTGCCTTTGGGAGTTTAAGTTACAAAGACAAAAGCTGGGCCTAGACAGGTCAGAGGGGCAGGACACAGGCTTCCTGTTTTTCTTTGAACAGATGGCCCAGCCACCAGATGCTTGTCTGTCCGGACATGTGTGCATTGTCCAAGGAACTTGCTTCTTTTTAAAATACTTTATTTTTAGAGATGGTGTCTCACTATGTTACCCAGCCTGGTCTCCGACTCCTGGCCTCACGCGATTCTCCCACCTCAGCTTCCCAAAGTGTTGGGATTACAGGCATGAGCCACTACACCTGGCTGAGGCCACTTTTGTGTAAAATATTTGGAAAAATGTATATATCTGTATTTCCTTGGTTTTCCAGACATTCTCTTCAGACTTCCAAGAAACTGGTGGGACTGGAGGACGAGCAGGAGGGATGCTTTGTTTTTTAACTGACAGATTTATTGCTTAGAGTCGTGTAAATGACAGAAGATACAGCAGACAGAGGAGAGTTTCCACCCCCGCCCAGAGCAGTTTCCCCTATTAACAACTTGCATCCTGCTGAACATTTGTTATAATTGATGACCCAATCTTGATACATCATTATTCATATAGTTTACATTCCGATGCACTGTTCCTGTTGTACATCCTACTGGTTTTTGGCAAGTGCATATGTTTTTTTTTTTGAGATGGAGTTTCGCTCTGTCGCGCAGGCTGGAGTGCAATGGCGCGATCTTGGCTCACTGCAACCTCTGCTTCCTGGGTTCAAGAGATTCTCCTGCCTCAGCCTCCCGAGTAGCTGGGATTACAAGCACCTGCCACCACGCCCAGCTAATTTTTTTTTGTTTGTTTTGAGACAGACCCTCGCTTTGTCACCCAGGCTAGAGTGCAAATGGCAGGACCTCGGCTCACTACAACCTCTGCCTCCCAGGTTCAAGACATTCTCCTGCCTCAGCCTCCCTAGTAGCTGGGACTACAGGTGCACACCACCACGCCTGGCTAATTTTTTGTATTTTTAGTAGAGACACGGTTTCGGCCGGGCGCGGTGGCTCACGCCTGTAATCCCAGCACTTTGGGAGGCCAAGGCCGGTGGATCAAGAGGTCAGGAGATCGAGACCGTCCTGGCCAACATGGTGAAACCCCGTCTCTACTAAAAATACAAAAAAATTAGCTGGGCGTGGTGGCGGGCGCCTGTAGTCCCAGCTACTCGGGAAGCTGAGGCAGGAGAATGGCGTGAACCCAGGAGGCGGAGCTTGCAGTGAGCCGAGATTGCGCCACTGCACTCCAGTCTGGGCGACAGAGCGAGACTCCACCTCAAAAAAAAAAAGAGACATGGTTTCACCATGTTGGCCAGACTGGTCTTGAACTCCTGACCTCAGGTGATCTGCCCATCTCAGTCTCTCAAAGTGCTGGGATTACAGGTGTGAGCCATCGCACCCAGCCAAATTTTGTATTTTTAGTAGAGACGGGGTTTTGCCATATTGACCAGGCTAGTCTCAAACTCCTGACCTCAAGTGATCTGCCCGCCTTGGCCTCCCAAAGTGCTGAGATTACAGGCATGAGCCACCGTTCCCAGCTATATATATATATTTTTTGGGACGGAGTCTTGCTCTGTGGCCCAGGCTGGAGTACAGAGGCGCGATCTCAGCTCACTGCAACCTCTGCCTCCCGGGTTCACGCCCTTCTCCTGCCTCAGCCTCCCAGGTAGCTGGGACAACAGGTGCCCGCCACCATGCCCGGCAAATTTTTTTTTTGTATTTTTAGTATAGACGGGGTTTCACTGCGTTAGCCAGGAGGATCTCGATCTCCTGACCTCGTGATCCACCCACCTCAGCCTCCCAAAGTGCTGGGATTACAGGTGTGAGCCACCGCACCCGGCTTTTTTTTTTTTTTTTTTTTTTTTGAGATGGTGTCTTGCTCTGTCACCCAAGCTGGAGTGTGGTGGCGCGATCTCGGATCACTGCAACCTCTATGTCCCGGGTTCAAGCTGTTCTCCTGCCTCAGCCTCCCGAGTAGCTGGGACTAGAGGCATGTGCCACCACGCCCAGCTAATTTGTATTTTTAGCAGAGACGGGGTTTTGCCATGTTGGCCAGACTGGTCTCGAATTCCTGACCTCAGGTAATCTGCCTGCCTCTGCCTCCCAAAGTGCTGGGGTTACAGGCATGAGCCACTGTGCCTGGCCAAGGTGCATATGTCTTGTATCTGGTATTATAGTATCATACAGTATCATATTCACAGTGCACAGTATCATATTCACAGTGCACAGTATCATATTCGTTGTGCTAAAAATCTGCCAATTCATCTCTCCCTTCCCATAGGCCCTGGGCAATCCTGACCTTTTTTTTTTTTTTTTCTTTGATACAGAGTCTTGCTCTGTCACCCAGGCTGGAGTGCAATGGCGCGATCTTGGCTCACTACAATCCCGCTTCCTGGTTCCAGCGATTCTCCTGCCTCAGCCTCCCTAGTAGCTGTGATTACAGGCACATACCACCACGCCTGGCTAATTTTTTTGTATTTTTATTAGAGATGGGGTTTTGCCATTTTGGTCAGGCTGGTCTCGAACTCCTGACCTCAGATGATCTGCCCACCTTGGCCTCCCAAAGTGCTGGGATTACAGGCATGAGCCACCACGCCTGGCCCACTTTTTTTTTTTTTAGACAAGGTCTCGCTCTGTTGCCCAGGTTGGAGCGCAGAGTGGCACAATCATAAACTCACTGCAGCCTCCATCTCCTGGGCTCAGATGATCCTCCCACCTCAGCCTCCCAAGTAGCTGGGACTATAGGTGTGTGCCACCACACCCAGCTAATTTTTTTTTTTTTTTGAGACGGAGTATCGCTCTGTCTCCCAGGTTGGAGTGCAGTGGTGCCATCTCTGCTCACTGCAAGCTCTGCCTCCTGGGTTCACGCCATTCTCCTGCCTCAGCCTCCCGAGTAGCTGGGACTACAGGCGCCCACCACTATGCCCGGCTAATTTTTTGTATTTTTAGTAGAGATGGGGTTTCACCGTGTTAGCCAGGATGGTCTCAATTTCCTGACCTTGTGATCTGCCTGCCTCGGCCTCCCAAAGTGCTGGGATTACAGGTGTGAGCCACCACGCCTGGCTTTTTTTTTTTTTTTTCTCTTTTTTTTGAGATGGAGTTTTGCTCTTGTTGCCTGGGCTGGAGTGCAGTGGTGCGATCTCGGCTCACTGCAACATCCGCCTTCTGGGTTCAAGCGATTCTCCTGCCTCAGCCTCCCGATTAGCTAGGATTACAGGCGCCTGCCACCACACCTGGCTAATTTTGTATTTTTAGTAGAGACGGGGTTTCACCATGTTGGCCAGGCTGGTCTCAAACTCCTGACCTCAAGTGATCCACCTGCCTTGCCCTCCCAAAGTGCTGGGCTTTACAGGCATGAGCCACTCACTACACCTGGCCACACCCAGTTAATTTTTAAAATTGGTAGTAGAGATAAGGTCTTGCTATGTTACCCAGGCTGGTCTCCAACTCCTGAGGTCAAGCAATCCTCTCACCTTGGTCTCCCAAAGGGCTGAGATTACAGGCATGAGTCACCTTGCCCAGCCCCTTTCCCCCTTAATAACCTCCACCCAGGTTGCGTGTGGCGGCTCATGCCTGTAATCCCAGCACTTTGGGAGGCCGAGGCGGATGCATCACCTGAGGTAGCGAGTTTGAGACCAGCCTGACCAACGTGGAGAAACCCCGTCTCTACTAAAAATACAAAAATTAGCTGGGCGTGGTGGTGTATGCATGTAGTCACAGCTACACAGGAAGCTAAGGCAGGAGAATCGCTTGAACTCAGGAGGCGGAGGTTGCAGTGAGCTGAGATCGCGCCACTGCACTCCAGCCTGGTGACAGAGGGAGACTCTGTCTCTCAAACAAACCAAAACAAAAAACCAAAACACAACAGGTAGCTGGGTGTGGTGGCACATGCCTGTAGTCCCAGCTACTCGGGAGGCTGAGGTAGGAGGATGGCCTGAGCCCAGGAGGCAGAGGTTGCAGTGAGCTGAGATTGTACCACTGCACTCCAGCCTGGGCAACAGAGCAAGACTCCATCTCAAAAAAATAAATAAATAAGAAGAAGGAAATAGTCTTGGTGCAAAGTCTAGCTCTGTGTTCAAATCTTAATTTTGTCACTTGCCAGCTGGGAAGCCCAAGTCCTGTGGGGTCCAAGATTTTTTATCTGGTGAATGGGCCTTGCAGGCCCCATCTCACAGAGACAAGGTGTCCTAACAATTGAGTGAAATAAGGCCAGTAAAGGGGCCACCAAAAGATGGAGGTTATTTTATTTATTTATTTATTTTTTTGAGACAGAGTTTCACCATGTTGGCCAGGATGATCTCGATCTCTTGACCATGTGATCTGCCCGCCTCAGCCTCCTGAAGTGCTGAGATTACAGGTGTGAGTCACTGTGCCTGGCCTGTATTTCCTTCTTAGCACAACCTTTCAGAGCAGGTGGCAATGACTTTGATAAAGCTCTGTCTTTTAGATGGACCACATTTTCCTTCCTTCCTTCCTTCCTTCTTTCCTTCTGTCCTTCTTTTCTTTCTTTCTTCCTTCCTTCCTTCCTTCCCTCCCTCCCTCCCTCTCTCTCTTTCTTTCTTTCTTTCTCTTTCTTTCTTTCTCTCTTTCTTTTCTTGACAGAGTCTTGCCCCATCAGCCAGGCTGGAGTGCAATGGCATGATCTTGGCTCACTGCAACCTCCATCTCCTGGGCTCAAGCAATTCTCCTGCCTCAGCCTCCCAGGTAGCTGGGATTACAGGCATGTGCCACCACTCCCGGTTAATTTTTGTATTTTTAGTAGTGACGGGGTTTCACCATGTTGGCCAGGCTGGTCTCCAACTCCTGACTTCAGGTAATCTGCCCGCCTCGGCCTCCCAAAGTGCTGGGATTACAGGTGCAAGCCACTGCGCCCAGCCTATGGACCACATTTTCTTAGCCCAGTAGCTCTGCAAAGAAAAGGAGGTGACATCACGCAGTAGTTAGACACCCAGACACTTGAGTTCAAATCCTGCACCTCAGCTCACAACACCAGCTTTAATAGACGGTTGCTCACACCTGTTAGAATGGCTACAATGAAAAATACCAACACCACCAAGTGCTGAGGAGGATTCAGGGAAACTGGACCCTCATACGCTGCTGGTGGGGATGCAAAATGGTGCAGCTGCTTTGGAAAATGGTGGTTCTTAAAATGCTTACCATGCAAGCCCTGTATGACCCAGCAAACCCACTCTTGGGTAGTGACCTAAGAGAAATGAAAATGGATATTGACATAAAAACCTGTATACGGTCAGGAGTGGTGGCTCACACCTGTAATCCCAACACTTTGGGAGGCTGCAGTGGGTGGATCTCTTGAGACCAGGAGTTCGAGACCAGCCTGGCCAACATGGTGAAACCCTGTCTCTACTAACAATAGAAAAATTAGCTGGGCATGGTGGTGGGTGCCTGTAGTCCTAGCTACTCAGGAGGCTGAGGCACAAGAATAGCTTGAACCCGAGAGGCGGAGGTTGTAGTGAGCTGAGATGGTGCCACTGCACTCCAGCCTGGGTGACAGAGCAAGACTCTGTCTCAACAAACAAGCAAAAAAACCTGTACATGAGCTGGGCATGGGTACTTGGGAGACCAAAGTGTGAGGATCACTTGAGGCTGAGAGTTCAAGGTTACACTGAGCTATGATTGCACCACTGCACTCCAACCTGGGGAACATAGCAAGACCTTATCTCTAAAAAATAAACTAATAATTTAAAAGCCTCAGTGTAGTGCTTCATGCCTGTAATCCTAGCACTTTGGGAGGCTAAGGGAGGAGGATCACTTGAGCCTGGAGTTCAAGGCTGCAGTGAGCTATGATCACGTCAACTGCCCTCCAGCCTGGGTGACAGAGCGAGATCCTGTGTCTCAAAAAATAAAAAGTAAAATAGAAGAAAAGGCTGTGCATGAATGTTGATAGCAGCTTTATTCATCATCACCCATGGCTTAAAACAATGGAGTTGTCCCTCAGTGGGTGAATGTAAAACAAACCAGGGTCTTTCCCTACAATGGAATATTCTTCAGCAACAAAAATGAGCAAACTATTGAGACAGGCAAGTACTTGGATGAATCTCAAATGCATTATGCTGCCTGAAAGAGGCCAGACTGAAAAGGCCACATAGTGTATGATTCCAGTTATATAACATTCTCAAAAAGACAAAAGTACAGTGTGAGATAGCAGACAGATGAGGGCCTGCCTAGGGCTCGGGGGAGGGGCTGATGACAGAGGGGCAGCGCCAGGGAGCTTCAGGGGGATGCAGCAGCTCTGTCTGATGGCCCTGGTGGCTCAATGAATCTGGACATGTGTTAAAATTCATAGAACTGTCCACCTCTCCGGGAGGAAATTTTACTGTATTTATACCTAGAGAGAGAGACATTTGCAGGGGGAATGGGTCCGTGAGATTCTAGGAATGTGGTTATTTATCCTTGTAAATCCCAGTCACCCCTGCTGAGACAATAGGGGTGACCCATTGTGCAACCTGCAGCCAGCCAGCCCACTTTGCAAAGTTTTCTTTCTCTTTCTTTCTTTCTTTTTTTTTTTTTTTTTTTTTTGAGACGGAGTCTCACTCTGTAGCCCAGGCTGGAGTGCAGTGGCATGATTTTGGCTAGCCGTAACCTCTGTCTCTTAGGTTCAAGCGATTCTCCTGCCTCAGCCTCCCTAGTAGCTGGGATTACAGGCGTGCACCACCACTCCCGGCTAATTTTTGTATTTTTAGTAGACACGGGGTTTTACATTGTTGGCCAGGCTGGTCTCGAACTCCTGACCTCAAGAGATCTGCCCGCCTCAGCCTCCCAAGTAGCTGGGACTACAGACGCATACCACCATGACCAGCTAATTTATTTTTATTTTTGTAGAGATGGTGTCTTGCTATGTTGCCCAGGCTGGTCTCGAATTCCTAGGCTCAAGCAATCCTCTTGCCTCAACCTCCCAAGTATCTGGGACCACAGGAGTGCCACCACATCTGGCTAATTTTATTATTTTTAATTTTTAATTTTTAATTTTTATTTTATTTTATTTTTTAGTATTTATTGATCATTCTTGGGTGTTTCTCGGAGAGGGGGATTTGGCAAGGTCATAGGACAATAGTGGAGGGAAGGTCAGCAGATAAACATGTGAACAAGGGTCTCTGGTTTTCCTAGGCAGAGGTCCCTGCGGCCTTCCGCAGTGTTTGTGTCCCTGGGTACTTGAGATTAGGGAGTGGTGATGACTCTTAACGAGCATGCTGCCTTCAAGCATCTGTTTAACAAAGCACATCTTGCACCGCCCTTAATCCATTTAACCCTGAGTTGACACAGCACATGTTTCAGAGAGCAAGAGATTGGGGGTAAGGTTATAGATTAACAGCATCCCAAGGCAGAAGAATTTTTCTTAGTACAGAACAAAATGGAGTCTCCCATGTCTACTTCTTTCTACACAGACACAGCAACAATCTGATTTCTCTTTCCTTTCCCCACACTTCCCCGCCTTCCACTCGACAAAACCGCCATCGTCATCATGGCCTGTTCTCAATGAGCTGCTGGGTACACCACCCAGACGGGGTGGCGGCCGGGCAGAGGCGCCCCCCACCTGCCGGACGGGGCGGCTGGCCAGGCGGGGGCTGCCCCCCACCTTCTGGAGGGGGCGGCTGCCGGGCGGAGGGGCTCCTCACTTCTCAGACGGGGCGGCTGGGCAGAGACGCTCCTCACCTCCCAGACGGGGTGGTGGTCGGGCAGAGACACTCCTCCGTTCCCAGACGGGGTCGCGGCCAGGCAGAGGCGCTCCTCACATCCCAGACGGGGCGGCGGGGCAGAGGCACTCCCCACATCTCAGACTATGGGCGGCGGGGCAGAGATGCTCCTCACTTCCTAGACGGGATGGCGGCCGAGAAGAGGCGCTCCTCACCTCCCAGACTGGGCGGCCGGGCAGAGGGGCTCCTCACATCCCAGACGATGGGCGGCCAGGCAGAGACGCTCCTCGCTTCCCAGACTGGGTGGCGGCCGGGCAGAGGCCGCAATCTTGGCACTTTGGGAGGCCAGGGCAGGCGGCTGGGAGGTGGAGGTTGTAGCGAGCCAGAGATCACGCCACTGCACTCCAGCCTGGGCAGCATTGAGCACTGAGTGAGACTCCGTCTGCAATCCCGGCACCTCGGGAGGCCGAGGCTAGCAAGATCACTCGCGGTTAGGAGCTGGAGACCAGCCCGGCCAACACGGCGAAACCCCGTCTCCACCAAAAAAAATACAAAAACCAGTCAGTCGTGGCGGCGCGCGCCTGCAATCCCAGGCACTTGGCAGGCTGAGGCAGGAGAATCAGGCAGGGAGGTTGCAGTGAGCCGAGATGGCGGCATTACAGTCCAGCCTCCGCTCGGCATCAGAGGGAGACCATGGAGAGAGAGGGAGAGGGAGAAGGAGACCGTGGGGAGAGGGAGAGGGAGAGGGAGAGCTCTTTTTAATTTTTTTTGTAGAGGCCAGAGTCTTGCTATGTTGCCCAGGCTGGTTTCAAACTCCTGGCCTCAAGTGATCCTCCTGCCTCAGCCTCCTACAGTGCTGGGATTACAGGTGTGAGCCACTGCACCCAGCTGGCTATGTGGTTTCTTGTGCATCACTCTATCCCTAGTGCGCTGCACACAGCCTGGCACACAGTAGGTGCTCAGTAAGTGCTTTCTGAGTGAATGATTGGGAGAAGCAGAAAGTATTCCAAGGGAGGCATGGGCAATTGTTTTTTTGTGTTTTTTTGAGATGGAGTTTTGCTCTTGTTGCCCAGGGTGGAGTGCAATGGCACGATCTCTGCTCACTGCAACCTCCGCCTCCTGGGTTCAAGCAATTCTCCTGGGTTCAAGCGATTCTCCTGCATTCAAGTGATTCTCCTGCCTCAGCCTCCTGAGTAGCTGGAATTACAGGCATGCGCCACCACACTTGGATAATTTTGTATTTTAGTAGAGACGGGGTTTCTCCCTGTTGGTCAGGCTGGTCTCAAACTCCCGACCTCAGGTGATCCACATGCCTCGGCCTCCTAAAGTGCTGGGATTACAGGCGTGAGCCTCCGTGCCCAGCCAGGCAATTTTGTTAATCGCTGAATCTTCCAGTTTCCACATGCCTCCTCCTCTCTCCAACCCTTCTCGCCCTAACTTTTCCAGATTGTGCATGAAATTTCTAGATTGTGCATGAATGCCCTGCCCAGCCCTGCACATTCAGAATTCATTTGAATTGAACCTGAGAGGTGGAGGTTGTACCGAGCTGAGATGGTGCTACTGCACTCCAGCCTGGGCGACAGACCGAGACTCTGTCTCAAAAACAAACAAACAAGCAAAAACCACAAAAAACCTGTACATGAGCTGGGCAAGGCTGAGTGTGGTGGCTCACACCTGTGATCCCAGTGCCTCCAGAGGGTGAGGCGGGAGGAATGGCTTGAGGTCAGGAGTTTGAGACCAGCCTGGGCAACATAGTGAGACCCTGTCTATAAAAAAAATAAAGAATTAGCCAGGTGTAGTGGCGCATATCTGTGGTCCCTGCTACTTGGGAGGCTGACAAGGGAGGTTCGCTTGAGCCCAGGAATTTGAGGCTGCAGTGAGCTATGATTGTGCCACTGCCCTCCAGCCTGGGTGACAGAGTAAAAGACAATAGCAACAAAAACGCTGAATGAAATACAGCAAACATGCTTTTAAGTTATCAGCTAAGTTCACAAAAAAGTAAGAGAAATCTCCAAGGAACACAGAGGAGGGGAAGTTAGTGCTGAGGCGCCACATTCCTTGACCCTGTGAGATAAAGGCTGCAGTGAGCCGTGTTCACACTGCTGCACTACAGCCTGGGCAACAGAACAAGGCTCTGTCTCAAAAAAAAAAAAAGAAAAAGAGAAAAAGAAACCTCGTCTCCAAAAAAAAAAAAAAAATTAAAAATCAGCCTGTAGTCCCAGCTATTCAGGAGGCTGCGGTGGGAGGATCGCCTAATCCCAGGAGCTCCATGTTGCAGTGAGCTGTGATCAGGCCACTGTACTCCAGCCTGGGTGATAGAACAAGACTCCATCCCCTCCCCTCAAAATAAAAATAAATTGAAAAAATAAAGAACAAATTAAAACAAGGTCATTAGGATGGACCCTAATCCAAATGACCACTATCCTTATAAAATGAGGAGGTATGGGCTGGGTGCAGTGGCTCGTGCCTGTAATCCCAGCACTTTGGGAAGCTGAGGCAGGTGGATCATTTGAAGTCAAGAGTTCAAGACCAGTCTGGCCAACGTAGTGAAACCCTGTATCTACCCAAAATACAAAAATTAGCTGGGTGTGGTGGCGCATGCCTGTAATCACAGCTATTTGGGAGGCTGAGGCATGAGAACTGCTTGAACCTGGGAGGTGGAGATTGCAGTGAGCTGAGATTGTGCCACTGCAGTCCAACCTGGGGGACAGAGGAAGACTCTGTCTCAAAAAAAGAAAAAAAAAAAGAAAAGATGAGGTGATATGGACACAGAGACAAGCATTAAAGAAAGACTATGTGAAGACACAGAAACAAGGCAACTGGCTCTAAGCCAAGGAGAGAGACCTCAGAAAGAATCAACCCTGCTGACACCTTATTCTTGGACATACACCCTCCGGAACTGTGAAATGCCCTGTTTTATAAGCTTCCCTGTCTGTGGTGCTTGGTCATGACAGCCTTAGCAAACTCATACACGTCCCCTCTTCCCAACTGCTGCTTCCTGGCATCACCACCTCTCAGACAAAGTACTTGTATTAAATCCTTGTTTCAGTGGTGGCTTCCACGGAACCCAAACTAAGACAAGGCCACCCCAGGGTACAAAAGGTGGCATGGGGAAAGAAGAGAGTCTCTGGGGAGCATTGTCATGCAGAGAAAGGAAAGGAGAGGTCTTCAAGGAAGTAGAGCCAGACCTCAGTTTCAGAAGCCATTGTATTTGCTCCCAGAACCCATGAGAAAAAACTTCTGCTGTGGTGGTGGTGGTGAATCCCACAATAGGAAGCTTCTCTGTGGTTTTGAGCCACAAAAGAAAGTTGTAGCCCATTGTTTCATGGCCACAAAGGAAATGGTTTCCAGTTGGGTGATGGTTCGCTTGGGTTGCTGGGAGGATCTGACCTCAACCTTCCTGCTGCACCCTGGGCAATGGTGCATCTTCTCTTCCGGCATCTTCTCTCTCCTGTTTTTCAAGTTTACTCTTTTTTTTTTTTTTTTTTTTTTTTTTTTGATACGGAGTCTCACTCTGTCACCCGGGCTGGAGTGCTGTGGCGCGATCCTGGCTCACTGCAAGCTCCGCCTCCTGGCTTCAAGCGATTCTCATGCCTCAGCCTCCCGAGTAGCTGGGATTACAGGCATGTGCCACCATGCTCAGTGGCTAATTTTTGTATTTTTAGTAGAGACGGGGTTTCACCATGTTGGCCAGGCTGGTCTCAAACTCCTGACCTCAAGTGATCCATCTACCTCGGCTTCCCAAAGTGCTGGAATTACAAGCGTAAGCCACCACACCTGGCCCAAGTTTACTCTTTCTAAAAAGAATTTATTTGGGGTTTGCTCTGTTGCCCAGGTTGGATGCAACCTGGTGGTATGATCATAGCTCACTGTAGCCTTGAAATCCTGGATTCAAGTGATCCTCCTGCCTCAGCCTCCTGAGTAGCTGGGACTACAGGTGTCCATCACCTGACCCAGTAATTAAAATTTTTTTTTGTAGAGATGGGGTCTTGCTATGTTGCCCACACTGGTCTTGAACTCCTGGCCTCAAACAATCCTATTGCCTCCAATACATCTGGCCCAGGTTTACTCTTTTTTTTTTTAGACAGTATGTTGCTCTTGTTGCCCAGGCTGGAGTGCAGTGGCACAATCTCGGCTCACAGCAACCTCTGCCTCCTGGGTTCAAGCGATTCTCGTGCCTCACCTCAGCCTCCTGAGTAGCTGGGATTACAGGTGCGTGCCACCACCCCCAGCTAATTTTTTTGTATTTTTAATAGAGACAAGGTTTCACCATGTTGGCCAGACTGGACTCAAACTCCTGACCTGAAGTGATCCACCCGCCTCGGCCTCCCAAAGTGCTGGAATTACAGGCATGAGGCACTGCCGCTCAGCCCCCAGGTTTACTCTTTTTTTTTTTTTTTTCTTTTTTTGAGACAGAGTTTCACTCTTGTTGCCCAGGCTGGAGTGCAATGGCATGATCTCGGCTCACTGCAACCTCTGCCTCCCGGTTTCAAGCGATTCTCCTGCCTCAGCCTCCCGAGTAGCTGGGATTACAGGCATGCACCACTATGCCCTACTAATTTTGTTTTTTTTTTTTTTAGTAGAGACGAGGTTTCTCCATCTTGGTCAGGCTGGTTGTAAACTCCCAACCTCAGGTAATCCGCCCACCTTGGCCTCCCAAAGTGCTGGGATTACAGGCATGAGCTGCCGCGCCCAGCCAGGTTTACTCTTAATTTAAGGTTGAGCCCCTGGGCTGCACACTCAGCCTTGTGGATGGATGACTGGCTTTGGGCCAAGGTTTGGCTTGCAGCTTCTCCTCACTCTCAGCCTAGAGGCAAAAACTTTTCTTTCTTTTTGTTAAAAACAGCTTTACTGAGATATAGTCTACACAGTATAGAATTCACCCCTCGAAAGTGTACAATTCAATGGTTTTTCCTATATTCAGAATTGTACAACCATCACCCAGCCTATTTTGGAACACTGTCTCATCTCCTCAAAAAGCAGCTCCACAGCCTTTAGCTATCATTCCCCTATCCCCTCGTCCCTGCCGCCTCACCCCTAAGCAACTACGAATCTACTAGTCTGGACTGTCACATGAGTGCAATCATACAACATCTGTCATTTCGTGTCTGGCTTATTTCACATAGCTTAAAGTTTGTAAGATTCATCTGCAGCCTGTGTGACTGTATCATTCCTTTAAATTTTGTTTTAATTTTTAAAATTGAGATGGAATCTCCCATGTTGTCCAGGCTTGTCTTGAACTCTTCGGCTCAAACGATCCTCCTACCTCAGTCTCCCAAAGTGCTGGGATTACAGGCGTGAGCCACCGTGTCTGGACATTCATTCCTTTTTTTAATTTTTTTGAGACAGAGTCTTGCTCTGTCACCCAGGCTGGAGTGCAGTGGCGCTATCTCAGCCCACTGCAACCTCTGTCTCCTGGGTTCAAGCGATTCTCCTGCCTCAGCCTCCTGAGTAGCTGGGACTAGAGGTATGCGCCACCACGCCTGGCTAATTTTTGTGGTTTTAGTAGAGAAGGAGTTTCACCATGTTGGCCAGGCTGGTCTTGAACACCTGACCTCAGGTGATCCGCCCTCCTTTGCCTCCTAAAGTGCTGGGATTACAGGCTTGAGCCATCACGCCTGGCCGACATTCATTCCTTTTAAAGGCTGGATAATATTCCATTGTATGGATAGACCACATTTTATTTATCCGTTCATCAGTGGATGGCCCCTATGGACTATTGTTAGCGGTGCTCTTACGCCATTTGAGTTACACATTTTTGCATGGACATATGATTTCATTTCTCTTGGGTACGTATATACCTAGGAGTGGAATTGCTCGGTCATATGGTAATTCCACTTTTAATCTTTTTTTTTTTGTCCTGTAGAGGTGGATTCTCGCTGGTCTTGAACTCCTGGACTCATATGATCCTCCTGCCTTGGCCTCCCAAAGTGCTGGGATTATAAGCATAAACCACTGTACCCAGCCCTTTCTGTAATTTTTTTTTTTTTTGAGACAGTTTCATTCTGTCGCCCAGGCTGGAGTGCAGTGGCACGATCTTGCCTCACTGCAACCTCTGCCTCCTGGGTTCAAGCAATTCTCCTGTCTCAGCCTCCTGAGGAGCTGGGATTACAGGTGCTCACCACCACGCCCGGCTAATTTTTTGTATTTTTAGTAGGGTTTTAGTAGGGTTTCACCATGTTGGCCAGGCTGGTCTCCAACTCTTGACCTCAGGTGATCCACCCACTTTGGCCTCCCAAAGTGCTGGGATTACAGGCCGTGAGCCACCGCACCCGGCCCTATGTGTAACCTCTTGAGAAGCTCTCAGACTGTTCTCCAAAGCTGTTGCCCCAGCTGACATTCCCACCAGTGGTGTATGAGGGTTCTGATTTCTTTGTGTCCTTGTGTGAAAATACTTCTTTAACCAATTTTACAGATAAGACTAAAATATACTGAGGCCCAGCAACGAGCTCAAGCTCCCACAGCTACTGAGACACAGAGCTGGGGCAGGTGCCCAGGTATCCAGACTCCAGACATCAGGATTTGCTCATTTCATTGAGGCTTTAACAAAGACTCTGTGGATCTTTATTGAGCTCCTGTTACATACCAAGCACTGAAGACACACAGTGAACAAACCAATGTAGAAAGGACTCAGATAGCTTAAAATAATAATAGGCCAGTGCCCAGTAGCATACACCTGTAATCCCAGCACTTTGGGAGGTCAAGGCGGGATGATCACTTAAGCCCAGGAGTTTGAGACTAGCCTGGGAAACATGGTGAAACCCCATCTCTACAAAAAATCTAAAACTTAGCTGGTCATGGGTCAGGCACTCCCAAAGTGCAGTGCTCCCACTGTACTCCAGCCTGAGCGACAGAGCGAGACTCCTTCTCAAAAAAAAAAAAAAAAAAAAGGTTAGCTGGTCATGATGGGGGCACATGCCTGTAGTCCCAGCTATTCAGGAGGCTGAGGTGGGCGGACTGCTTGCGCCTGGGGAGGTTGAGACAGTAGTGAGCCAAGATCACGCCACTGCATTCCAGCCCCAGTAACAGACTGAGACCCTGCCTTAATAAAAAGGAAAAAAAAAGTTAAAAATTTAAAAAATATTTGAATTCAGGATGGCAGGGACTACATCTGTATTTTTTGGCATCACAATTGGCATACACTAGGTGCTCAATGGATGCTTATTGAATGAAAGGTTGAATGAATTAGTGAATGAGCAGATGTCACCCATCAGAAAGAATCACTGACCTTGGAGTCAGGAGACCCATCTTCAAATCTGGGCTCCTCTGTTCCAGGCAATGAGCCTCATCTGTTTTTTGTTTTTTGAGACAGAGTCTTGCTCTACTGCCCAGGCTGGAGTGCAGTGGTGCAATCTTGGCTCACTGCAACATCCACCTCCCAAGGTGAATCAATTCTCTTGCCTCAGCCTCTCGAGTAGCTGGGATTACAGGCATGCACCACTGTGCCCAGGTAATTTTTGTATTTTTTGTAGAGACAGGGTTTTGCCATGTTGCCCAGGCTGGTCTCAAACTCCTGACTTCAGGTGAACTGCCCACCTCAGCCTCCCAAAGTGCTGGGATGACAGGTGTGAGCCACCGCACCCGGCCAAGCCTCATTTGTAAAGTGGACATGACAATAGCACCTACCTCTAAGCATGGGAGTGAAGATTCTAGATCATTCTAGCACCTGGCATGAAGTAAAGGCTTCAATAAATGTATACACCAACTCTCCCAGATCTTCTGAAAGAGAAGCACAGAAAACAGTCTGAACACAGCCTGGAAGGAGAATTCCTGTGCTGGGTGGGTTATTTTCCATGAACCCCGAGGACCTGGCTAAGTTTCAGGTCAGAGCTGTTTTTTTTTCCCCCAAAATTCTCTCATTTGCTCTGGTCCAAGTGGAGATCCTGGTTCCCAGTGTCCCCCCTGCCCCCACCCCCTTCCCGCCAGGCGCAGCAGGGAGCGTCCGCTGAGACAGCAAGAAAACCCACCCAAGAATGCAGAGGCCTCAGCTGAGGACAGCACTTGTAATTCAGCTTGGTCACCCTTTAAAAACAATTGTAAGGCCAGGAGTATAATCAATGTACTCGTGCCTGTAATTCCAGCTCTTTAGGAGGCTAAGATGGGTGAATGGCTTGAGTCCAGGAGTTTGAGACCAGCCTGGCCAACATGGTGAAACACCGTCTCTATCAAAAATAATAAGAATAATAGGCCGAGCACGGTGACTCACACCTGTCATCCCAGCACTTTGGGAGGCTGAAGCGGGCGGATCACCTGAGGTCAGGAGTTTGAGTCCAGCCTGGCCAACATGGTGAAACCCCATCTCTACTAAAAATACAAACAATTAACGGGGCGTGGTGGCACATGCCTGTAATCCCAGCTACCTGGGAGGCTGAGGCAGGACAATTGCTTAAACTTGGGAGGCGGAGGTTGCAGTGAGCTGAGATCGCGCCATTGCACTCCAGCCTGGACGACAGAGCAAGACTCCCTCTCAAAAATAAAATAAAATAATAATAATAAAGGCAGATCTTTTTTTTTCTTCTTGGTCTTTTTATCCTATTATAGTAATAATAACTGCATAGTGCATGCTGAGATAAGAGGCAGTGGTCGCTCCAATCACTGCCTCTTCTGATGTCTCGTGGCCTCTTCCCTTCTGTGTCTAAATGTTCCTCTCCTCTCTTTCTCTCTCTCTCTCTTTTTTTTTTTTGAGACAGAGTCTCGCTTTGCCGCCCAGGCTGGAGTGCAGTGGCGCAATCTCAGCTCACTGCCACCTCTGCCTCTCGGGTTCAAGCAATTCTCCTGCCTCATCCTCCCGAGTAGCTGGGAGTACAGGCGTGCACCACCACATCCGGCATATTTTTGTATTTTAGTAGAGACAGGGTTTCACCATGTTGGTCAGGCTGGTCTTGAACTCCAGATTTCAAGTGATCCACCTTCCTTGGCCTACCAAAGTGCTGGGATTACAGGTATGAGCCACCATGCCTGGCTGGATTTTTCAAGAGACGCCTCAAATCCAGACTTCTCCATTGAAAATATTTTGAATTTTTATTTTATTATTATTTCTTTTAGACAGAGTCTCACTCTGTTGTCCAGGCTGGAGTGCAGTGGTACCATCATGGCTCACTGCAGCCTTGACCTTCTGGGCTCAAGCGGATCCTCCCGCTTCGGCCTCCCAAAGTGCTGGAATTACAGGTGTGAGCCACCACAGCTTGCCTTGTTTTTTTTTTTTTTTTGAAACTGGGTCTCACTGTGTCACCCAAGCTGGAGTGCAGTGGCACGATTTCAGCTCTTTGCATCCTCTGCCTCCCAGGTTCAAG
Organism: Homo sapiens; assembly: GCF_000001405.40. NCBI lineage: Eukaryota > Metazoa > Chordata > Mammalia > Primates > Hominidae > Homo > Homo sapiens. The sequence goes on from NC_000019.10 coordinate 11,286,075, forward strand.
CAATTCTCTTGCCTCAGGCTCCAGAGTAGCTGGGACCACAGGCGTGCACCACCACACCTGGCTTATTTTTTGTATTTTTGGTAAAGACAGGGTTTTACCATTTTGCCTAAGCTGGTCCCGAACTCCTGGGCTCAAGTGATCCTCCCACCTTGGCCTCCCGGAGTGCTGGGATTACAAGTGTGAGCCACCGCGCCTGGCCTCGTGCCTTGATTTTTTTAAAGTCAAAGTCACCAGCAAGCCATGAACATTATCTCTCTTCTTAAGGAAGAAAGGGACCAGGGTGGTGGCCTAGGCAACATAGGGAGACCCCGTCTCTACAAATAATATATATATAAAAAAAAACAACTAGCTGGGTGGGGTGGTGCATGGCTGTGGTCCCAGCTACTAGGGAGGCTGAGCTGGGAGGATCCCTTGAGCCTAGGAGCTGGAGGCTGGACTGAGCTATGATGGAGCCACTGTACTCCAGCCTGGGCAACAGAGTGAGACCTTGTCAAAAATAAAAAATAAAAAAATAAAAAATAAAAATAAATAAAAAAAGGAAGGAAGGAAAGGTCTCCTTCACCGGATGTGAACCCTTTTCCCAAATCTTGTGCTGTGTTTCTCAGCCCCCACAGGCAGCTGAAATATGTCATCACCCACCCACTGCTTCCTGTCTGTGTTAGATTTTTGGGAGCTGCCATAACAAATCATCACCAGCTTGCTGGTTTAAAACAACAAGAATTTATTCTTTTATTTTTTGAGACACAGTCTCCCTCTGTCGCCCAGGCTGGAGAGCAGTGGGGCGATCTTAGGTCACTGCAACCACTGCCTCCCAGGCTCAAGCGATTCTTCTGCCTCAGCCTTCTGAGTAGCTGGGATTATAGGCATGTGACACCATGCCCGGCTAATTTTTGTATTTTTAGTAGAGACAGGGTTTTGCCATGTTGGTCAGGCTGGTCTCAAACTCCCGACCTCAGGTGCTCCGCCCGCCTTGGCCTCCCAAAGTGTTGGAATTACAGGCGTCAGCCACCACGCCCAGCCCCCTAAAATTTATTCTTTCACTGTTCTGGATGCCAGAAGTCTGAAATCAAGGTGTCAACAGAGCCGTGCTGCCCCCAAAAGCTCTGGGGAAGGTTCCTTCCTTGCCTCTTCCAACTTCTGGTGGCCCCTGGTGGTCGCTGGATTGTGGCCACGTCACTCCAATCACTGCCTCTTCCATCATCTTGTGGCCTTCTCCCCTCTGTCTGTGTCCAAATGTTCCTCTCCTGTCTCTCTTTCTCTCTCTCATTTTTTTATGAGACAGAGTCTCACTCTATTACCCAGGCTGGAGTGCAATGGTGTAATCTCAGCTCACTGCAACCTCTGCCTCCTGGGTTCAAGTGATTCTCCTGCCTCAGCCTCCCTAGTAGCCTGGAGTACAGGCGTCCACCACCACAACCAGCTAATTTTTCTATTTTTAATAGAGAGAGGGTTTTGCCATGTTAGCCAGGCTGACCTCAAACTCCTTGCCTCAAAATCCACCCACCTCACTCTCCCAAAGCACTGGGTATTACAGGCATGAGCCACCACACCTGGCCTCCTTTTTTTTTTTTTTTGAGATAGAGTCTTGCTCTGTCACCCAGGCTGGAGTGCAGTGGCGCGATCTCGGCTCACTGCAAGTTCTGCCTCCTGGGTTCACGCCATTCTCCTGCCTCAGCTTCCCGAGTAGCTGGGACTACAGGCGCCCGCCACCATGCCTGGCTAATTTTTTTTGTATTTTTAGTAGAGACGGGGTTTCACCGTGTTAGCCAGGATGGTCTCCATCTCCTAATCTTGTGATCCACCCGCCTTGGCCTCCCAAAGTGCTGGAATTACAGGTGTGAGCCACAGAGCCTGGTCTTTTTTTTTTTTTTTTTTTTTTTAACCAACAACCTTATTTATTTATTTTTGAGACAAGGTCTTGCTCTGTTGCCCAGGATGGAATGCAGTGGCACCATCATACCTCACTGCAGCCTCGACTTCCCAGGCTCAAGACATCCTCCCAACTCTGCCTCTAGAGTGGCTAGTACTACAGATACACGCCACCATACCTGGCTAATTTTTATTTTTTTAGAGACAGGGTCTCGATATGTTGCCCGGGCTGGTCTTGAACTCCTGGCCTCAAGCCTCCTGTCTCCTCTGGTCTTGCCCTCCCAAAGTGCTGGGATTACAGGCATGAGCCACCACCCCTAACCCCTCTCCTATGTCTTATAAAGACACCAGATATTGACCAGATATTGGATTTAGGACCTGACCTAAATCTAGGCTGACTTCATCTCAAGATGTTTAACCAATGACATCTGCAAAGACCCTGTTTTCAGATAGGGTCTCATCTGAGGCTCCAGATGGATATGAATTTTGTGGTGACATGACTTAACCCACTGTGGTGCTCACGGTAACCAGAGCTGGACATGAAGTTCTACAGGAACTGCGAGAACATTAGCAGGTACCGGGCCGAGTCATTTCCCTCTATTCCCACCAGGAGGCCTTGTAGTCCTGTTCCTTTTACAACATTTATTTCTTTTCTACTGTGGCAAAATATATATAACTTAAAATTTTGTCATTTTAACCATTTTAAGTGTACAGTTCAGGCCGGGTGTGGTGGCTCACACCTGTAATCCCAGCACTTTAGGAGGCTGAGGTGGGCGGATCACTTGAGGTCGGGAGTTTGAGACCAGCCTGGGCAACATGGTGAAACCCCGTCTCTACTAAAATTACAAAAATTAGCCGGGCATGGTGGCACGCTCCTGTAGTCCCAGGTACTCAGGAGGCTGAGGCAGGAGAGTTGCTCGAACCCAGTAGATGGAGGTTGCAGGGAGCTGAGATCGCAAGATCACGCCACTGCACTCCAGCCTTGGCAACAGAGCAAGACTCTGTCTCAAAAAAAAAAAGAAAAGTACAGTTCAGCAGCATTAAGCACATTCACATCGCTGTGCAGCCATCACCACCATCCGTCTCCAGAACTTTCTCATCTTTCCAAACTGAAACTCTATCCCCATGAAACACTCACTCCCCACGCTCCTCTCCATTCCCTGGTACCCACCATTCTGTTTTCTGTCTTTATGAATCTGATGACTCTAGGGACCTCAAATGAGTGGAATCATGCAATATTTGTCTTTTTTTTTTTTCGAGACAGAGTTCGCTCTGTCGCCCAGGCTGGAGTGCAGTGGCGTGATCTCGGCTCACTGCAAACTCCGCCTCCCGGGTTCACATGATTCTCCTGCCTCAGCCTCCCAAGTAGCCAGGATTACAGGCGCCTGCCACCACATACAGCTAATTTTTGTATTTTTAGTAGAGACGGGGTTTCACCATGTTGGCCAGGCTCCAAACTCCTGACCTCAAGTGATCTGCCAGCCTTGGCCTCCCAAAGTGCTGGGATTATAGGCATGAGCCACCGCGCCTGGCTCCCGTTGTCAATTCTTTTAGTTAAGAATTTGAGCAGGTGTGGTGGCTCATGCCTGTAATCCCAGGATTTTGGGAGGCTGAGGCAGCCAGATCACTTGAGTCCAGGAGTTCAAGACCATTGCTAGAGCCTGTCTCTACCAAAAATGGAAAAAAAAAAAAAAAAGGCAGGTGCGGTAGTGTGTGCCTGTAGTCTCAGCTACTCAGGAGGCTGAGGCGGGAGGATCACTTGAGCCCTGGAGTTTGAAGCTACAATGAACTATGATCACATCACTGCACTCCAGCCTGAGCAACAAAGTGAGATCCAGTCTGCAAAAAAGCAACAAAGATTTCTGCATTCATTTTCTCAGCTTTTGAGCATCTTTTCCTCTAGTTGGACAATCTTATACTTAATCAGCTACTAATACTTTCAAAGGGCATTTAAGGCCGGGCACGATGGCTCACGGCTGTAATCCCAGCACTTTGGGAGGCCGAGGCAGGTGGATCACCTGAGGTCAGGAGATCGAGACCAGTCTGGCCAACATGGTGAAACCCTGTCTCTACCAAAAATACAAAAATTAGCTGGGCATAGTGGGGCATGCCTGTAGTCCCAGCTACTGGGGAGGCCGAGGCAGGAGAATTGCTTGAACCCAGGAAATGAAGGTTGCAATGAGCTGAGATTGCACCACTGCCCTCGGCCTGGGCAACAGAGTGAGACTTCGTCTAAAAAAAAAACAAAAAAACAAAAACAAAGGGCACTTAAGTTGTTGTTTCCAATCATTCACAAGTCAAGCGAGGCTTAAGAGCAGGCATTAGCAAAACTACATTCTGCCACCCATTTTTGTAAATAACAAAACCATCTCATATTATAAATAACATTTTATTTTGACAGAGTCACACTTGTTCATTTACATATATTTACATATTGTCCATTTACATATTTTCTATGGCTGCAATAGCAGAGTCCCAACAGAGACGGTATGGTCCGCAAAGCTGAAAATATTTACTTTCTGGCTCTTTCCAGAAAAATCTGCCAGCTCTTGGCCTATGTGCATTTGAATAAATCTGTAGTAGGAATTCCTAGAAGGAGAAACATTCCCCACAAGGTTTTAAAAGTCCATTTGCGGTTGTTACAGGTCCGCCTGTAATAAAATCTCCAAAAGCTATTTATGAGGTCTTTTTTTTTTTTTTTTGAGACAGAGTCTCACTGTGTTGCCGAGGCTGGCGTGTGCAGTGGCAAGACCTCGGCTCAACGCAACCTCCGCCTCCCGGGTTCAAGCGATTCTCCTGCCTCAGCCTCCTGAGTAGCTGAGATTACAGGCATGCACCACCATGCCCGGCTAATTTTTGCATTTTTGGTAGAGACGGGGTTTCACCATGTTGGCCAGGCTGGTGTCAAACTCCTGACCTCAAGTGATCCGCCTGCCTTGGCCTCCCAAAGTGCTGAGATTACAAGCGTGAGCCACTGCACCTGGCCAACCTTTTCAATGTGTTTAAGTGAGATACTTGAGGAATATGGGATGGGAACAGTCTTGGCCACCCTGGGACCAGCTGCCCAGACAACAGAGGGAATTAGAACCCGATCCCCCATGCTAACAAGAACAGAAGCCCCCTCGAGATGTGTCACCTGCATGCACTGGTCTGGGGCCACTCGCTGCTTCCTGAACTCTCATCAGGACCCTCCAGTCCTCCTAACCCTTCAAGGTTGATACCCCTGAAACCCTCCCTTCTCATCACTGCCTGGGTATACCTTATATACTAAATATTTTTAATATTATCAAGGATCTTGGCTGGGTGTGGTGGCTCATACCTGTAATCCCAGCGCTTTGAGAGGCTAAGTCAGGAGGATTGCTTGAGCCCAGGAGTTCGAGACCAATCTGGGAAACATAGCGAGACCCCTGTCTCCACAAAAAATAAAAAAATTAGCCGGGCGTGGTGGCACGTGCCATTGGTCCCAGCTACTCTAAAGGCCAAAGCGAGAGGATCGCTTGAGCCCAGGAGGGTGAGGTTGCAGGGAGCTGAGATCACACTACTGTACTTCCAGCCTGGGAGACAAAGCGAGACCCTGTCTCAAAAAACAAACAAACAAACAAAAACCCATCTCCTGGTTCTCCTTAATTTCACTTCCCTCTTTTCCAGCCAGAAGCTAAGGTAGCTGAAGGGGTAGAAATTGCAGATCTTTCTTTATGTAGCAAGAGAGAGGAACTGGGAAAGCAGTGAGTGTCCCTGTAGGACAGGGGTCTTCTTATTTTATTTTATTTTTTTGAGACAGAGTCTCGCTTTGTCGCCCAGGCTGGAGTGCAGTGGTGCGGTCTCGGCTCACTGCAACCTCCATCTCCCCAGCTCAAGCAATTCTTCTGCCTCAGCCTCCTGAGTAGCTGGGATTACAGGTGCCCACCTGTAATTAACCGCATCCAGCTAATTTTGTAGTTTTAGTAGAGACGGGGCTTCCCCATGTTGGCCAAGGCTGGTCTTGAACTCCTGACCTCAGGTGATCCACCCGCCTCGGCCTCCCAAAGTGCTGGGATTACAGGTGTGAACCACTGTGCCTGGCCTGACAGGGGTCTTCTGATCACTCCTCAGTGCCTCCCAACCCACCATACAGAGCACAAAGTGTTAACCCTAAGGCAGAATGTGAACATGGGGAAACAAATGCAATTTTAAAAAACAACCAGCCAAACAAAAAAATCCCTAATGGTGGAAATGCTGTTTGTTTTTTTTTCATTTGGTAGCAATGATTACCATCATGCTCCTCTCCTGCCACAATGACGTCAGCCCCTGATGCTGAAACTTGGTGACACTTCTGTGCTTGTCCCCAGTGAGGGCTGAGGTGCACAACCTGGGAACTCCTAGAACAAGTGACTGATGCCAAAGGTGTGGACCAGCCTCTGCAAGGACAGACACCTTTCTTTTGTGTGTCCCAGACTTTTTTTTTGGATGGTGGATTCTGATTTGCCTCCTTCCCCAACGATGGCTATTAAAATACCTGAAACCATAAAATGCCCCTTTGTCAAGGATGGATCTAGGTTTTGTGAGGCGTAAACAAATACATTTCTGCCGCAAAGTTTACATGAACAAGTGAGCAGGCGAACCTACTGCCGCGCTCCTCTCTGACCTTGAAGGGTGGGCGCAAGCTCAGGTCTCATTCATTCACTATTTGTTGTTCAGTGCTCCCAAACACCCAATTGTTGCCCTTGACAACAAACACATGAATTTAAGAAGAGGAGTTCAGGCCAGGCACGGTGGCTCACGCCTGTAATTCCAGCACTTTGGGAGGCCGAGGGGGGTGGATCACTTGAGATCAGGAGTTTGAGACCAGCCTGGCCAACGTGGTGAAACCCCATCTCTACTAAAAATACAAAAATTAGCCGGGCGTGGTGGCGTTGCGCCTATAATCCCAGCTACTCAGGATCCTGAGGCAGGAGAATTGCTTGAGCCTGGGAGGCAGAGGTTGCAGTGAGCCGAAATCGCACCACTGCACTCCAGCCTGGGCAACAGAGAAAGACTCCGTCTGAAAATTAAAAAAAAAAAAAAAAAAGAGGAGAGTTTGTTGACTAATATGGGTCGTTGACATAAATATTCTGTGTGTGATTGTATTCAACACATTTCATTTTTTGGTTGTGATTTTTTTTTTTTTTTTTTTTTTTTGAGACGGAATCTCGCTCTGTCGCCCAGGCTGGAGGGCAGTGGCGCGATCTCGGCTCACTGCAAGCTCCACCTCCCGGGTTCACACCATTCTTCTGCCTCAGCCTCCCGAGTAGCTGGGACTACAGGCGCCCGCCACCACGCCCAGCTATTTTTTTTTGTATTTTTTTTAGTGGAGACGGGGTTTCACCGTGTTAGCCAGGATGGTCTCGATCTCCTGACCTTGTGATCCGCCCGTCTCGGTCTCCCAAAGTGCTGGCATTACAGGCGTGAGCCACCGCGCCCGGCTGGTTAATTGTGCTTTTTAAAAAATATCTCCCATCCCCATAAATATGTACACCTACTATGTGCCCACATAATTAAAAATTAAACAATTTTAATCCCCTAAAAATAAAAAAGGAGACCAAGCATGTGGAGAAATAAATGTCTCAACACACCATAAGGGTGTATTGGAGTGGCCCTTCTATGATTTTGACAATGATATTAAACGTCCTGGCCGGGCGCGGTGGCTCATCCCTGTAATCCCAGCATTTTAGGAGGCCGAGGCAGGAGGATGGCTTGAACCTAGGACTTAGAGGTCAGCCCAGGCAACATAGCGAGACCGCGTCTCTACAAAAAAAAAAAAAAAAAAAAAAAGCAAGTATCTTGCATTTGCAATTCGTCGGATGCCTGCAAAGTTCCGTGGGTGTGTGATGTAGGAATCTGGGGCACGGGAAGTTATTCTTGCTTCATTTCCTGACGCTGACCGGCTGGGCGGGGTCCCTGGGGCACCCGGGCACATTTGGACGTGTTTGGCAGGGAGAGTCCTGGCCCAGCCCCGGCACGTAGGGCCGCGCTTCCACGGGCCGCCGCCAGGAGACGCGCGAGGCTGTAGATGCGGCTTTGCAGAGAAGCTGGGAGGGTAGAGGGGCTGGGGCGGTCGAGGGGCGGGGCTGCGTGCAGCCGGCCCAGATTCCTTTCCGGCCAGTTCCTTCCAGGAGCTGCTCCCACGTCTACAGCGCCGTCTGCTACTCACCCAGCTCTCTTGTATCTGAGCCTCATTTTCCCACCGTCCTTTAAGCCCGTTTTCCCACTGCTCATTTGCAGCCAAGTTTCCATCTCGCATCTTTGCGTCCCCCTTCTCTGCACCCTCCTTTGCACCCCCATTTTCCTGCTTTCCCTTGAGTCCACATTTCCCAGACCTCCTTTGCCCCCTACATTTTCCAATGCTCTCTTGCATGCCCATTTATCACCCTCTTTTGTGCCCCCATTTCCAGGCCCTCAGCCCCTGGTTCTGAGGTTCCTTACTTCAAATGACCTTTTTTTTTTTTTTTTTTTTTTCCTGAAACGGAGGAGTCTCCCTCTGTCTCCCGGGCTGGAGTGCAGTGATGTGGTCTCGGCTCACTGCAACCTCCGCCTCCCGGGTTCAAGAGATTCTCCTGCCTCAGCCTCCCGAGTAGCTGGGACTGCAGGCACCCGCCACCACAACCGGCTAATTTTTTGTATTTTTAGTAGAGACAGGGTTTCACTGCATTAGCCAGGATGGTCTCGATCTCCTGACCTCGTGATCTACCCACCTCGGCCTCCCAAAGTGCTGGGATTACTGGCGTGAGCCACCGCGCCTGGCTTCAAATGACCTCTTAAATAAAGGTGTGGAAGGACACACTCCTGGCTGTGAACAGCACCCGTGGTCCAGGAGGAGACAGCACTCCTCTGTGAACATCTTGCTTAGTTCTACATGTTCCAAGAAGCAGGCGATTTGACAGACATTCATTAAATTAATTAAAGTGTAAGGTATTTTCTCCCATTTGAACCATCCGCCTTCCCCCAATCCATGCAGGACCTGGACCCAGACACACCCCAGCCCAGGGCTGGACAGAGAGGGGATCGGGGTGGGGCAATGTGAAGCTGCTATGGTTAGGGTGGGGAGGTATGGGGGCAAAGTGGGCTACAGACTGCAGGATCTAGGCCTGGAGGTCTTCAGTGCTGACATACAGAAGGTTTTTGGTCCTGAAATGCTAACTACATCTATCACCATGGAGAAAAGCCCAATGACCTGCTACTTGGGAGGCTAAGGTGGGAGGATCACTTGAGCCAGGGAGGTCGTGGCTGCAGTAAGCCATGATCACACCACTGCACTCCAGCCTGGGCAATGGAGCAAGATCCTGTCTCAAAAGAAAAAAACCCAGTGACCAATGGCTCACAGTTCCAGGACTCTCTGCCTTACAGGTTCCTGCCCTCATGTTACTCTTGGGGCTTCAAAGCCTGGTCTTGCTTCCTGTGTGGCCTCAGGCAGTTCCCTTGGCCTCTCTGAGCCCTGTATGAAGGATGGGCCAAGTATGGGCTTGGGCTTGGGAGGCCCGGTGGCTTGTAGCTAGATTTCTGCATCACAGAGCCTCTGGATCCATTCATTCATTCTCCGCGGGTTTCTTAAGTACTGCAGTGCCAGGCTTTGGGGACACAGCTGTTTTTGTTTTTGTTTTGTTTTGTTTGAGACAGAGTCTCACTCCGTCAACCAGGCTGGAGTGGAATGGCACGACCTCAGATCACTGCAACCTCCACCTCCTGGGTTCAAGTGATTCTCCTGCCCCAGCCTCCCAAGTAGCTGGGATTATAGGCGTGTGCCACCACACCCAGGTAATTTTTGTATTGTTTGTATTGTTAGTAGGTCTCAAACTCCTGACCTCAGGTGATTCGCCCGTCTCCGCCTCCCAACATGCTTTGACTACAGGTGTGAGCCACTGCGCCTGGCAGGGGTCACAGCTGTTAATAGGACAGCCCAAGTTCCCCCCTCCCCCGCTTGGATCCCCCAGTCTACTAGGAGATGTCAACTGTGCAAGTGGTTAGCTCTGGGCACTATGCCCACAGGGTCCTGGTGGCATCTGGAGGGTACCAGGGTAGCATACCATGCCTGTTCTCTTTCCCTGCTGTGACCTGTTTGAAGGATGAGGAGCCAACAGGGGGCAGTTTGGGGCACCTGATTTCCCTGGACCATGAGCCTTGCTCCAGAACCCAATTGTGATGTGATAAAAGGCTTATGACCAGGGCAGGGGGCAGCTGCTGGGCCGCCTTGGACAACCATCAGGCAGCCAGGACACAGAGGGGCAGAGCAAGTCAGCATTGGCGCCCCTTCCTCAGATCCCTATCATCTTGGGAAACAGTAGCCCAGAGGTTCAGGAAGATGTTAACTTAAATGTTCAGGGTGCCCCAGTCTGTTCAGCATGGCTGAAATCCACACTCCGTATTCTTCCTTGAAGAAACTGTTATCTTTACTCAATGGCTTCGTGGCTGTAAGTATGTCACAATCCAGGCCCCTGGTTTGTTGCAGCCCTTCCTCCACAGTCAGCTCCCTGAAAGACAGAAATAAGTTGATCCAAATTGGCATCGAGATCTGTGGTTCCCTGGAGAAGCAGGAGGGATGTAGGGCAGACGGAGGAGGAGGAGCAGGGAGCGTGGGGACCTCCATCAACCGAGAGCTGGTGAAATCCAGCACAGATGAGTGTGATCTGGGGGAGCCCAGGTGGGTGATGGAAGAGCTTGGCTCTAAGTCAAATCCTGTAGCCGACCAAGTTGTTTGGGAAGGCCAGGAGAAAGGGTTATTTTCTTGATCTTTTAAATTTGTCACATTTTTTTCCTTACCGTAAAAGTAACCCGAAATGTACATTGCTAAGGAATTGTCAGGCCGGGGGCGCTGGCTCATGCCTGTAATCCCAACGCTTTGGGAGGCCAAGGCGGGTGGATCACGAGGTCAGGAGTTCAAGACCAGCCTTGGTCAATATGGGGAAACCCCATCTCTACTAAAAATACAAAAAAATTAGATGGGCGTGGTGGCACGTGCCTATAATCCCAGCTACTCAGGAGGCTGAGGCATGTGAATTGCTTGAACCTGGGCGGCAGAGGTTGGCAGTGAGCCGAGATTGTGTCACTGCACTCCAGCCTGGGCAACATAGCGAGACTCTGTCTCAATAAAAAAATAAAAGAATAAAAACATAAAAAGAAGTAATTGTCTTCATTGTAGCATAGTCTAAGGAAAAGCTGCCAGGAAAGAGAAGGAAATGAAATATCACTCCTCCTCTTCACTTGTAACATTTTAAAGAGAATTAAGGCCGGCTGTGGTGACTCATGCCTGTAATCCCAGCACTTTGGGAGGCCGAGGTGGGCAGATCCATTGAGCCAGGAGCTCGAGACCAGCTATAGTGAGATCCCCATCTCTATTTAAAAAATAATAATACAAAATAAAGTGTTATTGGAACATGGCCGTGCTCACTTATTTGGAGATTGTGAACAGCTGCTTTTGGGCTACACCAATAGAACTGCGTAGTTTCAACAGACACCTTAAGTCCTGCAGAGGCCACAACATCTGGGTTTTTCAGAAAAAAAAAATTGCTAATCCCTGTCCTATGACATTATTTTATTTTATTTTATTTTATTTTATTTTGAGACGGAGTCTTGCTCTGTCACCCAGGCTGGAGTGCAGTGGCATGATCTCAGCTCACTGCAACCTCCACCTCCCAGGTTTAAGCGATTCTTCTGCCTCAGCCTCCTGAGTAGCTGGGATTACAGGTGCCCACCACCACGCCCGGCCAATTTTTGTATTTTTAGTAGAGACAGGGTTTCGCCATGTTGGCCAGGCTGGTCTCGAACTCCTGACCTCAGGTGATCCACCTGCTTCGGCCTCCCAAAGTGCTGGGATTACAGGTGTGAGCCACTGTGGCTGGCCTATTTTATTTTTTGAGACAAGGTCTTGATCTGTCATCCAGGCTGGAGTACAGTGGCACAGTCATAGCTCACTGCAGTCTCAACCTCATGAGCTAAAGTGATCCTCCCACTGCAGACACCTGAGTAGCTGAGACTACAGGCACGCACTACTACTGGCTATTTTTTTTTTGTTGGGGAGAGGGTACAGATGAGGTCTTACCAAGCTGGTCTTGAACTCCTGGGCTCAAGTCTTGGCCTTGGCCTCCCAAAGTGCTGGGATTACAGGCATGAGCCACCGCACTCACCCAGTTCTATTTGTATACAACTAACAGATTACTTTTCTTCCTTTCTGGTTTCTGTTCTAAAGGTGTCTGGCATCATCCTAGTTGGCCTGGGCATTGGTGGTAAATGTGGAGGGGCCTCTCTGACGAATGTCCTCGGGCTGTCCTCCGCATACCTCCTTCACGTTGGCAACCTGTGCCTGGTGATGGGATGCATCACGGTACTGCTTGGCTGTGCCGGGTGGTATGGAGCGACTAAAGAGAGCAGAGGCACGCTCTTGTTTGTAAGTTGGATCTGCACACAGACCCCAGAACTGCCTCCCCACACACACAAATCTTTTATTGTGCGTGTTGCAAACAACTTTGCTTGGTGTCACCTATTTTTTTTTTTTTTGCGGGGACAGGGTTTCACTCTGTCGCCCAGGCTGGAGTGCAGTGGCACAATCTTGGTTCACTGCAACCTCTGCCTCCCAGGTTCAAGCGATTCTCCTGCCTCAGCCTCCCGAGTAGCTGGGATTACAGGCACCCCTACCATGCCCTGCTAATTTTTGTATTTTTAGTAGAGACGGGATTTTGCCATGTTGGCCAGGCTGGTCTTGAAGTCCTGACCTCGTGATCCACCCGCCTCGGTCTCCTAAAGTGCTGGGATTACAAGTGTTGAGCCACTGCTCCCGGTCGAATTGTTTTAAACTGGAGAGGCCAGGGTGGCCTGGGGTGGAGGGTCGGGGGAACAGAGACAACCCCTCACCTGCAGGGTATAAGGTCGGGAGGAGGCTGAGCAGGCTCCCAGGCCCTCTCTCCCCGTGTGTCTTTTAGTGCATCCTGTCAATGGTTATTGTCCTCATCATGGAAGTTACAGCTGCCACAGTGGTCCTTCTTTTCTTTCCAATTGTAAGTACAGCCCTGCTCCTCCCACATAGCATTAGAAAGATAAAGAACCAAGGACGGGCACAGTGGCTCACGCCTCTAATCCCAGCATTTTGGGAGGCTGAGTCTGGTGGATCACCTGAGGTCATGAGTTTGAGACCAGCCTGGCCAACATGGTGAAACCCCGTCTCTACCAAAAATACAAAAAATTAGCCAGGCGTGATAGCACGCACTTGTAATCCAGCTACTCAGGAGGCTGAGGCAGGATAATCCCTTGAACCCGGGAGGCAGAGGTTGCAGTGAGCCAAGATTGCACCACTGCACTCCAGCCTGGGCAACAGAATGAGACTCCGTTAAAAAAAAAAAAAAGATATAGAACCAATAGAAGTCCGCCCCTCCCCGCCAGGCACCCATGATCGATTGTGGGGACCCAGTGATGGAGGGGCCCATCACACGTGCCACCTTTGATGGTGTGAGAAGCTGAAATCCTCAGCCTGCCTCTCCAAGTCCTCACAAAACCTGCTGAGTTCATTTAGTTCATCCCTCTTGGGTTTGGTGGCAGGAGAAGGGGAGATGATCAGAAGTGTTTGCATATTGATTGGGGTTTTGAAATGTATTCAAAATAGAGGGACAATTTAGCAAAATCCATCCAAATGACAAAAGCTTCAGCACTTTGACCTGGCAGTCCCATCTCTGGGAATTATTCAAGAACTCACTTGCTGGTGTGCAGAATCACATTCATGCCAGGGCATGTGAAAGATTGCAAAGAGGGCCAGGTGCGGTGGCTCACGCCTATAATCCCAGCACTTTGGGAGGCCGAGGCAGGTGGATCACCTGAGGTCAGGAGTTCGAGACCAGCCTGGCCAACATGGTAAAACCCCGTCTCTATTAAAAATACAAAAAAACTAGCCAGGCCTGGTGGCACATGCCTGTAATCCCAGCTATTCAGGAGGCTGAGGCAGGAGAATCACTTGAACCCGGGAGCCAGAGGTTGCAGTGAGCTGAGATTGTGCCATTGCACTCCAGCCTGGGCAACAAGAGTGAAACTCTGTCTCAAAAAAAGAAAAAAAAAAAAAAAGAAAAGAAAAGAAAAAAGAAAGATTGCAAAGAACCTAGTGAGTATGAATAAGGGTTTAGGCAAGTTAAAATACATCGACACAGTGGAATCCTGTACATCAGGTACAGGGAAGGAGGCGGCTCTCTGGGCACCAGATGGAATGCTCTCCAGGATAGAGTGCCGTCCTCATTGGCATCCTCCCCAGAGGCTGACCCTGAAACAATAATTCAAAGGCATGTGGTTTATTTGAGAGGTGATCCCAGAAAACACCTGCAGGGGACATGGCAAATGAGGCAGGTAAGGGAAGACAGCCCACAAAAGGGGATGCTGGGCACAGCATAGAACATGCACCTAGGTTATTCCACTCAAGTGGAGAGGGAGCTGGGATATTGATCCACCAACTCCAACCAGCCATTGATGGAGGGCTGCTCCCAGGGGGCATGTGGGCTCAGAGGCCAGAGAATCCTCACTTGCTGGCACTAGGGAGTCAGGCCAGTAGGCACAGAACTGACAAGGGCCACAGAGTTATGGGCAGGCCACCAAGAGCCCCTGCTACTCCTGTCGAGAACAGCCAGACGCAGAAAAATGAGTGCAGCATAAACCAAAGAGGAAGAATAGTGAAAATATACTTTGCTTTGACACACATAGAAGAACATCTCTTTGGGGACACAGGAAACAGTTAACAGTCATTGGCATGGAGTGGGAGGAAACTTTTGGCTGGGAGGAAGGGGTGGGAGAGAGACTTTTCATGGTCTGTTCTCCTGTGCATGTCAATTTCGAACCACGTGCCTCTATCATCGCTTTGCAAAAGGATTTTTTAAACCTTTATTTAAAAAACAGAAAATTAAATGTGCCCCTTTTGTGCAGACAGAGATTCCGTGGAAGATGATATTCAATTCTTTAATGGAGTTACAGCCACATCGTGGGTGCAGCAGGGTGTAGGCGATTCCAAAGAGCAGATGATTCAAATTCGTGTGCGATGGGTACAGAGAGATACGCTTGGCTCCAGACCCACGCGTCTCCCTGTTTCCCTCTCTTGTGGTGGGGGCACAGTAGCCTTCGTGTGTCTTCCTCTAGCACAGACCCCTGAGCTGAGGGTAGGAAAAATGAAGGCAGCACGAGGGACGCTCCCACCTCCCACTCTATCCTCAAGAACCTCGGCCAATGAACGGGCCACTCTTGCTAGTTGGGGTACTGATCACTTCCTGTCCTCTCTGTGAGGTTGGAGATGTGGCCTTGGAACACACCTTCGTGACCCTGAGGAAGAATTACAGAGGTTACAACGAGCCAGACGACTATTCTACACAGTGGAACTTGGTCATGGAGAAGGTGAGGCTTACTTAAAAAAAAAAAATTGTGGTGTAAAGGTACACAACATGGGCGGGCGAAGTGGCTCACACCTGTAATCCCAGCACTTTGGGAGGCCGAGGTGGGAGGATCACTTGAGGTCAGGAGTTTGAGACCAGCTGAGCCAACATGGTGAAACCCCGTCTCTACTAAAAATACAAAAATTACCTCCGTGTGGTGGCAGGCATCTGTAGTCTCAGCTACTCAGGAGGCTGAGGCAGGAGAATAGCTCGAACCCAGGAGGTAGAGGTTGCAGTGAGTTGAGATGGCACCACTGCATCCCAGCCTGGGCGACAGAGGGAGGCTCTGTTTAAAAAAAAAAAAAAAAGCCAGTCACAGTGGCACATGCTTGTGGTCCCAGCTACTAAGGAGGCTGAGGTGGGAGGATCACTTGAGTCCAGGAAGTCAAGGCTTCAGTGAACTATGATGGTGCCACTGCACTCTAGCCTGGGTGACAGAGCAAGACCCTGTATCTTGTAAACATGAAATGTATCGTTTAACATTTTTTTTTTTTTGAGTTGGAGTCTCATTCTGTTGCCTAGGCTGGAGTGCAGTGGCGCAATCTCAGCTCACTGCAACCTCCACCTCCCAGGTTCAAGCAATTCTCCTGTCTTAGCCTCCCAAGTAGCTGGGATTAGAGGCGCCCACCACCACACCTGGCTAATTTTTGTATTTTTAGTAGAGACGGGGTTTCACCATATGGGTCAGGCTGGTCTCAAACTCCTGACCTCAGGTGATCCACCCGCCTTGGCATCCCAAAGTTCTGGGATTATAGGCGTGAGCCACCGTGCCCGGCCCCATTTAACAATTTTGAAGTGTGCAGTTCAGCGGCATTAAGCACATTCGCATTGTTGTGCGACCATCACCACCATCTCTAGAACTTCCTTATCTTCCCAAACTAAAACTCTGTCCCATGAAACGCTCACTCCACATTCTCCCTCCCCAAGCCCCTGGCACCCACCATGCTCCTGTCTGTCTATATGAATCTGACGACTCTAGGGACCTCCTAGGAGTGAAATCAGGCAGTGTGTGTCTTTACTAAAAATACAAACATTAGCCAGGCATGGTGGCGTGTGCCTGTAATCCCAGCTACTCGGGAGGCTGAGGCAGGAGAATCGCTTGAATCCGGGAGGCAGAGGCTGCGGTGAGCCAGGATCATGCCACTGCATTGCAGCCTGGGCAACAGAGTGAGGCTCCATCTCAAAAAAAAAAAAAAAAAAAAAAAGGGATTTGCTAGATTCTATGGCAATTCTGCTTTGTATATATACATATATATTTATATACATATGTATATAAATATATATATACACACATACATATATATATACACATACATATATATATATATATATACACACACACACACACACACACACACACATACATATATATATTCACATATATATTTTTGAGACAGGATCTCACTCTGTTGCCCAGGCTGGAGTGCGGTAAGGGGATCATGGCTCACTGCAACCTCTGCCTCCCAGGCTGAAGCAACCTTCCCACCTCAGCCTCTTGAGTAGCTGGGACTGCAGGTTCGTGCCACCATGCCTGGCTAATTTTTTTTTTTTTTTTTGTAGATATGGGGTTTCACCATGTTGCTCAGGCTGATCTTAAAAACTCCTGGCCTCAGCCGCCCCGTCCGGGAGGTGAGGGGCGCCTCTGCCCGGCCGCCCCTACTGGGAAGTGAGGAGCCCCTCTGCCCCGCCACCACCCCGTCTGGGAGGTGTGCCCAACAGCTCATTGAGAACGGGCCAGGATGACAATCGCGGCTTTGTGGAATAGAAAGGGGGGAAAGGTGGGGAAAAGATTGAGAAATCGGATGGTTGTCGTGTCTGTGTAGAAAGAAGTAGACATGGGAGACTTTTCATTTTGTTCTGTACTAAGAAAAATTCTTCTGCCTTGGGATCCTGTTGATCTGTGACCTTACCCCCAACCCTGTGCTCTCTGAAACATGTGCTGTGTCCACTCAGGGTTAAATGGATTAAGGGCGGTGCAAGATGTGCTTTGTTAAACAGATGCTTGAAGGCAGCATGCTCGTTAAGAGTCGTCACCACTCCCTAATCTCAAGTTCCCAGGGACACAAACACTGCGGAAGGCCGCAGGGTCCTCTGCCTAGGAAAACCAGAGACCTTTGTTCACTTGTTTATCTGCTGACCTTCCCTCCACTATTGTCCTATGACCCTGCCAAATCCCCCTCTGTGAGAAACACCCAAGAATGATCAATAAAAAATAAATAAATAAATAAATTAAAAAAAAAAAAAAAAAAAACTCCTGGCCTCAAGCGATCCTCCTAACTCAGCCTCCCAAAGTGCTGGGATTACAGGGGTAGCCACCACACTGGCCTACGTTTTTTGAGGAACTGCCAGACTCCTTTCCACAGTGGCTGCACCATTTTCCATTCCCATCAGCAATGCAGGAGTCTAATTTCTCCACGTCCTTGACACCTGTCATTTTCTGGGTTTGTTTTTTTTTGAGATGGAGTCTCACTCTGTCACCCAAGTTGGAGTGCAGTGGCGCAATCTTGGCCCACTGCAACCTCCGCCTCCTGGGTTCAAGTGATTGTCCTGCCTTAGCCTCCCAGGTAGCTGGGATTACAGGCGTGCACTACCGTACCTGGCTAATTTTTGTCTCTAGTAGAGACAGGACTTCACCATGTTGGCCAGGCTGGTCTCAAATTTTTGACCTGAAGTGATCCACCCACCTTGACTTCCCAAAGTGCTGGGATTACAGGTGTGAGCCACCGTGCACGGCCAATTTTCTGTTATTTTGATCATTGCCATCCTAATGAGTGTGAGGTGGTGAGACTCCCATCTTGATTCTTGGCATTTAAGGAGCAAGACTGGCCTTTAAGTGTTATTTAAGCTTTTGAGACAGGTGGTTGAGGCCAGGCAGGGAGGGTTCAAAGTGGGGAAAGCCATTGCCTGTCTCCAGGAGCATTTCACACCTGAGTTGTAGGTCCAGGAGCTGCTGTGGGTTGATGGCCAGGCTTTGAAAGGAACATGTGATAGGGAACAATTTATTTATGTACTTAAGACAGAGTCGTACTCCCAAAACTCAGGCTGGAGTTCAGTGGCGCAATCTCGGCTCACTGCAGGCACAACTTCCCAAGCTCAGGTGATTCTTGTACCTCAGCCTCCCGAGTAGCTGGGACTACAGGTGCACACCACCACACCCAGCTAATTTTTAAAATTTTTATTTTTATTTATTTATTTTGAGATGGAGTCTCGCTCTGTTGCCCAGGCTGGAGTGCAGTGGCATGACCTCGGCTCACTGCAAGTTCCGCCTCCCAGGTTCATGCCATTCTCCTGCCTCAGCCTCCTGAGTAGCTGGGACCACAGGTGCCTGCCATCACGCCCGGCTAATTTTTTGTATTTTTAGTAGAAACGGGGTTTCACCATGTTAGCCAGGATGATCTTGATCTCCTGACCTCGTGATCTGTCCGCCTCGGCCTCCCAAAGTGCTGGGATTACAGGCGTGAGCCACTGTGCCCAGCCTAAAATTTTTAGTAGAGACCTTTCAGCATGTTGCCCAGGCTGGTCTCGAACTCCTGGGCTCAAGTGATCTGCCTGCTTAGTCTTCCTAAAGTGCTAGGATTATAGCTGTGAGCCACTGCGCCCAGCTTCATTTATTAAAAAAAAAAAAGTTTTGCTCCCTGTGTTGCCCAGACTGGTCTTGAACTCGTCGCCTGAAGTGATCTTCCTGAATTGGCTTCTCAAAGTGTTGGGATTATAGGCATGAGTCACTGCAACTGGCTGATGCCTTTCTGCATGCTGCTTTTGGCTTCTCAAGCTTGTGATGGTACAGAATGTCTCTCTTTCATTCATTCATACAGTCCTCCCACTAATATTTATTGAGCACCTGCTATGAGTCAGGCACTCTATAGGGTTTTTGTTAGGGTACAAAAAAAATCCTTGTTGGTGCTGGGCGCAGTGGCTCATGCCTGCAATTCCAGCACTTTGGGAGGCTGAGGCAGGTGGATCACCTGAGGTCAGCAGTTCGAGACCAGCCTGGCCAACATAGCGAAACCCCGTCTCTACTAAAAATACAAAAATTAGCCGGGCATGGTGGTGCATGCCTGTAATCCCAGCTACTCGGGAGGCCGAGGTAGGAGAATTGCTTGAACCCAGGAGGTGGAAGTTGCAGAGAGCCAAGATCGCGCCATTGCACTCCAACCTGGGCAACAGACAGAGACTGTGTCTCAAAAAAAATAATAAAAATAAAAATAAAAATAAAAATAAAAATAAAATCCTTGTTGGGCCAGGTGCAGTGGCTCACATCTGTAATCCTAGCACTTTGGGAGGCTGAGATGGGTGGATCGCTTGAGGCTAAGAGTTTGAGACCAGCCCAGGCAACATAGCAAGACCCATCTCTACAATAGATAAAAAATGTAGCCAGGCGTGATGGCCTGCACCTGTAGTCCCAGCTACTCAGGAGGCAGAGGAGGGAGAATCGCTTGAGCCCAGAAGATTGAGGTTGCAGTAAGCTACGATCTCAGCACTGCACTTCAAATTCATTCTTCCATTACTGACATGTGAATGAAGAGATGGGCAATCTCTGGTTCTTCCGTTACTGACATGTGAGTGGAGAGATGGGCAAGAAACCAATAACTAAACATTGGTATCAGGTTCATAACTGCTGTGAATAAAAACAAGGCAGGGCCGGGCACGGTGGCTCACGCCGCTAATCCCAGCACTTTGGGAGGACAAGGAGGGTGGATCACTTGAGGTCAGGAATTCGAGACCAGCCTGGCCAACGTGGCATAAACCTGTCTCTACTAAAAATACAAAAATTAGCCAGGCGTGGGGGCGTGTGCCTGAAATCCCAGCTACTCGGGAGACTGAGGCAGGAGAATCACTGAGGAGTTCAGCTTTTTTTTCTTTTTAGAGACAGGTCTTGCTCTGTTGCCCAGGGTGGAATGTAGTGGTGAGGTCATAGCTCACTGCAGCCTTGATCTCCCGGGCTCAAGAGATCCTCTAGCCTGAGCCTCCTGAGTAGCTGGGAATACCGGCATCTGCCACCATGCCTGGCTAATTTTTAAATTTTTTTGCCGAGATGGGGTCTCACCCTGTTGCCCAGGCTAGGAGTTCAGCTTTTACCCTGAGTGAGATGGGAGCCAGGGAGGGTTCTGGGCTGTGATGGGATGTTTGTAAGAGGATGTTTAGCACAGTCTCTGGGATATTGTGACCATACTAGACGGTAGCCATGGTAACCGTGATTTCTGATGTTTTTATTATTTGAAAGGGACTCTCCAAGTATTTCTTCTCCTCTCTATAGCTAAAGTGCTGTGGGGTGAATAACTACACAGATTTTTCTGGCTCTTCCTTCGAAATGACAACGGGCCACACCTACCCCAGGAGTTGCTGTAAATCCATCGGAAGTGTGTCCTGTGACGGACGCGATGTGTCTCCAAACGTCATCCACCAGAAGGTAACTGGAGATTTTGTGTGTTGCCTTGACAGACCCCTGAGGGCTGGTGACTTCATTTTTATTTTTATCTTATTTTGAGAAAGAGTTTCACCCTTGTCACCCAGGCTGGAGTGCAGTGGTGCGATCTCGGCTCACTGCAACCTCCGCCTCCCAGGTTCAAGTGATTCTCCCGCCCCAGCCTCCCAAGTAGCTGGGATCACAGGCATGCACCGCCACACCCGGCTAATTTTGTATTTTTAGTAGAGATGGGGTTTCACCATGTTGGCCAGGCTGGTCTCGAACCTCAGGTGATCCACCCACCTTGGCCTCCCAAAGTGCTGGGATTACAGGCATGAGCTACTGTACCCAGCCTTTTTATTTATTTATTTAGTTAGTTATTTTGAGATGGAGTTTCACTGTGTCTCCCAGGCTGGAGTGCAATGGTGCCATCTTGGCTCACTGCAACCTCCGCCTCCTGGGTTCAAGTGATTCTCCTGCCTCAGCCTCCCGAGTAGCTGGGATTACAGGTGTGTGCCACCACGCCCGGCTGATTTTTGTATTTTTACTAGAGATGGGGTTTCCTCATGTTGGCCAGGCTGGTCTCAAACTCCTGAGCTCAAGTGATCCTCCCACCTCGGCCTCCCAAAGTGCTGGGATTACAGGCATGAGCCACCACACCCGGCCTTATTTTTATTTTTTTAGAGATAGGGTCTCACTCTGTTGCCCAGGCAGGAGTGCAATGGTGCAATCACGGCTCACTGCAGCCTCAAACTCCTGGGCTCAAGTGATCCTCCTGCCTCAGCCTCCCGAGTAGCTGGGACCACAGGCACGTGCCACCATGCCTGGCTAATTTTTTTTTAATTTTTATTTTTAATAGAGATGAGGCCTTAGTATGTTGCCCAGGCTGGTCTCGAACTCCTGGCCTCAAGCAATCCTCCTGCCTCAGCCTCTCAAAATGCTGGGATTACAGGCATGAACCACCACACCCAGCCTGGTAACTTTAATAAAAATTGCTTCTTTTGGGGGACCCCTGCAAAGGGGGTCAGGGAGAAAGAAATCAACTCTTATTGAGTGTTCAGCTTATTTTGACAACACAGAGCAGGGACTTACGGTTACCTTCTCTCAGAAACTGAGGCTCGGGGAGGGGACATCACTAGTTCAAGATCACAGAGCTTTGGCAGAGTTGGAATTTGAAGCCCCATTGGCCTGAGTCCATTGCCGGCACCACACTACCTGCCTTCTAGAGACCCTAAATGGAGCAATAACCATGAAAAGTGATCATCCTAGCGGGAGTGAGGGCCAGCCACGTGATGGAGCACTCACTTTGTGAGTTTTGTCCCATCCTATCCCTTGAGGTGGGGAACTACTCTTCTCTCATTTTGCAGATAAGGAAACTGAGGTACAGAGCATTTCCTGTGTCCAGGGAGTAATGAGCTGGGTTTCAAGCCACACCCCAGTTCCCCCTTAACTTCTTCCACGAGTGAATGAGCACAGAGATCTTCTCTGAGGGAAGAAATAGAAATCAGAGCCAGGGCAACATAGCAAAGTCCCCATCACAACAACAACAAATTTTGTTTTTTTGAGACGGAGTCTTGCTCTATCACCCAGACTGGAGTGCAGTGGCGCAATCTCGACTCACCGCAGCCTCCGCCTCCCAGGTTCAGGTGATTCTCCTGCCTCAGCCTCCCGAGTAGCTGGGATTACAGGCGTGTGCTACCACGCCCAGCTAATTTTTGCATTTTTTTTTTTTTTTGAGACGGAGTCTTGCTCTGTCGCCCAGGCTGGAGTGCAGTAGCGCAATCTTGGCTTACTGCAAGCTCTGCCTCCCAGGTTCATGCCATTCTCCTGCCTCAGCCTCCTGAGTAGCTGGGACTACAGGCTCCTGCCAGCATGCCCAGCTAATTTTTTTGTACATTTTTAGTAGAGACGGGGTTTCACCGTGTTAGCCAGGATGGTCTCCATCTCCTGACCTCATGATCCGCCCGCCTCGGCCTCCCAAAGTGCTGGGATTACAGGCGTGAGCCACCGCGCCTGGCCTAATTTTTGCATTTTTAGTAGAAACGGGGTTTTACCATGTTGGTCAGGCTGGTCTTGAACTCCTGACCTCAGGTGATCCTCCCACCTCAGCCTCCCAAAGTGCTAGGATTACAGGCATGAGCCACCCTGCCTGGCTAAAAAACATTTTTTATATTAGCTGAGTGTGGTGACACATGCCTAAGTCCCAGCTATTCTGGTGGTTGAGGTGGGAGGATCACTTAAGTCCAGTAGTTCAAGACCAGCCTTGGCAACATAGCAAGATGCCGTTTTTACAAAAAAATTAAAAATCAGCTGGGCATGGTGGCATGAACCTGTAGTCCCAGCTAACTGGGAGGCTGAGGCAGGAGGATCGATTGAGCCCAGGAGGTCAAGGCTGCAGTGAGCCGTGATTGTGCCGCTGCACTCCGGCCTGGGCCACAGAGCAAGACCCCTCTCTAAAATAGACAAAAAAAAAAAAAAGAAGAAGAAATATGAATCGTTCATTCCTTCATTTGCACTGAATGGCTCATGCAGGGAAATAGGCCCTGTGGAAAATCAGCCAGGTTGAGTCCCAGGCAGGGGCCTCAGAGACAGACACGGGCCAGACACTGGCCCACTGGGCCCTACACAACCTACCTGTCACCTCCTAACCTTTCCCCCTTGCTCACTCTGTTCCAGCACACTGGCCTCCTCGCTACTGCTCAGAAACACCAGGCACATGCCTGCCTCACCGCCTTTGCACAGGCTTTCCCTCTGCCTGGAGTGCTCTTCCTTCACGTCTTCCTACCTCTCAAGTCTTTACTCAACTGGCACTTTCTCCGTGAGGCTGTTCTGACTTCCCATCTATAAAAGTATCCCTCATCCCAGTGATCATGCTCTGTCTTCATACCCTGTTTCTGTGTCTTTCCAGCATTTATCACCACTTTACAGTATTATCACTATGCTTGCCGTTAGCTGTTCTCCCCACTCAAATGTCAGCCCCATGAGGGCAGGAATTTTGTCTGTTTTATACATTGCTGGGTTGCCACTGTCCAATTCAGTGCCAGGCACTTAAATACCTATTATGTGGCCAAGTGTGATGGCTCATGCCTGTAATCCCAGTACTTTAGGAGGCCAAGGCAGGAGGATCACTTGAGGACAGGAGTTCAAGACCAGCCTGAACAACATAGCAAGACCCTCATCTTCAGGAAAAATTTACAGATTAACTGGGTGTGGTGTTGTTGCACACCTGTAATTTCAGCTGCTTGGGAGGCTGACGCAGGAGGATTGCTTGAACCCAGGAGTTCAAGGCTGCAGTGAGCTATGGTCATGCCACTGCATCCAGTCTGAGTGACAGGACGAGACCCAATCTAAGAAAAAAAAAAACTATTATGTGAAAGGGGGCACGGAACAGTGACAACAGCAAGTTCAATGTGGCCCAAGCCTCCAGAGGTGAGATGTGCCAGGGGCCTAGAAGAGGGAGCTACTCTGGAAGTGCAGGAAGAAGGAAGAAGGCCGGGTGTGGTGGCTCACGCCTGTAGTCCCAGCACTTTGGGAGGCTGAGGTGTGTGGATCACCTGAGGTCAGGAGTTCACCAACATGGTGAAACCCCCATCTCTACTAAAAATACAAAAATTAGCCGGGCGTGGTGGTGGGAGCCTGTAACTCCAGCTACTTGGGAGGCTGAGGCAGGAGAATTGCTTGAACCCGGGAGGCGGAGGTTGCGGTGAGCCAAGTTAGCGCCACTACACTCCAGCCTGGGCAATAAGAGCCAAATTCCGTCTCAAAAAAAAAAAAAAAAAAGTGCAGGAAGGAGAGAGGAGGCCCTACCATCTTCAGGAGGATGCCCTGCCAACGCACTTTGCCTGGTATCCTAATATCTCTGAGCCTCAGTTTCCTCATCTGTAAAATGGAGGAAAGAAGAGTACCCAAATTATGGGGTTATAGTGAGAAATGAGTAAGAAAATATGTGGACGGAGAAGCCACTGAATACGTCAGCTCTTCTGTTCATATGTAAAGAGCACTTAAAAATAACTAACAGTTATTGAATGCTGGCTACATGTCAGACCACTGCAATGTATTTCATGTAGATTCATTCTTTTATATTTATGTATTTATTTAGAGACGGGTTCTTGCTCTGTCACTCAGGCTGGATGGAGTACAGTGGTGCAAACATGGCTCACTGCAGCCTTGACCTCCTAGGCTCAAATGATCCTCCCGTCTCAGCCCCCCAAGTATCTGGGACTACAGGCACATACCACCACACTGGCTAATTTTTTTATTTTTTGTAGAGACGGGGTTTCGCTACGTTGTCCAGGTCAATCTCGAACTCCTGGGCTCAGGGAATCTGCCAGCCTCGGCCTCTCAGAGTTCTGGGATTACGGGCATGAGCCATCGTGCCCAGCCTTATTAATTCTTTATTTAGAGATGGAGTCTCACTCTGTCGACAAGCTGGAATGCAGTGGTACAATCTCGGCTCACTACAACCTCCGATTCCCTGGTTCAAGTGATTCTCCTGCCTCAGCCTCCCGAGTAGCTGGAATTACAGGCACCGCCACCATGCCTGGCTATATTTTTGTATTTTTAGTAGAGATGGGGTTTCACCATGTTAACCAGTATGGTCTTGATCTCCTGACCTCGTTATCCACCTGCCTCCGCCTCCCAAAGTGCTGAGATTATAGGCATGAACCACCACGCCCAGCCTATTTATTTATTTTTGAGACAGGGTATTGCTGTGTCCCCTGGGCTGGAGTGCAGTGGCATGATCATGGCTCACTGAAGCCTCGACTGGCTGAGCTCAAGCAATCCTCCTGCCCCAATCTCCCAAGTAGCTGGGACTACAGCCACACACCAGGCTAATATTTACATTTTTTATAGAGAGGGAGTCTCACTATGTTACCCAGACTGGTCTTGAACTCCCGGGCTCAAGTGATCCTCCCATCTTGGCTTCCCAAAGTGCTGGGATTATAGACATGAGCTACCATGCCTGGCCTTTGATTCTTTTACTCCTCATGAAATTCTTGTAAGGCAGATCCAGTGGGTGCCATTTATAGATGGGAAAATGGAGGTACAGAGAGGTATAGCGACTTCTCCAAGGTCACACAGCTAGTAATAATCGAGGATGTCCAACCACACTTAATTGCCACACTGGAACATTAGCACAGACAAGTAGAAGGGAATCATCGGTATATTCTTTTGGGGGAATGAGGAGGACAGGGAAGATGCTAGGGTGGCGGGGAGCGGGTGGCAGTCAAATGAGATGGAGGGAAGGCCCTCACGGCTCTCTCCCCGCTTCTCCTCAAAGAATCTGAGAGTCGTCTGAGTGGCCTAATGAGTTGGGGTTGATGGGGACTTGCAATCCATAAGCCCCTAACCACCTCCTGCTTGTTTTGGTGTTTGTTTCCTCAGGGCTGTTTCCATAAACTCCTAAAAATCACCAAGACTCAGAGCTTCACCCTGAGTGGGAGCTCTCTGGGAGCTGCAGTGATACAGGTAAGACCCAGCCTCTCTAGGGTCTTTGAGCTGTTTTATTAAGCACCTACTGTATGCCAAACACTGTTCTGGTCACTGGGACACAGGAGTGAACAAAACTAAAAAAAAAAAAAAAAAGAAACTCAACAAAGAAGAACAAACTAAACCCAAATCAAGCAGAAGGAAGATGCTAAAGATTAGAGTGAAAATATGAAAATAAATGAAATGGAGAACATCAATAAAACCAAAATTTGATTCTTTGAAAAGATAAAACAGGTCGGGTATAATGGCTCAGCCTGTAATTCTAGCACTTTGGGAGGCTGAGGCAGGAGGACTGCTTGAGCCCAGGAGTTCAAAATCAGCCTGGGCAACATAGTGAGACTCCCCATCTCTACAAAAACAAAAATAAGAAAATTATCCAGGTGTGGTGGCAGATGCTTGTAGTCCCAGCTACTTGGGGGGCTGAGGCAGGGGGATCACTTGAGCCTGGGATATCAAGGCTAGTGAGGCATGATTGTGTCACTGCACTCCATCCTGAGTGACAGAGTGAGATCATGTCACAAAAAAAGATAAAATTGACAGAACTTTAGTAGACTGAAGGGCAAAAAAAGGGAAAGATTACTCAAATTAGTAACATTAGGAATGAAAGAGAGACATCACTACTGACCTTACAGAAATAAAGCAACTATAAGGGAAAAGTGTGAACCTGTATGCCAATAAATTAGCTAACCTAGATGAAATAGACAAATTCCTAGATAAACATAAACTACCAAAACTGACTCAAGAAGAAATAGAATATGTAAATAGATCTACAGCAAGTAATGACATTAAATTAGTAACCAAAAAACTTCCCACAAAGAAAATATCAGGCCCAGATATCCTCACTGGAAATATTACCAAACTTTTAAAGAATTAACACCATTGTTTCACCTGCAAACTCTGCCAATAAAAAAGAGGAAGACATATTTCCCAGTTTATTCTATGACACCAATACAAGATATTGCAATGACATAAGAAAGTAAAACTACAAGGCTGGGTGTGGTAGCTCATGCCTGTAATCCCAGAATTTTGGGAGGCTGAGGCAGGCGGCTCACGAGGTGAAGAGATCGAGACCAGCCTGACGAACATGGTGAAACCCTGTCTCTACTAAAAATAAAAAAATTAGCTGGGCGTAGTGATGCACGCCTGTAATCTCAGCTGAGATTACAGCTGGGATTTGGGTTGCTGAGGCAGGAGAATCGCTTGAATCTGGGAGGTGGAATTTACAGTGAGCCGAGATTGCACCACTGCACTCCAGCCTTGGCAACAGAGCAAGACTCTGTCTCAAAAAAAAAAAAAAAATTATATCTTAATAAAAAGACAAGTAACCCAACTAAAATGGACAAAGGATTCAAATAGAGATTTTTATCCAAAGAAGGCATACAGATGGCCAGTAATCACATAAAAAATGCTCTACCACCCATCATTAATTAGGGAAATGCCAATAAAAACACTTTATTCTCACTAGGATGGCTAAAGATAATAACAAGTGTTGCCAAGGATGTGGAGATATTTGAATCCTTACACATTGTTGATGAGATTGTAAAATGGTGAAGCCATTTCCTAAAATGTTAAACACAGAATTATTATTTGTCCCAGCAACTTCTCTCCTATGTTTATAATCCAAGATAATTGAAGACATGTATCCATACAAAAACCTTTACGTAAATGCTCATAGCAGGATTATTCATAATAATCAAAAAGTAGATAAAACCCAAATGTACATCAAGTGATGAATGGATAAAGAAAATGCATATCCATTCAATAAAATATTATTCAACAACAAAAACTTATTGATATATGCTACAACGTGGATGACCCATATCAACATCATGCTAAGTGTAAGAAGCCAGTCATGATATTATATGATTCCATTATATAAAATGTTCAGAATAGGCAAGTCCATAGAAATAAAAGGTAGTTAGTGATTGCCAGGGACCAGAGGGTACGGGAAGAATGGGGAGTGACTGATAATAGGTATGGCGTTTCTGTGGTTCATGATGAAAATGTTCTTAAGTTATATAGTAGTGATGGTAGCCCAACTCTGAATATACTAAAAACCATTGAACTGTATACTTTAGAAAGGTAACCTGTATAGTCTATCAATTATATCTCAATGTTATTTAATAAAAAGTGCTCCATGCCCCTGGTTGCCCAAGAAATTTTTCCTACATGCTTTCTGCACATTGACTACCAACATAGTAGTGTCTTTTCTGCAAATCGCCACTAACTGAGACAAGGCTCTATCTTACCAGTCTGGGATATTTATTTCTTTGGGGTAATTTTTTTCATTGTACAAATTTATAATATTGAATATGTACTTGTAAACTATACAACACCTTCCTCCCCAAGGATCCCAGCAGGAAACAGCATTCAGCCCCCAGATGGTCCATTTAAGATGTTTTCAGGGGCCTCCTTGCAGAGGGGTGACAGGGTTCAGTGAAATGAGGCGCCCAGGAGCTAAAGACATGGGGAACTTTTATTTCTCCTAGGCCTGAAGGCTCTAGAAAGGGCATGAAGAGGGTAGGAGCCCAGAAGGAGGGGAAGAAAAGAGGGAGGAAGTGGGGAAGGAATACCCTACCATTCTCTCCTCCCGCTCACCCGTCTTCTCCCGGTGCTTCCTATTGGCCAAGCCTAACCGGAAGTTATGTGGCAGTGGAGTCTGGGGAATATGGTCCGTAGGGCTCCGGGGAGGGCCGAAGTGGAGAGGATGGGCCAGGCGCGGTAGTTCACGCCTGTAATCCCAGCACTTTGGGAGGCCGAGGCGAATGGATCACCTGAGGTCAGGAGCTCGAGACCAGCCTGACCAACATGGTGAAACCCCATCTCTACTAAAAATACAAAAATTAGCCGGGCGTGGTGCTGGGCGCCTGTAATTCCAGCTCCTCGGGAGGCTGAGGCAGGAGAATTGCTTGAACCCGGGAGATGAAGGTTGCAATGAGCCAAGATAGTGCCACAGCACTCCAACCTGGGCAACAGAGTGAGACTCCTTCTCAATAATAATAATAATAATAATAATAATAATAATAATAATAGGCCAGGCGCGGTGGCTCACGCCTGTAATCCCAGCACTGTGGGAGGCCGAGGTGGGCAGGTCACGAGGTCAGGAGATCGAGACGATCCTGGCTAACACAATAAAACCCCGTCTCTACTAAAATACAAAAAAATTAGCCAGGCGTGGTGGCGGCCGCCTGTAGTCCCAGCTACTCGGGAGGCTGAGGCAGGAGAATGGCGTGAACCTGGGAGGCGGAGCTTGTAGTGAGCCAAGATCCGCCACTGCACTCCAGCCTGGGCGACAGAGGGAGACTTCATCTCAAAAATAAATAAATAAATAAATAAATAAAATAATAATAAATAAAAAATAAGTGGAGACGAATGCACTGTAACCACAGTGGCTCCAACTTAGCCCAGGCGGTTCTTCAGCCATCTGTAAAACCCTGCCCCTCGCCTTTCTGGAACAGGATGCTCCCCTTGTCCCCGTAACTCCAGTATGATTCTGGTTTGGAGGTCTCTAGCATTGGATCCATGTTTCTTTCTTCACGCATTTCAGTTGCCAGGAATTCTTGCCACTTTGCTGCTGTTTATCAAGCTGGGCTGACACCCAGGCCTGGAGAAGATGAGACACCTGGGCCCATCTGGCTGCTGGAGATTCAGTCTCAGTTTTATTTCTCTGTGGCACTCACTGCTTCTGGAGGGGAGACTGTTAATAAAAGATTTGGGAACCCCCTGTCCAGCCTGACTTCTTTCTCCTTACTTTCATTTTTGGCAATGATTTTACCTCAAAATGCCTGAATGAGAGACTATGCCCTTTCTCATACAACTTTCCTGTTTTGTAAATTATTCTTGGTGTGTGTGTGTGTGTGTGTGTGTGTGTGTGGTTTTTTTTTTTTTTTCCTTTTGAGAGAGTCTTGCTGTGTTGCCAGGCTGGAGTGCAATGGCACGATCTCAGCTCACTGCAACCTCCACCTCCGGGGTTCAAGTGAGTCTTCTGCCTCAGTCTCCCGAGTAGCTGGGATTACAGGCACTCGCTACCATGCCCAGCTAATTTTTTGTATGTTTAGTAGAGATGGGGTTTCACCATGTTGGCCAGGCTGGTCTTGAACTCCTGAGTTCAGGTGATCCACCTGCCTCGGCCTCCCAATGTGTTGGGATTACAGGTGTAAGCCACTGCACCCAGCCAGTTTTGTAAATTATTCTGTGAAAAATCTAGAACTTTCACAAAAGCCAAGAACATCCATCCAGAGAAACATACACATCACCCAGGTTCAACAATGCAAAGATTGACATATTTGCTTTATCAATCCCCTTTTTACCCTTGATAAAGTATTTTTTCTTTTTTAAATTGACAAGTCATAATTATATATATTTATAGGGTACAATGTGATGTTTTGATATATGCATACAATGTGGAATGATTAAATCAAGCTAATGAACATATCTATAGGCTCACTTATCATTTTTTTGTGGTGATACATCTGTGATCCCAGCACTTTGGGAGACTGAGGTAGGAGGATCGCTTGAGCCCAGGAGTTTGAGACCAGCCTGGGCAACATAGCAAGACCCCCCCCGCCTTTTTTTTTTTTTTTTAAGATGGAGTCTTGTTCTGTCACCCAGGCTGGAGTGCAGTGGTGTGATCTCGGCTTATTGCAACCTTCCCACATTCTGGGTTCAAGCAATTCTCCTGCTCAGGCTCCCATGTAGCTGGGATTACAGGCGCCTGCCACCACGCCTGGCTAATTTTTTGTATTGTTAGTAGACATGGAGTTTCACCAGGCTGGTCTCAAACTCCTGCCCTCAAGTGATCCGCCTGCCTCGGCCTCCCAAAGCGCTGGGATTACAGGTGTGAGCCACTGTGCCTGGCCTGACTCCATCTCTACAAGACAACAACATCAACAAAACCCTCCAAAAAACAAACCTCAGACAATGTCATTTCTTCCCTTTATATTTCAGTACACATCTCTAACGATATGTTCATTTGCGTTCACAACCATAACACCGTTATCACATCTAGGATAATTAACATTGCTTGTTTGGCATCCCTTAATACCTAGGCCATTGTTGAGTCTTCCTAATTGGCTCAAAACTTTTTTAAAGGGACAGGGCCTCACTCTATCACCCATGCTGGAGTGCAGAGATGTGATTGTTGCTCAGGGTAACCTCTAACTCCTGGGCTCAAGGGAGTCTCCCATGTCAACTTTCTAAGTACATGGGACTACAGGCATGCGCCACCACACCCAGCTAATTTTTTTTCTTTTTTCTTTTTTCTTTTTTGAGACGGAGTTTCGCTCTTGTTGTCCAGGCTGGAGTGCAATGGCACGATCTTGGCTCACTGCAACCTCAGCCTTCCGGGTTCAAGTGACTCTCCTGCCTCAGCCTCCTGCCTAGCTGGGATTACAGGCATGTGCCACCATGCCTGGCTAATATTTGTATTTTTAGTAGAGACGGGGTTTCATCATGTTGGCCAGGATTGTCTCGAACTCCTGACCTCAGGAGAATTGCTTGAACCCAGGAGGTGGAGGTTGCAGTGAGCTGAGATCATGTCATTGCACTCCAGCCTGGGCGACAGAGCAATACACTGTCTCAAAAAAAAAAAAAAGTGTGAAATGCTTGGGGAGTGCCAGATGTTCTGGGCTTACTGCTTTCTTTGTGGTTTTGGTTATTTACCCTGTTCCTCTTGTCCACATATTTCCTGAAAAGCATGAGTTACCAGCCCTGGCTGTAGATTAGAATCACCTGGAAGCTTTAACAAACTACCTAAACCTGAACCACAGATCCTGATCTTTTATTATTATTATTATTTTTTTGAGACAGAGTCTCGCTCTGTCCCCCAGGCTGGAGTGCAGTGGCGCGATCTCGGCTCACTGCGAGCTCCGCCTCCTGGGTTCACACCATTCTCCTGCCTCAGCCTCCCGAGTAGCTGGGACTACAGGCACCCGCTACCATGCCCGGCTAATTTTTTGTATTTTTATAGAGATGGGGTTTCACCGTGTTAGCCAGGATGGTCTCGATCTTCTGACCTCGTGATCCGCCCCCCTAGGCCTCCCAAAGTGCTGGGATTACAGGTGTGAGCCACCACACCCAGCCTAATTTTTTGTATTTTTAGTAGAGACGGGGTTTCACTTTGTTAGCCAGGATGGTCTGGATCTCCTGACCTCGTGATCTGCCCGCCTCAGCCTCCCAAAGTGCTGCAATTACAGGCGTGAGCCACTGCGCCCGGCCAGATCCTGATCTTCTAATTTAATTGAACTGGGCTGTGACGTGGGTCTGGGGATGATCCTAGTG
Source organism: Homo sapiens (assembly GCF_000001405.40). Classification (NCBI taxonomy): domain Eukaryota; kingdom Metazoa; phylum Chordata; class Mammalia; order Primates; family Hominidae; genus Homo; species Homo sapiens. Next base: position 11,318,523 of record NC_000019.10, read on the forward strand.
GTTTTTAAGATATAGTCATGGTCACAGCTGAGCATCAATGAACTCAGGGGTTCATTCAATGACCATAGCATCCTGAACCAATTCTTTCAGAAGAGGTTGCAAAATGGTGGTTTATCTAATTCCTTTTCTTTTTCTTTTTTTTTTGAGACAGTCTTGCTCTGTCGCCCAAGCTGGAGTGCAGTGGCACGATCTCAGCTCACTGCAACCTCTGCCTCCTGGTTTCAAGCGATTCTTCTGCCTCAGCCTCCTGAATAGTTGGAGTTACAGGTGCCCGCCACCACACACGGCTAATTTTTGTATTTTTAGTAGAGACGGGGTTTTGCCATGTTGGCCAGGCTGGTCTGGAACTCCTGACCTCAAGTGATCCTCCCACCTCAGCCTCCCAAAGTGCTGGGATTACAGGCGTAAGCCACTGCCCCCAGCCAGAAATAAACTTTTTTACCCACACTTCTGACACCAAACATGTGGGGTTTTCCACACCAAGTAATTCTCCAATTCTCTGTGGACACCCGCTGGGTGTTCTACAATTCAGTTCTGACACCAATTACCCAGAGTTGGTGTGTGACCCCACAGATTTAAGGGCTGAGTCCCACAAAACTGAGCTTCCCTCACTTCAGAGGTATCAAGTATTGAGTTCCCAGGTTACCCATATTTCTGTCCAATGTGGCTACAAAGTCAGGGGGGGTTCTCACAAGCCCCCTCCCTTTCAGGTTTGATAATTTGCTAGAATGACTCACGGATCTCAGGCAAGTGTTTTACTTACTACTCCTGATTTATTATAAAGGAGACAACTCAGGCCAGGCGCAGTGGCTTATGCCTGTAATCCCAGCACTCTGGGAGGCCAAGGCGGGCGGATCACGAGGTAAGGAGTCTGAGACCAGCCTGGCCTATATGATGAAACCCCGTCTCTACTAAAAATGCAAAAGTTAGCCGGGCGTGGTGGCACACGCCCTGTAATCCCAGCTACTCCGGAGGCTGAGGCAGAAGAATCGCTTGAACCGGGAGGCGGAGCTTGCAGTGAGCCGAGATCGCGCCACTGCACTCCAGCCTGGGCGACAGAGCGAGACTCTGTCTCAAAACAAACAAAACAAAACAAAACAAAACAAAAAAACAAAAAAAGGAGACAACTCAGGAACAGCCAAATGGAAGTGATAAAGAGGGCAATGTGTGGGGGATGGTGTGCAGCACTTCCACACCCTTTCTTGGGGAGGGGGGCACCACCCTTCCAGCACCTCCATGTGTTCATCAACTCAGAAGCTCTCCAAACCTGTCATTTAGGTTGTATTTTGTTTTGTTTTGTTTTGTTTTTTGAGACGGAGTCTCGCTCTGTCGCCCAGGCTGGAATGCAGTGACGCGATCTTGGCTCACTGCAAGCTCCACCTCCCGGGTTCACGCCATTCTCCTGCCTCAGCCTCCCGCGTAGCTGGGACTACAGGCGCCCGCCACCACGCCCGGCTAATTTTTTTGTTGTATTTTCAGTGGAGACGGGGTCTTACCGTGTTAGCCAGGATGATCTCGATCTCTTGACCTCGTGACCTGCCCGCCTCCGCCTCCCAAGGTGCTGGGATTACAGGCCTGAGCCACTACGCCCGGCCAGGACTTTTTTTTTTTTTTTTGAGACGGAGTTTCTCTCTTGTCATCCAGGCTGGAGTGCAATGGCACGATCTCGGCACACCCCAACTTCTGCCCCACTTGTTCAAGCGATTCTCCCGCCTCAGCCTCCCGAGTAGCTGGGATTACAGGCATGTGCCACCAGGCCCAGCTATTTGTTATATTTTTAGTAGAGATGGGGTTTTGTCATGTTGGCCAGGCTGATCTCAAACTCCTGACCTCAAGTGATCCTCCTGCCTCAGCCTCCCAAAGTGCTGGAATGACAGGCATGAGCCACCACACCTGGCCAATCCTAGCACTTTGGGAGGCCAAGGCGGGAGCATGGCTGGAAGCTGGGAGTTCAAGACCAGCCTGGGCAACATAGCAAGATCCCATCTCTCAATCACTCAATCAGCTGGATGTGGTGGTGCTTGCTTGTAGTTCCAGAAACTCAGGAGGCTGAAGTGGGAGGATCCTTTGAGTCCAGGAGTTCGAGGCTGCAGTGAGCCATGATTGTGCCACTGCACTCCAGCCAGGGCCATACGGCAAGACCTTGTCTCCAAAAAAAAAAAAAAGAAAAGAAAAGAAAAAGAAAAAAGAAATGCTGGGGAGGGAGATTGCAGTACTAAATCAGGGGAGGGGGCAGTGAGAAAGTGAGATTTGCACAGTAGCCCAAAAGAGGAAGTTCAGTTAGGGGAGCTTTGTTGTATTAGTCTGTTTTCCTACTGCTGGAAAGAACTGCCCAAGACTGGGTAATTTATAAAGGAAAGAGGTTTGCCCGTGTACGGTGGTTCACGCCTGTAATCCCAGCATTTTGGGAGGCCAAGGTGGGCAGATCATGAGGTCAGGCGTTCGAGACCAGCCTGGCCAACGTGGTGAAACCCCGTCTCTACTAAAAACACAAAAATTAGCCAGGCGTAGTGGAGTGTGCCTGTAATCCCAGCTACTCGGGAGGCTGAGGCAGGAGAATTGCTTGAACCTGGGAGGCGGAGGTTGCAGTGAGCCAAGATGGCACCACTGCACTCCAGCTGGGTGGCAGAGTAGGACTGAGTCTCAAAAAAAAAAAAACAAAAAAATACCCAAAAAAACATAAGAGGTTTAATTTACTCACAGTTCAACATGGCTGGGGAGGCCTCAGGAAATTTACAATTATAACAGAAGGCAAAGGGGAAGCCAGATACCTTCTTCACAAGGTGGCAGGAAGGAGAAGAGCCGAGAGAAGGCGGAAGAATCCCTTATAAAACCATCAGATCTCGTGAGAACTCACTTGCTATCAGGAGAACAGCATGGGGGAACCGCCCCCAGGATTCAATGACCTCCACCTGGTCTCTCCCTTGACACGTGAGGATTATGGGGATTACAATTCCAGATGAGATTTGGGTGGGGACACAAAGCCAAACCATATCAACTGTGACTACCTTGGGTAAGGGCCATCCAGGCAGAGGCAGGGGGAACATTCTGGGCAAAGGCCTTGGGGCAGGGGCCTGGTATGTTCAGATAGCAGCAAGTAGGCCAGAGTGGCCGGAGGGGAGCAAGTGTGGGGAGGCCAGTGGAGAGATGAGGGTAGGGAAGGGATGGATCAGATCATGCAGGGCCCCGGGGGCCACAGGAAGGACCTCAGCATTTACTGCAAGTAAGGTGGGAGCCATCGAATGTTCTAAGCAGAGGAGGAATGCGCTGTGACTCAGGTGTTCACAGGTGCCCTCTTGCTGCTGGGGAGAGAACTGAGCTTTTTACTAGAAGTAGTTGAGGGAAATAGTGTCCTCCCTACCTTCCATATAACAGAGCTTTCCAAGGTCAAGGTGGTGGCCATGGGACCCAGTGGGAGGCAGCCCGAGGCCCGGTGAGGTTTCTGCTGTGTCTTGAAGAGCCCTTGACTGATATCTGCTTAGTTGCAAATCAAACCCCCTTTCCCAGAAACGCACTTCACTAATGGAAATAAAAGCACAACTATATTTGGGCACGACGGATTTAAGTTTTTCTTGTTGAGAAGAGTACATCTTTCCAAACTGGACATCAAGGAATTGCTACACAGAAGAACCACATCCAGGATAGAAAGGACCAGCCAGAGCTCGTTCAGTAGTGTATTTCAGAATCATCAGGGAGGAGCCGGTAGCAGAATTATCCCGTTAACACTGAGACCACATTTCACCTGTTACTTATTTTTCTAAATGGAGTAGGAGAGAAAGATGCTAAAATGTGATCTTGGGAGGAGTCCCCCAGTCCCCCGAAAAAGAAGAAGAAAAAAAAAAAGCAGAACTCCAAACCCCTGTGGTCATGGCAATTTCCCATCAAAACTGCCCATGTAAAATAAACACAAGCTGCTAAAAGTGAATGTTAAGAAGGAAGGCACTGGTTAGTGGGTGGTCCTGACCAATCCCCTGGAGCTGGAGAGGGGTTTTCCCACGGCCTTTGGTTTAATGTGTCTGTAAACTCAACAAACCTCCGTTTCCCTGAGGTAATCTGCAAAAACATCAGTTTTCAGTCCCCAGAGACCATTTCCAATTAAACCTCACCCCCCAAATCATTCAATGTAACATTTGCCTTATTTTTAGAAGAAACAAATGTTCCCATATTATTCCCAGTTTTTGAGAGAATCCTGAGGCAGCTCTCTCGGCTGCTACTTGAAGTTGAATTCTTGAAAAATCTTATGTAAACAGAAAGCTTAGGCCAGGTCAGGAGTAAAATGCAGTCAAAGCTGTTTCTCATCACACAGGTGATTACAGGTTAGCTCTGCCCTATTCAAGACAATCTGATCCATTCCTTTTTTTGACAGCAGTTTAGAGACAATTGGCCAACAAAACCAGCCTGGCCAACAAGGTGAAACCGTCGCTACTAAAAATGCAAAACTTAGATGGGCGTGGTGGCAGGTGCCTGTAGTCCCAGCTACTTAGGAGGCTGAGACAGGAGAATCGCTTGAACCCGGGAGGTGGAGGTTGCAGTGAGCTGAGATCATGCTACTGCACTGCGGCCTGGGCGACGAGCGACTCTCTGTCTTAAAAAAAAAAAAAACAAAAAAACCTCAGCAGGCCATACTGCATCTTGAGAAGTCTTTTTGAAGCTACTTTAGTTTGACTTTAGTGTTAAAGTAGCTAAAAATTTTTGACTCCCGCCCACATATTCAGATACCCTCACTTTGTGCATAGGATTTGTCCATTACACCTCAGTCATCTAATTTGTTGGTATAAAAGATACCCTCGGCTGGGCGTGATGGCTCACGCCTGTAATCCCAGCACTTTGGGAGGCCGAAGCAAGTGGATCACTTGAAGTCAGTTTGAGACAAGCCTCACCAACATGGTGAAACCCCTTCTCTACTAAAAATACAAAATTTAGCCGGGTGTGGTGGCAGGTGCCTGTAATGCCAGCTACTCGGGAGGCTGAGGCAGGAGAATCGCTTGAACCCTGGAGGTGGAGGTTGCAGTAAGCTGAGATTGTGCCACCGCACTCCAGCCTGGGCAATAGAGCGAGACTCTGTATCAAAAAAACAAATGAAAAAAAGATACCCCACTCCAAAGTTCTAAGGGTAGCCTCTGGTATGAAGAAACCAGGGCTCCCTAGAAATAAATCTAAACTTGAACCAGGCTTTCCCCCTCACACATACCCCAGGGAAGAGGCTGAGCTCATGAAAGCTGCAGGAAGTCATTTTGGCTTCAGGGGCTGGGAGAGCAGACACAACCTCTGAAACAGAGTCAGGGACGTGGGAACATAAAACATCCACTTAGCCATCCTAACAGTGCTGGTCCTGTGAAGGGGTGTTGGTTGGTGTTTGGGAGCAAAGAAAAGGTGCTGCGCCCCTAGAGTTTGGAATCTGATGGGCAGAAAGTGCCTCTAAACCGGAGGTCAAGATGTACATCTTCAAACTGCACACGTAACCTCTGAGCAGAAGCCCCTGGAGGTGGGGACCCCAGCTTCAGAGACTCCCCGGCACTGATCACAGTCCATCCCCCCCATTCACATAAGGTCCTGCCACTCTCAGGCTGTCTACAAAGTACAAGCAGTGACAGCAAGTTACTCAATCCTACCTCCTCACCCCTTCCGCCCAACCCCCAGCATCCCTTAGAAGTGACCCCTAGTTTGAGGCTGTGGTGAGCTATGATTGCACCACTGCACTCCAGCCTGGGTGACAGAGCCAGACCATCTCAAAAAGAAAAAAAAAAAAAAAGAAGTGACTCCTCCATTAGCAAAAATTGTCACATCCCTGGGCCCTGCCGATGACAAGGATTGGGAAATGGACATTGGGTCTTGAAGGGCCCCCCTCAAGTCGGAGCCCAGGTGCTTACATCAGAAAGTCGCCGACAACTGCCTGCGGTGGCTGGGAACGTTGCTTCATTTCCTTTTCTAGCAGGATGCATGATTGGGCAAGAACTTGCTTAAAACACAACCAGCTAAACAGCTAAACAGGGCCTGGGAGGGAGGCCCCAGCCCCAGGCTCCTGGCTCTGAGGTTAATTAACTTCTGGCCGAAAGCCCAGAGCCGGAGTGCTAGGGGTTGGGCGAATCTCTGCCCAGTCTAATGTGGTCCATAGTTCCAGAATTCACTTCAGGATCAGAGATGTGGTGAACACAGCAAAAACAGTGGCAGGGTCGTGGGTGATGTGGATCTTGGGGGAAGCTTGGAAGGCACTTCTGGGGTCCCTGAAGCCGGGGGGTTGAGGGGATCTGACTCCCTGTCCCTTCTACAATGGGAAAAGGCTGCTTCAATGCTGCTTTTCGCAAGTAGAGGGTCTGCAGGGGTCAAAGGGATCACCATCCCACCTTGGAATCCAGAAAGTTCGTGGGGGCAGGCTCAGAGACCAGCCTGCAGGACCTGAGAAAGAGGCGCCGCCTTCCCTGGATGAACTCCAAGAACCCACACTGTGCGAGGAAGATGAACCATCTTCCACCAGCTTGGGAATATCAGTCCTGCCCAACCCAGAAGAGACCTGGAAAATGGTTCTAAGCTAGAAGGCACCACGGATGCCCCTCCATCAGAAAGAGTGGGACGTGTCACCCATGGCCACCCTCAACACACCCTGGAAAGCAGCAAGCTCATGCACGTCAGTGTCCCTGGGCCTCTGCCTGCCATGCAGAGCTGAGTCCCCATGGTCCGCAGCCTCCCACCGGGGCTGCCTGAGGAACCTGGCAGCCACGGCGACATTGTGAAGGAATGAGCCATGCAGGAGTCGGGGAGCAGTTGACAGGAGGGAAGGGATTGCCCTGAGCTTGGAGATAACCACTGTGGCTCACGCCTCGATCACAGTCCCTGCCGAGGCAGGAGAGGGGTGGGTGGGGGGTTGGGGGCCATCTCTAGCAGCTGCAGCTGCTGGGCTGGGGGGCTGGAGCATCCCCCACGGCCGGGCCTTTCCCGTTGCTGCCTGAGCTGGAGCTGGGTTCCAGGGACTCGTTCATCTTCTCGCAGATGACATCCACCAGGCGCTCGAAGACCTGCTTCACATTGATGTTCTCCTTGGCACTGGCTTCAAAGAACTCGAAACCTGGATGAATGTTAAGGTGGGGACACTCGTAAGACCCCTGAGGGCAGAGTCTCAGCTGTGGCATCACAGAAACCTGGCTTCTAAGCCTAGTTCTGCTCTTTATCCTGCTGTGGGACCTTGGTTGTGTGCCTTTGCCACTCCAAGCCTCAGTTTGCTCACCTGTAAAATGGGAATGATGATCCTACCAATGATAAAAATCTGTGGCAGGCCAGGCGCAGGGGCTTATGCCTGTAATCCTGGCACTAAAGGAAGCTACGGCGGGAGGATCGCTTGAGGCCAGGAGTTCAAGACCAGCCTGGGCAACATAGCAAGGCCCTATCTCTACAATAAATTTTTTTAAAAAGTAGATGGGCGGCCAGGTGAGGAGGCTCATGCCTATAATCCCAGCACTTTGGGAGGCCGAGGCGGGAGGATCATTTGAGGTCAGGAGTTCAAGACCCGCCTGACCAACATGGTGAAACCCCATCTCTACTAAAAAGACAAAAAATTAGCTGGGCATGGTGGCACGCGTCTGTAATCCCAGCTACTCGGGAGGCTGAGGCAGGAGAATTGCTTGAATCTGGGAGGCGGAGGTTATAGTGAGCTGAGATCACACCACTGTACTCCAGCCTGGGCAACAGAGCGAGATTCTATTAAAAAAAAAAAAATAGAGGGGCATGGTGGCGTTCACCTGCAGTCTCAGCTACTCGGAAGGTTAAGGCAGGAGAATGGTTTGAGCCCAGGAGGTCAAGGCAGCAGTGAGCCATGATCACACCACTGCACACCAGCCTGGGTGATGGAGCAAGACCCTGTCTCAAAAACAAAACAAAACGAAACCCTGCGGCTGCAGCCATGGTCTGGACAATCCTAAGATCTCTTTGTCACAAGGCAGTGGCTGCAAGAGTATAGGTGGGAGGGTACATGAAGAGTTCTGCTGCCCTGCGGCCATGGCAGTGCCCACAGGTGGCTATAGCTCAGCTTCCACCCAATTTCTGCTGCACAGAAAGGCATGGTCAGGAGACCCATCAAGTCACATTTTCCATTGCTTTTTTTAAAAGAGAAACGGTCTCTCTCTATTGCCCAGGCCGGGGTGTAGTGGTATGAACATGGCTCATTGCAGCCTCAACCTCCTGGGCTCAAGCGATCCTCCCGCCTTGGCCCCCTGAGTAGCTGGGGCTACAGGTGTGCCCCACCATGCCCGGCTAATTTTTCAATTTTTTCTTTTGTAGAGGTGGGGGTCTCGCTATGTTGCGCAGGCTGGTCTTGAACTGCTGGCCTAAAGCGATCCCCCCGCCTAGGCCTCCCAAAGTGCTGGGTTTACCAGCGTGAGCCACCACGCTGGGCTTCCTGCATCCTTTTAAGGTTCCTGAGGGTCTGCCTGAGAGGAGCTGTCCCTGAATCTCCATGCAGCCCCACCTGCCACATCACCAAGGTAAGCCAGGAATTCAGACAAACGCCTGCCACGTTACACGTGGCCAAGGGTAAGTGGACCTGTCTTCTCTGTGCGTCATGCTGAACTATGAAAATGGAATCATAATGAGTTAGCTGTGTAATTACCCATTTATTATCTGTCTCCGCTACTAGAAAGCCAGCTCCAGGCAGGCAGGATTTCCGCCCATGGCTGTACCCAGTGCCCGACACAGAGAGGGTGCTTAGAAACTGTCTGCTGAATGGTTGAATGAATGAATGGGTAAATGAACAATAGCAGGGGCAGGACATGAACTTAGATCTCCTACTGTCAGCCCAGAGATATCAAAGCCATCCCACTGTCTTCCTGGGCAAATCTGGTGTTTCCTTATCCACGCGTGGCTTTGCCTCATACCATCTGTGTTCTTTATTTTTCTTTTTGTTGAGACAGAGTTTTGCTCTTGTCGCCCAGGCTGGAGTGTAACGGCACGATCTCAGCCCACTGCAACCTCCGTCTCCCGAGTTCAAGCGATTCTCCTGCTTCAGCCTCCCAAGGAGCTGGGACTGCAGGTGTGAACCACCATGCCAGGCTAATTTTTGTATTTTCAGTAGAGACAGGGTTTCGCTATTTTGGCCAGGCTGGTATCGAACTCTTGACCTCAGATGATCCACCTGCCTCAGCTTCCCAAAGTGCTGGGATTACAGGCATGAACCACCGTGCCCAGCTTATTTTTCTGATATTAATCAGGCGTGGTGGTATGCGCCTGTAATCCCAACTACTCAGGAGGCCAAGGCAGGAGAATCACTTGAACCCAAGAGTTCAAGACCAGCCTGGGTAACATAGGGAGACCCTGTCTCTAAAACAAATAAAAATTTTAAAAAGGAAAAAAAATACATTTTTTGGATGTCATTCAATAGAGAAATTTACTGGAGAAACTAGAAACTACAGAAAAGTATTAAGACAGCCTATAATCCCAGTACTTTGGGAGACTGAGGCAGGTGGGTACCTGAGCTCACAAGTTTGAGACCAGCCTGGGCAACATAGCAAGACCCAGTCTCTAAAGAAAATATAAAAATTAAGGCCAGGCATGGTGGTTCACGCCTGTAATACCAGCATTTTGGGAGGCCAAGGTGAGCGGATCACTTGAGGTCTGGAGTTTGAGACCAGCCTGGCCAACATGATGAAACCCCGTCTCTACTAAAAATGCAAAAATTAGCTGGCCATGGTGGTGCACACCTGTGATCCCAGCTACTTAGGAGGCTGAAGCAGGAGGATCACTTGAACCTGGGAGGCGGAGGTTGCAGTGAGCCGAGATTGTGCCATTGTACTCCAGGCTGGGTGACAGAACAAGATATTATCTCAAAAAAAAAAAAAAAAAAAAGAAGAAGGTTGGGGGGTGCCAGGCGTGGTGGCTCACGCCTGTAATTCCAGCACTTTGGGAGACGGAGGTGGGCGGATCACGAGGTCAGGAGTTCGAGACCAGGGCCAATACGGTGAAACCCCGTCTCTACTAAAAATACAAAATTTAGCTTTGTGTGGTGGCACGTGCCTGCAGTCCCAGCTACTCAGGAGGCTGAGGCAGAAGAATTGCTTGAACCCGGGAGGTGTAGGTTGCAGTGAGCCGAGATTATGCCACTGCACTCCAGCCTGGCAACAGAGCAAGACTCCATCTCTAAATAAATAAATAAATAAATATTAGCCAGGTGTGGTGGCATGCACCCGTAGTCCCACCTACTTGGGAGGCTGAGGTGGGAGGATGACCTAAGCCAGGGAAGTTGAGGCTGCAGTGAGCTGAGGTCATGCCATTGCACTCCAGCCTGGGCAACAGAGTGAGACCCTGTCTCAAAACAAAAACACAAAGAAATGTATGGAGATAGAGATAAAAGTAATTTGTAATCTCATCACTTGGAAACAATTACTGTTGGCGTTTTGCTATTTAGCTTTCTAGTCTTTATTCATCTTTTTTTTTTTTTTTTTAAGACAGAGTCTCCCTCTGTTGCCCAGGCTGGAGTGCAGTGGTATAATCATAACTCACTACGGCCTTGACTCTTGGGCCCCCCTCAGTCTCCCAAGTAGCTGGGACTATAGGGGTGTGCCACCACACACAGCCGATTTTTGGTATTTTTTATAGGGGTGGGGCTTCACCATGTTGCCCATGCTGGTCTCTAACTGCTAGACTCAAGTGATCCTCTGCCTTGACCTCCCAAAGTGCAAGGATTACAGGCATGAGCCACCATGCCCAGCCTTTAGTCTTTTTCTATATAAATATGTCATTTGTTGGGGTTAGGTTTGTAGGGGATGTGTGTGTGCACATGTATGTGTGTCTGGCTTTTTTTCCTACAAAATTGGAATCAGGCCAGGCGTGGTGGCTCACACCTGTAATCCCAGCAGTTTGGGAGGCCGAGGCAGCGGATCACCTGAGGTCAGGAGTTTGATACCAGCCTGACCAACATGGTGAAACCCCATCTCTACTAAAAATACAAAAGTAGCCAGGCGTGGTGGCACATGCCTGTAATCCCAGCTGTTCGGGAGGCTGAGGCAGGAGAATTGCTTGAACCTGGGAGGCGGAGGTTGCAGCGAGCCAAGATTGTGCCACTGCACTCCAGCCTGGGCAACAAGAGCGAAACTCCATCTCAAAAAAAAAAATAAAACAAAAGAAAAGAAAAAAAAATTGGGATCAAATTCTGTGTCCTGCTTTGTATGCCAATCTTCTTTTTGTGTGTGTGTGAGATACAGGCTCACTCCATCACCCAGGCTGGAACGCAATGGCGCGATCTTGGCTCATTGCAACCTCCGCCTCCCGGGTTCAAATGGTTCTCATACCTCAGCTTTCCAAGTAGCTGGGATTACAGGCACGTGCCACCACACCCAGCTAATTTTTGTATTTTTGGTAGAGACAGGGTTTTACCATGTTGGCCAGGCTGGTCTCGAACTCCTGACATCAAGTGATCTGCCCACTTCAGCCTCCCAAAGTGCTAGGATTACAGGCGTGAGCCACCGAACCTGGCCTGTACTCCAATATTTTAAACATAATAACAGAAAGTGAGAATCCCCCTTTACCCCGAGACCCCAGATATAATCCGCAAGTAGGTGTGGAAAGCACCTCCAAGTATTCCAGCCCATCGCGGGCGTTAACTGATTTCACCACTTCCAGGCTAACTGGGGATCCAGGGCCCTGCCCCACAGAACAGAGATCCAGTTTCTCCAACAAAGCAATGGCAAGAATAAAAGGGGAAAGGGACTGGTTATGGCTTAGAGGTCAGCAAACCTCCTCTGTAAAAGGCCAGATCGTAAATATTTTAGGCTTTCTGGGTCATATGGTCTCTGTCTCAATTACTCAATTTCACGCTTGAAGCACTGTTTATACCCTTTTCTGTATTGAGACAGCCTGTAATCACAGACGTGTGATTACCATAAAAATAGCAACCATAGACAATGCATCAACAAATAGGCATCAACTGAGCACGGGTGTGAGTTCACTCCTGTGATCCCAGCACTTTGGGAGGCCAAGGTGGGAGGACTGCTTAAGCCCAGGAGTTCAAGATCAGCCCAGACAACATGGCAAGACCTATCTCTTAAAATTTTTTTCTTTTTTGAGACGGAGTCTCGCTCTCTTGCCCAGGCTGGAGTGCAGTGGCACGATCTCGGCTCACTGCAACCTCTGCCTCCCAGGTTCAAGCAATTCTCCTGCCTCAGCCTCCTGAGTAGCTGGGATTACAGGTGTGTACCACCACACCCGGCTAATTTTTTTGTATTTTTAGTAGAGACGGGGTTTCACCATGTTGGCCAGGGTGGTCTCAAGCTTCTGACCTTGTGATCCACCCGCCTCGGCCTCCCAAAGTGCTGGGATTACAGGCATGAGCCACTGCGCCCGGCAAAAAAATTTTTTTTTAATTAGGCAGGTGTGGTGGAGTACACCTGGCATCCCAGCTACTTGGGAGGCTGAGGTGGGAGGATCACTTGAGCCCAGGAGTTGGAGGCTGCTTTGAGTTATGATCGTGCCACTGCACTCCAGCCTGAGCACCAGAGAGAGACCTTGCCTCAAAAAAAAAAAAAAAATTTAAAAAATAAATGGTTGGGAGGTTGAGGCGGGTGGATCACCTGAGGTCAGGAATTCCAGACCAGCCTGGCTAACATAGTGAAACCCCATCTCTACTAAAGATACAAAAATTAGCCAGGCCCCGTGGTGGTGGGTGCCTGTAATCCCAGCTACTCAGGAGGCTGAGGCAAGAGAATCACTTGAACTGGGGAGGCGGAGGTGGCAATGAGCCGAAATCACGCCATTGCACTCCAGCCTGGGCGACAAGAGCAAGACTCCGTGTAAAAAAAAAATTCTTTTAAAAGGGTATAGCTGTGTCTCAGAAAAACTTCATTTATAGATACAAATTTGAATTTCATATAAATTTCCCATGTCATATTATTTTTTTTCAACCACTTAAAAATGTAAAAACCAACCAGGTGCCGTGGCTCATGCCTGTAATCCCAGCACTTTGGGAGGCTGAGGCAGGCCGACTGCTTGAGCCCAGGAGTTCAAGACCAGCCTGGGCAATATAGTGAGACCTCATCTCTACAAAAAATAAAAATAAAAAATTAGCCAGTGTGCTGGCTTATACTAGTAGTCCCAGCTACTTGAAAGGCTGAGGCAGCAGAATCACTTGAGCCCAGGTGTCTGAGGCTACAGGGAGCTTTAAACTTATTTTGTAGAGTTGGGGTCTCACTATGTTGCCCAGGCTGGTCTCTAACCCCTGGGCTCAAGCAATCCTCCCTCCTCAGCCTCCTAAAGTGGTGGGATCACACCACTGTACTCCAGCCTGGGTGAAAGAGTGAGGCTCTGTCTCTATTATTTAAAAAACGACGACGACAACAAAACAGCTGGAGTTGCATAGTGAAGTGTTTACAGACAAAAGGTTTCGATGTCAAGGGTTTGCTCTCAATGCTCTAGGAAAAAAAGGAAAAGTATTTTGGGGGAATAGATGATTCAAGATTGAAAAAATGTTGAGACCTAATTAAGCTGAATAATGTTTTATCAAAGTCTATTATACATTCCTTTCTACTTGTGAATGTATTTGAACTTTTCTTAGATGGAGTTTCACTCTTCTTACCCAGGCCGGAGTGCAATGGTGCGATCTCAGCTCACACAACCTCCGCCTCCTGGGTTCAAGTGATTCTCCTCCCTCAGCCTCCTGAGTAGCCGGAATTACAGGCATGCGCCACCACGACCGGCTAATTTTGTATTTTTAGTAGAGATGAGGTTTCACCATGTTGGTCAGGTTGGTCTCAAACTCCTGACCTCAGGTGATCCGCCTGCCTCGGCCTCCCAAAGTGCTGGGATTACAGGCGTGAGCCACCACGCCTGGCCGAACATTTCTCATTTTATTTCATTGTTTTTTGAGACAAGGTCTCACTCTGTCACCCAGGCTGGCATACAGTGGTGCAATCTTGGCTCAATGCAACCTCTGCCTCCCAGGCTCAAGCGATCCTCCCACCTCAGCCTCCTGAGTAGCTGAGACTATAGGTGTGAGCCACCATGCTTAGCTAATTTTTGCATTTTTTTGTAGAGACAGGGTTTACCATGTTGACCAGGCTGGTCTCAAAGTCCTGGGCTTCAGCGATCTACCCACCTTGCCCTCCCAATGTGCTGAGAGTATTTGAACATTTTTATCACAAAAAGTTATTATTTTCTTCCTTTTTTGAGACAGGGTCTCGCTATATTGCCCAAGCTGGTCTCAAATTCTTGGCCTGAAGCAATCCTCCTAATTCAGTCTCCAGAGTAGCTGGGATTACAAGCACATGCCACCATTCCTGGCCAAAGTTATTTTTTTAAAAAAGTGTAGGCCGGGACTATAAAAACCAACCAGGTGCAGTGACTCCATCTCAAAAAAAAAAAGTGTTAAGAACATCTGTGAATCAAGCTGGCAGATTTCTTGCCTCATGTGTCCAAAGAAATATATGTAAAAATGACTGCTGCAGCTGCATTTGTCAGAGGAAAAGGCTAGAAATAATCTCCATGGCTGTCAACAGAGGAAAAGGTTAAGGAAACACGAAATGGAATAGTACACAGCCATGCAAAAGAATGAGCCAGCTCTGGGGCTGATGGAGAAATATTTCTTTTTTTTTTTTTTTTTGAGAAAGAGTCCTGCTCTTCTACCCAGGCTGGAGTGTAGTGGCGTGATCTTGGCTCACTGCAAGTTCCGCCTCCCGGGTTCACACCATTCTCTTGCCTCAGCCTCCCGAGAAGCTGGGACTACCGGCGCCCACCACCACGCCTGGCTAATTTTTTTGTATTTTTAGTAGAGATGGAGTTTCACAGTGTTAGCCAGGATGTTCTTGATCTCCTGACCTCATGATCCGCCCTCTTCGGCCTCCCAAAGTGCTGGGATTACAAGCGTGAGCCACTGCGCCCGGCAGAGAAATATTTCTAGGATATATTATTTAGTAGAAAAGTTCAAAGTGCAGGAAAGGGTATATACAGTAGGGAACATCTGTGTAAAACAAAAAAGTAGCCAATGTGTTGTCAATGCCTGTGGGTGCTCAGCATATTTCTGGAAAGAGATACAAGAATCAGAGAAGCTGGGAGACCAGAACTGCAGGTGGGGAGTGGGTTATTGCCTTAGTCTCTTCCTGTGCCTTCTGAATTTTGCACATAGGGTGCTGGCTTGGATGGGGCTTATGGGAAAGCTGGGGTTAAAAACTGATTGCAAGCATCAGTTTCTTTCTTTCCTTTTTTTTTTTTTCTTTTGAGACAGAGTCTCCCCCCATTGCCCAGGCTGGAGTGCAGTGGCGTGATATCGGCTCACTGCAGCCTCCACCTCTCAGGTTCAAGTGATTCTTCTGCCTCAGCCTCCCAAGTAGCTGGGATTACAGGCGTCTGTCACCATGCCCGGCTAATTTTTGTGCATTTTTAGTAGAGACGGGGTTTTGCCATGTTGGCCAGGCTGGTCTAGAACTCCTGGCCTCAGGTGATCTGCCTGTCTCAGCCTCCCAAAGTGCTGGGATTTCAGGCATGAGCCACCACGCCCGGCCACAAATAAAGTTTTATTGGCAAACAGTCACACCCATTCATTTATGCATTGTCTGTGGCTGCTGTCATGCAGAGTTGGGTAGTTGCCATAGAGACTGTATGGCCAAAAATATTTACTATCTGGCCCTTTAAGAAAAGGTTTGCTGACTCCTGGACTAAAGAAAGCAGTCGTATCCACTATTTTGCTAGAACAAAACAGCCAGGCACGGTGGCTCACGCCTGTAATCCCAACACTTCGGGAGGCTGAGGCAGGTGGATCACCTGTCAGGGGTTCAAGACCAGCCTGGCCAACATGGCAAAACCCCATCTCTACTGAAAATACAAAAATGAGTCAGGCATGCTGCGCACACCTGTAATCCTGGATACTCAGGAGGCTGAGGAAGGAGAATCACTTGAATGCAGGAGGTAGAGGTTGCAGTGAGCCAAGATCGCACCACTGCACTCTAGCCTGGGCAACAGAGGGAGACTCCATCTCAAACAAAAACAAAAACAAACCATAAAGAACATCCCCTTGGGCTGGTGTGGTGGCTCATGCCTGCAATCCTAGCACTTTGGGAGGCTGAGGAGGGAGGATCACTTAAGGTCAGGAGTTCGAGGCCAGCCTGGGAAACATAGCGAGACCCTATCTCCACGCAAAATTAAAAAAAAAGGCCAGGCATGGTGCCTCACGCTTGTAATCCCAGCACTTTGGGAGGCCAAGGCGGGCAGATCACGAGGTCAGGAGATGGAGACCATCCTGGCTAACATGGTGAAACCCCATCTTTACTAAAAATATAAAAAATTAGCTGGGCATGTGGCACGCGCCAGTAGTACCAGCTACTTGGGAGGCTGAAGCAGGAGAATTGCTTGAACCTGGGAGGTGGAGGCTGCAGTGAGCCAATACGGCACCACTGCACTCCAGTCTGGGTGACAGAGTGAGACTCCAACTCAAAAAAATAAAATAAACCTGGGAAGCGGAGCTTGCAGTGAGCCGAGATCGCGCCACTGCACTTCAGCCTGGGCGACAGAGCGAGACTCCGTCTCAAAAAAATAAAAAATAAAAAAATAAAGAACATCCCCATCCTTTTCCATGGCTGCATAGTATTCCACCATGTGAATATACTTTATGTCCACTTGGTTCTCCAACTGTGAGACACCTGGGGGGGATCTGTAGGTTTCACTCCTACTAATACTACTACTACACTCCACACACCATATCCCACATGGGTGAGGATATCTCTAGGATCAATTTCCAGAAATGGTTTTGCTGGGTTCCCAGGGGATAGGCAGTGGGGCAGTGGGAGTTCCTGCGCGTGGATCCCCTGCAATTAGACGGGACATGTGGCATACACATGGGTATCTTCCTGGGCAGATCCTCAAAGGATCAGTGACTGGGTTGGACCCTGAATCAGAGGATGGGGATGAGGGTTTGGTTCTGGGAGACCAGGGCCTGTGGCCCAGGCTGGGCACTAACCAAGGTCGTCGGCGAGCCTCCGGCCATCCTCAGCAGGCACAACACGTTCGTCCTCCAGGTCACACTTGTTCCCCACCAGGATGACCTGGGCGTTGTCCCAGGAGTAGGTCTTGATTTGCGTGGCCCTGCAGAGTTACCAGTGGTGAGCCATGAGCCGGGGGGGTTAGGGGTCAGAGGAGAGGGCAAAGATCAGGGGTCCATGATCAGCAAGCACTCACCAGTCCTGCACAGCGGCAAAGGATTCCTGATTGGCGATGTCATACATGAGCAGGAAGCCCATGGCTCCCCGGTAGTAGGCCGTGGTGATGGTGCGGTAGCGCTCCTGGCCCGCTGTGTCCTGGACAAATGGCAGTGGCAGTTGGCTGGGAACTACCTGTTTCCCAGTCCACCCCTGTCTTAGAGGGGCACTGCCCTGTACTCATAGCCCCAGCCTTACGGGGGAGACACAGACTTGCTTGTACAACCTCTGGTCTGATGGAGAATACACAGATCCTGCCCTCACAACCCCAGTCTGATGGGGGAGGCATGGATTCATTACCAAGGGATCTCCCCAGTCTGATGAGGGAGAGACTTGGGCTTGCCCTTGAGGGGTTCCAAGTCTCAGGGGTCAGTGGCCTCTCACAGACTTATGAGCCCCTTTGACCTTGTCTCTAAGAACCAACTGGGCCAGATGGTACCATCCTGACAGGACACCTTGGTACTCTTGCTACCACGATGATTGTTACCAGCGGCTAAGTTGGGAGAGGGAGCTAGGTGTGACTCTGCAGACCAGGTCGGTCCAATGGGGGTCCCAGGGTCCCCTCTAAGATGGTACCCAAAACTCTTCCCTGTTGGTCACCAGCACCTGGGACCTTTCTTTTTTCTTTCTTTCTTTTTTTAATAGATGGGGTCTTGCCCTGTCACCCATGATGGAATGCAGCGGTGCAATCATAGCTCACTGCAGCCTCGAACTCCTGGGCTCAAGCAATCCTCTTGCCTCAGCCTCCTGAATAGCTGAGACTACAGGCGGGAGCTACCATGCTGGGCTAATGTTTAAAGTTTTTTTTAGAGATGAGATCTCGCTATGTTGTCCAGGCTGGTCTGGAACCGCTGGGCTCAAGTGATGCTCCACCTCAGCCTCCCAAAGTGTTGGGATTACAGGCATAAGCCACCACGCTAGTGTCACAAGTACTTCAAACATGTCTTAGGTTAGTATCATCTCCGCAATCAGACCCCCAGGAATAATACTGTTTCCCGCCAGGCACAGTATTACAGTGGCTCATGCCTGTAATCCCAGCGCTTTGGGAGGCCGAGGTGGGCGGATCACGAGGTCAGGAGTTCGAGACCAGCCTGGCCAACATGGTGAAACCCCATCTCTATTAAAAGTATAAAAAATTAGCCGGGTGTGGTGGCGTGCACCTGTAATCCCAGCTACTCGGGAGACTGAGGCAGAAGAATTGCTTGAACCCAGGAGACGGAGGTTGCAGTGAGCCAACATTGTGCCATTGTGCTCCAGCCTGGGCGACAGAGCAAGACTCTGTCTCGAGAGAAAAAAAAAAAAAAAAGGTCGAGGCAGGAGAATCGCTTGAACCCAGGAGATGGAGGTTGCAGTGAGCCGAGATCCCGCCACTGCCCTCCAGCCTGGGCAACAGAGTGAGACTCCGTCTCAAAAAAAAAAAAAGAACCCTCCAATGAACTTTCCTGGAGGGACCCCACCCCCAACCCACAGCCAGCCTCCCAGCCTACCCAGATCTGCAGCTTGATCCTCTTGTCATGGCGGTAGACGGTCTTGACCTTGAAATCGATGCCCACAGTACTGACGAAGGCGGGAGTGAAGGAGTCGTCCGCGTATCGGAACAGGAAGGAAGTCTTGCCCACACTGCTGTTGCCTATCAGTAGCAGTTTGAACATATAGTCGAAGTTCTGATCTGCTGCATCCCGTGGGCCTGCCTGGGTGTCTCCAGCTGATGCCATCTTGGCACAAGCCTCCTGGGACAGGGAGACCTGAAATCCTCAGGGAGAGGAGACGGGCGTCCTGCAGGGGAATCAAACATCAAGAACAGCTCCTGTGAATGCACCAGGCCTGGATTCAAATCTCAGCTCGGTCACTCGGAGACCAAGTGATGCTGGATGCATCGCTTGCCCCCTCTAGACCTCAGTGTCCTCTTCTAAAAAATGGGATGTTTGTCACAGTCCCTTCCTGAAAGAGTAGTTGGTTGTGAGCCTAAAATGAGTTTCTTTCTTTCTTTTTTTTTTTTTTTAGAGACAAGATCTCGCTCTGTTGCCTGAGGCTGGAGCGCAGTGGCGTGATCATAGCTCACTGCAGTCTTGACCTCCTGGGCTCGAGTGATCCTCCTGCCTCAGCCTCCCAAGTAGCTGGGACTACAGACATGCCACCACATCAGGCTAATTTAAAAAAAATTTTTTTGTAGAGATGGGGTCTCATTATGTTGCCCATGCTGGTTTCAAACTCCTCTGCTCAAGCAATCCTCCTGCCTCAGCCTTCCAATGTGCTAGGATTACAGGCATGAGCCACCACGCCCGACCTAAAATGTGTTTCTTTATTCATTCAACAAATGCTTACTCTCTGCCGGGCCCTGTTCTCTGTGGAAATGCAGCTGTGAATAGGACAAGAAAAAGTCCATCCTCGGGTGGTCACGTTCCTTCCAGTGGGAAGGTATTAACACACGTAACGGTCATTAGACAGTGCCTGGTATAGAGCTGGGGCACAAAAAATGTGACTGCTGTTTAATCTTCACACCCTGTGGCGTAACTGAGTCTGTATTGGGGTGGAGGGTGGGGAGACCTTTCCTATCTGGAAACCCAGAGGCCTAGCAAAGGGTTCAAGTGCAAGGCCGAGGGTAAGGGGCTCTGGCCCCTGCAGAACTAGATTCTGGAGAAGGCACAGGTGTGGACTTCGCCCCAGCGTGTGCAGCCGGTGTGGCCCAGGTGTAAGCTGGGGTGGGGTGGGGGGAGGACCTGCCAGCTGGATAAGCTGGATAGAGCCCCTGATTAAGGCTTGGGTGTTGACTTTGGCAGGTGTCAGCCACTGGGGCGCCTGCCGCCCACCAACTCATGCCAAATACAACCCCTTCTCTGAGTTCCAAGGGGAAGGGGTTTTCTATGTACAGGGCCCAGGTTTAGAGTCCAGTTCTACCCCCTAAATGGGTACTGCTATTTTCTATTTGTCAAAGGGGCCAGGCCTGTCTCCTTCTGCCCAAGGCTGACTCACTCCAGCCCCAGTCCACGGAGGCAGGAGTGAGAGTCCTTATACCCAAGGAAACGATCCCAGCCACTTAATTAACACAACCCCACCACCACGACCACTGCCGCCCACCCTTGGTCTTTCCAGGCAATCTGTCCCACGGCTAGGCTCCTTGAATCTGCCCACACTCCAACATGCTGCTTCATCCGAGTCCAAGGTGCTCCCTCAACCCTCATAACCTCTCCCAGGCCTCAGTTTCCCCAGCTGTCTATGGCCGCTGCGGGAACCGCACGGAGAGGCTGCAGAAGGCCTGGATGCAGGCGGGGCAGAGGCAGAGACAGCCCTGGCACAGCTATTTCTCAACTGCCTTTGGGGCTTTTTTCCATTTTAAACCAGGACCCAACCGGCCCCACCCCGTGTTCCAGGAGAACGAGTTTAAGGAGGGGAAGAGAAGAGGCAGGAAACCTTTCCCCACGCAGGGCAGGGCCGCAAGGCTGGGGCCCCCACCTCCCCCAGCCTTAGCTCACCTGTGTCAGTCGGTCCCGCCTCTTTCTAACCATCTGCCGACCCTCCCTCAAGCCTGGCCCCGGAGGGCTCGCCTCTGTTCCCCTTCACTAGATTTGGGGCGCCCCAGCCAATGCAGGTGGACTCAGGAGTTTCCCCCATCACCATATGGTCCCAACGCCTGTCCCCAGCTGGGCTCTCTGCCCCGCCCGCGCCCCATCAGCGCTTCCCAAGTGCCCAGCTGGGTGGGGGCGAGGGCAGAGGCGTTCCCCGCAGCCCCGCCTTTGTTCCCCAGACCCCCTACCTTCCTCCCAAACCCCCGTACCCCACAGACCTGCTCGGATGCGGAGGGGCCGGGTGGGCTGCGCTCCTTCCCAGGGGTGACCTCGCGTAGGGGGCGCCGCCTGCAGGGGTTCCGCCTGTGAACTCGCTGCGGCTTGGCCCTGGCCGCGACCCCGACCCCGCAGCCGCAGAAGCCAGCAGCCTGCAGCCACCCGGATCCCGCGCGGGCTCCGCCCAGAAGGCGGAGGAAGGGCCGTTCCCGGAGCGGGGGATGGGGGAGGACGAAGAGGGGCCGAGTCTTGGGCGGGGCTTTCAGAGAGCGGGTGGGAGGGGCTGGAAGCTGCACCAAGCGTCTAGAGCCCGTCCTAGCCAAGCAACATCTCATTTTCCCAGCTGCTTGTAAAGAGCTTCTACTATACGCACGGCTGTTAAAAGCATAGAGTCTTGGGCCTGGTTCGAGTCCCAGCTCCACCACTTTCTAGTCTTGTGGCTTTGGACGCGTTACTTAACCTCTTTGAGCCTCAGTTTCCCCATCCGTCAAGTAGCTCATAGCGAGAGTACCCAACCTCACAGAGTTGTGGGAGGATTCTGATCTGAGTTAGTGTTTGTCAAGTGCAGTGCCGGCCTTAAAGTAGGCTAGGCCAGGCGCGGTGGCCTGTAATTACAGCAGTTTGGGAGGCCGAGGCAGGAGAATCACTTGAGGCCAGGAGTTTGAGACCAGCTTGGGCATCGTAAGGAGACCTCATCTCTACTAAAAATAACAAAAATTAGCCAGGTGTGGTGGCGTGCGTCTGTAACCCCAGCTACTTGGGAGGCTGAGGCAGGAGGATTGCTGGAGACATCGAGGCTGCAGTGAGCCTTGATTGCACCACAGCACTCCAGCCTGGGCAACAGAGCAAGACCCTGTTTCAAATAAATAAAAATAAACGAGAGCTGGGCGCGGTGGCTTATGCCTGTAATCCCAGTACTTTGGGAGGCCAAGGCAGGCGGATCACTTGAGGTCAGGAATTTAAGACCAGCCTGGCCAACATGGTGAAACCTCATCTCTACTAAAAAAAAAAAAAAAAAAATACAAATATTAGGGGCTGGGCACGGTGGCTCACACCTGTAATCTCAGCACTTTGGGAGGCCGAGGTGGGCAGATCACCTGAGGTCGGGAGTTCGAGACTAGCCTGGCCAACGTGAAGAAACCCTGTCTCTACTAAAAAATACAAAATTAGCCAGGCGTGGTGACGCATGCCTGTAATCCCAGTTACTCTGGAAGCTGAGGCAGGAGAATTGCTTGAACCCGGAAGGCGGAGGTTGCAGTGAGCCGAGATCACGCCACTGCACTCCAGCCTGGGCAAAAAGAGCGAAACTCTGTCTCAAATAAATAAATAAATATACAAAAATTAGCCGAGCATGGTGGTGCACACCTGTAATCCCAACTACTTGGGAGGCTGAGGCAGGAGAATCGCTTGAACCCAGGAGGTGGAGGTTGCAGTGAGCCGAGATCGCGCCACTGCACTCCAGCCTAGACGATGGAGTGAGACTCTGTCTCAAAAAAAAAAAAAAAAAAATTAAAAAATAAATGAGGCTGGGCACAGTGTCTGATGCCTGTAATCCCAGCCCTTTGGGAGGCTGAGGCAGGAGGATTCCTTGAGCTCAGGAGTTCAAGGCCAGCCTAGGCAACATAGAGATCCCAACTCTACAAAAAATTTTTTTGAAAATTAGCTGGCCACAAAAAAAAAAAAAAAAAAAAAAAGAAAAAGAAAAAAAGAAAAAAGAAAAAAAAATTAGCTGACCATGGGGGCACATACATGTAGTCTTAGCTACTCCGGAGGCTGAGGCAGGGGGATTGCTTGAGCCTGGGAGAGAGAGAGGCTTCAGTAGGTTATGACTGTGCCACTGCACTCCAGCCTAGGTGACAGGGCAAGACTTTATCTCTAAATAAAGAAAGTTAAAGTGGGTTGGATCCCTTTGTGAAATACCCAGGTTTTGCTGGTGTTGGAATCCCAGCAATTCCACCTTACTCAATTTGCTGAACTTCTCTGAGCCCCCACTGCCTCGTGGGAACAAAAGTAGCTGCCTCAAGAGCTGCCACGTGGATGAATGAGGATGAAGTGCATTAGTTAGGAAGGGCTGGGTTATGCTTAGTAACAAGCACTCCCAAAGACTTCACGGCCCCAACAGCTAAGGTTTGGTTCCCATGATGGTTGTTTTGTGAAGTGAAAATGCAGCAAATTATGTACTGTTTTGTAATACTTCTCCTTGGAAGGGACACATGCCACCTCTGCTCACATTTCATTGGCCAAAGCAAGTCACATGGCCACCCCCAATGTCAGTAGGGTGGGAAATATGATTGTCCTCTAGGATCAGAACCATCTGGGCCTGGTGGCTGGCGCCCGTAGTCCGAGCTACTTTGGAGGCTGAGGTGGGAGGATTGCTTGAGTCCAGGAGTTGGAGGCTGCAATGAGCTATCATCACGCCACTTCACTCCAGCTTGGGTGACAGAGCAAGACCCTGTCAAAAACAAGACAAAACAGGCTGGGCGTGGTGGCTCACGCCTGTAATCCCAGCACTTTGGGAGGCCGAAGCGAGCAGATGGCCTCAGGTCGGGAATTCAAGGCCAGCCTGGCCAGCACAGTGAAACTCCGTCTCTACTAAAAATAACAAAAATTAGATGGGCGTGGTGGCAGGTGTCTGTAATCCCAGCTACTCAGGAAGCTGAGGCAGAATAATCGCTTGAACCCGGGAGGCGGAGATTGCAGTGAGCCAAGGTCATGCCATTGCACTCCAGCCTGGGCAACAGAGCAAGACTCTGTCTCAAAAAAAAAAAAAAAAAAAAAGACAAAACAGCCAGGCATGGTGGCTCATGCCTGTAATCCTAGCACTTTGAGAGGCCAAGGCGGGTGGATCACCTGAGGTCGGGAGTTCAAGACCAGCCTGACCAACATGGAGAAACCCTGTCTCTAGTAAAAATACAAAAAATTAGCCAGGCATGGTGGCGGATGCCTGTAATCCCATCTACTCAGGAGGCTGAGGCAGGAGAATCGCTTGAACCCAGAGGCAGAGGTTGTAGGGAGCTGAGATCGCACCACTGCACTCCAGCCTGGACAACAAGAGTGAAACTCCGTCTCAAAACAGAACAAAACAAAACAAAACAAAACAAATAATACATGATATGTCAGTGGTTAACAACATGTCTGGTATACAGCAGGTGCTCAATAAATGGGCATCATTATAGGAGAGGCTTACAGGATAAAATGGCTGACACTCCAAACCATCATGCTTCATGAATGGGGAAACTGAGGCTCTTGGCTCTACCCTTGCCTGCCCCTCCCCCTGCTTCTCATGGGGGAAAAAAAAAAGACAGCAGCCATTTCTGAAGAAGCATTTATTAGCATGCAGGGCCCATGCTAGAGGCTCCTTATTTCCAGGGCAAGGCCAGCGAGACAGAGCCCATTGCTCAGGACGCAGCCCAGATTGCAAAGAGAGGACAGCCCATGGTAGCGGAAGAAATTCTGGCGGAGAGCACTGTACTTGGGGTCCTTCTCTCGCAGCTGGCGGTAGGGATCGGGACCCTGGTGGCTGCCTGGTACCTCCCCACCCAGGCCTCGCTCCTTCTCCACGGTTTGCAGGGCCCACATGGCAGCTGTGGTGCGGGGTTCCAGCCAGCGGGCGTTGACAGTGGCCAGCGTAAGGCTCAGGAACAGCAGGTAAAGCTGGCAGGGAGAGCAGAGGAGAAGGTGAGCCATGCCTGGGAGGCCAGAGGGGCCCTAGGGAGGGTCTTTCTGCATCCTCAACAGCACAGGGGTGGGGGTGGGGACAGCACTGGATCAAAAAACCTGCCTCCCCCTCTTTCCTTGAACCCAGACTGAGGGACCCAAAGCAGAACTCCAGCTCTTCTACTCTGAAACTGGCAGCTCTGAAGGAAAGGCTCCATCCCCACCTCCTCTATCCCCCCGCAAAACCTCCCGAGCCTCTTCTCCTCTGATACTCAGACTGGAAGTCCCCAGAGCAGGATCTCTTTCCTCAGTGGCCACAGCCCAGACGCCTGAAGCTGACATTGGACCCACAGAGGGTGAATAAAAAGTCTTTGAGTGGCTGGGCGCAGTGGCTCATGCCTATAGTCCCAGCACTTTGGGAGGCTGAGGTGAGTGGATCACTTGAGGCCAGGAGTTCAAGGACAGCCTGGGCAACATGGGCAAAACCCCGTCTCTACTAAAAATACAAAAATTAGCCAGGTGTGGGGGCTGTCCCCCTGTAATCCCAGCTACTCAGGAGGCTGAGGCATGAGGATTGCTTGAACCCGGGAAGGAGAGGTTGCAGTGAGCCAAGATTGCACCACTGCACTGCAGCCTGGGCGACAGAGCAAGACCCTGTCTCAAAAACAAACAAAACAAAACAAAAAGTCTTTGAAGGCAGGCATGGTGGCTCATGCCTGTAATCTGTAATCCCGGTGCTTTCAGAGATGGGGGTGGGAGCATCACTTGAAGCCAGGAGTTCAAGACCAGCCTGAACAACACAGCAAAGACCCTCATCTTTTTTTTTTTTTTTTTTTTTGAGACTGAGTTTCACTCTTGTTGCCCAGGCTGGAGTGCAATGGCGTGACCTTGGCCCACTGCAATCTCCGCCTCCTGGGTTCAAGCAATTCTCCTGCCTCAGCCTCCCAAATAGCTGGGATTACAGGCGCACACCACCACACCCAGCTAATTTTTGTATTTTTAGTAGAGACGGGGTTTCACCATGTTAGCCAGGATGGTCTCGCGCTCCTGACCTCGTGATCCACCCACCTCAGCCTCCCAAAGTGCTGGGATTACAGGCATGAGCCACTGCGCCCAGCCTATTTTTTTTAATTAGGAAAAATGTTTTTGCCATTCTCACATTGCTATAACACCATCTCTATCTGTTTTAAGTATTTGAATACCTTCTGAGCCTGTTTCATTAAAATAAATAAATAAAAGGAAAAAAAAACAGTCTGTGAAGTTCTA
This sequence comes from Homo sapiens, assembly GCF_000001405.40. Lineage (NCBI taxonomy): Eukaryota > Metazoa > Chordata > Mammalia > Primates > Hominidae > Homo > Homo sapiens. Next base: position 11,344,390 of record NC_000019.10, read on the forward strand.
GTTACCCATAATCCCCTCCTGTCTGTGAGATTATTCTTGAAACACCTGTCAGGTCTCACTTACCCACGTCTATGAAACATAATGCAGGCAAGGGAAGGCCAGAGTAAATAGAGAAATCTGAGATGCAGAGATAGTTTCTTGCCTTGTGGCCAGAAAAATGTGTGGAAGGGGATAGGAAACCATAAATTCCCAGTCGGGCTGGTTTTTAAACAATAAGCTGGGGTCAATGTGCCAGCTCAGCTGAGTCACCACAGCTTGGCAGCAGGCCCAGCCAGCGGGAGGAGAGGGAACAGCAGCTAGCAGGGAGATGCTGGGGGATAGACAGGGCTGCTGGGGACTGTTGTACAGGCTGTGCACTGCTCAAGGGTATCCAGAGCCCAGCTTTGTATCTACCAGGAAGAAGGGGCTCCCCTCCCCTCCCTTCCTCTTCCCTCCCCTCTCCTTTCCTCTCCTCTCCTTTCCTTTCCTTTTTTTTTTTTTTTTTGAGATGGAGTCTTGCTTTGTCGCCCTGGCTGGAGTGCAATGGCATGATCTCGGCTCACTGCAACCTCTGCCTCCTCGGTTCAAGCAATTCTCCTGCCTCAGCCTCCTGAGTAGCTGGAATTACAGGTGCACACCACCACGCCTGGCTAATTTTTTTGTATTTTTAGTAGAGACGGGGTTTCACCATGTTGGTCAGGCTGGTCTTGAACTCCTGACCTCGTGATCCGCCCACCTCGGCCTCCCAAAGTGTTGGGATTACAGGCGTGAGCCACCATGCCTAGCCTTTTTTTTTCCCCCCCTGGAAAAGGTGTAGCCATAGGCGCTGACTGAGGTCCTGGGAACAAGTCTCCAGAGGGCAGTGGCACTCAAACCCACGTACCTGGCTGGCCTCCCAGAATGTGAGCTGAGCCCAAGCATGCTGTGAAGCCAAGATGCAGAGGTTGATGAAGGCACAGCCCATGGAGATGTGGAAGTAGAAGGGGAAGAGTTTGCTCTGCACTAGTCCGAAGGTATGTCGGGGAAGGCTTCGGAAAAGCAGGAAGCCTGCAGGGTATGGGGACCACAGGGGTGTTAGGGCACTTCCCGGTTCCCCTCTTATTTCCATCCCCACCCCAGGTACCCATGACATCCAAGCTGAGGGTCCCTACCTGAGACGAAGGTCACCCACATTTGCATGCCCCAGGCACCTGACAAGACCAGTAGATGGACCATCTTAATCAGGCCTCCTAGGTTCCCGCCTTCCTCCATCTTGCAGTCCTGGGAAGGAGGCACCGGGTGGCTCAGAACTTTACCTTTGCCTCATGCGTGGCCTTCAGACCCTGTGAGCCCGCTCGGGGACAGGGTTACGGCCAATCCAGCAGAGATTCTGGCAAAGCATCCCGGGAATGAGAGTGAGAAAGGCCCAAAGCAGTCAAGGCCCAAAGACAACCCTCGACCCCATCTCTCCAAATGTCAGCCCTCAAGATCTCAGGCTCTCTGGACCTCAATCTCCATGCCACTTCAGAGGCCCCAAATTTCAGCCACAGCAGCTCCAGATCATAGCCCTAGGTCTTCAGAGATCACTCCACTAATTCCCAAATATCACCCCAGGGATCCAGTTCTGACAGCCAAGACCACTCCTCTCATAAAATAATACCGGATATTAGGTGAAGATCCCGAAAGCCCCGAGGAAACCCTAAATCTCATCCTGAGGACACCGATCCCACCAAAGCCCCGAGGAAACGCCAAATCTCATCCCGAGGACACCGATCCCACCGTTAGGAACCGGGACCTCAATCCGCAGCACCCGGATTCCGAGAACAGAGGCGTCGGGGCCAAATGGGCTGAATCTGGTACCTCACTCCCACGCCCCCGGGTGGACAGCGACCCTCCTCGGCCGCGTCCCCTCGTGGGTTTCCCCCAACCAATAATTCGTCCCGCCTCCCAGCTGAGCCCGAAGCCAATCGGGTCGTAGATCTGCACCTTTCTATCCCGCCCTCCTGGGTATTGACTAATCGTAGAAACCCCCCTGGGATCCCGCCCCCTCCACGGGCTTTTATCCAATTACGCCGCGGCTACTAAGCGCAGCTGAAGCGTGAAGGCGCCAATGAGGCCTTCGGCTACTCCGGCAGGGGCGGAACTAAAATGCCGGCCACACCCCTCTCTGTGACTCAGTCTCTGAGCGTTTTAATACGATGGTGTCCCCGCGGGATCAAACTTCAGCGTCACAGCTGAGGACTGGCTTCGTGGTCCCTGATGGGAGAGCATGAACAGGTGGTATGTGGTAGGTGGGGTTCTGGAGCCTGGCGGGTGTAGATTTCACAACCCAGGGGGCGGAGCCAGGATGATGACCCCGCCCCCTCCCTAAATAATTCTCCCGGGAGGGACACGGAAGCAGCAACCGGGATGGGACGGGGAGAGAGGAGGCACTACTGGGGACCTAAGCTGGTTCTCAAATGCCTCTCCTTTTCCCCTCCAAGCCTCCCAGGCTTCCTATGGTCCCTAAGTCCCGGGTTCTCAGCGTGACATTCCAGAGCAAACACAGCTCCCCATTACTCTATACCAGGCACTGGCATGGATTAATTTATCTAATCACAACATCCCAGTAAGGTGACTATTATGACATCTCGTTTTTATAGTTGGGGACACTGAGGCATGGAGAGGTTCAGTAACGCGACCAGTATTACACAGCTGGAAGGGACAGAGCTAGGATTTGAACCCAGGCCATCTAGCTGGAGAGTTTCCCTGCTTAACCGTCATACTCTGCTGTCCCTGGAAGTGAGGACCTCCCTGAGGCAGTGACTCTCGGAGGGGCAGCTTAGGACATTTCAGGCAGAAGAAAAACGTGTACATCACAGGGTGGGTGTGAAGATCCAGTGAATGCTTAGGGGATGCCCGGCACTCAATTAGGTGCTCAGAAAATAGGAGCCTAAAAAAGGATTAAGGAAGATTTTACTGAAGATATGCTGAATAGTTTTTGTTTGTCTGTTTGTGTTTGAGACGGAGTTTCGCTCTCGTTGCCCGGGCTGGAGCACAGTGGCATGATATCGGCTCACTGCAACCTCCGCCTCTGAGGTTCAAGCGACTCTCCTGCCTCACCCTTCCAAGTAGCTGAGATTACAGGCATGCGCCACCACGCCTGGCTAATTTTGTATTTTTAGTAGAGATGGGGTTTCTCCATGTTGGCCAGGCTGGTCTCGAACTCCTGACCTCAGGTGATCCACCTGCCTTGGCCTCCCAAAGTGCTAGGATTACAGGTGTTAGCCACCGTGCCCAGCCTGAGTAGTTCTGAAGAGCGTGTAGGAGTCTTCCAGGTCGACTGAATCAGGCAGAGGGCCTGGCAAGGGTGACAGAGAGAAAGGTCTAGAGGATTTGGGGGAAGAGGCTGAGTGTGACTCAGGGCAAGGTGCCTTTCACCTAGAAGTTTCTCCAGGCAGACCTGCCCCAGATATCTCCATCTGTGCCATATGTGGCTATACTGGAGGGGGAGGGGAGTTGAATGTGAGACCCAGAGCTCAGCTGTTTCCTGTTTCCAGCCTCTTCTAGCACGGGTCTGGGCCCCAATTCAGCTAACATTTATTGAACAGATATGCCCTGCCTCTCCTGCTCACACTCTATGGCTGGCATTCACCTGTGGGGCCAGGTCGAAACTCCTGGCTTGGCCGTCAATGCCTTACTGGAGCTGCTCTGCTAACCTCCTGCTGCTTCCTCTCGGACCTCGATTCAGCCATCATGAATTTACCAGCATAGAGCATGTGATTCCACACCTCCAAGCTTTTGCACATGCTGCTCCCTGCCAGGAAAGGCCTTCCTTTAAGCCAATGTCAAGGTCCCTTTTTTCTTTGGACTCTTCTGAGGCCTGATTTTTTTTCTTTGGGGCCTTCTGGGTCCTTCTCACTGCCCAGCCCAAACCTTGGGGCTGGGATAATCTTTTTTGTTGTTGTTTTTTATTTTTGGAGACTGAGTCTCACTCTGTTGCTGAGGCTGGAGTGCAGTGGTGCAATCTCGGCTCACTGCCACCTCCGCCTCCCGGGTTCAAGTGATTCTCCTGCCTCAGCCTCCCGAGTAGCTGGGATTACAGGCGCCCACCACCATGCCCAGCTAGTTTTTGTATTTTTAGTAGAGACGGGGTTTCACCATATTGGCCACGCTGGTCTCGAACTCCTGACCTCAAGTGATCCTCCCGCCTTGGCCTCCCAAAGTGCTAGGATTACAGGCGTGAGCCACCATTGCTGGCCGCGTCTGGCCTTGGGATCATCTTTTATCCAGCTTTGGCTCCTACCATAACTGAGAAGCCTTGAGTTTAGGGCTGAGGCCTCTCTGGCATGTCAGGGAGGGTCTGGGGGCACTGGGGACATGGGGACTTATCTCAAAGCAGCCCCTGCTTCCCTACTCACAGCGACCCTCTTTTGGCCGGCCTACCCCGGGACCCTGACTACTCTGTGTCCTGCCTCTACTCACCTCCCTCACCCTCCAGCATGTGTTTGCCTGCTAACATGAAGTGTGACAAGTACTGGGGTTAGTTAGGGGGCTCCCATAGGGCTGGGGACACTGGGAGGGGCTGGGAATGTGAGGAGTGCCCTGCACTGTCCCTCAAGGAAGCCCTCACCCCTAGGCTCTTCCTCGGACAAGGCTCTGGAGCGTACAGCTCACTGGTCCAGGACTCCAGAGCCAGAGACCTTGGGATGCCCTGCTTCTGGGGACACAGTGAGGACTGCAGACTGCAGGCCAGGGTGGGGCTCAGGGCCTTCGCCACATGAGGCTGCCCCCTCCCCCAGTCCAGACCTGCAGAAGCAGTGCTGTAATGACCAGGACATTTTGAAGAGGCATCACAACGTAGCTAAGGTCACCCCCACCCGGGAAACCCCTTCAATGCAGAAAACCACTGCAATCTACTGCTGTGGGGCTTAGGGAAGGGGCTGTAAGGCAGAGAGACTCCCATGAATGCACCCACTGTGTTTCTTCAGCACCTAGAACAGCACCTGGCACTCAGCAGGCCCTGGCTAAGCAAGTCTTAAATGAATGGATGAAGGAATGAATGGAAGGAAAGAGTGTGGTTGTGTGTCTTCCATGGGGATTTGGCTGTGATCGTCTCTCAGCCACATAAGTGCACTTCTGAGCATATGTAGCCCAAGGGGGAGGTGCATGAATATGCCTGGAGTGCAGCTTTGCCTGCACTTACGGTTTGGGACACCTAGAACTGAGGAGATCCAACTCTTGTCCAGCCCTCAAAACTGGGTTGAGGTGAGCAAGGAGGCAGCTCAGGGACAAATTTCTACTCCCATCTCATCTCTCTTCCTTAGAAGCCCTTGGAGACCAGCTCTTCCAAAGTCAAAGGTGAGAAATCTCCTTTCCAACAAAACTGTGTGGGGAAGACCTGCTGGTTTCTACCTCTACCCTCTGCCCCAGCATCAGCTGTCCCCCTGCCATGGTCACCCATTCACTCCTGCCCAAGGCTGAGTGGGCCCCTGTTCTATATCTTATCCCCTGTCCCTACTGCTACTCTGAGCCTTTGCTGACCTCTGCCCTGCCCTTGCCCCAGACCCCACCCCTTACAGCCCTGGCTCACCCTCTTCTCTGCCCACAGCCAAGACCATTGTGATGATTCCCGACTCCCAGAAGCTCCTGCGATGTGAACTTGAGTCACTCAAGAGCCAGTTACAGGCCCAGACCAAGGTGAACCACCTTGGCCCTGCCCCCAGCAACCTCTGTTTCTCCTTGCCCTCCCCTCCTTCCTCCCACCCCAAGGCTGACCTCTTTCCCCCAGGCTTTCGAGTTCCTGAACCACTCAGTGACCATGTTGGAGAAGGAGAGCTGCTTGCAGCAAATCAAGATTCAGCAGCTTGAAGGTGAGGACTGACCAGAGATCAAGGTCAGGCTAGGCCAGGCGTGGTGGCTCACGCCTGTAATCCCAGCATTTGGGGAGGCCAAAGAGGTTGGATCACTTGAGGTCAGGAGTTTGAGACCAGCCTGGACAACATGGTGAAACCCCATATCTACTTAAAAAAAAAAAAAAAAAAAGCCAGGTGCTGTCACTCATGGCTGTAATCCCAGCACTTTGGGAGGCTGAGGCAGGTGGATCACCTGAGGTCAGGAGTTCGAGACCAGCCTGGCCAATATGGTGAAACCCCATCTCTACTAACAATACAAAAATTAGCCAGGCGTGGTGGTATGCACCTGTAGTCCCAGCCACTCAGGAGGCTGAGAAAGGAGAATTGCTTTCTGGGAGGCAGAGGTTGCAGTGAGCCGAGATCACGCCACTGCACTCCAGCCTGGGCAACAAAGCAAGACTTCATCTCAAAAGAAAAAAAGTCAGGCTGGAAGCTGGTCCTGTTGGGATCAGCTGGGCCAGGCCAGGGTGAGGGAAATTGGGAGAGTCTGGGTTCTGGGTCAAGATTAGGACAAGCTGGGTTCAGGGTGGGATCAGGGCTCAGTCAAGGTCCCACACTCTCTGCAGAGGTGCTGAGCCCCACAGGCCGCCAGGGAGAGAAGGAGGAGCACAAGTGGGGCATGGAGCAGGGCCGGCAGGAGCTGTATGGGGCCCTGACCCAAGGCCTTCAGGGGCTGGAGAAGACCCTGCGTGACAGTGAGGAGATGCAGCGGGCCCGCACCACTCGCTGCCTGCAGCTGCTGGCCCAGGAGATCCGGGACAGGTCGGGGATGGCGGGAGGGCAGCTTGGAGTCCACAGGAGGGAAGGGAGACCCAGAACTGGGGAATGGAGGCAGGATGGGGGAAATGGCAGATGCCTGGGGGAGGGGGACTGAGGGATGGTGGAAAGCCTGAGGGACAAGAAGAGGGAATGAGGCCGGGTGTGGTGGCTCATGCCTGTAATCCCAGCACTTTGGGAAGCCGAGATGGGCGGATCACCTGAGGTCAGGAGTTCGAGACCAGCCTGGCCAACATGGTGAAACCCCATCTCTACTAAAAATACAAGAATTAGTCAGGCATGGCGGCGGGTGCCTGTAATCCCAGCTACTAGGGAAGCTGAAGCAGGAGAATCACTGGAACCCAGGAGGCAGAGGTTGCAGTGAGCTGAGATCGCACCACTGCACTCCAGCCTGGGCGCCTGGGCGCCTGGGCGGCAGAGCGAGACTCTGTCTAAAAAAAAAAAAATGAGGAGGGGATGAGAGGCTCAGGGGAGACAGGTGGCTGGTGGGGGCGGGGGAGTGGGAAACTGAGAGGCCAGAAGGCAGGGAAGACAGAAAGCTGGAGGTGGGATGGAAAAGGAGGCCAGGGGATCAGAAAGGGGGATGGCAGGGAAGACTGAGAGGACAGGAGACTGGGGGTATAGAAAGTCGGGGGACAGGAGGTGGGGAGGTGGAGGCCAGGTGATAGGAGGCTGAGTGGGGTGGGAGAGACTGAGAGAATGGGAGGCTGGGGATCAGAAGGAGAGGAGGGGGATGAGGGTAGGGGGATTGTAGAAGGGGAGGGGAAAAGGGCAGGGAAGTGTGGGGAGGGGACAGAGCTTGCGGGGATGGGTGGAGGCACAGATAGGGGCATGGGAGGTCAGGGGCCAGGCAGGGAGTGCAGGTCTAGGCTGCACTGTCCCCTCAGCAAGAAGTTCCTGTGGGAGGAGCTGGAACTGGTGCGGGAGGAGGTGACCTTCATCTATCAGAAGCTCCGTGAGTTCCTGGAGCCCACAGCCGGTGTGTGGGGAGGGGGTCCTTCTTCAGCCTTTGTCCGCCTGAGCCCCCTCCCTCCACAGAAGCGCAGGAGGATGAGATCTCAGAGAACTTGGTGAACATTCAGAAAATGCAGAAAACGCAGGTGAAATGCCGCAAAGTGAGTGGAGGAGATGGGGACCCTGGGGAGGAGTGGGAGAGGGAGGGATGGGGATTTTGGCCAGCCTCCACCATGAGATTGGAGCCTGGGTTCAAATCTCAGCTCTGCCACTCACTGCTGTGTGACTGTGGGCAAGTCACTTGACCTCTCTGAGCCTCAGTTTCCTCATCTGTATAATGGATGTAATAATAACTCATCTTGGCTGGGCGCGGTGGCTCACGCCTGTAATCCCAGCACTTTGGGAGGCTGAGGTGGGTGGATCAGAAGTTCGAGACCAGCCTGGCCAACATGATGAAACCCCGTCTATACTAAAAATACAAAAATTAGCTGGGTGTGGTGGCAGGCACCTGTAATCCCAGCTACTCAGGAGACTGAGGATGGAGAATGGCTTGAACCTAGGAGGCAGAGGTTACAGCGAGCCGAAATCGTGCCATTGCACTCCACCCTGGGCGACAAGAGCAAAACTCCCATCTTAAAAAAAAAAAAGAAAAAAGAAAAAGAAAAAGAAAACTCATCCTGTTGGGTGCTGTGGCATGCCTGTTATCTCAGCACTTTGGGAGGCTGAGGTGGTTGGATTGCTTGAGGCCAGAAGTTCAAGACCAGCCTAGGCAACATGGCAAAACCCTGTCTCTACAAAAAACAAAAAAAACAAGAGGGTGTGGTGGCACATGCCTGTAGACTTAGCTACTCAGAAGGCTGAGGTAGGGGGATCACTTGAGCCTTGGAGGTTCAGGGTGCGTTGAGCCCTGATAGTACCATTGCACTCTAGCCTGGGCGACAGACTGAGACCCTGTCTCAAAAAAGAAACAAACACCAAAAACAAAAACAAAAAACAAAACAAAAAAAAACACTCCTCCCTACCTGATCAGGTGTCTGTATTAGCTGAGTACTGTGCACTTGAATGCAGTCTGGCATATAACAAGTGCTATATAACAGTCACCTTTTACTATTATCATTATTATTATTTATTTTGTTTTCTTTTTTGAGACGGAGTTTCCCTCTTGTTGCCCAGGCTGGAGTGCAATGGCGCGATCTCAACTCACTGCAACCTCTGCCTCCTGGGTTCAAGCAATTCTCCTGCCTCAGCCTCTCGAGTAGCTGGGACAACAGGCGCCCGCCACCACGCCCGGCTAACTTTTTGTATTTTTAGTAGAGATGCGGTTTCACTGTGTTAGCCAGGATGGTCTCAATCTCCTGACCTCGTGATCTGCCCGCCTCGGCCTCCCAAAGTGCTGGGATTACAGGTGTGAGCCACCGCGCCTGGCACTATTGTCATTATTATTATGACTGCTGTTCTCTCATCCCTCCCCACCCCAGATCCTGACCAAGATGAAGCAGCAGGGTCATGAGACAGCCGCCTGTCCGGAGACTGAAGAGATACCGCAGGGAGCCAGTGGCTGCTGGAAGGATGACCTCCAGAAGGAACTGAGTGATATATGGTGATGCCCAGCCTGCAGTCTGACCCCTGACCCTCCTCTGAACCCGTTCCCCCAACGGGATCTGGCAGTGACCACCAGAACCTGGAGCCCACCTGAGTCCAGACTTCCCTCACCCCCTAGGACTCACCCCACCACGGCCCCCAACCTTAGCTGTACTGCTGTCTACACCCTGAGCAGTGTGGAGTCTCCCAGCGCCCCCAGCTCCTTGTCTTCTTGCAGGTCTGCTGTGCACGTGCTGCAGAACTCCATAGACAGCCTCACTTTGTGCTCGGGGGCCTGTCCCAAGGCCTCGAGCCTAAGAGGTGAGGGAGGCTGAGAATTGCTCAGGGGTGGGAGGTCATTGTCTAGCTTCACAGGGAGGCTATGTTCAGAGAGCCTATTTGGGAGTCACATCTGATGGGTGTTATTCTATGGTCACATTAAGTAGTGTTCTGGGGTCACATTAAGGAGTCACTGGAGGTTTCATCCAGGAGTCATTCATGGTCACATTCAGAGTCACTTGGATCTTATATGAGTCCATGGGGACTCCACACAGTGGCTCATGCCTGTAATCCTAATATTTTGGGAGGCTGAGGTGGGAGGATTACTTGAGTCTAGGAGTTTGAGACCAGCCTGGGCAACACAGTGAGACCCCATCTCTCCAAAAAATTTAAAAACTAGCTGGGTGATGGTGCACCTGTGGCTGAGCACACCTGTAGTCTCAGCTACTCAGGAGGCTGAGACAGGAGGATCGCTTGAGCCTGCGAGGTTGAGGCTGCAGTGAGCCATAATCGTGCCACTGCACTCCAGTCTGGGCAACAGAGCGAGACCCCATCTCTAAAAAAAAAAGTGTCAATTGGGTAAAATGCAAGGGTCATTGAAGTCATAATTTGGTGTCACACTGGATCACATTCAAGGGAATTGGGGGTCATGGTTTAAGTATCAATGAGGTATACTATGAAGGGACACAGGGCCTATATTTGGGGGTTACTTGAGGGTCACATTCAGGGAACCTGTCCCTCCTGCAGGCCACAAGGGGCACCAGTGCCTGAGCCCTCCACTCCCCTCCTGGGACTCTGACTCCGACTGTGACCAGGACCTCTCCCAGCCACCTTTCAGCAAGAGCGGCCGCTCCTTCCCACCCGGTGCAGATCCTCCCCAGTCCCCCCCTCCACCCATTTCCCTCCTGACCTGCCCTTGACTCCCACAGTCTAGACCCTCAGAACAGGCCCAGATCCTGATCTGGGCATGCGGTCCCTGACCTGCAGCCCCGGAGTCCCCTGGACCTGGCCAGGCCCTGACCCACCCTCTCTCTCCACAGCTTGAGCAGCCGGGACTGCTCTCCCTGAAGACCCCTCCAGAGAGAAAATAAACTAGCCCAGACCCTCCTCTAGCCCCGACTGTTAGTCTTGCTGCTTCCTGTGCCTAGGAATCCCCCTGCCCTCCTAGTTTACCCCTCATTGTTGGGGGGGAGGGGTGTAGAGACCCCAGGGGTCATTCGGGATGTGTGGGCTTGGAATCAGGGGACATCTGAAGCCAGATTTAATATATGACAAGGCAAGGAGTCATTCTGTCCAGACACGAGCAGCCAGACAGACTTCCACACTGGCCACAGAGCCTTCCTTTCTGGGGGGCCCTGGCGAATGGGGAAACTGAGGCCCAGAGAGGGAGAGGCGCGGCCCAGGGACATACTCTGAAGCCCCTCCCTCCTATTACCCTCGGAGCCCCGCCCACCCCAGGGTCCTCCCTCTCTACTTCCATTCTTGGTTCCTTCCTACAATCGATGCTAACACGCCCCGCCTCCAAGATCACGGAGGCCCCGCCCCACGGGGCTATGCAAATGAGACGCCCGGAGGCCCCGCCCCTCCCTCCACCTCGGAGTCTGCGCGGCGCGGCCAGGCCCGGCCGACCGCGTCTCGGTCTTCGCGTCTGCCAGCCTGGCTGGCAGTCCGTCTGTCCATCCCGCCGCGCCGGGGCAGTCTAGGCGGAGCGGGGGCTCAGGCGGCGGCGGCCTCGACGCGGTGAGAGGAGGGGGTGGGGGCGCCCCTCATCCCCTCCCGTGGGCTTCCCACCCCCGGTGTCGGTCTCCGGTTCCTGAGGGTTGGGTCCCTCTGGGTCCAGCGCGGGGAGGGGCGGGGGAGGGGAGGCGGCGAGCTGGGGGAGGGGACCGGGCTGGGGGAGGGGACCCCGGGCCGAGGAGCCAGCACCGGTGGTGAGGGCGGCTGTGGGTAACTGTGATTGTGTGGTTGTCATTGTGTGTCTGTGTGTGGTTGTGTAACTGTCATCGTGTGGCTGCATGACTGGGATTGTGTGGTTTCGGGAGGTCCGCGGGTGTGTGTGTGTGTGTGTCACTGTCATTGTGCGGCTGTCGTTGTGGGTGTCACTCTGATGGTTTGTGTGTGTGTGTCTGGCTATGCTGTGACTGCCATTGGCCCCCCGTGTGGCTGCTGTCTCTGTGTGTGACTGTCTTGGTGTTCGTGTGGTTGTGTGCATAGGACTGTCATTGTGTGGCTCCTGTTGTGTGTTCATTCTGATGGTGTGTATGTGTGTGTGGCTGTGGTCGTGCGCTGTGCACCTTTCTTGTGTGGCATTGTGAGTCTGTGTCATGGTCCATGGATGTGGCCATGTGGTTGTAGATGGCACCTTGTCTCTCCCCTGTGACTGTTGGTGTGAATAAGAGACTGTTAGTGTGTGTGTGGCTGTCGCTGAGTGCCTTGTAATTGGGGGTGTGACGCTGTGATGAGTTCTGTGACCCCCATTGTGTGCGGTGACTCTTTTCTGTGACTCTTAAGTGTGTTGCAGGCCTGACTGTGTGTCCCTGACTGTAGCGGTGTGGGGGCTTGTGTGGGACTGTGATGTGTGTAGGGTCTCCTGACATGTCTCTCTCTGTTTGGCCTGGGGTGGGGGTGGGGACTTGTTTGATCTGTTTGGTGTCTCTGACAGGCTATGAGCCCACTGTGTGTGAGTATGCAGTGACATGTGTTGTGTGTGTTGGACACCTGTCTGAACAAGGGGGCCCCTCTTGTTTACTGCAAAGTGGCGCCCAGCACAGCGCCTGGAAGTCGGCAGGTGCTCGGTCTTCACTGTGGGATGGGTGAACGCTATGCCATGGTTGTGTGTGTGTGTGTGTGTGTGTGTGTGTGGTGCCAGGATGGAGGCTGCGGCTGGGTTGTGCTTCCTAAGGGTGACAGCATGGGTGACTCTGGGTATCTAGGACCTCTGGCAACCATCACCCCATATCACACTGCAGAGTGAGTGTCGTGGTTGGGGTGCTGGACCCAGAGTGCCTACCCTCGCCTGCCTGGGCCTCAGTTTCCACATCTGCACAATGGGGGTGACCATCCCTGCCCTGCTGGCTGCCAGGAGCGGCTGTGAGTCTTCAGGCGTGGATGCAGCCTGGGGGAAGCCATAGGGCGCTTTCACAGGTGAGATGGGGCTGGGAGAATGGATGCAAGCAGGTGTGACTGTGTTGAGCCCTAAAGCGCTGGGGACTGGGGGTAGCCTTGGGGGAGGGAAGAGGAGAACTGGGAGGCAGACCGGCTGGGAAGAGGGGGAAGGAGGGAGAGGCAGTTGGCAGAGAAGGAGGGCTTGGCTATCAGCCCAACCAGACACCAACACCACAGCCCATGGGGACAGAGAGAGGGGCCCCTGCAGAGGCCATGGAGGAAGCGACTCAGGGGAAGGGTCTGGTAGGGATGGGGGCCCCTTGGGAAAGAGGATGGTGTCCCCTAAAAACTAGTGGGGACCCTTCTAAGTGCCATGGGGGAGGGGTTCCCATGAGGCTGGGGAGTCTCTTCTAAAGGCCCACCTCCTAAAGGGCATTGGGTCAGAGCCTCCCATGTAGGCTGTAAAGGAAGGGACCCCCGTAGACTCTTGGGGAGTGGTGTCAGAGGAGGCAGGTGTCCCCAGTAGGGTCAGGACCAACAGGGCAGGACCTGGATTGCAGAGGCATGGCCAGAAGGTTCAAGGGACAGAGTCAGGGCCTCCCCGGGTCTTCAGGGCCAGGGGTGTGGCCAAAGGACTCAGGGGATGAAGCCAGGGTCCCGGTGACCTGAGCCTTCCCCTAGGCACACCCCCTGGGACTCCCACTCCCTCCCCACCTCTGCAGGCCTGGCCTTCACCATGGCGGGAGGGAGACCGCATCTGAAGAGGAGTTTCTCCATCATCCCCTGCTTTGTCTTCGTGGAGGTGAGGACCCCCGTACCTCTCCCAGAGACGGCGTGCCTATCTCTGTCTCTGTCCAACCTCAGTCTCCTTATCTGTACCCACTTTTCCATCTCTGGGATCTCCCTTGCTGTCCCCTTTCTCTTGAGAAATGGTTATGAGCTTAGATTCAGAAGTGCCACTCCCCGGGGTCCAATCCCTCTCTGCCCCATCCACACTGCAGGGTGCTGGACACCACAGGTACCCTCCTGAGCCACAGTTTCCTCATTCATAAAATGGACATCACCAGAGTCCCAACTCATAGGGCTGTTCTCTGTGTGTGTGTGTGTGTGTGTGTGTGTGTGTGTACGTGTGTTTGAGATAGGGTCTCACTCTGTCACCCAGGCTGGAGTGCAGTGGCATAATCTCGGTTTACTGCCACCTCCACCTCCTGGGCTCAAGCAATTCTCCTACCTCAGCGTCCCGAGTAGCTGAGACTACAGGTGTGTGCCATCATGCCCAGCTAATTTTTGTACTTTTTGGTAGAGGTGGGATTTCAACATGTTGGCCAGGATGGTCTGGAACTCCTGACCTCAAGCAATCCTCCTGCCTCAGCCTCCCAAAGTGCTGGGATTACAGGCGTGAGCCACCACGCCCGGCCTCCTAGGGCTGTTCTAAAGGTAAAATATATTAATTCATGGACAAAGCTTGGTACGACCCCCTGCCCACAGTGAGGGTTACACCTGTGGTAGCTGCTAGCACCCCTACTTCTCTGATTTCTTTCCATGTGGGAGAGTCTCTCCACCTCCCCCTGTCTGTCTGTCTCTCATTTGAGCCTTGGCCCTAATCTCACTCTCCCCATGCCCATCTCTTCTCTCCCTCTCTCTACAACTCCCTTCCCTTTTCCTTTCCCTTCTCTTTCCTCTTGCTTTCTCCTCTTCTCCCCTCCTTTCCTGGCTTTCCTCTCTCTCTGTTTTTTTTTTTTCACTTCTTCCTTTTCTTTCTTTCCCTCCCTCCCTCTCTCTCTTTCTTTCTTTTGTGATGGAGTCTTGCTCCGCTGCCCAGGCTGGAGTGCAGTGGCACGATCTTGGCTCACTGCAAACTCCGCCTCCCGGGTTCAAGTGATTCTCCTGCCTCAGCCTCCCGAGTAGTTGGGAGTACAGGCGTCTGCCACCATACCCAGCTAATTTTTGTATTTTTAGTAGAGACAGGGTTTTGTCATGTTGTCCAGGCTGGTCTCAAACTCCTGATCTCAGGTAATCCACCTGCCTCAGCCTCCCAAAGTGCTGGGATTACAAGCATGAGCCACGTTTTAATTTTTTTTCTTTCTTTTTGTCTTTCAGCCATTCCTTTTCCTTTCTTTTTTTTCTGAGACAGGGTCTCCCTCTGTCACCCAGGCTGGAGTGCAGTGGTGCCATCATGGCTCACTGCAGCCTTAATCCTCTGGGTGAAGCAATCTTCCTTCCTCAGCCTCCCAAGTAGCTGGGACTATAGTTGTACAGAGATAAGGTCATGCGATCTCAAACTCCTGAGCTCAAGGGATCCTCTTGCCTATGCCTCCCAAAGTGCTGGAATTACAGGCACGAGCCGCTGCACACGGCCCCTCTGTTTCTGTCTCCTTCTCCTTCTGTTTCTCCTAAGCCCTGACCCTTCTCTCACCTCCTTTCCCCATTTCTCTCAGTCTCTCTCCCCCTTGTCTCTGTCTCTCTCCATCTTCTAGTTTCTGTCTCTAACCCATGTTTCTCCATCTCTGTATCTCTGCCTCTGTGGCCTCAGCTGGAGTCCTGACCTCTCTCTTCTCTCTCCGCCACCTCTCCCCGCCCTGGCTTGGTGGCAGTCGGTGCTGCTGGGCATTGTGATCCTGCTTGCTTACCGCCTGGAGTTCACGGACACCTTCCCTGTGCACACCCAGGGATTCTTCTGCTATGACAGTACCTACGCCAAGCCCTACCCAGGGCCTGAGGCTGCCAGCCGAGTGCCTCCTGCTCTTGTCTACGCACTGGTCACTGCCGGGCCCACCCTCACGGTGAGACAATGAAGACCTCCTAGGAGGCAGGTGGGCCGGTAAGGGTGGGTGAGGGGATGGGCTGGAAGGCCAGAAGACTCCATCTTGGTCTTGCCCACAGATCCTGCTGGGAGAGCTGGCGCGTGCCTTTTTCCCTGCACCACCTTCAGCCGTCCCAGTCATCGGGGAGAGCACCATCGTGTCTGGGGCCTGCTGCCGCTTCAGCCCCCCAGTGCGGAGGCTGGTCCGCTTCCTGGGTGAGAGACATGGCCTGGGGTCAGCCCCATGGTAATGGTGGGGAGGTGGGTATAGAAGAAAAGAGTCATGGGCCTGACAGTCATAATAATTCCAGGCTGGGTGTGGTGGCTCACGCCTGTAATCTCAGCACTGTGGGAGGCCAAGTGGGCGATCACCTGAGGTCAGGAGTTCAGGACCAGCCTGGCCAACATGGCGAAACCCTGTCTGTACTAAAAACAAAAAATTAGCTGGGCGTGTGGCAGGTGCCTGTAATCCTTGAACCCGGGAGGCAGAGGTTGCAGTGAGCCAAGATTGTGCCAGCCTGGGCAACAAGAGCAAAACTCCGTCTCAAAAAAAAAAAAAAAAAGAAGAATTCCAGGGAAAAGCTGGGCATGGTGGTACATGCCTGTAGCCCCAGCTACTTGGGAGGCTGAGGCAGAGACTCAGCTACTTGGGATTACTAGCTACTTGGGAGACTGAACAAGATCCCACCTCTTTAAAAAAAAGGGAATTCCAGGGGGGAAGGAAGAGGACCTGGAATTGCCATGATGGGGATGTTAGGAAGCAACAAGGGACTTAGGCTCAGACCAGATGTAATGGAGGTTCTAGGGACATGGGTGGGGCCTAACCCAACCATGATGGCAACTGTCGGAAGAGGGTCCCAGAATGCCATAAGGAGAGTCTCAGGCACAAAAGAGAGACACAGGCACAGGACAAACACCCTGGGGCCCCTGGGTGAGACTCTGGCTGTGCTTTAAATGGGGTCCCAGCCTCAAGTAGTGGCTGTGGGAAAGGGGGAGGGGCAGACCTTACCTATAATGATGGTCCCAGGGCAGAGGGCGGGAGACCCAGCTCTAACTTATTAGTGGCCCCAGGAGGAGAGTGTTGAACTCAGTAGTAGCCAGTTTAGGGGCAGGCAGGAAGAGCCCCAGGTATGCCATTAGGGTTTTCCCTAGCCGTCCTAGGCATGGGGTGGATCCTGATGTAATGGTGTTGGGGCGGGGGTCCAAGCCCAGCTATAATGGGGCTCCAAGGGAGGATCCGCCCCTGACATAGTGGTAATCCTAGAAAGACAGGGGCCAGATAATGAGGGTCCCTGGGGGCAGGAGGCCTCAGAGTACCTTCATGGTGGTCTTAAAGGAAGGGGGATGTTGGCACAACTACAGGGTCCCAAGTGTGCTTTAATGACAGTCACAGGAAAAGGGAGCTAAGAGGCCCAATGGAATCAGTGGGAGCATCAGGGCCTGGCGCATGAACCCCTTCCACTATCCCACCCCTAGGGGTCTACTCCTTCGGCCTCTTCACCACGACCATCTTCGCCAACGCGGGGCAGGTGGTGACCGGCAATCCCACGCCACACTTCCTGTCCGTGTGCCGCCCCAACTACACGGCCCTGGGCTGCCTGCCACCTTCTCCGGATCGGCCAGGTCCCGACCGCTTTGTCACTGACCAGGGTGCCTGCGCTGGCAGTCCCAGCCTCGTGGCCGCCGCGCGCCGCGCCTTCCCCTGCAAGGATGCGGCCCTCTGCGCCTACGCGGTCACCTACACAGCGGTGAGCTTCGGGAGCTTCGGGGTCGGAAATGGGTGTGCAGGCTGGACAGCGACCAGCAGCTAGGAAGCCGCCAGGGTTGGAGCCTCTGCTCTTCCACGCCCCGGGTGCTGTTGGAAGCTCTCGCTCCACGCCCCGACCTGTTGGAAGCTCTCCCTCCTCCTCCCAGATCCTAGCCACGCCCCCAGTCAGAGGCTATCGCTGTCCATTGACTCCGCCCCTTGCCCTCTGGCCACGCCTCCTGAGCCAGTAATGCGAGGGAAACTGTTGGCTCTACCCTATGGCATCAGGACAGTCCCTGATGTGCAAGACTCGGAACCCCTATAGCCTAGCCAGGCCCCCAGGATGCTACAGGCGCTAGATATTAGCTGGCAGACTGGGCAGATGGGACGGCCCCCTGGAGTCCTTGCCCCTCTTCTGGAGCCCTTGCCCCTCTCCTGGGGGCCTTGTTCCCTCCTGTTGTAGCCCTGGCCACGCCCCTTGCTCTTAACTGCTCTGGGATTTCTAACTCTGTCCCCTGCTTTTTCCTGGTCACATCCCCTGTTGCTTCAACTCTTTTTTCTGGCATCCGGGTTTATGCTCCCACCCTGTCAGTGGTCCCCTAGGGGTCAGGGGCTCCACCTCCTACAGCTCCTACAGCTCCTACAGCTCCCTTCGCCCTGACTCCACCCTCTGGTTCTGTGGCCACGCCCTAATCCAGTAAGTGTCTGTCCCCATCTGCGACTCCGGACCAGGGACACCTGGGCCCCAGACCTTGTCCTCTGCTCTTGGGAGCTCTGGCCACACCTAGCCCTGCAGGTGGTGCCCACGAGACTCCAAGACCTCAATCCCTGACCCCCCCCCCTTTGCCTTTTTGGTCACGCTCCCTGGAAAAGCCCACTGGGAGCCCATGACTCCAACCCTGGAGCCCCTGGCCACTCCCTCCAGCCCCAACGCTCTGGCCATGCGCTCTAGCCCAGAAAGGAGCGTCCACTTGGGTTCGGCGACTTGCCTCCGCTATCCCCCTGACCAGTCCGGCTCCCCGCAGATGTACGTGACTCTCGTGTTCCGCGTGAAGGGCTCCCGCCTGGTCAAACCCTCGCTCTGCCTGGCCTTGCTGTGCCCGGCCTTCCTGGTGGGCGTGGTCCGCGTGGCCGAGTACCGAAACCACTGGTCGGACGTGCTGGCTGGCTTCCTGACAGGGGCGGCCATCGCCACCTTTTTGGTGAGTTGCCTCCTCAACCTTCCCAGCATGGAAGACCCTCACCAGCTCTCTGACCCAAGAGGCAGGACCACATGATGGAGAAGGGTGTGGACTCTGTGTGACCTTGGGCCAATCCCTTAACATTACCCTTCCTGGATATTCTCATCTGTGAAATGAGATACCAGGATCAGGGTGAGGCAAGGCCTTGAATGCAAATTTTAAGAGGGTGCCCAACACTCAGTAATCAAGATTAATATTTTAACAAAACATTTTTAAAAATCAAAGTTAATACAAAACTATCATAATGTACAGAATATAAAAATTCTAAATAAAGATGAATCAAGGCTGGGTGCGGTGGCTCACGCCTGTAATCCCAGCACTTTGGGAAGCTGAGGCAGGCGGATCACTTGAGGCCAAGAGTTCGAGACCAGCCTGGTCAACATGGCCAAACCCTGTCCCTGCTAAAAATACAAAAATTAGCCAGGCATAGTAGTCCCAGCTACTTGGGAGGCTGAGGCAGAAGAATCGCTTGAACCCGGGGGACGGAGGTTGCAGTGAACTGAGATCGTGCCACCTCACTCCAGCCTGGGTGAAAGAGCGAAAGTCTGTCTCAAAAAAAAAAAAAAAAAAAATTAGCTGGGAATGGTGGTGCACACCTGTGGTCCCAGCTACTCAGGAGGCTGAGGCAAGAGAGTTGCTTGAATCCAGGAGGTGGAGTTTGCAGTGAGCTGAGATTGCACCACTGCACTCCAGCCTGGGTGACAGAGTGAGACTGTCTCAAAAAAATAAAAAATTAAAAAAATTAAATCCTGCCACTGTACAACTTGGTCTTACTTACTTTAGCCTAGTGTGGGGTCTGTGGGATAAATAATAATTGCACCTACCTCAGTAAAATGGAACCAACAGTGCCTGGCACATACTATGCATTAGCTGTTTTTGAAAACCGGAGCCTCACTTTCCTTATCTGAAAAATGGGGATGGTATTTACATGGCTCCTATGTGACTTGCCCCAGGCCTCAACACTCTCCTCTCCCTCTATTCCAGGTCACCTGCGTTGTGCATAACTTTCAGAGCCGGCCACCCTCTGGCCGAAGGCTCTCTCCCTGGGAGGACCTGGGCCAAGCCCCCACCATGGATAGCCCCCTCGAAAAGTTAAGTGTGGCGCAGGTAAGGGGGGCCGGGGGCTGCTCCCGGCTGGAGAGGGTGGTGGGTGGAGGGGGCCAAGGAGACAGGAAGGAAGTCAGGCAAGAGGTGGGGGTCTCAGAACCATGGGGAAGTGGAGGGATCACCCATCTCTGTGGACATAGGTCCTGGGCGGACAGCCCCAAAGAATGAAAGGGAGCACCCCCGTCTTCTTCCCAGGGGGACACGGTTAATCATGAGAACTGTGGTTGTCTTTTCCATGGGGCTCTTCACCTGATGAGCTCCTTGTGGCTGTGGCCGGTAGGGCCCAGGGGGCCACTAGCCCCTTCCGTCTGTCTCTTTGTCTCAGGAACCCGAGGTCTGCAGGCCGCATTCGACACCGGCACGGCTCACCCCATCCAGTGAGTGTTGGGGGAGTGGGGGGCTAAACAGGGGGACTTCCAGGTGGGCAGCCACTGCCCCAGAGGTCTCACCTAGGCCTTTATGCTGCCTCCCGAGTTTTCTGATCCCCTGATATCTGGCTTCTGACCACCAGAGTCGCAGAACTGCGCCCGCCGTGGCCACCTGATCCCCAGCTGTGTCTCCTCCAGGGCCCCAGCCATGTGTTCGTCGCCCCGTGTGCCCCGTCCTCGATTGAGGTCTGAGCCGACGCCCTTGCCCCTGCCCCTACCCCTGCCAGCGCCCACCCCCAGCCAGGGCCCCTCGCCTTCCTCCCCTGGACCTGGGGGGCCAGGCGGGGGTGGTGGACGTGGCCGGAAGCTGCTGCTGCCCACGCCCCTGCTGCGGGACCTGTACACCCTGAGTGGACTCTATCCCTCCCCCTTCCACCGGGACAACTTCAGCCCTTACCTGTTTGCCAGCCGTGACCACCTGCTGTGAGGCCCGACCACCCACCCAGAATCTGCCCAGTCCCCACTTCTTCCCTGCCACGCGTGTGTGTGCGTGTGCCACGTGAGTGCCAAAGTCCCCTGCCCCCCAAGCCAGCCAGACCCAGACATTAGAAGATGGCTAGAAGGACATTTAGGAGACATCTGCCTCTCTGGCCCTCTGAGATATCCCGATGGGCACAAATGGAAGGTGCGCACTTGCCCCTACTATTGCCCTTTTAAGGGCCAAAGCTTGACCCCATTGGCCATTGCCTGGCTAATGAGAACCCCTGGTTCTCAGAATTTTAACCAAAAGGAGTTGGCTCCAACCAATGGGAGCCTTCCCCTCACTTCTTAGAATCCTCCTGCAAGAGGGCAACTCCAGCCAGTGTTCAGCGACTGAACAGCCAATAGGAGCCCTTGGTTTCCAGAATTTCTAGAGTGGGTGGGCATGATTCCAGTCAATGGGGGACCGCCCGTGTCTAAGCATGTGCAAAGGAGAGGAGGGAGATGAGGTCATTGTTTGTCATTGAGTCTTCTCTCAGAATCAGCGAGCCCAGCTGTAGGGTGGGGGGCAGGCTCCCCCATGGCAGGGTCCTTGGGGTACCCCTTTTCCTCTCAGCCCCTCCCTGTGTGCGGCCTCTCCACCTCTCACCCACTCTCTCCTAATCCCCTACTTAAGTAGGGCTTGCCCCACTTCAGAGGTTTTGGGGTTCAGGGTGCTGTGTCTCCCCTTGCCTGTGCCCAGGTCATCCCAAACCCTTCTGTTATTTATTAGGGCTGTGGGAAGGGTTTTTCTTCTTTTTCTTGGAACCTGCCCCTGTTCTTCACACTGCCCCCCATGCCTCAGCCTCATACAGATGTGCCATCATGGGGGGCATGGGTGGAGCAGAGGGGCTCCCTCACCCCGGGCAGGCAAAGGCAGTGGGTAGAGGAGGCACTGCCCCCCTTTCCTGCCCCCTCCTCATCTTTAATAAAGACCTGGCTTCTCATCTTTAATAAAGACCTGTTTGTAACAGAAGTTTGGCCATCTGCCTTCCTCCCCCGGGTGGTGGGGGGGTGCGGAGGACATTCATCGTGGGTCTAGATGTCTGTGGAGCTGGGTGTGGGTGTGTTGCCGCAGTGTATCTAAGGACAATTGTGGAAAGGCAGCCCGGTTTCATGGAGCTTCAGACTTGGGCTGAAATCCTGGCTCAGCATTCTGGGCTCTGTGGCCTCAGAAAAGTTCATTCACCTCTCTGTGCCCTTGTTTCTTCATCTATCAAAGGCAAACAGTCACTCAAGCTACCAAGGCACACAAACCCACATCAGGAGCCGTACATGCCCTGTGTGTCTCAGGCCAGGGCACAGAGGGCACAAGGAATGGGGTGAGGATACTTGGGGGTCCTGAGAGGGATGGGGGATGCTGAGGGGCACTAAGAACCTCCAAGTGGAACACCTGGCTGTGTGGATGAGAACAGGGGTGCTGAGTATGAGATTACACCAAGACCCAACCCCCCTGAGAACTCAGCAGATACTGGGGATGTTCAAAGGGTCAGGGAGAGGGAGCCACAGGACCCCTCCCTCAATTGTGGCTCTGAGGGCTTTCAGACAGGGCATTTGGGACCCAGAGTCACTCAGGAACCAGGAAAAGGGAGTCTGTTTCCCTTCTCTCCTTAATTAATTCACTCATTCATTAAGCAAACACTGTAGAACCCCTACTGTGTGCTAGATGGTCTTAGTCTGTTCCAGCTGCCGTGACAAAATACCATGGACAGGATGGCTTATTTATTAAATTATTAAAAAATAAATTTCTCTACTACTATTAAATTCCTCTACTAATTATTAAAAAATAAATTTCTTGGCTGGGCATCGTGGCTCACGCCTGTAATCCCAGCACTTTGGGAGGCCGACAAGGGTGGATCACGAGGTCAGGAGATTGAGACCATCCTGGCTCACAGGGTGAAACCTCGTCTCTACTAAAAATACAAAAAATTAGCTGGGTGTGGTGGCGGGCGCCTGTAGTCCCAGCTACTCAGGAGACTGAGGCAGGGGAATGGTATGAACCCGGGAGGTGGAGCTTGCAGTGAGCCGAGATCGTGCCACTGCACTCCAGCCTGGGGGACATAGCAAGACTCTGTCTCAAAAAAAAAATAATAATAATAATAACAATAAATTTCTGATTTATTTATTTATTTATTTTGAGACGGAGTCTCGCTCTGTTACCTGGGCTGGAGTGCAGTGGTGCGACCTCGGCTCACCGCAACCTCCACCTTCCAGGTTCAAGCGATTCTCCTGCCTCACTCAGCCTCCTGAGTAGCTGGGACTACAGGTGCGCACCACCACGCCCAGCTAATTTTTTGTATTTTTAGTAGAGACGGGGTTTCACCGTGTTAGCCAGGATGGTCTCGATCTCCTGACCTTGTGATCTGCCTGCCTCAGCCTCCCAAAGTGCTGGGATTACAGGCATGAGCCACTGCGCCTGCCTTATTTTTATTGTGTGTGTGTGTCTTTTTTTGTTAAGATGGAGTTTTGCTCTGTCGCCAGGCTGGAGTGCAATGGCACGATCTCGGCTCACTGCAACCTCTGCCTCCTGGGTTCAAGCGATTCTCCTGCCTCAGCCTCCCAAGTAGCTGGGATTACAGGCACCCACCACCACGCCCGGCAAATTTTTGTATTTTCAGTAGAGATGGGGTTTCACCGTATTGGCCAGGGTGGTCTCGAACTCCTGACCTTGTGATCTGCCTGCCTCAGCCTCCCAAAGTGCTGGGATTATAGGCATGAGCCGCTATACCTGGCCTATTTTTTTAATAGAGACAGGGTTGTGCCATGTTCCTCGGGCTGGTCTTGAACTCCTGGGCTCAAGTGGTTCACCCACCCCAGCCTCCCAAAGTGCTGGGATTACAGACATGAGCTACCACCCCTGGCCTAACAGAAGTTTATTGCTCACAGTTTTGAAGGCTGGGAAGTCCAAGATCAAGGCCCCAGCAGATTCGGTGGCCAGTGAGGGCCTGCTTCCTCATAGACTCACTCTAGTCTCACATGGCAGAAGGTGGAGAAGCTCTCTGGGGCCTCTTTTATAAGAGCACTAATCCCATTCATGAGGACTCCACCCTTATGACCTAATCACCTTTAAAAGGCCCCCACCTCCTATCACTGTGGGTTAGGATTTCAACATATGAACCGGGGGAAGGGGCACAAACATTCAGACCAAAGCACAGGTGCTGTTTAGTTAGGCACAGGGTGGGGGTTGTGGCAGGGGGAGGTTACAGCAGTAAACAACAGACACAAACCTCTGCTGTCACGGATGTGAGCGTTCTAATATGTAAGACAACAAACAAGGTAAATGGGGCCTGGTCTCCACACCTGTAATCCCAATACTTTGGGAGGCCAAGGCCAGAGGATTGCTTGAGCTTAGGAGTTGGAGAATGACCTGGGCAACATAGTGAGACCCCCGTCTGTTCAAATATATATATATATATATATTTTAAAATTAGCTGGGCATGTTGGTGCGTACCTGTAGTCCCGGCTATGCAGGAGGCTGAGATGGGAGTCCCTTGAGCCCAGGAAGTCGAGACTGTCGTGAGCTGTGATGATGCCACTGCACTGTAGCCTGGGTGACAGAGCAAGACCATGTCTCTGGATAAATAAATACACAAATTAATAAATATAAAAATAAACGAGCTATATACAGATTCACAATTCCAAATTTTTATAGAAGTCTGAAAACCAGGCCAGGCGCAGTTGCTCACACCTGTAATCCCAGCATTTTGGGATGCTGAAGTGGGCGGATCACCTGAGGTCGGGAATTCAAGACCAGCCTGGCCAACATGGTGAAACCCTGTCTCTACTAAAAATACAAAAATTAGCTAGGTGTGGTGACACACGTCTGTAATCCCAGCTACTAGGGAGGCTGAAGCAGGAGAATCGCTTGAACCCGGGAGTTAGAGGTTGCAGTGAGCTGAGATCACACCACCGCACTCCAGCCTGGGTGACAGAGTGAGACTCTGTCTCAAAAAAGAAAAAGAAGTCTGAAAACCAAAATCCTTTCATAACTCATTTATGGCAAAACCTAACCTGAACTGACCTGAGATTATATATAGCTTTTATTTATTTCACTTGATGTGAATATTCTTGTGTTTTGCTGAAGATAAAGTGACTTGAGGATTTTACTCCTGGTCCCACCAGGGGTATGAAATACATAGTATTTATACCCTATTACTTTTTTAAAATCTGAAAAATCCTGAATTTCCAACTCCAGGATCATGGATTTAGCTAAGGGATCTCTGATATGTTAGATATCGATATGTGATAAGGAGAACACTCAAGCTAAGGAAGCCGATGTGACAAGTGTGGGATAGGGACATGGTTTGCAATTTTTTTAAGAGAGAGGGAGGGTCTCGCTCTGTTTGTTGCTTAGGCTGAGCGACGAGTGGAATGCAGTGGCATGATCATAGCTCACTACAGCCTTAAACTTCTGGGATCCAGCGATCCAGTGATCCTCCCAAGTAGCTGGGACTACAGGCACACACCACCATGCCTGCTAATTTTTTAAATTTTTAGTAAAGACAATGTCTTACTATATTCCCCAGGCTGGTCTTCAACTTCAGGGCTCAAGCGATCTTCCCACTTCGGCCTCCCAAAATGCTGGGATTAAAGGGGTGAGCTGCCATGCCTGGGCTATGGTTTGCAATTTTTAAAAAAGTGATCAAGGAAGTTTTCTCTGAGATGACACTGGGAGGGAGGGAGCCATGCAAATATGTGGTGGGGAGACCTCTAGGCAAAGGGAAGAGCAAGTGCGAAAGCCTTGAGGTGGGAACATGCCTTCTGTGTTCAGGGAACAGCAAAGTGGCCTGTGTAGTAGTTGGCACAGGGTGAGCAAGGAGGAGACAGAAGAAAAGGAGGCTGGGGAGACGGTGGGGAAGTTGAGGAGATGGTGGAGCTGATCATGGGCCACTGGGGGGATGAGATGAGAGCATCAGATAGCTGATGGCAGAGGAAAGACAGCATCATGAGGCCCCCTGATTGACTGACCAAGGCTCCTGTTTCCAGAGCTTATACACCTGAGACCCGTGGTCTCTCCTGACACACAGCTGTCTCCACTGGGGCCAGGAAGAAAGCAAAGCTTCAGCACAACGGACAGCGCCACCACCCAAACCAGCAGGCCCTGTCTGTGATGCTGACGCAGAGCGCTGGCCAACAATGGGAATAGTGGGGGAAGAATCAGGTCCCATTCAGGAGGGTGGTGACAGCAGCCCTGGCCTTGCACCAACCCCCATACTGGGATAGATGATCTTAGAGAACACAGGCTGGCTTGTACCTGTTTGGGATTGGCTGGGCGTGGTGGCTCACGCCTGTAATCCCAGCACTTTGGGAGGCCGAGCCAGGCGGATCACTTGAGGTCAGGGGTTTGAGACCAGCCTGGCTAACATAGTGAAACACCATTACTACTAAAAATACAAAAAATTAGCTGAGCGTGGTGGTATGCGCCTGTAATCCCAGCTACTCAGGAGGCTGAGGCAGGAGAATCGCTTGAACCCAGGAGGCAGAGGTTGCAGTGAGCAGAGATCATGCCATTGCGCTCCAGCTTGGGCAACAAAAGCGAAACTCCAGCTCAAAAAAAAAAAAAAAAATGAAAGCCTTCTCAGCTGGGCACAAGTGGCTCATTCCTGTAATCCCAACACTATGGGAGGTCTAGGTAGGAGGATTGCTTGAACCCAGGAGTTTGAGATCAGCCTAGGCAATGTAGCAAGACCCTGCTCTCTAAAAAGTAAAGCGTTTAGGCCTGGAGCAGTGGCTCACGCCTGTAATCCCAGCACTCAGAGAGGCTGAGGTGGCAGATCACCTGAGGTCAGGAGTTCAAGACCAGATTGGCCAACATAGTGAAACCCCATCTCTACTACAATTACAAAAATTAGCCAGGAGTGGCAGCATGCGCCTGTAATCCCAGCTACTCAGGAGGCTGAGGCAGGAAAATCACTTGAACCCGGGAGGCGGAGGTTGCAGTGAGTCCAGATCGCACCATTGCACTCCAGCCTGGGTGACAGTGCGAGACTCGGTCTCAAAAAATAAAAAAACGACAACAACGACAACAAAAATCAAAAGCCTTCTCAACATGCCCCTGTGGGTCTCACAGCATCTCAATCTCAAGTTGACTAAAACAGAGCTCTCTGATTTAGAATGTCACAACACAACTATCCCAGGCACAGAGCTCTCTCCTGTCTCCTCATGACTCGAGTAAAAGCCAACTTTCTCCCAATGCCTCAGGGCCCTTGCACTGAATGAATTCTCCACCTAGAATGTTCTTCCCCTGCATATTTGCACAGTTCACACCCTGACCTCTCTCAGGCCTTTTCTCAAATGTCGCCTTCCCAGCCTGACCCAACCACCCTATTCAAAATTGAAAAAACAACTGGCCCTTCCTTCTAACTTCCCTTCCTTGTGCAAATTTCTTTTCTTTTTTTTTCTTTTGAGATGGAGTCTTGCTCTGTCACCCAGGCTGGAATGCAATGGTGCGATCTCAGCTCACTGCAACCTCCACCTCCTGGGTTCAAGTGATTCTCCTGCCTCAGCCTCCTGAGTAGCTGTGATTACAGGCGCCCCACCCCGCCCAGCTAATTTGTGTATTTTTAGTAGAGATGGGGTTTCACCATGTTGGTCAGGCTGGCCTCAAACTCCCGACATCAGGTGATCCGCCCGCCTCAGCCTCCCAAAGTGCTTGGATTACAGGGGTGAGTCGCCGTGCCCGGTCCCTTGTGCAAATGTCTTTTTGCCTATGCTTGTCATGTGCTCACAGTGTTTCAATTCCTCGTGATGCTCAGTGGGTCTTTATAGGTCTCCCTCACTCGGATGTCGCTCCACCAGGACAGAGATTTGATCTGTTGTCTGTTCACTGTGGGGTCTACAGTTACTAGAATGGGCCCTGATACATAGTAGATACTATTGCTTGAGGATGCCAGTAAACTAAGGATAGGCACAGAGTGACCCCAAGCCACCTAGTTCCTACCCTGTAGCCCCAGGTCCAACCCTACCTGCAGGCAGGTACATTCCTCCATGATTCTCCTCTATGGTAAATCTTCTTCTGTCAAGATGTGAAGACAGGCCAGACACAGTGGCTCATGCCTATAATCCTGGCACTCTGGGAGGCCAAGACAGGCGGATCATCTGAGGTCAGGAGTTTGAGACCAGCCTCGCCAACATGGTGAAACCCCATCTCTACTGAAAGAAATACAAAAGAAAAAAAAATAAGCTGGGCATAGTGGTGTGTACCTGTAATCCAAGCTACCCGGAAGGCTGAGGCAGGAGAATTGCCGGAACCCGGGAGGTAGAGGCTGCAGTGAGCCGAGATCGCGCCACTGCACTCCAACCTGGGTGACAGAGCGAGACTCCGTCTCGAAAAAACAAAACAACACAACAACAATAACAACAAAAACAGATAATCAGTTAAAGAGTGAAATGTGTGCAATTTTGGGCAGGCAGTCAGGGGAAGCCTCTCTGAGTAGATGATATTTTGACCAAAGACCTAAAAAGAGTGGAGGGAAAAAAAAGTCGGCTGGACTCGGTGGCTCACACCTGTAATCCCAGCACTTTGGGAGGCCAAGGCGGGCAGATCACCTGAGGTCAGAAGTTTGAGACCAGTCTGACCAACACGGAGAAACCCCGTCTGTACCAAAAATACAAAATCAGCCGGGCGTGGTGGTACATGCCTGTAATCCCAGCTACTTGGGAGGCTGAGGCAGGAAAATCACTTGAACCTGGGAGACGGAGGTTGTGATGAGCCAAGATTGCACCATTGCACTCCAGCCTGGGCAACAAGAGCAAAACTCCATCTCAAAAAAAAAAAAAAAAAAAAAAGCCAGAAGGATATCTGGAAGCTGACTGCTGCACACACAAGAACATCAAGTGCAAAGGACTTGTGGTGAGGCTGTATTCAGCATGCTCCCATGTATGTAACTGTGCTGGACTCTGTGATGTGGGTGTCACTACTGAGTATTTGTGCATTTTTGTTTGTTTTTGTTGAGATAGGGTCTCGCTATGTTGCCCAGGCTGGAGTGCAGTGGCACAATCACTGCTCACTGCAGCTTTGACTTCCTTGGGCTCAAGCAATCCTCCTGCCTCAGACTCCCAAGGAGCTGGGACTACAGGTGCACGCCACCACACCTGGCTAAATTTTTTTTTTTTTTTTTGAGACAGAGTCTCGCTCTGTCGCCCAGGCTGGAGTGCAGTGGCGCGATCTCGGCTCACTGCAAGCTCCATCTCCCGGGTTCACGCCATTCTTCTGCCTCAGCCTCCCAAGCAGCTGAGACTACAGGCGCCTGCCACCATGCCTGGCTAATTTTTTTTTCTATTTTTAGTAGAGGCTGGGTTTCACCGTGTTAGCCAGGATGGTCTTGATCTCCTGACCTTGTGATCTGCCCACCTCGGCCTCCCAAAGTGCTGGGATTACAGGCGTGAGCCACCGCGCCCGGCCAACACCTGGCTAATTTTGAAGTATTTTGTAGAGATGGGGGTCTCCCTACATTGCCCAGGCTGGTCTTGAACTCTTGGCCTCAGGCAATCCTCTTGCCTTGGCCTCCCAAAGCACTGGGACTACAGACATAAGCCACCACACCTGGCCTGTATGTGCATTTGGAGTGTTGAAATGTGAGGTGAATCATGCGTTGTATATCTGCTGGGGGATGGGGGCTGAGGTGGCGTGTTTGACAGCGCAGTGTATCGGTGTGCTTCACTGTGTGTGTCTGTGTGTGTAGTGGCAATGTCATAGTTGCGTGTTTTGCAAGAGAAAGGGTGTGGGGGATGAATGTGGGACAGAGTTTGTATGGGATGCTTTGTGTCAGGATAGGGCAAGGTTGGAGCATGTGGATGATGGGGATTCTGAAAGTAGAATATATTCAGAGATGCCATGGTGTGTGTGTGTGTGTGTGTGTGTGTGTAGAGGGGTGTGAGTGAGCCCAGCTGTGTGAGTGGGTGTGTTGGGGGATGTCGTGGAGCTGTTTTCTGGTCCCAGAGGGAGAGAGAAAGCCCAGGAAATCTCACTTTCTCCCTGCCCCTGGGTCTCCAGGCAACGGCACCACTTTGGAGTTACCAGGAGACAAGGTTGCCAGGGCAACACAGGCGTGAGTGGCAGCTCTGGGGCGAAGTCTGGGTGAGAAGATCCAGCCAGGGATCACGATCATTCACTTTGTTCCTCCCTTTCTCCCTGTTTCTCATCAATCCCACCTCCCTTCCTTCATTGTCTTAACGAGCACGTATTTGAGAACCTACAAATGTGCTAGGTGCTATTCTCGGTACTGGAGAACAGAAGTGAACAAGACAATGTCCCTGCTGTATCTCTCCTTCAGTCTTCCAGCTCCTGTCTCTTTATCTCTCCTGCTTCCTTCTTTGTCCTGCGGTCCTGCCTTCCCCCCGTACCACAAAGGCGGCCCCACAGAACCCCTTAGCCAGTGAGGAAGTAAGTTGAGAGGCTTCATCTCACAGACTTTCGGGGATGGCCGTTGATGTTTTGTCCACGAGCCTGTGTCCCCAGACACACACTCCGGCCCATACTCAGGTGCACAGAAAGACAAGCACACAGCTCATCCCCCTCTCCAAAACTCTCAGTTGTCATTGGATGACATCAGCAAAACCACACACAAATACATGCCGATCACAATACTCCTCTGAGATATCATAAGCCCCATTTTACAGCAGGGCAAACTGAGGCTAGGAGCCTTTAAATAATATGTCACTCATTCTGGTCTACTCCTCCAACTTTCAACCCTTATATTTGTCTGATTAGCTGACAATAATAGTATTCGTGCTGGTTCCCCCAGCAGCCTCCCTCAGGGAAGGGTCTTATTTCCCTCGAATGCACCCATTCCTCCGCATAGGTTCTAACCATTTGCCCATTCACCTGAGGAATCGAGTTTTGATGGACAGATTCCTAGACCAATAGAGAAACTAAGTGAACTGTACCGATGCGGCCACGGCTTGGGCGGGACTAAGGCTGGGAACGAGCCACCGATTGGTCAGAGCTACGCGGCGAATGGCGGAGACGCTGAGGCGGGTGCTAACCAGGGGCGGTGCGGCCTGGTCCGGGGAGGAGAACATGCCTGCCGCCGGACCGCCTTTGCTGCTGCTCGGTACACCAGGATCTGGAAAAACAGCGCTGCTATTTGCTGCGGCCCTAGAGGCGGCGGGGGAGGGCCAAGGCCCAGTCCTCTTCCTGACACGAAGGCCTCTTCAAAGCATGCCCCGCGGGACCGGAACGACTCTAGACCCAATGCGACTCCAGGTAACCGTGGGGGTGGGAGCAGAGGCGTTCTAGCCAATGGTGGAGTAGATCCGGGATATTGAGTAACAGGTAGACAAGCCAATGGAGAGGACGGTGGAAGAGCGAGCCAGGGCAGCCACGATGGGGCGGAGTCAGGCAGGCGGAGTGAGGAGTGGCACCACGCGGAGCTTAGTTAAGATTGAAGTGAGAGCCCATCCAATGATGGGCGGTGTTAGCAAGAGGCGGTGCCCAGAGATTGAAGTCCGGCCCATCAAGGGGCGGGGCTAAGCTTGGGTCCATTCTGGACCTGAGTTGGTTCCTGTTAGTGTCAAGGATGGGGTCAGACCGAGAATGCTGGGGGAGGGTTTTCCGTGGAAAAATTGCGCTAGAGATTTGGCCAAAAACAAACAAGCAAAAATGGCTTGCCCTCAACTAATACTCGGCAGTGATGAGTGCTGGAAAAACGGGCGAATATAAGAATATTTAACAGCTCTGAACTGGTTCATCCTGGAACCAAGGAAAGTATGCAAGGAGGCAGGGTTACTTTTAAGGAGTCTGGCTTCCTGTGCTGAATCCGGCCCTTTCCTTCTGTTTCTCCTTCTAGAAGATCCGCTTCCAGTACCCACCCTCAACCCGAGAGCTTTTCCGGCTCCTGTGCTCTGCCCATGAGGCCCCGGGGCCAGCCCCCTCCCTTCTGCTGCTCGACGGCCTAGAAGAGTACCTAGCGGAAGACCCAGAGCCCCAGGAAGCCGCCTACCTCATTGCCTTACTTCTAGACACAGCTGCCCACTTCAGCCACCGGCTTGGGCCTGGCCGGGATTGTG
Source organism: Homo sapiens (assembly GCF_000001405.40). Classification (NCBI taxonomy): domain Eukaryota; kingdom Metazoa; phylum Chordata; class Mammalia; order Primates; family Hominidae; genus Homo; species Homo sapiens. The sequence continues at coordinate 11,375,733 of NC_000019.10, forward strand.
GGCTCATGGTGGCCCTCCAGACCCAGGAGGAAGCAGGTAGTGGGGACGTCCTGCACCTGGCACTGCTCCAGCGGTATTTTCCTGCCCAGTGCTGGCTGCAGCCAGATGCACCAGGTCCAGGAGAGCACGGCCTCCGAGCCTGCCTGGAGCCAGGCGGGCTGGGCCCCAGAACAGAGTGGTGGGTGACTTTCCGATCAGATGGAGAAATGATGATCGCTCCGTGGCCCACCCAGGCTGGTGACCCCAGCTCAGGCAAGGGTTCAAGCTCTGGAGGCCAGCCCTGAGCTTTGGTGGGTGACTACCTCTCTGTGCTTCAGTTTCCCATGGCTGGAATACTTACCTCAGGGACATATGCAGATCCAAAGACCTAAACAATGTAAAGTGCTTTTTCTCTTTTAAAAGTATAGCATTATCTTGTATATATTTTACCCAATCAATATGTTGTTTATAGTTTCATTGCTTTAAACTTTATAAAAAGAGCTTCAGGCCAGGCGTGGTGGCTCACGCCTGTAATCCCAGCACTTTGGGAGGCTGAGGCGGTCAGATCACCAGAGGTCAGGAGTTGGAGACCAGCCTGCCCAACATGATGAAACCCTGTATCAACTAAAAGTACAAAAAAAATTAGCTGGGTGTGGTGGCAGGTGCCTGTAGTCTCAGCTACTCAGGAGGCTTAGGCAGGAGAATTGCTTGAACCCAGGAAGCGGAGGTTGCAGTGAGCCGAGATTGTGCCACTACACTCCAGCCTGGGTGACAAAGCGAGACTCCATCTCAAAAAAAAAAAAAAAAAAAAGTTTGAGACTTCCTTCTTTTTGCACTCAACGTTGTTACTAAGATTCATCTACATTTTTTTAGTTCATTCCTTTTTCCATATTGCATATAATTCCATGGGTGACTATACCCTGATTTCTTCATCAGATTGCCTTATTTACTGCTGCGAACATTCTTGCACACATGCCCTGGTACGTGTGTGTGTTTTTAGGGGCCGAGACAGGTGGATCACCTGAGGTCAGGAGTTCGAGGTCAGCCCGGCCTACATGGTGAAACCCCGTCTCTACTAAAAATACAAAATTTAGCCAGGCATGGTGGCATGCACTTGTACTCCCAGCTACTTGGGAGGCTGAGACAGGAGAATTGCTTGAACCCGGGAGGCAGAGGTTGCAGTGAGCTGAGATCGAGCCACTGCACTCCAGCCTGGGTGATGAAGACGAGACTCTGTCTCAAAAAAAAAAAAAAAAAAAATCAGTCAGGCTTGGTGGTGCACGCCAGTAGTCCCAGCTACTCGAAAAGCTGAGGCAGGAGGATCGCCTGAGCCCAGGAGGTCGAGGCTGCAGCGAACCATGTTTGAGCTACTGGGCTCCAGCCTGTGCAAAAGTGAGACCCTGTCTCAGAAAAAAAAAGAAGTAGTTAAAGCAAAACTCCCACTGAGTTACTTGTTGACACCAAGTGTCATCAGAGTACTTTCTTAGAACATGGCCTGATTCAGAATTACTTTTATTATTATTAGTGGCAGAGACTAGCTAGTGGCCCTTAAACAGCTTTGCCCTTCCTGGGTGTACAGCTAAACTAAGTTTCCTGGCCTTTCATGTGACTGGGGTCATGTGACTGTTTCCAGCCAGTGAGGTGTGAGAAGAAGAGAGGAAGCCCATTTCCAGGCCAGATCCCTCAAATGGCCCATTGAGGGTCATTGCTGCCCTTTTTCTTCCCTTGCTGACTGGCAGTTTGTAGAACAGGGGATCCATCTAAGTACCCTAAGAGAAGGTAGAGCTACAGACTGGAAGAGTCTGAACCTCTGACTCATCCCATGGATGGCTGCCCATTTGAGCTGAGTTAGGAGAGAGAAATCATTTAATGTGGTAAGCCAGTAAGATTTAAGAGCTGTTTAACATACTATTTTGTTATGTTATGAGTAGCATTCAGATTGCAGATCCAGCTTCTGAATAAGCTCAAGAACTTTAACTTCTATCCCTATGGCCTATGCCCAGGGGAAGATGGGACTTAAAGGGTGTTTGTAGAAATCATGGTAGAAAAACTTACATACATATGTGTATATATATATATAGATACAAAAAAAAACTATACATATTTAAAAATACTGCAAGGTTGTGGTTTCCTGAGCAGGATGGATTGGGCAGACAAAATCAGCAATGCCCCTGCTCCTGAGAGAGGCCTCGCCATCCCTGTTCCATAAGTCTTGAGTCTGCACTGGTTCTCTGAGTCATATTGGATCCCTGATCATCTGCAGCCTGGTGTCCTAAGAGCAAGCCACATAGCTGGGGGGCAGAGGCTCAGCGGCTGGGATAAGGCTGTTCTCATAAGGGTTGGAGTAGGGGCCATCGGATAAGCCCCCTTGGGCTCCCTGGGAGTCCCCTGAGCTGTAGTCAGTTGAGATGCCAGAGTCAGATACCACAAGGTACAGGTACTTTAGGTGGGGTGGGGTAGGGGGCAGCTCAGGGCACAGTGTCCATGGACGCAAGAGCTGGGAGCTGGGGTCCAGGATAGTGTACTCAAAGCTGGCAGCAGAGGCTCCCTCTGGGCTGGGCTTCGAGGCCAAAGCAGATGAGCAGGAGGATGCTTCTGAGCCTTCATCCATGGCCACTATGTCCACACTGCCACCAGGCCCTGGGAGGTCCTCACTGGGCGGGTTCCGGGGCAGCAACCATTTGTCCAGCACCAGATAGGTATCCTGGGCATGCTCACTGCCCACTGGCTCCAGCAGGGGGCCCTCATCATCTGTCCCCGGCTCCACTGCCTGCATCGTCCCCCAGCAGCGCTCTGAGAGGACTTCCAGGGAAGCAGGTGGGTCCTCCGTGAAGGGGGTGCAGGGGCTCCACCACAGGCAGCCATCATTCTGGTACAGCCACAGCTGAAGAAATAGCACCAACCTGCTCAGAGAGGCCTGCAGTTTGGCTGCAAGAAGCAGGGAAGCCCAGGCACTGAGGGGACAACCAGGCCACCTACCTGGAAGTTACCCTTGTGGGTGGTGAAGAGGCCTTCAAACTCGCTCTCTGGGCTCGGGATGCCAGGCCAGATCTTCTGCTTCAGAGCCCTGTTGAAGCCAATATAAATAGTTACATAGATATGACTCATTGAATACTCACCAATTCCCCCTCCACTCCCAGTCATAGAGGCACAGATACACTTGGTCCCTGTGATCACAATGGAGGCAGAGGAGTACATCAGGGCCAGGGGACAGGGGTTTTGGCTGAAGCATCAGCAAGGCCCTACAAAAGGGTAAATGGAACAGGGTATTGAAGGGTGCATAGGAGTTCAATATACCTTGGTCATTCTCCCTTTAATCCTGGCCATGGCCAGGTGCAGTGGTTTACACCAGCACTATAATCCCAGTACTTTGGGAGGCTGAGGTGGGAGGATCATTTGAACCCAGGAGTTCAAGACCAGCCTAGGAAACATAGTGAGACCCCCATCTCTAAAAAAAATAAAATAAAATAAATTAAAAAACCCAAAACCCTGGCCCAGATTTTTCCAGGAGGTCCATGATGTCACTTCATAGATAAATATTATGTTACCTTCTGGGGTAATGAGAGAAGGCATTTAGGATAAAATCCAAGCCAGGCACGGTGGCTCATGCCTATAATCCCAGCACTTTGAGAGGCTGATGTGAGCAGATCACCTGAGGTCAGGAGTTTGAGACCAGCCTGGCCAACATGGTGGAACCCCGTCTCTACTAAAACTACAAAATTAGCCGGGCATGCACGCCTGTAATCTCAGCTACTCAGGCGGTTGAGGCAGGAGAATCACTTGAACCTGGGAGGCAGAGATTGCAGTGAGCCAAGACTGCTGCACTGCACTACAGCTTGGGCGACAAGAGTGACTCTGTCTCAAAAAAAAAAAAAATTCCAAACTCCTCCCCACCACCCTGCAGAAGGCCCTGCGTTATATGACCCCTGTCACCTCCCTCATCTCAATATCTGCCACACCCCCTTACATACCACTCTAGCCATGTGGCAATTTTTTTTTTTTTTTTGAGACGGAGTTTCACTCTTATTGCCCAGGCTGGAATGCGATGGCACGATCTCGGCTCACCCGCAACCTCCACCTCCCAGGTTCAAGTGATTCTCCTGCCTCAGCCTCCCGAGTAGCGGGGATTACAGGCATGTGCCACCACGCTTGGCTAGTTTTGTATTTTTAGTAGAGGTGGGGTTTCTCCATGTTGGTCAGGCTGGTCGCGAACTCCCAACCTCAGGTGATCTGCCTGCCTCGGCATCCCAAAGTGCTGGGATTACAGGCGTGAGCCACCATGCCAGGCCATGCCATGTGGCAATTCTTGAAGCTGGCTGAACGTTCCAATCTCATTCCCACCTCAGGGCCTTTGCACTTGCTGTTTCTTCTCCCCACTTTTCAAGCGGCTGCTTCCTTCCAATCTTCAGGTTTCCACTCTGATGTCACCTCCTCCTGGAGGCCTTCCCTGACCATCCTGTCATGTCACCACATTCTGTTTGTTTCTGTGATATCACTCATTACAATTTGTCATCAAATATTTCTTGGGTCCCTTGTTTGTTGACTTGAGATCCACAAGGTCAGGGACTTGTGGTCAGGGTCTAGCTTGTTCTCCATTCTCTCTCCAGTGCCTGGCACATGTTTGGCACTCTGTTTGTATTTTCCAACCAAGTAAATGAACAGGGCCATGAAAGACGACTAGAAGATTGCTTAGCAGACAAGGCAGGAAGGGCATTCCAGGCAGAGGGAACAGCATGGGCAAAAGCTTGGGGGTGTGAAACCACCTAGTGTGTGCTTGGAATTACAAATACCTCAGAACGGCTAGTCTGATCATAGTGTCTGAGAAGCTTGACCGCAGGGGTGCGGAGGCATTCAGGGTCTTAAATTCTTTCACTAAATCCATCTAGTTGATTTTACAAAGGTGATGACACTGGGGAAAGGAACTAACAAAGGGACCCAAGAAATGGCAGCCCCTGATGTAGAAGGAAAATCAGGTGAAAGTCCCCAAGAGCAGAAAATGTTAACGAAGAGTCTGGGTCTAGTCTGGCATGCATCCCAGCCCTGCCACTGATGTGAATCCTTACTGCGTGACCTTGGGCAAGTGCGTGTCTCTCTCTGAGCCTAGGTTTCCATAGTGAAAGAGGACCGTTGGCGGGGAGGAGTCTGGGCCCAGCGCCCAAATGGGGAGCTCACCGGCGGTGGGAGAGCAGCGCGAGCACGGTCAGCAGCACCAGGATGACCACGAGGATGAGGGAGAGCGTCAGGATGAGGGGGTCCAGGTCTAAGAGGCGGGGAGGAGGTCAGGGCGGTGGGCTTGCCCCGTGATTCGCCCTGGCTCCTCCTACACCCCCGCCTGGGGCCTCACCGCTAGGCGTCAGCAGCGACACAGGCTCCGACCAGGCGCTCCAGAAGCCGCCGAAGCTCGGCTCAGCCATACGCGCGCGGACGGCGAAGGTGTAGCGCGTCCGGCCCCGCAGGTTGCTCAGCACACACTCGGTGCGGCCCTCCAGGATCTCCACCTGGGGGCGGAATCAGGGCGAGGGACGCGTAGCAGACAAAAATAGATGACGTGGGGGCGGGCCCTGGTGGAACTGAGCCAATCAGGGGAAAGGAAAACGGTGCCCTAGAATTGCAATGGGACCAATAAGAGTAGGGGGAGGAGCCCAAGAAAGCTCAGGGCCAATCAGAGAGAGAGTCTCTGGTACGAAAGGGCGGGACCCGGGCAATTTAATATCTGGGCTAGCACTCGTAGAGGGACCCGGGCGCTAAAGGGGTCTAGGGTTACGGGCCGGAGGGAGAAGAAGTTGGGGTTCAACAGGCTTGCGAGGACATTAGGAAAGGGGGTGTGTCTGTGGGCGTGGAACGGTCTTCAGCACCAGGGTAATGGGATGTGGGATGTTACGGACCGGCCCTGAAAGCGGCACCGGGCGCGACCTCGAGAGGCGTGGCTGGGCCGTAGTCAGTGGAGCTTTGGGGGCTGGGCCGTAGGGGCTGGCCTCACCCTCTGTACGCTCCCTGCGCCGTTGCCGGCCGAGACGTCCACCTCGTAGCGGATGTGAGACGTCATGGGTGTCTCAGGCGGCGGGAGCCAGCGCAACACTACGTGGCCGCTCTCGTCAGCCAACCGCGCCACCAGCCCCACGGGGGCGTCTAGGAGCACTGCAGGCATGGGGGTTGGTCAGGTGGGCGAGGACTGAGACCCTCTCCTCCGACCACTCCTCCATTCCCAGAGCACTTACCTACTTCATTGATGTGGATGACACGGTGATATCGCGGAGCGCCGGAGGCTGCTGTGACGCGCAACTCTAGGGGCACGAAGCTCGACGTGTCGGCTGTAGGCAGCGAACACCAGAAGCGCACCGCACCACGAGCCGTGGGAGCCTGGTGCAGGCGACACAGCTTCCATGGCTCATCCCTATGCGCCCAGGGAAGGGAGCAGGTTGGGAGGGGGGACCGGGGAGTTGGCATTGCCCGGCCTGTGGGGGGCAGTGTGTATGTGTGACACAAGGTCTAGCCTTGTGTGTGTGTGTGACAAGGTGTTCCTTCGTCGCCCAGGCTGGAGTGCAGTGGCGCGATCATGGCTCACTGCAGCCTCAAATTCTGGGGCTTAAGGGATCCTCCCACCTCAGCTTCCCAAGTAGTTGAGACCACAGGCACGCGCCACGCCTGGCTTTTTTTTTTTTTTTTTTTGAGACGGAGTTTCGCTCTTGTTGCCCAGGCTGGAGTGCAATGGCGCTACCTCGGCTCACCGCAACCTCCGCCTCCCGGGTTCAAGCGATTCTCCTGCCTCAGCCTCCCGAGTAGCTGGGATCACAGGCATGCGCCACCACGCCCGGCTAATTTTGTATTTTTAGTAGAGATAGAGTTTCTCCATGTTGGCCAGGCTGGTCTCAAACTCCCGACCTCAGGTGATCCGCCCGCCTCAGCCTCCCAAAGTGCTGGGATTACAGGCGTGAGCCACCGCGCCCAGTCTAATTTTTTTTTAAGAGACGGGGATCTCGCTGTGTTGCCCAGGCTGGTCTTGAACTCCTGGGCTCAAGCGGTTCTTCCGCCTCGACCTTCCAAAGAGTTGGGATTACAGGCATGAGCCACTGCTGGCCTCCTTTTGGATACTACCTCGAGAAGGCGTCCCAGCCCCGACGTAGTAACGCCTTACCCTCGATTTGGAGGCGTTGTTATCCCAGCCTGATGTTTGGGGTCGCGTTCCAGCGGTGATCGCGGGAGTGTTCGCGCCCCGGCCCATAGAGGGCGTGCCAGCCCTGGACCCGCAGGTTTCCCTCCAGTGACCACGACTGGAGGCGCCGTCGGGCCTCAAACAGCAGGGGACATACGAGGCTACGACCTCCAGGGAGCTCTGCCCCACCCCCTCCCTCCGCCCTTGGAGGCACCCGCCGGATCGGACTCACTCGAGCTGGTAGGAGAAGCTGTAGTTGCCCGGGCCCACCCCAGCGCTCGCCGCTTCCTCCCAGAAACACACCAAGTCCTCCAACCGCTCGGTGAAGCACAGAAGCTCTTCGGGCCCCCGGGCCGCCAGCAAGGCCGCTGGGGAGGGGCGACAAAGGAAGGGCATGGGGGTCTGAGCTCTATCCTCGGGAGACAGCCCCCTCCTCTTCCCTCCCGCAGCCTGGGCGGACCCGATAAGAAAAAAGCCCCGCCCTGCCATCTTCCCAAGCGGGTCCCTTGGAGGGGTCCGCAGAGGTGGTGCCCCCCTAATTCCCAGGGGCAAGTTTCTCGCCTTACTGTCCCCCGCCGTCACCACTGGCGCACACCTGCCCACCCAGCGGCCAGCTGAGCTGGGCGCGGCGTTCAAGACCTCGAGCTCGGGACTGCCAGCCCCGCCCCAGCCTAGGACACGCGCGCGGCTGGGGGTGTGTGCGGAGAGGCGGGCCCCCTATCGGCCCCGGCAGGCTCCCCGCCAACCGATAGCGCCAACCGTGCCCCCCGCCTCCCTCCCTCCACCGGGCCGGGCAAGTGATCTGGCGCCCTCACACAAACCGTGTTTACAGTAGCCTGTGGCTTGGCCCCTCTAACTCGGACCCGGGCTTTACCCTCCCTCCCCTAGGGAGGGTCGGCTTGGTCCCCACCCCCCAGGGACCTTAGCACCAAGTCAGCCCCCTTAGGATTTAGCATGTCCCAGACTCCCTGAAAAGGTAAAACGGGAATGTTAAGCCCACTCTAGCTCTTGCCCGGGACGCGATCAGGAGTCTTGGATCCTAACATACCCCACCCCGCCCCCCACCCATCCAGGACCCAGTCTAAGGGTTCAGATGCCAGCTTGGCCCCCAGGACCCGGTCAGGAAGTCCAGAAACAGGCATGGCCCCCAGGACCTAGGCTGGGAGTTCAGGCCCCAGCATGGTCCTGCAGGCTCCAGCGTAGGGGTCCACACGCAGCTCATCCTTACCTTTGCTCTCGAACTTGGGGTCCGGGAGGTTAGGCGGGGGCGCCCAGGCGGCCCCAGCGAGCAGGAGACAAAGGGAGCCGACCTGGGGCCAGAGGGACGCCCCGAGGTGGTCCATGATACAGCCCCCGCCACGGGGAGCCCAGGGCTCCTGCCCCTCCGTCCCCCGCCCCCGGCACAGTCCACAGCTGGGTCAGCAGCTGCCTCCGCCGGACGCAGCTGACCAGGCCCTTCCCGACCAGGCGCCTCTAAGTGGCAGATCCCCGAGGGGGCGGGGCCAGCACTCAGCCTGGGTAGAGATAAGTGCCTGGCGGGAGGAGGCAGGGGCCCTTCCCGAGCCCAGAGGCCGCTTGGGGGCAGGGGAGGGAGTTGGGCCGCAACAGCTCCCGTTCTGGCTTCAGACACACGTTTTTTTTTTCTTTGTGGCCCTGGACAGGTGACTTACCTTACCTGAGCTTCAGACTTCTCATCTGTAAAATCTAGCCTGGCACATAGCGAACATTCCAAAAAATGTACCTACTGATTTTATCGCAGAAATCAGCATCTCTTCCCAGCCTGGAAATAAATAAAAATTATTTTCTCTCTCTCTCTCTCTCTCTCTCTCTCTCTCTCTCCTTTCCTTCCTTCCTTCCTTCCTTCCTTCCTTCCTTCCTTCCTTCCTTCCTTCCCTCCTTCCCTCCTTCCCCCTCTCTCTCTCTGTCTCAGGGTGTTGCTCTGTCACCCAGGCTGGAGTGCAGTGGCACAATCATAGCTCACTGCAGCCTCTGGACTGAAGCAATCTTCCCACTGCACCTGGCTAATTTTTAAAATTCTTTGTAGAGATGGGATCCCACTATGTTGTCCAGGCTGGTCTTGAAATCCCGGACTTAAGCAATCCTCCAGCCTCCATCTCCCAATGTGCTGGGAATACCAGCACGAGCCACTGAAGCCGGCCAATAATAATCCTTGCAACGACCAGCAGTTGAGTGTTTGCACAGTGCTAGGCCATGCTCCTGGGCAGTATGCATAATATGTGAGATTTTCATTTACGAATTTTTGGGAAAAAAATTTTTACCACCCACATTTTTATTCTCTTGGGCTGGGCCCGGTGGCTCACGCCTATAATCCCAGCACTTTGGGAGGCCGACGTGGGCAAATCACTTGAGGTCAGGAGTTTGAGACCAGCCTGGCCAACATGGTGAAATCCCATCTCTACTAAAAATACAAAAATTAGCCAGGTGTGGTGGCGTGTGCCTGTAATCCCAGCTACTCAGGAGGCTGAGGCATGAGAACTGCTTCAGTCTGGGAGATGAAGATTGCAGTGAGCCAAGATCATGCCACTGCAACTCCAGCCTGGGCAACAGAGTGAGACTGCATCTCAAAAAATAATAATAATTGGCTGGGCGCGGTGGCTCATACCTGTAATCCCAACACTTTGGGAGGCCGAGACAGGCGGATCATGAGGTCAGGAGTTCGAGACCAGCCTGGGCAACATGGCGAAACCACGTCTCTACTAAAAATACAAAAATTAGCCAGGCGTAGGCCGGGCGCGGTGGCTCACGCCTGTAATCCCAGCACTTTGGGAGGCCGAGGTGGGCAGATCACGAGGTCAAGAGATCAAGACCATCCTGGCCAACATGGTAAAACCCCATCTCTACCAAAAATACAAAAATTAGATGGGCGTGGTGCTGCATGCCTGTAATCCCAGCTACTTGGGAGGCTGCAGGAGAATCGCTTGAACCCAGGAGCCGGAGGTTTCAGTGAGCCGATATTGTGCCACTGCACTCCAGCCTGGTGACAGAGCGGGACTCCGTCTCAAAAAATATATATATATATTCGAGCGTGGTGGTGGGTGCCTGTAATCCCAGCTACTCAGGAGGCTGAGGCAGGAGAATTGCTTGAAACCAGAAGGCAGAGGTTGCAGTGAGCTGAGATCACACCATTGCACTCCAGGCTGTGCAACAAGATTGAAACTCTGTTTCAAAAAAATAAATAAATAGTCCATGCACAGTGGCTCATGCCTGTAATCCCAGCACTTTGGGAGGCCGAGGTGGGTGGATCACAAGGTCAGGAGATCGAGACCATCCTGGCTAACACAGTGAAACCCTGTCTTTACTAAAAATAGAAAAAATTAGCCGGGCGTGGTGGCGGGTGCCTGTAGTCCCAGCTACTCGGGAGGCTGAGGCAGGAGAATGGTGTGAACCCAGTGGGTGGAGCTTGCAGTGAGCCAAGATTGTGCCACTGCACTCCAGCCTGGGCAACAGAGCGAGACTCCGTCTCAAAAAAATAAATAAATAAAATAAATAAATAAATATAAATAAATATAAATAAAATAAAATGGCAATACTCCTACCCTGTTTCTATTAAGCAGGTGGGTTTTTTGTTTTTGTTTGTAGCCAATGTGCTTATTGTCACCTGACATGTATTTGATGTTTTGTTATTGATTCGCTGCCCTTACTATTCCATGAAAGCAGGTTTTTTTTTTTTTTTTTAGATGGTGTCTTGCTCTGTTGCCCATGTTGGAGTGCAATGGCACAATCTTGGCTCACTGCAGCCTTCGCCTCCTGGATTCAAGCGATTCTCCTTCCTCAGACTCCAGGGTAGTTGGGACTACAGGTGTGTGCCACCACACCCAGCTAATTTTTGTAGTTTTAGTTGAAACGGGGTTTTGCTGTGTTGGCCAGGCTTGTCTTGAGCTCCTGACCTCAAGTGATCCCCCCGCCTCAGCCTCCCAAAGTGCTGGGATTACTGGCATGAGTCACTGAGCCCGGCCAGGGATTGATTGATTGATTGATTGATTGATTTGTGGAGTCTTGCTCTTGTTGCCCAGGCTGCAGTACAATGGCATGATCTTGGTTTACTGCAACCTCCGCCTCCTGGGTTCAAGTGATTCTCCTGCCTCTGCCTCCCGGGTAGCTGGGATTACAGGCACCCGCCACCATGCCCGGCTATTTTTTTGTATTTTTAGTAGAGACGGGGTTTCGCCATGTTGGCCAGGCTGGTCTCGAACTCCTGACTTTGTGACCCGCCCGCCTTGGCCTCCCAAAGTGCTGGGATTACAGGCATGAGCCACCGCGCCCAGCCTCAGGCAGGGATTTTTTTTTACCCTTTTGTTCTTTGCTGTATCCCTAGCATATAGAACAGGGCCTGGAGCACAGTAGAAGCTCAAGAAATATTTTGTGGAGTAAAAGATTAGAGATGTAGAGAAAATCAAGCTGAGAGAGGTAGAGAAACAGCTGATCTCGTGTTAGCCACTGGGTACAACTGTGCCTGCGTAACCCTGCGCTTTTAAAAAACGGAAGTCAACGCAAATCTCTTCCTCAGGAAATTGATATTTAGACTGTGCATGTATGTGAGAGGGAGGTGGAACAAACAAGATGGACACCTGTTTCAAAATTTGGTCACAATAAATTGTTATGAATGGCAAACGGGCCCCAGAGTTAAATGCATGTTTTCTGGAGTTGGATCAATATTTGAACAGCACCCACTTACCATGGGACCTTGAGTAAGTTACTTAACCCTCCCTTGCCTGAAGCCTGGCTGACATGGTGAGACCTTGTCTCTATAAAACACGTTTTTTTTTTGTTGTTGTTTTTTGTTTTTTGTTTTTTTAAGTAAGCCAGATGAGGTGGCACCCGTCTGTGGTCCTAGCTACTCGGGAGGCTGAGGTGGGAGGATCACTTAAGCCCAGAAGGTGGAGGCTGCAGTGAACCATGTTCATGCCGCTGCATTCCAGCCTGGGTGACAGAGTGAGATCCCGTCTCTACAAAACATTGTTTGTTTGTTTGAGAGACGGAGTCTTTTTCTGTCGCCTAAGCTGGAGTGCAATGGCGCCATCTCGGCTCACTGCAACCTCTGTTTCCCGGGTTCAAGCGATTCTTCTGCCTCAGCTTCCCGAGTAGCTGGGACTACAGATGTGTGCCACCATGCCCAGCTAATTTTTGTATTTTTTTTAGTAGAGACGGGGTTTCGCTATATGTTGGCCAGGCTGGTCTCGAACTCCTGACCTCAGGTGATGCGCCTGCCTTGGCCTCCCAAAGTGTTGGAGTGTTGGGATTACAGGTGTGAGCCACCACGCCCAGCCAACTTTTTTTTTTTTTTTTTTTGAGACGGAGTCTCGCTCAGCTGCCCAGGCTAGAGTGCAGTGGTATGACCTCAGCTCACTGGAACCACCGTCTCCCAGGTTCAAGTGATTCTCCCATCTCAGCATCCTGAGTAGCTGGGATTATAGGCACCCGCCATGGCTAATTTTTGTATTTTAGTAGAGATAGGGTTTCACCATGTTGGCCAGGCTGGTCTTGAACTTCTGACCTCAGGTGATCCACCCGCCTCAGCCTCCCAAAGTGCCAGGATTACAGGCGTGAGCCATCGCACCCGGCCAACTTTGTTTTTAAGTTAGCCAGGCGAGGTGGCATGCGTCTGTGGTCTCAGCTACTCAGGGGGCTGAAGTGGGACGATTAATTGAGCCCAGGAGGTGGAGGCTACAGTGAACCATGTTCACACCACGGCACTCCAGCCTGGGTGACAGAGTGAGACCCCATCTCAAAAAAAAAAAAAATAGTGGACGATAAGTGTCTCTTCCGGCCCAGACATGGTGGCTCTTGCCTGTAATTCCAGCACTTTGGAAGGCCGAGGCAGGGGAATCAATTGAAGATAGTAGTCTGAGACCAGCCTGGGCAACATAACAAGACCCTGACTCTACAAAAAAGAAGAAAAATTAGCCTGGTGTGGTGGTATGTGCCGGTAGTCCCAGCTACTCAGGAGGTTGAGTAGGATCACCTGAGTCTAGGAGTTCGAGGCTGCCACGAGCTATGATCGCACCACTGCACTCCAGTCTGGTTACAGAGCAAGACACTGTCTCTAAAAATAAATAAATAAGTAAATAAATAAATAAAATGTATAAAGTGAAAATAATGTCTACTCCATAGAGCTATGGTAAGGATTAAATTAGATTGTGTCAAGTTCTTTTTCTTTTTCTTTTTTTTTGAGATGGAGTTTCGCTCTTGTCACCCAGGCTGGAGTGCAATGGCACAATCTCGGCTCACTGCAACCTCCGCCTCCCAGGTTCAAGTGATTCTCCTGCCTCAGCCTCCCGAATAGCTGGGATTACAGGCATGTACCACCACACTCCGCTAATTTTGTATTTTTAGTAGAGACGGGTTTCTCCATGTTGAGGCTGGTCTCGAACTCCTGACCTCAGGTGATCCGCCCGCCTCGGCCTCCCAAAGTGTTGGGATTACAGGCGTGAGCCACCGCGCCTGGCCCCTGTGTCAAGTTCTTAAAACAGTATCTTGACATACAATAAGCATTCAGTAAGTATAGCAATTTGCTTAAACTAGTTCAAGAAGGATGCTGAACTAACATCCAAATGATCTTAAGAGGCTGGATGCGGTGGCTCATGCCTGTAATCCCAACACTTTGGGATTTGGGAGACAGAGGAAAAAAATACCCATTTGGGCAAAAAATATCCAAATTGTCTTAAGGTCTTTCTTTTCTTTTTCTTTTCTTTTCTTTTTTTTTTTTTTTTTGAGACAAAGTCTTTCTTTGTCACCCAGGCTGGCGTACAGTGGTGCAATCTCGGCTCACTGCAACCTCCGACTCCCGGGTTCAAGCGATTCTGTCCTGCCTCAGTCTCCTGAGTAGCTGGGATTACAGGCGTGCACCACCACGCCTGGCTAATTTTTGTATTTTTAGTAGGGATGGGGTTTCACCATGTTGGTCAGGCTGGTCTCGAACTCCTGACCTCATGATCCACCTGACTCGGCCTCCCAAAGTGCTGGATTACAGGCATAAGCCACTGTGCCTGGCTGGTCTTAAGGTCTTAATACTCACAGAAGACCAAAATTTAAAAAAAGCCTGTAAAGGAGCGGCAAGGCACAGTGGCTCACACCTGTAATCCCAGCATTTTGGGAGGCCAAGGCAGGTGGATCATCAGGCCAGGAGTTCGAGACCAGCCTGACCAAAATGGTGAAACCCCGTCTCTACTAAAAATACAAAAATTAGCCAGGCGTGGTGACACACGCCTGTTATCCTACCTACTCAAGAGGCTGAGACAGGAGAATCGCTTGAACTGGGGAGGCGGAAGTTGCAGTAAGCCAAGTTCTCGCCATTGCACTCCAGCCTGGGCGACAAAGCAAGACTCTGTCTCAAAAAAAAAAAAAAAAAAAAGCATGTTGTGTGCTAGTAATTGGTCTTTCATCAGACCTTATATGATACTTAAATTTCTGTATCTCTACTCCCAACCCACATAATTCCTGGGCATTCCTCATTATTGCTCCAGGGATAATGTTTGAAAACCTAGTGATTATTTTTTGCCCATTCACCAGAACTCCCCCTTCTCCTCATAACAGCCCCCACATTTAATGTCCACTTATGGACTCTCCCAGGCTCCACCCCTGTGATTCAAAGTTTCTGTGCCAGCTCAAAGGGTGGGCGCAGGACCCAGGCCTGGCTAATCAGCACATCTCATTCCCCTGAACACAGTGATTGGTTTAGAGGTGGACACATGACACAAATTGGCCCAATGGGCGCCTGCTCTGGGACTTTTTGCTGGAGCTGATGGGAAGGAGGGGCTCTGCTTGCATGGGATGGGGGAGCTGTTGGGATATAAGCCTATGCCTCCACAAGGTATGAGCCTGCCTTGGAGTAGAGCTATATATATATATATGTGTGTGTATTTTTTTTTTTTTTTTTTTTTTTGTAGAGACGGAGTCTTGCTCTGTCTCCCAGGCTGGAGTGCAGTGGAGCGATCTCGGCTCACTGCAACCTCCGCCTTCCAGGTTCAAGCAATTCTCTCGCCTCAGCCTCCCAAGTAGCTGGGATTACAGGTGCATGCCACCACACCCAGCTATGAGTACAGCTATATTAAATAAAATATTATTTGGGCTACTGTAACAGCAACTCAAATAATAGTGGCTTAAGTAAGATAAAAATTTATTTCTCTTTTATGTAACACTCCAAGTATCAACAGTCCAATATGGTAGCTCCCTGGTCTCATAGGCCCAGGCTCCTTCTAGCTTGTTGCTCAGCTATTCAGACAGTGTGAACCACCTAATCCAAAATGATCCACTCCACGTCTTCATTCCCACCAGCAGGAGGGAGGAAAGGGGGAAAAGAAGGACACACCGCTTCCCTTTAAGGGCAGGTTCTGAAATTTGTTCACATCCTTTCCCTTTATATCTTATTGGCCAAGACTTAGCCAGTGGCCAGATATGACCACACCTTGCTGCAGAGGAGGTGGGAAATATGGCTTTTACTTTGGGAGGCCAGCTAAAAATCAGTGGTTCCATTACCATAGAAGAAGGTGATTAAATTTGAGGGGACAATGGACTATCTCATTCTCAGAGCAAATCAGAGCAAAGAGACAGCAAGAAAACCCTGATGACATCTTATGAGTGCCTGGATGCAACTGTGCCTGAAGCCCTACTCATTGGACATTTCAACTGCATAAGCCACAAATGTCCTTTTTTGCACATGCCTCTTTGAATTGGGTTTTTGGTCGCTTGCAACAGAAAGAACTCGATTAGTGCAATGAGATGTAAAGACCATAGCTGATGTTCTCTGCTGAGTAGGAGCTCATAAGTGGGCATATTATTGTGGTTGTGACTATGTAGCAGTTCGCCCTACAGCTCATTTCATCCTCTCTATTGTACTCCAACGCTGACAGAGAGCTCACGCCTCTCTTTTCATCCTCACAATCCTTTTCTTTTTCTTTTTTTTTTTTTTCCAGACAGAATTTTGCTCTTGTTGCCCAGGCCGGAGTGCAGTGGAGCGATCTCGACTCACTGCAACCTCTGCCTGCCTGGTTCAGGTGATTATCCTGCCTCAGCCTACCGAGTAGCTGGGATTACAAGAGCCTGCCACCATGCCCGGCTAATTTTTTGTATATTTAGTAGAGAAGGGGTTTCACCATGTTGGCCAGGCTGGTTTTGGAATCCTGGCCTCAAGCAATCCACCCGTCTTGCCCCCCCAAAGTGCTAGAGCCACTGTGCCCAGCATTTTTTTTTTTTTTTTTGAGATACAGTCTCACTTTGTCACGCAGGCTGGAGTGCAATGGCATGATCTCGGTTCACTGCAACCTCCACCTTCTGGATTCAAGCAATTCTCCTGCCTCAGCCTCCTGAGTAACTGGGATTACAGGCACCCACCACCATGCCCAGCTAATTTTTATATTTTTTAGTAGGGACAGGGTTTTACCATGTTGGCCAGGCTGACCTTGAACTCCTGACCTCAAGTGATCCGCCCACCTCAGCCTCCCAAAATGATGGGATTACAGGTGTGAGCACTGCGCCTGGCCCTTTTTTTTGCTTTTTGAAACAGGATCTCGCTCTGTCACCCAGGCTGGAGTGCAGTAATCTCGGCTCACTGCAACCTCCACCTCTTGGGCTCAAGTGATCCTCGTGCTTCAGCCTCCAGAGTAGCTGAGACTACAGGTGCAGGACACCAAACCTGGCTAAATTTTATTTTATTTTTTGAGATGGAGTCTCCCTCTGTCGCCCAGACTGGAGTGCAGTGGTGCGATCTCGGCTCGCTGCAAGCTCCGCCTCCTGGGTTCACGCCATTCTCCTGCCTCAGCCTCCCGAGTAGCTGGGACTACAGGCGCCCGCCACCACGCCCGGCTAATTTTTTTGCATTTTTAGTAGAGACGGGGTTTCACCTAGCCAGGATGGTCTCGATCTCCTGACCTCATGATCCGCCTGCCTCAGCCTCCCAAGTGCTGGGATTACAGGCGTGAGCCACCGCGCCTGGCCAATCTTTGTATTTTTTTGTAGAAATGGGGTCTCACTATGTTGCCCAGGCTGGTCTCAAACTCCTGGGCTCAAAATCCTTCCACCTTAGCCTCCCAAAGTGCTGGGATTACAGATGTGAGCCACCACACCCAACCTCTTTTTCTCTTCTTTGCACAGATGGGTTATCTGTGACAGGAAGAGGAAGAAGGTGAGGGCAAGTGAAAGGGCCCATCCTCACAGCCCTTATTGACTCATGGGTAATGATGCTATTTGTTTCTAATTCTGATGGAATTTCAGTTAGTCACTCTCCCATATATACAGTAGAAAAGAGGCATATCACCCCAAAAATGTTGGGGAAGGAAGTCCTAAACCCTCTTTGTGTGATAGGATCCTTTATTTATTTATTTAGTGAGATGTGATCTCACTGTATTGCCCAGGCTGCTCTCGGACTCCTGAACTTAAGCAATCCTCTTACCTCAGCCTCCCAAAGTACTGGGATTACCCTCCTGAGCCACTGTGTCCGGCCAGACAGGATCCTCTCTGGCATCTGGGTTGAGTGTCATACCCGACTCAACACCTTTCTTAGGGCTCTTAGTTTTTTTGTTTTTGAGACAGGATCTCCCTCTGTCCTCCAGGTTGGAGTGCAGGGGCCCAGTCACTGCTCACTGCAGCTTCAACCTCCCAGGGCTCTGGTGATTCTCCCAGCTCAGCCTCCCAAGTAGGTAGGATTACAGTCTCATATCACCACACTCAGAAAATTTTTTGTTTGTTCATTTGTTTGTTTGTTTGTTTTTGAGATAGGGTCTTGCTCTGTCACCCAGGCTGGAGTACAGTGGTGTGATTTCCACTCACTGCAACCTCCACCTTCCGGGTTCAAGCAATTCTCCTGCCTCAGCCTCCCCAGTAGCTGGGATTACAGGTGCATGACACCACGCCCGGCTAATTTTTTGTACTTTTAGAAGATGGGGTTTTGCCATGTCGGCCAGGCTGGTCTCGAACTCCTGACCTCAGGCGATCTGCCTGCCTTGGCCTCCCAAAACGCTGGGATTACAGGCGTGAGTCACCACGCCCAGCCAAATTTTTGTATTTTTTGTAGAGACAGGATCTCGTTATGTTGCCCGGGCTGGTCTTGGCTCTTAGGTTTCTCTCTCTCTGTGTGTTTGTGTGTGTGTGTGTGGGTGTGTGTGTGGTAGCTGTTTTCCTTTATCTTGATAAAGGGTGAACATGGCACACAGGCGCAAAATAAACAAGACTGACACCTGTTTCATAACTCTGGTCACTATTTTCATCCGCATCTGTCACTTCTGATGCGTCTCTAACATTTATAAGATTTCTCTGGGGAGGGATTTGACGTATCCATGCCCCACCTCTTTCTACATTTATGGGATTGAGCTCTCCACCAGCCACCCATGGGCTGATGTCTTTGGAATATGGATCTAGTACCAACAGAGTCAGAAAAAGAGATGGGGTCCAATGGGCTACAGTTGGGTGGTGGTCCTGGGATACACAGCACAGTGGCCTCTACTGGGGGATGGCAGCTTTCCAGGAGAAGAGTCGCAAGCTTGCCTGTGGGACTTGTGTCTTGTGGAGAGGACAGGGCTGCCTCAGCTTGGGGAGACAGACAGAGTGTTCCGGGTCCCCTCTTTCCGCCGCAGCATGAAGTCTCTGGGGGCGACTGGACTCATGGCATAGAAGACGTTGGCATTGTCAGGAATCAGGAGCACTGGTCAGGAGTGGAGATGGTGGTAATAGGCCCTCACAACCTTGTGTCACCCCCACAGAGGACCCGGGAGCCTCCTGCCACTCACCCGCGAACCTGAACAGCCATGGGTCCCTCTGCAGCTACTGCCAAGCCAAGCTCATTCTGCTGTCACTGGGAACCTGGACGACTTCTCACTTGAAAACTTGCACCACCTCATGCCTTCCCTTATCATAAGCCTGGGCAACCTCCTAATATTCTCCCCCTCACCATAGAGACAAGGCAACCTGCAGTAAAAGTTTGAGCAAACTGGCCGGGCGCGATGCCTCGTGCCTGTAATCCCAGCGCTTTGGGAGGCCGAAGTGGGTGGATCACTTGAGGTCAGGAATTCGAGACCAGTCTGGCCAACATGGTGAAACCCCGTCTCTACTAAAAATACCAAAAAAATGAGCTAGGCATGGTGGCACATGCCTGTAATCCCAGCTACTCGGAAGGCTGAGGCAGGAGAATCTCTTGAACCCAGGAGGTGGATGTTGCGGTGAGCCGAGATCCTGCCATTGCACTCCAGCCTGGGCAACAGCACGAGACTCCATCTCAAAAAAAAAAAAACAAAAACAAACAAAACCGACAACCTGCAGTAAAAGTTTGGGCAAACTTAGACCACCCTAGACCACCCCCCGCCAAACAACTTCCTGCTCACCCTACCCCTCCCCCACAACCACTCCCAGCCAATCCCATGCTGCTGTCACCATGAACTTGAATAACTTCCCACTTCCAGCCTGCACGAGCTTGTGGCCTCACACTCAACACCTGAACAACCACAAGCATCCTTTCCTAATATCCAGCCAACCTCATGCCATGTACTTCAGCGTGAATACGCTCAATCCCTTGCTTCTCCCTGTCAGACAGGACAATCTCATGCTTCCGCGGCTATCCATTTGCCTCTCTCCCGTCCCAAGTTCAGATAACTTCAGGGTCCCAGTGGTGAACAAACTTAGTTCTCACAAATCTAAGCCCAGATGCCCTTTAGTCTCCCATCCCATCAGGTTGAGCCTGAACAATCTCATGATGCTACAAACTTAAGATCAGACAAACTTCTACACTCCCTTCTCTCACTCGACCCTAGACAATCTATTTTTTCTTTTTTTTTGAGACGGAGTCTCACTCTGTCGCCAGGCTGGAGTGCAGTGGCGCAATCTTGGCTCACTGCAACCTTCACCTCCTGGGTTCAAGTGATTCTTCTGCCTCAGCCTCCTGAGTAGCTGGGACTATAGGCGCCTGCCACCATGCCTGGCTAATTTTTTGTATTTTTAGTAGAGACGAGGCTTCACCATGTTGGCCAGGATGGTCTCGATCTCTTGACTTCGTGATCCACCCGCCTCGGCCTCCCAAAGTGCTGGGATTACAGGCGTGAGCCACCATGCCCGGCCCCCTTTTTTTTTTTTAATTGAGACAGGGTCTTGCTCTGTCACCCAGGCTGGAGTGCAGTGGCGTGATCTCAGCTCGCTGCAGCCTCCACCTCCTAGGCTCAAGTGATCCTCCCACCTCAGCCTCCCCAGTAGTTGGAGTTGGGAATACAGGCACATGCCACCATGCTCAGCTAATCTCTCTCTCTCTCTCTCTCTCTCTCTCTCTCTCTCTATATATATATATATATATATATTTTTTTTTTTTTTTTTTTTTTTTTTTTGAGACAGAGTCTTGCTCAGTCGCCAGGCTGGAGTGCAGTGGTGCGATCTCGGCTCACTGCAACCTCCGCCTCCTGGGTTCAAGCGATTCTTCTGCCTCAGCCTCCCGAGTAGCTGAGACTACAGGCATGTGCCACCATGCCCAGCTAATTTTTTTGTATTTTTAGTAGAGACGGGGCTTCACCATGTTGGCCAGGCTGGTCTCGAACTCCTGACCTCAAGTGATCCACCCGCTTTGGCCTCCCAAAGTGCCGGGATTACAGGCGTTGAGCCACCGCACCCAGCCAATTTCTCTATTTTTTGTATAGATGGGGTCTCCTCATGTTGCCCAGGCTGGTCTCAAACTCCTGAGCTCAGACAATCCACCCACCTTGACCTCCCAAAGTGCTGGGATTACAGTTGTGAGCCACCATGCCCAGCCCATCCTACAAATTGAAGGTCAGAAACACTCCCTTCTGTCACTTGTCCGTGGACAGTCTTTTTTTTTTTTTTTTTTTTTAAACAGAGTCTCGCTCTGCTGCCCAGGCTGAAGTGCAGTGGTATGATCTCGGCTCACTGCAACCTCCGCCTCCCAGATTCAAGCAATTATTCTCCTGCCTCAGCCTCCTGAGTAGCTGGGACTACAGGAGTGTGCCACCACACCCGACTAATTTTTGTATGTTTCGTAGAGACGGGGTTTCACCACGTTGGTCAGCCTGGTCTCAAACTCCTGACCTCAAGTGATCCGCCCAGCTTGACCTCCCAAAGTGCTGGGATTACAGACATGAGCCACTGCGCCTGGCCGGACCCTGGACAATCTTATTGTCTTTTAAATTTTAGGAAGATGACCTTTGGTACCTCTCTCTCACACTGAGCCAAGACAATCTCATGACCCTACATCGTTGGGTTACAGGTATTTTATGTCCTCTTACCTCCACTGATTATCTTACCCCTACTCTCTGCCTGAAGCACCTCACAGCCCTGTGAACCCGGGTAACCTTGGGCTCCATCCTTGGGCGTGGTCAGTCTGCTCGCCTCCCCGCTGCCCCCTATCCTGAGCTCCAACCCATCCCTGCTCACCCCGGTCCCCAGGAAGGACTTGAAAGAGCTGATAGTCACAGGCCCAGGGCTGGGGCACATTGTGCTTCTGCAAGGCTCGCCGGACCACGCTGGGGGCTTTGTCCTGACTGGTCAGCTGGAAGAGAGGGGCGGGAGGTGAGGTGAGGGCCCCGGCCCCAAGGGCAGGGCAGCCTCCAGCAGACCCCCAGCCCAGCCCCTCACCAAGATGCTTCGATACAGGTTCCCGTGGTCATTGTCGATGCTGACGCGGATGACACGGGCCTCCGAGCTCTGCTGCGCCGGGAGGGGGATTCGAGGGCTGCCCAGAGGCAAAGCGAAGGGCCGGGGGCTGGGCAGGTCCAGGCTCAGGGGCAGCTGCAGGCAGTAAGGGGTGGAGGCTACAGCTTGGCCCATCTGCAGATGCTGAGGGCTAGAAAAGCACGAACACCCCAGCCACCACTGGTGCATTCAATAGCCCCACATTTAAAATCTCAAGAAAACATTGGCTGGGCGCAGTGGCTCATGCCTGTAATCTCAGCATTTTGGGAGGCCGAGGTGGGCGGATCACTTGAGGTCGGGAGTTCAAGACCAGCCTGGCCAACGTGGTGAAACTCCGTCTCTACTAAAAATACAAAAATTAGCAGGGCCTGGTGGCGCATGCCTGTAATCCCAGCTACTTGGGAGGCCGAGGCAGGAGAATCACTTGAACTTGAGAGGCAGAGGTTGCAGTGAGCCAAGATCACGCTACTGCACTCCAGCCTGCGTGACAGAGCAAGACTCCATCTCAAAAATAAATAAATAAATAATAAAATAAAATAAAATCTCAAGAAAACATACTACTACCCCCTACACATGCAGAGCCTGGGACATGCAACTGGAGTACATTCACAAGCCTGCATATACACCACCCTACCATATACAGACTTTGGTTACCTGTTATAGAAACAGACATGAACAGTGTCCATATACACACAACCCATGCTCATACACAAGAAATCCTGTGTACATACATATGCTGACAGCGGTTATACACCCACAGCCCATGCCAATGAACAACCCCACACATGATCTCATGAATACTCAGGCCCACATTTCCTCTTCTGGTACACAGATTCTTTTCTTTTTCTTTTCTTTTTTTTTTGAGACAGAGTCTTGCTCTGTCACCCAGGCTGGAATGCAGTGGTGCCATCTCAGCTCACTGCAACCTCTGCCTCCCAGGTTCAAGCAATTCTCATGCCTCACCCTCCCAAGTAGCTGGGATTACAGGCCTGTGCCACTATGCCCAGCTAATGTTTTTATTTTTAGTAGAGACGGGGTTTCACCATGTTGGCTAGGCTGGTCTCAAATTCCTGGCCTCAAGTGATCCACTGGCCTCGGCCTCCCAAAGTGCTGGGATTACAGGCATGAGCTACCATGCCCAGCCTTCATTTCCTTCATTTCCTTTTCTTTTTTTGTTTTTCTTTTAGAGGGAGCCTCGCTCTGTCACCAGGCTGGATGGAGTGCAGTGGCACCATCTCAGCTCACTGCAACCTCCGTCTCCTGGGTTCAAGTGATTCTCCTGCCTCAGCCTCCCAAGTAGCTGGGACTACAGGTGTGCGCGACCATACCCAGCTAATTTTTCTATTTTCAGTAGAGACAGGGTTTCACCACGTTGGCCAGGATGGTCTCGATCTCTTGACCTCGTGATCCGCCCACCTCGGCCTCCCAGAGTGCTGGGATTACAGGCGTGAGCCACCGTGCCCAGTCTCTTTTTCTTCATAAACAGGATCTCGCTCTATCATGCAGGCTAGAGTGCCGTGGCATGATCGTAGCTCACTGCAGCCTCAAACTCAAGCGATCCTTCCACCTCAGCCTGCTGAGTAGCTGGGACTACACCCAGCTAATTTTTTTGACTTTTAATAGAAATAGGGTCTCACTATGTTGCCCAGGCTGGTCTTGAACTCCCGGCCTCAAGCAATCCTCCCACTTTGGCTTCCCAAAGTGCCGGGATCACAGGCAATAGCCACCGTGTCTGCCATGGTATGCAGATTCTTAGGGACATACATGTCCTCAAAAAAGTGTAGGCTGGGTGCGGTGGCTCACACCTGTAATCCCAGCACTTTGGGAGGCCGAGGTGAGTGCATTGTTTGAGCTCAGGAGTTCGAAACCCACCTGGGCAACATGGCGAAACCTCATCTCTACTAAATAAAAAAAATAGCAGGGCATGGTGGTGCACACCTGTGGTCCTAGCTACTTGGGAGGCTGAGGTGGAAGGATTGCTTGAGCCTGGGGGAGGGGTGGAAGTTGCGGTGAGCTGAGATTGCACCGCTGCACTTCAGCCTGGGTGACAGAGCAAGAAGACCCTGTTTCAAATAAAAAGGGGTGTGATGTGATTGCACCCTAGATGACCCATGGGCAAGCAGTTACACAGGTCCAAATCTGAGCACGAGTCGGATTTATGAGTGATCACCCAAACAGGGCCGTGCAGATGCATGCAATCCCCTGGATGGATACCCCGGGCGCTCAGTGTGCCTCCTGTATACACTCCTGGCCCCACAATCCTGTGTGTACACATGTGCATGCACACACACGTGCACACACACAGAGCCTGGGTGCCCGCAGGCCCGCATGCACACACAAGCCGTCTTGGTACCTTGGTGCTGGGGCCCTGGGGCCCTGGAGAGGCCGGGGGACTGCCAGCAGGAGCATCTCTGCTTCTAGGACTTGAGGGGGGTGACCCTGGGGACACACTGGGGGAGATGCAGAGGCTGAGGTGGGGTGGCTGTGCTGACTCCTGATCCCATGATCCCCAGTCCCATCACCAAGCAGAATGCTCACCTGGAGGTGGGGGATGAGGGGTCCCCGGGACTCCCACTAGGTGATGAGCTTTTCTCTCGGGCAAGCTTCCTAAGGATGGGGACAGGGGATGAGGCTAAGGCAGGAGCAGCCCTTGCTGATATCTGCCCACATCACCGCCCCTACACACACCCCGAGACTCACGCACTGAGACGCTTGGTGAGGCTGATCCGCCGTCGGATGCGTGGGGAGCTGGGGCAGGAGGCAGCTGGTGGCTCAATGACCCGGGAGAGCCGGTAGCTGAGGGGTCAATATGTGGATGAGGTGGTGGGGGCAGGAAATACAGGGGATGGAGAGATAAGAGTTGGAATCAGTTGGGAGGTGGGTTTGGGGTGTAAGGGGGAGCAGCCAGAGGTGGCACCCCACATGCCAGGGTCAGGGTGGTAAATGAGGGTCATTGAGCATCAAGGTCTTATCAGAGATGGGACAGGATGGCTGGTCAGGAGGTCACAAAGAGATTCACAGGGTGGCACTAAGGAATCAAATTGGGTCAGGATTAAAGTCAGGGTCAGGACTGGGTGCAGTGGCTCACGCCTGTAATCCTAGCACTTTGGGAGGCTGAGGCGAGAGGATTGCTTCGGGTCAAGAGTTCGAAACCAGCCTGGCCAATATAGTGAAACCCCGTCTCTACTAAAAATACAAAAAAAATTAGCCAGGTGTGGTAGCTCGCGCCTGTAATTGCGGCTACCGGGGAGGCTGAGGCAGTAGAATTGCTTGAACCTGGGAGGCGGGGGCTACAGTGAGCCGAGATCACTCCACTGCACTCCAGCCTGGGAAACAGAGCCAGACTCTGTCTCAAAAATAAATAAATAAATAAATAAATAAATAAATAAATAAATAAATAAAATAAAGTCAGGGTCAGACTGGGGTCAGGTCACCATTGGGGTCAATGGTTAGGGTCACAGTTATATAGAAAGAAAGGACACAGTTGTCATAGTCAAGCTGGACAGTCAAACATAAAAGTTGGAGTCAGTTACTCAGAACTGAGGGTCAAGGGTTGGGGTCAGAGAGTCAGATGAGGGGTCATGAATAAGGTCATGGGTCAGATAGGACCAAAGATGGGGAAGTCAACAGATGGGACAGTTGAGTTGAATGGCCAGCTGAATGCTAAAGTTGAGGTCAGAAAATCAGATGGGGTTGAAATTGAGGTCAGAGGTCAATTGTGACTATTTTTTTTTTTTTTTTTTTGAGACAGGGTCTCACTCTGTCACCTAGACTGGAACTGCAGTGGCGTGATTTTGGCTCACTCCAACCTCTGCCTCCCAGGCTCCAGCAATCCTCCCACCTCAGCCTCCCAAGTAGTTGGGACCAACGGCACTCAACACCACATTCAGCTAATTTTTTTTTTTTTTTTTTGAGACGGAGTCTCGCTCTGTTGCCCAGGCTGGAGTGCAGTGGCACCATCTCGGCTCCCTGCAAGCTCTGCCTCCCGGGTTCACGCCATTCTCCTGCCTCAGCCTCCCAAGTAGCTGGGACTACAGGCGCCTGCCACTACACCTGGCTAATTTTTTTTTTGTATTTTTAGTAGAGACGGGGTTTCACTCTGTTAGCCAGGCTGGTCTCAAACTCCTTACCTCATGTGATTCACCCGCCTCGGCCTCCCAAAGTGCTGGGATTACAGGTGTGAGCCACCGTGCCCAGCCACGTTCAGCTAATTTTTGTATTTTTTTGTAGATATGGGGTTTCGCCATGTTGCCCAGGCTGGTCTCGAAATCCTGGGCTCAAGTGATCCACCCACCTTGGCCTCCCAAGTGCTGGGATTACACGAGTAAACCACCAGGCCCAGTCTATTTGATTCGACTGGAGATACTGCAAGGTCACAGGTTGTAGTGGGGGATCAGGGCTCAAGAGGGGGTCTTGGGAGGAGCTGGAGGTGTGTATGGAGTGGGTGGAATCCAGTTGGTGACCCAGGCTCAGCTGGGGTGGGGCTGGGACAGGCTACAGGGTGGTCACCTCTGCTCCTCGGTGAGCTGGTTCTGGGCATGCAGGGCAGCCAGGATGGGCGGGTGGGGGCTCAGGGTGTAGCTCTGACAGCGCCTCTGCAGCTGCTGGATGCGGGCCAGGATCTCCCACTCCTGGAGGACGAGCCTCTAAGACCCTACCCCTGCCCCACCCCCACCCTCAGGCACCACCACACCCACTGTAGCCTCCACTCACCTTCCTCCTCTTCTCAAAGTTAATGAGATCCCCCTGGGGGCAAAGTGTGTCTGAATTGCAGCACCCAGGGTCAAGGGTCAAGGGTCAAGGTCAGGGGCTGGGATGTCAGGAGCCCCACTGTAGTAAGGGAGTGTGGGGTGGTGTCAGGAGTACAGGTAGGATCAAGGGTGGATATTGGGAGGCCCATTGTGCTGGGGGCAAGTGGAGCTGGGGTCAGGGGTCAAGGGTCAGGGGTCAGACCTCCAACATATCCGGCAGGGCTGTGTCCAGCATAACCAGGTCCGTAAGGAAGGTGCCAAGGTAGGGGACAGGGCCTGGGGGTGGTTTCTGCAGCCCCCAAAGCTCCAGTCACTTGGGGCCATTACTGACCCCATCACCATCCACAACCCTCCCTGAAGGTCCCACTTGTCCCCATCCCAAACTGTAATCACTCACTGAGGGCAGGCTGCCTGGGGTGTTGTCCTCTTCTTGGGATCCCTCAGTGGCCTCCTCCTGAGGGAAGAGAAAAACTGAGCCAGGTCTGGGGTCTCCTTGGACAATTCCTCAGGAACGATGCCTGCAGACCCATCATATATACCCTTCATGCTTTGAGTAATCAAAAGTCAGTGGTAGGCCAGGTGCGATGGCTCACGCCTGTAATCCCAGCACTTTGGGAGGCCAAGGCGAGCAGATCATGTGAGGTCAGGAGTTCCAGACCACCCTGGCCAATATGGTGAAACCCTGTCTCTACTAAAAATACAAAAATTAGCCGGGTATGGTGGCTCACACCTGTAGTCCCAGCTACTTGGGAGGCTGAGGCAGAAGGATAGCTTGAACCTGAGAAGCAGAGGCTGCACTCTAGAGGGAGTGTCGCTCTGTCACCCAGGCTGGAGTGCAGTGGCGCGATCTCGGCTCACTGCAGGCTCCGCCCCCCGGGGTTCACGCCATTCTCCTGCCTCAGCCTCTCAAGTAGCTGGGACTACAGGCGCCCCCCACCTCGCCCAGCTAATTTTTTGTATTTTTAGTAGAGACAGGGTTTCACTGTGTTAGCCAGGATGGTCTCGATCTCCTGACCTCGTGATCCGCCTGCCTGGGCCTCCCAAAGTGCTGGGATTACAGGCGTGAGCCACCGTGCCCGGCCAAAAAAATTTTTTTTAAGAAAGGGCTGGACATGGTGGCTCACGCCTGTAATCCCAGCACTTTGGGAGGCCGAGGCTGGTGGATCACATGAGGTAAGGAGTTTGAGACCAGCCTGGCTAACAGAGTGAAACTCTGTTTCTACTAAGAATATAAAAAACTAGCTGGGCATGGTAGCATATTTCTGTAATCCCAGCTACTCGGGAGGCTGAGGCAGAAGAATCGCTTGAACCCGGGAGGCGGAGGTTGGAGTGAGCCAAGATCGCACCATTGCACTCCAGCTTGGGCAACAAGACCAAAACTCCATCTCAAAAAAAAAAAAAAAAAAAAAAAGAAGCCAGGGGTTAAGGCCCACTCTAGAAGCCAGACCACCTTGGATGAGGGTAGGGAGGAGATAAACAGCAGGGAGCAGGCCCCATGAGAGGTGGGGCTTGTGGGTAGTGGCCCCCAGGGCTGGCCTTAACAAGGAGAGAATCCTTGTCCGCAGCTGGATGGCACAGGCCTGCCAGGGATCTCCTGGGTATCCTGAATTTGCTGTTGTTTACTTACTTTTTATTTCATTTTATTTTGAGATGGAGTCTCACTTTGTCACTCAGGCTGGAGTGCAGTGGCCTGATCTTGGCTCACTGAAGGCTTGACCGCCCAAGTTCAAGCGATCCTCCCTCCTCAGCCTCCTGAATAGCTGGGACTACAGACGTGCACCACAAACGCCCAGCTAATTGTTGTATTTTTTGCAGAGATGGGGTTTTGCCATGTTGCCCAGGTTGGTCTTGAACTCCTGGGCTCAAGTGATCCTCTCACCTTGGCCTCCCAAAGTGTTGGGATTATAGGCGTGAGTCACTGAGCCCAGCTCACGTGCTGTTCTAGGTGCTGGGCAGGAAAACAGGGTTTCACTCTGTTAGCCAGGTGAAATTTGGCTGGGAGTGATGGCTCACGCCTGTAATCCCAGCACTTTGGGAAGCCAAGGCAGGTGGATCACCTCAGGTCAGGGATTCGAGACCAGCCTGGCCAACACGGCAAAACCCCGTCTCTACCAAATACAAAAATTAGCCAAGCGTCGTGGTGGGTGCCTGTAATCCCAGCTACATGGGAGGCTGAGGCAGAGAGAATTGCTTGATCCTGGGAGGTGGAGGTTGCAGTGAGCCAAGATCGTGCCACTGCACTCCAGTCTGGGTGACAGAGCGAGACTCTGTCTCAATACAAACAAACAAAGAAACAAAAAAACAAATGATGACGACAACAACAACAACAACAAAAAACCAGATGTGTGGTTTTGGGGATGATGGAGGCTGGGAAGGCCTCTCAGAGGCAGGGACATTTAATCAGAGACCAGAAGGAGGTGAGTGAGCAAGTTGCATGCAAACCTGGAGGGGTGGAGAATGTTCCAGGCCCAGGGATCCATTCTAGATTCACTCTAAAAACCAGCGCCTGATTGCAATGAGAATCTAAATCTTGCCTATAAATAAGCCAGACTTTTGACACACATTTTTTAGTTTTGCTTATCAAGGTAAAGTCCTCAGAACATTTTTTTTGTTCCCACCCTGTGCTATGACTCTGGCCTTAAGTAACCTTTTCTTTGTGACTTCTTGTGTTTTGCTGAGTGAATAAATAGGGCAGTCACTGACAGTCAACTATAACGCAGGAAGTAGAGGAAAGAAAAACGTGCAACCCGCCAGGGACAAGGATAAGGTCATTGCTGAGCGGTAGGGAAGGACAGAGTGTCCTGACTATAGCAGGGAGATTACCCCTGCCTGGCCCCAAGTCCCTCCCCCGACTTCCCGGGCCTAAAATCCCTGGAGTCTGCATCCATCTCTACCTGGAAAAGAATCTCTCTGCTGCTGAGGTGGTTGTTCTCATCGGAGAAAATCTGCGAAAGTTTCCTGAAAGTAGATAGCGGTTCCCTGGAAGGACAGGAGAAGGGTGGTCAGGGGTCAGTGGCTTGGGAGGGTCAGACCTGGGATGGGCTGGGGAACAGGTCCCGCCCCAGCTCACCGGCTCACTGCCCCCCAGCTGCGCTTGAGCCGGTAGATGGGGTTAGATTGCAGGGCGGACAGGATGGCGCGCAAGGAGGAGAAGTTCCGCAGTTCTCGGCAGCGCTGCCAGGCGGTGGGGACGCAGGTCAGACCCAGGCATTATCCACCTTTCATCCTGAAACTTCTTCATCTTTTTTTTTTTTTTTTTTTTTTTTTTTTTTTTTTTTTTTTTTTTTGAGAGATAGGGTCTGTGGCCCAGGCTGGAGTGCAGTGGCTCGATCATAGCTCACTTGCTGCCTGGAATTCCTGGGCTTAAGCGATCCACATGCCTCAGCCTCCTGCCTCAGTAGCTGGGACTACAGGCGCGCGCCATCATGCATGGCTTATTATTATTATTATTATTAATTATTTGGACAGAGTCTCGCTTTATCCCCCAGGCTGGAATGCAGTGGCCCGATCTCGAGTCACTGCAACCTCCGCCTCCCGGGTTCAAGTGATTATCCTGCCTCAGCCTCCCAAGTAGCTGGGATTACAGGGGCACACCACCACACCCGGCTAATTTTTTTGTAAGTCTCATTTTTAATTTTTTTAATTTTTTTTTTTTTTCTAGAAACATTGGTCTCACTATGTTGCCTAGGCTGGTCTCAAACTCAAGGGCTCAAGCGATCCTCCCTCTCCCCAAAGTGCTGGGATTACAGGCGTGAGTCACTGCGCCCAGCCTGATCCCGTGACTTGTGACGCCAGGTCGGACCCCTGGGTGTTGTCTCACATCCGACAAGCTACCAAGACTCCCACTTATTCCCTAGGATTCCCTTCCTCCCTCCTCCCTCGGGCTCCAGCCCCTCCCCAGCTGCCCCTCCAGCCCCTGCCTCCGACCTTGACTTCTCCGGTCCGGGCTCCCTACTTCTCCCAGCTCCCTTGGGACCTAGTCGTGCCCGCGGCCTCTCTGCAGGACCCAGACCCTCCTCCCTGAACCCAAGTCTCACCCTAGGTATCAACTTTCCACCCCGTTCCCTCCCTCGCCTAGACTCGCCCCTATCTCTCTCCGGAGCCCTCATTTTTTCCCCTTGCCCCAGGGCCCGCCCCCGCATCCCCTCTCCGCGCCCGCAACACACCTGGGCGATGCGGATCCACTTCTCCAGCCGCTGCGCCCTCTGCGGGGCGGCCAAGCCCGGTGCTCCGAGCACGGAACCCAGCACACAGCCGGTCACGGTGTTGAACTGGGCCACGGTGGCGCGCACAGTGGGGGAGGCGCCTGCAGCCCCCGGCCGGTCCCTCTGCGACCACACGGAGCCCAAGCACTCGTAGAGCCTCACCTTGGAGAAGAGCTCCTGGGCCAGGGGAGGGGTGTGGGATTGGTGCTTAGCAGAACCTGTCCCCTCACTGTGGCTCATCCCGACCCTGTCCGGGATCCTCACCAAGTCTATGAGGGTCAGCTGCTCGGCCACCTCGTCCACGCTGAAGTCCAGGAGCTGGGGACCTTGAGGCATGAGCCCTTCCTCTTCCTCCGCGCAGGCCTCTGAAGAGTCTGGGTCAGAAGTTTGGGCAACTCTGGGAGGTCCTGATCATTAGAAAGGGTTACAAACTCTCAAGTTTGAATCCAAGACTGGCTGTGTGACCTTGGGTGAGTCCCTGTCCCTCTCTGAGGCTCACTTTCCTCATTTGTAAAACGGAGAGCTCTCTTAAATTTTTTTTTTTTTTTGAGACAGTCTTACTCTGTTGCCCAAGCTGGAGTACAATGGCGCAATCTCAGCTGACCACAACCTCCGCCTCCTGGGTTCAAGTGATTCTCCTGCCTCAGCCTTCTGAGTAGCTGGGATTACAGGCATGTGCCACCATGCCCGGCTAATTTTTGTATTTTTAATAGAGACGGGCTTTCACCATGTTGGCCAGGCTGGTCTCAAACTCCTGACCTCAAGTGATCTGCCCGCCTTGGCCTCCCAAAGTGCTGGCATTACAGGTGTGAGCCACCACGCCTGGCCCTGAGTGTTTTTAAGGATGTAACAGCAACAGTAATGTTCACTAAGCAGCTAGTGTGGATTTACTCAGTAACTCACCACTGAGTTACTGTGAGTCCAGTGAGGGAGGTACTATTATTTATCCACCTTTTACAATTAAGGAAAGGGAGGCAAAGAACAATTTGTCACACCTTTGGTAAATGGCAGGGCAGGGGTTTGAAGCCGGGTACTCAAAGGCCAGAGAAGAAAATAGAGCTTTATGATTTTTAACATGTATTAGGATAAGATTAATCTGACCTCTTTTTTTTGGAAAGAGGTGATACGACTTCCTGGTTCAGGGAAGGCTATTGTCAGAAAGTCTCAAACTCAGATGCAAACTCGTCCACTAGCTTGCTGTGTAGAGCATGTATTTTAACCTCTCTGTGCCTTTTTTTTTTTTTTTTAAGACGGAGTCTGACTCTGTCGCCCAGGCTGGAATGCAATGGCGTGATCTTGGCTCACTGCAACCTCCGCCTCCAGGTTTCAACCAATTCTCCTGCCTCAGTCTCCCAAGTAGCTGGGATTACAGGCACGAGCCACCACGCCCAGCTAACTTTTGTATTTTTGTAGAGACAGGGTTTCACCATGTTGGCCAGGCTGGTCTTGAACTCCTGACCTCAAGTGATCTGCCTGCCTCGACTTCCCAAAGTGCTGGGATTGCAGGGGTAAGCTGTGCCTTCTTTTTGAAACAGGCTCTCCCTTGGTCACCCAGGCTGGAGTACAGTGGTGTGATCACAGTTCACTGCAGCCTCAACCTTTTGGGCTCCAGTGATCCTCCTGCCTCAGCCTCCTGAGTTGCTGGGACTATAGGCACACACCACCATGCCCAGCTAATTTTTTATTTTTTGTAGAGACAGGGTCTCATTATGTTGCCAGGCTGGTCTCAAACACCTGGGCTCAAGCGATCCTCCCTCTTGGCTTCCCAAAGTTTTGGGATTGCGGGTGTGAGCCAGTGCGCCTGGCTGTGGATTTCGTTTTTGTTTTCGTTTAAGATCATGCTGCCGGGCGCTGTGGCTCACGCCTGTAATCCCAGCACTTTGGGAGGCCGAGGCGGGTGGATCACCTGAGGTCAGGAGTTCGAGACCAGCGTGGCCAACACGGTGAAACCCCGTCTCTACTAAAAAAAAATACAAAAATTAGCCGGGCGTGATGGCACGCGCCTGTAATCCCAGCTACTCGGGGGGCTGAGGCAGGAGAATCGCTTGAACCCTGGAGACGGAGCTTGCAGTGAGCCGACATCGTGTCACTGCACTCCAGCCTGGCGACAGAGCGAGACTCCATCTCAAAAAAAAAAAAAAAGATCATGCTACCAGACTGCTATAAAGTGCTGAACAAATATGAATAATTTTACTTTAGTGGATTTTGATGGTGGCACCCTGGAGGGGAAACTTTGGAAACTGGGATCCTGAATTGTGCCCTCTAGCCTCCAAATGTATCTCCAGACATTTGTGTCTTTGAAAAACCTGTTTGTGGCTGGTCCCAAGGTAGTGACTTATCTCAATTGATTGTTCACAGTTACAGATCGAACTCCTTGTTCTACTCTTTCCCCCCTTCTCACTACTGCACTTGACTTGTCTTTAAGAAAGGAAGAAGGGGTCTGGCACAGTGGCTCACACATGTAATCCCAGCACTTTGGGAGGCCAAGGCAGGCGAATCACTTGAGGTCAAGAGTTCGAGACCAGTCGGGCCAACATGGCGAAACCCTGTCTCTACTAAAAATACAAAAATCAGCTGAGCATGGTGGCAAGTGCCTGTAATCCCAGCTCGGGAGGCTAAGGCTAGAGAATCACCTCAACCTAGAAGGTGGAGGTTGCAGTGAGCCAGGTCCACGCCACGGCACTCTAGCCTGGGTGACAGAGACTTTGTCTCAAAAAAAAAAAAAAAAGAAAAGAAAAGAAGGCCGGGGGCAGTGGCTCACGCCTGTAATCCCAGCACTTTGGGAGGCCAAGGCGGGTAGATCACGAGGTCAGGAGATCGAGACCATCCTGGCTAACATGGTGAAACCCCGTCTCTACTAAAAAATAGAAAAAATTAGCCAGGCGTGGTGGCGGGCGCCTGTAGTCCCAGCTACCCAGGAGGCTGAGGCAGGAGAATGGCGTGAACCGGCGAGGCGGAGCTTGCAGTAAGCCGAGATCATGCCACTGCACTCCAGCCTGGGCGACAGAGCGAGACTCCATCTCAAAAAACAAAACAAAACAAAACAAACAAACAAACAAAAACAAAAAGAAAAGAAAAACATGTTTGCAATAATATGCACCTAGAACCTGACTATTTTGTTCATAAACACAAATTTTTTTGGCTCCAAGAATGCAAGGACCACGAAAGTCTGGGCTTTGTTTTGTTTGCAAATTGCAAATGTTGTTCACAAGTTTGGAAAATGATGTCCCCAGAACCTATGTTGCTGTCTTTGCCTCACCAGTGCCCTCCTGTGCGTTCGTTGGTGCTTGTTGCTGTCAGTACAACAGCACCGTGACACTCTACTGTGACGCTAGGACAGGCAAAGACACGGGACAACCTCATCATGTGTCCTAGTGGGGCATACCCAAGCATTACCCATTGAAAACATGGTTTATTGCTGTGTAAGTTACTCTCACTTTCCTTCTCCTTTGTACTAGTTATGGCATCATACTATTATTTTATTTTATTTTTTTATTTTGTGATGGAGTCTTGCTCTGTCGCCCAGGCTGGAGTGCAGTGGCTCGATCTCGGCTCACTGCAACCTCTGCCTCCAGGGTTCAAGCAATTCTCCTGCCTCAGCCTCCTGAGCAACTGGGACTACAGGAGGTGCCACTATGCCCAGCCAGCTAATTTAAATATATATATATTTTTTTATTATTTATTTATTTTTTATTTTATTTTATTTTATTTTTTATTTTTTTTAGTAGAGATGGGGTTTCACCATGTTGGCCGGACTGGTCTCGAACTCCTGACCTCAGGTGATCCTCCTGCCTCGGCTTCCCAACGTGCTGGGATTACAGGCATGAGCCATAGCACCCTGCCCCAATACTATTATTTTAAAATAATCTTTGTAAATCTGTGTAATTACCTCTTTCATCTTGAATTAGGACAGGTGGCATTGCAAAATATTAGTTTTTAGAAGTGGGTACTGGGCTGGGCACACCTATAGTCCCAGCACTTTTGGAGGTTGAGGTAGGAGGATTGCTTGAGACCAGGAGTTTGAGACCAGCCTGGGCGGCGTAGTGAGACCCCATGTCTACATAAAAAAATTTTTAAAGTTGCGCATCCTGATGCACACCTGCTGTCCCACCTACTCAAGAGGCTTAGGAGGGAGGATCTCTTGAGCCCAGGAGGTCAAGGCTGCAGTGAGCTGTGATCATGCCATAGCACTCCAGCCTGGGTGACAGAGCAAGAAACTGTCTCTCCTCCCCCCACCCCAAAAAAAAGTGGGCCCTGGAAAAAAAAATGCCCTACATCTAATCAAACCTTTAAATCTTACAGCAATTATGGGGATAGAGAAACATGCTGCATGAAACCATGAGGTAAGTCGAAAAGAATGTGAGACATACCTCAGGAAAAATGACCCATTTTTTTTGCCCTCTAATGGCTTCAAACAAGAGGCAAGGGGGATCTGTTACAGAATAAAAGAGACTTAGGAACAAACGACCGGTAGGGCGTGGTGACTCATGTCTGTAATCCCGACACTTCGGGAGGCCGATGTGGGCAGATCACTAAAGGTTAGGAGTTCAAGACCAGCCTGGCCAACATGGTGAAACCCCCTCACTACTAAAAATACAAAAATTAGCTGGGCGTGTTGGTGGGCACCTGTAAACTCAGCTACTCAGGAGGCTGAGCCAGGAGAATCGCTTGAACCCAGGAGGCGGAGGTTGCAGTGAGCCAAGATCACGCCACTACCCTCCAGCCTGGACAACAGAGTGAGACTCCATCTCAAAAAAAAAAAAAAAAAAAAAAAGAGAAGCAAACAACCAAATACCTTGAGTAGATCTTTGGATTTCAATTTGAAGAAACAACTATTCCTCCTTCCCCCAGCTCTATCGCCTGGAGTGCAGGGGCATGCTCACAGCTCACGGCAGCTTTGATTTCCCGGAGTCAAGAGATCCTCCCATCTCAGCATCCTAAGTAGCTGGGACTATAGGCATGTGCCACAACACCTGGCCAGAAACAACTGTCAAAAGAAAATTTAGGGCTGGGTGCCATGGTGGGCACCTGTGGTCCCAGCTACTCAGGAGGCTGAGGTGGGAGGGTCAGGAGTTCAAGCCCAGCCCAGGCAAAATAGGAAAACCCAGTGTCCAAAAAAAGGTTCAGGCACAAACAGGGGATTTGAATATTTGAATATAGACTGGGTATTTTTTCTGTTTTTGAGGCAGGGTCTCGCTCTGTCACCTAGGCTGGAGTACAGTGGCATAATCACGGCTCACTGCAGCCTTGACCATCCCAGGCTAAAATGATCCTCTTGCCTCAGCCTCCCAAGCAGCTGGGACTATAGGCAGTCACCACCATGCCCAGCTAATTATTTGTAGACACAAAGTTTCAACATGTTGCCCAGGCTAGTCTCAATCTCCTGGGCTCAAGCCATCCACCTGCCTTGGCCTCCCAAAATGCTGGGATCGCCAGCAGGAGCCTCTGCATCTGGCCTGGATTGGATTTTTTTTATATCAAATATTTCTGATTTTTTTTTAAGTATGAACATGAAGGTTATTAAAAAATAAAAATAAAAGGGCCGGGCGCCATGGCTCACGCCTGTAATACCAACACTTTGGGAGGCCAAGGTGGGCGGATCACCTGAGGTCAGGAGTTCGAGACCAGCCTGACAAACATGGAGAAACCCCCCTCTCTACTAAAAATAGAAAATTAGCCGGGTGTGGTGGTGCACGCCTGTAATCCCAGCTACTCGGGAGGCTGAGGCAGGAGAATCACTTGAACCCAGGAGGCAGAGGTTGAGGTGAGCTGAGATCCTGCCATTGCACTCCAGCCTGGGCAACAAGAGCGAAACTCCGTCTCAAAAAAAAAAAAAAAAAAAGTAAGCCTGTTGTCAGACATGTGTACCCAAAACATTTATGTATGAATTGACATAAGCCCGGGATTTGTTTTAAAATCATCCTGAAAATATTTTTTTGTGAAATTGATCATCGTTGATGATAGGTGATGGATGTCTGAATGTTCTTCATACTATTCTCTCTACTTTTGTATATGTCTGAAATTTTCCATAGCAAAAAGTGAACCCAAAATAAAGTTGTTAAAATAAAATAGATGAGCATGGTGGTCATCTACTTTCTTCTAAACTACATGGTGCAAGTGTAGTCTTAGCTACTCAGGAGGCTGAGGTAGGAGGCTCACTTGAGCCCAGGAGTTCGAGTCCAGCCTGGGCAACAGAGCAAGACCCTGTATCTAAAAATAAAATTCATAGTCGGGTGCGGTGGCTCACGCCTGTAATCCCAGCACTTTGGGAGACCGAGGCAAGCGGATCACGAGATCAGGAGATCGAGACCATCTTGGCTAGCACGGTGAAACCCCGTCTCTACTAAAACTACAAAAAATTAGCTGGGCCTGGTGGCGGGCGCCTGTAGTACCAGCTACTCAGGAGGCTGAGGCAGGAGAATCACTTGAACCCAGGAGGTGGAGGTTGCAGTAAGCCAAGATCGCGCCATTGCACTCCAGCCTAGGCGACAGAGCGAGACTCTGTCTCAAAATAAAATAAAAGTAAAAATAAATAAAATAAAATAAAATGAAATAAAGTGTGTCCCAGGGCCTAGCACATAGAAGGTCTTAAACAAATGTTAATTTTCTCCTCTGACCTCAAAGAAACTAGGGCAGCACTTTCCATATAATTCTCTGCAATGGTGGAAAAATTATCTATCTGCTATGTCCAGTGTGGTGGCTGAGCACTCAAAATGTGGGTAGTGGGATTGAAGACCTGAATTTTTGCCTTTGCTTGACTGGATTTTGAAAAAGAAAAAAAAAAAAAAAAAAAGCGGGCCAGGCATGGTAGCTCACGCCTGTAATCCCAGCACTTTGGGAGACCGAGGTGGGTGGATCACCTGAGGTCAGGAGTTCAAGACCAGACTGACCAACATAGTGAAACGCTGTCTCTAATAAAAATACAAAATTAGCTGGGTGTGGTGGCAGGTGCCTATAATCCCAGCTACTTGGGAGGCTAAGGCAGGAGAATCTTTTGAACCTGGGAGGAGGAGGTTGCAGTGTGCCGAGATGGCGCCACTGCACTCCAGCCTGGGTGACAGAGCGAGGCTCCGTCTCAAAAAAAAAAAAAAAAAAAAAAGGGCAGGGTCAGGCACAGTAGCTCACACTTACAATCCCAGCACTCTGAGAGGTTGATGCTGGAGGATTGCTTAAGCCCAGGAGTTCGAGACCAGCCTGGGCAACATGGCAAGACCCCATCTCTAAAAAGAAAAGACCTGAATTTTATTTAATTTTAATTAATTAATTAATTATTATTATAATTTTGTTTTTTGGTTTTTTTTTTTTAGGCAGAGTCTCGCTCTGTCACCCAGGCTGGAGTTCAGTGGCTTGATCTCAGCTCACTGCAAGCTCCGCCTCCCAGGTTCGCGCCATTCTCCTGCCTCAGCCTCCCGAGTAGCTGGGACTACAGGCGCTCGCCACCACGCCCGGCTAATATTTTTTTGTATTTTTAGTAGAGACGGGGTTTCACCATGTTAGCCAGGATGGTCTCGATCTCCGAACCTTGGGATCCGCCCCCGTCGGCCTCCCAAAGTGCTGGGATTATAGGCATGAGCCGCCGCGCCCAGCCAATTTTAATTAATTTAAATAGCGACAGGGGCTAGTGGATACCACAGTGAACTATGGAGCTCTAATGACTTGGAATCAGCTGGAGAAATCATATATATATATATATATATATATATATATATATATATATATACACCTATATATATATACCTTTATATATATATATACCTTTATATATATATACCTTTATATATATATATACCTTTATATATATACCTTTATATATATATACCTTTATATATATATACCTTCATATATATACATATATATATATACCTTCATATATATATATATACCTTTATATATATATACCTTTATATATACCTTTATATATATATATACCTTTATATATATACCTTTATATATATATACCTTTATATATATATACCTTCATATATATACATATATATATATACCTTCATATATATATATATATATACACCTTCATATATATATATATATATATATATATATATATATATATACCTTTATATATATATAAATAACTGAGACTTTGTCACCAGGGATAGAGAAGTGGCTGCTACTTTGTAAATTGGACAGGAAGGTGGCCACTATAATCTGGAGATTAAGCGATGGGGATTAGGGATAGAGATGCTTTTGTGATGTGGATCAGATCAAATACAGATGGGTGAAAGATGATACTTCCTAAGCAGGATGCAATTATTCAGCAAACTAATCTGTGTTGTTCCTGCCCCTGGGGACAGAGCTGGGAGCAAGAACAACAGGTCCTCCTCTCATGCACTCACAGCCTATGAGATGAGCAAAAGCCAATAATCAAGTAAGGAGGCTACGCATGCACAATGGCTTATGGCTGTAATCCCAGCATTTTGGGAGGCCAAGGCAGGCAGATCACTTGAGTTCAGGAGTTTGAGACCAGCCTGGGCAACATGGCACAACCTCACCTTTACAAAAAAATTAGCCGGGCGTGGTGACATGCGCCTGTGGTCCCAGCTACTCAGGAGGCTGAGACAGGAGAATGGCTTGAGCCCAGGAGGTGGAGGTTGCAGTGAGCCAAGATTGTGCCACTGCACTCCAGCCTGGGTAACAGTGCGAGACTCTGTCTAAAAAAAAAAATAGATAAAAAAATAAAATTAAATTAAATTAAATTTAAAAAGAAATTCAAAAATAAGAAAAATTTTACAGGCTAGGTATAGTGGCTCGCGCCTGTAATGCCAGCAGTTTTGGAGACCCAGGCGGGAGGATCACCTGAGTCCAGGATGTTGAGCCTGCACTGAGCCATGATGGAGACACTGCACTCCAGCCTGAGCAACGGAGCAAGACCCTGACTCAAAAAAAAGAAAATAAAGACAAGTATCAAGGCAATGGTTTGTAGCTAGAAACACAGAGCATCCTGACCCAACGGCACCAAGGAGGGAAAAGTATTAGACACATGCTAATACTTCAGACAAAGAATTTGTTTTTTTTTTTAGACGGAGTTTCGCTCTGGTTGTCCAGGCGAGAGTGCAATGGCACGATCTCGACTCACCGCAACCTCCGCCTCCCGGGTTCAAACGATTCTCCTGCCTCAGCCTCCCGAATAGCTGGGATTATAGACATGCCCCACCACGCCCGGCTAATTTTGTATTTTTAGTAGGGATGGGGTTTCTCCATGTTTGTCAGACTGGTCTCAAACTCCTGACCTCAGGTGATACACCATCCTTGGCCTCCCAAACTGCTGGGATACAGGCGTGAGCCACCACGCCCGGCTGACAAAGAATTATTATCCCCATTGTAAAGATGAAGAAATTGAGGCTTAGAGTTTAAAATCTTGCTTAAGTTTTGTAGCTCTGAGAGGGGAGAGAAAGCCTGTGTGGGAAGAAGCAGACAGGAAAGGCCTTCTCAGAACACGACTGGATCTGAAAACCCCTCACCTGTCCACACCTGAGGCGGCTCCTCTTCCTGCTCTCGCTCAGCCTCCTCCAAAAAATCTTCCAGAAGCTTCTCTGCTTTTTGAGCCTCAGCACTCCCTGGGGCCGCCCAGC
The DNA here is from genome assembly GCF_000001405.40 of Homo sapiens. Taxonomy (NCBI): domain Eukaryota; kingdom Metazoa; phylum Chordata; class Mammalia; order Primates; family Hominidae; genus Homo; species Homo sapiens. Next base: position 11,416,048 of record NC_000019.10, read on the forward strand.
CCAGAAAGGTTCGGACACTGCCCAGGTCCGAATGGGCAGGGTGGTCTCGGAAATCCTGAGGGTGGTCCTGCAGCCAGGAGCCCAGCACTGACACCACAGCCCTGGCCAGAGAGGCAGGGTCTCAGAGCTGGGTCCAGAGTGGGGGACATAGAATATGACTCCTGGTACCTTTTTTTTTTTTTTTTTTTTGAGATAGAGTCTTACTGTGTCACCAAGGCTGCAGTGCAATGGCCTGATCTTGACTCACTGCAACCTCAGCCTCCCGAGTAGCTGGGACTACAGGCATGCGCCACCACACCCAGCTACCTTTTTTTGTTGTTGTTGTATTTTTAGTAGAGACAGGGTTTCGCCATATTGGCCAGGATGGTCTCTAACTCCTGACCTCCAGTGATCCACCTGCCTCGGCCTCCCAAAGTGTTGGGATTACAGGCATGAGCCACCACGCCCCACCTGACTCCCAGTCTCTTATTACCCAACCTGCAATTTTCAAAACCCCAGTCCGACTGCTAACCTTTGACCTCTTGGATTTCCCTCCCCGCACTCCCCTATCTGGATGAAGGACCCACCTCAGGTTCTTGTTGAAGCTCAGATCTTGTACCGCTGTCTTCTTGATCTCTACCCTGGGAAGAGGCCCCCCAGCAGGTGAAGAAGGGGGAACCTAGAGGGGGCTTAGGAAGAGGGCTCTGGGTCTGGGAGGTGTTTCCAGGTTCCACACCTGAGGAGGTGGAGGGGGGTGCCCAGTTGGGGTTCTAGGGTGGAGAATACGGAGGTTATGGTTCGCTACTGACCCGGGAGGTGGGGGCGGTGGCATTGGTGGCAGCAGAAAGCCCAGCAGGCAGGCAGTGGGTACAAAGGTCCGGTAGGTGGCCAGGAAGGCGGGCATGAAGCTGGGGTCCTGCTCACGGTCTCCAAACACCAACTCTCCCACCAGCCGCTCCAGGCGCGCTGCCCTCAGCACCCTCACCTTGCTGGTTCGATAGTGGAGGAAGGTATTGGCAATGGGGCTGGGAGCCTGCAGGAGGGGAGAGGTGGCCATGAGAGAGCAGGAGTGGTCCTCACAGCACCCCTTCTCTAGTCACATTCATCACTAGCACCACTCTTTTTTTTTTTGTTTTTTTTTTTGAGACAGAGTCTCACTCTGTTGCCCAGGCTGGAGTGCAGTGGCACGATCTTGGGTCACTTCAACTTCTGCCTCCTGGGTTCAAGCAATCCTCCTTCCTCAGCCTCCAAGTAGCTGAAACTACAGGCGCACACCACCAAGCCCAGCTAATTTTTGTATTTTTGTAGAGATAGGGTTTCACCATGTTGGTCAGACTGGTCTCGAACTCCTGACCTCAAGTAATCTGCCCCCCTTGGCCTCCCAAAGTCTCCCAAAGGGCTAGGATTACAGGCGTGAACCACCGTGCCCAGCCCCTAGCACCACTTTTTTTTTTTTTTTTTTGAGACAGAATCTCACTCTGTCACCTAGGCTGGAGTTCAGTGGCGTGATCTTGGCTCACTGCAACCTCCGCCTCCTGGGTTCAAGCAATTCTCTGCCTCAGCCTCCCAAGTATCTGGGATTACAGGCACCCGCCACCAAGCCCAGCTAGTTTTTTCGTATTTTTAGTAGAGACGGTGTTTCACCGTCTTGGCCAGGTTGGTCTTGAACTCCTGACCTGATGATCCACTTGCCTCGGCCTCCCAAAGTGCTGGGATTACAGGCGTGAGCCACCTCGCCCCGCCTGTAGCACCATTCTTTCATGTGATTCCTCTGTCTCCCGGCTTCTTGGAGTTATTGTTTTGGTTTGTTTTTTTTAGAAACAGGTCTTGTTTTGTTGCCCAGGCTGGGGTGCAGTGGCACAATCATAGCTCACTGCAGCCTCCAAGTCCTAGACTCAAGCGGTCCCTCTGCCCCAGCCTCCTGAGTAGCTGGGACCACTGCTGGGCATCATCACGCACAGCTAGTTTTTTAATTTTTATTTTTATTAGAGAGAATCTTGCTGTGTTGTCCAGGCTGGTCTCCAATTCCTGGCCTTCTGCCTTGGTCTCTCGAAGCGCAGGGATTATAGGTGTGTGCCCCACTCCCTGCCCGCTTGAAGTTATTGTTCCTCCCCATCCACAAATAGCTCCTGCAACTTGCCCTGGAAACCCTCCCTCTCCCATGCCCTGTCCCCTACTCCCTCTCCCGTCCCCTCCCCCTCCCGTCCCCTCCCCCCACCCCCCCGCCCCCGCCCCACACACTCTTTTCCACCCAGGGCTTCCCTCAGCCCTCCTGTCGCGCTTCACTGGCTGCCCCATCCGCCCTCACCTAGCCACTTCTAAACCAACCCCATTCCACCTTCCAGCCCCGGCCCTCTAAACCTGCCTTTCCCAACTCTGCCGTCCAGTTCTGTCCTTACCAAGTTGTCCCTAGGCTCCTCTCGGGAACTGCGCGGCCATCGCCTGGCCCCACCCCATTCCCTGGATCTCCCCCCACTTACCTGGCCGCCCCCAGTCCCCTTTCTACCTGGTCGCCTCATCTGGTCGCCTCCGAGCCCCTCCCTTCCTTCCGCCCACTGCACCTGGCGGCCTGTGCTCGGCTCTCCAGCTCCGCCCTCAACTGGTCGCTTCCGGCCCCGCGCCACCCACCAAACCCCCTCCTCACCTGGCTGCCCCCGGGGCCCTCCGCCGGGCTCCTGCGCTGACTGCGCTGCCGCCGCAGGGAGACACTGTACACCGCGCCGTCCTCGGTCTCTTCACCCCAGTCCTGCAGCGGTGCCTGGACGCACAGGCGGACTCAGGGCACCAAAGGGGCACAGGTCCTGGGGCCTCAGCCTCCTTGGCCGCTCGGACTCGGGCCGAGTCCTCCTGCTGCATCCCCACGCCCCTTCCCGGCCAGAAGCTGCGAGACTAGGGCTGGGGTCCCAGGCTAGTCCCCTCCTCGCTGCGGGTCCCCTCCTCCCAGGTCCTGAGGACATGGGGTGGCATTTGGGGATGTCCCAGGGCCCAGTCTAATAGAACCTGTCTCTAGCTCTTTCTGCCGACTGCGCTCAGAGACTCGCGCCCCCATCCCTAAGAGGAACCAGTCGCTTCACTGGGTCAAGGGCCGCGAGTCCCCAGGAGGGGACTCCAGGGCAAGTTCAGATTGGGAGCAGATACCGTCCGACGGGCGGGCGCTTGGAGTTTCTGGACCTGCGGGTCACCAGGGATGCGGGGTCCGGGGATCCCTTGTCCCCTTACCAGGGCCAGCTCTTTGCCTGCTGTGCGCTCCATGGCCGGCGCCCGTCCCTCTCAGTGGCGCCGCTGAGTGAGGCGGAAGGGCCGGCGGGTGGCGGGTGGCGGGCGGCGGGCAGTGGCCGGGCGCTGAGGCCAGAGGGGCGGAGCGGCCGAGCTGCTGGGGCGGGGCGGGGCAGGGCAGGCCGGACCCAGCCTCTGGGTGCCTCCAGCCGGACCCAGCGCCAGCCCAGGAGAGGTCCTGGCTCTTCCGCTGGGTGCCTATCAATCTGTCCCCAGAAGAAAGGACATATCTGTCCCCAAGGGGTCTTTTTTGTATCCCCAGATGTGGGGGAGCTCCTGTGTGGGGGCATGTGTGTGTCCCCAGACCAGAGTCCTCTGTCCTCCAGTGGAAGGGGCTAGCTTGATCAAGTGTGGGGGCATCTTCCACTTTTTATTATTATTGCTATTATTTTGAGATGGAGTCTCGTTCTGTCACCCATGCTGGAGTACAGTGGCTTGATCTTAACTCACTGCAACCTCCGCCTCCCAGATTCAAAGGATTCTTGTGCCTCAGCCTCCCAAGTAGCTAGGATTACAGGTGCCGCCACCATGCTCAGCTAATTTTTGTATTTTTTGTAGAGGCGGGGTTTTGCCATACTTGCCAGGCTGGTCTCAAACTCCTGGCCTCAAGAGATTCGCCCACCTCAGCCTCCCAAAATGCTGGGATTACAGGCATGAACCACGGCGCCCAGCCTTATTATTTTTTAGAGACAGGGTCTCACTCCTGTTGCCAAGGCTGCAGTGCAGTGGCTTGATCTTGGCTCACTGCAATCTCCGCCTCCTGGGTTCAATCCATTCTCCTGCCTCAGTCTCCCAAGTAGCTGGGACTACAGGCATATGCCACCATGCTCAGCTTTTTTTTTTTTTTTTTTTTTTTTTTTTTTTTTTTTGGTAAAAACTGGTTTTCACCATGTTGCCCAGGCTAGTCTGGAACCCCTGGGCTCAAGCGACACACCCAGCTCAGCCTCCCAAAGTGCTGGGAATATAGGTATGAATGAGCCACTGCACCCCGCCCTTATTTTATTTATTGAGACAGGGTCTGGCTCTGTGGCCCAGGCTGGAGTGCAGTAGCACGATCATAGCTCACTGCAGCCTGGAGCTCCTGGACTCAAGTGATCCTCCCAACTCAGCCTCCCAAAATACTGGGATTACAGGCATAAAACCACTACATCGGGCCATCTCCCATTTTTAAGCTCCATCTGCGTCACTAGCTGATGGGAGTCATCATGACCCAGGTTGGAGGAGGCAGTCTGTGGCCCTGGGTTTTCAGGGACAGCCGTCTCTTGGGTGGTGCAGGGTCAAAAACAGATGAATACCCAGGGGCATGGTCGGTAACATTTATTGCGCAACTCTGAGGCCGGGGCGGACCCAGCTGGGGAGATTTACTGTGGGAACGTCTGGCCCGGCCCCTTCCTCCCCTCCGGGCGCCGCTGGCCGCCTCCGTTCCCGGTCCGGGCCGCGTTCAGCCCCTGAAGGGGCCCCGTGGGGCCTGCGCTAGACCCGGAGGGATCGGGGGCTCCGAAGGGGGCCGCCTGGTGGGTGTCAGGACGAGTCTAGGACCTCCGAGAGCGACGGTGCTTCTTGTGACTTTCGATTAATTTCTGGGAACGGATCTTGAGTGATGCGCGGGTCACTACCTCGTTGTCCTCCTCCTCACTCTCTTCGTCTAAGGGGGGTGGGGGGATGAGCAGGGAGCGATGTGGGATCCAGGTCCCCATCCCTGGCTCCCCTTCCCTTTACCACCCCACTCCACCCCCACCTTGGCCCTGAACAGGGTATCTGACAACCTCCTGCTACCCAGCTTGGGGCCCCAACCGCACCCCTTCATCCCCCCACCCATACTGACCAAAAAACTTGTCCTTGGAAGTGGCAAGGGGCAGGGCGATGCGGGTGTTGTATTCGGGCAGCCTTCCCTCTAAGCTGGCGAGGAACTAAGCGGGGATGGGAAGCGAGAGAGGAAGGTGGGCGGGGCCAGGGGCCACCGAGAAGTCACGTTCCCCCTCCTCCCTACCCCATTCCGAGATATGCCCTAGTTCCAACTGGAGACCACTGCCCACTCCCATCCCTCCTTAAGCAGGCACCTTGATACCCAGCTTCACCCCCTCATCACTCAGGTCCGCCCCTGGTCTCTGGGGCCCTGCCACTAGGCCTCTCCCCATCCGGATACCCCAGCCGCGTCCTCTAGCCTCACAGGACCCGCCTGCACCTCTTCTGGTTTCTTCCCTCGTGGCTCGGGCTCACCCCTGGCTCGTCAAACCTCGCCCGTTGTCCCCGAGACCCCTTCCTGGCTGATCAGCCTGCAATCTGGTCTCCCGAAGTTGCCCCCGGTTCCCTGGTTTTCCGACCCAGCCCTACTCCTAGATCTCTGGAGCTCTGCCCCATGGCTGCAGGGCACCTCGCGGTTAGCGATGTGGCACAGCATCTCCTGCACGTCGTGGCCCTGGAGCTGCGCCTGCAGTTTCAGCAGCTTTTCCTCCACGAGGCCCAGCAGGTTTGGCACATAGTTATCTGCCTGGGGATCCAGCTCCTTTCCCGCGAAGCGGCCGTCCTCCTGCGGCCAGGGTAGAGCCGGGTCAGCCGAGAGGGGTGGGGCCTCTTGGAAGGCTCCACCCAGGGGCGGGGCTTTTCTTTCGGGGGCGGGGCCTAGGAGGTAAGGGCCCACCTGCAGGGTCGATCCTAGCCATTGGGGGCGGGGACTTAGGTCAAGGCCACGTCTGTGATGGGGGAGCCTCTGAACTCTAACTCTATATGTAAAGGTTTCGGGGAGGCCTCTTGGGAACAGTAAGGATTCGAGGGAGGCCATTGTGGGATGGCCTCCTGAAGAAATGGCCCTCTGCTGCGGGCAGGATAGGTCTTCTGTCTCGGGCTGCTCCAGAACTGCAGATAGGTCTCCGAGCTTTTCGGGGACAGGGTGGGACTTCTTTCCCTTGGAGGCGGAGCTTGAGACGGGACAGGGTCTCTGACGTCTTGGGCTTCCTTGGGGAGTGAGAGCTTCCCCAGGGAGGTGGGGCGGGGACTCTGAGGAATGGGGTGGGGCTTCCCCTGTGGGCGGGGCCTCTGACGTCCGGGACAGAGGATGTGGCAGGCCACGTTCCCTCGGGCAAGCTGGTGTGGCAGGAACCCCGCTTCGTGGCTGCGCCTCTGCGGTCCCAGGAGGGCCTGTCGGGGCTTCCCCTGGGCGGGGCCTACCACAGTGATGTGGATCAGCTTGCTGGCCAGGTGCTCCAGGCTGTCCTTGGCCACTTGCATCGCCCGCAAGGCGCGCTCCAGCTGGTCCTTGGCCTCGGCGTGCCGCCGCTCCTCCTTCTTGAGACGCTCCTGCGCCTCGGCTTGCAGTTTCTGCTGGCTGCAGGGAGCCGGGAGGTCACCCCGGGGGCTCAGCCCGCCCCGCCGCCCTCCCCAGAGCCCCGGTGCCTCACCTCACCAGCGTGGCCTCCCCCGAGTACTTGAGGTCTTCCAGCTCCCGCTGCAGTTGTTGCTTCTCCTGCTTCAGCCTCACCAACGTCTGCTCGTTCTCGCTCTTGAGCGTCTCCAACTGCGCGAAGGTGTCGCCCTGGGCCAGGAACCGCCGCACCAACGACTGCGGGCCACCCAGCCCCAGTCAGAGCCAGGGCCTAGGGAGCGTAGGGGCGCTCCACCTCCTCTCCCCCACCCTGCGAACCCTCGCACGCAGGACAGGTGGCCTGAGCTGGCGCCTTTTGCACAGCAATGTATGGGGACACTGTGGGTTGGACGCAGGGTTGCTTCAAGGGTGAGCAGCCCTGGATATATCATTTTTGCGGGGCCCTTTCTGGCCTATATAAGGAATTTGAGTCAGCCCAAACTCGGGGGCAACTGGAGAGGCGAGCATAGCTTCTTTCCAAAATCAAAGTGCCATCAATTTCTGGCCGTGAATCTCGCCCGATTCCGCAGGAAATACCGCCCGTCTTCGGAGCCATCCGCTCACAAGGCCCACATCTGGAAAGGGGCTGCGCCTCAGTGCCCCAGATGACCCCATAGGTGTACTCCTATAGGTGGGAGTCCCGGAAGTCATCAGGGGTCGGCCCCATCGGAGGAGCAGCAGGTTGGCGGACACCCAGAGGGGAGAAACAGGGTTGGGGTCCAGTGTTCACCGGCGGGAACCAGGACCCAAGGGGGACACAGCGGTCTTAGAATAATGCAAGGAAGACTTTACAGTGAGGGACCCGGCGCAGGGACCCCACTTGCCAGGATCTGAGGATGGTACTGGGCGGTCCACTGGGTCCCAGACCATGTTACAGACACTGGAGACAGAACAAGAGACGAAACTCCCAGTTCTCCTAGAGCTGGCATGGCAAAGGAGTTAGCATGGTGCAAGAGAGAACGGAAGGCGAGTGTAGAAATGACGGCGAGTGTAGACAGCTCCTAGGGGTTTTGCTGCGAAGGGCAGCAGAAAAACTGAACGGTAGCTGGAGGGGGAAGGGATGTTTTTCAAGAAAGGAGCAGGTTTGTGAGCTGAATAACCGACCTGGCAGAGAGGGGAGACAGGGTGTGTCGGTTTCACCGGCTTAGGCACCCCTGGGGCCCGTCTGGGGTGGGGGGGGGGCGCGGCGGAGAGGGCTGCGGGCAGAACTCACGTGCGTCTCGTCAGTGCCAGTGGCGTCCTTGACCTTGCCAAAGATCACCTCCATCTGGTACATGCTCCAGCGCTGCCGCAGCTCCTCCTCCTTGGCATGCAGGCTGTCCTGGATGGTGTCGTCGGACTGTAGCAGCAGGTGCTCGCGGTGGGTCTGCTCGTGGGTTGAGGTCAGAGCCAGGGTCAGCTGGTGGACAGCGCTTGGGAAGGAGGCCGGGGAGGGGGATCCAGATAGGGGCCCGCGAGGAACAGGGCTCAAACTGGAGGGAAGGGAGAGGGCAAAAGCTTGGGGCCAGATAAAGGCACCCGGGCAGGTGTCAAGAAAGTGGGACAAGGTCGGGCGCGGGGGCGGTGGCTGTGGCTCACGCCTTTAATTCCAGTACTTTAGGAGGCTGAGGCGGGAGGATTGTTTGAGCCCAGGGGTTCGGGACCAGCTTGGACAACACGGCGAGACCCCGTCTCTACAAAAAACACCAAAATTAGCAGGGCGTGGTGGGGCGCCTGAAGTCCCAGCTACTTGGGAGGCTGAGGTGAGAGGATCACTTGAGCCCAGGAGGTCGAGACTGCAGTGAGCTATAATTAGTCTGAGCGACAGAGACCGTGTCTCAAAAAAAAATCCATATATATATGTATATATGTATATATATGTATATATGTATATATGTGTATATATACCTATGTGTATATATGTATATATGTGTATATATACCTATGTGTATAAATATATATGTGTATATATACCTATGTGTATATATGTATATATGTGTATATATACCTATGTGTATATATGTATATATGTGTATATATACCTATGTGTATATATGTATATATGTGTATATATACCTATGTGTATATATGTATATATGTGTATATATACCTATGTGTATATATGTATATATGTGTATATATACCTATGTGTATATATGTATATATGTGTATATATACCTATGTGTATATATGTATATATGTGTATATATACCTATGTGTATATATGTATATATGTGTATATATACCTATGTGTATATATGTATATATGTGTATATGTACCTATGTGTATATATGTATATATGTGTATATGTACATATGTGTATATATGTATATATGTGTATATGTACATATGTGTATATGTATATATGTGTATATATACATATGTGCATATATACATATGTGTATATATGTGTATATGTGTATATATGTATATGTGTATATGTACATATGTGTATATATGTATATATGTGTATATGTACATATGTGTATATGTGTATATGTACATATGTATATATACATATGTGTATATGTACATATGTGTATATATACATATGTGTATGTGTACATATGTGTATATATGTGTGTATATGTACATATGTGTATATATGTATATGTACATATGTGTATATGTGTGTATATGTACATATGTGTATATATGTGTATGTGTACATATGTGTATATGTACATATGTGTATATATGTATATATGTGTATATGTACATATGTGTATATATGTGTGTATGTACATATGTGTATATGTATATATACATATATGTGTATATACACATATGTGTATATGTATATATACATATATGTGTGTGTATATATGTATATATGTGTGTATATATGTATATATGTATATATGTGTGTATATATGTATATATGTATATATGTGTGTATGTATGTATATATGTATATATGTGTGTATGTATGTATATATGTATGTATATGTGTATATATGTGTGTGTATATATGCATATATGCATATATGTATATATATGTATATACGTATATATATATATATATATGCAAAAAAAACCTATCAAACAACAACTACAACAACAACAACCCAAAAAACAAAAAGGCAGGACAGGGCTTTGGTGAGGGCTGGATGGGAGGCAGCCTCAGGGCAGGTGCAGGGGCGGGGCCAAGAGTGAGGGGGCAGGGCCTTAGGCAACGGTTGGCTCAGAGGCACGGTCAGATTCAGGACAGGCAGTCTAGTCAGGTGGGAAAGGATGGGTAGGGGGGTCACTGAGTAAGGGGAAGGCTGGAGGCCATGTCAGAGCCAAAATGGTGCAGTCGCTTAGGAGGGGAGGGGAGGAGAGGCGGGGTCAGGGATGTGGGAGGGGTCTTCGCACCAAGTGGGGGTGGAGTCAGAGAGGGGGCGGGGTTAGGAGAAACAGAAAATGGGAGAAGGCCTAGGATGAGGGAGAGCCAGGGCATGGCTGGTTTGTGCTGGGCTGGGCTGGAGTCACAGGCGCGCACCCCTGGGTGCGCCCACCTTGCGCTCCATGCGCTCGTTCTCCAGTTTCTTCTCCTCGGCGCGCTTCTTGCACTCACTTATGTAGCGTTCCCGCTTCTTGCGCTCTCGAACCAAGGTCTCCTCTAGGTACTGCAGCTGGTTCTGGAGGGCGGGCAGGGTAGCAGGGAGACCAGCTGGCACCTACCACTGCCCGCCGCAGGGTGCTGGGAGATAGATGGGGGCGGGGGCGTAGGGGAAGCTCAGGGACAGCTGAGGTCAGATTCTCAAGCTGGGAGACCGCGGCAGCTGGGCAGGATGGCCGAGGGCAAGAGGGGTGGCACCTTGGCAATGTCCCGGGCATTGAGGGCCTCTTGGTTCACCACGTGCAGTGCCTCCAGCTCATGTTTGGTCCTCACCACCTCAGCCTCCATGGAGTCCAGCCGGTTCTCCAAGTTGAGGCTCTCGTCCTGGGGCGTGGTGGGGAGGGGTAGCGGAGATGGTGCAGGTCTGTGACTGCTGTCCCTAGCCAAGCCCGCCCTCCCTGTTTGTCATCTCACCCGAGCCCTCCTAGTCCCTACCATTAGATAGGCCTTGAGCTGCAGGTACACGCTGGTAATGTGCTCGGCCTCCTGCGCCTTCATCTGGGCCTTCTCCAGGCGGTTCTCCAGGTTCCGCATGGTCTGGAGAGCAGCAGGGCTGGGCTGAGGGCCCTCCGCACTCAATCCCTCCCACACGACCCTCTGCCCTGCAGGCCTCACCCGCCCCTACCTTGGCCACCTCCGTGTGTCTGTTTTGCGCCTCCGCCATCTCCAGAAGGCGCAGGCTGTGCTGCAGCTGGAGCTCCTCCAGCCGCCTCTGCCGCAACACCACCTGGTGCCGCAGGGCGTTCTGCTGCTTCACCTTCTCCCTCAGCCGGTGGTCTAGGTGCTCCAGGGCCTGCCGCAAGGAGGGGAGCGAAAGCAGGAGCCTCAACACCCTACCCCGACACACACCTAGCCCTTCCTCCCTTCCTTCTCCCACACTGTGGCTTCCAGGACTCCCCTCTCCCGTTTTCTACCCACCTCCCTGGCCACCCCTTCTGTGTTGTTTTTGTAGAGAGAGCACCGGAGTCTTCTCTCTGTCTATATCGACCACCTTGGCGATCTTACACCGGCTCAGGGTTCTAAAAAAATATTTTTAAATTTTTCTTTCTTTCGTTTTTTTTTTTTTAGACGGAGTCTTGCTCTGACACCCAGGCTGGAGTGCTGTGGTGCAATCTCGGCTCACTGCAACCTCCTCCTCCTGGGTTCACGCCATTCTCCTGCCTCAACCTCCCGAGTAGCTGGGATTACAGGTGCCCACCACCACGCCTGGCTAATTTTTGTTTTTGTTTTCTTTTCTTTTTTTTTTTTTTTTGAAACGGAGTCTCGCTCTGTCGCCCAGGCTGAAGTGTAGTGGCACGATCTCGGCTCACTGCAACTTCCATCTCCTAGGTTCAAGCAATTCTCCTGCCTCAGCCTCCCAAGTAGCTGGGATTACAGGCATGTGCCACTACACCCGGCTAATTTTTGTATTTTGGGTAGAGACAGGGTTTCACCACGTTGACCAGGCTGGTCTCAAACGCCTGACTTCAGGTGATCCACCTGCCTCGGCCTCCGAAAGTGCTGGGATTACAGACGTGAGCCACCTCACCCAGCTATCTTCTGGCCATTTTTTTCTTTTAAAAAATGTTTTAGGCTGGGCGCGGTGGCTCCCGCCTGTAATCCCAGCACTTTGGGAGGCCAAGGCGGGTGGATCACGAGGTCAGGACATCGAGACCATCCTGGCTAACACGGTAAAACCCCGTCTCTACTAAAAATACAAAAAATTAGCCGGGCATGGTGGCAGGCGCCTGTAGTCCCAGCTACTCAGGAGGCTGAGGCAGAAGAATGGCGAGAACCCGGGAGGCGGAGCTTGCAGTGAGCCAAGATCGTGCCACTGCACTCCATACTGGGCGACAGTGCGAGACTCTGTCTCAAAAAAAAAAAAAAATTATAGAGGCAGGGTCTCGCTATGTGGCTCAGGCTGGTCGCGAATTCCTGGGCCCAAGCCATCCTCCTTCCTCGGCCTCCCAAAGTGCTGAGATTACAGGCAAGAGCCACTGCACCCAGCCCAGTTTTGTTTTGTTTTGTTTTTTGAGATGGGGTCTCACCCTGTCACTCAGGCTGGAGTGCAGTGGCTCGATCTTGGCTCACTGCAACCTCCGCCCCTTGAGCTCAAGTGATCCTTCCTCCTCAGCGTCCTCAGTTGCTGGGACCACAGATGCATGCCACGACGCCTGGGTACGTTTTTGTATTTTTGGTAGAGACAGGGTTTCATCATGTTGCCCAGGCTGGTCATGAACTTCTGAGCTCAAGTGATCCACCTGCCTTGGCCTCCCAAAGTACTAGGATTACAGACGTGAGCCATCACGCCCAGCCTTTTAATTTTTATAATTATTTTTTCAGACAAGGCCTTGCTTTGTCACCCGGACGGGAGTGCAGTGGCACGAACATGACTCACTGCAGCCTCGACCTCCCCAGTTCAGGTGATCCTCCCACCTCAGCCTGGCAAGTAGCTGGGACTACAATCCTGTGCCACCACATTTGGCAAATCTTCTGTATTTGTTGTAGAGTCAAAGTTTCACTATGTTGGCAGGCTGGTCTCAAACTCTTGGGCTCAAGTGATCCTCCAGCCTTGGCCTCCCAAAGTGCTGGTATTACAAGGCATGAGCCACCATGCCTAGACTGTGTTTTATTTTTTATTTATTTATTTATTTATTTATTTATTTATTTATTTATTTTGAGACAGAGTTGCCCAGGCTGGAGTGCAATGGCATGATCTCGGCTCACAGCAACCTCCACCTCCCGGGTTCAAGGGATTCTCCTGCGTCAGCCTCCTGAGTAGCTGGGATTACAAGCATGCACCACCATGCCCGGCTAATTTTTTGTATTTTTAGTAGAGACGGGGTTTCGCCATGTTGGCCAGGCTGGTCTCAAACGCCCGACCTCAGGTGATCCGCCCGCCTCAGCCTCCCAAAGTGCTGGGATTACAGGCGTGAGCCACCGCGCCCGGCCTTTAATTTTTTATCTTTTGTTTTTGTTTGTTTGTTTGTTTTTGTTTTTTTGAGACAGAGTCTCGCTCTGTCACCCAGGTTGGAGTGCAGTGGCACCAGTCTCAGCTCACTGCAAGCTCCGCCTCCCGGGTTCAAACTGTTCTCCTGCCTCAGACTCCTGAGTAGCTGGGACTACAGGCGCCCACCACCATGCCTGGCTAATTTTTTGTATTTTTATTTTTATTTTATTTTTTATTTATGTATTTATTTTTGAGACAGAGTCTCACTCTGTCGCCCAGACTGGAGTGCAGTGGTGCGATCTCAGCTCACTGCAACTTCTGCCTCTTGGGTTCAAGCAATTCTGTGCCTCAGCCTCCTGAGTAGCTGGGATTACAGGTGCCTGCCACCACACCTGGCTAATTTTTGTATTTTTAGTAAAAACAGGGTTTCACCATCTTGGCCAGGCTGGTCTAGAACTCCTGACCTTGTGATCCACCCACCTCGGCCTCCCAAAGTGCTGGGATTACAGGCATGAGCCACCGCGCCCGGCCTTTTGTATTTTTAGTAGAGACGGGGTTTCACCGTGTTAGCCAGGATGGGCTCGATCTCCTGACCTCGTGATCCACCCGCCTCGGTTTCCCAAAGTGCTGGGATTACGGGCGTGAGCCACCGCGCCCAGCCTTTTTTTTTTTTTTTTTTAAAGAAACAGGTTGTACTGTCACTCAGGCTGGAGTGCAGTGGTGCAATTGTGGCTCATTATAGTCTCAAACTTCTAGGCTCATGCAATCCTCCAGCCTCAGCCTCCTGAATAGCTGGGATTACAGGCATGTGCCACTGGTCATTGTTTTCGTTTGTTTGTTTTGAGACTGAGTCTCACTCTGTCTCCCAGGCTGGAGCACAGTGGCACAACCTCAGCTTACTACAACCTCTGCCTCTTGGGTTCAATGACTTTTAAAATGTTTTATTTTTTTTAATTATTTTTATTTTATTTATTTTTTGAGACGGAGTTTCGCTCTTGTTGCCCAGGCTGGAGTGTAATGGCACAATCTCGGCTCACTGCAACCTCTGCCTCCCGGGTTCAAGCGATTCTCCTGCCTCAGCCTCCCGAGTAGCTGGGATTACAGGCACGTGCCATCATGCCCAGCTAAGTTTTGTATTTTTAGTAGAGACAGGGTTTCTCCATGTTGGTCAGGTTGGTCTTGAACTCCCGACTTCAGGTCATCTGCCCGCCTTGGCCTCCCAAAGTGCTGTGATTACAGACGTGGGCCACCGCGCCTGGCTGTGATGTTTTTTTTTTTAACTTGTTTTCCCTATTAGGATATGAGCTGTTTTTAGAAGTGGAGACTTGGTCTGCTTTTTCACTGCATTTACTACCATGCCAGGATGCCAGATACAAGGAAAGTGAGTAATAAAGATTTAATTGAATGAGCACATGAATGGCAGCTAGTGTGCAGGAAGGATTGGAGAGGGTGAGCCTGGAGTCCAGTGGTGAGGGGACCCAGGCTGGAAATGAAGGAGGAGGTGGGGCGAGGGTGGGCAAACCTGTCCTGTCCTGTTCTTCAGGTATGGCTTCTCCCACTTCCATTCGCGAATCACTGCCTGGACCACTTTCTCATCTCCCTGCAAGGAGGGAAGTCCAGTCACCTTTCAGCATGCCACCTCCAGCTAAGGCCAGGTGCTACCTACTTGTCCCCCACCATCCACCGCCACGGGAACCCTACACCCACCCCTTTGCCCCTTACCTTGAGCAGGTCCAGCAGCTTTAGTTCCAGTGCCTTAGTCTCCTTGCGGAGCTGACTGATGGTCTCCTGGTTCTTCTTGATGTTCCACTGAGAGCTCTCAAAAAAAGCCTTCCGGTCACCCTCTGGCAGGCAGGTGAGGTGGACAGACACACAGTTACTGGGTGGGTGCATGGGTGCAACATCCCAGAGGAAAGACCTTTTTTGCAATCATCAACTTTTTTTTTTTTTTTGAGATGGAGTTTCACTCTTGTTGCCCAGGCTGCAGTGCAATGGTGCAATCTCGGCTCACCACAGCCTCCGCCTCCCGGGTTCAAGAGATTCTCCTGCTTCAGCCTCCCAAGTAGCTGGGATTACAGGCATGTACCACCACACCTGGCTAATTTTGTATTTTTAGTAGACATGGGGTTTCTCCATGTTGGTCAGGCTGGTCTCGAACTCCTGACCTCAGGTGTTCCCAAAGTTCTAGGCCCCCTAAAGTCCTAGGATTATAGGTGTGAGCCACTGTGCCAGGCTCATCAACTTAATATTATAAGAATGCAGTCGTTGACCAGCCTGGCCAACATGGTAAAACCGCATCTCTACTAAAAATACAAAAATTAGCCAGGTGTGAGGCTGAGCATGATGGCTCGTTCCTGTAATCCTTGCACTTTGGGAGGTAGAGGCGGGCGGATCACCTGAGGTCAAGAGTTCAAGATCAGCCTGGCCAACATGGTGAAACCCCATCTCTACAAAAATACAAAAATTAGCTGGGCATGGCCGGGCACGGTGGCTCACGTCCATAATCCCAGCACTTTGGGAGGCCAAAGTGAGCGGATCACGAGGTCAGGAGATCGAGACCATCCTGGCTAACATAGTGAAATCCCGCCTCTACTAAAAATACAAAAAAAAAAAAAAATTAGCCGTGCATGGTGGCAGGCACCTGTAGTCCCAGCTACTCAGGGGACTGAGGCAGGAGAATGGTGTGAACCTGGGAGGCAGAGCTTGCAGTGAGCCGAGATCGCACCACTGCACTCCAGCCTGGGTGACAGAGCGAGACTCTGCCTCAAAAAAAAAAAAAAAAAAAAATTAGCCGGGCATGATGGTGGGTGCCTGTAATCCCAGCTACAGGAGGCTGAGGCACAATAATTACTTGACCTCTGGAGGTGGAGGTTGCATTGAGCTGAGATCCTGCCACTGCACTCCAGCCTGGGCAACAGAGCAAGACTCTGTCTCAAAAAACAAAACAAAACAAAACAAAAAACCCCAAAATCCTTCCATACTCAAGTCCCACAGTCAGCCCTGTGGAACCTGCAGATACAAACAGTTGTCCCTCTGTATACTCAGGTTTTGCATTCCAGGACTGTTGTATTTTCTTTTCTTTTCTTTTTTGGGACTGGGTCTTGCTCTGTCACCCAGAATGAAGTGCAGTGGTGCTATCACTGCTCACTGAAGCCTCAACCTCCTGAGCTCAAGCAGTCCTCCTGCCTCAGCCTCCCAAGTAGCTAGGACTAGAGGCATGTGCCACCACATCTGGCTACTTTATTTTTTGTAGAGTCAAGGATCTCACTATGTTGCCCAGGCTGGTCTCGAACTCCTGGCCTCTAGCAATCCTCCTGCCTCAGCCTCCCAAAGTGCTGGGATTACAGGTATGAACCACTGTGCCCGGCCTGCCCATCTCAATTTTTTTTAACTTGAAAGGATGAATGATATATGTGAACACATGGTGTTCAACGGTCAACTGTACTTCACTGTGAGCATTTATTATGTGTTGGATGCTGGACTAAGAGGTTTCCGAATGCCATATATCACGTGCCAATAGGTATCCATGGCATACGCATATCATACCCCTTGCACAGATGACAAGACAGAGGCTTGGGCTGATTAAACTGCTTAAGGTCACAAGCAACCATGCAAGATTACCCTTTTTTTTTTTTAAGACGGAATCTCACTCTGTCACCCAGGCTGGAGTGCAGTGGCGCAATCCTGGCTCACCGCAACCTCCACCTCCTGGGTTCAAGCCCCTCTCCTGCCTCAGCCTTCCAAGTAGCTGGGATTACAGGCGTGCGCCACCATGCCCGGCTAATTTTTGTACTTTTAGTAGAGATGGGGTTTCACTATGTTGGCCAGGCTGGTCTCAAACTCCTGACCTCAAATGATCCGCCCACCTCAGCCTCCCAAAGTGCTGGGATTACAGGTGTGAGCCACCTCGCCCAGCCATGATTACCTCTTAATAATATCAACAAAAGCAATAATAATAGCTTACACACAAGGATTCTGCAACCTCAGGATGACCAACAACTGGGCCGAATAATTATTTGCCGTGGGGTGCTCTCCTGTGTTTTGCAGAATGTTGGGCAGCATCTTCAACTCTGCCCACTAGATGCCAGTGGCAGACACACACCCACAACAGACATCCATGCCACCATGCCCGGCTAATTTTTTGTATTTTTAGTAGAGACAGCGTTTCACCGTGTTGGCCATGCTGGTCTCAATGTCTTAGGACATTGCCAAATGGCCCCTGTGGGGCAAACCAACCCTTTTCCAACAAGAACCACTGGTTTACACCTTATGGTACTTTGCTATGTGCCAGGCACTGTTCTAAGCACTTTACACATTTCAGGTACCTATGTTGTACTGTTACTATCCCCATTTCACACATCGAGAAACTGAGAACAATTAGGTTACTCTTAGTCCCCCAAGGTTGGACAACTATTATGCAGAGCCAGGATTCCAACCCAGAAAATCTGGCTCTAAAAATCTATGCTCAGGCCAGGTGCAGCGGCCCATGCCTGTAACCCCAGCACTTTGGGAGGCTGAGGAGGAAGGATTGCTTGAGCCCAGGAGTTTGAGACCAGCCTGGGCAGCATAGTGAGACCCCATCTCTACAAAAAGTAAGAAAATTAGCCAAGCACAGTGGTGTATGCCTGTAGTCCCAGCTACTCAGGAGGCTGAGGTGGAAGGATCGCTTGAGCCTAGGAGGTCAAGTCTGCAGTGAACTGTTATCCAACCACTACACTCCAGCCTCAACAGCAGAGCAAGACCCTGTCAGAAAGAAAGAAGGCTGGGCGCGGTGGCTCACACATGTAATCCCAGCACTTTGGGAGCCAAGGCCGTGGATCACTTGAGATCAGGAGTTCGAGACCAGCCTGGCCAACATGGTGAAACCCAGTCTCTACTAAAAATATAAAAATTAGGTGTGGTGGCACGCACCTATAGTCCCAGCTAGTCAGGAGGCTGAGGCTCGAGAATCGCTTGAACCTTGGAGGCAGAGGTTGCAGTGAGCCGAGATCATGCCACTGCTCTCCAGCCTAGGCGACAGAGCAAGACCCTGTCTCAAAAAACAAAAAACAAAACAAAAAAAAACGCGGGTGCAGTGGCTCACGCCTGTAATCCCAGCAGTTTGGGAGGCCGAGGCGGGCTCACGCCTGTAATCCCAGCAGTTTGGGAGGTCAAGAGATTGAGACCACCCTGGCCAATATGGTGAAATCCCTCTGTACTAAAAATACAAAAATTAGTTAGGCGTGGTGGCGTGTGCCTGTAGTCCCAGCTACTCAAGAGGCTGAGGCAGGAGAATCGCTTGAACCCGGGAGGCGGAGGTTGCAGTGAGCCGAAATCGTTCCACTGCACTCCCACCTGGCAACAGAGTGAGATTCTGCCAAAAAAAAAAAAAAAAATAGAGAAAATAAATTACAAGAAAGTATGAAGTACAGTTCAGTCGGTTCTGAACCCATGAGAAGTTTTAAGAGACAGAGAAGGAAAAACATGAACTAAGTATGAGTTTTTGCCCAGAAACGGTTTACCTAGACTCATGCTGGAGAAATACCTTTGTCACACCATGAAGATTGGATGGGCACTGTTGACCCCTGACCCTCTGTACCCTCTGGAGCCATCTTACCTAACAGTTGTATCTTTTTATGTAACTCAGCCACCTGAGAGTGCACAGAGGGCTTCCCTGCACCTCTGTGGAAGGATCCTCCCTTGGAACGGCCTGGGGTCCACGCCTGGGCTGTGCCCTTGCCTCGGAGGTGGCTGGGTTTGCCCGAAGCCTCCCTGCCCTTGACCCTGGAAGAGGGCGTCGAAGCCTGGTCCTGAGGAGGCAGGGCGTTGGCGGAGGCCGCCCTGCACAGAGGAGATGTCATGATGGGGTTGGGGCTGAAGGCCCCTAGGGGTTAGGGGGATAACTAGGAGTCAGTCGCCCCTGTCAGGGATCCGTCAGCTCGGATTCCTAGGGCTCTGAAAAATGCACTTTCCGACCGCTAGGTGGTTGCGCTCCGCATCTCTCGGTTGCCAGGTAACCGCCTCCCCGTCTCTCTCCACTGTTTCCATGGAGATCACCCGCGTTCCGTGGCTGACACTGCGTTCTCATTGGCTGAGGCTGCATAGAGGGGCGGTCCCAACAGTGGGCGGGGTAGAGCCGCGCCGCAGGACGGAGGGTCTGGACACTTTGGGGTCACGTGCTCATTCCGTTTCCCTACCTCCCCCAACCTTATCCCGCCCCTGGGGGTTCGCGGGCATTTTTCAGGAACTTTCTTTCCGGCTTGAGAAGCCGCCACTCCCAAGATGGAGGTACGCTGCGCCGCCATTAAGAGCTAGCCCTCAGAACTATCCTCTCTAAGGTTTCACAGTCCTGCCCAAGATGGCCGTCTCGGCTCTGGCACCGCCCCCACTCCTGCCTCTCCCAACATGGCGACCCTGAGTCTCCGTTCCCGGTGCGGAACGTACGACCGGAAGTGACGGGGTCCAGAAATTTCCGCTTTCTTTCTGCAGCAGGAACCGCGGCTGCTGGACAAGAGGGGTGCGGTGGATACTGACCTTTGCTCCGGCCTCGTGTAGGTGTGAACGAGCGGGTGGGAGGGCACCTCAGTTTCTTACAGGGGGCAACCGGAGGGTGCATGTGTGGGTGTGGACGGCGGAGGCTGTTAATCCCTTTGGTCTGTTGGCGGGAATTGGGTCACAATTGGGCACAGGGAGCGGAGGTTTTGAGATCTTGAGATCCTCGCCATTGATTTGAGCAAAGTGAGACTGGCCAGGATTGGGGAGATCGCTGCCCCTCGCCCCCATATCGGAAACAAAGTGAGGCCTCATTGCCTGGAAGCGATGGAGGAATCCAATTGGCTGGAAGTAGCCCTCTCCCACTGACCGGGATCCGCTTTCTTCCTGCAGCGTGAAGACACAGCGCATCTCCCCGCTGTAGGCTTCCTCCCACAGAACCCGTTTCGGGCCTCAGAGCGTCTGGTGAGATGCTGTTGCCGCTGCTGCTGCTGCTACCCATGTGCTGGGCCGTGGAGGTCAAGAGGCCCCGGGGCGTCTCCCTCACCAGTGAGTCCTCCTGTTCACCCTCCCGCCAGGCTGGAGGTGGGAGGGGCCAACATTGGGCCTTAGGGATAGGCATTTACAGCCTTTTGACTCAGTTTCCCGGTAGTGCTCCGCTGGTGGGGATGGGAGGACAGAGGTGGTATTTGGTGGAGAAGGCGCTTACCTGCCCTGGGCTGAGCTTCCTGTACCCCGCAGATCATCACTTCTACGATGAGTCCAAGCCTTTCACCTGCCTGGACGGTTCGGCCACCATCCCATTTGATCAGGTCAACGATGACTATTGCGACTGCAAAGATGGCTCTGACGAGCCAGGTGAGCCTTTTCTCTGTTCATCCATCAGATGTTTATTGAACACTGCTCAGTGCCAGGCCCTGTCTGTGTGACCAAGATACTACCTCTGCTGGCTCCCCTTTGAGTGGGCAGAAACAAGCTCAGAAGTCAGTGGTCAGTGTTATGGCCCCGGGCAGCTGGAGGAGCCCAGAGTCGTCCTCCTCCCAAGCCTCGGGGTCAGAGAAGGCTCCTCCAAGGAGGTGAGGTTTCAGTTGAATCCCGAAGGTGCTGCAGATGGAGGGGTCAACACGGGCAAACCCCTAGAAGTGGGAGACAGGGTGGGGCCAAGAGCAATCCAGCAGGAGACAGAGGTGAAGGGAGACCCTGGCTTTTTGTTTTTGTGTGTTTTGAAGAGACAGGGTCTTGCTTTGTTGCTGAGGCTGGAGTACAGTGGCATGATCGTAGCTCACTGCAGCCTGGAACTCTTGGGCTCAAGTCATCCTCCTGCCTTGGCCTCCCAAAGTGCTGGGGTTACAGGTGTGAGCCACCGTGCCTGGATGAGACCGTGTCTTTGGTTTTGTTTTTGTTTTGAGACGGAGTCTTGCTCTGTTTCCCAGGCTGGAGTGCAGTGGCGCCATCTCGGCTCACTGCAAGCTCCGCCTCCCGGGTTCACACCGTTCTCCTGCCTCAGCCTCCTGAGTAGCTGGGACTACAGGCACCCACCACCACGCCCAGCTAGTTTTTTTTTGTATTTTTAGTAGATACAGGGTTTCACTGTGTTAGCCAGGATGGTCTCGATCTCGTCACCTTGTGATCCACCCGCCTCGGCCTCCCAAAGTGTTGGGATTACAGGCGTGAGCCACCGTACCTGGCCTTGTTTTGTTTTGTTTTTAATTTTTTTTTTTGAGATGGAGTTTCACTCTTATCGCCCAGGCTGGAGTGCAGTGGCATGATCTTGGCTCACTGCAGTCTCCACCTCCCGGGTTCAAGCGATTCTCCTGCCTCAGCCTCCTGAGTAGCTGGGATTACAGGCACATGCCACCACATCCGGCTAATTTTTCGTATTTTTAGTAGAGATGGAGTTTCATCGTGTTGGCCAGGCTGGTCTCAAACTCATCACCTCAGGTGACCCACCCGCCTCGGCCTCCCAAAGTGCTGGGATTACAGGTGTGAGCCCCCGTGCCAGGTGGAGACCCTGTTTTGAAGGGCCTCAGTGAGAAGAGGCAGGAGGCGGCACTGGAGAGCTTTATTTCGAGCCCTGGCTGTGCAGTGTACAACTCTTTCCTTCCTTTGGTTTCCTTTCCTTTCTTGTGCTGTGTGCAGTGTGGGTCAGGGGCTCTTATCTGTGGATGGATGGGACATGTCTGTCCCTGAGCTGACTCCGAAAACCTTCCCTCCCTTCTTCCTCACAGGCACGGCTGCCTGTCCTAATGGCAGCTTCCACTGCACCAACACTGGCTATAAGCCCCTGTATATCCCCTCCAACCGGGTCAACGATGGTGTTTGTGGTAAGTGAAGATGCACCAGGATTCTGGAAAGGTGGTAGAGGGAGGGAGGGAGGAGGCACTGCCAGGTCTGATCTTGGCTTCTGCCTCTGCCACAGACTGCTGCGATGGAACAGACGAGTACAACAGCGGCGTCATCTGTGAGAACACCTGCAAGTACGTGGGTGACAGTACCCCTCCCATCACCCCACCCCAAGACTTTGCCTGGCTCCACCCAGTGAATCGGGCCCACTCTCTCTTCTGCTTTTCTGTATCGGGTTCTCTGTCTGTGCCAGGTGCCTTGTGAATCCTAATCCCCACCTTTCCCTCTAGTCTGGAAGCAGGTAGGATTGTTTCCCGATTCAACAGATGGGGGAACTCAAGTTTAGAAAGGGAAATGACTTCCCCAGGGTCACATAGGAGATAGCAGAGCCGGCACTTGGACTCTAAACTTTCCATTGTCACGCTCTGCAGCAGGTCCTGAAAACCGAAACACCCACAGGCAGGTAAAGTATACAACGGAAGGAGGCCAGGCGCGGTGGCTCACACCTGTAATCCCAGCACTTTGGGAGGCTGAGGCAGGCGGATCACGAGGTCAGGAGATCGAGACCATCCTGGCTGACATGGTGAAACTCCGTCTCACTAAAAATACAAAAAATTAGCTGGGTGTGGTGGCGGGCGCCTGTAGTCCCAGCTACTCGGTGGGCTGAGGCAGGTGAGTGGCGTGAACACGGGAGGCAGAGGTTGCAGTGAGCCGAGATCGCACCACTGCAATCCAGCCTGGGCAACAGAGTGAGACTCCGTCTCAAAAAAAAAGCAAAAAAAAAAAAAGCATACAACAGAAGGAGGCCAAGTATGAGGCAATACGGAGGGGTGGGGATTGTGGCATCTAGGGGAACAGCTGTTCTCAATTCCTGCCAGCTGATCCTTTTGTAGTTCATAGGCATGATGATTTATTTTTATTTATTTATATTTTTTGAGACAGGGTCTCACTCTGTCGCCCAGGCTGGAGTGCAGTGGCGTGATCTTGGCTCACTGCAACCTCTGCCCTTCGGGTTCAAGCAATTCTCACACCTCAGCCTCCCAAGTAGCTGGGAATACAGGCGTACCCCCACCACGCCTGGCTAACTTTTGTATTTTTGGTAGAGATGGTTTCACTATGTTGGCCAGGCTGGCCTCGAACGCCTGACCTCAGGTGATCTGCTCGCCTCAGCCTCCCAAAGTGCTAAGCCGCCGCGCTTGGCCACGATGATTAGGTTTTTATGCACGTGTGAGAGATACGCCTCCCTTAAACCTTGTTGCGACCTTGGCGCATTACCTGTCTGATATGAAAAAATAAGACCCGGCTCATGGTGGCTCCTGCCTGTAATCCCAGCATTTTGGGAGGCTGAGGCAGGAAGACTGCTTGAGCCCAGGAGTTTGAGACCAGCCTGGGCAAAATAGCGATACCCTATCTCTATAAAAAGTAAAAAAAAAAAATTAAAAAGTAAAAATAAAAATTGGAAATTATAATTTAAAAAATTACTGGTTGGGCATGTGGCTCACACCTGTAATCCCAGCACTTTGGGAGGCTAAGGCGAGAGGATCACCTTAACCCAGGAGTTTGAGACCAGCCTGGGCAACACAGTGAGACCCGTCTCAGAAAAATTTTTCTTTTCTTTTTTTTTTTTTTTTTTTTTTTTTTTGTGAGACAGAGTCTCACTCTGTTGCCCAGGCTGGATGGAGTGCAGTGGCGCGATCTCGGCTCACTCTAACCTCTGCCTCCCGGGTTCAAGCGATTCTTCTGCCTTAGCCTCCTGAGTAGCTGGGACTACAGGCATCCACCACCACACCCGGCTAAAATTTGTATTTTTAGTAGAGACGGTGTTTCACAATATTGGCCAGGCTGGTCTCGAACTCCTGACCTCATGATCCACCTGCCTTGGCCTCCCAAAGTGCGGGGATTACAGATGTGAGCCACCATGCCCGGCTGAAAATTTGTTAAAAAATTAGCCGGGTGTGTTGGTGCGTGTCTGTAGTCGCAGGTACTCAGGAGGCTGAGGCAGGAAGATTGCTTGGGCCTGGGAAGCAGAGGTTGCAGTGAGCTAAAAAGTAAAAAAAAAACAAAAAAAACACAAAGTCCTATCAGTTGTTGGCAGATGGTGTAAAACTCTCTGGATTCCACATCTTTTAAATAGAAGGTGGATTGAACACAACCAACACACTTCTTTTTTTTTTTGAGACGGAGTCTCACTCTGTCGCCCAGGCTGGAGTGCAGTGGTGTGATCTCCGCTCACTGCAAGCTCCGCTTCCCGAGTTCATGCCATTCTCCTGCCTCAGCCTCCCGAGTAGCTGGGACTACAGGCACCTGCCGCTACACCTGGCTAATTTTTTTTTTTGTATTTTTAGTAGAGATGGGGTTTCACCGTGTTAGCCCGGATGGTCTCGATCTCCTGACCTTGTGATCTGCCCGCCTCGGTCTCCCAAAGTGCTGGGATTACAGGTGTGAGCCACCGCCCCTGGCCCACACTTTTTTTTGAGTTAGAGTCTCGCTCTGTTGCCCAGGCTGGAGTGCAGTGGCATGATCTTTGCTTACCCCAACCTCCACATCCGGGTTCAAGTGATTCTCTTGCCTCAGCCTCCCGTGTAGCTGGGATTACACCGTGTAGCTGGGCGCCACCACGCCCAGCTAATTTTTGCATTTTCAGTAGAGACAGGGTTTCACCATCTTGGCCAGGCTGGTCTCGAACTCCTGACCTCAGGTGATCCGCCCGCCTTGGCCTCCCAAAGTGCTGGGATTACAGGCATGAGCCACCACGCCCAGCCAACCAACACACTTAGTAACCAGATTGTCTTTTTGTCTGGGAGTCATGATTTCTGTTCTGTCTTCTGTGGTTTTTTTATTTGTTTTAATTATGTGTAAAGACAGGGTCTTTATATGTTGCCCAGGCTGGTTGCGAACTCCTGGGCTCAAGTGATCCTCCTGCCTTGGCCTTTCAAACTGCTGGGATTACAGGCATGAACCACTGCACCCAGCTGATCTCCTGTCTCTTGAGAGTTGATATCTAGCTCCACCTCCTGGCACTCCCTAGTCCCTTCCCTGACCCCAGGGGCTTACAGAACCCACTGTTCCTCTTTCAAGGACAGGAATGAAGGATGCTGATGTTGAGAGAACCTGGGAGGAAGGCTTGCTCTCATCTTTCCCAGCATGGCTTGGTGGGGGGCCACAGCTGGATTGAGCTATTTTGGAAGAGGCAGACCTGGTGGATCCTAAGTGCCCCACTGGTGGTGCCTGTGTGTCTCCGCACCGCAGAGAGAAGGGCCGTAAGGAGAGAGAGTCCCTGCAGCAGATGGCCGAGGTCACCCGCGAAGGGTTCCGTCTGAAGAAGATCCTTATTGAGGACTGGAAGAAGGCACGGGAGGAGAAGCAGGTAAGGAACCCGCGGGGGCTGCCCCAGGGTGATCTGGGCCTTGAGGCCTCATAGTGTGGGCTTGCAAGGCTGGGGAGGGGTTTGCCCCTGACTGCTGTTCTGGGGCAAGTGACTGCCTTTCGGAGCTTTGCTTTCTCAGTTGTGTGCTAGGCGTTTAGTCATTGGCTAAGTATAATAGTTCCCGAGGGGGAGGCTGTCAGCTTAGGTGTTTATCAGGGCCTCGGGCATCAGACTAAAGCAGGCTGGAAGGGCCTCTCTGCCTCCTGGGGATGGGAGGGTTGCTTCTCTGTACCCCGGATCTGTGGTGCCATTGCCTGTAAGATGGGCTGATGACCAGATGACTCCCCAGTTCTGATGTTAGAAAGATAACGTCAGCCAGTAGCAGCTGGATTAATTCCATAGGGTGGGTGCTTTGGGGTCCCTAGGTGTGTGTCTCTCCCTGCCTTGCCTGTGTACTGGGCAGGAGGCTGGAAACCGACCTGGATTTGCCTCAAGGCATTCATTGCTAGTGGGAGGGACAGCCAGCCAGGGCTGCTGGACAAAGGGAAATTCGGGGTAGAGACTTCTTGCCCAGTTCCTCTCCCTCTCTGCCTTGGGGGCAGGAGGCAAGGAAGGCTTCTTGGAGGAGGAGGCCTCTATCTCACATGAAATCTGTTGGGTAATTTGGAGTTAGCCAGGTAGAGTGTTCCAGGCTGAAGGAACAGCATGTTTGAAGAACCGGAGGCAGAAGAGCGTTTAGGGGTCTGAATGTTGTCAGGGCGACTGGATCCTAGTAAGATAGGGATGGGGCAAATGGGGCTGGAGAATCAGGCAGGGGCCTGATTACCTGGGCCCTTGCGGGCTACATTGAGGCGTTTGGGCTTCTCTCCAGAGGGCTACAGGGAACCCCAGCTCGGGAGAGAGACCCAGCTTGGTGTGTGTTTTGGAACATCTCCCTGCTGCCCTGTGGAGTAGAGGCAGGGAGGTAGTAGTCAATGAGGAGGAGGCAGAACAGAGGAGAGCTGGTCTCTTGCCTTCTGCCCACCCAGAAAAAGCTCATTGAGCTACAGGCTGGGAAGAAGTCTCTGGAAGACCAGGTGGAGATGCTGCGGACAGTGAAGGAGGAAGCTGAGAAGCCAGAGAGAGAGGCCAAAGAGCAGCACCAGAAGCTGTGGGAAGGTATGGCAGAAATGGCCAAGGACTCACCTTCAGTCCTGGGTGGGAGCAGGTCTGGGCCTAGGAGTCTCCCGCTCATTATCTGTTGTCAGTTTCAGCAGGTTTTTGATCATGCTGCCCATCGCCTTGTGTGCTTTGAGGTTCGCTTGGATTGTGGCATATGTCAGGAGCCTCCTTTTTAAAAATTGTTTAAATAATTTGTTTTTTGAAACAGCGTCTCCCTCTGCCACCCGGGCTGGAGTACAGTGGCGTGATCTCAGCTCACTGCAACCTCTGCCTCCCAGGTTCAAGCAATTCTTGTGCCTCAGCCTCCTGAGTAGCTGAGATTACAGGCACCTGCCACCACATTTAACTAATTGTTTTGTATTTTTAGTAGAGACGGGGTTTCACAATGTTGGCCAGGCTGGTCCTGAACTCCTGACCTCAAGTGATCCACCTGCCTTGGCCCCCCAGAGTGCTGGGATTACAGGCATGAGCCACCTCGCCCGGCCGCCTACTTCCTTTTAACATCAATGTAGATTTTGTTATATGACTTTAGCAGGACTTAGTTAATCCAGTGACCATTTTTCCTATCAGGTGTTTGGTATTTGTCTTCACTAATTGTAAGAGCTTTTTTGTGGCTGGGCATGGTGGCTCACGCCTGTAATCCCAGCAGTTTGGGAGGCCGAGACGGGCAGATCACCTGAGGTCAGGAGTTCGAGACCACCCTGGCCAACATGGTGAAACGCCATCTCTACTAAAAGAAAAAATTATGGCCGGGCACAGTGGCTCATGCCTGTAATCCCAGCACTTTGGGAGGCTGAGGCAGGCAGATCACGAGGTCAGGAGATTGAGACCATCTTAGCCAACATGGTGAAACCCATCTCTACTAAAAATACAAAAATCAGCTGGACATGGTGGTGTGTGCCTGTAATCCCAGCTACTCGGGAGGCTAAGGCAGGAGAATTGCTTGAACCAGGAAGTTGGAGGTTTTCAGTGAGCTGAGATTGCGCCCCTATATTCCAGCCTGGCAACAGAGTGAGACTCCGTCTCAAAAAAAAAAAAAAAATTAGCCTGGCATGGTGGCATCTGCCTGTGGTCCCAGCTACTTGGGAGGCTGAGGCAGGAGAATCGCTGGAACCCGGGAGACAGAGGTTGCAGTGAGCTGAGATCTCGCCACTGCACTCCAGCCTGGGTGACAAAGCAATACTTCATCTAAAAAAAATAATAAAGAGCTTTTTCTATCTGGGGTTTGGCCCTTTGTCTGCAACTGAAGATTTTTTTTTAGTTTATTTATTTTTGAGATGGAGTCTCACTCTGTCGCCTAGGCTGAAGTGCCAATGGCCCGATCTCTGCTCACTGCAACCTCTACCTCCTGGGTTCAAGTGATTCTCCTGCCTAGGCTTCCTGAGTAGCTGGGATTACAGGCACCTGCCACCACAGCCGGCTAATTTTTGTAGTTTTAGTAGAGACGGGGTTTCACCGTGTTGGCCAGGCTGGTCTTGAACTCCTGACCTCAGGTGGCCTGCTTTGGCCTCCCAACGTGTTGGGATTACAGGCATGAGCCACGGTGCCCAGCTCTGTCTGCAACTGAAGATATTATTTCCCTTCTTCATTTGTTTTTGGTGCTAGAGCCTGGTGTTTTTTGGTAAGGCCACATTGCATGTAGAAAGGGAATTCACTGTCTGGCTCTGTCTGCCCCTGAATCTTTGTCGTGTTGCAAGCTTCCTTTCACTTGGGTCTGGGCAAGCTCAGGCCTGATTTTCCTCAGGATGTGTTCTCAGTGTGGAGCTGTGGAATCAGAGGGAAGCGCCATGTTTTGACCCAGATTCCCAAAGGGTGGCGGGGCTGAGCCAGGGCTCCGAGGGTAGATGGCCTGGATTGGGCCCCAGGCTACACCTCTCACTGGCTAGGTGATTATGGGCAGGTCCCTTCACCCACAGAAAGGTCAGGGACCCCTCAGGCCCTCATCTGTGAGACTCAGAACAGTGTCAGCCGGGTCTCCTGGGACATGCGGGATGTCCTGGGGTGACCTAAGACTCTCTAGAGGAAATACCAGCTGTTTTTATTCTGTTTGTAGAGGACCAAGCTGGAGCTTGGTATACAGTGGGAACTGAATCCTGGTATACAGTAGGAAGTTAATCATTGGAGCCGCTGTTGTGGCTGCTTTCCGCTCTGCTTAGGTTAGAGTAGCGACAGACAAAGGAGGGACTTTTGGGACAGAGGCTCGGTCCCCTTCTGTCCGGCTGGCCCCTCTTCCTGGGAGCAGCCCTGGGGACCCCCAAGATGCCCCCAGGACCGGTCTCCCTCCCTGTATCCTCCCCATCTCCCAGCATCCTTGGCCATGAAGTCTCATTCCTGCCAGCCCTGCCCCGACATGCCTCTGCCAGGTCCTAAACCTAAAGTCTCAGTGGTCGCTCTCCTCTCCCCAACCCCACCTCCCACCTCTGACCGTCTGCGCACTCCATCTGCGTCTCCCCAGAATCTGCCTCTGCTCCGTGCTTCTTCCTCAGTCCCCAGCCTGGGCCAGCCCTTGTTATCACCTGGCTTCTGCCCTCGCCCCCACCTCTGTCCCAACAGTGGCCTGACAGGGCTGCCCTCTGCCACCTGGGTTCCCACCTCCCTGCTCCAGCCCCACCAGTGGCCCTCCTGCCTCTGCACTCCCCACCTTGTCCCGGTCTCCCCCAACACAACCAGGCTTCAACCATTCACCTTGCTCTTCGTCTGTTCTCCCCTGGTAAGGGCAGGGACCTTTGTCTCCTCCACAGTCGTGTCCTCAGGGTCCAGCATGGGGCCAGGCATATAGTAGGCGCTTGGTGGCAAACGACCCTGTGGGGTGCGGGGGCTGATGGGAGCCGGTGGGTGGGCAGGGGGTGACAGAGGTGGCTTCTTTACAGAGCAGCTGGCTGCTGCCAAGGCCCAACAGGAGCAGGAGCTGGCGGCTGATGCCTTCAAGGAGCTGGATGATGACATGGACGGGACGTGAGTGTCCCCTAGTTGGAGCTGCCCACCTTTCCGTGGGCCTGGGTTTCCCTCCCCGCCACCCTCGCCTCTAGAAACCAGCCAGATCCTCCTTGGGTTCCCCCGGCGTGGGGTCCAGGCTGATCCCAAGCCCCGTGTGACCCCGCCTCTTACTCGTGGATGGCCAGGTCCAGGATGCCCTGGGCGAGGAGATAGGGGGACCACCCTCTCCCCAGGAGCTGGGCACAGACCCTCAGCCTCAGGGAGTGTGTCTAGGCATCTAGTGATCGGATGGCTTTTCCCAGCCCCACTACGCTCTGGGGAAAGCCAGACCTGGGTTCGAATCCTGGCTGTGCCTCTGAGCTTGCTGGGTTACCTGGTGGAGGGTGGACTTTTGGGGGCTGAGAGGCACACGGGGAGCCTAGGAGATGTCAGGTGCCAAGGAGCAGGGGGCTTCAGAGGGACCGAATGGGCAAGGGTGGGGGTGGGCTTTGCTGGGTGGGGGACCAAGGCAGATGGCAGCTTCAATGTGCCGGGTCCTGGGGTGGAAGGAGGTGCCACCTGGGTGAGTTGGTAGAGAGGTCATCGGACATTTGGGGGTCCAGGTATCTCCCAGTCCCACCCCTTACTTTGAGCTCCTTTGGGGTCATGGAGTCCTGAGGAGGGGGCAGGAGGGTGGGGAGGCCCCTACACCTTGAGGTCCTGAAGCAAGTTCCAGGGTGGGGCCCTGCAGGGAAGAACAGGTGGGCCACATGGTGCCCCCAACTGAGAGCCACTGGGGCCTCACCCCTCCAGTCTGCTTCTGCCACGCCCCCGCAGGGTCTCGGTGACTGAGCTGCAGACTCACCCGGAGCTGGACACAGATGGGGATGGGGCGTTGTCAGAAGCGGAAGCTCAGGTACCCCCGGCTGCCCCTTGGTTGGGGACTTCTAGGGAGCATTGCCCCAGGGTGACCTCAGGGCACAGGAGGGGGACCAAGGAAAGCTCCTTGCTGGCCTGGGATGCCTCCTCTGGGTGAGCTGGGATGGCAGCCACTCAGGGCCGCTTCCCGCCTGGCAGGACCCGGGATGGAGCCAGGTCGCGCTGGAGCCCGTTTCCCCGCACCTGCCCCCACTCTACCCGCTGTTGAGCACCCAATCCCCTTCCTCCCCCACCCCTGTCCTGCCCTATTCCCCTCCTCCCCCACACCCTCGTCCCCTGTCTGTCTCCTTTCCTATCCTCCTCCTTCCCCGTGGCCCCTGGCTTCTGGCCTCCCTTCTCTGCCCACCCCTGGGTTTCTCCCTCTCCATCTGCAGCCTGGGCCTTGGCCTCTCCCTTGGAGGGCCTGGCCCTCTCTGGTCCTGGGCTCTCTCTTCCTCCATCTGTACGTCCGTTTGTCCATCTGCTTCTCTCTTTCTGTCTCAGTGCCCCCAACCACTCCAGCCCCTGGTCTCCTCCTCCCCTCCCACGGGCCTGTGCTGCCCCCTCCTGGCCGCAGTGCCTCACTGGCGTGGCCCTGGCCTGGTCATCAGGGCCCGGGGCCCAGCCCTCCCGTGCCTGGCACCGCAGCCCGGGTGCCGGGGTGGCCGAGATGGGGGACACGTGGTGGCCTAGATCTTGACACCACCCCCAACACACACAGGCCCTCCTCAGTGGGGACACACAGACAGACGCCACCTCTTTCTACGACCGCGTCTGGGCCGCCATCAGGGACAAGTACCGGTCCGAGGTCAGTGGAGGAGAAGGGAGGGGACTTGGTCCTCCCACCACACTGCCCCCACCCCGCCTCACAAAGGAGCTGCCTCTGGTTCTGGCACCTGGCCACCCTGGCCAGCTGGGTGGCCCCAGCACCCCCCACCGAGACCCCCCGACCCCAGCTGTCGGTCCTCCCTGCAGGCCCCGCAGGAGGGGCAGAGACACCGAGGCTGCCCCTTGGGCTGTGGTGTGAGCCTGAGGGTGTGGGTGGACCCTGAGTCCACAACACCGACCGCACTGCTCACCCGCCAGGCACTGCCCACCGACCTTCCAGCACCTTCTGCCCCTGACTTGACGGAGCCCAAGGAGGAGCAGCCGCCAGTGCCCTCGTCGCCCACAGAGGAGGAGGAGGAGGAGGAGGAGGAGGAGGAAGAAGAGGCTGAAGAAGAGGAGGAGGAGGAGGATTCCGAGGTGCAGGGGGAGCAGCCCAAGGTCCGTGTTTGGGGGAGAAGTGGAGACAGAGAGGGTGGGGGAAGGGCTACTCACTGACCCTGCCCCTGCCCCAGGAGGCCCCACCGCCACTGTCACCCCCGCAGCCGGCCAGCCCTGCTGAGGAAGACAAAATGCCGCCCTACGACGAGCAGACGCAGGCCTTCATCGATGGTGAGGGTGGGCGGGGGCCAGGCTCCTCGGGTGGGCCCAGCGTTTCCTGCCGTGGTGGCACAGGTCGAGGGAAGATCCTGAGCTTAGACCCTGCTCTGACTCGGCCAGCACAAGCCCCAGTATCTTGGGGAGTCCAGGAAGGGGGCCTAGGGTAAGCCAGTCCCACCCTCGCCAGCCCCAAGGGGCCCTTCTGCCTCCCCAAGGGCCGCAGCTTGTTTGTGTCACTCCTGGCCCCACTCGCTCAGGAGCTGGGAGCCTGGGCAGCAAGTCGGGGCTGCTCTATAGCTGGTGAGGCCCTCAAGGCTGTCGGGGTGAAGTCCTTGGCCAGAGCAAAATGAGGGTATGGGAGCACACAGCCACATCCATGGAACCCCGTTCCCCATCCTCCTGGATGGGGTTGAGGACATCTCTGACCTCCAACCCCTCTCCCAGCTGCCCAGGAGGCCCGCAACAAGTTCGAGGAGGCCGAGCGGTCGCTGAAGGACATGGAGGAGTCCATCAGGTAGCGGGGGCTGAGGAGCGGGGACACCTGTCCCACAGCGACTGCTCCTTGACTCCCAGGGGAGCTGGTGATGGGGAATCACTGAGGCAACCACAGGCTGGGCCTGGTCCCTGCAGGGAGGGTCCCTGGGAGGTGGCAGGGAGGACAGCCTGGGCACCATTGCTCAGCCAGACCCTCCTGTGTCTGTCGTCCTGGGTCAGGCACTGGCGTCCCCAGCTGCCCCTTAACCGCTCCGCCTCCCCTTCCAGGAACCTGGAGCAAGAGATTTCTTTTGACTTTGGCCCCAACGGGGAGTTTGCTTACCTGTACAGCCAGTGCTACGAGCTCACCACCAACGAGTGCGTCCCAGGAATGCAGGGGCCCCCACTGGCAGGGTGGGAGGCGGGTGGCCCCGGAAGTGGCACCGGCAGTTTCCTGATGGTTGGGGAACCATCTGCGGGTGGGGCCCGAGAGTGCTGCCTTCCATATTGAGGGGGAGCAGAAGCCAGGGGCCAGGTTTAGGGTTGGTCATTGGAGTTGGAGGTACCCTGTGTGTGGGGACTGGAGGAGGCGGTGGGGGGTGGCTGTGGGAGGAGGCTGGAATCCCTGCGTTCCCCAACCCATATGTCCCGGTCCTCCACAGATACGTCTACCGCCTCTGCCCCTTCAAGCTTGTCTCGCAGAAACCCAAACTCGGGGGCTCTCCCACCAGCCTTGGGTGAGTGGCTTGGGCTGGCCCCTTCCCTCTGCCTCCTCCTGGTGCCCCGACACCGGCCCAGCCCTCAGCACCCTGTGTCTCTCACAGCACCTGGGGCTCATGGATTGGCCCCGACCACGACAAGTTCAGTGCCATGAAGTATGAGCAAGGCACGGGCTGCTGGCAGGGCCCCAACCGCTCCACCACCGTGAGTGCCTGCAAGGCAGGGGAGCTGGGGCGGGGAGACCCAGGCCTGGCCCAGCCGAACCCTCTCGAGCACCCGTCTGCCCATCCCCAGGTGCGCCTCCTGTGCGGGAAAGAGACCATGGTGACCAGCACCACAGAGCCCAGTCGCTGCGAGTACCTCATGGAGCTGATGACGCCAGCCGCCTGCCCGGAGCCACCGCCTGAAGCACCCACCGAAGACGACCATGACGAGCTCTAGCTGGATGGGCGCAGAGGTGGGCGGGGAGGTGGAGTCTCGTCGGCCTGCCCCAGCAAGGGGAGGCGGCGGGCCCTGAGGAAGATGGACCCACATGGCCACTCTATCAACCTGTGTCCCCATGTTCCCTGCTTTTTTGTTTTGTTTTTTTGAGGTGGAGTCTCACTCTTTGGCCCAGGCTGGAGTGCAGTGATGCGACCTCAGCTGACTGCAACCTCTACCTCCCGGGTTCAAACAATTGTCTTGTCTCAGCCTCCCAAGTAGCTGGGATTACAGGTGTGCACCACCATGCCTGGCTAATTTTTAGTAGAGATGGGGTTTCACCATGTTGGCCTGGATGGTCTCGAACTCCTGACCTCAGATGATCCACCTGCCTTGGCCTCCCAAAGTGCTGGGATTACAGGCATGAGCCACCACACCCGGCCATCTCCTGCCTTTTTTTTTTTGGATGGAGTTTCACTCTTGTTGCCGAGGCTGGAATGTGGAATGCAATGGCGCGATCTCGGCTCACTGCAACCTCCACCTCCTGGGTGCAAGCAATTCTCCTGCCTCAGCCTCCTGAGTAATTGGGACTACAGGCGCCGCCACCACGCCTGGCTAATTTTTTTGTATTTTTAGTAGAGATGGGGTTTCCCTGTGTTAACCAGGTTGGTCTCGATCTCCTGACCTCGTGATCCGCCCTCCTCAGCCTCCCAAAGTGCTGGGATTACAGGCTTGAGCTACCATGTCTGGCCATCCCCTGCTTTTTAAAAAAAGATTTTTTTACTTTTGAAACTAAATAGGCCAGGCGTCGTGGCTCACATCTGTAATCCCAGCACTTTGGGAGGCTGAGGTGGGCGGATCACTTGAGGTCAGGAGGTTGAGACCAGCCTGACCAACATGGTGTAAAACCCCATCTCTACTAAAAATACAAAAAAATTAGCTGGGTGTGGTGGTAGGTGCCTGTAGTTCCAGCTGCTCAAGAGGCTGAAGCACAAGAATCACTTGAACCCAGGAGGTAGAGGTTGGAGTGAGCCAAGATCATGCTACTGCACTCTCCAGCCTGGGCTACAGAGTGAGACTCTCAAAAAAAAAAAATAATAATAATAAGAGAAAATAGACAAGGTCTCCAGGCTGGTCAACTCCTGGCCTCAAATGATCCTCCCACCTCAGCCTCCCAAGCAGCCGGGACTACAGGCAAACATCACCATGTCCAGCTGTCCCCAGCTTTCTAATCTGGTCTTTCTCTTGCCCCAGAACCTCAAGAAGGCATGAAGCCAGCCCCTGCAGTGCCGTCCACCCGCCCCTCTGGGCCTGCCTGTGGCTCTGTTGCCCTCCTCTGTGGCGGCAGGACCTTTGTGGGGCTTCGTGCCCTGCTCTGGGGCCCAGGCGGGGCTGGTCCACATTCCCAGGCCCCAACAGCCTTCAAAGATGGGTAAAGGAGCTTGCCCTCCCTGGGCCCCCCACCTTGGTGACTCGCCCCACCACCCCCAGCCCTGTCCCTGCCACCCCTCCTAGTGGGGACTAGTGAATGACTTGACCTGTGACCTCAATACAATAAATGTGATCCCCCACCCAAACTTGTCTGTGTCTGCCTCGCTTTGCTGGGGTGTGGACCGGGGTGTGGGCAGGGGTTGAGCGCAGGGGACGCAGCTTTCTGCAGATCCCACCCGGGCCTCCCCCACCATCTGGGGATCACTCCTGAAGATACCAGGTGGATGGACCCTGGACCATTTCTGTCTTGAGCATCCATCCGGGCCCGTGTCCCACCTTCCCTGGGTCTCATCTGTGCTCTGTGGAGGCCAAGGGTTCCCTCCCGGGGCCAAAGCCCCTGCTGCAGACAGACCCAGGCCCAGAGAAGGACGGGGGCCTGGGCGCTACTACACAGGCTGCTCCTGCGTGCTCCCCGCGCAGCGGTGCAGAGATCACCCAAGGCCTTAAGATTCTGAACTTTTATTTTCTGGCATGAAAAGTACAAATAATTAAACAATTCCATGTAAAAGTCTGTTACCGCGGCCAGGCCTGTGATCCCGGTAATAAATAGTCTAAACGCAACGCGAAGTGTTCTTGTTGGGTTTTTTTTTTTTTTTTGTCTTTTGTTTTGTCTTTTTTTTTTTTTTTTTTTTTACAGTTTTTTATCACCTCCAACATGGACTCTGTCGTGATTTGAAACCTTCCGAATAAATAACAGGATGAAGGGAGGGGTGGAGGGGCTGAGCCCCCTCCCCCCTGGCCTGGCCCCTGCCCCCCAGGGACGTGGAAGCCCCAAGTCCCCCTCGCCTGGGAGCCCCGGCCTGGCCCCCTGCGGGGAGGGGCTGGCCTCCAGGGAGGGGGCCTGGCTGGGCTGAGTTTTGTGTTTTAGAAAAAGAAGTCCCCTCCCAGTCTTGGGGGTGGCAGGGGCCTAGGCCTCGGTGGGGGGGGGGTGTGTGGGGAGGTGCCCCCTCTCTGGAGCCTGGCCCCCCCCAGGGTGGGGGACAAACCCAGCCCTTATTGCTCGGACGCCCTGCTGCAAGCTTCCCACGCGGACGTGCGTGTTCCCGAATGCAGAGGGCGGAGGGGAGAGAGCCCCAAGAGACAGCAGGGGAGAGGGGTCCCTGCCCTGCTGCAGGGGAGAGGAGAGAGGGCAGGGAGGACTTAAAACCACGAGAATAAATAGGTTCGTGTATCAAGAACAAGCTAGGGATTTCACCAGCTAAATAGGACTGAAAAAATTCTCAAGACAAGAGCAAAAAGAATCCCATTGGTGACCTGGACGTCGCTGGCCGTGGGGACTGTCCCGCAGAGCACACGCCCCCGCGTGCCACTCGGCTACCATTACTGTTATTAATAATTATTATTACTTTAATGATTCCACTTCCCCTTTTATAAATAAATTAGGCATAACCATGTCTCGGCAAAACTTAAAGAAACAAAGAGAACATTGTCGTTCCTTTAACTTGCAAACCGGATGAAGTAACAGAAATATACACGGATGTCCTTACAGGGCAACGAGGAGAATAAATAGTTAACATAGCAATAAGTTAAAACTACAAGAAGCTAAATTCAGCAAAAAAGTACAAGAAAGTTAACTGGTGCCAGTTTATGTCTTTTTTTTTTTTCCTTTTTTTTTTTTAAATCTCTTCTGTGTGTTTTCTTTTTTTGTTGCTTTTTTTTCCTCTTCTGTTTGTGTTTTTTTGTCGCTTTTTTGATTTTTTTCTTTTTTGTTCCTTGCAGCAGAAGCTCCACAGACGTTTAATAACAACACCGGGAGGGGTGGGGGAGAGAGAGCTGGACAGTCAGATGGGGGCGCCATAGCCAGACACCAAACGTGGGGACACCGGGGGAAGGCAACTTAACTATAGCTAAAGTCGGGGGTTTTGCAATTCTCAGTTCCGATGGGGCCGCTGAGTGGGGTGGGGAGCGGTGCGAGGGCTCCCAGGGGCTCCGGCCTGTGGCTTCTGTTGGAATTTTTTTTTTTTAAAGAAAGAAAACTAGGGCGATGCAATGTCCAGACAGAAGCCGGGGGCCGGGGCTCGAGATCGGGGGCTGTGTCCACTGCAATCTGGAAAGACGAAAAACCCAACAAACCGAAAGGGGATAGGTAGGTGACAAGTGGACGGGAAAGGAGTGTGGGGCTGGGCCTTTGGGCCCATCCACCCCACCCTGGGCCTGGCGGGGAGTGCCGGGGTCTTGCTGCCGGGGAGGCCCAGTCCTGGTGGGGGAGGCTCAGGGCTGGGCCTCTCCCTCAGCTGTGTGGGCCAAGGCCTCGGCCCAGGGGGAGGCTGAGCCCCGGGGACAGGGGTGTCCTTTGGCCTCAAGTGTTGTGGGGGGGGGGGCTGCCTCCAGCCCACCGTGACGCCAAGGTGGAACGAGGTATCGTGTGTCTCAATGCATGTGCGCTGCGTGTGCACGCC
Source organism: Homo sapiens (assembly GCF_000001405.40). Lineage (NCBI taxonomy): Eukaryota > Metazoa > Chordata > Mammalia > Primates > Hominidae > Homo > Homo sapiens. Next base: position 11,453,282 of record NC_000019.10, read on the forward strand.
TGTGTTCGTGGGCGCCAAGGAGACCGCTGGGGGTCCAGGAGAGATCTCTGCAGAGAACCTGGGGGCCAGGGCGAGGGGGCCGAGAGGGTGAGGGAGCGTCTGGGGCAGGGTCTGGGGTGGGACCTCCTGCCTGGGCCTGTGGGATGCTATGGGCATATGTCTGCGTGTTCCTGGGTGGTGTTTGTGTTTCTCCGTGACCTGGTGTCCAAATTTGATGTCCAAATATCTATCGCTACATTCACGTGTGCACGTGGACAGGTGGATGGATTCGTGTGCCCACATCTGTGGTCTGTGTCCACATGGACGTAGCCCCAGCTTCTGTCTCTTTCTGTCTATCCCTGTCCACGTGTCTGAGTTTGGCCAACCAGTCCCTTAACGTGTCTGGGGCATGTCGCTGTGTCCGTCTGCGTCTGTCCGTGTGTCCCCGTGGTGTGACTGTCTGCGTGGTTGTTTCTCTGTGTGGCCCCGTGGGCTGCTAGCCCCTAAGCCCTGCTCCCTGGGCCCCCCCCACCCCCGCCCCAGTTGGTAAACATAACCTGCCAAAATATTTTCTTTTTTTTTTTTTGTCTTTTTTTGTGTTTTTTTTTTTCAAGTTCAAGAATCCCCAGTAAAAATTCTCCACGAGGTCTTTTTCCCTTTTTACAAAAATAGAGTTTTTCTTCCCCTCCCACCCCCCTTTTTTTTTCATTTTGTTTCTGCTTCCAGCCCCACTGCCTGCTCCCCCGCATTCCACCAGGGGGCACTGGGCCGGGGGTGCCCACACCCCTCCTCACGGTTCGCTTTTTTGGGGATTTTTAAACCTGTTCCTCCTACCCCAGGCCCCACCTAGGTGCTGGGGAGGCCTGGGCAAGGGGGTCTGGGAGGGCACCCCCTGGAGCCCCCCAAGCCATCCCATCGGGGGTGGTCGAGGGTGGGGGTGGGGGCACATCTCTGCATTCTTTTTAGCCGAAAAAAGAAACAAAAACCTTCACCATGAACCAAACCAAGACGAGAGAGTGAACAGCCCAGCCTGGGGTGGGGGCAGGAGGATGGGGCGGGGGATCCCCGGGCACCCCCCCAATTCCCTGCAGACCCTCCCACCCCAGAGTGCTCACCCTGTGGCTTCCGCAGGGACGTGGGGCCCTCGCGTCGTCCGTGGGGCTGCCTGTGCTGTCTCTCTTGGGCCCCTTCTCTCTCTCTCTCTCTCTTTCTCTCTCTCTCTCTCTGCTGCCCGGGGAGGGGGTGGGAGGGCAGGCGGGGTGGGCTCACGCCTTGTGCTGTTTGCTGGTCTTGAAGGAGACCTGCAGCACGCGCTCGCCCAGGCGATAGCCGTTCAGGCTGGCGATGGCCATGGCCGCCTCGTCATAGTTGGTCATGGTCACGAAGCCGAAACCCTTGCACTTGTTGGTGGTGAAATCACGGATGACCTTGACGTTGGTGACTGCCCCAAAAGGCCCGAACAGCTGCCACAGCACGCTCTCGTCTGCCTCCGGTGACAGGTTGTACACGAAGATGCACCAGCCGGCGCCCGCCGCGCCCCCCGACAGGCCCACGCCCGCCAGGCCGCTCATACCATCGATGGCGATCGGCGAGAACCTGGCGATGAGCGACAGGGGACTACTTTGGGGGTCACGCGGGCTCTGCCCTGACCCCCCGCATGCTTCTGACCCCGTTGTGACCCTTCACACCTTTATGACCCCTGACTGTGCCATGACCTTGGAATGGTGTGACCCCTGCAATGCAATTTTTTTTTTTAGAGACACGGTCTCGCTCTGTCACCCAGGCTGGAGTGCAGTGGTGCAATCATGGCTCACTGCAGCTTTGACCTCCTGGGCTCAAGCAAACCTCCCGCCTCAGCCTCCTGAGCAGCTGGGACTGTAGGCAGGCGCCCTCACACCCAGCTAATTTTTTTTATGATTTGTGGTGACACAGTCTCACTATGTTGCTTAGGCTGGTCTCGAACTCTCAGGCTCAAGCAATCCTCCTGCCTTGGCTTCCCAAGTAGCTGGGACTACAGGTGCACCACTATGCCCCACTAATTTTTTTTTTTTTTTTTCTGAGACGGGGTCTTGCTCTGTTGCCCAGGCTGGAGTGCAGTGGGATGATCTCAGCTCACTGCAACCTCTGCCTCCTAGGTTCAAGCGATTGTCCTGCCTCAGCCTCCCGAGTAGCACCTGCCACCACGCCCAGCTAATTTTGTATTTTTAATAGAGATGGGGTTTCTCCATGTTGATCAGGCTGGTCTCGAACTCCCGACCTCAGGTGATCCGCCCGCTTCGACCTCCCAAAGTGCTGGGATTACAGGCATGAGCCACCGCACCCAGCCATGCCCCGCTAATTTTTAAAAATTTTTGTAGAGGTGGGGTCTCGCTGCGTTAGCCAGGCTGGTCTCGAACTCCTGGGCTCAAGCAATCCTACCACCTTGGAGTTCCAAAGTGCTGAAATTACAGGTGTGAGCCACTGCACCCGGCTTTCCTTTTCAAATCATATATTTATTATCATCAACTTCATCTTCCCTGCAAGAGTTTGTTCCAGCCCCTGAACAACACCTAGTAAGCACTTGGGAGGTGTCTGTTGAATGAATTAATGAAAGGACAGAATTGGCTCCACTCACATTCCTCACTGGCAATCCCGCCCTTGGATTAAACCCCTCAGCTGGGAAGGGAGGACCCAAGGGCCTGAACCATTCAATCCTGACCACGAGGAACAAACTACTCGCTCCTTCTGGCCCTCTTTGCACAGGCTTTTCCCACTGCTAGGAACTCCCTTTCCACTCTGCCTTTGTGTGGATGTTGCCTCAGATGGGACTGGGGGGTCTCTGCTGCTGGGTCTCCGTCACCCCTTCTTTTTTTTTTTTCTTTTTGAGACGGAATCTCACTCTGTCGCCCAGGCTGGAGTGCAGTGGCACGATCTCAGCTCACTGCAACCTCCGCCTCCTGGGTTCAAGCAGTTCTCTGCCTCAGCCTCCCGAGTAGCTGGGATTACAGGCGCCTGCCACCGTGCCCAGCTAAATTTTTGTATTTTTAGTAGAGATGGGGTTTCACCATCTTGGCCAGGCTGGTCTTGGACTCCTGACCTCGTGATCCGCCTGCCTCGGCTTCCCAAAGTGCTGGGATTACAGGCGTGAGCCACCGCGCCCGGCCTCTGTTACCCCTTCTACTTCACAGCTTTCATCACCATTCATTTCTCTGTCTCCTCCCCCACTAGACTCAGACTGAGATCTTCTTTTACATTTTTTAATTATTTTTTTTTTTTTGAGATGGAGTTTCGCTCTTGTTGCCCAGGCTGGAGTGCAGTGGCACGATTTCAGCTCACTGCAACCTCCTCCTTCCATGTTCAAGCGATTCTCCTGCTTCAGCCTCCTGAGTAGCTGGGATTACAGGCATGAGACACCGCGCCCAGCCACATTTTTTAATTTTTGGAGATAAGGTCTCGCTCTGTCACCCAGGCTGGAGTGCAGTGGCACCATCATAGTTCACTGCAGCCTCCAACTCCTAGGCTCAAGCGATCCTCCCGCCTCAGCCTCCTGAGTAGCCTGAACTACAGGCATGCACCACCGTATCAGGCTAATCCTTAAAAAAAAATTGTAGAGAAGGATCTCACTATGTTGCCCAGGCTGATCTTGAACTCCTGGCCTCAAGTGCTCCTTGCCCCTCAGCCTCCCGAAACACTGGGAGCACAGGCGAGAACCACCACGTCTGGCTTTGATGTCACATCTCTCAATGGCCATGCTACTCCAAGACCCAGGCAAACAAGGCTAAGCCTGCAGCCCTGGGGGTGAGCTGGGGAGGGGTGCATCAGGGGCATGGATGGTGAGGGGTGGGGACAGTGGGGCGGGGTCACTGTTACCTCTTGACGCCGTAGGCCATGTTGAGCAAATTGTCCAGCCTGTGGAGGCAGAGGTGGTGGTCAGAGGTGGCTTCCAGTCACGCCCCCCTGCTGTGACACCGTCGGCCTGCCCTCCCCACCCCCACCCAACAGGCCTGCAGCAGAGCCCTGCCCCCGCCTGCCTGCTCCCCGCCCGCCCGGCTAGACACTGCCTGGCACGGAACCGTGGTCACTCAGGCACCGCCTCTCGCCTGCCCCACCGCTGTCCAGCCTGCACTGGCCTCCTCATCCATCCTCCCCCTCCTGGCTGGCGGGTCCCCTCTGGGCCCAGGCGCTGGGATCCCTGGGGAAAGATAACTCCTAACAAAGGCGACAGTAACTACCACAGCCAACATTCTCGCAGCACTTGAGGGGGTGGGTAACTTGCCCCGGCCACCCGGGGGCCCACAAGGGGCTTCCATTGTCTCCCCTTGGAGTGGCTATGAGCTTGGACTCCAGGTCCTGGGTTTGAGTCTCTGCTCTGTTTGGGCCAGGCAAACCCCAACACCTCTCTGTGCCTCAGGGTCCCCGTCCATAAAACAGGGACAACACAAGCTCTGTTCTCATCGGGTTGCAGAAAAATAAGGGTGTCTAGCACACAGCAAAGACTCATGAAATATTTGGTGTTATTACAGATGGGAAACTGAGGCACAGAGCTACAGCCACGTGCCCAAAAGAGAAAGGGGCCACCAGAGCTGGAACCCAGATGACGCCAAAATCTTTTAACACCAAGAATGCCAATCGTCGCGGCCAGCACACATTGAGGGCCTGCTGTATATGAGTGGCTGGCCTTGGCACCTGACAGATAGGCTCCTTGGCTCCCATGTGTGCGCACCCTCCCGGCATCCCTCCCTTCGGCAGGAATGGGGTTCAGGGAGGGTTGCAAGCTTGGGGGCACCCGGCCTGGGGCCATCTGGCTGGCAGGGGGCTCACCGGAAACGCTGGGTCTGATGGTGTAGGGGGCCTGCGTAGCGCCGGGCGGATGACTGGTAGAGGTGGGTGAGCAGCGCCTGCCCCGTCTTCTGACTTGGGTTGTTCGCGAACTTGACTGTGATGGGCTCAGCTGCGCCCAGCGGCTTCTGCCCATTCAGTCCTTTGATAGCCTCTTCGGCCTCAATCCTCTTGTCAAAGCGGATGAATCCCACACCCCGAGAGACACCTGCCAGGGGGCAGGGATGTCCATCACGACGACCCTGTCCCCTCCTGTGTAACCCCACTTCTCCCTTCCCTGCTTCATGCCCTGGCATCTTGGTCGGTTTCCCCACGTTGGTCCCACCTGACTGCCTTTGCCCAGCGCCCCCGCCAGGTGCACCCTCCCTGACTGCCTGACCTGTGACCTGGTCCACCAGGATGCGGGACGTGATGATGCGGCCGTACTGGGAGAAGAGCTGCTCCATCTCTTTCTGGCTCATGGTCTTGGGGAGCCCGCTGACGTACAGGTTAGCATCCCGGATGGATGCTGAACTGGGTCTGGCATAGGACACCTGGGTGAGGGGGTCAGATGGACAGGGGTGAGGCAGAGACCCATTTCACAGATGGAGAGAGTGAGGCCATGTCTAAACCATCACGGAGTTAGCAGAAGTGACCCATCCGTCACTCAATAAGTATCTCTAGAGTTGTCACCGTGGGGTGGGGCTGAGTCAGATATGGGAGAGGGGACATGGCAGTGGCTGTAACAACTTGGACTGCCTGTATAGAGTGATGGGGACCTGCCACCTAGGGAGGACATGTCTCCCTGGGGTGACATGTGACCCCAAAGGGATCCTTGAATAGCCGGCTCACATCACTATCACATGCTTGACAGTCCATCAACAAACATTGACCTTTTTTTTTTTTTAAAGACAGGATCTCACTTTTTTACCCAGGCTGGAATGCAATGGTGTGATCTCAGCTCACTACAGCCTCGACCTCTTGGGCTCAAGCAATCCTACCGCCTAAGCCCCGCAAGTAGCTGAGACTACAGGCGCCCACCACCACGCCTGACCAGCATTTTTTTTTTCTTTTTTTTTTTTTTGAGATGGAGTGTTGCTCTGTCGCCAGGCTGGAGTGCAATGGCGACATCTCGGCTCATTGCAACCTCTGCTTACCGGGTTCAAGCAATTCTCCTGCCTCAGCCTCCTGACTAGCTGGGATTACAGGCGCCCACCACCACGCCTAGCTAATTTTTTTTTTATTTTTTTGTATTTTTAGTAGAGACGGGTTTCACCATGTTGGCCAGGATGGTCTTGACCTCTTGACCTTGTGATCCGCTCATCTCGGCCTCCCAAAGTGCTGGGATTACAGGCGTGAGCCACCGCGCCTTACCTAATTTTTATAATTTTAGCAGAGACAGGGTTTCATCATGTTGGTCAGGCTGGTCTCGAGCTCCTGATCTCATGATCCGCCCGCCTCCGCCTCCCAAAGTGCTGGGATTACAGGTGTGAGCCACCTCCCCCGGCCTCAGCTAATCTTTAAATTTTTTTTTTTGTAGAAACAGGATCTCACTGTGTTACCTAGGCTGGTATTGAACTTCTGGCCTCAAGCAGTTCTCCCATCTCGGCCTCCCAAAATACTGGGATTATAGGTGTGAGCCACCATGCCTGGCCTATTTTTATTTTATTGAAAGACGGAGTCTTGCTGTGTTGCCCAGGCTAAATGCAGTTATTATTCACAGGTGCAATCATACTGCACTGCAGCCTCCAACTCCTGGACTCAAGCCATCCTCCCACCTCAGCCTCCCAAGTAGCTGGGACTACAGGCATGCACCACCACACCCAGCCACTCTTCCCACTCCTATAGAGAGTGGACCTAAGACACTGGCCCCTTCTCTTCCCAGCTACACTGGGCCCCCCAGGGACACTCAGGTCTTTAGTCATCAGCTCCCAAATGTCCCCAGTCTGCACCCCTGGTGGCAACTGCATCCAGGTGCCCCACATGGGGGTGTCAAGGGCACTTCATACACAGCACGGGTGCCTCCTGCTCCCGCCCGCCTCCAATCTGCCCCAACTCACTAATGGCAACTCTGTCCTCCTAAGTGCTCATGTCCCCAGGTTCAGGTTGTTCTCGACACCTGTTCTTCACATGCACATCCAACCCACTCTAAATCCTGTAGGCTCTACCTTCCTCCTTATCCAGAATCCACACACTTCACCCCACTGCCACTGTCCCACCCTGGCCCAGCCTTCACTACTGATCACCTGGACCAGTGCAGCAGCCTCCACCCTGGCCCCCCCTGCTCCCATCCCCCACTGTCTGTCCCCCCTACGGCAGCCAGAGGGCGCCTGTGAACACCTGAGCCAGGTCGCATCCCCCCTCTGCTCAGAACCCTCTATGGCTCCCACCTTCCTCAGCAGAAAAGCCAAAGTCCTTTCCTTGGACCGCAAAACCCTGCACATTCTTCCCCATGACATCCTTGCCCTCATCTCCCCCTACTTCCTGCCCCAATTACTGTGTTCCAGCAACTTGAACTTCCCCCATTTTTCCCAAACACACCAGGCATGTCTCAGCCTCAGGGCCCTGGCATTGCCTGTTCTCTCTGCCTGGAATGCTCTTCCTCCTCTTCTTTCTTTGGGTCTCAGTTGAAACATCCTCCCTGTCCTCTCTCATCTAAATTTGTCCTCCCCCCACCACCCCTATTACTCTTTCTCAAAGCACTTCTCCTAACTAGGAATTAGACACATTTTAGCACTGTTATCTGAATCACATTATTAATTATAGTCCAACCCAACAACGAAACTCTCTGCAGGTGTTTAAAAAAATGGTGGGTCAGGTGCAGTGGCTCATGGCTGTAATCCCAGTGCTCTGGAAGTTCAAGGCAGGAGGATCAAGGGAGCCCAGGAGTTTGAGACCAGCCTGGACAATACAGCAAGACTCACCCCCGTCCTCCACCGCCACAACCTCTACAAAAAAAAAAAAAAAAAAAATTAGCTGGGTGTGGTGGTGCACACCTGTGGTCCCAGCTACTCGGGAGACTGAGGCTGGAGGATCACTTGAACCCAGGAGTTAAAGGCTGCAGTGAGCTATGATCACACCACTGCACTCCAGCCTGGGCTACAGAGCAAGACCCTGTCTCTAAAAAAAAAAAGAGAAAAAGATGGACATATATATTTATTTCCCAGAAACGGTGGTGACTGGTGAGTATTGTAAAATGGGGGACAGAAAAGTCTATTTACAAAGCAGGGAATATTGTGTGACCTTGTTTCATTGTGTGTTTATCAATGTCCTGGAAGCATGGTAGGGAAGTCCACCTCTCAAATGCTCAGTGGGTGACCTGTCACCAGGGACTGGGGAAGAGGCTGGGGCGTGGTCATCAGCAATTCTCCCCCTTATGTCTGCTGTATCTATTTTTCCTCCCTCCCTCCCTCCCTCCCTCCCTTCCTTCCTTCCTTCATTCCTTCCTTCTTTCCTTCCACTCTCCCTCCCTCCCTCTTTCCTCCCTCCCTCCTTCCCTTCCTTCCTTTCCTCTTTCTTTTTCTTGTTAAGTGAGGTTTTTGTTTGTGGGTTTGTTTTGAGATGGGGTCTTGCTGTGTTGCCCAGGCTGGAGTACAGTGATGCAATCATGGTTCACCACAGCCTTGACCCCCCCGGGCTCCAGCAATCCTCCCACCCTCGGCCTCCCAAAGTGCTGGGACTACAGGTGTGAGCCTTTGTGCCCAGCCTCTATTTTCTGTTTCTTCTAATTAACCTCTTGATAGATAGGGGTCATTGTCTTCTGGCTTTTGTTTGGGACAGTGAGTTGAGACAGTGAGTTGTGAGAGTGTATGCCTCCATTAGAAATAACTAATTAAAGCTGGGCGCGGTGGCGCACGCCTGTAATCCCAGCATTTTGCGAGGCTGAGGCAGGCGGATCACAAGGTCAGGAGATCAAGACCATCCTAGCTAACATGGTGAAACCCCATCTCTACTAAAAATACAAAAAATTAGCCAGGCGTGGTGGCGGGTGCCTGTAATCCCAGCTACTCGGGAGGCTGAGGCAGGAGAATGGCGTAAACCCAGGAGGCGGAGCTTGCAGTGAGCCGAGATCGCGCCACTGCACTCCAGCCTGGGCAACAGAGCGAGACTCCGTCTCAAAAAAAAAAAAAAAAAAGAAATAACTAGTTTAAAAATGAACAAAATAGATAAAGCAGTTTGAGAGTGAATGGGGGGCAGGGTCTGATTAATATAATTTTGTGCACCTGGGGTTCTCCAGAAAAAAAAATCACATCAGCCATTGTCATGTCCATAATAATGATTTTTAAAATCACAGCCAGGCCAGGCACGGTGGCTCACGCCTGTAATCCCAGCACTTTGGGAGGCCGAGGTGGGCAGATCACTTGAGGTCAGGAGTAGGAGACCACCCTGGCCAACATGGTGAAACCCCGTCTCTACTAAAAATGCAAAAATTAGCCGGGCGTGGTGGCGGGCGCCTGTAATCCCAGCTACTCAGGAGGCTGAGGCAGGAGAATCACTTGAACCTGAGAGGCGGAATTGCAGTGAGCCGAGAGCGCACCACTGTAATCCGGCCTGGGTAACAGAGCAAGATTCCATCTCAGAAAAATAAATAAATTAATTAAGAAATAAATCATGTCCATGCTGGGCACGGTGGCTCACGCCTGTAATCCCAGCACTTTGGGAGGCTTGAGGGGGGTGGATGATCTGAGGTTGGGAGTTCGAGACCAGCCTGACCAACATGCTGAAACCCCGTCTCTACTAAAAAAAATACAAAGATTAGCCGTGCATGGTGGCTGGCGCCTGTAGTCCCAGCTACACGGGAGGCTGAGGCAGGAGAATTGCTTGAACCTGGGAGGCAGAGGTTGCAGTGAGCCGAGATCGCGCTACTGCATTCCAGCCTGGGTGACAGAGTGAGACTCCGTCTCAAAAAAAAAAAAAAAAAAGAAAGAAAGAAATCATGTCAATGTATTTGACAGTTTTCTCTTCTTTTTTTCTCTCCCATGGGGCTAGGAGCTGTGAGGGTACTTGCTGATGAATCAGATTTGGGTTGAGGGATTAGATTTGGGGGTAAGATCCTGGGTGGATATTGGAGGTCCAACACCGTCTGAGACACAGAGGAGGTTTTCACAGGCCTTTTCCATCCCTCCATGACATGGGTTTCCCAAGGGCAAGGATGGACCAAACTCCACCCACACCCCACCCTGGGATGGGGCCTGGCCCGCGGCAGGCAGCTGGAGATATTTTGGGCAGCTGCCATAGCGCCCAGTCCTGACTGACCGCGCAACACCGTCACACAGGCAAAAACACCCAGGGACAGACAGAAGGCCATGCAGTGCCGCCCCGCTGCACAGCCTCAGAGATGAAACCAGCCAGAGGGTGACACAGGCCACTGTCACATTCTCAGCAACGTTCAGGAGGGAGTCTCAGAGAATTACAGTGAAGGTCGTAGAACCACATACCCATCACAGCGCAGCACAAACACACGATATCACACTCAATCCCTCAGAGCAGGGCACAGGTAGACACACCCACACAACATCGCGGTGACACACAAACATCCTGCCAGAGCCAGACGCATCCCTGAGGCCCCATCAGGTCACAGCCGGAGTCACAGTGTCACATGCACCTGTCAAATAATAAGCACGTCATCCTGGGCCGGGTGCGGTGGCTCACACTTGTAATCCCAGCACTTTGGGAGGCTGAGGTGGGTGGATCACGAGGTCAGGAGTTCAAGACCATCCTGACCAACATGGAGAAACCCTGTCTTTACTAAAAATACAAAATTAGCCAGGTGTGGTGGCGGGTGCCTGTAATCCCAGCTACTCGGGAGGCTGAGGCAGGAGAATCGCTTGAGCCTGGGAGGCGGAGGTTGCAGTGGGCCGAGATCGCGCCATTGCAATCCAGCCTGGGCAAGAGAGGGAGACTCTGTCTCAAAAAAAACCCCAAAAAATCAAAAAACCAAAAAAAAAAAACCTTATCCTACAGACACATAGGGATATACCCGAAGTCTTAAATACACAGATGCACTTGACAGCAGCCTCTCTCTCCCTCCCTCTCTCTCCCTCTCTCTCTCTCTGTCTCTCTCTGTCTCTCTCTCTCTCTCTCTCTCTCTCTCTATATATATATATATATTTTTTTTTTTTTTAGACAGGGTCTTGCTCTGTTGCCGAGGCTGGAGTGCAGTGGTGAAACATGACTCACTGTAGCCTCGCCGCCTCAGCTTAAGTGATCCTCCCCACTCAGCCTCCCAAGTAGTTGGGACTACAGGTGCAAGATGCCACGCCCAGCTAATTTAAATTTTTTTTTTTTAGGAACAGGGTTTTGTCACGTTGCCCAGGTTGGTCTCAAACTCTCGGGCTCAAGTGATCCTCCTGCCTCGGCCTCCCAAAGTGCTGGGATTATAGGCGTGGGCCACTGTGCCTGGCCACAGCCACTCGCACACTGTGTCCCACAACCATTGTGTCACAGCCAGAGCCACAGTGAGTCACGGGACACCTGGATCATAAACACTGTATCTCACAACTCAAGATGACACACACACACCCCACACACACATACACACACACATACACCACACACACCACACACACACCACACACACCACACATACACATACATGACACACACATACACACATCACACACACACCCCCCACACACATACACCACACACACCACACACACACACATCACACACACACCACACACATACACCACACACACATCACACACACCACACACATACACCACACACACCACACACACACCACACACACATGCACCACACACACCACACACAAACCAGACACACACATACACAACACACACACCACACACACATACACACATACACACACCACACACACCACAAACACACACCACACACACACCACACATATACACACACCACACACACCACACACACGCACCAGACACACACATACACCACACACACACCACACACCACACACACATACATACACATACACACACCACACACACACCACACACATACACACATACACACATCCCACACACCCCACACAGACACACACACACCACACACACATACACATACACCACACACATACACACCACACACATACACATACACACCACACACATACACATACCACACACACATACACGTAATACACCTACACGCCACACACATACACACACACCACACACATACACACCGCACACCACACACATACACACCGCACACATACACCACACACATACACACACACACACCACACACACACACACCACACACATACACACATGCACACACACCACACACACATGCGTACACACACACATGCGTACACATATACATACACACATACACACACACATACACGCTGCATCTCAATGTCACTGGGGTCTGGGGTCCTCATGCCCTGAGGCTTCTGGGTCTCGTTGGCCATGAAGGGACCCATTGGGTCACAACTTCACTCCCCCACCCCAATCCCCAACCCCCCACATCAGGAAAGGGAAGAGATTCCTGCACCTCTGTTCCCATGTTGAACTGGGGGCCAGATGGGCCACCCCCCCGACCCTGGCTTCCTCCAGGGTCCGGGAGCAGATTTGCAGGGCGGAGCCCAAACACCCCCAGGCGAACCCAGAGAGGGGGGTTTCCATGACGATTCCCCCCCAGGGAACCTGGGCTTGTAGGGTCCCAGCTGCAGCTGCTGAGAAGGGAGGTCCTGGGGGAGGGGCGTTGCACAAAGATGGGGGATGGGCCGCCCCAATCCCGCCCTCCCAGACCCTAATTAGGCTCCAGATGGCAGATGGGCCCCCACCCCCATTTCCATGACAAAAGCAGGGAGGGGACTGCTCACAGGACCCTGGTCACTCTGCCTTACAGGGCCTGGCTGACTCCCTGAGCCTCCAGAGATCGTGGAGCCAGTACTGTCCCCATTGACAGGTGAGGAAACTGAGGTTTAGAGAGGGAAAGCCATTGCCCCCACCCCAGCTAGGAAGTCTTGGAGGGGAGATTTGAGCCCCTCTGGGGATGAGTCCTGAAAGGCAGTGGACATGGATGCATGGGGGCGGGTAGGTGGCAGTAGGGGGTTGGGGACAGTCAGTTGGGGTGGGCGGTCATGGGGGATTGGAGAAGGAGGCACCAACCTTGATGGTCTTCGTCTGTAATTTGAGGCCGTTGAGGGTGTTGATGGCTTTGTCTGCATCATTGGGGTCAGAATAGTTCACAAACCCGTAGCCAAGGCTCTGCCCTGTGGGCAGAACCAGAATGATGACCTTCCCACCCAGCCTTGACACCTGCCAGTGTCCCACCTCAGGCCTGAGAGACTGTCCCCTCCCCACCAAGTTTCCACCTTCCTGTTTCCAGATGACACCTTCGATGCTAGAGTCCCACCTGCCTCCATCGCTCCTGAGACCTTCACCTAGGGGGTATACCCATCTCCCCATCAGACCTCACATCCCTAGACCACCTCCTGCCTCGATTACCCCCGAGACACCTCAGCAAGGGTCCCACCTGCCCCCATCACCTCTGTATTTCTGAGGCTACCACCTCTGTTCCTCCCCGCAACTCCAGCAGCCACACCTGTGATCTTGTCCCGAACCAACTTGCAGGACTCGATGTCGCCAATGCTGCCGAAGAGACTCTTGAACTCATCCTGGGTCATGTTCTGGGGCAGGTAGTTGACGATGAGGTTGGTCTTGCTGTCGTCAGTGGCTCCATTTGTACCAAGGAGTGGCCCGTTGGGCAGGGCCGGGCCGGCCGGGCCCCCCCCCACCTGAGACTCCATGGCCCCCAGTATCTGCTGGAGATAACAGGTCGCATCCGCTCACCGCCCAGTCCCCACACCAGGGGCCTGCGGCAATGAGTGGCTTGGTGGTGATGAATTAGCCATGTCTTATAGGGGCTTCGTCATGGGGAGGGGTCACTTTATTATTCTAATGATGGGAATAATGATGGGATTCCATATATTGGAATAAGCATTGGGGGGAAACAAAGCACCTGATGTTTTTACTGCAAGAAATCCCTTATATGACTACTATATACGCAAACAGAGGCCTAAAATCAACCTGTGCATTTACAAAATAAAAAACGCTTTCACACCGGAAACGCTTTCACGTCGGGCGCAGTGGCTCACGCCCCTAATCTCAGCACTTTGGGAAGCTGAGGCGGGCGGATCACCTGAGGTCGGGAGTTCGAGACCAGCCAGACCAACATGGAGAAACTCCATCTCTACTAAAAATACAAAATTAGCCGGGCGTGGTGGCGCATGCCTGTAATCCCAGCTACTCGGGAGGCTGAGGCAGGAGAATTGCTTGAACCCGGGAGGCGGAGGTTGTGGTGAGCCGAGATTGCGCCATTGCACTCCAGCCTGGGCAACAGGAGTGAAATTCCATCTTAAAAATAAAATAAAATAAATGCTTTCGCTCTCAGAAAAGTAAATCTAACAGTAGCTTTCTTTGTTTTTGTTGTTGTTGTTTGTTAGTTGGTTGCTCTGTCACCCAGACTGGAGTGCAGTGGTGCGATCTCGGCTTGCTGCAACCTCCGCCTCTTGGGTTCAAGCGATTCTCCTGCCTCAGCCTCCAGAGTAGCTGGGATTACAGGTGCATGCCACTATGCACAGCTAATTTTTATATTTTTAGTAGAGATGGGGTTTCGGCACGTTGGCCAGGCTGGTCTCGAACTCCTGACCTCAGGTAATCCACCCACCTCCGCCTCCCAATGTGCTGGGATTACAGGCGTGAACCACCGCGTCTGGCCCCATTTTTAGTAGCTTTTATTTTAGAAAAAGGGTCTCGCTCTGTCACCCAGGCTGGAGTGCAGTGGTGCCATGAAGTCTGACTGCATCCTCGACCTTCCAGGCTCAAGCAATCCTCCCACCTCAGCCTCCCAAGTAGCTGGAACAATAGGCGCATGCCACCATGTCTGGTTAATTTTAAAATTATTTGTAGAGATGGGGTCTCACTATGTGGCCCAGGCCGGTCTCAAACTCTTGGGCTCTGGTGATCCTCCCACTTTGGCCTCCCAAAGTGCTGGGATTACAGGTGTGAGCTACTATGCCTGGCCCTTTTAGTAGCTTTGAAGCCTCATAAGCCCTTCCCTAAACATATTTATTTGCCTCCTCCCACCAAAGGTAATTCCTATCCCAAATGTGCTAATTATGTCTTTTGCTTCATGCATAAGTTTCTTACTAGTCATTTACCTGCCTTCATCTCCCCTTGCCACCCCCAGTTTTCCCACTGAGCTATTTTGTTCTTTTGCTTTTATTGTATAACATAAAACACCTTCAAATAATGACAATTTTATTTTTTCATCTTCAGTCTATACCTGTTATCTATTTTTCTTGTCATTTCAGGGGCTACAGTGTGATAGTGGCTTCTTTATTCCTGATTTTTTTTTTTTTTTTTTAAAGACAGAGTCTCCCTCTGTCACCCAGGCTGGGGTGCAATGGCACGATCTTGGCTCACTGCCACCTCTGCCTCCCAGGTTCAAGCAATTCTCCTGCCTCAGCCTTCCAAGTAGCTGAGACTACAGGTTTCCACCACCACGCCCGCCAAATTTTTTTGTGTGTTTTTAGTAGAGACGGGGTTTCACTATGTTGGCCAGGCTGGCCAGGCTGGTCTTGAAATGCTGACCTCGTGATCTGCCTGCTTCAGCCTGCCAAAGTGCTGGGATTACAGGCATGAGCCACCACGCCCGGCCCTTTATTCCTGCTGTTAAGGGAGATGCTTTAAACATTTTGCAGCCAAACATGATCTTTGCTATGGGTTTTTTTCTAGATGGCCTTTATCGGGTTAAGAACATTTTCTTTTATTCCTAGATCCTAAGACTTTTTTAAAAAAGGATGTTGAATTTTATTGACTTTTTTTTTACATCAATTGAAACCATTTTTTAGCTTTAATTAATTAATTTTTGAGACAAGGTCTCGCTCTGCCACCCAGGCTGAAGTGCAGTAGGGCAATCTTGGTTCACTGCAACCTCTGCCTTCCAGGCTCCAGCAATCCTCCCACGTCAGCCTCCCCAGTACTTGGGGCTACAGGTATGCGCCTCCAAGCCTGGCTACTTTTTTTTTCTTTGTATTTTTAGTAGAGACGGGGTTTTGGCATATTGCCCAGGCTGGTCTCGAACTCCTGGGCTCAAGCAATCCTCCTGCTTTGGCCTCCCATAGTGTTGGAATTACAGGCGTGAGCCACCGCACACAGCCCATTTTTTAGCTTTAATACATTAATGTCATGAATTACGTTAATTGATTTTCTTTTTTTTGCGCGGGAGGGGGGACGGAGTTTCGCTCTTGTTGCCCAGGCTGGAGTGCAATGGCGCGATCTTGGCTCCCCCCAAACTCCGCCTCTCAGGTTCAAGCGATTCTCCTGCCTTAGCCTCCTGAGTAGCTGGAAGTATAGGCATGCGCCACCATGCCCGGCTAATTTTGTATTTTTAGTAGAGGCGGGGTTTCTCCATGTTGGTCACACTGGTCTCGAACTCTTGACCTCAGGTGATCCACCCGCCTCAGCCTCCCAAAGTGCTGGGATTACAGGCGTGAGCCACCGTGCCCAGCCGTTAATTGATTTTCTAATATTAAATCAATCTTGATGGGATAAACCAAACTTGGTCATGCATATTGCAGTTTTGTTTATATACATTGCTTGATTTAATTTGCTGAATTTTTTGGTGGTTTAGCATTTTTTTACATATATGTTGAGGAGGACATGCTGTTTATTTAATTCACACAAAGACTCTAAAATGGTAGAAGTTGGCTGGGTACAGTGACTTACGCCTGTAATTCCAGCACTTTGGGAGGCCAAGGTGGACGGATTGCTTGAGCTCAAGAGCTCGAGACCAGCCTGGGCAACATGGCGAAACCCTGTCTCTACTAAAAATTTAAAAACTAGCTGAATGTGATGTTGTGTGCCTGTAGCAAAGATACTTGGGAGGCTGAGGTGGGAAGATCACCTGAGGTCGGGAGGTCAAGGATGCAGTAAACCATAATCACACCACTGCACTCCTGCCTGGGCGACCGAGTGAGACCCTGTCTCAAAAATAAATAAATAAAGCTGGGGGCAGTGGCTCAAGCCTGTAATCCCAGCAGTTTGGGAGGCTGAGGCAGGAGGATCACTGGAGGTCAGGAGTTCAAGACTAGCCTGGCCAATATGGTGAAACCCCGCCTCTACTAAAAATACCACAATTAGCCAGGTGTGGTGGCACACGCCTGTAATCCCAGCTACTCGGGAGGCTGAGGCACAAGAATTGCTTGAACCCGGGAAGTGGAGGCTGCAGTGAGCTGAGCTCGTGCCATTGCACTCCAGGCTGGGTGACAGAGCGAGACCCCATCTAAAAATAATAGTAATAAAATAAATAAATAAGGCCGGGCATGGTGGCTCACGCCCATAATCCTAGCACTTTGGGAGGCCGAGGCAGGCAGATCACCTGAGGTCGGGAGTTCGAGACCAGCCCGACCAACATGGAGAAACCCCGTTTGCTACTAGAAATACAAAAAAAAAAAAAAATTAGCCGGGCGTGGTGGCGCATGTCTGTAATCCCAGCTACTCAGGAGGCTGAGGCAGGAGAATCGCTTGAACCTGGGAGGCGGGGGTTGCGGTAGCTGAGATCCCACCATTGCACTCCAGCCTGGGCAACAAGAGCGAAACTCCATCTCAAAATAAAACAAAATAATTAATTATTAAATGGTATAAGTTAACTTTGCTATGATAGATGGAGAATCTGAGGCTTAAAGATGTTAAGGAACGTGCTGAAGTCACATAGCCTATCTGCTCTGGCATTGGAAATGAAATGAAGACCCTCGGAATGTGAAGACCACTCTACAATTTTCTTTTCTTTTTTTAGAGACAGGATCTTGCTTTGTTACCCAGGCTGGAGTGCAGTGTTGTGATTGTAGTTCACTGCAGCCTCAAACTCCTGGGTTCAAGCATTCTTCCTGCCTCAGTCTCCCAAGTAGCTAGGACTACAGGTGGGCGCCACCATGCCTGGCTAATTTTTAAAAATTTTTTTGGGCTAGACGCAGTGGCTCATGCCTGTAATCCCAGCACTTTGGGAGGCCGAGGTGGGCGGATCACGAGGTCAGAGTTTGAGACCAGCCTGGCCAATATGGTGAAATCCCGTCTCTACTAAAAATACAAAAATTAGCCGGGCATGGTGGTGTGCGCCTGTAATCTCAGCTACTCAGGAGGCTGAGGCAGGAGAAACGCTTGAACCAGGGAGGTGGAGGTTGCAGTGAGCTGAGATTACATCATTGCATTCCAGCCTGAGCAACAGAGTGAGACTCCATCTCAAAAAAAAAAATTTTTTTTTTTGAGCCAGGCGCAGTGGCTCATGCCTGTAATCCCAGCACTTTGGGAGGCCGAGGCGGGTGGATCATGAGTTCAGGAGTTCGAGACCAGCCTGACCCACGTGGTGAAACCCCATCTCTACTAAAAATACAAAAATTAGTGGGGCGTGGTGGCACACGCCTGTAATCCCAGCTACTCAGGAGGCTGAGGCAGGAGAATTCCTTGAACCTGGGAGACGGAGTTTGCAGTGAGCTGAGATCGCGCCATTGCACTCCAGCCTGGGCGACAGAGAGAGACTCTGTCTCAAAAAAAAAAAATTTTTTTTTTGTAGAGATGGGGTGTCACTATGTCGCCCAGGCTGGTCTCAAACTCACAGCCTCAAGCAATCCTCATGCCTCAGCCTCCCAAAGTGTTGGGATTACAGGCATGAGCCACTGAACCTGGCCCAATTTTCTTACTGTAACAGTCAACCAGGCTGGTACTGGCTCTGACAACTCACTATGCGTCTTTGGATATGCCTGCTAGGGCCTCTGTTTCACTTTGCTGAAAATTCAGAACAATTGGCAAGGGCTATATGAAGGGCTATGTAGAGGAGAATTTTAAAGCCACTTCAGAAATCAGCAGCAAACAGTGCTGGGATTTGACTGACCTTATCTGTCAGGGACATAAGAAGGTCAAGTAGCCAGCATTTCCTTACATCTTCTTCAGTGGCACAGTTGGCACATAGGTTTACCCTCACTTGAAAACCTGAACTGGGCCAGGCATGGTGGGTCACGGCTGTAATCCCAGCCAGCACTTTGGGAGGCTGAGGCAGGTGGATCATCTGAGGTCAGGAGTTTGAGACCAGCCTGGCTAACATAGCGAAACTGTCTGTACTAAAATTACAAAATTAGCCAGGTGTGGTAGTGGACGCCTGTAATCCCAGCTACTCAGGAAGCTGAGGCAGGAGAAGTGCTTGAACCCAGGAGGCGGAGGTTGCAGTGAGCCAAGATCGCACCACTGCACTCCAGCCTGGGCGAGAGCAAGACTCCGTCTCAAAAACAAACACACATACTGATTGGTAGTGTCTTCCTAGAGGAATGAATTAAGAAGAATTCAGAAACCACATTTAGGCAAGGCGTGCTGGCTCATGCCTATAATCCCAGTACTTTGGGAGGCCGAGGTGGGAGGACTGGTTGAGCTCAGGAGTTCAAGCCCAGCCTGGGCAACACAGTGAGATCTTGTCTCTACAAGAAATTTAAAAATTAGCTAGTCATGGTGGCTTGCACCTGTGGTCCCAGGTACTCAGGATGGTGAGACAGGAGGATCACTTGAGCCCAGGAGGTGGAGGTTGCAGTGAGCCATGATGGCACCACTGTACTCCAGCCTGGGCAACATAGTGAGACACTGTATAACAAAAAAGAAAAAGAAGAAGAAGAAGAAGGAGAGGGAGAGGGAGAACGAGAAGGAGAAGGAAAAGGAGAAGGAGAAGAAGAAGCCAGGCGTGGTGGCTCACGCCTGTAATCTCAGCACTTTGGGAGACCAAGGGGGGGTGGATCGCCAGAGGTCAGGAGTTTGAGACCATCCTGACCAAACATGGTGAAACCCCGTCTCTACTAAAAATACAAAAATTAGCCAGGTGGGGTGGTGGGCACCTGTAATCCCAGCTATTTGGGAGGCTGAGGCAGGAGAATCACTTGAATCCGGGAGGTGGAGATTGCAGTGAGCCGAGATCACACCATTGCACTCCAGCCTGGGTGACAGAGTGAGACTCTGTCTCAAAAAGAAAAGAAAAGAGGCAGGGCGCGGTGGCTCACACCTGTAATCCCAGCACTTTGGGAGGCCGAGGCGTGTGGATCACGAGATCAGGAGATCGAGACCATCCTGGCTAACACGGCGAAACTCCGTCTTTACTAAAAATACAAAAAATTAGCCGGGCATGGTGGCGGGCGCCTGTAGTCCCAGCTACTCCGGAGGCTGAGGCAGGGGAATGGTGTGAACCCAGGAGACGGAGCTTGCAATGAGCCGAGATCGCACCACTGCACTCCAGCCTGGGCGACAGAGCGAGACTCCCTCTCAAAAAAAGAAAAGAGAAAAGAAAAGAAAAAGAAAAAGAAATCACATACAGTTTTCAGTAGGAAAGATCACTGTGATTGATTAGCAATGTCTGCTGTGGCCACACAACTAGAAACAGCCAGCAGGTACATATTATCTCAACCATCCCTGACTCAAGCTCCAATATCTTAATTGTTCCCAAATATTGGCTACTACTGTGTGCCAGGCACTGTGCAAAGCACTCTACATGCAAGTTTTCTGTTCTTATTCACAACAATCCTAAAAAGAGAATTTTTCCTCCCCCACTTCACCCCCACTTAATACATGAGGAAACTGAGATATTTTAAAAATTGCCAAAGATCATGCAGCATATAAATGGTGGAACAGGGATTTGCATATGAGTTTTTCTGATCCAGAGTGTGCATTTCCAACTTCCACTGCCAACCAAGAACAGTGCCAGCTCTAACATTTCCCAGCTGTGTGTCCTCAGATAGACTACTTAGTGCTTCTGAGCCTCTGCTCCATTTTGCTGCAAACTCCAAATTATAGTCACACTGGCCTGGGGTAGTAGCTAAAGCCATATGCTGTAAAGCATCTGGAATTGGTTAGTTACGTCTGTCATGGGCATGATCATGGGAATTAAAAGCAGGCTTGTCACATCCATCATCCGTACCTCATAATACACCTACATTATTTATTATTATTATTAGAGACGGGGTCTCGCTCTGTCACCCAGACTGGGGTGCAGTGGTATGATCATGACTCATTTCAGTCTAAACCTCCGGGGCTGAAGTGATTCTTACACCTCAGCCTCCTGAGAAGCTGGGACTACAGGCATGTGCCACCATGCCTGGCTAATTTTTTTAATTTTTTGTAGAGATGGGTTCTTGCTATGTTACCAGGCTGATCTCAAACTCCTGGCCTCAAGTGATCCTCCCACCTTAGTTTCCCAAAGTGCTAAGGATTCAGTTGTAGCCAGGCACGGTTGCTCACGTCTGTAATCCCAGCACTTTGGGAGGCCGAGGCAGGCAGATCACGAGGTCAGGAGTTCCAGACCAGCCTTGCCAACATGGTGAAACCCTGTCTCTACTAAAAATACAAAAAAATTAGCCAGGCGTAGTGGTGGGTGCCTCTAATTCCAGCTACTAGGGAGGCTGAGGCAGAATTGCTTGGGAAGCAGAGGTTGCAGTGAGTTGAGACTGTGCCATTGCACTCCAGCATTGCACACCAGCCTGGGTGACAGAGTGAGACTCCGTCTCAAAAAAAAAAAGAATTCAGTTGTGAGCCACCATGCCTGGCCTATTATTCTTTTATTTAAAGATGGGGTCTCTCTATGTTGTCCAGCCTGGAGTGCAGTTATTATTCACAGGTGCAATCGTAGTGCACTGCAGCCTCCAACTCCTGGACTCAAGCAATCCTCTCATCTCAGCCTCTCAAGTAGCTATGACTACAGGCATGTGCCATTGCATGGGGCAATACTGCTATTTTATTTTATTTTATTTTTTTGAGACGGAGTCTTGCTTTGTCGCCCAGGCTGGAGTGCAGTGGCGCGATCTCAGCTCACTGCAACTCCGCCTCCTGGGTTCACACCATTCTCCTGCCTCAGCCTCTGGAGTAGCTGGGACTACAGGCACCCACCACCACGCCTGGCTAATTTTTTGTATTTTTAGTAGAGATGGGGTTTCACCGTTAGCCAGGATGGTCTCGATCTCCTGATCTCGTGATCCACTGCCTCGGCCTCCCAAAGTGCTGGGATTACAGGCATGAGCCACCGCACCCGGCCTAATACTGCTATTTTAATGAGCATTCCACTACACTGAGCATCTACTGTGTGCCAGGCACTGTGGGAAATACTTTGAGGCATATTTTCAGTTACTCTCCCAACAATCTTAAAAGACTGAGAACACATTCTCCATTTTACAGGTGACAAAAGTGAATTCAGAGACGTATGAATAGGGAAATTCATTTCAGTCCTGGATCTGTTTGCAGAGCTGTTTTTCATCATTATGGCCAATGCCTTGTCTCGCTATGTTGCCCAGGCTGACCCTGAACTCTCAGGCTCAAGTGATTCTCTCACCTCAGCCTCCCCAGTAGCTAGGACTACAAGTGCAATTCATCATGCCCAGCTAATTTTTTATTTTTTGTAGAGATGGGATCTTGCTATGTTGCCCAGGCTGTTCTCAAACTCCTGGTCTCAAGGGATCCTCCTGCCTCTGCCTTCCAAAGTGTTGGGAGTACAGGCATGAGTCACTGCACCTGGTCACCATCTACTTTTTTTTTTTTTTTTTTTGAGACAGAGTCTTGCTGTGTCACCCAGGCTGCAGTGTAGTGGCACGATCTTGGCTCACTGCAACCTCCACCTCCCAAGTTCAAGCAATTCTCCTGCCTCAGCCTCCGAAGTAGCTGGGACCACAGGCGCGCACCACCATGCACAGTGAATTTTTTGTATTTTTAGTAGAGACACCGTTTTGCCATGTTAGCCAGGCTGATCTCCAACTCCTGACCTCAGATGACCTGCCTGCCTTGGCCTCCCAAAGTGCTGGTATTACAGGCATAAGCCACCACGCCTGGCCCATTTACTCTTGTAAAACAGATGGCACAGAAGGTCAGCTCCCCTGCATCTCCAATTGGCTGAGTTGCTCCTGGGAGGGCTGCCTGGAGGACTACTCTGAAGACACATCCGGCCTCAAAAGGAATATGCATTGGGTTGATTAGCAATGTCTGCAAGGCACCCGCAGTGATGCAGTAACATGCACTGCACAGCTCTGCATTCCCGTCTCCTAACATTAATACTTAACTGATCGCGTAACCATGTATTGAGGTGCCTGTTGTGTGCCAGGAAAAATTCCTCATGTGAAACTTCCAGGTGGTTCTCCTGCCGTTGAACATGATGAGATTCCTTTCTCCATTTAATACACGAGGAAAGAGAGTCTCAATGAAGGGACAGGGTGACTGGGGAGGCTGAGACAGGAAGATCATTTAAGCCTAGGAGTTTGAGAGCAGCCTGGGCAACACAGTGAGATCTTGTTTCCACCAAAAAATTTCCAAAAAAATTAGCTGAGTGTGGTGGTGCATGCCTGTAGTCCCAGCTACTTGGGAGGCTGAGGTGAGAGGATCAACTTGAGCCCAGAAGTTTGAGGATGCAGGGAGCGTGATCATGCCACTACACTCCAGCCTAGGCGAGAGGGTGAGACCCTGACTCTTAAGGGAAAAAAAAAAAAATGAAGGAATAGGAACAGAGTTGCATAGGCGGCAAATGGTGAAACAAGAATTCAGGCTGGGCTTGGTGGCTCAGGCCTGCAATCCCAATACTTTGGGAGGCCTAGGCGGGAGGATCACCTGAGGTCAGGAGTTCGAGACCAGCCTGGCCAACACAGCGAACTCTCATCTCTACTAAAAATACAAAAATTAGCCAGGCATGGTGGTGGGCACCTGTAATCTCAACTACTCGAGAGGCTGAGGCAGGAGAATCACTTGAACCTGGGAGGCGGAGCTTGCAGTGAGCCGAGATTTCACCACTGCACTCTAGCCTGGGCGACAGAGAAAGACTCTGTCTCAAAAATTAGAAAAATAAAATAAAAAATAAAAAAAAAAGAATTCAGTTCCAGGGTTTGGACTTTAGAGCCCACTCCCCTAACGAAAAGACCAGTAATATAATAACAAAATAATAACAGCAAAGCGAAGCTGAGTACCTGCTCTCTGCCGTGCCCTGGGCATCATGACATTTAAACCCACTCCATCGGTTGAGTCTATTAATTCAATTCAACAAATATTTACTGAGGGCTACACATGTCAGACTCCACCCTCCTCATGCTGTCCTCTGATAGTTAGGTCACCTCTCTATGCCTTTCTGTTCTTCCTTAAGGAAGGTATGGCACAGAGGTCTCACATGTATGGAGCTGGATTCTGAATTTGCATCCTGGTTCATTAAGAGTTTTGTGGGGTTTTTCTTTTCCTTGTTTATTTTTGAGACAGGGTCTTGCTCTGTTGCCCAGTCTAGAGTGTAGTGGTACGATCATGGCTCACTGAAGCCTTAACCTCCTTCTGCCTCAACCTCCCAAGTAGCTGGGACTATAGGCTTGCACCACCCAGCCGGCTAATTTTTCTCTTTTTCTGTAGAGATGAGGTTTTGCCATGTTGCCCAGGCTGCGATCCTCCTGCCTTAGCCTCCCAAAGTGCTGAGATTACAGGTGTGAGCTCCACCATGACTGGCCCTGGAGATGGATTCTGAATTTGCATTTAAGCTCATTGAGGTAAGAGTTCTATGTTGAGTTGCTGATATTTGCTATAAGAGCCCAGTGAGCAGTTGGCAGTACACAAGCCACTGCTTCTGGACATGCTAGATCCCTATTTTTTTTTTTTTTTTTTTGAGATGGAGTCTTGCTCTCTTGCCCAGCCTGGAGTGCAATGGCATGATCTTGGCTCAGTGAAACCTCTGCCTCCCGGGTTCAGGCAATTCTTCCACCTCAGCCAGGTAGCTGGGACCACAGGTGTGCACCATCGCGCCCCGCTAACTTTTTATATTTGTAGTAGAGACGGTGTTTCACCATATTGGCCAGGCTGGTCTCGAACTCCTGACCTCATGTGATCCACCCACCTTGGGCTCCCAAAGTGCTGAGATTACAGGCATGAGCCACCGTGCTAGATCCTATTTTTGAACTCCACTGAGCATGTGCAAAGTTTTCATTGACCTCCCACAACCACAGTGAATGGTATGAAGGGTCTCCTCCATTTCTCAGATGGGGACACTGAGGGTTAGTCACAGGGACCTATGACTTGTCCAGGGTGACAGGAGGAGGTGGAGGGGATGGTGTCAACATCTGACTCCTGATCCGATGACCCTAGAGCCGAAAGAGTTACTGGCTGCCCCCCTCCCATGGTGTCCCCAACCTGAGCAGAGTGAAGAGGTGACTGGGTGGTTCAGACCCAGGTTCTTGAGGCCTAGCCTGCTAATCTGGCCACCACCCGTTCTCCCTCCCATTTGTGCCAGAGCTTAGCGGGACCAGTATCTCGTTTCCTCTGTGGCTGAGCCGGCTGAGCTGATAATGGGGATCAGATTGATGGAAGCCACACCCGCCCTGCCCCAGCCTGCAGTAAGTGCACAGCCTGGGATGGTGGCTACATGGGCATCAAAGGGACTTCGGCGACTGGCCCCAGACAGAGATGGGGGGGTGGCAAAGTCAGGGAGGAGGAGGGCAGATAAAAGATGGAGGGTTAGGGAAGCTTCCCATTCTCTCCAGTGCTTCTTCTAAGTCTCCCCCGACTTTTGGTTTCTCTCTCCCTCTTTCTTCCTCTGTTTCCCTCTCTTCTCCACTGTCCTGCCCTCTCTCTGAACCGTTCTGTGTCCCTGGCCTCATCACTCTCTCTTCCTCTTTTCCACCATCGCACATACATCTGACGTATGGGTTTTGCAGTGAACACACCTGAGGCCACTTTTTTCTTAAAACCTCCTGTGTCTGACCCCCACGGCCCCCAGCTGCGGCCCCTGGCCCCAGTCACAGTGACAGATGCCTGGATACCGGCGACAATAGGGCATTGAGTGGCTATGCATGGTGAGGCTGGGCTACCACGTGGTGCTGACTGAGCCTCCTACTTCTGGGCCCTTCTTCAATGCAGGGTCCTCCTGGTCTTAATTTGTCACCTCTCTTCCTCCCAGCCTGTCCCCATGATACATCTCTGCCCCAGGGCTCGCTCACTGGAGAACCTAGGTCCTCAAGGCCCTTGTGTGACCTCTGACCACACCCTCTTTCCCTTTGTGCATTAGTTTCCTTTTTCAAATGAGAGAACCGATCAGAGGACGCTTAGGAGATGCTGGACTGTTGCGGGAGTTCTGAGGTCCTCAGGAGGCCACACTCCAGTTCCCAGACCTGGGTGAACAGCACGAGGCCCAGAGAGGGAAAGGAACGGCCTGAGGTCACACAGCAGGTGAGCCAGGCCTCCGGGACCTCATTTCTCAGAGCCAGGTGGGCGGGTCCCAGGGTCCAGGAGGGGAGAGGCTTAGGCATGGAGGGAGCGCCAATCATGCCCCCACCCCCAGTGCTAGCCACGACTCGAAAAAGGGGCCCGGAAAGAGACACAATGCACAGAGACACACACGCAGAGACGGAGAGATAGGAAGAGTGGAAGAGGGAGGCCCAGGCGCCGGGACCAGACAAAGGACGCGCGGCGGCGCGGGGAGCGGAGTCGCGCGGCAGGGGCGGGGGTGGAGCCGGGGTGGGGCTATAACTGGCCAGCCCCGCCCCCGGGATACGCCCGGGCTGCCGAGTGGGAATCCGAGGGCTCGGGCGAGGCCGGGCCCCCGGGGCCCTGGGGGCGGGGCCTAGATGGGCGTGCCCGGGCGTGGCCAGGCAGGGCGTGGCAGGGCGGGAGGGGCTGCGCGCTCGGGAGCTGACCAGCTCCGTGGCTGCTGAAAGCACCGAGCGCGGGGCTAGCGGTGCGGGCGAGCAGGCGGGCGGGCCGCGCTCAAGGTCACCTCGCGGCCCAGAGCCTTGGCGAGGTGGGGAGCCTGGACCTGGCCTAAGGGGGCTGTCTCGGCCTCCCACCCCATCTCCCGGGGGGCGGAGACCCGGGAGCCCAGAGGTGCCCCCCCAACCCGCGGGCCCTCCTCTCCCCTCCCCCTCCCCGCAGCCCGAGGCGCCCGCGCGAGGCTGCGGCCCGCGAAGAAGCGCCGAGAAACAAAGGGACGCGGCAGCAGCGGCGGCGGGCCCGCGGGGCCTCCGGGCGCGCCCCCTCCTCTCCCCTCCCCGCTTGCCGCAAGGTCGACGGGCTCGAGGACGAGACGCCCGCCTCCCGGGTGCGGCCGAGGCCCGGGGCGCGCGATCCGACGCCACCCGCTTTCCCAGGGCTCTCGGGGACGCTTTGTCGCTTTGGCTTGGCCCAGCACCAGTGATCGGGCCCTGCGTTTGCCTGGGCGGCCTGCGGGGTCTGGGCCTGGATGGAGGAAGCATCCTTAGCCGCCGCGGCCCCTCCCCCATCAGGCCTGCTGGAGAGGGGGCAATCCCGCCTCCAGGGCGGCGTCGGACGCCTCCCGAATCGCAGTCAGTCTCCCTAAGGCCCTCTCAGACCAAGCTCTAAGCGCCCTCAGCACTCTGGGCGCGGCCCTGCCCACTCTCAGGCCCCGAGGCTTGGTCCTACCCCCCCAACCCGGGCCTAGCTAGGCCTGGTCCTACCCCCCCCGCCGCACCCGCCCAATCTCCGCGGAGCCTGGGCCCAACTCCTCCCCGTCCCGATTCCCTTTCGGCGACAGGGGAATACCTACAGTGACCATTCTTGTGTGCCCGGCGGGCGCGGTCCGTGTTGAGGGGGGCTCCGGGGGTGGTGCACTCCTAGGGGGGCGCCCGATGCTCACGCTGGGGTCCCGCCCGGGCGGCCTCTGGTGCGGCCGCTGCAGATGTGGCGATGAAGGCGGCGGCTCCCTCGAGGGCCAGGGACGGGCCCGAACCCGGGGATGCGCGCGCGGATGGCCGGGCCCCGGGGTGGCCTGCGGGCGGCAGGGGATGGAAAGAGGGAGCGGGCGCGGGGTTGAGGACGCCCCCTGCGCGGCCCCGCGGGGCCCGGGGAGGTTGCGCTTCCCGACAGAGATCGCGGCGCTCTGCCTTTCGCCGCCGCCCCTCGGTCGGTCCTGTCCGGTCCCGTGTGTTCAAGTCCTCTCCCCTCGCCCACCCTCCCTCCCTCCCTCCGGCCCGCGCTGCGCGCTCCGCGCTCTGGACCGCGCCGCCGCCGCCCCCAGCCCTTTATAGCAGCAGCTGCCAGCGCCGGCGTCGCTCATTGGCTGCGGCGACCGAGCTCCGCCTCCTCGCGGCTCCCGACGGCGCGGCAGGTGGAAGTGAGCGCGCACTGGTCGGGACTCTGAATCCCCCAAAAGCGCATCCTAGGTGCTCGGGTTGCCAGATTTGGGCCCTCCTTCCCTCGAGGCCCTTGCTTCCTACCCTGGCACCCCTTCTTGGGCTGGCTTTCGGGCCAGGAGACGGGCTCCCCTCCTCCGTCCAGCTCCTAGAGCTGGAGGAGCCAACAGAGCGAGGAGGTATTAGTGGCCTGAATATGCGACCTTCCAGAGGTGTTGTCCACTGAGGGAACTGGACAGGGGATCAGGAACCAATATTTTAGTAGGCAGAGGCCTGGGTCCCCAGATTTGGAGGCACCAGTGTAGACCACCTCAAGACCACGGGGGAGGGTGGCTACTGTGGCCCTAGTCTTCTGCAGAAGGAGACTGGGACGCTGTTGGTTTTGAGTGAGCTGGATCCTTCTAGGGTTCAAAAGGTAAGGACTGGCACTCCCCAGTGCAAGGAAACTCCGCACTGCTCCGAAGGGGGTGAAAAGGTTTGGGGCTCAGTGTTCTGGACAATCATCGCTGGAGCCATGCAGCTCTGGGAAACCACGGATCCTTCTTGGACCCCACAGAACTGGGGTGGGTGGATCTGCCACATAAATGTCCTGGCTTTCTAGGCTCGTGATTGGTCCTCCTGACTGTGGAGTCATGCTCGCTCTCTGCTAGGGGGAACCTGGCCTCTCTCTAAGGCGTTGGGGGTGGCGCAGCCTCCTTTGGTGCGCGGGCGCCGGTGCATGTTTACGTCGGGGCGCGGGAACTAGCACACACTGGGGCGGGGTCGCCAGGGCGTGAGGCTTCAGCACCACAGACAGCAATCCGACAGTCCGGTCGAGGGCGCTGCCGGCGAGGTAGCCCAGACCCCCTAACTGGAGAGCGGCAGTCCCCACCCAATCCTCGTTCCTGCACGCCCTTTAGGCTCCAGACTGTCAGAGAGCGCCACCAGCGAGGAGAGCCTAATTTGCCCAATCAGGGGCGGCCCTTGAGATAACCAGTTACTGGAAGATGCCCTAGAGATCGAGCCAATGGGAGTGCGCGCACCAGGGGATGCTGCCACGCCTGGAAAGGGCAGGCCAATCGCAGTGGCCCGCGCAATAGGGGCGGTGGCGGTGCAGATCCCCGGGTGGCCCCTCTTGGGCTCGCCGGGGCGACCTGGCTGCGGGCGCTAGGGGCCCCAAGCGATGGTCTGTTCCCCACCCCGTGTTCCTCCCGGTTTCCGTCATCGGAAACTGAGCTAGGAGGGGGGCTGCTCCTGGGCGCGCGGACCCCGCTGCGGTTCCCATGGAAACCTGCCGGCTCCGGCAGTGCGGGGAGAGTGGAGGGGACCTGCCTCGCGGGGGGAGGGAGCTCGCGGGGGCGGCCCCAGCGGCCGGACTCGCTCATCCTTGCCGATTCTTCTGTCCCCGGCTGGGGTAGCCCCCCGGTCCGCAGCAGGAACTGAGGCATAGCTGGGGCCCCGCCTCATCCCCCGAACTGGTGAGGAACCGGCGGGGCCAATCTGCGCGTGGCGCCACAGGGCTCCCCCGGGCACGTGCCTGAGCTCGCGGCTGCGGTCCCCAGGGTCACGTGGCTGCGGCCACCAGGGCCTACGCGCCTCGCACGCCACCTAGCGGCCGCGCCTCGCTCCCCGCCCCTCTCTCTAGCGGCCCGCAGGAGGCGGCGGCCTCAGCATCCTCCTCCGGGAAATGGGGCCAGGGCAGCCGCCGCCAACTCCCCTTCCCCCCGCGGCTTCCTGTTTTAGGAACACGCCGAGCTAGTTCTACCTCGGGGTTTTGGCACTGGTTGTTCCTCTGGCCTGAGAATTTCCTCCCCCAGCTTTCTTCTGGGATAGATCTTTGTCATTCTGGTCTATGCGCAAATGCCACCTCCTCAGAGGCCCTCCCTGACCACCGACCTAAACAGCATCCCCGGAAAACAACGCATCACTCTCTCTTTTGCATGGCGCTTGTCGCTAGCTGCAAATGTTTCTCATTTTAGGGGTTTACTGAACACCTCCCCATCTCATCCCGGAGCTCACTGAGGGTGGGAGATGGGTGCCCCATAAAACAGGAGGAAGTGGAAATTAGGGTCCTGAGTTCCGGGAGATGCCCAGAGACCCCAGACCCCCAAGCCTCACCCCATCCTGTGGGAGCAGGGGCTGTGCGAGGCTGCTGGGCCCAGGGGCATCCCTCGTTCCCTGCCTCGCTTAGGAAGGGATCAAGTAGGCTGGAGACAGAGAGGGGCCTGGCACCCCAAATCATTCAGGCCTAGGGGAAGGGCATCTCCTTTCTCGCTCTTTAATCTCACTCTGCTCTCTTGACACAGTTCCAGCAATGCAGCCCCAGGCACCAGCTCCGAGAAGGATGCGGTGGGGCGGGGTGGGGAACCTGCCCAGGGGGCCCAGCTCTGGGGCGGGGCGGGGGCGCCTCCTTCCGGCCCGCGGTCCGGGCGGCCCTCGCAGCTGTCCAGGCCCCGGCAAGCCCGGGCGTGGTGTCCGAGCGGACGAATAAATAGGGGCGGTCAGTGGTCAGGTGGGTCAGGTGGGCTTGTGATCCGGGTGGCTTTTGAGCGTGTGGAACTTGACGCTGTCCAGCTTCTCGAAGCGCTTCCCGCAGCGATCGCACGTGAAGTTGTACTGCACCTCCGCAGTGTGCTTCTTCATGTGCCAGTTGAGCGACGCGCGCTGCCGGCACTGGTAGCCACAGATCTCGCACCTGCCGGGAGCCCGTGGCGGGACGGGGCGGGGTCAGAGTGGGCGGGGCGGGGCGGGGCCCTACAAGGCCGAGCGCAGGTGGAACCGGGCCCAGACACTGCGTTGGGGCGAAGCCGCCCCTGGGACCTGCTGGGATCCCCTCCCACCCAATCCTCTAGCGGCACGGGGCGGCCTGTCACTCACTGCAGGGGGGTCTCGCCGGTGTGGGTGCGCCGATGTACCTCCAGGTGGTTCTTCCTCTTGAAGGACTTGCCGCAGGTCTCGCAGGTGAATTCACGGACACCTGGGGGCGGTGGGGACCGAGGCTGAGGACGGTGGGCTATGGGGTGTCTCTGATGTGCTGCAGACTCTGATGCTAGAAGGAGCATCAGGCTGTCTCCTTGGATCTCCCAGGACTGCAGGTGCAGGCCGACCAAACCCTACGTCCTTCCCGTGCATTTGCCCACAGACGCCATCAAGCAGAACTGAGATCGAACTTGGGTCCCTGAGAGGCATAGGGTGCACACTACCAAGCCAACATGGGTCTGAATTTGTCTTGTGTGTGTGTATATATATATTTTGCGACGGAGTTTCGCTCTTGTTGCCCAGGCTGGAGTGCAATGGCCCGATCTCGGCTTACCGCAACCACAACCTTGGTCTCGCGGGTTCAAGCGATTCTTCTGCCTCAGCCTCCTGAGTAGCTGGGATTACAGGCATGTGCCACCAACCATGCCCAGCTAATTTTGTATTTTTAGTAGAGACGGGGTTTCTCTATGTTGGTCAGGCTGGTCTCGAACTCCTGACCTCAGGTGATCTGCCCACCTCAGCCTCCCAAAGGGCTGGGATTACCACCACGCCCGGCCTTGTCCCTGATATTTGAACTTTGGGTGATTTCGCAAAATGAAAACAAAAACAAAAACAAAAAAAACTTCTGCCCAGCACGGTGGCTCACACCTATAATCCCAGCACTTAGGGAGGCCAAGGTGGGCAGATCGCCTGAGATCAGGAGTTGGAGACAAGCCTGGCTAACATGGCGAAACCCTGTCCCTACTAAAAAAAAAAAATTAGCTGGCATGGTGGTGAGCGCCTGTAATCCCAGATACTTGGGAGGCTGGGGCAGAAGAATTGCTTGAACCCGGGAGGCAGAGGCTGCAGTGAGCCAAGATCGGATTCCAGCCCGGGCAACAGAGTGAGACTCTGTTGCAAAAAATAACCACACACACATTAAAAAAAACCAAAAAAAACAAAAAAAACCCCCAAACTTCTGACCTCCTGTGATATCAGAAGCTCTGGCCCTCAGGGCATGCCCTATCGCTGGACACAGGCACCATGGCTCTCCACTATGTCCCCAGCCCATGCAGAAGACCTGCATCTCTGCCACAAGTGGAAACAGAAGCCCAGTCCCAAGCCAGCTGCTCCTCTTTGCCCAGCTCTCCTTCCTGCTGCTGCTTGGGTGGGCACTGGTCTAGCCTGTGGCCCCAGGTGCTGCTATAGGTTCCAATCTGGAAGAGCAGTGGCGGTGTCAGCTGCTCCCTAAGTCTCGCATGAGACCTGCTCTTGGGATCATGGGGCATGGGGTCGCGGGGATAGGAGGGAAGATGGCCAGCCCCACCCAATTCCTGTGATTGATTGGTAATAGTTCCTGTCGCTGTGGCTCACATAGCTACAGCTTACTGAGGACAGGGAGGAGGCTCCTAGGGGTGTAGTCCTGTGCCCGGAGACCCAGCACTGGGCTTTGACCCGCCAGCTCTGGCCCAGGCTCCCAGGCCCATGTCCCTGTGTCCCCCGCTCATGCTGCCAGCTGGCCCAGGGCCTGACCTGAATGGATGATCATGTGCCGCCGCAGGTGGTTGGATAAATAGAACTTCTTGCCACAGCCAGGATGAGGGCACACTTTGGTCTTTCCTTTCCGATGCACAAGATTGACGTGGTTCTGGAGACGAGACAGGCAGAAGTGGGTCCCATAGGCCCACAGAAGGGGCTCTGGGAGGTGGGGAGAGATGAGGGCAGCTGGAAGGCAGGCTGGGGCTGGCCTCCCCAGGAGGAGGGAAGAGGGGTACCCTTGCCCAGCTCAGAGATTCCCAGGGGCACAACTGGGGTCAAAGGGTAGCTTTATTTTTTTTATTTTTTGAGATGGAGTCTTGCTCTGTCGCCCAGGCTGGAGTGCAGTGGTGTTCTCTCAGCTCACTGCAAGCTCCACCCCCCCGGGTTCACACCATTCTCCTGCCACAGCCTCCTGAGTAGCTGGGAGTACAGGCGCCCGCCACCACGCCCGGCTGCTATTATTTTTTTCTGTATTTTTTAGTACAGACAGGGTTTCACCGTGTTAACCAGGATGGTCTCGATCTCCTGACCTCGTGATCCGCCCACCTCGGCCTCCCAAAGTGCTGGGATTACAGGTGTGAGCCACCGCACCTGGCCAAGGGCAGCTTTATTGAACACCTACTATATGCCAGGCTCTGGACTGGGGTATCTGTCAACTCTGTGAAGGGCCCAGCTGTTAGCCCAATTAATCGATGGGGAAACTGAGGTTCAAGGCTCTGTGGTTTGGCCAAGGTCTCACAGGTGGCCAGTGGCAGGACTGGGACTGGATTTGAGGGCTATCAGCCTCTGTGGGCCTGGAACAGGCAGCCCCAATTGATTCATTCCTTTGTTCCTTCACTCTTTAACTTACTAGAACAACCCTGGCTCCAGCTTGCAGGCCTGGCTTGCACTAAGTGCTTAATACATGCTCAATCAATGCATGGCATGGCACAAAGGCCTGTTGTTGCATCCTCCCATGCCAGGTCCTGGGGTGTGACAAGTCCCTGTCTTTGCCTTCAGGGACACCTCGTCAAATTTCAAGGGGCAAACTAGAGGTAGGACATCCTGGTGGTGCCATGGCCTGGGCCTTGTGGGCCTGGCCCAGGCTGCTCCGGGTGGCGGCCTCACCTGGAAGCTGCTGAGGGCCACGTAGACTTGGCTGCAGCCCTCGTATGGGCAGTGGAACATCTCGAGCAGGCCGTCAGCATCCATCACCCGCGACCGCTTGCTCCGCCGCCTCCTGGAGGGGAAGGGGCCATGACATCGGGGCTCCCGCACCAGGCAGGCTGGGGGCCTGCGGGCCGCTTCTAGCCCTCGCCCTCACCCTTGCCCGCCCCGGCACCCACTTCTCAGGCTCCTTGGGGATTTCATAGATGATGGCTGACATGTCGCTGCCGTCCAGCTCCTCCCCGTCCGCCTCTGCCTCAGGCTCTGCGCTCTCAGGCACCGTTGTTGCCAGCTCCGGGGCTACTGGCTCCTCCTTCTCCTCCTTCTTTAGCAAGCACAGGTCCTCCTTCTCTACAGGGTGGACACAGGGTGGTGTCCGCAGGGGACGAAGGCTGCCGAGGTGCCCACTTCGAGGGCCATTCCTCGCCCGGCCCCTCCCAGGCCCAACCACCCCTGGCCAGAGGCCACGACAGGTCCCCCAGACCTTTCTTGGTCTCGATGCCTGCTACTGCGGTGGCGTCCATGGTGCTAGGCTGGCTACCCTCGGGCTCTGTCTGGGTGTAGGCTGCCACACCCTCCATCATGGCACAGGGCACCTCCTCGCCCAGTCCACTGCCGGGGACACCGCTGCCTGCTGCCATGTTGAGGTGAATGCCCTCGGCCGTGAGAGCGTCGTAACCAGGGCCCGCAATGATGATCACCTGTGAGCCGGGCACCATGCCTGGCATGGGGCAGCTGGCCACCACCTCACCCAGGGCCTCCTGGGGCACGTTCTCAAAGAGGGCGCTGGGGCCCGCACCCACTTGCACAGGCACCGGCACGCACACCACTGTCTCCAGGGCTTCAGGCCCATTGCCTGCTGGGTTGGAGCACAGCGGGGTACCCTGCTCGGCCAGGCTTTCCACGTGGTGGACGTCAAAGGGAATGTGCACGCCCTCCTGAGTGATGAGCCCGCTGCTGCCCACCGGGCTGGTGGGCGTCGCTGCCGCTGCCGCTGCCGCAGCCTTGACCGGCTGGCCCTCAGGAGACTCCTCAGAGTCAGAGGCAGAGCCAGAGCTGGATGAGTCAGAGCTGCC
Organism: Homo sapiens; assembly: GCF_000001405.40. Classification (NCBI taxonomy): domain Eukaryota; kingdom Metazoa; phylum Chordata; class Mammalia; order Primates; family Hominidae; genus Homo; species Homo sapiens. The sequence continues at coordinate 11,487,884 of NC_000019.10, forward strand.
AGCCACCAGCCCATTGCCCACTGTGGGGACAGAAGAAAGGGAGTGGTTATGATAGCTGCAGCCACTGGTATTTGTTTATTTAGTTTTTATTTTATTTTATTTATTTATTTATTTATTTTTTTGAGACAGAGTCTCACTCTGTCACCCAGGCTGGAGTGCAGTGGTGCGATCTCAGCTCACTGCAACCTTGGCATCCCCGGTTCCAGTGATTCTCCTGCCTCAGGCTCCCGAGTAGCTGGGACTACAGGTGTGCGCCACCACACCTGGCTTTTTTTTTTTTTCCTGAGATGGAGTCTCACTCTGTCACCCAGGCTGGAGTGCAGTGGCGCGATCTCTGCTCACTACAAGCTCTGCCTCCCAGGTTCATGCCATTCTCCCACCTCAGCCTCCCGAGTAGCTGGGACTACAGGCATGTGCCGCCATGCCCGGCTAATGTTTTGTATTTTTAATAGAGATAGGGGTTCACCAGGATGGTCTCGATCTCCTGACCTCGTGATCCACCCACCTCTGCCTCCCAAAGTGCTGGGATTACAGGTGTGAGCCACCGCGCCTGGCCCACACCCGGCTAATTTTTGTATTTTTAGTAGAGACGGGGTTTCATCATGTTGGCCAGGCTGGTCTCAAACTCCTGACCTCAAGTCATCTGCCCGCCTCAGCCTCCCAAAGTGTTAGAATGACAGTCATGAGCCACCGTGCCTGGCTGAATTTTTCTTTTCTTTTCTTTTTTTTTTTGAGATGGAGTCTCGCTCTGTCACACAGGCTGGAGTGCAGTGGCGCAATATTGGCTCACTGCAAGCTCCGCTTCCCAGGTTCACACCATTCTCCTGCCTCAGCCTCCCGAGTAGCTGGGACTACAGGCAACCGCCACCACGCCCAGCTAATTTTTGTATTTTTAGTAGAGATGGAGTTTCACTGTGTTAGCCAGGATGGTCTCGATCTCCTGACCTTATGATCCGCCCACCTCGGCCTCCGAAAGTGCTGGGATTACAGGCATGAGCCACCGCATCCGGCCTGAGTTTTTCTTTTTTTTTTTTGAGACAGAGTTTCGTTCTGTCACCCAGGCTGGAGTGCAATGGTGCAATCTTGGCTCACTGTAACCTCTGCCTCCTGGGTTCAAGCGATTCTCCTGCCTCAGCCTCCTGAGTAGCTGGGATTACAGGCGTGCACCACCACACCTGGCTAATTTGTGTGTTTTTAGTAGAGATGAGGTTTTGCCATGTTGGCCAGGCTAGCCTCAAACTCCTGACCTTGGGTGATCCATCCACCTCGGCTCCCCAAAGTGCTAGAATTATAGTCATGAGCCACCACATCTGGCCCGATTTTGTTTTTGTTTTGAGATGGAGTCTCCCTCTGTCACCCAGGCTGGAGTGCAGTGGTGCGATCCGGGCTCACTGCAACCTCTACCTCCCAGGTTCAAGCAACTCTTGTGCCTCAGCCTCCTGAGTAAATGGGATTACAGGTGCATGCAACCACACCTGGCTAATTTTTGTATTTTTAGTAGAGACGGGATTCCCCATTTTGGCCAGGCTGATCTCGAACTTCTGACCTCAGGTGATCTGCCCGCCCGGGCCTCCCAAAGTGCTGGAATTACAGACATGAGGCACCTCGTGTGGCCCTGATTTTCCCAAGTAGAGATCAGGTCTTGTTATGCTACCCAGGCTGTGGCCTTGAACTCCTGGGCTCCAGTGATCCTCCCACCTCAGCCTCCCAAAGTGCTGGGATTACAGGCGGGAGCCACCATGCCCGGCCAGCAGTTGGTATTTGTTGAGGGCTCTTCAGGGGCTAGACACTGTGACCCTCTCACTGCTTAAAACAGCAGTCACTTCTCAATCCCCACTGTCCCTAACTGTTCCAAGATGACTGACCCAGCTGACCACCCCTACTCCAGGGGACACTCTCCTCTCTTAGCCCCCAGACCCACGCTGTGGTATCCTGGGCCCTTCCTGGTGGCTCCTTCCAAGTTTATTTGGTTCTTGCAGGCCTGGAAGGCTTGGCCTGGGGCCTCTCCTCAGCGCTCACCTTACCCCCAGGCTTGCCCAGGCTAATGGGGTTAAAGGCCACCCTCCGATTCTCGATGCCAACTGAATGTCCAATAATTCAATCCAATCTGACATTATCTTCCCGGAGTGGGCGTCAAATCCTCCAAGTTAAAGGCTCAGTCCCACAAGACCGCCGGACTTCAGATGTCAGCTGCAAGTCCTGGGCTACCCTGTATGTCTGACCAATGGGCTCTAAATGGGGGGTTTCCATGACCCCATCCTCAGGTTTGATAATTTGTTAGAACAACTCACAGAACTCAGAAAATGGCTCTACCTACAATTACAGCTTTATTACAAAGGATTCAACTCAGCGACAGCCAAAGGGAAGAGATGCACAGGGCAAGATACGGGGGTATGGTATGGGCTTCCATGCCCTCTCCGGGGGTACCACCGTCCCAGCATCTCAATCTGGAACTGTTCACCAATCTGGGACTGTTCAAGAGGGTTTTTGTTGTTCTGTTGTTGTTGTTGTTTGTTTTTTTGAGACAGAGCCTTGCTCTGTTGTGTAAGCTGTAGTGAAGTGGCACAATCTCGGCTCACTGCAACCTCCGCCTCCCAGGTTTAAAAAATTCTCCTGCCTCAGCCTCCTGAGTAGCTGGGACTACAGGCACACGCCACCATGTCAGGCTAATTTTTTTTTTTGTATTTTTAGTAGAGATGGGTTTTCATCATGTTGGTCAGGCTGGTCTGGAACTCCTGACCTCAGGTGATCTGCCCGCCTTGGCCTCCCAAAGTGCTGGGATTACAGGTGTGAGCCACCGCGACTGGCCAAGTATGTATTCTTATTACTACAACCATCCATGGCCTGGTGATTCCATCTGCAGCTTCTGCCTACACCTCCATGTCGAGCTCCAGATTCTTCCATCTCATTGGCCCCCTAAGAGTGTCTCACAGGCATCTCAAACTCAGATCTGCAACACTGGGCTCTGTATCTTCCCTTCTACAAAGCCTGCACTGCTCACGGGTGTCCCTGACTCAGCGGAAGGCAGCTCAGTCTCTCCAGTGGCTCAGGCCAAAGTCCTGGGGCTCTTGTTGACTTCTCTCTCTCTCACACCCACTTCCAATCTGTCAGCAAAACCTGTTGGTGCTGCATCCAAAATACATCCACCCGCAGCCTGAACGCTTCTCCCACTTCCCCTGCAGATGCTAGTTGCGGCCCCACCGGCCCCCTGCCAGGGCCAGTGCAGTCCCTTCTTTTGGGTCCCCGGCTCCTAAGAACCTACTCTTTACCTCCTGTGAAAGAAGCAGGCCAGCTACTCACTAAATCCCTCTCTTCCTGGCACCAGCACCGACTACATTTCCCAGCATCTCTTGCAGGTAGGTGTGGCCATGTGGCTGAGTCCCAGCCAATGGAATGCAAGTGGACAGGTGCTCCCAAGGTTGAGTCTCCACTTTTCTCCCCACCAGTAAGCCAGGACCCACAAGGAGGCTGGAGCCATAGGAAGGAAAGAACCTGGGTCCAGGGATGAAAGGCAGTCTGCAGGATGGAAGCACCAGGCTTTGTATGTGGGAAACAAACCACTGTGCCAGGTCACGAGAGCTGGAGTGCGTCTGTTTCAGGAGGTGTTCCATCACCTCCTGTCCTCGCCTCCTCTCCTAATGTCCTTGGAGACACTAGATAGGTTCCTGCCTCAAGGCCTTTGCACCTGCCATTCCCTCGGCTTGAATCCTCTTTTTTTTTTTGAGATGGAGTCTCGCTCTGTCGCCCAGGCTGGAGTGCAGTGGCACGATCTTGGCTCACTGCAAGCTCTGCCTCCCAGGTTCACACCATTCTCCTGCCTCAGCCTCCCAAGTAGCTGGGACTACAGGTGCCGCCACCACGCCCAGCTAATTTTTAGTAGAGACAGGGTTTCACCGTGTTAGCCAGGATGGTCTCGATCTCCTGACCTCATGATCCGCCCACCTCGGCCTCCCAAAGTGCTGGGATTACAGACGTGAGCCACCGCACCCGGCCGGCTTGAATCCTCTTCTGTCTGACACCTGAGAGGGCTCCTCCCTCCCCTCCATCAGATCCTTCATTAAAGGTATTTTTTCAGGGGGAATTTCCTGACCATTCTGTCTCAAATAGTTCCTTTTTCCCTCCTTTATTTTTTCCCAAAGCACATACCACCTTACAGTGCACTCTATATTTTATTTTATTTTTGAGATGGAGTTTTGCTCGTTACCCAGGCTGGAGTGCAATGGTGCAGTCTCGGCTCACTGCAACCTCCACCTTCCAAGTTCAAGTGATTCTCCTGCCTCAGTCTCCTGAGTAGCTGGGATTACAGGCACACCCCACCATGCCCCGCCAATTTTTATATTTTTAGTGGAGACAATGTTTCACCATATTGGACAGGCTGCGAACTCCTGACCTCAAGTGATCCACTCACCTTAGCCTCCCAAAGTGCTGGGATTACAGGCGTGAGCCACCACGCCCAGCCTGTATTTTAATTAATTTATTTTTTTGAGACAGTGTCTCCCTCTGTCACCTAGGCTGGAATGCACTGGCACAGTCATAGCTCACTGCAGCCTCGAGCTCCTAGGTTCAAGCGATCCTCCTGCTTCGGCCTCCTAAAGCACTGGGAGAGGTGCACCACCATGCCCAGCTAACTTTTTCATTTTTTTGCTAGAGATGGGGTCTCACTATGTTGCCCAGGCTGTTCTCTAAGCCGTGGCCTCAAGCAATCCTAACTTGGCTTCCCAAAGCACTGGGATTACAGGCTTGAGCCACTGTGCCCAGCCTGCACTCTATATTTTTATTGGTTTATCCTGCTTACAATCCGCTTCCCCTCTAGAATGTAAACTCCGTAAGGTTGCGGGGTCCCGGTGCAGAGCCCCCAGTGCCGAGAAGGCTGTGTGGTGCACAGTGAGGGCTCGTTCCAATAAATGAATCAATCTCTGCTCCCTAGTCTTGGCTCACTGCAGCCTCTGCCTCCCGGGTTCAAGTGATTCTGATGCTTCTGCCTGCCAAGTAGCTGGAAGTACAGGCACACACCACCACACCTGGCTAATTTTTTGTATTTTTAGTAGAGACCGGGTTTTGCCATGTTGCCCAGGCTGGTCTCGAACTTCTAGCCTCAAGTGATCCACCTGCCTTGGCCTCCCAAAGTGCTGGGCTGGCATTACAGGTGTGAGCCACTGTACCCGGCCCTCGGGAGTGTTTTTTTTTTTTTCTAGACAGAGTCTTGCTCTGTTGCCCAGGCTGGAATGCAGTGGTGCGATCTTGGCTCACTGCAACCTCCGCCTCCTGGGTTTCAGTGATTCTCCTGCCTCAGCCTCCCAAGTAGCTAGGATTACAGGCATGCGCCACCATGCCCAGCTCATTTTTGTATTTTTAGTAGAGATGGGGTTTCACCATGTTGGCCAGGCTGGTCTTGAGCTCCTGGTCTCAAGTGATCCACCTGCCTCGGCCTCCCAAAGTGCTGGGATTACAGGTGTGAGCCACCGTGCCCAGCCTTTGTTTTGGGTCTTTAATGAGTAAATATGTATAAGGGTTTAGGACAGTAGGAGATTAAAAGTATGTACCCTGTAAGTTTCCTATTATTATCTCAGTGCCATTCAGGGCAGTGAGATGCCCACTGTTGATGGACCTGGGGTGGCAGCAGGGTTGGGGATAAGGAGGATCAGCCCCTCTTTCTGGATAATTTCCCCTTGTCCTGTATTCTGCAGGGTGGGCAAACTCTCTGGCACCATCCAGAAGGAGGGCGCAGTGTCCTAATGAGTGGAGGGAAGGGCCAGAGCACGCGTCTGGGTCCACCTGACTGCAGCACCTGCTAAGTTTGGCTGACCCCAGACTTCTCCTCAGGTAATGACAGCACCAACAGAAATAGCCATGGGCAAGGCCCGGTGGCATATGCCTGTAATCCCAGCACTTTGGGAGGCCAAGGCAGGAGGATTACTAGATCCCAGGAGTTTGAGACCAGCCTGGGCAACACAGTGAGATCCCATCTCTACAAAAAATTTAAAAATCAGCTGGCTGTGGTGGTGTGTGCCTGTGTTCCCAGCTACTCAGGAGGCCAGGGTGGGAGGATCACTTGAGCCCAGGAATTGGAGGCTGAAGTGAGCTATGATGGCACCACTGCACTCCAGCCTGGGCAACCGTGAGACCCTGTCTTAAAAAAAATAAATAAAAATAAAAAGCCAGGTATGGTGGCTCACACCAGTAATCCCAGCACTTAGGGAGGCCGAGGCAGGAGGATCACTTGAGGCTGGGAGTTCGAGACCAGCCTGGCCAAAGTGGTGAAAACCCACGTCTACTAAAAATACAAAAATTAGCTGGGCATGGTGGCTCACGCCTGTAATCCCAGCTACTAGGGAGGCTGAGGTGAGAGAATTGCTTCAACCTGGGAGGCAGAGGTTGCAGTGAGCCAAGATCGCACCACTGCACTCCAGCTTGGGTGACAGAGACAGAATCTGTCTCAAAAAGATAACATAACATAACATAACATAACATAACATAACATAACATAACATAACATAAAACATAACATAACATAACATAACATAAGGCCGGGTGCAGTGGCTCACGCCTGTAATCCCAGAACTTTGGAAGGCCGAGGTGGGTGGATCAACTGAGGTCAGGAGTTCAAGACCAGCCGGCCAACATGGTGAAACCCAGTGTCTACTAAAAATACAAAAATTAGCCAGGTGTGGTGGCAGATGCCTGTAATCCCAGCTACTAGGGAGGCTGAGGAAGGAGAATGGCTGGAACCTGAGGCTTGGCTTGCAGTGAGCCGAGATCGCGCCATTGCACTCCAGCCTGGGCGACAAGAGCGAGACCCTGTCTCAGATAAATAAATACATACATAAATAAATAATAAAAAGTTGAGTTGGGGCGTAAGTAAGCTGCTCTGGGCACCACCCACACCCCAGCCTGACCCATCACCAAATGGGCCAGTCAGATCACTCCTGGGGCTTGGGATTCCTTGACTGCCAAGTGGGGCTGATGACAAGGCCATGGGGAAGATTCATGGTGGCTCTGGGCAGGGCCAGGAGTGGCACACAGTGAGGGGGCAGTAAAAGGCAGAGGAGGGCGGAATGCAGATCATGGGATGGGGCAGCCGAGAGGCCACTGCACGCTGAGAGCCTGGCCGACACTTGGTGGGACGGTCGTTGGCGGGGGCGCCCACCCGGAACACCTCTCGCCCCCGGCTTCCCCTCGGCCAGCTGGGATGCCACCTGCTCCGAGATGCCAGCCAGCGCAGGCTCAGCCCTGGTGACCGCCCCACCCTCAGCCCTGACAGGACGCCTGGCAGTGTGCCCTACGCTCCTTCTCCAGCCATTGCCGAACCCCTGAGGCTGCCGGCAGCCCCCTCACCACTCACCGGGGCCAACTGAGCCTCCCTCACTGAGTCCCTGCCCCGTGGGATGGGAAGGAGAGAGGCAGGGACCGCGAAGGTGGGGAGGGAGGAGGAGAAAGGGGAATAGAAGGAAACAAGAGAAAGAGAGAGAGGGAGATGAGACAGAAAATGAAAGATCAAGGAAGGAGGAGACAGAGGCAGCTCAAGGGAGGAGAAATGGGGAACAGGAGGGAAACAGAATGGAGGGGGAAGGCAAGAAACGAAGCCTGGAAAGGCAGAAGGCAAGAGAATGCAACTGGGAGCCAGAGAAAATCGAAAAGGAGGTAGCGGCCAGCTTAGCCAGGGCTCAGGAGAGCATCACAGCCTATGAAGCCATAAGGCCTGGGTGGTTTAGGCGGCCGTTTCGCTGTGGGGGCCGAGCCCTGCCCCAGCAGGCCTGCCCCCGCCCCAGCTGCCAAGCCAGGGCTCCTGGGCCCTCAGCCAGCCCTGCCTGGGACTGGCCTTGGGCACAGATTGGCAAACTGCTCCATAAAGAGGGACTGCCTCCCCACTCAAGCTCTGTAAGGACGCAAAGAGGGCAAGGCCACGAAGGACTCAGCCTGGCCCATCGTGTCCCTGCTCTGCCCCAGTGCCAGAGCCAGAGCCAGAGCCACTGTGGCTGCTATTCTGTTTGTGATGCTAGCCTAGGGCTCGTAAGAAGCCCCCAGAAATGGGCGGCCCCCTATGTGCCCTCGCCCTGCAGACCTACCTTTGTCACTGTCAGGGTCTGAGTCGCTGAGGGGCTTCAGGGGCGAATGCAGGTCCTGGAAGTAGCGGTGGCCAGCTTCGCACTGCCACACGGCCGTGGTGTACAGGCCAAAAGTGGGGTCTAGCTCCGCCAGGTGCGGCTCGTACGGGCAGCGGTGCTTGTGGTCCTCGTACCAGATCACCACGTTCTTCAGGCAGTTCACGTTGCGTCGCCGCCCTATGGACACAGGGCCGAGGAGTGGGTATAAGGGACAGGGCTCAGCCCATGGTGACATGGCTGCCTGAACCACCGGGGCTTTATGGGTCCCATGGGTTTGGAGGCCCTCCTGAGTACCATCCAGGCCTGTACCCAGTTTAAAGGGGGAAACTGAGGCTCAGAGAGGAGAGGCACCCCCTGGAGGTAACGGGGACTGTTCTATTGGCAAAGTCATGTAAACAGTGGAGCCTGGTGCACAGTAGGTGCATAATAATTGTTAGCTGCTTGTTAATTGTTCTCATCTTCATCAAACGCCTAGACCAGCGCAGTCCTCAGGCCCAGGACTCCCAGGCTCCCGCCCTAACCACCCCCTACAGCCGCAAGGGGGCGCCTGTGAATGCCCGAGTCAAGTCTGTTCCCTCCTCTGCTCAGAATCCACTGGGCCAGGCGCAATGACTCACACCTGCAATCCTAGCACTTTGGGAGGCAGAGGCAGGCGGATCACTTAAGGCCAGGAGTTTGAAACCAGCCTGGCTAACATGGCGAAAACCCATCTTTACTAAAAATACAAAAATTGGCCGGCATGGTGGTGTATGCCTTTTGTCCCAGCTACTTGGGAGGCTGAGGTAGGAGGATCGCTTGAGCCTGGGAGGTGGAGGATGCAGTGAGCCAAGGTCGCAACACTGCACTCCAGCCTGGATGACACAGCAAGACCAACTCCCTCAGGGTAAAAGCCAAAGTCCTCCCTTCGGCCCACAAGGCCCACTGTGACTTGTCACCTCCCCGCCCTCACCCACTTGGTGACTGCACTCCACTCCAGCCACATGGCCTCCTCGCTGTTCCTGGAGCGGGCTAGGTGTGGCCCTGCCTCAGGGCCTTGGCACAGGCTGTGCCTGCTTCCTCTAGATAACTGTCTTGCTCCCTCCCCACTTCACTCAGGTCTCCCCCAAATGCATCCCCTCCAAGAGGCCACTCCCTGCCCAGTCACTCTAGCCGACCTTAACTTTGCTGTCTGTTTTCTCCAGGTAGTACCTAGATGCCATCTGTGGCCATTTGTTTACATGTGCCCTGTCTGTCTCTCCCACCAGAATGTCAGCTCCTCAAGAGCAGGAACACTGCTGTTTTGCTCCTCCTGTACCCCCAGTGCCCCCAAAGGGCCTGGTTCATAGCAGGTGCTCCAGGAACATTTGCTGGATGAGAGAACGCTGCATAGCGGGCGGGCATGGTGGAGCCGGACCGCCTGGGTTTGAATCCTGGCTCTGCCCCTTCCAAGCTGGGTAGCTCCAGGCAAGTGACTTGGCTTCTCTGAGCCCCAGGTGCCTCCTCTAGGCTGGGGAGAATAAGGGATTCCCATCCCGGAGGGCTGCCAGGCAGGAGGAAGGGAGTGAAGACATCGCCAGGACACAGAACAAGGCTGGGCACACAGTGAGTGCTGGGAAATGGTATCTGACTCTTGTGATGGTCCTGGTCCCTCAGCCAAGTGCGAGGACAGCATGTCCCCCACTCCTACCCTGTGGGCCGGGAGATGAAGAGGGGCCCAGAAGAGGTGTTTGGGTCTAGGGAATGTGCTCACAGTCTCCAATCATGAGGGCAACAGAGTCGTCACCCACAGCCGCCTCTCCGGCCCAGCCCTTTCCCTCCTCAATGCGCTCCTCATCCCTTGAGGATTCAGGATCAAGGTCATAGCTCACCCCTGCCTCTGGAGAAACCTAAGAAGGGAGGGGCTCACTGCCACCAGCTGGCCTTCACCCTGCTGGACATGGCCTGGGACCCCCAGCTCCAGGGCTCAGAGCTGTGCAGACCCTGACAGTTCAAGCTCTCACCAACTGGTGGCCAGCAGGACAGGAGGAGCAAGCTCCAGACCTCCCCTCTAACCACCAGTGCTTGGCTCCCCCTGCCCTTAGGGCTCTGCAAAAGCTGTTCCCTCTGCTCGGCTCTCCCCTGGCTGACTCCCATGCCGGGAGCAAGAGAATGAGGGAGCCAAGGACACTGCGCCTGAGACACAAGACACGCAGACCCGGGTTTGAGGTCGGGCTCTGCTGGTTCCAACTGTGCTGCCTAGGGCAGCGACCTGGCCTCTCTGGGCCTCCATCTCCATATTCCCACCGCTCCCAACTCTCCCCACCTCCCCCAGGCTGAGCCTCCACTTACTTTTCTTCCGCTTTGGCTTTTTGGGGACCTGCTCCCAAGGCTTCCTGCAACAGAAAGAGGCAGAGAGGGTGAACGGGGGACCAGCGCTGGGCCTGTCTGACCCATGAGTAACAACAGTGGCTAGAGCCACTGCTCATTGTACACTGAAACTAAATCTGAACTTTTTGAGATGGAGTCTCACTGTGTTGCCCAGGCTAGAGTGCAGTGGTGAGATCTTGACTCATTGCAGCCTTTGCCTCCCAGGTTCCAGCGATTCTCCTGCCTCAGCCTCTCAAGTAGCTGGGATTACAGGTGCACGCCACCACACCTGGCTAATTTTTGTATGTTTAGTAGAGACGGAGTTTCACCATGTTGGCCAGGCTGGTCTCGAACTCCTGACCTCAGGTGATCCGCCCACCTCAGCCTCCCAAAGTGCTGGTATTACAGGCATGAGCCGCCACGCCTGCCCTGAACTTTTTTTTCTTTTTGAGACAATGTCTGTCTCTGTTGCCTAGGCTGGAGTGCAGTGGTGCGATCTCGGTTCACTGCAACCTCCGCCTCCCAGGTTCAAGTGATTCTCCTGCCTCAGACTCCTGAATAGCTGGGATTACAGACTAATTTTGTATTTTTAGTAGAGACGGGGTTTCACCATGTTGGCCATCCTGGTCTCAAGCTTCTGACCTCAGGTGATCCGCCCACCTCGGCCTCCCAAAGTGTTGGGATTACAGGCGTGAGCCACCGTGCCCAGCCTAGAATCTGAACTTCTATGTACCTTTCCCCAACTCCAGAACTGTGTCACCAGGCCCCTCCCTTGGACTCTCTCCCCAATTGCCATCAGCCCTGGGAGGGGGCTCTAGCATCATCCACCTCAAGGAGCAGGAAAAACAGGCTTGGAGGGGTGAGGCCATCTGCCCTGGGTCCCACAGTCAGGGAGCAGAGAAGTAACAAAGTGGGTATGAAAAGTTTGTGTGGAAGCAGAATTCCAAGATGGCCCCCACAGTTCTGCTGGGACACATGCCCTGTGTGATCCTCTTCCCCTGAGCGGGGCAGGCCTGTGAGTAGGACTGGATGTCAAGCCTTGGTTAGGTGACTGTGAGTTAATCAAACGGGAACATATCTTGTAGGGCACAGTGGCTCAAGCCTGTAGTCCCAGCTACTTGAGAGGCTGAGAGTGGTCTTGGCCCACAGCCAGCAAGACAGTGGGTACTGTCTGGGTGTGGTGTCTCACACCTGTAATTCTAGCACTTTGGGAGGCTGAGGCAGGAGGACTGCTTGAAGCCAGGGGTTCAAGACCAGCCTGGGCAACATAGCAAGATCCCACCTCTATTTATACAATTAAAAAAAAAAAAAAAAAAGGCCAGGCTCCGTGGCTCATTCCTGTAATCTCAGCACGTTAGGAGGTTAAGACGGGTGCATCGCTTGAGGCCAGAAGTTGGAGACCAGCCTGGGAAACACAGTGAAACCCCATCTCCACAAAAAATACAGAAATTACCCAGGCGGGGTGGCATGCACCTGTAGTCCCAGCTACTCAGGAGGTTAAGGTGGGAGGATCACCTGAGCCTGGGGAGGTCAAGGCTGCAGTGAGCTATGATCACACCACTGCACTCCAACCTGGGCAACAGAGTAAAACCGTGTCTCAAAAACAAAGAAACAAACAAAAACAAACAAAAAACGATCTTCGTCATGGTACAGCCCTGTCACTTAATCATCAATAAGCAAATGGTACAATGATCGTTATGATTATCAGTATCATCGTGGAGCCTGGGCCCCCTGGCCTCCCTGCTGTGGCCCAGACCTGCTCTTGCCACAAACATCCTGACAGCCAGTCTAGTGTCTCTTATCAGCAAAACTGTCCACCCCGTCTGACTCCTGCCCAGCCCTGTAACAATTCTCAGTCCCACACCCGTCTGGTTCCCAGGACTGCACCTTGGGGATCTTCCATCTTTCCTGCCCCAGGCTCTGCCCCTGCCTCTGGCTCTGCTACTCCAGGTCCCATTCCATGTGACTCTATCCCTTCCCATGGCTCCACCCTCCCCTGCAAAGCACCACACTGGCTGTAGAGACCTTCACCCAACCCAAGACCCAAGTCTGGCTCTGTCACCCAGGTTGGAGTGGAGTAGCACTATCTCAGTTCACTGCAACCTCTGCCTCCTGGGTTCAAGCGATTCTTCTGCCTCAGCCTCCTGAGTAGCTGGGATTATAGATGCCTGCCATCAGCCCAGCTAATTTTTCTATTTTTAGTAGAGACAGGATTTCGCTATGTTGGCCAGACTGGTCTCGAACTCCTGACCTCAAGTGATCTGCCTGCCTCAGCCTCCCAAAGTGCTGGGATTACAAGTGTAAGCCACCATGCCCTGCCCCAAACCCAAGTCCTGATGTCCACAGCCACCTCCATCCACTCACCGCTGGAGGCTGGGAGTGTCACATTGCAGTGGGGACAGTCTTGGGTATCAGCCAGACCCAAGTTCAAGACTCAGCTCTGCTCTCAACTGCCTGTGTGACCTCAAGCAGGTCTTGTCCCCTCTGAGCCTCAGTCTCCGTCTGTGAAGTGGAAATAGTAGTAGTGCTTCTGACACAGGGTCACCATGGGGACCAAACAAGGTCATATGTAACCTGGTGAGCGCCACTTTCCAACCCCCACACAGGGCTTTCTCCCTCAAACTGCCTTCCCTCTCCTGTCCACTTCTCCAACTTCTGCCACTTCTCTGTGACTCCCAGCAGAGGCCACTGGCATCAAGGACCACAGCTCCGGGGCTACTCAGGCCCTGGCTTGGCTGTTTCCCGCCATTTCCTTTCAGTCTTCAGTCATTCCCACCAGCATCTAAATATGCCATGATTTCTCCCATCTTGGGTTAAAATCATTTTGATACCCACCTTCCCCACCAGCCCCTTCCCCATATCTTTTTTTTTTTTTTTCTTTTTGAGACAGGCTCTCGTGGTGTTGCCCCAGCTGGAGTGCAGTGGCGCCATCACAGCTCACTGAAGCTTCGACCTCCAGGGCTCAACCGATCCTCTTGCCTCAGCCTCCTGAGTAGCTGGGACCACAGGCATGCACCACCACACCCGGCTAACTTTTGTACTTTTTGTAGAGATCGAGTTTCGCCATGTTGCCCAAGCTGGTCTCAAACTCCTGGGCTCAAGAGATCCTTCTGCTTCAGCCTCCCAAAGTGCTGGGATTACAGGTGTGAGCCACTAGCACCCAGCCTCCTTCTTCATTTCCCCGTTTTGTCACAGTTGTCTACACTCGCTGTCTCCATGTCCTCTCCTCCATCTCACTGGAACTCCTCCAGTCAGAGCTTTGCTCCATCACGTCACACACTCTCCCATCACAGTCACCAGTGACGGCTTCACTCGGCCCAACAGCACTGGACATGGCAGACACTTCCTTTGGCCTCCTGGGTGCTGCCACTGCCCAGTGCTCCACTGGCACCGGGCTGCTGCTTCTCCCTCACCTCCCTTACCAAGGAGAGCAACCGCCACACTCAGGCCTGTGTTTTCTGTCTAAAAGTATCCCTTTAGTAACTTTTTTTTTTCTTTTGAGATAGAGCCTCGCTCTGTTGCCCAGGCTGGAGTGCGGTGGCACGATCTTGGCTCACTGCAAACTCTGCCTCCTGGGTTCAAGTGATTCTCCTGCCTCAGCCTCCTGCGTAGCTGGGACTATAGGCGTGTGCCACCACGCCCAGCTAATTTTTGTATTTTTAGTAGAGACGGGGTTTCAATATGCTGGCCAGGCTGGTCTCGAACTCCTTACTTCGTGATTTGCTCACCTTGGCCTCCCAAAGTGCTGGGATTATAGGCGTGAGCCATCGCGCCTGGCCTATTTTTATTTTACTTTTTGAGACAGTCTTGCTCTATTGCCCAGGCTGGAGTACAGTGGCGCGATCTCGGCTCACTGCAACCTCCACCTCCCGGGTTCCAGTGATTCTCCTGCCTCAGCCTCCCAAGCAGCTGCGACTACAGGCGTGCGCCACCATGCCCGGCTAATTTTTGCATTTTTAGTAGAGACAGGGTTTTGGCCTATTGGTCAGGCTGGTCTCAAATTCCTGACCTCAAGAGATCCACCTGCCTTGGCCTCCCAAAGTGCTGGGATTACAGGCGTGAGCTACCATGCCTGGTCTTCCTTTTTTTTATTTTAATTGTTGACAAGAGTCATGAACCTCCTTGGACTCATCATCAGCTTTAACAATTGTTAACTCTTGGCCAACCTTGTATCACAATGTGTACCCCATCCATTCTTCAAGCCACACACATCCTAGAGACAGTTTCTTCTAAAATACAAACCAGGCTGTGTGTGACTTGTAGTCCCAGCTACTCTGGAGGCTGAGGTGGGAGGATCTCTTGAGTCCAGGAGTTCAAGACCAGCCTGGGCAATATAGCAAGACTGCATCTCAAAAATAAATAAACAAATAAATAAGGAAATAAAAGGCCAGGCCCAGGCCCGGGTATGGTTTCATCTTTACATTTAAATCTGCAACCCCGCCGGGCGCAGTGGCTCACACCTGTAATCCCAGCACTTTGGGAGGCCGAGGCAGGCAGACCTCTTGAGGTCAGGAGTTCGAGACCAGCCTAGCCAACATGGCGAAACCCCGTCTCTACTAAAAATACAAAAATTAGCCGGGCATGGGGGTGCACGCCTGTAATCCCAGCTACTCGGGAGGCTGAGGCAGGAGAATCGCTTGAACGCGGGAGGCAGAGGTTGCAGTGAGCTGAGGCTGCGCCAATGTACTCCAGCCTGGGTAACAGAGCAAGACTCCATCTCAAAAAAAAAAAAGGTGGGGGGGGCATCAGGGGAAATAAAGGCAGACCATACCACTTCTTTCTCTGTACAAAATCTTGCACTTAAGAAAAGGCTCCCACCTCACTGGGAGGAAAAACTGGAGTCCTCTCCATGGCTCTGGATGACCTTCCCTGTCACCAATCTGTCCTTGTCTTCCCTTCTCCCCCTCACTCATTGCAGTCCAGCCACACAAGCCTCTTCAGTGTTCCTGGCACACAATAGGCAGGGTCCTGCCTCAGGACCTTTGCCTTTGCTATTCCCTCTGCCTCAACTCTTCCCCAGAGATCTGCATGGCTCCTCCTAGGTTCCTTCATGTCTTTACTGAAATGCTATCTTCTGAATGTGACCACCTTAACTCCCTATTTAAACTTCCAACTCACACTCTTCATTTCACTTTTGTTTTTTCCGTAGCCCCTATCTCTCATGGACGATACAATTTACTTATGTTTCTGGTCTGCAGTAAACAAGCCTTTTGCCAGGTATGGTGGCTCATGACTTTAATCCCAGCACTTCGGGAGGCTGAGGACGGAGGATCCCTTGAGCCGAGGAGTTCGTGACCAGCCTGGGCAACATGGCGAGACCCCCATCTCCATGAAAAATTAAAAAATTAGCCAGGTGAGGTGGCTCCTCTGTAGTCCCAGCTACTTGGGAGACTGAGGCAGGAGGATCCCTTGAGCCTGGGAGGTTGAGGCTGCTGTGAGCTATGAACATGCCACTGTACTCTGGCCTGGGTGACAAAGTGAGACCCTGTCTCAAGAACAAACAAACAGGGCTGGGCACAATGGCTTACACCTGTAATCCCAGCACTTTGAGAGGCTGAGGCCGGAGAATCACTTGAGCCTAGGAGTTTGAAATCAGCCTGGGCAACACAGGGAAACCTCTGTCTCTACAAAAAATACAAAAATTAGCCAGGTGGAGTGACGTGCACCTGTGGTCCCAACTACTCAGGAGGCGGAGGTAAGAGGATCACTTGAACCCACGAGGTTGAGGCTGCAGTAAGCCGTGATCATGCCACTGCATTCCACTCTGGGCGAGAGAGTGAGACCCTGTCTCAAAAAGAAAAACGAGGGCCGGGCGCGGTGGCTCACGCCTGTAATCCCAGCACTTTGGGAGGCCGAGGCGGGTGGATCACGAGGTCAGGAGATCGAGGCCATCCTGGCTAACAGAGTAAAACCCTGTCTCTACTAAAAATACAAAAAATTAGCCGGGCGTGGTGGCGGGCGGCTGCAGTCCCAGCTACTTGGGAGGCTGAGGCAGGAGAATGGCGTGAACCCGGGAGGCGGAGCTTGCAGTGAACGGAGATCGTGCCACTGCACTCCAGCCTGGGCGACAGAGCAAGACTCTGTCTCAAAAAAAAAGAAAAGAAAAGAAAAACGAACAAAAAAACCCCCCAGACCTTTGAACAAGCCATCCCCTCTGCCCACCAGAATGTCCGCTCCATGAGGCAGGTATCTTTGCGCTCCCAGCATTTCCAGTCCTGCTCTTGAGCATATAAGCCAGCCTGCTGTCCTGGGAAAGGGGTGGGTATAACTTAGCAGGATCTGTTTGATTCTTGACTCTCAGAATCTCCCCCCAGAGAAACATGAGAACATGTGTACCTGAAAACCAGGGCAGAACAAGGATTTCCTTGCGGCACTGCTTGTGATACGGAATAAACGTCATCCTCGTAAAAGTTAATACTTAGGGAACCCACTACCTGCCAGGCACTCTTCTAAGCTCTTTGCCTATTTTAACTCAATCATCACATCAACATATAAGGCAGGAAGGGAAAAACTCCATCCACACTGCTCCTTCTCAAGACTGAGAATTTACAAAGACAGGCCTCTCTGCCCTCCACCTGCCAAGCTAACTAGGGGTTTCCTCTTCATCCGAGTCTCCCTGGGCTGAGTTGCTTCACAGAAATAGGTTTAGGGGAGTGCAGTCCAGGTTGTGAAGGGTCCCCCGGATGTGTTGGATCTAGGGTTGTGGGAATGGGGCCATACGGAGTCCCAGATGGGGCACCAGAACTTCAAGAAGGGCAGGGCTGAGTGCCCCAGGGTGTCCAGAGTCCCAGGCCAGGTGGGGAACTAAGCGGGGGAGGATGAGACCGGTGAGGGGGCGGGGCTGCCCCCCCAGGGCCTGGTTAGTTACAAGGCCTGGAGGTGGGGCCAGTCCCAGGATTGGGCCGCCAGAGTTCTAGCGGGCGGGGCCAAGCGCTCAGAAGGCGGGTCGAGGGGCTGGGTGCACCCTAGGATTGGGCAGTCGGAACGATGGGAGGCGGGGCCACGAGCCAGGCGCGTCCCGGCCAGGCAGTACGAGACCCAGGCCGCCGGCCCGGCTCCTGGGCGGGGTCCGCAGGTGCCGGGGGCTGGCCCTAGAAGCGGAGGGGGCGGGGTAAAGCCCGGCGGGGTCTGGGGGCGTCTCCTCCCTCCCTCCCTCGGGGCCAGGCCCCCTCACCCGTGGCGGCCGCTCCGCTGGCCGCGCTCCAGAGAGATGAGGTAGGCGGCGAGCTTGGCGTCGCTCCAGCCGCTGCGGCGCCGCAGGTCCACCCAGGGCCCGTGCGCCTCGCCCAGGTACACGCGCCGCACGTCGTACTTCTTCCGGGACTCGAGCCGTCGCCGGGCCCGGTCCGACTCCGTGAGTCGCGGCCGGCCCCGCGCCTTTCGGCCCGCTGCGCCCTCCTCGGCTGCTGCCTCCCCGCCCGCGCCCGCCTCAGCCTCCGCCTCCGCCTCGGGCTCTAGCGCCCGCTCCGCCATCCCCCCCACCCTGGTTACCAGCCTCCCCCGTTGTTAGGAGCCAGACCGGAAGTGGCGCGCATCTTCGGCGCCGCCGAGAAATTTCTCACGGTCTCTCGCTGCCCCAGGGCGCCAAAAGGAGACCAAGAATGGAAACTGCGCATGCGCACAACCAACAGCGCTCCCGCCCCTTTTTATTTGAATTCGGAGAACCAGAGGCGCCTGCAGATTCTGGAGGGGTCTCGCCTGCCCATCGCTGGCAGCCCGAGATCCTGGGGAGGGGATGCCATACTGCTAGAGATGAGGGAAGAGAGCCCCAAGCAGGAAAACATTGATTTGCTGTACACTCAAAGGGCATCTCATGCCTTCAGTCCACCGCCTCCTCGGGCCACAGCCCGTGCCCTCGCGCCGGCTCAGACTAGCTCTGGCCCTGCTGCTGTCGCTGCAGGTTGTCGTCTTCTTCCTGGTGGTCCTCGGGCAGGGGCGGCTCCTCCAGCCCTGCAGAGGATGTCTGGAGCTCCCGGGTGGACCCGGCGAGGCGGAAGACCACGGGGATCTGGGCCAGGGTTGGGTTGGTCTCCTGCAGGCCCTGGATCCACTTAGCCATCGTCGCCTGGTCATGAGCACCCGCCATGCACATGGCGAAGACAGGGCCTTCCTCCACTGTTGGAAGACATGCACCCTTAAGGTTTGCACAGTGGGGGCTGCAGCGGCTAACCCATGCCTACACCTTTTTGAGGTATTTTACACTCCCTTCCACTTCCTTTTTTTTTTTTTTTTTTTTTTTGAGACGGAGTCTCGCTGTGTCACCCAGGCTGGAGTGCAGTGGCGAGATCTCGGCTCACTGCAACATCCGCCTCCCAGGTTCAAGTGATTCTCCTGCCTCGGCCTCCCGAGGAGCTGGGATTACAGGTGCACAGCACCACGCCGGGCTAATTTTTAAATTTTTAGTAGAGATGGGGTTTCACCATGTTGGCCAGGCTGGTCTCGAATTCCTGACCTCAAATGATCTACCCGCCTCAGCCTCCCAGAGTGCTGGGATTACAGGCGTGAGCCACTGTGCCCGGCTTCCTTCCACTTTCTTGTGCCTCCAAACCTTTGCACAAGCTAGCCCCGCTGCCTAGGCTGCCCACTCCACACTTCACCCGGGCGATGACTCCTGGTTTTTCTGTATTCTGCCAGGAAGGCCTCCTGACCCCCCACTCAAGGCATGCTCCTCTCCTAAGCTCCCCAAAGTGTAATTTGCCTGTTCCCTTGCTGACTCGAGGGACTAGGTTTGTCCTGGTGACACCCAGTAGCCAGCACAGAGTTGTAGGAGGGAGGGAATGAACAAGGGCCAACAGGGCTGGGTGACCTCAGGTCTGGAGCCCCTGGGGCAAATGAGTGTGTGCGGCCGGAGGACGAGGGTGTAAGTGGACTGCGTCTCAGCCTGGGCCTACCCCTTGACCCCAGAGGCCGCCCCTCATCCTGGGTGGTGTTTGGAATGTTTGGAAGTCCTGCCTGTCCAGGTTTTTGCCTTTTTTTTTTTTTTTTTTGACACAGGGTCTATCATGTAGGCTGGAGTGCAGTGGCTCTATAATAGTTCACTGCAACCTCAACTCCTGGGCTCAAGTGATCCTCCCACCTCAGCCTGTAGGAGGGCTGGGATTACGAGCACACATGTGAGCCACCGCACCTGGCCCAGTTTTTACCTTCATTGATGTCAAACTCGTAGTTGTCCCAGCCACTCCTCACATACTCCAGGTCCAGCTGCATCGGGTAGTAGAGGTTCCACTCCTCCGGCGTCTCTTCCACTTCCTACTCCAAGGTGGGGAGTGCAGGCGGGGTCAGAGGCCAGGGCTCTCTCGGTCTCCCTCCTCCAGCCTCTCCCATGCACCCTCAGGGTAGTGCCAGCCCACTCCCCAGCCCCAACACATGCTTTGCTTTAAGCCCTCACCCTCTCCTCCGGGGGCAGCAAGTCAGCTCTGAGGATGTGGTAATACACACACTTGTTGCGGAGCCACAGGGAGAAGGGGCCCTCAACAAAGACAGGCCGGGCTGGATTGTGGCGGGCCAGGGCGGCCTGCTGATCGGGACTCTGGATTCCTGGTGTGGAGACATACATGCCCTGTGCCCTGCAAGGGACTCGGCCCAGAGGCCCAGGGAGCCCAGCCTAGGCCCAGCGAGAACCTGGCAGGGCCTGGGTAAGGTTAGAGACTTGGCTGCCCCCATGCTCTCGGACTTACCTACGATGTGGGGCTGGGGGGGATCTGCTGCACCTGTTGAGTCTTTGGGCAAAGGAACCTGCAAGGGAGAGTAGGGATATAATCTTGTAACCCCCAATCCCCTACAGAGGAACTGGGGACAGAGAAACAGAAAGGGGGATACCAGGGAATTCAGGACACCTCTCCTGGATCTGGTACACGGCCCTCCAACCTGTCCCCTCCTCCCTCTGTCCCATTTGGCAATAACCACCAATCTTTAGGATGCTCACCCTGAGGGAACTACCCTAGAACCAGCCCACCTTTGTCAAAATCCTGGCTCTGTCACAAGCTGTGTGACCTTGGCCAAGTCACTGTACCTGTGTGCCTCAGTTTCTCCAGATGCACAATAGGGATGATAACAGCACTTAATTCCGATTTTTTTTTTTTTTTTAGGGATGGGGGTCTCCCTCTCTGTCATCCATGCTGGAGAATGGTGGCATGATCATAGCTCACTGTAGCCTTGAACTCCTGGGCTCAAGTGATCTTCCTACCTCAGTCTCCCAAGTAGCTGGGTCTACAGGTGCACACCACTATGCCTGGCTAATTTTATTTTTTTAATTTTTGAAATGGAGTTTTGCTCATTACCCAGGCTGGAGTGCAATGGCATGATCTCGGCTCACTATAGCCTCCGCCTCCTGGGTTCAAGCGATTCTCCTGCGTCGGCCTCCCAAGTAGCTGGGACTACAGGCGCCTGCCACCATGCCCGGCTAATTTTTTGTATTTTTAGTAGAGATAGGGTTTTGCTATGTTGGCCTGGCTGGTCTCAAATTCCTGGCCTCAGGTGATCCGCCTGCCTTGGCCTCCCAAAGCACTAGGATTATGGGCATGAACCTAACTTTGGGTGGTTGTAAAATATGTAGCACAGTCCCTGGCAAATAATAAGTGCTCAGTGCTTGTGAATTAAAAAAAGAAAAATAACTTCACATATACAGAATATCCCAGGAAGGAGACACTAGAAGCAAATGATAGCTTTCACCTCTGTGGAGGACAGGGTGGGAAGGAATACCTTTTTTATCTTTTAAAATTTTATACCTTGAACATAATTCAAAAACACTAGACAATTTTTTTTTTTTTTTTTTGGGACAGAGTTTCGCTCTTGTTGCCTAGGCTGGAGTGCAATGGGGCTTGATCTCAGCTCACCGCAACCTCCACCTCCTGGGTTCAAGTGATTCTGCTGCCTCAGCCTCCCGAGTAGCTGGGATTACAGGCATGCACCACCACGTCTGGCTAATGTCTGTATTTTTAGTAGAGACAGGGTTTCTCCATGTTGGTCAGGCTGGTCTCAAACTCCCAACCTCAGGTGATCCACCTGCCTCAGCCTCCCAAAGCATTGGGATTACAGGCATAAGCCACTGCGCCCCGCTGACAAAGTTTTTTTTTTTTTAACAAAATGCACTTGCTTTTGAAACAAAACAGTGGACAGCTATTAGAACATATATCATTCATCCTTTCAAGTTAAAAAAAATTGAGATGAGCAGGCCGGGCGCAGTGGCTCATGCCTGTAATCCCAGCACTTTGGGAGGCCGAGGGTGGTGGATCACTTGAGGCCAGGAGTTCAAGACCAGCCTGGCCAACATGGTGAAACCCCGTCTCTACTAGAAATACAAAAATTAGCCAGGCGTGGTGGCACACGCCTGTAGTCCCTGCTACATGGGAGGCTGAGGCACAAGAATTGCTTGAACCTGGGAGGAGGAGGTTGTAGTGAGCCGAGATTGTGCCACTGCACTCCAGCATGGGCGACAGAGCAAGGCTCTGTCTCAAAAAAACAACAAAAAAATTTGAGATGGATCAGTGACTTCTAGTTGTATTAAATGAAATTTGTAAAAGGCAAGGTACATGTATATAATGCCCTGCTACTAAAGAAACTTTTTTTTTTTTGAGATGGAGTTTCGCTCTTGTTGCCCAGGCTGGAGTGCAATGGCGCGATCTCGGCTCACTGCAACCTCCACCTCCTGGGTTCAAGTGATTCTCCTGCCTCACCCTCGCAAGTAGCTAGGATTACAGGCATGCACCACCATGCCTGGATAATTCTTTTTGTATTTTTAGTAGAGACGAGGTTTCTCCATGTTGGTCAGGCTGGTCTCGAACTCCCAACCTCTGGTGATCTGCCTGCCTCGGCCTTCCAAAGTGCTGGGATTACAGGCGTAAGCCACCATGCCTGGCTAAAGAACTTCTTTTTTTTAAACAGACAGGATCTTGCTCTGTCACCCAGTCTGGTGTGCAGTGGTATGATCACGGCTCACTACAGACTTGACTTCCTGAGTTCAAGCCACCCTCCTGCCTCAGCCTCCTGAGTAGCTGGGGCTACAGGTGTGCACCACCACTCCCAGCTAATTTTCGTATTTTTTTGGTAGAGATGGGGTCTTGCCATGTTGCCCAGGCTGGTCTCGAACTCCTGGGCTCAAGCAATCCATCTGCCTCAGCCTCCCAAAGTGCTGGGATTACAGGCATGAGCCACTGTGCCTGGCTGTATTTTACTCCATAAGACGGGGGAGAAGGATATTTAAATACAAAGGATACAGATGCCAAAAAAAAAAAGAGAGAGAGAGAGAGAGATCTGCTTGCAAATGTATAGAACCTCTCTGGAAGGAGACATGGAAATAGTCACCTCTGGGGAGGGAGACGGGCGGCGTCAGGGGCAGCGCACGGGGCCTGGGTAGAAGCAGAGGACTCGTCACTGTGTGCTTTTACATGCTGTTTGGCTTTTTAGTGCATTGCTTTGCAAAATGAAGAAATGAACTAAAAACAACCCTCCCCCCCACATTCTGCTGCTGGTCTCAAGCCATCTCTCACCTGGACCCACGACCCTGGTCCCCTAGCCCCTCTCCCCATCCAACAGCATCCACACGGCTGCCAGGAGACACGTTTCCAATTGCAGATTCTTCCAGAAACATGATTCCAACCCGATTCCTTCTTCTTAAATCTCTGCCCCCCCACCCCCGGCATAGCTCTCCCCACCAACCAAGAGGTTTGAGATCAAGCTCTTTAATCAGGTGCCCCCACTCACTGCACCGCATTTCCTGGTACACACTGCTCCCTCTGCCCAGCGTCCTCTGCTCTCCTTACCTCCCCCAGGAAGCCCCACCTGCCCACTCGGCTCCCACAGCACCCCGGGCTTCTCCATCTCAGAACCACTGGCTCTTAAGGAAACTGTTATCTGTCCAGGACCACATGACAAGTGCTGTGAGGGGCTCTCTTTGGATCCCTTGTGTGATCTGGCATGAGTGGGGGCTCCCAGGACACTGAGTTGAGGGTGTTACTCCACTCAGTCATTCAACAAACCACTGCCAAGTGTCAGCTTTGCACCAAATCCTGTGCTCAGCCTTGGGAGACAGGAGGGAGACTGAGTCATGGTGAATGAGGAACCAAGCCAAGCACGGTGAAGGGGTGGTGCCTTGGCCAGGGAGGTCAGGAAGGGCATCCTGATTAGGAACAGTGGAGCTGAGACCGGAATAACATGAAGTCCATGGGGAACAGTGTTCCTGGCAGAAGGAACAGAGAACGCAAAGCCCTGTGGTGAGAATTGGCACAGAAAATAAGGAAGATGCCTAGAATGTAGCAAGTGTTGGGAGAAGGATGGGAGGGTGCTATGGTCTGAATGTTTATGGCCCCCTGAAATTCATATGTTGCAATCTATCTACAATGCAATAGGATTAAGAGGTCAGGCCTTTGAGAGGAGAGGCACTTAGATCATAAGGGCTCTGCCTTCATGAATGAGATTAGTCCCCTTATAAAAAAGGTCTTGGCCGGGCACAGTGGCTCACGCGTGTAATCCCAGCACTTTGGGAGGCCGAGGTGGGCAGATCATGAGGTCAGGAGATCAAGACCAGCCTGGCCAACATGGTAAAACCCCGTTTCTACTAAAAATACAAAAATTAGCTGGGCCTGGTGGTGCATGCCTGTAATCCCAGCTACTTGGGAGGCTGAGGCAGGAGAATCGCTTGAACCCGGGAGTCAGAGTTGCAGTGAGCTGAGATGGCGCCACAGCACTCCAGCCTGGCGACAGAGCGAGACTCCATCTCAAAAAAAAAACAAACAAACAAAGGTCTGAGGGGGCCAGGCATGGTGGCTCATGCTTGCAATCCCAGTACTTTGGGAGGCTAAGGTGGGTGGATCGCTTGAGCTCACGAGTTTGAGACCAGCCTGGGCAACATGGTGGAACCCCATTTCTACAAGAAATACAAAAATTAGCCGGGCGTGGTGGTGTACGACTGTAGTCCCAGCTACTTGGGAGGCTGAGGTGAAAGGATGGCTTCAGCCTGGGAGGTGGAATTTGCCGTGAGCCAAGATAGTGCTACTGCGCTCCAGCCTGGGCAACAGAGCCAGACCTTGTCTCAAAAAAAATATGAAGAGGTCTGAGGGGCTTGTTTGCCCCTTATATTATGTGAGGACACAGCAAGGTGTCATCTTTGAAGCAGAGAGCAAACCCTCACCAGACCTAGATCTGGTGGCACCTTGATCTTGGACTTCCCAGCCTCTAGAACTGTGAGCAATAAATTTTTGTTGTTCATCAATGACCCAAGCTAAGAGATTTTGTTAGAGCAGCCTGAACGGACTGAAGCAGAGGTCACTCAAGCTGTGCTAGCAGTAAGGACCATGGGAACCTACCAGGGGACTCAGCCAGAGAATCAGAACTCAATTCACGGCCAGGCACAGTGCCTCATGCCTGTAATCCCAGCACTTTGGGAGGCCGAGGCAGGAGGATTGCTTGAGCCCAGGAGTTCAAGGCCAGCCTGGGCAATATAGTGAGACCCTGTCTCTGAAAAAAAAAAACAGTTTTTTTAATTAGCCAGGCATAGTGGTGTGTGACTGGAGTCCCAGCTACTCAGGAGGCTGAGGTGGAAAGATCGCTTGAGCCTGGGAGGCAGAGGCTGCAGTGAGCCGAGATAGTGCCACCACACTCCAGCCTGGGCAACAGAGCAAGACCCTGTCTCAAAAAAGAACTTGATTCACCACAATCACTAGAGTGAGAGAAGGGGAGCCCAGGGGAGGAATGGCGGGAGCCTGGCCTGGGGTGGCAGCTGACGCTGTAGACAAGGGCGGATACCTGGTAGATGGTGACCCTGGCACTAAGGTCAGGCTCCATGTGCCGCAGGCCAAACATGGCCAGCTCCACAGGGTCCTGGGGCAGGTCCCGGGGCACTGGGAAGGGGTTGACGTTCATGAATCGAGGGAACCACAGCTTCAGGCGCACCAACTTGAGCATGGGGTAGCTTTTGCGTCCAAAGATCTGAATCAGCAGGAACTCCGTCTCCTTGTTGGGCATCACACCTGTGCTGGGCAGATGCAGGCAGAACCTCAGAGATGGAGGGGGAGGAGGGAAGGGAAGAGGAGAAAAGAAAACAGTGAAGTGAGGGAATTGATCACAGACAGGGAGAAAAGAATCAGAGAGAATTAGAAAGAAAAAGGCTCATGCCTGTAATCCCAGCACATTGGGAGGCCAAGGGGAGAGGATCACTTGAGTCCAGGAGTTTGAGAGCAGCCTGGGCAACATAGTGAGACCCCATTTCTAAAAGAAAGAGAGAAAGAGAGGAAGGAAGGGAGGGAGAGAGAGGCAGGGAGGAGAGGAGAAGAGAGGAGAGTGGGGGGAGGAGAGGGAGGGAGGGGGGAGGGGAGGGGAGGTCAGAGGGAGGCAAGAAAGAGAGATGAGTGATGAAAAGAGGGATTCGGAGAGGGAGAAGAGCGAGAGAGACAGAGACGGAGCCATGGAGGAAGGAGGGGCTGAGACTCAGGAGAGGTGCTGCCAGCTATCAGTGTAGCCCACTCCCCACCCTGCGCCAGCCTCCTGGCCTCACCGTGGTTCTCCATCTGCTCCAGGACAGCAATCCCACACTCCTGCTGCCGAGGGTAGTGGACGAAGATGCGCTGGATGATGTTGCGAGGCCGGAAGACCTCCTTGGGGAAGATGTTGAGCAGCTGGTTGTACACAGCCAGGTCCCGCTCGACACCATACTCCCGCATCTTGCGCAGGGCCAGGTAGATGAAGTCAATGTGGCCCCGCTTACGCACGCTGTGCTCCGCAAATTTCTGCACCGTCTGCAGGAAGCTCGCCTTGTCCCGTTCCCCACCAGGCGCCTGCCCAAACAGGTCCTCAAAGGGCACCAGAGCCTTGGTGGGCCTCTGCCGGGGTTCCGGTGGGCTGGGAACCAGGGACTGTTCAGAGCTATGGGCAGCTGCGCTGCAGTGGAGGCCCCGAGGGAGCCGGCGAGGGACCTGGGGAGGGAGGAGAACTGCTGGAATCTGGCACCTCTCAGTGTCTATGGGGGGCCGCCAGGCTGGCTCTTTCCTCAGAGAGGTCCCAGTGGCCTCCCTGAGGACTCGGAGGTATGGAACTGTGGTTACAAACCCAAGATTCGAGGCCATTACAAAGTGCGATAAAACACAATGCTGGCACAGTAGGGAGGAAACAGGCACTGTTAGCCATGGCTACGGGGAGCTGGTAAAAACTGCCACGGAGGCAACTTGGTAATATTCACAGTGATGACACACACATGCCGGTTTTTTTTTGGGTTTTTTTTTTTGGTTTTTTTTTGAGACGGGGTCTGGCTCTGTGGCCTAGGCTGGAATGTAGTGGTGCTACTGTGGCTTACTGCAGCTTTCAACTCCTGGGCTCAAGCAATTCTCCTCCTCACCCTGTCCAGCAGCTGGAACTACCGGTGTACACCACCACACCTGGCTAATTTTTAAATTTTCAGCAGAGACGGGAGTCGCACTATTTTGCCCAGGTTGGTCTTGAACGCCTGGCTTCAAGTGATCATCCCGTCTCCACCTCCCAAAGTGTTGGGATTACAGACATGAGCCACTGTGCCTGGTGGCCCTTTTTGCTTGTAATTTTTTTTTTTTTTTTTTAGACAGAGTCTCATTCTGTCACCCATGCTGCAGCGCAGTGGCGTGACCTCAGCCCACTGCAACCTCTGCCTCCCATGTTCAAGCGATTCTCATGCCTCAGCCTCCCAAGTAAGCTGGACTACAGACGTGCTCCACCACGCCCTGCTAATTTTTGTATTTTTAGTAAAGATGGGGTTTCATCATGTTGGCCAGGCTGGTCTCAAACTCCAGGCCTCAAGTGATCCACCTGCCTCAGCCTCCCCAAGTCTTTTTTTTTTTTTTTTTGAGACAGAGTCTCGCTTTGTCACCCAGGCTGGAGTGCAGTGGCGCGATCTCGGCTCATTGCAAGCTCCACCTCCCGGGTTCACGCCATTCTCCTGCCTCAGCCTCCTGAGTAGCTGGGACTACAGGCGCCTGCCACCACGCCCAGCTAATTTTTTGGATTTTTAGTAGAGACGGGGTTTCACTGTGTTAGTCAGGATGGTCTCGATCTCCTGACCTCGTGATCCGCCCGCCTTGGCCTCCCAAGTGCTGGGATTACAGGCATGAGCCACCGCGCCCGGCGTAGCCACCTTAAGTCTTGAGATTACAGGCATGAGCCACTGTACCCAGCCCCTTCTTTCTTTTTCTTTTTTTCTTGAGACAGAGTTTCACTCGTCGCCCAGGCTGGAATGCAATGGTGTCATCTCAGCTCACTGCAACCTCTGCCTTGTGGGTTCAAGCGATTCTCCTGCCTCAGCCTCCCAAGTAGCTAGGATTACAGGCGCCTGCCACCATGCCCAGCTAATTTTTATGTTTTGTTTGTTTGTTTTTCCTGAGATGGAGTCTCGCTCTGTTGCCAGGCTGGAGTGCAGTCACACGATCTCAGCTCACTATAACCTCTGACTCCCTGGTTCAAGCAATTCTTCTGCCTCAGCCTCCCAAGTAGCTGGGATTACAGGCACATGCCACCATGCCCAGTTAACTTTTGTATTTTTAGTAGAGACAGGGTTTCACCATGTTGGCCAGGCTGGTCTTGAACTCCTGACCTTGTGATCCGCCCACCTCGGCCTCCCAAAGTGCTGGGATTACAGATGTGAGCCACCATGCCCGGCCTAATTTTTGTGTTTTTAGTAGAGACGGGGTTTCACCATGTTGGCCAGGATGGTCTCGAATTCCTGACCTAAGGTGATCCACCCACCGTGGCCTCCCAAAGTGCTGGGACCCTTTAAGAGATGGAGTCTAGCTATGTTGCCCAGGCGGGAGTGCAGTGGCTATTCACAGGCATGAGCCAACTGGTCAGCACAGGAGTTTTGACCTGCTGTTTCCAACCTGGGTCAGTTCACACTTCCTTAGGCAACCTGGTGGTCCCCCAAGTCCCAGGAGGTCACAATATTAAGCAAAACTTAGTGCAGGACACTCCATCAGCATAGTGCACAACAGCCCAGAACTCCTGGGCTCAAGTGATCCTCCCACCTCAGCCTCCAGAGTAGCCAAATTCTGGTTCTAGATGACACAGTAACAAATTTCTTATTTTAAATTGAATTTTTAAATTAGAAGGGTTACATATAAGGCATCTTAAAAATATACAGCTAGTTATCAAGGTTGTACTGTGCTTTGATTGCACCACCGCATTGCAGCCTGGGCAACATAGTGAGACTCCATCTCTCTATGAAAAAATAAAAAAATAAGCGGGGCGTGGTGGTGTATACCTGTAGTCCCAGCTACTCAGGAGGCTGAAGCAGGAGGACTGCTTAAGCCCAGGAATCCCAGGCTGCAGTGAGCTATGATTGTGTCACTGCACTCCAACCTGAACGAGAGAGTAAAACCTTATCTCTAAAAAATAAATGAATGTGTGTGTGTTTATCTACACACACACACACACACACACAAAACGCTAACAAGTAAGAGCCAATATTAGTCCAGGCTCGGTGGCTCACACCTGTAATCCTAGCACTTTGGGAGGCTGAGGCGGGCAGATCACCTGAGGTCAGGAGTTTGAGACCAGCCTGGGCAACCTGCTGAAACCTCATGTCTACAAAAAAATACAAAAATTAGCCAGGCATGGTGGTGAATGTATGTAGTCCCAGCTACTCAGGAGGCTGAAGTAGGCAGATCAATTGAGACTGGCGGGTCGAGGTTGCAGTGAGCCAAGATCACGCCACTACACTCCAGCATGGGCAACAGAGCGAGACCCTATCTCAAAAGAAAGAGACAATATTTACCAAATATTCTTCCACTGTAGACACAGTTGAGCACTTTACAAATGTGAGGCCCTAGGTGGGGGGTACTCTTACTGCACTCATTTTACAGATGAGAAAAACCAAGGCTCAGGAAGATGAAGTGGGATGCACAGTGTTACACAGCTGCAAAGCATCAGAGCTGAGAATGGAGTCAGTGCCCTCAGTCCCCCTACTCTGCGGTCCCCACAGCCATCCCATATCGTTCTTTGATAAGGCAATGTTAAAAAAAAAAAAAGGCATTCATTTACAGTAAAATTTCAGGTTGGGCGCAGTGGCTCGTGCCTGTAATCCCAGCACTTTTGAGAGGCGGGTGGATCACTTGAGGTCAGGAGTTTGAGACCAGCCTGGCCAACATGGTGAAACCCCATCTCTACCAAAAATGCAAAAATTAGCCAGGTGTGGTGCCGCACACCTGTAATCCCAGCTACTCAGGAGGCTGAGGCAGGAAAATCACTTGAACCCGGGAGGCAGAGGTTGCAATGAGCTGAGATCACGCCACTGCACTCCAGCCTGGGTGACAGAGGGAGACTCCATCTCAAAAACAAAAAACAACTGAAATTTCAGTCAATTAATAATATAGGTGGTGTAGTATTGTACCACTTTGGGGTAAAAATCAGAAAGGAAGCTCTAAAATGCCTAACGAGGGGGAAACACTGCAAAGGAGGTAATGTAAATGAAATGCATAGTGCGGGGCCGGGCACAGAGTAAGTGCTCAATATGGGAACTATTAATATTCCCACCATCATCGTTATTGCTATCTATGGCTGTCAATCTGCTTTCGCCATCTGGTCACTATGGGTATAGGAAAGAAATTCAGTTTTCTGCCCCATCTTCACAAGTAGATGCAGGAGGAGCTGCTCACAGTCACCACACAAATCCACCGAGCTCATACATCCTTATTTTCAAAGTCAATCCCCTCACCCACGTAGGCACTAGCATCTCTTAAATTAGGGTCCAGGCACAGTGGCTCACACTTGTAATCCTAGCACTTTGGGAGGCCAAAGTGGAAGGACTGAGGGCCCAGAGGTTCAAGACCAGTCTGGGCAACACAACAAGACCATATACTTAAAAAAAAAAAAAATTAGCGGCCGGGTGCGGTGGCTTATGCCTGTAATCCCAGCACTCTGGGAGGCCGAGGCGGGTGAATCACCTGAGGTCAGGAGTTTGAGACCAGCCTCGCCAACATGGCAAAACCGCGTCTCTACTAAAATTACAAAAATTAGCTGGGCGTGGTGATGTGCACTTGTAATCACAGCTACTCGGCAGGCTGAGGCAGGAGAATCACTTGAACCCAGGAGGCAGAGGTTGCAGTGAGCCAAGACCACGCCACTGCACTCCAGCTTTGGCGACAAGAGCAAAATTCCATCTAAAAAAAAAAAAATTAGCTGGGCATGGTGGCTCAAATCAGTGATCCCAGCTACTCAGGGGGCTGAGGTGGGAGGCTCATTTGAGCCCAGGAGTTTGAGGCTGCAGTGAGCCCTGATTCCACCACTGTACTCCAGCCTGGGTGATAGAGCAAGACCTTGTTTCAAAAAAATAAATAAATTATGGACTTTTGGCCAGGCGCGGTGGCTCACGCCTGTAATCCCAGCACTTTGGGAGGCTGACGCAGGTGGATCACTTGAGCCCAGAGTTCAAGACCAGCCTGCCCAACATGGTGAAACCCCGTCTCTACAAAAAAAATACAAAAACTAGCCGGGTGTGGTAGTATGTGCCTGTAGTCCTGGGTACTTGGGAGGATGAGGCGGGAGGATTGCTTGAACCTGGGAGGTCAAGACTACAGTGAGCTGTAATCACACTACTGCACTCCAGCCTTGGTGACAGAGACACTGTCTCAAAAAACAAACACATAAACATACATACATACATAAACTAAGGACTTTTAATGGGACCTCGGCACTGATAGGCCAGCCCAGACTCACCAGAACTGGCTTCACAGAGTGGATTCTGAAGGAGTTGGGAGCAAATCCCAAGCTTACCTCCCTCTACCCAAAAGACTGCCTGGCTGGTGCTTACCTGAGAGATGGAGGTTCCTGTGAGGGCGGCCCCGCAGGTGCCTCCCCAGGCCCTACAGAGGCCTCGGGCCAGTAGGGTGGCCTGGACCCAGCTCATGCCTCTGCTTGTCAGACAATCACCTGGCCCAAAAGAAGATTCAGCATTAGCCTGGCACCTTACAGATGCTAACAGACGCAAGGGCCCCGCAGGGTCGAGGGCACACTCCAGATTATGTGGCTCACTCACCAGCCCCAATGTTTACCTTACCCAAGAAACAGGCTGATGACTCAAAGACTTTGTTCTTGGGACAGCACCCTAATCCTGCTGCCCCAGGGGCGTGATCATAGCTCAATGCAGCCTCCAACTTCTGGGCCCAAGTGATCCTCCAGCCCCAGAGCGTCGAGAAGCTGGGACTACAGACGCGTGCCACCATGCCCAGCTAATTTGAAAATAGTTTGCAGAGACCCAGGGTCTTGCTGTGTTGCCCAGGCTGGTCTCGAACTGTTGGCTTCAAGTGATCCTCCCATCTCTGTCTCCAAAAGTGCTGGGATCATGGGTGTGAGCCAGCACTCCTAGCCACTACAATCTAATTTTACAAAATCTGTGTCACTCCAACAAGAATCCCTGTACCTGGCCAGGCGCGGTGGCTCACGCCTGTAATCACAACATTCTGGGAGGCTGAGGCGGGCGGATCACTCGAAGTTGGGAGTTCGAGACCAGCCTGACCAACATGGAGAAACCCCATCGCTACTAAAAATACAAAAAATTAGCCGAGCATGGTGGCGCACGCCTGTAATTCCAGCTACTGGGAAGGCTGACGTAGGAGAATTGCTTGAACCCAGGAGGCAGAGGTTGCAGTGAGCCAAGATGATGCCATTACACCTCAGCCTGGGGAACAACAGCAAAACTCCATCTCCAGAAAAAAAAAAAAAGAAGAAAAAAAAAAAAGAAAGAAACCCTGTACCCATTAGCACTCAATTTCCCTTCACTCCCAACCCCAAGAAACCACTCATCCACTGTCTCTATAGATCTCCCTATGCCGGCCATTTCATACAAATGGAATCTGGAATCACAAGTGCTCCTTTATGATTGGTTTCCTTCACTTGACATGTTTTTTTTCTTTTTTCTTTTTTTCTGAGATGCAGTCTCGCTCTGTCACCCAGGCTGAAGTGCAATAGTGCCATCTCGGCTCACTGCAACCTTCGCCTCCCGGATTCAAGCGATTCCCATGCCTCAGCATCCCGAGTAGCTGGGATTACAGGTACATGCCACCACGCCCGGCTAATTTTTGTATTTTTAGTAGAGATGGGGTTTTATCACGTTGGCCAGGCTGGTCTCGAACTCCTGACCTCAAGTGATCCGCCAGCCTCAGCCTCCCCAAGTGCTGGGATTACAGGCGTGAGCCACCGCACCTGGCCCACTGACGTGTTTTCAAGGTTCATGCATAGATTTTTTTTTAATTTTTATTATTTTTATTTTTAGACAGGATCTTGCTTTGTTTCCCAGGCTGGAGTGCAGTGGCACAATCTCAGCTCACTGCAACCTCTGCTTTCCGGGCTCACGATTCTCCTGCCTCAGCCTCCTGAGTAGCTGGGACTATAGGTGTGTGCCACTGCATCCAGCTAATTTATAGATTTTTTTGTAGAGATGGGGTTTCGCCATGTTGCCAAGCTGGTCTCAAACTCCTTACCTTGTGATCCGTCCGCCTCAGCCTCCCGAAGTGCTGGGATTATAGTCGTGAGCCACCGCACCCGGGCTTTTTTTTTTTTGAGATGGAGTTTCATTCTTGTTGCCCAGGCTGGATTGCAATGGCATGATCTTGGCTCACTGCAACCTCTGCCTCCCGGGTTCAAGTGATTCTCCTGCCTCAGCCTCCCAAGTAGCTGGGATTACAGGCACCCGCCACCATACCCAGCTAATTTTTGTATTTTTAGTAGAGATAGGGTTTCACCATGTTGGCCAGGCTGGTCTTGAACTCCTGACATCAAGTGATCCACCCACCTTGGCCTCCCAAATTGCTAGGATTACAATCATGCCCGGCCAATTCCACTGTTTTTGGAATGGAATATAACCAGGTTTTGTATGGCTATAACCATATTTTATTTATGCATTCATCAATTGATGGACATTTGGGGTTGTTTGCCAAATGTTTTTGACTGTTATAACTACTACTGCCATGAACATTCGTGTAGAAGTTTTATGTGAACACATGTTTATACTTCTCTTGGGTATATACTTAGGAGTCAAACTGCTGAGACATATGGTAACTACATGTTTAACATTTTTAGGAACTGCCAGACTGTTTTTGGGGATGACTGCACCATTTCACATTCCCATCGGCAACGTACAGTTGACCCTTCATCAACAAAGGCTTGAACAGCATAAGTCCATTTATACGTGGATTTTTTTTTTTTTTTTCAGTAAAAGTTATGGCTGTACGTGGTGGCTAACGCCTGTAATCACAGCACTTCGGGAGGTCGAAGCAGGCAGATCACCTGAGGCCAGGAGTTCGAGAGCAGCCTGGCCAACATGGGAGAGACCCTATCTCTACTAAAAAAACAAAAAAACAAAAATTAGCCAGGCTGGGGGCACACTCCTGCAGTCCCCAGCTACTCAGGAGGCGGAGGCAGGAGAATCACTTGAACCCAGGAGGCAGAAGCTGCAGTGAGCCAAGATCGTGCCACTGCACTCCAGCCTGGGCGAAAGAGGAAGACTCTGTCTGAAAAATAAGAATAAGACCAGGTGTGGTGGCTCACGCCTGTAATCCCAGCACTTTGGGAGGCCAGGCAGGATAATCACTTGAGGTCAAGAGTTCAAGACCAACCAACCAACGTGGCAAAACCCCATCTCTACTAAAAATACAAAAATTAGCCAGGCTCCTTTTGCCGGTGGCGGCAAGCATGGAGAGGATGCCATGAAGGCCTCGGGCACACTACAAGAGTACAAGGTGGTGGGTTGCTGCCTGCTCACTCCCAAATGCCACACACCACCCCTCTACCACATGCGAATCTTTGCACCTGATCATGTCGTTGCCAAGTCCCACTTCTGGTACTTTGTATCTCAGCTAAAGAAGATGAAGAAGTCTTCGGGGAGACTGTCAACTGTGGGCAGGCATTCGAGAAGTACCGCCTGCGGGTGAAGAACTTCGGCATCTGGCTGCGCTACAAACTCCCAGAGCAGCACCCACAACATGTACCAGGAATATTGGGACCTGACCACCACGGGCGCTGTCACCCAGTGCTACCGAGACATGGGCGCCCGGTACCCCACCTGGACCCATTCCATCCAGATCATGAAGATGGAGGAGATAGCAGCCAGCAAGTCCCACCGGCTGGCCGTCAAGCAGTTCCAAGACTCCAAGATCAAGTTCCCGCTGCCCCACCAGGTCCTGCGCCATCAGCACAAGCCACGCTTCACCACCAAAAGGCCCAACACCTTCTTCTAGGGGTAGGGCCCTCACCCAGGTGTGCCCCACGTAAACTCAGGAACGCCCCGGTAAAAAAAAAAAAAATTAGCCAGTCATGGTGGTACATGCCTGTAATCCCAGCTACTCAGGAGGCTGAGGTGGGAGAATTGCTTGCACCTGGGAGGCAATGTTACAGTAAGCTGAGATCGCGCCACTGCACTCCAGCCTGGGTGACCGAGTGAGACTCTGTCTCAAAAAAATTAATTAATTAAATTTAATTAAATAAAAGTTACAACTTTAAACACTGAGGGGCTAGTAAAAAGAAAAAAGGTCGGGCACGGTGGCTCACGCCTGTAATCCCAGCACTTTGGGAGGGTGAGGCGGGTGGATCACGAGGTCAGGAGATCGAGACCATCCTGGTTAACACGGTGAAACCCCATCTCTACTAAAAATACAAAAAAAATAGCCAGGCGTGGTGGCAGGCACCTGTAGTCCCAGCTACTCAGGAGGCTGAGGCAGGAGAATGGTGTGAACCCGGGAGGCGGAGCTTGCAGTGAGCTGAGATCCCACCACTGCACTCCAGCCTGGGTGACAGAGTGAAAGAAAAAAAAGTTACAGCTGAATGTGCCTGCCTCTCCATCTACCTCCTCCACCACCTCTTCTGCCTCTGCCACCCCTAAGACAGCAGGACCAACCCCTCCTCTTCCTCCTCCTCCTCAGCTTACTCAATGTGAAGACGATGAGAATGAAGACCTTTATGATGATCCACTTCCACCTAATGAATAGTAAATTCAATGTGTTTTCCTGATTTTCTTAATAACATTTTCTTTTCTTCAGCTTATTGTAAGATTATAGTATTATATATATATATAACATTAAAAAATATGTTAATCACCCTTTCCCTGCCACTGCCGAGTTGCGCGGAGGCGGAGGCTTGGGTATGTTCAAGATTCAGCTTCACCCATAACCCACTGCCATGGCCGAGGGAGGCATTGCTGCTGGAGGTGTAATGGATGTTAATACTGCTTTACAAGAGGTGCTGAAGACCGCCCTCATCCACGATGGCCTAGCACGTGGAATCTGTGAAGCTGCCAAAGCCTTAGACAAGCGCCAAGCCCATCTTTGTGTGCTTGATCCAACTGTGATAAGCCTATGTATGTCAAGCTGGTGGAGTCCCTTTGTGCTGAGCACCAAATCAACTTAATTAAGGTTGATGACAACAAGAAACTAGGGGAATGGGTAGCGCTCTGTAAAATTGAGAGAAGGGAAACCCTGTAAAGTGGTTGGTTGCAGTTGTGTAGTAGTTAAGGACTATGGCAAGGAGTCTCAGGCCAAGGATGTCATCCAAGAGTACTTCAAATGCAAGAAATGAAGACATAAATCTTTGGCTCACATAAAAAAATAAGTTAATTGACTGTTATGTAATCACTGAGACCTCTGGACAACAGTGGGCTATTAGTAGTTAAGATTTTTTGTTTTGAGACAGGATCTCACTCTGTTGCCCAGGCTGGAGTACAGTGGTATGATCATGGCTCACTGCAGACTTGACCTCCCAACTCAAGCAATCCTCCCACCACTGCCTCCTGAGTAGCTGGGATTACAGGTGTGCGCCACCACACTCAACTAATTTTTACAATTTTTATAGAGGCTGGGTTTCCCTCTATTTTCCAGGCTGATCTCAAACTCCTGGGCTCAAGCAATCCTCCCACCTCGGCCTCCCAAAGTGCTGGAATTACAGAGGTGAGCCACTGCACCTGGCTGGATTTTGGGGGTGTCAAAAGTAGCCTGGCAGGGTGGCTCACGCCTGTAATCCCAGCACTTTGGGAGGCCGAGGTGGGCAGATCACGAGGTCAAGAGATCGAGACTATCCTGGCCAACATTGTGAAACCCCATCTCTACTAAAAGTATAAAAATTAGCTGGGCGTGGTGGCAGGCGCCTGTAGTCCCAGTTACTCGGGAGGCTGAGGCAGGAGAATCGCTTGAACCCAGGAGGTGGAGTTTACAGTCAGCCGAGATTGCGCCACACTGCACTCCAGTCTGGATGACACAGCAAGGCTCCGTCTCAAAAATAAATAAATAAATAGAGCACCCCACTGAAGGCTGGGCACAGCGGCTCATGCTTCTTATCCACTTTGGGAAGTCAGAGTGGGAGGATCACTTGAGCCCGGGAGATCAAGAACAGCAAAAAGAAAAAAAAAAAAGAAAGAAAAAAAATACCAGCTGGGTGTGGTGGCACTCATTTGTAGTCCCAGCTACTCAGGAGGCTGAGGTGGGACGATCACTTGAGCCCAGCAGTTCAAGGTTATATGAGCTATGATTGTGCTACCACACTCTGGCTTGGGTGACAGAGTGAGACCCTATCTCAAAAATAAAAAAATAAAAAATAAAAAGCACTCTGGCCAGGCGCAGTGGCTCATGCCTGTAATCCCAGCAATTTGGGAAGCCAAGGCGGGTGGATCACAAGGTCAGGAGTTCAAGACCAGCTTGGCCAAGATGGTGAAACCCCGTCTCTACTAAAAATACAAAAATTAGCGGGACAGGGTGGCGGGCGCCTATAATCCCAGCTACTAGGGAGGCTGAGGCAGGAGAATCACTTGGACCTGGGAGACAGAGGTTGCAGTGAGCCGAGATTGCACCACTGCACTCCAGCCTGGGCAACAGAGTGCAACTTCATCTCAAAAAAAATAAATAAATAAAAATAAACATAAAAAGCACTGCAATGACTTTCATATGCACCTAGGATTAAGACCTTAATTTAAATTTTCAGGGCCAGGCTCGGTGGCTCATGCCTGTAATCCTAGCACTTTGGGAGGCCATGGTGGGAGGACTGGTTGAGCCCAGGAGTCCAATACCAGCCCTGACAACATAGCCAGACACTGTCTCTATAAAAAAATTTAAAAATTAACCAGGCATGGTAGTATACACCTGTCTGTGTTCTCATTCCTTGGGAGGCTGAGGTGGGAGGATCACATGAGCCTGGGAGGTCCAAGCTACAGTAAACCAAGTTCATGCCACACACTCCAGCCTGAGCAACACAGCAAGACCCTGACTCAAAACAAAAAAACAAAAACAAAAACAAAAAAACTACAGCTACTTAAAGTGTGTTC
This sequence comes from Homo sapiens, assembly GCF_000001405.40. Taxonomy (NCBI): domain Eukaryota; kingdom Metazoa; phylum Chordata; class Mammalia; order Primates; family Hominidae; genus Homo; species Homo sapiens. The sequence goes on from NC_000019.10 coordinate 11,525,567, forward strand.
TAGGGACTGGCAGTGTCAGCAACATTTGGAAGTTTATTAGAATAGCAAAATTTGGCCGGGCATGGTGACTCACGTGTGTAATCCCAGCACGTTGGGAGGTCCAGGCCAGCTGATCACCTGAGGTCGGGAGTTCGAGACCAGCCTGACCAACATGGAGAAACCCTGTCTCTACTAACAAAAAAAAAAAAAAAAAAATACAAAATTAGCCGGGTGTGGTGTATGCTTGTAATTCCAGCTACTTGGGAGGCTGAGGCAGGAGAATTGCTTGAACCTGGGAGGCAGAGCTTGTAGTGAGCCAAGAGCACACCATTGCACTCCAGCCTGGGCAACAAGAGCGAAACTCCATCTCAAAAAAAAAGCAAAATCTCGGCCCTATCCCAGACCTACTGAACTGGAATCTGCATTTTTTTTTTTCCCAGGCGGAGTCTTGCTCTGTCGCCCAGGCTGGAGTGCAGTGGTGCAATCTTGGCTCACTGCAACCTCCGTATCCTGGGTTCAAGCAATTATCCTGCCTCAGCCTCCCGAGTAGCTGGGATTACAGGCACATGCCACCATGCCTGGCTAATTTTTGCGTTCTTAGTACAGACAGGGTTTCACCATCTTGTCCAGACTGGTCTTGAACTCCTGACCTTGTGATCCACCTGCCTTGGCCTCCCAAAGTGCTGGGATTACAGGCATGAGCCACTGCGCCAGGCCCAAATCTGCATTTTAGCGAGTCCCTGGTATCTCCTGTGAGCATTAAAGTTTGAGAAGTGGTGATCTGTGTGCTGATGGCTCCCCAATGTTCACCTCAATCCCTGGGCCCCAGCCTTTATACCTAACTGCCACTTTGGCATATACCCAGCCATCTCAAACATAATTTGCTCCAAACTGATATCCTTGCTTAAACTTGATCCTCTCCATCCTATCCAATCGCACCACTACTACTGGCCATTCAGGCTACAAACCTAGGAGACATTTCTGAGTCCACTATGTCCCTCACTCTCCTATTCAATCCATCAACTAGTCTAGGTGACTACTTCCAAATCCATCCCAAATGCATCTCTTTCTATCTGAAGCCACCACCTCAATCTATGACTTGGATACCTATCAAGCCTCCCACTTTTGCCCTTCCTGCCTCCAGTCAGTTCTCCCCACTATGGCCAGAGGGAGCTTTTTTTTTTTTTTTTTGGAGACAGAGTCTCACTCTGTTCCCCAGGCTGGAGTGCAATGGCGCATCTCGGCTCACTGCAACCTCCGCCTCCCCAGTTCAAGTTGGTTCTCATGCCTCAGCCTCCCGAGTAGCTGGGACTACAGGTGTGTGCCACCACACCCAGCTAATTTTTTGTATTTTAGTAGAGATGGGGTTTCATCATGTTGCTCAGGGTGGTCTCGAACTCCTGAGTTCAAGCAATCCACCCATCTTGGCCTCCCAAAGTGCTAGGATTACAGGTGTGAGCCACCACACCCAGCCAGAGGGAGCTTTTAAACTAAAATTAGGCCAGGCGCTGTGGCTCACGCCTGTAATCCCAGCACTTTGGGAGGCTGAAGCAGGTGGATCACAAGGTCAGTTCAAGACCAGCCTGGCCGAGATGGTGAAAGCCCGTCTGTACTAAAAATACAAAAATTAGCCAGGTGTGGTGGCAGGCACCTGTAATCCCAGCTATTCGGGAGCCTGAGGCAGGAGAATCACTTGAACCTGGGAGGTGGAGGTTGCAATGAGCCAAGATTGTGCCACTGCACCCCAGTCTGGGCGACAGAGCGAGATTCCATCGCTAAATAAATAAATAAATCAACTAAAATTAGTGATTTCTGCCTAAAATCGCTAACGGCATATCACACTTAAAATCAGAGACTGGGCACACTGGCTCATGCCTGTAATCCCAACACTTTGGGAGACCAAGGTAGGAGGATCACTTGAGCCCAGGGATTCAAGACCAGCCTGGGCAACATAGAGAGACCCCATCTCTACAAAAAAATTAAGAATTATCCAGGCATGGTGGTGAATGCCTGTCATCTCAGGTACTCAGGAGACTGAGGCTGGAGGATCCTTTAAGGTCAGTAGTTAGAGGTTGCAGTGAACCATGACTGCACTTGTGAATAGCCACTGCACTCTAGCCTGGGCAACATACTGAGATCCTGTCTCTAAAAATAAATAAATAGCCAGGGAGCAGTGGCTCATGCCTATAATCCTAGTGCTTTGGAAGTCCAAGTGGGGAGGATCGCTTGAGCCCAGGAGTTCAAGACCAGCCTGGACAACATAGCAGGACACGATCTTTACAAAAATTATTTTAAAAAATTAGCTGGACCTGGTGGTGTGCACCTGTAGTTCCAGCTACTGGGAAAGCTGAGGCAGGAGAATCACTTGAGCCATGGAGTTTGAGGCTGCAGTGAGCTATGGAGTGCACTGCACCACTGCACTCCAGGCTTGACGAACAAGTGAGATCCTGTCTCTAAAAAATAAAAATAAATAAATAAAATCAGATAGGGTCTACCCCTCTAAACTCAACTCCTACCACTGGCAGCTTCAGCTACACTGTTTCTGAAAGAAACTAAGTTTATCCCATCTCAGAACCTTTGTACTTGCTTTTCTCTCTGTCTAGAGCTTTCTTCCTCCAGATCTGCCCACAGCTGTCTCTGGTCATTTCAATGAAAGGTCTTCTTTGACCATCTCCCATTCCCCACATTCTAAAAGCCCTCATCACCCTATTAATTTTTGTTTCGGAGACAGGGTCCTGCTCTGTTGCCCAGGCTGGGGTGCAGTGGCACAATCACGGCTCACTACAGCCTCAACCTCCTGGGCTCAAGCAATCCTCCCACCTCAGCTTCCCGAGTAGCTAGGACTACAGGCGTGCACCACTACGCCCAGATAATTTTTTGTAGAGAACAGGGTCTTGCTATGTTGCCAAGGCTGGTCTCGAAACTCCTGGGCTCAAGCGAAATTCCCGACACCATTAACGCATTTTTAGTAACTTATCAGTATCTGAAATCACCTGTTTCGTTTATTTCTAATTTGTTCAAAGTCTGGTTCCCCCAGGAGATGAGAGATTTTTATCTATCTTCCTCATTGCTGTGTCTCCAGCACCAAGGACAGTGCCTGGTATATGACAGATGCCTAACGAGTAACAACTGAACGGAAACAAGCCTCAATTTCAAAAAAACACCTATAAATCTGAACCCCGAGGTATGGTGTACGTACAACAGCTTTGAAACCGGCTGCCAGGATTCTGGGTCTCTTGGGGGAAAAAGGCAGACGCGGATTCCAAATCCTGCCCGGTTGCCGACTTGCGGCGTGACCTCTCGCGAGGTCATCTGCAAAATGGGAGACTGGGGGCGTGAGGCGGCTGGCACAAGACAGGCGGCCTTTCCCAGCGCGTCCCCGCCCCCACTACGAAAGGTCATGGCGCCCTGGCCCTGCAGCTGGGTCCCTCCAGGGCTGCCCTCTCGCGCTGCCGGGTCCTGAAGGGCCCGCCTGCAGCCCAGCAGTTCGCGTTCGCCTACCCGCGCGCGACCTACCTACTCACGCGGCCAGCCGCGGACTCCAGGCCAGCTCTGTCTTGTTGCTGGGCGCTGCCATATTGGCCCAGAGAGCGTCCGGGTCAGGGAGCTCCAGGGAGGTAGCAAATCAAGAAAGCTGGTGTAATAGGTCCCGCCCACAACGCGAGGTGGGCCAATAGGAAGGCGGAAGGATCTGGGACCCGCCTCATAACGAGCCAGGCCCAGCCTCTAATGAGGCAAGACGCACTCCAGACCTGGGAACCTTGAAATGGCCCGGGAGGCTGGACTTGGGAGTCATAGTCTATGAATCCAGTCGCAGGCCCCAGCGGCTGAAATGAGAAAATGAATTAAAAAAAAACAAAAAGTGAAAGGGGGCCGGTACGGTGGCTCATGCCTGTAATCCCAGCACTTTGGGAGGCCAGAAGTTCGAGACCAGCCTGGGCAACATAGCGAGACCCCCTTATCTACAAAAAATTTAAAAATTAACTGGGCATGATGGCGCATGCTCATAGTCCCAGCTATTCGGGAGGCTGAAACGGGAGGATCGCTTGAGCCCTGGAGGTCGAGGCTACAGCGAGCCATGATTGCACCCCTGCACTCCAGCCTGGGCAACAGAGTGAGACCCTGTTTCTAAAAATAGTAATAATAAATAAATAGGGCAGGGCGCGGTGGCTCACGCCTGTAATCCCAACACTTTGGGAGGCCGAGGCCTGCGGATCACCTGAGGTCAGGAGTTCGAGACCAGCCTGGCCAACATGATGAAACCCCGTCTCTACTAAAAATACAAAGTTAGCAGGGCATGGTGGTGGGTGCCTGTAATCCCAGCTTCTCGGGAGGTTGAGGCAGGAGAATCGCTTGAACCCGGGAGACGGAGGTTGCAGTGAGCCAGGATAACACCACTGCACTCCAGCCTCAGCAACAGAGCGAGACTCTGTCTCAAAAAATAAATAAATAAATAAAAATTAGTGGGGCGTGGTGGCGTGCTCCTGTGATCCCAGCTACTCGGGAGGCTGAGGCACGAGAATTGCTTGAACCCAGGAGGTGGAGGTTGCAGCGAGCCGATATAGCACCACTGCACTCCAGCCTGGGCGACAGAGTGAGACTCCGTCTCAGTAAATAAATAAATAGGAAGGCCTCAGTGAGGTGTCCTTTGAGTAAAGGCCGGAGGAAGTGAGTGAGCCATCTGGATATCTGGGGAACGCTTTTGGCACTGGGAACAACAGCAAAGACTCTGTGTGGTCGGAGTGGAGTCTTTGGAGGAAATGGGATAAAACGAGGTGAGATTGAGTAATGGGGGCTCCTGGTCTCCCCCAGAAAGCACCAGATTTAGGCTGTTAATAACTAAGGTGGATAAGCACATAAAATGGGCTATTGGCAATAACAGTGTCCCCCGGGAAGGAAGGCTATCTGCCCTCATAAGCCCATTTCTGCAGTCCCTCAGCCTCTGTGGCGCAGTGAGCTGGCATGGAGACTAGGATGCAAGAACCTACCCTTAGGATGCCTCAAGGACTCTGCGCAGCCGCAGGACATCCACCTCATCAGAACTCTTGTGATTGGGCAATCTGAGAAAACCTGTAGCCAATCAGCTGCTTGGCTGGAGCACTCCTCTCTGGCAAGTTGACAGGCACGTGGGCAGCGGCTGGGAGCGCTACTGCCCTCTGCCAGGCTCCCGCAGCTACAAGCAAGCAGAGTCAGCTCTGCTTAGCTGGGGAGTGGGTAAGATGATGGGGTCGCTGACCTGGCTGTGGCCTTCAGAGTTATTGGTGTCCTTCTCTTGAGGTGGTCATGGCTTTTGTTTTCTTATTTATCCTTCCAGAACTAGTCTTTTAATATTTTATTTTATTTTATTTTATTTTATTTTTGGAGACGGAGTCTGGCTCTGTCGCCCAGGTTGCAGTGCAGTGGTGCAATCTCAGCTAATTGCAACCTCCGCTTCCCACATTCAAGCAATTCTCCTGCCTCAGCCTCCCGAGTAGCTGGGACTACAGGCGCATGCCACCATACCCGGCTAATTTTTGTATTTTTAGTAGAGATGGAGTTTCACCATGTTGCCTAGGCTGGTCTCCAACTCCTGGGCTCAAGCAGTCCTCCCGCTTCAGCCTCCCAAAGTGTCAGAATTACAGGCATTAGCCACCGTGCCCAGTCATTATTATTATTTATTTATTTATTTATTTTTTGAGACAGAGTCTTGCTCTGTCGCCCAGGCTGGAGTGCAGTGGCACGATCTCGGCTCACTGCAAACTCCGCCTCCTGGGCTCACGCCATTCTCCTGCCTCAGCCTCCCCAGTTGCTGGGACTGCAGGCGCCCGCCACCATGCCCAGCTAATTTTTTTGTATTTTTAGTAGAGACGGGGTTTCACTGTGTTCTCCAGGATGGTCTGATCTCCTGACCCCGTGATCTGCCAGCCTCGGCCTCCCAAAATGCTGGGATTACAGGCATGAGCCACCATGCCCGGCCTATTATTATTATTTTAAAATAGAGATGGGATCTTAATATGTTACCAAGGCTTGTCTCAAACTCCTGGGGTACTGCGATCCACCCATCTTGGCCTCCTAAAGTGCTGGGATTATAGGCATGTGCCACCACACCAGGCCAGTAGTCTTTTAAAAACAAGTAGGTACAGGCCGTGCGCGGTGGCTCACGCCTGTAATCCCACCACTTTGGGAAGCCGAGGCGGGTGGATCACGAGGTCAGGAGATCAAGACCATCCAGCCTAACAAGGTGAAATCCAGTCTCTACTAAAAAAAATACAAAAAATTAGCCAGGCGTGGTGGTGGGCGCCTGTAGTCCCAGCTACTCGGGAGGCTGAGGCAGGAGAATGGTGTGAACCCGGGAGGCGGAGCTTGCAGTGAGCCGAGACTGCACCACTGCACTCCAGCCTGGGCGACAGAGCAAGACTCCATCTCAAAAAAACAAACAGACAAACAACAACAAAAAAACCAAGAATGTACATATTTTATGTACTGTATGTATTAACACAGAACACCATATGTGAGGCCCTGGTGCAGAATCTTTAACATTACAGTCCCAGAAAGAACCCTATAAAAAGTAGTAGCTTCACAGTGAAAGATCCTAGCAGACACCACCTTAACCAAGGGACCAACATTTATATCACCAGCAATGAGTCATGGTGATATCATGAAGCCCTTGGTATGACACACTTAGAAGGATACATCATCACCTCTCTGGTATTCTTCCTGGTAATGCAAACACCTCAGTTTATTCAAGACAAACCAAACTCGAAGACAGTCTACAAAATAACTGACCAGCACTCTTCAAAAGTGTCAAGGTCCTGAAAGACCCAGGGACTATTATAGACTGTAGGAATGTATGGAGATATGACAATTAAATGCAATGAGGGCCAGGCACAGTGGCACTGTAGTTCTAGCTATTTAGGAGGCTGAGGCAGGAGGATCACTTGAACCCAGGAGTTCAAGTCCAGCCTGGGCATCATAGTGAGACCTCATCTCTAAGATAGATAGATAGATAGATAGATAGATAGATAGATAGACAGACAGACAGACAGACAGACAGACAGACAGAAAGAAAGAAACGCAATGGGCCGGATGCGGTGGCTCACACCTGTAATCCCAGCACTTTGGGAGGCCGAGGCAGACAGATCACAAGGTCAGGAGTTCAAGACCAGCCTGACCAACATGGTGAAACCCCCTGCCTCAGCCTCCCATGTAGCTGGGATTATAGGCTCCCACCATTACGCCCAGCTAATTTTTGTAGTTTTTGTAGAGATGGGGTTTTACCATGTTGGCCAGGGTGGTCTTGAACTCCTGACCTCAGGTGATTCACCCGCCTCAGCCTCCCAAAGTGTTGGGATTACAGGCGTGAGTCACTGCACCCAGCTGGAGTCCCCACTCTTAACCACAGCGCTACAGTGTCTTCATTTAGTTGAAACAACATGCTATATGTTTTAACTTCAACTTTGTCTATCTCCCTTGTCCCAGGTTGATGGGATTTATAGTGATTTATTATGACAAGGCCACTGCAATAAATGTTCCTGTACATATGTCATTCTTCACACCTACACTTGTACTTCTGAGGAATATTCTAAAATAGAGGATATACTTGTTCAGAAGGTAAGGACATTTGTCATTTGGGAAACTATCAACAAATTGCCCACACTCATCAACAATGTTCCCACAGCCTCCTCTGCGTTACATGTTGTCAAGCATTCTTTTATTTATTTATTTATTTATTTATTTATTTATTTATTTTTTTGAGACAGAGTCTCGCTCTGTCGCCCAGGCTGGAATGCAGTGGCACGATCTCAGCTCACTGCAAGCTCTGCCCCACAGCTTGACGCCATTCTCCTGCCTCAGCCTCCCAAGTAGCTGGGACTACAGGCGCCCGCCACCACGCCCGGCTAATTTTTTGTATTTTTAGTAGAGACAGGGTTTCACCATGTTGGCCAGGATGGTCTCGATCTCCTGACCTCGTGATCCGCCTGCCTTGGCCTCCCAAAGTGCTGGGATTACAGGCGTGAGCCACCACACCCGGCCGTCAAGCATTCTTTTCTTTTCTTATTTATTTATTTTTCACCCAAACTAAAATGCAATGGCATGGCTGGACACAGTGGCTCATGCCTGTAATCCCAGCACTTTGGGAGGCCAAGGCAAGCAGATTACCTGAGGTCAGTAGTTCGAGACCAGTCTGGCCAACATGGTGAAACCCCATCTCTACTAAAAATACAAAAATTAGCCCGGTATGGTGGTGGGCACCTGTAATCCCAGCTACTCAGGAGGCTGAGGCAGGATAATTGCTTGAACCTGGGAGGTGGAAGTTGCAGTGAGCTGAGATCATGCCACTGTACTCCGGCCTGGGTGACAGAGTGAGATTCTGTAAAAAAAAAAAAAAAAAAAAAAATAAGCAGTGTCATGATCATAGCTCACTGTAGCCTCCAACTCCTGGGCTCAAGCAATCCTCCTGCCTTGCCCTCCCAAAATGCACTTTTTTAAAAAGCTCTCTCTCTTTTTTTTTTTTTTGTAGAGGCAGGGCCCTGCCATGTCTCCCAGGCTGGTCTTGAACTGCTGGCCTCAAACAATCTGCCCATCTTGGCCTCCCAAAGTGCTGGAATTACAGACACGAGCCACTGCACCCAGACTATAAGTGAACAGCTCCCTCCCTGTCCACCCACTCACAGTCAGTCTGGGGGTGAGAGATGCTATTATTTTACAGCAGGTGGTCAGGGAAGGCCTCTCTGAGAGGTGATATTAGAGCAGAGACTGAATGAAGTTGGGGAGAGGCCATGCAGGCATCTTGCAGAAATGTGTTCCAGGTGGCAGGAACTGCTATTGTAAAGACCCTGAGGTGGGAACATGTTTGGGGACTCAAGAAACACATCTGTAGCCCAGCGTGGTAGCGGGTGCCTGTAATCCCAGCTACTTGGGAGGCTGAGGCTCCAGAATTGCTTGAAACCAGGAGGTGGAGGTTGCAGTGAACCGAGATCATGCCACTCCAACCTGAGCGACAGAGCGATACTCTGACTCAAAAAAAAAAAAAAAAGGAGAAGAAGAAGAAGAAATAAGGAGAAGGGAGAAGAGAGAAGGGAGAAGGGGAAGAAGGAGAAGGAGGAGGAGAAGGAAGAAAGAAGAAAGAAGAAGAAGGAGGAGGAGGAGAAGCAGCAGCAGAAGAAGAGGAAGAAGAAGGAGAACAAGAAGAAAAAGAGGAAGAGGAAGAAGAAGAGGAAGAAGAAGGAGAAGGAGAAGGAGCAGCAGCAGCAGCGGAAGAGGAAGAGGAAGAAAAGAAAGAAGAAAGAAGAAAGAAGGAGAAGGAGAAGGAGAAGAAAGAAGAAAGAAGAAAGAAGAAGAAGAAGAAGAGGGAGAAGAAGAAGAAGAAACAGCACATCTGGAGGGACTTGGAAGAAAAGGTACAAACAGTGTTACCTGGGAGGGTGGCTTGGCTTCTCTGAACCTTGAGTTTCCCATCTATAAAATGGACCTATGAGTTTCTACCCTCAGAAGGTGATGGTGAGGATTAAAAGAGATTGTGGCTGGCATGGAGTGAGTGTTCCCATAACAGAAGCCTTTAGGAACAAGAGCCTCTGCCAGATTTCTGGATAGGAAAGCTTCGTGAGGAGGGAGCTTGCAGAGCAGGATGCCAAGATAGGCCGGTGCAGAGCAGGGCTTTGACTTTCCCCAAAACACACAGACAAACACGTGTGAGTGTGGGTTTTATTTTTATTTTTACATTTTTTGAGTCAGAGTCTCACTCCCGTGGCCCAGGCTGGAGTGCAGTGGTGTGATCTTGGCTCACTGCAACCTCTGCCTGACATGCCGGGTTCAAGCAATTCTCCTGCCTCAGCCTCCCGAGTAGCTGGGATTACAGGCATGTACCACCATGCCCGGCTAATTTTGTATTTTTAGTAGACACGGGGTTTCACCATGTTGGTCAGGCTGGTCTTGAACTACTGACCTCAGGTGATCCACCCGCCTTGGCCTCTCAAAGTGCTGGGATTACAGGCGTGAGAAACCACGCCCGGCCAAGTGTGAGTTTTAAATGGTTCTGAGCATCAGGAAGGTTTTAGGGGGTCCCCTGAAGTTGAGGAGAGGCATGGCTTTCCTACAATGACTGTCCTAGACCCTTCGGGAAACCGTGCCTCTTACAAGATCCTACACTTCTCATTTAGATGGTAAACTGAGGCACAGAGGGGCTAGAGCCTGGAAAATGCCAGAAAGGAGCGAATAAGGGATGACACTCGGGTGTCTACTGGGATTGGGGCCTCGATATGGGATCAGCCCCCTCTAATGCCTCTACCCCCATCTACCAGACAGAGACGCGAAGAGAGACGGACAATACAGCGACAGCGACATGAAGAGAAACAGAATGACTCAAAGACCAGGCACAGAAACAGAGACACAGAGACAAAGGCAGAGACAGAAAAAGGCTCAGCGACCCAGAGACGGAGATACAGAGACACAGACCTACTACAATCAGAGGGACAAGGCAGTCCCCGAAAGGGCTGCCCCCTGGGGGTACCCGGGGCTGCCCCGTTGGGGGGCACGCCAAGAGCTCCCCCACCCCGCCCCCGTCGTGCCTGGGCCGTGACTTCAGAGTCCGTGCAGATTCTATAAATGGCCAAGAGGCCGCGGGCCGGGGGGCGGGGCCGAGTGAGTCATCGCGTGACGTCACCGCCGCCTGGACCTCGCCAGGTCCCGCCCCCGCCCCTCCCGGGCCGCCAGGGGGCGCCGGCTGCAGGTCCTCACATGCGCAGTAGCGAACTGCGGCCCCCGAGGGCCGCTCAGTTTGGGAGGGATCCAGGAATCTGCGCGTTCGAATCCCGCCCCTGCCACCCTCGAGCTGTGTGACCCGGCCATTCGGCGTCACCTCTCTGTGCCTCGTATAGACCCACCTCATAAGGCTGTCGTGAGGAATGAGTTAACAGGCTCAAAGCTCTTAGTACGTAGCAGGTGCTAATTGTTAGCTCATTTTATGTACTTTCTATTTTTTCTTTTTTTTTTTTTTAAATAGAGACGGGGTCTCGCTATGTTGCCTAAGCTGGTCTCGGGTCTCGAACTCCAGGGCTCAAGCGATCCTCCCGCCTTGGCCTCGTATTTTATGTATTTTCGTGTATGTTCAACATATCATGACATGCCATCAACTAGCACATTGCCTTAGCTCAGTGGTTGGCAAACAGGGGTGATCTGCTTCCACCCCGACCCCAATCATGGGACATTGGCAATGTGTGTAGACATTTCTTCTTTTAATTTTTCTTTTTTAGAGACCATGGTCTTGCTATCTTGGCCAGATGGTTCTCAAACTCCTGGGCTCAAGGGATCCTCCCACCTCAGCCTCCTTAGTAGCTGGGACTACAGGGTCCTGCCGCAGTGCCTCAACATTTCTGTTTATTAGGACTAAGAGAGTGCTACTGGCATGTAGCAGGTAGAGGCCAGGCATGCTGCTTGAAGTCTTACAATGAATGCCCAAGGCAGCCCCCCAACCATGAAGAATTATCCAGCCTCAGCTGTCAACAGTGTGGAGGTTGAGAAACCCCACCTTAGCCTCATAGTTGAGGTTCATGGAGCATGGTCTCAAATTCTCCTCTGCCCCTGGCCTGCTGTGTGACGCTGAAAAAGTGATTCCAAGCCCCCGTGCCTCAGTTTCCCCACCTGTAAAGCAAAGTACTTGTATTAATAATAACAGTGTCAGCTGGGCACGGTGGCTCACGCCTGTAATCCCAGCACTTTGCAAGGCCGAGGTGGGCAGATCAACTGAGGTCAGGAGTTCGAGACCAGCCTGGCTAACATGGCAAAACCCCGTCTCTACTAAAAATACAAAAAATAGCCAGTCGTGGTGGCAGACACCTGTCATCCCAGCTACTTGGGAGGCTGAGGCAGGAGAATCGCTTGAACCCAGGAGGTGGAGGTTGCAGTGAGCCGAGATAGCATCACTGCACTCCAGCCTGGGGAATAGAGACTCTGTCTCCAAATAATAATAATAATAATAATAATAATAATAATAACAGTGTCCATCTCTGAGGGCGTCATGAGAATTGAATGGATATATGTACAGAGTTGGAACATGGCCTGACATAAGGGCTGTAGTCTGTGGCATATTGCAGCCATGCCATTAGCATGTGACCGATAAACTGCATATCCTCAACATATCATTAGTGTGTGGCAGGTTGCAGACATGTCATCCAAGTGTCACAAACATGGCCTTGCCATGTGGGGCATGATGTGGGCATAGCATCCACCCCTGTGGTCCAGGGGTGAGATCTGGCTGGGTAGGGCTGTTTGACAGGGACACAGTTCACGGCCTGGGACTTGCCAACAAAGTCACCCTGTAGTTCAGGTGACACACAAGTGGATGGGGAGGGTGAGACCCAGGATCTCTTCTCCCCCAGGTCCTTATGAGGGGCTGGAGGAGACAGAACTGGGGTGCTGGACCCTCAGCATAAAGAATGCTATAGGCTGGGCATGGTGACTCATGCCTGTAAATCCCAGCGTTTTGGGAGGCCAAGGCGGGCAGATTGCTTGAGCCCAGAAATTTGAGACCAGCCTGGGCAACATAGCGAGACCCCGGGCAACATAGCGAGACCCCATCTCTAAAAAAATAAAATAAAATTAGCCAGGTTGGTGGCACAAGTCTGCAATTCTAACTACTTGGATGGGCTGAGATGGGAGGATCACTTGAGCCTGGGAGGTCAAGGCTGCAGTGAGCTGTGATTGTGCCACTGCACTCCAGCCGAGGGGACAGAGTGAAACCTTGCCTTAAAAAGACTGCTATGGCCCGAGTCCCTCTGCTGTGCCGGGCACTGTGCTGGGCATGTAACAGGCATATTCTTCTGATCTTTACAACTCTCCCATGAGGCAGGCACTATCGTTAGCCCATTTTACAGATGTGGCCATAGAGGCCCAGAGAGGAGAAGGGGCTTACCTAAGGCTATAGACTGTTGGTATCTGGAGATAAACCCGGGATGGTGCTCACTAAACTACCTTGGGTGTCAGTCCTGCTTCAAGACTCCAGAGAGATAAAGAGAGATGACCTCAGAGACAAAGAGACTCAGACCCAGCCAGAGGCCCAATGGACAGTGGGAGGGGTGGGTGGAAGAAGGCTGGTCTCTGTCTGACCAAGCCCCCCCAGAATAACGCAGGCTGCCCCCCTAGGTGGAAACAATGACACAATCAGCTCCCAATACCAAGGGCCTGACATCACAAGGGGAGGGGAAGGCAGCTGAGGTTGTGGGGGGAGGTGCCCCGCCCCTTGGCAGGCCCCTACAGCCAATGGAACGGCCCTGGAAGAGACCCGGGTCGCCTCCGGAGCTTCAAAAACATGTGAGGAGGGAAGAGTGTGCAGACGGAACTTCAGCCGCTGCCTCTGTTCTCAGCGTCAGTGCCGCCACTGCCCCCGCCAGAGCCCACCGGCCAGCATGTCCTCTGCTCACTTCAACCGAGGCCCTGCCTACGGGCTGTCAGCCGAGGTTAAGAACAAGGTAGGGCTGGAGGGCCTCCCTGGCCTGGCCCACACGTCCTGCCAGGCCAGAGCCCTGAGCTTGGGGTCCCTTGAACCCCCTCCTGCCTATCCTATGTGACTTGGAAACTGAGAGGGGAAAAGGGAGTGATATGGGATAGGGGCTGCCTGTCTCCCCCTGAACATCCCGGAGCCCCCAGCTATGGTTGGGGCTGGAATGGGGGGGCACACAGCCACACATAAACAGAGGGGGTCAGTCCATTGCAAAGATACCCACCTGATCAGTCTTCTGTTAACCCTTCGTGTTCTTGGGGGGAACAACATAGGGGGAAGACTTGTTGATTTTTCCATATCCCCCGGCCTGACAAAGAAATTGGGGAGCGCTTGAGTGCTGGGGTACCTGGGAAGTGACGCCGTGAAAGTGTGGGAGATCCTGAAGACAGAGGGGGACGGTGAAAGGCAGGAAGCGGGCATCAGAAGTGCGGCAGGGGTCTCCTGACTGTGGAGCTAGGAAGATACCTGGACACCACCTTCATGCTATGGTTGGGTAAACTGAGGTTCGGAGAGGAGAGGCAAATAGCTGGGGTCCCAGGTAAAGCAGGTACAGCGCTCGGACCCTGGACTCACCCCCCATACACCAGGATGGGCTCAGCTTCTCCCAGCTGGAGAACTTTAAGTTTCCAGCCCACTGGAATCGCCCCAACAGTATTGCCGAGGGAGGAGTTCCTGCCCCATTTGACAGAGGGGAACACTGAGGCTCAGGGTGGCTTTTCCCAGGGTCCCATGGTGAGGAAGTGGGGGACTGGGTTGGAACCTGGGTCGAGGGATCTCGGGGCTGGAGGAGGGGGCTGGTGGGGGGCGGGTCCTCGGGCGAGAGACAGATCCCAGCGCCGCCCTCCTCCCCCCCAGCGCCGGCCCCAGAGCCGCGCAGAGCCGCGCAGAGACGCCGCGCCTTATAAGGCGGCCTCGGGGAGCCCGGGCCACGCTATATAAGGGCCGGTTTGCTTTATAAAGCCGGGCTGGTGGCGTGGGGGGCGGCAGGGCCAGGGCCAGGTGAGGGGGCCGCCCCTCCCACCTCCCCCCACTCACCCGGGAGAAGAAGAGGCAGCCCGGTCCCCTAGGGGCTGGGAGCCTGGCTGGGCTTGGGCGGAGGGTTCTGGAGAAATGGGAGTGGAGTGGGGGAGGGGGGGGACAGTGGAGAGAGGGAAAAGCAGGGAGGTGGGGGGAGAGGCAGACAGAGATACTGGGAGCCTGAGACACCCTAGGGACAGACGGGGGAGGGCGAGCCAGGAGCGAGATAAGACCTAGACAAGGATGGAGGGGCAGGGAGAGGAGACAGAGCCCCACCACCCCCACCCCAGGCAGGAAACCTGGAGACAGAGAAAGACCTAGAGAGGCAGATATACAAGACCCAGGAGCCCTACCCCTGGCCAGACAGGGACTAGCCACCTAGAGAGATGGGGACCCAAGACTGGGCCAAGAAAAGACAGCGCTGGGGAAGAGAGAGACAGAGGAGTCGGGGGGATAAGAGGGAGAGAGACATACAGACGTGCAAGGGGTGGGGGCTAAGACAGAGACAAGCCCCCACCACTAACCAGAGACAGAGCCCTGGAGCTGAAGACCTGGGGGACACGGAGAGACAGAGATGTATGACCAGCACTCCTCTGCAAGCCAGCACCCAGGGACACCTCCTTAGACATCCTTCTTCCCTTCCTGAGGTGCCCTCTCTTCCAACAGGGGGCACAGAGGGGGCAGGGCTAGAGGAAGAGAAGCCCCAAGTTTGGCCTGGGCGAAAAACCAGGGTGCCGGGTGCCACCCCTCTAGCTCAGAGGATCCAGCTCCCCACACCCCACCCCTCATCTACATTCCCTGGTGCCAAACCTCAGAATGCCCGGAATGGCCCCCTGGGCAGGTGCCACCTCAGCCCTGGCTCTCAGCCCGCCCCAGCCCCCATCCCCCAACTATGGATCTGGGGCAAAATTGCCTTAGTTGGGAAGGACGAGGGAGATCAGGCTCTAGGAAGTTCAGACAGGACCCAGGGAGCCCAGGCTGCCCCCAATGCATCCTCACCCCTTTCTCTGTGCCCCCTGCCCTCCCCTCGCCCCAGCTGGCCCAGAAGTATGACCACCAGCGGGAGCAGGAGCTGAGAGAGTGGATCGAGGGGGTGACAGGCCGTCGCATCGGCAACAACTTCATGGACGGCCTCAAAGATGGCATCATTCTTTGCGAGTGAGTGAGGCTCTCGAAGCCGAGACCCTGCAACATCCCCCAACTCCATGCAGCCCCTCAACCCCCAAAACAACCATGATCCTGGAACTGAGTTGAACACTTTCTATTGGATACCTTTGGGGTGGCCAGTAATCATTGTGCCCATTTAACAGGCACAGAAAACTGAGGCTCAGGTGAAATGCATTGCACCAAGTCCCACGTGGTTTCAAGGGAAATGACTCTAGAATCTTAACCACCATGCTATATAGGGTAGGCCCATCTGTGGCCGCCAGAGTCCCCAGAAAGAGCGGTCACAGCTAAAAGGCAGCAGCCAACAGCTGTTCATGGCTGGCTTGGTGATGTGAGGAGAGATGTGCAGCAATAATTAAAGGAGGCCCTGGTTTTCTTTCTGTTTTCTTTTTGTTTTTTTGAGATACAGTCTTGTTCTGTTGCCCAGGCTGCAGTGCAGAGACACAATCTCGGCTCACTGCAACCTCCGCCTCCAGGGTTTAAGTGATTCTCCTGCCTCAGCCTCCCCAATAGCTGGGATTACAGGCACGCACCACCATGCCTGGCTAATTTTTGTATTTTTTTAAAGTAGAGATGGGGTTTCACCATGTTGGCCAGGATGGTTACGAACTCCTGACCTCAATTGATCCACCTACCTCAGCCTCCCAAAGTGCTGGGATTACAGGCACGTGCCACCATGCCCGGTTAATTTTTGTTTTTTTTTTTTTTTTTTCAGTAGAGATGGAGTTTCACCATGTTGACTAGGCTGGTCTTGAACTCCTGACTTCAAGTGATCCACCTGCCTTGGCCTCCCAAAGTGCTGGGATTGCAGGCACATGCCACCACGCCTGGCTAATTTTTGTATTTTTTTTTTTTTTTTTTAGTAGAGACAGTGTTTCACCATGTTGACCGGGCTGGTCTCAAACTCCTGACCTCAAGTGATCCACCTGCCTCGGCCTCCCAAATTGCTGGGATTACAGGCATGAGCCACCTCGCCCGACCTTCTTCTTCTTCTTCTTTTTTTTGAGATGGAGTCTTCCTCTGTCACCCGGGCTGGAGTGCAGTGACATGATCTCAGCTCACTGCAACCTCTGCTTTCCGGGTTCAAGTGATTCTTGTGTCTCAGCCTCCTGAGCAGCTGGGATTACAGGTGCCCACCACCTTGCCCGGATAACTTTTGTATTTTTAGTAGAGACGGGATTTTGCCATGTTGGCCTGGCTGGTCTCGAACTCCTGACCTCAAGTGATCCACCCGCCTTAGTCTCACAAAGTGCTGGCATTACAGGCATGAACCACTGCACCCTGCCGGCCCTGGTTTTCTCCTCGCCTCAAAACCTCATTGCTGAGGGAGGTGAAAACCCTAACAGCTCCCAAGCCCCAGTTCCACTGCAATCTTTTTTTTTTTTTTCAGATGGAATCTTGCTTTGTGACCCAGGCTGGAGTGCAGTGGCATGATCTTGGCTCACTGCAAGCTCTGCCTCCCAGGTTCAAGCAATTCTCCTGCCTCAGCCTCCTGAGTAGCTGGGATTACAGGTGCCCGCCACCACGCCCAGCTAATTTTTGTATTTTTAGTAGAGACGGGGTTTCACCATGTTGGTCAGGCTGGTCTCGAACCCCTGACCTTGTGATCCACCCACCTCGGCCTCCCAAAGTGCTGGGATTATAGGCGTGAGCCACCGCGCCCGGCTCCACTGCAATCTTAATGCATAGCAGGGCCCTAAACCCAGCCTGCGCCCGATCTGCATTTGAGTCTGACCCAGGGCAGAGTGACTGTGAGTGGCCTCGGGAAGACTTTGAAGGTGCAGCTTCATCAAGTCCTAGATGCTGGGAAGAAGGGGTGTGGGGGGTGTTTACCTTGTTCCATTCCCATCCACTAGGAACAAGGAATTGGCAGGTGGGGAGGTAGGCATGCTGGTGTCCCAGCTCAGGCAGAGGACTGCTCAGACGTCAAACAGTGCAGTCCCAGCCTGGGCAACATAGCCAGATTCCATCTCTACAAAACATTTTTGTTTTAATTAGCTTGGCATGGTGGCATGCGCCTGTGGTCCCAGCTACTCGGAAGGCTGAGGTGGGAGGATCGCTTGAGCCCTGGAGGTCAAGGCTGCAGTGAGCTATGATCGCGCCACTGCACTCCAGCCTGGGCAACAGTGAAACCCTGTCTCAAAAAAAAAAAAACTAATGTAAACGACAAGTTGATGGGTGCAGCAAACCAACATGGCACATGTATACCTATGTATCAAACCTGCACGTTGTGCATGTGTACCCTAGAACTTAAAGTATAATAATAATAATAATAATAATAATAAAAGAGTGGGCCGGGCGCGGTGACTCACGTCTGTAATCCCAGCACTTTGGGAGGCTGAGGCAGGCGGATCACGAGGTCAGGAGATCAAGACCATCCTGGCTAACACGGTGAAACCCTGTCTCTACTAAAAAAAATACAAAAAATTAGCCGGGCGTGGTGGCAGGCGCTTGTAGTCCCAGCTACTCGGGAGGCTGAGGCAGGAGAATAGCGTGAACCCGGGAGGCGGAGCTTGCAGTGAGCCGAGATCCCACCACTGCACTCCAGCTTGGGTGACAGAGCGAGACTCCGTCTCAAAAAAAAAAAAAAAAAAAAAGACCTAATGTAAATGACGAGTTGATGGGTGCAGCAAACCAAAATGGCACATGTATACCTATGTATCAAACCTGCACATAGTGCACATGTACCCCAGAAGTTAAAGTATAAGAAAAAAAAAAAGAGTGTAGTGCAGTCACCCACGCACTCCGGTCATTCACTCATTCATTCATTCATTCATTCACAAAAGAAGCATTTATGAGTTCCTGCTGTGTGCCAGGCTCTGGCCTAGGCACTGGGAACAGTGAACAGAACAGACTCGACTCAGAGCTCAAGGACTTTTAGTCCAGTTGAGGAGATCAATCATATAATTGATCAAATAATCACAGATTTGTGGTCGTAAGTGTCCTGGGGAAAACTCAAGCGGAAGGGAAGATGGGAGGGTCAGGTATATGTCTGCGGGTGGAGAGTCTGCAGTTTCCTAGAGAGTGGTCTGGGAGGCCTCTCTGAAGAGGTGACATTTGAACAGAACCTTAGATGAAGTGAGGGAGGGCTCAGGGGACCTGAGGCAAAGCAGAGGGGGCCACCAGTGCAAAGGCGTGAGGTAGGATCGTGCTTGGGGTGTTCAAGAAACAAGAAGGAGGCTGGCGTGACGAGCACCAAATGATTGAGCAGAAGTGGAGATGAAGTCGCAGAGTGAACTGAGAGTCAGATGGTGGAGGGCATTTTATTTCATTTATTTATTTAGAGACAGAGTCTTGCTCTGGTGCCCGGGCTGGAGTACAGCGGTGCAATCATAGCTCACTACAGCCTCGACTTCCTAGGCTCAACTGATCCTCCCACCCCAGCCTCTTCAGCCCCAGCCTCCTCAGTAGCTGGAACTACAGGCACACATCACCACGCCCGGTGAAGTTTTCGGGTTTTTTTTTTTTTTTTTTTTGTAGAGACACGGGTCTCACCATGTTGCCCAGGCTGATCTGAAACTCCTAGGCTCAAGCCATCCTCCTGTCTCGGCTTCCCAAAGCACTGGGATTACAGGTGTGAGCCACTGTGCCCAGTTCTACAGAGGGCATTTTAGGCAGAGGACTTAGGATTTCATTCTGAAGGCAATGGGAGGCTCCTGGAGGATTTGGAACTGGACGGTAACTTGAACTGTTTAAAAAAGGCCATTCTGGGCCAGGGGCAGTGGCTCATGCCTGTAATCCCAGCACTTTGGGAGGCTGAGGTGGGCATATCACTTGAGGTCAGGAGTTCGAAACCAACCTGACCAACATGGTGAAACCGCGTCTCTACTAAAAATACACAAAATTTAGCTGGGCATGGTAGCAGGCACCTGTAATCCCAACTACTTAGGAGGCTGAGGCAGGAGAATTGCTTGAACCCAGGAGACAGAGGTTGCAGTGAGCCGAGATCCCGCCACTGCCTTCCAGCCTGAGTGACAGAGCAAGACTCCATCTCGGAAAAAAAAAAAAAAATTCTGGCTGCTGGATGAAGAAGGGTGGGTCTGTAGGGGATGAAGTGGAAGTTGGGAGCTCATTACAAGAGGCCAGGAAACAGACTCTGGTGGCTGAGACCCAGGTGGAGGTGGCGGGGAGCAGTGGGTGGTTTTCTGGACTCATTAAAAGGCAGAGCCAAAGAACTTTGGAGGGACTGGACATGAGGCTGAGAGAAGGAGAAAGGGGGAGTTGGGGGCAAGTCCAAGGGCTCTGGCTGAGCACCTAGAAGGGGGCACTGCTAGGCAGGGAAGGTGGAGGGAGGGGGGAGTCTGGAGGGGGAAGCTGCATGTCAGGAGTCTGGAGCAGGGTGAGTTTGATTTGAGACACCCAGGCACCCATGGAGAGAGCTGAATGAGATGGTAAGAAACCCAAGCTGCAGGGAGATGAGGGAGTTGCTGGCATATGGAGGCACTTAAAGTCAAGACACTGAATGAGGCCAGGTGCTGTCACTCATGCCTGTAATCCCAGCGCTTTGGGAGGCTGAGGCAGGAGGATCGCTTGAGCCCAGGAGTTCAAGACCAGCTTGGGCAATACAAATACAGTGAAACCCCCTCTCTACCAAAAAAAAAAAAAAAAAAAAAGCCAGGCATGGTGGTGCGCACCTGTGATCCCAGCTACTCGGAAGGCTGAGGTGGGAGGATCGCTGGAGCCTGGGAAGTTGAGGCTGCAGTGAGCTGTGATTGCACCACTGCTCTCCAGCCTGGGCGACAAAGCCACACCCTGCATCAAAAAGAAAAAAAAAAGAAAAGAAAAGAAAAAAGAGGCGAGATCATTAAAGGAGTGAGTCAGAGAAGAGGCCCTTGTGGGCTTCCTGCTGTCTACAAGAGAAAAGGATGCTGAGACACGCCTGCCAGTGAGGCTTCGGAGATCCCAGAGACTCGGACACACCTTGGATAAGCAGGCTTTCTGACTGGGACCTGAGTCTAGCTCCTTGGCATCAGTGTCCCATTTGTGTGTGTGCTTGGGTGGTTTGGAGGGGCTGCAGCTGAGAGCTGACTGCAGGGAGAAGTGACGCTAGGGTATGGCATGGCCCCTTGTGGTCATCCCGTCACCCTCCTCCTGCTGGGCTGGGCTGGAGAGCGGGAGTGGGGGACACCTTTCTTTCTTTTTTTTTTTTTTTTGAGACGGAGTCTCGCTCTGTCCCCAAGCTGGAATGCAGTGCTGCAATCTCAGCTCACTGCAACCTCCGCCTCCTGGGTTCAAGTGATTGCCTCAGCCTCCTGAGTAGCTGGGAGTACAGGCATGTGCCACCACGCCTGGCTAATTTTTGTATTTTTAGTAGAGATGGGGTTTCACCATGTTGGCCAGGATAGTCTCGCTCTCCTGACCTCGTGATCCACCCGCCTTGGCCTCCCAAAGTGCTGGGATTACAGGCGTGAGCCACCGTGCCCAACCCTGGGGGGACACCTTTCTTACCCCTTCCCCACTCTTCTCAGATTCATCAATAAGCTGCAGCCAGGCTCCGTGAAGAAGATCAATGAGTCAACCCAAAATTGGCACCAGGTGAGCCCAGACACAATCTCTTCCATCCTTGCCCGCAAGCCCCTCAGACCTCCCCTCCCCACCCAGTGACCACCACCTGCCCCCCTCTAGCTGGAGAACATCGGCAACTTCATCAAGGCCATCACCAAGTATGGGGTGAAGCCCCACGACATTTTTGAGGCCAACGACCTGTTTGAGAACACCAACCATACACAGGTGCAGTCCACCCTCCTGGCTTTGGCCAGCATGGTGAGTGTGGTTGCAGGCTGGGCAGGGGGTGGTGGGCAGCCTGGGCTGGGATGCAGGTGTGGCCACTTGTGCTCCTGAGCCCAGTGAAGGTGGCGGAGCGGGGGGCAGGGATCGGGGAGCAGGTGCTGTCAACAGCGTCCAAGGGGGCCGGGCGCGGTCGCTCACACCTGTAATCCCAGCACTTTGGGAGGCCAAGGTGAGCGGATTGCTTGAGGCCGGGAGTTTGAGACCAGTCTGGCCAACATGGTGAAATCCCGTCTCTACTAAAAATACAAAAATTAGCTGGACGTGGTGACGCATGCCTGTAATCCCAGCTACTCAGGAGGCTGAGGCAGGAGAATCGCTTGAACCCGGGAGGCGGAGTCTGCAGTGAGCCGAGATCGTGCCACTGCCCAGCCTGGGTGACAGAGCCAAGACTCCGTCTCAAAAAAAAAAAAACAAAAAACAAAAAACAGTGTTGGCCGGGCACGGTGGCTCACGCCTGTAATCCCAGCACTTTGGGAGGCCGAGACAGGTGGATCACAAGGTCAGGAGATTGAGACCATCCTGGCTAACATGGTGAAACCCTGTCTCTACTAAAACTACAAAACAAAATTAGCCGGGCATGGTGGCAGGCGCTTGTAGTCCCAGCTACTAGGGAGACTGATGCAGGAGAATGGTGTGAAGCCGGGAGGCGGAGCTTGCAGTGAGCTGAGATCACGCCACTGCACTCCAGCCTGGGCAACAGAGCGAGACTCTGTGTCAACAACAACAAAAAAACAGTGTCCAAGGGGACTGTGCAGCCTGGAGGCCCCCTTGTCAGTCCCTGCTTTCCCTGCCCCACCTAGGCGAAGACGAAAGGAAACAAGGTGAACGTGGGAGTGAAGTACGCAGAGAAGCAGGAGCGGAAATTCGAGCCGGGGAAGCTAAGAGAAGGGCGGAACATCATTGGGCTGCAGGTACCGCCCTGTCCTCACTGCGCAGAGGTCATAGAGGCCAGGAGGGCACCCTGATGTCTGAAGGCTTTTGGGGACAGGATATTTGGCATTAACTATACTATAGGCCGGGTACTGTGCTTATGCTCATCTTCCATTCACAAACTCACTCACTCTGCCAACACCCCAGCAGACAGGTGCTTGTTATCAACATACCCTTTCCGCAGATGAGAAAACTGAGACCCGGAGAAGCTGGCTCGCTTTTGCACAGATCTTCCAGCTGATGCGTGGCAGGCTGGAACTTCAATGCTAGAAGTCAGTCATGTGATAGGCCCACTCTGGGCCTCAGTTTCCAGTCTCGAAAGGATGCCTCAGGCGGGGTGCAGTGGCTCACACCTGTAATTCCAGCACTTGGGGAGGCTGAGGCAGGAGGATTGCTTGAGGTCAGGTGTTTCAGACCAGCCTGGGCAAAATAGAACCCCCCTCCACCGCCATCTCTACAACAAATTTAAGAGTTTAGCCAAATGCAGTGGTGTCTGCCTGTGGTCCCAGCTACTTAGGAGGCTGAAGTGGGAGAATCACTTGAGCCCAGGAGTTCAAGGTTACAATGATTGCATCACTGGACTCCAGCCTGGGCGACAGAGTGAGACCCTGTCTCTAAAAATGAAAATGGGCTGGGTATGGTGGCTCATGCCAGTAATCCTAGCACTTCGGGAGGCCGAGGCAGGCGGATCACTTAAAGTCAAGAGTTCAAGGCCAGCCTGGCCAACGTGGTGAAACCCTGTCACTACCAAAAATACAAAAACTAGCCGGTGTGGTGGGGCACACCTGTAGTCCCAGCTACTCAGGAGGCTGAGGCAGGAGAATTGCTTGAACTCAGGAGGCAGAGGTTGCAGTGGGCCAAGATTGTGCCGCTGCACTCCAACCTGGGCGACAGAGTGAGATGCTATCTCAAATAAAATAAAATAAAACAAAAAAATAGAATAGAACAAAATAAAATATAAAAATAAACTAAAAAATGGGCCAGGCACAGTGGCTCACCCCTGTAATCCCAGCACTTTGGGAGGGTGAGGTGGGTGGATCACCTGAGGTCAGGAGTTCGAGACCAGCGTGGCCAACATGGTGAAACCCCATTTCTACTAAAAATACAAAAAATTATCCGGGCATGGTGATGCCCACCTGTGATCCCAGCTACTCCGGAGGCTGAGGCAGGAGAATTGCTTGAATGTGCAAGATGGAGATTTCAGTGAGCTGAGATCATGTCACTGCACTCCAGCCTGGGCAACAGAGCAAGACTCCGTCTCAAAAAAAAATAAATAAAATAAAATAAAAATTGAAAAAAATGATAAAGCGGCGCCTCATCCTCTCCCATCAGCTATGCCTCATGGCCCATGATGAGGTCTGTAATTATTGGTGTGATTCTCCTTCTGGCTTCCTAGATGGGCACCAACAAGTTTGCCAGCCAGCAGGGCATGACGGCCTATGGCACCCGGCGCCACCTCTACGACCCCAAGCTGGGCACAGACCAGCCTCTGGACCAGGCGACCATCAGCCTGCAGATGGGCACCAACAAAGGAGCCAGCCAGGTGAGTGGGGGCCCCCGGGACACGCCGTCAAGGCCCAGGACCCTGGCCACCCCACGGCCTGACCACACCACCCTTCGCAGGCTGGCATGACTGCGCCAGGGACCAAGCGGCAGATCTTCGAGCCGGGGCTGGGCATGGAGCACTGCGACACGCTCAATGTCAGCCTGCAGATGGGCAGCAACAAGGGCGCCTCGCAGCGGGGCATGACGGTGTATGGGCTGCCACGCCAGGTCTACGACCCCAAGTACTGTCTGACTCCCGAGTACCCAGAGCTGGGTGAGCCCGCCCACAACCACCACGCACACAACTACTACAATTCCGCCTAGGGCCACAAGGCCTTCCCTGTTTTCCCCCCAAGGGAGGCTGCTGCTGCTCTTGGCTGGACCCAGCCAGGCCCAGCCGACCCCCTCTCCCTGCATGGCATCCTCCAGCCCCTGTAGAACTCAACCTCTACAGGGTTAGAGTTTGGAGAGAGCAGACTGGCGGGGGGCCCATTGGGGGGAAGGGGACCCTCCGCTCTGTAGTGCTACAGGGTCCAACATAGAGCCGGGTGTCCCCAACAGCGCCCAAAGGACGCACTGAGCAACGCTATTCCAGCTGTCCCCCCACTCCCTCACAAGTGGGTACCCCCAGGACCAGAAGCTCCCCCAGCAAAGCCCCCAGAGCCCAGGCTCGGCCTGCCCCCACCCCATTCCCGCAGTGGGAGCAAACTGCATGCCCAGAGACCCAGCGGACACACGCGGTTTGGTTTGCAGCGACTGGCATACTATGTGGATGTGACAGTGGCGTTTGTAATGAGAGCACTTTCTTTTTTTTCTATTTCACTGGAGCACAATAAATGGCTGTAAAATCTCCTGAGGCCTCAGAGCTGCTCTGTTTTAGATATGCGCCATATCCCGCACACACATCTGCACGGACACACATGCCCACATGCACCCTAAGACGTACATACACACTCACACGCACCCTAAGACACACACCTCACTGTAGCCACTCAGCTAGACACAGGACAGGCACCCCATCACACTCACATGCAAAGTCCACACACACACACACACTCCCCCCTTTCACACACAGATATGCACACACAGGCAGTACACACTCCCTACGACATGTAAAAAAGGCATAGCCAGCCGGGCACAGTGGCTCATGCCGGTAATCCCAGCACTTTGGGAGGCTGAGATGGGAGGATCACTTGAGGTCAGGAGTTCGAGACCAGACTGGCCAACATGGTGAAACCTTGTTTCTACTAAAAATACAAAAATTAGCAGGGTGTGGTGGCGCATGCCTGTAGTCCCGGCTACTTGGGAGGCTGAGGTAGGAGAATCACTTGAGCCCTGGAGATCTAGGCTGTAGTGAGCTGAGATGGCGCCACTGCATTCCAGCCTGGGCAACAGAGCAAGACTCCATCTCAAAAAAAAAAAAAAAAAAAAAAGGCACAGCCAGAGAGCCAATGCGCGCGCGCGTGCACACACACACACACACACACACACACACACACACACGACCCACACTGCTCTCCCAGAGGCTTGTGGATGGTGGTGACAAAGAGCCTGAGTACTGGGACAGGCTAAATGGCATGTGAATCACAGAGCAGCTGCCTGGATGACCTCGGGCAATCACTTTCCCTCCCTAGACCTGTTTTCCCATCAAAATAATGGGGACAGTAAGCCTCTTGTGGTCATGAAATGACACCCCCAGATGGGGTGATGTTCTACATGTTTAATCGCTGGTAAAGACCAGGCATCAATAGAGAAAGGATGACAAGTAGGGGTCCTGGTGGGCCCTGTGGGCAGGGTGAACCCTTTAGCCCCAGACTGTGGGGAGGGGAAAGGGGACAGGGAGAGGGGCACTTCTGAGCCAAGGCAATGGCCCTTTACTGACTGGCACAGGGCACCATAGGGCACGGTTAATTCTGTGCGCCCCGCCCGCTCTCAGCCGTCTTAAGGCTGAGCCTGCCAACCCGGGACTCTAAAAGGCTGTGTCCAGGGCCTCAACCTCCTCACATTTCAGAGGGGACCCTGTTATCCCCGGGAGGAGGGAGAGGTCCCCAACCATCAGGATTCCAAGGAGGAGAGGAGGCAGAGAAGCGAGGAGCGCGGCACGGAGCTGTCTTCTCCCCAGGGAGGGCAGGAGTTGAGGCTGGAACGTGGAGACCTGCGGAGGCAGACACCAGAAGACCCGCGCACAGACGCACGCAGCCCCTGGGGCCTCGTAAACCGGATTCCAGGCGCTTTTGGCCTGGCTACCGCAAGTCCTGCTCCCCCTGGGCCGGCGCGGGGAAGCTATGCTGAGGAGGATCCGGGCCTGGCCCAGGGCCCTGCCTCCTCGGGAAAACAGCACCATATTAGCACTTAGCCTGTGAGGCTGGGGTGGGCGGGCGGCAGGAAGGGCCTCGGGTGCCAGAGGAATGAGCCCCCTTTTTGCTGGATCCCAGAGGGCCATCACCCTAAACCTAGGTGCCTGTCCACCACTCTGCGCATGTGTGCCGGCTCCTGCCAGGGCTAGCAGACCTTACCTGGGATCTTGGAGGTGGCGGGATAACCAGGGAAGACATGTCATGGCAGAGTGGGCCTGAGGGGGTGCACAGGCCAGACCCAGCAGCCCAGTCTGGCAGCCAGGGCTTCCGGGCCAGCTCAATGTCTCCCCCCGCTGTTCACATCCGTCAGTGCCCTGGGTGGGCCCCAGAGCCGCTCAAACCATGCCTGGCACTTCCATCCTCAGCATGGCTCCGGGAAGAAGGTGCTTTCATCCCCTGCACTGTAGCAACGAGGACTCTGAAGCACAGGTCACCTGCCACCCGGGCTCATGAGGCCAGGTGGAGGGTCTGGCACTGCCCCAGGTTGCTGGGTGTTGTGGTCCTTGTCACCGGTGCGACCAGCTAAGGGGACATCAGCCCTCAGGTGCTCCCCATCGGCCACACACATCCCGCCCCAACACCAGCCTTCTGAGAGTCCTCACCACCCTTGAATAAAGGCCCCTTTCATGTTTCCCTCCCGTGTCCCTCTTCCACTCACTACCTCCAGAACGGCCTGTAAGCTGTTCCCTCAGCCTGGACTCTGGGCTCACAAGAAGTCAGACTGTAAGCTGTGGAGCCTCGTTTCCTGGGTTCAAATCCCCCCTGTGCCACTTTCTGGCTGTAGGGTCTTGGGCCAGTGACCTCCTTCACCTCTAGCCTCTGTTTCCTCATCTTTGAACTTGGGGTTAGCTTGGCACCTGCCCCACAAAGTGGCTGTCAGGACACTGGGGCGACGCAGGAAGGCCAGAGGTCAGCGTCTGGCTAGAGGTGGCCCTACGGTGTCACTGTCTCAGCCTGCCCCTCCCAGAAGCCTCCTCTGACCACCTGTTCTGTCTCACCTCCCCCATTTCCTATTGTGACTGCTGTAAACACCTGGCCAGATGTCTGCCTGCTCCACCACCCTGAATGCTTACTGACTGAATAAAACGCTGGGTGGTTTGAAGGGCTGGTCACATGGGCCACCAGGCCACCTCCCGAACGTCAGAGCCTCAGGTCCCCTCTCCTTCTTCTGGTGACCAGGCAGACGCAGAACCCAAGACATCACGGACAGCAAGGGATGTGCGCTGGCTGCTTTATTTAAGGGCTTGTGATTGACAGCTGTCCCCATCCCAGCCCTTGCTTCCTCTACAAAAGCAACTGAACATGAAACGGGCTTCCTGGTTACCATGGGGAGGGGGGCGGCTCCCTGTCAGGGCCCAGCCCAGGGACCTGGGGAACGGCGGCTTTGAATCCCCGGCCACGGGCACTAGAAGGTGGAGAAGGAGAGCGGGAAGTCCAGTTGAGATGGGCACGGTGCTGGTGAGGAGGCTGGAGAGGTCCTGTTCCAGCCTCTAGTGGGCTTCCCTTGTCCAGGATGTCAGGAAACAGTCCCCCAATTCCGCCGGGGGGAGCCAGAGCCCCAAGGCTGGGGGGCCAGGGGCTGCAGGGAACACAGCAAAGGCTTTCGGAGCCAAGTGAGATCAGTTCAGGCCCCTCAGGCCCAGGAACCCGACACCACCGCGTACCTGTGAGCACACACTCACGGCCACCCCAGTGACACGTGCAGCCACACACACCCACACTCACTCACACCCACACCCACACGCACACCCACTACACACACACACACACACACACACACACACACACACACACACACACACACGGCTGTGACAGCCCAGGACCCACACCCTGGACCCCTGGAATGTCTCTGGACCAGAACCGAACAGCTGGATCCACAGTACGCGGGGCTGCTCAGGGGGCGGGTCCTCTGTGTCGCTACTGATTGGCCGCCTCGCAGGCGTCTATCCAATCACTGTACACATCCACGGGTTCTGACAGATCTGGGCCACTTAGGTCAAGGGCGATCATTGGCATTGGAACCCTGCCCTGCATCTTCTCACCCCACAGAAATCACTAGGTGGCACCTGTTCCTCTGGACGGCTTTGGCCCTGCACCAGGGCACACAGTGGGCCAGATGAGCAGGGTCCGGACTCCAGCCCCCTCCCCACCCTCTGGAAAAAGCCCAGGTTTCCAAGGATACACGTTATGGGCGTCTGGAATTCCTCTAGGCACACGGTACAAGAGATGACTCCGGTGTTGCGGGCACGGTCCCTGAAACAGACCAAGAGAAGGGACTGGTGAGCAATGCGTCCTGGGCCTGTGGGTGATGACGCCTTCACCAAGGGAGGCAAGGGGCAGGATGGAGAACAGCGGGGAAGAGGCAGTGGGGAGGCTGGATCCCTTGCCCTGTTCCCCACTCACATTTTCACATCACAGGATTTCTCGTGGTTGCAGAAGGGGCAGGTGAACTGGGTCTCGAGGGTGCCTGTCATCTTCTTCTTGGGAGGCGGCTTTCGTTTTGACTTTCTGCGCCCCATGTCTGCAGGTGGATGAGCCTGTGGGGAGTGGCAGATGTCAGTGGTTTGAGGAAACCACGCAGCGCCCCAGCTCAATGCTCTAGAAAGCAGGCCGGAAAGAGGGTCTGGGACTTGCACCGTGGTCCCGGGGCCTCTGCCCTTGAGGGACGAGGCCCTCAGTCCTGATGCAGGAGGACAATTCCCTGTCCCACTCTGGATGGAAGGGGTGAGACGAGGCTCTAACCCCATCTCTCTCACTTACTGCGTGACCTGGGCAGGTTATTTAAGCTCTTTGTGCCACAGTTTCCTCGTCTATAAAACAGAGACAAGGCCAGGCATGGTGGCTCACACCTGTGATCCCAGCCAGCACTTTGGGAAGCTAAGGTGAGAGGATTACTTGATGCCAGGACCTGGATACCAGCCTGGGCAACATAGTGAGGCCTCATCTCTAAAAAAAAAAAATTAAAAATTAGCCAGGCATGGTGGTGCAGGCCTGTAGTCCCAGCTACTTGGGAGGCTGAGATGGGAGGATCGCTTGAGCCCAGGAGTTTCAGGTTTCAGTGATGATCCAGAGTTATGATCCAGGCACTGCACTCCAGCCTAGGCAACAGGATGAAACCCTGCATAAAAAAAAAAAAAGAAAAAAAAAAGGCCAGGTGTGGTGGCTCACACTTGTAATCCCAGGACTTTGGGAGGCTGAGGCGGGCGGATCACGAGGTCAGGAGTTCGAGACCAGCCTGACCAACACGGTGAAACCCCATCTCTACTAAAAATACAAAAATTAGCTGGCCATAGTGGCAGGCACCCGTAACCCCAGCTACTCAGGAGGCTGAGGCAGGAGACTCACCTGAACCCAAGAGGCGGAGACTGCAGTGAGCCGAGATCGCACCATTGCACTCCAGCCTGGGCAACAGAGCAAGACTCCGTCTCAAAAAAAAAAAAAAAAAAAAAGTCGAAATAAGGTTGCTATCTCAGAGGAGACTTGTGGGGCTGACACCAGGAATGGTAAGTTAAGTACTTAGCACAGAGCTGGCCCATCATCGCTGGCGCCAATACAAGGAAGCCACTGTTCCTGGGGAGGGTGGCACAAGAGACTCCAAGACAAGCCAGCTGTTCAGGGCCGGGTGGAGCCTAAGAGCCTAGGAACTGGTGATTTTATTCTGGCTGCTCCTCTTGGCAAAGGACATGTAAGTACCATCCAGGAGGAGTGACACTCAGGTTATCTGATGGCCTCGATCCAGATGACAGACTGCAGGGCAGAGAAGTGGGGACAGGCACTTCTGAGTAGAGGAACACTGTGTGAAGGCTCAGGGCAGCTGTCCGTCCCCTGGCAGGTGAGGGAGAGAGGAGGGACAGGTGGGAGGGTTCTGGGTGTTTGGATGGATCCTGGGAGCTACAAGGAGTGAAAGGACAAAGTCACCCTGTGCTTTTGAGGAACTGCGGTGTGAGCCATAATCTGGATGAAGACAAAGTCACAGCCAGGACAGGGCTGTTGGGGTAGAGATGGCAGAGGGTGAGAGAGACAGAGGAGACATGGCGGCAGAGTGAGTGAGTGTGACGAGAGAAGGAAAGTCCAGGATGACTCCCAAGGTTGTGGCGGGGACATAGTGGCTAGAGGGACAAGGTGGCATCATTCTCTGATGTCTAACACATAGGAAGGACAGGGTTTTGGAGAAAATGATGGGGTTGGGTGGCAGAGGGATATCTAGGAACAGATGTCCAGGAGGCAGGTGGGTGGGGAAACGGCAGCAGTTACCACTGAGCCCAACTCCCCTGCGAGGCACGGTGCTCAGGGCACTGTGTTTGCCATCCCTGAGCCTCCTATGGCGCCTCCTCCAACACACACACACACGACTGCTGGTTCTAGCATCGTTCCACTGTGACGGGGAGGTCAGCAGCCTGCCAGTGTCTTCCAGAATAAACAGTGGAGTTTCATTCATTATCTGCTGATCACTTCCTATGTAATACCCCCAACTCTTTCTTTTTTTTTTGAGATGGAGTCTTGCTCTGCCGCCCAGGCTGGAGTGCAGTGGCATGATCTCGACCCACTGCAACCTCCACCTCCCGGCTTCAAATGATTCTCCTGCCTCAGCCTCCCGAGTAGCTGGGAGTACAGGCATGCACTACCACGCGTGGCTAATTTTTTGTATTTTTAGTAGAGATGGGGTTTCACCGTGTTAGCCAGGATGGTCTCGATCTCCTGACCTCGTGATCCGCCTGTCTCGGCCTCCCAAAGTGCTGGGATTACAGGCGTGAGCCACCACGCCCAGCCAACACCCCCAACTCTTAACTGTGATGCTTCCAGTTCACTGAGTAAATAGAAGCAATCCAAAGACAGCTCCTAGGACCAACTCATTCAGCCATTCACCCACCCTCTTTATTTATCTAAGAGATGAGGTCTTGCTCTGTTGCCCAGGCTGGAGTGCAGTGGCATGATCACAGCTTGCTAAAGCCTCAATCCTCTGGCCTCAGCCTGCTCAGTAGCTGGGACAACAGGTGTGCACCACCATGCCCAGCTTCGGCATGCCTCCTTTACTATGGAAGTAAGTTCCTGCAAAAACAATTTGTTCATTCTGCCCTGGCTCCCATCCCCTTTTCTTTGAGCAACATCAAATTTTCCAGCTCCACTGGATCACTCTCACACACTTGTTATTACCTCTCTCCTCATTTAAAAAGGGGGAAAAAAAAACTCTTCATCCTCTTCCAGCTATGATCCTTTTCTCTGCAGGCTGTTTTAGTGTACAGCCATCTGCATTCCCACCCATCTCTCTGCACCCCTTGCCTCCAAACTTAGGTTACTGGTGGCTCCATACTGCAAATCCCAATGGCAGTCCTCCCATTCCAGAGGTCCTTCCTCCCCTGAGAGCACATGTGGCTCTCAGGATGCCATGTGCTCCCTGTCCTCTGCCTCACTGGTGGCTCCTGCTAGTCTCCTATGCTCCTGCCTCTCTGCCAACTTGCTCCAATGAAGAGAGCACGTGAGTTTGGGCCAGGCGCTGTGGCTCACGTTTATAATCCCAGCACTTTGGGAGGCCAAGGTGGGCAGATCACTTGAGGTTAGGAGTTGGAGACCAGCCTGGCCAACATGGTGAAACCCCATTTCTACTAAAAATACAAAAATTAGCTGGGCGTGGTGGCACATGCCTGTAATCCCAGCTAATAGAGAGGCTGAGGCAGGAGAATCGCTTGAACCTGGGAGTCGGAGGTTTCAGTGAGCTGAGATTGTGCCACCGCACTCCAGCCTGGGCAACAGAGCAAAACTTCATCTAAAAAAAAAAAAAAAAAAGGCTGAGTGCAGTGGTTCACGCCTGTAATCCCAGCACTTTGGGAGGCCGAGGTGGGCAGATCACGAGGTCAGGAGTTCGAGACCAGCCTGACCAACATGGTGAAACCCCATCTCTACTAAAAATACAAAAATTAGCCAGGCATGGTGGTGCACGCCTGTAATCCCAGCTACTCGGGAGGCTGAGGCAGGAGAATCACTTGAACCTGGGAGGCGGAGGTTGCAGTGAGCCGAGGCACTCCAGCCTGGGCAACAGAGCAAAAAGCCCATGAGTTTAATTGTTGGATCCTCTCCTTTCTGGCTATACTCACCACATGAAGATTTCACCCAGTCTTAGGGCTTCATGCCTACTCTACACTGAGGCCACCTGCTTCTCCAGCCTTGAGTCTGAACTGCAGACTCTGATCTATCTGCCTCAGCCACACCTCCACCTGATGTCTAACTTCCACCTAAGATTAAACATATCATGTCCAAAACCAAGCCCCTGACATTGCAACCTGCTCTTCCAGTCTTCCTCATCTCAGCTAACAGCAATTCCATCTTTCCGGATAATCAAATCAGAAACCTTGGATTCATCCTCAATGTCTTTTTCCCTCACACATTCCTTATGCGATCCTCCCCCTGCCCCTCTACCTCTGAAATATAAATTAGCCGCGGCACCACGCCCAGCTAATTTTTGTATTTTTTGTAGAGACAGGGACCCACCATGTTGCCCAGCCTGGTCTGGAACTCCTGGGCTCAAGAGATACTCCCGCCTCGGCCTCCCAAAGTGCTGGCGTTACAAGCATGAGCCACCGTGCCCAGCAATAACCATTACTGAATAAATCACTCAATCAGTTTGCTTGTAACTCTATCACTTTGGGACGTCACGCCCGTAATCTCATCACTTTGGGAGGCCCAGGTGGGAAGATCGCTTGAAGCCAGGAGTTCCAGACCAGCCTGGGAAACAGAGTGAGACCCTTCATCTCTACAAAATTACAAAAATTAGCCTTGAGTCTGTAGTCCCAGCTACTCGGCAAGCTGAAGTGGGAAGCTTGCGCCCAGGAGGTCGAGGCTGCAATGAGCTATGATCGCGCCACTGCACTCCAGCCTCGGCGACACAGCAAGACTCACTCTCAAAAAAAAAAAAAAAAGTCCAAACAAAATCTACGGATGAGCCCCAGAAGCTCATTTTGCCCAGGGACTACAGTCTCCCCATCCCATGAATGGGGTCTGGCTTGCACAAGGAATGCAGAGGCCTCAGCCTGTCCTGTGACAACGTTAAGTCCAAGAGCGCCAAAAGGGGATGGCAGAGGAGTCATCCCCCGAATCTGCTGGTACCCAAGAGGTGGGGGGTTGGCTGTTCCTCCAGACTCACTAAAGCTTCGGCATCGCCTCCCGACGGCCGCCGGGAGGAGCCAGGCGTCCCGGTAGTCGCGCTTGGAAGGATGGGGTCGGGGGGAGTCAGTCTCCCCGACCGGCTTTCCCCCAAGCTCGAGGTCCCAGGAGCCTCCTCCAGGACCCCGTAAACGCACGGAGTAGAGGAACTTCCAGTCCTGCCCACCCCCAACGCCCACTCGCACGAGCCGCACCAGCACTCACCTTCTCCAGCTGCGAAAGCTCCGTTCACCCGGGAGATAGTGACTTCCGACTCCTGCCGGAAGCGGAAACCCCTCTCCTACTTTCAGGTCCCGGCCACCCCCATCCCGGACAGCCCAGCAAATAGGCCCTGCCTCCTTCGCCGCTCCTCTGAGCGCACGCGTACTCAAATAGCAGCGCTCCGACGGAGACGCAGTGCGCCTGCGCAAGAGCCGGTGCGTATTTGCCTGTACCTACGCGCGATGCCAGTACTTCTGGTCAGTTTCCAGGAGCGGCAAGTGAGGAATATGAAATAACCTTATGGCTGAATCAGGGTGAAGGGGAAGCTTGTAAGCATGGAAGACGCTCTACTCAAACTAAAAAGTTCAAGTTCTGATCCAGCAGATGAAGAGGGAGGCCTGAGAGGCTGCTGTTCTAACTCGCTCCCAGGTGACTTCCATGCTGCTGATCCGCAGACCACATTTTGAGTGCCCAGATTGTAGTAGATGAGGTTGAGTGGACAGGCTGGGGCCAGATTCCATGGAGCCTCGTGGGCCGTGTTAAGGATTTTTATTTTTTATTTTTGTTTTATTTTATTTTATTTTTTTGAGACGGAGTCTCACTTTGTCGCCCAGGCTGGAGTGCAGTGGCTCGATTTCGGCCCACTGCAACCTCCGCCTCCCAGGTTCAAGTGATTCTCCTACCTCAGCCTCCCGAGTAGCTGGGATTACAGGCGCCGGTCACCGCGCCCGGCTAATTTTTGTAGTTTTTTTTTTTTTTTTTTTTTTGAGTAGGGATGGGGTCTCACCATCTTGGCCAGGCTGGTCTTGAACTCCTGACCTCGTGATCCACCCGCCTCGGCCTCCCAAAGTGCTGGGATTACAGGCGCGATCCACCCGCCTCGGTCTCCCAAAGTGCTGGGATTACAGGCGTGAGCCACCGCGCCCGGCCAAGGACTTTTATTGGTTTTTATTTTTGGTTTTGTTTTTTTCTGAGACAGGGTTTCGCTCCGTCGCCCAGGCTGGAGTGCAGTGACGCCATATGGGCTCACTGCAACCTTAGCCTCCCGGGTTCAAGCGATCCTCCTGCCTCAGCCTCTTAAGTAGCTGTGATTACAGGTGCGCACTACCATGCCTGGCTAATTTTTGTATTTTTAGTAGAGATGGGGTTTCACCATGTTGGTCAGGCTGGTCTCGAACTCCTGACCTCAAGTGATCCATCCACCTCGGCCTCTCAAATTGTTGGGATTACAGGCATGAGCCACCACACCTGGCCTGAAAAAGATATTTCAAGATGGAGAGAGAGAGGGGTTAGCTGTGTCACGTGTCCCTGAGTTGAAGAAGATGAGGAAAGAGAATTGACAGTTGAGTTTGGCAAGGGTCTGGTCCCTGCGGACCTTGATAAGAGCTGTTGCATTAGAGTGTTCAGGAAGATAATTTGTAATGAAATGTATTTCGAATACAGATGCTCTTTGATTTACGATGGGGTTACATCCCGATAAACCTATCATAATCAAGTCAGGGGCTGTCTGTAGAGGGATCTCTAGGATATCCCCTAGGGGGCAGTGTTACCCTGGTAACCGTCAAGTGTAACCAGTAGAACTGCCCTCTTGTGAGACCCTTTTTCAGTGCTGGAGCAAACTAGAATACACACAGGATGGAATCATACTATACAGTTACCGTGCAACTTGCTATTTCCACTTAACCATCTATACACGTATACCTAACTTTTGTTTTTAGTAGCTACATGATTCATAGTGCAACTCTGCCATAGTATAATCAACGGTTATCCTACTGATGGACAATTCCTGGACTTTCCTGAGTTTTGCCACTGTGATGATGCAGTAAATGTCCCTGAATCAGTATCCTTAAGACTGGATCTTTAGTGAAGCATAGTTTTCAAAAAATGACATTTGTGAGTACAGTGTCTCACCCCAGTAACCCCAGCACTTTGGGAGGCCGAGGTGGGAGGACTGCTTGAGCCCAGGAGTTTGAGGCTAGCATGGGCAACATAGTGAAATCCTGTCTCTAAAAATAAAATAAAATAAAATAAAAAACAATAAATGATGGCCGGGTATGGTGGCTCACACCTGTAATCCCAGCACTTTTTTGTTTTTGCTTTTTTTTTTTTTTTTTTGAGACAGAGTCTTGCTCTGTGGCCCAGGCTGGAGTGCAGTGGCGTGATCTCGGCTCACTATAACCTCCACCTCCTGGATTCAAGCAATTCTCCTGCCTCAGCCTCCTGAGTACCTAGGATTACAGGTGTGCGCCAACATGCCTGGCTAATTTTTGTATTTTTAGTAAAGATGGGGTTTCACCATGTTGGCCAGGCTGGTCTTGAACTCCTGACCTCGTGATCTGCCTGCCTTGGCCTCCCAAAGTGCTGGGATTACAGGCGTGAGCCACGGCGCCTGGCCCATCCCAGCACTTTGGGAGGCCAAGACGGGTGGATAACCTGAGGTCAGGAGTTCAAGACTAGCCTGACCAACATGGTAAAACCTTGTCTCTACTAAAAATACAAAAATTAGCTGGGCATGGTGGCAGGCACCTGTAATCCCAGCTACTCAGGAGGCTGAGGCAGGAGAATCACTTGAACCCCGGGAGGCAGAGGTTGCAGTGAGCCGAGATCGCGCCACTGCACTCCAGCCTGGGCAACAAGAGTGAAACTCCATCTCAAAAAAAAAAAAAAAACAAAGACATTGAGTCACAGGATGTATATATCTTTCATTTTGTTCATGATTGCCACATTAGTTTTCTCTTTTTCTCTCCTTTCATCCCTTCCCTCTCTTACTTCCCTCCTTCCCAGCTTTGTTGGATGTAATTGACTGAACATGAACTGCTCATATTTAAACCATGCCTGGCCGAAATTGCATGTTTTGACATACAGGTATATCATTAAAACATGACCATAATCAAGACAATTATTTCCATCACCCTAAGAAATTTCCTCTTACCAGTAGCCGAGTGTGATGGCTCATGCCTGTAATCCTAGCACCTTGGGAGGCCGAGGTGTGCGAATCACGTGAAGACAGGAGTTTGAGACCAGCCTGGGCAACACGGTGAGACCCCTTGTAGTCTCCACTACAAATACAAAAATTAGCCAGACATAGTGGCACACGCCTGAAGTCCCAGCTACTAGCGAGGCTGAGGCTGGAGAATCACTTGAACCCGGGAGGCGGAGGCTGCAGTGAGCCAAGATTGTGCCACTGCACTCCAGCCTGGGTGACAGATCAAGACTCAGTCTTAAAAAAAAAAAAATAAGAAAAAAAAGAAATTTTTCTCTTGCCCTTTTGTGCTCTGTCCCCTACTCCAGCCCCTGGCCCTAACTGATTTGTTTTTGGTTCCTGTAACTTTGTCTTTTTCAGAAAGTCATATAAGCTGAATCATACAACGTGTAGCCTTTTGAGCTGGGCTTCTTTCCCCAGCATAAGATGTTTGAAACTCACTCATGTTCCCAGCATTTTGGGAGGCCAAGGCGGGTGGATTGCTTGAGGTCAGAAGTTCAAGACCAGCCTGGCCAACATGGTGAAACCCCATTTCTACTAAAAATACAAAAATTAGCTGGATGTGTTGGTGTGCGCCTGTAATCCCAGCTACTTGGGAGGCCAAGCCAGGAGAATCACTTGAAACCAGGAGGCGGAGGTTGCAGTGAGCCGAGATCACGCTATTGCACTCCAGCCTGGGCAACAGAGCCAGACTCTGTCTCAAAAAAAAAAAAAAAGAAAAAAAGGAACTCACTCGTGTTGTTGGATATGTCAGCAGTTTGTTTCTTTTTTGTTTTCTTTTGAGATGGGGTCTCACTCTGTCACCCAGACTGGAGTGCAGTGGCACCATCATGGTTCACTGTAGCCTCAACTTCCCAGGCTCCAGCAGTCCTCCCACCTCAGCTTCCCGAGTAGCGGGGATTACACCTGTGCACCACCACGCCCAGTTAATTTTTGTGTTTTTTGTAAAGACAAGGTTTTGCCATGTTGCCCAGGCTGGTCTCGAACTCCTGGACTCAAGCAATCCACCTGCCTTGGCCTTTCAAAGTGCTTGGATTATAGGCATGATTATTATTCAGTTGTATTCTGTTATATGAATGTCCCACACTTTGTTTATCTTTTCACCTGTTAGTGACCTGTTTTTTGCATTGTTGCCGGTTGTTGAACAATTATTAGAGCTGTTATGAACCATTTCTTTCATTTTGAGGGTGGCAGATGACACCACTCCAAAATATGCCACTTTGGCATATGGATTGTTTCAGCTAAGTGCACTTGAAAAACAGTAGGTGCAGGAAAAGCACTCTGACCTCCCTCTTTTCTCTGGAAAACGAGATAAACCCCCATATGGAAGATGCCCTCCCCATCCCAGGAAGAAAGTAAAATTCTTTTTAGACAGGGTCTCATCCTGTTGCCCAGGCTGGAGCGAAGTGGTGTGATATCCACTTCCTGCAACCTCACTGCAACCTCCACCTCCTAGTCTTAAGCGATCCTCTCGCCTTGTCCCCAAAATAGCTGGGATCACAGGCGCCCACCACCATGCCCAGCTAATTTTTTTGTATTTTTGGTAGACACAGGGTTTCACTAAGTTGCCTAGGCTGGTGTCCAGCTCCTGAGCTCAAGTGATCCACCCGCTTCTGCCTCCCAAAGTGCTGGGATTACAGGCCTGAGCCACCGCGCCCAGCCCTAGAGCGTACAATTCTTATCACCAGAAGACAGGGAGTCAAAGCTGAGGAAAAAATGTACAAACAAACCTTGTTAAATGAACCCTTATTTTTCTAGTTATTTTTCCACCATTAACTGCTCTAGCCCAAACCCCTTTGTCTTGTCACATTTTCATAATTTACTACCCTTTTAAAACTTTATTTATAATATTTATTTATAATTTTAAAATTTATTTATATATTTATTTAGAGACGGGGCCTTACTCTGCTGCCTAGGCTGGAGTACAGTGGCACAATCATAGCTGATTGCAGCCTCAAACTCCTGGGCTCAAGCGAAACTCCCACGTCAGCCTCCTGAGTACCTGGGACTACAGGTGCGTGCCACCCAGCTAATTTTATTTTCTGTTGTTTTAGAGATGGGGTCTCCCTGTGTTGTCCAGGCTGTTCTTGAACTCCTGGGTCCAAGCAATCCTCCCACCTTGGCCTCCCAAAGTGTTGGGATTACTAGTATGAGCCACCACGCCCATCTATAATTTACTACTTTTTTTTTTTTTTTTTTTGAGAAGTCTGGCTCTGTTGCCCAGGCTAGAGTCCAGTGGTGCGACCTCAGCTCACTGCAACCTTTGCCTCCTAGGTTCAAGTGATTCTTCTGCCTCAGCCTCCCAAGTAGCTGGAATTACAGGTATGTGCCACCATGCCTGGCTAATTTTTGTATTTTTAGTAGAGGTGGGGTTTCTCCATGTTGATTAGGCTGGTCTCAAACTCCCAACCTCAGGTGATCCGCCCACCTTGGCCTCCCAAAAGTGTTGGGATTACAGGCATGAGCCACCATGTCCATCCATAATTTTCTACTGTTTGTCTAATACAGTAAATAAGTGTTTGACTGTAACTGCTTCTTTGGGTCTTCCTTTTCAGGGCTCCCATGTCCCATAGAACTTATGTTAAATATATTTCTATGCTTTTCTCCTATTAATTGATCAAATGTCAGTTTAAGTCTTAGGCCCCGCCAGAGATCTAAGAGGGTAGAGGAGAAATCTTGCCTTCCCTCCACAGGTCTTTGTGTGGATGTTCATTTGCATCTTTCCCTGTGATTGCTTGCTTGCTTGCTTGCTTGATTGATTTTGAGACAGGGTCTCACTCTGTGGCCCAGGCGGAAGTACAGTGGCATGATCATGACTCACTGCAGGCTTGACCTCCCAGGCTCAAGTGATCCTCCCACCTTAGCCCCTGCCCCACCCTCTCCACCCCACCCTCTCAACCCCCTGAGTATCTGGAACTACAGATAAGCACCTCCATGCCTGTTTACTTTTTTATTTTTATTTTTTATTTTTGGTAGAGATGGGATTCACTATGTTTCTCAGGCTGGTCTTGAACCCCTAGGCTCAAGCAATCCACCCACCATGGCCTCCCAAAGTGCTGGGATTACAGGCATGAGCCACCACATCCTGCCTCCCTGAAATATTTGATTCCTTCGGAATTTATTTTTGTATGTGGTCTAAGGTAGGGTTCAGGTTTTGTCTCATTCTAGTGCAAACTGACAAGGCAAATAACACCTCCTTTTCCATGAAGTTGCAATGCGACCTTGAACCTATATTATGTTCTTAAATAAATCTTCCTGAATTTGTTCTTGGATTCCCTCAGTATTTTCCTGAGTCAATGCTATATTGTTTTTGTATTTGTTTCTACTTTCTCTCTTGATATTTTCCCGAGCCAATGTTTTGTTTTGGTTTTTTTTTATTTTTTTTTATTTTAGAGATAGGATCTCACTCCATCATCCAGGCTCAGGCTGGAATGCCGTGGTGTGATCATTGCTCACTGTAGCCTCCAGCACCTGGGCTCGAGGGATCTTCCCACCTCAGCCTCCTAAATAGCTGGAACTACAGGCGTACACCTCCATGCCTGGTTAATTTATGTATTTTTTTTTTAAGTTGGGGCCTTGCTATGTTGCCCAGGCTGGTCTTGAATTCCTGGCCTTAAGTGATCCTCACATCTTAGCCTTCCAAAGTGCTGGGATTGCAAGTATGAGCCACCACACCTTACCCTGAGTCAATGTCAATGTCCTTTTTTTTTTTTTTTTGAGACGGTGTCTTGCTCTGTCACCCAAGCTGGAGTGCAGTGGCGCAATCTCGGCTCACTACAACCTCTGCCTCCAGGGTTCAAGTGATTCTCTTGCCTCAGCAGCCTCCCGAGTAGCTGGGATTACAGGTGCCCACCATCACACCTGGCTAATTTTTGTATTTTTAGTAGAGACAGGGTTTCGCTATGTTGGCCAGGCTGGTCTTGAACTCCTGACCTCAGGTGATCCACCTGCCTCAGCCTCCCAAAGTGCTGGGATTACAGGTGTGAGCCACCACACCTGACCCTGAGCCAGTGTGTTACTATTTTGATGACTGTATGTTTTGCTATTGGTAAGGCAGGTATCTCACCTTCTTATTCATGATTCTTGGCCTGGGATGCTGTTTAGGAAGTGGACATGGCCTGAGTGTCAAGTGACAGACAGCCTACTGGCTGCATGAGAATGCCAGTCCCTTTTTCAGCCTCTAGTTTGACAAGCAGAGTGGCAAGATGATAGTGTCTGTGACAGCTGAAATCAGGAGTGGTTGGTTGCTCAGGAGGATCGAGAAGAGATGAAACCCTGCCACTTGCCTGAGGGACTCTGCTGTCTCGTTTCTTGCAGGTTAAAAGGCATCTTTCCAAAAATGGCTGAACCTGGTGTGGTGGCTATGCCTGTAATCCCAGCATTTTGGGAGGCCAAAGTGAGAGGATCACTTGAGGACAGGAGTTCAAGACCAGTTTGGGCAACCTAGGGAGACTCCATCTCTCTTTTTTTTTTTTTTTTTTTGAGATGGAGTCTTGCTCTGTCGCCCAGGCTGGAGTGCCGTGGCGCGATCTTGGCTCACTGCGAGCTCCACCTCCCAGGTTCACACCATTCTCCTGCCTCTCAGCCTCCCGAGTAGCTGGGACCACAGGCGCCCGCCACCACGCCCGGCTAATTTTTTTGTGCGTGTGTTTTTAGTAGAGATGGTTTCACCGTGTTAGCCAGGATGGTCTCGATCTCCTGACCTCGTGATCTGCCCTCCTCGGCCTCCCAAACCGCTGGGATTACAGGCATGAGCCACCGCGCCCGGCATTTTTTTTTTTTTTTTTGGAGACAGAGTCTCAGTCCATTGCCCAGGCTGGAGTGCAGTGGTGTGATCTCGACTCACTGCAACCTCCACCTCCCGGGTTCAAGCAGTTCTCCCACCTTAGCCTCCCAAGTATCTAGGGTTATAGGTGCACACCACCGTGTCTGGCTAATTTTTGTATTTTTTGGTAGAGGAGGGATTTCACCATGTTGACCAGGCTAGTCTCAAACTCCTGACTTCAGGTGATCTGCCCGCCTTGGCCTCCCAAAGTGCTGGGATTACAGGCGTGATGTACCATGCCCGAACACCATTTCTTAAAATAAATAAATTAGGCCGGGTGCGGTGGTTCATGGCTATAATCCCAGCACTTCAGGAAGCCGAGATGGACAGATTGCTTGAGCCCAGGAGTTCAAGACCAGCCTGGACAAAGTGGTGAAACCCCCTCTCTACAAAAAATACAAAAATTGGCTGGGTGCAGTGGCTCACGCCTGTAACCCCAGCACTTTGAGAGGCCGAGGTGGGTGGATCACGAGGTCAGGAGATCGAGACCATCCTGGTCAACATGGTGAAACCCCGTCTCTACTAAAAATACAAAATTAGCTGGGCATGGTGGCGCACTTACCTGTAGTCCCAGCTACTCGGGAGGCTGAGGCAGGAGAATCAATTGAACCTGGGAGGTGGAGGTTGCAGTGAGCCAAGATCAGGCCACTACACTCCAGCCTGGCGACAGAGCAAGACTCTGTCTCACGGTGAAACCCCGTCTCTACTAAAAAAAAAAAAAAAAAAAAAATTAGCCGGGCGTGGTGGCGGGCGCCTGTAGTCCCAGCTACTCGGAGAGGCTG
This sequence comes from Homo sapiens, assembly GCF_000001405.40. Classification (NCBI taxonomy): domain Eukaryota; kingdom Metazoa; phylum Chordata; class Mammalia; order Primates; family Hominidae; genus Homo; species Homo sapiens. The sequence goes on from NC_000019.10 coordinate 11,567,778, forward strand.
AGGCAGGAGAATGGCGTGAACCCGGGAGGCGGAGCTTGCAGTGAGCCGAGGCTGCGCCACTGTACTCCAGCCTGGGTGACAGAGCGAGACTCCGTCTCAAAAAAAAAAAAAAAAAAAAAAAAAAAAAAAATTAGCCAGGTGTGGTGGTGTGTGCTTGTAGTCCCAGCTGTTCAGGAGGCTTAGGTGGGAGGGAGGATTGCTTGAGCCCCGGAGACGGAAGTTGCAGTGAGCTGTGATCACACTACTGTACTCCAGCCTGACAGCCTGGGCAACAGAGTGAGACCCTGTCTAAAAAACAGAAAAGTAAAGAAAAAAATAAAATAATTAATTAAGATGGCTGAGTGCTGGCTGGTGTTGTCTCCTCAGCAAGACAGAAGCTCCCTGAGGGCCAGCGCCCACCCTGATTTATTCCTCCTAGTGTCCTTGGGTCCCCAGCTGCCTGGCACAGAGCTTTGGTCCTTGGTGCTCGGTAGAAGTGTCTGGCTGATGTAGAGGAGGGAGCCTGAGTTACAATCCCCCCTCCCCTGCCACTCAGTCTTCGTGTGACATTGGATGTGTCACTTCTTCTTTCTGTGCTCTGGGCCATGAGAACGGGGTCCTTGGGCTATGATGGTGACCTCTGATTCAGACTCCTGCCTGTCTGGTGCCTCTGAGTCAGTGAGAAGAGCGCGGCTGTGACCTCCCTAGACTGTTGTGGTTAAGATTGAGGGACTGCCACTTCCTAGAAATTACCTTGGTCACAGTGGTTAAGCCGTCCAATCTAAGATAAATATTGTACCAAAAAAAATTAAAAAATAAAAACCCACAAAAACACGTCTGAGCTTCTGTAATAGCCTCTGAGAAGCAAGGATGATTCTGGCCCCTGCCTCATGGGCCAGGATCAGAAGTGACGGTAAATGGCAGCTGGAACAAACTCAGGATTACATTTTGGGGATTTGTTTGTTTGCTTGAGACAGAGTCTTGCTCTGTTGCCCAGGCTGGAGTGCAGTGGTACGACCTCGGCCCACTGCAACCTCCACCTCCTGGGTTCAAGTGATTCTCCTGTCTCAGCCTCCTGAGTAGCTGGAATTACAGGCGCCCGCCACAATGCCAGCTAATTTTTGTATTTTTAATGGAGACAGCGTTTTGCCATGTTGATCAGGCTGGTCTCGAACTCCTGATCTCAAGTGATCTGCCCGCCTCAGCCTCCCAAAGTGTTGGGATTACAGGTGTGAGCCACCACCCCTGGCCAGGATTGCATTTTGGAAAGATCACTGCTTAATTATAACAGTTGGCCAGACATGATGGCTCACACCTGTAATCCTGCATTTTGGGAGGCTAAGGAGGAAGAATCACTTGAGGTCAGGAGTTTGAGACCAGCCTAGGCAACATAGCAAGACCCCATCTCTACAAAACACACACACACAAAATTAACCAAGAGTGGTGGGGTGAAGCTGTGGTCCCAGCCACTCAGGAGGCAGAGGCAGGAGGATCCCTTGAGCTCAGGAGGTGGAAACTGCAGTGAGCTATGATTACACCATTGCACTCCAGCCTGGGCAACAGAGTGAGACACTGTTTCAAAAAAAACCAAAAAATTGTAACAGTAACACATACACCTTGTAACAAATTCAACAGTATTGACATCTATAAAGTAGCAAATTATACCAAGATACACACACACACACACACACACACACACACACACACGCGCGCGCGCAAAGTAACAAATAAGCCGGAGCAGTAGCTCATGCCTGTAATCTCAGCACTTTGGGAGGCCTAGGCGGGTGGATCACCTGAGGTCGGGAATTCAAGATCAGCCTGACCAACATGGAGAAACCCTGTCTCTACTAAAAAATACAAAATTAACCAGGCGTGGTGGCGCATGCCTGTAATCCCAGCTACTCAGGAGGCTGAGGCAGGAGAATCGCTTGAATCTGGGAGGCAGAGGTTGCTGTGAGCTGAGATCACGTCACTGCACTCCAGCCTGGACAGCAAGAGGGAAACTTCTTCTCAAAAAAAAAAAAATAAGTAAAATAACAAATGAAAGGTGACAATTTCACCAAGTGCCTCTCCCCAGAAGTAACCTCAGTTACTTTTTTTTTTTTTTGAGATAGTCTCCCAAACTGGAGTGCAGTGGCGTGATCACAGCTCACTGCAGCCTCCACTTCCCAGACAAGAACGATTCTCATGCCTCAGCCTCCCAAATAGCTGGGATTATAGGCATGCATCACCAGGCCTGACTCATTCTTTTGTATTTTTTAGTAGAGGTGGGTTTTTGCCATATTGGCCAGGCTGGTCTTGAACTCCTGTCCTCAAGTGATCTGCCTGCCCCTACCTACCAAAGTGCTGGGATTACAGGCATGAGCCACTGCACTCAGCCCTGTTTACATTTTGTCCAGATTCATTTCACTCCGCTAGGCAGGCAGCTGGAGCCAAACAACTGGGTCCCTGCCGTGTAGCAGTTGCAAGTGGCGGTTGAGGGTGGGCCAAAGGAGGGGTTCCTGTGCCTTGCCTAGCGCTAATGGCCTGGGTTGCCTGGGGGTGGGTGTTACTTAACTCTCCCTCAGAGGGGAACTGGGCTCCCCTGCAACTGTCACATCAGGTCTAGCACTCTGCTTTCAGTATAAGAAAAACAGGCCCTGAGATTTTTTTTTTTTTTTTTTTCCCCTGAAACGGAGTCTCATTCTGTTTCCCAGGCTGGATTGCAGTGGTGTGATCTCGGCTCACTGCAACCTCTGCCTCCTGGGTTCAAGCGATTCTCCTGCATCAGCCTCAGTAGCTGGGATTACAGGCACGTGCCACCATACCCAGCTAATTTTTTGTATTTTTAGTAGGGATGGGGTTTCACCATGTTGGCCAGGCTGGTCTCCAACTCCTGACCTCAAGTGATCTGCCTGCCTCAGCCTCTCAAAGTGCTGGGATTACAGGTGTGAGCCACTGTGCCCAGCCCTGAGATAATTCTCCTTCTAGAAGTTTTCTTACACATTACTTTCACAGCATTGGTCCAGGGACCACCACTGCAGCCTTGTTGGTAAGAGGGAAACAATTATTTATTTATTTATGTATTTTGAGAAAGAGTCTCGCTCTGTTGCTCAGTCTGGAGTGCAGTGGCGTCATATCGGCTCACTGCAACCTCCGCCTCCCGGGTTCAAGCAATTCTCTGCCTCAGCCTCCCAAGTAGCTGGGACTACAAGCACACGCCACCATGCCCAGCTAATTTTTGTATTTTTAGTAGAGACGGGGTTTCACTATATTGGTCAGGCTGGTCTCAAACTCCTGACCTCAGGTGATCCACCTGCCTCGGCCTCTGAAAGTGTTGGGATTACAGGTGTGAGCCACCATGCCTGGCCTAGAAGGAAAGATTTAAAAAGACCACGGCTGGGTGCGGTGGCTCACGCCTGTAATCCCAGCACTTTGAGAGGCCGAGGTGGGTGGATCATGAGGTCAGGAGTTCAAGACCAGCTTGGCAAAGATGGCGAAACCCCATCTCTACTAGAAATACAAAAATTAGCTGGGCATGGTGGCGTGTGCTTGTAGTCCCAGCTACTTGGGAGGCTGAGGCAGAGAATTGCTTGAACCCGGGAGGCGGAGGTTGCAGTGAGCCAAGATCGTGCCACTGCACTCCAGCCTGGCTGATGGAGTGAGACTCCATCTCAAAAAAAAAACCTCAATGAGGCTGAGCACTTTGGCACTTTGGCTCACGCCTGCAATCCCAGCACTTTGGGAGGTTGAGGCAGGAGGATCACCTGACCCTGTGAATTTGAGGCTGCAGTGAGCTATGATCCTGCCATTGCACTCTAGTCTGAGTGACAGAGCAAGATTCTGTCTCTCAAAACAACCCCCAAAACCAATAAAATCCTGCAAGGGGCACTAGCAAGGAGCCAGTGACATAAGGCAGAAGCTTCGTGGCTGTCAAAAAGAAGTGCGATCTTTTTCCTTGTTCCTGGGAATCCTGCAAACATGTCTGCCCCATAGGTAATGCGTAGACAAGGTCATTTGTTATGACATTGAGGATTGCAAAATTGTTCGAAGTGTTACAGGAAAGGGGTCTCGATCCAGACCCCAAGAGAGCATTCTTGGATCTTATGCAAGAAACAATTCAGGACTGGGCACAGTGGCTCATGCCTGTAATCCCAGCACTTTGGGAGGCCAAGGCAGGTGAATCACCTGAGGTCAGGAGTTCAAGACCAGCCTGACCAACATGGTGAAATGCCGTCTCTACTAAAAATACAAAATTAGCCAGGCATGGTGGTGGGGGCCTGTAATCCCAGCTACCTGGGAGGCTGAGGCAGGAGAATTGCTTAATCGGTTGAACCCAGGAGATGGAGGTTGCAGTGAGCCAACATTACACCCATGTACTCCAGCCTGGGTGACAGAGTGAGACTCCATCTCAAAAAAGAAAAAAAAAAAAGTGGAGTGCAGTAACGGGAATGTGTGCAGAACTATGTGTATATTGTGTTGCTTTTGGTGTAAAAAATGGGAATGTGTTTGCAGTGGCATGCCCCTGTAATCTCATCTACTCGGGAGGCTGAGATGGATCACTTGAGCCCAGGAGCTCAAGACCAGCCTGGGCAACATAGCAAAACTCTGTCTCTGAAAAACAGTCTGGAAGCAATAGCTCATGCCTGTAATCCCAACACTTTCGGAGGCTGAGGCAGGAGGATTGCTTGAGCCCAGGAGTACAAGACCGGTTTGGGCAACAGAACAAGACTCCCATCTCTACAAAAAAAAAAAATCTAAAAATTAGTTAGGAGTGGTGGTGCGTGCCTGTAGTCCTAGCTACTTGAGAGGCTAGGGTGGGAGGATTTCTTGAGCCCAGGAGTTTGAGGCTGCAGGGAGCTATGATTGCACCACTGCACTCCAGCCTGGACAATATAGCAAGACCCCTCTCCCTAAAGAAATAATAGGCCGGGCACGGCGGCTCACGCCTGTAATCCCAACACTTTGGGAGGCTGAGGCGGGCAGGTCATGAGGTCAGGAGATTGGGACCATCCTGGCCAACATGGTGAAACCCCATCTCTACTAAAAATACAAAAATTGCCAGGCGCGGTGGCTCACTCCTGTAATCCCAGCACTTTGGGAGGCTGAGGCAGGCGGATCACGAGGTCAGGAGATTGAGACCATCCTGGCTAACACGATGAAACCCCATCTCTATTTAAAAATACAAAAAACGAGCCGGGTGTGGTGGCAGACGCCTGTAATCCCAGCTACTTGGGAGGCTGAGGCAGGAGAATGGTGTGAACCCGGGAGGCAGAGCTTGCAGTGAGCCGAGATCACGCCGCTGCACTCCAGCCTGGGCGACAGAGCAAGACTCCATCTCAAAAAAAAAAAAAAAAAAAAAAAAAATTAGCTGGGCGTGGTGGCGCGTGCCTATAATCCCAGCTACTCAGGAGGCTGAGCCAGGAGAATTGCTTGAATCTGGGAGTTGGAGGTTTCAGCGAGCCGAGCTCACGCCACTGCACTCCAGCCTGGTGACAGAGTGAGACTCCATCTCAAAAAAAAAAAAAAAGAAAAAAAAAAGAAAATAATAAAGGGAATGTTTTGATTATGGAGGCATAGACTATATAGAGAAAGAAAATGATTAATATTAGTTGCCCCTGGGGTGGAGGAAGACTTGCTTTATGTTGTACCCTTCTTTCTGCTTGGATTTTATTGAATTAATTTTTTTTTTGAGACAGAGTCTTGCTCTATCACCCAGGCTGGAGTGCAGTGGCACAATCTCAGCTCACTGCAATCTCCGCCCTCACCTCTCCACCCCCTTTACCCGCAAACCCCCTAGGCTCAAGTGATTCTCTCGCCTCAGCCTCCCAAGTAGCTGGGATTACAGTCATGTGTCACCACGCCTAGATAAGTTTTGTATTTTTAGTAGAGATGGGGTTTCACCATGATGGCCAGGCTGGTCTTGAACTTCTGACCTCAAGTGATCCGACCACCTAGGCCTTGCAAAGTGCTGGCATTACAGGTGTGAGCCATCGTGCCTGGCCTATTTTATTTACTTATTTTTTTTGAGACAGATTCTTGCTCTGTCACCCAGGCTGGAGTACAGTGGCACAATCTCAGCTCATTGCAACCTCCGCCTCCTGGGTTCAAGCAATTCTCCTGCCTCAGCCTCCTGAGTAGCTAGGACCATAGGCTCCTGCCACCACAACTGGCCAATTTTTTTTTTTCAGGCAGAGTTTAACTCTTGTTGCCCAGGCTGGAGTGCAGTGGCGCAATCTTGACTCACTGCAGCCTCCACCTCCCAGATGCAAGTGATTCTCCTGCCTCAGACTCCCAAGTAGCTGGGATTACAGGCACTCGCCAGCAAGCCTGACTAACTTTTTGTATTTTTAGTGGACATGGGGTTTCACTATGCTGGCCAGGCTGATCTTGAACTCCTGACCTCAAATAATCCACCCGCTTTGGCCTCCCAAAGTGCTGGGATTACAGATGTGAACCACTGAGCCTGGCCTCTGCTTGGATTTTATTTTTTTTTTATTTTTTATTTTTTTGAGATGGAGTCTCGCTCTTTCACCCAGGCAGGAGTGCAGTGGCGCTATCTTGGCTCACTGCAAGCTCCGCCTCCTGGGTTCACACTATTCTCCTGCCTCAGCCTCCCAAGTAGCTGGGACTACAGGCACCCGCCGCCACGCCTGGCTAATTTTTTTGTAGTTTTAGTAGAGACGGGGTTTCACCATGTTAGTCAGGATGGTCTCGATCTCCTGACCTCGTGATCCGCCCACCTCGGCCTCCCAAAGTGCTGGGATTACAGGTGTGAGCCACCGTGCCTGGCCGGGTTTTATAATCACATCCATGGATAAGGCAACTTGGTCATGGATGGGGTAAGAGATGGAGGCAAGGAACAGCAGCTCAGGGGAGCCCAGCCACTCTAACCAGGAGAACATAACACACCAGTGGCACTGGTTCAGCCTTGGCAACTATTCTTTTATTGAACATCAGTAACAGAAAGATGCTTGATTTAGGAGGAAGCTTTCCCTCCCTCCCTCCCCCATTGCACCCCGGAACTCAGCAAAGGTGAGCCAGCCACAGAGCATAACACTGTGGCTGGGACACATGTCCATGTGTGTTTCACATACGTGGGCATCTGTGCCACAAGGGTCATGTGGCACCACAGTTCATCAGCTGTGTTTCCCCTTCCTGCCCTGCTGCAGCGCCACAGGTTGGAGGAAAAGCCTGCCTGTGAGCAGGGTCCCGGCAGGGCCCACCCACCCAACAGTGGAGATCGGGCCTCAGAGCTGGGCAGTCATGGGAGTTCAGGGCCTGGCTCGCCTCGGCAGCCTGGTCTTAAAGAGGGACTTGCCCGAGGCCTCGATGTAAGTGACAGTCATCTCTTTGGAGCTGATCTCCACATAGGCAAAGCCACCCAGTGAGTCTTCAGTCCCATAGTGGAAGCGCAGATAGCCGTTGGGGACCTTGCGCTGGTGCCGCTTTGAGGGGTCCATGAAATTCCCAGCCCCACTCAGCACGTAGCCCACGCCATTCTCATCTTGCAGGTACTGAGGATGGAGGACAAGGGGTCAGTGGAGACCCAGCTTTGAGCAGAGCCCTGCCTAAGGTCCAGGGCTCGATCTGGCCCTAACCACAGAGTCACCTTGAGGTATGTAACCCCTCCTGGCTTCAATTTCCTGACTTTTAGGAGTGTATTAATCCTATTTCATAGGTAGAGCACTTAGTAAGAAATTGGTGGCCAGGTGTGGTGGCTCATGCCTGTAATCCCAGCACTTTGGGAGGCTGAGGGGGTGGATTGCTTGAGCCCAGGAATTTGAGACCAGCCTGGGCAACATAGTGAGACCTTGCCTCTACAAAAAAAATGCGCAAGGGCCAGGTGCAGTGGCTCATGCCTATAATCCCAGCACTTTGGGAGGCCGAGGCGGGCAGATCACTTGAGGTCAGAAGTTCGAGATCAGCCTGGCCAACATGGTGAAACCCCGTCTCTACTAAAATATAAAAATTAGCAAGGTTTGGTGGCCCATGCTTGTAATCCCAGCTACTTGGGAGGCTGAGACAGGAGAATTGCTTGAACCCAGGAGGCGGAGGTTGCAGTGAGTTGAGATCGTGCCACTGCACTCCCTCTCAAAAAAAAAAAAAAAAGCAAAAATTAGCTGCATGTGGTGGCCCATGCCTGTAGTGTCAGCTACTCTGGAGGCTGAAGTGGGAGGTTCACCTGAGCCCGGGAGATTGAAGCTGCAGTAAGCCCCGATTGCACCACTGCACTCCAGCCTGGGTGAAAAACAATGAAACCTTGTCTCCAAAAAAAAAAAAAAAAAAGAGCTTAAAAAAGAAAGAAAGAAAGAAATTGGCAATTCGAAGATATTATTCTGGCTTTGGAGTGTTTTCCTGGTTAGACAGCAAGATTTGAGGGACAGTCTAGACATTCTGAAGGCCACAGGAGACCCTCAAACAGCAGGAGGACCCCAGCCATGTGGACATCAGCTGGGATGGGGACCCCCCTCACCCAGCTCCCACCCCACCCACAGGGCCCTCACCTGCAGATTGTGATCGTGGCCGCACAGGTAGGCAGTGACCCCGTATGTGGCCAGCAGTGGCCGTAGCTGCTTGACCAGGCAGTGGGTAGGCCCGTGCTCGGCTATGGACCACACGGGGTAGTGGCCAGCCACCAGCACGTAGTCCTCCCTGGCCGCCGCCAGCTGTTTCTTGAGCCAGGACAGCTGTGTGCGGGCCAGCTTCACGTCTCGGGGCCTCTCAGGCTGCTGGCTGAGGAAGTCATCTGAGTTGCCACATAGTGTCACTGTGTCCAGCATAAAAATGGCCACAGACACATTGGTCTGTGGGATCTTGAAGTGCAGGCGGTAGAAAGGGCTGGGGAAGTTCCTGTGGAGGGGATAGAGGTCGTGGGTGCACATCTTGGGCGCAGAAGTCCCAGGGTCAGCTCAAGCCACAGGGCCCCTGTGTCCCTGCTATGTGAGGATCTCGGAAGGCAGGGCTGAGGGTGGCTCACCAGCGCTTGGAGATCTTAGAGTATGCAATCTGGGCAGAGACATTGCCAAGGTGGTCATGGTTTCCGGCTAGCACGTACCAGGGCACTTTGCGAAGGGAGCGGTCAGAGAATACGTCCTCAAAGGTCTCCTGTAGCAAACAGATAGGGCAGGCCTCTTCCCTGGGGTCAGTGGCTATGCCGATCCTCCCACCAAGTCAGGATAAGGGAGACACTGAATGCTCCCGGCGCCCAAAGGTGCCCCATCACCTTCCCTCTGCCCTCACCAAAGGAAGGTCACTAGGTAAGGCGGCTTCTCCCCACTGCCCGCCCCCACCTCCTGCCCCACTCTGTTGGGCACAGACCTGGAACCTCTTGTCATTGATGTCTTGCACACCAGTGAAGTAAAAATTGTCCCCTAGAGACAGGATGAAGTCTGCACCCAGGATCTGCACAGTCCGAGCGATCTCCTTGGCATTGGCCATTTCCCGGGCCGTGTGGAATGGGGCATTGGGGACCCCTCCCCAGTCACCCACGGCTACAAAGCGCAGGGCAGGGGTGGCACCATCAGCCAGGGAGGGTAGCAACAAGGCTTGCAGGATGAGCAGCGCCGTCCACATGTCCATCTGGGAGAAGAGAGACAAGCATAGGTGGCCCGGGCTGTGACAAGGGCAGGGAGGCCTTGAGACCCCCGCCTGCCCTGAGATAGAGGGAGACTGCTTGCTGCAGGCTGCCCCTGCGGGAACCCCTTGGTGCCCTAATTCTCAGGACACACAAGCTGCACAAGGCTGCACAAGCTGGCTTAGGGAAGGGGGGCGCGGTCTGTGAGAGGGCGAGCTGTACCAAGATGGCCCTGCAGGCCCATTTCACCCTCCTTCCACCTAGCCTGCCCAGCACTCACCCAGGGGGAGACACAGGCCAGTCACCGGAGGCTCTGAGAGGCTGGTGGGCTCTAGAGTAGAACTGCCGGTCCCTGAGCCTTTATTCCCTGAGGAGGAAGTGGATCATTAGTGAGGATGATGCAGTTTCTCCGAGGGCTGTCCCGGGAGCCCTCCCCTTGGGTCATGTGAGCCCTGGACTTCCCTGGAGCAGGACACGGGATTGGGGTGGGGGTGGGAGGATCTGGGCACACGTGTGCAGCAGCCTCGGCCCACACAGCCTCCGGGTGGACCTGCAGGGGCCTGTTTGTGCTGTAGGCTTGACACGTCCAGGTATCTCTGTGTGTCTGTGTATCTCAGTGTGAGTGTGTGTGTGTGTGCACACTTGAGAGGCTGTGGCTGTGATTACCCAAGACACATCTCCTGCACCTTCTTTCTCTGAGTAAGGGCTTACCTGTGTGTGTCTGGGTGTGTCTTGCTTCCTGCGTGCAGCTGAGCATGCCTACCTGGGCCTCGGCTCTGTACCTGATGGTGTTGCTGCAGACATGTATGCTGAGCCTGCGAGGCCTGTGTGGCTTGTCTGCGATGCACGCCTGTGTTCTCACGTGGCACTGGGTGGGAATCCCTATGGATGGAGTTTTGTGTGTGTCCATGTGTGTGTGCCTGGGTTGCATCTCTAGGATGGGTTGCGTGTCTGGTGTGGGAGCTGTGTTTGACAACATCTGGGTGGGGGACTCCGCGTGTGTCCCCGTCCTCCCCCTGCCCTCTCTCCATCCCACACATAAACACCAACGGGCTTCCCTTTTCCAGGAAGTCCTGCCCACACCCTCCCCTCCCCCCAGACTCCCATTCCTGCAGGAGGAACCAGGCAGGAGGCAGCTAGCTGGTGATAGCGCGCGTGACCACAGACCTCTGACCCTCATAGTCTCAGCAGCTGTCTGCAGGCCCTCCACGGGACCGCAGCCTGGGAGGGCAGGAGGCCCTGCACCTGCGGCCGGTCTGACCTGCTCCTCACCTCCCTGCCTGCCTCCTCCGTGCTGGGCGCCGCCGCGACACGTCCCGCGGACATTCAGGAGTCCCTTCAGTCCCTGCGAGCGCGGACCCGGGAGAGAGCTCTCATTCAACGCTGAGGCCACTGGCTCACAGATCTCCCCGGGTCACCCTGCGAAGTGCTTGGTCCCCCCCATTCCCAGCCCTGCAGCAGCAACAAACGGGAAGGAAGTGGGTGACGAGGACAGGCAGAGACCCCTCCCACGGGGCCGCCCGCATCTCACCTGCCGTCGCGGGGCGGGCGTTGCGGCCGGTGCCCAGCTGCAGATCCGCAGGCGATCGCACTCCTGGCGGCCCCAGCTTTAAGCAGGCAGCGGCCGATCCGCCCTGCTCGAGGGCTCAGGGCTGACCCAGGTGAGCCCCGGCGGGGAGGGCGGGCGCCTCGGCCTCCCCGCCCCGGAACCCTGCACCGCCCAGAGCCGCCACGCCTCCCGGCTGTAGGCTCCGCATCTGTAAAATGGGCCGATGAACCCCAAGGGTCGGCTCAGACCCACGGACTGCAGCTGCAGCTGGGCTAGAAGGGGTGGCCAGGGGAGCCGATTTCATCCTTTTCCTTCCTCCACGCCAACCAGGAGCCTCCATCTGCCTGGGACCCTTTGGGGGCACCCATGGGCCCACAGCCGCAGAACCACAGCACTGGGTGGGGTTTCAGCCCTGGGGCCAAGCTCTTGTGAGGTCTGTCATCATCTTCTCCTGTTGTTTTGTTTTTTTGTTTGTTTGTTTGTTTGGTTTTTTTTTTTTTGAGACAGAGTCTCGCTCTTTCACCCAGGCCGGACTGCAGTGGCGCGATCTCGGCTCACTGCAAGCTCTGCCTCCCGGGTTCTCGCCATTCTCCTGCCTCAGCACCCCCGAGTAGCTGGGACTACGGGCGCCGCCACCGCGCCCGGCTAATTTTTTGTATTTTTTAGTAGAGACGGGGTTTCACCGTGTTAGCCAGGATGGTTTCGATCTCCTGACCTCGTGATCCACCCACCTTGGCCTTCCAAAGTGCTGGGATTACAGGCGTGAGCCACCGCGCCCGGCCTGTTTTTGTTTTTTTTTTTTTTGAGACAGTTTTATTCTGGTTGCCCAGGCTGGAGTGCAGTGGCGCAATCTTGGCTCACGCAACCTCCGCCTCCCGGGTACAAGCGATTCTCCTGCCTCAGCCTCCCTAGTAGCTGTGATTACAGGCACGCACCACCACGCCCGGCTAATTTTGTATTTTTAGTAGAGACGGGGTTTCTCCATGTTGGCCAGGCTGGTCTCCAATGCCCGATCTCAGGTGATCTGCCCACCTCAGCCTCCCAAAGTTCTGCGATTACAGGCGTGAGTCACCATGCCTGGCCAGTCTCCTGTTTTTTTAAAAACTTATTATTTAGCCGGTGTGGTGTCTCACACCTGTAATCCTGGCACTTTGGGAGGCCGAGGTGAGCGGATCACTTGAGGTCAGGTGTTCCAGACCAGCCTGGGCAACATGGCAAAACCTTGTCTCTACTAAAAAGACAAAAATTAGCTGGAGGTGCTCTCTTGAACCCAGGAGGCAGAGGTTGCAGTGAACTGAGATCATGCCACTGCACTCCAACCCAGGAGGAGGAGGTTGCACTGAGCCAATATCATGCCACTACATTCCAGCCTGGGCGACAGAGCAAGACTCTGTCCCCCCCAAAAAAAAAACAGAAAAAAAAAAAAAGAAAGAAATCTGAAGCAATTATGACCAAATGTTAACATCTGTTTCTTCACGTGGTGGGTACAGGCGTGTTTTGGAAGCTTCTATGCTTCCTGTATTTTGAGATCACACAAAATTATGTTTATTATCTTATTGTGCTACATGATCTTTGTAGAAAAGTTGGTAAATTCTGGAATGCACGAAGAAAAAGATTATAATAGCCAGTAATACCCCTGCCCAGAGAGACAGTATCCATTAATTTTTCTCTGCCTATGTTTGTCTTCGGAAAAATGGGATACTATTGGCACTATTTTATAACTTTTTAATTTGTATTAACACTTTCTATATTTTTTAAATTGAAAAAGCTGGCCAAGCATGGTGGCTCAGGCCTGTAAACCCAGCCAATGTGGGAGGATCGCTTGAGCCCGGGAGTTCAGGAACAGCCTGGGCATCGTGGCGAGACCACATTGCTACAAAAAAAAAAAAAAAAAAAAAAAAAATTAGCCAGGCATGGTGGTGCACACCTGTGGTTCCATCTACTCAGGAAGCTGAGGTGGAGGATCGCTTGAGCCTGGGAGTTTGAGGCTGCAATAAGCTACGAATGCACCACTGACCTTCAGCCTGGGCAACACAGCTAGACTCTTGTCTCAGAGAGAGAGAGAGAGAGAGAGAGAGAGCACAATGAAAAAAATAAACCTGATCTTGCACAGAGCATGTAATAAAACCTGTGCGTTCTTGGCTATCTCTCTCTGGTCTCCTCCAGGGTGCTGAATAAGCTCTTCTCTCTCCATTCACCCAGGAGAACTCTCTTCTGCTGATTTTCTGTGGAGCTAGATCAGGCTGTGACTCAGAATCTCCCTCCACCTCCACCCTTTCCTATTTTCCCAACACCAGTGTCAATCTCAGATGTCAACAACCCCACGAGTGAGTTCCTCCTGTTGCCAATACATCCAGGTCCTGTTCTCCGCTGCTGTCTCTACCCAATCCCTTCCCTTCCTTCCTCCTGCCAATCCTGCTTTCCCTGTTTCTTGCTCCTCTGACCTCCTCCGCATTGCTTGACTGTCTCAGATACACTCTGGCCTCAGGGTCTTGGCACTTTCTGTTCTCCCTGCCTGGAAGGGTCTTCCTTAGTCAGATACTGAGGTCACCCATTGTGTTCAAGTTCCTTTAATTTATCTGAAATGAGTCTGGGCGTGGTGGCTCACGCCTGTAATCCCAGCACTTTGGGAAGCCAAGCCGGGTGGATCACTTGAGGCCAGGAGTTCGAGACCAGCCTGGCCAACATGGTGAAACCCCATCTCTACTAAAAATACAGAAATTAGCTGGGCGTGGTGGCACAAACCTGTGGTCCCAGCTACTCAGGAGGTCGAGGCAGGAGAATTGCTTGAACCTGGGAGGCGGAGGTTGCAGTGAGCCAAGATCGTGCCACTGTACTCTAGCCTGGGTGACAGAGTGAGACTCTGTCTCAAAAAAAAAAAAAAAAAAAGAAAAAGATAATTTATCTGAAATTATCTGAAATGCACCACCCTGCCCCCATCATTGACTCTCCTGTTGCTGTAGTTTTCTCTGCAGCACTTACCAGTGCTTGAGAAAACCACCCACTCATTTATCTTGCTTTCAGTTTCTCTTGCTTTCAGTCTGTCTTCAGTTAATGAAAGCTTTTTTTTTCTTTCTTTTTTCTTTTTCTAAAACAGAGTCACCCAGGCTGGAGACCAGTGATGCGATCACGGCTCACTGCAGACTCGACCTTCTGGGCTCAGGGGATCCTCCCACACCCCTTGGCCTCCTGGGGATTGAGACTACAGGCACACACCACCACACCCAGCTAATTTTTGTATTTTTTGTAGAGAGAGGGATTTGTCACCTTGTCCAGGCTGCTCTTGAACTCCTGAGTTCAAGCAATCCTCCCAACTCAGCCCCTCAAAGTGCTGGGATTACAGGTGTGAACCACTGCCCCTGGCCTGTTTATTTAAAAAATTAACATTCATTCTCAGTTTATTGGCTAAGTTTAGAAGTAGTATCAGAATGTTTAAGAGAACTTACTGTTCTCCTTTTATTTGTATGTTTGCATTGTAGATTTTTAATAACTGATAAGGACTTCTCAAGGTGTTTGCTTGGTGGAGACATTTAAAAAGATTAAAGAATAGGCCAGGTGCAGTGGCTCATGCCTGTAATCCCAGCACTTTGGGAGGCCGAGGCGGGTGGATCAAGAGGTCAGGAGATCGAGACCATCCTGGCTAACATGGTGAAACCCCATCTCTACTATAAATACAAAAAATTACCTGGGTGTGGTGGCACGTGCCTGTAGTCCCAGCTACTCAGGAGGCTGAGGCAGGAGAATCGCTTGAACCCGGGAGGCAGAGGTTGCAGTGAGCTGAGATCGCACCATTGCACTCTAGCCTGGGTGGTAGAGCAAGACTCTGTCTCAAAAAATAATAATAATAAATTAAAAGATTAAAGAATAAGCTGGCACAGTGGCTCACACCTGTCATCCCAACACTTTTTGTAGAGACCTCATCTCTTAAAAATAAAATTAGCTGGGCGTGGTTGTGTGCACCTGTAGCCCAGCTACTCAGGAGGCTGAGGTGGGAGCATTGCTCAGGAGGTCGAGGCTGCAGTGAGCCATGATTGCACCACTGCACTCCAGTCTGGGTGACAGAGCTGATACACTGTCTCTAAAAAATAATAATAATTGACCGGGCGCAGTGGCTCACGCCTGTAATCCCATCACTTTGGGAGGCCGAGGCGGGCGGATCACGAGGTCAGGAGATCGAGAGCAACATGGCTAACACGGTGAAACCCCGTCTCTACTAAAAATACAAAAAAATTAGCTGGGCGTGGTGGTGGGCGCCTGTAGTCCCAGCTACTCGGGAGGCTGAGGCAGGAGAATGGCATGAACCTGGGAGGTGGAGCTTGCAGTGAGCCAAGATCGCGCCACTGCACTCCATCCGGCTTGGGTGACAGAGCGAGACTCCATCTCAAAAAAAAAATTAATAATAATAATTATTATTATAGTAGTAAAAGAGTATAGAATAAAATGCATCACACTTATAAAATGTAAAATGTTAATTTCAATCCACTAAACTTATAAACGGACCCAAATATGCATCCAATGACCTCTTAAAGTGATATTTCTTTTTCTTTTTGTTGAGATGGAGTCTCACTCACTCTGTCACCCAAGCTGGAGCGCAGTGGTGTGATCTTCAGCTCGTCCCAACCTCCGTCTCCCAGGTTCAAGCGATTCTCCTGACCTCAAGTGATCCGTCTGCCTTGGCATCCCAAAGTGCTGGGATTACAGGCCTGAGGCCAGGCCCTGAATTAATTTTTTGATGTTTCACTTTGCCAGGTGTATAAGTAACATGTTAGTTGTGATTGTAACTAAATAAAGGCTTAAGGGAAACCGTGTTTCTAAATTTCTAAATTGACTACACATTTACAAAGGAACCCACAAAGATGGATTTTTGGGCCGGGCGCAGTGGCTCACGCCTGTAATCCCAGCACTTTGGGAGGCTGAGGCAGACAGATTGCCTGAGTTCAGGAGTTCAAGATCAGCCTAGGCAACAAGGTGAAACCCTTTCTCTACTAAAATACAAAAAAATTAGCTGGGCATGGCAGCGAGCACCTGTAATCCCAGCTACTTGGGAGGCTGAGGCCGGAGAATTGCTTGAACCAGGGAGGCAGAGGTTGCAGTGAGTCGAGATCACACCACCGCACTCCAGCCTGGGCAACACAGTGAGACTCGATCTTAAAAAAAAAAAAAAAAGATGGACTTTTTCGGGGCCCCAAGGCTTCAAAATTCAAAATGCTGTCATGAGTTAGTTTGATTTGAGGAACCAAAAATTGGCTTTTGTGGCTGGAGCAGAGTGAGCAAGGGGGAAGTGAATCCGGAAGGTTGAGTCTGCAAGGTCAAGGGCAAGGAACAGAGAAGGGTGTGGGTGGGGCAGGTTGCGTGTGCTCTTGGGGGCTGCAGGGAAGGGGGCTTTTATCTGGGTAAGGTGGGAGCCACAGAGGGTTCTGATCAGAGGGACAGATCTGACTTAGATTTTGCATGATGTCCCCCAGCTGTGGGCTGCGGGGCATGGGCTGCTGAATAGGTGGTTTAGGTGGGCAAAGATGGGTCATGGTGCCCCCTACCCTTTAAAAATTAAAAGACAGGGCCAGGAGCAGTGGCTCACGCCTGTAATCCCAGCACTTTGGGAGGCTGAGGTGGGCGGATCACCTGAGGTCAGGTGTTTGAGACCAGCCTGACCAACAAGGTGAAACCCCATCTCTACTAAAAATACAAAAAAAATTAGCTGGGCGTGGTGGCAGCCACCTGTAATCCCAGCTACTCGGGAGGCTGAGGCAGGAGAATCGCTTGAACCCGGGAAGCAGAGGTTGCAGTGAGCCAAGATCGTGCCACTGCACTCCAGCCTGGGCGACAAGAGCAAGACTGTCTCAAATAATAATAATAGGCCGGGTGTGGTGGCTCACACCTGTAATCCCAGCACTTTGGGAGGTTGAGGTGGGTGGATCACTGGAGCCCAGGAGTTTGAGACAAGCCTGGGTGACACAGTGAGACCCCATCTAAATTATTATTATTATTATTATTTGAGACAGAGTCTTGCTCCATCACCCAGGCTGGAGTGCAGTGGCGCGATCTTGGCTCACTGCAAGCTCCGCCTCCCGGGTTCACGCCATTCTCCTGCCTCAGCCTCCCAAGTAGCTGGGACTACAGGTGCCCGCCACCACGCCCAGCTAATTTTTTGTATTTTTTAGTAGAGACGGGGTTTCACCATGTTAGTAAGGATGGTCTGGATCTCCTGACCTTGTGATCCGCCTGCCTTGGCCTCCCAAGGTGCTGGGATTACAGGCGTGAGCCACCATGCCCAGCCTGAATTTTTTTTCTTAAAGATTAAAAAGGCAGAGCCTCTCTGCTCCTCCCATTTGACAGACAGCCACATCTTTTCATGCAGTGAAAAAGGCATGTCCCCGAGACACCGTGGTGAAAGTGAAGACAGGAGTAAATGGATTTGGCCATATTGGGTGCCTGGTCACCAGGGCACCAGAGCTGCTTTTAACTCTGGCAGAATGGATGTTGTCACCTCAATGACCCCTTCATTGACCTCAACTACATGGTCTACATGTTCCAATATGATTCTACCCACGGCAAGTTCCGCGGCACCATCAAAGCTGAGAAGTGGGCTGGGTGTGGTGGCTCATGCTTGTAATCTCAGCTACTTAGGAGGTTGAGGTGGGAGGATCACTTGAGACCAGGAGTTCAGGACCAGCCTAGGCAACATAGGGAGATCCTCTCTCTCTTAAAAAAAAAAAAAAAGAAAAGAAAAGACTGAGAAAGAGAAGGGAAGCTTGTCATCAATAGGAAATGGGAATCTCATCCCCATCTTCTAGAAGCCAGATCCCAGCAAAATCAAATTGGGTGACGATGCTGGCACTGGTTATGTCATGGAGTCCACCAGCAGCATCTTCACGACCATGGGGAAGGCTGGGGCTCGCTTAGGATGGGCAGCCAAAGGGATCACCATCTCTGCCCCCTCTGCCCATGCCCCCATGTTTGTGATGGACATGAACCATGAGAGATACAAAAACCTCATGATCGTCAGCAATGCCTCCTGCACCACCAACTGCTTACCCTCCGGCCAAGGTCATCCGTGACAACGTTTTTTTTTGGTTTGGTTTGGTTTTCTTTCTTTCTTTTTTCTTTTTTTGTTTTAAATAGGGATGGAGGCCAGGTGCAGTGACTCATGCCTGTAATCCCAACACTTTGGGAAGCTGCGGTTGGAGGATCACTTGAGCCTAGGAGTTCAAGACCAGCCTGGCCAACATAGCAAGACTCTGTCTCTACAAAAAGTTTAAAAAAATTATCCAGGCATGGTGGGGTGTATCTGTAGTCCCAGCTATTTGAGAGGCTGAGGTGGGAGGGTTGCTTGAGCTTGGGAGGTTGAGGCTGCAGTGAGCCGGGTGACGGAGTAAGACCCTATTTCATAAATAAATAAATAGAGACGGGGGTCTCACTTTGTTGCCCAGGCTGGTCTTAAACTCCTGGGCTCAAGTGATCCTCCCACTTTGGCTTCCCAAAATGCTGAGATTACAGGCTGAGCCACTGACCCTGGTCATCCATGACATCTTTGGCAACATGGAGGGGCTCATGACCACAGCCCCTCTGGGAAACTGGCGTGACAAACATCATCCCTGCATCTACTGGCACGGCCAAGGCTGTGGGCAAATTCCTGCACTGAACAGGAAGCTCACTGGCACAGCCTTCCGAGTCCCTGCCACCAATGTGTTGGTGGTTGACCCGACCTGCCATCTGGAGAAACCTGCCAAATATGATGACCTCAAGAAGGTGGTGAAACAGGCATTGGGGGGGCCCCCTCAAGGGCATCCCGGGCTACATTGAGAACAAGGTTATATCCTCCGCCTTTGTTTTTAAATTATATTTATTTATTTTTTTGATAGGGAGTCTCGTTCTGTCTCCCAGGCTGGAGTGCAGTGGCGCGATCTTGGCTCACTGCAACCTCCACCTCCTGGGTTCAAGCAATCAATTCTCCTGCCTCAGTCTCCCGAGTAGCTGGGATTACAGGCGCACACCGCCACACCCAGCTAATTTTTTGTATTTTTAGTAGGGATGGGGTTTCACCATGTTGGCCAGGCTGGTCTCAAAATCCTGAACTCAAGTGATCCACCCGCCTCAGCCTCCGAAAGTGCTGGGATTACAGGCCTGAGCCACCGTGCCTGGCCGTCTCCTCTGACTTTTAACAGCGACACCCATCCTTCCACCTTCTGTGCTGGGGCTAGCATTGCCCTTGATGACACTTTGTCAAGTTCATTTCCTGGCATGACAATGTATTTGGCTTCAGCAAAAAGGTGGTGGTCCACACTGTCTCCAAGGAGTAAGACCCTCAGACCAGGAGCCCCAGTGACAGTATGAGAGGAAGAGAGAGGCCCTCAGCTGCTTGGGAGTCCCTGCTGCACTCAGCCCCCCACCACACTGAAAATCTCCCCATACACAGTTTCCATGCCAGACCCCCTGAAGAACAGGGCCTATCAATAAAGCAGTAAGGTCCTCTGTACTTAGACCAAAAACAAAAAAAAACAAAAAAAAAACAAAAAATGAAAATTACTCTTGCCTGTAATCCCAGCATTTAGGGAGGCTCAGGTGGGAAGATTGCTTGAGCCTAGGAGTTTGAGACCAACCTGGGCAATATGGTGAGACTTTGTCTCCAATATAGATAGATGATAGACGGATGGATAGAAGATAGACAGATTAGACAGAGAGAGAGAGAGAAAGGAGAGAGAGAGAGAGAGAGAAAAGAGGGGAGGGGAGGGGAGGGGAGGGGAGGGGAGGGGAGGGGAGGAGAGGAGAGGAGAGGAGAGGAGAGGAGAGGAGAGGAGAGGAGAGGAGAGGAGAGGAGAGAGAAATTAGGCAGAGGAGAGGAGAGAGAAATTAGGCAGATGCCTTGGGCAGTGAAGTCCCTGGGGATGGTCTACTGTTCCCGCAGCCTGAGCGCCTTTTTCAGACGTTTTTATCTGTCCACTGCTGCCCCTGCATGGCCACAGCCTGAACTGCAGCACCGAACGCAGACCCAGTTTCCCTTTTGGAGAAGAAATTAATGCTCCTTCCAGCCCCCCACTTGCCACTAGGCCTGTGCAGGGCGTGGACAGATTCTACAGTGGATCCAGCCAGAGACTGCCCCAGAGAAAATTCCAGGGGTGGGATGAGTGAGGTATGCTGGGACTGGAATGTTTGTAGGATAACATGATGAGCAGCCGGATTCCCAGGAAATTGCAAACCGTGTCTGCTCTGGTGAGATTCTCAGAGGAGGGGATCTATAGGCAGTTCTGAGTAGGCACTGGGTAAAAGCCTGGAAAGAGGACCCTGGCTTGGATGGGGCTCTGCCTCACTCGCCATGAGCTCCTTGGCGCTATCAGTCAGCACAGTTCAGCTGCATGGGTGTGAAGGTGTCCTGGTGACTGGCTACCCCCATGCCTGCCTCAGTGCACGGGAGGTGGAATTATGGATTTGGTGGGGCTCGCACAGGCTAAGGGACTGATTTTCAGTCTGGAGAATGGGAGGGCAGGATGAGCTGTGGAGGGTCAGGCTGGTGGTTTGGAGGGTGGCATGATGTAAATGTAGCTGTTCACTGTTGTAGTTTGCTGCCACCAGTTCAGTCTGGCTAGGTTCCAGGTGGGTCAATAATCTCAAATGGGGCTGGGCTCAGTGGCTCACACCTGTAATCCCAGCACTTCGGGAGGCCGAGGCGGGTGGATCACTTGAGGCCAGGAGTTCGAGACTAGCCTGCCTAACATGGTGAAACCTCGTCTATACCAAAATATAAAAAATTAGCCAGGTGTGGTGGCGGGCGCCTGTAAGCCCAGCTACTCGGGAGACTGAGGCAGGAGAATGCTTGAACCCAGGGGGTGGAGGTTGCAGTGAGCCAAGATCGTGCCACTGCACTCCAGCCTGGGCGACAGAGCGAGATTCCACCAAAACAAACAAACAAACAAAATCCCAAATCGGGAGAGGTGAGGTGGGGTCTGTCATGCCAAGGAGTTGGTTTCTTTCTTTTTTTTTTTTTTTTTTGAGATGGAGTCTCAGTCTGTCACCCAGGCTGGAGTGCAGTGGCGCTATCTCGGCTCACTGCAAGCTCCGCCTCCCGGGTTCACGCCATTCTCCTGCCTCAGCCTCCCAAGTAGCTGGGACTACAGGTGCCCGCCACCACGCCCGGCTAATTTTTTGTATTTTTAGTAGAGACGGGATTTCACCGTGTTAGCCAGGTTGCTCTCGATCTCCTGACCTCTTGATCCGCCCGCCTCGGCCTCCCAAAGTGCTGGGATTACAGGCGTGAGCCACCGCGCCCGGCCAGGAGTTGGTCTTTATATTACCTAACTCCCACCTCTTTCCTCAATGATTTGAACGTTTGATCATTTGAATGTTTGAATGTTTGATCCTCGTGATCAAACATTCCCGTTACTCTCTAGACCCCATCATGCTCCCCCAACCCCTCCCCACATCCTCTCAGATATCCACCAGCTCTAGCCCCCAGAGTAAAAACATCCATCGTCTCCACCATCAAGTGAAAGCAAATGGTGACTTCCTTGCCTCAGCCATTGCTGAGCCAGTTGGATGGCAAGGAGGAAAACCCCACCCAAGCCCCACCTAACCCCTGTCCTCCTTTTCATCCCAGCCGGTGCCCACTGATTCCATGGTTACCTGACTTATCCACTCCAGCTCCTGGTCCTTCTATCCTGGGTACCGCTGAACTGCTTGGGAGTAGCAGGCTGAGAAGTTCTGGTGCCCCTCCTGCAGCAAGGCTGTCAGCGGGCACGGGAGGATGCGGGGACCGGCTGGAGTAAGCCATAGCCAGGGCAGGAAGGAGCCCCACACAGATCTCCCTCAGCTGTGAACTCCACAACGACCCACCTCACAGTCAACAACACCAATGGACACTCGTTCCTCTAATCCCGTTATTACTAGGCACCCATTTCTCTCCACCCAAGGTTTTGTTCACCATCCTCAATTATTTATTATTTTTTTGAGATGGAGTCCAGGCTGAAGTGCAGTAACGCAATTTCGGCTCACTGTAGCCTCTGCCTCCCGGGTTCAAGCGATTCCCCTGTCTCAGTCTCCCAAGTAGCTGGGATTACAGGCCCCCGGCACCACGCCCAGCTACTTTTTGTATTTTTAGTAGAGACGGGGTTTCCCCATGTTTGCCAGGCTGGTCTCAAACTCTTGACTTCAGGTCATCTGCCTGCTTCGGCCTCCCAAAGTGCTGGGATTACAGACGTGAGCCACCACGCCCAGCCGGTACCCCCAATTATTTCAGTATTCATGATCCGCAGGAAGGAATACATATGTTTTGTTGTTGTTGTTGTTGTTTTGTTTTGTTTCTTTTGTATTTTTAGTAGAGATGGGATTTTGCCATGTTGGCCAGGCTGGTCTCAAACTCCTGACCTCAGGTGATCCTCCTGCCTCGGCCTCCCAAAGTGCTGGGATTACAGTTGTAAGCCACCATGCCAGGCCATGAATACATATGTTTTATTGAGTTCTTTTTTTTTTTTTTTTTTTTTTTTTGAGATAGGGTCTCACTCTGTTGCCCAGGCTAGACTGCAGTGGCACCATCTGCTCACTGTGACCTCGACCTCTCAAGCTCAAGCGATCCTCCTACCTCAGCCTCCCCAGTAGCTGGGACTATAGGCGTGCACCACCATACCTAGCTAATTTTTGTATTTTTTGTAGAGACAGGGTTTGGCCATGTTGCCCAGGCTTCTTCTTTTTCAATGAATGTATTTACAGCTATAAATTTTTCCTTCTAGCACTGCTTTCTCTGCATTCCATACATTTTGATATGTTGGATTTTCATATTTGTCTCAAGGTTGTTTTTATTTTTTATTTTATTTATTTTTATTTTTATTTTTTTGAGACAATTTCCCTCTTGTTGCCCAGTCTGGAATGTAATGGCATAGTCTTCGCTCACTGCAACCTCCGCCTCCTGGGTTCAAGCGATTCTCCTGCCTCAGCCTCCCGAGTAGCTGGGATTACAGGTGCCCGCCACCACACCGGGCTAATTTTTGTATCTTTTGTAGAGATGGGGTTTCACCATGTTGGCCACGCTGGTCTCAAACTCCTGACCTCAGGTATCAGCCTCCCAAAGTGCTGGGATTACAGGCATGAGCCAATGTGCCCCGCCTCAATAGCCTCAAGCAATCTTGTCACTTCAATCCCCTAAACTGGGACTACAGGGAGGCACCACTGTGTCTGGCTTGGATCATATTTTAAACATCTATTCTGCCTATCTCTGTTTTTTGATTGGAAAGTTTAACCCATTTCAATTTAAAGGAATTCCTGAGGTGGAAGGCCCAACTTCAGCCATTTTACCATTTGTGTTCTGTGTGTCTTGGAGCTTTTTTGTTCTTTATTTCTTCCATTACTGCCTTCTTTTCTGTTTACTTGACTTTTTGTAATGAGACTTTTTGATTCTCTTATTTCCTTTCGTGTATTTTCTATAGATATTTTCTTTATGGTTACTATGGGGATTACATTTGACATTCTAAGTTATAATAATATAACTTTATTTTATTTTATTTTGAGACAGAGCCTTATCTGTCACCCAGGCTGGAGTGCAGTGGTGTGATCATGGCTCACTGCAGCATCAACCTCCTGGGCTCAAGCAATCCTCTCACCTCAGCCTCCCGAGTATGTGGGACTATAGGTAAGGGCCACCATCCCTGGCTAATTTTTAAAAAAAATTTTTGTACAGACAAGGTCTTACTATGTTGCCTGAGCTCTTGAACTGCTGAGCTCGAGTGATCCTCTCGCCTCAGCCTCCCAAAGTGCTGGGATTACAGACATGGGCCACTGTTCCCAGCAAAGGTTTAAATGATACCTATTTAACTTCAATAGCATAGAAATATTCTATTCTATTAATTGAGAACTAGTCTTGCTATGTTGCCCAAGCTTAGATTTGAACTCCTGGGCTCAAGTAATCCTCCTGTTTCAGCCTCCCAAGTAGCTGAGACTACATGCATGTGCCATTATGCCTGGTTATGGTATAAACATACTCTATTTCCTTTTTTCTTTTCTTTTTTTTTTTTTTTTTTTTTGAGACGGAGTTTCGCTCTTGTTGCTCAGGCTGGAGTGCAGTGGTGTGATCTCGGCTCACCGCAACCTCTGCCTCCTGGGTTCAAGCGATTCTCCTGCCTCAGCCTCCTGAGTAGCTGGGATTACAGGTGTGCGCCATTACGCCTGGCTAATTTTGTATTTTTAGTAGAGACAGGGTTTCTCCATGTTGGTCAGGCTGGTCTCAAACTCCCGACCTCAGGCAATCCGCCTACCTCGGCCTCCCAAAGTGCTGGAATTACAGGCGTGAGCCACCACGCCTGGCCCAGATACTCTATTTTTATAGTTTCCTCTTCTTTTATGTTATTTTTTAAAATTTTTATTTACTTATTTATTTGAGGTAGGATCTCACTCTGTGACCTAATCTGGAGTGCAGTGGCGTGATCACGGCTTACTGTAGCCTGGACCTTCCGGGCTCAAACAATCCTTCCACCTCAGCCTCCCAAGTAGTTAGGACCATAGGTGCCCACCACCATGACTGGCTAATTTGTTAATTTTTCCATAGAGATAAGGTCTCACTATGTTGCCCAGGCTGGTCTTGAACTCCTGAGCTCAAGCGATCCTCTTGCCTGGACTCCCAAAGTGCTAGGATTACTGGCGTGAGCCACCGCCCCCGGCTCTTTTATGTTGTTAATGTCACAAATCACATCTTTATATATTGAGTGCCCAATATCATAGAAATATAATTATTTTTATTACTTTTCTTGAGAAAGCATCTCGCTCTTGTTGCCCAGGCTGGAGTGCAGTGGCGTGATCTCAGCTCACTGCAACCTCCACCTCCCGAGTTCGAGCGATTCTCCTGCCTCAGCCTCCCAAGTAGCTGGGATTACAGGCATGTACCACCATGCACAGCTAATTTTGTATTTTTAGTAGAGACAGGGTTTCTCCATGTTGGTCAGGCTGGTCCGGAACTCCCAACCTCAGGTGACCTGCCTGCCTCGGCCTCCCAAAGTGCTGGGATTACAGGCATGAGCCACCATCCCCGGCTTTCTTTTTTTCTTTTTGAGACAGAGTCTCGCTCTGTCACCCAGGCTGGAGTGCAGTGGTGCGATCTCAGCTCACTGCAACCTCCGTCTCCCAGGATCAAGCAATTCTCCTGCCTCAGCCTCCTGAGTAGCTGGGATTACAGGCATGCTCCACCACATGCGGCTAATTTTAGTATTTTTAGTAGAGATGGGGTTTCACCATATTGGCCAGGCTGGTCTTGAACTCCTGACCTCAAATGATCCACACACCTCGGCCTCCCAAAGTGCTGGGATTATAAGCATGAGGCACCGTGCCTGGCCGGTCTTTTCTTAATTCTTTTTTTCTGGGCCTCTGTGGTAACTGTAATTTCCTCTGTGGCTGCCTTTGAATGACCTAATTGTCAATGTCTGGGTCCCAAGAGAAAAATAAAATAACAAAAGTGCAAAAAGAAAATAAAATTTCGGCTGAGCGAGGTAGCTCTTGCCTATAATCCCAGCACTTTGAGGGGCTGAGGTGCGAAAATCGCTTGAGTTCAGGAGTCCTAGACCAGCCTGGGCAACATAGCGAGACATTGTCTCTACTAAACCTAAAAAAATATTATCCGCGTATGGTGGCACTTGCCTGTGGTCCCAGTTACTCGGGAGGCTGAGGTGGGGGGATTGCTTGATCCCAGGAGATCGATGCTGCAGTGAGCTATAATAGCACCACTGCACGCTATCCTGGGTGACAGAGCAAGACCTTGTCTTAAAAAAAAAAAAAAAAAAGAAAAAAATCAATACCTTCCAAATTCATTATGCGAAGGGGAAAATTAAGCACTTAAGTCCTAGAAACTGAGTCTTATAATACAGCTTCTCTGATGCATGACTGATGCTTCCTTACCTTTGTTTTGAGACTGTAGCCATCAGACTCCTTGTTCTTCATTCAAACCTATACTAAATGATGTAGGATATGTATACCCTTGCGACTGTTACCGCTTTACAATAGAATGTTAAGCAACCCCCATAGAGTGTAATCAACAGTAGTCAATCACATCTGTTTTTTTTTTTATTTTAATTTTTTTTTTTATTTTGAGACAGAGTCTTGCTCTGTCACCCAGGCTGGAGTGCAGTGGCATGATCTTGGCTCACTGCAACATCTACTTCCTGGATTCAAGCCATTCTCGTGCCTCAGCCTCCTGAGTAGCTGGGATTACAGGCATGTGTCACTATGCCCAGCTACTTTTTGTATTTTTAATAGAGACAGATTTTCACTATGTTGGCCAGGTTGGTCTTGAACCCCTGACGTCAGGTGATCCACCTACCTAGGTCTTCCAAAGTGTTGGGATTACAGGTGTGATCCACGGCACCCAGCCTCAAATCTTATGTCTGTATATTAACATCTGTATGGAAATGTATTTCTGTTCAGCACCTCTGTTTTTGCCTATATAGACAATTTTCACTTTTCCCCACACTGGGATCATTGATCACTATTCTTCGGTGTCAGCATGTCCCTGATGGCCACCCTTGTACTCTGTGTTTGAATAAACTCTTTTTTTTTTTTTTTTTTGAGACAAGGTCTCTGTCATCTAGGCTGGAGTGCAGTGGTGCCATCATAGCTTACTGCAACCTCGATTTCCTGAGATCAAGTGATCCTCCCGTCCTAGCCCCCCGAGTAGCTGGGACTACAGGTGCACCCTATCATGCCCAGCTTATTAAAAACAATATATTTTTTTGAGAGACAGGGTCTCACTATATGGTCCAGGCGGGTCTCAAACTCCTGTGCTCAAGCCGTCCTCCAGCCTTGACCTCCCAAAATGCTGGGATTATAGATATGAGCCACTGTGCCTGGCCTTGAATAAACTATTTTAACTGGATCTTGAGCCTTTCGATTATTTTAGGTTGACAAAGGGAAAAAAATAAAAGGCATCAGCTCTTTATATCCCCCACCACGCCTGGCTAATTTTTTGTAGTTTTAGTAGAGACGGGGCTTCACCGTGTTAGCCAGGATGGTCTCAATCTCCTGACCTCCTGATCCGCCTGCCTCGGCCTCCCAAAGTGCTGGGATTACAGGCATGAGTCACTGCACCCGGCCAATTTTTGTATTTTTTTGTAGAGATGGGGTGGGAGGGTTTACTATGTGGCCCAGACTGGTTTCAAACTGCTAGGCTCAAGCAATCCTCCCGTCTTGGCCTCCCAAAGTGCTAGGATTGGAGGCATGAGCCACTGTGCTCAGCCCCTGGCTAATTTTCATATTTTTTAAATGGGGTTAGGGGTTGGTCTCACTATGTTGCCCAGGCTGGTTTCAAACTCCCGGGCTCAACTGATCCTCCTGCCTTGACCTCCTAAACTGCTGGGATTACAGGCATGAGCCACCATGCCTGGCCATAGATTCTTTATGATTTTTATTCTGCCATCTTCCCTGAATCCTCCAACCTGCCTTTTTTTTTTTTTTCAGGCAAAGTCTTGCTCTGTCGCCCAGGCTGATGTGCAGTGGCACGATCTCAGCTCACTGCAACCTCCACCTCCCAGGTTCAATAATTTTTTGTATTTTTAGTAGAGACGGGGTTTCACTATATTGGCCAGGCTGGTCTCAAACTCCTGACCTCGTTATCCTCCTGCCTCAGCCTCCCAAAGTGCTGGGATTACAGGCATGAGCCACTGTGCCCAGCTTAACCTGCCTTTTTTTTTGAGACAGTTTCTCTCTTGTTGACCAGGCTAAAGTGCAATGGTGTGATCTTGGCTCACCGCAACCTCCACCTCCCCGATTCAAGCGATTCTCCTGCCTCAGCCTCCCGAGTAGCTGGGATTACAGGCATGTGCCACCAGGCCCGGCTAATTTTGTATTTTTATTTATTTATTTATTTTATTTTATTTATTTATTTATTTTTGAGACGGAATCTCGCTCTCTCTCCCAGTCTGGAGCGCAGTGGCGCCATCTCGGCTCACTACAAGTTCCGCCTCCCAGGTTCACGCCATTCTCCTGCCTCAGCCTCCCGAGTAGCTGGGACTACAGGCGCCCACTGCCACGCCCGGCTAATTTTTTGTATTTTTAGTAGAGATGGGGTTTCACCGTGTTAGCCAGGATGGTCTCGATCTCCAGACCTCGTGATCTGCCCGCCTCGGCCTCCCAAAGTGCTGGGATTACAGGCATGAGCCACGGCGCCTGGCCTAATTTTGTATTTTTAGTAGAGATGGGGTTTCTCCATGTTCCGAACTCCCGACCTCAGGTGATCCGCCTGCCTCGGCCTCCCAAAGTGCTAGATTACAGGCGTGCTCCATCGCACCCAGCCCAACCTGCCTTTTAATACTAATACATTACTTTGGGTCTCATCCCACATCACTTCATCAGAGAGCATCCTTCCTCTCACCTCAGTTATTTCTACTTTTTTTTCCACGTATAGATGTTTTTTCAGGGACCGGAGGGTATGGGAGGAAGCCTTGGCACGCCTCATCCCAAATGCCCGTTTCCCGGAACATCAGGCCCTTCCTCCTCTTCCTGTCCTCCCTGGCCTAGCCTGGGCTCCCTCCCGTTCTGAGGCAAGGCGATTGCTCCATGTCACAGTGAGTGTGGAGTTCCCTGCACATACTGGTGACCTTGTGTCCGGAAGGAATTAGAAGGAAGAGCTCATGGAGTGCCAGAAGAAGACAGTGCCTACTCTGGCAAGCTAGAAGCAAGCTCTGCATTAAATGCAAATATTGGCCGGGCACGGTGGCTCACATTTGTAATCCCAGCACCTGGGGAGGCCTAGGCAGGAGGATCACTTGAGCCCAGGAATTCACGACCAGCCTGGTCAACATAGTGAGACCCCATCTAACCCACCCCACCCCCGTCACACACACAGCACCAACAACAAAATAAAATTAGCAGAGTGTGGTGGGGCGTGACTTTGGTCCCAGCTACTAGGGAGGCTGAGGCAGGAGGATCGTTTGAGCCCGGGAGATTGGGGCTGGAGTGAGCCGAGATCATGCCACTGCAGTCCAGCCTGGGTGACAGAGCAAGACCCTGAAAGAAAAAAAAGAAAGGAGGGAGGGAGGGAGGATGGAAGGAAGGAAGGAAGGAAGGAAGGAAGGAAGGAAGGAAGGAAGGAAACCAAAACAAGGCCACGCGTGGTGGCTCACGCCTGTAATCCCAGCACTTTGGGAGGCTGAGGTGGGCGTATCACTTGAGGTCAGGAGTTAGAGACCAGCCTCGGTAACATGGCGAAACCCCGTCTCTACGAAAAATACAAAAATTAGCCAGGCGTGGTGGCGGGTGCCTGTAATTCAGCTACTCGGGAGGCTGAGGCACGAGAATCGCTTGAACCCGGGAGGCAGAGATTGCAGTGAGCTGAGATCGCGCCACTGCACTCCAGCCTGGGCGACAAAAGCGAAACTCCGTCTCAAAAAAAAAAAAAAAAAAAAACCAAAACAAACCCTCAAATATCCCTCGGGCTGGGTGCAGGGAGGAAACTCGGCCTGAGAGGCGCAGTGGCTAGAACCAGTCAACACTGCTACGCACAGCCACGTTTCCATGGCTTCCTACGTCACTCAGGCCTTAGGGGGCGGGGTATGTCACCCTATCCAATCAGGGGCGCTGGGGCGGGGCCCTGCCAACTGTCCATTCAGATGGGCCCGGGAGAGGAGGGCAGGGCCTGCGCCTCCCTACGGAGCCTTTGTTTCTGGCGACCGTCCCCACCCGGGCTCGCGTCTCCGTTTCTCCGAGAGGCCCAAGGTGTCTCCGCCGCAGCCTCTGTCGCGCCGTGACCTGTACAGGTCGCGGGAGTCGTAGGGAGGACGCCGGGACACCTGGAAGCCGAGAAATGGTGCGTGTGAGGGGTCAGGCGTCCCCAGACCTGGGGGAGGGGCTGGTTGGAACCGGCCGGAACCGGCTGTGGAGGGACCTAGGCCTCCCTGCGGCGACTCCGGGGTCTGGGACCCGAGTTCCCTCGGCCGCAAGGTGGGGCTGGGCCAGGAGCTGGGACCCCGGTCGTCCTGTCCCGTCCCTGCGCGACGCCTGCGGCCCCGCAGCCCCGCGTCTCCCCACATGGTGCGGGGGCCGCGGGAGGGTCATGGGGGTATCCCTCCTCGGATGTGGTTCGTGTTGCAGGAGCTGCGGTCTGTGGCCGCCCCCCACAGTCCCGCCTTTCTCCCGTTAAAAATTTAGAGTTTATTTGAGCAAACAGCGGCTCATCGATGGAGAAGCTCCCGGTCGTGGTTTGTGGCTTGGGGATCCGTTGGAGGGAATGGAAGGAAAGGCTGTAAGGTGCAGGAGGAAGCGAACCAAATTCAGTACTTGGTTGGTGACAGTTATGCAGTCGCCTTATTTGCTCTATCTAGGTGGACATTTTCTGCTTATGTAGTCAGAGGTGGATTGGTGGTTGTGGTTTATTAACCCTAAATTTTATTTCCTTATAAACTGGTAATTTATAAGAATTTCATTTGAGGCTGGAGCGCGGTGGCTCACGCCTGTAATCGCAGCGCTTTTGGAGGCCAAGACAGGAGGATCGCTTGGGCCCAGGAGTTGAAGATCAGCCTCGCAATATAGCGAGACCCCATCTCTGTTAATTTTTTTTAAATGAACATATTCAGACTGAGACCAAAAAACTACTACAAATTTTTAAAATATAAAATCAAATAAAAGAATTTCATTCGACTTAGATTTCTGTTTCCTTGGGTAGGAAACCAGGACACCATAGCCACAGCCCTCTAATTGTCTCCAAATTAATTATTTTAACACTCCCCAGGGGGACAGGGTCCCAAATCCTTGACCTTGTTCCCCTAGCCTGACTCCTCTGGCGCTTGCAAATAATTCTTGATACCACTTCTTTCACCATATTCCCAAAAGGTAACTCCAGTCACGACATTATCAACTCTTTGTCCTTTATTGCACATTTCAAACTAATTAATTTGTATTATTTTTTCAAGGAGCAATCGATTGGTCTTTTAAAAATATTTGCTTTCTGTTTCTGAACATTTCACAGGAGAGGAAAGCAGAGAATACATGTATGAGACCCTGCTGTGAAAAAACCTTTGTGCCTCTTCTCCTTTTCTCTCTCCTAGGCACAGGGATGTTCTCAGAATGTCTTTTGGTTGGCCTGGTGCCATGGCTCATGTCTGTAATCCCAACACTTTGGGAGGCCAAGGCGGGAGGATCACCTGAGGCCAGGAGTTTGAGACCAGCCTGAGCAACATAGTGAGACCCGGACCCTAAAATAAAAAAAACAAAAAACAGTGTCTTTGGGTTGGGGTTCCCCTTTGGAAACTTTAAACTGTGATATGTCTTCAGAGCATCCTCCTTTCCTGGTCCTGGGCTTCAGGGCTGTTTGGGCTGACACAGGATGCCCACAGCAGCCAGATCTGTTGAAGGGTCTGGTATCAGCCTGCTCCCACTGGACAGCCTGAAGTACGGGGTGGGGCCTCTTAGTGGAGGAGCTGGGTGTCCTGGGGTCGGAGGAATCTCTTGATATCCCCTCCCTCTCAAAGCTCACCCCTGGGACACTCAGCTTTTCTTCCCCTAATTCCAGATCCCATTCCTTGGGGGACACATTGGTGTCCAGCCAAATGGATGATGGTATTGAGGGGAAAAACAGATATGATTCTTGCCCTCTGGATTCTTTTAGACTGGTGAAGTGAGAAAACTTATCCCAAGGACAGGAAAACCCATCCCACTGAGGTGATGCAAGAACTTGAAAAGCAAAATGTACTTCAGGCAGATGGAGGCAAAATGCAGTGTCTCTTGGAAGGGTGGTCACTGAGCCCTTCAGTGAGCAGGTTAGGGGGTGGACGATATCCCAGGTGATAGAATGACCTGACTTAGGCCGGGCGCGGTGGCTCACACCTGTAATCCCAGCACTTTGGGAAGCTGAGGTGGGCGGATCACTTGAGGCCATGAGTTCGAGACCAGCCCGGCCAACATGGCGAAACCCTGTCTCTACTAAAAAATACAAAAATTAGCTGGGTGTGGTGGCAGGTGCCTCTAATCTCAGCTACTGGGGAGGCTGAGGCATGAGAATCGCTTTAACGTGGGAGGCAAAGGTTGCAGTGAACCGAGATCACACCACTGCACCCCAGCCTGGGTGACAGAGCGAGACTCTGTCTCAAAAAAAAAGATGTGAAACTTGAGTCAGACGTACCTCTGTTCCAGGTTAGCGCAGCCCCTTCCTGGGTTTGTCCCCTGCAAAAGATTTGTTCACTTATTGCAGTTTCAGTTTTTTTCTTTTTTAAGTAACTATAAATGTATTTCATCAGTAGACCTTGAAATATAAGACAGTTTTGCAAAGAGGCAAGAAGGAAGTGGATTTCAGAAAACATTAAATATCTAGTCTTATGTTTGTTAAAAATTATTACTTATGGCTGGGCGCGATGGCTCACGCATGTAATCCCAGCACTTTGGGAGGCTGAGGCAGGCAGATCACGAGGTCAGGAGATCGAGACCATCCTGGCTAACACAGTGAAACCCTGTCTCTACTAAAAACACAAAAAATTAGCTGGGCATGGTGGCGGGTGCCTGTAGTGCCAGCTACTTGGGAGGCTGAGGCAGGAGAATGGCATGAACCTGGGAGGCGGAGCTTGCAGTGATCCATGATTGCGCCACTGCACTGCAGCCTGGGCAACAGAGCAAGACTCCATCTCAAAAAAAAAATTATTATTTTTTTCTTTCCCAAAGCAAGTGTAGTAAGTTTCTCAAGTATGTTGTTTTTTTTTGTGGGGGTGGGGTGTGGTGATTTAAAATGGAATTCCAGGGCTTAGTGTTGGGAATACTAAGGAAAAGAGAGAGAGAAAACTCTCTTCTATCATGACTGCAGAAAATGAATACATTTCCACAAGTAAGTGTAGCAAATAAATTGGTGAATTACAGAGATTCACCAAAACATCAATTCCTCTGCTTTGCAGGGTGGCAAACTTGTGACAGTGGATAACTGTTCTCTTCCTGTTATCTAGACATCAGAGTTTAATGCGAAGTCCTAGTAGGACAGGACTTGGTAACTCCTAGAAGTGTTCCAATATGATTTAGTACATGATTTGTTACCATAGAAAGAATAAATAACATGTTTATTGTCTGAAGAGGATGGATACTTTTACTTTTCCTGTTAAGGTATGAAATATAAGTGCCTTACAATTTCCTTCCTTGCTATAAACAGTGAATTTGAGTGATTTTACTGGAATCTTCAAACCCTGGGTATTTTCTCATTGAAAATTAAATGCATAACCTTGACTGGGAAACAGAGACAGCAGACTAGTGACTTGAAACTAAGACCAATCTTGAGCCTTCAAAGAGAGGACATTACAGGCCCAGTGGTTCTTGCTGAGGAGCCTCCCCTGCAGTGTCCCAGCTGCTCACAACTGACTTTGGGTGGAGCCCTTTATAGTGAGAGAAGCTCAGAGCCCTGGAAAGCTGGGGATTCATAGGCAGAGGTGGTTGAGGTGATGCCTTTCTGAGAATGTACTTGCTATTATCTTGGGTCTGTTTGTAGACGTTTCTAATGAAACAAATCTGGATTTAGGTAAGGAGTGATTTATTTTATTTTTATTTATTTATTTTTTTTGTGTGTGACAGGGTCTCACTCTGTCTCCTAGGCTGGAGTGCAGTGGTGCGATCATAGCTCACTGTAGCCTTGATCTCCTGGGCTCAAGGAATTCTCTCACATCAGCCTCCCAAGTACCTAGGACTAAAGGCATGTGCCATGATGCCTGGCTTATATTTTTAAAAAAGTTTTTTTAAGAGAGACAGGACGTTGTTATGTTGCCCAGACTGGTCTCTAACTCCTGGCCTCGAGCAATCCTCCCACCGTAGCCTCCCCAAATTCCAGGATTATGGGGGTGGGGCGGGGAGCACCACCACACCAGACAGGAATGACTATTCTAAAGGATAATCGAAAGGGGAGAAGGCACCAAGTATAAAATCTTCAAGCATCTCAGGCTGGGCGTGGTGGCTCACGTCTGTAATCCATGCACTTTGGGAGGCCGAGGTGGGTGGATCACAATGTTAGGAGTTTGAGACCAGCCTGACCAACATAGTGAAACCCCATCTCTACTAAAAATACAAAAATTAGCCGGGCATGGTGGTGCGTGCCTGTAATCCCAACTACTCGGGAGGCTGAGGCAGGAGAATCGCTTGAACTCAGGAGGCAGAGGTTGCAGTGAGCCGAGATCGCGCCACTGCACTCCAGCCTGGGCGACAGAGTGAGACTCTGTCTCAAAAAAAAAAAAAAAAAAAAAAAAATCTGCAAGCATCTCAGAGTTTATGCAGAAAAGGATTTTCTTTTGTAGGGAGGAGCAAATGATGAGAAAGAAGGTGGGAGGTGGAAGGCAGGATGCAGGGTGCAAAATCCCACCTAGATCCTGAAGGCAGTCTCTTCTTAGGAGGGTCATCAGAGGGGTTGTATATAGGCTCAGGCTGGGGGTGGGTCAAAGTTCAGGGGCTGGAGGAAGAAGAGAAACTTAACCAAAGTTTTGTTAACAGGTACTTTGTTCTGACTGATCACTGAAGACAGAGCTGTTCAGCTAATCAATTGTGAGGAAAATAAAGGGAATTTCTAGTCTGTGTATGGCTTTGTCATAGGTAAAAAAGCAGTGTCATCTAAGTCATAATGAGAAGAGTGTTTCTTTGCGTAACCTGCTCCTGCAGAATACAAAAGACGGGGGAGTTTCTTTAACCATAGCTATTTCCAGGATTACATACCTGCCCAATCTTCTGCCGCCATTTTCCCTTACATCCATCCCTTCCATTTCGCCATTTCTGATTTATATGCAGTTGCTGAGAAGTATGGGTGATCCCTGGGGCTTGTGACTGGCATCTGCAGTGGGGCACTGTTATGGTAATGAGCCCTGAACTTGTGGGGTCCCCGTTAACTCTGGGTAGTGTCAGAATTGATTTGAATGCTTAATTGGTGTTGGAGAATTGGAGATTTGGTTGTGTTCAGCAAACACCACACATTTGGTGTCAGAAATGGTATATGAAAAAAGACACTAGAGATCAGAACCTTCACCTGGCTCTGGGTAAGTGTTCGCTGGTGAGAATTGAGACCCTGGAGGAGGGAGCATTTCCACACTGTGAGGAGAGGAGAGTGGGTTGTGTGAAACACCTGTGGACTCACTACCCAGGTTCATAAATGGGCATTGGGCATTTCTGGTATGTCCTGATCTTGTCTCCCGTCTGTACCCACAGGTGACCAGGTCCTCATTTTTAAAAGGTGGTTCTTCATAGTTTTACCATCTATTTATCATTAGGCTGAATTTTGCTTGGCTCTTCCTCTTTTGAATTTTTAGTAAGTTATTACCATTAATATTATGCCAAAAAGAGTTTTTTTTTGGTTTCTTTGCCTGTTTGTTTCACGCATGCTGGTTTCTGCATTTAGTTTGGGGGTTAGGATTTCAGCAAATGAAAGTTTGGGCAGGGGATGGTGGTGGAATACAAACATTCAGTCTGTTAACAATCCTAACTGTATTTTGTACGACATCTTGGCTATTCTTAGCCTTTTTTTTTTTTTTTTTTGAGATGGAGTCTCACTGTGTAGCCCAGGCTGGAGTGCAGTGGCGCTCTTGGCTCACCGCAACCTCTGCCTCCGGGCTCAAGTGATTCTCCCACCTCAGTCTCCCAACAAGCTAGGACTACAGGTGCACAGTACCACACCAGCTAATTTTTGTATTTTTTTTTTTTGTGGAGGCGGGGTTTTGCCATGCTGTCTAAGCTGGTCTTGAACTCCTGGGCTCAAGCAGTCCACCCAGCTATGCCTCCCAAAGTGTTGGGATTATAGGTGTGAGCCACTACGCCCGGCCTTATTTTTGTCTGTTTTTTGTGGAAGTGATATCATCCTATATGTTATATTGTATGCCATCTGTCTATTTCACATAGCTGTGAATCTTCCATGAAATGGTATTTTATTCACTATTTTACTTAATAAACTTTATTTTTTAGACCGGTTGTAGTTTGACAGAAAAATTGAACAGATAATACTTAGAGTTTCCTTATTCTCCTCCACAGGTGATTGTTTTCCCCTACTTTTCTTTTTTTTTAAGAGACGAAGTCTTGCTCTGTCACCCAGGCTTGAGTGCAGTGGTGCGATCACTGCTCACTGCAGGCTAGACCTCCAGGGCTCAAGTGATCCTGCCGCCTCAGCCTCCCAAGTAGCTGGGACCACAGGTGTGCACCACCACATCTGGCTAATTTTTTTTTTTTTTGGTAGATGGGGGTCTCACTATGTTGTCCAGGCTGATCTCTAACTCCTGGCTCAAGTGATTCTCCCATCCTGGCCTCCCAAAGTACGTAAATATGATATCATATATATCATATAATTGATGAACCAATATATCATATATGATGATGATCAGAATTGGTGAGCCAATATGTTACTAACTAAAGTTTACACTTCATCAAAATTGGTAATTTTTGTTCTTCAAAGGACACCAAGAACTTGAAAAGATAATTCACCAAGTGGAAGAACGACTTGCAAATCCTGTGTCTGGTGGGGCATCTTATCCAGAAGCAGCCTGAGTCTCAGTCCCCTCCATCACACTCCATCAGGGTGGGGGCTGAATTGGCAGCCAGGACTCCCAGGTATCCTGTCCCATCACTGTAGGAGGCAGTCTACCTCCTGGACCTCTCTCTGGGCAGTTGTGCACCTGCAATCCTGGATCTCACCCAGATCATGGGGTGACAACAGGGAGTGGCCATCCAGAGAGAAATCTGAGCCTGGTGTTTTGGGTTTGTGGGTGGGAGGTACTCTCAGGACACCCTCCCCCTCCATGGATTCAGACTTGGGTGGGCCCAGCAGAATGGCATGTGTGGTTCCCAGCTCCTTCATCCCCAGTGGGAGGGAGCCTGTCATCCCCTATGCATTTCAGATAAATGAACCAGGGTCTCAAGTTTACAGCCTTGTTCCCTGTTAAAGAGAGATTGCACTGGAAACTTGTTAAGAATGTCAAGGAAAAGTTTATTAAGCACAATTGCAGTGAGTCATGACAGCTGTAATAGGGGAGGGAGATTGAATTCAGCCTTGAATGCAGCAGGAATATTATTGGATTTATAGCCAATGTACAAGGTGAGGGAGAGAATGGAACTTGGTTGGGTCTCATAGGTGGGAGAAAAAGAACTTGATTGGATATTAAGGTAGGAGGAGTCTCTATAAACTACCTTAGATGGATTCTTGCTGAAACTGACTTCTGCAGGCCAGTGCCAAGCCCTAGTCAAAAAGAGGGCTCTGAGGAGCTTGACTCAAGTTTGGTGAAGGAAGGAGTACTTGAGACCTCTTCAGCCTAGTTTTTCTTTCTTTCTTTTTTTTTTTTTTTTTTTTTGAGATGGAGTCTTGCTCTGTCACCCAGGCTGGAGTGCAGTGGTGCGATCATGGCTCACTGCAACCTCTGCCTCCCAGGTTCAAGCAATTCTCTGCCTCAGCCTCCCAAGTAGCTGGGGTTACAGGTGCCCACCACCAGGCCTGACTAATTTTTTTTTGTATTTTTAGTAGAGACAAGGTTTCACCATCTTGGCCAGGGTGGTCTTGAACTCCTGACCTCATGAGCCACCGTGCCCAGCCTCTTCAGCCTAGTTTTTCCCAGGGCTCTGTATTAGTCTGTTTTCATGCTGCTAATAAAGACATACCCAAGACTGGGTAATTTATAAAGGAAAGAGATTTCATTGACAGGTCAGTATGGCTGGGGAGGCCTCAGGAAACTTACAAGTATGGTGGAAGGGAAGCAAACATGTCCTTCTTCACATGGCAGCAGCAAGGAGAAGTGCAGACTAAAGGTGGGGGAAAGGTGGGGGAAGCCCATTATAAAACCAGATCTCATGAGAACTCACTATTATGAGAACAACATGGAGGTAACCACCCCAATGATTAAATTATCTCCCACTTGCTCTCTCCCATGACATTCAGGGATTATGGGAACTACAAGAGGAGATTTGGGTGGGGACACAGCCAAACCATATCATTCCACCCCCAGCCCCTCCCAAATCTCATATCCTCACATTTTAAAACAATCATGCCCTCCCAACAGTCCCCCAAAGTCTTAAATCATTCCAGCATTAACTCAAAAGTACAAGTCCAAACTCATCTGAGACAAGGCAAGTCCCTTCTGCCTATGAGCCTGTAAAATCAAAAACAAGTTAGCTACTTCCTAGATACAGTCATTGGGTAAATATAC
The DNA here is from genome assembly GCF_000001405.40 of Homo sapiens. Lineage (NCBI taxonomy): Eukaryota > Metazoa > Chordata > Mammalia > Primates > Hominidae > Homo > Homo sapiens. The sequence goes on from NC_000019.10 coordinate 11,605,951, forward strand.
CCATTCCAAATGGGAGAAATTGGCCAAAACAAAGGGGCTAGAGGCCCTATGCAAGTCCCAAATCCAGTAGGGCAGTAATTAAATCTTAAAGCTTTGACATAATCTCCTTGGCCAGGCGCGGTGGCTCACACCTGTAATCCCAGCACTTTGGGAGGCCGAGGCAAGCGGATCATGAGGTCAGGAGATCAAGACCATCCTGGCTAACATGGTGAAACCCTGTCTGTATTAAAAATACAAAAAATTAGGCATGGTGGCACGCGCCTGTAATCCCAGCTACTCGGGAGGCTGAGGCAGGAGAATTGCTTGATCCCAGAAGGCGGAGGTTCCAGTGAGCCGAGATCATGCCACTGCACTCCAGTCTGGGTGATAGAGCCAGACTCTGTCTCAAAAAAAAAAAAGAAAGAAAAAAAGAATCTCCTTTGACTCCACGTCTCACATCCAGGTCATGCTGATGCAAGAGGTGGGCTCCCTCAACCTTGGGCACCTCTGCCCCTGTGGCTTTGCAAGGTACAGCCCCCACTCCTGGCTGCTTTCACAGCTGGCACTGAGTGTCTGTGGCTTTTCCAGGTGCGTGGTGCAAACTGTCAGTGGATTGACCATTCTGGGGTTCTTGAGGACGGATGGTGGCCCTCTCCTCACAGCTCTACTAGGCAGTGCCACAGTGGGGACTCTCTGTGGGGGCTCCAGTTCCCACATTTCTCTTCTGCGCTGCCCTAGCAGAGGTTCTCCATGAGGGCTCCGCCCCTGTAGCACACCTCTGCCTGGACACCCAGGCGTTTTTGTACATCTTCTGAAATCTCGGCAGAGGTTCCCAAACCTCAATTCTTGTCTTCTGTGCACCCACAGGACCAACACCACATGGCAGCTGCTGTGGCTTGGGGCTTGCACCCTCCGAAGCCATGACCCGAATTGTACCTTGCCTCCTTTTAGCAATGGCTGGAGTGGCTGGGCACAGGGAACCAAGTCCCTAGGGTGCATACAGCAAGGGGCCCTGGACCAGGCCCAGGAAACCAACCATTTTTTCCTTTTAGGATTCTAGGCCTGTGATGGGAGGGGCTGCCATGAAGGTCTGTGATGTGTCCTGGAGACATTTTCTCCATTGTCTTGGTGATTAACATTTGGCTTCTCGTTACTCACAAATTTCTGTAGCTGGTTTGAATTTCTCCCCAGAAAATGGGTTTTTCTTTTCTTTTCTTTTTTTTTGAGACAGAGTTTCACTCTTGTTGCCCAGGCTGGAGTGCAATGGCGCAATCTTGGCTCACTACAACCTCCACCTCCCAGGATCAAGCGATTCTCCTGCCTCAGCCTCCCGAGTAGCTGGGATTACAGGCATGTGCCACCACGGCCAGCTAATTCTATATATTTAGTAGAGAAGGGGTTTCTCTATGTTGCTCAGGCTGCTCTCAAACTCCTGACCTCAGGTTATCCGCCTGCCTCAGCCTCCCAAGGTGCTGGATTACAGGCATGAGCCACCACGCCTGGCTGGGTTTTTTTTTCTGTTCCATTGTCAGGCTGCAATTTTTCCAAACTTTAATGTTCTGTCACCTCTTGAATGCTTTGCCGCTTAGCAGTTTCTTCCACCAGATACCGTAAGTCATCTCTCACAAGTTCAAAGTTCCACAGATCTCTAGGGCAGGGGCAAAATGCCGCCAGTCTCTTTGCTAAAACATAACAAGAGTCACCTTTGCTTCAAGTTACCAACAAGTTTCTCGTCTCCATCTGAGACCACCTCAGCCTGGACTTTATTGTCCATATCACTACCAGCATTTTGGTCAGAGCTATCCAAGGAGTCTCTAGGAAGTTCCAGACTTTCCCACATCTTCCTGTCTTTTGAGCCCTCCAAGTCTCTAGGACGTTCCAAACTTTCCCACATTCTCCTGTCTTCTTCCGAGTCCTCCAAACTGTTCCAACCCTTGCCTGTTCCCCAGTTCCAAAGTTGCTTCCACATTTTCAGGTATCTTTACGGCAGAGCACCCCGCTACCCAGTACCAATTTACTATATTAGTCCATTCTTGCGCTGTGAATAAATACATACCTGAGACTGGATAATTTATAAAGGAAAGAGGTTTAATTGACATACAGTTTAGCATGGCTGGGAAGGCCTCAGGAAACTTAATCATGACGGAAGGAAAAAGCAAACATGTCCTTCACATGGTGGCAGCAAGGAGAAGTGCAGAGCGAAGAGTGGCAAAAGCCACTTATGAAACCATCAGATCTCGTGAGAACTCACTATCATGAGAACAGCATGGAGGGAAATGCCCCCATGATTAAATTACCTCTCACCGGGTCCCTCCCACAACATGTGGGGATTATGGGAACTACAATTTAAGATGAGATTTGGGTGGGGGCACAGCCAAACCGTATCAGGGTCAAAATAAGTTCCTAAGTTTCTGGTTTCCCTTGCCACAATCCCAGATGTCAACTTCCCCTCTCCAGTTGACATTATCTTCAATTATGTCTCCCCCATGCTAGGTTTGAAGCAGCTGTAATATTTTAGTTATTTATAATTTTCCATAGAATAATAAATAACAATTTTAAAGATTTATCTTTTTGTCAGTGTATATTTTACATGAGACAAAAGCTATTCAAGTGGTGAGTAGCCATTTGAAATTACATTGTGTAAAATCTGTGTCCCTAATGATTCGTGGTGTTGAGCATATTTGTATGTGCTTATTGGCCATTTGTATATATCCTGGAGAAATGTCCATTCAAGTTCTTTGCCCATTTATTATTTATTTATTTTTATTTTCACTTTTTTTTGGAAAGAGCTATGATGCCCAGGCTGGATTTGAACGCCTGGGCTCAAGATCCTTCTGCCTTAGGTTCCTGAAGCTGGGATTACAGGTGTGTTCCAGCATGCCCAGCCAATTTTGCCCATTTTCTAATCAATGTGTTTTTTGCTGGTTTATTACAATAACTTATTATTATTATTATTTTTTGAGACAGGGTCTTGCTGCATTACCCAGGCTGGAGTGCAGTGGTGCCATCTCGGCTCACTGCAATCTCCGCCTTCTGAGTTCAAGCCATCCTCCTGCCTCAGCCTCCTGTGTAGCTGAGACTAGAGGGCATGCCACCATGCTCAGCTAATATTTGTATTTTTTGTAGAGACAGGGTTTTGCCATGTTGTCCAGGCTGATCTTGAACTCTTGAGCTCAAGCTGTGTGCCCACCTCAGCCTCCCAAAATGCTGGGATTATAGGCGTGAGCCACCATGTCCAACAATTTATTATTATTAATTGTGGCTATAAAAACAATTAAAAATCTACCATCTTAAGCATTTTTGTGTACAGTTTAGTAGTGTTAACTATACTCACCTTGTTGTGCAACCAAACTCCAGCAATTGTTCCCATTCTCTCAAATTTATTTTTTCTTTCTTCAAGGTGGTTAATTTTATCTTCAAGTTAGCTGATTCTTATTTTGCTTGCTTGAATTTGCCATTGAACACCTATAGAGAAATTTTCATTTTAGTTGTGCTTTGCATCTTCCAGATCCGTACTTCCTGGGTAGTCTTTTAAAAAATTTTATATATATATATATATATATATATATATATATATATATATATATATGTATTTTTTCCCCCCCGAGACTGAGTCTTGCCCTGTCGCCCAGAGCTGGAGTGCAATGGCATGATCTCAGCTCACTGCAACCTCCGCCTCCTGATTTCAAGCAATTCTCCTGCCTCAGCCTCCCAGGTAGCTGGGATTACAGGCGCCTGCCACCATGCCCGGCTAATGTTTGTGTATTTTTAGTAGAGACGGGGTTTCACCATGTTGACCAGGCTGGCCTCTAACTCCTGACCTTGTGATCCGCCCACCTTGGCCTCCCAAAGTGCTGAGACTGCAGGCGTGAGCCACCGCGCCTGTAATTTTTTGTTGATATTATTGCATGCATCCTTTTCTTAGTTTTCTTTATTTCTTTCTCCATGGTTGTCTTTACTACTTTGAGCATAGTTAAGGCGGTTGCTTAAAGTCTTCGTCCAGTGAGCGCAATAACTGGAGATTCTCAAAGATGGTTTATCTCAATTTTTTCCCATTGATGAGCCATATTTTTCTGTCTTCTTTATGATTTTGTTTTTGTTGAAAAGTGGGATTTGAATTTTTTTTTTTTTTTTTTTTTTGAGACGGAGTCTTGCTTTGTTGCCCAGGCTGGAGTGCAGTGGCACAATCTCAGCTCACTGCAACCTCCGCCTCCCGGGTTCAAGCAATTCTTTTGAATTCAAGTCTTTTGAATTCTTCTGAGCCCAGAAAAGGTCTTTTCTGGAAATGCGTTCTTTCCTGGACATGAAGGGGGCATTCTCAATTCCCCAGCATACCTGGGTTTTTCTGAGTATCCTAATTTCTGAAAGAAATTTTTCTCCTCAGCTTTTCTTCCCAGGCTTTAGATGGTCTATCATATGTCTCAGCCATAATCTGTTGGCTCAGGTAGCTTCAGGGTTTTTGTTTACTTTATGACATTTCAAGCAGTTGCTGCCCTTTTTTTTCCTCAAAAAATAAAAATAAAACAGTCAGATGTGGTAGTGTGCACCTGCAGTCCCAGTTACTATGGAGGCTGAGGTGGGAGGATCATCTGAGCCTAGGGAGGTCGAGGTTGCAATAAGTCGTGATTACGCCACTGCACTCCAGCCTGGGTGACCGAGTAAGACCCTGTCTAAAAACAACAACAAAACCTTGTGTAACTGCTGCTAATTAGAGTATATATTCAGGGCAACTTGAATCTGTACTCCTGGTTTGCAGTCCTCAGCTCTGGCCCCAATAGACTGTCCATTTGTATTGATTTTGCCTAAGTTTCTTCCTTTTAGATCAACAAACTTATGGAGCGCCTTTCTGTTTCATAGATGGGATGCTTCTTGATTCGTGACTCGCTAATAATAGCCAATTAGATCACTGAACTCTTTGTTGAAATATTTTCTTTCTTTTTTGAGACTGAGTCTTGCTCTGTTGGCCAGGCTGGAGTGCAGTGGCGTGATTTCAGCTCACTGCAACCTCCACCTCCTGGGTTCAAGCGATTCTCCTGCCTCAGCCTCTGGAGTAGCTGGGACTTCAAGCATGTGCCACCACACCTGACTAATTTTTGTATTTTTAGTAGAGACGGGGTTTTACCATGTTGGCCAGGCTGGTCTTCAACTCCTGACCTCAAGTGATCTGTCCGCCATGGCCTCCCAAAGTGCTGGGATTACAGGTGTGAGCTACTGTGCCCGACCCCAAATTCTTGACCTTCTTGCCAACACTTGTTCTTTGGAGTGGTTGATTTTTATTGTGAGTCATAGGAGTTTTTTATATGTTCTTGATACTAACACCTTGCCAGATATATGATTTGCTGATACTTTTTACAATTCCCTGGTTGCCTTTTCCCAGTGTTGATAGTGTCTTCTGACACAGAATTATTTATTTAGAGACAAGGTCTTGCTCTGTTGCCTAGGCTGGAGTGCAGTGATGATGTGATCCGAGCTCACCCCAGTCTCAACCTCCTGGGCTCAAGGAATCCTCTTCCCCCAGCTGCCTGGCCTACACAAGTTTTTAATTTTGATGAAATAAAATTTGTCTTTTTTTTCTTTTGTGAACCATGTTCTGGTGTTTTATCCAAGAAATCAATGCCAGACCCAATAGAAACTTTTGCTGTGTGTTTTTGTTTAAAAAGGAAAATTAGAACAGAGTTAAAAGATCCAGTTGGCTTTTATTTGCAATTCATGAATTGGGGTACCATCCCATTCTATAAAATAGAATAAGAGCTCCCGCTGGGCGTGACAGAAGGGTGGGTTTTGTAAGGAACAAGAGAAACAGAACAACAACAAAGCAGACTGGTTAACATCAGGTTACTTTTATTGAAAGGGTAAAGCAGAGGGGACGTCCTTATTATGCCAGCTGAGATTGACTGGGCCCTTTCCTATTGGTTGCTGTGAGTCTCCTGTTTTGGGGAAAAACTGGGTATGTTTGAGGATCTACCTGCTTCTTTAAAAATTTTAGTTTGATTATGTGGCACTTAGCATGAGTGACTCCATTTTGGTTTGGTCTCATTTGTTGGGGACTAGTATAGGATTTTAGTCCAAAAAAATGGCCTGCATAATTTTTACTATTTTCTTCTAAGAGTTGTTTAGTTTTAGCTGTTACCTTTAGGTCTTTGATCCATTTTGATTTCATTTTTGTATGTAAGTTAAGGGTCCAACTGCTTTTTTTTTTTTTTTTTTTTGAGATGGAGTCTCGCTCTGTCGCCCAGGCTGGAGTGCAGTGGTGCGATCTCAGCTCACTGCAAGCTCCACCTCCCGGGTTCACGCCATTCTCTTGCCTCAGCCTCCCGAGTAGCTGGGACTACAGGCGTCCGCCACCACGCCCGGCTAATTTTTTGTATTTTTCGTAGAGATGGGGTTTCACTGTGTTAGCCAGGATGGTCTCGATCTCCTGACCTCGTGATCCGCCTGCCTCGGCCTCCCAAAGTGCTGGGATTACAGGCATGAGCCACCGTGCCCGGCCTGCTTTTTTTTTTTTTTTTTTTGAGACAGAGTCTCACTGTCATCTAGGCTGGAGTGCAGTGGGGCAATCTCAGCTTACTGCAACCTCTGCGTGCTGGGTTCAAGCGATTCTTCTGCCTCAGCCTCCCAAGTTTCTGGGACTACACCAGCCCACCACGCCCGGCTAATTTTTTTGTATTTTTAGTAGAGATGGGGTTTCACCATGTTGACCAGGCTGGTCTGGAACTCCTGACCTCAGGTGATCTGTCTACCTCGGCCTCTCAAAGTGCTGAGATTACAGGCATGAACCACCTTGCCGGGCCTCAACTGCATTTTTTCACATGTAGGTATCCAGTTTTCCCAGAACCATTTTTTTTTTTCAACTTTTATTTTTGGTTGAGGGAGTACCTGTGCAAGTTTGTTACATGGGTAAATTGCGTGTTACTGGGGGTTGGTGTATTTCATCACGCAGGTAGTGAGCATAGTATCTGATAGGTTTCTTTTCCACCCTCACCCTCTTCCAACCCTCCCACTTCAAGTAGGCCGCGGTGTCTGTTGTTCTCATCTTTGTACTCATGTCATCACCATTTTTTGAAAAGTATTTTTTTCCAATAATGAATCTGGGCACACTCGCCAAAAGTCATTTTACCATTTATGAATGTGTACCTCCCCTCCCCTCCCTCCCTTCCCCCCTCCCCTCCCCTCCCCTCCCTCCCTTCCCCCCTCCCCTCCCCTCCTTCCCCCCTCCCCTCCCTTCCCCCCCTCCCCTCTCCTTTCCTTTCCTTTTTCCTTTCCTGACATAGGGTCTCACTTGGTTTCCCAGCATGGTCTTGACCTCTTGACCTCAAGCCATCCTCTGGTCTTTGGCCTCCCAAAGTGCTGGGATTACAGGCATGAGCTACCATCCCTGGCCTGAAGGTGGTATCTGTTAAGAGCAATTCCCTGAGCATATTTCAAGATGACTACTCTTACCCTCTTCCTGCCATAAGCAGGAAGCAATTTTTCTATGATCTTCACTGTGAGAACTGATGAAGTTTCTGGAGGTAGAGCTCACACATTTCTGGGGGCCCCCTATGACTGGATCCCCTGGATTTTTACCTCTTTTTTTTTAAAAAACAGCTAATTAAAAAAAATATTTAGTAGACAAGAGGTCTCGCTATGTTTTCCAGGTCAGTCTTGAACTCCTGAGCTCAAGTGATCCTCCTGCCTCCATCTCCCAAAGTGTTGGGATTACAGGCGTGAGCCACCGTGCCCAGCCAGATTTTTACACTTAGCCTTTAGTAATTCATTAGTTGCAATTTAGGTTTTCCTACCCCTGTACTGCTTCCCACAGAGATTTTGCTATGGGAGTCTGTTCTAGTAAGTTATGACTCTTTTATCAGTTAGGTTGGTGGGATCCTGTCTAAAATCCAGTACCCAGATACTGTCAAAGCTCAAACTTTGTGAACAAGCATTTCTAAAGATACACAGTCTCAGGGTGGCTAATGTTAACTCTTTTTTCTGCACTCTAGTTACTAGATTTTTTTTTTTTTTTTTTTTTTTGAGACGGAGTCTTGCCCTGTCACCCGGTCTGGAGTGCAGTGGTGCAATCTCAGCTCACTGCAAGCTTCGCCTTCTGGGTTCACGCCATTCTTCTACCTCAGCCTCCTGAGTAGCTGGGACTATGGGCACCCACCACCGTGCCTGGCTAATTTTTGTATTTTTAGTAGAGATGGGGTTTCACCTTGTTAGCCAGGATGGTCTCGATCTCTTGACCTCGTGATCCACCCGCCTCGGCCTCCCAAAGTGTTGGGATTACAGGCGTGAGCCACCGCGCCCAGCCACTACATGTTTGTTACAACAGGTGCTACAGGCCTACCTTACAGAGAGACATTAGGGGTGGCCCAGGCAGTACATACTTCTCCCACCAGAGAGGCATGCTCCTATTCTGCTGTTGCTAGTTCAGTTCTAGCAGCAGAATTGCTTTGTGGAAGGAAGTGAGTCTAGACAGAGGGTAAGTTTGATGACTGTGGAATCTTGAAATAAATGTTTGGAAAGCATAGCATCCTGAGAACTTCTTGGGAATAAAGTCTAGGCCCCCAGTGCTGTCTGTCTCAACCTTCCTCCTCCACACATGGGGGATGTTTCAGGATTCAGTGGCCTTTGAGGATGTGGCTGTGAACTTCACCCTGGAGGAGTGGGCTTTGCTGGATCCTTCCCAGAAGAATCTCTACAGGGATGTGATGCGGGAAACCTTCAGGAACCTGGCTTCTGTAGGTAAGGGTGACAATATTCCTTTCCTCAGTGAATTAGAGAACAAGTGTTTCTAGCTCCTTAACACTTTGGGGAATAAACCAGGCATGGGTACAGGGAATTATGAATATAGAATCTAATACTTTTTTCATAATTTTATACTAATTCATAATGACTTTTCTGGGTCTAAATTTTAGGAAAACAATGGGAAGACCAGAACATTGAAGACCCATTCAAAATTCCCAGGAGAAATATAAGGTAATTTGCACTCACAAAAGAAAGTTCTGTTCCTTGAGAGCATTTCGTATTGTTAGGAATTTTTTTTTTTTTTTTTTTTAGATGAAGTCTCGCTCTGTCGCCAGGCTGGAGTGCAGTGGCACAATCTTGGCTCACTGCAACCTCCGCCTCCCAGGTTCAAGTGATTCTCCTGCCTCAGCCTCCTGAGTAGCTAGGACTACAGGCACGTGCCACCACGCCGAGCTAATTTTTTGTATTTTTAGTAGAGACGGGGTTTCACCATGTTGGCCAGGATGGTCTTGTTCTCTTGACCTCGTGATCTGCCTGCCTCAGCCTCCCAAAGTGCTGGGATTACAGGCCTGAGCCACCATGCCCAGCAGGAATTTTTAAAAGCAAGCAAACAACATATAAGCCCAGCTTCAAACTGTTTTGTTTTTAGAAAATCTTCTCCAAGCCAGGCATGGTGACTCACGCCTGTAATCCCAGCACTTTGGGAGGCTGAGGTGGGCAGATCACGAGGTCAGGAGATCGAGACCATCCTGGCTAACACGGTGAAACTCCGTCTCTACTAAAAATACAAAAAAAAAGTTAGCTGGGTGTGGTGGTGGGTGCCTGTAATCCCAGCTACTCGGGAGGCTGAGACAGGAGAACGGCGTGAATTGGGAGGCAGAGCTTGCTTTGAGCCAAGATGGCACCACTGCACTCCAGCCTGGGTGACAGAGTGAGACTCTGTCTCAAAAAAGAAAAAAAGAAAATCTTCTCCAAAAACATAGTTAAGTGTAACATAGATGTTCAGTGTTTGCAAAATAGTTCAATTATAGATAGTATTAAGAAACTTCATACGAATATCTTTTTTTTTTTTTTTTTGAGAGGGAATTTCACAACTCGTTGCCCAGGCTGGAGTGCAAGGGTGCCATCTTGGCTCACTGCAACCTCCGCCTCCTGGATTCAAGCGATTCTCCTGCCTGAGCCTCCCGAGTAGCTGGGATTACAGGCGCCTGCCACCACACCTGGCTAATTTTTTGTATTTTTAGTAGAGACAGGGTTTCACCATGTTGGCCAGGCTGGTCTTGAACTCCTGACCTCAGGTGATCCACCTGCCTCAGCCTCCGAAAGTGCTGGGATTACAGATGTGAGCCACCACACCTGGCCATGAATATCATTTTCTTTCTTTCTTTTTTTTTTTTTTGAGACAGAGTTTCGCTCTTGTTGCCCAGGCTGAAGTGCAATGGCATGATCTTGGCTCACTGCACCTCTGCCTCCTGGGTTCAAGCAATTCTCCTGCCTCAGCCTCCCGAGTAGCTGGGATTACACGCGTGCTCCACTGCGCCTGGCTAATTTTTTTTATTTTTTATTTTTAGTAGAGACAGGGTTTCTCCACGTTGGTCAAGCTGGTCTTAAACTCCTGACCTCAGGTGATCCTCCTGTCTTGGCCTTCCAAAGTGCCGGGATTACAGGCATAAGCTACTGCGTCTGGCCATGAATATCATTTTTTGATAATAGGTATGGTTGTGACCTATTGCAGACCATTTAGTCCACTCATGTTCAAACAGTTGAGACAGGCATAAAACGTACACTTTCCCTGGTAATGTTAAACATGTGAATCCAAGGCCAGGCATGGTGGCTCACGCCTGTAATCCCAGCACTTTGGGAGGCAGAGGTGAGAGGATCCCTTGAGCCTTGGAGTTCAGGGTTCACGCCTGGGCAACATAGTAAGATTCTGTCTCTGTATTTAAAAACAAGTATATGTAAGTCTAATACCTATTAATAAATATAAAATCATTTATAAACAAAACATTAATAATGTACTTCTCATTTTTCTGACAAGTCATATTCCAGAGAGACTCTGTGAAAGTAAAGAAGGTGGTCAAGGTGAAGAAACCTTCAGCCAGATTCCAGATGGTATTCTGAACAAGAAAACTCCTGGAGTAAAACCGTGTGAAAGCAGTGTGTGTGGAGAAGTTGGCATGGGTCCTTCATCACTTAATAGGCACATCAGAGATCACACTGGACGTGAACCAAATGAATATCAGGAATATGGAAAGAAGTCATATACACGTAACCAGTGTGGACGAGCCTTGAGTTATCATCGCTCTTTTCCAGTACGTGAAAGGACTCATCCTGGAGGAAAGCCCTATGATTGTAAGGAATGTGGAGAAACCTTTATTTCTCTTGTAAGCATTCGAAGACACATGTTAACGCATAGGGGAGGTGTACCTTACAAATGTAAGGTGTGTGGGAAAGCCTTTGATTATCCCAGTTTATTTCGTATACATGAAAGAAGTCACACTGGAGAGAAACCTTATGAATGCAAGCAATGTGGGAAAGCCTTCAGTTGTTCCAGTTACATTAGAATACATGAAAGGACTCACACTGGAGATAAACCCTATGAATGCAAGCAGTGTGGGAAAGCTTTCAGTTGTTCCAAGTACATTCGAATCCATGAACGAACTCACACAGGAGAGAAACCCTACGAATGTAAACAGTGCGGTAAAGCCTTTAGGTGCGCCAGTTCTGTTCGAAGTCACGAGAGGACTCACACCGGAGAGAAACTTTTTGAATGTAAGGAATGCGGGAAGGCTTTGACTTGTCTTGCAAGTGTTAGAAGACACATGATAAAGCACACTGGCAATGGACCTTATAAATGTAAGGTGTGTGGGAAAGCCTTTGATTTCCCCAGTTCATTTCGAATCCATGAAAGGACCCACACTGGAGAGAAACCCTATGATTGTAAGCAATGTGGGAAAGCCTTCAGTTGTTCCAGTTCGTTTCGAAAACATGAAAGAATTCACACTGGAGAGAAACCCTATAAATGTACAAAATGTGGGAAAGCCTTCAGTCGTTCCAGTTACTTCCGAATCCATGAAAGAACTCACACTGGAGAGAAACCCTATGAATGTAAGCAATGTGGGAAAGCCTTCAGTCGATCCACTTACTTTCGAGTACATGAAAAAATTCATACTGGAGAGAAACCCTATGAGAACCCTAACCCTAACGCTTCAGTTGTCCCAGTTCTTTCATGAGCATGAAAGGAGTCACATAGAGAAACCCCATGAAAGTAAGAAATTTGGGAAAGCCTTCAGTCCTTTCTGTTTCTTTCAACTACGTGAAAGGATTCACAGTGGAGAAAGACCCTGTAAGATAATTGGCTTTAAATTACGAGAGACTTGTGATAGGACAGTAAAACCTAGAGTTGGAGTTGGATCTCTGGATTGTGTTATGTCAGTGTTGGTAGGTTAGGAACTAGATTTCCCAGAATCCATTCCATTTGTGATTCCATGATACAATTCACCAGTAACCTATCTTACATGAGATTCGGAAGTAAGTTAAGAAGGCATTAGTCATGGTTTGGAAGCACCATACAGGGAGACAGCTGTGTGAATACAGGCTGTATGGACACTTGCTTCCATCCCATTTTCCTGCTTCTTTGGGTTGCCAATCAAGAGTATCCTCAAAACGACTTGACTTTAATTTTCTCGGAGGTGATAGGCTTCCACACAGGTCTCCAGAAGCCCTGCATTGAATATCCATCCACACTTTGGTTTTCCTTCAGACATTATTATGTCTGTACTAGGCAACTAATTCAGACTGTCCTGGTTGGGAATATTCTGTGATGCTCTGACTCCCCTAGTCTGTAGACGGAATTGGCATACGGTCTAATTTGTGTAGTAAGCACCTTTGTTCATACTAGTAGTGACTGTATTCTTGATTCAGCCTGATAGCTACCATGCTGCTGTCAAAACCAACCAGAGGGGAGCTTGTTCTTCTGCTGTAGTGTGCAGTGACTGGCCTCACCCAGGACTTTGATGTGAGAATGAGCACTTTCCTCTATCAGGAAATTTCAAGTGTTTCCTGTTATTCGTAGCTCAATGTAATGCCTCAGTTCATTTTCAGTTGTTTGATTATATGTGACTAATATGTATTTTTTATTCAAACAAGACTTCTGTACATGTTTCTTCAAAACAGTTTATTAACTGTCTTCAGTCTTGGATTACATCAAGTTTATAATTTTGGCAAATTGTTAAGACACTGTGAAGTCAGCGTTAACCATGTGCATACAACTTAAGGAATTTTTTCCTCCTCATGTAAATTTTACTTTTCATGCTTATATAGTTTCAACTTTTATCTTCATAGTAATTTCTCATCTACTCATAATACCAAAAGTTAAGTCATGCTGTTTTGTGTGCTCTCTTGCTAAAGACCGCAGAGACCATACCTGTTGTCAAAGAGGGTGTAATAAACTGTAATAATAATCATGACCACAAACCATAAAGGACTGTGTGATGTATCAGTAAGAGGGTGCTCAGAAGAATTTCTTACAGGTTTTGTGCTTGTTATAGGTTGGTTGATTTCTATTTTTTTTTTTTTTTTGATATAGAGTGTTGCTCTGTTGCCCAGGCTGGAGTGCAGTGGTGCGATCTCAACTCACTGCAACCTCCACCTCCCAGGTTCAAGCAATTCTCCTGCCTCAGCCTCCAGAGTAGCTGGGATTTCAGGTGCACACCACCACACTCGGCTAATTTTTGTACTTTTAGTAGTGAACGGGGTTTCACCATGTTGGTCGGGCTGGTCTCAAACTCCTGACCTCGTGATCCACCTGCCTCGGCCTCCCAAAGTGCTGGGATTACAGGCATGAGCCACCGCACCTGGCCAGGTTGATTGATTTATGTTCAGGGAAGCAAGATGATTCTCTGTATTTGATGCAGTGATGAGGTAAACTTAATTCTAAACTTGGTAATCATAACTGTTCTTATCCAGAAGGGAAAAGGAATGGAGTGGAGGTAAACGTAATTCATGAGAAATACCACTCAGTCATATTAGTGAGAAGAGGGGAATTTGGGTCATGTTTATGATTTGGAACATGCTGTCTTTCACCAGTTTTAAAGACATGGTTACAGAATGCCCTTTTTTTGTCTTGATTCATCATAGCCACCTAGGAGCATGGTCTCACATTGCTGGTGTCTGACATGTTTCTCTCCAACAGCGTAAGACTTGGCCTTGCAGTGAGCGGAGGCTGGCTCCTGGACTTGTGGACCTGTTTTTGCCTTACTTATTCTCTGAACACTGAAGTATTTCCTGTGATGTACTGGACACTGTTTTCCATTATGTACCTCAGTTAAAATATGTAAATTTACTTCTTAGCAAGCTGTATAATACTTTTAAAAAGCTCCTTTACGAGTCTAATGAGACTAATATATTTATGCACATTTTCTGAATGCAAGCCTAGGAAGGGAACAAAGTCAGCATCAATATTCCAACCAAGCCTTTCTTGCTCCAATAATATGCTTTTGTTTTTGTTTTTGTGTTTTTGTTTTTTTAGACAAGAGTTTCACTCTTATCACCCAGGCTGGAGTGCAGTGGTGCAATCTCAACTCACTGCAACCTCTGCTTCCCGGTTCAAGTGATTGTCCTGCCTCAGCCTCCTGAGTAGTTGGGATTACAGGTGCCCACCATCACACCCGGCTAATTTTTGTTTCGTATTTTTAGTACAGACAGGGTTTCACCATGTTGGCCAGGCTGATCTCAAACTCCTGACTTCAGGTGATCTGGCCGCATCGGCCTCCTAAAGTGCTGGAATGGATTACAGGTATGAACCACTGTTCCTGGCATATATGCTTTTGCTTCTAATTTATCAATAGGCCTCTTATGCCAGCACTACAGAGTAAAAAGCAACATGCAAAAGTCAGCTTTTTGTCTGTACACTTCCACGGAACAATCCAATCACTTCGTTGAAGGTGTCCAGCAAGCTCTTGTTGAGAAAATCCCTGTTGAAACTTCTCAGTGTCAAAAGCCCAGGTATCACAGGATAGAGTAGCAATCAGCAACCAAACCATGACTGTATGTGGAGATGACATATTCAGCCCCAGATAATGTATTCACATGAGTGAAGGGTGGAGTCATTGCCTGTCAGATTCTACAGTCATTTGGATTAGAGAGGGCAATACAGAGTTAGGTGCTACTGAATCCAACCACTGAGTCCTTCTCCCTTGAAGGCAACACCCACAGTGATAGTGTGGGCCACAGAGTAGAAACCCCACCATCAACACGACTCCAAATGTGATTTTGCCCGGGATGCAGGTGCTGTGTTGGGATGCAGGTGCTGTGTGGGGATGACCAGTGAAGGTAGGGGACACTGGAAGCACAGGGTGAGGGAGATGAACAGGACACAGCTGAGCCTGATTATTGGCCTTGACTGTGGGAGTATCTTGATGCTTCACAAACACCCCAGAGAGGACATTGTAGCACAGGCCCAAAGAGTGTTCATAAACCAGAGGGCCACCACTTTTGGAAGGCAGTGATGTGGCTTTCTGTTTGAGTCCTGATGCTCTGTTGACAGCATACACTGTTCTTCATCTGATTAGAAAAGCAATGCCGGCTGGGCGCAGTGGCTCACGCCTCTAATCCCAGCACTTTGGGAGGCTGAGGTGGGCAGATCACCTGAGGTCAGGAGTCCGAGACCAGCCTGACCCGCCTTGGACCTATTGGACTGAACAAACGGGAGCAAACACAGGAATAAAAGACAAGAGACAAAAGAGTATATTTGGAAGAAGGGGTTGGGGGGCACCTTGCCTCTAGTGGACAAGGGCCCCGAGCTTTACACAGCCCTCTGTATTTATTAGACAAAAGAGCGAGAAAAGCGGGGGGTGATTGTTGGGTAATTGTCAGTTGGCCATTTGGTTCACACCAGGCTTGTGAGACTGCATCCTTTGGACAATAGGCACTAATTTTCTCAGTAGATAACTTCAAGGAGCCCAGTGCCAGGGAGTGATGTCCCTCAGCAAACCTTTTGGTGGCAGGGCAGTGAGTTTGCCCACATCCTGCATTCATGATAAACAGTTTGCTGTTTGATCCCATATAGACTCCTGCGGAATGCTGAGTTGGTCACGTCCCACGGGCCTTCGGCTCCCTGCATATCCCCCTTTTTGTTTATGTATTAATTGAAAGAATGTAAGGCCAGGCTGAGCAGCTCTCATTGTCCGATTGGCGGTCCATCTGATTTTACAGAAAACATAGCATTAGAACTGTGTTGTGACTCTGTTAGGCCTTCTCTCTCTCTTTGCACCCAGGCTCAGCTGGCTCATGGCTCGTACTGGAGGGACCGGGCCCATGGTTGGCCACCCTGGGTTCCTCCCGTCTCCCGTTCATGGTCGCACACACCTTGAGGGCACCCAAACGGTGTGCCCATCTCCTGTAGAAACACAAGCATGCTCTCTTCCCCATGTCAGTAAATCCACCGGACTTTTCCATTGTCCTTCTTCCAGGGATTTCCATAACACTTTCAGATAAACTTTCCTCTTTTCCTCTAACACTTGTCAATGTCTTTCTGCTGGAGTCTTACCATCCGGACCAGGAGCCAAAAAAATTTAAAGTAAATAAAAATAATAAAAAGTTCTGATTGAGGTGGTAAGTGGCCTCCTATACCCCCTTTTTGTTTTTTCAACATGTGTTGTAATGTTTGATGTGCCTGCTCTATAATGCCTTGTCCTCTAGGATTATAAGGAATTTCTATTTTATGGGTTATAGCCCAAAGCTGTAAGAAATTTTGAAAAGCATGGCCAGTATAAGTGGGTCCATTGTTAGTTTTTAATTGTTTAGGTATTCCCATATGAGCAAATGATGACAGATGATGTCACCATACATGACCAGCTGTCTCACCTGTTTGGCATGTAGCATGCAGCATTTGAGAATAAGTGAAATAAATTAAGCAGTTCTGGGTCTAGTGTACTTTTAACTGTAGCAGTTTCTACGCGACTGGCTACATTTACAACATAAGCTGAATCACAGACAATGTTGATAGGATCTGAAGCTGTGAGCTGTAAAACCTGAATGACTGCAGTTAGCTCTGAATGTTGAGCTGAAACCCCAGAGGTCGTTATTGTTTTGGGACCTTTTTGGAATCACAAATACTGGAGAATTCCAGGGGCTAACTGACTTTTCTTTTTTTTTTTGAGACAGTCTCGCTCTGTCGCCCACGCTGGAGTAAAGCTCTGTCTCCCGGGTTCATGCCATTCTCCTGCCTCAGCCTCCCAAGTAGCTGGGACTACAGGCGCCTGCAACCATGCCCAGCTATTTTTTTTGTATTTTTAGTGGAGACGGGGTTTCACTGTGTTAGCCAGGATGGTCTCGATCTCCTGACCTCGTGATCCTCCCGCTTGGGCCTCCCAAAGTGCTGGGATTACAGGCGTGAGCCACCGCGCCCGGCCTGCTAACTGACTTTTCTATATGTCCTGTGTTCAATTGCTCTTTTACCAACAGATGAAGTTCATCTAGCTTCTTTTGTGATAGGGGCCATTGATCCACCCACACAGGTTTGTCACTGAGCCATTCTAATGGTAAGGCAGTGGGCAAAGGAGAAATATCAAATATCAATGACCCCCCCGTCAGAAATCCTTGTGTCCTAGCCCTTTTCTATCTGTTTTTCCAGTTACTGATATCGGGTTAGGATTTCATTGTAGAAATTTCCCTAAACCTTTTTCACTCTGATATCCCATGTTCTTCAACATTTTAAATCCTGGATTATCAAAGTTTTCATTTGTAAGTCTCCTATCCCATGCTGTAAGTCTCGACCCCATAAATTGATGGCTATATTTGCAACATAAGGCTGCAAAGTCCAGAGCAAGCTTAAAGTTGTAAAAGTTCTTTAATAAATAAACAGAGTAACCTGATAGGACGGGCGCGGTGGCCCACGCCTGTAATCCCAGCACTTTGGGAGGCCGAGGCGAGCGGATCACGAGGTCAGGAGATCCAGACCATCCTGGCTAACACAGCGAAACCCCGTCTCTACTAAAAATACAAAAAATTAGCCGGGCGCGGTGGCAGGTGCCTGTAGTCCCAGCTACTCGGGAGGCTGAGGCAGGAGAATGGCGTGAACCCGGGAGGCGGAGCTTGCAGTGAGTGGAGATCGCACCACTGCACTCCAGACTGAGCGACAGAGCGAGCCTCCGTCTCAAAAATAAATAAATAAATAAATAAACAGAGTAACCTTAGCTCTCTGAGTGCTAGTAAACTCAGATCGAGTGATTGAATTATGTGGTCTCTACTAGCCTGCTGCTTTTCCATGTTTACCAGACCCATCAGTAAACCGTGTTAAAGCCTTAGGTATGGGGGAGTGAAATACCGCTTCGAATTGCCTTTTACTTAAACGAATCCTGATGATATGAGGGTCATAACTTAGCATTTGGACTGCATTAATCATTAAGATTGCTAGCTGAAATAGTAATAAGTTTAAAAAGAAAATCTGAACGCGTCTCTAGAAGCAGAGACTTAAATGATATACTTTAACCATGTGCTTAAAACCACGGGCGGAATAGCTTAAATCTTGTAATTGAGTTTTTGGGCTGACCAAGTTTATGGACTTTAATCTGGCAAACAGTCTTGAAAACAGTGACTCACTGGCTGGGGAACTCAATTTAGGACTCTTTTAGCAAGTACAAATCACACTATCTGTAATCAGTGGGTAAGACAGTCATTCATGCATAAGTTTTCACTACACTTACAACTTTTCTTCACTTTCTGAGAAGGACACAACATTTTTACCTTCTAATTTGACAAATATCATTTAATTAGGTTTAAAGTTCTCCTTTAAAGGGTAATGTGTGGTTTTACATGCCTAGCTTTTAATTACTCATTAATGAATTCGTGGGCCCTCTGTAATCTCTTTCCCTTCAGAGGTTACTGTTTTACTTAAATTGAATTTGGAAAGCTACCTTAGGGGTAGGAGAGAGATAACAGTGGCCATTATTAGAAAAGAGGTTTTTCAAATTCTTACATTTTACTTAAATCTTAGCAGAGAATCATAGTCTGGGACGTACGTAACACATGAACTTTTGCTATGGGCTGCTCACAGAGCCAGAGGGCTGCGGTGCAGGTCCTTGGCGGCGGCCGCATTGTACTTGCTCAGGTTTTGCCTGTGTCTGCGCCGCTCCCTCCCTCCTTTGCCGGGGGTGGGGCATGCTGCCAGCCTGGGCGGACCTTGTGGGCTTGGTCGCTGCCAGCTTTTCTGCTGCTGAACCTTCTATTCCGCCCACCGCTTGCTTGGTCGCGCGGTTTCGGCTTCTAATGCCTTTTTTCTTTCTTTTTTTTTGAGACGGAGTTTTTGCTCTTGTTGCCCAGGCTGGAGTGCAATGGCGCGATCTCGGCTCACCGCAACCTCCGCCTTCCAAGTTCAAGCGATTCTCCTGCCTCAGCCTCCCGAGTAGCTGGGATTACAGGCACTTGCCACCACGCCCGGCTAATTTTGTATTTTTAGTAGAGACAGGGTTTCTCCATGTTGCTCAGGCTGGTTTCGAACTCCCGACCTCAGGTGATCTGCCCACCTCAGGTGATCTGCCCGCCTCAGCCTCCCAAAGTGCTGGGATTACAGGCATGAGCCACCTCGCCCGGCCTTTCTTATCTTTTTACAGACATACACCTGCTTGCCTTGCCGATTTTGCATTACTGAGCAGGTTAAGAGCTCTCCTTCTAATGCTGCCTGCTCAAGACAGGGACTGATAGCTGTAGCGTATCCTCTGTCCTTTTTCCTATCTATTGGAGGAGGAGGCTTAGGTAAGACCTCTGTTTCCTCTTTGTTATTTTTGGCCCAGTGATATTGGGGCTGAGGGAAGAGAAGGTGATAAGGCAGGTGACGTTTTCTCCTCCTTCCTCTTTTTAGGCTCTTCTGTGTGTAAACTGAGCCAGGACTGCTCTAATTAAAGCCCATAACGTTAAAGATTTTACTGGGACCTGATGCCTTTGCACCTGATGTTGTTCAAGATTTCTCCCCACTCATTCCCAGAGTTCTAAGCCTAGCGTTCCTTCTTCCGGGAACCATGGGCTTATGTACTCCATTATTGACCACACTAGTTTTTAATTCCTTCAACAACTTAAATTCTAGTGGGGTGTGTTCATGAATAAACTGCTGTGGATTATTTGAATCGGGCCTTACGGAAATAGGAAAAGTGCAAGGTCCTAAGGGCTCTCCAGCTATGGCAGCAGAGCATAAAGTTGTTTGTTTTGGGGTCTCTATTTCTGCTACTGAAGGAGGCAGTACAGATGTTTCTGCGATTGGAGGAGGCGGTATAGGCCAATTTTTATCCTCCCTCACCTGTTTTTTATTTTCAGTTGGCGCTGTGGGTGGGACAACAGATTCTTTCAGATTTTTAGACTCAGCCTGCTGTCCCGCAGAATAATAAGGAGCTAATGGCAGAAGTACAGTATGAACTAAACTCCAAGTGGAGAAAACTGAAGAATCAACTTTAAAACCTTTTTGATGAGCCTGTTTTAATCCTTCTCCTGCTCTGTCCCAATTTTCCGCATCAAGAGTGCCTGCCTGTGGAAACCATGGGTGATGCGTGAATAACCATTTGTGGCTTCTGCAGGAGGTTAGTTAGTGCCTGCGAATTAACCTGAGCTCCAGACTGTCTCAACAGAAACTTAAGCAAGTGCACATAATGTTTTTCTTCAGTAGACAAATTCTTCCCCTTGTTAACCTGATTCAGAAAACTTCCCCTTCCCAGTACTTCTTTAAAGCACTGCCCCCAGTACTTCTTTAGGGCACTGACCTTACATACGCTATCGGCAGACTCATCCCGGAGTCCCCGTGCGTCTTGTCAATTTCAGTTCCTCTACTCCAGCAGACCTTCTTCGTTCACGTCCTCATAGTCCCGTGTTTGGACTGCCGCCTGTTCGAGTGCCACTTATAGAGCTTCCGATCCTGTCGCTGTTTGGGGTGCCACTGTGTAACCTGCACGGACCTAGGGGGACTGAACAAAGGGGGGCGAACGTGGGAATAAAAGACAAGAGACAAAAGAGTATATTTGGAAGAAGGGATGGGGGCAGCACCTTGCCTCTAGTGGACAAGGGCCCCGAGCTTTACACAGTCCTCCGTATTTATTAGGCCAAAGGGATAGTGAGAAAAGAGGGAGTGATTGTCGGGTAATTGTCAGTTGGCCGTTTGGTTCTGTTTGGTTCACAGCAGGCTTGTGAGACTGCATCCTTTGGACAATAGGCACTAATTTTCTCAGTAGATAACTTCAAGGAGCCCGGTGCCAGGGAGTGATGTCCCTCAGCAAACCTTTTGGTGGCAGGGCAGTGTGAGTTTGCCCACAACCTGCATTCATGATAAACAGTTTGCTGTTTGATCATATAGACTCCTGCGGAATGCTGAGTTTGTCGTGTCCCAGCGGCCTTTGGCTCCCTGCACTGACCATCATGGAGAAACCCCGCCTCTACTAAAAATACAAAATTAGCCAGGTGTGGTTGCGCATACCTGTAATCCCCGCTACTTGGGAGGCTGAGACAGGAGAATCGCTTGAACTCTGGAGGTGGAGGTTGCGGTGAGCTGTGATCACGCCATTGCACTCCAGCCTGGGCAAAAGCGAAATTCTGTCTCCAAAAAAAAAAAAAAAAAAAAAAAAAAAAAAGAAAGAAAGAAAGAAAAGAAAAGAAAAAAGAAAAGCAACGCTGCAGTTTGTAAGTTTCAACAATTTAGAATTAAAAGTTATTTTGGCAATCTAGGACTCATTCTTCATTCTGGCTGCAGACAGAGCTATGGATAGGGAATGTCACACATATTTTTAAGGTTATGTTGTCTTTTATGTTAAATGGATAACATTTCCACTTTGCGTTTCCATATGCAATGGAAGGCCAAGGCAGCAGAATCCCTTGAGGCCAAGACTTCAAGACCAGCCGGGCAATATAGTCAGACTGTGTCTCTACAAAATATTTTTTAAATTGTTTATATAATTTATGAGATTCCAGTGTCATGCTGTCAGCTAATATTAGGAAATTAGTAGGTGTGACTATGGTATTCTGGTTATGAGAAATGCTTCAATTTATTTTATTTTATTTTTTTTTTGAGACGGAGTTTCGCTCTTGTTGCCCAGGCTGGAGTGCAGTGGTGTGATCTCAGCTCACTGCAACCTCCGCCTCCTGGGTTCAAACGATTCTCCTGCCACAGCCTCTCAAGTAGCTGGGATTACAGGCATGCGCCACCAGGCGCAGCTAATTTTTGTAGTTTTAGTAGAGACGGGTTTCACCGTGTTGGCCAGGATGATCTCCATCTCTTGACCTCGTGATCCGCTCGCCTCAGCTTCCCAAAGCGCTGGGATTACAGGCATGAGCCACCGCGCCCAGCCTTTTTTTTCTTTTCTTTTCTTTTTTTTTTTTTTTTTGAGACGGAGTCTTGCTCTGTCGCCCAGGCTGGAGTGCAGTGACGCGATATCCGCTTACTGCAAGCTCCGCCTCCCGGGTTCACGCCATTCTCCTGCCTCAGCATCCCGAGTAGCTGGGACTACAGGCGCCCGCCACCACGCCCGGCTAATTTTTTGTATTTTTAGTAGAGACGGGGTTTCACCGTGTTAGCCAGGATGGTCTCGATCTCCAGACCTCGTGATCTGCCCCCCTCGGCCTCCCAAAGTGCTGGGATTACTTACATGCTTGAGCCACCGCGCCCGGCTTTTTTTTTTTTAACAGTCTCGCTCTGTCACCCAGGCTGGAGTGCAGTGGCGTGATTTCGGCTCACTGCAACCTCCGCCTACCAGATTCAAGCGATTCTCGTGCCTCAGTCTCCTGAGTAGCTGGAATTATAGGCGTGTGCCACCACTCCTGACTAATTTTTGAATTTTTGGTAGAGATGAGGTTTCACCATGTTGGCCAGGCTGGTCTCAAATTCCAGACCCCATGTGATCCGCCTGCTGTGGCCTCCCAAAGTGCTGGGATTACAGGTATGAGCCACTGTGCCCAGCCTCAGAAGTGCTTCCGTTCTTGAGATGTGAAAATTGCCTTTTTAGATATACGTTAAAAAAAAAAAAATAGAGATGGAGCCTTAGTATGTTGACCAGGCCGGTCTGGAACTCCTGGCATTAAGCGATCATCCCATCTAGGCCCCCCATAGTGCTAGGATTACAGGCATGAGTAACCACACCTGAGATGTTTTATATTTGCAGTTTTTAATAAAGCAAAGTCAAAAAGAACAATTTTTAGGATAAATGACCTTAGGTTGAAAACATTTTTATTTTCAAGGAAAAATTTGTGAATTCATTCCTGTACCAAAAAATTACATCCAGTTCATTTACTACAGCATGAAATTTTATTGAAAAGAACTTAATAATTTCAAATGTGAGCAGAGGTTATTTTATTCTTTCCTTTCACTTACTGTCTGTCTCCCTGAGTTTCTTTCTTTTTTTTTTTTTTTTTTTTGAGACAGAGTTTCACTCTTGTTGCCCAGGTTGGAGTACAATGGCGTGATCTTGGCTGACTGCAGTCTCTGCCTCCTGGGTTCAAGCAATTTTCCTGCCTCAGCCTCCCGAGTAGCTGGGATTACAGGCATGCACCACCATGCCCGGCTAATTTTGTATTTTTAGTAGAGACGGGGTTTCTCCATATTGAGGCTGGTCTCGAACTCCTGACCTCAGGTGATCCTCCCGCCTCAGCCTCCCAAAGTGCTGGGATTACAGGCGTGAGCCATCACACCTGGCTGGATCTTTTACCTACCATATAGGTAAAACCATGGTCAAAAGTGATACAGAAGCAGGAGGAGCAAGATGGCCAAATAGAACCCTCCAGTGATTGTTCCCCCAACAAGAACACCAAATTGAACAGCTATCCACACAAAAAGTAACTTAGGCTGGGCGCAGTGGCTCACACCGGTAATCCCAGCAGTTTGGGAGGCTGAGGCAGGCAAATCACGAGGTCAGGAGTTCAAGACCAGCTTGGCCAATATGGTGAAACACCGTCTCTAGTAAAAAATACAAAATTAGCTGGGCATGGTGGTGTGCACCTGTAATCCCAGCTACTCAGGAGGCTGAGGCAGGAGGATCGCTTGAACCCGGGAGGTGGAGGTTGCAGTGAGCCGAGATCGTGCCACTGCACTCCAGCCTGGGTGACAGAGTGAGACTCTGTATCAAAAAAGAGAAGAAGAAGGAGACGGAGAAGGAGAAGAAGAAGAAGAAGAAAGGAGAAGAAAGAGGAGAAGAAGAAGAAGAACCAAACATCAGCTGTGCAATCACAGTGCCTGGTCTTATATTAAGTAAAGAGGCACGGAAGAGGGTGGGAAAGCAGCCTTGAATTGCCTATGCCACCACTTTCCCATCCTCTCGCAGAGGCCAAATGGCATAGAGAGTGAATCTGTAAGCTTGGGAGAGGGAGAGCGCAGTGATTGTGGCACTTTGCATTGGAACTCAGTGCTGCCCTGTCATTAGCAGAAAGCAATATGGGGCAGAACTCAGCCAGTGCCCATGGAGGGAGCGTTTAGATCAGCCTTAGCCAGAGTTGAATTGTCCATCCCAATTGCCAGAACCTGAGTTCTGGCAAGCCCTGTCACCGTGGGCTAAAATGTTCTGGTGTCCTGAAGAAACTTGAAAGGTAGTCAGGATCACAAGGACTGCAATTCCTGTGTAAGTCTTGGTGTTGGGTGGGCTTGGACCCAGCGGACTTGGTGTGCACATGACCTAGTGAGACACTAGCTGGGGTGGCAAAGGGAATACTTGTGCCACCACTCTCCTGACCCCAGGCAGTACAGCCAGCAGCTCAGGGAGAGACTACTTCCTTCTACTTGAGAAGAAAGGGGAGAGTAAAGAGGACTTATATTGCAACTTGGATGCAAGCTCAGCAACAGTATAATAGGGCACCAGGCAGAGGCGTGAGGCCTCTATTCCAGGCCCTAGCTCCTGGACATTTCTAGATACACCCTGGGCCAGAAGGGAACCTACTGCCTTGAAAAGAAGGACCCAGTCCTGGCAGAATTCATCACCTTCTGAACCCCTGGGCCCTGAGTGATCAGCAGGGGTAGCCAGGCTGTACTTGTATGGGCCTTGGGTAAGACTTAGAGCTGTACTGGCTTCAGGTGTGACCCAGCACCTTTCTACCTGTGGTGGCTATGGGGAGAGATTCCTGCTGCTGGAGGAAAGGAGAGGGAAGAATAGGCCAGGCGCAGTAGCTCATGCCTGTAATCCCAGCACTTTCAGAGGCTGAGCCCAGGAGTTCAAGACAACATGAAAAAATCCCATCTCTACAAAAAATACAAAAGATTAGCCAGGTGTGGTGGTATGCACCTGTAGTCCCAGCTACTTGGGAGGCTGAGGTGGGAGAATCACTTGAGCCCAGGAGGTCAGGGATGCAGTGAGTCAAGATGGCACCACTGCACTCCAGCCTGAGAGACAGAGCAAACCCCTGTCTCAGAAAAAAAAACAAAAAAAAATTTCTGTACAGCAAAAGAAACAGTCACAGTCAACAAAGTGAAGAGACAACCCACAAAATGGGAGAAAACATTTGCAAACAATCCATCTGACAAGGGATTAATAAACAATATAGAGGGAGCTCAAATACCTCAATAGGAAAAAAAGTCTAATAATTCAAATTAAAAATGGGCAAAATATCTGAATAGACATTTCTCAAAAAAAGACATAAAAATGAAAATCAGACATATGAAAAGGTGCTCCACATCATCAGAGAAGTGAAAAGACAACAGCAATACCACATCATCTCACCGCAATTAAAATGGCTTTTATCCCAAAGAGAGGTAATAACAAATGATGGCAAGGATGTGAAAAAAAGAGACCCTTGTACACTGTTGGTGGAAATGTAAAATACTAAGCCACTGTGGAGAACAGTTTGGAGGCTCCTCAAAAATCTGGAATTAGAACTACCCTATGATCCAGCAATCACATTGCTAGGTGTATTCCAAAAAGAAAGGAAATCAGCATATCGAAGAGCTTTCTGCACTCTGATGTTTATTGCAGCACTATTCACAATAGCCAAGATTCAGAAGCAGCCTAAATGTTCATCAAAAGATGAATCGATAAAGAAAATGTGATACATATTGGCTGGGTACGGTGGCTTACACCTGTAATCCCAGCACTTTGGGAGGCCGAGGCAGGCGGATCACGAGGTCAGGAGATCGAGACCATCCTGGCTAACATGGTGAAACCCCGTCTCTACTGAACATACAAAAAAAATTAGCCGGGCGTGGTGGAGGGCACCTGCAGTCCCAGCTACTCAGGAGGCTGAGGCAGGAGAATGGCGTGAACCCAGGAGCCGGAGCTTGCAGTAAGCCGAGATCGCACCACTGCACTCCAGCCTGGGTGACAGAGTGAGACTCCATCTCAAAATAGAAAAGAAAAGAAATGAAAAGAAAATGTGGTACATATACATAGTGGAGTACTATTCAGCCATGAAAAAGACTGAGATCCTGTCATGTGCGACATCATGGATGGAACTGGAAGTCATTATGTTAAGTGAAATAAACCAGGCACGGAAAGGCAAACTTCACATGCTCTCACTAATTTCTGGGAGCTAAAAATAAAACAATTGAACTCATGGAGATAAAGAGCAGAAGAATGGTTACCAGAGGCTAGGAAGGGTAGTGGAGGAGGCAGGAAAATAGGGGTGGTTAATGGGTAGAAAATTATACTTAGAATGAATAAAATCTAGTATTTGATAGCACACAGGGTGACTACAGTCAACAATAATTTATTTTACATTTAAAAATAAAAGAGTATAATTGGATTGTTTGTAACACAAGGAAACAATAAATGCTTGAGGTGATGAATACCTGATTTATCCTGATGTGATTTGATATGGCTTGGCTGTGTCCCCACCCAAATCTCAACTTGAATTCTGTCTTCCAGAATTCCCAGGTGTTATGGGAGGGACCCAGGGGGAGGTAATTGAATCATGGGGGCTGGTCTTTCCCATGCTATTCTCACAATAGTGACTAAGTCTCACAAGATCTGATGGATTTATCTGGGGTTTCCGCTTTTGTTTCCTCCTCATTTTCTCTTGCCACCACCATGTAAGAAGTGCCTTTTGCCTCCCACCATGATTCTGAGGCCTCCCCAGCCATGTGGAACTGTAAGCCCAATTACACTTCTTTTTCTTTCCAGTTTTGGGTATGTCTTTATTAGTAGCTTGCAAATGGACTAATACAGTAAATTGGTACCAGCAGTGGGTTGTTGCTGAAAAGATATCCAAAAATGTGGAAGTGACTTTGGAACTGGGTAACAGGCAGAGGTTGGAACAGTTTGGAAAGCTCAGAAGACAGAAGATGTGGGAAAGTTTGGAACCTCCTACAGATGTGTTGAATGGCTTTGACAAAAATACTGATAGTGATATGAACAAGAAGATCCAGGCTGAGGTGGTCTCAGATGGAGATGAGGAACTTGTTGGGAACTGGAGCAAAGGTGACTCTTATTATGTTTTAGCAGAGACTGGTGGCATTTTGCCCCTGCCCTAGAGATTTGTGGAACTTTGAACTTGAGAGAGATGATTTAGGGTATCTGGAGGAAGAAATTTCTAAGCAGAAAAGCATTCAAGAGGTGACTAGGTGACCTGGGTGCTGTTAAAAGCGTTCGTTTTAAAAGGGAAACAGAACATAAAACTCTGGAAAGTTTGCAGCCTGATGATGCGGTAGAAAAGAAAAACCCATTTTTAAAGGAGAAATTCAAGCTGGCTGCAGAAATTTGCCTAAGTAGCAAGGAGCCAAATGTTAATCCCCAAGACCATGGGGAAAATGTCTCCAGGCCACATCAGACACGTTTACACAGCCCTTCCCATCACAGGCCCGGAGGCCCAGGAGGAAAAAGTGGTTTCACGGGCCAGGCCCAGGGTCCCCGTGCTGTGTGCAATGTAGGGACTTGGTGCCCTGTGTCCCAGCCACTCCAGCCGTGACTGAAAGGGGCGAACGTACAGCTTGGGCTGTGGCTTCAAAGGGTTGAAGCCCCAAGCCTTGGCAGCTTCCGCATGGTGTTGAGCCTGCAGGTACAAAGAAGTCATGAACTGAGGTTTGGGAACCTCCACCTAGATTTCAGAAGATGTATGGAAACACTTGGATGTCCAGGCAAAAGTTTACTGCAGAGGTGGGGTGCTCATGGAGAACCTCTGCTAGGGCAGTGCAGAAGGGAAATGTGGGGTCAGAGCCCCCCCTACAGAGTCTTTACTGGGGGCACTGCCTAGTGGAGCTGTGAGAAGAGGGCTACCATCCTCCAGACCCCAGAATGGTCGATCCACTGACAGCTTGCACTGTGCACCTGGAAAAGCTGCAGACACTCAACACCAGCCCGTGAAAGCAGCTGGGAGGGAGGCTGTACCTGCAAAGCCACAGGGGCAGAGCTGCCCAAGACCATGGGAACCCACCTCTTGCATCAGTGTGACCTGGATGTGAGACCTGGAGTCAAAGGAGATCATTTTGGAGCTTTAAAATTTGAGTGCCCTGCTGGATTTCAGACTTGCATGGGCCCTGTAACTCCTTTGTTTTGGCCAATTTCTCCCCTTTGGAATGGCTGTATTTACCCAATACCTGTACCCCCATTGTATCTAGGAAGCAACTAGCTTGCCTTTGATTTTACAGGCTCATAGGCGGGAGGGACTTGCCTTGTCTCAGATGAGACTTTGGACTGTGGACTTTGGGATTAATGCTGAAATGTGTTAAGACTTTGGGGTACTGTTGGGAAAGCATGATTGATTTTGAAATGTGAGGACATGAGATTTGGAGGGGTCAGGGGTAGAATGATATGGTTTGGCTGTGTCCACACCCAGATCTCAGCTTGAATTATATCTCCCAGAATTCCCACATGTTGTGGGAGGAATCCAGAGGTAGTAATTGAATCATGGGGGATGGTCTTTCCCCTGCTGTTCTCATAGTAGTGAGATGGGTTTATCAGGGATTTCTGCTTTTCCTTTTTCCTCATTTTCTCTTGCCGCTGCCATGTAAGAAGTGTCTTTTGCCTCCCGCCATGATTCTGAGGCCTCCCCAGCCATGTGAAACTGTAAGTCCAATTAAATATCTTTTTCTTTTTTTCTTTTCTTTTCTTTTCTTTCTTTTTTTTTTTTTTTGAGATGCAGTCTTGCTCTGTCACCCAGGCTGGAGTGCAGTGGCATGATGTCAGCTCACTGCAACCTCCGCCTCCCGGGTTCAAGCAATTCTTCTGCCTCAGCCTCCTGAGTAGCTGGGACTATAGGCTTGCACCACCATGCCTGGCTAATTTTTGTATTTTTAGTAGAGACGGGGTTTCACCATCTTGGCCAGGCTGGTCTCGAACTCCTGACCTCATGATCTGCCCACCTCAGCCTCCCAAAGCGTTGGGATTACAGACGTGAGCCACCGTGCCCGACCAACATCTTTTTCTTCCCAGCCTCAGGTATGTCTTTATCAGCAGTGTGAAAACGGACTAATACATGGTTATTACACATTGTATGCCTGTATTAAAATATCTCTTGTACCCAATAAATATATACACCTACTATGTACCCCCCCACACACAAAAGATAGCGTTCTTTGTGTTTTTAAATAGGTTTTGCCTTAAAGTCTAGTCAAGTATGATAATGGCATATCCACTCTTGTTCTCTTTTGGTTACTATTTGCGTGGAATACCTTTTTACCTCTGTATTAGGCTTTTCTTGCTTTGCCATAAAAATACCTGAGGCTGGATAATTGATAAAGAAATGTTTTATCAACTCATGTTTCTGCAAGCTTTATAGGAAGCATGGTGCTGGCATCTGCTCAGGTTCTGGGGAGGCCTCAGAGTTTTTACTTTTGGTGGAGGGTGAAGCCGGAGCAGGCCTCTCACGTGGCAAAATAGGAACGAGAGAGAGAGGTAGAGGGGAGGTGCCACACACTTTCAAACCACCAGACCTTGTGCGAACTCAGAAGAAGAGCTCACCTATCACTAAGGGGATGGCCCAAGCCATTCATTAGAGATCTGTCCCCATGATCCAAACACCTCCCACCAGGCCCTGCTTCCAACCTTGGGGATTGCAATTCAATGTGAGATTTTGCGGGGATGTACATTTAAAGTATATCATCTTCCATTCCATTTCGAGTATTTTTTGTCTTGGGGTATAAAATGAGTGTCTTGGTCATGCATTATGGCTCATGCCTGTAATCCCAGCATTTTTATTTTTTTAAGACGGAGTCTCGGCCGGGCGTGGTGGCTCAAGCCTGTAATCCCAGCACTTTGGGAGGCCGAGGCGGGCGGATCATGAGGTCAGAAGTTCAAGGCCGGCCTGACCAACATAGTGAAACCCTGTCTCTACTAAAAATACAAAAAATTAGCCGGGTGTGGTGGTGTGCACCTGTAATCCCAGCTACTCAGGAGGCTGAGGCAGGAGAATCGTGTGAACCCGGGATGCAGAAGTTGCAGTGAGCCGAGATTGTGACATTGCACTCCAGCCTGGGCGACAGTGGGAGACACTGTCTCAAAAAAAAAAAAAAAAAAAGATGGAGTCTCACTCTCGCCAGGCTGGAGTGCAGTGGCGTGATCTTGGCTCACAGCAACATCCGCCTCCCAGGTTCAAGTGATTCTCCTGCCTCAGCCTCCTGAGTAGCTGGGATTACAGGCTCGCGCCACCACACCCAGCTAATTTTTGTATTTTTAGTAGAGATAGGGTTTCACCATGTTGGTCAAGATGGCCTCGATCTCTTGACCTCGTGATCCACACGCCTCAGCCTCCCAAAGTGCTGGGATTACAGGCGTGAGCCACCGTGCCCGGCCATTCCTAGCATTTCTGGAGACTGAGGTGGGAAGACTGCTGGAGGCCAAGACTTCAAGTTCAGCGTGGGCAACATGGTGAGATCTTGTGTTGAGAAGAAATTTTTTAAAATTTACACAATTAATGACATTTTAATGTCATTCTATCAATCAATATTAGGTAAGTATTAGGTGTGACTGATATTCTGGATATGTATAAAATTAACTCAATATTTGAGATATGAAAGCTGCCAGGGCCAGGCGTGGTGGCTCACACCTGCAATCCCAGCACTTTGGGAGGCTGAGGCAGGCGGATCACCTGAGGTTAGGAGTTTGAGACCAGCCTGGCCAACATGGTGAAATCCCATCTCTACTAAAGATACAAAAAATTAGCCCAGCATGGTAGCATGCACCTGTAATCCCAGCTACTGGGGAGGCTGAGGCAGGAGAATCGCTTGAACCCAGGAGGTGGAGGTTGCAGTGAGCTGATATCGTGCCACTGCACTCCAGCCTGGGCAACAGAGTGAGACTCTGTCTCAAAAAAAAGAAAAGAAAACTGCCTTTTATTTTTAATTTTTTGTATTTTTATTTTTGAGACAGAATCTCACTCTGTCACCCAGGCTGGAATGCAGTGGCTCAATCACTCATCACTGCAACCCCAACTGATTCTGGGCTCAAGTGATTCTCCTGCCTCAACCACCCTAGTAGCTGGGACTATAGGCACATGCCACTACGCCTGGCTATTATTTAACTTAATTTTTTTTGGGGGGGGATGGAGTCTTGCTCTGTCACCTAGGCTGGAGTGCAGAGGCGTGAACTTGGCTCACTGCAACCTCTGCCTCCTGGGTTCAAGCAATTCTCCTGCCTCAGCCTCCCAAGTAGCTGGAATAACAGGTGGCCACCACCATGCCTGGCTAATTTTTGTTTTGTATTTTTAGTAGAGATGGAGTTTCACCATGTTGGCCAGACTGGTCTCAAACTCCTGACTTCAGGTATCCACCCACCTCAACCGCCCAAAGTGCTGGGATTACAGGCATGTGTCACCGCACCTGGCCCCGCCAATGTTTTTAACTTAAATTTTCATACTCATGCACGTAACTCCACATTCTCCTCTATTCACAGGCCCTGATAATCTCTATTCTACTTTATCCCTTTATGAATTTGACTATTCTAGGCACCTCATATAAGTGAAAGTATACAATATTTATTCTGGTGTCTCTGGCTTATTTCACTTAGCATAATGTTTTCAAGTTGCATGCATGTGTTAACGTGTCAGTAATTCATTGCTTTTTTGTGCCTGAAAATATTCTATTGTAGGGATAAATCACCCTTTGCTCATCCATTTGTTTGTTGATAAACATGTGGGTTTTTTCCACAGTAATATTCTGAATAAGGCTGCTATGAAATTGGTGTACATGTGTCTCTGTGTGTTGTGCTTTTGATTTTTTAGGATATATACCTAGGAGTTGAATAGTCACAGGGGAATTCTAAATTCACCTTTTTAAGGAACAGCCATACTGTTTTACACAGTGGCTGCAATGTTTTACATTCTCTACATCAGTGCACAAGGATTCCCGTTTCTCCATGTCCTCATCCACACTTATTATAATTTTTTTTTTTTTTTTTGAGACGGAGTCTCACTCTGTCGCCCAGGCTGGAGTGCAGTGGCACAATCACAGCTCACTGCAGCCTTGACTTCCCTGGCTCAAGTGATCCTCCCACTTGAGGATCACTGGGACCATAGGTGCTAAGATGGGACTACCGGTCTGACCCCTGCTTTCCATCGTGGCCTGAACTAGATTTCTAGATTTTCAGGTTTACTTTGGGATGCCCTTAGCCGAGAGGGGAATCCTTCAGTTTGGGAGAGAGGGGTGGGCTTTGAATTTTATTTTTGGTTTACACATAGAATAGCTGGAGTCGGAGTGTGATTTGATATATGTAGAAAATCTGTTAAGGTCAAGACCCATTGGATTACCTTATGGAGAAAAGGTTTATGAATTTGACAATTTATGTCAGTCAGTACCTTAAACTGACTCCAGGTGAGTTTCCTGCTGGTGAAAATGAAGGTCTGGGGCTGGGCGCGGTGTCCTTGTCTCTACAAAAATACCAACATTAGCCAGGCATGATGGCGGGTGTCTGTAATCCCAGCTACTCTGGAGGCTGAGGCGGGAGAATCCCTTGAACTCGGAAGGCGGAGGTTGCAGTGAGCGGAGATCGCGCTATCGCACCCCAGCCTGGGCGACAGAGCGAGACTCTGTCTCAAAAAAAAAAAAAAAAAAAAAAAAAGAGAGAATATGATGAAGGTCTGGAAGGAGAGAGTGTTGCCACACTATGCAGACAGGACAGGAAGGCATGTTGAGAGCCTAGAGTTAAATCCTTCAGTGTTCAGGCCTCATCACCAGGTTCTGATCGGTTCTGGGGCTCTGTTTCAGCAGTCAGAACCTGGCTCCCAAGAATCTGTTTAACCTCCTGAATAGGGGGTTTCCTGCTGAACAGTGGCTGAAAAACTGCTTCTCTGAGCTAGTTCATGTTTTTGCTTTTCTTCTCTTTTGATTCCTTCATAGAATATTGCTGCCATATAATTCCAGTTTTTCCACACATTTAACAATTTTATTCCATTGTTGCTGTGTTTTTATTTTCTTGGTGAAAACGAGTAGACTCCAGGGCGCGGTAGCTCACGCCTGTAATCCCAGCACTTTGGGAGGCCGAGGGGGGCGGATCACGAGTCAGGAGATTGAGACCATCCTGGCCAACATGGTGAAACCCCGCCTCTACTAAAAATACAAAAATTAGCTGGGGGTGGTGGCGCGTGCCTGTAATCCCAGCTACTCAGGAGGCTGAGGCACGAGAATCGCTTGAACCCAGAAGGCGGAGGTTGCAGGGAGCCGAGATCGCGCCACTGCACTTCAGCCTGGCGACAGAGCGAGACTCCGTCAAAAAATAAAATAAAAAATAAAAAAATAAGACTGAGAGATCAGGTGGGAGAAAGGCTTGGTCATGCAGCCAGCAGCTTCATCCCAAATTCCTGATCCCTGGAGGACATCAGACCCCCTCTCCTACTGCAGTGTGGCCTGTGTGGCCTCGGCTCCCCTTCTGCTCCGAGGCCAGGGGATGTCTCCACTGGACAGTGAGTCTGGGATTCCCTGCACACAGTTGTGACCCCCCAGTCCCGGAGGAAGAAGCAGGAAGGGCTCGCAGACTATTGGCAGGAATTCTTCTTAAATGCAGATATTCCCCGGGAGGGGTCAGGTCACTGCCCAGGGAGGAACCCCCCCTCCCCCGCCCGCCCCATGCCAAGAGCTGTGTCTGCAACCTGTTCATCTGGCTCCACTCAGCACTGGGAGATCACTTCTTCTGTCGCTCAGTGCCTAGGGGGCGGGACCTGGAGTACTATCCAATCAGAGCCGCTGGGCGGGGCCGTGAGAACTGTCAATCAGGCGTCCAGGAGGCTGGAGGATGCGAGGTTGAAAAAGCCCGCGGCGTCTTCTCTGTCACCCGCGCTCGGCTCCCTGCTCGGTCGGGCTGGAACCTGTACTGGCAGCCGGAGGTGTAGGTAGGAACCGGAATACCTCGGAAGCCGGGAAATGGTGAGTGTCCGAGGCCGGGGTTCCCGAGACAGGGTACAGCTGGTTGTAACCGACCGGAACCGGCTGTGGCGGGACCCAGACCTCCTCGCTGTTGTCTCTGGGGTCTGAGGACCCGAGTGCCCTGGCCCAGCTCGGTCCTCGGTCCTCTCGGCCTCAGGGTGGGGCTGGGCCTGCAGCCAGGACTCCGGGCGTCCTGTCCGGTCCCCGCGCGGCAACTGCGGCCCAGGTTCCGGAGTCCTCTCTGGGCAGCTCCGCGTCCGCAGCCCCGCGTCTCCCTAGATTGTGCGGGGACACGGGAGGGTCATGGGGGGAATCCTCCTCGGGTGTGGGGTTCATGTGGAAGGAGCAGCGGTCTGTGGGGTCCCCAGTTCCTCCTTTGTCTCCAAGGGGCTCGAGTTTTTACTGAGATATCCAGATATATGCGAAGCAGGGTCTCAAATCCGCAACTGTGATCCCTGGCCTAGCTTCTCCTAGGGCTGCCAGCAAATCCCTGGATTTCCAGATCCCGCTCCGCGTTTTAGAGCTGGCCTCCTCTTCAGTTCACCACAACAATGTCAACTCTTCGTCCCCCAGGCTTTGTTTCAAACATAGCCATATATATGTGTGTGTGTGTGTATATATATATATGTGTATATATATATATATGTGTATATATGTATATATGTGTGTGTATATATATATATATATATATATATATATTTTTTTTTTTTTTTTTTTTTTTTTTTTTTTTTTGTGACAGAGTCTCGCTGTGTCGCCCAGGCTGGAGTGCAGTGGCGCAATCTCGGCTCACTGAAACCTCCGCTTCCTGGGTTCAAGCGATTCTCCTGTCTCAGACTCCCGAGTAGCTGGGATTACAGGCGCCCGCCACCACGCGCGGCTAATTCATGTATTTTTAGTAGAGACGGGTTTTCACCGTGTTGGCCAGGCTGGTCTCAAACTCCTGACCTCA
This sequence comes from Homo sapiens, assembly GCF_000001405.40. Classification (NCBI taxonomy): domain Eukaryota; kingdom Metazoa; phylum Chordata; class Mammalia; order Primates; family Hominidae; genus Homo; species Homo sapiens. The sequence continues at coordinate 11,640,846 of NC_000019.10, forward strand.
GGTGATCCACCCTCCTCAGCCACCCAAAGTGCTGGGATTACAGGCATGAGCCACTGCAACCGTCCTCACACGTTTTTCATGTATATATGAATTATATATATATTAAATATATATATATAATTTTTTTTTTTTTGGTGGAGACGGAGCCTCACTCTGTTGCCCAGGCTGGAGTGCAGTGGCACGATCTTGGCTCACTGCAACCTCTACCTCGCGGGTCTCCTGCCTCAGCCTCCCGAGTAGCCGGGACTGCAGGCGCGTGCCACCATGCCCGGCTAATTTTTGTATTTTAGTAGAAACGGGGTTTCACCATGTTGGCCAGGCTGGTCTTGAACTCCTGACCTCAGGTGATCCGCCCGTCTAGGCCTCCCAAAGTGCTGGGATTATAGGTGTGAGCCATGGCGCCTGGCCACACGCAATATTTTAATAGGCTTTTTTTTTTTTAAGAGGGCAAAATATGGCTCTTTTTGTAAAGATTTGTTGTGTGTTTGTGAACATTTCACACTTGAGGAAGCGGAGAAAAAGCACCTGACACTTGCTGTAAACAATCTTTATGCCTCTCCTCCTTTTATCTGCCCGAGGCACGGACACCTTCTGAGAATGTCTTTGGGTTGAGGTTTATCTTTGGAAACTTTACAGGGCGATGTGTCCTCAACTCACCCTCCATCTTATCCTGGTCCTGGGTTTCAGAACTGCCTGGGGCTGACTGAAGATGCCCACAGCTACCATGTTTCTTGGAGGGTGGGTCACTCCTCCCAGAGGACAACCTGAGGCGTGGAGTTGGGGCTTCCCAGGAGAGGAGCTAGGTGCCCTGGGGTGGGAGAAGTCCCCTGGTATTCCCCTCCTTAAAAAGCTAATCCTGGGCCAGGAACAGTCTCTCACACCTGTAATCCCACCATTTTGGGAAGCCTGTAATCCCACCACTTTGGGAAGCCGAGGCGGGTGGACCCCTTGAGTCCAGGAGTTCGAGACCAGCCTAGGCAACATGGCGAAACCCCGTCTCTACTAAAAATACAAAAAAACTAGCCGGGTATGGTGGTGCGTGCCTCTAGTCCCAGCTCCTGGGGAGGCTGAGGTGGGAGGATCACCTGAGCCAGGGAGGTCAAAGCTGCAGTCAGCTGCGATCGCACCACTGCACTCCAGCCTGGGCAACTGGAGTGAGACCCAGTCTCAAAAAAAAGCTCTAATCCCCTGGGACACTCAGCTTTTCTTCCCCAAATCCAGATTCCATTCCTTGGGGACACTTGGCTCATCAGCCAGTTGGATGGTGGTATTGAAGGGACAGGACAGAAATGATTCCTGTTTTCTGGATGCTCTCAGCATAGTTAAGGGAGAAAACTATTCCTAAGGACAGGAAAACCCACCCCACTGAGATGGTGCAAGAACCTGAAAAGCAAAATGCACTTTAGGAACACAGGGGACGCACAATGTGTCGTCTCCTGGGAGGGTGGTCACTGAGCACTTCAGTGAGCAGGATGGGGATGGGGGATGCCCCTGGTGACAGGAGGATACGATGTGACACTTGAGTTAGACTTGTCTGTGTTCTAGGTCCTTACTGTCTCTCTCTGGGCTTGTCACCTTGCAAAGATTGGTTCACCTATTTCAGCTGCAGATTAAATCTCTACTTTTGGAAGCTTTTCAACTATCTTTTGGTTATCAATTTCTAGTTTAATATGATTTGATTGCATACTTTATAGCATTTCTGTTCAATTTGTTAAGGCATATTTTATGCTTCCAGTGTAGTTTACTGTGGTGAATATTTCATGTGAACTTGAGAGGAATGTGTATTCTGCTGGTGTTGAATGAAGGATTCTATAAATACATATTAATTAAATGCAGTTGATTAATTGATACAGTTTGGCTGTGTCCCCACCCAAATCTCATGTTGAATTGTAGTTCCCATAATCCTCACCTGTTGTGGAAGGGACCTGGTGGAGATAATTGAATCATGGGGGTGTTTTTCCCCATCCTGTTCTGGTGATAGTGAGTTAGTTCTCAAGAGATCTGATGGTTTTATAAGGGGCTTCCTTCTTCGCTGGGCACTCGTTCTTCTCCTTCCTGCCACCATGTGAAGAAGGACGTGTTTGCTTTCCCTTCCGCCATGATTGTAAGTTTCCTGAAGCATGTCTTTATTAGCTGAATGAGAACGGACTAATACATTATTGATGCTGTTGAGTTTAGCTATATCATTAGTGATTTTTTTGTTGTATTGACCTATTAATTATGGATAGAGGTGAACTGTTGGCTTCCAACTATAATTTTGGATTTGTATATTTTGTCTTATAGTTTTATGTTTTTGTCTTGTATCTTGATGTTATATTTTATGGGCATACATATAAGTAATAAAGATTATTATACCTTATGTCTTTTTTTTTTGAGACAGGGTCCCCATCTGTCTCCCAGGCTGGAGTGCAGTGGCACAATCACAGCTCACTGCAGCTTTGACCTCCCAGTGCCCAGGCTCAAGTGATCCTTCAGCCTCAGCCTCCTGAGTAGCTGGTACTACAGGCATGTACCACGATGCCTAGCTAATTTTTGTTTTTTTTTGTTTTTTTTTTGTAGAGACAAGGCTTCGCCATGTTGCCCAGGCTGGCCTCGAGCTCCTGGACTCAAGCATTCTGCTCACCTTGGCCTCCCAAAGTGCTGGGATTACAGGTGTGAGTCATTGCGCCTGGTCCTATTATGTCTTCTTGCAGGATTGACCTCTTCACTGTTACAAAATCTCTTTTACAAGGCAATGATGGTCCGGCGTGGTGGCTCACACCTGAAATCCCAGCACTTTGGGAGGCCAAGGCAGGTGGATCACCTGAGGTCAGGAGTTCGAGACCAGCCTGGCCAACACGGCGAAACCCTGTCTCTACTAAAAATACAGAAAATAGCCGGGTGTGGTGGCAGTCACCTGTAATCCCAGCTACTCGGGAGGCTCAGGCAGGAGAATCACTTGAACCTGGGAGGTGGAGGTTGCAGTGAGCCGAGATTGCACCATTGCACTCCAGCCTGGGCAACAGAATGAGACTCTGTCTCAAAAAAAAAAAAAAAAAGCAAGCCCAAGGCAATTATGAGGAAAATTCCTTGCCATTTTCCTTGATCTAAAATGTGGTTTGTCTGAGTTTTATAAAACTATTGCACATTTCTTTTGATTAGTGTTAGAATGGCTTATCTTTCTTCATACCTTTTTATTTAATCTATTCACTTCTTTTTGTTTGAAATGATTTTCTTGTACACATTACTGAGGCTTGTTTAATCTACTATGTCAATCTGTGTCTCTTTTTTGTGTATATAAGTAACAGACATTTAAAGTGGTAATTGATATAATTGTATTAATATGTATATATGTAATTGTTCTCTGTTTGTTGTACTTGTTTTCTTCTTTCTTTCTTTCTTTTTTTTTTTTAGACGGAGTTTCATTCTTGTTGCCCAGGCTGGAGTGCAATGGCGCGATCTCAGCTCACCACAACCTCTGCCTCCCACATTCAAGCGATTCTCCTGCCTCAGCCTCCCGAGTAGCTGGGATTACAGGCATGTGCCACCATGCCCAGCTAATTTTGTATTTTTTAGTAGAGACGGGGTTTCTCCATGTTGGTCAGGCTGGTCACAAACTCCCGACCTTAGGTGATCTGTCCACCTCGACCTTCCAAAGTGCTGGGATTACAGGCATGAGACACTGCTCCCGGCCTCGTTTTCTATTTTTAAAACTTTCTCTTTTTCTACCTTCTGTAGTTTTTGCTTGTTTGTTTGTTTTTTTGAGATGGAGTCTCGCTCTGTTGCCCAGCCTGGAGTGTAGTGGCGTGATCTCATCTCACTGCAACCTTCACCTCCTCCTGGGTTCAAATGATTCTCGTGCCTCAGTCTCCCGAGTAGCTGGTATTACAGGCGTGCGCCACCATGCCCGGCTAATTTTAATAATTTTAGTAGAGACAGGGTTTCGCCATGTTGGCCACGCTGGTCTTGAACTCTTGACCTCAAGTGATCCATCTGCCTCGGCCTCCCAAAGTGCTGGCATTACAGGGGTGAGCCACTGTGCCTGGTAGTAACTTTTTCAAAGTATGTTTACAGAGATGTATTCCCTGTCCTCTCTAGTCAATGAAGGCTCTGTTCCTTTAACTTGTGTTCATCTAGTGTTTTGAGAGAGGTTTCCTGAATGCTAGGAGCTAAAATAAAACAGACCTGGCCGGGTGCTGTGGCTCATGCCTGTAATCCCGGCACTTTGGGAGGCCAAGGCGGGTGGATCACCTGAGGTCAGGAGTTCGAGGCCAGCCTGGCCAACATGGCGAAACCCTGTCTCTACTAAAAATACAAAAATTAGCCAGGCGTGGTGGTGGGCCCCTGTAATCCCAGCTACTGGGGAGGCTGAGGCTGGAGAATCACTTGAACCTGGGAGGCAGAGGTTGCAGTGAGCTGAGATCTTACCACTGCACTCCAGCCTGGGCAGCAAGAGCAGAACTCTGTCTCAAAAAACAAACAAACAAACAAACAATCAAACAAAAAGAGGCCCAAACCTGACTTCTTCCAGGCTTTGTGGATGGCTTTGTCGTGCAGCATTCCTTGAACACTCGGCCTGAGTTTTGTTTGTTTTTTTTTTTTTTTTGAGACGGAGTCTCGCTCTGTCACCCAAGCTGGAGTGCAGTGGCGTGGTCCTGGCTCACTGCCAGCTCTGCCTCCCGGGTTCACACCATTCTCCTGCATCAGCCTCCTGAGTAGCTGGGCCTACAGGTGCCCGCCACCACACCCGGCTAAGTTTTGTAGTTTTAGTAGAGACAGGGTTTCACCGTGTTAGCCAGGATGGTCTGGATCTCCTGACCTCTTGATCTGCCCGCCTCAGCCTCCCAAAGTGCTGGGATTACAGGCGTGAGCCACCGCGCCCGGCCGACTGTTTAAAACTCTGCGTTAGCCTCCAATTTCTGCTGAACTGAGCCTAGAGATCAGCCAGTGCCGAAACTTAGGGCCTCCTCAGGTTTTTTCTAGAAATGTGTTATTTCCTGGGCAGACGTGAGGCTTTCTCAATTCCCCAGGATACCAAAGTGCTTTTGATTAGCCTAATTTCTGAAGCTAATTTTCTCTCCAGATTGTTTTCCTGGGTCTTAGATGGTCTATTCTGTCTCAGTCATAGACTGTTGTTCCAGATGGTTGCAGGCTTTTTGTTGACAATATTTTTATGTAGTCCCTGCCAATTTTTGACCCCAGTTAGGCTTTAGTGTAGTTGAAACAGAGAAGAGAGCCTTATTTCAGACTTTTCGTAGGCCCAGGAGAAATTGGAGTATATGAAGATAATATTTGCAAATAAATATAATATTTGCAAATAAGATGGTAGAATAGGTCACCGCACCTGGCCTGTTCTACATTTTCACTTACCTTTTTCTCTTTGTTCATCTTTCTGTCAACAGTGTGGTGTGTTGAATATTATAGTTTCAAAATCCTTCATGTGTGTTAGGTAAGCTGTCACTTTCTGGTTTAGAAGATTTTTAGCATTTTTAGACATTTGTTACCTCCATTAGTTTTGTTTAAGTAGCTTTTATTGACTACTAACAGGTCTGTTTTAATGATTTAAGGAATTTCATAAATATTCATGAGAGATGACACCTTGGTGACATGCAGTTCTTTTTTTTTTTTTTTTTTTTTTGAGATGGAGTCTTACTCTTGTCGCCCAGGTTGGAGTGCAATGGCGCAGTCCCAGCTCACTGCAACCTCCACTTCCCGGGTTCAAACGATTCTCCTGCCTCAGCCTCCCGAGTAGCTGGGATTATAGGCACCTGCCACCACGCCCGGCTAATTTTTGTATTTTTAGTAGAGATGGGTTTTCACCATGTTGGCCAGGCTGGTCTCGAACTCCTGGCTTTGTGATCTGCCCACCTCGGCCTCCTGAAGTGCTGGGATTGCAGGTGTGAGCCCCTGCGCCTGGCTGACAAGCGGTTCTTTAGAAGAACGTGTACAATCTTTATCCATCTTTCATTCTCCTTTGATGTTACCTAGTATTTAAAAATTTTCCTTTAGGATGATGAAATACATTTCATTAACCTTACGTTACACTTCATTAAATTTAGTTTACGGAAAACCGGTTGCCAGCTTCCAGGTGTTCTCTTATTGTAATCACATAGAATGGGCTAAATCCCCCAAGTAACAAGTGTTGACAGAACATATGAAATGTTACGTACCAAGGTCACTCAGACACTTAGTACCCAGAGTTTTTTTTTCATGGCCATCTTAGTCTGTTTTATGTTCATTAGAATAGAATGCCTGAAATTGGGTAATATACAAGAAATGATATTTGTTTTGTACAATTCTGGAGTTTGGGAAGTCTAAGGGCACGGTGGCACATCTGGTGAAAGCCTTGCTGGTGGGGACTCTTCACTATCTGAGGCAATGGAAGAAGGGTATTCCTAGGGGAGGGGGTGCTAGCTTAGGGGTCTCTTCCTCTTCTTCTGAGGCCACCAGTCTTACTCCCAGGATATCTCATTTACTCATTAACCCTTTCATCCATCAGTGAATGAACCCATTCATGAGGCAGAGCCCTCATGACATAGTCACCTCTTCAAGGCCCCACTTTTGAATACTGACACCTTGGGGATAAAGTTTCAGTATGAGTTTTGGAGGGGACAAACATTCAAACCTAGCAGTGACTGATCAGGTATGCTTCTCTGCTGATTATATCACAAAATTTCAAACTCTCAGAAGGATGATGGAAATTAAGCAAATACCATATTATTTACTTATTTATTTATTTTTCAATTTAATTTGAGACAGGGCCTCGCTCTGTCACCCAGGCCGGAGGTCAGTGTCACACTCATGGCTCACTGCAGCCTCTACCTCCTGGGTTCAAGCAATCCTCCCAGCTCAACCTCCCTAGTAGCTGGGACTACAGACATGCGCCATTATGCCTGGCTAATTTTTGTATGTTTTGTAGAGATGGGGTTTCACCATGTTGCCCAGGCTTGTCCTGAACTCCTGAGCTCAAGCAATCCACTCGTCTCAGCCTCCTAAAGTGCTGGCATTACAGGTGTGAGCCACTATGCCCAGTGGCAAATATCATATTGTTTTAATAAATAGTTGAGGCACACAGCTCCTTTTCTTTGTTATGCTGGTGCAGCTCTCCTTAAATCTAGCTCTGAGATACCATCATAGTTCAACTTTCTAAATAAACGTGTGTAGGGATATGTTGTCTTAGAGCTGCTAATATTGTCTCTTGTAGACAACACATAGTAGGACTTTGTCACGAGAGTTAGTATAGACCCACTAGACAGAAAGACACTAGAGGTGATCTGGGCAGCATATCTCAACTCCCTGAAATCATGAATGAGAGGCTTGTCCGTATTGGCTATTACTTTACTGAATGTGTTCAATTCTAGCATCAGAATTGCTGTGCTGGAGAAAATGAGTATAGACAGAGGATAAGAGTCTGATGACCAAATCATTGAATAAATGTTTGGAGTCTATAGCATTGTGTGAACTTCCTCTAGAGTGTAGCTTCCTAGTGCTGTCAGCCTGAACCTTCCTCCTCTGCCATGTGGGATGTTTCAGGACTCAATGATCTTTGAGGATGTGGCTGTGAACTTTACCCAGGAGGAGTGGGCTTTGCTGGATCCGTCCCAGAAGAAACTCTACAGAGATGTGATGTGGGAAATCATCAGGAACCTGATGTCTGTAGGTAAGGATGACATCATTTCTTCACTTAGTCAATTACAGAACAAGTGTTTCTTGGTCATCTACACTGCTCAATGATTTGAAACATGGTAGGGAATACAGTAGACTGGCCTGATGCAGTGGCTCACGGCTGCAATCTTAGCACTTTGGGAGGCCAAGGTGGGTGGATCACTTGAGGTCATGAGTTCGAGACCAGCCTGGCCAACATGATGATACCCCGTCTCTACTAAAAATACAAAAATTAGCCACGCGTGGTAGTGCACGCCTGTAGTCCCAGCTACTCAGGAGGCTGAGGTGGAAGAATTGCTTGAACTTGGGAGGCAGAGGTTGCAGTGAGCCAAGATTGTGCCACTGCACTCAAGCCTTGGCCACAGAGCAAGACTCCATCTGAAAAAAAAAGGAATACCGTAAGGCCGGGCATGGTGGCTCACACCTATAATCCCAGCACTTTGGGAGGCCGAGGTGGGTAGATCATGAGGTCAGGAGATTGAGACCATCCTGGCTAACATGGTGAAACCCCATCTCTACTAAAAATACAAAAAAAAATTAGCCGGGTGTGGTGGCGGGCACCTGTAGTCCCAGCTACTCGGGAGGCTGAGGCAGGAGAATGGCGTGAACCCAGGAGGCTGAGCTTGCAGTGAGCCGAGATAGCGCCACTGCACTCTGGCCTGGGTGAAAGAGCGAGACTCCGTCTCAAAAAAAAAAAAAAAAAAAAAAAAGAATACAGTAGACCCTTGAACAAAGTGGGTGTCAGAGACTCTTAACCTCTGCACAGTTGATGATCTGGTTTTAACTTTTGACTCTATAAAATGTTAACTGTTGGCCGGGTGCAGGGGCTCACACCTGTAATCCCAGCACTTTGGGAGGCCGAGGTGGGTGGATCCCTTGAGGTTAGGAGTTTGAGACCAGCCTGGCCAATGTGAAACCCCATCTCTACTAAAAATACAAAAAATTAACCAAGCATGGTGCCAGGCACCTGTAATCCTGGCTACTCAGGAGGCTGAGACAGGAGAACTGCTTCAACCTGGGAGGTGGAGGTTGCAGCGAGCTGAGATCATGCCACTGCACTCCAGTCTGGGCAACGAGAGTGAAACTTCGTCTCAAATAAAAAGAAAAAAAGCTAAATGTTAATAGCCTATTGTTGACTGGAAGCTTTATCAGTAACATAACCAGTCAATTAATACATATTTTGTGTGTTGGTGTGTATGTGTAAGTGTATATTAGGACAGTGTCTCACTTTGTTACTCAGGCTGGAGTGTAGGGGCATGGTCATAGCTTAATACAACTTAGAACTCCTGGGGTCAAGCAATCCTCCTGCCTCAGACTCTTGAGTAGCTAGGATTGTAGGCAAGTGCCACCATGCTGGGCTGATTTTTAAATTATTTTTTGTGGAGATGGAGGTCTTGCTATGTTGCCCAGGCTGGTCTCAAACTCTTAGCCTCAAGCAGTCCTCCCACCTCATCCCTAAGTGCTGGGATTATAGGTATAAACCACCATGCCTGGTCTGTTTGGTCTATTATATATGGTATTCTTATAATAAAGTAAGCTAGAAAAAAGAAATATTATCAAGAAAATCATAAGGAAGTGAAAACATATTGACTTGATTAAGTGGATCATCCTAAAGGAATCCTTTTCATTGTTTTCACATTGAGTAGCCTGAAGAGGAGGGGTTGGTCTTGTTCCCTCAGAGGCAGCAGAGGTTGATAAAAGTTTGCATATGAGTGGACTTGTGCCATGCAAGCCCATTTTGTTCAAGGGTCAATAATATTTTGGTGAATAAGTCAGGCATGGTCACAGTGTCCCATGAACATAGAATCTAAAATGTTTCTATAATTTTGTAATCATTTATCATGACTTTTATGGGTCTACATTTTAGGAATAAAATGGGAAGACCGGAACATTGAAGATCAGTACAAAAATTCCAGGAGAAATCCAAGGTAATTTGCACTTATAACATGAAGCTGTGTCCCTTGAGATAATGTTAGAGTGATAGGAAATTATATTTATTTACTTATGTATTCATGTATCTGAGACAAGGCTTAATCTGTCACATAGGCTAGAGTGCAGTGGCATGATCATAGCTTACTGCAGCCTTGAACCCCTGGACTCAAGCCATCCTCCTTTCTTGGCTTCCCAGAATGCTAGGATTACAGGCATGAGCCACTGTGCCCAGTGGAAATTTAAAGAACAAGCAAACAAAGTGAAGCAGCCCAGCTTCAAATTTGTTAATTTTTAGAATGTTTTCTCCAAAAATATATACTTAAATACATACACATTCATTGTTTGCAAAATAGTTGCCTTGGAAACAGTATTAAGAAATCCCATAGTGGCCGGGTGCGGTGGCTCACGCCTTTAATCCCAGCACTTTGGGAGGCTGAGGAGGGCGGATCACGAGGTCAGGAGATCGAGACCATCCTGGCTAACATGGTGAAACCCCATCTCTACTAAAAATACAAAAAAATTAGCTAGGCATGGTGGTGGGCGCCTGTAGTCCCAGCTGCTTGGGAGGCTGAGGCAGGAGAATGGCGTGAACCCAGGAGGTGGAGCTTGCAGTGAGCCGAGATGGTGCCACTGCACTCCAGCCTGAGTGACAGAGTGAAACTCCGTCTCAAAAATAAAATAAAATAAAAAAATAAAGAAACCCCATAGTGGCCAGATGTGGTGGTTGATGCTTGTAATCCCAGTACTTTGGGAGTCTGAATGGGAAGATTGCTTGAGCCCAGGAGTTTGAGACCAGCCTGGGCAATGCAGTGAGAACTCATCTCTACAAGAAATAAAAAAAATCAGCCAAGCCTGGTGGCGCATGCCTGTAGGCCCAGCTACTTGGGAGGCTGAGGTGGGAGGACTGTCTGAGCCTGGAAGGTGGAGGCTGCAGCGAGCTGTGGTCATACCACTGCATTCCAGCCTGCGCAACAGAGTGAGACCCTGTTTCAGGAAAAAAAAAAAAAAAAAAAGAATAAGAAAAAAGAAACTGCCTAGTAACATCACTGTTTTGATAATAGCTGTAATAGAGCCCCTTTGCAGAGAATTCAGTCCACTCACTGTCAGACACTTCAGACAGAACATAAAGCCTACATTTCTCATGATAATGTAAAATATGCAAATCAAATGCTTGCTAATATAAAATTATTTATCAACAAATTCTTTGTAATGTGCTTCTTATTTTTTATAGAAATCATATGGCAGAGAGACTCTGTGAATGTAAAGATGGTCAATGTGGAGAAACTTTCAGCCTGATTCCAGATGGTATAATGAACAAGAACACTCTTCCTGGGGTAAAACCATGTGAAAGCAGTGTGTGTGGAGAAGGCAACGTGGATCATTCATCTCTGAATTGCTACATCAGAGCTGACACTGGACACAAACCGTATGAGTGTCAGGAACATGGAGAGAAGCCACATAAATGTAAGCAGTGTGTAAAAACCTTCAGCTGCCTCCACTCCTTCCAAACACATGAAAAGCCTCACACAGGAGAGAAACCCTATGATTGTAAGGAATGGGAAAAAACCTTCGATTCTCCCCAAACCGTTCGAAGATACAGGGTAGTGCACAGTGGAGATGGACCTTATAAATGTAAGTTTTGTGGGAAAGCCTTTGATAATCTCAGTTTATATCTCACACATGAAAGATCTCATACTGGACAGAAGCCATATGAATGTAATGAATGTGGGAAAGCCTTTGGTTTTCCCAGCTCCTTTCATAGACATGAAAGAATGCACACCGGGGAGAAACCATATGAATGTAAGCAATGTGGGAAAACCTTTAGTTGTTCCAGTTCCATTAAAAAACATGAAAGAATCCACACTGGAGAGAAGCCCTATGAATGCAAGCAATGTGGGAAAGCCTTCGCTTCTTCCAATTCCTTTCAGTATCATGAAAGGACTCACACTGGAGAGAAACCCTATGAATGTAAGCAATGTGGGAAAGCCTTTAATTGTTCCAGTTCCCTTAGAAAACATGCAAGAATTCACACTGGAGAGAAACCCTATATATGTAAACAATGTGGTAAAGCTTTTAGATTTCCCAGTTCTATTAAAAATCATGAAAAGACTCACACTGGAGAGAAGCCCTATGAATGTCAGGAATGTGGGAAAGCCTTCAGATATTCCAGTTCACTTCGAGTACATAAAAGAATTCACACTGGAGAGAAGCCGTATGAATGTGAGGACTGTGGGAAAGCCTTCAGTCATCCCACGACCTTTCATAGACATAAAATTACCCACACTGCAGAGAAACCTTATGAATGTCAGGAATGTGGGGAAGCCTTCCGTTATCCTGTTGCTTTTCGTAGACATAAAATTACCCACACTGCAGAGAAACTTTGAGTGTAAGGAATGTGGGAAAGCCTTCTGTTATCACAGTTCCCTTCAAAGACATGAAAGGACTCACAACGGAGAAAAGTTGTGTGGATATAAAAAATGTAAAGCCGGCTGGGTGCGGTGGCTGACGCCTGTAATCCCAGCACTTTGGGAGGCCAAGGCGGGCGGATCATGAGGTCAAGAGATTGAGACCATCATGGCCAACATGGTAAAACCCCATCTCTACTAAAAATACAAAAATTAGCTGGGCGTGGTGGCATGTGCCTGTAGTACCAGCTACTTGGGAGGCTGAGGCAGGAGAATTGCTTGAACCTGGGAGGTGGAGGTTGCAGTGAACCGAGATTGTGCCACTGTACTCCAGCCAGGTGACAGAGTGAGACTCCGTCTCAAAAAAAAAAAAAAAAAAAGTAAAGCCTTCCACTATTCCAGTACCTTCTGAAACCATGAAAGAACTGACACTTGAGAAAAACAATGATGTTAGGAACATGGGAAACCTTTCCTTTCTCTCTCAATCGTTTGAAGGCATATGGTGTGACATGCTGGCGATAGACCTCATAACTGTAAGGAACATGGAAAACGATTCTTGTTTTCCATGCTCCTTGTTTATTTTAGATACATGAAAGAATTTACTCTGGAGAGAAACTATGAGTGTAAAAAATGTGGTAACGCCTTGTGTAGTTTCTGTTTCTCTGAAATACTGTCATGTCCTGGTATTCTCAGGGGATTAGTTGCAGGCACCCCGCTCCCCACTTCAGAACATCTAAATCTGAAGATGCTCAAGTGCTTTATATAAAATGGTGTATTTTCCTAGAACCTAAGCACATCCTCTTGTACACTTTAAATCATCTCTAGGTTATCCATACTGCCTAATGCATTGTAAACGATATAAAAATAGTTGTTTCATTGTGTTATTTAGGGAATGCTGACAAGAAAAAACATCTGTAGATGTTTAATACAGATAACCATCACATGCCCACCTCCATAGTACAGGCCCACCTCATAGTATATGTCAGCTACAATGAAACATTTTCTTTTTTTTTTAAAAAACGTTTTGGATTGGTTTCATTTAATGGCCTCAAAAACACGTGTTAACATTCTCCAAATCCTTGGTTCTTCTCTCCTGATAACCCTCATGTGATGATTGCTCTGTGGTTCCTAAAGCTGCAGTGTGTTGAGGTGCTTAGATATGTGGCAGTGTAGATAAGTCAGGGGACATCAGTTTAACTTGAATTTTCTTTTTTTTTTTTTTTGAGATGGAGTCTTGCTCTGTCACCCAGGCTGGAGTGCAATGGTGTGATCTCGGCTCACTGCAACCTCCACCTCCTGGGCTCAAGTGATTCTCCTGCCTCAGCCTCCCAACCAGCTGGGATTACAGGTGCCCGCCACCACACCCGGCTAATTTTTGTATTTTTAGAAGAGATGGGGTTTCACCATGTTGGCCAGGCTGGTCTTGAACTCCTGACGTCGTGATCTGCCCACCTTGACCTCCCAAAGTGCTGGGACTACAGGAATGAGCCACCCTGCCCGGCCAGAATTTTCTTTCAGGACATCAGGAGGATCCTCTGCTGGAAGAACCAACATCTGATTGCAGATGTTGCCTCTTTGGTGGAAGGTCAGTAACACAAATCTTGGATCTGTGGTGTTTGAGGGCTGAAAATATTTAAGCATCGAACTTTCAGTCCTTTTTTTTTTTCTTTTTTTTTGAGATGGAGTCTCTGTCGCCCAGGCTGGAGTGCAGTGGCACGATCTCAGCTCACTGCAACCTCTGCCTCCCAGGTTCAAGCGATTCTCCTGCCTCAGCCTCCCAAATAGCTGGGATTACAGGCGCACACCACCATCCCCAGCTAAATTTTGTATTTGTAGCAGAGACAGGGTTTCATCATGTTGGCCAGGCTGGTCTTGAACTCCTGATCTCTGATGATCTGCCCACCTTGGCCTCCCAAAGTGCTGGGATTATAGGCGTGAGCCACCGCACCCTGCTGAAGTTTCAGTCTTCATAATTGCAGATGCTTTAGTTGGAAACGTTGTCATAGGAAAAGCTGTTTTTTCTTTCTCTTTGAATCATCAAACACATCTTGCAATGGTTTTGGCCATGTTATCTCTGGTGACCTGGAAGCGACTTTGATATTAAGCTTCAGAGTATGCTGAAACAAGTCAAGACTTTTGGTGATGTTAGGATGGTAAGCATGTATTTTGCATGTGAGGTCATAAATTTAGGGAGCAGGTAGAAAATTATTGCTTTATTTGTCCCCTGAAATTCATATTATTATTATTTTTTTGAGAGAGTTTTGCTCTTGTTGCCTAGGCTGGAGCGCAATGGCACAATCTTGGCTCAATGCAACCTCCACCTCCTGGTTTCAAGCGATTCTCCTGCCTCAGCCTCCCAAGTAGCTGAGACTGTAGGCATACGCCACCGTACCCGGCTAATTTTTTGTATTTAGTAGAGACAGGGTTTCACCATGTTGGTCAGGCTGGTCTCCAACTCCTGACCTCAGGTGATCCATGCACCTCGGCCTCCCAAAGTGCCGGGATTATAGAGATGCGCCACCACGCCCAGCCCTGAAATTCATATTTTGAAACCTTACTCCCTAATGTATGGAATGAGGAGATAGGATGCCTGGGAGGTAATTAGGATTACTTGGGATCATGAGGGTAGAGTTCTCAGGAATGGGACTATAAGGTTCCCTAGAGAGCTTGCATTTGCTCTCTATTATGTGAGGACACAATGAGATGAAAGCCTTCTTTGAACAAGGAAGCTTGCCCTTACCAGGCACTGAATCTACTATCACTTTGATCTTGGAGTTCACAATCTCCTGTATACTGAGGAGCAAATGTTAGGTGTTTAATACACCCAGCTTATGTCATTTTGTTTTAGGAGCCCCTGGTGGATAAAGCACAACCCCATTAAAAAATAGGTGAAGGAGTTGAATAGACATTTCTCTAATGAGGATGTACAAATAGACAATAATTACATAAAGAAGATGTTCAGCATCACTCATGGTTTAGGGACATGCAAATCAAGAGCAAAATGACATCTATATCCCCTCACCCTCATTAGTTTGCTTCTGTCCAAGAACAAAATAACATGCTGGCAACGATGTGGAATAGTGAGGACCCTTGTACACTATTGATGGAAATGCAAAATGTCACAACTACTTTTGAAAACTATATGGCAGGCCGGGTGCGGTGGCTCATGCCTGTAATCCCAGCACTTTGGGAGCCTGAAGTGGGCAGATCACCTGAGATTGGGAGTTGAAGACCAGCCTGACCAAGATGGAGAAACCCCATCTCTACTAAAAATACAAAAAAATTAGCCGGGCATGGTGGCCCATGCTTGTAATCCCAGCTACTCAGGAGGCTGAGGCAGGAGAATCACTTGAACCCGGGAGGCGGAGGTTACAGTGAGTGGAGATCGCGCCATTGCACTCCAGCCTGGGCAACAAGAGCGAAAGTCCATCTCAAAAAAAAAAACAAAAAAACAAAAAAAAAAACAACTGTGTGGCAGGTAATCAATACATTGAAAAAATGGAAATAACATCCACCATTTTTCCCTTCTGGGAATATAAGCAAAAGAATAGAGACGGGGGCCTGAAATGGGTATTTGTATACATGGTATAGCAGTATAACTTACCAATAGGGAAAATGTGGAAGCAACTCTCTTGTATATTGACAGATGGATGAATAAGCAAAAGGTAGTATATGCATAGGATAGACTATTACTCTGCCTTCAAACGGAAGGGTGACCTGACAAATGCTACAGCATTGATGAACTTGGAGCACATTATGCTAAGTGAAATAGTCCATTCATATAAAGACACACCTTATAAGGTCGAGTCACTTGATTTTTTACAACCTGTCTCCAGACATGGGCTCCTTAAACTCCAGACCCAAAATGTTTTTGCTTATATGAGGTACTCAGAGGAGTCAAATTCATAAAGAAAGTAGAATGGTGATTGTGTGGAATAGGGGAAGTGGGTAATGGAGACTTATGATTTAATGGCATAAAGTTTCAATATTGCAAGATGAAAAGGGTTCTGGAGATAGATGGTGGTGATGGCTGCACACCAATATGAACGTACTGAAAGCCAGTAATTCTACACTTAAAAATTAAGATGGGCCGGGCACAGTGGCTCACGCTTGTAATCCCAGCACTTTGGGAGGCCGAGGTGGGTGGATCACCTGAGGTCAGGAGTTGGAGACCAGCCTGGCCAAAATGGCAAAACCCCGTCTCTACTAAAAATACAAAAATGAGCTGGGCATGGTGGTGCATGCCTGTAAGCCCAGTTACTCAGGAGGCTGAGGCAGGAGGATCTCTTGAACCCGGGAGGCTGAGGTTGCAGTGAGCTGAGATTGTGCCACTGCACTCCAGCCTGGGAGACAGAGCAAGACTCCATCTCAACAACAACAACAAAAAATTGTTAAGATGATAAATTGTATTTTTTCTGTATTTTAGTACCATTAAAATACGTGGGATTGGTCAGAGTGGTGGATAGGGAAAGGACGCAAACCTTCTGAGAGGTTGGAAGGTTCTGCAGAGCCCTGGGGGAGAATAGCTGAAGGTGGCTGTTCTATAACCCTGAGGCAGAGGGCATGGAGTAGGTACAAGGGAGTGTGGGGGAATTTATCTTAAACAGGCTTGTTTACTTGTGTTGACCAGGAACTGACCTTTCATCATCCCTGTGCCTGACGTTCCCTGAAAGGGGAACAATAAGTGTTAATTACCTACAGGTTGTGTTGGCTCCAGGTTTTTGGCATTGTGCCTAGACTGAATAAAAGCAAGCAGCTCCAGCTTCTTGGGGCTGCTTTCTGGCCACTAGAGCCAGGCAGTCACCTAGTTGCTGTTACACTGAATACCTGTGTCTGAGTCCTCATTTCATCCGTTGGCCAGGGTCTGCAGGACAGACCCGGCATTAAAAGAGTGGGGAGCCACAGTAGTGCAAAGACCCCACTGGACCACCAACATACCAAGCAGTTCTTGGTTCAATCCCTCCTTGTCCTCAACACTGTTTTTCCATTTTCCTTGTCCATAAAGGACCTGTTTCCACATGCTTGCTTTGACTCTGATGTCACCTTTAGAGTTGATGCTCAGGCATAGCTCACTTAACTGCCTCACCTTTTCTCTCCTGATCTGGTTGTTGATGGCTGTTGTGAGACATTGGTTGTTGCCTTTTTAGTTTAAAAGGATTCAAATGACACACAGCAATGGAGATGCAGTATATGGCAATTTATTGCAAACGAAAAAGTATTTTGAAAGTTAAGTGCAGAACAGACAGTATGCCCTGAGAGAGAGAGGAGGATTCAGGGCAGGCTGCTCATAAGGATGAGACAGCAAACAGTGGCACTAGGGAGACTTTTTAAAAAAATTTTAATAGTTAGATTTCAGCTCTTTTGAGTGGTTTCAAGTCTGCTGTGGAGGAAGGGGGTAGGGGGAAGGTGGGCATAGCCCGAGAGGCAACAGACTCCAGAACATTCCAGACACAGTCCTTCAGAGGCTGGCTAGTATTAAGGAAAGTGGTTAGGTTTGTGAGGTGAAACAGTGGATGCTTGTGGCTTTTCCGCAGTGTGTGCAGTCAGGCCAGCTTGACTTGGAGGAAAGCCATTCAACACAAAAATGGCACCACAGTTACCCTGGAGGTAACTGTGAAGCACAGGGTTTGAGCCACCTCCATCATCCTCAGGGCACTGTGTGTTTCAGGATACTCTGTGGCACTGCTTTCTTTTCTTTTCTTTTCTTTTTTTTTTTTTTTTTTGGACGGAGTCTCGCTCTGTCGTCCAGGCTGGAGTGCAGTGGTGCGATCTCGGCTCACTGCAAGCTCCGCCTCCCGGGTTCTCGCCATTCTCCTGCCTCAGCCTCCCGAGTAGCTGGGATTACAGGCGCCCGCCACCGCGCCCAGCTAATTTCTTTTTGTATTTTTAGTAGAGACGAGGTTTCACTGTGTTAGCCAGGGATGGTCTCAATCTCCTGACCTTGTGATCCGCCCGCCTCGGCCTCCCAAAGTGCTGGGATTACAGGCGTGAGCCACAGCGCCTGGCCGAGAGACTCCTTTTATGGGAATCTTACATGATTATTCATAAGGGGCTGGGAAGAGGTGTTACTAGTAAGCACATTCTGGGTGGTCTTCTGGGTGCACATGCACAGTAGCTGCCCATTCTTGTTCATACGTCACATCTCATTAGCATCTTAAATCTCCACCCAGGGATGTGGTTTTTACTATTATAATGAGCAAAGGGTCAATCTGAAGACAGGTAAAATAAAAATACGCGTGCTCCCTACAGGGGAAATTCCCTACTGGAGAGAGCTTTGCTTGAATGAGCTTGACTACAATGCGAATGCTGAGGCTTATTGTGTTGACTGTACGATTGCCAAGTCTCCAGGACATGGTTACTTCCTTGGCTACCTATCCTGTCTCATGGTCCTCAGTCACTTCACACCCATGATGTATGCTAACACCCTTCGGTTATCTGTTTAGAAGGGATAATTATTATTTTTTTCTTTTTGAGACAGAGTCTCGCTCTGTTGCCAGGCTGGAGTGCAGTGGCACGATCTCAGCTCCCTGCAACCTCTGCCTTCTGTGTTCAAGCAATTCTCCTGCCTCAGCCTCCCGAGTAGCTGGAACTATAGGCATGTGCCACCATACCCAGCTAATTTTTGTATTTTTAGTAGACGAGGTTTCACCATGTTGGCCAGGATGGTGTCGATCTTCTGACCTCGTGATCCACTCGCCTCGGCCTCCCAATGTGCTGGGATTACAGGCATGAGCCACCGCGCCCAGTCTAGAAGTTATAATTTTAACTTTCCCTGAAGAACACTCATAAACATAAGTTAAGGATTGCAATGTTTTGTTCATGAACAAATCTTCCAGACTGTGAGAATTAAGCAAGATAAACTGAAAATAATAATAATGCGATACAGATTTTCCTAACTACAGAAAATTGAGGAAACATACTACAAAATGTGGAATGACTGACCTTTAATTCTACCTGGGCTGGAGGTTCAAGAAATGGACAGAAGGGGTCACTACATGCACAGGAAAGAATTTCCTAATTTTACCAGTAGAGCTGATGTTGAAGGAGAAATATGTGCTGTAACAAGAGAACTTCAAAGTAGGATGAATGAAGGAAATCTTACCCCCCTAATAATATGGAATTTATGCAGAATCAATTTTTACTTCAGAAGGTCAGTAAATTCTGCTTTCATCCAATGTCTTTACATGTAGAATTATTTTTCATTATCATTGTTCTTACCTTTTGTAGTGATTACTCTGTTGTTTATCAAGTAAATGATAACCCGTTACCATCAGCATCACTTTTCTTGTGATATATAGCTAACTTTCAGTGATGTACAAAAATATTTATCAACTATAGCTTTCATATTTTTGCATTCTTGGGGTATTTTGTTACATGTATAACAACTCTTGAGATTCCACACATAACAATACATTCTTAGGATTATTACTTTGCCATTGGTAGTCACTGGGTTTGTCCACTTCCTGTATGGTGTTATTTGCAAATGAAATACACACATACTACATTTTTATATGTGGTAGGTCCAACAACCTATCAACTGATTATTTTACAGGTGAAGAAATACACATTTAGTCTGTCTTTTATAGTTATAATATTCTTTAATAGTCATCTTTGTTTTCTCTTGTTTTTTGCCATCATTTGATGTCAGACTGAAGAACTTTCTTTGGTCTTTCTTGTAAGGCTTGTGTGCTGGAAATAAGTTCTCTTAGTATGTATGCTTAAACCTGGGAAAGTCTTTGTTTTGACTTCTGATTTGAATGTGAGCTTTGGTGGATATAGAAATGTTCTATTATATATGTTTCAGAGCAGAGGAATAGCATCTAACTAAAAGCAAATATGTCTATTTCACCCAAACACTTATCATTACACTAGTTTATATAAGTTAATGTCAAAAAACAATGAGCAATAAATAGGAATAGGATGGAAGAAGGAAATATTGTGATTGAAGATGAAACCGTTGTTTGGGAAAGTAAAGACAAAACAACTGGAAAAAAATTTTAAGCTGGGGAAGGAGGCAATTTGCTGTGTATGGAGCAAACATACTATTGAATTAAAATCACATTTCTTGAAAATGTATATTAATTTCTAAGAATAGCACTAATACCCTATGCCGTATCTGTGGAAAGGTATGAGTATTTCCTGATGAAATGACCTGAGTGTCACCTCTATAGATTTATATATAACTTTGATGGATTGAAGGTTCCTCATCCCAGTCCTCACTGTAGAGAAATGGTTTAAATATAAGTAATTCAGGAATCTGATCCAAATTAACTCGTGTATAATATTCCAGAAAAATTCACAACATCAAAGAAATGTTTTGAAATTTATACTTTTTTTTCTGACAGAGGGCCTCACTGTGTCACCCAGGCTGGAGTGCAGTGGTGTGATCTCACCTCATTGCAGCCTTGACTTAGTGGACTCCAGAAAGCCTCTTGCCTCAGCCTCCCAAATAGCAGGGACTACAGGCATAGGCCATCACACCTGACTCATTTTTTAATTTTAATTTTTTTTTTTGGTAGAGACAGGGTCTCACTATGTTGTCCAGTCCAGGCTGCCTCAAACCCCTGGGCTCAAGCAATCCTCCCAACTCAGCCTCCCAAAGTGCTGGGATTATAGGCCATTGCTCCCAGCTTATTTTTTATTTATTATTATTATTATTATTATTTTTTTTTTTTTGAGACAGAGTCTCACTCTTTTGCCCAGGCTGGAGTGCAGTGGCGCTATCTCGGCTCACTGCAAGCTCCGCCTCCCGGATTCACTCCATTCTCCTGGCTCAGCCTCCCGAGTAGCTGGGACTACAGGCGCCCGCCATCGCGCCCGATTGAGGTTTTGTATTTTTAATAGAGACAGGGTTTCACCGTGTTAGCCAGGATGGTCTCGATCTCCTGACCTCGTGATCCGCCCACCTCGGCCTCCCAAAGTGCTGGGATTACACGCGTAAGCCACCGCGCCCGGCCTATTTTTAATTTTTTTTAGTCATGGTTTAGCTTGATCACCCAGGCTGTTCTAAAACTCCTGGGCTCAAAAGATCCTTCCCGCCTCAGCCTCCCTCTGGGGTAGCTGGGACCACAAGTACTTGCCAACTCACCCAGCCTTTTATTATCAGTGCCTAATGCTTAAGGAGGATGTGGGCTACCTTTTACTTTCAGATAAAAAACATTGAGGTGAGATAATTCTGTTAATTTTTTTTAACACAAAGGTTCATAACTTGAATAGGTAGTTTCTTGCCTAAATCATTTAATTAAAAAATTTCGTTTTCATTTTGTAGTCTCTTGGATCTTGGAGTTGATTGAAATGTATTTTTAATAGCCAAGTAGATTCACTTTTATATGGTTTTAAAATTGTTGTGTATATAAGGGGCATTTGAAACATTAGATTTTTGTATTTGCTGTGACTTTCCTACTGGCCAGTGTGCCAGGTACCGGATATCCTCCGGGAACTGCAGGCAGGCCCGTCTCTCTTTCACGGGTGAGAGCCGCAGCCTACTCTTGGCGGAAGCGGAAACCCTTTCCTCCATCACGTTTCGCCCATTCCAGGCCAGAAGCAGGCCCCGCTCCTTGCTGCTCGCCTGTGAGCATATTTCGTCGAATCCCGGCTGGGCGGCTTGGTCGCAGTGTGCCTGTGCTGGGCCCGGAGCGCGTTCATCGCCCACAGCCGCTCCAGTTCTTGCGAGTGGTTGTTCCTGCACGCCAGGAGCCGTGGGCCGGGCCATCAGGCCATACAAGTGCTGCGAAAGCGGCCTCGCCTTCGGCTGCATCATCTCGGGGATGTTTCACTTGTCTCTTCTCCCAGTTCCAGCCCCAGCCCCTCGAACTCACCGGGTCTCCACAGCACACTCTGATCAATATCCCACAGGTGAGGAATATAAAATACTCTTTATAAAGTGGAAGCTAGTAAGTCGTTCTTTTCAAACTTTCACAAGAAACTACAGATCTTTTTAAAAGATTCTGATTCAGCAGGTCATTGGGGAAGGCCTGATCCTCTGCATTTCTGACTCGGTCCCCAGTGTCGTCCATGCTGCTGGTCCGCGGACCGCAGTTAGAGTGCTGAGGTAGTAATAGACCTGGTTAGGCAGGCAGGCAGGCAAGGGACTGATCCCATGGAGCCTGGTGGGCCGTATTAAGGACTTTTATTGGATTTCGAGCAGAGAAGCGACGTTTGGGTTGTGTTTTAAGAAGCTACAGAACAAGTTCTGCCAAAGTGGAAGCAAAGACAGGTTACCCACTCCTCTTTTGCCTCCTCGCCTCTTGCCTCGTCGCGGGTGAGCTATGACTATCTGGGGCAGTGGTGCGCCGGGGGTAAAAGTATTTACCAAGACAATTGTAGGTAAAGGAAGGCAGGTTTATCGGAGAAAGTATGAAAATTCGTTGCGAGGCAGCAACAGGCAGGTCAGCAGAAGAGAAGCTGAATGCAGGGAAACAGGCTTGCTGAGGATTTTATGGACTGGAACTTTGGCTGATTGATAACGCCAAGGCAGCAGGGGGCTAATTTGCATTTTTCTGGCCGCTGTGGTGTTTGATAAATTGAAGCGTTTGTTGATAAGCAGGAAGTTTGAGTTATGTATGTTATCTGAGCAGGAGGGCCATATGTCCTGGGCCATAAAGCAGACCTATAACTTATCTGCCTCTTTTTGTTTATATGTCCTGGACCATGAAGAAAGGCAGATTTGTAGCTTATTTACTTTATCTCTTTGCTTTCTGCGGCTCTCGCCAGCCTGATTTTTTTCTCCCCTAATTAGGACTCTGCGTGCCTGATTGCTTTTCTCTGCCTTCCTTACTTGCAACTCCCAAGGTCATGTGTCCGTGAGAGTGGACCTAACTCAGCCGCTAACTCAGCCTCGAGCTACACAAAAAAGGGACTGGACTGGGCTAAGGCTTCAAAAAAGGGTGGGCCTTGGGTAAGATGTTCCAGCTGGTCCAGCACCCTCCTGTCCCATTTCCCAGGCCCTGGCAGTCCAGAATTGAGTAAAACATACTGAGATAACCCTCCACTGGTGAACCTGGAGGAAGATCCATCCTGTAGGAGGTGAGAGCCTGGGAAAGGACATCACTATGGAGGGAACTGAAGTTGGGGTGGAGGTCGGTGGATGGGGTATTGGAAGTGGCTTGAGACCAGGAGATGAGTTTAAAGTCCTCAGGTGCCTGTGGGTAAAGTTCTGACAAAGGAACCAGGAAGAAATAAGAGTCAGATGATGAAAAGGATCAGGACTGGGGGAAAAAACAAGGACCCAACCTGGTGATCGGGATTAAACAATTATTCTGGGCAGGCAAGGGCAAGAAATAGATAATAAACTGGAAAAAGAAATCGCTGGTGTAGGAGGGATATCAGCTGAGAAGAGTTGGTCCAAGGCTCTTGGTCTACACTCCACATCCTGTGGGGTGCACCTGGTGGGCAACTAGGAGAGAAGAAGGGCCCGACGTCCAGTAAGGGAATCAGAATGTGAATGCCGTATTGCTGTGGGGAAGGATCACAGGCCACCTGGAGCCACCTAAGTGAAAACCAGGGTCAGTGCCTGGGGATGGAAGGATCTGAATGGAAACTCACTTAAGGCCAGGTGGGGTGACCTGAGTAGCAAACAGGTAAAAGTTGGGTAGGAGGACCTGATTTGGATGGGGCTGCTCACTGTGATGTCTATGAAGCTATCATTCCAGCTGCTGTCCACCTAGGAGCAGTTGGTCAGTACAGTCAGCTGCGTGTTCCCATCTTGTGTATGAGGGCAGTACTGAAGGCTGCCCTTCATGCCTGCCTTGATCACTGGCAGGAGACAGAGGACGTGGAAGTATGGGTTGTTTGGGGGGATGGTGCCTATGAGGAAGGTCTGATCCCAAATCTAGAGAATGGGAGGGTGGGATGTATCATGGAGGGTCAGGCCGGGGGTCTGGAGGATATCATGTCCTAAATGCAGATGTTCTCTGGGTCTCAGGTCCCTGCTACCAGCCCAGCCTGGTGAGGCTCCAGATGAGTCAATAACCCTGGCTCAGGAGAGCTGGTGTAGGATCTGTTAGGCCAAGGGGTCTGGCTTCCTTACTACCTCCCACTTCTACCTCTGTAGAAATGTCTGTCTCCAGCATCATGTCAAAGCAACTGATGACTTCCCTACCCCAGGCATCACTGAGCTAAACTGGGTGGCAGGAAGGTGATCACCACCTAAGTACTATCTTTTTTTTTATTTTGTATTTTGAGACAGAGTCTCACTGTGTTGCCCAGGCTGGAGTGTAGTGGCTCCATCTTGGCTCACTGCAAGTTCCACCTCCCAGGTTCACGCCATTCTCCTGCCTCAGCCTCCCGAGTAGCTGGGACTATAGGCGCCCGCCACCATGCCTGGCTAATTTTTTGTATTTTTAGTAGAGACGGGGTTTCACCATGTTAGCCAGGATGGTCTCGATCTCCTGACCTCGTGATCCACCTGCCTCGGCCTCTCAAAGTGCTGGGATTACAGGTGTGAGCCACTGTGCCTGGCCCACCCAAGTAGTATCTTATCCCTTCTCTCCTTTTCATCCCAGCCTGTGCCCACTGATCGCTTGGTTACCGGTCCCATTATCCACTCCAGCTCCTGGTACTTCTCTTCTGGGTACAGCTGAACCACCTGGGAAGAGCAAGCTAAGAAGTTCTGGTGCCCCCCTTGCAGCAAGGCTATCAGTGGGCACAAGAGGATGGGGGGATGGGCTGGAGTAAGCCCTACCCAGAGCAGGAGGGAGCCCCACACAGTTCTCCCTCAGCTGTTAACTTCCTAGAGACCCACCTCACAGTCAAGAGCACCAACGGGCACTCCTCCCTCCACTCCCCTTACTGGGGCACCAGTTTCTTTCCACCCCAGGTGTTCACTATCCCCGTTATTTCAATTCTCATGGCTCACAGGAAGAAATAGGTATATTGTACTGAGATTTTTCTTTCTTTTTTTTTTTTTAAAAAAAAAAGACATTTATTCAGCATCACGATCAGACTATTACATTTAGCAATCAACAGCATGGGGTGCAAAAAGAAATCTACGTTAAAACCCTTTGTTGGAATGCTTTACACTTTCCACAGAACAGAAACTAAAATAACCTGTTATACAATTAGTCACAAATACAGTCCTCGAGTTTTTTGCCCATACACATGAGTATTTGTCTAAAACATGTCTTCTTTGTAGCAGCTAGGCCCTGCCACCACTGTGCTTGGCTGAGTTCACAAATCTATTGTAACCTGTAGCTTCCCTGTCACTTCTCTGGCTCTCCTCTCCTGCTAAGCTTTGTTTCCTAATTAAAATCTTCTGCCACTGCCATAGCTACTGCTGCTGCTGGAACCGCCATAGCCACTTGGTTTCGTGGTTTTGCAAAGTATTGGCCTCCACCGCCATAGGGGCCAGAGCTTCTGCCTCCAAAATTTCCTCCCTTCATGGGTCCAAAATTTGAAGACTGATTGTTGTAATTGCCAAAATCATTGTAGCTTCCACCACCTCCAAAATTGCTTCCATCATTACCAAATCCATTATAGCCATCCCCACTGCCACCATATCCACCACCACCATGGCTGCCACCAAAGCCACCACGACCACTGAAGTTTCCTCCACGACCGAAGTTGTCATTCCCACCGAAACCACCTCCACGACCACCACCAAAGTTTCCAGAACCACTTCGACCTCTTTGGCTGGATGAAGCACTAGCCATCTCTTGCTTTGACAGGGCTTTTCTAACTTCACAGTTGTGGCCATTCACAGTATGGTATTTCTGAATGACAGTCTTATCCACGGAGTCATGGTCGTCAAAGGTTACAAAGGCAAAGCCCCTTTTCTTGCCACTGCCTCGGTCAGTCATGATTTCAATCACTTCAATTTTTCCATACTGTTCAAAATAATCTCTTAGGTGATGTTCTTCAGTGTCTTCTTTAATGCCACCAACAAATATCTTTTTCACAGTTAAGTGGGCACCTGGTCTTTGAGAATCTTCTCTGGAGACAGCTCTCTTTGGTTCCACAACTCTTCCATCCACCTTGTGTGGCCTTGCATTCATAGCTGCATCCACCTCCTCCACAGTGGCATACGTGACAAACCCAAAGCCCCTGGAGCGCTTGGTGTTTGGATCTCTCATTACCACACAGTCCGTGAGCGTTCCCCATTGCTCAAAATGGCTCCTCAGGCTCTCATCAGTTGTTTCAAAGCTCAACCCTCCAATGAAGAGCTTCCTCAGCTGTTCGGGCTCTTTAGGAGACTCTGACTTAGACATGACGGCAGGGTGAAGAGAGACTTTAACGATGCTTCTTCGGCGGTGTCCACGGGCAGAAAAGCGAGATTTTTCTAAATGACATAAAAATATGTATTCGTGAAACAGTCTTTTCAAGATAAGGATCCCATCCATCGGACTCAAACATTACCCGCTGGTCCTTGGTAATCTTGCCCCACCCTAGTGCTTCTTCTCTCTCAGCCACCCCTGATGGAATCCTGCAGTTTGTACTGTTCTGTGTCAGGCATCTTTCACTCAGCATAATTGAGCTTCATCCAATAGTTCTTTATTGTACATGAATAATATTCCATCTTCAGAGGAAGCAAAATTTATTTCTCCAGCTGTTGATGGATATTTGGGTTAATTTCAGTTTTTGGCTATTAAGAATTAAACATATGAATATTCACATACCAGTGTTTGTAAGAACATATGATATTTCTTTTTTGTTTGTTTGAGACAGCCTCGCTCTGTCACCAGGCTGAAGTGTAGTGGCGCAATCTTGGCTCACTGCAACCTCCGCCTCCCAGGTTCAAGCCATTCTCCTGCTTCAGCCTTCTGAGTAGTTGGGACTACAGGTGCGTGCCACCACGCCCAGCTAATTTTTGTATTTTTAGTAGAGGTGGAGTTTCACTATGTTGGCCAGGCTGGCCTTGATCTCTTGAACCTCGTGATCCGCCCACCTCAGCCTCCTAAAGTGCTGGGATTACAGGCATGAGCCACTGTGCCCAGCTGATTATTTCTTTAGAAGATTTTATTTTATTCTACCTAGGAATAAAATGGCTGGGTGTTGTGACAGGTGTATGTTTAACTTCTTAGGAAACTTCCAAACTGTTTTCCAAGTGGCTGTTCCATTTTGTATTCCCACCAACGTCATAAGAGTTCCAGTTGCTTCGCATTGTCACCAACATTTGATATAGCCAATCTTACTAATTTTAGACTCCCAAATATGTGTAGTGGTATTAGAATTGTGGCTTAATGCCAGGCACAGTGGCTCACGCCTGTAATCCCAGCACTTTGGGAGGCCAAGGCGGGCGGATCACGAGGTCAGGAGATCGAGACCATCCTGGCTAACACGGTGAAACCCCATCTCTACTAAAAATACAAACAATTAGCCAGGTGTGGTGGTGGGCGCCTGTTGTCCCAGCTACTCCGGAGGCTGAGGCAGGAGAATGGTGTGAACCTGGGAGGCGGAGCTTGCAGTGAGCCGAGATAGTGCCACTGCACTCCAGCCTGGGTGACAGATCGAGACTCCACCTCAAAAAAAAAAAAAATTGTGGCTTAAGTTTGTGTTTACTTAATGAATGATGATGTTGAATGATATTTCATGTTTTTATTTGTCACTGAAAAATATTCTGTGGTCAAGTATTAATGACATTGATTGTTTTCAGATTATTAGTTTTTGAGAGTTCTTTATATATTCTGGATATAATTGCTGCATCAGATTATGGTTTGTATGTATTTTCTCCCATCTACGGCTATTCTTTAAAAATCCTTAGCAGTCTCTAGGCCGGGAGTGGTGGCTCATGCCTGTAATCCCAGCACTTTGGGAGGCCAAGGCGGGCAGATCACTTGAGGTCGGGAGTTCGAGACCAGCCTGACCAACATGGAGAAACCCCATCTCTACTAAAAACACAAAATTAGCCAGGCATGGTGGCACATGCCTGTAATCCCAGCTACTCGGGAGGCTGAGGTAGGAGAATCGCTTGAAGCTGAGAGGCAGAGGTTGCGGTGAGCCGAGATTGCGCCATTGCACTCCAGCCTGGGCAACAAGAGCAAAACTCCGTCTCAAAAAAAAAAAAAAAAAATCCTTAGCAGTCTTATGCCTATAATTCCAGTACTTTGGGAGGCCAAGGCGGGCAGATCACTTGAGGTCAGGAGTTCGAGACCAGCCTGGCCAACATGGTGAAACCCCATCTCTACTAAAAATAGAAAAATTAACCAGGCATGATGGTGTGTGCCTGTACTCCCAGCTACTTGGGAGGCTGTGGTGGGAGAATTACTTGAACCTGGGAGGCGGAGGTTGCAGTGAGCCGAGATCATGACACTGTACTCCAGCCTGGGTGACAGAGCGAGACTCTGTCTCAAAAAAAAAAAAAAAAAAAATTCCTTAACTGTATCCTTCACAAAGCAAATTTTTATTTTAATGAAGTTTAATTTCTCAATTTTTAATGGATTCTGCATCTTTGTCATATGTATGCAATTGTAACGTAACCCAAGGTCAAATAATTTCACCCACATTTTCTTTACATTTTATAGTTTAGATTATACATTCAGTTTTGTGATCCATTTTGAGTTAATGTTTGTATATAGTGCAAGACACAGATCTACAGTCTTTACTTTTTGCATATGCATATTCTATTTTTTAGCATTATTTGTTGAGAAGAGAAATTTTGACTCAATTGTTCACTTTGATTAAAAAAAACTACTGGACCACATGTGTAGAAATGTTACTGGAACATTTATTCTGTTCCATGGATATATTTGTCTACTTGCCAAAGACATTGTCTTGATTAGGATTGCTAAATTTTCTTTGTTTTTTTTTCAGAATTATTTGGCTATTTGTTTGGTTATTTCAGGTACTTTTCACCTTTTTTTTTTTTTTTTTTTTGAGATGGAGTTTCACTCTTGTTGCCCAGGCTGGACAACAACGACAACGCGATCTCGGCTCACCGCAACCTCCGCCTCCCGAGTTCAAGTGATTCTCCTGTCTCAGCATCCCAAGTAGCTGGGATTATAGGCATGCGCCACCATGCCCAGCTAATTTTGTGTTTTTAGTAGAGATGGAGTTTCTCCATGTTGGTCAGGCTGGTTTCAAACTCCCGACCTCAGGTGATCCTCCTGCCTCGGCCTCCCAAAGTGCTTGGGATTACAGGCATGAGCCACCACGCCCGGCCTTCATCATAATTTTATAACTTCATAATACATTGTTCTTTTTCTTTTTCTTTTTTAAAAGATTCAATGATTTTTTTTAAAGCAATAAAAAATAGTAAAAAACCCTTTGTGTTTACTGAAGTGGTTATCATTTCTGGTCCTCTTCTTTCTTTCCGGATTTCCACTTGGCTTCATTTTTCTTTGCACCCATGCAGTTTAGGGATGTCTCTTATGGAGCAAGTATGCTGATTACAAACACTTTCACTATGGCTGAATTAATAATTTATTTTCCCTTCATTTGGAAAGATATTGTTTGCTGGATATAGGATTCTCAGTTGATATACTTGTTCTTTCATTACTTTAAGGTAGTTGTTCTATGGTCTCCTGATCTGCGCTGTTGCTGGTAATAAGTATGTAATGAATCCTATCTTTGGTTCAGTGTAGTTAATGTGTCTTTTTCCTGTTGCCTTAAAGCTATTTTAATTGTTCTTGCTGTGAAGTAGTTTACTGATGATGTGCTTGGTGTAGATTTATATACATATATGCTCATGGTTTGTTGAACTTTTTTGATTTCTGGGTTTATAATTTTCATCCAGTTTGGCAAATGTGAAACCAGTATTTGTTGAAATATTTTTTGTCATGCTCTTTCCTCTGCCAAAGAGTCTTGTTATTTGCATATTATGTCACTTGTAATTTTCCCACTACACAGCTCACTGATTTTCTGTTTTTTGTTGTTGTTGTTTTTTTTGCTGGGTGCTTCATTTGGGATAGTTTCTACTGCTAGGTCACAAGGTTCACTCGTCTTCTTCTCTGCAGTATCTGATTTGCTGTTTATTCCACTCAGTGTAATTTGTTATCCCAGATGTTGTTTTCATGCCTAGTAGCTTGAATCATGTTTTTTTCTTTAGTTTTTAGATTGTTTGGAGGTAAAATATACTAACAGAGAATTTGCCATTTCGATCATTTTTAAAATGTGCCATTTAGTTGTAGTAAATAAATTTACGATGTGGTGTAACCAACGCAGCTATTGATCTCTAGCATTCTCTCATCACTCTAAACAGAAATTGGGTACTCATTAAACACGTCCCCAGTCTCCCTTCCCCCCAGCTCCTGATAATGTCTATCCTACTTTCTCTATGAATTTGGCTATTCTAGGCACCTCATATAACGGGAAGGATACAATATTTGTCCTTGTGCTGGGCATGGTGGTTTATGCCTGTAATCCCAGCACTTTGGGAGGCTGAGGCAGGCAGATCACGAGGTCAGGAGTTCGAGACCAGCCTGACCAACATGGTGAAACCCCGTCTCTACTAAAAATACAAAAATTAGCCAGGTATGGTGGTGTGCACCTGTAATCCCAGCT
Source organism: Homo sapiens (assembly GCF_000001405.40). NCBI lineage: Eukaryota > Metazoa > Chordata > Mammalia > Primates > Hominidae > Homo > Homo sapiens. Next base: position 11,671,262 of record NC_000019.10, read on the forward strand.
ACTCAGGAGGCTGAGGCAGGAGAATCGCTTGAACCTGGGAGGCAGAGATTGCAGTGAGCCAAGATCACACCACTGCACTCCAGCCTGGATGACAGAGTGAGACTCTGTCTCAAAACAAAACAAAACAAAAAATTTGTCCTTGTGTGTCTGGCTTATTTCACTTAGCATAATGTTTTCCAGGTTCATTCGGGTTGTATCATGTATGAGGAATTCATTGCTTTTTCTGTCTGAATGATACTTCATTGCACGGAGAAACCACACTTTGTGTGTCTACTCTAAACACTTTTCTTTTTTTGTAAAGATTTTAAAAATATATTTAAAAACTAGTTTGAGAGTAATTGAATTAAATCATTGACTGGAAGAGTTGTTTCTACAGTAATATTTTGGCTACTGTGAATTAAGATGGCTATGAAATTGGTATACATGTGTCTGTGTAAGACCCTGCTTTTACTTCTTTTGGGTATATACCTAGAAGTGGAATTGCTGGTGTAAAGAGTAATGGATGTTTCCCTTTTCTTTTTTTCTTTTTTCTTTTTTTTGAGACGGAGTCTTGCTCTGTCACCCAGGCTGGAGTGCAGTGGTGCGATCTTGGCTCACTGCAAGCTCCGCCTCCCGGGTTCACACCATTCTCCTGCTTCAGCTTCCCGAGTAGCTGGGACTACAGGCGCCCGCCACCAGGCCTGGCTAATTTTTTGTATTTTTAGTAGAGACGGGGTTTCACCATGTTAGCCAGGTTGGTCTCGAACTCCTGACCTCATGATCCACCCGCCTCAGCCTCCCAAAGTGCTGGGATTACAGGCATGAGCCGCTGTGCCTGTCCTGTTTTTGTTTTTGTTTTTGAGATGGAGTTTCGTTCTTGCTGCCCAGGCTAGAGTGCAATGGCGTGATCTCGGCTCATGGCAACCTCTGCCTCCCGGGTTCAAGTGATTCTCCTGCCTCAGCCTCCCGAGTAGCTGGGATTACAGGCATGCACCACCACGCCCGGCTAATTTATTTTGTATTTTTAGTAGAGACGGGGTTTCTCCACGTTGGTCTGGTTGGTCTCAAACTCCCGACCTCAGGTGATCCACCCACCTCGGCCTCCCAAAGTGCTGGGATTACAGGGGTGAGCCACCACACCTGACCTTCCTTTTAAATTTTTAAAATGTTTGCTTCATATATTTTGGGCCTCTGTTATTTAGTGCAATTATATTTATAACTGTTATATATTCTGTATGATTTGAGCCTTTTATAGTGCTCTTCTTTGTGTCTTTTAACAGTTTTTGACTTAGTCTATTTTGTGTGACAATTGTATAGCCACCCCTGCTCTCTTTACATTACTATTTGCATGGAATATCTTTTTCTTTCATTCTCTTTCAACTGACTTGGGTATTGAGATCTACAATGAATGTGCTGTAGACAGGATACAATTTGATCATATTTTAAAGATTCATTCTCCCTGCCTCTGTCTTTTGTTTGGCAAGTTTATTCCATTTAATTACCGATAACGAAGGCATTATGTCTGCCATTGTACTATTCGTGTTCTGTATGACTAATAGCTTTGTTTTTCATAAAATACGAGGAATTCCTTATGTTTTCAAAATCAGTGTCTAGTTTCTTGGCTTTTGATTGGAAACTTTTATTAACACTTAAAGGAGGGAGCATAGCCACACTCTGCAGAGGGGACAAGAGGGCAAGTTGAACTCCCAGAGCTGAATCCTTATGTATCTTGCCTCATCACCATGACTTGGTAATGAGGCAGGGACACTCTGGGGACCCATTTCTTTTTCTTATCTTTTTTCTTTTTTGAGACAGAGTTTTGCTCTTTCGCCCAGGCTGGAGTGAAGTGGCACAATCTTGGCTCACTGCAACCTCTGTCCGCTCCCCCCGCCGCCCCACCCCGGGTTCAAGCGATTCTCCTGCCTCAGCCTCCTGAGTAGCTGGGATTACAGGCGCCCACCATCATGCCTGGCTAATTTTTGTATTTTTAGTAGAGACGGGGTTTCACCGTATTGGCAAGGTTTGTCTCGAACTCCTGACCTCAGGTGATCCATCCGCATTGGCCTCCCAAAATGCTGGGATTACAGGTGTGAGCCACCGCACCCGGCCTCTGGGGACCCATTTCAACAGTCTGGCACCCATGGTTGGGAATATGTTTAACCTCTAAATTGGGGTTTTCCTGCTGAACTGCGTCTGAAAGACTGCTTCTCTGAGCTAGCTCATGTTTTTGCTTTTTCTCTCTATTGATTCCTTTATAGAATATTGCTGTCATATAAGTCCAGCTTTTCCGTGAATTTAACAGTTTTATCCTGTTATCGATGTGTTTTTATTTTCTTGAAAATAAGCAGATTGAGACATCAGATGGGAGAAAGGCTTGACTATGTCGCCAGCAGCCTCATGCCAAATTCCTGATTCCTGGAGGACAGAGCCCCCCTCCTGCTCCAAGGCCAGGAGATGGCGCCACTGGACAGTGAGTCTGGGATTCCTAGCACACACTTGTGATTGCTGGTCCAGGAAAAAGAAGCAGGAAGGGCCATTAGTACAATCAGTCAGGAAATTCTGCTTAAGTGCACATTTCTCCCCAGGAGAGTCGGGTCACTGCACTGGGAGGAAGCCCGCCTGCCAAGGGCTGTGTCTGGAACCTGTTCATCGCGCTCCACTCAGCACAGTGAGATCGCCTCTTCTGTTACTCGGTCTCCAGGGGGCGGGACCTGGAGCCGTATCCAATCAGGGCCATGGGGTGGGGTCGTGAGAACTGTGGATCAGGCGCACTGCAGGGAGGTGGGTGCGCGGCATCTTCACCCCTCTAAATGCGGCTCCTACTCTGTAGCTGACAGACACCCACAGACGTGTCTGTAGCATCCTCTGTCACACTGGGACCCGTACTGGCAGCAGGAGCCGTAGGGAGGACTGGGACACCTGGAAGCCAGGAATTGGTGAGTGTGCGGGGCTGAGGGTCCCGAGACTAGGATGGGACTGGTTGGAACCGGCAGGAATAGACCGTGGCGGGACCCGGGCCTCTTCGTAGTTGACTCTGGGTTCTGAGACCCAAGTCCCCCTGGCGCACCTCGGCCCTGGTTCCTCTCAGGCCGCAGGGTGGGGCTGCGACGGCAGCCGAGACCCCTAGCCGTCCGGTCCAGTCCCTGTGCAACTGACTGTGGCCCCAGGCCCAGCGCCCTCTCTGGTCAGCTCCGCGCCCGCTGCCCCAGTCACGCCCGCTGCCTCCGTGTCTCCCCAGATTGTACGGGGGCCACTAGAGGGTCATGGGGGAAATCCTGCCTCGAGTATGGGGTTCGTGTGAGAGGAGCTGTAGGCTGTGGGGTCCCCAGTTCCCTCTTTCTCACCAGGGGCTTTTGTATTTTATCTGAGTTTCCCAAATATACGCGAAGCAGGGTCTCAAATCCGCGACTGTGGTCCCTAGGCTACCTTCTCCTAAGGCTGGCAGCAAATTTGGGATTTCCTGATCCCTTTCCGCATTTTATAACACGGATTTCCTTTAGTTCACAACAGTATCACTTCTTCGTCCTCCAGGCTATGTTTCAAACACAGGCAGTATTTTAATCGTCATTTTTTTAGAGGGCAGTATATGGCCGTTTTAAAAATATTTGTTTTGTGTTTGTGAACGTTTCAGAGAAAAACCACCTGACACTCCGCTGTAAACAATCTTTGTGTCTCTTTTTATCTGCCCTAGGCACAGACACCTTCTGAGAATGTCTTGGGTTGAGATTCCCCTTTGGAAACTTTACAGTGATGCGACCTCAGCCCACCCTCTGCCTTTTCCTGATCCTGGGTTTCAGGACTACCTGGGGCTGGCCCAAGATGCCTACAGCTGCCAAGTCTCTTGGGAAAGTCTAGTGAATATCAGCCCCTAGGTCGTTCCTCCCAAAGAGCCTGAGGTGTGGCGGTGAGGCCTCCCCAGGGAGCAGCTGGATGCTATGGGGTGGGACCAGTCTCCTATATCATTATTGTAAAAAACTAATCCCTTGGGACACGCCTTTTCTTCTCCAACCCGTTTCCATTCCTTGGGGACACATGGCTAGTCAGCCAATCAAATTCTGGTATGGAGGAAACCAAATTATTTCTGTCCTGTAATCCTAGCACTTTGGGAGGCCAAGGTGGGTGGATCACCTGAGGTCAGGAGTTCAAGACCAGCCTGGCCAACATGGTGAAACCCCGACTCTACTAAAAATCCAAAAATTAGCTGGGCGTGGTGGTGCACCCTTGTAATCTCAGCTACTCGTGAGGCTGAGGCAGAATTGCTAGAACCCGGGAGGTGGAGGTTGCAGTGAGCTGAGATTGCGCCACTGCACTCCAGCCTGGGCGACAGGGCAAGACTCCGTCTCAAAAAAAAAAAAAAAAAAAGAAGAAATGATTTCTGTCCTCTGGATTCTCTCAGTCTAGTGAAAGAAGAAAACCACCCCCAATGAGTTGTTGCAAGGACCTGAAAAGCACACAGTTGAGTGTCTTCTGGGAGGGTGGTCACTGAGCACTTCAGGGAGCAGCTTGGAGGTGGGGGGATGTCCCAAGTGATAGGATGATGTGACCTGACACTTGAGTCAGACACTTGAGTGTTTCAGGTCAGCACTGCCCCTCCCTGGGTTTATCACCTTGAAAAAATTGGTTTACTCATTTCAGCTTCAGGTTTTTTTTTTTTTTTTTGAGACGGAGTTTCACTGTTGTTGCCCAGGCTGGAGTGCAATGACGCGATCTCGGTTTGCCGCAACCTCCGCCTCCCAGGTTCAAGTAATTCTTCTGCCTCAGTCTCCCAGGTAGCTGGGATTACAGGCATGTGCCACAATGCCCACCTAATTTTGTATGTTTAGTAGAGATGGGGTTTCACCATGTTGGTCAGGCTGGTCTCGAACTCCCGACCTCAGGTGATCTGCCCACCTCAGCCTCCCAAAGTGCTGGGATTACAGGCGTGAGCCACCATGCCCAGCCATCAGCTTCAGTTTTTTTTTTTTTTTTCTTTTAGGATTGCTTTTATGAGCTAGGCATATTTGTATGGGAAGGGGGAATTTTTTTTTCTTTTTTTAGTATTTATTTATCATTCTTGGGTGTTTCTCGGAGAGGGGGATTTGGCAGGGTCATAGGACAATAGTGGAGGGAAGGTCGGCAGATAAACAGTTGTGAACAAGGGTCTCTGGTTTTCCTAGGCAGAGGATCCTGCGGCCTTCTGCAGTGTTTGTGTTCCTGGGTACTTGAGATTGGGGAGTGGTGATGACTCTTAACGAGCATGCTGCCTTGAAGCATCTGTTTAACAAAGCGCATCTTGCACTGCCCTTAATCCATTTAAACCTGAGTGGACACAGCACATGTTTCAGAGAGCACGGGGTTGGGGGTAAGGTTATAGATAACAGCATCCCAAGGCAGAAGAATTTTTCTTAGTATAGAACAAAATGGAGTCTCCTATGTCTACTACTATCTACACAGACACAGTAACAATCTTATCTTTCTTTTCCCCACATTTCCCCCTTTTCTATTCGACAAAACTGCCATCGTCATCATGGCCCGTTCTCAGTGAGCTGTTGGGTACACCTCCCAGACGGGGTGGAGGCCAGGCGGAGGCGCCCCCCCACCTCCCAGACGGGGCGGCTGGCCAGGCGGGGGCTGCCCCCCACCTCCCTTCCTCCTGGACAGGGCAGCTGGCTGGTCGGGGGCTGCCCCCCACCTCCCTCCCGGACGGGGCAGCTGCCGGGCGGAGACCCTCCTCACTTCCCAGACGGGGCAGCTGCCAGGCAGAGGGGCTCCTCACTTTCCCAGACAGGGCAGCTGCTGGGCGGAGGGGCTCCTCACTTCTCAGACGGGGTGGCCAGGCAGAGACGCTCGTCACCTCCCAGACGGGGTGGTGTTCAGGCAGAGACACTCCTCAGTTCCCAGACGGGGTCACGGCCGGGTAGAGGCGCTCCTCACATCCTAGACAGGGCAGTGGGGCAGAGGCGCTCCCCACATCTCAGACGATGGGCGGCAAGGCAGAGACGCTCCTCACTTCCTAGATGGGATGGCGCCGGGAAGAGGCGCTCCTCACTTCCCAGACTGGGCGGCAGGGCAGAGGCGCTCCTCACATCCCAGACCATGGGCGGCCAGGCAGAGACACTCCTCACTTCCTAGATGGGATGGTGGCCGGGAAGAGGCGCTCCTCACTTCCCAGACTGGGCAGCCGGGCAGAGGGGCTCCTCGCATCCCAGATGATGGGCGGCCAGGCAGAGACGCTCCTCACTTCCCAGACGGGGTGGCGGCCGGGCAGAGGCTGCAATCTCGGCACTTTGGGAGGCCAAGGCAGGCGGCTGGGAGGTGGAGGTTGTAGCAAGCCCAGGTCACGCCACTGCACTCCAGCCTGGGCAAGATTGAGCACTGCGTGAGCGAGACTCCGTCTGCAATCCCGGCACCTCGGGAGGCCAAGGCGGGCAGATCACTCGCGGTCAGGAGCTGGAGACCAGCCCAGCCAACACGGCGAAACCCCGTCTCCACCAAAAAATACAAAAACCAGTCAGGCGTGGTGGCGCACGCCTGCAATCCCAGGCACTCGGCAGTCTGAGGCAGGAGAATGAGGCAGGGAGGTTGCAGTGAGCCGAGATGGCGGCAGTACAGTCCAGCCTCGGCTCGGCATCAGAGGGAGACCATGGAAAGTGGGAGACGAGGGAGAGGCTCAGCATCAGAGGGAGACCGTGGAAAGTGGGAGACGAGGGAGAGCAGCTTCAGTTTTTTAATAACTGTAAAATGCACTATATTATTAGAGATGGATGGAGAAGTTAAAGTATTTCCAAACATGCCAGAAGAAGGTAGGTTTTGGTAGGTTTTAGGAAAAAAAAAGTCTAGTCTTGTATTCCCTTATAAAAATTCTTATTTTTCTTCCCAGAGCCTGGGTAGTAAGTTTCTCAGCTCCTTTTTCTATTGGGTGATTTCAAATGGAATTCTAGGCCTTAGCATGAAAATACTACCAGGGAAAAGAAATAGGGAAAAAAACCTCTCTTCCATTTTGGTTACAGAAAAAATGAGTTGTTTTCAAAAGAAAGTGTGGTGGATTATACTGGTGAATTACAAAGATGTTCCATAACCTCAGTTCTTCTCCTTCTCAGGTTGAAGAATTTGTGACCGTGGATAAGTTCGTTTCCTGTTATGTGAACTTGGCAGATTAATGCTAAATCCTGTGGGACAGCATTTAGCAACACCTAAAAAAGTACTCAATTATGATTTTTTGTGTACTAAATGATTATGGAAATACTAATTCTGTGTGGAAAGAACACACTCAAAGGGCTTTTTCTATTCTTTCAATAACAACAATCAACACAGAAGACTTTTGTGACCAAAAGCGTGGGTTTTCTCCCTACCAAAAGGCAAGCAGTGTATCCTGCAGTGGACAGCAACTGGGTCTCTTCCAATTCAGTTTTGACATTCTCTACCCTGGAGATAGTTTCAGAGCCCATAGGTTGATGGCTCAGTCCCCACATCCCTCCCTCCCTGCCTGCCACTCCCTACCATTCAGGTATCAGTGGTAAGTCTGGACCAATTATAACCCACAGGTTTCAAGTTGGAGTTCTTGTGCTCTCTTTGGGTTTAACTTGCTATTGTGGCTTGCAGAACTCAGGGAAACACTTACTCATCTTCACAGTCTTCTTTCATTTCTTTTTTTGTAGAGATGGAGTCTCTCTATGTTGCCCAGGCTGAACTCCTGGCCTCAAGTGATCTTCCCATCTTGGTCTCCCAAAGTGCTGGGATTACAGGTGTGAGCCACCATACCTAACTCTCAGGTTTCTTTCTTTTTATTTTTTTTTTTTGAGACAAGAGTCTCACACTCTGTGGCCCATGCTGGAGTGCAGTGGTGCGATCTCAGCTCGCTGTAACCTCCACTGCCCGGATTCAAGCTATTCTCCTGCCTTGGCCTCCCGAGTAGCTGGGATTATAGGTGCACACCACCACGCCTGGCTAATTTTTGTATTTTTAGTAGAGACGGGGCTTCACCATGTTGGCCAGGCTGGTCACGAGCTCCTGACCTCAAGTGATCCACCCACCTTGGCCCCCCAAAGTGCTGGGATTACAGGCACGAGCCACTGCACCCAGCCAAGGATATTTTAAAGGATACAAATAAACATCCAGGTGAAGAGATACATAGGGTGAGGTCTAGAAGGGTCTTGAGCACAGTAGCTTCTGTCTCTGGGGTTAGGGTGTGCCACCCTCCCAGCTGATGGATAAGTTCTTGTTTACCTTCCTATAAGCCTGCATGTGTTGAGCTGTCTGGGAGCTTTCTGAATCCTGTACTCTGGGGCCTTTTCTTGAGACCTCATTGGATAGGCATGATTCATAACTATGTAGAAATTAGCTGGACAAAAAAGGTAGAATCTAATACTGATAGACTGAATGGGAAAATCCACCAAGCCCTGTCTGTTCAGATTCTTTTTGGCTTCTCTATGTAGCATTCCTTCCTCCAGGGTATGAGACAGGACCCCTTCTGAAATGAGCGTCTGATGACCCACAATCAGAAAAGCTGGGAAGATTAGACTCCTTCCTTGGGCAGGTGAAGGACAGCAGGAGGTCAGTGAGAGAAATTCTGTCTTCTCAGTCCTGCCTCTGAAGCCTACAGTGCCACAGCACTATAACAGGGGCTGTGACAGTTACGAGCCAGGAAAAATGCAAAAATTAGCCAGGTGTGGTGGCGCATGCCTATAAACCCAGCTACCCGGGAGGCTGAGGCGGGAGAAGTGCTGGAACCAAGGAGGCGGAGGCTGCAGTGAGCCGAGATTGTGCCACTGCACTCCAGCCTGGGTGACAGTGTGACTTGGTCGAAATTAAAAAAAAAAAAGTTCCACATATCCCTAGGGCAGAGGCACACTGCAGCCAAGCTCTTTGCTAAGGAAAAACAAAAGTGACCTGTGCTTCAGTTCCCAATAAATACTTATAAGTATTGTCCTTTCCATCTGAGACCTCCTCAGCCTGAACTTTATATCACTATCAGCATTTTGGTCACAACCATTCAGCAAGCCTCTACAAAGTCTCAAACTCCCTCATCTTCCTGTTGTCTTCTGAGCCCTCCACACTCTTCCAAACCTCTGCCTGTTAAGAAGTTCCAAAACCAATTCCACATTTTCAGATATCTTGATAGCAATGCGCCACTTCTCAGTACCAATTTTCTTGTATTATTCCATTCTTGCAGCATGATAAAGAAATACCTGAGACTGGGTAATTTATAAAGAAAAGAGGTTGAATTGGCCCATGATTCTGCAGACTGCACAGGAAGCATGGTACTGGAAGGATGGCATCTGCTCAGCTTCTAGGGAGGCCTCAGGAAACTGACAATCATGGTGGAAGGCAAAGGGGGAGCAGCAGTTCACACGGCCAGAGAAGGAGCAAGAGAGAGCAGGGCAAGGTGCCACAGACTTTTAAATGACCGGTTCTCACAAGAACTTACCATCTCAAGAACAGCACCACAGGGATAGTGCTAAACCATTCATGAAGGACCACCATCCAGTCACCTCCCACAAGGCCCCACCTTCAATATTGGGAATTACAATTCGACATGAGATTTGGGTGGAGATTCAAATCCAAACCATGTCCTTTTGCTTTTTTCTGTTTTGTTTGTGGAGTAGATTTTTCTCCATCCCTTTACTTTGAGCCTAAGGGTGCCATTGCATGTGAGATGGGTCTCTTGAAGACAGCATACCATTGGATCTTGCTTTTTTATCCAAGTCACCACTGTGCCTTTTAATTGGGGCATTTAGCCTGCTTACATTCAAGGTTAGTATTTATATGTGTAGATTTGATCCTATCATGTTGTTAGCTGGTTATTATGCAGACTTGTTTGTGTGGTTGTTTTATAGTGTCACTGGTCTATGTATTTAAGTGTGCTTTTGTGGTGGCTGGTAATGGTTTTTTCTTTCCATATTTAGCACTCCCTTCAGGACCTCTTGTACAGATGTTCTCTTTCATTGTAATCACACAGGATGGGCTATGTCACCCAAATAACATGTGGTGGTGATTAACATGTGAAATGTTACCTGCCAGGGTCACGCATTACAGACTCTGTGCCCAGAGTATTTTTTCATGGCTCTTGTTTTCTGTTAGTTGTAATAGAATACCTGAAATTTGGCTGGGCGCGGTGGCTCGTGCCTGTAATCCCAACACTTTGGGAGGCTGAGGCAGGTGGATCATTTGAGACCAGGAGTTTGTGACCAGCTCAGCCAACATGGTGAAACCCCATCTCTACTGAAATATAAAAACAAAGCCGGGCATGGTCATGCATGCCTGTAATCCCAGCTACTTGGGAGGCTGAAGCATGGGAATTACTTGAACTGGGAGGTCGAGGCTGCAGTGAGCCAAGATTGCCCCCCCTGCATTCCAGCCTGTGCAACAGAGCAAGACTGTTTCCAAAAACAAAAAAAAACAAAAAACCCTGAATTTGGGTTAATATATAAAAAATACTTATTTTGTACAATTCTCAAAGTTTGGAAATCCAAGGGCAAATGGGGTACATCTGGTGAAAGCTTCTTGCTCTTTACTGTCTGAGGCAGTGGAGATCACTAGGCACGGGGGCTGATTGTGCTAACTCTGGTCTCTTTCTCTTCTTACAAGGCCACAAGTCTTATTTGTAGGATAACCCATTCATTCATTACCTCTTCAATTCGTCAGTGGATTAATCCATTCATGAGGCAGAGCCCTCATGCCTCTTAAAGGGCCCTGCTTTCAGTACTGACACATTGGGGATCAAATTTCGTTATGAGTTTTGGAAGGGGAAATTATTCACACTTAGCAAGGGCTGATTAGGTACACTGCTTCTGCTGAAAATACCACACTCTCAGAGGGAAAATGGGAATTAGGCAAATACCATATTGTTTGCATAAGTAGTTAAGGCACACACAACCCCATTTATTAGTTATGTTGGTGCAGATCTTCCCAAATCTAGCCCCTAGATACCATCAAAGTTCAACTTTCTAAATAAACGTGTAAGAATATGCAGTCTCAGAACTGCTAATTTGTCTCTTATAGACAGTATGTTTGGGACTTTCTCATGAGAGGTAATACTGACCCACTATACAGAGAGACACTAGAGGTGATCCAGGCAGCATATCTCAGTCTCTGAAATCACCAATGAGAGGCATGTCCTTGTTGGCTGTCACTTTACTGAATATATTCAATTCTAGCATCAGAATTGCTGTGATGGAGAAAGTGAGTGTAGACAGAAGACAAGAGGCTGACCAAGTCATTGAATAAATTTTTGGAGTCCACAGCATCGTGTGAACTTCTGAAGTGAGTATAGATTCCTAATGCTGTTGGTCTGAACCTTCCTCCTCTGCCATGTGGGATGTTTCAGGACTCAGTGACCTTTGAGGATGTGGCTGTGAACTTCACCCAGGAGGAGTGGGCTTTGCTGGGTCCTTCCCAGAAGAATCTCTACAGAGATGTGATGTGGGAAACCTTCAGGAACCTGATGTCTGTAGGTAAGGGTGACATCATTTCTTCACTTAGTCAATTATAGAACAAGTGTTTCTTGGTCTTCTGCATTGCTCAATGATTTGGAACATGGTAGGGAATACAGCAGACCCTTGAACAAGGTGGGGGTTAGAGACTCTGATCGTCCACACAGTCTGTTAGGTGCCTGTGAATTTAGAGTCCCTAAAGAGTTAACTACTAATAGACTGCTGTTGACCAAAGCTGTATTGATAACAGAAAGTCAATTAATACATTTTGTATGTTTGGTATATATCTATATACATATATATGGCCAGGTGTGGGGGCTCACACCTGTAATTCCAGTACTTTGGGAGGCTGAAGTGGGAGGATTGCTTGAGCTCAGGATTTTGAGACTGGCTGTAGCAATGAAGTGATACCCTGTCTGTATAAAAAATAAAAAAAGTAGCCATGGATGGTGGCACACCTGTGTTCCTAGCTATTCAGAAGGTTGAGGCAGTAGGTTCGCTTGAACTGGGGAGGTTGAGCTTGCAGTGAACCATGATTGCACCACTACAGTTTAGCCTGGGCAACAGAGTGAGTCCTTGTCTCACTCTGTGTGTGGCTGGGCATGGTGACTTGCGCCTGTAATCCCATCACTTTAGAAGGCTGAGGCAGGTGCATCACTTGATGTCAGGAGTTTGAGACCAGCCTGGCCAACGTGGTGAAACCCCATCTCTACTAAAAATACAAAAATTAGCTTGGTGTGGTGGCATGCACCTGTAATCCCAGCTACCTGGGAGGGTAAGGGAGGAGAATCACTTGAACCTGGGAGGCAGAGGTTGCAGTGAGCCAAGACCACGCCACTGCACTCTAGCCTGGGCAAGAGAGAGAGACTCCGTCTCAAAAAAAAAAAAAGTGCGTATGTGTATATATGTTTAAGACAGGGTCCCTTGCTAGGTCTAGAGGCGAGTGCCACCATCCCCAGCTAATTTTTGTATAATTTTTTTGTAAGGTGGAGGGTCGTGAACTCCTGGCCTCAAGCATTCCTCCTCCCTAGCATCCCAAAGTGCAGGGATTACAGGCATGAGCCACCATGCCAAGCCTGTTTGGTATGTTATGTACTGTATTCTTATAATACAGTAAGCTTTTCTTTTGAAAAGGTTATCAAAAAAATTAGAAGAGAAGATATGTTGACTTTAGTAAGTGCAAGTAGATTATCAAGGTGTTCTTCCTTGGTTGTCTTCATATTGAGTAACCTGAGCAAAAAAGGAGGGTTTGGTCTTGCTCTCTTAGAGATGGCAAGAGCTGATGAAAATGTGCATGAGTGAACTGTGCAGTTCAAAACCATGTTGGTCAAGGTTCAACTGAACTTTGGTGAATAAATCAGCCATGGCCACAGTGTCCCATGAACATAGAATCTAATAATTTTTCTATAATTTTGTAATAACTTATGATGACTTTTATGGGTCTGCATTTTAGGAATAAAATGTGAAGACCAGATCATTGAAGATCAGTACAATAATTCCAAAAGAAATCTAAGGTCATTTGCACTTACAACCTAGAGCTATGTCCCTTAAGATATTGTTAGAATGACAACAAATGTTAAAAGCAAGCAAAGAAAATGAAGCAGCCCAGCTTCAAATTCATTCATTTTTAGAAAAAATTTTCCAGGCTGGGCATGGTGGCTCACACCTGTAATCCCAGCACTTTGGGAGGTCAAGGGAGGCAGATTGCTTGAGCCCAGGAGTTCAAGACCAGCCTGGGCAACATGGTGAAACTCCATCTGTACAAAAATCTAAAAGTTAGCCAGGCATGGTGGCATGCACCTGAGGTCCCAGCTACTAGGGAGGTTAAGGTGGGAGGATGGCTTGAACCCAGGAGGTCAAGGCTGTGATGAATCGTGAACATGCCACTGTACTTCAGCCTGGGTGACAGAGTGAGACCTTGTCTCCAAAAAAAAAAATAACTATTTTCCAAAAACAATATACTTACACAAGACATAAATATCCAGTGTTTTCAAAATAGTTGCCTTGGAGCCAGTGTTAAGAAATTGATTATGAATATCAATGTTTTGATAATAAGTGTAATGCAGCCCTTTTGCAGAGTATTCAGTCCATTGATGTTTACACAGTTCAGACAAGCCAGAAAACCTACTTTCCATCATAATGCAAAATATGTAAATCAAATACCTACTAATGAATATAAAATCATTTATAAACCAGCCCTTGGTATTGTGCTTATTTCTCACAGAAGTCATATGGTAGAGAGAGTCTGAAGGTAAGGAAGATGGTCAATGTGAAGAGATCTTCAGCCTTGTTCCAAATGGTATAGTGAAGACGACTTTTACTGGAGTCAAATCATGTGAAAGCAGTGTGTGTGAAGAAGGCAATATGGATCATTCATCTCTTAATTGCTGCATCAGAGCTGACACTGGACACAAATCAGATGAGTGTCAGCAACATAGAAGCCACATAAGCAGTGTGTGAAAACCTTCAGCTATTGCCACTCCTTTCAAACACATGAAAGGCCTCACACTGGAAAGAAACTCCATGTAAGAAATGTGGAAAAACCTTCATTTCTGTTCAAACCTTTTGAAGATACATGGTAATGCACAGTGAAGATGAACCTTATAAATGTAAGTTTTGTGGGAAGGCCTTTGATAATCTACATTTATATCTTACACATGAAAGAACTCACACTGGAGAGAAACCCTATGAATGTAATAAATGTGGGAAAGCCTTCAGTTGTTCCAGTTCCATTCGAAAACATGCAAGAATTCACACTGGAGAGAAACCCTATATATGTAAACAATGTGGCAAAGCCTTTAGATATTCCAGTTCTATTCGAAATCATGAAAACACTCACACTGGTGAAAAACCCTGTGAATGTAAGCAATGTGGGAAAGCCTTTAGTTATTCCAGTTACTTTCGAATACATGAAAGAATTCACACTGGAGAGCAGGTGTATAAATGTAAGGAATGTGGGAAAACATTCACTTATCCCAGTGCCTTTCATAAACATAAAAGTACCCACACTTCACAGAAACTTTATGAATGTAAGGAATGTGGGAAAGCATTTGATTGTTTTAGTTCCTTTCATAGTCATGAAGGGGTTCACACTGGAGAGAAACCCTATGAATGCAGAACGTGGAAAAGCCTTCAGTAGTTCTAAGTACTTAAAAATACATGGAAGAACTCACACTGGAGAGAAGTCCTATGCAGTAAAGAATGAGGGAAAGTATTTTATTGTCTCAGTCCCCTTCAAAGACATGAAAGGACTCACATCAGAGAAAAGTTGTATGAATGTAAAAAATGTGATAAAGCCTTCCATTCGTCCAGTACTGTTAGAAACCATGAAAGAAGTCACATTTAAGAAAAACACAGTGATGTTAGGAATATGGGGAACCTTTCCTTTCTCTTCCAGTCTTTGGAAGGCACAGGGTATGACACACTGGTGACCTTATAACTGTAAGGAGTGTGGATAAGTATTTATTAGTCCTTGTGTGTTTTAGATACATGAAAGAATTTACTCAAAAGGAAACTCTATGAATGTAAAGAATGTGGTAAAACCTGTGTAGTTTCAGTTTCTCTTGAATAAAGTCATTTCCTGGTATTCTCAGGGGATTGGTTCCAGCACCCCTTGAGAATATATAATTTTGCTCAAGTGCTTTACAGAAAAGTGTATTTGCCTATAACTAGGCAATCCTGTATACTTTAAATCATCTCTAGATTACTTATAATACCTAATGCATTGTAAATGCTATGAAGACAACTGTTTTATTGTATTTAGGGAAGTATGACAAGAAAAAACATCTGTACATATTCAGTACAGACACAACCACCATACGGCTACCTACCTAGTACACATCATCTACAATATAACATTTTCTTTTTAAAAAACAGTTATGGATTGGTTTCATTAAATGACCTGCAAGCGTGTGTTAACCTTCTGTAAAACCCTGGTTATTTTCTCCTGGTAGCCCACACATGATGATGATGAGGATGATGGTGATTGCTCTGTGGTGCCTAAAGTTGCAACATGTTGAGGTGCCAAGATATGTGGCAGTGTCGATAAGCAATGAGATGTCAATTAAACTAGAATCATCTGACAGGACATTAGAAGTATCATCTATGTTGGAGGTACCAACTTCTGACTGCAGATGTTGACTCTTTCATCAATAATACAAATGTTGGATCTACGGAATTTGAGGGTCAAAGATATTTAAGCATTGATGGTCCCACAGATTCTAGTTGGGGACATTATCAAGGATGCAGTTTACCCAGAGCGATTAACCCTAGTGGAGGAGCTAGATTAGGAAAGTTTCTGGGGTCATGGTTAAGTCTAGGTTCTACTTGGAATGGATATCTAACCAGAAATCTTTCTTGTATCATTAGTAGAGTTGCCCATTTCACCACCGAAGCCATCAGGACACAAGAGAAGTCTCTAGGTTCCCTTGCCTGCATGGCCCTAGACAACCACATTGCAGCTATCTCCCTACTTTACAGGGTAGTGTCTGTGCTAACCCTTGCTTCTGCATCTGGGTAAAATACTTCCAGTCAGACTGAATTGGGAACATATAAGATCTTAAAACCAGCCAAATCTCTGAAAGGGACACCTTCAGAAACCCTCCTGTCTAGACTTACTGGGTTACATTTCCAATTTCCAGATATTTTCAGCTGGCTCTTCCCCTGGTATAGGATTTCTTCTCCATTCTGCCCTACAAGTCTCAATGATCCTATTTAAAATATGCATTTGGCTCCTCTTTAAAATTGTTCTATCTTGTTTCAACAGATGCCTCCAAGAGACCCCCACTAGGTTCTTGCTGACCTAATACTTGAGATTTTAAACTCACTCCAGCTGGCCACTGAAACCAACTTAACCCAAGAGATTTTGGCTAAAATTTAACAGGTTCCTGAGAACCTCTTATAAGTAAATGGCTATAGTTGCCCAACTGGCCACTGCCCTGCCATTAGGATCCCTGCATGGGATGGACCCACAGCAGGTCACTGGTACCATGATAGAACACACACAAAAACTTATGAATGCTGTCTGTGGACGGGTTAGAGTCAGTCCTTCACACTGGCTAACTGGGCCTAAGTTTTAAAAAGAGCTAAGCCGCCACTTGTTAACTAGGGGTCACAAGCACTGTGAGTTTCCTGAAAACCAACACCTTTTTAACTTTGGGGGCTCACCTGAGCTAGTCAATCAGAGCTCAGCTGTATCAACCAATCAGAACTGAGTTTCAAGTTTCAGATCTTCATTTGCATAAAAGCACTTGACTAGGAACCCAGATGGGAACTTTTGCTATAAAACCTAAGCTTTCCCTTGTTCTCTGGAACAAATAATGTTTAGGTTGCAAACTCCTTATGCCTTTTCCCCAGAACTATGTAGAAATAACGCCTTCTAAAATGTGATCTTGATACCAGGGAACTCCTTTTTTTTTTTTTTTTTTTTTTTTTTTTTGAGTCGGAGTCTTGCTCTGTTGCCCAGGCTGGAGTGCAGTGGCGTGATCTCAGCTCACTGCAAGCTCCGCCTCCCAAGTGGCTGAGAGACAGGTGCGCACCACCACGCCCAGCTAATTTTTTGTCATTTAGTAGAGATGGGGTTTCACCCTGTTGGCCAAGATGGTCTCAATCGACCTGACCTTGTGATCTACGTGCCTCGGCCTCCCAAAGTGCTGGGATTACAGGCGTGAGCCACCGCACCTGGCTGATACCAGGGAACTCCCAGAGCAAAGCACTAAATACTTTCATTCCTCTAAGGTCTATGACTCTAATCAGCAGAAAGTAGTTAGAGCAGTTATCATTCCTTTTCCTTCAAGACTTAGGAATGAACATAATAGGAGGGATTTGTAACCACAACAGATTATGTGGTACAACTTCTATATAACAAAGCTGAGTTTTCAGTTGCCATGGACCCAACACTCAAGGTCACATAATCTGAGCATGCCCAGATGAACCAAATGTGTAACCATGGGTGGAACCTATATGCTTGGACTGAGGTGTGGAGATTAAAGTAAAAAGTAGATGCTGGGCACGGTGACTCATGCCTGTAATCCCAGCACTTTGGGAGGCTGAGGTGGGTGGATTGCCTGAGCTCAAGAGTTCAAGACCACCCAGAGCAACATGGTAAAACCCTGTCTCTGTGAAAGATACAAAATATTAACCAGGTGTGGTGGCGCACACCTGTAGTCCCAGCTACTTGGGAGGCTGAGGCAGAATTGCTTGAGCTCCAGAGGTGAAGGTTGCAGTGAGCGAGATCATGCCACTGCATTCCAGCTTGGGCTACAGAGTGAGGCTCTGTCTCAAAAAAAAAAAAAAAAAAAAGATACCACATGGTGGAATCTAGGATCTAATCAGGTTGGGCCCCGGTATCATCCCATGGCAGGATCCAATCGAGTCACATTAACCTGGCATGAGATCATTGCAAGATGCAGTGAGTTCATGTCTTATTACCCCACGCTTATAAAACTTGCCAAAGCCCCCAGCTCAGGGAGACATATTTGAGCATTTCTTCCTTTCTCCTTGCCAGTCAAACTTGTAGTAAAGCTTTTCTTTCTTCAAAAGCTGGTGCCATGCTATTGGCTTGTGTGTACATCTGGAAGTGAGCCAATTCACTACTTGCTAACATAACAAAGAATCAGCAACTGTGAAGATGAAACAATTAAAATTATCCAGTCTGGGCCAGGCGCGGTGGCTCACACCTGTAATCCCAGCACTTTGGGAGGTCCAGGTGGGTGGATCACCTGAGGTCGGGAGTTCGAGACCAGCCTGACCAACATGGAGAAACCCTGTCTCTACTAAAAATACAGAATTAGCTGGGTGTGGTGGTGCATGCCTGTAATCCCAGTTACTTGGGAGGCTGAGGTAGAAGAATAGCTTGAACCAAGGAGGTGGAGGTAGCAGTGAACCGAGATTACGCCATTGCACACCAGCCTGGGCAACGAGAGTGAAACTCCATCTCAAAAAAAAAAAAAAAAAAAAAGAAAGAAAAAAATTACCAGTCTGTGGAAAAGAAAGAGGAAAGAAATTGAGAGAATGTGTTACTAGTATACCTGCCTTGCCAGTCATGTTAAAGTTCTTCAGAGCGAAGGAAACTGATACAGGTTAGGAAAGCAGATGTTTCAGAAATAAAACTTGTTAGAAAATAATTAAATGAGGGCACAAATATGATTATCTTTTCTTCTCCTTCATAGATAAATGTTTGTTCAAATGAATATCAACAATGTATTGGGTGGTTATAGCTTCTAACAGGTCAAATGCGTGACAGTGATATTATATGGGATTGGAAAGAGGAATTCAGAACACTCTTAACATATTGGCACTACCCCAGACACCAGTATAGTGTTATTTGAAAATGAAAGTCCATTAGTTGCAAATGTATACTGCAAACTATGGAATTCACTAATAAAATTTAAGAAACAAGTAGACTTACTACACTAATAGAAGCAAGCAAATGGAATCATATAGAACGCTCAATTAAAAGGCAGAAAAATAGAGCAAGTAGAAAAAAAGCACAAGTACAACAAACAATATATATGAACATATTAATCTATGTCAATTACCACTTTGAATGTGTATTTTTTTTTTTTTTTGAGATGGAGTCTCGCTCCATCGCCCAGGCTGGAGTGCAGTGGTGCCATCTCGGCTCACTGCAAGCTCCGCCTCCCGGGTTCACGCCATTCTCCTGCCTCAGCCTCCCGAGTAGCTGGGACTACAGGTGCCCACCAACACGCCTGGCTAATTTTTTATATTTTTAGTAGAGACGGGGTTTCACCATGCTAGCCAGGATGGTCTCAATCTCCTGACCTCGTGATTCATCTCAGGAAGACAAGATGGGTGGATCACTTGAGCCCAGGAGTTCTCAAGACCAGCTGAGCAACATGGAGAGACCCTGTCTCTACAAAAAATAAATACAAAAATTAGCCAGGCATGGTAGCACACGCCTGTAGTCCCAGATGAGGTGGGAGGATTGCTTGAGTTCGGGAGGCACAGGTTGCTGTGATCACACCACTGCACCCCAGCCTGGGTGCCAGAGACCCTGTCTCGAAAAATAAATAAATAAATAAATAAACCAAAAAACCTGATTTATCTGAATTTAATATAGCCGTTCCATACTTTTGAGTAGGGCTAGAATGGCATATATTTCACCATACCTTTCTATTTAAGGTATCTGTGTCTTTCTGTTGAAAATGGTTATCTTTTACACATTGCTGGGCCTTGTTTTTAATTCTACTCTGCCAGTGCCTGTCTTTTTTACTGGTGTATATAGATAATACACATTCAGGCCGGGCGCGGCGGCTCATGCCTGTAATCCCAGCACTTTGGGAGGCCGAGGTGGGTGGATCAACTGAGATCAAGAGTTTGAGACCAGCCTAACCAACATGGTGAAACCCTGTCTCTACTAAAAATACAAAAATTAGCCGGGTGTGGTGGCATGCACCTGTAGTCCCAGCTACTCAGGAGGCTGAAACAGGAGACCATGGAATATTCACCAAGGCAGACCACATAGCATAAAACATACCTTAACAAATTTAAAAAAATCAAATTCCATAAAATACGAAATCAAACCGTATTAGCATTAAACTAGAGATCAATAGCAGAAGCATAGTTTAAAAGCCTCCAGAAAGTAAAGATTTAAACCACAAACTTCTAAACTATGCAACAGACAGAATTCTCCAGAGATACTTAAATATTCCAAAAATTGAAAAAAACTTTTAGCAAAATTTGTAGAATACAGCAAAGGCAGTGCTTAGAGAGCTATTTAAATAATTAAATGCAAACTCTTGAAAGTAAAGATCTAAAAAACAATGCTGTAAATTCCACCCCAGGAAACTAGAGAAAGAAGAGCACGATAAATGTAAATTAAGGAGAGGAAAACAACGAGAGAAGATATTAATGAAATTGCAAACAGGAAATCAATGGAAAACATCAACAAATCCAAATCCTGGTTTTCTGAAATGAATAAAATTGATAAACACCCATGCTAACTCACAAAAGGGTGGGCATCTCTAAGATTTCCATGAACATTAAAAGAACCATAAAGGAATATTAACTCCATGCCCATAGATCTGATAAATTACAAGATGAGGCCGGGCGCGGGGTGGCTCACGCCTGTAATCTCAGCACCTTGGGAGGCCGAGGCGGGCGGATCACGAGGTCAGGAGATCAAGACCATCCTGGCTAACACAGTGAAACCCTGTCTCTACTAAAAAAAATACAAAAAATTATCCGGGCGTGGTGGCTGGCACCTGTAGTCCCAGCTACTCGGGAGGCTGAGGCAGGAGAATGGCGTGAACCTGGGAGGCGCAGCTTGCAGTGAGCCAAGATGGCGCCACTGCACTCCAGCCTGGGCGACAGAGCGAGACTCCGTCTCAAAAAAAAAAAAAAAGTAAATCTGAGATGAGTTACAGATGTCTTCAAGGTGACAAATCCATGGAGGTGCAGTGCTGACTGAAAACAGACAAGTCTGACTCAAGTATCAGGTCAGGTTCTCCTATCATCTGAGACATACCCCTTCCCATGCTGCTCACTGAAGTGCTGAGTGACCGCCCTCCCAGGAGACACTGCACTGTGTGCTTTTGAGGTTCTTGTACCACATCATTGGGGGGTGGGTTTTCCTTTCCTTAGGGTTAGTTTTTACCCTTCACTATGTGGCAGGCCAGAGTCTCACTAACACAGGCTTCCATAACAACTGTTTCAGCACTGAGTGGTTAAATATTAAAAGTCGAGAGAGCCGATGCCTCTAAACAAAGGCTGGAATGTAACAAAAGCCCAACAAGAGTTTTGCCCAGGCCTTTCCTGGGCCTTGAAGCATGACAAGATAACGAAGGAATTCCTTTTTTTTTTTTTTTTTTTTTTTTTTGGAGACGGAGTCTTGCTCTGGGACTATAAGTGCATGCCACCATGCCCAGCTAATTTTCGTATTTTTAGTAGAGATGGGGTTTCACCATATTGGCAAGGCTGGCCTTGAATTCCTGACCTCAGGTGATCCACCCAAAGTGCTGGTATTACAGGCGTGAGCCACCGCGCCTGGCCCAGAAAACAGCGTTTTGATTGAATACTATGACTTAAGAAATGTACACAAACACTCGATTCTAATGGGTATTTTTCCCTAGAAGGGTATGGATTAGCAATTCTGAAACTATTTTACATGTTAGAATATATGTTGTTATGTTATCTACAATATATGTTGTAGATAATTAGTGCCTGTTTCTCACTGGAGTTGAAAAAAGTAAAAGAAATAAAGGGACACTGCTAGAATGAACCCAGTGGTGCTAGAAATACAGCACCAGGGAAAAAGAATGTTTAATGTTGCTGTGAACTGAGGAGATGAAATCAGAGTCACAAAATGCAGGGAAAGAGCTTAAAAACCAAGGGATTTTAAGCCCTCGGAGGAGTTAGTTGAGGGAAGAGAGTGGTGGATTAGAAACCCTGATTCCCAAACCTTTGGAAGATGCAGAGGGATACCACTTGCCATTTAGGAATGTGAACTCAAAAGTATCTGAGACATGTTTCAATTTAGAAAGTTTATTGGCTGGGCGTGGTGGCTTACGCCTGTAATCCCAGCACTTTGGGAGGCAGAGGCAGGTGGATCACCTGAGGCCCAGAGTTCGAGACCAGCCTGACCAACAGGGAGAAACCCCGTCTCTACTAAAAATACAAAATTAGCCAGGCGTGGTGGTGCATGCCTGTAATCCCAGCTACTCGGGAGGCTGAGGCAGGAGAATCACTTGAACCCGGGAGGCAGAGGTTGTACCGAGCCAAGATGGCACCACTGCACTCTAGCCTGGGCAAGAAGAGTGAAACTCCATCTCAGAAAAAAAAGTTTATTTTGCCAAGGTTAAGGACACATCCATGATACAGCCTCAGGAGGTCCTGACCACATGTGTCCAAGGTGGTTGGGGTACAGCTTGCTTTTATATTAATACATTTTGGGGAGACATAATACATCAGTCAATACATGTAAGAGGTACATTGGTTCTACTTGGAAAGGAGGGACAACACAAAGTGGGCGGGGGAGGGGTCTGGTTCCCAGGTCACAGGTGGATTTTCCCATAAATGGTTGTGGAGACCAAAGTTTCATAATGCAGATGAAGCCTCCAGGTGGCAGGCTTCAGAGAGAATAGATTGTAAATGCTTCTTATCAGACTTAAGTTCTGTGTTGATGTTAATACTGATAGGCTTTTCCTGGGTTCCAAAAGGGAGGCAAATATAATGGGGCACGTCCAGCTGATACAGTTTGACTGTGTCCCCATCTAAATTGCATCTGGTATTGTAATCCTTTCGATTTAGGCTATTGCGCCACAGAGCCTGCTTGCAGGAATTGTAATCCTATTTGTAATCCCCATATGTTGAGGGAGGGACCTGCTGGGAGGTGATTGGATCATGGGGGTGGTTTCCCCCATGCTGTTCTCCTGATACAGTGTTCTCACGAGATCTGGTTACTGGATAAGTGTCTGGGCTCCTCCCTTCTCTCTCTCCCTCTCCTCCCTTCTCTCTCTCCCTCCTGCCACCCCGTAAGACGTGCCTTGCTTCCCCTTCTGCCATGATTGTAAGTTTCCTAAGGCCATGTGGAACAGTGAGTCAATTAAAAACTTTTTTTAAAAATAAATTACCCAGTCTCAGGTAGTATCTTTCCAGCAGTGTGAGAACAGACGAATACACAGACCACCCTTCCATGATGGCCTGAACAAGTTTTTCAGGTTAATTTTGTAGTGCCTTCGCCGGGAGGAGGGATCTGTTCAAAATGACTGGGGGGCTTAGAATTTTATATTTGGTTTAAAAAAGGAATAAAGGAATAAAGAAGGAACTGGGGACCCCGGACCGTAGCTCCTTCCACGCATGAACCCCGCACACGAGTCGGGATTCCCCCCATGACCCTCCCGTGGCCCCCGCACAATCTGGAGAGACGCGGGGCTGCGGGCGCGGAGCTGCCCAGAGAGGACTCCTGCCCGGGCCCGCAGTCGCCGCGAAGGGACGGGACAGGACGCCCGGGGTCCCGGCTGCCAGCCCAGCCCCACCCTGCGGCCGAGGGGACCGAGGGCCGAGCTCCGCCAGCGGTACTCCGGTCCACAGAGCCCGGAGTCGCTGGCTGGGAGGCCGGGGACCCGCCACGGCCAGTTCCAACCAGCCCCTCCTCCCGTCTCGGGATCCCTGGCCCCTCACGCTCACCATTTTCCGAATTCCTCCGTGTCCCGGGGGCCTCTCTGCGGCTCCCACGACCAGTGCAGGTCCCTGTGTGACAGAGGCTGCCGCAGACTCTCCAGAGTGCCTCTCAGCGACAGAGACAGGAGCCCAGCGAAGTGGCGTGTAGAAGACGCCGCGGGCTTTTTCAATCTCGCACCCTCTTAGCTGAAGTGCGCCTGATTGACAGTTCCCACGACCCCGCCCCACGGCCCTGATTGGATAGTGCGACAGATCCCGCCCCCTGACGACTGAGTTACAGAAGCGATCTCACGCTGGGGAGTGGAGACTGATGAACGAGTTCTTGACACAGCCCTTGGCAGGGCGGGCTTCTTCCCTGCGCTGTGACCTGACCCCTCCCAGGGGACATCTGCATTTAAGCAGGATCCCCCATCTGTACTCAGTGTGACCTTCCTGCTTTTTCCTCCTAGACTGGGGATCACAAGTGTGTGCAGGGAAACCCAGACACATTGTCCAGTGGAGCCATTCCCTGGCCTCGGAGTAGGAGGAGAGCCGAGGCCATACGGGCCACACTGCAACAAGAATAAGGGCTTAGGCTGGGCGTGATAGCTCATAGCCGTAATCCTAACACTTTGGGAGGCCGAGGCCGGTGCATTGCTTGAGCCCAGGAGTTCGAGACCATCCTGGACAACATAGTGAGAGCCTGTCTCTACAAAAAAATACAAAAATTAGCCTGGAATGGTGGCCTGTACCTGTAGTCCTAGCTACTCGGAAGGCTGAGGTGGGAGGATCACTTGAGCCTGGGAGGTCAAGGCTGCAGTGAGTCAAGATCGTGCCACTGCACTCCAGCCTGGGCGACAGAGTGAGACACCATCTCAAAAAAAAAAAAAAAAAAAAAAAAAAAATAAGGGCCCGATGTGTTCCAGGGATCAGGAATTTTGGATAAGTCTGTTGGCTGCATGGCCAAGCCTTTCTCCCACCTTATCTCTCAATCTACTGATTTTCAGCCAAGGAAGTAATAACATGCCAACAACGGAATAAAATCATTAAATGTATGGAAAAAGTGGAATCACATAGTAGCAATATTTTATAAGGAAATCGAAAGACAAGAAAAGCAAACACTCGAACTAGTTGAGATAAGTAGCCTGCTGCACCCACAGTTCACAAACCTGCAGTCAGAAGGTGATACACGTTCCCAAGCTTGTGAGTCAAACTCTGATGAGGCAGGGGCACTTAAAGATTTAACTCTGGGAACTCAACGTGGCCTCCTACTCCTTCTCCAGAGTGTGGAAATGCTCCTTCCTTCAAGACCTTCATTTTCTTTCTTTCTTTTTCTTTTTTTTTTTTTTTTTGAGACGGAGTCTCTCTCTGTCGCCCAGGCTGGAGTGTAGTGGCGTGATCTTGGCTCGCAACCTTCGCCTCCCGGGTTCAAGCGATCCTCCTACCTTAGCCACCCAAGGAGCTGGGACTACAGGCATGTGCTACCACGCCCAGCTAATTTTTTTTTTTGAGACACAGTCTCGCTCTGTTGCCCAGGCTGGAATGCAGTGGCACGATCTCGGCTCACTGCAACCTCCGCCTCCCAGGCTCAAGCAATTCTCCTGCCTCAGCCTCCCGAGTAGCTGGGACTACAGGCGCACGCCGCCATGTCCGGCTAATTTTTTGTATTTTAGTAGAGACGGGATTTCACCGTGTTGCCCAGGCTGGTCGCGAACTCCTGAGCTCAGGCAATTTGCCCACCTTGGCCTCCGAAAGTGATGAGATTACAGGTGTGAGCCACTGCACTCGGCCCACTAATTTTTATATTTTTAGAGAGACGAGGTTTTACCATGTTGGCCAGGCTGGTCTTGAATTCCTGACATCGGGTGATCCACCCACCTCAGCCTCTCAAAATGTTGGGATTACAGGTGTGAACCACCGTGCCGGCCAAGACCTTCCTTTTTGCCAGCAGGAAACTCTCATCTAAAAATCAGTTTAATGCATTGACCTATATAAACTGTCAAATTCATAACTCCTTTTCCAGAAGGCAATCTAATGAGTCTTTAAGTCTGACCTTCACAGATTTTCCTCCTATATACAAATGACAGCCTGCCTCCTGTGACTCTGTGCATGCCCAAGGCAAAGCACTTGAATGTACTGAGATCTTCAATATTTACAAAAGAAGATGGTCAGATTAAAATATTCTGTCTATGCCCTCAATGAGCAGGTAGTATAACAGGTTAGAGAGGACAAAATCAAATAAAATGGACATGGAACTTACCCATGATATCACAGTCTATCCTGGAGGATTTTTGTGGTTGTTTTGTTTTGTTTTGGAGACAGGGTCTCTGTGTCACCAAGGCTGGAGGGCAGTGAGTGGTGTGATCCCAGCTCACTGCAGCCTCAAGCTCCTGGGTTCAAGCCATCCTCCCACCTCAGCCTCCCAAGGAGCTGGAACTGCAGGCGTGCACCACCAGCTTGGCTAATTTAAAAAAATTTTTTGAGGTAGACACGGCGTGGCGGGGGGATGGGGGAGTCTCACCATGTTGCCCAGGCTGGTCTTGAACCCCTGGGCTCAAGCAACCCTCCCCCCTCAGCCTTCCACAGTGCTGGGAATACAGGTGTGAGCCACCGTGCCTGGCGATGGTTTCTAAAAAGCACTTTGCTTCAAAGGATTTAGAGAGCCACAGGTGGGTTCATCTGGGGCCAGTTAGACTGCTTGAAAAGGAAAGCTATTTATGCAATCTGCAGCTGCCTAGGAAATGGCCCCAAAGTTCCCAGAGTTACAGTCTCAAAAAGGACGCAACCCCCTAGCTGCATCTACATGTGGGTTTCCCGCTTTCCAGGGCACTGCAGCTTCTCAGAATCCACAGTCCTTAGCTGTTCTGAGCAGCTGGAGGCCATCCGCAAGGGTAGGCAGGATGCCCAGCTCCATTCTCCTCCCTTTGTAGGCTTAAGACTGGTGTCAGCTTAAAGTCACTGTCCTCAGGCTCTGCTGCCCACTCCAGGTTTTTAGGGCTCCGAAAACAATGATCCTCAAAACAGGTCTCAGAAGCAGAAGTTTTTCTCTGACCTTCTCTTGCCCTCCTGTCTCTCAGTCCCATTCTCCACCAAGGGTAGCCATAGAAGCTAGAATCCCTCTTCCCCAAGGCAGGTCATAGAATCCAGAACCCCTATTCCCCAAGGGCAGCCATAAAATGCAAACAGATAACTTTCCCTGTGCCTTCCTTTGGAAAAACTGGTCACAAAGAATTTATCTGACCTACCTTATTTGACTGTAGGTCATAAGACTGTCATTTAAGAGAGGATTCTGGCCAGGTGCGGTGGCTCACACCTGTAATCCCAGCACTTTGGGAGGCCAAGACAGGTGGATCACGAGGTCAGGAGATCAAGACCATCTGGCCAACATGGTGAAACCCCGTCTCTACTAAAATACAAAAAATTAGCTGGGCATGGTGGCACGCGCCTGTAGTCCCAGCTACTCGGGAGGCTGAGGCAGGGGAATGGCTTGAACCCAGGAAGCGGAGGTTGCAGTGGGCCGAGATCGCGCCACTGCACTCCAGCCTGG
This sequence comes from Homo sapiens, assembly GCF_000001405.40. Lineage (NCBI taxonomy): Eukaryota > Metazoa > Chordata > Mammalia > Primates > Hominidae > Homo > Homo sapiens. The sequence goes on from NC_000019.10 coordinate 11,698,319, forward strand.
AGACAGAGTAAGACTCCGTCTCAAAAAAAAAAAAAAAAGATTCTGTCTCATACCTAGAAGGAAGGAATGCTACTCAGAGAGACCAAGAAAAATCTAGACAGACAGGCCTTCTGGGTTTCCTCACTCAGTCTGTTAGCATTCAATCATACCTTTTTTGTTCAATCAGGTTTCTTCATAGCTGTTCACACATTGTTAAACCCAAGCACAAAAATGTACAACTTACCCTGTATCTCTGAGTCTTCATTCTGAAGGCTCCTGTGTATATACATTAAATAAAATGTGTATGCCTTTTCTCCAATTAATCAGTCTTTTGTGAGTTGATTTTTCAGTGCAACATGAGAGGGTAAAGGAGAACTTTCCCCATGGCCCCTACAAGGTTATTCACCTGCCTTTCACTGATAAGTTAAATGAGACAAAGACCCTCAATCCCACTGTTTGAATAAGAAGCCAGCAGACTCCTGGGTTTTCTCCTATGTTTATATATAAAGTAGAGGAAGAAAATTCTAAGATATTTTATATGGGTTAAAAAAAAAAAAAAGCCTGGAGTCCGGGTGCGGTGGCTCACGCCTGTAATTCCAGTACTTTGGGAGGCTGAGGCGGGCGGATCACAAGGTCAGGAGATCAAGACCATCCTGGCTAACACGGTGAAACCCCGTCTCTACTAAAAATACAAAAAATTAGCCGGGCGTGGTGGCGGGCGCCTGTAGTCCCAGCTACTTGGGAGACTGAGGCAGGAGAATGGCGTGAACCTGGGAGGCGCAGCTTGCTGAGATCGCGCCACTGCACTCCAGCCTGGGCGACAGAGTGAGACTCTGTCTCAAACAAAACAAAACAAAAAAACCCTGAAAATGGTTGGCTATGGTGGTTCAAGCCTGTCATCCCAGCACTTTGGGAGGCAGATCACTTGAGGCTAGGAGTTCAAGACTAGCCTGGCCAACATAGTGAAACCTTATTTCTACTAAAAATACAAAATTAGCCGGGCATGGTGGCCCATGTCTGTAGTCCCAGCTACTCGGGAGGCTGAGGCATGAGGATTGCTTGAACCCAAGAGGCGGAGGTTGCAGTGAGCCAAGATTGTGCCACTACACTCCAGCCTGGGTGACAGAGCCAGACTCTGTCTCGAAAAAAAGAAAAAAAATTAAAAACCACCTGGATATAATTATTCCTTTGAGAAAACAAACTGTTATTTTCCTCCTAACAGTTGTATAAAACAACTAATCAGGCTGGGCACGGTGGCTCACGCCTGTAATCCCAGCACTTTGGGAGGCCAAGGTGGGCAGATCACTTGAGGTCAGGAGTTCAAGACCAGTCTGGTCAACATGGTGAAACCCCATCTGTACTAAAAATACAAAAATTAGCAGGGTGTGGTCGTGCATGCCTGTAATCCCAGCTGCTTGGGAGGCTAAGGCACGAGAATCACTTGAACCTGGGGAGGTGGAGGTTGTAGTGAGCCGAGATTGAGCCACTGCACCCCAGCCTGGGTGAAAGAGCGAGGCTCTGTCACAAAACAAAAAAAACAAAAACACACACACGCACACGCACACACTAATCAAAAGTGAACTCTCCCCTTTTTCCTCTGTTTCAGCAGCTCCCCAACCTTCACAGTTCATGGTTGTCATCACGTGCTCTGTACCTGGTAATGGACATGTTCAGTTTACCCATCTGAAACTCTCAACCCCACTCCATCACCACTGACCCATCCAATCATTTCTGCAGCTAAATTCTAAGCATTGTATAAATACCTCTTCCCTTTCAGCAGTCCAGCTGGCCCAGGTTGAATCCACCTGTGGCTCTCTCATTTCCCTCAATTTCAATTATTCATTTGAAACTATCTTCCAGGATCGACTGTGATATCTTGTATGATGACCACATTCCCTTTATTTGCTTCTGTTCTTCCTAACCCATGTCGCCACCTGTTCATTGAGGGCACAGACAGAATATTCTAAGCTGACTATCACCTGCTGTAAATTCTGGAGTCTCAGCACAACCTGGAGAAATCCACAGCCCAGAGAGGATGTTAATGCCATCCTTACCACAAGAGGGAGCTTCTTATTTTCACTTCTGGAAAATGGCTAAAAACAGAATTTTGGAGTTTTACATAGCACAATATAGATGATAGAAGTAAAGGTAACACCATTCAATTTTGTTTCATTTTCTTTCTTTTTTTTTTTCTTTGAGACAGGGTCTCACTCTATTGCCCAGGCAGGAGTGCATTGTCACGATCACAGCTCACTGCAGCCTCAACCTCCTGGGCTCCAGTGATGCTCCTGCCTCAACCTCCAGTTAGCTGGGACCACGGGTGTGTACCACCATGCCTGGCTTATTTTTTAAAAAGTTATTTGTAGAGGTAGGGGTCTCACTATGTTGCCCAGGTGGTCTTGAACTCTGGGCTCAAGTGGTCCTCTTGCCTCGGCCTCCCAAAGTGTTAGGATTACAGGTGTGAGCCACTGTGGCCAACCTGGTTTCATTTTTATGATTTAACTTTTCCTAGGTTAAAAAAGCAAATAAGTCCATGCACAGTGGCTCACCTCTGTAATCCTAGCACTTCGGGAGGTCGAGGCTGGAGGATCACTTGAGCCAAGGAGTTTGAGACCAGCCTGGAGCCTGGGCAACCTAGTGACACCCTGTCTCCACCAAAGAAAGAAAGAAAGAGAAAGAGAGAGAGGGAGAGCAAAAAAGTCTGTGAATCTTAACTGAATTTCTCTGAATATGAGAAGTGCAAGGAAATATCTCTACAAACGGAAAGATGTAGGAGTAACTGAGGTGGTACAAAGGATTCTCTCTGAGATGGTGACATTTACTGTGAGACCTGAAATAATATATTAGGGCAGTAAAACGTTAGGGCAGAGGATTCAGGGAAGATGGCAGAGTAGCAAGCATAAAAAAGCTTTCTCAGGCCGGGCGCAGTGGCTCACGCTTGTAATCCCAGCACTTTGGGAGACTGAGGCGGGCAGATCATGAGGTCAGGAGTTTGAGACCAGCCTGACCAGCATGGTGAAACTCCGTCTCTACTAAAAATACAAAATTTAGCTGGGCATGGTGGCCTGCACCTGTAATCCCAGCTACTTGGGAGGCTGAGGCAGGAGAATCGCTTGAACCCGGGTGTCAGAGGTTGCAGTGAGCAGAGATTGCACCACTGCACTCCAGCCGACAGAGCGAGACTCCATCTAAAAACAAAAGCAAAAACAAAAACAAAAACAAAACCAAGCTGTCTCAGCCGGGTGTGGTGGCTCACAGCTATAATCCCAGCACTTTGGGAGGCTGAGGTGGGCAGATCACCCGGGGTCGGGAATTCGAGACCAGCCTGACCAATGTGGAGAAACCTCATCTCTACTAAAAATACAAAATTAGCCGGGTGCGGTGGTGCATGCCTGTAATCCCAGCTACTTGGGAGGCTGAGGCAGGAGAATCGCTTGAACCCGGGAGGCAGAGGTTGCGGTGAGCCGAGATCGCACCATTGCACTCCAGCCTGGGCAACAAGAGCGAAACTCTGTCTTAAAAAAAAAAAAAAAGCTGTCTCCCCACCTAGACAACCACTGGACTGACAGAATCATCTGATGTAGCAATGTTATAACTGTGGAGGCTATTGAAGCTTTGCAACTTCCATAAAAAGGATTAGACAGTAAACTATGGCTAATTGTGGTCATTTTATCACTTAGCACAATACAAGCTATCATCCCCACCCTTACCCCTGTTGCAGGCAGCTGCACATGGAGTGTTTTCCTCTAATTTGGCCTCGGGATCTCTCTCAGAAGCGTGGCTATAAACTTTAGTGCTGGCCAGGCGGGGTAGCTCATGCCTGTAATCCCAGCACTTTGGGAGGCCGAGGCGGGCGGATCACAAGGTCAGGAGATCAAGACCATCCTGGCTAACCTGGTGAAACCCAGTCTCTACTAAAAAAAATACAAAAAATTAGCCAGGCATGGTGGCGGGCGCCTGTAGTCCCAGCTACTCAGGAAGCTGAGGCAGGAGAATGGCGTGAACCCGGGAGGCAGAGCTTGCAGTGAGCCGAGATTGCACCACTGCACACCAGCCTGGGCCACTGAGTGAGACTCTGTCTCAAAAAAAGCAAAAACAAAAACAAACAAAAAGAACTTTAGTGCTGCATTGACGGGGCTCCAGGACACTTGGTTGTGGATATTTACAGTGTGACTTTCATGGGGTCTAATATTTAAGTGTTAACCCATAACCAAATGTCCTTCACAGGAAACTTGATTATACTGGCAGATGCCCTTATGGTTCTACCTCTGCCAAGTTAATCTCTACCAAGATAGCCAGATACCCACTCTCTACAGAGCCCTGACCTGGTAATAAGCTAGACATAGGTGTGGCAGTCAGGTGAGACGTGTGAGACAGCATCAGGCAGGCCAATATATGCACTGTGGGAGTTTCAGAAGGAGAAGAGACAGAGAAAGGTCAGGGGAGACTATTTGGAGAAATAATAGCTGCAAATATTCCAAATTAGATAAAAGCCATGAATGAATGCTGTCATCCAAGAAGCTCAATGAACTCCAGGTAGGATGAATGCAAAGAGAAGGACATGAAGACATATTATACTCAAATTGTCAAAGCCAAACATAAAGGGAGAACCTTGAAGGCAGCAAGAAAGAAGTGAATCATCACATATAAATGATCTTTCATAAGATCATCAGCAGATTTCTCATCAGAAGCGCTGAAGGCCAGAGGTAGTGGGCTGATGTATTCAAGGTACTTAAAAAAAAATGGCCACGGTGGCACATCCCTGCAGTCCCAGCTATTCCGGAGTCTGAAGTGGGAGGATCAGTTAAGGCCCAAGAGTTCAAGGCCAGCCTAGGTAACATGGCAAGACTCCATCTCAGAAACAAAGACAGCCAAGAATCCAATATCTGGCAACATTGTCTTTCAAAAGTGAGGAGGAAATTAAGGCATGCTCACATGAACAAAAACTGAGGTAGTTTTGTTCTTTTTGTTTTTGCCATTAGATGTACCCTGTGAGAAACGCAAAAGCCTTCTACAGGTTGAAATAGAACACTGGACAATATCTGGAAGGCGTAAGCCCAAATAAAGATCTCAGTAGAAACAAATGCATGGACAATTATAAATGCTAATATTATTGTACAATAATTGTGAACTCCAGTTTTTGTCTTTACATAATTGAAGATACAAATCCATTAAAAATTATTAGTCTAAAAGCTAGCATTTTAGACTTGGCTTTTGAACTCTATATTTTGTTTTTTTACACAGTTTAAGAGACTAATAAAAAAGAAACTAGGTTGGGCGTGGTGGCTCACGCCTGCAATCCCAACACTTTGGGAGGCTGAGGCAGGCAGATCACGAGGTCAAGAGATTGAGTCCATCCTTACCAACATGGAGAAATCCCATCTCTACTAAAAAAAGAAATACAAAAATTAGTTGGGCGTGGTGGCGCACGCCTGTAATCTCAGTTACTTGGGAGGCTGAGGCAGTAGAATCACTTGAACCCAGGAGGCGGAGGTTGCAGTGAGCCGAGATTGCACCACTGCACTGCAGCCTGGAGACAGAGAGAGACTCCGTCTCAAAAAAAAAAAAAAAGAAAGAAAGAAACGAATGCACCGAAAATATGTTTGCGTTTTTGAATACATAAAGTATAAAGATGTAAATTTATGACACCAAACTGAAAGGGGTGTGAACAGGCATGCCATGGAGCATTGTATTTGCATGCTATTTATGTTAAATTGGCATAAATTTAGAATGTTATGGCCTTAGGATGGTAAACGCAATCCCCATGGTAATTAACAGAGCAGTAGTGTATACACAAAAGGAAACAATAAAGAAATTTAAATGTTTCACTACAAAAAGCAATTAAAAGCAAAATAATGCAGAAATGCATGAAATGAGAAGAAAAAAGCTACAAGGCATATTGAAAACAAATAGGAAAATGACAAAACCAAGTCCTTTCTTATCAGGAATTACTTTATCTATTTATTCATTTTGAGACACAGTGTTGCTCTGTCGTCCAGGCTGGAGTGCAGTGGTACGATCTCGGCTCACTGCAACCTCTGCCTCCTAGGTTCAAGTGATTCTCATACCTCCAAAGTAGCTGGGATTACAGGCATGCAATTCTCCTGCCTCAGCCTCCCAAGTAGCTGGGATTACAGGCATGCGTCACCACACCCGGCTAATTTATTTCTATTTTTAGTAGAGACAGGGTTTCACTGTGTTGGCCAGGCTGGTCTGGAACTCCTGGCCTCAAGGGATCTGCTCACTTCGGCTTCCCCAAGTGCTGGGATTACAGGCGTGAGCCGCAGCGCCTGGCAATGTGAGTTAATTTTAGTGTATAATGTGAGAAAGGTTCTCAGTTCATCTTTCTGCAGGTCAATATCCCATTTTCCCAGCACATTGTTGAAAACCCATTCCCTATGAAAGCATCTTGGCCCATTTGTTGAAAATCAATGAGCCATAAACAAAGAGTGTCTTAGTCCATTTGTGCTGCTATCGTGGAATACCACAGACTGGGTAATTTATAAAGAATAGAAATTGACTTTCTCACAGTTCAGAAGGCTTAGAAATCCAAGAAGACACTGGCATCTGGCTTCAGCATTGCTGCATTCTCACAGGGTGGAAGACAGGAGGGCAAGAGAGGGCAAATTGCATTCATCAAACCCTGTATAATGCCATTAATCTATTCACGAGGGCAGAGTCCTCATGATCTAATCACCAAAAGGCCCCTCCTCCCAATAGTGTTGCAGTGGGAATTAAGTTCTGACTTATAAATTTTAGAGAGTACACAAATATTTAAACCATAGCTAAGGGACTCTCAATTCTGCCCTGCTGGTCTATATAGCTGACAATTTGCCAGTAAGTCTGGTTACTTTACTACCCACCCTGATGCTGAAGCATCCCATTCCGTCCCACATGATAGTCATGCAGGCATAGAAATGGTTCTAAAGCCGCAAGAGCATCCCTTAGACAACCTAGATGTACTTCTATTTTAGGATACATCCTGTAAAAGAAATTTTCTGAAGAACATAATAATGGGTCATGCCATGGTTGCTCCACATGAAACGCTCGGGGCACTGTCTTCACTCACTGTAAAATCAGCCCAAGGACTGAACTCATAGCTCTTAGGAAAGCTTGCACATTGGCAAACAAGAAAACTGACACAGAGAGTAAGCTTCCACACCCACAATCTCAGCTACTCAGGAGGCTGAGGCAAGGGGATTCTTGAGGCCAGGAGTTTGAGGCCAGTTTGAACCACACAGCCAGATTCCACCTCAAAAAGAAAAAAGAAAAAGAAAACGGCTACAATTTACACGGATACCAGATACGCTTTGGGAGTCTTTCATGCAGTGGACACAGTCTCAAAACCTGGAGGATTTACAACTTGTTCTGGTTACTTATTACCTATCATCTATTACCAATGGACATGTAATACATGCACTATTACAGGCTATTCATCTCCCTCCCAAAGTGGCTACTGTTCACTGTTCAGTCCATATTAAGGAGACTTATCCTATGTCTTTCAGGAATGATAGGGCTTAAATACTGTTAAATAGAAAGACAGACATGTACCCCTTTATCCTTTCTCCCCCCAATTTATAAGCCTGCCTTTTTTTTTTTTTTTTTTTTGAGGTGGGGTCTTGCTCTGTCACCCAGGCTGCAGGGCAGTGGCATGATCACAGCTCAGTGCAGCCTCAACCTTCCAGGCTCAAGTGATCCTCCAACTTCAGCCTCCAAAGTAGCTGAGATCACAGACATGTGCCACCATGCCCAAATAATTTACTTTTTTATTTTTATTTATTTATTTATTTATTTTTATTTTTATTTTTTTTGAGACAGAGTCTCGCTCTGTCGCCCAGGCTGGAGTGCAGTGGCGCGATCTCGGCTCACTACAAGCTCCGCCTCCCGGGTTCACGCCATTCTCCTGCCTCAGCCTCCAGAGTAGCTGGGACTACAGGCGCCCACCACCACGCCTGGCTAATTGTTTGTATTTTTAGTAGAGATGGGGTTTCACCGTGTTAGCCAGTATGGTCTCGATCTCCTGACCTCGTGATCTGCCCACCTTGGCCTCCCAAAGTGCTGGGATTACAGGCGTGAGCCACCGCGGCCGGCCATTTTTTTATTTTTTGTAAAGGCTGTCTTTAACTCTGGTTGATATTACTATCAGGTAAATGTCCCATAATCTGAAGGAGACCAATAGATACAAAAGAGAGACAAACAATTGTTGGAGAGATTATATATGCCTCATGATTAGTAATTATAGTAACTTGTTAACAATTGTCATTGTTAATGAAAATCAGATTATACCAAACATACTCCTTGTAGCCCCTTTCTCTCTCTCTTTTTTTTTTTTTTCTTTTTTTTGAGATAGAGTTTCACTCTTATTGCCTGGGCTGGAGTGCAATGGCACGATCTCAGCTCATTGCAACCTCCGCCTCCTGGGTTCAAGCAATTCTCCTGCCTCAGCCTCCCAAGTAGCTGGGATTACAGGCATGCGCCACCACGCCCGGTTAATTTTTTGTATTTTTTAGTGGAGACAGTGTTTCTCCATGTTGGTCAGGTGGTCTCAAACCCCCTACCTCAGGTGATCCACCCGCCTCGGCCTCCCAAAGTGCTAGGATTACAGGTGTGAGCCACCATGCCCGACCAGCCCCTTTCTTTTGATATTTTGCTTTGCACTAATCTCCTACCAGCTGGGACATTTACAGAGATAGGAAATAGTTAAGAAAATTAAAAAAAGAAAAAAAAAGAAAAAAAAGAAAAGAAAACTGGCTGTGCCCTGGCATTTACAAAATTTCTGACCCAATTATTTCTCACAACACTACTTACTTGTAAATCTCACACAACACTGCTTACTTGTAAATCTCACACAATTTCATTCCCATGTATATATTCAAGAGAATTGAGGGCAGGGACTCACACAGACACATGTATTCTAATTCTATAGCAGCCTTATTCACAGTAGTCAAAATGTGATTGTGGAAACCCACATGTTTATCAACATATAAATGGATGAGAACAGTGTGTTTTAACTATACAATGGAAAATTATTCAAGCACTAAACAAGAATTTCTGATATGTGCCACCACATGGATGGATCTTGGAAATATTATGCTAAGTGAAATTAGCCAGATATAGAAGCACAAATACTGTATGCTTTCACTTATATGAGGTGCCTAGCATAGTCAAATTCACACAGAGAGAAAATAGAATAGAGATTATCAGGACCTGGGGGTGGGAGAGAATAGGGAATTATGTGTATGTATATGGGATGCTAAGTAGAAATAGCAAGTGGTATGGTAACATGTATAGTATAATCCCATCCAGTATGTATTTTAGTTTGTACCAGCATTGAAGAAGGGTCTTCCAGATGGACAGTCCCAGTGGTTACACTTGCCATAGGCAACAATGCCCCTGGGCCACATCTTGGAAGTCTATTTGAATTACATTTCAATGCAATTTATTCTTATGAATACTCTAATGAAACAGCTCTTATCAAGGCACCCAGTGACCAAACACTTGTCAAAATCTACGTCAACCCTGTTTCCTTGTCTTATTCAAACTCTCAGTTACCTGTGACAGAGTTGGCCACTCTCTCATCTTTAGATACTTTCTTCTGGAGGCTTCCAGGAGAGGACATCCACCTGTTACTCCTCCTGCCTCACCAGCCTGCCCAGTCTCTTCCAGGCTCTTCCTCCTGCTAACCTCAGGGGTTGCCAGCACTTGGACTCCTCTTGAGCACTCAATTTTTAAATTTATTTTTTATTTTTATTTTTGAGATGGAGTCTCGCTCTGTTGCCCAGGTTGAAGTGCAGTGGCACTATCTCGGCTCACTGCAACCTCCACTTCCTGGGTTCAAGCAATTCTCCTGCCTCACCCTCCCAAGTAGCTGGGACTACAGGCAAACGCCACCAAAGCCGGCTAATTTTTGTATTTTTATTAGAGATGGGGTTTCACCATATTGGCCAGGCTGGTCTCGAACTCCTGACCTCATGATCTGCCTGCCTCGGCCTCCCAAAGTGCTGGGATTACAAGCGTGAGCCACTGCACCTGGCTGAGCAGTCATTTTCTGTTATAATTCGCTCCTAACTCTGAAACCAGTTGGCCTGTTCTGGACCCGGGGCTTCAAATAACTTCCGCATGATAATATTCTCAACATTCCATCCAGATCTCCCTTGCAAGCTCCAGACTCCCAGGTCCAGTGGCCTGCTGAAAAATCTTCCCTTGTTTGGCTCAAATATGTCATGGCTGAACATGAAACGTAACCCTTGACTTCCCCTCCTGTCAACTCCCCTGAGCCTTGTTCCTCTGAGTAAGAGGCAGCACCCAGGAGCTCTGAACAGTAGGACACATCCTTGACTCTTCTCTCTTTTCACATCATCAGAAGTTCTACAGGAGCTACCTCTGCCTGGTTCACTCCCACTCAGGTTTCAGGTTTTAATTTGAGCATCAGTCCCCACACCAGGGAAGCCTCCACTAACCTCTCAGACTCGTTTGGGAACCCCCTCCATCATCATATGCTCTCAGATCCACACACCCTTCTGTACTGCACTGAACACTATCAGCACCGGTCCTTTATGTTTATGTCCAGACTCCACTAAATAGTGGGAATGGTAGGGCCTTTCTCTACCATCCCACCCAGCTCCAAAAACACTGCTCAGGTTCATATCTAGATTTCGAAATACACAACCTTCTGTTAACATCCACTAACACTAGCCAAGTCCAGGCCAGCACGACCTATCTTGCAACTACTACTGTGGTTTTCAAACTGGTCTTCCAGCTCCCCTCTAGCATCTTTTTTTCCCAACCAAGAGAAGGAGTAAACTTCTTCAAACACTAATGAAAACTGCTGCTTTGCTCAAAATCCAGTAACTGTCTATAACATGGCGACAAGATCCCATGTGATCTGGCCCCTGCCTACCTATTGAAGCCCATCTATTATTACCTTGGCACTCTAGCTGTGGTCCAAGGATCAACAACACAGATGACACCTGGAAGCAAGTTAGGAAGGCAGACTTTCTTTCATTTTTGAGACAGAGTTTCGTTCTTGTTGCCCAAGCTGGAGTGCAATGGCAAGATCTCGGCTCACTGCAACCTCCACTTCCCGGGTTCAAGTGATTCTCCTGTCTCAGCCTCCCGAGTAGCTGGGATTACAGGCGTGCACCACCATGCCCGGCTAATTTTTTGTATTTTTAGTAGAGATTGGGTTTCACCATGTTGGCCAGGCTGGTCTCGAACTCCTGACCTCAGGCAATCCACCTGCCTCGGCCTCCCAAAGTGCTGGGATTACAGGCGTGAGCCACTGCGCCCGGCCAGGAATGCAGACTTTCATGCCCTACTCTTAATCTGCTGAGTCAGAAGCTGAATTTGAAGATCCATATTTCCTGTGAAAGTTTGAGAAGTACATCTCATAAGCTTCCCCCTCCACCTGATTCAGCCCTAAGGGTATTGCATATTCCTCACCACTGAGGTATTTGAATCAACAAAATGTCTTAGGTGGCGTAGACCCAGGAGGGCTGCAAAATGCTTGGGCTTGAACTGGGAGAGGACACTAGAGAGACAGTCCCAAGAAGACCATGCGGCCACGGCCGAGCCTGCCTTTCCAGCACTGCCATGGCATGTCCCACTGCTCCTGAAGTACAGGAATGGCCACTCATGGGAACTGACCGGGAGTGACTGTGTGCGCAGTCAGCAACACACTGAGGCTGGAGTGCTTGTAGCAGGATGAGCCGCAGACGAAACCCCTCAGACATCACGTTAAAGAAGGAAGGGCTTTATTCAGCCAGGAGCATCGGCAAGACTCACATCTTAAAAACCGAACTCCCCGAGTGAGCAATTCCTGTCCCTCTTAAGGGCTCACAACTCTAAGGGGGTCCGCATGAGAGGGTCGTGATTGATTGAGCAAACAGGGAGTACGTGACTAGGTGCTGCATGCACTGGCAATTAGAACAGAACAGAACAGGACAGGGATTTTCACAGTGCTTTTCTCTTCAATGTCTGTAATCTACAGATAACATAACCGATTAGGTCAGGGGTAGATCTTTAACTACCAGGCCTAGGGTGAGGCGCCGGGCTGTCTGCCTGCGGATTTCATTTCTGCCTTTTAGTTTTTACTTCTTCTTTCTTTGGAGGCAGAAATCGGGCATAAGACAATATGAAGGGGTGTCTCCTCCCTTCTGCTCACACACTGAGGCTGGAGTGCTCGCACCCTGCTACCCATGTGCTCACCCTGGGATTCGGGGAAGCATGCACACAGGCAAGCAGGAAAAACACGAGGATCCTGGAAGGGGATGGGCAGAACGTGATGGAGGAGAGAGGTTTCTGCTTCCTCCAAGGGCCAAAAGTCACTGTCTGACATGTGAACGAGATACTCTAACAGAGTTCGGGGTTGGGGTAGGGGCAGATACCCAGTACCTGCTACAAAAGGCCAGTAGTAAAGTCACAACAAATACCAAAATGTCATGTTTCAAAGGCTCTTTAGATAAGCATCGATTTTAAAACCATATAAGAATTAAACTTGTTGCCAGGCAGCATGACTCATGCCTGCAATCACAACACTTTGGGAAACCGAGGCGGGAAGATGGCTCGAGGCCAGGAGTTCAAGACCAGCCTGAGCAAGATAGCAAGACCTCATTTCTCCAAAAAAAAAAAAAAAAAAAAAAAAAAATTAGCTGAGTTTGGTACCATGCACCAGTAGTCTTAACTACTTGGGAGACTGAGGCAGGAGGATGTCATGAGCCCAGGTGCTCAAAGCTGCTGTGAGCTATGATTACACCACTGCATTCCAGCCTGGATAACAGAATAAGATGCGATCTCTAAAAATTAAAAAAAAAAGAATTAAATCTACTTGTCTATTACACATAAACTTCAAGCAACTCAAGGATCCAAGAGAATACAAAATTGAAAGAAAAATTTTATCAACTGACTTTACCAAAACAAACCCACCACCTATTCAACTTATGAAAGCTCTTTTTAAAATCAACTTTTATTTTAGATTCAGGGAGTACACATGCAGGTTTGTTACTTGGGTATTTTGCATGATGCTGAGGTTTAAAGTATGATTGATTCCATCACCCAGGTAGCGAGCATAGTTCCCAACAGGTGGTTTTTCAACCTTTCACCTCCCTCCCTCCCCCGTCTACTAGTCCCCAGTATGTATTGTTCCCATCTTTATGTCCATGTTTACTCAATGTTTAACTCCCCCCTTTTTTTTTTTTTGAGATGGAGTCTCGCCCTGTCACCCAGGCTGGAGTGCAATGGCACGATCTTGGCTCACTGCAACCTCCACTTCCTGGGTTCAAATGATTCTCCTGCCTCAGCCTCCCGAGTAGCTTGGATTACAGGCACCTGCCACCACGCCCAGCTAATTTTTGTATTTTTAGTAGAGACAGGGTTTCACCATGTTGGCCAGGTTGGTCTTGAACTCCTGACCTCGTGATCCACCTGCTTCGGCCTCCCAAAGTGCTGGGATTACAGGCGTGAGCCACTGCACCCAGCTGTTTAACTCCCATTTCTAAGTGAGAATATGTGGTATTTGGCTTTCTGTTCCTGTGTTAATTTGTTTAGGGTAACAGCCTCCAGCTGCATCCATGTTGCATCAAACGACATGATTTTATTCTTTTTTTTTTTTTTTTTGAGACAGAGTCTTGCTCTGTTGCCCAGGCTGGAGGGCAGTGGCACAATCTCGGCTCACTGTAACTTCCACCAGGTTCAAGCAATTCTCCTGCCTCAGCTTCTCGAGTAGCTGGGACCACAGGCATGCACCACCACAGTCGGCTAATTTTTGTATTTTTACTAGAGACGGGGTTTCACCATGTTGGCCAGGCTAGTCTCGAACTCCTGACCTCAGGTGATCCACGCCTCCCAAAATGCTGGGATTATAGGTGTGAGCCATTGCCCCTGGCTGATTTTTTTTTTTTTTTATGGTTGTGATGAACCTTTGTGTAAAGAAAATTTACAAAGATATCTCACATTAATTTTTTAATATAAGACTTAGGAATCCAGAGTGAAGATCTATTTTGTCAATGAGCCACTGATAAAGACAATATTTATGTATTTTATAACATTTCTTTGATGTGGCAAATTTTCTGGAACATTATACATGAGTAAATTTGGTTAAGAATTTCCTGAATTACTTACGTACATTTACCTCCAGTCGTGTGAGGATGAGGAGCCTTCAAGCCAACAAAGTTGTAGACCTATATCCATGGAAGTGACGAGCAGGTCATTTCATCAGGAAACTCTCACACTTGTCAGCAGATAGATGCTGCACATGGAATTAGTTCTATTCCTCAGAAATTTATATATATTTGTAAGAAATGTGATTTAAATTCAATACTATATAGTTTATGTTATTGTGTACACAGCATATGTTTACTCCATAAGCAGGACCTTGACTCCATTATCAGGTTTAATACTTTTCCAGGTGTTTTGTTTTTAGTTTCCTGGGCAAATAGTGCTATCATCTCCAATCACGATACTTGCTTCTTCCATCTGGTTCTTCATAGTGATCTTTTTTTTTTGTTTTTGTTTGGAGACTGAGTCTCGCACTGTCACCCAGGCTGGAGTGCAGTGGTGCAATCTCAGCTCACTGCAAACTCTGCCTCCCGGGTTCAAGCGATTCTCCCACTTCAGCCTCCCAAGTAGCTGGGATTATAAGCGGCCGCCACCATGCCTGGCTAATTTCTGTATTTTTAGGAGATATGGGGTTGCACCATGTTGGCCAGGCTGGTCTTGAACTCCTGACCTCAGGTGATCTGCCCGCCCCGGCCTGCCAACATAATGATCATTTTTTGACAGTAAGTACTATAGACTACCGTAATAATAAGTGGGGTTAAACAGACATATTTGCTTTCATTAGATTCTGTTCCTCCTTTCACTGGGAAGCCTCTCACCTACCGGTTCCTCATCGTGCTGTGCTCTGAAACATACCTTAATGAAGAATCTGATATCCAAAAAATTCATCTTCAAAATGGAAGACAAAAGAAAAACTATCCCAGGCTTAAAATATATATATTGAGAGAATGTGTTCCTACTACACCAGACCTACAAGAAAGATCAAAGGAGGGTCTTCAATTTGAAATTAAAAAAAGTCAAAATCCACAGGGAAAAACAAAGAGCACCATTAGAGATTATGTAAGTGGGAACGACAAATGGTATGTGTATTTCTTCATCTTTCTTCTCGTTATAGATTTAAAAGGCAACTGTGTAAAATAATAAGTAGTCAATGGATTGTTGGGCCTACAACATAGAAGAATGTAACATGTGCATTATATTTACAAATGAAACCATAAAAAAGTGAGCTAACTAAATGACTACCAAAGCAAAGTAGAAAGAATGTATTGTTGGATGTGTAAACCTAAGGATTGTTACACATGCAACAAAATACCCCAGAAAGGCAAAAAATATAATAGGGCTTTAGAGGATAAATATGTTTGTATATCACTGGAATTTATCCATAGATCACTGGAAAATTGACCCTGATTGGGATAAGTTATTTACATGATAAACACTTGAGTAAACACTACAGAACCTCAAGTCATCCTACATTGTAAAGACGTATTGGATGAAAGCAGAATTTACTGTCCTTCCTAAATTAAAAATGGACACTACATACATTCTATAACATTATGAGGACAAGATTTCCCTCATTCATCCAACTTGGAAGTTTCCATGTTATATTACATATTTCCCCTTCAACATTCACTCTACAATTAGAATCAGAAAATTGTTTCTTGTGCAGGTCGTGATCTCTCTATATCCATTTCTTGAACTTCTAGCCCAGGTACAGAATTACATTTCAACGATCCCTTATTTTGCATTATATGTTCTCAAAAAATTTTTTTTTTTTGAGACAGAGTCTCGCTCTGTCACCCAGGCTGGAGTGCAGTGGCGCAATCTCGGCTCACTGCAAGCTCCGCCTTCTGGGATCACGCCATTCTCCTGCCTCAGCCTCCCGAGTAGCTGGGACTACAGGCGCCTGCCACCACGCCCAGCTAATTTTTTGTATTTTTAGTAGAGACGGGGTTTCACCGTGTTCGCCAGGGTGGTCTTGATCTCCTGACCTTGTGATCCACCCCCCTCGGCCTCCCAAAGTGCTGGGATTACAGGCGTGAGCCACCAGGCCCGGCCTCCCTGACTTTTTTTATGGTGCAAAAATACACATAAAATAAAATTTACCCTCTTTTTTTTTTTTTTTGAGAAGGGGTCTCACTCTGTCACCAAGTTGGAGTGCAGTGGCACGATCTCTGTTCACTGCAATCTCTGCCTCCTGGGTTCAAGCAATTCTCCTGCCTCAGCCTCCCCAGTAGCTGGGACTATAGGCGTGCGCCACCACACCCAGCTAATTTTTGTATTTTTAGTATAGATGGGGTTTCACCATGTTGGCCAGGATGGTCTCGATCTCCTGACCTTGTGATCCCCCTGCCTCGGCCTCCCAAAAGTTCTGAGATTACAGGCATGAGCCACTGTGCCTGGACAAAATTTACCCTCTTAACCCTATTCATGAGGGCCCTACCCTCATGGTCTCATTTCATCCTAATGTCCTCCCAGAGATCCCATCTCCTCATTCCATACATTAGAGAGTAGTCTTTCAACGTATGAATTTCAGGGGACAAATAAACTCAATAATATTGTAATCTCCACCCCAATGTATTTCCTCACATGCAAAATACATTTATTCCATCCCAACACCATCAAAAGTCTTGACTCATTCTATCATTAACTCTGAAGCCTAAAATCAAAGTCTCATTTAAATAGCATCTGAATCAGATAAGGGTGAGAGTCAATGTAACATTCATGCTGAGCCAACATTCTTCTCCAGATGTAAAATCAAATCAGTTGTGTACTTTTAAATTATAATGGTGGAACAGTTATAAGATAAACAATGCTATTCCGAAGGGGAGCCATATAAGGGGTGGAAGAGTGACAGTTCCCAAGCAAGTCCAAAACCTGGAAAGGTAAACTTCATGAGATTTTTTTTTTTTTTTTTGAGATGGAGTTTCGCTCTTGTTGCCAAGGCTAGAGTGTAATGGCGCGATCTCAGCTCACTGCAACCTCTGCC
The DNA here is from genome assembly GCF_000001405.40 of Homo sapiens. Lineage (NCBI taxonomy): Eukaryota > Metazoa > Chordata > Mammalia > Primates > Hominidae > Homo > Homo sapiens. The sequence goes on from NC_000019.10 coordinate 11,715,339, forward strand.
TGCCGGGTTCAAGCGATTCTCCTGCCTCAGACCCCTGAGTAGCTTGGATTACAGCCATGTGCCACCACGCCTGGCTAATTTTGTATTTTTAGTAGAGATGGGGTTTCTCCATGTTAGTCAGGCTGGTCTCGAACTCCCAACCTCAGGTAATCCGCCCGCCTCGGCCTCCCAAAGTGCTGGGATTACAAGTGTGAGCCACTGCGCCCGGCCAGGATCTTAAGGCTAAATAATAATCCCTTTTCATTCAATACTCTGCCCTCAAGGAATTGTGACACAGCAATTGTGTCCCAGCATCTCTGTTAGACATGGATCAAACCCAAATAGCGTTTGATGGCACTGCATCCACACTTCTGGGTTTAGCTCATCTTGTTTGTGGAAACTCCAAAATGTCCCCTACTGTTGATGCTCAGGAGGCAGCCTTCATGACCTCTAAACAGCTACTGGGATCCTTCTTCTCTTGTCTCTAAGAATACCATGCATTCAGCTCTATGGATGGTTCCTGTAAAATCATACAGGTCCAACAACTTTCATTTTTTCCTGTGACCTTCACTTTCAGTTCAAAGGGGCTATTTTACTGCTGAGGTGGCTAAGTCCATGGTTAACAAGAATACCACTCTTCCTATCAAAAGGTCTTGGACACACCCTTGGTGCTGTCTTCCCAGCATGCCTTTTCATCTTTGCGATAATTGTTTTCTAAACATTTTCATTTCAATTTCTCAATTTCTTCTTGCTTAATAATTCCATCTCCAACATTTTTCTCTACTCACATTTTATTTATTTATTTATTGAGACAGAATCTCACTCTGTCGCCCAGGCTGGAGTGCACTGTTGCGATCTCGGCTCACTGCAACCTCTGCCACTTGAGTTCAAGCGATTCTCCTGCCTTAGCCTCCCGAGCAGCTGGGATTACAGGCATGTGACACCACATCTGGCTAATTTTTGTATTTTTAGCAGAGACAGGGTTTTACCATGTTGGTCAGGCTGGACTCGAACTCCTAACCTCAAGTGGTCTGCCTGCCTCAGCCTCCCAAAGTGCTGGGATTACAGGTGTGAGCCACCGCGCCCGGCCTCTCCTCACATTTAGTATATGCAGTCAAGAGGATCCAAGTTGTTTTTTTTTTCCTTTTTTTTTTTTTTTGAGACAGAGTCTGGCTTTGTCACCCAGGCTGGAGTGCAGTGGCGCAATCTCGGCTCACTGCAAGCTCCACCTCCTGGGTTCTCACCATTCTCCTGCCTCAGCCTCCCGAGTAGCTGGGACTACAGGCGCCCGCCACCATGCCCGGCTATTTTTTTTGTATTTTTAGTAGAGACGGGGTTTCACTGTGTTAGCCAGGATGGTCTCAATCTCCTGACCTCGTGATCCACCTGCCTCGGCCTCCCAAAGTGCTGGGATTACAGGCGTGAACCCACCACGCCCGGCCCAGGTTGTTTTTTTCAACACTTCTAAGAAATATTGTCAGCTCAATATCAAGTTTCATCACTTCCTAGTTCTAGTTTCCCCAAAACAGTAGCACCGGAGTACAATGCACCAAGTTCTTTGCCACTTTCTGCAACGGTTCATCTTTTCTCTATTATGCAGTAATATTGTCCTCAATTCTGAGACCTCATTAGTATTGCCTTTATTGTCCATATATCCACCAAAATTTTGTACATGATTTTTTATGTGCCCTAGTAAGATGGAAGCTTTCTCTATTCCTCTTTTTATTTTATTTTTTTAGAGAAGGGGTCTTGCCACACTGCCTAGGCTGGTCTTGAACTGCTAGGCTCAAGCGATCCTCCTGCCTCACCCTCCCAAAGTTCTGGCATTATAGGCATGAACCACCATACCCCGCCTGCCTGTCCTCTTTTGTGAGCTCTTACCAGCGTCCAAAGACAAAATTACAACAAATTTAGGTACTGGCAGATTTAGTGTCTGATGAGGGCCTGTTTTCTGATTCACAGACAGCTGTCTTTTTTGTTTATTTTTTGAGGCAGAGTCTCACTCTGTCACCCAGGCTGCAGTGCAGTGGTGTGATCACGGCTCACTGCAGCCTCGGCTTCCCTGGGCTTGGGTGATCCTCCCACCTCAGCCTCTTAAGTAGCTGGAACTACAGGCGTGTGCCACCATGCCCAGCTCATTTTTGTATTTTTTGTAGAAATGGGGCTTTATCATGTTGCCCAGGCTGGTCTTGAACTCCTGGGCTCAAGTGATCTGCCCACCTCAGCCTCCCAGAGTGCTGGGATTACAGGCATGAACCACCAGGCCTAGCCTCATAGATAACTATCTTAATGTATCCTCCAAGGCAGAGAGCAAAAAAGCAAGCTGCTGGGCGGACTCACAATAGGTAACCAATTTCATTATTGAGGCTCCACTCTCATGGTCTAATCCAATCTGTATTATATTCCAAAGAAGACGTTCCCTAATCTGTCACGTTAGGGAAATGGATTAGAATGAGTGGATTTTATGAAGACATTTATTCCCTAACAGGTGGTATGCTTTTTGTTGTTGACTTTTTAGAGTTCTCTAAGCAGTCTGCATATTAATTTCTTGTCAGATACATGATTTGGAAATACTTTCTCTCATTCTATGGGTTGTCTATTTTGATGCCGAAAGTTTAAAAATTCCATATATTTCCATTTATTCTCTTATGGGTCATGCCTTTGGTGTCATATCTAGGAAATCATTGGAAAATCCAGGTTCATAAAGCTTTTGCCTTATACTTTTTTTTTTTTTTTTTGAGACGGAGTCTCACTCTGTCACCAGGCTGGAGTGCAGTGGCGCGATCTCAGCTCACTGCAACCTCTGCCTCCTGGGTTCAAGTGATTGTCCTGCCTCAGCCTCCTGAGTAGTGGGATTACAGGCATGAGCTACCATGCCCGGCTAATTTTGTATTTTTAATGGAGACGGGGTTTCTCCATGTTGGTCAGGCTGGTTTCAAACTCTTGAACTCAGGTGATCTGCCAGCCTTGGCCTCCCAAAGTGCTGGGATTACAGGCGTGAGCCACCGTGCCTGGACAGGGAAGGGTACATTTTCATTCTGTTGCATATGGATGTGCATTTTTCCCCAGCATCATTCTATGGAAATACTGTCCTATCCTCCATTGTATCGTCATAGTACGCTTGTCAAAAATTGTTGGACTCACTATGCAAACGTGTATTTCTGTGCTGTCTATTTTGTCACAATGGTCTATTTCTTTGTCAGTATGCTGATATTAAATTTTTTTATTAGTATAAATTTGCTCTAAGTTTTGAAATCAGGAAGTGTCAATCTACCAACTTTGCTCTTGTTTTTCAATTTTATTTTTTATTTATTTATTTTTTTGAGACGGAGTCTCGCTCTGTCGCCCAGGTTGGAATGCAGTGGCGCGATCTTGGCTCACTGCAAGCTCCACCTCCCAGGTTCAAGCCATTCTCCTGGCTCAGCCTCCCGCCCGAGTAGCTGGGACTACAGGTGCCCGCCACTGTGCCCGGCTAATTTTTTGTATTTTTAGTAGAGACGGGGTTTCACCGTGTTAGCCAGGATGGTCTGGATCTCCTGAACTCGTGATCCGCCCGCCTCGGCCTCCCAAAGTGCTGGGATTACAGGCGTGAGCCACTGCACCCGACGTTTTTCAATTCTTGTTTTGTATATTCAGAGTCCCTTAAGATGCCATATGTAAAACAATGGAAAAATGGGTCCTAAAAACTAATCAAGTGGTCAAAGCTATCCCTAAAAGGCTAGCAGGGAGCAAAAAGTGCTATTTCTCAATGAGAAAATAAAAATCTTAGAGAGATGTTTTGAAAAATGCCATGTCACTTTTGAAAGTGGGCCACATGGTAAGAACAAACTAAGCATTCACACACTAAAGCAGAAAGAAGCTGAAATTCTTGGAAGTCTTAGAGCTGCCTCTACAATGGGAAAAATGACCCCTCTGCTTCATGATAAACTGAGTAAAAAGACTGAGAAAGCATTAAGTATGTGGCTAGAGGACACATCGCTGAACAACATCTCTTTTGATAATAAAATAAAGTGGGAAAAAACAGCCTCTATAAATACCACTGTGAGAAGGCTGAGGAGAGCAAGGAAAAGGAGTTTCAGGCCAGTATTGTCTGGCTGGGCTAGCTACATAAAGCGCCAGAGCCTCAAAAATTTAAAGACCACAGGAGAATTGACACTGGCTTATGCCAAGGCAATATTAGCATTCCCAGCAGAGCTCACAAAACTCATAAAAAGGAAGTCTACCTTCCAGAGCAAGTCCTCCATTCCAATGAATTGGGCAAGCCCTAGAAAAAGAAAGCGGTCCAGTGGTACCTACATCCATGACTGCCAAGGAGGCCCTGGGGCTCAGGGCCTGGAAAGATCACCTACTCTGGTGCAGTGTGGCAATGTGGCAGGTCACAAGAACAAGCCAGGCCTTGGCTACTGAGCAAACAATCCCTAGGTCCTTTAGAACCAAAGCAAAACTTGCCTGCCTCCTTTCTGGCAAAAATATAAGAAGGCTTGGGTGATGATCATCTTGTCCTTGGAATGGTTCTACCAAGGCTTCATTCCTGATGTGAAGAAATATCTTGAAGAGAAGGGGCTGCCACTCAAGGTCCTTCTCATAATTGACAATGTTCCTGGCCATCTCCAATCTCTCTACTTTGCCACAAAGAATGTGGAAGTGATGTCCCTGCTGCCTAACACTACATCACAGTGAAAGCTACTCAATCAAGGCATAATCAAGTAGATCCTGACCTTCGGGAGGATTCATGCCATCCTGATGCTAACTCTGACTGTACCATAGTGGATTTATGAAAGCACTTCACAATTGCACATGCAACTGTCCTTATTGCAGAGGCTATAGATGTCCCAGAGCTCAAGAAACTCAAAGCATGCTGGAAGCCATTATGGAGTGAGGGAGTCAATAATTTTAGGGGCTTCCCCACTATTGATGCAGTAGTTAGGAATATCTTAAATACTGCAAGGGGAGTTGGTAAGAAAGGCTATCTCTGACAGGATTGAAGACGATGTTGAGTAACACACAGAAGGGCATAAATTCTTACAACAAGGAACTCAAAGATCTGCTCAAATGCTCTATAGATTGATGATGATAATGATGACTTAAAAAAGGTAGTGCCACAGATTTGGACACTTGAAAAATTTGCAGTAGTTTTTTTTATTTTTTTTGAGACGGAGTCTCGCTCTGTCTCCCAGGTTGGAGTGCAGTGGCGCCATCTCGGCTCACTGCAAGCTCCGCCTCCTGGGTTCACACCATTCTCCTGCCTCAGCCTCCTGAGTAGCTGGGACTACAGGCGCCTGCCACCATGCCCAGCTATTTTTTTGTATTTTTAGTAGAGACAGGGTTTCACTGTGTTAGCCAGGATGGTCTCAATCTCCTGACCTCGTGATCCACCTGTCTCAGCCTCCCAAAGTGCTGGGAATATAGGTGTGAGCCACCTCGCCTGACCTGCAGCAGTTTTTCAATAGGCAAAACTGTTAAGAAAGTTCATCATCCTCAAGTAAGATCCTTCGATGGAACAAAGCCTCCATGTCACCCATGGAATAACATGCCAACAAACAGTGCAAGATTTTTTTGATGACTCAAAAAAAAAGAAAAAAAGAAAAACTAGCTTCCTACACTTCTCACTAAGCACCTGCAAATATAAACACAGAGCCTTCCATGGTTAAGGATCTGCAGCCCTGAAGCTGAACAGATCTTGACATTAGTATTATTTGGCCTCCTCCAACAAGTCAACATCTGCATCAGAACCTAGTTCTTTGAACACTGATGATCATCCTGATATTCTGTCAAGGTTCAAGTTAGCCTGATGTCTCCTGCTTGTCTATAATGCTACAACACATGACAATGTTAGGCACCATCCAGCAATCATCATCATCATCATTATACTTGGGTTATCAAGAGAGAAGCAGGATTTTGATAAGTGTTGACATGCTCATTCAGGTCACAAAACAAAAGCAATCTGTGAATGTTAAAACAAATTTTAATGTTCTGGGTGACATATACCACGTAGGTGGGCCTGCAATGGTTGTGTCTGCATCGAACATGTAGAGACTATTTTTCTTGTCATGATTCTCTAAACAATACAATCAAACAACTATTTACATAGCTTTTACAATGCATGAGGTATTAAAAGTCATCTAGAGATGATTTACACAGTATACTGGAAGATATGCATAGGTTACATGCAAATATGCCATATAACAAAGGACTTGGCATCTGTGGATTTAGAGGGTGCTGGAACCAATCCCCTGCAATATATTGGGGGATAACTGTATTTAAAAAAATTGAAACTACTTAAGGCTTTATCCCATGTTTACATTCATAGGGTCTATCTCCAAAGTGAGTTCTTTCAAGTTTCTGAAATTAAAGTACTGAATGTTTTCCCACATTCCATACATTTAGAGAGTATCTTTCCAGTGAGTCCTTTTATGTCTATGCAAGGAACGGAGAGAACTCAATGCTTTCCCACATTCCTTACATTCATACAGCTTCTCTCCAGTGTGAGTTTTTTCATGTCCTCGAAGGAAACGGGAACGAGTGAAGGCTTTACCACATTGTAGACATTCATAGGGTTTCTCTCCAGTGTGAATTCTTTCATGTCGTAGAAGGCAAGTGAGCCAAGAGAATGCTTTTCCACATTCCTTACATTCATATGGCTTCTCTCCAGAGTGAATCCTTTCATGGACTTTTAAGTTACTGAAATGACTGAAGGCTTTTCTACATGTTTTACACTCATAAGGTTTTTCTACTGTGTGGGTCCTTTTATGTTGAGAAAGGTATTTGAAACAACTGAATGCTTTCCCACATTCCTTACACTCATATGGCTTCTCTCCAGTGTGAGTTGTCTCATGATTTTGAAAGGAAGAGAGATCACTAAAGGCTTTCCCACACTGACATTTATAGGGTTTCACTCCAGTGTGAGTTGCTTCATGTCTTCGAAGGGAACCGGCAAGACTGAAGGCTTTACCACATTGTTTACATTGATAGGGTTTCTCTCCAGTGTGAGTCCTTTCATGTCTTTGAAATAAACTGGGACAACCAAAGGCTTTCCCACATATCTTGCATTTCTGGGGTCCATCTCCTGTGTGTGTTATCATGTGACTTCGAAAGCTCGAGCTATGAGATAACACTTTCCCACACTGCTTACATTCATAGGGTTTCTCTCCAGTGTGAGTAGTTTCATGATTTCGAACTGAACTAGGACAATCAAAGCCTTTCCCACATATCTTACATTTATGTGGTCCGTCTCCAGTGTGCCTTATCATGTGTCTTCGAAAGCTTGTGTGATGATAAAACGTTTTCCCACATTGCTTACATGCATAGGGTTGTTCTCCCGTGTGAGTCCTTTCATGTAGTCGAGTGTAATAGTAACAGCTGAAGGCTTTCCCACATTGTGTACATTTATAGGGTTTCTCTCCGGTGTGAGTTCTCTCATGTCTTAGATAGGTACTGTAATCAGGAAAGGCTTTGGAACACTGCTTACATTCATACGCTTTCTCTCCCGTGTGGATTCTTTCATGTCTTAGATAGGAACTGTAAAAAGGAAAGGCTTTAGAACACTGCTTACATTCATACGGTTTCTCTCCAGTGTGTGTTCTTTCGTGCAAATGAAATAAACTGGGCCAAACAAAGGCTTTCCCACACAACTTACATTTATAAGGTCCATCTCCATGGTGTGCCGCCATGTGTCTTCGGAGGTTTCCAAGAGAACTAAAGGTTTTTGCACATTCTTTACAATCGAAGGGTTTCTTTCCGGTGGGGGGCCTTTCATGTGTCTGGAAGGAGTGCTGATGACTGATGGCTTTCCCACGTTGTTTATGTGTATATGGCTTCTCTCCATATTCCTGATGCTCACATGATTTGTGTCCAGTGTCAACTCTGATGTTGCAATTAAGAGACGAATGACCCAAGACGACTTCTCCACACTCACCACTGTCACATGGATTTACTCGAGGAGTGTTCTTGTTCACAATACTATCTGGAATCTGGCCAAAAGTTTCTCCACATTGACTGTCATCTTTAATTTCACATGTATGACTTCTGTAACAAATAAGAAATATATTACTAAAGGTTTGTTTATAAGTGATTTTCTATATATTGAAGTACTAGATTTATATTTGTAACATTATCATGCAAAGTACAGGCTTCATCCCCTGTTTGAATGTGAAGTGACAGTGCTGTGTAAGATGGTCCCATCACAGCTATTAGCAAAACAGTGATATTCACATGGAGATTCTTTCTTTCTTTCTTTCTTTTTTTTGAGACGGAGCTTCACTCTTGTTGCCCAGGTTGGAGTGCAATGGCACAGTCTCGGCTCACTGCAACCTCTGCCTCTCGGATTCAAGCAATTCTTCTGCCTCAGCCTCCCAAGTAGCTGGGATTACAGGCATGCGCCACCACGCCCTGCTAATTTTGTATTTTTAGTAGAGACAGGGTTTCTCCATGTTGGCCAGGCTGGTCTTGAACTCCCGACCTCAGGTGATCCACCCGCCTTGGCCTCCTAAAGTGCTGGGATTACAGGCGTGAGCCACCGCTCCTGGCCCACATGGAGATTCTTAATACCATTTCCAAGGGAACTATTTTGCAAAGACTGAATAGCTATGTCACATTTAACTATATGTTCCTCGGGAAAATTTTTTTTTATAGAGATGGGGATCTCACTATGTTGCCCAGGCTGATCTCAAACTCCTAGGCTCAAGTAATCCTCCCACCTTGGCCTCCCAAAGTGCTGGGATTACATGTGCGAGTCACTGTGCTTGGTCAGAAAAAGAATTATTGGAATGAATAAATTTAAGCTGGGCTTGTTCATTTTCTCTGCTCGTTTTTAAAATTTTCTTATCATTCTATGAACCACTGCAGGGACATAGCTTTCTTTTGTGGGTGCAAATTACCTTAGATTTCTCTTGGCATTTTGGCACTGATCTCCAATGTTCTGGTCCTCCCATTTCATTTCTAAAAGGTAGACCCAGGAAAATCACTAAAAATGTTTACAAAATTATAGAAAAACTCTAAGATTTTACGCGTACTGCAATCATGCATGATTCATTCACCAAAGTACATGTGACTCTTCAACAACACAGGTTTGAACTGCACAGCTCCACTCATACATGAATGTTCTTCAGTCTCTGCTACCCCTGGGACAGCAAGACCAACCCCTCCCCTTCCTCAGCCCACTCAGTGTGAAGACAACAAGGGTGAAAACCTTTATGAAGATCTACTTCCACTTAATGAATAGTAAATATAGTTTCTCATCTTTTTTTTTTTTTTTTTTTTTGAGACAGAGTCCCGCTCTGTCGCCCAGGCTGGAGTGCAGTGGCGCGATCTCAGCTCACTGCAAACTCTGCCTCCCAGGTTCACGTCATTCTCCTGCCTCAGCCTCCCGAGTAGCTGGGGCTACAGGTGTCCGCCATCACGCCCGGCTAATTTTTTTTGTGTTTTTAGTAGAGACGGGGTTTCACCATGTTAGCCAGGATGGTCTCGATCTCCTGACCTCATGATCTTCCCGCCTCGGCCTCCCAAAGTGCTGGGATTACAGGTGTGAGTCACCGCACCCGGCCAGTTTCTCTTCTTATGATTCTCATCAACATTTTCCTTCCCAAGCCCACTTTACTGTGACAGTACAGTATGTAATACATATGACATACAATATATGGATTAATCTAATGTTTATGTTATCCATAAGTGGGCCAGTCAACAATAGGTTATTAGTGGTTAAGTTGCGGGGGACAAAAAAAGTTATTAGAGGATGTAAGACTGTTTGAGGGGCTGACACCTCTAAACCCTGTGTTGTTCAAGGGTCAACCATATCCTCTTTCCATATTTCAAATCATGAACAGCGTTGATGGCCAGGAAACAAATGTCTCTAATTGACTAAGTGAAGAGATGATGTCATCCTTACCTATACAGTCCAGGTTCCTAATGGTTTCCTGCATGACATTTCTGTAGAGACTCTTCTGTGATGGACCCAGCAAAGCCCACTCCTCTTGTGTGAAGTTCACAGCCACATCTTCAAAGGCCACTGAGTCCTGAAACATCCCACATGTGCAGAGGAGGAAGGTTGAGATGGACAGCACTGAGAATCCATACTCACTGCATAAACTTTGCATGATGCTGTGGTTTCCAAGCATTTATTCGATGACATAGTAAACCCACTCTTATTTTGTCTACACTCACTTTTTCCCACAAAGCCATTGTGATGCTTTAGTTGAATGTGTTTGGTAAAGTAACAGTCGAATAGGAACCTGCCTCTTGTTGGTGAGTTAAGTGAGTGAGTCTTATTGCCTGCGTCACCCCTGATGTCTATTTCTACAGCGGTCTGTGTAGTTCTTATCATGACAAAGTACAACTACCTATTGTGTAGAAGAGTTACCACTCCCAGTCCTGAAACTGCATATCCTGACAAATGCTCATTTGCAAACTTGGATCTTTCATGGTGTCTAGGCACCGGATCCCACTAATGTAACTAATAACAGAGGCTGAGTGTGCCTAAACTGTTTATGCAAAATATAGGGGCCAGGCATGGTGACTTAGGCCTGCAATCCCATCACTTTGCAGGGCCAAAGTGGAAGGATCACTTAAGAACAGGAGTTTAGGACCAGCATGGGCAACATAGTGAGCCCTTTTCTCAACAAAAAATAAAACTAGGTCTGACTCAGTGGCTCATGCCTATAATCCCAGCACTTTGGAAGGCCAAGACAGGTGGATCACTTAAGCCCAGGAGTTTGAGACCAGCCTGGGAAACATGGTGAGACCTTGTCTCTATAAAAAATACAAAAAAAAAAAAAAAAAAAAATAGCAAGATGTGGTGGCGCATGCCTGTAGTCCCAGCTACCCAGGATGCTGAGGTGAGAGGATCACCCAAGCGCAGGAGGTTGGGGCTGCAGTGAGCCGTGATCATGCCGCTGTACTCCCTCCAGCCTAAGCAACAGAATGAGATCCTGTCTCAAAAAATATAATAAAAGTAAAAAACAAAAAATAAAAAATACATATATATATATATATATATAAATTTTTTTTTAACTTAACTCCTATTCCCCCTCTGAGAGTTTGGAAGTTTGTTACATGATCAGCAGAGAGAGAATACCTGTTAGCCACAGCACAAGTTAGAATGCTTGTGCTCTCCAAAACTCATGCTGAAACTTCATCCTCAATATGACAATAATGAAATGTGGGGCTTTAAGACTTGATTGGATCTTGAGGTACTAATCCATTCATAGATTAATGGCTTAATGAATAAATGGGGTATCTCAGGAGTAGGCCTAGTGTCCTTAAGAGACGAGGAAGAGACCTGAATTAACACTGGGCCCCTGGCCATGCGATACCCTGTGCCACCTAGGGACTCTGCAGAGTCCCCACCAGCAAGGAGGCTCTTACCAGATGCTAAGCCTTGACCTTGGGCTTCTCAGTCTCCAGAAGTATAAAAAAATAATGTTTGTTTGTTTTTATAAATTACCCAGGCTCAGGTAATCCTGTTATAAGTAACAAAAACCAGACTAAGACAGTTATGAAGAAACACTCTGGACACTGGATCACTACTGACGGACCCTAGTAGCTAACGTTTCACGTGTTTGGTTGCAACTTGTTACATGGGATATTTAGCCCATCCTATGCAATTACACTAAGAGAGAACATTTGGAAACTGGCAACTGGTTTCCATTAGACCAAATGTAGTTAAGCGTGACAAAAGACTAATAAAAAATATCTCACTATCTCAATGGAAAAATTACACATTTTTCATTGGATAATGACAAAGGAGGAGGAAAGACAGGGAAAGATTGCACATGTTCTAACAAAAAACTCAGTGTCACCTCTCATGATTATCTATAATATTTCCTAAATTCCTAAAGAGACTTTTAGCAGTCAACAAAGATTATATTACCAAATCTAATAAAAGTCACAAATATCTGAAAAGGTTAAAAACCTAACCGGCAGGGTGTGGTGGCTCACGACTGTAATCCCAGCACTTCGGGAGGCCTAGGGGGGCGGATCAAAAGGTCAGGAGATCGAGACCATCCTGGCCAACATGGTGAAACCCCGTCTCTACTAAAAATACAAAAAAAATTAGCTGGGTGTGGTGGCGCACCTGTCATCCCAGCTACTCAGGAGGCTGAGGCAGGAGAATCGCTTGAACCTGGGAGGCGGATACTGCAATGAGCCAAGATCATGCCACTGCACTCCAGCCTGGAGACAGAGTGAGACTCCATCTCAAAACAAACAAACAAACAAAAAACAATAACAACAAAAAAAGAAACCGCCCAAAAAAACCTTCTAACCAAGAAAGTTACAGCTTTCCAAAAACAGATAAAGGATTTTTAAACTATAATATTCGGCATCCTATACTATTAACAGGGAGATAAACAAACAGAAAAAGGAAAGCAAAAAATGGTTGAAAAGCTTTGTGGAGTTTTTATTTGCCCTTGTCCCAATCCCTCCTCACATCAGAGCCCGTCTTGAAGACAGCAGACCAAGTTTTCAATGTGGATCCCTAGAGACAGCAGATCAGGTCTTACTTGCAAATTATTGCCTTTGTATTTTCCAGTTGGTACAAGGACTATCCAAAGGTCTGAAACAGGCTCTCTTTTCTTTCTTTCTTTTTTTTTTTTGAGACGGGAGTCTCGCTCTGTAGCCCAGGCTGGAGTTCAGTGTCTCGCTGCAAGCTCCGCCTCCTGGGTTCACGCCATTCTCCTGCCTCAGCCTCCCAAGTAGTTGGGACTACAGGCACATGCCACCACGATTAGCTAATTTTTTTGTATTTTTAGTAGAGACGGGGTTTCACCGTGTTAGCCAGGATGGTCTCGATCTCCTGACCTCGTAATCCGCCCGCCTCGGCCTCCCAAAGTGCTGGGGTTACAGGCGTGAGCCACAGCGCCCGGCCAAGACTCTCTTTTCCATTTAATCAGTGATGGAACCCAATCAGGGTCAAACATGGCAAGAACTGCTTCAAAATGTTGCAAAATACACAGAAAGCCTTCAACCACCTGGAACAACAGATTACGGTTAAGACGAACAGCAGACCTACTAAGTCTTGGGAAGAAAAGCTGGAGATAAAATTTCCTTCAGAAATTAGGGTACTGAAAAGCACACAGGTATATTATGGCATACTTTTCTTATACTACCTGATCTAACAGATACAAATTTGTTTGAAATAATACTAGCAATGTATTGGGTAGTAACAGCTTCCGATAGGGCAAATGAATAACAGTGTGTTATATGGGATGGGAGGATGGAATTTGGAACAGTAAGTAATACCAGCACTACTCCCAAAGCCAGTATAGCATTATTTGAAACTGAAGGTCCATTAGTTATAAATGGTATACTACAAACTATAGGGAATTCACTAATAAAATTTAAGAAACAAGTAGACTTACTATACTAATAGAAGCAAGCAAATAGAATCATATAGAATGCTCAGTTAAAATGAAAGCAGAAAAAGTGGAGAAGTTGAAAAAACAGTCAAGTATAAGAATAGAAAACAATTGACATATGTACATATTAATCCAATTATGTCAATACCACTTTGAATGTGTATATCTACATATACCAGTTAAAAAGACATGGACTGGCTGAATAGAATTAAAAAAACAAGGCTGGAAGGGCACAGTGGCTCACGCCTGTAATCCCAGCATTTTGGAATGCTGAGGCGGGCACATTGCTTGAGGCCAGGAGTTTGAGACCAGCCTGTCCAACATGATGAAACCCCGTCTCTACTAAAAATACAAAAAAATTAGCCAGGCGTGGCAGTGCATGCCTGTAATCTCAGCTACTTGGGAGGCTGAGGCATGAGAATCACTTGAACCCGGGAGGCGGAGGCTGCAGTGAGCCGAGATTGTGCCACCTCATTTCAGCCTGGGCAACAGAGCAAGACTCTGTCTCAAAAAAAAAAAAAACAACAAATAAAACAAGGCCCAGCAATGTGTACATGAAAACCATTTTAAACTGAAAGATGCAAATACATTAAATATAAAGGTATGGAGGAATATATGCCATTCTAGCCCTAATCAAAAGAAATATGGACTAGCTATTTTAAATTTAGATAAATCAGGTTTTAGGTCAAGGAAAGATACAGGGGATGAAGAGATTTCATAAAGATAAAGAAGTCAGTTATACAAGAAGACATAATAATCATTAATATCTATGCTCATAAAACAAATCATCAAAATACATAAGGCAAAACTTATAAAACCACATAGCAAAATACACATGTACTAGATGGCTTCCCAGTACCTACTGGCTTTCAATGTGTGCTAACCTCTTCTTTCTGGGATCTCTAAATAATACATAGTTTCTGTTATTTCTTGCATTTTGTTGAGTTGCTTCCTCTGTGTCTTACCTGACCAATATACCTGAATCTAATTTCTACCCAGTCAGGGCTTTCTTTGTAAGATTATTTTGGCAGTGGCTATCTTGGTAGTAATAAAAGAAAAACTGGTCAGACAATGGGCCATAAGGTGTCTACCAGGAAAAACAAGTTTCCTCTAAGACGGAAACTTGGTCACTGGTCTGATATTTAGGCATTAGGTCACCTTGTACTATCCTACAAGTTACGTTTGGAAGGCTTTCAAATTAACCTGTTTGGGGAGGTCTTATGATCCAGGGCTTATATCTTGTCCCTGAGTAAAGAATCTTTTTTTTTTTTTTTCCTTTGAGACGGAGTTTCGCACTTGTTGCCCAGGCTGGAGTGCAATGGCATGATCTTGGCTCACTGCAACCTCTGTCGCCTGGGTTCAAGTGATTCTTCTGCCTTGGCCTCCCAAGTAGCTGGGATTACAGGCCTGTGCCATCATGCCCAGCTAATTTTGTATTTTTAGTAGAGACAGGGTTTCACCATGTTGGTCAGGGTGGTCTCAAACTCCCGACCTCAGATGATCCGCCTGCCTCGGCCTCCCAACGTGCTGGGATTACAAGTGTGAGCCACCGTGCCTGGCCGTTTTCTTATGTAAGAAAATAAAGTAGATCCCAAAGGAAGGGACTCAGAAATTCAACTCTGAAAATTAAGAAGAAGAGTTGTGCGTGACTTATGCCTGTCATCCCAATACTCTGGGAGGTTGGAGTGGGAGGACTGCTTGAGTTTGAGAACAGCCTAAGCAACATGGCAAAACCTCATCTCTACAAAAAATTTAAAAATTAGCCAGGGATGGTAGCATGTGCCTGTAGTTCCAGCTACATAGGAGACGAAGGCAGGAGGATTGTTTGAGCCCAGGAATCTGAGGCTGTGGTGAGCCATGATCCCAGAACTGCACTCCAACCTGGGTGATAGTGCAAGACCCTGACTTAAAAATTAATTAATTAATTAATGAGAAAATGGCTGAAAATTATTTCACAGTAGATGAAAGGCCATACAGAAAAAATGCTCAACACCGATGTTAATCAGTAAAAAGCAACATCTAATCACATGGAGATAAATATTTATAAGGAATAAACACACATGCACACATGGTCTGCCAGTTAATCCATACATGCCAACGGGTTTTCCTAGCACATTTAAATTTATCCATAATCCACAACCCAGCACATTTCCCCCTATATGTACAAAATGTATAAAGTGTTAGCATTTGGGGACAAAAACAAAGATGACATTGTCAACAAAGTCCAGCAAAAATGAAACAATTCAAGTCCTATGAGCCGTGGAATATGAGAGTGAAGTGGGTGACCCACACCTCAGACAGCAGCATGAATCAAACAGACTGAGGCAAAGAAACTAAAAAAAAAAAAAAAAAAAAACCGCCCGCAGCCGGGTGAGGTGGCTCACGCCTGTAATCCCAGCACTTTGGGAGGCTGAGGCGGGTGGATCACCTGAGGTCGGGAGTTCGAGACCAGCCTGATAAATATGGAGAAACCCTGTCTCTACTAAAAATACAAAATTAGCCAGGCGTGGTGGTGCATGCCTGTAATCGCAGCTTCTCGGGAGGCTGAGGCAGGAGAATCGCTTGAACCCGGGAGGCAGAGGTTGCGGTGAGCCGAGATCACGCCATTGCACTCCAGCCTGGGCAATAACAAGAGCAAAACTCCATCTCAAAAAAACAAAAAAACCTTTTCAGCATCATATTAATGGAATATTAAGTGTAATATTAATTAACTGAAAACTCAGAAGAGAGAAAACTATGCATCTGGATTCATACATGATAAACATATACTGAATAACAGTCAGTCGGTTTAAGGCTCTGACCTGTGGTGCCTCTGACTTCTGATAACAAAGGTGTGCCGTTCGCTGAACACCAACCAATTCTCCAGCAATAACTGGGTGTCCAGTAGTTCAATTCTTATACCACCCAGAATTAACACAGATCCCATAAGTTTCTTGCTAGAGGGCTCAGTCCCACAACAGGCCCCCACTGCAGATGTCATTTGTAAGCCCCAGGAACTAACCTTTTAACCAACTGTGTATAAATACAACAGCACCATCCTCTGGTTCAATAACTGGCTAAAGGCCAGGCGCAGTGGCTCACGCCTGTAATCCCAGCATTTTGAGAGGCTGAGGCAGGTGGATCACCTGAGGTCAGGAGTTCGAGACCTGCCTGGCCAACATGGAGAAACCCCACCTCTACTAAAAATGCAAAATTAGCCATGCATGGTGGCGCATGCCTGTAGTCCCAGCTACTCGGGAGGCTGAGACAGGAGAATCGTTTGAACCCGTGAGGCAGAGGTTGCGATGAGCCGAGATCGTGCCATTGCACTCCAGCTTGGGTAACAAGAGTGAAACTCCGTCTCAAAAAAAAAAAAAAAAAAAATTGGCTAAAATAACTCATGAAACTCAGCAAAACACTAGTAACTTAAGGTTACTAGTTTGTTATAAAGGATTTCTCAACAACAGCCAAATGGAAAAGAGGTATTCAGCAAGGGAAAGGGCAGGGATGGTTAAAGGTTTCCCTTTTTTTTTTTTTGAGATGGAGTCTCGCTCTGTCGCCCAGGCTGGAGTGCAGTGGTATGATCTCGGCTCACTGCAAGCTCCGCCTCCCGGGCTCACGCCATTCTCCTGCCTCAGCCTCCCGAGCAGCCGGGACTACAGGCAACTGCCACCACGCCCAGCTAATTTTTTTGTATTTTTAGTAGAAACGGGGTTTCACCGTGTTAGCCAGGATGGTCTCGATCTCCAGACCTCATGATCCGCCCGCCTCAGCCTCCCAAAGTGCCGGGATTACAGGCATGAGCCACCGCGCCCGGCCATTTTTTTGTATTTTTAGTAGAAACGGGGTTTCACCGTGTTAGCCAGGATGGTCTCGATCTCCAGACCTCGTGATCGGCCCGCCTCAGCCTCCCAAAGTGCCGGGATTACAGGCGTGAGCCACCGCGCCCGGCCATTTTTTTGTATTTTTAGTAGAGACGGGGTTTCACGGTGTTAGCCAGGATGGTCTCGATCTCCTGACTTCGTGATCTGCCCACCTCGGCCTCCCAATGTGCTGGGATTACAGGCGGGAGCCACCGCGCCCGGCAAAGCTTTCCCTCTTGACACCACCTTCCTAGCGCATCCACGTGTTCACCAACCTGGAAGCTGTCCCGATGTCTTTGTTCAATAAATTTTATTCAACTTAATTTCTAGCCTCCCTCCCTTTCCTGGGGTCAGAAGATGGGGCTTAAAGTTCCAGTCCTGTCATCATGTGTTTGCTCTTTCAGGTCACCAGTCCCCATCCTCAAGTTAGTTACCTAGTGACCTCATGCTGAGTCACCTCATTAGCATAACTTCACCTAAGGTCTGACAAGAGCTGGGAATAACAAAACACATTCCCATCACTCGGAAAAATCCAAGGAGTTTAGGACTACTTTGCCAGGACCTAGAAATAATGACCAAGGCGGGTGCAGCCGCTCACGCCTGTAATCCCAGCACTTTGGGAGGCTGAGGTGGGCAGATCATGAGGTCAAGAGATCAAGACCATGCTGGCCAACATGGTGAAACCCCGTCTCTAATAAAAATACAAAAATTAGTTGGGCGTGGTGGCACGCGCCTGTAGTCCCAGCTACTCAGGAGACTGAGGCAGGAGAATAGCTAGAACTCAGGAGTCGGAGGTTGCAGCGAGCTGAGATTTCGCCACTGCACTCCAGCCTAGCGACAGAGTGAGACTCCATCTCAAAAAAAAAAAAAAAAAGAAAAAGAAAAAGAAACAATGACCAAATATGTTTTAGGCTGGGCATGGTGACTCACGCTTGTATTCTCAGCACTTTGGGAGGCCGAGGTAGGAGAATCATCTGAGGTCAGGAGTTCAAGATCAGCCTGGGCAACATGGCGAAACTGTCTTTACAAAAAATACAAAAATTGGCTGGGCGTGGTGGTGCACGCTTGAAGTTCCAGCTACTTGGGGGGCTGAGGCAAAAAGATTGTTTGAGCCCAGGAGATGGAGGTTGCAGTGAGCCGAGATCATGCCACTGCACTTCAGCCTAGATGGCAGAACAAGACTCTGTTTCAAAAATTAAAAAGGACCAAATATTTTTAAAAATTATATCACAGACCCAAATAAACTCTCAGATTCATAAACCCTTTGTCCAGCAGGCAGAACCAAAAGGTGTCTTTCTCTAAGTCAGCCCCAACAGACTTTCAAATTTGTACAATATTCTGATTAAACAAACACAGTGAATGTAAAACCAGACTTCTAATAATGTTGAATTTAACCCCAGCTCTGTAATCCTGGTTAATAGCTAGAATTAAATAAATCACCTTAGGCCAGGTGAGGCGGCTCACATCTGTAATCTCAGTACTTAGGGAGGCCGAGGCAGCCGGATCACTTGAGCCCACGAGTTCAAGACCAGCCTGGGCAACATGGTGAAACCTCATCTCTATGAAAAATACAAAAATTAGCCGGGCCTAGTGGTGCATGCCTGTAGTCCCAGCTACTGGGGAGGCTGAGGTGGGAGGATCGCTTGAGGCTGGGAGGCGAGGTGGAGTTTTGTAGTGAGCTGAGATCATGCCACTGTACTCCAGCCTGGGAAACAGAGTGAGACTCTGTCTCAAAAAAAAAAAAAAGAAAGAAAGAAAAGAAATCACCTCAGTCTTCTACCACCTAAGTCCTGTGTGTTCTGAACAAACAGCTGAATGCAGTGTAACACTCTCCGCATTGCTTCGACTATGCCCCCTTTTTAAACCTGTAACAAGACCAAAAACCCCACCAAATTCCCACTTTGCCTCAGAAATGATTAGCTGAACAATTCTGTCTTCACCAACCAGGCTGCACAAAATTAATGTAGAGCAAACTTTCCTTAAGTTTCTCTTCCTCCTGCTGGACTCAGTCTGAGCCAGCACACAATTCCTCTCATTTATTTATTTTGAGATGGAGTCTTGCTCTGTCACCCAGGCTGGAGTGCAGTGGCACGATCTCAGCTCACTGCAACCTCCACCTCCCGGGTTCAAGCGATTCTCCTGCCTCAGCCTCCTGAGTAGCTGGGACTATAGGCGTGTGCCACCACACCTGGGTAATTTTTGTATTTTTTAGTAGAGATGGGGTTTTGCCATATTGGTCAGGCTGGTCTTGAACTCTTGACCTCAGGTGATCCACCTGCCTCAGCCTCCCAAAGTGCTGGGATTACAGGCGTGAGCCATGCGCCCATCCACAATCCCTCCTTTTTAACCTCTCCTAAGAACTGACTGAAGTCAAGGTGAAACATTCTGTGATGTAGGATCTGATTTTCACCTTCCATCTTACTCTCTCTCCTACCTTCTAGATTTCTAATATTGTTTGCTCTTCACTTTGAAAAGCAATTTTCTGGCTGGGCATGGTGGCTTATTCCTGTAATCCCACCACTTTGGGAGGCCGAGGTGGGCTGATCACTTGAGGTCAGGAGTTCGAGACCAGCCTGGCCAACATGGTGAAACCCCGTCTCTACTAAAAATATAAAAATTAGCTGGGCGTGGTGGTGGTCACCTGTAATCCCAGCTACTCAGGAGGCTGAGGCAGGAGAATCACTTGAACCTGGGAGGCAGAAATTGCAGTGAGCTGAGATCACGCCACTGCACTCCAGCCTGGGCAACAGAGCGAGACTCCATTTCAAAAAACAAAAAAAAAAAAAAAAAAAGAAAAGCAATTTTCTGCCTAAACTTTGAGATTCTTGTAGATCTTATAGTTGGTAGTTTTCTCCTTTTGCAATATGCTTTTAGAGTGAAGTCACTTCTTGCCCAAATCCAGATTTATTTTACTTGAGAATGTCTAGCAACAGTGCCACAACAGTAACAAAGACCTCAGACAGGGCATCACACCACATGTCTCTGCCTGTGGATCTCCAACTTTCCAGTGCTCTGCAGCTTCTCTCAGTATAAAAGGCTCCTCCCATGTTTGGAATGAACAGGTTGGGACACCTGCCAGGGAGGTTCCCCAGGAAGAACCAACTCAACTGGGTCTTCAATGACCTCCCTTTGCAGGCTCCAGATTGACCTTAGCTCAGAGTCAGTCGCCTCAGGCTTCTCCACCCCAGTCAAGGCTACTCACTTACCCTTACATGCCTTACATGGGTATTTAAAAAAAAAAATACCCATGTGTGATGAATCCAGTAAAATCACTCCAATCCAGCATTTATGTTTATAGGAGGGAAGAAAACCACAACGCATCTATATTTTATAGCTTAATAGAAAAAGCACAAGTATCTATCCGTTTCAGAAAACAAATGTCATTAATTTATCATTTTCCATAATAATAAATCATTTAGTAAATGAATAATGATATTTGAGTTCTTTAGCTGTTGGAAAGTCCTGTCCCACAGAATTTAGCATTAGTCTGTCAAGTCCACATAACAGGAACAGAATAGTTATCCACTGTCTCAAATTCTCCACTCTACAAAGGAGACGAACTAACATTTTGGTAAATCTTTATAATTCATCAATATATCCACCACACTTTCTTGCAAAAATGTATTCATTTTTCTGCAGTCATAAAGGAAAAGTTTTTCCCAATTTCTGTTCACTGCTAGGCCCTGAAATTCCGTTTGAAATCATCCAATAAAAAAACAGACCTGAGGCTGGGCACGGTGGCTCTCTCCTATAATCCCAGCAGTTTGGGAGGCCAAGGCAGGTGGATCACTTGAGGTCAGGAGTTCGAGACCAGCCTGGCCAATATGGTGAAACCTCGTCTCTACTAAAAATACAAAAGTTTTAGCTGGGCATGGTAGCATACGTCTGTAATCCTAGCTACTCAGGAGGCTGAGGTGGGATGATTGCTTGAACCCAGGAGGTTGAGGCTGCAGTGAGCCAAGATCCCACCACTGCACTCCAGCCTGGGTGACAGAGCGAGACTCCGTCTCAAAAAAAAGTAAATAAAAGTTTTAAAAAGAAATAAAATATAGGACTAAATATGTAATGAGTTTGCTGAAACCCAACTTGTTCTTGTCTCTTTGAACATACTTTATCTTCTTTATTAAGCTCTAATGATAAAATGCATTTTGCAGTTAATAAAAAGCTGAAATGAGTGAACAAATCTTTTCAAGATGACAAATGCAGGGAGGGGCTGACTGGAACACAGACAAATCTGACTACTTTAGTGTCAGTTCAGGTCCTCTTATCACTTGGGACATCTCCCACCCCAGTGCTGCTCACTGAACTGCTGAGTAATTACCCTCCAAGGAGAAGCTCCCTCAATACCGCCAACCAGCTGGCTCATCAGCCATGTGTCCCCAGGGAATGGAAACTGGGGTGGGGAAGAAAAGCTGAATGTCTTAAGGGCTTTGCTTTTTGAGGAACAGTATACCAGGAAACTCCTCCCACCCCACGACATCCAGCTGCTCCCCTATAAGGTCCCACCCCCCACCTCTGGCTGTCCTCTGGGAGGAGTGACTCAAAGCTGATATTCACTAGACACTACAAAAGACTTAGCAGCTATGAGCATCTTGGAGCAGCCCCAAACAGTTCTGTAACCCAGGACCAGGACACCATAGAGGGTGGGCTGACAGATCACCCTGTGCCATTTGCAAAGAGGAACCTCGACTGAAAATATTCGGGTATCTCTGTGTAGACAAGATAAAGGACAGCCACACATGCACTATTTTTTTTTTCTTTTTCTTTTTTCTGAGACGGAGTTTCACTCTTGTTGCCCAGGCTGGAGTGCAATGGCGTGATCTTGGCTCACCGCAACCTCCGCCTACCGGGTTCAAGCAATTCTCCTCCCTCAGCCTCCCAAGTAGCTGGGATTACAGGCATGAGCCACCACCCCGGCTAATTTTGTATTTTTAGTAGAGACGGAGTTCCTCCATGTTGGTCAGGCTGGTCTCGAACTCCCGACCTCAGGTGATCCGCCAGCCTTAGCCTCCCAAAGTGCTGGGATTACAGGCGTGAGCCACCGCGCCCGGCTTTTTTTTTTTTTTTTTTTTTTTCACACTGGAGTCAAGTGGTTATTCTTTGCTTCCTCACATGTGAAATGTTCACAAACACAAAAACACATCTTTTAAAAAGAGCCATACATTGCTATGTGAAAAGAAAGTGACAATTAAAATAATGCCTCTGTTTGAAATATTGCCTGAGGGACAAAGAGTTCATAAAGTTGCTGGGAATTGATGAGAGACAGTTAGCCTGGGGAAGGCTCTGAAAACCAAGAGATTTGCTGCCAGCCCTAGGAGGAGTTAGGATGAGGGGATAGGGTGGTGGATTTGAGACCCTGCTGCCCACATCTTTGGAAGACTCGGAGGGAAACCGGTCACCTTTGGGAAGAAAGAAGGGACTGGGGAACCCACAGATCACAGCTTCTCTTCCAAAGCACAAAGCCCACACACACGAGTCTGGATTCTGCCTGGTGACCCTCCGTTGTCACCGTGCAGCGTCCTCACCGGGTTCACAGGAACTGCGAGCCAGGCTGGAGGCGAGATTGCAGTTAGATATTAACCAGGTGCCCTCAGCCCCGCTGCCTCACGGGGCCGCCTCCCTGAGAGTCAGGTCACAGCAGACGCTGACCGCCGGCTTCCTCATCGTGCCCGGGGATAAGATCTCTTGAGAGTTGCTCACGGGTCGCCTCAGTTCTTTCTCGGATCCTGAATTGCAGCGGAAAGGCTGGCGCCAACCAGGCTGAAGACCCCACAAGGGAACCCACTCAGCAGAATGCGGTTTCTTCACCTCCAGTCCCAGGAGTCACCTCTCACTTCTCCACCAACCAGCGACCCCACACTCCAGCCGTCCCTGTCCACACCTCTAAACACCCCATCCCCAAACCTCTCAGGGAGGCGGATCTGGGGTGTCCTCCCCTCTCCCCCATTAAACTGTTTCTGCTGCAGCCTTCGGCGTCTCGGTGCAGTGACTCGGGCCGTGAACCTGTGCCGGTTACAACTGCACAATCTGGGGAGACGCGGAGCTGCGGGCGCGGAGCTGCCCAGAGAGGGCGCCGGGGCCGGGGCCGCAGCGGCCGAGCAGGGACGGGACAGGACGCCCGGGGTCCCGGCTGCCGCCCCAGCCCCATCTTGCGGCCCAGGGGACCAAGGGCAGAGCTGCGCCAGGGGCACTGGGATTTGCAGACCCCGGAGTCGCCCAGGGCGAGGCCCGGGTCCCCTCACGGTCGGTTCCGGCCGGTTCCAACCTGCCCCTTCTTTGCCTCGGGACGCCGGGCCCCGCACACTCACCATTTCCCAGCTTCCAGGTGTCCGGGTGTCCTCCTTAAAAGCCAGTGTGGGTCCCAGCGCGACAGACGCTGATACAGACCTTCCAGGGCGTCTCTCTCTCAGCGCCAGAGCCAGGACTCAGAGCGCAGGGGCGTGGAGAAGACTCCGCGGGCTCTTTGAACGTCGCACCCTCCTCCCTGCAGCGTGCCTGATTGACAGTTCTCACAATCCCCGCCCCCTCATCCCTGATTGGATAGTGCTCCAGGTCCCGCCCCTTGGTGGCTGATTGACAGAAGAAGCGATCTCACAGTGCTGAGTGGAGCCGGATGAACAGGTTCCAGGCACGACCCTTGGCAAGGCGGGCTTCCTCCCAACGGAGTGACCTGACCCCTCCCGAAGTGACGTTTGCATTTTAGAATTTCCTGATTGTATTCAGTGGGTTCTTCCTGCTTTTTCCTCCTGGACAGGGACTCACAAGTGTGTGCAGGGAATTCCAGGCTCCCTGTCCAGTGGAGCCATTCCCGGACCTCGGAGCAGGAGGGGAGCCCGGGGCACACAGGCCACCCTGCAGCAGGAGGGAGGGCCTGATGTCCTCCAGGGATCAGGAATTTGGGATGAGGCTGTTGGCGACGTTGCCAAGCCTTTCCCTCACCTTATCTCTCAATCTACTCATTTTCAGCCCAGAAGATAAAAACAGGACAACAAAATAAAATAGTTGAGTATGTGGAAAAACTGGAATTATATGGCAGCAATATTTCATAAAGAATCAAAAGAGAAGAAAAGCAAAAACTTGAACAAGCTCAGAGAAGCAGCCTACTGCACTCACAGTTCACAAGCAGACCCCCTTTCAGGAGGTCAAACATATCCCCAAGCTGGGAAGCCAGGCAATGATTCCTAAAATGGAGCTCCGGGGTGGATCAGAAGCTGGTGATAAGGGAGGGACAATTAAGAATTTTACTCTGAGGTCTCAAAATACCTGTCCCCTCTGCACAGCGTGGAAATGCTCCCTCCTTATGCCATTAAATGTTAATGAATTAAACGCTCCAATCAAAAGCCAAGACATCACACTTTGAATTTGAAAACATTAGCCTTTCTCCATATGTTTATGAAGTAAAAATACTAGACTTAAAAGCGTTATGGCCGGGCGCGGTGGCTCACGCCTGTAATCCCAGCACTTTGGGAGGCTGAGGCGGGTGGATCACCTGAGGTCGGGAGTTTGAGACCAGCCTGACAAACATGATGAAACCCCGTTTCTACTAAAAACGCAAAATTAGCCGGGTGTGGTGGCACGCTCCTGTAATCCCGGCTCCTCAGGAAGCTGAGGCAGGAGTATCGCTTGAACCCGGCAGGCAGAGGTTGCAGTGAGCCGACATCACACCACTGCACTCCAGCCTGGGCAACAGAGCGAGGAAAAAAAAAAACTCCATCTCAAAAAAAAAAAAAAAAAAGCGTTATGAACTAGAAGCTGGTAGCCATGGCTAAATAGAAAGGAGCTGAACATGAGATGTCAATAGATGAAATGAAATCTTCAATCAACTTCTAGAAACTATAGCATTTTCTGCCAGGACAAATGGGCACGTTTAGAAAATGAATGAAAAAAATGACGTCTGAGTAT
Organism: Homo sapiens; assembly: GCF_000001405.40. Classification (NCBI taxonomy): domain Eukaryota; kingdom Metazoa; phylum Chordata; class Mammalia; order Primates; family Hominidae; genus Homo; species Homo sapiens. Next base: position 11,740,411 of record NC_000019.10, read on the forward strand.
AACCTAATGCATAAATGATACTGTTTCCTTAAAAAAAAATAATAAGCACACACACAGACACACACACACACACTCCCACAGTCTATTATGCTAGAAACTGCTCTCTGAAGGATAAACTACTATTTTATGAAATGCTCCACCCCTCACTCCTCACATTAACTGCTCCTGGAACAATGTTCTATTTATTTGTTTCCACACATATTAAAAGAGGGCACAATGTATCAAACTAACTGATTGTCAGGGGTTTATATACAGATTCTGTATATTTTTACAAATGGCAACAAGTAAGTAGTTGATTTCTGCAATGATTTAAATACATATAAAAGCTTCCAGACAAAAATAGCTGTTCGCATTACCATGATGAAGGAAAAATCAACAATGGTGAGACCCACACCCCCTCCCCCAGAGAAAGTATAAAAGAAATCCTAAGAGAAGCTAGAAAGCCCAAAATTTGTATGTGCAAGTTTAAACACAATATAGAAAGTATTGCTGTTAGTTTCCTCACAGTCAGTTCTATGGCAACACCATGCTTTTCTGAGTTAGGATGTTTATTTCTGAGTTTGTCTTTTTTTTTTTTCTGAGATGGAGTTTTGCTCCTGTTGCCCAGACTGAAGTGCAATGGTGCAATCTCGGCTCACCGCAACCTCTGCCTCCGGGTTCAAGCAATTCTCCCACCTCAGCCTCCTGAGTAGCTGGGATTGCAGGCATGCGCCACCACATCTGGCTAATTTTATATTTTTAGTAGAGACAGGGTTTCTCCATATTGGTCAGGCTGGTCTCAAACTCCTGACCTCAGGTGATCTGCCTGCCTCGGCCACCCAAAGTGCTGGGATGACAGTTGTGAGCCACTGCACCCGGCTATTTCTGAGTTTTTTAAAAGAAAAGGAAACACAACTCCTTCCCCAACCCTCTGTCACGAAGATATCCTCTAATATCTGCTGCTAAATGTACCATTTCAGTGTGAGTTAACTTTAATGCATGCAGTAAGGAGCTCAGTTCGTGTTTCTGAAGGTCAATATTCAACTTCCTTAGTAGCTTGTTGAAAAGACTTTCCCCTTTAATTTATCTTGGCCTATTTGTTGAAGATTAATTAACTATCCATGAAGAGTGTCTTAGTCCATTTGTGCTGCTATAATGAACTACTGCCAAGTGGGCAATTTATAAAGAATATTAATTAGTTTTCTCGTAGTTCTGGATGCTGGGAATTCCAAGATAAAGGTGCCAGCACCTAGGGAGGGCCTTCTTACTGCATCTTCTGGAGGGAAGGAACACTGCATCCTCACAGGGCAGAAGACAGAAGGGCAAGAGAGGGCGAGCCCCATCCATCAAACCCTTTATAGTGGCATTAGTCTATTCATGAGGGCTCTGCCAAAAGACTAAAAGTCCCCAACTCCCAAAATTGTGGTGCTGGGGATTGAGTTCTCACCTATGAATTTTGAGGGGACACAAACATTCAAATGATAGCAAAGGGGGTTATTTCCGGACTCTCAATTCTGTCATATTATTTCTGACATCTTCCCAGTAAGTCTGGCTACTATACTACCTACCTGATGATGGAGAGCCCCACCCCATTCCTGACAGTCAAGCATGACACATGACTGTCATGCACAGATAGAAACGGTCCTAAAGCCACAGGAAGATCTCCTAGACACCTCCTTGGATGACCTAGACTTACTATCATTTTGAGAAGGCCTCTCTTAACACAATTGTAGGGAAAACATAGTAACTGGTTTTGCCATAATTTCTCCACATGAAACAATTGAGGCATACTCTTTACTCACTGTAAAATCAGCCTGAGCCTCTAGCTCATTGCTCTTACTAGATCTCGAATGTTGGCAAAGGGGAAACTGCCACCATTGACAATGATTCCAGATATGCTTTGGGAGTCTTTTTTGCCATTGGCACAATCTGAAAATCCTTTGCATTTACAACTTGTTCTGGTACACCCATTGCCAATGAACATACATAACTGGGGCACTATTACAGGTTGTTCACCTCTCTACTAAAATGGCTATTGTTCACTGTCTAGCCCATACTAAGGAGACTTCTACTACATCTCTGGGCATTAAAAGACTGCTAAACAAGGCGGGGCACAATGGCTCACGCCTGTAATCCCAACACTTTGGGAAGCTGAGGCAGGTGGATCACCTGAGGTCGAGAGTTCAAGACCAGCCTGGCCAACATGGAGAAAACCCATCTCTACCAAAAATACAAAATGAGCCGGCATGGTGGCGCATGCCTGTAATCCCAGCTACTTGGGAGGCTGAGGCAGGAGAATCACTTGAACCTGGGAGGTGGAGGATGCAGTGAGCTGAGATCTCAACATTGCACTCCAGCCTGGGCAATAAGAGCGAAACTCCATCTCAAAAACAAAACAAAACAAAACAAAAAAAGACTGCTAAACAGGAAGCCAAAAATGGCACCTTATCTCCGCTGAATTCACAAACCTGCCTTTAGCCTTGATTTATGTTATCAAGTAAAAGCTCAATAATCGGAAAAACATCAATAGGTACAAAGGGGAGACAACTATTGCACAGATTATACGTTAGGCCAATCACACTGTAGCTCCTTTCTTTTGATGTTCTGCCTTGTGCTAATCTTCCACTGGATTGGACATGGACGCAAATGATGGATACTTAATAGTCTAAAAGGCAACTGGCTCTGTCTGCCTTGGCATGCACAAAATATCTGACCCAATTATTTCCCAGTGTGCTGCTTGTAAACTTGCCCAATTGCTGGATGAAACCAACATACCTCAGAGAATCCTCCAATGCCCATGCTGCCCCTCACAATATTCCAGATGGATTAGCTTCTCTCCAGCTTGAGGCCATTCCCATTGTTTGGTGGTTGTCTGCATGTTTAATGGATGGGCTCAGTGCTGTACAGCTACACATGCTCATGTATGAATGGTGAAGTAATTAATAACTGAAATTATTTCTCATTTTGGCATGCCTTTGTAGGCTGAATCAGACCATGGAAGTAATTATTATTATTATTATTATTATTATTATTATTTTATTTTTTATTTTTTTTTTTGAGATGGAGTCTCGCTCTGTCACCTAGGCTTGAGTGCAGTGGCACAATCTCGGCTCACTGCAAGCTCCGTCTCCTGGGTTCACGCCATTCTCCTGCCTCAGCCTCCAGAGTAGCTGGGACTACAGGTGCCCGCCACCACGCTCGGCTAATTTTTGTATTTTTAGTAGAGACGGGGTTTCACCGTGTTAGCCAGGATGGTCTCGATCTCCTGACCTCGTGATCCTCCCGCCTTGGCCTCCCAAAGTGCTGGGATTACAGGCGTGAGCCACTGTACCCCATGGAAGTAATTTTATAGCTGATATAAAACACATTCTTCCAAAAACTATGGAGGACTTATTAAAATTTTACACCATCCTTAATCATCAGGGCAAATGTAAAAATCTAAACATACAGGGCAAGAGGGGCTTTAGGGTAATATCTGTCAGAACACAGGATATCAATGGCCAGAAGAAGAAAATATGAGCTGACACTTTGCTGGGTGGAACATTATGATGTACCCCTGCCTGCCATCAAAATAAGAGCCATTGTCATTCAAAATAAGAACCATGTTTTATATATAAGAGCTATGAATTCATGTAAGCCATGTCAAACTTGACATGTATCAGCATTTCAAGGACAATTGGAAGACCATTTCTACAGGTAACCACCAAGGAAGATCGTCAGAGCCAATTCCCAGGCTCCAGAAATAAATGGCATCACAAAATATAGATAAAAACAAACAAACAAACAAAATGACCTGACTCAAAATAAACAAAGGACTTGAAATAAAGTTGTTTGGCCAGGCACCGTGGCTCACGCCTGTAATCCCAGCACTTTGGGAGGCTGAGGCAGGCGGATCACCTGAGGTCGGGAGTTCGAGACCAGCCTGACCAACATGGAGAAACCCCATCTCTACTAAAAATACAAAAATTATCCAGGCGTGGTGGCGCATGCCTGTAATCCCAGCTACTCAGGAAGCTGAGGCAGGAGAATCGCTTGAACCTGGGAAGCGGAGGTTGCGGTGAGCCGAGATCATGCCATTGAACTCCAGCCTGGGCAATAAGAGCGAAACTCCGTCTCAAAAAGGAAAATAAATAAATAAACAAAGTTGTTCAAAGAAGTTATATAAATGACAATTATGTACATGAAATGATGGTCACCATCATTGATCGTTAAGGAAATGCAAATCAAAACCACAATGAAATTCCAATTCACACCCATTAGCATGGCTATTATACAGCCAATGTGGGAGAAGACGGAAGAAATGGCAACTCTTTTGCATTGCTGGGGAGAATGTTAAATACTGCAGCCACTGTGTAAAACAGGATAAGTATTCCTGACAAAGGTGAACTTAGAATTTCTCTGTAACCCAGCCATTCAACTCCTAAGTATACACCCAAATAAATAGAAATCAGAAACACACATGGACACACGTAACCCAATTTCATGGCAGCCTTATTCACAATTCCCAAAACAGTATTGTGGATATAACCCATACGTTCATCAGCCTATGAGTGAAGAAGCAAAGTGTGGTTTACCCATAAAATAGAATGTTCAGGCATAAAAAACTGAATCACTGGTACATTCTGCTGCATGGAAGAACCTTGAAAACATTTTGCTAAGTGAAATAAGTCAGACACAGAAGGACAAATATTGTAGGCTTTTACTTAGAATACCTAGAATAGTCAAATTCATGGAGCAAAAAAGTAGAAGAGAGATTATCAGGGCCTGACAATAAGGTGGAATGAGGAGTTCTTTTATTTACTGGGTGATGAGTTTCTATGTGGAGTGATGAAAAGTTCTGGAGATAGCTGCAGTGGTCACACTGAGTCATAAATGTATTTAGTGCTACTGAATTGCACACGCGGTTGCTCACACCTGCAATCCCAGCACTTTGGGAGGCCAAGGCGGGCAGATCATGAGGTCAGGAGATCGAGACCATCCTGGCCAACATGGTGAAACCCCGTCTCTACTAAAAATACAAAAATTAGCCGGGCGTGGTGGTGGGTGCCTGTAATCCCAGCTACTCAGGAGGCTGAGGCAGGAGAATCTCTTGAACCTGGGAGGCAGAGGTTGCAGTAAGTTGAGGTCGCGCCACTGCACTCCAGCCTGGCTACAGAGTGAGACTCCTCCTCAAAAAAAAAAAAAAACATTTCAATGGCAAATTTTATGTTAGTATGTGTTACTTCAACACAATTTATAAATGAAAGACAAGACACAATTCCAGTTATTAGAGATGAACGTAACTATATCTGGGATAAAAACATACACTGGATAGGACTGTGCATATTGGTATCTACCTGTAGCTACTCTGGAGTCTGAGGTGGCAAGATCACTTGAACTTAGGAATTAAAATCCAACTGTGGCAACATAGCCAGACCTCACCTCTAAAGAGAATAATAATAAAATAATAATAATACACTGGCTGAAGCCACATATGGTGGTTCATTTCTGTAATTCCAGCTACTTGGGAGGATGGTGTGGGAGGATCCCTTCAGGCCAGGAGTTCAAGACCTGCCTGGGCCACATAGTGAGACCTTGTCTCTAAATAAATTTTAAAACTTAGTACAGTGTGGTGGTGCATGCCTGTTGTCCCAGCAACTTGAAGGCTGAAGTGGGAGGATCACCTGAGCCCAGGAATTTGATGCTTCAGTGAGCATGATCACATCACTGCATACCAGCCTGGGTGAGAGAGCAAGACCACAACTTAAAAAAAAAAAAAAAACCAGAGAGAGAGAGAATAGCAGTAGAAAGTATTTAAAATGAAACACCAATCAAAAAAATGACCAAAAAATATGAACAGAACATCAGTGAGCTGTGTGGTGGTGACTACACAGCTACAAGTAACCTTTTTTTTTGAGACAGAGTCTCACTCTGTCGCCAGGCTGGAGTGCAGTGGCGTGATCTTGGCTCACTGCACCCTCCGCCTTCCAGGTTCAAGCAGTTCTCTGCCTCAGCCTCCTGAGTAACTGGAATTACAGGTGCCCACCACCACACCTGGCTAATTTTTGTATTTTTGGTAGAGACAGGGTTTCACCATCTTGGCCAGGCTGGTCTTGAATTCTTGGCCTCATGATCCACCTGCCTCGGGCTCCCAAAGTGCTGGGATTACAGGCGTGAACCACCGCACCTGGCCAACATGTAACTTTTAAAAAATGATCAGAGGCCGGGTGTGGCTCACGCCTGTAATCCCAGAACTTTGGGAGGCCAAAGCAGGTGGATCACCTGAGGTCAGGAGTTCAAGACCAGCCTGACTGACATGGTGAAACCCCGTCTCTACTAAAAATACAAAATTAGCTGGGTGTGGTGGCACGTGCCTGTAATCCCAGCTATTTGGGAGGCTGAGGCAGAAGAATTGCTTGAACCCAGGAGGTGGAGGTTGCAGTGAGCTGAGATCACGCCATTGCACTCCAGCCTGGGCAACAAGACGAAACTCTGTCTCAAAAAAAAAAAAAATCAGACTGTCAACAATCAGTTGTGTGATGGGACAACTACAAGGACTCCTAAAAAGGCAGGAGGAAACATAGAATAAAAATTTTTGTTAAAAATATATCAGCCATGGCCAGGTGCAGTGGCTCACTGCACTTTGGGAGGCCAAGGCGAACAGATCACTTAAGGCCAGGAGTTCGAGACCAGCCTGGCCAACACGGTGAAACCCCATCTCTACTAAAAAATACAAAAATTAGCCAGGTGTGGTGGCGCATGCCTGTAATTCCAGCTACTCCAGAGGCTGAGGCATGATAATCTCCTAAACCTGGGTTGTGGAGGTTGCCAGTGAGCTGAGATTGTGCCACTGCACTCCAGCCTGGGTGACAGAATGAGATGCTGTCTCAAAAAAAAAAAAAAAAATCAGCCACACATTTTCCAAATTGGATGAAAACTATAAACCTTGAAATACAAGAAGCTCAACAAACCACAAGCACAAAATGTATGAAAAAAATCTACACCAAGACACATCATCATCAAACTGCTGAAAGTCAGAGATAATGAAAAAATTTTAAAACTGGAGAAAAACGACACCTTAACTATAGAGACACAAAGACTGATTACATACTTATCATCAGAAACAGTCCAAACCAGAAGACCAGAGAAAAATTTTTAAGAAACTAAAAAAACAAATATGTCAACCAAGAATTCTATATTCAGCAAATATCTTTCCAAACAAAGAGAAAATAAATACTTTACTCAGTCATGCTAAAAGTGTTTGTAATCAGCATACTTGCTGATTGTCAATTGAATTCCCAGAGCAGAAGAAAAATGTTACCAGATGGAAATCTGTGAAGAATGAAAAGCATCAGAAATGCTAACTACTTGAGTAAATACAAAGAAGTTTTTACTACTGTCTATTTTTAGAATAAAAGATCACTGAATTTGTAAAAGAAAAAAAAGTTGGGGGAAAGCATGGGAAAAAATGGGGGAAGCATTTATCTTTTGGCTTACAAACAATCCAATTTTATGCTGTTAATTATTTTAAGTGCATAACTAGATTATTGTTAACTATAATCATCCTGTTATGTTATCAAACAGTAGGTATTATTTAATCTTTCTATTTTTGTGCCCATTAACTGTCCCCACCTCTCCATCACCACCCCACTAGTCTTCCCAGCCTGTAGTAACCATCCTTCTACTTTCTATCTCCATGAGTTCAATTGTTGTGAATTTTAGATCCACAGATGAGTGAGAATATGCAATGTTTGTATTTTTGTGCCTGGCTTATTTCATTTAACATAATGATCTCCAGTCACATCCATTTGTTGCAAATGACAGGATCTCATTCTGTTTTTTTAAGGGAAAATAAATTTATTAAGAAAGTGAAGGAATAAAACAATGGCTACTCCATAGGTAGAGCAGCCTTATTTTTTATGGCTGAATAATACTCCATTGTGTATGTGTAGCGTATTTTCTTTATCCATTTATCTGTTTATGGACACTTAGGTTCCAAATACTAGCTATTGTGAACAGTGCTGCAACAAACATGAGAGTGTAGATGTCTCTTGAATATACTGATTTCCTTTCTTTTGGGTATATACCCAACAGTGGGATTGCTGGATCATATAGTAGCTCTATTTTTCATTTTTTGAGGAACCTCAAAAATGTTCTCCATAGTGGTTGTACTAATTTACATTCCCACCAACAGTCCATGATGGTTCCCTTTTTCTACCTCCTCTCCATCATTTGTTATTGCTTGTCTTTTGAATATAAGCCATTTTAACTGGAGTGAGATGATATCACACTGTAGTTTTGATTTGGATTTCTCTGAAGATCAATGTTGTTGAGCACCTTTTCATATGCCTGTTTACCATTTGTATGTCTTCTTTTGAAAATGTCAGGCTGGGCCGGGTGCAGTGGGTCATGCCTGTAATCCCAGCACTTGGGGAGGCCGAGGCGGGCAGATCATGAGGTCAGGAGATTGAGACCGCAGTGAAACCCCGTCTCTACTAAAAATTAAAAAAAAAAAATTAGCCGGGCGCAGTGGCAGGCGCCTGTAGTCCCAGCTACTTGGGAGGCTGAGGCAGGAGAATGGCATGAACCTGGGAGGCAGAGCTTGCAGTGAGCCGGGATCCCACCACTGCACTCCAGCCTGGGTGACAGAGCGAGACTCTGTCTCCAAAAAAAAAAAAAAAAGAAAATGTCAGGCTGGGTGTGGTGGCTCACACCTGTAATCCTAGCACTTTGGGAGGCCTAAGCGGGTGGATCACCTGAGGTCAGGAGTTCAAGACCAGCCTGACCAATATAGTGAAACCTCTACTAAAAATACAAAAATTAGCCAGGCATGGTGGCTTGCGCCTGTAGTCCCAGCTACTTGGGAGACTGAGGCAGGAGAATTGCTTGAACCTGAAAGGCAGAGGTTGCAGTGAGCTGAGACTGCGCCACTGCACTCCAGCCTGGGTGACACAGCAAGACTCCATCCCAAAAAAAAAAAAAAAAAAAAAAAAGGCTATTCAAATGTTTGTCCCATTTTTTATTGGATTATTAGATTTTTTCCTATAGAACTGTTTGAATTTCTTATATGATGTGGTTATTAATCTCTTAACAGATGAGTACTTTGCAAATATTTTCTCCCAATCTGTGTATTGTTTCTTCACTTTGTGGATTGTTTCCTTTACTGTGCAGAAGATTTTTAACTTGATGTAATCCCATTTGTTCATTTTTGCTTTGGTTGCCTGTGCTCATCAGGTATTACTCAAGAAATCTTTTCTCAGACCTGTGTCTTGGAGAGTTTCCTCATTGTTTTCTTGTAGTAGTTTCCTAGTTTGAGGTCTTAGATATAAGTCTTTAATCCATTTTGATTTTATTTTTGTGTGTGGTGAAAGGTAGGGGTCTAGTTTCATTCTTCTGTATATAAATATCCAGTTTCCACAGCACCATTTATTGAAAAAACTGTCTTTTCCACAGTGTATGTTTTTGGCACCTTTGTCAAAAATGAGTTCACTGTGAGTGTGTAGATTTGTTTCTGGATTCTCTATTCTGTTCCAATGATCTATGTGTCTATTTTTATGCCAGTACCATGCTGTTTGGATTACTATAGCTCTGTAGTATAATTTGAAGTCACGTGATGTAATTCCTCCAGTTTTATTCGTTTCACTTAGGATGACATTTGCTATTCTGGGTCTTTTATGGTCCCATATAAATTTTAGAATTTTTTTTTCTATTTCTGTGAAAATTGTCCTTGGTATTTTGATAGGGATTGCACTGAGTCTGTAGATTGCTTTGGGTAGTATGAACATCTTAAAAATATTGATTTTTCCAATCCATGAACATGGAATATCTTTGCATTTTTTTGGTGTCCTCTTCAATTTCTTTCATCAATGTTTTTATAGTTTTCATTATAGAGATCTATCACTTCTTTGGTTAAGTTCATTCCTAGGTATTTAATTTTATCTGTGGCTATTATAAATGGGATTACTCTTTGGATTTCTTTTTCAGATTGTTCTCTGTTGGCATACAGAAATGCTACTGACTTTTGTATGTTGATTTTTTTATCCCACAACTTTACTAAATTTGTTCACAGCTCTAATAGTTTTTTATAGTCTTTGGGTTTTTCCAAATAAAAGAACATATCATCTGCAAACAAAGATAATTGGATTTCTTCCTTTGCAATTTGGATGCCCTTAATTTCTTTCTTTCTGTCTTTCTTATTATCTGCTCCAGCTAGGACTTTCAGTACTTTGTTGAATAACAGCAATGAAAGTGGCATCTTTGTCATGTTCTAGATCTTAGAGAAGACTCAATTTTTTCCCCATTCAGTATGATATTAGCTGTGGGTCTGTCATATATGGCTTTTATTATGTTGATATATGTTCCTTCTAAACCCAATTTTTTGAGGGCTTTTATCATTAAGGGATGTTTAATTTTATCAAATGCTTTTTCAGTATTAATTGAAATGATTATTTGTTTTTTGTCCTTCATTCTACTGATATGATGTATTCTGTTGATTGATTTAAGTATGTCAAACCAACCTTGCATCCCAAGGATAAATCCCACTTGGTCATGATGAATAATCTTTTTCATGTATTGTAGAATTCAGTTTGCTAGTATTTTATTGAGGATTTTTGCATCAATCTGATCAGAGATATTGACCTGTAGTTTCTTTTTCTGATGTTTTTTCTAGTTTTGGTGTCAGAGTAATACTGGCCTTGTAGAATGGGTTTGGAAGAATTTCCTTCTCTATTTTTTTTGGAGTTTGAGTAGGACTGGTATTAGTTCTTCTTTAAATGTTTGGTAGAATTCACCAGTGAAGCCACTGGGTTCTGGCCTTTTTTTTTTTCCTGGGAGAATTTTTATTACAGCTTCAATCTCATTACTTGTTATTGGTTTGTTCAGGTTTTGGGTTTCTTCATGGTTCAATCTTGGTAGGTAGTATGTGTCTAGGAATTTGTTCATTTCTTCTAGATTTTCCAATTTATTGGCATATAGTTGCTATAGTAGCCACTAATGATCCTTTGAATTTCTGTGGTATCAGTTGTAATGTCTCCTTTTCCATATCTTATTTTATTTATTTGGATCTTCTCTCTTTTTTCTTAGTGTGTCTAAAAGTTTGTCAATTTTGTTTAATGTTTCAAAAAACTAACATTTTGTTTTATTGATCTTTTGTGCTGTTTTCATTTCAATTTCATTTATTTCTGCTCTGATATTTATTATTTATTTTGTTCTACTGATATTGGATTTGGTTTGCTCTTGCTTTTCTAGTTTGTTAAGATGCATTTTGTTTATTTGCAGTTTCACTTTTTTGACTTATAGTTTATAAACTTATAGCTATAAACTTCTCTGTCAGTACTGCTTTTGCCATATCTCATAGGTTTTGGTATGTTGTGTTTCCATTAGGATTTTTTTCTAGAAAGTTTTCAAATTTTCTTCTTAAAGTCTTTTTTGACTCACTGGTCATTCAGGAGCATATTCTTAATTTCCATTTATTTGTCTAGTCTCCAAAATGCCTCATTATTGATTTTTAGTTTTATTGCATTGTGGCCAGAGAAGATGCTTGATACTATTTTAATTTTTTGAATGTTTTAAGACTTGTTTTTTGACCTAACATATGGTCTATTTTTTTAGAATAATCCATATGCTGAGGGAAATAATGTGTATTCTGCAGCCATTTGATGAAATGTTCTGTAAACATCTATTAGGTCCATTTGGTCTACAGTGCAGACTAATTCTGATGTTTCTTTGTGGGTTTTCTGTCTAGAAGATCTGTCCAATATTGAAAGTGGGGAGTTGAAGTCTCCACTATTATTGTATTGGTGTTTATCTCTCTCTTTAGCTCTAATAATATTTCCCTTATATATCTGGGTGCGCCAGTGTTGGGTGCATATGTATTTAAAATTGTTATATCCTCTTGATAAATTGATCCCTTTATCATTATATAGTGACCTTCTTTGTCTCATTATAGTTTTTGTCTGGAAATCTATTTTATCTGATATAAGTATATCTACTCCTGGTCTTTTTTTGTTTCCATTGGCATGTCATATCTATCTTTTTCCACTACTTGATTTGCAGTCTATATGTGTCTTTACAGGTGAGGCATGTTTCTTGTAGGCAACAGATCATTGGATTTTGCTTTTTTATTCATTTAGCCAGTCTATGTCTTTTTATTGGAGAGTTTAGTCCATTTACATTCAATGTTATTTTTGGTAAGGATGGACTTAATCCCGCCATTTTTTCATTCGTTTTCTGGTCTTCTCTTCCTTCTTTCATTTTTTCCTGTCTTCCTTTTTGTGAAGGTAATTTTTTTCTAATGGTAGAATTTAATTTCTTGCTTTTTGTTTTTTATGTATCTGTTGTACCTTTTTTAAAATTTAAGGTTACCATGAGGCTTGCAAACACTATCTTAGAACCCATTATTTTAAACTGATGACAACTTAACAGTGATTGTATAAACAAACAAGAGAAAAGAAAACTCATGAAAACTCTACACTGTCCCACACTTTAAAACTTTTTGTTGTTTCTATTTATATCTACTGTACTGCCCATGTCTTAAAAATTATAGTTATTATTTTTTGAGTGATTCATCTTTTAGTTTTTCTACTTAAGATTAGGACACACACCACAATTACAGTATTATAATATTAATATTTTGTGTTTTTCTATGTACTTACTACTACCAGAGACTTTTTTCTACCTTCAGAGGATTTCTTATTGCTCATTAACATCCTTTTCTTTCTAACAGAAAAACTCCCTTTAGTATTTCTGGTGGGATAGTCTGGTGTTCATGAAATCCCTTAGCTTTTGTTTGTCTTGGAAAGCCTTTGTTTCACCTTCATGTTTGAAGGCCATTTTCACCAGATATACTACTTTAGGGTAGAAGTTTTTTTCTTCAGCACATTTAAAATATGGCCATGCCACTGTCTCCTGGCCTGTAAGGTTTCCCTTAAAAAGTCTTCTGCCAGACATTGGAATTCCATTGTGTTTTATTTGTTTCTTTTCTCTTGATGCTTTTAGGATCCTTTCTTTATACTTGACCTTTGGGAGTTTGATTATTAGATGCCTTGAGGTAGTCTTCCTTGGGTTAAAACTGCTTAGTGTTCTACAACCTTCTTGTACTTGGATATTGATATCTTTCTCTAGGTTTGGAAAGCTCTCTGTCATTAAATCTTTGAATAAACTTTCTACCCCTATCTCTTTCTCACCCTCCTCTTTAAGGCTAATAACTCCTAGATTTGCCTTTTTGAGGCTGTTTCCTAGATCTCATAGGTGTGCTTAATTCTTTTTTATTCTTTCTTTTGTCTCCTCTGACAGTATTTTCAAATAGCCTATCTTCAAGCTCACTAATTCTTTCTTCTGCTTGATTCATTCTGCTGTTAAGATGCTATGATACATTCTTCAATATGTCAATTGCATTTTTCAGCTCAAGATTCCTGCTTGATTCTTTTTTTTTTTTTTTCGAGACAGTCTCACTCTGTCACTCAGGCTGGAGTGCAGTGGTGCGATCTCGGCTCACTGCAAGCTCCACCTCCCGGGTTCACGCCATTCTCCTGCCTCAGCCTCCTGAGTAGCTGGGATCACAGGCACCCGCCACCATGCCCAGCTAATTTTTTGTATTTTTAGTAGAGACAGGGTTTCACCGTGTTAGCCAGGATGGTCTTGATCTCCTGACCTCGTGATCCACCTGCCTCAGCCTCCCAAAGTGCTGGGATTATAGGCGTGAGCCACTGCACCCAGCCTCATACAAGAGTTTTGATTAATTCACATAGTTGCCAGCATTTGTTATTTTGTTGTTCTTAGGTAGTAGCAAAATAATGAAGGTGAGGGTGTGTGGATGTCATTGCTGTTTTGATTTGCATTTCCCTAACCATGAGAGAGAGATGTTGAACATCTTTATGTGATTATCACCTTTTGTATGCTTCATTAGAGGAATGTCTATTCAATTCCCTAACATATTTTTCAACGTAATTGTATTTTACCCAGCATGGGCTGCTGAAATAAAATACCAAGTATTGAGGGTATTAACCCACCAACTTTTAATTCTCACTGTACAAGAAATTATTAAGTAAGTCCAAGGTCAACGTAATGGCAGATTCAGTGCCTGATAAGGGTCTGCTTCATGGTACAAGCAAGGCTGTCATCTCATTGAGTTCTCATATGGTGAAGAGCAAAAGAAAGCTACCTAGGGAATCTTATAAGCCCATTCATAAGGGACTACCCTCATGATCTCATCTAATTCTAACTACCTCCCTGAGATCCCATATCTTCATTCCATACATTAGGAAGTAAGGCTTCAACACTTGAATTTCAGGAGACAAACTCAATAATTTTCTACCCTGCCTCCCCAAATTTATATCCCTACATGCAAAATACATTTATTTCATTTCAACAGCATCGAAAGTCTTGAGTCAGTCCACGATTAGGTGTAAAGCCTAAACTCAAACTCCATTAAATATCATCTGAATCAGATATGGGTGAGAGTTGAGGTAACATTCATCCTGAGGCAACATTCTTTTCCAAATGTGAGCCTTAGAAAACAAACCGGTTGTGTGCCCTAGTGTTGAGACAGGCTTAGGAAAACACTTCTATTTCAAAGAAGAGAAATATGAAAGGAGGAAGTGGTGACAGTTCCCAAGCAAGCCAAAAACCCAGAAGGTAACCTTCATATAAGAATAATCCTCTTTGGGCCAGGCATGGTGGCTCACGCCTGTAATCCCAGCACTTTGGGAGGCGGAGGCGGGCGGATCTTGAGGTCAGGAGATCGAGACCATGCTGGCTAACACGGTGAAACCCCATCTCCACTAAAAATACAAAAAATTAGCCTGGCGTGGCGGTGGGTGCCTGTAGTCCCAGCTACTCGGGAGGCTGAGGCAGGAGAATGGCGTGAACCCGGGAGGCGGAGCTTGCAGTGAGCCGAGATCGCACCACTGCACTCCAGCCTGGGAGACAGCGAGACTCCGTCTCAAAAAAAAAAAAAAAAAAAAAAAAAAAAGAAGAAGAATCCTCTTTGACTCAATATTCTGGAAAAGAGATTGGTGGGAAAGGCTCTCTGACATGATCAAGGATGACTGAAAAACTTACACAAAAGCAAAGACAAATCTTTACTAACAAGGAACTCAAAAGATCTTCTGAAATCCTCTACAATGACAACAATAATGACATTATGATGATGTAGAAGATTTAAAAGATGCAGAGCCATTGATTGGGACCTGAACGCATTGCAGCAGTTTTTCAACAGGCAGAGGTGTTAAAGATTATTATCCTCAAGTAAGATCCCTCAGTGGAGCAAAGTCTCCACCTCACCTGAGTAATTACAACATGCCTACAAACACAGTAGATGATTCAAAGAAATAAAGGAATAAGATTCTTATAACAACATTTCTAACTAAGCATTTGCATATATGAAGACTGAACCCTCAGTACTTATAGATCTTCAGCCCTCAAGCCAAACAGATCCTGACTGTATTATTTAGCCTCCTCCAAAGAGTCAACATCTGCAATCAGAACCTTGTTCTTATAACATAGATGATTGTTCGGATGTTCTGTCAGAAGATTCCATTTAACCTGATCTCTCACTACGTATCTACAATACCACATGTCTAGCCACCTCAACAAATCACAGTGTTAGGCACCATACAGTGATCATCATCACTATCACTATACCTGGGTAATCAAGAGAGACAAACTAGGATTTTGCTGAATATTAACATACTCTTTCAGGTCAATTCTCAAAAGGAATCTGTGTGTATTGAAGGAAATTGTAACTTTCTGGCTGACATGTACTATTTAGGGAGGCCTGTGATGGTTGCCCTGTACTGAATAAGTATAGACTTTTTCTCAATAATTCCCTAAGCAATATAATAACTATTTACATAGTATTTACAATGCATGAAGTATTATAAATAATCTAAAAATGATTTACAGTGTGCAGGAGGATGTGCATAGGTTACATGCAACTATGTCATTTTTAAAAAGGGACTTTAGCATCTGTGGATTCAGGTATCCTTGGGAGGTGATAGAACCAATCTCTTGAATATATCAAGAGATAACTATATTCAAAATAAATGGAAACTACTTAAGTCTTTATAACATCTTTATATTCATAGGGCTTATCTCCAATGTGAATTCTTCCTCATATCTTAAATAAAATAAGATTAGCGAATGCTTCTCCCACATTCCATACATTTAGAGGGTTTCTCTTTAGTGAGTCCTTTTATGTCCATTAAAGTAAGTGGGAGAACTGAATGCTTTTTCACATCCCTTACATTCATACAGCTTCTCTCCAGTGTGAATTTTTTCATGTATACAAAGGGAACTGGAAAAACTGAAGGCTTTACCAAATTGCGTACAATCATGGTTTTGTTTCCAGTGAGTTCTTTCATGCCTTAGGAGGGAAAAGGACAAAAACAAAATGCTTTCTTACACTCCTTACGTTCATGGAGTTTCTTTCCAGTGTGAGTCCTGTAATGATTTCAAAAAGAACAGACATCGCTAAAGGCTTTCCCACATTTACATTTACAGTGTTTCTCCCCAGTGTGTGTCCTTTTATGTCTTTGTAGAAAACTGGAAGAATCAAGGGCTTTCTCACATACCTTGCATGTCTGAGATCCATCTCCGGTGTGCGTTTTCATGTGTCTTTGAAAGCTTGTGCATGAAAGAAGGCTTTCCCACATTGCTTACATTTATAGGGTTTCTCTTCAGTGTGAGTTCTTTCATGTCTTTGAACTAAACTGAGATAATGAAAGCTTTTCCCACATATCTTACATTTATGATTTCTACTTCCAGTGTATGTTCTTGTGTATATTTGAAAGCCTCTGAGATGATAAAATGCTTTTACACATTGCTTACCTTCATAGGGTTGTTTTCCAGTTTGAGCCTTTTCAAGTATTTGAGTGTAACAGAAACCACTGAAGGCTTTCCCACATTGTTTGCATTTATAAGGTTTCTCTCCAGTGTAAGTTCTTTCATGTCTTTGAAATGGTCTGTGAGAATTGAAGCCTTTCCCACATATCTTACATTTATGAGGCCTATCTCCACTGTGCATTCTCATGTGTGTTTGAAAGCTTCTGAGACGATTAAGTACTTTCTCACATTCCTTACAGTCACTAAGTTTCTTTCCAGGGTAAGGCCTTTAATGTATTCAAAGGAAGTGGCAATAACTGGAGGCTTTCTCACATTGTTTATGTGTATGTGGCTTCTCTCCATATTCCTGATACTCATGTGGCTTGTGTTGAGCATGAGCTCTATGGTAGCAATTAAGATGAACGACCCATGCTGACTTCTCCACACACACTGCTTTCACGTGGTTTTGCTCAAGGGAGACTTTTTTTTTTTTTTGAGACGGAGTTTCATTCTTGTTGCCCAGGCTGGAGTGCAATGGCTGATCTTGGCTCACTGCAACCTCTGCTTCCCAGGTTCAAGGGATTCTCCTGCCTCAGCCTCCCGAGTAGCTGGGATTACAGGCATTGTGCCACCACGCCCGGCTAATTTTGTATTTTTAGTAGAGACGGGGTTTCTCCATGTTGGTCAGGCTGGTCTCGAACTCCCAATCTCAGGTAATCTGCCTGCCTCAGCCTCTCAAAGTGCTGGGATTACAGGCGTGAGCCACCGAGCCCGGCCTCAAGGGAGATTTTTGTTGTTCACAATACCACCTGGAATGTGGCTGAAAGTTTCTCCAAATTATCTACCTCCTTTACTTTTACAGAATCAGTCTACCATATGATATCTGTAAAAACAGAGAAGTACAATTACTACAGGTTTGTTTATAAGTGTTTTTTATATATATTAATAGGTCTTAAATTTACATTGTTGACATTATCATGCAAAGCTTAGGTGTCATGCCCTGTTTGAACATGAACGGACTGAATGCTGTGCAAGATAACTCAACTGTGGCTATCATCGGAACAGTAATATTCACGTGGGAATTCTTAGTACTGTTTTCCAAGGAAATTATTTTGCAGACACACTTAACAGCTATGTCCCATTTAAGTATGTTTTTGAAGAAAATTTTCTAAGAGTGAATAAATTTAAGCCAGGATTATTCTTTTTTATTTATTTATTTATTTATTTATTTTGCTTGTTTTAAAATTTTCCTGTCTTTTTTTTTAGACGGAGTCTTGCACTTTCGCCTGAGCTGGAGTGCAATGGCATGATCTCGACTGACTGCAACGTCCTCCTCCCGGGTACATGCGATTCTCCTGCCTCAGCCTCCTAAGTAGCTGGGACTACAGGTTCACACCACCACGCCTGGCTAATTTTTTGTATCTTTAGTAGAGACAGGGTTTCACTATGTTGGCCAGACTGGTCTCGAATTCCCGACCTCCTGAACTGCGCCCCACCCCCCCACCCTTTCAAAGTGCTGGAATTATAGGTGTGAAAAATTTCCTGTCACTTTAAGAATTATTCCAAAGACATATCTTTCTCTTCCTAGGGCAAATTACCTTAGATTTCTTCTGGGAATTTTGTACTAATCTTTAATGTTTTGGTCTTCCCATTTCATTCCTAAAATGTAGACCCAGAAGAATCACTATATATTATTATAAAATTACATTGAGGCCGGGGGCGGTGGTTCACGCATGTAATCCTAGCACTTTGGGAGGCCGAGGTGGGTGGATCGTCTGAGCTCAGGAGTTCGAGACAAGCTTGGGCAACACAGTGAAACCCCGTCTCTACTAAAAAATACAAAAAAATATTAGCCGGGCATGGCGGCGTGCGCCTGTAGTCCCAGCTACTCGGGAGGCTGAGGCAGGAGAATCAGTTGAACCCAGGAGGCAGAAGCTGCAGTGAGCCAAGATCGTGCCACTACACTCCAGCCTGGGTGACAGAGCAAGACTCCATCTCAAAAAAAAAATAATAATAAATAAAAATAAAATTATATTAAAAATGTAAGATTTTATGTAGACTGCAGTTATGGATGATTTATTCACCAAACCACAGTTGACTCTTCAACAACACAGGTTTGAACTGCATAGATCTCCTTACATACAAATTTTCTTCAGTTTCTGCTACTACTGAGACAGCAAGACCAACCCCTCCTCTTATTCAGCCTACTCAATGTGAAGACAATAAGGATGATAACATTTATGATGCTCCACTTCTACTTAATGAAATAGTAAATATAGTTTTTTCTCCTTGTGATTTTCTGATTAACATTTTTCTCTGCCTTAGTTTATTGTGAGAAAACAATATGTAATGCATATGACATATAAAATATGTGTTAATTGAATGTATATCTTACCAGTAAGGTTTCTGGTCAACAGTAGGCTATTAGTAGTCAAGTTGCGGGGGAGAAAAAAGTTATTTGAAGATTTGTGACTGCATTGAGGGCTGGTGCCCCTAATCCCTGCATTGTTCAAGGGTCAAACGTATTTCTTTTATATTCTAAATCTTTGAACAGCATTGGTGACGAAGAAACAAATATTCGTAATTGACTAAGTAAAGACATGATGTCCCCCTTACCTATACAGTCTAGGTTCCTGATGGTTTCCCGTAGCACATCTCTGTAGAGACTCTTCTATGATGGACCCAGCAAAGCCCACTCCTCCCAGGCAAAAGATCAAAGCCACATCCTCAAAGGCCACTGAGTCCTGAAACACCCGACACGTGCAGAGGAGGAAAGCTGAAACTGACAGCACTGGGAATCTGTACTCACTACATAAATGTCACATGATGCTGTGGTGTCCAAACATTTATGCAACGACACGGTAATCCAACTCTTACCCTCTTTCTAAACTCATTTTCTCCCAGAATGCAATTCTAATGCTAGAATTAAACGTGTTTGGTAAAATAACAGTCGAATTATAAAATGCCACTCCTTGGTGAGTTAAAGGAGTGACATTTATTGCCTAGATCACCCCTAATATCTATGTGTACAGGATGTTTGTAATTCCTGATGTGACAAAGTCCTCCTACCTAATGGGCAGAAGAGTTAACATCAGCTGTCCTGAGACCGCATATTGTTACAAATGCTTGCTCACAAAGTTGAACCTTTCACTATATCTAGGAACTAAATTTAGTTAGGGGGCTTCACCAACATAAGCGATAATGGAGGATGAGTGTCCCTAAACTATGTAAAAAATATGGTATCTGCTGAACTCCTATGTTCCCTCTGAGAGTTCAAACTTTTGTGATATGCTTGGCAGAGGGAGCATACCTGATCATTCACTACTAGGTTTTTTGCTTGTTTTTGTTTTTGTTTTTGTTTTTTTTGAGACAGAGTCTTGCTCTGTCTCCAGGCTGGAGTGCAGTGGCGCAATCTCGGCTCACTGCAACCTCCGCCTCCTGGGTTCAAGCGATTCTCCTGCCTCAGCCTCCCGAGTGGCTGGGATTACAGGCGCACACCACCATGCCCAGCTAATTTTTGTATTTTTAGTAGAGACAGGGTTTCACCATGTTGGCTAGGATGGTCTCGATCTCTTGACCTCGTGATCCACCCACCTCAGCCTCCCAAAGTGCTGGGATTACAGGAGTGAGCCACCGCGCCCGGCCATTCACTGCTAGGTTTGAATGTTTGTCCCCTCCAAAATGCTTGTTGAAACATAATCGCCAATGTGGCACTAATGAAAGGTGAGGCCTTTAAGAGGTGAGTAGATCTTAAGGGTTCAGACCTCATAAATAAATTAATCCATTCATGAATTCATGGCTTACTGAATTAATGAGTTATCTCAGGAGTGGGACTGATGGCCATATTAAAAAAGAAGGGAACCTGAGCTACCACATTCAGCCCATTCTCCATGTGATACCTTCAACCACCTAGAAACTCTGCACAGCCCCCATGACCAAGAAGGCTTTCACCACATGAAGCCCTCTTACTTGCTAGGTTCCAGAACTATAATAAATAATTTTTTTTGTTGTTTTTTGGCTTTTCTTTTTAGATGGACTCTTGCTTTGTTGCCCAGATGGGAGTGCAGTGGCACGATCTCGGCTCACTGCAACCTCTGCCTCCTCCTGGGTTCAAGCAATTCTCCTGTCTCAGCTTCCTTAGTAACTGGGACTACAGGTACATGCTACCACACTTGGATAATTTTTGTATTTTTAATAGAGACAGGGTTTCACTATGTTGGCCAGGCTGGAAGAAATATTGTTTTTTAAATAAATTACTCAGCTTCTACTATTCTGTTATAAGCAACAGAAAACATACTAGGATAAGCATGAAAAAACCACTCACCACTGGGTCTCTTATGAGCTTTTTTTGGTAGATAACATTTCCCACATTTTGTCACAACTTGTTACTTAAAGGATAAAGCCCATCCAATCTGAACACATTATAGGAGACTATTTGGAAGGTGGCATCTGCTTTCCTCTAGACCAAATTCAGTTAAGTATGACAAAAGACTAATGAAAGATGTCTCACTATCCCAATGGGAAACTTACGCTTTTTATTGGGTAATAACAAAGGATAATAAAGAAGGAAAAAGATTGCACATGTTCACTCCTGTAATCCCAA
Source organism: Homo sapiens (assembly GCF_000001405.40). Classification (NCBI taxonomy): domain Eukaryota; kingdom Metazoa; phylum Chordata; class Mammalia; order Primates; family Hominidae; genus Homo; species Homo sapiens. The sequence goes on from NC_000019.10 coordinate 11,761,793, forward strand.
CACTTTGGGAGGCTGAGGCGAGTGAATCACCTGAGGTTGGGAGTTCAAGACCAGCCTGAACAACATGGAGAAACCCCATATCTACTAAAAATACAAAAAATTAGCCGGGCATGGTGGTGCATGCCTGTAATCCCAGTTACTCGGGAGGCTGAGATAGGAGATTCGCTTGAAGAACCTGGGAGGCGGAGGTTGCGGTGAGCCGAGATCGCGCCATTACACGCCAGCCTGGGCAACAAGAGCGAAACTCCATCTCAAAAAAAAAAAAAAAAAAAAAAGGAAAGAACTCAATATCACCTCTCATAAATATCTATGCTAGTCCCTAAATCCCTAAAACAGTTGTTTTAATAGTGAACAAAAATTGCATTAGCAAATCTAGTAGGAATCACAAATGTCTAAAAGTGAGAAAAATGTTGGAACAGAAACATGAAATCTTGCCTGAAATACATAAAGGATTCAAGGGTGAAATATGCAAGACACTATACTATTAATCGAGAGATAAACAAATAGAAATAGGAATGTGAATAATGGTAGGAAAGCCTAGCAGAGTTTTTAAAGTTTCTTCTTATTCTAATCTCTCCTCCACTTCAGTGACAGTCTTGAGGACAACAGCCTAGGTTCCCAGTGTGAGATCCTGGTCACTGATTCTAAAGAGAGCAGATCAGATTTAATGTGCAAATTATTGCCTTTGTATGTTACAATCTGTTTTGGGCCTTTCCAAAGGTCTCAAACAAGGCTGTCTTCTCTGTTTCATCTATGTTGGAAGCCAATTAGAATAAACACTAGCAGGAACATCTTAAAAATTTTACGAAAAACATAAAAAGCCTGCAACCACATTGGACTATAGATTATGATTAAGACATACACTGACCAGCTAATGGCCAGGAAGAAAAGCTGGAGAGAAAATTTCCCTCAGAACTTGGGATATTCAAAAGCTCCCAAATTAGCCATGGTGGCATGTCCCTGTAGGCTCAGCTATTTGGGAAGCAGATGCAGAAGGATCACTTGAGCCCAGGAGTTCGAGGCTGTAGTGAGCTATAATTGTGCCACTGCACTCCAGCCTGGGTAACAGAGCAAGACCCCATATAAATAAATAAATAAATAAATAAATAAATAAATAAATAAATAAAATTAATTAATTACTTATTTAAAATAAAATAAAGCACCCAGTTATAGGAGGTAGTTTCCTGAGACCTGGAAGAAGAAAAAAAAAAAAAGCACCAGGGTATACTGAGGAATTAAGCCCCATGCAGTCAAACGACAGAAAAACACATTTTCACAAAAGACCCAAGACCATCGTTTTCAGATGTGGCAGATCTTGAGGCTTGGTTAAACAGAAAGAGAAGGGTGAAGCAGAGCTTTAAGCAGCTGGGCTAAGGATTCGAGGAATTCTCCAGCTCAGATCCATCCACAGAGACTGACAGAGGTCAATTTTTTGCTTGTTTCATTTTCTCTTTTTCTTTCAGTTTCTGGCATTGTCAGAACACTGGGTGAATATAAGCTAAAGGGACAGAGACCTCAGTGACTACACTGGACAGGGAATACAGTCTCTATAAATACACTTCTGAAATAAACAAGATTACCAAACAAATAAGCAATTACAGCCTTCAGCGAACATAAATCGCATAAAAAAGAAGGGGGAGAATTTGATTTACAGAGTTACTCTTATTATAATATTCAAATGTCTAGTTTTAACCTTTATTTTAGGTTCCAGGGTACATATGCAGTTTTTTTATATAGACAAACTTGTGTCATGGGAGTTTGGTGTATAGATTATTTCATCACCCAGGTACTAAGCATGATACTTGATAGTTATTTTTTCTTATCCTTTTCTTCCTCCCACCCTTAAGTATGCCTCAGCGTCTGTTGTTCCCTTCTTTGTGTTCACATGTTCCCATTATGTAACTCCCACTTATTAAGTGAGAATATGTGATATTTGGTTTTCTGTTCCTGTGTTAGTTTGTTAAGGATAATAGCCTCCATCTCCATCCATGTTTCTGCAAAGGCATGATCTTGTTCTTTTTTATGGCTGCATAGTATTTCTTGGTGTATATGTGCCAAATGTGCTTTATTCAGTCTACTGTTAACAGGCATTTAGGTTGATTTCATATATTTGCTATTGTGAGTAGTGCTGCAATGAACATAGGTGTGCATGTGTCTTTATGGTAGAATGATCCATATTCCTTTGGGTATGTGGATCCAATACCCCAGTAAATGGGTATTGGATTGCTGGGTCAAACGGTAATTCAGTTTTTAGTGCTTTGAGGAATCACCACGCTGCTTTCCATAATGGTTGAACTAACTTAAACTCCCACCAGCAGAGTATAAGCATTCCCTTTTCTCCACAACCTTCCCAGCATCTGTTATTTTTTGACTTTTTATTAATGGCCATTCTAACTGGTGTGAAATGGTATCTCATTGTGGTTTTGATGTGCATTTCTCTAATGATTAGTGATATTGGGCATTTTTTTTTTCATTTGCTTGTTGATTACATGCATGTCTTCTTTTGAAAAGTGTCTTTAATCCATCTTGAGTTGATTTTTGTATATGGTTTAAGAAAGGGGTTCAGTTTCAATCTTTTGCATATGGCTAGCCAGTTATCCCAGCACCATTGATGAGTCCTTCCCCACTGCTTGTTTTTGTCAGCTTTGTGAAAGATCAGATGGTTGAAGGTGAGCAGCATTATTTCTAGGCTCTCTATTCTGTTCCATTGGTAATGTGTCAGTTTTTGTAAAAATACCTTACTGTAGCCCTGTAGTATATAGTTTGAAGTCTGGTAGCATGATGCCTCCAGCTTTGTTCTTTTTGCTTAGGATTGCCTTGACTATTTGGGACTTTTTAAGTTATTTTTTTCCAAGAACTAAGTCTTGCATTTGCTAATCTTTTGTATGTTTTTTTTTTTTTTTGTATCTCAATTTCCTTCAGTTTAGCTCTGATTTTGGTCATTTTAGCTCTGATTTTGGTCATTTCTTGTCTTCTGCTAGCTTTGGGATTGGTTTGCTCTTGCTTCTCTAGTTCTTCTAGTTGTGATATTGGGTTATTAATTTCAGATCTTTCTTTTTGATTTGGGCAGTTAGTGCTATAAATTTCCATCTTAACACTTCTTTAGCTGTGCCCCAGAGATTCTGGTATGTTGTATCTTTCTTCTCAGTTTCCAAGAATTTCTTGATTTTGGTGTTAATTTCATTATTTACTCAGAAGTCATTCTGAACCAGGTCATTTAATTTTGATATAATTGTATGGTTTGGGGAGATTTTCTTAGTCTTGATTTCTATTTTTATTGCACTGTGGTCTGAGAGTGCAGTTGGTATGATTTTGTTTGCTTGTTTTTTTAATTTGCTGAGGGTTATTTTATGTCTGATTATGTTACTGATTTTAGAGTATGTGCCATGTGGTGAGGAGAAGAATGTATAATCTGTTGGTTTTGGGTGGAAAGTTCTGTAGATGTCATATCCATTTGGTCAGGTGTTGGTGGAAGGCTAAGGAGGAGCAAAGGCAAATGTTACATGGCGGCAGGCAAGAGAGCATGTACAGGGAAACTGCCCTTTATAAAGCCATCAGATTTCATGAGACTTATTCACTATCACGAGAACAGCATGGGAAAACCGCCTCCATGATTCAATTACCTCCCACTGGATCACTCCCATGACATGTGGGGATTATGGGAGCTGCAATTCAAAATGAGATTTGGGTGAGTAAGTCTCATGAGATCCGATGGCTTTATAAAGGGCAGTTCCCCTGCACACGCTCTCTTGCCTGCCGCCATGTAACATTTGCTTTTGCTCCTCCTTTGCCTTCCACCATGATTGTGAGGCCTCCCCAGCCATGCTGAACTGTGAGTCAATTAAACCTCTTTTTCTTCGTATCACCATGGGTGCCAGCTCCCAGTTAATAACGCTTTTTTTTTGTTTGTTTTTAAATAGAGATGGGGGTTTCACCACATTGCCCAGGCCGGTCTTGAGCTCCTGAGCTCAAGCAATCCACCCACCTCAGCCTCCCAAAGTGGTGGGATTGCAGGCATGAGCCACGGTGCCTGGCCTCATAATGCTTTTATATCTGGTATTCTTCATAAAAATATGAAGATGAATGTTTTCAAATTCAAAGTCTAATGTCTCAGCCTTTGATTGAAGCATTTAATTCAATAACATTTATAGGCTTGATGGAAGGAGCATTTCCACGCTGTGTTTAGGAGACAGGAGGGCAAATTGAACTCCCAGAGTTAAATCCATTAGTGCCCCTGACTCATCCCCAGGTTCTGATCCACCCTAGGGCTCCATTTCAGGAATTATCGTCTGGCCTCCAAGCTTTGGAATATGTTTGGCCTCCTGAAAGTGGTTGACTTGTGAACTGTGTGTGGATGCAGCAGGCTGCTTATCTGAGCTAGTTCAAGTTTTTGCTTTATAAAATATTGCCGCCATATAATTCCAGTTTTTCCACACATTTAACAATTTTATTTATTTCTTTTTTCTTTTTTCTTTTTTTTTTTTTTTGAGACGGAGTCTCCCTCTGTCTCGCCCACTCTCTCACTGCAGCCTCTGCCTTCCAGGTTCAAGTGATTCCTCTGTCTCAGCCTCCTGAGTAGCTGGGACTACAGGCGTGCGCCACCACATCCGGCTAATCTTTGTATTTTAGAGACGGGATTTCACCATGTTGGCCAGACTGGTCTCGAATTTCTGACCTCAGGTGATCCACCTGCCTCAGCCTCCCAAAGTGCTGGGATTACAGGTGTGAGCCACCACGCCCGGCTTTGTTGGGGTGTTTTTATATTCTGCACTGAAAATTAGTAGATTGAGACATAAGGTGGGAGAAAGGCTTGGCCTGTGCAGCCAACAGCCTCATCCAAAACTCCTGATTCCTGGAGGACATCAGCCCCTCCCTTCTGCTGCAGTGTGGCCTGGGCTCCCTTCCTGCTCTCAAATCAGGGGATAGCTCCACTGGACAGTGAGTCTGGAATTTCCTGCACAGACTTGTGGGTCCCTGTCCAAGAGGAAAAAGGAGGAAGGTCAGGACATACTGCCTAAATGCAAATGTCCCCTGGGAGGGGGTCAGGTCACAGCGCAGGGAGGAAGCTAGTCCTCTCAAGGCCTGTCTGGAATCTGTTTATCAGGTTCCACTCCGCTGCCCGAGATCGCTTCTTCCGTTACTCAGTGCCCGGGGGAGGGACCTGGCGCACTATCCAATCAGGGCCGCGGGGCGGGGTCGTGAGAACTGTCAATCAGGCGCACTGACCGGAGGAGGGTGCAAGGTTCAAAGAGCCCGCCGAGTCTTCTCCACGCCCCTGCACTGGGCTCCGGGTTCTGTCACTGAGAGACGCCCTGGAACGTCTGTGGCAGCTTCTGTCTCGCTGGGACCCGCACTGACAGCGGGAGGCAGAGGGAGGAACCTGGACGCCGGAAGCCGGGAAATGGTGAGTGTGTGAGGTCTGGTGTCCCGACGCGTGAGAGGAGAGACTGGTTGGAACCGGCCGGAACCGGCTGTGGTGGCACCAGGTCTTCCCCGCCGGCGACACCCTGGCGCAGCTCGGCCCTCGGTTCCCTCGGCCGCACGATGGGGCTGGGGCGGCAGCCGGGACCCCGGGCGTCCTGTCCCGTCCCTGCGCGGCCACTGCGGCCCTGGCCCTGGAGGCCTGTCTGGGCAGCTCCGCGCCCGCAGTCCTGCGTCTCCCCAGATTGTGCGGCTGTAACCGGCACAGGTTCGCGGCCCGAGTCACTGCACCGAGACGCCGAGGGCTGCAGCAGAAACAGTTTAATAGGGGGAGAGGGGAGGACACCCCAGATCCGCCTTCCTGAGAGGTTTGGGGATGGGGTGTTTAGGGGTGTGGACAGGGGCGGCTGGGGCGTGGGGTCGCTGGATGGTGGGGAAGTGAGGGGTGACTCTTGGGACTGGAGGTGAAGAAACCGCATTCTTCTGCTGAGTGGGTTCCCTTGTGGGGTCTTCAGCCTGGTTGGCGCCAGCCTTTCCGCTGGAATTCAGGATCTGAGAAAGAACTCAGGCGACTCTTGAGCAACTCTCAGAGATCTCATCCCCAAGCACAATGGCGAAGCCGGCGGTCAGCATCTGCTGTGGCCTGACTCTTGGGGAGGCGGCCCCGCGAGGCAGCGGGGCTGAGGGCACCTGGTTAATATCTAACTGCAATCTCGCCTCCAGCCTGGCTCGCAGTTCTGTGAACCCGGTGAGGAGGCTGCACGGTGATGACAGGTCACCAGGCAGACTCGTGTGTGGGGTTTGTGTGTGGGAGGAGTTGTGGTCTGTGTGGTCCCCTGTCCCTTCTTTCTTCCCAAGGGTGACCCGTTCGCCTTCGAGTCTTCCAAAGATGTGGGCAGCAGGGTCTCAAGTCCACCACTGTGTTCTCTCATCCTAACTCCTCCTAGGGCCGACAGAAAATCCCTTGGCTTCCAGAGCCTTCCTCAGGCTTTCTCTCCTCAATTCACAGCAACTTTATGAACTCCTTGTCCCCCAGTTTATTTTTCAAACAGAGGCTAGTATTTTAATTGTCATTTTGTTTATACATAGCAATATATGGCTCTTTGTAAAAGGTTTTGTGTTTGTGAACATTTCACATGAGAGGAAGCAGAGAAAAACCACCAGACATTTCGCTGTAAAAAAAATGAATATTAATAAATAAAATCTTTGTTACTGTCCTCCCTTCATCATCCCTAGACAGAGACACCTTTTGAGAATGTCTTTGGATTAAGTTTCCTCTTTGGAAACGTTACAGAGTGATGAGTCCCCAGCCCATCCTCTATGGTTTCCTGGTCCTGGGTTTCAGAGCTGCCTGGGGCCACCCCAAGATGCCCACAGCTGCCAAGTCTCTTGTAGTGTCAAGTGAATATCAGTCCCTTTGTCACTCCTCCCAGAGGACACCCTGAGGTGGAGATGGTGGGACCTTGTAGGGAAGCAGCATGATGCCCTGTAGTGGGAGGAGTCTCCTGGTATACCCTTCCTCAATAAGCTACTTCCTTAGAACACTCAGCTTTTCTTCCCCCATCCCTTCCTTGGGGATATATGGCTGGTCAGCCAATTGGATGGTGGTATTAAGGGGACAGGACTGAAATGATTCTTCCCTTCTGATGTTCTCAGACTAATGAAGGGAGAAAACTATCCCTAAGGACAGGAAAACCAACTCCACTGAGGTGGTGCAAGAACCTGAAAAGCTAACAATGTAGTGTCTCCTGGGATCATGGTTATTGAGCACTTCGGTGAGCAGCATGGTGATGGGGGATGTTCCAGGTGATAGGAGGACCTGACTTGACACACTCTGCACCCATAGGGAGGTGGTGAAAGGAGATGATGGTATAAGGGATGCATATGGATCAACCAAATTGAAGAACTGGGAGAAGATAGAGAACTAGAAACTGTGTCAAGGGTCATAAAACCCCTTTTTTGGTATGGAAAAACGAAACCACACTCAAAATGGAAGCTGAGGTAACAAACTGAGTAAAAATTAATGAAAACTGGAAAGTCTATAGTTAGTTGATCATTGTATATGGAGATGCTGGGCAGAAGATGGATTATTCTCCTGTAGGTAACCATTTGTCTCCATCATTTCTGTTGAAGTGTCCCTCATTTGTATCACTGCCTGGCAATACCTGCTGTGTCATAGGTTCTTGTACCTTAAGTAGATGCTCTTGTTCCAGAATTTGCCATTTTTCATTGGTTTATGTATCCATCAGTCTGCTAATATCATACTCTCCTGATTACTATAGTCTTCAAAGCCTTGATGTGTGGTAGAGAAAGACCCTTCCTAACTTAGTCCTTTGGGTTGCTATAACAAATTTACCATAGACTGCATGCCTTACACAACAGATATTCATTTCTCAAAGCTATAAAGGCTGAGAATTCAGTTTCAAGCAGCAGGTCAGTTGTCTACTAAAGGACTCTTTTTTTTTTTATTTTTTATTTTTGAGATGGAGTCTTGCTCTGTTGCCCAGGCTGGAGAACAGTGGCATGATCTCAGCTCACTGCAACCTCCGCCTCCTGGGTTCAAGTGATTCTCCTGCCTCAGCTTCCCAAGTAGCTGGGACTACAGGCACATGCCACCACCCCAGCTAATTTTTTGTATTTTTAGTAGAGACGGTGTTTCACCATGTTAGCCAAGATGGTCTCGATCTCCTGACCTCATGATCTGCCCACCTCGGCCTCCCAAAGTGCTGGGATTACAGGTGTGAGCCACCGTGCCCAGCCTGGGCCTCTTTCTTGATTTGCAGATGGCATTCTTCCTGTTATGCCCTCACATGGTGGAGATATGTCTGTAATGTCTGTCTAGTTTTGGTGTTAAGGCAGTTGTATTAGTCCATTTTCACACTGCTATAAAGAACTACCAGAAAAGAGGTTTAATTGACTCACAGTTCCTCATGGCTGGGGAGGCCTCAGGAAACTTACAATTGTGGCGGAAGGGGAAGCAGGCACTTCTTACATGGTGGCAGGCAAGACAGCATGTGAAAGAGGAACTGTCAAACACTTATAAAACCGTCAGATTTCATGAGAACCCACTATCACAAGAACAGCGTGGGGGAAACCGCCCCCATGATCCAGTCACCTCCCACAGGTCCTTCCCTTGATACATGGGGATTATGGGGATTACAGTTGAAGATTAGATTTGGGTGGTGACAAAGAGCCAAACCATATTATCAGTGTTGGCCTTACAACATGAATTAGAAAGTGTTCCCTCTGCTTGTATTTTCTGAAAGAGATTATAGAGAATTGGTGTCATTTCTTCCATAAGTGTTTTCCAGAATTCAACAGTGAAACCATGCTGGCCTGTTCCTTTTTCTTGGGACTTTTTGTTTGTTTGTTTGCTTGAAGTGGAGTTTTGCTTTGTTGTCCAGGCTAAAGTGCAGTATCATGATCTCACTGCAACTTCTGCTCCCTGGGATCAAGTGATCCTCCCACCTCAGCCTCCTGAGTGGCTGGAACTCCCACTACAGCCTCCTGAGTGGCTGGATGTGCCACCCCATCCTGCTAATTTTTTGTGTTTTCTGTAGAGATGGGGTTTCACCATGTTGCCGAGGCTGGTCTTGAACTCCTGGGCTCAAGCAGTCTGCTGATCTTGGCCTCCCAAAGTGCTGGGATTACATGTGTGAGCCACCACGCCTAGCCTACCACTGCACTATAGCCTGGGTGACAGAACAAAACTCTGTTTCAAAAAAAAAAAAAAAAATTGAATGCAATCTCTAGAAAGCAAAGATATATAACCAATGCTTAAAAACCTTCCACTTTAGGAAACTAAAGAAAGAATAGCAGGATACATGTAAATCGAGCAGAGGAAAATAACAATGAGAGAAGGTATTAATGAAATAGTAAGCAAGAAATCAGTAGAAAACATTAACAAACCAAAAGCTGGTTCCTTCAAAAGATCAATAAAATGAATAAGCCCATAGGCAAGCTAACTCAGAAGAAAGGGGGGTTATGATTACTCATCTTGTGTACATTAAAGGACCTCAAAGGAGTATTAGGAACAACTGCATGCCCACATAGTTGATAAATTACATGGAATGGACCAATTCCTTGAATGACACAAGCTACCAAAACTCACAAAAGGAGAACTAATTAATATGAAAAGGCTTATAACTATTGAAGAAATTCAATCAATAAATAATAAAAGTCCCAGGCTGTGGGCAGCAAGCCACCCAGGCGCCGAGGCAAGAGACCGAGGACACGAGCTGTTCCAGTATAATAAAATATAAAACAAGAATAGTTATACCAGATATAGATCTTAGATATGATTATATATGAATATCATTAATCATTAGTTGGCAGTAATTACTCTTTATTCCAATATTATAATAATCCTCACTCTATAATCATAACCTACGAAAAACCAGGCCATACAGAGATAGGAGCTGAGGGGACATAGTGAGGTGTGACCAGAAGACAAGTGTGAGCCTTCTGTTATGCCTGGACAGGGCCACCAGGGGGCTCCTTGGTCTAGCAGTGACGCCAGCGTCTGGGAAGACGCCCGTTGCCAGGCGGTCCGTGGTCTAGCGGTAGCAAAAAGTGTCAAGGAACACCCACTACTTAGCAGACCGGGAAAGGGAGTCTCCTTTTCCCCGGGGGAGTTTAGAGAAGACTGCTCCTCCACCTCTTGTGGAGGGCCTGACATCAGTCAGGTTTGTCCGCAGTTACCTGGAGGCGTAACCATCTCCCTGTCATGCTGTGCTTCAGTGGTCACACTCCTAGTCTGCCTTCATGTTCCATCCTGTACACCTGGCTCTGCCTTCTAGATAGCGGTAGTAAATTAGTGAAAGTACTAAAAGTCTCTGATATGCAGAAATAATGGCGTAAGCTGTCTTTCTCTCTGTCTCCTCTCCCTCTCTGCCTTGGCTGCCAGGCAGGGAAGGGCCCCCGTCCAGTGGACATGTGACCCACGTGACCTTACCTATCATTGGAGATGACTCACACTCTACCCTGCCCCTTTTGCTTTTGTATCCAATAAATAACAGTGCAACCAGACATTTGGGGCCACTACTGGTCTCCGCACATTGGTGGTAGTGGTCCCCGGGCCCAGCTGTCATTTCTTTTATCTCTTTGTCTTGTGTCTTTATTTCTACGCTCTCTCGTCACCGCACATGGGGAGAAACTCACCGACCCTGTGGGGCTGGTCCCTACACCAGGCCAGGCTGGGTGCACTGGTAGGCTAGGCATGGTGGCTCACATGTGTAATCCCAGCACTTTTAGCTGCTAGCATTCAGGAAATCTATCAGAATACTGGATGAACACAAGCTAAGGGAACAGAGACTTCAGTGACTACACTGGACAGAGAATACAGTCTCTGCAAACATACTCTGAAAATGTTACTAAACAAATGAATAATTAAAACCTTCCACAATCCCAGCACTTTGGGAGACCAAGATTGGCAGACTGCTTGAACCCAGGAGTTCAAGACCAGCCTGGGCAACATGGTGAAACCCCATCTCTACAGAAAACACAAAAAATTAGCAGGATGGGGTGGCACATCCAGCCACTCAGGAGGCTGTAGTGGGAGTTCCAGCCACTCAGGAAGCTGAGGTGGGAGGATCACTTGATCCCAGGAAGTAGAAGTTGCAGTGAGATAATAACACTGCACTTCAGCCTGGACAACAAAGCAAAACTCCTCCTGGGTTCACACCATTCTCCTGCCTAGCTCCCGAGTAGCTGGAACTACAGGCGCCTGCCACCACGCCCGACTAATTTTTTGTATTTTTAGTAGAGACAGGGTTTCACCTTGTTAACGAGGATAGTCTCAATCTCCTGACCTCGTGATTCGCCCGCCTCGGCCTCCCAAAGTGCTGGGATTACAGGTGTGAGCCACTGCGCCCGGCCTGCTTTCAATTCTTTACATTTCCTTCTAAGCACATTCTAAAAATTTTGCTATGATATACTCTTTTTTTATCAACATTGCAATATTTACATTTGCTTGAGAATTCTCTTTGACGCTTTTATAGTTGAGAGGCTTGTCACTTAAATCTCCAGGTTTTTAGGCTTTTCAAGTATGTTTCTGTTATTTATTGCTACTTTAATTATAATATAGTTTGATCGCATATTTTATAGAATTTCTATTTTTAAAAATGTGTTCAAGTGTGTTTTATGATTCAGAATATGGTCTATCTTGGTATATACTTCATGAGGGCTTGAAAATAATGTGTAGCCTGCTGGTGTAAAATGAAAGAATCTGTAAATACACATCAATTAAATCTAGTTGATTAATAGTATTCTTGAGTTCACATGTATCATTAGTGATTTTCTGCCAAACTGATCTGTCAATTATTGAAAGAGGTGAGTTGTTTTTCTCCAACTATAGTTGTAGATTTGTGTATTTTGTCATGTGGTTTTATAAGTTTTTGCCTTATGTATTTTCATGATCTGTGTTTATGGGCATAAATGTTAAGGATTATTATGTCTTGTAGGATTGATCTCTTTATCATTATGAAATATCTCCATCGTGTGTAATTTTTTTGACCTAAAATCTTATTTGTCTGAATTTAGTATCAGTGTTCCATATTTCTTTTGATTAGGGCTAGAATTGCATATATTTATCCAAACCTTTCTATTTAAAATGGTTTTCTTGTGCACATCGATGGGCCTTCTTTTTCATTATACTCTGCCAGTCCCTGCCTTTTTTACTGTTGAATATAGGTAATACACATTCTATGTCATAACTGATGTAATTGGATTAATATCACATATATGTTATTGTTTTCCATTTATTGTACATTATCTGTTTTTTTCCACTTTCTCCTTTCTGCCTTCTTTCATTTTGACTGAGCATGTATATGATTCCATTTGCTTGCTTCTATGAGTATAGTAAATCTCTTTGTTTCTTAAATGTTATTAGTGAATTCACTAGAGTTGGTAGAATACTATTCACAACTAATGAGCCTACAGTTTCAAATAACACTATACCGGCTTCAGGGGTAGTGCTGATATAACAAAGTATTCTGAATTCCTCTATTGTATTGCCCAATACATTGCTGATATTATTATGTTGAACAAACCTGTATCTATTATATTAGATCAGATAGGTATAAGAAAACTAAAGAATTTCAAATGTCTTCATTTAATTCTAAGAGTCTTCGTGTGTGGGTGTGTGATCCAAATTTCTAATCTATTTAATTTTTCTTCTCTCCGATGAACTTCTTTTAACATTACTAGCAAGACAGTTGTATCAATCATACATTCTATCAATTTCATTCCTTTTTTTTCTCCTTAGTCTAAATAACTTCAATTGTTCTATCTTCATTTTAGCTGATTTTTTACTTTGGTTGCTCACATCTGTTGAACATCTATAGAGAAATTTTCATTTTAGATGTTGTGCTTTGCAGTTGCATAAATTAAATATGGTCCAATTTCTAATTTTGTATTGATATGATTTTATTCATACATCCCTTTTCTGGTTTTCTTTTAGTTCTTTGTTCATAATTGCCTTTACCTCATTGAACATATTTAAGACAGTTGCTTTAAAGTTTTTATTCAATAAGTCTAATGTCTGAGGTTCTCAGAGATGGTTTATCTAAATTAAATTTTTTTTCCATTGATGAGCTATATTTTTATTCTTCTTTATAGTCTTTATGGATTTTTTGTGTTGTAAAGCAGACATTTGAATGTTATAATCTGGAAATCAGATTCCCTTCACTGTTTGCCCTTCTGGTTTGTGGAAGGTTTTAATTATTCATTTGTTTAGTAACATTTTCAGAGCATGTCTGCAGAGACTGTGTTCTCTGTCCAGTGTAGTCACTGAAGTCTCTGTTCCCTTAGCTTGTGTTCATCCAGTATTCTGATAGATTTCCTGAATGCTAGCAGCTAAAAGTAAAAAAGACATGCCAAACAAAAAGCTGACCTCTTCCAGTCTTTGTGGATGGGTCTGTGATGTAGTATTTGGTGAACACTTAGCCAGACTGCTTAAAACTCTGCTTTAGCCTTACCTTTCTGTTTTACCAAACTGAGAGATGATGCAGAGCTGAAAATGAGGGCCTCCCCAGGTCTTTTGTGAAAATGTGTTTTTTCCAGTGCATGCATTTCCAGTACATGCATTCTCAATTCCCCAAAACACTGGAGTGCTTTTGAATGCCCCCTTTTTTTTGAGATGGAGTCTCGCGCTGTCGCCCAGGCTGGGGTGCAGTGGGGCAATCTCAGCTCACTGCAAGCTCCGCCTCCTGAGTTAATGCCATTCTCCTGCCTCAGCCTCCCGAGTACCTGGGACTACAGGTGCCCACCACCACGCCCGGCTAATTTTTTGTATTTTTAGTAGAGACGGGGTTTCACCGTGTTAGCTAGGATGGTCTCGATCTCCTGACCTCGTGATCCGCCCACCTCGGCCTCCCAAAGTGCTGGGATTACAGGCATGAGCCACCGCGCCCAGCCTTTTTTTTTTTTTTTTTGTGACGGAATCTTGCTTTATCGCCCAGGCTGGAGTGCAGTGGCTCAATCTCGGCTCACTGCAACCTCCGATTCGCAGGTTCAAGCGATTCTTGTCCCTAAGCCTCTCGAGTAGCTGGAACTACAGGTGCCCGCCACCACACCTGACTAATTTTTGTATTCTTAGTAGAGACGGGGTTTCGACATGTTGACCAGGCTGGTCTCAAACTCCAGACCTCAGGTGATCCACCTGCCTCAGCCTCCCAAAGTGCTGGGATTACAAACGTGAGCCACCACGCTCAGCCTGAATGCCCTAATTTCTGAGGGAAATTGTTCTCTCCTTTTTTATTCCCAGGACTTAGATGTTCTACCATATGTCTTAATCATAATTTGTTGTCCCAGTTGTTTGAAGGTTTTTTATGTATTTTGCAACAATTTGAAGCAGTTCCTGCCAAGCTTGACCTAATTAGGCTCCATCATTGATTAAATAAAAAAGAGAACTTTCTTTCAGACCTTTGGATAGTCCACAGATGGATTGAAAAATACAAAGGTGCAATAACTTACAAATAAGATCTGATCTGCTCTCTCTAGGGATCCACATTGGAAATTTGGTCTGCTGTTTTCAAGACTGGTGCTGATGTGAGGAGGGATTGGGACAAGGACAAATAAAAACTCCACAAAACTTTCCTACTATTTGTCACCTTCCTTATTCTATTTGTTTATCTCTGTGTTAATAGTACAGGGTACTGAATATAATATATTCACCATACTTTATCTGTTTTTGGAAAGCTGTTGCTTTCTTGGTTAGAAGGATTTTAGCATTTTTAGATGTTTGTGACTTCTATTAGATTTGGTCATGTAATTTTTAATGATGACAAAAAGGTCTGTTTAGGGATTTAGGGAAATATTATAGATATTCATGAGAGATGACATTGAGTTTTTTTCTAAGAACATATGCAATCTTGGCCCTTCTTTTCTTCTTTGACATTACTTAATAAAGTTTAATTTTTCCATTGGGATGGTAAAATATCCTTATTAGTCTTTTGTCATACTTAACTACATATGTTCTACAGTAAACCAGTTGCTAGCTTCCAAATGTTCTCTCTTAGTGTAGTCACATAGCACAGGCTAAATCCCCCAAGGCACAAGGGTCACTCATTACAGACACAGTGACCAGAGTGTTTTTTCCCTTTTTTTTTTTTTGAGGCGGAGTTTCTCTCTTGTTGCCCAGGCTGGAGTGCAATGGCGCAATCTCGGCTCACCGCAACCTTCGCCTCCCGGGTTCAAGCAATTCTCCTGCCGCAGCCTCCTGAGTAGCTGGGATTACAAGCATGAACCACCATACCGGGCTAATTTTTTGTATTTTTAGTAGAGACAGTGTTTCTCCCTGTTGGTCAGGCTGGTCTCGAACTCCTGACCTCAGGTGATCTGCCTGCCGCGGCCTTCCAAAGTGCTGGGATTACAGGTGTGTGCCACTGTGCCTGGCCTCAGAGTGTTTTTTTCATGGCTTAGTCTGTTTTTTGTTGCTTATAACAGAATACTTTAACCTGGGTAATTTATAAGAAATGATATTTATTTTTTACACTTCTGGAGGGTGGGAAGCCCAGCATCAAGGCTGGGCATCTGGTGAGAGCCTTCTTGCTGGTAACTCTCTTTTGCACAATAGGTAGTAGGACTTTGTCATGACAAGAACTGCAGACCCACTGTAGAAATAGAAATGAGGAGTGATTCAGGCAATAAGACTCACTTTCTTAACTTACCAACAAGAGGCGTGTTCCTATTCAACTGTTACTTTACAAAACATGTTCATTTCTAGGATCAGAATTGTGTGGGATAAAATGAGTGTAAAGAGAGAATAAGAGTGGGTTTACCATGTTCTTGAATAAATGCTTGGAAACCACAGCATCATGTGAAGGTTATGAAGTGAATTTACATTCCCAGTGCCTTCAGTTTTAATATTCCTCCTCTGCACATGTGAAATATTTCAGGACTCAGTGGCATTTGAGGATGTGGCTATAAACTTCACCTGTGAGGAGTGGGCTTTGCTGGGTCCATCACAGAAGAGTCTCTACAGAGATGTGATGCAGGAAACCATCAGAAACCTGGACTGTATAGGTAAGGATGTCATCATGTCTTCACTTAGTCAATTAGAGACATTTGTTTCTTGGTCATCAATGCTGTTCAATTATTTGAAATATGGAAGGGTATATAATTGGCCCTTGAACCAGCCACCCAAGCAGTCATACATCTTCTCCCGCACAACTTAACCACTAGTAGCCTACTGTTTACTGGCAGCATTACTGGTAACATAAACAGTTGATTAATACATGTATTATATGTCATATGTATTACATGCTATATATTCTCACAGGAAAGTAAGCTAGAAAAGGAAAATATTCATTAGGAAACCATAGGTAAGTGGAACATTATTTAGTATTCATAGAAAATACAACATTACAAAGTTTTCATTCTGATTGTCTTTACATTGAGTAGACTGAATAAGAGGAGGGGTTGGTCTTGCTGTCTCAAGAGTAGCAGAGACTGAAGAAATTCATATGTAAGTAGACCTGTGCAGTTCAAACCTGTGTTGAAGACTCAGCTGTAGTTTGGTGTGTGAATCATGCATGATTGTAGTGTACATAAAATCTTACAGTCTTTCTATAATTTTATAATAATTTATAGTCATTTTTCTGGTTCTAACTTTTAGGAATGATATGGCAAAATCATGATATAGAAGAAGATCAGTACAAAGATCTCAGAAGAAATCTAAGGTAATTTGCACTCACAAGAGAAAGCTGTGTCCTTGAAGTGATTCATAGTATGCCAGAAATTTTATTTTATTTTGTTTGTTTTAGAGACAGTGTCTCACTTTGTTGCTCAGGCTGGAGTACAGTGGTATGATCATAGCTCGCTGTAGCCTCGGACTCCTGTGCTCAATGGTCCTCCCATTTCAACCTCCTGAGTAGCTAGGGTTACAGGCATGCACCACCACATGTGGCTACATATTTAGTTTTTGTAGAGATAGAGTCTTGCTGTGTTTGACCAGACTCATCTCCAGCTCCTGTCCTTAAGCGTTCCTCCTGCCTTGGCCTCTCAAAAGGCAGGTATTGCAGGCATGAGCCACTGTGACCAGCCCAAAATTTTAAAAAGAAGCAAGGAAAATTAACAAGCCCACCTTAAATTTATTTATTCTTAGAAAATTTTCTTCAAAAACATATACTTAAATGTGACATGGCTATGGCTATTCAGTGCCTGCAAAATAGTTCCCTTGGAAACAGTATTAAGAATTCCCATATGAATGTCACTATCTTCAAAACAGCTGGGGTTGAGTTACCTTGTACATCATTCTGTCCATTCATGTTCAAAGAGGGCATGAGACCTACACTTTGCATGATAATGTTAGAAATGTAAATCCAGGCCAGGTGCGATAGCTCACACCTGTAATCCCAACTATTTGGGAAGCTGAGGCAGGAAGACTGCTTGAGCCCAGGTGTTCAATCAGCCTGGGCAACGTGGCAAGACGCCCTTTCTACAAAAAATACAAAAATTAGCTAGGCATGGTGGCCTGTGCTTGTGGTTTCAGTTACTTGGGAGGCTGAGACAGGAAGGTTGCTTGAGCCCAGGAGGTCAAAGCCGCAGTAAGCCCTGTTCACATTACTATACTCCAGCCTGGGCAACAGAGCAAAACCCAGTTTCAAAAAAAAAAAAAAAAAAAGAAAAAGAAAAAGAAAGGCTGGGTATGGTGGCTCACCCTTGTAATCCCAGCACTACAAGAGGTCAAGGTGGGCAGATTGCTTGAGCTCAGGAGTTCAAGACTAGCCTGGGCAACATGGTGAAACCTCGTCTCTATAAAAAATACAAAAATCTAATCTCAGCATTTTGGGAGGCTGAGGTGGGCAGATCACGAGGTCAGGAGATCGAGACCATCCTGGCTAACATGGTGAAACCCCGTCTCTACTAAAAATACAAAAAATTAGCCAGGTGTGGTGGCAGGCGCCTGTGGTCCCAGCTACTTGGGAGGCTGAGGCAGGAGAATGGTGTGAACCCGGGGGAGGTAGAGCTTGCAGTGAGCCGAGATTGCGCCACTGCACTCCAGCCTGGGCAACAGAGCGAGACTCCGTCTCAAAAAAAAAAAAAAATCAGCCATGTGTGGTGGCTTATGCCTGTAGACCCAGCTATTTGAGAGGCTGGGGTGGGAGGATGGTTTGAGTCCGGGAGGTGGAGGTTGCAGTGAGCTGAGATCACACCACTACACTCCAGCCTGGGCAACAGAGCGAGAACCTGTCTCAGAAAAAAAAAAGAAAAGAAAGAAAGAAAAGAAATGTAAATCCAATACTTATTAATACAAAATCATTTATAAACAAACCTTTACTAATGTACTTCTTATTTTTTACAGATGTCATATGGTAGAGAGAGCCTGTGAAATTAAAGATAATAGTCAATGTGGAGGACCCTTTACCCAGACTCAAGACAGTATTGTGAACGAGAAAATACCTGGAGTAGATCCATGGGAAAGCAGTGAGTGTACAGACGTCCTCATGGGTCGTTCATCTCTTAATTGCTACGTTAGAGTTGACAGTGAACACAAACCATGTGAGTATCAAGAATATGGAGAGAAGCCATATACACATACACAATGTGGGACAGCTTTCAGTTATCAGCCCTGCTTTCAAATACATGAAAGACCTCAGCATGGAAAGAAACTCTATGATTGTAAGGAATGTGCAAGCTTCAGTTCTCTTGAAAACCTTCAAAGACACATGGCAGCACACCATGGAGATGGACCTCGTATATGTAAGTTGTGTGGAAACGCCTTTATTTGGCCTAGTTTATTTCATATGCTTAGAAGAACTCACACTGAAGAGAAACCATATGAATATGAGCAGTGTTCTACAGCGTTTCCTGCTTATAGTTCCACTCTAAGACATGAAAGAACACACAGTGGAGAGAAACCCTATCAATGTAAACAATGTGGGAAAGCCTTCAGTTGTTCCTGTTACACTCAACTATATGAAAGGACTCACACTGGAGAACAATCCTATGAATGTAAGCAATGTGGGAAAGCATTTTATCATCTTGGAAGCTTTCAAAGACACATGATAGTGCACACTGGAGATGGGCCTCATAAATGTAAGATATGTGGAAAAGGCTTTCTTTCTCCCAGTTCAGTTCGAAGACATAAAAGAACTCACACTGGAGAGAAACCGTATGAATGTAAGTATTGTGGGAAAGCATTCTCTGATTGCACAGGTTTTCGAAGACACATGATAACGCACACTGGAGATGGACCTCATAAATGCAAGGTATGTGGGAAAGCCTTTGATTCTCCCAGTTTATGTCGAAGGCATGAAACAACTCATACTGGGGAGAAACCCTATAAATGTGAATGTGGGAAAGCCTTTAGTGATTTCTATTACTTTCGAAATCATGAAACTACTCACACTGGAGAGAAGCCATATAAATGTAAACAATGTGGAAAAGCCTTCATTTGTTGCACTTACCTTCAAATACATGAAAGAATTCACACTGGGGAGAGACCCTATAAATGTAAACAATGCGGAAAAGCCTTCAGGTCTTCCAATTACATTCGAGTACATGAAAAGACTCACACTGGAGAAAAGCCCTATGAATGTAAGCAGTGTGGAAAAGCACTTTCTCATCTGAAAAGCTTTCAGAGACACATGATAATGCACACTGGAGATGGACCTCATAAATGTAAGATATGTGGGAAAAGCTTTGATTCTCCCAGTTCATTTCGAAGACATGAAAGAATTCACACTGGGGAGAGACCCTATAAGTGTAAACTATGTGGGAAAGGCTTCAGGTCTTCCAGTTACATTCAACTACATGAAAGGACTCACACTGGAGAGAAACCCTATGGTTGTCAGCAATGTGGGAAAGCATTATCTGATCTCTCAAGCTTTCGAAGACACATGATAACACATACTGGAAATGGACCTCATAAATGTAAGATATGTGGGAAAGGCTTTGATTATCCCAGTTCAGTGCAAAGACATGAAAGAACTCACACTGGAGAGAAACCCTATGAATGCAAGGAATGTGGTAAAGCCTTCAGTCATTCAAGTTACTTACGAATACACGAAAGAGTTCATACTGGAGAGAAGCCGTATAAATGTAAGGAATGTGGGAAACCATTCCATTGTCCCAGTGCCTTTCATAAACATGAAAGGACCCACAGTATGGAGAAACCCTATAAGTGTAAAGAATGTGGGGAAGCATTTCATTGTATCAGTTCCTTTCATAAACATGAAATGACTCACTAGAGAAAACCCCTATGAGTGTTGAACATGTGAGAAAGCCTTAAGTACTTTCAGCTTCTTACAAATACATAAGAGACTCACACTGAAAAAAGTTGTATGAATATAAAAATGTACTAAAACCTTCCATTTTTTTCAGTACCTTTTGAAAACATGACCAAACTCATACTTCAAAAATATATATATAATGAATGTGAGGAATATGAAAAAACTTTCTTTGTCTAGCAAACTTTCAAAGGTGGTTATTATAACATACTAGCAATGGACCTTACTACTGTAAGGAATGTAGAAATGCATTTACTAGTCCTAATTCATTTCAGTTACATGAAAGATTTCAAACTGCAGAGAACCACTATGAATGTAAACAATGTGGTAAAGCATTTAGTAGCTTCAGTTTCTTTTGAATACAGTCTTCTCTAGTTTCTGAGGTGAATTGATTCCAGCACCCTCAGGAATACCTATATTCAGAGATATTCAAGTCCCTGATATTAAAAACAGCATATTTGCATATAATCTAGGCACATTTTTCTGTATATCTTAAATCATTTCTAGATTACTTATAATACACAATGCATTGTAAATTCTGTATAAGTTGCTTTTGTATTATTTAGGGAATCATGACAAGAAAAAAGTCTACATGTTCAGTACAAATACAACTGTCATTCATTGTCCTAAGTACGTGTACATGTCAGCAACAATGTCAGGATCTGTGGAGTTTGCGAGTATAAGATCTTTAAGTGTTGAAGGTTTCATCTCCATAATTGCAGCTGCTTTAGCTACAAATATTATAGGAAGCTGTTCCTTCTTTTTCTTTACATCACCAAACCTTCCAGTGGTTATAGGCATTTTGTTATCCTTCAAGTGACCTGGAGCCTTTGTTGCATGACAGGATTGTACCTGAAGATCACATTCTTTAACAATTGGACCTACTGAATCTGTAAAACTACTAGAAGAAAACATATTGAAAATACTTCAGGACATTGGTTTAGGCAAAGATTTTATGGCTAATACCTCAAAGCACAGACAACAAAGATAAAAATAGACAAATGAGACTATCTTACACTAAAAAGTAGCTGTGCAAAGTAAAGGGAACAACAAGAGTGCAGAGAAAACCTGTTGAATATGAGAGAATATTTGCAAACTATGCGACAAGGGACTAATATCCAAATATACAAGGAACTCAAACATCTCAACAGCAAAAAATATAAATAATCCCATTAAAGTGGGAAAAGGATGTGAACAGACAGTTCTCAAAAGAAGACATGCAAATGGCCAAAAAGTATATGGAAATATGTTCAACATCACTAATGATTAGGAAAATGCAAATTGAAACCACAATGAGATACTCTACTTAGAATTGTTCTTACTAAAAAAGATAAAAAACAACAAATGCTGATGAGGATGTGGAGAAAAGAAAACTTTCACTGTTGGTGAAAGTATAAATTAGAACAACTACTGTGGAAAACAGTATGTAGATTTCTCAAAAACCTAAAAATAGAACCACCACATGATCCAGCAAACCAAGTATAACCACAGGAAAAGAAATCAGTATATCAAAGAGATACTTGCACTTGCATATTTATCACAGCACTATTCATGATAACAAAGATATGGAATTAACCTAAGCATCCATCAGTGGACACAGGGATAAAGAAAATGTTTATGTACACAGTGGAATACTATTTGGCCATAAAAAAGAGTAAAATGTTATTGCTAACAACATGGATGGAACTTGAGGTCATTATGGTAAGTGAAATAAGCCAGGCACAGAAAGACAAATACCACATGTTCTCACTTATATGTGGGAGGTGAAAAACTTCACCTCATGGAGATAGGGAATAGAATAAGTTATCCGGGGCTGAGAAGGGGAAATGAAGAGAAATTGGTGAATATGTACAAATTTCCATTTAGATCAAAGGAATAAGTTCTGATGTTAGAAAGCATACTAGAGTGAACTATAGTTAGCAAAAATATATTGCATATTTCAAAGTAGTTGGAAGAGAGGACTTGAAATGTTACCAACACATAGAAGTGGTAAATACTCAAGATCATGGATACCCCAAATACGCTGACTTGACCATTACACATTCTATGCATGCAAGAAATGCTCATGTGTACCTTATATATATGTAAAATATGTATCAATAAAAGAAAATATATAAGATAGTTTTAAAATAACACTATTGTCAGGTGTCTGTGGGCTGAGGAACAGCCTAAGGTGTAAACTTAAGTTCTTCTCAGGTCTTTTCTTAGTTGCACCTGTCCCTGGGCATGTGTGGTAACTGTCTAATTTTCTCTGCATGTATGGTTATTTTTGCACAACCTAATCTTCAGTGGCTCTCAAAAGGAGAGGAATAAAAGCATTAAGGGAAAAATAAAAGGCACCAGCCTGGAAGTCACTTCAGATGGAGGGGAAGGGCCTTCAAAAAATGGAGAGAGATGCAGCAGCAACAGTCACCACCACTTCTTTGTCTGTAACTCTGTGATCAGAAGCAACAATTATCAAGCAGTGCGCAGATCCCCAATATTTGGAAGACAGGTCCTTTTTGTCCACCCTGGCCCCCCAAAACTGCATGCAGACTGCTGTTAGAACTTATGCATAGCTACCTGTCATGGAGCTGAGGAGGGGGAATGAGTCAGGGCTGCTGACTCAACTAAGAGTTGAAATTGACCGAAATTAACCCAATTTTATTAGCCAATTATTTCCCTGGAAGCTGCAAGCTTTTAATAGTATCCGCAGTTTCAAAATAGCTACATGAGTTGGATTCTGCCAATGCAAATCCAGGTGGGGGATACAGATTCTTCATGCTTTTTATTCTGCCATCTTCCTTGAATCCTCTGACCTGACTTTTTATACTAATACATTACTTCAGGTCCCATCCCACATGTCACCTCCTCAGCAAGTCTTTCTGTCACCTCAGTTACTCCTTTCCATATATACATTTTTTTTAATACACTTTTCAGAGTCAGGGAAATCCGATTAGGTTCACAGACTTTACTGCTTTCTTAACAACCTATGAAAAGTCAAATCATATAAATGAACCAAACTGAATAGTGTCACTGTTACTTTTATGAAGTGTTATCCCGTAGATTTAAAAAAAAAGAAAGAAAGCCGGGCGCGGTGGCTCACGCCTGTAATCCCAGCACTTTGGGAGGACGAGGAGGGTGGATCACCTGAGGTCAGAAGTTCAAGACCAGCCTGGTCAACATGGTGAAATCCCGTCTCTACTAAATATACAAAAATTAGCCGGGCGTGGTGGCAG
The DNA here is from genome assembly GCF_000001405.40 of Homo sapiens. Taxonomy (NCBI): domain Eukaryota; kingdom Metazoa; phylum Chordata; class Mammalia; order Primates; family Hominidae; genus Homo; species Homo sapiens. The sequence continues at coordinate 11,785,164 of NC_000019.10, forward strand.
GCGCCTGTAATCCCAGCTACTCGGGAGGCTGAGGCAGGAGAATCGCTTGAACCCGGGAGGCAGCGGTTGCAGTGAGCCGAGATCGCACCATTGCGCTCCAGCCTGGGCAACAAGAGCGAAACTTCGTCTCAAAAGAAAAAAAAAACTGCTTTGCACCGATTTGCAGAAAAAGAGACAACGAACTCCCTCTCGTGGTGAGGATGGCATTAACATCCACACATAACTCCTTTAGGGTGTGGATTTCTGAATTGTGCTGAGATCTCCAGAATTTACAGCAAGTGATGGTCAGTTTAAAATATTCTGTGCCTTCAATGAAGAAGTAGTGTAGCAGGTTAGGGAGAAGAGAAGCAAATAAAATGGATGAGGTCCTCACTTAGTATATCACAATCTCTCCTGGAAGACTATTTATTTATTTATTTTTTTGAGACGGAGTCTCGCTTTGTCACCCAGGCTGGAGTGCAGTGGCGTGATCTCGGGTCACTGCAAGCTCCGCCTCCCGGGTTCACACCATTCTCCTGCCTCAGCCTCCCGAGTAGCTGGGACTACAGGCGCCCGCCACCACGCCCAGCTAATTTTTTGTATTTTTAGTAGAGACGGGGTTTCACCGTGTTAGCCAGGATGGTCTCGATCTCCTGACCTCGTGATCCACCCGCCTCGGCCTCCCAAAGTGCTTGGATTACAGGCATGAGCCACCGCGCCCGGCTCTGGAAGACAATTTCAAATGAATAAATCAAGGAACATGAGAGAGCCACAAGGGAGTTCAACCTGAGTCCAGTTAGACTCCTTGAAAGGGAAAGCTATTTACAGAATACTTCGGATTTAGCTGCGGAAATGATTTGATGGGTCAGTGGTGGTGGAGTGAGGTTGAGACCATTTAAAATAGGTGACGTAAACATGTGAAACCTCAGACACAGAGCCCTTGGTGTTAACCATGATCTGTTGAAAGTCAGAAGAATGAAGCAGAGGGAATTGTTGGAAGCTCACATTTGATTAGCTTTTTTACATATAACATGTGTTGACAAGGCCGGGAGCGGTGGCTCACGCCTGTAATCCCAGCACTTTGGGAGGACGAGGAGGGTGGATCACCTGAGGTCAGGAGATCGAGACCATCCTGGCTAACACGGCGAGACCTCGTCTCTACTAAAAATACAAAAAATTAGCTGGGCGTGTTGGCGGGCGCCTGTAGTCCCAGCTACTCGGGAGGCTGAGGCAGGAGAATGGTATGAACCCAGGAGGTGGAGCCTGCAGTGAGCCGAGATGGCGCCACTGCACTCCAGCCTGGACAACAGTGCGAGACTCCATCTCGACAACAACAACAACAAAAAACAATGTGTTGACGTAGAAATTATTTATTGATGTATTTTTCTCAAACTAATAATTATTTTGAAGGGTTTTTTTTCCACCATGTAAACATAACCAACTCCCAGGAGCTTCCATGTGTATATGCTTAAATGTATAATATGTGTAAAAGTTCTATCAGACTTAAATCATCCATTTATCACACTTTAAACACCTATGAATGACCAGCCTGGGCAACATACCAAGACCTAATTTCTACCAAAAAAATTTTCTTTCTAATGATCCAGGCATAGTGACATGTACCTGTAGTCCTAGCTACTCCAGAGGATGAGGTGGGAGGATTGCTTGAGCCTAGGAGGTTGAGGCTGCAATGATCCGTGATGGCATCACTGCACTCCAGCCTGGGTGACACAGTGAGACCCTGTCTCAAATAGAAGAAAATGTCAAATAAGATGAATGTGATTGCTTAAACTCTTCCACACAGAAGAATTTATCAAGATGGTCTTCAGAGGTATATCATGAGGAAGCAGTACAGTGCAATGAGGAAAAAACAACAAAAAACAAGTGAAGGGGGCAGAAGACCTCAATTCTACTCTTTACTCTCTCTAGATGTGAAACAACCTTGGGCAAGTCACTGCGCCTCTTTGAGCCTGTTATTTCATCTGTAAGAAGCTGAGATAATTAATATATCATAGATAATGTAGTGTTCTCAGTAGAAACTGAAACAGCACTCTGAGATCAAACTCATTAATATTCCTACAACAAAATGAGTAAATACTTGAAACAGAACAAAACAGCCAATAAATAGCCTCTTATTTCTTGATGTCAGGTTCATGCCTACCTTACAAAATAGAGTTGTCAGAGCTTTTTGGTTCGTAGAACTGAAGAAAAGGGACTGTAGACTCATGGAAGTGTCTAATGTCAGAAAGCCAGATATGTCAAAGATGAATTTCTGAAATTAAAACATTTTATTTGGGAAGAAATACTTGTAATTCAGGGCATACACACAGACCAAGTGGTCTTTGGTATGTCTTAAAAACAGAGAACATTGGAGGTTTCATGAAAAGGAGAAGTGTTACATATGGTTCTTCAAGAAAGTTCATTGGCACTAGTAAGGTTTTTGGGAGTTGGAAAGTTCTGATCGGGAAATGATGGCAATGAGTAAAACTATTCTTAGAGCCACAGCAAGTTGTTTCAGTAACTATTAGATAAAACCGGTTTCAGGATACAACTGGCTGTTTCAGCAGCTTGGCAGAGAATGACATGCTTGGAGCATTGGTACGTGCCCTGAGTGCTTTTCCCCCTTGGCCTGTTGACTCTTATAGTTGAGTTTGGCAAGAATGACCCAATTTATGTGATCAACATTCAGTTTGCTAATTCACAACAAAACAATTTTCTGCCACTCCATGACTAATGTTTTTAAATAGCCCTCAGCCTTTGGCTTGAACTTACCAAAGGACTTTTCAAACTAAACCATGTCCACTCTTTTTTTTTTTTTTTTTTTTTTGAGACAGTCTCGCTCTGTCGCCCAGGCTGGAGTGCAGTTGTGCAATCATGATTCACTGAAGCCTTGACCTCCTAGGCTCAGGTGATCCTCCTGCCTCAGCCTCCTGAGTAGCTGAGACCACAGGTGCATGCCACCATGCCCAACTAATTTCTATAGAGACAAAGTTTTGCAGTGTTGCCCAGGCTGGTCTCAGACTGCTGGGCTCAAGCAATCCACCTACCTCAGCCTCTCAAAGTGCTAGGATTACAGGCATGAGCCAAACATTTAAAGAACTAATACCAATCCTACTCAAATTATTCTGAAAAATAGAGGAGGAGGCCAGGTGCGCTGGCTCACACCTGTAATCCCAGCCCTTTGGGAGGCCGAGGCAGGCAGATCACGAGGACACGAGTTCGAGACCAGCCTGACCAACATGGTGAAACCCCGTCTCTACTAAAAATACAAAAATTAGCCAGGTGCGGTGGCACGTGCCTGTAATCCCAGCTACTCAGGAGGCTGAGGCAGGAGAATCGCTTGAACCTGAGAGGCAGTGGTTGCAGTGAGCTGAGATCACACCACTGCACTCCAGCCTGGGAGAAAGAGCAATACTCCACCTCAAGAAAAAAAAAATAGAGGAGGAAGGAATACTTTCAAACTCATTCTGAGTCCAGTATTACCCAGATACCAAAACCAGGCAAAGACACATTAAGAAAACTATAGGTCAATATCCCTGATGAATATTCATGCAAACATCCTCAACAAAATACTAGCAACCGAATTCAACAACACATCAAAAAGATAATTTATCATGACCAAGTGGGATTTATCCCAGGGATGCAAGGATAGTATGTGATACATCATATTGACAGAATGAAGGACAAAAACTATATGATCATTTTAATAATGCTGAAAATGCATTTGATGAAATTTGACATCCCTTTATGATAAAAAAAACCTTCAAAAAAACCGAGTATAAAAAGAATATACCTCAACATAATAAAAAGTCATATATGACAGACCCACAACTAGTATACTGAATGGAGAAAAACAGCCTTTCCTCTAAAATCTGGAACAGGACAAAGATGCCCACTGTCACCACTGTTATTCAACTTGGTACTTGAAGTCCTAGTTAGAGCAATCAGATAAGAGAAAGAAATAAAGGGCATCCAAACTGGAAAGGAAGAAGTCAAATTATCCTTCTTTGCAGATCACATGATCTTATATTTGGGGAAAACCTAAAGACTTCACAAAAAAACTACTAGAACCAATAAATTCAGTAAAGTTGCAGGATACGAAATCAACATATAAAAATCAGTAGCATTTCTTTCAGAACAAGGATCACTGGGAGAAAAAAAATAAAAATTAAAAAGCCAAAAATGAATAGCATTTCTATATGCTAACAGTAAACAATCTGAAAAAGAAATCAAGAAAGTCCTCTTTACAATAGCTACAAATAAAATACCTAGGAATTAATTTAACCTAAGAAATAAGTGAAAGATCTCTACAATGAAAACCATAAACCATTGATGCAAGAAATTGAAAAGGACAAAAAATGGAAAGATATTCCATGTTCATGGATTGGAAGAATAAATATTGTTAAAATGTGCCTACTACCCAAAGCAACCTACAGATTAAATACAATTCCTATCAAAATACCAAGGACATTCTTCACAGAAATAGAAAAAATAATCCTGAAATTTATATGGAACCACAAAAGACCTGGAATAGCCAAAGCTATCCTGATCAAAAAGAACAAAACTGGAGAATCACATTACTTGACCTCAGATTATACTACAGAGCTATAGTAACCAGAACAGCATGGTCCTGGCATAAAAACAGATACATAGACCACTGGAACAGAATAGAGAACCTAGAAATAAATCTATACATTTACAGTGAACTCATTTTTGACAAAAGTGCCAAGAATGTACATTGGGGAAAGGACAGTCTCTTTAGTAAATGGTGCTGGGAAAACTGAATGTTCATATGCAGGAAAAAGAACCTAGACCCCTATCTCTCATCATATACAAAAATCAAATCAAAATGATTAAAGGTTTAAACCCAAGACCTCAAGCATGAAACTACTGAAATAAAACATTGAGGAACGTCTCCAGGACATTGGAGTAGGCAAAGATTTCTTAGGTAATACCCCACAAGCATAGGCAATGAAAGCAAAAATGAACAAATGGGATCACATCAAGTTAAAAAAGAAACAACATAGTAAAGGAAACTGTCAACAAAGAGACAACCCATAGAATAGGAGAAAACACTTGCAAACTATCTATCTGACAATAGATTAATATCCAGGATATATAAGGAGTTCAAATAACTCTATAGAAAAAAATGTAATAATCTGATTTTAAAATGGGCAAAAGATCTGCATAGACATTTCTTAAAATAAGACATACAAATGGCAAACAGACATATAAAAAAGTGCTCAACGTCACTGATCATCAGAGAAATGCAAATCAAAACTACAATGAGATATCATCTTACCTCAATTAAAATAGCTTTTACCCAAAAGACAGGCAATAACAAATGCTGTGAGGATGTAGAGAAAAAGGAACCCTTGTACACTGTTAGTGGGAATGTAAATTAGTACAACCACTATGGACAACAGTTTGGAAGATTCTCATAAAACTGAAAATAGAGCTACCATACAATTCAGCAATCCCACAGCTGGGTGGGATTGGAAATCAATATATCAAAGAGAAGGAAAGGAAATCAGTATATCAAAGAGATATTTTCACTCCCATATTTATTTATTACAATAGCAAACATATGGAATCAACCTAAGTGTCCATCGATGATGATTGGATAAAGAAAATGTGTTATATATACACAATAGAATACTATTCAGCTATAAAAATAATGAAATTATGTCATTTGCAACAACATGGATGTAACTGAAGGTCATTATGTTAAGTGAAATAAGCCAAGTGCAGAAAGACAAACTTCACATGTTCTCACTTATTTGTGGGAGCTAAAAATTGCAACAATTGAACTCATAGAGATAGAGAGTAGAAGGATGATTATCAAAGGCTGAGAAGGGTAGAGGGGGTGGGGAATGGGAATGGTTAATGGATATAAAAAAAAGAGAAAGAATGAATAAGACCTAGTATTTGTTAGCACAACAGGCTGACTATAGTAAAAAATAATTTAGTTGTACATTTTAAAATAACTAAAAGAGTATAATTGGATTGTTTGTAACACAAAGGGTAAATACTTGAGGTGATGACCCCATTTACCCTGATGTGATTATTATGCACTGCATGCCTCTTTCAAAATATCTCATGTAACCCATAAATATATACACTTACTATGTACCCACAAAATTAAAAATAAAAAAGGAAGTAAAAAAATGTAAATTTTATTCATATAAGTTTATGTAAGGCCAAGGCACAGTGGCTCACCCCTGTAATCCTAGCAGTTTGGGAGACTGAGGTGGGTGGATTGCCTGAGCTCAGGAGTTCAGCCTGGGCAACACGGTGAAACCCCGTCTCTAGTAAAATAAAAAAAATTAGCCGGGTGTGGCGCCTGTAGTCCCAGCTACTTGGGAGGCTGAGGCAGGAGAATCACTTGAACCCAGGTAGCAGAGATTGCAGTGAGCCGAGATCCCACCATGGCACTCCAGCCTGGGTGACAGAGCGAGACTCCATCTCCAAAAAAAAGAAAAAATTTATGTAGTACTAGTGTAATTTTGTAACATGGATATATTTGCATAGTGGTGAAGACAGGACTTTGAGTGTATCCATCACTGGAAAAAAGTACATTGTATTCATTAAGTAATTTCTCATTGTCTCCTCCCTTCCCACTCCCCACCCTTCTAAGTCTCCACTGTCTATTATTTCACACTCTATGTTTATGTGTGCACATTACTTAGCTCCCACTTATATGTGAGAACACGCGGTGTTTGTCTTTCTATGTCTGAGTTGTTTCACTTAAGATTGGGCCTCCACTTCTATTCATATTGCTGCAAAAGATATAATTTTATTCTTTTTATGGCTGAATAGTATTCTATTGTGTATATATAACACATTTTCTTTATCCAATCATCTATTGATGGACACTTAGGTTGATTCCATCTGTTTGCTATTGTGAATAGTGCTGTGATAAACATACAAGTATAGGTAGCTTTTTGAAATAATGATTTCTTGTTTTTTGGGTAGATACCCAATAGTGGGATTGCTGGATCAAAGGGTAGTTCTATTTTTAGTTCTTTGAGAAATCTCTATACTGTTTTCCATAAAGATTGTACTAATTTACATCCCCATCAACAGCATATAAACATTCCCTTTTCTCTGCATCCTCACCAACATCTGTTATTTTTTCCTCTTTTTAATAATAGCCATTCTGACTGGCGTAAGATGGTATCTCATTTTGGCTTTAATTTGCATTCCTCTGATGTTAGGGATGCTGAACATTTTTTCATATGCTTGTTAACTATTTTGTATGTCTTCTTTTGAAAAATATCAGCTGGGCATGGTGGCTCACGCCTGTAATTCCCACACTTTGGGAGGCCAAGGCAGGAGAATTGCTTGAGGCCAGGAGTTTGAGACTAGCCTGGGCAACATAGTGAGACTCTGTCTCTCTCTCTCTTTTTTTTTTTATTTTTTGAGATACAGTCTCACTCTGTTGCCCAGGCTGGAGTGCAGTGGCACAATCCCAGCTCACTGCAACCTTCGGCGCCTGGGTTCAAGCGATTCTCCTGCCTCAGCCTCCTGAGTAGCTGCGATTACAGGCACGTGCCACCATGCCTGGCTAATTTTTGTATTTTTAGTAGAGATGGGGTTTCACCATATTGGTTAGGCTTGTCTCGAACTCCTGACCTCATGATCTGCTCACCTCAGCCTCCCAAAGTGCTGGGATTACAGGCGTGAGCCACCACACCCGGCCCAACCCTGTCTCTTAAAAAAAAAAATTAACTGGGTGTCATGGCATGTGCCTGTAATCCCAGCTACTCAGAAGACTGAGGCAGGTGGATCTCTTGAGCCCAGGAATTTGAGTGAGCTAATATTGTACCAGTGAATTCTAGCTTGGGTGACAGAGGGAGACACTGTCTCTGAAAAAAGAAAGGAAAGGAAAGAGAAAGAAGAAAGAGAGAAAGAAAGAAAGAAGAGTGAGAGAGAAAGAAAAGAAAGAAAGAAGAGAGAGGAAGGAAGGAAGGAAAAGAAAAAGAAAGAGAGAAAGAAAAGAAAGAAAGGAAGGGAAAGGAAAAGGAAAGGAAAGGAAGGAAGAAGGAAGGAAGAAAGGGGGAGGGAGGGAGAAAAGAAAGGAAGGAAGGAAAAATGTCTATTTATGTCCTTAGACCACTTTTTACTTTTTTTTTTTATTTTTTTTGAGACAGAGTCTCTCACCCAGGCTGGAGTGCAGTGGCATGATCTCAGCTCACTGCAACCTCTACCTCCCAGGTTCAAGTGATTCTCCTGCCTCAGCCTCTTGAGTAGCTGGGATTACAGGCACCTGCCACCACACCCGGCTGATTTTTGTATTTTAGGTAGAGATGGGGTTTCACCATGTTGGCCAGACTGGTCTCAAACTCCTGACCTCAGGTGATCCGCCTACCTCGGCGTCTCAAAGTGCTGGGATTACAGATGTGAGCCACCATGTCCAGCCTTTACCACTTCTTAATGGGGTTGTTTTTGTTGTTGTTGAGTTGTTTGAGTTCCTTGTATATTCTGGATATTAGTGTTTTGTTAATATATAGTTTGCAATTAATTTCTCCCATTCTTCGGGTTATTTGTTCACTTTATTGATTATTTATTTTGCTGTGCAGAAGCTTTTCCATTTACTTAAGTCACATTTGTCTATTTTGTTATTGTTGCCTGTGCTTTTGAGGTCTTAATCCGGCATTTTTTGCCTAGACCAATGTCCAGAAGAGAATTCCTTAGATTTCCTTCTAGTATTTTTATAGTTTTGGGATTTACATTTAAGTACATTTTGAATTGATTTTTGTATATGGAGAGAGATCAGGGTCCAGCTTCATTCTTCTCCGTATGGCAATCCAGTGTTCCCAGCACTGTTTATTGAAAAGGGTGTCCTTACCCCAATGTATGTTCTTGTTGACTTTGTAAAAAACCAGTTGGATGTAAATATGTGGATTTTGTTCTAGGTTCTCTATTCTGTTTCATTTATTTCTGTGTATATTTTTATACCAGTAACATGCTGATTTGATTGCAATAGCCTTGTAGTATAACTTGAAGTTAGGTAATGTGTTGCTGTCAGAGGCATTCGAACCAGAGCGACTCCATTCTGAGGGCTAGGAAAGTGAGGCTGGGAATTGCTGGGCTTCATTCCCAGAAAGTTAGGCATACCTCGCTTCTAGGTGTTTACAGTTAAAGGAACAAATTAATAATGTTTACCAAGACCCAGACTTGGTAGTGTCCAGATATCCCAATATCTGGAGAACAAAGGCATTTCTAATTTTGCTTTAAAGATAATAATATCAATTCTTGCAAAATATAGTAATTAAGAAAATTAATCCTTTATCATGGACCCTTATAGCAGAGCACATCTGCCCATATATACAAGCATCATTGTACCTAGGGTGGATGCGTTCCTCCTCTTACTTACAGAAACATCCAACTCTTTCTGGGGAGTAGCTGTTCTTTCACCACTTTACTTTCTTAATAAACTTGCTTTTACTTTGCACTGCAGACTTGCCTTGAACTCTTTCTTGCAGGAAATTCGAAAACCCTCTCTTGGGGTCTGGATTGGGACCCCTGTCCTGTAACATTGCCTCCAACTTTGTTCTTTTTGTTTAGGATTGCTTTGGTTATTCGGGCACTTTTTTGGTTCTATATGAATTTTAGGATTGTTTTTCCTAATTATGTGAAAACTAACATTGGTATTTTGATAAGAATTGCATTGACTCTGTAGATTGCTTTGGGAAGTATAGTCATTTTAATGATATTAATTCTTTCTGAATAATTAATGAAATTAATTCTTCTGATATTAGTTCTTTCCATAAGCATGAAATGTTTTTTCCATTTGTTTGTGTCATCTGTAATTCTTTAATCAGTGTTTTATAGATTTTTTCTTTTTGTAGAGGCCTTTCACCTCCTTGGTGCAATATATTCCCATGTGGGGTGGGGTGTTATTTGGTAGCTCTCGTAAGTGGTATTGCTTTCTCGATTTGGTTCTCAGCTAGATTGTTGTTGCTGTATAGAAACACTGCTGACTTTTGTACACTGACTTTGTATCCTGAAACTCCTGAATTAATTTAACTAATCTAAGAGATTTTTGGTGGAGTCTTAAGCGTTTCTAGATGTAAGATTATATATCACTGAACAGGAATAATTTGACTTCCTCTTTTCCAATTTGCATGTCTTTTATTTCTTTCTCTTGCCTGATTGCTCTGGCCAAGACTTCCTATACTAGGGTTGAATAAGAGTGGTGAAAGTAGGCATCCTTAATCTTGTTCTAGTTTTTATCATTCAACTATTTCCCCATTCAGTATGATGTTGGCTGTGTGTTTATCATGTGTGGCTTTTATTATTTTGAGATATGTTCATTCTGTACCTAGTTTTTTGAGCTTTTATCATGAAGGATGCTGAATTTTATCAAGTGTGTTTTCTAAATCTATTGAGATGATCATATGGTTTTTATTCTTCATTCTGTTTTTGTGATGTGTTACATATATTAACTTGTGTGTGTTGGACCATTTTTGCATTCCTGGTATAAAACCTACTTTATCATGCTGTATTATCTTTTTAATGTGCGGTTGGATTCAGTTTGCTAGTGTTTTGTTGGGGATTTTCACATCCGTGTTCATCGGGGATATTGGTCTGTAGTTTTGTTGTTGTGTCCTTGTCTGTTTTTGGTATTAGGATGTTACTGGCCTCATAGAATGAGTTAGGGAGATTTCCCTTGTCTGTGATTTTTAGGGACAGTTTCAGGATTATTAGTATAGTTCTTTTTGTATGTTTGGTATAATTTTTTTAATGTTGATTTTTAAATTTTTATTTTTTTACTTAGAGATGGGATCTTGTTATGTTGGCCAGGGTGGTCTCAAACTCCTGGCCTCAAGCAATCCTCCTGTCTCAGGCTCCACAGTGCTATGATTACAGGCATGAGCCACCACATCTGGCCTATTTGGTACAATTTTGGTATAAATCTGTCTGGCCCAGAGCTTTCATTTTTGGGAATTTTTTTATTGCTGATTCAATATTGCTACTTATTATTGGTCTATTCAGGATATCTGTTTCTTCTTGGTTCAATCCTGGGAGGTTATACGTTTCAAAAAAACCTATAGGTTTTCTAGGTTGTGAGCATATAGTTGTTCATAGTAGTCTCTGATGGTATTTCTGTGGTATTGGTGTAATGTCTTCTTTTTCAATTCTGGTTTTGTTCATTTGAATCTTCTTTTTTTTCTTGGTTAGTCTAGCCAGCAGTTTATTACTTTTGTTGATATTTTCAAAGAACCAACTTTTTGTTTCGTTTATCATTTGTGTTGTTTTTTAGTCTTGATTTTGTTTAATTCTGCTCTGATCTTTGTTATTTCTTTTCTGCCAACTTTGGATTTGTTTTGTTCTTGTTTTCCTAGTTCCATGGGGTACCATGTTAGGTTGTTAATTTGTTACTTTTTTGACAGAGGCATATAATTCTATAAACTTCCCTCTTAGCATGACTTTTCCTATATCCCAGAGGTTTTGATATGTTGTGTTGCCATTTTTGTTCATTTCAAACAAAATTTTTATTTTCTGTTTTTATTTCTTCTTTGACTCAGAGATCATTCAGGAGCACATTGTTTAATTTCCATGTATTTATACAGTTTTCAAAGTTCCTCTTGGTATTGATTTTTAGTTTTATTCAGCAGTCTGAGAAGATGCTTGAAATGATTTTGACTTTAAAATTTGTCGAGACTAGTTTTGTGGCCTAACATATGGTCTACCTTGGAGAATGTTTCACGTACTGATGAGAAGAATGTATATTCTGCAGTTGTTGGGTTCTGTAAACGTCTGTTAGCTCCATTTGGTCCAAAGTCCAACTTAAGTCCAATTTTTTTGTTGATTGTCTGTCTTGATGATATATCTACTACTGTGTGTGAGGTGCTGAAGTCCCATACTATTATTGTATTGCTATCTATATCTTTCTTTAGGTCTAGAAATATTTGCTTTATTAATTTGGCCTCTCCAATGTTGGATGCATATATATTTAGTATTACTATATTATCTTGCTGAATTGATTCTGTTATCAGTATCTCATGATCTTCTTTGTCTTTTTGTACTGTTTTTTATTTAAAGTCTATTTTATCTGATACAACTATCACAACTCTTGCTGAAGCACAGTGGCGAGATCATAGGTCACTGAAGCTTCAAACTCCTGGGCTCAAGATCTTCCCACCTCAGCCTCCCGAGTAGCTGGGACTACAGGTTCAGGACACCACGCACTGCTAATTTTTAAATTTTTAGTACAGACGAGGTGTGGCTCCGTTTTCCAGGATGATGAACTCCTGGGTTCAAGCAGTCCTCCCGCTTCAGCCTCCAAAAGGGTTGGGATTATAGGCGTGAGCCCCCGCACCCTGCCTGCAAGTCTTTTAATTCACTTCAATTATCTTAGAATTTTCCTTCCCCACTTTATACATACGTACAGTGGAACTGAGGGTGTTTGTCTCAGGTAACCGATCAATGAAGTGAATAACCTGTAGGGGGCAGCAGAGCCTAAGGCCAGTGACACCCTGCTGAGGCCAGTCTGGAGCCGGCAAAGGGAGGGAAAGGGAGCTCCCCTGGGTGTTTCCCGGGCAGCCTGCCCTCTACTGCAGGTGGCCTCCAGCTGCTCAGAACAGCTGCGGAAGGAATGTGGATCCTGAGAAGCTACAGAGCCCTGGAAAGCAGGAGACTCACGTGCAGGTGCACTTTGTGTAGGGGGGTTGGGGGGAGGTTCTGTCCTTACTGGGGCTGTACCTAGAGCCTAGGGACGTTTTGCGGGGGCAGTGTTTGGTTTTTACGTGCAAAGGGTCCCGGCGACAGACTGTAATTTGTACATACAAAGATAATCTGTGAAGATCAGGCTCAGTAAGATTTGTCTGACATGTCACCTGGAGAAAGGGTTTGTGAAGGTAATAGTTTACTTAGGTTAGAAGCTTAAACTGACCCCAGGTGAGAACTTCTGCTGGTGAAAATGAAGTCTAGGGGGAGGAAGCGGTTCCATATTCAGGGGTGGGACGGGGGGAGTGTGAGGAAGTCTCATCCCCAATTCCCGCCCTGTAGAGGACACCTGCCTCTCCCTCCTGGTGCAGTCTTGCCTGGCCTGGCCTGGCCTGGATTTCCTTCCTGCTATGAGGCAAAGGAATGACTCCATTGAACACCGAGTCTGGAATTCCCAGCACACATTTCTGAAAGATCGAGGAAGCTAACAGTGCCCCTTCTAACAATAAGTAGCAAGTTTGGCTGAAATGCAGATAGCCAACGACCAGGGCGCAGGGAGTGAGCTTAGCCTTAGAAAGGCTGTAGCTAGGATTAATCAGCCGGGCTCTGCAGGGCTCCGTTACCCAGGGCTTACCCTGTCACTCAGGGCTGAGGGGCGGAGCCTGGAACCCCATCCAATCAGGGGCCCTGGGACGGGGCCCTGCCAACTGTCAATCCGGGGAAGCAGAAGGCCGCACTCAGAGTCTCTGCACTCCTTTGTTGCTGGGGTCCGTTGCGTTCTGCATCCAGTCCTTGCTGCTCCGAGAGGCCCCAGGTGCCTCCGCCACGGCTCCTGTGACGCTGTCACCTGCGCTGTGACCTGCTCCGGAGTCATAAAGAGGACGCCGGGACACCAAGAAGCAGGGAAATGGTAAAGTGCCCGGCCTAGCGTCCAGATACGTGGAAGAGGGGCTGGGTGGAACCAACAGGATCCTGCTGTGGCGGGACCCAGGCCTCCGCTCGGGCGACCCCGGCGATTGGGACCCGCGTCCCCCATGGCGTGGCTTGGCCCTCGGTCCGCTCGGCCGCCAGGTGGGGCTGGGCCCGCAGCTGGGACCCCGGGCGTCCTGTCCCGTCCCTACGCGGCGACTGCGGCCCCGGCCCCGGAGTCCTCTCTGGGCAGCTCCGCGCCCGCAGCCCGGCGTCTTCCCAGATTGTGCGGGGGCCACGGGAGGGTCATGGGGGGTCGGATGTGTCCCGCCTTTCTTCTGCTAAAAATTAAACTGAGGCTCTGTTAACAGTTAAAGAGTTTGTTGGAGCAACAGCGATTCCGAGTGAGAAACACCCGGTCATGGCTTGTGATTGAAGAAAAGGCTTTTATAAGTTGCATGAGGAGGCAAACAGGATTAAATACTTGATTAGTTACAGTGATGCTGTCGCCGTATGTGGACTTGTCAACCTGAAATAAAAGAATCAGATTCCAGTTTTTTAAAGTTTACTCAAGCAAGAAGCTGGGAATGGCCCATTTGGGAAAACACAGGATCCACGGAAATGGGCTCAGTGTTTCAAATTTAAAAGTTTAAGTTCTTGCTTATATAGGCAAGAAATTTAACAGGATTACAACGTTTTTTATACAAGGCTAGTTTGTGAGGCACAACAATTTAATCAGAGTTTGGCCCGCCCCCCTCCCCCCGCCCCCATAGAGCTTTTTTTTTTTTTTCTTTACATTTGGGTTTCATTTCCTTTCCAATTTAAAAGAGTATATTTAACATTCCAGCGTAAGGCAAGGTGATGCCAGCGTGGACAACATGGCGAGACCCCGTCTGTACAAAATATTTTAAAAAATTAGTCGGGTATGGCCGGGCGCGGTGGCTCACGTCTACAATCCCAGCACTTTGGGAGGCCGAGGCGGGCGGATGACGAGGTCAGGAATTCGAGACCATCCTGGCCAACATGGTGAAACCCCGACTCTACCAAAAATACAAAAATTAGCTGGGCGTGGTGGCACGTGCCTGTAATCCGGCTACTCGGGAGGCTGAGGCAAGACAATCGCTTGAACGCAGGAGGCGGAGGTTGCGTGAGCCGAGATGGTGCCACTGCACTCCAGCCTGGCGACAGAGCGAGACTCTGTTAAAAAAAAAAAAAATTAGTCAGGTATGATGGCCGCTTCTGTAGTTAGTCTGGAGGCTGAGGCAGGAGAATTGCTTGAGCCCAGGAGGTGAAGGCTGCATCAACGACAGTATTGAATTTACAGCTAATAGGCAAGGTGAGGGAGAGGATGGAAGTTGGTTTAGTGTCAAGAATTAGGGAAGAGATTGTCAAACGTAGGGAAAAGGGACTTGATTGGATATCAGGTTTGGGGGAATTTTCTCTAAACTCCCTTAGAAGGGTTTTTGCTACCACAGGGCTCTGCAGGAAAAGGCCAAAGTCTACTCAAGAAGAGGGGGGCTCTGAGGAGCCTGACTAGTTTGATCAAAGAGGGAGTTTTTGGGACCCCTCTCCCAGCCTAGTTCTTCCCAGGTATGACAGTAAATCCCTAAATTTCTGGTTTTCTCCTCACATTCAAAAACACCAACTTCCCCTCGCCAATTGACATCCTTATCAATTATGTGTTTCCCATGCTACATTTGAAACAGCTGCCATATTTTATCATTTTTCCACAGACAAATGAATAGCACTATTTAAAAATGTTATCAACACCTCTGAAAATAAGGAAAACTTTTTTTTTTTTTTTTTTTTTGAGACAGTCTCACTGTGTCTGTTGCCCAGGCTGGAGTGCAATGGTGCTATCTTGGCTCACTGCAACCTCGGCCTCCTGGGTTCAAGCGATTCCCCTGCCTCAGCCTCCCAAGTAGCTGGGATTACAGGCATGTGCCGACATGCCCGGCAGATTTTTGTATTTTTAGTAGAGACACGGGAAAGAAAACATTTTTTAAAAATTTTAGTCCAGGCACAGTGACTCACTCCTGTAATCCCAGCACTTTCAGAGGCCCAGGTGGGAGGATTGCTTGAGCCTAGGAGTTCAAGACCAGAGTGGGCAGGGCAACATAGCAAGATCTCATCTCTACTGAAAACAACCAAACAAAATAGCTGGGCATGGTGTCATATTCCTGTAGTCTCAGCTACTATACTCGGGAGACTAAGGCGGGAGGATCGCTTGAGCCCCGAAGATCCAAGGCTGCAGTGAGCCTTGAGGGCACCACTGCACTCCAGCCTGGGAGACAGGGTGAAAATTTTCCTCAAAAAAACAAAAACTTTAGGGCTTGGCATGCTGGCTTACACCTGTAATCCCAGCACTTTGGCAGGCCGAGGTGGGAGGATCACTTGAGTCCAGAAGTTTAAGACCAGCTCAGCAACATAGAGAGACCCCGTCTCTATTAAATAAATAAATAAAATTTTAAAAAGAAAAAAATTATATTTTGTTTATGAATATTTTTTATGAGAGGAAACTATTCAGTAACTACCCAAAATGACATTGGGTAAAACTCCATGGCTGATTCTTGACATTGATCATCTTTTCATGTGTTTGTTGGCCATTTGTGTATGTCTGGGAGAAATGTCATTAAAATCCATTGCTTGGCTGGATGTGGTGGCTCATGCCTATAATCTCAGCACTTTGGGAGGCTGAGGCGGGTGGATCATGAGGTCAGGAGTTCAAGACCAGCCTGGCCAACATAGTGAAACCCTGTCTTTACTAAAAATACAAAAATTAGCTGGGCATGGTGGTGCATGCCTATAGTCCCAGCTACTCAGGAGGCTGAGGCAGGAGAATTGCTTGAACCTGGGAGGCGGAGGTTGCAGTGAACCAAGATCGCGCCATTGCCCATATTTTAGTCAATTAGTTTTCCTTTTTGGTACAATAATTTTTCTAGTTAATTACAATAAGAAAAACCTTAAAAATTTTACTAGCTCAAGCATTTTAAGTGTACCATTGAGTTAGTTTGACAATTTTATATAACTTCTCTAAGATGAGTCATACTGCATTTTTCTTTTTCTGACTGGTCTTTTGCAGTTAGCTTAGTATCATGAAGTTTCATGCCTGTTGTAGTATGGGACAGGATGTCATTTTATAAGAATAAATAATATCCTGTTGTATATATATATACATTTTCATTATCCATTCATCCATTGATTGGCATTTAGGTTGATCTACCTGTTGGGTGTTGTGAACAATGGATTTCAATTCATTTTATTTTATTTTTTATAGAGATTGGATCTCACTCTGTTGCCTAGGCTGGTCTCAAATTCCTGGGCTCAATTGATCTTCCTGCCTCAGCCTCCTGAAAGTGTTGGGGTTACAGGCATCAGCCACTGTACCCAGCCATCGATGGTTTTCAAATATTTCTTTGAGATCCTACTTTTAATTCTTTTGAATTGAATATAATTCGACCTAAAAGTGGGTTGCTGGAACATTTGGTAATTTTGTTTTTAATTTTTGAGGCACTGCCATACTGTTTTTCATAGCTAAGCCATTTTACAATCCCTTGGACAGTGTACATAGGTTCCAGTTTGTCAGCATGCTCATCAAAGCTTTCCATTTGGCATGTTTGATGTGTTTTTTATAGTTGAATTATGGAAATTCTTTATATTTGCTGAAAATTAAGACCATACCAGATATATGACTTACCAACATTTTCTCCAAATTGATGAGTTTTCTTTTCCCTTGTTGATAGTGTGTTCCCTTGCACAAAAGTTCTTAATTTTCATAAATCACATTACCTTTTTGTTAAGACTGCCCCCTCACAGAGTTTTTACCTCTAAACCTTGTCCCCATTCAGCCTTCAGCACTTCATCAATTACAATTTATGTTGTCTTACCCCAGTATTATTTCCCATAATGGTTTTGGTCATGGGTTTCTGTTTCAGTTAGTTATGACTCTCTTAATCAGTTGGGTTGGTGAGATCCCATGCAAAATTCGGTTTTTGTTTGTTTTTGGATTTGCCTGTGCTGTTTGAATGAGAATCAAATCCACTTTCCAGATACCATCAAAGGTTAAACTTTGTGAACACACATTTTCAAGTATATGTAGTCTCAGGACTGCTGTTGTGAGCTTTTTCTCTGCACATGAATTAGTAGGACTCTGTTACAAAAGATGCTACACACCCAATGTACAGAGAGACATTGGGGTACCTAGGAAACACATCTTTCTCTCCGGATTCACCAAAAAGAGACATTTTCCTATTCTTTTTTTTTTTTTTTTTCCAAGATGGACTCTCACTCTGTTGTCCAGGCTGGAGTGCAGTGGCTCTCTCTTGGCTCACTGCAACCTCTGCCTCCTGGGTTCAAGTGATTCTCATGCCTCAGCCTCCCTGAGTAGCTGGGATTACAGGCGCCTGCCACCACACCCGGCTAATTTTTGTATTTTTAGTAGAGATGGGGTTTTGCCACATTGGCCAGCCTGGTTTTGAACTCCTAATCTCAGGTGATCTGCCTGTCTTGGCCTCCCAAAGTGCTGGGATTACAGGCGTGAGCTACCATACCTGGCCATAAATTTGTTATTTTGGAATAATTTTAGATTTATAGAAAACTTGCAAAGATAATCTACAAAGTTCCCATATACCCGTCACCCATTTTCTTCTAATGTGAGCATCTTACATAACCATGGTCCAACAAAACTAAGAAGTTATCATTTGTATATTACTATTAATGAAATTCCAGATTTTCAACAGTTTTTCCACTAATATCCTTTTTCTATTCCAGGACCCAATCCAGTATACCCCACTGTATTTAGTTCTCATGTCTCCTTGATCTGCTTTGTGACAATTTCTCAGTCTTCCCTTGTTTTTTAAAATCACTTTGACAGTTTTAAGAGTGCTGGTCAGGTATTCCATAGAATGTTCCTCAATTTGGAATTTTTCTCATGATTAGACTGGAGTTAGGTGTTTTGCAGGAGAATGCCACAAAGGTGAAGTGTCCAGGCTCATCACTTGATACACCTGGTGACAGTAACCTTGATCACTTGATTGAAGCAGTGTTTGTCAGGTTTCTCCACTTTAAAGTTACTATTTTTACCCCTTTCCATACTCTGTTCTTTGGAAGTGAGTCACTAAGTCCAGCACAGGTCCAAGGGAGGAGGGCCAATTCAGCTCCATAGTTCTGGAGGCTGGGAAGTCTAAGATCAAGGCACGCCAGGCACGGTGGCTTACGCCTGTAATCCCAACACTTTGGGAGGCCAAGGTGGGCAGATGACGAGATCAGGAGTTTGAGACCAGCCTGACCAACATGGTGAAACCCCGTCTCTACTAAAAATACAAAAATTAGCTGGGCATGGTGGTGCGTGCCTGTAATCCCAGCTACTCAGGAGGCTGAGGCAGGAGAACTGCTTGAACCCGGGAGGCAGAGGTTGCAGTGAGCCAAGATCGCGCCACTGCACTCCAGCCTGGGTGACAGAGTGAGGCCCCATCTCAGACAAAAAAAAAAAAAAAAAAAAAAAAGATCAAGGCACTGGCAGGTACCATGTCCAGAGGGTCCATTCCTCATGAACTCCATCCTCTTGCTGTGTCCTCACGTGGCAGAAGGCTACATTTTCCTATTCTGCTGTTGCTTTACCCATAGTTACACTCTGGCATCAAAGTTGCTGTTTGAGAGGAAGTGAGTGTAGACAGGGGAGTAAGAGGTCTGATGACAGAGGCAGGGAATAAATGTTTGGAGTCCACAGCATCATGAGAACTTCTTGGGAATAGAGTCTAGGCCCCCAGTGCTGTCACTCTCACCCATCCTCCTCTACACATGTGAGATGTTTCAGGACCCAGTGGCCTTTGAGGATGTGGCTGTGAACTTCACCCAGGAGGAGTGGGCCTTGTTGAATCCTTTCCAGAAGATCTCTACAGAGATGTGATGCAGGAAACCTTCACGAACCTCATCTGTATAGGTAGGGGTGACAATATTACCTCCCTCAGTGAATTGTAGAACATATGTTTCTAGTTCATCAGTGCTATTCAGGGATTTGGAATATGGATAGGCAATCCTTCGATGAACAAATCAGGCATGGCTGCAGTGTCCCATAAACATGGAATCTAATGATTTTTAAATAATCTTATACTAATTCAGGACTATTTTTTAGGGAAAAAATGGAAAGACCAGAACATTGAAGATCAATACAAACATCCCAGGAGAAATCTAAGATAATTTACACTCACAAGACAAAGAAATGTCTCTAAAGAAAATCTCAGATTGTCAGAAATTGTTAAAAAGAAGCCAACAAAAGAAATAAGCTCAGCATAAAATGTATTTATTCTTAGAAAGTTTTCTCGAAAAACATATATTTCAATGTGATATAGAGGTTTAATGTTCATAAAATAGCTTACTTGGAAATAGTATTAAGAAACCTCAGCTGGCCGTGGTGGCTCACGCCTGTAATCCCAGGACTTTGGGAGGCCAAGGTGGGCGGATCACCTGAGGTCGGGAGTTCAAGACCAGTCTGACCAACATGGACAAACCCTGTCGCTAGTAAAAGTATAAAATTATCCAGGCGTGGTGGCACATGCCTGTAATCCCAGCTACTCGGGAGGTTGAGGCAGAAGAGTCGCTTGAATCCGGGAGGTGGAGGTTGCAGTGAGCTGAGATCACGCCATGGCACTCCAGCCTGGGCAACAAGAGCAAAACTCCGTCTCAAAAAAAAAAAAAAAAAAAAAAGAAACCTCATGTAAATATTCTTTTTTTGATGATAGATATAGACAGGCCATCTTGTAGAATGTGTGATCCATTCATGTTTAAACAATTCAGACAGGGCAGAAAGTCTACACTTCATGGGATAATGTTAAAAATGCAGCTGGACATGGTGGCTCATGCCTGTAATCCCAGCACTTTGGGAGACCAAGGCAAGAGGACCACTTGAGGTCAAGAGCCCAAGATCAGCCTGGGAGACACAGCAAGACTCTATCTCTACCAAAAATAAAAAATTAGCTGGGTATGGTGGCACACACCTGTAGTCCAACTTTCTGGGGAGTCTGAGGTGGGAGGATCACTTGAGCCCAGGCGGTGAAGGCTGCAGTGTGTTATGATCACACCACTGCACTCCAGCCTGGGTAACAGAGTGAGACTTTGTACCAAAAAAACAAAAACATTAAAAATGCAAGTGTAATACTTATTAACAAATATTAAATCGCTTATAAACAGACCCTTAATTATGTGCTTGGCATTTTTCACAGAAATTTTATGGGAGAGAGACTCTTTGAGAGTGCAGAAGGTAGTCAGTGTGGAGAAACTTTCACCCAGGTTCCGGAAGACATGCTGAACAAGAAAACTCTTCCTGGAGTAAAATCATGTGAAAGTGGTACATGTGGAGAAATCTTCATGGGATATTCATCCTTTAATAGGAACATCAGAACTGACACTGGACACCAACCACATAAGTGTCAGAAATTTTTAGAGAAGCCATATAAACATAAACAACGTAGGAAAGCCTTGAGCCATAGCCACTGCTTTCGAACACATGAAAGGCCTCACACTAGAGAGAAACCTTTTGATTGTAAGGAATGTGAAAAATCTTTCATTTCTCCTGCAAGCATTCGAAGATATATGGTAACGCACAGTGGAGATGGACCTTATAAATGTAAGTTTTGTGGGAAAGCCTTGGATTGTCTCAGTTTATACCTTACCCATGAACGAACTCACACTGGAGAGAAACGATATGAATGTAAACAATGTGGTAAAGCCTTCAGTTGGCACAGTTCTGTTCGAATCCATGAAAGAACTCACACTGGGGAGAAGCCATATGAATGTAAGGAGTGTGGGAAATCATTCAATTTTTCCAGTTCCTTTCGCAGACATGAAAGGACACACACAGGAGAGAAGCCGTACAAATGTAAGGAATGTGGGAAAGCCTTCAATTGTCCCAGTTCTTTTCACAGGCATGAAAGGACTCACACAGGAGAAAAACCCTATGAATGTAAACTATATGGGAAAGCATTATCTCGCCTTATAAGCTTTCGAAGACACATGAGAATGCACACTGGAGAGAGGCCTCATAAATGTAAGATATGTGGGAAAGCCTTTTACTCTCCCAGTTCATTTCAAAGGCATGAAAGAAGTCACACTGGAGAGAAACCCTACAAATGCAAGCAATGTGGGAAAGCCTTCACTTGTTCCACTTCGTTTCAATATCATGAAAGGACTCACACTGGAGAGAAACCCGATGGGTGTAAGCAATGTGGGAAAGCCTTCAGATCTGCCAAGTACATTCGAATACATGGAAGGACTCACACTGGTGAGAAACCCTATGAATGTAAGCAATGTGGGAAAGCATTTCATTGTGTCAGCTCCTTTCATAGACATGAAAGGACTCACGCTGGAGAAAAACCTTATGAATGTAAGCATTGTGGGAAAGCCTTCACTTGTTCCATATATATTAGAATACATGAAAGAATTCACACTGGAGAGAAACCTTACCAATGTAAGGAATGTGGGAAAGCCTTCATTCGTTCCAGTTACTGTCGAAAACATGAAAGAACTCACACTATTAATATATGAGAGAAATGCTATTTTTTAATTTTTATTTTAATAGAGACAGGGTCTCACTATCTTGTCCAGGTTGGTCTTGAACTCCTGGCCTCAAGCATCCCTCCCAGCTTGAAGTGTCAATAAAGGAAGGCAATAAAATGTAGAGATGGAGTTAGGTGATGCCACGCTGGGATTCACTGGTGGCCTATCTTACATATGATTTCGAAGGCAGACATGAGGAAGGCCTTAGTCACATTTTAGAGCCAGCCAAATTCACATGGGCTGTGTGGCCCCCTGATTCTAGCCCATTTTCCTGATTCTCTGGCTTGTCAATCAAGAGTATCCTCCAAATCTCTTGACTTTCCTTTTTTCAGAGGTGTAGGTTTCCAAAGATGTCCCCAGAAGCTCCACATTCAAGTTCTATCTACAGTTTGGTTTTTCTTTAAGTATTGTAATGTACATACCAGAGAGATAATGCAGACTGTCATGGGTGGGGAATGTTCTCTGATGCTCAACTCCCCTAGTCTGCAGATTGAGTTGGTAGGAGGTGTGATTTGTTTACATGCACCTTTGTTCCTGCTGGTAGTGACCTTGTTCTTGATTCAGCCTGACAGCTACTATGCTGCCATCAGAACCAACTTGATGAGAGCTCTGCTGCCCTGTGCAGTGACTGGTCTCATCCAGGACTCTCATGTGAGAAGGAACACCTTGCTCTGGTCAGGAAATGTCCAGTGTTTCCTGTTATCCACAGGAGAATGTAATGCCTCAGTTCATTTTCAGTTATCTTTGATTATATGTGATTGACAATGTGTATTTTTGAGGGAGCAAAGATTTCTGTACATATTTCTTAAAAATAGTTTATTCAGCTGGGTGCAGTGGCTCATGCCTGTAACCCCAGCACTTTGGGAGGCCGAGGTGGGCGGATCACGAGGTCAGGAGTTTGAGACTAGCCTGGCCAACACAGTGAAACCCCATCTCTACTAAAAGTACCAAAGTTAGCCGGGTGTGGTGGTGGATACCTGTAATCCCAGCTACTCGGGAGGCTGAGGCAGGAGAATCTCCTGAACCTGGGAGGTGGAGGTTGCAGTGAGCCAAGATCACGCCACTGTACTCCAGCCTGGACAAGAGAGCAATACTCTGTCTCAAAAAAAAAAAAAAAGGTTTATTCACTGTTTTTCAGTTGTGTACTTGCAAATGTTTTTCTCTTTTTTTTGTATACTGAGAAGCTCTATTAAAATATCCCTTGTCAACATGGATCAGATCAAATGTATACTGTTACCAAATTATTTGTTTGATATTGTGAATCAATATCACCATGTGTATAAACCTCATTTATTTCCTGATGTAAATTATACATTTCATGCATATCTACTTATAATTTTTACCTTTTTTTTTTTGAGACAGGGTCTTGCCTTTTAACCCAGGCTGGAGTGCAGTGGTGCAATCATAGCTCATTGCAGCTCTGAGCTCCTGGGCTTAAGTAATCCTCCTGCCTCAGCCTCCTGAGTCGCTGGGACTACAGGTGTGCACCATCATGCCTGGCTAATTTTTTTTTAATTTTTAGTACTGAGGAGGTCTTGTTATGCTCCCCAGGCTAGTCTCCAACTCCTGGGCCAAAGCAATCCTCCTGTCTCAGTCTTCCAAAGTGCTGAGATTATAGGCGTGAGCCACTGTTCCCAGCCACAATTTTTATCTTGACCATAATTTGTCATTCTTTTATAATCCCCGAAGTTAAATCTTGCTGTTATGGTGCTGTGTTGCCCAAAACCACCAGTACTAAAAAAACTGTTGTCAAAGAGGATGTAATAAATTGTAGTAATAAATATGACCACAAGCCATAAATGACTGCAGGACATACCAATAAGAGGGTTCTCTGTAGAATTTCTTACAGGATTTCTGTTTTAGGTGCATTGTTCTCTATTCAAGGAGGTGAGTCATTTTTGTATATTGGATGCTGTCAGGATGTGAACTTAATTGTACCACTGCTAATCATAGTAGT
Organism: Homo sapiens; assembly: GCF_000001405.40. NCBI lineage: Eukaryota > Metazoa > Chordata > Mammalia > Primates > Hominidae > Homo > Homo sapiens. Next base: position 11,809,237 of record NC_000019.10, read on the forward strand.
TCTCACCTAGAAGGAGAAAGAATGGATTGGAGGTAAACCTAATTGAAGACAATTGCTGGTCAGTCCATTATGAGAAGAGGGGAACTGGAATTTTTGGTTATTTTTATGATTTGAAATATGTTTTCTTCTATCCCATCTAGGGACGTGGTTACAGAATGCCCTCGTTTTTGTCCTGCTCCATCATGGTCACTGAGGAGCACTGCTTCACACTGCAGGTGTCTGACATGGCTTAAGATTTGGCCTTGTGGTGAGGGGAGGCAGCTCCCAGACTTGTGGACCTGTTTTTGCTTTACTTATTCTCCAAAACCTAAGATATTTCTTAGAGTGTATGAACACTGTTCCACAAAATGCTCCAGTTAAAAATATATAAAATCACTTACTCCTTAGGAAGCTGTATAATACTTTTAAAGAAATTCCTTACTGAGTCAAGTGTGGTCAATATATTTATGTAACTGTCTGAATGCACGCCTAGGAAGGATGAAAGTCAGTATCACTATTCCAACCAAGCCTTTCTTGCTCAGATAATATGCTCTTGATGCACCCCTCTTTTTTCTTTTTGACACAGGGTCTCATTCTATCACCCAGGCTATGTGGAGTGCAGTGGCGTGATCTCGGCTCACTGCAATCTCCACCTCCTGGGCTCAAGCGATCCTCCCACCTTAGCCTCCCAAGTAGCTGGGACCATGCCCAGCTAATTTTTGTATTTTTTTTTTTAGAGACAAGGTTTCACCATGTTGCCCAGGCTGATCTCGAACAGGAGTTCAGCAACCCTTTTATGCCACACTGTAGAGTAATAGGCAACATGGAAAAGTTAGTTTTATATATTATGCAGTGGCATGGACCAATCCAATCACTTTTTTGAAGTGCCAGCCAAACTCTTCTTCAGAGAAGCCTGTTTGAAACCCCCTAGAGTCAAAACCTGGTACCACAGGACAGAGCAGCAATGAGTGACCAACCCCTGACTCTATGTGCAGATGACACATCCATCCCCAGATTAGGTATCAACATAAGTGAAAGGTACTGTCATTGCCTGTCATTTTTTTTTTTTTTGAGATGGAGTCTCACTTTGTCACCCAGGCTGGAGTGCAGTGGCACGATCTTGGCTCACTGCAACCTCTGCCTCCTGGGTTCAAGCTATTGTCCTGCCTCAGCCTCCCAAGTAGCTGGGATTACAGGTGCCCGCCACCACACCCGGCTAATTTTTGTATTTTTAGTAGAGACGGCGTTTCACCATGTTGGCCAGGCTAGTCTTGAACTCCTGACCTTGTGATCCACCTGCCTCGGCCTCCCAAAGTGCTGGGATTACAGGCGTGAGCTACTGCACCCAGCCCATTGCCTATCAGTTTTTATAGAGTGTCGCTTAGATCAAGAAAGAGATGGTAATACAGAGTTAGGTGTGTCTGAAACCAAACACGACCTCATCCTTCTCCCTTGAAGGCCAAATGCACTCTGAGAGTTTGGTTAGAGTACAAACAACGCCACCAACTTCACTCCAGATGTGATTTTCTACAGGAGGCGGGCACTGTGTTGGGATGGCCAGTGAAGGTAAGGAACACTAGAGGTGCAGGTTTAGGTGATGAACAGGACACAGCCTGGACATTATTAGCCTTGACTATGGAGGTGTCTTGATGTTTCTCAAATTGAGACCAGTCTGGCCAACAGGATACTGAACTGGTTTTCGATGGAAAAATTCATCTGTATAGGGATCTATTCGCTTCCTTTAAGTTTCAGTTTCGTTATGTGGCATTTAGCATGAGTGACTCCATTTTGGTCTGATCTGGTTTCTAAGTGCCTAGTGCAGAAGCTCAGTCCAAAACAATGGCCTCCCATAATGTTCATTTTAACATTTTCTTTATACTAATACATTATATCAGGTCACCTCAAATGTCACCTCCACAGAGGGTTCTTCCTCTCACCTCAGTTAGTCCTACTTCTTTCCATTCAGTTTTTTGTTACACTGCACTTTTTAGGATCTGGGAAATCTAATCAAAGTTCACAGGGTTTATTGCTTATTCTTTTTCTTTTTCTTTTTCTTTTTTTGAGACAGAGTCTCTCTTTGTCGCTGCCCAGGCTGGAGTGCAATGGTGTGATCTCGGCTCATTGCAACCTCCACCTTCCAGGTTCAAGCGATTCTCCTGCTTCAGCCTCCTTAGTAGCTGGGATTACAGGCATGCACCACCACACTCAGCTAATTTTTGTATTTTTAGTAGAGATGGGGTTTCACCATGTTGGCTAGGCTGGTCTCGAACTCCCAACCTCAGGTGATCCACTCACCTCAGCCTCCCAAAGTGCTGGGATTACAGGCATGACCACTATGCCCAGCCAGGTTCATTACTTTTTAAAAATCAATCTATGAAAAATTAAATTGGCCAGGCATGGTGCCTCAGAACCTGTAATCCCAGCACTTTAGGAAGCTAAAGTGGGAGGGTCACTTGAGGCCAGGAGTTGGAGAGCAGTCTGGGCAACACAGTGAAACCCCATCTGTACAAAAAATACAAAAATTCGCTGGGCTTGGTGGCGCACACCTGTGGTCCCAGGCTCTACTTGGGAGGCTGAGGTGGGAGAATTGCTTGAGTCCGGAAGATCAAGGCTGCAGTGAGCTCTGTTTGCACCACTGTACTCCAGCCTGGGTGACAGAGGGAGACCTTGTAAAAAAAAAAAAAGAAAGAAAGAAAGAAAGAAAGAAAGAAAGAGAGAGAGAGAGAGGGAGAGAGAGAAAGAAAGAAAGAAAGAAAGAAAGAAAGAAAGAAAGAAAGAAAGAAAGAAAGAAAGAAAGAAAGAAAGAAGAAAAGAAAAGAAAAATCATGTAAATGAAACCAAATTCAGTGATGTTACCTTAACTTTTTTTCTTTTTTCGGGTAGAGACAGGGTCCCACTATGTTGCCCAGGCTGGTCTCAAACTCCTGGCCTCAAGCGATCCTCCTACCTTGGCCTTCCAAAATGCTGGTATTACTGGTGTGAGCCACCACACCTGTCCTACCTTTATTTCTAATAACTGATATGCCTTACATTAAAAAGTCTTTTAGAAAACACCTTTGAGCCATTTTCCAGATAGGGGAAGTCAATGAAGCTCCCTCTTGTGGTGAGGGCGACTTTAACATCCACACATCCTGTCTGGGGGACTGGATTTCTGAGTTGTGCTGAGACTTAAGAGTGGAAAAAAAGTCTACTCTTTTTCCTCTGCTCTCACACAACACGGAATACTTCTGTGACCAAATGCAAATATTTGAGAAGTGTCCCCCACATGCCAAGCAAAGCATCAATTCTGCAACTGACTCCAGCTCGATGTCTTCTAGTTCCAACACTTTCTACCTTTACATAAGGTACAAAACTGCCTCAGAAATCATCTGACCATGTGTCCCGGTTTGCCAGTGATAATCCTTGATAGTACCTGTTGTCCCAACATAGTTTTTCATAGCACCTCATCTTGCCATGGTTATCTGTGTCTGAACAATGAATATGTATGAATACTTTCACACATAAGCAAAATTAGGTTTATTAAATGAAGTTTCCAGGAATGTTCAAATTTCAACACCTGATTTACCTTATCACAAGTTATGGCTGTGCTAATTTCTCCAGGAAATATTCACAGAATATTGAATTTATCATTGTAAGGTGTGGAGCAATGAAGATGCCCAAGAGGCCAGGCGCACACCTGTAATCCCAACACTTTGGGAGGCTGAGGCTGGAGGATCACTTAAGCTCAGGAGTTTGAGATCAACCTGAACAACCGAATGAGACCTCATCTCTACCAAAAATAAAAAACTAGCCAGGCATGGTGGCAGGCACTTGTAGTCCCACCTACTTAGGAGGCTGAGGTGGGAGGATTGCTTGAGTCTGGGAGGTTGAGGCTGCATTGAGTAGCCATCGCACCACTGCACTCCAGCTTGGGCGACAGAGTGAGACCCCGTCTCAAAAAAAGATGGCTAAAACATAATTTTTTTTTTTTTGAGATGGAGTCTCACTGTGTCTCAGGCTGGAATGCAGTGGCACGATCTTGGCTCACTGCAAACTCTGCCTCCCGGTTCAAGCAATTCTCCTGCCTCAGCCTTTCAAGTAGCTGGGATTACAGGCATGCGCCACCATTCCTGGCTAATTTTTGTATTTTTAGTAGAGATAGGATTTCACCATGTTGGCCAGGCTGGTCTTGAACTCCTGACCTCGTGATCCACCTGCCTCAGCCTCTCAAAGTGCTGGGATTACAGGCATGAGCCACCGCGCCCGGCCTGCCTAAATCATAATTTCTATGACAGAATTTCTCATTTACAGCTTCCCCTGAGACCATCTTTCATTTCAGTTAACCCTGCTCCTTGGGGGTTATATGTGAGATAAAAGTGCCATGCTATATCATGTTCCCTGGCTCAGTCCTACACAGCATGTCCTGAAAAATGGGTCTTCAGTCACTGTCAATGCACCAGGGATAGATATACATAGTACTGAGAGCCTCTAAATCTTTAATAAGTTCTGGCTTGGTTAGCTCCCTTACAAGGAAAACCTTGCTGGAGTCCATAGCAGTGTGAGGAAGCCTTGGCCATGCCTCATCCCATTTCCCGCACGCTGGAAGACATCTGCCTCTCTCTCCTGGTGCAGTCGTGCCTTGCCTGGTCTGGGCTCCCCTCCTGCTCTGAGGCAAGCGTATCTCTCCATTGAACACTGAGTCTGAAATGCCCTGCACACACTTGTGATCCCGTGCAGAAGGAAGGAGCAGGGACAGCCCCTTGAATGAGGAAGCTAACAGTGCCTCTTCTAACAATAAGGAGCAAGTCGCCTTGAAATGCAAATATCTGATGACCAGGGCTCAAGGAAGGCGCTCGCTTAGAGAGGCTGTTCGCTTAGAGAGGCTGCTCGCTTAGAGAGGCTGCTCGCTCAGAGACGCTGTGGCCAGAACAAGTCAGACATGATCTGCAGGACCCGGTTACCCAGGGCTTCTGCTGTCACTCAGCACGGAGGAGGCGGGGCCTGGCGCCCCATCCAATCAGGGGTGCTGGGGCGGGGCCCTGTCAACTGTCCATCCGGGGAAGGGGGAAGGGACAGTCGCCCTCCGTCCATTCCTTTAGTGCTGCGCCGACAGCGGTCAGGATCTCGGCTTTCTTGCTTCGAGAGGGACTAGGTGCCTCCACCAGAGCTTCTGTCGCTCTGTAACCTGCACTGTGACCTACACTAGTCGCGGGAGCCACGCAGAGGACGCCGGAACACCCTGGAAGCCGAGAAATGGTGTGTGTGAGGGGGCTGGCGTCCGGGCGACTGGGAGAGGGGCTGGAATCGGCCGGAACCGGCTGAGGCGGGACCCGGGCCTCCACGCGGCGACTCCGGGGTCGTGGACGCGAGTCCCCTCGGTCGCAGGGTGGGGCTGGGCCGGCAGCCGGGACCCCGGGCCTCCTGTCCCGTCCCTTCACGGCGACTGCGGCCCCGGCTCCGGAGCCTAATCTGGGCAGCTCCGCGTCTCCCCACATTATGCGGGGGCCACGGGAGGGATATGGGGGGATCCCGCCTCGGATATGGGGTTTGTTAGAAACAAGTGCCCGGTGCCGCAAAGAAAACCAGCATCTAGGCAGAAAATTCCTCAGCAAAGCAAATTTATTTCTACACAAGGGTGCAGCTTGCGCCAGTCACAAGAGCACAGCGAGCGGGGTAGGGCAGGGGTTTTTCTCCTTAACGCAGTTTCTAGCACTTCTGTGTCCTTTCCTCATTGGCTAGGGTTGGACCTCACAATCTAAACTAACTCGATAGGCTAAGGTTTAAAATTAAATAGGGTCTGGCCAGGCGCGGTGGGTCACGCCTGTAACCCCAGCACTTTGGGAGGCCGAGGCAGGCGGATCGCGAGGTCAGGAGATCGAGACCATCCCTGGCTAACACGGTGAAACCCCGTCTCCACTAAAAATACAAAAAAATTAACTGGGTATGGTGGCGGGCGCCTGTAGTTCCAGCTACTCGGGAGGCTGAGGCAGGAGAATGGCGTGAACCCGGGAGGTGGAGCTTGCAGTGAGCCGAGATCGCACCACTGTACTCCAGCCTGGGCAACAGAGCGAGACAACTGGGCAACTCCGTCACACACACACACACACACACACACACACACACACACACACAAATTAAATAGGGTCTATGAGACGGGAAGGAACAGGGACTGTCCGTTACTAGGCGGGAAGGCGTATCTGGACTTGTCTGGGCGCGGCAAAAGCGGGAAGGTTGTTTACAGAACAGGTAGCTAGGAGACAAGGAAGTCGGTCTCAAGAAACAAAGAACAGCTTACTAAAGCTTTTAGAAAAGTAATTTATCATCTCTGACAGGTTCGTGTGGGAGGAGTAGCGGTCTTTGGGGTCCCCAGTGCCCACTTTTTTCTGTTAAAAATTAAACTGAGGTACGTTAACAATTAAAGAGTTTAGGGCCGGGCGCGGTGGCTCACGCCTGTAATCCCAGCACTTTGGGAGGCCGAGGCGGGCGGATCAGGAAGTCAGGAGTTCAAGACCAGCCTGGCCAACATGGTGAAACCCCATCTCTACTAAAAATACAAAAATTAGCTGGGCATGGTGGCGCGTGCCTGTAATCCCAGCTACTTGAGAGGCTGAGGCAGAAGAATTGCTTGAACCCAGGAGGCGGCGGTTGCAGTCAGCCAAGACGGCGTCACTCCAGCCTGGCAACAGAGCCAGACTCCATCTCAAAACAACAACAACGATTCACGAATGAGAAACACCCAGTCCTGGCTTGTGGTTTGTCAACGGAAAAAGCCAAGCTATGTAAAATAAAGAAGTTTATTAGGAGCCGAATAGGAGAGCCGTTGGCCGAGGGAAACACAACCCCAAGCAGCCTGGAGTAAGTGGTCCCGAGGCAGCTCAAGACAGTTTGGTTTTATTCATTTCAGAGAGACAGGAATTGCAGGGAAAATCATGAATCAGTGCCTGGAAGGTGTAAGTTCCATTGGCAGAAAGGGTGGGACCTGTGGAAGGGGGGTTAGAAGGCACAGGTAGTTGAGGGATTCTGTAGGTGGCAGCTGGTTGAGAGTGTTGAATCTTTGTCTAAAGTTTGGAGGAGGTAGGAAGGAATGCTGAAGGAAGGGGGTCTGTTATCTGCCACTTCATTCCATCCCAGCCAAAAAACAGACCTGTTTCTCGAGATTTTATGAATTCTAAGGCGTAACTTTACCTTTGCCTTGCGTGGCCTTAGGTCTTGTTTGTAATTTGGTATCTTGTTGCCACAAGGAGTCTGTTTTTCCAGTCAGATAATGTCTGTTTTTACATGAATGTGCGTCAGTTGCTGCATGTAAACTCCTAAAGGGAGAGGGTATAAGGAGACCTGTCTCACCTCCCATCCTGTCATACAGAGGCACTCAATTTTCAGGGTTTTTTGGGGGTTCCCTTGGCCAAGAGCCAGTCACTTCACTTAGCTGGGAAGGTACTTTGTTTTTGTTTTTGTTTGAGACAGAGTCTCCTGTAGCCCAGGGTGGTGTGCAGTGGCTCTATCTTGGCTCACTGCAACCTCCACCTTCCGGGTTCAAGCGATTCTCCTGCCTCAGCTTCCCGAGTGGCTGGGATTACAGGCATGTGCCACCACACCCGGCTAATTTTTGTATTTTTAGTAGAGATGGGGTTTCACCATGTTGGCCAGGCTGTTCCTGAACTCCTGACCTCAAGTGATCCACTGGCCTCGGCCTCCCAAAATGCTGGGATTACATGTGTGAGCCACCTCACCAGGCCAGAAGGTATGTTTTTATTTTTAGTTTACAGGTTGAAGGCTGGACTTTTATAAGGTACATGAGGAGACAAACCAGATAAATGCTTGATTGGTTGCAGAGATGCAGTCACCTTATTTGGACTTGTCAACCCGAAATAATCGAAAGTTTCAGATTTCAACTGGAAGAGTTTATTCAAGCAAAAAGATAGCAATGGCCCATTTGGGAAAAACACAGACTCCAGAGAAATGGACTCAGTACTCCAAAATTGGAAGTTAAGTTCTTGCTTATATTACTGGGAAAAGAGGTCCTGATCAGATCCCAAGAGAGTTCTTGGATCTCATACAGGAAGGAATTCAAGACGAGTCGGAAAGTACAGTGCAAAGAGAGTTTATTGAAAGCTACTCTGGGCCAGCATGATGGCTTAGGCCTGTAATCTAAGCACTTTGGGAGGCCGAGGTGGGAGGATCACTTGAGGTCAGGAGTTTGAGACCAGCCTGGGCAATATAGTGAAACCCCATCTCTTCCAAAAATAACAAAAATTAGCCGGGTGTGGTGGCCTGCACCTGTAGTCCCAGGTACTCGGGAGGCTGGATGGGACAATCACTTGAACCCGGGAGGCAGAGGTTGCAGCCCAGCTGAGGACACGCCACTGCACTCCAGCTTGGGTAACAGAGTGAGACCCCATCTCAAAAAACAAAAACAAAACAAACAAACAAGACAGAGTTCAAGACCAACGTGGCCAACACAGTGAGACCCTGTCTCTATTTAAAAAAAAAAAAGGAAAGAAAGAAAGAAAGCCTCTCTTACAGAGTAGGGCATCCTCCTAAAGCAAGTGGAGGAACGTACTGTCTAAGTTTTTCTTATGTAGGGATCTTGTCTATGTAAAAGACTAAACTGAGCTGTGCCTACGTGCATGTGGGCTGACAGCGTCACAAAATTTATTACTCTGTTGATTTAAAGAAAACTATCCTTTACATTTTAGTGCATACAAGTGCATTAAAACATAACTATAATTATCAGGCCAGGTGTGGTGGCTCACGCCTGTAATCCCAGCACTTTGGGAGGCCGAGGTGGGCGGATCACTTGAGATTAGGGGTTCGATACCAGCCTGATGAAACCCTGTCTGTACTAAAAATACAAAAAAAAATTAACTGGGCATGGTGGCATGTGCCTGTGATCCCAGCTACTCGGGAGGCTGAGACAAGAGAATTGCTTGAACTTGGGAGGTGGAGGTGCAGTGAGCCGTGATTGTGCCATTGCACTCCAGCCTGGGCAACAAGAGTGAAACTCTGTCTCAAAAAAAAACCAAAACGAAACAAACAAAAAAAACTATAATTATCTTGAAAGCACATATTATTATGGGTATTGGGACATCAGGACATTCTGTTGTTGTGGGAGTGTAAGGATACTTGCAGGCATCTTCAGGCTGTCTCCTTCATGGGAAACATTTTGTGATCATGGGTTGCGACTGGCAAGGAGTGTTTCTTGTTAGTCTCAAGATGGAGCTGAACTTAAATTGGTGTGTTACTCTGGCTCCCCTAGGCACCTGCTTCCCTAACACTTATATAGGCGAAAGGCAAATAAATATAACAGGATTACATTTTCCATAGAAGGCTGATGTATGAGGTACAACAATTTAATTATTATTATTATTATTATTATAGACAATATCTTGCTCTGTGGCCCAGGCTGGAGCAGTGGTGCGATCATGGCTTACTGCAACCTTGACCTCCCCGGCTCAAGCACCTCCGCCTCCCAAGTAGCTGAGACTATAGTCGCCCACCAGCACACCTGGCTAATTTTTTATTTTTTACAGAGGTGGGGTCCCAATACATTGCTCAGGCTGGTCTCTAGCTCCTGGCCTCAAACAGTCTTCCTTCTTTGGCTTCCAAAATAGCTGAGATTACAGGCGTGAGCCACTGCACCTGGCTAACAACCTAATTCATTATGGTTTTTTTTCCCCCAGAGCTTGTTTTCTTTAAAGCTCGTTTTTATTTCCTTTTCAATTTAAGAGTGAATTTAACATTCCAGCTGAAGACAGTGTGATAGCCATGAAGTCTTTGTGTGAGAAAGTTAAGAGGGAAGTTAGTCTACTACAGAGATCAGTAGTGAAGAGAGGCCCTGTGGGATGGCTCACACCTGTAACCCCAGCACTTTGGGAGGCCAAGGCAGGTGGATGGCTTGATCTCAGGAGTTCAAGACCAGCCTGGGCAACATAGTGAGACCCTCCCCCCCATCTCAATTATGAAAAATCATATTAAATTTTAAAAAAATAGTGATGAGGGAAAGGGTCTTTCCTGTTTTCCCTCAGTCATTTACAACATTTTACAAAACAGTATAGGTAAGAAAGAAGGCGAATCTGTAATCAGGGAAAGGAGGGTTCCAACTGGCTATGTAAAAGCTGTGTGTCAGGTGACTCAACTCCATGATCACATTGCTTAAAGATAATTTAGAGATTAAATTTTTTAATTACTTGTGTTTTGTTTGTTTGTTTTTTTGATTTTTTTTGAGACACAATCTTACTCTGTCACCCAGGCTGGAGCGCGGTGGCACCATCTGGGCCCACCGCAGCCTCTGCCTCCTGGGTTAAAGTAATTCTCCTGCCTCAGCCTCCCAAGTATCTGGGATTACAGGTGCGTACCACCACACTTGGCTAATTTTTATATTATTAGTAAAGGTGGGGGTTTCACCATGTTGGCCAGGCTGGCCTCGAACTCCTGGCCTCAAGTGATCCGTTCGCCTTGGCCTTCCAAAGTGTTGGGATTACAGGAGTGAGCCACCATGCCTGGCCTGACTTACTTGTTCACACAGCCTATATAGGTAGAAGATTTCTAGTCATGTAATCACAGGTTAATTGGTGGATTATGCCTGATTAAGCATAAATTTCATTTCCCTATAAATTAGTAATTTTCAAGTGTTTTATTTAAATTTGATTTTAGTGTCCTTAGGTAGGACCTTAGAATACTACACACAGTTTGGTCTCATTGCTTCTTATTTAAATTTTTTCACACTTTCCAGGGTGAGTGGTTTCCCACTACAATTTCCAAATATACGGGATGCAGGGCCTCAAATCCTCCACCCTCATACCACAGCCTGACTCTTCAAGGGCTTGCAGTGAAATCTGTGTCTGAACATTTCACATGAGAGGAAAGCAGAGAATAACCACTAGACATTTTCCCGAGAAAACCTTTCTGCCTCTCCTCCTTTTATCTTTCCTAGACACAGTCACCTATCAGGATGTCTTTGGGATGAGGTTCCTTTGTGGAAACTTTACAGGGTGATGTGTCTTCCATACACCCTCGTATCCTTTTTGTTTGTTTGTTTTTGAGACAGAGTCTCACTCTGTCGCCCAGGCTGGAGTGCAGTGGCGCGATCTCGGCTCACTGCAAGCTCCGCTTCCCGGGTTCATGCCATTCTCCTGCCTCAGCCTCCCGAGTAGCTGGGATTACAGGCACCTGCCACCACGCCCGGCTAATTTTTTTTGTATTTTTTGTAGAGACGGGGTTTCACCGTATTAGTCAGGATGTTCTCGATCTCTTGACCTTGTGATCCGCCCGCCTCGGCCTCCCAAAGTGCTGGGATTACAGGCGTAATCCGGCCACTGTGCCCGGCCCTACACCCTCCTGTCTTTTCCAGGTTTCGGGTTTTAGAACGGCCTGGGGATGACTCAAAATCCCCACGACTGCCCTGTCTCCTGGAGGGTCTAGTGGCTATCAGTGCCTAGGGGAGTGGAGCCTCCTGAGGGAGCAGCTGAATGAATAATAGTGGAGGAGATGCCTGGTATGCTCTTCATCTACATAACCAATACTTGGGGTGCTCAGCTTCTCTCTCCCAACTCCAGTTTCCATTCATTGGAGACACATGACCGTCAGCCAATTGGATGTTGCTATTGAGGAAAAGGAGAAATGATTCCTATCTTCTGGATTGTCTCATCTCTGAAGAGAGAACTCAGAGAACTCCCAAAAGACAAGGAAAGGCCACTTCAACGGGGTGGAGCAATAGCCTGCAAAGCAAAATATACATGGGGGTACACAGGGGACACAATGCCGTGTTGGTGGGAAATAGTCAATTAGCACTTCTCCTTTCCTCTATGTGAAATGTTCAGAGAATCACCACCAGACACTTTCCTGTCAAAATATGCATGCTTCTCCTCCATTCATCTGTTCTGGAAACAGATTTTATCAGATTGTCTTTTGGTTGAGGCTCCCCTTTGGAAACTTCAAAGGGTGTTATGTCTTCAGCGCACTCTCCTATGTTTTCTTGGTCCTGGGTGGCAGAATTGGGGTGACCTAATATGCCCACAGTTGCCATGTCTCTTGGAGGGTCTAGTGAGTATCAGCCGGAGTCACTCCTCCCAGGGGACAGACTGAGGTAGGAGAATGGGGACTCCCAAGAGAGCAGCTGAATGCCTTGTGATGGAAGGAGACTCCTAGTATACTCTGCATCTAGATAGCCAACCCCTCGAGATGCTCAGCATTTCTTTCCAAACCCCAGTTTCCTGAACTTGGAGACCTATGGCTGGTCAGCCAGTTGGATGGTGCTATTGAGAGAAAAGAGAAATGCTTCCTGTCCTCTGGATTGTGTCAACTGTGAAGGGAGACAAAACCCCAAAAAACAAAGACCACCCCAGCAGGGTGGACCAGTAGCCTGCAAATCAGAATATGAAAGGGGGCACACAGGGGGGTATAGTGCAGTGTTGGTGGAAAGTAGTCATTGAGCGCTTCGGTGAGCAGGATGGGGGTGGAGAGATGTCTCATGTGATAGGGTGACTGTGCTGACACATGAGTCAGACATCACTGTGTTCCAGCCAGCACGGCCCCTCTGTGGGCTTGTCCCTTGTAAAGAATTGTTCATAGATTGCAGCTTGAGTGTTTCAAATTAACTTTACATTGCATTTGTCACTAGAACCAAATCCAAGAATGATTGCGTAGGTCAGTGAGACACAGAAGAGGCAACTCAACAAAGCCCATGACATACAGTGCATGGCTCACAATCCCAGGAGATGAGGGCAGCACAGCTGCAGAGCAACACAGAGTGGGGGGAACATCCAGGATGCACATTCAACCAGTAGGTGGGGAGCAAGACAGACAGGGACCTGTGGGCCAAAGCGTTTCTTGGGGTCTAGGGAATTGACCAAGGAGGTGTCTCTTGGGGAGTTGTTTCTGGTGGATTTAGAGCAAGCAGGCACTAGTTCTGTGAAGTCGCACTGTGATTAAGAGGTGGTCTGTACCATCCATGTGGGGTGTAAGGGTCAGTGGTACAAGTCAAATTGGTTATATCTAGCTGTCCCACAGGGAGGTGGTCACCAGAATGCAGTTGTGTAATAAATATATGTGAGTTGACCACATGGAGGAACTGGGAGAAAGTGGAGAACTAGAAACTCTGTTGAGTTTGAATAAAGTTTTCTTCCGTTATGAGAAAGTTAAATCCTTAAAGAAAATGCATGCTAAGGTAACATATAATTATAAGAACTCAGTATAAGAGGCAACTCTAGAATTAATTAAATTATTGTATATGGAGATGACAGGTAGTGGATTGATTATTCTCCTGTAGATAACCATTTGTCCCTGCTTTTTCTGTTAAGTGTTCACCACTTGTATCATTGGCTGGCAATACCTGGTTTGTCATAGTTTCACATTACCTTAAACAGATGCCCAGACTGGGCACAGTGGCTCATGCCTTTAATCCTAGCACTTTGGGAGGCTGAGGCGGGTGGAACACCTGAGATCAGGAGTTCAAGATCAGCCTGACCAATATGGTGAAACCCTGTCTCTACTAAAAATACAAAATTAGCCAAGCGTGGTGGTACATGGCTGTAATCCCAGCTACTCAGGAGGCTGAAACAGGAGAATCACGAGAACCTGGGAGGTGGAGGTTGTAGTGAGCCAAGATCACACCATTGCTCTCCAGCCTGGGCAACAAGAGTGAAACTCCGTTAAAAAAAAAAAAAAAAGATGCCCTGGTTTCACAATTTGCTTTTTCCATTGGTCTATCTTTGTCTCTCTGATAATACCATTTTCTCTTAATTAGTATAGCATTCAAAGCTGCAGTGTTTAGTGGGTATATTGCCTGTCTATCTTAGTCATCTTGGGCTGCTATATCAAATTACCATAGACTGGGTGACTTAAAGAATAAACATTTCTTTCTGGCAGTTCTTGAGGTTGTGAAGTCCATGTTCAGGGAGCTGGCAGATCTAGTGTCTGGTAAGGGCCCACTTCCTGGTTTTGCAGATGGTCATCTTCTTGTGTTTCTTCATGTGACAGAGGAGAGGAAGCCGGCTCTCCTGTGTCTTCTCATAAGAGCACTAATCTCATTCAGAAAGGATCGACTCTTATGCTGTCATCTAATCCTAATTACTTTTCAGAGATGTCAACTTCTAATACTATATTGGGGGTAGGTTATTAATATGTGATTTTTTTGGAGTGATGCAAATATTCATGCCGTAACACCCCCCCAACCATACTCTATAGAGCATCTTGGCTATTCTTAGTCATTGTGTTATATTTCAGTTTTTAGAAGTAGTTTTTCCTTAATTTTAGTGAAAAAAACAAACTGCCTTGTAAATTTCATGGACTAAAATATAACTGTAGTCATATTTCAGAAACGTTACATCATAGTGCTATTTAATCTCCTTTTAAGGACACATGACATTTTTTCATTTATTTCATTTTATATTGATGTTTTTCAGTGTAGACTTTTTGCATAATAATCATTTTATATCCTTCCTGAGACTTTTTTGGACTTGAAGAAAATTAGTTTTAATAGAAATTAGTGGCTGGGCGTGGTGGCTCATGCCTGTAATCCCAATATTTGGGAGGCCGAGGTGGGTGGATCACCTGAGGTCAGGAGTTTGAGACCAGCCTGACAAACATGGAGAAACCCTGTCTCTACTAAAAATACAAAATTAGCCAGGCCTGGTGGCACATGCCTGTAATCCCAGCTATTCGGGAGGCTGAAGCAGGAGAATCACTTGAACCTGGGAGTCCAAGGTTGCGGTAAGCCAAGATCACACCACTGCACTCCAGCCTGGGCAACAAGAGTGAAACTCCATCTCAAAAAAATAAAAAAAAAATGAAGAGATTATTCCAGTGTCGGCAACATGGCAAACTTTGCCTATACAAAAAATTACCTCGTCATTGTGATGTGTGCCTGTCGTCCCAGCTACTCAGGAGGCTGAGGTAGAAGGATCTGTTGAGCCTAAGAGTTCGAGGCTGCAGTGAGCTATGATTGCAACACTACACTCCAGCCTGGGCAACAGAATGATACCCTGTTTCAAAAAAAAAAAAAAAAAAAGAAAAGAAAAGAAAAAAGAAAAAAATTAGTTTCAATAGGATATGCTGTCTTTTAAAAATTACATTCAGCAACTTGTTGCTGATAATTAAAATTCGCTGAGATTTATTTCTGTATAGAGTGTGCATTCTAGAAACTTACTAAAAATATTATGTATGCACAAAATACATAAAAGAATTGCACAATGAATTCAAATAATGATGGAACCAGTATTGGGAATAAGATAACTGCCTTACTTTTCCTTATACTTTCTCAACCTGGGTATGCATCCTCATCAGTGTGTTTTATTTTTGCATGTTTTTTATGCAAATGATAACCGATATGTGATATTTTATATCGGATTTTATTTTAACTCAGTTATGAACCTTATATGGAATGATAGTTAATTCACTTTCTTATTTAATGGATTTTATTATTTAGAACAGTGGTTGTTTCCCCAAAACATTGGGCAGATAATCCACAGAGTTCCAGCATTTTTATTCCAGGCTCATAGTTCCCCCCACCACCCTTTTTTTTTTTTTTTTTTTGAGATAGAATCTTGCTCTGTTGCCCAGGCTGGAGTGCAGTGGCATGATCTCGGCTCACTGCAACCTCCGCCTCCTGGGTTCTAGCAATCCTTCTGCCTCAGCCTCCCGAGTAGCTGGGAATACAGGCGCACACCACCACACCCAACTAATTTCTGTATTTTTTAGTAGAGAGAGGGTTTCACCATATTGACCAGGCTGGTCTCAAACTCCTGACCTTGTGATTCGCCCACCTCAGCCTCCCAAAGTGCTGGGATTACAGGCGTGAGCCACCGTACCCAGCATAGTTCCCCCTATTCTAAACATCTTGACTGGCCAGGTGCTGAGCCTTATACCTGTAATCCTACCACTTAGGTAGGCCAAAGCAGCAGGACAGCTTGGACTCGGGAGTTGGAGGCCAGCCTAGGCAACATAGCAAGACCCTGTTTCCAAAAATAAAAAAAATAAAAAATAATAAAAAATAAAAAATAAAAACTGTTTGAAACCAAAGAAACCATATTGACTTTGTGTAGTGTATCCTGCAACTGATGCAAGAATATATTACATGTGAACATGATGGAAATTGAAGAAGCCAATGTTATTATTACCTAAAGTCCATCTTTTACATTAGGCTTCACTCTTTGTGTTCTGTGGTTTAAGACAACTATGTGTCATGTATCCACCATCACAGTCTTATAGAGAAGTGTTTTACTGCCCTCAAAATCCCCTGTGCTCCTTCTAATCATACCTCTCCCCTCCCTCTTTTGCCACCCCTATTTATCCCTGGCAACAAATGATGATGTTCCTGCCTCTAGAGTTTTGCATTTTCCAGAATATCACATATTTGGAATGATACTGTAAGTGGCCATTTCAGACTTGCTTCTTTCATGTAAAAATATGCTTTGAAGGTCTCTAAATACCTTTGTTGCTTGACAACTCATTTATTTTTTATTTTTCTTTCTTTATCTAAAGATTTTTGTTTTGTGAGAGACAGGGTCTCAAACTCCCCAGCTCAGGTGATCCTCCCGCCTCAGCTTCCCAAAGTGCCTGAATTCCACTTGTGAGCCACCATGTCCGGCCACTGATTTTCTTTTTTTTTTCTTTTCTTTTCTTTTCTTTTTTTTTTTTTTTGAGACAGAGTTTCACTCTTCTTGCCCAGGCTGGAGTTCATTGGTGCAATCTTGGCTCACTGCACCCTCCACCTCCCAGGTTCAAGCAATTCTCCTGCCTCTGCCTCCCGAGTAGCTGGGATTACAGGCATGCACCATCACGCCCGGCTGATTTTGTATTTTTAGTAGAGACGGGGTTTCTCCATGTTGAGGCTGGTCTCGAACTCCTGACCTCAGGTGATCCACCCGCTCGGCCTCCCAAAGTGCTGGGATTACAGGCGTGAGCCACCGCACGCGGCCAGGGCCACTCATTTTCTTTCATCACTGAATAACATTCTATTGTACGGATGTTACCATAGTTTGTTTCTTTATTCACCTGTTGAAAGGCTCATCTTGAGCCTGGTGTCACGCCTCATCCCTGAGTTCCCAGCACATGGGAGACTGAGATGAGATTGCTTAAGGCCAGAAGTTAGAGAACAGCCTGGTAGATACCGTGTGAGACCTTATCTATTTTTTTTTTTTAAGACTCACCTTGTTTGATTCTAGTTTTTGGCAGTTATGAGTAAGGCTGCTAAAAACGTTTGTGGGAGGACTTTCGTGTGGACATCAGTTTTTAGTTCATTTGAGTCAATATGTAGGAATGAGACTACTGAATCAGTAAGACCATGCCTATTTTCTTCAGAGCTCCGCAGACTGTCTTCCAAATTGGCTGTAGAATTTTCCATTCACATCCCTAGTGAAGGAGAGTTCACTGTCTCCAGCATTTGGAAGTGTCAGTGTTTTGGATTTTAGCTACTCCACCAGGTATTTGCTGGTGCTTCATTGTTGTTTTCCTTTTTTAATTTTTTTTCCTTTTTTTTTTTTTTTTGGAGACAGAGTTTCAAATCTTGTTGCCCGGACCGGAGTACAATGGTGCGATCTCAGCTCACTGCAGCCTCTGCCTCCCGGGTTTAAGCGATTCTCCTGACTCAGACTCCCGAATAGCTGGGATTACAGGTGTATGCTGCCACACATGGCCACTGTTTGTATTATTAGTAGAGACAGAGTTTCACTGTGTTGGCCAGGCTGGTCTCAAACTTTTGACCTCAGGTGATCAACCTGCCTCAGCTTCCCAAAGAGCTGGATTACAGGCATGAGCCACTGCGCCCGGGCTGTTTTCATTTGCTCTTTAATAACATGTAATGTAGAGCATCCTGTCATATGTTTGTTTGCCATAATTACATTCTTTAGCGGGAGGTATACTTGGAAAGATTGGGCTTTTTTTTTTTTTTGAGACTGAGTCTGGCTCTGTCACCCAGGCTGGAGGGCAGTGGCGTAATCTTGGCTCACTGCAACCTCTGTCTCCCGGGTTCCAGTGATTCTCCTGCCTCAGCCTCCTGAGTAACTGGGATTACAGGCTCATGCCACCAGGCCCGGCTAATTTTTGTATTTTTACTAGAGACGGGGTTTCACCATGTTAGTCAGGCTGGTCTCAAACTCCTGACCTCGGTGATCCACCCGTCTCTGCCTCCCAAAGTGCTGGGATTAAGGCATGAGCCACCGCACCCAGCGTTTTGCTTATTTTTTGATTGGTTGGTTTTTTTCTTATAGAATTTTAGGAGTTCTTCATACCTTTTGGGTACCAGTTCTTGATCAGATAGCTGTTCTGCAAATATTTTGTCCCAGTCTGCCGCCTGTCTTTTTATTCTGTTAACAGTCTTTTCCAAAACATTTTTGTTTTGAATGAAGTCCAATTTATTGATTTTCTCATTCACAGATCATGCTTTTTGTGTTGTGTGTGAAATCTTATTGCCAAATCAAGGTCGTCTTGGTTTTGACAAGTGTGAAATTGTGAGTTTTGCATTTTCCATATAAGTAAACGATTCATTAGGAAGTAGTTTTGTAAAAGGTGCAGTTCTGTGTCTAATTCATTTCTTTGCATTTGCTAATTCAGGTGTTTCAATACCATTTGTTTTGTGCCACCATGTCTAATTTTTTATTTTATTATGGAGACGGGTATCTCCTTATGTTGCCCAGGCTGGTCTCGAACTGCGGGGCTCAAATGATCTGTCCGCCTTGGCCTCCAGCTTGCATTTTTAATACACGTCTTTATAGTAGATTTTTCTGTGTTCCTAGTGCCTCTCTTGTCATCTTATGGAATCTTCTCTTATATATTTAGTTTATTGAGTGTTTCTAATCATCAGGAGATATTAACTTATTTATGCTGGAGGTTGCACTTTTTTGAATTGCCGACGTGTGAAAAATCAGACTTTGGCCATGACCTTGAGCAGTAGGATATAAATAACTCCCACATGCTTAGCGTTCCAAAAATGGAACACTAGGCATAAATTGGTTAAGGCTTGTCAGATGCCTTTTCTGCCTCTATTAAGGACATTCTTGTGGTGTTTTGTTTGTTTGTTTAAAGATAGAGTCTCACTCTGTTGCCCCGGCTGGAGTGCAGTAGCGCAATCTCGGCTCACTGCAACCTCTGCCTCCCAGATTCAAATGATTCTCCACGTCCCAGTCAAGTGACTGGGACTACATGTGCCACCACGCCTGGCTAATTTTTGTATTTTTTAGAGATGGAGTTCCACCACGTTGGCCAGGCTGGTCTCAAACTGCTGACCTCAAGTGATCTTCCCACCTCAACCTCCCAAAGTGCTGGGATTATAGGCATGAGCCACCATGCCTGGCTGCTACCATGATTTATTATCATTACTTATCTTAAAACAAAATGTAAAACTTATCAGCTTAAGAAATTTTACATGTACAGTTGAGATAGTTTGACAAATCTACATAAGTTCTCTAAGATGAATTCTATTGTATTTTGCTTTTTTCAATTATCCCGAGGTGTCATGCATGTTGTAGTTTAGTCCAAGATGTTATTTTTTCTTTTTCTTTTTTTTTTTTTTTGAATCAAGTTTCACTCTTGTTGCCCAGGCTGGAGTGCAATGGTGCAATCTTGGCTCACCACAACCTCCACCTCCCAGCTTCAAGCAATTCTCCTGCCTCAGCCTCCTGAGTAGCTGGGTTTACAGGAAAGCGCCATTACACCCGGATAATTTTGTATTTTTAGTAGAAATGGGGTTTCTCCATGCTGGTCAGGCTGATCTTGAACTCCAACCCTCAGGTGATCTGCCTACCTTGGCCTTCCAAAGTGCTGGGATTACAGGCATGAGCCACCACGCCTGGCTAAGATGTCATTTTCTAAGAGTAAATAATATCCCATTTTATGTATATGCTTACCACATTTTGTTTTTACATTCAGCCATCAATGGATATGTGGGTGGCTGCATTGCTCATTACTGCCACCTCAGGAAGGTCGTATAGTGGTTAAATCTGTGCTTATGATACCTGGGTATCTCTTAGGAGTTTCTTGTTTGCCCTCTTGTGTACATACGGTGCCAGGTTTTGCTTAGGAATGTCCCCTTTGCCCTATCAGCATCTATCTAGCTACATTCTGACAGGATAACTGCAAAGTGAATGATTCCTGGGCATCATAATGGAAGTTTCTTTCTACCTAGGTGATTCCCCTCCTCTCTGCTTATATCTAGCATGCCTGATTTGGGTGGTCCCTGGGGGTGTGGGATTTCCCAGGGGCTCCCCCTCCTGCTCTTTGCTACCTACATGCTTCCTCTGACAATATCATCAAAGATTACACTTTGAGAACAGGCATTTTCAAGGATACACAGCCTCAGGACTGCTAATGTTAACTTTGTTTTGCCTATGAATTCGTAGGACTCTATCATGACAGGTGCTACAGACCCACAGTCCAAAGAGACATTAGGGACAGCCCAGGCAACCCGCTTTTCTCCCTGGGTTCGGTAAATACATTTCCTATCCTGCTGTGGCTTTAGCCCTTGTTCAGTTCTAGCATCACAATTGCTTTATGAACTAGCCAGGTGTGGTGGCACATGCCTGTGGTCTCAACTACTCAGGAGGCTGAGGCATGAGAATTGCATGAACCCAGGAGTAAGAGGTTGTAGTGAGCCAAGATGGTGCCACTACACTCCAGCCTGGGTAACAGAATGAGACGCTGTCTTAAAAAAAAAAACAACTGCTAGCTGGGCATGGTGGCTCATGCCTGTAATCCCAGAACTTTGGGAGCCTGAGGCAGGCAGATCACCTGAGGTCGGCAGCCTGACCAACGTGGAGAGACTCTGTCTCTACTAAAAATACAACATTAGCCAGGCATGGTGGCATATGCCTGTAATCTTAGCTACTCAGGAGGCTGAGGAAGAAGAAGTGCTAGAACCCCGGCAGTGAGCCGAGATCATGCCATTGCACTGCAGCCTGGGCAACAAGAGTGAAAAAAAAAACAAGTTGCTTTGTGGAAGAAAGTAAGTATACACAGGGAGAAAGAGATCTGATGACCAAAGCAGGGAATACGTGTTTGGAGTCCACGGCATCCTGAGAACTTCTTGGGAATAGAGTCTAGGCCCCCAGTGCTGTCACTCTCACCCATCTTCTTCTACACATGTGAGATGTTTCAGGACCCAGTGGCTTTTAAGGATGTGGCTGTGAACTTCACCCAGGAGGAGTGGGCTTTGCTGGATATTTCCCAGAGGAAACTCTACAGGGAAGTGATGCTGGAAACTTTCAGGAACCTGACCTCTTTAGGTAAGGATGACAATATTCCTTCCCTCAGTCCATTAGTGAACCAGTGTTTCTAGCTCATTAATGCTGTTGAGTGATTTAGAACATAGACAGGAAATACTTTGATGAATAAATGAGGTATGGCTGCAGTAAATCATGGGCGTAGAATCTAATAATTTTTTCACAATTTTATACTGCCTCAGGACTATTTTTTCTGTGTCTGTATTTTAGGAAAAAGGTGGAAAGACCAGAACATTGAATATGAGCACCAAAACCCCAGGAGAAACTTCAGGTAATTTGTACTTACAAGACAAAGCAGTGTCTCTCTAGACAATCTTAGAATATGACAATATATTAAAAATAAGTAAAACAAAGAACTAAGTCCAGGATCAAATTCATTTATTTTTAGAATATTTGATCAAAAAACATATATGTAAATGTGACCTAGGCTGTGGGCTCACTCCTGTAATCCCAATCCTTTGAGAAGTGGAGATAGGAGGATAGCTTGAGGCCAGCAGTTCAAGAACAGCCTGGGCAACATAACGAGACCACATATCAACAACAGCAAAAAATTAGCTGGGCATTGTGGTCTGTAGTCCCAGCTACTCAGGAGGCTGAGTGAGGCAGGAGGATCACTTGAGCCAGTAAAGGCTGCAGTAAGCTATGGTGATATCACCACACTCCAGTGTGGGCAACAGGATAAGACCCTGAAACAAAAGAAAAATGACACAGAGTATTTAGTATTTTAAAATAGTTTACATGGGAAGAGTATTAAGATACCCCATATAAACAGTTTTTTAAATAATAGGTATGGCTGGGTCACCTTGTAGAATATGTTGTCCAGTCACCTTCAAACAATTCAGACAGGGCAGAAAGCCTACACTTTGATGGAGAGTGTTAAAAATGCAAGTGCAATACTTGTTGATTAATATAGAAGTACTTATAAACAAACCCTTCATAATATGCTTCTCATTTTTGACAGGAGTCTCATAGAAGAAAAAGTCAATGAAATTAAAGATGACAGTCATTGTGGAGAAACTTTTACCCCAGTTCCAGATGACAGACTGAACTTCCAGGAGAAGAAAGCTTCTCCTGAAGTAAAATCATGTGAAAGCTTTGTGTGTGGAGAAGTTGGCCTAGGTAACTCATCTTTTAATATGAACATCAGAGGTGACATTGGACACAAGGCATATGAGTATCAGGAATATGGACCAAAGCCATGTAAGTGTCAACAACCTAAAAAAGCCTTCAGATACCGCCCCTCCTTTAGAACACAAGAAAGGGATCACACTGGAGAGAAACCCAATGCTTGTAAAGTATGTGGAAAAACCTTTATTTCCCATTCAAGTGTTCGAAGACACATGGTAATGCACAGTGGGGATGGACCTTATAAATGTAAGTTTTGTGGGAAAGCATTCCATTGTCTCAGATTATATCTTATCCATGAAAGAATTCACACTGGAGAGAAACCATGTGAATGTAAACAGTGTGGTAAATCCTTTAGTTATTCTGCTACCCATCGAATACATAAAAGAACTCACACTGGAGAAAAGCCTTATGAATATCAGGAGTGTGGGAAAGCATTTCATAGTCCCAGATCCTATCGTAGACATGAAAGGATTCACATGGGAGAAAAGGCTTATCAATGTAAGGAATGTGGAAAAGCATTCACGTGTCCCCGTTATGTTCGTATACATGAAAGGACCCACTCTAGGAAAAATCTCTATGAATGTAAGCAGTGTGGGAAAGCATTATCCTCTCTTACAAGTTTTCAAACACACGTAAGATTGCACTCTGGAGAAAGACCTTATGAATGTAAGATATGTGGAAAAGACTTTTGTTCTGTGAATTCATTTCAAAGACATGAAAAAATTCACAGTGGAGAGAAACCCTATAAATGTAAGCAGTGTGGTAAAGCCTTCCCTCATTCCAGTTCCCTTCGATATCATGAAAGGACTCACACTGGAGAGAAACCCTATGAGTGTAAGCAATGTGGGAAAGCCTTCAGATCTGCCTCACACCTTCGAGTGCATGGTAGGACTCACACTGGAGAGAAACCGTATGAATGTAAGGAATGTGGGAAAGCCTTCAGATATGTGAATAACCTTCAAAGTCATGAAAGGACACAAACACACATAAGAATACACTCTGGAGAAAGACGTTATAAATGTAAGATATGTGGGAAAGGCTTTTATTGTCCCAAATCATTTCAAAGACATGAAAAAACTCACACTGGAGAGAAACTCTATGAATGCAAGCAACGTTCAGTAGTTCCTTCAGTAGTTCCAGTTCCTTTTGATATCATGAAAGGACTCACACTGGAGAGAAGCCCTATAAATGCGAGCAATGTGGGAAAGCCTTCAGAGCTGTGTCAATCCTTTGAATGCATGGTAGGACTCACCCTGAAGAGAAACCCTATGAGTGTGAGCAATGACGGAAAGCCTTCAGATCTGCCCCACACCTTTGAATACGTGGTAGGACACACAATGGAGAGAAGCCCTATGCATGTAAGGAATGTGGGAAACCCTTCGGATCTGCCCAGAACCTTCGAATTCATGAAAGGACACAAACACACATAATGCACTCTGTAGAGAGACCTTATAAATGTAAGATATGTGGGAGGGGCTTTTATTCTGCCAAGTCATTTCAAATACATGAAAAATCTTACACTGGAGAGAAACCCTATGAGTGTAAGCAATGTGGGAAAGCCTTTGTTTCCTTCACTTCCTTTCGATATCATGAAAGGACTCACACTGGAGAGAACCCCTATGAGTGTAAGCAATTTGGGAAAGCCTTCAGATCTGTCAAAAATCTTCGATTTCATAAAAGGACACACACTGGAGAGAAACCCTGTGAATGTAAGAAATGTAGAAAAGCATTCCATAATTTCTCTTCTTTGCAAATACATGAAAGGATGCACAGAGGAGAGAAGCTCTGTGAATGTAAGCATTGTGGGAAAGCATTCATATCTGCCAAGATCCTTTGAATACATGCAAGAACACACAATGGAGAGAAACCCTATGAATGTAAAGAATGCAGAAAAGCATTCAGCTTGCCTACTTCCTTTCATAGACATGAAAAGACTCACACTGGAAGGAAACACTATGAATGCAAGCAATGTGGCAAAGCTTTCACTTCTTCCAGTTCTTTTCAATATCATGAAAGAACACACTAGGGAGAAACCCTATCAATGTAAGCAATGTGCAAAAGCCTTTATTTCTTCCACTTCTTTTCAATATCATGAAAGGACTCACATGGGAGAGAAACCCTATGAGTGTATGCCAAGTGGGAAAGCCTTCATTTCTTCTAGTTCCCTTCAATATCATGAAAGGACTCACACTGGAGAGAAGCCCTATGAATATAAGCAATGTGGGAAAGCCTTCAGATCAGCCTCGCACCTTCAAATGCATGGAAGGACTCACACTGGAGAAAAACCCTATGAATGTAAGCAGTATGGGAAAGCGTTCAGACCTGACAAGATTCTTTGAATACAGATAATGAATGTAAACAATTAACTGTTTATAATAACTGTATACTAACAAATGATATTCTTTTTAAATAAGAAGCTATAATATCCCATTGGTGTCATGTATTAGATCAGCCTTATACTGTTAAATTGTTATTATTTGGACATTGTGAGTCAGTATAACCATGTGGATAAAATGCCAGACATCTTTTTATTCGAAAATTTTACTTTTCATGCTTCTGTACTTACATTTTTATCTCAACCTTAATTTTTCTTTCTTTTTTTTTTTCCCCCAGAAAGAATCTCACTCTGTCACCCAGGCTGGAGTGCAGTGGCATGATCTCAGGTCACTGCAACCTCTGCCTCCAGGGTTCAAGCAATTCTCCTGCCTCAGTCTCCTGAGTAGCTGGGACTACAGGCATGCGCCACCATGCCAGGCTAATTTTTTGTATTTTTTAGTAGAGACGGGGTTTCACCATATTGGCTAGGCTGGTCTCAAACTCCAGACCTCATGATTTACCCACCTCGGCCTCCCAAAATGCTGGGATTACAGACATGAACCATCATGCCCAGCTGCAACCCTAATTTTTCATTCAGTCATAATACCAATAGTTATCTCATGCACCTCTGAGTGCCTTCTTCCCCAAAACCAGCAGTGCCATACCTGCTGTCAGCAAGGGTGTAATATACCATAGTGATAAATATGACCAAAAGCCATAAATGACTGTGAGATGTATGAGAATTACAAGTCACATTAGTAAGAAGAGAAAAATTTTGGTCATGTTTATGATTTGAAATACGTTTTCCTCTATCACATTTAAAAATATAGTTACAAAATGCCCTTGTTTTTGTCCTGATTCATCATGGTCACTGAGGAGCATCGTCTCATATGCCTGGTATGTGACACGTGTCTCTCCAACAATAAAAGACTTGGCCTTGGCTGGGCATGGTGGCTCACGCCTGTAATCCCAGCACTTTGGGAGGCCGAGGTCAGGAGTTAGAGACCATTCTGACCAATATGATCAAACCCCGTCTCTACTAAAAATACAAAAGTTAGCAGGGCGTGGTGGCATGCTCCTGTAATCCTAGCTATTCAGGAGGCTGACATAGGAGAATTGCTTGAATATAGGAAGCAGAGGTTGCAGTGAGCCGAGGTTGCACCATTGTACTCCAGCCTGGGCAACAAGAGTGAAACTCTGTCTTAAAAAACACAAAAAAAGACTTGGCCTTAGGGCCGAGTGCGGTGGCTCACGCCTATAATCCCAGCACTTTGGGAGGCCGAGGCGGGCGGATCACTAGGTCAGGAAATGGAGACCATCCTGGCCAACACAGTGAAACCCAGTCTCTACTAAAAAATACAAAAAATTAGTGAGGCGTGGTCTCAGGCTCCTGCAGTCCCAGCTACTTGGGAGGCTGAGGCAGGAGAATGGTGTGAACCTGTGAGGTGGAGCTTGCAGTGAGCCAAGATCGCGCCATTGCACTCCAACCTGGACGACAGAGCAAGACTCCATCTCAAAAAAAAAAAAAAAAAAAAAAAGACTTGGCCTTGTGGTGAGGGGAGGGCATCTGTAAACTCCTGGACCTGTTTTTGCCTTACTTATTCTCTAAAGACTAAAATATTTCCTAAAATGTACAGGCACTGTTTACCAGAAAGTACCTTAGTTAAAACATATAAATTTGTTTATGCCTTATAAAGCTATATTTTTTCAAATTGCTTTACTGAGTCATAGGAGGCTAATAAATTTGTGTAAATTGTCTAAATACAAGCCTGTCTTATATTTCTCTGATAATGTGCTGCTGATAATGTGCTGCTGAGGCTAACTTTCTCTGATAATGTGCTGCTGAGGTTAACTTGTCAACAGCCTGCTTATCTCAGCAGTGTAAAGTTAACAGCAACATGGAAAAGTTTCTTTTATATATTATGCAATGGCATAGAGCAATTCAGTCACTTCCTTTAAGGTTCCAATGAAGCTGCTCTTTAGGAACGCTTATTTCAAACTCCCTAAGGTCAAAATCCAGGCACCACAAGATGCAGCATCAGCCACTGACCAAACCCTGTCTGTGTGTGGAGATGACACACCCAGTCCCAGATAATGTATCCACACCAGTGAAGGGTGGAGTCGTTGATTGTCAGATCACACAAAGTGACTCAGAGCAGGGAAGACAGGGCAGTGAAACCTGATCAGGCACAGTGGCTCACACCTGTAATCCCACCACTTTGCTAGTCCAAAGCGGGTGGATCACTTGAGGTCAGGAGTTCAAGACAAGCCTGGTCAACATGGTGAAACCCTGTCTCTACTAAAAATACAAAAACTAGCTGGGCATCGTGGTGTGTGCCTGTAATCCCAGCTAATCAGGATGCTGAGGCAGGAGAATGGCTTGAGCCTGGAGACAGAGGTTACAGTGAACTGAGATCACACCATTGCACTCTCCAGCCTAGTCGACACAGCGAGACTCTGTCTCCAGAAGAAAAAAAGAAAGAGTTGGATGCACCTGAATCCAACCCCTGCCTCATCCTTCTCCCTTGAAGGCCAAATACACCCTGATACTTTTCACCAAAGAGTAGAAACAACACCATTCACTTGACCCCAAATGTGACTTTCCACAGGATGCAAACACAGTGTTGGAATGGCCAATGACAATGACAATGAAAATGCAGGCTGAGGGTGATGAACAGGACACACTGGAGAGCCTGACATCGGCCTAGACTATGGGGGTGTCTTGATGCTTCACAAAGAGCCCAAGGAGCACCCCAAAGAGGACACTGGAGCACAGGCCCAAAGGGTGTTCACATGCCAGGAAGGCCACTAATTTTGAAAGTCAGGGACATTGGTGCCTGCTTGAGTCCTGATGCTTTATCTATAACATATGCTTTTCTGCATCTGGTTAGACAAGGAAATCTGAAATTTTTGTTTCAGCATTTAGAAATAAGTTATTTAAGCAATCCTCACACTCATGGTTTATTCTGGAACTACCTTCAGACACACAGCTACAGATAGGGTATATAATGAGTATTTCCAAGGCTACACTCTGTAGGAAAAAACTTCATGAAGTCAGTGGGACCCTCTCATGGGAGGGTTTTAAGACCCACAATCAAAAAGGTGGGGAAACATTAGAGTGGAAGGAGGGCAGCAGAAGGTCAAGGACTTTCCCGGAGGCCTAACATACCCAACATTATTACCCTAGATGAAAACCAAATACATATCCTAACACCACATACTCTCTTCAATGTTTAACAGACAAAATGAAATGTATTCAAAGCTAAGCTTCCAGAATTCCACTTTACGCTATTAATGATGTTTTAATATCCCTCAATGTGTTGATATTAGGACATTTTTAAATATGAATACCATTTTCTGGTTATATATGGAAAATATCTTGATTTCTGAGATACAAAAATGCTCATTTTTAGATATACATGGTCTTGCACTTTTTTTATAAAATAAGGTGAAAAGACAGGAAAAATTTTTTCAGATCATGGAACTTGGATTAATAGGAGAAGAGTCATACAAATTTATTTAACATGTATATATGGGAGCCTTCAGAATGAAGACCCACCCAACAATAAGACAAAAAAGCTTATATTACCATTCTGAGGCCAAGAAAGAATGCAGACTTGGCTGGCCAAAAAATCCCGGGTTTGGTGGGTAAGTCAGGTTTAATGGCAAGACAGATTAGGGAAGAGGAAAGGAAGAAGCTTACCTCCTGTGTAGCTAAGGAGACCTTGTTATGTAGATGAAGGCTCCCTCATAGAGAATAGGTGGGAAATGCTGCTTTTCAGACTTTTATTTAGACTTTTAAGTAATAGGGACAGGATTATGCTATGTTGCCCAGGCTGTTATCTAATTCTTTTTCTCAAGCAATCCTCCCAGCTCAGTCTCCGAAAGTGCTAGGATTACAAGCATGAGCCGCCATACCCAGACAGGGTTTGTTCCCTTGTAAAGAATTATTTGTTGCTGGACACAGTGGCTCACAGAGGCCAAGGAAGGAGGATCACTTGAGCCCAGGAGCTCAAGACCTGCCATGGCAACATGACAAAACCTCTTCTCTACAAAAAATACAAAAAATTAGCTGGATATGGTGGCACGTACCTGTACTCCCAGCTATCCAGGAGGCTGAGGCAGAAGGATAACCTGAGCCTGGGAGATTGATGCTGCAGTGAACTGTGATTGCAGCACTGCACTCCGGCCTGGGCCACAGAGTGAGAGCCCTTCTAAAAAAAAAAAAAATATATATATATATATATATATATTTGTTCACTTATTGCAGCTTCAGATTTTTAAAATTAATTGTAAATTGCATTTTCACTACAGCTGGAAAAATAAGAAAATTTTGCACAGAGCCAAGATAAAAATAGATGTCAGAAATAAATCATTAGTCTTATATAGCATTTGTTTCAAAAAAAAAATTTTTTTTTTTTGAGACAAAGTCTCGCTCTCTCACCCAGGCTGGAATGCATTGGTGTGATCTCGGGGCATTGCAACCTCTGCCTCCTGGGTTCAAGTGATTCTCCTGCCTCAGCCTCCTGAGTAGCTGGGATCACAGGCACGTGCCACCACACCTGGCTAATTTTTGTATTTTTAGTAGAGATGGGGTTTCACGATATTGGCCAAGCTGGTCTCGAACTCCTGGCCTTGTTATCCACAAGCCTTGGCCTCCCAAAGTGCTGGGATTACAGGCGTGAGCCACCGCACCCAGTCTCAAAATTCTTAATTTTTTTCTTCTTCAGATGTGGTGTAGTACATTTCTTAAGTCTGTCCTTTTTTGTGGATGATTTCTTTATTTCTTTTTCTTTCTTTCTTTCCTTTTTTTTTTTTTAAGATAGGGTCTGGCTTTGTTGCCCAGACTGGGATGAGGTAGCACAATCTCAGCTCACTGCAATCTCCATCTTCCAGGCACAAGCTATCCTCCCACCTCAGCCTCCGTAGTAGCTGAGACCACAGGCACACACCACTACACCCAAAGTGCTGGTATTACAAGTTTGAGCCACAGTGCATGGCCATTTTTGGATGATTTGTAACAGAGTTTCAGGGCATAGCGTTGAGAATGCTGATTGGGAAAAGAAATAGAGAAAATCTTTTATTACAGCTTGAGAAAATGAATAATCTTCCACAATAAAGTATAGTAGATAAATTGGTGAATTACAAAGATTCAGCAAAATACCAGTCCTCCTTTGCAGGTTGGGGAACTTGTAATGGTGGATAACTCTTCTTCTTCCTGTTATCTGTGGGGTAAGACCTGGCTGGCAACTGTTGTCATATGTTTGTGTTCACATATGATTAATGTGTAGTATGTGCTTTGTTATCATGGAAATAATAATGAAATAATATTGTGCACCTTAATAAGATAATAAGATTCAGAGAATATGATTAAATGCTGAGTTTATCTGAGCACATAGTTTGAGGATAGCCACTGGGGAAACAGATATCCTGAAGAGTGGGGTCAGTGCTCCAACACGGGGAATTTGAGTCTTCTCTTCTATAGGGCAAAATGAAGCTTAACAGGGTGACATTTTCCATACAAGGCCGGTGCACACATTTCAGTGATTTGATAGGTTGCAGCTACCAAATTTCAAGGATGATTGCTTTAACTTTTTTTTTTGGATGGAGTCTTGTTCGGTCGCCCAGGCTGGAGTGCAATGGCGCAATCTCAGCTCACTGCAACCTCCACCTCCCGGGTTCAAGCAATTCTCCTGCCTCAGACTCCTGAGTAGCTGGGATTACAGGCACGTGCCACCATGCCCGGCTAATTTTAGTATTTTTAGTAAAGACGGAGTTCACCATGTTGGTCAGGCTGGTCTCAAACTCCTGACCTCATGATCCGCCTGCCTCGGCCTCCCAAAGTGCTGGGATTACAGGTGTGAGCCACTGCAGCCGGCCTGCTTTAACTTTTTGTAAGGAGGGGTAGTGGTCTCAAAAGGATCCTACCTCTGGCACTTCTCTGTCTTTTCTAATCATTTACAGCCTAAGAACAAGGAAGAGAATCTTTTTGACATGCACAGGGAAGGAGCAATTACATAGTAGTGTAAACACATTTCTCAATATGTTTATTGACTGAAAGGGTTAGATACTTTTATTTTCCCTGATGAGGATGAAAGGTAAGTGCCTTATAAATTCCTGCCTGCCTGTAAACATAAACTGAGTTTGAGAGATTTTGCTGGATTCTTCAAACAGTGGGTATTTTCTCATTGAAACAGAGGCCTGAGTCCAGGGACTGCAAGCTAAGGCCAATGACAAGCCTACAAAGAGAGGTCATTGAAAGCTCACACCAGGCGCATTGGCTCACACTTATAATCCCAGCACTTTGGGAGGCCAAGGTGGGCAAATCATGTGAGGTCGGGAGTTCGAGACCAATCTGGTCAACATGACGAAATCCCATCTCTACTAAAAATACAAAAATTAGCCGGGTGTATTGGCTCACGCCTGTAATCCCATCCCTTAGGAGGCTGAGGCATGAGAATCGCTTGAACTCGGGAGGCGGAGGTTACAGTGAGCTGAGATCATGTCATTGCATTCTAGCCTGGGCGACAGAGCTAGACTCTGTCTCAAAGGAAAAAAAAAAAAAAAAGAAAGCTCACTTGGTTCTTCCCCTGCAGGTGCCCCAGCTACTCACATTGACCATGGGAGGAGCCCTTTATACTGAGAGAATCTGAGATCCTTGGAAAGCTAGGGATCCACAGGCAGATACGGTAGTCAGTGATGCCCTCCACAAGTGATAATTTTTGTCATGGGGCTTTTCCTAGACATTTGTAGTGAAACAAATGTGAGTTTAGGTAAGAAATAACTTTTAATTCTAGACCTTGAAGCCAGCTTGTCCTGCGGGTTGAGCACGGTGGCTCACGCCTGTAATCCCAGCACTTTGGGAGGCCCAGGCAGGTTGATGATGAGGTCAAGAGATTGAAACCATCCTGGCCAACATGGTGAAGCCCTGTCTGTACTAAAAATACAAAATTTAGCTGGGTGTAGTGGCACATGCGTGTAGTCCCAGCTACTCAGGAGGCTAAGGCAGGAGAATCGCTTGACCATGGGAGGCGGAGGTTGCAGTCAGCCGAGATCATGCCACTGCACTTCAGCCTGGTGACAGAGCAAGACTCTGTATCAAAGAAAAAAAATAAAGACGTCAGCTTGCCATTAGGAGAGGTCATAAAAGGAGTCTAGGTACTGAACTTGTAAGTAAAAAAAAATTTTAAATAAGGCCAGGCCCAGTGGCTCACACCTGTAATCCCAGCACTTCAGGAGGCTGAGGCAGGCAGGTCACCCCAGGTCAGGAGTTCAAGACCATCCTGGCCAACATGGAGAAACCCTGTCTCTACTGAAAATAGAAAAATTCGCTGGGTGTGGTGGCGGGCGCCTGTAGTCCCAGCTACTCGGAAGGCTGAGGCACAAGAATCGCTTGAACCCGGGAGGTGGAGGTTGCAATGAGCCAAGATCACGCCATTGTAATCCAGCCTGGGTGGAAGAGCTAGACTTCGTCCCCCCGAAAAATAAATAAATAAATAAATAAATAAATGGGGTTGTATATAGGCTTAGAATGGGTCAGTCAGAAATTCAGGGGCCACTGGTCGTGGTGGCTCATGCCCATAATCTCAGCACTTGGGGAGGCTGAGGTGGGCAGATCACTTGAGGTCAGAAGACAAGTGTGGCCAGCATGATGAAAACCCATCTCTACGAAAAGTATAAAAATTAACTGGGCATGATGGCACACACCTGTAAACCCAGCTACTCTGGCGACTGAGGCATGAGAATCACTTGAACACCAGGGAGGCGGAGGTTGCAGTGAGCCAAGATCATGCTACTGCACTCCAGCCTGGGCTACAGAACAAGACTGTCTCAAAAAAAGAAAAAAGTTCAGGGACCTGGAGGTAGGAGAGAAACTGAAGCATGCTTTGGTTAATAGATATTTCGTTCTGACTGATCACTAAAGACAAAGCTATTCACCTAATGGTTTGTGAGGTAAATACTGGAATGTCTAATCTGTATCTGGTTTGTCATAGGTAACAAACGTGGCACAATCTAAGTCATAATGCGAAGGGTGTTTCATTGCAGTAAGGTGCTCTTGCACAACACAAAGGGTGGGGGATTCTTTTTTTTTTTCTTCTTTTTTTTTGAGACAGAGTCTCGCTCTGTTGCCCAGGGTGGAGTAGAGTGGCGCAGTCTCGGCTCACTGCAACCTCTGCCTCCCAGGTTCAAACGATTCTCCTTGCTCAGCCTCCTGAGTAGCTGGGACTACAGGCACATGCCACCTCACCCTGCTCATTTTTGTGTGTGTTTTTAGTAGTGACGGAGTTTCACCGTGTTGATCAGGCTGGTCTCAAAGTCCTGACCTCAAGTGATCCACCTGCCTCAGCCTCCCGAAGTTCTAGGATTACAGGCATTAGCCATTGCACCTGGCCACATTTAAGAATTTTATTTTATGATTTGGGTGTTAGGATTTTAATTAGCTGGTTGGAAACTTAGTGAATAGTTTGATAATGTTTGAAGAAGGAAAATGAGTTCTTGAAATAAGCTGTTTTATGCCAAGTCAAAATAATAAAAATATGAATACTCAGACACATACCACCCCAAAAAATAAATAGGCCTTGGGCATTTCTGGTGTGTCTCACTTATTTTTGATACGCAAAGGTGACCAAAGTTTTGATTCTTTTCGTTATTCTTTGTAGCTTTGTCATCTCTTTGTCACAAAGCAGAATTTTGCCACTTTTGAATTTTTAGTAACAGAATATTACCATTAATACACCATTAGTATTATGCTGAGAGGGTGTCTTTCTGGTTTTCTTGCCTGAGCCTGTTGCAAACATGCTGCTCCGTGAAGTTGTGGGTCACGTAATTGACTTGCCCATTCCACTACTTAATGGCACTTGAGTTGGTTCAAGTTTATCTTTTGATCTTATTGACAATGCTCTTCTTGTTTTTATTCCTAATTGGAAATACAACAGAAATTTTTACACATTGGGAAACAATTGCTGGGTTGTAGATTATGGATAAATTCAAATTTACTAGGAAATGTGGATAGAGTATGAATGTAACTTATGAGTTAACCATCTCACCTTTCATGCATGTGTCTTTATTCTTGTGATTTGCCAACACTTTGAATTATCTAACTCACTTTTTGTTGCCCGTCTACTCTTAGACAGAATTTCTGTGTTTCTTTTTGCTTTTTACTTGCTGCCGTTGGTTGAGCATTTTTCTTATATGATCTTTCATCTTCTGTGTAGCAGATTCCAGTCATCCTCTTACATTTGACTAATTTGTAGGGTTTTTTTTTCCTTTTTTCTTTTTTTTTAATTTGAGACAGTCTTGCTCTGTAGCCCAGATGGAGTGCAGTGGTCACTCACTGCTCACTGTAGCATCAGGCTCGTGGGCTTGAGCAATCCTCCCACCTCAGCTTTCTGCCCAGTTAATTTTAAAAAATTTTTTTGTGGAGACAGGGATCTCACTGTTTTGCCCAGGCTGCTCTCGAACTCCTGGGCTCAATCAATTCTCCTGCCTCGGCCTCCCAAAGTGCTGGGATTGCAAATAGGAGCCACCACACTCAGCAATGAGGGTTTTTTTTTTTGTTTTAAACAAGATATCCGTACATGTTTCTGACCAATATTTTATTTAAAATCTTTAAGAACTACATATTAACAAAGGTTATTCTGTTTTTCATTTTCTGTTTTCCATTTTCATTATGACTACTTGTTTTTCTTTCTTATTCTCATTTTTTTCCTAGATCATTACAATAATTTTCCATGTAGTGGCCCTGGCATGCATTTTGATCCTTCATGCAATCATACAGCTACCTCGATGTCCATTCTCTCTGCCATTCTGAAATTGGACCTCACTCCTTTTTGACTCTAGCTCTCCATCTGCTATGTGATAAAGTCCTGTCTTGTGATGGTTACTATGGGACTGAATGAAGAAGGGCAGATGCAGAAATAAAGACAAAAGATCTATGTTAAAGAAGGGATCAGGGGGCTCCTTGCTTCTAGTGAGCAAGGGCCCTGAGCTTCTATAGCCCTTTGTTTTTATTGGGTAGAAAGAGCAGGGAGGAGGAGGTAATGGTTGGTCAGCTGCTTGATTTATCACAGGTTCACATGATTACTTTCTTTGTACAACAGGCTTCAGATGTGCCTGTAGATAATCACAAGAAACACTGCGCTTGGGGAGTAACTGCCCTCAGCATTCTTTCTGGGTGGCAGACGTAGTTTGTCAGTTTGCCAACAAGCTGCATTCATGAGAAGAGTTTGCTGTTTGCTCATTAGCCTCCAGTGGTATACTGAGTTGATCAGGACCCCCATTCTTTCAGCCTCCAACACTGTCTGATTACATTGTTTCCAAAGCCTCTTTTATGGACTTCTGTTTACCCCTTGGCGTGTCCTGCATTTACTCTCCTCAAAATGTGTACTTAGAGGCCGGGTGCGGTGGTTCATGCCTGTAATCCCAGTACTTTGGGAGGCCAAGGCAGGAGGATCCCTTGAGCCCAGGAGTTTAAAACCAGCCTGGGCCACACTGGGAGACCCTGTCTCTAAAATAAAATGTATACTTACAAGCCCTAAACCCCAACAGGGTCATATTTGGACACAGACCTTTTAGGAGATCACATACATTTATAAAGGAGAGCCCTCATAATGGGATTAGTAAGAAGAGAGAGAATTCTCTGTTTCTCCAGCATGGGAGGACAAAGCAAGAAGGCATCTAGCTGTAAGCCAGGAAGATAGCCTTCACTGGGAACAAAATTGCTGGCAGCAAGATTTTGGACTTCCCGCACTCCAGAATTGTGAGAAACAAATGTTTGCCGTTTAAGAAACTGAGTCCATGGTATGAGTCCATGGTATTTTGTTATACCAGCCTGAGCTAAGTCACCCCAAGAGTCCTCACATTAACCATATACTGTCGTACAAGTGCTGCATTTGGATCTACCTGGAATGTCTCCAAGTCTTCTACTTTTCCTCTTGGACCCATTGTGAGAATAGGTTTTGCTTCATAGGCAACTGCTGGTGATAGTAGTGATAGCCCATAACAACTAGGGAGTTAAAGAAACTTCCTTTCTCTCTCTCTCTCTCTCTGTTTTTGAAATGGAGTTTTTGCTCTTGTTGCCCAGGCTGGAGTGCAATGGCACGATATCGGGTCACTGCAACTTCTGCCTCCTGGGTTCAAGTGATTCTCCTGCGTCAGCCTCCCGAGTAGCTTGGATTACAGGTGTGCACCACCACGCCTGGATAATTTTCGTTTTGTTAGTTACAGACGGGGTTTCACCATGTTGGCCAGCTTGGTCTCGAACTCTTGACCTCAGGTGATCCACCTGCCTTGGCCTCCCAAAGCGCTAAGATTACAGGTGTGAACCACTGTGCTCGGCCTCTTTTATATGTGTGTGTATATATATATATTCTCTTTTTTAATAAAAGTAAATAGAAACTAGGTCTTACTATGTTGCCCAGGGTGGTCATAGCCCAAGATTTTGGGCTCAAGCGATCTACCCGCCTCGCTCACCCAAAGTGCTGAGATTAAGGCGTGAGAAACTGTGCCAGGCCAAATGAAAGAAACTTAGTGGGAGGCCTGGCACAGTGGCTCACACCTGTAATCCCAGCACTTTGGGAGGCTGAGGCGGGTGGATCACTTGAGCTCAGGAGTTCAAGACCAGCCTGGACAGCATGTTGAAACCCTGTCTTTACTAAAAATACAAAAAATTAGCCGAGCATGGTAATCCCATTCTCACAGTCATAGAAAGGTTCTTTTTTAAGGATTCTACCTACTTGAGAGCATCATATACTGCCAGCACTTGTTCACTTCAAGAGTGTCTGGTTTCATCTCTATGACATAATTACAACCAAAATCCTAAAGGAACTGATTTACCACACTGTGTTTGCCATAAGGCCCAATTTGTACCTGCAGCAGCAGCTGTATCATCCCAACTCACAGCTCTACCCTCTAAAGGTGTGCCTGAGGCTTGTGATCCAGTCCATAGGGAAATATCACTACCTGCTGTGTTTTATAATTGGACCATCCAAGGGTTGTCAGGGTTTTCCCAGAGAGTTTTGTGGGATTTTTTTTTTTTTTTGAGACCAGGTCTTGCTGAAGTTAGTATGGCAGCATACTAACACATTAACCTGTCGAAAGCTTCCTGCAGAGCTGTGTCCCAGTCTCAAAGTGCCCCTTTCTAATAATTCTATATATTGGTATCAAACTTTGGGCTAAGTGTCAGATAAATGCTCTCCAATAATCCAAAGACCAACAAATGTCTGGATTTCTTTTTTCTTTTTTGTTTTTTAAGAGACATAGTGTGGTTCTGTTTCCCAGGCTGGAGTGCAGTGGTGGGATCATATAGCTCACTGCAGAAACTCCTGGGATCAAGGGATCCTCCTGCCTCAGCCTCCCAAGTAGCAGGGAATAAAGGCACATGCCACCATGCCCAATTGTTTATAAATTTTTTTGTACAGATGGAGTCTCACTGTATTTTCCAGGCTGTTCTTGAACGCCCAGGCTCAAGTGATTCCCCAACCTCAGCCTCCCAAAGTGCTGAGATTACAGTCATGAACCAATGCACCCAGCCCTGAAAAGGAAATATTTCGAATGGAAATTCAAAGGGAGAACATCTAATGTTCAAGTTGATGTCTATAGAGCAGTTAACGGGAACTATCATTTAGGGTCTGTGGGATTCTAGGACACTAGGTATGAAACAAATATGAGGAAGGTCAGAGAACAAGCTGACTTAATGATTAATGCTGAAGGTGCTGCCAGCTTGGTTTAAGTTTTCCTCCTCCCTTCCTCCCTGATGAATTTGATAAAGTTTAAAGGGATGGTTTCACCAGGGGCCTTTTACATTGACAGCAAGGAGGTCATCCGCCTGGTAAATCCTCAGTAGTCCAAGCCTCTTACATGGCTAGAATGATCCAGTCCATAAGGAAACGTCACCACCCTCTGTGTTTTACAATTAGACCATCCAAGGGGGTCAGGGTTTCCCCAGGGAATTTGGTGGGATTTTTTTTTTTTTGAGACCGTGTCTTGCTGAAGTACAGTAGCCTGATCAAAGCTCACAGCAGCCTCAAACTTTGGGGCTCGAGTAATCCTCCTGCCTCAGGCTCCTGAGTAGCTGAGACTAAGGGTACACACCACCTCTCCAGGCTAATAAAAAAAAAATTATGGAGATGGGAGTGTCTCACTTCACTGCTCAGGGTGGTCTTCAACTTCGGGCTTCAAGTGATCCTCCCACTTTGGCCTCCTAAAATGTTGGGATTGCAGGTGTAAGCCATGGCACCCGGCCTCCCAGGCTGTTGTTGAAAGGTCTTTGCAATCTCTAAGAGTTCTGCAGCAGTTTATTCCCTGACAGTGAGAGTCTCATCCTTTCACCCCATTTTGCAGCAGTAGTTGGGTGTTCACTTTTCTTTCCATAAGGAAGCGAGCTTGCCAGTGACCCTCATCCCCCTCCTCATCGATGACTTCTTTGTCATCAGAGCCTTCCTCTTCATAAATTCCCACGGAATCCAAGTTTTCACGTCCCAAATTATGATAGCCACAGGCCCTCACCAGCTGCCATAGCACCCCATTTCATGGAAGCCACCTGACTCTTCTTTGAGCATCCTGTCCCAGGAGCCCCCATCTGTGCTCTCCCGGGCTCCAGGCCCTAGAGCCGCGCTGCTGCAGAGCCCAGTTCCCAGGGCTGCTCCCTCCACGTATCCACATCCATCTCCAGCTTTCCACCCTTTCTCTGACCAGACAGGCCTGGAGGTGCTGCAGTGTCAGTGACCGTGGGTCCCTCCGCTGCCACCTCCACCGCGATCTGGAAGTCTTTTAAATGTACTTAAGTTATCTTAGAATTTTCCTTCCCCACTTTATACATAAACATAGGAGGAGAGCAGGGACTCTGCTGGTGTCTTATTCACACAATGGGATTGAGGGTGTTTGTGTCATGGAACTGATCAATGGGGTGAGAAGTAGCTGAATAACCTGCAGGGGCAGCAGAGCCCGAGGCCAGTGACTCC
Source organism: Homo sapiens (assembly GCF_000001405.40). Classification (NCBI taxonomy): domain Eukaryota; kingdom Metazoa; phylum Chordata; class Mammalia; order Primates; family Hominidae; genus Homo; species Homo sapiens. The sequence goes on from NC_000019.10 coordinate 11,847,812, forward strand.
ACGCTGAGGCCAGTCTGGAGCCTGCAAAGGAAGGGAAAGGAGCTTTTCCTGGGGGCTTCCTGGGCAGCCCGCCCTCCCCTACAGGTGGCCTCCAGCTGCTCAGAGCAGCTCCAGAAGGAGTGTGGATTCCGAGAAGCTGTAGGGCCCTGGAAAGCAGAAGACCTTCGTGCAGACGCATTTGTGGGGTTCTGTCCTTTCTGGTGTTGTACCTCTGGAGCCTGGGGCTGTCTTCTGGGCAGGGTTTGGGGTTTGACATACATGGGGTCGCTGGAGTCAGAGTTATTTGTATATATAAAGAAAATGTGTGAAAATCAGGCTAGAGACACAATTGTTTGGTGGCGTCACCTGGATAAAAGGTTTATGAGGTTGACAGTTTATTTAGGTCCGAAGCTTAACCCCAGGTGAGAGTTTCCTGCAGGTGAAAATGAAGATCTGGAAGGACGGAGCATTTTCATACTGTGAGGAGGGGATGGGGGTGTGTGAGCAAGTCTTGGCCATGCCTCATCCCCAATTCCGGCCCGCTCGAGGAAATATGCCTCTCCTCCTGGTGCAGTCTTGCCTGGCCTGGTCTCGGTTCCCCTGCTGCTCTGAGGCAGGAGATGGCTCCTGTGGACACTGAGTCTGAAATTCCCTGCACACTCCTGTGACCCCGTGCAGAACGAAGGAGCGGGGACAGTCCTTTGAGTGAGGAAGACGCTAGTGTTCTCTTCTAACAATAGCAAGTTTGGCTGAAATGCAACTATCCAATAACCCGAGTGCAGGAAGCAGCTCGTGTAAGCTTAGAGAAGCTGTTGCTAGAATCTGTCAGTCTGGCTCCGCAGGGCCTGATACCCAGGGCTTCCGCTGTCACTTAGACGTGGGGGGCGGGGCCGAACATTCCATCCAATCAGAGGCACTGGCTCGGGGCCCTGCCCACTGTGCATCCAGGCACGGAGGATGTTGCATTCCTGCCGTCACCTTTGTCGCTGCGAGGGCGGCGGTTGGGATCTGGCCTTTCCAGCCCCGAGAGGGACCTAGTGCCTCTACCCAGATTTCTGTCGCTCTGTCACCTGCGCTATGCCCTGCTTTACTCACAGGAGCTGTAGAGAGGACCCCGGTACATCTGAAAGCCGGGAAATGGTGCGTGTGCTGGCCGGGAGTGGTGCGATGGGGGAGGGGCTGCCTGGAACTGGCGGGACCCGGGCCTCCCTGTGGGCGACTCCGGGGTCTGGGACCGAGTCCTCCTAGAGCTGCTCGGCCCTCGGTCCCCGCGGCCGCTGGATGTGGGTGGGCCGGCAGCCGGGACTCCGGGCGTCCTGTCCCGTCCCTGCCCGTCGACTGCGGCCTTGGCCCCGAAGCCCTTTTGTGCAGCTCCGCGCCCGCAGCCCGACGCCCCAGCTTGTGCGGGGGCCACGGGAGGGTCATGCGCGGATTTCGACTCGGGTGTGGATTTCGTCCGTAGGAGGAGCAGCGGTCTGTGGGGCCCACAGCCTCCACTTTCTCCTGTTAAAAATTATACTGAGGTACGTTAACAAAAAGTTCATTTGAGGAAACAGCCATTCACGAATGAGAAACACCCGGTCCTGGCTTGTGGTTTGTCAACGGAAAAAAAACAGACTATGTAAAATACAGAAGTGTATTCAGAGCCGAGTAGGAGAGACCTTGGCCGAGGGAAACACAACCCCAAGCAGCCTGGAGTAAGTGGTCCGGAGGCGGCTCAGGACAGTTTGGTTTTATTCATTTCAGAGAGACAGGAATTGCAGGGAAAATGATGGATCAAGGCTGGAAGGTGTAAATTCCATTGGCAGAAAGGGTGGGACCTGTGGAAGGGGGGTTAGGAGGCACAGGTGGTTGAGGGATTCTGTAGGTGGCAGCTGGTTGAGAGTGTGAAGCTTTGTCTAAAGTTTGGAGGAGGTAGGAAGGAATGCTGAAGGAAGGGGGTCTGTTATCTGCCACTTCATTCCATCCCAGCCAAAAAACAGTCCTGTTTCTCTAGATTTTATGAATTCTAAGACGTAACTTTACCTTTGCCTTGCGTGGCCTTAGGTCTTGTTTGTAATTTGGTATCTTGTTGCCACAAGGAGTCTGTTTTTCCAGTCAGAGAATGTCTGTTTTTACATGAATGTGCGTCAGTTGCTGCATGTAAACTCCTAAAGGGAGAGGGTATAAGGAGACCTGTCTCACCTCCCATCCTGTCATACAGAGGCACTCAATTTTCAGGGTGTTTTGGGGGTTCCCTTGGCCAAGAGCCAGTCACTTCACTTAGCTGGGAAGGTACTTTGTTTGTTTTTGTTTTTGTTTGAGACGGAGTCTCCTTCTGTCGCCCAGGCTGGTGTGCAATGGCTCGATCTCGGCTCACTGCAACCTCTGCCTTCTGGGTTCAAGGGATTCTCCTGCCTCAGCCTCCTGAGTAGCTGGGATTACAGGCACGCACCACCACCCCCAGCTAATTGTTGTATTTTTAGTAGAGATGGGGTTTCACCATGTTGGCCAGGCTGTTCTCAAACTCCTGACCTCAAGTGATCCACCCCCCTCGGCCTCCCAAAGTGCTGGGATTACAGATGTGAGCCACATCGCCATGCCAGAAGATATGTTTTTATTTTTGTTTTACATGTTTAAGGCTAGGCTTTTATAAGGTACATGAGGAGACAAACCAGATAAATGCTTGATTGGTTGCAGAGATGCAGTCGCCTTATTTGGACTTGTCAACCGGAAATAATCAAAAGGTTCAGATTTCAGTTGGAAGAGTTTATTCAAGCAGAAAGATAGCAATGACCAAAACACAGACTCCAGAAAAATGGACTCAGTACTCCAAAATTGGAAGTTATGTTCTTGCTTATATTACTGAAAAAAGAGGTCCTGATCAGACCCCAAGAGAGTTCTTGGATCTCACACAGGAAGGAATTCAAGACGAGTCACAAAGTGCAGTGCGAAGAGAGTTTATTGAAAGCTACTCTGGGCCAGCATGATGGCTTAGGCCTGTAATCCAAGCACTTTGGGAGGCCCAGGCGAGAGGATCACTTGAGCTCAGGAGTTCGAGACCAGCCTGGGCAACTTAGCGAAACCCCGTCTCTTCCAAAAATAAGAAAAATTAGCCGGATGTGGTGGCCTGTGCCTGTAGTCTCAGTTACTCAGGAGGCTGAGGTGGGACAATCACTTGAACCTGGGAGGCAGAGGTTGCAGCCCAGCCGAGGATGCGCCACTGCACTCCAGCCTGGGTAACAGAGTGAGACCCCATCTCAAAAAACAAAAACAAAACAAACAAACAAAAAAGAGTTGAAGACCAACCTGGCCAACACAGCGAGACCCTGTCTCTATTTAAAAAAATAAAAAAGAAGAAGAAGAAGAAAGAAAGCTTCTCTGTTACAGAGTAGGGCATCCTCATACAGCAAGAGGAGGAATGTACTGTCTTAAGTTTTTCTTATGTAGGGATCTTGTCTATGTAAAGAATAAACTAAGCTGTGCCTACCTGCATGTGGGCTGACAGCATCACAAAATTTATTACTCTGTTGATTTAAAGAAAACTATCCTTTACATTTTAGTGCACAAGTGCATTAAAGCATAACTATAATTACCTTGAAAGCACATATTATGGGTATTGGGGTATTGGGACATCGGGACATTCTGTCGTTGTGGGAGTGTAAGGATACTTGCAGGCATCTTCAGGCTGTTTTCTTCATGGGAAACATTTTATGACTATGGGTTGTGACTGGCAAGGAGTGTTTCTTGTTAGTCTCAAGATGGAGCTGGTTGGTCTTTCTCTGGCTCCCCTAGGCACCTGCTTCCCTAACACTTATATAGGGAAACGGCAAATAAATATAATAGGATTACATTTTCCATAGAAGGCTGATGTATGAGGTACAATAATTTAATTTTTTTTTTTTTTTGAGGCAATGTCTTGCTCTGTGGCCCAGGCTGGAGCAGTGGTGCCATCACGGCTTACTGCAGCCTTGACTTCCCCATCTTGAGCACCTCCGCCTCCCAAGTAGCTGAGACTATAGTCGCCCACTACCACACCTGGGTAATTTTTAATTTTTTATGGAGGTGGGGTCTCGATACATTGCCCAGGCTTGTCTCTAGCTCCTGGCCTCAAACAGTCCTCCTTCTTTGGCCTCCACAAGTCTTGGGATTGCAGGCGTTAGCCAGTGCACCTGGCTAACAACTTAATTTGTTATCGTTTGCTTTTTTCCCCCAGAGCTTGTTTTCTTTTCTTTCTAGCTGGTTTTTATTTCCTTTTCAATTTAAAAGAGTGAATTCAACATTCCAACTGAAGACAATGTGATAGCCATGAAGTCTTTGTGTGAGAAAGTTAAGAGGGAAGTTAGTCTACTACAGAGATCAGTAGTGAAGAGGGGCCCAGTGGGATGGCTCACACCTGTAACCCCAGCACTTTGGGAGGCTGAGGCAGGTGGATGGCTTGATCTCAGGAGTTCAAGCCTGGGCAACATAGTGAGACCCCCCATCTCAATTGTGAAAAATCATATTAAATAAATTAAAAATAGCAAAGAGGGAAAGGGTCTTTCCTGTTTCCCTTCAGTCATTTACAACATTTTATAAAACAGTATAGGTAAGAAGGAAGGCGAATCTGTAATCAAGGAAAGAGGTGTTCCAGCTGGCTATTTGAAAGCTGTGTGTCATGTGACTCAACCCCATGATCACATTGCTTCAAGACAGTTTAGAGATGCACCAGCTTAAATATTTGAATTACTTGGTTGTTTTTGTTTGTTTGTTTGTCTTGAGACGGGGTCTCACTCTGTCGTCTAGGCTGGAGTGCAGTGGTGCAATCTCAGCTCACTGCAGCCTCCACCTCCTAGGTTCAAGTAATTCTCCTGCCTTAGCCTCCCAAGTAGCTGGGATTACAGGTACATGCCACCATACTCGGCTAATTTTTGTATTTTTAGTAAAGACAGGGTTTTATCACATTGGCCAGGCTGGTCTCCAACTCCTGTCCTCAAGTGGTCCACCCACCTTGGCCTCCCAAAGTGGCGGGATTACAGGTGTGAGCCACCATGGCTGGCCTGACTTACTTCTTCCAACAGCCTATATAGGTAGAAAATTTCTAGTTATGTAATCAGAGGTTAATTGGTGGACTGTGCCTGATTAAGCATAAATTTCATTTTTCTATAAATTAGTAATTTTATTTATTTATTTTTTTTGAGACGAAGTTTCACTCTTGTTGCCCAGGGTGGTGTGCAGTGGTGCAATCTCGGCTCACTGCAACCCCTGCCTTCCAGTTTCAAGCGATTCTCCTGCCTCAGCCTCCTGAGAAGCTGGGATTACAGGCGCCTGCCACCACGCCTGGCTAATTTTTGTATTTTTAGTAGAGACTTGGTTTCACCATGTTGGCCAGGCTGGTCTCGAACTCTTGACCTCGTGATCCACCTGCCTTGGACTCTCAAAAGTGCTGGGATTACAGGTGTGAGCCACCACGCCTGGCCTAAATTAGTAATTTTCAAGAGTTGTATTTCAATTTGATTTCAGGGTCGTTAGGTACCACGGACCCTACTGGATTGAACAAAGGAGGACGAATGCGGGAATAAAGACAAAGGCAAAAGAATATGTTTGGAACAAGGGGTCAGGGGGCTTCTTGCTTGTAGTGAACGTGGGCCCCGAGCTTCTAGCACCCTTCATGTTTACTGAGTAAAGGGGATAGAGAGAAGCGGGTGGTTGTAGGTCAGCTACTTGATTTAGAGCAGGCCTGCATGACTGCATTTTTCAAACAATAGGCTCCAGATGTCCCAGTAGATAACCTCAAGCAGCACAGCACCAGGGAGTGATTGTCCTCAGTATACCTTCTGGCAGCAGAAGCAGATGTGAGTTTGCCCACATTCTGCATTCATGATAAACAGTTCACTGTTTATCATATAGCCTTCAGTGGAAAGCTGAGTTGGTCACAACCTTTGGGCCTTGGGCTCCCAACATCTCTCCCTTTCTGTTTATGCATTAATTGAATGAATGTAAGGCCAGGTTGGGCAGCTCTCATTTTCTGATTGGCGGTCCATCTGATTTTACAGACTATGAACAAAAAACAGAGACTAAACAACATCATTCCAATAACTATATATGAGATGTTAATATAGTGCTTTAGATTGGTCCAAATATTGAGGCTCTCTAGGCCTTGCAGGAATTCACTCCAGACTTCTAAGGAAGGCTGAAACTCTTGAGTTTGCTTATTTAAGTCAAGAATTTTGTTTTGCAGTTCACCAATATCAAAGGTCCCGTGGATGCTCACTTTGGTTGTATTCTAAGTTGTTTACACAAATATGAGTGGCATTAAGATGACAGCACAATTGCTGTTGCAATTGTAAGCTTTGTGCTTGTTCCCCTAACCATAGAACTATGGATTTCAACATTGCCACTTCAGTTTGTAACTCAGTGTTAATTCTATTATGAAGTAGCCACACTTGGTTGGCTGTATGCATCCAGTTCTGCACGTACTGAACTGTTTGAATAGAACTATGCAAAGTGATGGAGTACATCACAACAGAAGTTTTTGGTGTGACCAAGGAAACAATAGCCAAAATTATCATGCCTAAGGCTCTACGGGCACGATGAGTAAGCTGAGTTAGAAGAAGTTTCACAAAGTGCAAAGCAGGGGTGGCAGCCCAAGGCTTGGACAGATTAATGGGAATCCATAGCCCAGGGATGCAACCCAAAATCATCAAAGTAGAGATATTATGTGTTTGTGGCCAGGCACAGTGGCTCACGCCTGTAATCCCAGCACTTTGGGAGGCCAAGGCAGGTGGATTACAAGGTCAGGAGTTCGAGACCAGCCTGGCCAACATGGTGAAACCCCGTCTCTACTAAAAATACAAAAATTAGCCAGGCATGGTGGCGGGCACCTGTAATCCCAGCTACTCAGGAGGCTGAGGCAGGAGAATTGCTTGAACCCAGGAGGCAGAGGTTGCAGTGAGCCGAGATCGTGCCACCGCACTCAAGCTTGGCAACAGAGCAAGGCTCTGTCTCAAAAAAAAAAAAGAGATATTATGTATTTGCAATGTGCTATGATTAATGTAGTGATATAACTGACAAGATTTACAGGTCAATTGGGTATTGTTTACCTGGAGCTAATCCTTCTTAGCTGCCAAAAAGACATAAGGATTAAAAACACAAACCGTAAACTGAGTGGTGATATTCTTTACAAGTGTAGCATTAAAACTGTGTTGCTTACTATTGCTATTATTGGATAGTATCCCAACCCCGATGCTGCCATTCATAAATGAAGGTGCTGCCTTCCATAACGTCTTTTGGATTGGTCCTTGCCTGCCTGGATAATGCCACTGAGGAAGAGGTGAGCTAAAGCCTGCTCCACACCAAGCAATCTGGGCAGCAGACTGGGATTGGATCCCGGTGTGGTATAAAGAAGAAGTATTAAAAGCTTACCACCAATGCCAGCCAAGTTTGTGCCATGATTTCTAATTTTCATCTTTTCCATGTAGTTGACCTTTAGGTCCCCAATCCACAATGTCTGCAGTTAACATAGATTGTTTTCTATGGGCCAAGACTCTGGGTCCATGGAGGGGGGTAGGAACTATGGAAGGGAATCCATTCCATATAGTCAGCACAGGTGGGGCGACTGGGCCGGGAATGGTTGGTTAGCACACCAGTTACATTAATGGAACCAAAACATAATAAGTACATGACTTTTCCATAGTGATTCCACCATGCTTGAGCTTGAATTATAAGACAGCTACTGTTGAGTGACATCTCTGTGGTGATACACAAAGGGAGTCCTTCTAGTGGGGTGGTATAATTGATGACATTGTTCTAAGAGTCTAACTGTTCTATGCCATGGGGAGTTAGGGGTCCTGGAGCCCACGGTCCCTGATCATGATAGATTTCAGAAAGAGCGTCACTCCAAAGTATAGGCCGTACTGCTGGGGGATTGGGAACATATGCCCAATATGTTTTTACCTCTGTACAGGGAAAACATACTGCACAGGACATTATGGCTGACAGGCCAAGAACATGGCATCAGGGGTTTTTGCCTGTCCCTGACGCTCCAGTAGTTTCTCAGCTTCTTGCATGGTTTTCTTGAGTTGTCCCCAGGTTATGGGGGTTGATGTCGTTGTGACTCCGGTCAGCCTTCTCTCCGTCTTCACACTCAGGCTCAGCTGGCTCATGGGTTGTACCGGAGGGACCAAGCCCATTGTTGGCCACCATGGGTCCCTCCAGTTTCCCGTTCCATGGTGGCACGCACCTTGAGGGCACTCACATGGTGTGTCCATCTCCTGTAGAAACACAAGCATACCTTCATCCCCATGTCAGTAAATCCACCGGACCTTTCCATTGTCCTTCTTCCAGGGATTTCCATAACACTTTCAGATAAACTTTCCTCTTTTCCTCTAACACTTGCCAATGTCTTTCTGCTGGAGTCTTACCATCCAGACCAGGAGTCAAACAATTTAAAGTAAATAAGGCTAAATGTAATTTTATTTGAGGTGGTAGCTGGTCTCCTATACCCCCTTTCTGTTTTTTCAACATGCATTGTAATGTTTGATGTGCCCACTCTATAATGCCTTGTCCTCAGGGATTGTAAGGTATTCCTGTTTTGTGGGTGATTGCCCATAACTGTAAAAAGTTTTGAAAAACATGGCTAAGTATAAGCAGGTCCATTGTCCGTTTTTAATTGTTTAGGGATCCCCATATGAGCAAATGATGACCGACAATGTCACCGCACATGAGCAGCTGTCTCGCCTGTTTGGCATGTAGAATGCAGCATATGAGATTAAGTGTCTATAGTTACATGAACATAGCTAAGCTTGCCAAAGGCTGCTATATGTGTAACATCCATCTGCCAAATTTCATTTGGAGCCAAGCCTTGTGGATTGCATCCTTCCACAGGTATAACACCAGGGACATGCTGACAAGTGGGACAGGCTTGCGCCATAGTTCGAGCCTGGCTGTGAGGCAGGTGAAACATACGAGTAAGGGCGAGGTGTTTTGAGGCAGTATTGCCTGAGAAGTTTGAGCTTGTTGAAATACAGAACAAACCAGTTTATCTGCTCTATCATTACCTAGAGATAGTGGTCCAGGGAGTTGTATGTGAGAGCAAATATGAGAAATATGTAAAGGAGCAGCATGAGAGCGAACAGCTTGTTGAAGTCTTAGAAACAAGCTAAGCAGTTCTGGCTCTAGTGTGCTTTTAATTGTAGCAGTTTCTATGCGACTGGCTACATTTACGACATAGGCTGAATCACAGACAATGTTAATGGGAGTTGAAGCTGTGAGCTCTAAAACTAGAATGACTGTAATTAACTCTGAGCGTTGAGCTGAAAGTCCAGAGATCCTTATTGTCTGAGTATGTTTAGGTCCCAACATAGCTGCACGCCCTTTGGAAGAGCCATCGGTAAAATAGGCCTGACCACCTGGAATAGGCTCGTGATGAGTAATCACAGGGAAGATAAAATAATAGACATTATAAAATTGTAAAACTTTGTCCGATGGAGAGTGGTTGTCTATTATTTCCACAAAATCTGCAAGAGCAATTTGCTACACAGTCGATATTTCCCATGCTGTGGCCTGTTGTTGGGAATCCAAGGAAACAATAATTGCGTCTGGATCATACCCCATAAGCACTTTTAATTTATGCCTACCTATAGTCACAAGTTGTGTAATTAAAGGAAGATAGGCTTGCAAGGTTTTAACTGTTTGATTAGGTAGAAAGAGCCATTCTATTACTGATACAGACTTGTCTAAGCACTGGCCCAGGAGTCCTGTTGGAGAATGAGGGGTATGAAGAATAAGCAAAGGCTTTTGCGGCTACAGCCATGAGGCATGTCTCTGCTGAAGCATCTGTTCTACAAGTTGCAACTCAGCTTCTGCCTCTTTGGTCAATTGCTGCGGGGAAATCTAATGAAGAATCTCCTTGCAGGGTTTGATAAAGATGTTTGAGTCGATAAGTTGCAATACCTAGCATTGCGCACAGCCAATGAATATCCCCTAACAACTGTTGAAAATCATTTAAAATCTGTAACCTGTCTTTATGGAGAACTACTTTCTGAGGCCGAACACTTCTTTCAGTAACAATAGTGCCTAAGTAATGGTATGGGGAAGTTGCTTGTACTTTCTCTGGACCAATTTTGAGATTCCATTTAGTCAAAGCCTGCTTCCTTTCTCTGAATAACTGATGTAAGATTTGATCTGTAGGAGTGGCCAAAAGAATGTCATCCATGAAATGAATGATGTGAGCAGTAGGAAACATATTCAGAGTCTCCTTCAATGTTTGTCCTACAAAATGCTGACAGCGTAGGACTGTAAAGCATGTCTTGGGGTAAAACTTTCCTTTGATAAAGAGAAACAGGTTCTCTTGGATGAATAGAAGGCACAGAGAAGGCAGATCCAGGCTTATCCTTCTCGTGTAAGGGTATAGTAAAGAAAGGTCTATGCCGGGCGCAATGGCTCACGCCTGTAATCCCAGCACTTTGGGAGGCCGAGGTGGGTGGATCATGAGGTCAGGAGATCAAGACCATCCTGCCTAACATGGTGAAACCCCGTCTTTACTAAAAATACAAAAAAAAAAAAAATTAGCCAGGCATGGTGGCAGGCACCTGTAGTCCCAGCTACTTGGGAGGCTGAAACAGGAGAATGGCGTGAACCCGGAAGGCGGAGCTTGCAGTGAGCCGAGATCGCACCACTGCACTCCAGCCTGGGCGACAGAGCGAGACTCCATCTCGGAAAAAAAAAAAAAAAAGGGGGTCTATTGCTACAAGAGGCCAGTCTCTAGGAATGACGGCTGCAGATGGCAAGCCTTGTTGTAATGCACCCATCAGTTTAATTTGTGCATTAATAGCTCTCAAATCATGCAGCAGTCGCCATCTTCCTGACTTCTTTGGAATTACAAACACTGGTGAATTCCAGTGGCTAACCGACTCCTCTTTATGGCCTGCATCCAGTTGCTCTTTTTCTACTGCTGAAGTTGAGTTAGTTTCTCCTGTGATAGGGGCCATTGATCCACCCACACAGGTTTGTCACTGAGCCATTCTAATGGTAAGGCAGTAGGTGAAGGAGAAGTATCAATGACCCCCATCAGAAATCCTGACTCCTAGCCCTTTTCTATCTGTTTGCCCACTTATTGATATAGGATCAGGGTTTCCCTGTAGGGACTTTTCTAAGCCTTTTCTGCTCTGATATCCCATTTTAGGGTTTGACCCTTGGCTCTTTTTAGATTTGTCAACTACTAAATTAGCCATTGCTTGACCTAACATTGTAGAATGATAAAGCTCAGTTCCTACATCCTGAGAAGCTCTGAGAAAATTTCCCAACTCTTCTGTATACTTCACAGGTGCTAGTGCACATTTACAATCTACGTTTGCATTCTCAAAAGCTAAAGTTACGGTTTGCATCTCTGCAGCCATGGTATGAGGAATCTGTTTCTTCACTGCCTCTTGTAATCTTTCAAGAAAATGTGCACAGGGCTCCTGCAACCCTTGCGTGATATGTAAAAAGGATTGTACTGGAACCCCTTCCTCTGGAATTGTGGCCCAGGCACATTTAGCAGCCAGTGCACACTGCTTATAAGCAGCGTCTGGGAGTGCCATTTGATGTTCCAGGTCTGAATAAGGGCCATTACCCAACAGCATATCCTCTGTAATGTCTCTATGTCCAGTAGCATGATTCTGTCTAGCCTGGTCTGCACACATTTCTTCCCAATTTAAATTCCGTGTTAGGTATGCGCTAGCAGACAAACAAATCTGAGCCAAATGCTTTACATCAAAGGGTATAAGGCGCATAGCACCAAAAAGAGATTCTGGTAATCCTAAAGTAAATGGGCTCTGTACTCCATTATTAACTACACTAGCTTTTAATTCCTTCAACAACTTAAACTCTAGTGGGGGTGTGTTCATGAATAAACTGCTGTGGATTATTTGAATCGGGCCTTATGGAAATAGGAAAAACGCAAGGTCCTAAGGGCTCTCCAGCTATGGCAGCAGAGCATAAAGTTGTTTGTTTTGGGGTCTCTATTTCTGCTACCGAAGGAGGCAGTACAGATGTTTCTGCTATTGGAGGGGGCGGTATAGGCCAATTTTTATCCTCCTTCTCCTGTTTATTATTTTCAGTTGGTACTGTGGGTGGGACAAAAGATTCTTTCAGATTTTTAGACTCAGAATATGATTCCAGCTGTCTAGCAGAATAAGAAGGAGATAACGGCAGAAGGACAGTATGGACTAAACTCCAAGTGGAGAAAACAGAAGGATCAACTTTTAGACCTTTTTGATGAGCCCATTTTAATCCTTCACCTGCTGTGTCCCAATTTTCCACATCGAAAGTGCCTGTCTGCAGAAACCATGGGTTATGCATAATAACCTCCTGCAGCATCTTAGTGTCTGAGAACTAACCTGAGCACCAGACTGTTTAAGTAAAACTTTAAGCAACTGCACATAATGTTGCTCCTCAATCCCAGCACTTTGGGAGGCCGAGGCGGGTGGATCATGAGGTCAGGAGATCAAGACCATCCTGCCTAACATGGTGAAACCCCGTCTTTACTAAAAATACAAAAAAAAATTGTCTCTTGCTCCTCAATAGACAAATACTGCCCCATGTTACCCTGATTCAGAAACTTCCTGTTCCCAGTACTTCTTTAGAGCACCTACCTTATATTGCTCCCAGTACCTCTTTAGGGCACTGATCAGTATCTCTTTAGGGCACTGACTTTATATCAGCTGCCGGCAGATATCCTGGGGTCCCCATTTGTGTGGTGAATTTCATTTCCTCTGCTCCAGCAAGCTTTCTTCGTTCACATCCTCAAGTCCCTGTTCACGGCCGCCGCTTTGCCATGAACCCTACTATACTGAACAAAGGAGGACGAACGCGGGAATAAAGACAAAGACAAAAGAATATGTTTGGAAGAAGGGGTCGGGGGCACCTTGCTTCTAGTGAACAAGGGCCCTGAGCTTCTAGTGCCCTTCGTATTTATTGATTAAAGGAGATAGAAGGGGGTGGTTGTAGGTCAGCTGCTTGATTTAGAGCAGGCCTGCATGACTGCATTCTTTGAACAATAGGCTCCAGATGTCCCAGTAGATAACCTCAAGCAGCACAGCGCCAGGGTGATTGTCCTCAGTGTACCTTCTGGCGGCAGGTGCAGACACGAGTTTGCCCACATTCTGCATTGATGATAAACAGTTTACTGTATGATCATATAACCTCCAGTGGAATGCTGAGTTGGTCACGACCCTCAAGTCTTTGGCTCCCAACCCTTAGGTAGGACCTTAGGACACTACACACGGTTCGGCCTCATTGCTTCTTATTTAAATTTGTTCATACTCTCCAGGGTGACTGGTTTGTCCCTGCATTCTCCAAATATACGGGATGCAGGGCCTCAAATCCTCCACCCTCATACCACAGCCTAACTCTTCAAGGGCTTGCAGTGAAATCTGTGTCTGAACATTTCACATGAGAGGAAAGCAGAGAATAACCACTAGACATTTGCCTGAAAAATCCTTTCTGCCTCTCCTCCTCTTATCTTTCCGAGACACAGACACCTTATCAGGATGTCTTTGGGATGCGGTTCCTTTCTGGAAACTGTACAGGGTGATGTGTCTTCAGTACACCCTCCTATCTTTTCCTGGTTTTGGGTTTTAGAACTGCCTCGGGCTGACTCAAGTTCCCCACAACTGCCATGTCTCCTGGAGGGTCTAGTGGGTATCAGTGCCTAGGGGAGTGGGGCCTCCCAAGGGAGCAGCTGAATGCCTTATGGTGGCAGAGATGCCTGGTATACGCTTCATCTAGATAACCAATTCTCTGAGTTCTCAGCTTCTCCCTCCCAACTCCAGTTTCCATTAATTGGAGACACATGGCTGGTCAGCCAATTGGATGTTGCTATTGAGGGAAAACAGAAATGATTCCTGTCTTCTGGATTTTCTCAACTGTGAAGAGAGAAATATCCCAAAAGAAGAGGAAAGGCCACTTCAACAGGGTGGAACAATAGCCTGCAAAAGCAAAATATACCTGGGGGTACACAGGGGACACAATGCCATGTTGGTGGGAAATCGTCATTGAGCGCTTCTCCTTTCCTCTATGTGAAATGTTCAGGGAATCACCACCAGTCACTCTCCCGTAAAAGTATGTGTGCTGCTCCTCCTTTCATCTATCCTGGAAACAGACATCAGATTGTCTTTTGGTTGAGGCTCCCCTTTGGAAACATAAAGGAGTATTGTGTCTTTAGTGCACTCTCCTATCTTTTCTTGGTCCTGGGTGGCAGAAATGGGGTGACTTGCTTCTTTCATGTAAAAATATGCATTGAAGGTCTCGCAATAACTTTGTTGCTTGACAACTCATTTAGTTTTTATTTTTATTTATTTATCTAAAAAATTTTTTTGTTTTGTTAGAGACAGGGTCACAAACTCCCAAGCTCAGGTGATCCTCCTGCCTCAGCTTCCCAAAGTGCTGGGATTCCACTTGTGAGCCACCATGTCCGGCCACTCATTTTTTTGCATCACTGAGTAACATTCCATTGTACGGATGTTACCATAGTTTGTTTCTTTATTCATCTATTGAAAGGCTCATCTTGAGCCTGGTGTGATGCCTCATCCCTGAATTCCCAGCTACATGGGAGACTGAGGTGAGAAGATTGCTTGAGGCCAGCAGTTAGAGACCAGCCTGGTAGATACAGTGTGAGAACTCCTCTATTTTTTTTTTTTTAAGACTCACCTTGTTTGATTCTAATTTTGGCAGTTATGAGTAAGGCTGCTAAAAATGTTTGTGGGAGGACTTTTGTGTGGACATCAGTTTTCAGTTCACTTGGGTCAATATGTAGGAATGAGACTACTGAATCCATAAGACCGTGCTTATTTTCTTCAGAACTCCACAGACTGTCTTTCAAATTGGCTGTAGAATTTTCCATTCACATCCCTAGTGAATGAGAGTTCACTGTCACCAGCATTTGGAAGTATCAGTGTTTTGGATTTCATCTACCGCAACAGGTATTTACTGTTACCTCATTGTTGTTTTCTGTTGTTTTTTTTTTTCTTCTTTTGGAGACGGAGTTTTGCTCTTTTTGCCCAGGCTGGAATGCAATGGCGTGATCTCAGCTCACTGCAGCTTCTGCCTCCCCAGTTCCAGTGATTCTTCTGCCTCAGCCTCCCAAGTAGCTGGGATTACAGGCATGTACCGCCATGCCCAGCCAATTTTTGTATTATTAGTAGAGATGAGATTTTACCTTGTTGGTCACGCTGGTCTCAAACTCCTGACCTCAGGTGATCCACCTGCCTCGGCCTCCCAAACTGTTGGATTATAGACATGAGCCATCGTGCCCAGCCTGTTTTCATTTGCTCTTTAATAACATGTAATGTAGAGCATCCTGTCATATGTTTGTTTGCCATAATTATGTTCTTTAGAGAGAGGTATGCTTGGAAAGATTTTGCTTTTTTTTTTTTTTTTTTTTTGAGTTGTAGTCTGGCTCTCTGGCCCAGGCTGGAGTGCCGTGGCACAGTCTCGGCTCAGCTCACTGCAACCTCTGCCTCCCAGGATCAAGTGATTCTCCTGCCTCAGCCTCCCGAGTAGCTGGGATTACAGGCTCATGCCACCACGCCCAGCTAATTTTTGTATTTTTAGTAGAGGCGGGGTTTCACCATGTTAGCCAGGTTGGTCTCAACCTCCTGACCTCAGTGATCTACCCTCCTCAGCCTCCCAAAGTGCTGGGATTACAAGCATGAGCCACCATGCCCGGCCTTTTTATTTTTTGATTAGTTGGCTTTTTTCTTATAGAATTCTAGGAGTTCTTCATATCTTTTGGGTACCAGTCCTTGATCAGATAGGTGTCCTGCAAATATTGTGTCCCAGTCTGCCACCTGTCTTTTTATTCTCTTAACAGACTCTTTTCCCAAACAGAGTTTTATTTTGAATGAAGTCCAATTTATCGATTTTCTCACTCACAGATCATGTTTTTTGTGTTGTGTGTGAAACCTGATTGCCAAATCCAAGGTTGTCTTGGTTTTCACAAGTGTTAAGTTCTAGAAGTTGTGAGTTTTGCATTTTCCATTTAAGTAAATGATTCATCAGGAGGTAGTTTTGTAAAAGGTTCAGTTCTGTGTCTAATTCATTTCTTTGCATTTGCTAATCCAGGTGTTTCAGTACCATTTGTTTTGTGCCACCATGTCTAATTATTTATTTTATTATGGATACAGGGTCTCACTATGTTGCCCAGGCTGGTCTCGAACTGCGGGGCTCAAATGATCTGTCCGCCTTGACCTCCGGTTTTGCATTTTTAATACTTGTCTTTATAGTAGATTTTTCTATGTTCCTAGTGCCTCTCTTGCGATCATATGGAATCTTCTCTTGTATATTTAGTTTATTAAGTGTTTTTAATCATGAGGAGATATCAACCCATTTATGCTAGAGGTTGCAATTTTTTGAATTGCAGACGTGTGAAAAATCAGACTTTGGTAATGACCTTGAGCAGTAGGATACAAATAACTCCCACATGCTTAGCGTTCCAGAAATGGAACAGTGGGCTCAAATGGGTTAAGGCTTGTCACATGCCTTTTCTGCCTCTATTAGGACATTCTTCTCATTTTTTGTTTGATTTGAGATGGAGTCTCACTCTGTCGCCCAGGCTAGAGTGCAATGGTGGGATTTTGGCTCACTGCAACCTCTGCCTCCCGGGTTCAAAGGATTCTCCCACCTCAGCCTTCCAAGTAACAGAGAATACAGGCACTCGCTGCACGCCTGGCTAATTTTTGTGTTTTTAGTAGAGATGGAGTTCCACCATGTTAGCCAGGCTGGTCTCACACTGCTGACCTCAAGTGAACCACCTACCTTGGCCTCCTAAAGTGCTGGGATTGCAGGCATAAGCCAACACGCCTGGCTGCTACCGTGATTTGTTATCAATACTTACTATAAAACAAAACTTAAAAATTATCAGCTTAAGGAATTTTACATGTACAATTGAGATAGGTTGACAAATCTATGTAAGTTCTCTAAGATGAATTCTGTTGTATTTTGCCTTTTGCAATTATCCTGATGTTTCATATATGTCGTAGTATGGGCCAAGATATTGTTTTCTTTCTTTCTTTTTTTTTTTTGAGATGCAGTTTCACTCTTGTTGCCCAGGCTGGAGTGCAATGGCACAATATTGACTGACCCCAACCTCAAGCAATTTTCCTGCCTCAGCCTCCTGAGTAGCTGGGATTACAGGCATGCGCCACCATGCCCGGCTAATTTTGTATTTTTAGTAGAGACAAGGTTTCTCTATGTTGGTCACACTGGTCTTGAACTCCCAACCTCAGGTGATCTGCCCGCCTCCACCTCCCAAAGTGCTGGGATTACAGGCATGAGCCACCGCACCAGGCCAAGATGTTATTTTCTAAGACTAAATAATATTCCATTGTATGTATATGCTTACCACATTTTGTTTATCCATTCAGCCATCAATGGATATGTGGGTGGCTGCATTGCTCATTACTGCCACCCCAGGAAGGTCGTATAGTGGTTAAATCTGTGCTCATTACACCTGGGTATCTCTTAGGAGTTTCTTGTTTGCCCTCTTGTGTAATTACGGTCTTGTTTTTTTCAGTAATGTCCTGTTTGCCCTTCTTATCAGCATCTATCTAGCTACATTCTGACAGGATAACTGCAAACTGAATGATTCCTGGGCATCATAATGGATGTTTCTTTCTACTTAGGTGTCTCCCCTCCTCTCTGCTTATATCTAGCATGCCTGTTTTGGGTGGTCCCTGGGGTTGTGGGATTTCCCAGGGGCTACCCTTCCTGCTCTTGGCTAGATATCTGCCTTCTCTAACAATGTCATCAAAGATTACACTTTGGGAACAGGCATTTTCAAGGATACACAGCTTCAGGACTGCTAATGTTAACTTTTTTCTGCATATTAATTCATAGTACTCTGTTATGACAGGTGCTACAGACCCACAGTCCAAGGAGACATTAGGGACAGCCCAAGCAGCTGACAGAGCGATACACTATCACAAAAAAAAAAAAAAAAAAAAAAAAAAAATTGCTGTCTGGGTGTGGTGGCTCATGCCTGTAATCCTAGCACTTTGTGACTCTGAGGCAGGTGGATCACCTGAGGTTGGGAGTTCGAGACCAGCCTGACCAACATGGAGAAACCCTGTCTCTACTAAAAATACAAAATTAGCCGGGTATGCTGGTGCATGCCTGTAATCCCAGCTACTCGGGAGGC
Organism: Homo sapiens; assembly: GCF_000001405.40. NCBI lineage: Eukaryota > Metazoa > Chordata > Mammalia > Primates > Hominidae > Homo > Homo sapiens. Next base: position 11,865,927 of record NC_000019.10, read on the forward strand.
TGAGGCAGAAGAAGCACTTGAACCCCGGCAGTGAGCCGAGATTGCACCATTGTACTCCAGCCTGGGCAATAAGAGTGAAATTCTGTCTCAAAAAAATAAAAAAAAAAATTGCTTTATGGAAGAAAGTAAGTATAGACAGAGAGAAAGGGATCTGATGACCAAAGCAGGGAATAAATGTTTGGAGTCCACGGCATCCTGAGAACTTCTTGGGAATAGAGTCTAGGCCCCCAATGCTGTCACTCTCACCCATCCTCCTCTACACATGTGAGATGTTTCAGGACCCAGTGGCTTTTAAGGATGTGGCTGTGAACTTCACCCAGGAGGAGTGGGCTTTGCTGGATATTTCCCAGAAGAATCTCTACAGGGAAGTGATGCTGGAAACTTTCTGGAACCTGACCTCTATAGGTAAGGATGACAATATTCCTTCCCTCAGTGCATTAGTTTACCAATGTTTCTAGCTCACCAATGCTGTTGAGTGATTTGGAACACAGACAGGAAATACTTTGATGAATAAATGAGGCATGGCTGCTGTAAATCATGGGCATAGGTCTAATAATTTTTTCACAATTTTATACTGCCTCAGGATTATTTTTCTGTGTTTGTATTTTAGGAAAAAAGTGGAAAGACCAGAACATTGAATATGAGTACCAAAACCCCAGGAGAAACTTCAGGTAATTTGCACTTATAAGAGAAAGCAGTGTCTCTCTACACGATCTTAGAATATGAGACTATGTTAAAAATAAGTAAAACAAAGAACTAAGTCCAGGATCAAGTTCATTTATTCATACAATATTTTATCTAAAAATATATATTTAAATGTGATCAAGGCTGAGGGCTCACTCCTGTAATCCCAGTCCTTTGAGACATGGAGATAGGAGGATAGCTTGAGGCCAGCAGTTCAACAACAGCCTGCGCAACATAACAAGACCACATATCAACAACAGCAAAAAATTAGCTGGGCATTGTGGTATGCATCCGTAGTCCCAGCTACTCAGGAGGCTGAGACATGAGGGACATGAGGATCACTTGAGCCCCCAGGAGTTAAAGGCTGTGGTAAGCTATGATGATACCACTGCACTCCAGGGTGGGCAACAGGACAAGACCCTGAAACAAAAGAAAAATGACACAGAGTATTTAGTATTTTAAAATAGTTTACATGGGAAGAGTATTAAGAAGCCCCATATAAACATTTTTTTAAATAATAGGTATGGCTAGGTCACCTTGTAGAATGTGTTGTCCAGTCACCTTCAAACAATTCAGACAGGGCAGAAAGCCTACACTTTGATGGAGAGTGTTAAAAATGCAAGTACAATACTTGCTGATTAATATAAAATTACTTATAAACAAACTCTTCATAATTTGTTTCTCATTTTTGACAGGAGTGTCACAGAAGAGAAAGTCAATGAAATTAAAGAAGACAGTCATTGTGGAGAAACTTTTACCCCAGTTCCAGATGACAGGCTGAACTTCCAGAAGAAGAAAGCTTCTCCTGAAGTAAAATCATGTGACAGCTTTGTGTGTGAAGTTGGCCTAGGTAACTCATCTTCTAATATGAACATCAGAGGTGACACTGGACACAAGGCATGTGAATGTCAGGAATATGGACCAAAGCCATGGAAGAGTCAACAACCTAAAAAAGCCTTCAGATATCACCCCTCCTTGAGAACACAAGAAAGGGATCACACTGGAAAGAAACCCTATGCTTGTAAAGAATGTGGAAAAAACATTATTTACCATTCAAGCATTCAAAGACACATGGTAGTGCACAGTGGGGATGGACCTTATAAATGTAAGTTTTGTGGGAAAGCATTCCATTGTCTCAGTTTATATCTTATCCATGAAAGAACTCACACTGGAGAGAAACCGTATGAATGTAAACAATGTGGTAAATCTTTTAGTTATTCTGCTACCCATCGAATACATGAAAGAACTCACATTGGAGAAAAGCCTTATGAATGTCAGGAATGTGGGAAAGCATTCCATAGTCCCAGATCCTGTCACAGACATGAAAGGAGTCACATGGGAGAGAAGGCTTATCAATGTAAGGAATGTGGAAAAGCATTCATGTGTCCCCGTTATGTTCGTAGACATGAAAGGACCCACTCTAGGAAAAAACTTTATGAATGTAAGCAGTGTGGGAAAGCATTATCCTCTCTTACAAGTTTTCAAACACACATAAGAATGCACTCTGGAGAAAGACCTTATGAATGTAAGACATGTGGGAAAGGCTTTTATTCTGCCAAGTCATTTCAAAGACATGAAAAAACTCACAGTGGAGAGAAACCGTATAAATGCAAGCAATGTGGTAAAGCCTTCACTCGTTCCGGTTCCTTTCGATATCATGAAAGGACTCACACTGGAGAGAAACCCTATGAGTGTAAGCAATGTGGGAAAGCCTTCAGATCTGCCCCAAATCTTCAATTGCATGGTAGGACTCACACTGGAGAGAAACCGTATCAATGTAAGGAATGTGGGAAAGCTTTCAGATCTGCCTCACAACTTCGAATCCATCGTAGGATTCACACTGGAGAGAAACCCTATGAATGTAAGAAATGTGGGAAAGCCTTCAGATATGTCCAGAACTTTCGATTTCATGAAAGGACACAAACACATAAGAATGCACTCTGGAGAAAGACCTTATAAATATAAGATATATGGGAAACACTTTTATTCTGCCAAGTTATTTCAAACACATGAAAAAATTCACACTGGAGAGAAACCCTATAAATGCAAGCAATGTGGTAAAGCCTTAATTGTTCCAGTTCCTTTCGATATCTAAAAGGACTCACAGTGGAGAAAAACTCTATGAGTGTAAGCAATGTGGGAAAGTCTTCAGATCTGTCAAGAACCTTTCAATTTATGAAAGGACACACACTGGAGAGAAACCCTATGAATGTAAGAAATGTGGAAAAGCGTTCCATAATTTCTCTTCTTTTCAAATACATGAAAGTTGCACAGAGGAGAGGCGCCCTAAGAATGTAAGCATTGTGGGAAAGCATTCATATCTGCCAAGATCGTTTGAATACATGCAAAACACACACTGGAGAGAAACCTATGAATGTAAGGAATGCAAACAAGCATTCAATTATTTTTCTTCCTTGCATATACATGAAAGGACTCATACGAGAGAGAATCCGTATGAATGTAAGGATTGTGGGAAAGCATTCAGCTTGCTTAATTGCTTTCATAGACATGTAAAGACACACCAGAAGGAAACCCTATGAATGTAAGCAATGTGGCAAAAGCTTTCACTTCTTCCAGTTCTTTTCAATATCATGAAAGGACTCACACTGGGGAGAAACCGTATCAATGTAAGCAATGTGGGAAAGCCGTCAGATCAGCCTCAAGACTTCAAATGCATGGAAGCACTCACACTTGGCAGAAACTCTATGAATGTAAGCAGTATGGGAAAGCCTTCAGATCGGCTAGGATTCTTTGAATACAAATAATGAATGTAAACAATTAACTGTTTATAATAACTGTATACTAACAAATGTTATTCTTTTTAAATAATTAAGAAGCTATAATAAAATATCCATTGGTGTCATGTATTAGATCAAGCTTATAATGTTACATTGTTATTATTTGGATATTGTGAATCAGCATTACCTGGATTAAATGCCAGGCATATTTTTCCTCATGTAAACTTTACTTTTCATGCTTATGTACTTTAATTTTTATTTCAACTGTAATTTTTCTTTTTTTTTCCTTTTGCTTTTTCTTTTTCTTTTTTTTTTTTTTTTTTTTTTAGAAAGAGCCTCACTCTGTTGCCCAGGCTGGAGTGCAGTGGTGTGATCTTGGCTCACTGCAATCTCTGCTTCCCAGGTTTGAACAATTCTCCTTCTTCAGCCTTTTGAGTAGCTGGGACTACAGGCATGCACCACTTCACCCAGCTAATTATGTGTATTATTTAGTAGAGACGGGGTTTCACCATATTGGCCAGGCTGGTCTCGAACTCTGGACCTTGTGATCCTCCTGCCTCGGCCTCTCAAAGTGCTGGATTTACAGACATGAGCCACTGCGCCCAGCCTCAACCCTAATTTTTCTTTCACTCATAATACCAAAAGTTATCTCATGTATCTCTGAGTACCTTCTTGCCCAAAACCAGCAGCGCCATACCTGCTGTCAGCAAGGGTGTAATATACCATAGTGATAAATATGACCAGAAGACATAAATGACTGTGGGATGTATGAGAATTACAAGTCACATTGGTAAGAAGATAAAAATTTTCGTCATGTTTATGATTTGAAATATGTTTACTTCTATCAGTTTTAGAAATACAGTTACAAAATGCCCTTGTTTTTGTCCTGGTCCATCATGATCACTGAGGAGCATCATCTCATATGCCTGATATGTAACATGTGTCTCTCCAACAGTAAAAGACTTGGCCTTGGCTGGGTGTGGTGGCTCACACCTGAAAACCCAGCACATTGGGAGGCTGAGGCAGGCAGATCACCTGAGGTCAGGAGTTCGAGAACACCCTGACCAATATGATGAAACCCTGTCTCATCTAAAAATACAAAACTTAGTCAGCCATGGTGGCATGCTTCTGTAATCCTAGCTAGTCAGGAGGCTGAGAAAGGAGAATCACTTGAATCTGGCAGGCAGAGGTTGCAGTGAGCCGAGATCCCATCATTGCACTCCAGCCTAGTCAACAAGAGCGAAACTCTTTCTGAAAAAACAAAAACAAAAACAAAAACAACTTGGCCTTGTGGTGAGGGGAGGTCAGCTATAGACTTCTGGACCTGTTTTTGCCTTACTTATTCTGTAAAGACTAAAACATTTTCTAAAATGTATGGGCACTGTTAACTAGAAGGTACCTTAGTTAAAATATATAAATTCATTTACGCTTTATAAAGCTATATTTTTTTCAAATTGCTTTACTGAGTCATAGGAGGCTAATAAATTTGTGTAAATTGTCTAAATAAAAGCCTTTCTTCCTCTGATAATGTGCTGTTGATGCTAACTTGTCAACAGCCTGCTTATCTCAGCAGTGTAAAGTTAACGGTAACATGGAAAAGTCACTTTTATATATAATGCAATGGCTAGAACAATTCTGTCACTTCCTGTAAGGTCCAGTGAAGCTGCTCTTCAGAAACAGTTATTTAAAATCCTTATAGTCTAAATCTAGGCACCACAGGATGCAGAATCAATCACTGACCAAGCCCTGTCTGTGTGTGGAGGTGACACACCCAGTCCCAGATAATGTATCCACATCAGTGAAGGGAGGAGTCATTGATTGTCGGATCACACAAAGTAACTCAGAACAGGGAAGACAGGGCAGTGAAACCTGGCCAGGCATGGTGGCTCACACCTGTAATCCCAGCACTTTGGGAGGCCGAGGCAGGTGGATCACTTGAGGTCAGCAGTTCAAGACCAGCCTGGCCAACATGGTGAAACCCTGTCTCGTCTAAAAATACAAAAAAATAGCTGGGCATCATGGTGTGTGCCTGTAATCCCAGCTACTCAGGAGGCTGAGGCAGGAGAATCGCTTGAGCTTGGGAGGTGGAGGTTACAGTAAACTGAGATCACACCATTGCTCTCTCCAGGCTAGTCGACAGAGCGAGACTCCATCACACACACACAAAAAAAGTTGGGTGCACCTGAATCCAACCCCTGCCTCATCCTTCTGAATTGAAGGCCAAATGCACCCTGATACTTTTCACCAAAGAGTAGAAACAACACCATTCACTTGACCCCAAATGTGACTTTCCACAGGATGCAAGCACAGTGTTGGAATAGCCAATGACAGTGACAATAGAAGTGCAGGGTGAGGGTGATGAACAGGACACACTGGAGAGCCTGACATTAGGCTAGATATTGGGGTGTCTTGATGCTTCACAAAGAGCCCAAGGAGCACCCCAAAGAGGACACTGGAGCACAGGCCCAAAGGATCTTCGTATGCCAGGAAGGCCACTAATTTTGGAAGTCAGTGATGTTGGTGGGTTTAGCTTTGGGAAAAGAAATAGGGAAAATCTTTTCTTACAGCTTGAGAAAAATGAATAAACTTCCACAACAAAGTATAGTAGATAAATTGGTGAATTACAAAGATTTAGCAAAATATCAGTCCTCCTTTGCAAGTTGGAGAACTTGTAACAGTGGATAACTCTTCTCTTCCTATTATTTGTGAGGTAACACCTGGCTGGCAACTGTTGTCATATGTTTGTGTTCACATGTGATTAATATGTAGTATGGGCTTTGTTATCATGGAAATCATAATGAAATAATATTGTCCACCTTAATAAGATAACAAGATTCAGAGAAGATGATTAAATATTGAGTATTTCTGAGCACAAAGTTTGAGGATAGCCACTGGGGAAACAGATATCCTGAAGAGTGGGGTCAGTGCTCCAACACGGGGAAGTTGAGTCTTCACTTCTGTAGGGCAAAATGTAGACGCTTAACAGGGTGACATTTTCCATACAAGGCCAGTGCACACATTTCAGTGATTTGGTTGGTTGCAGCTACCAAATTTCAATGATGATTGCCTTAACTTTTTGTAAGGAGGGGTAGTGGTCTCAAAAGGATCCTACCTCTGTCACTTCCCACTCTTTTCTAATCATTTACAGCCCAAGAACAACAAAGATAATTAATCTTTTTGATATTCACAGGAAAGGAGCTATTACATGGTAGTGTAAACACATTTCTCAATATGTTTATTGACTGAAAGGGTTAGATACTTTTACTTTCCCTCATGAGGGATGAAAGGTAAGTACCTTATAATTTCCTTCTAGCCTATAAACATAAACCGAGTTTGAGAGATTTTGCTGGATTCTTCAAACGCTGGGTATTTTCTCATTGAAACAGAGGCCAGAGTCCAGTGACTGCAAGCTAAGGACAATGAGAAGCCTACAAAGAGAGGTTATTGAAAGCTCACGTCAGGCGGTGACTCACACCTGTAATCCCAGCACTTTGGGAAGCTGAGTCGGGCAGATCATCTGAGGTCGGGAGTTCGAGACCAACCTGGCCAACACAGCAAAACCCATCTCTACTAAAAACACCAAAATTAGCCAGGTATAGTGGCTCATGCCTGCAGTTCCCAGCCATTCAGGAGGCTGAGGCACGATAATCGCTTAAACTCTGGAGGCAGAGGTTACAGTGCACCAAGATCGTGCCACTGCACTTCAGCCTAGGTGACAGAGCGAGACTCTGTCTCCAAAAAAAAGAAAAAAAAAAAAAGCTCTCACTTGGTTCTTCCCATGGTGCCCCCACTGCAGGTGTACCAGCTACTCACGTTGACCATGGGAGGAGCCCTTTATAATAAAAGAATCTCAGAATCCTGGAAAGCTGGGGATCCACAGGCAGATGCAGTAGTCAGTGATGCCGTGCGCAAGTGATAATTTTTGTCATGGGGCTTTTTCTAGACACTTCTAGTGAAACAAATGTGGGTTTAGGTAAGAAATAACTTTTAATTCTAGACCTTGAAGTCAGCTTGTCATTAAAAGAGGTCATTTAAAAAAAAAAAGTCTAGGTACTGGACTTGTAAGTAAAAATAAAAAGATTAAATACCTAAAATGGGGTTGTATATAGGCTTAGAAGGAGTCAGTCAAAAATTCAGGGGCTGCTGGGCGTGGTGGCTCATACCTGTAATTCCAGCACTTTGGGCAGATCACTTGAGGCCAGGAGTTCAAGACCACCCTTGAAACATGGGTGAAACACCCAGCATAGTGAAACACCATCTCTATAAAAAAATACAAAAATTAGCTGGGCATGATGGCACACACCTGCAACCCCAGCTACTCCGGAGAATGAGGCATGAGAATCACTTGAACCAGGGAGGCAGAGGTTGCAGTGAGCCAAGATCATGCTACTGCACTCCAGCCTGGGCTACAGAACAAGACTCTGTCTCAAAAAAAGAAAAAAAAAAAAAAAAAAAAAAAAAGTTCAGGGACCTGGAGGAAGGAGAGAAACTGAAGCATGCTTTGATTAATAGATATTTCATTTTGACTGATCACTAAAGACAAAGCTATTCACCTAATGGTTTGTGAGGTGAATACTGGAATTTCTAGTCTGTGTCTGGTTTGTCATAGGTAACAAACGTGGCATCATCTAAGTCATAAGGGGAAGGGTGTTTTGTTGTAGTAAGGTGCTCTTGCACAACACAAAGGATGGGGGATTTCTTGAATCACACCTCTTTTCAGGATGACCCACCCACCCCCATCTCCTTTTCACACCCCTTACTCTCTTTGATTTGGCTGCTCCTGAGTTGTATCCTTCATAATAAGTTGGTAAATGTAAGTGAACTGTGGGTAGTTCTATCAAATTATGGAACTTGAGGAGGCTGTTGTACAGGACCCAGGTCTAGATGCAGTTGCTGAGAAGTACAGGTGGCCCCTGGGGCTTTGAGTGGCATCTGCTGAGTGGGGCTGTGTTGGGTGAGCCAGGAACTCATGGAGTCTCTGCTAACTCTGGGTGGCTTCTGAATTGAGTGGTTGCATGACTGCTTAGTGCTGGAGAATTCGCTGGTGTTCAGCAAGCACCACACATTTGGTGTCAGAAAAAAAGACAGCATAGGTCAGAACCTTCCACTGACTCACAGTGAGCGAGTGGTCTTTGGTGGGCATTGAGACCCCGGTGGAAGGACTGTGTCCACACTGTGGGGAGGGGCCAGCAGGGTGTGTGTGGAAGTCCCAGAAGTAATTTTCTGGCTGCTCACATTTCCCTCACACACTACCTAAGAGTGGGCCAGCCTGGCCTGTGTCTCCACAGTCCCAGTGGTTCCTAAGCTTGGGAATGTGTAACTATTGGAGTGTGGGTTTCCTTGTGAGCTGTGGGTGAGGCAGGCTGCCTACCTGAGCTGCCTCCCTTTTGTTTCTTTTACAAAATCTTGCTGCCATGGAATTGCTCTTTCCCCACGCCTCTGAGAATTTATTTTATTTTATTTACTTATTTACTTTATTTATTTATTTATTTTTCACACAAAATCTCACTCTGTCGCTAAGGCTGGAGTGCAGTGGCGCAATCTCGGCTCACTGCAACCTGTGCCCTCCAGGTTCAAGCGATTCTCCTGGCTCAGCCTTCCAAATAGCTGGGACTACAGGCATATGCCACCACACCCTGCTCTTTTGTGTGTGTGTGTGTGTGTGTATTTTTAAAGTTATGGCAAGTTTTCACCGTGTTGACCAGGCTGGTCTCAAAGTACTGACCTCAAGTTATCCACCCACCTCAACATCCAAAGTTCTGGGAATAAAGGCATGAGCCACTGCACCTGGCCACATCTAAGAATTTTATTCTATGATTTGCATGTTAGGATTTTAATTAGCTGGTTGGAAACTTAGTGAATATTTTGATAATCTTTGAAGAAGGAAATCGAGTTCTTGAAATAAGCTGTTTTGTGCCAAGTCAAAATAATAACAATATGAATACTCAGAGACATATCACCCCAAAATGGATAGGCCTTGGGCAGTTCTGGTGTGTCTCCTTGGTCTCACTTATTTTTCGTATGCAAAGGTGATCAAAGTTTTGATTCCTTTTGTTATTTTTTGTAGCTTTGTCATCTCTTTGTCACAAAGCAGAATTTTGCCACCTTTGAATTTTCAGTAACATAATACTACCATTAATACACCATTAGTATTATGCTGAGAGGGTGTATTTCTGGGTTTTTCCCTGAGCCTGTTGCAAACATGCTGCTGTGTGAAGTTGTGGGTCATGTAATTGACTTGCCTATTTCCCTGCTTAATGGGACTTGAGTTGGTTCAAGTCTATCTTTGTTCTTATTGACAATTCTCTTCTTGTTTTTGTTCCTAATTGGAAATACAACACAAATTCTTACATGTTGGGAAAAAATTGCTGGGTTGTAGATTATGAATAAATACAAAATTACTAGGAAATGTCGACAGAGTATGAATGTAACTTATGGATTAACCATCTCACCTTTCATAGATGTGTCTTTATTCTTGTGATTTGCCAACACTTTGAATTATCTAACGTACTTTTTATTGCCCATTTACTCTGAAACACAATCTCTGTGTGATTACGTATTGCTTTTTACTGGTTGCCATTGGTTTAGCATTTTTCCTATATGATCTTTCATCTCCTGTTTAGCTGTTTCCAGTCATCCTCTTACATTTGACTAATTGGTAGTTATTTTTCTTTCTTTTTTTCTTTTTTTGTTAATTTGACACAGCCTTGCTCTGTAGCCCAGCTGGAGTGCAGTGGTCACTCACTGCTCCCTGCAGCATCAAGCTCCTGGGCTTGAGCAATCCTCCCACCTCAGCTTTCTGCCCAGCTAATTAAAAAAATTTTTTTGTAGAGACAGGGGTCTCACTGTTTTGCCCAGGCTGCTCTTGAACTCCTGGGCTCAATCAGTCCTCTGCCTTGGCCTCACAAAGTGCTGGGATTGCAGACATGAGCCACTATGCTCAGCAATAGGGTTTTTTCTTTTTTTTAAACCATGTTTCTGACCAATATTTTATTAAAATCTTTAAGAACTGCATGCTAACAAAGGTTATTCTGTTCTGTTTTTCATTTTCTGTTTTACATTTTCATTATGATTACTTGTTTTTCTTTTTTATTCTCATTTTTTCCTAGATAATTACAATACTTTTCCATGTAGTGGCCCTGGCATGCATTTTCATCCTTCATGCAATCATACAGCTACCTCGATGTCCCTTCTCTCTGCCATTCTGAAATTGGACCTCACTCCTTTGTGACTCTTGCTCCCCATCTGCTATGTGATAAAGTCCTGTCTGATTACATCGTCTCCAAAGCCTCTTTTTGGACTTCTGTTTACCCCTTGGCATGCCCTGCATTTACTCTCTTCAAAATATATACTTAGAGGCCGGGTGCGGTGGCTCACGCCTGTAATCTCAGTACTTTTGGATGCTGAGGCAGGAGGATCCCTTGTGCCCAGGAGTTTAAAACCAGCCTGGGTCACATAGGGAGACCCTGTCTCAAAAACAAAATTTATAGTTACAAGTCCTAAACCCCAACAGGGTCATATTTGGACACGGACCTTTTAGGAGATCACATACATTTATAAAGGAGGGCTCTCACAATGGGATTAGTAAGAGAGAGAGAGAACTCTGCCTCTCCAGCATGTAAGGACAAAGCAAGAAGGCATCTAGCTGCAAGCCAGGAAGATAGCCTTCACTAGGAACAAAATTGTTGGCAGCAAGATTTCAGACTTCCCAAGCTTCAGAACTGTGAAAAACAAATTTCTGCTGTTTAAGAAACTGAGTCCATGGTACTTTGTTATACTAGCCTGAGCTAAGTCACCCCAAGAGTCCTCACATTAACCATATACTGTCGTACAAGTGCTGCATTTGGATCTACCTGTAATGTCTCCAAATCTACTTTTCCTTTTGGACCCATTGTGAGAACAGGTTTGCCTCATAGACAACTGCTGGTGATATTAGTGATAGCCTACCAACTAGGGACTAAAAAGAAAGTTTTTCTTTTTTTTTTTTCTTGCTTTTTTTTTTGAGATGGAGTTTTTGCTCTGTTACCCAGGCTGGAGTGCAATTATGCAATCTCGGCTCACTGCCAGTTCTGACTCCCAGGTTCAAGTGATTCTCCTGCCTCAGCCTCCCAAGTAGCTGGGTTTACAGGTGCGTGCCACCACATCCAGATAATTTTTGTACTGTTAGTTAGAGATGGGGTTTCAACATGTTGGCCAGGTGGTTCTCGAACTCTTGACCTCAGGTGATCCACCTGCCTTGGCCTCCCAAAGCACTAGGATTACATGCATAAACCACCACACTCGGCCTCTCATTCATATGTGTGTGTATATTCTGTTTTTAATAAAAATAGAGACTAGGCCTATGTTGCCCCGTGTGGTCATAGCCCAAACTTTTGGGCTCAAGCGATTTACTCACCTCAGCCACCCAAAATGCTGGGATTAAGGCATGAGAAACTGTGCCAGGGCAAATGAAAGAAACTTAGTGGGAGGCCAGGCACGGTGGCTCACACCTGTAATCCCAGCACTTTGTGGGGCTGAGGCGGGTGGATCACCTGAGCTCAGGAGTTCAAGACCAGCCTGGACAACATGGTGAAACCACATCTCTACTAAAAATACAAAAAAATTAGCTGGGCATGGTACTCCCATTCTCACAGTCATGCAAAGGCTCTTTCTTAAGGATTCCACCTGCTGGAAAGCATTATATACTGCCTGCACTGACTCAAGAGTGTCTGGTTTCATCTCCATGTCATAATTACAACCACAATCCTAAAGGGACTGATTTACCACACTGTGGTTGCCGTAAGTCCCAAATTGTACCCTCAGCAGCAACTATATCATCCCAAGTCACAGCTCTACCCTCTAAAGGTGTGCCTGAGGCTTGTGCCTGCCATACTAACACATTAACCTGTCCAAAGCTTCCTTCAGAGCTGTGTCCCAGTCCCAAAGTGCCCCTTTCTAAAACATTGGGCTAAGTGTCAGATAAATGCTCTCCAATAATCCAAAGACCAACAAATGTCTGGATTTTTTTTCTTAAGAGAAATAGTATGGCTCTGTTTCCCAGGCTGGAGTGCAGTGGTGGGATCATAGCTCACTGTAGAAACTCGGGCTCAAGGGATCCTCCTGCCTCAGCCTCACAAGTAGCTGGGAGTAAAGGCACATGCCACTATGCCCGGCTGTTTTTAAATTTTTTGTACAGATGGAGTCTCACTCTATTGCCCAGGCTGTTCTTGAACTCCAAGGCTCAAGTGATCCTCCCACCTCAGCCTCCCAAAGTGCTGAGATTACAGTTATGAACCAATGCACCCAGAACTCAAAAAGGAATATTTATAAGGGAAAATATCTAATGTTCAAATTGTTATGTATAGAGCAGTTAACGGGAACTATCATTTAGGGTCTATGGGATTCTAGGACACTAGGTATGAAACAAATATGAGGAAGGTCAGAGAACAAGCTGACTTGATGATTAATGCTGAAGGTGCCGCAAGCTTGGTTTAAGTTTTCCTCCTCCCATCCTCCCTGATGAATTTGATAAAGTTTAAAGGGATGGTTTCACCGGGGGCTTTTTCCACTGACTGCAAGGAGGTGATCCCGCTTGGTAAATCTTCAGTAGGCCAAGCCTCTTACGTGGCTAGAATGATCCAGTCCATAAGGAAATGTCACCACCTGCTGTATTTTACACTTTGACCATCAAAGGGGTACAGGGTTTCCCCAGGGAGTTTGGTGGGATTTTAATTTTTTGTTTGTTTGTTTTGAGACAGTGTCTTGCTGAAGCGCAGTACCCAATTATAGCTCACAGCAGCCTCAAACTTTGGGGTTCAAGTGACTCTCCTGTCTCAGCCTCCTGAGTAGCTGAGACTGTAGGTACACACACTTCTCCTTGGTAATTAAAAATTTTTTATGGAGATGGGAGGGTCTCACTTCACGGCTCAGGGTGGTCTCCAATCTCGGGCTTCAAGCGATCCTCCCACTTTGGCCTCCCAAAATGTTGGGATTACAGGCGTGAGCCATGGCACCCGGCCTCCCAGGCTGTTGTTTGAAGGTCTTTGCAATCTCTAAGAGTTCTGCAGCAATTTATTCCCTGACAGTGAGAGTCTCATCCTTTGACCCCATTTTGCCGCAGTAGCTGAACGTTCACTTTTCTTTCCATAAGGGGGCGAGCTTGCCAGTGACCCTAATCCCTCTCCTCATCGATGACTTCTTTGTCATCAGAGCCTTCCTCTTCATAAATTCCCACGGAATCCAAGTTTTCACGTCCCAATCGGGCTTAGTTATGATAGCCACAGGCCCACACCAGCTGCCACAGCACCCCTGTCCCATGGAAACCGCCTGACTCTCTTCTCCCCAAGCGTCCTGTCCCAGGAGCCCCCATCATCTCTGCTCCCCCGGGCTCCAGGCCCTAGAGCCGCGCTGCTGCAGAGCCCGGTTCCCAGGGCTGCTCCCTCCATATATCCACATTCATCTCCAGCTCTCCACCCTCTCTCCAACCAGCCAGGCCCGGAGGTACTGCAGTGTCACTGAACGTGCGTCCCTCAGCTGCCACCTCCACCACGATCTGGAAATCTTTTAAATGCACTTAAGTTATCTTAGAATTTTCCTTCCCCACTTTATACATAAACATAGGAGGAGAGCAGGGACTCTGCTGGTGTCTTATTCACACAATGGGATTGAGGGTGTTTGTGTCATGGAACTGATCAATGGGGTGAGAAGTAGCTGAATAACCTGCAGGGGGCAGCAGAGCCCGAGGCCGGTGACTCAACGCTGAGGCCAGTGTGGAGCCTGCAAAGGAAGGGAAAGGAGCCTTTCCTGGGGGCTTCCGGGCAGCCCGCCCTCCCCTACAGGTGGCCTCCAATTGCTCAGAGCAGCTCCAGAAGGAGTGCGGATTCCGAGAAGCTGAAGAGCCCTGGAAAGCAGAAGACCCACATGCACACGTATGTGTGGGGGTTCTGTCCTTTCTGGTGTTGTACCTCTGGAGCCTGGGGCTGTCTTCTGGGCAGGGTTTGGGGTTTGACATGCATGGGGCCACTGGGGTCAGATTTGTAAGATACAGTGAATTTCTTTAAGTTTTTCTTTAAAGATTTAGCCTGCTAACTTCCTCGTCTTTTGTTCTCAAACTCAACTTTCCTGTTCCTCCTTGCCCCTAGTTACTTTAAAACAGCCTACCCCGTTCCCATCAGCTCTAATCAATAACTCACATCTGTTCCCTTGGTTACCTGTACCCATTGTTCCCCCAAAACTGCACATCTCACATGCTCCACCTCTGTACCTCACATCCCCCTCCCCTTCTATATTTAGAAAAATATGTACAAGCAGCCAATCGGGTCAGCTCAGACTGTGCGGTCCGACCCCAGCCCATGGGGGAGTAACACAGAGATAGGGACCGCATTAAGGATAAAAACCTCCTGGTCTCCTTTGTTCTCTGTGCTCTTGTGATCTTGATTGACGTGAGTGGCACCCTTCTGCAGTAGTAAATTGCCTTGCTGAGAGAATTAAAATTTTGCCTGAGTGCTGGTTTTACTTCACGGCACCAAGCTTTTATTCCGGGAGCATTTTATATCCAACAATTCTAGGGGATCGTCCGAGATCCCCATGCTCCTTTTGGAAGAGTTCTTCAGTCACCCTACCCTGGGGAGACGCGTCCCACTGCCCCATTGCGGTGGCCTCAGGGACAGGAGATCGAGACCCACCCATTTTGACGAATAAACCCGGACTCTCAGCAACGCGGGGAAGAGAGGCTTGCAATACCGCAGCGACCAGGTAAACTCTGTGCACAGACCAAGGTGGGAAACGTTGCAGGGGCAACAAAGTAATTCTTTGGTAGTCGGAGGGGTGTGTCAGGGCATTCTGGGGGTTGAAAGTGCATGAATGGTAACAAGCACTACTGCTGTGCGGAGCGAGTGAGTCCAATCTGCGGTTCTGTGGTCACCTCACACGGCTTAGGGCAGCCCTGCGGGGGTCCTGTCACAGGTTTATACGGACCTGCCATCAATGCTAAGAGGAACCTGAAACAAACCTGCGAGGGAAGCGGCCAGAGTGGATGAAGCGAAAGAAGGGTGCAAGGAACCTCCAGCAGGTGGAGCTAAAGGATAGTGGAATTGAGCCTTAGCCACACTTCCAGTGAGGGATAGGCAAAAGACCTCCTAATATGAGGGGTTGAGCCACAAGGAACCCCCCAAATAGGCAAGAGATCCTTAATTTGAGAGGCTGAGCCACAAGGAACCCCCAAAATAGGCAAGAGATCCTTAATATGAGGGGTTGAGCCACAGCAAGCCCCCCTAGGCAAGAGATTCCTATCACGAGGGATTGAGCCTAGCCAGGACCCAGTATAGGAAATATTACAAGCAAAAAAGACAAAGTTAGCAACAAAGATATCCCCCCTAATAGTCCCCTAGGTCTCATGTTAAAACATTAGAAAGATAATGAAAAGACTAAACATAAGAAAAAGCAATTAGTGATAAAATATTGCTGTTCCATTTAGACTCAAGAACGAATCCTTGAACCCTTAGTTTTCTGGCCAGAATTTAAGTCGAATGAGGGATGGATTTGTGAACTTCTAATAGAAAATGTTGCTAGTAGAAGACCTGCCTCCTGAGAAGAAACAAATTATGCCCTATGTTAGTTGCAAGGAGTTGTCCTTTCCCCTCCTCCAAGGATTGAAAGGAGCAAGTCAAAAACTAATATTTGGAGGAAAATGAGTTGTACATGTGCCCTATTAAGATAGAACCATCTTTAATGAAAAAGACAGTGAAGGAAGGGGCTTGGGGGATCCTAGCAAAAAGAACAACTCGCAAGATCCCCTAGACCATTCCCCACCTAATACCCAACCCTTCCCCTCAGGCATCGCCCAGTAAGTCTGTTCTTCCCCAGCCTAAGTCCCTCTCCCCTAAAGAACTCCAAGCTCCTAATTCACCAGATGGCTTTTGCCAGGCTAGCAACATGAAGGATCTGCCGCAACATGTTGTCAGCGTTGTCTGGCCCATAGTGCACCCCTGCAGCGGCAAAGCCCATGCTCCTGCCCACTGGCTGGTCCAAGGTCCTGGCACTGTATTGACGGCAGCTCTGCATGACATGCGAGCCAGGCCCCAGCCTATGCCCCATGCAAACTACATTATAGGATATCTGCCTTACTTTGCTGAGGCTAAGTAATACGGGGCTTCAGCGATGGCTCCAAGCAGCCTGGCATCCCCGCAGCTAAGTTTCCTGAGCAAGAAGTAGATAATCTTTCAGCGGATATATCCACTAGCATTTATTATAGTCAGGCCAGTGTTAAAAGTGAAAATATCCACCAGAAAAGAACTCTGATTCTTTAAAGTCACCTATGTTAAAATGTACCACCAAAAAAGAATTACATGTGTATAAATATGAGGCTATTCTGTTAAAAATGATAGTTTAATGTTACTAGTAATTTGCTTAACCTAACAAGTTTCTTAACGAAAGATCCAAATCTAAAAAGGAAGCACACATGTTTAGATTTAACTGATTACCATACAAATGTCCGGCCAAACTTAAGAGAAACCCCCTTCAAAAATGATTAAAGGAAAAAGGATTCAACAGATGTTCAATAATAAATAGAGAAGTTCCTAGAGAAATAAAATTTAAAAATTGTTTAATAGTTTACCCAAATTTGTAAGCTGTTTGCACTTAGTCAAGCTTTAAAGTAACTGCAAAGGAACCATCTATACTAATCTATATTGATTCTAAATACACCTTTATCGTGGCTCATACATTTAGAAAATTTCAGACAATAATAAAGGTCAAAGCCTTGTTCATGAAGAGTTAATAACCCAAGTGTTAAATAACCTTCAGTTACCAGAAAAAAAAAAAAAGCTATTTTCCACGTCCCCAGGCACCAAAAATCCTATCTTTCAAGAGTTAAGAAAATAACCTAGCAAATCAGATAATCCGAACCAGCTGCCGTTTCTCCTGTAGGCACTGAAGGGAATTCAAATGTTATTTAAACCTCTTATGAAAGAAGTCCTATCCCACCTAAATTAGAGGACCCATTAAAGACCTCAAGCTATGTATAGCACAGTTAAAGTTTATATGTGTATGAAAATGTACATCCTTAGCCAAACAAGTCTAGAAACTTAGTTGCCATAACTCAAATGTCTTCTGTCTTCCTATTAATCCAAACTACCTCTCAAAGCAATCCACTGCCAACATTCCTACATACTTGGTTTATCTTCCACTTTCTCTTCCCTCAAAACTCACAATTTTCCAGTACAGGTGCGGCTCCTGGAGTTCCCAGTGCGTCAACACCGGCCTGAGGAGCTGGCCTAGTACTTCCCACCATTGAAACTGCAGTCTGGACAGCAGAGAAAGGATAGACCCATCACACCCGAGTCAAGAAAGCACCGCCACCCCCAAAGTCGTAGGCCATTATTCCAGGGGAAAACCCCCTCAAACTAAAGCTAAGAAAAATTTAACCTCTTACATCTATTCTATTACTCTTTCTTCTTTTCCCCTTCCAATGCTGACCACCTTGTCATTAATGTAACTCAATCAAACTCACCCCAAGTTATCACGTTTAATGCTATGTCTAGTCATACCCTGTAAAGATCTCCAAAGTCAAAGACAAGTCTCAGCCTCAGAAAAGTATCTCTGCCCCTTTAAGGTGAAAGGCCCCCCCTACCAAGACTCTTGTTCCTTAACAAATATAAGAAAACAAGTCTGTCATAGCTAGAATGATGTCCTATGGACAACCAAATGTCAAGGCTAGACCTCATCAGCAGGTGGCTGTATATCCTTAAAACCATACATTCATTTCACTAAAAAAAGCACCTCCCCAATTGCCAGTATAATCAATGTAATCCCATACAAATTTCCACCTCTACTGACCCTAAACCTACTTTAAGTCACTTCTATGGAACAGGAGCCAACTTGGCCAGCACAGACCTCATAAGATCTTTCGAAATGCGTTTTATTAATCCTTCATTCTCTTCACCCCCTTCCTTCTCTTCTCCTTCTAAGCTTTCTTCTAATCAGACTGCCACCTGTTTTCTACCTAATGATACTACTAAAGTAAATATTGTAGAAGTAAAAGATTTAAGACAAACCCTAGCAATTAAAACAGGATATCAAGATGTAAATACCTGGTTGGAATGGATTCAATATTCCGTCCGCACATTGAACAAAAGCAATTGTTACGCTTGTATGCATGGCAGACTAGAGGCCCAGACTGTTTCCTTTCCACTAGGATAGCCCTTCAGCCGACCAGGCATAGGCTGTATGGTAGCTCTTTTCCAAAATTCCACAGCCTGGGGCAACAAATCATGCCAAGCTCTCTCTCTGCTATATCCCGAAGTCCAACAACCTGCAGGCCAGCCCCCAAAGGCCATTCAGCTTCCTTCTCCTGACGTCAATTTCACCTCATGTCTCTCACGACGAGGGGAGAATCTGGCGTTCCTTAGAAGCTTAACAAGATGCAATAAGCTTAAGCCCTTCCAAAAACTTACCCATCAGTCTGCCCTTAGTCATCCTCAAGCAGATGTATGGTGGTATTGTAGTGGACCTTTACTGGATACTCTGCCAAGTAACTGGAGCGGCACTTGCGCTCTTGTCCAATTGGCGATCCCTTTCACACTGGCATTTCATCAACCAAAAAAAAAGAAAAGCCACAACACCAAAAAATAAGAGAAGCCCCTTATAAGTCTTTTGACTCTCAAGTTTACATAAAGGCCATTAGAGTCCCATGGGGAGTGCCTAACAAGTTCAAAACCTGAGACCAAATAACTGCAAGATTTAAACCCATATTTCCCCGAATAACTATTAATAAAAATGTAGCTTCGATAAATTACATCTATTATAATTAGCAGCAGTTTATGAATTACACCAAGGATCTTATCAAAAAACAGCTGACCAGTTAAGGCCTACTAGCCAAATAGCTTAAGAAAACAGAATCACTTGACTGGGCGCGGTGGCTCATGCCTGTAATCCCAGCACTTTGGGAGGCCAAGGTGGGCGGATCACAAGGTCAGGAGATCGAGACCATCCTGGCTAACATGGTGAAACCCCCGTCTCTACTAAAAAATACAAAAAAAGTATCCGGGCGTAGTGGCGGGCACCTGTAGTCCCAGCTACTGGGGAGGCTGAGGCAGGAGAATGGCGTGAACCCGGGAGGCAGAGCTTGCAGTGAGACAATATGGTGCCACTGCACTCCAGCCTGGGCCACGAAGTGAGACTCCATCTCAAAAAATAAAAACCAGAATGGCTCCAGACATGTTATTAGCCAAAAAAGGTGGAGTTTGTGTTATGATTAAAACCCAGTGTTGTACCTTCATTCCAAACAACACTGCCCCCAGTGAGAGCATAACAAAGGCCTTGCAAAGACTTACCGCTTTATCCAATGAATTAGCTAAAATTTCTGGAGTCAATGACCCTATTTCAAGATGGCTAGGAAAGTAGTTCAGTCAATAAAGAATCATAGCCTCAATACTTATTTCTTTTACAGTCGTAACAGGTGTACTTATTCTTGTTAGGCGTTGTGTCATACCATGCATCCGTAGGCTAATACAAAGGATTGTACGAACAGCATTTACTGAAACCTCCCTTAGTTCTCCTCCACCTTATTCAAGTAAGCTTTTCCTTTTAAAAGATCAAATCAAACAGCAAAGCCAAAACACGTTAAAAAAGTTTAAAGAGAAAAAATCATAAGAAAATTAAAAGGGAGGAATTGTAACATACAGTAAATTTCTCTGAGTTTCTTTTTTTTTTTTTTTTTGAGACGGAGTCTCACTCTGTCACCCAGGCTGGAGTGCAGTGGCGTGATCTCGGCTCACTGCAAGCTCTGCCTCCTGGGTTCATGCCATTCTCCTGCCTCAGCCTCCCGAGTAGCTGGGACTACAGGCGCCCACCACCACGACTGGCTAATTTTTCGTATTTTTTAGTAGAGACGGGGTTTCACCATGTTAGCCAGGATGGTCTCGATCTCCTGACCTCGTGATCTACCCGCCTCAGCCTCCCAAAGTGCTGCGATTACAGGCGTGAGCCACCGCGCCTGGCCTCTCTGAGTTTCTCTTCAAAGACTTAGCCTGCTAACTTCCTTGTCTTTTGTTCTCCAGCTCAACTTTCCTGTTCCTCCTTGCCCCTAGTTACTGTAAAACAGCCTACCCCCTTCCCGTCAGCTCTAATCAATAACTCACATCTGTTCCCTTGGTTACCTGTACCCATTGTTCCCCCGAAACTGCACGTCTCACACGCTCCATCTCTGTACCTCACGTTCCCCTCTCCTTCTATATTTAGAAAAATACGTACAAGTAGCCAGTCGGGTCAGCTCAGATTGTGTGGTCGAACCCCAGCCCATGAAGGAGTGACACAGAGATAGGGACCGCATTAAGGATAAAAAAACCCCCGGTGACCTTTGTTCTCTGTGCTCTTGTGATCTTGATTGACACAAGTGGCACACTTCTGCAGAAGTAAATTGCCTTGCTAAACAAATGAAACTTTCCCCTAAGTGCTAGTTTTACTTCGTGGGACCAAGAATTTATTCCTAAAGCATTTTATATCCGACAGAGATATTCATATATATAAAGAAAATGTGGGCCAGGCGCGGTGGCTCACGCCTGTAATCCCAGCACTTTGGGTGGCCGAGGCGGGTGGATCACTTGAGGTCAGGAGTTCAAGACCAGTCTGGTCAACATGGTGAAACCTTGTCTCTACTAAAAATACAAAAAATTAGCCAGGCGCGGTGGCATGTGCCTGTAATCCTAGCTGCTGGGGAGGCTGAGGCAGGAGAATCACTTGAACCCAGGAGGCGGAGGTTGCAGTGAGTGGAGATTGCACCACTGCACTCCAGCCTGGGGGGACAGAGCGAGGCTCTGTCTCAAAAAAAAAAGAAAAGAAAATGTGTGAAGATCAGGCTAGAGACAGAAATGTTTGGGAGCGTCACCTGGATAAAGGGTTCATGAAGTTGGCAGTTTATTTAGGTCAAAAGCTTAACTTAACCCCTGGAGAGAGTTTCCTGCTGGTGAAAATGAAGATCTGGAAGGAGGAAGCATTTTCACACTGTGAGGAGGGGATGGGGGTGTGAGAGCAAGTCTTAGCCATGCCTCATCCCCAGTTGCGGCCCGCTCCAAGACATATGCCTCTCCTCCTGGCGCAGTCGTGTCTGGCCTGGTCTCGGTTCCCCTGCTGCTCTGAGGCAGGAGATGGCTCCTGTGGACACTGAATCTGAAATTCCCTGCACACTCCTGTGACCCCATGCAGAACGAAGGAGCAGGGACAGTCCCTTGAGTGAGGAAGACGCTAGTGTTCTCCTCTATCAATAGCAAGTTTGGCTGAAATGCAAATATCCAATAACCAGAGTGCAGGAAGGAGCTCGCCCTTGGAAAAGCTGTGGTCAGAATCCGTCTGTCTGGCTCTGCAGGGCCCGATACCCAGGGCTTCCGCTGTCACTCAGACATGGGGGGCGGGGCCTAGCATTCCATCCAATCAGAGGCATTGTGGCGGGTCCCTGCCCACTGTTCCTCCAGACACTGAGGGGGTCGCATTCCTTACCTCACCTTTGTCCCTGCGCGGGCTGCGGCTGGGATCCGGTCTTTCCAGCCCCGAGAGGGACCTGGTTCCTCTGCCCAGGCTTCTGTCACTCTGTCACCTACGCTATGCCCTGCTGTAGTCACAGGAGGTGTAGAGAGGACCCCGGGACATCTGAAAGCCAGGAAATGGTGCGTGTCTGGGGCCGGGTGTCGTGAGACGGGGGAGGGGCTGCCTGGACCGACCGGAACCGACTGTGGCGAGACCCTGGCTTTCCTGCGGGCGACTTTGGGATCTGGGACCGAGTCCTCCTGGAGCCGCTCGGCCCTCGGTCCCCTCGACTGCTCGGTGTGGCTGGGCCGGTAGCCGGGACACCAGGCGTCCTGTCTCGTCTCTGCGCGGCGACTGCGGTTCCAGAGCCCTCTATGGGCAGCTCCGCGCCCGCAGCCACGCGTCTACCCAGATTGTGCGGGGGCCACGGGAGGGTCATGTGGGTGATCCCGACTCGGGTGTGGGGTTCGTGCTTGGGAGGAGCAGCGGTCTGTGGGGCCCCCAGTGTCCACTTTTTCTCCTGTTAAAAATTAAACTGAGGAACGTTAACAAAGAGTTCATTTGAGCAAACAGCGATTCACGAATGAGACACACCCAGTCCTGGCTTGTGGTTTGTCAACGGAAAAAGCCAAACTATGTAAAATAAAGAAGTTTATTCGGAGCCGAATAGGAGAGACCTTGGCCGAGGGAAAAACAACCCCAAGAAGCCTGGAGTAAGTGGTCCCGAGGCGGCTCAAGACAGTTTGGTTTTATTCATTTTAGAGAGACAGGAATTGCAGGGAAAATCATGAATTAGTGCCTGGAAGGTGTAATTTCCTTAGGCAGAAAGGGAGGGACCTGGCCGGGCACGGTGGCTCACGCTTGTAATTCCAGCACTTTGGGAGGCCAAGGCGGGCGGATCACCTGAGGTCAGGAGTTCAAGACCAGCCTGGCCAACATGGTGAAACCCCGTCTCTACTAAAAATATAAAAAAGAAACTAGCCGGGCGTGATGGTGGACGCCTGTAATCCCAGCTACTCGGGAGGCTGAGACAAGAGAATTACTTGAATCCAGGAGACAGGTTGCAGTGAGCCCACACAGTGCCACTGCACTCCAGCCTCAGCACAGAGTGCGACTCTGTCTCAAAACAAAAACAAAAACAAAAAACAGAAAGGGCGGGACCTGTGGAAGGGGGGTTAGAAGGCACAGGTGGTTGAGGGATTCTGTAGGTGGCAGCTGGTTGAGAGTGTGAAGCTTTGTCTAAAGTTTGGAGGAGGTAGGAAGGAATGCTGAAGGAAGGGGGTCTGTTATCTGCCACTTGATTCCATCCCAGCCAAAAAACAGACCTGTTTCTCTAGATTTTATGAATTCTAAGGTGTGACTTACCCTTGTCTTGCGTGGCCTTAGGTCTTGTTTGTAATTTGGTATCTTCTTGCCACAAGGAGTCTGTTTTTCCAGTCAGATAATGTCTGTTTTTACATGAATGTGCGTCAGTTGCTGCATGTAAACTCCTAAAGGGAGAGGGTATAAGGAGGCCTGTCTCACCTCCCATCCTGTCATACAGAGGCACTCAATTTTCAGGGTTTTTTGGGGGTTCCCTTGGCCAAGAGCCGGTCACTTCACTTACCTGGGAAGGTACTTTGTTTTTGTTTTTATTTAAAACAGAGTCTCCTTCTGTCACTCAGGCTGGAGTGCAATGGCTCAATCTCGGCTCACTGCAACCTCCACCTTCCGGATTCAAGCAATTCTCTAGCCTCAGCCTCCTGAGTAGCTGGGATTACAGGCACGCACCTGAAGGGGGCCTGCCCCTCCACCCCTGTGGGTGTTTCTTGTCAGGTAGAGACAAGAGACTGAGTAAAGAAATAAGACACAGAGACGAAGTATAGGGAAAGAACAGTGGGCCCAGGGGACCGGCGCTCAACATGCGAGGACCTGCACCGGCGCTGGTCTCTGAGTTCCCTCAGTATTTATTGATCACTATTTTTACTATCTTGGCGAGGGGAGTGTGGCAGGACAACAGGGTGATGGTGGGGAGAAGGTCAGCAGGGAATCATGTGAGCAAAGGAACCTGTATCATGAATAAGTTCAAGGAAAGATACTGTGCCTGGATGTGCAGGTAGGCCAGATTTATGTTTCACTTTATGCAAATATCTCAGTGTAGCAAAGAGTAACAGAGCAGTATTGCTGCCAGCATATCTTGCCTCCCACAGGGCGGTTTTCTCCTATTTCAGAATAGAATGAATGGTCGGCTTTACACAGAGACATTCCATTCCCCGGAACGAGCAGGAGACAGAAGCCTTCCTCTTATCTCAACTGCAAAGAGGCCTCCCTCTTTCACTATTCCTCCTCAGCACAGACCCTTTAGGGGTGTCAGGCTGGGGGATGGTAAGGTCTTTCCTTTCCCACGAGGCCGGATCTCAGGCTGTCTCAGTGGGGGAAAACCTTGGACAATACCCAGGCTTTGTTGGGCAGAGGTCCCTGCGGCTTTCCGCAGTGCACTGTGCCCCTGGTTAACCGAGAATGGAGAATGGTGATGACTTTTACCAAGCATACTGCCTACAAACATATTGTTAACAAGGCACATCCTGCACAGCCCTAAATCCATTAAACCTTGATTCAATACAGCACAGGTTTCTGTGAGCACAGGGTTGGGGCTAAAGTTACAGATTAACAGCATCTCAAAGAAGAACAATTTTTGTTAGTACATACCAAAATGGAGTTTCTTATGTCTTCCTTTTCTATGTAGACACAGTAACAATCTGATCTCTCTTTTCCCCACATGCACCACCACGCCTGCCTAATTTTTGTGTTTTTAGTAGAGATGGGGTTTCACCATGTTGGCCAGGCTGTTCTCGAACTCCTGACCTCAAGTTACCTACCTGCCTCGGCCTCCCAAAGTGCTGAGATTCCAGATGTGAGCCACCTCGCCAGGCCAGAAGATAGATTTTTATTTTTAGTTTATAGGTTGAAGCCTCAGCTTTTATAAGGTACATGAGGAGACAAACCAGATAAATGCTTGATTGGTTGCAGAGATGCAGTCGCCTTATTTGGACTTGCCAGCCCGAAATAATTCAAAGGTTCAGATTTCAGTTTGAAGAGTTTATTCAAGCAGAAAGATAGCAATGGCCCATTCAGGAAAAAAAACAGACTCCAGAGAAATGGACTCAGTACTCTAAAATTAGAAGTTAAGTTCTTTCTTATATTACCAGGAAAAGAGGTCCTGATCAGACCCCAAGAGAGTTCTTGGATCTCACACAGGAAAGAATTCAAGACGAGTCACAAAGTGCAGTGAGAAGGGAGTTTGTTGAAAGCTACTCTGGGCCAGCATGATGGCTTAGATCTGTTTTCTAAGCACATTGGGAGGCCGAGGCAGGAGGATCACTTCTAGTCAGCAGTTCGAGACCAGCCTGGGCAACATAGGGAAACCCCATCTTTTCCAAAAATAACAAAAATTAGCCGGGTGTGGTGGCTTGCACCTGTAGTTCCACGTACTCGGGAGGCAAGCGTTCAAGACCCAGCTGGCCAATGCAGTGAGAGCCTGTCTGTATTAAAAAAAAAAAAAAAGAAAAGAAAGAAAGGAAGGGAGGGAGGGAAGGAAGGAAGAAGGAAGGAAGGAAGAAAAAGGAAGGAAGGAAGGAAGAGAGTGATTCTCTGTTACAGAGTAGGGCATCCTCATAAAGCAAGTGGAGGAATGTACTAAGTTTTTCTTAGGTAGGGATCTTGTCTATGTAAAGACTAAACTAAGCTGTGCCTACCTGCATGGGGGCTGACAGCATCACAAAATTTATTACTCTATTGATTTAAAGAAAACTATCCTTTACATTTTAGCACCCAAGTGCATTAAAACAACTATAATTATCTTGAAAGCACATATTGTTATGGGTATTGGGACATCAGGACATTCTGTTGTTGTGGGAGTGTAAGGATACTTGCAGGCATCTTCAGGCTGTTTTCTTCATGGGAAACTTTATGATCATGGGTTGTGACTGGCAAGGAGTGTTTCTTGTTAGTCTCAAGATGGAGCTGAACTTAAATTGGTGTTTCTCTGGCTCCCCTAGGCACCTGCTTCCCTAACACTTGTATAGGGAAAAGGCAAATAAATATAATAGGATTGCATTTTCCATAGAAGGCTGATGTATGAGGTACAATAATTTAATTTTATTTTTTTCTTTGAGCGAATGTCTTGTTCTGTGGCCCAGGCTGGAGCAGTGGTGCGATCATGGCTTACTGCAGCCTTGACCTCCCTGGCTCAAGCACCTCAGCCTCCCAAGTAGCTGAGACTACAGTCGCCCACCAGCACTCCTGGCTGATTTTTTTTTTTTTTTTTTTTTTTGTATGCAGGTGGCATCTTGATATGTTGCCTAGGCTGGTCTCTAGCTCCTGGCCTCAAACAGTCCTGCTTCCTTGGCCTCCAAAAGTGCTGCGATCACAGACGTTAGCCAGTGCACCTGGCTAGCAACTTAATTTGTTATGGTTTGCTTTTTTCCCCCAGCGCTTGTTTTCTTTTCTTTCTAGCTGTTTTTTATTTCCTTTTCAATTTAAAAGAGTGAATTCAACATTCCAGCTGAAGACAATGTGATAGCCATGAAGTCTTTGTGTGAGAAAGTTAAGAGGGAAGTTAGTCTACTACAGAGATCAGTAGTGAAGAGGGGCCCAGTGGGATGGCTCACACCTGTAACCCCAGCACTTTGGGAGGCTGAGGCAGGTGGATGGCTTGATCTCAGGAGTTCAAGACCAGCCTGGGCAACATAAGTGAGATGCCATCTCAATTGTGAAAAATCATATTAAATAAATAAAAAAAAAGTGAAGAGGGAAAGGGTCTTTCCTGTTTCCCTTCAGTCATTTACAACATTTTACAAAACACTATAGGTAAGAAAGAAGGCGAATCTGTAATCAGGGAAAGGAGAGTTCCAGCTGGCTATGTGAAAGCTGTGTGTCATGTGACTCAACCCCATGATTGCATTGCTTCAAGATAGAGATCCACCAGCTTAAATATTTGAATTACTTTGTTGTTTTTGTTTGTTTGTTTGTTTTGAGACAACTCTGTGGCCCAGGTTGGAGTGCAGTGACATCATCTCAGTTCACTGCAGCCTTTGCCTCCTGGGTTCAAGTAATTCTCCTGCTTCAGCCTCCCAAGTAGCTGGGATTACATGCATGTGCCACCGCACATGGCTAATTTTTGTATTTTTAGTAAACACGGGGTTTTACCACGTTAGCCAGGCTGGTCTCCAACTCCTGTCCTCAAGTGGTCCGCCCACCTTGGCCTCCTGAAGTGGTGGGATTACAGGTATAAGCCAGCTTTCCTGGCCTGACTTAGGTAGAAATTTTCTAGTTATGTAATCAGAGGTTAATTGGTGGATTCTGCCTGATTAAGCATAAATTTTGTTTCCCTATAGATTAATAATTTTGAAGAGTTGTATTTAAATTTGCTTTCAGGGTCTTTAAGTAGGACCTTCGGACACTGCATACAGTTCGGTCTCATTGTTTTTTATTTAAAATTTTCCACAATCTCCAGGGAGACTGTTTTCCCCTGGCATTTTCCAAATATATGGGATGCCGGATCTCAAATCCTCCACCCTCATACCACAGCCTGACTCTTCAAGGGCTTGCAGTGAAATCTGTGTCTGAACATTTCACATGAGAGGAAAGCAGTGAATAACCACTAGACATTTTCCCGAAAAATCCTTTCTGCCTCTCCTCCTTTTATCTTTCCTAGACACAGTCACCTTATCAGGATGTCTTTGGGATGCGGTTCCTTTCTGGAAACATTACAGGGTGATGTGTCTTCAGTGCACCCTCCTATCTTTTCCTGGTTTTGGGTTTTAGAACTGCCCGGGGCTGACTCAAGATGCCCACAACTGCCATGTCTCCCGGAGGGTCTCATGGGTATTAGTGCCTTAGGGGAGTGGGGCCTCCCGAGGGAGCAGCTGAATGCCTTGTGGTGGAGGAGATGCCTGGTATACTCTTCATCTACATAACCAATTCTTGGGGTGCTCAACTTCTCTCTCCCAACTCCAATTTCCATTAATTGGAGACACATAGACAGTCAGCCAATTGGATGTTGCTATTGAGGAAAAAGAGAAATGATTCCTGTCCTCTGGATTGTCTCAACCGTGAAGGGAGAAATATCCCAAAAGACAAGGAACAGCCACTCCAACATAGTGGAGCAATTGCCTGCAAAGCAAGATATGCATGGGGGTACACAGGGGACACAATGCAGTGTTGGTGGGAAATAGTCATTGAGCACTTCTCCTTTCCTCTCATGTGAAATGTTCAGAGAATCACCACCAGACACTCCCGTGTGAAAATTTGTATGCATCTCCTCCTTTCATCTATCCTAAAAACAGAGATCTTTTTTTTTTGAGACAGAGCCTTGCTCAGTCGCCCAGGCTGGAGTGCAGTGGCACGACCTCGGCTCACTGCAAGCTCCGCCTCCCGGGTTCATGCCATTCTCCTGCCTCAGCCTCCTGAGTAGCTGGGACTACAGGAGCCTTTTAGTAGAGACAGGATTTCACCATGTTAGCCAGGATGCTCTCTATCTCCTGACCTCGTGATCCACCCGCCTTGGTCTCCCAAAGTGCTGGGATTACAGGCATGAGATACCCCACCTGGCCTAAAAACAGAGATCTTATCAGATTGTCTTTTGGTTGAGGCTCCCCTTTGGAAACTTCAAAGGGTATTGTGTCTTCAGCACACTCTCCTATGTTTTCTTGGTCCTGGGTGGTAGAATGGGGTGACCTAATATTCCCACAGCTGCCATGTCTCTTGGAGGGTCTAGTGAGTATCAGCCCCTGAGTCACTCCTCCCAGGGGACAGACTGAGGTAGGAGAATGGGGACTCCCAAGAGAGCAGCTGAATGCCTTACGATGGAAGGAGACTCCTAGTATACTCTGCATCTAGATAGCCAACCCCTCGAGATGCTCAGCTTTTCTTTCCCAGTCCCAGTTTTCGTAAGTTGGAGACACATGGCTGGTCAGCCAGTTGGATGGTGCTATTGAGGGAAAGGAGAAATGATTCCTGTCCTCTGGATTGTGTCAACTGTGAAGGAAGACAAAACCCCAAAAGACAAGGAAAGCCCACCCCAACGGGGTGGACCAGTAGCCTGCAAATCAGAATATGAAATTGAGGTTCACAGCGGGGCATAGTGCGGTGTTGGTGGAAAGTAGTCATGAGCGCTTCGGTGAGCAGGATGGGGGTGGAGAGATGTCTCATGTGATAGGGTGACCTGTGCTGACACATGAGTCAGACATCACTGTGTTCCAGCCAGTATTGCCCCTCTGTGGGCTTGTCCCTTGTAAAGAATAGTTCATAGATTGCAGCTTGAGTATTTCAAATTAACTTTACGTTGCATTTTTCACTAGAGCCAAATCCAAGAATGATTGCATAGATCAGGTAAGACACAGAAGAGGCAACTCAACAAAGCCCATGACATACAGTGCATGGCTCACAATCCCAGGAGATGAGGGCAGCACAGCTGCAGAGCAACACAGAGTGGGGAGAACATCCAGGATGCACATTCAACCAGCAGGTGGGGAGCAAGACAGACAGGGACCTGTGGGCCAAAGCGTTTCTCAGGGTCCAGGGAATTGAACAAGGAGACGTCGCTCAGGGAGTTGTTTCTGGTGGATTTAGAGCAAGCAGGCACTAGTTCTGTGAAGTCATACTGTGATTAAGAGGTGGTCTGTACCATCCATGTGGGGTGTAAGGGTCAGTGGTACAAGTCAAATTGGTTATATCTAGCTGTCCCACAGGGAGGTGGTCACCAGAATGCAGTCGTGTAAGAAATATATGTGAGTTGACCACATGGAGGAAATGGGAGGAGGTGGAGAACTAGAAACTGTTAAGTTTGAATAAAGTTTTTTTCCGTTATGAGAAAGTTAAATCCATAAAGAAAATGCATGCTAAGGTAACATATAACTATAAGAACTCAGTATAAGAGGCAACTCTAGAATTAATTAAATTATTGTATGTGGAGATGATGGGTAGTAAACTGATTATTCTCCTGTAGATAACCATTTGTCGCTGCTTTTTCTGTTAAGTGTTCACCACTTGTATCATTGGCTGGCAATACCTGGTTTGTCATAGTTTCACATTACCTTAAACAGATGCCCAGACTGGGCATGGTGGCTGACGCCTGTAATCCCAGCACTTTGGGAGGCTGAGGCGGGCGGAACACCCGAGGTCAGGAGTTTAAGATCAGCCTGACCAATATGGTGAAACCCTGTCACTACTAAAAGTACAAAATTAGTCAAGCGTGATGGTGCATGGCTGTAATCCCAGCTACTTGGAAGGCTGAAACAGGAGAATCACGAGAACCTGGGAGATGGAGGTTGCAGTGAGCCGAGATCACACCATTGCTCTCCAGCCTTGGCAACAAGGGCGAAACTCCATTAAAAAAAAAAAAAAAAAAAAAAAAAAAGATTCCCTGGTTTCACAATTTGCTGTTTTCCATTGGTCTATCTTTCCATCTCTCTGATAATACCATTTTCTCTTAATTAGTATAACGTTCAAAGCTGTGGTGTTTAGTGGGTATATTGCCTGTCTATCTTAGTCATCTTGGGCTGCTATATCAAATTACCATAGACTGGGTGACTTAAGGGATAAACATTTATTTCTGGCAGTTCTTGAGGTTGTGAAGTCCATGTTAAGGGAGCTGGCAGATCTAGTGTCTGGTAAGGGCCCGCTTCCTGGTTTTGCAGATGGTCATCTTCTTGTGTTTCTTCATGTGACAGAGGAGAGGAAGCCGGCTCTCCTGTGTCTTCTTATAAGAGCACTAATCTCATTCAGAAAGGATCGACTCTTATGCTGTCATCTAATCCTAATTACTTTTCAGAGATGTCAACTTCTAATACTATATTGGGGGTAGGTTATTAATGTGTGATTTTTTTGGAGTGATGCAAATATTCATGCCGTAACACCCCCCAACCATATTCTATAGAGCATCTTGGCTATTCTTAGTCATTGTCTTGTATTTCGGTTTTTAGAAGTAGTTTTTTCTTAATTTTAGTGAAAAAAACAAACTGCCTTGTAAATTTCATGGACTAAAATATAACTGTAGTCATATTTCAGAAACGTTACATCATAGTGCTATTTAATCTCCTTTTAAGGACACATGACATTTTTTCATTTATTTCATTTTATATTGATGTTTTTCAGTGTAGACTTTTTGCATAATAATCATTTTATATCCTTCCTGAGACTTTTTTGGACTTGAAGAAAATTAGTTTTAATAGAAATTAGTGGCTGGGCATGGTGGCTCATGCCTGTAATCCCAATATTTGGGAGGCTGAGGTGGGTGGATCACCTGAGGTCAGGAGTTCAAGACCAGCCTGATGAACATGGAAAAACCTTGTCTCTACTAAAAATACAAAATTAGCCAGGCCTGGTGGCACATGCCTGTAATCCCAGCTACCTGGGAGGCTGAGGCAGGAGAATCACTTGAACCTGGGAGGCCAAGGTGGCGGTGAGCCAAGATCACGCCATTGCACTCCAGCCTGGGCAACAAGAGTGAAACTCCATCTCAAAAAAATAAAAATAAAAATAAAAATAAAGAGATTATTCCAGCATCGGCAACATGGCAAACTTTGCCTATACAAAAAATTACCTCGTCACTGTGATGTGTGCCTGTAGTCCCAGCTACTCAGGAGGCTGAGGTAGAAGGATCTGTTGAGCCTAAGAGTTCGAGGCTGCAGTGAGCTATGATTGCACCGCTACACTCCAGCCTGGGCAACAGAATGAGACCCTGTTTGAAAAAAAAAAAAAAAGAGTCAGGTGCGGTAGCTCACGTCTCTAATCCCAGCACTCTGGGAGGCCGAGGCGGGTGGATCACAAGGTCAGGAGATCGAGACCATCCTGGCTAACATGGTGAATCCCCGCCTCTACTAAAAATATAAAAAATTAGCCGAGCGTGGTGGTGGGCGCCTGTAGTCCCAGCTACTCGGGAGGCTGAGGCAGGAGAATGGCATGAACCCGGGAGGCGGAGGTTGCAGTGAGCCAAGATGGCGCCACTGCACTCCAGCCTGGGTGAGAGAGTGAGACTCCATCTCAAAAAAAAAAAAAAAGAAAAGAAAAGAAAAAAGAAAAAAATTAGTTTCAATAGAGTGTGCTCTTTTAAAAATTATATTTAGCAGACTGTTGCTGATAATTATAATTCACTGATAGTTATTTCTGTATAGAGTGTGCATTCTAGAATCTTACTAAAAATATTACATGTGCACAAAATACATAAAAGAATTGC
Source organism: Homo sapiens (assembly GCF_000001405.40). NCBI lineage: Eukaryota > Metazoa > Chordata > Mammalia > Primates > Hominidae > Homo > Homo sapiens. Next base: position 11,898,063 of record NC_000019.10, read on the forward strand.
ACAATTAATCCAAATAATGATGGAGCCAGTATTGGGAATAAGATAACTGCCTTACATTTTTTTATACTTTCACAACCTGGGTATGCATCCTCATCAGTATGTTTTATTTTTGCATGTTTTTCATGCAAATGATAACCAATATGTGATATTTCATATTGGATTTTATTTTAACTCAGTTATGAACCTTATATGGAATGATAGTTAATTCACTTTCTTATTTAATGGGTTTTATTATTTAGAACAGTGGTTATTTCCCCAAAACATTGAGCAGATAATCCACAGAGTTCCCGCAGTTTTCTTCCAGGCTCATAGTTCCTCCTGGCTTTTTTTTTTTTTTTTTTTTTTTGAGACAGAATCTCGCTCTGTTGCCCAGGCTGGAGGGCAGTGGCATGATCTCGGCTCACAGCAACCTCCGTCTCCCGGGTTCTAGCAATTCTTCTGCCTCAGCCTCCGGAGTAGCTGGGAATACAGGCACACACCACCACACCCAACTAATTTTTGTATTTTTAGTAGAGAGAGGGTTTCACCATATTGACCAGGCTGGTCTCGAACTCCTGACCTCATAATTCACCCACCTCAGCCTTCCAAAGTGCTGGGATTACAGGCGTGAGCCACCACGCCCAGCATAGTTTCCACTGTTTTAAACATCTTGACTGGCCAGGTGCTGAGCCTCATACCTGTAATCCTACCATTTAGGGAGGCCAAAGCAGGAGGATAGCTTGGACTCAGGAGTTGGAGGCCAGCCTAGGCAACATAGCAAGACCCTGTTTCAAAGAAAATAATTGTTTTAAACCAAAAAAACCATATTGACTTTGTGTAGTGTATCCTACAACTTATGCAAGAACATATTACATGTGAACATGATGAAAATTGAAGAAGCCAATGTTATTATTACCTAAAGTCCATCTTTTACATTAGGCTTCACTCTTTGTGTTCTGTGGTTTAAGACAACTACATGTGTCATGTATCCACCATCACAGTCTTATACAGAAGCGTTTCACTGCCCTCAAAATCCCCTGTGCTCCTCCTAATTCTATCTCTCCCTTCCCTCTTTTGCCACCCCTATTTATCCCTGGCAACAAATGGTGATGTTCCTGCCTCCGTTTTGCATTTTCCAGAATATCACATATTTGGAATGATGCTGTAAGTGGCCATTTCAGACTTGCTTCTTTCATGTAAAAATATGCATTGAAGGTCTCTCGATACCTTTGTTGCTTGACAACTCACTTATTTTTTATTTTTCTTTCTTTATCTAAAGATTTTTGTTTTGTGAGAGACAGGGTCTCAAACTCCCCAGCTCAGGTGATCCTCCTGCCTGAGCTTCCCAAATGCCTGGATTCCACTTGTGAGCCACCATGTCCGGCCACTCATTTTCTTTCATTACTGAGTAACATTCCATTGTACAGATGTTACCATAGTTTGTTTCTTTATTCATCTACTGAAAGACTCATCTTGAGCCTGGTGTGATGCCTCATCCCTGAGTTCCCAGCACACGGGAGACTGAGGTGAGATTGCTTAAGGCCAGAAGTTAGAGAACAGCCTGGTAGATACAGTGTGAGAACTTATCTATTTTTTTTTTTAAAGACTCACCTTGTTTGATTCTAGTTTTTGGCAGTTATGAGTAAGGCTGCTAAAAACATTTGTGGGAGGACTTTTGTGTGGACATCAGTTTTCAGTTCATTTGAGTCAATATGTAGGAATGAGACTACTGAATCAGTAAGACCATGCTTATTTTCTTCAGAGCTCCACAGACTGTCTTCCAAATTGGCTGTAGAATTTTCCATTCACATCCCTAGTGAAGGAGAGTTCACTGTCTCCAGCATTTGGAAGTGTCAGTGTTTTGGATTTTAGCTACTCCACCAGGTATTTGCTGGTGCTTTATTTTTGTTTTCCTTTTTTTTTCCCTTTGGAGACGGAGTTTCGTTCTTGTTGCCCAGACTGGAGTACCATGGTGTGATTGAGCTCACTGCAGCCTCTGCCTCCCGGGTTTAAGCGATTCTCCTGACTCAGACTCCCAATTAACTGGGATTACAGGTGTACGCCGCCATGCATGGCTGCTGTTCGTATTATTAGTAGAGACAGGGTTTCACCATGTTGTCCAGGCTGGTCTCAAACTTTTGACCTCAGGTGATCCACCCGCCTCAGCTTCCCAAAGGGCTGGATTACAGGCATGAGCCACTGCACCCGGCCTGTTTTCATTTGCTCTTTAATAACATGTAATGTAGGGCATCCTGTCATATGTTTGTTTGCCATAATTACATTCTTTAGGGGGAGGTATACTTGGAAAGATTGGGCTTTTTTTTTTTTTGAGACTGAGTCTGGCTCTGTCACCCAGGCTGGAGGGCAGTGGCGTGATCTCGGCTCACTGCAACCTCTGTCTCCTGGGTTCCAGCGATTCTCCTGCCTCAGCCTCCTGAGTAACTGGGATTACAGGCTCACGCCACCAGGCCCAGCTAATTTTTGTATTTTTACTAGAGACGGGGTTTCACCATGTTAGTCAGGCTGGTCTCAAACTCCTGACTTCGGTGATCCACCCGTCTCTGCCTCCCAAAGTGCTGGGATTAAGGCATGAGCCACCGTAACCGGCCTTTTGCTTATTTTTTGATTGGTTGGTTTTTTTCTTACAGAATTTTAGGAGTTCTTTATACCTTTTGGGTACAAATCCTTGATCAGATAGGTGTCTTGCAAATATTTTGTCCCTGTCTGCTGCCTCTCTTTTTCTTCTTTTAACAAAGTCTTTTCCAAAACATTTTTGTTTTGAATGAAGTCCAATTTATCGATTTTCTCATTCACAGATCATGCTTTTTGTGTTGTGTGTGAAACCTTATTGCCAAATCCAAGGTCGTCTTGGTTTTCTCAGTGTTACGTTCTAGAAATTGTGAGTTTTGCATTTTCCATTTAAGTAAATGATTCATTAGGAAGTAGTTTTGTAAAAGGTGCAGTTCTGTGTCTAATTCATTTCTTTGCATTTGCTAATTCAGGTGTTTCAATACCATTTGTTTTGTGCCACCATGCCTAATTTTTTACTTTATTATGGAGACAGGGTCTCCTTATGTTGCCCAGGCTGGTCTTGAACTGAGGGGCTCAAATGATCTGTCTGCCTTGGCCTCTGGGTTTGCATTTTTAGTACATGTCTTTATAGTAGATGTTTCTATGTTCCTAGTGCCTCTCTTGTCATCTTATGGAATCTTCTCTTTTATATTTAATTTATTGAGCATTTTTAATCATCAGGAGATATTAACTTATTTATGCTGGAGGTTGCACTTTTTTGAATTGCCGACGTGTGAAAAATCAGACTTTGGCCATGACCTTAAGCAGTAGGATATAAACAATTCCCACATGCTTAGCGTTCCAAAAAGGGAACACTAGGCATAAATTGGTTAAGGCTTGTCAGATGCCTTTTCTGCCTCTATTAGGACATTCTTATGGTGTTTTGTTTGTTTTAAGAGTCTCACTCTGTTGCCCCGGCTGGAGTGCAGTGGCGTGATCTCGGCTCACTGCAACCTCTGCCTCCCAGGTTCAAATGATTCTCCCATGTCAGCCTTTCAAGTAACTGTGACTATAGGCATGTGCCACCATGCCTGGCTAATTTTTGTGTTTTTTTAGAGATGGATTTCCACCATGTTGGCCAGAGTGGTCTCAAACTGCCGACCTCAAGTGATCCGCCCACCTTAACCTCCCAAAGTGCTGGGATTACAGGCATGAGCCACCATGCCTGGCTGCTACCATGATTTGTTATCATTACTTATCTTAAAACAAAATGTGAAACTTATCAGCTTAAGAAATTTTACATGTACAGTTGAGATAGTTTGACAGATCTACATAAGTTCTCTAAGATGAATTCTATTGTATTTTGCTTTTTTCAATTATCCTGAGGTTTCATGCATGTTGTAGTATAGGCCAAGATGTTATTTTCTTTTTTTTTTTTTTTTTTTTGAATCGGAGTTTCACTCTTGTTGCCCAGGCTGAAGTGCAATGGTGCAATCTTGGCTCACCGCAACCTCCTGCCTCCCGGGTTCAAGCAATTCTCCTGCCTCAGCCTCCTGAGTAACTAGGTTTACAGGCATGTGCCGCCATGCCCGGGTAATTTTGTATTTTTAGTAGAGACGGCATTTCTCCATGCTGGTCAGGCTGATCTCAAACTCTGTCCCTCAGGTGATCTGCCCGCCTCAGTCTTCCAAAGTGCTGGGATTACAGGCGTCAGCCACCATGCCCGGCTAAGATGTCATTTTCTAAGAGTAAATAATATCCCATTTTATATATATGCTTACCACATTTTGTTTTTCCATTTAGCCATCAGTGGATATGTGGGTGGCTGCATTGCTCATTACTGCCACCTCAGGAAGGTGGTATAGTGGTTAAATCTGTGCTTATGACACCTGGGTATCTCTTAAGAGTTTCTTGTTTGCCCTCTTGAGTACATACAGTGCCAGGTATTTTTTAGGAATGTCCCCTTTGCCCTGTCAGCATCTATCTAGCTACATTCTGACAGGATAACTGCAAAATGAATGATTCCTGGGCATCATAATGGAAGTTTCTTTCTACCTAGGTTATTCCCCTCCTCTCTGCTTATATCTAGCATGCCTGATTTGGGTGGTCCCTGGGGGAGTGTGATTTCCCAGGGGCTCCCCCTCCTGCTCTTTGCTACCTACATGCTTCCTCTGACAATATCATCAAAGATTACACTTTGGGAACAGGCATTTTCAAGGATACACAGCCTCAGGACTGCTAATGTTAACTTTTTCTGCATATTAATTCATAGGACTCTGTCATGACAGATGCTACAGTCCAAAGACCCACAGTCCAAAGAGACATTAGGGACAGCCCAGGCAACTCACTTTTCTCCCTGGGTTCGGTAAATACATTTCCTATCCTGCTGTGGCTTTAGCCCTTGTTCAGTTCTAGCATCACAATTGCTTTATGAACTAGCCAGGTGTGGTGGCACATGCCTGTGGTCTCAACTACTCAGGAGGCTGAGGCATGAGAATTGCATGAACCCAGGAGTAAGAGGTTGTAGTGAGCCACGATGGTGCCACTACACTCCAGCCTGGGTAACAGAACGAGACGCTGTCTTAAAAAAAACAACTGCTGGCCAGGCCTGGTGGCTCACGCCTGTAATCCCAGCACTTTGGGAGGCTGAGGCAGGCGGATCACCTGAGGTCAGCAGCCTGACCAACATGGAGAAACCCCGTCTCCACTAAAAATACAACATTAACCAGGCATGGTGGCACATGCCTGTAATCTTAGCTACTCAGGCTGAGGAAGAAGAAGTGGTAGAACCCCGGCAGTGAGCCGAGATCACGCCATTGCACTCCAGCCTGGGCAATAAGAGTGAAAATCTGTCTCAAAAAAAAGAATTGCTTTATGGAAGAAAGTAAGTATACACAGGGAGAAAGAGATCTGATGACCCTTGGAGTCCACGGCATCCTGAGAACTTCTTGAGAATAGAGTCTAGGCCCCCAGTGCTGTCACTCTCACCCATCCTCCTCTACACATGTGAGATGTTTCAGGACCCAGTGGCCTTTGATGATGTTGCTGTGAACTTCACCCAGGAGGAGTGGGCTTTGCTGGATATTTCCCAGAGGAAACTCTACAAGGAAGTGATGCTGGAAACTTTCAGGAACCTGACCTCTGTAGGTAAGGATGACATATTCCTTCCCTCAGTCCATTAGTGAACCAGTGTTTCTAGCTCATCAATGCTGTTGAGTGATTTAGAACATAGACAGGAAATACTTTGATGAATAAATGAGGTATGGCTGCAGTAAATCATGGGCATAGAATCTAATAATTTTTTCACAATTTTATACTGCCTCAGGACTATTTTTCTGTGTCTATATTTTAGGAAAAAGTTGGAAAGACCAGAACATTGAATATGAGTACCAAAACCCCAGGAGAAACTTCAGGTAATTTGTACTTACAAGACAAAGCAGTGTCTCTCTAGACAATCTTAGAATATGACAATATATTAAAAATAAGTAAAAGAACTAAGTCCAGGATCAAATACATTTATTTTTAGAATATTTGATCAAAAAACATATATATAAATGTGACCTAGGCTGTGGGCTCACTCCTGTAATCCCAATCCTTTGAGAAGTGGAGATAGGAGGATAGCTTGAGGCCAGCAGTTCAAGAACAGCCTGGGCAACATAACGAGACCACATATCAACAACAGCAAAAAATTAGCTGGGCATTGTGGTCTGTAGTCCCAGCTACTCAGGAGGCTGAGGCAGGAGGATCACTTGAGCCAGTAAAGGCTGCAGTAAGCTATGATGATATCACTGCACTCCAGTGTGGGCAACAGGACGAGACCCCTAAATAAAAGAAAAATGACACAGAGTATTTAGTATTTGTAAAATAGTTTACATGGGAAGAGTATTAAGAAGCCCCATATAAACAGTTTTTTAAATAATAGTTATGGCTGGGTCACCTTGTACAATGGGTTGTCCAGTCACCTTCAAACAATTCAGACAGGGCAGAAAGCCTACACTTTGATGGACAGTGTTAAAAATGCAAGTTCAGTACTTGTTGATTAATATAAAATTACTTATAAACAAACCCTTTGTAATGTGCTTCTCATTTTTGACAGGAGTCTCATAGAAAAGAAAGTCAATGAAATTAAAGATGACAGTCATTGTGGAGAAACTTTTACCCAGGTTCCAGATGACAGGCTGAACTTCCAGGAGAAGAAAGCTTCTCCTGAAATAAAATCATGTGACAGCTTTGTGTGTGGAGAAGTTGGCCTAGGTAACTCATCTTTTAATATGAACATCAGAGGTGACATTGGACACAAGGCCTATGAGTATCAGGAATATGGACCGAAGCCATGTAAGTGTCAACAACCTAAAAAAGCCTTCAGATATCACCCCTCCTTTAGAACACCACAAAGGGATCACACTGGAGAGAAACCCTATGCTTGTAAAGAATGTGGAAAAACTTTTATTTCCCATTCAAGCATTCAAAGACACGTGGTAATGCACAGTGGGGATGGACCTTATAAATGTAAATTTTGTGGGAAAGCCTTCCATTGTCTCAGTTTATATCTTATCCATGAAAGAATTCACACTGGAGAGAAACCATATGAATGTAAACAATGTGGTAAATCCTTTAGTTATTCTGCTACCCTTCGAATACACGAAAGAACTCACACTGGAGAAAAGCCTTATGAATGTCAGCAATGTGGGAAAGCATTTCATAGTCCCAGATGCTATCGTAGACATGAAAGGATTCACACGGGAGAGAAGGCTTATCAATGTAAGGAATGTGGAAAAGCATTCACGTGTCCCCAGTATGTTCGTATACATGAAAGGACCCACTCTAGGAAAAAACCCTATGAATGTACGCAGTGTGGGAAAGCATTATCCTCTCTTACAAGTTTTCAAACACACATAAGAATGCACTCTGGAGAAAGACCTTATGAATGTAAGATATGTGGGAAAGGCTTTTGTTCTGCCAATTCATTTCAAAGACATGAAAAAACTCACAGTGGAGAGAAACCCTATAAATGCAAGCAATGTGGTAAAGCCTTCATTCATTCCAGTTCCCTTCGTTATCATGAAAGGATTCACACTGGAGAGAAACCCTATGAGTGTAAGCAATGTGGGAAGGCCTTCAGATCTTCCTCACACCTTCAATTGCATGGTAGGACTCACACTGGAGAGAAGCCCTATGAATGTCAGGAATGTGGGAAAGCCTTCAGATCTATGAAGAACCTTCAAAGTCATGAAAGGACACAAACACACGTAAGAATACACTCTGGAGAAAGACCTTATAAATGTAAGCTATGTGGGAAAGGCTTTTATTGTCCCAAATCATTGCAAAGACATGAAAAAACTCACACTGGAGAGAAACTCTATGAATGCAAGCAATGTGGTGAAGCCTTCAGTAGTTCCAGTTCCTTTCGATACCATGAAAGGACTCACACTGGAGAGAAACCCTATAAATGCAAGCAATGTGGGAAAGCCTTCAGAGCTGCCTCAGTCCTTCGAATGCATGGTAGGACTCACCCTGAAGATAAACCCTATGAGTGTAAGCAATGAGGGAAAGCCTTCAGATCTGCCTCACACCTTTGAATGCATGGTAGGACACACAATCAAGAGAAACCATGAATGTAAAGAATGTGGGAAACCCTTCAGGTCTGCCCAGAACCTTCGAATTCAGTAAAGGACACAAGCACACATAAGAATGCATTCTGGATAGCTGAACAAAAGGCAGCAGAAACTTCTGCAGACTTAAATGTCCCTGTCTGACAGCTTTGAAGAGAGTAGCAGTCCTCCCAGCATGGAGTTTGAGATCTAAGAATGGACAGTCTGCCTCCTCAAGTGGGTCCCTGATCTCCAAGTAGCCTAACTGGGAGGCACTTCCCAGTAGGGGCCAACTGACACCTCATACGGCCGTGTGCCCCTCTGTGACGAAGCTTCCAGAGGAAGGATCAGGCAACAACATTTGCCGTTCTGCAATATTTGCTGTTCTGCAGCCCCTGCTGGTGATACCCAGGCAAACAGGGTCTGGAGTGGACCTCAAGCAAAATCCAACAGACCTCAGCTGAGGGTCCTGACTGTTAGAAGGAAAACTAACAAACAGAAAGGACAACCACACCAAAACCCATCTGTACATCACCATCATCAAAGACCAAAAGTAGATAAAACCACAAAGATGGGGAGAAACCAGAGCAGAAAAGCTGAAAATTCTAAACATCAGAGCGCCTCTTCTCCTCCAAAGGAACGCAGCTCCTCGCCAGCAATGGAACAAAGCTGGACTTTGACTTTGACGAGCTGAGAGAAGAAGGCTTCAGATGATCGGTAATAACAAACTTCTCCAAGCTAAAGGAGGATGTTCGAACCCATCACAAAGAAGCTAAAAACCTTGAAAAAAGATTAGACAAAATGGCTAACTAGAATAAACAGTGTAGAGAAGACCTTAAATGACCCGATGGAGCTGAAAACCATGGCACGAGAACTATGTGATGCATGCACAAGCTTCAGTAGCTGATTCAATCAAGTGGAAGAAAAGGTATCAGTAATTGAAGATCAAATGGATGAAATGAAGTGAGAAGAGAAGTTTAGAGAAAAAAGAGTAAAAAGAAATGAAAAAGCCTCCAAGAAATATGGGACTATGTGAAAAGACCAAATCTATGTCTGATTGGTGTACCTGAAAGTGACAGGGATGGAACCAAGTTGGGAAACACTCTTCAGGATATTATTCAGGAGAACTTCCCCAACCTAGCAAGGCAGACCAACATTCAAATTCAGGAAATACAGAGAACGCCACAAAGATACTCCTCGAGAGGAGCAACTCCAAGACACATAATTGTCAGATTCACCAAAGTTGAAATGAAGGAAAAAATGTTAAGGGCAGCCAGAGAGAAAGGTCGGGTTACCCACAAAGGGAAGCCCGTCAGACTAACAGCGGATCTCTTGGCAGAAACTCTACAAGCCAGAAAAGAGTGGGGGCCAATATTCAACATTCTTAAAGGAAAGAATTTTCAACCCAGAATTTCATATCCAGCCATACTAAGCTTCATAAGTGAAGGAGAAATAAAATCCTTTACAGATTCAAATGCTGAGAGATTTTGTCACCACCAGGCCTGCTGTAAAAGATCTCCTGAAGGAAGCACTAAACATGGAAAGGAACAACCGGTACCAGCCACTGCAAAAACATGCCAAATTGTAAAGACCATTGAGGCTAGGAAGAAACTGTATCAACTAACGAGCAAAATAACCAGTTAACATCATAATGACTGGATCAAATTCACACATAACAATATTAACCTTCAATGTAAATGGGCTAAATGCTCCAATTAAAAGACACAGACTGGCAAATTGGATAAAGAATCAAGACCCATCAGTGTGCTGTATTCAGGAGACCCATCTCACGTGCAGAGACATACATAGGCTCAAAATAAAGGGATGGAGGAAGATCTACCAAGCAAATGGAAAACAAACAAAAAAAGCAGGGGTTGCAATCCTAGTCTCTGATAAAACAGACTTTAAACCAACAAAGATCAAAAGAGACAAGGCCATTACATAAAGGTAAAGGGATCAATTCAACAAGAAGAGCTAACTATCCTAAATATTTATGCACCCAATACAGGAGCACTGAGATGCATAAAGCAAGTCCTTAGAGACCTACAAAGAGACTTAGACTCCCACACAATAATAATGGGAGACTTTAACATCCCACTGTCAACATTAGACAGATCAATGAGACAGAAAGTTAACAAGGATATACAGGAATTGAACTCAGCTCTGCACCAAGAGGACCTAATAGACATCTACAGAACTCTCCACCCCAAATCAACAGAATATACATTCTTCTCAGCACCACATCACACTTATTCCAAAATTGACCACATAGTTGGAAGTAAAGCACTCCTCAGCAAATGTAGAAGAATAGAAATTATAACAAACTGTCTCTCGGACCACAGAGCAATCAAACTAGAACTCAGGATTAAGAAACTCACTCTAAACCACTCAAATACATGGAAACTGAACAACCTGCTCCTGAATGACTACTGGGTACATAACAAATGAAGGCAGAAATAAAGATGTTCTTTGAAACCAATGAGAACAAAGACACAACATACCAGAATCTCTGGGACACATTTAAAGCAGTTTGTAGAGGGAAATTTATAGCACTAAATGCCCACAGGAGAAAGCAGGAAAGATGTAAAATTGACACCCTAACATCACAATTAAAAGAACTAGAGAGGCAAGAGCAAACACATTCAAAAGCTAGCAGAAGGCAAGAAATAACTAAGATCAGAGCAGAACTGAAGGAGACAGAGACAGAAAAAACCCTTCAAAAAATCAGTGAATCCAGGAGCTGTTTTTTTGAAAAGATCAACAAAATTGATAGACCGCCAGCAAGACTAATAAAGAAGAAAAGAGAGAAGAATCAAATAGATGCAATAAAAAATGATAAAGGGGATATCACCACCGATCCCACAGAAATACAAACTACCATCAGAGAGTACTATAAATACCTCTATGGAAATAAACTAGAAAATCTAGAAGAAATGGATAAATTCCTGGACACATACACCCTCCCAAGACTAAACCAGGAAGAAGTCGAATCCCTGAATAGACCAATAACAGGCTCTGAAATTGAGGCAATAATTAATAGACTACCAACCAAAAAAAGTCAAGGACCAGATGGATTCACAGCTGAATTCTACCAGAGGTACAAAGAGGAGCTAGTACCATTCCTTCTTAAACTATTCCAATCAATAGAAAAAGAGGGAATCCTCCCTAACTCATTTTATGAGGCCAGCAACATCCTGATACCAAAGCCTGGCAGAGACACAACAAAAAGAATTTTAGACCAATATACCTGATGAACATCGATGCAAAAATCCTCAATAAAATACTGGCAAACCAAATCCAGCAGCACATCAAAAAGCTTATCCACCACGATCAAGTTGGCTTCATCCCTGGGATGCAAGGCTGATTCAACATATGCAAAGCAATAAACGTAATCCATCATATAAACAGAACCAAAGACAAAAACCACAAGATTATCTGAATAGATGCAGAAAAGGCCTTCGACAAAATTCCACAGCCCTTTATGCTAAAAACTCTCAATAAACTGGGTATTGATGGGATGTATCTCAAAATAATAAGAGCTATTTATGACAAACCTACAGTCAATATCATATACTGAATGGGCAAAAACTGGAAGCATTCCCTTTGAAAACTGGCACAAGACAGGGATGCCCTCTCTCACCACTCCTATTCAACATAGTGTTGGAAGTTCTGGCCAGGGCAATCAGGAAGGACAAAGAACTAAAGGGTATTCAAGTAGGAAAAGAGGAAGTCAAATTGTCCCTGTTTGCAGATGACATGATTGTATATTTAGAAAACCCTATCATCTCAGCCCAAAATCTCCTTAAGCTGATAAGCAACTTCAGCAAAGTCTCAGGATACAAAATCAATGTGCAAAAATCACAAGCATTCCTATACACCAACAACAGACAAACAGAGAGCCAAATCATGAGTGAACTCCCATTCACAATTGCTTCAAAGAGAATAAAATACCTAGGAATCCAACTTACAAGGGATGTGAAGGACCTCTTCAAAGAGAACTACAAACCACTGCTCAACGAAATCAAAGAGGACACAAACAAATGGAAGAACATTCCATGCTCGTGGATAGGAAGAATCAATATCATGAAAATGGCCATACTGCCCAAGGTAATTTGTAGATTCCATGCCATCCCCATCAAGCTACCGATGACTTTCTTCACAGAATTGGAAAAAACTACTTTAAAGTTCATATGGAACCAAAGAAGAGCCCACATTGCCAAGACAATCCTAAGCCAAAAGAACAAAGCTCAAGGCATTAGGCTACCTGACTTCAAACTATACTACAAGGCTACAGTAACCAAAACAGCATGGTACTGGTACCAAACAGAGATATAGACCAATGGAACAGAATAGAGCCCTCAGAAATAATACCACACATCTACAACCATCTGATCTTTGACAAACCTGATAAAAACAAGAAATGGGGAAAGGATTCCCTATTTAATAAATGGTGCTGGGAAAACTGGCTAGCCGTATGTAGAAAGCTGAAACTGGATCCCTTCCTTACACCTTATACAAAAATTAAATTCCAGATGGATTAAAGACTTAAATGTTAGACCTAAAACCATAAAAACCCTAGAAGAAAACCTAGGCAGTAACATTCAGGACATAGGCATGGGCAAGGACTTCATGATTAAAACACCAAAAGCAATGGCAACAAATGCCAAAATTGACAAATGGGATCTAATTAAACTAAGGAGCTTCTGCACAGCAAAAGAAACTACCATCAGAGTGAACAGGCAACCTACAGAATGGGAGAAAATTTTTACAATCTACCCATCTGACAAAGGGCTAATATCCAGAATCTACAAAGAACTTAAACAAATTTACAAGAAAAAATCAAACAACCCCGTCAAAAAGTGGGCAAAGGATATGAACAGACATTTCTCAAAAGAAGACATTTATGCAGCCAACAGACACATGAAAAAATGCTCACCATCACTGGCCATCAGAGAAATGCAAATCAAAACCACAATGAAATACCATCTCACACCAGTTAGAATGGCAATCATTAAAAAGTCAGGAAACAACAGGTGCTAGAGAGGATGTGGAGAAATAGGAACACTTTTACACTGTTGGTGGGACTGTAAACTAGTTCAACCATTGTGGAAGACAGTGTGGTGATTCCTCAAGAATCTAGACCTAGAAATACCATTTGACCCAGCCATCCCATTACTGGGTATATACCCAAAGGATTATAAATCATGCTGCTATAAAGACACATGCACACGTATGTTTATTGTGGCACTATTCACAATAGCAAAGACTTGGAACCAAACCAAATGTCCATCAATGATAGGCTAGATTAAGAAAACGTGGCACATATACACCATGGAATACTATGCAGCCATAAAAAATGATGAGTTCATGTCCTTTGTAGGGACATGGATGAAGCTGGAAACCATCATTCTGAGCAAACTATAACAAGGACAGAAAACCAACACTGCATATTCTCACTCATAGGAGAGAACTGAACAATGAGAACACTTGGACACAGGGAGGGAAACATCACACACCAGGGCCTGTCATGGGGTAGGGGGAGGGGAGAGATAGCACTGGGAGATATACCTAATATGAATGACAAGTTAATGGGTACAGCACACCAACATGGCACGTGTATACATATGTAACAAACCTGCACATTGTGCACATGTACCCTAGAACTTAAAGTATAATAATAATAATAATAAAAGAATGCACTCTGTAGAAAGACCTTATAAATGTAAGATATGTGGGAAAGGCTTTTATTCTGCCAAGTCATTTCAAATACATGAAAAATCTTACACTGGAGAGAAACCCTATGAGTGTAAGCAATGTGGTAAAGCCTTTGTTTCTTTCACTTCCTTTCCATATCATGAAAGGACTCACACTGGAGAGAAACCCTATGAGTGTAAGCAATGTGGAAAAGCCTTCAGATCTACCTCACACCTTTGAAAACATGGTAGGACTCACACTGGAGAGAAACCCTATGAATGTAAGCAATGTGGGAAAGCCTTCAGATCTGTCAAAAATTGTTGAATTCATGAAAGGACACACACTGGAGAGAAACCCTGTGAATGTAAGAAATGTGGGAAAGCGTTCCATAATTTCTCTTCTTTGCAAATACATGAAAGGATGCACAGAGGAGAGAAGCTCTGTGAATGTAAGCATTGTGGGAAAGCATTCATACCTGCCAAGATCCTTTGAATACATGCAAGAACACACAATGGAGAGAAACCCTATGAATGTAAAGAATGCAGAAAAGCATTCAGCTTGCCTACTTCCTTTCATAGACATGAAAAGACATTGGAAGGAAACCCTATGAAGGCAAGCAATGTGGCAAAGCTTTCACTTCTTCCAGTTCTTTTCAATATCATGAAAGAATTCACACTGGGGAGAAACCCTATCAGTGTAAGCAATGTGCGAAAGCCTTTATTTCTTCCACTTCTTTTCAATATCATGAAAGGACTCACATGGGAGAGAAACCCTATGAGTGTATGCCATGTGGGAAAGCCTTCATTTTTCTAGTTGCTTTCGATGTCATGAAAGGACTCACACTGGAGAGAAGCCCTATGAATGTAAGCAATGCAGGAAAGCCTTCAGATCAGCCTCACACCTTCAAATGTATGGAAGGACTCACACTGGAGAGAAACCCTATGAATGTAAGCAGTATGGGAAAGCATTCAGACCTGACAAGATTCTTTGAATACAGATAATGAATGTAAACAATTAACTGTTTGTAATAACTGTATACTAACAAATGTTATCTTTAAATAATTAAGAAGCTATAATAGTAAGGCCGGGTGCGGTGGCTTATGCCCGTAATCCCACCAGTTTGGGAGGCCAAGGCAGATCACGAGGCCAGGAGATCGAGACCATCCTGGTTAACATGGTGAAACCCTGTCTCTACTAAAAATACAAAAAATTAGCCAGGCGTGGTGGTGGGTGCCTGCAGTCCCAGCTACTCGGCAGGCTGAGGCAGGAGAATGGCATGAATCCAGGAGGCAGAGCTTGCAGTGAGCCAAGATTGCGCCACTGCACTCCAGTCTGGGCGACAGAGTGAGGCTCCGTTTCAAAAAAAAAAGCTATAATAAAATATCCCATTGGTGTCATGTATTAGATCAACCTTATACTGTTAAATTGTTATTATTTGGACATTGTGAGTCAGTATAACCATGTGGATAAAATGCCAGGCATCTTTTTTTTTTCGGAAATTTTACTTTTCATGCTTATGTACTTACATTTTTATCTCAACCCTAATTTTTCTTATCTTTTTTTTTTTCCAGAAAAAAATCTCACTCTGTCACCCAGGCTGGAGTGCAGTGGCATGATCTCAGGTCGCTGCAACCTCTGCCTCCAGGGTTCAAGCAACTCTCCTGCTTCAGCCTCCTGAGTAGCTGGGACTACAGGCATGCACCACCACGCCAGGCTAATTTTTTGTATTTTTTAGTAGAGACAGGGTTTCACCATATTGGCCAGGCTGGTCTTGAACTCCAGACCTCATGATTCGCCTGCCTCGGCCTCCCAAAATGCTGGGATTACAGATATGAGCCATCATGCCCAGCCGCAACCCTAATTTTTCATTCAGTCATAATACCAACAGTTATCTCATGTACCTCTGAGTGCCTTCTTCCCAAAAGCCAGCAGTACCATACCTGCTGTCAGCAAGTGTGTAATATACCATAGTGATAAATATGACCAAAAGCCATAAATGACTGTGAGATGTATGAGAATGACACGTCACATTAGTAAGAAGAGAAAAATTTTGGCCATGTTTATGATTTGAAATATGTTTTCCTCTATCACATTTAGAAATATAGTTACAAAATGCCCTTAGTTTTATCCTGATTCATCATGGTCACTGAGGAGCATCGTCTCATATGCCTGGTATGTGACATGTGTCTCTTCAACAGTAAAAGACTTGGCATTGGCTGGGCATGGTGGCTCACGCCTGTAATCCCAGCACTTTGGGAGGCCGAGGTCAGGAGTTAGAGACCATTCTGACCAATATGATCAAACCCCGTCTCTACTAAAAATACAAAAATTAGCGGGGTGTGGTGGCATGCTCCTGTAATCCTAGCTATTCAGGAGGCTGACGCAGGAGACTTGCTTGAATATAGGAGGCAGACGTTGCAGTGAGCCGAGGTCACACCATTCACTCCAGCCTGGGCAACAAGAGCGAAACTCCGTTTCAAAAAAAAAAAAAATGACTTGGACTTGTGGTGAGGGGAGGTCATCTGTAGACTCCTGGACCTGTTTTTGCCTTACTTATTCTCTAAAGACTGAAATATTTCCTAAAATGTATGGGCACTGTTTACCAGAAAGTACCTTAGTTAAAACATAAAATCATTTATGCCTTATAAAGCTATATTTTTTCAATTGCTTTACTGAGTCATAGGAGGCTAATAAATTTGTGTAAATTGTCTAAATACAAGCCTGTCTTTCTCTGATAATGTGCTGCTGAGGCTAACTTGTCAACAGCCTGCTTATCTCAGCAGTGTAAAGTTAACAGCAACATGGAAAAGTTTCTTTTATATATTATGCAACGGCTTAGAACAATTCAGTCACTTCCTTTAAGGTACCAATGAAGCTGCTCTTCAGAAACGCTTATTTAAAACTCCCTAAGATCAAAATCCAGGCACCACAAGATGCAGCATCAGCCACTGACCAAACCCTGTCTGTGTGTGGAGGTGACACACCCAGTCCCAGATAATGTATCCACATCAGTGAAGGGTGGAGTCGTTGATTGTCAGATCACACAAAGTGACTCAGAGCAGGGAAGACAGGGCAGTGAAACCTGGCCAGGCACAGTGGCTCATACCTGTAATCCCACCACTTTGCTAGTCCAAAGCGGGTGGATCACTTGAGGTCAGGAATTCAAGACAAGCCTGACCAACATGGTGAAACCCTGTCTCTACTAAAAATACAAAAACTAGCTGGGCATCGTGGTGTGTGCCTGTAATCCCAGCTAATCAGGATGCTGAGGCAGGAGAATGGCTTGAGCCTGGAGACAGAGGTTACAGTGAACTGAGATCACACCATTGCACCCTGCAGCCTAGTCGACACAGCGAGACTCTGTCTCCAGAAGAAAAAAAGAAAGAGTTGGATGCACCTGAATTCAACCCCTGCCTCATCCTTCTCCCTTGAAGGCCAAATACACCCTGATACTTTTCACCAAAGAGTAGAAACAACACCATTCACTTGACCCCAAATGTGACTTTCCACAGGATGCAAGCACAGTGTTGGAATGGCCAATGACAATGACAATGAAAGTGCAGGCTGAGGGTGATGAACAGGACACACTGGAGAGCCTGACATTGGCCTAGACTATGGGGGTGTCTTGATGCTTCACAAAGAGCCCAAGGAGCACCCCAAAGAGGACACTGGAGCACAGGCCCAAAGGGTGTTCATATGCCAGGAAGGCCACTAATTTTGGAAGTCAGTGACATTGGTGCCTGCTTGAGTCCTGATCCTACAAAGAGTGACCATTGAAAGCTCACACCAGGTGGGGTGGCTCACGCCTGTAATCCCAGCACTTTGGGAGGCCGAGGTGGGTGGATCATCTGAGGTTGGGAGTTTGAGACCAACCAGGCCAGCATGGCAAAACTCCATCTCTACTAAAAATACAAAAAGTAGCTGGGTGTAGTGGCTCACGCCTGTAATCCCAGCCAGTTGGGAGGCTGAGGCACGAGAGTAGCTTAAACTCACAAGGCGGAGGTTGCAGTGTGCTGAGATCGCGCCATTGCACTTCAGCCTGGGTGACAGAGCGAGACTCTGTCTCCAAAAAAGAAAAAAAAAGCTCACTTGGTTCTTCCCCTGATGCCCCCACTGCAGGTGTACCAGGTGTACCAGCTACTCACATTGACCATTGGAGGAGCCCTTTATACTGAGAGAACCTCAGAGCCCCGGAAAGCTAGGGATCCACAGGCAGATGCAGTACTCAGTGATGCCCTCTGCAAGTGATAGTTTTTGTCTTGGGGCTTTTTCCAGACATTCTAGTGAAACAAATGTGGGTTTAGGTAAGAAATAACTTTTAATTCTAGACCTTGAAGCCAGCTTGTCATTAAAACAGTTCATAACAAAAAAGTCTAGGTACTGAACTTGTAAGTAAAAATAGAAATATTAAATAAATATCTTAAAAGATATTAAATAAATACATAAAATGTGCTTGTATATAGGCTTAGAAGGGGTCAGTCAAAAATTCAGGGGCCGCTGGGCAGATTGGCTCATGCCTGTAATCCCAGCACTTTGGGAGGCTGAGGCAGGCAGATCACTTGAGGTCAGGAGTTCAAGACCACCCTGGCCAGCATGGTGAAACACCATCTCTATGAAAAATATAAAAATTAGCTGGGTGTGGTGGCACACACCTGTAACACCAGCTACTCTGGTGACTGAGGCATGAGAATCACTTGAACCAGGGAGGCGGAGGTTGCAGTGAGCCAAGATCATGCTACTGCACTCCAGCCTGGGCTACAGAACAAGACTGTCTCAAAAAAAGAAAAAAGTTCAGGGACCTGGAGGAAGGAGAGAAACTGAAGCATGCTTTGGTAGATAGATATTTCATTTTGACTAAAGATCACTAAAGAGAAAACTGTTCACCTAATGGTTTGTGAGGTAAATACTGGAATATCTAGTGGGTGTCTGGTTTGTCATAGGTAACAAACGTAGCACCATCTAAGTCATCATGGGAAGCTTGTTTCATTGTAGTAAGGTGCTCTTGCACAACACAAAGGATGGGGGATTTCATGAATCACAGCCATTTTCAGGATTGCCCACCCACCCCCATCTCCTTTCCACACCCCTTACTCTTTTTCTATCCATGTCTTTGATTTGACTCGTCCTGAGTTGTATCCTTCATAGTAAGTGGGTAAATGTAAGTGAACTGTGGGTAGTTCTATCAAATTATGGAACTTGAGTAAGGTGTTGTACAGGACCCAGGTCTAGATGCAGTTGCTGAGAAGTACAGGTGGCCCCTGGGGCTTTGACTTGCATCTGCCAAGTGGGGCTGTGTTGGGTGAGCCAGGAACTCATGGAGTCTCTGCTAACTCTGGGTGGCTTCTGAATTGCATGGTTACATAACTGCTTAGTGCTGGAGAATTGATTGGTGTTCAGCAAGCACCACACATTTGATGTCAGGCAAAAAGACAGCATAGGTCAGAACCTTCCACTGACTCACAGTGAGCGAGTGGTCTTTGGTGGGCATTGAGACCCTGGTGGAAGGACTGTGTCCACACTGTGGGGAGGGGCCAGCAGGGTGTGTGTGGAATTCCCAGAAGTAATTTTCTGACTGCTCACATTTCCTTCACACACTACCTAGGAGTGGGCCAGCCTGGCCTGTGTCTCCACGGTCCAAGTGGTTCCTAAGCTTGAAAATGTGTAACTATTGGAGTGTGGGTTTCCTTGTGAGCTGTGGGTGAGGCAGGCTGCCTACCTGAGCTGCCTCCCTTTTGTTTTTTTACAGAATCTTGCTGCCATGGAATTGCTCTTTCCCCACGCATCTGAGAATTTATTTATTTGTTTGTTTGTCTATTTTTCAGATAGAATCTCACTCTGTGGCCAAGGCTGGATCAGTGGCGTGATCTCGGCTCACTGCAACTTGCCTCCCAGATTCTCCTGGCTCAGCCTCCTGGGTAGCCGGGACTGCTGGCACAAGCCACCACACCCTGCTTTTTTTTTTTTTTTTTTGAGACAGTCTTGCTCTGTCACCCAGGCTGGAGTGCAGTGGCAGGATCTCGGCTCACTGCAACCTTTGTCTCCTGGGCTCAAGCAACTGTCCTACCTCAGCCTCCTGAGTAGCTGGGATTATAGGCACCTGCAACCACACTCAGCTAATTTTTGCATTTTTAGTAGAGACGGTTTCACCATGTTGTCCAGGCTGGTCTCGAACTCCTGACCTCAGGTGATCCACCCGCCTCGGCCTCCCAAAGTGCTGAGATTACAGGCATGAGCCACCATGCCCAGCCTATCTCTTGATCTTATTGACAATGCTTTTCTTGTTTTTATTCCTAACTGGAAATACAACACAAAGTTTTACACATTGGGAAATAATTGCTGGGTTGTAGATTATGGGTAAATTCAAATTTACTAGGAAATGTCAGTACAGTATGAATGTAACTTATGAATTAACCATCTCACCTTTCATGCACGTGCCTTTATTCTTGTGATTTGCCAACACTTTGAATTATCTAACTCACTTTTCGTCGCCCATTTACTCTTAAACAGAATCTCTGTGTGATTATTTATTGCTTTTTATTTGTTGCCATTGGTTGAGCATTTTTCTTATATAATCTTTCATCTTCTGTGTAGCAGTATCCAGTCATCCTCTTACATTTGACTAATTTGTAGTTATCTCTCTTTTTCTCCTCGTTTTCTTTTATTTTAATTTGAGACATCCTTGCTCTGTAGCCCAGCTGGAGTGCAGTGTTCTGGTCACTCACTGCAGCATCAAGCTCCTGGGCTTGAGCAATCCTCCCACCTCGGCTTTCTGCCCAGCTAATTTTCAAAAATTTTTTGTAGAGACAAGGGTGTCACGGTTTTGCCCAGGCTGGTCTCGAACTCCCGGGCTCAATCAATCCTCTTGCCTCGGCCTCCCAAAGTGCTAGGATTGCAGACATGATCCACCATGCTCAGCAATTAGGGTTTTTTTTTTAAAACCAAGATATCTGTACATGTTTCTGACAAATATTTTATTTAAAATCTTTAACAACTGCATACTAACCAAGGTTATTCTGTTTTTCATTTTCTGTTTTCCATTTTCATTATGATTACTTGTTTTTCTTTTTTTTTTTTTTGAGACGGAGTCTCGCTGTGTCGCCCAGGCTGGAGTGCAGTGGTGCGATCTCCGCTCACTGCAACCTCCGCCTCCCGGGTTCACGCCATTCTCCTGCCTCAGCCTCCTGAGTAGCTGGGACTACAGGCGCCCGCCACCACGCCCGGCTAATTTTTTGTATTTTTAGTAGAGACGGGGTTTCATCGTGTTAGCCAGGATGGTCTCAATCTCCTGCCCTCGTGATCCGCCTACCTTGGCCTCCCAAAGTGCTGGGATTACAGGCGTGAGCCACCGCGCCTGGCCCCTTGTTTTTCTTTTTTATTCTCATTTTTTCCTAGATAATTACAATACTTTTCCATGTAGTGGCTCTGGCAGCATTTTCATCCTTCATGCAATCATACAGCTACCTCGATGTCCCTTCTCTCTGCCATTCTGAAATTAGACCTCACTCCTTTGTGACTCTTGCTCCCCATCTGCTATGTGATAAAGTCCTGTCTGATTACATCGTCTCCAAAGCCTCTTTTTGGGCTTCTGTTTACCCCTTGGCGTGTCTTGTATTTACTCTCCTCAAAATATATACTTGGAGGCCAGGTGTGGTGGCTCACTCCTGTAATCCCAGTATTTGGGAGGCCGAGGCATGAGGATCCCTTGAGCCCAGGAGTTTAAAACCAGCCTGGGCCACACAGGGAGACCCTGTCTCAAAAACAAAACTTATACTTGCAAGCCCTAAACCCCAACATGGTCATATTTGGACACGAACCCTTTAGGAGATCACATACATTTATAAAGGAGGGCTCTCACAATGGGATGAGTAAGAAGAGAGAGAGAACTCTGTCTCTCCAGCATGTGAGGACACAGCAAGAAGTCATCTAGCTGCAAGCCAGGAAGACACTCTTCACTAGGAACAAAATTGCTGGCAGCAAGATGTTGGACTCCCGAAGCTCCAGAACTGTGAGAAAAAAATTCTGCTGTTTAAGAAACTGAGTCCATGGTATTTTGTTATACCAGCCTCAGCTAAGTCATCCCAAGAGTCCTCACATAAATCATATACTATCGTATATGATATCGTGCTGCATTTGGATCTACCTGGAATGTCTCCAAATCTTCTACTTTTCCTCTTGGACCCATTGTGAGAATAGGTGTGCTTCATAGGCAACTACTGGTGATAGTAGTGATAGCCCATAACGACTTGGGACAAAAAAGGAACTTTTACTTTTTTTTTTTTTTTTTTCTTCCTGAGATGGAGTTTGTGCTCTGTTGTCCAGGCTGGAGTGCAATGGCGTGATCTCAGCTCACTGCAACTTCTGCCTCCTGGGTTCAAGCGATTCTACTGCCTCTGCCTCCAGAATAGCCAGGATCACAGGTGTGCACTACCATGTCCGGATAATTTTTGTATTGGTAGTTAGAGACAAGGTTTCACCATGTTGGCCAGGCTGGTCTTGAACTCTTGATATCAGGTGATCCACTCACTTTGGCCTCCCAAAGTTCTTGGATTACAGGCGTGAGCTACTATGCTCGCCCTGTTTTATGTATATAAATATGTGTGTGTGTATTTCTCTTTTTAATAAAATAGAGACTAGTTCTCACTATGTTGCCCAAGGTGGTCATAGGCCAAACTTTTGGGCTCAAGCAATCTACCTGCCTCGACCACTCAACGTGCTGGGATTAAGGCATGGGAAACTGTGCCAGGCCAAATGAAAGAGACTTAGTGGGAGGCTGGGCGCGGTGGTTCACACCTGTAATCCCAGCACTTTGGGAGGCTGAGGGGGGTGCATCACCTGAGCTCAGGAGTTCAAGACCAGCCTGGACAACGTGGTGAAACCGCATCTCTACCAAAAATACAAAAAATTAGCCGGGCATGGTAGTCCCATTCTCACAGTCACAGAAAGGTTCTTTCTTAAGGATTCCACCTGCTGGAAAGCATTATATACTACCAGAACTTGTTCAATTCAAGAGTGTCTGGTCTCATCTCCATGTCATAATTACAACCAAAATCCTAAAGGGACTGATTTACCACACTGTGGGTGCCATAAGGCCCAATTTTTACCCTCAGCAGCAGCTGTAACATCCCAAGTTACAGCTCTACCCTCCAAAGATGTGCCTGAGGCTTGTGCCTGCCATACTAACATGTTAATATGTCCAAAGCTTCCTGCAGAGCTGTGTCCCAGTCCCAAAGTGCCCCTTTCTAATAAGTCTATATATTGGTCTCAAACATTGGACTCAGTGTCAGATAAATGCTCTCCAATAATCCAAAGACTAACAAATGTCTGGATTTCTTTTCTCCTTTTTTTTTTCTTTAAGAAACATAGTATGGCTCTGTTTCCCAGGCTAGAGTGCAGTGGTGGGATCATAGCTCACTGCAGAAACTCCTAGGCCCAAGGGATTCTCCTGCCTCAGCCTCCCAAGTAGCTGGGAATAAAGGCACATGCCACTATGCCCGGCTGTTTTTAAATTTTTTGTGCAGATGGAGTCTCACTATATTGCCCAGGCTGTTCTTGAACTCCAAGGCTCAAGTGATCCCCCTACCTCAGCCTCCCAAAGTGCTGAGATTACAGTCATGAACCAATGCTCCCAGCCCTGAAATGGAAAATTTCTTTTGTTTGTTTGTTTGTTTGTTTGTTTGTTTTTTGAGACAGAGTCTCACTCTGTCATCCAGGCTGGAGTGCAGTGGCATAATCTCGGCTCACTGCAACCTTCCAACTCCCGGGTTCAAGCGATTCTCTGCCTCAGCCTCCTGAGTAGCTGGGATTACAGGCACCTGCCACTACGCCCAGCTAATTTTTGTATTTTTAGTAGAGACAGGGTTTCACCATCTTGGCCAGGCTAGTCTTGAACTCCTGACCTCAGGTGATCCACCTGCCTCGACCTCCCAAAGTGCTGGGATTACAGGCATGAGCCACTGCGCCCGGCCCTGAAATGGAAATATTTCAAAGGGAAAACATCTAACGTTCAAGTTATTATCTATAGAGCAGTTAACAGGAACTATCATTTAGGGTCCATCGTGAGGCAGAAATTTAAAAATAATAAGTACTGAATTTATTTACTCCAAGAAAAGTAAAAGCTAAGGCCCAGAGTGTGGCAAGGCAAGGGTTAAAAAGAAAAAAGAAAAGCACAAGTTTTCCTCTGCCTAGCAGCTCACTTCCAGGACCTTATCAAGAAGATAACGATGTCCAAATAGCCAAGGCCAAAGGAATGGGCTCCAGACACCCCTCCCTTCCAGAGCAATGTTGAAGGAAAAAAAAAAAAGAGACAGATTCTTTTACTGTTACTCTTTTGCAAGTCTTCTTAAGCATTATTATGTTTTACAAATGTCTGTATTTAGCCAGTTCTTGTTTTTCTTTCAATGCAGCTACAAGGACACTGGCTATGCAAGGTCATAAATTATGTTATGCTATAGATTACATGACCTGTCACTGTATGATTAACTGCTTTTGTTTGGCATCTGTAAGACAGCGTATAAAAACCCCACTTTGTCTTCGTTCAGTCCTCAGCTTTTTGGATATGAATCGTCTGAGCCAGTGCGTACCTAAAATATAAACAAATCCTCCTGTACTCCATATTGGTCTCTCCTTCCTCAGTTTACCACAACAATGGGATTCTAGGACACTAGGTATGAAGCAAATATGAGGAAGTTCAGGGAACAAGCTGACTTAATGATTAATGCTGAAGGTTCTGCAGCTTGGTTTAAGTTTTCTCCTCCCATCCTCCCTGATGAATTTGATAAAGTTTAAAGGGATGGTTTCACCAGGGGCCTTTTCCATTGACTGCAAGGAGGTCATCCGCCTGGTAAATCCTCAGTAGGCCAAGCCTCTTATGTGGCCAGAATGATCCAGTCCATAAGGAAATACCACCTGCTGTGTTTTACAATTAGACCATCCAAGGGGGTCAGGGTTTCCCCGGGGAGTCTGGTGGGCTTTTTATGGGTTTTTTTGTTTTTGATTTTTTTTTTTTTTGAGACAGTGTCTTGCTGAAGTTCAGTAACCTGATCACAGCTCACAGCAGCCTCAAACTTTGGGGCTCAAGTGATCCTCCTGCCTCAGCCTCCTGAGTAGCTGTGATTACAGGTACACACCACCTCTCCTGGCTAATTAAAAAATAGATTTATGGAGATGGGAGTGTCTCACTTCACTGCTCAGGGTGGTCTTCAACTTCGGGCTTCAAGTGATCCTGCCACTTTGGCCTCCCAAAATGTTGGGATTGCAGGCATGAGCCATGGCACCTGGCCTCCCAGGCTGTTGTTGAAAGGTCTTTGCAATCTCTAAGAGTTCTGCAGCAGTTTATTCCCTGACAGCGAGAGTCTCATCCTTTGATCCCATTTTGCAGCAGTAGTTGGGTGTTCACTTTTCTTTCCATAAGGAAGCAAGCTTGCCAGTGACCCTCATCCCCCTCCTCATCGATGACTTCTTTGTCATCAGAGCCTTCCTCTTCATAAATTCCCACGGAATCCAAGTTTTCACGTCCCGATTGGGCTTAGTTATGATAGCTACTGGCTCACACAAGCTGCAACAGCACCCCGTCCCATGGAAGCCACCCGACTCTCTCCTCCCTGAGTTTCCTGTCCTGGGAGCCCCCATCTCTGCTCTCCCGGGCTCCGGGCCCTAGAGCCGCACTGCTGCAGAGCCCAGTTCCCAGGGCAGCTCCCTCCACCTATCCACATCCATCTCCAGCTCTCCACCCTCTCTCCCACCAGCCTGGCCTGGAGGTGCTGCAGTGTCATTGACTGCGAGTCCCTCAGCTGCCACCTCCACCGCGATCTGGAAGTCTTTCAAATGCCCTTAAGTTATCTTAGATTTTTCCTCCCCCACTTTATACATAAGCATAGGAGGAGAGCAGGGACTCTGCTGGTGTCTTATTTACACAATGGGATTGAAGGTGTTTGTCTCGCGAAACTAATCGATGGGGTGAGAAGTAGCTGAATAACCTGCAGGGGGCAGCAGAGCCCAAGGCCAGTGATTCCACGTTGAGGACAGTCTCTGCAGCCTGCAAAGGGAGGGAAAGAGAGTTTCCCTGGGGGCTTCGCGGGCAGCCCACCCCCTTCTACAAGTGGCCTCCAGCTGCTCAGAGCAGCTCCAGAAAGGGTGTGGATTCCGAGAAGCTGCAGAGCCCTGGAAAGCAGAAGACCCATGTGCAGACGCATTTGTGGCGTCTCTGTCCTTTCTGGTGTTGTACCTCTGGAGCTGTCTTCTGGGCAGGGTTTGGGGTTTGACATGCATGGGGTCGTTGGGGTCAGAGTTATTTGTATAGATAAAGAAAATGTGTGGCCGGGCGCGGTGGCTCACGCCTGTAATCCCAGCACTTTGCGGGGCCGAGGCGGGCGGATCAAGAGGTCAGAAGATCGAGACCATCCTGGCTAACACGGTGAAACCCCGTCTCCACTGAAAATACAAAATATTAGCCGGGCGTGGTGGCGGGCGCCTTTAATCCCAGCTACTCCGGAGGCCGAGGTAAGAGAATGGCGTGAACTCGGGAGGCGGAGCTTGCAGTGAGTCGAGATCGCACCACTGCACTCCAGCCTGGGCTACAGAGCAAGACTCCGTCTCAAAAAAAAAAAAAAAAAAAGAAAGAAAGAAAAGAAAATGTGTGAAGATCAGGCTAGAGCTAGAGACAGAATTGTTTGGTGGCGTCACCTGGATAAAGGGTTCATGAAGTTGACAGTTTACTTAGGTCAGAAACAAAACCTGGTGAGAGTTTCCTGCTGGTGAAAATGAAGATCTGAAAGGAGGAAGCATTTTCACAAGGGGATGGGGGTGTGTGAGCAAGGCTTGGCCACGCCTCATCCCCAATTCCGGCCCGCTCGAGGACATATGCCTCTCCTCCTGGTGCAGTCGTGCCTGGCCTGGTCTCGGTTCCCCTGCTGCTCTGAGGCCAGCAGTTGGCTCCTATGGACACTGAGTCTGAAATTCCCTGCACACTCCTGTGACCCCGTGCAGAACGAAGGAGCGGGGACTGTCCCTTGAGTGAGGATGACGCTAGTGTTCTCTTCTATCAATAGCAAGTTTGGCTGAAATGCAAATATCCAATAACCAGAGTGCAGAAAGCAGCTCGCCCTTAGAGAAGCTGTGGCTAGAATCCGTCAGTCTGGCTCTGCGGGGCCTGATACCCAGGGCTTCAGCTGTCACTCAGATGTGGGGGGCGGGACCTAGTATTTCATCCAATCAGAGGTGCTGGGGCGTGGCACTGCCCACAGTTCATCCGGAAATGGAGGGGGTCGCTTTCCTCACCTTCCTCGCTGCGCGGGCGGCGGTTGGTAACCGGTCAGACCAGCCCGAGAGGGACCTGGTGCCTGTACCCAGGCTTCTGTCGCTCTGTCGCCTGCGCTATGCCCTGCTGTAGTCACAGGAGCTGTAGAGAGGACCCCGGTACATCTGAAAGCCGGGAAATGGTGCGTGTGCGGGACCAGATGTCGTGAGACGGGGGAGGGGCTGCCTGGAACAGGCGGGAACCGGCTGTGGCGGGACCCGGGCCTCCCTGTGGGCGACTCCGGGGTCTGGGACCGAGTCCTCCTTGAGCAGTTCGGCCCTCGGTCCCCTTGGCCGCTGGACGGGGCTGGGCCAGCAGCCAGGACCCGGGCGTCCTGTCCCGTCCCTGCGCGGCGACTGCGGCCGCGGCCCCTGCCCCGGAGCCCTCTCTGGGCAGTTCCGCTCCCGCAGCCCCGCGTCTCCCCAGATTGTGCGGAAGCAACGGGAGGGTCATGGAGGCATCCTGACTCGGGTGTGGGGTTCGTGCGTGGGAGGAGCAGTGGTCTGTGGGGCCCCCAGTCCCCACTTTCTCCTGTTAAAAATTAAACTGAGGTACGTTAACAATTAAAGAGTTCATTTGAGCAAACAGCGATTCACGAATGAGAAACACCCCGTCCTGGGTTGTGGTTTGTCAACGGAAAAAGCCAAACTATGTAAAATAAAGAAGTTTATTCAGAGCCGAATAGGAGAGACCTTGGCCGAGGGAAACACAACCCCAAGCAGCCTGGAGTAAGTGGTCCCGAGGCGGCTCAAGACAGTTTGGTTTTATTCATTTCAGAGAGACAGGAATTGCAGGGAAAATGATGAATCAGTGCCTGAAAGGTGTAAGTTCCATTGGCAGAAAGGGTGGGACCTGTGGAAGGGGGGTTAGAAGGCACAGGTGGTTGAGGGATTCTGTAGGTGGCAGCTGGTTGAGAGTGTGAAGTTTGTCTAAAGTTTGGAGGAGGTAGGAAGGAAGGGGGTCTGTTATCTGCCACTTGATTCCATCCCAGCCAGAAAACAGACCTGTTTCTCTAGATTTTATGAATTCTGAGGCGTGACTTTACTTTTGCCTTGCGTGGCCTTAGGTTTTGTTTGTAAGTTAGTATCTTCTTGCCACAAGCAGTCTGTTTTTCCATTCTATCTATTTTTACATGAATGTGTGGGAGAGGGTATAAGGAGACCTGTCTCACCTCCCATCCTGTCATACAGAGGCACTCAATTTTCAGGGTTTTTTGCGGGTCCTGTTGGCCAAGAGCCGGTCACTTCACTTAGCTGGAAAGGTACTTTGTTTTTATTTGAGACGGAGTCTCCTGTCGCCCAGACTGGAGTGCAATGGCCTGATCTCGGCTCACTGCAACCTCCACCTTCCGGGTTCAAGTGATTCTCCTGCCTCAGCCTCCTGAGTAGCTGGGATTGCAGGCATGCACCACTATGCCCTCCTAATTTTTGTATTTTTAGTAGAGATGGGGTTTCACCATGTTGGCCAGGCTGGTCTCGAACTCCTGACCTCAAGTGATCCACCCACCTCAGCCTCCCAAAGTGCTGGGATTACAGATGTGAGCCATCTCGCCGGGCCAGAGGTATGTTTTTATTTTTAGTTTACCAGTTTAGGGGTAAGCTTTTATAAGTTACGTGAGGAGACAAACCAGATAAATGCTTGATTGGTTGCAGAGATGCAGTTGCCTTATTTGGACTTGTCACTCCGAAATAATAGAAAGGTCAAGATTTCAGTTGGAAGAGTTTATTCAAGCGGAAGGATAGCAGTGGCCCATTTGGGAAAAACACAGACTCTAGGGAAATAGACTCAGTACTCCAAA
Source organism: Homo sapiens (assembly GCF_000001405.40). Classification (NCBI taxonomy): domain Eukaryota; kingdom Metazoa; phylum Chordata; class Mammalia; order Primates; family Hominidae; genus Homo; species Homo sapiens. The sequence continues at coordinate 11,926,930 of NC_000019.10, forward strand.
ACTGGAAGTTAAGTTCTTGCTTGTATTACCAGGAAAAGAGGTCCTGATCAGACCCCAGGAGAGTTCTTGAATCTCACACAGGAAGGAATTCAAGACGAGTCACAAAGTGCAGTGAGAAGAGAGTTTATTGAAAGCTACTCTGGGCCAGCATGATGGCTTAGGCCTGTAATCCAAGCACTTTGGGAGGCCAAGGTGGGAGGATAACTTGAGGTCAGGAGTTCGAGACCAGCCTGGGCAACATAGTGAAACCCCATCTCTTCCAAAACTAGCAAAAATTAGCCGGGTGTGGTGGCCTGCACCTGTAGTCCCAGGTGTTCAGGAGGCTGATGTGAGAGAATCACTTGAACCCCAGAGGCAGAGGTTGCAGCCCAGCCGAGGATGTACCACTGCACTCCAGTGTGGGTAACAGAGTGAGACCCCATCTCAAAAACCAAAACAAACAGGAAAGAGGTCAAGACCAACCTGGCCAACACAGCGAGACCCTGTCTCTATTTAAATAAATAAATAAATAAATAAATAAATAAATAAATAAATAGAAAAGGAAAAAGAAAGAAAAAGCTTCTCTGTTTCAGAGTAGGGCATCCTCATACAGCAAGTGGAGGAACGTACTGTCTTTAAGTTTTTCTTATGTAGGGATCTTTTCTATGTAAAGAATAAACTACCTGTGCCTATGTGCATGTGGGCTGACAGCATCACAAAATTTATTACTCTGTTGATTTAAAGAAAACTATCCTTTACATTTTAGCACCCAAGTGCATTAAAACATAACTATAATTATCTTGAAAGCACATATTGTTATAGGTATTGGGACATCAGGACATTCTATTGTTGTGGGAGTGTAAGGATACTTGCAGGCATCTTCAGGCTGTTTTCTTCATGGGAAACATTTTGTGATCATGGGTTGTGACTGACAAGGAGTGTTTCTTGTTAGTGTCAAGATGGAGCTGAACTTAAATTGGTGTTACTCTGGCTCCCCTAGGCACCTGCTTCCCTAACACTTGTATAGGCAAAAGGCAAATAAATGTAACAGGATTATGTTTTCCATAGAAGGCTGATGTATGAGATACAACAATTTTTTTTTTTTTTGAGACAGTATCTTGCTCTGTGACCCAGCCTAGAGCAGTGGTGCGATGATGGCTTACTGCAGCCTTGACCTCCCCAGCTCAAGCACCTCCGCCTCTCAAGTAGCTAAGACTACAATTGCCCACCAGCACACCTGGCTAATTTTTTATTTTTTACAGAGGTTAGGTCTCGTTATGTTGCCCAGGCTGGTCTCTGGCTCCTGGCCTCAAACAGTCCTGCTTCCTTGGCCTCCAAAAGTGCTGGGATTACAGATACAGATATCAGCCACTGCACCTGGCTAACAACTTAATTCGTAATGGTTTACTTTTTTCCCCCAGAGCTTGTTTTCTTTTCTTTCTAGCTGGTTTTTATTTCCTTTTCAATTTAAGAGTGAATTTAACATTCCATCTGAAGACAATCTGATAGCCATGAAATCTTTGTGTGAGAAAGTAGTCTCTGGGCCGGGCGCGGTGGCTCACGCCTGTAATCCCAGCACTTTGGGAGGCCGAGGCGGGCGGATCACGAGGTCAGGAGATCGAGACCATCCCGGCTAAAACGGTGAAACCCCGTCTCTACTAAAAATACAAAAAATTAGCCGGGCGTAGTGGCGGGCGCCTGTAGTCCCAGCTACTTGGGAGGCTGAGGCAGGAGAATGGCGTGAACCCGGGAGGCGGAGCTTGCAGTGAGCCGAGATCCCGCCACTGCATTCCAGCCTGGGCGACAGAGCGAGACTCCGTCTCAAAAAAAAAAAAAAAAAAAAGAAAGTAGTCTCTGTAGTCTTACTACAGAGATCAGTAGTGAAGAGGGGCCTGGTAGGATGGCTCACACCTGTAACCCCAGCACTGTGGGAAGCCAAGGCAGGTGGATGGCTTGATCTCAAGAGTTCAAGACCAGCCTGGGCAACATATTGAGACCCCATCTCATTTGTGAAAAATCATATTAATATAAGTTAAAAAAAATAGTGGAGAGGGAAAGGGTCTTTCCTGTTTCCCTTCAGTCATTTACAACATTTTACAAAACGCTATAGGTAGGAAAGAAGGCGAATCTGTAATCAGGGAATGGAGGATTCCAGCTAGCTATGTGAAAGCTGTGTGTCAGGTCACTCAACCCCATGATCACATTGCTTCAAGATAATTTAAAGATCTACCAGCTTAAATTTTTGAATTACTTTGTTGTTTTTGTTGTTTGTTTTGAGATAGGGTCTCACTCTGTCACCCAGGCTGGAGTGCAGGCGCGATCTCAGCTCACTGCAGCCTCCGCCTCCTGGGTTCAAGTAATTCTCCTGCCTCAGCCTCCCAAGTAGTTGGGATTACAGACATGTGCCACCACACTCAGCTGATTTTTGTATTTTTAGTAAAGACAGGGTTTTACCACACTGGCCAGGCTAGTCTCAACTCCTGTCCTCAAGTGATCCACCCACCTTGGCCTCCCAGAATGGTGGGATTACGGGTGTGAACCACTGCGCCCGGCCTGACTCATTTGTTCAAACAGCCTATGTAGGTAGAAAATTTCTAGGTATGTAATTCCAAGGTAATAGGTAAATTGTGCCTGATTAAGCATGAATTTTATTTCCCTATACATTAGTAATTTCTGAGAGTTGTATTTAAATTCGATTTCAGGGTCCTTAGGTAGGACCTTAGGACACTACACACAGTTCAGTCTCATTGCTTGTTATTTAAATTTTTCCACACTTTCCAGGGCAACTGGTTCCCCCTTATATTTTCCAAATATATGGGATGCCGGATCTCAAATCCTCCACCCTCATACCACAGCCTAACTCTTCAAGGGCTTGCAGTGAAATCTGTTTCTGAACATTTCACATGAGAGGAAAGCAGAGAATAACCACTAGACATTTGCCTGAAAAATCCTTTCTGCCTCTCCTCCTTTTATCTTTCCTAGACACAGACACCTTATCAGGATGTCTTTGGGATGAGGTTCCTTTATGGAAACTTTGCAGGGTGATATGTCTTCAGTACACCCTCCTATCTTTTCCAGATTTTGAGTTTTAGAACTGCCTGTAGCTGACCCAAGACCCCCACAATTGCCATGTCTCTTGGAGGGTCTAGTGGGTATCTGTGCCTAGGGGAGTGGGGCCTCCCAAGGGAGCAGCTGAATGACTAGTGGTGGAGGAGATGCCTGGTATACTTTTCATCTAGATACCCAGTTCGTGGGTGCTCACCTTCTCTCTCCTAACTTCAGTTTCCATTAATTGGAGACACATGGCCAATCAGCTAATTGGATGTTGCTATTGAGGAAAAACAGAAATGATTCCTGTCCTTTGGATTGTCTCAACTGTGAAGAGAGAAATATCCCAAAAGACAAGGAAAGGCCACCCCAACAAGGTTGTATTTAGCTGTCCTACAGGGAGGTGGTCACCAGAATGCAGTTGTGGAACAAATATATGTGAGTTGACCACATGGAGGAACTGGGAGGAGGTGTAGAACTGGAAACTCTGTTGAGTTTGAGTAAAGTTTACTTCTGTTATGAGAATGTTAAATCTATAATCAAAATGCATGCTAAGGTAACATATCAATATAAGAACTCACTATAACCGGCAACTCTAGAATTAATTAAATTATTGTATATGGAGATGACAGGTAGTGGATTGATTATTCTCCTGTAGATAACCATTTGTCCCTGCTTTTTCTGTTAAGTGTTCACCACTTGTATCATTGGCTGACAATACCTGGTTTGTCATAGTTTCACATTACCTTAAATAGATGCCCAGACTGGGTGTGGTGGCTCACGCCTGTAATACCAGCACTTTGGGAGGCTGAGACTGGCATATCACCTGAGGTCAGGAGTTTGAGACCAGCCTGACCAATATGGTGAAACTCCATCTCTATTAAAATTCAAAATTAGCCAAGCATAGTGGTGCATGGCTGTAATCCCAGCTACTCGGGAGGCTGAGGCAGGAGAATCACTTGAACCTGGGAGGTGGAGATTGCAGTGAGCCGAGATTGCGCCATTGCTCTCTAGCCAGGGCAACAAGAACAAAATTCCGTCTCAAAAAAAAAAAAAACAACATAGATGCCCTCGTTTCACAATTTGCTGTTTTCCATTGGTCTATCTTTCCATCTGTCTGTTAATACCACTTTCTCTTAATTAGTATAGAGTACAAAGCTGCAGTGTGTAGTAGGGATAGTGCCTCTCTATCTTAGTCATCTTGGGCTGCTATATCAAATTACCATAGACTGGGTGACTTAAAGAATAAACATTTATTTCTGGCAGTTCTTGAGGTCATGAAGTCCATCTTCAGAGAGCTGGCAGATCTAGTGTCCAGCAAGGGCCCGCTTCCTGGTTTGCAAATGATCGTCTTCTTGTGGTTTCTTCACATGACAGAGGAGAGGAAGCCGGCTCTCCTGTGTCTTCTTATAAGAGCACTAATCTCATTCAGAAAGGATTTACTCCTATGCTCTCATCTAATCCTAATTACTTCCCAGAGATGTCACCTTCTAATACTATATTGGGAGTAGGTTATTAATGTATGATTTTTTTGGATTGATGCAAATATTCATGCCATAACACCTCCCAACAATATTCTATAGAGGATCTTGTCTATTTTTAGTCATTGTCTTCTATTTCAGTCTTTAGAAGTACCTTTTTCTTAATTTTAGTGAGGGAAACAAACTGCACTGTAAATTTCATAAAATATAACTGTAGGCATATTTCAGAGAGGTTACATCATAGTGATACTTAATCTCCTTTTAAGGACACATGGCATTTTTCCATTTATTGCATTTTATACTGATGTTTTTCAGTATAAACTTTTTGCATAATAATCATTTTTTATCCTTCTTGAGACTTTTTTGGACTTCAAGAAAATTAGTTTTAAAATTAGTGGCCAGGCACGGTGGCTCGCGCCTATAATCCCAACACTTTAGGAGGTCAATGCATGCAGATAGCCTGAGTTCAGGAGTTCAAGATCACCCTGACGAGCATGGAGAAACCCCATCTCTACTAAAAACACAAAATTAGCCAGGCGTGGTGGCAGAGGCCTGTAATCTCAGCTACTCAGGAGGCTGAGGCAGGAGAATCGCTTGAACCTGGGAGGTGGAGGTTGCAGTGAGCCAAGATCCCAAGATCGTGCCATTGCACTTCAGCCCAGGCAGCAAGAGTGAAACTTTGTCTCAAAAAAAAAAAAAGAAAGAAAATAAATTAGTCCAGCCTGGGCAACATGGCAAACCTTGTCTATACAAAAACTTACCTGGTCATGGTGATGTGCGCCTGTAGACCCAGCTACTCAGGAGACTGAGGTGGAAGGATCTGTTGAGCCTAGGAGTTCAAGGCTGCAGTGAGCTATGATTGCACCACTACACTCCAGCCTGGGTAACAGAACGAGACCCTGTTTCAAGAAAAAAGAAAAGACACAAAAAAATTAGTTTCAATATGCTATGCTGTTGTTGCTGATAATTAAAATTCACTGAGATTTATTTCTGTATAGAGTGTGCATTCTAGAAACTAACTAAAAGTATTACATATGCACAAAATACATAAAAGAGTTGCACAATGAATCCAAATATTGATGGAGTCAGTACTGTGAACGATAACTGCCTTACTTTTCTTTATACTTCCCCAACCTGGGTACCCATCCACATCAGTATATTTTATTTTTGCATGTTTTTTATGCAAACCAATATGTGATTTTTTTTTTTTTTTTTTTTGAGACAGAGTCTTGCCCTGTCGCCCAGGCTGGAGTGCAGTGGCGTGATCTCGGCTCACTGCAAGCTCCGCCTCCCGGGTTCACGCCATTCTCCTGTCTCAGCCTCCCAAGTAGCTGGGACTACAGGCACCCGCCACCCCGTCCGGCTAATTTTTTGTATTTTTAGTAGAGACGGGGTTTCACCGTGTTAGCCAGGATGGTCTCAATATCCTGACCTCGTGATCCGCCTGCCTCAGCCTCCCAAAGTGCTGGGATTACAGGCGTGAGCCACTGCACCCGGCCAATATGTGATATTTTATATTGGATTTTATTTAAACTCAGTTATGAACCTTACATGGAATGATAGTTAATTCACTTTCTTATTTAGTTGATTTTATTATTTAGAACAGTGGTTGTTTACCCAAAACATTGAGCAGATAATCCAGAGTTCCCTCATTTTTCTTCCAAGCTCATAGTTCCCCCTATTTTAAACATCTTGACTGGCCAGGTGCTGTGCCTCATACCTGTAATTCTACCACTTAGAGAGGCTGAAATGGGAGGATAGCTTGGACTCAGGAGTTGGAGGCCAGCCTAGGCAACATAGCAAGGCCCTGTTTCAAAAAAAAAAAAAATGTTTTAAACCAAGGAAACCATATTGACTGTGTGTAGTGTATCCTATAATTGATGCAAGAATATATTACATGTGAACACGATGAAAATTGAAGAAGCCAATATTATTATTACCTAAAGTCCATCTTTTACATGAAACTTCACTCTTTTTGGGCTGTGGTTTAAGACAACTACGTGTGTCATGTATCCACCATCACAGTCTTATACAGAAGCGTGTCACAGGCCTCAAAATCCCCTGTGCTCTTCCTAATCATAGCTCTCCCCTCCCTCTTCTGCCACCCCTATTTATCCCTGGCAACAAATGATAATGTTCCTGCCTCGGTTTTGCATTTTCCAGAATATTAAATATTTGGAATGATGCTGTAAGTGGCCATTTCAGACTTGCTTCCTCGATGTAAAAATATGCATTGAAGGTCTCTCGATACCTTTGTTGCTTGACAACTCATGTATTTTTTATTTTTATTTATTTATCTAAAAAAAATTTTGTTTTTGAATGGTGTGAACCCAGGAGGCGGAGCTTGCAGTGAGCTGAGATGGCGCCACTGCACTCTAGCCTGGGTGACGGAGCAAGACTCCATCTCAGAAAAAAAAAAAAAAAAAATTTGTTTTTGTTTTGTTAGAGACAGGGTCTCAAACACCCCAGCTCAGGTGATCCTCCCACCTCAGCTTCCCAAAGTGCTGGGATTCCACTTGTGAGCCATCATGTCCGGCCACTCATTTTCTTTCATCACTGAGTAACATTACGTTGGATGGGTGTTACCATAGTTTCTTTATTCACCTACTGAAAGGCTCATCTTGAGCCTGGTGTGATGCCTCATCCCTAAATTCCCAGCTACATGGGAGACAGAGGTGAGACGATTGCTTGAGGCCAGGAGTTAGAGAACAGCCTGGTAGATACAGTGTGAGACCTCATCTATTTTTTTTTAAAAAAAGACTCACCTTGTTTGAGTCTAGTTTTTGGCAGTTATGAGTAAGGCTGCTAAAAACGTCTGTGGGAGGACTTTTGTGTGGACATCAGTTTTCAGTTCATTTGGGTCAATATTGTAGGATTGAGACTACTGAATCAGTAGGACCATGCTTATTTTCTTCAGACCTCCGCAGACTGTCTTCCGAATTGGCTGTAGAATTTTCCATTCACATCGATAGTGAATGAGTGTTCATTGTCATTGGCATTAGGAAGTGTCAGTGTTTTGGATTTTAGCTACTGCACCAGGTATTTGCTGCTGCCTCATTGTTTTCTTTTTTTTCTTTTTTTCTTTGTTTGTTTGTTTGTTTGTTTGGAGATGCAGTTTCGCTTTTGTTTCCCTGGCTGGAGTGCAATGGCGCAATCTCAGCTCACTGCAGCCTCTGCCTCCCAGGTTCAAACGATTCTCCTGACTCAGCCTCCAGAGTGTCTGGGATTACAGGCGTGCGCTGCCTCTCCTGACCAATTTTTGTATTATTAGTAGAGATGAGGTTTTACCATGTTGGCCAGGCAGGTCTCAAACTCCTGACCTCAGGTCATCCACCTGCCTCGGCTTCCCAATGTGCTGGATTACAGGCGTGAGCCACTGCGCCCGGCCTGTTTTCATTTCGCTCTTTAATGACACGTGATGTAGAGCATCCTGTCATATGTTTGCCATAATTACAGTCTTTGGTCGGGTGCGGTGGCTCACGCCTGTAATCCCAGCACTTTGGGAGGCCAAGGCGGGTGGATCAGGAGGTCAGATCAAGACCATCCTGGCTAACACTGTGAAACCCCGTCTCTACTAAAAATAGAAAAAATTAGCCAGGCATGGTGGCGGGCGCCTATAGTCCCAGCTACTGGGAGGCTGAGGCAGGAGAATGGCATGAACCCGGGAGGCGGAGCTTGCAGTGGGCCGAGATGGCACCACTGCACTCCAGCCTGGGCGACAGAGCGAGACTCCGTCTCAAAAAAAAAAAAAAAAAAATTACTGTCTTTGTGGGGAGGTATACTTGGAAAGATCTTGTTTTTTTTTTTTTTTTTTTTTGAGACTGTGTCTGGCTCTGTTGCCCAGTCTGGAGTGCAGTGGTGTAATCTCGGCTCACTGCAACATCTGCCTCCCAGGTTCAAGTGATTCATCTGCCTCAGCCTCCAGAGTAGGTGGGATTATAGGCTTACACCACCAGGCCCAACTAATTTTTGTATTTTTAGTTGAGACTGGGTTTCACCATGTTAGGCTGATCTCGAACTCCTGACCTCGATGATCCACCCACCTCAGCCTCCCAAAGTGCCGGGATTATAGGCATGAGCCACTGTGCCTGGCTTTTTGCTTCTTTTTTGATTGGTTGTTTTTTTTCTTATAGAATTTTAGGACTTCTTCATACCTTTTGGATACCAGTCCATCACCAGATAGGCGTTCTGCAATTATTTTGTCCCAGTCTGTCACCTTTTTATTCTGTTAACAAAGTCATTTCCAAAACAGACAGTTTTACTTTGTTTGTTTTGTTTTTAAATTATACTTTAAGTTCTAGGGTACATGTGCACAACGTGCAGGTTTGATACATAGGTATAACATGTGCCGTGTTGGTTTGTTGCACCCATCAACTTGTCATTTACATTCGGTATTTCTCCTAAGGCTATCCTCCTCCCAGCCCTCCAGCCCCTGACAGGCCCCGGTGTGTGATGTTCCCTGCCCTGTGTCCGAGTGGTCTCATTGTTCAGTTCCCACCTATGAGTGAGAATATGCAGTGTTTGGTTTTCTGTTCTTGTGATAGTCTGCTGAGTATGATGATTTCCAGTTTCATCCATGTCCCTGCAAAGGACATGAACTCATCCTTTTTTATGGCTGCGTAGTATTCCATGGTGTATATATGCCACATTTTCTTAATCCAGTCTATCATTGGTGGACATTTGGGTTGGTTCCAAGTCTTTGCTATTGTGAATAGTGAATATTGCTTTATAGTAGCATAATTTATAATCCTTAGGGTATATACCCAGTAGTGGGATTGCTGGGTCAAATGGTATTTCTAGTTCTAGATCCTTGAGGAATCGCCACACTGTCTTCCACAATGGTTGAACTAGTTTACAGTCCCACCAACAGTGTAAAAGTGTTCCTATTTCTCCACATCCTCTCCAGCACCTGTTGTTTCCTGACTTTTTAATGATTGCCATTCTAACTGGCGTGAGATGGTATCTCATTGTGGTTTTGATTTGCATTTCTCTGATGACCAGTGTTGATGAGCATTTTTTCATGTGTCTGTTGGCTGCATAAATGTCTTCTTTTGAGAAATGTCTGTTCATGTCCTTTGCCCACTTTTTGATGGGGTTGTTTGTTTTTTTCTTGTAAGTTTGTTTGAGTTCCTTGTAGATTCTGGATATTAGTCGTTTGTTGGATGGGTAGATTGCAAAAATTTTCTCTCATTCTATAGGTTGCCTGTTCACTTTGATGGTAGTTTCTTTTGCTGTGCAGAAGCTCTTTAGTTTAATTAGATCCCATTTGTCAATTTTGGCTTCTGTTGCCATTGCTTTTGGTGTTTTAGTCATGAAGTCCTTGCCCATGCCTATGTCCTGAATGGTATTGCCTAGGTTTTCTTCTAGGGTTTTTATGGTTTTAGGTCTAACGTTTAAGTCTTAATCCATCTTGAATTAATTTTTGTGTAAGGTGTAAGGAAGGGATCCAGTTTCAGCTTTCTACATATGGCTAGCCAGTTCTCCCAGCACCATTTATTAAATAGGGAATCGTTTCCCCATTTGTTGTTTTTGTCAGGTTCGTCAAAGATCAGATGGTTGTATATGTGTGGTGTTATTTCTGAGGCCTCTGTTATGTTCCATTGGTCTATATATCTGTTTTGGTCCCAGTACTGACAGTTTTACTTTGAAGTCCAATTTATCGATTTTCTCATTCACAGATCATGCTTTTTGTGTTGTGTGTGAAACCTTATTGCCAAATCCAAGGTTGTCATGGTTTTCACAAGTGTTACGTTCTAGAAGTTGTGAGTTTTGCATTTTCCATTTAAGTAAATGATTCATTAGGAGGTAGTTTTGTAAAAGGTGAAGTTCTGTATCTAATTCATTTCTTTGCATTTGCTAATCCAGGTGTTTCAGTACCATTTGTTGTATGCCACCATGTCTAATTATTTATTTATTTTATTACAGAGACGGGGTCTCCCTATGTTGCCCAGGCTGGTCTCGAACTGCTGGGCTCAAATGACCTGTCTGCCTTGGCCTCTGGTTTTGAATTTTTAATACATGTCTTTATAGTAGATTTTTCTTTTTTTCTTTCCTTTTTTTTTTTTTTTTGAGACAGAGTCTCGCTCTGTCACCCAGGCTGGAGTGCAGTGGCGCCATCTCGGCTCACTGCAACCTCCACCTCCCAGGTTCAAGCCATTCTCCTGCCTCAGCCTCCCGAGTAACTGAGACTACAGGTGCCTACCACCACGCTTGGCTAATTTTTTGTATTTTTAGTAGAGACGGGGTTTCACCATGTTAGCCAGGATGGTCTCGATCTCCTGACCTCATGATCTGCCTGCCTCAGCCTCCCAAGGTGCTGGGATTACAAGTGTGAGCCACCGCACCTGGCCTATAGATTTTTCTACGTTCCTTGTGCCTCTCTGTCATCTTATGGAATCTTCTCTTGTATAGTTCATTGAGTGTTTTTAATCATGAGGAGATATTAACCCATTTATGCTGGAGATTGCAATTTTTTGAATTGCAGATGTGTGAGAAATCAGACTTTGGCAATAACCTTGAACAGTAGGATATAAATAACTCCCACATGCTTAGCGTTCCAAAAATGGAACACTACTCATAAATGGGCTAAGGCTTGTCAGATACCTTTTCTGCCTCTATTTATTCATTCTTGTCGTTTTTTGTTCGTTTGGAGACGGAGTCTCACTCTGTCATCCAGGCTGGAGTGCAGTGGCATGATCTTGGCTCACTGCAACCTCCATCTCCCAGGTTCAAATGATTCTCCTGCCTCAGCCTCCCAAGTAACAGGGACTACAGGTACACACCACCACACCTGGCTGATTTTTTTTTAATATTATATTTTAAGTTCTAGGGTACATGTGCACAATGTGCAGGTTTGTTACACATGTATACATGTGACATGTTGGTGTGCTGCACCCATTAACTCGTTATTTACATTAGGTATATCTCCTTATGCTATCCCTCTCCCTTCCCCCTACCCCATGACAGGCCCCGGTGTGTGATGTTCCCCTCCCTGGGTCCAAGTGTTCTCATTGTTCAGTTCCCACCTATGAGTGAGAATATGCGGTGTTTGGTTTTCTGTCCTTGAGATAGTTTGCTCAGAATAATGGTTTCCAGCTTCATCCATGTCCCTACAAAGGACATGAACTCATCCTTTTTTGTGGCTGCATAGTATTCCATGTGTATATGTGCCACATTTTCTTAATCTAGCCTATGACATCTGGGTTGGTTCCAAGTCTTTGCTATTGTGAATGGTGCCGCAATAAACATACATGTGCATGTGTCTTTATAGCAGCATGATTTATAATCCTTTGGGTATATACCCAGTAGTGGGATGGCTGGATCAAATGGTATTTCTAGTTCTAGATCCTTGAGGAATCACCACACTGTCTTCCACAATGGTTGAACTAGTTTACAGTCCCACCAACAGTGTAAAAGTGTTCCTATTTCTCCACATCCTCTCCAGCACCTGTTGTTTCCTGACTTTTTAATGATTGCCATTCTAACTGGTGTGAGATGGTATCTCATTGTGGTTTTGATTTGCATTTCTCTGATGGCCAGTGATGATGAGCATTTTTCCATGTGTCTGTTGGCTGCATAAATGTCTTCTTTTGAGAAGTGTCTGTTCATGTCCTTTGCCCACTTTTTGATGGGGTTGTTTGATTTTTTCTTGTAAATTTGTTTAAGTTCTTTGTAGATTCTGGATATTAGCCCTTTGTCAGATGGGTAGATTGTAAAAATTTTCTCCCATTCTATAGGTTGCCTGTTCATTCTGATGGTAGTTTCTTTTGCTGTGCAGAAGCTCTTTAGTTTAATTAGATCCCATTTGTCAATTTTGGCTTTTGTTGCCATTGCTTTTGGTGTTTTAGTGATGAAGTCCTTGCCCATGCCTATGTCTGAATGGTATTGCCTAGGTTTTCTTCTAGGGTTTTTATGGTTTTAGGTCTAACATTTAAGTCTTTAATCCATCTTGAATTAATTTTTGTATAAGGCGTAAGGAAGGGATCCAGTTTCAGCTTTCTACATATGGCTAGCCAGTTCTCCCAGCACCATTTATTAAATAGGGAATCGTTTCCCCATTTGTTGTTTTTGTCAGGTTCGTCAAAGATCAGATGGTTGTATATGTGTGGTATTATTTCTGAGGGCTCTGTTCTGTTCCATTGGTCTATATCTCTGTTTTGGTACCAGTACCATGCTGTTGCGCCTGGCTAATTTTTGTATTTTTAGTAGAGATGGAGTTCCACCACGTTGGCCAGGCAGGTCTCAAACTGCTGACCTCCATAATTGCACCTGCCTTGGCCTCCTAAAGTACTGGAATTATAGGCATGAGTCACCACACCTGGCTGCTACCATGATTTATTATCATTACTTATTGGAAAACAAAACTTAAAACTTACCAGCTTAAGGAATTTTACACGTACACTTGAGATAGTTTGACAAATCTACATAAGTTCTGTAAGATGAATTCTATTGTATTTTGCTTATTGCAATTATCCTGAGGTTTCACGCATGTTGTAGTATGTAACAAGACGTTTTCTTTTTTTTTTTTTTGAGACAGCAGGCTGGAGTTCAGTGGCACAACCTCGGCTCACCGCAGCCTCTGCCTTTCAGGTTCAAGCAATTCTCCTGTCTCAGCCTCCTGAGTAGCTGGGATTACAGGCATGTGCCACCACACCTGGCTAATTTTGTATTTTTAGTAGAGACAAGGTTTCTCCATGTTGGTCAGACTGGTCTCCAACTCCAACCTCAGGTGATCGACCTGCCTCGGCCTCCAAAAGTGCTGGGCTTATAGGCATGAGCCACAGTGCCCGGCCAAGATGTTATTTTCTAAGTATAAATAATATTTCAATGTATTGTGTCCGGAATTGGTGGGTTCTTGGTGTCACTGACTTCAAAAATGAAGCCGTGGACCCTTGCGGTGAGTGTTACAGCTCTTAAGGTGGCGTGTCTGGAGTTTGTTCCTTCTGATGTTTGGATGTGTTCAGAGTTTCTTCCTTCTGGTGGGTTTGTGGTCTCGCTGGCTCAGGAGTGAAGCTGCAGACCTTCGTGGTGAGTGTTAACAGCTCTTAAGGCAGCGCGTCTGGAGTTCTTCGTTCCTCCTGGTGGGCTCGTGATCTCGCTGGCTTCAGGAGTGAAGCTGCAGACCTTTGTGGTGAGTGTTACAGCTCATAAAAGCAGCGTGGACCCAAAGAGTGAGCACTAGCAAGATTTATTGCAAAGAGCAAAAGAACAAAGCTTCCACAGTGTGGAAGGGGACCCGAGTGGGTTGCCACTGCTGGCTCAGGCAGCCTGCTTTTATTCTCTTATCTGGCCCCACCCACATCCTGCTGATTGGTATAGCCGAGTGGTCTGTTTTGACAGGGCGCTGATTGGTGCGTTTACAATCCCTGAGCTAGACACAAAGGTTCTCCACGTCCCCCCCAGATTAGCTAGATACAGAGTGTTGACATAAAGGTTCTCCAAGGCCCCACCAGAATAGCTAGGTACAGAGTGTCGATTGGTGCATTCACAAACCCTGAGCTAGACACAGGGTGCTGATTGGTGTATTTACAAACCTTGAGCTAGATACAGAGTGCCGATTGGTGTATTTACAATCCCTGAGCTAGACATAAAGGTTCTCCAAGGCCTCACCAGAGTAGCTAGATACAGAGTGTCGATTGGTGCATTCACAAACCCTGAGCTAGACACAGGGTGCTGATTGGTGTGTTTACAAACCTTAAGCTAGATACAGAGTGCCGATTGGTGCATTTACAATCCCTGGGCTAGACATAAAGTTTCTCCACGTCCCCACCAGACTCAGGAGCCCAGATGGCTTCACCCAGTGGATCCTGCACCAGGGCTGCAGGTGGAGCTGCCTGCCAGTCCCGCGCCATGCGCCCGCACTCCTCAGCCCTTGGGTGGTTGATGGGACTGGGTGCTGTGGAGCAGGGGGCGGCGCTCATCGGGGAGGCTCGGGCCGCACAGGAGCCCATGGAGGAGGTGGGAGACTCAGGCATGATGGGCTGCAGGTCCCGAGCCCTGCCCCGTGGGAAGGCAGCTAAGGCCGGGTGAGAAATCGAGCGCAGCACCGGTGGGCTGGCACTACTGGGGGACCCAGTACACCCTCTGCAGCCGCTGGCCCAGGTGCTAAGCCCCTCATTGCCCAGGGCCAGCAGGGTCGGCCGGCTGCTCCGAGTGCGGGGCCGCCAAGCCCACGCCCACCCAGAACTCCAGCTGGCCCGCAAGCGCCGCGCGCAGCCCCAGTTCCCGCTCGCGCCTCTCCCTCCACCCCTCCCTGCAAGCTGAGGGAGCCGGCTCCCGCCTTGGTCAGCCCAGAAAGGGGCTCCCACAGTGCAGCAGTGGGCTGAAGGGCTCCTCAAGTGCCGCCAAAGTGGGAGCCCAGGCAGGGGAGGCGCCAAGAGCGAGCGAGGGCTGTGAGGACTGCCAGCATGCTGTCACCTCTCAGTATGTATATACTTACCACATTTTGTTTATCCATTCAGCCGTCAGTGGATATGTGGGTGGCTGCATTGCTCATTACTGCCACCCCAGGAAGGTTGTATAGTGGTTGAATCTGTGCTTATTACACCTGGTATCTCTTAGGAGTTTCTCGTTTGGCCTCTTGTGCACTTAGGGTGCCAGGTTTTGCTTAGGAATGTCCCCTTTCCTTTGCCCTTCTTACCAGCATCTATCTAGCTGCATTCTGACAGGATAACTGCAAAGTGAATGATTCCTGGGCATCATAATGGATGTTTCTTTCTACTTAGGTGTTTCCCCTCCTCTCTGCTTATATCTAGCATGCCTGTTTTGGGTGGTCCCTGGGGGTGTGGGCTTTCCCCTGGACTTCCCCTCCTGCTCTTGGCTAGCTATCTGCCTTCTCTAACAATGTCATCAAAGATTACACTTTGGGAACAGGCATTTTCAAGGAAACACAGCCTCAGGACTGCTAATGTTAACTTTTTTCTGCCTATTAATTCATAGGACTCCGTTATGACAGGTGCTACAGACCCACAGTCCAAAGAGACATTAGGGACAGCCCAGGCAGCTCGTTTTTCTCCCTGGATTTGTAGCAGGACAAGCCGCAGACAAAACCTCTCAGACACTGGGTTAGAGAAGGAAGTGGCTTTATTCGGCCAGGAGCGTCAGCAGACTTGCGTCTTAAAAACCGAGCTCCCAGAGAGAGAGAAATTCCTGCCCCTTTTGAAGGCTTACACAGGGATCCACATGAAAGGATCGTGATCAATTAAACAAGGATGGAGTGTGTAATTGGGGCTGCATGCATCGGTAACAGGACAGAGCAGAACAGAAAGACTTTCACAGTGCTTTCTCATACAATGTCTGGAATCTATAGATAATACAAGTGGTTAGGTCAGGAGTTGATTTTTAACTACCAGGCCTGGGGTGTGGCACCGGGCTGTCTGACTATTGATCTCATTTCTGCCTTCCTTTAACTTTTGCTTCCTCTTTCTTGTTCTGAGGTATGAGACAATAAGAGAGGTGGTCTCCTTCCTTATTCCCCCCTTTGAGAATCTCACTTATTAATGGGAGTTCTCACTTTCATCCTTACTACCTAGGTCTTCCTGCAAGACAGATCAATAGTGGTTAATGTAATACACTTGTGCTGAAACATTTTGGTGGACCAAGGTAGTGACAAAGCTTCTCATTATTTGAAGGAGCACAGGTAGCAAGCAGGGGAGTAACAAGCAGGTTTCTATTATTATTATTATTTCTATTATAAGTGTTTTAAATCCTCCTAGTGCTGGAAACCATTTTCCAAATACAGATTTAGGATTAAACCCATGCCAAAGCTGTACAGGCACATGTGCCAACTTTGTTATGTCCTTAACTATGTTTTTGACTACTTGCCCTTGATTATTTATATGCAGACAGCAATTGGTTAGGTTAAATTTTCCATAGACCCCTCCTTTAGCTGCTAGCAAGTAGTCTAGGGCCAGTCTATTTTGATAGATAGCATTTTTCATCTGGGTTTCTTACCGGGCTAAAACAGTTAAAGCTCTGCCAGTTTTAGTAGTGATTATTTCTAAGATAGCTTGTAACCATATGATCCGGTTGAGCATGTAAATGGGGGTCTCTTTTTTTTCTGTTTTAGCTATTTTTTTTACTTCTATTACCTAGAAAAGAACTAGTTTTTAAATCTTATTTCAAAGACTGTGATCATGGGAGGCTCAGATGGGTTATGGTACACATCAGGTCGGGCATTTCCTGGGTTACACACTTTGTACTGAGTGGTGTTATACAGGCAAGTTCCTTTTAAAGTTCCTAGGCATTCATAATAACTAGAAAACCGAAAGATTGTTTTAACTTGTTGCCCTACCTCAGTAACCTGATGAATACACTGGGAACAATCTTCCATGTGGGGAAAATCAGTTGAAGTCCTTATTCTACAAGTCCAAATTTTAAGGAGAATAAGTCCCATGATGAGTTTCCTCATGCTTTGGCCGCACATAGACCAGTCAGCTTCCAGGTGTGACAGGAGCAGGGCTTGTCGTCTTTTTCAGAGTCACTTTGCAGGGGTTTTCCAGGTTTGGTCCTGCCTCCCAGGAGCTGCAGGTTTTACATGACTGTGGTGGATCCAGGCCGGGATTCCCTCTACCTTCACGGTGGTGTGAGTGGTCTGTGGTCCCTTCCACCATGGGCACAAGGGGGCTACATTCCAGTCCTTGATCCACACTCTATTACCTGGGGAGAAAGGGTGAACTGGGGAGAATAAGCTAATGGGGCGTTTCTCGTTTACCTAGGCTGAGATTGTTCGTGTAATTTTTCGTAAGGCCTGTAGCTGTCGCTGTAACTTAATTTCACCTAATTCTCAGGGAGTGCCTGGAAGTCCCCATACTATGGGAGGAGGGCTATGATATAATATTTCATAAGGGGAATATCCTGTTTTTCTAGAAGGGGTAAATTTAATCTTAATACCACAGGGAGAGCTTGTACACACTTTAATCCTGTTTCTTGACACACTTTCCCTAAACTATTTTTGATAGTCCAATTCATCCACTCCACCTTTCCGGAACTCTGAGGTTGGTAGGCAGCATGCAGTATCCATGTGATCCCCAATACCTTTGCTGTCTTCTGTACCAAGTCAGCCACAAACGCTGGCCTGTTATCTGAGCCAATTCGTAAGGGCAGTTCAAACCTAGGAATAAGATCTTGAAGAAGCACACGGGTTACTTCACCAGCTTTCTCAGTTCGCGTTGGATAAGCTTCCACCCACCCAGAGTATGTACACACAAGAACTAGTAAATACTTGTTATCTTCACATTTTGGCATTTCTGTGAAGTCTACCTGCAGATCTTCAAAGGGGGCTGCTCCATAAGCTTGTATGCCAGCCGGGACGGTTGGACCCTGCCTTGCATTGTGTTGTTGGCAGGTAATACATCGCTGTGCCACTGTTTCAGCAAGGGCTGATAAATGTGAGATGTAGAAGTACCGGCTTAACAACTTTTGAAGTGACTCCTGGCCTAGATGGGTGGTTTTATGCACAGCCAGTATGACTGTGGCTCCCAGCAGCTGTGGCACAGCTACTCTCCCATCCAGTAACCACATCCATCCTTCTTCCATCACCTGTCCTCCCTCTGCCTGGAGAAAGTCCTTTTCTTCTTTAGAATAAGTGGGTACAAGGTAGGCCACTGGCCTTGGCCAGGGCCCCACAGTCTGGGTTAGAACTCCAACTGCCTTTTTTTCTTTTTCTGACACAGTGTAAAAGGCTTTGTTAGATTAGGTAGCCCCAGGGCTGGGACTGACATAAGTTTTTCCTTTAACTCATGAAAGGCTCACTGTTGTTGGGATTCCCATTCAAAAGGTTCCCAGCACCCCTCTTTGTGACCCCATATAGAGGTTTGGCCAGTACTGCAAAGTTTGGGATCCACAGTCTGCAGAACCCTACTGCTCCTAAGAATTCTCTCACCTGCCTTCTGGTTTTAGGTTGCAATAGGCTGCAGATGACCTGCTTTCTTTCTGAGCTTGATTGACCAAGCACAAGTCCTGTACTGGCCTGTAGTTCTTGGTCCCTGGCTTGGGAACAGGCAGGAGGGTAGTGTTCCATGGAGACTGGCAAAGGACTATAATTCCAAAGGCTCTCAAGTGCTTGAGGTGGACCTGGATTCCTTCAAGAGCTTCTCTAGGGAACCGGGTACTGTTTTTGCCTGACCGGCTGGGCCCCAGGCTTAACTTCTGTAGGTACGGGGGTTTGGTTGACTGCCAGCCCTGGAGGGTTGTCTTCTGCCCACACCTTTGACCATCACTTAGCCAGAGCTGGTCTTATCTCTTGACCTGGCTCGGTTAAGAAAAGTCTTCATTCCTCCTCCTGGGGGACAGTAAGGGCCATGATGACTCCCTTTCCGGGTAACTTTAGCTGTAAAAGAGCTGTGCTCTGTAAGAGAGATGGTGGCTCTCAGCTTGCTAAGCAAGTCCCTTCCCAGCAAGGGCAAGGAGAAGTCGGGCATGTACAAGAACTGGTGGATTACTTCATGTACCCCTATAGTACAAGTGCAGGGCAAGCAGAAAGCTTGTTTTGCCGAGACTCGTGTGGCTTCGATTATATCAATAGTCTTTTTGGATAAGGGGGTGACCGGGGTGGTTACTACTGAATATTCAGCACCAGTATCGACAAGAAACTCTATGTCCTTGTCCCTGACTGTCATCCTGACCATGGGCTCGTTAGGGGCACCTGAGCCTGGTCCCCCTTAGTCCAGTAGCCCTTCTGCCAGATTAAACAAGGCCCTTTCATCCTTGCCTGAGACCTCTGGCTTGGAGCCATTTTGTTTCTTCTTTAACTGGGGGCACTTGTCTTTCCAGTCTTAGATCGTAAATGAGCTGCCAAGGGAGGGGTTTCTCCCGCAGCTTCACATTCTCTCTTGTCTGTTCTGGGTGGTCTAGGGGTGTATCTGTCCAGAGGAGGCACAGGTGCTGTGGGCTCAGGAGTGGGGAGTCTCTCTTCTAGGTAAGGACGGGGGGCATTGCTGTGCCATTTCCTGCCATGGGTCCTCTGACATTGGGTCAGATAGAACTTTAGGAGCTGACTTCCCTTGGCGGGTGGGGAGAGATCCCTCATTGGCTATCTGTCCCTTTGCCACTAACACTGCTGCTGCCTGTCCTCTCAACCACTGTGGGGGGTCTAAAACCAGCTGTAACTAAGTGTCTGTGTACAGGAACTTGTCTGGATACCCTGGCTTACAGGTAATCTTGTGCCATACCTTTGAAATAAGGGACCTATCCAGGCTTCCTTCTGATGGCCAACCCACCTCTAATGCTGGCCAGTCTGTCTCACACAAAGTTCTAAGTTTTCCTGGTGTTATAGTAACTCCATAGTCTCCCTTAAATCCCTTTTTGAAATTTTTTATAACATAGTTCCTAGTGGGGTGGGCTTACTTTGTGTCTGACCCATTTTTCTTTCGAGACAAGACAACACTCACACTACAAGAGGGAAAGGGTAAAGGTCACTCACGCGTGGTGGTACATGCCTATAATCCCAGCTACTCGGGAGGCTGAGGCAGGAGAATCGCTTGAACCCCGGTGGTGAGCCAATATCACGCCATTGTACTCCAGCCTGGGCAACAAGAGTGAAACTCTGTCTCAAAAAATAAATAAATAAATAAATTGCTTTATGGAAGAAAGTAAGTATAGATGGAGAGAAAGGGATCTGATAACCGAAGCAGGGAATAAATGTTTGGAGTCCACAGCATCCTGAGAACTTCTTGGGAATAGAGTCTAGGCCTCCAGTGCTGTCACTCTCACCCATCTTCCTCTACACATGTGAGATGTTTCAGGACCCAGTGGCCTTTGAGGATGTGGCTGTGAACTTCACCCAGGAAGAGTGGACATTGCTGGATATTTCCCAGAAGAATCTCTTCAGGGAAGTGATGCTGGAAACTTTCAGGAACCTGACCTCTATAGGTAAGGATGACAATATTCCTTCCGTCAGTGCATTAGCAAACCAGTGTTTCTAGCTCATGAATGCTGTTGAGTGATTTTGAACATAGACAGGAAATACCTTGATGAATAAATGAGGCATGGCTGCAGTAAATCATGGGCACAGAATCTAATAATTTTTTCACAATTTTATACTGCTTCAGGACTATTTTTCTGTGTCTGTATTTTAGGAAAAAAATGGAGTGACCAGAACATTGAATATGAGTACCAAAACCCCAGAAGAAGCTTCAGGTAATTTGCATTTCCAAGAGAAAGCAGTGTCTCTCTGCACAATCTTAGAATATGAGAATATGTTGAAGAGAAGTAAAACAAAGAACTAAATCCAGCATCAAATTCATTTCTTCTTAGAATATTTTCTCAAAAAACATATATTTAAACGTGACTGAGGCTGAGGGCTCACTCCTGTAATCCCAGTCCTTTGAGAAGTGGAGATAGGAGGATAGCTTGAGGCCATCAGTTCCAGAACAGCCTGTGCAACATAACGAGACCACATATCAACAACAGCAAAAAATTAGCTGGGCATTGTGGTGTGTATGCATCGGTAGTCCCAGCTACTCAGGAGGCGAAGGCAGGAGGATCACTCGAGACTTCAGGAGTTAAAGGCTGCAGTAAGCTATGATGATATCACTGTACTCCAGCATGGGCAACAGGACAAGAACTGGACTCAAAAGAAAAATGACATACAGTATTTAGTAATTGTAAAATAGTTTACATGGGAATACTATTAAGAAGCCCCTTATGAATATTTTTTTAAACAATAGGTATGGCTGGGTCATCTTGTAGAACATGTCCAGTCACCTTCAAACGATTCAGACAGGGCAGAAAGCCTACACTTTGATGGACAGTGTTAAAAATGCAAGTGCAATACTTGTTGATTAATATAGAAGTACTTGTAAACAAACCCTTCATGATGTGTTTCTCATGTTTTACAGGAGTCTCATAGAAGAGAAAGTCAATGAAATTAAAGAAGACAGTCATTGTGGAGAAACTTTTACCCAGGTTCCAGATGACAGACTGAACTTCCAGGAGAAGAAAGCTTCTCCTGAAGTAAAATCATGTGACAGCTTTGTGTGTGCAGAAGTTGGCATAGGTAACTCATCTTTTAATATGAGCATCAGAGGTGACACTGGACACAAGGCATATGAGTATCAGGAATATGGACCAAAGCCATATAAGTGTCAACAACCTAAAAATAAGAAAGCCTTCAGGTATCGCCCATCCATTAGAACACAAGAAAGGGATCACACTGGAGAGAAACCCTATGCTTGTAAAGTCTGTGGAAAAACCTTTATTTTCCATTCAAGCATTCGAAGACACATGGTAATGCACAGTGGGGATGGAACTTATAAATGTAAATTTTGTGGGAAAGCCTTCCATTCTTTCAGTTTATATCTTATCCATGAAAGAACTCACACTGGAGAGAAACCATATGAATGTAAACAATGTGGTAAATCCTTTACTTATTCTGCTACCCTTCAAATACATGAAAGAACTCACACTGGGGAGAAGCCCTATGAATGTAGCAAATGTGATAAAGCATTTCATAGTTCTAGTTCCTATCATAGACATGAAAGAAGTCACATGGGAGAGAAGCCTTATCAATGCAAAGAATGTGGAAAAGCATTTGCATATACCAGTTCTCTTCGTAGACATGAAAGGACCCACTCTGGGAAAAAACCGTATGAATGTAAGCAATATGGGGAAGGCTTATCCTATCTTATAAGTTTTCAAACACACATAAGAATGAACTCTGGAGAAAGACCTTATAAATGTAAGATATGTGGGAAAGGCTTTTATTCTGCCAAGTCATTTCAAACACATGAAAAAACTCACACTGGAGAGAAACGCTATAAATGCAAGCAATGTGGTAAAGCCTTCAATCTTTCCAGTTCCTTTCGATATCATGAAAGGATTCACACTGGAGAGAAACCCTATGAGTGTAAGCAGTGTGGGAAAGCCTTCAGATCTGCCTCACAGCTTCGAGTGCACGGTGGGACTCACACTGGAGAGAAACCCTATGAATGTAAGGAATGTGGGAAAGCCTTCAGATCTACCTCACACCTTCGAGTGCATGGTAGGACTCATACTGGAGAGAAACCCTATGAATGTAAGGAATGTGGGAAAGCCTTCAGATATGTGAAGCACCTTCAAATTCATGAAAGGACAGAAAAACACATAAGAATGCCCTCTGGAGAAAGACCTTATAAATGTAGTATATGTGAGAAAGGCTTTTATTCTGCCAAGTCATTTCAAACACATGAAAAAACTCACACTGGAGAGAAACCCTATGAATGCAACCAATGTGGTAAAGCCTTCAGATGTTGCAATTCCCTTCGATATCATGAAAGGACTCACACTGGAGAGAAACCCTATGAGTGTAAGCAATGTGGGAAAGCCTTCAGATCTGCCTCACACCTTCGAATGCATGAAAGGACTCACACTGGAGAGAAACCCTATGAGTGTAAGCAATGTGGGAAAGCCTTCAGTTGTGCCTCAAACCTTCGAAAGCATGGTAGGACTCACACTGGAGAGAAACCCTATGAGTGTAAGCAATGTGGGAAAGCCTTCAGATCTGCCTCAAACCTTCAGATGCATGAAAGGACTCACACTGGAGAGAAACCCTATGAATGTAAGGAATGCGAAAAAGCATTCTGTAAATTCTCTTCTTTTCAAATACATGAAAGGAAGCACAGAGGAGAGAAGCCCTATGAATGTAAGCATTGTGGGAATGGATTCACATCTGCCAAGATTCTTCAAATACATGCAAGAACACACATTGGAGAGAAACACTATGAATGTAAGGAATGCGGAAAAGCATTCAATTATTTTTCTTCCTTGCATATACACGCAAGGACTCATATGGGAGAGAAGCCATATGAATGTAAGGATTGTGGGAAAGCATTCAGCTAGCCTGGTTCCTTTTATGGACATGAATAGACTCACACTGGAAGGAAGCACTATGAATGCAAGCAATGTGGCAAAACTTTCACATTTTCCAGTTCTTTTCGATATCATGAAAGGACTCACACTGGGGAGAAACCCTATCAATGTAAGCAGTGTGGGAAAGCCTTCATTCCTTTTACTTCTTTTCAATGTCATGAAAGGACTCACACGGGAGAGAAACCCTATGAGTGTATTCTAGTTCCGTTTGATATCATGAAAGGACTTACACTGGAGTGAAACCCTATGAATGTAAGCAATGTGGGAAAGCCTTCAGATGTGCCTCGCACCTTCAACGGCATGGAAGGGTTCACACTTGGGAGAAACTCTATGAATGTAAGCAGTATGGGAAAGCCTTCAGATCTGCCAAGATTCTTTGAATACAGATAATTAATGTAAACAATTATCATAAGTATACTAACATGTTATTCTTTTTAAATAAGAAGGTATAATAAAATATCCCATTGGTTTTATGTATTAGATCAAGCTTATAATGTTACATTGTTATTATTTGGACATTGTGAGTCAGTATTACCATGTGGATAAAATGCCAGGCATCTTTTTCCTCATGGAAAGTTTACTTTTTGCACCGGGCACAGTGGCTCACGCCTGTAATCCCAGCACTTTGGGAGGCCAAGGCAGGCGGATCACGAGGTGAAGAGATCAAGACCATTCTGACCAACGTGGTGAAACCCTGTCTCTACTAAAAATACAAAAATTAGCTGGGCATGGTGGCGCGCACCGGTAGTCCCAGCTTCTCGGGAGGCTGAGGCAGGAGAATCGCTTGAACCTGGGAGGCGGAGGTTGCAGTGAGCAGAGATCACACCACTGCACTCCAGCCTGGCAACAGAGCAAGACTCCATCTCCAAAAAAAAAAAAAAAAAAGAAAGAAATTTTACTTTTCATGCTTATGTACTTATTTTTTATCTCAACCCTAATTTTGCTGGTTTTTGTTTTTTTTTTTTCTGATAGTCTCATTCTGTCGCCCAGGATAGAGTGCAGTGGCGCAGTCTCAGCTCACTGCCACCTCCGCCTCCTAGGTTCAAGTGATTCTCCTGCTTCAGCCTCCTGAGTAGCTGGGACTACAGGCGTGCCCCACCTCACCCAGCTAGTATTCGTATTTTTTTAGTAGAGATGGGATTTCACCATATTAGCCAGACTGGTCTCAAACTCCGGACCTCGTGATCTGCCCACCTCGGCTTCCTAAAGTACTGGGATTACAGACATGAGCCACTGGGCCCGGCCTCAACCCTAATTTTTCATTCACTCATTATGCCAAAAGTTATCTCATATACCTCTGAGTGCCTTCTTCCCCAAAACCACCAGTGCCATACCTGCTGTCAGCAAGGGTGTAATATACTGTAGTGGTAAATATGACCACAAGTCATAAATGACTGTGGGATGTATGAGAATTACAAGTCACATTAGTAAGAAGAGAAAAATTTTGGTCATGTTTATGATTTGAAATATGTTTTCTTTTATCACATTTAGAAATATAGTTATAAAATATTCTCTTTTTTTGTCCTGATCCATCATGGTCACTGAGGAGCATCGTCTCATATGCCCGGTATGTGACTTGTGTCTCTCCAATGGTAAAAGCCTTGGCCTTGGCCAGACACTGTGGCTCACGCCTGTAATCACAGCACATTGGGAGGCTGAGGCAGGCGGATCACCTGAGGTCAATACTTTGAGACCAGCCTGACCAATATGATGAAACCCCATCTCTACTAAAATTACAAAAATTAGCCAGGTGTGGTTGCATGCTCCTGTAATCCTAGCTAGTCAGGAGGCTGAGACAGGAGAATCGCTTGAATCTCGGGGGAGGGCAGAGGTTGCAGTGAGCCAAGATGGCGCCATTGCACTCCTGCATGGGCAACAAGAGTGAAACTCCATCTCAAAAAAAAAGACTTGGCCTTGTGATGAGGGGAGGTCAGCTCTAGACTCTTGGACCGGGTTTTGCCTTACTTATTCTCTAAAGACTAAAATATTTCCTAAAATGTATGGGCACTGTTTACTAGAAAGTACCTTAGTTAAAACATACAAATTCATTTATGCCTTATAAAGCTATATTTTTTCAAATTGTTTTACTAAGTCATAGGAAGCTAATACAGTTGTGTAAATTGTCTGAATACAAGCCTTTCTTTCTCTGATAATGTGCTGTTGATGCTAACTTGTCAACAGCCTGCTTATCTCAGCAGTGTAAAGTTAACAGCAACGTGGAAAAGTAACTTTTATATATTATGCAATGGCATAGAACAATTCAGTCACTTCCCTTAAGGTACCAATGAAGCTGCTCTTCAGAAACCCTTATTTAAAAAACACTGTCAAAATCCAGGCACCAAAGGATGCAGCATCAATCATTGACCAAACCCTATCTGTGTGTGGAGATGACATACCCAGTCTCAGATAATGCATCCTCATCAGTGAAGGGTGGAGTCATTGATTGTCAGATCACACAAAGTGACTCACAGCAGGGAAGACAGGGCAGTGGCAGAGATGGGGGCACCTGACCAGGTGCAGTGGCTCACACCTGTAATCCCAGCACTTTGGGAGGCTGAGGCAGGTGGATCACTTGAGGTCAGGAGTTGAAGACCAGCCTGGCCAACATGGTGAAACCCCATCTCTACTAAAAATACAAAAATTAGCTGGGCATCGTGGTGTGTGCCTGTAATCGCAGCTACTCAGGAGGCTGAGACAGGAGAATCACTTGAGCCTGGGAGGCAGATGTTACACTGAACTGAGATCACGCCACTGCACTCTCTAGCCTGATCAACAGAGCGAGACTCCATCACACACACACAAAAAAAATTAAAAAAGAGTTGGGTGCACCTGGATCTAACCCCTGTCTCATCCTTCTGCCTTGAAGGCCAAATGCACCCTGATACTTTTCACCAAAGAGTAGAAACACCACCATCCACTTGACCCCAAATGTGACTTTCCACAGGATGCAAGCACAGTGTTGGAATAGCCAAAGACAGTAACAATAGAAGTGCAGGGTGAGGGTGATGAACAGGACACACTGGAGAGCCTGACATTGGCCTAGACTACGGGGGTGTCTTGATCCTTCACAAAGAGCCCAAGGAGCAACCCAAAGAGACACTGGAGCACAGGCCCAAAGGGTGTTCATATGCCAGGAAGGCCACTAATTTTAGAAGGCAGTGATGTTGGTTCCTGTTGGAGTCCTGATCCTTTATAACATATGCTTTTCTGCATCTGGTTAGACAAGGAAATCTGCAATTTTTGACTTGCAGCATTTAGAAATAAGTTATTTTAGCAATCCACACACTCGTGGTTTATTCTGAACTAACTTGAGACAAACAGCTACAGATAGGGAATATCATGAGTATTTCCAAGACTAAAACTCTTCACAAAGTCAGTGGGACCCTCTCATGGGAGGGTTTTAAGACCCACAATAAAAAAGGTGGGGAAACATTGAGTGGAAAGAGGGCAGCAGGTCAGGGGCCTTCCCCAGAGGCCTAACACACCCAACATTACCCTGGATGAAAACAAATACATACCATAACATCACACTTTCTTCAATGTGTAACAGAGAAAATGAAATGTATTCAAAGGTAAGCTTTCAGAATTCCACTTTACACAATTAATAAGGTTTTAATATTACTCTGTGTTGATGTTAAGGAATTATTAAATATGAACAGCATTTTCTGGTTATATATGGAAAATACCTTGATTTATGAGGTATGAAAATGCTCATTTTTACGTATGCATGTTTTACTTTTGTGCTTTTTTTATAAAACAAGGTGAAAAAACAGGAAAAAAATTTCAGATCAAGGAAGTTAAGCAGATTAATAGGAGAAAAGTTATACAAATTTATTTAACATGTATATATGGGAGCCTTCAGAATGAAGACCCACCCAACAATAAGACAAAAACTTATATACCATTCCAGGGTAGGAAAGAATGCAGATGTGGCATGGCCAAAAAATCCCAGGTTTGATGGGTAAGTCAAGTTTAATAGCAAGACAGATTCTGCAAGAGGAAAGGAAGAAGCTTGGCTAGCAAAGCAGACCTTTTTATGCAGATGAAGGCTCCCTCAGAGAGAATAGGTGGGAAATTCTGCTTTTCATTCAGACTTTCATTTAGAATTTTAAGTAATAGAGTCAGGATTATGCTATGTTGCTTGGGTTGCTCTCTAATTGTTTGTCTCAAGCAGTCCTCCCAGCTCAGCCTCCCAAAGTGCTGGGATTCGAGGCATGAGCCACCATGCCCAGACAAGGTTTGTCTCCTTATAAAGAATTATTCATTGCTGGGCACAGTGGCTCACATCTGTAATCCCAACAATTTGGGAGGCCAAGGCAGGAGGATCACTTGAGCCCAGGAGCTCAAGACCAGCCACAGCAACATGACGATTCCCTCTCTCTACAAAAAATACAAAAAATTAGCTGGATGTGGTGGCACATACCATATCCAGGAGGCTGAGGCAGAAGGAGAACCAAAGCCTGGGAGGTTGATGCTGCAGTGAGCTGTGATTGTGCCCCTGCACTCCAGCCTGGGTAATTGAGTGAGGGCCTTTGTTAAAAAACAAAAAACAAAAAAAATTGTTCACTTATTGCAGCTTCAGATTTTTTTTAATGAATTGTAAATTGCATTTTCATTACAATTGGAAAGATAAGAAAATTTTGCACAGAGCCCAGATAAAGACAGATTTCAGAAAAATATCATTTGTCTTATATAGAGTTTGTTTCAAAAAAATTTTTTTTTTTTTTTTTTTTTTTTTGAGACAAAGCTTTACTCTTGTTGCCCAGGCTGGAATGCAATGGCTCAATCTTGGCTCACTGCAACTTCTGCCTCCCAGGTTCAAGTGATTCTCCTGCCTCAGCCTCCTGAGTAGCTGGGACTACAGGCGCATACCACCATGCCTGGCTAATTTTTGTATTTTTAGTAGAGACTGGATTTCACCATATTGGGTAAGCTGGTCTCAAATTCCTGACCTTGTGATCCGCCCACCTCGGCATCCGAAAATGCTGGGATACAGGCGTGAGATACCGTGCCCAGCCTGAAAATTCTTGTTTAATTTTTTTCTTCCTTAGAGGCCGTGTAGTACATTTCTTGGTCTATCCTTTTTCGTGGATGATTTCTTTTTCTTTCTTTCTTTTTTTTTTTTTTTGAGACAAGGTCTGGCTCTGGTGCCCAGGCTGGAATGCAGTGGCACAATCTCAGCTCACTGCAGCCTTCATCTTCCAGGCTTAAGCTATCCTTCCACCTCAGCCTCCCTAATAGCTGAGACCACAGGTGCACGCCACCATGCCCAAAGTGCTGGGATTACAGGTGTGAGCCACCGTGCCTGGCCATTTATGCATCATTTCTAACAGTTTCAGGGCTTAGCTTTGGGAATGCTGCTTGGGAAAAGAAATAGGGAAAATCTTTTATTACAGCTGGAGAAAAGGAATAAACTTCTACAACAAAGTATAGTAGATAATCAGTGAATTACAAAGATTCGGAAAAATATCAGTCCTCCTTTGCAGGTTGGAGAACTTGTAACGGTGGATAACTCTTCTCTTCCTGTTATCTGTGGGGTAAGACCTGGCTGGCAACTGTTGTGATATGTTTATATTCACATATGGTTAATGTGTAGTATGTGCTTTGTTATGGAAATCATAATGAAGTAATAATGTCCACCTTAATAAGATAATAAAATTCAGATAATATGATTAAATATTGAGTTTATGTGAACACAAAGTTTGAGGGTAGCCACTGGGGAAACACATCCTGAAGAGTGGGGTCACTGCTCCCACTCTTAACTGGAGAAGTTAAGTCTTCACTTCTGTAGGGCAAAATGAAGATGCTTAATAGGGTTACATTTTCCATACAAAGCCAATGCATATATTTCAATGATTTCATTGGTTGCCGCTTGCCAAATTGCAGCTTACCAAATTTCAAGGATGATTGCTTTAACTTTTTGTAAGGAGGGGTAGTGGTATCAAAAGGATCCTACCTCTGGCACTTCTCAGTGTTTTCTAATGACTTATAGCCCAAGAACAAGGAAGAGAGTTAATCTTTTTGACATGCACACGGAAGGAGCAATTACATGGTAGCGTAAACACATTTCTCAATATGTTTATTGAGTGAAAGGGTTAGATACTTTCCCTGATGAGGGGTGATAGGTAAGTGCCTTATAATTTCCTTCCAGCCTATAATAAACCGAGTTTGAGAGATTTTGCCGGATTCTTCAAACACTGGGTATTTTCTCATTGAAACAGAGGCCTGAGTCCAGTGACTGCAAACTAAAGCCAGTGAGAAACCTACAAAGAGAGGTCATTGAAAGCTCACACCAGGCGCAGTGGCTCACACCTGTAATCCCAGCACTTTGGGAGGCCAAGGCAGATGGAGCATCTCAGGTAAGGAGTTTGATACCAACCTGGCCAAAATGGCGAAACCCCATCTCTACTAAAAATACAAAAATTAGCCAGGTGTAGGGGCTCAAGCCTGTAATCTCAGCCATTCGGGAGGCTGAGGCATGAGAACTGCTTGAACTCGGGGCGGAGGCTGCAGTGAGCCAAGATCACACCATTGCACTTCAGATTGGATGACTGAGCAAGACTCTCCAAAAAAATAAATAAAGCTCACCTGGTTCTTCCCATGGTGCTCCCACTGCAGGTGTTTTCAGCTGCTCAAATTGACCATGGGAGGAGCGCTTTATACTGACAGAACCTCAGATCCCTGGAAAGCTAGGGATCCACAGGCAGATACAGTACTCAGTGATGCCCTCCGCAAGTGACAGTTTTTGTCATGGAGCTTTTCCTAGACGTTTCTAGTGAAACAAATGTAGGTTTCAGTAAGAAATAAGTTTTTTTTTTTTTTTTTTGAGATGGGGTCTCGCTCTGTCGCCCAGGCTGGAGTGCAGTGGCACGATCTCAGCTCACTGCAACCTCCACCTCCCGGTTTCATGCCATTCTCCTACCTCAGCCTCCCGAGTAGCTGGGACTACAGGCGCCCGCCACCATGCCCAGTTAATTTTTTCTATTTTTTTTAGTAGAGATGGGGTTTCACCATGTTAGCCAGGATGATCTCAATCTCCTGACCTCGTGATCTGCCTGCTTCGGCCTCCCAAAGTGCTGGGATTACAGGCGTGAGCCACCGTGCTCAGCCAAGAAGTAACTTTTAATTACCTTAATGACCCTGAAATCAGCTTGTCATTAGGAGAGGTCATAAAAAGAGTCTAGGTACTGAACTTGCAAGTAAAAATAAAAATATTAAATAAATACATAAAGTGGGGTTGCATATAAGCCTAGAAGGGATCAGTCAAAAATTCAGGGGTGGCTGGGTGTGGTGGCTCATGCCTGTAATCCCAGCACTTTGGGAGGCTGAGATGGGCAGATCACTTGAGATCAGGAGTTCAAGACCACCCTGGCCAGCATGGTGAAACACCATCTCTATGAAAAATATAAAAATTAGCTGGGTGTGGTGGCACACACCTGTAACACCAGCTAGTCTGGTGACTGAGGCATGAGAATCACTTGAACCAGGGAGGCGGAGGTTGCAGTGAGCCAAGATCATGCTACTGCACTCCAGCCTGGGCTACAGAACAAGACTGTCTCAAAAAAAGAAAAAAGTTCAGGGACCTGGAGGAAGGAGAGAAACTGAAGCATGCTTTGGTAGATAGATATTTCATTTTGACTAAAGATCACTAAAGAGAAAACTGTTCACCTAATGGTTTGTGAGGTAAATACTGGAATATCTAGTGGGTGTCTGGTTTGTCATAGGTAACAAACGTGGCACCATCTAATTCACCATGGGAAGCTTGTTTCATTGTAGTAAGGTGCTCTTGCACAACACAAAGGATGGGGGATTTCATGAATCACAGCCATTTTCAGGATTGCCCACCCACCCCCATCTCCTTTCCACACCCCTTACTCTTTTTCTATCCATGTCTCTGATTTGACTCGTCCTGAGTTGTATCCTTCATAGTAAGTGGGTAAATATAAGTGAACTGTGGGTAGTTCTATCAAATTATGGAACTTGAGTAAGGTGTTGTACAGGACCCAGGTCTAGATGCAGTTGCTGAGAAGTACAGGTGGCCCCTAGGGCTTTGAGTGGCATCTGCTGAGTGGGGCTGTGTTGGGTGAGCCAGGAACTCATGGAGTCTCTGCTAACTCTGGGTGGCTTCTGAATTGAGTGGTTGCATGACTGCTTAGTGCTGGAGAATTCGCTGGTGTTCAGCAAGCACCACACATCTGGTGTCAGAAACAAAAGACACCATAGGTCAGAACCTTCCACTGACTCACAGTGAGCGAGTGGTCTTTGGTGGGCATTGAGACCCCGGTGGAAGGACTGTGTCCACACTGTGGGGAGGGGCTACAAGGGTGTTAGTAGAAGTCCCAGAATTAATTTTCTGGCTGCTCACATTTCCCTCACACACTGCCTAGGAGTGGGCCAGCCTGGCCTGTGTCTCCACAGTCCAAGTGGTTCCTAAGCTTGGGAATGTGTAACTATTGGAGTGTGGGTTTCCTTGTGAGCTGTGGGTGAGGCAGGCTGCCTACCTGAGCTGCCTCCGTTTTGTTTCTTTTATAGAATCTTGCTACCATGGAATTGCTCTTTCTGCATGCATCAGATCATTCATTCGTTTGTTTGCTCATTTATTTATTTATTTATTTTTCAAACAGAATCTCACTCTGTCGCCCAGGCTAGAGTGCAGTGGCGTGATCTCGGCTCACTGCAACCTCTGCCTCCCAGGTTCAAGCGATTCTCTTTGCTCAGCCTCCCAAGTTGCTGGGACTACAGGCACATGACACCACACCTTGCTCATTTTTGTGTGTGTTTTTAGTAGTGACAGGGTTTCACCATGTTGACCAGGCTGGTCTCAAAGTCCTGACCTCAAGTGATCCACCTGCCTCAGCCTCCCAAAGTTCTGGGATTTCAGGCATGAGCCATTGCACCTGGCCACATCTGAGAATTTTGTTTTATGATTTGGGTGTTAGGATTTTAATTAGCTGGTTGGAACCTTAATGAGTAGTTTGGTAACCTTTGCAGAAGGAAATAGTTTTTTAATAAGCTGTTTTATGCCAAGTCAAAATAATAACAATATGAATACTCAGACACATACCACCCCAAAAAATAAATAGGCCTTGGGCAGTTCTGGTGTGTCTCCTTGGTCTCACTTATTTTTGATATGCAAAGGTGATCAAAGTTTTGATTCTTTTTGTTATTCTTTGTATCTTTGTCATCTCTTTGTCACAAAGCAGAATTTTCCCACTTTTGAATTCTCAGTAACATAATGTTACCATTAATACACCATTAGTATTATGCTGAGAGGGTGTGTTTCTGGGTTTTTTGCCTGAGCCTGTTGTAGACATGCTGCTCTGTGAAGTTGTGGGTCATGTAATTGATTCTCTTATTTCGCTGCTTAATGGGACTTGAGTTGGTTCAAGTCTATCTTTTGATCTTATTGATAGTACTCTTCTTGTTTTTGTCCCTAATTGGAAATAATTGCTGGCTTGTAGATTATGGATAAATTCAAATTTACTATGAAATGTCGATAGAGTATGAATGTAACTTCTGAATTAACCATCTCACCTTTCATGCACGTGTCTTTATTCTTGTGATTTGTCAACACTTTGAATTATCTAACTCACTTTTTGTTGCCCATCTACTCTTAAGTAGAATCTCTGTAAGATTATGTATTTTTTCACTGGTTGCCATTGGTTGAGCATTTTTCCTATATGATCTTTCATCTTCTGTGTTGCAGTTCCCAGTCATCCTCTTACATTTGACTAATTTGTAGTGTTTTTTTTTTCTTTTTTTTTTTTTTAGACAAGAGTTTGGCTCTGTTGTCCAGGCTGGAGTTCAGTGGCGTGATCTCACCTCACTGCAACCTCTGCCTCCTAGGTTCAAATAATTCTCGTGCCTTAGCGTCCCGGGGCGCATACCACCACCCCCAGCTAATTTTTGTATTTTTAGTAGAGATGGGGTTTCACCATGTTGGCCAGGATGGTCTCAATCTCTTGAACTCGTGATCTGCCCGCCTTGGCCTCCCAAAGTGCTGGGATTACAGGCGTGCGCCACTGCGCCCGTCTCTTGTTTTCTTGTTTTTAATTTGAGACAACCTTGCTCTGTAGCCCAGCTGGAGTGCAGTGGTGTGGCCACTCACTGCCCACTGCAGCATTAAGCTCCTAGGCTTGAGCAATCCTCTCACCTCAGCTTTCTGCCCAGATAATTTTTAAAAGTTTTTTGTAGAGACAGGGGTCTCAGTGTTTTGCCCAGGCTGGTCTCAAACTCCTGGGCTCAATGAATCCTCCTGCCTTCGCCTCCCAAGGTGCTAGGATTGCAGACATGATCCACCACGCTCAGCAATGAGCGGTTTTTTTTTTTTTTTAAACCAAGATATCTGTACATGTTTCTGACAAATATTTTATTTAAAATCTTTAACAACTGCATACTAACCAAGGTTATTCTGTTTTTCATTTTCATTATGACTACTTGTTTTTCTTTCTTATTCTCATTTTTTACCTAATTAAAATAATTTACCATGTAGTGGCCCTGGCATGCATTTTGCTCCTTCATACAGTCATACAGCTACCTCGATGTCCCTTCTTTCTGCCATTCTGAAATTGGACCTCATTCCTTGACTCTTGCTCCCCATCTGCTATGTGATAAAGTCCTGTCTGATTACATTGTCTCCAAAGCCTCTTTTATAGACTTCCATTTGCCCCTTGGCATGTCTTGCATTTACTCTCCTCGAAATATATACTTAGAGGCCAGGTGTGGTGACTCACACCTGTAATCCCAGCACTTTGGGAGGCCGAGGCAGGAGGATCCCTTGAGCCCAGGAATTTAAAACCAGCCAGCGCCACAGAGGGAGACCCTGTCTTAAAAACAAAATTTATATGTACAAGCCCTAAACCCCAACACGGTCATATTTGGACACGACGAACCTTTTAGGATATCACATAACATTTATAAAAGAGGGCCCTCATAATGGGATTAGTGAGAGAGAGAGAGAACTCTGTCTCTCCAACATGTGAGGACAAAGCAAGAAGGCATCTAGCTGCAAGCCAGGAAGATAGCCTTCACTAGGAACAAAATTGCTGGCAGCAAGATTTTGGATTCCCCAAGCTCCAGAACTGTGAGAAACAAATTTCTGCTGTTTAAGAAACTGAGTCCATGGTGTTTTGTTATACTAGCCTGAGCTAAGTCACCCCAAGAGTCCTCACATTAACCATATACTGTCATACAAGTGCTGCATTTGGATCTACCTGGAATGTCTCCAAATTTTCTGCTTTTCCTCTTGGACCCATTGTGAGAATAGGTTTGCTTCACAGGAAACTGCTGGTAATAGTAGTGATAGCCTAACAGCTAGGGACAAAAAGGAAACTTTCTTTTTCTTTTTCTGAGATGGAGTTTGTGCTCTGTTGCCTAGGCTGGAGTACAATGGCGCGATCTCAACTCTCTGCAACTTCTGCCTCCTGAGTTCAAGGGATTCTCCTGCCTCAGCCTCCAGAGTAGCTGGGATTACAGGTGCGTGCCACCACATCTGGATAATTTTTGTATTGTTAGTTAGAGATGGGGTTTCACCATGTTGGCCAGGCTGGTCTCGAACTCTTGACCTCAGGTGATCCACCTGCCTCGGCTTTCCAAAGTGCTAGGATTATAGGCGTGAACCACCACGCTTGGCCTCTTTTACACACACACACACACACACACACACACACACACACATATATATTGTTTTCTTTTTTAAATAAAAATAAATAGAAACTAGGTCTCACTATGTTGCCCAGGGTGGTCATAGCCCAAGATTTTGGTCTCCAGCGATCTATCTGCCTTGGCCACCCCAGTGCTGGGATTAAGGCGTAAGAAACTGTGCTCGGCCAAATGAACGAAACTTAGTGGGAGGACGGGCGTGGTGGCTCACACCTGTAATCCCAGCACTTGGGAGGCTGAGGGGGGTGGATCACCTGAGCTCAGGAGTTCAAGACCAGCCTGGACAACATGGTGAAACGCTGTCTCTACTAAAAATACAAAAAATTAGCCGGGCATGATACTCCCACTCTCATAGTGAGAGAAAGATTCTTTCTTAAGGATTCTACCTGCTGGAAAGCATTATATACTGCCAGCACTTGTTCAATACAAGACTTTCTGGTTTCATCTCCATGTCCTGTTTCCCAGGCTGGAGTGCAGTGGTGGGATCATAGCTCACTGCAGAAACTCCTGGGCTCAAGGGATCCTCCTGCCTTAGCCTCCCAAGTAGCTGGGAATAAAGGCACATGCCAACATGCCCGACTGTTTTTAAATTTTTTTGTACATATGGAGTCTCACTATATTGCCCAGGCTGTTCTTGAACTCCCAGGCTCAAGTGACCCCCCCCCACCTCAGCCTCCCAAAGTGCTGAGATTACAGTCATGGACCAATACTCCCAGCCCTGAAACAGATATATTTCAAAGGGAGAACATCTAATGTTCAAGTTGGTATCTATAGAGCAGTTAACCGGAACTATCATTTAGGGTCTGTGGGATTCTAGGACACTAGGTATGAAACAAATATGAGGAAGGTCAGAGAACAAGCTGACTTAATGATTAATGCTGAAGGTGCTGCAAGCTTGGTTTAAGTTTTCCTCCTCCCATCCTCCCTGATGAATTTGATAAAGTTTAAAGGGATGGTTTCACCAGGGGCTTTTTCCATTGACTGCAAGGAGGTCATCCTGCCTGGTAAATCCTCAGTAGGCCAAGCCTCTTATGTGGCGGAATGATCCAGTCGATGAGGAAATATCACCACCTGTTATGTTTTACAATTAGACCATCCAAGGGGGTCAGGGTTTCCCCAGGTAGTTTGGTGAGAGAGAGAGAGAGTGTGTGTGTGTGTGTGTGTGTGTGTGTGTTTTGAGACAGTGTCTTGCTGAAGTGCAGTAGCCTGATCATAGCTCACAGCAGCCTCAAACTTTGAGGCTCAAGTGATCCTCCTGCCTCAGCCTCCTGACTAGCTGAGACTATAGGTACACACCACCTCTCCAGGCTAATTCTAAACAAAGATGTATGGAGTTGGGAGGGTCTCACTTCACTGCTCAGGGTGATCTCCAACTTCTGTCTTCAAGTGCTCCTCCCACTTTGGCCTCCCAAAATGTTGGGATTACAGGCGTGAGCCATGGTATCCGGCCTCCCAGGCTGTTGTTGAAAGGTTTTTGCAATCTCTCAGAGTTATGCAGCAGTTTATTCCCTCACAGTGATACTCTCATCCTTTGACCCCATTTTGCAGCAGTGGTTGAGCGTTCACTTTTCTTTCCATAAGGGGGTGAGCTTGCCGGTGACTCTCTTCCCCCTCCTCATCAATGACTTCTTTGTCATCAGAGCCTTCCTCTTCATAAATTCCCACGGAATCCAAGTTTTCACGTCCCAATCGGGCTTAGTTATGATAGCCACAGGCCCACACCAGCTGCCACAGCACCCCCGTCCCATGGAAACCGCCCGACTCTCTTCTCCCCAAGCGTCCTGTCCCGGGAGCCCCCATCTCTGCTCTCCCGGGCTCCGGGCCCTAGATCCGCGCTGCTGTAGAGCCCAGTTCCCAGAGTAGCTCCCTCCACCTGTCCACATCCAGCTCCAGCTCTCCACCCTCTCTCCAGGCCTGGAGTTGCTGCAGTGTCACTGATCAGGGGACCCTCAGCTGCCACCTCCACCGCGATCTGAAAGTCTTTTAAATGCACTTAAGTTATCTTAGAATTTTCCTCGCCCATTTTATACATAAACATAGGAGGAGAGCAGGGGTTTGAGGGTGTTTGTCTCATGGAACTGATCAGTCGGGTGAGAAGTAGCTGAATAACCTGCAGGGGGCAGCAGAGCCCCAGGCCAGTGACTCCACGCCGAGGCCAGTGTGGATCCTGCAAAGGAAGAGAAAGAGAGATTCCCTGGGGTCTTCCCGGGCAGCCCGCCCTCCCCTACAAGTGGCCTCCAGCCGCTCAGAGCAGCTCCAGAAGGAGTGTGGATTCCGAGAAGCTGCAGAGCCCTGGAAAGCAGAAGAGACGTGCAGACGCCTTTGTGGGGTTCTGTCCTTTCTGGTGTTGTACCTCTGGAGCCTGGGGCTGTCTTCTGGGCAGGGTTTGGGGTTTGACACGCATGGGGTCGCTGGAGGCAGAGTTGTTTGTATATATAAAGAGAATGTGTGAATATCAGGCTAGAGACAGAATTGTTTGGGGGCGACACCTGGATAAAGGGTTCATGAAGTTGACAGTTTATTTAGGTCAGAAGGTTAAATTAACCCCAGGTGAGAGTTTCCTGCTGGTGAAAATGAAGATCTGGAAGCAGGGAGCATTTTCACACTGTGAGGAGGGGATGGGGGTGTGTGAGCAAGGCTTGGCCATGCCTCATTCCCAATTCCGGCCCGCTCAAGGACATGTGCCTCTCCTGATGCAGTCGTGCCTGGCCTGGTCTCGGTTCCCCTGCTGCTCTGAGGCCAGCAGATGGCTCCTATGGACACTGAGTCTGAAATTCCCTGCACACTCCTGTGACCCCGTGCAGAACGAAGGAGCGGGGAAAATCCCTTGAGTGAGGAAGACGCTAGTGTTCTCTTATATCTGTAGCAAGTCTGGCTGAAATGCAAATATCCAATAATCAGAGTACAGGAAGCACCTCGCCCTTAGAGAAGCTGTGGCTAGAATCCGTCAAGTCAGTCTGGCTCTGCCGGGCCTGATACCCAAGGCTTCCGCTGTCACTCAGAAGTGAGGGGCGGGGCCTAGCATTCCATCCAATCAGAGGTGCCGGGGCAGGGCCCTGCCCATTGTTTATCCAGGCACAGAGTGGGTCGCATTCCTGTCCTCACCTTTGTCCTTGCGCAGCCGGTGGTTGATATCCGCTGTATCCATCCCCGAGAGGGACCTGGTACCTCTACCCAGGTTTCTATCGCTCTGTCTCCTGCGCTGTGCCCTTCTGTAGTCACAGGAGCTGTAGAGAGGACCCCAGGACATCTGAAAGCCAGGAAATGGTGCGTGTGCATAGCCGGTTGTCCCGAGACGGGGTAGAGGCTGCCTGGAACCGGCCGGAACCGGCTGCGGCGGGACCCGGGCCTCCCTGCGGGCGACTCCAGGGTCTGGGACCGAGTCCTCCTGGAGCTGCTCGGCCCTCGGTCCCCTCGGCCGCTGGATGGGGCTGGGCTGGCAGCCGGGACCCCGGGTGTCCTGTCCTGTCCCTGCGCGGTGACTGCGGCCCCGCCCCGGAGCCCTCTCTGGGCAGTTCCGCGCCCGCAGCCCCGCGTCTCCCCAGATTATGCGGAAGCCACGAGAGGGTCATGGGGGAAATCCTGACTCGTGTGTAGGGTTCGTGCGTGGGAGGAGCAGTGGTCTGTGGGGCCCCCAGTTCCCACTTTCTCCTGTTAAAAATTAAACTGAAGTACATTAACAATTAAAGAGTTCATTTGAGCAAACAGCAATTCAGTAATGAGAACCACCCAGTCCTGGCTTGTGGTTTGTCAACTGAAAAAGCCAAACAATGTAAAATAAAGTTTATTCGTAGCCAAATAGGAGAGACCTTGGCAAGGGAAACACAACCCCAAGAAGCCTATAGTGAGTGGTCCCGAGGCGGCTCAAGACAATTTGGTTTTATTCATTTCAGAGAGACAGGAATTGCAGGGAAAATCATGAATCAGTGCCTGGAAGGTGTAAGTTCCATTGGCAGAAAGGGCGGGACCTGTGGAAGGGGGGTTAGAAGGCACAGGTGGTTGAGGGATTCTGTAGGTGGCAGTTGATTGAGAGTGTGAAGTTTGTCTAAAGTTTGGAGGAGGTAGGAAGGAATGCTGAAGGAAGGGGGTCTGTTATCTGCCACTTGATTCCATCCCAGCCAAAAAACAGACCTGTTTCTCGAGATTTTATGAATTCCAAGGCATGACTTACCCTTACCTTGCGTGGCCTTAGGTCTTGTTTGTAATTTGGTATCTTCTTGCCACAAGGAGTCTGTTTTTCCAGTCAGATAATGTCTGTTTTTACATGAATGTGCGTCAGTTGCTGCATGTAAACTCCTAAAGGGAGAGGGTATAAGGAGACCTGTCTCACCTGCCATCCTGTCATACAGAGGCACTCAATTTTCAGGGTTTTTTGGGGGTTCCCTTGGCCAAGAGCCAGTCACTTCACTTAACTGGGAAGGTACTTTGTTTG
Organism: Homo sapiens; assembly: GCF_000001405.40. Classification (NCBI taxonomy): domain Eukaryota; kingdom Metazoa; phylum Chordata; class Mammalia; order Primates; family Hominidae; genus Homo; species Homo sapiens. The sequence goes on from NC_000019.10 coordinate 11,966,377, forward strand.
TTTTTGTTTTTGTTTGAGACAGAATCTCCTTCTGTCGCCCAGGCTGGAGTGCAATGGCTGGATCTCGGCTCACAGCAGCCTTTGCCTTCTGGGTTCAAGCAATTCTCCTGCCTCAGCTTCCTGAGTAGCTGGGATTACAGACATGCACCACCATGCCTGGCTAATTTTTGTATTTTTAGTAAAGATTGGGCTTCACCATGTTGGCCAGGCTATTCTCAAACTCCTGACCTCAAGTGATCCACCTGCCTCGGCCTCCCAGTGTGCGGGGATTACAGATGTGAGCCACCTCGCCTGGCCGCAAGGTATGTTTTTAAGTTTGCAGGTTGAAGACTGGGCTTTTATAAGGTACATGAGGAGACAAATGAGATAAATGCTTGATTGGTTGCAGAGATGCAGTTGCCTTATTTGGACTTGTCACTCCGAAATAATCGAAAGGTTCAGATTTCAGCTGGAAGAGTTTATTCAAGCAGAAAGATAGCAATGGCCCAAACAGGAAAAACACAGACTCTAGAGAAAAGGACTCAGTCCTCCAAAATTGGAAGTTAAGTTCTGGCTTTATATTACCAGGAAAAGAGGTCCTCATCAGACCCCAAGAGGGTTCTTGGATCTCACACAGGAAGGAATTCAAGACAAGTCGCAATGTACAGTGTGTAGAGAGTTTATTGAAAGCTACTCTGGGCCAGCATGATGGCTTAGGCCTGTAATTCAAGCACTTTTCAAGGCCAAGGCGGGAGGATCACTTGAGGTCAAGAGTTCGAGACCACCCTGGGCAACATAGCGAAACCTCTTCTCTTCCAAAAATAACAAAAATTAACTGGGTGTGGTGGCCTGTGCCTGTAGTCGCAGGTACTTGGGAGGCTTAAGTGGGAGAATCACTTGAACCCAGGAGGCAGAAGTTGCAGCCCAGCCGAGGACTCGCCACTGCACTCCAGTGTGGGTAACAGAGTGAGACCCCATCTCAAAAAACAAAAACAAAATAAACAAGAAAGAGTTGAAGACCAACCTGGCTAACACAGCAAGACCCTGTCTCTATTTTGTTTTTTTTTGAGACGGAGTCTCGCTCTGTTGCCCAGGCTGGAGTGCAGTGGCGCGATCTCGGCTCACTGCAAGCTCCACCTCCCGGGTTCACGCCATTCTCCTGCCTCAGCCTCCCGAGTAGCTGGACTACAGGCACCCGCCACCACGCTCGGCTAATTTTTTGTATTTTTAGTAGAGACGGGGTTTCACCGTGTTAGCCAGGATGGTCTCAATCTCCTGACCTCGTGATCCACCCACCTCGGCCTCCCAAAGTGCTGGGATTACAGGCGTGAGCCACCATGTCCGGCCCCTGTCTCTATTTTTAAAAAAAGAAAAAAGAAAAAGAAGGAATGTTCTCTGTTACAGAGTAGGGCATCCTCATAAAGCAAGTGGAGGAACATACTGTCTAAGTTTTTGTTATGTAGGGGTCTTGTCTATGTAAAGACTAAACTAAGCTGTGCCTACGTGCATGTGGGCTGACAGCGTCACAAAATTTATTACTCTGTTGATTTAAAGAAAACTATCCTTTACCTTTTAGCACACAAGTGCATTAAAACATAACTATAATTATCTTGAAAGCACATACTATTATGAGTATTGGGACATCCGGATGTTCTGTCGTTGTGGGAGTGTAAGGATACTTGCAGGCATCTTCAGGCTGTTTTCTTAATGTCAAACATGTTATGACCATGGGTTGTGACTGGCAAGGAGTGTTTCTTGTTAGTCTCAAGATGGAGCTGATTGGTCTTTCTCTGGCTCCCCTAGGCACTTGCTTCCCTAACACTTATATAGGCAAAAGGCAAATAAATGTAACAGGATTACATTTTCCATAGAAGGCTGATGTATGAGGTACAATAATTTAATTTTTTTTTTTCTTTGAGACAATGTCTAGCTCTGTGGCCCAGGCTGGAGCAGTGGTGCGATCATGGCTTACTGCAGCCTTGACCTCCCCAGCTCAAGCACCTCAGCCTTCCCAGTAGCTGAGAGTACAGTTGCCCACCAGCACACCTGGCTAATTTTTTGTATTTTACAGAGGTGGGGTCTCGATATGTTGCTCAGGCTGGTCTCTTGCTCCTGGCCTCAAACAGTCCTCCTTCCTTGGCCTCCAAAAGTGCTGGGATTATAGACATGAGCAAATGCATGTGGATAACAACTTAATTTGTAGTGGTTTGCTTTTTTCCCCCAGAGCTTGTTTTCTTTTCTTTCTAGCTGGTTTATATTTCCTTTTCAATTTAAAAAAGTGAATTTAATATTCTAGCTGAAGACAACATGATAGCCATGGAGTCTTTGTGTGAGAAAGTTAAGAGGGAAATTAGTGTACTATAGAGATCAGTAGTAGAGAGGGGCCTGGCGGGATGGCTCACACCTGTAACCCCAGCACGTTGGGAGGCCGAGGCAGGTGGATGGCTTGATCTCAGGAGTTGAAGACCAGCCTGGCAACATAGTGAGACCCCATCTCAATTGTGAAAAATCATATTAAATTTAAAAAGACAGTGACAAGGGAAAGGGTCTTTCCTGTTTCCCTTCAGTCATTTACAACATTTTACAAAACACTATAGGTAAGAAAGAAGGCAAATCTGTAATCAGGGAAAGGAGGGTTCCAGCTAGCTAGGTGAAAGTTGTGTGTCATGTGACTCAACCCCATGATCACATTGCTTCAAGATGATGTAGAGATTCATCAGCTTAAATTTTTGAATTACTTGGTTGTTTTTGCTTGTTTGTTTGTTTTGAGACAGGGTCTCACTCTGTCGGCTAGGCTGGAGTGCAGCGGCGTGATCTCAGCTCACTGCAGCCTCTGCCTTCTGGGTTCAAGTAATTCTCTGGCCTCAGCCTTTCCAGTAGCTGGGATTACAGGTGCGTGCCACCACACTCGGCTAATTTTTCTATTTTTAGTAAAGACAGCGTTTTATCACGTTCGCCAGGCTGGTCTTGAACTTCTGTCCTCAAGTGGTCCATCCACCTTGGCCTCCCAAAGTGGTGGGATTACAGGTGGGAGTCACTGCACCGGGCCTGACTTACTTGTTCACACAGCCTATATAGGTAGAAAATTTCTAGTTATGTAATCAGCGGTTAATTGGTGGATTGTGCCTGATTAAGCATAAATTTCATTTCCCTATACATTAGTAATTTTCACGAGTTGTATTTAAATATGATTTCAGGATCCTTAGGTAGGACCTTAGGACACCTCACACAGTTTGGCCTCATTGCTTCTTATTTAAATTTTTTCACATTCTCCAGGGCAACTGGTTTCCCCTTACATTTTCCAAATATATGGGATGCAGCGTCTCAAATCCTCCACCCTCATACCACAGCCTAACTCTTCAAGGGCTTGCAGTGAAATCTGTTTCTGAACATTTCACATGAGAGGAAAGCAGAGAATAACCACTAGACATTTGCCTGAAAAATCCTTTCTGCCTCTCCTCCTTTTATCTTTCCTAGACACAGACACCTTATCAGGATGTCTTTGGGATGAGGTTCCTTTCTGGAAACTTTACAGGGTGATGTGTCTTCAGTACACCCTCCTATCTTTTCCTGGTTTTGGGTTTTAGAATTGCCTGGGGCTGGCTCAAGATCCCCACAACTGCCATGTCTCCTGGAGGGTCTCATGGGTATTAGTGCCTTAGGGGAGTGGGACCTCCCGAGGGAGCAGCTGAATGCCTTATGGTGGAGGAGATGCCTGGTATACTCTTCATCTACATAACCAATTCTTGGGGTGCTCAGCTTCTGTCTCCCAACTCCACTTTCCATTAATTGGAGACACATGGCTGTTCTGCCAATCGGATGTTGCTAATGAGGAAAAACAGAGATGATTCCTGTCCTCTGGATTGTCTCAACTGTGAAGAGAGAAATATCCCAAAAGACAAGGAAAGGCCACTCCAACAAGGATGTATTTAGCTGTCCCACAGGGAGGTGGTCACCAGAATGCAGCTGAGTAAGTCCCATATGTGAGTTAACCACATGGAGGAACTGGGAGGAGGTGGAGAACCAGAAACTGTTCAGAGTTTGAGTAAAGTTTTCTTCTGTTATAACAACGTTAAATCCATAAAGAAAATGCATGCTAAGGTAACATATAAATAAAAGAATTCACTGTAACAGGTAACTCTAGAATTAATTAAATTATTGTATATGGAGATGATGAGTAGTAGATTGATTATTCTCCTGTAGATAACCATTTGTCCCTGCTTTTTCTGTTAAGTGTTCACCACTTGTATCATTGGCTGGCAATACCTGGTTTGTCATAGTTTCATATTACCTTAAATAGATGTCCAGAGCAGGTGCAGTGGCTCACACACTTTGGGAGGCTGAGGCTGGCAGATCACCTAAGGTCAGGAGTTTGAGACCAGCCTGACCAATATAGTGAAACCCCATCTGTACTGAAAATACAGCATTAGCTGAGCATGGCAGCGCATGGCTATAATCCTAGCTACCTGGGAGGCTGAGGCAGGAGAATCGCTTGAACCTGGGAGGTGGAGGTTGCAGTGAGCCGAGATCCCGCCTTTGCCCTCCAGCCTGGGCAAGGAGAGTGAAACCTCATTTCAAAAAATAAAAAAAAAACTAAAAAACTAGATGCCCTGGTCTCACAATTTGCTGTTTTCCATTGGTCTGTCCTTCCATCTCTCTGTTAATACCATTTTCTCTTAATTAGTGTAGAGTTCAAAGCTGCAGTGTATAGTAGGGATATTGCTTCTCTATCTTAGTCATCTTGGGCTGCTACATCAAATTACCATAGACTGGGTAACTTAAAGAATAAACATTTGTTTCTGACAGTTCTTGAGGTTGTGAAGTCCATGTTCAGGGAGTTGGCAGATCTAGTGTCTGGTAATGGCCCGCTTCCTGGTTTGCAGATGGTCATCTTGTGGTTTCTTCACATGACAGAAAAGAGAGGAAGCTGGCTGTCCTGTGTCTTCCTATAAGAGCACTAATCTCATTCGGAAAGCATCTACCTTTATGCTCTCATCTAATCCTAATTAATTCCCAGAGATGTCAACTTCTAATACTATAGTGGGGGGTAGGTTATTAATGTGTGATTTTTTTAGAGTGATGCAAATATTCATGCCGTAACACCCTCCAACCATATTCTATAGAGCATCTTGGCTGTTCTTAGTCATTGTCTTCTATTTCAGTTTTTAGAAGTACTTTTTTCTTAATTTTAGTGAAAAAAACAAACTGCCTTATAAATTTCATGGAATAAAATATAACTGTAGTCGTATTTCAAAGAGGTTACATCATAGTGTTATTTAATCTCCTTTTAAGGACACATGACATTTTTCCATTTATTGCATTTTATATTGATGTTTTTCAGTGTAGACTTTTTGCATAATAATCATTTTATATCCTTCCTGAGACTTTTTTGGGCTTCAAGAAAATTAGTTTTAATAGAAATTTGTGGCCGGGCGCGGTGGCTCACGCCTCTAATCCCAACACTTTGGGAGGCCAATGTGGATGGATAGCCTCAGTTCAGGAGTTTGAGACCAGCCTGACAAACGTGGAGGTTTCCATGTCTACTAAAAATACAAAATTAGCCAGGCGTGGTGGCAGAGGCCTGTAATCCCAGCTACTCAGGAGGATGAGGCAGGAGAATCGCTTGAACCCAGGAGACAGAGATTGCAGTGAGCCAAGATGGTGTCATTGCACTCCAGCCCAGGCAACAAGAGCAAAACTTTGTCTCAAAAAAAAAAAAAAGAAAAGAAAAGAAATTAGTCCAGCCTGGGTAACGTGGCAAACTTTGTCAATACAAAAACATACCTGGTCATGGTGATGTGTACCTGTAGTCCCAGCTACTCAGGAGGCTGAGGTAGAAGGATCTGTTGAGCCTAGGAGTTTGAGGCTGCAGTGAGCTATGATTGCACCACCACACTCCAGCCTGGGCAACAGAATGAGCCTGAGACCCTGTTTCAGAAAAAAAAAGGGAAGAAAAGAAAAAAGAAAAAAATGAGTTTCAATAGAGTATGTTGTCTTTTAAAAATTACATTCAACAGGTTGTGGCTGATAATTGAAATTCACTGAGATTTATTTTTGTATAAAGTGTGCATTCTAGAAACTTAGTAAAAATATTACATATGCACAAAATACATAAAAGAATTGCACAATGAATCCAAATAATGATGGAGCCAGTATTGGGAATAAGATAATTGCCTTACTTTTTATACTTTCACAACCTGGGTATGCATCCCCATCAGTATATTTTATTTTTGCACATTTTTTATGCAAATGATAACCAATGTGTGATATTTTATATTGGATTTTAACTCAGTTATGAACCTTACATGGAATGATAGTTAATTCACTTTCTTATTTCATTGATTTTATTATTTAGAACAGTGGTTGTTTGCCCAAAACGTTGAGCAAATAATCCACAGAGTTCCCACATTTTTCTTCCAAGCTCATAATTCCCCCTGTTTTAAACATCTTGACTGGCCAGATGCTGTGCCTCATACCTGTAATCCTACCACTTAGGGAGGCTGAAGCAAGAGGACAGCTTGAACTGCAGTGTTGGAGTTCAGCCTAGGCAACATAACAAGACCCTGTTTCAAAAAAAAAAAAAATCATTTTAAACCATATTGACTGTGTGTAGTATATCCCACAATTGATGCAAGAATATATTACATGTGAACACGATGGAAATTGAAGAAACCAATATTATTATTACCTAAAGTCCATCTTTTACATTAAACTTCACTCTTTTTGTTCTGTGGTTTAAGACAACTACATGTGTCTTGTATCCACCATCACAGTCTTATACAGAAACGTTTCACTGCCTTCAAAATCCCCTGTGCTCCTCCTAATTCTATCTCTCCCCTCCCTCTTTTGCCACCCCTATTTATCCCTGGCAACAGATGATGATGTTCCTTCCTCTAGAGTTTTGCATTTTCCAGAATATCACATATTTGGAATGATGCTGTAAGTGGCCATTTCAGACTTGCTTCTTTCATGTAAAAATATGCCTTGAAGGTCTCTCGATACCTTTGTTGCTTGACGACTCATTTATTTTTTATTTTTATTTATCTAAAAAAATTTTGTTTTGTGAGAGACAGGGTCTCAAACTCCTCAGCTCAGGTGATTCTCCCACCTCAGCTTCCCAGAGTGCTGGGATTCCTCTTGTGAGCCACCACGTTCGGCCACTCATTTTCTTTCATCACTAACATTCCATTCTATGGGTGTTACCATAGTTTGTTTCTTTATTCACCTATTGAAAGGCTCATCCTGAGCCTGGTGTGATGCCTCATCCCTGAATTCCCAGCATATGGGAGACTGAAGTGAGAAGATTGCTTGAGGCCATCAGTTAGAGACCAGCCTGGTAGATACAGTGTGAGACCTTGTTAATTTTTTTTTTTTTTTTTTAAAGACTCACCTTGTTTGATTCTAGTTTTTGGCAGTTATGAGTAAGGCTGCTAAAAATGTTTGTGGGAGGACTTTTGTGTGAACATCAGTGTTCAGTTCATTTAGGTTAATATGTAGGATTGAGACTACTGAATCAGTAAGACCATGCTTATTTTCTTCAGAGCTCCACAGACTGTCTTCCAAATTGGCTGTAGAATTTTCCATTCACATCCATAGTGAAGGAGAGTTCACTGTCTCCAGCATTTGGAAGTGTCAGTGTTTGGGATTTAGGCTACCCCACCAGGTGTTTGCTGGTGCCTCATTGTTTTCTTTCTTTCTTTCTTTCCTTCTTTCTTTTCTTTCTTTCTTTCTTTCTTTCTTTCTTTCTTTCTTTCTTTCTTTCTTTCTTTCTTTTCTTTCTTTCTTTCTTTCTTTCTTTCTTTCCTTCCTTCCTTCCTTCCTTCTTTCTTTCTTTCTTTCTCTCTTTTTTTTTGTTTTTTGTTTTGTGTCTAGTTCTTGTTACCTAGGCTGGAGTGCAATGGCATGATCTCAGCTCACTGCTGCCTCTGCCTCCCAGGTTGAAGCAATTCTCCTGACTCAGCCTCCCAAGTAGCTGGGATTACAGGCGTGGTCCTCCACTCCTGATAAATTTTTGTATTATTAGTAGAGATGACATTTTACCATGTTGGCCGGGGTGGTCTCAAATTTCTGACCTCAGGTGATCCACCCGCCTTGGCCTCCCAAAATGCTCAATTATAGGTGTGAGCCACTGCCCCTGGCCTGTTTTAATTTACTCTTTAATAACATGCAATGTTGAGCATCCCGTCATATGTTTGTTTGACATAATTACATTCTTTAGGGGGAGGTATAGTTGGAAATATTTTGCCTTTTTTTGGGCGGGGGGGTGGGGTGTAATCTGGCTCTGTCGCCCAGGCTGGAGTGCGGGGGCATGATCTCAGCTCACTGCAACTTCCACCTCCCAGATTCAAACAATTCTCCCACCTCAGCCTCCCAGGTAACTGGGACTACAGGCACATGCCACCACACCTAGCTAATTTTTGTATTTTTAGTAGAAATGGAGTTACACCATGTTGGCCAGGCTGATCTTAAACTGCTGACCTCAAGTGATACGCCTGCCTTGGCCTTGCAAGGTGCTGGGATTACAGGCATGAGCCACCACACCTGGCTGCTACCATGATTGATTTTCATTACTTACTGTGAAACAAAACTTAAAACCTATCAGCTTAAGGAATTTTACATGTACAGTTGAGATAGTTGGAGAAATCTACATAAGTTCTCTAAGATGAATTCTATTGTGTTCTGCCTTTTGCAATTATCCTGATGTTTCTTGCATGTCATAGTACGGGCCAAGATGTTATTTTCTTTTTTTTTTTTCTCGTTGAGACTGAGTGTTACTGTTGTTGCCCAGGCTGGAGTGCAATGGTGGAATGTCAGCTCACCACAACCTCCGCCTCCCGGGTTCAAGCGATTCTCCTGCCTCAGTTCTCCTGAGTAGCTGAGATAAAACGCATGTTTAGTAAAGATGGGGTTTCTCCATGTTGGTCAGGCTGGTCTCGAACTCCCAACCTCAGATGATTTCCGCCCCACCCACACCCCCCAAAGTTCTGGGATTACAGGTGTGAGCCACTGCACCCGGCCAAGATGTTATTGATTTTTTTTTTTATTTTATTATTATTTTTTGAGACAGAGTCTTGCTCTGTCGCCCAGGCTGGACTGCAGTGGCGCAATCTCGGCTCACTGCAAGTTCCGCTTCCCGGGTTCACGCCATTCTCCTGCCTCAGCCTCCCGAGTAGCTGAGACTACAGGCGCCCGCCACCGCGTCCAGCCAATTTTTCGTATTTTTAGTAGAGACAGGGTTTCACTGTGTCGATCTCCTGACCTCGTGATCCGCCCGCCTCGGCCTACCAAAGTGTTGGGATTACAGGCGTGAGCCACCGCACCCCGGCCTTTAAGATGTTACTTTCTAAGACTAAATAATATCCCATTGTATGTGTATGCTTACTACATTTTGTTTATCCATTCAGTCATCAGTGGATATGTGGGTGGCTGCACTGCTCATTACTGCCACCCCAGGAAGGTTGTATAGTGGTTAAATCTATGCTTATTACACCTGGATATATACACCTGGATATAAACTGGAGTTTCTTGTTTGCCCTCTTGTGTACTTACAGTGCCAGGTTTTTCTTAGGAATGTCCCATCTGCCCTTGTTATCAGCATCTATCTAGCTACACTCTGACAGGATAACTGCAAACTGAATGATTCCTGGGCATCATAATGGATGTTTCTTTCTACTTAGGTGTCTCCCCTCCTCTCTGCTTCTATCTAGCATGCCGGATTTGGGTGGTCCCTGGGGTGTGGGATGTCCCAGGGACTCTCTCTCCTGCTCTTGGGTAGCTATCTGCCTTCTCTAACAATGTCATCAAAGATTACACTTTGGGAACAGGCATTTTCAAGGATACACAGCCTCAGGACTGCTAATGTTAACTTTTTTCTGCATATTAATTCATAGGACTCTATTACGACAGGTGCTACAGACCCACAGTTCAAAGAGACAGTAGGGACAGCCCAGGCAGCTCCCTTTTCTCCTTAGATTCAGTGAATGCACACATTTTCCCAACCCACTGTGGCTTTACCCCTTGTTGAGTTCTAGCATCACAATTGCTTTATGAACCAGCCGAGCATGGTGGCACATGCCTGTGGTCTCAGCTACTCAGGAGGTTGAGTCATAAGAATTGCATGAACTCAGGAGGAAGAGGTTGTAGTAAGCCAATATTGTGCCACTGCACTCCAGCCTGGGCAGCAGAACAAGACTCTGTCTCAAAAAAAAAAAAAAAAAAAAAAAATTGCTGGCCAGGTGTGGTGGCTCATGCCTGTAATTTCAGCACTTTGGGAGGCCGAGGCTGGCGGATCACCTGAGATCAGGAGGTCAAGACCAGCCTGACCAACATGGAGAAACCCTGTCTCTACTAAAAATACAAAATTAGCCGGGTGTGGTGGCGCATGCCTGTAATCCCAGCTACTCGGGAGGCTGAGGCAGGAGAATCGCTTGAACCCCGGTCATGAGCCAAGATCGCATCATTATACTCCAGCCTGGGCAACAAGTTGTTGTTTTGAAAATCCATCTCAAAACAACAACAACAAAAATGCTTTATGGAAGAAAGTACAGAAAGCGAGAAAGGGATGTGATGACCAAAGCAGGGAATAAATGTTTGGAGTCCACGGCAACTTCTTGGGAATAGAGTCTAGGCCCCCACTGCTGTCACTCTCACCCAGCCTCCTCTACACATGTGAGATGTTTCAGGACCCTGTGGCCTGTGAGGATGTTGCTGTGAACTTCACCCAGGAGGAGTGGGCTTTGCTGGATATTTCGCAGAGGAAACTCTACAGGGAAGTGATGCTGGAAACTTTCAGGAACCTGACCTCTATAGGTAAGGATGACAATATTCCTTCCCTCAGTCCATTAGTGAACCAGTGTTTCTAGCTCATGAATGCTGTTGAGTCATTTGGAACATAGACAGGAAATACTTTGATGAATAAATGAGGCATGGCTGCAGTAAATCATAGACATAGAATCTAATAATTTTTTCACAGTTTTATATTGCTTCAGGACTACTTTTCTGTGTCTGTATTTTAGGGAAAAAGTGGAAAGACCAGAACATTGAATATGAGTACCAAAACCCCAGGAGAAACTTCAGGTAATTGGCACTTAAAGAGAAAGCAGTGTCTCTAGATGATTTTAGTATATGATAATATGTTGAAGAGAAGTAAAACAAAGAACTAAGTCCAGTATCAAATTCATCTCTTCTTAGAATATTTTCTCAAAATCATATATTTACATGTGACTAAGTCTGAGGGCTCACTCCTGTAATCCCAATCCTTTGAGAAGTGGAGATAGGAGGATAGCTTGAGGCCAGCAGTTCAAGAACAGCCTGGGCAACATAATGAGACCACAAATCAACAACAGCAAAAAATTAGCTGGGCATTGTGGTATGCATCGTAGTCCTAGCTACTCAGGAGGCTGAGGCAGAAGGATCACTCAAGCCCCCAGGAGTTAAAGGCTGTGGTAAGCAATGATGATATCACTGTACTCCAGGATGGTCACAGGATGAGACCCTGACTCGAAAGAAAAATCACACAGAGTATTTAGTACTTGTAAAATAGTTTACATGGGAATAGTATTAAGCCCCTTATGAGTATTTTTTTAAACAATAGGTATGACTATGTCACCTTGTAGAACATGTTGTCCATTTACCTTCAAACAATTCAGCCAGGGCAGAAAGCCTACACCTTGATGGACCATGTTAAAAATGCAAGTGCAATACTTGATTAATACAAAATTACTCATAAACCCTTCATAATGTGCTTCTCACTTTTGACAGGAGTCTCATAGAAGGGAATGTCAATGAAATTAAAGAAGACAGTCATTGTGGAGAAACTTTTACCCAGGTTCCAGATGACAGGCTGAACTTCCAGGAGAAGAAAGCTTCTCCTGAAGCAAAATCATGTGATAACTTTGTATGTGGAGAAGTTGGCATAGGTAACTCATCTTTTAATATGAACATCAGAGGTGACATTGGGCACAAGGCATACGAGTATCAGGACTATGCACCAAAGCCATATAAGTGTCAACAACCTAAGAAAGCCTTCAGATATCACCCCTCCTTTAGAACACAAGAAAGGAATCACACCGGAGAGAAACCCTATGCTTGTAAAGAATGTGGAAAAACCTTTATTTCCCATTCAGGCATTCGAAGACGCATGGTAATGCACAGTGGGGATGGACCTTATAAATGTAAGTTTTGTGGGAAAGCTGTCCATTGTCTCAGATTATATCTTATCCATGAAAGAACTCACACTGGAGAGAAACCGTATGAATGTAAACAATGTGTTAAATCCTTTAGTTATTCTGCTACCCATCGAATACATGAAAGAACTCACACTGGAGAAAAGCCTTATGAATGTCAGCAATGTGGGAAAGCATTCCATAGTTCCAGTTCTTTTCAAGCACATAAAAGAACCCACACTGGGGGAAAGCCATATGAATGTAAACAATGTGGCAAATCCTTCAGTTGGTGTCATTCCTTTCAAATACATGAAAGAACTCACACTGGGGAGAAGCCCTGTGAATGTAGCAAATGTAATAAAGCATTCCGTAGTTACAGATCCTATCTTAGACATAAAAGGAGTCACACGGGAGAGAAGCCTTATCAATGTAAGGAATGTAGAAAAGCATTCACGTATCCCAGTTCCCTTCGTAGACATGAAAGGACCCACTCTGCGAAAAAACCTTATGAATGTAAGCAGTGTGGGAAAGCATTATCTTATAAGTTTTCAAACACACCTAAGAATGCGCTCTGGAGAAAGACCTTATAAATGTTAGATATGTGGGAAAGGCCTTTATTCTGCCAAGTCATTTCGAAGACATGAAAAAACTCACACTGGAGAGAAACCCTATAAATGCATGCCATGTGGTAAAGCCTTCAATCTTTCCAGTTCCTTTCAGTATCATGAAAGGACTCACACTGGAGAGAAACCCTATGAGTGTAAGCAATGTGGGAAAGCCTTCAGATGTGCCCCACACCTTCGAAGGCATGGTAGGACTCACTGGAGAGAAACCCTATGAGTGTAAGGAATGTGGGAAAGCCTTCAGATCTGCCTCACACCTTCAAATTCATGAAAGGACACAAACACACATAAGAATACACTCTGGAGAAAGACCTTATAAATGTAAGACATGTGGGAAAGGCTTTTATTCTCCCACGTCATTTCAAAGACATGAAAAAACTCACACTGCAGAGAAACCCTATGAATGCAAGCAATGTGGTAAAGCCTTCAGTAGTTCCAGTTCCTTTTGGTACCATGAAAGGACTCACACTGGAGAGAAACCCTATGAGTGTAAGCAATGTGGGAAAGCCTTCAGATCTGCCTCAATCCTTCAAATGCATGCTGGGACTCACCCTGAAGAGAAGCCCTACGAGTGTAAGCAATGTGGGAAAGCCTTCAGATCTGCCCCACACCTTCGAATCCATGGTAGAACTCACACTGGAGAGAAACCCTATGAGTGTAAGGAATGTGGGAAAGCCTTCAGATCTGCCAAGAACCTTCGAATTCATGAAAGGACACAAACACACGTAAGAATGCACTCTGTAGAAAGACCTTATAAATGTAAGATATGTGGGAAAGGCTTTTATTCTGCCAAGTCATTTCAAATACCTGAAAAATCTTACACTGGAGAGAAACCCTATGAGTGTAAGCAATGTGGGAAAGCCTTTATTTCTTTCACTTCTTTTCGATAACATGAAAGGACTCACACTGGAGAGAAACCCTATGAGTGTAAGCAATGTGGAAAAACCTTCAGATCTACCTCACACCTTCGAAAACATGGTAGGACTCACACTGGATAGAAACCAAAGCAGGTGAATCACCTGAGGTCAGGAGTTCAAGACTGGCCTGATCAATATGATGAAACCCCTGTCTCTACTAAAACTACAAAAATTGGCCAGGCGTGGTGGCCTGCTTCTGTAATCCTAGCTAGTTGGGAGGCTGGCACAGGAGAATCGCTTGAATCTGGGGGGCAGAGGTTGCAGTGAGCCAAGATTGTGCCATTGCACTCTAGCCTGGGCAACAGGAGCAAAACTCCGTCTCAAAAAAAAAAAAAAAAAAGACTTGGCCTTGTGGTGAGGGGATGTCAGCTCTAGACTCCTGGAGCTGTTTTTGCCTTATTCTCTAAAGACTAAAATATTTCATAAAATGTATGGGTGCTGTTTACCAGAAAGTACGTTGGGTAAAACATAGAAATTCATTTATACCTTAGAAAGCTATTTTTTTCAGGTTGGTTTAGTGAGTCACAGGAAGCTAATAAATTACAATAATAATGTAAATTGTCTAAATACAGCCTTTTCTTTCTCTGATAATGTGCTGTTGATACTAACTTGTCAACAGCCTGTTTATTTCAGCCATGTAAAGTTAATGGCAACATGGAAAAGTCACTTTTATATGTTATGCAATGGCATGGAAAAATTCATTTTCATTAAGGTTCCAATGAAGCTGCTCTTCAGAAACGCTTATTTAAAACTCCCTAAGGTCAAAGTCCAGGCATCACGGGATGCAGCATCAATCACTGACCAAACCCTGTCTGTGTGTGGAGATGACATACCCAGTCCCAGATAATGTATCCACATCAGTGAAGGGTGGAATCATTGATTGTCAGATCACACAGCATGATTCACAGCAGGGAAGACAGGGCAGTGACAGAGGTGGGGGCACCTGAGCAGGTACGGTGGCTCACACCTGTAATCTTAGCACTTTGGGAGGCCAAGGAGAGTGGATCACTTGAGGTCAGGAGTTCAAGACCAGCCTGGCCAACATGGTGAAACCTTAAGAAATAGATAAATTAGCTGGGCATCGTGGTGTAATCCCTGTAATCCCAGATACTCAGGAGGCTGAGGCAGGAGAATCGCTTGAGCCTGGGAGGTGGTTGTTACACTGAACTGAGATCACACCATTGCACTCTCCAACCTAGTCGACAGAGCAAGACTCTGTCTCAAAATGAAAAAAACAAGAGTTGGGTGCACCTGAATCCAACCCCTGCCTTATCCTCCCTTGAAGGCCAAATACACCCTGACACTTTTAACCAAACAGTAGAAACAACACCATCCACTTGACCCCAAATGTGACTTTCCACAGGATGCAAGCACAATGTTGGAATGGCCAATGACAGTGACAATGAAAGTGCAGGGTGAGGGTGATGAACAGGACACACTGGAGAGCCTGACATTGGCCTAGACTATGGAGGTGTCTTGATGTTTCACAAAAAGCCCAAGGACCAACCCAAAGAGACACTGGAGCACAGGCCCAAAGGGTGTTCATATGCCAGGAAGGCTACTAATTTTAGAAGGCAGTGATGGTGCCTGTTTGAGTCCGGATGCTTTATAACTTCTGCTTTTCTGCATCTGCTTAGACAAAGAAATCTGCAGTTTTTGAGTTTCAGTGTTTAGAAGTAAGTTATTTTAGCAATCTACACACTTGTGGTTTATTCTGAGCTAACTTCAGACACACAGCTACAGATAGGGAATATCACGAGTATTTCCAAGGCTAAAAGTCTTCATGAAGTCAGTGGGACCCTCTCATGGGAGGGTTTTAAGACCCACAATCAAAAAGGTGGGGAAACATTAGAGTGGAAAGAGGGCAGCAGGTCAGGGGCCTTCCCCAGAGGTCTAACACACCCAACATTATTACCCTGGATGAAAACCAATACATATCATAACACCACACACACTCTTCAATGTTTCACAGACAAAATGAAATGTATTCAAAGCTAAGCTTCCAGAATTCCACTTTACACAATAAGGTTTTAATATCACTCTGTGTTGATGTTAGGCAATTACTAAATAGCATTTTCTGGTTATCTATGGAAAATACCTTGATTTCTGGGATATGAAAATGCTCATTTTTAGATATGCTTGTTTTTGAACTTTTTTTAATAAAATAAGGTGAGAAAACAGGAAAAAAATTTTCAGATCAAGGAACTTAGGCGAATTAATAGGAGAAAAGTCATACAAATTTATTTAACATGTATATATGGGAGCCTTCAGAATGAGGACCCACCCAACAATAAGACAAAAAAGCTTACATACCATTCTGAGGCCAGGAAAAATGCAGACTTGGCATGGCCAAAAAAATTCCAGGTTTGGTGGGGAAGTCATTTTTAATGGCAAGACAGATTATGCTAAAGGAAAGGAAGAAGCTTGGCTAGCAAAGGAGACCTTGTTATGTAGATGAAGGCTCCCTCAGAGAGAATAGGTGGGAAATGCTGCTTTTCAGACTTTTATTTAGAATTTTAAGTAATAGAGTCAGGATTATGCTGTGTTGCCCAGGCTGTTCTCTAATTCTTTGTCTCAAGCAGTCCTCACAGCTCAGTCTCCCAAAGTGCTAGGATTCCAGGCATGAGTCACCATGTCCAGACAGGGTTTGTCCCCTTGTAAAGAATTATTCATTGCTGGGCACAGTGATTCACAGTGACGTCTGCCTGGCATCTGCCTGTAAAGGAAGCATGGCACCAGCATCTGCTCAGCTTCTGGTGAAGGCCTCAGGAAGCTTTCAATCATAGCGGAAGGTGAACGGGGAGCAGGCAGTCACATGGCGAAAGCAGGAGTGAGACAGAGAGAGTGGTGTAGGAAGGTGCAGCTCACTAGAACTCACTGATTATCACAAAGACAGCAACAAGCCATGAGAGAAACAAGCCATAGGTCCCCCTGACCCAAACAACTCCCATCAGGACTCACCTCCAACACTGGGGATTGCAGTTCCTCATGACATTGGGTGGGAACATACATTCAAACTATCACGTGACAATATTACTTCCCTCAGTTTATTAAAGAACAAGTGTTTCTAGCTCTTCAGTGCTGTTCAGTGATTTGGAATATGGACAGGGAAAACTTTGATAAATCAGGAATGGCTGCAGTGAGCCATGAACATAGAATCTAATAATTTTTAAACTAATTTTATAATAGCTGGGCATGGTGGCTCATGCCTGTGGTTCTAGCACTTTGAGAGGCCAAGGTGGGTGGATGACTTGAACCCAGGAGTCTGAGAACAGCCTGGGCAACATGGTGAAACCCTATCTCTACAAACTTTTTAGCCAGGATGGTGACATGCACCTGTAATCCCAGCTACTTGAGAGGCTGCAGTAGGAGAATCACCTGAACCCAAGAGGTTGAGGCTGCAGTGAGCTGTGATCATGCCATTGCACTCCAGCCTGGGTGATAGAGTGAGACCCTCATCTCCAAAAAAAACCCCATAATTTTATAATCAGGACTATTTTTTATGGATCTGTATTTTAAGAAAAAAATGGAAAGACCAGATCATTGAAGATCAGTACAAAAATCTCAGGAATAATCTAAGGTAAGTTTCCCTCACAAGATAAAGCATTCTCTCTCTAGAAAATCTTATACTGCCTGAAAATGTTTTGGTTTTTTTGGAGACAAGAGTTTCACTCTTGTTGCCCAGACTGGAGTGCAATGGCTCAATCGCGGCTCATCGCAACCTCCGCCTCCCAGGTTCAAGTGATTCTCCTGCCTCAGCCTCCCAAGTAGCTGGGATTACAGGCGCCCACCACCACGTCTGGCTAATTTTGAATTTTTAGTAGAGATGGGGTTACTCCATGTTGGTCGGGCTGGTCTCGAACTCCTGTCCTCAGGTGATCCGCCTGGCTTGGCCTCCCAAAGTGCTGCAATTACAGGCGTGAGCCATTGTGCCC
This sequence comes from Homo sapiens, assembly GCF_000001405.40. Classification (NCBI taxonomy): domain Eukaryota; kingdom Metazoa; phylum Chordata; class Mammalia; order Primates; family Hominidae; genus Homo; species Homo sapiens. The sequence goes on from NC_000019.10 coordinate 11,983,995, forward strand.
GGCTGAAAATGTTTAAAATATGCAAATAAAAGAAATAAGACCAGCATCACATTTATTTACTCTTAGAAAATTTTCTCTAAAAACATAATATTTAAATGTGACATAGGCTAGGCACAGTGGCTCACACCTCTACTCCCAGCCCTTTGGGAGACCAAAGCCAGATGATTGCTTGAGGCTAGGAGTGAGACCAGCCAAGGCAACATGGTGATACATCACCTCATTAACAAAAAATGTTAGCTGCGCATGGTGGCACTTGCCTGTAGTTCCTGCTATTTGGGAGGCTGAGGCAGGAGGATGGCTTGAGCCCAGGAATTCCAAGCTACCATGAACCATGCTCAATTAGACCCCTGCCTTATCACAAGGACAGAGGGCTTTCTGTATCCTAAGGTTCTTGCCTTGGTATACTGGAAGAATTGTATCACACGTGGGCTTGGAGAATGAGTGCAAGTTTTTTCTTTTTTTTTCTGAGAAAGGGTCTCACTCTTGTCGCCTAGGCTGGAGTGCAGTGGCCTGATCTCGGCTCACTGCAACCTCCACCTCCCAGGTTCAGGTGATTCTCCTGCCTCAGCCTCCTGAGTAGCTGGGATTACAGGCACCTGCCACCATGCCCAGCTAATTTTTGTACTTTTAGTAGAGATGGGGTTTTGTCATGTTGGCCAGGATGGTCTGCAACTCCTGACCTCAGGTTATCCCCCCATCTACGCCTCCCAAAATGCTGGGATTACAGATGTGAGCCACTGCGCCCGGCCGAAAATGCGAACTTTCTCCTTTGGGTACTACCATTTTGGTGGGCATCAGATCCATGCCCGAGCTCTGTGGGCGCTGCTGCCTCTCTCCACCTCAGGCACCACATCCCAGGAGCCCCAATCCCACTGCCTGGCTTGTGCTTTAGAACAGCTGCTGCTGCAGGGCCCTCAGCTGCCACTACCAAGTTGCGATTTAGAAGTCTTTTAATGCATTTAAATATCTTAGAATTTGTCTTCCCCACTTTATACACACAATCATGAGGAGAGCAGGGACTCTATTGGTGTCTTATTCACACAGTGGGATTGAGGGTGTTTGTCTCATGAAACTGATCAATGAAGTGAGAAACAGCTGAATAACCTACAGGGGGCAGCAGAGCCTGAGGCCAGTGTGGGCCTGCAAAGGAAGGGAAAGGGAGTTCCTTGGGGGCTTCCGGGGCTCCCCGCCTTCCCCTGCAGGTGGCCTCCAGCTGCCCAGAACAGCTGCAGAGAGTGTGGATTCTGAGAAGCTGCAGGGCCCTGGAAAGCAGGAGACCCACGTGCAGGTGCGCTTAGGGGGTTCCATCCTTTCTGAGGTTGCCCTTCTGGAGCCTGGGGCCATTTTCTGGGAAGTGTTTTGGTTTTGACATGTATAGGGTCGCTGGGGTCAGAATGTAATTGTTACATATGAAGAAAATCTGTGAAGGTCAGCCTCAGTGAGACTTGTTGGGTTTGTCTTATAACAGGGTTTATGAAATTGACAGTTTATTTAGGTCAGAGCTTAAATTATCACCAGGTGAGAGTTTCCTGCTGAGGAAAATGAAGATCTGGAAGGAGAGAGCATTTCTACACTGTGAGGGGGCGCGGAGTGGGGGTGAGGGGAGCGAAGATGAGGATGCTTTGGCTTTGCCTCATCTGCATTTCTGGCTCTCTGGAGGACATCTGCTTCTCCCTCCTGGTGTGGTCATTCTTGGCCTGGTCTGGGTTCCCTTCCTGCTCTGAGGCAAAGGGGGTGGCTTTGTGGGGGCAATAGGCCCTTGGTGTCTGTCCTAAAGGTTTGCTGAAAACTCATTGACATGAGGCAGTTGGAGTAACTCTGAAAAGGCATACAAATTTATTTAGTGTATACACACAAGAGCCTTCAGAATGAAGACTCCCCAGCAATAACACAGAAAAGCTTATATACCATCCTGAGGACAGCAAAGAATGCAGACTCATTATGGTCCAAAAATCACATGTTATGTTGGCAAATCGGATGTAGTGGCAAGACATCTTCTGAGAGAGGGAAAGAAAGGGGCTTGGCTAGCAAAGATGGACTGTTATATAAATGAAGCCTCTCACAGAGAGAAGAGAAATGCTTCTTTTCCAACTTTTTAACATTTTTCTTTTTATTTGGATACTTAAATAATGAAGGTGGGAGTCTCCCTGTGTTGACCAGGCCTTCAACTCCTTGCTTTAAGGCAGGGATGTCCAATCTTTTGCCTTCCCTGGGCCACACTGAAAGAAGAATTGTCTTGGGCCACACATAAAACAAAGCTGATGAGCTAAAAAAAAAAAAAGAAAAAAGAAAAAAGAAAAGAAAGAAAAAAAATCGCAAAAAAACTGTATTTTTTTTTTTTAGCCAGAGTCTCACTCTGTCGCCCACACTGGAGTGTAGTGGTGTAATCTTGGCTCACTGCAACCTCCACCTTCGGGTTCAAGCGATTCTCCTGCCTCAGCCTCCTGAGTACCTGGGACTACAGACGCCTGCCACCACACCTGGCTAATTTTTGTATTTTTAGTAGAGATGGGGTTTCACATATTGGCCAGGCTGGTCTTGAACTCCTGACCTTGTAATCTGCCTGCCTCGGCCTCCCAAAGTGCTGGGATTACAGGCGTGAGCCACAGTGCACGGCAGAAAATCGCAAAAAAAATTTTTAAATATTTTAAGAAAGTTTACTAATTTGTGTTGGGCTGTATTCAAAGCCGTCCTTAGCCCGCAGGCCATAGGTTGGACAAGCTTGCTTTAAGGGATCCTCCAGCCTCGGCCTCCGGAATTGCTGGGATAGGAGGCGTGAGTCACGGCTTCCTACCTGTGTTCAGGTTTTAAAGACGTCAGACCCCGAATCTCTACTAGTTCCAGTGAAGGGAAATAAGCAGGGAGGAGGCCATGGCTTTGTTAACGGAGATTCTCCGCAGATGCGCATTTTCCTCCCAAAGGCACCTTTGCAAGACCACACTGTTGGCCAAGCGGCCACGATTTCAAAATATGTCAAAGGAGTAACCGGGCGCGGTGGCTCACGCCTGTAATCCTAGCACTGTGGGAGGCTGGGGCGGATCGCTTGAGCTCAAGAGTTCGAGACCAGCCTGGCTGAAACCCCGTCTCTACTAAAAATACAAAAATTAACAGGGGTGGTGGAGCACACCTGTAGTCCCAGCTACTAGGGAGGCTGAGACAGTAAAATCGCTTAAACCCAGGAGGTGGAGATTGTCGTGAGCCAGGATAGCGCCACTGCACTCCAGCTTGGGTGACAAAGTGAGACCCAGTGTCAAAAAAAAAAAAAAAAAAAAGTCAAATATATTTTGGAGTAAAAAAATTTAATTTCCTTCACCTCCGTTGGACTCTTGAGTCTGGAATTCCCTACACACATTTGTGACCCTGTGCAGGACGAAGGACCCCATTGAGTGAAAAAGACAACAGTGTCCCTTATAGCAGTTAGGAGCAAGTTTGGCTCAAATGCCAGTATCCGAAGAGCAGGGAGCTGAAAGTGAGCCCATTTAGGGAACCTGCGGCTGGAATAGCAGCGACCGGCTCTGCAGCGCCCTGTTACCCGGGGCTTCTGCTGTCACTCAGGGCTGAGGGGGCGGGGTAGGATGCCCTATCCAATCGGGGTGCTGGGGCGGGGCCCTGCCAACTGTTTAATCCGCCGGAAGGAGGGCGCAGCATTGCCGGTCTTCTCATTGCCTGGCTGCTAGAGGAAACCCGAAGTCGGGATTCTTTCTTTCCTGCTCTGAGAGGGACCAGGTCCCTCCTCCGTAGCTTTTGTCTCTCTATTGCCTGCGCCGTGTCCTGGACTGCTCACGGGAGTTCTGCAGGAGACGCCGGAATATCTGGAAGCTGAAAAATGGTGAGTGTGCGGAGCCGGAAACCCCGAGGTGGGTTTGGGGGTTAGGGGACGGTCTAGTCAGAACCGCGGAATCGGAACGCGGGCCTCCATGTTGCGACTCGGGGGTCTGAGGCCCGAGTTCCCCTGGCGCAGCTCAGCCCTGGGTCCCCTTGGCCTCAGGGTGGGTCTGGGCGGCAGTCGGGACCCCAGGCGTCCTGTCGTCCCTGCTCGGCGACTGGGACCCCTGCCCCGGAGCTCTCTCTGGGGAGCTCTGCGCCCGCAGCCGCGCGTCTCCCCAAATTGTGCGGAAGTCGTGGAGGGAATCCCGCCTCGTGTGTGGGGTTCCCAGTCGCACGTTTCTTCTGTTAAAAATTAAACTGAGACACTGTTAACAAGTAAAGAGTATTTTGGGTAAACAGCCAATCATGAAGGAGAAACACCGGGTCATGACTTGTTAACGGAAAAAAAAAACCAAACAGTAAAATAACTTAAAGAAGTTTTATTTTGACCTGGCGTGGTGGCTTACACCTGTAGTCCTAGCACTTTGGCTGGCCGAGATGGGTGGGTCACCTAAGGTCAGGAGTTTGAGACCAGCCTGGCCAACAAACCCTATGTAGGGTCCAGCCCTACTGGGCCTGTGGGTTTTTTTCCTCGTGTGCGGAGACAAGAGATCATAGAAATAAAGACACAAGACAAAGAGAAGAAAAGACAGCTAGGCCGGGGGGACCACTACCACCTAGGTGCGGAGACCGGTAGTGGCCCCGAATGCCTGGCTGCGCTGTTATTTATTGGATACAAGACAAGGGGGGAGGGTAAGGAGTGTGAGTCATCTCCAATGATAGGTAAGGTCATGCGAGTCACGTGTCCGCCAGACAGGGGGCCCTTCCCTATTTGGTAGCTAAGGCGGGGAGAGAGGACAGCTTATGTCATTATTTCTTCTATGCATTTCAAAGACTTTAGTACTTTCACTATTTCTGCTGCTGCTATCTAGAAGGCAGAGCCAGGTGTACAGGGTGGAATATGAAAGCGGACCAGGAGCGTGACCGCTGAAGCACAGCATCACAGGGAGATGGTCAGGCCTCCGGATGGCTGCGGGTGGGCCTGGCTGATGTCAGGCCTTCCCCGAGAGGTGGTGGAGCAGAGTCTTCTCTAACTCCCCCGGGGAAAGGGAGACTCTTTCCCAGTCTGCTAAGTAACGGGTGCCTTCCCAGGCGCTGGCGTTACCGCTAGACCAGGGAGCCCTCTAGTGGCCCCGTCCAGGCGTAACAGAGGGCTCACACTTGTCTTCTGGTCACTTCTTACCGTGTCCCTTCAGCTCCTATCTCTGTATGGCCATGTTTTTCCTAGGTTATAATTGTGGAAGAAATATAATTATAATATTGGAATAAAGAGCAATGCTACAAACTAATGATAATGATATTCATATATAATCATATCTATAATCTATTTCTAGTATAACTATTCTTTTTCTATATATTTTCTTTATTATACTGGAAACAGCTTGTGCCTTCGGTCTCTTGCCTTGGCACCTGGGTGGCTTGCCGCCGACATCTCCCCCGTTTTTATTGACTAGGATCGTCATCGCCATCATTGCTTGTCGCTGACTTCGGACTTGTCCTCGGACTCCTTGGAGACATCTGCAGACTAGAAGTAGACAACATAAACATACCAATATTAATAATGCCAGTGACAACAATGATCCTCCGAGGGGTTTGATCCATTTAAAGGGATTAAGATCAGACAATCTTTTAGTTATTCCCTCAAAAATGTCTGAGCCAGGGCAGTAGTTAAATGAGACTGTGAGGCCTCAAAAATTTGTTCTTTAAGTTTTGAAATATTTAAGGTTAAATTATCATCCTATTCTAAATGATGAGGTTATTGAACAATTATGAAAATGTTGCCTAGATGCTTGGGATAAGATTCAAGATGATGGCAAAGTATGTCCATCTTTTATGCCCGTCAGACAGGGACAACATGAACCCTATGCAGACTTCATTGCCCATCTTCAAGACGCAGTAGAAAAAGCTATCCCTGATAGCCATGGCCAATGACTTCTTGTAGAACTTATGGCTTATGATCAAGCAAATCCAGATTTCTTCTCCTTATCACTGTTTAGGAATGCAGCTAGAAGCTAGAAGACAAGAATTAAGCCCCACGATGGTCACTTCTCATCGTGTCCCTTCAGCTCCTATCTCTGTATGGCCTGGTTTTTCCCAGGTTATAATTGTAGAACAAAGATTATTATAATATTGGAGTGAAGAGCAATGCTACAAACTAATGATTAATGATATTCATATATAATCGTATCTATAATCTATTTCTAGTATATTCTTATTCTATATATTTTCTTTATTATACTGCAACAGCTTGTGCCCTCTGTCTCTTGCCTTGGCACCTGGGTGGCTTGCTGCCCACAACCCCGTGTCTAAAAATACAAAAATTAGCTGCGCATGGTGGTGGGTACCAGTAATCCCAGCTACTCCGGAGGCTGAGGCAGGAGGATCGCTTGAACCCGGGAGATGAAGGTTACAGTGTTATGAAAGACCTTGGCGGAGGGAAACAACCCCAGGAAGCCTCGAGTAAGTGGTCCCGAGGCAGCTCATGACAGTTTGGTTTTATTCATTTCAGGGAGACAGGAATTGCAGGGAAAATCATGACTTAGTGCTTGGAAGGTGTGAGTTCCTTTGGCCGAAAGGCGGGACTTGTGGTAATGGGGTTAGAAGGCACAGGTGGTTGAGGGATTCTGTGGGTGGCAGTTGGTTGAGAGTGTGAAGTTTTGGTCTAAAATTCAGAGGTGGATAAAAAGGAACAAACTAATGGCATTTGCAGCAACCTGGATGGAATTGGAGACTATTCTAAGTGAAGTAGCTCGTTAAAATGGAAAACCAAGCATCACTTATGTTCTCACTCATAAGTGGGAGCTAAGCTATGAGGATGCAAAGGCATAAGAATGATACAATGGACTGTGGGGACTGGGGAGGATGGGAAAGGGTGGGAAGGTGGGTGTGAGGGATAAAAGACTACACATTGGGCCGGGCATGGTGGCTCACGCCTGTAATCCCAGTACTTTGGGAGGCTGAGGCGGGCAGATCACCTGAGGTCAGGAGTTCGAGACCAGCCTGGCCAATATTGGGAAGCCCCGTCTCTACTAAAAATACAAGTGTTAGCTGGGTGTGGTGGCACGTGCCTGTAGTCCCAGTTACTCGGGAGGCTAAGACAGGAGAACTGCATGAACCCAGGAGGCACAGGTTGCAGTGAGTCGAGATCCTGCCACTGCACTCCAGCCTGGGCGACAGAGCGAGACTCCATCTCAAAAACCAACAAACAAAAAACCCAAAAACCGAAAGACTACAAATTGGGTTCAGTGTATACTGCTCCAGTGATGGGTGCACCAAAATTTCACAAATCACCACTAAAGAACTTACTCATGTAACCATATACCACCTGTTCCCCATAAACCTATGGAAATATGTATATATATGTATTTAAATTTTTAGAGGCGGTAGGAAGGAATGCTGTAGGAAGAGGGGCTGTTATTTGTCACATGATTCCATCCCTGCCCACGAAACAGGCCTGTGTCACCAGATTTTATGAATTCTGAGACATGAATTACCCTTTTCCTTAAGTCCCTTTAGATGGTGTTTGTAATTTCATGTCTTACTGCCACAGAATCTGTTTTGTGAGTCTGACGATGTCTAATGAACATGAATGTAGATCAGTTGCTGTGTATATATTCTAAAAGAGAGACAGTATAAGGAGGCTACTCCGATCTTCCCGTCACAGCGGGGAACTCCATTTTGAGAGTTTTTATTGGTGATCTTGGCCAAGAGCAGGTCAGTTCACTTAGTTGTTGGTGGGGGAGCTGCTTAATTTTGTTAACAGCTTATAGGTTGGAGGACAGGCTTTTATAATGTGAAAGGAAAATAAAACCTCAGGACCCCAATTTTTATACCAAAAGGAAAATATTAAGCTAAAAGCTGAGTCAAGCAAGAAGTTGCCTTTCTTTTTGTTGCTAAGTGAATAGCTACAGATAAAAAGTTATATATCTTGGACTGGGCACAGTGGCTTACGCCTGTAATCTCAGAACTCTGGGAGGCTGAGGCAGGCGGATCACTAGATCAGGAGTTCGAGACCAGCCTGACCAAAATGGAGAAACCCTGTCTCTACTAAAAATACAAAACTTAGCCAGGCATGGTGGCCTGTGCCTGTAATCTCAGCTAATCAGGAAGCTGAGGCAGGAGAATCACTTGAACCTGGGAGGCAGAAGTTGCAGTGAGCCACGATCGAGTCACTGCACTCCAGCCTGGGTGACAGAGCGAGACTGCATCTAAAAAAAAAAAAAAAAAAAGTTATATATCTCCACAGGAAACTGTGTATCTCAAGTAAAGTGTTGATTTACTGGGTGAGACACAAATACCTAACTGACTATTCTCTTGCCTGCTTCTTTCCTGTTGCAGTATGTGGATTACATACTAACCCTCCCTCTTACCTATCCAGCACACTTTTCCCCTTTATATATTGAAGTCCTCAAAATTGTCCTTGGAGAAAGTCACAGACTGTTGCTGTGATTCCGTGTTGATTTCTTCTGGGTCTATTCTTAACCTTGGGAAAATAAACTTCTAAGTTGATCCAGAAGCATCTCCAATATTTTTGGTTTACAATATGTTGCATGAGGAGCCAAACCATATTAAATACTAGATTGTTTACAGTGATGCAGTTGCCTTCTTTGGACTTGTCAACTTGAAGTAGTTGAAAAGATCAGATTCCAGTTTTGAAGCATTTATTCAAGTAGTAAGCTGAGAATGGCCTATTTGGGAAAACACAGACTCCAGAGAAATGGCTCAGTGCTCTGAAGTCAGATGTTAAATTCTTCCCTATATAGGCAAAAGGCAAAGAAATTGAACAGGATTACATTTTCCATAGAAGGCTGATGTATGAGGTACAACAATTTAATTTGTTACAGTTTGCTTTTTTTCTCCTAGGCCTTTATTTTCTTGACAGCTGATTTTCATTTCCTTCCCAATTTAAAAGAATGAGTTTGGCCAGGTGCAGTGGCTCATGCCTGTAATCCTAGCACTTTGGGAGGCCATGGTGGGTGGATTGCCTTAGCTCAGGAGTTTGAGACCAGCCTGGGCAACACGATGAAGCCCCATCTCTACTAAAATACAAAATTAGCTGGCTGTGGCGACGTGCACCTGTAATCCCAGTTACTTGGGATGTTGTGGGAAATAAAGGACTAGAGAGACTGATACAAGGAACGGGAGAATTGTTCATTTAAGGTACGCACCGGCTCAGTGGATTCACATCTAAAAAGCTGAGCACTGAACAAAGACTGAGCGAGGTTTTCATAAGCAAACTTACAGAAGCAAAATAAAAGTAATCATACAGTGATAGGTCACGTAATCTATAGCATAGCATAACTTGTGGCCTTGCATAGCTGGTGGCCTTGTAGCTGCATTTAAAGAAAAACAAGAACTGACTAAATACAGACTTCTTTCCTTTTTTTTTTTTCCTTCACCTTCGTTCTGGAGGGGGGATGTCTGGAACCTATTCTTTTGGCTTTGACTTCTCAAACAGCATTATAACTGTCTTTGAAGTGAGCTTGCTAGGCAGAGGAAAACTTGTTCTTTTCTTTTTAACCTTTGCCTTGCCTGTTACTTTTCTTGGAGTGAATGAATGCATATTTATTTTTTAAATTTCTGGCTTAGGGAGGCTAAGGTAGGAGAATTGCTTGAACCCAGGAGGTTGCAGTGAGCCGAGATCGTGTTATTGCACTCCAGCCTGGGTAACAGAGCAAGAGTTGGTCTCAAAAAAAAAAAAAAAAAAGAGTGAGTTGAACATTCCAGCTTAAGACAGTGTGATAGCCATGAAGTCTTTGTGTGAGAAAGGGTAAGATGAAAGTTCATCTACAATGGAGATCAAGAGTGAAGAGGGAAGGGGTCTTCCCTGGCTCCCTTCAACATTTACATGTCAACATTGACATAATTTTATGAAACAATATGGGTAAGAATGAAGACAAAAAGGCAAATCCACAGTCTGGGAAAGGAAAGTTCCAGCTGCCTGTCATGTGACTCAATGCCACCTTAATCACATTGCTTTAAGGCTCAAGATAATTTAGAGATGGAACAGCTCACATTTTTGGCTTTAGTTTCACAGACTGTACAGGTAGAAAATGTTCTGGTTATGTAATCAGGTTAATTGGGGGATTTTGGTTGGTTAAGCCTAAATTTCATTTCCCTATAAATTATTATTTTATCAGAATTGTATTTGAGTTGTATTTCAGGGTCCTTAGGTAGGTCCTAGGGCACTACACACAGTTCAGTCTTACTGTTTCTCATTTATTTATTTATTTATTGTTTTTTTGAGACAGGGTTTTGCTCACTGCAACATCTGCCTCCTGGGCTCTGGGTGCGAGCAGTCCTCCCACCTCAGCCTCCTGAGTAGCCAGGACTGCAGGCATGCACCATCACACCTGACTTAATTGTTGTATTTTTTGTAGATGCCAGGTTGTCCAGTCTAGTCTCAAAATCCTGAGCTCAAGTGATCCATCAGCCTCTGTGTCTCACCCAAAGTGCTGGGATTACAGGCGTGAGCCACAGTGCATCGCCTCATTTAATTTTTTTTTTTTTTTTTTTTTTTTTTTTTTTGAGACTGAGCCTAGCTCTGTTGCCCAGGCTGGAGTACAGTGGTGTGATCTCGGCTCACTGCAACCTCCGCCTCCCGAGTTCAAGTGATTCTTCGGCCTCAGCCTCTCTAGTAGCTGGGATTACAGGCACACACCACCACGCCCCACTAGTTTTTGTATTTTTAATAGAGACTGGGTTTCACCATGTTGGCCAGGCTGGTCAAGAACTCCTGACCTCAAGTGATCCAACCACCTCGGCCTCCCAAAGTGCTGGGATTACAGGCGTGAGACACCGCGCCCGGCCTATTTAAATTTTTTAGCACTCGCCTTGGGGACTGGTTTCCCCCACATTTTCCAAATAGATTGGATGCAGTGTCTGCTATTCTCCACCCTGTGTCCGAGGCTAACTCTTCAAGGGCTTGCAGTAGAAATCCTAAATGTTCAGTTTCTCTCCCGCGTTTCCAACATCAACTCCATTCTCCAGTTCACAATATTATCAACTATTTCTTCTTTATAGTACAACATTGTATTTATTCATCCCGTTTAAAACAGATGCAGTGTATTTTAATTGTTTATTATTTTATCACAGAGCAATAGATGATTCTTTTTAAAGTATTTGTTTGCTATTTCTGAAAATTTCACATGAGAAGAAGGCAGAGAAAAATCACCACACATCTCAGTGAACAAAACCTTTGTGCCTCTCCTTTTATTTTTCCTAGGCACAGACATCAGGATGTCTTTGGGTTGAGGTTCCTTTTTGGAAACTTTACAGAATGATCTGTCTTCCGTTCCCCCTCCAATTTTTCCTGGTCCTGGGTTTCAGAACTGCCTAGGCTGAGCCAAGATACCCACCACTGCCATGTCTCTTGGAGGGCCTAGTACATATCAGCCCCTGAGTCATACCTCCCAGAGCACAGCCTGAAGTAGAGGAGTGGGGCCTCCCAAGGGAGTAGCTGAATGCCTTGTGGTGGGAGGAGACTCCTGGTATAATCTTCATCTAGATAACCAATCCCCTTGGGGTGCTCAGCTTTTCTCCCTCAACCCCAGTTTCCATTATTTGGAGATACATGGCTGGTCAGCCAATTGGATTTTGCTCCTGAGAGGAAAGAGAAATGATTCCTGTCCTCTGGATTGTCTCAGAAATGTAAAGAAAGAAAACTTTTTTTTTTTTTTGCCTTTCCCATGCATACTGAGGGAGAAAACTCAAAACGTGTGGGAGAAAACAAAACAAACAGAAAAAGTTGGTGCAAAAGTAATTGAAAAGTAATTGTGCTTTTTGCATTGTTGAAATTTGCTGTTTGATATTGGAATACATTCTTTTTTTTTTTTTTTTTTTTTTTTTTTTTTTTTTTTTTTTTTTTGAGACAGAGTCTCGCTCTGTCGCCCAGGCTGGAGTGCAGTGGTGCAATCTTGGCTGACTGCAAGCTCCGCCTCTCGGGTTCACACCATTCTCCTGCCTCAGCCTCCCGAGTAGCTGGGACTACAGGCGCCCAACACCACGCCTGGCTAATTTTTTTGTATTTTTAGTAGAGATGGGGTTTCACTGTGTTAGCCAGGATGGTCTTGATCTCCTGACCTTGTGATCCGCTGCGTCGGCTTCCCAAAGTGCTGGGATTACAGGCGTGAGCCACTGCACCTAGCCTTCTTCTTTTTTTTGACAGAGTCTTGCTCTGTTGCCCAGGGGCATGATCTCTGCTCACTGCAACCTCTGCCTCCCAGGTTCAAGTGATTATCATGCTTCAGCCTCCTGAGTAGCTGGGATTACAGGCATGCACCATCATTGCCAGCTAATTTTTGTATTTTTAGTAGATTTGGGGTTTCACCATGTTGGCCAGGCTGGTCTCCAACACCTGACCTCAAGTGATTCTCCCACCTTGGCCTCCCAAAGTGCTGGGATTACAAGTGTGAGCCACTACACCTGGCGCCAAAAATCTTAATGATCTTGGACTTAGGAAAAAGATTCTATGACATGACACCAGGAGCCCTAGGATCAGAGAACAAGTATGTCATTTAGACTACATCAGAATTTAAAACTTTTGTGCATCTGGCCAGGAATGGTGGCTCACACCTGTAATCCCAGCACTTTGGGATGCATAGGTGGGTGGATCATGAGGTCAGGAGTTCAAGACCAGCCTGGCCAACACGGTGAAACACCGTCTCTACTACAAATAGAAAAATTAGCTGAGCGTGGTGTCACGCGCCTGTAATCCCAGCTACTCAGGAGACTGAGGCAGGAGAATCGCTTGAACCCAGGAGGTGGAGGTTGTAGTGAGCCAAGATCACGCCACTGCACTCCAGCCGCGGCAACGGAGCAAGACTCCGTCTAAAAACAAAAACAAAAAACTTTTGTGCTTCAAAAAACACCATCAAGAAATTGAAGCCTGTGTGGCCATGCCACCCTAAACGCATCTGTTTGGCATAGCTAAGCGGGATTGGGCCTGGTTAGTAAATGGATGGAGAATGCCTGGGAATACTGGGTGCTATATGCTTTGAAAAAAAGAAGAAGAAGAGGGTGGGGAATTTGACAAGAGAATTCCCCAAATGAGAGAAAACCTTCCATATTGAAAATCTGGTCATTCCCCTTCATGACATAGGGTAGAGGCTGTATTGGTAGCCAGCACTCTGAGGCATCGTGGCCCATTACTGCAGGAAATGAACTCTACCCCGCAGTTCTCTCTGGCAGTGGTGTGCCCACAGTCCCCCAGTCTCTCCCAGTTTATGGGGTGACAACAAAGTGGTCATCCGGAGAGAAATCTGACCTTGTGTTTGGATTTGTGAGTACAGACACTCTTCAGGACACCCTCCTTCCTCCCCAAAGAAAGGAAGCTTTTTATCACCAACCATTCCAGTCATAGGAAGCAGGGTCTGAAGTCTAAGTCCTTATTCCATGCAAAGGGAGATTGCACTGAAAACTTGTTAAAAATGTCAAGGAAGGCTTCATTCAACACAATTGCAATATGTGTCAGGAGAACTGTAATATGGGAAAGAGATTGAACTCAATCTGGAATGCATCAAGAGAATTATAGCTAAAGAGTAGGGTGAGGGAGAGGATGGAATTTGGTTAGGTGTCAAGAGTTGGGAGACTGATTAATTATCATAGATGGGGGAAATGGAACTTGATTAGATACCAAGTTTGAGGGCATTCTAAGCTCTAAGTCTGGTCAAGAAGAGGGTTCTGAGGAGCCTGACTCAACTTTGGTCAAGGAAGGAGTCCTTGAGATTCCCCCAGCCTAGTTCTTGCTAGGGCTGATGATAAATCCTTAAATTTCTGGTTTCCTCCCCACGTTCCAGAACACCCATTTCTTCTCTCTAGTGGACATTATCAACTATGTGTCCCCAGTGATACATTTGAAACTGCTGCAATATTGTTTATTTTTTGACAGAGCAATAAGTGGCTCTGTGTAAGTTTGAGACAGTCTCCCTCTGTCGCCCAGGCTGGAGTGCAGTGGTGCAATCTTGGCTCACTGCAACCTCCACCTCCTGGGTTCAAGCTGGTATCCTGCCTCAGCCTCCTGAGTAGCTGGATTACCTATGTATGCCACCACACTGGGCTAATTTTTTGTATTTTTAGTAGAGACAGGGTTTCACCATGCTGGCCAGGCTGGTCTTGAACTCATGACTTCAAGTGATCCACCCGCCTCAGCCTCCCAAAGTGCTGGAATTTACAGGTGTGAGCCACCGCACCTGACCTCTGTGTAAATTTTTAAATTTTGTTTATAAATATTTTTCATGAGTGGAAAACACTCAATAACCACTCAACTACATTGTGTAAATCCTTGTGCCTAATGACTCCTGATGTCGACCATCTTTCGCGTGCTTACTAGCCATTTGTATGTATCTTGCAGAAGTGTTATTCAGATACTTTCCCATCTTTTAAGGAATCAGTATTTTTTTTTTTTTTTTTTTTTTTTTTTTTTTTTTTTTTTGGTGAGACAGAGATTTACTCTTGTTGCCCAGGCTGGAGTGCAATGGCGCGATCTCGGCTCACCGCATCCTCCGCCTCACAGGTTCAAGCGATTCTCCTGCCTCAGCCTCCTGAATAGCTGGGATTACAGGCATGTGTCACCACGTCCGGCTAATTTTGTATTTTTAGTAGAGACGGGGTTTCACCGTGTTGCCCAGGCTGATCTCGAACTCCTGACCTCAGGTAATCCACCCGCCTCCGCCTCCCAAAGTGCTGGGATTACAGGCATGAGCCACTGCGCCCGGCCAGGAATTAGTTTTTTACTTGGTACAATAATTCATTATAGTTAAGTATTGTAAGAAATCTTAAAATGTACCAGCTGAAGGAATTTTACATGTACAGTTAAGATAGTTTGACAAATCTACTTCTCTAAGATGAATAATACTGTATTTTTATTTTTGTGACTGGCTTTTTGCGATTAGTATACCATTGCTTATACCATGGAACAGGATGTTATTTTCTAAGGCTAAATAATATTCCATTGTATGTATATGCTTACCACATTTTGGTTATCCGTTCAGCCATCAATGGACATTGATGGATTGATCCACCTCTTGGCTATTGTGAATCATGGTTTTCAAATATCTCTTCAAGATCCAGTTTTCAATTTATTTGAATTGAATAAAAATAGACCTGGAAGGCCGGGCGCAATGGCTCATGCCTGTAATCCCAGCACTTTGGGAGGCCGAGGCGGGCGGATCATGAGATCAGGAGATCGAGACCATCCTGGCTAACATGGTGAAACCCTGTCTCTACTAAAAATACAAAAAATTAGCCAGGGGTGGTGGCGGGTGCCTGTAGTCCCAGCCACTTGGGAGGCTGAGGCAGGAGAATCGCTTGAACCCGGGAGGCGGAGCTTGCAGTGAGTCACAGTGAGCCAAGATCGCACCATTGCACTCCAGCCTGGGCGACAGAACGAGACTCCGTCTCAAAAAAAAGGACCTGGAAATGGGTTGCTGGAGGATAACATTTTTTAAATTAGCTTTTGAGTACCACCATACTGTTTTCCATAGAGGTTGAACCATTTTACATTCCTTTGGACAGAACACATGAGTTCCAGTTTTTCAACATTCTTTCCAAAACTTTATATTTGGGGTGTTTGAATTTTTTTCTTTGTAGTTGAGTGTAGGAGTTGATTATATTTTCTGAATATTAAGACCTTGCCAGATGCATGACTTGCTTATATTTGCTCCAATGTCATGGTGATACCGACGTGTTGGGAAGGGAAGAGCGTGGTCCCTTTAAATAATACAGAAGTGGGTAAGGGAAGTGCTGGGTAGAGGAGGGTGTGATCCCTGGCTAGGGCTCCACCCCCACAGACCTAGGTGAGGACAGTTATTTCCTGCCCAAATGTTGCATTTCCCAAGACCACCCTGGCCCACCATGCCCCATTCTGGGCCTATAAAAACCCCAGACCCTAGTGGGCAGACACACAAGCAGCTGGTTGTCAAGAGGAGCACGCCAGCAGAAGAGCACACTGATAGGCACTGGCACACCAGCAGGCCATCAGCTGGCGGATGAGGCAGTCCATCAACTGGCGGGGCTGGTGGGACAAGGCAGAGTTTGGCTGAGCCAGGGCCGTTGAGCAGCCCAGCTCCCAGGAAGACCATCTCGCTTCTGGCTCCCCTATCACTTCCACTCAATAAAACTATTCACTCATTCTCCAAGCCCACGTGTGATCTGATTCTTCTGGTACACTAAGGCAAGAACCCGGGATACAGAAAGCCCTCTGTCCTTGCGACAAGGTAGAGGGTCTCATTGAGCTCATTAACACAAGCTGCCTATAGGCAAACTAAAAGACCACCTGTAACACACGCCCCCCACTGGGGCTTCAGGAGCTGTAAACATTCACCCCTTGACACTGCTGTGGGGCTCCACTGCTGTGGGGTCGGAGCCCCACAGCCTGCCCATCTGTATGCTCCCCTAGAGGTTTGAGCAACGGGGCACTGTAGAAGCAAGTCACACCCCATTGCACACCTGCTAGGGGAACAAGGGAAACTTTCCCTTTTCGGTAGGGTGCCTTTTCCCTCTGTTTGTAGTGTCGTCTCATGGGCAAAAGTTTTAAATTTTGATAAACATTTGCTTTTTGTTAAGACTGAGCTCCCTGGAGGTTTTACCTCTGAACCTTGTCCCCATTCAGCCTTCAGCAGTTCATCAATTACAATTTAAGTTTTTCTACCACAATACTGTTTCTCACAAAGGTTTCTGCTCTTCAGTTTTTGATTTAGTTAGTTATGACTCATCAATTAGGTTGGTTGAGTCCCTTGCAAAAATCGAGTTGTGGTTTTTTTTGTTTTTTCTTTCTGCTAATTGAGTCAGAACAAATTCTCCCTTTCAGGTATCCTCAATGGTTAAACTTTGTGAACAGGCATTTTCAAGGAAACACACTCTCAGGACTGCTAATGTTAACATTTTTCTGCATATGAATTCAGAGGACTTTGTTATGACAGGCGCTGTAGACACACACTACAGACAGACATTAGGGACAGCCCAGGCAGCGTGCTTTTCTTTCTGGATTCACTGAAAAGACATTTCCTGTTCTGCTGTTGGTATTGCTTAGTTCAGTTTTAGCATCAGAATCGCTTTATGGAAGAAAGTGGGTATACACCAAGTGATAACCAAGTCATGGAATAAATGTCTGGAGTCCACAGCATCATGGGAACTTCTTAGGAATAGAGTCTAGGCCCCCAGTGCTGTCAGTCTCACCCATCCTCCTTTACATGTGTGAGATGTTTTAGGACTCAGTGGTCTTTGAGGATGTAGATGTGAGCTTCACCCAGGAGGAGTGGGCTTTGCTGGATCCTTCCCAGAAGAATCTCTACAGAGATGTGATGCAGGAAACCTTCGGGAACCTGTCCTCTATAGGTGAGGGTGACAATATTACTTCCTTCCTTCAGCGAATTAGAAAACATGGTTTTTTTTGTTTTTTTTTTTTGAGACGGAGTCTTGCTCTGTCGCCCAGGCTGGAGTGCAGTGGCGCAATCTCGGCTCACTGCAAGCTCCGCCTCCTGAGTTCATGTCATTCTCCTGCCTTAGCCTCCCGAGTAGCGGGGACTACAGGCGCCCGCCACCGTGCCTGGCTAATTTTTGTATTTTTAGTAGAGACAGGGTTTCATTGTGTTAGCCAGGATGGTCTCGATCTCCTGACCTCGTGATCCGCCCCCCTCGGCCTCCCAAAGTGCTGGGATTACAGGCGTGAGCCATCGCACCCGGCCGAGAACGTGTTTTTAGCTCATTAATGCTGTTCCACGATTTGGAAATATGGACAGGGAATATGTCAGTGAATAAATGAGGCACGGATGCAGTGTACCATGAACATAGAATATTATTTTTATTATAGCTTTATACTAATTAAGACTATTTTCCTGGTTCTGTATTTTAGGAAATAAATGGAAAGACCAGAATATTGAAGATCACTACAGAAATCTAAGGTAATTTACACTTACAAAATGAAGCAATGTCTTTCTAGAAAATCTTAGAATGTGAGACTATGTTTAAAAAAAAAAAAAAAGGCTGGGCGCGGTGGCTCACAGCGCATTTTGGGAGGCTGAGGCAGGCGGATCACAAGGTCAGGAGATCGAGACCATCCTAACACGGTGAAACCCCGTCTCTACTAAAAATTAGCAGGGCATGGTGGCACGTGCCTGTAGTCTCAGCTACTCGGGAGGCTGAGGCAGGAGAATTGCCTGAACCTGGGAGCAGAGGTTGCAGTGAGCCGAGATCTCGCCATCGCACTCCAGCCCGGGCGACAGAGTGAGACTCTGTCTCACAAAAAAAATAAGAAAAGCAAATGAAGGAAATAAGCCCAGCATCAAATTTGTTTATTTATTAGAATAATAATTATTTTTTCTTTCTGAGACAGAGTTTCACTGTTGCCCAGGCTGGAGTGCAGTGGCATGATCTCGGCTCACTGCAACCTCTGCTTCCCAGATTAAAGCAATTCTTGTGCCTCAGCCTCCTGAGTGGCTGGGATTACAGGAGGGCGCTACCACCCCTGGCTAATTTTTGTATTTTTAGTAGAGACAGGGTTTCATCACCTTGGCCAGGCTGGTCTTAAACTCCTGGCCTGAAGTGATCTGCCTACCTCGGCCTCCCAAAGTGCTGGGATTACAGGCATTAGCCGCCGCGCCTGGCCACTTTTTCTTTTTCTTTTTCTTTTTTTTTTTTTTTTTTGAGATGGAGTCTTGCTCTGTCGCTCAGGCTGGAGTGCGATGGCCCAATCTCGATCTCCTGACCCTGTTGATCTGCCTGCCTTGGCCTCCCAAAGTGCCGGATTACAGGCGTGAGCCATCGCGCCTGGCTGCCACATTTATTTATTCTTAACACATTTTATCTAAAATCCTATATTTCAGTGTGACATAAACTGGGCACAGTGGGTCACACCTGTAATCCAACTATTTGGAGGTAGAGGTGGAAGGATTGCTAGAGGCCTGGAGTTTGAGAACAGCCTGGGCAAAACAGCAAGACTTCATAACAACAAAGAAGTAGCTAGACGCTGTGGCATGTACCTGTAGTTCTAGCTGCTCAGGAGGCTGAGTCAGAATCACTTCAGCCCAGGAGTTTGAGGCTGCTGTAAACCACAGTGATGCCACTACACTCCAGCCTGGGCAACAGGATGACCCCCATTCAAGAAAAATGATAGAGGTTTAGTATTTGTAAAGTACTCTATGGGAAAATAGTATTAAGAATTTCCAGGCCAGGCACAGTGGCTCATGCATGTAATCCCAGCACTTTGGGAGGCCAAGGTGAGTGGATCACGAGGTCAGGAGTTCGAGACCAGCCTGGCCAGTATGGTGAAACCCCGTCTCTACTAAAAATGTAAAAATTAGCCGGGCATGGTGGTACTCAGCTGTAGTCCCAGCTACTTGGGAGGCTGAGGCACAGCCTCAATCTTGAACCCGGGAGGCGGAGGTTGCAGTGAGCCGTGCGTGCCACTGCACTCCAGCCTGGTCAACAGAGCGAGACTTTGTATTAAAAAAAAAAAAAAAATTTCTATATAGGGTCAGGCATGGTGGCTCACACCTGTAATCCCAGCACTTTGGGAAGCAGAGGCAGTTGGATCACTTGAACCTGGGAGGCGTTCTGGAGGTCAGGAGTTCGAGACCAGCTTGGCCAACATGGTGAAACCCTGTGTCTGCTAAAAATACAAAAATTAGCCGGGCCTCATGGCACATGCCTGTAATCCCAGCTACTCTGGAGGCTGAAGCAGGAGAATCGCTTGAACCTGGGAGGCGGAGGTTGCAGTGAGCCGAGATCACGCCACTGCTTCTTGCTTTAAAAGAAGAGTAAAGACAAGAGTGTTGGACCAGTATTGCAGTTCTGTAGTATCATTTCTTATAAAAAACAAAACAACAATAATTTATCAAAATTGGCATATAAAGACTGACAACATTCTAATAAAGGCACAAATTTCTTTTTAATACTTGTTTCAGGCTCTTTATTCTCTTTATAAGTTAACTAATCTATTTTCTTCAAACTTCTGCATTAGTTCTTTAAAATCACAACACTTAGCAAGCTGACTTTTTTAATGTGCTCAATACAAATACTTGTGAACTTTTAATATGTTGAGTGCTTTCATTGTGATAACTGGATCTCCATTTGATATTTTCATTTATATAACTCATTTGCAGTCTGAAAATTTTTAGTGCCAGTCCCTGAATATATCATTGAAAGTTAATTTTCTTTGCATTTTAAAATATCTGGATTATGAAGAAAAAGTGATGAAAATAAATTAAAACTGAATTACCTTAAAAAAAAACAAAAAAAAAAGACCAAGCGTGGTGGCTCATGCTTGTAATCCCAGCACTTTGGGAGACTGAGGCGGGCAGATCACCTGAGGTCAGGAGTTCCAGACCAGCCTGACCCACATGGTGAAATCCCATCTCTACTAAAAATACAAAAGTAGCCAGGCGTGGTAGCGTGCACCTGTAATCCCAGCTACTTGGGAGGCTGAGGCAGGAGAATTGCTTGACCCTGGGAAGTGGAGGTTCCAGTGAGCCAAGATCATGCCACTGCGCTGTAGCCTGGGCAATGAGAGTGAAACTCTGTCTCAAAAAAAAAAAAAAAAAAAAAAAAAAAAAAGAATGTCACTTTCTGACAGGCCCAGGAGCCTCAAGTTATCTTGGGACCTTGACAGGAGGAAAATTCACTCAACTCATACAGGTATTTGCAGGCATAGATAAGTCTGTGGCTGGGCTTCAAGGCTTTAAAAAGTACAATCTGAGATTCCTTAGTGAACAAAGTTTCAGCAAAGCCAATTTTTAAAAAGAGTTTAGTCTCAGAACTAGGAAATTGGCTAAAAAGATATGGGACAAGATATTTAAATTTGCCTTTTTCTGTCTATCCCAATCTAACAACCTCTGACCCAAATCTCTTGCTGCTAATGACCCCATGTCTGATTGGTTTTCAGAGCTGCTTTTTTTTTTTTTTTTTTTTTATACTTTAAGTTTTAGGGTACATGTGCACATTGTGCAGGTTAGTTACATACATATACATGTGCCATGCTGGTGTGCTGCACCCACTAACTCGTCATCTAGCATTAGGTATATCCCCCAGTGCTATCCCTCCCCCCTCCCCCCACCCCACAACAGTCCCCAGAGTGTGATGTTCCCCTTCCTGTGTCCATGTGTTCTCATTGTTCAGTTCCCACCTATGAGTGAGAATATGCGGTGTTTGGTTTTTTGTTCTTGTGATAGTTTACTGAGAATGATGGTTTCCAATTTCATCCATGTCCCTACAAAGGACATGAACTCATCATTTTTTTATGGCTGCATAGTATTCCATGGTGTATATGTGCCACATTTTCTTAATCCAGTCTATCATTGGTGGACATTTGGGTTGGTTCCAAGTCTTTGCTATTGTGAATAATGCTGCAATAAACATGCATGTGTCTTTATAGCAGCATGATTTATAGTCCTTTGGGTATATACCCAGTAATGGGATGGCTGGGTCAAATGGTATTTCTAGTTCTAGATCCCTGAGGAATCGCCACACTGACTTCCACAATGGTTGAACTAGTTTACAGTCCCACCAACAGTGTAAAAGTGTTCCTATTTCTCCACATCCTCTCCAGCACCTGTTGTTTCCTGACTTTTTAATGATTGCCATTCTAACTGGCGTGAGATGGTATCTCATTGTGGTTTTGATTTGCATTTCTCTGATGGCCAGTGATGGTGAGCATTTTTTCATGTGTTTTTTGGCTGCATAAATGTCTTCTTTTGAGAAGTGTCTGTTCATGTCCTTTGCCCACTTTTTGATGGGGTTGTTTGTTTTTTTCTTGTAAATTTGTTTGAGTTCATTGTAGATTCTGGATATTAGCCCTTTGTCAGATGCATAGGTTGCGAAAATTTTCTCCCATTTTGTAGGTTGCCTGTTCACTCTGATGGTAGTTTCTTTTGCTGTGCAGAAGCTCTTCAGTTTAATTAGATCCCATTTGTCAATTTTGGCTTTTGTTGCCATTGCTTTTGGTGTTTTAGACATGAAGTCCTTGCCCATGCCTATGTCCTGAATGGTAATGCCTAGGTTTTCTTCTAGGGTTTTTATGGTTTTAGGGCAAACGTTTAAGTCTTTAATCCATCTTGAATTGATTTTTGTATAAGGTGTAAGGAAGGGATCCAGTTTCAGCTTTCTACATATGGCTAGCCAGTTTTCCCAGCACCATTTATTAAATAGGGAATCCTTTCCCCATTGCTTGTTTTTCTCAGGTTTGTCAAAGATCAGATAGTTGTAGATATGTGGCATTATTTCTGAGGGCTCTGTTCTGTTCCATTGATCTATATCTCTGTTTTGGTAACTGTAGCCTTGTAGTATAGTTTGAAGTCAGGTAGTGTGATGCCTCCAGCTTTGTTCTTTTGGCTCAGGATTGACTTGGCGGTGCGGGCTCTTTTTCGGTTCCATATGAACTTTAAAGTAGTTTTTTCCAATTCTGTGAAGAAAGGCATTGGTAGCTTGATGGGGATCGCATTGAATCTGTAAATTACCTTGGGCAGTATGGCCATTTTCACGATATTGATTCTTCCTACCCATGTGCATGTAATGCTCTTCCATTTGTTTGTATCCTCTTTTATTTCCTTGAGCAGCGGTTTGTAGTTCTCCTTGAAGAGGTCCTTCACATCCCTTGTAAGTTGGATTCCTAGGTATTTTATTCTCTTTGAAGCAATTGTGAATGGGAGTTCACTCATGATTTGGCTCTCTGTTTGTCTGTTGTTGGTGTATAGGAATGCTTGTGATTTTTGCACATTGATTTTGTATCCTGAGACTTTGCTGAAGTTGCTTATCAGCTTAAGGAGATTTTGGGCTGAGATGATAGGGTTTTCTAAATATACAATCATGTCATCTGCAAACAGGGACAATTTGACTTCCTCTTTTCCTACTTGAATACCCTTTAGTTCTTTGTCCTTCCTGATTGCCCTGGCCAGAACTTCCAACACTATGTTGAATAGGAGTGGTGAGAGAGGGCATCCCTGTCTTGTGCCAGTTTTCAAAGGGAATGCTTCCAGTTTTTGCCCATTCAGTATGATATTGGCTGTGGGTTTGTCATAGATAGCTCTTATTATTTTGAAATATGTCCCATCAATACCTAATTTATTGAGAGTTTTTAGCATGAAAGGTTGTTGAATTTTGTCAAAGGCCTTTTCTGCATCTATTGAGATAATCATGTGGTTTTTGTCTTTGGCTCTGTTTATATGCTGGATTACATTTATTGATTTGCATATATTGAACCAGCCTTGCATCCCAGGGATGAAGCCCACTTGATCATGGTGGATAAGCTTTTTGATGTGCTGCTGGATTCGGTTTGCCAGTATTTTATTGAGGATTTTTGCATCAATGTTCATCAAGGATATTGGTCTAAAATTCTCTTTTTTGGTTGTGTCTCTGCCCAGCTTTGGTATCAGAATGATGCTGGCCTCATAAAATGAGTTAGGGAGGATTCCCTCTTTTTCTATTGATTGGAATAGTTTCAGAAGGAATGGTACCAGTTCCTCCTTGTACCTCTGGTAGAGTTCGGCTGTGAATCCATCTGGTCCTGGACTCTTTTTGGTTGGTAAGCTATTGATTATTGCCACAATTTCAGAGCCTGTTATTGGTCTATTCAGAGATTCAACTTCTTCCTGGTTTAGTCTTGGGAGAGTGTATGTGTCAAGGAATTTATCCATTTCTTCTAGATTTTCTAGTTTATTTGCGTAGAGGTGTTTGTAGTATTCTCTGATGGTAGTTTGTATTTCTGTGGGATCGGTGGTGATATCCCCTTTATCATTTTTTATTGCGTCTATTTGATTCTTCTCTCTTTTTTTCTTTATTAGTCTTGCTAGCGGTCTATCAATTTTGTTGATCCTTTCAAAAAACCAGCTCCTGGATTCATTAATTTTTTGAAGGGTTTTTTGTGTCTCTATTTCTTTAAGTTCTGCTCTGATTTTAGTTATTTCTTGCCTTCTGCTAGCTTTTGAATGTGTTTGCTCTTGCTTTTCTAGTTCTTTTAATTGTGATGTTAGGGTGTCAATTTTACATCTTTCCTGCTTTCTCTTGTGGGCATTTAGTGCTATAAATTTCCCTCTACACACTGCTTTGAATGCGTCCCAGAGATTCTGGTATGTTGTGTCTTTGTTCTTGTTGGTTTCAAAGAACATCTTTATTTCTGCCTTCATTTCGTTATATACCCAGTAGTCATTCAGGAGCAGGTTGTTCAGTTTCCATGTAGTTGAGCAGTTTTGAGTGAGATTCTTAATCCTGAGTTCTAGTTTGATTGCACTGTGGTCTGAGAGATAGTTTGTTATAATTTCTGTTCTTTTACATTTGCTGAGGAGAGCTTTACTTCCAAGTATGTGGTCAATTTTGGAATAGGTATGGTGTGGTGCTGAAAAAAATGTATATTCTGTTGATTTGGGGTGGTGAGTTCTGTAGATGTCTATTAGGTCTGCTTGGTGCAGAGCTGAGTTCAATTCCTGGGTATCCTTGTTGACTTTCTGTCTCATTGATCTGTCTAATGTTGACAGTGGGGTGTTAAAGTCTCCCATTATTAATGTGTGGGAGTCTAAGTCTCTTTGTAGGTCACTCAGGACTTGCTTAATGAATCTGGGTGCTCCTGTATTGGGTGCATATATATTTAGGATAGTTAGCTCTTCTTGTTGAATTGATCCCTTTACCATTATGTAATGGCCTTCTTTGTCTCTTTTGATCTTTGTTGGTTTAAAGTCTGTTTTATCAGAGACTAGGATTGCAACCCCTGCTTTTTTTTTTTTCCATTTTCTTGGTAGATCTTCCTCCATCCTTTTATTTTGAGCCTATGTGTGTCTCTGCACATGAGATGGGTTTCCTGAATACAGCACACTGATGGGTCTTGACTCTTTATCCAATTTGCCAGTCTGTGTCTTTTAATTGGAGCATTTAGTCCATTTACATTTAAAGTTAATAGTGTTATGTGCGAATTTGATCCTGTCATTATGATGTTAGCTGGTTATTTTGCTCGTTAGTTGATGCAGTTTCTTCCTAGTCTCGATGGTCTTTACATTTTGGCATGATTTTGCAGCGGCTGGTACCGGTTGTTCCTTTCCATGTTTAGTGCTTCCTTCAGGAGCTCTTTTACAGCAGGCCTGGTGGTGACAAAATCTCTCAGCATTTGCTTGTCTGTAAAGTATTTTATTTCTCCTTCACTTATGAAGCTTAGTTTGGCTGGATATGAAATTCTGGGTTGAAAATTCTTTTCTTTAAGAATGTTGAATATTGGCCCCCACTCTCTTCTGGCTTGTAGGGTTTCTGCCGAGAGATCTGCTGTTAGTCTGATGGGCTTCCCTTTGAGGTTAACCCGACCTTTCTCTCTGGCTGCCCTTGACATTTTTTCCTTCATTTCAGCTTTGGTGAATCTGACAATTATGTGTCTTGGAGTTGCTCTTCTCGAGGAGTATCTTTGTGGCTTTCTCTGTATTTCCTGAATCTGAACGTTGGCCTGCCTTGCTAGATTGGGGAAATTCTCCTGGATAATATCCTGCAGAGTGTTTTCCAACTTGGTTCCATTCTCCCCATCACTTTCAGGTACACCAATCAGACGTAGATTTGGTCTTTTCACATAGTCCCATATTTCTTGGAGGCTTTGCTCGTTTCTTTTTATTCTTTTTTCTCTAAACTTTCCTTCTCGGTTCATTTCATTCATTTCATCTTCCATTGCTGATACCCTTTCTTCCAGTTGATCGCATCGGCTCCTGAGGCTTCTGCATTCTTCACGTAGTTCTCGAGCCTTGGTTTTCAGCTCCATCAGCTCCTTTAAGCACTTCTCTGTATTGGTTATTCTAGTTATACATTATTCTAAATTTTTTTCAAAGTTTTCAACTTCTTTGCCTTTGGTTTGAATGTCCTCCCGTAGCTCAGAGTAATTTGATCGTCTGAAGCTTTCTTCTCTCAGCTCGTCAAAGTCATTCTCCGTCCAGCTTTGTTCCGTTGCTGGTGAGGAGCTGCGTTCCTTTGGAGGAGGAGAGGCGCTCTGATTTTTAGAGTTTCCAGTTTTTCTGTTCTGTTTTTTCCCCATCTTTGTGGTTTTATCTACTTTTGGTCTTTGATGCTGGTGATGTACAGATGGGTTTTTGGTGTGGATGTCCTTTTTGTTTGTTAGTTTTCCTTCTAACAGACAGGACCCTCAGCTGCAGGTCTGGTGGAGTACCCTGCAGTGTGAGGTGTCAGTGTGCCCCTGCTGGAGGGTGCCTCCCAGTTAGGCTGCTCGGGGGTCAGGGGTCAGGGACCCACTTGAGGGGGCAGTCTGCCTGTTCTCAGATCTCCAGCTGCGTACTGGGAGAACCACTGCTCTCTTCAAAGCTGTCAGACAGGGACATTTAAGTCTGCAGAGGTTATTGCTGTCTTTTTGTTTGTCTGTGCCCTGCCCCCAGAGGTGGAGCCTACAGAGGCAGGCAGGCCTCCTTGAGCTGTGGTGGGCTCCACCCAGTTCGAGCTTCCCGGCTGCTTTGTTTACCTAAGCAAGCCTGGGCAATGGTGGGCGCCCCTCCCCCAGCCTTGCTGCCGCCTTGCAGTTTGATCTCAGACTGCTGTGCTAGCAATCAGCGAGACTCCATCGGGTAGGACCCTCCGAGCCAGGTGCGGGATATAATCTCGTGGTGCGCCATTTTTTAAGCCTGTCGGAAAAGCGCAGTATTCCGGTGGGAGTGACCCGATTTTCCAGGTGCCGTCCGTCACCCCTTTCTTTGATTAGGAAAGGGAACTCCCTGACCCCTTGCGCTTCCTGAGTGAGGCAATGCCTCGCCCTGCTTCGGCTCGTGCACGGTGCACACACCCACTGACCTGCGCCCACTGTCTGGCACTTCCTAGTGAGATGAACCCGGTACCTCAGATGGAAATGCAGAAATCACCCGTCTTCTGCGTCGCTCACGCTGGGAGCTGTAGACCAGAGCTGTTCCTATTCGGCCGTCTTGGCTCCTCCTCCTTTTTTTTTAAGATTGAGTTTTGCTCTTGTTGCCCAGACTGGACTGGAGTACAGTGGCGGGGTCTCAGCTCACTGCAACCTCTGCCTCCTGGGTTCAAGTGATTCTCCTGCCTCAGCTTCCTGAGTAGCTCCAATTACAGGCACCCGCCACCACACCCAGATAATATTTTGTATTTTTAGTAGAGATGGGGTTTTATTATGTTGGCTAGGCTGGTCTCGAACTCCTGACCTCAGGTGATCCACCCACCTTGGTCTCCCAAAGTGCTGGGATTACAGGCGTGAGCCACCATGCCTGGCCGGTTCTCAGGGCTTTTTACCTGTATCCCTCAGAGCTTAAGATCAATTCTACAAAGGCTTCTGAAGCTAAGACTTTCACTCTTTATCCTGGGACTCATTATTTACCTTATAGTTCACTGTTCTGTGCTAAAACTATAGTATGCTGTTTGCATAAATATTAATACTGTACTAAAACTATAGATGAGAATACTAATGCCTTTGTCATGCAAGCCTTCGAACCCCAACCCAGCCTATGTGAGCATGCTCAGATGGCTGCAAAGTGGTTCCACTCACACTTTGGGGTAAGCACCTACCCCCACTACATCCCCTGTCAGCAGGAAGAAGTTAAAGTGGTCTTCATCCTTTTTCCATCCTTATAGCCCACACCTTAAGAATAAGGTGTTATGAAACCCAAAGGGAGAGATTGAAACTACCTTTACAAAAATTATAAATGAGACAGTTAGTACAGTGAAAAGAGATCTGACGTGACTCCACCTTACTTTTTTTTTTTTTTTTTGAGACAGAGTCTTACTCTGTCGCCAGGGCTGGAGTGCAGTGGTATGATCTCAGCTCACTGCAACCTCTGCCTCCCAAGTTCAAGAGATTCTCCTGCCTCAGCCTCCCAAGTAGCTGAGAATACAGGCACCCGCCACTAAGCCCAGCTGATTTTTTGTATTTTTAGTAGAGGCGGGGTTTCACCATGTTGGCCAGGCTGGTCTCGAACTCCTGACCTCGTGATTTGCCCACCTCAGCCTCCCAAAGTGCTGGGATTACAGGCGTGAGCCACCACACCCGGCCGGCTCCATCTTGCTTCTAACCTCCAAGCTGTCCTTGTTCATTCCTGGGCATAGGCCAAACTAACCTTGGGAGGGAATTTAGCTTATAGTTTAACTCTGAAACGAAATTGAAGATAGCCCTTCCCCCTCCGCCCCCCAAAAAATTTTGCTCTTGGACTGTTGGCATATTTCTGAATGCTTTCAGGTCCCAGTGTAATCCCAGCACTTTGCGAGGCCTAGCCAGAAAGATCACGTTAGCTCAGGAGTTCCAAACCAGTTTAGGCAACATAGGGAGTCCTCATCTCTACAAAAAAAAAAATAATAAAATTAGCCAGGAGTGGTGGTGAATACCTGTAGTCTCAGCTACTGGGGAGGTTGAAGTGAGAGGATCGCTTGAGCCCAGGAGTTGGAGGCTACAGTGAGCCATGATGGCATCACTGTACTCCAGCCTGGGCAACAGAGTGAGATCTTTCCCAAACACACAACAAACAAAGCATAACAGTTTTTTATTTTTTTGAGACACAGTTTCACTCTTTTTGCCCAGGCTGGAATGCAGTGGCGTGATCTTGGCTCACTGCAACCTTCACCTCCTGGGTTCAAGTGATTCTCCTACCTCAGCCGCCCTAGTAGCTGGGATTACACGTGCACGCCACCACACCTGGCTAATTTGGTATTTTTAGTAGAGATGGGGTTTCACCATGTTGGCCAGGCTGGTCTCAAACTTCTGACCTCAGGTGATCCACCTGCCTCAGCCTCCCCACGCACTGGGATTACAGGCATGATCCACCGTGCCTTCGGGGAGGCCAGGATTTGAACCTTTATCTTCCTGGTCCTTCTTGCCTAGGGCTCAGCAGTAAAAGCCTTTCTTTCTAGCCCATCAAACCTCAGTGTAAATATCTAGTTTTCCTGGGCAACATGAGTGGACCTCAGTTCTGTTCTACTTTTTTTTTTTTTTTTTTTTTTGAGCAAGACACTCAGTCACCCAGGCTGGAGTGAAATGACACAATCACAGCTCACTGCAACCTCCACCTCCTGGGTTCAAGGAATTCTTGTGCCTCATCCTCCTGAGTAGCTGAGGCTACAGGTGTCTGCCACTATGCCCAGCTAATTTTTTTTTTGTATTTTTAATAGAGATGGGGTTTCATCATGTTGCCCAGGCTGCCTCCTGAGCTCAGGCAATCCACCCAGGTTGGCCTCTCAGTGTGCTAAGATTATAGGCATGAGCCACCGCACCTGACCCACATTTCTTTATAATAGTGAATTTCTTTATAATTGTGAATTCCAGTATGCTTTGGCGAAAAGGGTTTTTTTTTTTTGTTTTTTTTTTTTGAGAAGGAGTCTTGCTCTGTCGCCCGGGCTGGAGTGCAGTTGCGTGATCTTGGCTCACTACAAGCTCCACCTCCCAGGTTCACGCAATTCTGCTGCCTCAGCCTCCCAAATAGCTGGGACTACAGGTGCCTGCCATCATGCCCGGCTAATTTTTTTGTATTTTTTTTTAGTAGAGATGGGGTTTCATCATGTTAGCCAGCATGGTCTTGATCTCCTGACCTCGTGATCCACCCATCTCGGCCTCCCAAAGTGTTGGGATTACAGGTGTGAGCCACCGTGCCCACCCCGGTAAAGGGTCTTAAAATGTATCTTCCCTTGCTGCAGAAGCTATTTTGAAGTGCCATATTTTTCATTAAGCATTAAGTAGAGAACATCAGGATAAATTAGTAGGATCATCAGTATTACATGAAACATTAGATTGCTGAATGAATTGCATAATTTAACTAGAAACACTTTATTCTCAAGTAGAAAAGTTGTTTGCTTTGGAGAATTTAATCATCTGTTACTTGTTCATAAATATTCCCCCGAAGGGCTCTGACCTCTCCCTCCAGTGTGAGCCTAATTCCTAAAACTGAATAATTATTTGCTGCTGCCTGTTTCACAAACACACATGGATGGGTCAGATGTGTCTCCTTTTCCTCAACCTTATATGAAGGAAGGAGCATCTGAGCACAGCACAGAAATGATCCAAACCAAGCTACTGTGAAGTGTAAAGAGAGCAGCATGGCTTTTCCAAACAGGACAGCATCACAAACCCTCCCAAGGGTACAAGGAGAGCAGTTAGAACAGAAGGAAAGGTGACCCGCAGACTGTTAGGACTGGTGAAAATGATTCATTGAAAATCTAAGAAAGAACTCTTGTCTTTGGAGCCCTGTGCCCATTTCTCTGGAGTGTGTCTTTTCCTGAATGGCCATTCCCAGCTTTTCACTTGAATAAACTCTTCACAACTCAGTCCTACGTTTTTGCATGATGTGAGGTTGACGGGACACACACCCAATACCCATGGACTCTATGCTCCCTGCCACCACCTTCCTCTTCCCTCCTGGCCTGCACAAATGTCCAGGATCCAACCCTTCACTCTGAATCCCCCAAACTCCCTGACTGGACCCAGTCATGCTGGATCCCTCAGCAGACCCATACAACTTAGAAACTCTCCCCTGTCCCCCAAACCTGGCTTGACTCTCGTGCCCTCCTCAGGCACCTTTACCCTCAGCTTGAACTGGCCTCAGCCATGATTTGAACTTCACCCTGTGCTCCTTCATGCTCCACACCTACCTCCCTCAGGTGCCATTGCCCCCAGCAGTCCTGGACCTAAGGACATCACCATGTCTCCGGCATTGCATCCTGGGAGCCCTCACCTTTTCCCACCTCTCCCTGGCCTTTAAAGTCATTGCTGCTGTGAGACCCAGACCACCATTTTGTTCCAGTAGCCCCCTGCCCACCCATTCTCCCTCTGTGACTTCTCTGCGCTGCCCAGCAGATGCCATTGTATCCCAGCCACGGATTTCTCAACTGCCATTACCACCAACTGGAAGTCTTTTTATTTATTTATTTAATTTTTATAACAGAGTCTCACTATGTTGCCCAGGCTGGTCTTGAACTCCTGGGCTTAAGCAGTCCCCCCACCTCAGCCTCCTAAAGCCTGGGGTTATGGGGTGTCTATGCAGTGAGCCCTTCCATGCACTTGAAGTTGTGAAGAACATCTAAAGACTTTACCACATTGGTTACATTTATAGGGTTTCTCTCCAGTGTGAGTCCTTCCATGCCTTCGAAGGTTTGAGGGACATCCAAAAGCTTTCCCACATTGCTTACATTTATACGGTTTCTCTCCAGTGTGAGTCCTTCCATGCATTTGAAGTCGCGAGGCACATCCAAAAGACTTCCCACACTGCTTACATTCATAGGGTTTCTCTCCAGTGTGAGTCCTTCCATGCATTTGAAGGTGTGAGGCAGATCCAAAGGCTTTCCCACACTGCTTACATTCATAAGGTTTCTCTCCAGTGTGAGTCCTTCCATGAATTTGAAGCTGTGAGGCAGATCTGAAGGCTTTTCCACATTGCTTGCATTCATAGGGTTTCTCTCCAGTGTGAGTCCTTCCATGATATCGAAAGGAGCTCGAACAGTTGAAGGATCTGCCACACTGCTTGCATTCATAGGTTTTTCCTCCAGTGTGAGTCCTTTCATGTCTATGAAATAAACTGGGCAAACTGAATGTTTTCCCATAACCCTTACATTCATACGGCTTCTCTTCTCTGTGCATCCTTTCATGTATTTGAAAGAAAGAGAAATTACTAAATGGTTTTCCACATTCCTTACATGCATAGGGTTTCTCTCCCGTGTGAGTCCTACCATGTGTTTGAAGGAGTGAGGCAGATCTGAAGGCTTTCCCACATTGCTTACACTCGTAAGGTTTCTCTCCAGTGTGAGTTCTTTCATGATATCGGAAGGAACTGGAAGAATTAAAGGCTTTACCACATTGGTTGCATTTATAGGGTTTCTCTCCAGTGTGAGTTTTTTCATGTGTTTGAAGTGAACTGGGAGAATAAAAGGCTTTCCCACATATCTTACATTTATGAGATATCTCTCCAGTGTGCATTCCCAAGTGGTTTTGAAAGCTGGTAAGATAAGATAATACTTTCCCACAATGTTTACATTCATAGGGTTTTTTCCTAGAGTGGGTTCTTTCATGTCTGCGAACAGAACTGGGACACTTGAATGCTTTTCCACATTCCTTACATTCATATGGCTTCTCCCCCGTGTGAGTTCTTTCATGTATTTGAAAGGAATGGGAAGAGCTGAAGGCTTTCCCACACTGTTTACATTCATATGGCTTCTCCCCAGTGTGAGTTCTTTTATGAGCATGAAGGCATGTGGAACTATGGAATGCTTTCCCACATTCATTACATTTATAAGGCTTCTCCCCAGTGTGAGTTCTTTCATGTATTCGAAGGCTACTAGAATGACTAAAGGCTTTACCACACTGTTTACATTGATATGGTTTCTCTCCAGTGTGAGTTCGTTTGTGGATAAGATACAAACTGAGAAACATCAAGGCTTTCCCACAAAATTTACACTTATAAGGTCCATCTCCACGGTGCATTATCCTGTGTCTTTGAAGGTTTGAATGGGAAATAAATGTTTTTCCGCATTCCTCACAAACATAGAGTTTCCTTCCACTATGAGCCCTTTCATGTGTCTGAACAGAGGAGAGACAGTTGAAAGGTTTTTTACAGTATTTACATTTATATGGTTTCTGTCCATATTCTTGATACTCATATGCCTTGTGTCCAGTGTCATCTCTGATGTGCCTATTAAGAGATGAATGAGCACTGCCTACTTCTCCATACACACTGCTTTCGCATGATTTTACTCCAGTAGTTGTTTTCTTCAGCATGTCATCTGGAACCTGGGTCAAAATTTCTCCATGCTGATGACCTTCTTTACTTTCAAAGAGTCTCTCTCCCACAATTCTGTGAACAATAAGAAGTACATTATAATGGGTTTGATTATCAGTGATTTTATATTCATTCACAAGTATTGCACTTGCATTTTTTCTCTTTTTTTTGAGATGGAGTCTCACTCTCTTGCCCAGGCTGGAGTGTAGTGGTGCGATCTTCGCTTACTGCAACTTCCACCTCCTGAGTTCAAGCAATTTTCCTGCCTCAGCCTCATAAGTAGCTGGGACTACAGGTGCATACCACCACACCCAGCTAATTTTTTGTATTTTAGTAGACGGGGTTTCACCATGTTGGCCAGACTGGTCTTGAACTCCTGACCTCAGGTGATCCACCTGCCTCGGCTTCCCAAAATGCTGGGATTACAGGCATGAGCCACTGTGCCTGGCCTGCACTTCCATTTTTAACATCATCCAGCAAACTGTAGGCTTTCTGCCCTGTCTGAATTGTTTGAATATGAACGGACCACAGGCTCTACAAGATGGCCCAGCCATATCTATTATCAAAAAAGATGATAGAAGGCTTCTGAATACTGTTTTTTGGTTTTTTTTGTTTTGTTTTGTTTTTTTGAGATGGAGACTCACTCTGTTGCCCAGGCTGGAATGCAGTGGGGCAAACTTGGCTCACTGCAACCTCCCCCTCCTGGGTTCAAGCGATTCTCCTGCCTCAGCCTCCCAGGTAGCTGGGATAACAGGTGTCCACCACGATGCCTGGCTAATTTTTATATTTTTAGTAGAGATGGGGTTTCACTATGTTGGCCAGGCTGCTTTTGAACTCCTGACCTCAAGTGACCCACCCTCCTCGGCCTTCCAAAGTGCTGGGATTACAGGCGTGAGCCACCACGCCTGGCGTCTCTGAGTACTATTTTAAAGTAAACTATTTTACAAATACTAAATATCTGTCTTTTTAAATTTGTTTTTTGGGTCAGGGTCTCACACTCTTGCCCAGGCTGGAGTGCAGTGATGCCATCATGACTTAGTATGGCCCCAACCTCCTGGGCTCAAGTGATCCTCCAGCCTGAACCTCCCAAAGGGCTGAAATATAGTCCTGGGCCATTGTGTCAAGCCTACATCACACTTCAATATGTGTTTAGAGAAAATTTTCTAAGAATAAATAGATTGAAATTGTGCTTATTTCTTTTGTTTCCTTTTTTTTTTTTTAACATTTTCTCCCATTCTAAGATTTTCTAGAGACACACGTCTTTGTCATGTGAGTGCAAGTTACCTTAGGTTTCTCCTTAGATTTTCGTACTCTACATATATGTTCTGGGGTTTCCATTTTTTCCCTACAACACACAACAAGGAAAATAATCTTGAATTAGTATAAAATTATTAAAAAATTACATGATTCTATGTTCATGGTACACTGCAAGCATGCTTCCTTTATTTATCAAATATTCCCTGTCCACATTGTAAATCACTCAACAGCATACATGAGCTAAAAATACTTGTTCTCAGAAAAAAAAAAAAACTTGTTGTCTCATTTACTGAAGGAAGTAATGTTGTCACCCTTACCTATAGAGGCCAGGTTCCTGAAGGTTTCTTGCATCACATCTCTACAGAGATTTTTCTGGGAAGGATCCAGCAAAGCCCACTCCTCTTGGGTGAAGGTCACAGCCACATCCTCAAAGGCCACTGAATCCTGAAACATCTCACATGTATAGAGGAGGATGGATAAGACTAACATCACTGGGAAGCCTATACTCTATTCCCAAGAGGTTTCCATGATGCTGTGGACTCAAAACAATTATTCCATGACCATCAGACCTCATACTCTCTGTCTACACTCAGTTTCTTCCATAAAGTAATTCTGAGGCTACAACTGAACCATGTGGTAAAGCAACAGTAGAATAGGAAAATGTGTATTTTTGGTAAATCCAGAAAGGTGTGCTGCCTGGGCTGCCCCTAATGTTTGTTTGTAAAGTGGGAGTACGGCACCTGCCATAACAAAGTCTTCCAAATTCCTGTGCAGAAAAAGTTAACATTAGCAGTCCTGAGGCTGCATATCCTTGAAAAAAAAATGCCTATCGACAAAGTTTAACCTTTGATGTTATCTAGAAAATGAATTTTGTTCTGAGTGCTGCAGCAGAAACAAAAACCAAAAAACTGGATTTTACAAGGGGTCTTATCAATCTAAATGATGAGTCATAAATAACTAAAACAAAAACTCATGAGCTCTACACTCATGAGCTCATGCCACTGCACTGCAGCCTGGGCAACAGAGTGAGACTCGGTCTCAAAAAAATAAAATTAGCCAGGTATGGTGGTGCGTGCCTGTAATCCCAGCTACCCAGGAGGCTGAGGCAGGAGAATCGCGGGAATCCAAGAGGCAGAGGCTGCAGTGAGCCAAGATCACACCACCACACTCCAGCCTGAGTGACAGAGCAAGACTCCATCTTAATAAAAAAAAAAAAAAAAAAAAAAAAATTTCCAGGCACCTAGTCTCAACAAAAAGGCAAACATTTATCAAACTTTTAAAAACTTTTGTGGCCAGGCATGGTGGCTCATGCCTGTAACCCCACCACTTTGGAAGGCTGAGGCAGGTGGATCACCTGAGGCCAGGAGTTGGTGACCAGCCTGGCCAACATGGTGAAACACCGTCTCTACTAAAAATACAAAAATAAGCCAGGCATGGTGGTATGCACCTGCAATTCCACTACTTGGGAGGCTGGGGCAGGAGAATCACTTGAACCCAGAAGTTGGAGGTTGCAGTGAGCTGAGATCATGCCACTGCACTCCAGCTTGGGCAACAGCAAGACTCCATCACAAAAAAACCACTTTTGTGCATGAGATGACACCATCAACAAAGGGAAAAGGGACTCCTTGTGCTCTGTTTAAAGGATAATAAATGGCTCAGCTTCTATGGAAACAGTACAGTAGTGCCTAAAAAAATAAAATTACTGTATTTTCCTGTATCCCACTTTTGGGTCTAGTTATATTAAATTTGAAAAAATTGAAAACTGAACCTTGAAGACATATTTGAAAACCACTCTTCACAAAATCAAAGAGCCAGATCAATCCACATGTCCATTGATGGCTGCATGCATAATGAAAATATGCTAGGCATATATATACATTGAAATATTAATCTTATAACATCCTGTCTCATGCTACAACAATCACAAAACTTCAGGATACTATGGTAATTGCAAAAAGCTAGGCACAAAAAGAAAATTACAGTATAATTCACCTTAGATGAGTTATGTAGTGTTGTGCAACTATACACTTAAAACTGCTTAAGCTGGTAAAATTGAAGTTTATTATTTTACAATAATTAAAAATAATAAATCACAGTACCAAGTAAAAAAACTAATTGATATTGATTAAAAGATGGGCATAGGCCAGGTATGGTGGCTCACACCTGTAATCTTAGCACTTTGGGAGTCCGAGGTGGGCGGATGACTTGAGGTCAGGGGTTCAGGACCAGCCTGGCCAAAATGGTGAAACCCCATCTCTACTAAAAATACAAAAATTAGCCGGGCATGATGGCACATTCCTGTAATCCCAGCTACTCAAGAGGCTGAGGCAGGAGAATCACTTGAATCTGGGCAGCAGAGGCTGCAGTGAGCCGAGATTGTGCCACTGCACTCCAGCCAGGGCAAGAGAGCAAGACTCTGTCTCAAAAAAATTTTAAAAAAAAAAAGCAAAAGTATTTGAATGACATTTCTGCAATACATAGAAATGACCAATAAGTATATGAAGTGGTGCTCAACATCAGGAGTCAACAGGCATAAGTATTTTACACAGTGTAGTTTCAGGTGGTTATTGAGCACTTTCTCTCATGAAAAGTATTCATAAAATAATAAAATTTTAAATATAGCCATTTATTAAAGTAAAAAATAATAATTTAAATACTGCAGCTGTTTCAAGTGTATCATGAGAAACACATAATTGAAGACGTCCTTTCGAGAGAGGAGTGAGTGTTTTGGAATGTATCGAGGAAAGCAGAAATTTAGGGATTTATTGTCATTCCTAAGAAGAGCTGGCTGAGCGCGGTGGCTCACGCCTGTAATCCCAGCACTTTGGGAGGCAGAGGTGGCCGGATCACCTGGGGTCAGGAGTTCGAGACCAGACTGATTAACATGGTGAAACCCTGTCTCTACTAAAAACACAAAAATTAGCTGAGTGTAGTGATGCGCGCTACTGGGAAGGCTGAGGCAGGAGAATCGCTTGAACCAGGGAGGCGGAGGTTGCTGTGAGCCGACATTGCGCCATTGCACTCCAGCCTGGGCGACAGAGCGAGACTCTGTCTCAAAAACAAAAATATAAAAAAAAAAAAACAGCACTAAGCTACAGGGGTCTTAAGGACTCCTGCTTTACTGTTTTTTTTTTTTTCTTTTTTTTTGAGACAGAGTAGTCTCACTCTGCCACCCGGGCTGGAGAGCAGTAGCACAATCTCAGCTCACTGCAACCTCTGCCTCCAGGTTCAAGCAATTCTCCTGCCTCAGCTTCCCAAGTAGCTGGGATTACAGGCACCCACCACTATACCCGGCTAATTTTTTTGTATTTTTAGTAGAGACGGGGGTTTCACCATGTTGGCCAAGCTGGTCTCAAACTCCTGACCTCGTGATTCACCCACCTCAGCCTCCCAAAGTGCTGGGATTACAGCTGTGAGCCACTGCACCTGGCCAGGACTCCTTCTTTGACCAAACTTGATCTCACAGCCCTCTTCTTGTCTAGGCTTTGGCCTTCTTCTGCAGAGCCCAGTTATAGCAAAAAGCCTTTTAAGGCAGTGCACAGAGAATCTCTCCCACCAAAACTTAGTATTTCCAATCAAGTTCAATTTCCCTCACTCATGATAATCCATCAACTTTCTCTTCCCTAACTGCTGACACTTCACCAAGTTCCATCCTTTCCCTCGCCTTGCCCTGTAATATAGGAGAGAGATTAAACTCAGGGAGACAGCCTATTACGTGTCGTGAGAACTGTAATATAATATACAGAACTGTAATCTCCATATTATAGTTCTCATGACACATATTACAATTGTGCTGAATAAAGCCTTCCTTGATATTTTAAACACATTTTCAATACAATCTCTCTTTATAAGAGATAGGGACTTAGACTGGAGACTCTGCTTCAGAAATCTAGAATGCATAAGGGATAATAGGCTCTCTCCCTGTGGGGAGACAGCTGAGACTACCTCCCACTCACAAAACCAAAACACCAGGTCAGATTTCTCTCCTGAAGACCACTCCCTGCTGTTATCCCATAAACTTAGTAAGATAGGGGACTGTGGGTGCACTATTTCCCAGACAGGGTACTAGGGTAGAGCTTACCTCCTGCAGTGATGATGCAGGATGCCTGGCGGTACTGGCTGCCAATTCAACCGTCACGCTGTGATAGAGACTTAGGTGTTGGGAACAGGCCCCCAAATCTGGCCATAAACTGGCTCCAAAACTGGCCATAAACAAAATCTCTGCAGCACTGTGACATGTTCGTGATGGCCATGACACCCACAATGAAGACTGTTGGTTTACCGGAATGAAGGCAGGGAACACCTGGCCCACCCAGGGTAGAAAACCACTTAAAGGTGTTCCTAAACCACAAACAATAGCGTAAGTGATCTCTGCCTTAAGGACGTGTTCCTGCTGCAGATAACTAGCCAGAGCCCATCCCTTTGTTTCAGCCCATCCCTTTGTTTCCCAAAAGGAATACTTTTAATCTATAATCTACAGAAACAATGCTTATCACTGGCTTGCTGTCAGTAAATATGTGGGTAAATTTCTGTTCGTGGCTCTCAGCTCTGAAGGCTGTCAGCCCCCTGATTTGCCACTCCACACTCCATATTTCTCTGTGTGTGTCTTTAATTCCTCTAGTGCCCCTGGGTTAGGGTCTCCATGACCGAGATGGTCTTGGCAAGTGGTGTACATGTGTGGGTCTTGAACCCAGGTCAAAGTGTCACCGGAGTAACAGTTGGAGAATGTGGAACTAAGCTGGAGGACACCCGAGTACTCTAAAGCAATGCCCGTGGTAAGAAGGGGAGCTTGGAAGCATCAGGGTAACAAAGGGACAAGTGTGGGCTCTGGTTCCTTCCATCTTGTAACCTTTTCACACTGATGAGGAGGAGGAAGGAAAGTAACAGAAGAGATGACAGAGCAGGTTTGTTTGCCAGCTAAAGCTAAAGTGGCAAAGGAGGAAGAGTCCATCCCTACCCTTCTGCACCCCCTCCTTATTTTGAAGAAAAAGAGTGGCCTGACCCACCAGATCTTTCTTTTCTGGAGGACACTGGACAAAAAGTAGTTTCCCCAATGAGTGTTCGAGCAGCACCTTGAGCAATGGCTCTCAGTTCTATTCAGGCAGGAATTCACCAAGCTACAAGAGAGGGTGATATAGAGGCTTGGCAGTTCCCTGTTAGGATACACCCCCCAGATCAACAGGAAAATACTATAGCTACATTTGAGCCTTTTCCTTTTAAATTTGGGAAACACCATGAGGGGCCTGTCCCGGGCCCCATTCCAAACCAAGGCATTTCCGGCTGAGGCCATTCCCTAACCCTTGTACAATATCTATCCCCCACCACAGCCAGTAGTGCCACGGTAGATTTATGCTGCACAAAAGCTGTGAGTCTTCTGCCTGGGGAACCCCCACAAAAAGTTCCAACAGGGGTCTGTGGACACTTGCCAGTAGGGACAATCAGATTACTTCTAGGTAGATCTAGTTTAAATTTAAAAGGAGTGCAAGTACATACAGGAGTCACTGATTCAGATTACAATGGGAAATTCAAATTGTTATAGCTACTTCTGTTCCCTGGAAAGCAGAGCCAGGAAAGCACAACTCCTGATTGTGCCATATGTGGAAATGGGGAAAAGTGAAATTAAACGAACAGGAGGATTTGGAAGCACAAATAAACAAGGCAAAGCAGCTTACTGGGTGAATCAAAGTATTGATAAATGTCCTACCTGTGAAATAACTATTCAGGGAAAGAAATTTAAAGGATTGGTAGATACAGGAGCAGACATTTCCATCATTTCTCTACACCACTGGCTGTCCGCATGGCCAATTCAACCCACTCAATTTAACAGAGTTGGAGTTGGTAAAGCCCCTGAAGTATATCAAAGAATCTGTATTTTGCATTGTGAAGGGCCCAATGGACAACCTGGGACTATTCGATCAATTGTAACTTCTGTACCTATAAATTAATGGGGGAGAGATTTTACTGCAACAATGGGGAGTACAAGTTCTAATTCCAGAGCAATTATATAGCCCTGAAAGTCAACATATGATGCATGAAATGGGGTATGTCCTAGGAAAAAAATTGCAGGGTTTGAAGGAACTGCTCCAAGCAGAAAGACAAAGTTCCCACCAAGGTTTAGGGTATCATTTTTGATGGTGGCCATTGTTAAGCCTCCAGAAACTATACCTTTAAAATGGTTAACAGATAAGCCAATTTGGATAGAACAATGGCCGCTAAGTAAAGAAAAACTGGAGGCTTTAGGGGACTTAGTTACTGAACAATTAGAAAAAGGACACATAGCTCCAACATTTCCCCCTTGGAATTCTCCAGTCTTCGTAATTAAGAAAACATCAGGTAAACGGAGAATGTTAACTGACTTAAGAGCCATTAATTCAGTTATATAACCTATGGGGACATTACAGCCAGGACTGCCTTCTCCTGTGGATTCCAAAAAATTGGCCTTTAATTGTCATAGATTTAAAAGACTGTTTCTTTACTATCCCTTTAGCTGAGCAAGACTGTGAACGGTTTGCATTTACAATTCCTGCAATAAACAACCTGCAGCCTGCTAAGCATTTTCACTGGAAAGTGTTGCCATAAGGCGTGTTAAACAGTCCAACAATTTGCCAGACTTATCAATTGAAAACATTAAATGACTTTCAAAAAGTACTAAGGGATATCAACTGGATACAACCTGCTCTAGGCATTCCTACCTATGCTATGAGTAATCTGTTTTCTATCCTTAGAGGAGATCCTAGTCTCACTAGGCAATTAACAAAAGAAGCTGAGGCAGAGGTACAGCTGATTGAAAAGTAAGTCCATAAAGCTCAGATAAATAGAATAGATCCAGAGAAGACTCTAGATTTGCTAATTTTTTCAACTCAGCATTCACCTACTGGTGTTATTGTCCAAGAGCAGGACTTAGTAGAATGGCTTTTTCTTCCACATACTAACTCATGGACTCTTAACTCCTTATCTGGATCAAATCGCTACTATGATAGGAAATGGGAGAACTCGGATTGTTAAATTACATGGATATGATCCTGGAAAAATTATTGTCCCTCTCACAAAGACACAAATACAGCAAGCTTTTATAAACAGTCTTACTTGGCAAACCCATTAGCTGACTTTGTGGGTATTCTCGATAATCATTTTCCTAAAAGAAAACTATTTCAATTTTTGAAATTAACTAATTGGATTCTCCCTAAAATAACTAAATTTAAACCAATTGAAGGTACTGAAAATGTCTTCACAGATGGGTCTAGTAATGGTAAAGCTTCTTATTCCAGCTTGAAAGGTAAAGTTTTTCAGAAGCCCTGTACTTCGGCTCAAAAAGCAAGAGCTTGTAGCTGTAAGTGAGGTATTGACTGCTTTTGATATGCCTATTAATGTGATTTCTGATTCTTTGTATGTGGTTCATTCCACACCATTAGCTGAAAATGCTCAGTTGCCATTTCATACAGATGAACAACTGATGACTTTATTTACCCAATTGCAAACAGCAGTTAGAAATAGAATACACCCTTTTTACATCACTCACACTAGGGCTCATACACCTCTTCCAGGACCTTTAACTGAAGGGAATCAAATGGCTGATGGCCTAGTTGCTACTACAATATCTAATGCCAGACACTTTCACAATTTAACCCATGTTAATGCCTCTGGTCTCAAATGCAGATACAGCATTACCTGGAAAGAAGCTAAAGCTATTATTCAGTGATGCCCAACTTGCCAAATGGTGCATTCCTCATCTTTTATAGGAGGAGTTAATCCTCAAGGATTGGAACCTAATTCTCTTTGGCAAATGGATGTCACACATGTTCCCTCGTTTGGGAGACTAGCTTATGTACATGTATGTGTGGACACCTTTTCTCAGTCTGACTGGGTTACATGCCAAACAGGAGAGTCTTCTGCCTGTGTTAAACGTCACCTTTTGCAGTGTTTTGCAGTGATGGGCATTCCAGCTTCTATTAAAACAGATAATGCCCCAGGCTATACTAGCCAAGCTCTAGCTACATTTTTCTCCATATGGAATATTAAACACATTATTGGCATTCCATACAATTCTCAAGGATGAGCCACAGTGGAAAGAATGAATCTGTCCCTGAAACAGCAGTTGCAAAAGCAAAAAGGGGGAAACAGGGACTACAGGACACCCCATATGCAACTGAATCTAGAATTATTGACTTTAAATTTTTTGAGCCTGCCTAAAGGCCAGATGCTATCAGCAGCTGAACAATATCTACAGAAACCAGCTGCAAAGACAGAAGCAGAACAACTGGTTTGGTGGAGAGATCTGATAACAAAAAGTTGGGAAATAGGTAAAATAATAACTTGGGGTAGAGGTTATGCTTGTGTTTCCCCAGGATGAAATCAACAGCCAATCTGGGTGCCATTGAGACATCTAAAGCCTTACTATGAGCCAGATACCCAGGAAGAGGTTTTGGGAGGATCCCAAAGACTCCCTGGTTGCAGCCATGTCAAGACTGATGCTGAGGAGGACCCCAACTGTCACGAGCAACAACTGCCTGGGGACAGATCAAGAAGCTGTCACAGATGGCAGAGAAAAACCTGAGAAAAGCGGGA
The DNA here is from genome assembly GCF_000001405.40 of Homo sapiens. Lineage (NCBI taxonomy): Eukaryota > Metazoa > Chordata > Mammalia > Primates > Hominidae > Homo > Homo sapiens. The sequence continues at coordinate 12,026,414 of NC_000019.10, forward strand.
CAACCAGTCACAATGAGTAATTTAATGATAGCTATGACAGTGGTGATCACCATTGCCATGAGTATTCCTTCAACAAGGGCTGACACAGAGAACAATTACACTTATTGGGCATATTTATCAATCTTGGCTGGCAATAATGCCTGGATGTGATCACTCTATGACACAGTTACACATGCTTTCTGGTCTCAGTATTTACCATAATAATCTGCTCCTATAATTGAGGCATACTGCCCTCAAAAAACTATTTGTAAACAGGATTGGACCTGGTCAGAAAAAATGAACGTACTTGTTTGGGAAGATTGCATTGCAGAACAGGCAGAGGTGCTGCACAACGATTCCTATGGAGTCATTATTGATTGTTCCCCTAAGGGGATGTTTAGCTTGAATTGCACCTCTCAGTCTGCCTGCCATGGCCACACTATGTTCAGCTGGTCTGAACAAAATGGTCAGATGGTAGAAATGATAAGAAGTATGGCAAGAGTTCCTATTATCTGGAAACATGGTGGTATAGTGGCACCTCAACCTCAAATGATATGGCCTGCTGTAGGAGCTAAACATAAGGATTTGTGGAAACTATTAATGGCTCTTAATAAGATCAAAATTTGGGAAAGGATAAAAAAGCATCTAGAAGGACACTCTAGAAACTTGGATATTGCAAAATTAAAAGAACAAATATTTAAAGCATCCCAGGCACACCTGACCTTAATGCCAGGAACTGGAGTGCTTGAAGGAGCTGCAGATGGATTAGCAGCTATTAACCCATTAAAATAGATAAAAACACTTGGAGGCTCTGTGATTTCAATGATGATTGTGCTTTTAATCTGTGTTGTCTTTGTATAGTCTGCAGATGTGGATCCCAACTCCTGCGAGATGTAGCTCACCATGATAAAGCCACCTTTGCTTTTATTGTCTTGCAAAAACAAAAAGGGGGAACATGTTGGGGACAGGCTCCCAAATCTGGCCATAAACAAAATCTCTGCAGCACTGTGACATGTTCATGATGGCTATGATGCCCACACTGAAGGTTGTTCATTTACTGGAATGAGGGCAAGGAACACCTGGCCCACCCAGGGCGGAAAACTGCTTAAAGGTGTTCCTAACCCACAAACAATAGTATGAGCAATCTGGGCCTTAAGGACATGTTCCTGCTGCAGATAACTAGCCAGAGCCCATCCCTTTGTTTCACATAAGGAATATTTTTAGTTAATCTATAATCTACAGAAACAATGCATATCACTGGCTTGCTGTCAATAAATGTGGGTAAATCTCTTTTCATGGCTTTCAGCTCTGAAGGCCGTCAGCCCCGATTTGCCACTCCACATTCTATTATTTCTCTGAGTGTGTCTTTAATTCCTCTAGCACCACTGGGTTAGGGTCTCCATGACCAAGCTGGTCTTGGCACTTAGGCTTCAGCTGATATAGATATATGTCAGGACCAGGTATAGAATTTGCATGTCTTTCTTCCATTTGGTGAATTCTCTTGCAATTTCTGTTTTTTAAGGCTATAGCAACCAGTATTCCCAGGAATTCTACAAACCATGTACTAACCTGGCCTGAACCTGCTTAGCTGCTAAGATCAGGTGCATTCAGAGTGGCATGACCATATACTCTTTTATCTTTTTTTGTTTTTTTCAATTTTGTTTTTTTGAGACAGGGTCTCACTCTGTCACTTAGTCTGGAGTGCAGTGGTATGATCATATTTCACTGTGGCTTCAATCACCTGGGCTCAAGTGATCCTCCCACCACAGCCTCCCCAGTACATAGGACTGAAGTACCATAGGAAGAACTGTGACCTAAGAAAAAACAAGTGGGACCCATGTAGATTATCTGCTCAATGTTATGGTCAAATGACTACTGCTATAAAAAACAAAATCCATTAATCAAGAAAGTGAACTACCATTCCATGGAAGGTTCGTTACTAAGTAAAAATAAAATATGATATAAAATATCACATATCTGATATCAACTGCATAAAAAAATGTAAAAATAAAATATACTGATAGGGATGCATACCCAGGTTATGAAACTATGAAGAAAATAAGAAAACAATAATTATCATTCGCAATACTGGCTCCATCAATATTTTGGTTCACTGTGAAATTGTTTTATGTGTTTTGACCATATGTAATATTTTTAGTTTCTAGAGTGGAAACTCTGTGCAGAAATAACTATCAGTGCACATGGAAATACCAGCAACAACCTACTGAATATAATTTTTAAAAAGACAACATAGCCTGTTAAACAAATTTGTATTACAGTTAATTTTCTTTTTAAAAATGTTTTTATTATTTTTGTTTTGTTTAGGGACAGGTTCTTGCACTGTCACCCATGCTATGGTGCAGGGGCATGATGACAGCTCACTGTAGCCTTGACTTCCCAGGCTCAAGCTATCCCTACCTTCCTGAGTAGATGATAATACAGGCTCCTGCCACCACACATGGTGAATTTCTTAATTTTTGTGAAGACGGGGTCTCTTTATGTTGTCCAGGTTGGTCTCAAACTCCCGGGCTCAAGCCATTCTCCCACCTTGGCCTCCAAAAGCAATTAATTTTCTTGAAGTCCCAAAAAGTCTCAGAAAGGATATAAAATTATTATTATCCAAAAAGTACCCATGGAAAGATATCAATGGAAAATGTAATAAATGTAAAGATGTCATATGTCCTTAAACACACACTGATTATCACTGTGATGTAATCTCTCTGAAATACATCTAGTATTTTATTATATTCCATGAAATGCATAGGCAGGTTTGTTTTTTCATTAAAATTAAGAAAAACTACTTCTAAACACTGAAATAGAAGACAATGACTAAGAATAGCCAGCATAAGCTGGGTGTGGTAGCTCACACCTGTAATCCCAGCACTTTGGGAGGTGGAGGTGGGCGCATCACCTGAGGTCAGGAGTTCAAGACCAGCCTAGCCAACATGGTGAAACCCCTCTCTACTAAAAATACAAAAATTAGCCTGGCATGGTGGCATGTGCCTGTAGTCCCAGCTACTCGGGAGGCTGAGGCAGGGAGAATTACTTGAACCCGGGAGGCGGAAGTTGCAGTGAGCTGAGATTGCACCACTGCACTCCAGCCTCGGTGACAGAGCAAGACTCTGTCTCAAAAAAAAAAAAAAAAAAAAAAAAAAAAGCCAGGATGTTGTATAAAATATGACTAAGGGATGTTAATGACATAAATGTTTGCATTTTCCCACTCCAAATCATACAGTGACACCCTAACCTGTAATACGATGGAATTAAGATGGCATCTCTGAGAAGTCATTAGAATTAGATTAGAGCATGAGAGTAGATCCCTCGTGAATGGGATTAGTACTCTTATGAGACACAGGATAGCTTGTTTCCTCTTTCTCTCTGTCATGTGAAAAAATAAAAAAATAGCTGGCCGGGCGCGGTGGCTCACACATGTAATCCCAGCACTTTGGGAGCCTGAGGTGGGTGGATCACGAGGTCAGGAGTTTGAGACCAGCCTGGCCAAGATGGTGAAACCCTGCCTCTACTAAAGAATACAAAAAATTAGCTGGGCACGGTAGCAGGCACCTGTAATCCCAGCTACTCGGAAGGCTGAGGCAGGAGAATTGCTTGAATCCCAGAGGCAGAGGTTGCAGTAAGCCGAGATCGCACCACTGCACTCCAGCCTGGGTGACAGAGCAAGACTCCATCTCAAAAAAAAAAAAAAAAAAAAAAAAATAGCCATCTGCAAACCAGGAAGCAGGCTCTTACCAGGCACCAGATCTGTCAGCACCTTGAACATGGACTTCATAACTTCCAGGCTTCCAGAACTGTCAGAAAGAAATGTTTATTTTTTTATTTTTTTATTTTTTTGAGACGGAGTCTCACCGTCACCAGGATGGAGTGCAGTGGCATGATCTCAGCTTACTGCAACCTCTGCCTCCCAGGTTGAAGTGATCCTCCTACCTCAGCCTCCTGAGTAGCTGGGACTACAGGTGCGCATCACCAAGCCCAGCTAATTTTTTCTATTTTTAGTAGAGACAGGCTTTCACCATGTTGGCCAGGATAGTCTCGATCTCTTGACCTCGTGATCCACCTGCCTCAGCCTCCCAAAGTGCTGGGATTACAGGCGTGAGCCACCATGCCCGGCCTAGAAATTATTCTTTAAGTCACCCGGTTTATGGGAATTTGATATAAAAGCCCAAGATGACTAAGATAGATAGGCACTAGCCCTAGAATACATCACAGCTTTGAGATCTATACTAATAAAGAGAAAATGATATTAACAGAGAGATGGAAATATAGACCAATGGAGAGGGTCCATGGGTACAAAAACACAGAAAAAATGAATAAGACTAAGCATTTGCAAGCACAACAGGTTGACTATAGTAAAAAATAATATATTGTACATTTTGAAATAACTAAAAGAGCTGGGCATACTGGCTTATGCCTGTAATCCCAGCACTTTTGGAGGTGGAGGCAGGATTACTTGAGCTCAGGAATTCGAGACAAGCCTGAGCAACATGGTGAAACCCCGTCTCTATGAAAAATACAAAAATTAGCTGGGTGTGGTGGAAAACACCTGTAGTTCTAGCTATTTGGGAAGCTGAAGCAGGAAGATCACTTGAACCTGGGAGGTGGGGGTTGCAGTGGTGTGGCTGGCTCACGCCTGTACTCCCAGCACTTTGGGAGGCTGAGGTGGGCAGATCACGAGGTCAAGAGATTGAGACCATTCTGGCCAACACGGTGAAACCCCGTCTCTACTAAAAATACAAAAATTAGCTGGATGTGGTAGTGCGTGCCTGTAGTCCCAGCTACTTGGGAGGCTGAGGCAGGAGATTTGCTTGAACCCAGGAGGCGGAGGTTGCAGTGAGCAGAGATTGCGCCACTGCACTCCAGCTTGTTGATAGAGTGAGACTCCATCTCAAAAAAAAAAAAAAAACAAAACAAAAAAAAAAACAAAGCAGCTGACCAACATTCATGTTAAAATAGATATCAAGCCAGGCACAGTGGCTCACACCTGTAATCCCAGCACTTTGGGATGCCAAGAAGGGGCGGATCACTTGATGTCAGGAATTCAAGATCAGCCTAGCCAGCATGGCGAAACCCCTTCTCAACTAAAAAAAATACAAAAATTAGCTGGGCGTGGTGGCAGTCACCAGCTACTCAGGAGGCTAAGGCACAAGAATCGCTTGGACCCAGGAGGTGGAGGTTGCAGTGAGCCAAGATCGTGCCACTGCACTCCAGCCTAGGCAACACAGTGAGACTCTGTCTAAAAAATAAAGTAATATCAAAAGACAAAACAGACTCTTTGTGGAAATAAGACACGAAATCTTGGCAATACAGGAAGACCTCATCCCTACAAAAAATAACTAGCTGGGCAGAGTGGCATGCACCTGTGAGCCCAGCTACTCGGGAGGCTCACGATGATTGCTTGAGCCCAGGAGGTCAAGGCTGTAGTGAGCTGTGATCACACCAGTACACTCCAGCCTGGGTGACAGCAAGACCCTTTAAAAAAAAAAAAAAAAAGTCCTCCATCCTGCAAAGAACTGTTTTTTTTTTTTCTTTCTCTTTTTCTTTTTTTTTTTTTGAGATGGAGTTTCACCGTTGCCCAGTCTGGAGTGCAGTGGCGCAATCTCGGCTCACCGCAACCTCTGCCTCCCAGGTTCAACCAGTTCTCCTGCCTCAGCCTCCCGAGTAGCTGGGACTACAGGCTTGTGCCACCATGCCCGGCTTTTTTTTTGTATTTTTAGTAGAGACAGGGTTTCACCATGTTGGCCAGGATGGTCTCGATCTCCTGACTTGGTGATCTGTGCGCCTCGACCTCCCAAAGTGTTGGGATTACAGGCGTGAGCCACCACGCCTGGCCAGAACTGATATTTTGGGTACTCTTTGTAATTCACCAATCTACCATACTTTCTTGTGGAAATTATTTCATTTTTCTCCAGTTAAAATAGTAAACTTTCCCTATTTTTCTCCAGTAGCATTCCTAAAACTAGTCCCTATAACATCATTGGAAATCACCCACAACAAAAGGATACACCTGAGAAATGTACTACACTGCCCGCAGAGAAGAAAAAAACATATTAAGAAATGGAATATAAGACTAAATAGCGATTTTTTTTTTTTTTTTGAGATGGAGACTCGCCCTGTAGTGCAGGCTGGAATACAGTGGTGCAATGTCAGCTCACTGCAGCCTCCACCTCCCAGGTTCAAGGGATTCTCGTGCCTCAGTCTCCCTAGTAGTTGGGATTATAGGCATGCACCACTATACTCAGCTAACTTTTGTATTCTTAGTTGAAACAGGGTTTCATCATGTTGGCCAGGTTGGTCTTGAACTCCTGACCTCAGGTGATCCACCTGCCTTGGCCTCTCAAAGTGCTGGGATTACAGGTGTGAGCCACTGCATCCAGCCATTTTTCTGAAATCTACCTCTTTCTGGCCTGTGTGTAAAATTTTCTTATTTTGCAAGGTCTAGTGAAAAATGCAAATTACAATTAATAAAAAACCTGAAGCTGCAATAAGTGAACAATTATTTACAAAAAGACAAACCCACAGAGGGGCAATGCTGACTAGAAAGAACACAGTGATGTTTGACTCAAGTGTCAGGCCATCCTATCACATGGGACATTTCTCTGTGCCCATCCTGCTCACTGAAGTGCTGAGTGACTATTTTCCAACAACACTGCACTGTGCCCCTGTGTGCCCCAAGTGCATTTCCTTTTTTTTTTTTCCCCTCTCTTGAGACAGAGTCTCACTCACTTGCCCAGGCTGGAGTGCAGTGGTGCGATGTCCGCTCATTGCAGAATCCACCTCCCAGGTCCAAGCAATTCTCAGGCCTCAGCCTCTGGAGTAGCTGGGACTACAGGTGTGTGCCATCACACCTGGCTGATTTCTTTTGTATTTCTAGTAGAGCCAAGGTTTCACCATATTGGCCAGGCTGGTCTCAAACTCCTGGCCTCAAGTGATCTACCCACCTCAACCTCCCAAAGTGTTGGGATTATAGGCATGAGCCACTGCACCTGGCCAGTGCATTTTCATTTACGAGGCTGAGGCAGGAGAATGGCATGAACCCGGGAGGTGGAGCTTGCAGTGAGCAGAGATTGTGCCACTACACTCCAGCCTGGGCGACAGAGCGAGACTCCGTCTCAAAAAAACAAAAACAAAAAACGGGCCAGGCGCAGTGACTCACACCTGTAATCCCAGCACTTTGGGAGGCCAAGGCGGGTGGATCACAAGGTCAGGAGATCAAGACCATCCTGGCTAACACAGTGAAACCCCGTCTCTACTAAAAATACAAAAAATTAGCCAGGCGTGGTGACGGGCTCCTGTAGTCCCAGCTACTTGGGAGGCTGAGTCAGGAGAATGGCGTGAACCCGGGAGGCGGAGCTTGCAGTGAGTAGAGATCGCGCCACTGCACTCCAGCCTGGGTGACAGAACAAGACTCTGTCTCCAAAAAAAAACAAAAACAAAAACAAATAGTTGATACTACAAATTGAAGAAGGAGAGTTGGTGTCTGCAAATTTTAGAAAGGAACTGAAATTTTAGTATTGTACTGCAAGCTCTCCAGAGGTAGGCCAGGGTCACAGGGTGGAGGGTTTGAGATCTCACTTCCCATATATTTGGAAAATGCAGAGAAGTACCAGTTAACTGGGGAGTGTTGAAAATTTTGAATAAGAAGTAATTAAACTTAATGCCTATAGTACTCTAAGATCTTGGCCAAGAACATGGAAATCAAATTCAAATGCTATTCATATAAAGTACTAACTTATGTGACGGTATGTGGCCTGAGAAAACAATAACAAGTTACTAATTTATTGGGAAATGAAATATGGGCTTAACCAGGTACAATTGGTCGAGTAACCTCTGATTATACAACCAAAAATTTTCCACTGTATGGTCTGTGAAAATAAGTAATTCAAAAATTGAAGCTGTTGGAACTCTAAATTATCTTGAAGTTTAAAGTAATGTGACTCTGGAATTGAGTCACCTGACACTGGAAAGAGCCAGCTGGAACCCTCCCACACTTGACTACAGATTAACCATCAGACAGGCTTCACTATACCTGGACAGGCCTCATTATACCCGCTTCCTTTAGGAGTTTCCACATAGCCACTGACCCACCTTCATGTTAAAACAGACATCAGCCAACTGGAAACACAGACTCTCTGTGACAATAAGAAACCAAATTACAAACAAGACCTAAGGCCATGCAAGGCAAGAGGTAAGTCAAATCTTAGAATTCACAAAATCTAAAGAAACAGGTCTTTTGTTTTGGGTGGGATGAAATCATATGACAGATACCAGACCCTCTTCACTTAAGCAATCCTTCCTACCGCCTCGAAGTTTTAGACAAAGCTTCACACTCTCCACCAACGGCCACCTTCAGAATCCCTCAACCACCTGCACCTTCTAACCCCCCTTCCACAGGTCCCGCCCTTTCTGCCAAAGGAACTTACACCTTTCCAGGCATTGATGCATGATTCTCCCTGCAATTCCTGTCTCCCTGAAATGAATAAAAACAGTCTTGAGCCGCCTCGGGACCACTTACTTCAGGCCTCCTGGGGTTGTGTTTTCCTCAGCTGAGGCCTCTCCTATTCGGCTCTGAATAAACTTCTTTAAGTTATTTTACACAGCTTGGCATTTTCCGTTAACAAATTACAAGCCAGGACTGGGTGTTTATCATTCAGGAATCTCAAAGGAACTCTAATTATTAATATATTTTTTAAAACCTATTCTGAGAAGCAAAACTATAATTGTTAACGTGTCTCAGTTTAATTTTTAAGAGGAGAAAGGCGCTACTGGGGACCCCACAGCCCACCCTCCTCCTACACAAACCCCCACACCCGAGGCGGGATCCCCCCATGACCCTCGCGTAGTCCCCGCACAATGTGGGGAGACGCGGGGCAGCGGGCGCGGAGCTGCCCAGAGAGGGCTCTGGGAACTGGGTGACAGTCACCGCGCAGGGACAGGACGAGACGCCCGGGTCCCGGCGGCCGGCCCAGCCCCACTGTGGGGCCAAGGGGACCAAGGGCCGAGCTGTCCCACGGGAAATCGGGTCCCAGACCCCGGAGTCGCCGCGGGGAGGCCCGGGTCCCACCACAGCCGGTTCCGGCCGGTTCCAACCAGCTCCTCCCCCGCCTCGGGACCCCTGGCCCGCACGCTCACCATTTCTTGCCTTTCAGGTGACTCCCACGACCAGTGCGGGTCACAGCACAGGCGACAGAAGCTATGGCAGAGGCACCTGAACCCTCTCGGAGGGGAAAGCCAGGCTCCCAACCTCAGCTCGCCGCCTGGAGCCGGGAACCGAGGAGAGCAGGGCCTTCGCCCTCCCCGATGGACACTCGGCAGGCCCCGCCCAGCGCCCCTGATTGGACGAAGCGCCGGGCCCCGCCCCCTCAGCCGTGAGTGACAATAGAAGCCCTTGGTAACGGGGCTCTGAAAACGGGTTTGACCGGATCCAGCGATAGATTCTTTAAGCCAGAGGTCTGTAACCTTTTTAGCACCAGAACCGGTTTCGTGGAAGACAGTTCTCCTACGGGGGCAGATAGTTTCGGAATGAAACTTCCACCTCAGATCAGGCATTTTATCCTCATAAGGCGAACCCAACCTAGATCCCTCGCATGTGCAGCTCACAATAGGGTTCGGGCTCCTATGACAGACTAATGCCTCTGCTGATCTGACAGGAAGCATATCTCTGGCGATAATGCCCGCTGGCTCGCCCGCCAGCCGCTCACCTCCTGCTGTGCGGACTGGTTCCTTACAGGCCATGGACCGGGGGTTGGGGACCCCTGCCATAGAGTACTGTTGAATAGAAACTTTAGCTCGTCCGGCGGTGGGCTGGGGGGGTGGGGGTAGCTCATGCCTGTAACCCCACCACTTTGGGAAGCCAAGGCAGGCAGATTGCTTGAGCCTAGGAACTTAAGCCCAGCCTGGGTAACATAGCAAAACCCCGCCTCTACAAAAAATACAAAAATTAGTCGGGCGTGGTGGTACATGTTTGCAGTCCCAGCTACTCGGAAGGCTGAAATGAGAGGATCGCCTGAGCCCAGAGAGGTCGAGGCCACAGTGAGCTGTGATTTTACCAGCCTGGATGTCAGAGTGAGACCCTGTCTCCGAAAAAAAAAAAAAAAAAAAAGACAGGGAATTGCAGTGGAGTTTAATATACATAGAGCCGGCTAAATGAAAGAGAAGAGTTTTATTTTTATTCAATTCTGTCTCCCTAAAAAATGGGAGGCTAGGTTTTGTTTTTTTGGTTTTTTTTTGAGACGGAATCTCTCTGTCGCCCATGCTGGAGTGCAGTGGCGCAATCTCGGCTCAGTGCAACCTCCGCCTCCCGGGTTCAAGCGATTCTCCTGCCTCAACCTCCTGAGTAGCTGGGATTACAGGCATGCGCCACCATGCCCGGCTAATTTTTGTATTTTTAGTAGAGACGGGGTTTACCATGTTGGTCAGGCTGGTCTCAAACTCCTGACCTCATGATCCACCCGCCTCGGCCTCCCAAAGTGCTGGGATTACAGGCCTGAGCCCCCGCACCCGGCCGAGGCTAGGGTTTTAAAGATAATTTGGTGAGCAGAAGGCTGGAAAATGGGGAATGCTGATTGGTCGCGAAAAGGATATCACAGGAAGTCTCAGCTGTCTTCTTGCACTGAGTCAGTTCTTGGCTAGGGGCCACTGGAGCAGGTGAGCCAGTTTATTGGTCTGTGTGATGCCAGCAAATTTATCAGAATGAAGGGTCTCAAAAATACCTCAAACACCAATCTTAGGTCTTACAACAATAATATTATCCACAGGAGCAAGTGAGAAGGTTGGGAATCTTGTGTACTCTGGCCGCATATTTCCTGAACCATAATTTCTAATCTTGTGGCTAATTTCTTAGTTTTACAAAGGCAATCTGGTTCCCAAGCAAGGAGACAATTTCTTTACGGAAGCGGCAGTTATGACTTTTGCTTTAAAGCTAAACTAAACTCCTTCCAATATTAGTAAGACCTATACCCGGGAATGAACAAGGGTAGCTTGGAGGCTAAAGAAAAGATGGAGTTCGCTTAGATCTGATCTCTTTCACTGTCATAATTTTCTCACTGTTATAATTCTTGCAAAAGGGTTTTCAGATGTAGAGTCATACTTTTAGCTCCTGGCAACATTTATGTTGGAACTCTTATACAGCAACTAAATCACTGGAACAGGATAATTGGTTGAGGATTTACTAACTGCTCCATCAGGTGGAAGTGGCACTCCTTACTAATTTACCTGAAAGCACTATTTCCTGAGCCATGGAGACTGAGTATAGCAATGATATGTGATCTAAAGAAGTTCCCACTCTGCTTCTTCTCTGCAGTGAAGTCCTGCCAGGCACGTTACTACTTCCACTGCCACTTTTTCCTCCTCCAAATGTGGCTAAGCAATTACTTCCCTTATGGAAGACTGTACAAAGATGAAAACATGGCTAGGTTGATGGGGTCACTCTGAGACAAGGTAGACTTATGTTATACTTTTTGCAAAGGTGACTTCAGATATGGAATCATAATTTTAGCTGCTGGCAGCAATGATGTTGGAATTCATATACAGACACTAAATGACTGGAAAAGGACAATTGGTTGAAGGTTTACTAATTGTTCCCTCAAGAGGAAGTGCCATTCCCTATTGATTTAATTGACAGCACTATTTCCTCAGCCATGGAAACTGAGTACAGCAATAATATGTGATCTAAAGAACATTCCACTCTGAGGGCCAGATGCAGTGGCTCATGCCTATAATCCCAACATTTTAGGAGGCCAAGGCAGGCAGATCACGTGAGGTCAGGAGTTAAAGACCAGCCTTGCCAACACAGTGAAACCCCATCTCTACTAAAATCACACAAATTAGCTGGGTGTGGGCTGGGTTTGGTGGCTCACACCTGTAATCCCAGCACTTTGGGAGGTCGAGGTGGGCAGATCATCTGAGGTCAGGAAATCAAGACCAGCCTGACCAACATGGAGAAACTCCATCTCTATTAAAAATACAAAATTAGCTGGGCATGCTGGCACATGCCTGTAATCCCAGGTACTCGGGAGGCTGAGGCATGAGAATTGCTTGAACCTGGGAGGTGGAGGCTGCAGTGAGCTGAGATCGCGCCACTGCACTCCAGCCTGGGTGACAGCGTGAGACTCTATCTTCAAAAAAAAAAGGCTGGGCGCGGTGGCTCATGCCTGTAATCCCCACACTTTGAGAGGCCGAGGCGGGTGGATTACCTGAGGTCAGGAGTTCAAGACCAGCCTGGCCAACATGGTGAAACCCCGTCTCTACTTAAAATACAAAAAATTAGCCGGGCGTGGTGGTATGTACCTGCAATCCCTGCTACTCGGGAGGCTGAGGCAGGAGAATTGCTTGAACCTGGGAGGCAGAGGTTGCAGTGAGCCGAGATCGCACCACTGCACTCCAATCTGGGGGACAAGAGCGAGACTTCGTCTCAAAAACAAAACAAAAAAAAAAAACTTTCTACTCTGCTTCTTCCCTCTGGTAATGTTCTGCCAGGTACATTAGTACTTCCAGACACTTTTTCCTCCTCCAAAGGTAGCTAAGCAATTGTTATTTCCCTCATGGAAAACTAAGTATAAATGGGAATATAGCTAGACCAATGAGGTCATGCAGAGGCAAAGGAGACTTATGTTGTTTATCAAGTTTTCTTTTCAGTACCTTAATTTTCACTTCTATTTGTTTAATTTTTTATTTTTTTGGAGACAGAGCCTCACTCTGTCATCCAGGCTGGAATGTACTAGCGTGATCTCAGCTCACTGCAACCTCTACCTCCCGGGTTAAAGCAATCCTCTTACCTCAGCCTCCTGAGTAGCCGGGACCACAGGCCCGTGCCACCATGCCTGGCTAATTTTAGTGTTAGTTTGTAGACACAAATTCTCACTATGTTGCCCAGGCTGGTCTTAAACTCCTGGGCTCCAGCAATCTGCCCACTTTGACCTCTCACACAGTGCTGGGATTGATTACAGGCCTGAGCAACCATGCCCGGCCTTCATTTCTACTTTTTGATTATTTTAAAATTTATTTATTTTTCTTTATTTTTAGAGACAAGATCTTCCTACCTAGTCCAGACTGGGGAACAGTGCAGCATTAAACTAATCCTCCTGACTCAGCTTCCTGACAAGCAGTGACCATAGACACATGCCACCACACCTGGATATTTTACAAAATTAACAGTACCTAAATATGGCCGGGCAGGGTGGCTCACTCCTGTAATCCCAGCACTTTGGGAGGCCGAGGCAGGTGGATCACCTGAGGTCAGGAGTTCGAGACCAACCTGGACAACATGGTGAAACCTCGTCTCTACTAAATATACAAAAATTATCTGGGCGTGGTGGCGGGCACCTGTAATCCTAGCTACTCAGGAGGCTGAGGCAGGAGAATCACTTGAACCCGGAAGGCGGAGGTTGCAGTGAGCCAAGATCATGCCACTTCACTCCAGCCTGGGCAACAGAGCAAAACTATGTCTTAAAAAAAAAAAAAAAAAAAAAAAAAAACTGGCCAGGCGCGGTGGCTCACGCCTGTAATCCCAGCACTTTGGGAGGCCAAGGCTGGCAGGTCAGGAGGTCAGGAGTTCGCGACCAGCCTGGCCAACATAGTGAAACCCCGTCTCTACTAAAAGTACAAAAAAATTAGCCAGGCGTGGTGGTGGGGGGCCTGTAATCTCAGCTACTTGGGAGGTTGAGGCAGGAGAATTGCTTTAACCCACGAGACGGAGGTTGCAGTGAGATGAGATTGTGCCATTGCACTCCAGCCTGGGTGACAGAACGAGACTCTGTCTCAAAAAAAAAAAAAAAAAAAAAAACTGGCCAGGCGCGGTGGCTCACGCCTGTAATCCCAGCACTTTGGGAGGCCGAGGCGGGCAGATCACGATGTCGGGAGATGGAGACCATCCTGACTAACACGGTGAAACCCCGTCTCTACTAAAAATACAAAAAATTAGTCAGGCGTGGTGGCGGGCGCCTGTAGTCCCAGCTACTCGGGAGGCTGAGGCAGGAGAATGGCGTGAACCCGGGAGGCGGAGCTTGCAGTGAGCGGAGATGGCGCCACTGCACTCCAGCCTGGGGGACAGAGCAAGACTCCGTCTCAAAAAAAAAAAAAAAAAAAAACAGGCCGGGAGTGGTGGCTCACGCCTGTAATCCCAGCACTTTGGGAGGCCAAGGCAGGCGGATCGCAAGGTCAACAGATCAAGACCACCCTGGCCAACATGGGAAAACCCCGTCTCTACTAAAAATACAAAAATTAGCTAGGTGTGGTGGCGCATGCCTGTAGTCCCAACTACTTAGGAAACTGAGGCAAGAGAATCCCTTGAACCAGGGAGACGGAGGCTGCAGTGAGCCAAGATCACGCCACTGCATTCCAGGCTGGCGACAGAGCAAGAGTCCATCTCAAAAAAATAAATAAATAAAAGTATAAAATTTAGCTAAACATGGGGGCACACGCCTGTAGTCCCAGCTACTCAGAAGGCTGAGGCAGGAGAACTGCTTGAACCCAGGAGGTGGACGTTGCAGTGAGCCGAGATCACGCCACTGCACTCCAACCTGGGTGACAAGAGCGAGACTCTGTCTCAAAAAAAAAAAAAAGAAAGAAATTCCACATACCAAACTAGTCCCAGGAATAAATATGCAATTTATTAAACAAGAAAATAACAGCCTAACACAATAGCCAAAAAAGTTAAAATTTCAGAAATATTTGTTTTCCCATGAAAACTAGATAGCCAGTCATGGTGGCTCATGCCTGTAATTTCAGCACGTTGGGAGGCCAAGGCAGAAGGACTGTTTGAACCCAGGAGTTCTAGAGTACCGTGGACAACATAGGGAGACCAGGTCTCTACAAAAAATTAAGAAATTAGATGGGTGTGGCCGGGCGCGGTGGCTCATGCCTGTAATCCCAGCACTTTGGGAGGCCAAGGTGGGCAGATCGCAAGGTGAGGAGTTTGAGACCAGCCTGGCCAATATGGTGAAACCCCATCTCTACTAAAAATACAAAATTAACCGGGCGTTGTGGCACATGCCTGTAATCCCAGCTGAGATTGTGCCACTGCACTCCAGCCTGGGCGACAGAGCGAGGCTCCGTCTCAAAAAAAAAAAAATATATAGAAAAGAAAAGAAATTAGATGGGTGTGGGCCAGGCGCGGTGGCTCACGCCTGTAATCCCAGCCTTCTGGGAGGCCGAGGCGGGCGGATCACAAGGTCAGGAGATCGAGACCATCCTGGCTAACACGGTGAAACCCCTTCTCTACTAAAAAATACAAAAAATTAGCCGGGTATGGTGGCGGGCGCCTGTAGTCCCAGCTACTCGGGAGGCTGAGGCAGGAGAATGGTGTGAACCCAGGAGGTGGAGCCTGCAGTGAGCCGAGATCGTGCCACTGCATTCCAGCACTCCAGCCTGGGCGACAGAGCAAGACTCTGTCTCAAAAAAAAAAAAAAAAAAAAATTAGATGGGTGTGGTGGCTCACATTTGTAGTCCCAGCTGTTCGGGAGGCTGAGATGGGAGGATCCCATGGGCCTGGGAGACATAGGCTGCAGTGAGCAGTGATCAAGCCACTGCACTCCAGCCTAAGTGACAGATGGAGACTGTCCCAAACAAAACAAACTAAGCAGAAAAACTAAGGATAGCACCTTCGAATTTGTCCCTAAGTTGTCAAAGTCTTGGACCCCCACTGAAGGAATTCCCTGGTACTTAGACACCAGATAAAGCAGAAGTGAAGACTGCACTCTAATTATCCTCCTTTGTTTTAGGTTTCTTCCTGAAGGACTTGTGAAAAGTCACTTCCTCTACTTTTTTTTCTGCTGACCCCCAAATTTTAAACAAAGCTTTTCTTCCCTAAGGAATTGCAAATCAGAAAATCTTTAAACTGTAAGCCCCAGCTTTAAAATATCCCACCCTTTCAAGCATAAACCAATGAGTAATCTCCATGTATTCATTTGTTATTTTGCCTGTAGCATCTACATTCCTAAAACTTACCCCTGCTTCTAAAAATCCCTGCCTGCAATCCAGTGGGGGAGGTCAGGATTTAAGACTTTGGCTGGGCGCAGTGGCTCACGCCTATAATCCCGGCACTTTCGGAGGCTGAGGCGGGCGGATCACAAGGTCAGGAGATCAAGACCATCCTGGCTAACATGGTGAAACCCCATCTCTACTAAAAATACAAAAAAAAAAAAAAAGACTTTATGCCTGTGTGGTCCTCCTTGATTGGGACTCTGCAATAAAAGGCTTTTTCCACATCACTTCAAACCCCAGTGTAAATGCCTGGCTTTCCAGGGCAAGGCAACTGGATCACAGTTCTGTCCTCAACCCCTGGGGCTCTGGTTGCAAGGCTGGAAATAGACAGGCTTTCTCCCACATCTTTCTCACTTTCATGTAGGAAAGAAGTAGTTTCCTTCTTTAAAATCAAAACTGTTTTATCCTCAGGATATGTACCTGCACGGACATCATAAAGTTAACTTTTCAGAATATGTTTATCAGCCAGGTAGAGTGGCTTACAGCTATAATCCTAGCACTTTTGGAAACTAAGGTGGGAGGATTGCTCATGACTAGGTGTTCACAACCAGCCTGAGCAATGGAATGAGAACCTGTCTCTATGAAAGGAATGAAAAATGAGCTAAGAATGGTGATACCTGTCTGTAGTCATAGCTACTCAGAAGGCTAAGGCAAGAGGATCATTTGAGCCCAAGAGTTCAAGGCTGCAGGGAACTGTGATTGCACCACTGCACTTCAACCTGGGTGACAGAGGGACACCCTGTCTCCCAAAACACACACACACACACACACACACACACAAATACATATATACATCTATGTATGTATGTAAATATCCTATATATTTTCCTTATGCATTTTAAATATAGTTATATGTTAAAATATACATGCATATTTATATACAAAATATAAATATGTATATTTCATCTTATTTATTTATTTATTTATTTATTTTTGAGATGGAGTTTCACTCTTGTTGCCCAGGCTGGAGTGCAATGGCACAATCTCGGCTTACTGCAACCTCTGCCTCCCGGGTTCAAGCGATTCTCCTGCCTCAGCCTCCCAAGTAGCTGGGATTACAGGTGCCTGCCACCACACCTGGCTAATTTTGTATTTTTAGTAGAGATGGGGTTTCTCTATGTCGATCAGGCTGGTCTCGAACTCCCAACCTCAGGTGATCTCCCTGCCTCCACCTCCCAAAGTGCTGGGATTACAGGCATGAGCCACTGTGCCTGGCCTATTTTATTTTATTATGTAATAGAGATAACGTCTCACCATATTGCCCAAGCTGGTCTCAACCTCTTCAGCTTAAGCAATCCTCCTGCCTTGGCTTCCCAAAATGCTGAGATTACAGGTGTCTCTGCAGTGAATCCTTCCGTGCATTTGAAGTTCTGAGTCCCATCTAAGGACTTTACCATATTGCTTACATCCATAGAGTTTCTAGCCAGCGTGAGTCCTTACATGCTTTTGAAGGATTGAGGCAGATCTAAAGGCTTTACCACATTGCTTACACTCATAGGGTTTCTCTCCAGTATGAATCCTTTCATGGTAGAGAAAAGAGTTGGAAGAAATGAAGGCTTTCCCACACTGTTTACATTTATAGGGTTTCTCTCCAGTGTGAGTCCTTTTATGATAGCGAATAGAATTAGAAGAAATGAAGGCTTTTCCACATTGCTTACACTCATAGGGTTTCTCTCCTGTGTGAGTCCTTTCATGCATTTTAAGTTGTGAGGCAACTCTAAAGACTTTACCACATTGCTTACATCCATAGGGTTTCTCTCCTGTGTGAGTTCGTATGTGCTTTTGAAGGACTGAGGCAGATCTGAAGGCTTTCCCACATTGCTTACACTCATAGGGTTTCTCTCCAGTGTGAGTCCTTTCATGATAGTGAAAGGAATTGGAAGAAGTGAAGGTTTTCCCACATTGTTTACATTCAAAGGGTTTCTCTCCAGTGTGTGTCCTTTCATGTATTCGAAGATCCTTGACAAAACTGAAGGCTTTCACACATTTTTTACATTCATAAGGTTTCTCTCCAGTGTGAGTCTTTTCATGATAGCGAAAGGAAGTGGAAGAAATAAATCCCTTACCACATAGCTTACACTCATAGGGTTTCTCTCCAGTGTGTTTTCTTTCATGTACTCGCAGGTACTTGACAGATCTGAAGGCTTTCCTACATTGTGTACACTCATAGGGTTTCTCTCCACTGTGAGTCCTTTCATGATATTGAAAGGAACTGGGACAATTGAAGGCTTTATCACATTGCTTGCATTTATAGCGTTTCTCTCCAGTGTGACTTTTCTCGTGTCTTTTTAACGAACTGGGAGAAAAAAAGGCTTTCCCACATATGTTACATTTATGAGGTCTCTCTCCAGTGTGCATTCTCATGTGTGTCTGAAAGCTTACAAGATAAGATAATGCTTTCCCACACTGCTTACATTCATAGGGTTTTTTTGCAGAGTGGATTCTTTCATGTCTACGAACAGAACTGGGAAAACTGAATGCTTTCCCACACTGCTTACATTCATAGGGTTTTTTTGCAGAGTGGATTCTTTCATGTCTACGAACAGAACTGGGAAACCTGAATGCTTTCCCACATTCCTTACATTCATAAGGCTTTTCCCCAGTGTGAGTTCTTCCATGTATTGCAAGGCTACTGGAATAACTAAAGGCTCTGAGGTGCCTATTAAGGGATGAAAGACCTATGCCGATTTCTCCACACACACTGCTTTCATATGATTGTACTCCAGGAGTTTTCTTCTTCAGTGTGTCATCTGGAACCTGTGTCAAAACTTCTCCATGCTGATGACTTTCTTTACTTTCAGAGAGTCTCTCCCCTATAAGTCTTCTGTGAACAATGAAAGCACATTATAATGGGTTTATCACTAATTTTAATTCCTTTGCAAGTATTACACTTGCATTTTTAACAGTGCCCAGCAAAGTGTAGGCTTTCTGTCCTGTCTGAACATGAATGGAACACATGCTATACAAGATGGCCTAGCCAGGCCAGGCATGGTGGCTCACGCCTGTAATCCCAGCACTTTGGGAGGCCGAGGAGGGTGGATCATGAGGTCAGGAGATCGAGACCATCCTGGCTAACATGGTGAAACCCTGTCTCTACTAAAAAATACAAAAAATTAGCCGGGCGTGGTGGCAGGTGCCTGCAGTCCCAGCTACGGGGAGGCTGAGGCAGGAGAATAGTGTGAACCCGGGAGGCAGAGCTTACAGTGAGCCGAGATCACACCGCTGCACTCCAGCCTGGGTGACAGAGCGAGACACTGTCTCAAACAAACAAACAAAGATGGCCCAGCCATATCTCTTATCAAAAAAGATAATATTGATACAGGGATTTTAAATGCTTTATTTATTTATTTATTTATTTATGAGACCAAGTCTCACTCTGTCGTCAGGCTGGAGTGCAGTGGCACCATCCTGGCTCACTGCAACCTCCGCCTCCCAGGTTCAAGCGATTCTCCTGCCTCAGCCTCCCAAGGACTACAGGCACGCACCACCACGCCCAGCTAATTTCTCGTATTTTTAGTAGAGACAGGCTTTCACCATGTTGGCCAGGATGGTCTCAATCTCTTGACCTCATGATCCACCCACCTCAGCCTTCCAAAGTGCTGGGATTACAGGTGTGAGCCACCATGTCCAGCTTTTACATGCTATTTTAAAGTAGACTATTTTATAAATACGGTCTTTGTCTTTTTGTCTGTTTAGTTTTGAGTCAGGGTCTCACCCTGTGGCCCAGGCTGCCCTCCAGTGATGCCATCATGACTCAGTGCAACCTCAAACTCCCAGGTTCAAGCGATCTTCCATCCTGACCTCCAAAAGGGCTGGATTATACACATAAGCCATGTCACACTTTATATGTTTCTAGGGAAGCTTTTCTAAGAATAAATACATTGGAACTAGGTTTGTTTCTTATGCTTGCTTCTTTTTAACCTTTTCTTCCATTCTAAGATTGTATACAGAGACATTGTTTTCTCTTTTAAGTGCCAGTTACCTTAGGTTTCTCCTAGGATTTTGGTGCTCATCTTCAATGTACTGGTTGTTCCATTTTTTTCCTAAAATGCGGACCCAGAAAAATAGTCCTGAATTAGTATAAAATTATTTTAAAAAGTTACTTGATTCTATGTCCATGGCTCATTGCACCTGTGTCTCATTTATTCAAAGTATTCCCTGACCATATTCCAAATCACTCAACAGCACTGATGAGCTAGAAACACCTGTTCTTTAATTCACTGAGGGAAGTAATACTGTCATTCTTACCTATGGAGGTCAGGTTCCTCAAGGTTTCCTGCATCACTTCCCTGTAGAGATTTTTCTGGGAAGGATCCAGCAAAGCCCACTCCTCCTGGGTGAAGTTCACAGCCACATCCTCAAAGGCCACCGAATCCTGAAATATCCCACATGTGGACAGGAGGATGAGTGAGGCTGACAGCACTGGGTTTCTATACCCTATTCCTAGGAAGTTCTCAGGATGCTGTGGTGTGTGGACTCCAAACATTTATTCCATGACTTGGTCATCAGATCCCTTACTCTGTCTACACTCACTTTCTTCCATAAAACAATTTTGATGCTAGAGTTGAACTCTGGATGGGGTAAAGCAACAGCAGAATAGGAAAAATGTGTGTTTCTGGTGAGTCCAGGGAGAAAGTCGTGCTGCCTGGACTGCCCTTAATGTCCGAAGTGTGGATCTGCAGCACCTATCTTAACAAACTCCTTTGAATTTCTGAGCAAAACAAATTTAACGTGAGCAGCCCTAAGCCTGCATATTCTTGAAAACGCCTGTTCACAAAGTTGAACCTTTGTGATGACTAGAAAGTGGGTTTTCTTCTGATTCCAGTAGCAGAAGCCAAAAACAAAAAAACTGGGTTTGGCAAGGGGCTTTATTAATCTAACTGATAAGAGAGTCTGGCCAGGCACGGTGGCTCATGCCTATAAATCTCAGCACTTTGGGAGGTGAAGGCGGGCGGATCGCCTGAGGTCAGGAGTTTGAGACCAACCTGGCCAACATGGCAAAACCCCGTCTCTACTAAAAATAATAAAATTAGCCAGGCATAGTGATGGGCTCCTGTAATTCCAGCTACTTGGGAGACTGAAGCAGGAGAATCACTTGAACCCATGAGGCAGAGGTTGCAGTGAGCCAAAAACGTGCCACCACACTCCAGCCTGGGTGACAGAGCCAGACTCCATCGGTTAAAAAAAAAAAAAAATTCTAATTGATAAGAGAGTCATAACTAACTAAAACAAAAACTCACAAAAAGAAACCTTTCTGGGAAACTGTATGTAGATAGAAAAACCTAAACTGGGCTGGACACAGTGGCTCATGCCTATAATTCCAGCACTTTGGGAGGCCAAGGCGGGCAGATCACCTGATGTCAGCAGTTCAAGACCAGCATGATCAATATGATGAAACCCTGTCTCTACTAATAGATAATCCCAAGTGTTGGTAAACCACAAAAATAAAGACACACACATGAAAGGCTAGATGGTTGATCCATACATACACTCTACTGGCATTATCTTTCAAATTGGAATTTATCCATAATATACAACCCAGTGACTTTTCCCCCAATATGTGAGAAATTTATGTTCCATTTTCATATGGCAAAGAAAACCAACCATGACATTGTCACCAAGGTCAAAAACTAAACTGTAAACCCAAATCCCATTAAGCAGTGAAATGCATAAGTAAACTGGGCAACCCATGACTCAACACAGTGGCATGTTTGCAACAGAATGAGGCAAAAAGTCAGAAACAAACCCTTTTGGTATAACATGAAAGGTACATTAATTGCAATACTAAGTTACTGGAAACTCCAAACAGCCAAAATTCTACTTTGTGATAAAAGAAAATATGGCAGGCCTGGGCTGGGCGCGGTGGCTCATGCCTGTAATCCCAGCACTTTGGGAGGCCGAGGCGGGTGGATCACGAGGTCAGGAGATTGAGACCATCCTGGCTAACACCGTGAAACCGCATCTCTACTAAAAATACATAAAACTAGCCGGTCTTGGTGGCGGGCGCCTATAGTCCCAGCTACTCGGGAGGCTGAGGTAGGAGAATGGCATGAACCCGGGAGGCGGAGCTTGCAGTGAGCCAAGATCGAGCCACTGCACTCCAGCCTGGGCGACTGAACGAGACTCCATCTCAAAAAAAGAAAAAAAAAAAAGAAAAAATATGGCAGGCCTGGCACAGTGGCTCACACCTGTAATCCCAGCACTTTAGGAGGCAGGCACAGATGGATCACCTGAGCTCAGGAGTTCGAGACCAGCCTGGCCAACCAGGTGAAACCACGTCTCTACTAAAAATACGAATATCAGCTGGGCATGGTGGCAGGCGCTTGTAATCCCAGCTACTTGGGGGGCCGAGGCAGCAGAATCACTTGAACCTAGGAGGTAGAGATTACAATGAGCCAAGATCGTGCATTGCACTCCAGCTTGGGCAACAGAGCAAGACTCTGTCTCAAAAAAAAAAAAAAAGAAAAGAAAAAGAAAAGAAAAGAAAGAAAGGCTGGGCGCGGTGCCTCAGCACTTTGGGAAACTGAGGTGGGCAGATCACAAAGTCAGGAGTTTGAGACCAGCCTGGCCAATATAGTGAAACTCCATCTCTACTAAAAATATAAAAATTAGCTGGGTGTGGTGGTATGCACCTGTAGTCCCAGCTACTCGGGAAGCTAAGGCAGGAGAATCGCTTGAACCCAGGAGGCAGATGTTGCAGTGAGCCGAGATCACGCCACTGCACTCCAGCCTGGGCGAGAGGCAGCTCCGTCTCAAAAAAAAAAAAAAAAAGATAATACAGCTACAAAGAATAACAAAAAGAAGGCTGGGTGCGGTGGCTCATGTCTGTAATTCCAGCACTTTGGGAGGTGGATCACCTGAGGTCAGGAGTTCAAGACCAGCTCAGCCAAAGTGGTGAAACCCCATCTCTACTAAAAATACAAAAATTAGCCAGGTGTGGTGGCAGGTGCCTGTAATCCCAGCTACTTGGGAGGCTGAGGAAGGAGAATCGCTTGGACCCAGGAGATAGAAGTTGTAGTGAGCAGAGATGGTGTCACTGCACTCCAGCCTGAGCGACAGAGCGAGACTCCCTCTCAAAAAAAAAAAAAAAAAAAAAGAATAACAGGCCGGGCACAGTGGCTCACACCTGTAATCCCAACACTTTGGGAAGCCAAGGCGGGTGGAGCATGAGGTCAGGAGTTCAAGACCAGCTTGGCCAACCTAGTGAAACCCCATCTCTACTAAAAATACAAAAATTAGCCAGGTGTGGTGGCGCATGCCTGTAATCCCAGCTACTCGGGAGGCTGAGGCAGGAGAATCACTTGAACCTGGGAGGTGGAGGTTGCAGTGAGCTGAACTCACGCCATTGTACTCCAGCTTGGGCAACAAGAGCGAAACTCCATCTCAAAAAAAAAAAGAATAACCAAAAGAATCAAAATTTTGACCACCTTTGTGTGCCATAGTTAGATGACATCAAAGAAACACACCAGAACTGCCCAAGGACTATTCATTTTCCTGGGTGGTGTTCCCAAGTATATTCTTACTGACATGGCATCCAATTTTAAAACATCCAATTTTGGCCGGGTGCGGTGGCTCATGCCTGTAATCCCAGCACTGTGGGAGGCCAAAGCAGGCAGATCACCTGAGATCAGGAGTTTGAGACCAGCCTGGCCAACATGGTGAAACCCTGTCTCTACTAAAAATACAAAAATTAGCCAGGTATGGTGGCATGCACCTGTAGTCCCAGCTACTTGGGAGGCTGAAGCAGGAGAATCGATTGAACCCGGGAGGTGGAGTTTGCAGTGAGCCAAGATTATGCCAGTGCACTCCAGCCTGGGCGACAGAAAGAGACTCCGTCTCAAAAGTAAATAAATAAATAAATAAGAAGCAATTAAACTGAACTGGCTATAGAACACTAAGACCCTTCACAAGCATACTGAAGCCAAATTCAAATCCAATTCACATAAATTTCTAATCTGTGGCCTGAGGAAACAATATCACTAATGACTAATTTATAGGGAAATGAAATTTAGGCTTAACCAGGCACAATAGGTCAATTAATCTCTGATTACATAACCAAAAGTTTCACCTGTACAGAATGTGAAAATAGGTGATTCAAAAATTTAAGCTGCTGGAACTCTAAATTATCTTGAGGTTTAAAGGAATGCCATTCTGGGGTTGAGACACCTCACAGGCAGCGGTAACAGAGCCAGCCAGGGAACCTTCCATTCCCTGATTACAGATTAGCTTTCTTTCTTACCTATATTGTTTTGTAAAATATTTTAAATGACAAGCAAGTCAGGAAAGACCCCTTCCCTCTTAAGGATTGATTTCATTATAGACTAACTTCCCTCTTACTTTTCTTACACAAAGACTTCATGGCCATCACATCTTCTGAAGCTGGAAATGTTAAATTCACTTTTTTAAATAAGAAAAGAAATGAAAACCGGCCGCGCGCGGTGGCTCACGCCTGTAATCCCAGCACTTTGGAAGGCCGAGGTGGGTGGATCACGAGGTCAGGAGATCGAGACCATCCTGGCTAACACGGTGAAACCCCGTCTCTACTAAAAAATACAAAAAAATTAGCCGGGCGCGGTGGCGGGCGCCTGTAGTCCCAGCTACTTGGGAGGCTGAGGCAGGACAATGGCGTGAACCCGGGAGGCGGAGCTTGCAGTGAGCAGAGATCGCGCCACTGCACTCCAGCCTGGGTGACAGAGTGAGACTCCGTCTCAAAAAAAAAAAAAAAAAAAAAAAGAAAAGAAAAGAAATTAAAACCCCTTGCAAAGAAAATTTTAAAGTCCTGGGCCGGGCGCGGTGGCTCACGCCTGTAATCTGATACAGGAGAATCGCTTGAACCGGGGAGGCGGAGGTTGCAGTGAGCCGAGATTGCGCCATTGCACTCCAGTCTCGGCAACAAGAGCGAAACTCCGTCTCAAACAAACAAACAAAAAAACCTGTAACTAAATTGTATAATTAATTTAGTTGTACTAATTAGTTGTATTAAATTAATTGTACAATTAATTTAGTTGTACTAATTGTTGCGATAATTAAATTTCTTTGTTTTTTGCCTATATAAGAAGGAGCTTAACTTTTTTTTTTTGAGACAGTCTCATTCTTTCACCATGGCTGGAGTGCAGTGGGGCATTCCACTGTAATCCCAGCACTTTGGGAGGCCGAGGAGGGTGGATCACGAGGTCAGGAGTTCGAGACCAGCCTGGCCAATATCATGAAACCCCGTCTCTACTAAAAATACAAAAATTGGCCGGGCGCAGTGGCTCACGCCTGTAATCCCAGTACCTTGGGAGGCCGAAGTGGGCGGATCACAAAGTCAGGAGGAGTTCAAGACCAGCCTGGCCAATATGGTGAAACCCGTTTCTACTAAAAATACAAAAATTAGCCGGGCGTGGTGGCTGGCGCCTGTAGTCCCAGCTACTCGGGAGGCTGAGGCAAGAGAATCGCTTGAACCCGGGAGGCGGAGGTTGCAGTGAGCCGAGATGGCGCCACAGCACTTCAGCCTGGGGCGACGGAGCGAGACTCCGTCTCAAAAATATAAAAATCTGGTAAAATAAAAACAGGTCTTTTGGGGAAGGGGGCGGGGACTGGGATGGAATAACGTGGCAGATAACAGCCCTCCTTCCTACAGCCTCCAAATTTTAGACAAAGCTTTACACACTCTCAACCAACTGCCACCTACAGAATCCCTCCACCACCTGTGCCTTCTAACCCCGCTTCCATGTGTCCCGCCTTTCGGCCAAAGGAACTTACACCTTCCCGGCACTGATTCATCATTTTCCTGCAATTCCTGTCTCCCTGAAATGAATAAAACCAAACTGTCAGGAGCTGCCTCGGGATTGCTTACTCCAGACTTCGCGGGGTTGTGTTTCCCTCAGCCGAGGTCTCTCCTATTCGGCTCAGAATAAACTTATTCTACACGATTTGGGTTTTTCCGTTACCAAACCACAAGCCAGGACTGGGAGTTTCTCATTCATTAATCGCTGTTTGCTAAAATAAACTCTCATTTTTTAACAGTGCCTCAGTTTAATTTTTAACTGGAAAAAAAAAGGAACTGGGGACCCCACAGCCCACAGCTCCTCCCACACGAACCCCACACCCGAGGCAGGATCCCCCATGACCCTTCCATGGTCACCGCACAATCTGGGGAGACGCGGGGCTGCGGGCGCGGAGCTGCTCAGAGAGGGAGCCGGGGCCGGGGCCGCAGTCGCCGCGCAGGGACCGGACAGGACGCCCGGGGTCCCGGCTGCCGGCCCAGCTCCACCCAGCGGCCGAGGGGACCGAGGGCCGAGCTGCGCTAGGGGGACTGTGTCTGGAGCCCAGAGTCGCTGCAGGGGGGCCCGGGCCCCGCCACAGCGGGTTCCTCTCGGTTCCACCCAGTCCCTCCTTTCGCCTTGGGACTCCCCAGCACCGCATGCTCACCATTTCCTGGCTTCCAGGTATTCTGGCGTCCTCTCTAAAGGTCCCGTGAACAGTGCAGGTCACAGCGCAGTCGACAGAGCAACAGCAGCTACGGCGGAAGTAACTGGTCCCTCTCGGAGCAAGAAAGCCCCAGACCTTAACTAGCGCGAGCAGCCCTAGGAGTGAAGAGAGCGGGAATGCAACCTCCCCTTCCCTGGAGGACAGTGGCAGGGCCCCGCCCTAGCGCCCCTGATTGGATAGGGGTCTAGACTCCGCCCCCTTCCCTGAGTGACAGCAGAAGCCCCGGGTAACTGGGCGCTGCAGAGCCGAAGCGACTGGTTCTGGCCACACTTTCCAAGGTCAGCTCCCTCCCTCCCTCCCACCTTTACTTCGAATATTTGCCTTCGGCCAAACTTGCTCCGAACTGCTAGAAGGGACACTGTTGTCTTCCTCACTCCGTGGGCCGTCCCTGCCCCTTCATCCTACACGGGACACAAGTGTGCAGGGAATTCCAGATTCAGTGTCCACAAAATGTGAAAGACATTAAAATATTTTGCCCCAAGATATTGCCCTGCCAAAATATATTTCTTTGACAGTTTTGAAATGGCTGCTGCTTGGCCAGCAAACAAAAGGTGGCCTTGCAAAACTGTCTTTTGAGGGGGAAATTTACATTTGTAGAGAATCTCCGTTAATGAAGCACTGCCAGCTCCCCCGTTCTTTTCCTTTCCCTGATCTAAAAGCTATTGAGAGTTTGACACCTTTAAAATCTGAAGAGAGGTAGCACATGGTGACTCATGTCTATAATCCCACCACATTGGCAAACTGAGGCGGAAGGATCCCTTGAAGCAAGGAGTTTGAGGCCAACATCATCAACACAGCGAGATCCCTGTCTTTCTTTCTTTTTTTTTTTTTTTTTTAGACAGTCTCGATCTGTCGCCCAGGCTGGAGCACAGTGGCACGAGATCTTGGCTCACTGCAACCTCCGCCTCCCAGGTTCAAGCGATTCTCCTGCCCCAGCCTCCCAAATAGCTGGGATTACAGACATGCGCCACCACGCCCCGCTAATTTTGTATTTTTAGTAGAGACGGGGTTTCTCCATGTTGGTCAGGCTGGTCTCGAACTCACGACCTCAGGTGATCCGCCCGCCTCGGCCTCCTAAAGTGCTGGGATTACAGGCGTGAGCCACCTCGCCCGCCGATCCCTGTCTTTATTATTTAAAATTTTTTTAAATGGCCGGGCGCTGGCCGGGCGCAGTGGCTCACGCCTGTAATCCCAGCACTTTGGGAGACCGAGGTGGGCGGATCACGAGGTCAGGAGATCGAGACCATCCTGGCTAATACGGTGAAACCCCGTCTCTACTAAAAATACAAAAAAAAAATTAGCCGGGCGTGGTGGTGGGCGCCTGTAGTCCCAGCTACTCGGGAGGCTGAGGCAGGAGAATGGCGAGAACACGGGAGGTGGAGCTTGTAGTGAGCAGAGATCGCACCACTGTACTCCAGCCTGGGCCACAGAGCAAGACTGTGTCTCAAAAAAACAAAACAAAACAAAACAAAAAACCAGTGGCCGGGCGCAGTGAGACCAGGTCTCTACCAAAAAGATAAGTAAATAGATTAGGGCCAGGCATGGTGGCTCATGCCTGTAATCCCAGCACTTTGGGAGGCCGAGGTGGGTGGATCACTTGAGGTCAGGAGTTTGAGACCAGCCTGGCCAACTTGACGAAATCCCATCTCTACCAAAAATATAAAAATGAGCTGGGTTTGGTGGCACACACCTGTGATCCCAGCTATTCGGGGGGCTGAAGCAGGACAATTGCTTGAACCCAGAAGACGGAGGTTGTAGTGAGCAGAGATTGCACCATTACACTCGAGCCTAGGTGACAGAGTGAGACCTTGTCTCATAAAAAGGAAAAAAGTCTATTCTCTGGGGGAGACATCATCTACGTAACAGTCCACCTCTAGCCAAGCCTCTTCCTTTCTCAGTCTACTAAGCTGTCTTGCTACTAAACCTAATTTACTGACCTCAGGTCGCTATATAATCTTCTCTGTCTTATAGCTGGGTGTGTCTTCATTCTGAAGGTTCCCATGTATACATGTTAAATACATTTGCATGCCTTCTTTTCTATTAATCAATCTGCCTCAGATCAATTAGTTTTCAGCAAACCTTTAGGACACGAAGAGTCTATCACCCCCACAAAGCCATCCCCTTGTCTCAGGGCAGGAGGGGAACAAGGCCATGTATGACTGCTCCAGGAGGGAGAGACAGATCTCCTGCAGTGGGGCAAGAATCGGGATGAGGCATGGCCAAGGTTTCCTCACATACACCCATCTTCTCCTCACAGTGTGGAAACTCCCCCTCCTCTCCACACCTTCATTTTCATTAGCGGGAAACTCTCACCTGGAGTCAGTTTAATCTTATTACCAGAAAGGGGTACCAATCCAGACCCCAAAAGAGAGTTCTTGGACCTCATGTAAGAACAAATTCAGGGTGAGTCCATAAAGTAAAAGCAAGTTTATTACAGAAGTAAAGAAACAAAAGAATGGCTACTCCATAGACAGAGCAGCAGCATGGTCTGCCTGACAATGTATACTTATAGTTATTTCTTGATTATGTGCTAAACAAGGGGTGGATTATTCATGAGTGTTCTGGGAAAGGGGCAGGCAATTCCCAGAACTGAGGGTTCCTACCTCTTGTTATACCACATAGGGTAACGTCTGGATATTGCCATGGTATTTGTAAACTGCCATGGCGCTTGTGGGAGTGTTTGTTAGCATGTTAATGCTTTATAATTAGTGTATAATAAGTAGTGAGGACCACATAAGGTCACTTTCTTTTCTTTTCTTTTTTTTTTTGAGACAGAGTCTCACTCCCTCGCCCAGGCTGGAGTGCAGCAGCGCAATCATAGCTCGCTGCAGCCTCTCTGCCTTCCTGCAGCCCCTGCCTCCCAGGCTCAAGCAATCCTCCCAGCTCAGCCTCCTGAGTAGCTGAGACTACAGCCACAGGCCACCACAATCAGCTAATTTTTGTATTTTTTGTAGAGATGGGGTATCACTGTGTTGCCCAGGGTGGCAGAGGTCACTTTCGTCGCCAACTTGGTTTTGGTGGGCTTTGGCTGGTTTCTTCAGCGCATTCTGTTTTATCAGTGGGGTCTTTATGACCTGTATCTTGTGATACCAGTCCTGCCGACCTCCTAGCTCATCCTGTGACTAAGAACGCCTAATCACCTGGGAATGCAGCCCAGTAGGTCTCACCCTTATTTTACCCAGCCCCTATTCAAGATGGTTTCACTCTGCTTCAAACACCCCTGACATTATGACTTAAATAAAGTCAACTTTATAAACCCTTTGTTCATAACACAACCCAAACAATTTGTTCTCTGAGGCTGACCTTCACAGATTTGCTTCATATATATCAATTACAGTCTGTCCCCAGCGACCCTGTGCATGCCAAAACCAAAACACTGCCCAGAAAATAGCTCCAGGCCTGAAGGTACCTCTGAAAGGTACAACCCCAGATAGGACAGAACCCCCGAGCGCATCTGCACGTGGGTCTTCTGCCATCCAGGGCTCTGCAGCTTCCCAGAATCCACACTCCTTCTGGAGCTGGAGGCCACCTTCAAGGGAGGGCGGGCTCCGGGGGAAGCCCCCAGGAGTTTGCAAAAGGAGCCCCCTTTCCCTCCTTTTGCAAACTCCAGACTAGCCTCAGCGGGGAGTCATTGGCCTCCGGCTCTGCTGCCCCCTACAGGTTATTAAGCCGCTTCTTACCCCATTGATCAGTTCCTAGAAACAAACACCCTCAATCCCAGTGTGTGAATAAGACGCCAGCAGAGTCTCTGCTTTCCTCCTGTGGTGCTTTTTTTTATTTTGTTTTGTTTGTTTGTTTGTGACGGAGTCTCGCTCTGTCGCCCAGGCTGGAGTGCAGTGGCGCGATCTCGGCTCACTGCAAGCTCCTCCTCCCGGGTTCAGGCCATTCTCCTGCCTCAGTCTCCTGAGTAGCTGGGACTACACAGGCGCCCGCCACCACGCGCGGCTAATTTTTTTTTTTTTTTTTTTTGGAGACTGAGTTTCACTCTTGTTGCCCAGGCCGGAGTGCAGTGGCGCGATCTCGGCTCACTACAAGCTCCGCCTCCCGGGTTCTCGCCATTCTCCTGCCGCAGCCTCCCGAGTAACTGGGACTACAGGTGCCGGCCACCGCGCCCGGCTAATTTTTTGTATTTTTAGTAGAGACGGGGTTTCACTGTGTTAGCCAGGATGCTCTCGATCTCCTGACCTCGTGATCCGCCCGCGTCGGCCTCCCAAAGTGTTGGAATTACAGGCGTGAGCCACCGCGCCCGGCCTCCTCCTGTGCGTTATGTATGACATAAGGAAAAACAGGCTGGGTGCGGTGGCTCATGCCTGTAATCCCAGCACTTTGGGAGGCCAAGGCGGGCAGATCATGAGGTCAGGAGTTCGAGACCAGCAGCCTGGCCAACATAGTGAAACCTCGTCTCTTCTAAAAATACAAAAAATTAGCCAGGCGTGGTGGCAGGCGCCTGTAGTCCCAGCTACTTGGGGGGCTGAGGAAGGAGAATCGCTTGAACCCGGGAGGGAGAGGTTGTGGTGAGCCGAGATCGCGCCACTGCACTCCAGCCTGGGCAACAAGAGTGAAACTCAGTCTCAAAAAAAAAAAAAAAAAAAAATTAGCCAGGCGAATAGCTTGAACCTGAGAGGTGGAGGTTGCAGTGAGCCGAGATGGCACCACTGCACTCCATCCTGGGCGACAGAACGAGACTCCATCAGAAAGAAAAGAAAGGAAGGAAAAAAAGAAGGGAAGGGAAAGGGACAGGAGGGGACGATAGGGGAGGGGAGGCGGTCGGGAGGGATGTGCAGCCCAGGAGGAGAAGGAAGGGGGCCAGGGAGGCTTAGTCAGTGGGCGGTGGGTGTGTGGGTGTGTGTCCTGTCAGCTTCACATTGTCCAAAGGATCAGAATTCAGTTGTGAGTTTATGAAAGTGAAAAGCAGGGAATGGCCTTTCTGGAAAACACATACTTCAAAGAAATGGGCTCAGTTCTTTCTTACTCAGATTTTGAACAACTCATTTTCACAACCCCAAACCCTCTGCAGGTCACATTTCCTCCTCTCATTTTGGTCTTGGCCTGAACCCTACCTGCTCTCCTTGCACCCTTGTTCCCAGCAAACCGAGGATTGGGCTGCTTATTCTCTGTGCCCAATAATGAGATGCAGATGAACTGGGAAAGAAGAGTTGCTTGCTTTATTTATTTTTTTTATTTTTTTGAAATGGAGGCTTGCTCTGTCTCCCAGGCTGGAGTGCAGTGGCGCGATCTTGGCTCACTGAACCTCCACCTCTCTGGTTCAAGCGATTCTTGTGCCTCACTCAGCCTCTCGAGTAACTGAGATTACAGGCATGCACCACCACGCCTGGCTAATTTTTGTATTTTTAGTAGAGACGGGGTTTCACCATGCTGGCCTCCAACTCCTGGCCTCAAGTGATGTGCCCGCCTGGGCAGCCCAAAGTGCTGGGATTACAGGCGTGAGCCACCGTGCCTGGCCTAGGTTTTTAACGGTATTCCTAAGGAAACACAAATCATGGCATGAGTGTGTCCTCTCTAGAAAAAGAATTAAATACAATGGTTGAAGTAAGAGTAGAAACTCCACCTTGGAGTCTTCTCCCTTAATGTGACACAAACATCATAGGTGAGTCTTCCAGACACGATTCCGCCACAACTTTTTTTTTTTGAGGCAGAGTTTTGCTTTTGTTGTCCATGCTGGAGTGCAATGGCACGATTTCCACTCACCGCAACCTCTGCCTCCTGGGTTCAAGCGATTCTCCTGCCTCAGCCTCCCAAGTATCTGGGATTACAGGCATGCACCACCATGCCCAGCTAATTTTTGTATTTTTAGTAGAGACAGGGTTTCTCGATGTTGGTCAGGCTGGTCTTGAACTCCCGACCTCAGGTGATCTGCCTGCCTTGGCCTCCCAAAGTGCTAAGATTACAGGCGTGAGCCACTGCACCCGGCCTCCCCCACAACTTATTACAGGCTGCCAAAGAGTCAGGCAAAACAGTGCTGGCATCCTCTTTTTCTCTGAAAAATGTGTGCTATCCCTCCCCTTGGCCTCTCGCCCACCCTACTCCCCGTCTTTGCTTTCTTCCTGTCCCCTCATTGTGTCCAGCCAGTGCCATTGTGTCCAGACCGTGGGTTCCTCAGTGGCCATTGCCTCCACCACCATGATATGGAAATTTTTTCTTAATTAATAGAGATGTGGGCTCACTATTTTGCCCAGGCATTTCTTGAACTCCTGGGTTCAAGTGATCCTCTGGCCTCAGCCTCCCAAACCGATAGAATTATGGGCGCAAGCCACCATGCCCAGCCTAGAAGTCTTTTAATGCATTTACATTTTCTTAGAATTTTCCTTCTTTACTTTACATACACACACAGGAGGAAAGCAGGGACTCTGTTGGTTTCTTGGGTTTTTTGTTTGTTTGTTTGTTTGTTTGTTTGTTTGTTTGAGACAGAGTCTTGCTCAGTCGCCCAGGCTGGAGTGCAGTGGCGCAATCTCGGCTCACTGCAAGTTCCAGCTTCCGGGTTCACGCCATTCTCCCGCCTCAGCCTCCCGAGTAGCTGGGACTACAGGCACACACCACCACACCTGGATTTTTTTTGTATTTTTAGTAGAGACAGGGTTTCACCGTGTTAGCCAGGTCGATCTTCTGACCTTGTGATCCGCCCGCCTCGGCCTCCCAAAGAGCTGGGATTGAGCACTTTGCCAGGTGTGAGCCACTGCGCCCGGCCGGTTTCTTGTTTTTAAAAGATGAGGTTGAAGATCTTTTTGTCTGATCATGGAGGTGAAATGCAGGTGAATAACCTGCAGGGGGCAGCAGAGTCTGAGGCCGGTGACTCCACGCTGAGGCCAGCCTGGAGCCTACAAAGGGAAGAAAACGGAGCTCCCCTGAGGGCTTCCCAGGCAGCCCTCCCTCCCCAGCAGGTGGCATCCAGCTGCGCAGAGCAGCTGCAGAACGGCTGTGGATTCTGAGAAGGTGCAGAGGCCTGAAAAGCTGGAAACCTTAGTGCAGATCCCCTGGGGGTTCTGTCCTTTCTGGGTTTGCCTGTCTGGAGCCTGGGGCCATTTTCCGGACAATGCTTTGGTTTTGATATGTGTAGGGTCACTAGGGTCAATAGTGTAATTTGTATATATGAAGAAAATGCGTCCAGGCACCCTGGCTCTTGTCTCTAATCCCAACACTTTGGGAGGGCGAGGTGGGTGATTAGGTTGAGCACCGGAGTTCAAGACCAGCCTGGGCAATATGGTGAGACCCCATCACTACAAAAAATACAAAAATTAGCTGGTTGTGGTGGTGAATGCATGTATCCCCAGCTACTCAGGAGGCTGAGGTGGGAGGAACGATTGAGCCCTGGAGGCTGCAGTGAGCTGTGATCGCACCACCACACTTAAGCCTAGGTGACAGTGAGACTCTGTCTCCAAAAAAAATGTGTGGTAAGTCAGGCTCAGAGACAGAATTGTTTGGGATGTTGAGAAAGAGTTAATGAAGTTGACAGTTTATTCAGGTCACAAACTTAAACTCACCGCAGGTGAGAGTTTCCTGACAGTGAAAATAAAGTTCTGGAAGGAGAGAGCATTTTCACACTGTGACGAGGAATGTGGATGTGAGAAGGCCTTGGCCTTGCCTCATTCCAAATTATCTTGACCTGCAGAACATCTGTCTCTCCCTCCTGATGTAGTCTTGCCTGGCCTCATCTGGGCTCCTCTCCTACTCTGAGGCAAGGGGATAGCTTTGATGGAGCGATAGGCTCTTGACCCCCAAAACATTTGCTAAAATATCGTTGACATAAAGCTGATTAATATGAGAAAGGCATATGAATTTATTTACCATGTATACAGGGCTGCCTTTAGTAAGAAGACCCACCCAACAATAAGATAGAAAAGCTTATATACCATCTTGAGGCTGTTACTAAGGGAGGAGACCACCCGTCATATTGTCGTATGCCCAATTTCTGCCTCCAAAGAAAGAAGAAGTAAAAACTAAAAGGCAGAAATGAAATCCACAAGCAGACAGCCCGGCGCCTCACCCTGGGCCTGGTAGTTAAAGATGGACCCCTGACCTAATCAGTTATGTTATCTATAGAGTACGCACATTGTATAGAAAAGCACTGTGAAAATCCCTGTCCTGTTCTGTTCCGGTCTAATTACCGGTGTATGTAGCCCCCAGTCACGTACCCCCTGCTTGCTGAATCGATCACGACCCTCTCAAGTAGACCCCCTTAGAGTTGTGAGCCCTTAAAAGAGACAGGAATTGCTCACTCAGGGAGCTCGGCTCTTGAGACAGGAGTCTTGCCGATGCTCCCTGCCCAGTAAAACGCGTCCTTCTTTAACTCCGTGTCTGAGGGGTTTTGTCTGCGGTTTGTCCTGCTACATTACCAGAAAGGGGTCCTAATTCAGACTCCGGGAGAGAGTTCTTGGTTCTCATGAAAGAACTCAGGGTGAGTCCTTAGAGTAAAGTGAAAGCAAGTTTATTAGAGAAGTAAAATCTCAGGCCAGGAGCGGTGGCTCATGCCTGTAATCCTAGCACTTTGGGAGGCTGAGGCTGCCAGATCACCTGAGGTCAGGAGTTCAAAACTAGCCTGGGCAACACGGTGAAACCCTGTCTGTACTAAAAATACAAAAAAAATTAGCCAGGCATGGCTGCATGTGCCTGTAGTCCCAGCTACTCGGGAGGCTGGGGCAGTGAGGTGGAGGTTGCAGTGAGCTGAGATTGCACCACCACAATCCAGCCTGGGCAATAGAGGGATACTCCATCTCCAATAAAAAAAAATGAATTGGGTTTAACATTAATAAAATATCAGTAATAATTATAATTTTTATGTGAAATTACTGTGTGTCACAGAAATGACCAGACCTTAATAATGGATGTTCTTCGCCGGGTGCAGTGGCTCAAAGTGCTGTAATCCCAGCACTTTGGGAGGAAGAAGTGGGTGGATCACGACGTCAGGGATTCAAGACCAGCCTGGCCAACATGGTGAAACCCTGTCTGTACTAAAAATACAAAAAATTAGCTGGGTGTAGTGGTACATACCTGTAATCCCAGCTACTCAGGAGGCTGTGGCAGGAGAATTGCTTGAACCCAGGAGGCAGAGGAGATCTAGACCATCCTGGCTAACACGGTGAAACCCCCTCTCTACTAAAAATACAAAAAAAAAATTAGCCGGGCGTGGTGGCAGGCGCCTGTAGTCCCAGCTACTCGGGAGGCTGAGGCAGGAGAATGGCGTGAACCCAGGAGGCGGAGCTTGCAGTGAGCTAAAATCGCACCACTGGACTCCAGCCTGGGTGACAGAGCGAGACTCCGTCTCAAAAAAATAAAAATAAAAATAAAAACCCGGGTGGACAAGAAACAAAAAATAAAAAGAATTTTAAAACTGTAAAACTGTTGTTGAGTACTAATGTGCTCATAACTATTGAGCAGAACAGAAGTTTATGACATAGACTGAACTAAGGGAAGACTAAAATAATCTTTTTATAGCTTTTTGTTTAAAATATTGCTAATTCTTTTGTTTTTCAAAGTCCAGAAAAACTTTTTTTTTTTTTTTTTTGAGATGGAATCTCACTTTGTCACCCAGGCTGGAGTGCAGTCACTCAATCTCAGCATCTCGCTCACTGCAACCTCCACCTCCCAGGTTCAAGTAATTCTCCTGCCTCAGCCTCCAGAGTAGCTGGGATTACAGGCACCCGCCACCAGGCCTGGCTAATTTCTGTATTTTTTAGTAGAGACTGGGTTTCGCCATGTTGGCCAGCTGGTCTTGAGCTCCTGACCTTAGGTGATCTGCCCGCCTTGGCCTCCCAAAGTGCTGGGATTACAGGCGTGAGCCACCGTGCCTGGCCATAGGTATCACTTTCTTTACGGCCCAGAACAAATAGCCCTCCTAAACAAATAATGTACATAACTCACAAATTTCTTGCTTACCATCAAAAACCTTGATTTATCAAACATTTCAGGTGACAAAACAATGCAAGTTCCCAAGTTGCATTCTATAAAATCTCTAGCAAACCTTTGTTTCTTTGCAGCCGGCTCCCTTCTGCTGGTTCTGCCTGTTGCCTTCTTGCAAGGTACTTTCATATTTTCCTTAATAAATCTGCCTTTTTTTTTTTTTTTTTTTTTTTTTTTACCTACAACTGTCTTGGTAAATCCCTTTTTTTTTTTTTTTTTTTTTTTGAGATGGAGTCTTGCTCTGTTGCCCAGGCTGGAGTGCAGTGGCACAATCTCGACTCACTGCAGCCTTTGCCTCCCGATTCTCCAGCGATTCTCCTGCCTCAGCCTCCTGGGTAGTTGGGATTACAGGCGCCCACCACCAAGCCCGGCTAATTTTTGTATTTTTAGTAGAGATGGGGTTTCGCCACATTGGCCAGGCTGGTTTCAAACTCCTGACCTCAGGTGATCCGCCCGCCTCGGTCTCCCAAAGTGCTGGGATTACAGGTGTGAGCCACATCGCCCGGCCAGTCTTGATAAATTCTTTTACCCTTGCGCCACTGGCCCAGATAGTAGCCACTCACCCACAACATAGATGAAGACTCCCACAGAGAGAATGGATGCAAAATGCTTCTTTTAAGAATTTCTGGCCGGGCACGGTTGCTCACGCCTGTAATCCCAGCACTTTGGGAGGCCGAGACGGGCGGATCACGAGGTCAGGAGATCGAGACCATCGTGGCTAACACGGTGAAACCCCGTCTCTACTAAAAGCACAAAAAATTAGCCAGGCATGGTGGCAGGCGCCTGTGGTCCCAGCTACTCGGGAGGCTGAGACAGGAGAATGGCGTGAACCCGGGAGGCGGAGCTTGCGGTGAGCCGAGATCGCGTCACTCACTCCAGCCTGGGCAACAGAGCAAGACACCATCTCAAAAAAAAAAAAAAAAAAAAGCAAAACCAGAATTTCTTACTTATTTTGTTTTTTGGTCTCACTCTGTTGCCCAGGCTGGAGTGTACTGGTGCAATCACAGCTCACTGCAGCCCTCGACTCCTGGGCCAAAGTGATTCTCCTGCCCTGGCCTCCTAAAGTGCTGGTATTACAGGCCCCAGCCACCTTGCCTGGCCTCTTTCCAGACTTTTTTTGTTTTTGTTTTTTTTGAGACGGAGTTTCATTCTTGTTGCCCAGGCTGGAGTCCAGTGGCATGATCTCGGCTCACTGCAACCTCCGCCTCCCAGCTTCAAGTGATTCTCCTGCCTCAGCCTCCCACATAGCTAGGATTACAGGCGTCCGCCACCACGACTGGCTAATATTTTGTATTTTAGTAGAGATGTGGTTTCACCATGTTGGCCAGGCTGGTCTCGAACTCCCGACCACAGGTGATATACCCGCCTCGGCCTCCCAAAGTGCTGAAATTACAGGCGTGAGCCGCCGCGCCCGGCTTTCCAGACTTTTAAAAGTGTCAGACTCTCAATTTCTCCCGGATCAGGGAAAGGGAAAAGGGGAGAGGGGGCATGGCTTCACTAATGGAAATACTCCATAGACGCAAATTTCACCCCCCAGAAGACAGTTGTGCAAGGGCAAAGCTGCAGCCATTCGAAATTGCCAAATAAATATATTTTGGAATAAAATATTTTAATTGCTTTCACCTCTATTAAACATAGAGTCTGGAACTCCCTGCACACACTTATGACACTGTGCAGGACGAAGAAGCAGGGACAGACCATTGACAGAGCCACTTCTAGTAATTAAGACGAGCAAGTTTGGCCGAAATGCAAATTTTCAAAGAGCAGGGCGTAGAGAGGGAACTTGACCTTGGACTGTGGCTTGAAGCGGTCAGTCCTGCTCTGCTTGGCCCTGTTACCCAGGACTTCTGCTGTCACTCAGGATGCAGGGGGCGGGGCCTGGCGCTCCACCCAATCAGAGTCGCCGGGGTGGGGCCCGGCCAACTGTTTATCCGCGGGTCACATTGCCGTTCGCCTCAGTCTTTGGCCCCTCCCGCCGGGTGAGGTTGGCACCCCGTTTTTCCTGCTCTGAGAGGGACCGGTTGCCACCGCCATACTTCTGTCGCCCTGTCGTCTGTGTTGTGACTGCTTTGGACGTGGGAGTCACCTGAAAGCCAGGAAATGGTGAGTGTGAGCCCCCGCTGGGAGTCCCGAGACTTGGGGGAGGGTAGGCGGAGGCTGGTTGGAACTGGCTGGAACCGGCTGTGCCGGGACCCGGACCTCCCCGCGGCGACTCGAGGTCTGGGGCCCGAGCCCCGCTGGCGCAGCTCGGCCTTCGGTCCATTCGGCCGCCGGGTGCGGCTGGGCCGGCAGCCGGGACCCCTGGGCGCCCTGTCTCGTCGCCGCGCGGCGACTGCGGCCCCAGCCCGGGAGCCCTCTCTGGACAGCTCCGCGCCCGCAGCCCGGAGCCTCTCCATATTGTGCGGGGCCACGGGAGGGTCATGGGGGCAATCCCGCCTTGGGTGTGGGGCTCGTGCGGGAGGAGCTGCGCTGTGAGGCCCTCAGTGCCCCCTTTCTCCTGTTAAAACTTAAACAGGCCCGGTGCTGGGAATAGAGG
This sequence comes from Homo sapiens, assembly GCF_000001405.40. Classification (NCBI taxonomy): domain Eukaryota; kingdom Metazoa; phylum Chordata; class Mammalia; order Primates; family Hominidae; genus Homo; species Homo sapiens. Next base: position 12,065,310 of record NC_000019.10, read on the forward strand.
CGTGAGCCACCGCGCCTGGCCTAGCGTGGAGAACTTGTGACAGCGGATAAATGTTTTCCCTGCTGTCTGTGGCTTAGAGCTTGGCAACTGCTGTCGTGTTTTTGTTCACATCATGATCAATGTGTACTAGATGCTTTGTTGTTGTAATCGCCTGAGGGGTTCTTCCTGCCTGTGCTGCAAAAAGAAAGACCAGGGCATTGCAGTAAAGAAAATGTTTGACACGAGATGGACCACGCAACGCCGAAGACGGAGACAGAGTTAGCACTCAAATCAGTCTCCCCGAAGGCTTATAGTTAGGGATTTTTCTTTAATATTTTTTTCTTACAATTTTTTTTTTTTTTTTTAAGACAGAGTCTCGCTCTTTTTTGCCCAGGCTGGAGTGCAATGACACGATCTGGGCTCAGTGCAACCTCTGCCTCCCGGATTCAAGCGATTCTTCTGCTCAGCTTCCCTAGTAGCTGGGGTTACAGGCACGCCACCACGCCCTGCTGATTTCTGTATTTTCAGTAAAGACGGGGTTTCACCGTGTTGGCCAAGGTGGTCTTGAACTCCTGACCTCAGGTGATCCGCCCGCATCGGCCTCCTAAAGGGCTAGGATTACAGGCGTGAGCCACCTGGCCCGGCTAAAAATTGTTTTTTAAACAAGGTCTCACTCTGTCGCCCAGGTTGGAGTGCATGGCGCGATCACGGCTCACTGCATCCTGGACCCACCTGAGCAGCAGCTCAGGTGATTGTGCTGCCTCACCCTCCCGAGTAGCTGGGACTACAGGCGCAGGCGGCTAATTTTTGTATTTTTGGTAGAGATGGGGTTTCGCCATGTTGCCCAGGCTGGTCTTGAACTCCTGGGCTCAAGCGATCTGCTCACCTCGGCCCCCCAAAGTGCTGGGTTTACAGGTGTGAGCCACCGAACTCGGCCAGGGGTTTTTCAAAGGCAGAATCGGGGAAGAGGTGGTGGGAAATGGTCCTCCTGAGTGCTGAGTTGCTTATAGAGGAGCAGGGTTGGTGGGCCTGAGTGGAGCCATGGGTGTCAGACAAGCAAAAAACCTGAAAACACTTATCTGCAGAAGTATCTTGGGACCAGTCTATACCATAGCAAAATTCAGGCTCCTCATCGCTCCCCACTCTGTTCCCCCCGCCCCGACTCATGGTTTTTCATTAGCTTTAGGAAGGCAGTGTTTAAGGAAGAGCTATTATCATTTAAACTATAACATAAATGTCTTCTTTTTTTTTTTTTTTTTTTTTTTTGTTGTTGTTGTTGACGGAGGCTCCCTCTGTCGCCCAGACTGGAGTGCAGTGACGCGATCTCGGCTCACTGCAAGCTCTGCCTCCCGGGTTCACGCCATTCTCCTGCCTCAGCCTCCGGAGTAGCTGGGACTACAGGCGCCTGCCACCAAGCCCGGCTAATTTTTTGTGTTTTTAGTAGAGACGGGGTTTCAACGTGTTAGCCAGGATGGTCTGGATTTCCTGACCTCATGATCCGCCCACCTCGGCCTCCCAAAGTGCTGGGATTACAGGCGTGAGCCACCTCGCCCGGCCAAATGTCTTCTAAAGTTAGCTCAGCCTAAGCCTAGGAGTAATTAAGGCAGCTTGAAAGGTAAAGACAAGAGAAGCAGTTGGCTAGATCTCTTTGACTGCCATAATTTTTTCAGTGTTACAGTTTTTGCAAAAGTGGTTTCATTATCATGGAAATAGTAATAAAATAATATTGTCAACTTAAAAATAATGAGATTTCCATAAAAAATTAGCTGGGTGTGGTGGTACGCTCCTGTAGTCCCAGCTACTCCGGAGGCTGAGGCAGGAGAATCACTTGAACCCGGGAGGTGGAGTTTGCAGTGAGCTGAGATCGCGCCACTGCACTCCAGCTTGGGCTACAGAGTGAGACTCCCTCTCAAGTAAAATAATAATAATAATGAGATTTCCCTGGAGGCCAGTCAGTCAAGGCTGCACCGAACCGTGATCACACCACTGCACTCCAGTCTGGGTGACAGAGTGAGACCCTGTCTCAAAAATAAGAAAATTAGGCCGGGTGCAGTGGCTTACGCCTGTAATCCCAGCGCTTTGGGAGGCCGGGTCGGGCAATCACCTGAGAAGTTCGAGACCAGGCTGGCTAACATGGTGAAACCCCGTCTCTACTAAAAATATAAAAATTAGCCAGGTGTGATGGTGGTGCATCTATAATCCCAGCTACTGGGGAGGCTGAGGCAGGGGAATTGCTTGCACCTGGGAGGCGGAGGTTGCAGTGAGCTGAGACCACGCCATTGCACTATAGCTTGGGCAACAAGAGTGAAACTCTGTCTCAAAAAAAAAAAAAAAAAAAAAAAAAAAGGCCGGGCGCGGTGGCTCACGCCTGTAATCCCAGCACTTTGGGAGGCCGAGGTGGGTGGATCACGAGGTCAGGAGATTGAGACCAGCCTGGCACACACAGTGGAACTCCGTCTCTACTAAAAATACAAAAAATTAGCCGGGCGTGGTAGTGGGCACCTGTAGTCCCAGCTATCAGAGAGGCTGAGGCAGGAGACGTGAACCCAGGAGGTGGAGCTTGCAGTGAGCCGAGATCGCGCCACTGCACTCCAGCCTGGGCCACAGAGCGAGACTCTGTCTCAAAAAAAAGAAAGAAAGAAAGAAAGAAAGAAAGAAGGAAAGAAGGAAAGAAGGAAGGAAGGAAGGAAGGAAGGAAAGAAAATTAAAAATTAATTTAAAAATAGCCAGGCATAGTGCCTCACACCTACATCCTAGCACTTTAGGAGGCCAAGGTGGGTGGGCGAGGGGTTGTGGGATCCTTTGAGCTCAGGAGTTTGAGACCAGTCTGGGTAACATGGTAGAACCTCATCTTAACAAACTGCTTAAAAAATAGCCAGGCATGATGGTATGTGTCTGTAGTACCCAGCCACTTGGGAGGCTGAAGTGGGAGGATGGCTTGAGCTGAGAGGTGGAGGCTGCAGTGAGGCATGATCATGCCACTGGACTTCAGCCTGGGCGACAGAGCAAGAAACTGTCTCAAAAAATAAAAATAGAGATTCAAAAAATATGGTTAAAGGCTGGGTGCGGTGGCTCACGCCTGTAAACCCAGCACCTTGGGAGGCTGAGGCGGGCAGATCATGAGGTCAGGAGTTCGAGACCAGCCTGACCAACATGGTGAAACCCCGTCTCTATTAAAAAAATATATACAAAAATTAGCCGGGCATGGTGGTGGGCGCTTGTAATCCCAGCTACTCAGGAGGCTGAGGCAGGAGAATTGCTTGAAACCAGAAGGCGGAGGTTGTAGTGAGCCAAGATCGTGCCACTGCACTCCAGCCTGGGCAACAAGAGTGAAACTCCGTCTCAAAAAAAATAAAAAATAAAATAATTTAAAGTTCTAATGGCTTCAGGTTGGAATTATTGACTTCCACAAATGTGTGTATTGTCTGAAATGATTAGATACTTTTGCTTTCCATTTTGTGGTACGAAATGCAAATGCCTTATAATTTCCTTTCCATGTGTAAACCTGAACCTGAGTTTGAGGGATTTTGCTAGATTCTTCAAACACTGGGTATTTTCTCATTGAATCAGACCTGAGCCCAGTGACTGCAAGCTAAGGTCAATCAGAAGCCTGCAAAGAGGTCATTGAAGGCTCACTTGTTTCTTGCTGGGGAGCCTCTCCTGCAGTGTCCCAGCTGCTCACACTGACCCAGCTGCTCACACTGACCATGGGAGGAGCCCTTTATTCTGAGAGAATCTCAGAGCCCTGGAAAACTGAGGATCCACAGGCAGATGCAGCGGGTCAGCGATGCCTTTCTGAGGCTAGTTGTCCTAAGGTTGTTTCTAAACATTTTTAATGAAACAGATGTGGATTTAGGTAAGGAATGACTTTTCTTTTTATTCTTTTATTCCTTTTTTTTTTTTTTTTTTTTTGAGACCAAGTCTTGCTCTGTCACCCAGGCTGGAATGCAGTGGTGTGATCTCGGCTCACTGCAACCTCTGCCTCCTGGGTTCAAGCAATTCTCCTGTCTCAGCCTCCTGAGTAGCTGGGATTACAGGCGCCCAGCACCATGCCCGGCTAATTTTTTGTATTGTTAGTAGAGATAGGGTTTCACCATGTTGGTCAGGCTGGTCTCAAACTCCTGACCTCAGGTGATCCACCCACCTTGGCCTCCCAAAGTGCTGGAATTAACAGGGGTGAGCCATCGCGCCCAGCCAGGAATGACTTTATTCTAAAGGAGAATTGAAATAAGGAAAAGGGAGAAAGTATAAGATCTGTAAGCATCTCAAAGTTAGCCCAAAAAGGAATTTTTTTTTTTTTTACAGAGAGGAGAAAACAAGGTTAGGAAGAAGGTGAGAGTGGGAGGTCAGGATACAATTTCATTCGTTAATAATTTGTATTTTAGGCCAGGTGCGGTGGCTCACACCTATAATCCTAGCACTTTGGGAGGCCGAGGTGGGTGGATCACCTGAGGTCAGGAATTTGATACTAGCCTGACCAACATGGTGAAACCCCGTCTCTACTAAAAATACAAAAATTAGCCAGGCGTGGTGGCACGTGCCTGTAGTCCCAGCTACTCAGGAGGCTGAGGTAGGAGAATCGCTTGAACCCAGGAGGCGGAGGTTGCGGAGAGCCAAGTTTGCGCCAACTGCACTGTAGCCTGGACAACAGTGAGACTCCGTCTCAAAAAAAAAAAAAAAAAAAGAGGCCGGGCGCGGTGGCTCATGCCTGTAATCCCAGCTCGCAGGGAGGCAAGAGGCGGGAGGATAGCTTGAGCCCAGGAGTTCGAGACCTGCCTGGGCAATATAATGAGACCCCGTTCTCCACAAAAAGGAAAAAAAAAAAAAGACAAAAATAAAAATAAGCGTAAAAAAAAAAAAAAAAGAAACTGAAGCATGTGTGGTCATGCCACGCTGAACACATCTATTCTCTGTAGCTAAGCAGGGTTGGGCCTGGTTAGTAAATGTATAGAAAATGCCTAGGAATACTGGCTGTTTTATGCTTAAAAACAAAAAAAGAAAGGATTTCACAAGATAATTCACCAAATGGAAGAAAAACTTCTATATTGAATATCTGGTCCATCTTCTTCTTCACATAGGATGGGGGATGAATTGGTAGCCAGCACTCTGAGGCATCCTGGCCCATTACTGCAGGAGGTGAACTCTACCCTGTAGTCCTCTCTGGCAGTGGTGCAACCACAGTCTCCAATCTCATCCTGTTTATAGGGTGACAACAAGAAGTGGTCATCAGGAGAGAAATCTGACCTGGTGTTTTGGATGTTTGAGTAGGAGGTACTCCCAAGAAATCCATCTTCCTCCCCACCAGAAGAGAACTTCTTATCACTAATGCATTGCAGACATATGAATTAGGGTCTCAAGTCTAAGTCTTTATTCCTTGTAAAGAGAGATTACACTGAAAACTTGGTAAAAATTTCAAGGAAGGTTTTATTCAGCACAATTGCAATATGTGTTGAATAAAGCCTTATTTTTTGCCTATATGTTATAGGACAATTTAATATGGGAAAGAAATTGAACTCAACCTGAATGCATCAACAAGACAATTATATCTAAAGAGCAAGGTACCGTAGAGGATGGAACTTGGTGAGGTGTCAAGAGTTGGGGAAGAGAATATTAATAAATTATCATAGATGAGGGAAACAACTTGATTAGATATCAAGTTGGGGGGCATTCTCTCTAAACTCTCTTATTAGGATTTAGCTATAACTGGGCTCTGCAGGACAAACACAAAAGCTAGTCAGGAAGTGGGCTCCGAGGAGCCTCACTGAAGTATGATCAAGGAAGGAGTCCTTGAGATCCTCCCAGCCTAGTTCTTGCTAGGGCTGATGATAAATCCTTAAGTTTCTGGTTTCCTCCCCACGTTCCAGAACACTCCCTCATTTCCCCTTTCCACTGGACATCATTATCAATCATGTGTCCCCCATGATACATGTGAAACTGCTGCAGTATTTTAATTGCTTACCATTTTTTTCCACAAAGCAATAAGTGGTGGGTATATTCAACCCATTTTCCATGTGCCCCGAGAATACTCTTGTCTCTAATCCTAATGTAACATCATATACGTTTTTGTTATATTAGGATTAGAAACAAGTTCTGTTTAGAAATTTTATTTTCACATTGAAAGTCAATCAGATTTGCTTCAGCTTTAAAGAGTATGCTTGTGTAAAATTCAATGAATGCTGGCAGCAAGCTGCACTTTTTTTTCTAAATGGGAAATGGGTTAAAAATGTATTACTTTATGAATACTGTTCATGAGAGGAAAGCACTCAATAACCACTAAAAACTACATTATATAAATCCTTGTGCCTGATGACTCCTGGTCCACTGACGTTTTCATGAGCTTCTTGGCCCTTTTCATATATCTTGCAGGAATGTCATTCAGATACTTTCCCTATCTTTCAATCAATTAGGTTTTTTTTTTTTTTTTACTTGGTACAATAATTTATTATTGTAAAAAAATTAACATTTATTAGCTTTAGGAATTTTACATGTACTGTTGAGTTAGTTTGTCAAATCTATATAACTCGTCTAAGATGAATAATACTGTATTTTTGTGACTGGCCTTTTGCAATCAGTATAGAATCCTGAATTTTTTTTCTTTTTTTTTTTTTTGTTTGTTTGAGATGGAGTCTCACTCTCTCACACAGCCTGGAGTGCAGTGGCATGATCTTGGCTCACTGCAACCTCTGCCTCCTGGGTTCAAGCTGTTCTCTGCCTCAGCCTCCCAAGTAGCTGGGATTCCAGGCATCCACCACCATGCCCAGCTAATTTTTGTATTTTTAGTAGAGATGGGGTTTCACCATCTAGGCCAGGCTGGTCTTGAACTCCTGACCTCGTGATCCACTCTGCCTCGGCCTCCCAAAGTGCTGGGATTACGGGCATGAGCCACTGCATCCAGCTGAATCCTGAATTTTCATGCTTTTTGTAGCATGGGACAGAAAGTTATTTTGTAAGACTAAATACTATCCCATTGTAAGTACATGCATACCACGTTTTCTTTATCCATTTAGCCATCAGTGGACATTTGGATTGATCCATCTCTTGGCTATTGTGAACAGTGGTTTTCAAATATTTCTTCAAAGATCCAACTTTCAATTTATATGAATTGAATATAAATAGACCCAGAAATGGGTTGCTGGAAGAAAATTTTTTTTTTTTTTGCTAGTTTTTCAGGCACCACCATACTGTTTTCCATAAAGATTGAGCCATTTTGCAATCCTTTGGTCAGAGCACATGGGTTCCAATTTCTCAACGTTTTTTCCAAACTTTATATTTGAGGTGGTTTGATTTTTCTTTTTTCTTTTTCTTTTTTTTTGAGATAAAGTCTCAGTGTTGTTGCCCAGGCTGAAGTGCAATGGCGCGATCTACGCTCACTGCAACCTCCGCCTCCCAGCTTCAAGCAATTCTCTGGCCCCAGCCTCCTGAGTAGCTAGGATTACAGGCACCCACCACCATGCCTGGCTAATTTTTTGTATTTTTAGTAGAGACAGGGTTTCACCATGTTGACCAGGCTGGTCTTGAGCTCCTGACCTCAGGTGATCCACCCACCTCGGCCTCCCAAAGTGCTGGGATTACAGGCATGAGCCACCGCGCCTGGCCTTGATTTTTCTTTTCTTTTTAGTTGAATGTAAGAATTCATTATATTTTCTGAATATTGAGACTTTTCCAGATATATGACTTTCCAATATTTGCTCCAGCATCATGGGGTGCCTTTTCCATCTGTTTATGGTGTCCCCTCATAGACAGAACTTTTAAATTTTGATAAATATTTGCCTTTTTGTTAAGAGTGGGTGCACTGGAGTTTTTATCCCTGAACTTTGTCTCCATTCAGCCTTCAGCATTTCATCAATTACAATTTAAGTTTTCCTACCACAGTCTGCTTTTTTTTTTTGAGACAGAGTTTCGCTTTTGTTGCCCAGGCTGGAGTGCAATGGTGCGATCTCAGCTCACCGCAACCTCCGCCTGCCAGGTTAAAGCAATTCTCCTGCCTCAGCCTCCCGAGTACCTGGGATTACAGGCATACACCACCACGCCCAGCTAATTTTGTATTTTTAGTAGAGACAGGGTTTCTCCATGTTGAGGCTGGTCTCGAACTCCTGATCTCAAGCGATCCGCACGCCTCAGCCTTCCAAAGTCCTGGGATTACAGGTGTGAGCCACCGCGCCCGGCCCACAGTACTGTTTTTCACAAAATTTCTATTCATGAGTTTTTTATTTAGATAGTTCTGCCTCTCTTATCAGTTGGGTTGGTTGAACCCCTTGCAAAATCCAGTTTTTTTTTTTTGCTTTTGTTGTCTGCTGCTTCAATCAGAATAAAATCCCCCTTCCAGGTAATCTTCAATGGTTAAACTTTGTGAACAGGCATTTTCAAGGATATATAGCCTCAGGACTGCTAATGTTAACATTTTCTGCAGGTGAATTTAGAGGACTGTGTTATGACAGGTGCTATAGACCCATGCTACAAACAGACATTAAGAGCAGCCCAGGCAGCGCACCTTTCTCCCTGGATTCCATGAAAAGACACATTTTTCTATTCTGCTGTTCGTTTATTGCTTAGTTCTGTTCCAGCATCAGAATTGCTTTAGAGAAGAAAGTAAGTGTAGACAGAGAGTAATGGGTCAGATGACCAAGAAATAGAATAAATGTTTGGAGTCCACAGCATCATGGGAACTTCTTAGGAAGAGGGTATAGACCCCCAGTGCTGTCAGTCTCACCCATCCTCCTCTATACATGTGGGATGTTTCAGGACTTGGTGGCTTTCGAGGATGTGGCTGTGAACTTCACCCAGGAGGAGTGGTCTTTGCTGGATCCTTCCCAGAAGAATCTCTACAGAGAAGTGATGCAGGAAACCTTGAGGAATCTGGCCTCCATAGGTAAGAATGACAGTATTACGTCCCCCAGTGAATGAGACAAGTGTTTCTAGCTCATTAATGCTATTCCTTGATTTGGAATATGGACAGGCAATACTTTGATGAATAAATGAGGTATGGCTCTAATGTCCCGTGAACATAGAATCTAATCATTTTTTCATAATTTTATTTTAATTCAGGATTCTTTTTCTGATTCTGTATTTTAGGAGAAAAATGGAAAGACCAGAACATTGAAGATCAGTACAAAAATCCCAGGAATAATCTAAGGTGATTTAAACTCACGAGACAAAGCAATGTCTCTCTAGAAAATCTCAGAATGCGAGAATATGTTAAGAAGAAGCAAATAAAGGAAATATGCCTAGCATTAAATTTATTTACTCTTAAAATATTCACTCTAAAAACCTACATTTAAATGTGATCTAGGCTGGGCACAGTGGCTCACACCTGTAATTTCAACTGTTTGGGAGTTGGAGGTGGGAGGATTGCTAGAGGCCTGGAGTTTGAGAAGAGCCTGAGCAAAATGGCGAGACTTCATCTCAAACAAAGAACTAGCTATACATTGTGGCATATACCTGTAGTCCTAGCTACATCGAAGGCTGAGGCAGGAAGATCACTTGAGTCCAGGAGTTCAAGGGTGCTGTGAACCATGATGATGCCACTGCACTCCAGCCTGGGCTATATGGTGACCCTGACTCAAGAAAATGATATAGAAGTTTAGTATTTGTAAAATAGTCTACATGGAAATATTATGAAGAATTCTCATATGGTGTTTTTCTTTTTTAAACATATGATTTTTAAAAATAATACGTATAGATAGGCCATCTTATAGCCATATGGTCCAGTCACCTTCCAACAATTTAGACAGGGTAGAAAGCCTACACTTTCCTGGATAATGTTGAAAGTGCAAGTTCAGTGGGGAGGGATAGCATTAGGAGATATACCTAATGCTAAATGACGAGTTAATGGGTGCAGCACACCAAATGGGACATGTATACATATGTAACAAACCTGCACGTTGTGCACATGTACCCTAAAACTTAAAGTATATTAATAATAAAATAAAATAAAATAAAATAAAATGCAAGTGTAATCCTTGTTAATAAACATCAAATCACTTATAAACAAACCTTCAATAATGTGTTTCTCATTTTTCACAGAAGTCTTCTGGGAGAGAGAGTTGATGAAAATACAGAAGAAAATCATTGTGGAGAAACTTCTAGCCAGATTCCAGATGACACACTGAACAAAAAAACTTCTCCTGGAGTAAAATCATGTGAAAGCAGTGTGTGTGGAGAAGTCTTCGTGGGTCATTCTTCCCTTAATAGGCACATTAGAGCTGACACTGCACACAAGCCGTCTGAGTATCAGGAATATGGACAGGAGCCATATAAGTGTCAACAACGTAAGAAAGCCTTCAGATGTCACCCCTCCTTTCAAATGCAAGAAAAGGCTCACACTGGAGAAAAACTCTATGATTGTAAAGAATGTGGAAAAACCTTCATATCCCATTCAAGCATTCAAAGACACATGATAATGCACAATGGAGATGGAACTTATAAATGTAAGTTTTGTGGGAAAGCCTGCCCTTGTCTCAGCATATATCTTATACATGAACGAGTTCACACTGGAGAGAAACCATATAAATGTAAACAATGTGGTAAAGCCTTTAGTTATTCAACTTCCCTTCAAATACATGAAAGAACTCACACTGGAGAGAAGCCTTATGAATGTAAGGAATGTGGGAAAGCATTCGGTAGTCCCAATTCCCTTTATGAACATAGAAGAACTCACACTGGAGAGAAGCCATATGAATGCAAACAATGTGGAAAAGCCTTCAGATGGTTCCATTCCTTTCAAATACATGAAAGAACTCACAGTGAGGAGAAGGCTTATGAATGTACCAAATGTGGGAAAGCATTCAAGTGTCCCAGTTATCTTTGTAGACATGAAGTGACCCACTCTGGGAAAAAGCCCTGTGAATGTAAACAATGTGGGAAAGCATTATCTTATCTTAACTTTCAAAGACACATGAAAATGCACACTAGAATGAGACCTTATAAATGTAAGACTGTGGAAAAGCCTTTGATTCTCCCAGTTCGTTTTGAAGACATGAAAGAACTCACACTGGAGAGAAACCTTATGAATGCAAGCACTGTGGTAAAGCCTTCAATCGTTCCAGTTCCTTTCACTATCATGAAAGGACTCACACTGGAGAGAAACCCTATGAATGTAAGCAGTGTAGTAAAGCCTTCATTTCTTCCACTTCCTTTCGATATCATGAAAGGACTCACACTGGAGAGAAACCGTATGAGTGTAAGCAATGTGGGAAAGCCTTCAGATCTGCCTCACACCTTCAAATGCATGGAAGGACTCACACTCAAGAGAAACCCTATGAATGTAAGCAGTGTGGTAAAGCCTTCATTTTTTCCACTTCCTTTCGATATCATGAAAGGACTCACACTGGAGAGAAACCCTATGAGTGTAAGCAATGTGGGAAAGCCTTCACATCTGCCTCACACCTTCAAATGCATGAAAGGACTCACACTGGAAAGCAACTGTATGAATCTAAACAATGTGAAAAAACCTTTGGATCTGTCAGAAACCTTCAAATTCATGAAAAGACACACCCTGGAGAGAAACCCTATAAGGAATATGGAAAAGCATTCAACAATTTCTCTTCCTTTCAAATACATGCAACAATGCACAGAGGACAGAATGCCTATGAATGTAAAGAGTGTGACAAAGCATTCATATCTGCCAAGATCCTTCGAGTACATGCAAGAACACACCCTGGAGAGAAACCCTATGAATGTAAGGAATGCGGAAAAGCGTTCAATTATTTTTCTTCTTTGCGTATACACAAAAGGATGCACACTGGAGAGAAACCATATTAATGTAAGGATTGTGGGAAAGCATTCAGTTTGCCTGGTTCCTTTCGTAGACATAAAAGGGCTCACACTGGAGTGAAACCGTATGAATGCAAGGAATGTGGCAAAGCCTTCACTTCTTCTGGTTCCTTTCAGTGTCATAAAAGGATTCACACTGGAGAGAAACCCTATGAGTGTAAGCAGTGTGGTAAAGCCTTCATTTCTTCCACTGCCATTCGTAGACATGAAAGGACTCACACTGGAGAGAAACCCTATGAGTGTAAGCAATGTGGAAAAGCCTTTATTTCTTTCAGTTCCATTCAGTACCATGAAAGGACTCACACTGGAGAGAAACAGTATGAGTGTAAGCAGTGTGGTAAAGCCTTCATGTCTTCTACTGCATTTCAGTATCATGAAAAGACCCACACCAGAGAGAAACACTATGAATGTAAGCAGTGTGGGAAAGCCTTCATTTCTTCCGGTAGCCTTCGATATCATGAAAGGACTCACACTGGAGAGAAACCCTATGAATGTAAGCAGTGTGGTAAAGCCTTCAGATCTGCCACTCAACTTCAGATGCATAGAAAGATTCACACTGGCGAGAAACCCTATGAATGTAAGCAATGTGGGAAAGCCTACAGATCTGTCTCACAACTTCTGGTGCATGAAAGGACTCACACTGTAGAGCAACCCTATGAATATAAGCAATATGGGAAAGCCTTCAGATTTGCTAAGAACCTTCAAATACAGACAATGAATGTAAACAATTAAATGTTTATAGCAGCTGCATACTAACATGTTATTCTGTATTTTTTTTTTCTTTTTGAGACAGAGTCTCGCTCTGTCACCCAGGCTGGAGTGCAGTGGCGTGATCTCAGCTCACTGCAAGCTCCACCTCCTGGGTTCACGCCATTCTCCTGCCTCAGTCTCCTGAGTAGCTGGGACTACAGGTGCCTGCCACCACACCCGGCTGATTTTTTGTATTTTTTAGTAGAGACGGAGTTTCATCGTGTTAGCCAGGATGGTCTCAATCTCCTGACCTCGTGATCTGCCCGCCTCAGTCTCCCAAAGTGCTGGGATTACAGGTATGAGCCACCGTGCCCGGCCGTTATTCTCTATTTTTTGTTGTTGTTTGAGATGAGTCTTGTTCTGTTGCCCAGGCTGGAGTGCAGTGGCATGATCTCGCCTCCGGGTTCAAGCAATTCTCCTGCCTCAGGCTCCTGAGGAAAAAGATTCCTAGGATTACAGGTGTGCACCACCACACTTGGCTAATTTTTATATTTTTAGTAGAGATGAGGTCTCACCCTATTGGCCACACTGGTCTTGAACTCCTGACCTGAAGTGATCCACCTGCCTTAGCCTCCCAAAGTGCTGGGATGACAGGCATGAGCCACTGCACCCAGCTGTTATTCTCTATTTAATTAATTGAGAAGCCATAATAAAATATCTCAGTGCCATCATGCATTAGATCAAGTTTATGTTACCACATTATTTTTTGGACATTGTGAGTCAATATTACCAAGTGGACAAAATCCCAGGCATCTTTTTCCTCATGTAAATTTTAATTTTCATGCTTATATACTTAGAACATTTATCTTGGTCCTAATTTTTTGTTCATTCATAATACCAAAAGTTATCTCATGTTCTTCAGAGTGACTTTGTGCCATATCCCACAGTGGCATACCTGTCTTCAAAGAGGGTATAATTCACAAAAGGACTTACACTAGAGGAAAACCCTATGAATGTAAGCTGCGTGGGAAAGCATTTTCTGATCTGAGTGGCATTGAAACCCACATGGTATTGCACATGACAGATAGGCCTCTCTCCCCGTTCATTTCTTTTTTTTTGAGACGGAGTCTTGCTCTGTCGCTGAGGCTGAGAACAGTGGTTCCATCTCTGTTCACTGCCACCTCCACCTCCTGGGTTCAAGTGATTCTCCTGCCCCAGCCTCCCAAGTAGCTGGGATTACAGGTGACCGCCACCACGCCCAGCTAATTTTTGTATTTTTAGTAGAGACGGGGCTTCACTATGTTGGCCAGGTTCGTCTCGAACTCCTGACCTCAGGTGATCCACCTGCCTCAGCCTCCCAAAGTGCTGTGCATACAGGCATGAGCCACTGCACCCGGCCTTCTCCCCATTCATTTTCAAAGACATAAAAGGATGCACAATAAAGAGAGACCCTCTGAATGCAAGCAATATGGAAAAGCATTCCATTGTATCAGATCCTTTTGTAGCCATGAAAGAACTCGCTGAAGAGAAACCCTGTAAATGAAGGGAATGTGAAAAGCCTTCATTCCTGAAATGAAGCAATTCATACTATTAATATATGAGAGAAATCCTATTATAAGAAATTGATTGCTGTGCACGGTAGCTTACCTGTAATTCCAGCACTTCCAGAGGCTAAGGCAGGTGGATCACTTGAGGTCAGGAGTTCAATACCAGCCTGGGCAACATAGTGAAACCCTGTCTCTACCAAAAATACAAAAATTAGCCAGGCATGGTGGCGCGTGCCTGTAGTCCCAGCTACTCAGGAGGCTGAGGCAGGAGAATCACTTGAACCCAGGAGCTGGATGTTGCAGTGACCCGAGATTACGCCACTGTACCCCAGCAGAGTGAGACTCCATCTGAAAAAAAAAGCAAGGGGCCGGCACGGTGGTTCACGCCTGTAATCCCAGCACTTTGGGAGACCAAGGCAGGCAGATCACCTGAGGTCAGGAGTTCGAGACCAGCCTGGCTAACATGGCAAAACCCCATCGCTACTAAAAATACAAAAAATTAGATGGGCATGGTGGCACATGCCTGTAATCCCAGCTACATGGGAGACTGAGGCAGGAGAATTGCTTGAACCTGGGAGGCGGAGGTTGCAGTGAGCCAAGATCACAGCATTGCACTTCAGCCTGGGCAACAAGAGTGAAACTCCATCTCAAAAAAAAAAAAAAAAAAAATTGAGGAAGCATTCAGTTGTCCCACTTCCTTTCAAACAGGAAGAGACACTAGAGAGAAACCCTCTGAGATAACTGACTGTTGAATTAAGAAGAGAGGCCTGGCCGGACACAGTGGCTCACGCCTGTAATCCCAGCACTTTGGGAGGCTGAGGTGGGCGGATCACGAGGTCAGGAGATCAAGACCATCCTGGCTGACACGGTGAAACCCCGTCTCTACTAAAAAATACAAAAAAACTAGCTGGGCGTGGTGGTGGGCGCCTGTAGTCCCAGCTACTCGGGAGGCTGAAGCAGGAGAATGGCGTGAATCCAGGAGGCAGAGCTTGCAGTGAACCGAGATCGCGCCACTGCACTCCAGCGGCGACAGAGCAAGACTCCGTCTCAAAAAAAAAAAAAAAAAAAAGAGAAGTCTGACAGGACAATAAAATTTAGAAATGGAGTTGGAGGATGTCATAATACAATTCACCAGTGTCCTATCTTACATGCAATTTCAAAGGCAGACAAGAGGAAGTCATCAGTCACATTTTAGAGGCACCAAACAGGTGCCACATCCATACAGGCTGACTCCCTGCTCCCAGCCCATTTTTTCCTGAATCTTTGGCTTGCCAATCAAGAATGTCCTCAAAATTTGCTCAGAGGTGTGGGCCTTTGGGTAAAGGTGTCTTCAGAAGCTCCACATTAAAGATCCATCAGTGGTTAAGGGCAAATTGAAGAGAAATAAAGACTAAGATATTTTTTTAAAAGACTGAAAGAATAGAACAATGAAAAAGCCCCATCTGTAATACAGTTTTTCTTTTTCTTTTTTTTTGAGACAAGGTCTCTCTCTGTCACCCAGGCTGGAGTAGAGTGGCATTATCCTGGCTCATTGCAATCTGGGCCTCCTGGTTTCAAGTGATTCTGGTGTCTCAGCCACCTGAGTAGTCAGGATTACAGGTGCACACCACCACGCATGGCTAAATTTTTGTATTTTTAGTAGAGATGGGGTTTCACCATGTTGAGCAAGCTGGTCTTAAACTCCTGACCTCAAGTGATCCGTCTGTCTTGGCCTTTCAAAATGCTGGGATTATAGGCGTGATCCACTGTGCCTGGCCTGGTGTTTCTTTAGGTATAATGTCTTTACCAGAGAGCTAATGCAGACTGTCATGGGTGAGATTGTTCTCTGATGTTCAATTCCCCTACTTTGTATATTGAGTCAGTATGAGATGCGATTTGTTTGGCAAGCACCTTTGTTCCTGCTGTTACTGACCCTTATCTTGTAGCCTCACAGCTACTATGCTTTTGTCCAGTCCAACTAGATAGGAGCTTCTTCCTCTGCTGCAGTGACTGGTCTCACCCAGGGCTTTCAGGAAGGTGAGAATAAGCACCTTCCTCCTCCCAGGAAGTTTTGAGTTTCCTGTGTTTCATTTCTGAATGTAATGTCTCCATTTATTTTCAATTATGTTTGATTATATTTGATTAAAAACAATAATTTTTTTGGCAACCAAGATTTCTGTACATGTGTCATAGAAATAGTTGAACTTTTCCACAACTGTATACTGACAAACATTATTCTTTCTTAATTAATTCAGTAGCTATATTAAAATATGTATTAGATCAAGTTCATAATGTTGCCAAGTTATTGGTTGGACATTGTGAGTCAATATTACCATGTGAATAGAATGCCAGGCATGCTTTTTCTCATGTAAAAAAATTTTACTTTTTATACTCACTTATATCCTTAAATTTTTTTGTTGTTTGTTTGTTTGTTTTTTTTGAGACGGAGTCTCACTCTGTCGCCCAGGCTGGAGTGCAGTGGCATGATCTCGGCTCACTGCAAGCTCTGCCTCCCGGGTTCACGCCATTCTCCTGCCTCAGCCTCCCAAGTAGCTGGGACTACAGTTGCCTGCCACCACGCCCGGCTAATTTTTTTGTATATTTTTTTTAGTAGAGACAGGGTTTCACCGTGTTAGCCAGGAAGGTCTCAATCTCCTGACCTTGTGATCCACCCACCTCGCCCTCCCAAAGTGCTGGGATTACAGGCGTGAGCTACCGCGCCTGGCTATCCTTAAATTTTTTATCTTAGTCCTAACTTTTCTTTTTTTCTTTTTCTTTTTCTTTTTTTTTTTTTTTGAGACGCAGTCTCGCTCTGTCGCGCAGGCTTGAGTGCAGTGGTGCGATCTCCACTCACTGCAACCTCTGCCTCCTGGGTTCAAGCGATTCTCCTGCCTCAGCCTCCCAAGTAGCTGGGGTGACAGGCGCCGGTCACCACACCCGGCTAATTTTTGTATTTTTAGTAGAGATGGGGTTTCACCATGTTGGTCAGGCTGGTTTAGAATTCTTGACCTTGTGACCCACCTGCCTTAGCCTCCCAAAGTGCTGGGATTACATGGGTAAGCCACCACGCCCAGCCTCTTAGTCCTAACTTTTCATTCATTCATTGTACCAAAAGTTAACTCAATGTTCTCAGTGACGTCTTGCCAAAGACCACCAGTACCATACTTGTTGTCAAAGAGGGTGTAATATAGTAATAAATATGATCAAAAGCCATAAATGACAGTGAGATATATGAGAATTACAAATGAGTCACATTACTGAAAAAAATTTGCTCAGTTTGATAATTTGAAATATGTTTTCTTCTATACTATTTTGAGACATGGTTACAGAGTGTCCTTGTTTTGTCTTGATCCGTCATGGTCACTGAAGAGCATTGTCTCACATTGCAGGTGTATGACATGTGTCTTTCCAATGGCATAAGACTTGGCCTTGTGGCCGGGCGTGGTGGCTCATGCCTATAATCCCAGCACTTTGGAAGGCTGAGGCGGGTGGATCACCTGAGGTTGGGAGTTCGAGACCAGTCTGACCAACATGGAAAAACCCCGTCTCTACTGAAAACGCAAAAATTAGTCGGGTATAGTGGCACATGCCTGTAATCCCAGCTACTTGGGAGGCTGAGGCAGAAGAATCACTTGAACCCAAGAGGTGGAGGTTGCAGTGAACTGAGGTCACGCCATTGCACTCCAGACTGGGTAACAAGAGCAAAACACCGTCTCAAAAAGCAAACAAAGAAAAGACTTGGCCTTGTGGTGAGAGGAGGTAGCTCCTGGACTTCTAGACCCATTTTTGCCTTATCTTTTTTTTTTTTTTTTTTGAACTACTGAGCAGCTGGGATTACAGGCACTCGCCACTACACCCAGCTAACTTTTATATTTTTAGTAAAGACAGGGTTTCACTATGTTGGTCAGGCTGGTCTTAGACTCCTGACCTCAGGTAATCCACTCACCTCAGCCTCCCGAAGTGGTGGGATTACAGGCGTGAGCCACCACGCCTGGCCAAAAAATATGCATATTTTAAATATGCATATTTTATTTTTGTATTTTTTCATGAAGGAAGGTCAAATAACAAAACAGGAAAAATCCTTTTTAAGATAAGTGAACTTTAAATTTTCCTCAAAAAAACTTATAATTCACACCTGACCCAACATTTCATCATCCAGTTTTTGTTTTGTTTTGTTTTTTTGAGATGGAGTTTCGCTTTTGTTGCCCAGGCTGGAGTGCAATGCCACGATGTTGGCTCACCACAACCTCCACCTCCCACGTTCAAGCGATTCTCTTGCATCAGCCTCCTGAGTAGCTGGGATAACATGTCTGTACCACCACACCTGGCTAATTTTGTATTTTTAGTAGAGATGAGGTTTCACCATGTTGGTCAGGCTGGTCTCAAATTCCCAACCTCAAGTAATCCGCCCACTTCAGCCTCCCAAAGTGCTGGGATTACAGGCATGAGCCATCGTGCCCAGCCTATCATCCAGTTTGTTTGCAGTATCACAATGTTTTATTCAGAAACATTTACTAAATTTGGGCCAGACACGGTGGTTGTTCAGGCTAGGGTATAATGGTGGGATCATAGCTCACTGCATCCTTAACTCTTGGGCTCAAGTGATTCTCTCGCCTCAGCCTCCAACATATGTGGGACTACAAGCATACACCACCATGCCCAGGTAACTGTTTTGTTTTTTTTTTTAAGATGGAGTCTACACTGGCACAGTCTCTGCTCACTGCAACCTCCACCTTCTGGATTCAAGCGATTCTCCTGCCTCAGCCTCCCAAGTAGCTGGGATTACAGGAAGCTGCCACGCCACCATGCCTGGCTCATTTTTGTATTTTTAGTAGAGATGAGGTTTCACCATGTTGGCCAGGATGGTCTCAAACTCCTAGCTTCAAGTGATCCATCCACCTCGGCCTCCCAAATTACTGGGATTACAGGCGTGAGCCACCATGTCCTGCCAGATTTTAAAAATTTTCTGTGGAGATGTGATCTAACTGTGGTCCCAGGCTGCTCTTTAACTTTTAGCCTCAAGCAGGTCTCCTCCCTCAGCCTCACAGTGCTAGGATTATAGGCTTGAGCCATTTCAAACAGCCAAATTTAACTTTTATTGTGGTGTTGAAAGGAATTTTGTATGTACTTTCTTCTTTTTTTCTTTTTTTTTTTTTTTGAGACGGAGTCTGGCTCTCTCACCCAGGCTATAGTGCAGTGGTAAGATCTTGGCTCACTGCAGCCTCCATCTCCCAGGTTCATGTGATTCTCCTGCCTCAGCCTCCCAAGTAGCTGGGATACAGGTGGCCAACACGACACCTGGCTAATTTTTCTATTTTTAGTAAAGACATGGTTTCACCATGTTGGCCAGGCTGGTCTCGAACTCCTGACCTCAAGTGATACACCCATCTGGGCTTCACAAATTGTTGGGATTACTGGCATAAGCCACCACACCTGGCATTTGTATATGCCTTTCTTGTATTACTTTGACCATGGTAGGACATATACAATAGGCAAATGATATAAAAGGCCAAGGCGGGCAGATCACAAGGTCAGGAGTTCGAGACCAGCCTGGCCAATATGGTGAAACCCCGTCTCTACTAAAGATACAAAATTAGCCGGGCGTGGTGGTGGGCGCCTGTAATCCCAGCTACTCGGGAGGCTGAAGCAGGAGAAACCCTTGAACCTGGGAGGTAGAGGTTGCAGTGAGCCAAGATCATGCCGGTGCACTCCAGCTTGGGAGACAGAGCGAGACTCCATCTAAAAAAAAAAAAAGGTTAAATTTAATTTTTGACAATCACTTTAACACACAACTTAGGTTTATATGGAAAGAGAACTATGACCACTTGTGAACAAGTAACTGGTAAGTAAGATGGAATTATGGCTTCTGTGTGATACTCTATTGTTAGGCAAGCACAAGCTCCTTATAAAAGCCCTCATATATGTAAATGCATCAAATATCATGTGACTACTTGGTTTCCTAAGGACAGTTTATTATTCCTTTATCCCAGTATAATTTTGCATAGTCATCACTCTCTTTGTTATGGGTATCTATACTTAAAGAATAAATATATATGAGTTATCTACACATGAGCTAAATGAGGTTTTGTAAATTGAATGATATTTTTAGGAAAGTGTTGGACTTTGTCAATTACCATGCCTGATATCAATGTGTCTTACCTGACTATATCACTCCTAAAAATTTCACTGCGGGCCGTGGTCCCTGGATTTCCTGAGGGTTGATTGCCCATCCCCATTCCTGTAGACGAGCACACAATGGTATAAGACTTTCCTGTAACACATTACAGTCTTCAGAGGTTAACGTGATGTCATCAATATAATGAAACCAGGGCCAGGTCAGATGGCTCATGCCTGTAGTCCCAGTGACTCAAGAGGCTGATGCATGAGAATCACTTCAGCCCAGGTGTTCAAGGCTGTAGCGAGGTATGACTGCATCACTGCACTCTAGCCTGAGTGACACAGCAAGACCCACCCTGTCAAAATAAATTAGATAGATAGATAAAATAATAAATAATGAAATAAAAAAATATATAAAATTAAACCATGAAAGATGACAGGAATGGGAACAAAGACAAGCCTCTAGCCAACATTCTGTGACAAATCCTAGGACTTTGGAGATAACCCTGGAGCAACCCTTGAATGGCAGCCGACTCACCAGGGCATCTTTCTGGACTTCCATGGATTAAAACACACTCCACCATAGCATCTACTAATGTGACAGTCTTCTCTCTATTTTGGGGGACCAGTAAGTGGAGAGCTGAACATGAACCCTTTTATTCCAGTAGCAGCCTGGCAGGGTAAAAGCAAATTGGTCTTGTGATTATTTAGAGAGAGGAATGCTGAAAAAAACATTAGCTAAATCTAACGCACTGTGATGCATCCCCAGCAGGGACACTATGTGATCAGCTACCTGAGTAATAGGAACTACAGGATGTATGGTTGGGGGTTACCTTGGTCAATTCCTGGTAATCTGCAGTCATCCACCAGGTACTGTTTGGTTTGTGTTCAGGCCAGAGAGACTGTTAAAATGAGTTTGAGCTGGGTGGATAATGTGTCCACTTACCAGTGCCTCAATAGTTGCACTTATTTCTTTTTTTTTTTGAGACGGAGTCTCATTCTGTCGCCCAGGCTGGCGTGCAGTGGTGTGATCCCGGCTCACTGCAAGCTCCACCTCCCGGGTTCACGCCATTCTCCTGCCTCACCCTCCCGAGTAGCGGGGACTACATGCGCCCACCACCGCACGTGGCTAATTTTTTTTTTTTTTTTTTTGTATTTTTAGTAGAGACGGGGTTTCACCGTGTTAGCCAGGATGGTCTCGATCTCCTGACCTCGTGATTCACCCACCTCGGCCTCCCAAAGTGCTGGGATTACAGGTGTGAGCCACCACACCCGGCCTAGTTGTACTTATTTCATCATGTCCTCCACAGCCCCCCCGCCCAAAATAATTTGTACTATTATTTATTTATTTATTTATTTATTTATTTATTTTTGAGATGGAATCTTGCTCTGTCGCCCAGACTGGAGTGCAGTGGTGGTATCTCGGCTCACTGCAATCTCCTCCTCCCAGGTTCAAGCTATCCGCCTCCTGGGTTCAAGCTATCAGCCTCCCGAGTACCTGGGACTACAGATGTGCGCCACCACACCCAGCTAATTTTTGTATTTTTAGTAGAGATGGGGTTTTGCCATGTTGGCCAGGCTGGTCTCGAACTCCTGACCTCAGGCAATCCACCCACCTCAGCATCCCAAAGTGCTGGGATTACAGGCGTGAGTCACTGAGCCCAGCCTAATAATTTGTACTCTTTAAACTTGACAACTCGCCTAGGAGCAGAAAGCTGTTCAGGTTCCCATTTTGCCTGTCCTTGAGAACAGCCTTTACTACAGCACGTTCAAGCTGAATTCTCCCACTCAAGTTTGCGAAGTCTTTCCTAACAGAATATCCATGCCTAAAATGTTTTCTAAAATAGGGGTAATAAATGCCATATATGGGTTGGGGAGCTTCCCAATACCTAGATGTATTAAAGTCCTTTTTATCTGAGTCATTTGTCCTCTATAATCATCAGTGTCAGGCCACTGTTCAGGATTTGTTTCTGGATTTCCAGAGATGAAAGTACATTCCACCCTGTAATAGGATTACAGACTATTACTAAGGTAATAATCTTTTTATTTGGGGGGGCAACAAGAAATGGTGAGCTTGATATGGGACCTCTGGTTTCCACCTATTGCTTGAACATGGGGTTGACCTTGCCCCAGTCCTAATCTCTGAGCTATGGTGGAATCCACTCCTGGTAGAGTGGGACGATCAAATGAAAGATTGAGTCATCTTCCTATTCTTCCATAGAGGCAGAAGGGAAGGGATGAAACTGCAGTTTAGGCTGTAGTTTCTACCATAAGGGTACTAATAAAGTCTTAGGTTGTTTGTCTGTTTCTCTTCAGGGTGTTTCTGCCCCCAACAAATTATGCCACATTTGCTCATGGGTGACTCCTATTGGTCCCTTTCCCTATCTCCCCTTTTCTTTCTGTTGATTTTTCTTTTTTCCCTTTGTTAGCCCTTGTTGGATTACCGAGTTTACCCTGTTCCTGAGTTTCTAAATTTCTCCAAATCTGCAGTGCTTCTCCCACATCATATACACATTGTCCCACTATAGGACTCGAGAAAGATAGCAAAGGGCCATGCCATTCCTCTGGTGCACCCTGTAGCATTTTTTAAATCTGGGCAGTACAAACTGCTTTACTGGTCCCATGGAAAGCCACTCCTAGATGGCTTGCCTCCTTCCTCAACCTCCAAGAAGCCCCAGGGTTACAGAATCACCAGGTTCATATGCACACTGTGCAGTAACAGACCAATACACTGAGACAGCAAGATTTGCAGCACAGAAAGAGTTTAATGATCATGGGGTGACCCAGCAAGCAGATGAGAGGGGCCCTCAAATCCAACTCCTCAAAAAGTTCTGGGCTGGATTTTTTGTTTTTTGGACTAGTCAATTGAAGCAGTGGGAATGGAGGAGAAACAAAGACATCTGTAACTGGTTGTGATCAATTAGTTGTAAACACCACTGCACTTGGACCCACACTAGGCTGGGATTTTTAAGGGGATTGTGGCATGCAAGAGGCTGAAAAATTGAGGTGGTTGATTGAAGTACAGGCAATGAAATCATCAGGATGTGAAAACTACCTTCTTTGGTGAGTCAGCTACTACTGGGGTCCTTCAGAGCAGCTGAAGTCAGTAGTTTCACTGTTATGCAGGACCTGAAATAATATCTCAAAGGGAAAAATTAACATTTTTTAATGTTCAAGTTTTTATCTATAGAGCAGTTAAGGGGAATTATCATCTAGGGTTTACAGGATTCTAGGACGCTAGGCATCAAACAACTATGAAGGGGGCCAGGCATGGGGGCTCATGCCTGTAATCCCAGTACTTTGGGAGGCTGAGGCAAGCGAATTGCTTGATCCCAGGAGTTTGAGACTATTCTGGGTAACATAGTGAGACCCCATCTCTATTTCAAAAAAATAAAAAAAAAATTTGGCGGGGGGGTCAGAGAGCAAGCTGACCTAATAATTAATGCTGAATGTGCAGCAAGCTTTGTTTATTTCAATTTTCTCCCTCCCTCCATCATTGATTAATTTGACAAAATTTAAAGGGATGGCTTCATCAGCATTTCTTCCGTTGACTGCTAGGACGTCATCTCTTCTGGTAAATCTTCAGCAGGCCAAGCATCTCTTATGGGTAGAATGATCTAGTCCATAAGGGAATACCATCACACTGTGTC
This sequence comes from Homo sapiens, assembly GCF_000001405.40. Lineage (NCBI taxonomy): Eukaryota > Metazoa > Chordata > Mammalia > Primates > Hominidae > Homo > Homo sapiens. The sequence goes on from NC_000019.10 coordinate 12,089,044, forward strand.
CCACAATTGGATGATCCAAGTGGTCCCGGGAATCCCCAGGTAGGATGGTTTCATTTCTTTTTTTTTTTTTTTTGAGACAGTGTTTCACTCTGTTGTCCAGCCTGGAGTGCAATGGTGCCATCTCAGCTCACTGTAACCTCCACCGCCTCCTGGGTTCAAGTGATTCTCCTGCCTCAGCCTCCCAAGTAGCTGGGATTACAGGTGCCCACCACCATGTCCAGCTAATTTTTTGTATTTTTAGTAGAGATGGGGTTTCACCATGTTGGCCAGGCTGGTCTTGAACTCCTGACCTCAGGTGATCCACCCGCCTCGGCCTCCCAAAGTGCTGGGATTACAGGTGTGAGCCACTGCGCCCGGCCTTTTTTTTTTTTTTTTTGAGACAGAGTCTTGCTCCGTCTCCCAGGCTGGAGTGCAGTGGCGCAGTCTCGGCTCACTGTAACCTCCACCTCCCAGGTTCAAGCGATTCTACTGCCTCAGCCTCTGGAGTAGCTGGGACTACAGGCGCCTACCACCACACCCGGCTAATTTTTTGTATTTTTAGTAGAGACGGGGTTTCACTGTGTTAGCCAGGATGGGCTCAATCTCCTGACCTCGTGATCCATCCACCTTGGCCTTCCAAAGTGCTGGGATTACAGGTGTGAGCCACGCCCGGCTTGGTTTCATTTTGTGGCCCAGGCTGGAGTACAGTGGCCTGATCCTAGCTCTCTGCAGCCTCGGACTACTGGGTTCAAGTGATCCTCCCACTGCAGCCTCTTGAGTAGCTTGGGACTACAGGCACAGGCCACCTTGCCAGGCTAATTTCTCTCTCTCTCTTTTTTTTTTTTTTTGAGATGGAGTTGCGCTCTTGTTGCCCAGGCTGAAGTGCAATGGCACGACCTCAGCTCACAGAAATCTCCGCCTCCCAGATTCAAGAGATTCTCCTCCCTCAGCCTCCCGAGTAGCTGGCATTACAGGTATGTGCCACTATGCCTGGCTAATTTTGTATTTTTAGTAGAGACGGGGTTTCTCCATGTTTGTCACACTGGTCTGGAACTCCCGACCTCAGGTGATCCGCCTGCCTCAGCCTCCCAAAGTGCTGTGATTACAGGCATGAGCCACCGCGCCCGACCTTCTTTTTGTTTGTTTGTTTGTTTGTTTATAGAGACAGGGTCTCACTCTTTTGCCCAGGCTGGTCTTGCTCTGGTCAGGCTGTCTCCAACTCCCAGCTTCAAGCGATCCGCTCCCCTTGGCCTCCCAAACTTCTGGGATTACAGATGTGAGCCATGGCAACTGGCCTTCCAGGTATTTATTGAAAGGTTTTGCAACCTCTGATTGTTCTGCAGCAGTATATTACCTGACAATGAGAGTCCCCTGCATCCTTTCACCCCATGTTGCAGAAGTTGCTGCGCTTTCCCCTTTTGTTTGCATAGTGGGACAAGCATGTCAATGATCCTCATCCTCCTCTTCATCAATGACTTCTTTGTCATCAGTCTTCCTCTTCATAAATTGCCAAGGAATCCAAGTTCTCACATCTCAATCGGGCTTACTTATGATAGTAGCAGCTGTCATAAGTCTGCATCAGCTCCCACAGCTCCAGGCTCCATCAAGCCTGACTCCTTTTTCTTCCCCACAGTCATTTCCCAGAAGCCCCCAGCTCTGCTTGCCAGGTGCCTTAGGCTGTACAGCTGCACTGCTGCTGAGTCCAGGCAGCTATCTGTCCCTGCAGCCCCTTCCCCAACCCATTCCCAGCCCAGCCCCACTCCACCACTGGTATCTCTAGTGTCCCTGACTGCTAGTGCCTCAGCCACCGCCGCCACTGCGATTTGGAAGTCTTTTAATGCAGTTAAATTATCTTAGTTTTTTCTCTCCCAGTTTATATGTACATACAGAAGGAAAGCAGGGATTCTGCTAGTGTCTTATTCACACAGTGAGATTGTAGATGTTGGTCTGGTGGACGTGATCAGTGGGGGAGAGAAGTAGGTGAATAACCTGCAGGGGGCAGCAGAGCCCAAGACCAGCCTGGAGCCTGCAAAGGGAAGGAAAATGAGCTCCCTTGGGTGTTTCTGAGCAGCTCCAGGAGTGGATTCTGAGAAGCTGCAGAGCCCTGGAACACAGGAGACCCAAGTGCAGATGCATTTGGGGTGGCGGACAGGGGGCATGCAGAGGGGGAGGTGTTCTGTCATGTCTGAGGTTGGACCTCAGGAGCCTGGGGCCATTTGGAGGGCAGTGTTTTTGGTTTTGGCATGCATAGGGTCACTGGGTTCAGGCGGTAATTTGTATATATGAAGAAAATCTGTGAAGGTCAGTGTGCGAGAATTGTTTGGAACATCACCTGGTGAAAGGGTTTACGAAGTTGACAGTTTATTTAGGTTAGAAGCTTAAACTGACTCCAAGGGATAGTCTCCTGCTGTTGAAAATGAAGTTCTGGAAGGAGGGAGTGTTCCCATACTGTGAGGAGAGATGGTAGATGTGTGAGGAAGCTTTGTCCATGCCTCATCCCCTACTCCTGTCCCCCTGGAGGACATCTGTCTCTCTTTCCTGGTCTAGTCGTGCCTGGCCTGGTCTCGGTTCCCCTCCTGCTCTGAGGCAAACAGATCGCCCCAGCAGACACTGAGTCTGGAATTTCCTGCATACACTTGTGACCTGATGCAGGAGGAAGGAGCAGAGAAAGCCCATTGAGTGAAGGAGAGGTCAGTGCCCTTTCTAAAGTTCAGGAAAGAGGCCAGGCGCGGCGGCTCACGTAATCCCAGCACTTTGGGAGGCCGAGGCGGGCGGATCACCTGAGGTCAGGAGTTCGAGACCAGCCTGACTAACATGGTGAAACCCTGTCTCTACTAAAAATAACAAAAATTAGCTGGGCGTGGTGGCAGGTGCCTGTAATCCCAGCTACTCAGGAGGCTGAGGCAGGAAAATCGCTTGAACCCGGGAGACAGAGGTTGCAGTGGGCCGAGATCGCGCCATTGCACCTTCAGCCTGGGCGACAAGAGCGAAACTCCGTCTCAATTAGTTAATCAATCAACCAATCAATCATATATATATATGAAGTTCAAGAAAGTTTGGCGGAAATGCAGATATCCAAGGATCAGGGCACAGGGAGGGAGGTGGGCCTTAAAGAGGAAGTGAATAGAACCAGTCTGGCTCTGCAGGGCCCCGTTATCCCGGGCTTCTGCTGTCACTCAGGGCTCTGAAGGCGAGGCGGGGAGCACGGTCCAATCAGGAGCGCCGGGGCGGGGCCCTGCCAACTTTTTTCGGGGAAGGAGACGGCTGCAAGCCCGCGGTCTCTTGTTGCTGTGCTAACGACCGTTGGAACCCTCTTTCTGGCTCTTGGAACGCTCGGCTCTGAGAGGCTCCAGGTTTCTCCGCCAGAGCTCCTGTCGCTCTGTCAGTTGCGCTGTGTTCCTCTCTAGTCACAAGAGCCTTGGGGAAGACAGTTGGAAGCTCAGACATGGTGAGTGTGTGGGGCCAGGCGTCCTGAGACGGGGGCGAAGGGCTTCTTAGAACCTGCTGGAACCGGCTGTGGCGGGACCCGGGCCTCCCCGCGGCGACTCCGGGGTCTGTGGGGCTGGGCCGGCAGCCGGGACCCGGGGCATCCTGTCTCGTCCCTTCGCAGCGACCGCGGCCCCGGACCCGGAGCCCTCTTTGGGCAGCTCCGCGTCTTCAGCCGCGGGTCTCCTCAGATTGTGCTGGGCCATGAGGAGGATCATGGGGGGAATCCCGTCTCGGGTGTAGGGTTCTTGCGTCAGAAAAGCGGTGGTCTGTGGAGTCCCCAGTCGTCTTTTCTCCTCTTAAAAGTTAAAATGGCCGGGCGCGGTGGCTCACCTGAGGTCAGGAGTTCGAGACCAACCTAACATGGAGAAACCCCGTCTCTACTAAAAATACAAAATTAGCCTGGCGTGGTGGCGCGTGCTTGTAATCCCAGCTACTCGGGAGACTGAGGCAGGAGAATCGCTTGAACCCTGGAGGCGGAGGTTGCGGTGAGCCGAGATCCCGCCGTTGCACTCCAGCCTGGGCAACAAGAGTAAAACTCCGTCTAAAAAAAAAAAAAAAAAAAGAGGCACTGATAAAAATTCAAGAGTTTGTGCAAATGGGAATTCATGAATGAGAATCACGCAGTCATGGTTTGTGGTTTGTTACCAGAAACATTTGGAAATATTGCAGTTGAGTTGGATTTCAGTGCCCTTAGGTAGGACCTTAGTGCACTACACACACTTCAGTCTGTTTACTTGTTTAAATTTTTTCACGCTGTCCACATGGACTGGTTTCTCCCTCCATTTTCCAAATCTGTGGGATACAGGGTCTCACACCCTCCCCGCTATGACCCCAGCCTAACTCTTTAAAGGCTTGCGGTAGCATCTTACATTTTCAGTTCCCTTCCCACATTTCCAAACATTAACTCCTCTTCTCCAATTCACAGTATTTTCAACTATTTGTACTTTTTTTTTTTTTTAAAGATGGAGTCTCACTCTGTCACCCAGGCTGGAGTGCAATGGTGTGATCTCGGTCGCCGCAACCTCCGCCTTCCGGGTTCAAGCGATTCTCTTGCTTCAGCCTCCCAGAGTAGCTGGGATTAAAGGCGTCCACCACTATGCCCGGTTAATTTTTGTATTTTTAGTAGAGACAGGGTTTCACCAGGTTGGCCAGGCTGGTCTCAAACTCCTGACCCCAAGTGATCCACCCGCCTCGGCTTCCCAAAGTGCTGGGATTACAGGCGGGAGCCAGCGTGTCCGGCCTATTTGTTCTTTATTGTACAATATATTCATCCTTTCCTTCAAATAGATGAAGTATTTTAATGGTGTTTTTTTTTTTTTAACAGAGAAATATGATTCCACAGGACAATGAAAACCCACCCCAACAGGGTGAAGCAAATCAAAATGTATGTGGGGTACACAGTGCAGTGGGGAATGACACAATACAGTGTTGATGAGAAACTGTCATTGAGCACATCAGTGAGCAGGATAGCAGTGGGGTTTTGACAACACAAATGTCATATACCCACCAGTTTTGTTTTTGGTTTTGTTTGTTTTTGGTTTTGTTTTGAGACAGGATTTCGCTCTTGTTGCCCAGGCTGGAGTACAGTGGCTCGATCTCGGCCCACAGCTGCCTCTGCTTCCTGGGTTCAAGCAATTCTTCTGCCTCAGCCTCCTGAGTAGCTGTGGTTACAGGTGCGCGCTACCATTGCCAGCTGATTTTTGTATTTTTAGTAGAGATGGGGTTTCACCATGTTGGCCGGGCTTGTTTCGAACTCTTGACCTCAGATGCTCCACCTGCCTTGGCCTCCCAGAGTGCTGGAATTACAGGTGTGAACCACCACACCTGGCCCACCAGTCTTATTTATTTATTTATTTATTTATTTTTTGAGATGGAGTCTCACTCTGTTGCCCAGGCTGGAGTGCAATGGCGTGATCTTGGCTCACTGCAATCTCCGTCTCCCGGGTTCAAGTGATTCTCCTGCCTTAGCCTCCCAAGTAGCTGGGATTGCAGGTGCCTGCGACCACGCCTGGATAATTTTGTATTTTAGTAGAGTTGGGGTTTCACCACGTTGGTCAGGCTGGTCTTGAACTCCCGACCTCAGGTGATCTACCCGCCTTGACCTCCCAAAGTGCTGGGATTACAGGCGCGAACCACTGCGCCCAGTCTATACCTGCCAGTCTTACACAGAAGAGTTTCACTGCCCTAAAAATCCTTTGTGCTTTGTGTAGCCATCACACTCCCCTCCCTCTCTTCCACTAACCCCTTAATCCCTGGCACAACCGATGATTTTATTGCCTTTAGAGTTTTGCCTTGTCCAGAATGTCATGTACTTGGAATCATGTTGTAAGTAGCCATTTCGGCCTGTTTGTTTCACGTAAAAATACGCATTTAAAGTATCTTTGTGTCTATGTGGCTTGATAACAGATTTATTATTTCTTTATTTTACAAAATTTTAAAGAGATGGGGTCTCACTATGTTGCCCAATGTGGTTGGCGGATCACGAAGTCAGAAGTTCGAGACCAGCCTGGCCAACATAGTGAAACCCCGTCTCTATAAAAATACAAAAAAATTAGCTGGGCATGGTGGCAGGCACCTCTAATCCCACCTACTCAGGAGGCTGAGGCAGGAGAATCGCTTGAACCCGGGAGGCGGAGGTTGCAGTGAGCTGAGATCGCTCCATTGTACTCCAGCCTGGGTGACAAGAGTGAAACTCCATTTCAAAAAAATAAATAAAAAATAAAATAAAAAATAAAAATTACATTTGGCCAGGCATGGTGACTCATTCCTGTGATCTCAGCACTTTGGGATTTACCCTATACCTATTTGGGCACACAAATCCTGTAACTGGGGGTAACCCCCTTAGGGAGTGAGGAGAATCATGGAAGTTAGGAGTGGTCATTTATTACATATGTGGATAATAATAATGTTTTGTGTATATTAGGTTAAATAGTATAAACATTGTAATTGCTAGATTTACATAAATTGATAGGTTAGGATTGTGAAAGAAGGATTAGATGTTAAAATTGTGATTATTCAATTTGTTGTGAGCAATTGCCAAATAGGCCAAGATATTTCACAGCTGTGTTTGGTTAAGGTCCCCTTAACCAATCTCCCATAGTGTTGCAATCTCCCATAGTATGTTTAAGTCTGTTGATGAGTAGACTTGAAATAAAATGGAGATCAGTGCTAGTTTTTGTCATGTAAGTAGAATTACACTTGATATTAGTGAGACCCCTTGCATTACTTCAGAAGTGAAAGGGGGATAGTCCTAATTTTATCACCAGTGCTGTGATAATTATAAGGGATGCTATTTGGTTTAGGGCTTTTGTGATTGTTCATTGTCTGGAGTATATCATATTGTTGATGATAGCTACTAGGATCTACTAGTATTAGAGATGCAGTTGCTTATGTAAGGAAATACTTTGGTGGTGGCTTCTGTGGAGCAGGCACTTTTTCAGTTAGAATGGGGATAATGGCTAGCATATATCTAACCTCATTCAGATTAGGAGCCAGTGTAAGTCCATTATTATAATCAGAGTCTCTGTGAAAATAATATAAAGAGAATAGTGAGGAGATGTAGGGGATGAATTTGAATAGGAAGGATATAAACATTTTCAAGGTATGGGCTGGGTAGCTTATTTAGCTTACCCTACTGTAGGATATGGTGTCCTAGGTACCATGGAGAATCTGGAATTCTCAGGAGTGGGTTCAGTTCCTACAGTTCTAGTAATAAGAGGGTTTAAACCTCTATAATTTATTATATTAAAGTAACCATTCTATCATACATATTTTTTATGTTTGTGGTGGGATACTAGATATTAGGATGGGCATTGAGATATATGCACAGGACTCATGTCTGGGGTAAACAGTTTTTTCACAGAAGATGCTTAAGTTGGGCATTTGGTCGGTGGGGACCCACGCGGGTTCAACATGCATATCGAGAAGTGTTATTTCTGTTTGGGGCCCATCTACCCTGGCCATGGCATTATGTTCTTCTGCAACAATTGCAAGGTGTTCAGATTTTGTAAATCTAAATGTCATAAAAACTTTAAAAAGAAGTGCAATCCTCACAAGGTTAGGTGGACGAAAGCATTCCAGAAAGCAACTAGTAAAGAGCTTACAGTGGACAATTCATTTGAATTTGAAAAACATAGAAATGAACTTATCAAATATCAGCAAGAGCTATGGAATAAAACTATTGATGCAATGAAGAGAGTTGAAGAGATCAAACAGAAATGGCAAGCTAAATTTATAATGAACGGATTGAAGAAAAATAAAGAGCTACAGAAAGTTCAGGATATCAAAGAAGTCAAGCAAAACATCCATCTTATCCTAGCCCCTTTTGCAGGCAAAGAGAAGCAGTTGGAAGAGAAAATGGTATAGCATTTACAACAGGATGTGGACATGGAAGGTGCTTCTTAAAAATCTCTGTAACCATTTCTTTATGTACATTTGAAAAAGCCCCTTGGAGAATTAGAACTGCTAAATTCTTAGTTTATTTTTTACATAAGGTCACTCAAATGAAAAGTAATTAAAATATATTTTTCCTACATTACTGTCTACAAGACATCAGATATTACGGATGTTAGATTGCATCTCAGTGTTAAATTTTCACTGACAGATGTACTTATGTAAAAATCATGAAAATTCTGCTTATAACTATAGAAGTGAATTGTGGATTTAAATGGTTATGCTGTTTGGATAATGGCACGCGGCGCATTTCTGTAATAACTGATGGCAAAAATTCATGGCTAGTGATGTACAAAATAAAATATTAGTTAGAGTAAAATAATTCACTTAAAGTTATAGAAGGGGAATACAACAAGGAACTAACAATTGTATGACAGTGTCAAATATTATTTTGATTTTAGTATTTACTGTTTTGGTTTATTTGCATCTTAGAAGAGCATAATGGCATTGTTTGATGAAGCCTCATTATGCTGGACTGTTTTGACCTGTTTAATTGTTCTGATAGGTAGTTGTAGATATTGGGGATGAGAACTGAACAATCTTTGCCTGAAATGGCACTGCTCTCTAGAATTTCCACTTTGGAGAATACTCAGAACTTGTGATTCCTGGTAGAACAACTTTTTTTCTAGACTAGCAACTATCTAGAAGCAGAGGAATCTCATTGCCTTTTAAAATCTATTATGTGGTTTTCTTTTAAAAAGCTCTTGTTTTTGGAAAGTAGAATTTAGGGGAAAACATCTGTTCATTATTTGCATGTAAAACCAGTTTAAAAGTAAGAAAAAAAAGAACATGCATAAGTTGATCATACCAAAATCATGGGTATGATACCTGAAACCTGAATTCATAAGAATAAAATTGTTTTTTACTTTCTTTCTTTTTTTTTTTTTTTTTAGTTGGAGTCTTGCTCTGTCACCCAGGCTGGAGTGCAGTGGCGCAATCTCAGCTTACGGCAAGCTCCGCCTCCCGGGTTCATGCCATTCTCCTGCCTCAGCCTCCCGAGTAGCTAGGACTACAGGCGCCCGCCACCACACCCGGCTAATTTTTGTATTTTTAGTAGAGACAAGGTTTCACCGTGTTAGCCAGGATGGTCTCGATCTCTTGACCTCGTGATCTGCCCACCTCGGTCTCCCAAAGTGCTGGGATGACAGGCGTGAGCCACCATGTCCAGCTGTAACTTAGAACTATTTAAAGAGGCAAAGGCATAGGAGAATAAAGGAAGGAAGAAGTAACTCGTGGAATGTTGCGAAAGGAAAAACACGTTTAAGGAAGAGGAACAGGCTATGACTTAATGTTTGCTTGGACCAGTATAAGCATGCCAGGGCAAGTATTTAGGCTAACTTGTGGGAGTTAAGAATATAAAGTTGCCAAGACCAGCTTGGCTGGGGAGACGCTAACCCAGCAGCGCTAGAGGAATTAAAGACACCACACACACCAAAATATAGAGGTGTGAAGGGGGAAATCAGGGGTCTCACAGCCTTCAGAGCTGAGAGTCTTGAACAGAGATTTATCCACATATTTATTAACAGCAAACCAGTCATTAGCATTGTTTCTATAGATATTAAATTAACTAAAAGTATCCCTTATGGGAAACAAAGGGATGAGCCGAATTAAAGGAATAGGTTGGGCTAGTTAACTGCAGCAGGAGCATGTCCTTAAGGCACAGATAGCTCATGCTACTATTTGTGGCTTAAGAATGCTTTTAAGCGGTTTTCCGCCCTGGGCGGGCCAGGTGTTCCTTGCCCTCATTCTGGTAAACTCACAACCTTCCAGTGTGGGTGTTAGGGCCATTATGAACATGTTACAGTGCTGCAGAGATTTTGTTTATGGCCAGTTTTGGGGCCAGTTTATGGCCAGATTTTGGGGGGCCTGCTCCCAACATGTCCCCTTTCTTTGATTTGCAAATCAATAAAAGCAAGGGCAGCTTTGTCACAGTGAGCTACTTCTCGCAGGAGTCAGGATCCACGTCTGCAGACTATACAAGGACAACACAGATTAAAAGCACAGTCATCATTGAAATCACAGAACTTCCAAGTGTTTTTATCCATTTTCAGCTCCTTTTAAGCACTCCAGTTCTGGCATTAAGGTCAGCTGTGCCTGGGATGCTTTAAATATTTGTTCTTTTAATTTTAAATCCTTATATTAAGCTCCTACAATGCACCATATCATTTGAGGTTGAGGTGCCACTATACCGCCATGGTTCCAGATAATAGGAACTTTTGCCATACTTCTTATCATTTCTGCCATCTGACCGTTTTGTTCAGATCAGCTGAACATAGTGTGGCCGTGGCATGTAGACTGAGAGGTGCAGTTTAAGCTAAACATCCCCTTAGGGGACCAATTAATAATGATTCCATAGAAATTGTTGTGCAGCACCTCTGCCTGTTCCGCAATGCAATCTTCCTAAACAAGTACGTTCATTTTTTCTAACTGGGTCCGATCCTGTTTACAAATAGGTTTTTGAGGGCGGTATGCCTCAATTATAGGAGCAGATTTATTACGGTAAATACTGAGATTAGAAAGCATGTGTAACTGTGTCATAGAGTGATTGCATCCAGGCATTATTACCAGTCAAGATTGATAAATATGCCCAGTAAGTATAATCATTCTCTGTGTCAGCCCTTATTGAAGGAATACTCAAGGTAGTGGTGATAACTGCTGTCATAGCTACCATTAAATTATTCATTGTGACTGGTTGTCCCGCTTTCCTCAGGTTTTCTTCCGCCATCTGTGACAGCTTCTTGATCTGTCCCCAGGTGGGTGGCTGTGTTCGATGGGTGTTGCTCGTGACAGTTGGGGTCCTCCTCAGCGTCAGTCTCTACATGGCTGCAACCGGGGAGTCCTTGGGATCCTCTCAGAGTCTCTTCCTCAGCATCTGGCTCATGATAAGGTTTCAGGTGTCTTGATAGTACCCAAATCGGCTATTGATTTTGGTCTAGAGAAACACAAGCATAATCTCTACTCCAAGTTATTATTTTACCTATTTCCCAACTTTTTGTTACTGAATATCTCCACCAAATCAGTTGTTCTGCTTCTTTCTTTGCAGCTGGTTTCTGTAGATGCTGTTCAGTTGCTGATAACATCTGGCCTTTGGGCAGGTTCAAAACATTTAATGTTAATAATGCTACGTTCAGTTGTATCTGTGGGGTTCCATATTCTCTATTTCCCCCTTTCTGCTTTTGCAACTGCTGTTTTAGGGAAAGATTCATTCTTTCCACTATGGCTTGTCCTTGAATTGTATGGGATATCAGTAATGTGTTTAATATTCCACATAGAGAAAAATGTAGCTAGAGCTTGGCTAGTATAGCCTGGGGCATTATCTGTTTTAATAGAAGCTGGAATGCCCATCACTGCAAAACACTGCAAAAGATGACGTTTAACACAAGCAGAAGACTCTCCTGTTGGCATGTAGCCCAGACAAAGTGAGAAAAGGTGTCCACACATACATGTGGGCACCAAACGAGGGAATATGTGTGACATCTATTTGCCAAAGAGAGTTAGGTTCCAATCCTTGAGGATTAAATCCTCCTGTAAAAGATGAGGAATGTACCATTTGGCAAGTTGGCATCGCTGGATAATAGCTTTAGCTTCTTTCCAGGTAATGCTGTATCTGTGTTTGAGGCCAGAGGCATTAACATGGGTTAAATTGTGAAAGTGTCTAGCATTAGATATTGCATTAGCAACTAGGCGATCAGCCATTTGATTCCCTTCAATCAAAGGTCTTGGAAGAGGTGTATGAGCCCTAATGTGAGTGATGTAAAAAGGGTGCATTCTACTTCTAACTGCTGTTTGCAACTGGGTAAATAAAGTAATCAGTTGTTCATCTGTATGAAATCGTAACTGCGCATTTTCAATTAACTGTGTGGAATGAACCACGTATGAAGAATCAGAAATCACATTAATAGACATATCAAAAGCAGTCAATACCTCAGTTACAGCTACAAGCTCTTGCTTTTTGAGCTGAAGTATAGGGCGTCTGGAAAACTTTACTTTTTGAGCCAGAATAAGAAGCTTTACCATTACTAGACCCGTCTGTAAAACAATGAAAATGCTTAGCAGGCTGCAGGTTGTTTACTGCAAGAATTGTAAATGCAAACCATTCACAGTTTTGCTCAGCTAAATGGATAGTAAAGAAACAGTCTTTCAAATATATGACTATTAAAGGCCAATTTTTTGGAATTATAGTAGGAGAAGGCAGTCCTGGCTGTAATGCTCCCATAGGTTGTATAACTGAATTGATGGCTCTTAAGTCAGTTAACATTCTCCATTTACCTGATTTTTTTCTTAATTATGAAAACTGGAGAATTCCAAGGGGAAAATGTTGGAGCTATGTGTCCATTTTGTAATTGTTCAATGACTAATTTCTCTAAAGCCTCCAGTTTCTCTTTACTTAGCGGCCATTGTTCTACCAAATTGGCTTATCTGTTAACCATTTTAAAGGTATAGGTTCTGGAGGCTTGACAATGGCCACCATCAAAAATAATACCCTAATCTTTGGCAGGAACTTTCTTTCTGCTTGAAGCAGTTCTTTCAAACCTTGCAAATTTTTTTCTAGTCCCATACCAGGGACATACCCCATTTCATGCATTGTATGTTGACTTTGAGGGCTATATAATTGTTCTGGAATTAGAACTTGTGCTCCCCATTGTCATAAATCTCTCCCCCATAAATTTACAGGTACAGAAGTTATAATTGGTTGAATAGTACCAGGTTGTCCATCAGGCCCTTCACAATGCAAAATATAACTACTTTGATATACTTTAGGGGCTTTACCAACTCCAACTATGTTAAATTGAGCAGGTTGAATTGGCCACGTGGACGGCCAGTGCTGTAGAGAAATGACTGAAATGTCTGCTCCTGTATCTACCAAACCTTTAAATTTCTTTCCCTGAATAGTTATTTTCACAGGTAGGATGTTTATCAGTAATTTGATTTACCCAATAAGCTGCTTTGCCTTGTTTATTTGTGCTTCCAAATCCTCCTGTTCGTTTAATTTCACTTTTCCCCATTTCCACATACGACACAATCAGGAGCTGTGCTATGTGCGCTCTCCTGGCTCTGCTTTCCAGGGAACAGAAGTAGATACAACAATTTGAATTTCCCATTATAATCTGAATCAGTGTCTCCTGTATGTATTTGTACGTCTTTTAAACTTAAACTAGACCTTCCTAAAAGTAATCCTATTGTCCCTGCTGGCAAGGGTCCGCAGACTCCTGTTGGGACCTTTTGCGGGGGTTCCCCAGGCAGAAGGCTCACAGCTTTTGTGCAGCATAAATCTACTGCAGCACTACTGGCTGTGGGGGGGTGGACAGACATTGTACAGGGGTGAGGGAATGGCCTGAGCTAGAAATGCCCCGGTTTAGAATGGGGCCCTCATGGCGTTTCCCGAAATCGGGTTCCCTTCTTTATCAAACTTAGGATGACATTGGTTAACCCAATGTTTTCCTTTTTTACATTTTGGACATATTTCAGAATCAGCAGTTTTCTTTTCTCCCCATCTGGCGGCCTGACTCGCTGATTTTTTTCTACATTCTTTTTTAGTATGACCATGCTTCCCACAGTTAAAACAAGCTCCAGGAAGTGGAGTATTTCCTTTATCCACTCTCAGTCCTGCCATTGCCTATGCCAACAAAGTAGCTTTATGTAGATTATCTCTGATATCATCACAGGCCTTGATAAAATCAACTAAATGTGCTTTCCCTCTGATAGGTCACAGAGCAGCCTGGCAATCGGGATTAGCATTGTCGAAAGCTAATAACTGCAACACTATATCCTGAGCAGCCAAATCTGCAATCATCTTTTTAAGAGACTCCTGTAACTGAGCTATAAAGTCAACGTATGGTTCTTTGGATCCCTGTTTTATAGCACTAAAGGAAGGGTATTGTTCTCTACCTGAAGTGATTTTTTCCCAAGCTCTAATGCACACTCCTCTAAGCTGTTCTATGGCATCATCCCGCATGACCAGTTGTGCATCTAAACCAGCCCAGCCTCCAACCCCCAAAAGTTGGTCTGCAGTTACATTAATTTGAGTTTGGGCCTGGGCATTGCGAGCAGCCTGAATGGAAGCTTCATCTGCCCACCAAATTTTAAATTTTAAGAACCGAGCAGGAGTTAGACAAGCTCGAGTAAGAGCATCCCAGTCAGTAGGTATCATCCAACTGGAAACAGCAACATTCTTTAACAGTCCCATTATAAAAGGAGAACCTGGTCCATACTGATGTATAGCTTTTTAAAATTCTTTGAGTAATTTAAAAGGAAAAGGCTCAAATGTAGCTGTAATATTTCCCTGTTGATCTTGGGGGGTGTATTCATTCTAACAGGGAACTGCCAAGCCTCTGTATCACCCTCTCCTCTAGCTTGCTGAATTCCTGCCTGAATAGAACTAAGAGTGGTCACTCGGCGCTGCTCAAACAGTCACTGGGGCAACTACTTTTCGCCCAGTGTCCTCCAGAAAAGAAAGATCTGGAGGGTCTTTTTCTTGAAAATAATAAGGAGGGGGTACAGAAGGGTAGGGATGAATCTCTCCCTCCTTTCCTGCTTTAGCTTTAACTGGCAAATAAACCTCGTCTGTAACCTCTTCTGTTACTTCATTATTCACTCATTCCTCCTCATCATCAGTGTGAAGAAGTTCCAAGGTGAAACGAACCAGACCCCATACTTGTCCCATTGTTACCCTGAGGCTTCCGAGCTCCCCTTCTTACTCACCATGGGGATTGCTTTAAGAGTACTCGGGTGTCCTCCAGCTAGTTTTCCGTTCCAACCATTGCTCTGGCGACCCTTCAACCTGCATTCAAGCCCCCATGAATGGACGCCACTTGCCAAGACCAGCTCAGTCGGGGAGACCCTAACCCAGCGGCGCTAGAGGAATTAAAGACACCACACACACCGAAATATAGAGGTGTGAAGTGGGAAATCAGGGGTCTCACAGCCTTCAGAGGTGAGAGCCCCAAACAGAGATTTACCCACATATTTATTAACAGCAAACCAGTCATTAGCATTGTTTCTATAGATATTAAATTAACTAAAAATATCCATTATGGGAAACAAAGGGATGGGCCAAATTAAAGGAATAGGTTGGGCTAGTTAACTGCAGCAGGAGCATGTCCTTAAGGCACAGATAGCTCATGCTGTTATTTGTGGCTTAAGAATGCCTTTAAGCGGTTTTCCGCCCTGGGTGGGCCAGGCGTTCCTTGCCCTCATTCCAGTAAACCCACAACCTTCCAGTGTGGGCGTTAGGGCCATTATGAACATGTTACAGTGTTGCAGAGATTTTGTTTATGGCCAGTTTTGGGGCCAGTTTATGGCCAGATTTTGGGGGGCCTGCTCCCAACATAAAGTATATTGATGTTTTTTTTATTACAGCTAGTATATATTTAAGAATGTTAGTATAGGATTTTGAATAAATTTTGTTTTTAAGAGAAGTTATAATTTAATTAGATGGGGAGGAAAGTCTTTGAAGAGGAACCTCTACTTTACTTTTTATAAAGTGATTCTCCTGCTCAGTCTCCCCAGTAGCTGGGATTACAGGCATGTGCCACCACGCCTGGCTAATTCTGTGTTTTTAGTAGAGACAGGGTTTCTCCATGTTGTTCAGGGTGGTCTCAAACTCCTTACTTCAGATGATCTGCCCACCTCAGCCTCCCAAAGTGCTGGGATTACAGGCGTGAGCCACCATGCCCAGCCTGTAGTGGTTCTTTAATGAGCAGCTTTATTGCTTTGGCAAAAGGTTGGAATAATCCATATGAGCCTATGATGTTAGGTCCCTTACAGAGTTGTATGTAACCTAAACTATTCATTCAACAAATGTTAAGATTGCTGTAGTGAGAATGGTGGGAAATAAGTAGGAGAAGGTTAATTATAAACTTATTGTTAAGAAGAAGGATTAGTTTACTTTGACTAGTACGTCTTAGTCAAAATCATTTTGAGGTTATATTTTGCTCTGAGGTCACCTCAACTAAAATTTTTAGTTCATTGGATACAATGTTAATACCTGTTAAGTTAGGTTAATTATTGGATATATGGACTAATAAATTTAAGTTCCGTAGAGTCTTCTCATCATATTTAAGTATTTCTGCCTCTTCACAGATAGGTCAATTGCACTGATTAAGAGACAGCTAAACCCTCATGTGACCAGTCTTGCAAGTCTCTGTTTCGGGAACAAATGATTATGCTATGCCTGTACAGTCAAGATACTGGCACCATTAAACATGTCACTGGGCAGGCAGTGCCAGTTTTTGGTGATGTTTTTGGTAAACAGGCAGGGTTTGGTTTTGCTGAGTTCCTTTTATTTTTTAAAATCTTTCTTTAGTGCTTGCCTTTGTTGGCTTAACAATTTGGAGAAAATAATTAGTTTATAGGTTTGCTTAGTTATATTGAGTTTTGTTAACTGTCAGTGGATCATCCAAATATGATGGTAACTATGCATTTTTATACATATTTTATTTATTTATTTATTTATTTATTTATTTGAGACGAAGTTTCACTCTTGTTGCCCAGGCTGGAGTGCAGTGGCGCCATCTTGGCTCACTGCAACCTCTGCCTCCCGGGTTCAAGCAATTCTCCTGCCTCAGCCTCCCAAGTAGCTGGGATTACAGGCATGAGCCACCATGCCCAGCTAATTATGTATTTTTACTAGAGATGGGGTTTCACCATGTTGGTCAGGCTGGTCTCGAGCACTTGACCTCAGGTGATCCGCTTGCCTCAGCCTCCCAAAGTGCTGGGATTACAGGCGTGAGACACTGTGCCCAGCCTTTATACATATTTTATAGTAGGTTGTAGAAGTTCCCTCGTATTCCTGATTATTTCTATTTTGAAGGAGTGTTGAGGTTTGTCACTTTTTTTTTGCATGTGTTTAGATTGTGGTTTTTGATGTTGATTCTGTAACTACTGTGTATTGCATAAGTTGATTTTTGAAATGTAAGCAATGTTGCTTCCATGAATTAAATTCCACTTTGTCATGGAGTACAGATGTTGTCATATATGGGTGGATTCTCTTTGCAATTATATTGCTCCGGCTTTGTGTGTTAACATTTAAAGAGATATTCATGTATAGTATTATAGTCTAGCATTATAATATGCATATATATACACATTTATATACATGCACACATAAAGTATATATAGTATATAGTCTAGTTATGATAGATAACATAAATATTATATATAACTTGTAATGTGGTATATAGCTGTTGTATATAAATGGCATTATAGTAAACAACTTAATGAATTATGACATTATAGTATATAAAATTGATATAGTTTTAGTCTCCAGTGTATAGTGGGTTTCATTTCTATGTCAGCCTGCAGAATTATTCAAATACCACATTCTCATCCTCCCACGGGAACAAAGGAAAATCTTACCCTCTTGATGCTACAGTGTGCCATTCAAAAATATTCGTGATCATGGATTTAGGAAAGATTCTATGATATGACAATACAAGCACTAGGAACAAAGAAAAAGTATGTAATTGAGACTGCATTGAAATTTTAAACTTTTTTGTGTTTCAAAGGACACCACACCAGGAAGACATTGAAAAGCATATAGCCATGCCAGCCTGAATGCACCTGATCTTTTTTGATCTCAGTTCCTGCCAGGATTGGGTCTGGTTATTACTTATATGAGAGTAATACTGGGAATACTGAGTGCTGTACACTTTAAAAAAAGAAAAGGGGCCGAGCGCTGTGGCTTATACCTGTAATCCCAGCACTTTGGGAGGCTGACGCGGGAGCTCAGGAGTTCAAGACTGGCCTCAAAAACACGGTAAACCCCATGTCTACCAAAAATACAAAAAATTACCTGGGAGTGGTGGTGCACGCCTTTGGTCCCAGCTACTCATGAGGCTGAGGTAGGAGGATCATTTGAGCCTGGAAGGTGGAAGTTGCAGTGAGCTGAGATGATGCCACTACACCCCACCCTGGGCGACAGAGCGAGACTCTGTCTCAAAACAAGGTAGAGAAACTTGATGAATTATCATGGGTTGAGGAAATGGAACTTGATTGAATATCAAGTTTTGGGGGGATTCTCCCTGAACTCCCTTAGAAGGATTTTTGATGTAACTGGGCTCTGCAGGAGAAGGACAAAACGGGTCAAGAAGAGGGCCTAAGCAGCCTGACTCATGTTTGGTCAAGGAAGGAAGAAGTCCGTAAGACTCCCGTAGCTGGCTCTTTTTAGGAAGGACAATCCCTAAATATTTGATTTCCTCGCTATATTCCAAAATACCCGCTTTCCCTCTCTAAAGGACATCTTCAATTATGGATCCACCCTGACATATTTGAAAGAGCTGCAGTATTTTAATTGATTTTTATATTCCCACAGAGCCATATATGACTCTCTTTAAAATTTTATTATGTTGGCTGGGTCCATTGGCTCACGCCTGTAATTCCAGCATTTTGGGAGGCCAAGGCGGGCGGATCATGAGGTCAGGAGATCAAGACCATTCTGGCTAATATGGTGAAACCCCATCACTACTAAAAATATAAAAAAAAATTAGCTGGGTGTGGTGGCAGGTGCCTGTAGTCCTAGCTACTTGTGAGACTGAGGCAGGAGAATGGGTGTGAACTTGGGAGGCGGCGCTTGCAGTGAGCCGAGATCATGCCATTGTACTGTAGCCTGGGCAACAAGAGCAAAACTCCATTTCAATAAAACAAAACAAAAAAACCCACAAAAATTAGCTGGGCATGGTCGTGGGCACCTATAATCCCAGCTACTCGGGAGGCTGAGGCAGGAGAATTGCTTGAACCCAGGAGGTGGAGGTTGCAATGAGCCAAGATTGTGCCATTGCACTCCAGCCTGGGTGACAGAGCAAGACTCTGACTCAAAAAAAAAATAAGTACACCTAATAATTCCTGATGTTAAGCACCTTTTTTATGTGTGTTGTGGTCATTTGGATTTATCTTGGAGAAATGTTATTGGACTACATTGCCTATCTTTTTTTTTTTTTTTTTTTTTTGAGACAGAGTCTCGCTGTCTTGCCTCGGCTGGAGCACAATGGCATGATCCTGGCTCACTGCAGCTTCTGCCTCCCAAGGGGCTGGGATTATGGGTGTCTACCACCACCCCCAGCTAATTTTTGTATTTTTAGTGTAGATGAGGTTTCACCGTGTTGCCAGGCTGGTCTCGAACTACTGACCTCAAGTGATCTGCCCGCCTCGGCCTCCCAAAGAGCTGGGATTAAGCTGTGAGCCACTGCACCCAGCCCATTGCCCATGTTTTGATCAAGTAGTTTTATACTTGGGACAGTAATTTGTTTATTTATTATTTTTTTTGAGACGGAGTCTCACTCTGTTGCCGGGCTAGGGTGCAGTGGCCCAATCTCGGCTCACTGCAACCTCTGCCTCCCAGGTTCAAGCAATTATCCTGCCTCAGCCTCCCGAGTAGCTGGAACCCTGGGTGTGTGCCACCACACCCAGCTAATTTTTTGTATTTTTAGTAGAGACAGGGTTTCACTGTGTTAACCAGGCTGGTCTCGATCTCCTGACCTCATGATCCACCTGCCTCGGCCTCCCAAAGTGAATTTATTATTTTTAATTACTATAAAATAAAATTACATTTTATTAGCTTAAGCAATTTTAAGTGTACAGTTTACTTAGACAGCTCTGTGTAACTTATCTAAGATGAATCATAATCTGTTTTGTGTGTGACTACCATTGTGTAATTTCTATAGCATCGTGAATTTTCATGTATGAAGCATGGGACAGGGTGTTATTTTCTAAGATTAAATAATATTTCATTGTATGTAGATGCCTACCACATTTTTGTTATGCATACAACCATCAGTGGACATGTGGATGGATCCAGCTCTTGGCTATTGTCAACAGTGGTTTTCAAATATGTCTCCATGATCTGGTTTTCTACTTTTTTTTTTTTTAATTCAGTATAAATAGACCTACAAGTCAGCTATTGGAAGATATGGTAATTTTGTTTGTTTGTTTGTTTTTTTTGAGACTGAGTCTCACTGTCGCCCAGGCTGGATGGAGTGCAGTGGCGCAATCTTGGCTCACTGCAACCTCCGCCTCCCAGATTCCAGCAATTCTCCTGCCTCAGCCTCCCAAGTAGCTGGGATTACAGATGTGTGCCACCACACCCGGCTAATTTTTGTACTTTTAGTAGAGACGGGGTTTTGCCATTTTTGCCAGGCTGGTCCCAAACCCCTGACCTCAGGTGATCTGCCCTCCTTGGCCTCCCAAAGTACTGGGATTACAGGCATGAGCCACCATTCCTGGCCATGATTTTGTTATTTTTAAAGGCACTATCATACTATTTTCCAGAAGGGCTGAGCCATTTATAATCCTTGGGACAGAGCACATGGGTTGCCTTTTCCCTCTGTGAATGGTGTCCTCTCATAAACAAAAGTTTGTTTTGTTTTTGTTTTCAGACAGAGTCTCGCTCTGTCTCCATGCTAGAGTACAGTGGCACGATCTCAGCTCACTGCAACCTCCACCTCCTGGGTTCAAGTGATTCTCGTGCCTCAGTCTCCCGAGTAGCTGGTGTTACAGGTACGTTCCACCACACCCAGCTAATTTTCTTATTTTTAGTAGAGACGGGTTTCACCATGTTGCCCAGGCTGGTCTCAAACTCCTGGCTTCAAGTGATTTACTCGCCTCAGCCTGCGATAGTGCTGGGATTACAGGCATGAACCACCACGCCTGTTCACACAAACGTTTTTATGTTTGATAAATATTTGCCTTTTTGTCACGATTTGGCACCCTGGGGTTTTTACCTCTCAATCTTGTTGACATTCAGCTTTGAGCAATTCAGTTACAATTTAGGCTTTACTACCCAAGCAGAGATTCCCAGAATCGTTTCTTCTCATGAGTTTGGTTTTTTTTTAGTTATTTATAACTGTCTTATTAGTTAGATTGATGGGCCCCTCGCAAAATCCAGTTTTTTGTTTGTTTCTGTTGCTGGTATTTAGAACGAAATCTACTTTCTAGATATCATGAAAGTTTAAACTTGGGAACAGACATTTTCAAGGATACACAGCCTCAAGACTCCTCATGTTAACTTTTTTCTGCATGCGAATTTACAGGACTTTGTTACAGCAGCTACTACAGATCCACACTACAAATAGACATTAGGGGCAGCCCAGAAAGCACATCTTTCTGTGTGGATTCACCGGAAACTCATACATTTTCCTATTCTGCTGTTCCTTTACCCCATGGTTAAATTGTAGCATCGGAATTGCTTTATGGAAGAAAGTGAGTATAGGCAGCGTAAGAGGTCTGATGACCAAGTCATGAAATCTTTGGAGTCCATAGCATCATGAGAACTTCTTGGGAATAGGGTATAGATGCCCAGTGATATCAGTCTCACCCATCCTTCTCTACACATATGGGATGTTTTAGGACTCAGTGGCCTTTGAGGATGTGGCTGTGAACTTCACCCCAGACGAGTGGGCTTTGCTGGATCCTTCCCAAAAGAATCTCTACCGAGAAGTGATGCAAGAAACCTTGAGGAACTTGGCCTCTATAGGTAACGGTGACAATATTACTCCCTCAGTGAATTAGAGAAGTGTTTCTCATTCATCAGTGCTGTTGAGTAATTTGGAATATGGACAGGCAATACTTTGATGAGTAAGTGAGGCACGGTTGTAGTGTATCATGAACATAGAATCAAATAATCATTTCATAATTTTATACTAATCCAGGCCTGTGTATCTGCGCCTGTATTTTAGGGAAGAAATGGAAAGACCAGAACATTGAAAATGAGTACAAAAATCCCAGGAGCAACCTAAGGTAATCTGCACTCACAGGACAAAGCAGTGTCTCTAGAAAATTTTAGAGTGGGAGGAAATGTTAAAAAGAAGGGAACAAACAAAAAAGCTGAGTTCCATTATATTTATTCTTAGAATATTTTCTCTAAAAACATGCATTTATTTGTGACACAGGCTGGACACCATGGCTTATGCCTATAATCAACCCTTTGAGAGGTTCAGACCAGAGGATTGCATGAGCCCAGGAGTCTGAGGCTGCACTGAGCCATGATGACATCATTAGACTGTAGCCTGGGCAACAGGGCAAGATTCTCAGAAACAAAATTAAAAGACAAAGAGTTTTTGTATGTGTACAGTAGTTTACATGGAAATCGTATTAAGCTCCATATATTTTTTGATAATAGATACGGCTGGGCCATCTGGTAGACCATGTGGTCCATTCATGTTCAAACAATTCAGACAGAGTAGAAAGCCTACACTTTGCTGGATAATGTTAAAAATGCAAGTGTAAGACTTGTGAATGAATATAAAATCACTGATAAACCCATTAAATGTGCTTTTCATTTTTCACAGAGGTCTTATGGAAGAGAGACTCTTTGAAAGTGAAGGTCATCAGCATGGAGAAATTTTGACCCAGGTTCTGGATGACATGCTGAAGAAGAAAACTGGAGTAGAATCATGTGAAAGGAATGTGTGTGAGGTCAGCATGGGTCATTTATCCCTTAATAAGCACACCAGAGCTGACACTGGACACAAGCCATATGAGTATCAGGAATATGGACAGACGCCATATAAATGTACATACTGTAAGAAAGCCTTCAGCTGTCTCCCCTACTTTTGCAGACATGTAATTGCACACACTGGAGAAAAACCCTATGAATGTAAGGATTCTGCGAAGACATTTAGTTTTTCCATTTATTTTCATAGTCATAAAAGAGCTCACTCTGGAGGGAACCCCTATGAATGTAAACAATCTGGAAAACCCTTTGGATGCGCCTCAGAACTTCAAATGCATGCAAGGACTCAGTGTGGAGAAACCTTACAAATGTAAGAAATGTGAAAAAGCATTTAATAACTTATCTTCCTTTCAAATACATGAAAGAATGCACAGAGGAGGGAAGTATCATGCCTGTAAGGGTTCTGGGAATACATACCGTTTTTCTGGTTTCTATCATAGACATAAAATGCCTCATGCTGGCGGGAAGTTTTATGGATGTAAGAAATGTGGGAAAGCCTTTATTAGTTTCTGTGCCTTTCGATACCATCAAAGGACTCACACTAAAGAGAAACCCTATGCGTGTAAACAATGTGGGAAAGCCTATATTTCTTACACTTCTTTTCAATATCATCAGTTGAATCACACTGGAGCGAAATGCTATGAGTGTAAGCAGTGTGGCAAAGGCTTCGATTTGCCCAATTCCATTCGATATCATGAAATGACTCACACTGGGGAGAAACCCCATGAATGTAAGCAATGTGGGAAAACTTTCAGATGTGCCTCAAGCCTCCGAATACATGGAAGGACTCACACTGGGGAGAAACCCTATGAATGTAAACAGTGTGGTAAAGTCTCTCGTTATTGGAGCGGCCTTCAGGTACATGAAGTAACTCATATTGGAAAAAAGCTTTATGAATGTAAGGAATGTGGGAAATCATACTATAGTTCTGGTTCCTTTCTAAATCATAAAAGGATCCACACCAGGGAGAAGTCTTATGAATGCAAGGAATGTGGGAAAGCATTTGGTAATCCCATATCCTTTCAAAAACATGAAGGGAGTCACAGAAAATGGAAGCCTTATGAATGTAAGGAATGTGGGAAGGTATTCAGTTTTTCCAGTTCCCTTCGGAGACATGAAAGGACACACACTGAAAAACTCTGTGAATGTAAACAGCATGGGAAAGGATTTTTTCATAGAAGCTGTCCTAGACACATGAAGATAGACACTGGAGAGATACTTCATAAACGTAAGATACGTGGAAAAGTCTTTCATTCTCCTAGTTCATTTCAAACATGTGAAAGATCTCACACTAGAGAAAAACGCTATAAATGCAAGCAATGTGGAAAACCCTTCATTTATTTCAATGCCTTTCAACGTCATCAAAGGAGCCACACTGGAGAGAACCCCTATGAGTGTAAGCAATGTGGGAAAGCCTGTATTTCTTCCACTGCTTTTCAGTGTCGTGAATTGAGTCACACTGGAGCAAAACGCTATAAGTGTAAGCAGTGTGGCAAAGGCTTCAATTTGCCCAGTTCCATTCGATATCATGAAATGACTCACACTGGAGAGAAACCCTATGAATGTAAGCAATGTGGGAGAGCTTTCAGATCTGCCTCACACCTACGAACACATGAAAGGACTCACATTGGGGAGAAACCCTATGAATGTAAACAGTGTGGTAAAGTCTATCGTTACTGGAGTGGCCTTCGAATACATGGACTAACTCATATTGGAAAAAAGCCTTATGAATTTAATGACCGTGGGAAATCATTCTATAGTTCCAATTTCTTTCTAAATCATAAAAGGGTCCACACTAGAGTGAAGACATATGAATGCAAGGAATGTGGGAAAGCATTTGATAATCCTACATCCTTTCAAAAACATGAAGGGAGTCACAGAAAAGGGAAGTCTTATGAATGTAAGGAATGTGGGAAGGTATTCAGTTTTTCCCGTTCCTTTCGTAGATATGAAAGGGCACACACTGGCGAAAAGCCCTGTGAATAAACAATGTGGGAAAGGATTTTTCATATCTTCTGTGGAGCTTTGAATGCATGAAAAGACAGACTACAGAGAAATGCTAAATGTAAGGCGTGTATAAAAGCATTTAGTAATTTCTCTTCCTTGCTTATACATGGAAGGATGCACACTGGAGAGAAGCCATATGAATGTAAGAATTGTGGGAAAGCCTTCACATCTGCCAAGAGCCTTCAAAATCATGGAAGGACACACACCGGAGAGAAACCATGTGAATGCAAGCAATGTGGCAAAGCTTTCATTTGTTCCAGTTCCTGTCAGAGACATGAAGAGACACATTCTGTTAATATGCATTCAGTTATCCTAATTCCTTTGAAACACAGAAAAAGAGTAGGGAAAGGACCTCTGAGATAACTGTTTTCTGAGTTGAGAAGAGCTACTTGTGAATGGACAATTAAATCTAGATGTATTTAGATCTGATACAATTCATCTGTAGCCAACCTTTTTTTAAATTTTTTTATTTTTTAGATGGAGTCTTGCTCTGTCGCCCAGACTGGAGTGCAGTGGCACGATCTTGGCTCACTGCAACCTCCGCCTCCTGGGTTTAAGCAATTCTCCTGCCTCAGCCTCCCAAGTAGCTGGGATTACAGGTAACCGCCATCACGCCTGGCTAATTTTAGAGATGGAGTTTCACCATGTTGGCCAGGCTGGTCTCAAACTCCTGACCTCAAGTGATCCACCCACCTCGGCCTCCCAAAGTGCTGGGATTACAGGCGTGAGCCACTGCGCCCTGCCACCTATAGCCAATCTTAATGAGATTTCATAGGCACAGACAAGGAAGGTTATCAGTCACATATTAGAGGCACCACACAGGGAGAGCAGTGTGTGGCCACATGCTTCAGCCCATTTTTTCTGATTCTCTTGCTTGCAAATTAAGAGTATTCTCCAAATCACTTGACTTTCCTTTTCTCAGAGTTATAGTTCTCCAGAGATGTCACCAGATGATTCACATTAAAGGTACATTTCCAGTTGACTTTTTTATTTCAGATATTAGTAAATGATTACCAGAGAACTAATTCAAACTGTCATGGTTGGAAATACTCTGATGCTCAACTCCCTAATCTATAGAGTGAGTTAAGGTCTATACTCTTTTGCAAGCATTGTTCTAGTGGCAGTGACCCTGTTCATGATTCAGCCTGACATTTACTATGCTGCCCTGAAAACCAACTAGATGGGAGCTTGTTTCTCTCTGCATTGTGTAGTGAGTGGTGTCACCCAGGACTTTCATGTGAGAAAAAGCACCTTGCTTTTAATCTGGGAATTTTGAGTGTTTTTTGTAATGCCTCAGTTTATTCTTATTTATGGTTGATTATATGTGATTTAGAACACTTGCTATTTATGTCTGATCCCACAAATCAGCACTCACTTTATTTGCAAAGCACCAAATTTCGTGTAAGAGGTGTAGTAATTGGGAATGTGAAGCTAAGTTACATTCTTTCTCTTTATTTACATGTCTCCCTTTCTATAGGCCTCTTTTTCCCCCCCTTTTTGAGACGGAGTCTCTGTCGCCAGGCTGGAGTGCAGTGGCGCAATCTCAGCTCACTGCAACCTCCGACTCCCTGGTTCAAGCAATTCTCCTGCCTCAGCCTCCTGAGTAGCTGGGATTACAGGCATGCACCACCACGCCCAGCTAATTTTTATATTTTTAGTAGAGACAAGGTTTCACCATGTTGGCCAGGAAGGTCTTGATCTCCTGACCTCGTGATCTGCTCACTTTGGCCTCCCAAAGTGCTGGGATTACAGGTGTGAGCCACTGTGCCCTGCCTCTATAGGCTTCTTAAACCATTTACTCAAGGCATATGTCAGACCCTGGTCAAAGTAATACAAAAAAGGTATATACAAAAATTGTGTTAACTCCAAAAGGTGGAATGTAACTCTTTGAGAACTACTCCAATAAGTAAACTCAGGTATTATACACATATAGGAAGGAGAACTGTTGCCACTGGTGAATTGTTCGTAGCTTTCACTCTCCTCATGGGTATTCATTTTTAAAGAAAGTCTCCCTCTGTCACCCAGGTTGGAGAGCAGTGGTGCAATCATAGCTCACTGTAGCCTTGAACTCTTGGGCTTCTCCAGCCTCAGCCTTCTGAAGTAGCTGGGACCACAGGTGCTTGCCACCACACTTGGCTAATTTTTGTATTACTGGTAGAGATGAGGTTTTGCCATGTGGCCCAGGCTGGTCTTGAACTCCTGTGCTCAAGCAGTCTTTCTGTCACGGCTTCCCAAAGTGCTGGGATTATAGCTGTGAGGCATTGTGCCTGGCTCTGCCTCAGCCTCTTCAGTAGTTGGAAGTACAGGCACAGGCCACCTCGGCTAGCTAACTTTTAAAATTATTTAATAATTTGTCTTTTAATAGCTTTTGTAGACAGTCTTACTCTGTCACGCAGGCTGGTGTGCAGTGGCAGGATCATGGCTCACTGCAGCCTCGACCTCCCTGGGCTCCGGTGATCTTCCTATCTCAGTCTCTCAAGTGGCTGGGACTACAGGCATGTGACACAACACCCAGGTAATGTTCGTATTTTTTGTAGTTACAGGGTTTTGCCTTGTTGTTCATTCTGGTCTCAAACTCTGGGTTGCTAACAATCCTCCCACCTTGGCATCCTGTAGTGCTGGGGTTACAGGCTTGAGCTATGGCACTCGGCCTCCCAGGTAGTTGTTGAAAGGCCTGGCCTGAGGCCAGGCGCGGTGGCTCACGCCTGTAATCCCAGCACTTTGGGAGGCCGAGGCAGGCGGATCACCTGAGGTCAGGAGTTCGAGACCAGCCTCAACATGGAGAAACCCCATCTCTACTAAAAATACAAAATAACCGGGAGTGGTGGTGCATGCCTGCAATCCCAGCTACTTGGGAGGCTGAGGCAGGAGAATTGTTTGAACCTGGGAGGCGGAGGTTGCAGTGAGCCGAGATTGCGCCATTGCACTCCAGCCTGGGCAACAACAGCAAAACTCCGTCTCAAAAAAAGAAAAAAAATGAAAGGCCTGGCCTGCCAATGGTTCGAGTGGCCTCTCCCCCCACCCATCCACGGTCCCTCCCTTCAGGTACCACTGCAAATTTGCAGAGGGTAACAGAGGCTGAGGCCAGTATGGAGGCTGCAGAGGGAGGGAAATGGAGCTCCCATGGGTGCTTCCTGGGCGGCCCAACCTATTCTGCATGTGGCCTCCAGCTGTTCAGAGCAGCTCCAGGAGTGTGGATTCTGATAAGCCGCAGAGCCCTGGAAAGCAAGAGACTATGTGCAGATGTCCTTGGCAGGGCGCTGTCCCTTCTGTGGTTGGACCTCTGGAGCCTGGGGCCATATTCGGGAACAGTGTTTTGGTTCTGACATGCATAGGGTCCCTGGGGTCAGACGGTAATCTGTATATATGAAGAAAATCTGTGAAGGTCAGGTTTGGAGACAGAATTGTTTGGGACCTCACCTGCAGAAACAGTTTATGAAGTTGACTATTTAGCTCAGAAGCTTAGACTGTCACCTGGTAAGAGTTTCCTGCTGGTAAATGTGAAGGTCTGGAAGGAGGGAGCATTTCCACACTGTGAGGAGGGGATGGGGGAGTATGAGAGAAAGCCTTGGCTATGTCTCATCCTCAGTTGCCACCCCCTGAAGGACACCTGCCTCTCCCTCCTGGTCCAATCATGCCTGACCTGGTCTTGGTTCCTCTCTGACTCTGAGGTGACGAGATTGCCCTGCTGGACACTGAGTCTGGAATTCCCAGTACACACTTGTAACCCCAATGGAGAAGAAAGGAGCAGGAACAGCTCTTTGAGTGAGGAAAAAGATAGTGCCCTGTCTAAAATTCGGGAGCAAATTTCACTAAAATGAAAATATCCAATGACCAAGTTGTAGGGAGGGAGCTGGCCCTTAGATGGTGGCTAGAACCCCTCACTTCTGCTCCCCAGGTCCAGTTACCCAGGGCTTCTACTGTCACTCTGGGATGAGGGGATGGGGGCCTGGACCTCTGTCCAATCAGGAGTGCTGGGGCGGGGCCCTGCCAACTGTCTGTCCTGGGAAGGTGGGGACGCATTCCCGCTCTCACCTTGGTGACCTTGCCTACTGAGATTGGGATCCAGTCTTTCCCGCTGTGAAAGGGACCAGGTCCCTACACCACAACTGCCGTCGCTCTGTCGCCTGCACTGTGACCTGCACTAGTCACGGGAGCCCTAGAGAGATAAGCCAGGACGCCTGGAAATGGTGAGTGTTTGGGGCCAGCTACCCGAAACCCGGCAGGGGCTGGGTGGAAACGGCCAGAACCGGCTGTGACGGGACCCCAGGCCCCCTGCAGGCGACTTCAGGGTTTGGGACCCGAGTTCTGGCACATCTCGGCCCTCAGTCTCCTCGGCCGCAAGGTGGGGTTGTGCCAGCAGCCGGGACCTTGGGCGTCCTGTCCCGTCCCTGCCTGGTGACTGCGGTCCCGGAGCCCTCTGTGGGCAGCTCCGCCCCCGCAACCTCGCGTCTGTGCGGGGGCCACACATGACATAAGGAGAGTCCTGCCTTGGGTGTAGGGTTCGTGTGGGAGGAGCTGCGGTCCCTGGGGCCCCCAGTACGTTTTTTTCCTGTTAAACTGGGCCGGGGGTGGTGGCTCACGCCTGTAATCCCAGCACTTTGGGAGGCCGAGGCAGGCGGATCACGAGGTCGGAAGATCGAGACCATCCTGGCTAACATGGTGAAACCCCGTCTCTACTAAAAATACAAAAAACTAGCCGGGTGTGGTGGCGTGCGCCTATACTCCCAGCTACTCGGGAGGCTGCAGCAGGAGAATGGCGTGAACCCGGGAGGCGGAGCTTGCAGTGAACCGAGATCACGCCACTGCACTCCGGCCTGGGCGACACAGCCAGACTCCGTCTCAAAAAAAAAAAAAAAAAAAAAAAAAGGGAGCTTCTGGGTTGCTGAACACATGGCGAGGCTGGGATGGTGGGACACCCAGAGAGAGCAGGGAGGCTCTGTATCCCCCTACTCCACATCTTGCTCTATCATCCTCATCTGGCTGTTCAGCTATATCCTTTGTAATGTCCTTTACAATATATAGGTAAACAAAAAATTAAACTGAGGCACTGTTAAAAATTAAACAGTTTGAACATATGGTGATTTATGAATGAGAATCACCCAGTCGTGGTTTGTGGTTTGTTATCGAAAAATTTAGAAGAATTGCATTTTAGTTGTGTTTCGATTCCTTAGGTAGAACCTTAGTGCACTACAAACACTTTGGTCCAATTGCTGCTCTTAATTTCTTCACACTGCCTATGGGGACTGGTTTATCCCTGCATTTTCCTCATCTATGGGATACAGGGTCTCAAATCCTCAACCCTGTGACCCCAGCCTAACTCTTGTAGTAATGTTAGGAAATTTTCAATTTCTTCCCCAAATCTCCAAACGTTAACCCTTTTTCTCCAATTCACAGTATTATCAACGATTTGTTCTTTATTGTAGAGTATATTTCTTCATCCTTTCTCTCACATCGATGCAGTTTTTAATGGTTATCATTTTTTCACAGGGTCCATGGATGACAATTTAAAAATATTTGTGTTGTTTCTGAACATTTCACATAAGAGGAAAGTAGAGAATAATCATGTTACACACCAGTGAAAAAACCCTTATTTTATTTATTTATTTTATTTTTTTTTGTGAGACGGAGTCTTGCTCTGTTGCTCAGGCTGAAGTGCAGTGGTGCAGTCTCAGCTCATTGCAACCTCTGCCTCCTGGGTTCAGGCGATTCTCTTGCCTCAGCCTCCCGCGTAGCTGGCATCCACCACCACGCCCAGCTAATTTTGGTATTTTTTAGTAGAGACAGGATTTCTCCATGTTAGCCAGGCTGGTCTTTTAACTCCTGATCTCAGGTGATCTGCCCACCTCGGCCTCTCAAAGTGCTGGGATTACAGGGGTGAGCAACTGCACCCGGCCCACTGATGTATTTCAAACAGGTTACCTTATGGTGATATTCAGTCTTTATTTAAGGATATATGACATCTTTCCATTTATTACCCTTTACTTTGATGTCTTTCAGTATATACTTTTTGCATAATAATTATTTTATATCCTTCCTGAGAATTTTAGGGATTTCAAGAAAGTTAATTGTGGTTGCAGTGGCTCATGCCTATAATTCCAGCACTTTGGGAGGCCAAGGCAGGCAATTCACTTGAGGCCAGGAGTTCAAGACCACTCTGGGCAACATGGCAAAACCTTGTCTTTACTAAAAATATTAACATAAAAATTAGCAGCCGGGTGCGGTGGCTCACTCCTGTAATCCTAGCACTTTGGGAGGCCAAGGCAGGAGGATTGCCTGAGCTTAGGAGTTCAGGACCAGCCTGGGCAACACAGTGAAACCTCATCTCTACTAAGATACAAAAACTTAGCCAGGCGTGGCTGTGTGCGCCTATAATCTCAGCTACTTGGGAGGCTGAGGCAGGAGAATCACTTGAGCCCGGGAGGCAGAAGTTACAGTGAGCCGAGATCACGCCACTGCACTCCAGCCTGGGAGACAGAGGAAGACTCCGTCTCAAAAAAAAAAAAAAAAAATTACATTCAACGAGTTGTTGCTGGCAATTCAACATGCACTGAGATTTATTTCTTTATAGAGTTTGCATTGTAGAAACTGAAAATATTGCATATGCACCAAATACATAAAACAGTTCACAATGAACCAAAATACTGATGGAGCCAGTATTGTAAATTATAATTTCCTTATGTTTCTTCATAGTTTCACAACCTGTATGTGTGTATATATGTGTATGTGTCTCTGTGTGTGTGTGTGTGTATATATATATATATATTTTTTAATTTTTTGTATTTTTAGTAGAGACAGGGTTTCACCGTGTTAGCCAGGATGGTCTCGATCTCTTGACCTCATGATCCGCCCGCCTCAGCCTCCCAAAGTGCTGGGATTACAGGCGTGAGCCACTGCACCCGGCCTTATTTTTTTATTTTTTAAAAAGTACTTTATGGATGGGGGTTATCACTATTTTGCTCAGGGTTTTCTGGAATTCCTAGTCTGAAGCAATCCTCTTGCCTTGTCTTTCCAAAATAGTTAGATTACAGGCATGATACACCATGCCTGGCCACTAATTTCTTTTTTTTTTTTTTTTTTTTTTTTTTTGAGACGGAGTCTCGCTCTGTCACCCAGGCTGGAGTGCAGTGGCACGATCTCGGCTCACTGCAAGCTCCACCTCCTGGATTCACGCCATTCTCCTGCCTCAGCCTCCCGAGTAGCTGGGACTACTGGCACCCACCACCACTCCTGGCTAATTTTTTTTTTTGTATTTTTAGTAGAGACGGGGGTTTCATCGTGTTAGCCAGGATGGTCTTGATCCGCCCGCCTTGGCCTCCCAAAGTGTTGGGATTACATGGGTGAGGTACCGCACCTGGCCACCTGGCCACTAATTTCTTTTTTTTTTTCTTTTTTTTTTTTTTTTTTTTTGATACGGAGTCTCCTCTGTCACCCAGGCTGGAGTGCAGTGGCGGGATCTCGGCTCACTGCAAGCTCCGCCTTCTGGGTTCACGCCATTCTCCTGCCTCAGCCTCCCGAGTAGCTGGGACTACAGGCGCCCGCCACTGCGCCCAGCTAGTTTTTTGTATTTTTAGTAGAGACGGGGTTTCACCGTGGTCTCGATATCCTGACCTCATGATCCGCCTGCCTCGGCCACCCAAAGTGCTGGGATTACAGGCGTGAGCCACCGCGCCCGGCCTTCTTTTTTTTGTTTTTTTTTTTGAGACGGAGTTTCACTCTTGTTGCCCAGGCTGGAGTGCAATGGCACGATCTCGGCTCCCTGCAACCTCTGCCTCCCAGGTTCAGGCGATTCTCCTGCCTCAGCCTGAGTGTCTGGGATTACAGGCGCACACCACCACACCTGGCTAATTTTGTATTTTTAGTAGAGACGGGGTTTTGCCATGTTGGTCAGGCTGGTCTTGAACTCCTGACCTCAGGTGATCCACCTACCTCAGCTTCCCAAAATGCTGGGATTACAGGTGTGAGCCACCGCACCCGGCCACTAATTTCTTTTTTTTTTTTTTTTTTTTCTTTGAGACGGAGTCTCACTCTTTTTGCCCAGGCTGGAGTGCAATGGTGCAATCTCAGCTCACTGCAACTTCCGCCTCCTGGGTTCAAGCGATTCTCCTGTCTCAGCCTCTCAAGTAGCTGGGATTAAAGGCGTCCACCACCACGCTCGGCTAATTTTTTGTATTTTTAGTAAAGATGAGGATTGTGGCCAGGCTGGTTCCGAACTCCTGACCTCAAATGATCCACCCGCCTTGGCCTCCCAAAATGCGAGGATTTCAGGTGTGAGCCACTGTATCTGGCCACTAATTTCTTTTTATCACTGAATAATTTATTGAAAAGTTCATCTTGAGCTGGGCTTGGTGCCTTATGCCTGAATTGCCAGCTATATGGGAAGCTGAGGTAGGAGGATTGCTTGAGGCCAGAAGTTGGAGATCAGCCTGGTAGATACAGTGAGATCCCCCATGTCTTGGGGAAAAAAAAATTTGCTCATCTTGTCTGACTTTAGTTTTTGGGAAATATGGATAAGGCTGCTGAAAACGTCTTTGTGAGGACTTTTCTGGGGACATGAGCTTTCAATTCATTGGGGTCAATATGTAGTAGGGTTACTGATGAATCATGTGGTAAGACCATGCTTATCTTCAGAGCTCACCAGACTGTCTTACAGAGTGACTGTAGAATATTCCATTCACATCAACAGTGAATGGGAGTTCCTGTGGCTTCCCTTTTTTTTTTTTTTTTTTGAGATGGGGTCTCGCTCTGTTGCCCAGGCTAGAGTGCAGTGGTGCGATCTTGGCTCACTGCAACCTCCACCTTCTGGGTTCAAGCATTCTCCTGCTCAACCTCCCAAGTAGCTGGAATTACAGGCACTCGCCCAGCTAATTTTTGTATTTTTAGTAGAGATGAGTTTCACCATGTTAGGCAGGCTGGTCTCAAACTCCTGACCTCAGGTGATCCACCTGCCTCAGCCTCCTAAAGTGCTGGGATTACAGGCGTGAGTCACTGTACCCAGCCTGCCTATCTTTAATCAACTAGTTTATTTCATACAATAATCAATCATTATTATAAAAAACATAAAATTTACCAGCTTAAACAGTTTGATGTATACAGTTGAATTAGCTTGAGAACTCTACATAACATCTAATATGAATTATACTTATTTTTTTTTTGGCTACTGGCTTTTTACAATTATAGCATCCTGTCTGAGGTTTCATGCATGTTGCAGCAGGGGCCAGGATGTTATTTTCCAAGACTGAACAATATCCTGTTGTATTTATATGCTTACCATATTTAGGTTATCCATTTAGCCTCTCAGTGGGTATGTGCATTGGTCCACCTCTTAGCTATTGTGAAAAATGCTTTTCAAATATGTCTTCAAGATCAGGCTTTACATGGCAACAGCAGACTCTGGGGATTACTTGAGATAGGAGAAAGGGAGAAGGGCAAGTGTTGAAATACTACTGGGTACTATGCTGTGTACCTGGGTAACAGGATCATTTGTACTGCAGAGCTCGAAATCTGAAAGTGCTGGAATTACAGGCATGAGCCACCATGCCCAGCCCTGTTCTTTGGTTTTTAAAATTCAAGTAGACGTTGGGCACAGCAGCTGGCTATAGTGTTAGCTTCTTGAAAGGCTGAAGTGGAAAAATCGCCGTAGCCCAGGGATTGGAGGATTTAGTGCACCATGATCTCACCTGTGAATAGCTACTGCACTCCAACCTGGGTTACATAGCAAGACTCTGTCTCTAAAAAAAGGAAAAAAAAAGCCAGGCGCAGTGGCTCATGCCTGCAATCCCAGCACTTTGGGAGGCCAAGGCAGGTGGATCACCTGAGGTCAGGAGTTTGAGACCAGCCTGGCCAACATTGTGAAACCCCATCTCTACTAAAAGTACAAAAAATTAGGTGGGTGTGGTGGCAGGTGCCTGTAATCCCAGCTACTCGGAAGGCTGAGGCAGGAGAATCACTTGAACTTGAGAGGCAGGGGTTGTGGTGAGCCAAGATCGCGCCATTGCACCCCAGCCTAAGCCACAAGAGCGAGACTCCTTCTCAAAAAAAAAAAAAAGATTCTAATTGTTTCTTTTACATTACTGATTTGAACTAATGAAAAAAAAGTTTAAAGTTTGTTAAACAATAAAAGTGAATTTGATTTAGAATTCTGACTGAGGACTATAGGCAAATATCCATAACCTGGGAGCAGTTCCGTCTCACTGCTCCTATGCAGTATTTTGGTTCAGCTCATGTATAGATGGTGAGGATTCATTATGTGAAAAATCACATCTAAGTTTGGGTGCAAGAGTACATCTGGCCATAGTTCAGAGAGGCATAATCACTAACCCCATCAGATATTATCTTATGTGTTACAAAATTAGCTAATTTCTCAGACCAAACCCCACTTTGAATGATTGCCCTCATTACTCATTTGGGTCCTGGAGGTCCACATTCTTTTGTTTTTTTTTTTTTTTTTTTTTTTGAGACGGAGTCTCGCTCTGTTGCCCAGGCTGGAGTGCAGTGGCACGATCTCAGCTCACTGCAAGCTCCGCCTCCAAGGTTCACGCCATTCTCCTGCCTCAGCCTCCCAAGTAGCTGGGACTACAGGCGCCCGCCACCACGCCCAGCTAATTTTTTTATTTTTAGTAGAGACGAGGTTTCACCGTGTCAGCCAGGAGGGTCTCGATCTCCTGACCTCGTGATCCGCCCACCTCGGCCTCCCAAAGCGCTGGGATTACAGGCGTGGGCCACCGCGCCTGGTGGAGGTCCACATTCTTTACCTACCCTGCCGTGTGGCCCCGGAAGCTGACTTCCAAGTACCACAGCAGTCAGGTTCCCATAGCCTCTGGCTTTCGGTTGGCCCAGTTCATGGGAGGTGCTGCCAGGAAAGCAGGTAATAGGAGAGAAAATCAGGATCTCTAGTCCATTGGCTGCCACCCTGCTGTCCTGAGAGGTTGGCAGTCATCCTTTCCTCTGCTCCTGCTGAATGGCCCTCTACTAAAGCTCAGGGTGTTCCTGGGGTCTCATAACAGCTCTGTCTTGTCTCTGCCTCAGGCCTAGTGATGTGCTTTGCTCCCTGCTGTTGGTGGACTGCTCCTCTTGTGGGTATATCACAGGCTCCCTGTAATGCTATTGGTTCTGTATTTTAAATAATAATTTCTCTCACTTAACTACACTTTTGAGTGTTACACTCTTCCTTCCTGATCTATGTCCAAAACAGAAGTCTCAATAACATGCAAAGATGCAGTGTGTTAAGCAAAAGTGGAAGATAACGAGACCATTTCAGGTAGATTCATATGCTGCAGTCCTACAATGGTGTATGGTTAACATAGGAAAATGAGGCCATTGGGGTGACTTAGCTCAGGTTGTGCTAATGAAATGCCATGGGCTGAGCTTCTCAAACAGCGACATTATTTTTTATTTTTTAAACATTTCTCCAGCATGAGATATCTAAAATCTAGCTGCCAGGCAATATGATTCCTGGTAAAGACCAAGTTCCTGGCTGGGATATAGACACCTTCTTGCTATACCCTCATATGGAAGAAAGAGTGAGTGTTTTCTCCCTCTCTCTTCCCGCCCGCCTTGGCTTTCCAAAGTGTTGGGATTACAGGTGTGAGGCACTGTGCCCAGCCTTCGTTGGAAGTCACTAATGCCACCATTAGAGTCCAACCTTGTGACCTTATGTAACCCGAATTATTTCCTTAAGTGCTCATCTTCAAATGACATCATGTTGGGGTATAGAGATTCAAAGTATGAATTTGGTGGGTGACTAAATTCAATACACAGCAAGGGTACAAGAAAGAAGTTCATAAAAGGGGCTTTGGACCCATGCATGCAGATCTGACTGTACAGATTGCCAGATGGTGAGCATGTTCAATGGAGAGAGGTCACAGATAGCTATATATTAGCATGTAGGGGCCAGGGGCAGTGGCTTATGCCTGTAATCCTAGCACTTTGGGAGGCCAAGGTGAGCAGATCACTTAAGGTCAGGAGTTTGATACCAGCCTGGCCAATATGGAGAAACCCCATCTCTCCTAAAAATACCAAAAATTAGCCAGGCGTGGTGGCACATGCCTGTAGTCCCAGCTACTCAGGAGGTTGAGACATGAGAATCGCCTGAACCCGGGGTGGGAGAGGTTGCAGTAAGCCGAGATTGTACCACTGCATTCCAGCCTGGGCGACAGAGTGACACTCTGTCTCAAAAAAAAAAAAAAAAATACACACACACACACACAAAACAGACTGGGCACGGTGGCTAACACCAGAAGTCCCAGCACTTTGGGAGGCGCAGTCAAGCGGATCACCTGAGGTCAGGAGTTGGAGACCAGCCTGGCTAACATGGTGAATGAAACCCTGTCTCTACTAAAAATACAAAACAATTAGTCAGGCATGGTGGCACTCACCTGTAATCCCAGCTACTTGGGAAGCTGAGACAGGAAAATCAATTGAATCTGGGAGGCGGAGGTTGCAGTGAGCCGAGATCACGCCATTGCACTCCAGCCTGGGCGACAAGAGCAAAACTCCCTCTAAAAAAAACCACAAAAACAAAAACTTATGCTGGGACAAAAGTCATGATCAAGGACTGTTCTTGGGAAACCAGAATATATGGTTAGATAATTTTTTTCTTTTTTTCTTTTTTTGAGACAGTCTCGTTCTGTCACCCAGGCTGGAGTGCAGTGGTGCGATCCTGGCTCACTGCTTACCTCCGCCTCCCAGGTTCAAGCGATTCTCCTGCCTCAGCTTCCTCAGTAGCTGAGACTACGGGTTTGTGCCTGGCTAATTTTTGTATTTTTAGTAGAGACAGTGTTTTGCCATGTTGGCCAGGCTGCTCTCAAACTCCTGACCTCTGGTGATTGCCTACCTCGGCCTCCCGAAGTGCTGGGATTACAGGTGTGAGCCACTGCACCCAGCCTGGTCAGATAACTTCTGAGACAGTTTTGTACTTTTATGAGGGTAGGTAATGTGGGAAATGCATTAGAGCAGCAGTCCCCAACCTTTTTGGCACCAGGGACCAGTTTCGTGGGAGAAAAGTTTTTCACAGAGGAGGGTGGGGAGATGGTTTTTGGATGAAACTGTTTCACCTCAGCTCATCAGGGATTAGTTTCTCATAAGGAGCATGCAACCTAGATCTCTCACATGTGCAGTTCACAATAGGGTTATCAACCCAAGAAAATCTAATACCACTGCTGCTCTGACAGGAGGCAGAGCTTAGGCAGTAACGCTCACTCGCTTCTGCTTACCTCCCGCTGTGTGGCCTAGTTCCTAACAGGCCATGGACAGGTACCCGTCTGTACCCGAGAGTTGGGGACACGTGAATTAGAGGACACTCAGGTGGTGTTCAGTGGAGAATGGATGGCTTGTTTGCTGTGTGAGAAAATCTTCCACATATTTGGTCATAGAGATATTGCATTGTGTGAATGCACAGGAAAAACATTTTGAGTTTTTCCACTCTTAGATCCCTGTGCAATTTTGAGAAATCCAGTCACAACAGTGTGTGGATGTTAATGCCGCCCTTACCACAAGAGGGAGCTTCATTGACGTTGCCTTTCTGGAAAATGGTTCAAAGGACTTTGTTGGAAATTCTACTCTACTCTACTCTACTGTATTTATGTTATGTTATGTTGTTATGTTATGTTATGTTATGTTATGTTATGTTATGTTATGTTATGTTATGTTATTTTAGAGACAAGGTCTTGCTCTGTTGCCCAGGCTGGAGTGCAGTGTTGCAGTCTCAGCTCACTGCAACCTCTGCCTCCCAGGTTCAAGTGATTCTCCTGCTTCAGCCTCCCGAGTAGCTGGGATTACAGGTGGCCACCACCCCAGCCGGCTAATTTTTGTACTTTTAGTAGAGACAGGGTTTCACTATGTTGGCCAGGCTGGTCTAGAACTCCTGACCTCAAGTGATCCGCCCGCCTTGGCCTCCCAAAGTGCTGGGATTATAGGCATAAGCCGCCGTGCCTGGCCCCTGAAATACTTTTTAATATAGGGTGTAAGCCAGGCGCGGTGGCTCACATCTGTAATACAAATACAAATACAAAAATTAACCAGGTGTGGTAGTGCGTGCCTGTAATCCCAGCTACTCGGGAGGCTGAGGCAGGAGAATTGCTTGAACCCAGCAGGTGAAGGTTGCAGTGAGCTGAGATCGCACCACTGCACTCAAGCCTGGCGACAGAGCGAGACTCTGTCTCAAAAAAAAAAAAAGTGTGTAACAGTTGGTGAAAAGGTTCAAAAAAAAAAAGAAAAGAAAAGAAAGGTGACACTTAAATTTACATGACTTTTTTTTTTTTTTTTTTGAGACAGCGTCTTGCTCTGTCACCCAGGCTGGAGTGCAGTGGCACAATCTTGGCTCAATGCAAGCTCTGCCTCCCAGGTTCATGCCATTCTCCTGCCTCAGCCTCCTGAGTAGCTGGGACTACGGGCGCCCGCCACCACGCCCGGCTAATTTTTTGTATTTTTAGTAGAGACAGGGTTTCACCATGTTAGCCAGGATGGTCTCGATCTCCTGACCTCGTGATCTGTCTACCTTGGCCTCCCAAAGTGCTGGGATAACAGGCGTGAGCCACCGCACCCAGCCTACATGACTTAACTTTTTACCTTGTTAAACAGAGAGCAATCAACCCTGTGAACGTTATGTTCCAGATTCTGACAAGTGTGTTGAAAAAATTCTACACACTAAATGAAATAGGAGTAATGGGTGAGAGAGTGTGACCTTGAGTTTCAAGTTGGGGTAAGGGGGGCGGAAAAGAAGACAGTGTCTTGAGGTGGTGACATCTGTAGTGAGATCTGAAATGACGTGTTAGTATATGAAGTCAGGAAAGAGGATTCTGGGAAGATGGCAGAATAGGAAGTATCAAGCAGAAACTACAGGAAGCCATTTTTGTGAACTGAGTTCCTCTGCTGGGCCCTCAGAAACCAGACCTACCCCAGCGATTAGGAAATTACACCTAGGCAATCGTCATTGCCCCACACGCTACAAAGAACGTTCAGTAGACAATGGCTTGAGAAATGCGCCCAGTCCAATCTTTGGGTAAGCCAGGTGCAGAGATGTACAAAAAGACTGTCCTTGGCAAAGTTCTATGGTCACATGATGTTTGAGGCAGTTCTGCATATCATATGAGGGCCTTATTGGAGTTCTTGTGTATCTCTGCCAAGAGAGTACTGCACAGCAGAGGTCATTATTGCAACTTCCGTGCCATTTATTTATTTTGAGACAGAGTCTTGCTCTTTTGCCAGGCTGAAGTGCAGTGGCACGATCTCAGCTCACTGCAGTCTCTGCCTCCCGGGTTCAAGGGATTCCTCTGCCTCAGCCTCCTGAGTAGCTGGGACTATAGGAGCCCGCCACCACGCCCGGCTAATTTTTTGTATTTTAGTAGAGACAGGTTTCACCATGTTGGCCAGAATGGTCTCAATCTCCTGACTTCATGATCCGCCCGCCTCGGCCTCCCAAAGTGCCGGGATTACAGGCATGAGCCACTGCACCCAGCCACTTCTGTGCCATTTAATTGTTCACCAGTTGCCACAGGTCTATCTGTGTACACCTGAGTTGCTTGAGTGGTTCTAAACAAATGAATTTAACTTTCATTGTGGTGTTGAATTTTTGTATATACCTTTTATGAATTATTTTGACCGTGGGCTGACCAATATCATGAGTAAAAGATTTAAAAGGTCTAGAGGAGCCAGGCATGTTGGCTCATGCCTATAATCCCAGCACTTTGGGAGGCCGAGGCAGATGGATCGCTTGAGGCCAGGAGTTTAGAGACCAGTCTGGCCAACATGGTGAAACTCCAATTCTACAAAAAACACAAAAATTAACTGGGCATGGTGGTGTTCGCCTGTAGTGCCAGCTACTTGGGAGGTTGTGACGAGACTTGCTTGAACCTGGGAAGCAGAGGTTGCAGTGAGCTGAGATCGTGCCACTGCAATTCAGCCTAGGCAACAGAGCGACACTCTGTCTCAAAAAAAAAAAAAAAAAAGCCATAGGTAGGAAGCAAAATGTAAATAATGAGAAAAATATATATCTTAAGTTCACATTTGAAATATGTAAGAAAATTTGGTGATGCTGCAAATAAACTGAGGATTGTAATTATATAAATTACAAGTTTTTCCTGAGAAAAAACACATTTTCAACCTAAGTACATTGATCTTAAAGGATTTTTCCTTTGCTTTTTGACCTTGCTTTGTGAAAAAGTGCAAAAATAAGACATGAATAGTCAAAATAAGAATTTTTGGGCCAGGCGTGGTGGCTCACACTTATAATCCCAGCACTTTGGGAGGCCGAGGTGGGCGGATCACGAGGCCAGGAGATCGAGACCATCCTGGCTAACATGGTGAAACCCTGTCTCTACTAAAAAAAAAAATACAAAAAAATAGCCAGGCGTGGTGGCGGGCACCTGTAGTCCCAGCTACTCGGGAAGCTGAGGCAGGAGAATGGCGTGAACCAGGGAGGCGGAGGCTTGCAGTGAGCCGAGATCGCGCCACTGCCCTCCAGCCTGGGCAACAGAGCAAGACTCCATCTCAAAAAAAAAAAAAGGAATTTTTGGCCAGGCATGGTGGCTCACACCTGTAATCCTGGCACTTTGGGAGGCCGAGGCAGGTGGATCACATGAGGTCAGGAGTTTGAGACCAGCCTGGCCAACATGGTGAAACCCTGTCTACTAAAAATACAAAAAAATAGCCAGGCATGGTGGCAGGTGCCTGTAATTCCAGCTACTTGGGAGGCTGAGGCAGGAGAATCACTTGACCCCAGGAGGCAGAGGTTGCGGTGAGCCAAGATTGCACCACTGTCCTCCAGACTCTGTCTCCAAAAAAAAAAAATTCATATCTCACAAATCAAGGTATTTTCCATATGTCATCACACATAGTTAAGGTTTGGTCAGTCAGTGATTGCTTCTATGTCTGCTGGGACTGGGATTTTTACTCTAGGGAGACTGAAATAAGCTTTTGTGAAGAGAAGCACCCATGACACCTTAAAGGAAATGATCGGATTGTTCCATGCATGACTTTTCCACGATGTCATTAGCTTCATAATATTAGCATAAGAGGGTTCCTGACAAGTTTGCATCAACAGCATGTTACCAGAGAAAGAAAGACTTGATTGGAATAGTGATGCTGACTTTGTTCTTTACTGGGCAGGAAATTCAGTTTTCAAAAACATATTGGCCCCATAGGACTCAAGGTGATTTTTTTAAAAAAGTAGTAGCCAATTGTGGTGGCTCATGTCTGTAATCCCAGAACTTGGGGAGATGGAGACAGAAGAATCACATGATCCAGCAGTCAATGACCAGCCTGGGAAACAGGGAGACTCCATCTCTACAAAAAATAAATAAATAAAATCATAGTATATACCTTGATAAGAAGTGAATTTATAGATTTTAACTGAGGTATGTTATGGTTAACAATGTCCATAAATTGTAGGGAATATATCAGGGTTTAGAGAATAGTATGGTAAAAACTGGTCCAGAAGTCTGATGGCTGGCCTCCCCTCGCCAGAAGGCCGAGTCTTTTGCCCCTGAACAGGCACATGTCATACACCTGCAATGTGAGATGATGCTCTTCAGTGACCATGATGGATCAATACAAAAATAACTAATTCTTGGCAGGGCACAGTGGCTCATGCCTGTAATCCCAGCACTTTGGGAGGCCGAGGCGGGTGGATCACGAAGTCAGGAGATCGAGACCATGGTGAAACCCTGTCTCTACTAAAAATACAAAAAATTAGCCAGGCGCGGTGGCGGGCACCTGTAGTCCCAGTTACTTGGGAGGTTGAGGCAGGAGAATGGCGTGAACCAGGAAGCGGAGCTTGCAATGAGCCGAGATCGAGTCACTGCACTCCAGCCTGGGCGACAGAGCAAGACTCCGTCTCAAAAAAAAAAAAATTAAAATAAAAAAAAACCTCATTCTTTAACCATGTCTTGAAATGTGACAGAAGAAAACACTTTAAATTGCAAACATACCCCAAATTTTTCTCTTCTCACGAAATGTGACTATCTTTTAATATCTCACACATCTCACAGTCATCTATGGCTTTTGGTCATATTCATTACCACAGTATATTATTACACCCTCTTTGACGACACTTATGCCACTGGTGGTCTTTGGTCAGAAGTCACTCATAAGAACATGAGATCACCTTTGGTATTTAGAATAGATGAAAATTCATGATCCAGATAAAAACTAAGAATATAAGCATGAAAAGTAAAATCTACATGAGGAAAAATATGCCTGACATCCACATGGCAACACTGACTCACAGTGACCACCGGATAACATGGTAACATTATCAACTTGATCTAATACATGATGTTAATGGGAGGTTGTAATGTAGCTTCTTCATTAAAAAATAATAATTGTTAGTATGCAGTTGTTATAAACAGTTAATAAGCTTATTTCTAAAATACATGAACAGAAGTATTTGTTGCCAAGAAACCGCATTAGTGTTTTTAGTCAGGTATACTCATACAAAGTTAAAAACGAAGTGAGACATTACATTCAGTTGTGAATAACAGCAAATGCTTGAAATTTCCTGATAAGAGCAAGGTGGCTCTTCTCACATAAAAGCCCTTGGTGAGACCAATCACTGCACAATGCAGCAGAGGAACAAGCTCCCATCTAGTTGGTTTAATCAAGAACAGGCTCGCTAATCCGTAGAAACAACAATGCTTGCAATACAAAGTAGACCTCTTAAACCAACTCAATCTATAGAAGAGTTGGGCATCAGTGAGTATTTCCAGCCATAACAACATTTATTAGTTCTCTGGTAAACATTTTAACATTTCTGAAGAAACAGCAAAGTGGGCATGTATCTTTAATGTGGAGCACTGGGGACATATCTGGAGACCTACAACTCTGAGGAACAGAGACAAGTGATTTGGGGGATATTCTCGATTAACAAGCCAAAGAATCAGGAAAATGGGCTGGAAGCGGGTAGCCACACACCTCTCTCCCTGTGTGGGGCCTCTAATATGTGACTGATGCCTTCCTTTTCTGTGCCTTTGAAATCTCATGCAAGATTGGCTATAGGTGAATTGTATTACGAAACCATCCAAGTTCTTCTAGATTTTATTGTCCTATCGCAAGTCTCTCTTCTCAATTCAAAAAGCAGTTATCCAGAGGTTCTTTCACCACTCTCTTTTCTTGTGTTTCAAAGGAAGTGGGACAACAGAAAGCTTCTCCCGTTGCTTCCACTAAAAGGATTTCTCATCTATTAATGGTATGAGTTCTTTCATGTTCTCGACATGAACTGGCACGAATAAAGGCTTTGCCACATTGCTTGCATTGATAGGGTTTCTCTCCAGTGTGAGTCCTTTCATGATATCGAATGTAATTGGAAATAAAGGCCTTACCACAGTGCTTACATTCATAGGGTTTCTCTCCAGTGTGAGTCCTTTCATGATATCGAATGGAACTGGAACAAGTGAAGGCTTTGCCACATACCTTACACTCATATGGCTTATCTCCAGTGTGTGTCCTTTCATGTATATGCAAGGAAGAGAAATACCTGAATGCTTTTCCACATTGCTTACATTCATGGGGCTTCTCTCCAGTGTGCGTCCTTTCATG
Organism: Homo sapiens; assembly: GCF_000001405.40. Classification (NCBI taxonomy): domain Eukaryota; kingdom Metazoa; phylum Chordata; class Mammalia; order Primates; family Hominidae; genus Homo; species Homo sapiens. The sequence goes on from NC_000019.10 coordinate 12,132,950, forward strand.
TATACGCAAGGAAGAAAAATACTTGAATACTTTTCCACATTCCTTACATTCATGGGGTTTCTCTCCACTGTGCGTCCTTTCATGAATTTGAAGTTGTGAAGCACATCTAAAGCCTTTCCCACACTGCTTACATCCATAGGGTTTATCCTCAGTGTGTGTCTTTTCATGCCTTTGAAGGTCCGAGGTACATCTGAAGGCTTTACCACATTGCCTACATTCATAGGGTTTCTCTCCAGTGTGAGTCCTTCCATGCTTTTGAAGGTGTGAGCCACATCTAAAGGCTTTCCCACACTGCTTACATTCATAGGGTTTCTCTCCAGTGTGAGTCATCTTATGATACTGAATGGAACTGAAAGAAATGAAGACTTTCCCACATTGCTTACACTCATAGGGTTTTTCTCCAGTGTGAGACCTTTTATGTCTACGAATTTCACTAGGAAAACTGAATGCATTCCCACATTCTTTACATTCATCGGCATTCACTCCTGTGTGAGTTCTTTCATGTACTGGAAGGGTAGTGGAACGAGTAAAGGCCTTACCACATTGTTTACACTTATATGGTTTCACACCAGTGTGAATTCGTTCATGGATAAGACATAAATTGAGAAAATAGAAGGCTTTCCCACAAAACTTACATTTATAAGGTCCATCTCCACTGTGCATTACCCTGTGTCTTTGAATGCATGAATGGGAAATGAAGGTTTCTGTACATTCTTTACCATCATAGGGTTTCTCTTTAGTGCAAGCTTTATCATGTGATTGAAAGGAGTCAAGATAACTGAAGGCTTTCTTACATTCCTTATTTCTATATGGATTCTCTCCATATTCCTGATACTCAGATGACTTGTGTCCAGTGTCAGCTCTGATATGCGTATTAAGAGATGAATGACCCGTGCCAACTTCTCCACACACACTGCTTTCACATGGTGTTATTCCAGGAAGAGTTTTCCTGTTCAGCATGTCATCTGCAATCTGGTTGAAGCTTTCTCCACAGTGATGACTTTCTTTACTTTCACAGAGTTTCTCTCTCATAAGACTTCAGTGAAAAATGAGAAGCACATTATTAACGGTTTGATTAAAAGTGACTTATAGGGCCGGGCACAGTGGCTCACTCCTGTAATCCCAGCACTTTGGGAGGCTGAGGTGGGCAGATCACCTGAGGTCAGGAGTTTGAGACCATCCTGGCCAACATGGTGAAACCCCGTCTCTACTAAAAATGCAAAAATTAGCTGGGCGTGGTGGCAGGTGCCTGTAATCCCAGCTACTCGGGAGCCTGAGTTGGGAGAATCGCCTGAACCCCAGAGGCAGAGGTTGCAGTGAGCTGAGATTGCGCCATTGTGCTCTAGCCTGGGTGACAAGGGCGAAACTCTGTCTCAAAAAAAAATAAAAAAATAAAAAAGTGATCTATATTGGCTGGGTATGGTGGGTCACGCCTGTAATCCCAGCACCATGGGAGGTTGAGGCGGGCAGATGGCTTGAGGCCAGGAGTTTGAGATCAGCCTGGCCAACATGGCGAAACCCTGTCTCTACTAAAAATACAAAAATTGGCTAGGTGTGACGGCGTGCGCTTGTAATCCCAACTACTTGGGATGCTAAGGCACGAGAATACCTCGAACCCAAGCAGTGGCAGTTGCAGTGAGCTAAAACCACACCACTCCACTCCCGCCTGGGTGACACAGCGAGACTCTTGTCTCAAAAAAGAAGAAAAAAACATGATTTATATCATTAACAACTATTGCACTTGCATTGTTAACACTGCCCGGCAAAGTGTCAGCTTTCTGCTCTGTCTGAATCATTTGAATATTAATGGACTATATGCTCTACAAGATGGTCTGGGTATATATATTTTTTTAAAATTAGTATTTCTATGGGGCTTTGTAATCCTATTTTCAAGTAAACTATTTTACAAATACTAAACATGTGCGTCTTTTTTTTTGAGTTGGGGTCTCAACTCACCCTGTTGTCCAAATTGGAGTGTAGTGGTACCAACATGGCTCACTGCAGCCTCAAACTCCTGGCCTCCAGCAATCCTTTGGTCTGAAAGCCCCAAAGGACTGGCATTTGGGGGTATGCGCAACAGTGCCCAGCCCAGCGTATGTTACATTTAAACATATGTTTTTAGGAAAACTTTCTATGAATACATAAATTTGATACTGGGCTTATTTCTTTTGCTTCTTTTTAACATTTTCTCACTTTTTTTTTTTTTTTGAGACGGAGTCTCGCTCTGTCACCCAGGCTGGAGTGCAGTGGTGCGATCTCGGCTCACTGCAAGCTCTGCCTCCCAGATTCAAGCAATTCTCCTGCCTCAGCCTCCCAAGTAGCTGGGACTACAGGCATGTGCCACCACGCCCAGCTAATTTTTTTGTATTTTTAGTAGAGACAGGGTTTCACCATATTGGCCGGGCTGGTCTCGAACTCCTGACCTTGGGATTCACCCACCTCGACCTCCCAAAGTGCTGGGATTACAGGCGTGAGCCACTGTACCCGGCCTATTTTCTCACATTTTAAGATTTTCTAGAGGCATTGCCTTGTCTTGCGAGAGAAAATTACCTTAGATTTCTCCTGGGATTTTTGTACTCATCTTCAATGTTCTGAACTTTCCATGTTTTTCCTAAAACACAGACCCGGAGAAAACACAGATCCAGAATTAGTATGAATTTATTTAAAAATCATTAGATTCTGTATTCATGGTACATGGTAGCCATGCCTGATTTATTCATCAAAGTATTTTTTGTCCATGTTCCAAATCAATGAACAGCATTGATGAGCTAGAAGCATTTGTTCTCTAATTCACTGGGAAGTAATATTGTCATTCTTACCTACAGAGGTCAGGTTCTTGAAGGTTTCCTGCATCACATCCCTGTAGAGATTCTTCTGGGAAGGATCCAGCAAAGCCCACTCCTCCTGGGTGAAGCTGACAGCCACATCCTCAAAGGCCACTGAATCCTGAAACATCTCACATATATAAAAGAGGACAGGTAAGACTAACAGCCCTGGAGGCCTATACTTTATTCCTAAGAAGTTCTCATGATACTGTGGACTCCAAACATTTATCCCATGACTTGGTCATCACACCTCTTACTTTCTGTCTATACTCACGTCCTCCCACAAACCAACCCTTTTTTTGTTAAGAGAGAGGGTCTTTGGCCAGTCGCGGTGGCTCACGCCTGTAATCCCAGCACTTTGGGAGGCTGAGGCAGGCAGATCACTTGAGGTCAGGAGTTTGAGACCAGCCTGGCCAACATGGAGAAACCCGTCCCTACTAAAAATATAAAAATCAGCCAGGCGTGGTGGTGGGTGCCTGTAGTCCCAGCTACTCGGGAGGCTGAGGTAGGAGAATTACTTGAACCCAGGAGGTAGAGGTTACAGTGGGCCGAGATCGCGTCACTGCACTCCGGCCTGGGCGACAAAGCAATACTCCATCTCAAAAAAATAATAATAAAATAAATAGGCCAGGCGCAGTGGCTCATGCCTATAATCCCAGCACTTTGGGAGGCCAAGGTGGGCGGATCACCTGAGGTCGGGAGTTCGAAACCAGCCTGACCAACATGGAGAAACCCTGTCTCTATTAAAAAAAAAAATACACAATTAGCTGGGCATGTTGGCACATGCCTGTAATCCCAGCTACTTGGGAGGCTGAGGCAGGAGAATCACTTGAACCCGGGAGGCAGAGATTGCGGTGAGCTGAGATTGCACCATTGCACTCCAGCCTGGGCAACAAGAGTGAAACTCCGTCTCGAAAAAATAAAATAAAATAAAATAAATAAAATCTATACTAATCAAGAGAAAATGGTATTAACAGATGGAAAGATAGACTAATGGAAAACAGCAGATTCTGAAAATAGTGAAACCACGACAAAGCAGGTATCACCAGCCAATTATGCAAGTGGTCCTCACTTACCAGAAGGAACAGGGACAGATGGTTACCTACAGGAGAACAAACAATCTTTGAAGCCCATCATCTCCATATGAATTAATTCTAGAGTTGCCTGTTACCGTGACTTCTTATGTTACCTTACCATGCATTTTCATTATGGGTTTCACTTTCTTATAACAGAAGAAACCCGTACTCAAGCCGTGTGTAGTGGCTCATGCCTGTAATCCCAGCACTTTGGGAGGCCAAGGCAGGCCAATCACTTCAGGTGAGGAGTTCAAGACCAGTCTGGCCAACATGGTGAAACTCCCTCTCTACTAAAAAACACAAAAATTAGCCGGGTGTGTGCGTGCCTGTAATCCCAGCTACTCGGGAGGCTGAGGCAGGAGAATCGCTTGAACTCGGGAAGCGGCGGTTGCAGTGAGCTGAGAGAGCGCCACTTCACTCCAGCCTGGGCGACAGAAAGAGACTGTCTCAGAAAAAAAAAAAAAAAAGAAGAAGAAGAAAGCTGCACTTGACCTCAACAGTTTCCAGTTATCCACCTCCTCCCAGTTCCTGCATGTGCTCAACCCACATATGTGACTTACACAGCTGCCTCCTGGTGACGACCTCACTGTGGAAAAGCTAGACAGACCAACTTGACTTGCCCCACTGACCCTTATACCCACGTGGATGGCACAGACCACCTGTTAATCACAGCCTGACTTCACAGAACTAGCACCTGCTTGCTCCAAATCTATCAGAAACAACTCCCTAAGAGAAACCTCCTTGGGCATTGCCCTGGACCCCAAGAAAAACTCTGGCCCAAAAGTCCCTGTCTGTCTTTCTCCCCACCTGCTGGTTGAATGTGCATCCTGGATGTTCCCCCCACTCTGTGTTGCCCTGCAAGGTGTGCTGCCCTCATCTGTCTGGGATGTGATAATGCACTGTTATGTCATGGCTTTATGGCTTTGTTGAGATGACTCTGCTGTGGCTCACTTCACCTACACCTTTCCCTTAATAGCAACATCCAACTGGCTGACCAGCTATGTGTCTCCAAATAATGGAAGCTGGGACTGGGGGAGAAAAACTGAGCATCCCAAGGGGTTGGCTATCTAGATGAAGAGTGTACCAGGAGTCTCCTCCCATTTGGGAAATTCAGTTGCTCCTTTGGGAGATCCCACACCCTGCCTCAGGCTATCCTCTGGGAGGACTGACACAGGGGCTGATATTCAGTAGGCCAGGAGAGATGGGAGCTGTGGGCATTTTGGTTCAGCCCCAGGCGGTTCTGAAACCCAGGACCAGGAAAAGATAGATTGGGACTCCTGAAGACACATCACCCTGTAAAGTTTTCAAAAAGGAAACAGGCCAGGCACGGTGGCTCACGCCTGTAAAATTCCAGCACTTTGGGAGGCTGAGGCAGGCAGATCATTTGAGCTCAGGAGTTCGAGACCAGCCTGACCAACATGGTGAAACCCCATCTCTACTTAAAATACATGGGGTATGGTGGCGCATACCTGTAAACCCAGCTACTCGGGAGACTGAGGGCAGGAGAATCACCTGAACCTGGGAGGCGGAGGTTGCAGTGAGCCAAGACCACGCCACTTCAATTCAGCCTGGGTTACAAAGAGAGACTTTCTCTCAAAAAAAAAAAAAAAAAAGGAAACAACCCAAAGACATTCTGAGATGGTGTCTGTGCCTTACGAAGATAAGAGGAGAGGAACAGAGGTTTTTCACTGGAGTATCAAGTGGTTATTCTCTATTCTATGTGAAATGTTCAGAAACAGAACACAAATATTTTAAAAAAAGTTATCCATGACCTTGTGAAAAGATGATAAACCACTAAAATACTGCATCTATGTGAAAGAAAGGATGAAGAAATATACTCTACAATAAAGAAAGTTGATACAGGAGGCTGAGGCAGGAGAATCACTTGAACCCGGGAGGCAGAGGTTGCAATGAGCCAAGATCATGCCATTGCATTCCAGCCTGGGCAACAAGAGCGAAACTCCGTCTCAAAAAAAAAAGAAAGTTGATAATACTGTGAGTTGGAGAAGGGGAGTTAATGTTTGGAGATGCGGAAAAGTAATTGAAAATTTAAGATGTTACTGCAAACTGCTGAAGAGTTAGGGCGGGGTAGCAGGGTGGAGGATTTGAGACCCATACATTAGGAAAATGCAGGAGGAAGCCAGTCCCTATAGACAGTGTGAAAAAATTTAAAGCAGCAGCAATTAGACTGAAGTGTGTTTAGTGCTATAAGAAACTACCTAAGGACACCAAAATCAAACTCAAATTGAGGCAGGAAAATAGGGTCTGGACGCAGGGAACATAAGGCCTATTCAAACTTCAGCTATGAAAGGAAATACCTACTCCATAGGGCGTAAGCCAAGTAAATGATTTTATAACCTTACTTCATCCTCTCCTTTTACATAGAGTATACCCCAAGTAACCAATGGAATCCTCCAGGGGGTATTTAAACTCCCAAAAATTCTGTAACGGGGCCTTTGAGCCCCTGTGCTCAGCCCCGCTTGCACACTGTGGAGTGTTAAATCCCTTCATTCCTTCCTTGCTTTGTGCGTTTTGTCCAATTCTTTGTTCAAGACGCCAAGAACCTGGACCCCCTCCACCGTTAACAAAATGCAATTCTTCTTAAAACTTTCTGGTACCAAAACCACAAATCATGACTGGGCGTTTCTCACTCATGAATCGCTGTTTGCTCAAACTCTTTAAATTTTTTTTTTTTTTTGAGATGGAATCTCGCTCTGTCCCCTAGGTTGGAGTGCAGTGGCGTGATCTCGGCTCACTGCAACCTTCGTCTCCTGGGGTCATGCGATTCTCCTGCTTCAGCCTCCTGAGTAGCGGGGACTACAGGCGCATGCCACCATGCCCGGCTAATTTTTTGTATTTTTAGTAGAGACGGGGTTTCACTGTGTTAGCCTGGATGGTCTCGATCTCCTGACTTCGTGATCCGCAAGCCTCGGCCTCCCAAAGTGCTGGGATTACAAGCATGGTCCACCGCGCCCGGCCCAAACTCTTTAACAGAAAAAAAAATCCGCAGGATTCCCCCATGACCCTCCCGTGGTCCCCGCAAAATCTGAAGAGACGCGGGGCTGCAGGCGCGGAGCTGCCCAGAGAGGGCTCCAGGGTCGGGGCCCACAGTCGCCCGCGCAGGAACAGAACAGGAGGACGCCCGGGGTCCCGGCTGCCGGCCCAGCCGCACCCTGCGGCCGAGGGGACGCAGGGACGAGCTGAGACAGAGGGATTCGGGTCCCAGATCCAGGAGGCGCGGCGAGGAGGCCCAGATCCCACCACAGCCGCTTCCGGCCGGTTCCACCCAGCCCCTCCCCCGTCTGGGGACTCCGGCCCCATACACTCACCATTTCCCGGCTTCTGGGTGTCCCGGTGTCCTCTCTAGGGCTCCCGTGAATAGTGCGGGTCACGGTGCAGGCGGCAGAGCGACAGAAGTTGTGGCAGAGGGACCCGGGGCCTCTCGGAGTAGGAAATCTGGTATCCCGACAACAACCTGCATAGCAACAAAAGTAGAAGCTGGAATGGGCCTCCTCCTTCCGGACGGACCGTTGGCCGGGCTCCGCCCCGGCGCTTCTGATTGGACAAGGTACAAGGCCCCGCCCCCTCAGAACTGAGTGACGGCAGAAGCCCTGGGTAACGAGCCCTGCAAAGCCGGACTGATCGGTTCTAGCCACAGCTTCTCTCTAAGGGACAACTCCTTCCCTGAGCCCTGGTCATTGGATATTTTCTTTTCAGCCAAATTTGCTCCTGATTTTTACACAGGGCACTATCTTCTTCCTCATTCAATGGGCTGTCAGTGCTTCTTCGTCCTGCACAGGGTTGTAAGTGTGTGCAGGGAATTCCAGACTGAGTGTCCAATGGAGCGATGTGCTGACCTCAGAGCAGGAAGGGGAGCCCAGATCAGGCCAGGCACGACTGCACCAAGAAGGAGAGGCAGTTGTCCTTCAGGGGCCCGGAATTAGGGATGAGACATGGCCAAGGCTTTCACACATCTCACCCCACCTCACAGTGTGGAAACTCTCCCTCCTTCCAGACCTTCATCTTCATCGGCAGAAAACTCTCACTTGGTGATTTTAAGCTTCTGACCTAAATAAACTGTCAACTGCATAAGCCCCTTCTCCAGGAGAGGTCCCAAACAGTTATTTCCCTGAACTTGATCTTTACGGATTTTCTTCAGATATGCAAATTACAGTCTGACCCCAGGGACTCTATGCATGTCAAACCCAAAACACTGCTCCCGAAAACCGCCCCAGATTCCAGATGTACAGCCGCAGAAAGGACAGAACTCCTGAAGTGCACCTGCACGTGGGTCTCCTGCTTTCCAGGGCGCTGCAGCATGTCAGAACCCACACTCTTTCTGGATCTGCTCTGAGCAGCTGCAAGCCACCTGCAGGGGAGGGCGGCTGCCCAGGAAGCACCCAGAACTCCACTTCACTCCTTGGCAGGATCCATACTAGCCTCAGCGTCCCGTCCCTGGCGTCGGTCTCTGCTGCCCCCTGCAGGTTATTCACCTGCTTCTCACATCATTCATCAGTTTCCATGAGACAAACATCCTCAATCCCACTGCGAGAATAACACACGAGCAAAGCTCTCCTCCAGTGTGTATGTATAAAGTCGAGGAGGAAGTGTCCAAGATTATTTAACTGCATGAAAGTGAGGCAGTAGTGGCTGGGCGCTGTGGCTCAAGCCTGTAATCCCAGCACTTTGGGAGGGCGAGGTGGCTGGATCACCTGAGATCAGGAGTTGGAGACCAGCGTGACCAACATGGTGAAATCCCGTCTCTACTAAAAATACAAAAATTAGCCGGGTGTGGTAGAGCCCACCTGTAATCCCAGCTACTCGGGAGACTGAGGCAGAAGAATCGTTTGTATCAAAGAGGCTGAGGTTGCAGAGAGCCGAGATTGCACCACTGCACTACAGCCTGGGCAATAGAGCGAGACTCTGTCTCAAAACAAAACAAAAAAACACACAAATGTTTAGTCATGTTACTTATTTCTGGTTTCCAGCCTGACTTTATAACATTCCTGACTCTGGGACTCTCCAGCTCTCCAGAATTATGCTTTGAAGAAAAAACAAGATAGAGCACAGGGCCCACATGTCTCTTATAAACTGTGAACCAAAATATTACATAGCAGCCATCTGTCAGAACTGCTTCCAGGCTATTGTCCTCAGTCACAATCCTAAATCAAACTCACTTTCTTTAACAAATTTAATTTTTTTTCTTCAGTCCACATGAGTAATCTAAAAGAAACACATAGACAGAAGAATCTCTTTATTATCATCTTTCTACCAAGTCAACATCAAGCATTAAAAAAATGTAAAACAAAGTGAAAACCATCCTTCTCTGATTCATCGTAGACCCAGAATCTGCCAGTCACCAACACCTATCTTCATTTTCTCTATTACGGCCAACTTTTATCTAAGAGATATCATAGGGGCATATTTAATAGAGTTTGTCATTTTGTGTTTTATGAATTTTAGAGGTTTTTTTGTTTTGTTTTGTTTTGAACTTTTATTTGCATTTTCTTTTGGCTGAATTTGTTTGTCTCTTAAGTTTATGTTTCTTCTGGGGTATCTTTTTCTTCCGTGCATCCTCCTTTTCTGCTTTTGGAACAAGGTGTTTCTTTTCACTAAGCATCATCTGGATGTGGCAGGGGAGTTTGTGGATGGGTTCATCTGCCCATGAGTTCTGTAAGTCAGGTGGTACATTATGGGTGCCTTTTCCCTGGATGTGCTCAATAACCAGGGAATCTACATCTATACCCTTAAGTTCAGCATAACTCTGCACTTGTAAGCAAATTTCAGTACCTTTTCGGGGCCACTGATGGTGAGTCCAGCCCCAATGTCTGTCTTGCGTACAGCGACCAACTCCACTTTCTAAGACTGAAATGGTACACATAATTTCTGTAAAAGAAAATATTTCAGATACTTGGTGGCTTTTCATATAGGCATACCTGTGATGGCCTGAGCACCTTCACAGTTTACAGTGAACATGAGGGTTTCATCCTTCTAACATGCACGACTTCGTGGGATTTTCTGGGTCATAGTGAATAATGTTCATAGATCAACTCAGGCCACACAAGAGGACAGGTTTTCTTTGGTCTTTAAAAGGAACTGATTAAAGAAAAAAAAAAAAAAAAGGTGGAAGCCAGGCACAGCAGCTGGTACCTGTAGTGACAGCTACTTGGCAGGCTGAGGTAGAAGGATTGTGAGCCCAGGAATATGAAGCTCTCATGCACTAAGATCACACTTGTGAATATCACTGCACTCCAGCCGGGTCCAAACAGCAAGACCAACTCTCTAAAAAAAAATTACATAATAAAATAATTTAAAAAAAAGTTTGTGGTTAGAAAAAAGTTTTTATTTAAGACATTCATTAAAGAAAAAAGTACTTTGAGAAGAGATTAGGGCCAGGCGTGGTGCCTATAATCCCAGCACTTTGGGAGCCCAAGGTGGCAGATCATGAGGTCAAGAGATTGAGACCATCCTGGCCAACATGGTGAAACCCCATCTCTACTAAAAATACAAAAATTAGCTGGGCGTGGTGGCGCATGCCTGTAGTCCCAGCTACTCAGGAGGCTGAGGCAGGAGAATCTCTTGAACCTGGGAGGCGGAGGTTGCAGTGAGCCAAGATTGCACCACTGCACTCCAGCCTGGCCACAGAACAAGACTCTGTCTCAAAAAAAAAAAAAGATATTAGGCCTGGCGCAGTAGCTCACACCTGTAAGCCCAGCATTTTGGGAGGCTGAGGCAGGTGGGTCACTTGAGGTCAGGAGTTCAAGACCAGCTTGGCCAACATGGAGAAACCCGTCTCTACTAAAAATACAAAAATGGCCGGGCGCAGTGGCTAACGCCTGTAATCCCAGCACTTTGGGAGGCCAAGGCAGGTGGATCACCTGAGGTCAGAAGTTCGAGACCAGCCTGGTCAACATGGTGAAACCCTGTCTCTACTAAAAATACAAAAATTAGCTGGGTGTGGGGGCACACGCCTATAGTCCCAGCTACTCAGGAGGCTGAGAAAGGAGAATCGCTTGAACCTGGGAGTTGGAGGCTGCAGTGAGCCGACAGCACACCACTGCACTCCAACCTGGAGCAAGACTCTGTATCAAAAAAAAAAAAAAAAAAAATTTGAAGGCTGGAAAAAGATTAGAAGGCCGGGTGCAGTGGCTCACACCTGTAATCCCAGCACTTTGGGAGACACTGGTGTGGGTCACTTGAGGTCAGGAGTTTAAGACCAGTCTGACCAACATGGTGAAATCCTGTCTCTACTAAAAATATAAAAAATTAGCCTAGCGTGGTGGTGGGTGCCCGTAATCCCAGCTACCCGGGAAGCCAGGAGGTGGAAGTTGCACTGAGCCGAGCTCACACCAACACACTCCAGCCTGGGCAACAGAGTGAGACTCTGTCTCAAAAAAAAAAAAAAAAAAAAAAAAAAAAAAAAAAAAGAGTTTAGAGGCTGGGCATGGTGGCTCATGCCTGTAAAGCCAGCTACTCGGGAGACTGAGGCAGAAGAATCGCTTGAACCCAGGAGGCAGAGGTTGCAGTGGGCTGAGAATGTGCAACTGCACTCCAGCCTGGGAGACAGAGCCCGACTCTGTCTCAAAAAAAAAAAAAAAGAAAACTCGTGAGAACGAATGGCATAAAATACGTAGTGTACCCGATAGCCAGCCATTTATTATAGGATATTTTTGAATAGGAACTTTAGCCTTTTGTTTTGATAAAGCTTTCTGAGGCAGTGAGTCTGACAATGGCACTTCCGTTATCCCTTTAGTGAGTTTCTTAAAATGAGGGCTTGCCACTTAGGTATTGGGCTTTCAATAGGAGGGAAAAGATTTTTCTGACCTTCCTGTATATATATACCTGCCACTTTGCTGGGCTAACCTTATTATTATTATTATTATTTTGAGACGGAGTCTCACTCTGTCACCCAGGCTGGAGTGCAGTGGCGCAATCTTAGCTCACTGCAACCTCCACCTCCTGTATTCAAGCAATTCTCCTGCCTCAGCCTCCTGAGTAGCTGGGACTACAGGCGCCACCACACCTGGCTAATTTTTGTATTTTTTAGTAGAGATGGGGTTTCACCATATTGACCAGGCTGGTCTCGAACTACTGACCTCGTGGTCCGCCTGCCTCGGCCTCCCAAAGTGCTGGGATTATAGGCATGAGCCACTGCACCCGGCCAAACCTCGTATTTTTTTTATGACAGAACTGTCTTAAGGTCTTACTGGAGGTGTGTCTCTCTTAAGAGTTATTTCCAACTCTGTGTCCTAGGTATCTGAGTGAGGCCCCAGCTAAACTACTCCCAAAAATTTTTGCTCCTGGGCTACTGGCATTTATTTCTGAATGCTGTCAAATGACAGTGACTGCAGAAGCTTCAGAATAATTTTGCGATGGTTCCCATGATTTGAGGGAAACACATTTTTACCATGATTGGATTCGGTGGCTTCTAGGAATCTTATGTGAATTAAGCAATCTTCTCGCCTTGGCCTTTCGAAGTGTTGGAGCTACAGGGTTTTTCTCCAGTGTGAGTCCTTTCATGGATTTTAACGCTCGAGGCACATCCAAAGGCTTTACCACATTGTTTACATTCATAGGGTTTCTCTCCAGTGTGAGTCCTTCCATGTGTTCGAAGGTGCGAGGCAGATCTGAAGGCTTTCCCACATTGCTTACATTCATAGGGCTTCTCTCCAGTGTGAGTTCTTTCATGATATCGAACGGAATTGAAAGAAACAAAGGCTTTCCCACACTGTTTACATTCATACGGCTTCTCCCCAGTGTGAGTTATTTTATGTGCATGGAGGCATGTGGAACTATGGAATGCTTTCCCACACTCACTGCATTCATAAGGCTTCTCTCCAGTGTGAGTTCTTTCATGTATTCGAAGGCTACCAGAATGACTAAAGGCTTTACCACACTGTTTACATTCATATGGTTTCTCTCCAGTGTGAGTTCGTTTGTGGATAAGATACAAACTGAGACACATCAAGGCTTTCCCACAAAAGTTACATTTGTAGGGTCCATCTCCACTGTGCATTATCCTGTGTCTTCGAATGCTTGAACGGGAAATAAAGCTTTTTCCACATTCCTCACAATCATAAGGTTTCCCCCCAGTGTGAGCCCATTCATGTGTTCGAAAGTAGGGGAGATCACTGAAGGCTTTCTTACAGTATGTACATTTATATGGCTTCTGTCCATATTCCTGATACTCATATGGCTTGTGTCCAGTGTCAGCTCTGTGGTGCCTATTAAGGGATGCATGACCCACGCTGACTTCTCCACATGATTTTACTCGGGGAGTTTTCTTCTTCAGCATGTCATCTGGAACCTGGGTCAAAATTTCTCCATGCTGATGATCTTTCTTACTTTCTAAGAGTCTCTCTCCCATAAGACCTCTGTGAACAATGAGAAGTATATCATAATGGGTTCCTTTATCACTGATTTGATATTCATTAACAAGTCATTGCACTTGTATTTCTAACACTGTACAGCAATGTGTAGGCTTTCTGCCCTGTCTGAACATGAACAGACCACACATGCTCTACAAGATGGCCCAGCTATACCTGTTATCAAGAAAGATAATATTGATATAGGGCTTCTTAGTACTTTTTAAACATTTTTTGAGATAGGGTCTCACTCTGTCATCCAGGCTGGAGTGCGGTGGTGAGATCTCAGCTCACTGCAACCTCCATCTCCCGATCTGAAGCCGTCCTGCCACTTCAGCCTCCTGATTACCTGAGGCTACAAGCATACCATCGTGCCTGGCTAATTTTTGTATATTTGCTAGAGATGGGGTTTTGTCACATTTCCCTGGCTGGTCTCAAACTCCTAGACTCAAGCAATCTGCCCACCTCAGCCTCTTAAAGCATTAGGATTACAGGCATACACCTGGGCGCCCGGCCAACACTATTTTCAGGTAAACTATTTTACAAGTACTAACTGTCTTTGTCAATTTTATTGCTTCTGAGTCAGGGTCTTGCCCTTTAACCCAGGCTAGAGTGTAATGGTGCTATCATGGCCGAGTGTAGCCTCAAACTCTTCAGCTCAAGCAATCTCTGACCTGAACCTCCCAAAGGGCTGGATTATAGGCTTAAGCCAGGATGTTCAGCCTATGTCACACTTAAATATATGTTTTTAGAGATTTTTTTTTTTTTTGAGACGGAGTCTCGCTCAGTCGCCCAGGATGGAGTGCAGTGGCATGATCTCGGCTCACTGCAATCTCTGCCTCCCGGGTTCATGCCATTCTCCTGCCTCAGCCTCCCAAGTAGCTGGGACTACAGGTGCCCGCCATCACGCCCGGCTAATTTTTTTGGATTTTTAGTAGAGACAGGGTTTCACCATGTTAGCCAGGATGGTTTCGATCTCCTGACCTCGTGATCCGCCTGCCTCAGCCTCCCAAAGTGCTGGGATTACAGGCGTGAGCCACCACAGCCGGCCCTAGAGAAAATTTTGTAAGAATAAATACAGTGGAACTTGGCTTATTTCTTGTTTGCTTCTTTTTAACATTTTCTTCCATTCTATGATTGTCTAGAGAGACATCACTTTCTCTTGTGAATGCGAATTACCTTAGGTTTCTCCTGGGATTTTTGTACTCATCTTCAATTTTCTGATCTTTCCATTTTTTTCCTAAAATACAGAACCAGAAAAATAGTCCTGAATTAGCAAAATTATGAAAAAAGTACTAGATTCTAAGTTCATGGTACACTGCAGCCTTGCAGCATTTATTCACATTCCTATTCCCTGTCCTCACTATTCCCTGTCCACACTCCAAATCACTCAACACTACTGACAAGCTAGAAACACTTGTTCTCTAATTCACTGAGGAAAGTAATATTGTTACCCTTACCTACAGAAGCCAGGTTCCTGAAGGTTTCCTGCATCACATCTCTGTAGAGATTCTTCTGGGAAGGATCCAGCAAAGCCCACTCCTCCTGGGTGAAGTTCACATCTACATCCTCAAAGACCACTGAATCCTGAAACATCCCACATGTGTAAAGAAACATGGGTGAGACTGACAGCACTGGGTTCCTATACTCTATTCCTACAAAGTTTCCATGGTGCTATGGACTCCAAACATTTATTCCATGATCTGGTCATCAGACTTTTTACTCTGTCAACACTCACTCTTCCATAAAGAAATTCTTTTTTTTTAATTATTATTATTTTTTGAGACAGAATCTCATTCTGTCACCCAAGTGGGAGTGCAGTGGCATGATCTTGGCTCACTGCAACCTCCGCCTCCCAGGTTCAAATGATTCTCATGCTTCAGCCTCCCAAGTAGCTGAGATTATAGGCGCCTGCCACCACGCACAACTAATTTTTGTATTTTTAGTAGAGATGGGGTTTTACCATGTTGGCCAGACTGGTCTCCAACTCCTGACCACAAGTGATCCACCAGCCTTGGCCTCCCAAAGTGCTGGGATTACAGGCATGAGCCACCAAGCCTGGCTGAGGCCCTACCAATCTGACTGATAAGAGTCATAACTAACTAAAACAAAAAATCAAGAGCAGAAACCTTTCTTGGAAACTGTGCTTGGGTAGAAAAGCCTGAATTATAACTGATGAATTGCTGGAGGTTGAATGGCAACAAGATTGGAGAGGCAAAAACTCCAGGGTGTCCAGTCTCAACAAAAAGGCAAATATTTATCAAATGTAAAAACTTTTGTGTGAAATGGTGTAAGAGAACACCATCAAGAGAGAAAATGAACCCCATGTGCTCTGTCCAAAGGATGGTAAATGGCTCAGCCCCTATGGAATAGTATGACGGTGCCTGAAAAAAATAATATAACTACCATTTTTTTTTTTTTTTTGAGATAGAGTCTCACTCTGTCACACAGGCTGGAGTGCAGTGGCACAATCTTGGCTCACTGCAACCTCAGCCTCCCAGGTTCAAGCAATTTTCTGCCTCAGCCTCCCAAGTAGCTGGGATTACAGGCGCCCGCCACCATGCCTGGCTAATTTTTGTATTTTTTTTAGTAGAGACAGGGTTTCACCGTCTTGGCCAGGCTGGTTTTGAACTCCTGACCTTGTGATCCACCTGTCTCGGCCTCCCAAAGTGTTGGGATTACAGGCATGAGCCACTGCGCCTGGCCAAAATTAACATATCTTTCAGCAATCTACTTTTGTGTCTACTTATTTTCAATTAAAAAAAAATTGAAATCCAGATCTTGAAGACACATTTGAAAACCACTGTTAACAATAGCCAACTTTGGGAGGCCAAGGCAGGTGGATCACGAGGTCAGGAGATCAAGACCATTCTGGCCAACATAGTGAAACCCCGTCTCTTCTAAAAATACAAAAATTAGCTGGTGTGGTGGCGGTGGCGTATGCCTGTAATCCCAGCTACTCAGGAGGCTGAGGCAGGAGAATCACTTGAACAAGGGAGTCGGAGGTTGCAGTGAGCTGAGATCTCACCACTGCACTCCAGCCTGGCGACAGAGCAAGACTCAGTCTCAAAAAAAAAAAAAAAAAAAAATCAGTAGCCAAGAGCTGCATCAATCCACCTGTCCATTCATTGATTGCTGAATGAATAACAAAAATGTGATAGGTATATATATATATATGCAATGGAATATTATTTAATCTTTTAAAATAACAACCTGTCCGTTGTTACAACAAGCATGAAAATTTAGGATACTATGCTAACAGCCAAGGTAGTCACCAAAAGAAAAATACAGTATGATTAAAGTTATGTAGAGTTGTCTAACTAAATCAACTGTACAGTTAAAATTGCATAAGCTGGTAAAATTTAAGTTTTTTACTTTATAATTATTAAAATTAATAAAATACCAAGTAAAAACCTAATTGATTAAAAGGTGGGCAAAGTATTTCAGTGACGTTTCTCAAAGATACATACAAGTGACAAGTAAGCACGTGAAAAAGGGTTCAACATCAGGAATCATTCGGCAGAAGTATTTTTTTTTTTTTCAGACGGAGTTTCGCTCTTGTTGCCCAGGCTGGAGTGCAATGGCGCGCTCTTGGCTCACTGCAACCTCTGCCTCCCAGCTTCAAGCAATTCTCCTGCCTCAGCCTCCCGAGTAGATGGGATTACAGGCATGCACCAACACTGCGGGCTAATTTTGTATTTTCAGTAGAGACAGGGTTTCTCCATGTTGGTCAGGCTAGTCTTGAACTGCTGACATCAGGTGATTTGCTCACTGTGACCTCCCAAAGTGCTGGGATTACAGGTGTGAGCCACCACGCCCGGCCCGACCTAAGTATTTTACACAACAAAGTTTCCGGTGGTTATTGAGTGCTTTCCTCTCATGAAAAGTATTCATAAACAAAATAGAAAAGTTTCCAATGCAGCCATTCATGGCTCTGTGGAAAAATGAAAAACAAAATACTACAGCTCTTTCAAATACATCATGGTGGACACACTGATGAAGATGTCGATTAGAGAGGGGAGATGGGTGCTTTGGAATGTGGGAAGGGAATCAGAAATGTAAGGATTTGTTGTTGTCCCCATGAAAAGGTAGCTGTGGGGGTCTCAAGGACTCCCTCTTTGACAAGGCTTTGACCTTGTCCTACAAAACCCAGTTATAGCAAAGATCCTTCTAAGGGAGTTCAGAGAAACCCCACCCTGGCCCCTCCAAACGTGATACCCAATGAAGTTCTGTTACCCCTATTCATAACTCATCAGCTTTCTCTTCTGTAACCCTTGATACCTCACCAAGTTCCATCCTCTCCCTCAATTTACCCTTGAACTATAGGTTCAATACTGTTGTTGCTGCATGCAAGGTTGAGGTCAATCTCTCTCCCATATTACAGTTCTCATGACCCACATCACAACTGTCCTGAATAAAGCCTTCTTTGACATTTTTAACACGATTTCAGTACAATCTTTTTTTACAAGGGACAGGGACTTAGACTTGAAACCCTGCTTCACAAGTCTGGAATGCATAGGGGATAATATGCTCTCTCCCTGTGGGAAGGAAGGAGGGTGTCCTGAGAGTATCTCCCACTCACATATCCAGAACTCTGGGTCAGACTTCTCTCCTCATGACCACTCCTTGTTGTCACTCCATAAACTGGGTGAGATGGGGGACTGTGGATACACCATTACCCAGACAGTGTTCTACGGTGGAGCTCGCCTCCTGCAGTGATGGGACACAATGCCTGGGAGTCCTGTTTGCCAATTCAGCCCTTACCTTGTGTCATAAAGGAGACTGAGGTTCCAACTGAGATGGATATATGTGAGGACCAGGTGTAGAATTTTCAAGTTTTTCTTCCATTTGGTGAATACTCTTTGCAATTTATTTCTTCTTTTTTTTTTTAAGCCTATAGCAAGCAGTATTCTCATGCATTCTATAAACCATGCAGTAACCAGGCTTGAATCTGCTCAGCTGCTAAGATCAGCTATACTCTTGTATTTCTTTTTTTTTTTTTTTTCTTTTGTCTGAGACAGAGTCTCACTCTGTCATCCAGGCTGGAGTGCAGTAGTGCAATCACAGCTCACTGCAGACTCAACCTCTGGGGTCAAGCAATCCTCCCACCACAGCCTTCTGAGTACCTGGGCTCACTGGAGCATGCCACCACACCTGGGTAATTTTTTTTTTTTTTTTTTTTTGAGACGGAGTCTCGCTCTGTCGCCCAGGCTGGAGTGCAGTGGCACGATCTCGGCTCACTGCAAGCTCTGCCTCCTGGGTTAACGCCTTTCTCCTGCCTCAGCCTCCCGAGTAGCTGGGACTACAGGCCCCGCCACCACGCCCGGCTAATTTTTTGTATTTTTAGTAGAGACGGGGTTTCACCGTGTTAGCCAAGATGGTCTCGGTCTCCTGACCTCGTGATCCGCCCGCCTCGGCCGCCCAAAGTGCTGGGATTATAGATGTGAGCCACCGCGCCTGGCCAGTTTTTTTTATTTTTTGTAGAGACATGGTCTCACTATGCTTCCCAGGTTGGTCTTAAACTCCTAGGCTCAAGAGATCCCCTTACCTCAGCCTTCCAAGTTCTGGGATTCCAGATGTGAACCACTAACCTTGACCATACTCCTGTATTTCTTCATTGTGTCTTTCAAAACAGAAAAGCTTAAATTTTAATGTAGTCAAAATTACATACTTTTTCTCTGTTCCTAGTGTTTCTCTTGTCATATTATAGCCTCTTCTTCCTAAACCTAAGATCATGAATATTTTTGGGTGGCACATTCTGTAGCAACAAGAGGGTGAGGTTCTCCTTTGTTCCCAGAGGAGAATGAGACTGGTGTATTCTGCAGGCTAATAAGGAAATGAAACTCACTATACTATGGAGGATAAAAGTATATAAATTTACACTATAACAGTATAATGCCATATAGGCTAATACCGTTTATATGTGGCACTTATATATCATATACACGTTACATGTAATATTTACCAATTACCTACCATAACTAAACCATATACTGTATATAAATGCAACATATGTACATGTATATGTGTATATATATACACACACACTATATCCTGTACTAGATAATGCTAGATTCTATTAAAATACTGTACATGAATATCTCCTTTAAATTTCAAAAGAAAACACCTCACCAATATATTGGAAAAGAGAATCCTATAACAATATCATACCCGTGATGAAGTGGCATTCAATTCAGGAAAGCAATGCTGCTCTCACCTCTGAAAATCCATTCATGCAATACACCATAATAGTATAGGATCAACAGCAAACAACACAAGAACATCATAATAGATGCAGAAAAAGCATATGACAAACCTCAACATTTCTTCATGATAAAAACACTCGGCCGGGTGCAGTGGCTCACACCTGTAATCCCACCACTTTGGGATGCCAAGGCGGGAGGATCACAAGGTCAAGAGCTCGAGACAAGCCTGGCCAGCACGGTAAAACCTCGTCTCTACTAAAAATACAAAAAATTAGCTGGGCGTGGTAGCATGCGCCTGTAATCCCAGCTACCCAGGAGGCTGAGGTAGGAGAATCGCTTGAACCCAGGAGGCAGAGGTTGCAGTGGGCCGAGATCATGCCATTGCACATCCCAGCCTGGATGACGGAGCGAGACTCCATCTTAAAAAAAAAAACAACAACAACTCAATAAACTAATAATACAAAGTAACTTCCTTAACTTACTATAAGGTATATATAAAAAATGCAAAACTACCCTCATTCGTGATGGTGAAGGACTAACTGCTTTCTCCCAAAGATGAGACACAGACAAGGATGTCTGCTCTCATGCCTTCTACTCAGCTTGAGAAAGGAGATGCTACTAGGCCAACCAGGTCAGAAAACAAAAGCCTAGGCGGGACGCGGTGGCTCACGCCTGTAATCCTAGCACTTTGGGAGGCCGAGGTGGGTGGATCACGAGGTCAGGAGTTCAAGACCAACCTGGCCAAGATGATGAAACCCGTCTCTACTAAAAATACAAAAATTAGCCAGGTGCGGTGGCAGGAGCCTGTAATCCCAGCTACTTGGAAGGCTGAGGCAGAAAAATCACTTGAACTTCGGGGGAGAAGTTGCAGTGAGCCTAGAATGCGCCACTGCACTCTAGCCTGGGCGACAGAGTGAGACTCCATCTCAAAAAAAAAAAAAAAAAGAAAAGCCCTCCAGATTTATAGTAAAGACACATGCACGGCTGGGTGCAGTAGTTCATGCCTGTAATCCGGCATTTTGGGAAGCCAAGGCGGGTGGATCACCTGAGGTCAGGAGTTCAAGACTAGCCTGGCCAACATAACAAAACCCTGTCTCTACTAAAAATACAAAAATTGCCGGGTATGGTGGCGCAGGTCTGTAATTCCAGCTACTTGGGAGGCTGAGGCAGGAGAATCGCTTGAACCTGGGAGGGGGAGGTCGCAGTGAGCTGAGATTGTGCCAGTGCACTCCAGCCTGGGTGACAGAGGGAGTCTCTGTGTCAAAAAAAAAAAAAAATACATGCAGTGATTCTGGCAGGCATATAGACTGTCACTGCCCATACCGGTGTACAAACTGAGGCAGAAATACAAAAAGGCAAAAGACTTATGTTAGTTTTATATTTCTTTTTTTTTTTTTTTTTTTTGAGACGGAGTCTTGCTCTGTCCCCCAGGCTGGAGTGCAGTGGGGTGATCTCAGCTCACTGCAAGCTCTCCCTCCCGGGTTCACGCCATTCTCCTGCCTCAGCCTCCCGAGTAGCTGGGACTACAGGCACCTGCCGCCATGTCCGGCTAATTTTTTGTATTTTTAGTAGAGACGGGGTTTTACCATGTTAGCCAGGATGGTCTCAATCTCCTGACCTTGTGATCCACCCGCCTCAGCCTCCCAAAGTGCTGGGATTATAGGCGTGAGCCACCCCGCCCAGCCCTTACCTATATTCTTTTGTAAAATATTGAAAATGCCTGAACAGAGCCAGGAAGGGCCTCTTTTCTCTTGATCTTCATTATAGATTAACTTTCCTCTTACCTTTCTCACACAAAGACTTCATGGCCATCACAGTGTCTTAAGCTGGAATGTCAAATTTGATAATGGCTCACTGCAGCATCAAACTCCTGGGGTCCAGTGATCCTCCTGCCTCAGTGTCCCTTGTATCAGGAACTACAGGTGGGTGCAACCACACCTGTCTAATTTTTCTATTTTTCTTTTCTAGACATGGGTCTTGTATTACCAAGGCTGGTCTCCAACTCCTGGTCTCAAGCAATCATCCTGCCTCAGCCTCACAAAGCTGGGATTACAGGTGTGGGACACTGCACTAGGTCAAGAGTTTAACTTTTAGCTCCGGAGTTCTAAGCCCATTTCCCTAGAGTCTGTATTTTCTTGAATGGCAATTCTCAGATTTTCACTTAAATAATCTCCTTATAATAGGAATCTGATCATTTCAATCATTTAAGGTAGAAAAATCCAAACAAGGCGACTACATCACTGTAACCAATAAAGTATTTTTTGATTTTTATTCTAATGCACCATATAAAAGCCTATCCTTCAACCTGTAAACTAAAAATAAAAACCTAAGCTCCCCATCCCACCCCAATCAAGTCAACTGAGTGGCTCTTTACCAAGGGGAGGCCCCCCAAAAACCTGAAAGTTCCCAGTTACATTAGTAAGGGAGATCAGACACTCCATACTCCCTTCTGGAGTTTAGACACAGCAACTGACCCACATTCATATTAAAATAGACATAAGACCTGCAAAGAGGCCGGGCACAGTGGCTCAGTCCTGTAATCCTAGCACTTTGGGAGGCGGAGGGAGGCGGAGGCAGGCGGATTATTTGAGGTCAGGAGTTTGAGACCAGCTTGGCCAACATGGTGAAACCCCATCTCTACTAAAAATACAGAAATTAGCCGGGTATGGTGGCGTGCACCTGTAATTCCAGCTACTTGGGAGGCTGAGGCAGGAGAATTGCTTGAACCTAGGAGGCGGAGGTTGCCGTAAGCCGAGATTGCGCCACTGCACTCCAGCCTGGGCGAGAGTGAGGCTCCATCTCAAAAAAAAAAAAAAACCTGCAAAGAAACCCTTTGTACCAATAAATACTAAATTGCAAACAAGACCTAAGGCCATGCAAGGCAAGGGTAAAGTCACGCCTTAGAATTCATAAAATCTAGTGAAACATATCTGTTTTTTGGTGGGGATGGAATCACGTGGCAGGTAACAGACTCCCTTCACTTAAACATTCCTTCCTACCCCTTTCAAATTTTAGACACAACTTCACACTCTCAGCCAACTGCCAACTACAGAATCCCTCAACCACCTGTGCCTTCTAAGCCCCGCTTCTACGTGTCCTGCCCTGTCAGCCTTCCATGCCTTGATTGATCTTTTCCCTGCAATTCCTGTCTCGCTGAAATGAATAAAACCAAACTGCCATCGAACCTCCTGGGGACCACTTACTCGAGGCTACATGCGGTTGTTTCCCTTGGTCACGTTCTCTCATATTCGGCGTAGAACATAGTTCAAGTTATTTTGCAGAGTTTTGCTCTTTCCGTTATCAAACTGCAAGCCATGACTGGGTGTTTCTCATTCAGGAAACATTTCTCATTCATTTTTTTCAAACTCCTATTCTGAGAAGCAAAACTCTTTAATTTTTAAGAGGACTCAGTTTAGTTTGTTGCTGTTGTTTTTGTTTTGTTTTGTTTGAGACAGGGTCTCGCTCAGTCGCCCAGGCTGGAGTGCAGTGGCGCGATCTCGGCTCACTGCAGTCCCAATCTCCTCCCTCAAGCGATCCTCCCACCTCAGCCCCCCAGTAGCTGGGATTACAGGTGGGCGGCACCACGCCCGGCTCATTTTTTAAAAATTTATTTTTAATAGAAACTAGGGTCTCGGTATGTTGCCTAGGCTGGTCTCGAATTTCTGGGCTGAAGCAATCCCCCCGCCTCAACCTGCCAGGCGTGACCCACTGCGCCTGGCCTTCAATTTAGTTTTTCAGGAAAAAAGGGGGGACTGGGGACCCCGCAGCCCACCGCTCCTCCCACACGAACCACACACCCGAGGCAGGATTGCCTCCATGACCCTCCCGTGGTCTCCGCACAATCTGGGGAGACGCGGGACTACGGGCGCGGAGCTCCCCAGAGAGGGCTCCGGGGCCGGGGCCAGGGCCGGGGTCGCAGTCGCAGCGCAGAGACGGGACAGGACGCCTGGGGTCCCGGCTGCCGGCCCAACCCCACCCTGCGGCCGAAGGGACCGAGGGCCGAGCTACGCCAGGGGGACTCCGCTCTGCAGACCCGAAGTCGCTGCAGGAAGGCCTGGGTCCTGCTAGAGCCGGTTCGAGCCGGTTCCTCCCGGCCCCTCCCCCGTCTCGGGACCCCCGGCCCCGCACACTCACCATTTCCCGGCTTCCAGGTGTCCTGGCCTCCTCTCCACGGATCCCTCTAACAGTCCAGTCACAGTGCGGGCGATGGAGCGACAGAAGCTATGGCGGAGGCACCTGGTCCCTCTCGGGGCCGGAAAACCGAGATCCCGACCTCCCTTTGGTGCAAGACGCCTGGGAGTCAGGAAAGCGGGAATGCGGCCTCCCCTTCCCCGGATGGACAGTTGGCAGGACCCCGCCCCAGCGCCCCTGATTGGATGAGGCTCCAGTCCCCGTCCCATCGGTCCTGAGTGACAGCGGAAGCCCTGGGTAACAAGGCCCGGCAGAACCGAAATGACCTGTTCCAACCACAGATTATCTAAGCGAGCTCCCTCCCTGCGTCTTGCTCTTTGGGTATTTGCATTTCAGCCAAATTTGCTCCGAATTGCTAGAGGGGGTACCGTTGTCTTCCTCACTCAATGGGCTGTCCCTGCTCCTTTGTCTTGCACAGGAAATTCCAGACTCAGAGTCCAGTGGAGGTGAAGGAAATTAAAATATTTTACGCCAAAATATATTTATTTGACAGATTTTGAAATGGCTGTGGCTCGGCCGCAAAAAAAAGTGGACTGGCAAAGCTGTCTTTGGAGGGGGGGAATTTGCATCTGCAGAGAATCTCCATTGATGAAACCATGCCCTCTCCCCCTTTATTTCTTTCCCTTTATCCAAGCTAGAAGAGATTGTGACCTGAACACAGGCAGGGTGCGGTGGTTCACGCCTGTAATCCTAGCACTTTGGGAGGCCAAGACTGGAGGATCCCTTAAAGTAAAGAGTTAAAGACCAACTTGGTCAACACAAGAATACCCCTGTTTTGTTGTTTTTTTTTTTTAATTTTTATTTATTAAACTTTAAGTTCTAGGGTACATGCGCACAATGTGCAGGTTTGTTACATATGTATACATGCGCCATGTTGGTGTGCTGTACCCATTAACTCGTCATTTACATTAGGTATATCTCCTAATGTTATCCCTCCCACATCCCCCCACCCTAGACCCCTGTTTTTATTATTTAAAAATCTTTACGGCCGGGAGCGGTGGCTCACGCCTATAATCCCAGCACTTTGGGAGGCCGACGCGGGCGGATCACGAGGTCAGGAAATCAAGACCATCCTGGCTAACACGGAGAAGCCCCGTCTCTACTAAAAATACAAAAAATTAGTCGGGTGCGGTGGCGGGCGCCTATAGTCCCAGCTACTCGGGAGGCTGAGGCAGGAGAATGGCGTGAACCCGGGAGGCGGAGCTTGCAGTGAGCCGAGATTGCGCCACTGCACTCCAGCCTGGGCGACAGGGCTAGACTGTCTCAAAAAAAAAAAAGAAAGAAAAAGAAAAAGAAAATCTGTGAAGGTCAGAATTAGAGCAAGACCCATTTGGGATGCCTCCTGGAGAAAGGGTTTATGAATTTTTATTTATTATTTTATTTTATTGTATTTATTATCATTTTTTTTGAGACGGAGTCTCGCTCTGTCGTCCGGGCTGGAGTGCAGTGGCGCAATCTCGGCTCACTGCAAGCTCCGCCTCCCGCCCGGGTTCATGCCATTCTCCTGCCTCAACCTCCCAAGTAGCTGGGACTACAGGCGCCTGCCACCACGCCCGGCTAATTTTTTGTATTTTTAGTAGAGACGGGGTTTCACCGTGTTAGCCAGGATTGTCTCGATCTCCTGACCTCGTGATCCGTCCGCCTCGGCTTCCCAAAGTGCTGGGATTACAGGCGTGAGCCACCGCGCCCTGCGGGTTTATGAATTTAACAGTAAATTTAGCTTAAACTGACTCAAGTCGAGAGCTTCCTGTTGGTGAAAATGAAGGTCTTAAAGGAGAGAATAATTTCTAAACTGAGGAGGGGACAGAAGGGCATTTCAAACTCCCAGATAAATCCTTAATTTTCTCTGCCTCATCATCTGGGACTGACCCGCCCTGGGGGGCTCCATTTCAGCAGTCACAGTTTGGCTTCCAAGCTTGGAAATATCATTTACCTTCTGACAGAGGGTTTTCCTTGTGAACTGTGCATGAAGCAGGCTGCTTATCTGAACTACTTCAAATGTTTGCTTTACTTTTCTTTTGATTCCTTTATAAAATATTGCTGCCGGCTGGGCGCGGTGGCTCACGCCTGTAATCCCAGCACTTTGGGAGGCCGAGGCGGGCGGATCACGAAGTCAGGAGTTCGAGACCAGCCTGACCAACATGGTGAAACCCCGTCTCTACTAAAAATACAAAAATTAGCCGGGCGTGGTGGCACACGCCTGTAATCCCAGCTACTCAGGAGGCCGAGGCAGGAGAATCGCTTGAACCCGGGAGATGGAGGTTGCAGTGAACTGAGATTGTGCCACTGAACTCCAGCTGGGCGACAGAGCGAGACTCCGTTTCAAAAAAAAAAAAACATATATATATATATATATATATATATATATATATATATATACACACACACACTTATATATGTGTTTGTATATATACACATATATGTGTATATATACAAACACATATATAAGTATATATATACACATATATGTATATATATGTGTATATATATAGCTGCCATATAATTCCAGCTTTTCCATGCACTTAGTTTTATTCTGTTGTTGGCTTGTTGTTTTCTTGAGTGAAAATGAGTAGACTGAGAGATAAAGTATGAAAAATCTTTGGCTATCCCTCATCCCAAATTTATAATCTCTGACGACATCAGGCCTCTCTCCTCTTCCAGTGTTGGCCTGACTAGACCTCAAGGCAGACAACCTCCCCACCTCAAACCCCCTCCCCCCACCCCCACCTCCCCTGAAAGAAGGGCCCACTGAGTACAGGAAGACAACAGTGTCAGCTCTGGAAAGCCTGAAACATATTCTGAAATACCAGTATCCCCAGGGTGGGGGCCAGGCTGCAGTGCAAGGAGGAAATCCGGCTGTGGCTAGAATCTATATTTTTCTTTTCTTTTCTTTTCTTTTTTTTTTTTTTCGAGACAGGGTGTTACTCTGTCACCTAGGCTGGAGTGCAGTGCGCTGATCATAGCTAACTGCAGCCTCTACCTTCAAGGTTCAAGCAATCCTCTTTACTCAGCCTGCTAAGTAGCTGGGACTATAGTTGCAGGGCCACCAGGCTGGGCTAATTTTTTTTTTTTTTCTTTTTTTTTTAGAGATGAGGTCTCACTACGTTGCTCAAGCTGGTCTTGAACTCCTGGCCTCAAGCAGTTCTCCTTTCCAGCCCTCCCCGAGTCCTGGGATTGTATAGGTGTGAGCCACATGTCGGGCCTAGAACCTTTCATTCAAGCTCCACTCAGCCAGGTGTTAAATTCTCCTCTCACTCCGCCTCCCAGAAGGCGGGGCCCGTGGCACTGTCCAATCAGGAGGGGCGGGGGGGTGTGGCTGTGCAAATTGTCCAATCAGGCGCGGCTCTGGGAGGAGGCCGCGAAGCTCCATAAAACTGCGAGGCGTTCCTTTCACCCGCCCACAGTGGGTGTCAGGTCTATGCTGCTCTGAGAAGCACCAGAGGTGGCTTCGCTGCAGCTTCTTTCCAGCTGTGACTTGCAATGAACACGAAAGACATAAGGAGAACCATAGACACCTCAGAAGCCAGGAAATGGTGAGTGCTGGGGGGATGTCCCGAGACTGTGGAGCAAGGTGCTGGACAGGAACCTGCTGTGACGGGACCCAGGCCTGTCCGGGGCGACTTCGGGACCGGTGGACTGGAGTCCCCCTAGCGCAGCCACCGCGCCCGATTTAAGAGAGAATTTTCAATGGCTAAACTGCACATGTACATCTCCTGACACAGAGCACCTGGTGACAACCATCAACTGTGAAGGTCAGGGAGCTGCTGAAGCAGAAGAGAGTCCATATTTCATTAGTTTTTTTTTTTTTTTTTGGAGACGGAGTCTCGCTCTGTCGCCCAGGCTGGAGTGCAGTGGCGCGATCTCAACTCACTGCAACCTCTGCCTCTGGGGTTCAAGCAATTCTCCTGTCTCAGCCTCCCGAGTAGCTGGGACTACAGGCGCACACTGCCACGCCCAGCTAATTTTTTGTATTTTAGTAGAGACAGAGTTTCACCGTGTTGCTCTTGTTGCCCAGGCTGGAGTGCAATGGTGTGATCTCAGCTCACGGCAACTTCCGCCTCCCAGGTTCAAGCGATTCTCCTGCCTCAGCCTCCTGAGTAGCTGGGATTACAGGCACGCGCCACCACGCCTGGCTAATTTTGTACTTTTAGAGACGAGGTTTCTCCATGTTGGTCAGGCTGGTCTCGAACTCCTAACCTTAGGTGATCCGCCCGCCTCGCCCTCCCAAAGTGCTGAGATTACAGGCGTGAGCCACCGCGCCCGACCTTCATTAGTGGTTTTATATAACAGTTTGTTAATGTCGAAATAATAGTTTGCTGGCTTCTTCATTTTATCAAAGGAATAATTATTTGCCAGTTTTAAAATCCACTTAAAACTGTCTTGAAATTTTTCTCTTCTACTTTACGGTAAACACAGGAGGAAAGCAGGGACTCTGCTGGATTCTCTTTCGAACACTGGGATTGAGGGTGTTTGCCTCGTGGAACTGAACAATGTGGGTGAAAAGCAGGTGGAAAACTTGCAGGGGGCAGCATAGCCTGAGGCCGGTGATCCACACTGAGACTAATCTGGAGCCTGCAAAGGGAGGGAAAGGGAGCTCCCCCGATTGCTTCCTGGGCAGCCTGCCTTCCCCTGTAGGTAGTCTCCAGCTGCTCCGAACAGCTCCAGCTCCAGCTCCAGGAGTGTGGATTCTGAGAAGCTGCAGAGCCCTGGAAAGCAGGAACTTCACAGGCAAATGCACGTGCGGGTTTCTCTCCTTTCTGAGGTTGTACCTCTAGTTTCCCAAGGTAGTTTTCCGGAAAACTTTTTGTTTTTTGAGACGGAGTCTTGCTCTGTCACCCAGGCTGGAGTGCAGTGGCGCGATCTCGGCTCACTGGAACCTCTACCTCCCGGGTTCAAGCGATTCTTGTGCCTCAGCCTCCCCAGAAGCTGGGATTATAGGCGCCCGGCTAATTTTTGTAATTTTAGTAGAGACGGGGTTTCGCCATCTTGGCCAGGCTGGTTTTGAACTCCTGACCTCAAGTGATCCGCCCGCCTCGGCCTCTCAAAGTGTTGGGGATTACAGGCATGAACCACTGTGCCCGGCCTTGATTTTTCTATGTATAGAGTTGCTGCAGTCAGGCTGTAATTTGTATATATGAAGAAAATATGTAAAGATCATATTTAGAGACTCATTTAGGTAGCGTTCCAGAGAAATGGTTTATGAGCTAGAGAGGTTGGAATTTCAAGGGGCCTAAATTGACCACAGGTGAGAGTTTTCTGCTGGTGTAAATTATTAAGGTATTGAAGGAGGGAGCGTTCCCACATTGTGATGCTGTGACAGGAGGGCATGTTGAGCTCCCAGAGTTAAATCCTTAGGTTTCCTGCCTCATCATCAGGGTCTAATGTACTCTGTGGCTCCACTTCAGCAGTCACTGACTCTTAAGCTTGGGAATATGTTCTACCTTCTGAATTCATCTTTTCCTTTTTAAATGTTCTGAAGTGCCCTGCTTATCTGAGCTAGTTCAAATTTTCGCTTTACTTCCCTTTTGATTTCTTTACAGATTACGGAAATAGAACTTGTTTTTCCATGTATTTAATAATTTTATTCACTTGTTGGCAGTTTTTTATTTTCTTGGGTGAAAATGAGTAGATTGATTTGGGAGGCGAAAGTGGGAGGTTCACTTGAGGCTAGGAGTTCAAGACCAGCCTGGACAACAAACGAAATCCCGTCTCTACAAAAAATTAAAGAATTTGCCGGGCTTGGTGGCATGTACCTGTAGTCTCTACTACTCAGGGGACTGAAGCGGAAGGTTCGCTTGAACCCAGGAGATGGAGGCTGCAGTGAGCTATGATCATGCCATTGCACTCTAACCTGGGTGGCAGAGCTAGACCCTGTCTCAAATAAATAAATAAAGTAATAAATAAGTAAATAAAGTAATAAATAAGTAAATAAAGTAAAAAATAGAGAGAGATAAAGAGGTATGGTATGAGAAAGCCTTGGGCACGCTTCCCATATCCTCATCCCAAATTTCCGATCCCTGGGAATATCACGCCCTTTCTTCTGTTCCAGTCCTGCCTGGAACTCCCTGCGCACACCTGTGACTCCTCATGCAAGAGGTAGATGAAGAAATGACCCACTGAGTACAGGAAGTATCTCCTTTGGTAAACCCGGATTAAGTTCTGCTAAAATGCAAGTATCTCCCATCTCCCCATCCCCCGCAGACCAAGTACAGTGAAGGGGACGAGGGGAAGAAGTCCACCCTGCGTTTGAGGGCTGGGGCCAAGACCCCTCATTCCCGCTTCACTCATCTATGCTTCACATCTCCTGTCATTCACATCTGTCAAGATGCAGGGGGCAGAGCCCGAAGCTGTACCCAATCAGGGGCACCGGGGAGGAGCTCTGCGATCGGTCCAATCAGGCGCGCCGTCGGGGACGCAGCTGCAGACGTTCAACCTTCTCGCGGGATTTTCATTTCTCGCGTCTGCCGTACTTGGTTTCGCTTCGCTAGTCCCAGAGGCCCAGAGTGGCTCGCCTGGAGTCTCTGTGGCGCGGTTTCCTGTACCTGCCTTGGGATCCGGAGGGAGGAAGCTGGGACACCCGGGAGTCAGGAAATGGTGAGTGTGTCGGGCCCTGCGTCCCGAGACAGGGAGGAGGGGCTGGTTGGACGACCGGAACTGGCTGTGGCGCGGCCCGGGCCTTCCCGTGGGCGACTCTGGGTCTGCGTACCGAGTCCCTCTGGCGCAGCTCAGCCCTTGGTACCCTCGGCCTCAGGGTGGGGCTGGGCCGGCAGCCGGGACCCCGGGCGTCCTCGTCCCGCCCTGTGCCGCGATTGCGGCCCCGGCCCCGAAGACCCAAGTCTCTTCAGATTGTGCGGGGCCCACGCGAGGGTCATGGGGTGGGGGAAATCCTGACTTGTGCGTGGAAGGAGCTGTGGTGTATGAGGTTCCCAGTTCCTTTTCTCTCCACAGAGGACACCCGTTTTTCCCTGAGTTTTCTAAGTGTATGGGATGCAGGGTCCCAAATCCTCACTCTGTCCCCCAGCCTGCTGTTTCCAGGGCTTGCAGTAAATCCCCAAATTTCCTGTTCTCTTTTCGCTTTTCCAAACGCCAACCTCTCCCCTTCCATTCACGACATTAGCAACCGTTTCTCCTATATTCTACATTTCAGATATTGTGCTTTCATTGTTTATTTTTCAACAAAGCAATGGATTACTCTTTCATCAAGGTTTGTTTTCTGTTCATAGCCTTGACACTCCGCTGTAAGAAACCTTTGTGCTTGTCCTTTTGTCTCCTCTATGCACAGATACCTCATCAGAATGTCTTTGAGTTGAGGTTCCCCTTTGGAATCTTTACAGGGTGATATGCCTTCAGCGCCCCCTCCTATTTATTTTTTCCTGGTTCTGGGTTTCAAAACTGTCTGGGGCTGACTCAAGCTGCCCACAGCTGCCAAGTCTCTTGGAGGATCTAGTGAATATTGGGTCTTGGGTGAGTCTTCCTAGAGGACAGTTGAAATAGAAGGCTGGGAGAATGCCCTGGGACTAGGATAAATCTAGCATACCCTGCTTCTAAATAGCCAACCTCTGGGGGCACTCAGCTTTTCCTCCCCCAACCCCAGTTTCCATCCTTTGGAGACACACTGGTGGTCAGCCAATCAGATGCTGGTATTGAGGATTGAGAAAAGAAAATTTTTTGTGTGTTTTGAAAGAGTCTCGCTCTGTCGCCTAGGCTGGAGTGCAGTGACGTGATCTCGGCTCACTGCAACCTCCATCTTCTGGGTTCAAGCGATTCTCCTGCCTCAGCCTCCCCTGTAGTTGGGACCACAGTTTTGCGCCACCACTCCCAGATAACTTTTTTTTTTTTTTTTTTTTTTTGAGACGGAGTCTCTCTGTCGCCCAAGCTGGAGTGCAGTGGCGTGATGTCGGCTCACTGCAACCTCTGCCTCCCGGATTCAAGCGATTCTCCTGCCTCAGCCTCCCCAGTACCTGGGACTACAGGCGCATGCCACCACGCCCGGCTAATTTTTTGTGTTTTTAGTAGAGACGGAGTTTCACCTTGTTAGCCAGGATGGTCTTGATCTCCTGACCTCGCGATCCGCCTGCCTTGGCCTCCCAGAGTGCTGGGATTACAGGCGTAACTGTACCCGGCCTCAAAAAAATAATTTTCGTCTGATAAATGTGGGTCCTTTTAAATGAACGGGCACATAGAGACATTCAAGTGATACAGCAATCACCTTCTAACTCCCTGAAGCTATGAATTCATCTTTTGAAACTGCTATTGCCACAAGTAGGTATAATCAACTTACTAATGCAACACGGGACCCTGGAACCCACACCCTATAGCTTAACAGTGCATAGCCACGCGCTTATCAATGTTACTTCTGTAAATCAGTGAGAATTCCTGACAAACAACTTTGTATCAGCCCACATCCTGTCCCCCTTTTTCAGACACTTTGGGTCATATTTTGTGTTTCAGCCTCTACTTTTTAGGTCGACAAGGGAAAAGACGGAAATGATTCCTGTCCTTTGTATTCTCTCAGCCTTGTGAAGGGAGAAAAACTATCTCAGCGAGGTGGTGGAATAACCTGAAAAACAAAATGCACTTTGGGTACACAGTGTCGCGTAATGCAGTGTCTCTTGGGCGGGTGGTCACTGAGCATTTCAGTGAGCACTATGGGGGTAGAGGGATGTTCCAACTGATAGATAAGATGACCTCTGCTGACACTGGAGTCAGACGAATGTCTGTATTCCAGGTCAGCACTGCTTCTCCCTGGGATTCTTGCCTTAACAACAAGTTCAGCTTGAGTATTTCATTTAGTTGAAAGTGCATTTTATCAGTAGAGCTTCATAGAGAAGATAATGTATTTCCCAAGAGGTAGATTTCAGGGGGAAAGAGATTAGTCTTATATTCCACATTTTAAAAATTCTTATTTTCAACGGCTTGTATCTGTATTTCTCCATATTTTGGAGTAATTATCTGCATGATATGTGTAGGTGCTGTGGCTTTTTACCTAAGAAGCAGAATCTCATTCCAGTACATTTGAGAGTCATGATGCCAAATCTTTGATGGTCTGTGTCAGAGACACAAAGTCTACAATGTGTGTGTTCACAGTGGTGTGGATTTTATGCCTCAAGTCACTTAGAAAAGTGTCTTAGAAAACCTGGACAGTGCCCTTGTGTCTTCACAATAATTCTTTTGTGTATTTATGGAGATGATTCTGTAATCTTTTGGGACATGGACCAATGTGTATCTCTTCATACTCATATTCTGCACCATCTGTATGTAGCACGTCAGACTTAGCGGTGTGACCTTAAACTTTTTAAAAGAAACTGGAAGGTCAATAAAATTTAAACTGCTGGCTGGGTGCGGTGGCTCACGCCTGTAATCCCAGCACTTTGGGAGGCTGAAGCAGGTGGATCACCTGAGGTCAGGAGTCTGAGACCAGCCTGGCCAACCTGGTGAAAACTCGTCTCTGCTAAAAATACAAAAATTAGCCAGGTGTGGTGGTGGGCGCCTATAATCCCAGGTACTCAGGAGGCTGAGGCAGGAGAATCACTTGAACCCAGGAAGTGGAAGTTGCAGTGAGTTGAGATCATGCTATTGTGCTCCAGCCTGGGTGACAGAGCAAGACTCCGTCTCAAAAAAAAAAAGAAAAAAAATTTAAACTGCTTAACAACAAATTCTTATTTTCTTTTATTCTTTCCCAGATCATGTGTAGTATATGTGTAGTATGTTTGTCAGATCTGTGTTCTGTTGGGTGACTTGAAATGGAATTCCAGGGCTTAACCTTGAGAATATTATCAGGGAAAAGAAATGGGGGTGGGGAGAACCAACTCTCCTATTATGGCTTCAGAAAAATGAATATAGTTTCCCAAGAAAGTTAGTAGATAAATTGGGGAATTACAAAGATTCACCAAAACATCAATTTCTCTTGCAAGGTGGAGAATTTGTGACGGTGAATAACTGTTCTGTTTCCTGTTATTGGAACTTAGCAGATTCTAAATCTTAGGGAACAGGACCTGGCAACAACTAGGAATCCTCTAATAGGATTTTTGTTTACTAAATGATTTGTTATCATAGAAATAGTAGTTAAGTGACATCTTTGTCTGAAAATAGTAGATTCTTGTGCTTTTTCTGTTCAGCTATGATGTAAATGTGCCTTAATTTTCTTCCCTCCCATAAACATTAAGATTGATTTTGCTGGATTCATCAAACATGAGTCATTAAACATGGGTATTTTCTTTAAATATCCACATGAGGTATGTAAAGGGAAGTGGGTAGCCTTGACTGGGGTGCAGAGGCCTGAGGCCAGCGACTCCAAACTGAGGCCAATCCAAAGGAGTACTGCATAAAGGAAGGCACCAATCAAATATAAGATCTGCAAAGATCTGAAAGTTTAGGCAGAAAAGTGTTTTCTTTCATAGGAAGGGGCAAACAGATTAGAAAGAAGATGAGGAGGAAGAAGGCAGGATGGAGGGTGCAAAATCAGACCTAGATCAGAACATGTTTTATTCTGAGGTTATTCTGTTCTTAGGAAGTGTTGCCTATTTGTTCAGGCTGAGAGTGGGTCAAAGTTAAGGGCCTGGAGGAAATTTACAAGTCAAGGGCTTGCATCTGTAGTTCTCTATATTTTGGAGTAATTATCTACATGATATGTGTAGGTTCTGTGGCTTTTCACCTAAGAAGCAGAATCTCATTCTAGTACATTGAAGAGTCATGAAGCCAAATCTTTGATGGTCTGTGTCAGAGACACAAATTTAAGGAATGTTTGGTTAACAAATGTTTTGTTCCCACTGATCAGTGAAGACAAAACTGTTCAGCTAATGTTTTATGAAGCAAAGAATGGGCATTTGTAGACCTGATGCCATGGCTCACGCTTGTAAGCCCATCACTTTGGGAGGCTGAGGCCAGAGGATAGCTTGAGCTCAGCAGTTTGAGACCAGCCTAGGCAACATTGCCAGACTTTGTCTCAAAAAAAAGAAAAGATAAGACCGGGTGCGGTGGCTCACGCCTGAAATCCCAGCACTTTGGGAGGCCAAGACAGGCGGATCACCTGAGGTCAGGAGTTCAAGACCAGCCTGACCAACATGGAGAAACCCCATCTCTACTAAAAAAAATACAGGTGCCTGCCACCACACCCCGTCTCTACCTAAAACCTTTGTACAAAAGGCAAAAGCATCTAAGTCTGCCCCTCAGAGACTTTCCCAATTTGTACAGTTTATTCTACAATTAAACTAATTCTGTGAAAGCAAAGCCAAACTGCTAATAATGTTGAGTTTTACTCAAGCCCTATAATCCAGTTAAATAGATATGGTCATAGAAATCACTGCCTTGTTAACCACTCAGTTCTTTCTGTTTTGCAGACGCAGACTCATGCAAAGATACCTTTTCCATTACTTCACGGCCTTTTTTTAAAAAATAAAGCCAGATACTGACTACAAATGCCCATTTTTTTTTCTTTTCTTTTTCTTTTTTTTTTTTTTTTTTTTTTTTTTTTTTGTGAGACGGAGCTTCGCTCTCATTGCCCAAGCTGGAGTGCAGTGGCGCGATCCCGGCTCACTCTGATCTCTGCCTCCTGGGTTCAAGCGATTCTCCTGCCTCAGCCTCCCAAGTAGCTGGGATTATAGGCGCACACCACCACGCCTGGCTAATTTTTTATATTTTTAGTAGAAACGGGGTTTCACCATATTAGCCAGGCTGGTCTCCAATTCCTGACCTCAGGTGATCTGCCTACCTCAGCCTCCCAAAGTGCTGGGATTACAGGCATGAGCCACCACGCCCCCGACAAGCCCCGTTTTTGATCACAGTAAAGGGGGAGAGGCTGGATATTGAGTTCTGTTAATGTAAAAATTCTGGAATGAAGACATTCGGAGAGCTTCCTGGTTGGTGAACGCAGTGATGTTCTAGGAGGGTGGTACTCAAGTCCTGTAGGGAAGGGGGTCCTATACTCCCTTCCCTGGAGGGTCTAGTGAATATTGGCCCTTGTGTGACTCCTCCCAGAGGACAGTTGAAGTAGAGGGCTGGGGCCTTCCAGGGGACCCCCACTTCCCTGGTCATATATATCTTTTCCATTTGGCTGTTCTTGGGTCATCCTTTTTTTTTTTGAGATGGAGTTTCACTCTTGTTGCCCAGGCTGGAATGCAATGGCAGGATCTCGGCTTCCTGCAACCTCCACCTCCCGGGTTCAAGCGATTCTCCTGCCTCAGCCGCCCAAGTAGCTAGAATCACAAGTGCCTGCCACCAGGCCCGGCTAATTTTTTTGTATTTATAGTAGAGATGGGGTTTTACCATGTTGGCCACGCTGGTCTCGAACTCCTGACCTCAGGTGATCCACCTGCCTTGGCCTCCCAAAGTGCTGGGATTATAGGGGTCATTCTTTAAAACAAACTGGCAAACTTGTGTTTTTCTGAGTTCTGTTAGTAGTACTAGCAAATTATTGAAATTGAGGAGCGTTTGTTGGATTTCTATGCAGTTGGTTAGAATTAAGGGTGCCTCCACTCCTCCCTGCTGTACCACCCTCCCAGCACATCAGGGCCGGGACTGGCATCTGCAGTGGGGGCTGTGTCCTGGGGTGGGCCCTGGACTTGTGGGGTCTGGGCTAATGCCAGGTGATGTCAGAATTGAATTACTGGATCCCCAGCTGGTGTTGGAAAGTTAGTTGATACTGAGCAGTCTCCACATATTTGTTGTCAGAAAAAATGACATCACAGGTCAGAACCTTACATCGACTTGGTGAGTGGTTGCTGGTGAGAATTAAGACCCTGGAGGAGGGAGCATTTCCACACTGAGAAGGGGACAGTAGGGTGAGTAGTGCTCTGCGGATTATATTTTCTAATTACTCAAATATTCCTCACTCATTGCCTAGGAGAAGCCACTCTGAGCTACATCTCCACAGTGAGAGTGTAGTAAACTTTTGAATGTGGGTAAAGGTAAACAAATAAGCCTTGGGCATTTCTGGCATGTCTCCCTAATTTCATCCTCCTTCTCTGTACCCAGAGGTGACCACAGTACTGATTCTGAATTTTTTTTTTTTTTTTTGAGACGGACTCTCGCTCTGTTGCCCAGGCTAGAGTGCAATGGAGCGATCTTGGCTCACTGCAAGCCCAGCCTCCCGGGTTCATGCGATTCTCCTGCCTCAGCCTACCGAGTAGCTGGGACTTACAGGCGCCCGCCACCACACCCGGCTAATTTTTTTGTATTTTTATTTTTATTTTTATTTTTTTTGAGACAGAGTCTCTCTCTGTCCCCCAGGCTGGAGTGCAGTGGCGTAATCTCGGCTCACTGCAAGCTCTGCCTCCCGGGTTGACGCCATTCTCCTGCCTCAGCCTCCCAAGTAGCTGGGACTACAGGCGCCTGCCACCACGTCCGGCTAATTTTTTGTATTTTTAGTAGAGACGGGGTTTCACTGTGTTAGCCAGGGTGGTCTCGATCTCCTGACCTCGTGATCTGCCCACCTTGGCCTCCCAAAGTGCTGGGATTACAGGCGTGAGCCACCACGCCCGGCCATTTTTTTGTATTTTTAGTAGAGACGGGGTTTCGCTGTGTTAGCCAGGGTGGTCTCAATCTCCTGACCTTGTGATTCACCCACCTTGGCCTCCCAAAGTGCTGGGATTACAGGCGTGAGCCACCGCGCCCGGCCTTTTGTGGTTTCTTTGCCTCAGTCCGTTGCACACATGCTGCTGTCTGAGGCTGTGGGTCACCCAGGTTACTAACCATTCCACTGCTTGATTTGAGTTGTTAGTATTTTATCTGTTGCCAATGTAATTGTTGTTTTTGTCTCCAAGTGCTAATGCTTCATAAACTTCTTTTTTTTTTTTTGAGGCAGGTCTTCTTCTGTTGCCCAGACTGAAGTGCAGTGGTGCAATCACAGCTCACTGCAACCTTGGCCTCCCAGGCTCAAGCAATCCTTCCATCTCACCCTCCCAAGTAGCTGGGACTACAGGCGTGTGCCACATGCCTGATTAATGGTTGTATTTTTTTATAGAGATGGGGTCTTGCCATGTTGCCCAGCACTCAAACCCTTGGGCTCAGCACTGGGATTATAGGCATGAGCCACTGTGCCCAGCCATGCTTCATAAATTTTTTTTTTTTTTTCGAGACGGAGTCTCGCTCTGTCGCCAGGCCAGGCTGGAGTGCAGTGGCGCGATCTCAGCTCACTGCAACCTCTGCCTCCTGGGTTCAAGTGATTCTCTTGCCTCAGCCTCCCAAGTAGCTGGGATTACAGTCACATGCCACCACACCCAGCTAATTTTTTTTTTTTTTTTGAGACGGAGTTTCACTCTTGTTGCCCAGTCTGGAGTGCAATGGCAAAATCTCAGCTCACTGCAACCTCTGCTTCCCAGGTTCAAGTGATTCTCCTGCCTCAGCCTCCAGAGTAGCTGGGATTATAGGCATGCACCACCACGCCCGGCTAATTTTGTTTTTTTAATAGAGACAGGGTTTCTCCATGTTGGTCAGGCTGGTCTTGAACTCCTGACCTCAGGTGATCTGCTTACCTTGGCCTCCCAAAGTGCTGGGATTACAGGCATGAGCCACTGCGCCAGGCCCCACCCAGCTAATTTTTTTTATTTTTAGTAGAGATGGGGTTTCACCATGTTGGCCAGGATGGTCTTGATCTCTTGACCTCGTGATCTGCCTGCCTCGGCCTCCCAAAGTGCTGGGATTACAGGTGTGTGCCACCGCACCTGGCTGCTTTGTAAGTTTTTTATACATTGGAAAAAAAAATCCCTGGGATGTAGCTTATAGATAGATTGACTTGGGAATGCCAATGGAATATATGGATTAACCATCTGACCATGTATGCATGTGTATTTACTCCTTATAAGTAGTTCTCTTTATTTTTCTCTGTGTGATTACATGTTGCTTTTTACACTAGGATTGAGCATTTTTTCTGTGTGGCCTTTCATCTTCTGTAAAATAGTTTTCAGTCATCTTGTCACATTAAAGTCATTTGTATATTTATTGCTTCATTTCTTCCCTTTTTTCTTTTTTTAACTTACTCTGTAGGCTAATTCTTTTTCATTTATAGGGATTGCTAATATTTTGTTCCAGGGAGTGATTTATCTTTTCACTCCATTCTACATTTTGATGGACTCTTAAATTTTTTTGTTTGTTGGCTTTTTTGGCCGCCTTCTGCATGCACCATCATCAAGGGTGGGGAAGGGTACTCTTCTTGATTTTAATTGAGTTGACTTTGGCTCTTCCTTTCAGGCCTACTTAATTTTCTTGTAAGAGAACATTCTAGAGAGTGTATATTTAGGGCAACTTGAATCTGTGCTCCCAGGTTAAATAAAGAACACTCTCCCTACTGTCAAGTTGGAAAAAAAATTGTAACTTATGAAAGTTTGCTACTTTTTAAAATTTTAAAATTTTTTATTTTCTCTCTCTCTCTTTTTTTTTTTTTTTTTGGAGACAGAGTCTCGCTCTGCCACCCAGGCTGGAGTGCAGTGGCATGATGTTGGCTCATTGCAGCCTTCGCCTCCTGGCGTCAGGTGTTTCCAGTGCTTCAGCCTTCCGAGTAGCTGGGATCGCAGGTGTGAGCCACCATGCCCGGCTAATTTTTGTAGTTTTAGTAGAGACAGGGTTCCTGACCTCAAGTGATCTACTTGCCTTGGCCTCCCAACATGCTGGGATTACAGACGTGAGCCACTGTGCCTGGCTGCTTTTGTTTTTAAGAGGTTTGTGTTTTTCTGATTTGATCTTGTTTATAGCTGGAGACTGGCTAAAACTTTATCCCTGTCCTGGTGTGGCTCTGGGGGATTTCTTGGAGGATATTTAAAATGTGCCTTTCAAGGGATATTTCTTCATTCTGTTGGAGGGCCTGATGCCTAGATGTTATACCCATGACCAGGTGTCCCTCTCACAGCACACTTGTTTATACTTGCTCTGTACAAGCAGGCACCTTGTAGATCTTGTCTGACCATTGTCAGTTTAATCCTAGACTAGAGTAGCCACTAATCCGGTATCTATTAGTGGCTAATAAACACTACCACTCTGTTCCTACCAAGAGAGCCCCGATTATGATAGTAGTTAGGTTCAAATAGTAGTCAGGTGTGTCAGTTAGGCAATTAGGTGAGACTCGGAGGAGACAATTCAACAAACACAGGAAATAACAGAAGGAGTTTATTACTTATAAATCCCAGAGGCCGGCTGTGGTGGCTCACGCCTGTAATCCCAGTACTGTGGGAGGCTGAGGCAGGCGGATCACGAGGTCAGGAGATCGAGACCATCCTGGCCAACATGGCGAAACCCTGTCTCTACTAAAAATACAAAAATGAGCTGGGTGTGATGGTGCGTGCCTGTAATCCCTGCTACTCGGGAGGCTGAGGCCAGAGAATCACTTTAACCAGGGAGTCGGAGGTTGCAGTGAGCCGAGATTGCGTCACTGCACTCCAGCCTGGCGACAGAGCCAGACTCCATCTCAAAAAAAAACAAAAAAATTCCCGGAGAGAGGAGAGTAGCATGTCTTGTAGGCCAGCAGGTAGGTGGAACTATTTGTGACACATACCCTCAGCCTGTCAGTGGGGAGCAAGGGAAAGAGAGGGAATTGTGGGCCAAATCCTTTATTGGGGTCCAAGGTGTTACCTAACCCAATTTCTCTTCAGGAGGTTTTAGTTGGTGTGTTTAGAAGAAGGAAGCACAGAGGCTAAGAAGAGTCAGCAGACAGGCCTTATTGGTTTTCCCACTCAATCTATTAGTATTAGTCCATACTCTTTTTGTCCAATTGCAGTTCTACGGGGTGTTCCATACTTTTATCATTCCTATTGAATGACGTCTGTATAAAACGCCATGCTTTTATCATTCCTATTGAATGATGTCTGTATAAAAGGCCCAAGAGGATAGGGTATGGGGAGCTTCTGGACAGCTGAACTCAGGGAGTCTTGTATTATAATAGGAAGGTGATCAAGAACTCATCCTCATGCCAGGAGCGAGTCATACTGTAACTCTACCGGAATGGAAGCTCCTGTGCTTGGGACCCTTGTAGACTTTGCCCTATGCTTCTCCACCTGGCTGTTTATTTGTAGCCTTTAAAATAGCCTTTATAATAAACTTGTAAACGTGTTTTCCCGAATTTTGTGAGCTGTGTTGGCGAGTTAATTGAGCCAAAAAAGGGTGTTATGGGACCCTCAATTTGAAGCCTGTTGGTCAGAAGTTCCAGAGGCCTGGTCTTGCCACTGCTGTCGGATGTGTGGGGTCAGTCTCGTAGGACTGAGCCCTCAACTTGTGGCATCTGCTGCTGTCCCCAGGTAGATAGCTTCATAATCGAATCGGTTTGGCAGGCACCCAGCAGCTATATGCTGCACAATTGATTACTTGCCTTTTTTTTTTCTTTTTGAGACAGAGTTTCACTGTTGTTGCCCAGGCTGGAGTGCAATGGCATGATCTCGGCTCACTGCAACCTCTGCCTCTCGGGTTCAGGTGATTCTCCTGCCTCAGCCTCCCCAGTAGCTGGGATTACAGGCATGCACTACCACACCTGGCTACTTTTTTATTTTTAGTAGAGATGGGGTTTCTCCATGTTGGTCAGGCTGGTCTCAATCTCCTGGCCTCAGGTGATCTGCCCGCCTCGGCCTCCCAAAGTGCTGAGATTACAGGCGTGAGCCACCACATTTGGCCAATTACTTGCTTTTTGATGTGGAGAAATCCCCACACAGTTGGTCACAGAAGCCTTTTGTGTTGATAGTTGTGGTGTGAGGGGAATAGCAAGGTGTGTTTTTTTCACTTAGATGATATGCAGAGGGTTGAATATTCTCTTGTAGATAACCATTTGTCCCTGTCCCTGTGTCGAAGTATCTGTAATCTCTATCCCTGCCTGACAGTGCCTGCTCTGTCACAGGTTCTTGGGCCTTAAATAGATGCTCTTGTTTCAGATTTTGCTATTTTTCATTGGTCTGTCTGTCTCTCTGGTAATACCATACTCTCCTGATTACTACAGATTTCAAATCCTCGATGTATGTTAGAGAAAGAACCTCCCTATCTTAGTCATTTTTGCCTGCTGTAATAAATAACCACAGACTGGATGCCTGAAACAACAAGCATTAATTTCTTTCTTTCTTTTTTTTTTTGAGA
This sequence comes from Homo sapiens, assembly GCF_000001405.40. NCBI lineage: Eukaryota > Metazoa > Chordata > Mammalia > Primates > Hominidae > Homo > Homo sapiens. Next base: position 12,174,658 of record NC_000019.10, read on the forward strand.
CGGAGTCTCGCTCTGTTGCCCAGGCTGGAGTGCAGTGGCACCATCTCGGCTCACTGCAAGCTCTGCCTCCCAGGTCCACGCCATTCTCCTGCCTGAGCCTCCCGAGTAGCTGGGACCACAGGCGCCCACCAACACACCCAGCTAATTTTTTGTATTTTTACTAGAGACAGGGTTTCACCATGTTAGTCAGGATGGCTTTCTTTTTTTTTTTTTTTTTTGAGACGGAATCTTGCTCTGTTGCCCAGGCTGGAGTACAATGGTGTGATCTCAGCTCACTGCACCCTCTGCCTCCCGGTTCAAGCTGTTCTCCTGCCTCAGCCTCCCGAGTAGCTGGGACTACAGGCGTGTGCCACCACGCCCAGCTAATTTTTTGTATTTTTAATAGAGACAGTGTTTCGCCATATTGACTAGCTCCAAGACAGAAAGGCAGAGTAGATTAGAGTGTATTTTTGGTTTCTATGGTCTGCCTTGCAGAGAAAAAAGAGCAAGTGAAAGGAGGTCAGTTGAAGGGCAGAGAGAAAGATTCTGTTTTCTTTCGATTTTTTTTTTTTGGGGGGGACAGAGTCTTGCTTTGTCACCCAGGCTGGAGTGCAGTGATGCTATCTTGGCTCACCGCAACCTCCACCTCCTGGGCTGAAACGATTCTCCTGCCTCAGCTTCCTGAGTAGCTGGGATTACAGGCCTGCATCATCACACCTGGCTAATTTTTGTATTTTTAGTAGAGACAGGGTTTTGCCATGTTGGCCAGGCTCGTCTCAAACTCCTGACCTCAGGTGATCTGCCTGCCTCAGCCTCCCAAAGTGCTGGGATTACAGGTGTGAGCCACCACACCCGGCCTTATACTTTACTTTTTAGAGTAGTTTTAGGTTCACAGCAAAATTGCACACATAGTACAGAGTTCCCTTATGCCCCCTATTCCCACTCAGTCACAACCCGTCCAGCTATCAACATTCTGCACCAAAGTTGTACATTTGTTACAATTGAACCTATTTTGAGACATTATTGTCATCCAAAGTCTAGCCTACATTAGAATTTATTCTTGCAGTTGTACATTCTGTGAGTTTTGACAACTATACAGTGACATTTCTGTTATGGTGTAATACAGAGTAGTTTGATTGTCCTAAAAACCCTCTCATCCACCTATTTATCCCTCTCCCCCTGACTTCTGGCAGCCACTGATTTTTGTACTGTTCTATGATTATGTCTTTTCTGCAGTGTTACATAGTTTGAATCATACAGTATGTAGTCTTTTCAAAGTTGTTTCTTCCACTTAGTAATAAGCATTTGCGGGCATGTGATCATGAAATTTTTTTTAAAAAGTAATACGCATTTAAGGTTCTTCCACTACCTTTTAGCTCATTTATTTTTAGTACCTCCATTGTCTGGAGGTAGCTGTTATGTATCCATTTGTCTACTGTAAGGCATCTCAGTTGCTTCCAAATTTTGAAAATTATGAATAACGCTGCTATAAACATCTGTGTACAATTGTTTGCCTGGACCTAAATTTTCAGCTCATTTGGATAAACCTACCTTTGGTCTGGAGGTTAAGAGACACCCCTGTGCCACATGGGATGGGTTGTAAAGAATTCACTCTGAAAATCAAGTGAATGTGGGCCTATGATGAGGTTTGTGTAAAACCCCTGTGTGTGTATGATCTCCTGATTCAATGAGTACTTTTTTTTTTTTGAGATGGAGTTTCGCTCTTGTTGCCCAGGTGGGACTGCAGTGGCGGGATCTCGGCTCACTGCAACCTCTGCCTCCTTGATTCAAGCGATTCTCCTGCTTCAGCCTCCCGTATAGCTGGGATTACAGGCGCTTGCCACCACACCCAGCTAATTTTTGTATTTTTAGTAGAGATGGGTTTTCACCATGTTGGCCAGGCTGGTCTCAAACTCCTGACCTCAGGTGATCCATCTGCTTCAGCCTCCCAAAGTGCTGGGATTACAGACGTGAGCCACTGCGCCCAGCCTTTCCATGAGTATTAATCTCCTTTTTTGTAACAGATCTCCTAGTGGGTGCTGCGTTAAACAGAGCTGAACAAATAACCCTATCTGCCTGAAGCAGGGTGGGAGACAAGAAACAAGATATAAGTAGAATATGCAGTGTGTCAGATGGTGCTTAGTCCTAAGGAGAGAGAGAAAGCTGGGGAGGAGTGGAGAGGCCTGGGCTGTGTTTGTCTCTGCAAGCACCTGTTTATGTCTCTGAGGTGTTATCTCTGAGGGTTTGTGTGTCTACCTGGGTATGGCCACCTATATGTGCAGTGACAAAGTGTGAGTGATTTTGTATGTCTGATGGGGAGACAGAGGCTGTGTTTGTATGCCCTTTAAAATCTGGAATGCTTTTATTTCATTTTCTTGCCTGATTGCCCTGGTAGCATCTTTTAGCATGTTAAATAGCTGTGTCAAAAACAGACATCCTTGTCTTGTATTTGATCTTAGGGGGAAACATTCAGTGTCACCATCAGTATGATGTTATAGTGGGGTTTTCATGGATACCTTATTTCAGGTTAAGGAAGTTCCCTTCCATTTCCAGTTTACTGAATGTCTTCATGGTGGAAGAGGTATTGAAAGGATATTGACCCTTGTCAAATGTTTTTGATACTGATTCTATTAATATTGTGATTTTCAAATGTGAAAACAGTGTTGCTTTTCTGGGCTACGTCCCACTTAAGTATAGAAGTTTTTGTTTGTTTGTTTTTGTTTTGAGACGGAGTCTCGCTCTGTAGCCCAGGCTGAAGTGCAGTGGCGCGATCTCGGCTCACTACAACCTCTACCTCCCGGGTCCCAGTTCAAGCAATTCTCCTGCCTCAGCCTCCTGAGTAGCTGGGATTACAGGCACATGCCACCATGCCCAGCTAATTTTTGTGTTTTTAGTGGAGATGGGGTTTCACTATGTTGGCTAGGCTGCTCGTGAACTCCTGACCTCGTGATCCACCTGTCTTGGCCTCCCAAAATGCTGGGATTACAGGCATGAACCACCGCACCCAGACTTTTGAAAAATCTTTTTGGTAACAGTCATTCTCGCAGGTGTGATGTCTCATTGAGGTTTTAGTTTGCATTTCCCTAATGATTTGAGATGTTAAACATTTTTTCATGAATGTCTTTGTCATTTATATTTGCTCTTTTCAGAAATGTCTGTTTAGATCCTTTGCCCATTTGAAAAATTGGAGGCCAGGCCCAGTGGCTCATGCCTATAATCTCAGCACTTTGGGAGTCTGAGGCAGGTGGATTGCCAGATCTCGGGAGTCTGAGACCAGCCTAGGCAACATGGCAAAACCTCATCTCTACCAAATATACAAAAAATTAGCTGAGCATTGTGGCATGTACCTGTGGTCCCAGCTACTCCCAGCTGAGGTGGGAGGATGGCTTGAGCCTGGGAGGCAGAGGTTGCAGTGAGCCAAGATTGTGCCACTGCACTCCAATGTGGGTGTCAGAGTGAGACTCAATCTCAAAAATAAATAAATAATAAAAGTTTTAAATTGGATTGTTTTCTTGCTATTGAGCTGTTTGAATTCTTTATATATTTTGGATTTTAACACCTTATCAGATATATGGTTTGCAAGTATTTTCTCCCACTCCGTGTGTTGCCTGCCTTTCCACTCTGTTAATTGTTTCCTTTGCTGTGCTAAAAAGCTTTTTAGTTTGACATCCACATCCACAATGGTGCTGTCAAAAACAGCTACATGGGAACTTGTTTATGTACTCTTTCTGCAGTGTCTGGTTTCACCCAGAACTCTTTTGTGAGATTAAGCACCTTCCTCATATCAGGAAGATTGTGGGTCTTTCCTATTATTCACAGCTGAATCCCTGAGTTAGGTTTGATTGTATGTGATCAAACATAGTATGTATTATTTCCTCAAGCAACATTTTTGGACATGTTTCTTAGAAATAGTTTACTAACTGGTTTCGAACAGCATGTATGCTAACAAATGTTAATGTCTTTTTCATTTGCTGCTAAGTTATATAAAAAATTCCATTGCAATCATGGATCAGATCAACTTTATAATAAACTTTATAATTTTGTGGCGTTATTTGTTAAATATTGTGAATCAGGCGGGGAGGGGTGGCTCACGCCTGTAATCCCAGTACTTTGGGAGGCTGAGGTGGGTGGATCATGAGGTCAGGAGATCGAGACCATCCTGGCTAACACGGTGTAACCCTGTCTCTACTAAAAATGCAAAAATTAGCCGGGCGTGGTGGCGGGCACCCATAGTCCCTGCTACTCGGGAGGCTGAGGCAGGAGAATGGCATGAACCTGGGAGGCGGAGCTTGCAGTGAGCCGAGATCATGCCACTGCACTCCAGCCTGGGCAGCAGAATGAGACTCTGTCTCACAAAAGAAAAAAAAGAAAGAAAGAAAAAAAAAAAAGAAAAATTGTGAATCAATATTCTGTGCATACAATTTTAGGTGTGTTTTTTTCACATAAATTTTCATTTTCATGCTCATGTAGTCACAGTTTTTATCACAAGAATTATTTCTCATTCACTTATGATACCAAAAGTTAAATCAAGCTTTTAACCTTTTTCCAAAGATTATCAGGACCATAGCTCCTGTCAAAGAAGGTATAAAAAAAAGTCATCATAAATATGATAGTAAACCATACGTGACTGTGTGGTGTATCAATAGGAGAGCGCTCAAAAGAATTTCTTTTTTTTTTTTTCTTTTTTTTTTGAGATGGAGTCTCACTCTGTCGGCCAGGCTGGAGTGCAAGTGGCACAGTCTGGGCTTACTGCAACCTCTGCCTTCCAGGTTCAAGCTATTCTCCTGCCTCACCCTCCTGAGTAGCTGGGATTACAGGCACAGGTCACCATGCCTGGTTAATTTTTGTATTTTTTATAGAGACGGGGTTCCTCCATGTTGGCCAGGGTGGTCTCGATCTCCTGACCTCAGGTGGTCTGCCAGCCTCGGCCTCCCAAAGTGCTGGGATTACAGGCGTGAGCCACCACACCCAGCCCAAAAGAATTTCTTCTAGGACGTGTGCTTGCTTCAGGTGTATTGATTGCTATTCAAAGCAAGAAGCTTCTCTGGATTGTATACTATGAAGAAGCAAGGTTATTTCTGGCCTTGGTTATTATGATAGTTCTTACCCAGAAGTAAAAAAGATGGAGTGGCGCTAAGTTTATTACCTAAACACTGAAATATTTCTTATGATGAATTAGACATGGCTTCCCATAAGATACCTCAGTTGAAATATATAAATTCTAACTATTGATAATTTTTTTTTTTTGAGACAGAGTCTGGCTCTGTTGCCCGGGCTGGAGTGCAGTGGCGCAGTCTCGGCTCACTGCAAGCTCCACCTCCCGGGTTCACACCATTCTCCTGCCTCAGCCTCCCGAGTAGCTGGGACTACAGGTGCCCGCCACCACACCCGGCTAATTTTTTTGTAATTTTAGTAGAGACGGGGTTTCACCATGTTAGCCAGGATGGTCTTGATCTCCTGACCTCGTGATCTGCCTGCCTCGGTCTCCCAAAGTGCTGGGATTACAGGCGTGAGCCACCGCCCCCGGCCAACTACTGATAATTTTTAAAAGTCTCCCTTATTAGTCAAATTAGGCTAATGCCTCTAGGAAAGTTGTCAGAATATAAACCTAGCAAGGGACAGAGACATGATCACTATTCTAATCAAGCCTCTCTTGCTCAGATAATATGCTCTTGATGCTAATTTTTCAATATGCCTCATATGCCAGAACTGTAGACTCAGAACATCCAGAATTAAGCACAAATGATGCAGGCACTGAAGGCTCTGATATGGGAACACAAAGTGAATAAATTCTTGAAATCCTGGTGCTTATATTTTTGTGAGAAAGGAGAGGGGTTGAAAAAATGGTAAGACTGGTTTATAAGAAGGAAATAAGCACTTTGAAGGAAAGTAAATGATGGTGTGAGATAATACGGAAGCTGAGGGTGTGTGTATATGTTCTCTGTGGAGGGTGGCAACATCAGTGAGTGAAGAAATGTCACCATCGGTCATTTATATTTCCACCTCTTATACATCTTCAGCACCATTTCAGGAACTGCTTAAGTGTGGATGTAGATAGTGCATAGCAATATAGACAGTCCTGCCTTTTTGAGGTTAACAATAATGATTCCCCGTAAAGATATAGGTATGGCTTATTGTCATTTTTGCATTGGTTAAAAATTTTAATGCATGTAATATGTGATGCTGACTTTGGACATGGGTATCTGGAACCTGGAGGAAGGCACACCACTGCATACGGTGTGTGCTAGAACCACGTTGGATCCCTGTTGAAACATCTTAAGTGTTCTGCCCCTTAAGCCACAGGGGCGGAGCCTGAAGTTATATCCAGTTAGGGGTGCCAGGATGGCATCCTACTTATTGTCCAATCAGGCGCGCCTCAGAGCCCTGTCTGCCCCCAACCTCACCCCACCCTGTACGATCTTGTGGTGAATTTTCTTTTCTTGAGCTGGCTGCATTACCTTTCTTCTGGCTCCTGGCTCCACTGCCCTGGCTCTGTGCTCTGTGCTGGCCGTGGTAGCCGGAGGGAGGACCCAGGAGACCCCGAAGATGGGAAATGGCGAGTGTGGGAAATGGCAAGTGTGCAGGGGCCTGGGGTCCGACATGGCTGGAGGGGCCCAGGCCTCCTCGCCATCAGCATCCGATTCTGTTTCATCTGAGTTGCTCAAATGTGTGGGAAGCAGGGTATCAAATCCACCCCCGGCCTAACTCTCCTTGATCTGGCAGCAAACTGCTAAATTGTAGGTATAATTTCTGCAGTCCCCAACACCAGCTTCTGTTCTCGGATGCACAGTGTTATCAACTATTTGGTTTTTTTGTTTTGTTTTGTTTTTGCATTTGTTTTTGTTTTTTTTTTTTTGGTGGAGTCTCATTCTGTCGCCGAGGCTGGAATGCAGTGGCGCAATCTCCACTCACTGCAATGTCCGCCTCCTGGATTCAAGCGATTTTCCTGCCTCAGCCTCCTGAGTAGGTGGGATTACAGGCACCTGCCACCACGCCCAGCTAATTTTTTTTGGGGGGGGACAGAGCCTCACTGAGTCGCCCAGGCTGGAGGGCAGTGGTGTGATCTTGGCTCACTGCAAGCTCCGCCTCCCGGGTTCACACCATTCTCCTGCTTCAGCCTCCCGAGTAGCTGGGACTACAGGCACCCACCACTACGCCCGGCTAATTTCTTTGTATTTTTAGTAGAGACAGGGTTTCACCATATTAGCCAGGATGGTTTCGATCTCCTGACCTCGCAATCCGCCTGTCTCTGCCTCCCAAAGTACTGGGATTACAGGTGTGAGCCACCGCGCCCGGCCATTTTTTTGTGTTTTTTAGTAGAGATGGGGTCTCACCGTGTTGGCCAGGCTGGTCTCGAACTCCTGACCTCAAGTGATCTACCCACCTTGGCCTCCCAAAGTGCTGGAATTACAGGTGTGAGTCACCATGCCCAGCTGACTATTTGTCCTTCCTTCTCCATTAGAGAAAGATGTCATATTTTAAGTTTATCATTTTTGCAGAAGGCAGTGGATGACAGTTTTATAAAGATTTCTTTTATGTTTGTGACCTTTTCGCCTGAGAGGTAAGCAGAGAATAACCACCTGAAACTCCATTGTGAAAAAGCTTTGTGTCTCTCTTTTATCTTCTCTAAGTGCAAACCCTTATCAGAATGCCTTTGCATTGAGGTTCCCCTTTGGAAACTTTGCAGGGTTGATTGCCCTCAGCCTGTCCTCTCTTTTCCTGGTCCTGGGGTTCAGAACTGACTGGGGCTGCCCCAAGAAGCCCATAGCTTCCATGTCTCTTGGAGGGTCTAGTGAGTATCAGCTCATGTGGCCCCTCAGGGGAGCCCCTGGATGCCTTGGACCTAGAAGCAGTGACATGGTTTACTCTTCCTCTGAAAAGCTCACCTCTTGGGACACTCAGCTTGTTTTTCTCTAGCCCCAGTTTTCATTCTTTGGAGACATGTTAGTGGTCAGCTAATTGGATGGCAGTATTGAGGGGAAAGACAGAAAATGATTCTTGCCCTCTGGATTCTCTCAGAGTACTTGAAGGGAGAAAAATGATCCCAAAAGACAAGGAAAACCCACCTCTGCCAGGTTATGCAAGAACTTGAAAAGCAAAATGCACTTAGGCATGGGGGTGGGGGCACAGTCCACTGTCTCTGGGAAGGGTCGGTGAGCAGCACTTTAGTGACAGGATGGGGGTTGGGGGGATGTCCCATGTGATAGGATGACCTGACTGGGCAGTTAAGTCAGATTTCTCTGTGTTCCAGGTTAGAGTGGCCTTCCCTGATTTTGTCACCTTAAGAAGATTTGTTTACTTACTTCATCATGTAAAATGTATTTTACCATTAAAGCTTGAAAGATAGGCTAAAATATTTCCAAAGAGATGAGAGGTGTATCTCAGAAAAATAAATATCTACCCTTATATTTGTTAAAAATTTGTATTTAATTTTTCCCCCCAGAACATATATGCAGTAAGTTTCTCAGGTCTGTTCTTTTTTGTGATTTTGTTGTTGTTGTTGTTGTTTTGTTTTTTTTTGGTTTGTTTGTTTGAGACACAGTCTGGCTCCAGGCTGGAGTTCAGTGGCACAATCACGTCTCACTGCAACCTCCACCTCCCCGGTTCAAGCAATCCTCCCACCTCAGCCTCCTGAGCAGCTAGAACCATAGGTGCAGGCTACACGACTGGCTAATTTTTTGTAGAGATAGGGTTTCACCATGTTGCCCAGGCTGGTCTCAATCTCCTGAGCTCAAGTGATCCTCCTACCTTGGCCTCCCGAAGTGCTGGGATTTTAGGCGTGAGCCACCACTCCCAGCTCCTTTTTTGTGATTTCAAATAGAATCCTAGAGTGTAGCCTTGAGAAGGCTACAGGGAGAAAAAGCTCAGAGAAATAGGGAGAATCACTCTTCATTATGGCTTCACATAACTGAATCTATCTATCTATCTATCTATCTATCTATCTATCTATCTATCTATCTATCTATCTATGTTTATCTTGAGACAGGGTCTTCCTCTTTTGCCCAGGTTGGAGTGCATTGGCACCCATCATAGCTTGCTGCATTCTCATACTCCTGGTCTCAAGCAGTCCTCTCACCTCAGCCTCCTGAGTAGCTGGGACTACAGGCGTGCACCACCACTGCTGGCTAATTTTTAAATTTTTCTGTAGAGATGGAGGTTCTCACTGTGTTGCCTAAACTGATGTTGAATTCCTGGGCTCAAACAATCCTTCTGCCTCAACCTCCCAATGTGATGGAATTACAGGTGTGAGCCAGTTCACCCGGCCACTGATACATTTTGATGAGAAAGTAGGTAGATAAATTGGTGAATTCACCAATTTATTTTCACCAATTTAGTGAAGATTCATCAAGCTGGGTGTGGTGGCTCACGCCTGTAATCCCAGCACTTCGGGAGGCCAAGGCTGGCAGATACTTGCGGTCAGGAGTTTGGGTCCAGCCTGGCCAACATGGTGAAACCCCATCTCTATTAAACATACAAAAATTAGCTGGGTGTGGTGGCACGTGCCTGTACTCCCACCTCCTCGGGAGGTTGAGGCGGGATAATCCCTTGAGCCTGGGAGGCAGAGGTTGCAGTGACCCAAGACCCTGCCACTGCACTCCAGCCTGGGCGACAGAGCAAGACTCCATCCAAAAAAAAAAAGAGGGCTGGGTGTGGTGGCTCACGCCTGTAATCCCAGCACTTTGGGAGGCCGAGGTGGGCAGATCACGAGGTCAGGAGATTGAGACCATCCTGGCTAACATGGTGAAACCCTGTCTGTACTAAAAAATACAAAAAATTAGTCAGGCGTGGTGGCAGGTGCCTGTAGTCCCAGCTACTCAGGAGGCTGAGGCAGGAGAATGGCATGAACCCGGGAAGCGGAGCTTGCAGTGAGCCGAGATCACGCCGCTCCAGCCTGGGCAACAGAGAGCCAGACTCCGTCTAAAAAAAAAAAAAAAAAGGTAAAAAATCCTTCATTAGTCTCATTTAGTACTTAATTATATTTGATCTGCAGGATAGGTACAAGCTTGCAAGTATTCTCTCTTAGTATAATAACAGAAGATGGGCTTAATTTTCCCAGTAACCAATTGTGAGAACACATGCGAAATGCTTCCTGGAGTGTTTCTGGGGGCTCATCAGGTGGGCACTATGTGTTGCGCGTGTAACAAATTCCCAAACTCTCAGAAGGTGGGACGCCAGAAATTTTCATATTTTTTCCATAAAGAGTTTAGGCACCGAGCTACTCTTACATAGGTCATTGGGCTCCTTCCCCAAATCCGTTTCCCAGATACCAGGAATGGATGTGATGCAGGACAGGTGCGCCCTAAAATTGGGGCTTATCCCAGGATGGTTTCCAGCTTTGCCCAGGGAAGAATTCAAGGGCAGGCCAGTGGTGTTAGATAACAGTGTTTTATTTAACAGTACTGGTCTTTGTGGATCAGTGCTAACTCATAGGCAGTACACCCAGAGTCAGCAACATATGGTCTCTTGGCAACTATATTTATACCCACTTTCAATTATATGCAAATTAAGTGGTGGGTTATTTAAAACTTTCTAAGGAAGGAATGATAACTTTCAGGTCATTGCCATGGCATTTGTAAGCTGTCATAGCATTGGTGGGAGTGTTTTATGCTAATGAGCAGTGAGAGCATCTAGAGATCGCTGTTCTTGTCGTCTGCTGGTTTTGGCCCCTTTCTTTACTTTATCCTACCTGTGCCAGATCTTGTTTTGGCCAGTAGGGTTGTGATCAGAATACAAGTCCTGTTGGTCTCCTACCTCAGATGAATGTTGTGAGGAGTGAGGAGCCTTTTTTTAAGGGTAAGCAGTCTCAGGACTGCTAATATAAACTCTTTTGCATAGTAGGTGGTAGGACTTCGTTATGACAGGTTCTACAGGTCCACTGTATGAGCAGACATTAGCTGGGACTCAGGCAGCACGTATTACTCCTTGCAACCACCACCAAGAAAGATGATCAGACACTGCTATTGTTCTACCCGATAGTTCCATTCTAGTATGAGAGTTGCTGTGTGGAAGGAAGTGAGTATGATGACCAAACAGTGGAGTAAATGTTTGCAGACCCCTGAAACATGTGAACTTCTTATGAATTGAGTACAGCTCCCCAGCCCTGTCTGTCTCACCCATTCTCCTCTCCACATATGTGGGATGTTTCAGGACTCGGTGGCTTTTGAGGATGTAGATGTGAACTTCACCCAGGAGGAGTGGGCTTTGCTAGATCCTTCCCAGAAGAATCTCTACAGAGATGTGATGTGGGAAACCATGAGGAATCTGGCCTCTATAGGTAAGGATTGTATACTTCCATCACTTAGCAATTAAAGAAGAAGTGCTTCTTGTGCAGTGATGCTGTTCCATGGTTTGCATCATGGAGGGAGAGTACTTGGGGGGCTAAAACAGGCATAGTCACAGGGTATCATGAACCTAGAATCTAATAATTTTTCTATAATTTTGCACTAATTCAGAATTTTTCTGGGTCTCTGTTTTAGGGAAAAAATGGAAGGACCAGAACATTAAAGATCACTACAAACACCGAGGGAGAAATCTAAGGTAATTTGTACTCAGAGAAAGCAAATTCACTTGAAAGTACCTTAGCATGTCATGAAATTTTAAAAACAGGCAAACATAACTGATAAGCCAAGCTTCAAATTGATTTATTTTTTGAATATTTTCCCCAAATACATATTCTTCAGTGTAAACAGATGTTCAGTTTTTATAAAAATGTTCATTTGTCAACAGAATTAAGAAACTATTTAAGAATATCACTGTTTGAGTGATAGTTGCGGTCAAGCCCATTGCAGAGCATTGAATTCATTCATGCTCAAACAAATCAGACTTGGCATCGAGTCTACGCTTTACCTGATAATATTGAAAATGCAAGTTTAATAGCTATTAATATAAAATGATTAACAAATCCTTAGTAATGTCCGTCTCATTTTTTACAGAAGTCATATGTTAGAAAGACTCTATCAAACTAAGGATGGTAGTCAGCGTGGAGGAATTTTTAGCCAGTTTGCAAATCAGAATCTGAGCAAGAAAATCCCTGGAGTGAAACTCTGTGAAAGCATTGTATATGGAGAAGTCAGCATGGGTCAGTCATCCCTTAATAGACACATCAAAGATCACAGTGGACATGAACCAAAGGAATATCAGGAATATGGAGAGAAGCCAGATACACGTAACCAGTGTTGGAAACCCTTCAGTTCTCACCACTCCTTTCGAACACATGAGATAATTCACACTGGAGAGAAACTCTATGATTGTAAGGAATGTGGAAAAACCTTCTTTTCTCTCAAAAGAATTAGAAGACACATCATCACACACAGTGGATATACACCATATAAATGTAAGGTGTGTGGGAAAGCTTTTGATTATCCCAGTAGATTTCGAACACATGAAAGAAGTCACACTGGAGAGAAACCCTATGAATGTCAGGAATGTGGAAAAGCCTTCACTTGTATCACAAGTGTTCGAAGACACATGATAAAGCACACTGGAGATGGACCTTATAAATGTAAGGTATGTGGGAAACCCTTTCATTCTCTGAGTTCATTTCAAGTGCATGAAAGAATTCACACTGGAGAAAAACCCTTTAAATGTAAGCAATGTGGTAAAGCCTTCAGTTGTTCCCCAACCTTACGAATACATGAAAGAACCCATACTGGAGAGAAACCTTATGAATGCAAGCAGTGTGGGAAGGCCTTCAGTTATCTCCCCTCCCTTCGACTACATGAAAGAATTCACACTGGTGAGAAACCCTTCGTATGTAAACAATGTGGTAAAGCCTTTAGATCTGCCAGTACCTTTCAAATACATGAAAGGACTCACACTGGAGAAAAACCTTATGAATGTAAGGAATGTGGGGAAGCATTCAGTTGTATCCCAAGTATGCGAAGACACATGATAAAACATACTGGAGAAGGACCTTATAAATGTAAGGTATGTGGGAAACCCTTTCATTCTCTGAGTCCATTTCGAATACATGAAAGAACTCACACTGGAGAGAAACCTTATGTATGTAAACATTGTGGTAAAGCTTTCGTTTCTTCAACATCAATTCGAATACATGAAAGAACTCATACTGGAGAGAAACCCTATGAGTGTAAGCAATGTGGGAAAGCCTTCAGTTATCTCAACTCCTTTCGAACACATGAAATGATTCACACTGGTGAGAAACCCTTTGAATGTAAGCGATGTGGTAAAGCCTTTAGATCTTCTAGTTCCTTTCGACTACATGAAAGGACTCACACTGGACAGAAACCCTATCATTGCAAGGAATGTGGGAAAGCCTATTCTTGCCGTGCCAGCTTTCAGAGACACATGTTAACACATGCTGAAGATGGACCACCTTATAAATGCATGTGGGAAAGCCTTTAATGCTCTGGGTTCATGTCAGATACATTAAAATACTCACTGAAGAGAAGCCCTATGAATGTAAGTAACGTGGGAAAGCATGAAATTCTGTCAGTGCCTTTTTTAATACATGAAAGAATTCTAGAGAGAAGCCATATACATGTAAGTAACATGGGAAAGCTTTCAATCATTTTAGTTCCTTTCAAATACATGAAAGAACTCATCATGGAGAAAACCAAACAAATGCTTTTTGGAAAGGAACCCATATTTGAGAGAAACCCTGGGTAAAGGGTGTAGGAAAGGTTTTGTCATCACACAACCCTGTCACACATGAATGTGTAGTGGAGAGAACCTTGGTAAATGTAAAGAGTGTGGGAGAGCCTTTAGTCATTTTAGTTCCACTTGAAGCCATGAAAGAACACACAAAAGAGAAAGCTCTTGAATATAAGCAATGTCCACACGTTTTTAGCCAGCCCACATGCTTTCAACAACATGTAAGAATGTACCCTGGATCAAAACACTATAAATGTGAAAACTACAAGGAAGGTTTTCCATTATACTTTTAAAGTCATTTGAGGGCTCTGGCTCTGTGGCTTTGTGGGTTAAAGTACTTGTCTGGCAAACAGGAGATGCTGGATTTCAATCCCAGCAGGGCCTCACTAGTTGAGGTATTGAATTTGAACAGATGTTTTGGCTCTGGCTGGGTGTGGTGGCTCACACCTGTAATCCCAGCACTTTGGGAGGCTGAGGCAGGAGGATCACTTGAGGTCAGGAGTTTGAGACCAGTGTGCAAAACATAGCAAGACCTCATCTCAGAAAAAAAAAAAAAGTCATTTGAAAACTTCTAATACAGCAAAATCCTATAAATGTAAGTACTTCAAAAAGCCTCATGCATAGCGGGTCATGTAGTCTCTAGAAAATACATAACCTGATGGAAATGTAGAAGCTATATGTATATTTTGTTAATTAGTGGCTCATATTTAAAATAGTTCTCTGACTATGGATTTCAAATGCTTAATCTCACAAAGAAATGTTAAATTGATATAATCCTGTAAGTAATCTGAAAGCAATAGTGCATGAATTTCATAGGTAGTGTTGTTTTAGGTCAGTAAATAAAATATTTGTCTTTCCATTTTGAAATGTGTTTAATCCAACAATGAATTTAAATGTGTTTCTCATATTCAGGTATGTTAAATTGTATATGGTTGCTTAATTGTTCTGTGATTGAGGACCACTGAAAAATAAGTCTTAATAAATGTTGGTATGAACCTACTTGCTTCATTTAGCAGGTTCTTGATTCCCTTTCCACATTATATACATTCCATCATATTTATTGGAACAGCTCCTTTTTTTTCCTTTTTTCTTTTTTCTTTCTTCTTTTTTCTTTTTGAGACAGGGTCTCGCTCTGTGCTCTGTTGCCCAAGCTGGAGTACAGTGGCATGATCTCGGCTCATTGCAACCTCTGCCTTCTGGGTTCAAGTGATTCTCCCACCTTAGCCTCCTAGGAAGCTGGGACTACAGGCATGTGCCACCACACCTGGCTAATTTTTTGTATTTCTAGTAGAGATGGGGTTTCACCATGTTGGCCAGGCTGGTAGAACTCCTGACCTCAAGTGATCCACCCACCTCAGCCTCCTAAAGTCTGGGATTACACGTGTGAGCCATCACACCTAGCCCATTTTTTTTTTCTTGGCTCAAATAATTTTATTTTGCTTCCTATTAAAGAGTTGTTGTTAATTCTAAGTATGTAAAGTTTATCACAGACTGTAGTCTCGTGAATTATTATTTTAACCTGTTGTTCTTTACTCCTTGTTATTTATTCTGGCTGCTCTTTGTATAATTGATTTTGGGATAAGGAGACAGCTATGATAGAATAATAAAATCTAAAATGGGAGATGCCTTTCATGGATTGTGTCATGTCAATCTGGGTAATGGGAACTAAACTTTTCAGACTTCATTTCTTTCTTTCTTTCTGAAATAGGGTCTCACTCTGTCACTCAGGCTGGAGTGCAGTGGCACGACTGTGGCTCACTGTAACCTCAAACTCTGGAGCTCAGGTGGCCTTCCGACCTCAGCCTCCCAAATGGCTGGAACTATAGGTATGTGCCACCAAGCCCAGCTAATCTTTTTATTTTTGGTTTTTCATCTTTTTTTTTTTTTGTAGAGATGGTGTCTTGCTATGTTGCCCAGACTGGTCTCAAACTCCTGGCCTCAAGTCACCCTCTAGCCTCAGCCTCTTAAAGCACTAGGATTACAGGCATAAGCCACTGTGCCTGGCCCAGAATTTCTTTCTTTCATGGTTACCTGTAGACTGCATCAATAGCCTAAATTCCTGGAAGTTTAGAATGCAGAAGTGAAGAACGCATTAGTCAGATTTTGGAGGCATCATACGGAGAGACAGATGCATATGGGCTGTTTGGACATGGTCATCTAGCCCATTTTCCTGATTCTTTGCCCTGCCAATCAAGAGTATCCTCAGCCGGGTGTGCTGGCTCACACCTGTAATTCTAGCACTTTGGGAGGCCAAGGCGGTCGGATCACCTGAGGTGAGGAGTTCGAGACCAGCGTGGTCAACATGGTGAAACCCCATCTCTACTAAAAATACAAAAATTAGCTGGGTGTGGTGTCGCGTGCTTATAGTCCCAGCTGAGGCAGGAGAATCGCTTGAGCCAGGGAGGTGAAGGTTGCAGTGAGCCAAGATCATGCCACTGCACTCCAGCCTGGGTGACAGAGTACAGAGTAAGACCCTGTCTCAAAAAAAAAAAAAAAAAAAAAAAAAAGAGTATCCTCTAATCCACCACTAGCTACTTCACCTCCATGTTCTCAAAGTTATGGATTTCCATAGATGTTTTTAAAAGCTTCATATCAAAGATTCAGCTGCCATTTGGATATTCCTGAAGGCCCTAATATATCTGCCAAGTAATCAGTTCATATTGTCATTGTTGGGAATAGTCTGATGATCTGACTTGGTTCCTGTACGGTCCAGTTTGTACATAAACATTTTTGTCCATAGGGACAGTGAGTGTTACTGATGCAGGTTGAGAGCTACAATGGCACTATCCAAAAACAAAACGAAAAACCCTACATGGAGCTTGTTCCTCTGCTGCATTATGCAGAGATGGGTCTCACCCCGTTCTTTCATGTGAGAATAAGCACCTTATTCATTATAGAAACATTGTGGGTGTTTCCTGTTACTCATAGCTGAATGCAGTCCCTCAGTTTATTTTGAATTATGTTTGAGTACATATGATTACAAACAATATACATGTCCTCCTCAAACAAAAGTTCTCTACACATTTCTTAGAAATATTAACAGTATGCAAGCAACTTGCATACTGTCTGGTGAGTTTTGTATTTATTGAGAATATATATTAAAATATCCCATTCCAATCATGGATCCGATAAACTTTATAATTAAGCTATTTGTCCAACATTGTGAGTCAATATTACTGTGAGCTTACAACTTCAGGCCTTTTTTTCCTCATAAATTTTAGTTTTCATGCTTATTTGATTACAACTTTTATGATGATAGTAGTTTTTCATATGCATAATACCAAAAGTCAAATCATGTTGTGAGTGATTTCTTTCCAAGGACTATCAGGGACGTCCCTGTTGTCAAGCAGGGTGTAATAAATTGTGGTAATAAATACTACCACAGGCCGGGCGCGGTGGCTCACCCTGTAATCCCAGCATTTTGGGAGGCCAATGCGGGCAGATCACTTGAGGCCAGGAATTGGAGACCAGCCTGGACAACATAGCAACACCCTGTCTCTACTAAAAATACAAAAATTAGCCTGGTGTGGTGGTGCACATCTGTAATCCCAGCTACTTGGGAGTGGAGGTTGCAGTGAGCCAAGCACGCCACTGCACTCCAGCCTGGGCAACAGAGTGAGACTCTCTCAAAAAATAAAAAAATAATAAATACCACCACAAACCAGTAATGACTGTAAGGTGTATCAATAAGAGGGTATTTAAAAGAATTTATTGCAGAACTTATGCTGCTTTTTGGTTGCTTGATTCCTATTTAAGGAAGCAAAAAATTTCTCTGTATTTGATATAGTGAAGAGGTGAACTTAATTCTACCCTTGGTAATTCTTTTTATTTTTGAGACGGAGTCTTGCTCTGTCACCCAGGCTGGAGTGCAGTGGCGCAATCTCAGCTCACTGCAAGCTCCGCCTCCCGGGTTCACGCCATTCTCCTGCCTCAGCCTCCCGAGTAGCAGGGACTACAGGCACCCACCACTACGCCCGGCTAATTTTTTGTATTTTTAGTAGACGGGGTTTCACCGTGTTAGCCAGGATGGTCTCGATCTCCTGACCTCGTGATCCACTGGCCTCGGCCTCCCAAAGTGCTGGGATTACAGGCATGAGCAACCGCGCCCGGCCCTAGTAATTCTTTTTTTTTTTTCTTTTGTGAGACAGAGTCTTGCTCTGTTGCCCAGGCTGGAGTTCAGTGATGCGATCTTGGCTCACTGCAACCTCCACTTCTCTGGTATAAGTGATTCTCCTGCCGCAGCCTCCAGCGACAGTGCCAGACTTCGTCTCAAAAAAAACCCAGAAAACAAAAAGACAAAAACCTTTCAGAATACTTCCTGAATGATCTGCCAGAGCCTGTTTTACAGCTTTTTTTCTGGAGGCGGAGGGGACATGGTCTTGCTCTGGAGTAGCTTGGATTACAGGTATGTGCCACGACACCTGGCTAATTTTTGTATTTTGAGTCGAGACGGGTTTTGCCATGTTGGCCACGCTGGTCTCAAACTCCTAGGCTGAAGTGATCGGCCCACCTCGGCCTTCCAAAGTGCTGGGATTACAGGTGTGAGCCACAGCACCCAGCTGAATATACATTTTTCTAAGGAAGATAAACAACTGAGCAAGGGGACCTGAAAAGATGCTGGACATCATTAAGTAAATGCTAAACAAAAAGGCAAGGAAATACCACTTCAAACCCACTAGGATGGGTAGAATGAAAAAGTGAGATAATAACACATGTCAAGGATATGGAGAACTTGGAACCCTCATACACTGCTGGTGAGAATGGAAAATAGAGCAGCCGCTTTGCTTTTTTGTTTGTTTTTTAAATTTTTCTTTTTTAAGAGATGGGGTTTTGCTCTGTAGCCCAGGCTGTCAAGGCTCACTGCACTCTCAAACTTCTGGATTCAAGAAATCCTCCCATCTCAGCCTCCTGAGTAGCTGAGAACACAGGTGTGCACCACCATGCCCAATTAATTTTTCTTTTTCTTTTAGAGATGGGGTTTTGCTCTTTTGTCAGGGCTGGTCATGAACTTTTGGGCTCAAGCTATCCTCCTGCCTTGGCCTTCCAAAATGCTGGGATTACAGGCATGAGCCACCGTGCCCTGCCAGGAGTTTCTTTTTTGAGGTAATGAAAATGTTCTAGGCCTGGCGCGGTGGCTCATGCCTGTAATCCTAGCACTTTGGGAGGCTGAGGCGGGCGGATCACGAGGTCAGGAGATCGAGACCATCCTGGCTAACACGGTGAAACCCGTCTCTACTAAAAAATACAAAAAATTAGCTGGGCGTGGTGGCAGGCCCTGTAGTCCCAGCTACTCGGGAAGCTGAGGCAGGAGAGTGGTGTGAACCCGGGAGGCGGAGCTTGCAGTGAGCCGAGATGGCGCCACTGCACTCCAGCCTGGGCGACAGAGCGAGATTCCGTCTCAAACAAGAAAAAAAGAAAATGTTCTAGGCCAGGTGCCGTGGCTCATGCCTGTAATCCCAGCAGTTTGGGAGACTGAGGCAGGTGGATCACTTGAGGTCAGGAGTTCAAGACCAGCCTGGCCAACATGGTGAAACCCCGTCTCCACTAGAAATACAAAAATCAGCCAAGCACAGTGGCGCGCGCCTATAATCCCAGCTACTCTGGAGGCTGAGGCAGAAGAATCGCTTGAACACCAGAATCGGAGGCTGTAGTGACCCGAGATCGCGCCATTGCATTCTGCACTCCAGCCTGGGCAACAGAGTGAGACTCCATCTCAAAAAAAAAAAAAAAAGAAAATGTTCTATAATTGACTGTGGTGATTATCTGTTTGCATCTTTGAATATACTTTACTGAATTGTACACTTAAAAGGGATGCATTGTGTAGTGTGTTTTATTCTGATATAGCTTTTCAAATAAATATGACTTCAGATTTTTGATTAATCTGTTAAGCATACTAAGAGTTTCCAGATATACCTTAATTTACATCACTTTTTATTGTTCATTTTTGTATCAGTGAAAATAGGGATTCAATTACCTTAGGTATATCATAGTCGTTTACATTTCAAAGTTCTCTGCGAACACAATCTGTAACCTATTTAAAATAAATTTTCCTGTAGTGTGAAATGTACACTTCAGAGTTTAATTGAACATATCTCACAGCTGTGGTTAGTCTGATAAGCGTCCTTGCATCCATGCTAGGGATGTGGGGTTCAAAGAGATTGTGTGTAAAAGGCTCTGGAGGCCAAGGGATTCTTTATTTAAAGTAAATGTGTGGGGATTGGGGAAGGAATGGGTGGAGGTCTCAATGCCGTTAGCCGTCAATGTCAGAATGGAGCTAGACTCATTACACACGGCGAAGTCACTTTTAAAGTGTCTGTGTTTGTGAACGGAGCTCACAGTTCCACGAGTGCCCTCTAGACTCAGGCCAAGTCCCTGGCCCCCGGAGGAGTCAGACCCTCTTGTTCCAATCTGGACTTGCCTGGGTGACCCTCTTGCTGTGGATTTGTTCCTTAAAGGGTCACTACATCTGGCAACTGAGGCTGGAATTCGCCGCGCACACTTTTGTCCCCGCGTTCAGAAACAGCTGCGACAGGATGCCAGAGTCCATCGAGAGGCTGGGAACAAGTTCGGCTTCTACTCAACTGCCCCTCGCTGGGACTGGTTTCCCCCCGGACTGAAGCAGGGTTTCCCCGGCGACATGACCTTTCGCAGCTCTGTCACTCCATGTGAAGAGGGCGGGGCTTCGTGAACTGTCCAATCAGAGGCGCCACGTGGAAGGTGGGTGGGGCAATGCGGCATAAAAGAGGTGGGCGTCGTACGTCGTTACGCAGCGCGGTTGCTGGGCACCTCGACTATCACCTGACCGTAGTAATATCTCCCGCTACGCGCGTTGTGACCAATGCTGCATACAGGAGATGAGGGAGGACGGCCAGACACCTGGAAGCCGGAAAATGGTGAGTGTGCGGGGCCGGTGTCCCGAGACCTGAGGAGGGACAGGTTGGAACCGGCCGGAACCGGCTGTGGCGGGACCCGGGGCTCCCCTCGGCGACTCTGGGGTCTGGGACCCGGGTCCCTCTGGCGCAGCTGGGCCCTCAGTGCCCTCGGCCGCAGAGTGGGGCTGGGCTGGCATCCGGGACCCCGGGCATCCTGTCCCGTTCCTGCGCGACGCCTGCGGCCCCGGC
This sequence comes from Homo sapiens, assembly GCF_000001405.40. NCBI lineage: Eukaryota > Metazoa > Chordata > Mammalia > Primates > Hominidae > Homo > Homo sapiens. Next base: position 12,195,372 of record NC_000019.10, read on the forward strand.
CTCAGCCTCGGCGCCCTCTCTGGGCAGCTGCACGCCGCAGCCTCGTGTCTCCCCAGATTGCACGGGAGCCCCGGGAGGGTCATGGGGAGGATTCCGACTCGTGTGTGGGGTTCGTGCGTGGGAGGAGCAGTGTTCTGTGTGATCCTCAGTCCCTCCTTTCTCCATAAAGGTCACCCATCTTCCCTTGAGGTTTCCAAATGTATGGAAAGCAGGGTGTCAAATCCATAATCCTGTCTCCAGACTATCTCTTCCTGGGGCTGGCAGTAAATTCCTAAGTTTGCGGATCCCTTCCCGCATTCCCAAAGTCTAACGCCCCCTCTCCAGTTCACAGCGTCATTGTCAATTGTTTGGCCTCTGGTGCATTTCACACGGACGCCGTGTTTCTCATTTTTCCGAAGAACCAGGGATGACTCGTTTTAACGGATTTATTTTTTGTTTGCGGATATTTTACATGGGAGGAAGGCAAAGAATACCCACCTGGAATTGTTACATAAATCCTTATGACTCTCCTTCCAGTATCTCTCCTGAGCACAGACACACTGCAGGAACTCTTGGGTTGGGGCTCCTCTTTGGAAACTTCCCTGGGTGACCTGTCTTTTTTAGCAGTTTCAGGTCGGCACTGCCCGTCCTTGACTTTGTATTCTTGAAAAGATTTGACCACTCACTTGTGTGTCATTTTCTTCATGTATCTGAAAGGTATATAATCAATAGCTACTAAAAGTATTATAATTTTTTATTTCTAATTTTTGTGGGTACATAGTAGGTGTATATATTTATGGAGTACACGAGATGTTTTGATGCAGGCATGCAACGTGAAATAAGCACATCGTGAAGAAAGGGATATCCCCTCAAGCATCTGAGTTGCAAACAATCCAGTTACACTCTATAAGTTATTTTAAAATGTACAGTTCTGTGTGGTTTTTTTTTCCACCCATTAATTGTCCTCTCCTTTCTCTCAGGCTCCCACTACCTTTCCCAGCTTCTAATAACCACCCTACTCTCTAAGTCCATGAGTTCAGTTGTTTGATTTTCTTTCTTTTTTTTTTTTTTTGGAGATGGAGTCTCTCTCTGTCACCCAGGCTGGAGTCCAGTGGCGCGATCTCGGCTCACTGCAAGCTCCGCCTCCCGCGTTCAAGCCATTCTCCTGCCTCAGCCTCCTGAGTAGCTGGGACTACAGGCACCCGCCACCATGCCCGGCTAACTTTTTTTTGTACTTTTAGTAGAGACGGGGTTTCACCGTGTTAGCCAGGATGGTCTCGATCTCCTGACCTCGTGATCCACCTGCCTTGGCCTCCCAAAGTTTTGGGATTACAGGCGTGAGCCACCGTGGCCGGCTTGTTTGATTTTTATAATAGATCCCACAAATAAGTGAGAAGATGTGATGTTTATCTTTCTGTGCTTGGCTGATTTCACTTAACATAATGATCTCCAATTCCATCCATGTTACAAATGACTGGATTTCATTCTTTTTTTTTTATGACTGAATAGTACTCCATTGTTTATATGTACCACTTTTTTTTTTTTTTTCCCGGCAGAGTCTCACTCTGTGCACTGGTGTGATTTTGGCTCACTGCAACCTCCGCCTACAGGGTTCAGGCGATTCTTGTGCCTCAGCCTCTCGAGTCACTGGGATTACAGGCATGTGCCTCCACACGGGGCTAATTTTTGTATTTTTAGTAGAGACGGGATTTCGCCATATTGGCCAGGCTGGTCTCGAACCCCTGATCTCAGGTGATCACCTGCCTCGGCCTCCCAAAGTTGTACCACATTTTAAAAATCCATTCATCTGTTGAGGGACACTTACATTGCTTCCAAATCTTAGCTATTGAAACAGTGCTGCTACAGATACTGGAGTGCAGCCATCCCTTCGATACACTGATTTCCTTTCTTTTGGGTATATTCCCAGCAGTGGGATTGCTGCATGGCATATGGTAGCTCAATTTTTAGTTTTTTGAGGAACCTCCAAACCGTTCTCCATAGTGGTTGTACTAATTTACATTCCCATCAACAGTATACAAAGGTTTCCTTTTCTCCACGTCCTCTCCAGCTTTTGTTATTGCCTGCCTTTTTGACTTAAGCCATTTTAACTGGAGTGAGATGATATCTCATTGTATTTTTTTTTTTTTTTTTTTTTTTTTGTATTTTTAGTAGAGACGGGGTTTCACCGTGTTAGCCAGGATGGTCTCAATCTGCTGACCTCGTGATCTGCCCGTCTTGGCCTCCCAAAGTGCTGGGATTACAGGCGTGCGCCACCGTGCCCGGCCTCATTGTAGTTTTGATTTGCATTTCTCTGATGATCACTTTTTCATATAAACACCTTTTTATATGCCTGTTCGCCATTCGTATGTCTTGTTTTGAGAACTGTCTATTCAAATCTTTCGTGCATTTTTTGATTGGATTATTAGACTTTTTTTCCTGTAGCGTTTGAGCTCCTTATATATTCTGGTTATATTAATCCCTTGACAGATGGGTAGTTTGCAAATATTTTCTCCCATTCTTTGCGTTGTGTCCACTTTGTTGATTGTATCCTTTGCTGTGCGGAAGCTTTTTAATTTGATGTGATCCCATTTGTCCATTTTTGCTTTGCTTGCCTGTGCTTGTTGGGTATTGCTCAAGAAATTTTTGCCTGGACCAGCGTCCTGGAGATTTTCCACAATGTTTTCTTGTAGCAGTTTCCTGATTTGAGGTCTTCAATTTAAGTCTTTAATCCATTTTGATCTGGTTTTTGTATTTGGCAAGAGATAAAGATCTAGTTTCATTCTTTTGCATATGGATATCCAGTTCCCAGTACCATTTATTGAAGAAACTGTCTTTTCCCCAGTGTGTATTCTTCACACCTTTGTTGAAAATGAGTTCACTCTAGTTGTGTGGATTTGTTTCTGGGTTCTCCCTTCTGTTCTGTTGCTCTATGTGTATGTCTTTATGCCAGTACCATGCTGTTTTGGTTACTATAGCTCTGTAATATAATTTGAAGTCTGGTAATGTGATTCTTCCAGTTTTGTTCTTTTTGCTTAGGATAGCTTTGGCTATTCTGTGTCTTTTGGGGTTCCATATCAATTTTAGGATTGTTTTTTGTATTTCTGTGAAGAATATCCTTGGTATTTTGATGGGGATTGCATTGAATCTGCAGATTGCTTTGGGTAAATGGACATTTTAACAATATTGATTCTTACAATCCATAAACATGGAATGTTTTTCCATTTTTTTGGTATCCTCTTCAATTTCCTTTATCAGTGTTTTATAGTTTTCATTATAAAGAGCTCTCACTTCTTTGGTTAATTCCTAGGTATTTAATTTTATGTGTGGCTATTATAAATGGGGTTACTTTTTAAATGTATTTTTCACATTGTTCACTGTTGGCATATAGAAATGCTACTGATTTTTGTTGATTTTGTATCCTGCAACTTTACTGAACTCGTTTATTCTTACAGTTTTCCTGTAGAGTCTTTAGGTTTTTACAAATATTAAGATTATGTCATCAAAAGTATAAAAAATTTTAAAGAGGCAAGAAAGAGGTGAATTTCATAAAAAATAAAACACTTCAGTATTACACTGAAATTGGTGAACATTTTTTTCTTTTTTTCTTCGCCTTAGGTTGTGTAGTAAGTTTCTGAGGTCTGTTCTTTTTTGTGTGGTGATTTCAAATGGAATTTCAGAGCATAGCCATACAACACCTAGAAGTATCCAAATATGATTATGAGAACATTTATTGCCATAGAAATAATAACTGAAATTTCTTTTTTTTTTTTTTTTTTTTTTGAGACGGAATCTTGCTCTGTCACCAGGCTGGAGTGCAGTGGTGCAATCTTGGCTCACTGCAACTTCTGCCTCCCGGGTTCAAGTGATTCTCCTGCCTCAGCCTCCTGAGTAGCTGGGACTACAGGCGCCACCACTATTCCTGGCTAATTTTTGTATTTTTAGTAGAGTCGGGGTTTCACCATGTTTGCCGGGATGGTCTCCATCTCTTGACCTCATGATCCGCCTGCCTCAGCCTCCCAAAGTGCTGGGATTACAGGCATGAGCCACCATACCCGGCCCAATAACTGACATTTCATTTTCTGCAAACAATAGACATTTGTGGATTTCAGGGACTAGGGCTGGTTTGCTAAGGTGCCTTACAATTTTCTTAACACTTTACACATCAATACTTGATTTGAGAGATTTTGCAGAATTCTTCAAACATTGGGTTTGTCTCAGTTAAAGTATCTGTTTAGGCTGGCTGTGTTGGCTCATGTCTAATCCCAGAACTTTGGGTGGCTCATGAGGCAGGAGGATTGCTTGAGTCCAAGAGTTCAAAATCAGCTTGGGCAACATGGCAAAATCCTGTCTTTACAATAAAATAAAAATACAATATCAGTGGTGGTCCAAAGTAACATCACTGCCCAAGCTAAGGCCACCCTTGAGCCTGCCAAGAGCAGTAATTAAAGGCCCTGTTGGTTCTTCTTGGGGAGCCTCCCTGTTCATACCATTAAGCCCTTTATACCAAGAGAAGCCACAGAGCACTGGAAAGCTGGGGATCCACATGCACATGTTTTGGGTGGAGGGGTTGCTTTCTGAGGTTGTAATTGTGGTTTTCTTGGGCGTGTTTTTTAGACATGAGGTTTGTTTTGCATTCACAATGTTGCCACATTCAGAGTATAATTCTTACATACTGAGAAAGCATGTGAAGTTCAGGAGTGCTGTCTCCAGGACACAGGGTTAATGAATTTCGGAGGTTATTTTTGGGCCAGAACCTTAAAGTAAATCCAGCTGAGAGTTTCTTCTGCCCAAGAATTGAAGCCTGGGAGAGGAAGTATTTTCACACTGCCAGGGGCCAGTTAGGGTGTACGGAGCTCCCAGAGTTCATTCCTGTGGCTACTCAAGTGTCTCTTCCCTTCATCACCAGGGACTATTCCACTCTAGAAGTTACATGTCAGAGGGAGAGCATGGACCTCAAGCATGTTAAGGTGTTTAACCTCTTGAATGTGGGTTTTCCTTGTGAATTGTGGGGAAGCAGCCTGCTTATCTGAGCTAATTAGAATATTTATGTTTCCTTTGGATTATTTTATCTGTTGAGCATTGTGGCCCTTCAACTCTGGTTTCCCTTATTTTATAATTTTATTGCCTGTGTCAGTGTGTAAGATTTTAGTTTCTTTCACTTTGAAAATGAAGGTTGTTAGATATGGTGGGAGTAAGCAAGAAAATTCTGGAACTAAACAAAATGTTTGTTTCTTGAGGCCAGAGAACCTCAAGATACGAGATGAGTATGTTTAAGTTCTCAGGTACTTTTTTCATTTTTAGATCAGTTTTTGTATGTGATTGTCCATAAAGAACTTTGAAATTTAAAAGGGTATACAGTTGCTAAGACAAATGACTTCCTGATTCCGTTGGTAAGAGGAAAACACAGTTGAATTCTTGTTTTAATTGATGTGAGGAAAACTACTAAAGTTTATATAATCTTTGAAACTCCTGCTATATTTAAATTAGGCCCAAATCCATAATGCATTTTATTTTATTTATTTATTTATTGAGACAGAGTCTCACTCTGTCGCCCAGGCTGGAGTGTAGTGGCACAATCTCGGCTCACTGCAACCTCCCAGTTCAAGTGACTCTCCTGCCTCAGCCTCCCCAGTAGCTGGGATTACAGCCGTGTGCCACCACACCCAGCTAATTTTTGTATTTTTAGTAAAGACAGCGTTTCACCATGTTGGCCAGGCTGGTCTCAAACCCCTGACCTCAAATGATCTTCCCACCGTGGCCTCCCAAGTTGCTGGGATTACAAGCGCGAATCACCACACCTGGCCCGGAATCCGTATTTAATGTTTGCTAACAACCTAAGACTCAGCGTTCCCTTTTTCCCTTGTGACCACACCTGGACAAGCTGATGAGTCTAAGGGCTCCCTTCTCTGTCATAGGCAAGAGATTTAAACCATGTAACTACATGCCCATACAGGGGATCTTGTGCCCAACTCTACCCCAACCACAGTAAACAACCAGGCCAGGCTCCTTTCTTTGCTCTCTCAGGCCATTTCAGTTATGCTTGATGGGTCTGTCCTGCTCTTCCCAAGATCTCAACAATGTGAGCAATAAGCCTTTTAATACCCCCTCTGTGAGTGCCAGACCATCATCAGTTTTGTCAGAACTATGTCTCTGAAGGTGACCACAATGATTGGTGCCGTGAGCATGTTGTCCAGACACTGATCACCACTTGTGGGTCCTTCATCTCTTTATTATTATTTTTTGAGATGGAGTCTCGCTCTGTTGCCCAGGCTGGAGTGCAGTGGTACGACCTCCGCTCACTGCAACCTCTGCCTCCCGGGTTCAAGCGATTCTCCTGCCTCAGCTTCCTGAGTAGCTGGGACTACAGGCATGTGCCACCACGTCCAGCTAATTTTTTGTATTTTTAGTAGAGACGAGGTTTCGCTATGTTAGCCAAGATGGTCTCAATTTCCTGACCTCGTGATCTGTCTGCCTTGGCCTCCCAAAGTGCTGGGATTACAGGCATGAGCCACCGCACCTGGCCTTTATTTTTTTAATTATTATTGTTATTATTATTTTTTGAGACAGAGTCTTGCTCTGTCACCCAGGCTGGAGTGCAGTGGTGTGATCTCAGCTCACTGCAACCTCTGCCTCCCAGGTTCAAGCAATTCTCCTGCCTCAGCCTCCTGAGTAGCTGGGATTACAGGTGTGCATCACCACGCCCGAGTTATTTTTGTAGATCTTCTCTTGCTCTGACTTGCTAACCCACTGTCCTGCCTGATGGCCAACATGTCCAGTGAGCTACTGCTGGCTAGAAAGCTGGTGCTTCGAGTGTGCTGCTCTGTGTTGCATGTTGAGCCCTACCAAGTATGGGTTCTATATTCAACTGACTGAGTCTGCCTTTTTAAAAATAATTCTTTGGCATTTAAGAGTAGGACTATGCTATTGGACCCCTCCTTCAATTGATGCTGGATCTATCTGTGTGTTTAGAGTGAAGCTGTGCCTGATGCTGGGTTGGCCCGGTGTGCAGGGTGCCAGGGTGCAGCGGGAGGGTGGACTATATACACCCTGTACAAGAGGTGCTCCTGAAACAGTAGTCATTTAAAGAGGAGAGAGAAAGGGAGGAAAGGCAGCCATCAGGTGGCGCACTGAGTCCACACCCCAAAAGGCAAAGGGCTCACCAGGACCTTAAGGACCTCTGCTGCTGCTGCTGCTGCTTCAGGTACCTTTATCACAACAAATATCCTGACCCTGGGGCATAGACGGGACAATATCCATGATTCCCCAGTGGCATAACAAAGGGGTTAGTTTAAACCTGACATAGGCTAGAGATCCTTAAACCCTATGAAGGAACTATTGCCATGGAGGAGGCCCCTAACTCTGATGACACTGAACTGAGCCTCTCTGGAGGAAAAAAAATTGTAACTGTCCCATTAGAGAAAGTACCCCTTTTCCTTGAAGTATATCCACTGACCAAAAAGAAAGAAAGAAAAATAAAAACATGGAAGGAAGGGAGGGAGGGATCTCTTGACCTCTTAAACTCTTAGCCTGGGGAACCTAGTGTGACCCCATGTCTCTCTTTTTTTTTTTTTTAAACAATGCTAGTAATAAGAGGGTTTAAACCTCTGTGGTTTACTGATTTACTCTATTAAAGTAACTTATCATACATATTTTTTATGTTTGTGGTGGGATGCTAAATATTAGGATGGGCATTGCTTTATTTTTTATTTATTTTTATTTTTTTATTATTTATTTATTTATTTATTTTTTGAGACGGAGTTTCGCTTGTTGCCCAGGCTGGAGTGCAATGGCACCATCTCGGCTCACTGCAACCTCTGCCTCCCGGGTTCAAGCGATTCTCCTGCCTCATCCTCCCAAGTAGCTGAGATTATAGGCGTGTGCCACCACGCCTAGCTAATTTTTTTGTATTATTAGTAGAGACGGGGTTTCACCATGTTGGCCAGGCTAGTCTCGAACTCCTGACCTCAGGTGATTCACCCGTCTCCTCTCAAAGTGCTGGGATTATGGGTGTGAGCCACTGCACCTGGCCGATTTTTTTTTTTTTTTTTTTGAGACAGAGTCTCGCTCTGTCTATCTAGCTGGAGTGCAGTGGCACCATCTTAGCTCACTGCAGCCTCCGCCTCCAGGGTTCAAGCAATTCTTCTGCCTCAGCCTCCCGAGTAGCTGGGATTACAGGCGCAGGCCACCATCCCTGGCTAATTTTTGTATGTTTAGTAGAGATGGGGTTTCACCATGTTGGCCAGGCTGGTCTCGAACTCCTGACCTCAAGTGATATGCCCAGCTTGGCTTCCCAGGGTGCTGAGATTACAGACGTGAGCCACTGCCCAGCCTGGGCATTGAGATAGGTCATATGCATAGGGCTCATATATGAGGTAAACAGTTTTTTCACAGAAGATGCATTAGTTGATCATACCAAAATTGGGAGTATGATACCTGAATTCATAAGAATAAAATTGTTAATAGAAGCATTTTAATAACAAAATTGTGTATATTTCCTTTTGTTGTTGTTTTTTGTTTTTGTTTTGAGATGGAGTCTCGCTCTGTTGCCCAGGCTGGAGTACAGTGGTGCAATCTCAGCTCACTGCAACCTCGGAGCCTCCTGGGTTCAAGCGATTTTCCTGCCTCAGCCTCTCGGATAGCTGGAACTACAAGTGCATGCCACTACGCCTGGCTAATTTTTATATTTTTAGTAGTGATGAGGTTTCTCCATTTTGGCCAGGCTGGTCTTGAACTCCTGGCCTCAAGTGATCTGCCCACCTCGGTCTCCCAAAGTGCTGGGATTACAGGTGAGAGCCACCATGCCTGACCATGTGTATATTTCTAGCGTGAAGATAGGTAATGTTCCTAGGACAATAGTAGCAGTTAGGGCATTTATTATAATAGTGTATTCTGCTATGAAAAATAGGGATAGTAGACATTGAAGGCCAAGACTAGTTCTGATTTGTTTTGTGTTAAGTCAAATGGGGCTCAGTTAGTTTCTGCTAGCATTGAAATGAATCCTACTATGGCCAGGGGTCATGTTGGTAGAATTAATTATCCAAATTCTTGTGTGATGATAAGAGTTGATAAAGTGACCCGCTTATCAAGAAAACTGTTAGGAGAATAATGGCTAAGTCAACTTCTGTGGGATTGTCTGGGCTACCGCTCGGATTGTGCCAATTAGTGCATATTTTGAATTGGATGCTCATCCTGATGATAAAATAGGGTAGATGCGGGAGGCAGAGGTTGCAATGAGCCGAGGTCGTGCCACTGCACGCCAGCGTGGACGACACAGCAAGACTCCGTCTCCAAAAAAAAAAGGGGGGGTGGTAGCTGGCTAAACTTGATGTGGCTAGAATAAATAATACTCCTATATTTATATTCAGAAATGGGGTATTAAGAAGTGGGGTGTAGAGAGAGGGATTCATATGCAAGGGTTAGGACGAGGTAGGTGTGATGGTGTAAAGGAGGATGGATGGCATTAGTGATTGTGGTGGTTCTTTTCTTTGTTTCTTTCTCCTTTTCTTTCTTTTCTCTTCTCTCTCTCTCTTTTCTCTCTTTCATATCTCTTTCATTTTGAGATGGAGTCTTGCTCTGTCTCCCAGGCTGGAGTGCAATGATGCGATCTCGGTTCACTGCAACCTCCGCCTCCCAGGTTAAAGCGATTCTCCTGCCTCAGCCTCCCGAGTAGCTGGGACTACAGGCGTGCACCCCCTCGCCTGGCTAATTTTGTATTTTTAGTAGAGACGGGGTTTCTCCATGTTGGTCAGGCTGGTCTCGATCTCTTGACCTTGTGATCTGCCCACCTCAGCCTCCCAGAGTGCTGGGATTACAGGCATGAGCCACTATGCCTGGCTATAAGAATTTACAAAACAAAAATGTTACGTCTGCTTGGCCTTGGGGCCTGTACAAGATAGATTCTGAATTAATTTTGACATCTGCTCTAATGCATTAGTTGATAACCCTTTATGGGATTAATCAATACTAGGACTCAAATTATAGTTATACCTGGGTATCCCACTAAATTTAAGCAAGATACCCCTGATAATCTTATAAGTTACTGAATATAAAGTGGAGCACAAATTAGATATTGCTCACTTTAACCAACAGAATAGTTTTTTTCATGCCTAAATTCTCAGTTCCTCATTGTCATAGCACTTATTGCCCTAAAATATTCCATAGTGAGAGAAGGTCTGAACCAATGAGTCATGAATTTAAATGGTCTTTTAAATTAAACTTTTTTTTTTTTTTTGAGACGGAGTCTTGCTCTGTTGCCCAGGCTGCAGTGCAGTGGTGCAATCTCGGCTCACTGCAACTTTCGCCTCCCGGGTTCAGGCAATTCTCCTACCTCAGCCTCCTGAGTAGCTGGGATTACAGGCACCCGCCACCACGTTCAGCTAATTTTTGTATTTTTAGTAGAGACAGGGTTTCACCAGGTTGGTCAGGCTGGTCTCAAACCCCTGGCCTCGTGATCCACCGGCCTCGGCCTCCCAAAGTGCTGGGATTACAGGCATGAGCCACCGCACCCGGCCTAAACTTCTTTATTTATTTTTATATTTTGTAGAGACAGAATCTCACTATGTTGCCCAGAGTAGTCTTTTTGTTTGTTTGTTTGTTTGTTTGAGAGAGTGTCTCGCTCTGTCGCCCAGGCTGGAGTGCAGTGGAGCAATCATGGCTCGCTGCAGCCTTGACCTCCTGGGCTCAAGCAATCCTACCGTCTCAGCCTCCCAAGTAGCTGGGACTACAAGCACGCACCACCATGCCCAACTCACTTTTATATATTTTGTAGAGACAGAATTTTGCCATGTTGCCCAGGCTGACAAGTGGGCATTTCTTTTTTTCTTCTTTTTTTTTTTTTTTAAAAATAACTTTTATTTTAGGTTTGGGGGTACATGTGAAGGTTTGTTACATTGGTGAACTTGTGTCATGGGGGTTTGTTGTACAGATTATTTCATCACCCAGATACTAAGCCCAGTATCCAATAGTTATGTTTTCTGCTCCTCTCCCTCCTCCCACCTTCCACTGTCAAGTAGACCCCATTGTGTGTTGTTTCCTTCTTTGTGTTCATCAGTTCTCATCATTTAGCTCCCTCTTATAAGTGAGAACGTGCAGTATTTGGTTTTCTGTTCCTGCATTAGTTTGCTAAGGATAATAGCCTCCAGCTCCATTCATGTTCCTGCAAAAGACATGATCTCATTCTTTTTTTATAGTTGCATAGTATTCCATGGTGTATGTGTACCACATTTTCTTTGTCCAATCTGTCATTGATGGGCATTTAGGTTGATTCCATGTCTGTGCTATTGTGAATAGTGCAAGCTGGCATTTCTAAAGGTAAGCAGTCTTAGGAGTGTTATATGAACTTCTGTCTGCACACTAGGTAGTAGGACTTTGTGATGACAAGGTCTGCAGGTGCATTGTAGGAGAGGACTTGGGTGCTTCCAGTTTTTCATTGTGTGTGTTTTGTTTTTGTTTTTTTTTTTGCTTTGTTTTTGTTTTTTTGTTTGTTTTGTGACAGGGTCTTACTGTGTTGCCCAGGCTGCTCTCAAACTCGTGGCTCTAGTGATTCTCTGCCTCAGCCTCCTGAGTAGTCACTGTTTTTATTCATTAAAATCTTGTCTAGATTCAACTGTTTGCTTCATAGACTGTTATGTGATATGGTAGGTAATATGAGAAGAGAGAAAAGAGTTTTTCTCACAAGGTGCTGAAGCATCTTATTGCTTCTTTAGTGTACCATTTCTGTCATTTCACCAAGGTGCCTTCTACCCTGTCATTAGCAGTAAGATGTGAAGTGATCACAGCAAAAATGTAGAAATAATTTCCATGTCTCCATGATGCTGGTGAATTTATGAGTGGCTGTGGGCAGAGAATGTCTTCTGATGACATAGTAATAAAATAAATATTTTGGGATCACAGAGTCATGTGATTATCTTACAAATTGATTATAGATCCCCAGCCCTGTCAGTCTCACCCATTTTCCTCTACACATATGTGGGATGTTTTAGGACTCAGTGGCCTTTGAGGATGTGGCAGTGAACTTCACCCAGGAGGAGTGGGCTTTGCTGGATCCTTGGCAGAAAAAACTCTACAGAGATGTGATGCTGGAAACCTATAGGAACCTGGCTTCAGTAGGTGATGACGACAACATTCCTTCACTTAGAGAACAAGTTGCCCATCAACGATATTTCAAGACCTGGCATGTGGAAAGGGAATACTTCAGTAAATAAACCAAGCATGGTGACAGCTAATTAGATCTAGAATCTAATAGTTTTTCTATAATTAATAATGATTTCCAATGATTTTTCTGGGTCTGCATCATAGGGAAAAAATGTGAAGAGCATAACATTGAAGATCAGTCCAAAAACCAAGAAAGAAGTCTAAGGTGAGTGGCACTAATAAGAGTTCCATGAGAGAGACTTAGTGTGTCATGAAGTTTTAAAAACAAGCAAAGAAAACAAATAAGCCCACCTTCAAATGTGGCTTATTCTTGGAAAATTTTTACCCAAAGTGTTTACTTAAATATGACATAGATATTCAGTGTTTGAAAAGTAGTTCATTTGATAGCAATATTAAGAAACTCCATTTATGAATATTACTGTTTTGATATTACCTGTGGTTGAGCCCTCTTCCAGAACATTCAGTCTATTCATCTTCAAACAATTCAGGCAGGACTGAAGTTTTAATTTCTGAAAATGGTAAAAAATGTAATTCCTTTACCTATTAATAAATATAAAATCTTTACTAAAGAAATCATTATCATTTCTTACAAAAGTCATGTATTGTAGACAGACTGTGTGTGAAAATAGATGGATTAGCTAATCAAAGTGAAGAAAACTTCAGCCAGATCTAAATTTTAATCTGAGTATGAAAACTCCTCCTGGAGTAAATCCATGTGAATGCAGTGTGTGTGGAAAAGTCTTCATTTGTCATTCATCCCTTAATAGGCACATCAGATCTCACACTGGACACAAACCATATGAGTGTCAAGATTATGGAGAAAAGCCGTATAGATGTAAGGAATGTGGGAAGGCCTTCAGTTATTTCCAGTCATTTAAAAAACATGAAAGAAATCACAGTGAAGAGAAACCCTATAAATGTAAACAATGTGGGAAACCCTTCAGTTATCGTCAATCTGTTCTTAGACATGAAAGGACTCACACTGGAGAAAAGCCCTATGAATGTAAAAAATGTGGAAAAACCTTCAGTACTCTTACAGGTTTCCAAATACATGAAAGAACTCACACTAGAGAGAAACCCTATGAATGTAAGGAATGTGGAAAAGCCTTTATTTACCTTGCAAGCTTTCAAAGACACATGATAATGCACAGTGGAGATGGACCTTATAAATGCGAGGAGTGTGGAAAAGCATTCAGTTGTCCTAGTTCATTTCAAGTACCTGAACGAATTCACACTAGAGAAAAACCATATGAATGTAAACAATGTGGTAAAGCCTTCAGTTGGCTTGGTTCCTTTCGAGTACATGAAAGAACTCACACTGGAGAGAAACCCTGTGAATGTAACGAATGTGGGAAAGCCTTCATTTATCGAACTACGTTAAAAGGACACATGAATATTCACACTGGAGAGAAACCTTATAAATGTGAACAATGTGAGAAAGCCTTCCTTTCTCTTGCAAGCTTTCAAATGCACATGATAATGCATACTGGAGATGCACCTTATAAATGTAACGAATGTGGGAAAGCATTCAATTGTCTTAATTCATTTCAAATCCATGAAAGGACTCACACTGGAGAGAAACCGTATGAATGTAAACAATGTGGTAAAGCCTTCAGTTGTTCCAGTTCCTTTAGAATACATGAAAGAAGTCATAGTGGAGAGAAACCCCACGTATGTAAACGATGTGGTAAAGCCTTCATTTGGCACAATTCCTTTTGAATACATGAAAGAACCCACACTGGAGAGAAACCCTATGTATGCAAGCAGTGTGGCAAAGCTTTCATTTATTGTACAACTTTTCAAGGACACATGAGAATGCACACTGGAGAGAAGCCCTATAAAGTGTAAAGAATGTGGAAAAGCCTTCAGTCATCCCAGTTCATTTAGAAGCCATGAAAAAATACACCCTGGCAGAAAACTTCTTGAATGTAAGTAAAGTGGGAGTTTTCAACTTGCCCACCTCCTTACAAAAACATGCAATAAGAATGTGCTAGATATAAAGCTTACAAATGTGAGAAATACAGGAAGTTTTTCAGTTTTAACAAATACTGTCAAAGTCATGTGAAAATTCTCACTAGAAAGAAATCCAATAAAGGCAAGTTGAGGCATACCTGTTTGTTATTCAGGAATTTGCTATAAGGTTATACTGGGGGAGGGGGTGCCATGTTTAAATTCAATGGTATCTTAAGGTAAAACTGTAATTTAAGCCCCAGTATTGATTAAGGACATGGAAATTTGCCAACTGATGCATTTCAACGGATGTTGAAGTTAATTCGGAGCCTGTTTTGTAGAGGTGTGAAACCCAGTCAGCACCCATTTATTTTTTTGCTGTTATTTTAATAAACTTTGGATTTCTAATTTGATCAAATTATGGACCTTTGTCTCAATTTTTTTCTTTTTTCTTTTGGTGATTGCAGGGTGAGGGAGAGGGGTGTTCTGTGTACCCTACTTATATTTATATCCTTCATTCTCTAGAGAGCCTCAAGTCAGTGTCATCATGGTTATGGGCCTCCCTCATGGCAGTGGTTGCTTTAGAGGGTTTCAGGACTGTGGGCTTAAGTCTGATTTAAATTAAGGGTATCTCTCTGAAGTCTCTATTCTATTCCTTTGCTCTGTTTTTTTTTTTTTGTCTTTCTTTCTTGAGACGGAGTCTCGCACTGTCACCCAGGCTGGAGCGCAGTGGCGCGATCTTGGCTCACTGCAACCTCCGCCTCCCAGGTTCAAGCGATTCTCCTTGCCTCAGCCTGAGATTACAGGTGCCCGCCACCACGCCCGGCTAATTTTTTTGCAGTTTTAATAGAGACGGGGTTTCACTATGTTGGCCAGGCTGGTCTTGAACTCCTGACCTAATGATCTGCCCACCTTGGCCTCCCAAAGTGATGGGATTACAGGCGTGAGCCACCACACCCGGCCTCCATTGCTCTATATATCTGCCTTTATGTCATGTCAACACCACACTATTTTGATTACTGAAACTTAGAGTAAGTTTTGAAACTAGGAAGAGTGAGGCTTCCAGCTTTGTTGTTCTCTTTTTCTTTTCTTTTCTTTTTTTTTTTTTTTTTTTTTTGAGACAGAGTTTTGCTCTTGTTACACAGCCTGGACTGCAGTGGTGTGATCTCGGGTCACTGCAACCTCTGCCTCCCAAGTTCAATCTATTCTCCTGCCTTAGCCTCCTGAGTAGCTGGGATTACAGGCATGTGCCACCACACCCAGCTAATTTTGTGTGTGTGCAATGGCTCGATCTCGGCTCACTGCAACCTCCGCCTCCCTGGTTCAAGCGATTTTCCTGCCTCAGCCTCCCGAGTAGCTGGGATTACAAGCATGGGCCACCATGCCCGGCTTATTTTTTTGTATTTTTAGTAGAGATGGGGTTTCTCCTTGTTGGTAAGGCTGGTCTCGAACTCCCGACCTCAGGTGATCTGCCTGCCTCAGCCTCCCAAAGTGCTAGGATTACAGGCATGAGCCTCCGTGCCCAGCCAAAACTTAGAGTAAGTTTTGAAACTAGGAAGAGT
The DNA here is from genome assembly GCF_000001405.40 of Homo sapiens. Taxonomy (NCBI): domain Eukaryota; kingdom Metazoa; phylum Chordata; class Mammalia; order Primates; family Hominidae; genus Homo; species Homo sapiens. Next base: position 12,211,016 of record NC_000019.10, read on the forward strand.
GAGGCTTCCAGCTTTGTTGTTGTTTTTCTTTTTTTTTTTGAGACGGAGTTTTGCTCTTGTTGCACAGGCTGGAGTGCAGTGGTGTGATCTCGGGTCACTGCAACCTCCGCCTCCCAGGTTCAATCGATTCTCCTGCCTCAGCCTCCTGAGTAGCTGGGATTACAGGCATATGCCACCACACCCAACTAATTTTTTGTGTTTTTAGTAGAGACGAGGTTTCATCATGTTGGCCAGGCTGGTCTCGAACTCCTGACCTCAGGTGATCCACCCACCTTGGCTTCCCAAAGTCCAGGGATTACAGGCGTGAGTCACCATGTCCAGCCTGTTGTTCTTTTTCAAGATTGTTTTGGCTATTTGGGGTCCTTTGAGATTCCCTGTGAATTTTAGGATGAGTGTTTCTGTTTCCAGAAAAAAATGTCATGGGCCTTTTGATAATGATTGCTTTGAATTTGTAGAGCATTTGCAGTAATATATTGACACCTTAACAAAATTAAGTCTTTTAAATTATGAACACAGAATGTCTTTCCATTTATTTATAGCTTTAATTTCTTTCAGTAACGTTTTATAGTTTTCAGTATACAAGTCTTTTGCTTTTTTGGTTAATTTTTTGTCATGGCGTTTTGCTGCGTTGTCCAGGTTAGTCTCAAACTCCTGGGCTCAAGCTGTTCTCCCATCTTAGGATCTTCAGTAGCTAGGACTGCATGTCTGTGTCACTATAGCTAGCTGTTTTTTTGTTTTTGTTTTTGTTTTGAGACAGGGTCTCATTCTGTCACTGCACTGTAGTGCAGTGGTGAAATCATGGCTCACTGCAGTCTCAACCTCCTGGGCTTAAGTGGTCCTCCCATCTCAGCCTCCCAGTAGCTGGGAGTACAGGCACAGGCCAGCACGTCCAGCCAATTTTTTTTTTTTTTTTTTTTGTAGTATGAGGTCTCACTTTGTTGCTCAGGCTTGTCTTGAACTTCTGGGTTCAAGTGATCCTCCCACCTTGGGCCTTCCAAAGTGCTGATTTTGCAGGTGTGAGCCACTGTGCTTGGCCTGTTTTATTCTTTTTGATGTTATTACTAATGTAATTGTTTTCTTAATTTCCTTTTCAGATTATTAACTGTTAGTGTATTGAAATGTAATTTTAGGCTGGGTGCAGTAGCTCACACCTGTAATTCCAGCACTTTGGGAGGCTGAGGCGGGTGGATCATGAGGTCAGGGGTTTGAGACCAGCCTGACCAACATGGTGAAACCCCGTCTGTACTAAAAAATATAAAAATTATCCGGGCCTGGTGGTGGGCAGCTATAATCCCAGCTACTCAGGAGGCTGAGGCAGGAGAATCGCTTGAACCTGGGAGGTGGAGGTTGCAGTGAGCCAAGATCGCACCATTGCACTCCAGCCTGGGCAACAGAGCGAGACTCCGTCTCAAAAAAAAAATGTAATTTTAAATGTTAATTTTGTACCCTGCAACTTTGCTGAATTCATTTATGAGTTCAGTTTTTGTGTACATATATGTGTATGTAATCTTTAGGATTTTCTACACATAGGATTATGTCATCTGCCAACATAATTTTATTTCTTCCTTGCCCATTTGGATGCCTTTTGTTTTTCTTTTTTTTTTTTTTCTGAGACAGAGTCTCACTGAGCCACCCAGGCTGGAGTGCAGTGGTGCAGTCTTGGCTCACTGCAACCACCGTCTCCCGGGTTCAAGCAATTCTCCCGTCTCAGCCTCCCGAGTACCTGGGATTACAGGCACCCGCCATCATGCCCAGGTAATTTTTGTATTTTAGTAGAGACGGGTTTTCATCATGTTGGACAGGCTGATCTTGAACTCCTGGCCTCAGGTGATCCACCCGCCTCAGCCTCCTAAAGTGCTAGGATTACAGGCGTGAACCACTGCGCCCAACTGGATGCCTTTTCTTTTTCTTACCTAATTACTCTGACTAGCTCTTCCAGTACTATATTGAATGGAAGTGGTGAAAGCAGTTATCCTATCTTGTTTCTGATCTTAGGGGAAAAGATCACCATGTTTATATTTCACCATTAAGTATGATAGTCTTGTAGATTCTTCATATATGGCCTATTACATTGACCTAGTTTCCTCCCATTCCTAGTTTGTTGTTTATCATCAACGGGTCTTGAATTTTGTCAGATGCCTTTTGTGTATCAATTGAGATTACTGTGATTTTTCCGTCATTCGGCTAATGTGGTATATTATATTGACCGATTTTCATAGGATGCACTGTTTGCATTCTGGAGATAAATCTCACTTGATCATGGTTTAGAAGTTTTTAAAAAATACAGATGTAGTCTTGCTCTGTTGCCCAGGCTGGAGTGCAGTGGCATGATCATAACTCACTGTAGTCTCCAAACTCCTGGGCTCAAGCAATCCTCCCACCTCAGCTTCCCAAGTAGCTGGGACTACAGGTGCATGCCACCACACCTGGCTGATTTTTGTATATTTTGTAGACACAGGGTCTTGCTATGTTGCTTTTCATATGCCTGTTTGCCATTTGTATGTCTTCTTTTGAGAAATGTCTATTCAAATCCTTTGCCTATTTTTTGACCAGATTATTAGATTTTCTTCCTATAGAGTTGTTTGGGCTCTGTATATATTGTGGTTATTAACCCCTTGTCAGAGAGGTAGTTTGCAAATAAATATTTTCTCCCACTCGGTGGGTTGTATGTTCACTTTATTGATTGTATCTTTTGCTATGCAGAAACTTTTGTAACTTGATGTGATACCATTTGTCCATTTTTGCTTTGGTTGCCTGTGCTTGTGGGGTATGCCCAATAAATCTTTGCGTAGACCAGTGTCCTGGAGATTTTGCCCAGTGTTTTCTTGTAGTAGTTTTATAGTTTGAGGTCTTATATCTAAGTCTTTAATCCATTTCAATTTTTGTATATGGTGAGAGGTAGGGATCTAGCTTCATTCTTCTGTACATGGATATCCAGTTTTCCCAGCACCATTTGTTGAAGAGACTGCCTTTCCCCAGTGTATGTTCTTGGCACCTTTGTCAAAAATGAGTTCACTGTGGGTGTATTGATTTATTGTTGGGTTCTCTTCTGTTCCATTGGTCTATGTGTCTCCTTTCATGCCAGTACCATGCTGTTGTGGTTACTATAGCTCTGTAGTGTAATTTGAAGTCAGGTAATGTGATTCTTCCAGTTTTGTTCTTTTGGTTTAGGATAGTTTTGGCTATTCTGTGTCTTTTATGGTGCCATATAAATTTTAGGGTTTTTTTTTTCTATTTCTGTGAAGAATGTCCTTGGTATTTTGAGAGGGATTGCATTGAATCTGTAGATTGCTTTAGGTAGTGTGGACATTTTAACACTATTGATTCGTGTAATCCATGAACATGGAATATCTTTCCATTTTTTGGTGTCCTCTTCAATTTCTTTCCTCAGTGTTTTATAGTTTTTATTATAGAGATCTTTCGCTTCTTTGGTTAAGTTGGTTTCTTGGTAAAATTTAATTTTACATGTGGCTGTTGTAAATGGGATTAATTTCTTATTTCTTTTTCACATTGTTCACTGTTGACATAGAAATGCTACTAGTTTTGTATGTTGATTTTGTATCTTGCAACTTTACTGAATTTGTTTATTCGTTCTAATTGTTTTCTTGTGAATTCTTTAGGTTTTTCCAAATATAATGTCATATAATCAGCAAACAGATAATTTGACTTCTTCCTTTCCAATTTGGATGCCCTTTGTATTTTCCTCTTGTCCGATTGCTCTAGCTGGGACTTCTGGTACCATGTTCAATGACAGTGTGACAGTGGGCATCCTTTTTGTGTTCCAGATCTTTCGAGAAAACGCTTTCAGTTTTCCCCCATTCAGTATGATACTAGCTATGGGTCTGTCATATATGGTTGTGATTATGTTGAGGTATGTTCCTTCTATACCCACTTTTTTGAGGGTTTTTATTATGAAGGGATGTTGAATTTTATCAAATGCTTTTTCAGGATCAGTTGAAATGATCGTATGGTTTTTATCCATCATTCAGGTCATGCAATGTATCACACTGGTTCATCTACATAGGTTGATCCTTGCATCCCAGAGATAAATCCCACTTGGTCATGATGAATGCTCTTTCTGATGTGTTGTTGAATTTGGTTGGTATTTTGTTGAGGATTTTTACATCAATATTCATCAGTGATATTGGCCTATAGTTTTGTTTTTTTTGATGTGCCTTTGGTTTTGTTATCAAGGTAATAGTGGCCTTGCAGATTGAGTTTGGAAGTATTCCCTACTCTGTTTTTTGGAATAGTTTGAGTAGGATTGGTATTAGTTCTTTAAATGTTTGGTAGAATTCAGCAGTGAAGCCGTTGGGTTCTGAGTTTTTCTTTACCGGGAGACTTTTTATTATGGCTTCAATCTTGTTACTTGTTATTGGTCTGTTCAGGTTTTGGATTTCTTCCTGATTCAATCTCAGTAGGTTGTATGTATCTAGGAATTTTTTACATTTTTTCTATTTTTTCCAATTTATTGGCATATAGTTACTCATAGTAGCCACTACTGCTTTGAATTTTTGTAATATCGTTTGTCTTCTTTTTCATTTCTAATTTATCTGGATCCTCTTTTTTTCTTATTTAGTCTGGCTAAATGTTTGTCAATTTTGTTTAACTTAAAAAATTGATGTTTTGGCCAGGCGCAGTAGCTCATGCCTGCAATCCCAGCACTTTAGGAGGCTGAGGTGGGCAGATCACGAGGTGAGGAGTTCAAGACTAGCCTGGCTAACATGGTGAAACCCTGGCTGTACTGAAAATACAAAAATTAGCTGGGTGTGGTGGCGTGTTCCTGTAATCCCAGCTACTAGGGAGACTGAGGCAGGAGAATTGCTTGAACTGGGACCTGGGAGGCGGAGATTGCAGTGAGCTGAGATCGCACCACTGCACTCCAGCCTGGGCTACAGAGCAAGAGTCCGTCTCAAAAAAAAAAAAAATGGTCTTTTGTATTTTCATTTACTTCTGCTCTAATCTTTATTATTTCTTTTCTTCTACCAATTTTGGGTTTGGTTTGCTTTTGTTTTCTAGATCTTCAAGATGCATTGTTAGATTGTTTCAAGTTCTTCCTCTTTTTTTTTTTTTTTTTTTTTTTTTTGAGATGGAGTCTCACTCTGTCACCAGGCTGGAGTGCAGTGGCAGGATCTCGGCTCACTGCAAGCTCCGCCTCCCGGGTTCATGCCATTCTCCTGCCTCAGCCTCCCGAGTAGCTAGGACTACAGGCACCCGCCACCACGCCCAGGTAATTTTTTGTATTTTTAGTAGAGACGGGGTTTCACCGTTTTAGCCAGGATGGTCTCGATCTCCTGACCTCGTGATCCACCCGCCTCGGCCTCCCAAAGTGCTGGGGTTACAGGTGTGAGCCACCGCGCCTGGCCTCTTCCTCTTTTTTGATGTAGGCATGTAGTAGCTATAAACTTCCCTCTGAGTACTGCTTTTGCTGTATCCCATAGGTTTTGGCATGTTGTGTTGCCATTATCATTTGTTTCAAGAAGTTGTCCCATTTTCTTAATTTCTTCATTGACCCACTGGTCATTCAGTAGCATATTGTTTAATTTCCATGTATCTGTATAGTTTCCAAAATTCCTCATTATTTATTTCTAGTTTTATTCCATTGTGGTCAGAGAAGATGCTTGATATTATTTCAGTATTTTTTTAAATTTTTAAATTTTTATTTATTTATTTATTTTTAGACAGAGTCTCGCTCTGTCACCAGGCTGGAGTGCAGTGGCGCAATCTCGGCTCACTGCAAACTCCGCCTTCCGGGTTCAAGTGATTTTTCTGCCTCAACCTCCCAAGTAGCTGGGACTACCGGTGCATGCCACCACACCTAGCTAATTTTTGTATTTTTAGTAGAGACAGGGTTGCACCATGTTGGCCAGGATGGTCTCAATCTGTTGACCTCGTGATCTGCCCACCTTGGCCTCCCGAAGTGCTGGGATTACAGATGTGAACCACTGTGCGTGGCCTTTTTGAATGTTTTAAAACTCATTTTGTGAACTATATATGGCCTATCCTTGAGAATGATCCATGTGCTGAGGAAAAGAAGGTATATTCTGCAGCTTTTGGATGAAATGTTCTGTAAATATCTATTAGATCCATTTGATCTATAGTGCAGATTAAGTCTGATGTTTCTTCATTGATTTTCTGTCTGGAAGATCTAAGTCTGAAAGTGGGGTGTTGAAGTATCCAGCTCTTATTGTATCAGGGCCTCTCTCTTTAGCTCTAATAATCTTTCCTTTTTATATCTGTGTGCTCCAGTGTTGGGTGCATATATATTTACAACTGTTATATCCTCTTGCTGAACTGACCCCTTTATTATTATATAGTGACCTTCTTTGTTTCTTCTTAACAGTTTTTGTCTTGAAATCTATTTTGTCTGATATAAGTATGGCAACTACTGCTCTTTTTTGGTTTCCATTAGCATGGAATATCTTTTTCCATCCCTTTATTTTCAGTCTGTGTGTGTCTTTATAGGTGAAGTGTATTTCTTGTAGGCAGCAGATCAATGGGTTTTGGTTTTTCATCCATTCAGCCAGTTTGTGTCTTTGGATTGCAGAGTTTAGTCCATTTATATTATTGTTATTGATAAATAAGGACTTACTCCTGCCATTTTGTTATTTGTTTTCTGGTTGTTTAGTGGTCTTCTCTTCCTCTTTTCCTTTCTTCCTGTCTTCCTCTAGTGGAGGTGATTTTCTCTGGTGATAAGATTCAGTGTCTTTTTATTTTTTGTGTATCCATTGTTTTTTCGGTTTAAGGTTACCATGAAGCTTGTAAATACTATATTTTAACTCATTGTTTTGAACTGATAACACCATTTGCATAAACAAGCAAAAAGAAAATAAAAACTCTACAACTTGGTTCACCCCCTTTTAACTTTTAGTTGTTTCTATTTATATCTAATTGTACTATGTCTTGAAAAATTATGTTTATTATTTTTGAGTTGTTCACTGTTTAAGTCTTTCTACTTAGGACAGGAGTAGTTTATGGGCTGGGTACGGTGGTCATGCCTGTAATCCCAGCACTTTGGGAGGCCGAGGTGGGTGGATCATGAAGTCAGGAGATCGATACCATCCTGGGCAACATGGTGAAACCCCATCTCTACTAAACATACAAAAATTTTCTGGGCATGGTGGTGTGTGCCTGTAATCCCAGCTACTCAGGAGGCTGAGGCAGGAGAATCACTTAAACCAGGGAGTTGGAGGTTGCAGTGAGCTGAGATCGTGCCACTGCACTCCATCCTGGCAACAGAGCGAGACTCTGTCTAAAAAAAAAAAAAAAAGTAGTTTACATAGCACAGTTACAATGTTACAATATTCTGTATTTTCCTGTTTACTATTACTAGTGAGTTTTGAACCTTCAGGCGATTATTTATTGCTCATTAATGTCCTTTTCTTTCTGATTGAAGTGCTTCCTTTAGCATTTCTTGTAGGACTGGTCTGGTATTGATGAAATCCCTCAGCTTTTATCTGGGAAAGTCTTTATTTCTTCTTCATGCTTGAAGGATATTTTCACCAGATATACTCTTCTAGGGTAAAAGTTTTTTCCTTCAGCGCTTTAAATATGTATTGCCACTCTCTGGTGGCCTGTAAGGTTTCCACTGAAAAGTCTGCTGCCAGATGTATTGGAGCTCCATTGTATGTTATTGTTTCTTTTCTCTTGTTGCTTTTTAGGATCCTTTCTTTATCCCTGAACTTTGGGAGTTTGATTATGAAATGCCTTGAGGTAGTCTTCTTTGAGTTAAATCTGCTTGGTGGTTTATAACCTTTTTGTACTTGGATACTGATACATATCTCTAGTTTGGGAAGTTCTCTGATATCACTTTGAATAAACTTTCTACAACCTTTTTTCTACTTCCTCTTTAATTAAATCTTAGATTTGCCCTTTTGAGGCTATCTTCTAGATCCTGTAGATGTGCTTGTTTCTTACTCATTTTTCTTGTCTCCTGACTGTATATTTCCAAATAGCCTGTCTTCAAGCTAATTCTTTCTTGTTTGATCAATTCTGCTACTAAAGGAGTCTGATACATTCTTTAGTAAGCCAGTTGCATTTTTCAGCTCCAGAATTTCTGCTCAATTTTTAATTATTTCAATTTCTATGTTAAATTTATCTAATAGAATTCTGAATTCCTTTTCTGTGTTCCCTTGAATTTCTTTAAGTTTCTTCAACACAGCTATTTTGAATTCTGTCTGAAAGATCACATATCTGTTTCTCCAGGATTGGTCCCCTGGTGCCTTATTTAGTTCATTTGGTGAGGTTATGTTTTCCTGGATGGTGTTAATGGTAGTAGATGTTCTTTGGTGTCTTGGCATTGAAGGGTTAGGTATTTATTTTGGTCTTCACTGTCTGGGCTTATTTGTAGCTGTCCTTCTTAGGGAACGCTTTCTAGATATCTAAGTTATATCTGCTTTAGGGGGCACCCCAAACCCAGTATGCTGTGGTTCTTGCATACTCATAGAGGTGCTGCCTTGATGGTCTTGGACAAAATCTGGGAGAATTCTCTGGATTACCAGGCAGAGACTCTTGGTCTCTTTCCTTATGATCTCCCAAACATAGTTTCTTTCTCTCTCTGTTCTAAGCCACCCAAGGCTGAGGGTGGAATGACACCAGCATCCCTGTGGCCACCACCACTGTGACTGCACTGGGTCAGACCTGAAGCCAGCGCTGCGTCTTGCCCAAGGCCTGCTGTAACCACTCCCTGGCTACTGCCTGTGTTCACTGAAGGCCCCTGGGGTCTACAATCAGCAGATGGCAAAACCAGCCAGGCCTGTGTCCTTCCTTTCAGGGTGACGAGGTCCCCTAAGCCCCAGGTGAGTCCAGAAGTGCTGTCCAGTAGTCAGGGATTAGAGTGAAAAAAACCTTAGAAGTCTGCCTTGTGTCCTGTTGTATTGTGGCTTGGCTGAGCTGGCACTCAAACTACACAAGTCCTTCCCTCGAAAGGCAGAGGAACCTCACCCCATAGCCACCGCCCCAAGCCACAAGGAGTTCTGTCAGAGTACTGCTACTGCTCATGTTCCCTTAGGGCTAAAGGTCTCTTAAGTCAGCTTGTCATGAATGCTGCCTCTTCAGGGCAGTGGGCTCCCCTCTAGCCCAGGACAGGTCCAGAAATGCTATCGAAGAATCAAGTTCTAGAATCAGGGGCCCCAAGAACCTGCTTGGTGCTCTGCCCCTCTGTGGCCATGCTGGTGCCTAAGGTGCAAGACAAGGTCCCCTTACTTTTCCCTCTGCTTTTCTCAAGCAGAAGGAGTTTTCCTCTGTAGCCACCACAACTGGTTATGTGCTGAGTCTCACCTGAAGCCAGCAAGTCTCAGAGGCTCACCAAAGGCCCTTCATGTAGTGCCTGGGTATCGTTACTGGTTATTCAGGGTCCAAGGGCTCTTCAGTTAACAGGTGATTGCTGGCAGGACTGGGTCCTTCCCTTCAAGGCGGTAGGTTCCCTTCTGGCCCAAGGTGTGTCTAGAAATGTCCGCGAGCTAGGCCCTGGAACAGGGGCCTCCTGATTCTGACCAGTGCCCTGTCCTACTGTGGCTGGGCTGGTATCCGAGATGTAAGATACAGTCCCCCCAATACTGTCTCCTCCCTCAAGTAGAAGGGGTCTCTTTTTTAGCTGACAGCTGTGCAGCCTGGGGTTAAAGGAGGGGTGATCCCATATGTCACCACCCCTCCCTGCCCCCTGTCGGTTCACTGACTCTGGGCCTAATTCAGCACTAGGACTCACCTAAGAGTTGCAGTCCTCATGGGCTAGACTGCCTTTCAACTTTACTTGGAGAGAGAGAGTGCTGCAGCCCTCAGCAATGCGGTTTGCAGGTGCTTAAGTTCAGACCACTGGGATCAGCAGTTCCTCCCTGGCTAAGGCTGGTTAAGTGCCCCTCCGTGGGCAGGTATCAGCTGAATTTGGTCTGATTTTCCTTTCTGCTCTAACAGGACAGCACTGAGTTCAGTGCCTCACAATTGCTGTGTTCTCCCTCCCACAGCACCTAGACTTGCTCTCTGCATGATGCTGCTGTTGCTGGGGGTGGGAGAGGGGTGCTGTTGGTGATTCAGGACTGTTTTTTAAATCGCTTCATTGCCTCTTTCAGCGATATGAAGTTAAAACCAGGTACTATAAGTGCTTACCTGATTTTTGGTTCTCATGAAGGTGTTTTTTCTGTGTGATAGTTGTTAATTTGGTGTCCTTGCAGGAGGATGATCAGGGGAGCTTTCTATTCCGCCATCTTGCTCTGTCCCTTTCTATAGTTTAAAATATTTGAGGTATGTTAGGGAAGGTCTCATCTTGTTTTTCAGAAAGCAAAACTGTTTTTATTCATTATTCCTATAACATTTGGTGAATATGTATCACTACACACCTCAGAATGGCTAAATTCCAAAATATAACACCAAATGCTTCCAAAGATGCAAACAAAGGAACATTCATTTCTGTGGTAATTCAAATGGCAGAGGTTGCAGTGAGCCGAGATTGCGCCACTGCACTCCAGCCTGGGTAACAGAGCAAGACGCTGTCTCAAAAAAAAAAAAAAAAAAATCACAAAGTGATCCCATTTCACACAAACTACAAACTAGATAGGCAAAAATACATTATTCCACGACTGGCAACACTAGAATTATCTAAATATACATGCAAGAGTGGTGGGACGGTCAATTCATGTACTCCATTGGGACTTGGTGGCAATCTTAAAGTTGCTCAGAATCTACAACCCAGCAAGTTTTCTCTAATGTATAGAGAATTTACTGTGCACAGGCACATGGGGACTTAAAGTATGATTAGAGCAGCATTTTCCATAAGAACAAAACACAAAATTGAAGCAACATGAATCCTATAGATACTGGAATGGATGAGCAAATTGGGTAGCCCAAGCCTCAGACACCAGCATGTGTGAAACAACTGGGACAAAAACCAAGGAGACGCCCATCCATGATTTCCTTCCACAGAAAGTGCTAAAGAGGCAAACTTAAGCAAAACACTGCTTGGTGATAAAATAATGGCATAGCCATAAAGAATATCCACAAAATTAAGGGCAGTGGTCACCTCTGGGGACAAGAGGGAAACAAAGTCAAGGTGGAGCAGCACTGGGAGCTGTGACATGCCCAGGGTCTGTTCATTCTGAGTGCCCAGTCTACGGAAGTTTACAGTTATGATTAAACATAAAACATTCTACGCATTCTATAAGAAGTATGCTATATTTCACTATAAAAATATAATTCAGCTGAGTGTGGTGGCTCACGCCTGTAATCCCAGCACTTTGGGAGGCCAAGGCAGGAGGATCATTTGAGGCCAGGAGTTCAAGACCAGTCTGGGCAACATAGTGAGACCTCCATCTCTACCAAAAAAATAATTCTTTAAGTTTGAAAAATAACTTTCAAATATTTATTTTGCCATGTTTTCTAACTACCTTCCCAGTTCTCATTTCACTGCCTTAGTTCAGTACAGATTTCTAAGTCTTTTAGATTGTACCTATTGCTATTCATCTTGATTACAGCAAGAAATGACTAGCAAAAGAATGGGAACATATTCAGTGTTTAATAGAGAACTGACTATATAAACTTCCATCTTTTAAAAAAATATATTTATTAAAACATTTTTTGGGGGGAGACAGGGTCTCACTCTGTTGCCCACGCTGGAAGTATAGTGGCACATAGTTCACTGCAGCCTTGAAGTCCTGGGTTCAAGTGATCCTCCCACCTCAGCCTCCCAAGGAACTGGGACTACAGGCATGTGAGCCACACAACTGGCTCAACTTCTATCATCTTGTGAACCTTTATAAAAATTAGGGAAGGCACCAATGAATATGAAAAAGCTGCAGGATTTATTTTCAAATGAACAAAAAAGCAAAGTGTGTAAACCATGTTGCCTTTTATAGTGAGGAAAGAAAAATATGTAATTTAAATTGCTTTTTATGTAAATGCCGGACAAGAAAGTAATAAAATTGTTATCTTTGGGAACCTGAGGCCACTAGACACGAATGCTAGAGGACATGCTAAGAGTGAGCCTTCAGGTAGACTGCTTCTAAATCTCAGGCTGGGTTTTGGGTGGGTGGGTGTGTGTGTGTACACACAGGGTTTTTTGTTTTTTTTTTTTTTTTGTAGAGACAAGGTCTTGCCATGTTTCCCAGGTTGGTCTTGAAGTGGCCTCAGGTGATCCTTTGGCCTCACCCTCCCAAACAGATGTGAGTCACTGTGCCCAGCCTCAGGCTGAATTTTTGAATCTTAACATTGACTATAAACAATGATTAAGAAAATTTGCATTAAGTATATTTTAATAGTTCATAAATCAAATGACTAATTTTTAACAGGTAACTAGTTCTTTGTGTTTTATGGTCCTCTAAAGAAGTTTTATGAAGTGAGCAGTATGTTTTTGTAAACCATAAAAAGTTGTTATGCACATAAAGATGGGAGCAATGGACGCTGGGGACTGCTGGAAGGGGGAGGGATGGTGGAGAGTGAGGGCTGAGGGAATGCCTGTTGGGTGCTGTGCTCACTGCCAGGATGACAGGCTCACCCATAGCCCAAACCTCAGTGTCACAGTGTGCCCATGTGACAGACCTGCATATGTACCCCCTGAATCTAAAAGTTGAAATTATTAAGAAGGTAAATTGAAATGTATTTTTTTTGTGATATGATTCCTGATGTTTGTGAGATGTGGGTTTGTGTATTCCATCCCAGGAATCTTTAAAAAATAAACGTTAACAAAAAAATTTTTTTATCACTTGAGCTCAGAAGTTCGAGACCAGCCAGGGCAACATAGCAAAACCCCATCTCTATAAAAATTTTTAAAATTAGCCAGGTGTGGTGGCATGTGCCTGTAGTCCCAGCTACTTAGGAGGCTGAGGTGGGAGGATGGCTTAGAGCTTGGGAGGCAGAGGTTGCAGTGAGCTGAGATTGTGCCACTGCACTCCAGCTTGGGCAATAGAGCGAGACATGTCTCAAAAAAAAGAAATGAAAAAAATAATTTTAAACATTTGGTTCTTAAATTACAAGTGATATTACAGGTTGCACTGCCATCACATATAGGGCATTTTTTGATCTGGGCAGAATCTTAAGGCATTAGGATGGCGTAACAGTATGAGGAGCTTCACTAACCCACTCCCCAGAGACACTTATGACAGTTACTTTAAAACAACCATTTAAAGCCCCTGAAGTCATCCTAAAGGCAAACAGCCAGTGAGGAAACCTATTCAAGAGAATCTGTGAAAATTCTGTGAGAAATGTGAGTTTGTGGTATTTAAACCCTTACTGTTCCCTGATCCTGTACCCCACATCCTCACCCCAGTGAGGTGAACACTCCACTCTAGACTGTGTAGCCAAGGATACAAGGTTCTCTCTTTCTAGTGTAAGAGTTAGAGTTAAAGAGGAAAGAGGCTGGGCGCAGTGGCTCACACCTGTAATCCTAGCACTTTGGGAGGCCAAGGCAGGCAGACTGCCTGAGCTCAGGAGATCGAGGCCGGCCTGGGCAACATGGTGATACCGTTTCTACTAAAACACAAAAAATTAGCCAGGCATGGCAGCCTGCGCCTGTAATCCCAGCTACTCAGAAGGCTGAGACAGGCGAATCACTTGAACCCAGGAGGTGGAGCTTGCAGTGAGCTGAGATCACGCCACTGCACTCCAGCTTGGGCAACAGAGCAAGACTCCGTCTTAAAAAAAAATTAAATTAAAAAAAAGAGGAAAGAAACACCGAACACTGCTTGACAGTCAAAGACAGGTTTATTATAGAAAAGACCTGAGAGAGGATTCTGGCTGGTCAGTCAGGAGCACTTTTCCTTGCAGACTAAGAATGTACGTTGGTTTTAGGGTGAGGGAGCTTATTACAAGCTTGGAATGTTTCTGTGTGGGGGAGAAGTTTGTGGCAGGGTTGGAATGTTCTGGGCGGAGGGGTGGTTATCTTGGGGGTGACATCTTTCCGGCAGGAGAGGGGTTATCCCGAGGCTAGCATTTCTCTGTGGGAGGTGTCTGGAATGTTTTTGGTTGGAGATGTTATTTGTGGTTTGTGATCATGCTGACCTTAGCCATTAGGCTGATGCCCTTTGGATTTAGGCAGTTTTTGATTAAGGTGAATTTTAAAATGAGGCGCTTATCCACAATGGTGATGCTTCTGCTCTGTCAATCCAGACCTCATAGTTATAAAAAGGACGAGGGGCGGCATGTTCTTTCTGGCTACTTCCTGCTGACGAGGGGACAGAGAGTTCTCTGGTATCGGGTTGGTAGGAGCAGTGCCGTCTGTAGATATTTTTGGGTAGTTGTCTGTGAAATGGCCATGATCCTGTCAGTTTAAAAAATCTCTGAAAAAGGTTAATTAGGCAGGGTAAGAACATTAGTCCCATAATTAGGTATATTATTAGGAGAGGGCCCAGGAATGGGATGACCCATGCTATCTATGATTTTGTTCCCAAACCAAGAATCTGTTTGTTTGTTTTGGTACTCCTTAGCTTTTTAGCTTGTTTTTTTTAATAGCGCTTTTTACTAGGTCTGATTGGCTGATATAGAAACAACATTCCTTTCCTAATAAGAGGCAGAGGTGCTGGTTTGGAAAGGCCCATGTGTTATTTTCTGTTAGTAACCATTATTCCCGCTATGAGGATAATAATTAAGCGAAATGCTATGGTAATTGAGATTCTGTGTCTGATATTTTACCCTGAGGGTGCTACAGTATATAGTCCTACTGCAAATAGTAGAGTGAGTAAAGCAATTCCCACACGGGTGGCGTAGTAAATAATTTCCATTAAAAAGTTTTAATATTTGGCTTAAAAGGAGAGGTAGGAACGATAAAAGTATTTGATGAGGTAGGGGTGAGACTGAATAGGATGAGTAATTCTCTCTTGGTTACTTATTTTAGCTTAAGGTTTCCTATTTATTTCCTCCGGTGAGAGTCGGGGGCTTAGAGGCAGCGCCTGCTGAAACATCAAGTTTTCAGTTTATAGGGCTTTCAGAAAGCACAGCTATTTTGGAAACTTGTAGCCAGAAAAATTAGAATTTAATTTAAACAGAAAATAGTAAGAATTGAAAAACATTAGGCAACACCAGGATTTAACAACATGTGTGCTATCGTTTTTGAAACATAATTTTCTCTCTCAAGTTTACCATTTTCATTAAAAGACAAATCATACCAGTAGGACTGATTTTCTTTATTATACTTGGCTTAGTTATTTGCATACAGTGGAGCAAGAATAATTATTTGTTACTTAGGTCCTTTAAATTGGCTTTGATGGAACTTTGTTTTGTAGAAGGAATGTGAGATAAGACCTTTTTAAAGGCAAGGCCAGCCATAGATTTGTACCACTGAATACCTATGAGTTGGGAGAAATCCTCTCTTCTTGAGGTTCTAAGATAACTTGGGACTCCTGGCCTGTCAGAAAGTGACATTCTTTACTTACCACAGATCGGAAACCCTGTACAGGGACTGTACATGAAATCTGAGGCCAGCTTTCCAAGGGCTTTATTGGCTCCATAAGTCAAATTTGATTCCTTAAAGGAAGGCACACCATTCCAGTTAAAGCCTTGGTAAAATAACCAGTTTTCCCAATTGTGTCCTGTTACAAAAGAAAACAGATTCTTGTTGCACTTATGCAAATAACTATATTACCCTAACTTAAGAATACATACAGATAGTTTCCAAATTCTGGAGAAAATCAGGTAGAGAGAAACAAGAATGCTCCAAATTTTGTTCATGGAAGCATACTAAATTGTTAAAAGCTGTCAATAATTCAAAAGAAAAGATTCTTGGACTTTGAAAAGCAAAACAAAGAATTAGCAATATTTTAAGCAATACGTTAAAAAGATCACTCCAGGCTGGGCGTGGTGGGTCCCATCTGTAATCCCAGCACTTTGGGAGGCCAAGGTGGGTGGATTACCTGAGGTCAGGAGTTAAAGACCAGCTGGGTAACATGGGGAAACCACATCTCTACTGAAAATACAAAAATTAGCCGGGTGTGGTGGCGAACGCCTGTAATCCCAGCTACTTGGGAAGCTGACACAGGAGAATCGCTTGAATGTAGGAGGAGGCTGCAGTGAGCCGAGATCATGCCACTGCATTCCAGCTTGGGCTACAGAGCAAGACTCTGTCTTAAAAACAAACAAACAAAAAAGATCACTCCAGTCTCCTGCAGTTTAGTTCATGCAGTTAATTCCTGTCCTGATTCATATTAACATTTTAGCTTTTTAAGAGTTCTGAACGTTTTTCCTCTATTGTGATATCACAATTTTCAGAAACTTGCATTCAAGGGCACCTGTTAGACCTTTATAGCTGATTATAAAACCACCTTTTTAAAGAGGACCAAAACAAGACAACAATTGTTTATGGATGACAGAAAGTTTTAGGATAGGCCGGGCGTGGTGGCTGATGCCTGTAATCCCAGCAGTTTGGGAGGCCAAGGCAGGCAGATCACCTTGAGGTCAGGAGTTTCAGACCAGCCTCACCAACATGGTGAAACTTCGTCTCTACTAAAAATACAAAAATTAGCCAGGTGTGGTGGTGTGCACCTGTATGTAATCCCAGCTACTCTGGAGGCTGAGGCAAGAGAATTGCTTGAACCCAGGAGGCAGAGGTTGCAGTGAGCCAAGATCGTGCCATTGCACTCCAGCCTGGGCAACAAAAGTGAAAATCCGTCTCAGAAAAAAAGTTTTAGAATAGCCATACTTAAAGACGCAATTGACAAGGATATCTGTTACCTTTGTGGCACACAATAATTTTAACATAACAATTATAATTATTACTTATAAGGTACACTAAGATATGTCAGAATTATAGGAGTCTCCCATAACTTTGAAACACATACCAATAACATACTTATACAAATATAGCCCAAAGAAAGCCAAACACCATTTTGTATTTGACAATGCTTCCTGTATGATTTTATACCAAATATGCCAAATTTTACCATTATAGTAGTGTGCTATGAATATTAAACTCCATTTTTAATAAAACCTTGTAGATGCATTTACTCAATTTTAATGTTTGACCATAAGGTAAGATTTTTATAGACCCTTTTTAACCCTTTATAATTTTTGTTAAAAAGCAGGTTAGTGCTTAAGAGAAACCCGTTGTGTTTTTATTTTAATGCTCAATTTACAGAAAAACTAGATGCTACCCCTTCAACTTTAGCCAATATGTTTACACAGAATTTCCTTTACAATTAACCTGCCAAAACGTGCTTAAACCTTCAAAACAATTGTTTAACTTAACTTTTTTAAACCTTCAAAACAATTGTTTAACTTTTTAATGTAGGTAAAAATCCACATTCTCATGCCTCCTTATAATCTTTTTACCAAAAGTGTATTTTACTTTCCTTACACACTTTCCACATAATTAACTTTCAGTAAAGTTTACTTTTGTTGAAAACCTTGGTAAGTTTGGGATTTTAATTATGTACTAGGTGTAGAGCCTAGGACCTAGACTTCTGTGCAGATAAGGTCTGGCTTAGTCCAGCATTTAATTCCGTGTGTCCTAGGTTTTACCTAGCTGCAAAGCAGGCAAGTTGTACAGGTAAGAGTTATAGGGGCATTTTATAAAGCAGTCAGGAGGCCTAATCACTTTTAAATTGTACATTTCTTGCATAAATTCCATTTATAAAATTTTTCATGCCTTTCACAGTCTGACATGCCTCAACTTTCTGACTTGTTGTAAACATCTCTCTCTTTAAACAACCAGTTAATTTACTTTAGTACAAAAATTTACCATATAAAATTTTTAAATATAAATTATCTTTTAATATAAAAGATACCAGTCCTTTCCCAAAACAAACTTCCTTCATGCCTGTGGACTAGACTGCCTAAGTCCATAAGATTAGAAGTTAGGATATTAAATGGCTTAGGATGTAGCTATTTTCATTAAACCAATATTAATGTTTCACTTATTAAAAAATTATACAAAGATTATTTTGTTTGGGCTGAGTCATAGTTTTGTTTGTTTTGATACCTTATAGTATTTGGCAGAGATAAGAATGAAATTGCTTGATTAATAAATGCAAACAAAAACATATGCTGGTAACTCTTAAGACAGTTCTAACTTTACTGTACCAGTAAGTTTTAAAGATTAAAGTCATGTGAACTGAAAGATCCCACAGCTTTTACTTTTCCCTTAAAAATATTTGATTTAAGCACTTATTTTTTTTGCCAATTATAATTAGAGTTCCTTTAATAGACATTGCACACATAACACATATATAACCACACAGACAACCAGAAGAAGATTCAGTAGTTACAATATTTTTTTTCTCCTAATTTCCCAATTGGCTTATTGGCCTTTGGGTGGTGCCCTTTAAGAACAGGGCTAGGAAAACAGTTTCCAGGGCCTAATAAACAAGTAGAGCTGGAAGACAAAGATTTTGAGAGGTACTTATTCACCTTTAATTCCAGGGGTTCCATAAGGAAAACAGATTTTTCCCAAAATGGGATTTGTGGTGCCTTTTCTGTTTTCCCAAGGGATCCCAGGCCACCAGAAACCGTTTTAGGATTTTATACATGCACCAAGAGTGGCAAGACAGAGTGGAAAAAAGTAATTCAGTTAACTGGGAAAAAACCTTTTCCAGGAAAACAAGATCTATGAAGAGAAGCCTTTTGAATATACTCATAGCTTGGAGGAGGGAAAGACCTGGAGAGGGTTTTCATTAGGAAGAAAGATATTTTTTTTTTTTTTGAGACTTTGTCTTGCTCTGTCACCCAGGCTGGAGTGTAGTGGCGTGATCTCTGCTCACTGCAAGCTCTGCCTCCCAGGTTCACGCCATTCTTCTGCCTCAGCCTCCCAAGTACTGGGACTACAGGTGCCCGCCAGCACACCCGGCTAATTTTTTGTATTTTTAGTAGAGATGGAGTTTCACCGTGTTAGCCAGGATGGTCTCGATCTCCTGACATCGTGATCAGCCCGCCTCAGCCTCCCAAAGTGCTGGGATTATAGACGTGAGCCACCACGCTCAGCCAGGAAGAAAGATTTAGGAAGAAAGATTTTATGAGAGGTGCAAACTTGACACAGGGAGCGTTGGGATTTAAAGTAGAAGCAGAAAGCCTGAATATAGAGAACCTCTTGCCATTTGCTGTTCTTGGTTATAAAGTTGTTAAGGTTCCTGAGAATTTGCAAGCTAAAGGTGCCATTTTTGGGCCATCAGCTGTCATTATCTAATGTGTATTGGGGCCAGGCCATGTTACAATAAAAGACTACATGCTTAAGCCAAGTTTGGCGAGGTTGTGAAGGAGACAGCACAGTGGAGAGGGTGTGGGAATGTGGGATTGTTTGGCACCCATGTGGACTGGCAAGAAGAAGCCGAGGGTGTCTGTTTTTGTTCTAGGCGTCCCCAGACAAAAGACAGAGACCTGGAGTTCTCTTTCTAAAGAGGATGGTCAAGCTGAGAAGAAACTGGGCATCCCCAAGATTTCCTCTAGCTTAGTCCCACTGGTCCTCTGAGGACCGAGATGGCAGACCTGACTTTTTCCAGATACCATGAGAAAGCCAGGGGAGGGCAGATCTTACCAGTCAGCTGGATTAGTGTCTGATGTTAACGTTCCAGTTGGCCTCTTGGGCTGCAGCTGCACAAGGGAGAGAGAGAAAAGGGAGGATTAGAGAAAAGTGAACTGAATAAAAAGACAACGAGTGGTGGCCAGAGACCTCCAGGATCCAGGAATTAACTCAGGACAAGCTGCTGTTGCCCACTGCTTCCTGGGTTGCAGGAGAGCCTCTGCCCCCAGCACCCATCCTGGGTTTCGGCACCAAATGTAAGAGTTAGAGGAAAGAAACACGAAATGCAGCTTGACAGTCAAAGACAGGTTTATTTTAGAAAAAACCTGAGAGGGGCTTCTGGCTGATTTCTGTCAGAAGTGCTTTCTCTTACAGACTAAGAGTGTATATTGGTTTTAGGGTGAGGGGGCTTATTACAAGCTTGGAATGTTTCTGTGTAGGGGAGAAGTTTATGGGGGCGTTGGAATGTCTCTGGGCAGAGGTGGATTATCTTGGGGCTAGCATGTCTCTGGTCTGGGAGGAGTTGGAATGTTTCTGGTTGGAGATGTTATTTGTGGTTTATGATCATGCTGACTTAGCCATTAGGCTGATGCCCTTTGGATTTAGGCAGTTTTTGATTAAGGTGACTTTTAAAATGAGGTGCTTGTCCACGATGGTGATGCTTCTACTCGGTCACCCAGCCTCTAGTCAAAGGCTTTTTTCCAGGAAGGGCAGAACTTCAGCTTTTCTCATCTTACCTCCACCTACCCATTACTGAGGTTATGTCCTGTGTGGGTATGTTTGAAAAGTGGGGACATGGTTTGTGAGTATGGTGCACTCAGACTACTAGGACACTGATCAACTTTGCCTCAGCTCGTAGAGGTGGTGGATCCATGCCAGGACACAGGCCAAGAGGACATCAGGCTGCTGTCCCTCCCCGCCACTGAACACTCAGTTCCTAAAGAGAGAGGATTACTCAGAAAGCAGCTTGCCAACGCTCCTACCCAAGCTTCAGAGCCCTGTCAGATTTTGCCTTGAGGTGGAAGAGAAGCAAGCTGTGAAACACATAGCTCCTAACC
The DNA here is from genome assembly GCF_000001405.40 of Homo sapiens. NCBI lineage: Eukaryota > Metazoa > Chordata > Mammalia > Primates > Hominidae > Homo > Homo sapiens. The sequence continues at coordinate 12,231,503 of NC_000019.10, forward strand.
TCTTGCCTAAGAATTAACTTCAATTGCAACAGATCATGAGACATTTAAGTCAAAGGGCACTCCATCCTTGATGCAGTGGAAATGGGGAAATGGAGGTGAAAGACAATTCACAGGAGATTTGTGGATTTAATGAAGATACTGCCTGCACTGTAGGCCAGCTAATTTGTGGACAAAACCAGGAAAAAAACACTGTTAGGAGGAGTCCATTAAGCATCTAAACAAACAACTATTAAACGCTGATCTCAGATAGTATTGTTAGAAAGGAGAGAAAACATATTTGGATTTACAGGGCAAATTTGTCCCTGGACTTTTTTGAGAACAATAGAGCTATCTGAAGGGGTGGGTTGCCCCTCCACACCTGTGGGTGTTTCTCGTTAGGTGGAACAAGAGACTTGGAAAAGAAAAAGACACAAAGTATAGAGAAAGAAATAGGGAGACCCAGGGAACCAGAGTTCAGCATATGGAGGATCCCGCCAGCCTCTGAGTTCCCTTAGTATTTATTGATCATTTGTGGGTGTTTCTCCAAGAGGGGGATGTGTCAGCGTCACAAGACAATAGTGGGGAGAGGGTCAGCAGACAAATACGTGAACAAAGGTCTTTGCATCATAGTAAAGAATCAAGTGCTGTGCTTTTAGATATGCATACACATAAACATCTCAATGCTTTACAAAGCAGTATTGCTGCCCGCATGTCCCACCTCCAGCCTTAAGGCGGTTTTTCCCTATCTCAGTAGCTAGAACGTACAATCGGGTTTTATACCGAGACATTCCATTGCCCAGGGACAGGCAGGAGACAGATGCCTTCCTCTTGTCTCAACTGCAAGAGGCATGCCTTCCTCTTTTACTAATCCTCCTCAGCACAGACCCTTTACGGGTGTCGGGCTGGGGGACAGTCAGGTCTTTCCCTTCCCACGAGGCCATATTTCAGACTATCACATGGGGAGAAACCTTGGACAATACCTGGCTTTCCTAGGCAGAGGTCCCTGCGGCCTTCCGCAGTGTTTGTGTCCCTGGGTACTTGAGATTAGGGAGTGGTGATGACTCTTAACGAGCATGCTGCCTTCAAGCATCTGTTTAACAAAGCACATCTTGCACCCCCCTTAATCCATTTAACCCTGAGTTGACACAGCACATGTTCCAGAGAGCAGGGGGTTGGGACTAACGTTATAGATTAACAGAATCTCAAGGCAGAAGAATTTTTCTTAGTACAGAACAAAATGGAGTCTCCTATGTCTACTTCTTTCTACACAGACACAGCAACAATCTGATCTCTCTTGCTTTTCCCCACACCATCAGCCAGCAATCAGTGCAGTTTAACATCTGAGGGCTGTCCAAGAGAGGAAGAGATTCCCACAGTACCATTGTCATGCCAGGATGACTGCAGGCAGAAACAAAGCTGAGCCACTTCCCCTCCCCTCAAGAGCAATATCAGAGACTTAAAGTTATGAAGAAGAAATTGACAGAGCAAGAGCATCGCCATCGTGGACAAGCACCTCATTTTAAAATTCACCTTAATCAAAAACTCTAAATCCAAAGGGCATCAGCCTAATGGCTAAGGTCAGCATGACCATAAACCACAAATAATATCTCTGACCAAAAACATTCCAGACTCCTCCCTGACCAGAGACATGCACCAAGATAACCCTCACTCTGGCTGGGAAGATGCCAGCCCTGAGAAACCCCCCTCCGGCCAGAAAGATGTCTGCCCCAAAATAACCTCCCCTCTGCCCAGAGACATTCCAAGCTTGTAATAAGCCCCCTCACCCTAAAACCAATATATACTCTTAGTCTGTAAGAAAAAGTGCTCCTGACCAAAATAGGCCAGAAGCCCTTCAGATTGTTTCTAAAATAAACCTGTCTTTAACCATCAAGCTGTGTTTCTTTCCTCTTTAACTCTTACAGAAATAGACTTCACCAAAATAGTCCAATCGGTCTCTAAACAAAACAAAGCAAATAACAATAACAAGGCCCGGAGAAATTGAACATACTTGAGAAGGTTCAGTATGTTATCAAAAATGTCCAATTTGCAACAAGTACAACCCATACATCAAAAAAAAAAAAAAAAAAAAAACCTGACAATAGAAACTGCCTGTGAGAACAGATAGCAAATTTAATCGAAAAATACTTCAAAGTGTACATTATAAATATGTTCACAGAACCAAAGAAGAGCATGACTTAAACACATTGAAATTTGGAATCTAGCTGAAGGTTTCTCCACACCAACTACCCTACTTTCACAATCTTTCTAATGTAATGACTACTGTAAAAAATGACAAGCCTGGCTGGGCGCAGTGGCTCACACCTGTAATCCCAGCACTTTGGGAGACCGAGGCAGGTGGATCATGAGGTCAGGAGTTCGAGACCAGCCTGACCAACATGATAAAACCCTGTCTCTACTAAAAATACAAAAATTAGCCGGGCATGGTGGCGGGCACCTGTAATCCCAGCTACGCAGGAGGTTGAGGCAGGAGAATCGCTTGAACCCAAGAGGCGGAGGTTGCAGTGAGCTGAGATCGCGCTGCTGCACTCCAGCCTGGGGGACAGAGTGAGACTCTGTCTTAAAAAAAAAAAAAAAAATGACAAGCCCATTATTAGTGGTTCATTAATAGGTTTTGAACGTACATTGCTACCAGTATCACAGAAAGTGCAGGTTTTCTGCCATGTATGAATTGTTTGAAAGTAAATGCACTGATTACTCTGCAACAAGGCTCCCCCATAGCTATTATAAAAATAATAACATCCATGTATGAAGTTTCTTAGTTCTGTTTCCCTGTGAAGTATGTTATAAATACTTCAACATCTATGTTACAGTAAGTATATTATTTGTGTTGAAAATTTTGTTTTAAAAATTGATAACATGCAAAGATCCCCTCAAGGGATTTTCCTCTTGTGAGGGCAAATCACCTTAGATTTCTCCCAGGCTTTTTCTATTGATCTTTAATGTTCTGGTTGTGCCATTTGTTTCCTAAAATGTAGACCGAGAAAAATCATTATCATTTAGAAAGCATGGAAAAATTACTGGATTGTAGGTTCATTGTGCACTGCAGCCATGCTTGATCAATTCATCAAAATACCTCCTTTCCACATTCCAAATTTTGGAACAGCACTGATGGCCAAAAAGCACTTGTTCTCTAATTGACTAAAGGAAAAAAATAGTATCCTCACCTATAGAAGCCAGGTGCTGATGGCTTCCCTCATCACATCTCTACAGATTCTTCACGGAAAAATCCAGCAAAGCCTACTCCTTCTGGATGAAGTTCAGAGTCACATCTTCAAAGACCACCAAGCCGTGACATATCCCAGATATGTGTAGAGGAGGACAGGTGAGACGGACAGCACTGGGGATCTAGACTCAATTCATGAGAGTTCACACTGAAGCGGTGTCATTGTCTCGGAGCCATGGAAAACTAGGACATGGACAAACAGAGGTTCTGAGCAGAAGTTTAATAGGCGAAAGAAAGACATGAGCTCTCTCTGCTGCAGAGAGAAGGGTCTCAGAGAAGTGGGTTGCTGTTCCCACAGTGAAATGCAGTTTTATAGATGAGCTTGAGGAGGCAGTGTCTGATTTACACAGGGTACAAAAGATTGGTTGGGGCCGGGCGTGGTGGCTCATGCCTGTAATCCCAACACTTTGGGGGGCAGAGGCGGGCGGATCACAAGGTCAGGAGACATCCTGGCTAACAGGGTGAAACCCCATCTCTACTAAAAATACAAAAAATTAGCCGGGCGTGGTAGCAGGCGCCTGTAGTCCCAGCTACTCGGGAGGCTGAGGCAGGAGAATGGCGTGAACCTGGGAGGCGGAGCTTGCAGTGAGCCGAGATCGCGCCACTGCAGTCCGACCTGGGCGAAAGAGCGAGACTCCGTCTCGTCTCGAAAAAAACAAAACAAAACAAAAAAACCGACACCAGTTCACTACAATCTTTCTATAAAATACAAGAGTAAACACTTCCTAATACATGCTAGGAGGCCAACAGAATCCTACTGCCAAAACTAGATAGATACATTACAAAGGTGGAAAACTATAGACCAGTAACTCTCATGATCATAGATCCTAAAAGTTCTCAACAAATATTCACAAATTGAATCTAAAAATGTATAAAAAGAATTATACACCACAGTCAAGTGGGAATCATTACAGGTGTACAAGGCTGATTCAAAATTCAGAAATTGCCAGGTGCGGTGGCTCATGCCTGTAATCCCAGCACTTTGAGAGGCTGAAAAGATTGCTTGAGCCCAGCAGGCAGAGGTTGTCCTCTGGGAGTGAACCAGAGGCTGATATTCACTAGATCCTCCAAGATACCTGGCAACTGTGAGTATCCTGGGTCAACCCCAGGAAGTTCTAAAACCCAGGAACAGGGACAGATCACCCTATAAAATTTCCAAAAGGGAACCTCAATCCAAAGACATTCTGGTAAGGTGTCTGTGCCTAGGGAAGATAAAAGGAGGAGAGGCACAAAAGAGTAAGTGCACCCGAGTTTCATGCACTTACTCTGTTTTCCTCATGTGAAATGTTCACAAACAGAAAAATATTTTAAAAAGAGCTATCGCTCTGTGAAAAAAATGATAAAGTACTGCATCTGTTTGAAATGTACAATAAAGGACAAATAGTTGATAATATTTTGAATCGATGAAGCAAAGTTGGCACTTGGGAATGTGGGGAAGGAATTGGAAATTTAGGAATTCATACAAACCCTAGAAGGGTTAAGTTCGGCAAACAGAATTGTGGATTTGAGACCTGCGTCCCACACTTTTGGAAAATGCAAGGGCAAACAAATACACGAGAAAATCGGTACCCCTGGGGAGTGTTAAAAGAAATAAGAGGCAATCAGACTGGAATGGCTATAGTGCCCTGAGTTGCTTCCCAAGGACACCAAAATCGGACACAAATGTAGCTTGTAAATTACCAATTTAGAGGAAAATGAAGTTTAGCCTCCGACTACATAACCAGAACATTTCCACCTGGATAGACCTGTCAGAAATAGGAAGAACTGAAAGAAATTTGTTAAAAAGTGGCCTAAGATGGCTGCAGGTTGGACATACAGGTAATAGAAACCAGGCCCATGAAATAAAACTGAACTCTCAGCCTGCAAGTTAAATATTTCACTGACCTGTACTGATGACAACCTTGCCTATCAGATGAAGCGAAGGTAGGACAGATTCAATCATCCCTGTCTAAACCCTGCGATGCCTGTGTACTGGTTAACCTTTCATATACTTTCACCACATACTTGCTTTATCTTATAAGGTCACTGCCCACCTCTCCCATTTTCTGTGTAACACAAGGTATAACACTTCACGTAGCCCACTCCAGGACACATTGTTTGTGCTGGGTCTGCATTCCCAGGCTATTGTCCTTAAACTTGACTTAGAATAAAACGCCTGTTTTTTTAACCTTTGGTTGACAGACCAAATAAGGCGACTTATAACCAAAGATTTAACTTGGCTTGCTTCCTCATACACCTTATAAAAGCCTTTCCTTCAAGCCCCCCTGACGGGACCCCAAAGAACAAGCCATGGTTGGGTTATTCATGAATTGCTCTTGGCTAAATAGTTAAATATTTAACGGTGCTGCATTTTAATTTTTACAGGTGAAAGGCAGGATTGGGAACCCCACAGACCGCAGCTCCTCCCAGGAGAACCCCACACATGAGTCTGGATCCTCGCCATGATCCTCCCGTGGCCCCCACACAATCTGGGGAGACGCGGGGCCGCGGGCACTGCGCTGCCGAGAGGGCTCCGGACTGAGGCTGCAGTTGCTGCGCAGGGACGGCTCAGGATGCCCGGGGTCCCGGCTGCTGGCCCAGCCCCACCCTGTGGCCGAGGGGACCCAGGGACGAGCTGCGCCAGGGAGACTCGGGTCCGCAGACCCCGGAATCGCTGCTGACAGGCCCGGGTCCCACCACAGCAGGTCCCAACCAGCCCCTCCTCCCACCCGGCCTTGCACACTCACCATTTCCCGGCTCCCAGGTGTCCCGGGTCCTCCCTTGGCTCCGGAGATCAGTGCTGGTCACCACCGGACAGAAGCTGTGGTGGAGCCACCTCGGCCTCTGGAAGGCTGAATTCAGTGGGTTAGGGGAACAGGAGCCCCTTAGACTTGCGGAGCTTGGCCCCACCCTCCTGGCGGAGCGCCTGATTGGATAATTTACACGACCCCGCCCAGTACCCCTAGGATAGGAATCAAGCCCCACCCCCTAGGCCCGGGTTTCAGGAGAAGCCACGGAAAACTCGGAAGTGTGGAGCAGGATTGACAGGTTCTAGCAACAGCCCTCCCACCCCCCCGCCCAGGCCAGGCTTCCTTCTGGAGCTTGGACGTGACCCCACACTGGGGACATTTGCATTTAAGAAAAACTTGGCTCCAGGCTTTCCACAGTGGGCCCTGGCATCTTCCTATACTCACTGGGCCCTTTCTGTTTCTTCCTTCTGGACGGGGGTTCACAAGTGTGAGCAGGCAGTTCCACACTCCGTGTCCAATTGAGCCAGTACCTTTGCTGGAAGCTACTGGGCTGGAACAGGAGGGAGAGCCCAGATGTCTTCCAGGGATCAGGAATTTGGGATAAGCGGCTGGTGGCATGGCCAAGGCTTCCTCATACCTTATCTCAGTCTACCCATTTTCAGGGAAGAAAATGAAATATGCCAACAAGGGAACAAAAATTAAGTGCATGGAAAAAAGTTATACTACAGCAATATTCTGTAAAGAAATCAAAAGGGGCCGGGCGCGATGGCTCACCCTATAATCCCAGCACTTTGGGAGGCCAAGGTAGGAGGATCACCTGAGGTCAGGAGTTTGAGACCGCTCTGGCCAACATGGTGAAACCCCATTCTCTACTAAAAATACAAAAACTAGGCCAGGCGCGGTAGCTCACGCCTGTAATCCTAGCACTTTGGGAGGCCAAGGCGGGCGGACCACAAGGTCAAGAGATCAAGACTATCCTGGCCAACATGGTGAAACCCTGTCTCTACTAAAAATACCAAAAAAATCAGCTGGGCGTGGTGGCACGTGCCTGTAGTCAGAGCAGCTCGGGAGGTTGAGGCAGTAGAATTGCCTGAACCCGGGAGACAGAGGTTGCAGTGAGCCAAGATCACACCACTGCACTCCAGCCTGGCAACAGAGAGAGACTGTCTCAAAAAAAAAAAAAAAAAAAAAAATAGCTGGGCATGGTGGCACGTGCCTGTAATCCCAGCTACTCAGGAGGTCGAGGCAGGACAATCACTTGAACTCGGGAGGCGGAGGTTGCAGTGAGCCGAGATCGTGCCACTGCACTCCAGCCTGGGCAGCAGAGTAAGACTTCATTTCAAAAAATGGGAAGAACAGCAAACATTTTAACTAGCTCAGATAAGCATCCTCCTTCACAAGGAAAAGCCGCATTCAGAAAATGAATCACGTTCCCAACCTTAAGAGCCAGGTTCTGACTGCTGTAACGCAGCCCCAGAGGGGATCAGTCTGTGAGTTCCTGTCCCCTCAGTGTGGAAATGCTCCCTCCTTCAGGACCTTAATTTTCACCAGCAGGAAACTCTCACCTGGAATCAGCTTAAGGTTCTGATCTAAATAAACTGTCAAAATCATAAACCCATTCTCCAGAAGACAACCCAAACAAGTCTTTCTCTAAACCTGAACTAAACAGATTTTTTTAGAGGGAGTCTAGCTCTGTTGCCCAGGCTGGAGTGCAGTGGCGTGATCTCGGCTCACTGCAGCCCCCACCTCCCGGGTTCAAGCAGTTCTCCTGCCTCAGCCTCCCCGAGCAGCTGTGACTATAGGTGCACACCACCATGCCCAGCTAATTTTTGTATTTTTAGTATAGACGGGGTTTCACCATGTTGACCAGGCTCGTCTTGAACTCCTGACCTCAGGTGGTCTGCCTGCCTTGGCCTCCCAAAGTGCTGGGATTACGGGAGTGAGCGACTGCACCTGGCCTTTTTTTTTTTTTTTTTTTTTAAACAAGATGGGGGTCTCACTATGTTGCTGAGGCTGGTCTCGAAGTCCTGCCCTCAAGTGATCCTCCTGCCTCAGCCTCCCAAAATGCTGGGCTTATAGGTGTGAGCCACCGAGCAAGCCCAGCCCAAGTTGCATTTTTTTTTTTTTTTTTTTTTTTTTGAGATAGAGTCTAACTCTGTCATCCAGGCTGGAGTGCAGTGGCGTGGTGTCACTCACTGCAACCTCCACCTCCCTGTTCAAGCGATTCTCCTGCCTCAGCCTCCTGAGTAGCTGAGACTACAGGCGCATGCCACCACACGCAGCTAATTTTTGTATTTTTAGTAGAGATGGGGTTTCACTATGTTGGCCAAGCTGGTCTTGGAACTCCTGACCTCGTGCTCCACCCGCCTTGGCTTCCCAAAGTGCTGGGATTACAGGTGTGAGCTACCGTGCCCAGCCCCAAGTTGCGTTTTTATATAGTAACAATAAACGGTCTGAAAGAAAATTAATGAAACAATTCCATTTACAAAAGCACCAAAAACAGTAAAAATTCAGCCAAGAGGCCTGTATCTTGTACACTGAACACTACAAAAGATTGCTGAAACAAATTAAAGAACAGACAAATAAATCGCAAGTAATCCCATGTTCATGGATTGTAAGACTTCCTATTGTTAGGATGAGCATACTACCCAAATTAATCTACAGATACAATGCAACCCCTATCAAAATCCTTATGGCCTTCTTTTTAGGCCGGGCACAATGGCTCACACCTGTAATCCCAGCACTTTGGGAGGCTGAGGCAGGCAGATCACTTGAGGTCAAGAGTTCAAGACCAGCATGGCCAACACGGTGAAACCCCGTCTCTACTAAAAATACAAAAAATTAGCCGGGTGTGGTGGCTCGTGCCTGTAATTCCAGCTACTCAGGAGGCTGAGGCAGGAGAATTACTTGAACCCAGGAGATGGAGGGTGCAGTGCACTGAGATTGTGCCACTACACTCCAGCCTGGGAGACAGAGTGAGATTCTATCTCAAAAAAAAAAAAAAAAAAACTAGAAAAAATCAACCCTAACGTTCATTTGGAATCTCCCCTAATACCAAAACAATCTTGAAAAAAAGTTCAAAGACTCACGCTTCCTGATTTCAAACTGGCTATAAAACTACCATCATCGAAACCACATGGTACTGTGTAGGGACAGACATACAGAACACAGATCCTAGAAAGAAAATGCTTGCATATGTGGTCAAATGATTTTTTGACAACAGTGCCATGATCATTCAATGGAGAAAGGATGGTCTTTAAACATATGTTGTTGGGAAAACTGGGTATCTACATTCTAAAGAATAAAGTTGGACCCTTACCTTATATACAAAAATTAATTTTGAGTCAAAGATCTAAACTTAAAAGCCAAAACCATAGAAGACTTAGAAGAAGATATAGGAGAAATTTTCATGACATTGGATTTAACAATCATTTCTTGGATATGAAATCTAAAGCACAGGCAAACAAAAGATAAACTGAACTACATGAAAATTTAAAACTTTTGTGCACCAAAAGACAACATACAGAATGAGAACATATTTGCAAATCACGTATCTTGGAAGAGATTAATACCCAAAATACATAGGAACTCCTACAACTCAACAAAACAAACCAATGAGCCCATTCAAAAATGAGTGAGGGACTTGAAAACATTTGTACAAAGATATATAAATGGCCAACAACCACATGGAATAATGCTCATTACCACTGGTGATTAGGGAAATGTAAATCAAAACACCAGTGACAGTTCACAACTGTTGGAATGGCTGCCATTTAAAACAAAAAGTAGAATATAACCAGGGTTGGTGAGCATGCATAGAAACTGCAGTCCTTGTGTATTGCTGGGGAGAATTTTACACACAGCCACTGTGAAAAACAGTATGGCTATACATGAACATAGAAAACCCTGTGACCCAGCAATTCCACTCCTAGGTATGTATCTAAAAGAATAGAGGCCAGGCACGGTGGCTCACACTTGTAATCCCAGTACTCTGGGAGGCCAAAGTGGGTGGATCACCAGAGGTCAGGAGTCCAAGACCAGCCTTCCTGGCCAACATGGTGAAACCCTGTCTCTACTAAAAATACAAAAAGTTAGCTGGGCATAGTGGCAGACACCTGTAATCACAGCCACTCAGGAGGCTGAGACAGGAGAAACACTTGAACCTGGGAGGTGGAGGTTTCAGTGAGCCAAGATCGCACCACTGCACTCCAGCCTGGGCAACAGAGCGAGACTCCGTTGCAATCAATCAACCATGGAAAGCAGGGACTCAGACACATACGCACTGATTTTAGAGCAGTATTCAGAGTAGTCAAAAGAGTTTTGTGGAAACAACCCAAGTGCTCAACATATGGATGGATAAACAAAGTGTGGTGTATCCAATATACCACACTTGGGAATATTATTCAGGCACAAAAACTGAATTACTGGTACATGCTAACATGTGGATGAACCTTGAAAACATTATGCTAAGTGAAATAAGCCAGACACATAAGGACAAATACTGCATGCTTCTACTTACATGACGCACCTAGAATCAGCAAATTCATAGAGCAAGAAAGGAAAATAGAGATTACCAAGGGATGGGGATGGGAGGAATAGGGAATGGTTGTTTAATGGGTACCAATTTTTTTTTGGACTAATGAAAAAATTCTGGAACTAGCTAGCTAGCTGTGATGGTTCTAAAGCACTGTTAATGTATTTAATGCTACTGAATGGCATACTTACAATGGTAAATTCTATGTTACTATATTTGACCTTAAAAAAAATTAAAGGCCGGGTGCGGTGGCTCACGCCTGTAATCCCAGCACTTTGGGAGGCCGAGGTGGGCAGATCACATGAGGTCAGGAGTTCAAGGACCATCCTGGCTAACACAGTGAAACCCTGTCTCTACTAAAAATACAAAAAATTAGCCGGGCGTGGTGGTGGGCACCTGTAGTCCTAGCTACTCGGGAGGCTGAGGCAGGAGAATAGCGTGAACCTGGGAGGCGGAGCTTGCAGTGAGCCGAGATTGCACTACTGCACTCCAGCCTGGGTGACAGAGCGAGACTCCGGCTCAAAAAAAAAAAAAAATTAAAAACTGGCCAGGCACATTGGCACACGGCTCACACCTGTAATCCCAGCACTTCGAGAGGCCAAGGCAGGAAGATCCCTTGAGCCCAGGAAACCTGTCTGGGCAATATAGTAAGACCTATATAGTAAGACCTTGTCTCTCCAAAAAAAAAAAAAAAAAAAAATATGATTTAAAAAATTACCTGGGCATGGTAGTGTGCACCTGTAGTCCCAGCTATTCAGGAGGCTGAGGTGGGAGGATCATTTGCTTGGGAGGCAGCAGTTTCAGTGAGCCAAGAGAACACTACTGAACTCCAGCCTGGGTGACAGGGAGACCCTGTCTGAAAGAAAAAAAATTAAAAACTAAAGACACAATTTGAGCTACTAGAAAGGAAAACAACAATGCCTGGTATAAAATATGCACTGGATTGAATAACCAGATCAGATATTTCAGGAAGAAATTAAGACCCAGCAATAGAAATGACATAATTTTAAATACATGCACTTAACAAATTGCCAAAATACGTCATGCAAGAACACACAGAACTGCAAGGTGACACAGAAAAATTCACAGTTAACTGAAGACTTCAACACTTCTCAGTAATACAAAGATCCAACAGGCGTAGATTCAGTAAACATTCCTTTTTTATTTTAAAATACTTCACAAAGATTGTATATGTTCATGATGTACAGTTATGTTTTGATGTATATATATACATTCTGTAATGGTTACCACAGTCAAATTAACACATTGATGACCACCCATGCTGTACATTAAATCTCCAGAACGTGTTCACCTTACAACTTGGTTTTTAACCTTTGACCAACATTTCTCCATTTTCCCTACCTTCTGGACTCTAGTAACCACCGTTCCTCCCTCTGCCTCGGAGTTTAAGTTTTTAATATTCCACAATTAAGTGGGATCATGAAGTATTTGCCTATGTCTGCCTTATTTTATAGTGTCCACCAGGTTTATTCATGTGACAAATGTCAGGATTTCCTTTTTACGGCTGAGTAATATTCTGTTTAAATATACATCACACTTTCTTTATTCATCCATTAATGGATGCTAAGTTTGTTTCCATATGTTGACTATTGTGAATAATGCTGTAATGAACATATGCGAGTGGCAGATATCTCTTTGAAATACTGATCACTGCCTTTGGTCATATATGCATATACCCAGGAGTGAGACTGTTGGATCACATGGTAGTTTTTGTTTTTTTTTGCAGAACCTCCATATTGTTTTTCACAATGGCTGTACCAATGTACATTCCCACCAACAGTATACAAAGCTTCCTTTTTCTCTGTACTCTAACACTAATCTCTCTTGATAGTACCCATCCTTGCATGTATGAGGTAACATGTAATTGTGGTTTTGATTTGAATTTCTCTAATGATTAGTGATATTAAGTCCCTTTTCATTTGCTTTCCGGCCATTTGTATGTCTTCTTTGAAAAAAATGTCCACTCAGGGTTTTTAAATTTATTTTTTCTTATTGTTTTTACCCCTTGCAGAAACCAGTCTATTTTTCTTAATTTGTTAGTTTTTTGAGATGAGAGGGGTCTCATTATGTTACCCAGGTTGGTGTCGAACTCCTGGATTCAAACGATCTTCCTGACTCACACTTCTGAGTACTGGGACTACAATTGGGCACCACTATGCCCAGCTAATAATTTATTTATTTATTTATTTTAGACATGAAGTCTCCCTATGTCGCCCAGGTTGGTCCCAGATTCCTAGCCTCAGGCACTCCTCCCAAGTACGTGGAATTATAGGCATAAGCCACGGCACCTGGCCTCCTAAACTTATGAGTGTTCCAACTTGTAATAGACTTTGAAACATATACAACTTGTTGGTGCGTCCCAGGCCAATCCTCACATTTGGCTTTGATTAGCCTTTATCAAATTATTCTGCCTCAACAGACTTAATTTTGGTCAACAATTTAACTGAGGTACTTTATAGATAACAGTGTCCATTATACCACAGGAAATACTTCAGTGTTTAAATAATGAGAAAAGCAAAAGCTGTTCCCAATGACAGCTGCTCCCCAACTCACCACAAGGCGAAGTCTTACCCTGTTGAAAACTGTAACAAACCTCCATCAGACAAAGCTACCAGGTGACCATAATGGATCAAAATGAAATTCTGTAACCATGTCTCCGATAACCTAAAAGAAAACAGACTCCAAACTTTAAAAATGACCAGAAATCTCCTAATATGACTTGTGCTTCTTATGAATTAGTGTTAGTGCCACTCTATTCTTTCTGCCTCCTAGATAAGAACTATTAGAATTTTCCAAGGATGGAATTGAGTTCACCTAACAGCATCCAATACAAACACCTCACTTTGTTGAATGGCAATGAAATCACCTAAAAGAAACACAAATCCTATAAGAAGTCCTCTTGAGCACCCTCTTATGGATAACCCTCCGTCATTGATGCTTTGTGTTCATCCTTATTACAACTCTTTACATGCCACTCTTTGACTATAGGTGTGATTCTAGTGGTCTCTGGCAAGATGGCACAGACAAAAGCATGCTTTGTTCCTGTGGTATTCTAAATGAGAAATTAGATTCATGAGAAAAATTGTGACCATGTAAGAATTTTAAAAAATTTTTTCCTTTACATTTTCTTTAACATTTTTTAAAGAAAAAAAGTACTTGGACTTATATGCAAATGGTAATACTGACTCATTATTTAGAATGTATAATGAATAACCTGACAAAATTACAAAGTTGACCTGAAAATGCATAATTGCAATGGGATATTTTAATATATATTCTCAGGTAATGGAAAATATTAATACAATAGTTGTTAGTATACAAGTTGTTTTAAAAGAGTTAATAAAATATTTCTAAGAAATACCTGCAGAAGTTGTTTGATAAAAATGCATTGTTTTTATCATGTACAAACATAATTGAGAATGTGCACATGATCACATTTGGCTATAATTGGAAATTCTCACGATCTGCCTGACCTAAGACATTTGTTTTCACATAGACTGTGTCAGAGCAGTTACTGCACAATGCAACAGAGGAACAAGCCCCCATGTTGTTCTATGTGACTGTATCACTGTAGCTGTCACAGGGAAATCAGGAACACAGTTATTACCAGTATTAACAGAATGAAGTGTTTACTATGCAAATTAGATCTTGTTTGAATATAATCTAGAGATGAGGGGAGTCAGAACAACAGAAAATATCCTCAACCATGACAGTTTTAATTAGTTGCCTGGTGGATTATGTTGATGTGGGTAATGTTGTTAACTAAATTTTCTAGAATCTTTTTTTTTTCCATGTTAGAATTCACCAATAGCCTAATGACATGAAAGCTGGGAGGCAGAACTTAAGAAGGCTGCAAGGGGACTGCGTGGACACCGGCCTCCTGCCTGTTTTCCTGATACTTTGTCCTGACAATCAAGAGTTTCTTTAAAACACCACTGTCTACTTCTGTTTTCTCAGACAGGTAGAGTTCCACAGATGTCTCCACCATCTTCACATCAAAGATATAATTTGCAGTTTGGATTTTCCTGCAAGCCCTCATTTGTCCCTATGCATCTGTCTGTCTCCACGCAGATGGGTCCAAAACCTGACTAATGCCTTCTTCAGTTCTGCCTTCCAACTTTCATGTCAGGCTACTGCTGAATTCCAGCATGGAATCCAAAAGGGAATAGATTCTAGAAAATTTAGTTCACGTTACCCATAATCACATAGCACAATCTAAGAGGCACACCTCCAACCTAGATTGTGTTGTCCTATCACAGATCTTACTTCTTAATTCAAAGTCTATCATCCATATCTTGGCCAGAAAGAAAAAGAGCAAAATATGGAAATAATGTATATAAGACTATATTGTATAACCTTGGCCCACTATTCATTAGCAAGGGAAATAAAATAAGGCTCTTCTAACCAAAAAGAAGAAAGGTTTTCTCCTGAGGAAGGTGGAATATATATATAATGGATAAGGGAAAGCCAATACCTGCCACAGGATGCCAGTAGAAAACTCCCAGTACCAAACTGTCATTTTTCAATGGCCCAGAACTATTAAAACATTTTATTAACTGACTTAAGGAATTTTATTTAAAAATTTTATTAACTGACTTAAGGAAAAAACACTACCAATTATACTTCTGCACTATTTCTTAAAGAGTATTTACAGAATAATCTCACCTCAATGTTCATTTATGAAAATAAGTAGGAACCCAGAGTGCAGAGATCCACTTTAAGAATGTGGCACTAAGCCAGGCAACGCAGCACACATCTGTAGTCCCAGCTGCTCAGGAAGCTGAGGTGGGAGGATCTCATGAGCCTAGAAGTCCGCGGCCAGCCTGGGCAACATGGCAAGACCCATCTCAAAAAAAAAAATAAAACAAAAAAACTGGCCCAGTGTGGTGGCTCATACCTATAATCCCAGCACTTTGCTGGGCTGAGGTGGGAGGATTACTTGAGGTCAGGGGAGTTGGCGACCAGCCTGGGCAAGATAATGTTGCCTGTCTCTACAAATATATACGTATATATATACATATATAAAAATATTTTAAAATAAAAATATATTAAAAACTAGGAAGAATCAAAAAGGGATGTGGCACTGATAAATACATTTATAATATTTTTTCATGGCATGAATTTTCTAGAGCATTCTACCTGAATTAAGTTATATCAGGCTTTCCTGTATTACTTACATTCATGCAACTACCCTCCAGTATGAACTTTCATATCAACTTTGAAAATCGTTAAAATTGAAAAACTTTCGATATTTACATTTATAGTTTCTATTCAGCGTGCACTTTCTTCACATGGTATTGTAAGGATGCACGCCAAATGAAGGCGTTGCCACAATCCTTACATTTATAAGGTTTCTCTCCAGTGTGCATTCTCATGTGCACTCGAAAGCCTGTAAGGAAACTGAAGGGTTTTCCACATTCTTTACATTCATAGGGTTTCTCTCCAGTATGAATTCGTTCATGTATATGAATATAACTGGAACTACTGAAGGCTTTACCACACTGTTTACATTCATAAGGTTTCTCTCCAGTGTGGGTTCTTTCATGTATCTGGAAACCTGCAAGAGTAATGTATGTTTTCCCACATTTTTTACATTCATACTGTTTCTTTGCAGTGTGCATCCTTTCATGTCTTCGGGCAGAACTGCAACAATAAAAGGCTTTCCCACATTCCTTACATTTGTAGGGTTTCTCTCCAGTATGAGTCCTTTCATGTCTTTGAGCTGAGTAGTAGTATCTAAATGCTTTTCCACATTTTTTACACTCAAAGGGTTTATCTCCAGTGTGAGTACTTTCATGTGCTTGAAAACCTAAAGGAGACAAGTAAGTTTTCCCACACAGTTTACATTCATAGTGTTTCTGTGCAGTGTGATTCCTCTCATGTTTTTGAGCAGTACAGTGGTAACTGAAGGCTTTCCCACATTCCTTGCATTTGTAGGGTTTCTCTCCAGTATGAGTCTTTTCATGTCTTTGAGCAGAGTTGTGATATACGAACACTTTCCCACATTTTTTACATTCATAGGGTTTTTCTCCAGTGTGAGTTCTTTCATGTGCTTGAAAACCTACAGAAGATATGTAGGTTTTTCCACATTGTTTACATTCATAGCGTTTCTGTACAGTGTGATTCCTTTCATGTGCTCGAGCAGAATGGCGGTAAATGAAGGGTTTCCCACATTCCTTACATTTGTAGGGTTTCTCTCCAGTATGAGCCTTTTCATGTTTTTGAGCAGATTGGTGGTATCGGAATGCTTTTCCACATTCTTTACACTTAAAGGGTTTATCTCCAGTGTGAGTCCTTCCATGTATTTGGAAAGAACGTTGACAACTGAAGGCTTTCCCACAGGCCTTACATTTGTAGACTATCCCTGCACTGTGTGTTCTTTTATGTTTTTTAAAAGACTGCAGATAACTGAAGGGTTTCCCACATTTCTTACATTTATATGGCTTCTCTCCATATTCCTGACACTTATACAGTTTGTGTCTGGTGTAAGATCTAATGTGCCTGTTAAGGGATGAATGATGGCTCAAGACTTTTCCACATACACTGCTTTCCCAAAGCTTTCCTCCAGAAGGAGTTTTCTTGTTCAGACTGAGATTTGCAATCTGGCTGAAACCTTCTCCGCCATGACTACCTTCTTTACTTTCACAGAGTCTCTCTACCATATGATTTCTGTAAAAAATGAGTAGCACATTAATAGTTCATTTTTTAAAGATTTTCTCTTTATTAACTGATACTAGAATAACTATTTTTTCCACTTTCAGGGAAAGTACAGATTTTTTTGTCCTGTCTAAATTGCTTGTGAGGTGAATGTACTGAATGCTATGGCCCTGCAAGAGGGCTCAAACATAACTGTTATGAAAACAGTGATTTTCATATATGGGTTTCTCTTTTTTTTTTTTTTTGAGACGGAGTCTCACTCTGTCACCCAGGCTACACTCTGTCGCCCAGGCTGGAGTGCAGTGGTGCGATCTTGGCTCACTGCAACCTCTGCCACCCGGGTTCAACTGATTCTCCTGCCTCAGCCTCCTGAGTAGCAGGGATTACAGGCACCTGCCATTGCGCCCGGCTACTTTTTCACTATGTTGCCGAGGCTGGTCTTGAACTCCTGACCTCACAATCCACCCACCTCGGCTTCCCAAAGTGCTGGGATTATAGGCGGGAGCCACCGCGCCTGGACCATGAACATCTATGCCATATTTAAGAAAGCACTTTGGGGCCAGGCGTGGTGGCTCACACCTGTAATCCCAGCACTTTGGGAGGCCGAGGCGGGCGGATCACAAGGTCAGGAGATCGAGACCATCCTGGCTAAACACAGTGAAACCCCGTCTCTACTAAAAATACAAAAAATTAGCCGGGCGTGGTGGTGGGCGCCTGTAGTCCCAGCTACTCGGGAGGCTGAGGCAGGAGAATGGTGTGAACCCAAGAGGCAGAGCTTGCAGTGAGCCGAGATCACGCCACTGCACTCCAGCTTGGGCGACAGAGCAAGACTCCGTCTCAGAAAAAAAAAAAAAAAAAAGAAAAGAAAGCACTTTGGGTTATTTTTATTTATTTATTTTTCCCGAGATGGAGCTTCACTCTTGTTGCCCAGGCTACAGTGCAATGGCACAATCTCGGCTTACTGCAGCCTCCGCCTCCCGGGTTAAAGCGATTCTCCTGCCTCAGCCTCCGAAGTAGCTGGGATTACAGGCATGTGCCACCATGCCCGGCTAATTTTGTATTTTTAGTAGAGATGGGGTTTCTCCATGTTGGTCAGGCTGGTCTTGAACTCCCGACCTCAGGTGATCCGGCTGCCTCAGCTTCCCAAAGTGCTGGGATTACAGGCATGAGCCACTGCGCTAGCTGGGTTAATATTTTCTAAGAACAGATACATTTGAGGCTCAGCTTGTTTTGTTTCTTTAATTATCAAATTTAATGACATACTAAGATTTTTCTCCTAGAATACTGCTTTCTTTTCTGAGTGTGACTCACCTGAGATTTCTCCCCTGGTTTTTGTACTGCTCTTCAATGTTCCATTCTTTTTGTTTTGTTCCTGAAATGCAGACCCAGAAAAAATTATCATAAATTATTAGAAATTACAGAAAAATTATTAGATTCTAGGTCCATATGTGACCATGCCTGATTTACAAAAGAATTTTGCCTTTTCACATTCCACATCTTGGAATAGCATTGATATCCAAGAAAAAGGTATTCTCTAATTCATTCAACAACATGATGGAATGATTTCATTTTTACCTATAGTGGCCAGGTTCCTGAAGGTTTCCCACATCACGTCTCTGTAGAGTTTTTTCTGTGAAGGATCCAGCAAAGTCCATTCCTCCTGGGTGAAGTTCACAGCCACATCTTCAAAGGTCACTGAGTCCTAAAACATTCCAAATGTGTGTAAAGGAGAATGGGTGAGACTGACAGCACTGGACATCTATACTCGAGTCATAAGATGTTCACGATGATTCTGTGATCTCCAGAGATTTATTCTATGAATTTGTTGTCAGAACTCTAACTCTTTGGCCACACTCCCTCAGTAGTTTATGAACACACGAAAATTATTTCTACACTTTCACTGTGATCACAATCATATTGCTTTCCAATGGCAGGATCCAGAGCACTCTGGAAAAGTGAGAGAAATGCTGTACAAAAAAATTCCATTTTAAGACCATCAATTCTTTGTGAGAAAAACTCATCTTCTTCTTATACATCACATCACTCAACATTCCATGAGACACAGGGTCAAACATGGATAATACGTGGATGAATAAAAGCACACTGAAGAACTAGAAGCTTTTTCTACTATTCCCATCACTAAGCATGAGAACAAGAGGCACGTGGAAATCAAACTTGTAACAATATTTACCTGACCATATTGTCCTGAGGTACTCTAGGATATTCGAGGTAGTCAGATCCAGCCAATTCAATCAAAATATTTCTTTTGGAGAAGTTGGCTGGGCACAATGGCTCACACGTGTAATCCTAGCACTTTGGGAGGCCGAGGCGGGCAGATTATCTGAGCTCAAGAGTTCGAGACCAGCCTGGGCAACATGGTGAAACCCTGTCTTGGTGGCTCACACCTGTAATCCCAGCACTTTGGGAGACCGAGGAGGGTGGATCACCTGAGGTCGGGGGTTCCAGACCAGCCTGGCTAAAATGGTGAAACCCCATCTCTACTAAAAATACAAAATTAGCTGGGTGTGGTGGTGCATGCCTATAATTCCAGCTACTTAGGAGGCTGAGGCAGGAGAATCACTTGAATCTGGGAGGTGGAGGGTACAGTGAGCCAAGATCGCACATTGCACTCCAGCCTGGGCAACGGAGCGAGACTCTGTCTCAAAAAAAAAAAAAAATTAGCTGGGTGTAGTGGTGCGCATCTCTAATCCCAGCTACTCAGGGGGCTGAGGCACGAGAATAGCTTGAGCCTGGGAGGCAGAGGTTGCAGTGAGCTGAGATAGCACCACTTCTCTCCACCCCAGAGAAGTGTTCATTTTCACTATTTGTGTTAATATTTATCAGAGACTTATTTCTTTCTGTCCCATTTCATGGAGCTATTAAGTTACTGGGAAGTTAGAGCTCAGGCATGAGGAATAAAGCATGACAACTTTAGATAAAATCTCTACACTTCTGAGCCTCAGGGATACTTCCTACCAATTTTTAGCAAATATTTGCCATCCTGAGATGGTAAAATGCCAAAAGAGCTCTTTCCAGCAGAACCATTCCAGTTAACCTTGGGACTTGCTGACCTTGAGGAACAGGTTAAGATTTGCAGTTTACAGGCCAGGCGCGTTGGCTCACGCCTGTAATCCCAGCACTTTGGGGGGCCGAGGCAGGCAGATCACCTGAGGTCGGGAGTTTGAGACCAGCCTGACCAACATGGAGAAACCCTGTCTCTACTAATAATACAAAATTAGCTGGGTGTGGTAGCACATGCCTGTAATCCCAGCTACTAGGGAGGCTGAGGCAGGATAATTGCTTGAACCTGGGAGACAGAGGTTGCCGTGAGCCTAGATCGCACCATTGCACTCCAGCCTGGGCAATAAGAGTGAAACTCCATCTCAAAAAAAAAAAAAAACAGATTTGCAATTTACAATAAAGTGCATTAAAGTCCACAATGATATGATGAATTTTCACATGATTATAAAATGTATAAAAGGTTCTCAGCAGAGGTTTCCTCCAAAAGAACATAAAATGCCCTTTCTCCAATTTAAGAAGGAAGTGATTCCCCAGCCACTCTAGAGAAGAGGGATAAGAGTTGAATTGAACTTCTTTTCAGAAACCATACGAGAAAGTAGAGTGAAATATTTAAAGTTCTGAAAGAAAAAATCTGTATCAAGCAAAATTATCCTTCAAATGAGTCCGTAGTACTTTCTGAGACAAAAATTGAGGGAATCTGTCACCAGTACACCTGCTTTGCAAGAAATGTTAAATTCACCAGAAAGAAAGTAAATAACAAAGAAAGGTACTGCAATAGAAAAGGCATAAGTGGAAGCAAAATATAATCATTTTCTCATCCTTGATTAATGTGACAGATAACAGGTTGTTCAAAGTAATAATAGCTACAACATATAAGTACAGTTTATGGATAAGTGAAATGAGTAACAGCATTGTTATGAGGGAGGAATTGGGAATACTCTATTATGAGTTACTTGGGCAACCAGTGAAGTGGCCTAAGATTGCTAGAAAGAGGGCTTGGGATAGCTGTATACTGAAAACTCAAGGGCAACCATTAAAATAGTGTAAAAAAAAAAAGTATAATCAATATGTTAAGAGAGGGAAAAAATGAAATCAGGTAAGGTAAAGAGTCAAACACTGAAGTCACAAAGAAAATTAAAAAGTATGTAATCTACAAGTAAACTACCTAATTATATGTTGCCTACAAGAAACTTTTTTTTTTTTTTTTTTTTTTTTTGAGAGACAGAGTCTCACTCTGTCTCCCAGGCTAGAATGCACTGGCACAATCTTGGCTCACTGCAACCTCCGCCTCCAGGGTTTAAGCGATTCTCCTGCCTCAGCTTCCCAAGTAGCTGGGACTATGGGCGTGTGCCACCACACCCAGCTAATTTTTTATTTTTTAGTAGAGACAGGGTTTTGGTTTACGTTGGCCAGCTAGTCTCGAACTCCTGACCTTAGGTGATGTGCCCGCCTCAGCCGCCCGAAGTGCTGGGATTACAGGCGTAAGCCACTGCACCTGGCTTTTTTTTTTTTTTTTTTTTGAGACAGAATTGTGCTCTGTTGCCCAGGCTGGAGTGCAGAGGTGTGGTCTCAGCTCACTGCAACCTTCGACTCTTGGGTTCAAGTGATTCTCCTGTCTCAGCCTCCTGAGTAGCTGGGATTACAGGCACATGCCACCACACCTGGCTAATTTTTGTATTTTTAGTAGAGAGAGGGTTTTGTCATGTTGGCCAGGCTGGTCTCAAACTCCTGACTTCAGGTGATCCACCTGCCTTGGCCTCCCAAAGTGCTGGTATTACAGGCGTGAGCCACTGTACCCGCCCAAGGAGTTGATTCTCTAAGAAGACGTAGAGAATCTATGTATAATCTTTAGCGTACATGTGCATAACAAAAGAACTGCAAAATGCACAAGGCAAAATGTGATAGGACTACAAGGAGAGATACATGAATCCATGACTATGGTTGAGATTTCAACACCCTCCTACCAGTAATTAAGAGATCCAGTAGGCAGAAAAAAAAACAGGAAGGACAGGCCGAGTACAGTGGCTCACGCCTATAATCCCAGCACTTTGGGGATGCTGAGGTAGGGGGATCGCTTGAAGCCAGGAGTTTGAGACCAGCATGGCCAACTAGCAAAACCCATCTCTACTTAAAATACAAAAATTAGCCAGGCGTGGTGGCAGGTGCCTGTAATCCCAGCTACTCGGGAGGCTGATGCAGGAGAATCGCTTGAACCCGGGAGGCAGGGGTTACAGTGGGCCCAGATCGCACCACTGCACTCCAGCCTGGGTGACACAGCGAGACTCTGTCTCGAAAAAGGAAAAAATAAGAAGGACACAGGTGAACTGAATAGCACCAAACAATAGATTCCACTGAAATACATGGAATCCTTCATCCAACTACAGCAGTATACACATACTTCTCAAGTTCACATGGAACAGTCACCAAGATAAGATAGACTACATTGTGGGACATAAAACAAACCTAATCCAGAAGATCACAGCAGATTAAAAAAAAAAAACACTTTAACAAACTTGAAAGAAAAATTATATAAAATATGCTTGCAGACTACAATGACAATATAAAAATCAATAACAAAAAAACAGTTGAAAAACCTCAAAATACTTGCAGATTAAACCACACACCTCTAAACGACCCACGGATGAAAGTAGTAGTTTTAAGGGCACTTAAAAACTAGTTTTTTCCTTTTTAAAGATTTTTTCCTTTTGTGTTAAAAAGCAGCCCTCAAAATCTCATAGAACTATTTTTACCTAAATGAATGAAAGGCTGGGCCTGGTGGCTCACACGTGCAATCCCAGCACTTTGGAGGCCAAGGTGGGCCGACTGCCTGAGGTCAGGAGTTCGAGACTACTCTGGCCAACCTGGTGAAACCCTGTCTCTACTAAAAATACAAAAAAATCAGACAAGAATGGTGGCATGCACCTGTAATCTCAGCTACTTGGGAGGCTGAGGCGGGGGAATTGCTTGAACCAGGGAAGTGGAGGTTGCAGTGAGCCGCAATCGCACCACTGCACTCCAGCCTGGGCGACAGAGCGAGACTCCATCTCAAAAATAATAATAATAATAATAAAATAAAAAATAAATGAATGAAAATACAGCTTATTAAACTTTGTAGGGGCTAGGCGTGGTGGCTCACGCCTATAATCCCAGCACTTTGGGAGGCTGAGGTGGATGGATCACTTGAGGTCAAGAGTTCGAGACCAGCCTGGGGCAACCTGGCAAAACCCCATCTTTACTAAAAATACAAAAAAATTAGCCAGGCATGGTGGCACATGCCTGTAATCCCAGCTACTTGGGAGGCTGAGGCACGGGAATCACTTGAACCTGGGAGGCAGAGGTTGTGGTGAACCAAGATCGTGCCACTGCACTCCAGCCTGGGTGACAGAGTGAGACTCCGTCTCAAAACACACACACACACACACACACACACACACACACACACACACCCCTTTGTGGGACACAGCAAAAGTATATACATAGAGGACAAGTATGCTACTGAACATATACACTAGAAAGGAAGAAAAATATATAATCAATTATCTAAGCATGTGCTTTAGGAAATTAGAAAAAGCAAATTAAAACCATAGTAAGCAAAAGAAAAGAAATTTTTTCAAATAGTGAAACTGCAAGAAATAAAAAAAAAATCAAAACCAAAAGCCAGCTCTTTGAAAAGATGAATAAAATTGATTAAAAAATCTAGTCAAGCTAACTGAGGAAAACAAAGAGGACAGAAATTACTAATATCACAAATGAAAAGGAAAATGAAAATGAGAAAGCATTTGGCTAAGTACAACTTCCATTTATGACAGCAAACTAGCAATAGAGAGAAACTACTGCTTAAGAAAGAACATCTACAAGAAACTTACAGCTAACATCATACTTAATAGTGAAAAACAAGATGCTTTCCCAGTAAGATGAAGAACAAGGCAAGGGAGTCCTCTCACACAGCATTTCTATTCAACATGGGACTGGCACATAGTGTGGGGTTGCATCAGAAGCCTGTGGACAACTTATGACCATCTGGCTACCTGCAGGGCCACAAGAAGGGGGTGCTAAAGCCTACGTAGTCTGGCCGGGCACGGTGGCTCATTCCTGTAATGCCAGCACTTCGGGAGTCCAAGGTGGGCGGATCACCTGAGGTCAGGAGTTCAAGACCAACCTCAACATGGAGAAACCCCGTCTCTACTAAAAATACAAAATTAGCCAGGCGTGGTGACACGTGCCTGTAATCCCAGCTACTAGGGAGGCTGAGGCAGGAGAATTGCTTGAACCTGGGGAGGCGGAGGTTGCAGTGAGCCGAGATCACACCATTGCACTCCAGCCTGGGCAACAAGAGCGAAACTCTGTCTCAAAAAAAAAAAAAAAAAAAAAAAAAAACAGCCTACATAGTAAAGGAGTCAGAGGGCATTAATTGCATGGCAATTTGAATAGTCTAGAAGCCTCTGTGGTAAAAATACCCATTCAAGGTGGGCCAACCCGCAAGTCACAGCATAACTGGATTTAATTAAAATTTGCGCACAAGGATTATGTTGCCTCCAGCAGAACAAAGAACAAAAGAATCTGAAAGATATTATGATGGTGAGAAAGTCAATAGCTATTTCTTAGCCTGGCCAACATGGTGAAACCTCATCTCTACTAAAACTACAAAAAAATTAGCCAGGCATGGTGGTGTATGCCTGTAATCCCAGCTACTCAGGAGGCTGAGGCAGGGGAATTGCTGGAACCTGGGAGGCGGAGATTGCAGTGAGCCGAGATCCACTGCACTCCAGCCTGGGTGACAGAGAGATCCTGTCTCAAAATACAAAAACAAAAACACGCTATTTCTTCACTATGTCAGAGAGGATGCGGTCCTCTGCTTACCACATAATTTTCAGGAATTTAGCCAAGGTGTCAGTGCCTCTTACATTCTAGATGGGGCAATAGCCCTTCCACTTTTTGTAAGCTCTTTTCTTTCAATATTTGTATGTCTTGAATGAATGTCAAATGACTGTCCCCAGAGAGCAATTACTCTTTTTTTTTTTTTTTTTTTTTGAGACGGAGTCTTGCTCTGTCACCCAGGCTGGAGTGCAGTGGTACAATCTTGGCTCACTGCAACCAACCTCTGCCTCCCAGGTTCAAGTGATTCTTGTGCCTCAGCCTCCCAAGTAGCTGGGATTACAGGCGCTCACCATCACACCGGGCAAATTTTTGCATTTTTTAAAGTAGGGACAGGTTTTTGCCATGTTGGCCAGGCTGGTCTCAAATTCCTGACCTCGAGTGATCTTCCCACCTCAGCCTCCCACAGGTGTGGGATTACAGGCATGAGCCACTGCTCCTGGCCAGCAATGACTCTAACATAATGCCATGCCTGTGCTCCTGAAGAAAGGTAGATAAAATTTAGATCTTGCCAGCAAAGACTGCAATATCAAGGCTACTGAGGTTCCCTGAATAGAAACCAGATAAAGGTGGACCACATCCCTTCAAAGGTGAAGGTAAACTGCAGCTAAGTCTGTTGAAATAGAGACTGAACAAAACCTATACAAATCTGTGACTACAGAATATCTACCACTTGTTCATTGGATGGAATCAGTAATCTCCATAATGTTGGATATTGGGTGTAGGGGCTCAATAGGTTGGGATTACAGCAGTAAATTGCAACAGTCCACTTTGAGGCACCCAGATTTAAGAACAAGCCAAATTAGGCTGGGTGCGGTGGCTCACACCTATAATCCCAGCACTTTGGGAGGTTGAGGAGGGTAGATCACCTGAGGTCAGGAGTTCGAGACCAGCCTGGCCAACATGGTGAAACCCCGTCTTTACTTAAAAAAATACAAAAATTGGCCAGGCGTGGTGGCTCGTGCCTGTAATCCCAGCATTTTGGGAGGCCGGGGCAGGTGGATCACGAGGTCAGGAGTTTGAGAGCAGCCTGGCCAACATGGTGAAACTCCGTCTCTACTAAAAATATAAAAATTAAAAATATAAAAATTAACCGGGCGTGGTGGCAGGTGCCTGTAATCCCAGCTACCTGGGAGGCTGAGGCAGGAGAATCATTTGAAACCGGATGATGGAGGCTGCAGTGAGCCGAGATCGCGCCACTGCACTCCAGCCCCGGCAACAGCAAAACTCTGTCTCAAAAAAAAAAAAAAAAAAAAAATTCAACTGGGCATTGTGGTGCACGCCTGTAATCCCAGCTACTCGGGAGGCCAAGGCAGAAGAATCACTTGAACCCGGCTGGTGGAGATTACAGTGAGCCAAGATTGCGCCACTGCACTCTAGCCTGGGCGATAGAGCGAAACTCTATCTCAAAACAAAAAAACAAAAACAAACAAAAAAAACAGGCCAGGCCAAATTAGGCTGTTAAAAGGAGAAATACTCGGCCAAGTGCAGTGGCTCATGTCCGTAATCCCAGCACTTTGGGAGGCTGAGGTAGGAGGACTGCTTGAGCCCAGGAGTTCAAGACCAGCCTGGACAACATAGTGAGATCTCATCTCTACAAAAAAAAAAAAAAAAAAAAAAAAATTAGCTGAGCATGGTGGCGCACCTGTGGTCTCAGCTTCTCAGGAAGCTGATGCAGGAGGATGCTTCAGCCCAGATGTTGGAGGCTGCAGTGAGCTGTGATTGCATCACTGGATTCCAGCGTGGGCAACAGAGTGAGATCTTGTCTCAAAAAAAAAAAAAAAAAAAAAAAAAAAGCACTGGGGATAACTGCCCCTTCACTACAACCATACAACCATTAATGGTTTTGTATAATAGCTGTCAATCCTTCAAGGCCCATCAATTTACATTGAGTCATATTAACTAATTTAATTGGGGAGTAAGTTTCATGGGGTCCCATTTTGTCAATCTAATTTGTAACTGCCAAATACCTAATTTGAATTTATGGCCAGGTGCAGTGGCTCATGCCTGTAATTCCAGCACACTGGGAGGCCACAGCAGGTGAATCACTTGCGGCCAGGAGTTTGAGACCAGCCTAGCCAACATGGCAAAACCTCGTCTCTACGAAAAACACAAGAATTAGATGGGCGTGGTGGCAAGTGCCTGCAATCCCAACTACTCAGGAGGCTGAGGCAGGAAAATTGCTTAAACCTGAGAGGCGGAGGCTGCAGTGAGCTGAGATCCCGCCATGCACTCCAGCCTAGGTGACAGAGCGAGACTCTGTCTCAATAAATAAATAAATAAATAACTCACTGGTTCAGAGCTTCCTTGGTCACTGTGGGATTTTTTAAGGGCTGTTGTCTCACCCTGTCACCCAGGCTGGAGTGCAGTGGCACAGTCACAGCTCACTGCAGCCTCAACCTCCCAGGCGCAAGCTACCCTCCCACCTCAGCCTCCCAAGCAGCCAGGACTACAGGTGCGTGCCACTACACCCGGCTAATTTTTGTATTTTTTGTAGACACAGGGTCCCACCATGTTGCCCAGGCTCGTCTTGAACTCATGGGCTCCAGCAATCCACCTACCTTGGCCTCCCAAAGTGCTGGGATTACAGGCATGAGCCACCGCACCTGGCCCTATGTGATATTTTAAGACAATTTGTTCTATAATACAACCAAGAATGACTTAGCCAACACAATAGTTATGATGGCTAAGGAGAGGCACAGGGATTTCTGCTCTATTTATTTTATATTCACTAATTCCTCTATGATTATCAGGATACCTTCATTAAATTTGATGGGATACCCAGGTATAACTATAACATGAGCCCTAGTATTAATCCCATGAAGGTTTATCAACTGATACAGATGTTAAAATTCAGAACCTACATTATAGAGGCCAAAAACCCAAGGAGTGCCCTTTTTATGATTTTTGTTATGCAAATTCCTTTAATACATTTCCAACTGGGTCAAACTGTGGACTTCTGTTTCATCAGTGTTTTTTTATTTTGTTCCTTCCCTTCCCTGCTTTGTTTTTTGGTTACTGGATGTACTCTGGGGGAGGGTGTGTCCTCTCTAACCTGGTACTAATATTTTTTTTCCCCACCAGAGAGCCTGTGTCATCAGGGTGTCATCACTGTCATCAGGGTGAAGCACCTCCCCTACGGCAATGGTTGCTCTAGAAGGTTTAAGAACCCCAGGTTTAAGTCAGGTTTGAACTAACTTCTTTGTTATGCCACAACTATGCCATGGGTGTTATCCCCCACTAAACCCAAAGGTCAAGCTCTCTGTTGTGGGAGAGGCGCATGAAGCAGCAGCAATAGCACTTTAGGGTCTTGGGAAAGCTTCTGCTGTTAAAGAGTGTGGACTCAGTCCATCATCTAATGGCTGCTGTTCCCCACCTTCCCTCCCTGTCCTCTTTTTGAAGGACTGCTCTTCCAGGGGCAGCCACATAATGACCAACCTCTGACAGTGTATACAGTCCCCCCTCCACTCCCACTCTTTACATTTGGGGCAACCCAGGCATCAGTCACAACTTCACTATAAATACACAGGTCTCAGGCCGCCACTGCGAGAGGAGCCGCCACCATGTCCGCGCATCTGCAATGGATGGTCGTGCAGAACTGCTCCAGTTTCTGATCAAGAGGACTATGCCGACCTACAGCACCAAGCCCAGTAACTTGAAGGCCCCAGCTCCTTCCGCTACAACGGGCTGATTCACCACAAGACTGTGGGCGTGGAGCCGGCAGCCGAGGACAAAGGTGTGGTGGTGGTCACGAAGCAGAGATCCGGCCAGCCGAAGCCTGCCACCTCCTACGCGCGGACCACCATCAACAAGAATGCTGGCGTCACGCTCAGCAGCATCAGACACATGATCCTCAAGAACAAGTACCGCCCCGACCTGCGCATGGCAGCCATCCGCAGGGTCAGCGCCATCCTGTGCAGCCAGAAGCCTGTGATGGTGAAGCGGAAGCGGACCCGCGCCACCAAGAGCTCCTGAGCCCCCTGCCCCCAAAGCAATAAAGAGTCAGCTGGCTTTCTCACCACCAGCCCCTCATGCCCGCAAAAAACAAAAACAAAAACAAAAAAACAAAACAAAAACACAGGTAGGTCCTTGCCCAGGATGTAAACCCAGGACCACTTTAAGGAAGGCCCTACTCCCATACTCCAGCTCCCCAATTCCAAGGAATTATCAAAAACTGTCAACTAAAGTCAGCTGAACCTAGAACCAGACTTGGTAGGGCTCAACAATGGAAGAAACACAGAGCAGCACAGCACAAAGCATGTGCTCCCAGTAAGCAGCAGCTCAAACTCTAAATGGGCCATAGAGCAGGTCAGCAATTCAGAACAAGAGAAGATAGACCCATGAGTGGTGGTCAATATCTAGACATCTTGTTCACAGCACCAACTGCTAGTCACCTAGAAGGGCGAGGCTGCAATGATGACACTGATGACAGTGGGTCTCACACACACTGAGAGGGTATGAAAAGGCTTATTACTCCCATGACTGACGTCTCTAGGGAGAACAGGGCAGGCCTCTCAAGCAGGTGGGAAATGGCTTAAAAAAGCAAGGAAGGGAACTTGCCCAGGGTGTTTACTGTGGTTGGAAGTGGGGCTGGGCGCAAGTTCCTCTGCATGGGCAGCTGGTTATGTGGTTTGAGTCTCCTGCCCATGACAGAGGAAGGATGCCCAGGCCTTCTCAGCTTGTCCAGAAGTAGGGCATTAAGGGAAGAGGATGAAGTGGTCAATTGTGAAACATTAAAAATGTAGAGTCCAACCACTAATTACAAGAACAATGTTGAACAGGGCCAGGCATAGTGGCTCTGGTGGCTCACGCTTGCAATCCCAATGCTTTGGAAGGCCAAAGTGGAGGATCGCTTGAGCCCAGGAGTTCAAGACCAGCCTGAGCAACATAGCCAGACCCCATCTCTATATAAAAAATGAAGTAGCTGGGTGTGCTGGCATGTGACTGTAGTCCTAGCTACTCAGGAGGCTGAGATGGGAGAATCACTTGAGCTCAGTTCAAGGTTACAGAGAGCTATGATTGCACTACTGCACTCCAGCCTGGATGACAGAGCAAGACCATGTCCTCTGTCTCTAACAATAACAACAACAACAAAAAAGACAATGTGTTCAACAATAGTGAATAGGAAAAATACGCATTTACAATTGCTTGTTTTTATATAAAGAAACACTAACAGATGCACAAGTTATTATCAAAACTGGTTATCTGGGGGTGGCTGGAGCAAGAGCACTAGGGTAAACCAGGATATTCTAGCAGTAAGTTTTCTCAACCCACACTTTCTTTTAGATTTTTTTAAACCTTTGTGTGTATTTTAAATGATTGAAAAAAATTATATAAACCATACTTTACTATTAGCCATTATTTTTAATTAACTTGTTTCTAAAATTTATTGACTTTTAACTTTTTTTAAACATAGGAAACCATTGTAAGATTTCATCCTTTAAATAATGGGTATAAAAGTGTAAATTAAGAAAAAAATCTCTAACTAAATGACAAATTGCATCATATTTTATCTTTCTACTGTATCCCAGAGGGCAGTGCTTTCAGGAATGAGTAGCCTATTTAAAGCATGATGGATTTAAACCTAACTCTAAATGTAAAAAAGTCTCAAAGATTACATAAGTTTTGAGTAGTTTCCATCGTATCATTAAAATAGGAACTCAATTGAATTTTCATCTTATCAATTAAAATAAAAATTCATTTTTCTTTTTCTTTTTTCTCTTTTTTTGGTGGAGTCTCACTTTGATGCCCAGGCTGGAGTGCAATGGTGTGACCTCAGCTCACTGCAACCTCCGTCTCCCAGGTTCAAGCAATTCTCCTGCCTCAGCCTCCCGAGTAGCTGAGATTACAGGCGCACACCACCACACCAGGCTAATTTTTGTATTTTTAGTAGAGACAGGGTTTCACTGTGTTAGCCAGGATGGTTTTGATCTCCTGACCTCATGATCTGCCCGCCTCGACCTCCCAAAGTGTTGGGATTACAGGCCTGAGCCACTGCACCCGGCCCAAAATTCATTTTTCTTAAAGAGTAGAGCCTTTTAAATGTCACATCCTCTAGGGCATATGCACATACAAAACTGACTTAAAAATGAAAAATGTACCCGAGAACTTCAATGCACTCATCTTGCATCTTAAGATTCTTTTGCACAAAAGGAACACAATTCTGCTTGGTTCCAGAATTGTCTTGCCTTACATCATATTTATCAACTTTCATTTTCAAAGCCAAAGAAACGAAAATCCTACACACTCACATGTATAAATTACAAAATGCTAAGGGAAACTACAGTTGAAGCACCACAATAAACAGAAAAAGGAAACCAAAGGAAAGAAACACAAATATTCTAATCAGCTTAGCAGCCTGCTTCCCCACAATTCAGAATTGTAAAATCCACACACAGAAGGTCAAACACCCTAACAAGCTGGGGGTTCAGACTCTCACCATTAAGGTGTAACACCTAGAGTAGTTCAGTCCCAGATTCAGTTTAAGGTTCTGACCCAAATGAACTCTCAAATTCATCAATCTTTTTTTTTTTTTTTCCGGAGACGGAGTTTCACTCTTGTTGCCCAGGCTGGAGTGCAATGGCGCAATCTCCCGCTCACCGCAACCTCCATCTCATGGGTTCAAGCAATTCTCCTGCCTCAGCCTCCTGAGCAGCTGGGATTACAGGCATGTGGCACCACACCCAACTAATTTTGTATTTTTAGTAGAGACGGGGTTTCTCCATGTTGGTCAGGGTGGTCTCGAAGTCCCGACCTCAGGTGATCCGCCCGCCTCAGCCTCCCAAAGTGCTGGGATTACAGGCATGAGCCACCATGCCTGGCTTCAAATTCATCAATCTTAGATCCAGGAGACAAAAGTCCTAACTTCACAGACTTTCTCAACATGTAAATATTACACTCTGAATGCAGCAACACTGGGGATGCAAAACAGAAGGCTGGGAGTGGTGGCTCATGCCTGTGATCCCAGCACCTGGCAGGCCAAGATGGGAGTCCCTGAGGCTACAAGTTTGAGACCAGCTTGGGCAATGTATCAAAACCCTGTCTCTACAAAAAACAAAAAACAAAAAAACAAAAAAATTAGCGCTGGGTGCAGTGGCTCACGCCTGTAATCCCAGCACTTTGGGAGGCCGAGGCGGGCGGATCACGAGGTCAGGAGATCGAGACCATCCTGGCTAACATGGTGAAACCCCGTCTCTACTAAAAATACAAAAAATTAGCTGGACATGGTGGCAGGCGCCTGTAGTCCCAGCTACTTGGGAGGCTGAGGAAGGAGAATGGCGTAAACCCAGGAGGCAGAGCTTCCAGTGAGCCGAGATGGCACCACTGCACTCCAGCCTGGGCGATAGAGCGAGACTCCGTCTCAAAAAAAAAAAAAAAAAAATTAGCCAAGCATGATAGCATGTGCCTGTAGTCCTAGCTACTTGGGAGGCTGAGGTGGGAGGATCACTTGAGCCCAGGAGGCTGCAGTGAGCCAAGACTGTGCCACTGCACCCCAGCCTGGGTGACAGAGTAAGACCCTGTATCAAACGAAACAACAACTACCCCTCAAATCCACTGTCTAAAAACAGGCCCAAGGAAACTACAATTACAACCCCAGAAGTATCACGCTGTTCCCCTCCCCACCACGTACATGTGGATCCCCAGTTTTCCAATGCTCAGTTTCTGTCAGTACCAAAGGGGTCTTTCCTTGATAGGTGTGAGTATGTAGGACACCTGCTCTCCTTGATAAGCGTGAGTACGTAGGACACCTGCAGGGGAAGCACCCTAAGGAGAACCACCTGGGTCTTAATTACTTCCCTTGGCAGAGTCAAAGGTGGCCTTACCTTCTAGTCACTGCCTCAGGCCTCCGCTCACTAGTCATGCGGCTTTAGAACACTTTTGATATTTTAAATGAGAAAAACCCAGTGTTTCAAGAATTCAGCAAAATCACTCAAACCAAGTATTTATGTATAAAGCATGGAAGCAAACTGTAAAACATTATCTAGTTTCAAAACAAAACCCACAAATATCTATTCCTTTTGGAAAATGAAGTTAATTATAAATGATTATTTAATCACTAGTCAAACTATTAATCATTAATCATGATAAACTATAATCATTAGTCAAACTAATAATGTAATCAATAGTTAATTATTATAAACAATTTTTTTTTAGAGGGGGTCTCACTCTGTCACCCAGGTTGGAGTGCAGTGGCACAATCTTGGCTCACTGCAACCTCCACCTTGCAGGCTCAAGCGATCCTCCCACCTCAGCCTCCAAAATAGGTGGGACCACAGGCACGCACCACTATGCCTGACTAATTTTTTGTATTTTTTGTTAGAGACAGGGTTTCGCCATGTTGCCCAGGCTGGTCTGGAGCTCCTGAGCTCAGGAGATCCACCTGCCTTGGCCTCCCAAAATGCTGGGGTTACAGGCATGAGTCACTGTGCCCAGCCAGAAGTGGTTTTCTAAACAATCATATTTTAACACACCTAGGAATTGTAAGTCTAAGCCCTGGAATTCCTCTTGAAATCAACCAAAAGAAAAAAACGAGCCTCAGAAACTTAGAAGAAAAAGGGGTTAAAATAATATTTAGGCTAGGCACAGTGGCTCATGCCCGTAATCCCAACATTTTGGGAGGATCACTTGAGCTCAGGAGTTCGAGACCAGCCTGGGCAACATAAAGAGGCACGCTCTCTACAAAAAATTAGCTGGGTGTGGTGGTCCCAGCTACTCGGGAGGCTGAAGTGGGAAGATCGGTTGAGATGGGGAGGTCGAAGCTGCAGTAAGCCTTGATCCCCCCAGTGCATTCAAGCCTCAGCGAGAGGGAGACACTGTCTCAAACAAACAAACAAAAAAAGCAGGATGTAATACTGGATTTCTTTTTTCCAGAAATTCACCTTTCTTGGCCTTTTTGGAAATATTTTGTACCATCCTTCACGCTCTAGTGATTGAACACACCTTACATTTACCTAAATACTAACACACAATCGAGTCGACGTTTTCAAGGTGATAAAGCCGGGGAGGCTCAGTGCTGATCCGCAACTATGCTCAAGGACAGATCACCCAGAAAAATTTCCAAAGAGGATCCTCAACACGTAAGATGTCTGTGCCAAGGAAAGATACTGGGAGGTGAGGCACAACCATTTCATACAACTAACTTCCAAGCTGCTATCTCTGCTTTCCTCTCTCGTAAAATATCCACGAACAACAACAAAATTAAATCTAAAAGACTAATCCTTTGCTCTGTGGAAAATAGATTATTAAAACACAGTAAGTTTTCCCTAAAAGTCGTCGAGAGGGTCTTAGAAACTGCGACTTTATGGTATAACAAAACCTATTTGTTTCCTTATCAACGATGTAAGGAACATTCTAGAACCTGGTGCACGTCGTTTCGCTAAAGTTGCACCCAAGGCGGGAATTCTCCCCATGACCCTCCCATGGTCCCCGCACAATCTGGGGGAGACGCGGGCCTGCGGGCGCGGAGCTGCCCAGAGAGGGCTCTGGGGCTGGGGGCGAAGTCACCACGCAGGGACAGGACAGGACGCCCGGGGTCCCGACTGCCGGCCGGACCAGGGCCACCCTGCGGCCAAGGGGACCGAGGGCCGAGCTGTGCCATGGGGACTAGAGCCCCAGACCCCGGAGTCGCCCGCAGGGAGGCCCGGGTCCCGCCACAGCCGGTCCCAGCCAGCCCCTCCTCCCGCGTGTCGGGACCCCAGCCCGGCACACTCACCATTTCCTGGACTCCAGGGTGTCCCAGCATCCTCCTGATGGCTCTCCTGGCCACAGCAGGGCAAATCGCGACACACCCTGAGCTGACACACCCTCAGCACTTTCAGAGAAGCCGAGAGCGACCCGAGGGCGCCAAGGCGAGAGGGAAAAAAAACCCAAACCCACGGGCTTTAGCGCGTCGCCCCGCCTGCTGCCCTACAGCACGCCTGATTGGACTGTTGGCACGGCCCCGCCCTCAGAACCCCTAATTGGATAGTGCCCTAGGCCCCTCCCCCTGGGGTGGGGGACACAGTGCAGAGAGGAGAGGTAAGGCAAGCGCCTGAGAGGGGCCAGAATGACAGATTCTTGACCATTGCCCTTGCCAGCTTGGGCATCCTCCCTGATCCATTTTCCCCTATCAATAAGTTAAATGAGTCCAAGATCCTCAAACCTATTGTTTAAATAAGAAACCAGCAGGACATGCCCTCGCCAGAGGACATTGGAATTTAAGAACTTGCTCCTGGCTTTCCAGAGCTGGCACTGGCGTCTCCCTGTACTAATGGGACTTTCTTTCTTCTTCCTCTTGGACAAAAGGGAATTGCATTCTCAGTGGCCAAAGGAACGATCCTCGTGCCTCAGAGCAGGAGGGGTGCCTAGACCAGGTCACACTGGAACATGGGAGAGGGCTTGATGTCCTCCAGGGGTCAGGAATTTGGAAAGAAAGGCTGTTGGTGGCATGGCGAAGGCTTCCTCACACCTTATCCCTCAGTCTACTCATTTTTTCTTTTTTCTTTTTTTTTTTTTTGAGACAGAGTCTTGCTCTGTCGCCCAGGCTGGAGTGCAGTGGCGTGGCATGATCTCGGGTCACTGCAACCTCTGCCTCACGGGTTCAAGCAATTCTCCTGCCTCAGCCTCCTGAGTAGCTGAGATTACAGGCACCCACCACCACACCAGGCTAATTTTTGTATTTTAGTAGAGACGGAGTTTCACCTTGTTGGTCAGGCTGGTCTCGAACTCCTGACCTCAAATGATCCACCTGCCTTGGCCTTGCAAAGTGCTGGGATTACAGGAGTGAGCCACCGTGCCCGGCCTGCCTACTCATTTTCAGCCAAAAAATTAAAACACACCAACAAGGGAATACAGTTATTTAATATATGGGAAAAAGGGGAGTTATATGACAGCAATATTCTATAAAGGAATAAAAACGGAAGAAAAGGAAACATCTGAATTGGTTCATTTAAGCAGTCTACACTGCACTACCATTTACAAGGAAAACGCCAAGTGACAAACATATTCCCAAGCTGGGGAGTCAGACTCTGTTGAAAGGGGCCCAAGAGTCTATCAGTCCCTGGTGATGAGGCAGAGAAACCTAAGGATTTAACTCTGGGAGCTCAACATGTCCTCCTGTTCCCACCTCATGTGGGAACAATCTTCCCTTCAAGATCTTTATTTTCAAAAGCAAGAAACTCTCACCTGGAGTCAGTTTAAGGTTCTGCCCTAAACTGTCAACTTTATAAACCCTTCTTCTAGGAGACAACCCAAATGAGACTTAGTCTCTAAGTCTCACCTTGACAGATTGTCTTTTTTTTTTTTTTAATTTTTGAGACAGAGTCTTGCTCTGTCAACCAGGCTGGAGTACAGTGGTGTGATCTCGGTTCACTGCAAACTCTGCCTCCCAGGTTCAAGCGATTCTCCTGTCTCAGCCTCCCAAGAAGCTGGGATTACAGGCGAGCGTGACCACACCTGGCTAATTTTTGTATTTTTAACAGAGACAGGGTTTCACCATGTTGGCCAGGCTAGTCTCAAACTCCTAACCTCAGGTGATCCGCCTGCCTCGGCCTCCCAAAGTGCTGGGATTACATGGGCCTTTGGTGTTCTTACACACACACACAGACACACACACACACACACACACACACACACACACACAAGCTCCTTCCCCACCCCAGTCACAAAGATACTCTCCTACATCTGATGCTAACTTTGTATTTTTGCTTTTCATCATTTTAGTGTTAATTTTCACATATGATATGAGATAAAGGTCTCAGTTCATCTTTCTGCAGGTTAATATCCAGTTGTCCCAGCACCATGTTGAAAACGCTTTCCCCATTATCTTGGGGCATTTGTAGAAAATCAACAGACCATAAATGAAGATTATTTCTGGTCTCTCTATTCTGTTCTACTGGTCTATGTCTAACATTATACTAGTAAATCTGGCTAATCTACTACCTGCCCTGTTGATGGATGGCCCCATTTCATTCCACATGATTGCCTTGCAGGTCCAGAAATGGTTTCAGAGCCAGGAGAAAATCTCTTTATTATTATTTAACTTACACTGTTATTTATTTTGAGACAGGGTCTCACTCTGTCACCCAGGCTGGAGTACAGAGGCATGATCATAGCTCACCACAGCCTCAAACTCCTGGGTTCAAGTTATCCTCCCACCCAGTAACTGGGACTACAAGCACATGTCAGCATGCCTGGCTAATTTTTTTTTTTTTTTTTTTCTGAGACAGGGTCTTGCTCTGTTGCCTAGGCTGGCGTGCAATGGCACAATCATGGCTCACTCCAATCTCACCCTGCCAAGCTCAAGCAATCCTTCCACCTCAGCTTCCCGAATAGCTGAGACTACAGGCGTGCACCACTACCCCAACTAATTTTTAAAATTATCTGTAGACACATGGTCTCCCTATGTTGCTGAGACTAGTCTCAAATTCCTAGACTCAAGTGATCCTCCTGCCTTAGCCTCCCAAAGTGTTGGGATTACAGGCTTGAGCCACCATGCCTGGGCCCCTGGCTATGAGAATCTGGGAAGCACTCCAACCACAAGTAAATAGTTCATCCACACCTGGATACTCCAAAATCACTGCACCCTGGATACACTGACTGTCTGCCCAGCAAGGAGAGTGAGCGACCACTGCTGGAAAATACTGCTTTTATGTGCATGACATGAGAAAAATTGTGTCTAGTTTACACATTCTAAAAAAGAAGGCCGGGCACAGTGGCTCACGCCTGTAATCCCAGCACTTTGGGAGGCCAAGGCAGATGGATCACAAGGTCAGGAGATTGAGACCATCCTGGCTAACACGGTGAAACCCTGTCTCTACTAAAAATACAAAATTAGCCAGGCATGGCGGCGGGTGCCTGTAATCCCAGCTACTCGGGAGGCTGAGGCAGGAGAATCACTTGAACCCAGGAGGCAGAGGTTGCAGTGAGCCGAGATAGCACCATTGCACTCCAGCCTGGGCAACAAGAGTGAAACTCCATCTCAAAAAATAAAATAAAATAAAATAAGAGATGGAGTCTCACTATGTTCCCCAGGCTGGTCTTGAACTCCTGGCCTCAAGCGATCCTCCCACCTCAGCCTCCCAAAGTGCTGGAATTACAGATGTTGTGTCACCACACCTGGCCAATAGTTATAAATGTTATAACATTTCTTTGATGATGCAAATTTTCTGGAGCACTATACATGAGTTAATTTGGATTGGATTTTCCCAAATTACTTACATTATGGGATTTCTCCCCAATGAGCACTGGGATGAGGAGACTTCAATCCACCAAAGTTGTATATATATATATCCATGGAGGTGATACTTAGGTCATCTCATCAGAAAACACTCATACTTGTCCACAAATAGATGTTGCATATGGCATTAGTACCATCCTCAGAAATTTATATATATTTGCAAGAAATATTATTTTAAGTCAATAGTATATGCTATCATGAATACAGGATATGCTCACTCCATAAGCAGCAAATTGACTCCTTCACAGTTTTAATAGATTTCCAGTTGTTTTGTCTTCAGTCTCCTAAGAAGACAATGCTATAATCTCCAACCACATTATTTGCTTCTTCCATCCCATTCTTCATATTGATCATTGTTGTGTGACATTAGTTGACTACTGTAATGATAAATAACTAGGGTAAAATAGATACATTTGCTCTTTCTTAGGTTCCATTCCTCCTTTCAGTGGGAAGCCTCACACACACTCTCATCATGCTCTGCTATGAAACATAGCTTAACCAAGAATCGTATATCCAGCAAAGCTCATGTTCAATACAAAACAAAAATTTAATTTTTCTGTTATGCTGATGAAAAAGTGTAAGTGATGTTCTTGCCTTCTAACACTGTTATCGCTGCCACAGCCACTTGGTCAAGGATCATCAAGCAGATTAAGGCAATTTACACCCATTTCAACTTTTTTTTTTTCTTCTTGAGACCGAGTCTCACTCTGTCACCCAGACTGGAGTGCAGTGGTAGGATCTTGGCTCACTGCAACCTCTGCCTCCTGGGTTCAAGTGATTCTCCTGCCTCAGCCTTCCAAGTAGCTGGGACTACATGCGCATGACACCAGGCCCAGCTAATTTTTGTATTTTTAGTAGAGATGGGGTTTCACCATGTTGACCAGGCTGGTATCAAACTTTTGACCTCAAGTTGATCCATCTGCCTCAGCCTCCTAAAGTGCTAGGATTACAGGTGTGAACAAGTGTGCCCAGCCCCACCTCAATATTTATACAATTTATGTTGCCTTGATTCTAACCCTGACTGTACCACAGTGTACTTATGGAAGAGCTTCACAATTGCAGATGCAACTGTGCTTACTGCAGAGGCTGTAGATGCCCTAAAGCCCAGGACACCCAAAGCATATTGGAAGCCATTGGAGTGAGGGAGTAAGTGATTTCAGGGGTTTCCCCAAGACTGATACAGCAGTCAGGAATATCTTAAATGTTGCAAAGAAAGTTGGTGGAAAGGAAACTGAAGATATACTGAAATCCTCTACAAGTGATGATGATGATGATGATGATGATGATGATGCTGCTGATGATGCAGAAGATTAAGAAGAGGAGCAGTGCCATTGATTTGGACACGCGAAAAATTTGCAGCAGATCTTGGGGCATCTATAGCCTCTGCAAGTTGCAAGTGTTAAAGATAATCAACCTCAGCTAACATCCTTTGATTGAAAAAAGCTTCTGTGTCATATAAGGGAAAATATGCTAATGAACACTAAGGTTTTTTTAGGGATTCAAAGAAAAAGAACTAGCTTCCTAAAACAATGCTTCTAACTAAATATCTGCAAATATGAAGACATACCCTTCAACACAAACATCTTCAGCCCTCAAGCTGAACAGATGCTGACATTAGTATTAGCCTCCTGCAAAGAGTCAACATCTTCAATCAGAACCTGGGTCTTCCAACATAGATGAAGGTCTTGATGTCCTGTCAAGATTCAAGTTAGCCTGAGGTCTCACTGTTTATCTATGATGCCACACATCTAGTCACCTCTACACATCACATTAGGCACCATACAGCAATCATCATTGTCATAACCATCGTAATACTTGGGTTATCAAGAGAGAAGAACCAGAATTGTGGTTGGTGTTAACACATTCTTTCAGGTCATTAGACAAAAGTAATCTGAGTATTGAAACAAGAAACTGTAACATTATAGGTGATATATACGATGTAGATAGGCCTGCAATGGTTGGGTCTGTACTGAACACATATAGATTTTTTTTCTTATGATTCCCTAAACAATACAACTATGTACACAGCTTTTACAATGCATGAGATATTTTAATTAATCTAGACATTTATAGAGTATACAGGAGAATGTGGGTAGGTACATGCGAATATTCCATTTTATAAAAGAGCTGGCATCTGTGGATTTAGGTATACTCAGGGTGTACTGGAACCAATCTTCTTGCATATAGCAGGCAGCAACTCTATTTGAAAGAAATGGAAACTTTTTTTTTTTTTTTTGAGATGGAGTCTCGCTCTAGCACCCAAGCTGGAGTGCAGTAGTGCAATCTCGGCTCACTGCAACCTCCACCTCCCGGGTTCAAGGGATTCTCCTGCCTCAGCCTCCTGAGTAGCTAGGACTACAGGTGTGAGCAACTATGCCTGGCTATTTTTTTTTTTTTCCGTATTTTTAGTAGAGACAGGGTTTCCCATGTTAGCCAGGCTGGTCTCGATCTCCTGGCCTCGTGATCTGCCCTCCTCGGCCTCTCAAAGTGCTGGGATTACAGGTGTGAGCCGCTGCGCCCAGCCTGGAAACTTCTTAAGGCTTTACCACGTTTACATTCACAGGATTTATTTCTTTCAAGTATCTGAATGTGATAAAACCAATGAATGCTTTCCCACATTCCATACACTTATAGAATATCCTTCCAGTGTGTCCTTTTATGTCTATTAAAGGAACTGAGAGAACTGAAGGCTTTCCCACATTCCTTACATTCATAGGGCTTCTCTCCAGTGTGAGTTCTTTCATGTTCTCGACAGAAACTGGAACGACTGAAGGCTTTACCACAGTGTTTACATTCATAGGGTCTTTCTCCAGTGTGAGTCCTTTCATGTCTTAGAAGGAAAGAGGGCCAAAAGAATGCTTTCCTGCATTGCTTACATTCATATGGCTTCTCTGCCGTGTGAGTCCTTTCATGAGTTTTTAAGTAACTGAAACGACTGAAGGCTTTGCCACAAATTTGACACTCATAAGATTTTTCTTCACTGTGAGTCCTTTCATGGCGACAAAAGTATTTAAAAGAACTAAATGCTTTCCCACACTCCTTACATTCATAAGGCTCCTCTTCACTGTGTGTTGTTTCATGACTTTGAAAGGAAAATAAATCACTAAAAGCTTTTCCACATTTACATTTATAGGGTTGCTCTCCAGTGTGTGTTGTTTCATGTTTTCGAAGGGAACTGGAAGTACGGAAGGCTTTCCCACATTGCTTGCATTCATAGGGTTTCTCTCCAGTGTGAGTCCTTTCATGTCTTTGAAATACACTAGGAGAATCAAAGGCTTTCCCACATACTGTGCATTTATGAGGGCCATCTCCAGTGTGTGCCATCATGTGTCTTCGAAAGCTTGAGCGATGAGATAACAATTTCCCACATTGCTTACATTCATAGGGTTTCTCTAGAGTGTGAGTTCCTTCATGAATTCGTGCTGAACCAGGAAAATCAAAGCCTTTCCCACATATCTTACATTTATGAGGTCCATCTCCACTGTGCATTATCATGTGTCTTTGAAAGCTTCCAAGATGACAAAACGCTTTCCCACACTGTTTACATGTATAGGGTTTCTCTCCAGTGTGAATTCTTTCATGTACTCGAAGGGAACCGGAAACACTGAAGGCTTTCCCACATTGTTTACATTTGTAGGGTTTCTCTCCAGTGTGAGTTCTTTCATGTCTTAGATATGAACTGTAATCAGGGAAGGCTTTAGAACACTGCTTACATTCATACGGTTTCTCCCCAGTGTGTATTTTTTCATGTCTTAGATAGGAACTGTAAACAGGGAAGGCTTTAGAACACTGCTTACATTCATATGGTTTCTCTCCAGTGTGAGTTCTTTCATGCATACGTAATAAACTGGGCCAAAAAAAGGCTTTCCCACACAATTCACATTTATAAGGTCCATCTCCACCTTTTACTACCATATGTCTTCGAAGGTTTCCAGGAGAACTGAAGGTTTTTCCACATTCCTTACAATCATAGGGTTTCTTTCCAGTGTGAGGCCTTTCACATGTTTGAAAGGAGTGGCGATAACTTAAGCCTTTCCCACACTGCTTATGTGTATATGACTTCTCTGCATATTCATGACACTCCCGGTGTTTGTGTCCAGTATCAACTCTGATGTAGCAATTCAGGGATGAATGACCCATTATGACTTCTCCATTCACACTGCTTCCACATGCATCTACTCTGGCGGGAGTGTTCTTGTTTACAATACTATTTCGAATCTGGCTTAAGGTTTCTCCACACTGACTACCATCTTTACTTTTACCAAATCTCTCTACCACATCACACCTGTAAAAAATGAAAAGTACATTACTAAAGGTTTATTATTGAATTTATATTTATCAACAGGTATTAGATTTACATTTTTAACATTATCAGGCAAGCTATAAGCTTCATGTCCTGCTTCAATGTGAATGGACTGAATGTTGTGCAAGATAACTCAATCCCAGCTATTTTCAAGACAATGATATGCACATGGGGATTCTTAATTCTTTTTTTTTTTTTTTTTTTTTTTTGAGATGGAGTCTCCCTCTGTCATCAGGCTGGAGTGCAGCTGGTGCTGTCTCGGCTTGCTGCAACCTCCGCCTCCCAGGTTCAAGTGATTCTCCTGCCTCAGCCTCCCAAGTAGCTGGGACTACAGGCATGCACCACCACACCCAGCTAATTTTTGTGTATTTTTAGTAGAGATGGGGTTTCACCATGTTGGCCAGGTTGGTCTCGATCTCCTGACCTCGTGGATCCACCCACCTCGGCCTCCCAAAGTGCTGGGATTACAGGCATAAGCCACTGCGCCTGGCCTTTTTTTTTTTTTTAAGACAGGGTCTTGCTCTGTCACTTAGGTTAGAGTGCACCAGTGCCATCACAGATCACTGCAGCCTCAAACTCCCAGGCTCAAGTGATCCTCCTGTCTCAGCCTCCCAAAGTGCTGGGATTGCGGGCATGAGCTACCACACCCAGCCTCATATGGGAAATCTTAATATTGTTTCCATGGGAACTACTTTGCAAACACTGAATAGCTATGTCACATTTAATAATATATTTATGTCACATTTAATAATATATTTTTATAGAGAAATTTTTCTAAGAATAAATAAATTTAAGCTGGGCTTGTTCATAATCTTTGCTTCTTTTTAAAAGTTCTTGTCATTCTCAGAAACACTGCAAGGACATCACCTGTCTCTTATAAGTACAAATTACCTTGGATTTCTCCTGAGATTTTGGTGCTGATCATCAATGTTCTGGTTTTCCCATTTCATTCCTAAAAGAGAGATCCAGAAAATTCACTATAAATTATTACAAAATGATACAAAAATTGTTAAGATTTTATGTACACTACAATCATGTATGATTCATTCATTGAACTATAGTTGACTCCTGAACAACACAGGTTTGAACTGCACAAGTCCATTTATATATAAATGTTCTTCAGTCTCTGCTACCCCTGAGACAGCAATATCAACCCCTCTTCTTAGTTAGCCTACTCAATGTGAAGATGAGGATGAAAACCTTCATGATGATCCATTTCAACTTAATGCAGAGTAAATATAGTTTTTCTTCCTTAAGATTTTCTTATTAATATTTACTTTCTCTAGGCCGGGCATAGTGGCTCATGCCTGTAATCCCAGCACTTTGGGAGGCCGAGGTGGGCAGATCACAAGGTCAGGA
Source organism: Homo sapiens (assembly GCF_000001405.40). Lineage (NCBI taxonomy): Eukaryota > Metazoa > Chordata > Mammalia > Primates > Hominidae > Homo > Homo sapiens. Next base: position 12,275,441 of record NC_000019.10, read on the forward strand.
GATCGAGACCATCCTGGCTAACATGTTGAAACCCTGTCTCTACTAAAAATACAAAAAATTAGCTGGGCATGGTGGCGGGCGCCTGTAGTCCCAGCTACTCAGGAGGCTGAGGCAAGAATGGTGTGAACCCGGGAGGCGGAGCTTGTAGTGAGCCAAGATGGAGCCACTGCACTCCAGCCTGGGCGACAGAGCAAGACTCCATCTCAAAAAAAAAGAAAAAAAATTTACTTTCTCTAACTTACTTTATTCTGAGAATACAGTATGCAATACATATGACATATATGTGCTCGTCACTTGTTTATATGACTGATAAGGCTGCTGGTCAAAAGTAGGTTAAGCTGTGGCAGACAAAAGATTATATGAGGACATACAACAGGTTGGGGCCTGGCACTTCACCCTGTGTTGTTCAGGAATGAACTGTATCCCTTTTCCATATTTCAAATCACTGAACAGCATTGATGACCACAAAACAAATGTCTCTAATTGACCAAATGAAGACATGATGTCATCCATACCTATACAGTTCAGGTTCCTAATGGTTTCTCGCATCACATCTCTGTAGAGATTCTTCTGTGATGGACCCAGCAAAGCCCACTCCTCATGGGTGAAGTTCACAGCCACATCCTCAAAGGCCACTGAGTCCTGAAACATCCCATATGTCCAGAAAAGGAAGGTTGAAACTCACAGTACTGAGAACCTATACTCACCTTCATAAACTTCCCATGATGCTGTGGTTTCCAAGCATTTATTCAATGACGTGGTAAATCCACTCTTATTCTGTGTCTGCACTCACTGTCTGATGCTGGAATTCTGATGCTGGAATTGGGCTTGCTAAAATAACAGTTGAGTAGGAACATATCTCTTATTGGTGAATTATGCAAGTGAATCTTATTGCCTGGATTACTCCTAATGTCTGTTTCTACAGTGGGTCTGTAGTCCTTGTCATGACAAAGTCCTACCACCTACTGTGCAAAAGAGAGTTACAATTAGCAGTCCTGAGACGGCATATCCTTACAACTGCTTGTTCACAATGTTGAACCTTTCGTGGTGTCTAGACAATGTATTTAGGGGAGGGCCCCGTAAGCATAACTAATAAAGGGGGTGGAGTGTGCCTAAACTATTTGTGTAAAAATTATGGTATTTGCTTAACTCCTAACTTCCCTCTGAGAGTTTGGAATTGTATTACATCCTCAGCAGAGGAAGTGTACCCAATCAGCCACTGCTAGGTTTGAATGTCTTCCCCTCCAAAATGCAGGCTGAAACTGAATCTCCAATGTGGAAGTAATCAAAGGTAGTGGTTTAAGAGGTGAGTGGGTCTTGAGGGTTTGGAACACATGGATGGATTAATCCACTCATGTATGAATGGCTTAATAAATAAACTGGTTATCACAGATGAGGTTCTGGTGTCCTTATGAGAAGAGGAAGATACTTCAGCTAGACACTCAGCCCCCTCATCATGTAATGCCCTGTACCACCCAGGGACTCTACAGAGTCCCCATCAGCAAGAAGATTCCCACCAGATGCCCACTTTGACCTTACTTGATCTTCCCAGCTTTCAGAACTGCAAAAAATAAATATCATTTCTTATAGATTACCCCAGTTCTGGTATCCTGTTGTAAGTAACAAAAAAACAGTCTTATAGACTAAGACATACACAAAGAAACACTCTAGGCACAGGGTCCCTAATGTGCAACTCTGGTAGATGATATTTCATATTTTTGTTGTTGTTGTTTTTTCAATGTCTTACTTGGGGGATTTAGCCTATCCTACGTGATTACACAGAGAGAATATTTGGAAGCTGGTGACTGGTTCCCTGTAGATCAAATGTAGTTAAGTATGACAAAAGACTAATAAAAGAGATTTTACCAACTAAATAGAAAAAATTGTAACTTTCTACTGGGTAATGTCGAAGGAGAAAGAAAAGAAGAGGACAGACTGCAAATGTTCTTAGACAGAATTCAGTGTCAGCTTTCATGAATATCAATTATATTCCATAAATCTCAACAGCAGACATTTAATAATCAATAACATTACATAAACCAATTTTTATAGAAGTCATAAATGTCTAAAGATGCTTAAAAAAAACCTTCTCATCAAGAAAGTAGACAGCTTTACAAAAACAAACAGAAGATTTAAAACTGTAATTTTTCACATCCCATACTATTAACAGAGAGAAAAAGATACATAAACAGGAAAGTGAAAAATGATAGAAAAGCCTTGTATTGTTTTTTCTTTGGCCCCATCTCTGCCCATCTCATTGCCAGTCCTGAAGACAGCAGAGTTCCCAGTGTAGAACTCTGATCACCACAGAGTGTACAGATCACATTTTGTTTCCACATTATTGCCTTTGTATTTTTGAATCAGTCTGGGGACTAACCGAAGGTCTGAAACAAGGCTCTCTTTTCTATTTCATCTACAACAGAATCCAATCAGAGTCAAACTGGGCAGGAACTACTTTAAAATGTTGTAAAATACACAAAAAGTGTGCAACCACCTAGGACAACACAAGATGACTAAGACATACATTAGAAGGCCAGGTGTGGTGGCTCACACCTGTAATCCCAGTACTTTGGGAGGCCAAGGTGTTGGGAACAGGCCCCCAAATCTAGCCATAAACAAAATCTCTGCAGCACTGTGACATGCTCGTGATGGCTATGACGCACATGCTGAAGGTTGTTGGTTTACCGGAATGAGGGCAAGGAACACCTGGCCCACCCAGGGTGGAAAACTGCTTAAGGCGTTCCTGAACCACAAACAATAGCATGGGCCATCTGTGCCTTAAGGACAAGTTCCTGCTGCAGATAACTAGCCAGAGCCCTTCCCTTTGTTTCCCGTAAGGAAGGCTTTTAGTTAGTCTATAATCTATAGAAACAACGCTTATCACTGGCTTACTGTCAATAAATATGTGGGTAAAACTCTGTTTGTGGCTCTCAGCTCTGAAGGCTGTCAGCCCCCTGATTTCCCACTCCACACTCTAAATTTCTGTGTGTGTGTGTCTTTAATTCCTCTAGTGCCGCTGGGTTAGGCTCTCCACGACTGAGCTGGTCTCGGCACCAAGGGGGTCAGATTGCTTAAAGGCAAGGAGTTCAAGACCAGCCTGGGCAATGTGGGGAGACCTCATCTCTACAAAAAATAAACAAAATTAGGTGGGTATGGTGGCGCATGCCTGTAGTCCCAGCTACTCAGGAAAGTAGGAGAATTGCTTGAGCCTAGGAGGTTGAGGCTGCAGTGAACCACGATTGTGCCACTGCACTCAAGTCTGAGTGAAAGAGTGACACTATTTCAAGGAAAAAAAAAAAAGACATATATTAGACCATCTAAGTCCCAGGAGAAAAGGCTAGGGTATAATTTTTCTTTACAAATAAGCATATTTGAAAGCACCCAGATATACTGGGGAATGGAGAAAGCCCCACGCAGGCACAGGAAACAATATATTTTTATAAAAGATGGGTGGGGATTCTGTTTTTCAGCTCTGGCTAACATCCAGATTTAAACAGAAAGAGAAGGCTACAGTAGTAAATACTGTGGCTAAGTGCTCAAAGAATGCCCCAGCAGAGAGCCATCCATGAAGACTGGAAGAGGTCAGGTTTTTGTTTGTTTCATCTTCTTTTTTACTTTTAGCTTCTAACATTCAGGAAATCTCTGTCAGAACGCTGGATGAACACAAGCTAAAGTCAGGAAATCTCTGTCAGAACACTGCATGATCACAAGCTAAAGAACAGAGACTTCAGTGTTTATACCCAGTAGGAAATACAGTCTCTGCAAACTAATTTGGAAATGTTACTAAACAAATGAATAGGCCAGGTGCAGTGGCTGAAGCCTGTAATACCAGAACTTTGGGAGGCTGAGGGAGGAGGACCACTTGAGGCCAGGAGTTTGAGACCAGCCTGGGCAACATAGTGAGATTCTGTCTCTATTTAAAAAAAAGAAAAAGAAATGAATAATTTCAGCCTTCAAGCAAGAATACCAAACAATTAAGGGGCAAAAATCTGATTTCCAGAGTTACCCAGTTATAACATTCAAATGTCTCCTTTTCAATACCCCCACCCCCAAAAAAACCCCAGAGAAATAAATAAAACAGAGAAACATGAAAATACGACTCATTAATGGAAACAATTTGAGATAAATCTGAGAAACCTCAGACACTGGATTTACTGAATAAAAACAGTAAAGCAACTGTCTTAAATATATTTAACTTAGTAAAGACAATAATAAACAAAGAACTAAGAGAAAACCAGAAAATTGATGTAGGGATAAAATAATACCAAAATATGTTAAAAATTGAGCCATATAGAATTTCTGCAGCTGCAAGATACAACAACTTAAATGAAAACATCACTAAAGGTATTCAACAGATGTGAGCAACCAGTGGAAAAAAAAAACTAAAATGAAGGTAAAACAATTGAAATTACCTGGTCTGAGTTAAAAAAAAAAAGAAGTTCATCAGAAAGAAAAAAATGATATGGGTTAGAAATTCAGATTGTGTGTGTGTGTGTGTGTGTGTGTATACACACACATATATATGAAGAGTGTTAGGAAACAATTAAATGAAGGCACAAAAAATTCTTTACTCTTCTTATACCTATCTGATCTAATAGATATAGGTTTATTCAAAATAATAATATCAAATTAGCTGGGCGTGGTGGTGCACAGCTGTAATCCCAGCTACTAGGGAGGCTGAGGCAGGACAATTGCTTGAACCCAGGAGGCAGAGGTTGCAGTGAGCCGAGATCATGCCATTGCACTCCAGCCTGGGAAACAGAGTGAGATTCTGTCTCAAAAGAAAAAATAATAATATCAACAATGTATTCAGTAGTTTATAGCTCCCAGTTGAACTAATGAATGAAAGTAATGTTATATGTGATGGGAGGAAGAACAGTCTATCACACTTCGGAACTGTCTATTATACCAGCACTATTCCTGAAGCCAGTATAGTACTATTTGAAATTGAAGGCCCATTAGTTGTGAATGCTATACTACAAACTCTGGGGAACTCACTAATAGAATCTAAGAAAAAGTAGACTATATAGATATATAATATAGAAAATAAAATCATATAGAATGCTCAGCTAAAAGGAAAAAGGGCAGAAAAGAGAAGTTAAAAAACACAGAGAAGAACAACAAATAGAAAACAATAATATACATGTTTATCTGAATCCAATTATGCCAACTGCCACTTAAATGTGTATTATCTATATTCACCAGTAAAAAAGAAAGGGACTGGCAGAGTGAAATAAAAAACAAGGCCCCAAACTATATTTTTAAAAAGTATTTTAAACAGAAAGACACAGATACATTAAATACACAAGTATGAAGAAATACATGCCATTCTAGCCCTGATCAAAAGAAATTTGGAAGACCTATATTACATTCAGACAAATCAGGTTTTAGATTTTTTAAAAATTACAAGGGATAGAGAGATTTCATAATGATCAAGAAGTCAATCCTACACGACATAATAATCCTTAACATCTATGCCCATAAAACAGAGCATCAAAATACATAATGCAAAAACATATAAAACCACAAGGCAAAATACACAAATCTAGGATTATAGTTGAGGGAAAACAACTCACCTCTATCAATAATTGACAGATCAGTTCTGCAGAAAATCACTAATGATATAGCTGAACTCAACAGCACTATCAATCAACTGGATTTAATTGAAACATATTTATAGAATCATTCATTCAACAACAGCATACATATTCTTCTCAAGCCTACATGAAATATTCACCAAGATGAACAATATTCTCAGCCATAAAACACACTTGAACAAATTTTTTAAAGTATGCGATCAAATCATATTAGAATTAATGTAAAAATTAGTAACAGAAGCATAGTTGAAAAACCTCAACAAAGTGGAGATTGAAGCCACAAACTTCTCAACTACACAAACTTCAAGGAGAATTGTCAAGCAAAATGTAAATATTGCAATGTTGATGAAAAGTGATATATCTTAGCAAAATCTTTGGAATGGAGTAAAGGCAGTGCTTTGAGGGAAATTTAAAGAATTAAATGCATTTCCTAGAAAGTAAAGGTTTAAAATCAACACCCTAACCTTCCATTTTAGGAAACTAGAGAAAAATGACAAGATTAATGTAAATCAAACAGAGGAAAGTAACGATGAGAAGAGATATTAATGAAATAGCAATGAAGAAATCAGTAGAAAACATCAACAAACCAACAGATGGTTCTTTGGAAACATCATTAAAATTCATAAGCCCATAGCCAAGTTAACTCAGAAAAAAGAGGAGCCATCACTACTACTCCCATGGACAGTAAAATGACCATAAAAAACTATTAGGAACAACTAAGTGCCCACATATTTGATAAAATTACACAGAATGGACCAATTCCTTGAAAGACACTATCTACCAAAACTCACAAAAAGAGACCTAAGTAATATGAATAGGCCTGTATCTACTGAAGATATTAATAAATAATAAATGTCCCAGAAAAAATAAGCAACAGGTCAGAACGATTTCACTGCTGAATTCTGGCAAGCGTTTATGGAAGAAATGATACCAATTCTCTACAATCTCTTCCAGAAAACAGAAGCAGAGGAAACACCTTCTATTCCATTTTATAAGGCCAACATTGCCCTAACACCAAAACTAGACAGACATTACAGACATATCTCCACCATGTGAGGACATAAGGGTTAGACTGCCATCTTCAAACCAGGTAGCAGGCCCTTACCAGAGGCCTCATCTGCTTGATATTGGACTTTCAGCCTCTACACCTTTGAGAAATGAATGTTTGTTGTCTAAGGCATGCAGTGTATGGCAATCTGGTATAGCAGTCCTAAGTGACTAAGAGAGGTAGACTCTTTCTCTACACACATTAGGCTTTGAAGTCTACAGGAATCAGGTCACTGGTCTCACATATAGGCATTAAGCTCCCTGCCAAGATAAAGAAGTGATAACCTACAGGTCACATTTGGCAGGTTTCCAAATCAACCCACTTGGAGAAGTCTTCTTTTTTTTTTTTTTTTTTGAGACGGAGTCTTGCTCTGTCACCCAGGCTGGAGTGCAATAGCACGATCTCAGCTCACTGCAACCTCCGCCTCCCAGGTTCAAACAATTCTCCTGCCTCAGCCTCTCGAGCAGCTGGGATTATAGGTGTCCGCTACCATGCCCGGCTAATTTTTGTATTTTTTAGTAGAGACAGGATTTCGCCATGTTGGTCAGGCTGGTCTCGAATTTCTGACCTGAGGTGATCCGCCCACCTAGGCCTCCCAAAGTGCTGGGATTACAGGCATGAGATACCACGCCTGGCGAGAAGTCTTCTAATTAAATGGCTTACATTCTGTCTGTGAGTAAAGGATCTTATCATGAGTCCCTCAAATCTTATTGTGAGTTCTTCAAACTGTTGATATGATTAACGTTATCTACTAACATCAAAAAAGACACTGATTTATTTCTGAATCATGTTTTGCTGATTGTCTTCCACTTAGAACATTTTAGCCTGTCAGCTGTCATCTATAGGCAATGATTGTAACGTCTATATTGTACCCTTCAAGGAAAATGACAATTCCGGTATGAATAGTCCTCCAGCTTCTCCTAAACTTTCTCATAAAGGCATCCAACTTGTAATCAATTTTGGAACACATCCAAATTTGTTGGTGTGTCTTCTCAAGTTGATCCTCAAATTTGGCTTACAATAAAACTTTATCAAATTGTATCTGCCTCAATGGCCTTATTTTTGGTAAACAAAAGTATCCCATGAAAGGCGCAATGTAACCATCCCCAACCAAATCCCTGGAGACACACCAGAGCAGAGATAAAGTTTATAGCCAGTTTCAAGAGACAGACCTAAAGATTAAATTAGAAGAATATACAACACCTATGAAAGACAAAAGCAGCACACTTTTAGAAATTACAGAAATTTTTTTTTCTTTTTGAGACAGAGTCTCGCACTGTCTACCCAGACTTGAGTGCAGTGGCGTGATCTTGGCTCACTGCAAGCTCCGCCTCCCGAGTTCATGCCATTCTCCTGCCTCAGCCTCCTGAGTAGCTGGGATTACAGGCATCCACCACCACGCCTGGCTAATTTTTTTGTATTTTTAGTAGAGACGGGGTTTCACCGTATTAGCCAGGATGGTCATGATCTTCTGACCTCATGATCCGCCCTCCTCGGCCTCCCAAAGTGCTGGGATTACAGGCATAAGCCACCACGCCCAGCCAGAAAAAATGTTTTTCTTATTTAACAAGAGTCTTCTTATATAAGAAAATAAAGTAGCTTCCAAAGGAGAAGTCTGGTAAATTGAACTCTAATTACATTAAGAAGAAGCAGGCATAGTGACTCACATCTATAATCCCAGTACTGTGGGAGGCCAAGGCAAGAGGAACTCTTGAGGCCAGGAATTTGAAACCAGCCCGGCAACATGGCAGACCCTCTGGCTACACAAAATTAAAAAATTAGCCAAGTGTGGTGGCACATGCCTATAGTCCCAGCTACTTGGGAGCCCAGGAGTTTGAGGCTGCAGTGAGCTGATTATGCCACTGCAGTCCAGCCTGGGTGACAGAGCTGGACATTATCTAAAAAAATAAAAAATTTAGGAAGAGTTCATCTAAGTAGAATAAATTTAAAAGATAAACCACCATCTGAAAGGAAATATTACCAATCCCTCCATGTAAAAAAGGATTCGTGTATAAAGTATGCCTAAAACAAAAAGAGAGAAACAAAGCAAACATTTGCATTTACTATGCAAATGAATTAAATGACTGAGAATTATTTCACAGATGAAAGCCCACAAAGGCGGTATGTTCAACATGAATGCTAATCCAGTAAAAACACAATATATAATCATATGGAGATAATACATAATCACATGGAGATAACTAAAAGATAAATATTAAAAGGTATAGCTTCTTCTCCAAGAAAACACCAAATGGCTGATGACGCAGGTGCAGCGCGGGGGTCCAGAGGCCCTGGGGACCCTGGGATGGGGAACCGCAGTGGCTTCCGCGGAGATTTCGGCAGTGGCATCCGGGGCCGGGGCCGCGGAGCTCTGAGAGGCAAGGCCGAGGATAAGAAGTGGATGCCCGTTACCAAGCTGGGCTGCCTGGTCAAGGACATGAAGATCTAGTCCCTGGAGGAGATCTATCTCTTCTCCCTGCCCATCAAGGAATCTGAGATCATTGACTTGTTCCTGGGGGCCTCTCTCAAGGACGAGGTTTTGATTACACCAGTGCAGAAGCAGACCCGTGCCGGCCAGTGCACCAGGTTCAAGGCGTTTGTTGCCATCGGGGACTACAATGGCCATGTCCGTCTGGGAGTTAAGTGCTCCAAGGAGGCAGCCACTGCCATCCGCGGGGCCATCATCCTGGCCAAGCTCTCCACTGTCCTCGTGCGCAGAGGCTACTGGGGGAACAAGATCGGCAAGCCCCACACCGTCCCTTGCAAGGTGACAGGCCACTGCGGCTCTGTGCTGGTGCGCCTCATCCCCGCACCCAGGGACACTGGCATCGTCTCAGCGCCTGTGCCCAAGAAGCTGCTCATGATGGCTGGTATCAGTGACTGATACACCTCAGCCCGGGGCTGCACTGCCATCCTGGGCAACTTCGCCAAGGCCACCTTTGATGTCATCTCTAAGACCTACAGCTACCTAACCCCTGACCTCTGGAAGGAGACTGTATTCACCAAGTCTCCCTATCAGGAATTCACTGACCACCTCGTTAAGACCCACACCAGAGTCTCTGTGCAGAGGACCCAGGCTCCAGCTGTGGCTACAACATAGGGCTTTCATACAAGAAAAATAAAGTAAATTAAGCCTGAAAAAAATGTATAAACAGACATGTATGCATTGTTTGTTTGTTTGTTTTTTGAGACAGATTTTCACTCTTGTTGCCCAGGCTGGAGTGCAAAGACGCGATCTCGGCTCACTGCAACCTCCACCTCCCGGGTCCAAGCAATTCTCCTGGCTCAGCCTCCCGAGTAGCTGGGATTACAGGCGCCCGCCACCACGTCCGGATATTTTGTGCTTTTAGTAGAAATGGTGTTTCACCATGTTGGCCAGGCTAATCTCAAACTCCTGACCTCAGGTGATCCACCCACCAAGGCTTCCCAAAGTGCTGGGACAACAGGCGTGAGCCACAGCACCCGGCCTGGTCAGACAGTTAATCCACACATGCTATTATGATTTCCTAGTAAACTGAAGTTTGTCTATAATCTATAACCCAGCAATGTTCCCCCATGTGTTGAAAAATTCATGAACTGTTAGCATGTAGAGACAAAACCAAAAATAACATTGTCAACAACATCAAAAAATTAACTTAAAAGTCAAGTCCTGGCCAGGCGCGGTGGCTCACGCCTGTAATCCTAACACTTTGGGAGGCCGAGGCTGGCGGATCACGAGGTCAGGAGATCGAGACCATCCTGGAGAACACAATGAAACCCCATCTCTACTAAAAATACAAAAAAATTAGCCAGGCGTGGTGGCGGGCGCCTGTAGTCCCAGCTACTCAGGAGGCTGAGGCAGGAGAATGGCGTGAACCCGGGGGTCAGAGCTTGCAGTGAGCCGAGATCACGCCACTGCACTCTAGCCTGGGTGACAGAGCGAGACTCCATCTCAAAAAAAACTCAAAAAAAAGTCAAGTCCTATGAGCACTGCAATGTGTGAGTAAACTGCATGACCCATAGCCTCAGATTTTAGCATGTGTCAAACAGATTGAGGCAAATAAAGAAAACAAAAATCTTTTCAGCACAATTTTTGTGTTTTTCCCCCGTTCATCCTTTCTTGATGTCTCTGAATCAAATCAATATTCTCTAGTGTTCCAATTTAGTTACTAATTATATTTACATTTTAGTGATATCTTTTTGCATTATATTTTAACAGGTTGCTCTGATGAACTAGTTCTCATGCATGAGAATCATCTGAAGGGCTTGTTAAAAAACAGGCCATTGGAGGCCGGGCGCGGTGGCTCATGCCTGTAATCCCAGCACTTTGGGAGACCGAGGTGGGTGGATCACAAAGTCAGGAGTTCGAGACCAGCATGGCCAAGATGATGAAACCCCGTCTCTACTAAAAATACAAAAATTAGCCGGGCGTGGTGGCGGGTGCCTGTAGTCCTAGCTGCTCGGGAGGCTGAGGCAGAAAATTGCTTGAACCTGGGAGGCAGAGGTAGGTTGCAGTGAGCTGAGATTGTGCTACTGCACTCCAGCCTGGGTGAAAGAGCGAGACTTGGTCTCAAAAAAAAGAAAGAAAGAAAACAGATCATTGGGGCTGGTTGCAGTGGCTCACATCTGTAATCCCAGCACTTTGGGAGGCTGAGGCAGGTGGATCTCTTGAGGTCAGGAGTTCGAGACCAGCCTGGCCAACATGGTGAAACTCCATCTCTACTAAAAATACAAAAATTAGCCAGGCGTGGTGGTGCACACCTGTAGTCCCAGCTACTCGGGAGGCTGAGGCAGAGGTTGCAGTGAGCCAAGATTGCACCACTGCACTCCAGCCTGGGCAATAGAGTAAGACTCTGTCTCAAAAATAAAAAATAAAAAAAAAATCATTGGGCCCCATTCCAAGAATTACTAATTCAGTAGCCTTGGGTAATACCCTAAAATGTGCATTCCTTTTATATATATATATACACACACACACACACGTATAATATATATATATATACACATATATGTATAAATTATATATATATATTCATGGAGTACCAGTGCAATTTTACTACATTGATATATTGCCTTGTAAAGTCAGGCCTTTCAGTGCATCCATCCCTGGAGCAACCCCCATTATCCACCAAATAACCTCCCTCATCCCCATGAGTCTTCACTGTCCACATATATACACATTCTTCTTTTTTTTTCCTTGAGACGGAATCTCGCTCTGTCACCCACTGCAGCCTCCGCCTCCTGGGTTCAAGGGATTCTCCTGCCTCAGCCTCCCGAGTAGCTGGGACTACAGGCATGTGCCACCACGCCTGGCTAATTTTTTGTATTTTTAGTAGAGATGGGGTTTCACCGCATTAGCCAGGATGGTCTTGATCTCCTGACCTCGTGATCCACCTGCCTCAGCCTCCCAAAGTGCTGGGATTACAAGCGTGAGACACCGTGCCTGTCCCTGTACACATTCTTTAACTACCACTTATAAATGAGAACAGGCAGTATTTGTCTTTCTGTGTCTGAGTTGTTTCACTTAAGATCATGGCCTCCCATTCCATCCATATTGTTGCAAAAGACACAATTTCATTATTTTTAATGTCTGAATAGTATTCCACTGTGTGAATATACCACATTTTCATTATTCAATCTTCTGTTGATGGACACTTAGGCTAATTTTGTATGTTTGCTATTGTGAATAGTCTGCAATAAACACATGAGTGCAGGGAACTTTTTGATGTAATGATTTCCACTCCTTTGGGTAGACACCCTGTAGTAGGAATGGCTTTTCAGCATTATATGGATGGTATGTTAATGGTAGTATTAACTAACTGGAAACTGAAGAGGCAAAATTATGCTTATGGGTGAATACATACTGAACCTATAATGAGTAACAATGACAAATTCAGAGTTATGGTTCTGACCCATGGTGTATTTTATCTAACATTACTTCTGACAGCAAATATGTAGCATTTGCTGAACACGAGCCAATTCTCCAAGAAAAACTGGTGTTCAATAATTCAATGCTGACACCACTTAACATTTCCACAGACCCCACAAATTGAGGGCTCAGTTCCACAACAGGGACCCTACTGCAGATGCCAAATGCAAGCCCTAGGGACCACCCTTTTAACCAAATGTGTATAAAACCAACAACTCTACTATCAGATTTAATAATTTGCTACAACAAGTTGAAGAACTCAGTTAAACAAGTTGCTTAAGGTTATCAGTTTGTTATAAAGTATATGTCAAGAATACCTAAATGGAAGACATATGTCAGCCCTCCAAGACATTTTAATTTGTGCAATTTCACTCTAATTAAACCAACTCACTGAATACAAAACCAAGCAGCTGATAAAGTTCAATTTTACAAAAGCCCTGTAATCCTGGTAATAAACATGATTTAAGAGGCCAGGCACAGTGGCTCACACCTATAATCCCAGCACTTTGGGAGGCTGAGGTAGGCAAATAATGAGGTCAGAAGTTTGAGACCAGCCTGGCCAACATGATGAAACCCCATCTCTACTAAAAATAGAAAAATTAGCCAGGCATAGTTGCACACGCCAGTAATCCCAGCTACTCAGGAGGCTGAGGCAGGAGAATAGCTTGAACCTAGGAGGCGAGGTTGGAGGGAGGCGGAGGTTGCAGTGAGCCAAGATCACACCATTGTACTCCAGCCTGGGACAAAGAGTGAGACTCCGTCTCAAAAAAAAAAAAAAATGTATATATATATATATATATATATATATATATGAAATCACCTGACCCCCACCACCATGCCCAGTTCTTTCTGTTCTGGACAAGTAGCCCAGTGCAAAGAAACATCCTTCACTGACATCAATTCTGGCTCCCGCCTTTTTAACCTGTAACAAGGCCCTCCAAATTCCCATTCTTTGTCTTATAAATAACTAGCTGAACAGTTTTGCCTCTACTGATTACTCTGAACAAAATGCTTCCAAAGGAAACTTGTGGCCAGGCCTGATGGCTCACGTCTCTAATTCCAGCACTTTGGGAGGCTGAAGTGGGTGGATCTCTTGAGCCCAGGAGTTCAAGACCAGCCTGGGCAACATGGTGAAACCCTGTCTCTACAAAAAATACAAAAATATTAGCTGGGCATGGGGTTGTATACCTGTAGTCTCAGCTACCCTGAAGGCTGAGATGGGACAATCCCCTCAGCCTGGGGAGGTCAAGGCTGCAGTGAGCTGTGATGGCCCCACTGCACTCTAGTCTGAGCAAGAGTGAAATTGTGTCTCAAAAAAACAAACAAACAAAAAAACAGAAAAGAAAGGAAACTATTTAAGTTTCTCTCTTTCTTCTAGGCCACTGATTTTTGACACACCCTCAGCCTAAGCCAAAACACAACCCCTCCTTCATGACTCATCCCATGAACAGGCTTGAGTCAGGGTAAAACACTCTGTGATCTAGAATCTGATTTTCACCCTCCATCCTGCCCTCTCCCTCTCATTTCCTTTGTAATGTTGGTTGCTCTTCACCTTGAAAACAACTTTCCACCTAAGCTTTAAGACGCTTTCAGATCTTATACTTAGTGCTCTTCTCCCTTATGTAGCGCTGTTTTAGAATAAACTCATTCTTTTTTTTTTTTTTTTTTTGAGATGGAGTCTTGTTCTGTCGCCCAGGCTGAAGTGCAGTGGCATGATCTCGGCTCACTGCAAGCTCCGCCTCCCCAGTTCACACCATTCTCCTGCCTCAGCCTCCCGAGTAGCACCCGCCAGCATGCCTGGCTAATTTTTTGTATTTTCAGTAGAGATGGGGTTTCACCATGTTAGCCAGGATGGTCACGATCTCCGGACCTTGCAATCCGCCTGCCTCGACCTCCCAAAGTGGTGGGATTACCGGCGTGAGCCACCGTGCCTGGCCTAGAATAAACTCATTTCTTAGCTAAATCCAGATTTATCTTACCTGAAGACTGTCTAGTGACAGCCCTACAATAACAAACACAACCTCAGACATGGCATCACCCCATCTGCCTCTGCCTGTGGATCCCCAGATTTCCAGTGCTCTGTAGCTTCTCTTAGTATAAAAGGCTCTTTGGCTGGGCGTGGTGGCTCACGCCTGTAATCCCAGCACTTTGGGAGGCCAAGGCGGGCAGATCACCTGAGGTCGGGAGTTCAAGACCAGCCTGACCAACATGGAGAAACCCCATCTCTACTAAAAATACAAAATTAGCTGGGCATGGTGGCACATGCCTATAATCCCAGCTACTCAGGAGGCTGAGGCAGGAGAATCACTTGAAACTGGGAGGCAGAGGTTGTGGTGAGCCAAGATCATGCCGTTGCAGTTGCACTCCAGCCTGGGCAACAAGAGTGAAACTCCGTCTTAAACAAAAAAAAAAAAAAGGCTCCTCCCAGGCCAGGCACAGTGGTTCACGCCTGTAATCCCAGCACTTTGGGAGGCCAAGGCCGGTGGATCACAAGGTCAGGAGTTGAGACCAGCCTGACCAACATGGTGAAACCCCATCGCTACTAAAAATACAAAAATTAGCTGGGCATGGTGGCACACGCCTGTAATCCCAGCTACTGAAGAGGCTGAGGCAGGAGAATCGCTTGAACCCGGAAGGCAGAGGTTGCAGTGAGCTGAGATCACAGCATTTCACTCCAGCCTGGGCAACAGAGTGAGACTCTACCTCAAATAAATAAATAAATAAATAAATAAAAATAAAAATAAATTTTAAAAAAAGCTCCTCCCATTGCTGGAGTGATTAGGCTGGGACACCTGCAGGGGAGGCTCCCCAGGAAGAACCAACTAAACTGGGCCCACAATGACCTCCCTTTGCAGGCTCAAAATTGGCCTCCACTTGGAGTCACTGGCCTCAAGCCTCTCCACCCCAGTCAAGGCCATTTGCTTACCCTTTCATGCCTTACGTGGATTTAAAACATAAAACAAACAAACAAAACTCCATGTGTGATGAATCTATCAAAATCACTCAAATTCAGTGTTTACAGGAGGGAAGGAAATTGTAAGTCACTTCTATTTTATAGCTCAACAAGAAAAGCACAAGTATCTATCCATCTCAGATAATAAACATCAGTTACTACTTCCATAATAATGAAGCCTTTAGTAAACAAAGGATATTTAAGTTCTTTAGCTATTGCAAAGTCCCACAGAATGTTGCATTAATCTGCCAAGTCCAGATAACAGGAACAGACCAGACTTATCCACTGTCCCAAGTTCTCCAGCCTAAAAAGAAGAGAAACTAAAGTTTTGATAAAGCTTTATAATTCAACCAAATACCTACCACACATTCTTGTGAAAATATATTCATTTTTCTGCAGCCAAAATGGAAGAGTTTTCCCAAATTTTTCCCTTGGTAGTATTTACACTGCTAAGCCCTGAAATTCCATTTGAAATCATCCAATAAAAGACCTGAGAAACCTATTACATGGTCTCTGGGGTAATAAAAGTAAATAAAAGTTTTTTAAAAATGCTCCAGCCTGGGCGACACGGTGAAACCCCATCTCTACCAAAAATACAAAAATTAGCCAGGTGTGGTGGCGCACGCCTGTAGTCGCAGCTACTTGGGATGCTGAGGTGGAAGGATCTCTTGAGCCCTGGAGGCAGAGGTTGCAGTAAGCTGAGATCGTACCACAGCACTCCTGGGTGATAGAGGGAGACCATGTCTCAAAAAAAAAAGAAAAAGGCTGCGTGCAGTGGCTCACACCTGTAATCCCAGAACTTTCATTGGCCGAGGCGGGAGGATCACCTGAGGTCAGGAGTTCAAGACCAGCCTGGCCAGCAAGGTGAAACCCTGTCTCTACTTAAAAATACAAAATTAGCCAGGCATGGTGGCATGTTCCTGTAATCCCAGCTATTCGGGAGGCTGAGGAAGGAGAATTGCTTGAACCTGGGAGGCAGAGGTTGCAGTGAACCAAGATAGTACCATTGCACTCCAGCCTGGGCAATATAGTGAAACTCCATCTCAGAAAAAAAAAAAAAAGAAAAGAAAAGAAAAAAAGTTTTTAAAAAATGGAATAGGGCCTGGGTCCAGTGGCTCATGCCTGTAATCCCAGCACTTTGGGAGGCCAAGGCAGGAGGATCACTTGAGCCCGGGACTTCAAGACCAGCCTGGCAACATGAGGAAACCCCATCACTACAAAATACTCAAAAATTAGTAGGGCATGGTGGGCATTCCCAGCTACTCCGGAGGCTGAGCCCAGGCAGTCTAGGCTGCCTAAGCTGCAGTGAGCCATGATGGTGCCACTACACTCCAGCCTGGGCAACAGAGGGAGACCCTGTCTTATAAAAAATAAAAATAATAAAAAAAAGGAATAGAAAACTACATATATATAATTTGTTTTCTGAATTCCAACTCTTTCTGGCCTCTTTAGAAACACTTTATCTTCTCTATAATCTCTAATGATAGGATGCCCTTTACAGTTAATAAAAAATTAAATTGGAAATAACTGAACAAATCTTTTCAGGGTAACTAACCCAGGGTGGGGCAGAACTGACTGGAACACAGACAAGTCTCACTCAACCGTCAGGTCAGGTCGTTCTATCACCTGGCACATCCGCCAGCCCCACGGTGCTCATTGAAGTGCTCAGCAACCACATTCCTAGGAGACACTGCCTTATGTCTTTTTCAGGCTCATGCAAAACCTCATTGGGTGGGTTTTTCAGTTTTTAGAAACAGTTTTCTAGCTTCACAGTCGGAGAGAGTCCAGAAGGCAGAAATCATTTGTCTTGTCCCCTGAATAACACCATCCAATTTTCTGATAAGCCATGCGTCACCAAGGAATGGAAACTAGGCTTGGGGAAAAAAATGTCAATGTCCCAGAGGTTAGGTTTTTTTTTTTTTTTTTTTTTTTTTGAGACAGAGTTTCCCTCTTGTCGCCCAGGCTGGAGTGCAATGGCATGATTGTGATTTCGGCTCACTGCAACCTCCACCTCCCAGGTTCAAGTGATTCTCCTGCCTCAGCCTCCCATGTAGCTGGGATTACAGGCACCTGCCACCATGCCCGGCTAATTTTTGTATTTTCAGTAGAGATGGGGTTTCACCATGTTGGCCAGGGTGGTCTTGAACCCCTGACCTCAGGTGATCCGCCCGCCTCGGCTTCCCAAAGTGCTGGGATTACAGGCGTGAGCCACCGCGCCCAGCCCAGGGGTTAGCTTTTTACAGGAATGATATACCAGAAGATTCCTCCCACCCCAGTGCATCCACCTGATCCTTTGGGAGGCCCCACTCCAACACCTCAGGCTGTCCTCTGGGAAGAGTGACCCAAGGGCCGATATCCACTAGGCCCTCCATGAGATTGGCAGCTTCCAGCATCTTAGGGTAGCCCCAGAAAGTTCCATAACACAGGGCCTGGAAAAGATACAGGGTGGGCTGAGGTCACATCACCCTGTAAAGGACATACTGAGAAGGCATCTGTGCCTAGGGGAGATAAAAGAGGCACAAAGGTTTGGTTTTTTTTACAGCAGTGTCAGGTGGTTATTCTCTTCTTCCTCACATGTGAAATGTTAAGGAAAACAAAATAAATCTGTTTAAAAAGAGCCATACATTGCTATCTGAAAACAAACGACAAAATTCTGTGTCTATTTGAAATATCGTCTTGCTGACAAAGGGTTCATAACGTTACTGGGAATTGAGGAGTGAAGTTAGCATATGGAAGGCTCTGGAAACCAAAAGATTTACTGTTAGCCCCAAGAGGAGTTAGGATGAAGGGACAGGTCTCAAAGACCCTGATGCCAATATCTTTGAAAGCCTCGGAGGAGAAATGGTCGCCCTTGGAAAGAAAGGACTGAAGAGCACAGAGACCACAGCTCCTCCCACACACAAACCCCACACACGAGTCTGGTTTGT
Source organism: Homo sapiens (assembly GCF_000001405.40). Classification (NCBI taxonomy): domain Eukaryota; kingdom Metazoa; phylum Chordata; class Mammalia; order Primates; family Hominidae; genus Homo; species Homo sapiens. The sequence goes on from NC_000019.10 coordinate 12,293,874, forward strand.
GCCTAGTGACCCTCCCACCGTCACCGTGCAGCCTCCTCACCGGGCTCACAGGAACTGCGAGCCAGGCTGGAGGCGAGATTGCAGTTAGATATTAACCAGGTGCCCTCAGCCCCGCTGCTTCACAGGAAGCCGCCTCCCTGAGAGTCAGGTCACAGCAGACGCTGACCGCCGGCTTCCCCATTGGCCTGGGGATAAGATCTCTGAGAGTTGCTCAAGAGTCGTCTAAGTTCTTTCTCAGATCTTGAATTCCAGCGGAAAGGCTGGCGCCAAGCAGGCTGAAGACCCCACAAGGAAGCCCACTCAGCAGCAGAATGCGGTTTCTTCACCTCCAGTCCCAAGATTCACCCCTCACTTCTCCACCAACCAGCGACCCCACATCCCAACCACCCCCGTCCAGACCCCTAAACACCCCATCCTCAAACCTCTCACGGAGGCGGATCTAGGGTGTCCTCTCCTATTAAACCGTTTCTGCTGCAGCCCTCGGCGTCCGGGTGCAGTGACTTGGGCTGCGAACCTGTACTGGTTCCGCCGCACAATCTGGGGAGAAGCGGGGCTGAGGGCGCGGAGCTGCCCAGAGAGGGGCGCCGGGGCCGGGGCCGCAGTCGCAGCTCAGGGACGGGACAGGACGCCCGGGGTCCCGGCTGCCGGCCCAGCCCCACCCTGCGGCCAAACGGACCGAGGACCGAGGTGCGCAGGGGGCGCTCAGGTCCCAGACCCCAAAGACGCTGCGGCGAGGCCCGGGTCCCGCCACAGCCGGTTCCGACTGGTTCCGACCAGCCCTTCGCCCTGCCTCAGGACGCCGGGCCCCGCACACTCACCATTTCCCGGCTGTGCGGTGTCCCGGGTCCTCCCAACTCCCGTAGTCAGGGTAGGTCCCAGCGCGACAAAAGCCACCACAGATGTCCCAGGGCGTCTCTCAGTGACAGAATACGGAACAGAGGTCACCAGGGTGAAGAGGCCACTAGCTCCTGGAACGTCACACCCTCCTCTCTGCCTCGCGCCTGATTGACAATTCTCAGGAACCCGCCCACGACTTTGATTGGGTAGCCCTCCAGGTCCCGCCTCCTGGGCACTGAGTGACAGAAGAAGCGATCTCACAGTGCTGAGTGCAGCCGGATGAACAGGTTCCAGACCCGGCCCCTGGCAGGGCGGGCTTCCTCCCTGCGTTGTGACCCGACCCGTCCCGGGAAACGTTTGCCTTAAAGCGGAATTTCCTACCTGTACGCAGTGGGCCCTTTTTGCTTCTTCCTCCTGAACAATTGTGTGCAAGGAATCCCAGACTCACTGTCCAGTGGAGCCATCCCTTGGCCTCAGAGCAGGAGGGCAGCCGAGGCCACACAGGCCACACTGTAGCAGCGGGGGACAGGGGGTGGGTGGGTGGGGGGGTGGTGCTGATGTCCTCCAGGGACCAGGAATTTGGGATGAGGCTGTCGCCTGCAAGGTCAAGCCTTTCTTCCACTATAAGCGCTGGATGGGTTCTTTCTGCGCGCTACGCAAATAAAGACCACGGTATTGCAGTTAAAAAAAAAGTTTAATAAACACTAGGCCAGCTACGATACGTGAGAGACGGAGTTACTACTCAAATTATTCTCATCCAAGGTCCTCTGGTAGGGGTTTTTCAAGGGCAGTTTGGGAGAAAGGGTGGAGGTAGCTAGGCTTGCTACTGACTGGTTGGGGTGGGGATGAAATCACTGGGGATGGAATCTGTCCTCTTGGCAGTGCGTGGTGGCTCACCGCTGTAATCCCAATACTTTGGGAGGCCTAGGTGGGAGGATCGCTTGAGGCCAGTAGTTCAAGACCAGCCTGGACATAGAGTGAAACTCCGTCTCTATACTATAAGGGAGGAGACCACCCCTCATATTGTCTTATGCCCAATTTCTGCCTCCAAAGAAGAAGTAAAAACTAAAAGGCAGAAATGAAATCCACAGGCAGATAACCCGGCTTGTGCCCTGGGCTGGGTAGTTAAAAATCAACCTCTGACCTAACTGTGTTATCTATGATTCCAGACATTGTATGGAAAAGCACTGTGAAAATCCCTGTCCTGTTCTGTTCAGTTCTGGTTACCGGTGCATGCAGCCCCCAGTCACGTACCCACTGTTTGCTCCATCAATCACGACCCTCTCACGCGGACTCCTAGTTGTAAGCCCTTAAAAGGGACAAGAATTGCTCACTCGGGGAGCTCGGTTTTTGGAGACGTGAGTCCGCCGATGCTCCCAGCCCAGCTGAATAAAGCCCTTTCCTTCCACAACTCGGTGTCTGAGGGGTTCTTGTCTGCGGCTTGTACTGCTACATATTTAAAAAAGAAAAAAAGAGGCCGGGCCCGGTGGCTCACACCTGTAATCCCAGAACTTTGGGAGGCCCAGGCGGGCGGATCACCTGAGGTCGGGAGTTTGAGACCAGCCTGACCAACATGGAGAAAGCTCGTCTCTACTAAAAATACAAAATTAGCTGGGCGTGGTGGCACATGTCTGTAATCCCAGCTACCTGGGAGGCTAAGGCGGGAGAATCACTTGAACCCGGGAGGTGGAGGTTGCGGTGAGCTGAGATCGCGCCAAGCCGAGATCGTGCCTTTGCACTCCAGCCTGGGCAACAAGAGCGAAACTCCGTCTCAAAAAAAAACAAAAAAAAGACAAAAAAAAAAAAAACCTATCCTGTTATGCTGAATCACTTCTGGTTGGGGCCACAGGAGCAGAGTTGGCAGGTGCAGGTGGTGTCAGACATGCAAAAAAAAAACAAACAAACAAACAAAAACTGAAAATACGTCTACAAATGCTAATCTACAATAGTGGTGTTATCTGCAGAAATAGCTGGCAATCTATGTCTACACTTTAGCAGCATTCCGATTCCTTTCATCCCTCAGCCTGATGGCCATTCATTCGTTTTACAAAGGCAGTTGAGTTTTGGGGAAGGCTTATTATCATTTAAGCTATCTTCCAAAGTTAGCTGTGCCTAAGAGCCCAGGATTAAGGGAAAGAGAAGACAGAGGGTTGGCAGGGGCGGGGGGCGGGGCGGGGCAGAACGGGTGTTGGCTCAGATCTCTTCCACTGCCATAATTTTCTCACTGATATAATTTTTTTGCGATCTATTCATTTTCATCCCAGAAAATAAAAACACATCAACAATGAAATGAAATTGTTAAATGTGTGAAAAAACTGGAATTATAGGGCAGCATGGTTGTTTTTTTTTTGTTTTATTTTGTTGTTTTTGTTTTTGTTGTTGTTGTTTTTGAGATAGAGTCTCACTCTGTTGCCCAGGCTTGAGTGTAGTGGCGCGATCTCGGCCCACTGCAACCTCCGACTCCCAGGTTCAAGCGATTCTCCTGCCTCAGCCTCCCGAGTAGCTGAGACTACAGGTGCACACCACCATGCCCAGCTAATTTTTGTTTTTTTAGTAGAGATAGTGTTTCACCATGTTGGCCTGGCTGGTGTTGAACTCCTTACCTCAGGTTTATTTGCTTGCCTCTGCCTTCCAAAGTGCTGGGATTCCAGGCATGAGCCACCACACCTGGCCTGACAGCATGTATTCTATTAAAGGAATCAGAAGAGAAGAAAAGAAAAAATATCTCGTTCAGGGAAGTAAGCAGGAAACCCCCTTTCAGGAAGTTAAACAGATTCCCGAGCTTGAGAGCCAGACTCTTGACTCCTGAAATGGAGCCCCAGAGTGGATCAGCACCTGATGATGAGGGAGAGACATTGAAGGATTTAACTCTGGGAGCTCAACTTGCCCTCCTCTGCACAGTGTAGAAACACTCTTTCCTTCAAGACTTTAAATGTTAATGACTTAAAAGCTCCAATCGGAAGCCGAAACATTAGGGAATGAATTTGAAAACATGAGGGTTTCCCCATATTTCTATGAAGCAAAAGTAGAAAACCTAAAACCACCATGAACTGGAAGCTGGAACTAATGGCTAAAAAAGAAAGGAGTCAAACATCAGGTGTCATTCGATGAAATAAAATCTTTATTCAATTTGTAAAAATGGTAGTGTTTCCAGACAGGAAAAATGGGCATGTTTGGAAAATAAGGAAAAGAAATGATATCTGATTATAGCTAACAAATAAATGATACTCTTGCCTTCAAAAATCACACAAAGACACACACACACACACACACACACACAGAGAGAGAGAGAGAGAGAGAGAGAGAGAAAGAGAGATATCCTATCACCTAGCACTTTGGGAGGCCGAGGCAGGCGGATCACAAGTTCAGGAGTTGGAGATCAGCCTGGCCAGTATGGTGAAACTCCGTCTCTACTAAAAATACAAAAATTAGCTGGGCATGGTGGGGCGCGGTGGCTCACGCCTGTAATCCCAGCACTTTGGGAGGCCAAGGCGGGCAGATCACGAGGTCAGGAGATTGAGACCATCCTGGCCAACACGGGGAAACCCCATCTCTACTAAAAATACAAAAAAATTAGCCGGGCGTGGTGGCGGGCGCCTGTAGTCCCAGCTACTCGGGAGGCTGAGGCAGGAGAATGGCGTGAACCCAGGAAGCACAGCTTGCAGTGAGCTGAGATCATGCCACTGCACTCCAGCCTGGGTGACAGAGCGAGACTCCGTCTCAAAAAAAAAAAAAAAAAGAAATGCAGAGGATCAGGTCTTATCCATGACCTGCTTAATGAGAAGCTGGATTTGAAGGTCTGTAGTTTCCTGTGAAAGTTTGAGAAGTGCATCTGACAGTGATTAGTGATTCAGCCCAAAGGGTATTTCATACTCCTCACCGGTGAGATAATTGAATTCACAGAGTATCTGAGGTAGGGGAGATCCAGTGGGCTGTGAGGGGCTGGGGCTGGAACTGAAAGCAAAGACTGGCGAGACATCCCGAAGAAGACAATGTGGGCCGGGCGCGGTGGCTCACACCTGTAATCCCAGCACTTTGGAAGGCTGAGGTGGGTGGATCACAAGGTCAGGAGTTCGAGACCAGGCTGGCCAACATGGTGAAACCCCGTCTCTACTAAAAATACAAAAATTAGCTGGGCATGGTGGTGCGCACCTGTAGTCCCAGCTACTAGGGAGGCTGAGGCAGGAGAATCGCTTGTACCTGGGAGGTGGAGGTTGCACTCCAGCCTGGGTGACAGAGCGAGACTCCGTCTCAAAAAAAAAAAAAGAAAAGAAAAAAAAGAAGACAATGTGGATGAAAGCGAGGCCACTTTACCAACACTGGTATGGCCTGGCTCGCTGATCCTCACTATGGGAACGACCACTCATGATAACTGACCAGGAGTGTCTGTGGGCCATTGATCACCACACTCAGGCCCCAGAGCATGCGCACTCCAACCAATCCTCGCAACTTGGAATGAGAGAAAATAGGCACACAGAGAAGTGAGGAAATGGAGGCCCTGTTTGTTGAGCTGGGGAGGAATGGGATATGATGGAGGTGAAATGTTTCTGCTTTCCTTGAGGGCCAAAAGACATTATAGGCCATGTGAGACAGAGATGGGCCACACTGTTCAGTTTGGCAGGGATATTCAGTACCTGCCATACTGTCAGTGGAAAGTCACAACAAATACCAAAATGTCATCTTTCAAAGGATCCTTGCTTGCACAATTTTAAAACCAGGCCAGGGGTGGTGGCTCATGCCTGTAATCCCAGCACTTTGGGAGGCTGAGTCGGGTGGATCACCTGAGGTCAGGAGCTCCAGACCAGCCTGGCCAACGTGGTGAAACCCAGTCTCTACTAAAAGTACAAAAATTAGCTGGGCGTGGTGGCACACGCCTGAAGTCCCAGCTACTCAGGAGGCTGAGGCAGGAGAGTCGCTTGAACCTGGGAGGCAGAGGTTGCAGTGAGCCGAGATCATGCCACTGCACACAAGCCTGGGTGATAAAGAGAGACTCTGTCTCAAAAACAAAACAAAACAAAAAACCCGTATGAAAACTAAACCTGGCTGGGCGCGGTGGTTCATGCCTGTAATCCCAGCACTTTGGGAGGCCGAGGCGGACGGATCGCGAGGTCTGGAGATCGAGACCATCCTGGCTAACATGATGAAACCCCGTCTCTACTAAAAATACAAAAAATTAGCCAGGCATTGTGGCGGGTGCCTGTAGTCCCAGCTACTGGGGAGGCTGAGGCAGGAGAATGGCGTGAACCCGGGAGGTGGAGCTTGCAGTGAGCCAAGATCATGCCACTGCATTCCAGCCTGGGCGACACAGCAACACTCCGTCTCAAAAAAGAAAAAAAAAAATTCTGTCTGGCTGGACTCGGTGGCTCATGCCTGTAATCCTAGCACTTTGGGAGGTCTAGGTAGGCGGATCACCTGAGGTTAGGAGTTTGAGACCAGGCTGACCAACATGGAGAAACCTCGTCTCTACTAAAAATACAAAATTAGCCGGTCGTGGTGGCACATGCCTGTAATCCCAGCTACTCAGGAGGCTGAGGCAGGAGAATCGCTTGAACCTGGGAGGCGGAGGTTGTGGTGAGCCAAGATTGCACCATTGCACCATTGCACACCAGCCTGGGCAACAAGAGCGAAACTCTGTCTCAAAAAAAAAAAAAATCTGTCTATATTTTCAATAAGCAGGTAGTGTGACAGGTTAAGGAGGACAGAAAAAAATAAAAATGGATGCGGAACTTACCCATGATATCACAGCCTTACGCTGGAAGATGGTGGTTTCTTTTTCTTCTTTCTCTTTTTTTTTTTTTTTGAGACACGGTCTCATTCCCACACCTAGGCTGGAGTGCAGTGGTATGATCCTGGCTCACTGCGGCCTTGACCTCTGGAGCACAGGTGATCCTCCCACTTCAGCCTCCTGAGTAGCTGGGACTATAGGTGCCTGTCACCACACCCAGCTACTTTTTGTATTTTTTGTAGAGCCAGGGTTTTGCCACGTTACCCAGGCTGTCAGGCTGGTCTCAAACTCCTGGACTCAAGGGATCCACCCACCTCGGCCTCCCAAAGTGCTGGGATTACGGGCATGAACCACCACGCCTAGACTGGAAGATGGTTTCTTTTTTTTTTTTTTTTGAGATGGAGTCTCGCTCTGTCACCCAGGCTGGAGTGCAGTGGCGCGATCTCAGCTCACTGCACACTCCGCCTCCCAGGTTCACACCATTCTCCTGCCTCAGCCTCCCGAATAAAATAAAATAAAATAAAGTAAAATAAAATAAAATAAAATAAAATAAAATAAAATAAAATAAAATAAAATAAAATAAAATAAAATGAATAAAATAAAATAAAATACTGGAGGTCTCAGCACAACCCTGAGAAATCCACACCCTAGAAACAATGTGTGAATGTTAATGCCACCCTTACTACAACATGGAACTTTTTATTTTTCTTACTGGAAAATGGCTAAAAACAGTTTATTGGAGGACTTTATTTTTAAAGAGTTGGGGTCTCACTCTGTGGCCCAGGCTGGAGTGCAGTTGTGTGATCATACCTTACCGTAACCTGAAACTCCTGGGCTCAAGTGATTTTTCCCAACTCAGCCTCCCAAACAGCTGGAGGACTTTTATACAGGAGAATATAGATAGAAGTAAAGGAAACTCAGTTTGGTTTCATTTATATAATTTAACTTTTCCTAGGTTAAGAAAGCAATAAAGTCTATAAACCTTAAATGGATTTCCCTGAATATGAAAAGTGCAAGAAATAAATTCTACAAATGGAAAGACGTAGGAGTAATTGAAGTGGTACGAAGAAGTCTCCTTGAGAAGGTGACATTTAATGTGAGACCTGAAATGTATATTAGTGTAAAAACTCAGGGCACAGCCGGGGAGGGTGGCTCACACCTGTAATCCCAGCACTTTGAGATGCTGAGACAGGAGGATCACTGGAGGCCAGGAGTTTGAGACCACCCTGGGTAACATAGCAAAACAACTTCTCTACAAAATAATGAAAAAATTAGGTAGGCAAAGCAACACAAGCCTGGGCATGATAGTCACAGATCAGGAGGCTAACGTGGTTAGAATGTTTGCACCCAGAAGGTCAAGGCTGCAGGGAGCCATCATCAGGCCACTGCACTCCATCCTGGGCAACAGAGCCAGAAACGGTCTCAAAACAAAAACAAAAACAGTCAACCAAGAAGTCAATATCTGGCAACAGTGTCTTTCAAAAGTGAGGAAGAGGCAGGGCACGGTGGCTCACAGCTGTAATCCCGACACTTTGGGAGGCTGAGGCTGGCGGATCACCTGAGGTCAGGAGTTTGAAACCAGCCTGGCCACCATGGTGAAACCCCATCTCTACTAAAAATACAAAAATTAGGCAGGCATGGTGGCGCACACCTGTATTCTCAGCTACTCAGGGGGCTAAGGCAAGAGAATAGCTTGAACCCGGGAGGCAGGGGTTTCTGTGAGCCGAGATTACGCCACTGTACTTCAGCCTGGGCGACAAAGGGAGACTCCATTTCAGAAAAAAAAAAAAAAAAAAAAAAAACAGGAAGAAATTAAGAAATTTTCACATAAACAAAAACTGAAGTAGTTTTTTTTGTTGTTGTTTTTTTAAATTTTGTTTTGTTTTTTCAATCATTAGAGGTGTTCTGCATGAAATGCAAAGGGTGCCCTGGAGGGTGAAATTGAAGTACACTAGACAGTATTGGGAGGCCTTATGTGAAAATAAAAATCTCAGTAAAAACAAATACATGGACAATGATAAAAGCTAGTATTATTGTACAATAATTTTGAACTTCAGGTTTTGTTTTCTACATAACTTAAGAGCCTAATGTATATAAAATATATTTGTCTAAAAGTGAATATTATTTTAAGTTGGACTTGGAACTCCATATTTTTTATATAGTTTAAGAGACATGGCCAGGCATGGTAGCTCACGCCTGTAATCCCGGCACTTTGGGAGACCGAGGCAGGTGGATCACCTGAGGTCACGAGTTCGAGACCAGCCTGACCAATATGGTGAAACCCTGTCTGTACTAAAAATACAAAAATTAGCTGGGCGTGGTGGCAGGCGCCTGTAATCCCAGCTACTTGGGAGGCTGAGGCAGAAGAATTGCTTGAACCCGGGAGGCAGAGGTGGCAGTGAGCCGAGATTGTACCACTGCACTCCAGTCTGGATGACAGAGCAGGACTCCATCTCAAAAAAAGAAAAAAGGAACAAATGCATTAAAAATATCCTTTTTTTGACACACAAAGTAGAAGGATGCAAATTTATGACATCAACTTAAAAGAGGTGTGAATGAACCTATAATGGTGTAGCATTTTGGTATGTTATTGAAGTTAAATTGGCATCAATTTAGAGTGTTGTAACTTTAGGATAGTAAATGTAATCTCCATGGCAATTATAAACAATACAGCAAGAGCATATACACAAAACAAAATAAGAAGGAAATTTAAATGTTTCACTACAAAAAGCAACTAAAAGCAAAAGAACACAGTAATACAGGAAATGAGGGACAAAAAAGCTATAAGGAATACAGAAAACAAACAGCAGAATGCCGGAAGATCCTCCTTATCAGAAATTACTTTAAATGTTAATGCATTAAACTCTTCAATCAAAAGATAAGACATCTGACTTTTAATTTGAAAACATGAGGATTTCCCCATATTTTTATAAAGTGGAAGTACCAGATATAAAAGCATTATGAACTGGAAGCTGGAACCCACGGCTAAGAAGAAAGGAGCCAAACATCAGATGTCATTAGATGAAACAAAATCTTTAGTCAACTTGTAAAAACTGTAATGTTTTCTGCCGCGACATGTGGGCATGTTAGGAAAATAAGAAAAAAAAATGATGTCTGAGTATAACTAATGAATAAATGATACTATTTCCTTAGGGAACTACACACAGACACAGACACAGACACACACACACACACACACACACACACACACACACACACACACAAACACACACAGTCTAAGATCACAGGACATTGTTCCTTCCCTGAAAAATAAACTACTGCTCTGTAAGATGCTCCACTCCTCACTCCTCACATTAACTGCTCCTGGAATAATGTCATATTTTGTTGTTTGCAGATAGGCATTAAAAGAGGGTGTAGCGGGCTGGGCGCGGTGGCTCATGCCTGTAATCCAAGCACTTTGGGAGGCCGAGGAGGGCGGATCACGAGGTCAGGAGATCAAGACCATCCTGGCTAACATGGTGAAACTCTGTCTCTCTAAAAATACAAAAAATTAGCCGGGCATGGTGGTGGGCGCCTGTAGTCCCAGCTACTCGGGAGGCTGAGGCAGGAGAATGGCATGAACCCAGGAAGCGGAGCTTGCAGTGAGCCGAGATGGCGCCACTGCACTCCAGCCTGGGCAACAGAGCGAGACTCCATCTCAAAAAAAAAAAAAAGGCGGGTGTAGGGCCAGGCGCAGTGGCTCACCCCTGTAATCCCAGCACTTTGGGAGGCCAAGGTGGGTGGATCACGAGATCAAGAGATCGAGACATGGTGAAACCCCATCTCTACTAAAAATACAAAAATTACCTGGGCATGGTGGCGCATGCCTGTAGTCCCAGCTACTAGGGAGGCTAAGGCAGGAGAATTGCTTGAACCCGGGAGGCAGAGGCTGCAGTGAGCCGAGATTGCACCATTGCACTCCAGCCTGGCGACAGAGTGAGACTCCATCTCAGGCCGGGTGTGGTGGCTCATGCCTATAATCCCAGCACTTTGGGAGGCCAAGGCAGGCGGATCACGAGGTCAGGAGTTCAAGACCAGCCTGGCCAACATGGAGAAACCCCATCTCTACTAAAAATACAAAAATTTGCCGGGCATAGTGGTGCATACCTGTAATCCCAGCTACTCGGGAGGCTGAGGCAGGAGAATCGCTTGAACCCAGGAGGCGGAGGTTGCAGTGAGCCGAGATCGCGCCATGGCACTCAAGCCTGAGCAACAGAGCAAGACTCCATCTCAAAAAGAAAAAAAGAAAAAAAGAAAAAGAAGGGGGTGTAGTGTGTCGAACTAAGTGGGTGTCAGGGGTTCACTTACAGACTTTGTATGTTTTTACAAACTGCAGCAATTAAGTCGTCAATTACCGTGTTGATTTAAATACATATAAAAACTTTCAGACAAAAATAGACGTTCACATTACCATGATGAAAAAAGTCAGTAATGGTGATTCCTCTGTGAAACTAGAAAAGAAATCCAGTGGTTAAACTTGGCAGCTCCAAGGGTATCACTGCCCCCTAGGACAGTGGTCCCCAACCTTTTTGGTAGCAGGGAGCAGTTTCATGGAAGACAACTTTTCCACAGACTGCGGGGGAGGGGTGCGGTTTTGGGAGGATTCAGCTGCATTAAATCTATTGTGCACTTTATTTCTATTATTATTACATTGTAATATATGATGAAATAATTATACAACTCACCATAATGTAGAATCAGTGAGAGCCCTGAGCTTGTTTTCCTACAACTAGATGGTCTCATCTGGAGGTGACGGGAGACACTGACAGATCATCAGGCATTAGATTCTCATAAGGGGCGTGCAACCTAAATCCCTCACATGCACAGTTCACAACAGGGTTCGTGCTCCTATGAGAATCTAATGCTACTGCTGATGTGACAGGAGGCAGAGTTCCGGCAGTAACGTGAGTGGCCCAGTTCCTAACAGGCCATGGACCTATTACTGATCCGTTGCCCAGGGGTTAGGGACCCCTGCCCTAGGCAACATCTTGAAGATCTATTTGAAATACACTTCTTGACTTTTCTTTTTTCTTTTTGAGACAGAGTCTTGCTGTGCTGCCCAGGCTGGAGTGTAGTGGTGCGATCTCAGCTCATTGCACCCTCTGCCTCCTGGGTTCAAGAGATTCTCCCACCTCAGCCTCTTGAGTAGCTGGGATTACAGGCATGCGCCACCACACTGGCTAATTTTTTGTATTTTTAGAAGAGATGAGGTTTTGCCACGTTGGCCAGGCTGGTCTCAAACTCCTGGCCTCAAGCGATCTGCCCGCCTCAGCCTCCCAAAGTGCTGGGACTACAGGTATGAGGCACCGTGCCCAGCCTGAAATACATTTCAATACAAGTTATTCCCCTGAATAAAGAATCAGCTCTTATCAAAGCCTAAAGTGATCAAATGCTTGCCAAAAGCTGCCGTTGATCCGGGTTTTTTTCTGTTTTTTTTTTTTTTTTTTTTTTTTTGAGAGAAGTCTCACTCTTATCCCCCAGGTTTGAGTGCAATGGCTCGATCTTGGCTCACTGCAACCTCTGCCTCCTGGGTTCAAATGATTCTCCTGCCTCTGCCTCCCAAGTAACTGGGATTAAGTCGCCTGCCACCACACCTGGCTAATTTTTGTATATTTTAGTAGAGATGGGGTTTCACCATGTTGGCCAGGCTGGTTTTGAACTCCTGACCACAAGTGATCTGCCCGCCTCGGCCTCACAAAATGCTGGGATTACAGGCATGAGCCACTGCGCCCGTCAATCCAGTTTTGTTTCATTCAAACTCTCTGTGGCCTGTGACATAGGTGACCACTCTCCCATCTTGAAATACCTTCTCCTGGAGGATTCCAGGAAGGGACACCCAATTCATTCTCCTCCTAAGTCACTGGCCTGCCCAGTCTCTTGCAGGCTGCTCCTCCTGCTAACCTCAGAGGTGGACAGCCATTGGTCTCCTCCTGAGCACTTGTCTTCTGCTACACTTTGCCCCTTACCCTGAAACAAGGTGGCTTCTGCTGGACCCAGGGCATCAAATAGCATCCATATGATAATGTTTTCCAAATTTCATTTAGATCTTTCTCTCAGGCTCCAGATCCAATACCCTGGTCAACACTTCGCTTGTTTGACTCAAACATGCCATGAGTGATTACAAAACATAACCCTTCATTTCCCCTCCAATCATCTCCCCTGGCCTTGGTCCTCTGAGTGAGGGGAAGCACCCAGGGGCTCTGAAAATAGGATTCATCCTTGCCTCTCTTCTCTCCTTCACTCCATCAGAAATCCTACGGGAGCTGCCCCTGCCTGTGTAACTCCTAGTCAACCTTCAGGAATTTTTTTTTGTTTTTTTTGAGACGAGTCTTGCTCTGTCGCCCAGGCTGGAGTCCAGTGGCGTGATCTCGGCTCACTGCAACCTCTGCCTCCCAGATTCAAGCAATTCTCCTGCCTCAGCCTCCCATGTAGCTGGGATTACAAGCATGTGCCACCATACCTGGCTAATTTTTGTGTTTTTTAGTAGAGGCAGAGTTTCACCATGTTGGCCAGGTTGGTCTAGTCTGGAATTCCTGACCTCAAGTGATCAGCCCACCTCAGCCTCCAAAAGTGTTGGAATTACAGGCGTAAGCCACTGCGCCTGGCCACCTTCAGGCTTTGAGAATTAGTCTCACTGGGGAAGCCTCCCTTAGTCTCTCAGACTAGTGTGAGAACCCTCTCCACCATCATATTTTAGAGCCACACACTCTTCTCTACTGCGCTGAAGACGATCACCACTGATCCTTTGTTTATGTCCAGAACTGCTAAACAGTGGGATTGATGGGGCCTTTCCCCACCCTGGAACCCGGCTCCAAAAACACAGCTTGGGTTCATAACTAGACTTCTCAATACACAACCTTCTGTCGATATCCACTAATATTACCCAAACCCACGCCAGCACAGCCTCTCTTCAAACTACAACTATGGCTTTTAAGCTGGTCTCCCAGGTCCCCTCTACCATCTATTCTCTGCCCACCAGCAGGAGTAAGCTTCTTCAAACACAAACCAAACATCACTTCTCTGCTCAAAATCCCATAAACGGCCGGGCGCGATGGCTCACGCCTATAATCCCAGCACTTTAGGAGGCCAAGGTTGGTGGATCACAAGGTCAGGAGTTTGAGACCAGCCTGGCCAATATGGTAAAACCCCGTCTCTACCAAAAATACAAAAATTAGCTGGGCATGGTGGCAGGCACCTGTAGTCCCAGCTACTCGGGAAACTAAAGCAGGAGAATCACTTGAACCCGGGAGGCAGAGGTTGCAGTGAGCCGAGATCGTGCCATTGTACTCCAGCCTGGACGACAGAGCAAGACTCTGTCTCAAAAAAAAAAAAAAACTATAAAAGTGTAACCTATCTTTAAAAGCGTAACTTATCCTATAAAAGTGTAACTTTACTGCCTATCTAACCACGTCTTTTATTACCTGAGCACTCTATGTTCCATGGACCAACACGATGACACGTGGGAGCGAGTTAGAAACGTGGACTCTCACACTCTGTCCCTAATCTGCTGAGCCAGAAGCTGAATTTGAGGATCTATAGTTCCCCGTGAAATTTCAGAAGTGCGTCTTACAAGTTTCCCCCTTAACCTGACCCAGCCATAAGGGTATTGCATATTCCTCACCACTAGGGTATTTGAATTAACAGAACATCTCAGGTGGGGGCAGCAAGGGGCTGGGGCTGGGGCTGGAACTGGGAGAGGAGACAAGTGAGACATCCTTAAGAAGATGATGTGGCGAGGGCGAGGCCGCCTTCCCAGCACTGCTATGTCCTGGCCCACTGCTCTTGAAGTGCAGGAATGGCCACTCACGGGAACTGATCAGGAGGATGCATGTGTGCTCAGCAATGTGCTGAGGCTGTAGCGCTTGCACATGGCCACCCATGTGCTCAGTCTGGGAGTTTGGTATTCAGGGAAGCGTGTGCACCAGCAGGCAGCAAAAGTATGTGGGTCCTCCTTGCCAGCCAGCCCATACTGCTCGGGGATGGGCTGAAAGTGATGGAGAAGAAGGGTTTTCTTTGCTCCAAGAGGCCAGTGGTAAAGTCACAACAAACACCAAAATGTCATGTTTCATAAGCTCTTTAGCTATACAGCAATTTTAAAACCATCTAAGAATTAAACATATTTCTGGGCACAGTGGCTCACACTTGCAATCCCAGCACTTTCAGAGGCTTAGGTTGGAGGATCGCTTGAGGCCAGGAGCTAGAGGCCAGCTTGGGCAACAAAGTGAGGCCCCCATCTCTAAAAAAAAAAAAAAAAAAAAATATATATATATATATATATATATACACACACACACATATATATACACATATATATGTATGTGTATATATATATGTATATATATATGTATGTGTGTGTATATATATATACACGTATATATATATTAGCAAGGCGTGGCAGGGTGTGCCTCTAGTTCCAGTTACTTGGGAGGCTGAGGCAAGAGGATGCCCTGAGCCCAGGTTCGAGGTTACAGTGAGCTATGATCATGCCACTGTACTCTATCCTGGTGAGACAAAATGAGACCCTATCTCTAAACAGAAAAATAAAAGAAGAGGCAATTAAACCTAAGTGTCTATTAGAAATACACTTCAATGCTGGGCACGGTGGCTCACGCCTGTAATCCCAACAGTTTGGGAGGCCGAAGCGGGTGGATCACCCGAGGTCACGAGTTTAAGACCAGCCTGGCCAACATGGTGAAATCTTGTCTCTACTAAAAATACAAAAATGAGCTGGGCATGGTGGCGGGCACCTGTAATCCCAGCTACTCAGGAGGCTGAGGCAGGAGAATCGCTTGAACCCGGGAGGCAGAGGTTTCAGTGAGCCGAGATCACGCCACTGCCCTCCAGCCTGGGCAACAGAGTGAGACTCTGTCTCAAAAAAAAAAGAAAAGAAAAAGAAAGAAATATACTTCAAGCAACTCAAGAATCCCAGAGAATACAAAATGGAAAGAAATTTTATTAACTGCTTCTATTAAGAAAACACTATTCGACTTATGAACCTTTATGTGAAGAAAACTTGCAAAAATATCTCACATCAATTTTTGTATGAAAGTAAGAAGTAGGATTCATAGTGTAGATTCATGTTAAGAATGAGGCACTGGTAAAGAGAAAGAGAATAGAGTTATACGTTTTCATTTCTTTCCTATTGCAAATTCTCTGGAGCATTATACATGTCTTAATTTTAATCAGATTTTCCTAAATTACTTACATTTATAGCATTTCTAGACAGCAGGGGTTGGGATGAAGAAACTTCAATCCAGCAAAGTTTGTATATATACATTCATGGAGGTGACATTTAAGTCATTTCATTAGGAAACTCTTTATTTTTTATTTTTTATTTTTTTGAGACGGAGTGTTGCTCTGTCACCCAGGCTAGAGTGCAGTGGCACTATCTCGGCTCACCACAATCTCCGCCTCCCGAGTTCAAGCAATTCTCCTGCCTCAGTCTCCCGAGTAACCTCCTGAGTACAGGCACCCGCTACTCCGCCCGGCTAATTTTTGTATTTTTAGTAGAGACGGGGTTTCACCATGTTGGCCAGGCTGGTCTCGAACTCCTGACCTCGTGATCTACCCACCTCGGCCTCCCAAAGTGCTGAGATTACAGGCGTTAGCCACTGTGCCTGGCCCATTAGGAAACTCTTAAAGTTGTCTGCAGATAGATACTGCACATGGAATTAGTCCTAGTCCTTGGAAAGTTATATGATTTTAATTCAATAGTGTATATTACTGTGAATACCGTATATGTTTCATCTCTAAGCAGGAAATTGAATCCATTAACAGTGTTAATAGTTTTGGGTTTTTTTTTTTTTTTTAGACAGGGTCTCACTCTGTCACTCAGGCTAGAGTGCAGTGGTGCAATCTTGGCTCACTGCAGCATCGACTTCCCAGGCTCAAGCAATCCTTCCATCTCAGCCTCCTGAGTAGCTGGGACTACAGGAACACACCACCAGACCTGGGTAATTTTTTGTATTTTTTGTAGAGATGAGGTTTCGCCATGTTGCCCAGGCTGGTCTCGAACTCCTGGGCTCAAGCGATCCATCCACCTCAGCCTCCCAAAGTGCTGGGATGACAGGCATGAGCCACCACACCTGGCCAACAGTGTTAATAGTTTTCCAGTTGTTTTGTCTTTAGTTTCCCAAGCAATGAATGCTATTATGGTCAAACATCATACTTGCTTCTTCCATCCCTTTCAACATATTGATCATTGCTTTTTTTTTGATATTAAGTAATAGAGGTTATTGTAATAAGTGATTGGAGTGAAACAGACATATTTGCTTTTGCTAGGTTCTGTTCCTCCTTTCACTGGGAAGCCCCTCACCCAGTCCCTCATCATGCTCTGCTCCAAAACACACCTTAACCAGAATCCAACAATGTTCATGTTCAAAATGAAAGACAAAACAAATATTTTCCTAGGCTTAAAAATATGAACATTGAGAGAATTTTTCCTGGCACACCAGCCCTACAAGACCAAAGTTGCCAGGTGCGGTGGCTCGCGTCTGTAATCTCAGCACTTTGGGAGGCCGAGGCTGGTGGATCACTAGAGGTCAGGAGTTTGAGAGCAGCCTGGCAAACATGGCAAAACCCTGTCTCTACAAAAAAAAAAAAAAATACAAAAATTAGCTGGGTGTGGTGGCACACGCCTGTAGTCCCAGCTACTTGGGGGGCTGAGGCAGGACAATCATTTGAACCCGGCAGGTGGAGGTTGCAGTGGCCAAGATAGAGCCACTGCACTCCAGCCTGGGACAATAGAGGAAGACTCCATCTCAAAAAAAAAAAAATTATTGAGTCTGTCAAAATCCACAGGAAAAAGCAGAGAGCACCATGCAAGACTATATAAGTGGAAAAGACAAACTGAATATGTGTTTCTTCACCTTTCTCCTTGTTATGGATTTACAAGTCAATTGTGTAAAGTAATAAGTAGTAATGGATTGTTAGGCCTACAACATAGAAAAATTTAACATACATGTATTATATTTATAAATAACACCATAAAAACTGAACTAAATGACTACCAGTGGAAAAGTAATAATTATAAGAATATATTGTTGAATGTGGAACACTGAGTTGTTACATATGCAACAAAGTACCCCAGAAAGGCAAAAACATAATAGAGCTATAGAGGACAAATATGTGTGTACATCACTGAAATTTAACCACATATTACTGGAGAACTGAGCCTGATTTTGATAAACTAACATTTACATGACAAACACTAGAGTAATCACTACAAAATCTTAGAACAAATGTAATGAAAAATAAATCATCCTACATTGGAAAGATATACTGGGTGAAGGCAGAATTTACTGTGCTTCCTTAATTAAAAATTGACTTGGGCCAGGCGCAGTGGCTCACGCCTGTAATCCCAGCACTTTGGGAGGCCAAGGTGGGCGGATCATCTGAGGTCAGGAGTTTGAGACCAGCTTAGCCGACATGGTGAAACCCCGTTTCTACTAAAAAAAATACAAAAATTAGCTGGGCATGGTGGCATGCGCCTGTAATCCCAGCTACTCAGGAGGCTGAGGCAGGAGAAATGCTTGAACCCGGGAGGCAGAGGTTGCAGTGAGTCGAGATCACGCCACTGCACTCCAGCCTGAGCAACAAGAGTTAAACTCCGTTTCAAAAACAAACAAACAAAAAATTGACTCTACATTCATTCCTTCTAACCTCTAACACAGGTAAAACCTCTAACACAGGTAAAACCTCTAACACAGGTACATTCATTCCATAACATATGGGGAGAAGATTTCCCTCATTCATCTAACGTGGAAATTTCCATGTTATATATTTCCACTTCAACCTTGACTCTACTACTAAAATCAGGAAATTCTTGTGCATGTCATGATCTCTTTCTATCCATTTCTTCAACCTCTAACACAGGTACAGAATTACAGGTTAATCATCTCTTTTTCTGCATTGCATTTTCTCAATTTTCTATTATTAGGGAGATCTTTTCCACTTTATTATTTTTAGTTTGTGCTACTTAACTTTCTCATATTTTGGAAGATTAGTCAGGAACAAAACTTTTAAGTGGCTCAATTATGTGTTTGTTTTGTTTTGTTTGTTTGTTTTTGAAACAGGGTCTCATTCTCTCACCCAGGCTAGAGTGCAGTGAAACAATCTCAGCTCACTGCAGCCTCCACCTCCTGGGCTCAAACGATTCTCATGCCTTAGCCTCCTGAGCAGCTGGGACCACAGGCATGCGCCACCACGCCCTGCTTTTTCTTTTTTTTTTCTTTGAGACGGAGTCTCACTCTGTCGCCCAGGCTGGAGTGCAGTGGCACGATCTCGGCTCACTGCAAGCTCTGCCTCCCGGGTTCACGCCATTCTCGTCTCAGCCTCCTGAGTAGCTGGGACTACAGGCGCCCACCACCATGCCCGGCTAATTTTTTGTATTTTTTTTAGTGGAGATGGGGTTTCACCGTGTTGGCCAGGATGGTCTCGATCTCCTGACCTCGTGATCTGCCCGCCTCGGCCTCCCAAAGTGCTGGGATTACAGGCGTGAGACACCACACCCGGCCTTTTTTTTTTTTTTTTTTTTTTGAGATAGAGTCTCGCTCTGTCACCCAGACTGGAGTGCAGTGGCGCGATCTCAGCTCACTGCAAGTTCTGCCTCCCGGGTTCAAGGGATTCTCCTGCCTCAGCCTCCTGAGTAGCTGGGATTATAGGCACCTGCCACCACACCTGGCTAATTTTTGGATTTTTACTAGACAGGGTTTCGCCATGTTGGCCAGGCTGGTCTCGAACTCCTGACCTCGTGATCTGCCCGCCTCAGCCTCCCAAAGTGCTGGGATTACAGGCGAGAGCCACTGCGCCCAGGCTTTTGTTGTTGTTGTTGTTTTGGTAGAGACAGGCTTTCACCATGTTGCCCACGCTGGTCTTGAACTCATGAACTCAAGCGATCCACCCGGCTTGGCCTCCCAAAGTGTTGGGATTACAGGCGTGGGCCACCGCCTTGCCTGGCCTCAATTATGTTTATGAATGTTGTGAAGTAGAAATTAATATTACCCCTTCAAATAAACAGGAAGGTGTTAGCATACCACACGGGTCCAAAGTGAGTATGGTTCAGATTGGGAACAAAGCTGTGTGGCAGTAGCTGACCTAAGCCTGGGATCAAATCTAAAGGTTGCCTGAGAGAAACAGGGACTGCGTAGGAACAGGTCTTCCATGAACACAGGAAAATGAACAAACTTAGTGCTGCAGACAAGGAGGAATGTGGCCCAGCGCTGCTTGGTAAGTTCATGGTCCAAGGGAGTCTTTGCACTTCTGTGGCTTTTTTTTTTTTTTTTTTGAGACGGAGTCTCACCCCTGTCGCCCAGGCTGGAGTGCAGTGGCAGGATCTTGGCTCACTGCAAGCTCTGCCTCCTGGGTTCACGCCATTCTCCTGCCTCAGCCTCTCTAGTAGCTGGGACTACATGCACCTGCCACCACGCCCGGCTAATTTTTTGTATTCTTTTAGTAGAGACGGGTTTCACCATGTTAGCCAGGATGGTCTCGATCTCCTGACCTCGTGATCCGCATGCCTCGGCCTCCCGAAGTGCTGGGATTACAGGCGTGAGCCACCGCACCCGGCCCACTTCTGTGGCTTCCCCCCCCCGCCATTTTCTCATGGTGCCAAAATTCACATAAGATAGAATTTACCTTGGCTGGGCACGGTGACTCACACCTGTAATCCCAGCACTTTGGGAGGCCAAGGCGGGAGGATCACGGGGTTCGAGACCAACCTGACCAATATGGAGAAACCCTGTCTCTACTAAAAATACAAAATTAGCTGGGTGTGGTGGCACATGCCTGTAATCCCAGCTACTCAGGAGGCTGAGGAAGAAGAAATCACTTGAACCTGGGAGGCAGAGATTGTGGTGAGCCAAGATAGCGCCATTGCACTCCAGCCTGGGCAACAAGAGCAAAACTCCATCTCAAAAAAAAAAAAAAAGATCTACAGGAAGGAGTTTCAGGCCAGCAAGGTCTGGCTTAGCTAGCTACACAATGCATTAGAGCTTCAAGAACTTGAAGAACATGGGAGAATTGGCCTTGGCTGATGCAAAGGAAACATCAGCATTCCTAGAAAAGCTCATGAAACTCATTAAAAAAAAAAAAAAAAAAGAGGCTAACTTCCAGAGCAAATCCTCCATTGTAATGAATCAGGCATGTTCTGGAAGAGGATGCCCAATTGTACCTTCATCACAAGAGTACAAAGAAAGCCTTGGGGTTCATGACTTGGAAAGATTGCCTTACTCTGGTGCTACGTGGCAATGCAGCAGGTCATAAGATCAAACAAAGCCTCCTCTACTAAGTAAACAATCCGTGGGTCCTTGAAAACAAAAGCGAAACTTGCCTGCCCGTGTCCTGACAAAAACACACGAGGACTTGGTTCTACCACTGCTTCATTCCTGATGTGAATGAATACCTTGAAAAGAAGGGGCTGCCACTCAAGGCCCTCCTCATAACTGACAACGCTCCTGGCATCTCTCTTCTCTCTGTTATGCCGATAAAAATGGGGAAGTGATGTTCCTGCCTCCTAAAACTACATCACTGCTACAACTACTTGATCAAAGCATCATCAAGTGCCTCAAGGTGTCTTACACCCACTGGACTTTTGGAAGGATTTATGCTGTCTTGATAATAACCCTCACCATGTCATACAGGATTTATGGAAGAGCTTCCCAACTGCAGAAACGATTGTGTTTATTGCGGAGGCTGTAAATGCCCTACAGCTCAAGACAGCCAAAGTGTGTTGGAAGCCATTATGGAGTGAGGAAGTCAATGATTTCAGGCGCTTCTGCACTATCGATATGATAGTCAGAAATATCTTAAATGTAAGGAAAGTTGGTGGGGAAGGCTATCTCTGACACAAGTGAAGACAATGTTGAGGAACACACAGAAGAGCAAAGAAGAAACCTTTACTAACAAGGAACTAGAAGATATGCTGAAATCCTCTATAGATGATGATGATGATGATGTAGATTTAGAAGAGGCAGTGCCGCCAGGCGTGGTGGCTCACGCCTGTAATCCCAACAGTTTGGGAGGCCGAAGCGGGTGAATCACCTGAGGTCACGAGTTTAAGACCAGCCTGGCCAACATGGTGAAACCCCGTCTCTACTAAAAATACAAAAATTAGCTGGGTGTGGTGGCGGGCACCTGTAATCCCAGCTACTTGGGAGGCTGAGGCATGAGAATCGCTTGAACCCAGGAGGCAGTGTTTGCAGTGAGCCGAGATCGTGCCACTGCACTCCAGCCTGGGTGACAGAGTGAGACTCAGTCTCAATAAATAAATAAAGAGGCAGTGCCATAAGTGGTGGCTCATGCCTGTAATCCCAGCATTCTGAGAGGCCAAGGCAGGCAGATCACTTGAAGTCACAGGGAGTTCAAAACCAGCTTGGCAAACATGGCGAAACCCTGTCTCTACTAAAAATACAAAAATTAGCTGGGCATGGTGGTGCATGCCTGTATTCCCAGCTACTTGGGTGGCTGAGGCAGGAGGATCACTTGAACTTGGGAGGTGGAGGTTGCAGTGAGCTGAGATTGTAATCCCAGCTCCTCAGGTGGCTGATGCAGGAGGATCACTTGAACCTGGGAGGTGGAGGCTGCAGTGAGCTGAGATTGCACCACTGCACTTCAGCCTCAGCGACAGAGTGAGACTCTGTCTGAAAAAAAAAAAAAGAAGCAGTGCTATAGATTTTGATACTTGAAAAATCTGAAGGCTGGGTGTGGTGGCTCACCCTGTAATCCTAGTAATTTGGGAGGCCAAGGCAGGCAGATCTCTTGATTCCAGGAGTTCAAGACCAGCCTGGGAAACATGGTGAAACCTTGTCTCCACAAAAAACACAAAAAGTAGCCAGGCATCGTGATGTGTGCCTATAATCCCAGCTACTTGGGAGGCTGAGGTGGGAAGATCACTTGAGCCCAGGAAGTTGAGGCTGCAGTGAGCCATGCACTGTAGGGTGACAGAGTGAGATCTTGTCTTAAAAAAAAAAAAAAAGAAAAGAAAAAGAAAAAAAAAGAAAAATTGGAAGCAGTTTTAGGGCACCTACAGCTTCTACAAGGCGCAAGTGTTAAAGATTATCATCCTCAATTAAGATTCTTCCATGGAACAAAGCCTCCATGTCACCCCAGAGATTACATGCTCACAAACGTTGCAAAGTTTAAAAAAAAAAAAACTAGCTTCCTACAATGTTTCTAATTAAATATCTGCAAATATGAAGACAGCCTTCAATGCTTAAAGATCTTCAGTCCTCAAATTGAACAGATTCTGACATTAGTATTATTTAGACTGCTCCAAAAATTCAGTATCTGCAGTCAGAATCTGTTTCTTCCAATATAGTTGATCATGTTGACATCCTGTCAAGATTCGAGTTAGCCTGAGGTCTCACTGCTTATCTGTGGTGTCACACATCTAGCTGACTCAACACATCACAACATTAGGCACGATATTGCAATAATCATCATTACACTTTTGTTGGGTGAATGTTAACACATTTTCAGGTCATTAAACAAAAGCAATCTATGAGTGTTGAAAGAAAAGATTTATAATGCTCTAGGTGACATGTATTATGTGGGTGGGTCTGTACTGAATATGTGTAGGGTCTTTCTCATATCATGATTCACTAAACAATATAATAACAACTATTTACATAGCTTCTATGATGCATGATGTATTTTAACTAATCTACAGATGATTTAGAGTATACAGGAGGATGTGGGTAGGTTACATGCAAATATTTTTTATTGTTATTATTTTTTTGAGACAGGGTCTCATTCTGTTGCCCATGCTAGAATGCAGTGATGTGATTTTGACTCACCGCAACCTCAACCTCCCAGGCTCAAGCGATCCTCCCACCTCAGCTTCCCTAGTAGCTGGGACTACAGGTACATGTCACCACACCTGGCTAATTTGTGTATCTTCTGTAGAGACAGGGTTTTGCCACATTACCCAGGCTGGCCTCTAACTCCTGGGCTCAAGTGATCCACCTGTCTTGGGCTCCTAAGGTGCTAGGATTACAGAGGTGAGCAACTGTGTCTAACCCAAATATGTCTTTTCTTTCTTTCCTTTTTTTTTTTTTTTGTGTGTGTGACAGAGGTTGTTTTGCTCTTGCTGCCCAGGCTGGAGTGCAGTGGCGCGATCTTGGCTCACCGCAACCTCCGCCTCCCGGATTCAAGTGATTATCCTGCCTCAGCCTCCTGAGTAGCTGGGATTACAGGCATGTGCCATCACATCCGGGTAATTTTGTACCAAATATGTCATTTTTAAAAAAGGACTTGGCATGTGTCGATTTATGTATGCCCAGGGGGTGGTAGAACCACGCTCCTGCAAATATTAGGGGATAACTGTATTTGAAAGAAACTGAGGCTTAAAATTAAGGCTTTACTATGTGTTTACATTCATAGGGTTTATCTCCAATGAGAATTATTTCTATCTGAAATGAAATAACATTAAAGAATACTTCCCTACATTTCACACATTTATAGAGTATCTCTCCAGTGAGTCCTTTTATGTCTATGCAAGGACCTGAGAGAACTCAATGCTTTTCTACATTTCTTACATTCATATGACTTCTCTCCAGAGTGAATCCTTTCATGTACTTTTTTTTTTTTTTTGAGACAGGGTCTGGCTCTGTCGCCCAGGCTGGGGTGCAGTGCATCTTGGCTCACTGCAACCCCCACCCCTTGGGCTCAAGAGATCTTCCCACCTCAGCCTCCCAAGTAGCTGGGACTACAGGGGCATACCACCACACCTGCTACTTTTTCTATTTTTTGTAGAGACATGGTTTCACCATTTTGCCCAGGCAGGCCTCAAATTCCTGAGGTCAAGCAATTTGCCCACCCTAAGTGCTGGGATTACAGGCGTGAGCCACTGTGCCCAGCCTCATGTACTTTTAAGTTACCAAAATGACTGAAGGCTTCCCTACATATTTTACACTCACAGAGTTTTTCTGCTCTGTGAGTTGTTTTATGTTGACAATGGTGTTAAAAAAAAATCGATCACTTTCCCACATTCCTTATATCATACAGCATCTCTCCAGTGTGAGATATTTCATGATTTTGAAAGGAATAAAAATTATGAAAGGCTTTCCCACATTTACATTTATAGGGTTTCTGTCCAGTGTAAGTTTATTCATGATATCAAAGGGAACTGGAAATATAGAAGGCTTTATAATAGTTTACATTCATATTGTTTCTCTCCAGTGAGTCTTTTCATGTCTTTGACATACACTGGGATAAACAAAGGCTTTCCCACATACCTTGCATTTATTCGGCCCATCTCCCGTATGCATTACCATATGTCTTCGAAAGCTTGAGCTATGAGATAACGCTTTCCCACACTGCTTGCATTCATAGGGTTTCTCTCCACTGTGAGACTTTTCGTGTCTTTGACATACACTAGGATAAACAAAAGCTTTCCCACATATCTTGCATTTATGAGGTCCACCTCCAGTGTGCATTATCATGTGTCTTCGAAAGCTTGAGCTATGAGATAACGTTTTCCCACACTGCTTGCATTCATAGGGTTTCTCTCCAGTGTGAATTCGTTCATGATATCGAACTAAACTGGGACGATCAAAGCCTTTCCCACATATCTTACATTTATGAGGTCGATCTCCAGTGTGCCTTTTCATGTGTATCTGAAAGCTTCCAAGATGATGAAATGTTTTCCCGCATTGCTTACACTCATAGGGTTTCTCTGCACTGTGAGTGGTTTCATGTCTTCGAAGGGAACTGGAAACACTGAAGGCTTTCCCACACTGTTTACATGTATATGGTTTCTCTCCAGTGTGAGTTCTTTCATGTCTTATATAGGAACTGGAATCAGGCAAGGCTTTAGAACACTGCTTACATTCATACGGTTTCTCCCCAGTGTGCATTCTCTCATGTCTTCGATAGGAACTGTAAAAAGGAAAGGCTTTAGAACACTGCTTACATTCATACGGTTTCTCTCCAGTGTGAGTTCTTTCATGCATACGTAATAAACTGGGCCAAAAAAAAGCTTTCCCACACAACTTACATTTATAAGGTCTATTTCCACCTTGCACTACCATGTGTCTTCGAAGGTTTCTACGAGAACTGAAGGTTTTTCCACATTCCTTACACTCATAGCGTTTCTTTCCAGTGTGAGGCCTTCCACGCGACTGAAAGGAGTGATGGTAACTGAAGGCTTTCCCACGTTGTTTATGTGTATGTGGCTTCTCTCCATATTCCTGATACTCATGTGGTTTGTGTCCAGAATCAACTCTGATGTGGCTATTAAGGGATAAATGACCCATTATGACTTCTTCACACTCAGCGCTTTGACATGGATCTTCTCCAGGACAAATGCTGTTGTTCACAATACTATCTCGAATGAGGCTAAATGTTTCTCCACACTGACTACTGTCTTTACTTTCACTGAATCTCTCTACCATATGACATCTGTAAAAAATGAGTAGTACGTTACTAAATAGTTGTTTCTAAATGATTATTTATTTATGTGTATTAATAGGTATTGGATGTACTTTTTTTTTTTTTTCCCTGAGATGGAGTCTTGCTCTGTCACCCAGGCTAGAGTGCAGCGGCACGATCTCGGCTCACTGCAATCTCTTCCTCCCGGGTTCAAGCGATTCTCCTGCCTCAGCCTCCCAAGTAGCCGGGATTAGAGAGGCATACGCCACCACGCCCAGCTAATTTTGTATTTCTAGTAGAGACAGGGTTTTGCCATGCTGGCCAGGCTGTTCTCGAACTTCTGACCTCGTGATCCACCCCCCCTTGGCCTCCCAAAGTGCTGGGATTACAGAAGTGAGTCACTGCGCCTGGCCAGATATACCTTTTTATCATTACCATGCAAAGTGTAGGCTTCATGCCCTGTTTGAACATGAATGAACTGAATGCTATGCAAGACAACCCAACACCAGCTGGGTTTTTTTTTTTTCCTTTTCTTTTTAATTAATTAATTTATTTTTTGAAACAGTATCTTGCTTTGTCACCAGGCTGGAGTGCAGTAGCAGAACGATGGTTCATGCAACCTTGACCTCCTGAACTCAAGTGATCTACCTACTTCAGCCTCATGAGTAGCTGGAACCATAGGTGTGCACCAACACACTTGGCTAATTTTTTTTTTGAGACGGAGTCTTGCTCTGTCGCCAGGCTGGAGTGCAGTGGCGCAATCTCGGCTCACTGCAACCTTCGCCTCCTGGGTTCATGCAATTCTCCTGCCTTGGCCTCCCAAGCAGCTGGGGTTACAGGTGCATACCCCCATGCCCAGCTAACTTTTGTACTTTTGTAGAGACAGGGTTTCACTATGTTGGCCAGGCTGGTCTCAAACTCCTGACCTCAAGTAATCTGCCTGCCTCAACCTCCCAAAGTGCTGGGATTACAGGCATGAGCCACCATGTCCAGCCTCATATGTAAATTCTTATAAAATGTTTTAGGAGGAAATTTTTTAAGAATAAATAAATTTAGGCTGGTGCAGTGACTCACACCTGTAATCCCAGCATTTGGGGAGGCCAAGGCAGGCAGATTGCTTGAGCCCAGGAATTCAAGACCAGCCTGGGAAACATGCCAAAACCCTGTCTCTACAAAAAATACAAAAATTAACGAGGTGTGGTGGCTTGCACGTGTAGTCCTGGCTACTCAGGAGGCTCTGGTGGGAGGGTCACATGAACCTGGGAGGTCGAGTCTTCAGTGAGCCAAGATCATGCCACTGCACTCCAGCCTGGGCAACAGAGCAAGGCCCTGACTAAAAAAAAAAGTTAATTTAAAAAATTAAAAAATAAATTTAAGCTGGACTTGTTCATTTTCTTTGTTTTTAAAATTTCCTTTTACTCTGAGAATCACTTCAGAAACATAACTTTCTCCTGTGAGTGCAAATTACCTTAGATTTCTCCTAGGATTTTTGTACTGATCTTCAGTATTCTGTTCTTCCCATATCATTCCTAAAAGGGAGACCCAGAAAATCACTATACATTATTAGAAAATTATATAAAACAGTAAGATTTTATGTATACTGCAATCATACATGATTCGTTCATCAAACTACAGTTAATTCTGTACAGTTTGGGGGTGGAGGCAGAGTCTCACTCTGTTGCCCAGGCTGGAGTGCAGTGGCACGATCTCGGCTCACAGCAACCTCCGCCTCCTGGGTTCAAGCGATTCTCCTGCCTCAGCCTTCCGAGTAGCTGGGACTACAGATGCGTGCCACCACAACCAGCTAATGTTTGTATTTTTATTGGAGACGGGGTTTCACCATGTTGGTCAGGCTGGTCTCAAACTCCTGACCTCAAGTGATCTTCCCACCTCAGCCTCCCAAAATGCTGGGATTACAGGCATGAGCCACCATACCCGGCCTTACAGTTGATTCTTGAACAACACATGTTTGAACTGCACAGCTCCACCTACATATGAATTTTCTTCAGTCTCTGCTACCCCTAAGACACCAAGATCAATCCCTCCTCTTACTTAGCCTTCTCAATGTAAAGATAAGGATAAAGACCTTTTAATCATACACTTAATGAATAGTAAATATAGTTTCTCTTCTTTATGATTTTCCTATCAATATTTTCTTTCTCTAGTTCACTTTATTGTGAGAATATAGTATGTAATACATGACTTACAATATGTGGATTAATATGGATTAATCAACTTTTTTTTATTATTTTATTTTATTTTATTTTTTTGAGACAGATTCTCGCTCTGTCACCCAGGTTGGAGTGCAGTGGCGTGATCTTGGCTCACTGCGACCTCTGCCTCCTGGGCTCAAGTGATTCTGCTACCTTAGCCTCCTGAGTACCTAGGATTACAGGCATGCGCCACCACGCCTGGCTAATTTTTGTATTTTTAGTAGAGATGGGGTTTCACCACGTTGGTCAGGCTGGTCTCGAACTCCTGACCTCATGATCCGCCCACCTTGGCCTCCCAACATGCTGGGATTACAGGTGTGAGCCACCGTGCCCAGCCAGTCAACTGTTTATGTTACCAGTAAGGCTGCTGGTCAATGGCGGCTTAAGCTATGGTGGACAAAAAGTTAGATGAGGATGTACAACTTCTTTCAGGGCTGTCACCTCTGAATTCTGTGTTGTTCAAGAGTCCATCATATGCCCTTTCCATATTTCAAATCATTGAACAGCACTGATGACCATGAAACAAATGTCTGTAATTGATTAAGTGAAGACATGGTATCATCCTTACTTATACAGTCCAGGTTCCTGATGGTTTCTTGCATCACATATCTGTATAAATTCTTCTGTGATGGACCCAGCAAAGCCCATTCCTCCTGGGTGAAGTTCACAGCCACATCCTCAAAGGCCACTGCGTCCTGAAACATCCCACATAGATAGAGGAGAAAGGTTGAGTGACAGTACTGAAAAAACTATACTCAGTTCATAAACTTCATATGATGCTGTGCTTTCCAAGCATTTATTCAATGATGTAGTAAACTCTCTCATATTCTCTTTACACTCACTTTCTCTCACACAGCCATTTTGATGGTAGAATTCAACATGTTTGGTAAAGTTACAGTTGAATAGGAACAGGTCTCTTCTTGGTGAGTTAAATGAGTCTTATTGCCTGCATCACCCTAATGTCTATTTCTGTAGTAGGTTGTAGTTCTTGTCAAAGTCCTACTGACAAAGTCCTACTACCTATTGTGCAGAAGAGAGCTACCATTAGCAGTCCTGAGACTGCATGTCCTTACAAATTCTTATTCTCAAAGTTGGACCTTTTATGGTGTCTAGGAACTGGATTTAGGGAGTGCCCCACCAATGTAACTAATAACAGAGCTCGATTGTATCTAAACTGTTTGTGCAAAAAGTACATTATTTTCTTAACTCCTATGTTCTGAGAGTTTAGAATCTTACAAACTCAGCAGAGGGAGTGTATGTGATCAGCCACTGCTGAGTTTGAATGGTTGTCCCCTCCAAAACACATGTTGAAAGTTAATCCGCAAAGTGGGAGTAATAAAAGGTGGGGATTGAAAAGGTGATTGAGTCTTGAAGGTTCAGAGCTCATGAATAGATTAATGTATACATGGATCAATGGCTTAATGAATAAATAAGTTATCTCAGGAAGGGGACTGGTGTCCTTATAAGATGGAAGAGACCCGAGTTAGGCACTCCGGCCCTTGCCATGTAATGCTTTATGCCATCTAAGAACTCTGCAGAGTCCCCACCAGCAAGAAGGTTCTCACCAGATGCCCAGCCTTAACCTTGGACTTCCCAGCCTCCAGAACAGTAAAAAACAAATATTGTTCCTTATAAATTATCCAGGTTCAGATTATTCTTAAGCAACAAAAAACAGACTAAGCCAGCCACCAAAAAACACTATAGGCACTGGGTCTCTAATGAGAGACCCTGGTAGATAAAATTTCACATGTTTTTTTGCAACTGATTAGTTGGAGGATTCGGCACATCCTCTGGGATTATACTAACAGAAAATCTGGAAGCTGGTAACTGGTTTCCTCTAGACCAAATGTAGTTAAGCATGACAAATAAATAATAAAAGATATTTCACCATCCCAATGGAAAATTTTTGAACATCTTATTGGGTAATGTCAAAGGAGAAGGAAAGAAGGTCAATGAGAGAATGTAATATTAGAAAAGAACTCAATGTTATCTCTTATGAATATTTATAAAATTCCCTAAATAACTAAAACAGACCTAAATAACCAAAAATTTCACTACCAGCTAGGTACCATGGCTCATGCCTGTAATCTCAGTACTTTGAGAGGCCAGGGCAGATGGACCATTTGAGCCCAGGAGTTTGAGACCAGCCTGGGCAACATGGCGAAACCCTGTCTCTGCAAAAAAATACAAAAAAATTAGCCGGGCATGGTGGTGTGCCTGTAGTCCCAGCTAATTGGGAAGCTGAGGTGGGAGGATCACCTGAGCCCAGGATGTGAAGACTGTAATGAACCATTATTGAGCCACTGCATTCTAGCATGGGTGATACAGTGAGACTCTGTCTCAAAAAAATAAATAAAATTACATTATCAAATCTAATAGAAGTCACAAATGTCTAAAAATGCTAAAAAACCTCCTCACTGGCCGGGTGCGGTGGCTCACACCTGTAATCCCAGCACTTTGGGTGGCTGAGGTGGGCGGATCACCTGAAGTCGGGAGTTCAAGACCAGCCTGACCAACATGAAGAAAACCTGTCTTTACTAAAAATACAAAATTAGCCAGGCGTGATGGCGCATGCCTGTAGTCCCAGCTACTCAAGAGGCTGAGGCAGGAGAATTGCTTGAACCCAGGAGGCAGAGGTTGCGGTGAGCCGAGATTGCGCTATCGCACTTCAGCCTGGTTGACAAGAGCGAAACTCCGTCTCAAGAAAAAAAAAAAAAAAAAAAAAAAACCCTCTCACCAACAAAGTGACAGCTTTGCAAAAACAGATAAAGGATTTTGAAACTATAATATTCAGCACCCCATACCATTAATAAAGAGATAAACAAATAGATAAATAAAAGTGAAAAAATGGTAGAAAACCCTTATGGAGTTTTTATTTGTCCTTGGCCCAATCACACCCCACCTCTGCGCCAGTCTTGAAGACAGCAGCCTGAGATCCCAGTGAGGAACTCTGGTCACTAATTCTAGAGAAAGCAGATCAGATGTTATTCACAAATTATTGCCTTTGTATTTTCCAGTCATTATGGGGATGATCAGAAGGTGTGAAATAAGGCTGTCTTTTCTATTTCATCTACAATGGAATCCAGTTAGGGTCAAACATAAGAAATGCTGAAAAATGGTGCAAAATACACAAATAGCCTGCAACTACTTGAGACAGCAGACTGTAATTAAGACATACATTAAGGCCAGGCACGGTGGCTCATGCCTGTAATCCCAGCACTTTGGGAGGCCAAGGCGGGCAGATCATGAGGTTAGGAGTTTGAGACCAGTCTGGCCAACATAGTGAAACCCCGTCTCTACTAAAAATATAAAAATTAGCCACGCTTGGTGGCGCATGCCTGTAACCGAGTAGCTGCAGCAGGAGAATCGCTTGAACCTGGCAGGCAGAGGTTGTGGTGAGTCGAGATTGTGCCACTGCACTCCAGCCTGGGCAATAGAGCAAGACTCCATCTCAAAAAAAAAAAAAAAAAAGACATACATTAGCCCACCTAAGTCTAAAAGGAAAAAACTGGAGAGAAAATTTCCTTCAGGAATTAGGGTATTCAAAAGCACCCATTATATTGTGGAACTGAGAGAGCCACATGCACTCATAGGAAAGAACATATTTTCATAGAAGATGTGAGGAGACCCTTATTTTCAGCTCTGGCATGTTTCTAGGTTTAGTAAAACAGAAAGTAAATGCTACAGCAGAGTTTTAAACAGCCTTGCTAAGTGTTCAAGGAATTGCTCCACAAGAGCCATCCACAAAGACTGGAAGAGGTCAGGTTTTTGTATGTTTCATCTTCCTTCTTACTTTTAGCTTGTAGCATTCAGGAAATCTCTATCAGAACACAAATGAACACAAGCTAAAGAACAGAGACTTCAGTGTGTACATCAGATAGGGAATAGAGTCTCTGCAAACACACTTTGAAAATGTTACTAAACAAATGAATAGTTACAGCCTTCATCAAACAAGAACAGCAAACAATGAAGGGGACAGAATCTGATTTCCAGATGCAAATGTCTACTTTTCAATGCACACAAAATTAGGAAAAATAGAGAGAAACATGAAAATATGGCTCATCAATGGAAAAACCTGAACTGAGATAAACCATCTCTAAGAAACCTCAAACATTGGACTTCTTGAATGAATAAAAACTTTAAAGCAACTGTCTTAAATATGTTCAATGAGGTGAGGCAATGATGAAGAAAAAACTAAAAGAAAATCAGAAAATAGATTTAAAAAATCAATAAAAATTAGAAATTGAGCAATATAGAACTAATGCAGCTGCAAAGTACAACAATCAAAAGGAAGACTTCACTATAGATGTTCCACAGATGTGAACAACCAAAGAAAAAAATCAGAGGCCAGGTGCGGCAGCTCACGCCTGTAATCCCAGCACTTTGGGAGGCCGAGGGGAGCGGATCACTTGAGGTCGGGAGTTCGAGACCAGCCTGGCCAACATGGTGAAATCTCGTCTCTAATAAAAATACAAAAATTAGCCAGGTGTGGTGGTGCATGCCTGTAATCCCAGTTACTCAGGAGGCTGAGGCAGGAGAATCGCTTGAACCTGGGAGGTGGAGGTTGCAGTGAGCCAAGATTGTGCCACTGCACTCCAGTATGGGCGACTGAGACTCTGTCTCAAAAAAAAAAAAAATCAGCTAAAATCAAGATAAAACAATTGAATCTACCCATTCACAGAAGCGGGAAAGGTCAGGGGATGAAATGGAAAAAATGTGTGACTGGTATACCTGCCTTGCCAGTAACGTTAAAAGAAGTTTATTAGAGAAAAGAGAAATGACACAAGTTAGAAATTCACATCACATTAAATGAAGACATAAAAAATGATTTACTTTTCTTATACTTTCTTGATCTAATAGATATGTTTGCTCAAAATAATAGTATCAACAATGTATTGGGTGTTATAGGTCACAATTGTGCAAATGAATGACAGTGATGATTCATGGAATGAAAGGAAGAAGTTTCAAACAGTTTATTATACCAGCACTACCCCTGAAGCCAGTATAGTGTTTTTTGAAACTGAAGGTCCATTAGTTGTGAATGGTATAATATGTATCCTATGGAATTCACTAAAAAAATTAAGAACCAAGTACTATACTAATAGGATAAGAAAATCATATTCTGCTCAACTAAAATCAAAGACGGAAATAGAGAGGTAGTTGAGCTGGGTGCGGTGGCTCAAGCCTGTAATCCCAGTACTTTGGGAAGCTGAGGCAGGTGGATCACAAGGTCAGGAGTTCAAGACCAGCCTGGCCAACATGGTGAAACCTCGTCTTTACTAAAAATATAAAAATTAGCTGGGTGTGGTGGCGGGCATCTGTAGTCCCAGCTACTCGGGAGGCTGAGGCAGGAGAATCGCTTGAACCCAGGAGACGGAGATTGCAGTGAGCCAAGATCGTGCCACTGCATTCCAGCCTGGGCGACAGAGTGACACTCCATCTCAAAAAAAAAAAAAAAAGAAAAGAAAAAGAAAAAAAGAGGTAGTTGAAAAAACAGACAAGTGCAACAAATAGAAAACAGTAATATACATATACATATTAATTCAATTATGTCAATTACTACATTAAATGTGTATTATCTATATTTACCAGTAAAAAAGACAAGGACTGGCAGAGTAGAATAAAAATACAAAGCCTAGCAATGTGTACATAAAAAACATTTTAAACAGAAAGACAGAGATACATTAAGTAGAGAAATATATGCCATTCTAGCCCTAATCAAAAGGAACATGAAACAGCTCTATTACATTCAGACAAATCGGGTTTTAGATTAAGGAAAATTATAAGGCATAGATAGTGAGTTCAGAATGATAAGGAAAGTCAATCCTACAAGAAGACATAATAATCCTTAATATTTATGCCCATAAAATAGAGGATCAAAATACATAAAGTAAAAAATTACAAAAACCACAAGGCAAAATACACACATCTACAATTATAGTTGGAGGGAAACAACTCATCTCTATCAATAATTCACAGATCAGTTTGTCAGAAAATCACTAACGATATGGCTGAAATCAATAGCACTATTAATCAGCTGGATTTCATTGATACGTGTTTACAGAATCCTTCATTCAACACTAGCAGGGTATATATTCTTCTCAAGCCCACATGAAATAGTCACCAAGATGCACAAAATTCTGAGCCATAACACACACTAGAACAAATGTTTTAAAATAGAAATTCCAGGCCAGGCATGGTGGCTCACACCTGTGGTGCCACCACTTTGGGAGGCCAAAGTGGAAGGATTGCTTGAGGCCAGACTGAGCAACATAGTGAGACCTTGTCTCTATAAAAGTATAAACATTAGCCAGGAGTGGTGGCATGCACCTATAGTCCCAGATAATCTGAAAGTTGAGGCAAGAAGATTGCTTGAGCCTAGGAGTTGGAGGCTGCATTGAACTATGATCATGGCACTCCACACTACCAGCCTGTGTGACAGACCACCACCCTGTCTCTTAAAAAAGAGAAAAGAGCTGGGTGCGGTGGCTCATGCCTGTAATCCCAGCACTTTGGGAGGCCAAGGAGGGCAGATCACCTGAGGTCGGGAGTTCAAGACCAGCCTGACCAACATGGAGAAACCCCGTGTCTACTAAAAATACAAATAGCCGGGCATGGTGGCACATGCCTGTAATCTCAGCTACTCAGGAGGCTGAGGCAGGAGATCACTTGAACCCAGGAGGTGGAGGTTGCGGTGAGCCGAAATTGTGCCACTGTACTTAAGCCTGGGCAACAAAAGTGAAACTCCATCTCAAAATAAATAAATAAATAATAAATAAATAAATAAAAGAAATTATATAAAATATGTAATCAGATTATAAACCAATAACTTAAATATAGTTGAAAAGTCTCAAAAAAGTGGAGATTTAAGCCACAAATTTCTCAAGTACACAGATGTCAAAGAAACTTGTCACATGAAATGCAAATATTATGGTGCTGATGAAAAAGGATATATTTTAGCAAAATCTCTGGAATGCAGAAAAGGCAGTGCTTTGAGGGAAACTTAAAGAATCGAATGCATTCTCTAGAAAGTAAAACTCTAAAATCAGTGCTCTAACTTTCCATCTTAGGAAACTAGAGAATAGCAAGATTAATGTAAATCAAGCAGAGGAAAATAACAATGGGAAGAGATATTAATGAAATAGCAATCAAGAAATCAATAGAAAACATCAACAGGCTGGGCGCGTTGGCTCATGCCTGTAATCCCAGCACTTTGGAAGGCCAAGGCAGGCGGATCACGAGGTCAGGAGTTCGAGACCTGCTTGGCCAACATGGTGAAACCCCGTCTCTACTAAAAATACAAAAATTAGCTGAGTGTGGTGGCACATGCCTGTTAATCCCAGCTACTTGGGAGCCTGAGGCAGGAGAATCACTTGAACCCGGGAAGCGCAGGTTGCAGTGAGCTGAGATCACACCACTGCACTCCAGCCTGGGTGACAGAGCAAGACTCCATCTCAAAAAAAAAAAAAAAAAGAAAAGAAAACATCAACAAACCAACAGATGATTCTCTGAAAAGATCTGTAAAACTGATAAGCCGACAGCATAGTTAACACAGAAAAAAGAGAGGCCATCACTACTAACCCTATGGACATTAAGAGTGCCATGAAAGAATATTAGGAACAACTGAATGCCCACATATTTGATAAATTACATGGAATGGACCAATTTCATAGAAGACACAGTCTACCAAAACTCATAAAAGTAACATCAAGTAATATGAATAGGTCTATATCTATTGAATAAATTGAATCAATAAATGATAAATATCCCAAGAAAAAGGAACAGACCAGGATGATTTCACTGGTGATTTATGGCAAATACTTATGGAAGAAATGATCCCAATTCTCTACAATATCTTCCAGAAAACAGAAGTAGGTAGGTAGGTAATACTTTCTTTTCTTTTCTTTTCTTTTTTTTTTTTGAGACGGAGTTTTGCTCTTGTTGCCCAGGCTGGAGTGCAATGGCACCATCTTGGCTCACTGCAACCTCTGCCTCCCAGGTTCAAGCAATTCTCCTGCCTCAGCCTCCCGAATAGCTGGGATTACAGGCGCCTGTCACTAAGCCCAGCCAATTTTTGTATTCTTAGTAGAGACGGGCTTCCCCATGTTGGCCAGGCTGGTCTTGAACTCGTGACCTCAGATGATCCATACACCTCGGCCTCCCAAAGTGCTAGGATTACAGGCATGAGCCACCACGCCCGGGGCAGAGGTAATACTTTCTAATTGATGTTATAAGGCCAACATTGCCCTAGTACCAAAAATAGACAGACATTACAGACATATCTCCACCACTGAGGACATAAGGGGAAAACTGCCATCTTTAAACCTGGAAGCAGGCCCTTACCAGAGATCTGACCTACTTGAACTTGGATTCCCAGCCTCTACTGAGAAATGAACAACTGTTGTTTAAGGCACGTAGTTTATGGCAATCTGGTATAGCAATCCTACGTAATTAAGACAGGGAAGCGCTTTCTCTACCACACATCAAGGCTTTGAAGTCTACAGTAATCAGGAGAGTATGGTGTTAGCAAAGTGATGGGTACAAAGTCCAATGGAAGACAGCAAATTCTGGAACAAGAGCATCTATTTAAGGTATGAGAAACTATGGCACAGCAGGTATTGCCAGGCAGCGATACAAATGACAGCTACTTCAACCCAAAGAACAGGGACAAATTGTTATCTCCAGAAGAATAACCAATCTTCTGCCTAACACCTCCATATACAATAATCAACTAATTACAGACCTGCCTGTTTTCATGAATTTTTATTCACTCTATTACCTCAGCTTCCATTTTGAATGTGGTTCTCTACCTTTCTCATACCAGAAAAAGTATTTTAAGAGCCTTGAGACAGTATTCATTTTTCTGTAGTCATCATGGAAGAAAGTTTTTTCCAATTTATTTTCCCTGATGGCATTTTCTCTGCTAAGCCCTGAAATTCTATTGAGATGATCCAATTAAAAACAAAACAACAGCAACAACAAAAAAACAGACCTGGAAAACTTACTACACAGGCTCTGTGTAGTACGACAGAAAAGAAAAGTAAACAAGAATTTTTTAAAGGCATATAGGACTAGATATATGTAATTTGTTTTCTGAAATCCAACTCTTTCTTGTCCCTTTAGAAACATCTTCTCTATCAATCTCTAATGATAGAATGCATTTTACAGCTAAGAAAAAACTGAACAGAAATGAGTGAACAAATCTTTTCAAGGTTGACAACCTCAGGGAGGGGCAGTGCTGACTGGAACACAGACAAGTCTCATTCAAGGGTCAGGTCAGGTCCTCCTGTCACCTGGGACATCCCCCACCCCCGTGCTGCTCACTGAAGTGCTCAGTGACTACTCCCTACCCCCAACCACCAGATACCGCACTGTGTACTTTCAGGCTCTTACACCACCTCACTGGGGTAAGTTATCTTTGACCTTTCGGATAGTTTTTCTTGCTTCACTAGTCTAACAGAATTCAAAGGATGGGAATCATTTCTATTTTACCCCCTCAATACCAGCACCTGAGTGGCTGACCAGCCATGTCTCCAAGAAATGAAAACTGGGCTTGGGGTGAGAAAACTGAGTATCCCAGGGCTTAACTTTTTACAAGAGGATACCAGGGGAATCCTCCCACCACAGGGTATCCAGCTCTTCCCCTGGGAGGCCCCAGCCCTGCATCTCAGGCTGTCCTCTGGGAGGAGTGGCCCAGGGGCTGATATTCACTACCCTCCAAGACAAGGCTGCTGTATCCACTTGGTGCCAGTCCCAGGCAGTTATCAAAGCCAGTACCAGGAAAAGATAGTGTGGGCTCAGGACTCATCAGCTGGTGGTTTCCAAAGGGGAACCTCAACCCAAACACTTCCAGATAAGGTGCCTGTGCCCAGAGAAGATAAAAGGAGAAGAGGCGCAGACATTTTTCTTGTTGGTTTTTACAGCAGAGTGGTTAAACCACCTGACAGGTGGTTATTCTCTGCATCCTCACATATGAAATATTCACAAACAAAAATCATATCTTCTAAAAAAGAATCATATATTGCTACCTGGGGAAAAAAATGACAGTTAAAATACTGTATTTGTTTGAAATACAGCCTGGGGGACAAAGAGTTCATTATGTTGCTGTGAACTGAGGACAGTGTAGAGTCTTAATTAGGGAAAAGGCTAAGGGGAACAGGGGAAAAGGCTGTTAAATTAAAGTCTTAATTAGGGAAAGGCTAAAGGGAACAGGGGAAAGCAGAAAGATAAAACAAAAAAGCTATAAATCTGCCTATCTTCATGTGCAGAGAATTTAAACAAAAGAGAATGCAGGTAAGTTACGGGTCTAACTTTGTTTTTTTTCTTTTTTCTTTTTTTTTTTTTTTTTGAGACGGAGTCTCTCTCTGTCGCCGGCCCAGACTGGAGTGCAGTGACGTGATCTCAGTTCACTGCAACCTCCGCCTCATGGGTTCAAGCGATTCTCCTGCCTCAGCCTCTCGAGTAGCTGAGATTACAGGCATGTGACACCACGTCTGGCTAATTTTTGTATTTTTAGTAGAGAAGGGGTTTCGCCATCTTGGCCAGGCTGGTCTGGAACTCCTGTACATGTCTAACTTTCTTTATGGCCCAAGACATGGCCTTCTTGCCCAGATAACGCACTTAATTCACAGACTTCCTGCTCACCATCAAACGCCTCAATTTATCAAACACCGGGGCTGACAGAGGAATGCAAGTTAAGCTCCCTGCTGCCTTGGCACTCTGCTGCCTTGGCACTATCAATCAGCCCAAGTTCCATTCTATAAAATCACCCACAAGCCTCTGCTTCTCTCCTGCAGGCTTCCCATGGCCTCCCTTGCGATGGATTTTGCTTCTTTCGCTAATAACTTTACCTACAACTGTCTTAGTAAAAATTATTTTACCCCGGCGTTACCGGCCCAGATAGCAGTCGTTCCCCTGTGACGGAGAGGAAGTCAGCTTTATGAAATGCAGGGCAAAATCTGGAAATCTAGGGATTTACTGCCAGCCCCAGGAGTTAGGGTGAGGGGACAAGATAAGCATTAGACATCTGCCTTCCCAAACCTTTGAAGACTCAGAGGGACACCGGTCCCCTTTAGGAAGAAAACAGAGACTGAGGATCCCACAGATCACAGCTCCTCACAGGCACGAACCCCACACACGAGTGGGGATTCCCTCCATGACCCTTCCGTGACCCTCCCCCAATCCTGGGGAGATGGGGGGCTGCGGGCGAGGAGCTGCCCAGACAGGGCTCCGAGGCCGGGACCGCAGTTGCCGCGCAGGGACCGGATAGGACGCCCGGGGTCCCGGCTGCCAGCTCAGCCTCACTCTGTGGCTGAGGGGACCGAGGGTCGAGCTGCGCCAGGGGGACTCGGGTCCCAGACCCCGGAGCTGACGGCGGGGGAGGCCCACGTTCGCCGCGGCCGGTTCTGGACGGTTCCAACCAGCTCTTTCCCACTTTTGGGACGCCTGACCCTGCACACGCACCATTTCCCGGCTTCCGGGATGTTCCAGGGTCCTCCCTCTGCCTCCCGCTGCCAGTGCGGGTCCCACTGTGACAGAGGCTGCCACAGACGTTCCAGGGCGTCTCTCAGCGACTGAGGCTACACAGACGTTCCAGGGCGTCTCTCAGCGAGCGACTGAGTCTAGAGCTGAGCGCAGGGGCGTGAAGACGCCGCGGGCTCTTTGAACCTGGCACCCTACTGCCAGCCGTGCGCCTGATTGACAGTTCTCACGACCCCGCCCCATAGCTCTGATTGGATAGGGCTCCAGGTCCCGCCCCCTGGGCACTGAGTGACAGAAGAAGCGATCACACAGTGCTGAGTCGAGCGGGATGAACGAGTTCCAGGCACAGCCCTTGACAGGGCAGGCTTCCTCCCTGTGCTGTCCTGATCCCTCCCAGGGAACATTTGCATTTATGCAGAATTACCTGCCCGTACTCAGCAGGCCCTTACTGCCTTTTCCTCCTGGAGAAGGAGTCACAAGTGTTTTGCAGGGAATCCCAGACTCACAGTCCAGTGGAGCCATTCCCCTGGCCTCAGAGCAGAGGGGAGCCCAAGGCCACACAGGCCACACTGCAGCAGGAGGGTGGCCTGATGTCCACCGGGCATCAGGATTTGAGGATGAGACTCTTGGCGGCAAGGTTAAGCCTTCCTCTCTCACCTTGCCTCTCAATCTGCTCATTTTCAGCCAAGGAAATAAAAACAAGTCAAGAACGGTATTAAAATATCAAATGTGTGGAAGAACTGAAATCACACGGCAGCAATAAATGAATGAATGAATCAAAACAAAAATACAACAGGAAAAAAAAAGCAAAAACTTGAACTAGTGCAGATAAGCAGCCTGCTGCCCTCATACTTCAGCAAACGTCCCATTCAGGAGGCTAAACATATGCCCAAACTTGGCAGCCACTCTTAACTGTTGAAATGGAACCCCAGAGTGAACCAAAACCTGGTGATGAGACTGGGACACTGAAGGATTTGACTCTGGGAGCTCAACATACTTCCCTGTGCCCTCTGCAGAGTGTGGAAATGCCCCCACCGTCAAGATGTGCATTTTCACCAACAGGAAAGTTTCATGTAAAGTTAGTTTAAGGGCCCGGGGCGGTGGCTCACGCCTGCAATCCCAGCACTTTGGGAGGCCGAGGCGGGTGAATCACCTGAGGTCACCAGTTGGAGACCAGCCTGGCCAACATGGTGAAACCACATCTCTACTAAAAATACAAAAATTAGCTGGGCATGGTGGCGGGCACCTGTAATCCCAGCTACTCGGGAGGCTGAGGCAGGAGAATCACTTGAACCTGGGAGGCGGAGGTTGCAGTGAGCCGAGATCGTGCCACGGCATTCCAGCCTGGGTGACAGAGTGAGACCTGGTCTCAAAAAAAAAAAAAAAAAAAAAAAAAAGGTTACTTTAAGGTACTGACCTACATAAACTGTCAAATTCATAAACCCTTTACCCAGATTTTCCTAACACATAAATGGTAAATTCTGATTCTATGTGCAGCTTCGTGCTACGTGGAGGCGTGCGCAGGCTGCTGAGGAAGCACCAAAGGGGGCTCCATTTCTCTCCCTTTGCAGCCTTCAGAATGGGCTCGGTGTAGAGTCACTGGTTCAAACTCTGCTGCCCACTCCAGGTGGCTGGGGCTCAGAAAACAATACCCCAAAAAGAAGACCTTGGAAGAAGCCTCAGAAGCAAAAGTTTTTTCTCCACAGAGGGCAGAGGAAAAACTTAGTCCCATTCTTGGGACTCTTAGTCCTACTCTTCTATCCAAGGCTAGCCTTAGAAACTAGAATCTCTCTTCTCCAAAGTGGGTCGTAGAATCCAGAACCCTTTTCCCCTAAATCCAGGCATAAAATCAAAACATACTACTCTAACTTTCCATTGTCCTTTCTGTGTAAAAACTGGCCATAAGCAAATTAACTGTCCAACTTTGTTTGACTGCAGGTCAGGGTGGCCCTGGGGCTTCCCTGGGCCACATTGGAAGAAGATGAATCGTCTTGGGCCACATATAAAATACACTAACACTAACAATAGCTAATGAGCTTAAAAATATATAGCAAAAACAAAAATTCCTAATGTTTTAAGAAAGATCATGAATTTGTGTTGGGCTGCATCCAAAGCCTTCCTGGGCCATGGGTTGGACAAGCTTGCTGTAGGTCATAAGACCCTCCATTTCAGAGTGGGTCCTGCCTCATACTGAGAAGGAAGGAATGCATGCTCAGAAAGGCCAAGAACAATCTAGACACACAGGCCTTGTTGGGTTTCCCCACTCAGTCTGTTAGCATTGGATCATACTCTTTCAATCTAATCACATTTCTACACGGCTGTCCATACATTAAGCCTAAGCATTAAAATGAACAATTTCCTTTGTATCTCTGGGTCTTCATTCTGAAGCTTCCTGGATATACGCGTTAAATAAAATTTGTATGCTTTTCCTCCAATTAATCTGCCTTCTCTCCAATTAATTCAGCAAAACATCAGAGGGCAAAAGGGAATGTTCCCCATGGCCTCTGTAAGAGTCTTCACTTGCTTCTCACCAGCACTGATGAGTTAATTGAAACAAAGACCCTCAATTCCACTGTTTGAATAAAAAATTGACAATCTTGGGTTTCTTCCTGTGTCTATATATAAAGTAGTGGAAAAAATATATATAAGATATTTAATAGGGATTTGGAAACTGGTAAATGGACTGGGCATGGTGCCTTGGGCCTGTAATCCCAGCACTTTAGGAGGCAGGGGCAGGAGGATTGCTTGAGCCCAGGAATTGGAGACCAGTCTGGGCAACACGGGGAGATCTTGGTTCCTCAAAAACAAAACAAGGCCAGGCGCGGTGGCTCACACCTGCAATTCCAACACTTTGGGAGGCTGAGGCGGGCAGATCACAACGTCAGGAGTTCAAGACCAGCCTGACCAACATGGTGAAACCCCGTCTCTACTAAAAATACTAAAAATTAGCTGGGCATGGTGGTGCGTGCCTGTAATCCCAGCTACTCAGGAGGCTGAGGCAGGAGAATCGCGTGAACCCAGGAGGTGGAGGTTGTGGTGAGCTAAGATCGCACCATTGTACTCCAGCTTGGGCGACAGAGCGAGACTCCGTCTCAAAAACAAACAAGCAAACAAAACCAACTGGTAAATAATTATTCTGTTGAGAAACAAACATGCTAACAAACTATTATTTTTACCTTAGCAAACTGTTGTGTAAAACAACTAATTAAATGTGAGCTCTCCTCTCTCCTTGGCTTCAGTCACTCCCTGACCTTCATAGCTCAGGGTTGACATCATGTGCTCTGTGCCTGGGGATGGACATGTCCCATTTATCCATCTGAAACCCCCTCTCAACCCCAGCCCACACCATTGACCCAAACAGTCATATCTGTATCTAAATCCTAAGTATTGTACAAATACATTTTCCTTTTAAGCAAACTGGCCCAGGTTGAATTCACCTGTGGTTCTCATGCCCACAGTTTCATTTATTCATTTGAAACAGTCTTCTCAGATAGTAATGTCTTGGGTGAGGACACATCCATTTTATTTGCTTCTGTTCTTCTTAACCTGTGTCACTACCTGCTCAGTGAGGGCACAGACAGAATATTCTAAGTGACTATCAGCTGCTGTAAATACTGGAGGTCTCAGCACAACCCTGAGAAATCCGCACCAGAGAAAGGATGTGTGAATAATATTAATGTCACCCCTTACCACAACAGTTAGCTTATTTCTCTCTTTTTTTTTGAGACGAGCTCTCGCTCCATCACCTACACTGGAATGCAGTGGCACCATCATGGCTCACTGCAGCCTCAACCTCCTGGGCTCAAGCGATCCTCCTACCTCAGCCTCCCGAGAGGCTGGGACTGCAGGCATGTCCCACCATGCCTGGCTAATTTTTGTATTTTTTTGTAAAGATAGGGTTTCACCACGTTGGCCAGGCTGGTCTAAACTCTTAGACTCAGATGATCCACCCACCTTGGCCTCCCAAACTGCTGGGATTACAGGTGTGAGCCACGCTGTCTGGCCATTTTATTTTCCTTTCTGGAAAAAGGCTTTTAAAAATGGTTTTCCGGTTTTCTGGGGTACTTTCATACACAGCAATACAGATGATAAAAGTAAACATAACACCATTCAGTTTGGTTTCATTTATATGATTTAACTTTTCAACAGTTAAGAAACCAAAACATTCTGTCAACCTTAATTGGATTTCCCTGAATCTAAAAAGTGCCAGGAAAAAAATTCTACAAATAAAAACATGTAAGAGTCACTGAGGTGGTATGAAGAACCCTGAGAAGGTGACATTTAATGTGAGACATGAAATAATAT
Organism: Homo sapiens; assembly: GCF_000001405.40. Lineage (NCBI taxonomy): Eukaryota > Metazoa > Chordata > Mammalia > Primates > Hominidae > Homo > Homo sapiens. The sequence continues at coordinate 12,337,803 of NC_000019.10, forward strand.
ATTAGTGTAAAAACTCAGGGCAAAGCCAGGTGCAGTGGTTCATACCTGTTAACTCCGCCCTTTGAGAGGCCAAGGCTAGAAGTTCAAGACCAGCCTGGGGAACAGAGTAAAACCACCATGTCTACCAATAAATAAATAAATAAATAAAAATTAGCCGAGCATGGTGGCATAGAACTGTAGTCCTAGCTATTCAGGAGACTGAGGCAGGAGGATCACTTGAGTCTAGGAGGTCAAGACTGGAGTGAGCTATGATCACACTGCTGCACTCCAGCTTTGGCAACAGAGTGAGACACTGTCTAAAAAAGAAAGAAAGGAAGAAAACAAACAAACAAAAAACCCTCAGGGCAGAGGATTCAGGGTAGATGGCAGGGTACCAAGCATAAAGAAGCTGTCTCCCCACCTAGACAACAGTTTTACTGGCAGAATCTGTCTGATGGAGCTATTTTATTTATTCTTATTTTTTGAGACAGAGTCTTGCTCTGACGCCCAGGCTGGAGTGCAGTGGCACAACCTCAGCTCACTGCAACCTCCACCTCCTGGGCTCAAGTGATTCTTGTGCCTCAGCCTCCTGAGTAGCTGGGATTACAGGTGTGTACCACCACACCCAGTTAATTTTTTGCATTTTTAGTAGAGATGGGGTTTCGCCATGTTGGCCAGGCTGGTCTTGGACTCCTGAACTCAAGAGATCCACCTGCCTCGGAAAGAGCTGGGATTGCAGGTATGAGGCACCACACCCGGCTTGATGGAGCTATTTTAAAACACTACAGTTGGCCAAGCGCAGTGGCTCATGCCTGTAATCCCAGCACTTTGGGAGGCCGAAGTGGGAGGATCACCTGAGGTCAGGAGTTCGAGACCCACCTGACCAACATGGAGAAACCCTGTCTCTATAAAAATACAAAATTAGCCATGCATGGTGGCACATGCCTGTAATCCCAGCTATTCGGGAGGCTGAGGCAGGAGAATCGCTTGAACCTGGGAGGCAGAGGTCGCGGTGAGCCAAGATCACACCATTGCACTCCAGCCTGGGCAACAAGACTGAGACTCCATCTCAAAACAAAACAAAACAAAACAAAACAAAACAACACACTACAGTCTATTGAAGCCTTGAAAATTCCAGAAAATGATTTGGATGGTAAACTGTGGTTAATTGTGGCCATTTCAACATTCAGCATAGGACCAGCTGGACTTCTCCCCACTACCTCTGTTGCAGGCAGCCATGCACATGTATTTTCCTCCAGTTTGGCAGTGGGGTCTCTCAGGAGTTTGGCTATGAACTCTAGTGCTGCCATGATGGGGCTCCAGGACATCTCGTTGTGATGTTTACAGTGTGCTTTCCACAGGACACTTCATTCTGGTGAAGGGACTAATGTTTAAATGTCAATCAGTGACCAGGTGTCCCTCACAGGAAACTTGGTGGTTATACTGGCCGATGTCCTTGTGGCTCTTGTCTGACATGCATCCAGTTGATTTCTTTTTTTTTTTTTTTTTTTTTTTTGAGATGGAGTCTCGCTCTGTCACCCAGGCTGGAGTACAATGGCGTGATCTCAGTTCACTGCAACCTCCGCCTCCTGGGTTCAAGCGATTCTCCTGCCTCAGCCTCCCGAGTAGCTGGGATTACAAGTACCCGCCACTACGCCCGGCTAATTTTTGTGTTTTTAGTAGAGGCGGGGTTTTACCATGTTAGTCAGGCTGGTCTCAAACTCCTGACCTCAGGTGATCCACCTGCCTCAGCCTCCCAAATTGCTGGGATTACAGGCATGAGCCACCATGCCTGGCCAGCATCTAGTTAATTTCTATCAAAATAGCCACTCTATACAGAGCCTTGACCTGGAAATAAGTTGGAATTAGGTGTAGCAGTCAGGTGAGACATGTAGGAGGGCATTGAGCAGGCCAATATATGCACTGTGGGAGCTTCAGAAGGAGAAGAGAGAGAGAGAAGGTGAAGGGAGAATATTTTGAGAAATAATGGAAGAACACATTCTAAATTAAGTGAAAGCCATGGATGTAGACATCCAAGAAGCTCAACGAACTCTAAGTAGGATGAATACAAAGAGAAACGCATAAATGCACATTATACTAAAGCTGTCAAAAGCCAAGGACAACAAAGATAATCTTGAAAGCAGCAAAAAAGAAGTGATTCATCACATATAAATGATCCTTCATAAGATCAGTAGATTTCTCATGAGAAATGTTGGAGACCAGAAAATAGTGGGCAGATGTTAATCAAAGTGCTAAAAGAAAAATAAATGTGGCCAGGTGCGGTGGCTCACATCTGTAATCCCAGTACTTTGGGAGGCCGACATGGGCAGATACCTTGAGGTAAGGAGTTTCAGGTCAGCCAGGCCAACATGGCAAAACCGGTCTCTACAGAAAATACAAAAATTAGCCAGGAATGGTGGCATATGCCTGTAATCCTAGCTACTCCGGAAGCTGAGGCAGAAGGATCACTTGAACCCATGAGGCGGAGGTTGCAGTGAGCCGAGATCATGCCACTGCATTCCAGCCTGGGGAACAGCGTGAGACTCTGTCTCAAAAAGAAAAAAAGAAGAAGAAAAGATAAGAAAATGTAACCAGGCATATAGTCACAGCTACTCAGGAGACTGAGGTAGGACCACTTCGGCTTAGGAGTTCAAGATCAGCCTGGGCAATATAGTGAGACCCTATGTCAAACATAAAAACAAAAACAGTCAGCTAGGCATGATGGCTCATGCCTGTAATCCCAGCACTTTGGGAGGACAAGGTGGGCGGATCATTTGAGGTCAGGAGTTCAAGACCATCCTGGCCAACGTGGTGAAACCCTGTCTCTACTGAAAAAAATACAAAAATTAGCCAGGCGTGGTGGCGCAAGCCTGTAGTCCCAGCTACTCAGGAGGCTGAGACAAGAAAATCACTGGAACCTGAGAGGAGGAGGTTGCAGTGAGCCAAGATTGCACCACTGCACTCCAGTCTGGGCGACAGAGTAAGACTCCATCTCCAAAAAAAAAAAGTCAACTACGAATCTAATATCTGTCAATACTGTTTTTCAAAAGTGAGAAAAAAATTAAGACTTGCCCACATGAAAAAACTGAGGTAGTTTTAAAAATTATTATTAGATGTGCTCTGTGAGAAATGTAGAGTATTTTGCAGTTTGAAATAAAAGAACACTGGGAAAAAAAAAAAGAAAAGAACACTGGATGGTATCTGGAAGGTGTAGGTGGAAATAAAGATCTTAGTAAAAAGAAATACATGGACAATTATAAAACCTATTATTTTTATTTATTTATTTGGGACAAGGTCTCACTTCCATTGCCCAAGATGCAGTGCAGTGGCACAATCTTGGCTCACCGTAGCCTCGACCTCCTGGGTTCAGGTGATTCTCCCACTTCAGCCTCCTGAGTAGCTGGGATTACAGGTGCATGCCACCAGGCCTAGCTAATTTTTTGTATTTTTAGTAGATCTGCGGTTTTGCCATGTTGCCCAGGCTGGTCTTAAACTCCTGACCTCAAATGATCCGCCTGCCTCAGCCTCCCAAAGTGCTTGGATTACAGGCATGAGCCACTGTGCCCAGCCTTAAGGGCTTTCTTATCATTGATTACTTTATATGAAAATGAATTAAACTCACCAATAAAAAGGCAGAGATAAGCAGAATGGGTGAAAAATATGATCCAACTGTATTCTGCCTACTAGAAACTCATTTTAGATCTCAAGACACAAATAGGTTGAAAGGGAGGGCATGAAGAAAAATATTCCATGCAAATAGTAATCCAAATAGAACAGGGGGGGCTACATCACTATCATACAAAATAGAATTTAAGCCAAAAACTGTTAAAGGAGACAAAGAAGAACACTATTTATAAAAGAGTCAATACATACAGAATATACAACAATTATTAACATACTTGCACTAAACAACAGAGGCCCAAAATAAATTAAACATTAACAGAAATGAAGAAGAAATGGAGAGTTCCACAGTAAGAGTTTGAGACTTCACACTACATTTTCAAGAATGGATAGAATAATCAGATAGAAGATCAATAAAGAAATGAAATAACTTCAACAACACAATAAGCAAAACAGACAGACATAATGACATATACAAGCATACTCCACCCAATGACAGTAGAATACACATTCTGGTCAAGTGCACATGGAACGCTCTCTAAGACAGACCATAATTAGGACATAAAACACAAAAGGTCTTCATACAATTCTAAAAACTGAGATAATAAGATGTATCTTTTTCTTTTTGAGACAGGGTCTTGCTCTGTCACCTAAGTTGGAGTACAGTGGCATGACCACAGTTCACTGCAGCCTTGATTTCCCAGGCTTAAATAATCCTCCCACCTCAGCCTCCTAAGTATTTGGGACCACAGGCTGGAGTGCATGCCATCACACCTGGCTAATTTTTTCAAATTTTGTAGAGATGAGGTCTTACTATGTTGCCCAGGCTGGTCTTGATCTCCTGGGCTCAAGCAATCCTCCTACCTGGGTGTCCCAAAGTGTTGGGATTACAGGCATGAGCCACCATATCTGGCCTCAGATGTATATTTTTCAAATACAGTGAAATAAAACTATAATTATTGGAAAAAAATACACAAATAAGTGTAAATTAATTCATTCTTCAACAACCAATGGGTCAAATGAGAAATTGCAATAGAAAATACTTTAAGGCCATGAGACTCTGTCTCAAAAAAAACAAAAAAAAAAGAGGTTGGGGGTGGTGCCTCAAACCTGTAATCCCAAAAGTTTGAGAGGCCAAGATGGGAGGATTGCTTGAGACCAGGAGTTTGAGACCAGCCTGGGCAACATAGTAAGACTCTATCGCTACAAAAAAAATTAAAAAATCAGCCAGACATGCACATGCACCTATAGCCCCAATTACTTGGGAGGCTGTGGCAAGAGGGTCACTTGAGCCCAGGAGTTGGAGGCTGCAGTGAGCCCTGATTAGGCCACCACACTCCAGCCTGAATGATAGAGTGAGATCATGTCTCAAAAATTAAAAAAAAAAAAAAAGGAAAAGAAAAAGAGAAAATACCTTAAGACCACTGAAAACAAAAATCTAACACATCAGAACTTATGAGATGCAGCAATGGCAGTGCTAAGAGAAAATTTTATAGCTTTAAATGCATTAATTGCCTGGGTGCGGTGGGTTACACCTGTAATCCCAGCACTTTGGGAGGCCGAGGCGGGTGGATCACGAGGTCAGGAGTTCAAGACCAGCCTGGCCAACATGGTGAAACCCTGTCTCTACTAAAAATACAAAAACTTATCCAGGTGTGGTGGCAAGCACCTGTAATCCCAGCTACTTGAGAGGCTGAGGCAGGAGAATCGCTTGAACCGGGGAGGTGGAGGTTGCAGTGAGCTGAGATCACGTCACTGCCCTCCAGCCTGGGTGACAGAGCGAGACTGTCTCAAAAGGAAAAAAAAAAAGCATTCATTGAAAATGAAGAAAGAACTCCAATAAGTATTCTAATTCTTCAGTTTAAGGAACTAGAAAAGGAAGCGCAAACTTCTTTAAAAAGGTAGGAGACAAACTGGGTGTGGTGGTACATTCCTATAGTCCCAGCTGCTCAGGAGGCTGAGGGAGGAGCATTGCTTGAACCCAGGAATTCTAGGCTGTAGTGCACCATAATCAGGCCTGTGAATAGCCACTACACTCTAGCCTAAGCAACATAGCAGGACCCTGTCTTTAATATTTTTTAAAAGGCACTACAAAGAAGTAAATAATAAAGAGTAGAGCAGAGATAAATCAAAAGAGAATATAAAAACAACAGACAATATTATTGACACCAAAAGTTGGTTTGTGGAAACAAAATGGAAGAAGAAACAAGTTCTAATTCATTTTGTGAGGCCAGCCTCACTTTGAGATGAAAGGCAAGAAAAGACATTACGAGAACAGAAAAAGACTACAGAATATCTTTTATGAATATTGAAGCATAAATTCTTTTTTTTTTTTTTTTTTTTTTTGAGATGGAGTCTCGCTCTGTCGCCCAGGCTGGAGTACAGTGGCGCGATCTTGGCTCACCGTAAGCTCTGCCTCCCGGGTTCACGCCATTCTTCTGCCTCAGCCTCCCGAGTATCTAGGACTACAGGCACCCACCACCACGCCCGGCTAATTTTTTGTATTTTTAGTAGAGATGGGTTTCACCGTGTTAGCCAGGATGGTCCTGATCTCCTGACCTCGTGATCCGCCCGCCTCGGCCTCCCAAAGTGCTGGGATTACAGGCTTGAGCCACTGCGCCCAGCCTATTGAAGCATAAATTCTAAACAAAATACTGGCAAATGTACTTCAGCAGCATATTTAAAGGATTATAAATATGGAATTTGTTGGCCAGGAACAGTGGCTCATGCCTGTAATCCCAGCACTTTCAGAGGATGAGGTGGGCAGAGTGCTTGAGCCCAGCAATTCGAGACCAGCCTGAGCAACATGGCAAAACCCTGTCTCTACAAAAAATACAAAAATTAGTTGGGTGTGGTGGCATGTGCCTATGGTCCCAGCTACCCGGGAGGCTGAGGCAGGAGTATCACCTGAGCCCGCACCACTCCAGTCCAGCCTGGGCAACAGAGTGAGACATTGTCTCAAAAAAAAAAAAAAAAAAGTGGGATTTATTCCCAGAATGCAAAAGTGGTTCAATATACAGCAATCAATGTAATGTACCACATTAACGAAGAAAAGGCAAAAAACACATTTATCATCTCAAATGATACAGAAAAATAATTTGACAAAATTAAATACCTTATGTTCCTTTTAAAAAATACATTTGATAAACCAGGAATGGAAAGAAACTTCCTTAATAGGAAAAAAGTCACATATGAAAAACCTGTAGGTAACATGGTCAATTTGAAAGACTGAAAGCCTTCCCTCTAATATCAAGAAGACAGGATGCCCACTTTCAACAGTTCTATTCAACATACTAATGGAAGTTATAGCTACAGAAATAAGGTAAGAAAAAGAAATAAAAGGAATCCAAATTGGAGAGAAAGAAGTAAAATTATCTGTGTTTACAGATTACATGATTCTATGTGGAGAAAACACTGAAGACTCCACAAGGGAAAAATAAAATTTTACAGCTTATAAAACAAATGCAGCAATGTTGCAGAATATAAAATCAATACACAAAAATCAGCTGCTAACAATGAATAAACAATAGACTAACAATGAATAAACAATCCAAAAAGAAAATTAAGAAAATAATTTTAGTTATAAAAGCATCAAAAAAAGTAAAACACTTAAAAATAAATGAAACCAAGAAATCAGTGATGTGTACATTGAAAACTACAAAACATTCTTGAAGCAAATTAAGGAAGATAAATGAATGGAAAGATATCCCATGTTCATGGATTCCAAGACTTACTATTGCTAAGATTAAAATACTACCAAAATCAATCTACAGAATCAATGTGATCCCTATAGAAATCCTAACAGCTTCTTATACAGAAATAGAAAAGCCTATTCTAAAATTCACTTCAAATCTCTAGGGATCTCTAATACCAAAACAATCTTGAAAAAGAACAATGTTGAAGAATTCACACTGCCTTATTTCAAAACTTACTACAAAGCTACAGTGATCAAAACAGTATGGTACTGGCATAAAGACAAACAGATAGGCCAATGGAATAGAGTAGACAGCCTAGAAATAAATGCTCATATACAGGGTGAAATGATTTTTGACAACAGTGCCAAGACCGTTCTTTGGTAGAAGGACAATCTTTCAAAAAATGGTGTTGGGAAAACTGGATATCTACATGCAAATAATAAAAGTGAACCATCACATTACATCATGTATAAATAGTAACTTATATTTAATCAAAGACCTATACTTAAAAGCTAAAACTATAAAATACTTAGAAGAGCCTGGGTACAGTGGCTCATGGCTGTAATCCCAGCACTTTGGGAGGCCGAGCAGATCACTTGAGGTCAGGAATTGGAGACCAGCCTGGCCAACATGGTTAAACTCTGTCCCTACTAAAAATACAAAATTTAGACAGGCGTGGTGGTGGGTGCCTATAATCCCAGCTACTTGACTACTTGGGAGGCTGAGGCATGAGAATCACTTGAACCTGAGGTGGAGGTTGCAGTAAGTCAAGATCATGCCTCTGCACTCCAGCCTGGGTGACAGAGGGAGAAAAAAAAATTACTTAGCAGAAAACATAGGGGAAAATTTTGTTAAATTTGGCAGTGATTTATTGGATACGACATTTAAGGCACAGACAACCAATAAAAGATAAACTGGACTACATCGAAATTAAAAACTTTTGCGCACCAAAGGACAATCTCAAGATGAAAAGAAAACCTACAGAAAGGGAGAACACATCTGCATATCACATATCAAATAAGGGCTTAATACCCACAGTGTATAAAGAATTCCTACAACTCTCTTCCAAGCACTTGGGAGCTGAAAAAAGAAAGAAATTTTCTAAATATTAAAAACTAAAAATTTTAAATAAGAATTCCTATAACTCAACAACAAAACACAAATGACTCAATTTTAATGAGCAAAGGATTTTAAAACAAACTGGTTCAAAAAATATATAAACAACCAACAAAAACAAAAACCAATGTGCATTATTATTGGTCATTAGGGAAATGCAAATCAAAACCACAATGAAAAAGCAGTACAGAACCATTAATTGGCTATTATGAAAAAAATACGACAACCAGTATATGTGACAATGTGGAAAATAGAAACCCTTATGCATTGCTGGAGAGAATGTAAAACATTGTAGCCACTTTGTAAAGCAATATACCTGTTCCTGAAAAAGGTTTACACCAATTATTCTGTGAACCAGCAATTACACTCCTAGGGATACATATATCCAAAAGAATTGAAAGCAGGGACTCACACAGACATAGACATACCACATCCACAGCAGCCTTATTGATAGCAGTCAAATTATTACTGTGGAAACAACCCATGTTTATCAACATAAAAATGGATAAACAAAGTATGCTTTAACCATACAGTGGAAATTTATTCAGACACAAAAACAATGAGTTCCTGATACATGCTACCACATGGATAAACCTTGAAAACGTTCTAAGTGAAATAAGCCAGACATGGAAGGACACATGCATACTTCCACATATCTCTCTCTCTATGAATAGTCAAATTCACAGACAGAGAAAGTAGAATGGAGATTTTCAGTACTTTGGGATAGGATGGAATAGGTAATTACATGTATGGAACACTAAGTAGATAGAGCAAGTAGCACAGTAACACGTATAAAATGATCCCTTCCTTTGTGTATTCTAGTTTGTACCAGCACTGTAAGAGGCTTCCAGATGAGCAGTTCCAGTGGTTAATGTTGGTAGTTCAAAGGGTAACACTGCCCTCTAGGCAACATCGTGGAGGTCTATTTGAGATATATTTCACTACAAGTTATTCTCATGAATACTTCAATGAAACAGCTCTTATCAAGGCCCCCAGTGACCAAATACTTGCCAAAATCTACAGTCAACCCTTTTTCCTTGTCTTATTCAAATTCTCAGTGACCTGTGACACAGCTGACCACTCTCCCCATATTGAAATACCTTCTTCTGGAGGCTTCCAGGAGAAGAAACCCATGTTTTCCTCCTACTACTTCATTGGGTGTTGGAAACCATTATGGAGTGAGGAAGTCAATGATTTCAGGAGCTTCTCCACTATTGATGAAGTATCAGGAATATCTCAAATGCTGCAAGGGAGGTTGGTGGGGAAAACAATCTATGACATGCTTGAAGACTTTATTGAGGAACACATTGACAGGACAAGAGCACCGCCATCTTTATAACACTCCACCATCCTAAGCTTTAAGTTTCTATTTGGCCACCTGGCCAAAACTGAAAATGTCAGCCCCGCCCATAACTTCAACAGAGAATAACGGCCCTAACTGTAACAGAACAGCCAGGACTTCCCCAACCCCTCCCTAACAGAATTTTGTTTCAAAGCACACTTCTCCACTGGGCCCTTTAAAAAAGCCTCAGGCTGTAAGAGAAGTTTGCACCTGACCCTGCCGCTGGAAGCCCTTCTCAGGTTTACTCCCAATAAAACTGTCTCAACTGTTGAGCCACCTTCTCATCTCTCCTTTCCTTAATCTTTCTATCCCAACACAAATAAGAGAGCATAAATACTAACAAGGAACTCGAAGATATACTGAAATTCTCTGCAGATAATGATGATAATGATGATGCAGAAGACTTAGAAGAGGTAATATCAAAGATGTGACACTTGAAACATGTGCAGCAGTTTTTGGGGCATCTACAGCCTCTGCAAGGTGAAAAGTATTAAAGATTACAATCCTCGCAGGGCACGGTGGCTCATGCCTGTAATCTCAGCACTTTGGGAGGCCGAGGCAGGTGGATCACCTGAGGTCAGGAGTTCGAGACCAGCCTGACCAACATGGTGAAACCCCATCTCTACTAAAAATAAAAATTAGCCAGGCATGGTGGCGAGTGCCTGTAATCCCAGCTACTCTGGAGGCTGAGGCAGGAGAATCGCTTGAATCTGGGAGGTGGAGGTTGCAGTGAGTCGAGATCGCGCCACTGCACTCCAGACTGGGCAATAAGAACGAAACTCAGTCTCAAATGATAAATAAATAAATAAAAATAAAAATAAAATAAAGATTGCCATCCTCAAGTAAGATCCTTCAATGGAACAAAACCTCTGTGTCACCCAAGGGATAACATGCCAACAAACACTGCAAGGATATTTAAAGAAAAAGAACCAGCTTCCTACAACAATGTTTCTAACTAAATATCTGCAAATATGAAGACAGATCCTTCAGTGTGTACACATCTTCAGCCCTCATGCTGAACAGATTCTGACATTAGTATTATTTAGTCTCTTCCAAACTCAGCATCTGCAATCAGAACCTGGTTCATCCAACACAGATGATCATCCTGACATCCTGTCAAGATTCAAGTGAGCCTGATGTCTCACTGTTTATCTACAGTGCCACCCATCTAGTCACCTCAGTGAATCATATTAGGCACCATACTGTAATCAGCATCATCATGATCATGATCATCATCATCATCCTTGGGTTATCAAGCAAGAAGGATCAGGATTTTCATAAGTGTTAACACACGATTCCAGGTCATTAAATAAAAGCAATCTATGATTGTTGAAAAAAAAGAAACTGTAGATTACAGGCTCATGCCTGTAATCCCAGCACTTTGGGAGACCAAGGCAGGCAGATCATCTGAGGTCAGGAGTTCGAGACCAGCCTGACCAATATGATGAAACCCCGTCTCTACTAAAAATACAAAAAAAAAAAAAAAAAAAAAAAAATTAGCTGGGTGTGGTGGCATGCATCTGTAATCCCAGCTACTCAGGAGGCTAAGACAGGAGAATTGCTTGAACCCGGGAGGCAGAGGATGCAGTGAGCTGAGATTGTGCCATTGCCCTCCAGCCTGGGCAATAAGAGTGAAACTCTGTCTTAAAAAAAAAAAAAAGAAAAAAAGAAACTGTAACATTCTAGGTGACATGTACTATGTAGGCAGGCCTGTGATGGTTGGGTCTGTTCTCAACAGCACAGGATTATTTTCATATCACGATTCTCTAAAAAAAATACAATAAAATGACTGTTTACATAGCTTTTACAACACATGAGGTATTTTAGTAACCTACTTTTTATTTTTACTTTTACAAAAGCTTTGGGTTGGTGAAAAATTAAGTAATCTAGGCATGATTTATGGGATGCAGGAGGATGTGGATAGGTTACATGCAAATGTCCTTTTATAAAAGGAACACAGCATCTGTGGATTTAGGTATGCTTAGGGGGTCTGGAACCAATCCCCTGCATATGGTTAGGGGATAACCATATTCAAAAGAAACATCTTAAGGCTTTACCATGTGTTTGCATTCATGAGGCTTATCTCCTATGTGATTTCTTTCACGTTTCTGAAATGAAATAAAATTAATGAATGCTTTTCCACATTTATAGAGTATCTCTCCAGTGAGTCCTTTTATGTCTATGCAAGGAACTGAGAGAACTCAGTGCCTTCCCACATTCCTTACATTCATGCATCTTCTCTCCAGTGTGAGTTTTTTCATGTCCTCGAAGGAAACGAGAACGAGTGAAGGCTTTACCACATTGTTGACATTCATAAGATTTCTTTCCAGTGTGAATTCTTTCATGTCGCAGAAGGCAAGTGAGCCAAGAGAATGCTTTCCTGCATTCCTTACATTCATATGGCTTCTCTCCAGTGTGAATCCTTTCATGGACTTTTAAGTTACCAAAATGACTGAAGGCTTTCTTACATGTTTTACATTCATAAGGTTTTTCAGCCATGTGAGTCCTTCTATGTTGAGAAAGGTATGTGAAACAACTGAATGCTTTCCCACATTCCTTACACTCATATGGCTTCTCTCCAGTGTGAGTTGTTTCATGATTTTGAAAGGAATAGAAATCAATAAAGGCTTTCCCACATTTACATTTATAGGGTTTCTCTCCAGTGTGAGTTGTTTCATGTCTTCGAAGGGAACTAGAAATACGGAAGGCTTTACCACATTCTTTACATTCATAGGGTTTCTCACCAGTATGAGTCCTTTCATGTCCTTGAAATACACTGGGATAAATGAAGGCTTTCCCACATACCTTGCATTTGTGAGGTCCATCTCCAGTGTGCATTATCATATGACTTCGAAAGCTTGAGTGATGAGATAACGCTTTCCCACACTGCTTGCATTCATAGGGTTTCTCTCCAGTGTGAGTTCTTTCATGACTTTGCAGTGAACTAGGACAATCAAAGCCTTTCCCACATATCTTACATTTATGAGGTCCATCTCCAGTGTGCCTTATCATGTGTCTTTGAAAGCTTCCCAGATGATGAAATGCTTTCCCGCATTGCTTGCATTCATAGGGTTTCTCTCCAGTGTGAGTTCTTTCATGTATTCGAAGGGAACTGGAAACACTGAAGGCTCTTCCACATCGTTTACATTTATAGGGTTTTTCTCCAGTGTGAGTTCTTTCATGTCTTACATAGGAACTGTAATCAGGGAAGGCTTTGGAACAGTGCTTGCATTCATATGGTTTCTCCCCAGTGTGTGTTCTTTCATGTCTTAGATAGGAACTGTAAATAGGGAAGGCTTTACAACACTGCTTACATTCATACGGTTTCTCTCCAGTGTGAGTTCTTTCATGCATACGAAATAAACTAGGCCAAAAAAAGGCTTTCCCACACAACTTACATATATAAGGTCCACCTCCACGTTGTACTATTATGTGTCTTCGAAGGTTTCCCGAAGAACTGAAGGTTTTCCCACATTCCTTACAATCATAGCGTTTCTTTCCAGTGTGAGGTCTTTCCTGTGTTTGAAAGGAGTGGTGATAATTGAAGGCTGTCCCACATTGTTTATGTGTATGTGGCTTCTCTCCATATTCCTGACACTCATCTGGTTTGTGTCCAGCATCAAATGTGATATAGCAATTAAGGAATGAACAACCCATGATTTCTCCACACACACTGCTTTTACATGGATCTACTCCAGGAGGTTTTTCATTCACAGTACTATCTGGCTGGCGACTTTCACTAAATCTCTCTATGATATGACATCTGTAAAACATGAGAAGTATATTAATAAAGGTTTATTTATAAATGACTTTATGTTTATTAGTAGGTACTGGATTTACATTTTTACATCATCATGCAACGTGTAGGCTTCATGCACTGCTTGAACGTGAATGGACTGAATGTTGTACAAGATAACTCGACCCCAGCTGTTTTCTTGACAATGATAAACACATGAAATTCTTTTTTTTGAGATGGAGTCTCGCTCTGTCGCCAGGCTGGAGTGCAGTGGCATGATCTCAGCTCACTGCAACCTCCGCCTCCCAGGTTCAAGTGTTTCTCCTGCCTCAGCCGCCCGAGTAACTGGGACTACACACATGCGCCACCACGCCCAGCTAATTTTTGTATTTTTAGTAGAAACGGGGTTTCACCATGTTGGCCAGGATGGTCTCAATCTCTTGACCTTGTGATCGCTCGCCTTGGCCTCCCAAAGTGCTGGGATTACAGGCGTGAGCCACCGTGCCCAGCCGAATTCTTAATATTGTTTCTAAGGGAACTATTTTTGCAAACACTGAATAGTTATATCACATTTAAGTATATGTTTCTGGAGAAAATTGTATAGGAATAAATAAGTTTGTACTGGGCTCGTTCATTTTCTTTGCCTAGTTGTATAATTTCCTGTCATCCTAAGAATTGCTCCACAGATATATGTCTTTCTCTTGTGAGTGCAAATTACCTTAGGCTCCTCCTGGGATTTCTGTGCTGATCTTCAATGTTTGTGTCTTCCCATTTCATTCCTAAAAGGTGGACACAGAAAAAACACTGTAGATTATTATAAAATTCTAAAAACACTACAAGATTTTATGTACAATGGAATCATGCATGATTCATTCACTGAATTGTAGCTGACTCTTGAACAACATAGGTTTGTACCTCGTAAGTCCACTTATTTTATGTTTTTTAAGATGGAGTCTCGCTCTGTTGCCCAGGCTGGAGTGCAATGGTGCAATCTCGGCTCACTGCAACCTCCGCTTCCTGGGTTCAAGCCATTCTCCTGCCTCAGCCTCCCAAGTAGCTGGGACTACAGGTGTGCACCACCACACCCAGCTAATTTCTAGATTTTTAGTAGAGACGGGGTTTCAGGTGGGTTTTGAACTCCAGACCTCAGGTGATCTGCCTGCCTCGGCCTCCCAAAGTGCTGGGATTACAGGCGTGAGCCACCACACCTGGCTCACAAGTCCACTTATATATGAATTTTCTTCAGTCTCTGCTACCCCTGGGACACCAAGACCAATCCCTCCTCTTACTCAGCCTACTCAATGAGAAGACAATGAGGATGAAAACCTTTATGATGATCCATTTCAACTTAATGCACAGTAAATACAGTTTATCTTCTTTATGATTTTCTTAACATTTATTTTCTCTAGCTTACATTTTTATGAGAATATAGTATGCAATATATGTGACAGACAACATATGTGTTAATTGATTGTTTTTGTGACCAATAAGCCTGCCAGTCAACTGAAGGTTAAGTTGTAGTGAACAAAAAGTTATATGAATATGTACAACTGGTTGGGGACCCAGCACCACTTAACCCTGTGTTGTTGAAGGGTCAACTATATCCCCTTTCGGTATTTCAAATCATTCAACAGCATTGATGACCAAGAAAAAAATGTCTCTAATTGACTAAGTGAAGACATAATGTCATTTTTACCTATACAGTCCAGGTTCCTAATGGTTTCCCACATCACATCTCTGTACAGACTCTTCTGTGATGGACCCAGCAAAGCCCACTCTTCCTGGGTGAAGTTCACCGCCACATCCTCAAAGGCTACTGAATCCTGAAACACCCCACATGTACAAAGGAGTAAGGCTGAGACTGATAGTACCAAAAATTTACACCCACTTCATAAACTTTGCATACTATTATTTCTAAGCAATGATTCAATGACATGGTAAATCCACCCTTATTCTCTGTCTACAATCACTTTCTCCAACACAGCAATTCTGATGCTAGAATTGAATGTTGTTGTACACATAATAGTCAAATAGGAACAAGTCTCTTTTTGATGACTTAAATGAGTGAATTTTATTGCCGGCATCATCCCTAATGTCTACTTTATAGTGGGTCTGTATTTCCTGTCGTGACAAAGTCCTACTACTTACTGTACAAGAATAGGAGTCCTGAGATTGTATATATTTACAAATGCTGGTTAACAAAATTGGATCCTTCGTGTACTCTAGGCACTGGATTTATAGAGGGTCTCCACCAACATAACTAATAACAGGTGCTGAGTGTGCATAAACTGTTTATGGAGAAAGTATAGTATTTGCTTAACTCTTACCTTCTCTTCGGGAGCTTGGAATTTTGTTACATGCTCAGCAGTGGGAGCATAGCTGATCAGCCAATGCTAGGTTTGAATGTTTGTCCCCACCAAAATGCATGCTGAAACTTAATCCCCAATGTGACAGTAATGAAAGATGGCGCTTGAAGAGGTTATTGGGTCTTGAGGATTTGGATCTCAAGAAAATCAAGATTAATCCATTCTTGGATTAATGGCTTAAAGAATAAATGGGTAGTGACAGAGTTGGACTTATGTCCCTATGAGAAGAGAAAGAGACCTGGGCTAGACACTCAGCTCCCTCATCACATGACGCCCTGTGCCACACAGGGACTCGACAGAGTCTCCACCAGCAAGGAGGTTCTCACCAGATATCCAGCCTTGACTTTGGACTTCCCAGCCTCCAGAACCACAAAATATATACACTGTTTCATTTAAATCATCTAGCTTCAGGTATTCTGTTATAAGCAACAAAAAACACACTAAGGTAGACACAAAGAAACACTCTGGGCACTGAGTCTCTAATGAATGACATCCATAAATAACTTTTCAAAATGTTTATTGCAACATGTTACTTGGGGATTCAGCCCATCCTATGTGATTACACTAAGAGAGAACATTTAGAAGCCAGCAACAGGTTTCCTCTAGATCAAATGTAGCAAAGCAAGACAAAAGACTAATAAAAGATGCTTCACCATCCCAATGCAAGAATTTTAAACTTTTTATTAGGTAATGTCAAAGGAGAATAATGGGGACAGATTGCACATGTTCTTAGAAAGAACTCAATGTTACCTCTCATGAATATCGATAATATTCCCTAAATAGCTAAATCAGAACTTTAGTAGTCAACAAAAAAAGATATCCCCAAAACTAACAGAAGTCACAAATGTATAAAAATGCTAAAAACTTTCTCACCAACAAAGTTACGGCTTTACAAGAACAGATAAAGAATTTTTTTTTTTTTTGGAGGGGGGAGACAGAGCCTTGCTCTGTTGCCTAGGCTGGAGTGCCCTGGCACGATCTTGGCTCACTGCAGTCTCTGTCTCCCAGGCTCAAGCAATTCTCCTGCCTCAGCCTCCTGAGTAGCTGGGATTACAGGCGTGTGCCAGCACACTCAGCTAAAACATTTATGATGATTCATTTCAACTTAACGCACAGTAAATATAGTTTATCTTCATTATTTTCTTATTAACATTATTTTCTCTAGCTTACTTTACTGTGAGAATATAGTACGCAATACGTATGACAGACAATATATGTGTTAATCAATTGTTTTTGTGACCAATAAGCCTGCCAGTCAACTGAAGGTTAGCTGTGGTGAACAAAAAGTTATATGAATATGTACAGACCTCAAGATTAAATGAGAAAAAAAATACGTATTAAAGACAAAACTAGGCCAGGAGCGGTGGCTCACGCCTGTAATCCTAGCACTTTGGAAGGTTGAGGCAGGCAGATCACGAGGTCAGGAGATCGAGACCATCCTGGCTAACACAGTGAAACCCTGTCTCTAATAAAAATACAAAAAACTAGCCGGGCGTGGTGGCGGGCACCTGTAGTCCCAGCTACTCGGGAGGCTGAGGCAGGAGAATGGCGTGAACCCAAGAGGCGGAGCTTGCAGTGAGCCGAGATCGCGCCACTGCACTCCAGCCTGGGTGACAGAGCGAGACTCCATCTCAAAAAAAAAAAAAAAAGAAAGACAAAACTAGTATTTTAAACAGTAACAAGGTCTTTTTCAGATTTAATGAGAATTTTTTTTTTTTTTTGAGACGGAGTTTCGCTCTTATTACCCAGGCTGGAGTGCAATGGCACGATCTCAGCTCACCACAACCTCCGCCTCCTGGGCTCAAGCAATGCTCCTGCCTCAGCCTCCCAAGTAGCTGAGATTACAGGCGCACACCACACGCCCGGCTAATTTTTGTATTTTTAGTAGAGATGGGGTTTCACCATGTTGGTCAGGCTGGTCTTGAACTCCTGACCTCGTGATCTGCCCGCCTCAGCCTCCCAAAGTGCTGGGATTACAGGCATGAGCCACCGTGCCTGGCCGAGGATTTTCTTAAGTAAGAAAATAAAGGCCGGGCACGGTGGCTCACACCTATATTCCCAGCACTTTGAGAGGCCAAGGCAAGTGGATCTCTTGAGCCCAGCAGTTCAAGACCAGCCTGGGCAACATGGTGAAACCTGATCACTAGAAAAAATACAAAAATTTGTCCAGGAGTGGGGGTACATGCCTGTAGTCCCAGCTACCTGGGAGGCTGATGCCTGTAGTCCCAGCTACCTAGGAGGCTGAGGTGGGAGGATCACCTGAACCCAGGGAAGCAGAGGCTGCAGAGAGCCTGGATGACATCACTGTACTCTAGCCTGGGCAACAGAATGAGACCCTGTCTCCCCTCAACCTCCCAAAACAAAGAAAAGAAAGTAGATTTCAAATGAGGAGTCTTCCAAATTCAACTATATTAAAATTAGGCATAGTGGCTCACACCTTTAATTCCAGCATTTTGAGAGGCTGAGGTGGGAGGATCCCTTAAGCCCAGGAGTTTGGGGCTGCAGTGAGCTGTGATGGCGCCACTGAACTCTAGCCTGGGGTCACGGAGCAAGATTCTATCTCAAAAAAAAGTCCATCAAACTGTAGAATGAAATAAAAAGATAAACCACCATCTGGAAAGAAATACTAGCAATCCTTCCATGTGAAAACTGGTTAGTATGTACAGTATGCTTAAAAACAAAAAGAAAGGCCAGGCGCGGTGGCTCACCCCTGTAATTCTAGCACTTTGGGAGGCTGAGGAGGGCAGATCACCTGAGGTTGGGAGTTCAAAAACAGCCTGAGCAACATGGCGAAAACCTGTCTCTACTAAAAATACAAAATTAGCCGGGCATGGTGGCGGGTGCCTGTAATCCCAGCTATTCAGGAGGCTGAGGCAGGACAATCGCTTGAACCCAGGAGGCAGAGGTTGCAGTGAGCTGAGATCGCTCCATTGCACTCCAGCCTGGGCAACAAGAGTGAAACTCCGTCTCAAAAAAAAAAGAGAGAGAGAGAAACAAGGCAAGGCAATAATATCCAAATAAATTAAACATGAAAAAAGACAGAAAATTACTTCACAGAAGATGAAAGACCACAAAGAAAAAAATGCTCAACACCAATGCTAATCAGCAAAAACCAATGGAGATATATAAAACATAAATCTTTACAAGGCATAAACACACACACATACATGGTCTGAGAGCTGATCTACACCTGCTATTAGGATTTCCTCATAAATTTAAACTATCCATAATCTACAATACAACAATTTTTTCCCAATGAATAGTATCCCAATGAGTTAAAAAAGTCATGAAGTGTTAGCACTTAGGGACAAAAAAAGAATATTTTCAACAACATCATAAGGTTAACCTGAAAGAACTCAAGTCCCATGAACAGTGAAATGTGTGAGGACTTGGTGACCCACAGCCTCAGACAACAGCGTATGTCAAACAGATTGAAGCAAATAAACAAATCAAAAACCTTTTCATCGTATTTTCTCCCCTCTCCTTTCATCTCTTCATGTCTTTGGAGTCAATTAAATATTTTTCATTATTCCAATTTGTTTATTTTCTTTGCATTTTAGTTCTATTTTTTTTGCATTACATTTTAACAAGCTGCTCCTGGGAAGCAGTTCTCATACTTTATGTGCATTACAAGCATCTGGAGGACTTAACACAGATTATTGGATCCTACCCCCAGAATTTCTTTTTCTTTCTTTTTTTTTTTTTTTTTTTTTGGACAGAGTCTCGCTCTGCCGCCCAGGCTGGAGCGCAATGGTGCAATCTCGGCTCACTGCAACCTCCACCTCCTGGGTTCAAGCCATTCTCCTGCCTCAGCCTCCCAAGTAGCTGGGATTACAGGTGCCCATCACCATGCCCAGCTAATTTTGTGTATTTTTAGTAAAGACGGGGTTTCGCCATGTTGGCCAGGCTGGTCTCGAACTCCTGACTTCAGGTGATCTACCCACCTTGGCCTCCCAAAGTGCTGTGATTACAGGTGTGAGCCACCATGCCCGGCCCTACCCCCAGAATTTCTAATTCAGTAGGACTAGAGTATAATCCTGAAATGTGCATTCCTTTTTAAATTTTGATGTTGTTTGTACATATTCACGGGGTACAGGTCTAATGTTGCCACAATGATATAGTGCATTGTGGTGAATGAAGTCAGAGCCTTCGGTGCATCCATCACTGCAGCAAAGCACATGCATCCACCAAGCAACTGCCCATCATCCACCATCCTCCACCCTCCTAGAGTCTCCACTGACCATCATTCCACACTCTGCTTCCATGTTTACACATTATTTACACGTGGGAGGTATATTTGCCCACCTTTTTTTTTTTTTTTTTGAGATGGAGTTTCGCTCTGTCGCCCAGGCTGGAGTGCAATGGCGCGATCTCGGCTCACTGCATCCTCTGCCTCCTGGGTTTAAGCAATTCTCTGCCTCAGCCTCCCAAGTAGCTGGGATTACAGGCACCCACCACCATGCCTGGCTAAATTTTTTTGCATTTTTAGTAGAGACGGGGTTTCACCATCTTGGTCAGGCTGGTCTTGAACTCCTGACCTCATGATCCACCTGCCTTGGCCTCCCAAAGTGCTGGGATTACAGGCGTGAGCCACCGTGCCTAGCCTACTCACCCACTTTTAAGTGAGTACATGTGGTATTTGTCTTTCTGTGTCTGAATTGTTTTGCTTAAGATAATTGCCTCCCAATCCATCCTTGCTGTCACAAAGGACATGATTTCATTCTTTTTCATGGCTGAATAGTATCCCAATGAGTATACACACCACGTTTTATTTACCCAATCCTCCACTTAGGTCGATTCCCTTATCTTTGCTTTGTGAATAGTGCTGCAATATGCAGATAAGTGCAGGTATCTTTTTGGTGTACTGATTTCTTTTCCTTTGGATAGATACCCAGTAGCATATCTGAGACACTCAGCATAATACTGAGTGCATATTAATGGTAACATTAACTAACTGAAAACAGAAAAGAGGCAAAACTATGCTACTGGATAAATACACACTGAATCTATAATGAGCAACAAAATACAAACTCTAGGTCAGTTATGCTTCTGACCTGTAGTGTCTTACCTCACACAACTTCTGACAACAAATGTATGGCATTTGCTGAACACCAATTCTCCAACAAAAACTGGTATCCACCCCACATTAGTACAGACCCCACAAGTTGAGGGTTG
Source organism: Homo sapiens (assembly GCF_000001405.40). Classification (NCBI taxonomy): domain Eukaryota; kingdom Metazoa; phylum Chordata; class Mammalia; order Primates; family Hominidae; genus Homo; species Homo sapiens. The sequence goes on from NC_000019.10 coordinate 12,358,833, forward strand.
AATGTCACAACCAATCAGCCACCAGGCAGATGCCAGTGGCAAGCCCCAGAGACCATCCTTTTAATCAAATGTGTATAAAACCAATGACTCCCTCTACAGGGTCAATAATGTGCCAAGCCAACCCACAGAACTCAGCAAGTCACTCTGCTTAAGGTTGTCAGTTTGTTATAAAGGATATCTCAAGAATAGCCAAAAAGAGAGAGGCACAGCAAAGGAAGGGGAGGGATTGGCAAACCTTCCCCTCTTGGCTGACATTACCCACCCAGCAAATCCAAATACATTTTTTATTATATCAAAGACCCAGATAAACTCTCAGATTCATAAACCCTTTTTCCATCAGGCAGAATCAAAAGGTGTCTTTCTCTAAATCAGCTGTGACAGACTTTTTAATTTGTACTGATTATACCAACTGAGTGAATGCAAAACCAGGCTGCTGATAATGTTGAATTTTACCCAAGGCCTGTAATTCTAGTAAATAAGTAAGATGACAGAAAATCACCTCAACTCCCCAAGCCCAGTTCTTTGTGTTCTGGACAAGCAGCCGTAAAACAAAACAAAATAAAAGCACCCTTTGCTTACATAGATTATGCCCCTCCCCCCTTCTCTAAACTATAACTCAGCCAGATAAAGAACCTCCAAATTCCCATTTTTTATCTTATGATTAGCTGAGCAGTTTTGTCTTCACTGATCATACTGAACAAAATACATCTAAAGAAAACTTTGCTTAAGTTTTTCTCCTTGCTCCAGGACCGTGAACTTTGACTCATCCTCAGCCTGAGCCAGCACAAAACCCCTCCTTCATAACCCATCTTAAGAACAGACTTAGGTTAGAGCAAAACACTCTCTGAACTAGAATCTGATTCTCGGCCCGGCGTGGTTGCTCACACCTGTAATCCCAGCACTTTGGGAGGCTGAGGCAGGCAGATCATGAGGTCAGGATATCGAGACCATCCTGGCTAACATGGTGAAACCTCATCTCTACAAAAATACAAAAAATTAGCCGGGCGTAGTGGCATGCGCCTGTAGTCTCAGCTACTCGGGAGGCTGAGGCAGGAGAATCACTTAAACCCGGGAGGTGGAGGTTGCAGTGAGCTGAGATCACGCCACTGCATTCCAACATGGGCAACAGAGCTCTCGAGACTCTCAAGAAAAAAAAAAATCTGATTCTCACCCTCCATCCTGCCCTCCCCTTCGCATCTTCCTTCTAATCTTGGTTGCTCTTCCCTTAGCAAGAAAAGAACTTTTCTGCCCAACCTTAGAGATGCCTCAGATCTTTATTTTATTTTATTTTTTTTGAGACTGAGTTTCACTCTTGTGAGCCACCGCGCCCAGCTGGGATGCCTCAGATCTTATACTTGATGCTTTCCCGTTTTGCAGTACTCCTTTAGAATGAAGTCACTTCTTAGCTAAATGCAGATTTATTTTAATTGAGAATGTCTAGCAACAGCCCCACAACAGTAACAAATACAACCTCAAACAGGGAATCACCCCAACTGCCCCAGCTTTCTAATGCTCTGTAGCTTCTTTAAGTATAAAAGGCTTCTCCCATGGCTGGAGTGATCCGGAGGCTCCCAGGAAGAACCAATTTAAGTGGGCCTTCAATAACCTCCCTTTGCAGGCTCCAGACTGGCCTCAACTGGGAGTCACCGGCCTCAGGCCTCTCCACCCCACTCACTTCCTCCCATGCCTTACATGGAAAGTTACTTGGTTTAGTTAGCATTTATTTATTTATTAGTTAGTTTAGTTAGTATATATTTATTTATAGATGAAGTCTCACTCTGTCACCCAGACTGGAGTGCAGTGGCGCGATCTCAGCTCACTGCAACCTACACTTTCCAGGTTCAAGTGATTCTCCTGCCTCAGCCTCCCAAGTAGCTGCGACTTCAGGTGTGGGCCACCACGCCCGTGGTGGTGGTGGGCGCCTGTAATCTCAGCTAATCAGGAGGCTGAGGCACGAGAATCACATAAACCTGAGAGGTGATGCTCGCAGTAAGCCAAGATTGTGCCATTGCACTCCAGTCTAGGCAACAGAGCAAGATTCCATCTCAAAAAAATAAAAAAATAAAAAATAAAGGTAGGCTGGGAGCGGTGGCTCAAGCCTGTAATCCCAGCACTTTGGGAGGCTGAGGTAGGAGGATCATTTGAGGTTGGGAGTTCAAGACCAGCCTGATCAACATGGAGAAACCCCATCTCTACTAAAAATACAAAATTAGCCGGGCATGGTGGTGCATGCCTATAATCCCAGCTACTCGGGAGGCTGAGGCAGGAGAATCGTTTGAAACTGGGAGGCAGAGGTTGCAGTGAGCCGAGATTGTGCCATTGCACTCCAGCCTGGGCAACAAGAGTGAAACTCCGTCTCAAAAAAATAAAAAATAAATAAAACTAAATAGGAAAAGCACAAGTATCTACCCATTTCAGGCAACAAATACCATTTAATTACTACTTCCATAATAATAAAGCATTTAGTAAATTAATAATATTTGAGTTCTTTAGCTGTTGGAAAGTCCTGTGCCACAGCATTTAGCATTAATCTGTCAAGTACACATAATAGGAATAGAACAGTTATCCACTGTCCTAAATTCCCCACCCTAAAAAGGAAAGAAACTAAAGTTTTGGTAAATCTTTATAATTCAATCAAATAAGTACCACATTTTCTGTTAATATGTGTTCACTTTTTCTGCAGCCATAAAGAAAGTACGACCAAACATTTTTCCTTAGTCATACTGTCACTGTTAAGCCCTGAAATTCCATTTGAATAATCAGAGAAACTTACTTGACAGACTGGGGGAAAAAAAAAGTAAATGAAGGGTTTTTTTGTTTCTACAAAAATTGGACCTCCCCCTCCCCCTCTGCCTCCCCCTCCCCCTCTCGCTGTCCCCACGGTCTCCCTCTCCCTCTCCCTCTCCCTCTCCCTCCACGGTCTCCCTCTGATGCCGAGCGGAGGCTGGACTGTAGTGCCGCCATCTCGGCTCACTGCAACCTCCCTGCTGGATTCTCCTGCTTCAGCCTGCGGAGAGCCTGGGATTGCAGGAGCACGCCACCACGCCTGACTGGTTTTCATATTTTTTTGGTGGAGACGGGGTTTCACCGTGTTGGCCGGGCTGGTCTCCAGCTCCTAACCGCGAGTGATCTGCCAGCCTCGGCCTCCCGAGGTGCAGGGATTGCAGACGGAGTCTCGTTCACTCAGTGCTCAATGTTGCCCAGGCTGGAGTGCAATGGCGTGATCTCGGCTCGCTACAACCTCCACCTCCCAGCCGCCTGCCTTGGCCTCCCAAAGTGCCGAGATTGCAGCCTCTGCCTGGCTGCCACCCCATCTGGGAAGCGAGGAGCATCTCTGCCTGGCTGCCCATCATCTGGGATGTGAGGAGCCCCTCTGCCTGGCCGCCCAGTCTGGGAAGTGAGGAGCACCTCTTCCTGGCCGTCATCCCGTCTAGGAAGTGAGGAGCATCTCTGCCCAGCTGCCCATCGTCTGAGATGTGGGGAGCGCCTCTGCCCCGCCGCCCCATCTGGGATGTGAGGAGCGCCTCTGCCCAGCGGCGACCCCGTCTGGGAACTGAGGAGTGTCTCTGCCCGACCGCCACCCCGTCTGGGAGGTAAGGAGCGTCTCTGCCCGGCCGCCCCGTCTGTGAAGTGAGGAGCCCCTCCGCCCAGCAGCCGCCCCGTCTGGGAAGTGAGGAATGTCTCCGCCCGGCAGCCGCCCCCTCCAGGAGGTGGGGGACAGCTCCCGCCCGGCCAGCCACCCCGTCCGGGAGGGAGGTGGGGGGCAGCCCCCGCCTGGCAGCCGCCCCCTCCGGGAGGTGGGGGGCGCCTCTGCCCGGCCGCCCCGTCTGGGAGGTGGGGGGCCCCTCTGCCCGGCCGCCACCCCGTCTGGGAGGTGTACCCAGCAGCTCATTGAGAGTGGGCCATGATGACGATGGCGGTTTTGTCGAGTGGAAGTGGGGGAAGTGTGGGGAAAGGAAAGAGAAATCAGATTGTTGTTGTGTCTGTGTAGAAAGAAGTAGACACGGGAGACTCCATTTTGTTCTGTACTAAGAAAAATTCTTCTGCCTTGGGAAAAAAAAAAAAAATTGGAGGCTGAGGAGGCAGATCACTTGAGGTCAGGAGTTCAAGACCAGCCTGGCCAACATAGTGAAACCCCGTCTCTACTAAAAATACAAAAAACAAAACAAAAAAAAAATTAGCCAGGTGTGGTGGTGCAGGCCTGTAATCCCAGCTACTCGGGAGGCTGAGATGGGAGGATCGTTTGAACCCAGAAGGCAGAGGTTGCAGTAAGCTGAGATCGCACAACTGCATTCCAGCCTGGGCAACAGTGCGAAGCTCCGTCTCAAAAAAAAAAAAAAAAAAAAAAGGAATAGATGGCTACATATGTGACCTGTTTTCTGAAATCTAACTATTTCTGGCCTCTATGGAAATACTTTCTCTATCAATCTCTAATCTTATAGTTAATAAAACGTTGAAGCTGAAAAGAGTGAGTATCTCTTTTCAATGTGACAACCTCAGGGATGGGCAGCACTGACTCGAACACAAACAAGTCTAACTCAGGTGTCAGGTCATCCCATCTCCTGGGACATTAGTCACCCCCATCTGCTCAGTAAAGTGCTCAGTGACCACCCACCACCACCCCAGGAGATACTTCACTGTGTGCTTTTCAGGCTCATGCACACCTGACCTGAATGGGAGGTTCTTGCACAACTGGAATGAGTGGGTTCTCCAGTGCTTACATATTGTTTTCTCTCTTCATTAGTCTGAGAGTCAGGAAGGAAGAGATCACTTCTGTCTTCTCCCCCAAATACAATCATTCAACTGGCTGACCAGCCGTGTGTCCCCAAGGAATGGAAACTGGGGTTGGGGAAGAACAAGGTGATTGTCCCAAGGGTTAGCTTTTTATAGAAATGGTATACCAGAATATTCCTCCCATCCCACCCAGGGCATCCAGCTGTTCTCTGTGAGGCCCCACCCCAACACCTCAGGCTGCTCACTGGGAGAAATGACCCAGGGACTGATATTCACTGGACCCTCCCAGAGACAGGGCAGCTGTGTGTATCTTGGGTCAACCCCAGGCAGTTCTGAAACAGAACCAGGAAAAGGCAGAGAGTGGGCTGAGAACACATCACCCCATAAAGTTTCTAAAGGGGACTTTCAATGTTGATTAGGTATCCGTACCCAGGGGAAAGAAAAGGAGAGACACAAAGGTTTTTTTGTTTGTTTTTTTGTTTTTTACAGTGCAGTGTCAGGTTATTCTCTGCTTCCTCACATGTGAAATGTTCAGGAACACAAATCTTTTAAGAAGCCGGCCGGGCGCGGTGGTCACGCCTGTAATCCCAGCACTTTGGGAGGCCGAGGCGGGCGGATCACCTGAGGTCATGAGTTCGAGATGAGCTTGGCCAACATGGTGAAACCCCGTCGCTACTAAAAATACAAAAAATTAGCCGGGTGTGGTGGTGGGTGCCTGTAATTCCAGCTACTCGGGAGGGTGAGACAGGAGAATTTCTTGAACCCGGGAGGCGGAGGTTGCGGTGAGCCGACATCGCACCATTGCACTCCAGCCTGGGCAACAAGAGCACAACTCCATCTCAAAAAAAAAAAAAAGAAAGAAAGAAAAAAAGAAGCCATCCATTGCTCTCTGAAAACAAAATGAAAATTAAAATACTGGGACTCTGAAATTTAGCACGGGTGGGGCGGAGGAGGGAGGAGTTCATGATGTTGCTGTGAACTGAGGAGGGAAAGTTAGCCTGCGTAAGGCTCTGGAAACCAAGGGAGTTACTACCACCCCTAGGAGGAGTTAGAATGAGGGAACAGGGTAGTGGATTTGAGACCCTGCTACCCCCATCTCTGAAAAACTCGAAGAGGAATCAGTCACCCTGGGAAGAAAAGAAGGGACTGGGGACCCCGCAGACCACAGCTCCTCCCGTGCACAAACCCCACGCAAGAATCTGGATTCTGATTGCAGTTAGATATTAACCAGGTACCCTGAGCCCCACTGCCTCGCGGGGGCCGCCTTCCTGAGAGTCAGGTCACAGAAGACACTGACCGCCGGCTTCTGCATTGTGCCTGGGGATAAGATCTCGGAGAGCTGCTCGAGTTGCCCAAGTTCTTTCTCAGATCTTGAATTCCAACGGAAAGGCTGGCGCCAAGCAGGGTGAAAACCCCACGAGGGAACCCACTCAGCAGGAGAATGCGGTTTCTTCACCTCCCGTCCCAGGATTCGCCTGTCACTTCCCCACCAACCAGCGACCCCACACTTCAGCCGCCCCTGTCCAGACCCCTAAACACCCCCATCCCCAAACCTCTCATGGAGGCGGAACTGGGGTCTTCTCTCCTCTCCCCCTATTAAACTGTTTCTGCTGCAGGCCTTGGAGTCTCGGTGCAGTGACTCGGACCGCGAACCTGTGCCGGTTACAGCCGCACAATCTGGGAAGACGCGGAGCTGTGGGCATGGAGCTGCCCCAGAGAGGGCGCGGGAGCCGGGGCCGCAGTTGCTGCGCAGAAACGGGACAGGACGCCCGGGGTCCCGGCTGCCGGCCCAGCCCCCAGCTCCCACCCCGCGGCCGAGGGGACTGAAGGCCGGCTGGGCCAGGGGAACTCGGGTCCACAGACCCCGCAGTCGCCGCGGGGACGCCCGGGTCCCGCCACAGCCGGTTCTGGCCGGTTCCAACCAGTCCTTCGCCCTGCCCCAGGACGCCGGGCCCCGCACACTCACCATTTCCCGGCTTCCGCGGTGTCCCGTGTTCTCCCCAAGGTTCCCCGCTGCCAGCATAGGACTCAGCGTGACAGTGCCTGCCACTGACCTGCCAGGGCTTCTCTCAGCTACAGAGCCAGGAGCGGGAGCTCAGAGGGGTGTAGAAAGCTCCACCCTCCTCCCGGCAGCGCGCCTGACTGGCAGTTCCCAAGAACTCGCCCCCAACACTGATTGGGTAGAGCTCCAAATTCCGCCCCCCCAGGGAACTGATTGACAGAAGAAGGATCTTACACGGCTGAGTGGAGCGAGATGAAGCGGTTCCAGACACAGCCCTTGATAGGGTGGGCTTCCTCCCTTCGCTGTGACCTGACCCCTCCCAGGGGACATTTGCATTTAAGCGGAATTTCCTGCCTGTACTCAATGGGCTCTTCCTGCTCCTTCTTCCTGGACGGGGACCCACAAGTGTGTGCTGGGAATTCGAGACTCACTGCCCAGTGGAGCCATCCCCTGGCCTCAGAGCGGTAGGGGAGGCCCAGGCCACACAAACCACACTGAAGCAGGAGGGAAGGCCTGGTGTCCTCCAGGGATCAGGAATTTAGGATGAGACTGCTGGCTCCATGGTCAAGCCTTTCTCCCACCTTATCTCCCAATCTACTCATTCTCAGACCAGAAAATAAAAACACATCAACAATGAAATAAAATTGTTAAATGCATGGAAAATCTGGAATTATATGGCAGTAATCTTCTATAAAGGAATCAAAAGAAGGGAAAAGAAAAAACCTGAATTAGTTCAGAGAAATTTCAGCCACAGTTCAGCAGGAAACCCCCTTTCAGGAGGTTAAACATATTTTCAAGCTTAGAAGGCAGATTCTGACTCCTGAAGTTGAGTCCCAGAGTGTGTAACCAGCAGCTTAGCAGCTGAGTCTCAAACCACGTTTTAAACCTTTTTTTTCTTCTTCTTTCCCTTTTCCTCTTTCCCCTCCTGATCTCAAGATAATAACTTCGAGATAAACTGCATAGATGTTACCTCTCATCTTAAAATACAGCCTCAGAATGTGCTGTGAACTTCCACTCCCTTTCCTTTCCCATACTACACTGCCATGCCTTATGCACATTTATTTTTATTTTATTTTTTTGGAGACGGAGTCTCACTCTGTCACCCAGGACAGACTGTAGTGGCTCAATCTTGGCTCACTGCAACCTCCGCCTCCCAAGTTGAAGCAATTCTCCTGCCTCAGCCTCCCGAGTAGCACACTGGACTACAGGTGCACGCTGCCATGCCCAGCTAATTTTTTTGTATTTTAGTAGAGACAGGGTTTCACCATGTTGCCCAGGCTGGTCGTGAACTCCTGAGCTCAGGCAATCCGCCGGCCTCGGCCTCCCAAAGTGTTAGGATTACAGGCGTGAGCCACCACGCCTGGCCTGTGCACATTTATTTACCTAAATACTTATTAAGCACACACCATGCTCTCTTATTTGGTCATATATTTCCTTAGAAGCTTCAGGGGTTGGATCTTGTTAGGTACCAGGCACCTCTGGAATTCTCTTTCCAACAAAAGATTACTTCAAAGACAGAACCCACACCCAGCTGAAGAGTGACTACTATCGGGGAAACCAGCCCCCAATATTTCAACGTAGGTTCTATTTTCCCTAAGTGTCGGCCCATCTGAGAAATTAAGAGAAAGAGTACAAAGAGAAGAATTTTACAGCTGGGCCTCCAGGGGTGACATCACATATCGGCAGGTTCCATGATGCCCACCTGGGCTGCAAAACCAGCAAGTTTTTATTAGGGATTCTAATAGGGGAGGGGGTGTACGAACAGGGAGTAAGTCACAAAGATCACATGCCTCAAAGGGCAATAAAAGATCACAAGGCAAAGGCAAAATTAGAATTACTGATGAGGGTCTGTGTCCTGCTGTGCATGCACTGTCTTGATAAACATCTTAACAGGAAACAGGGTTCGAGAGCAGACAACCAGTCTGACTAGAATTTACCAGGCTGGAACTTCCCAATCCTAGTAAGCCTGAGGGCACTGCAGGAGACCAGGGCGTATTTCAGTCCTTATCTCAACTGCATTAAGACAGATACTCGCAGAGCAGCCATCTATAGACCTACCCCCAGGAATGCATTCCTTCCCCAGGGTCTCAATTATTATTATTATATATATTTTTTTGAGACAGAGTCTCACGCTCTGTCCCCCAGGCTGGAGTGCAGTGGCACAATCTCGGCTCACTGCAACTTCTGCCTCCTGGGTTCACACTGTTCTCCTGCCTAAGCCTCCCAAGTAGCTGGGACTACAGGCGCGTGCCACCATGCCCGGCTAATTTTTTGTATTTTTAGTAGAGAAGGGGTTTCACCGTGTTAGCCAGGATGGTCTCGATCTCCTGATATTGTGATCCACCCGCCTCGGCCTCTCAAAGTGCTGGGATTACAGGCATGAGCCACCACACCTGGAAGGGTCTCAATTATTAATATTCCTTGCTGGGAAAAGAATTCAGTGATATTTCTCCTACTCACATGTCCGTCTATAGGCTCTCTGCAAGAAGAAAAATATGGCTTTATTCTGCCCAACCCCACAGGCAGTCAGACCTTATGGTTATCTTTCCTTGTTCCCAGAAAATCGCTGTTATTCTATTCTTTTTCAGGGTGCACTGATTTCATATCATTCAAATACAAATGTTTTACAAACAATTTGTACAGTTAATGCAATCATCACGGGGTCCTGAGGTGACATACATCCTTAGCTTACGAAGATAACAGGATTAAGAGATTAAAGTAAGACAGGCATAAGAAATTATAAAAGTATTAATTTTGGGAACTAATAAATGTCCATGAAATCTTCACAATTTATGTTCAGAGACTGCAGTAAAGACAGGCGTAAGAAATTATAAAAGTATTAATTTTGGAAACTGATAAATGTCCATGAAATCGTCACAATTTATGTTCTTCTGCCGTGGCTTCAGCCGGTCCCTCCATTCGGGGTCCCTTAGTTCCCGCAACAGACTACAAGATTGACTGCAACTAATGTATAACCTGGCAGGATCCACGACGGAGAAGTCCCTTCACCAAATGGGACAATAATTCAAGAGGGGCAACCAGAGCAAGTCACGCCACCTGGTACCTCTAGCCCCGCTTGCCTCTTCTGCATTCCAAACCCTTTCTTTAAAAACCCCTGGGTTCTCTCCACAAATTGAACAGTGGAATTGCTTTCTGCTCTTCCCCTGCTAGGACAGATAATAAAGAAATCTCGTTCCCTCTTATCACAACTCATTATTATTTTGACTTCTTTCCACACGCGGTGAGCAGCCAGACCCTTTTGCCAGTTACAAGTGGGATCAGCACCTGGTGATGGGGCAGAGGCACTGAAGGATTTAGGGATGAGGGAGCTCAACTTGCCCTCCTGTGTCCTCTGCGCAGTGTGAAAATGCTCTCTCCTTCAAGACTTTAAATATTAATGAATTAAATGCTCCAATCAAAAGCCAAGGCATTAGAATTTGAAAATATAAAGATTTCCCATATTTGTATGAAATACAAGTGTCACTGGTAAACTGAGTTCTTTCTCTAGTTTGTATGAGTCACAAAGAAAGAATACCTAATGGAACAAAAAAAAAAGGCAAGCAGGATTTATTTTCTGGCCAGAGAAGGAGAAGGGGTCAGAGTCAGCTCTTGCTCCGAAGATACTTCCTCCTCCTAGAGCTGTGGGAAGCTGGGTAATTTTAAGCAGCTAGATATGGGAAGGGGAAGTTTGTAATATGGGTAGAAAGGAACTTCAGATGTTCACAAATCATAAACATGTCTCTTTATACCACACATGTTCAAAAGGCCAGCCGGGTGCAGTGGCTCACGCCTGTAATCCCAGCACTTTGGGAGGCCGAGGCGGGTGGATCACCTGAGGTCGGGAGTTTGAAACCAGCCTGACCGACATGGAGAAACCCCATCTCTACTAAAAATACGAAATTAGCCAGGCATGGTGGTGCACGCCTATAATCCCAGCTACTTGGGAGGCTGAGGCAAGAGAATCGCTTGAACCCAGGAGGCAGGGGTTGCAGTGAGCACTCCAGCCTGGGCAACAAGAGCGAAACTCCATCTCAAAACAAAACAATGGGCCGGGCGCAGTGGCTTACACCTGTAATCCTAGCACTTTGGGAGGCTGAGGCAGGCGGATCACGAGGTCAGGAGATCGAGACCATCCTGGGTAACATAGTGAAACCCCGTCTCTACTAAAACAATAAAATAAAATAAAAATTAGCTGGGCGTGGTGGTGCATGCCTGTAATCCCAGCTACTCAGGAGGCTGAGGCAGGAGAATCACTTGAACCCAGGAGGCAGAAGTTGCAGTGAGCTGAGATCGTGTCACTGCACTCCAGCCTGGCGACAAAGCTAGACTCCATCTAAAAAAAAAAAAACACGACGAGAAAGCTGCCGTGACTTTCTTCTGTGGGTGGGGATTTTCATCTTACAATAAGGTATCAGTGATCTAAACCAGCAGTTCCTAACCTTTTTGGCACAGGGACTAGTTTCTTAGAAGATAATTTTTCCATGTACTGGAGTGGGGATGGTTTTGGGGTGATTCAAGTACATTACATTGATTGTGCACTTAAATATTATTACATTGTAATATATAATGATGTAATTGTACAGCTCGCCATACTATAGAATCAGTGGGAGCCCTGAGCTTGTTTTCCTGCAACTAGATGGTCCCTTCTGGGGGTGGTGGGAGACAGTGACAGATCTTCCAGAATCTCATAAGGTGCATGCAACCTGGATCCCTTGTGTGCGCAGCTCACAATAGGGTTCGTGCTCCTATGAGAATCTAATGCTGCCTCTGATATGACAGAAGGCAGAGCTCAGGTAGTAATGTGAGTGATGGGAAGTGGCTGTAAATACAGGTAAAGCTTTGCTTACTCGCCCGCTGCTCACCTTCTGCTGTGTGGCCTAGCTCCTAACAGGCCACAGTCTGGTACCGATCCATGGCCCAGGGATTGGGGATCCCTGATCTAAAGGCAACAAGGGGTCACTGGTTCTGGTTTACTCTGGTTTTGAGCAGGCCTTATCTTATTCTGATAATTGGCAAAGGGTCCTGAAGCTCCCAGGCCATCTGGAGTCCTAGTAAGCTAGCATACCTAAAGATAAACAGACTAGGAAAAAAAAATGTTATCCACTTTTTCAGAAAATAATTAGCGGCTGGGCATGGTGGCTCACGCCTGTAATCCCAGCACCTTGGCAGGCCGAGGCAGGTGAATCACGAGGTCAGGAGTTCAAGATCAGCCTGGCCAACACGGTGAGACCCCGTCTCTACTAAAAATACAAAAATTATCTGGGTGTGGTGGTGGGCGCCTGTAATCCCAGCTACTCGGGAGGCTGAGGCAGGAGAGTCGCTTCAACCCGGAAGGCGGAGGTTGCAGTGAGCCAAGACCGCACCATTGCACTCCAGCCTGGGCAACAGAGTGAGACCCCATCTCAAAAAAAAAAAAAAAGAAAGAAAAGAAAGAAAAGAAAAAGAAAATAATTAGCCATTTCAGCTGTTTTGCTTTCTCAGCTATTTTTCCAGGACTGGCCCAGTAACAAAAGTACCAGATATAAAAGCATCATGAATTGGAAGCTGGAACCCATGGCTAAAAAGAAAGAAGCCAAACATCAAGTGTAATTCAATGAAACAAAATCCTGAATCAACTTGTGATAATTGTAGTGTTTCCTGACAAGACAAATTGGCAAGTTTGAAAAACAAGAAAAAAAAGATGTCTGATTATAACTAATGAATGATATTCATGCCTTTAAAAATTACACACACATGCACACACACACTCACAATCTATTATCACAAGACTGTTCTCTCTCTGAAGAATCAACCATCTTTCTGTAAGATGCTTCATCAACCTTTCACATTAACTGCCTTTGGAGTAATATTATATACTTACTTTTTCCTAGACAGTTGTGAAAACAGGGTGCAGTGGGTCAAAGGTGGTGTCAGGGGTTTATGTTCAGATTTTGCATATTTTTACAAATTGCAGCAATTAACTAGTTCATTACTGTGTTGATTTAAATTCTTACAAAAGCTTCCAGACAAAAATAAACACTCATATAACCATGAGGAAAAAATTCAGAATAGAATGGAGTCCAGAAATAAGGCCACACACCTATGACCACCTGATCTTGGACAAAGCTGACAAAATCAAGCAATGGGGAAAAGACTTCCTATTCAATAAATGGTTATGGTTTAACTGGCTAGCCATAGGCAGAAGACTGAAGCTGGACCCCTTCCTTACACCATATACAAAAATCAACTCAGGATGGATAAAGACTTAAATGTAAAACCTCAAACTATAAACACCCTGGAAGAAAACCTAGGCAATACCATCCTGTACACAGGAACAGGCAAACATTTCATGGCAAAGACAACAAAAGCAATTGCAACAAAAGAAAACATTGACAAGTGGGATCTAATTAAATTTAAGAGCTTCTGTACAGCAAAAGGAACTATCAACAGAGTAAACAGACAACCTACAAAATAGGAAAAACATCTTCAAACTATACATCTGACAAAGGTCTAATATCTACCACCTATAAGAAACAAAGAAATTTACAAGAGAAAAACAAACACCACCATTAAAAAATAGTCAAAGGACATGAATAGACATTTTTCCAAAGAAGACATACATGCAGAGGCCGGGGGTGGAGGCTCACACCTGTAATCCCAGCACTTTGGGAGGCCAAGGTGGGCGGATTACCTGAGGTCAGGAGTTTGAGACCAGCCTGGCCAACATGGTGAAACCCCATCTCTACTAAAAATACAAAAAAATTATCCAGACATGGTGGCGGGCGCCTGTAATCCCAGCTACTTGGGAGGCTGAGGCAGGAGAATCGCTTGAACCTAGGAGGTGGAGGTTGCAGTGAGCCCAGATAGCACCACTGCACTCCAGCCTAGGTGACAAGAGCAAGACTCCATCTCCAAAAAAAAAAAGAGAAAAAAGAAATACACTTCAATCAATGCAATCATCTAGAGGAATATAAAAGACAAATTTTTATTAACTGATTTCATCAAAAAACACTACCTATTCAACTCATGAATTTATGTGTCAAGAGAACTTATTTACAGAATTCTCTCACCTTGATGTGTTTTTTTCTGAAAGTAAGATGTAGGAATCCATAGTCCAGATCCACTTTAAGCAGGAGGCACTGATAAAGACAATAGAGTTACACCTTTTATGACAATTCTTTGATGTTCCAAATTTTCTGGCACATTTTGCACGAGTGAATTTGGATGTGAGTTTTCTTTTTTTGGAGATGGAGTCTCACTCTGTCGCCCAGGATAGAGTGCAGTGGCACGATCTCAACTCACTGCTACCTCTGCCTCTGGGGTTCAAGCAATTCTTCTGCCTCAGCCTCCTGAGTAGATGGGACTATAGGCACATGCCACCATGCCCAGCTAATTTTTGTATTTTTAGTAGAGACAGGGTTTCACCATGTTGGCCAGGATGGTCTTGATCTCCTGACATCGTGATCTGCCCGCCTTGGCCTCCCAAAGTGCTGGGATTACAGGTGTCAGCCACCGCACCCAGCCGGATCTGAGTTTTCTAAATTACATTTATAGCATATCTAGCCAGTGTGAGTTATGATAAGGAATCGTCAATCTACCAAAGTTGTATTAATATGTATATCCATGGAGGTGACACTTACGTCAATTGACACTTACATCATTTCATCAGGAAACATAGACAGATGCTGCACATGAAATTAGCCCTAGGCTGGACGCAGTGAGTGGCTCACGCCTGTAATCCCAGTACTTTGGGAGGCCACAGTGGGTGGATTGCTTGAGTTAAGGAGTTGGAGACCAGCCTGGGCAACATGGCAAAACCCCGCCTTTACCAAAAACAAAAAAAAATTAGCCAGGCATGGTGGCGCACACCTATAGTCCCAGCTACTTGGGAGGCTGAGGTGGGAGGATCGCTTGAGCCCGGGAGGCAGAGGTTGCAGTGAGCTGTGATCCCCCAATTACACTCCAGCCTGGGTGACAAAGTAAGACTCTGTCTTTAAAAATAAAAGAAAGAAAGGCTTTTACCTGAGCGCAAGATGGGTCACCAGCTGTACTGGAGACACCGGTTCTCACTCTTGTCGCATCTGTTCAAACCAGCATGGTCTGATCCGGAAATATGGTCTCAATATGTGCCGCCAGTGTTTCTGTAAGTATGCGAAGGATGTAGGTTTCATTAAGTTGGACTAAATGACCTTCCTTCAAAGGGTTATCCAAAGCACCTACCCAATGAAAAACCAGGATAGTTCTTTGTATATAAAATAAACATTTTTTAAAAACCTTCAAAAAAAAAAAAAGAAATTAGCCCTATTCCTCAGAAATTTATATATTTTTGCAAGAAATGTGATTTTAATTCAATAGCATACAGTACATGTTATTGTAAATGCAGTATACATTTACTCCATAAGTAGGAAATTCACTCCTTCCCAAGTTTTAATGGTTTTCTAATACTTTTAAATGTTTTGTCTTTAGTTTCCCAACCAAATATGGCTATCATCTCTAAACACAATAATTTTTTTTCCATCCTAGTTTTTATATTGTTTATTGATTTTTGACAATAAGTTTTATAGACTACTGTAATAGTGAGAGGAATGAAATAGAACTATTTTATTTATTTATTTTTTTTTTTGAGACATGGTCTCACTCTGTTGCCCAGGTTGGAGTAAAGTGTTGCAATCATGACTCTATAGCCTTGACCTCCTGGGCTCAAGTAATCCTCCCGCCTCAGCTACCTGGGTAGTTGGGATTACAGGTTAAAAACACCATGCCTAGTTAATTTTAAAATTTTTTCTAGAGATGGGGTGTCACTATGTTGCCCAGGCTGGTCTTGAATTCCTGGGCTCAAGTCATCATCCTGCTTTGGCCTTCCAAGGTGCTGGGATTACAGGCATGAGCCACTGTGCCTGGCTATGTTTCCTTTTGTTAGCTTATGATCCTCCTTTTCAGTGGGAAGCCTGTCACACAACAGTTTCTCATCATGCTGTGCTCTGAAACATACCTTAACCAAGAATCCTACATCAAGGAAAGCTCATGTTTAAAATGAAAGACAAAACAAAGTCTTTTTCAAGAATAAAAACATACATATTGAGACGATTTGTTCCTACCACACCAGACCTACAAGAAAGATGAAAGAAAGTCCTTATGTCTGAAACCAAAGGATGGCAAAATCCGCAAGAAAAGAGAGAGAGCACCATTAAAGATCATTATATGAATATAATATCCAGACTAAATGTATATTTCCTCACCTTTCTTCTCCTCATGGATTTACAAAGCAACTGTGTAAAATAATAACTAGTTGGTGAATTCTTGGGCCTAGAACACATAAAAATGTAATGTATGTTTTATATTCACAAATAACACTGTAAAAACCTGAGTTAACTAAATGACTACCAAGGGGAAAGCAATAATTATAAGAAAGTACTGTTGGATGTGCAACCCTAAGAGTTGTTACACATGAAACGAAACACCCCAGAAAGGCAAACATATAATAGAGCTATACAGGATAAATATGTTTTTGTTTTTGTTTTTTTTTGAGATGGAGTTTTGCTCTTCTTTCCCAGGCTGGAGTGCAATGATGCGATCTCAGCTCACCGCAACCTCTGCCTCCTGGGTTCAAGCAATTCTCCTGCCTCAGCCTCCCAAGTAGCTGGGATTACAGGCATGCGCCATCAAGCCCAGCTAATTTTTGTATTTTTAGTAGAGACGGGGTATTACCATGTTGGTCAGGCTGGTCCCGAACTCCTGACCTCTGATGATCCACCCGCCTCGGCCTCCAAAAGTGCTGGGATTACAGGCGTGAGCCACCGCGTCTGGTGGATAAATATGTTTTTTACATCACTGGAATTTATCCATAAATCACTGGAAAACTGCCCAATTGTGATATTATCATTTACATGATAAACATTCGATTAATCACTACAAAATCTCACAACAAGTATAACAAAAAATAGATCATCCCCTACATCGCGAAGACATATTATGTGAAATCAGAATTTACTGTCCTTCCTTAGTTAAACATTGACTCTACATCCATTCCATAAGATCATGGCCCCAAGATTTCCTGCATTCATCCAACTTGGAAATTTCCATGTTATATCACTTATTTCTTTTTCTTTTTTTTTTTTTGAGACGAAGTCTTGCTCTTGTCGCCCAGGCTGGAGTGCAATGGTGTGATCTCAGCTCACTGCAACCTCTGCCTCCCAGGTTAAAGCAATTCTCCTGCCTCAGCCTCTCGAGTAGCTGGGATTACAGACACCTGCCACGACGCCCGGCTAATTTTTGAATTTTTAGTAGGGATGGGGTTTCACCATGTTGGTCAGGCTGGTCTCAAACTCCTGACCTCAGGCGATCCGCCCACCTCAGCCTCCCAAAGTGCTGGGATTACAGGCATGAGCCACCGTGCCTGGCCCAAACTTTTTATTAGCATAGATTTGCAGTTAAGTTTTGAAATCCAGAAGTTAGAGCCTACTAACCTAGTTCTTGTTTTTCAAGACTGTTTTGTCTATTCAGAGGCCCTTGAGATGCCAAATGTAAAAAATGAAAAAATGGGGAAAAATGGTTCCTAGAAATAAATCAAGAGGTCAAAACTATAACTAAAAGGACAGCAGAGAGTAAAAAGTGCTATTATTCAATGAGAAGTAAGAATCTTAGATTCTTAGAAAAGGGGCATTTAACTTTGGAAAGTAGGCTCAGTAAGAACAAACTAAGCATTCGCACACAAAAACAGAAAAACAGAAAGAAAATGAAGTTCCTGGAAGTGTTAGAGCTGCTCCTATAATGGTGAAAATGATCCTTCTGGATCATGATAAACTGAATATAAGGAATGAGAAAGCATTAAGAGTGTGGCTAGAGGACATGTCACAGAACCACATCTCTATTGATAGTAAAATGATACATGAAAAAAATTAGCCTCTGTAAGCACCACAGTGAGACAGTTGAGAAGAGCGAGAGGAAGGAGTTTCAGGCCCATGAAATCTAGCTGGGTCAGCTAGGTAAAGCACTACAGACACGAGAACTTAAGGACCACAGGAGAATTGCCACTGGGTGGTGACAAGGTGGGAGGATCTCTTGAGCCCAGGAGTTCAACACCAGCCTGGGTAACAGCAAGACTCCATCTCTACAAAAAAATTTAAAATTAGCTGGGTGTGGTGATATGCACCTGTAGTCCTAGCTACTCAGGAGATTGAGGTAGGAGGACTGCTTGACCTGAAGAGTTGAGGCTGCAGTGAGCTATGATCATGCCACTACACTCCAGCCTGGGCAACAGAGCGAGATCATGTCTCTTTAAAAAAAAAAAACCCAAGGCGCGGTGCCCCGTGGCTCATGCTGGTAATTCCAGCACTTTGGGAGGCCGAGGCGGGCAGATCACGAGGTCAGGAGATCGAGACCATCCTGCCTAACATGGTGAAACCCCGTCTCTACTAAAAATACAAAAAAAAATTAGCCGGGCATGGTGGCGGGCGCCTGTAGTCCCAGCTACTCAGGAGGCTGAGGCAGGAGAATGGCGTGAACCTGGGAGGCGGAGGTTGCAGTGAGCCGAGATCGCGCCACTGCAATGCAGCCTGGGTGACAGAGCGACACTCCGTCTCAAAAAAAAAAAAAAAAAAATCCCAAAAGAGTTAATGAAACTCATAAAAAACAGACTACCTTCCAGAGCAAGTCCTCCATCATAATGAATTGGGCATGTTCTGAAAGATGATGCCCAATAGTCCCTTCATCCAAAAGAGTGTGAACCAGGGCGCGGTGGCTCACGCCTGTAATCTCAGCACTTTGGGAGGCCAAGTCGGGTAGATACCTGAGGTCAGGAGTTCAAGACCAGCCTGGCCAACATGGTGAAACCCCATCTCTACAAAAATACAAAAATTAGCCAGACGTGGTGGCAGGCGCCTGTAATCCCAGCTACTCGGGAGGCTGAGGCGGAAGTTGCAGTGAGCCGAGATTGTGCCATTGCACTCCAGCTTGGGTGACAGAGCAAGACTCCATCTCAAAAAACAAACAAACAAACAGTGTCAAGCAATCCCTGGGGTTCAAGACCAGGAAAGATCACCTTACTCTGGTGCTATGTGGCAATGCATCGGGTCACAAGAATAAGCCAGCCTTATCTACTGAGCAAACAATCACTAGATTCTCTAAAACAAAAGCAAAACTTTGTTGCCTGTGTGCCAGCAAGAACACAAGAAGACTTGAATCTACCAATGCTTCATTCCTGAAGTGAAAAACTACCTTGAAGAAAAGGGAATGCCACTCAAGAGCCTCCTCATAATTGACAATGCTCCTGGCCATCTCTTTATGCTGATAAAAAATGTGGAGGTGATGTTCCTGCCTCCTAAAACTACATCACTGCTACAACCACTTAATCAAGGCATCAGGAAGATTAAGGTGACTTTCACCTTTCTCACCTGTAGGCGGATTCATGTTGTCTTTTAATTTTTTTAGAGATGGAATCTATGTTGCTCAGGCTGGTCTCAAACTCCTGGGCTCAAGAGATTCTCTTGCCTTGGCCTCCCAAAGCACTGGGATTACAGGGGTAAGCCACTGCTCCTGGCCCAAACTCATGTTGTCCTGATGCTACCCATGACTGTACCATAGTGGATTTATGGAAAGAGCTTCACAACTGCAGATGCCATTGTGCATATGACAGAGGGTGTAGATGTCCTAAAGGTCAAGACAGCCAAAGCATGCTGGAAGCCATTATGGAGTGTGGGAGTCAACGATTTCAGGGTCTTCTCGGGTATTGATACGGTAGGCAGGAATATCCCAAATGTTACAAGGCAAGTTGGTGGGGAAGATTATCTCTGACTGGACTGAAGACAATGTTGAGGAAAGCATAGAAGAGCATACAGAAATCCTTACTAACAAGGAACTCGAAGATATGCTGAAATCCTCTCCAGATAAGGACGATGATGATGCCGAACACGTAGAAGAGGTTGTCCAGAGATGTGGACACTTGAAAAATTTGCAGCAGTTTTTGGGGCATCTACAGCCTCTGCAAGGTGCAAGTATTAAAGATTACCATCCTCAAGTCAGATCCTTCCATGGAAGAAAGCCTCCATTTCACCTGAGGGATAACATGCCAACAAACACTGCAAGGATTTTTTGATGATTTAAAGGAAAAGAAGAACCGGCTTTCTACAACGCTGTTTCTAACTAAATATCTGCAAATATGAAGACAGACCCTTCAATGCTTACAGATCTTTGGCCCTCAAATTGAACAGATCCTGACATTAGTACTATTTAGCCTCCTCCAAGTGTCAACATCTGCAATCAGAACCTGGTTCTTCCAACACAAATGATTGTCCAGACATCCTGTCAAGATTCAAGTTAGCCTGATGTCTCACTGCTTATCTATTATGCCACACATCTAGTCACCTCTACACGTAATATTAGTCACCATACAGCAATCAGCATTATCATAATCATTATACTTGGGTAATCAAGCAAGAAGGATTAGAATTTTGGTATTAACATGCTCTTGAAGAAAATTAAACAAAAGCAATCTGCCAGTGTTGAACAACAACAACAAAAAAAACTATAATGTTATAGGTGACATGTACTATGCAGGTAGGCCTGCAATGGTTGGGTCTGTCCAGAACATGTATAGACTTCTATCATGATTCCCTAAATAATACAATAAAACAACTATTTACATAGTTTTTACAATGCATGAGGTATTTAATCCAGAGATGACTTAGAGTGTACAGGGAGATGTGGGTAGATAACATGCAAATATGTAATTTTATAAAAGAAACTTGGCATGTGTGGATTTAGGTATGATCAGGGACTGCTGGAATTAATCCCCTGCATATGTCAGGGGAAAACTGTATTTGAAATAAACTGAAATCACTTAAGCCTTCACCACATGGTTTACATTCATAGAGTTTATTTCTTTTTCTTTTTTTTTATTTTTTTTGAGATGGAGTCTCACTCTGTTGCCAGGCTGGAGTGCAGTGGCGCCATCTCAGCTCACTGCAATCTCCGTCTCCTGTGTTCGAGCCATTCCCCTGCCTCAGCCTCCAGAGTAGCTGGGACTACAGGTGCGCACCACCATGCCTGGCTAAGTTTTTGTATTTTAGTAGAGACAGGGTTTCACCATGTTGGCCAGGATGGTCTTGATCTCCTGACCTCGTGATCCGCCCACCTCGGCCTCCCAAAGTGTTAGGGATTACAGGCATGAGCCACCGTGCCCAAGCCATAGAGTTTATTTCCAATGTGATTTGTTTAATTTTCTCAGGTAAAATAAAATTAATGAATGCTTTCCCACATTCCACACATTTATAGAGTATCTTTCCAATGAGTCCTTTTGTGTCTGTGCAAGGAGCTGAGAGAACTCAATGCTTTTCCACATTCCTTACATTCACATAGCTTCTTTGCGGTATGAGTTCTTTCATGTCCTTGAAGGAAACGGGAATGAGTGAAGGCTTTACCACATTGTTTACCTTCATAAGGTTTCTCTCGAGTGTGAATTCTTTCATGTTGTAGAAGGCAAGTGAGCCAAGAGAATGCTTTCCTGCATTCCTTACATTCATACGGCTTCTCTCCAGTGTGAATCCTTTCATGTTGCTTTAAGTGACCAAAATGACTGAAGGCTTTTCTACATGTTTGACACTCATAAGGTTTTTCTGCTGTATGATTTTTTTATGAAGAGAAAGGTACTGGAAACAACCAAATGCTTTCCCACATTATTTACATTCATATGGCTTCTCTCCCATATGAGTTGTCTCATGATTTTGAAGGGAATAAAGATCACTAAAGGCTTTCCCACATTTACATTTATAGATTTTCTCCCTAGTGTGAGTCCTTTCATGTCTTTGAAATCCAATGAAATAAACAAAGGCTTTCCCACATATCTTGCATTTTGTGAGGTCCATCTCCAGTGTGCATTGTCATGTGTCTTCGAAAGCTTGAGCTATGAGATAACGCTTTCCCACACTGCTTGCATTCATAGAGTTTCTTCTCTCCAGTGTGAGTTCTTTCATGACTTTGCAGTGTACTGGAACAATCAAAGCCTTTCCCACATATCTTACATTTATGAGGTCCATCTCTAGTGTGCCTTATCATGTGTCTTTGGAAGCTTCCCAGATGATCAAATGCTTTCCCACATTGCTTACATTCATGGGGTTTCTCTGCACTGTGAGTGGTTTCACGTCTTTGAAGGGAAGTGGAAGCACTGAAGGCTTTCCCACATTGTTTACATGTACAGAGTTTCTCTCCAGTGTGAGTTTTTTCATGTCTTAGACAAGAACTGTAATCAGGGAAGGCTTTAGAACACTGCTTACATTCATACAGTTTCTCCCCAGTACGTGTTCTTTCATGTCTTAGATAAGAACTGTAAAAATGAAAGGCTTTAGAACACTGCTTACATTCATATAGTTTCTCTCCAGAGTGAGTTCTTTCATGCATACGAAATAAACTGGGCCAGAAAAATGCTTTCCCACACAACTTACATTTATAAGGTCCATCTCCATGCTGCACTGCCATGTGTCTTTGAAGGTTTCCCAAAGAATTGAAGGACTTCCTACATTCCTTACAATCATATGGTTTGTGTCCTGTGTGAGAAATTTTGTGGGTTTGAAACGAGTGGCAATAACTGAAGGTTTTCCAAAATTGTTTACGTGTATTACGCTTCTCTCCATATTCCTGATACTCATGTGGTTTGTGCCCAGCATCAACTCTGATGTGGCAATGAAGGGATGAAAGACCCGTGACGACTTCTCCACTCATTGTTTTCACGTGGACCTACTCCAGGAGGCATGTGCTTGTTCACAACAGTATCTCCAATCTGGCTAGATGTTTCTCCACAATGACTACTGTCTTTACTTTCACCGAAGCGCTCTACCATATCGCATCTGTAAAAAATGGGAAGTATATTACTAAAGGTTTGTTTATAAATGATTTTATATGTATTAATAGGTATTAGATGTACTTTTTTTTTTTTTGAGATGGAGTTTCACTCTTGTTGCCCTGACTGGAGTGCAATGGTGTGATCTTGGCTCACCGCAACCTCCACCTCCCAGGTTCAAGCAATTGTCCTGCCTCAGACTCCCAAGTAGCTGGGATTACAGGTATGTGCCACCACGCCAGGCTAATTTTGTATTTTTAGTAAAGACGGAGTTTCTCCATGTTGGTCAGGCTGGTCTCGAACTCCTGACCTCAGGTGATCTGCCCAACTCGGCCTCCCAGAGTGCTGGGATTACAGGTGTGAGCCACTGTGCCCAGCCTAGATGTACATTTTTAACATTATCATGCAAAGCACAGGCTTCAGGTGACGCCTGCTTAAATGTGAATGCACTGAATGTTGTGCAAGATAACTTGACCCCAAGTGCTTTCTCAATGATGATATTCGTATGGGGATTCTTTTTCTTTTTTTTTTTTTGAGACAGAGTCTCGCTCTATCGCCCAGGCTGGAGTGCAGTGATGCCATCTCTGCTCACTGCAACCTCTGTCTCCCAGGTTCAAGCGATTCTCCTGCCTCAGCCTCCCAAGCAGCTGGGACTACAGGCACACACCACCATGCCCAGCTATTTTTTGTATTTTTAGTAGAAACAGGGTTTCACCATGTTGGCCAGGCTGGTCTCAATCTCTTGACCTCGTGATCTGCCCACCTCAGCCTCCCAAAGTGCTGGGATTACAGGTGTGAGCCACCACGCCTGGCCAAAGGTTTGTTTATAAATGATTTTACATGTATTAATAGGTATTAGATGTACATTTTTAACATTATCATGCAAAGCACAGGCTTCATGTGAAGCCTGCTTGAACGTGAATGGACTGAATGCTATGCAAGGTAACTAAATGGCAGGTGCTTTCCCAATAATAATATTCATATGGGGATTCTTAACATTGCTTCCATGGAACTTATTATGCAAACACTTGAATAGCTATGAAACCATTAAGTATATGCTTTTGGAGAAAATTTTCTAAGAATAAATAAATTTAAGCTGGGTTTGTTCATTTTCTTTGCTTCTTTGTAAAATTTCCTATCATTTGAAGAATGACTCCAGAGGCATATCTTTCTCTTGTGATTGCAAATTACCTTACATTTATCCTGTGACTTTCGTATTGATCTTCCCTGATCTGGTCTTCTCATTTCATTCCTAAAGGGTAGACCCAGAAAAAATTTTTACAAAATTATAGAAAAACTGTAAGATATTATATATAGTGCAATCATGCAGGATTCATTCACCAAACTACAGTGGACTCTTGTAAACAGTTTTGAATTGCTCAAGTCCATTTATATGCAAAATTTCTTCAGTTTCTGCTATCCCTGAGATAGCAAGACCAGTCTCTCTTACTCAGCCTACTCAATGTGAAGACAATAAGGATGAGAACCTTTATGAACATCTACTTCCACTTAATGAATAGTAACTACAGTTTCTCTTCCTTATGATCTTCGTATCACCATTTTGTTTTCTTTTCTTTTCTTTTCTTTTTTTTTTTTTTTGAGACAGAGTCTCGCTCTGTCACCCAGGCTGGAGTACAGTGGTGCGATCTGGGCTCACTGCAAACTCCGCCTACCAGGTTAAACGAATTATTGTGCCTCAGCCTCCCAAGTAGCTGAGATTACAGGCACGTGCCACCATGCCCAGCTTATTTTTTTGTATTTTTAGTAGAGATGGGGTTTCGCCATGTTCGCTGGGCTGGTCTTGAACTCCTGGCCTCAAGTGATCCGCCTGCCTCAGCCTCCCAAATGCTATAGGCATGAGCCACCGTGCCTGGCCCATATTGCCATTTTCTTTCTTTAGCTTATGTCATTGTGAGAAATATATAACATATATGACATACAGTGTATGTATTAATCAACTGCTTATGTGACCGATAAGGGTGCCAGTGAACATTAGGTTAAACTGTGGTGGAAAAAAGTTATATCAGGATGTACAATTGCTTGGGGGGCTGACACCCCTAAACCCTGTGTTATTCCATGGTCAACCAGACCCCCTTTCCATATTCCAAATCTTCAACAGCATTGCACATCAAGAAGCAAATGTCCCTAATTGACTAAGTGGAGATACGACATCATCCTTACCTACACAGTCCAGGTTCCTGATGGTTTCCTGCATCACATCTTCGTAGAGATTCTTCTGGCAAGGACCCAGCAAAGCCCACTCTTCCTGGGTGAAGTTCACAGCCACATCCTCAAAGGCAACTGAGTCCTGAAACATCCCACATATGTAGATGAGGGAAGCAGAGACTGACAGTACTGAGAATCTACACTTACCTCTTAAATTTCCAGGGTGCGTGGTTTCCTTCTTTTTTTTTTAGGTGGAGTCTCACTCTGTCGCCCAGGCTGGAGTGGAGTGGCGCTATCTTGGCTCACTGCAAGCTCCGCCTCCCGAGTTCACGCCATTCTCCTGCCTCAGCCTCTCGAGTAGCTGGGACTACAGGGCCTGCCACCACGCCCAGCTAATTTTTTGTATTTTTAGTAGAGACGGGATTTCACCATGTTAGCCAGGATGGTCTCGATCTCCTGACCTTGTGATCCACCTGCCTCAGCCTCCAAAAGTGCTGGGATTACAGGTGTGAGCCACTGCACCTGGCTAGGGTGTGTGGTTTCTAAGCGTGACATGGTAAATCCACTTTCATTTTCTGTCTACACTCACTGTCTCCCACATGGCAATTCTGATGCTACAATTAAATGTTTGCTAAGGCAACAATTGAATTGGGACGGGTCTCCTGTTGGTAAGTGAAGTCAGTATTATTACATGGACCTTCATGGCTATTTCTACAGTGGATCTGCAGTTCTTATCAGGACAAAGTCCTACTCTTTATTGTGCAAAAGAGTTAACATTAGCAGTCCTGAGACTACATATCCTCACAAATGCTTGTTTACAATGTTGGACCTTTTATGGTGTCTAGGCACTGGATTTAGGGAGGGTCCCCACCAATGTGGCTAGTAAAAGGGACTGAGTGTACCTAAACTATTTATGCAAAATAATAAGGCATTTGCTTAGTTCCTATATTCCTCTGAGAACTGGAATTCTATTTCATGCTCAGCAGAGGAAGTGCACCTGATCAGCCACTGCTAGGTTTGAATGTCTGTCCCCTCCAAAACACATGTTGAAAGTTAATCTCCAATGTGAAAGTAATAAAAGGTGGGGCTTTAAGAGGTGATTGGGTCCTGAGGGTTTGGACTTCATAAACAGATTAATCCATAATGGCTGAGTGAATAAATGGGTTATCTCAGGAGTAACACTGTGGTCATGTCATGAGAGGAAGAAAAGATCTGAGCTAGAGGCTCAATCCCCTCACTATGTGATACTCTGTGCTACCTAGGGACTCTGTAGAGTCCCCACCAGCAGGAAGGTTCTCACCAGATTCCCAGCCTTGACCTGAGACTTCACAGTCTCCAGAACTGTAAAAACTAAGTATGATTTCTTATCAATTGCCCAGGTTCACTTATTCTGTTATAAGCAAAAAAAACAAGAGAAAGACAGTCATGAGGAAACACTCTGAGCACTGAGTCTAATGAACACCCCTGGTAGATTACATTTCATATTCTTTGTTGCAACTTGTGATTAGGGGGATCTGGCCCAGCCTATGTGCGATTACAGTAAGAGAATATTTGGAAGCTGGCAACTGGTTTCCACTAGATCAAATGCAGTAAAGTAGGACAAAAGACTAATAAAATATACTTCACAATCCCAAGGGAAAAATCTTAAACTTATTATTAGGTAATGTCAAAAGAGAAGGAAAGAAACGGTGGATTGCACATGTTCTTAGAAATAACTCAAAGTCATCTCTTATGAATATGTATAATATTCCATAAATCCCTAAAGCAGACCTTTAGTAGTCAACAAAAATGACATTACCAAATCTAAGTCAAAAATGTCTAAAAATGCTTAAAACTTCTCATTAAATGACAGCATTATAAAAACAGATAAAGGATTCTTAAGTTATAATATTCAGCACCCCATAAAATTAACAGAAAGATAAAGATAAATAAAAATAAAAGTGAAAATGGAAGGAAAGCCTTGTGGAGTTTCTGTTTGTCCTAGGCCCAATCCCTCCCCACCTCAGTGCCAGTCTCTCTCTCTCTCTATATATATACACACACACACACACACACATATACACATATACACACACATATATATACACATATATATACACATATATATACACATATACACACACACATATATATATATATAATTTTTTTTTTTTTTTTTTGGAGACAGAGTCTCACTCTGTCGCCGAGGCGGGAGTGCAGTGGTGCGATCTCGGCTCACTGCAAGCACTGTCTCCCAGGTTCACGCAATTCTCCTGCCTCAGCCTCCCCAGTAGCTGGGACTACAGGCACTCGCCACCATGCCCGGCTAATTTTTTGTATTTTTAGTAGAGATGGGGTTTCACTGTGTTAGCCAGGATGGTCTCGATCTCCTGCCCTCGTGATCCACCCGCCTCGGCCTCCCAAAGTGCTGGGATTACAGGCATGACCCACCATGCCCAGCCATTAACCTCAATTCTTTTTTTACATATATTTTACTTTGTTTCAGAGACAGGGTCTCGCTCTGTCTCCAGCCCAGGCTGGAGTGCAGTGGCATGACCTAGCTCACTGCAGCCTCGAACTCCTGGGCTCAAGTAATCTGGTGATCTCAGCATCCCTAGTAGCTATGACTACAGGCATATACCACCAAGCCTAGCTAAATTTTCCTTTTTTCTTTTTTTTTTTTTTTTTTTTTTGCATAGATGAGGTCTCACCATGTTGCTCAGACTCGTCTTGAAATCCAGGCCTTGGTTGGGCATGGTGGCACACACCTGAAGTCCCAGCTACTTGGGAGGCTGAGGCAGGAGGATCTGTTGAGCCTAGGAGTTGGAGATGGCAATGAGCTATAATCACACCACTGTACTCCAGCCTGGGCAACAAATTGAGACCCCCATTTCCAGGAAGGAAGGGAAAGGAGAGGAGGGCAGGGGAGGAAGAAGAGAAGAGAACGGAAGGGAAAGGGGAAGGGGAAGGGAAAGGGGAAGGGAAAGGGGAAGGGGAAGGGGAAGGGGAAGGGGAAGGGGAAGAAGGAAAATCCAAGCCTCAAGCAATCCTCCCACCTTGGCCATTCAAAGTGCTGCCATAACAGGCATGAGCGACCATGCACATTCCACTTTCATTTTTGAGGATCCACTCTCATAATCTAACCTAATCCTTATCATGTCTCAAAAAAACCATTGCCTAATACTGCCACATCAGGGAAGTGGAAAAATAAATAAAATTTTATAAGGACATAAACATTTATTCCACAATAAGTGATTTATTAGTAGCTTTTTATCATTTTCTAAATACTCATGTTAATCCCTTATCAGATATATAATTTGGAAATGGTTTCTCCCATTCTATGGGTTACTCATTTACTCTGTTAATATTGCATTTTGATGCCAAAGGTCCACAAACTCCAAATTATTTTTTTCCCTTGTGGGTCATGCTTTTGGTGCCAAATCTAGGAAATCACTGCCAAATTCACTGTAATACAGCTTTTGCCATGTATTTTCATCTAACAGTTATACAGCTAAGATGGACACTCACGTATTTCATTCATTTTAACTTCTGTACATGTTAGGTATGGGTACAACGTCATCCTGTTGCATGTGGATGTGCATTGCCCAACAGCATCATTCTACAGAAACACTAAGCTATCCCCCATCGAATAGTCACAGCAGACTTTTCAGAAATTGTTAGACTTTATGTAAATTATTAGACTTTATTAGACTTTCTGTGTTATCTTGTTGCATTGTCTATTTCTGCGTTATTACGCTAGTACCAAACAGTTTTTATTAGTATGGATTTGTAATAAGTTTTGAAATCAGGAAGTGTGAGTTCACCAACTTTGTTCTGGCTTTTTCTTTTTTTTTTTTTTTTTGAGACAGAGTCTCGCCCTGTTGCCCAGGCTGGAGTGCAGTGGCATGATCTCAGCTCACTGCAACCTCCACCTCTCAGGCTCAAGTGATTCCCCTGCCTCAGCCTCCTGAGTAGCTGGGATTACAGGTATGCGCCACCATGCCCGATTAATTTTTGTATTTTTAGTAGAGATGCAATTTCACCATGTTGGTCAGGCTAGTCTCCAACTGCTGACCTCGTGATCCGCCTGCCTCAGCCTCCCAAAGCGGCGGGATTACAGAAGTGAGGCACATCTGGCCATTGTTCTGGCTTTTGAAGACTGTTTTGTTCATTCAGAGACCCTTGAGATGTCATATGTAAAAAAATAAAAAATGTTAAAAAATGGCTCCTAAGAAGGAATCAAGTGGTCAAACCTATCCCTAAAAGGCTAGCAGTGGTTAAAAAGTGGTATCTCTCAATAAGAAAATACAAACCCAAGATGTTTTGAAAAGTGGTGTATCACCTTGAAAATTTCATCATAAAGTAAGAACAAACCAAGAAACCACACACTAAAACTGAGAGAAGCTGAAGTTCTTGAAGGTGTTAGAGCTTTTGCCACCGTAGGGTGGCAAAAATGATCCCTCTGGTTTATGATAAACTAAGGATAAAGACTAAGAAAGCATTAAGTATGTGGCTAGAGGACATGTCACAGAACCACATCCCTGCTGATGGTAACATCATACTTGAAAAAACACTTAGCCGGGCCAAGCGCAGTGGCTCACTCCTGTAATCCCAGCACTTTGGGAGGCCAAGGCGGGTGGATCACGAGGTCAGGAGTTCGAGATCAGCCTGACCAACATGGTGAAACCCAGTCTCTACTCAAAAGACAGCTGGGTGTGGTGGCGCGCACATGTAATCCCAGCTACTCAGAAGGCTGAGGCAGGAGAATCACTTGAACCCGGGAGGTGGGGGTTGCAGTGAGCCAAGATCACGCCACTGTACTCCAGCCTGGGCGACAGAGCAACACTCCGTCTCAAAAAAAAAAAAAAAAAGAAAGAAAGAAAACAAACAAACAAAAAAACATTTAGCCTCTATGAGCATCACTGTGAGGGGGCTGAGGAGAGCAAGAGGAAGGAGTTTGAAGCCAGTAAGTTCTGGCTAGGCTAACTATGCAACACAGTGCAGCCCAAGAACTTGAAGACCACAGGAGAACTGGCATCGGCTGAAGCCACGGAAACAACAGCATTCCTAGAAGAGCTCATAAAACAGAAAAAAGAAAGACTATCTTCCAGAGTAAATCTTCTATTGTCATGAATCAGGCATGTTCTAGAAGATGCCCAATGGTACCTTCCGTCATGAGTGCAGGAACTAGGGTTCGAGGCCTGGAAAGACCACCTTATTCTGGTGCTGTCAGGCCATGCATTAGTTCATGAGAACAAGCGAGGCTTCATCTACTGAGCAATCACCAGGTTCTTTAGGACAAAAGCAAAACTTGCTGGCCTGTGTCCTGGCAAGAACATAAGAAGGCTTTCTTCTAGCAATGCTTCACTCCTGATGTGATGGAATACCTCAAAGAGAAGGGACTGCCACTCAAGGTCTTCCTCAGAATTGACAACACTCCAGGCCATCTCTCCAATCTCTTTGTTTTGCCTAAAAGAACATGCAAGTGATATTTCTGCCTCCTAAAACTACATCACTGCTGCGTCACTAGATCAAGGCATCATCAAGTGCATTCAAGTGACTTACATCCACCTGACCTTGGCTGATTTCTTGGAGTCTTGATGCTAACCTTGAATGTACCACAGTGGTTTTATTGAAGAGCTTCACAATTACAAATACAATTGTGCTTATTGGGAAGGCTACAGATGCCCTAAAGCCCAGGACAGCCAATGCATGTTACAAGCCATCATGGGGTAAGGGAGTCAATGATTTCAAGGGCTTCCCCACTATTAATGCAGTTATTAAGAATATGTAAAATGTTGCTAAAAAAGTTGATGGAGAACGCTGTCTGAAACGACTGAGGATGACGTTAAGGAACACACCGAAAAGCAAAGAGAAACCCTTACCAGCTAGGAACTTCAAAGTCTGCTGAAATCCACTACAGATGATGATGAGCTAGAAAACTTAGAGGACACAGAGCCATTGATTTGGACACTTGAAAAGTTTGCCACAGTTTTTCAGTAGGCAAAGGTGAAAAAGAGGTACGATCCTCAAAGATCCTACAATGGAACAAAGCTTTCACTCCACCCGAGAAATAACAACATGCCTATAAACACTGCAAGATTTTTTTTTTAATGAAGCAAAGGAAAAGAAGAACTAGCTTCCTATAACTAAGCATCTGCAAAGAAGATGGAACATTCAATGGTTACAGATCTTCAGCCCTCAAGCCAAACAGATCCTAACATTAGTATTACATAGCCTCCTCAAATGAGTCCACATCTATAATCACAAGTTGGTTCTTCCAACATAGATGATAGTCCTGATGGCCTGTCAAGATTCAAGTTAACCTGATGTCTCACTACTTACCCACAATGCCATACATCTAGTCATCTCAACACATCAAAACACTGGGCACCACAGAATCATCATCGTTATAATCACTATACTTGGGTTATCAAGAGAGAAGACCCAGGGTTTTGGTAAGTGTTAACACATTAAACAAAAGCAATATGTGAGAGTTGAAACAAAGAAACTTTAATGTTCTGGCTGACTATACTATGTTGATAGGCTGACAATTACTGCATCTATACTGAAAATACATAGACTCTTTTCCTTATCATGAGTCCCTAAACAATACAATAGAACAACTATTTGCATAGCTTTTACAATGCATGAGGTATTTTAAGTAATCTAGACATAATTGAGAGTATACAAGAGGATGTGGGTAAGTTACATACAAATATGTCATTTTATAAAAGGGACTGGACATGGCTCACGGAGTGCTGGAACCAATACCCAGCAGGTATCAAGGGATGACTGTACTGGAAAGAAACTGAAATTACTTAAGGTTTTACCAAGTGCTTACATTCACAGGGTCTATCTCCAATGTGTTTCGTACAAGTATCTGAAATGAAATAAAATTAATAAATGCTTTCCCACATTCCATACATTTAGAGAGAATGCTAGTGAGTCTTTTTATGTCTATGCAAGGAACTGAGAGAAGCAAATGCTTTCCCACATTCCTTACATCCATACGGGTTCTCTCCAGTGTGAGTTTTTTTCCAGTGAGTCTTTTTATGTCTATGCAAGGAACTGAGAGAAGCAAATGCTTTCCCACATTCCTTACATTCATACGGGTTCTCTCCAGTATGAGTTTTTTCATGTCCTTGAAGAAAACGGGAATGAGTGAAGGCTTTACCACATTGTTGACACTCATAGGGTTTCTCTCTCATGTGAATTCTTTCATGTCGTAGAAAGCAAGTGAGCCAAGAGAATGCTTTCCCACATTCCTTACATTCATACGGCTTCTCTCCAGAGTGAATTCTTTCATGTACTTTTAAGTTACCAAAATGACTGAAGGCTTTCTTACATGTGTTACACTCATAAGGTTTCTCTCCTGTGTGAGTCCTTCTATGTTGAGAAAGGTATTGGAAACAACTGAATGCTTTCCCACATTCCTTACACTCATATGGCTTCTCTCCAGCATGAGTTGTTTTGTGATTTTGAAAGGAATAGAAATCAATAAAGGCTTTCCCACATTTGCATTTATAGGGTTTCTCTCCAGTATGAGTTGTTTCATGCCTTCGAAGAGAACTGGAAATACGGTAGGCTTTGCCACATTGTTTACATTTATAGGGTTTCTCTGCAGTGTGAGTCTTTTCATGCCTTTGAAATACACTGGGATAAACAAAGGCTTTCCCACATATCTTGCATTTGTGAGGTCCATCTCCAGTGTGCATTGTCATGTGTCTTCGAAAGCTTGAGCTATGAGATAACGCTTTCCCACACTGCTTGCATTCATAGAGTTTCTCTCCAGTGTGAGTTCTTTCATGACTTTTCAGTGAACTAGGACAATCAAAGCCTTTTCCACATATCTTACACTTATGAGGTCCATCTCTCGTGTGCATTACCATGTGTCTTTGAAAGCTTCCCAGATGATGAAACGCTTTCCCACATTGCTGACATGCATAGGGTTTCTCATCAGTGTGAGTTGTTTCGTGTCTTCGAAGGGAAGTGGAAGCACTGAAGGCTTTCCCACATTGTTTACATGTATAGGGTTTCTTTCCAGTGTGAGTTCTTTCATGTCTTAGACAAGAACTGTAATCAGGGAAGGCTTTAGAACACTGTTTACATTCATACAGTTTCTCCCCAGTATGTGTTCTTTCATGTCTTAGATAGGAACTGTAAAAAGAAAAGGCTTTAGAACACTGCTTACATTCATATGGTTTCTCTCCAGTGTGCGTTCTCTCATGCATATGTAATAAACTGGGCCAAAAAAACGCTTTCCCACACAACTTACATTTATAAGGTCCATCTCCACGCTGCACTGCCATGTGTCTTTGAAGGTTTCCCAAAGAACTGAAGGACTTCCCACATTCTTTACAATTATATGGTTTCTTTCCAGTGTGAAGCCTCTCATGTGTTTGAAGTGAGTTGTGGTAACTGAAGGCTTTCCCACGTTGTTTATGCGTATCTGGCTTCTCTCCACATTCATGATACTCATATGGTTTGTGCCCAGCACCAACTCTGATGTAACAATTAAGGGATGAATGACCCATGATGACTTCTCCACTCATACGGCTTTCATATGGACCTACTCCAGGAAGAGTGTTCTTGGTCACAATACTATCTTGAATCTGGCTAGATGTTTCTCCACATTGAGTTCCATCTTTACTTTCAACAAATCTCTCTAACATACGACATCTGTAAAAAATGGGAAATATATCACTAAAAGTCGGTCTATAAATAATTGTATAGGTATTAATAAGTATTGGATGTACATTTTTAACACTATCATGCAAAGTGCAGGCTTCGTGTCCTGCTTGAACGTGAATGGATGGAATGCTGTGCAAGGTAACTCGACCCAGGTGTTCTCAAGACAATCACATTCATATGTGGATTCATAATATTGTTGTCATGGGAACTAATTTATGAACACTGAACAGCTATGGAACATTTAAGTATATATTTTGGAGAAAATTTTCTAAGAATAAATAAATTTAAGCTAGGCTTGTTCATTTTCTTTGCTTGTTTTTAAATTTTCATATCATTCTCAGAACGGCTCCAGGGACATATCTTTCTCTTGTGAGTATAAATTACCTTAGATTTTTCCTGGGATATCTATATTGATCTTCAATGTTCTGGTCTTTCCATTTCATTCCTAAAAGGTATACACAGAAAAATCATTACAAATTTTTACAAAATTATAGACAAACAGTAACATTTTGATGTACACTGCAATCGTTCAAAATGCATTCACTGAAGTACACCTGACTCTTGAAAAACAGAGGTTTGAACTGCACAAGTCCATTTGTATATACATATATATATGAATGTTCTTCAGTCTCTGCTACCCAAGACACTAAGACCAGCCCCTCCTCTTACTCAGCCTACTCAATGTGAAGACAATGAGAATGAAAACCTTTCTGATGATGCACTTCCACTTAATGAACAGTAAATACAGTTTCTCTTCCTTATGATTATCTTTTTAACACTTTCTGTTTCTAGCTTACTTTACTGTGAGAATATACGATGTAATAATACGACATAAAATATATGTATTAATCACTGCTTATGTGACTGATAATGCTGCCCATCAATAGTAGGCTAAGATGTGGACAAAAAGTTATATGAGGATGTACAACTGCTACAGGAGCTGGCACCCCTAAACCCTGTTTTTTTTTTTCCAGGGCCAACCATATCCCCTTTCCATATTCCAAATCTTTGAACAGCACGAATGACCAAGAAACAAATGTCTCCAATTAAATAAGTGGAAATGCGATGTCATCCTTACCTACACAATCCAGGTTCCTGATGGTTTCCTGCATCACATCTTTGTAGAGATTCTTCTGACAAGGACCCAGCAAAGCCCACTCTTCTCGGGTGAAGTTCACAGCCACATCCTCTAAAGCCACTGAGGCCTGATCCATCCCACATGTACAGAGGAGGAAGGGTGAAAATCACAGTACTGAGAATCTATACTCACTTCATAAATTTCACATGATGCTGTGGTTTCCAACCATTTTATTCAATGACATGGTAAACCCACTCTTATTCTCTGTCTACACTCACTTTCTCCTACACAGTAACTCTGAAGCTACAGTTAAACATGTTTGGTAAATTAACAGTGGGATAGAAACATGCCACTTGTTGGCGAACTGAGTGAGTGAATCACATAGCCTGGATCACCCCTAATGTTGATTTCCACAGTGGGTCTGCAGTCCTTGGCACGATAAAGTCCTACTACTTATTGTGCAAAAGGGAGTTACCATTAGCAGTGCTGAGACTGTGTGTCCTTACAAATGCTTTTTCACAAAGTTGGGCTTTTCATGGTATCTAGACAGTGTATTTAGGGGAGGGCCCCAGGAGCGTAACTAATAATAGGGGTGGAGTGTGCCTAAATTGTTTACGCAAAAAAAATACAGTATTTCCTTAACCCCATCTTCCTTCTGAGAGTTTGGAATTTTGTTACATACTCAGCACAGGGAGTGCACCTGATCAGCCACTGCTAGGTTTGAATGGTTGTCCCCTCCAAAATGCACACTGAATGTTAATCTCCAAAGTGGCAGTAAAAAAAAAAAAGTGAGGTTTAAGAGGTGATGTAGTCCTAAGGGTTTGGACCTCATGAATAGATTAATCCGTAACGGGTGAATGAATAAATGAGCTATCTCATGTCCTTCTGAGAAGAGTAAGAGATCTGAGCTAGACACTCAGCTCCCTCACCATGTGATACTCTATGCCGCCTAGGGACTCTGCAGAGTCCCCACCAGCAAGAAGGTTCTCACCAGATGCCCAGCCTTAACCTTGGACTTCCCAGCCTCCAGAAATGTAAAAATTAAATACTGTTTCTTATAAATTACCGAGGTTCAGTAATTCTGTTATGAATAACAAGAAACAGGCTAAGACAGCTACAAAGAAACACTCTGGGCATTGGGTCTATAATGAACTTTCTGGGTAGATAACATTTCACGTTTTGTTGCAACTTGTTATTTGGGGGATTTAGCCCATCCTATGTGATTATACTTACAGAGAATATTTGGAAGCTGGCAACTAGTTTCCTTTAGATCAAATGTACTGAAGTATGACAACAGACTGAGAAAAGATATTACACCACCTCAAAGGAAAAATTTTAAACATTTTGAGTAACGCCAAAGGGGAAAGAAAGAAGGGGAAAGACTGCACATATTCTTAGAAAGAACTCAGTGTCATCTCTCATGAATATTTATAATACTTACTAAGAAACTAAAACAAATCTTTTAGTAGTCAACAAAAATTACATTACCAAATCTAATAGAACTCACAGTATCTAAAAAATGCTGAAAGCCTTCTCACCAAGAAAGTGCAGCATTCCAAAAACAAATAAAGGATTTTATTTGGCACCCCGTACTATTAACAGAGAGATAAATATATATATAAAGAAAAATGAAAACTGGTAGAAAAGTCTTGTGGAGCTTTTATTTGTCCTTGGCCCAATCCCTCCCCCTATCAATACCAGTCTTGAACACAGCAGCCTGAGTTCCCGGTATAGAACCCTGGACACTAATTCTAGAGACAGCATATCAGATCTTATTTGCAAATTATTGCCTTGCATTTTCCAATCTGTATAAGGACTATCCCGAGGTCTGAAACAAAGCTGTCTTTTTTTTTTTTTTTTTTTGAGACGGAGTCTTGCTCTGTCACCCAGACTGGAGTGCAGCCACACAACCTTGGCTCACTACAACCTGACTCCCGGGTTCAAGTTATTCCACCCAGCCTCAGCCTCCTGAGTAGCTGGGAGTACAGGCATGCTCCACCACATCCGGCCAACTTTTGTATTTTTACTAGAGACGGGGTTTCACCCTGTTGGCCAGGCTGGTCTCAAACTCCTGACCTCAAATGATCCGCCTGCCTTAGCCTCCCAAAGTGCTAGGATTACAGGTGTGAGCCACAGTGCCCAGCCAAGGCCCTCTCTTCTACTTTATCTACAATACAACACGATCAGGGTCCAATTTGGCAGGAACTGCATGAAAATGTTGCAAAATACACAAAAAGCCTGTAGCCAACTGGAAGAACAGACTATGATTAAGACATACAGTAGACCAACTAAGTCATGGAGAAAAAGAGCTGAAGAGAAAATGTCCTCCAGATATCAGGGTACTCAAAAGCACCCAGGTATCCTGGGGAATTGAGAAAGCCCCATGCATGCACAGTAAAGAACACATTTTCACAAAAGACACCGGAGAAGAAACCCTCATTTTCACTTCTGGCTGATCTGTAGCTTTAAGTAAGCAGAACATAAAGCATAAGTAGAGTATTAAACAGCCTGGCTAAGTGTTCAAGGGATGCCCCAGGCACAGAGCCATCCACAAAGACTGGAAGAGGTCAGGCTTTTGTATGCTTTATCTTTTTTACTAGCTTCTAGCATTCAGGAAATCTCTGCCAGAACACTGGATGAACACACACTAAAGAACAGAGATGTCAGTTTCTACAACAAATAAGGAATACAGTCTGTGCAAACATACTTTGAAAATGTTATTAAACAAATGAACAATTACAGTCTTCAACACACATAAACAGAAAACAGTGAGGAAAGAAGAAGAATCCAATTTTCAGAATTACCCCATTATAACATTGAGATGTCTACTTTTCAACACAAAATTATGAAGAATACAGAAAAACATGAAAATATGGTTCATCAATTGGAAAAAATATAATTGAGATAAGCCATCTCTGAGAAACCTCAGACACTGCACTCACTGAATAAAAACGTTAAAACAACTATCTTAAATATGTTCAATGAAGTAAAGGCAATGATGAACAAATAACTAAAAGAAAACCAGAATACAGATATAGAGATAAAATAATATCTATTAAAAAGTAGAAATTAACTGGGCGTGGTGGCTCACGCCTGTAATCCCAGCACTTTGGGAGGCCAAGGTGTGTGGATCACCTGAGGCCAGGAGTTTGAGACCAGCCTGGCCAATGTGGTGAAACCCTATCTCTACTAAACATACAAAATTAGCTGGGCATGGTGGTGCACGCCTGTAATCCCAGCTACTTGGGAGGCTGAGGCAGAAGAATCGCTTGAACCCAGGACGTGGAGGTTGCAGTGAGCTGAGATCATGCCACTGCACTTCAGCCTGGGCAACAAGAGCGAACCTCTGTCTCAAAAAAAAAGGGGTAGAAATTTAGCCATATAGAATTTATGCAGCTGCAGGGTACAACTAAAATGAAGACATCATCACAAGTGTTCAAAAGATGTGAGCAGCCAAAAAAAAAAAATCAGTTAAAATGATGATAAACCAATTGAAATTAATCTAATGGGGAAAAAAAAAGGAATGAAATTGAGAGAATGTGTTACTGGTGTACTTGTCTTGCCAATAATGTTAAAAGAAGTTCATCAGAGAGAAGAAAAATGATACAGGTTAGAAACTCAGATCATACACACACACACACAAACACACAAATATATACATATGCATATATATGAAGAGCATTAGAAAATAATTCAATGAAGGCACAAAAATTATTTCCTTTTCTTATTCCTATTGGATATCATAAAGGTTTGTTCAAAAAATAATATCAACAATGTATTGGGTGGTTATAGTTTATAATAGGGCAAATGGATGACGGTGATGTTAAATTGGGTGGGAGGGAGGAATGCTGAACACTGGGTTATATAAGCATTACCCCAAAAGCCAGTACAGTGTTACTTAAAACTGAAGGTCCATTTGTTGTGAATGGTTTACTCCAAATGCTAGGGAAATCAATAATAAAATGTTAAGAAACAACAGCCTGTCACAGTGGCTCACCCCTGTAATGCCAACACTTTGAGATGCAAGACAGGAGGACTGCTTAAGATCAAGACTTTGAGTCCACACTCGGCAACACAATGAGACTCTGTCTCTAGGAAACGTGTAAAAAAAAAAAAAAATTAGCCAGGCGTGGTGGCCTGCACCTGTAGTCCCAGCTACTCAGGAAAGCAAGTAGGGAGGATCTCCTGAGCCCAGGAGTTGGAGGTTATAGTTAACTATGATTGCTCCACTGCACTCTAGCCTAGGTGATAGAGCAAGACCCTGTCTCAAAAAAAAAAAAAAAAAGAAAGAAAGAAAGAAACAAAGAAACAAGTAGACTTACCATACTATTAGAAGAAAATACAATCATATAGACTCCTCAGTTAAAATAAAAGGAGACAGAAAAAGGAAGTTGAAAAAAACCGACAAGTATAACAAATGTAAAACAATTATATATGTACATATGAATCCAGGTATATCAATAACCACTTTAAATGTGTATTATATGAATATACCAATAAAAGAAGACAAGGACTGACACAGTAGAAAAAAAACAAGATCCACCAATGTGTGCAAGAAAACTATTTTTTTATTCTCTCAAGAAAACTATTTTAAGTAGAAAGACACAGGTACATTAAATATAAAGGTATGAAAAAATATACTCCATTCTAGCCCTAATCAAAAGCCATATGGGGCTGGGCATGGTGGCTCATGCCTATAATCCCAGCACTTTAGGAGGCCAAAGCTGGTGGATTGCCTGAGGTCAGGAGTTGGAGACCAGCCTGGCCAATATGGCGAAACTGTCTCCACTAAAAATACGAAAGAAAAAAAAAATTAGCCAGGCATGGCGGCACGCACCTGTAGTCCCAGCTACTCGGGAGGCTGAGGCAGGAGAATCGCTTGAACGCAGGAGGCGGAGGTTGCAGTGAGCTGAGATCGTGCCACTGCACTCCAGCCTGGACAACAGAGTGAGACGCTGTCTCAAAAAAAAAAAAAAAAAAAAAAAATTGGTCTTAGCTGGAGGTGGGGGCATTGGCCTCAGGCCTCTCTGCCATAGTCAAAGCTACTCTCTTACCCTTCTATGCTTTACATGGATATTTAAAAACAAAATACTCATGTTTGATGAATCCAGGAAAATCACTCAAATTCAGTGTTTATGTCTATGGGTGGGAAGGAAATTGTAAGGCACTGATATTTTATACCTCAACAGGAAAAGCCCAAATACCTATCCCTTCCAGACAATGAATGTCATTTAATTACTATTTCCATGATAGTAAGTGATACAGTTAAAAATAATTATATTTTACTTCTTTAGCTGTTGGAAAGTCCTGTCCCACAGAATTTAGCATTCATCTGTCAAACCCATATAACAGGAACAGAACAGATTTCTCCATTGTCCCAAAATCTCCACCCTTTTAAAAAGGAGAACTGAACTTTTGTTAAATCCTTTTAATTCAATGTACCTACTACACTTTCTTGTAAAAATGTATTCCTTTTTTGCAGCCATAATGGAAGAGGGTTTTTTCCTTGGTAGTAGTTATACTACTAAGTCCTGAAATTCCATCTGAAATCATCCAAAAAACAAACACACCTGAGAAACATACTACACAAGCTCTGGGGCAAAAAAAATAAATAAAGGTTTTTAAAAAATGGAATAGAAGATTACATATACCATTTATATTCTGAAATCCAACTCTTTCTAGAATTACTTATACAATTTATTTTCTGAAGTCCAACTCTTTCCAACTTTGGGTATACTTTGTCTTCAAAGTATACAATAACAATCTCTAATCATAGGATGTATTTTAAGGTTAATCAAAAATTTAGGCTGAAAAGAGTAAACATATCTTTTCAAGCTAACAAACTCAGGAATCAGCAGTGCTGACTGGAACACAGAAAAGTCTAATGCAACAATCAGGGTGGGTCATCCTATCACCTGGGACATCCCTTAACCCTATTCTGGTCATCACCCTCCCAGGAGACACTGCCTTGTGTGCTTTTCAGGATCTTGCACTACCTCAACGGGCAGGTTCTCCAGTCCTTAGATATAACTTTCTACCTTTTAAGTCTGAGAGAGTCCAGAAGGCAAAAATCATTTCTGTTTTTTTTTCCTATGGAATATGACCATGAAATTGGCTGTTCAGTCATGTGTCTCCAAGGAATGGAAACTAGGGTTGGGAAGAAAAGGTGAGTGTCCCAGGAGTTAGCTTTTTACAGGAATTATATACCAGAAGATTCCTCCCATCCCAGTGGATCCAGTTGCTCCCCAGGGGGCCACACCCCCCATCTCAGGCTGTCCCCTGGGAGGAGTGACCCAGGGGATGATATTCACTAGACCCTCCAAGAGACTTGGCAGCTGTGGACACCCTTTTTTTTTTTTTTTTTTGAGACAGGGTCGGCCTCTGTTGCCTAGGCTGGGATGCAGAGGCACGATCATAGCTCACTGCAACTTCAAACTCCTGGGCTCCAGCCATCATCCCACCTCAGCCTCAGGAGTAGCTGCGACTACAGGTGCCAGCTACCAAGCCCAGCTAATTTTATTATTATCATTTATACTAGAGACAAGGTCTTGCCATGTTGCCCAGGCTGGTCTGGAACTACTAAGATTAAGCAATACCTCTGCCTTAGCCTCCCAAGGTGCTGGAATTACAGGAATGACCCACCGTGTTCAGGAACCCAAAATAATTCTTTCAAGAAAAAGCCATACATTGCTAGCTGAAAACAAGATGACAAACTAGTGAAATATCGCCTGGGGGCCAAACAGTTCATACCGTTGCTGTGAATTAAGGACAGAAGGTTAGCCTGGGGAAGTCTCTGGAAACCAAGAGATTTGCTGCCAGCCCTAGGAGGAGTCAGGATGAGAGAACACAGTGGTGGATTTGAGACCCTGCTAACCACATCTTTGGAAGACTCAGAGGGGAAACGGTCGCCCTTGGAAAGAAAGAAGGGACTGAGGACCACGGAGACCACAGCTCCTCCCACACACAAACCCCACACACGAGTCTGGATTCCACCTGGTGACTCGTCGTCACCGTGCAGCCTCCTCACCGGGTTCACAGGAACTGCGAGCCAGGCTGGAGGCGAGATTGCAGTTAGATATTAACCAGGTGCCCTCAGCCCCGCTGCCTCAAGGGGCCGCCTCCCTGAGAGTCAGGTCACAGCAGACGCTGACCGCCGGCTTCCCCATTGTGCCTGGGGATAAGATCTCTGAGAACTGCTCAAGAGTCGCCGGAGTTCTCAGATCCTGAATCCCAGCAAAGGCTGGCGCCAATCAGGTTGAAGTCCCAACGAGGGAGCCCATTCAGCAGAATGCGGTTTCTTCACCTCCTGTCCCAGGATTCACCCCTCACTTCCCCACCAACCAACGACCCTACACCCAGCCGCCCCCGTCCAGACCCCAAATCCCTCAGGGAGGCGGATCTGGGGTGTCCTCCCCTCTCTGGCTATTAAACTGTTTCTGCTGCAGCCCTCAGCGTCTCGGTGCAGTGAGTCGGGCCGCGAACCTGTGTTGCTTACAGCCGCACAATCTCGGGAGACGCGAGGCTGCGGGCGCGGAGCTGCCCAGAGAGGGCGCCGGGGCCGCAGTCGCCGCGCAGGAACGGGACAGGACGCCCGGGGTCCCGGCTGCATGCCCAGCCCCACCCTGCGGCCGAGGGCCGACCTACGCCAGGGGAACCCGGGTCCGTAGATCCCGGAGTAGCCCTTGGGGAGGCCCGGGTCCAGCCACAGCCGATTACTGCAGGTTCCACCCAGCCCCTCCCCCGCCTCGGGACGCCGGCCCAGCACACGCACCATTTCCCGACTTCCGCGGTGTCCCAGGTCCTCCGGACGGCTCCCGCTGCCAATGCGGGTTCCCGCGGGACACAGGCTGCCACGGAACTTCCAGGTCGTCTCTTAGCTACAGAGCCGAGCACCGAGCGCCCAGCGCAGGTGGGTGGAGAAGACGCCGCGGGCTTTTTCAACCACACACTCCTCTGGGAAGCGCGCCTGATTGACAGTTCCCACGAACCCGCCCCACGGCCCTTACTGGATACGGCGTCAGGTGCCGCCCCTCGTGGACTGATTGACAGAAGAAGCGATCTTGCACAGCTGAGTGGAGCCAGATGAGCAAGTTCCTGACACAGCCCTTGGCAGGGCGGGCTTCCTCCCTGCTCTTTGATCTGAATCCTCCCGAGGGATATTTGCACTTAAGCGGAATTTCCTGCCTGTACTCAATAGGACCTCCTGCTTCTTCCTCCTGTACACTGACTGACAAAACAATTATACTTTTTTTTTTTTTTTTTTTTTTTTTTCCGAGAGAGAGAGAGAGAGAGAGAGAGAGAGAGGGAGTCTTGCTCCGTGGCTCAGGCTAGAGTGCAATGGTGCGAGGCTCACTGCGACCTCCGCCTCCTAGGTGGGTTCAAACAATTCTGCCTCAGCCTCCCGAGTAGCTGGGATTACAGGTGCGCGCCACCACACCCGGCTAATTTTTGTATGTTTTAGTAGAGGCCGGGTTTCACCATGTTGGCCAGGCTGGTCTCGAACTCCTGACCTCGTGATCCGCCCACCTTGGCCTCCCAAAGTTCTGGGATTAGAGACGTGAGCCATCGCGCCTGGCTCCAATTATACTCTTTTTCAATGAAATTTTTCAAAATATTTCAATGTACAATTAAATTATTTTTTACTATAGTCACTCTGTTGTGCTAGCAAATACTAGGTCTTATTCATTCTTTGTAACTATTTTTTATACCTATTAACCATCCCCACTTCCCCCATAACTACTCCTCGCTACTACTTTTCCCAGCCTGTGGTAACCATCCTTCTACACGTTTTTGGTTGTTTGAGATGGGGTCTTGCTCTGTTGCCTAGGCTGGAGTGCAGTGGGGCCATCATGGCTCACTGCAACCTCTACCTCCCAAGCTCAAGCAATCCTCCCACCTCAGCCTCTCAAGTAGCTTCAGATTGTTCACTGTTGGCATATAAAAATGTTACTGATTTTTGTATGTTAATATTGTATCC
The DNA here is from genome assembly GCF_000001405.40 of Homo sapiens. Classification (NCBI taxonomy): domain Eukaryota; kingdom Metazoa; phylum Chordata; class Mammalia; order Primates; family Hominidae; genus Homo; species Homo sapiens. Next base: position 12,402,274 of record NC_000019.10, read on the forward strand.
TGCAACTTTACTGAATTTATTTCTCAGTTCTAATACTTTTTTGGTGGAGTCTTTAGGTATTTCCAGATATAAGATCATATTATATGCAAACCAGGATAATTTGACTTCTTCCTTTCCTTCCCAATATAGATGCCCTTTATTTCTTTTTTTTTTTTTTTTTGGACTTATTGCTCTAGCTGGGACTTCGAGTACTGTGCTGAACAACAGTGGTAAAAGTGGGCATTCTTATTGTGTTCCAGATCTTACAGGAAAGGCTTTCAGTTTTTCCTCATTCATTATCATGCTAGCTGTGGGTCTGCCATATATGGCTTTTATTATGTTAAGGTAGCTGCTTCTATACCCAGTTTTTTTTTAGGGTTTTTATCATGAAGGGATGTTAAATATTATCAAAAGCTTTTTCAGTGCACATTGAAATGATTATATGGTGTTTGCCCTTTATTCTGTTGAAATGATACATCACATTGATTGATTTGCATATATTGAACCATCCTTGCATCCCAGGGATAAAGCCCACTTGGTCATGATGAATGATCTTTTTGGTGTATTGTTAAATTCAGTTTGCTAGTATTGAGTTGAGGATTTTTGCATCAATATTCATCAGTGACACTGGCCTATAGTTTTCTTTTTCTGACATGTCTTTGTCTGGTTTTGGTGTCAAAGTAATATTGGCTTTGTAAAATAAGTTTGGAAGTATTGCCTTCTCCTCTGTTTTGGAATAGTTTGAGTAGGATTGGTATTAGTTCTTTTTTAAATGTTAGTAGAATTCAGCAGTGAAGCCACTGGGTTCTGGGGTTTTCTTTGCTAGCAGACTTTTTATTATGGCTTTGATCTCATTATTTGTTATTGGTCTGTTCAGGTTTTTTATTTCTTCATGGTTCAATGTTGCTATGTTCTATCTGCCTAGGAATTTATCAATTTCTTCTAGGTTTTCCAATTTATTGGCATATAGTTGTTCTTAGTTGCATTAATGATCCTTTGAATTTCTGCAGTATCAACTGTAATGTCTCCTTTTTCATCTCTAATTTTATTTATTTGGGCCTTTCTGTTTTTTTCTTAGTCTACCTCAAGGTTTGTCAGTTTTGTTTGTCTTTTCAAAAAACCAACTTTTTGTTTCATTGTTCTTTTCTATTGTTTCTTCATTTCAAATTCATTTATTTCTACTCTGATTTTTATTATTTCTTTTCTACTAATTTTGGGTTTGGTTTGCTCTTGCTTTTCTAATTCTTTAAAATGCATTCTTAGGTTGTTTATTTGAAGGTTTTCTTCTTCTTCTTCTTCTTCTTTTTTTTTTTGATGTGAGTTTTACTTCACTCTTGCAGCCTAGGCTGGAGTGCAATGGCGCAATCTCAGCTCACTGCCACCTCTGCCTCCTGGGTTCAAGCAATTCTCCTGCCTCAGCCTCCCAGGTAGCTGAGATTACAGGCACCCACCACCATGTCTGGTTAATTTTTTGTATTTTTAGTAGACAGGGTTCCACCATGTTGGCCAGGCTGGTCTTGAACTCCTAAGCTCAGGTGATCCACTCACCTCGGCCTCCCAAAGTGCTGGGATTACAGGTGGGAGCCACCGCACCCAGCCTGCAGGTCTTCTTCTTTTTTGATGTAGGTGCTTATATCTATAAACTTCCCTCTTAGTACTGCTTTTGCTGTATTCCATAGGTTTTGGTATGTTGCATTTTCATTATCATTTGTTTCAAGCAACTTTACAATTTCCTTCTTAATTTCTCCACTGACCAATTGGTCATTCAGAAGCAGATTATTTAATTTCCATATGTTTGTATGGTTTCCAGAATTCCTCTTGTCATTGATTTCTAGTTTATTCCATGTATTCTATGACACAATTTAAATTATTTCAATTTTTTTGGAGAGTTTTAAGACATGCTTTTTGAACTAACATATGGTCTATCCTTGAGAATGATGCATGTGCTCGGGAAAAATATGTGTATTCTGTAGCTGTTGGATAAAATGTTCTGTAAATATCTATTAGATCCATTTGATCTATAGTGTAGATTAAATCCCATTTAATCTTTCTTTTGTCTGATTTTTCAGTATATATTGAGATAATCTTTGTCGATTTACTGTCTGGAAGATCTGTCCTGTGCTGAAAACGGGGTGTTAAAATCTCCAGCTATTATTGTATTGGTCTCTCTCTCTTTTATTTTTATTTTTATTTTTTTTTGAGACAGAGTTTCACTCTTGTTGCCCACGCTGGAGCGCAATGTTGCAATCTTGGCTTACTGTAGCCTCCTCCACCTCCCAGGTTCAAGCAGTTCTCCTGCCTGCTGGGATTACAGGCGTGAGCCACCATGCCCGGCCCTCAGTGCCAGTCTTAAAGACAGCAGCCCGAGATCCCAGTATAAAATCCTACTCACTCAATTATCACCTTTGTATTTTCGAATTGGTATGGGGACTTTCCAAAGGTCTGAAACAAGGCTCTCTGTTCTATATCATCTACAATAACTCAGTCCCTGTCAAATTTGGCAGGAATTGCCTAAAAATGTTGTAAAATACATCAAAAGCCTGCAACCACCTGGTAAAACGGATTATGATTATGACATACCATCTCTGATGGTTAATACTGAGTGTCAACTTGATTGGATTGAAGGATACAAAGTATTGATCCTGGGTGCCTCTGTGAGGGTGCTGCCAAAAGAGATTAACATTTGAGTCCCTGGGCTGGGGAAGACAGATCCACCATTAATCTGGTGGGCACAATCTAATCAGCTGCCAGCGAATATAAAGCAGGCAGAAAAACATGAAAAGGAGAGACTGGCCTAGCCTCCCAGCCTACATCTTTCTCCCATGCTGGATGCTTCCTGCCCTCGAACATCAGACTCCAAGTTCTTCAGTTTTGGGGCTTGGACTGGCTCTCCTTGCTCCTCAGTTTGCAGACAGCCTATTGTGGGACCTTGTGATTGTCTAAGTTAATATTTAATAAACTCCCATTTATATATATATATATATCCTATTAGTTCTGTCCCTCCAGAGAACCCTGACTAATACACCATCTAAATCCTGGGGGAAAAAAGTTGGAGAGAAAATTTCCTCTAGTAAACTAGGGTACTCAAAAGCACTCAGGTATACTGGGGAATTGAGAAAGCCCCATGCATGCACAGGAAAGAACACATTTTCACAAAACACATGATAAAACCCTAATTTTCAGCTCTGGCTGATCCCTAGGTTTAATTAAACAGAAAATAAATGCTAAAGTAGGATTTTAAACAGCCTGACTGTGTTTTCAAGGAATGCCCCAGTACAGAGCCATCCACAAAGACTGAAAGAGGTAAGGTTTTTGTTTGTTTCATCTTCTTCTTTACTTTTAGCTTCTAACATTCCAGAAATCTGTCAGAACACTGAATGAACACAGAGGAATAGACATCAGTGTCTACAATGAATAGGGACTACAGTCTCTGCAAACACAGTTTGAAAATGTTACTAAACAAATTACAGCCTTCAACAAACATAAATAGCAAAGAGTAAGCATAATTTTGTTTTGATACAAACAAAATTATGAAGAATACAGAGAAACATGAAAATGTGGCTCATTGATGGAAAAAGTTTAATTGACATAGTTCATCTCTGAGAAACCTGACACTGGACTTACTGAATTAAAACTTTAGAGCCGAGCGCGATGGCTCATACCTGTAATCCCAGCACTTTGGGAGGCCGAGGGGGGCAGATCACAAGGTCAAGCGATTGAGATCATCCTGGCCAACACGGTGAAACCCCATCTCTACTAAAAATACAAAAATTAGCTGGGTGTAGTGGCATGCGCCTGTATACCCAGCTACTCGGGAGGCTGAGGCAGAATCGCTTGAACCCGGGAAGCGGAGGTTGCAGTGAGCCAAGATTACGCCACTGCACTAATGTCTGGTGACAGAGTTGGACTCTGTCTCAAAAAAAAAAAAAAAAAGAAAAAAAAAAAGGCCCGGCGCGGTGGCTCACGCCTGTAATCCCAGAACTTTGGGAAGCCGAGGCAGGCGGATCACGAGGTCAGGAAATCGAGACCATTCTGGCTAACACGGTGAAACCCCATCTCTACTAAAAATACAAAAAAAAAAAATAGCCGGGCATGGTGGCAGGCGCCTGTAGTCCCAGCTACTTGGGAGGCTGAGGCAGGAGAATGGCGTGAACCTGGGAGGCGGAGCTTGCAGTGAGCCGAGATCGCGCCACTGGACTCCAGCCTGGGCAACAGAGTGAGACTCCGTCTCAAAAAAAAAAAACCAAAAAACTTTAAAATAACCGTCTCAAATATGTTCAACAAGGTAAAAGCAATGATGAATAAAGAACTAAAAGAAAACCAGAAAACAGATGTAGGGATAAAATAATATTAATTAAAAAGTAGAGGCCTGGCGCGGTGGCTCATGCCTGTAATCCCAGTACTTTGGGAGGCCAAAGTGGGCGAATCACGAGGTCAGGAGATCGAGACCATCCTGGCTAGCATGATGAAACCCCGTCTCTACTAAAAATACAAAAAATTAGCTGGACATGGTGGCGGGCGCCTGTAGTCCCAGCTACTGGGGAGGCTGAGGCAGGAGAATGGCGTGAACCCCGGAGGCGGAGCTTGCAGTGAGCGGAGATCGCGTCACTGCACTCCAGCCTGGGCGACAAAGCGAGACTTCTTCTCAAAAAAAATAAAATTAAATTAAAAAAGTAGATATTGAGCCATATAGCATTTATGCAGGTGCAAGATACGACAACTAAAATGAAAACATCACTACAGGTGTTCAACAGTTGTGACTAACTAAAGAAAAACATCTAAAATGAAGACAAAACAACTAAAATTACCCAGTCTGAGAGAGGAAAAAAGGAACAAGGATGAGAGAATGTGTGACTGGTATACCTGCCTTGCCAGTAATGTCAAAAGAAGTTCATCAGAGTGAAGAAAAAGGATACAAGTTAGAAATTTGGGCTGGCTCAGTGGCTCATGCCTATAATTCCGGCACTTTGGAAGACCCAAATGGTAGGATTGCTGGAGCCCAGGAGTTCAAGGCCAGCCTGGGCAACATGGTGAAACTCCATCTCTATAAAAAATAAAAAATTAGCCAGGCATGGTGGTGCACATCTGTGATACAGGCTACTTGGAAGGCTAAGACAGGAGGTTAACTTCAGCCCAGGAGATGGAGGCTGCAGTTAGCTATATTCCTGTCACTGCACTCCAGCCTGAGTAACAAAGCAAGACCCTATCTAAAAAAAAAAAGAGAGAGAGAGAGAAAAAAAAAGAACTAGAACAAATTCTGGTCACACACACACAAACATATATACACAAATACATACAAACATACATATGCAAACTACATAAAATATATGAAAAGAATTAAATGAAGGCACAAGAAAACTCTTTCCTTTTCTAGTTCCTATCTGATGTAATAGATGTTTGTTCAAACTAATAATATCAACAATGTATTGGGTAGTTTAGCTTATAATAGGGCCAATGAATGACAGTGATGTTATCTGGGATACGAGGGAGGAATTTGGAACACTCTGTTATACAGGCACTATACCAGAAGCCAGTATGATGCTTTGTAAAACTAAAGGTCCATTCATTGTGAATGGAATACTCAAACTCTAGGGAATTTACTGGTAAAATTTAAGAAACAATAGCTAGTTGGGTAGCTCATGTGTGTAATCCCAGGACCTTTAGGAGGCCAAGGTGGGAGGATTACTTGAGCCCAGAAGTTCAAGACCAGCATCAGCAACATAGTGAAACCCTGTCTCTATAAAAATTTTAAAAATATCTTGGGCATGGTGGCACAAACTGTAGTCACAGCTACTCGGGAGGCTGAGGCAGTGGGATCTTGAGCCCAGGAGTTTGAGATCACAGTCAGCTATGATTGTGCCACTGCACTCCAGCATGTATGAGAGACCCTGTCTCAAAAACAAAAAAGATTCTGTCTCAAAAGAAAAGAAAAGAAAAGAAAATGAAACAAGTAGTATAGTATAATAAGTCTACTTACTCTACTTCCATTTTCATAAAATTTCATTTCACATAGTAATAGATTTACTATACTAATAGAAGAAAGAAAGAAAATGGAATCATATTAAATGCTCAGTTGGAAGGAAAGGAGGCAGAAAAAAAGAAGTTGAAAAAACAGACAAACATAACACAATTACATATGTACGTAGTAATCCAACTATATCAATTGCCATTTAAACATGTATTATCTATAGATACCAATATAAAACAAAGATTGATAGAGTAGAAGGAAAAAACAAGACCCATGAATGTATAAAGAAAACTATTTTAAATAGAAAGACACAGATACATTAAATACAATGGTATAAAGAAATATATGCCATTTTAGCCCTAATCAAAAGGAATATGGAACAGGCTACATTAGACTCAGATAAATCAGGTTGTAGATCAAGGAAAATTACAAGAGATAGAGATATTTCATAATGATAAAGTGCTCAATCCTAGAGACATAATAATCCTTGATATGTATGTCCAGAAAATAGAGCATCAAAATGCATAAGGTGGCTGGGTGTGGTGGCTCACGCCTGTCATCCCAGCACTATGGAAGGCCGAGGTGGGTGGATCACCTGAGGTCGGGAGTTCAAGACCAGTGTGGCCAACATAGTGAAACCCCATCTCTACTAAAAATACAAAAAATTAGCTGGGCGTGGTGGCAGGTACCTGTAATCCCAGCTACTCGGGAGGCTGAGGCAGGAGAATCACTTGCACTCAGGAGGCAGAGGTTGCAGTGAGCCGAGATCGCGCCATTGCACTCCAGCCTGGGCAATAATTGTGAAACTCCACCTCAAGAAAAAAAAAAAATGCATAAGGCAGCAGTCCCCAACCTTTTTGGCGCCAGGGACTGGTTTTGTGGAAGACAATTTTCCCATGGAATTGCGCTGTAGGGGAATGGTTTCTGATGAAACTGTTCCACCTCACATCATCAGGCATTAGATTCTCATAAGGAACGCACAACCTAGATCCCCTTGCATGTGCAGTTCACAACAGGGTTCGCGCTCCTATGAGAATCTAATACCGCCACTGGTTTGACAGCATGTGCAGGCGGTAATGCTTACTGCCTGCCGCTCATCTCCTGCTGTGCCACCCGGTTCCTAACCAGCTACAGACCAGTACTGGTCCACAGCCTGGAGGCTGGCAACTCCTGGCATACGGCATAAATTTATAAAACTGCAAGGCAAATACACAAATCCATAATTATAGTTGAAGGAGAACAATTCCCCTCTATCAATAATTGATCAATTGAGTAGAAAAATCACTAAGGACATAGCTGAACTCAACAGCATCATTAATCAACTGGATTTAATTCATATGTATTTATAGAATACTTCACTCAACACCAGAGTACACATTCTTCTCCAAACTACATAACATATTCACCAGGATGGACTATATTCTGAGCCATAAAACCTACCTTAACAAATTTAAAATAGATATTCTGTAAAGTATGCAATCTAACCATATTAGAATTAATCTAGAAACCAGTAACAGAAACACAGTTGAAAATCTTCCAGAAAGTCGACATTTGAACAACAAACATCCAAAATACATGAAAGACAAACCGAACTGTCAAGAGAAATTTAAATATTCTGAAGTTGATGAGAAAACTATATCTTAGGGCCAGGCACAGTGGCTCACGCCCATAATCCCAGCACTTTAGAAGGCCAAGGTGGGTGAATCACTTGAGGTCAGGAGTTGGAGACCAGCCTGGCCAACATGGCAAAACCCTGTCTCTACTAAAAATACAAAAAATTATCTGGGCATGGTGGTGCACACCTGTAGTCCTAGATACTCGGGAAGCTGAGGCAGGAAAATTGCTTAAACCCGGGAGGTGGAAGTTGCAGTGAGCTGAAATCATGCTACTGCACTCCACCCTGGGCAACAGAGTGAGACTGTGTCTCAAAAAACAAACAAACAAATATATATATATACATACATACATACATACATACATATACACATACATATATATACATATGTGTCTGTGTATATATCAATGTCTGTGTGCATATATATATATATATATATATATATATATATATATATATATATCTTAGCCAAAAACACTTTTCATAGAGATGAGATCTATATTCCCCAGGCTGGTCTCAAATTCCTGGGCTCAAGTGATCCTACCACCTTGGCCTCCCAAAGTGTTGGGATTACAAGCATGAACCATAATGCCCAGCCTTAGCGAAATGTTTGAAATGTAGCAAAGGCAGTGTTTACAGGGAAATTCAAAGAATTGAATGCAAACTCTGGAAAATAAAGATCTAAAATCAATGCTCCATTTTGAGAAACTAAAGTTCCATTTTGAGAAACTAAAGAAAGAACTCCAAGATAAATCACTCAGAGGAAAATTACAATGAGAATATATTAATGAAATTGCAAACAAGATATCAATTAAAAACATCAATAAAATCAAGAGCTAGTTCTTTAAAAAGACCAAGAACATTGCTAAACCCACAGCCAAGCCAACTCAGAAAAAAAAAGGGGGCCATCACTACTATTCCTATGCACATTAAAGTGACCATAAGGGACTATTCAGAGCAATTGCATGTCTACAGATTTGTTTAATTACATGAATGGGCCAATTCCCTGAAAGACAAAATCTACCAAAACTCACAAAATTAGACCCATGTAATACGAACGGGCATAATCTATTTAAAAATTGGAATCACTAAATAACAAATGTCCCAAGAAAAAGGAACCAGACCAGGATGGTTTCACTGGTGAACTCTGGCAAACACTTATGGAAGAAATGACACCAATTTTCTACAATCTCTTCTGAAAAAGAGAAGCAGAGAGAAATCATGTTATAAGGCCAACATTGCCCTTGCACTGCAACTAGACAGATGATACAGACATATCTCCGCCATGTAAGAATATAAAAGGAAGACTGCTATCTGCAAACCAAGAAGCAGGCCCTTACTAGAGACTTCATCTGCTTGAACTTGGAAACCCAGCCTCTACATCTTTGAGAAATGTTTGTTGTTTATGGTATGCAGCCTGTGGTAATCTGTTATAATAGCTTGAGGTGACCACACATCAAGGCTTTGAAGTCTATAGTAATGAGGAGAGTATGGTATTAACCACAATGACTAAAAGAGAAACCAATGGAAAATAGCCAATTCTAAAACAAGATCACCAATTTAAGACACAAGAACCTATGACATGCAGGTATTAGCAGGCAACGATATAAATGGGAGACACTTCAACACAAAAGACAGGGACAAATGGTTATCTTCAAGAGAAAAATCAATTTTCTGCTCATCATCTTCACATACAATAATCAACTCACTATACACCTACCTGTTTTGTGAATTCTTATTCACTTGATATTGCCCCAGTTTCCATTTTGGTTTTTCGTTTTTGTTTTTTTTGAGGCAGACTCTCACTCACTCTGTTGTCCAGGCTGGAGTGCAGTGGCTCGATCTCAGCTCACTGCAACCTCCACCTCCCAGGTTCAAGCAATTTTCCTGCCTCAGACTCCTGAGCAGCTGGGACTACAGATGCGCACCACCACACCCCGCTAATTTTTGTATTTTTAGTAGATACAGGGTTTTACCATGTTGGTCAGGCTGGTATCGAACTCCTGGTCTCAAGTGATCTGCCAGCCTCAGCCTCCCAAAGTGCTAAGATTACAGGCATGAGCCACTGTGCCCAGCCCAGCTTCCATTTTGAATTTGCTTTGAACACTCTCCAAGCAGAAAATGGGTTTGTAATCTCAGATACACTTTCTTGTTCTCTACCTCCTCCTCCTTCCTCAATGTGGTTGATCCAGATATCTCCCTTACGTAACCATCTTTCTGTCACCATGTCCCTATGGGACAGCTAAATACAACTTGCCTGACTCACCCCCCACAGCCCACATGGACTGCAGACATGTGTAGCAGTGACCACCTCTCAGTCAAAGCTGGACTCTGGGGAACTTGCGCATACTTCCTTTTAAACACACCAATTAGAACTCCCCAAGAGAAGCCTGGTTGGGTAACCCCTGGGCCCCAATAAAGGCTTCAGCTCATGAGTCCCCCTCCCTCTCTTGTTCCGCACATACTGGTCAAGTGTCCATGTAACTCAAGACCGCTAACTCTTGGTCTTCAAGGCATGCTAATCTCTTCTGTCTAGGATGTCTATGTAAATGCACTGTTTCTATTATTTCCTGTATTTTGTTGAGTTGCCTTTTCTATGTCGCACCTGACCAACACATCTGAACCTAAGTTCTATCCAGATCAAAGCTCTCTTTGTAGGATTGTCTTGGCTGCGGCTGTCTTGGTAGAAATAAAATAAAAATTTGTCAGAAAAAAAAAAAACCCACGAAATGTCAGCAAAAACAAGTGTTCTTGAAGAGGAACACTTGGTCACTAGTCTGACATTTAGGCATTATTAGGCCCCGACCAGGAAAAAGAAAAACCTAAAGGGTCACATTTGGCTGGCTTCCAAATTAATCTACCTGGGGGAGGTCTTCTGATCCACGGCCCACATCCTGTCCCTGAGTAAACAATCTTATCCTGGGCTGGGGGTGGTGGTTCACGCCTGTAATCCTAGCACTTTGGGAGGCCAAGGCAGGCAGATCACCTGAGGCCGGGAGTTTGAGACCAGCCTGACCAACATGGAGAAACCCTATCTCTACTAAAAATAGAAAATTAGCCAGGCATGGTGGTGCGTGCCTGCCTACTCGGGAGGCTGAGGCAGGAGAATCGCTTGAACCCGGGAGGCAGAGGTGATGGTGAGCGGAGGCTATGGTGAGCCGAGATCACACCATTGCACTGCAGCATGGGCCATAGAGCAAGACTCCGTCTCCAAAAAAAAAAAAAAAAAAAAAGAATCTTATCCTGAGTCCCTCAAATCATATTGTGAGTTCTTCAAACTGCTGATGCTCTCATTAACATGTAACCTACTGACATCAAAAAGGATCCTGATTCGTTTCTAAATCATGAAGTTTTCCTGATTGTCTTCCATGTAGAACCTTTTAGCCTGTATGTTGTCATGTGTAACCAATGTTTATAACCTCTGAATTGTACCCTCCAATGAAAAGGACAATTCACCAATGAGGAGTCCCCCTCCCTTCTCCTAAAGGTTCTTAGGAAAGCGTCTGATTTGTAATGGAGGTTGGAACACATCCAAATTTGCTGGTGTGTCTTCCTGGGTCAATCCTCAAATTTGACCAGTAAACCTACATAAAATGACTTCTACCTCAATAGCCTTAATTTAGGTCAACAGAAGGCTCTCAGAAAGGCACAATTTCAGAAAATGAAAGCCCACAAGGGAAAAATGTTCTGCACCAATGCTAATCAGTAAAAACCAATATATACTCATATGGAGATAAATAAAAGATAAGTCTTTGTAAGGAATAAACACACACATGCGTACACGGTCAGACAGGTAATGTACACATGCCATTAGAATTTCTTAGAAAACTTAAATTCATCCATAATCTACGACCAGTAGTGGGAATATTGAGGAGAGAAAGTTACCCCCTGGGGAAGGCTCTGGAAACCAAGGGACTTACTGTGACCCCTATAAAGAGTTAGGTTGAGGAGACAGGACGGTGGATTAGACAGGATGGTGGACTTCAGACTCTGCTGTCCAGGGGAAGGGTCCGCAGACCGGGTAGTCGCCCGTAGGGAAGTCTGGGTCCTGCCCCAGCTGGTAACAGCTGGTTCCAACCAACCCCTCCTCCCGTCTCCGGACCCCTAGGCCGTGCACACGCACCATTTCCTGGCTTCCACGGTGTCCCGGGGTCTTCTCTACGGCTCCTGCGGCCTGTGCGGGTCCCAGTGTGCCAGAGGCTGCCACAGAACTTTCAGGGCGTCTCTTAGCAACAGAGCTGGGAACCAAGCGCAAGGAGTGGAGAAGATGCCCTGGGCTCTTGGAACCTCACAGCCTCCTCGCGGCAGCTCCCTTATTCACAGTTCTCACGACCCCACCCCACGTCCCTGATTGAGTAGTGTACCATGTCCTGCCCCCTGGGGAACTCAGTGACAGAAGAAGGTATCTCTTGGTGCTGAGTGGAGGCAGAAAAACAGGTTCCAGACCCAGACCCTCACAGAGCGATCTTCTTGCCTAGTGGTTCCTAGTGCTGTGACCTTATCCCGCCCCTGGGGACATTTGCATGTGGGCATAATTTCCCACCTGTACTCAATGAGCTCTTACTACCTCTTCCCCTGGACAGATCACAAGTCTGTGCTGGGAATCCCAGACCACTGTCCAGTGGAGCCATCCCCTAGCCTCAGAGCAGGAGGGGAGCCCAAGCCACACAGGCCACCCTGCAGCAGGAGGGAAGGCCTGATATCCTCCAGGGATCAGGAATTTCAGATGGGGCTGCTGGCGACATGGCCAAGCCTTTCTCCCACCTTATCTCTCAATCTACTCATTTTCAGCTCATAAAAGCACATCAACAATGAAATAAAACTGTTACATGCATGGAAAAACTGGAATTATAAGGCAACAGTCTTCTATAAAGGAATCAAAAGAGAAGAAAGGAAGAAACATGAACTAGCTCAAAGCAGCAGCCTGCTGAACCCACAGTTCACAAGCAAACTCCCTTTCAGGAGGTCAAACAGATTCCCAAGCTTAGGAGCCAAACTCTGACTCCTGAAACAATCTAGTGATGAGGCAGGGACATGGAAGCATTTAACTTTTGGCACTCAACTCGCCCTCCTATCCTGCTTGCACACTGTGGAAACACTCCTTTCTTCAACACTTTAAATGTTAACGAATTAAACGCTCCAATCAAAACCTGAAACATTAGACTTTGAATCTGAAAACATGAGTTTTGCCATGTTTTTAAGGACCAGACATAAAAGCATTGTGAGGCCAGGCGCAGTGGCTCATGCCTGTAATCCTACCTAGCACTACGGGAGGCTGAGGCGGGCGGATCAGCTGAAGTCAGGAGTTCGAGACCAGCCTGGCCAACATGGTGAAACCCTGTCTCTACTAAAAATATAAAAATTAGCTGGGCGTGGTGGCACGTGCCTGTAATCCCAGCTTCCCGGGAGGCTGAGGCAGGAGAATCGCTGGAATCCAGGAGGTGGAGGCTGAAGTGAGCTGAGACTGTGCCATTGCACTCCAGCCTGGTGACAAAGCGAGACTCCACCTCAAAAAAGAAAAAGCATCATCAACTGAAAGGTGGAATCCATTGCTAAAAGAAAGGAACCAAACATGAGGTGTCATCAGATTAAATGAAATCTTCTATTTTTAAAAACTGTAGCTTTTCCTGACAGGGAAAATGGGCATGTTTGGCAAATAAGAAATAAATGATGTCTGATTATAACTCATCAACAAATAATTTTCATGTCTTAAAAAATGACATACACACACACAGTCTATTATCACAAGATTTTGTTCCCTCCTTGAAGGATAAACTACTGCTCTGCAAGATGCTCCACCCTTCACTCCTCACATTAACTGCTGCTAGCATATTTATTTGTTCCAAAACAGGTATAAAAAGAGGGTTCAGTGTGTCAAACTACATGATTGTTAGAGGTTTATGTACAGATTTTGTATATTTTTACAAACTGCACCAGTTAAGTAGTTGATTTATGTTGTTTTTGTTTTTTGTTTGTTTTTAGACAGAGTCTCACTCTGTTGCCCAGGCTAGAGTGCAGTGGTGCAATTTCGGTTCACTGCAACCTCCGCCTCCCAGGTTCAAGCGATTCCCCTGCTTCAGTCTCCCAGGTAGCTGGGATTACAGGCATGCATCACCACTCCCGGCTAATTGTTTTTTGTTTTTAGTAAAGACGGGGTTTTGCCATGTTGGCCAGGCTGGTCTCGAACTCCTGACCTCAAGTGATCTGCCTGCCTTGGCCTCCCAAAGTGCTGAGATTACAGGCATGAGCCACTGTGCCCAGCCTACTGTGTTGATTCTTACAAAAGCTCTAGTACAAAAATAAATGTTCACGTTACCATGATGAAAAACTCAGGAATGGTGACTCCTCGATTCCTCTGAAAAACAATTTTTTTTAACCCTAAGAGAAGCTAGGAAGTCTACAGTAAATGGCTGGAGGTGATCCCTGAGAGAACACATTTTAGTGGAAAAGGTCACTCATGGAAAATACCAAAATTTATATGTAGCAGTTTAAATATACTACAGGAAACACTGCGATTACATTCTTCAGTTACCTCTATGACAGCATGATGGTTTTTTTTTAGGTAGGGTGTTTCTTTTTGGTTTTCTTTTAAAAAAGAAAACTGTAGGCTGGGCACAGTGGCTCACGCCTATAATCCCAGCACTTTGGGAGGCCAAGGTGGGCATATCATGAGGTCAGGAGATAGAGACCATCCTGGCTAACACGGTGAAACCCCATCTCTACTAAAAATACAAAAAATTAGCTGGTCATGGTGGCGGGCACCTGTAGTCCCAACTACTTGGGAGGCTGAGGCAGGAGAATGGCATGAACCCAGGAGGCAGAGCTTGCAGTGAGCCGAGATCACGCCACTGCACTCCAGCCTGGGCAACAGAGCGAGACTCCATCTCAAAAAAAAAAAAAAAAAAAGAAAAGAAAACTATAAATCTTTCCCCACAACTGTAAATCTTTCTCATTCATAGAGATATCTTCCTAAATGTGCTACTAAACTTATATTTATATTTTCACCATTTCAGTGTGACTTCATTTTAATGCATGCTGTTATAAGGGTCTCAGTTGCTCTTCTCTGCAGGTCAATATCTGTTGCGGGAAGTCAGGGACACCAAATGGAGGGACCGGCTGGAACCGTGACAGAAGAACATAAATTATGAAGATTTCATGGACATTTATCAGTTCCCAAAATTAATACTTTTATAATTTCTTACGGCTGTCTTCACTGCAATGTCTGAACATAAATTGTGAAGATTTCGTGGACATTTATCAGTTCCCAAATGATATTTTTATAATTTCTTATGCCTGTCTTTAATCTCTTAGTCCCGTTATCTTCGTAAGCTGAGAATGTACATCACCTCAGGATCACTATTGTACAAATTGATTATAAAACATGAAATCAGTGCACCTTAAAAAAGAACAGAATAACAGCAATTTTCAAGGAACAAGGGAAGATAACCATATGGTCTGACTGCCTGTGGGGTCGGGCAGAATAGAGCCATATTTTTCTTCTTGCAGGGAGCCTATAAACGGATGTGTGAGTAGGAGAAATATCACTGAATTATTTTCCCAGCAAGGAATACCCTGGGGAAGGAATGCTTTCCTGGGGGGTGGTCTATAAACAGCAACTCTGGGAGTGTCTGTCTTACGTGGTTGAGATAAAGACTGAAATACACACTGGTCTCCTACAGTACCCTCAGGCTTACTAGGATTGAGAAATTCCAGCCTGGTAAATTTTGGTCAGACCGGTTCTCTGCTCTTGAACCCTGTTTCCTGTTAAGATGTTTATCAAGACAATATGTGCACAGCGGGACATAGACCCTCATCAGTAATTCTAATTTTGCCTTTGCCTTGTGATCTTTATCACCCTTTGGAGCATGTGATCTTTGTGACTTACTCCCTGTTCACACATCCCCTCCCCTTTTAAAATCCCTAATAAAAACTTGCTGGTTTTGTGGCTCAGGGTCGTCATCACGGTCCTACCAATATGTGATGTCACCCGTGGAGGCCCAGCTGTAAAATTCCTCTCTTCGTACTCTTTCTCTTTATTTCTCAGACTGGCCAACACTTAAGGAAAATAGAAAAGAACCTACACTGAAATATTGGGGGCTGGCTCCCCCGATAAATATCCAATTTTCCTAGCACCCTGTTGAAAAGACTTTCCCCATTCATGTATCTTGGCCTATTTGCTGAAAATCTATTAACGGTCAATGAAGGGTATCTTTATCTGTTTCTGCTGATATAATGAAATACTATAGATGGGGTAACTTATAAGGAACAGAAATTGGCCAGGTGCAGTGACTCATGCCTGTAATCCCAGCACTTTGGGAGGCTGAGGTAGGTGGATCACCTGAGGTCAGGAGTTCGAGACCAGCCTGACCAACATTGAGAAACCCCGTCTCTATTAAAAATACAAAATTAGCCGGTCATGGTGGCGCATACCTGTAATCCCAGCTACTCAGAAGGCTGAGGCAGGAGAATCACTTGAACCCAGGAGGTGGAGTATGCAGTGAGCCAACATCACGCCATTACACTCCGGCCTGGACAACAAGAGCAAAACTCCGTCTCAAAAAAAAAAAAGAACAGAAATTTATTTTTCACAGTCCTAGATACTGGGAATTCCAAGATAAAGGTACTAGCATCGGGTGAGGGCCTTCCTCTTGGATCTTCTGGAGGGAAGAAATGCTTGCATCCTCACAGGGCAGAAGACAGAAGGGCAAGAGAGGGCAAACCCCATCCATCAAGCCCTTGTAGTGGCATTAGTTTATTCATGAGGGCTTTGCCAAAAGGCCAAAGGCCTGCCTCCCAAAACTGTTTCACTGGGGATTAAATTCTAACCTATGAATTTTGCAGGGGAAATAAGCATTCAAACCATGGCAAAGGGGATGATTTCTGGACTCTCAGTTCTGTCTTACTGATCTGTGTATCAGACATTTTTCCAGTAGGTCTGGCTACTATAGTCCTTGACCTGATGATGGAGAGCTCCACCCCATTCCACATGATTGTCATGCACGGATAGAAATGGTCCTAAAGCCTCCAGAAGATCTCCTTGACATACTCTTAGACAACATAGACTTACTTCTATTTTGGGATAGCTCCTGTAAATGAATTGTTAAGGAAAACATAATAATGGGTTATGCAATATTTTCTTTCTTTGTTTTTTGAGACAGTGTCTCACTCTGTCGCCCAGGCTGGAGTACAGTGGTGTGATATTGGCTCACGCAGCCTCTGTCCCCCTACTCAAGCAATCCTCCCACTTCAGGTTTCCGAGTAATTGGGATGACAGGCATGCACCACCACACTCAGCTAATTTTTTAACTTTTTATAACAACAAGGTCTCACTCTATTGCCCAGGCTGGTCTCAAATTCCTGGCCTCAAGTGATTCTCCTACCTTGATATCCCAAAGTGTTGGGATTACAGGCATGAGCCATCATGCCTGGCCTAGGCAATATTTTCTCTACATGAAACACTTGAGGCATACTCTTCACTCACTGTAAAATCAGTATGAGCCTAGAGCTCATAGCTCTTACTACATCTTGCACGCTGACAAACAGGAAAACTGCCTCTACTGACACAGACTGCAGATATGCTTTTGGAATTCCTTATGCAACTGGCACAATTTGAAAAATTTGTGGATTCACAACTTGTTCTGGTATACCCACTGCCGATAGACACATAACTGGGCTACTATTTTTTTTTTTTTTTTTTTTGAGATGGAGTCTTACTGTGTTGCTGGGGCTGGAGTGCAGTGGTGTGATCTTGGCTCACTGCAACCTCTGCCTCCCGGGTTCAAATGATTCTCCTGCGTCAGCCTCCCAAGTAGCTGGGATTATAGGTGCCCACCACTATGATCAGCTAATTTATTTTTGTATTTTTAGTAGAGACAGGGTTTCACCACGTGGGCCAGGCTGGTCTCGAACTCCTGACCTCGTGATTCGCCCACCTCGGCCTCCCAAAGTGCTGGGATTACAGAGGTGAGCCACCACGCCCGGCCCATAACTGGTGAACTATTACAGATGATTTGCCTCCCTATTAAAATGGCCACTGTTCACTGTCTAGTCCATACTACGGAGATTTATACTATATCTCTAGGGAATGATAGGGCTCAAAAGATTGCTAAATAGGAAGCCAAAAATGGTACCTTGTTCTTTCCCAATCCAGTTTGCAAAACTGCCTTTACCCGTGACTGATATTATCAAGTAAATGTCCCATAATCTAAGAAGATCTATAGATACAAAAGGGAAAAATAGTATTGTAGAGATTATACATTAGGCCAGTCACACTCCCTGTGCTATTAATACTTTCCTTCAATCTTTTCCCTTACACAAATCTCTCACCAAGTTGGACATAGAGGCAGATGGGAAAGAGTTAAGAAAACGAAAGACAACTGACTGGCCTGGCATCTACAAAATTACTGACCCACTTATTTCTCAGTGCATTACTTGTAACCCACCCAATTTCTGGATGAAGCTCACAAATTTCACAGAATCCTCCAACACCCACACTGACCCTCCCAGCCCTCCAAATGGATGGTTTATCTACAACTGTAGTCAATTCTCATTGTTTAGTGATTGTCTCCATGTTTAGTGGATGGGCGCAATGCTATACAGCTAGACATGATGATGCCATCAGTGGTAAATAATTAATCATTGAAATTATTCCTGGTTTTAGTATTCTTTTGTGGACAGAACAAAACCAATGAGGTAATTTTATATGTGCTGCTGAAGCGAGCACAACCAAGGAGGTAATTTTATAGCTGATATAAACCACATTCTTGCAAAAACTACGGAAGACTTATTAAAATACATACCATCCTTAACCATCAGAGCAAAGAGAATATAAAAATCTAAACATAAAAAGGACTTTAGAGAAATAGCTGTCAAAACACTGGACTTCAATGGCCAGAAGCATTAGCCCTGGCCCTTATAAAAATCTGAAATACTACCAACAGTAGACATGGATTATCTCCTTTTCTGTAGTTTTTGGGTTTTGGTTGCACTGTAGCTATTGGTATATCTAAACTTTACATTCCTGGATTGAGTAAATATTCTTGGGAATGAAGTGAACAATATGATGCTATGACTAGCTACATGTAAGAACTAACCAGTGGCCGGGCATGGTGGCTCATGCCTGTAATCCTAGCACTTCGGGAGGCCGAGGCAGGCAGATCGCTTGAGGTCAGGAGTTCAAAACTAGTCTCGCCAACATGGTGAAACCCTGTCTCTACTAAAAATACGAAAAAGTTAGCCAGGCATGGTGGTGGGCACCTGTAATCCCAGGTACTTGGGAGGCTGAGGCAGGAGAATCGCTTGAACCCGGGAGGTAGGAGGATGCAGTGAGCTGAGATCATGCCACTGCACTTCAGCCTGGGCGACACAGTAAGACTCCATCAAAAAAAAAAAAAAAAAAAAACTAACTAGTATATTTGGAGCATGTCATCAACAGGTTAAAAAAAATGCCATCACTTTTGACCAAAAGATAAGGTATTTCCAGGTGTGGTGGCTCAGGCCTGTACTCCCAGCCATTTGGGAGGCCAAGGTGGGAGGATAACTTCAGTCCAGGGGTTCGAGACCAGTCTGGGCAACATAGCAAGACCCTGTCTCTGTAAAAAAAAAAAAAAAAATTAGCTGAATGTGGAGATATGTCTCAGTAGACCTAGTTACTCAGGAGACAGAGGCAGGAGCATCACATGATCCCAGAGTTTCAAGGCTGCAAGGGGCTGATCATGCCAGTGCACTGCAGCCTGGGCAACAGACTGAGACCTTGTCTATAAAAAAATAAAAATAGGTCAGGCACAGCGGCTCACGCCTGTAATCCCAGCACATTGGGAGGCTGAGGCAGCTGGATCATTCAAGGTTGAGAGTTCGAGACCAGCCTGGCCAATATTAAACCCCATCTCTACTTAAAAATACAAATATTAGCTGGGCATGGTGGTGGACGCCTATAATCCCAGCTACTCGGGAGTCTGAGACATGAGAACCACTTGAACCTGGGAAGCAGAGGTTGAGTGAGCCGAGATTGCACCACTCCTCTCCAGCCTGAGTGACAGAGTGAAACTGTGTCTTCGGAAAACAACAACAACAAAAGAATATTATTCAGGCATAAAAAAGCAATGAATTACTGACATATGCTACCACATGGAGGGAACCTGAAAACATGCTAAGTGAAATAAGCCAGACACAGAAGGACAAATATTGTATGCTCCACTTATTTATTTTTTTGATTCGTTTTTTTGAGACAGAGTCTCACTGTCACCCAGGCTGGAGTGCAGTGGTGCGATCTCAGCTCACTGCAACCTCTGCCTCCATGGTTCAAGCGATTCTTCTGCCTCAGCCTCCTGAGTAGCTGGGACTACAGGCGTGCACCACCACACCCAGTTAAGTTTTGTATTTTCAGTAGAGACGGGGTTTCACCATATTGGCCATGCCGGTCTCGAACTCCTGACCTTGTGATCCACCTGCCTCAGCCTCCCAAAGTGCTGGGATTACAGGCGTGAGCCACCACGCCCAGCCCTAGATGCTCCACTTAGTCAAATTCACAGAGCAAGAGAGTAGACTAGACGTCATCAGGGATTGAGTGTAGAGAAGGGAAGTTGTTTTTTAATGGGTACTGAGTTTCTGTGTGGAGCGATGAAAATCTAGAGATAATTAGCTGTAATGGCTATAACACATTGTAAATGTATTTAATGCTCCTGAATGACACACTTAAAAATGATTAAAGTGGAAATTTTATGTTAGTACATGTTACTTCAAGACAATTTATGAACAAAAGAAAAGACACAATTCAAGCTACTATATATGAACACAACAATATCTAGAAGCACTGGATGGAGGTTGGTGTGGTGGCACATGCCTCTAGTCCCAGCTACTCAGAGCCTGAGGTGGAAGGATCGCTTGAACTCAGGAATTCAAGCCCAACAGGGGCAACTAGTAAGACCCTGTCTCTTAAAAAATAATAATAATGATAATAATAATAATAATAATGCACTGAATGGACAAAACAGCAGAGGAGATATTGCTGAAATAAAGATAAGTGAACCTCAAAAACTAGGAGTATAACCGATTTAAAATATAGCACTCAGACAAAAAAATGAACAGAACCTCAGTGAGCTGTGTAATGGGACAATTGTACAAGGACTCCTTGAAAGACAGGAGTAAAAACAGAACAAACAAAAAATATTTCCATAAATATTTCAGGCCGAGCACAATGGCTCAGGGGTTTATTGAGCTTTTTGGATCTCTAGGTTTATAGTTTTCATCTAATTTGGAAAATATTTGCTGTAATCCCAGCACTTTAAAAGGCCGAGACAGGCAGATCATGAGGTCAAGAGATTGAGACCATCCTGGCCAACATGGTGAAACCCTGTCTCTACTAAAAATACAAAAATTAGCTGGGCATGGTGGCACGCGCCTGTAGACCCAGCTACTCAGGAGGCTGAGGCAGAAGAATCATTTGAACCTGGGAGGCGGAGGTTTCAGTGAGACAAGATTGCGCCACTGCACTCCAGCCTGGCAACAGAGCAAGACTCCATCTCAAACAAAAACAAAACAAAACAAAACAAAACAACAATAACAAAACTAGCAGTAACAATATGTTTTACACAGGAGTTTGAGACCAGCCTGGGCAACATGGTGAGACCCCATCTCTACAAAAAAAATTAAAAATTAGCCAGATTGCCGGGTGCGGTGGCTCACACCTGTAATCCCAGCACTTTGGGAGGCCGAGGCGGGCGTATCACGAGGTCAGGAGATCGAGACCATCCTGGCTAACACGGTGAAACCCTGTCTCTACTAAAAATACAAAAAAATTAGCTGGGCTTGGTGGCAGGCCCCTGTAGTCCCAGCTACTCAGGAGGCTGAGGCAGGAGAATGGCGGGAACCCGGGAGGCAGAGCTTGCATTGAGCCGAGATCCCGCCACTGCACTCCAGCCTGGGCAACAGAGTGAGACTCCGTCGCAAAAAAAAAAAAAAAATTAGCCAGGCATGGAAGCTCACACCAGTGGTCCCATCTACTCAGGAGGCTGAGGTGGAAGGATCACTTGAGCCTTGGAGGACGAGGCTGCACTGAGCCATATTCATGCCACAGCACTCCAGCCTGGGTAACAGAGTGAGACCCTGTCTCAAAACAAACAAACATTTGTCGCATATTTTCCAAAACAGATAAAAATTATGAACCTACAGATGCAAAATGCTCAACAAACCACAGGCACAATATATATCAACAAATCTACACCAAGACACAGCATCAAATTGCTGAAAACCAGGTATAATAAAAAATTCTTTAAAGAAACCAGAGAAAATAGACACCTTAACAACAGACAACCAAATGTAACATTGATTACATACTTATTATCAGAAACAATGCAAACAGGAAGACAATGGAGTAACATCCTTAAAGAACTAAAAGAACAAGGATATCAACAAAGAATCTTATATTGAGCAAATAATATCTTTCCAAATGAATGGAAAATACTTTATTTAGTCATAATAAATGTGTTTGCAATCAGCATATTGGCTCATTGAGAAAGGTACAGCCGGGTGTGGTGGCTCACGCCTGTAACCTGAGCATTTTGATAGGCTGAGGTGGGTGGATCACCTGAGGTCAGGATTTCAAGATCAGCCTGGCCAACATGGTAAAACCCCATCTCTACTATAAACACAAAAATTAGCTAGGTGTGGTGGCGCATACCTGTAGTCCCAGCTACTTAGGAGGCTGAGGCAGAAGAATCACTTGAACCCAGGAGGCGGAGGATGCAGTGAGCCAAGATCGTGTCACTGCACTCCAGCCTCGGCGACAGAGTGAGATTCCGTCTCAAAAAAATAAAGGTCCAGCTGGGTGCAGTGGCTCATGCCTGTAATTGCGACACTTTGTGACGCCGAGGCGGGAGAATTGCTTGAGTCCAGAAGTTCAAGACCAGCTTGAGCAACACGGCAAGACTCCATCTCTACAAAAAAATTAAAATGGCATGGTAGTATGTGCCCGTCCAGATCACTGAATCCGTAAAAAAAGAAAAACAGGCCAGGTGCGGTGGCTCATGCCTGTAATCCCAGCAGTTTGGGAGGTCGAAGCAGGCAGATCACCTGAAGTCAGGAGTTCGAGACCAGCCTGACAAACATGGTAAGATCCCATCTCTACTAAACATACAAAAATTAGCTGGGCGTGGTGGCGGGCACCTGTAATCCCAGCTACTCGGGACGCTGAGGCAGGGGAATCACTTGAACCCGGGAGGTGGAGAAAGCAGTGAGCCACGAGATCATGCCATTGTACTCCAGCCTGGGTGAGACAATGAGATTCCATCTCAAAAACAAAGGAAAACAAAACAAAAACCAAACAAACAAAAACCAAACTGGCTGTCTTACTACTGGGGTGGCTGAGTAAGTCCTCTAAACTACTATTCCTATCAAATGGTCCTTGGACACACCCTTAGAGTTTTCTCTTCCCAAGATGATTTTTCATCTTGGTAATATGGATAGACTGGGAATTTTCCAAATCTTTTTGTTTCAGTTCCATCTTAATAATTCCATCTCCAGTCAAGTCTTTCCTCACATTAGTATATGCAGTCAAGAGGAACCAAGCTGCCTTTTTCAACACTTCTTAGAAATGTTGTCAACTCAATATCCAATTTCATCACTTCCTAGTTCTACTTTCCACAAAACTAGCACAGGACCACGATACACAAAGTTCTCTGCCACTTTATAAGAAGAAATCAACTTTTCTCCATTGTGTAATAACATTAACCTCAATTCTCTTTTTACATATATTTTAGTTTGTTTCAGAAACAGGGTCTCACTCTCTCTCCAGCCCAGGCTGGAGTGCAGTAGCATGACCTAGCTTACTGCAGCCTTGAACTCCTGGGCTCAAGTGATCTGGTGACCTCAGCCTCCCTGGTAGCTATGACTACAGGCATATACCACCAAGCCTAGCTAAATTTTCCTTTTTTCTTTTTTTGTAAGGATGAGGTCTCACCATGTTGCCCAGACTGGTCTTGAACTCCAGGCCTCGGTTGGGCATGGTGGCACACACCTGAAGTCCCAGCTACTTGGGAGGCCTGAGGCAGGAGGATCTGTTGAGCTTAGGAGTCGGAGGTGGCAATGAGCTATAATCACGCCACTGCACTCCAGCCTGGGCAACAAATTGAGATCCCCATTTCCAGGAAGGAAGGGAAAGGAGAGGAGGGGAGGGGAGGAAGAAGAGAAGAGAAGGGAAGGGAAAGGGGAAGGAGAAGGGGAAGGGGAAAAGGAAGAGGAAGGGGAAGGGGGAAAATCCAAGCCTCAAGCGATCCTCCCATCTTGGCCATTCAAAGTACTGCCATAACAGGCATGAGCGACCATGCACATTCCACTTTCATTTTTGAGGATCCACTCTCATAATCTAACCTAATCCTTATCATATCTCAAAGAAACCATTGCCTAATACTGCCACATCAGGGAAGTGGAAAAATAAATAAAATTTTCTACAAACATTTATTCCATAACAAGTGATTAGTAGCTTTTTATCATTTTCTAAATACTCTTCATGTTAATCCCTTATCAGATATATAATTTGGAAATGGTTTCTCCCATTCTATGGGTTACCCATTTACTCTGTTAATATTGCCTTTTGATGCCAAAGGTCCACAAAATCCAAATTATTCTTTCCCTTGTGGGTCATGCTTTTGGTGCCAAATCTAGGAAATCATTGCCAAATTCACTGTAATACAGC
This sequence comes from Homo sapiens, assembly GCF_000001405.40. Taxonomy (NCBI): domain Eukaryota; kingdom Metazoa; phylum Chordata; class Mammalia; order Primates; family Hominidae; genus Homo; species Homo sapiens. Next base: position 12,426,526 of record NC_000019.10, read on the forward strand.
TTTTGCCATGTATTTTCATCTAACAGTTATACAGCTAAGATGGACACTCACATATTTCGTTCATTTTAACTTCTGTACATGTTAGGTATGGGTACAACGTCATCCTGTTGCATGTGGATGTGCATTGCCCAACAGCATCATTCTACAGAAACATTAAGCTATCCCCCATTGAATAGTCACAGCAGACTTTTCAGTAATTGTTAGACTTTATGTAAATTATTAGACTTTATTAGACTTTCTGTGTTATCTTGTTGCATTGTCTATTTCTGCGTTATTACGCTAGTACCAAACAGTTTTTATTAGTATGGATTTGTAATAAGTTTTGAAATCAGGAAGTGTGAGTTCACCAACTTTGTTCTGGCTTTTTTTTTTTTTTTTTTTGAGACAGAGTCTCGCCCTGTTGCCCAGGCTGGAGTGCAGTGGCATGATCTCAGCTCACTGCAACCTCCACCTCTCAGGCTCAAGTGATTCCCCTGCCTCAGCCTCCTGAGTAGCTGGGATTACAGGTACGCGCCACCATGCCCGACTAATTTTTGTATTTTTAGTAGAGATGCGATTTCACCATGTTGGTCAGGCTAGTCTCCAACTCCTGACCTCATGATCCACCTGCCTCAGCCTCCCAAAGCGGTGGGATTACAGATGTGAGCCACCACATCTGGCCATTGTTCTGGCTTTTGAAGACTGTTTTGTTCATTCAGAGACCCTTGAGATGTCATATATAAAAAAATAAAAAATGTTAAAAAATGGCTCCTAAGAAGGAATCAAGTGGTCAAACCTATCCCTAAAAGGCTAGCAGGGGACAAAAAGTGGTATCTCTCAATAAGAAAATACAAACCTAAGATGTTTTGAAAAGTGGTGTATCACCTTGGAAAGTTCGTCATAAGGTAAGAACAAACCAAGAAATCACACACTAAAGCAGAGAGAAGCTGAAGTTCCTCAAAGTGTTAGAGCTGCCCCTACAGTGGCAAAAATGATCCCTCTAGTTCATGATAAACTAAGGATAAGCATTAAGTGTGTGGCTAGAGGACACGTCACAGAACCACAGCCCTACTGATGGTAACATCATACTTGAAAAAACACTTAGCCAGGCCAAGCGCAGTGGCTCACTCCTGTAATCCCAGCACTTTGGGAGGCCAAGGCGGGTGGATCACAAGGTCAGGAGTTCGAGATCAGCCTGACCAACATGGTGAAACCCAGTCTCTACTCAAAAGACAGCTGGGTGTGGTGGCGCGCACATGTAATCCCAGCTACTCAGAAGGCTGAGGCAGGAGAATCACTTGAACCCGGGAGGTGGGGGTTGCAGTGAGCCAAGATCACGCCACTGTACTCCAGCCTGGGCGACAGAGCAACACTCCGTCTCAAAAAAAAGAAAAAAAAAAAAGAAGGAAAGAAAGAAAAGAAAACAAAAAACACTTAGCCTCTGTAAGCATCACTGTGAGGGGGCTGAGGAGAGCAAGAGGAAGGAGTTTGAAGCCAGTAAGTTCTGGCTAGGCTAACTATGCAACACAGTGCAGCCCAAGAACTTGAAGACCACAGGAGAATTGGCATCGGCTGATGCCAGGGAAACAACAGCATTCCTAGAAGAGCTCATAAAACAGAAAAAAGACACTACCTTCCAGAGTAAATCTTCTATTGTCATGAATCAGGCATGTTCTAGAAGATGCCCAATGGTACCTTCATACATGAGTGCAGGTACTGGGGTTCAAGGCCTGGAAAGACCACCTTTTTCTGGTGCTGTCAGGCCATGCATTAGTTCATGAGAACAAGCGAGGCTTCGTCTACTGAGCAATCACCAGGTTCTTTAGGACAAAAGCAAAACTTGCTGGCCTGTGTCCTGGCAAGAACATAAGAAGGCTTTCTTCTAGCAATGCTTCACTCCTGATGTGATGGAATACCTCAAAGAGAAGGGACTGCCACTCAAGGTCTTCCTCAGAATTGACAACACTCCAGGCCATCTCTCCAATCTCTGTTTTGCCTAAAAGAACATGCAAGTGATATTTCTGCCTCCTAAAACTACATCACTGCTGCGTCACTAGATCAAGGCATCAAGTGCATTCAAGTGACTTACATCCTTGGGTGAATTCATGGAGTCTTGATGCTAACCTTGAATGTACCACAGTGGTTTTATTGAAGAGCTTCACAATTACAAATACAATTGTGCTTATTGGGAAGGCTACAGATGCCCTAAAGCCCAGGACAGCCAATACATGTTACAAGCCATCATGGGGTAAGGGAGTCAATGATTTCAAGGACTTCCCTACTATTAATGCAGTTATTAAGAATATGTGAAATGTTGCAAAAAAAGTTGGTGGGGAACGCTGTCTGAAATGACTGAGGATGACGTTAAGGAACACACCGAAAAGCAAAGAGAAACCCTTACCAGCTAGGAACTTCAAAGTCTGCTGAAATCCACTACAGATGATGATGAGCTAGAAAACTTAGAAGACACAGAGCCATTGATTTGGACACTTGAAAAGTTTGCCACAGTTTTTCAGTAGGCAAAGGTGAAAAAGAGGTACGATCCTCAAAGATCCTATAATGGAACAAAGCTTTCAATCTACCTGAGAAACAACAACATGCCTATAAGCACCACAAGATTTTTTTTTTTAATGAAGCAAAGGAAAAGAAGAACTAGCTTCCTATAGCTAAGCATCTGCAAATAAGACGGAACATTCAATGGTTTTTTCAGTAGGCAAAGGTGAAAAAGAGGTACGATCCTCAAAGATCCTACAGTGGAACAAAGCTTTCAATCCACCTGAGAAACAACATGCCTATAAGCACCACAAGATTTTTTTTTTAATGAAGCAAAGGAAAAGAAGAACTAGCTTCCTATAACTAAGCATCTGCAAAGAAGATGGAACATTCAATGGTTACAGATCTTCAGCCCTCAAGCCAAACAGATCCTAACATTAGTATTACATAGCCTCCTCAAATGAGTCCACATCTATAATCACAAGTTGGTTCTTCCAACATAGATGATAGTCCTGATGGCCTGTCAAGATTCAAGTTAACCTGATGTCTCACTACTTACCCACAATGCCATACATCTAGTCATCTCAACACATCAAAACACTGGGCACCACAGAATCATCATCATTGTTATAATCACTATACTTGGGTTATCAAGAGAGAAGACCCAGGGTTTTGGTAAGTGTTAACACATTAAACAGAAGAAATAGGTGAGAGTTGAAACAAAGAAACTTTAATGTTCTGGCTGACTACACTATGTTGATAGGCTCACAATTACTGCATCTATACTGAAAATACATAGACTCTTTTCCTTATCATGATTCCCTAAACAATACAATAGAACAACTATTTGCATAGCTTTTATAATGCATGAGGTATTTTAAGTAATCTAGACATAATTGAGACTATACAAGAGGATGTGGGTAAGTTACATACAAACATGTCATTTTATAAAAGGGACTGGACATGGCTCACGGAGTGCTGGAACCAATACCCAGCAGGTATCAAGGGATGACTGTACTGGAAAGAAACTGAAACTACTTAAGGCTTTACCAAGTGCTTACATTCACAGGGTCTATCTCCAATGTGTTTCGTACAAGTATCTGAAATGAAATAAAATTAATAAATGCTTTCCCACATTCCATACATTTAGAGAGAATGCTAGTGAGTCTTTTTATGTCTATGCAAGGAACTGAGAGAAGCAAATGCTTTCCCACATTCCTTACATTCATATGGGTTCTCTCCAGTGTGAGTTTTTTTCCAGTGAGTCTTTTTATGTCTATGCAAGGAACTGAGAGAAGCAAATGCTTTCCCACATTCCTTACATTCATACGGGTTCTCTCCAGTATGAGTTTTTTCATGTCCTTGAAGAAAACGGGAATGAGTGAAGGCTTTACCACATTGTGGACATTCATAGGATTTCTCTCTCATGTGAATTCTTTCATGTCGTAGAAAGCAAGTGAGCCAAGAGAATGCTTTCCCACATTCCTTACATTCATACGGCTTCTCTCCAGAGTGAATTCTTTCATGTACCTTTAAGTTATCATAATGACCGAAGGCTTTCCTACATGTTTTACACTCATAAGGTTTCTCTCCTGTGTGAGTCCTTTTATGTCGAGAAAGGTATCTGAAACGACTGAATGCTTTCCCACATTCCTTACACTCATATGGCTTCTCTCCAGTGTGAGTTGTTTTGTGATTTTGAAAGGAACAGAAATCAATACAGGCTTTCCCAAGTTTGCATTTATAGGGTTTCTCTCCAGTATGAGTTGTTTCATGCCTTCGAAGGGAACTGGAAATACGGTAGGCTTTGCCACATTGTTTACATTTATAGGGTTTCTCTGCAGTGTGAGTCCTTTCATGTCTTTGAAATACACTGGGATAAACAAAGGCTTTCCCACATACCTTGCATTTATGAGGTCCATCTCCAGTGTGCATTATCATATGACTTCGAAAGCTTGAGCGATGAGATAATGCTTTCCCACACTGCTTGCATTCATAGGGTTTCTCTCCAGTGTGAGTTCTTTCATGACTTTGCAGTGAACTAGGACAATCAAAGCCTTTCCCACATATCTTACATTTATGAGGTCCATTTCCAGTGTGCCTTATCATGTGTCTTTGAAAGCTTCCCAGATGATGAAACGCTTTCCCACATTGCTGACATGCATAGGGTTTCTCTGCACTGTGAGTGGTTTCATGTCTTTGAAGGGAACCGGAAACACTGAAGGCTTTCCCACATTGTTTACATGTATAGGGTTTCTCTCCAGTGTGAGTTCTTTCATGTATTAGACAAGAACTGGAATCAGGGAAGGCTTTAGAACACTGCTTACATTTATATGGTTTCTCCCCAGTATGTGTTCTTTCATGTCTTAGATAGGAACTGTAAAAAGGAAAGGCTTTAGAACACTGTTTACATTCATACGGTTTCTCCCCAGTATGTGTTCTTTCATGTCTTAGATAGGAACTGTAAAAAGAAAAGGCTTTAGAACACTGCTTACATTCATATGGTTTCTCTCCAGTGTGCGTTCTTTCATGCATATGTAATAAACTGGGCCAAAAAAACGCTTTCCCACACAACTTACATTTATAAGGTCCATCTCCACGCTGCACTGCCATGTGTCTTTGAAGGTTTCCCAAAGAACTGAAGGACTTCCCACATTCTTTACAATCATATGGTTTCTTTCCAGTGTGAAGCCTCTCATGTGTTTGAAATGAGTTGTGGTAACTGAAGGCTTTCCCACGTTGTTTATGCGTATCTGGCTTCTCTCCACATTCATGATACTCATGTGGTTTGTGCCCAGCACCAACTCTGATGTAACAATTAAGGGATGAATGACCCATGACTTTTTCTCCTCTCATACTGCTTTCACAAGGACCTACTCCAGGAAGAGTGTTCTTGGTCACAATACTATCTTGAATCTGGCTAGATGTTTCTCCACATTGAGTTCCATCTTTACTTTCAACAAATCTCTCTAACATACGACATCTGTAAAAAATGGGAAATATATCACTAAAAGTCGGTCTATAAATAATTGTATAGGTATTAATAAGTATTGGATGTACATTTTTAACACTATCATGCGAAGTGCAGGCTTCGTGTCCTGCTTGAATGTGAATGGATGGAATGCTGTGCAAGGTAACTCGACCCAGGTGTTCTCAAGACAATCACATTCATATGTGGATTCATAATATTGTTGTCATGGGAACTAATTTATGAACACTGAACAGCTATGGAACATTTAAGTATATATTTTGGAGAAAATTTTCTAAGAATAAATAAATTTAAGCTAGCCTTGTTCATTTTCTTTGCTTCTTTTTAAATTTTCATGTCATTCTCAGAACGGCTCCAGGGACATATCTTTCTCTTGTGAGTGTAAATTACCTTAGATTTTTCCTGGGATATCTATATTGATCTTCAATGTTCTGGTCTTTCCATTTCATTACTAAAAGGTATACACAGAAAAATCATTACAAATTTTTACAAAATTATAGACAAACAGTAACATTTTGATGTACACTGCAATCGTTCAAAATGCATTCACTGAAGTACACCTGACTCTTGAAAAACAGAGGTTTGAACTGCACAAGTCCATTTGTATATACATATATATATGAATGTTCTTCAGTCTCTGCTACCCAAGACACTAAGACCAGCCCCTCCTCTTACTCAGCCTACTCAATGTGAAGACAATGAGGATGAAAACCTTTCCGAGGATGCACTTCCACTTAATGAACAGTAAATATAGTTTCTCTTCCTTATGATTATCTTTTTAACACTTTCTGTTTCTAGCTTACTTTACTGTGAGAATATACGATGTAATAATACGACATAAAATATATGTATTAATCACTGCTTATGTGACTGATAATGCTGCCCATCAATAGTAGGCTAAGATGTGGACAAAAAGTTATATGAGGATGTACAACTGCTACAGGAGCTGGCACCCCTAAACCCTGTTTTTTTTTTTCCAGGGCCAACCATATCCCCTTTCCATATTCCAAATCTTTGAACAGCATGAATGACCAAGAAACAAATGTCTCCAATTAAATAAGTGGAAATGCGATGTCATCCTTACCTACACAATCCAGGTTCCTGATGGTTTCCTGCATCACATCTTTGTAGAGATTCTTCTGACAAGGACCCAGCAAAGCCCACTCTTCTCGGGTGAAGTTCACAGCCACATCCTCTAAAGCCACTGAGGCCTGATCCATCCCACATGTACAGAGGAGGAAGGGTGAAAATCACAGTACTGAGAATCTATACTCACTTCATAAATTTCACATGATGCTGTGGTTTCCAACCATTTTATTCAATGACATGGTAAACCCACTCTTATTCTCTGTCTACACTCACTTTCTCCTACACAGTAACTCTGAAGCTACAGTTAAACGTTTGGTAAATTAACAGTGGGATAGAAACATGCCACTTGTTGGCGAACTAAGTGAGTGAATCACATAGCCTGGATCACCCCTAATGTCGATTTCCACAGTGGGTCTGCAGTCCTTGGCACGATAAAGTCCTACTACTTATTGTGCAAAAGGGAGTTACCATTAGCAGTGCTGAGACTGCGTGTCCTTACAAATGCTTTTTCACAAAGTTGGGCTTTTCATGGTGTCTAGACAGTGTATTTAGGGGAGGGCCCCAGGAGCATAATAACAGGGGTGGAGTGTGCCTAAATTGTTCATGCAAAAAAAATATAGTATTTCGTTAACTCCCATCTTCCTTCTGAGAGTCTGGAATTTTGTTACATACTCAGCAGACAGAGTGCACTGATCAGCCACTGCTAGGTTTGAATGGTTGTCCCCTCCAAAATGCACACTGAATGTTAATCTCCAAAGTGGCAGAAAAAAAAAAAAAAAGAAAAAAAAAGTGGGGGCTTTAAGAGGTGATTTAGTTCTGAGGGTCTGGACCTCATGAATAGATTAATCCATAATGGGTGAATGAATAAATGAGCTATCTCATGTCCTTCTGAGAAAAGAAAGAGATCTGAGCTAGACACTCAGCTCCCTCACCATGTGATACTCTATGCCACCTAGAGACTCTGCAGAGTCCCCATCAGCAAGAAGGTTTCTCATCAGATTCCCAGCCTTAACCCTGGACTTCCCGGCCTCCAGAAATGTAAAAATTAAATACTGTTTCTTATAAATTACCGAGGTTCAGTAATTCTGTTATGAATTACAAGAAACAGGCTAAGACAGCTACAAAGAAACACTCTGGGCATTGGGTCTATAATGAGCTTTCTGGGTAGATAATATTTCACATGTTTTGTTGCAACTTGTTATTTGGGGGATTTAGCCCATCCTATGTGATTATACTTACAGAGAATATTTGGAAGCTGGCAACTAGTTTCCTTTAGATCAAATGTAGTGAAGTATCACAAGAGACTGATAAAAGATATTTCACCATCTCAATGGAAAAATTTTAAACATTTTCTTGAGTAATGCCAAAAGGAGAAGGAAAGAAGGGGAAAGACTGCATATATTCTTAGAAAGAACTCAATGTCATCTCTCATGAATATTTATAATACTTCCTAAATAACTAAAACGGACCTTTTAGTAGTCAACAAAAATTACATTACCAAGTCTAATAGAACTCACAGTATCTAAAAAATGCTGGAAACTTTCTCACCAAGAAAGTGCAGCTTTCCAAAAACAAAGAATTTTGAAACTATAATATTTGGCTCCCCATACTATTAACACAGAGACAAATATATACATATACATATATATATATGAAGAAAAATGAAAACTGGTAGAAAAGTCTCGTAGAGTTTTTATTTGTCCTTGGCCCAATCTCTCCCCCATCAATGACACTCTTGAACACAGCAGCCCGAGTTCCCAGTATAGAACCCTGAACACTAACTCTAGAGACAGCAGATCAGACCTTATTTGCAAATTATTGCCTTGCATTTTCCAATCTGTATAAGCACTATCCAAAGGTCTGAAACAAGGCTGCTTTTTTTTTTTTTTTTTTTTTGAGACAGAGCCTTGCTCTGTCACCGAGACTGGAGTGCAGACACATCACCCAGACTGGAGTGCAGACGCACAACCTTGGCTCACTACAACCTCTGACTCCAGATTCAAGCAATTCTCCTGCCTCAGCCTCGCAAGTAGCTGAGAGTACAGGAATGCTCAAACACATTTGGCTAATTTGTATTTTTACTAGAGACGGGGTTTCACCCTGTTGGCCAGGCTGGTCTCAAACTCCTGACCTCAAATGATCCGCCTGCCTTAGCCTCCCAAAGTGCTAGGATTACAGGTGTGAGCCACAGTGCCCAGCCAAGGCCCTCTCTTCTACTTTATCTACAATATAACACGATCAGGGTCCAATTTGGCAGGAACTGCATGAAAATGTTGCAAAATACACAAAAAGCCTGTAGACAACTGCAAGAACAGACTATGATTAAGACATACAGTAGACCAACTAAGTCACGGAGAAAAAGAGCTGAAGAGAAAATGTCCTCCAGATATCAGGGTACTCAAAAGCACCCAGGTATCCTAGGGAATTGAGAAAGCCCCATGCATGCACAGTAAAGAACACATTTTCACAAAAGACACCGGAGAAAAACATTCATTTTCGCTTCTGGCTGATCTGTAGCTTTAAGTAAGCAGAACATAAAGCATAAGTAGAGTATTAAACAGCCTGGCTAAGTGTTCAAGGGATGCCCCAGGCACAGAGCCATCCACAAAGACTGGAAGAGGTCAGGCTTTTGTATGCTTCATCTTTTTTACTAGCTTCTAGCATTCAGGAAATCTCTGCCAGAACACTGGATGAACACACACTAAAGAACAGAGATGTCAGTTTCTACAACAAATAAGGAATACAGTCTGTGCAAACATACTTTGAAAATGTTATTAAACAAATGAACAATTACAGTCTTCAACACACATAAATAGAAAACAGTGAGGAAAGAAGAAGAATCCAATTTTCAGAAGTACCCCATTATAACATTCCGATATCTACTTTTCAACACAAAATTATGAAGAATACAGAAAAACATGAAAATATGGTTCATCAATTGGAAAAAATATAATTGAGATAAGCCATCTCTGAGAAACCTCAGACACCACTCACTGAATAAAAACGTTAAAACAACTATCTTAAATATGTTCAATGAAGTAAAGGCAATGATGAACAAATAACTAAAAGAAAACCAGAATATAGATACAGAGATAAAATAATATCTATTAAAAAGTAGAAATTAACTGGGCGTGGTGGCTCACACCTATAATCCCAGCACTTTGGGAGGCCAAGGTGTGTGGATCACCTGAGGCCAGGAGTTTGAGACCAGCCTGGCCAATGTGGTGAAACCCTATCTCTACTAAACATACAAAATTAGCTGGGCATGGTGGTGCACGCCTGTAATCCCAGCTACTTGGGAGGCTGAGGCAGAAGAATCGCTTGAACCCAGGATGTGGAGGTTGCAGTGAGCCGAGATCGTGCCACTGCACTTCAGCCTGGGCAACAAGAGCGAACCTCTGTCTCAAAAAAAAAGGGGTAGAAATTTAGCCATATAGAATTTATGCAGCTGCAAGGTACAACTAAAATGAAGACATCTTCACAAGTGTTCAACAGATGTGAGCAGCCAAAAAAAAAATCAGTTAAAATGATGATAAATGAATTGAAATTAATCTAATGGGGAAAAAAAGGAATGAAATTGAGAGAACATGTGATTGGTGTACTTGTCTTGCCAATAATGTTAAAAGAAGTTCATCAGAGAGAAGAAAAATGTTACAGGTTAGAAATTCAGATCATACACACACACACACACACACACACACACACACAAATATACACATATGCATATATATGAAGAGCATTAGAAAATAATTCAATGAAGGCACAAAAATTATTTCCTTTTCTTATTCCTATTGGATATCATAAAGGTTTGTTCAAAAAATAATAACAATGTATTGGGTGGTTATAGTTTATAATAGGGCAAATGGATGACGGTGATGTTAAATTGGGCAGGAGGGAGGAATGCTGAACACTGGGTTATATGAGCATTACCCTAAAAGCCAGTACAGTGTTACTTAAAACTGAAGGTCCATTTGTTGTGAATGGTTTACTCCAAATGCTAGGGAATTCAATAATAAAATGTTAAGAAACAACAGCCTGTCACAGTGGCTCAGCCCTGTAATGCCAACACTTTGAGATGCAAGACAGGAGGATTGCTTAAGATCAAGACTTTGAGCCCACACTCAGCAACACAATGAGACTGTCTCTACGAAACGTGTAAAAAATTAAATAAATAAAAAAAAAATTAGCCAGGTGTGGTGGCCTGCACCTGTAGTCCCAGCTACTCAGGAAAGCAAGTAGGGAGGATCTCCTGAGCCCAGGAGTTGGAGGTTATAGTTAACTATGATTGCTCCACTGCACTCTAGCCTAGGTGATAGAGCAAGAACCTGTCTCAAAAAAAAAAAAGAAACAAAGAAACAAAGAAACAAGTAGACTTACTATACTATTAGAAGAAAACACAATCATATAGACACCTCAGTTAAAATAAAAGGAGACAGAAAAAGAAAGGAAGTTGAAAAAAACCGACAAGTATAACAAATATAAAACAATTATATATGTACACATGAATCCAAGTATATCAATAACCACTTTAAATGTGTATTATATGAATATACCAATAAAAGAAGACAAGGACTGACAGAGTAGAATAAAAAAAACAAGACCTACCAATGTGTGCAAGAAAACTATTTTTTTTATTCTCTCAAGAAAACTATTTTAAGTAGAAAGACACAGGTACATTAAATATAAAGGTATGAAAAAATATACTCCATTCTAGCCCTAATCAAAAGCCATATGGGGATGGGCATGATGCTCATGCCTGTAATCCCAGCACTTTAGGAGGCCAAAGCTGGTGGATTGCCCGAGGTCAGGAGTTCAAGACCAGCCTGGCCAATATGGTGAAACCCCGTCTCTATTAAAAATACAAAAAAAAAAAAAATTAGCCAGGCATGGTAGCACGCACCCGTAGTCCCAGCTACTCAGGAGGCTGAGGCAAGAGAATCGCTTGAACGCAGGAGGCGGAGGTTGCAGTGAGCTGAGATCGTGCCACTGCACTCCAGCCTGGACAACAGAGATGCTGTCTCAAAAAAAAAAAAAAAAAATTGGTCTTAGCTGGAGGTGGGGGCATTGGCCTCAGGCCTCTCTGCCATAGTCAAAGCTACTCTCTTACCCTTCTATGCTTTACATGGATATTTAAAAACAAAATACTCATGTTTGATGAATCCAGGAAAATCACTCAAATTCAGTGTCTATGTCTACGGGTGGGAAGGAAATTGTAAGGCACTGACATTTTATAGCTCAACAGGAAAAGCCCAAATACCTATCCCTTCCAGACAATGAATGTCATTTAATTACTATTTCCATGATAGTAAGTGATATAGTAAAAAATAATTATATTTTACTTCTTTAGCTGTTGGAAAGTCCTGTCCCACAGAATTTAGCATTCATCTGTCAGATATAACAGGAACAGAACAGATTTCTCCATTGTCCCAAAATCTCCACCCTTTTAAAAAGGAGAAGAACTGAACTTTTGTTAAATCTTTTTAATTCAATGTACCTATTACACTTTCTTGTAAAAATGTATTCCTTTTTTGCAGCCATAATGGAAGAGGGTTTTTCCCTTGGTAGTAGTTATACTACTAAGTCCTGAAATTCCATCTGAAATCATCCGAAAAACAAACACACCTGAGAAACGTACTACACAAGCTCTGGGGCAAAAAAAATAAATAAAGGCTTTTAAAAAATGGAATAGAAGATTACATATACCATTTATATTCTGAAGTCCAACTCTTTCTAGTATTACTTATAAAATTTATTTTCTGAAGTCCGACTCTTTCCAACTTTGGGTATACTTTGTCTTCAAAGTATAAAATAACAATCTCTAATCATAGGATGTATTTCACGGTTAATCAAAAATTTAGGCTGAAAAGAGTAAACATATCTTTTCAAGCTAACAAACTCAGGAATCAGCAGTGCTGACTGGAACACAGAAAAGTCTAATGCAACAATCAGTGCAGGTCATCCTATCACCTGGGACATCCCTTAACCCTATTCTGTTCGCCACCCTCCTAGGAGACACTCACCACCCTCCTAGGAGACACTGCCTTGTGTGCTTTTCAGGATCTTGCACTACCTCAAAGGGCAGGTTCTCCAGTCCTTAGATATAACTTTCTACCTTTTAAGTCTGAGAGAGTCCAGAAGGCAAAAATCATTTCCGTTTTTTTTCCTATGGAATATGACCATGAAATTGGCTGTTCAGTCATGTGTCTCCAAGGAATGGAAACTAGGGTTGGGAAGAAAAGGTGAGTGTCCCAGGAGTTAGCTTTTTACAGGAATTATATACCAGAAGATTCCTCCCATCCCAGTGGATCCAGTTGCTCCCCAGGGGGCCACACCTTCCATCTCAGGCTGTCCCCTGGGAGGAGTGACCCAGGGGATGATATTCACTAGACCCTCCAAGAGACTTGGCAGCTGTGGACATCCATTTTTTTTGAGACAGGGTCGGCCTCTGTTGCCTAGGCTGGGATGCAGAGGCACGATCATAGCTCACTGCAACTTCAAACTCCTGGGCTCCAGCCATCATCCCACCTCAGCCTCAGGAGTAGCTGCGACTACAGGTGCCAGCTACCAAGCCCAGCTAATTTTATTATTATCATTTACACTAGAGACAAAGTCTTGCCATGTTGCCCAGGCTGGTCTGGAACTACTGGGATCAAGCAATACCTCTGCCTTAGCCTCCCAAGGTGCTGGAATTACAGGAATGACCCACCGTGTTCAGGAACCCAAAACAATTCTTTCAAGAAAAAGCCATACATTGCTAGCTGAAAACAAGATGACAAACTAGTGAAATATCGCCTGGGGCCAAACAGTTCATACTGTTGCTGTGAATTAAGGACAGAAGGTTAGCCTGGGGAAGTCTCTGGAAACCAAGAGATTTGCTGCCAGCCCTAGGAAGAGTCAGGATGAGAGAACACAGTGGTGGATTTGAGACCCTGCTGCCCACGTCTTTGGAAGACTCAGAGGGGAAACGGTCGCCCTTGGAAAGGAAGAAAGGACTGAGGACCACGGAAACCACAGCTCCTCCCACACACAAACCCCACACACGAGTCTGGATTCCACCTGGTGACTCGTCGTCACCGTGCAGCCTCCTCACCGGGTTCACAGGAACTGCGAGCCAGGCTGGAGGCGAGATTGCAGTTAGATATTAAACAGGTGCCCTCAGCCCCGCTGCCTCAAGGGGCCGCCTCCCTGAGAGTCAGGTCACAGCAGACGCTGACCGCCGGCTTCCCCATTGTGCCTGGGGATAAGATCTCCGAGTGCTGCTCAAGAGTCGCCGGAGTTCTCAGATCCTGAATCCCAGCAGAAAGGCTGGCGCCAACCAGGTTGAAGACCCCACGAGGGAGCCCTCTCAGCAGAATGCGGTTTCTTCACCTCCTGTCCCAGGATTCACCCCTCACTTCCCCACCAACCAAGGACGCTACACCCAGCCGCCCCCGTCCAGACCCCAAATCCCTCAGGGAGGCGGATCTGGGGTGTCCTCCCCTCTCCTCCTGTTAAACCGTTTCTGCTGCAGCCCTCGGCGTCTCGGTGCAGTGAGTCGGGCCGCGAACCTGTGTTGGTTACAGCCGCACAATCTGGGGAGACCCGGGGCTGCGGGCTCGGAGCTGCCCAGAGAGGGCGCCGGGGCCGCAGTCGCCGCGCAGGAACGGGACAGGACGCCCGGGGTCCCGGCTGCATGCCCAGCCCCACCCTGCGGCCGAGGGCCGACCTACGCCAGGGGGACCCGGGTCCGTAGATCCCGAAGTCGCCCTTGGGGAGGCCCGGGTCCAGCCACAGCCGATTACGGCCGGTTCCACCTAACCCCTCCCCCGCCTCGGGACGCCGGCCCAGCACACGCACCATTTCCCGACTTCCGCGGTGTCCCAGGTCCTACCGACAGCTCCCGCTGCCAATGCGTGTTCCAGCCAGACAAAGGCTGCCTCAGAACTTCCAGGTCGTCTCTCAGCTACAGAACCCAGAGCCGAGCGCAGGTGGGTGGAGCAGACGCCGCGGGCTTTTTCAACCACACACACTTCTCTGGGCAGTGCCTGATTGACAGTTCCCACGAACCCGCCCCACGCCCCTGATTGGATAGGGCGTCAGGTCCCGCCCCCTGAGGGCTGATTGACAGAAGAAGCGATCTTGCACAGCTGAGTGGAGCCGGATGAGCAAGTTCCTGACACAGCCCTTGGCAGGGGGGGCTTCCTCCCTGCTCTTTGATCTGAATCCTCCCGGGTTATATTTGCACTTAAGCGGAATTTCCTGCCCGTACTCAATAGGACCTCCTGCTTCTTCCTCCTGGACACGGACTGACAAACTAATTATATCTTTTTTTTTTTTTTTCCTCGAGAGGGAGTCTTGCTCTGTCGCCCAGGCTAGAGTGCAATGGTGCGAGGCTCACTGCAACCTTCGCCTCCTGGGTGGGTTCAAGCAATTCTCCTGCCTCAGCCTCCCGAGTAGCTAGGATTACAGGCACGCGCCACCACCCGGCTAATTTTTGTATTTTTCAGTAGAGGCTGGGTTTCACCATGTTGGCCAGGCTGGTCTCAAACTCGTGACCTCGTGATCCGCCTACCTTGGCCTCCCAAAGTTCTGGGATTAGAGGCGTGAGCAACTGCGCCTGGCTCCAATTATGCTCTTTTTCAATGAAATTTTTCAAGATTTTTCAATGTACAATTAAATTATTTTTTACTATAGTCACTCTGTTGTGCTAGCAAATACTAGGTCTTATTCATTCTTTGTAACTATTTTTTATACCTATTAACCATCCCCACTTCCCCCATAACTACTCCTCGCTACTACTTTTCGCAGCCTCTGGTAACCATCCTTCTACACATTTTTGGTTGTTTGAGATGGGGTCTTGCTCTGTTACCTAGGCTGGAGTGCAGTGGGGCCATCATGGCTCACTGCAACCTCTACCTCCTAAGCTCAAGCAATCCTCCCACCTCAGCCTCTCAAGTAGCTTCAGATTGTTCACTGTTGGCATATAAAAATGTTATTGATTTTTGTGTGTTGATATTGTATACTGCAACTTTACTGAATTTATTTCTCAGTTCTAATACTTTTTTGGTGGAGTCTTTAGGTATTTCCAGATATAAGATCATATTATATGCAAACAAGGATAATTTGACTTCTTCCTTCCCAATATGGATGCCCTTTATTTCTTTTTTTTTCTTTTTTTTTTTTTTGTCTTATTGCTCTAGCTGGGACTTCAAGTACTGTGTTGAACAACAGTGGTAAAAGTGGGCATTCTTATTGTGTTCCAGATCTTACAGGAAGGGCTTTCAGTTTTTCCCCATTCATTATCATGCTAGCTGTGGGTCTGCCATATATAGCTTTTATTATGTTAAGGTATGCTCCTTCTTTACCCACTTTTTTTTAGGGTTTTTATCATGAAGGGATGTTAAATATTATCAAAAGCTTTTTCAGTGCACATTGAAATGATTATATGGTGTTTGCCCTTTATTCTGTTGAAATGATACATCACATTGATTGATTTGCATATATTGAACCATCCTTGCATCCCAGGGATAAAGCCCACTTGGTCATGATGAATGATCTTTTTGGTGTATTGTTAAATTCAGTTTGCTAGTATTGAGTTGAGGATTTTTGCATCAATATTCATCAGTGACACTGGCCTATAGTTTTCTTTTTCTGACATGTCTTTGTCTGGTTTTGGTGTCAAAGTAATATTGGCTTTGTAAAATAAATTTGGAAGTATTGCCTTCTCCTCTGTTTTTTGGAATAGTTTGAGTAAGATTGGTATTAGTTCTTTTTTAAATGTTGGTAGAATTCAGCAGTGGAGCCACTGGGTTCTGGGGTTTTCTTTGCTAGGAGACTTTTTATTATGGCTTTGATCTCATTATTTGTTATTGGTCTGTTCAGGTTTTTTATTTCTTCATGGTTCAATGTTGCTATGTTCTATCTGCCTAGGAATTTATCAGTTTCTTCTAGGTTTTCCAGTTTATTGGCATATAGTTGTTCTTAGTTGCATTAATGATCCTTTGAATTTCTGCAGTATCAACTGTAATGTCTCCTTTTTCACCTCTAATTGTATTTATTTGGGCCTGGTTTTTTCTTAGTCTACCTCAAGGTTTGTCAATTTTGTTTGTCTTTTCAAAAAACCAACTTTTTGTTTCATTGTTCTTTTCTATTGTTTCTTCATTTCAAATTCATTTATTTCTACTGATTTTTATTATTTCTTTTCTTCTACTGATTTTGGGTTTGGTTTGCTCTTGCTTTTCTAATTCTTTAAGATGCATTCTTAGGTTGTTTATTTGAAGGTTTTCTTCTTCTTCTTTTTTTTTTTTTGAGATGAGTTTCACTTCACTCTTGCAGCCTAGGCTGGAGTGCAATGGCGCAATCTCAGCTCACTGCCACCTCTGCCTTCTGGGTTCAAGCAGTTCTCCTGCCTCAGCCTCCCAAGTAGCTGGGATTACAGGCACCGACCACCATGTCATTTTTTGTATTTTTAGTAGATACAGGGTTTCACCATGTTGGCCAGGCTGGTCTCGAACTCCTAACCTCAGGTGATCCACTCCCTTTGGCCTCCTAAAGTGCTGGGATTACAGATGGGAGCCACTGCACCCAGCCTGAAGGTCTTCTTCTTTTTTGATGTAGGTGCTTATATCTATAAACTTCCCTCTTAGTACTGCTTTTGCTGTATTCCATAGGTTTTGGTATGTTGCATTTTCATTATCATTTGTTTGAAGAAACTTTTCAATTTTCTTCTTAATTTCTTCATTGACCCACTCGTCATTCAGGAGCGTATTGTTTAATTTCCATATGTTTGTATGGTTTCCAGAATTCCTCTTGTCATTGGTTTCTAGTTTATTCCACTTATTCTGTGACACAATTTATATTATTTCAATTTTTCGGAGCGTTTTAAGACATGTTTTTTGACCTAACATATGGTCTATCCTTGAGAATGATTCCTGTGCTCAGGAAAAGTATGTGTATTCTGTAGCTGTTGGATAAAATGTGCTGTAAATATCTATTAGGTCCATTTGATCTATAGTGTAGATTAAATCCCATTTAATCTTTCTTTTGTCCAATTTTTCAGTATATATTGAAATAATCTTTGTTGATTTACTGTCTGGAAGATCTGTCCAGTTCTGAATATGGGGTGTTAAAATCTCCAGCTATTAGTGTATTGGTGTCTATCTCTCTCTCTCTCTTTTTTTTTTTTTTTTTGAGACAGAGTTTCACTCTTGTTGCCTAGGCTGGAGTGTAGTGGTGCAATCTTGGCTTACTGCAGCCTCCACCTCCAAGGTTCAAGCAATTCTCCTGCCTCAGTCTCCCAAGTAGCTAGGATTACAGGTGCCCACCACCACACCTGGCTAATTTTTTGTATTTTTAGTAGAGACGGGGTTTTGCCATGTTGGCCAGGCTGGTCTTGAACTCCTGGCCTCAGGTGATCCACCTGCCTTGGCCTCGCAAAGTGCTGGGATTACAGGCATAAGCCACCATGCCCGGCCCTCTCTCTTTTTACCTAATAATATATGTTTTCTATATCTGAGTGCTCCAATGTTGGGTGCATATATGTTCACAATTGTTACATCGTCTTGCTGAATTGACCTCTTTATAATTGCATAGTGACCTTCTTTGACTTTTCTTACAGTTTTTGTCTCGAAATATATTTTGTCTAAGTATTGCTACTCCTGCTCTTTATTGGTTTCCACTGGCATGGAATATGTTTTTCCATTCCTTTATTTCCAGTCTATGGGTTTCTTTATAGGTGAAGTGTGTTTCTTGTGGGCAACAGATCATTAGGTCTTGTTTTTTTAATCCATTTAGCCATTCTATGATTTTTGATTGGATAGTTTAATTCATTTACATTCAGTGTTATTATTAGTAAGTGAGAACTTACTCCTGCCATTTTGTTATTTGTTTTCTGGTTGTTTTTTCATCTTCTCTCCCTTCTTTCCTTCCATCCTGTCTTCTTTTTAGTGAAGGTGACTTTCTCTTGTGGTATGATTTAACTTCTTACTTTTTATTTTTTGTGTATCTGTTGTACATTTTTTGACTTGAGGTTGCCATGAGGTTTGCAAATACTATCTTATAACCCATAATTTTAAGCTGATGACAACTTAATGCTGTTGTATAAACAAAGAAACAAACAAAAAGAAATCTAATGAAAACTCTATGCCTTAACATCATACCCGCTTCTTAACTTTTCTTTGTTTCTATTTATATATTGCTTGTACTGTCTGTGTTTTGAAAAGTTGTTGTAGTTATTATTTTGGATTTGTTCATCATTTATTCTTTCTACTTAAGAATAATTTACGGCCAGGCGCGGTGGCTCAAGCCTGTAATCCCAGCACTTTGGGAGGCCAAGGCGGGCAGATCACAAGGTCAGGAGATCGAGACCATCCTGGCTAACACGGTGAAACCCTGTCTGTACTAAAAATACAAAACATTAGCCGGGCATGGTGGCAGGTGCCTGTAGTCCCAGCTACTTGGGAGGCTGAGGCAGGAGAATGGCGTGAACCCAGGAGGTGGAACTTGCAGTGAGCCGAGATCGCGCCACTGCACTCCAGCCTGGGTGACAGAGCGAGACTCTGTCTCAGGAAAAAAAAAAAAAAAAGAATAATTTACACACCACAGTTACAGTGTTACAATATTCTTTTTTTTTTTTTTGAGATGGAGTCTCTGTCGCCCAGGCTGGAGTGCAGTGGTGCGATCTCGGCTCACTGCAAGCTCTGCCTCCCAGGTTCACGCCATTCTCCTACATCAGCCTCCCGAGTAACTGGGACCACAGGTGCCCGCCACCACGCCCGGCTAATTTTTTGTATTTTTAGTAGAGATGGGGTTTCACCGTGTTAGCCAGGATGGTCTCGACCTCCTGACCTCGTGATCCGCCCACCTCAGCCTCCCAAAGCGCTGGGATTACAGGCGTGAGCCACCGCGCCCAGGCTTTTTTTTTTTTTTGAGATGGAGTCTCACTCTGTTGCCTGGGCTGGAATGCAGTGGTATGATCTCAGCTCACTGCAACCTCCACCTCCCAGGTTCATGTGATCCTCCTGCCTCAGCCCCGCTAGTAGCTAGGATTACAGGCACACACCACCATGCCTGGCTAATTTTTGTATTTTTAGTAGAGACCGGGTTTCACCATGTTGGCCAGGCTGGTCTCAAACTCCTGACCTCAGGTGATCCACCTACCTCAGCCTCCGAAAGTGCTAGGATTACAGGCGTCAGCCACCGAGCCCGGCATACAATATTATTTTTGTGTGTGTGTACTTACTAATACCAGTGAGTTTTGTATCTTCAGATGATTCCTTATTGTACATCCTTTTGTGATTGATGTAGTTCCTTTAGTATTTCTTGTAGAATAGGACTGGTGTTGATGAAATCCCTCAACTTTTGTTTGTCTGGTAAAGTCTTTATTTCTCCTTCATGTCTGAAGGATATTTTCACTGAATATGCTATTCAAGGATAAAAGTTTTTTTCCTTCAGCACTTTAAATATGTCATGCTGCTCCCTCCTGGTTTGTAAGGTTTCTATTGAAAAGTCTTCTGCCAGTTGTATTGGAGCTCCATTGTTTGTTATTTGTTTCTTTTCTCTTGCTGCTTTTAGAGTCCCTTCTTTATCCTTGACCTTTGAGGGTTTGATTACTAAATGCCTTGAGGTAGTCTTCTTTGGGTTAAATCTGCTTGGTGTTCTATAACCTTCTTGTGGTTGGATATTGATATCTTTCTTTAGGTTTGGGAAGTTCTCTGTTATTATCCCTTTGAATGAACTTTATACTCCTATCTCTTTCTCTACCACCTCTTTAAAGCCAATGACTCTTAGATTTGCCCTTTTGAGGCTATGTTCTAGATCCTGTAGGCATGCTTCAATGTTTTTTTTTTTTTTTTTTTTTTTTTTGAGACGGAGTCTCGCTGTCGCCCAGGCTGGAGTGTAGTGGCGCAATCTCGGCTCACTGCAGGCTCCGCCCCCTGGGGTTCACGCCATTCTCCTGCCTCAGCCTCCCGAGTAGCTGGGACTACAGGCGCCCGCCACCTCGCCCGGCTAATTTTTTTTTGTATTTTTAGTAGAGACGGGGTTTCACCGTGTTAGCCAGGATGGTCTCGATCTCCTGACCTCGTGATCCGCCCGCCTCGGCCTCCCAAAGTGCTGGGGCTTCAATGTTTTTTATTCTGTTTTCTTTTGCCTCCTCTGACTATTTTCAAGTAGTCTGTCTTCAAGCTAATTCTTTCTTTCTTTTTTTTTTTTTTTTGAGGCGGAGTCTTGCTCTGTCGCCCAGGCTGGAGTGCAATGGTGCTATCTCGGCTCACTGCAAGCTCCGCCCCCCAGGTTCATGCCATTCTCCTGCCTCACCCTCCCGAGTAGCTGGGACTACAGGCACCCACCACCACACCTGGCTAATTTTTTGTATTTTTAGTAGAGACGGGGTTTCACCGTGTTAGCCAGGATGGTCTCAATGTCCTGATCTCGTGATCCGCCCACCTTGGCCTCCCAAAGTGCTGGGATTACAGGTGTGAGCCACTGAGCCTGGCCCAAGCTAATTATTTCTTCTGCTTGATCAATTCTGCTATTAAGAGACTGATGCATTCTTCAGTATGTCAACTGCATTTTGAACTCCAGGATTTCTGCTTGATTCTTCTTCTTCTTTTTTTTTTTTTTTTTTTTTTTGTGAGATGAAGTCTCACTCTGTCACCCAGGCTGGAGTGCAGTGGCGTGATCTCAGCTCACCACAACCCTGCCTCCCAGGTTCAAGCAATTCTCATGCCTCAGCCTCCCGAGTAGCTGGGATTACAGACATGTGCCACCATGCCTGACTAATTTTTATATTTTAGTAGAGATGGGGTTTCACCATGTTGTCCAGGCTGGTCTGGAACTCCTGACCTCAGGTGATCCACCCACCTTGGCCTCCCAAAGTGCTGGGATTAAAGGCATGAGTGACTGTGCCTGGCCTTGATTCTTTTAAATTATTTCAATCTCTTCATTACATTTATCTGATGGAATTCTGAATTCCTTCTCTCTGTTATCTTAAATTTCTTTGAGTTTCCTAAAACAGCTACTTTGCATTCTCTGCCTGAAAGGTCACAAATCTCCATTTCTCCAGGATTCGTCTCTGGTGCCTTATTTAGTTCATTTGGTGAGGTCACATTTTCCTGGATGGTTCTGATGCTTGTGGACATTTATCCCTGTCTGAGCATTGAAGAGTTAGGTATTTATTGTAGTCTTCTCAATCTGGGCTTGTTTGTACTCATCCTTGTTGGGAAAGTTTTTTAGATATTTGAAAGGACTTAGGTCTTGTGATCTAAGGCATCTCTACATTAAGGGGCATCCCAAGCCCAGTAACACTGTGGTTCTTGCAGACTCTTAGAGGTACCACCTTGATTATCTTGGATAAGATCCAGAAGAATTCTCTGGATTACCAGGCAGAGATGCTTGTTCTGTTCTCTCTTTTCTTTTCTTTCTTTCTTTCTTTCTTTTTTTTTTTTAGATGGAGTTTCACTCTTGTTGCCCAGGCTGGAGTGCCATGGCACAATCTCAGCTCACCGCAATCTCCATCTCTTGAGTTCAAGCGATTCTCCTGCCTCAGCCTCCTGAGTAGCTGGGATTATAGGCATGCACCACCACACCCGGATAATTTTGTATTTTTAGTAGAGATGGGGTTTCTCCATGTTGGTCAGGTTGGTCTCGAACTCCTGATCTCAGGTGATCCATCTGCCTCGGCCTCCCAAAGTGCTGGGATTACAGGCATGAGTCACTGCGCCTGGCCTGGTCTCTTCTCTTTACTCCAAACAGCATGTCTCTCTCTTGCTCTGTTCTGAGCCACCTGGAGCTGGGGCTGGGGTGACACAAGCACCCTGGTGGCCACCATCACTGAGATTATGCCGGGTCAGACCTGAAGTGAGCACAGCAGTGGGTCTTACCCAAGGCCTGCTGTAACCACTACCTGGCTACCACCTGTGTTTGCTCAAGGCGCTGAGGCTCTACAACCAGTGGGTGGCAATACCAGCCAGGCTTGTTTCCTTCCCTTCAGGGTGGCAGGTTCCCCCAGGCCCTGTGTGGGTCAAGAGGTGCTATGCAGGAGCCAGTGACTGGAGTAAAAAAACTCAGAAGTCTACCTGGTGTTCTAATTGTACTGTGGCTGAGCTGGCACTCAAATCATGAGATGCAGTCCTTTCCACTCTTCCCTCCCCTTTCCACAGGCAGAGAAGCCTCACCCCATGGCCACCACCACCAAAGGCCCATGGGGAGTACTGCCAGGCTACTGTCAATGTTCTCTTAGAGACCAAAGGCTCTTGAGTCAGCTTGTGGTGAAGCTGCCTGGCCTGGGATTCACCCTTCAGTGCAGTGGGCTCCCCTCTGGCTCAGGGAAGGTCCAGAAATGCCATCCAAGATCCAAGGCCTGGAATCAGGGATCCCAACAACCCACTTGGTGCCTACCCCACTGTGGACAAGCTGGTACCGAACATGCAAAAGTCTCTTTTGCTTTTCCCTCAACTTTTTTCAAGCAGAAGGAGTCTCTCCCTATAGCCACCACAGCTGAGAATGTTCTGAGTTTCACTCAAGGCCTATGGTGTACTATCAGGGTATTGCTGCTGGTTATTCAGGGCCCAAGGACTCTTCAGTCAGCAGGTGATGGGTCCTTCCAGAACTGAGTCCTTTCCTTCAAGGCAGTGGGTTTCCTTCTGGCCCAGGATGTGTTTAGAAATGTCATCCAGGAGCTAGGGCCTGCAAAGGGGACCTAATGACTATGACTGGTGGCCTATCCTACTGTGGCTGAGCTGGTATACAAAGTGCAAGATAAAGTTCTCTTTACTCTTCCCTCTCCTCACCTCAAGCAGAAGGAAGGGGTCTCTTTTGGAGCCGTGAGCTGTGCTGCCTGGGATTGGGAGAGGGGTGGCACAAGCACTCCCTTAGCTGCCCTAACTGTTGTCTTACTAGGTTACATGCCCACCAAGTCCACTGGCTCTGAGCCCAGCTCAGTACTAGGAATTGCCTCAGAGTTGCAGTCCTTGTGGCCTAGACAGCCCTTCAAGTTTACTTAGGATTCCAGAGCATTTTAGCCCACAGTCGTGAGGCTCACTGGAACTCAAGTTCCAGCCACTGGGATGGGTAATTCCCCCCTGACTAGAGCTGACTATTTATTTATTTATTTATTTACTTATTTTGAGATGGAGTTTCACTCTTGTTGCCCAGGCTGGAGTGCAATGGCACAATCTCGGCTCACCGTGACCTCCACTTCTTGGGTTCAAGCTATTCTCCTGCCTCAGCCTCCCAGGTAGCTTGGATTACAGGCATACACCACCACACCCAGCTAATTTTGTATTTTTAGTAGAGACGAGGTTTCTCCTTGTTCGTCCGGCTGGTCTCGAACTCCTGACCTCAGGTTATCCGCCTGCCTTGGCCTCCCAAAGTGCTGGGATTACAGGTGTGAGCCACCGCACCCGGCCAAAACTCAAGTTTTTTAAGAGAGTGGGCAGGAAGATCCAGCTCACCTTACTAGCCACTAGAGCTGATTTAAATGCTCCCTCTGTGGGTGGGCATCAGCTGAATTCAGCCTGGTTTTGCTTTCTACTTGTTGGTAGAAGAGCTGAGGCAGGACTGGCTTATCTGTCATAATATAAAAGAGTCTTGGAAGATGTCTGGGGTCCAGGGTCTAAAACCCCTCGTGGCCTTTGGAACACCAAACTCTGTGCCAAGGGGTGGAAGGCTGCCCTGCCGCACCACAAATCTAAGCCCAGGGCATAAAACCCCTCATGGCTTGGATGGAATCCAGGGCTTAGGGCATAAAACCCCTCGTAGCCTCTGGAATGTGCACAGACTTGTTGGTTGCTCTCCCAGGTTCGTAAACATGTTCTCTATTATCTCCAAGCAGCAGAGCATATTATATATGCATCAAAGAAAATGCTAAACCATCACAGATACGCTTGATGCACCACTACCTTTCTAACCTCACACCCTCACCTGTTTACCCCTACGTCCTCAAGACCTGCTTCTTTGTTTGATCACCAATAAATAATGTGGGCTCCCAGAGCTCAGGGCCTTCGCAGCATCCATACCAGCGTTGGCCCCCTGGACCCACCTTATGCACTCTTAACTTGTCTTTTCTCATTCCTTTGACTACGCTGGAGTTTGTAGCCCCCACGGCCTGGTGTTGGGTCTGATCACCCCAACATTTCTGGCACCCAACGTGGGGCTACGAACACTCCGGTGAAGGAACACTAGAGTGTGCGGAAGCGGAGGACACATTGTCAGAGGACACCCAAGGACGACTGAAAGAAGCTTGGTGGGTAAGCTGAGCACTCAGAAGAACCAGGTTAACAATGGAACAGAATGAAAGTAAATATTCTGCTTATTTAAATTTCTTAAGGCATTTATTATGGAGAGGGGGAGTGAAAGTTAATACTCAGAACTTATTAACACTCTTTGATACAGTAGAGCAGTTTTGCCCATGGTTCCCAGAACAAAGGACAATGGAGCTAGATGAATGGGGAAGAATTGGCAGAAATTTTAAAAACGCATATAAAGAAGGAGCCAAAATTCCAGTTTCTGTTTGGTCAGTGTGGGAGTTGATAAAGGCAGTTCTTGAGCCATTTCAAACAGATGACAAGGCAGATTCAGATGAGGAAGAGGTAGATGAGTGTAAAAAATTAACTTCAGATTCTGAATATGAGGAACAGCAACCGGAAGAAATTAAAGAAAAGAAATGGAAACTGAAAAAGGTATATTTTACTAGCCCTTCGGTTCCACCTGCTGAATTAAGTGAATGGCCACCTCCTCCCTCTCCCCCTAATGGGTGAGAAGATGAATTAGCTGTAAAACTTACCGCTCCGGTAGCTGCAACATTAAAACCTGGAGCAATTGGTGATGCGATATAAAATTTTATTCAGAAGGCTAGAACTGAAGGAGACCTAGAAGCATGGCAATTTCCCATTACTATAATCCAGAGAGGAGGACAGAATATAGCTAGTTGGGCCACCTTTCCTTTTAAGTTGTTAAAGGAATTCAAGCAAGCCATTAGTCAATATAGGCCAAATTCTCCTTTTGTACAAACTTTACTAAAAAATGTGGCTCTTGATAATAGATTAATACCATATGACTGGGATACTTTAACAAAATCTGTTCTCACTCCATCTCAGTGTTTGCAGTTTAAAACTTGGTGGGCTGATAAAGCTCAAACTCAGGCAAGAGAAAACACACAAGCACAGCTGCCTGTGCCTGTTTCCTTTGAACAGTTAATGGGGTTGGGCCCTAATTGGGGCCGATTAGACAATCAAGCAGTAATGAAAAATGTTGCCATTGTTCAGTTATGCACTGTGTGCTTACAGGCATGGAAAAAAAATGTTACAGGGTAAAAATATCCTTCTTTCATTAGACCTATGAGAGGGAAGACTCATTTGGCTGAATATATTAAGGCTTGTGATGGCACTGGGGAAAATTTTAGTCCAGCTATGGCTTGACTAAAGGTGGGAAAAAATATGCCCCATTTCTCAGGCTCTTGTTTTAATTGTGGGCAATTTGGACACATAAAAGAGGAATGTAGAAAAGGAAATCAGAAGGCAAAAACTATTGCCATCAATCAACAGAAAAGTCCAGGTGTATGCCCCCAATGTAAGAAGGGCAATCACTGGGCAAATCAGTGTCATTCTAAATCTAGCAAAGATGGGCAACCTCTTTCGGGAAACGGGAATAGGGGCCCACCTTGGGCCCCTCAACAAACTGAGGCATATCCGGCACAGTCAGTGCCCTTACAAACATACAACAATTGTCCCCCGCCACAGCAGGCAGCGCTGCTGTAGATCTCTGCAGCACAATTCCCGTTTCCCTACTTCCTGGGGAGCCACCAAAGAACGTCCCATGAGAGTTAGGAGCCCTTTACCCTCAGGAACAGTTGGTCTATTGCTTGGAAGGTCTAATTTAAATTTAAGAGGTGTCGCTGTACATAAATAATTGATTCTAATTATACCGGAGAGATTCAGTTAGTTATTAGTTCCTCAATTCCATGGTCTGCTTTCCCAGGAGAAAGAATTGCTCAGTTGTTACTGTTACCTTATGCAAAACTGGGAAGAGGCACAGTAGAAAAAAAAAAAATAGGAGGCTTTGGTGGTACGAATCCAGCAGGAAAAGCTGTATATTGGGTTAATCAAGTGTCTGATAAGAGACCTATTTGTACAGTAACCATTCAAGGAAAGGACTTTGAAGGGTTAGTAGATACTGGAGCTGATGTTTCTATTATTGGTTTAAATCAATGGCCCCGGCATTGGCCTAAGCAGAAGGCATCCATTGGTATTGTTGGAGTAGGGGCTGCCTCAGAATTTTTTAAAGTTCTTTAATTTTGCCATGCCAAGGGCTGGATGGCCAAGAAGGGACAATTCAACCTATTGTTACACCTATTCCTGTCAATCTATGGGGTAGAGACTTATTACAACAATGGAGTGCTAAAATATCTATTCCTATGGATCAGTATAATAATAACAGTAAACAAATGATGAGAAAAATGGGATATCTCCCAGGGAAGGGACTAGGAAAAAAAAAATAAAAATGGCCAACCAGAACCTTTAGAACTAAAAAGGCAAACAGATCGAACTGGATCAGGGTATCATTTTTAGGAGCTGCAATTGCTGAGCCTCCGGCTCCCATTCCGCTTGTTTGGTTAACTGCCAAACCGGTTTGGGTGGAGCAATGGCCGCTGAAACAGGAAAAACCGGAGGCTTTAAAAGAATTAGTGCAGGATCAATTACAAAAGGGACACATAGAGCCTACTTTCTCCCCTTGGAATTCTCCTGTGTTTGTTATTAAGAAAAAATCAGGGAAATGGAGAATGTTAACAGATTTGAGGGCTGTTAATGCTATAATTCAGCCCATGGGCTCACTGAACCAGGGCTGCCCTCTCCAACAATGATCCCAAAATACTGACCTCTCATAGTAATAGATTTAAAAAATTGCTTTTCTACCATTCCTTTAGCTACTCGAGATTATGAAAAAATTGCTTTTACTGTTCCCACTATAAATAACAAAGAACCAGCGGACAGATACCATTGAAAAGTACTGCCACAAGGCATGTTAAATTGCCCGACTATTTGTCAAACTTATGTTGGAAAAGCTATTAAGCTAGTTAGAGAACAATTCAAAAAATGTTATATTATCCACTACGTGGGTGATATTTTATGTGCAGCTGAAACTAGGGAGGATTAATGCTATGCTACAAACAGTTAGAAAAGGCTGTAACTGCAGCAGGGTTAATCATAGCCCCCAATAAAATCCAAACTTCTACTCCCTTTCAGTATTTACGAATGAAAGTAAAACAAAGTACTATTAAACCTCAAAAAGTTCAAATTAGAAGAGATAATTTATAGACTAAATAATTTTAAAAATCATTAGGAGACATTAATTGGATTTGTCCCACTTTAGGCATTCCTACTTATGCTATGTCTCACCTCTTTTCTACCTTACGAGGTGATTCTAACTTAAACAGTAAATGCTCCCTGTCCAAAGAGGCCTTAGAGGAACTTCAATTAATTGAAGAAAAAATTTCTTGTTTTATTCCATTAGTGAGGACATCTAGGATGATGATGAATAGCAGTGGTGAGAGGAGGCATCCTTACCTCGTTCCTGATCTCAGTGGGAAAGCATCTAGATATCAAAATTAAGTATGATCTTAGCTTGGCTTCTTTTTAGAGGTTCTTTATCAAGTGGGAGAAATTTGCTTCTATCTGCTATTAGGTTTATGGACCTGAGCATGCCACCTAATCATTGCTTTTCCCTTTTCTTTCTGTAAAAAATCCCTCAGAATTCATATAAAGTTGCGAGTTTCAGGTTGGTTGGCTCTGACTGATCACCTGTATTATGGACCATCTGTGTGATTATGGGGAAAAGTTCAGGACACCAGCAACCTACATTGGATAGGACCACCTCTGACTCCAGGGATTGCCACTCAATCTTTCTGAGATTAGCACCCACATCCAACAAGGTAATTTTGCCTAAGACCCTGGTGGGAACCAACGGCCTTGTGATCTCAAGATTATCCCTTTGACATGCTGGTAAGCAGCAGTACTACAGAAAACAATGTAGCCCCCTGGCTACTTGTTTTGCTTTGGAAGAACAGTTGAGTTACATCCTCTCATGCTTTGGAAAGGATTGATACCAAATGTACCTTCTTTTCTTTGCTCATCAGTGCCTGACCATGGGGTATCATGGATGTGCATGTTTCAATAGCCTCCCACTCACCCCATTGGTGAGAGAGGAATTAGGGCCCTAGGGCTATTTAGGTAGGCTAACACATGATATCCATCACTGGACAAATGCAACTGACAACAGTTTATTAGTCATATATATTCACAGCCCAGATGAGGAGGGTACCATAAGTCATGCAGATCCACAAAGAAAATGTATTTGGGAGCAGAGGGCCCAAACATGGCTGTGGGAAACAGGCTTTGTAGTATCAAAAGGGTGAGGTACCCCTTGGTTCCCCTGGGAGGATGTGATTCACTTCTTTGAATAATGTGTGGGTTAGCAAGGATCTGAAACCCCTTATACAAGAGACAAAGACTATATAACTATGCTATAATAGTATAAAACTGTATTATGCATTATAGTATAATAGTAATTATATATTTTAGTTATACATAACATATACCAGTTATGTTTTATATATACAATTATATATCATTATGTAATATATTACATATTATATACACAAATATATCTATAAATGTACATGTAAACACACTATAGGCTATACTAGATAATGCTATACTACATAGTAGAAAATGGTCCAGAAATATCTCTTTTGAATATAGCTGCAGAGGCCCGACAAAATACCAGCAAATTGAATCCAGCAATATATAAAAAGACCTATACAACATGACCAAGTTGGATTGAGCTCAGAAAAGCAATGTTGGTTTCGCATATAAATATATATTAATATACCATATTTACAGAATAAGGGATCTATTATCATAGGATCATCCCAAAAGGCACAGAAAATGATTTTTTTTTTTTTTAGACAGGGTCTTGCTCTGTCACCTAGGCTGGAGTACAGTGGTGTAATCATAGCTCACTGCAGCCTTGAACTCCTGGGCTCAAGTGATCCTCCCACCTCAGCCTTCTGAGTAGCTAGGGCTACAGGCATGCACCACAACACTCAGCTTATGTTTAAATTTTTCTGTAAAGACGAGGTCTTGCTATATTGCCCAGGCTGATCTCAAACTCCTGGCCTCAAGTAATCCTCCTGCCTCAGCCTCCCAAAGTGTTGGAATTATAGGCGTGGCTCACACCTGGCCAGGTAATGAATATGACAAAGGCCAATACCATTTTACAATGAAAATACTCAATAGAGTACAAATAGGATGGAACTTTCTCAATGTGCTATAAGGCAGCTATGAGAAACAGCTAACATCATACTTGATGGTGAAAGATTGAACGCTTTTTATCTTAGATCAAGAACAAGAGTGTCTGCTTTTATCACTTCTATTCAACATGTTAAAGAAGGTGCTACCAGGGCAATTAGGTAAGAAAATGAAATGAAAGCACTCCAGATATTAAAGGGCATACATACATAGCCCCTCAGACAGACATACAACATCGCACAGACTTGATCACTGCACATACAGGTGGACAAACCCAGACACAGACACACAAACTTCCAAACTTACAAACCCTCAGTGATTAAAGCCCTAGATACACCAACAGATGCCCCCAGAGACATCAACAGCCCAGGCCCTCTGCAATGTTCCCCAGCTTCCTTTCCCTCTTTAGGACTAACCACCATCTGATACATCATGTGATTTTGCTTGTATCTCATTTCTTGCCTCCTAGAATGTCAGCTTCAAGGGAACACTATTAGCTAAGGTTTGTTCACTATGAAACCTACAAAGGACATGTTACATAGAAGAGTTTAATATGTATTGAATTATTGGGGCTCTCTGTCACACACATACACACACACCCACACACCTCGTTATAGGGCCACATCCATTTGATCTTAAGAGTGAATTGTTAGGCCGGGTGCAGTGGCTCATGCCTGTATTCCCAGCACTTTGGGAGGCCGAGATGGGCGGATCATGAGGTCAGGAGATCAAGACCATCCTGGCTAACACAGTGAAACCCCATCTCTACTAAAAATACAAAAAAATTAGCCGGGCGTGATGGTGGGTGCCTGTAGTCCCAGCTACTCAGGAGGCTGAGGCAGGAGAACGGAGTGAACCTGAGGCAGAGCTTGTAGCGAGCTGAGGTCACGCCACTGCACTCCAGCCTGGGTGACAGAACGAGACTCCGTCTCAAAAAAAAAAAAAAAAAAAAAGAGTGAATTGTTCTCACTTCCATCCCATGTGGCAGAAAAAGTGTGTAAGTATTGCAAAACAAATTTTAAAATAAGTTTTAAAATATGAATATTTTAAAAGGATATAATTATACAAACCTTGCAATGTTCTTCTAAGTTTAAAGTTTTTGGCTGGGCATGGTGGCTCACGCCTATAATCCCAGTATTTTGGGAGGCTGAAGCAGGTGGATCACTTGAGCTCAGGAGTTTGAGACCAGTCTGGGCAACATGGCAAAACCCCATCTCTACGAAAAAAGAAAAAAGTCAGCTGTGGTGGTGTGCACCTGTGGTCCCAGTTACTTGGGAGGCTGAGGTGGGAGGATCACTTGAGCCCAGGAGGTGGAGGTTGCAGTTGAGCCAAGATTGCACTACTGCACTCCAGCCTGGGTGACAGAGCAAGACAGTCTCAAAAAAAAAAAAATTTTTTTTTTTGGCAGTGCCCAGTACAGGTGGTGGCACACATTAGGACTTCAAAATCCAGAGATTCCATGATTCTGAGTTACGTGAGTTTGGGTAGGATCCTGTGCCCTGTACTTAACTTTCTTCATCTGTAAGATGGGAGAACTGATTGGTTGAGCAATCAAATGAGATACTTATAATTATGAAATCACAGTGCTAAGTACTAACATAAGTTACCACTGAAAAAAAATGGACAAAGATTTTATTTCCTTTGCTCAAATTTAGTAAGACACAAATATTTTACTTTCCCCCCACTCTTCCCAAACATGTGAATACCAAATTGGGATCTGGGGACTTTCTGGAAGCATTGAAACAAAAAGATTCAAACTACTACTCTTGTAAGAAGGCATTAAATTTTTCCTTATATGATGACACCAAATATTCTTCCTTTCCATTAAATTAGGCTATTATGCAAAATGATTCCCTGTCTGCAGCTCACCTCCATTATTCCTTGAAAATTACCCTCTAAACATCCATAGATTTTTTGGGTGGTACATATTGGGTCATTCAGTCTGCACAACAGCAAAATGATCATGTCAAATATCCAAGGCAACTTAAGAATCTTTAAAATGACATTAAACAGAAATGTAAACATCATCAACACCTGTGGCCCAAATCAATAGGAAATCTCAAATCCTAAATACTCATGTCCAAATTCATGATCATGCTTTACATGTCTCAAAAATTTTATCCATTATAAAAATAAAGATGAACCATATCTACACCTTTGTTTATGGGGAATCATTACTGTTCATCCCAGGGATGTAGGACTGTATTGTTCCCCAGCATACATCAAACCTGAGCAGTTCCTCAGTGTTTTAATAAGATATGTTAGATAGGCCAGGCTCAGTGGCTCATGCCTGTAATCCCAGCACTCTGGAAGGCTGAGGCAGGTGGATCACGAGGTCAAGAGATTGAGACCATCCTGGCCAACATGGTGAAACCCCGTCTCTACTAAAAATACAAAAATTAGCTGGGCGTGGTGGCACACACATGTAGCCTACTCAGGAGGCTGAGGCAGCAGAATCACTTGAACCTGGGAGGAGGGGGTTGCAGTGAGCCAAAATCACGCCACTGCACTCCAGCCTGGCAACAGAGTGAGACTCCGTCTAAACAAAAAAAAAGGCCAGGCGCGGTGGTTCACGCCTGTAATCCCAGCACTTTGGGAGGCCGAGGCGGGTGGATCATGAGGTCAGAAGATCAAGACCATCCTGGCCAACATGGTGAAACCTCGTCTCTACTAAAAATACAAAAAAAAAAAAATTAGCTGGGCGTGATGGTGGGCGCCTGTAATCCCAGCTACTCCGGAGGCTGAGGCAGGAGAATGGCTTGAACCCAGGAGGCGGAGGTTGCAGTGAGCCAAGATCACACTCCAGCCTGATGACAGAGAAAGACCCTGTCTCAAAAAAAAAAAAAAAAGATATGTTAGATAATGGAAATAAATGATCAATGACAATATTGGAGGTCCCTACCCTCCAAAGCTAAGGTATCCAACACAACCATAGCTTCCCTATTAATCTCACAGGTTGGTTGTTATTTCATTTCCTTCAAAGATCTTAATTGCTTTCTAAAAACCAAATCCTCACCTTTTATTAACCATCTCTCTTTTCCCAAATCTATAAGCAACAGGAAGGCAAGAACTTGTTTCATGTTTCTATATCCATAGCCTACAATGTCTTGATTATTTGTGCTGAATTGTGTATGCTTTGATACTACAGTGCCAGGCCTATGAGAAAGGTTAAAAAAATCAGCATCAAGAGCAAGATGGCTTGATTTGAACAGTGATTCTGTCTTTGCACCTTGCTAGGTTTGTGGTCTCTGAAAACTTATCTACACTTACAGGACTCTGCTAGTGCACAAAAGAGAAAAAAAAGTATATAGTTTGCTAAAGACTCAGTGAACTTACATATTTTGACTGAGATATTTTGTGGAAAACATTGTCCAATACACCATAAGAAATATTTCCATGTTTAGATAATAAGAAAGGTTAAGAGCAGTTCCACAGGACTAGGATCTGACCTCACACTCAGATAAGGCCAAGTCTTATCCTGTTGAAGAGAAAAATGTCACATTTCCTTCATCAGACAAAGCTACTCAGCAATCATGATGGATCAAGACAAAAACAATAACCATGTCTCTAAAAATGGTAAAAGAGAACAGAGTTGAAGCCATTAAAATGACCAAAATTGCCCTCTACTCACTAATCCAAGTGAGTGGTTTCTTAGGAATTAGGTTTAGCTCCACTTCATTCTTCCTGCCTCTAGATAAGAATTATGATTACCAGTGACACAATTAAGTTCACCTCACAGCAGGCAACACACACAGGAGTGTCTCAGTTTGGTGATTAGCAATCAAGTCACCCAACAAATCCAAATCCAAAAAGAAGTTGTTTTGAGAAGGAGTCTTGCTCTGTCGCCCAGGCTGGAGCACAGTGGCGTGATCTCGGCTCACTGCAACCTCCACCTCCTGGGGTTCAAGCAATTCTCCTGCCTCAGCCTCTTGAGTAGCTGGGATTACAGGTGCACGCCACCATGCCCGGCTATTTTTTATATATTTTTTAGTAGAGATGGGGTTTCACCATGTTGGCCAGGCTGGTCTCGAACTCCTGACCTTGTGATCTGCCCACCTTGGCCTCCCAAAGTACTGGGATTACAGGCATGAGCCACTGCGCCCAGCCGAGCACCCTCTTACTGATACTCCCCAGAGTCATTTATGGTTTATGATCATTCTTATTCCTACAATTCTTAACACTCTTCTCTTGACTACAGGTGTGATCCTGGTGATCTTTGAAAAAAAGGCACTGAAACAACCATGATTTAAGTTTTTGGTATTATGAATGCATGAGAAATTTTCTGGGAAAAAATCATAACTATATTAAGAATAAAAAATAAAAAATTCCTAAGGAAAATACTTGATCTTGTATGCACATAATATTGACTCAGAATATATGAGGATTAACTCAATAAACTTAAAAACTTAATCTGAAAATCACTGGATTAAGAAAATGTGGCACATATACACCATGGAATACTATGCGGCCATAAAAAAGGATGAGTTCATGTCCTTTGTAGGGACATGGATGAAGCTGGAAACCACCATTCTCAGCAAAGTATCACAAGGACAAAAAACCAAACACCACATGTTCTCACTCACAGGTGGGAATTGAACAATGAGAACACTTGGACACAGGAAGGGGAACATCACACACGGGCCTGTTATGGGGTGGGGGGAGGGGGGAGGGATAGCATTAGGAGATATACCTAATGTAAAAGACGAGTTAATGGGTCCAGCACACCAACATGGCACGTGTATACCTATGTAATAAACCTGCACGTTGTGCACATGTACCCTAGAAATTAAAGTATAATAATAAAAAAACTTAATCTGAAAATCTATAATTGCAATGGAATATTTTAATATATCCTTGCAGAAAATTAAATAGACAAGTGATAGCATACAAGTTATTTGAAAAGTTAATAAAATATTTCTAAGAAACATCTACAGAAGCTTTTGTTCAACAAAAACATACACATGGTTTTTAATCACATATAATGAAACAAAATTGAAAATGTACTGAGAGATGACATTCAACTGTAATAGGAAACACCGACAATCTGCTTGATATTAGGAAGGTGCTTATTCTTACACTGTAGGACTGGGTAAGTGCATTCCCTGCACAGTGCAGTGGAGAAGCAGACACCCATGTAGTTCTTTTTGACTGCACCACTGTAGTTGTCACGGTGGAATCAGAAACACATAGTCACTGGTACTGTTAACAAAACATGGTGTTTATTACATAAATAATACCTTGGATAAATTCAACCTAGAGATGAGGTGAGTCAGAGCATCAGAGAATATTCCCAACCTTAAGAGTCTAAATGGTTGCCTGGTGGACACATTAGAGTTTCTAGGAAAATCCAAACTGCAGTGCATCTTTGAGTAGAACTTTTGAAGACAATTTGTGGAAAACTACATCTTTGAAAATATGGCAGCTGGGGCCATGCACAGTGGCTCACGCCTGTAATCTCAGCACTTTGGAAGGCCAAGGTGGGCAGATCATGAGGTCAGGAGTTTGAGACCAGCCTGGCCAACAATGATGAAACCCTGTCTCTACTAAAAATACAAAAAAAATTTAGCTGGGCTTGGTGGTGGGCACCTATAATCCCAGCTACTTGGGAGGCTGGGGCAGGACAATTGCTTGAACCCAGAAGGCAGAGGTTGCAGTGAGCCAAGATCGTACCACTGCACTCCAGCCTGGGCGACAGAGCAAGACTCCATCTCGGAAAAAGAAAGTAAAGAAAGAAAAGAAAGGGAAAGGGAAAGAAAGAAGGAAGGAAGGAAGGAAAATATGGCAGTCAAGCAGTTAGTGGTGGTTCTAAGAATACTCTCAATTGGCAGAGCAAAGGATCAGGACAATGTGGTGGAAGCAGGTGTCCCTGAAGCTCCTATGCATCCATCTGTCTCCACATATGGTGGCTATAAAACCTGACTAATGCTTTCTTCACTTCTGCCTTCCATATCTCCTGCAAGTAGGCTATTGGTGAATTATACCGTGGAGCCATAAAAGGTTAGATTATAGAAAACATAGGTCACAACATAACCCATGTTAACACAATCCAGGACAGCCATTTCCAGCTATAGGTTATATGGTTCTATCTCAGATCTCTCTTATTAATACAAAGTCTATTATTCAAATCACAGCCAGAAGGAATTACAAACAGCAAACAGAAGATGAAAATAATAATTCCAATGAGAGAGTATACTGTATGATAAACTTTGCAGACTCAAAAATTTATTATGATTATTTTTTAGCATAAAAAATAGAAAAAAGGGTACTCTGTCTTCCTCTAAAAAAGCCTCTTTTGGTCAGAAAGATGAAATACATATAATGATATCTAGTACCTGCCACATAAGGCCAGTAGGAAATCCTAAAAATTACCAAATTGTCATTTTTTGATGGCCCATTACAGCACAACTAAAAAATACATAAAAATCAAAACTGCTAGCTTATTATAAATACACTTCAATTCACTCATGAATCTAACAGACTTCAATATGGAAAGACAAAATTTCAGAAACTGATTTAATGAAAAAATACTATCAATTCAACTTGTGTACAACTGTATAAGAGCTTACAGAATTATCTCATCTCAGTGTTCTTTTGTGAAAGTAATAGAAATCCATAATTCAGAGATCCATTTTAAGAATCAGTAACTGATAATATGTTTTATCACATTTCTGACATGTTGTGAATTTTCTAGAACAATATACATGAATTAATTTGCATCAGGCTTTCCCATATTATCTACATTTATACAGTACCTCCCTAGTGGGAGTTTCAACATGAGATTGAAGTTTCACACATAAGGGAGTATCACATGAGCATTTGTTAAAATGGAAAACATTGCTATATCTCACTTTTATAGGATTTCTATCCAGTCTGCATTCTCACATATTAGTATGTGGGCCAACTGAAGGCTTTCTCACAATGTCTATATTTAAGAAGTCGCTTTCCAGTGTGAGTTTGTTCATGGTTTCCAAGTAAACTAAGACAAATAAAGGTTTTTCTACATTTTTTACATTTATAGGGTTTTCCACATTCTTTACATTTTTAAGGTTATAAATTCTTTACATTTATAGGGCATATGAAAATTCTTTACACTTCATATGCCTTCTCATGGTCCTTAAAAGGTCATATGACCATTGAAGGTTTTCCCACACTGCCTACATTCGCAGGGTTTCCTGTCCAGTATGAATGCTTCCTCATATTCACATGTAAATAACTGAAGGTATTCCCATGTCTTATAGGGTTTCTCTGAAATATGAATAATTTCATGTCTTCAAAAGGAAATGGGGGCCGGGTGTGGTGGCTCACACCTGTAATCCAACACTTTGGGAGGCCAAGGCAGGTGGATCGTCTGAGGTCAGGAGTTCGAGACCAGCCTGGCCAACATGGCGAAACCCCATCTCTACTAAAAATACAAAAATTAAGTGGGCATGGTCGTTCACACCTGTTGTCCCAGCTACTCAGGAAGCTGAGGCAGGAGAATCGCTTGAACCCAGGAGACAGAGGTTGCAGTGAGCTGAGATCACTCTACTGCACTCCAGCCAGGGCAACAGAGTGAGAATTCAACTCAAAAAAAAAAAAAAAAAAAAAGGAAATAGGACAACTGAAAACTTTGCCATATTGCTTATATACATAGGGTTACTCTCCACTATGAACTCTTTCATGTATTCGAAAGGAACGGGAACACTTGAAGGCTTTACCACATTGTTGACATGCATAGGGTTTCTCTCCAGTGTGAGTTCGTTCATGGATTCGAAAGGAACGTGAGCAACTGAAGGCTTTGTCACATTGTTTACATTCATAGGGTTTCACTCCAGTGTGAGTCCTTTCATGCATTCGAACAGAACTAGAACAACTGAAGGCCTTACCACATTGTTTACACTCATAAGGTTTCTCTCCAGTGTGAGTCCTTTCATGTATTCGAATGGAACTGGAACAACTAAACGCCTTACCACACTGTTTACATTCATAGGGTTTCTCCCCAGTGTGAGTCCTTTCATGCATTCGAAAGGAACTGGAACAACTGAAGGCTTTACCACATTGTTTACATTCATAGGGTTTCTCTCCAGTGTGAGTCCTTTCATGCATCCGAAAGGAACTAGAAAAACTAAAGGCTTTACCACACTGTTTACATTCATAGGGTTTCTCTCCAGTGTGAATTCTTTCATGCATTCGAAAGGAACTGGAACAACTGAAGGCTTTACCACACTGTTTACATTCATAGGGTTTCTCTCCAGTGTGAGTCCTTTCATGTATTCGAACAGAACTGGAACAACTGAAGGCTTTACCACATTGTTTACATTCATGGGGTTTCTCTCCAGTGTGAGTTCTTTCATGCATTCGAAAGGAACTGGAACAACTGAAGGCTTTACCACACTGTTTACATTCATAGGGTTTCTCTCCAGTGTGAGTTCGTTCATGGATTTGAAAAGAACTAGGACAATCAAAGGCTTTCCCACATTCCTTGCATTTATAAGGTCCATTTCCAGTGTGCATTATCATATGTCTTCGATAGCTTGGAAGAGAAATGAATGCTTTCCCACATTCCTTACAATCATAGGGTTTCTCTCCTGTATGAATTCTTTCATGTTTTCTAAAGGAACTAGGAAAACTGAAGGCTTTCCCACATTTTTTACATTTATAGGGTTTTTCTCCAGTGTGAATCCTTTCATGACTTCGAAAGGATGTGGGACAACTAAGAGCTTTACCACATTGCTTACACTGATAGGGTTTTTCCCCAGTGTGAGTCCTTTCATGTATTTGAAAAGTTTGGTAATATCTGAAAGCTTTTCCACATTGTTTACATTCATAGGGTTTCTCTCCAGAGTGAGTTCTTTCATGATTTCGAAAAGAACTGGGATGACTGAACGTTTTCCCGCATTCTTTACATTTATAGGGTTTCTCCCCTGTGTGCATTCTCATGTGTCCTCGAAAGGTTGTGTGATAAATGAAGGCCTTCCCACATTCCTTACATTCATAAGGTTTCTCTCCAGTATGAGTTCTTTCATGTATTTGAAAGGAACTGGGCCAACTGAAAGCCTTACCACACTGTTTACATTTATAGGGTTTCTCTCCAGTGTGAGTTCTTTCATGTATTCGAAATGAACTTCGAAAGCTGAATCTTTTCCCACATTCCTTACATTCATATGATTTCTCTCCATATTTGTGATATTCATATGATCTATGTTCAGTATGAGATCTCATGTGCCTATTAAGAGATGAATGACACATATAGTCCTTTCCACACACACTACATTCATATGGTTTTACTCTAGTAAAAGTTTTCTTGTTTGGTTTAGGATTTGGAGTCTGACTGATGGTTTCTCCAAACTGACTACCTTCTTTCCTTTCACAGAGCCTCTCTACCATATGACTTCTGTGAGAAAAAAACAAAACAAAACGCACAATTAGTGGCTTTTTAAAATTAATAATTTTATAATTATTGATTATTTCACAATCATTAGTAGGTAGTAGAATTACACTTTTGCCATTTTCAGGGAAAGTGTATGTCATGAATGCTCAGGAAGAGTACTTGACCAGAGCTATTATCAAAACAATAAAATTCATCACATAGAGTTTATTTCTTTTTTTTTTTTTTTTTGAGACAGAGTCTTACTCTGTTGCCCAGGCTGCAGTGCAGTGGCACAATCTTGGCTCACTGCAACCTCCGTCTCCTGGGTTCAAGCAGTTCTCCTGCCTCAGCTTCATGAGTAGCTGGGATTACAGGTACCCACCACCACACCTGGCTAATTTTTGCATTTTTAGTAGAGGCAGGGTTTTGCCATGTTGGCCAGGCTGGCCTCAACCTCCACACCTCAGGTGATCTGCCCACCTTGGCC
This sequence comes from Homo sapiens, assembly GCF_000001405.40. Lineage (NCBI taxonomy): Eukaryota > Metazoa > Chordata > Mammalia > Primates > Hominidae > Homo > Homo sapiens. Next base: position 12,466,197 of record NC_000019.10, read on the forward strand.
TCCCAAAGTGCTAGGATTACAGGCATGAGCCACCATGCCTGGCCAAAATTCATAATATAGAGTTTCTTAATATTGTTTCCAGGTGAAATATTTTTCAAATACTGAACATCTGTACCATTTTTAAGAAAACGTTCTTGGCAAAAATTTTCAAAAAATAAATAAATATGAAATGGGGCTTATTTGTTTCAATTATTCATTTTTTAAACCTAATGGCATGCTAAGATTCTCTCATAAGACAGTATTTTCTTTTGTAAGTACAACTCACCTTAGCTTTCTCCCCTGATTTTTGTGATCTTCAATGTTCTTCTCCTCCCAGTTTTCCCCTAAAATGCAGGCCCAGAAAAATCATTAAACCTATTCGAAATTACAGAAAAATTATTAGATTCTAAATCTAGGATGAGCTGTTATCCTGTCTGATTTATTTACCAAAGTATTCCCTTTCAACATTCTAAACCTTGGAACCTTGCTGATGAGCAAGAAACACTTGTTCTCTAATTGACTAAGTGAGGGAATAATTTCATTCTTACCTATAGAGGCCAAGTTAACAAAGGTTTCTTGCATCACATCTCTGTAGAGTTTCTTCTGAGAGGGACCCAGCAAAGCCCACTCCTCCTGGGTGAAGTTCACAGCCACATCCTCAAAGACCACTGAGTCCTGAAACATCCCACATGTATAGGGGAGGATGGGTGAGACTGACAGCACTGGGGATATAAACTCAGTTCATTAAAAGTTCATATATAATTTTCTCCATTTATCCTGTAACTTTGTCATCAGAACTCAAATCTTCGTCCACACTTACTTCTTCATAAATTTAACACCACCATGAATACTTGGAAATTATTTCTACATTTTTAGTATGATCACTTCAAGTCTTATGCTCTCCAATGACAGGATACACAGCATCTTAGAGAAATGCTATACGATACTCTCCCTCTCCCTCTCCCCACGGTCTCCCTCTCCCTCTCTTTCCACGGTCTCCCTCTGATGCAGAGCCGAAGCTGGACTGTACTGCTGCCATCTCGGCACACTGCAACCTCCCTGCCTGATTCTCCTGCCTCAGCCTGCCGAGTGCCTGCGATTGCAGGCGCGCGCGCCGCCACGCCTGACTGGTTTTCGTATTTTTTTTGGTGGAGACGGGGTTTCGCTGTGTTGGCCAGGCTGGTCTCCAGCTCCTAACCATGAGTGATCTGCCAGCCTCGGCCTCCCGAGGTGCCGTGATTGCAGACGGAGTCTCGTTCACTCAGTGCTCAATGGTGCCCAGGCTGGAGTGCAGTGGCGTGATCTCGGCTCGCTACAACCTCCACCTCCCAGCTGCCTGCCTTGGCCTCCCAAAGTGCCGAGACTGCAGCCTCTGCCCGGCTGCCACCCCGTCTGGGAAGTGAGGAGCGTCTCTGCCTGGCCGCCCATCGTCTGGGATGTGAGGAGCCCCTCTGCCTGGCTGCCCAGTCTGGGAAGTGAGGAGCGCCTCTTCCCGGCCGCCATCACATCTAGGAAGTGAGGAGCGTCTCTGCCCGGCGGCCCATCGTCTGAGAGGTGGGGAGCGCCTCTGCCCCGCCGCCCCGTCTGGGATGTGAGGAGTGCCTCTGCCCGGCCGCGACCCCGTCTGGGAGGTGAGGAGTGCCTCTGCCCGGCCGCAACCCCGTCTGAGAAGTGAGGAGACCCTCCTCCTGGCAGCCACCCTGTCTGGGAAGTGAGGAGCATCTCCGCCCGGCAGCCACCCCATCCGGGAGGGAGGTGGGGGTCAGCCCCCGCACGGCCAGCCGCCCCGTCCGGGAGGGAGGTGGGGGTCAGCCCCCGCACGGCCAGCCGCCCCGTCCGGGAGGGAGGTGGGGGGTCAGCCCCCGCCCGGCCAGCCGTCCCGTCCGGGAGGGAGGTGGGGGGTCAGCCCCCGCCCGGCCAGCCGCCCAGTCCAGGAGGTGGGGGGCGCCTCTGCCTGGCCGCCCCTTCTGGGAAGTGAGGAGCCCCTCTGCCCGGCCACCACCCCGTCTGGGAGGTGTACCCAATAGCTCATTGAGAACGGGCCATAATGACAATGGCGGTTTTGTGGAATAGAAAAGGGGGAAAGGTGGGGAAAAGATTGAGAAATCGGATGGTTGCTGTGTCTGTGTAGAAAGAAGTAGACATGGGAGACTTTTCATTTTGTTCAGTACTAAGAAAAATTCTTCTGCCTTGGGATCCTGTTGATCTATGACCTTACCCCCAACCCTGTGCTCTCTGAAACATGTGCTGTGTCCACTCAGGGTTAAATGGATTAAGGGCGGTGCAAGATGTGCTTTGGTAAACAGATGCTTGAAGGCAGCATGCTCGTTAAGAGTCATCACCACTCCCTAATCTCAAGTACCCAGGGACACAAACACTGCGGAAGGCCGCAGGGTCCTCTGCCTAGGAAAACCAGAGACCTTTGTTCACTTGTTTATCTGCTGACCTTCCCTCCACTATTGTCCTATGACCCTGCCAAATCCCCCTCTGCGAGAAACACCCAAGAATGATCAATAAAAAAAAAAAAAAAAAGAAATGCTATACGATTGAAGCAAATATTTCCAGTTTAAGACCAACAATTCCTTGTAAGAAAAATACTTTTTATCTCCTGCTTTATCATGTACTATATCACTCAGCATCCCATGAAACACAGGGTCAAATCTGTACGAGATTTTTTTTTTTTGAGACAGAGTCTTGCTCTGACGCCCAGGCTAGAGTGCAGTGGCGCGATCTCAGCTCACTGCAAGCTCTGCCTCCCGGGTTCACGCCATTCTCCTGCCTCAGCCTCCTGAGTAGCTAGGACTACTGGCGCCCGCCACTATGCCCGGCTAATTTTTTGTATATTTAGTAGAGACGGGGTTTCACTATGTTAGCCAGGATGGTCTCGATCTCCTGACCTCGTGATCCGCCCACCTCGGCCTCCCAAAGTGCTTGGGATTACAGGTGTGAGCCACCGCACCCAGCCACGAGATTTTAATGAATAAGTATATACTGAAGAACTGTACATTTTTTCTTCTATTCCCATGATTACACTGAAAAGCCAGAGGGCCCGTGCAACTTGCAACAACATCCTGCTGGCCATGTTGTACCGAAGTACTGCAGACCATTAGAATTAGTCAGATCCAACTGGTGGAGTGAAAATATTCTTTTAGTGAAATATTAATTTTAACTTGTTTGTATAATATTTATCACAGACCCAGTGTTTCTTTTTTCTCCCTGTCCCATTTGATGGAGGCAGGAGGTTACTGGGATGTTAGAGCACAGGCAGGAGGAAAAAGGCATGGCAACTTAGATCATAAAAATTAAATCTTCACCAGGCGCGGTTGCTCACGCCTATAATCCCAGCACTTTGGGAGGCTGAGAAGGGTGGATCACGAGGTCAGGAGATAGAGACCATCCTGGCTAACATGGTGAAACCCTGTCTCTACTAAAAATACAAAAAAATTAGCTGGGTGTGGTGGTGGGCGCCTGTAGACCCAGCTACTCAGGAGGCTGAGGCAGGAGAATGGCGTGAACCTGGGAGGCAGAGCTTGCAGTGAGCCGAGATCGCACCACTGCACTCCAGCCTGGGTGACAGAGCAAGACTCTGTCTCAAAAAAATAAAATTAAGTCTTCAAAAAATCCCCACACTCATGAGCCTCAGGACTGCGACCACTGTTAGCACACATAGGATGGAGATGATAAGATGCCAGAACAGCTCTTTCCCTCAGAAACCTAACAGTGTACCCTGAGACTTAACGAATTTGAGTAACAGGTTAACAGTTTCAATTTGCAAGGGAGTTCACCCAAGTCCACAATGGTTTCATACTGAATTTGCCCATGATTACAAAATTCAAAGGGTTCAGCAGTGCTGTCCTCCAAAAGGATATGAAATTCCCTTTCTCCAATTTCAGAAAGAAGTGATCCGCAAACAGCTACTCTAGAGGCTGGCCATCCTCCCAACGTCTCTCATTTTAGGCTCCCGTGAGGTACGTGGTGGCATGAGATCCCGACACCAAAGCATAGGAATCCCTCAGTGGCATAATTCCCCTAAATCTTGGCCTTTGAAAAAGATCATTAACCTACTGATGTCCATATGCAAAGGACAGAAAAAATGCTCCCAAACAGCAATCCTGATACTAGAATTTACCTATTTGGTAAAGTAACAGAAATATCCACACCTTTCTTGTTGTTGGGTCAAAGGAGTAAAATGAGCTGATCACGTAAGTTCTAATTGTTCCTTGTACAGTGGTTCTATGGCACTTGTTCAAAGAAATTCCTACTACCTAGTGTGCAGAAGACTGTTAACATTAGTAAAATGTTAACCTAAGACTACTTATCTTTAAATGCCTGAGGGTATATATTCAATTCATAAAAAGTTCACATATGATTCTGTGGTCTCCAAACATTTGTTGTCCTTCACTGATATCTGGGAAGTGAGAATTTGGGAGGGACCCCGCCAACCTAAGTGATAAAGAGTGGCTTAGTGTGTGGCTGGGTGCAGTGGCTCACGCTGTAATCCCAGCACTTTGGGAGGCTGAGGTGGGCGGATCACAAGGTCAGGAGATCGAGACCATCCTGGCTAACACAGTGAAACCCCGTCTGTACTGAAGATACAAAAAATTAGCTGAGTGTGATGTCGGGAGCCTGTAGTCCCAGCTACTCGGGAGGCTGAGGCAGGAGAATGGCGTGAACCCGGGAGGCAGAGCTTGCAGTGAGCCAAGATCATGCCACTGCACTCCAGCCTGGGCAACAGAGCGAGACTCCACCTCAAAAAAAAAAAAAAAAGAGTGGCTTAGCGTGCCTAAATGGTTTATGGAATCAATAGAGTATATATTGAACTCCTTTTTTCCTTCTTAGAGTCTGGACTTTTTCACATGCCAGGCAGAGGATGCCTACTTGATCCGCCCCCCAAAAGCACTGTGAGCACTGGGTCTCTAATGAGCTTCCCTAGCAGACAATATATCATATCACAACTTGTTGCTTGGGGAATTGAGCCCATTCCATGTGATTACATCAGGAAAGAACATTTAAAGGCTTGGTTGCATCTGCTTTCCTCCACACCAACTATGACTAAATAAGGCTAATAAAGGATATTTAATAATCCTAATTTTAAAAATGTTATTGGGTAATGTCAAAGCAGAATTAAATTAAGGTGGAAGTTGGTACATGTTCTCAGAACAAACTCAGTGTCAACAAGATGCCACTGCTCCCAAATGATATCTTTATAAAATTCTACAAATCCCTAAAATAGACTTATAAAATTCTTAAAATAGACTTATAAAATTCTACAAATCCCTAAAATAGTCAAGAAAAACTACTTTTCCAAACCTAAGAGGAACAATAAATGTCAAACAATGGGTAAAGTCTTTTGAAGAGCAACATAAATACTTGCCTAGTATGTATCAAGGATTTTCAAACTATTAACACTCCAAACAGCATGACACACAGAGAGCTAAATAGAACAAGGGAGGGGAAAAGTGTCTTCAATGGACTGGCATTTATAAGGAAAATTGATTAATGATAGAGCAACCATTGTAGGGTAGTGGAAGAGATCACTAACACTTCAATATATGCAGAAGGGACACACTGTTGTCTAACTGGAAAAAGCATTGCATCAGCTCTTTTCCATAGACAATAATCAATTTAATGTAGATTTAAATGTGAATAATATAATTAAAACTGTTTCAAAAGTCACAGGCAAACTTTTTTAAATGCAAGAGTAGGGAGAATTTTCTCATGTAAGAGTAAGCCATAAAGGATGAGACTGAAAAGTTCAAACATACTAAAATCAAGAAAGTTAAAAGACAAATCACAAAGCAGGAAAAAAATATGTGACATACATGCAATATAAATGAACTAGTATGCAGAGTAAAAATAAATGAACAGTCAGGCATGATGGCTCACACTTGTAGTCCTAGCTACTCAGGAAGCTGAGGCAGGAGGATCATATGAACCCAGGAGTTAGAGGCTGCAGTAAGCTATCACACCAGCCTGGGTAACAGGGCAAGACTCTGTCAATAAATAAGTAATAAAATAGCCAAATAAATAAAAAGTGAACACATGATTTAAAAACGGAAACACAGGCCAGGCACGGTGGCTCACATCTGTAATCCCAACACTCTGGGAGGCCAAGGCGGGTGGATCACCTAAGGTCAGGAGTTCAAGACCAGTCTGGCCAACATGGTGAAACCCCATCTCTACTAAAAATACAAAAATTAGCCAGGCATGGTGGTGGGCACCTGTAATCCCAGCTACTTGGGAGGCTGAGGCAGGAGAACTGCTTGAACCCGGGAGGTGGAGGTTGCAGCGAGCCCAGATCGTGCCACTGCACTCCAGCCTCGGCGACAGAGCGAGACTCCATCTCAAAAAAAAAAAAAAAAAAGGAAAAATAATGAAAACATATTTAAGAGAGGATGACACACCATATATATGAAAAAAGGTCTGGCTGGGCACGGTGGCTCACGCCTGTAATCCCAGAACTTTGGAAGGTCGAGGCGAGCAGATCACTTGAGGTTAGAAGTTTGAGACCAGCCTGGCCAACATGGCGAAACTCTGTCTCTACAAAAAATACAAAAATTAGCCAGGTGTGGTGGCACGGGCCTGTAATCCTGGCTACTCAGGTAGCCAAGACACGAGGATTGCTTGAGCATGGGAGGTGGAGGTTGCAGTGAGCCACGATCGCGCCACTGCACTCCAGCCTGGGTGACAGAGTGAGACTCTGTCTCAAAAAAAAAAAGGAAAAGGTACATCTCGCTCCTTCCTTGATACAGCCAAATGAAATACCAAATAGATCCAATTTCTTACATATTAGAAGGACAAAAATCAGTCAATTAGCTACTCCCAAGTATTGATGACCACTGCCAATAGACAAATAGTTATGCATGAATGGAAGAAAGATCAACTGATACACTCCATTGCTATTTCCTGTATATTTGAACTTGACCATAATCTATAGCACAGTGATTTTTCTCCAACATCCAGAGAAGTTATTGTGTATTTGTACTTAGACACAGATACCAAAACAATAGGATCAGTATTTTTCACAAGAGCAAAAAATGAACTGGAAAAAGCCCAAACACCACCATCAATGGATTGGATGATAAAATTGGATTCCCCCAGCCTGTCACTATCATGTGAAACACAGAGGCAAAACCACTCAAAAACCTTTTCATTGTTAATTCCACTAATACTCATGTATTTAAAGTTCAAATAAGGCTCAACTAAAAGAACATCACATAGTGAAATGGAAGATAAAGGTATAAAGAATAATCAAATAATCAAGACTGTGGCCATCTATGAAGCAGGATGGAGATAAGCCAGAGGAGAACATCAATAGACTAATTAATGACTGACCAAAGCTCACCTATAAATTTATATTTTTAAATCACTTATTGAGGCAATGATTGACATGAAAAAGTTGTACATATTTAATGTATACAACTCAATGAGTTTGGGGATAAGTATACACCTATGAAGCCCTCAGTATCATAAGGACATAGACATATTCATCACAAAAGTTTCTTTCCCCCTTCATTATTATTACTATTTGTGTGTCTCTCTATGTGTTAAGAATACAACATAATATCTATTTTAGAAATTTTAAGACTAGGCACAGTGGCTCACACCTATAACCCCAGCACTTTGGGAGGCCAAGGTGGGAGGATCACTTGATGCCAGGAATTCATGACCAGCCTAGGCAACATAGTGAGATCACATCTCTAGAAAAAAATGTAAAAATCTTAGGTGGGTGTGGTGGCATTTGCCTGTAGTCCCAGGTACTTAAGAGGCTGGGACAGGAGGATTGCTTGAGCCCAGGAGTTTGAGGCTGCAGTGAGCCACGATTGTGCCATTGCACTCCAGCCTGGATAATGGGGCACGATCCCATCTTAAAAATGAATACAAATTTTTAAACATTTTTAAAAGGAATGTTTAACTATAAAATCATTGTGTTGTTAGCTATAGGTACTATGCCATATAGTAGATCTTCAAAGCTCATTTATCTGCATAACTGAAGCTTTGTATTCTTCAGCTTCATCTCCCCATTTCCCCCTTCCCCTGCAAATTACCATTCTACTCTATGCTTCTATGAGTTTGATTATTTTAGATTACATATATAAGTGAGACTACAAAGAATGTGCCTTTCTGTTTGGCTTATTTCACTGAGCATAATGTCCCCTACGTCCATCAATGGTGTTGTCAATGGCAGGATTTCCTTTTTTTAAAGGCTAAATCATATTTTATTTTATGTAAACATCACACATTCATCTGTTGACACACATTTAGGTTGTTTACATATCTTGGCTGTTGTGAACAATGATGCAATGAACATGGGAGTGCACATATCTCTTCAAGATGTTGATTTCAATTCCTTTAGATAAATATGGAGAAGCAGAGTGCTGGATCATGTAGCAATTCCTTTTCTAATTTTCTGATAAACATCTATGCTATTATCCATAATGCCTGTATCAATTTAAATTTAAACTTCTACCAACAGTATACCAAGGTTCCCTTTTCTCTAAATCCTCACCAACACCTGTAAGACTATAAATATATGTCTTAGCAGAAACCTTGGATGTCAAGAGAGTGGGACAATACATTCAAAGTGTTAAGCTAATTAGCAACACAAAAAGATATGAAAGTATAAAACTCATGGGTAAAGGCAAAAGTATAGTCAAATCCAGAATATTCTTATACATAATGGTGGTACAAACATCACTTTCAACTCTAGTATAAAAGCTAAAAGATGAAAGTATTTAAAGTGACTATAGCTACCATAACTTGTAAAATGGACACTGAATATTAAAAAGATGTAAATCCTGGCCAGGCACAGTGGCTAACACCTGTAATCCCAGCACTTTGGGAGGCTGAGGCAGGCAGATCACCTGAGGTCGGGAGTTGGACACCAGCCTGTCCAAAGTGACAAAACCCTGTTTCTACTAAAAATACAAAAATTAGCCGGGCATGGTGGTGGGCACCTGTAGTCCCAGCTACTTGGGAGGCTGAGGCAGAAGAATCGCTTGAACCCAGGATGCGGAGGTTGCAGTGAGCCAAGATCGCACCACTGTACTCCAGCCTGGGCAACAGAGTGAGATTCCGTCTTAAAAAAAAAAAAAAAAAAAAAAAAATCTAAGCATCTACATGAGGAAAGCAAGAAAATATGAGCAAATTAAACCCAAAGTAAGCACACAACAGAAGAAATAGTAAAAAGAGAAATTAAACAAAACCAAAGGTGTTTCTTTGAAAAGATCAATATATTTGATAAATGTATGGTTAAGCTAACTGAAAAACAGAGAACAGAAATTACTAATATCACAAATGTAAGTGGGAAAAATAAAAATGAAAAAGCTATGGGCAAAATCCAACATGCATTTATGATAAGAAACTGGAGATAGACTTTCCTCTTTTTGAGAAGCAGTATTTATAGGAAACCTGCAGCTAATATCATATTTAATAGTGAGAAAATAGATGCTTTCCTGGTAAGATGAGGAAATGGGCAAAGATGTCCCCTCTTACCACTCCTACTCAACAGATTGTACTCAAAGTGTAACTAATGAGAGGAGAGGGGAGGAGAGGAGAGAAGAGATATAGATTGGGAACAAAGAAATATCACTGTCTTTGTCGCATGTGACATGATTGTCTAAGTAGAAAATCTCAAAGAATCCACAACAAACTCCTCAAACTAGAGGTTGAGGATATAATCTTAATATACAAAAGTCAATTGCCTTCTTACAGACTCACATTAGTATAGTATAGACTCACTGAGTCATCTGATTTTCAACAAATGACCAACAGCAATTCAATGAAAAAAGATAGCCTTTTTCAACAAACAGTGTTGGAAAAACTGAACATCCACATGCAAAACACAATGAAAAAAACACAAATCTAGAAACAGACGTTACACCTTAAACAAAAACTGGCTCAAAATGGATCACAGAACTAAATGTAAAATCTAGGCCAGGAGCAGTGGCTCATGCCTGTAATCCCAGCACTCTGGGAGGCCATGGCAGGAGGATAGCTTGAAGTCAGGAGTTTGAGACCAGCCTGGGCAACTAAGTAGGACCCCATCTCTACAAAAAATACAAAAATTAGCCAGGTGTGGTGGTGCACGCTTGTAGTCCCACCTACTCAGGAGGCTGAAGTGGGAGGAGTGCTTGAGCCCAGGAGGTTGAGGCTGCAGTGAGCCAAGATTGCACTACTGCACTCTGGCCTGGGCAAGAGGGAGAACTTGCCTCAAAAAAAAAAAAAAAAGTAAAGTTATAGGATACTAAAAGTTAATGAAGAAAATCTAGGTGACCCTGGGTTTGGTGACAAATGTTTAGATATAAGCAAAATCCATACAAAATAAATCAGTAAGTTTGACTTCATTAAAATGCAAAAGCTCCTTCTCTATGAAAGCTCTGTGTTAAGAGAATGAAAAAGACTCTAGAGCCTTTTGCGGTAGGGGGACCCACTTAAGGTGGGCCAATTTGCAATTAACAGCATAAAGTGGTTAAGTAAAATTTATAAACAAGGAATATGTTGCCTCCAGAACATCAAAAGAACCTAGAAGATGCTGTGGGTAGTCAGAGGGACAATAGCTATTTCATAGTAGTGTCAGGGATGGAGCGGCCCTCCTTTTACCAAATGGTTTTTAGGAACTTAACCAAAACATAAAGGTCTCTTATTTTATATATGGGGCAATGGACTTTTTGTAAGCTCTATTTTTTTTTTCAGTATTTATGTGTCCTGAATGAATGCCAAAACAATGTCCTCAGACAAGGCTGTCATTAATGTAATATCATACCTGTGTTCTAGAGAAAGGTGGATGCAGTTCAGATTTTGCCTGCAAAGACTGTGCAACAGCAAGGCTGTTGAGGTTCCCTTGGGAAACTAGGTAAAGTTATATAATTAGCCTGTGAGATGGTGAAATCTGTGAGATCAGCTGGATGGTGTCAGTAATTTCCATGTTGGATATTGGTATAGGGGCTTAATGGGTGGGACCACAGCATTAAGGTTATGGTAATCCATTGTGGGTTGCCATTCATTCTCTCCAAGTTTAAGAAAGGCCAAACTGTACTTTTAAAACGAGAAGCACGGGGAATAATCACTTCCTCACTAAACAAGTTTTACATAATACTTTTCAACCCTTCAAGGCCCTGTTCAATTTATATTGAGCCATCATAACTAATTTAACTGGGGAGTAAGTTCCACAGGGTCTCATTCTGTCAAGCCAGTTTGTAAGTGCCAAAGATTTAATTTAAATTTCACTTATGACTCACTGGTTTAGAGTTTACCTGTTCATTCTGGCGTATTTTAGGACACTGGGTGCCATGAACATGGGGAATTTAGGCACAGTTATGATGGCTAAGATGAGACATACTTATTTGTCTTCTATTTTATATTCAGTAACTCCCTTAAGATTATCAGGGGATACCTTGCTTAAATTTTAGTGGGTCTCCCAGGTATAACCATAATTTGAGCCCTTGTATTGGCTAATCCTATAGTGTGTTAATTAATACATTACATAAGATGTTAAAATTAATACAGAACCTATGATATAGAGGCTCTTTTATCTTTTTTGCCGTCTAAATTCCTTTAGTCTATTTGGAATTTCCAATTGGGTCAAATTGTGGACCTCTTTTTCAGCATTTTTTTCTTTTGTTCCTTTCCTTCCTAACATGTTTGTTTTGTTTTTGTTTTTGTCCCTGGATATATTTTGACAGCAAAATCCTCTCTACAGGGGAGGGGTGTTCTTTTCCCTCCAGAGAGCCACAAATCACTATTATCAGGCTTAGGGGCCTGTCCCTCATGGTTGCTTTATAAAGTTTAAGCACCTGGGCCTTAAGCTGGCTTTGAATGAACCCTTTGCAATGCTGCAGAGGAAACATGAGTGTGCCCTATAATCCTGAGGGTCAGCATCCTTGCTGCAATAGAGCAACAGCAGCAACACTTAAGGGTCCTTGGGAGCCCTGTGCTATTAGGAGTGTGGACTCGGCCCACCATCTAACAGCTGCCTTTCCCCCTCTCTTTTGTCTCTTTTTCAAAAATGACTGCTCTGGCAGGTAGTCTTTCCCATGAGCACCTTGTATGCCAGGTCAGCAGCAGTCACAGCTTCACTCTAAAACACACAGATAAGTCCAGGCCAAGAAACACTACCCAGGACCACTTTAAGGAGTATCAAATCTCATATTCCTCTTCAAAAAAGCCAAGGAATTATCAAAACGGCCAACTCCAGTTGGCTAAACATAGAACCCAGACTTGGCAGGGCTCAACATGCAGCACAGAGTAGCACAACTCAAAGTAGTAGCTTCCCAGAAAGCAGCAGCTGAAAGTGCATGCTGGCCATCAGGCAACAGAGCAGGTAGCAATTCAGTGCAAGAGAAGACAGACCCATGGGGTGACAGTCAATGTCTGAACACCATGCTCATGGTAACAATTCCTGTGTCGTTCCAATGTTGACACTAATAACAGCGTGGAGAACAGACACCAAAGGGTATGAAAAGACTCACTACTGTGATCATTGAGGTCTTGGGGAAAGCAGGGCAGGCTGCCCAAGCAGGTGTGACATAGCTTCAGAGAGCAAAGAAAGCCTCCTGGCCTGGGTTTTTATTGTAGTTTGGGGGTGGGGCTACAAGAGAGTACCTGCTCAAGGGCAGGAGCTTCTGTGGTTTGAATTTCCTGCTCCCAGACTTTTTCAGCTTGCCCAGGTGTGCAGCACGAGGAGAAGAGAGAAGGGTGACGCTTATGATGTGCACAGCCAAAATCAAAACATGCAGAGTCCAACTACTCATTACAGAACCAACATGAGTATGAAAAACATGCATTTGCAATTGCTTATTTTTATAAAAAGAAACACTGACAGTATGCTTAAGAAATTATTAAAAGGCCAGGCACAGTGGTTTATACCTATAACACCAGTGCTTTGACAGGCTGAGGCAGGAGGATTGCCTGAGCCCAGGAGTTCAAGACTAGCCTGAGCAACATAGTAAGACTCCATCACTACAAAAAATTTAAAAATTAGCTGGGAGTGGCAGCACACACCTGTAGTCCCAGCTACTGAAGAGGCTGAGGTGGGAAGATCACTTGAGCCCAGGAGGTTGAGGCTGCAATGAGCTATCATCATGTCATTGTACTCCAGCCTGGGCAACAGAACAAGACCCCATCTCAAAAAAAATAAAAAATTATCAAAAGTGAGTATTTGGGGGGTGGCTAGAGCAAGTGCCCTGGCTGGACTGGACCAGAATATGCTGGCAGTGAGTCTTTTCAAGTTAGACTCAACTATTGTGGATTTTTTTCTAACTTCCACATGCATGATTTCTTTAAAATAAACAGCTAAATTTAAATAAGCCATATTTTACTACTTAATAATCTTCATTTTTAATCAACTTACTTTTGCTTTTTAAATTTTGATTAAAATTTTCTACGTATGAAACAATCCTAAGACTTAATCCAGGCCGGGTGCGATGGCTCACGCCTGTAATCCTAGCACTTTGGGAGACCAAGGCAGGTGGATCGCGAGATCAGGAAATCGAGACCATCCTGGCCAACATGGTGAAACCTCGTCTCTACTAAAATACAAAAAAATTAGCCGGGCGTGGTGGTGCACGCATGTAGTCCCAGCTACTCGCGAGGCTGAGGCAGGGGAATTGCTTGAACCTGGGAGTAGGAGACTGCAGTGAGCTGAGATTGTGCCACTGCACCCCAGCCTGGTGACAGAGTGAGACTCTGTCTCAAAAAAAAAGACTGAATCCAGCTGGGTGTGGTGGCTCATACTAGGGAATTTTGGTAAGCCAAGTTGAGAGGATTGCTTGAAGCCAGGAGTTCAAGACCAATCTGGTCAAGAGAGTGAGACCCTGTCTCTACAAAAAAGAATATATATATATAATTAGGTGGGCATGGTGGCTCATGTCTGTAATTCTAGTTACTTGGGAGGCAGAGGTGAAAGGAGTTCAGGGCTGTAGTGAGTTATGATTGTGCCACTGTACTCTAACTAGGACAACAGAGCGAGACCCTGTTTTTTAAAAAAAAAACAAACAAAAACTTAATACTTTAAGCACTGACAATTACAAAAGTGAAAAACTTTCAAATCTCTTTCTAACTATAATGACAAGGTGCATTATTATGTGTCCTACCATCTCACACTGGGAGGTGCTATTGGGAAGGAGTAGCATATTATAATGCATTAGCATTTTATCTTAAGTATGTTAGGATTTTCAAATATATATATAAGCTTTGAGTAGTTATTCTACCAAATAAAGAAGTTCAGGCCAGGTGCAGTGGCTCACGCCTGTAATCCCAGCACTTTGGGAGGCCGAGGCGGGTGGATCATGAGGTCAGGAGATCAAGACCATCCTCGCTAACACGGTGAAACCCCGTCTCTACTAAAAATACAAAAAATTATCCGGGCGTGGTGGCGAGCGCCTGTAGTCCCAGCTCCTCAGGAGGCTGAGGCAGGAGAATGGCGTGAACCTGGGAGGCAGAGCTTGCGGTGAGCCGAGATCGCGCCACTGCACTCTAGCCTGGGCGACAGAGCAAGACTCCGTCTCAAAAAAAAAAAAAAAAGTTCAATTGCATTTTCCTTTCAGTTCCAGTGGAAATTCATTTGCAATAGGAATCATATGGACTTTGAGGTTTTTTCGTTTTTGTTTTTGTTTCTTGAGACAGGGTTTTAATCTGTCGCCCAGGCTGAATGAAGCACACTGACTCAATTTTGGCTCACTGCCACCTCTGCCTCCCAGGCTCAAGGGATCCTCCCATCTCAGCCTCCTGAGTAGCTGGGACTACACCCAGCTAAAATTACCACACTTGGCTAATTTTTTTTTTTTTTTGTAGAGACAGGGTTTCGCCATGTTGCCCACGCTAGTCTCAAACTCCTGGGCTCAAGCAATCCACCTGCCTCAGCCTCCCAAAGTGCTGGGATTACAGGCATGAGCCACGATGCCTGGCCTCTTTTAAATTTCCAAGTACTCTATGACATGCACATACAAAAACCGATCTAAAAATGAAAAATGTACCTGAGAATGTAAATACATTCATCTCTTATCTTGAGGTTCTCTTGCCTAAAAGAAACAAATATTCTGTTTGGTTCCAGAGTTTTCTTTTTTTTTGTTTTGAGATGGAGTCCTGCTCTGTTGCCCAGGCTGGATTGCAGTGCACAATCTCGGTTCACTGCAACCTCCCCTGCAACCCGGGGTTCAAGCAATTCTCCTGCCTCAGCCTCCCGAGTAGCTGGGATTACAGCCACCCACCAAAAATTACATGTCTGGTTAATTTTTATATTTTTAGTAGCGACAGGGTTTCACCAAGTTGGCCAGGCTGGTCTCGAACTTCTGACCTCAAGTGATCCTTCTGCCTCAGCCTCCCAAAGCGCTGAAATTACAGGCGTGAGCCACCACACCCGGCCTGGTTTCAGAATTTTCTTGCCTTAGTTGCATCATACCTTTCAATCGACTTACATTTTCAAACCCAAGAAACAAAATTTAACACACTCACATATGGAATAACATTAAAAAGTGTTAACAGAAACTAGAATTCAGCTGCTGTAATAGTCAGCAAATAAAGGAATCCAAAGGGAAAAAAAAACACCAGCCTGGACACAGTGAGGATCTACAAAAAATTTACAAATTCAGGTGTGACAGTGCACACCTGTAGTCCTAGGTACTTGGGAAGCTGAGGTGGGAGGATCATTTGAGCCAAGAAAGGTGTTCGAGGTTACAGTTAGCTATGATCACACCACTGCACTCTAGTCTGGGTGACAGAGTGAGACACTGACTTAAAAAAAAAAAAAAGGGAAGGAAGGAAGGGGAAAGAAAGAAAGGAGGAAGGAAAGGAAGAAGGAAAGGAAAGGAAGAAGGAAAGGAAAGGAAGAAGGAAAGGAAAGGGAAAGGAAAGCCAAGCCACATCTGTAATCCCAGCACTTTGAGAGGCCAAGGTGGGAGGACTGTTTGAGGCCAGCAGTTTGAGACCAGCCTGGCCAACAAAGTGAGAACCCACCTCTAAAATACACACACACACACACAAACACACACACACACACACACACACACACGCTCCCTCTCCCTCTCCCTCTCTCTCTCCCTCTCCCTCTCAAGTCAGCTCAGACTAGCAGACTGCTTCTCCACAATTCAGAAGGAAAACCCACACTCAGAAAGCTAAACACATACACAAGCTTGGGGCCCACATTCTTGCTGTTGGGCAACAACCTTTAGAGTGAGACAGTCCCTGGTGACAGAGGGCAGGGGCACCTGAGGAGCCAAAGGAATGAACTCAGCGAGCTCCACACATTCCCTCACCCCTGGTGACAGGGAAATCGCCCCTTCAATTGTTGTAAGTGAGGAAACTCTCAACTGGACTGAGATTAAGGTTCTGACCCAAATGAACTCCCCAGTTCATTCATCCTGTGTCCAGGAGACAGATCTCCTGGCCTTTACAGACTTTCTCACTATAGAAAAATTACACTGAGTGCACCTACACAACAGATGCAAAACTCAAACCTAATGTCTAAAAATAGGCCCAAGGAAACCACAATTATGCCCTCAGGAAGGGCATCACTGGATTCAGCCAATCCCCCAACGTGCATTCAGATCCCCAGCTTTCCAGTGCTCAGCAGCTTCTCTCAGTACAAAGGGCTCCTTCCACAGTAGGTATGAGCAGGTAGGACACCTGCAGGGGAGGCTCCCTAGGAAGAAACAACTGGGCCTTCGATTACATCCCTTGGGAGACCCAAGGGTTGGTCTTAGAGCTTGGAGTCACTGACCTGAGTCCTCTTTGCTCTCCAGTCAAGTGACCTGGACCACTACTGATATTTACATGAGACAAACCCTGTGTTTGAAGAAATCAAAGGGGAGGCTGAGGCAGGTGGATAACCTGAGCCCAGAATGGAATTCCATTTGAAATCACCGAAAAGGAAAGAACAGACCTGAGGAACTTGCTATACATTCTCAGAAGAAAAAAAGAGAAACAAAAATTTTTAATAAATGCAATATCATACTGGGATATTTCATTATTATTATTTTCTGTTTTTGAGACAAGGTGTGAGACCTTGCTCAGCCTGGAGTGCAGTGGCATGATCAAGGCTCAAAGCAGCCTCAACTTCCCAGGCTCAAGCAATCCTCCCGCCTCGGCCTCCCAAGTAGCTGGGACTACAAGTGCAGGCCATTACGCCCAGCTAATTTTTTTTTTTTTTTTTTTTTTTTCTAGTAGAGATGAGGTCTCTCTATGTCACCTAGGCTGGTCTTGAACTCCTGAGCTCAAGCGATCCTCCTGACTCAGCCTCCCAAAGTGCTGAGATTACAGGCGTGAGCCAACGCTCCTAGCTTGATATTTTATTATTTTCTGAAACCCATCTCTTTCTTGCCTCTTTGGAAATATTTTACATCCACTCTAAAGGTTTATTTTATTTTATTTTTTTATTTTTTTGAGACAGAGTCTCACTCTGTCGCCGAGGCTGTAGTGCAGTGGCGCAATCTCATCTCAACTGCAACCTCTGCCTCCCGGGTTCAAGTGATTCTCCTGCCTCAGCCTCCTGAGTAGCCGTGATTACAGATGTGCACCACCACGCCCGGCTAATTTTTTATATTTTTAGTAGAGACGGGGTTTCGCCATGTTGGCTGGGCTGTAGGTCTCCTAATTACGTATATTTTACATTTTTTGAGAATCAATTAAGTGAGTAAATCTTTTCAAGGTGATAAGCCCAGGGAGGGGAAGTGCTGCGCTGGAAAGGACAGATCTCCCAGAAAAGTTTCCAAAAAGGAGACTCAACCCAAAGGAGTTCCCATAGGATGTCAGGTCCCAGGAGAGATACTGGCAAGAGAGGCACAAGCATTTTACACGAGGTAGCTTCAAGTCCTTCTCCTCTGTTTTCCTCTCATATAAATACCCCAAAGCATACGTTAAATCTTTTTAAAAGAACCATCCATTCCTCTGTACAAAAAGGATAATTAAAATACTGCGTCTGGTTGAAATAACGACGTTGTGAACTGGAGAGAAGACATTGGCATTTGAAAGAGATCTAGAAATTTAGGGATTTAATCCCAGCTCTGGGAAGAGCCAGGCTGGAGGACACGGTCGTGGGTTTGAGATCTGGCTTCCCATACACTTGGAAACCTTGAGAAACGAGTCCTCCCTTGGGAAGAAAAGAGGGACTGAGGACCCCACACAACACTGCTCCTCCCACGCACGAACCCCACGACCGAGACGGGATTCCCTCCATGACCCTCCCGTGCCCCAGCACAATCTGGGGAGACGCGAGGCTGCGGGCTCGGAGCTGCCCAGAGAGGGCTCCGGGACTGGGGCCGCAGTCGCCGCGCAGGGACTTGACAAGACGTCCGGGGTCCCGGCTGCCGGCCCAGCCCCATCCTGCGGCCAAAGAGACCGAGGGCCGAGCTGCGCCAGGAGGACTCGGGTCCACAGACCCGGGAGACAACGGCGGGGAGGCCTGGGTCCCACCACAGCCAGATCCGGCCGGTTTCAACCCGCCCCTCTCTCCCATCTCAAGACCCCCAGCCCCGCACACTTACCATTTCCCAGACTCTGGGATGTCCTGGTGTTCTGTTTACCTCTCCCGCGGCCAGCACAGGTCCTACCTCCACCTGAGGCCCTTCCTCCACCTGAGGGCCTTCTGGGGTGAGGAGACCCCAGAGCGGAGCGCAGCGGCTGGTAGCCACGCCCTCGCCGTTTGCGCAGCGCCCCTCCGCCCGCCTTCCCGGCGGCGCCCCTGATTGGACATTGCACTCTTGGACCCGCCTTCGTTGCCTGAGTGACAGCTAGTAGGGAAGTCGCGTCTCTAAGCAACCTGCATTCGTCCGGGGTCAGGAATCTGTTCCCCTGCCACGGATATTTGCGTCTAAGCAGAATTTGTTAACGTACCCGGGGTCGGGCACTGGTGTCTTCCTGCAGCTCCTTCTGAGCGCGGAGACACAAGCGTGCACAGCGCAGGAAATTCCAGGCTCAGTTTCCAGAAAAAGGCTCTTTGTCCACAGCGAAAAAGGACGCCCGGGCCATGCCAGACTAGAACGGAAGGGTCAGACGCTCCCAGACTTAGCATAAGGCTGCGAGGCCATTCATGGATTTCTGACTCTTGTTTACAAATACAGACACTTAGAGTGACAGAGTGACCTCATCATACCTAACAAAGAGTGACTACGTTTTAATCTTTGACAACTGACAGGGTTTAGGCCGTCACCCATCCCTTCCCTCCCCCCACACTTTGCTCTAGTGGGAAGTTTGGACCCCACAGCCCTAGTCTGAGAGAAGGAGTTCCTTTTTTTTTTTTTTTCGGTAGAGATGGCGGTGGTGGGGTGGTCTCACTATGTTGCACAGGCTAGTCTCGAACTCCTGGGCTCAGGTGATGCTCCTTGGCTTCCCAAAGTGTTGGGATTACAGGCATGAACCACCGTGCCCAGTGAGGAATTATTCAGTTAAACCCAAAGCCATGAGATGTGTTCAGTAAAACTGAACACTGGAAGGATATTTATTTCGGACCAGTTTTTGACTATGTCCCTAGAGAACTTTTGTGGATCCTTTATGTTTGTTTGGTTTGTGGTTTTTGTTTTTGAGACAGGGCCCTTCTTTGTCCCTCAGGCTGGAATGCAGTGGTGCAATCAGAGCCCCCTGCAGCCTCGACCTTCTGGGCTCAAGCAATCCTCCCACCTCAGCCACCTGAGTAGCTGGAACCTCAGGCACGTGCCACCATGCTTGACTAATTTCTTTCTTTCTTTTTATTTTTATTTTGTAGAAACAGCATCTCACTATCTCACCCAGGCTGATCTTGAACTCCTGGGCTCAAGTGATCTGCTGGCCTCAGCCTCCCAAAGTGTTAGGATTACAGGCATGAGCCACTGCACCCAGCCCCTAGAGAATTTTGAAATGTAAATGGCTATGATATCGATAAGGCAATTAATTCCATTTTCACTGAGATTATTTAAAAAACCACAAAAGATTATGTAAATTTGGCATGTACTAGGAAACTCAATATACTTAAGATATTGGATCAAACCTACTAATGGGCAGGGCATGATGGCTCACACCTGTAGTTCCAGCACTTTAGGAAACTTAGGTGGGAGGGCTGCTTGAGCCCAGGAGTTTGAGATCAGCCTGGGCAACATAGTGAGGCCCCCCCCTCCCCCATCTCTAAGAAAATTTTTTAAAAATTAGCAGGGCATGGTGGTGCACACCTGTAGTCCCAGCTACTGGGGAGGCTGAGGCCCGAGGATTGTTTGAACCCAGGAGGTCAAGGCTACAGTCAACTGTGATCCTGCATTCCAGCCTGGGTGACAGAGTGAGACCCTGTCAGAAGGAAGGAAGGAAGGAAGGGAGGGAGGGAAGGAAGGAAGGAGGGAAGGAGGGAAGGAGGGAAGGAGGGAAGGAGGGAAGGAGGGAAGGAAGGAAAGAAGGAAGGAAGGAAGGAAAAAAAAAGGAAACCCCTGTAGCCTTTGGCTGTCACTGTCCTATCTTCCCATCTTCCTCCTCCAAGCCTCTGTCCTAAGCAACCATTAATTTACTTTCAGTTGCTATATAGCTTTCCCATTGTAGACTTGGAATGGAATCATATACTATGTGTTCTTTGTGAGATTAACTTCATTCACTTAGCATAACTGTTTCAAGGGACATTTACATTGAAGTTTGTATCAATACTTCATTTGTTGTTTACAGTAAAACAATATTTCATTGTACCAATATAGCCCATTTTGTTTATCCATTCATCCATTAATAGGCATTTGGTTTGTATCCACCTTTTAGTTGTTATTAATAAGGTTGCTATAAACATCCATGTACAAGTTTTTCTGTAGACATAGGATTTCATTTGTCTTGGGAATACACTTAGGAATGGAATCGATGGGTTACATGGTAATTCTATCTTTAATCTTTGAAGAGCTGCCAGACTCTTCTCCTCTCCTTTGGGAAATTCTATTACACACATATTGGTCAACTAAATAGTGTCCTGCATATTTCTCAGGCTCTGTTCATTTTTCTGTTTTCTGTTTTTGTTTTTTTAAGATGTAATCTTGTTATGTTACCCAGGCTGGACTGCTTCAGCCTCCCAAGTAAGTGGGACTACAGGTGTGCACTAGCATGCCCAGCTTAAAGAAATAATTTCTATTTTGATATGACACCTGCAGATCCCCCTCCCTCCCCCAAAAAATCTTTTTTTTTTTTTTTTTTTTTTTGAGACGGAGTTTCACTCTTGTTGCCTAGGCTGGAGTGCAGTGGCACAGTCTCGGCTCACTGCAACCTCTGCCTCCCAGGTACAAGTGATTCTCCTGGCTCAGCTTCCCGAGTAGCTGGGATTACAGGCACCTGCCACCATGCCCAGCTAATTTTTTTGTATTCTTTATAGAGACAGGGTTTCACCATGTTGGCCAGGCTGGACTTGAACTCCTGACCTCAGGTGATCCGCCCACCTCGGCCTCCCAAAGTGCTGGGATTACAGGCCTGGGCCACCACGCCTGGCCCGAAAAATCTTATTCTCCAGTTATCTCCTGAAAAACAGTAGGCCTACAGTCTACACTATATCTTGATTAAATTCCTAGATCTCTTCCCAATTGATTTTCACTTCTTTTTTGAAACAGACTCTCACCCTGTCACCCAGGCTGGACTGCAGTGGCGAAATCTCAGCTCACTGCAAACTCCACCTCCTGAGTTCAAGCGATTCTCCTGCCTCAGCCTCCTGAGTAGCTGGGGACTACAGGTGTCCGTCACCACTCCAGCTAATTTTTGTATTTTTAGTAGAGACCGGGTTTCACCATGTTGGCCAGGCTGGTCTCGAACTCCTGATCATAGGTTCACGCCATTCTCCTGCCTCAGCCTCCCGAGTAGCTGGGACTACAGGCGCCTGTCACCACACCCGGCTAATTTTTTTTGTATTTTTAGCAGAGCTGGGGTTTCACTGTGTTAGCCAGGATGGTCTCGATCTCCTGACCTTGTGATCCGCCCCCCCTTGGCCTCCCAAAGTGCTGGGATTACAGGCGTGAGCCACCACGCCCGGCCCACTCCTCCACTCTTAACCACTATTCTCTTTTACAATTTTATACCTTTGCCTTTTTCAGAATGTCATATAAATGGAACACAAAGTAGTCTTATTAGTCCTGTTTTCAAATTTGACGACTTATTTGTAAACATTGATACAGTACCTGCAGTGTTCTGAGTTTTTTTGTTTTTTTTTTTTTTTGAGACAGAATTTCACTCTTGTTGCCCCAGCTGGAGTGCAGTGGCGCCATCTCAGCTCACCACAACCTCCGCCTCCTGGGTTCAAGCAATTCTCCGGCTTCAGCCTCCCGAGTAGCTGGGATTACAAGCATGCACCATCACACCCGGCTAATTTTGTATTTTTAGTAGAAACGGGGTTTCTCCATGTTGGTGAACCTGGTCTCAAACTCCCGACCTCAGGTGATCCGCCCGCTTCAGCCTCTCAAAGTGCTAGGATTACGGGTGTGAACCACAGTGCCCTGCCAAGTTTTCTATTTTTGACAGTGCCCAGTACAGGTGGTGGCACACATTCGAACTTCAAAACTGAGAGATTACGGGGCTGGGCACGATGGCTCATGCCTGTAATCCCAGCACTTTGCTTCAGCCTCCCCAGTAGCTGGAATTGCAGGCATGTGCAATTTTGTATTTTTAGTAGAGATGGGGTTTCTCCATGTTGGTCAGGCTGGTCTCAAACTCCTGACCACGTGATCCGCCCGCCTCGGCCTACCAAAATGCTGGGATTACAGGCGTGAGCCACTGCGCCCGGTCTATATTCTGGTTATTAATTCCTTGTCAGATGGGTAGTCTGCAAATATTTTCTCCCATTCTGTAGCTTGTCTTTTCACTTTGTTGTACAGAAGCTCTTTACTTAATGTGACCCCTTTATCTATTTTTGCTTTGGTTGCCTGTGCTTGTAGGGTATTACTCAAGAAATCTTTGCCCACTCCAATGTTCTGGAGAATTTCCCTATATTTTCTTTTAGTAGTTTCATAGTTTAAGGTCTTAGATTTGAGTCTTTAACTGATTTTGATTTGATTTTTGTATATGGTGAGAGAGAGGTCTGTTTCATTATTTTGCATATGGTTATCCAGTTTTCCCAGTCTCTTTATTGAAGAGACTGTCCTTTTCCCAATGTATGTTCTTGGCACCTTTGTCAAAAATGAGTTCACCATAGATGTATGGATTTATCTCTGGCGTCTCTATTCAGGAGTTTAAGACCAGCCTGGCCAACATGGTGAAACCCTGTCTCTACCAAAAATACAAAAAAATTAACTGGGCACAGTTGTGTGCACCTGTAGTCTCAGCTACTCGGGAGGCTGAGGCAGGAGAACCGCTTGAACCTGGGAAGCGGAGGTTGCAGTGAGCCGAGATCACGCCACTGCACTCCAGCCTGGGTGACAGAGTGAGATTCCATCTAAAAAAAAAAAAGACGGAGAGATTCCATTAGCACTGTGGGCTATAGGAATGTAGGCAAGACCTTGTGCTCCCTATACTTCAAATTTTTCATTCATAAGATAGGACGTATGGTTGGATGGGGCTAGTCAAATGAAATACTAATGATTATATCACATTAATTTCCAATGACATATAGTGAGATGCATATATGTCATTGAAATGTTGGACAAAAATTAGGTTTTAATTGCTCTCTAGTAAAACACAAAGCTGTTAACTTTTTTTTTTTCCATCTTCCCTAACGTGTGCTGGAGGTCTACCATATGGAAATGATACCTGCGGACAGTTTCATGGGCTTTTGGGTCTTTGTGGATCATTGAAACAAAAATTACCCAGCTACTTCTCTTGTTTAAAAAAGCATTAAAGATTGAAAATGTCAAATATACTTTTTTTTTTTTTGGTAGAGACAGAGTCTCGCTCTGTCGCCTAGGCTGGAGTGCAGTGGCAAACTCGGCTCACTGCAACCTCCGTCTCCTGGGTTCAAGCAATTCTCCTGCCTCAGCCTCCCAAGCAGCTGGGACTACAGGTGCACACCGCCACATCCAGCTAATTTCTTTTGTATTTTAGTAGAGACGGGGTTTCACCATGTTGCCCAGGCTGGTCTCAAACTCCTCAGCCCAGGCAATCACCAGCCTCAGCCTCCCAAAGTGCTAGGATTACAGGCGTGAGCCACCGCCGCCAGACATATACCTTATTTTTAACTAAATTGGGATGAAAATCAAAATAATACCCTCTGTCTGTAGCTTGCTGCAATTCTAACTTGGATAATTGCCCTCTAAACATCCATAGTTCTTTTGGATTTGTCAACTGGGAAATCACTGTGGATTTGGCTAGATATCACCCTGTTCATCGGAAAAACCTGAGATGGTTTGCACTATGCAGATGACTGTTACCTTTCTCCAAACTGGGAAGAACTCCATGGTTTTCTGATTACAATTTGTGTCATTCAGTCTCCAGTAAATGCAAAATTATAATGTCAAATAGATGAGATCAATGGAATAGAATTGAAATCCCAGAAATAAACTCATATATATATATACATACATATATATATATACATACATATATATATATATGTATATATATATATATATATACTCAAATGACTTTCAAAATGCTGCCAAGAATATGCAAAGACTATTGTTTTCATAAATTGGTGCTGAGACAACTGGATAGCCACATGCAAAAGAATGAAGTTGGACCCCTACATCACCCAATATATGGTAATTCACTGAAATAGATCACAGACCAAAACATAAGAGGTGAAATTATAATAATCCTAGGAAAAAAAGGTGGGAAATATTGATAATCTTGGATCTGGCAAAGAATTCTTACATATGCAGGCCGGGTGCAGTGTCTCATGCTTGTTTTCCCAGCACTCTGGGAGGCCGAGGGGGCCGGACAGCCTGTGGTCAGGAGTTTGAGACCAGTCTGGCCAACGTGGTGAAACCCCATCTGTACTAAAAATACAAAAAATTAGCCTGGCATAGTGGTGCATGCCTGTAATCCCAGCTACTCAGGAGGCTGAGGCAGGAGAAACACTTGAACCCGGGGGGGTGGAGGTTGCAGTGAACTGAGATCATGCCACTTCACTCTAGCCCGGATGACAGAGTGAGACTCCATCTCAAAAAATAAAAAAGAATCCTTACATATGCAGCCAAGTGTGGTGGCTCATGCGTGTAATCCCAGTACTTTGGGAGGCCAAAGTGGGAAGATCACTTGAGGTCAGGAGTTTGAGACCAGCCTGGGCCACATAGTGAGACCCTCGTCTCTATTCAAAAAACAAAAGGAAAAAAGAATTCTTACATATGACAGCAAAAGCAAAAATTGATGTGTGTGTGCAATAGAATACACACACACACATATATATACACACACACACATAATTTGGGCCTCATAAAAGTAATAGCTTTTGTGCTTCATAGAACACTATCAATATGTTGAACCAACCCTGCACCCCTGGGATAAATCCCACTTGGTCACGATGCATTACATTTTTAATGTGTTGTTGAATTTGCAAATATTATAATCCTATATCTGGAAAAAACTAAAGACTCCACCAACCAGCACTTTGGGAGGCCGAGGCAGGTGGATCACGAGGTCAGGAGTTTGAGACCAGCCTGGCCAATATGGTGAAACCCTGTCTCTACCAAAAATACAAAAATTAGCTGGTCATGGTGGCATGCACCTGTACTCCCAGCTACTCAGGAGGCTGAGGCAGAAGAATCGCTTGAACCCAGGAGGTGAGGTTGCAGTGAGCTGAGATCGTACCACTGCACTTCAGCCTGGGCGACAGAGTGAGACTCTGTCTCAAAAAAAAAAAAAAAAAAAAAGACTCCACCGAAAAACTATTAGAAATGATAACCCAATTCAGTAAAGTTCCAGGATACAAAATCAACATACAAAAATCAGTAGCATTTCTATATGCCAACAGCAAACAATCTAAAAAAGAAGTCAATAAAGTAATCCCATTTATAATAGCTACAATTAAATACCTAGGAATTAACTTACCCAAAGAAGTGAACAATACCTACAATGAAAACTATAAGACATTGATGCAAGAAATTGAAGAGGACAAAAAAATGAAAAGATACTCATGTTCATGCATTGGAAGAATCACTATTTTTTTTTTTTTTTTTTTTTTGAGACGGAGTCTTGCTCTGTCGCCCAGGCTGGAGTGCAGTGGCGCGATCTCGGCTCACTGCAGGCTCTGCCCCCCGGGGTTCACGCCATTCTCCTGCCTCAGCCTCCCAAGTAGCTGGGACCACAGGCGCCCGCCACCTCGCCCGGCTAATTTTTTGTATTTTTAGTAGAGACGGGGTTTCACCGTGTTAGCCAGGATGGTCTCGATCTCCTGACCTCGTGATCCGCCCGCTTCGGCCTCCCAAAGTGCTGGGATTATAGGCGAGTCACCGCGCCCGGCCTAGAATCACTATTGTTAAAATGTCCATACTAACCAAAGAAATCTAGAGATTTAATGCAATCCCAATCAAGATACCAATGACACTCTTCACACAAATAGAAAAAAACATCCTAAGATGTATATGGAACCAAAGAAGACCCAGAATAGCCAAAGCTATCCTAAGCAAAAAGTACAAAACTGGAGGAATCATATTACCTGACTTTAAATTATTTAAATATGACTATAAATCATATTATCTAACTTTAGAGCTACAGTAACCATAATGGCATGGTAGTGGAATAAAAACAGACACAAAGATCAGTGGAACTGAATAGAGACGCCAGAGATAAATCCATACATCTATGGTGAACTCATTTTTGACAAAGGTGCCAAGAACATACATTGGGAAAAGGACAGTCTCTTCGATAAAGAGACTGGGAAAACTGGATAACCATATGCAAAATAATGAAACAGACCTCTCTCTCTCACCATATACAAAAATCAAATCAAAATCAGTTAAAGACTCAAATCTAAGACCTTAAACTATGAAACTACTAAAAGAAAATATAGGGAAATTCTCCAGAACATTGGAGTGGGCAAAGATTTCTTGAGTAATACCCTACAAGCACAGGCAACCAAAGCAAAAATAGATAAAGGGGTCACATTAAGTAAAGAGCTTCTGTACAACAAAGTGAAAAGACAAGCTACAGAATGGGAGAAAATATTTGCAGACTACCCATCTGACAAGGAATTAATAACCAGAATATAGACCGGGCGCAGTGGCTCACGCCTGTAATCCCAGCACTTTGATAGGCCGAGGCGGGCGGATCACGTGGTCAGGAGTTTGAGACCAGCCTGACCAACATGGAGAAACCCCATCTCTACTAAAAATACAAAATTAGCGGGGCATGATGGCACATGCCTGCAATTCCAGCTACTGGGGAGGCTGAAGCAGGAGAATTGCTTGAACCCGCGAGGCGGAGGTTGCGGTGAGCTGAGATCGCACCATTGCACTACAGCCTGGGCAACAAGAGCAAAACTCCATCTCAAAAAAACAGAAACAAAAACAAAATAAAAAAAAACCCCAGAATATATAAGGAGCTCCAAAAAAATCTATAGAAAAAATCTAATAGGCCGGGCGCAGTGGCTCACGCCTGTAATCCCAAGCACTTTGGGAGGCCAAGACAGGCGGATCACGAGGTCAGGGGATCGAGACCATCCTGGCTAACACGGTGAAACCCCGTCTCTTCTAAAAATACAAAAAAAAAAAAAATTAGCTGGGCGTGGTGGCGGGTGCCTGTAGTCCCAGCTACTCAGGAGGCTGAGGCAGGAGAATGGCGTGAACCCAGGAGGCAGAGCTTGCAGTGAGCCAAGATCACACCACTGCACTCCAGCCTGGGCGACAGAGCGAGACTCCGTCTCAAAAAAAAAAAAAAAAAAAAAAAAAAAAAAAAAAATCTAATAATCGGATTAAAAATAGGCAAAAAATCTGAAAAGACATTTCTCAAAAGAAGGCATGCAAATGGCAAACCGTTATATGAAAAGGCCAACATCACTGATCATCAGAGAAATGCAAATCAAAACTATTATACAATGAGATATCATCTCACCCCTGTTAAAATGGCTTTTATCCAAAAGTCAGGCAGTAACAAATGCTGGAGAGGATGTGGAGAAAAGGGAACCTTTGTACACTGTTGGTGGGAATGTAAATTAGTACAACCACTATAGAGAACAGTTTGGAGGTTCCACACACACAAAAAAAATAAAAATAGAGCTGCCATTTGATCCAGCAACCCCACTTTTAGGTAAATACCCCAAAGAAAGGAAATCCATGTATTGAAGAGAGATATCTGCACTCCTATGTTTATTGCAGCATTATTCACAATCCCCAAGATTTAGAAGCAACCTAACTGTCCCTCAACAGATGAATGGATTAAAAAAAAAATGTTCCAAATACACAATGGAGTACTATTCAGCCATAAAAAAGAATGAGATCCTGTCATTTGCAACAATTTGGATGGAATTAGAGGTCATTATGTTAAGCGAAATAAGCCAGGCACAGAAAGACAAACTTCACATGTTCTCACTTATTTTTGGGAGCAAAAAATTAAAACAATTGACCTCATGGAGATAGAGAGTAGAAGGATGGTTACCAGAGGCTGGAAAGGGTAGTGCGGGGGTTGGGGGAAGGGGAAGTGAAGATGGTTAATGGCCACAAAAAATAGAATGAATGAGACCTAGTATTTGCTAGCATAACAGGGTGATTATAGTAAAAAATAATTTGGTTGCACATTTTTAAATAACTAAAAGAGTATAATCGGCTTGTTTGTAACACAAAGGATAAATGCTTGAGTTGATGGATTCCCCATTTACCATGATGTGATTATTAGGCATTGCATGCTTACATCAAAATATCTCATGTAACTCATAAATATATACACCTACTATGTACCCACAACAAAACTTAAAATTAAAAATGTAAACATTGCCTGGTCTCTGTGAACCTACGGGGTCACAGTTCTGAGTGTCCTGGCAGCATGATGCCAAGCCACTGTCCTCTGGAGAATATCTGACTCTCCTGATCCAGTATGGCCTTGCCTCCAGGGCCCTTTTGCTGTGGATTTACTCCTCAAAGAGTCAGTCATCAAGGGGTTCGCTTTATCTGGAAACTCTTGTCTGGCATTCCCTGCGCGCACACCTATGTCCCCGTTCAGAAGCTTCTTCGGTAAACGCCAGTGTCCGGTCTGAGGGCCTTTATATCTAGCATATAAAGTTCTGGTATAATGCAAATGTCTCTGGCAGGACAGTTTCAGGGACAAAAGTGGAAGCTGGATCGCTCAGCTACCTGACCTCCGTCTGAGATGTGACTCAGGCAACAGGGGGTGGAACCTCACAAACTGTCCAATTGGAGACGCCGCCGGAGCGGTGGGTGGGGCCGCCCTGTACAAAGGCGCGTGGATACGGTGGCGCGATTTCCAGTTTGTGTCTCTCCTGCCTCGAACGTCGCTAGGTGGCTCTGCCGCAGCCTCTGTCGCTCTGGGACCCGCACTGGCAGAGGGAGTCGTAGTTAGGGGGTGGGGACACCGCGGAAGCCCGGAAATGGTGACTGTGCGGGGCCTGGAATCCCGAGACCTGAAGAGCTGCTGGCCGGAACCGGCTGTCGCGGGAACCGGGCCTGCCCGCGGCCACTCCTGGGTCTGTGAACCCGAGTCCCCCTGGCGTAGCTCGGCCCTCGGCCTCCTCCCGCCGCAGAGTGAAGCTGGGCCGGCAGCCAGGATCCCGGGAGTCCTGTCCTGTCCCCGCGCGGCTACTGAGGCCCGGGTCCCGGAGCCCTGTGTGGGCAGCTCCATGCCCGTAGCCCCGCGTCTTCCAAGATTGTGTGGGGATCACGGGAGGGTCATAGGAGAGAAGGAATCCCGGCTCGAGTGTGGCGTTCGTGCGTGGGAGGAGCGGTGGTCCGTGGGGTCCCCAGTCTCTTCTTTTTCCCCAGGGGGACCGGTTTGCCCCTTAATTTTACAAACGTGTGAAAACAGGATCTCAAATCCACGACCCCGTTTTCCAGCCTAGCTCTTCCTAGGACTGACAGGAAATCCCTAAATTTGCCAATTCCTTCTTTCATTCCAAATGAAGCTTTCCCTCTCCAATTCATAATATTATTATTTGCCCTGTTAAATACAATTTGTAGGAAGCCATTGGTTTAGACTGAGCTCCTGCACTAGACCCAACAGACCAAACCAAAATGAGTTACCCACGGGGACGTTCCTCGCTACCAAGCTGAAACTAAGTTGTTTATCTGACCTTACAAATTATCAGGAGAGAAAGAGATGCTGGTCAAATCCCCAACAGGCCAGTTTTAGCCAACATGATAAAGAAAGTCCCCTCTGCTTTAACTTTTACCAGAAAAGCAACTTTGAAAGTTCCCGTCTTTCAACTGGGCGTGATGGCTCACGCCTGTAATCCCAGCACTTTGGGAGGCCGAGGTGGGTGGATCATTTGAGGTCAGGAGTTCGAGACCAGCCTGGCGAACATGGTGAAACCCTCGTCTCTACTAAAAATACAAAAATTAGCTGCATGATGGCCTGTGCTTGTAGTCCCAGCTACTCAGGGGGCTGAGGTGGGAGGCTCACTTAAGCCCAAGCCCTGGAGGTCGAGGCTGCGGTGAGCTATGATCTCGCCACTGCGCTACAGCCTGGGTGACAGAGGGAGACCCTGTCTCAAAAAAATAAACATCAATAGCGGTTGAAAGCCCCATGACTGGGGAGCAGCAGCCAGAGACTAGTGACTTCAAGCTAAGACCACTCTTGAGCCTGCAAAGGGAGGTCATTGAAAGCCCAGATGGGTCTTCCTGGGGAGCCTTCCCCAAAAGTGTCCTACTTGCTCTCACCCACCAAGGAAAGAGCTCTTTATACAGAGAGAAGCTACAGAGCACTGGAATGCTGGGAACCGCACGCGGTTTTAGGAGAACCGGGAGGGTTTTAATTGTCTAGGTTGTAATTGTAGTTTCCTTGGGTCTACTTTTAGACATTAGGTTTGAGTTTTGCTTTCACATTAGGGTACACTCGTGGTGTAATTTTTCCATATTGAAAAAGTCTGTGAAAGTTACAAGTTCTGTCTCCTGGACATGGTGTTAATGACTTTGGGAGTTCATTTGTGTCAGAACCTTCATCTGAATCCAGCTGACAGTTTCGTCACTTACGAGAACCAGTGGGAAGGGGCATTCTCTGCTCCCGGAGTTCATTCCTGTGGCTGCTCAGGTGTCCCTGCTGTCACCAGGGACTATTCCACTCTAGGGACTATACCCTAACAGGGAGAGAGTGTGGACTCCAAGCTTTGGTATGTGTTTAACCTTCTGGATGTTGGTTTTTCTTCTGAATTGCGGAGAAGCAGGCTGCTTATCTGAGCTGATTCAATGTTTGTGTTTCTTTCCTTTGGATTCCTTTTTCTATTGAATATTGCAGCACTTTAACTCCAGTTTCCTTTAACATTTTGTAATTTTATTCCCTGTATGAGTCTGTAGGATTTTTAGTTTGTTGGTCTTTGAAAATTTAAGTTGATTGAGAAATATGATGTAAGAGAAGCAAATCCTGGAACCAAATAGAATTTTTATTCCTTTCAGGCAAAAGAAGCTCATGGTGTGAGATGGATATGTTTAACTTCTCAGGTGCATTTTTATTTTTACATTAGTTTGTGTGTGTGCATATCCCTAGAAAACTTTCAAACTTCAAAGGCTCTACTATTCCCAGGGCAAATGGATTCCTGTTTTAATTGATACGAGGAAAACTACTCCTCAAAGCTTGTGTAATCTTTGAAAAATTCTACTACATTTAATGGTTATATCCAAACCCTAATGTATTATAATATGCTACTCTTTTTTTGAGACTGAGTCTTGCTCTGTTGCCCAGGCTGGAGTGCAGTGGCGCCATCTCGGCTCACTGCAAGCTCCACCTCCCGGGTTCACGCCATTCTCCTGCCTCAGCCTCCCGAGTAGCTGGGACTACAGGTGCCCATCACCACGCCTGGCTAATTTTTTTGTATTTTTAGTAGAGCTGGGGTTTCACCATGTTAGCCAGGATGGTCTCGATCTCCTGACCTCGCGATCCGCCCGCCTCGGCCTCCCAAAGTGCTGGGATTACAGGCGTGAGCCACCGCGCCCAATCTATAATATGCTACTCTTTCCTGAAAATACCCCTCAGTGTGAGATACAGTGGACAGACATGCTATGATGCAGATTCTCTTAAGATTTGAAATTTTACATTTCGTATAGTTTACACTTTTAAAAGTGTATAAAGGATTAAATCTTAATGAAGACAACTTAAAATTTAAAAAAAACTACATTATTTAAAGACTTTAATAGTAAAATATAGTGCAGATAAATATCTTCGTTCATTTTATTTTTTTATTTTTTATTTTTTTTGAGACGGAGTTTTACTCTTGTTGCCCAGGCTGGAGTGCAATGGCACAATCTTGGCTCACAGCAACCTCCACCTCCCAGGTTCAAGTGATTCTCCTGCCTCAGCCTCCCGAGTAGCTGGGATTACAGGCATGTGCCACCATGCCCAGCTAATCTTTTTGTATTTTTAGTAGAGATGGGGTTTCTCCATGTTGGTCAGGCTGGTCTCGAACTCCTGACCTCAGGTGATCTGCCTGCCTCGGCCTCCCAAAGTGCTGGGATTACAGGCGTGAGCCACCGTGCCCGGCCTTTTTAATGTATATTTTTAGACAGGGTCTTGCTCTGTCACCCAGGATGGAGTACAGTGGCACGATCGATCATAGCTCACTGCAGCCTCAGCCTCCCCTGCTCAAGTGATCCTCCCAACTCAGCCTCCTGAGTAGCTGGAACTACAGGCACATACCACCATGCCTGGCTAATTTTTGTATTTTTTGTAGAGGCAGGGTTTCACCAACCGGCAGGGTTGCCCGGGCTGGTCTTGAACTCTTGAGTTCAAGTGATCCTCCTAGCTCGGCCTCCCAAAGTGCTGGGATTACAAGTGTGAGCCACTGCACCAGGCCTCCATTCATTTTAGAGAGATAATACATGTGAAGGTTAAAAAAAAAAATCTATGAGACAGGAAAATCTAACATAAGACTCACTGTCAAGCATATCCTGGTTCATTCCAGGATTCTTGCTCCAGCCACCCCGCCCTTCGTAAAAACTTTTGGTAATTCCTTGTGCATCCTATTAGTGTTTCTTTATTAAAACAAGCAATTGCAGGCCAGGCGCGGTGGCTCACACCTGTATTCCCAGCACTTTGGGAGGCCGAGGCAGGCGGATTACCTGAGGTCTGGAGTTCGAGACCAGCCTGACCAACATGGAGAACCCTTGTCTCTACTAAAAATACAAAATTAGCTGAGCGTGGTGGCGGGTGCCTGTAGTCCCAGCTACTCAGGAGGCGGGCGCCTGTAGTCCCAGCTACTCGGGAGGCTGAGGCAGGAGAATCACTAGAACCCAGGAGACTGAGGTTGTGGTAAGCTGAGATTACGCTATTGCACTCCAGCCTGGGCAACAAGAGTGAAACTCCGTCTCACACAACAACAACAACAAAAACAAGCAATTGCAAATGCATGTTTTTCTTATCCATGTTTGCTCTTGTAATGAGTAGTTGGACTCCACCCTTTCTGGTATTTGACTGTTGGCAGATTCAGTGTCAACCCCCCTCTTCTTTCTAACAGCTGCCCACTGTCAATGGAATCACCAAACTCTCAAATATTTTAAGGCTTTATTCTGAGTCAGTATGAGTGACCACGGCCCAGAAAACGCAGTCTCAAGAAGTCCTGAGAAAGTGCACCAGTGGCAGCCAGGTTACAGTTATTTGGTATTTTTGAGACAGGGTCTCACTCTGTCGCCCAGGCTGGAGTGCAGTGGCACAATCTCAGCTCACTGCAACCTCAGCCTCCCAGGTTCAAGCAATTGTTGTGCCTCAGCCTCCTAAGTAGCTGGGATTACAGGCCTGCGTCACCATGCCTGGCTAAATTTTTTGTATTTTTAGTAGAGATGGGGTTTTGCCCTGTTGGCCAGGCTGGTCTTGAACTCCTGGCCTCAAGTGATCTGCTGGCCTCAGCCTTCCAAAGTGCTGGGATTACAGGCACGAGCCACAGCACCCAGCTACAGTTTGGTTTTATGCATTTTAGAAAGACAGGAGTTGCAGGCAGACATAAATCAGTACATGGAAGGTAGGCATTGATTTGGCCTGAAAAGGTAGAATATCTTGAAGCGGGGGCTTACAGGTTATAGGTAGACTCAGAGGTTCTTTGATTTACAGTTGGCTAAAGGAGTAAACATTTGGAGTCATTAGATAAGAATGAATGTTTGGGCCGGGCGCGGTGGCTTATGCCTGTAATCGCAGCACTATGGGAGGCCGAGGCGGGTGGATCACCTGAGGTCAGGAGTTCGAGACCAGCCTGGCCAACATGGAGAAACCCTGTCTCTACTAAAAATATAAAATTAGCCAAGCGTGGTGGTGGCGCCTGTAATCCCAGCTACTCGGGAAGCTGAGGCAGGAGAATCACTTGAACCTGGGAGGCGGAGGTTGTGGTGAGATCATGCCATCGCACTCCAGCCTGGGCAATAAGAGCGAAACTTTGTCTCAAAAAAAAAAAAGGAATGTTTAAGGAAGACAGCTGGGCTCAGGAGCCTATAATCCCAGCACTTTGGGAGGCTGTGGCACACAGATTGCATTAGGCTGGGGACAGTGGCTTATGCCTGTAATCCCAACACTCTGGGAGCCCAAGGCAGGTGGATTACTTGAGGCCAGGAGTTCAAGACCATCCTGGCCAACATGGTGAAACCCTGTCTCTACTAAAAATACAAAAATTAGCTAGGTGTGGTGTGTGTGCCTGTGGTCCCAACTATTTGGGAGGCTGAGGCAGAAGAATCCCTTGAGCCCGGGAGGTGGAGGTTGCAGTAAGCTGAGATTGCGCCACTGCACTCCAGCCTGGGTGACAGAACGAGACTCCATCTAAAAAAAAAAGTAAAAATGAGGTCGGGCGCAGCAGCTCACGCCTGTAATCCCAGCACGTTGGGAGGCCGAGGAGGGCGGATCATGAGGTCAGGAGATCGAGACCATCCTGGCTAACACGGTGAAACCCCGTCTCTACTAAAAATACAAAAAATTAGCTGGACGTGGTGGCGGGCGCCTGTAGTCCCAGCTACGCAGGAGGCTGAGGCAGGAGAATGGCGTAAACCTGGGAGGTGGAGCTTGCAGTGAGCCAAGACTGCACCACTGCACTCTAGCCTGGGCGACAGAGTGAGACTCCATCTCAAAAAAAAAAAAAAAAAAAAAAAGTAAAAACGATTAGCTGGGTGTGGCAGCATATGCCTATATTCCCCACTACATGGATCACTTGAGCCTGGGAGGTCCAAGCTGTGGTGAGCAGTGATTATGTCACTGTACTCCAGCCTGGGTGACAAAGCAAGAGACCCTGTCTCAAAAAAAAAAAAAAAAAGATAAGAAAATCTGTTAACCAATACACTGGGTCGGAATGACCTAGAGTTTGTGACTTAACCCTTGGAGAGCATGGCCTTAGGTCTTATTTATAATTTGGTATCTTATTGTCATAAAGAGTTTTGTTAGTTTTATGGTCTCTATTTTAACATTAATGCTGGTCAGTTGTGCCTAAACTCCAAAAGGGAGGGGTTATAACAGGGTGTGTCCGACCTCCCTTCCCATGGCTGGGAATTCAGTTTTTATTGTTTTTGTTCTTTCAAGACAGGGTCTCACTCTGTTAACCAGGCTGGAGTGCAGTGGCACAGTCATATTATAGCTTATTGCAGCCTTGAACTCCTGGGCTCAAGCTATCCTCCTACCTCAGCCTCCTGAGTAGCTGGGACTACAGGTGCATGCCACCATGCCCAGTTAATTTTTACTTTCTTTGTGGAGATGGGGTCTCACTGTGTTGCCCAGGCTGTTCTCAAACTCCTGGCCTCAAGCCATCCTCAGTCCCAAAATGCTGGGATTACAGGTGTGAGCCACTGCGCCTGGCCTGGGAATTCAGTGTTTAGGGTTGTTATGGGGTTCCCTTGGCCAAGAAGGGGTCTGTTCAGTCAGGAGGGTGCTTTGGATTTTATTTTTTGTTTACAATACCTGGACAAGCTGAGAAAGCTGAGGCGTTCCCTCCTTGGGCCTTGCTGGAGAGTCCCACCTAAGAAGCTTTTCCCCTCGAGGGGAAATGAACTCTCCTACTGCCCCACCCCCAATCACAGTAAACACCCAGTCCAGGCTCCTTTCCTTACTCTCTCAAGCCATTTTGCCTGCTTGAGGGGCCTGGCCTGCTTTTCTCAGAGACCTCAATCATCTTAGTAATTAAACCTTTTCATACCCTCTCAGCATGTGTGCACCATAACCACACTGGCATCGCTGTCAACATTGGAACTGCACCTCTGGGGTGACCATGGCAACTGGTGCCGTGCACAGGATGCCTAGACTTTTATCACCTTATCAGTCTGTGTTCTCTTGTTGGAATTACTAACTCGCTCTGCCAGGTGGTGGCTGGCATGTGGGGTGAGCGCTGCTGGCTGGAGGAGCTGGTGCTCTGAGTGTGCTGCTCTGTGTTGCATGGTGAGCCCTGCCGGGCCTGGGTTCTACATTCCGCTGACTTGAGTTGGCAGTTTGGATAGTTCCTTGGCATTTGGGAGCAGGAGTTTGGGATTGAATCCCTCCTGAAAGCTCTCCTGAGTGCATGTCTTGGCCAGGACCTATCTGTGTATTTAGATTGAACCAATACTTCCTTTCACAAGCAACCACATCTACAATTCTAATCATAGCTGTTATTATCAATATAATGTACTCTGGACAATGAAAACCACAAAAATACTAACCCAAGCAGCATTCCTAACAGTTACCATAGCTCTTGTGATAAAATTAGGAATAGCCCCTTCTACTTCGTTTTTTTTCTTTTTGACATGGAATCTTCCTCTGTTGCCCAGGCTGGAGTGCAGTGGCATGGAGCGATCTTGGCTCACTGCAACCTCTGCCTCCGG
Organism: Homo sapiens; assembly: GCF_000001405.40. Lineage (NCBI taxonomy): Eukaryota > Metazoa > Chordata > Mammalia > Primates > Hominidae > Homo > Homo sapiens. The sequence goes on from NC_000019.10 coordinate 12,502,934, forward strand.
GTTCAAGCGATTCTCCTGTCTCTGCCTCCCAAGTAGCTGGGATTACAGGAGCCTGACACCACGTCCAGCTAATTTTTGTATTTTTAGTAGAGACAGGGTTTCACCATGTTGGCCAGGCTGGTCTGGAACTCCTAACCTCAAGTGATCTGCCAGCCTCAGCATCCCAAAGTGCTGGGAATACAGGCGTGAACCACTGCGCCCTGTGCCCCGTTCTATTTCTGAATCCCAGAAGTAACACAAGGGATCTCATTAACATCAGGTATAAATAATCCTCCTTACATAACAAAAACTAGCACCAGTCTCCATCATATTTCAAGTCTACCCTTAATAGACCTAAATATGCTACTGGCAATTGCAGCACTATCTGTCCCGAAGAGGGCTGAGGCCGACTTAACCAAACACAACTCCGAAATATCTTGGCCTACTCATCAGTTGCTCCTATAGGCTGAATAATCACAATTTTAGCCTACAACCCTTCTATCACAATCCTAAATCTATGGATTTACATAACCCTAACAATTACAGTATTTATATTATTTAATCTAAGTACAAGTACTATAACATTATCACTACATTATATATGAAATAAGTTACCACTACTACTTCCACAATTCTTATCAATTTTCCCTACTGGGACTAACCCCCCTTACAGGATTTATACCCAAAGGAGTTATCATTCAAGAATTAACAACAAAATAGCCTTATTATACCCACACATAGAGCTGTCACAGCGCTATTTAATCAATGTTTCTACATACGCCTAATTTACTCCACATCACTAGTGATATTCCCAACAACTAATAACATAAAAATAAAATGACAATTTGAAAATATAAGGCCAGGTGTGGTGGCTCACACCTCTAATCCCAACACTTTAGGACGCTGAAGCAGGAGGACTGCTTGAGCCCGGGAGTTTGAGACCAGTCTGGGCAACAGAGACCCCATCTCTACAAAAAATTAAAAAATTAGCCAAGTGTGGTGGAATGGTCCTGTAGTCCCAGCTACTCAGGAAGCCACACCACTGCACTCCAGCCTGGGAAACAGAGCGAGACCCTGTCACAAAAAAAAAAAAAAAAAAAAAAAAAAGAAGAAGAAACTATAAAGCAAGCCCTCTTTTTATCACCACTCATTACTGTATGGACCCTATTCCTACCACTCTTACTCTCACCAATACTTTCTCTTTTTTGTTTTTTTTCTTTTTTGAGATGAAGTCTTGCTCAGTTACCCAGGCTGGAGTGCAGGGGTGTGACCTCGGTTCACTGTAACCTCTGCCTCCCAGATTCAAGTGATCTTCCCTCCTCAGCCTCTCGAGTAGCTGGGATTGCAGGCATGTGCCACCATGCCTGGCTAATTTTTGTATTTTTAGTAGAGATGGGGTTTCACCATGTTGGCAGGGCTAAGCTCGAACTCCCGACCTCAAGTGATCTGCCCGCCTCAGCCTCCCAAAGTGCTGAGATTATAGGCATGAGCCACTATGCCTGGCCCTCACCAATACTTTCAACAATAAACTAGAAATTTAGGTTAAATTAGGCTGGGCACAGTGGCTCACGCCTGTAATCCCAACACTTTGGGAGGCCAAGGCGGGCAGATCACTTGAGGTCAGGAGTTCGTGACCAGCCTGGCCAACATGACAAAACCCCATCTCTACAAAAAATACAAAAATTAGCCAGGCATGGTGGCACACACCTACAGTCCCAGCTACTCAGGAGGCTGAGGCGGGAGGATCAGATCTACATCTACCACCATAATTATTGCCATCCCTGCAGATAGTAAGGTCTTTAGTTGACTAACAACAGTACCTGGAGGCAATATTAAATGATCCGCTGCCATACTCTGAGCACTAGGCTTCATTTTCCAATTCACAGTGGGAGGTTTAACTGGAATCATACTATCGCTAGATATCATTCCACATGATACATATTATGTTGTAATACATTTCCATTATGTCCTGTCAGTAGGATCTACTGCTATAGATGCCCAAGAAGTAGAGGCAGTATGAACTATTCTACCTATTATCTTTATTTTAATTGCTCTTCCATCGTTATATATTCTGTATACAACATGAAATTAATAACCCCTCCCTAACCATAGAAACTATAGATGATACTGGCCAGGCGCGGTGGCTCATGCCTGTAATCCCAGCACTTTGGGAGGCCGAGGTGTGCGGATCACCTGAGGTCGGGAGTTCGAGACCAGCCTGGCCAACGTGGTGAAACCCCATCTCTATTAAAAATACAAAAAATTAGCCGGGCGTAGTGGCAGGGCCTGTAATTCTAGCTACTTGGGAGGCTGAGGCAGGAGAATCGCTTGAACCCAGGAGGCGGAAGTTGCAGTGAGCCGAGATTGTTCCATTGCACTCTAGCCTGGGCGACAGAGTAAGAGTCTGTCCCAACAACAACAACAACAACAAAAAGGCCGGGCGTGGTGGCTCACGCCTGTAATCCCAGCACTTTGGGAGGCCGAGGCGGGTGGATCATGAGATCAGGAGATCGAGACCATCCTGGCTAACACAGTGAAACCCCGTCTCTACTAAATATACAAAAAATTAGCGAGGCGTGGTGGTGGGTGCCTGTAGTCCCAGCTACTCGGGAGGCTGAGGCAGGAGAATGGCGTGAACCTGGGAGGCGGAGCTTGCAGTGAGCCGAGATCGTGCCACTGCATTCCAGCCTTGGCAACAGAGTGAGACTCTGTCTTGAAAAAATATATGTATATATATAGATGATACTGAAGCTATGAATATACAAAGTATGAAGACCTAAATTTTGACTCCTACAGATTTCCTACAACAGACTTAAAACCAGGAGAGCTGCAGCTACTTGAATTTGACAATCAAGTAGCCTTCCCCGTAGAAACATCAATTCAAATATTAAGTTCGTCGAAAGACATCCTACGTTCATGAACCTTACCATCATTAGGCCTAAACAGATGCAATGCCAGGATGTTTAAACCAAGCAATCCTGACATTTACACAATCAGGCCTTTCTACAGTCAGTGCTCGGAAATCTGTGGATCTAATCATAGCTTCATACCCATTGTTCTTGAACTTGTTTAGTACCCCTAAAACACTTCGAAACTGGTCAGCATCTATATTATAATATCACTGTAGAGCTAATCAGTACTAACCTTTTAAGTTAAAGACTGAGTTATGATCTTTCCACAACGAAGTGCCCCAACTAGACACATCCACACGATTTATTACTATCATATCCATAATCCTATCACCATTTCAATTAAAAATTTCAAAATTCATCTACCCAACAAACTCAACACTAAAAGCTTTTGAAATATAGAAACATGAAACCCCTTAAGAAATAAAATGAACATCTCTTTCATTACCCCAACAATAGTAGAACTGCCTGTAGTTATTCTTTTTTTCTTTTTTTTTGAGGCTGAGTCTTGCTCTTGTTGCCCAGGCTGGAGTGCAATGTCGTGATCTCAACTTACTGCAACCTCTGCCCTTCGGGTGCCTCAGCCTCCCGAGTAACTGGGATTACAGGCACCCACCACTACACTCGGCTAATTTTTTGTATCTTTTAGTAAAGACGGGATTTCACCATGTTGGCCAGGCTGGACTAGAACTCCTGACTTCAGGTGATCCACCTGCCTTGGCCTCCCAAAGTGCTGGGATTACAGGCATGAGTCACCACGCCCAGACTTCCTGTAGTTATTCTAATTATCCTGTTTCCAAATATTTCCATCACCTAGCCATCTGATTAACAACTGGCTAATTTCTGCCCAGACGCGTTGGCTCACGCCTGTAATCCCAGCACTTTGGGAGGCCGAGGCAGGTGGATCATGAGGTCAGGAGTTCAAGACCAGCCTGGCCAAGATGGTGAAACCCCATCTCTACTAAAAATACAAAAATTACAGCGTGCCTGTAATCCCAGCTACTCGGGAGGCTGAGGCAGGAGAATCGCTTGAACCTGGGGGGTGGAGGTTGCAATGAGCCGAGATCGCGCCACTGCACTCCAGCCTGGGTGACAGAGCGAGACTCCATCTCAAAAAAAAAAAAAAAAGAAAAAAAAGAAAAAAAAAAAAACTGGCTAATTTCTATACAATAGTGACTATTAATAATTCAACTTATACTAAAATAAATTATGATAATACATAATATCAAAGGACAAATCTGATCCCCTTGTTTTTTTGTTGTTGTTTTTGTTTTTGTTTTTTTGAGATGGAGTCTTGCTCTGTCGCTCAGGCTGGAGTGCAGTGGCATGATCTCGGCTCATCGCAACCTCTGCCTCCAGGGTTCAAGAGGTTCTCCTGCTTCAGCCTCCTGAGTACCTGGGATTACAGGTTTGCACCACCACACCTGGCTAATTTTTATATTTTTAGTAAAGACAGGGTTTCACCATGTTGGTCAGGCTGGTCTCAAACTCCTGACCTTGTGATCCGCCCGCCTCAGCCTCCCAAAGTGCTGGGATTACAGGTGTGAGCCACTGCGCCCGGCCCCCACCCCCGGTTTTTGTTTTTTTTTTTGAGACAGAGTCTTGCTCTGTCACCCAGGCTGGAGTGCAGTTGCATCACCATGGCTCACTGCAGCCTCAACCTCAAGGCATCTGCCCACCTCAGCCTCCCAGAGTGCTGGGATTACAGGTGTGAGCCACCATGCCCAGCCGAACCTGCTCCCTTATACTAATTTCACTGATCTTCTTGTTTCAACAAATTTACTAGGGCTCTTACCTCACTCATTCACACCAACTACTCAACTGTCAATAAACTTAGGTATGGCTATTCCACTATGAGCAGGAGCAGTAATTACTGGCTTGCACCACAAAACAAAAGCATCCCTAGCCCATTTTCTACCACAGAAAACACCTATTTTACTTATTGCCGTACTACTAATTATAGAAACCACCAGCCTCTTCATTCAACCAATAGCCTTAGCTGTGTGACTAACAGCCAGTATTACAGCTGGCCCTCTGCTTGTTCATTTAATTGGAGGCGCCACACAGTATTAACATCAATCAACCTACCCACAGCCTCAGTCAGATTTACATCTTGATTATATTAACCATTTTTGAATTCGTCATAGCTTTAATCCAAGCATATGTTTTTACACTACTAGTGAGCCTCTATCTACAAGACAATACTTAATGACCCAGCAAACCCATGCGTACCATCTAGTAAATCCTAGCCCTTGGCCATTAACAGGGGCTCTCTTAGCACTAATAACATCCACTACCCAGACTTAGTGGTTGGATGGCAAGCATGTGGTCTTTGGCAAGGTGAAAGAAGGCATGAATATTGTGGAGGCCGTGGAGTGTTTTGGGTCCAAGAATGGCAAGACCAGCAAAAAGATCACCATTGCTCACTGTGGACAACTCTAATAAGTTTGGCTTGTGTTTTATCTTAACCACCCACCAGACCATTCCTTCTGTAGCTCAGGAAAGAACCCCTCCACTCCATTTGCTTGCAGTATCCTAGAATCTTTGTGCTCTTGCTACAGTTCCCTTTAGGTTCCATGTTTTCCTTATTCCCTTCCATGCCTAGCTGGATTGCAGAGTTAAATTTATGATTATGAAATAAAAACTAAATAACAAAAAAAGGTAAAGAAAGAATACGATAAACATGGAAACAAATTAAACATAAAAAATGCCTGAAAACCATTTCATGGAAGATAAAAGACCACATAGGAAAAATGTTCAACAGCAATGGTAACCAGTAAAAAGCAACATATAATTACACAGAGACTGTGTTTAACACTCAAGGAGCACAAATAAATAAGTTAGATAATTCCAAGCATTGGCAAATTGCAAGGAATAAACACACATGCATGAGTGGTCAAATGGTTAATTGATATACTCCATCAGTATTTCCTACTAAATATGAATTTATCCATAATATACAACTCAGTAATTTTTTCCCAATATGTAAAAAATTTATAATTTAGCACTTGGAGACATAAATAAGAATGACATTGTCACCAGGATCAAAAAATAAACTTGAAACAACATTAGTCCACAAGCAATAGAATGAAGCCTCAGACAGTAATGTATGTGCAACAGACTGAGGCAAAAAAACCACAAAAAAAAACTTTCAGCATAACATTAATTGTAATAGTAATACTAACTTGCTGAAAACTCAAAATAGCCAAAACTCTACTTTATGGTAAATAGATGGTAAATCTATAAAGAATAACAACAACAACAAATCACCATCATGGTCACCTCTGGGTGCAGAAGGGAGGTGAGATCAGGGTGACATACCAGTGCTGCCAACAGCCTATTTAGCTGGGTGGTGAGTCCGTGGGTGTTTATGTTATAATTTCTTTTTTTTTTTTTTTGAGACGGAGTCTCGCTCTGTCACCCAGGCTGGAGTGCAGTGGTGCGATCTCGGCTCACTGCAACCTCTGCCTCCCAGGTTCAAGCGATTCTCATGTCTCAGACTCCCGAGTAGCTGGGATTACAGGCGCCCACCACCACGCCCAGCTAATTTTCTGTATTTTTAGTAAAGACGGGGTTTCTCTATGTTGGCCAGGCTGGTCTCAAACTCCTGACCTCGTGATCCACCAGCCTCAGCCTCCCAAAGTGCTGGGATTACAGGCGTGAGCCACTGCACCTGGCCTATATTATTATTTAAACTAAGCATAAGTATTTTATTTCCAGAATTCTCTTTGCTTCTTCAGACCTTATGACTCAATCCAACCAGATTGTCAACCAAGACAATAAAACTCTTACACTCAAATCATGGAATAAAATTCTTGAATGCTTCAGCAAACTATAATTATATGGCAGCAATATTCTGTAAAGAAAATGAGTGTGAAGCTGCTCTGCCCGAGTGGCTCAGAACTCCAAGAGATATACCTGATTGGGGCAAGGCCCCCAAAAAGACTTTAGCTCAAAGATCAATCTCTTGCTTACTCCCTACAAGGAGTGTGCACATTCCTTACAGCTTCCACCTTTTTTCTTTTTTTTTTTTTTTTGAGACGGAGTCTCGCTCTGTTGCCCAGGCTGGAGTGCAGTGGCACGATCTCGGCTCACTGCAAGCTCCACCTCCCAGGTTCACACCATTCTCCTACCTCAGCCTCCCTAGTAGCTGCGACCACAGGCGCCCGCCACCACACCTGGCTAATTTTTTGTATTTTTAGTAGAGACGGGGTTTCACCGTGTTAGCCAGGATGGTCTCGATCTCCTGACCTCTGACCTCATGATCCACCCGCCTCAGCCTCCCAAAGTGCTGGGATTACAGGCGTGAGCCACCACGCCCGGCCTTTTTTTTTTTTTTTTTTTTTTTAGACAGAGTTTTGCTATTGTTGCCCAGGCTGGATTGCAATGGTGCAATCTTGGCTCACAGCAACCTCCATCCGCCTCCCAGGTTCAAGCGATTCTCCTGCCTCAGCCTCCCCAGTAGCTGGGACTACAGGTGCCTGCCACCATGTCCTGCTAATTTTTTGTATTTTTAGTAGAGATGGGGTTTCATCATGTTGGCCAGGTTAGTCTCAAACTCCTGACCTCAGGTGATCCACCTGCCTCGGCCTCCCAAAGTGCTGGGATTACACGCATGAGCCACCACGCCCGGCCGCAAATAAACTCTTAAATTCATAAACCTTTTCTTTAGCAGACAGAACCCAAAGGTGTCTGACTCTTACAGATGTTCTCATTTTGCACAAATTACACTCTGACTAAATCAACTCTGCGGATGGAAAACCAAACTGCTGACCATGTTGAATTTTACCTTAGTTCTGTAGGTAACGGAAACCCCACCACTACCACCATCTTCTGTGATCTAGAGAAGCAGGCTACTACAAAATAACACCCTTCCCATTACAACTTAGATGATGTCCCTGTCTACCTATGTATAAGGCCAGACACACACTCTCCAAATTCCCATTCTTTGCCTCATGAACAATTAGCTGAACAGTTTTATCTTCACTGATCAGTTGAAACAAAATACCAGTGAACCCACACTTTGGTTAAGTTTCTTTCTTTCTTCCAGGCCCCTGAACTTCCACCCACCTTCAGTAGCCTGAGCAAGCACCCAACCCCACCTTTATGACCCCTCCTAAGAACAGGCTGACCTTAGGATCAAATATTCTCTAATCTAGCATCTGATTTTGCTCCCCTCCATCCTGCCCTCTCTCTCTCTCACTTTATTACTAATCTAGCTTGCTCCTCCCTATGAAAGAAAACTTTACCTAACCTTTGAGATGCTTTCAAATATTATACTTGGTGCTTTCCTCCTATCACTACAATACTTCATTCAAATAAGGTCACTACTTACCTAAATCTGGATTTTACTTGAGGGTGTCTAGAAACAGCCCCAGGGCAATAACAACTACAACCACAGAAGGGGCAACAGATCCCACCCCCAACCGCATCTGCCTATGGATCCCCTAGGAAACCTGCAGCATAGTCTCGCCAGGAAGAACTAAATGGGCCTTCGGTGACCTCCCCTTACAGGCTCAAGATTGGCCTTAGCTTGGAGTCACTGGCCTAAGGCCTCTGCTCTCCACTGAAGGGTACTCATTTTTTTTCTCTATTCGACAAGCTTTTATTGGGGTATCTACTATGTGCCAGGTACCAGTCTAAGTATTGGGGAACAAAGACTAATAAGCTCCCAGCCAGGTGCAGTGGCTCACGCCTGTAATCCCAGCACTTTGAGAGGCCGAGGCGGATGGGGAGTTCCAGACCAGCCTGACCAACATGAAGGAAACTCCATCTCTACCAGAGTCAAAAAATTCTGGTATCAAATCCTGGATTTGCCACTTATTAGCTCTGGGACTGTGAGCTAATGATTAATTCTTTCTTTCTTTTTTTTTTTTTTTGAGATGGAGTTTCACTCTTGTTGCCCAGGCTGGAATGCAATGGCGCGTTCTTGGCTCACTGCAACCTCCACTGCCTGGGTTCAAGCGATTCTCCTGCCTCAGCCTCCCAAGTAGCTGGGATTACAGGCATGCGCCACCGGACACCTGGCTAATTTTTTATTTTTAGTAGAGATGGGGGTTTCTCCATGTTGGTCAGGCTGGTCTCAAACTCCCGACTTCAGGTGATCCTCCCGCCTCGGCCTCCCAAAGTGCTGGGATTACAGGCGTGAGCCACCGCGGCTGGCTGAACAAACCTCTTCAAGGTGACGAACCCAGGGAGAGGTAGTGCTGACTTAGAACACAGAAATGTCTGACTCAAGTGTCAGGTCAGGTCATCCTGTCACATGGGACACCCCCTCACCCTCAATGAAGTGCTCAATGATCACCATCCCAAGATAAGACAATGCATTGTACACCCCCGTGTACCCAAAATGGCATTTCGCTTTTCAGTTTTCTTGCACTGCCATGACTGCGTGGGTTTTTTCTTGTCCTTCGGTATAGTTTTTCTCCCTTCTGTAGTCTGAGAGAATCCAGAAGGCAAGAATCAATACCCCTCAATACCAGCATCTGATTGGGTGACCCCCAGTATCCCCAAAGGAATGGAAACTGGGGTTGGCGAAGAAAAGCTGAGTGCCCCAGGGGTTGGCTATTTATTTGAGGGGGATACCAGGAGACTCTTTCCAGCCGAGGGTATCCAGCTGCTCCCCTGAGAGGCCCCAAACCTATCTCTGAGAAGATAACCGAGGAGCTCATAATTCACTAGATCCTGCAAGAGACTTGGCAGCTGAGGGCATCTTGGGTCTGCCCCAGGCAGTTCTGAAATCTAAGACCAGGGAAGGATAGAGGGTGGGCTAAGGACACATCACGGCGTAAAGTTTCCAAAAAGGAACCTCAACCCAAAGACATTCTGATAAGGTGTCTGTGCCTAGGGAAGATGAAAGGAGAGGCACAAAGTATTTTTACGGTAGAGCGCCAGGTGCTTACTCTCTGCTTTCCTCTCAGAGGAAAAGTCCACAAAGAGAAAACAAATCTCTTAAAAAAAGCCATCCATTGCTTTGTAGGGAAAAATGAATAAACAATTCTAATACTATGTTTGTTGGAAATGTAGAATGAAGGACAAAAAGCTGATAAAGTTGGCTGGGTGTGGTGGCTCACGCCTGTAATCCCAGCACTTTGTGAGGCCGAGGTGGGCAGATCATGAGGTGAAGAGATGGACACCAACCCGGCCAACATGATGAAACCGAGTCTCTACTAAAAATACAAAAAATTAGCTGGGCGTGGTGGTGCGCGCCTGTAATTCCAGCTTCTTGGGAAGCTGAGGCAGGAGAATCGCTTGAACCCAGGAGGCGGAGGTTGCAGTGAGCTGAGATTGCACCACTGCACTCCAGCCTGGTGACAGAGCGAGACTCCGTCTCAAAAAAAAAAAAAAAAAGCCATCCACATCCATTGCTTTGTAACCAACAAGCAATTCTAATACTGTGTTTGTTGGAAATGTAGAATGACGGACAAAAACCTGATAAAGTTGTGAACTGGAGGAAAGCTGGCCTTTGGAAATGCAGGGAGGAATTTATTCCCAGCCCCTGTATGAGGGCCGAGGTCGTGTCTTTGGGACCCTGCTTCCCATACATTTAGAAGACCTGTAGAGAAACCAGTATCCCCGGGAAAGATGAGGGACTGAGGATCCCACAGACCACAGCTCCTCCCACACTAACCCCACAACCGAGGCGGGATTCCCCCCATGACCCTCCCGTGACCCCGCACAATCTGGAGAAACGCGGGGCTGCGGTCGCCACGGACGGACGCGATAGGACGCCCGGGGTCCCGGCTGCCGGCCCAGACCCACCCCGCGGCAGAGGGGACCGAGGGACGAGCTGCGCCAGGAGGACTCAAGTCCCAGATCCCGAAGTCGCCGCGGGGAGGCCCGGGTCCCTCCACAGCTGGATCCTGCTGGATTCCAACCAGCCCCTCCTCCAAGTCTAGGGACTCCAAGCCCCGCACACGCACCGTATCCCGGGTTCCAGGTGTCCTGGCTTCCTTACTACGCCTCCTTTGGTCAGAGCTGGTCACAGCAGACAGGGACTGCAGCGGCGCCACCTGTGGCGTCCTCTGCAGAAAGGACCTGCCCCGCTGACCTGTTGACCGTTGCCCAGGCATCCTGGCGGCACACCCCATTGGACTGTTCAGAGCTCGCCCCAGCGCCCCCGATTGGGTAGATTCGGGCTCCACCCCCTGCGTCACAGAAGTCATCTAATAGGTGGCTGCAGGGATAGGCTGTAACCGCAGCCAATAGCAGGCCCAGCTTCCTCCAGGCAACCAAATCAGGCTCCGCTGGAGGCATCAACACAATTGTCCACAGGCTTTCCAGAGCTACTACTACTGGCCTCTTCCTGTACTCGGTGGGCCCTTTCTCCCTCTTCCAGGTCACAGATGAGCAGAAGGAATTCCAGACTCAGTGTCCAATGGAGACATCTCCTTCCCTCAAAGCAAAAGGAAGCCGAGTCCAAACCAGGCCACACTGGAACAGCAGGGAGGGCCTGATGTCCTCCAGAGATCAGGAATTTGGGATGGGGCAGTTGGTGCCATGGCCAAGCCATTTTCTCACCTTATCTCTTAGTCTACTCATTTTCAGCCCAGAAAAAAAAACAACAACAACAAAAACCATGCCAACGTGGGAATAAAATTAATAAAGGCATGGAAAAATTATTAAATGCATAGTTATATGGCAGCATTATTCCATAAAGGAATCAAAAGGAAAGCAAACATTTGAACTAGCTCAGGCAAGCAGGCTTCACCCACAGTTCACAAGGAACACCTGCATTCAGGTTTAACATATTCTTAATCTTGGGAGTCAGACTCTTGACTACTGAAATGGATGCCCAGGTCGATCAGACCCTCCTGATGAGGTAGGGAAACCTAAGGATTTAACTCTGGGAGCTCAACATGCCCTTATGTACCCTCCACACAGTGTGGAAAAGCTGCCTCCTTCAAGACCTTCATTTACACCTGCAGGAGACTCTTACCTGGAGTCAGTTTAACATTCTAACCTACATAAACTATCAGCTACATAAATCCTTTCTCCAAAATGAGTCTTTATCTGAGCCTGACCATGCCAGATTTACTTCACATATACAAATTACAGTTGGACCACAATGACCCTATGTATGCCAAAACAAACACATTGCCCAGAAAATAGTTAGCCTGAGAAAGGACAGAACACCCCAAGCATGTCTTCACATGAATCTTTTGCTTTCCAGGGCTCTGCTTCTCAGAATCTGCACTCCTGTAGCTGTTCTGAGCAACCAGAGGCCACCTACGGAGACAACAGGCTGCCCAGAAAGCCACATGAGGAGCTCCATTTCCCTCCCTTTGCAGGCTCCAGACTGGCCTCAGGTTGGAGTCACTGGCTGCAGGCGCTGCTGCCCACTGCAGGTTCTTCACCTGCTTCTCACCAGCACTGATCAGCTACATGAGACAAAGACTCTCTATCGTACTGTATGAGAAAGAAACCAGCAAAGTCCTACGTTTCCTCCTGTGTTTACATACAAATCAGAGGAAGAAAATCTTAAAATATTTTATATGGATTAAAACACTGGAGTGGGCGTAAGTAATGGCTTGTGCCTGTAATCCCAGCACTTTGGGAGGCTGCAGTGGGAGGATCGCTTGAGCCCAGGAATTCAAGACCAGCTTGGGCAGCATAGATTTTCACCTCTAGAAAAAAATTTAAAAACTTAGCAGTGCATGGTGATGCGCATCCATGGTCCCAGCTACTCAGGAGGCTGAGGCAGGAGGATCACTTGAGCCTAAGAGGTCAGCACTGCAGCGAGCCAAGATTGTGCCACTGCACTCCAGCCTGGGCAACAGAGTTAGACTCTGTCTCTAAAAAGATTTAAATAAATATATTTTAAAATTGGCAAATAAGCATTCCTTTTAGAAAACAAAGATGCTAGCGAACTATTATTTTCACATTAACACTTATGAAAAGAACTAATCAAATGTGAGCTCTTCCCTTTTTTCTCTGTTTCAGTGGCCACCTGACCTTCACAGTACATGGTTGTCACCAGGTGCTCTGTGGCTGGGGATGTTCATGTCCAGTTTATCCATCTGAATCTCTCTCAACCCCACCCCACCACCATTGACCCACCCAATTATTTCTGTAGCTAAACATTAAGCATTGTATAAATAACTGTCCCTTTCAAAGAGGACTCAGGTTGAATACACCTGTGATTCTCTCAGATCCTCTGATATAATCATTTGCATTTGTCTTCCAGGATAGACTGTGATATCTTGAGTAGGAACCTCATTCATTGTATTTGCTTCTGTTCCCCCAAACCTGTGTCACCACCTGATCATTGAGGACACAGAAAATTTATTTTATTTATTTTTTTGAGATGGAGTCTCACTTTTTTTTTTGAGATGGAGTCACCCAGGCTGGAGTGCAGTGGCATGATCTCAGCTCACTGCAACCTCCACCTCCCACGTCAAGCGATTCTCCTGGTCAGCCTCCAGAGTAGCTGAGATTACAGGCATGCCTCACCAAACCTTGCTAATTTTTTTGCATTTTTAGTAGAGACAGGGTTTCACCATGTTGGCCAGGCTGGTCTCGAACTCCTGACCTCAAATGATCCACCCGCCTCAGCCTCCCAATGTGCTGGGATTACAGGCATGAACCACCGCGCCCAGCCAACACAGAATATTTTAAGCTGACCATCAACCTGCTGTAAACATTGGAGATCTCAGCACAACCCTAAAACATCCACACCCCAGGGAGAGTATACAGATATTAACGTGCCCTCACTACAAGGAGCTCCACTGACTCCCTTTCTGGAAAATGACTCAAATCGGTTTTCTGGAGGACTATATGCAATTAATAGATATAAAAATAACATGTTGTTTGCTTTTATTTACATGATTTACCATTTCTGTTTGTTTTTGAGACAGGGTCTTAGTCTGTCACCCATGCTGGGGTGCGGTGGCTTAATCTTGGCTCACTGCAACCTCCACCTCCTGGGCTCAAGCAATCCTCCCACCCCAACCCCTTGAGTAGCTGGGACTACAGGTGTGCACCAACATGTTTGGCTAATATTTAAATTTTTGGTAGAGATGAGGTCCCACTATATTGCCCAGGCTGGTCTCAAACTCCTGAAATCAAGCAGTTCTTCTGATTCAGCCTCCCTAAGTGCTGGGATTACAGGCGTGAGCCACTGTGCCTGGCTGATTTAACTTTCATAGGTTGTTAAGAAAGCGATTAACCCTGTGAACCATGGTTGGATTTCACTGATTCTCAAAACTTGTAGTGAATTCTTATAATTTTATGTTGCCTTGACATCCATTTTAAATACAAGTTTAACTTTCTCATAGGAGAAGCAGGGTTTATTCACTGTTAACACTGTTTCCAGTTCTCCACCTCCTCCCAGTTCCTTAATGTAGTGAATCCATATATCTGCCTTAGACAACTGATACCCAGTGACCACCTCGTTATAGGACAGCCAGATATAACGTTCATACTGGCCTCACTGACCCCCACGCTTCATATGAACTGTGTAGGTGTGCTACAGTAACCACCTCTCAGTCACACTGTGATCTCCTTGAACTTGTGCCTGCTTGCTTTAAACCCATCAATTAAAATTCCCTAGGGGAAACTTTTGTGTCTTTTTTGGTTTGTTTGTTTTTGAGTCGGCGTCTCGCTCTGTCGCCCAGACTGGAGTGCAGTGGCATGCTCTCGGCTCACTGCAACCTCCACCTCCCAGCTTCAAGCAATTCTCCTGCCTCAGCCTCCCAAGTCTCTGGGACTATAAGCACGTACCACCACGCCCGGCCAATTTTTTCTATTTTTAACAGAGTTGGGGTTTCACCGTGTTAGCCAGGATGGTCTTGATCTCCTGACCTCGTGATCCACCGGCCTTCGCCTCCCAAAGTGCTGGGATTACATACGTGAGGCACCTCGCCCGGCTGTATCCCTAGGGGAAACTTTCGGTAACACCCTGGACTCTAATAAAGGTACTGACCCATGGGTTCATCCATTTCTCCCTTTCTCTCCATGTGGTCCCTCTGTGTGTGTGGCCTCCGTGTATACTGTGTATCCTCCAGGACCTGTAAGTAATAAAATCCTTATTTCCATCTTATGTCTCTCGTAATCATTGAAAGGGTGCTCTCCATTTTAAAGATCCTAAATTATTACAATTGGTATAGTTGGCAGGATACAGAGTGATTCTCATGATTAGCACAAGTTATCTTTGAGTTGCTATAGCTTATTAACATCATAAATCATCTGGGCAACCACACTGGTGAGGTAGTAGTATTTGCTGTAATAAATGAAATAGAGATGAAAAAACAACACAAGGCCAGGCGTGGTGGCTCACGCCTGTAATCCCAGCACTTTGGGAGGCCAAGGCAGGCGGATCATGAGGTCAGGAGATCGAGACCATCTTGACTAACACGTTGAAATCCCGTCTGTACTAAAAATACATAAAAAAAAAATTAGCCAGGCATAGTGGCAGGTGCCTGTAGTCCCAGCTACTCCGGAGGCTGAGGCAGGAGAGTCACTTCAACCTGGGAGGCAGAGGTTACAGTGAGCCGAGATCGCGCCACTGCACTCCCGCCTGGGTGACAAAGCAAGACTCTGTCTCAAAAAAAAAAAAAAAAAAGAAAGAAAGATCAACAAAATGAAGAGTTTTTTTAAAAAGGTAAAATCAGCAAAGCTCTAGCCTGACTCACTAGATAAAAATAGCAGATTCAAATAAAGAAATTCAGATGTGAAAAAAAAGGAGTTGGCCGGGCATGGTGGCTCACACCTATAATCCCAGCACTTTGGGAGGCCAGGCGGGTGGATCACCTGAGGTCAGGAGTTCGAGACCAGCCTGGCCAACATGGTGAACCCCGTCTCTACTAAAAATACAAAAATTAGCTGGGCTTGGTGGCGGGCACCTGTAATCCCAGCTACTCGGGAGTCTGAGGCAGGAGAATCGCTTCAACTGGGGAGGCAGAGGTGACAGTGAGCTGAGATCGTGCCATTGCACTCCAGCCTGGGAGACAAGAGCGAGACTTCATCTCAAAAAAAAAAAAAAGAAAAGAAAAGAAAAAGAAAAAAAAGGAGTTGGCTGGGTGTGGTGGCTCACGCCTATGATCCCAGCACTTTGGAAGGCTGAGGAAGGAGGATCACTTGAGGTCAGGAGTTCAAGACAAGCCTGGCCAACATGGTAAAACCCCGTCTCTACTAAAAATACAAAAAATTAGCTGGGCATGGTGGCGCATGCCTGTAATCCCAGCTACTCAGGAAGCTGAGACAGGAGAATCACTTGAACACGGGACGGGGAGGTTGCAGTGAGCGGAGATCGCACCACTGCACTCCAGCCTGGACGACAGAACAAGACTGTCTCAAAACAACAACAAAACAACAAAAAAAACAGGGTCATTCCAACTTATACTAAAGAAATAGAAAGAATTATAAAACAGACTATTATGAACAACTACACACCAATGAATTGGAAAACCTAGAAGAAATAGATAAATTCCTGGGCACGTACAACCTATCAAAATTGCGTCGTGAAGAAATAGAAAATCTGAACAGACTAATAAGAAGTAATGAGGTTAAATCAGTAATAAAAAGTGTCCCATCAAAGAAAAGCCCAGGACCTGATGGCTTCACTGCTGAATTCTACCAAACAAACACAACTAAAAAGTACAGGCCAACATCCCTGATTAACATAGATGTAAAAATCCTCAACAAAATACATGCAAACTGAATTCAACAGCACATTGAACAGACCATTCACCCTGACCAAGTAGGATGTATCCCATGGGTGTAGGGATAGTTCAACATATGGAAACCAATAAACGTGATACATCACAGTAACAGAATCAACAAGAAAAAAATATCATTTCAATATATGCAGAAAATGACTTGATAACATTCCATATATTCATGATAAAAACTCACAACAGGGCCGGGCGCAGTGGCTTATGCCTGTAAACCCAGCACTGTGGGAAGCCGAGGCGGGATCATGAGGTCAAGAGATCGAGACCATCCTGGCCAGCATGGTGAAACCCCATCTCTACTAAAAATACAAAAAATTAGCTGGGCGTGGTGGCACATGCCTGTAGTCCCAGCAACTCGGGAGGCTGAGGCAGGAGGATCACTTGAACCCAGGAAGCAGAGGATGCAGTGAATTGAGATCGTGCCACTGCACTCCAGCCTGGCGACAGAGTGAGACTCCGTCTCAAACAAAACAAAGCAAAACAAAACAAAAAAAACTCACAACAAATTAGGTATAGAAGGAACATATCTCAACACAATGAAAGCTTTATATGACAAACCTACGGCAAACATCATACTGAACAGGAAAAAAATGGAATGCTTTTTCTCTAAGATCTGGAATAAGATAAGCACTCCCACCACTTCTAGTCAATGTTGTATTGGAAGCCCTCATCAGAATTATTAGACAAAAAAGAACAACAAAGGAAGGGAGGGAAGGAAGGAGAAAAGCCAACCAAATTGGAAAAGAAGAAGTAAAATTACATTTTTGCGGACAAGATTGTATATATAGAAAACCTTGCCGGGCACGGTGGCTCACGCCTGTAATCCCAGCAGTTTGGGAGGCTGAGGCGGGTGAATCACAAGGTCAGGGGTTCAAGACCAGCCTGACCAACATGGTGAAACCCCCGTCTCTACTAAAAATACAAAAATTAGCTGGGCGTGGTGGCAGACGCCTGTAATCCCAGCTACTCAGGAGGCTGAGGCGGGAGAATTGCTTGAACCTGACAGGCGGAGGCTGCAGTGAGCCAAGATCGTGCCACTGCACTCCAGCCTGGCAACAGAGCGAGACTCTGTCTCAAAAAAAAAAAAGAAAAAGAAAAAAGAAAACCCTAAAGACACCACCAAAAAATTGTTAGAACTAAAACAAATGCAGCAAAGTTGAAGGATATGAAAATCAACATATAAAAATCAGTAGTGGCCCCAGCCTGGCCAATATGGTGAAACCCCATCTCTACTAAAAATATATAAAAAAAAAAAAAATTAGCCAGGCATGGTGGCAGATGCCTGTAGTCCCAGCTACTCGGGAGGCTGAGGCAGGAGAATCGCTTGAACTTGGGAGGCAGAGGTTGCAGTGAGCCGAGATCGTGCCACTGCACTCTAGCCTGGGCAAGAGAGCGAGACTCTGTCTCAAAAAAAAAAAAAAAAAAAAAAATTCAGTAGTGTTTCTATATGCCAACAGCAAACTATTAGAAAAAGGCATCAAGAAACCAATTCCATAGATGATAGCTACAAAAATAAAATATTTAGGAATAAATATAACCAAAGAGGTGAAAGAGCTCTACAATAAAAACTATAAAATGCCGGTGAAATAAATTGAAGAGGACACAAATAAATAGGAGGATATTCTGTGTTCATGGACTGAAAGAATTAATATTTTTCTTTTCTTTTTTTTTTTTTTGTTTTGAGACAGAGTCTCACTCTGTCACCCCAGGTTGGAGTGCAGTGCTGTGATCACAGCTTACTGCAGCCTTGATGTTCCGGGCTCAAGTAACCTTCCTGCCTCAGCTGGGACTACAGGCACACACCACCACGCCCAGCTAATTTTTTAAAAATTTGTTGTAGAGACGAGGTCTCACTGTTTCCTGGGCTAGTCTCAAACTACTGGGCTCAAGTGATCCTTCTGCCTCTGCCTGCCAAAGTGCTGGGAATACAGATGTGAGCCACCATGCCCAGCTTAGAATATTCTTCAAATGTCCATACCACCCAAAGCAATTTGCAGATTCAAGTGTGATCCCTATCAAAATACAAGAGCCATACTTCACAGAAATCGAAAAAATTATCCTAAAATTCATATGGAACCACAAAAATAGCCAAAGCAATCTTGAGTATGACTTCACAATAGACTACAAATCTAAAGTAACCAAAAAAGCACCGTACTGGCATAAACATAGACAGACCAGTGGAACAGAATAGAGAAACCAGAAATAAATTCACACACTTACCAACGATTTTTGACAAAGGTGCCAAAAACACAGACTGGAGAAAGGACAGTCTCTTCAATGAATGGTGATGGGAAAACTGGATTATCAACATGCAGAACATTGAAACTGGACCCCTATCTTTCACCATATACAAAAATCCACTCAAAATGGATTACGGACTTACATGTAAGACTTGAAACTGTAAAACTACTAAAGGAAAACAGTAAAATTCTACATGACCTTGTCTGTGCAAGGACTTTGTGGATAAGAACTCAAACACACGGGCAGCAAAAGCAAAAACAGACATGAGATTACATCAAACATCTCAATCCCAGCATTATCTCACTCATTCCACCTCTGGGAGTTACTCTGGGGCAGTCTCTGGCTGGATTCATCTTTCTCTGTGCTCTGCACAGACCTAGTACCAAGGGGACTAGAAGCAGCATTTACTTGTTCACTAAAAAAGGGGTATCTGCAGGAAGGTGCTGCAGTTCAGGCTGTGGCCACGCTGGGGCATCAGTAGACAGGTAAAATGTAGTAAGATAACCCACAGAAGGTGCATCGTGACGTGCTTGACAGTAATTCTGTCTGAAGCGTTTTGTTTTGCTTTGTTTTGTTTGAGACAGGGTCTCACTCTGTCACACAGATTGAAGTGCGGTGGCATGATCTCAGCTCACTGCAATCTCCGCTTCCCAGGTTCAGGCGATTCTCCTGTCTCAGCCTCCCGAGTAGCTGGAATTACAGGCGTGTACCACCACACCCGGCTGATTTTTATATTTTTAATAAGAGACGGGGTTTCACCACGTAGGCCAGGCTGGTCTTGAACTCCTGACCTCAAGCTATCTGCACACCTCGGCCTCCCAAAGTACTGGGATTACAGGCGTGAGCCACTGTGCCTGGGCATAAAGTGTTTCCATTAGCAGTACTCATGTTGCGGTATTATTGTCATCATCATCATTTTCATAAAGTAGAAAGTAAAACTTCTCTCAATGGTACCCATAATTTACACTGAAGATGTAACTATTCCTTGAGAACAAGATAGAACCTGGCCTGGGAAACAGCACTAATGCTTGTAAATTAGTTCTGTGACAACTATTCTGATTTCTTCTATGGTTGCTTATTCTTCCATACCATGTAAGTAAATTCCGTGATTATTAGTTTTGGGTGATTCATGCTTTCCCCACTAGAAAGAACAATTTGGTTTATTACGCTATCTTCCACCCGTTTCTCCAACACCAGTCACTATTTCAGTCAGAGCATGAAGAAAAATAATTTTGGAAATGGAAACCTGATGTTCTGCCATTTAAAGGTACTTCATGAAATCCACTCCAAGAGGGATCACTTGCTTCATTTCCTTGCAGAGTTGTTTTTTGTTTTTTTTTTTTTTTTTGCGATGGGGTCCCACTCTGTCGCCCAGGCTAGAGTGCAGTGGTGCAATCTTGGCTCACTGCAACCTCCGCCTGCTGGGTTCAAGCAATTCTCCTGCCTCAGCCTCCTGAGTAGCTGGGATTACAGGCGTCAGCCACCATGCATGGCTAATTTTTCGTATTTTTAGTAGAGTTGGGGTTTCACCATGATGGCCAGGCTGGTCTCAAACTCCTGACCTCGTGATCCATCCGCCTTACCCTCCCAAAGTGCTGGATTACAGACATGAGCCACTGTGCCTGGCCCATTTATTTCTTTATTGTGCAAGCAGTGACTTATTTATCCACTGCTTTTTTTTTTTTTTTTTTTTGAGATGGAGTCTGGCTCTGTCACCTAGGCTGGAGTGCAGTGGCGTGATCTCAGCTCACTGTAACCTCTGCCTCCCAGGTTCAAGCAATTATCTTGCCTCAGCCTCCCAAGTAGCTGGGATTACAGGTGTGCACCACCACACCCAGCTAATTTTTCTGTTTTTAGTGGAAATAGGGTTTCGCTGTGTTGGCGAGGCTGGTCTCGAACTCCTGGCCTTAAGTGATCTGCCTGCCTCGGACTCCCAAAGTGCTGGGATTACAGACATAAGCCACCACACCAGGCCTGGCTCTCCATTTCTTGAACACCACCTTTACCCCAGGTACAGAATTAGTGGTAAATAGTTACACATTACCTATTACATAAACTTTCCATACCTAAGAAGTTCTCTCCCACCTTTTCTGGACACTATATGCTGCTATTTCTTCTCATATTCTTAAAGATTTCCGAGCAAAGAATTTCTATTTGCTTAAATTATCAGATATATATTTGATATACATGTCTGTGAATAGTGTGCAGAGGAAATTAAAAGTATCCCTCTTCAATAAAGGGAAGTGGTTATCATAGGCCCTGGGTCTGGGAGTGAGGTCCAGGTCTACAGTGAAGGGGGGAGGAGACAGGGAAGTCAATCCTGGGGATCAAATCTAAATGCCTACTAAAATCCAAATGGACTGTGTAGGAACAGGTCCCTCATGGATAGAAAAACGAAAAAAACAGTGCTGAGAACAAGTAGGAAAGAGACCTAGAGACTAGGCGCAGTGGCTCACGCCTGTAACCCCAGCACTATCGGAGGCCGAGGCGGACAGATCACTTGAGATCAGGAGTTCAAGACCAGCCTGGCCAACATGGCGAAATCCCGTTTCTACTAAAAATACAAAAATTAGCTGGGTGTGGTGGTGCGCACCTGTAATCCCAGCTACTCAAGAGGCTGAAGCATGAGAAGCCTTTGAATCTGGGAGGCAGAGGGTGCAGTGAGCCAAGATCTCACCACTGCACTCCAGCTTGGGCGACAGAGCAAGACCCTATCTCAAAAAAAAAAAAGAGAGACCTAGAGTGTCTTGGTATGCTGAAGGTCCCACAAGGTCTATGCAGTACTGTGGTCTTTTCTCCCTTTTTTGTGTGTAAAACATACATAAAATTCACCATCATAATCAATTTTAAGTGTACAGTTCAGTGCCATTAAGAACATTCATACTAGTGTGCAACCATCACCACCATCCACCTCTGGAACCCTTTTTATCTTGCAAAATTGAAACTCTATGCCCATGAAATAACTATCCATTACCCAATTTCCCTAACCTTTGGCAAATGGTATTGTACTTTTTCTATCAATATGACTACTCTAGATACCTGATATAAGTAGAATCATACCGTATTGTCTTTACATGAATGGCCCATTTCACTTAGCACGTCAAGGTTCATCTTGCAGCATATTTGTAAATTTCCTTACTTTGTAAGACTCAGTAATATTCTCTTGTATGTATAAACTTCCTTTTGTTTATTCATCTGTTGATGAAAACCTGAGTAGTTTCCAGAGTTTACCTATTGTGAATGATGCTATGTACACAGGTGTACAAAACCTATTTGAGACTTTGCTTTCAATCTTTTTTGTTTTGTTTTGTTTTTTGAGACGGAGTCTTGCTCTCTCACCCAGGCTGGAGTGCAGTGGCGCGACCTCAGCTCACTGCAAGCTCTGCCTCCCGGGTTCATGCCATTCTCCTGCCTCAGCCTCCCGAGCAGTTGGGACTACAGGCGCCTGCCACCACGCCCGGCTAATTTTTTTTTAGTAGAGACGGGGTTTCATCATGTTAGCCAGGATGGTCTCAATCTCCTGACCTTGTGATCCGCCTGCTTCGGCCTCCCAAAGTGCTGGGATTACAAGCGTGATCCACCACGCCCGGCCCTGCTTTCAATCTTTTTATTTTCCCAGAAATGGAAATGCTGATCATATGTTATTTCTATATTTTAATCTGGGGATCTGCCATACTGTTTTCAGCAGGCTTATACCACTGTACATTCCCAGTGATAGTGCACAATGTTCTCCAACATTCCACATCCTTGACAGTATTTCTTGTTTTCCATCTTTGATACTACTAATCCTAATGAGATGCTATGTATGTCTTGAGTTTGATTTGTATTTCCCTAATGACTAAAGATGTCGAGCATTGTTACGTGCTTATTGGCCATCTGGGTATCTTCTTTGGAGAAATGTCTATTCAAGTCCTTTCCTCCATTTTAAAATTGGATTGTGTCTTAGCTTGGGTTGCTAAAACAAAATACCATAAATTGGAAAGCTTAATTAATCAACAAACATTTATTTCTCATGGTTTGGGAGGCTGGGAAGTCCAATATCAAGGCACTGGCATAGTCCATGTCTGGTAAGGGCCTGCTTCCCGGTTCAAAGATAGCTATCTTCTCACTGCACCCTCTCATGGTGAAGGGCAAAGCTAGCTCTCTAGGGATTCCTATCAGGAAACTAATCCCAATTACAAGGCCTCCATCTTCATGATGTCCTCCAATCCTAAAAACCACCAGAGACAGGGCCTCCAAATACCATCACATTGTGGGGGAGAGGGGGGGCACGGGGGTAAGGTTTCAACATATGAATCTGAGGTGGCATACACTCAGCCAAAACATTACACCTCTGGCCCCCAAAATCCATGTCATCACATGTAAAATATATTCATCTCATCCCAAAGGCCTCAAAAGTCTCAGTTAATTCCAGCATGAAGCCTAATGTTTAAACTCAAACTCCAAAGTGTCATCTCAATATCACATCACTCAGATATGGATGAGACTCAATTCATGCTGAGGCAAAATTCTTCTTCAGCTCCGAACCGGTGAAAACCAAACTAGTCATGTATTTCCAAAATATGAGACAGGCACAGGATAGAGATTCCTATTCCAAAAGTGAGAAACAGGAGAAAGGGGTGAGCTCCCAAACAAGTCTGAAACCCAGAAAGCAAACTGAAGACTTTCCATATTCTTTAGATATGTAGATACTTGTAGACCTGTCCTCCACTATTCATTTTCACAGGTATTCGAAGGTTGTGTGATAAATGAAAGCTTTCCCACATTCTTTACGTAAGGTTTATCTCCATTATGAGCTCTTTCATGTCTTTGAAAGGAACTGGAATAACTGAACGTTTTTCCACATTGCTTACATTCATAGGGTTTTTCTCCGGTATGAGTTCTTTCATGTATTCTAATGGAACTGGCATAATTGAATGCTTTCCCACATTCTTTACATTCATAGGGTTTTTCTCCAGTATGAGTTCTTTCATGTGTTCGGACAGAACTAGGACAGTCAAAGGCTTTACCACATACCTGACATTTATAAGGTCCATCTCCAGTGTGCAGTATCATATGTTTTCTAATCCTTTTAAGAGAAATGAAGGCTTTCCCACATACCTGACATTCATAGGGTTTCTCTCCAGTGTGAGTTCTTTCGTGTATTTGAAATGAACTGGGACAGTCAAAGGCTCTACCACATACCTGACATTTATAAGGTCCATCTCCAGTGTGCTTTATCATGTGTCTTCGGACACTTGGGAGAGAAATGAAGGCTTTCCCGCATTCCTTACATTCATAGGGCTTCTCTCCAGTGTGAGTCCTTTCATGTGTTCGAACATTACTGGAAGAACTGAAGGTTTTACCACATTTATTACATTCATAGGGTTTCTCCCCAGTATGAGTTCTTTCATGCTTTCGAACATAACTGGGAAAAATAAAGGCTCTCCCACATACTTTACATTTATAAGGTCCATCCCCAGTGTGCCTAATCATATGACTTTGAAAATTTGTGAAAGAAATGAAGGCCTTCCCACACTGTTTACATTCATGGGGTTTCTCTCCAGTATGAGTTCTTTCATGTATTCGAAATAAACTGGGGCGGTCAAAGGCTTTTCCACATTCCTGACATTTATAAGGTCCATCTCCAGTGTGCCTAATCATGTGTCTTTGAAAACTTGGAAGAGAAATGAAAGCTTTTGCACATTCCTGACATTCATAGGGTTTCTCTCCAGTGTGAGTTCTTTCATGTATCTGAAATAAACTTGGGCGATCAAAGGCTTTCCCACATTCCTGACATTTATATGGTCCATCTCCAGTGTGCTTAATCATGTGTCTTCGAACACTTGGGAGAGAAATGAAGGCTTTCCCACATTCCGGACATGCATAGGGTTTCTCACCAGTGTGAGTTCTTTCATGTCTTCGAAAGGATTGACAAGAACTGAAGGCTTTCCCACACTGCTTACATTTATATGGTTTCTCTCCATATTCCTGATAGTCATATGGTTTGTGTCCAAGGTGAGATCTGATGTGCCTACTAAGGGATGAATGATGCATGAAGACTTTCCCACACAAACTACATTCACATGGTCTTACTATAGTAGGAATTTTCTTGTTCAGATTAAGATTGAGAATCTGACTGAAGGCTTCTCCACATTGATCATATTCTTTACTTTCACTGAGTCCCTCTTCCATATGATTTCTGGAAAAAATAGAAAGCAAGATTTAGTGGTTTGTGACTTTATATTTATTAATAGGTATTCGACTTACATTTTTACCATAATCGCGGAAAGGGTAAGTTTTCAGGCCTGTATGAATTGTTTGAAAGTGAATGGATGGAATGCTCTGCAAGAGAGCTTGACAGTAGCTATCACCAAAAAAGTGATATCCATATATACAGTTTCTTAATACTATTTCCAAGTGAATGATTTTGCAACACTGAACATCTATGCCACTTTTTCTTTTTCTGGTGAAAAAGTTGTAGGAATAAATAAATCTGAAGCTGGGCTTACTGGTTTGTTTACTTATTTTTAAAATTTCATGACATACTAAGAAGGAGACATTGCTTTATCTTGTCAGTGCAAATTACCTTAAAATTCTCCCCTGATTTTTGTACCAATCTTCAATGCTCTGGTCTTCCCATTTTTTTCCTAAAATATAGTCAGAAAAAATCCTTATGAACTGATAGACATTACAGAAAAATGACTAGATTCTAAGTTCATGATAAGGTGCAAACAACCCTGATTTATTCACCCAAGTATTCCCTTTTCCACATTAGACATCATGAAAAAGCATTAAAAAGCAAGAAATACTTCTTCTCTAACTGACTAAAAGAAGGAATGATGTCATCCTTACCTACACAGGCCAGGTTTCTAAAGGTTTCCCGCATCACATCTCTGTAGAGTTTCTTCTGGGAAGGATCCAGCAAAGCCCACTCCTCAAGTGTGAAGTTCACAGCCACATCCTCAGAGGCCACTGAGTCCTAAAACATCCCAAATATGCAATGCAGGAGGAAGAATGAGATGACAGTACAGGGATGTAAACCCAATTCATAAAAGTTCACAAATGGCTAGGTGTGGTGGCTCATGCCTGTAATCCCAGCACTTTGGGAGGCCAAGGCATACAGATCACCTGAGGTCAGGAACTTGAGGCCAGCCCGGTCAACATGGTGAAACCCCATCTCTACTACAGATATATGAATTAGCTGGGCGTGGTGGCGTATGCCTGTTAATCCCGGCTACTCAGGAGGCTGAGGCAGGGGAATCGCTTAAACAAGGGAGGCAGAGGTTACGGTGAACCAAGATCACGCCACTGCACTTCAGCCTGGCTGACAGAGAGAGACCCCATCTCAAACAAACAAACAAAAAACAAAACAAAAAAGTCGACAAAACGATGTGGCAGTCTCCAAACATTTATTTTATGATAAATAAATATGGTTGTCAGAATTCCGTCTACATTCACTTTCTCATAAATTTAATTACCCCATGAAAACATGCAACTGATCTCTACATTTTTACTGTAGTCACTACAAGTTTTATTGGTCTCTAATGGCAGGATCCAGTTCACCTTGGAGAAACAAATAAAATGCTATACAAAGAAAACAAATTTTGGCCAGGCCTGGTGGCTCACACCTGTAATCCCAGCACTTTGGGAGGCTGAGGCAAGAGGATCACAAGGTCAGGAGTTTGAGACCAGCCTGACCAACACAGTGAAACCCCGTCTCTACCAAAAATACAAAAAAATTAGCCGGGCATGGTGGCATGCACCTGTAATCCCAGCTACTCGGGGGGCTGAAGCAGGAGAATAGCTTGAACCCAGGAAGCGGAGGTTGCAGTGAGCTGAGATCATGCCATTGCACTCCAGCCTGGAGGACAGAGAGAGACTAAGTCTCAAAAAAAAAAAATTTAAGATCATCATTCCTACCAGGAAAAACTTCCATTTCCTTTCATATCTCACACCAATCAGCATTCCATGAAACACAGGGTAGGCCAGGCGCACTGGCTCATGCCTGTAATCCCAACACTTTGGGAGGCAGAGGCAGGCGGATCACCTGAGATCAGGAGTTTGAGACCAGCCAGCCCAACATGGCAAAACCCTGTCTCTACTAAAAATACAAAAAATTCACTGGGCGTGGTGGTGGGCACCTGTAATACCAGCTACTTGGGAGGCTGAGGAAGGAGAATCGCTTGAGACCAGGAGGCGGACGTTGCAGTGAGTAGAGATTGTGCCACTGCACTCCAGCCTGGGTGACAAGAGCAAAACTCTGTCTCAAAAAAAAAAAAAAAAAGAAAGAAAGAAAGAAAAAAAGAAACACAGGATAAAAACTGAAAAAGGTATCCATGAATAAATAAATATACACTGAAGAAGTGAAACCATTTTCTTCTGTTCCCTTCATCAAACATGAGAGGCCAGAAGGCCCGTAGAAATCCACGTTCTGACAAAATCCAGCTGACCACACTTTCCTGAAGGATTCCAGGCCATCAGACGTAGACAGATCAAGTTGGTTGAAAGAAAATATTCCTCTGCAAAAGAAGTCATTTTAACCTGCATGTATAACATTTGTTATAGACTCACTGATTCCTTTGACTCTGTCCCATTTCACTAGGCTAGGAAGCTACTGGGAAGACAGAACTCAGGCATGAAGAAGAAGGTATGGCAACTTAGGCAGCGCCCCCTCACCCAGCAAAATCCCCAGTCATGAACGTCAAGGGCAGTTTCCCACCTATTTTTACCTTACATACACAAACATACTAAGAAGACAAAATGCCAGAAGAGTTTTTTCTGGCAGATACATAACAAGGTACCCTATGACTTGCTAACCTTGAGGAACAGGTTAAGAGTTGCAATTTCTGAGGGATTTCATTCAAGTCCAGATGGTTTGATGGTGAATTTGACCATGATTATAAAATACACGAAGGGATCAGCAGTGCTTTTCTCCAAAAGAACATAAAATCCTCTTTCTCAAATTTCAAGAGGAAATGATTCCTGACCAGTCACTATGTGATACTACATTGTGTAATGTCAAGGCAAAATAAAATAAGGGGAAAGATGGGTTCTTTTGGTTTTCTTAGAAATGGGAACTTGCTCCGTCATCCACACTGGAGTGCAGTGGCATGATCACAGCTCACTGAAGCCTTGATCTCCTGGGCTCATGTGATCCTCCCTCCTGAGTCTCTCAAGTAGCTAGAACTATAGTCGCAAGACACCATGTCTAGCTAATTTTTAAATTTTTTGTAGAGATGGGGTCTTACTTTGTTGCTCAAGCTGATCTCAAATTCCTGCCTCAGCCTCCCAAAGTGCTGGGATTACAGGTGTAAACCACCACACCTGGCTGGAAAGATGGGTTCTGAGAAAGAATGAAATGTCCTCAAGATAGCCTCTTACAAAATATTTTTTAAATTCTATAAATCCCCTAAAAACTGTTGAAGAGTCAACAAAAAGTTCTTCTCCAAATGTAGCAGGAATAATGAATATCTAACAATGGTCAAAGTCTTCTGAAGAACAACATGATAGCTTCCCTAACCTTTAACAAGAATTCTGAATGCTGGCCAGGTATGGTGGCTCATGTCTGTAATCCCAGCACTTTGGGAGCCTGAGGCAGGCAGATCACTTGAGTTCACTTGAGTCAGGATCATTTGAGTTAGGAGTTTGAGTCTGACCTGGGAAACACGGCGAAACCTCGTCTCTACTAAAAATACAAAAATTAGCCAAGCATGTTGACGCGCACCTGTTACCCCAGCTACCTGGGAGGCCGAGGCAGGAGAATCACTTGAACCTGGGAGGTGGAAAGTGCAGTGAGCCGAGATTGTGCCACTGCACTCCAGCCTGGGTGGCAAGACTCTGTCTCCAAAAAAAATAAAAAAAAAAATAGGAGAACCATGGTAGGCACTGAGGAAAAAAGACCACATATCTTTCTTACAATACCACAGAAGGCCACAACCCAGGCCAGGAACAAAGGCTCACTAACAAATCATATGATTACAAAATATGTCACACCTCAGGTAAAATGCTCAATTAAAGCCCAAGAAGGAAGGTCAGAGACAAAAAAAGAAACAAAAGCAAGGGCAACTAATAGAAAAAAGTAAAAAATATGGTAGATATTAATACAACTGTATCAATAATCACTTTGAATGTCAATAGTCCAAATATAATTAGAAGACAGATGCTGTTATAGTGGATTTTAAAAACATAGTATGTTGGCTAAAAGGAAACCACTTTAAATACAAAGACACACATATTAAAAGTAAAGGGATAGGGAAATATATAAAATGCTAACATTAATTAAAAGAAACATGGCATGGCTATCTTAATATCACAAAGTACACTTCAGAGAAAGGAAAAAACACAGAGATAAGCCAGGTGCAGTGGCACATGCCTATGGTCCCAGCTACTTAGGAGGCTGAGATGGAGGATCACCTGAGACCAGGAGTTCAAGGATATAATGCGCTATAATTTATTGTGAATAGACCCTGCACTCCAGCCTGGGGAACAGCGAGACCTTCATCTCTATAAAAAAAATTTAAAAAAAAAAATTTTTTTGGCCGGGCGCGGTGGCTCACACCTGTAATCCCAGCACTTTGGGAGGCCAAGGCGGGCGGATCACGAGGTCAGGAGATTGAGACCATCCTGGCTAACACGGTGAAACCCCGTCTCTACTAAAAATACAAAAAATTAGCCGGGCGTGGTAGCAGGCGCCTGTAGTCCCAGCTACTCGGGAGGCTGAGGCAGGAGAATGGCGTGAACCCGGAAGGCGGAGCTTGCAGTGAGCCGAGATCGCGCCACTGCACTCCAGCCTGGGCGACAGAGCGAGACTCCGTCTCAAAAAAAAAAAAAAAAAAAAAAAAAAAATTTTTTTTTTAATTAACCAGTTGGGGTATCACAAACTTGCAGTCAGCTACTTGAGAAGCTGAGGCAGGTAGATTGCTGCAGCCTGGGAGTTCAAGGCTGCAAAGAGCTATATGATCACACCACTGCATTCCAGCCTGGGAGACACAGTGAGACTCTGTCTCTAAAAAAAATAAATTAAATTTTTAAAATAAATAAAGAGATATAAGTGAGCATCACATAATGATAAAGGACTCAACATGCCAAGAAAACCTGACAACCCTTAGTGTGTGTTTGCATAACAAGCGTTGCAAAATACATGTGGCAAAATACAACTGATAGAACTGCAAAGAAAAAATACACTAATCTACTTGTATAGTTGGAGACTGCAGCACCCCTCCAGCAGTAATTAAGAGATCCAACAGGCAGAAAATCTGAAAGGACATAGTAAAGTAAATAGCATCATCAAACAACTGGATTTAATTGAAATGCATGGAATACTTCATCTAACAATAGCAAAACACAAATTCTTCTCAAGTTCACAGGAATATTCACAAAAATAAACCAAATACTGGGGCATAAAACACACCTTAATATGAAAAATTTTAAAAAATCATACAAAGTATGCTCAGACCACAAGTCATTCATCTAGAAATCAATAACAGAGATAGTTACCAACTCCCCCAAATCTTTAGAGATTAAACAACACAATTCTAAATAAGCACATGGATCAAAGAAGTCTGAGAAATCAAAAATAATTTTTGACCTAAAATGAAAATGAAAACAAAATTTATCAAAAATTAGGGTATGCAGCAAAAGCAGTGCATAGAGGAATATTTACAGCATTGAACACCTACACCAGGAAAGAACAAGGGTTTATAATGAATCATCTAAGAGTCTACTTCGGGCTGGGTGCAGTGGCTCACGCCTATAATCCCAGCAATTTGGGAGGCCAAGGCGGGCAGATTACTTGAGGCCAGGAATTGGAGACCAGCCTGGACAACATGGTAAAACCTCGTCTCTACTAAAAATACAAAAATTAGCTGGGTGTGGTGGCGCATGCCTGTAATCCCAGCTACTCAGTAGGCTGAGATACAAGAATCACTTGAACCTGGGAGATGGAGGTTACAGTGAGCCAAGATCATGCCACTGCACTCCAGCCTGGGCGACACAGCAGGCTGCTGTCTCCAAAAAAAAAAAAAAAAAAAAAAACAGAAAAAAGAAAAGAGTCTACTTCAGGAAAACAGAAAAACAAGAGAGCAAATTAAACCCAAGTAAGCAGACAGACAGACAGAATAATTGGAGAAGTCAATGAAATGGCAGGAAATCAATAGAGATTAAAAAAAAAAAACAGAAGTCGGTTATTGGAGAACACCAATAAAACTGATAAACCTCTAGTCATGGTAAGAAAAAAGAAATTACTAAGATCAGAAATGAAAGGAGGCAAAAGTAAAAACTAAAGAACATTTGACAAAATCTACCATCCACTCACGGTGGCAAACTGGGAATAGAGAACTTCCTCCTCAGAAAGAACATCAATGAGGAACCTGCAGCTAACATCATACTTAACAGTGAGAAACTAGATGCTTTCTACACAAGACCAGAAACAGGGTAAGAATGTCTTCTCTCACCACTACTATTCAACAACATCCTTAAAGTCCTAGATAAGCAACAAGACAGAGGAAATAAAAAGTATATCGATTTAGAAGGAAGAAATAAAATTGTCTTTGCTGCATAAGACATGATTATATAAAATATATAGATGGCATATAAACATATGAAAACATGCATATTTTGTCACTGGGGAATTACAAATTTAAAAATTAAAGACTAACACAACCTTTATTAGAATGGCTAAAATTTAAAACACTGAGAACACCAAATGATGGCAAAGATGTGAAGCAATAGGAACCCTCATTTGTTACTTGTGGGAATGGAAAACAGTGCACCTATTTTGGAAGATGGTCAGTTTCTTATAAAACTAAACATACTCGGCCAGGCACAGTGGCTCATGCCTGTAATCCCACAACTTTGGGAGGCCAAGGAGGGTGGATCACCTGAGGTCAGGAGTTCAAGACCCGCCTGGCCAACATGGTGAAACCTTGTCTCTACTAAAAATACAAAAATTAGCTGGGCATGGTGGCACATGCATGTAATCCCAGCTACTCGAGAGGCTGAAGCAGGAGAATTGTCTGAGCCCAGGAGGTGGAGGCTGCAGTAAGCCGAGATCTTGACACTGCACTCCAGCCTGGACGACAGAGCAAAACTCTGTCTCAAAACAAAACTAAACAAAACATACTCAACATATAACCTAACAATCATGCTCCTTGGTATTTATCAAAATAAGCTGAAAACATGTTCACACAAAAACCTGTACATGGATGTTTATGGGAGTTTTATTCATAATTTCTAGAATTTAGAGTTAACCAAGAGATTCTTGATAAACAAATGAACAATCTGCAGTACATCCATATGATTAAATATAATCATATGGATGAAAAGAAGATATCAAGCCATGATAAGACATAGAGGAAATTTAAAAGTACGTCACTGGGCCAGGTGTGGTGGCTCACACCTGTAATCCCAGCACTTTGGGAGGCAGAGGCGGGAGGATCACCTGAGGTCAGGAGTTTGAGACCAGCCTGACCAAACGGTGAAACCTCATCTCTACTAAAAATAAAAAAATCAGCCGGGCATGGTGGCGGACACCTGTAATCCCAGCTACTCAGGAGGCTGAGGCAGGAGAATCGCTTGAACCAAGGGGGCGGAGGTTGCAGTGAGCCAAGATCACATCACTGCACTCCAGCCTGGGTGACAGAGTGAGACTCCGTCTCAAAAAGAAAAAAAGAAAAGTATGTTACTAAGTGATAGAATCCAATCTAAAAAGGCCATATACAATGTATTACCAACTATAAGATATTCTGCAAAAGACAAAACTATGGGACATGAAAAAGTCTTTGGTTTTAAGGGATTTCAGGATGCAAAGGGCAGATGAATGAATGTGTAAACTATAGGTGATTTTTAGGGCAGTGAAACTACCCTAACAGAAATAACACATGTCATTAAACATTGTCAAAGTCCAGTGAATATACAATAGTCAACTCTAATGTAAAATGTAAACATTAATGCATCCATATTGGTTCAACTGTAGTAAATGTACCACAGTAATACAATATATAAAAAATAGGGCAAACTGGCCGGGTGCGGTGGCTCACGCCTGTAATCCCAGCACTTTGGGAGGCTCAGACAGGCAGATCACGAGGTCAAGAGATCGAGACCATCCTGGCCAACATGGTGAAATCCATCTCTACTAAAAATACAAAAATTAGCTGGGCGGAGTGGTGCGTGCCTGTAGTCCCAGCTACTTGGGAGGCTGAGGCAGGAGAATTGCTTGAACCCGGGAGGTGCAGGTTGCACTGAGCTGAGACTGTGCGACTGCATTCCAGAGTGGCGACAGAGCGTGACTCCGTCTCAAAAAAAAAAAAAAAAATAGGGCAAACCGTAAAGAAGAGTGATCATTAAATAACTCTGTACTTAATGATCAATTTTTCTGTAAACTTAAAACTGTTCTGAAAAAAATCTGTTACAAAAAGTTAAAATGAAGAGACTCATGACTGAAAAGTAACTAATCACTGAACCATGTTTTTTCTTTTTTTGAGACAGGGTCTCATTTTGTCACCCAGATTGGAGTGCAGTGGTATGATCACAGCTCACTGCAGCCTCAACCTCCAAGGCTAAAGTGATCCTTCCACCTCAGCCTCCCAAGGATCTGGGACTACAGGTACATGTCACCATGCTCAGGAAATTTTTGTATTTTTTGTAGAGACGGGGTTTTGTCATGTTGCCCAGGCTGGTCTCAAACTCTTGGGCTCAAGCAATCTGCCTACCTTGGCCTCCCAAAGTGCTGACATGGCAGGCGTAAGCCACCACGCCTGGCCCATATCATATTTCATGCAACTGATTTGAACTTATTTTAGTAAGCCATTATGGTCATGAATGAGGTCTTCAGCCAATGCCTTGTTTAGGAGCCCTGCACTGTATATTCCGAGAAGTTAGGAGCCCAGCACTGTATATTCTGAGAAGTTAAATTAGGGCCTTGGTTACCATCAGTACTGTCTAGAATTCGGACATGGATGAGTATCCATGGTATTGTGGACTTCGTATAAGATATGTATTGGCCAGGCAAGGTGGCTCACATCTGTAATCCCAACACTTTGGGAAGCCGATAGAGTGAGCCATCACATCCAGCCCTGAAGTCTTATTCTCATTGGTAAATACAAGAAAAACAGTAACAGATTATATAGATTTGGAATGAACCTGAAAACTCCTAATACTTTTAACAGATGGTTTTTAGTATATATGTGCAATCATAATCACAATTTTCATCACCTCAAAAATAAGCCCATGTACTTTTTACCTGTCAATCTCCTATCCTCCCATCTTCTTCTGCCAGTCCCCAGCCCTTGATAAGCAGCAATCTTTCGGTCTCTATAGATTTTCCTATTATGGACTTCCATATAATCAGAATCATGCCATGTGGTATGTGACTGGCTTCATTATAGGTTTCTCAAGTCACATCCATGTTGTAGCACGCATCCCCACTTTGTATTTATGGTAGAATTATATTCCACTGGATGGATATTACACATTTTCTTTATCTATCATCCAATGATGTATTACAGTCAGCCCTCCATACTTGGAGTTTCTGTATCCTCAGATTCGACCACCCTCTGATCATGTACTATGTGATTAGGTCTATGATGGTTAGGTATATACTGAACATGTACAGACTTTTTCTTCTTTTTATTATTCCCTAAACAACACAATATAACAACTATTTTACCTAAAATTTATGTTGTATCAGGTATTATAAGTGAGCTAAAGATGATTTAAAGTATATGGAAGACAATGTTTTCTAAGCCGGGCGTGGTGGCTCACGCCTGTAATTCCAGCACTTTGGGAGGTCGAGGGGGGCGGATCACCTGAGGTCGGGAGTTCGAGACCAGCCTGACCAAAAAGGAGAAACCCTGTCTCTACTAAAAATACAAAATTAGCCAGGTGTGGTGGCGCATGCCTGTAATCCCAGTTACTGGGGAGGCTGAGGCAGGAGAATCACTTGAACCCGGGAGGCGGAGGTTGCGGTGAGCCGAGATTTCGCCATTGCACTCCCGCCTGGGCAACAAGAGTGAAACTCCGTCTCAAAAAAAAAAAAAAAGAAAAAAAAGAAAAGAAAATGTTTTCTTAATTTCCATTTTGGGTTGTTCAGTGACAATGTATAAAAATAACAGATTTTTGCAGGTTCCATTTGTATGCTACCAATTTGCTTAATTCATTTATTACTTCTAAGTGCGTGTGTGGGGTGGGGGAAGTTCTTGGAAGTTCTACATGTAAAATCACATAATTTGTGAACAGGAAAAAATTTCCTTCTTCCTGTCCAATTCTGATATCTTTTCTTTTTCTTGTCTAATTACTCTGACTAGAACATCCGGTACTATGGCGAATAGTAGTGGTAAAAGTTAACTAAGTCTCAATAGATTTTTTTAAATAGAATAAAAAATAATAGTAAGTTAAAATATAAAATGATTGTATAACACACATTCAACATACGAATATACATTTACACTGTTAATATATAAATACAAAATAAAGTAAAATATAAAATAATATTAGCTCGGTGCAGTGGCTCACACCTGTAATCCTAACACTTTAGGAGGCAAAGACAGGAGGACTGCTTAATGCCAAGGAGTTTAAGACCAGCCTGGACAACATAGTGAAATCCTGTCTCTATTAAAAAAAAAAAAATTTGGCCAGGCGCAGTGGCTCACGCCTGTAATCCCAGCACTTTGGGAGGCCAAGGTGGGTGGATCACGAGGTCAGGAGTTAAACACTAGCCTGGACAAGATGATGGAACCCCATCTCTACTAAAAATACAAAAAAATTAGCCAGGCATGGTGGTGGGCACCTGTAATCCCAGCTACTTGGGAGGCTGAGGCAGAGAATTGCTTGAACCCAGGAGG
Organism: Homo sapiens; assembly: GCF_000001405.40. NCBI lineage: Eukaryota > Metazoa > Chordata > Mammalia > Primates > Hominidae > Homo > Homo sapiens. The sequence continues at coordinate 12,538,556 of NC_000019.10, forward strand.
CGGAGGTTGCAGTGAGCCAAGATTGCGCCATTGCATTCCAGCCTGGGCAACACAGCAAGACTCTGTCTAAAAAAAATAAATAAATAAAAAATAAAAAAATTTTAACTAGTCGAGTGTGGTGGCACAAGCCTGTAATCCCAGCTACTTGGGAGGCTGACACAGAAGGATACTTGAGTACAAGAGGTCAATGCTACAGTGAGCTATGATTGCGCCACTACACTCCAGTCTGGGCGACAGAGCAAGACCCTGTCTCAAAAAAAAAAGTATCAACTTTAGTTAATAATAATGTTATTGGTTTGCCAATTTTCATCATTATCAGATGTAATATGTTGGTTTATAATCATAACTAATACACTACACTAACGCAGTATGTTAAAAATAGGGGAGGTAGGCCAGGCGTGGTGGCTCACGTCTGTAATCCTAGCACTTTGGGAGGTCGAGGCAGGTGGATCACCTGAGGTCAGGAGTTCAAGACCAGCCTGGCTAATGTGGCGCAATCCAGTCTCTACTAAAAAAATTCAAAAAAAAATTAGCTGGACATGGTGGTGGGCGCCTGTAATCCCAGCTACTCCGGAGGCTGAGGCAGAAGAATCGCTTGAATCTAGGAGGCAGACATTGCAGTAAGCTGAGATCGTGCCTCCTGTCACCACACTCCAGCCTCGGTGACAGAACGAGACTCCATCTCAAAAAAAAAAAAAAAAAAATAGGGGAGGTAGGGAAAAGGGGCTCTGTAATAGCTCCCAAATTTTTCTGTAAACTATGAATTAAAAAAGCAAATAAACTAACCTTTCATGGAAAATTCTAGTGTAAAAAAAGAAAGCTGGCTGGGCACAGTGGCTCACGCCTGTAATTCCAGCACTTTGGGAGGCCGAGGCGGGTGGATCACAAGGTCAGGAGTTCGAGACCATCCTGGCTAACATGGTGAAACCCCATCTCTAATAAAAATACAAAAAAAAAAAAAAAAGAGTAGGGCAAGGTGGCACGTACCTGTAGTCCCAGTTACTTGGGAGGCTGAGGCAGGAGAATCGCTTGAACCCAGGAGGCAGAGGTAGCAGTGAGCCGAGATCGTGCCACTGCACTCCAGCCTGGGCGACAGAGCGACAATTCCTCTCAAAAAGACAAAAAAGAAAAAGAAAAAGGCCAGGCGCAGTGGCTCACGCCTGTAATCCAAGCACTTTGGGAGGCTGAGGTGGGCGGATCACAAGGTCAGGAGATAAAGACCATCCTGGCTAACTCGGTGAAACCCCATCTCTACTAAAACTACAAAAAAGAAAAATTAGCCAGGTGTGGTGGTGGGCGCCTGTAGTCCCAGCTACTCGGGAGGCTGAGGCAGGAGATTGGCGTGAATCTGGGAGGCGGAGCTTGCAGTGAGCCGAGATCGCGCCACTGCACTCCAGCCTGGGTAACAGAACGAGACTCCGTCTCAAAAAAAAAAAAAAGAAAAAAGAAACCTGACATTCCATAGTACACACAGTATAATGCCACTTGCGTAAGATTCATTCAAAAATGAAATATGTAACTGACTGGCTTAAAATAAAATATATTGACATAGGGTTGAGTACACAGGTTAAGAAAAGCAAGGAAATTATCTTATAATCTATAACACTGGCCCCATCTGGAAAGAGAATGGATGATTTGGCTTCTAGGAATCATTTCAAGTGGGGCATGTGGTGAGAAGTCTTCAAAGTCGTGGCCTGGCTGTCATGAGACTGACATTCCCTTTACAATGTTTCAGTTGACTGTGCAACTGTTTTATGTAGTTTCCTCATATGCAATATGTTTAGTAAGTTTCCACAATGAAAACTCAATACACAAATAAGTCTCAGTGTACTCCGAATTTTGAGCATCAAGCCATTGAAGTCAACATTTAAAAGAGAGCATAGGGCCAGTGTGGTGGCTCACATCTGTGATCCCAACACTTTGGGAGGCTGAGGCGGACAGATCAGTTGAGGTCAGGAGTTCGAGACCAGTCTGGCCAACATGGTGAAACTCCATCTCTATTAAAAATACAAAAACCGGCTGGGTGTGGTAGCTCATGCCTGTAATCCCAGCACTTTGGGAGGCCAAGGCGGGCAGATCACAAAGTCAGGAGATCGCCACCATCCTGGCTAACATGATGAAACCCCGTCTCTACTAAAAACACAAAAAATTAGCCGGGCGTGGTGGCGGGCGCCTGTAGTCCCAGCTACTCGGGAGGCTGAGGCAGAAGAATGGTGTGAACTCGGGAGGCAGAGCTTGCAGTGAGCCGAGATGGCACCACTGCACTCCAGCCTGGGTGACACAGCAAGACTCCGTCTCAAAAAAAAATCAGCCAGGTCTGGTGGCAGGCACCTGTAGTCCCAGCTACTCGAGAGGCTGAGGTAGGAGAATTGCTTGAACCCAAGAGTGGAGGTTGCGGTGAGCTGAGATCATACCACTGCACTCCAGCCTGGGCAACAGAGACTCTGTCTCAAAAAAAAAAAAAGACAGCATAGCCCCAGCCTCAGGAATGTGGCAAAACCCTGTCTCTACAAAAAAAAAAAAAAAAAAAAAAGAAACACAAAAATTAGCTGGGTGTGGTGGCACGCACCTGCAGTTCCAGCTACTCAAGAGGCTCGAGGGAGGAGGATCACCTGAGCCCAGGAAGTCTAGGCTGCAGTGAGCCATTGACTGCACTACTGCACTCCACCCTGGGTGATGGGGTTAAGACCCTGCCTCAAAAAACAAAAATAGCTAGGCAGGGTGGCTCACGCCTGTAATCCCATCACTTTGGGAGGCTGAGATGGGCGGATCACCTGAGGTCAGGAGTTCGAGACCAGCCTGGCCAACAAGGCAAATGCCCATCTCCACTAAAAATACAAAAAAATTAGCTCGGCGTGGTAGAACGCACCTGTAATCCCAACTACTTGGGAGGCTGAGGCAGGAGAATTGCTTGAACCCAAGAGGCGGAAGTTACAGTGAGCCAAAATCGCGCCACTAGACTCCAGCCTGGGGATGGAGACTCTGTCTCAAAAAAAAAAGAAAAAAAAAATCAAATTAGGAAGCACTACATGGAGAAATGGCATAGATCCTTAGAAAAGAGGCTGAATATTACCATGATATATGCTTAAGCTGTCCCAAATACAGTGCTTTATTTAATTCCATAAAATTCACAACCAGATTTGCTTGGTATGTTATTAAACTTAAGAAATGCTATTTCTGCCAGGCATGGTGGCTCACGCCTGTAATCCCAGCACTTTGGGAGGCCGAGGCAGGCGGATCACATGGTCAGGAGATCAAGACCGTCCTGGCTAATACGGTGAAACCCCGTCTCTACTAAAAATACAAAAAATTAGCTGGGCGTAGTGGCAGGCACCTGTAATCCCAGATACTCAGGAGGCTGAGGCCGAGGAATCGCTTGAACCCGGGAGAGAAGAGGTTGCAGTGAGCCAAGATTGTGCCACTGCACTCCAGCCTGGGTGACAGAGCGAGACTCTGTCCAAAAAAAAAAAAAAAAAAAAGAAATGCTATTTCTTGGCAGGGCATGGTGGCTCACGCCTGTAATCCCAGCACTTTGGGAGGCTAAGGTGTTCAAGACCAGCCTGGCCAACACAGTGAAACCCCGACTCTACTAAAAATACAAAAATTAGCCGGGTATGGTGGTGGGCGCCTGTAGTCCCAGCTACTCGGGAGGCTGAGGCACAAGAATTGCTTGAACCGGGTAGGCAGAGGTTGCAGTGAGTAAAGATCACGGCACTACACTCCAGCCTGGGTAACAGAGTGAGACTCTGTCTCAAAAAAAAAAAAAAAAAAAAAAAGGTTTAAGAAACACTACTTCTAGGCCAGGCACACACATGGAATCCCAGCATTCTGGGAGGCCAAGGTAGGAGGATCACTTGAAGCCAGGAGTTCAAGATCAGCCTAGGCAACATAATGAAACCTCAACCAAAATTAAAAATTAGCTGGGCATGATAGCACGTGTCTGTAGTCCCAGCTACTCAGGAGGTTGAGGCAGGAGGATCGCTTGAACCCAAGAGTTGTAGGCTGCAGTGAGCTATGATCACGCCAGTGCAGATCATGCCTGGTGACATAGGGGGACCATCTCAAGGAAGAAAGGAAGGAAAGAAAGGGAAAGGAAGAAAGAAAAGAAAAAAGGAAAGGAAGGAAGGAAAGGAAAAAAAGGAAAGAAAGGAAGGAAAAGAAAAAAGGGCCGGGCACCATAGCTCATGCCTGTAATCCCAGCACTTTGGGAGGCCGAGGTGGGTGGATCACCTGAGGTCAGGAGTTCTACACCAGCCTGACCAACATAGTGAAACTCTGTCACTACTAAAAATACAAAATTAGCAGGGCATGGTGGCACATCCTGTAGTCCCAGCTACTTGGGAGGCTGAGGCAGGAGAATCAATTGAATCCCGGAGGCAGAGTTTGCAGTGAGCCAAGATCATGCCGTTGCACTCTGGCCTGGGCAATAAGAGAGAAACTCCACCACAAAAAAGAAAAGAAGGGGCCGGGCGCGGTGGCTCACGCCTGTAATCCCAGCATTTTGGGAGGCCAAGGCGGGCAGATCACCCAAGGTCAGGAGTTCAAGACCAGCCTGGCCAAAACAGTGAAACCTTGTCTTTGTAAAAATACAAAAAAATTAGTCAGGCGTGGTGGGGTGCACCTGTAATCCCAGCTACTCAGGAGGCTGAGGCAGGAGAATGGCTTGAACCCAGGAGGTGGAGGTTGCAGTGAGCTGATATCACACCACTGCACTCCAGCCTAGGTGACTGAGTGAAACTTCGTCTCAGAAAAAAAAAAAAAAGAGAGAAGGGGAGGGGAGGGGAAGGGGAAGGGGAAGGGGAAGGGGAAAGGGAAGGGACCACTTCTAAAAACTGAAATAGCCGGGTGCAGTGGCTCATGCCTGTAATCCCAGCACTTTGGGAGGCCAAGGTGGGTGGATCCTGAGGTCAGGAGCTCGAGACCAGCCTGGTCAACATAGTGAAACCCTGTCTCTACTAAAAATACAAAAAATTAGCCAGGCATGGTGGCACACCTGTAGTCCCAGCTACTCGGGAGGCTGAGGCAGGAGAATCACTTGAACCCGGGAGGTGGAGGTTGTGGTGAGCCAAGATCACGTCACTGCACTCCAGACGGGGCAACAAAGCGAGACTTCGTCTCAAAAAAAAAAAAAAAAAAAAAAACAACTGAAATAGGACTCAAATATCTAAAAACAGCAAAGACTTCGTACAGTACACTGTTAGAAAATGTTACAGCCTGAATCTGTGTGTCCCTCCCAAAATTCATATACTGAAATTCTAACTCCTAATGTCGTTGCATTAGGAGGTGGCATCTTTGGGAGGTAATCGGGGTTAGAGACCATGAGGGTGGTGCCCTCATAAATGGGATTAGCACCTTTAGAAGAAATGACAGGAGACAGCTTGCTTCCTCTCTCCTCTGCCTTGTGAGGATATAATGAGAGATGATGATCTGAAAACCACAAAGCAGGCCCTTACCAGACACTACATCTGCCAGCACTTGAACTTGGACTTCCCAGCCTCCAGAACTGTGAAAACTACATGTGTGCTGTTCAAGCCACCCAGCCTATGGCAATGTATTACAGCATCCCCAGGTGACTAAGACAGTACAGCACTTTCTCAACCATACATCAGGGTTATGAAATAATTAGGACACTATGGCAGTAGCAGAAAGATAAACCAAAGAAATATGGGAAATTCTGAAACCAGGGCATCTATGTAGGGTATGTGAACCTATGACAGAGCAGGTATGGTCAGTCAGGGACAGAAACGACGGACAGTTAAACCCCAGCAGCAGTGATAACCCATCTTCTGCCATCATCTCCACATAATGTTGTGAATTCAGTGTAGAGCTGTCTATTGCAGTGAATTCTTAAAATTGTATGCTACCTCAGAAGCCACTTTGAATATGGCTTTAACTTTCTCATACCAGAAGCAGGGCTTAGTCACCCTTAATACAGTTTCCAGTTCTACGCCTCCTCCCATTTCCTCCATGTGGTCAATCCAGTTATCTGCCTTACACAGCCGCCTCCCTGTGACCACCTCCGCATGAGACGGCTAGATACAAACTGCTGGAAATCATCCAACTGACCCTACACAAGGAATGCACAGAGAGGCTGCAGGGACCACCTCTCAGTCACCATGTGACTCCACGAAATTCCCATCTGGTTGCTCTAAACTCACCAACTAGAACTCCCACAGAGTCTCCAATAAAGGCATCTGCCCAGATTCCTCTGTCTTGCTCCCTGGTTAGGTGTGTATATCAGGTCTGAAACAGCCACCCTCTTCCTGTTGGCCTACAAGGAGAACTATCCTTTCTCTCTGGGATCTATTACCTAGCAGCCTGTTTCACCCACAGTCACAAGGAAACCCACATTCAGAAGGTTAAACAAGCCTGAGGACCATTCATGTGAAGATGTGGCCCACTCCTAAGAGATGAGTGAGGGAGCCGGGTGTGGTGGCTCATGCTTGTAATCCCAGCACTTTGGGAGGCCAAGGCGGGTGGATCACCTGAGGTCAGGAGTTTGAGACCAGCCTGGCCAACACGGAGAAACCCCCCGTCTCTACTAAAAATACAAAAAATTAGCTGGGCGTGGTGGCGCATGCCTATAATCCCAGCTACTCAGGAGGCTGAGGTAGGAGAATCACTTGAACCCAGGAGGCGGAGGTTGTGGTGAGCCAAGATCGCACCATTGCACTCCAGCCTGGGCAACAAGAGCAAAATTCCGTCTCAAAAAAAAAAAAAAAAAAAAGAAATGAGTGAGGGAAACATCCTGGGAGCTCCACGCACCCTACTCTCCTCTCCTCATGATGTGATTCACGGTCTCGATTCTCACCAGTGACCAGATGTTTACCTGGAGTCAGTTTAAGGTTCTGACCTCTGGTGTCCTTTCTGTGACACCCGAAGTGTAAACACCGACCAGTTCTAACAGCAGGTGTCTAACAGTTCAGTTCTGACACCACTCAGAATTAGGACAGACCTACAAGTTCAGGGCTCAGTCTCACAACATGCCAGTTCACATGCCAGTCACAAGCCGCAGGGCCACCCACACTTCTGAACAACTGTGTACAAATCGTGAGCTCCCATAATCTCCTCCTCGGGTTCAATAATTTGCTAAAACTATTCAAAGAACTTAGCAAAACATGTTACTTAAGTATAACTCAGGAACAGGCAAATAAGAGCTGAAAAATGGCAGGGAAAGGGGGGTGGATATAGGCAACGCTCCTCATCTTGGGGTGCACCACCCTCCCAGCACATCAATGTCCTCATCAACCTGGAAGTACTCTCTGAATGTCTTTGCTCAAAAATTTTTACACAACTCAATCTCCAGCCTCCACTCTTTCCTGGGGTAGGGAATGGAGCTTAAAGCAACAACCCTCTAGTCATGGGTTTGGTCTTTCTGGTCACCAGTCTCCACTCTGAAAGTATCCAGGGGTTCCACAGAATCACCTCATTAGCTTAAAACTCAAGTATGGTCTGAAAGGGGATTGTTGTGAATAACAAAACACACTCCACCTATCACTTAGGGAATTCCAAGGGTTTTAGGATCCCTGTCCCAGGAACTGCAGACAAACACCAAATATATTTATTACACCACAGAAGCAAATACACTCGTAAATTCATAAACCTTTTCTCCAGCAGAAAGAAGCCAAAGGTGTCTTTCTCTAAGTCTGACCCTCACAGACATTTGCAGAAATTACACTCTGACTAAACCAACTCTGTGGATACAAAACCAAATTGCTGACAATGTTGAATTTTACCCAAGCTCTATAATCCTACAGAATAGCTATGATTAAAACACTCTCCACCACCACCACCACCCTTGGTGTTCCAGAGAAGCAGCATACTGCGGGGGAAAAAACCCTATTACTAATTTAGACGTCCTTTATTTTACCTATAAGAAAGCCAGACAGGCGGCTGGGTGCAGTGGCTCACGCCTGTAATCCCAGCACTCTGGGAGGCCGAGGTGGACGGATCACGAGGTCAAGAATCAAGATCATCCTGGCTAACACGGTGAAACCCCGTCTCTACTAAAAATACAAAAAAAAAATTAGCCAGGAATGGTGGTGGGCACCTGTAGTCCAGGCTACTCGGGAGGCTGAGGCAGGAGAATGGCGTGAACCCAGGAGGTGGAGCTTGCAGTGAGCCAAGATCGCGCCACTGCACTCCAGCCTGGGTGACAGAGCAAGACTCTGTCTCAAAAAAGAAAAAACAAAACAGACTCTCCAAATTCCCATTGTTTACTTCATAAACAATTGGCTGGACAGTTTTGTCTTCACTGATCAGTCAAAACAAAATATCTCTAAATCCAACCTTAATGGTTAAGTTTCTCTCCTCCTTTCAGCCCTGAACTTTGACCCATCCTCCACAGCCTAAGGAAGCACCCACCCAATCCCTCCTTTATAAACCATCCTAAAAACAGACTAACCTCAGGAAAAATATTCTCTGACCTAGGATCCGATTTTGCACTTTCCACTCTGCCCTCTCCTCCCACCTATTCCTAATCTTATTTGTTCCTCCCCATGAATGAAAAACTTTTTTAGGGGAAGAGGAGGGGAGACAGGGTCTTGCTCTGTTGTCCAGGCTAGAGTACAATGCCAGAATCATTGCTCACTGGAGCCTTGATCTTCTGGGCTCAAGGGATCCTCCCACCTCAGCCTCGGCTGGGACTATAGGTGTGCACCACCACAATTTTTTTTAATTTTGTAGAGAGATGGTCTTACTATGTGTACAGGTTAGTCTCAAACTCCTGACCTCAAGCAATCCTCCTGTTTCGGCCTCCCAAAGTGCTGGGATTATAGATGTAAGCCGCCACTTCCACCAGAAAAGCCTTTTTCTGCCTAACCTCTGGGATGCTTGCAGATCTTGTATCTACTGCTTTCACCTTTTCGTTATACTCCTTTCACATAAAGTCACTTCTTACCTAACTCCGGATTTCTTGTATTTGAGGATGTCTAGAAACAACTCTCTCAAATCATGGGAGCCCATGGTTTACTGTTATTATCTGAACAATTAACTATTACAACCTCAGACAGGGTATCACCCTCCCAACTATGCCTATGTGTGCATCCCCAGCTTCCCAGTGGTCTGTAGCTTCTCTCAGTATAAAGGACCCCTCCCCTGGTTGGAGTGATAAGGCTGGGATGCCTGCCAAGTTCTACCCAGGAAGAACCAACTGGGACTTCAATGACCTCCCTTTGCAGGCTCTTAGTTGGGAGTCACTCTGAGGCACACTTGGCCTCAGACCTCTGCTTCCTTAGACAAGACTATATTCACTTACTTTTTTTTTTTTTTTTTGAGACTGAGTTTCACTCTTGTTGCTCAGGCTGGAGTGCAGTGGCACGATCTCGGCTCACCGCAACTTCCGCCTGCTGGGTTCAAGCAATTCTCCTGCCTCAGCCTCCCGAGTAGCTGGGATTACAGGCATGCGCCACCATGCCCGGCTAATTTTGTATTTTTAGTAGAAACAGGGTTTCTCCATGTTGGTCAGGCTGGTCTCAAACTCACCTCAGGTGATCCACCCACCTCAGCCTCCCAAAGGGCTGGGATTACAGGCATGAGCCACCACGCCCAGTTTCACTTATTTTTAAGTAAGAAAATATCCTGTGTTTGAAGAATCCAGCAAAATCACTCAAACTTACCATTTATGTATATAGGAGGAAAGGAAACTGTAAGACATTTGTATTCTTTTTTTTTTTTTTTTTGAGACGGAGTCTAGCTCTGTCGCCCAGGCTGGAGTCCAGTGGCACGATCCCGGCTCACTGCAACCTCCGCCTCCCGGGTTCACGTCATTCTCCTGCCTCAGCCACCCAGCAGCTGGGACTACAGGCACACACCGCCACACCCGGCTAATTTTTGTATTTTTAGTAGAGACCGGGTTTCACTGTGTTAGCCAGGATGGTTTCCATCTCCTGACCTTGTGATCCGCACACCTTGGCCTCCCAAAGTGCTGGGATTAAAGGCGTGAGCCACCGTGCCCGGCCAATTTTTTGTATTTTTTAGTAGAGACGGGGTTTCACCATGTTAGCCAGGATGGTCGCGATCTCCTGACCTCGTGATCCACCTGCCTTGGTGCTGGGATAACAGGCGTCAGCCATCGCGGCTGGCAAGACATTTGTATTCTATAGCTTAAACATGAAAAGCACATTTATCTATCCCTTTCAGACAATAGAGACCTCACATTATTGTTACTTCCATGACAACTTCTTTACTAATATTTAATTCACTAATATTTAATATTTCAAAGTCCCATCTGATAGGATTTAGCATTAATCACCAAAGTCCAGATGAAAGGATACAGAACAGTTATCCATTACGACAAAATCTCTACCCTGCAAAGGAGAAGATATTTTAGAGAATCTCTGTATTTCACCAATTAATGTGGAAATGTATTCGTTTCTCTGTAGCCATAATGGAAGACTGAATTTCCCTACTTATCTGAGATTCTTATCCGCAGTAGCATTCTCAAGGCTAAGTTCTGGGATTGATCTGAAATCACCCAAAAGAAGAAAATAGACCTGAGAAACCTACCATACATGTTGCGGAGAGGAAACTACACAAATAAGATTTTTTAACAAATTGAATGTAAGACTAGATAATTGTTTTCCCTCAAATCTACTTTCTGCCTCTTTCTCCCCTTTGTGACCCTCCCTTTGCAAACACTTTATCTTGTCTTTCAAGCACTACTGATAAAATACATTCTACATTTAATGAAAAACAGGATCAAATAAGCAAATAAACCTTTTCAAGGGTTTACAAACCCAGGGAGAGGCAATGCTGACCTGGAATACAGACATTTATCTGATTCCAATGTCAGGTGAGGTCACCCTATCCCCTAGGACATCTCCCAGCCCCACCCTGGCTCACTGAGTGCTCAGTGACCAACCTCCCTGAAGACAGTGAATTGTGCCCTGCTCACTCTGCCCCAAGCGCATTTTAACTTTCAGGTTCTCGCACCATTTCAATGGGGCAGGTTTTCCTTCTCCTTTGAGATAGTTTTCCTCCCTTCACTAGACTAAAAACAATCCAGAGGTCAGGAATCATTTGTGTCTTTTCCTCTCAGTAACAGCCTAAGATTGGGTAACCATCAATGTGTCCCTAAGGAACGGAAACTGGGGTTGAGGAAGAAAAGCTGAGCGTCCCAAAGGGTAAACTTTTCAGAGGAAGGGGATACCGGGAGACTCCTCCCACCTCAGGGCATACAGCTGCTCCCGTGAGAGGCCCCACCCCTACACCTTAAGCTGTCCTCTGGGAGGAGTGACCCAGGGGTTGATAATCACTAGATCCTCCAAGAGAAGTGGCAGCTGTGGGTATCCTGGGTCAGGCCCAGGCAGTTCTGAAAATCAGGACCAGGAAAAGATAGAGGGCCACATCACCTTGTAAAGTTTCCAAAGGGGAAACTCCACCCAAAGACATTCTGATTAGGCGTCGGGGCTTAGGAAAGATAAAAGGAGGGGAAGCACAAAAATTTTTTTACCACGGCCGGGCGCGGTGGCTCACGCCTGTAATCCCAGCACTTTGGGAGGCCGAGGCAGGCGGATCACCTGAGGTCGGGAGTTCGAGACCAGCCTGGCCAACATGGAGAAACCCTGTCTCTACTAAAAATACAAAATTAGCCGGGCATGGTGGCGCATGCCTGTAATCCCAGTTACACGGGAGGCTGAGGCAGGAGAATCGCTTGAACCCAGGAGGTGGAGGTTGCAGTGAGCTGAGATCGCGCCATTGCACTCCAGCCTGGGCAATAAGAGCGAAACTCTGTCTCAAAAAAAAAAAAAAATTTTACCGTAGAGTGTCAGGTTCTTATTCTCCGTTTCCCTCTCAGGTTACAAGTACACAAACAAGAGGCCGGGCGCGGTGGCTCACGTCTGTAATACCAGCATTTTGGGAGGCGGAGGTGAGCGGATCACCTGAGGTCTGGAGTTTGAGACCAACCTGGCCAACATGGAGAAACCCAGTTTCTACCAAAAATACAAAAAGTAGCCGGTCGTGGCGGCGCATGCCTGTAATCCCAGTTACTCAGGAGGCTGAGGCAGGAGAATTGCTTGAACCCGGAAGGCGAAGGTTGCAGTGAGCTGAGATCTTCCCACTGCACTCCAGCCTGGGCGACAGAGCGAAACTCTGTCTGAAAAGAAAAAAAAAACAACAAACAGAAAACAAATCCTTTCAAAAGAGTATGGTGAAAGAAACTATAAACAACTAAAATACTGTGTCTTAAATGTCAAACAAAAAACAGCTGATAATGTTGATTTGGCGAGGGGAGGTCACCTTTGGGAATGCGGGGAAGGAACCGGAAATTTAGGCATTTATTTCCAGCCCCAGAAAAAGCTAGGCTAAAAAAAACGGGAGTCGTAGGTTTGAGATTCTTTTTCCAGTACGTTTGGAAGACTCGGAGGAAGACCAGTCCCCCGGAAAAAAAGACGATGTACTGGGAAGGCCACAGCCCACAGCTCTTCCCATGCACGAACCGCACACCCGAGACGGGATTCCGCCTTATGACCCTCCCGTGTCCCAGTACAAACAATCTGGAGAGAGGCGGGGCTGCGGGCGCGGAGCTGCCCAGACAGGGCTCCGAGGCCGAGGCCGCAGTCGCCGCGCAGGGACGGGACAGGACGCCTGGGGTACTGGCTACGGCCCAACCCACCCTGCGGCCGAGGGGACAGAGGGCCGAGCTGCGCCAGGGAACTCGGGTCCCAGACCCTGGAGTCGCTGCAGGGAGGCCAGGGTGCTTCCACAGCCGGTTCCGGCCGGTTCCCACAAGCCCCTCCCCCAGTCTCCAGGCGCCCGGCCCCGCACACGCACCATTTCCTGGCTTCCAGGGTGTCCCGGGGTCCTGCCTACGGCTCTCTCCGGCCTGTGCAGGTCCCAGCGCGCCAGACGCTGCGGTGGAGCCACCGGGGCCACTGGAGAAGCGGAGACCGGAACCCAAACGCAGCGGACACGAAACAGGAAGACCCCGCGGAGTTGTTGAACATTGCCCCTGTCCCCCTTGCAGAGTTCCTGATTGGATGGTTTGCAGGTTCCCGCCCCAGTGCCCCTGATTGGGTGATGATTCAAGTCCTGCCCCCTTGGTACTGAGTGACAGGAGAAGCAATGCGGTATGTGGCTGAGTAAAGACAGATTGACAGGGTCTTGGCCACTGCCCTTCGCGGGCCGGGCTTCCTCCTTCTGTAACCTTCTGTGCCGGGGAGGATATTTGCATTTAAGCAGAAAGTGTTTCAGGCTCTGCAGAGGTGACACTGGCGTGTTTCTGCACTCAGGGTGCCCTTCCTGCCTTTTCCTCCCGGACACAGAGTCACAAGTGTGCACAGGGAATGACAGACTCGGCGTCCAGTGGAGCCATCCCCTGGCCTCGGAGTAGGAGGCGCGCCCAGGCCAGGCCAGACCACAGTGTAACAGGAGGGAGGAGGGCTTGCTTCTTTCAGGCAAGAAAATTAAAACGGACAAAGAAATAAAAGTATTAAATGTATAGGAAAAACTGGAGTTTTTATGACAGCGATCATCTATAAAGAAACCAAGAGAAGTAAGCAAACATTTGAACTAGCTCAGACAAGCAGCCTGCTTCACCCGCAGTTCACAAGGAAAACCCACAATCATAACGTTAAAAATATTCCCAAGCGCCGGGCGCGGTGGCTCACGCCTGTAATCCCAGAACTTTGGAAGGCCAAGGTGAGAAAATTGCTTAAGGTCAGGAGTTCAAGACCAGCCTAACCAACATGGTGAAACCCCATCTCTACTAAAAATACAAAAATTAGCCAGGCGTGGTGGCAGGTGCCTGTAATCCCAGCAACTCGGGAAGCTGAGGTACGAGAATCGCTTGAACCTGGGAGGGGGAAGTTGCAGTGAGCCGAGATAGCGCCATTGCACTCCAGCCTGGGCGACAGAGCGAGACTAAAAAATGAAATATGAAATGAAATGAAATAATGAAATGAAGAAATGAAATATAAAATAAAATAATCCCAAGCTTGGGACCCAGACTCTAACTGCTGAAATGGAACCCCAGTGTGGATCAGAACCTGGTGATGAGACAGGGACACTTAAGAATTCAACTTTGGGAGCTCAAGGTGCCCTCCAGTCCTCTCCTCACAGTGTGGAAACACTCTTTCCTTCAAAACCTTCATTTGTACCAGCAGGAAACTCTCACCCGGAGTCAATGTAAAGTCGTGACCTAAATAAATTGTCATGTTCCCAAACCTTTTCTCCAGGGGACAATGCAAACAAGTTTTTCACTGAGTCTGACCCTCACAGATTTTCTTCATGTATACAAATTACAGCCTGACTCAGCGACCCCATGAATGCTAAAACCAAAACACTGTCCAGGAAATGGCCCCAGGCGCCAAAGGTACAACCTCAGAAAAGACAGAACCCTCCACCCCCAACCCAACCACATCTGCACATGGGTCTCCTGCTTTTCACAGCTCTGCAGCTTCTCAGAATCCACATTCCTGGCCAGGCGCGGTGGCTCACGCCAGCACTTTGAGAGGCCCAGGCGGGCGGATCACCTGAGGTCAGGAGTTCGAGACCAGCCTGGCCAAATGGTGAAACCTCGTCTATAGTAAAAATACAAAAATTAGCCGGGCGTGGTGGCGCGTGCCTGTAATCCCAGCCACTCGGGAGGCTGAGGCAGGAGAACCGCTTGAACCCGGGAGGCAGAGGTTGCAGTAAGCCCAGACTGCGCCACTGCACTCCAGCCTGGGTGCCAAAACAGTGAGACTCTGCCTCAAAAAAATAATAAAAGTAAAAAATAAAATTAAAATTAAAAAAAGAATCTGCACTCCTGAGCAGCTGGAGGCCACCTGCAAGGGCGGGCAGGCTGCCCAAGAAGCACCCTTTCCCTCTCTTTGCAGGCTCCAGACTGGTCTCAGGCTCTCCTGCCCACTGCAGTTTATTCACTTGCTTCTCACCAACACTGATCCACTTAGGTAAGAAAAAAGACCTTCAATCCCCTTTGCTGTTTGTTTGTTTTTAAGAAACTAGCAGAGTTCCTGCTTTCCTTCTGTGGTTATGTATAAGCTGGAAGACAAAAAATTCTAAAATACTTTATATGGATTTTAAAACTGGCAAGTAATGATTCCTTTGAGAAAACAAAGATATCAGCTATGCTATTATGATTTATACATTGGTTTCCATCCATGCTTCCTGACTCATAACTCCCATAGTCCTTGTTACAGTAAACAGAAACTCTCTCTCTCTGACCTTCTCCTGCCCCCCATTCACCTGTCCACTGCAGAACTCTAATGTGATCGTGGGTCATAAGACTCTCACTCCAAAGAGTGTCCTGTCCTGTACGCTGGGGAAAGGAATGCTACACAGAAGCCAAAAATTATCTGGACAGGGGTTGGATGCAGTGGTTCACGCCTGTAATCCCAGCACTTTGGGAGGCTGCGGAGGGAGGATTGCTCGAGCCCAGGAATTCAAGACCAGCCTGGGAAAGATGTCGAGACCCCATCTCTATGAAAAATAAATAAAAAGGCCGGACGCGGTGGCTCATGCCTATAATCCCAGCACTTCAGGAGGCTGAGGTGGGCGGATCATGAGGTCAAGAGATCGAGACCCTCCTGGCCAACATGGTGAAACCCCCGTCTCTACTAAAAATACAAAAATTAGCTGGGCGTGGTGGCGCGTGCCTGTAGTCCCAGCTACTTGTAGTCCCAGCTACTTGGGAGGCTGAGCCAGGAGAATCACTTGAACCCAGGAGGCAGAGGTTGCAGTGAGCCGAGATCACTACTGCACTGCAGCCTGGCCGACAGAGTGAGACTCCGTCTCAGAAAAAAATATTTTTCTTTTTATGTATTATTATTATTATTTTGAGACGGAGTCTTGCTCTGTCGCCAGGCTGGAGTGCAGTGGCGAGATCTCAAGTTGCTCACTGCAACTTCCGACTCCTAGGGTTCAAGCGATTCTCCTGCCCCAGCCTCCTGAGTAGCTGGGATTACAAGTGTGTGCCACTAAGCCTGGCTAATTTTTGTATTTTTAGTAGAGATGGGGTTTCACCATATTGGCCAGACTGGTCCTGAGCTCCTGACATCAAGAGATCCACCCGCCTCCGCCTCCCAAAGTGATGGGATTACAGGCAAGAGCCACTGTGCCCAGCCTAATAATTTTTTGTCTCCTTTCTTTAAAACTGTTTTAGGTGTGGCGTCACATGGCGTGGCAGCACATGGTGTGGTGGTACATGCCTGTAATCCCAGCTACTCAGGAGGCTGAGGCAGGAGAATCATTGAACCCACCAGGCAGAGGTTGCAGTGAGCCGAGATCTTGCCACTGCACTTCAGCCTGGGTGACAGAGCAAGACCCTGTCGAAAGAAAGAAAGAAAGAGAGGGAGGGAGGGAGGGGGAGAGAGAGAGAAAGAAAAAGAAAGAAAGAGAGAGGAGAGGAGAGAAAAGAAAGAGAGAAAGAGGGAGGGCCGGGTGCAGTGCGGTGGCTCACGCCTGTAATCCCAGCACTTTGGGAGGCCGGGGTGGGTGGATTGCCTGAGCTCGGGAGTTCGAGACCAGCCTGGCCAACATGGCGAAATCCCGTCTCTACTAAAAATACAAAAAATTAGCTGGGCGTGGTGGCGGGCGCCTGTACTCCCAGCTACTCGGGAGGCTGAGGCACGAGAATCACTTGAACCTGGGAGGTGGAGGTTGCAGTGAGTCAAGATCGTGCCACTGCACTCCAGCCTGGGTGACAGAGTGAGACTCCATCTCAAAAAAAAAAAAAAAAAGAGAGAGAGAAAGAAAGAAGGGAGGGAAGGAAAGAGAGAGAAAGAGAAAGAAGAAGGAAGGAAGAAAGAAAGAAAGGAAGGAAGGAAGGAAGGAAGGATTATACCAGTGCTGGGGAGGACATAAGAGAAACTGGATTCTACTCCTACTCCTACTCCTACTTTGGTGGTGGAAATGTAAAATGGTACAGAGAGCGCGGTGAGACGCAGAGTGCGGCCGGCTTGCCGAGTCCCAAGCAGGCAGGTGAGCTGGAGGGCGGGGATGTCCCGGGACAGGCCGCGGCCCCTGCCCCGCAGACACCGGGGCCCTCGCTGTGCCGGGCACAGACGAAGCCCCAGCCGAGACGCAGCGCCTCCAGGTGGCTGCGGGAGCGGCGGGCGGGAAGCGGGGCGGTCGCGATGGGGCGTCAGGGTGCAGAGGGCCCTGGAGGCGGTCTAGGGACACAGGCTCGGCCGCCTTGCTTTAGACCAGGAAGCCGCGCAGATCCGGGACCTGGGGGACCTCTCTGTCCCAGTGGGGCGAGACCTACCTAGCCCTGACGATAGCGGAGAATAGCCTTAACCGGCCTGGAAGGTGAACGAGTCCCCTGACTACGAGTGGAACGATTAGCGGCCATGCGGCTGTTCGCCTTCGTTCTACCAGACCTTCATGTGGAAGAGAGAAATGGTAAAATGGCCTGGCACATGTGGTCCTGGGAAATCCCCAGCACCCTTTGGGAAGATTTACTGACCGTCTATAGAAGGCCTGTGTAGGCCAGGCACGGTGGTGGCTCACGCCTGTAATCACAGCACTTTGGGAGGCCAAGGCGGATGGATCACCTGAGGTCGGGAGTTCAAGACCAGCCTGACCAACATGGTGAAACCCGGTCTCTACTAAAAATACAAAAATTAGTCGGGCGTGGTGGCGGACGCCTGTAATCCCAGCTTCTCGGGAGGCTGAGGCAGGAGAATCACTTGCAGTGAGCCGAGCTCGCACCATTGCACTCTAGCCTGGGCAACAAGAGTGAAACTCCAGCTCAAAAAAAAAAGAAGAAGAAGGCCTGTGTCTATAATAGGAAAAAGCTGCTCAACTTCTCCCTCAACCTAAAATTTTTTTTATTTATTTAATTTTATTTGTTTGAGACAGAGTCTTTCTCTGTTGCCCAGGCTGGAGTGCAGTAGCGCAATCTTAGCTCACTGCAACCTCCGCCTCCCGGGTTCAAGTGATTCTCCTGCCTCAGCCTCCCAAGTAGCTGGTACTACAGGCCACACCACCACGCCCGGCTAATTTTTATATTTTTAGTAGACGGGGTTTCACTATGTTGGTCAGGCTACTCTCGACCCCCTGACCTCGTGATCCGCCCGCCTCAGCCTCCCAAAGTGCTGGGATTACAGGCGTGAGCAACCGCTCCCGGGTTTGTTTGTTTTGTTTGTTTGTTTGTTTTGAGACAGAGTCTCACTCTGTCGCTCAGGCTGGAGTGCAATGGCAGGATGTCAGCTCACTGCAACCTCCACGTCGCGGGTTCAAGTGATTCTTCTGCCTCAGCCTCCCAGGCAGCTGGGATTACAGGCACCCACCACCACGCCCCACTAATTTTTTTGTATTTTTGTAGAAATTGGGTTTCACCACATTTGCCAGGCTGGTCTCAAACTCCTGACCTCAGGTGATCTGCTGGCCTCAGCCTCCCAAACTGCTGGGATTACAGGTGCAAGCCAAGGCGCCTGGCCTTTCCTAGGAATTTTAAAACAAAATATGCAAAATATATTCATTTACGAACTCTACATTTGTCATTGCACTCCAGCCTGGGCAACAAGAACGAAACTCCGTCTCAAAAATAAATAAATAAATAAATAAAAATAAAAAATAAAATTCCTATGAAATATTGTCTTCTGAAAATTTGAGCATTTTTGCCCACTGGGTTGATGGAGACAGAAAGGGTTCTAGGCCAGAATGTTCATATTTGGAAGACTTTCAAATTATAACTGTTGTCACATGTTTGCAGTTTATTCAAGACTGCTGTTACATAGTGGAAAAATTAACTCCTTACTTCAAATGTCTAGTCTACCTAGATGTTTGGAAGTGTCCCACGTATATTAAATATAGAGGTAGTGAAATATCACTGTAAATATCTTTTTGTTAAAATTTATAGGAAACACTGCCTTTTGGAAATTGAATTGTTTAACCACCTTTGTGAGCAGTGTAGTACTGTGTATAGTTGTTCGATAGTTTAGAGGAGGTGGGAGGGAAGAAATTGCAAAAGGTAATAGGCCAGTGTGTTCATAATTGGACATTTTCAGACACTATTTTTCTGTATGTTTTGTGCATTTTGTTTTGCTCTGTATATAGCATATACAATGGGCAAATGCATCCTGATTTTGCAACATCTAATTGCTGGATGTTAAAGAGGTTGCCAGTGTGTGATAAAGTACTTAGTAAATTTAGCATATTTTGTATACTTTGTGTTGAAATTCATAGGAAACTTGTCTTCTGTGGATGACTTTTGGATAGGAGTTTGTTCAACCATCTCTAAGCATTACACATGCGTGTACTTGTCCACTGGATTGAAAGCAGAGAGAAGGAAGTGAGGAGGGAATGGTTCAAGGCCAAAATGGTCATATTTAGGAGATACCTCAGATTATAACCACGGTTACATGTGTGGAATTTTATTTAACAGTGCGTGTACATGGTGGACAAGTTAGATGAAATATCTAGTATTTCTAGATATTTGGAAGTGCTTCATGTATTTAAAAGTAGTAGTAGCATAACACTGTTTTTTGTTTTTGTTTTTGTTGAGACGGAGTCTCACTCTGTCACCCAGGCTGGAGTGCAGTGGCACGATATCGGCTCATTGCAACCTCCGCCTCCTGGGCTCAAGCAATTCTCCTGCCTCAGCCTCCTGAGTAGCTGGGATTACAGGGGTGCACCACCATGCCCAGCTACCTTTTGTGTTTTTAGTAGAGACAGGGTTTCACCATGTTGGCTAGGCTGGTCTTGAACTCCTGACCTCAGATGATCCACCCACCTAGGCCTCCCAAAGTGCTTGGATTACAGGCATGAGCCACTGCGCCCGGCAAATAATACTTTTTGTAAATAACTTTTAAAAACTGATGGGGCTGGGGCCAGGCACGGTGGCTCACGCCTGTAATCCCAGCACTTTGGGAGTCCAAGGCAGGTGGATCACGAGGTCAGGAGATCGAGACCATCCTGGCTAACATGGTGAAACCCTGTCTCTACTAAAAATACAAAAAATTAGCCAGGCGTGGTGGTGGGTGCCTGTAGTCCCAGCTACTTGGGAGGCTGAGGCAGGAGAATGGCGTGAACCTGGGAGACGGAGCTTGCAGTGAGCTGAGACTGCGCCACTGCACTCCAGCCTGGGTGACAGAGCGAGACTGTGTCTCAAAAAAAAAAACAAAAAAAAAAAAACAACTGATGGGGCACAGTGGCTCACGCCTGTAATCCCAACACTTTGGGTGGCTGAGGCTGGTGAATCATTTGAGGTCAGGAGTTCCAGAACAGCCTGGCCAACATGGCGAAACCCTGTCTCTACTGAAAACACAAAAAGTAGCTAGGCTTGGTGGTGAGTGCCTGTAATCCCTCAGCTACTCAGGAGGCTGAGGCACGAGAACCGCTTGAACCCAGGAGGCAGAGACTGCAGTGAGCTGAGATCGTGCCACTGCACTCCAACCTAGGTGACAGAGTGAGACTCTGTCTCAAAAAATAAAAAAAGAAAAAAAACTGGTGGGAAATACTCTTTGGAAGTAGAATTGTTGAACCACCTCTGTGAACAGTGTACTCTCTGTACTTGTTCATTGGGTTGACGGAGGTGGGTGAGATGAAATTTCCTGATTAGGACATTGTACTACAGCTATGCAACATGTTACCATTGAGAGAAAATGGCTGTATAATTTCCTACATGTGAATATGCAATGACCTCAAAATAAATTTTTGTTAAAAAGTACACCACTGGCCAGGTGCGGTGGCTCACGCCTGTAATCCCAGCACTTTGGGAGGCCGAGGTGGGTGGATCAGGAGGTCAGGAGATGGAGACCATCCTGGCTAACATGGTGAAACCCCGTCTCTACTAAAAATACAAAAAATTTGCCGGGTGTGGTGGCGGGAGCCTGTAGTTCCAGCTACTCGGGAGGCTGAGGCAGGAGACTGGCGTGAACCCAGGAGGCAGAGCTTGCAGTGAGCGGAGATCGCACCACTGCACTCCAGCCTGGGCAAGAGAGCGAGACTCCATCTCCAAAAAAAAAAAGTATACCACTGGATTCTGCAAACCTCCCGAGCACACGTCGGTAGCCGGCTCCCTGGCTGTCTGAATTACCAAGCTGTCTCCCCAGCTGTATTTCCAAAATGTCGCTTTCTAACAAGCTGATGCTGGACAAGCTGGACGTGAAAGGGAAGCCGGTCGTTATGAGAGTCGACTTCAATTTTCCTATGAAGAACAACCAGGTAACAAACAACTGGAGGATTAAGGCTGCTGTCCCAAGCATCAAATTCTGCTTGGACAATGGATCCAAGTCAGTAGTCCTTATAAGCCACCTAGGTTGGCCTGATGGTGTCCCTATGCCTGACAAGTACTCCTCAGAGCCAGTTGCTGTAGAACTCAAATCTCTGCTGGGCAAGGATGTTCTGTTCTTGAAGGACTGTGTAGGCCCAGAAGTGGAGAAAGCCTGTACCAACCCAGCTGCTGGGTCTGTCATCCTGCGGGAGAACCTCCGCTTTCATGTGGAGGAAGAGGGAAGGGAAAAGATGCTTCTGGGAACAAGGCTAATGCTGATCCAGCCAAATTAGAAGCTTTCCAAGCTTCACTTCCCAAGCTAGGGGAAGTCTATGTCAATGATGCTTTTGGCACTGCTCACAGAGCCCACAGCTCCATGGCAGAAGTCAATCTGCCACAGAAGGCTGGTGGTTTTTTGATGAAGAAGGAGCTGAACTACTTTGCCGAGGCCTTGGAGAGCCCAGAGCGACCCTTCCTGGCCATCCTGGGCAGAACTAAAGTTGCAGACAAGATCCAGCTGATCAAGAACATGCTGGGCAAAGTCAATGAGATGATTATTGGTAGTGGAATGGCTTGTACCTTCCTTAAGGTGCTCAGCAACATGGAGATTGGCACTTCTCTGTTTGATGAAGAGGGAGCCAAGACTGTCAAAGACCTAATGTCCAAAGCTGAGAAGAATGGTGTGAAGATTATCTTGCCTGTTGACTTTGTCACTGCTGGCAAGTTTGATGAGAATACCAAGACTGGCCAAGCCACTGTGGCTTCTGGCATACCTGCTGGCTGGCTGGGCTTGGACTGTGGCCCTGAAAGCAGCAAGAAGTATGCTGGGGCTGTCACTCAGGCTAAGCAGATTGTGTGGAATGGTCCTGTGGGGTTTTTTGGGGTTTTTTGTTTGTTTGTTTTTTGAGATGGAGTCTCACTCTGTCACCCAGGCTGGAGTGCAATGGCGCGGTCTTGGCTCACTGCAACCTCCACCTCCCTGATTCAAGTGATTCTCCTGCCTCAGCCTCCCCAGTAGCTGGGACTACTGGTGCGTGCCACCACGCCCGGCTAATTTTTGTATTTTTAGTAGAGACCGGTGTTTCACCATGTTGACCAGGCTGGTCTCGAACTACTGACCTCATGATCTGCCCACCTCGGCCTCCCAAAGTGCTGGGATTACAGGCATGAGCCACCGCGCCCGGCCTTCTGTAGGGGTTTTTGAATGGGAAGCTTTTGCCCGGGGAACCAAAGCCCTCATGGATGAGGTGGTGGAGACACTGCCACTTGCTGTGTAGAATGGAACATGGAGGATAAAGTCAGCCAGGTGAGCACTGGGGGTGGTGCCGGTTTAGAGCTCCTAGAAGGTAAAGTCCATCCTGGGGTTGATACTCTTGGCAATATTTAGTACTTTCCTGCCTTTTAGTTCCTGTGCACAGCCCCTAAGTCAACTTAGCATTTTCTGCATCTCCACTTGGCATTAGCTAAAACTTTCCATGTCAAGATTCAGCTAGTGGCCAAGAGATGCAGTGCCGGGAACCCTTAAATGGTTACACAGAATCTCAGCTCATCTCTACTGCAAAAATTCAAAAAGTGAGGTGAGAGGATCGCTTGATCCTGGGAGGTTGAGGCTGCAATGAGCCATAATCTTGCCACTGCACTACCTGGGAGTGACACCCTGTCTCGAAACAACAACAACAACAACAACAAACTGGCACTCCACATTCAAAGGGAAGAGAATTAAACTCCATTTAAAGGGACTAAACGTTTCTGTCTCCCACCTCCAATAAATTAATATAATAAATCCCTACTCTCCAGTGTGCTGGTATTTGCAGATGGGGCCTCTGGGAGATAATTGGTGAGGTCTTGAGGGTGGGGCACGCATGATGGAATGAGTTACCTTATAAGAAGAGACACCAGGGCCGGGCGCGGTGGCTCCCGCCTGTAATCCCAGCACTTTGGGAGGCCGAGGTGGGTGGATCATGAGGTCAGGAGATCGAGACCATTGTGGCTAACACTGTGAAACCCCATCTCTACTAAAACTACAAAAAATTAGCCGGGCATGGTGGCGGGCACCTGTAGTCCCAGCTACTTGGGAGGCTGAGGCAGGAGAGTGGCGTGAACCCAGGAGGCGGAGCTTGCAGTAAGCCGAGATCGCGCCACTGCACTCCAGCCTGGGCCACAGAGTAAGACTCTGTCTCAAAAAAAAAAAAAGAAGAGACACCAGGCTGGGCGTGGTGGCTCACACCTGTAATCCCAGCACTTTGGGAAGCTGAGGCAGGAGGATCCTTTGAGCCCAAGAGTTTGAGGTTGCAGTGAGCTATGATTGTGCCACAGCACTCCAGCCTGCGTGACAAAGCGAGACCCTGTCTCAATAATAATAATAATAGGCTGAGTGTAGTGGTTCACACCTGTAATCCCAGCATTTTGGGAGGCCTAGGTGGGCGGATCACCTGAGAACAGGAGTTCGAGACAGTCTGGCCAAAATGGTGAAACCCCATCTCTACTAAAGATACAAAAATTAGCCGGGCATGGTGGTGGGCACCTGTAATCCCAGCTACTTCGGAGGCTGAGACAGGAGAATCACTTGACCTCAGGAGGCAGAGGTTGCAGTGAGCCAAGATCGCACCACTGCACTTCATCCTGGACGACAGAGTGAGACTCTGTCTCAAATAATACTACTACTAATAAATAATAATAATAATGAAAAAACACCAGAGACCTCTCTTTCTCTCTGTCTTTCTCTCTGTCACCCCTATGCCCTCTTCCCAACTTGAGGACACAACCAGAAAGTAGCCATCTTTGAGCCAGGAAGAAAGCCCTCACCAAGAACAGAATCTACTGTCATTTTGACCTTGGACTTCATGGTGTCAAGAATCGTATTTTGTTATTGTATTTTGTTATTTTGTAATCGTATTGTATTTTGTTATAGTGGCTCAAGTAGAGTAAAAGACAGAAATGGCAAGAAAGTTAAACCCATCCCACTAGAGGTTTGTCATGGAGGGGACAGAGCGTTGGGTTTAGGCCTGAGCTTTGGAGTTGGAAAGAATTGAGTTCATACTTAGGCGGGGACCTTGAACAAGTCCCTTGAGTTCTCTAAACCTCAATAGCCCCTTCTGTAAAACGAAGATAATAAAGTTGTTGTGAGTGCACCTTGAAACTGCAAGACACATGTCTTAGCACCAGGTAGGCACTCAATAAATAGAGGTAGTGCTATTCTTTTTATTAATGTCTTTCTAGTTGGTCATGCTAATGATATAGTGGGACAGGCAGAACTGGGTCTTCAAGACTTCAGGTGCCAGGCTGAGGAGCTTGGACTTGCACTTGAGAGCACTAGGGAGCCATGGGAGGTGTGTGAGCAGGGAAGAGAGAGAAAAATGTCCCTTTGGTGCCGAGGTGAATGACTAGGAATTGAAGTTTGGGAGACCAAGGAGGACACTTTGACAGGTACCCAGGTGAGTGTCTAGACCTGGGTGGTGGCAATTGGGATGATGGGAGTGAGAAGAAATAAGTAGGTCAGGCTTGGTGGCTCATGCCTGTAATCCCAGCACTTTGGGAGGCCAAGGTGGGTGGATAACCTGCGGTCAGGAATTCAAGACCAGCCTGGCCAACATGGTGAAACCCTGTCTCTACTAAAAATACAAAAATTACCCAGGTGGGGCCAGGTGCAGTGGCTCACGCCTGTAATCCCAGCACTTTGGGAGGCCGAGGCGGGCAGATCACAAGGTCAGGAGTTCAAGACTGGGCTGACCGACATGGTGAAACTCTTGTCTCTACTAAAAATACAAAAATTAGCCAGGCGTGGTGGTGCGTGTCTGTAATCCCAGCTACTCGGGAGGCTGAGGCAGGAGAATTGTTTCAACCCGGGAAGTGGAGGTTGCAGTGAGCCGAGATCATGCTACTGCACTCCAGCCTGGGCAACAAGAGTGAAACTCTGTCTCAGAAAAAGAAAAAAAAAATTATCCAGGCATGGTGGCAGGTACCTGTAATCACAGCTGCCAGGGAGGCTGAGGCAGGAGAATCACATGAACCCGGGAGGTGAAGGTTGCAGTGAGCCGAGATCGCGCTACTGCACTCCAGCCTGGGTGACAGAGTGAGACTCCGTCTCAAAATAATAATAATAATAATAAATAAATAAATACATAAATAAGTAGTTAAGTAGTTCAAGATGAGTATTGGGTATAGGGCTTGAATGGTAGCTCCACGACCCAGGTCGGAAGTAGCAGTTAAGAGGGGTTGGGGTCGGGGTATCAATGTCAGTTTTCACTTTGCCTAGAATATTTTTTCTTGTTGTGTCTTCCTGAAATATTCTTACTGGTCTTTGGAGACACTGCCCAAAGATCCCTCCTCTGAGAATCTCCCTGGAACATGTGTGGTCCTGCAAAGCTGCTGCTCATGATGTTATCCTACAAACATCCAAATCCCGGCATATGAGTTTCTCTAGGGCAGTCTCTGGCTGGTTCCATTGTAGGATCTGTCCACGCCCTGCATATGCCTGGTACCAAAAAAGGAAACTGGGTCTGCAGGACGTTGCTGCAGTTCAGGCATTGGCCGCGTGGGGGCAGAAGTGCACAGGTCAAAGCGTCTGGAAAAAGCCCTCAGGCTGCAGGACCAGCAGAGCATCACCAAGGACGTCCCTGGTTGAGAACTACGTCTTTTTATTCGTTTTAAAGGGGCGCATAGGCACTAGGATCCAGTTTTGTCCACCTAACCCACCCACCCAGCGACACACGCCCCGCAGCCCATAGCTGGAGGATATTTACGCAAAACCTAAATCAGATCAGTCTTTCCTTTGCTCAGAACATTTTTTTTTTTTGAGGGACGGAGTCTTGCTCTGTCGCCCAGACTGGAGTGCAATGGTGCAATCTCGGCTTACTACAACCTCCACCTCCCAGGTTCATGTAACTCTCCTGCCTCAGCCTCCCGAATAGCTGGGATTACAGATGTGAGCCACCACGCCCAGCTAGTTTTTGTATTTTTAATAGAGACGGGGTTTCACCACGTTGGTCGGGCTGGTCTCGAACTCCTGACCTCAAGTGATCCACCCGCCTCGGCCTCCCAAAGTGCCGGGATTACAGGCATGAGCCATCGCGCCCAGCCTGCTCAGAACCATTTGTGGCTCCCACTTAACCCAGTGGGAGTGCTGAAATAACTTAAACATTTTACATGGCATTTACAAATGCGATATTTTATTCTTTAATCCTTTAAAATCTCTCCATCAATAAAACTCTTCAGAAGTCCTTACCAGTTGTTACAAATCTAAAATATAAATATACAAATAAGTGGTAATGTATGTTCTCTCAAACATTCTGACACTACTTCTACACTCAACCAAATTGTGATATACTTTTCCATTTAAAATTACCAGTCTTGGCCGGACGTGGTGGCTCACGCCTGTAATCCCAGTACTTTGGGAGGCCAAGGCGGGTGGATCAACTGAGGTCAGGAGTTCAAGACCAGCCTGGCCAACATGATGAAACCCCATCTCTACTAAAAATACAAAAAAGTTAGCCAGGTGTGGTGGCCGGTGCCTGTAATCTCAGTTACTTGGGAGGGTGAGGCAGGAGAATCGCTTGAGCCTGGGAGGCAGAGGTTGCGGTGAGCCGAGATCAAGCCATTACACTCCAGCCTGGGCAACAAAGCAAAACTCTGTCTTTTTTTTTTTTTTTTTTAAAGGAACCTCGCTCTGTTGCCAGGCTGGAGTGCAGTGGCGTGATCTCAGCTCTCTGCAACCTCCGCCTCCTGGGTTCAAGCGATTCTCCTGCCTCAGCCTCCTGAGTAGCTGGGACTACAGGTGTGTGCCACCACGCCTAGCTACTTTTTTGTATTCTTAGTAGAGATGGGGTTTCACCATGTTGGCCAGGATGGTCTCGATCTCTTGACCTTGTGATCCACCTGCCTCAGACTCCCAAAGTGCTGGGATTACAGGCGTGAGCCACCGTGCCCAGCGAAACTCTGTCTTTAAAAAAAAAAAAATACCAGTCCTGGTGAGGCGCAGTGTCTCCCGCCTATAATCCCAGCACTCTGGGAGGCCGAAGCGTGTGGATCACTTGAAGTCAGGAGTTCAAGACCAGCCTGGCCAATGTGGTGAAACCCCATCTCTACTAAAAACACGAAAATTAGCCGGGCGTTGTGGTGCATGCCTGTAATCCCAACTATTTGAGAGGCTGAGGCAGGAGAGTCACTTGAACCCAGAAGGTGGAGGTTGCAGTGAGCTGAGATCATGTCAATGCACTCCAGCCTGGGTGATAGAGCAAGACTCCCTCTCAAAAAAAAAAAAAAAAAAAAAGGCCGGGCGCGGTGGCTCATGCCTGTAATCCTGGCACCTTGGGAGGCTGAGGTAGGCAGATTGCCTGAGCTCAGGAGTTCAAGAGCAGCTTGGGCAACATGGTGAAACCCTGTCTCTATTAAAAATACAAAAATTAACCAGGCGTGGTGGCGGGCGCCTGTAATCATGGCTGCCCAGGAGGCTGGGGCAGGAGAATCACCTGAACTTGGGAGGTGGAGGTTGCAGTGAGCTGAGATTCTGCCAGGGCACTCCAGCCTAGGCAACAGAGTGAGATTCTGTCTAAAAAAAAAAAAAAAAAAAAAAAAAGCCGGGTGCGGTGGCTCACGCCTGTAATCCCACCACTTTGGGAGATAGAGGCTGGCGGATCACGAGGTCAGGAGATCGAGACCATCCTGGCTAACACAGTGAAACCCTGTCTCTACTAAAAATACAAAAAATTGACTATAAATCATGCTGCTATAAAGACACATGCACACGTATGTTTATTGCGGCACTATTCACAATAGCAAAGACTTGGAACCAACCCAAATGTCCAACAATGATAGACTAGATTAAGAAAATGTGGCACATATACACCATGGAATACTATGCAGCCATAAAAAATGATGAGTTCATGTCCTTTGTACGGACATGGATGAAATTGGAAATCATCATTCTCAGTAAACTATCGCAAGAACAAAAAACCAAACACTGCATATTCTCACTCATAAGTGGGAATTGAATAACGAGAACACATGGACACAGGAAGGGGAACATCACACTCTGGGGACTGTTGTGGAGTAGGGGGAGGGGGGAGGGATAGCATTAGGAGATATACTTAATGCTAAATGACGAGTTAATGGGTGCAGCACACCAGCATGGCACATGTATACATATGTAACTACCCTGCACATTGTGCACATGTACCCTAAAACTTAAAGCATAATAATAATAAAATAAAATAAAATAAATAAATAAATAAAAATAGAAAAGAACTATGTACCATTAAAAAAAAAAATACAAAAAATTAGCCGGGCGTGGTCGTGGGCGCCTAAAGTCCCAGCTACTCAGGAGGCTGAGGCAGGAGAATGGCGTGAACCCGGGAGGCAGAGCTGGCAGTGAGCCGAGATTGCACCACTGCACTCCAGCCTGGACGACAGAGCGAGACTCCGTCTCAAAAAAAAAAAAAAAGTATTGAACTGTTGTTGATGATGTGAGCAATGGAGAATTAGGAGGGAAGTGTACAGCCTTGTGTAATTTATATTAACATGCGTAAAAATCGAGATGGATGAAGCGATATCTACAAAGAGATTAAAACAAGCTGGGCACGGTGGCTCACGCCTGTAATCCCAGCACTTTGGGAGGCCGAGGAGGGCGGATCACCTGAGGTCGGGAGTTCGAGACCAGCCTGACCACCATGGAGAAAACCTCTCTCTACTAAAAATATAAAATTAGCTGGGTGTAGTGGCGCATGCCCGTAATCCCAGCTACTCAGGAGGCTGAAGCAGGAGAATCCCTTGAACCTGGGAGGCAGAGGTTGCGGTGAACCGAGATCATGCCATTGCACTCCAGCCTGGGCAACAAGAGTGAAACTCCATCTCAAAAAAAGAAAAAAAAAACACACACAAATATATTCAAATATTAATTGCGTTATCTAGGGGTATGTGGGTGTTTAAGAGAACCTAAATCCTGTTATCCATAATAGCTACACCATTTTACATTCCCACTAACAATGAAAAGCATTCCAAATTCTATGGATCCTCACCAGCACTTGTTATTTTCTGTGATTTTGACGAACGTGAAGAATTATCTCTTTGTGCTTTTGATCTTCATTTCTCTTATGACTTGTAATGTTGAACGTCTATTCCTATGGAGGCTTTTTTTTTTTTTTTTTTTTTTTGCATTTTTTAAAGACAGGGTCTCACTCTCTCACCCTGGAGTGCAGTAGTGCAATCACAGCTGACTGCAGCCTCGAACTCCTGGACTCAAGAGACCCTCCTGCGTCGATCCCAAAATGCTGGGATTATAGGCATGAGCTACTGTGCCGGCCAATATCAAGACACTTTTCCAAGTGATGAGACCAGCCATTTAGTCTATCCTTAAAGAACTGAGTCATGGAAATTTAATCATGTCAATAGTCTTTTTTACATTATTAACCAAACAAAAATGAGTTCCTTTTAAAGATTTTTTTAAGATTAGGAAATAGCTGGGCTTGGTGGCTCAAGCATGTAATCCCAGCACTTTGGGAGGCTGATTGCTTAAATCCAGGAATTTGAAACTAGCCCAGCCAACATGCTGAAATCCTGTCTTCACAAAAAAATACAAAAAATTATCGAGGTGAGGTGGCACATACCTGTAATCTCAGCTACTGGGGAGGCTGAGGTGGGAGGATCACCTGAGCCTGGGGAGGTTGAGGCTGCAGTGAGCCCTGATCCTACCACTGCACTCCAGCCTGGGCAACAAAGTGAGATCCTGCCTCCCAAAAAAAGTTGGAGCGGGGAGGCTGGGTGCGGTGGCTCACGCCTGTAATCCCAGCACTTTGGGAGGCCCAGGCGGGTGGATCATGAGGTCAGAAGATCGAGACCATCCTGGCTAACATGGTGAAACCACATCTCTTCTAAAAATACAAAAAAAATTAGCCGAGGGTGGTGGCGGGCTCCTGTAGTCCCAGCTACTCAGGAGGCTGAGGCAGGAGAATGGCGTGAACCCGGGAGGCGGAGCTTGCAGTGAGCCGAGATCACGCCACTGCACTCCAGCCTGGGCGACCAAGCAAGACACCGTCTCAAAAAAAAAAAATTGGAGCGGGGAGGAGGAGCCACATCAGGATGGTACAGTGGATGCCTAATGATTTTACAATAAAACTCTCACAAAATTGTTCTTGTTCAACAAAAGGAATGTGCAGGAGCACTGTCATGGTGGTGAAGGACTCTCTGGTGGAACTTTCCTGGATATTTTTCTGCCAAAGCTTTGGCTGACTTTCTCAAAACACTCATAATAAGCAGAGGTTTTTATTCTTTGACCTTCCAGAAGGTCACACTTAGTACTATGTTTTTTGTTTTGGCTTGGTTTTTTTGAGACAGTCTCACTCTGTCACCCAGGCTGGAGTGCAGTGGCCCGATCTCGGCTCACTGCAACCTCTGCCTCCCAGGTTCAAGCGATTGTACTGCCTCAGCTTCCCAGGTACCTGGGATTACAGGCGTACAGCACCATGCCCGGCTAATTTTTGTATTTTTGGTAGAGATGGGGGTTCTCTATCTTGGCCAGGCTGGTCTCTAAATCCTGGCTTCAAGTGATCCACCCACCACGGCCTCCCGAGGGGCTAGGATTACAGGCGTGAGACACTGTGACCGGCTGGTACTATGTTTTGAACATAGGAATTGTGAGGCCTCTAGCTTTGTTCTTGTTTTTCAAGATTGTTTTGGATATTTCAGATTCTTGGAAGTTTCATATACATTTTCAGATTCTTTTTTCTATTTTTGCAAAAAAATGCCATTGAATTTGTTATGAATTGCATTGAATCTGTGCATCAGTTTGAGTAGTGATTTACAATTGGATAATTTCACAATATTAAGTAGTCTAATCTATGAACTGGGGATGTTGTGAGAATATAGAGAAAAACAAATCAACACAATTTCTCTGAGTGTTAGGCTTTTCCATACACACCCAGCAAGCAATTCTGCAGAGGATTCACCAGCTAGATATCCTCAAATTCTATTCAATTCCAATACTATCTATCTGGAGATAGCATCACATCCCAAAGATCAAGGACAATGTTCCACAAGACTGTCCCTCATCTTAGATGCCAGTCACAAGCCAGGGCCTCTAGAACTTCTGGACCAACTTAAACACTGGGGTTCCGAAAACCCCTTCCTTGAGTTTAATTAGTGTGATATTTAATATTGAGTGTCAACGTGATTGAAGGATGCAAAATACTGTCCCTGGGTGTGTCTGTGAGGGTGTTGCCAAAGGAGATTAACATTTGAGTCAGTGGACTGGGGGAGGCAGACCCACCCTCAGTTTGGGTGGGCACCATCTAATCAGCTGCCAGCGTGGCTAGAATAAAGCAGGCAGAAGAAAATGCAAGGAGCTGACTTGTTGAGTCTTCCCGTCTTCATCTTTCTCCTGTGCTGGATGCTTCCTGCCCTCAAACATCAGACTTCAAATTCTTCAGCTTTGGGATTCTTGGACGTACACCAGTGATTTGCCAGGGTCTCTCGGGCCTTTGGCCACAGACCGAAGGCTACACTGTCGGCTTCCCTAACTTTTGAGGTTTTGGGATTTAGACTGATCCACCACTGGCTTCCTTGCTCCTCAACTTACAGACTATCGTGGGACTTTACCTTGTGATTCTGTGAGTCAATTCTAATAAACTCCCTTTCATATATACAGATATCCTACTAGTCTTTCCCTCTAGAGAACCCTGACTAGTACGATTTGCTAGAACAGCTCAGAAAACTCAGAGAAACATATTAGTTTAATTTACCCCCCTTTTTTTTTTCTGAGACGGGGTCTTGCCTTGTTGCCCAGACTGGTCTTGAACTCCTGGGCTCAAGCGATCCTCCCACCTCAGCCTCTCAAGTAGCTGGGACTACAGGCTCATGCCACTGTGCCCAATTTTGTTTACCCACTTATTACAAAGAATATTACAAAAGATACAGGTGAACAGCCAGATGGAAGAGATGTATGACTCTAGGTGTGACACCTTTCAGGAACCTCCACACGTTCAGCTCCCCAGAAGCTCCCGGACCCAGGCCTTTCAAGTTGAATGGAGTCATCATTATGTAGTCATGACTGATTACATTATTGCCCATTGTTTATCAACTTAACCTTCAGTCCATCTCCCCACTCTGGAGGTCCAAAGGAATGGAGCTGAAAGTTCCAATCCTATAATCACATGGTTATTTCCTTTGCTACCTGCCCCCCCATCCTGAGGCTATCCAGCAGGCCCAAGCCATCAGTCAACTCATTAGCATACAAAATGTCACTTATCACTTTTAAGACTCAAAAAATTTTAGGGGTTATATGACAAGAAACGGGAAGAAGATTGCTATGGTATGAAGACAGTAGGGACACCTTTTATTAGCGGCCTGTGGACCCCAAGCATGGAAATAAAGAAAAATCCTGAGTTTAAAGGAAATTCTAGGCACCTAGTGAAGCCATGAGAAGCAAATAAGTAACTTGTTAAACAAGAAGGTAATAGATCTAAAACAATAGCTCAGGAAGTTAGAGGCCCAGATATGTTTGCTTTCCCCATATAAACTAAGGGTAAGATCTTTTTTTTTTTTGAAAGGGAGTCTTGCTCTTTCACCCAGGCCAGAGTGCAGTGGCGCTATCTCGGCTCACTGCAAGCTCTGCCTCCTGGGTTCACGCCATTCTCCTGCCTCAGCCTCCTGAGTAGCTGGGACTACAGGCGCCCGCCACCGCGCCTGGCTAATTTTTTGTATTTTTAGTAGAGACGGGGTTTCACCGTGTTCGCCAGGATGGTCTCGATCTCCTGACCTCGTGATCTGCCCGCCTCAGCCTCCCAAAGTGCTGGGATTACAGGCGTGAGCCACCACGCCCGGCAGGATAACATCTTAACATACATCCCGGAGTTGTCTTTCAGAGGCTTGGAACCCCACTGAGGACCCCCGCTGAACAGATCCATTCACTGGCACAGACTCCTAGATAAGGAAGAAGTGAAGACTAAACTTGACCTTTGTTCTGTTTCTTCCTTGGGGGATTAGAGAAAGTCACTCCCTGTAACCAGTTATTTTTCTACTGACCCCTGTCAGGCCTCTGAGCCCAAGCCTGCACGAATACATCCAGATGGCCTGAAGCAAGTGAAGAATCACAAAAGAAGTGAAAATAGCTGGTTCCTGCCTTAACTGACATTACCTTGTGAAATTCCTTTTCTTGGCTCAGAAGCTCCTCCACTGAGCACCTTATGACCCCCACTCCTGCCCGCGAGAAAACAACCCCCTTTGACTGTAATTTTCCACTACCTACCCAAATCCTATAAAACAGCCCCACCCCTATCTCCCTTCACTGACTCTTTCTGGACTCAGCCTGCCTGCACCCAGGTGAAATAAACAGCTTTACTGCTCACACAAAGCCTGTTTGGTGGTCTCTTCACACGGACACGCGTGACAACCCGATTTTTCTTTTTTTTAATCTTATGACCTCATTTTTCTCAGAGATGAAGTCTTGTTATGTTGCCTAGGCTGGTCTTGAAATCCTGGCCTCAAATGATCCTCTTGCCTAGGCCTCGCAAAGTGCTGGCATTACAGGCATGAGCCACCGCACCTAACTTAAAGTTTTTTTTTTTTTTTTGAAACGGAGATTCACTCTTGTTGCCCAGGCTGGAGTGCAATGGCGTGATCTCAACTCACTGCAACCTCTACCTCCCGAGTTCAAGCGATTCGCCTGCCTCAGTCTCCCAAGTAGCTGGGATTACAGGTGTGAGCCATTTGCCCAGCCTAGCTTAAATTTTTAAACAAAACTTCTCTCTTCCTTTTTTTTTTGTTTGTTTTTGAGATGGAGTCTCGCTCTGTTGCCCAGGCTAGAGTGCAATGGCGCAATCTTGGCTCACTGCAACCTCCGCCTCCCGGGTTCAAGCTATTCTCATGTTTCAGCCTCCCGAGAAGCTGGGATTACAGGCACCCACCACCACGCCCGGCTAATTTTTGTATTTTTAGTAGAGACCAGTTTTCGTCATGTTGATCAGGTTGGTCTCGAACTCCTGACCTCAGGTGATCCGCCGGCCTCGGCCTCCCAAAGTGCTGGGATTACAGGCGTGAGCCACCGCGCCCAGCTTACTTCTTTCTTCCTTAACCAATTGCAAATGTGATCTTTGAATCTACCTGTGACTTATGAGCCCCACTTCAAGATATTCCATTCTTTTAAGCTTATACCACTGTGTAACCTCCATGTACTGATTTATGATTCTTGCCTGTAGCCTCTGCTTTCCTGAAATTTACCCCTGCCTTTTCCGTGTGTGTCTGTGTGTGTGTTTCCCCTGCTGTCTTTACAATACTCCTGCCTTTAAAAACTCTTACCTGCGGCCAGGTGCGGTGGCTTACCCCTATAATCCCAGCACTTTGGGAGGCCAATGTGGGCAGATCACCCGAGGTCAGGAGTCCAAGACCAGCCTGGCCAACATGGTGAAACCCCATCTCTACTAAAAATACAAAAAATTAGCTGGGCGTGGTGGCAGGTGCCTGTAATCCCAGCTACTCGGGGGCGGGGACGGGGGAGACTGAGGCAGGAGAATTGCTTAAACCCAGGAGGCAGAGGTTGCAGTGAGCCGAGATTGCACCATTGCACTCCAGCCTGGGTGACAGAGCAAGATTCCGTCTCAGAAAAACAAAACAAAACAAAACAAAAAACCCAAAAACTCTTACCTGCAAGCTATTGGGAGCTCAAGTCAGGCCAGGTGAGGTGGCTCACTCCTGTAATCCCAGCACTTTGGGAGGCCGAGGCTGGTGGATCACAAGGTCAGGAGATCGAGACCAGCCTGACCAACATGGTGGAACCCCATCTCTACTAAAAATACAAAAAATTAGCCAGGTGTGGTGGCACGTGCCTGTAGTCCCAGTTACTCGGGAGGCTGAGGCAGGAGAATAGCTTGAACTCCGGAGGTGGAGGTTGCAGTGAGCTGAGATCGCGCCACTGCACTCCAGCCTGGGCGACAGAGTGAGAGTCTGTCTCAGCACTCCTGCCTGGGCCATAGAGCAAGACTCTGTCTCAAAATAAATAAATAAATAAATTATAGAGTGTACCTTCTTACATTTAGTGGGACTCCTAGATATAACTGATTCCTGGGATTGATTAATCCCATGAAGGATTGTCAGTTAGTGCATTACAGAGATGTTAAAATTAAAAATTTTAACCCGGGAGGCGGAGATTGCAGTGAGCCGAGATCGCGCCTCCAGCCTGGGCAACAGGGAGACTCCATCTATAAATAAATAAATAAATTAATTAAATGGGGCCTAGCTATGCTGACCAGGCTGGTCTCAACTTCCTGGGATCAAGTAATGCTCCCACCTTGTGTCCTAAAGCACTGGCATTACAGGTGTGAGCTACTATGCCTGGCCTCACGTTGACATCTGATCTCCAAAGCAGCTGTTTTGAGAGGTGCGGCCAGGTGGCAGGTGTTTGGGTCAAAAAGGCAACTCCATCACAATAGATTAACGCCCTTCTGTTATTGCTTTCACAGGAATGGTTCCCACGAGAGTAGGTTATTAAAGGGTCTGTCTTCCTTGATGTCCTCTTACTTCCTGTCTCACCACGTGATCTCTGCACACGCTGGTTCCCCTTCTGCTTTCTGCCGCAAATGTAGGCAGGTGAAACCCTCTCCAGATGCAGCCTGAACAAGATTTTACTAATGAGAAGAGCATGAAGTCTTTCATGAGGCATCTACCCTATGACTTAAACACCTCCCACTAGGCCTAAAACCACTACACTGGACCATATTTCAATAACTATGGAGAAGACATTGAAACCCTAGCAGGAATTTCCTGGATGACAACAGATGCTTTACATAATTTAAGGATACTGGGATTTATTCAGGTTTGAATACGTTTGTTGAGCTACAGGAATGCCACAGGGGTTGTCCCTTATAACCCAGAGGATCAGGGTCTCTGTTGAGATAGAGGCATGGGCAGCGGCAGCAGCAGAGGTACTTAAAGGTCCAGCTGAGTGTGAACTTCAGGACACCATCTAATGGTAGCTTCCCCACCTTCTCTTCTTTCGCATTTTTTCTTTTTTCTTTTTTTTGAGATGGAGTCTCGCTCTGCTGCCCAGGTTTATGTGCAGTAGGGCAATCTTAGCTCACCGCAACCTCCACCTCCCAGGTTCAAGTGATACTCCTGCCTCAGTCTCCTGAGTAGCTGTGATTACAGGTGTAAACCACCACGCCTAGCCTTCTTTCTCACTTTTTTTTTTTTTTTTTTGAGACGGAGTCTTACTCTGTCGCCCAGGCTGGAGTGCAGTGGTGCGATCTCGGCTCACTGCAACCTCTGCCTCCCAGGTTCAAGAGATTCTACTGCCTCAGCCTCCCGAGTAGCTGGCATTACAGGCGTCCACCACTATGCCCAGCTAATTTTTGTATTTTTAGTAGAGATGGGGTTTCACCATAATGGCCAGGCTGGTCTCAAACTTCTGACCTCAGGTGATCTGTCTGCCTTGGCCTCCCAAAGTGGTGGGATTACAAGCGTGAGCCACCACCACTGCGCCAGGCTCTTTCTCATTTTCAAATGACTGCTCTTTCAGGAATGACCACTAATGGGGCCCCAACATGCACAAGATAAAATCTCACCACCAGCCCCCACCACCAGACCTACAGGACAAGGCCAACACCTAGCATCAGTCCCAGCTTCATTCTACATAGAAAGGCAAAGTGAAAACTCCTAGCCCAGACCATTTTAAGGAGGGCCCAAATCCGATACTCCTGCTCCTAAATGCCAAAGACTTATAGAAACTGCCATCTTCGGTTGGCTAAATCTGGAACACAAGTTTGTTCGGCCTCAGCAATGGAACACAGAGCAGCAAGCAGCAGCAGCTCAAAGAGCATGCTGGCCACCAGGTAGCAGAGCAGGTTAGCACCTGAGAGAAAGGGAAAGCTGACCCATTGCATGGTGACCAACATCTAGACATCCTGCTGACAGTGCCAACTGTTACGGTTGCCTGAAAAGGTGTGCTTCAGAGGTTGACACCGAGAGCTATGTGGTGCACACACACACCGAGAGTATGAAAAGGCTTATTACAAAAATGAGGTATCAGAGAGAACAATGCAGGGCTCTCAAGCAAGTGTGACATGGCGTGAGAGCAAGGAAGATGGCATTCCTGTCCCTTATGAGTACTGATGCAAAAATCTTGAAATAAATGCCAGCAAAGCATATAAAGCAATATATTCAAAGCATTATGCAATATAACCAAGTGAGATTTGTCCCTGGAATGTAAGGATGGTTCACCATATGGAAATTGATCAGTGGAATACACCACATTAGGAAATGACGGAAAAATGACAGTCTCAATTGATGCAAAAAAGCATGACATAATTCAACACCCATTTATGATTAAAAATCTGCAACAAACAAGGAATATAATTTACTCAAATTGCTACAAGGCATATATGAAAAACTCAATAAAATCTTTGATGGTGAAAAACCATATTTTTAATATCTAATATCAGAAACAAGGATATTTGCTCTCACCAGCTCCATTCAGTGTTAAGGGGGGTGCTCCCAGGGAAATCAGGCAAGAAAATGCAAGCATTCCAGCCGGGCCTGGTGGCTCAAGCCTCTAATCCCAGCACTTTGAGAGGCCGAGGCAGGCAGATCACAAGGTCAGGAGGGCGAGACCATCCTGGCCAACATGGTGAAACCCCGTCTCTACTAAAAATAAAAAAACTAGCTCGGTATGGTGGCACGCGCCTGTAATCCCAGCTACTCAGGAGGCTGAAACAGGAGAATTGCTTGAACCTGGGAGGCAGAGATTGCAGTGAGCCGAGATCATGCCACTGCAGTCCAGCTTGGTGACAGAGCGAGACTGTGTCTCAAAAAAACAACAAACAAACAAAATAACCAGCCAGGCAGAGTGGCTCACGCCTGTAATCCCAGCACTTTGGGGAGACCGAGGTGGGTGGATCACAAGGTCAGGAGATTGAGACCATCCTGGTCAACATGGTGAAACCCCATCTCTACTAAAAATACAAAAAAATTTAGCTGGTTGTGGTGGCACGCGCCTATAGTCCCAGCTACTCAGGAGGCTGAGGCAGGAGAATTGCTTGAACCTGAGAAGTGGAGGTTGCAGTGAGCCAAGATTGTGCCACTGCACTCCAGCCTGGCAACAGTGAGAATCCATCTCAAAAAAAAAAAAAAAAAAAAAAACCTAAAAGCATTCCATATTTAAAAATATATATAAATATATATACACACAGCCCTCTAGACAAATATACAAAAATCACACACGTTATCACTGTACATACAGGTGGACAGACACAAATTCACAAACCCACAGGTGTAACAGCCCAGATACTAAAAGATTCTCCCAAATAGAAGGACCCCAGGTGTTCTGATCTCTTCTCCAGGTTTCTCTGGCTCCTCGGGAATAACCACCACAGTGCCTTATATATCCTTGCTTGCTTTCGTGTCTTCCAGAATGCCAGGATCAAGGGGACAGAGATATTAGCACAGCTTTGTTGACTACACCTATTAGAGGGAGTTACACAGAGGAAAATACTTACTGAATATTAGGACTCACACAGACACATACACAAAAGGGTTTTACAAAAACATCATCATAGACCCACATATACTTGTCCTTCAAAAAGTGAATGTTCTCACTCCCATTCCTGTAGCAGAGATACCCCTTAGTTCCCCAATACCTATCACAAAAGATGGCTCCTTGAGCCCATTCTGACAGTGAAGGAATCTCGAACTTCCTGACCTCCCACAGTACAATAATCATCTCTCTACAAAAGCACAACATGGCAGCTCAAGAATGTGAAAGGACCTGAAATGGGTTGAGTAATAATGTTCCAACCCCTCATACTACCATAAATGTTCCTGGTGAGAGAAGCGAATGTTCCTGGTGAGAGAAGCGAAGGTGTGCATCTCCTGGCTCAGCCACCAGGTCCTCCACTGCATCTCCACAGTAGCCGTCACTTCCACTGAGGCCTCATCTGCCAGCAAACCTTGCTCCAGTCGGCCTCTGGACCCTAGTATCTTCACCGTGGTTTTGGATGCTGCCACCTGACCCATCCCTGCTGTTGGGGGAGGGTGGAGGCCAGAGGCCTAAAGAGTTCCGACCCGAGCGACACAAAGATCACTTCTGGGACCCACCCAGGGAGACTGTTGTTACGAGGGTGGATGGTGACCTGGTTTCCCTCAATGCTGCCACCTCCCTTCTAAAACACACTGACTTGCTAAGAAAAGGGGGGACTGACTCCAACAAAGGACAGACCCGACCCCTATCGTGCCTATGCAATTCAGAAAACGGAGAATTCGGAGGCTCCAGCAAGCAGTTTATTGGGAGTTGAGTTCACCTTGCCTTGTGATGTGAAGCAAGGTAGTTCCATGGCTTGTGAACCCTGACACCAGCACCTCCCATACACAACAGAGCTGGAGCGCTGCAGGGTGGGTCCTTTTCCAAGAAGAGCTAAGTGCTAGTCTTAGCGGGAGGCTAGGAAACCAGTCCTGGAGCAGGATGCATGTGACATGCACTGACGTGAGAAGGCCGGAGCATCATCAGTGCATATGCCGCTGAATATCTCAGGGTAGAATGTGCCAGAAAACAGGGAAAGCAAGTTAGGGGAGGTAAGAATTCTGAGTGTCCTACAGCTAAGACATGGCAGAGTGTGTCTGTGACTCCACTAGCAGTTTTGAGATTATTCTGACTGTGGTGGTTGGTGCAGGGCTGGTAACCGCAGGAGAGTGGATGCTGTGTGGTCAAGGGGTGTGTGTCCCATGATACAGGCTCTGCTTCTTCAGTCTCTCACCTCAGAGCCACCTGCGGTTGCCACAGAGAAATTCAGATGTGAATGTTTAAACAAGTGTCCAAAGTGTAGGTTTGAGATGGGAAATGGAGCTGGAGATGACCTCAAAACAGCCCTGGAATAATGCAATGCTGACAATGTCTGTGAATTAGGATGTGCATAGGCAGATCCCACTTGGGGAAAAACTGTAAGATGCGAACCTTTGTCTTAGAAGTACAGCATTCCCACAGTCTGACCCGAGGACACTGATGGAAACTTAAAAGGCAGATTCTGGGAGTCTTCTCACTTCTCTCCAGTCATGTGTGAGAGCTGAGGGCAGGCACTGCCCTAGAGGGTGTTTCCTAACTTCTGACTGGATGCCACAAAAGGCCTGCTGGGGCCCAAGTCCTTCTTCCCCATTCCTTTAATTCTTCCTACGAAGAATCTCGACAATGGTTGCAGATGTCATTGAAGATGTTCCCATATTGCTTACATTTAAGAAGGTGGCTCTCCAGTGTGGGTGGTTTCATGGTTTTAAAATGAACTGGAGGCCGGGCGCGGTGGCTCACGCCTATAATCCCAGCACTTTGGGAGGCCGAGGAGGGCGGATCACGAGGTCAGGAGATCAAGACTATCCTGGCTAACACGGTGAAACCCCGTCTCCACTAAAAATACAAAAAATGAGCCGGGCGTGGTGGCGGGCGCCTGTAGTCCCAGCTACTCGGGAGGCTGAGGCAGGAGAATGGCGTGAACCCAGGAGGCGGAGCTTGCAGTGAGCTGAGATCGCGCCACTGCACTCCAGCCTGGGCAAGGACTCCGTCTCAAAAAA
The DNA here is from genome assembly GCF_000001405.40 of Homo sapiens. Taxonomy (NCBI): domain Eukaryota; kingdom Metazoa; phylum Chordata; class Mammalia; order Primates; family Hominidae; genus Homo; species Homo sapiens. Next base: position 12,579,252 of record NC_000019.10, read on the forward strand.
AAAAAAAAAGAACTGGGGGCCGGGTGTGGTGGCTCACGCCTGTAATCCCAGCACTTTGGGAGGCCAAGGCAGGTGGATTACCTGAGGTCAGGAGTTCAAGACCAGCCTGGCCAACATGGTGAAACCCCGTCTCTACTAAAAATATAAAAATTAGTTGGGCGTGGTGGCATGTGCCTGTAATGCCAGCTACTAGGGGGCCTGAGGCAGGATTGCTTTGACCTGGGAGGCAGAGGTTGCGCCACTTTCACTCCAGCCTAGGCAACAGAGTAAGACTCCAGCTCAAAAAAAAAAAAAAAAAAAAGTAAAACGAACAATTTGGGAGGCCAAGGTGGGTGGATCATTTGAGGTCAAGAGTTTAAGATCAGCCTGGTCAACATGGTGAAACACTGTCTCTACTAAAAATATAAAAATTAGCTGGGCATGGTGGTGGGCACTTGTAATCCCAGCTACTTGGAAGGCTGAGGCAGAAGAATTGCTTGAACCCAGAGGTTACAGTGAGCCAGGATCACACCACTGCACTCCAGCCTGGGGCAACAGAGTGAGACACCATCTTGGGGTGCGGCGGGGAAAAAAAGGTTGGGTGCTGTGGCTCACACCTGTAATCCCAGCACTTTGGGAGGCCGAGGCAGGCAGATCACCTGAGGTCAGGAGTTTGAGACCAGCCTGACCAACATGGAGAAACCCCATCTCTACTAAAATTACAAAATTAGCCAGGCGTGGTGGCGCATGCCTGTAATCCCAGCTTCTTGGGAGGCTGCGGCAGGAGAATTGCTTGAATCCGGGAGGCGGAGGTTGCGGTGAGCCGCGATCGCACCACTGCACTCCAGCCTGGGCAACAAGAGCAAAATTACATCTCAACAAAAACAAAAACAAAAAACAAACCCCACAAAAGATGGGATGGATATAGAATTTTCTTTATAGTTTCTCTCCAGTATATATTCTCAGGTGTCTTTAAAAGATTACGTGAAGTGAAGGCTTTCCTACACTCCATACATTCGTAGCTTTTCTGTCCATGGAGTCCATTCACATATCTGCAATCCCGCAGGAGAGTGCAAGTTCCTCCCCCATTTGTTAAATATTTCATTGCCGCATGAGTCACGTCTTCAAAGGGAATTAGGACAACTGAAGGCTTAATCACACCGTTTACATTCCTTGAATTTCTCTCCAGCGTAAGTACTCTCATACATCCAAAAGGAACTAATACAACTGACAGCATTACCACACTTTACTTTCTTAGGGCTTCTGTCTACTATGAGTCCTTTCGTGCACGTGCAAAGACTTTGAGTAACTGAAGGCTTTACCACATTGTCTACACTGAAAGGGTCTTTCTCCAGTATGAATTCTTTTGTGTACTTTCAGGGAATTTAAACAAGTGAAAGCTTTGCCACACTGCTTACACTCACATGGTTTCACTCCAGTGTGACTTCTTTCGTGCCTTCGAAGGTGACTGAAGTAAATGAAGACCCGACCACACTGTTTGCATTCATAGGGTTTCTCTCTAGTATGGGTTCTTTCATGGATTCGAAAGTGAGTGGAATAAAGAAAGGCTTTACCACATTCTTTACATTCGTAAGTTTTCTCGCCAGTGTGAACTCTTTCGTGCAACTGAAGGTAACTTGAAGAATTGAAGGCTTTACCACATTGTTTACATTCATAGGGTTTTTCTCCAAAATGAGTTCTTTCGTGCACTTCACAGGAACTAGATGACTTGAAGGCTTCCCCACATTTCTTACATGTATAAGGTTGAACTCCGGTGTGGGTTTTCACGTGTTTTCGAAGGCTTGAGTGAGAAAAGAAGGCTCTCCCACATTCCCTACATACAAAAGGTTTCTCTCCAGTATGAGTTTTCTCATGACTCCGTAAGTACGTGGGACAACTGAAGGCTTTCCCACATTGCTTACATTCATAAGGTTTCTCTCCAGTGTGAGTCCTTTCGTGGGTTAGAAAAGGCTGGTAATATATAAAGGCTTTTCCACACTGTTTACATTTGTAGGGTTTCTCTCCAGTGTGATTTTTTTCATGGCGCCGAAGAGCAGTGAGATATCTGAATGCCTTCCCACATTCCTTACATTCATAGGGTGTCTCTCCAGTATGAATTCTTATATGGTTTCGAAAGGAAAAGAGAAATGCGAAGGCTTTGCCACATTCCTTACATTCATAGGGTTTCTCTCCAGTGTGAATTCTTTCATGGGTTCGAATACTGGAGCTGCGAGTGAAGGTTTTCCCACATTCTTTGCATTTATGTGGCTTCTCTCCATATTCGTGACACTCATTTGGTTTCTGTTCAGTGTGAGATCTCATGTGCCTATTAAGGGAGACCTGATGCATGAAGACTTCCCCACACACACTGCAGTCACATGGTTTTAATCCAGTAGGAGTTTCCAGGTTCGTATTAAGATCAGGAATCTGGCTAGTGCTTTTTCCACATGGACAATCTTCTTTATTTTCACAGAGTGCTTCAACCATAGGACTTCTGTAAAGAATGAGTACCGTATTATTAATAGTTTTGTATTAATGATCTTATATTTATTAGCAAGTACCAGAATTACATTTTAAATATTTTCACAGAAACTGTATGTTATCTGCCCTGTCTAAATTGTTTTGAAAGCTAATATACTCAATAGTCTAGAACAGGCCGTGACCATAGCTATTATCAAAATAGTTAAAAAAAAATTATTATTATTATTTTTGAGACGGAGTCTCTCTGTTGCCCAGGCTGGAGTGCAGTGGCGTGATCTCAGCTCACTGCAACCTCCGCCTCCTGGGTTCAAGTGATTCTCCTGCCTCAGCCTCCCAAGTAGCTGGGATTGCAGACATGCACCACCACGCCCCGCTAATTTTATATCTTTTTTAGTAGAGACGGGGTCTCAAACTCCTGACCTCAGGTGATCCGCTCGCCTCAGCCTCCCAAAGTGCTGGGATTACAGGCGTGAGCCACTGCGCCCAGCCAGGATTTTTAAATGCTGTTTCATAGTGATTTCTTCTCACACCCTGAACATCTATTGCTTTTTTTTTTTTCCTGTAGAGACAGGTTTTCACTATGTTGACCAGGCTGGTGTTGAACTCCTGGCCTCAAGCAATTCTCCAGCCTTCACCTACCAAAGGCTGGGATTAGAGGTATTCGCTACCTTACCCAGCCAATGACAGTTTCTGTTGTTTTTTTAGACGGAGTCTCGCTCTGTCACCAGGCTGCAGTGCAGTGGATCGATCTCAGCTCACTGCAACCTCCACCTCCCAGGTTCAAGCGATTCTCCTGCCTCAGCCTCCCGAGTAGCTGGGACTATAGGTGCACGCCACCACGCCCGGCTAATTTTTTGTATTTTTAGTAGAGACAGGGTTTCATCATGTTGGCCAGGATGGTCTCGATCTCCTGATCTCATGATCCACTGGCCTCAGCCTCCCAAAGTGCTGGGATTACAGACATGAGCCACCACGCCTGGCTGCCCATGACAGTTTCAATGAAACACCTTCAGTAAAAATTTTCTAAGAATGAATAAACCTGAAACTCTGCTTATTGTTTTGCTTGCTTGGCTTTTGAAATTTATGAAATACTAAGATTCTCTCAGGGGCTATATAATTATTTGTGAATGCAACTCACCTTAGATTTCTTCCCTGGTTTTTGTGTTCATCTTCAATATCCTGGTCTTTCCATTTTTCCCCTAAAATACAAGCCCAGAGAACTCACAATAAATTATTAGAAATTATAGAAAATTATAACACTCTAAGATCCATGATTAGCTATTGATTAGCTATGACACTGTCTGATCTACTTACTAAAGTATTCTCTTCCCACATTTTTTTTTTTTTTTTGAGACAGAGTCTCGCTGTTGCCCAGGCTGGAGTGCAATGGCGCGGTCTCAGCTCACTGCAACCTCGGCCTCCCGGGTTCAAGCAATTCTCCTGCCTCAGCCTCCTGAGTAGCCAGAATTACAGGCACCTGCCACCAGGCCTGGCTAATTTTTTATTTTTAGTAGAGACAGGGTTTCACCATGTTGGTCAGGCTGGTCTCAGACTCCTGACCTCTTAATCCGCCCGCCTCAGCCTCCCAAAGCACTGGGATTACAGGCGCGAGCCACCGTGCCTGGCCCCTTCCCCCATTTTAAACCTTGGAACTCAGTTGTTGTGCAAGAAACACCTGTTCCCTCCTTAATTAAGTAGAGAAATTATGTCACCCTTACCTATACAGGCCAGGTTCTTGAAGGTTGCCCGCATCACATCTCTGTAGATATTCCTCTGGCCAGGATCCAGCAAAGCCCACTCCTCCAGGGTGAAGTTCACAGCCACATCCTCAAGGGAGATGGAGTCCTAAAACATCCCCCATGTGTGTTTAGGAGGAGGAGAGAGATTCGCAGTAGTGAGGATCCATTCTCAGAATTCCTGAGAAATTCCATATAATCCTGTAGTCTCGGTTTAGTGGTATAACTTGGTTGTCAGAACTCTTGACTCTTTCCATACTCACTTCCTCATAAATTTAACACTATCGTGAACATACAAAAATTATTGCGCTCTCTCTCTCTCTCTCTCTCTCTCTCTCTCTCTCTATATATATATATATATATATTTTTTTTTTTTTTTTTTTGAAACATTCTTGCTCTGTCGCCCAGGCTGGAGTGCAGTGGCACAATGTCGGCTCACTGAAAGCTCCGCCTCCTGGGTTCACACCATTCTCCTGTCTCAGCCTCCCGAGTAGCTGGGACTACAGGCGCCCACCACCACACCCAGCTAATTTTTTGTATTTTTAGTAGAGACAGAGTTTCACCGTGTTAGCCAAGATGGTTTCCATCTCCTGACCTCGTGATCCGCCCGCCTCGGCCTCCCAGAGTGCTGGGATTACAGGCGTGAGCCACCGCACCCTGCCATTATTTCTATATTTTAACTGTGATCACTTGAAGCCTTATTGTTCTTTTTCTTTTTATTTTTTTTGAGATGGAGTCTTGCTCTGTTGCTCAGGCTGGAGTGCAATGGTGCGATCTTGGCTCACTGCAACCTCCTCCTCCCAGGTTCCAGTGATTATCCTGCCCCAACCTCCCAAGTAGCTGGGACTACAGGCGCGTGCCACCACGCCCAGCTAATTTTTTGTATTTTTAGTAGAGACGGGGTTTCACCATGTTAGCCAGGATGGTCTTGATCTCCTGACCTCGTGAATCGCCCCCCTCGGCCTCCCAAAGTGCTGGGATTACAGGCGTGAGCCACCGCGCCCGGCCACCTTATTGCTCTTTAAATACAGACCCAAGACCATCTTGGATATATGAGAGAAATGCTGTACAAATGAAACAAATTGTAAGATCATCAATTCCTCGTGAGAAAAACTCTTTCATTTTCTACCTTATTACATACTGTACCACTCAGCATTTCATGAAACTTGGGGTCAAATCTGGATGAGATTTTAATAAATGAATACACCCTTTAGACTATAAGCTGCACATCTCCCATTGAGGATGAAAAACTGTGTATTTTTCTTTTTCATAAACAACATGAGAGATCAGGAAGTCTGTGAAAAGCCAGAAGTCACTGGCCATGTTGCCCTGAAGGATCTCGGGCCATTAGAACCATGCAAATCCAGGTGGCTGAATGAAAATATTCTTCTGCATTAGTATTAATTTCAACGTGTTTGTGTAATATTTATCATAGGTTCAGTTTTTCCTTTCTGTCTCATTTCATGGGTCTAGGAGGTTATTGGAAAGAAAGCACAGCAACTTGGACCTCTATAAACCCCTGTACTCATGAAGGTTTATTACTCGCATGCTTGAGCTCTCAGGCAAAGCTGTGTAACTCTCAAGCACTTGTGAAGTGGCTTCGGAGAGCAAGAAAAGGAGCCTGGCTGGGGATTTTTACTGACATTAGGGAGTGGGCTAGTGTGAGTTCAAGCATACAGGTGGAGGCTGATGCGAATTGGCTCTGTCGCCAGCACCAAATGAGGGTGACCCAGGCTTTCTTCCTACCACGTCCATATGTGGGGTACACAGTGGAAACTGAGGAATGAGGTTTTAAAGCTGTGAGCAGTCAAAAGCCAGGCGGGGTGGCTCACGCCTATAATCCCAGCACTTTGGGAGGCAGAGGTGGGCAGATCATTTGAGGTCAGGAGTCCAAGCACTAAACCTCCAGCCCTTTTTCTCTCCCCCGACTTTGGGGGCTAGGGCTAGAGGAAGATCAAGACTGGGTGTCTTTCGGGACATCAATCCCCACCCTGAAGTTAGGTAGGCATTCTTTCCAGTAGTCATTTATTTACAACAAGAGAGGGTCCATTACCCTTATCACTCATGAAATTCCAAGAGATTTAGGAACTCTGTACTAGGAACCACACACAAAGACCAAACAAATGTCTTTCTTATCATAGCAAAGAACATCATGGCTCGGGGCACAGGCTCACCAGAAGACAGATGATTCATAGGATTATATCATGTTTCCACTCCAGCCACTGGTAACAGTGTGACATTAGAGTTTTGTTTTTATTTTGAGACCCAGTCTCGCTCTGTCACCCAGGCTGGAGTGCAGTGGTGCAATCTTGGCTCACTACAACCCCTGCCTCCAGCATTCAAGCAGTTCTCCTGCCTCAGCCAACAGAGTAGCTGGGATTACAGGCATACACAACCACACCCAGCTAATTTTTGTATTTTTAGTAGAGACAGGGTGTTTCTTCATGTTGGCCAGGATGGTGTCGAACTCCTACCTCAAGTAATTTGCCTGCCTTGGCCTCCCAAAATGCTAGGATTACAGGAATGAGTCACCACTCCTGGCCTGGGTTTTTGTTTTAAAACAGTAGAACAGGCCAGGTGTGGTGGCTCACGACTGTAATCCCAGCACTTTGGGAGGCGGGGGGCGGGCAGATCACTTGACATCAGGAGTTTGAGACCAGCCTGGCCAACATAGCAAAACCCCATCTCTACTAAAAATACAAAAATTTGCCGGGTGTGGTGGGCACCTGTAATCCCGGCTACTTGGGAGGCTGAGGGAAGAGAATCGCTTAAACCTGGGAGGCAGAGGTTGCAGTGAGCCAAGATCGTGCCCCTGCACTCCAGCCTGGGCGACAGAGCGAAACTCCACCTCAAAAAATAAAATAAAATAAAATAAAATAAAACAGTAGAATACAATGAAACAATATTCTATTTCTTTCTGCATGTTTCACAATTGAAGAAATCTCTAGAGAACCCCAAAAATGACAGAACACAGAAAACCAGGGACACCAAAGGCAATTTTATCTGACACCTACAGTTACTGAAAATAGTAAACACAGCCTAAAATCAACAGGATAAACCTAAACCCTCACATTTAAAGCCTGTTTACCTCAGTTCCTTTTCAACACCATGCCCAGATCTCAACAAAAATTACAAGATATATTAAAAGACTTAGACGGTTTGAAGAGAGAGTGCAGGCATCAGAACCAGACTGAGATATAAAAGAGATGCTGGAATTATCAGACCAGAAATTTATTTCTTTTCTTTTTTTTTTGAGACAGAGTCTTACTCTGTTGCCTAGGCTGGATTGCAGTGACACAATCTCAGCTCACTGATACTGTCATAGTGGATAAAAAAGAACACCTGGCCAGGCGTGGCTCACGCCTGTAATCCCAGAACTTTGGGAGGCCGAGGCAGGAGGACCTCTTGAGGTCAGGAGTTCAAGACCAGCCTGACCAACATGGAGAAACCCTGTCTCTACTAAAAATACAAAATTAGTCAGGTGCAGCGGCACATGCCTGTAATCCCAGCTACTCACGAGGCAGGAGAATCACTTGAACTTGGGAGGCAGAGGTTGCAGTGAGGCGAGATCGCGCCATGGCTCTCCAGCCTGGGCAACAGGAATAAAACTCCATCTCAAAAAAAAAAAAAGAAAAAGAAAAAAGAATACCTAATATATGTTGTCTGCAAGAAATTCGCTTTTTTTTTTTTTTTTACTTTGTTTTTTAGAGACAGGGCCATGCTCTGTCACCCAGGCTGGAGTGCAGTTGTGGGATGACAGATGACTATAACCTCAAACTCCTGGGCTCAAAGGACTCTCACCTCAGCCTCTGAGTAGCTGGAACTACAGGTGTGCACTACCATCCCTTGATAATTTTGTTTCTTTTTATAGAGATGGGGTCTCACTATGTTGCCCAGGCTTGTCTCAAACTCCTGGCCTCAAGCAATCATCCTGCCTCAGCCTCCCAAAATGCTGGGATTACAGGTGCGAGCCACCATACCTAGGCCAACAAATCCACTTTAAATATATCACAAAGATTGGGGGGAGGGGGGAGGGATAGCATTAGGAGATATACCTAATGTAAATGACCAGTTAATGGGTACAGCACACCAACATGGCACATGTACACATATGTAACAAACCTGCACGTTGTGCACATGTACCCTAGAACTTAAAGTATAATAATAAAAAGTAATAATAAATAAATATATCACAAAGATATATTAAAAATAAAGGAATAGAGAAAGATATACTATGCTAACACTAATTATTATTATTATTATTTTGAGACAAAGTCTCACTCTGCCACCCAGGCTGGAGTGCAGTGGCGCAATCTTGGCTCACTGCAACCTCCACCTCCCGGGTTCAAGCGATTCTCCTGCCTCAGTCTCCTGAGTAGCTGGGATTACAGGCGCACACTACCACACCCAGCTAATATTTTTTGTTTGTTTGTTTGTTTGAGTCGAAGTTTCGCTCTTGTTGCCCAGGCTGGAGTGCGATGGCGCAATCTCGGCTCGCTACAACCTCCGCCTCCCAGGTTCAAGCGATTCTTCTGCCTCAGCCTCCTGAGTAGCTGGAATTGCAGGCACCTGCCACCACGCCTGGCTAATTTTTGTATTTTTAGTAGAGACAGGGTTTCACCATGTTGGCCAGGCTGGTCTCAAACTCCTGACCTCAGGCGATCCGCCTGCCTCCCAAAGTGCTGAGATTACAAGCGTGAGACACCATGCCTGGTCAATTTTTATATTTTTAGTAGAGATAGGGTTTCACCACGTTGGTTAGGCTGGTGGCAAACTCCCGACCTCGTGATGTGCCCGCCTTGGCCTCCCTAAGTGCTGGGATTACAAGCATGAACCACCATGCCCGGCCAACACTAATTTTTTAAAAGCTGGCACAGCCTTATTAATTTCAGAAAAAGCTGACTTCATAGCATGAAATTATCAGTGATAGAAGGGCATTACATACTGACAAAGGGGTTAATTCACCAAGAAGACAAGGCAATCCTTACTGTGTATGTACATAACCACAGAGTGGCAAAATATATGAGGGGAAAACTAATACAACTGCAGGAAGAAATACATGAATTCACTGGTACAGCTGTATATTTCAATAACCCCCAGCATTAATTTAGAGATCCAGCAGGCAGAAATCAGGAAGGACATAATTAAATTGAACAGCACCATCAAAACAACTGGACTTAATTGAAATCCAGAATAATTCATTCAGTAACAGCAGAATATACATTCTTCTCAAGTTCACATGGAATATTCACCAAGATATCTCACATTCTGGTAAATAAAATACTTCCTAGCAAATTTAAAAGACTAGAGAATACAAAACATGTTCTCAGATCCAGAATTGATAACAGAAAGATAGCTTGAAAACCCACAAATATTTGGATATTAAATCCTGAACTTCTAAATAATGCATGGATGAGAAAAGTCTCAAGATATTAAAAATTATTTTGAATTAAATAAAAATAGAACTTATCAAAACACGTAGAATGCAGCAAAAGGAGTGCCTGGCTGAAATGTAGACGATTGAACACATATACCACCAAAGAATGATCTGTAATCAATAATCTCAGTGTCTAACTTAAAAAACTAATAACAGGCCAGGTATGGTGGCTCACGCCTGTAATCCCAGCGCTTTGGGAGGCTGAGTCAGGCAGATCACCTGAGGTCAGGACTTCGAGACCAGCCTGGCCAACATGGTGAAACCCCATCTCTACAAATACAAAATTACAAAAATACTCTCTCATGTACTCTAAAATACAAAAATTAGCCAGGCATGGTGGCACAGGCCTATAATCCCAGCTACTTGGGAGGCTGAGGCAGGAGAATCACTTGAACCCAGGAGGCAGAGGTTGCAGTGAGCCCAGATCGCGCCATCACACTGCAGCCTGGGTGACAGAGCGAGACTCTGTCTCAAAAAAAATAGATAGAGAAAAACCAACAAAACCAAAAGGTGGTCTTGTGAAAATATCAATAATTAACTGAAAAATGTCTCCTCAAGCTAGCTAACAACAAAAAGACAAAGATTGTTAATATGACGAAAGGGGGAAAATGAAGAAGCACTTGACAAAATTGAACATCTATTTATGATAGCAAACTAGGAATAGAAGGGAATTTCTTCTTCTTCTTTTTTTTTTTTTTTTTTGAGACAGGTCTCACTAAATTGCCCAGGCTGGAGTATATTGGCTATTCAGAGGCGCCGTCATAGTGCTATAGCCTCAAACTGGTGGGCTCCAGCAATCTTCTTGCCTTGGCCCCGCAAGCAGCAAAGACTATAGGTGCATGCCACTGCATCGGGCAAGAGGAACTTCTTGAGAAAGTACATACAAGAAACCTGCAGTTAACATCACGCTTAATGTGAAAAACTAGATGTTTTCCCAGTAATATGAGGAACAAGGTAAGAAAGACCCTTCTCACACTCTCACCATTCATGTATGTATGTATGTATGTATGTATGTATGTATGTATGTATTTATTTATTTATTTATTTAGTGAGAGAGTCTCACTCTGTCACCCAGGCTGGAGTGCACTGGCACGATCTCGGCTCACTGCAATCTCCGCCTCCTGGGTTCAAGCAATTCTCCTGCCTCAGCCTCCGGAGTAGCTGGGATTACAGGCATGTGCCACCACGCCCCGCTAATTTTTTTGTATTTTTAGTAGAGACGGGGTTTCACCATATTGACCAGGCTGGTCTGGAACTCCTGACCTTGTGATACGCCCGTCTCAGCCTCCCAAAGTGCTGGGATTACAGGCATGAGCCACCATGCCTGGCCTTTTTTTTTTTTTCTTTGAGATGGAGTTTCGCTCTGTTGCCCAGGCTGGAGTGCACTGGTGCCATCTCAGCTCACTGTAACCACCTCCACCTCCCGGGTTCAAGAGATTTTCCTGCCTCAGCCTCCTGAGTAGCTGGGATTACAGGTGCACCCAACCATGTCCAGCTAATTTGTATATTTTTAGTAGAGATGGGGTTTCACCATGTTGGCCAGGCTGGTCCTGAACTCTTGACCTCAATGATCCCCCCAACCCCTGCCTCGGCCTCCTAAAGTGCTGGATTACAGGCATGAGCCACCGTGCCTGGCCCCTCTCACCATTTCTATTCAATATTGTACAACAGTGAAACTAAGAAAAAGAAAAAGAAATAAAAGATATACCAACTGGGAAGGAAGAACTAAAGCTGTCTATCTGCATATGACATGACTGCGTATGTAGAGAATTTCAAAAATCTACAACAAAGAAAATTCCTGGAACCAATAAGAGCAAGGTTGAAGGACACAAGCTCAACATATAAGGCCAACTCCTTTCCTACACAGCCACACAAATATAGTCAACTGATCTTTGATGAAGAACCAAAGGCAGCTGGGTGTGGTGGCTCACGCCTGTAATCCCAGCACTTTGGGAGGCTAAGATGGGGTGGATCACTTCAGCCCAGGAGTTCAAGACCAATGTGGGCAACATAACAACACTCCATCTCTATTTCTTTAAAAAAAAAAAAATTTTTTTTAAATAAAAGAAAAATTAAATGAAAATAGATCAAAGATGTAACTGTAAAATACAATAAGACTCCTAGAGGATAATATATAAAATCTAGATGACCTTGGGTTTGATGATGAATTATAACATAAATTATAAGTTTGACTTCATTAAAATAAAAAAGTCCTGCTCTGGGGCCGGGCACGGTGGCTCATGCCTGTAATCCCAACTCTTTGGGAGGCCGAGGTGGGCGGATGACTTGAGGTCAGGAATTTGAGACCAGTCTAGCCGACATGGTGAAACCCTGTCTCTACTAAAAATACAAAAATTAGCCAGGTGTGGTGGTGCATGCCTGTAGTCCCAGCTACTTGGCAGGCTGAGGTAGAATAAATCGCTTGAACCTGAGAAGCTGATGTTGCAGTGAGCCGAGATTACGCCACTGCACTCCAGCCTGACTGACAGAGACTCCATCCCCGCCGCCCCCCCAAAAAAGAGTCCTGCTCTGGGAAAGACCATGTTAAGAAAATGAAAAGACAAGCTACAGACAGGGAGAAATTCTTTGCAAAACACCTATCTGACAAAGGACTGATATTCCAACTACTAAAAGAACTATTAAAACTCAGTAACAGGAAGACAATCCAATTAAAAATGGGCAAAAGATATGAACATACACATCACCAGAGAAGATTTAGAGATGGTAAAGCAGCACATCAAAACATGCTCAACGTCACACAGCATTAGGGAATAAAAAAAAACTAAGATAAATAAAACTGAGTAAGATATTACCACACTCACTAAATGGCTAAATTTTAAAACACTAAAAACACCAAATGATGGTGAAGATGGAGAACAATAAGTATCATCATTATTTGCTGCTGGCAATGGAAAATGATACTCCCACTTTGAAAGGCAGACAGTTACAAAAAAAAAAAAAACACACTCTTAAATTGTAATCTAGCCATCATGCTCCTAGGTATTTACTAAAAAGAGTTGAAAATTTATGTTCATGCCAAAACCTGCACATGAATGCTTATAGTTTTATTCAAAACCTTGCAAACCTTAGAGTGAACCAAGATACCTCTCAATAGACAAATGGATAAACCATCTGGTTCACCTACAGAATGATAAAAAGAAATCAGGTATCAGCTGGGCGCGGTGGCTCACGCCTGTAATCCCAGCACTTTGGGAGGCCAAGGAGGGCAGACCATGAGGTCAGGAGATCGAGACTATCCTGGCCAACATGGTGAAATCCTGTCTCTACTAAAAATACAAAAATTAGCTGAGTGTGGTGGCGCTTGCCTATCATCTCAGCTACTCGGGAGGCTGAGGCAGGAGAATCAGGTATCAAGCCATGAAAAGACATGGAGGCTAGGTATGGTGGCTCTCACCTGTAGTACCAGCTACTCAGGGCACTGAGGCAGGAGGATCACTTGAGTCTGGGAGTTCAAGACCAGCATGGGTGTTATGATGAGACCCCATCTCAATTTAAAAAAAAAAAAAAGACGTGGAGAAACCTTGACTTGAACATATATTATTAAGTGAAAGAAGCCAATCTAAATGGTTATATACTGTGTAGTTTCAAAGATGACATTCAGGAAAAGGCAAAATTATGACAGAGTAAAAAGGCTTTTGACTGTCAAGAATTTGGGAAGAGGGAGGGACTAATGAATAGGAGAAGCACAGGGGATATTTAGGTGAGGGAAAGCATCCTACATGATGCAGCTATGATGAATAGCAGTTATTATACATTTGCCAAAACCCACAGATTGTATAACAGAGTCAGCCCTAATGTAAACTGTGGACTCTGAGGCATCAATATTGGTACATCACTTATAACAGATGTATTAAAGTAATAGAAAATATAAAAAGGATAAACTATGTGGAGGCAGAGGGATCAAGTGGGAACACTACACTTTCTCATCAATTTTTCTGTAACTCTGAAATAGCTCTACAAAAATAAAGTCTACTAGAAAAAGAAAAACGATGAGGACAGGCTAATGACAATTCACACCATGACTGGTTGATGAATGAAACATACAACCTTTCACTCAATTCATGAATTTTATTTTAGTAAGCCTTTATGGTGCTTCGTGAGCCAGAGACTGGTAAAGGCAATGAAAGTTCCACAGGATGCCTTGTTCAAAAGCCCATCACTCTCTATTTTGAGAAGTGAAATAAGAGCTTTGATTAGTATCAGTAGTGTCCGGAACTCTTGCACGAATATGAGTGTCCAGGCGGAGCCTTGGATTGTGGGATTACCCTCTGTAGAGGTGTGTATTATCTTGACTTATATGGCTAGCCGTGAGGTAAAAAAAGATTCCCAGAGTTTTGTGGGTTTTTTTTTTTTTCCCTTTGAGATGAAGTCTCGCTCTGTTGCCCAGGCTGAAATGCAGAGGCGCAATCTCGGCTCACTGCAACCTCCGCCTCCCAGGTTCAAGCGATTCTCCTGCCTCAGCCTCCTGAGTAGCTGGGATTACAGGCACGAGCCACCACACCTGGCTAATTTTTTTGTATTTTTAGTAGAGACGGGGTTTCTCCATGTTGGCCAGGCTGGTCTCGAACTCCTGACCTCAAGTGATCCACCCGCCTCAGCCTCCCAAAATGCTGCAATTACAGGCGTGAGCCACCACACCCAGCCTAATATTCCCAGAGTTCTTTTACTACAAAGGTGCAACTCTTAGACAATCACTCAAGAGTGTGTAAACATGTGCAGATGGGATTTATTGTTGGCCACTGCTAAGATGACTAACTGATGAACTGCCCCTTGAATCTAGTCCTTTATTAGGTCCATTTCAATTAAGGGATAAAAAGCAGCAGCTCCAACATGTACAAATGTGGCCATGTCAGCCATCAAGTCTACACACTCGCCACTGCTGTTCACTCAGTAGCAAAGGATCTAGGAGAAGGTAGACCTCCTCCAGCACCATGACATCTGGCAAGGAAGAAAGAAAAGAAGTCACCCTCCCACCCCAACTCCTGCAGAGAGGATATGCTGAAGGCTAACATTTGACTCTGTAATTTTGAAAGGAGGTCTGTGTAGGTTGCTGTTTCTAGGACCCATGGCAAAATGAGCAGTTGAGTAGAGTCACATGCCCAGGGCCCAGGAGAGCCTCAATGTTCAGGATAACCTAGTACAAGGTGATCATTGCAGCTCTAATGGCATATAGTGTGGGGCCAAGGGCTGTTTCTTGCATCAGAGCCCTATGGACAACTTATGGTCATCATGGATAATTACAAGAGGCATGAGAGGAGGTTTCTAAAGCCACTATAGTGGCCAGGAATGGTGGCTCATGCCTGTAATCCCAGCACTTTGGGAGGCCATGGCAGGCAGATCACTGGAGGTCAGGAGTTTGAGACCAGCCTGGCCAATACGGTAAAACCCCGTCTCTACTAAAAATACAAAAATTAACTGGGTGTGGTGGTGCACACCTGTAATCCCAGCTACTCTGGAGGCTGAGGTAGGAGAATTGCTTGAACCAGGGAGGCAGAGGTTGCAGTGAGCCGAGATTTTGCTACTGCACTCCAACCTGGGAGACAGAGCAAGACTCCATCTCAAAAAAAAAAAAAGAAAAGAAAAGAAAAAAAGAGCATCTATAGTGCTCTGGAGGCACTAACAGGAGTGCCTGCCATATGGCAACTTAAACAGTGTCTAGAGCCTCTGTGGTAGCGATATCCGGGCAATGATGACCAATTTGCAAGTCACAGCATAAATGGGCTTAAGTAAACTTTATAAAGGACTGTGTTACCTCCTGAACATCAAAAAAGCCCAAATGATGTTGTGGGTGCCAACAGGAACAACAGCAGTAGGCAGAGGTTGCAGTGAGCTGAGATCACACCACTGCACTTCTGCCTGGGCGACAGAGTGAGAGTCTGTCTCAGCACTCCCACCTGGGCAACAGAGGAAGAAGACTCCATCAATCCATCCATCAATCAATCAGTGTACCTTGCTTACATTTAGTGGGATCTCCAGATATAGCTGATTCCTAGGATTGATTAATCCCATGAATGATTGTCAGTTAGTGCATTACAGAGATGTTAAAATTAATTCAGAACTAGGCTGGGCCTGGTGGCTTATTCCTGTAATCCCAGCACCTTGGGAGGCCAAGGCAGGAGGATTGCTAGAGCCCAGGAGTTTGAAACCAGAAATATATATATATGATTTAAAAAATAATAAAATTCAGAACTAATGTCGGAGAGGCCTGAAAGCCAAGCACATGCAGTGTCCTTTTCTCTCTCTTTTTTTTTTTGAGACCGAGTTTCGCTCTTGTTGTCCCTGCTGGAGTGCAAGGGTGTGATCTCGGCTCACCACAACCTCCGCCTCCCGGGTTCAAGAAATTCTCCTGCTCCCTAGTAGCTGGGATTACAGCCATGCACCACCATGCCCAGTTAATTTTGTATTTTTAGTAGAGAAGGGGGTTTCTCCATGTTGGTCAGCTCCCGACCCGCCTGTCTTAGCCTCCCAAAGTGTTTGGATAACAGGTGTGGGCCACCATGTCCAGCCTTTTTTTTAGTTGCATAATTCTTTTACTATATTTTGGAGTTGCAATTAGGTCAAAACCTAGAAAAATGCTTCATTTTTTTTTCTTTTGTGCCCTTCCTTCTTTAATCTTTCTCTGTTTTGTTTCTGTGGTCACTTGATATGCTTCCGGTTATCTTCCTACCTTAATATTTATTAATATATTTTTTTCCTCCAGAAAACCTCAAATTGTAGGTTATGGGCCTCACCCATGGAACTGGTGGCATTAAAAGGTTTCAGGGCTGGGTGTGGCGACTCACACCTGCAATCCCAGCACTTTGGGAGGCTGAGGCAGGTGGATCACCTGAGGTCAGGAGTTTGAGACCAGCCTGGCCAACCTGGCGAAACCCCATCTCTACTAAAAATACAAAAATCAGCCGAGTGTGTTGGCAGGTGACTGTAATCCCAGTTACGCAGGAGGCTGAGGCAGGGAGAATTGCTTGAACCTGGGAGGCAGAGGTTGCAGTGAGCCAAGATCATGCCACTGCACTCCAGCCTGAGCAAAAGAGCAAGACTCTGTCAAAAGAAAAAAAGAAAAAGAAAAAAAGGTGATTTGGGCCAGCGCAGCAGCTCACACCTGTAATCCCAGCACTTCAGAAGGCTGAGGCAGGCAGATCACTTGAGGCCAGGAGTTCGAGAACAGCCTGGTCAATAAGATGCAATCCCATCTCTACTAAAAATACAAAAATGGGCCGGGTGTGGTGGCACACGCCTGTAATACCAGCTACTCAGGAGGCTGAGGCATAAGAGTTGCTTCAACCTGGGAGGCAGGGGTTGCAGTGAACTGAGATGGTGTCACTGCACTCCAGTCTGGGCGACAGAGAAAGACTCCGTCTCAAAAAAAAAAAAAAAAGTGATTTGATCAAGGAATCCAAGGGAAAGAAACGCAAATGTTTTAATCTGTTTAGATAAGGAATTGCTTCTCCACCGTTAAAATGGAAAACTCACAATCGAAAGGTAAATACATTCACAAGGGCCAGGCATGGTCACGCCTATAATACCAACATTTTGGGAGGCCAAGGCAAGAGGATCCCTTAAAGCCAGGCGTTCAAGACTAGCATGAGCAACACAGCAAGACCCTGTATCTACAAAATAAAAATTTGAAATTAGCCAGTAGTGGCAGATGCCTTTAGTCCCAGCTACTCAGGAGGCTGAGGCGGGAGGATCGCTTGAGATGCAGTGAGGTTTGATGGCGCCACCGCACTTCAGCCTGGGCGACACTGCGAGACCGTGTCAAAAACAAACAAATTCCCAAACTTGAGAGCGGTAGCCCAGACAGTGGGTCAGTGCCTGGTGATGACAGCAGGGGCATCTGAGCAGCCACAGGAACGAACTCTGGGAGCTCCACACGCCCTCCTCTCCCCTAGCTGCAAAAAAAATGTTCCCTCCTCCAGGCTTCAATTCTCACAGGTGGATTCACCTTAATGTTCTGACCCAAATGGATTCTCAAACACACGAGAATCCGTCATGACTTTCCCGTGGCCCCTGCACAATCTTCGGAGACGCGGGGCTGGGGGCGCCCAGCTGCCCGGAAAGGGCTCCGGGGCCGGGGCCGCAATCGCAGGGACGGGACAGAACGCCTGAGGTCCCAGCTGCCGGCCCAGCCCCACGCTGCTGGGAGACCCTCGGGTCAGCTGCGCCAGGGGGACTCGGGTCTTCCCATAGCCGGTTCCGACAAGTCCCCTCCTCAGGTCTCGGGACTCCCGGCCCCGCACACTCACCATTTCTCGGCTTACGGAGGCTCCAGGAGTCCTCCCTACGGATCCCTCACTACCTGCAGGTCCCAGTGAGACAAAGCATACGCAGAGCCACAGACAGTCCGAGGCTGGGACGCAATCCTAGCGAACCGCTAGAATAAGGATGTTCACACGCGCATTCAGAGCTAGGGTGCAAGCGCCTTTTCAACACCGATGCTGACTGGACAGTTTGTGTGCCCCCGCCCCCTGACCCCTGAGTGACAGCCATGCAGGAGGGCACGTGGTTGAGCCGAGCTAGCTTCCCAGAGTGGGTTTTCCCGGCGGGGATATTTGCATGTAAGAGGAATTTGTTCTTTGCCCGAGGTCCATTTTTAAGTGGCCTATTCAGTAGTGTTAAGTGTAGTTACATTGTGAAACCAATCTCTAGAACTGATTTAATCTTGCAAATTTGAAACTCTTTATTGATTGAATAACATCCCATTTACCGCTCACCCTCAGCCCCTGACACCTACTATTCGACTTTTTGATTGTGTGAATTTCACTGTGGGTACCTCATATAGGTGGAATTATTCTGTATTTGTCCTTTTCCGACTGACTTATTTCACTTAGCATAATGTCCTCAATCTTCCTGATGTTGTAGCATGTGTCAGAATTTACTTCCTTTTAAGACATTTAAAGGCCAGGCACGTTGGCTCAAGCCTGTAATCTCAGCACTTCGGGAGGATCCCTTGAGGCCAGGATTTTCACACCAGCCTGGGTAACACTGTAAGAACCCGCCTCTACAAAATTAAAAATTAAAAATTAAGAAATATAGATTCCGGCCGGGTGCGGAGGCTCTCGCTTGTAATCCCAGCACTTTGGGAGGCCGAGGCGGGCGGATCACGAGGTCAAGTGATCGAGACCATCCTGGCCAACATGGTCAAACCCTGTCTCTACTAAAAATACAAAAATTAGCTGGGCGTGGTGGCACGCGCCTGTAATCCCAGCTACTCAGGAGGCTGAGGCAGGAGAATCACTTGAACCTGGGAGGCGGAGGTTGCAGTGAGCCAAGATCGCGCCACTGCACTCCAGCCTGGTGGCAGAGCGAGACTCTGTCTCAAAAAAAACAACAATTAAAAAAAATAGCTATTGCAACAGAAGCTACTCAGGATTTTAAGAAAAAGTGTGGTTTAGACACTTAGAAATGTCTTTGGGAAAAAAAATTGTTAAGTGCACTGTAAAAGCATCACATGATCTAGCCTCATAATAATTCTCCCCTTTTTTTTTGGAGGCAGAGTTTCTCTCTTGTTGCCCAGGCTGGAGTGCAGTGGCGTGATCTCCGCTCACCGCAACCTCCGCCTCCCGGGTTCAAGCGATTCTCCCGCCTCAGCCTCCCGAGTAGCTGGAATTACAGGCATGAGCCACCACGCCCGGCTAATTTTGTATTTTTAGTAGACACGGGGTTTCTCCATGTTGGTCAGGCTGGTCTCGAACTCCCAACCTTAGGTTGGGATCTGCCCGCCTCGGCCTCCCAAAGTGCTGGGATTACAGGCCTGAACCACCATGCCCGTCAATAATTCTCCCTTTTTAAAACCCAGGATTCTGCCGGGCGCGGTGGCTCATGCCTGTAATCCCAGCACTTTGGGAGGCTGAGGCAGGCGGATCATGAGGTCAGGAGTTCGAGACCAGCCTGGCCAACACAGTGAAACCCCATCTCTACTAAAAATACAAAAATTAGCTAGGCATGGTGGCGCGCACCTGTAGTCCCAGCTACTAGGGAGGCTGAGGCAGGAAAATAGCTTGAACCTGGGAGGCAGAGGTTGCGGTGAGCCGAGACTGCATCACTGCACTCCAGCCTGGGCAACAGAGCGAGACTCCATCTCAAAAAAAAAAAAAAATTAGCTGGGTGTGGTGGCGGGGTGCCTGTGATCCCAGCTATTCTGGAGGCTGAGGCAGGAGAATCGCTTGAACCTGGGCAGTGACCCAAGATCACGCCACTGCACTCCAGCCTGGGCAACAGAGCAAGACTCTGTCTCAAAAAAAAAAAAAAAAAAAAAAAGAAAGAAAGAAAAGAAAAAAAAAGAGACATAAAGAAAGTTATAAAAATAAATAAGTATTTTTGGTTAAAAAAAGCATAAAGAAAAGATATTTTATATAAAAAAGGATCTTGTATGATAGATTCTTGTCCTAAAGAAAAATGACTGGTTGTTTAAAAAGAGGGATGTTTAGGACAAGTCAGAAAGTCAAGGCATATCATAGAGTGTAAGTCATGAAAGAATTTATGAAAGGGAACTTATGGAAGAAATGTTGTAGAATTTAAAGGTGTTTAGGCCTCCTGAATGCTTCATAAAATGCCATTATGACTCTTAACTGTACAACTGCCTGCTTTACAGCTAGGGAAGGCCTGGGACACAAGAAGTTAGATGCTAGAATGAGTCAGACCTTATCTGCACTTCTGTCTAGGTCCTAGGCTCCCCACCTGGTCCATAATTAAAATCACTTACCAGGTTTTTCACCAAAAGTAAAAGTTGCTAAGAATCAATATTGTAACATGTAATTGAGACTACTGGAAAAAACAGTTTTACATGCAAGGTGTGTAAGGAAAGTAGAGTATACTTTTGGTAAAAAGATTATAAGAAGGCATGGGAATGTGGATTTTTTTTGCCTAAATAAAAGGTTAATGGATTAAATTAGATAAAATAAAGCTGAAAGTTTAAGCAAGTTGTGGAAGGTTGATTGTAAAAGAAATTCTGTGTGTAAACATATTGGCTAAAGTTAAAGGGGGTATTATCCAGTTTTTCTGTAAATTGAATATTAAAATAAAAGCACAACGGCTTTCTTTTAGAACACTAACCTGCTCTTTAACAAAAATTGTAAAGGGTAATAAAAAATCTATAAAAATTGCCAAACATTGGCGTAAATATGTCTATAAAATTGGGTAAATATGTCTATAAGGTTTTATTAAGAATTGGGTTTAGGCCAGGCGCCGTGGCTCACGCCTGTAATCCCAGCACTTTGGGAGGCCGAGGCGGGCAGATCACGAGGTTAGGAGATCGAGACCATCCTGGCTAACATGGTGAAACCCCGTCTCTACTAAAAAAAAAACACAAAAAATTAGCCAGGCATGGTGGCGGGCACCTGTAGTCCCAGCTACTCGGGAGGCTGAGGCAGGAGAATGGTGTGAACCCAGGAGGTGGAAGTTGCAGTGAGCCGAGATGTGCCACTGCACTCCAGCCTGAGCGAAAGAGCGAGACTCTGTCTCAAAAAAAAAAAGAAAAGAAAAGAATTGGGTTTAACAGTAATAGTATACTAATGTAAATGTGAAATTTGGCTTATTTGGTACAAAAATCATAGAGGAAGCAAAGTCAAATATAAAATGGAGTATGGCTTTCTTTGGACTATATCTGTATATATATGTTATTGGTATGTGTTCCAAAATGATGGAAAACTCTTGTAATTCTGATATATCAGTGTATGTTATCAGTAATAATTATAATTATTATGTTAAATTATTGTGTGCCACAGAGTAACAGATTTCCTTGTCAATTGTGTCTTTAGCTATGGCTACCCTAAAACTTTGTCATCCATAAATAATTGTTGTCTTGTCTTGGTCCTCTTTAGAAGGTGGTTTTATAATCAGCTATAAAGCTCTAACAGGTGCTCTTGAATGCAAGTTTTAGATAACTTTGGAGATTGTGACATCAGAATAGAGAAAAAATGTTCAGGACTCTTGTCCTAGCACTTTGGGAAGCCAAGGTGGGTGGATCACTTAAGCCCAGGAGTTCCAGACCAGCCTGGCCAACATGACACAACCTGTCTCTCCAAAAAATACAAAAATTAGCCAGGTGTGGTGGTGCACGCCTGTAGCCCCAGCTACTTGGGAGGCTGAGGTGGGAGGATCCTTTGAGCCTGGAAGGCAGAGACTGCAGTGAGCTGAGGCTCACAGCTTTCCAGTCAGGGAGACAGGGTAAGACCCTGTCTCAAAAAAAAAAGAAAAAAAAAAGGCCAGGTGCGTTGGCTTACGCCTGTAATCCCAGCACTTTCGGAGGCCAAGGCGGGTAGATCACGAGGTCAGGAGATCGAGACCATCCTGGCTAACACGGTGAAACTCCGTCTCTACTAAAAATACAAAAAATTAGCCAGGCGTGGTGGCGGGCACCTGTAGTCCCAGCTACTCGGGAGGCTGAGGCAGGAGAATGGTGTGAACCCGGGAGGCGAAGGTTGCAATGAGCCGATATTGCGCCATTGCACTCTAGCCTGGGTGACAGAGCAAGACTCCGTCTGAAAAAAAAAAAACAAAAACAAAGAATTGGGGTCTCACTCTGTCACCCAGGCTAGACTAGAGTGGTACAATCATAGCTCACTGCAGCCAAAACTCCCAGGCTCCAGCAATCCTCCTCCCTCAGCCATCAAGCAGCTGGGACTACAGGTGTATGCCACAAACCTGGCTAATTTTTTTTTATAAGATATGAGGTTGCACTATATTGCCCAGGCTGGTCTTGAACTCCAGGACTCAGATGATCATGCCACTGTGCTCGGCCCAATTTTATTATTTTTTGTATGTCTATCCAACTGTCACAACACCAATTTATGAAAATAATATTCTAGGCCAGGTGCGGTGGCATAGGCCTGTAATCCCAGCACTTTGGGAGGCCAAGGCGGGCGGATCACGAGGTCAGGAGATCGAGACCATCCTGGCTAACATGGTGAAACCCTGTCTCTACTAAAAATACAAAAAAAATTAGCCGGGCTTGGTGGCAGGCTCCTGTAGTCCCAGCTACTCAGGAGGCTGAGGCAGGAGAATGGCGTGAACCCGGGAGGCGGAGCTTGCAGTGAGCCGAGATCGCACCACTGCACTCCAGCCTGGGCGAGAGAGCAAGACTCTGACTCAACAAAAAAAAAAGAAAAAAGTAAAAAAAGAAAATAATATTATTTCCCGATTCCTGGCACCGTTTTTGAAACTCAGTTCACTATATACACACACACACACACACACACACACACACACACACACACACACACACATATATGGGCCTATTTCTGGAATTTCAATTTCATGCCATTGATCTCTATGTCTGAATTGCCTCATGTATTTGATATGAAAATTTTGCTGCTACTGGAGACTGGGTGACATAAATTAAATTGTATATCAGAAAACCTTTGGCTGGCGCGGTAGCTCCCGCCTGTAATCCCAGCACTGCGGGAGGCCGAGGCAGGAGGATTACCTGAGGTCAGGAACTTGAGACCAGCCTGGCCAACAGGGTGAAACCCCATCTCTACCAAAAAAATAAAAATAATTAGTTGGGCATGGTGGCAGGCACCTGTAGTCCCAACTATGTAGGAAGCTGAGGCAGGAGAATCACTTAAACCCAGGAGACAAAGGTTGCAGCGAGCCGAGATGATGCCACTGGACTCCAACCTGGGCAATAGAGCAAGACTCTGTCTCAAAAAAAGAAAACCACTGAGGTCTTCCTAGAGGGTAATGGTCATCTACACAGTGCAGCCCATCATGTATATTTCTTTTTTTTTTTTTTTGTCGAGACAAGGTTTCACTATGGTTATGCAGGCTAGAGTACAGTGGTGTGATCTCGGCTTACTGCAGCCTTGACCTCCCAGGCTCAGATGATTCTCTCACCTCAGCCTCCCGAGAAGCTGGGCCTACAGGTGCGCACCACCACGCCGGGCTAGTTTTTTGTATTTTTAGTAGAAACAAGGTTTCGCCATGTTGGCCAGGCTGGTCTCAAACTCCTGGGCTCATGCAATCCACCTGCCTCAGCCTCCCAGAGTGCTGGGATTACAGGTGTGAGCCACCACACCTGGCCCCATCATGGGTTTTTCTTATGTGCAGAGTACTTATTCAAATCCACAGTGATTTCCCAGTTGACACACAGACAAGAACTATGGATTCTTAGAGAATATCCAAGTTATAATTGAATCAAACTGCAGAGAGAGGGTATCATTTTGAGTACCACCCCCCAGTTTGGTGGAAAAGAAAGTTGTGATATTGTGAAATATATAATTTGGGTTTTGTCCAGGGTTCCTGGCTCACAGTTGCTAAAAACCTTGTAATTTCCTAAGCGACTAGAGCAATTGGAGTATCTTTTGTTAAAATATTTGGGCTGCCTGTAATCCCACCATGTTGGGAGGCTGAGGCAGGCAGGATGCTTGAGCCCAGGAGTTCAAGACCAGCCTGGGCAACACAGTGAGATCCTATCTCTACAAAAAATACAAAAATTGGCCAGGCATAGGGGTGTGTGCCTATAGTCTCAGCTACTTGAGAGGTTGAGGTGGGAGGGTCACCTGAGCTCAGGGAAGTCAAGGCTGCAGTGAGCTGTGATGACACCACTGCACTCCAGCCTAGGTGACAGAGTAAGACTCTGTCTCAAAAAACAAACAACAAAAAAAAGGCTGGGCGCTGGGGCTCACATCTGTAATCCCAGTACTTTGGGAGGCCAAGGTAGGTGGATGCTTGAGCTCAGGTGTTTGAGACCAGTCTGGGCAACATGGCGAAAACCCATCTCTACTAAAAATAGAAAAAAATAGCCAGATGTGGTGGCGTGCACCTGTAGTCCCAGCTACTCAGGAGGCTGTGGTGGGATCATTGCTTGAACCCGGGGGTGGAGGCTGCATTGAGCCAAGATTGTGCCACTGTCACTGGGTGACAGAGTGAAGGAGACCCTATCTCAAAAAAAAAAAAAAATGGCCTTTTGTATTCAGTTCTTAAAATAGCTCTAGAAGAGTTCCAGAGTGACAGGTGGAAGAAATGTCTTTAGTTATTCATAACCATCCCCTTTCCACCACAGCTAAGTTTATGTTAATGGGGTGATTTTTGGAAAGCTCCTACAAACCACAGGATGTGAGGCTAGTTGCCAGGGAACCAACCATGTGACTGGAGCTTTGAAACTTTCAGCTCTGTCCCCACCTCCAGGGAGGGAAGAGAAAACTGAAGGTTGAGTTGATCACCCATAGTGAATGATGTGATTAATCATGTCACCATAATAAAGCCACCATAAAAACCCAAAAACACGGCTCAGAGAGCCTTCTGGTTGGTAAATAAGAACATAACCATATGCCTGGAGGTATCTCTTCATCTGGCTGTTCATTCGTATCATTTAAAATATCCTTTGTAGGGCCAGGTGTGGTGGCTCACGCCTGTAATCCCAGCACTTTGGGAGGCTGAGGCAGGTGGATCACTTGAGGTCAGGAGTTCAAGACCAGCTTGACCAACATGATGAAACCCCATCTCTACTTAAAATACAAAAATTAGGCCAGGTGCAGTGGCTCACACCTATAATCCCAGCACTTTGGGAGGACAAGGTGGGCGGATCATGAGGTCAGGAGTTCGAGACCAGCCTGGCCAGCATGGTGAAACCCTGCCTCTACTAAAAACATAGACACACAGAAAAAAAATTAGCTGGGCATGGTGGCATGGGCCTGTAATCCAGCTACTTGAGAGACTGAGGTAGGAGAATCACTTGACCCTGGTAGGCAGAGGCTGCAGTGAGCCAAGATTGTGCCACTGCACTCCAGCCTGGGCAAAAGAGTGAGACTCTATCTCAAAAAAAAAAAAATTAGCCAGGCGTGGTGGTGGGCGCCTGTAATCCCAGCTACTTGGGAAGCTGAGGCAGGAGAATTGCTTGAACCTGGGAGGCAGAGGTTGCAGTGAGCTGAGATCGCGCCATTGCACTCCAGCCTGGGCGACAAGAGCAAAACTCCGTCTCAAAAAAAAAATAATAATAATAATAAATAAAATAAAATATCCTTTGTAGGCTGGGTGCAGTGGTTCACACCTGTAATGCCAGCACTTTGGGAGGCCAAGGCAGATGGATCACTTGAGGTCAGGAGTTCGAGACCAGCCTGGCCAACATGGTGAAACCCCTTCTCTACTAAAAATACAAAAATAGCTGGGCGTGGTGGAGGATGCCTGTCATTCCAGCTACTCGGGAGGCTGAAACACGAGAATCATTTGAACCCTGGAGATGGAGGTTGCAGTGAGCCAAGATCGTGCTGCTACACTCCAGCCTGGCAACAGAGTGAGACCCTGTCTCAAAATAAAGAGTAAACAAATAAATAAATAATAAAATATCCTTTGTAAGACTAGGCACAGTGACTCACTCCTATAATCTCAGTGCTTTGAGAGGAGCGAGGTGGGAGGATCTCTTGAGACCTGGAGGTTGAGACTAGCCTGGACAACAGAGCGAGACCCTAACTTTACAAAAAATAAATAATTAGTTGAGTGTGGTGGCACATGCCTATATTCCTAGCTACTTGCGGGGCTGATGAGGGAGGATCGCTTGATCCCAAGAGTTGAAGGCTGCAATGAGCTATGATCCTGCCACTGCACTCCAGCCTGGGAGACAGAGTGAAACCCTGCTCTATTAAAAAAAAAAAAAACACTTTGTAATAAATGGGTGAATGTAAGTAAAGTGTTTCTGTGAGTTCTGTAGGCTGCTACAGCAAATTAATCAAACCCAAAGAGTGGGTCATGAAAACCCTGATTTACAGCTTGTTGGTCAGAAGCATAGGTCACATCCTGGGACTTACAACTGACATTTGCAGTGAGGGGCATTCTTGTGAGCCGTTAGCTTTTGGTATTGGACTCCGTCTCCAGGTAGATACTGTCACAATTAAATTGAATTATATAGCACACCCAGCTGGTGTCTGCTTGAGAAGTGGTTATTGGTGGACCAGAAGTGAAGTATTCTGTTAAATATTTTGTTAATGGTTTTCCTATCCCTTTAAGAAAAGTGTATTTGAGACCCTCGAATAGGATTTTTTTTTAATTTAATTTTTTTTTTTGAGACAGAGTTTTGCTCTTGTTGCCCAGGCTGGCGTGCAATGATCTTGGCTCACCGCAACCTCCACCTCCCGGGTTCAAGCAATTATCCTGCCTCAGCCTCCCAAGTAGCTGGGATTACAGGCATGTGCCACCACGTCCCGCTAATTTTGTATTTTTAGTAGAAACAGGGTTTCTCCATGTTGGTCAGGCTGGTCTCAAACTCCCGACCTCAGGTGATCCACCCACCTCGGCCTCCCAAAGTGCAGGGATTACAGGCATGAGCCACCGCGCCTGGCCTAAAATAGGATTTTTTTTTTTTTTCATTTTAGAGACAGAGACTCACTCTATTGCCCAAGCTGGAGTGCAGTGGCACAATCATAGGTCATTGTAGCCTCCAACTCTTGGACTCAAGGGATCTCTGCTATGGGACTACAGGCACATGCCACCACCCTGGGTAATTCTTTTTTTTTTTTTTTTTTTGAGACAGGGTCTCTATCTGTTGCCCAGGCTAGAGTGCAGTGGCATGATCTCAGCTCACTGCAACCTCTGCCTCCTGAGTTCAAGCAATTCTTCTGCCTCAGCCTGCTGAGTAGCTGGGACTACAGGTGTGCACCACCATGCCCCGCTAATTTTTTGTATTTTAGTAGAGATGCGGTTTCGCCATGTTGGCCAGGCTGGTCTTGAACTCCTGACCTCAAGTGATTTACCCACCTCAGCCTCCCAAAGTGCTAGGATTACAGGTGTGAGCCACTGCACCTGGCCAATTTTTTTTATTTTTATAGAGACAGGATTTCACTCTGTTGCCCAGGCTTTGATGTCCTTTTATAAAAGGAATCACTGGAAGATTTTTATTTTAATGATCAGCAAAGGCCTAAAAGTCCATGACCATTCACAAGTATCATTTCCATATGGTAGATTTCCAGCACATGTTAGGAAAGAAAAAAAATGAACAGCTTTGTGTTTTACTAAAGAACAAATAAAATCCCATTTTTATTCAATATTTCAATAATTTATGTTTGCACATCACTGTGGTGACTAATGTGATTTCATAATCATTAGTATTTCATTTGATTAGCCCCACCCAATCATACCTCCCATCTTGCAAATGAAAAAAGTTAAGTATGGAGAGCACAAAGTCTTGTCTAAACTCATATGGCTCATAAGTAATAATGAAATTGGCCAGGTGTGGTAGCTCACGCCTACCATCCCAACACTGGGAGGCTGATGTGGGAGGATCACTTGAGTCCAGGAGTTCAAGATCAGCCTGGGCAACATAGCAGGACCCTGTCTCTAAAATTTAAAAAATTTAAATTTTTTTTTTTTTTTGAGGTGGAGTCTCACTCTGTCACCCAGGCTAGAGTGCAGTGGCATGATCTCGGCTCACTGCAACCTCCACCTTCTGGGTTCAAGCAATTCTCCTGCCTCAGCCTCCCAAATAGCTGGGATTACAGATGTGCACAACCACACCTGGCTAAAAAAAGAATTTTTTTAAAATTAGCCAAGCGTGGTGGCGCACACCTAGTCCTAGTTCCAGCTACTAGTCCCAGCTACTAGGGAGCCTGTGAAGTTGAGTCTACAGTGAGCTGTGATCTTGCCACTGCACTCCAGCCTGGGTGACAGAACATAATAGTAATAGTAATACAATATAATAACAGTAATAATAATGGAACTTCTCAGTATTAAAGTCCAAATGTGTGCCACCACATATACTGAGCACTGTCAAAAACTGAAAACTCAGGCCAGGCATAGTGACTCACACCTGTAATCCCTGCACTTTGGGAGGTTGAGGCAGGAGAATTGCTTGAAGCCAGGAGCTTGAGACCAGCCTGGGCAACACAGCAAGATCCCTGTCTCAAAAAAAAAAAAAAGGAACAAACAAGAACAGCATAGCATCTGCAGACAGAGAAGCAGCAGCAAATCAGTGGAGGCCAGGATTGATAGCTTCCCCATTTCGGGTTTTGGTAGACAGGAAGGACGGTGACCCAGACACTGAAAAATACCAGCATGCTGAACTTAAGGATTGGCTTATTGAAAATGTCAGGCAAGTTCCTGGCCAGAAAAGCCACATTGAAGCTCCCATGAGCCAAGGAACCCAGGATTCACAGAACAGTCAATAACCAAATCGTGGTTTTATGTGAAGATGACATATTCAGGCTCAGATTATGTATCCACATGCATGAAGGCTGTAGTCATTCCCCATGAAATTCCTCCCACTTCAGCATCCCAAAGTGTTGGGATTACAGAGTCACTTAGATCAGGGAACTGATAGCAATGACAAAATTAGGTACCCCCGACACTAACCCGTGCCTTATCCGTCTCTTGCATGTTTACCTTGAAGGTCAGAACTGCAGTGATCGTTTTGTCCAAACTATGCAAACAAGTAAACATGACTCCAAATTTGTGGTTTTTGTGTTTTTTTGAGACAGGGTCTCGCTCTGTTGCCCAGGCTAGAGTGCAGTGGCACCATCACAGGTCACCGCAGCCTCAGGTTGAAGCCATCCTCCCGTCTCAGCCTCCCGAGGACCTGGGACTATGCCACCATGCCCAGCTAATTTTTTATCTTTATTTATTTATGTATTTATTTATTTATTTATTTATTTATTTTTGAGACAGAGTTTCACTCTGTTGCCCAGGCTGGAGTACAGTGGCGCGATCTCAGCTCACTGCAACCTCCTCCTCCCAGATTCAAGTGATTCTCATGCCTCAGCCACCCAAGTAGCTGAGATTACAGGTGTGCCTCCCACCATGCCCAGCTAACTTAAAAAATATTTTTAATAGAGATGAGGTTTCAGCATGTTGGCCAGGTTGGAAACCAACTCCTGGCCTCAAGTGATCCACCCACCTTGCCTCCCAAAGTGCTGAGATTACAGGCATGAGCTACTACACCCAGCCATTTTTTTTATTTTTTGTAGAGACAGAGTCTCACTACATTGCCCACACTGGTCTCAAACTCCTGAACTCAAGCAATCCTCCTACCTCAGTCTCCCAAAGTGCCAGGATTACAGGCATGAGCCACTGCACCCAGCCCAAATGTGATATTCCAAAGGATGCAGGTGGCTGTGTTGGGATGGCCAATGAAGGTAAGGGACAATGGAAGTACAGGGTGAGGGCAATGAACAGGACATACCTGAGAGCCTGGTTATTGGCCTTGACTATGGGAGTGCCTTCACAAAGACCCGAAAGACCCCCCCACAAAGAGGTCATAGAAGGACAGACCCAAATGGTCATTATAAACAAGGAAGGTAGCCACGCTGACAGGTAGCGATCTCACTTACAGTTTGAGTCTTGATGCTTTGTCCATGGTGTTCACTGTTCTGCATCTAATTAGAAACAAGAGGATGCATTTTGTGAGTTTCAGCAATTTAGAACTAAACATGACCTTTGACAGCCTTGGAAGCATTGTTCCCCCTGCATCTACCTGTACACACAGAGCTACCAGAAGGGTGGATCATGGGAGTTTTCAAGATTACACTGTCTCCTCTATAATGGGAAAAATGAAATATGTTTCTACTTTAAAAAAAAAATTTAGAGACAGTCTCTCTCTCTCCCAGGCTGGAATGCAGTGGCACAATCTTGGCTCACTGTAACCTCAAACTCTTAGCCTTGAGATCCTTCTGCCTCAGCCTCCGAAGGAGCTAGGACTACAGGTGAACACCATACCCAGCTAATTTTTAAAAATTTTTTGAGAAATGGGGTCTCGCTATGTTGCCCAGGCTGGTTTTGGGCTCTTGGTCTTTCCAAGTTCTGTAGGGACACTTTAGAAAACTTATTTGAGATAAATTTCCTTCCACTTTACAGCAACACGGATGGAACTGGAGGCCATTATCCTAAGTGCGATGATGCAAAAACAGAAAGTCAAAAACTGCATCTTCTTACATATAAGTGGGAGCTAAACAATGGGTAAACATGGACATACAGAATGGAATAATAGACACTGGAGATGCCAATAGGTTGGACAGAGAGGGGGGATGAGGGATGAAATATTACCTATTGGGTACAATATACACTCTTTGGGTGATGGGTGCACTAAAAGCCAGACTTCGCCACTATGAAATATATCCACGTAACACAAGTGCATTTGTAACCATAAATCTACAAAAATAAAAATAAAAATGAAAAGCAATAAAAACATGCTTAAACTAAAAACAAACAAACAAAAAAACAACGAAAACAAACCATTTCCTTCCAGAGTAAAACGCAGTTTACTGAGCACGTCTCATAGATCGTGATTGGTCTGAAGAGTCCCTGTGCCCAGGTTAGGGTTGCAATTTACCACCCGAGCCAAGTGCTCGGGTGTCCTACGGATTGTTTTTTCTTTCTTTCCTTTTTTTTTTTTTCTTGGGATGGGTTCTGGCCATGTTGCCCAGACTGAACTCAAACTCCTGGAGTCAAGCGATCCACCCGCCTCAGCCCACCCACCCCCCGACCTCCCCCACCGCCCCCACCACGCAGTAGCTGGGACTACGGGTGTGCGCCACCAAGCCCTGCCTTGGGGTTCCTTTTCTAAAGTGCCAAATGTGTGGAGGTGGGGAAAAGAAAGGTGGACGCCTCAACGCTGTTATGGTCAAAGATTAAAATGCAACCACACTTTTTATTACACATGATGGGGTAACCGTCTGTTTATAAACAAGGGTCACTATTCCACGAGAGGCCTTACAACATTATGCCAAGCCCCTGGTACCTGGAGGACATCAGACCCTCCTGTTCCTGTGCGGCCTTGACTAGACGACCACTTGCTCTGGACTTGCTCCTCGAGGGGTCGCTCCATCTGGAAACTGAGACTGGAATTCCTGCGCATCCCTGTCCCCGCATCCAGAAACACTGCAGGAAGACTTCCGTGTCCGACCCGAGATCCGGAACAATTTCTGCTTCAACACAATTGTCCACGGAGGGCACCAGTTCCGTCCCACCGGCGGAAGCGAGATCTGCCTAGCTACTAGACCTGCTGCCTAGCTGTCATTCGGACAAAAAGGGGCGGGGCTGTATAATTGTCCAATCAGGGGCGGCGCCGGAAAGGAGGGTACGGCTACGCTGCGCAAATGCGTGCTACGTCACTGTGCGATCGGGTTGTGCTTAGCTTGGGGTCTCCTGGCCCCTTGACGCGTCAGGTTGCTGTACCCCTGCATCGGATGCGCTGTACCCTGCGCTGGCTCCGTGAACCTTAGGGACAACACCGGGACACCCGCGAGGCCGGAAAATGGTGAGTGTGCAGGGCCGGACTAGTTGGAACCGGCCGTGATCGCGGGACCCGGGCCTCCCCACGGTCACCTCCGGCCGCAGTGTGGGGCTGGGCTGGCAGCTGGAACTCCAAGCGTCCTGTCCCGTCCCTGCGCGGCGACTGCGGTCCCAGCCCCGGAGCCCTCTCTGGACAACTCCGCGCCCGCAGCCCCGCGTCTTTCCCAGATCGTGCAGGGACCACGGGAGGGTCCTGGGGAGAATCCCGCCTTGTGTGTTTGGTTTGTGTGGGAGGAGCTACAGTCTGGGGTTCCCAGTCCCTTCTTTCTTCCCAAAGGCTGTTTCCCCCTGAGTCTTCCAAAGATGTTGGAAGCAGAGTCTCAAATCCACTACCCTGTCCCCCCAGCCTAGCTCCTCCCACGGCGGGCCATTAATCCCTAGATTTCCGGATCCCTCCCCGAATTCCCAAACGCCTACTTCCGCTCGCCAGTGGAAAACATCGTCACCAACTCTTTGTCCTGTGTGGTGCATTTCAAACACACGCAGTATTTTAATAATCTTTTTTCCAATAGATGCCTCTTTTAAACGATTTATTTCTTGTTTGTGGATATTTTACATCAGAGAAAAATCAGAAAAATTATTCACTTGGAACTAATCTGCATAAAATGCTGTGGCCCTCATCCTGGTACCTTTCCAGGGCACAGACATCCTATGGGAACTCCTTTGCGTTGAGGTTCCTTTTTGTAAACTTTCCTGGGTAATCTATCTTTTCAGCACAGTTTCAGATTGGCACTGTCCCGCCTTGGGTTTATGACCTTGAAAAGATTTATTCACTCGAATGTCATTTTTCCAATAAATATAAAATATATGTTATCAGAAGAACTTGAGAGACAGTACAAAATATTTCCAAAGGGCAAAAAAGAAATGAATCTCAGAAAACAAAAAACATCCCAATATTACATTTGTTAAAAATTCTTTGTTCTTTCCCTGAGCACATGGAATATGTTTCTCAGGTCTGTTCTTTTAGTTTGATGTTTCAGATGGTATTCCAGGACTTAAACTTGCAACATCTAGAAGCATTCAGATAGAAGTAATACTTTTGTAAACTATTTATTGCCATGGAAATAATTAACTGACATTATTATTTTCTTTTTTTTTTTTTTAACAGATGGGGTCTGGCTGTGTTGCTCAGGCTGATCTTGAACTCCTGGGCTCAAGCGATCCTCCACCCTCAGCATCCCAAAGTGCTAGGATTCCAGGCATGAGCTACTATTACCGGCCCAACATTCTCATTTTCTGAAAGCAATAGTGGGTTTTCTTGTTAAATGGCTTAAAATTTTCTTGCTTCCTTCCTTTATTTATTTATTTATTTATTTATTTATTATTTATTTACTTTTTTTTTTGAGACGGAGTCTAGCTTTCTCGCCAGGCTGGAGTGCAGTGACACGATCTCAGCTCACTGCAACCTCTGCCTCTCGGGTTCAAGCGATTCTCCTGCCTCAACCTCCCAAGTAGCTGGGATTACAGGCACAAGCTACCACGCCCAGCTAATTTTTGTATTTTTTTTTTTTTTTTTTAGTAGAGAGTGTTTCACTATGTTTCCCAGGATGGTCTCAATCTCCTGATCTCCTGACCTCATGATCCTCCCGCCTTGGCCTCCCAAAATGCTGGGATTACAGGCATGAGCCACCACGCCAGGCCTTTTGCTTCCTTTATACGTAAACACTGTGTTTAAGTAATTCTGCTGGATTTTTTTTTTTTTTTTTTTTTTTAAAGACCAAGTCTTGCTCTTTTGCCCAGGCTGGAGTGCAGTGGCACAATTTTGGCTTACTGCAACCTCCGCACTTGGAAGCTGAGGAGCCACAGGCAGATGCTGTTAGGGGAAGAGGGGAGGATGTCTGAGGTTTTAATTGTGGTTTCCTTGGGTGTGTTTTTAGACATTACATTTGAGTTTCACATCTGTAAGGTAGGTACACTGAGTGTAATTGGTGCATATTGACAGCCATTCTCCTGCCTTAGCCTCCCAAGTACCTGGGATTACAGGCACACACCACTATGCCCGGCTAATTTTTTTGTATTTTGAGTAGAGGCGGGGTTTCACCATGTTGGCCAGTCCGGTCTCGAACTCCGGACCGCAGGTGATCCACCCGCCTCAGCCTCCCAAAGTGCTGGGATTATAGGTGTGAGCCATCGTGCCAGGCCTTCTGCTGGATGTTTAAGGAACAATCCTTAAGAATTTAAGGGCCCGGCACGGTGGCTCATGCCTGTAATCCCAGCACTTTGGGAGGCCAAGGAGGGCGGATCACGAGGTCAGGAGCTCGAGACCATCCTGGCTAACATTGTGAAACCCCGTCTCTACTAAAAATACAAAAAATTAGCTGGGCGTGGAGGCGGGCGCCTGTAGTCCCAGCTACTCTGGAGGCTGAGGCAGGAGAATGGCGTGGACCTGGGAGGCGGAGCTTGCAGTGAGCCGAGATCGCGCCACTGCACTCCAGCGTGGGTGACAGGGTGAGACTCCATCTCAAAACAAAAAAAAAATTTAATTAAATTGTCTCATTTAAAATTACTAGTAGTGTTCCAGAGCCTTGTGACTGGGGAGCAGAGGCCTGAGATAAGTGATTCCAAGCTAAGTCCACCTTTGAGCCTGCAAAGAAAGATCATTGAAGGCCCAATTGGTTCTTCCTGGGGAGCCTCCCCTACAGGTCTGCCAGCTACTCATATGCCCACCATGGAAGGATCCTCTTGTACTGAAAGAAACTGCAGAGCACTTGGAAGCTGAGGATGCACAGGCAGATGCTGTTAGGGGAAGAGGGGAGGATGTCTGAGGTTTTAATTGTGGTTTCCTTGGGTGTGTTTTTAGACATTACGTTTTGAGTTTCACTTCCGTAATATAGGTGTACTGGGTGTAATTGGTGCATATTGACAGTGTCTGTGAAGGTCAGGACTTATGTTTCCTAGAGACAGGGTTAATGAATTGGGGAGCTCATTTGCATCAGAACCTCAATCTCAATCTGGTTGAGAGTTTCCTCACTTGGGAAAACGGAAACCTAGGGAAGCTAATGTTTCTTTGCTGCCATAGGAGAGAAGGAGGTGTGGAGCTCCCATAGTTCCTTGCTGATCAGGTGCTTCTATCCTCCATTACCAGGTACTGACCCACTCTAGGGGTTACATTTTTCTTTATTTTTATTTTTTTTGAGACCGAGTCTCACTCTGTTGCCCAGGCTGGAGTGCAGTGGCACGATCTCGGCTCACTGCAACCTCCGCCTCCTGGGTTCAAGCCATTCTCCTGCCTCAGCCTCCAGAGTAGCTAGGATTACAGGTGTGTGCCACCAGGCCCGGCCAATTTATTTTGTATTTTTAGTAGAGACGGGGTTTCACCGTGTTGACCAGGCTGGTCTCAAATTCCTGACCTCAGGTGATCTGCCTGCCTTGGCCTCACAAAGTGCTGAGATTACAGGTGTGAGCCACCACGCCAGGCCGGGGTTACGTTTTTCAAGCTGGGAGAGTCTGGGTCCAAGCTGGGGAATATGTTTAACTTTTTTTTTTTTTTTTTGGAAACGGAGTTTTGCTCTTGTTGCCCAGGCTGGAGTGCAATGGCACAATCTCGGCTCACCGCAACCTCCGCTTCCCAGGTTCAAGCGATTCTTCTGCCTCAGCCTCCCAGGTAGCTGGGATTACAGGCGTGCGCCACCATGCCCAGCTAATTTTGTATTTTTAGTAGAGATGGGGTTTCTCCATGTTTGTCAGTCTGGTCTTGAGCTCCCCACCTAGGTGATCTGCCCACCTTGGCCTCCCAGAGGGCTGGGATTACAGGTGTGAGCCACTGCGTCCGGCCTTTTTTTTTTTTTTTTTTTTTTTTTTTTTTTTTTTGATACAGCGTCTCACTCTGTTGCCCAAGCTGGTCTGGAACTCCTGGCCTCAGGCCGTCCTCCCACCTTAGTCTCCTATGTTCAACTTTTTTTTTTTTTTTTTTTTTTTTTGAGACAGGGTCCCACTCCGTCGCCCAGGCTGGAGTGCAGTGATGTGATCATTGCTCACTGCAGCCTCCACCTCCTGGGCTCAAGTGATCCTCCTGCCTCCTCTGAGTAGCTGGGACTGCATGCATGCACCACAATGCCCATCTAATTTTCGTATTTTCTGTAGAGATGGGGTTTCGCCATATTGCCCAGGCTGGTCTGGAACTCCTGGGCTCGAGCACTTCTCCCGCCCTGGCCTCCCACAGCGCATGGCCTCCCACAATTTCTTGACATCCAAAGATACTTTTGCTGTCTTAAGGTTTTATATTTTCCAGAATGTAATACACGTGGAGTTATTCAGGATATAGCCTTCACAGATTGGCTTCCTTCACTGAGCAATGTACTTTTAAGGTCCTTCTGTGTCTTCATGGCTTGATACCTGATTTCTCTTATCGTTGAACAATATTTCATCATAAGATTGTACCGGCCGGGCACGATGGCTCATGCCTGTAATCCCAGCTCTTTGGGAGGCCGAGGCGGGCGGATCACAAGGTCAGGAGTTTGAGACCAGCCTGGCCAACATGACAAAACCCCGTCTCTACTAAAAATACAAAAATTAGCTGGGTGTGGTGGCGCACACCTGTAATCTCAGCTACCTGGGAGGCTGAGGCAGGAGAATTGCTTGAACCTGGAAGGTGGAGGTTGCAGTGAGCCGAGATAGTGCCATTGCACTCCAGCCTGGGCAACAAGAGCAAGACTCCGTCTCAAAAAAAAAAAAAAAAAAAAGATTGTACCACAGATTGTTTATCCATAAACCTGTTGCATGATGTCTTGGTTAAGTCTTAAATTTGGCAGTTATGAAGAAACCTCCTGTAAATATTCATGGGCAGGTTTTTGTATGAACAGTATTTTTCAACTCATGTGAGTAAATAGCAAGGAATGTGATTGCATGGTCCACTGGTAAGAGGACGTTTTGTTTTGTTAGAAACTGCCTATCTTCCAAAGTAGACATACCATTTTCCATTTCCATTGGCAAGGAATGAGAATTCTTGTTGTCTACATCTTTGCTATCCATTGCTGTTCTCAGCATTTTGAACTTTGTACGTTCTAATAAGTGTAAAGTGATATCTCTTCAGTTTTATTTGCAGCTCCTTAGTGACATATAATTGAGCATCTCTTCATATGTGTATTTGCCATCTGTATATCTTTCATTGGTGAGGGGTGTGTTCAGGTCTTTTGCTCATTTTTCACTGGTTCATTTGTCTTATTTTTGTTGAGATTTAAGAGTTCGAATTGGAGGCAGGCATGGTGGTACACGCTTGTCATCCCAGCTACTCCAGAGGCTAAAGTGGGAGGATTGCCTGCACCCAGGATTATAAGCCCAGCATGGGCAACATAATGGATCCTATCTCAAAAAAACAAAAAGGACGCTAGGCATGGTAGCTCATGTGGGGCCACCCAGGCTGCTGGGGAGCAGAGCTGAGAAGTGGTGCTGGGGCTGGAGCTGCCAAGGGATCGGAGAAAAAAAATTAGCCCAATGTGGGTGGCACACCCCTGTAGTCCCAGCTATTTGGGAGGCTGAGGCATGAGAATCGCTTGAGCCTAGGAGGCAGAGGTTGCAGTGAGCCGAGATTGCACCACTGCACTCCACCCTGGGCAACAGAGCAAGACTGTCTCAAAAAAAAAGAAAAACAAAAAGAATTCTTTGGATATTTTAGATACTAGTCCTTAATCAGATAAGTGCTTTTGTGAAGATTTGCAAAAATCTGTCTGTGCCTTTTATTTTTATTCTTTTAACACTTTCTTTCACAGAGTAGGAGTTTTTCATTTTAATGAAGTGAAACTTATTTTTTCCTTTCATAGATTGTGCTTTTAGTGGTTTATCTAAAAATTCATCACCAAAGCCAAGTGGATAGTTTTGCATGTTACATTTACATCTATGATCGATTTGGGCTTAATTTTTGTGAAAGGTGTAAGATCCATGTATAAATTTTTTGTGGGTGTATGAGAGTTTAATAGTATAAATTTCACTTAGGTACTATTTTTGTTGCATTCCACAAATTTTGATAAGTTCTATTTTCATTTAATTCACATTTAATTTTTCTTTTTTCTTCTTTTTTTTTTTTTTTTGAGACGGAGTCTTGCTGTGTCACTCAGGCTGGAGTGCAGTGGTGCAGTCTTGGCTCACTGCATCCTCCGCCTCCCGGGTTCAAGCGATTCTCCTGCCTCAACCTCTCAAGTAGCTGGGATTACAGGCACGTGCCACCATGCCTGTCTAATTTTTTTATTTTTAGTAGAGATGGGGTTTCACCATGTTGGCCAGGCTGGTCTCGAACTCCTGACCTCGTGATCCGCCCACCTTGGCCCCCCAGAGTGCTGGGATTACAGGCATGAGTCACTGCGCCCGGCCCAAATTTAATTTTTCTTGAGATTTTTTTGATTCATGTTTAGAACTGTGTTGGGTTTTATTTCCAAATATTTGATGGTTTTCTAACTATTCTTCTGTTACTGATTTCTAGATTAATACCATGGTGGTCTGAGAGCATATTTTATATAATGTATATTCTTTGAAAATTGTTAAGGTGTGTTTTTGTCCACAACATGGTTTATCTTGGTGAATGTTCCACATGAACTTGAGAAGAATGTGTGTTGTTCTGTTGGATGAAGCATTCATGGATTTTAATTAAACCCAGTTGTTGCCTTTCAACTAAACTTTGTCCTTTCTGATTTTCTACCTGCTGGAACTCTTTTTTTTTTTTTTTTTTTTTTTTGGAGACAGGGTATTACCCTGTCACCAGGCTGGAATGCAGTGGCATGATCTCAGCCTACTACAACCACCACCTCAGCCTTCTGAGTAGCTGGAACTACAGGTGCGTGCCACATACAGGGCTAAATTTTGCTTTTTTTTTTTTTTTTTTTTTGAGACAGAGTTTCGTCCTTGTCGCCCAGGCTGGAGTGCAGAGGCAAGAACTCAGCTCACTGCAACCTCCATCCACTGGGTTCAAGCGATTCTCCTGCCTCAGCTTCACAGGTAGCTGGGATTACAGGTGCACACCATCATGCCCGGCTAATTTTTGTATTTTTAGTAGAGATGGAGTTTCACCATGTTGGCTAGGCTGGTCTCCAACTCCTGACATCAGGTGATCCACCCACCTTGGCTTTGCAAGGTGCTGGGATTACAGGCGTGAGCCACCACGTCCACCAACCATCTATTCTTTTTCACAAGTATTGTATTTTTAAATTTT
Organism: Homo sapiens; assembly: GCF_000001405.40. Lineage (NCBI taxonomy): Eukaryota > Metazoa > Chordata > Mammalia > Primates > Hominidae > Homo > Homo sapiens. Next base: position 12,618,259 of record NC_000019.10, read on the forward strand.
TGCCTCCTTTGAACATTTAATGAGTATTAATGGAATTACACTTAAAGGGTTTTTTGGAGCCTAGGCAACATAGTGAGACCCATCTTTACAAAAAATGAAAAAATTAGCCAGGCATGGTGATGCACACCTGTAGTCCCAGCTACTCAGGAGTCTGAGGCGGGAAGATTGCTTGAGCCCGGGAAGTCGAGGCTGCTGTGAGCCGTGACTGCACCACTGTACTCTAGCCTGGGCAACAATGAGACCCCGTCTCAAAAATAAAATAAAGGCCGAGTGTGGTGGCTCGCGCCTGAGGCTAGGAGTTCAAGACCAGCCTGGCCAACATGGTGAAACCCTGTCTCTACTAAAATACAAAAAATTAGCTGGGTATGGTGGTGCGTGCCTGTAATCCCAGCTACTCAGGAGGCTGAGACAGGAGAATTGCTTGAACCCGGGAGGCGGAGGCTGCAGTGAGCCGAGATCATGCCACTGCACTCCACCCTGGGGAACAAGAGCAAAACTCCACCTCAAAATAAATAAATAAATAATTTTGTGGTGATTTGTTTACCTCTCAGTGTGTGTGTGTGTGTGTGTGTGTGTGTGTGTGTGTGTGTGTATTTATTTATTTTTTTGAGATGGAGTCTCACTCTGTTGCCAGGCTGGAGTGCAGTGGTGTGATCTCAGCTCACTGCAACCTCCGCCTCCTGGGTTCAAGCGATTCTCCTGCTTCAGCCTCCCGAGTAGCTGGGACTACAGGCATGAGCCACCATGCCCAGCTAATTTTTGTATTTTTAGTAGCGACGGAGTTTCACCATGTTGGTCAGGATGGTCTCAGTCTCGACCTCGTGATCCACCCACCTAGGCCTCCCAAAGTGCTAGGGATTACAGGCGTGAGCCACCACGCCTGGCCACCTCTCAGTATATTTCTCATATGCTAGTATCTGAAGCTGCAGGCTATCCGTTCCAATGGTTGTGGTGTTTAGACTTTTTCACGGTTTTGTTTTTGTTTGCTTTGTGGAAAATAATGCTCCTACTATTTTTGTTTCAGTCTGCAAGTGCAAACGCACAATAAATTCTCTGGTAGTTGGAAAAAAATTACTGGATCTTGGTCAAGTTTAAATTTACAAACTTAAAAAAAGTGGTGGAGTGTATCAGTTGATCCTCCGTTTGTACATGATTGTTCTCTGTAGTCATCAACACTAATGTTATCTTTTTTTTTTTTTTTTTTTTTTTGAGACGGAGTCTCGATTTGTCTCCCAGGCTGGAGTGCAGTGGCGCGATCTGGGCTCACTGCAAGCTCCGCCTCCCGTGTTCACGCCATTCTCCTGCCTCAGCCTCTCGACTAGCTGGGACTACAGGCGCCCGCCACTTCTCCTGGCTAATTTTTTGTATTTTTAGTAGAGACGGGGTTTCACTGTGTTAGCCAGGATGCTCTCGATCTCCTGACCTCATGATCTACCTGCCTCGGCCTCCCCAAGTGCTGGGATTACAGGCGTGAGCCACCGCGCCCGGCCACTAATGTTATCTTAATCGACTAGTTTTGTCTTCCTACTCAGTTTGAAGTGGGAACTATTTGACATTTATATCCTCATTAGCAAGGAGATGAACCTTTTTTTTCTGTTTTTTTTTCTTTTTATTATTTAGTAAAAGGCTATATATGAAATCTTTATTTATTTATTTATTTTTATTTTATTTATTTATTTTTTTGAGACGGAGTCTCGCTCTGTCGCCCAGGTTGGAGTGCAGTGGCGCGATCTCGGCTCACTGCAAGCTCCGCCTCCCGGGTTCCCGCCATTCTCCTGCCTCAGCCTCCCGAGTAGCTGGGACTACAGGCGCCCGCCACGGCACCCAGCTAATTTTTTGTATTTTTAGTAGAGCCAGGATGGTCTCGATCTTCTGACCTCGTGATCCACCTGCCTTGGCCTCCCAAAGTGCTGGGATTACAGGTGTGAGCCACCGCACCTGGCCTGTCTTTATTTATTTTTGGCTGGAGTGCAGTGGTATAGTTATGGCTCACTGCAGCCTTGACTTTGCAGGCTCAAGCAATCCTCCCACCTCAGCCTCCCAAGTAGCTGAGACCACAGGCGTGCACCACCACGCCTGGCCAAGTTTTGTATATTTTATAGAGACAGGGTTTCACCATGTTGCCCAGGCTGGTCTCGAACTCCTGGGCTCAAACGATCTGCCCACCTCAGCCTCCCAAAGTGCTGGGATTATAGGCATGAGCCATCACGCCTGGCCAAAATGTTTATTTTCTATTAAATGTAAATGTAAATAAACCTTACAGAGAGCACCCAGGCATGCAGATGGACTTGTCACGAGGGAGAGCTCCCTGGAGCCAAATTTCTTCCTGCTCAGACCATAGTCCTAATTACTTAAGAAAACCCCTTCTAACTGTGTGGATCTTTTAACGTATGGTGCACATGAGTGCATGGAAATGAGAGAACCTGGGACAACAGCCCCTAGAGTGTCTGTCTGGGATCACTTCCTCCTGAAACTGGAGAAAGGGGATTTATGTTCTTTTTTTTTTTTTTTTTTTTTTTTGAGATAGAGTCTCGCTCTGTTGCCCAGGCTGGACTGCAGTGGTGCGATCTTGGCTCACTGCAACCTCTGCCTCCCGGGTTCAAGCGATTCTCCTGCCTCTGCCTCCCGAGTAGCTGAGATTACATGCATGCACCACCATGCCCAACTAATTTTTGTATTTTTAGTAGAGGCAGGGTTTCTCCATGTTGGCCAGGGTGGTCTCGAACTCCTGACCTGAGGTGATCCACCTGCCTCGGCCTCCCACAGTGCTGGGATTACAGGCATGAGCCATCCTGACCCAGATTTTATGTTCTTTTGGAGGTATGAAATTACCTGTTAATTTTATAATCATGGGCAAATTCACCATCAGACCATTGTGGACATCAGTGAAGTCCCCTGAAAATTGATACTGTCAATCTATTCTTCAAGGTCAGCAAAGCCCAGATGACATGATTATGGATCTTCCAGAAAGTGCTCTTCTGACATTTTATCTCAATGTGTATATGTATTTGTGCTAAAAATTGGTTGGAAGCAGTTCTGAGGCTCATGGGTATAACGATTTTGTGAAAGTCTAAGTTGTGAGGGCCCCTTCCTTGTGCCTGAGCTGTCTTCCCAGTAACTTCCTAGTCTCACGAAATGGGACAGAAAGTAAAAGGAAAAACTGGGTCTATGATAGATATTACACACACAGCCGGGCGTGGTCGCTCATGCCTGTAATGCCAACACATAGGGATATATATATATCGGAAACAAGTTGAAATTAATACGTCTCTAAAAGAGTATTTCCATTCAGTCAGCAGAATCTGAGTGCTTCTGATGGCCTCAAATACTTCAGGACGATATAGGCAGCTAGACCTTCTTAAAAGTTGGATTTCCACAAGCCTCCTGGCCTCTCATGTATAACAAAAGGGGATAGAAGATTCTCAATGTGTATTTACTTATTAAAACCTCCACCTCGGTGGGGGGTCAGCCCCCCTGCCCGGCCAGCCGCCCCGTCCGGGAGGGAGGTGGGGGGGGTCAGCCCCCCCGCCCGGCCAGCCGCCCCGTCCGGGAGGTGAGGGGCGCCTCTGCCCGGCCACCACCCCGTCTGGGAGGTGTGCCTAACAGCTCATTGAGAACGGGCCAGGATGACAATGGCGGCTTTGTGGAATAGAAAGGCGGGAAAAGTGGGGAAAAGATTGAGAAATCGGATGGTTGCCGTGTCTGTGTAGAAAGTAGACATGGGAGACTTTTCATTTTGTTCTGCACTAAGAAAAATTCCTCTGCCTTGGGATCCTGTTGATCTGTGACCTTACCCCCAACCCTGTGCTCTCTGAAACATGTGCTGTGTCCACTCAGAGTTAAATGGATTAAGGGCGGTGCAAGATGTGCTTTGTTAAACAGATGCTTGAAGGCAGCATGCTCGTTAAGAGTCATCACCACTCCCTAATCTCAAGTAATCAGGGACACAAACACTGCGGAAGGCCGCAGGGTCCTCTGCCTAGGAAAACCAGAGACCTTTGTTCACTTGTTTATCTGCTGACCTTCCCTCCACTATTGTCCCATGACCCTGTCAAATCCCCCTCTGTGAGAAACACCCAAGAATTATCAATAAAAAAATAAATTAAAAAAAATAATAAATAAAAAAAATAATAAAAAAAAGACTGTCTCAAACAAAAAAAAAAAAAAAAAAAAACCTCCACCTCATTTAATCCCATATCTTAAGGAATGCTGAATGATTTGGGTAATAAGAAATTAGGCTGTGGGCTGGGTATGGTTATTCATACCTGTTATCACAACACTTTGGGAGGCCGGGGCAGGAGGATCACTTGGGGCCGAGAGTTAAAGGTCAACCTGGACAATATAACAAAACCCCAGCCGGAGGCAGTGGCTCACGCCTGTAATCCCAGCACTTTGGGTGGCCGAGGAGGGTGGATCACGAGGTCGGGAGTTCAAGACCAGCCTAGCCAAGATGGTGAAACCCCATCTCTACTAAAAATACAAAAAATTAGCTGGGCGTGGTGGCACGCGCCTATAATCCCAGCTACTTCGGAGGCTGAGGCAGAGAATTGCTTAAACCTGGAGGGGCGGAGGTTGCAGTGAGCCGAGATCGCACCACTGCACTCCTGCCTGGGTTACAGAGTGAGACTCCGTCTCAAAAAAAAAAAAAAAAAGAAAGAAAAAAAACCCATTTATCTGGGAGTGGTGTTGCACATCTGTAGTCCTAACTACTCGTGAAGCTGAGGCAGGAGGATGTCTTGGGGGCCCAGGGATTTGAGGCTACAGTGAGTTAGGATTGCTGCACTTGAGCCTAGGTGACAGAGCAAGACCCTGTCTCTTAGAAAACAACAAACAAACAAACAAGAAATAAGAATTTATCTCATAAAGAATTGAAGATCTTGCCTGTAATCTCAGCAATTTGAGAGGCCAAGGCTAGTGAATCGCTTGAGCTGAGGAGTTTGAGACCAGCCTGGGCAACATGGCAAAACCCCATCTCTACAAAAAATATACACAAAATACTTACCTAGGTGTAGTGGTGTGTTCCTGTAGTCCCAGCTACTCAGGAGGCTGAGGTTGGAGGATTGCTTGAGCCGGGAGGACTAGGCTCCAATGAACTGTGATTGTACCACTGCACTCCAGCCTAGGTAGCAGAGCGAGACCATCTATGTCTCAAAAAGGAAGAAAAAAAAATTGATCCTAAAATTTGTCTCATTTGTGTAGGATTTCTTTCATTTTTCTAAGTTGAACTAGATACTACCATTAGAGAGCAATAGGACTTACAGTGACCACAGTGAAGATGTAGCTATAAGTTTATGTGTTCAATGTGCTGTTACATTTCTAACAATTGAGTCATGCACTAAATGTTTGGAGACCACAAAATCGTGTGTGAATTTCTTATGAATTGAGGATACCTCTCATCCTTGTCAATCTCACCTATTCTCTACTTATATTGGATGTTTCAGGACTCAGTGGCTTTTGAGGATGTGTCTGTGAGCTTCAGCCAGGAGGAGTGGGCTCTGCTGGCTCCTTCACAGAAGAAACTCTACAGAGATGTGATGCAGGAAACATTCAAGAACCTGGCATCTATAGGTAAGGATGACATCATTTTTTCTTTTTTCTTTTTTTTTTTTTTTGGGGGGGGACAGAGTTTCACTATTGTCCAGGCTGGAGAGCAATGGCACAATCTCAGCTCACCACAACCTCAGCCTCCCAGGTTCAAGCAATTCTCCTACCTCAGCCTCCCGAGTAGCTGGGATTACAGGCACGTGCCACCATGCCTGGCTAATTTTTTTCTTTTTAGTAGAGACGGGATTTCACCATGTTGGTCAGGCTGGTCTTGAACTCCTGACCACAGGTAATCTGCCCGCTTCAGCCTCCCAAAGTGCTGGGATTACAGGCATGAGCCACTGTGCCTGGCCTTCTTTTTTTTTTTTTTTTTTGAGTCTCGTCCTGTTCCCCAGGGTGGAGTGCAGTGGCGGGATCTTGGCTCACTGTAACCTCCGCCTCCTGGGTTCAAGCAATTCTCCTGCCTCAGCCTCCCGAGTAGCTGGGATTACAGGTGCCCACCACCATGCCCGGCTAATTTTTGTATTTTTAGTAGAGACGGGGTTTTATCATGTTGGCCAGGCTGGTCTCGAACTCCTGACCTCAGGTGATCCACCCGCCTCAGCCTCCCAAAGTGTGGGGATTACAGGCATGAGCCACCGCACCCCAGTGACATCATTTTTTCATATCGTCAGTTAGAGAACTGCCATTTCTTGCTCATAATCACTGTTCCGAGATTTGGAATCTGAAAAGGAAACACTTCTGTAAATAAACCAGGCATGGTTACAGCTCATTGTGAACCTATAATCTAATAATATTTGTATAATTTTTAATAATTTATCATGATTATTCTTGATCTACATTTTAGGGGAAAAATGGGAAGACCCGAATGTTGAAGATCAACACAAAAACCAAGGACGAAATCTAAGGTGAGTTGCACTCACAAGAAGTAACAGTGTTCCTTGAAAGAATCTTAAAAATGTTATGGCCGGGCACGGTGGCTCACACCTGTAATCTCAGCACTTTGAGAGGCTGAGGTGGGTGGATCATGAGGTCAGGAGTTCAAGACCAGCCTGGCCAACATGATGAAACCCCGTCTCTACTAAAAATACAAAAAAAGTTAGCCAGTTGTGGTGGTGGGCGCCTGTAATCCCAGCTACTCTGGAGGCTGAGGCAGAGAATTACTTGAATCCAGGAGGCAGAGGTTGCAGCGAGCCGAGATCGCGCCACTGCACTCCAGCCTGGGCAACAGAGCGAGACTCTGTCTCAAAAAAAAAAAGAAGTTGTGACACTTTTAAAACAAGAAGCAAGCTTAGCTCCAAATTTATTTATTTATTTGTTTTATTTATTTTTTCTTGAGATGAGGTTTTGCTCTGTCACTCAGGCTGGAGTGCAGTGGCATGGTCTTTGCTCACTGCAACCTCCACCTCCCGGGATCAAGTGATTTTCCTGCCTCAGCCTCCCAAGTAGCTGGGATTACAGGGACGTGCCACCACACCTGGCTAATTTTTGTATTTTTAGTAGAGACAGGGTTTCTCCATGTTGGCAAGGCTGGTCTCAAACTCCTGACCTCAGGTGATCTGCCCGCCTCAGCCTTCCAAAGTGCTGGGATTACAGGCACGAGCCACTGGGCCCCAAATTTATTTATTATCAGAAAATGTTTACCAAAAATGTTTTCTCAAGTGACACAGATGTCCACTGGCTGAAAAATATTATACTTGGGCCGGGCACTGTGCCTCACGCTTATAATCCCAGCACTTTGGGAAGGTGAGGTGGGCGGATCACCAGAGGTCAGGAGATCAAGACCAGTCTGGCCAACACAGTGAAAACCTGTCTCTACTAAAAATACAAAAATTAGCCGGGTGTGGTGGCACACACCTGTCATCCCAGCTACTCAGGAGGCTGAGGCAGGAGAATCACTTGAACCTGGGAGGCAGAGGTTGCAGTGAGCCCAGATCGCACCACTACACTCCAGCCTGGGCGACAGAGTGAGACTCCATCTCAAAAAAAAAAAAAAAGAAGAAGAAGAAGAAAGAAAAATATTGTACTTGGGAACAGTTTTGTTTGTTTGTTTGTTTTGTGAAACAGAGTCTCGCTCTGTCACCCAGGCTGGAGTGGAGTGGTATGATCTTGGCTCACTGCAACCTCTAACCCCTGGGTTCAAGCAATTCTTCTGCCTCAGCCTCCCAAGTAGCTGGGATTATAAGCGCGCACTACTATACTGGGTTAATTTTTGTTTTGTTTTGTTTTTTTTGAGACGGAGTCTCGCTCTGTCACCAGGCTAGAGTGCTGTGGCGCAATCTCGGCTCACTGCAACCTCCCACTCCCTGGTTCAAGGGATTCTTCTGCCTCCGCCTCCCAGGTAGCTGGGATTACAGGCATGCATCACCATGCCCGGCTAATTTTTGTGTTTTTAGTAGAGATAGGGTTTCACTATGTTGGCCAGGATGGTCACGATCTCCTGACCTCGTGATCTGCCCACCTCGGCCTCCCAAAGTGCTGGGATTACAGGCGTGAGCCACCATGCCCAGCCAATTTTTGTATTTTTTAGTAGAGATGGGGTTTCACTATGTTGGCCTGGATGGTCTCGATCTCCTGACCTCGTGATCTGCCCGCCTCGGCCTCCCAAAGTGCTGGGATTACAGGGGTGAGCCACCATGCCCAGCCAATTTTGTATTTTTTAGTAGAGATGGGGTTTCACCATGTTGGCCAGGCTGGTCTCAAACTCCTGACCCCAATTGATCCACCCACCTCGGCCTCCCAAAGTGCTAGGACTACAGGCATGAGCCACCATGCCAAGGTGTGGAAACAGTATTTTATTTTATTTTTATTTTTATTTTTGAGACGAAGTCTTGCTCTGTCACCCAGGCTGGAGTGCAGTGGTGCCATCTCAGCTCACTGCAAGCTCCGCCTCCCAGGTTCACGCCATTCTCCTGCCTCAGCCTCCCGAGTAGCTGGGACTACAGGCGCCCACCACCACGCCCGGCTAATTTTTTTGTATTTTTAGTAGAGACGGGGTTTCACCCTGTTAGCCAGGGTGGTCTTGATCTCCTGACCTCATGATCTGCCCGTCTCGGCCTCCCAAAGTGCTGGGATTACAGGCGTGAGCCACTGTGCCCGCCCAGAAACAGTACTTTAAAGCCTCACATATAATTTCCGGAAGCCAAGGTGAGCAGATCATTTGAGCTCAGGAGTTCGAAACCAGCCTGGGCAACAAGACGAGACCCTGTCTCTACAAGAAACAGAAAATTCAGTCAGTTGTGGTGGTGCATGCCTGTAGTCCCAGCTACATGGGAGGCTGAGGTGGGAGGATTGATTGAGCCCGGGAGGTCAAGGCTGCAGTGAGCCATGATTGCATCACTGTACTCCAGTGCGGGTGACAGAGTGAGACTCTGTCTCAAAATGAAACCAAAAAAAAAAAAACCCATACCTCAATATTACTGTTTTGATAATAGCTATCAGTGACACAAGCCCTCTTGCAGAACATTGAGTATATTCGTTTTTAAACAAGTCAGACGGGGCAGAAAACTATTTCCCTGAAAATGATAAAAATTTAGTTCTGCTGCCGGGTGCGGTGGCTCACGCCTGTAATCCCAGCACTTTGGGAGGCCAAGGCGGGCAGATCACTTGAGGTCAGGAGTTCAAGACCAGCCTGACCAGCATGGTGAAACCACGGCTTTACTAAAAATACAAAATTAGCTGGGCGTGGTGGCGCATGCCTGTAATCCCAGCTACTTGGGAGGCCGAGGTAGGAGAATTGCTTGAAGCTGGGAGGTGGAGGTTGCAGTGAGCTGAGATCGCACCATTGCACTCCAGCCTGGGGAACAAGAACAAGACTCCGTCTCAAAAAAGAAAAAAGAACTTTAGTTCTACTACCCGATAATACATATAAAATCATTAATACACAACCAGTATTACCGTGCTTCTAATTTTTTACAGAAGCCATACGGGAGAGAGACTCTGTGAAGGTAAAGAAGGTAGTCAATGTGCAGAAAACTTCAGTCCCAATCTCAGTGTGACGAAGAAGACTGCCGGAGTAAAACCATATGAGTGTACTATCTGTGGAAAAGCCTTCATGCGTCTCTCATCCCTTACTAGACACATGAGGTCTCACACTGGATACGAGCTATTTGAGAAGCCATATAAATGTAAGGAGTGTGAGAAAGCCTTTAGTTATCTCAAATCCTTTCAAAGACATGAAAGGAGTCACACTGGAGAAAAACCCTATAAATGTAAACAATGTGGAAAAACCTTCATATATCACCAGCCCTTTCAAAGACATGAGCGGACTCACATTGGAGAAAAACCCTATGAATGTAAGCAATGTGGAAAAGCTCTTAGTTGTTCCAGTTCGCTTCGAGTTCATGAAAGGATTCACACTGGAGAAAAGCCCTATGAATGTAAACAATGTGGGAAAGCCTTCAGTTGTTCCAGTTCTATTCGAGTACACGAAAGAACTCACACTGGAGAGAAACCCTATGCATGTAAGGAATGTGGGAAAGCCTTCATTTCCCACACAAGTGTTCTAACACACATGATAACACACAACGGAGATAGACCTTATAAATGCAAAGAATGTGGAAAGGCATTCATTTTTCCCAGTTTTTTACGAGTACATGAAAGAATTCACACTGGAGAGAAACCCTATAAATGTAAACAATGTGGTAAAGCCTTCAGATGTTCCACCTCCATTCAAATTCATGAAAGAATTCATACTGGAGAGAAGCCCTATAAATGTAAAGAATGTGGGAAATCTTTCAGTGCACGCCCAGCCTTTCGAGTACACGTGAGAGTGCATACTGGAGAGAAACCCTATAAGTGTAAAGAATGTGGGAAAGCCTTTAGTAGAATCAGTTACTTTCGAATACATGAAAGGACTCACACTGGAGAGAAACCCTACGAATGTAAAAAATGTGGGAAAACTTTCAATTATCCTCTAGATTTGAAAATCCACAAGAGAAATCACACTGGAGAAAAACCCTATGAGTGTAAGGAATGTGCAAAAACCTTCATTTCTCTTGAGAACTTTCGAAGACACATGATCACCCACACTGGAGACGGACCTTATAAATGTAGGGACTGTGGGAAGGTGTTCATTTTTCCTAGTGCGTTACGAACACATGAAAGAACTCACACTGGAGAGAAACCCTATGAATGTAAACAATGTGGAAAAGCCTTTAGTTGTTCTAGTTACATTCGGATACATAAAAGAACTCACACTGGGGAGAAACCTTATGAATGTAAGGAATGCGGGAAGGCCTTTATTTATCCCACAAGCTTTCAAGGACACATGAGAATGCATACTGGAGAGAAACCCTATAAATGTAAAGAATGTGGGAAGGCCTTTAGTCTTCACAGTTCCTTTCAAAGACATACAAGAATTCACAATTATGAGAAACCTCTTGAATGTAAGCAATGTGGAAAAGCCTTCAGTGTGTCCACATCCTTAAAAAAACATATGAGAATGCACAATCGATAGAAACTCTATAAATGTGAGAAATAGGAGAAAGTTTTCAATTCTAACAGATGCTTTCAAAGTTGTGAAAATTCCCACTGAAGAGAGAAATCCTGTCAATGTAAGTAATATAGAAAGCGAGATACAAGATGATTCATGTATAGTCAGGTACCACATAATCATGTTTCAGTCAGCAATGGACCATATAGGTTGGTAGCCCCATAAGATTATATAACACCTAAAACATTTCTATCAACCGCAATTTAGTAGCAGTAGTAACACCATAGTGCAGCACATTATTTAAGTGTTTATGGTGCTGGTGTAAACGTGCTGCACTTTCAGTTGTATAAAAGTACAAGACAGCGGCCGGGGACGGTGGCTCACGCCTGTAATCCCAGCACTTTGGGAGGCCAAGGCGGGCGGATCACGAGGCCAGGAGATCAAGACCATCCTGGCTAACACGGTAAAACCCCATCTCTACTAAAAATACAAACAATTAGCCGGGCGTGGTGGTGGGCGCCTGTAGTCCCAGCTACTTGGGAGGCTGAGGCAGGAGAATGGCATAAACCCAGGAGGCCGAGCTGACAGTGAGCTGAGATCCGGCCAACAGAGCGAGACTCTGTCTCAAAAAAAAAAAAAAAAAAAAAGTACAACACAGCTGGGCATGGTCACACCTGTGATCCCAACACTGGGAGACTAAGGCAGTAGGATTGCTTGATGCCAGGACTACTCTGGTCAACCTAGTGAGACCCTGTCTCTACAAAAAATAAAAACATTTTCTAAGTGTGGTAGCACACCCTGTAGTCCCATCTACATGGGAGGCTGAGGCAGGAGGATTGCCTGAGCCCAGGAGTTCAAGGCTACAGTGAACCAAGATCACGTGATGGCAGTCCAGCATGGGTGACAGTGAGACTGTATCAAAAAAAAAAAAAAAAAATTGGCTGGGCACAGTGGCTCATACCTGTAATCCCAGCACTTTGGGAGGCTGAGGTGGGAGAATCAGTTGAGGTCAGGAGTTCAAGACCAGCCTGGTCAACATGATGAAACCCTGTCTCCATTAGAAATACGAAAATTAGCTGGGCGTTCTGGTGTGCCTGTAGTCCCAGCTACTTGGGAGGCCAAAGCAGGAGAATCGCTTGAACCCGGGAGGTGGAGATTGCAGTGAGCTGAGATCTACCACTACACTCCAGCCTGGGTGACAGAGCGAGACTCCGTCTCGAAAAAAAAAAAATTACAGCACAGATGTGCAATATATACTTGATAATAAATGGCTAAGTTACTGGTTTATATATTTACAATCCTGTTTTAGAATGTATTCCTGTGTTTTTTTAACAGTAAGACAGTCTCAGGCAGGTCCTTAAGGAGATATTCCCGGAAAAACTTTGTTATGATAGGCGATGACGGCTCCATGTGCAGGACTGCCCCTGAACGTATTCTGGCGGGACAAAACATGGAGGCAGAAGACAATGATATTGATGATCCTCACCCCGTGTAGTCCTACACTAATGTGTGTTTGTGTCTTAGTTAGTCTTTAACAAAAATAGTTTAAAAAAATTTAATAGAAAAAGCTTATAGAATATGGACATAAAATATTTTTGTACAGCTGTACAATGTGTTTTAAGCTAAATTATTACAAAGTTTTTAAAAATAAGTTTATAAAGAAAATAATGTACAGTAAGTTAAGGTTTATTCATTATTGAGGAAAAAATGTTTTTATGAATGTAGTGTAGTCCAAGTGTACAGTGTTTATAAATTCTCCATTAGTGTACAGTAACATCCTGGGCCTTCGCATTCACTCACCACTCAACTGACTCACCCAGAGCAACTTCTAGTCCTGCAAGCTATGTTCATGGAGTGTCCTATGCAGGTGCATCCTTTTTTATCTTTTATACTGCATGTTTACTCTGTGTATTTTCTGTGTTTAGACTCATAAATACTTAACATTTTGTTACAATTTCCTACAGTGTTCAGTACAACAACATGTTGTATGGTTTATAGCCTAGTAGCAATAGACTGTACCATATAGTCTAGATGTGTTGTAGCTATACCATCTAGATTTGTGTAAGTTCACTTTGTGATGTTTGTACCATGAGGAAATCACCTACAACACGTTTCTCAGAACATATACCCATGATTAAGCAATCTCTGCCTGTAAAATGCTCCAGAAAATTCACACCATGATATAAATTCATCACACACGATATAAAAGTTAAGGCAAGGCATGGTGGCTCATGCCTGTAATCCCAGCACTTTGGGAGGCCAAGGCAGGCAGATCACCTGAGGTCAGGAGTTCGAGACCAGCCTGGCCAAGACGGTGAAACCCCATCTCTACTAAAAATACAAAAATTACCTGAGCGTGGTGGCATGCACCTGTAATTCCAGCTACTTGGGAGGCTGAAGCAGGAGAATCATTTGAACCTGGGAGGTGGAGGCTGCAGTGAGCTGAGATTGTGCCACTACACTCCAGCCTGGGCAACAGAGCAAGACTCCATCCCACACACCAAAAAAAAGTTAAAAATTTTTTATCACTGGCTCATTCTTCAAGTACATCTCTGGACTATGAATTGTAACTTAACTACTTTTCCAAGAAGTCTTGGAAGTGAGATAATTCTGTAAGTACTCTTTAAGCAGTGGTCAAAAGTTTAAAAGGTTGTGTTTTCTCATTAAATCAGTTAGTAAAACTTTTCTCTTTCTCTTGATGTCTTGATTCATGAGTAAACTGAAGTGTATTTTTTTTTTTTCGAGACGGAGTCTTGCTCTGTTGCCCAGGCTGGAGTTCAGCGGTGTGATCTCGGCTCACTGCAAGCTCCGCCTCCCGGGTCCACGCCATTCTCCTGCCTCAGCCTCCCCAGTAGCTGGGACTGCAGGCGCCCGCCACCATGCCCAGCTAATTTTTTTTGTATTTTTAGTAGAGATGGGGTTTCACCGTGTTAAGCCAGGATGGTCTCAATCTCCTGACCTCGTGATTCGACCGCCTCAGCCTCCCAAAGTGCTGGGATTACAAGCTTGAGCCACCGCACCCGGCCTGAAGTGTATTTTTTTTTTCTTTTAAAGACCAGTGTTAGTAGAAGTGTATTTTTAATATACAATTAGTTTTAATTTGTGTATAGTTTTTCAGTTGTTCTCTGAATAAAGAGATTGTTGAATACTGACACACTGTAACTAGGATTTTTCCTACTGGCCTCATGTGGAAGGTGGTGCATATATTACCCATTATATATTTATTTCACCTTTTCCGAAAAACTGCTTTTTAAATTTCTTGGCCAGACACGGTGGCTCACTCCTTTGTAATTCCAGCACTTTGGGAAACCAAGGCAAGCAGATCACTTGAGGTCAGGAGTTCGAGACCAACCTGGCCAACATGGTGAAATCCCATCTCTACTAAAAATACAAAAATTAGCTGGGCATGTTGGAGGGCACCTGTAATCTCAGCTACTTGGGAGGCTGAGGCAGGAGAAATGCTTGAACCTGGAAGTCAGAGGTTGCAGTGAGCCAAGATCACACCACTGCACTCCAGCCTGGACAACAGAACGAGACTCCATATCAAAAAAATTAAATTAAAATATAATAAATTTCTTGCCGGGCGCAGTGGCTCACACCTGTAATCCCAGCACTTTGGGAGGCCGAGGTGGGCGGATCACGAAGTCAGGAGATTGAGACCATCCTGGCTAATACAGTGAAACCCCGTCTCTACTATAAATACAAAAAATTAGCTGGGCATGGTGGCGGGCGTCTGTAGTCCCAGCTACTCAGGAGTCTGAGGCAGGAGAATGGTGTGAACCCGGGAGGCGGAGCTTGCAGTGAGCCGAGATCGTGCCACTGCAATCCAGCCTGGGCAGCAGAACGAGACTCCATCTCAAATAAATAAATAAATAAAATGAATTTCAGCTAGAAGAGCCTTATTCCATTTTCCTTTTTATTAAACATCTGGCATAAGTTGGTAAGTATGTGAAGTTTATCATATATTCTTATGCGAATTATTATTTTCGCCTTTTTTTTATAATTCTGTCTGGGATTTGAATAGTAGAGTTTGAATTCAGGAAGGACACCTGTGATAGGACAATAAAATCTAGAGCTGGACGTGGCCCTCCTGCTACCTGTCGACACAGGTAAATTTCCTAGAATCTGTTCCCTTTATAGATCCATGTTGAAATTCACTTATAGCCTCACTTGCATGAGATTTGCCAGGCAGAAGTGAAGAAGACATTAGTCAGGTATTGGAACCCCACCATACAGGGAGACAGCCTGCTTCCTGCTCATTTTCCTGGTTATTTTCTCTGCCAATCAAAAGTATCCTGAAAACACCCTGAGCTGCTTGACTTCCATTCTCAAAGAGATGTGTTGGTTTCCACAGTTGTCTCCACAAGCTCCGCATCAAAGATCCACGTACAGTTTGGATTTTCCTTCTAGCCTTCATGTGTGGCCCAAGCATCTATTTCAGACTGTCATGGTTGGCATTGTTCTCTGAGGTTCTGTCTTCCCTTTGTGTTTCTATGAGCTTTAATTTGTATGGTTCTTGTTCTGTTAATGCCACTAGGGACTATGTATTCCTGATTCCACCATGACAGCTACAGTAAAACAGTAAAAAAAAAAAAAAACAACTATATGGGAGTTTGTTCTCTTACTGCATTATACAGTGACTACTCTCCCCCATCCTTCCATTTGAGAATAATCACCTTCCTCATATCAGACAAATTGTGGGTGTTTCCAACTATTCCTGAATATTCTCCATCGGTTTATTTTCATTTATGTTTGGTTGTATGCAACTAAAATAATGCATTTTTTATTTATTTGAAGCAAAAGCTTCTTAGATGTTTCTTAGAAATATTTTGTTAACTGTTTCCAAACAACATGTATACTATCAAATATTATCATCATCTGGGTGCAGTGGCTCATGGCTGTAATCCCAACAATTTGGGAGGCTGAGGCAGGATTGCTTGAGGCCTGAAGTTGGAGACCAGCCTGGGCAACATAGTAAGACCCCATCTCTATTAGTTCAAAAACAAATAATTGTCTTCCCCGTTTCCTGAAAGGCTATATTAAAATATCCCATTACAGTTATGAATATTCAGATCAACTTTGTCATTTTGTCAAGATACATTCTGACTCAATATTAGCATGTGCATAAATGTTCTGGTATTTTTCCCTTAGATGTTTTTTATTCTTATACTTACATTTTGTCATAAAACAAAATTCTCTTCAAAACAGTGGTATTTTCAGTGCCCTATTGCCAGCAATCACCACGGTCACACCTGTATTCAGAATTAATTATGGTAATACAGTAGTCAATTCTGATCCAAAGTTTTGCTTTCTGTGGTTTTAGTCACTCATGGTCAAACACAGTCCAAAAATACTTAGTGGAAAATTCCAGAAATAAATGTTTCATAGACTTATTTATTTATTTATTTATTTGAGACAGAGTCTCACTCTGTCGCCTAGGCTGGAGTGCAATGGCGCGATCTCAGCTCACTGAAACCTCTGCCTCCGAGGCTCAAGCAATTCTCCTGCCTCAGCCTCCCGAGTAGCTGGGATTACAGGCATGTGCCAACATGCCCAGCTAATTTTTGTATTTTTGGTAGAGATAGGGTTTCACCATGTTGGTCAGGCTGGTCTGGAACTCCTAGCCTCAGGTGATCCACCCACCTCAGCCTCCCAAAGTGCTGGGATTCCTCCCATCTTACACATGAAAAAACAGAGGCAGAGAGAGCACAGGGTCTTTCCCAAACTCATGTAAATCAGAATTATAGAGTCTCAAAGTTTTGAAGTTCTAGTGTGTTCCACCACCTGTCAAACTTTTTTTTTTTTTTTGAGATGAGGTCTTGCTCTATCACCCAGGCTAGATTGCAGCGGTGCGATCATAGTTCACTGTCACCTTGACTTCTGGGGAGTGATCCTCCTGCCTCAGCCTCCCAAGTAGTTGGGACTGCAGGTGCATGCTTCCATAAGCGGACTTAGAAAATTTGAATGAGGCCGTACTGGGTGCCTCATGCCTGTCATCTCAACACTTTAGGAGGCTGAGGTGGGAGGATGGTTTGTGCCCAGGAGTTCCACGTGGCAGTGAGCTGTGATTACACCACTGCACAGCAACCTGGGCGACAGTGAGGCTCAGTCGTGTTGAAAAAAGAAAAGACAGAGAGAGAAAGAAAAGAAAAAGAGAGAAAGAAAGAAAAAGAAAGGAAAGAGAAAGAAAGCAAAAGAAAGAAAAGCAGAGATATGAGAGAAGGAAGGAAGGAAGGGAAGGAGAAAAAAGGAAAAAAAAAAAGAACTGAGACCCCATCTCTACAAAAGTAAAAAATTAGCTGGGTGTGGTGGGGCACACCTGTGATTCCAGCTACTCCAGAGGCTGAGGTGGGAGGATGGCTTGAGCCCAAGAGTTCGAGCCTGCAGTGAGCCATGATCATGCCACTGCACTCAGACCTGGGTGACACAGTTCATGTCAGCCACCTTCCAAAACAGGCAAGAATGCTATGTGTGTCATAGCCTATAATTTGTACCACATTAAGGTTGCTTTGATCTAGGGCAGAACTTATGAGTCCTTTTTTTTTTTTTTTTTTTTTTTGAGAAGGAGTCTTGCTCTGCCACCCAGGCTGGAGTGCAGTGGCGCGATATTGGCTCACTGCAAGCTCCGCCTCCTGGGTTCACGCCATTCTCCCACCTCAGCCTCCTGAGTAGCTGGGACTATAGGCACCCGCCACCATGCCTGGCTAATTTTGTTTTTATATTTTTAGTAGAGATGGGGTTTCACCGTGTTAGTCAGGATGGTCCCGATCTCCTGACCTCGTGATCCGCCCGCCTCGGCCTCCCAAAGTGCTGAGATTACAGGCGTGAGCCACTGCACCCGGCCAAAGCACCATTCTCTAAAATCCCCACCAAGCCTTTGTCTCCTTGCAGTTAGCTCCTCTCTGGGTGTGCTGCCTGGTGGAACCCTGTAATGTATTTTCTTTCTTTCTTTCCTTTTTTTTTTTTTTTTTTTTTTTTTGAGACGGAGTCTCACTCTGTCGCCCAGGCTGAAGTGCAGTGGTGCGATACCGGCTCACTGCAACCTCCGCCCCCCGGGTTCAAGCGATTCTCCTGCCTCAGCCTCCCGAGTGGCTGGGATTACAGGCGCCCGCCACCGCGCCCGGCTAATTTTTATATTTTTAGTAGAGACGGGATTTCACCATGTTGGCCAGGCTGGTCTCAAATTCCTGACCTCAGGTGATCCACCTGCCTCAGCCTCCCAAAGTGCTGGGATTACAGACGTGAGCCACCGCGCCCGGCCAACCTTGTCTCTTAAAAGTAAAAACAAAATGAGAGATAAGAAGAAATATTTTTGGAAGGCGCACAGGGGAATAAAGCCACCAGGGCATTTTAATCATAAACTCCTTGTCCCATCAAGGCCATCCCTACCCTTTGCCCTCCCCTCCCCAAGACCTACCCTGCCCCGCCCCATCCTGGCCCCCTCCAGCCTTCATCCCCCTTTTTCCCCTCTTTCCCCACTTTGTCTCCTCTTCCCCACTTTATCACCTCTTGCCCCTGTGCGGCCCCGCCGAACTGGAAACGTTTCCAGCAGGTGATTCAGATGCGCCTGTGCAGGACTGTGACCAGGTGCAAGTCGCCCTCCCCTGACCTCCCTGTTTAGCCTGAATGATCCTTCCCAAGTGTGTTGCTCCATTCTCGCGCTGCTATAAAGAACTACCTGAGCTGGGCGCGATGGCTCACGCCTGTAATCACAGCACTTTGGGAGGCTGAGGCGGGTGGATCACCTGAGGTCAGGAGTTTGAGACCAGCCTGACTAACATGGTGAAACCCCATCTCTACTACTAATAATAAAAAAATTAGCCGGGCGTCATGGCTCACGTCTGTAATTCCAGCTACTCAGGAGGCTCAAGCAGGAGAATCCCTTGAACCCGGGAGGCAGAGGTTGCAGTGAGCGGGGATCACGTCATTGCACTCCAGCCTGGGCAACAAGAGTGAAACTCCGTCTCAAAAAAAAGAAAAAAGAAAAAAACTACCTGAGGCTGGGTAATTCACGAATAAAAGAGGTTTAATTGACTCACAGTTCTGCAGGCTGTACAGGAAGCAAGGCTGGGAGGCCTCAGGAAACTTATCAAGGCGGAAGGCTACTGGGGATCGAGTCAGTCTTCACTTGAAGCAGGAGGGATCAGGAGAGAGCACGAAGTGGGAAGTGCCGCACATCTTTAAACCATCAGATCTCCTGAGAACTATCACGAGAACAGCAAGGGGAAAGCCGCCCCCATGATCTAATCACCTCCCAGCAGGTCCCTCTCCTGGTATTAGAAATTAAAATTGAACATGAGATTTGGTTGGGGACACACAGCCAAACCATATCACCAAGGTTTTCTGTAAGTGTCTGATGAATACGCACAGTGGGAACTGCAGCTGAGCTTTAGGTGGCATCCTAAAAGCCTCTTTGTCAGCCTGAGCCCGTGTCCTCTTAAGAGGGAGAGTTGGGGCTGGGTGCGGTGGCTCACGCCTGTAATCCCAGCACTTTGAGAGACCGAGGCGGGTGGATCATGAGGTCAGGAGTTCCAGAGCAGCTGGCCAACATGATGAAACCCCGTCCGTACTAAAAATACAAAAATTAGCCGGGCGTGGTGGCGGGCGCCTGTAATCCCAGCTACTTGGGAGGCTGAGGCAGGAGAATCGCTTGAACCCAGGAGGCAGAGGTTGCAGTGAGCCGAGATTACACCACCGCACTCCAGCCTGGGCAACAGAGCGAGACTCTCTCAAAAAAAAAAAACAAAAAAAAAAAACGGGGTGGGCGACTTGGAAAAGATTTCAGGACTCACTCTCAGCGACGGTGCCCCACGTGAGTTGGAGGCCAGGAGCAAGGTGCCTTCCTGGGCCTCCCTGGCTGCGATCCTGTCCTCAGGAGGGCGACCCCAGTCACGTGCGACCGCTCAAGGCGGTCCTCAGAAGCGGAGGGGACCTCCGCGGGCCAGTAGGCCTTCAGAATTCTTAGAAATCACTCACCCCCGTCCTGCAGTGACAATCTCAGGAGAGCCTGTCTACAGACTGGCGCCTGTAGAGAAGATCCTGCCATTGCCCCTGGCTTCCAGGAACTGAACTGGATTCTGAGCATCATGGCAGAATCTTATCCCACCTATGCAGCAGGCTAGCTCCAGGGAGAAAATATAAACGTCAGGCCGGGCGTGGTGGCTCACGCCTGTAATCCTAGCACTTTGAGAGGCCGAGGCAGGCGTATCACGAGGTCAGGAGATCGAGACCTTCCTGGCTAACACAGTGAAACCCCATCTCTATTAAAAATACAAAAAATTATTCAGGCGTGGTGGCGGGCGCCTGTAGTCCCAGCTACTCGGGAGGCTGAGGCAGAAGAATGACGTGAACCCGGGAGGCGGAGCTTGCAGGGAGCCAAGATGGCGCCACTGCACTCCAGCCTGGGCGACAGAGCCAGACTCCGTCTCAAAAAAAAAAAAAAAAAAGAAAAGAAAATATAAACGCCAACAAACAGGTAATTCCCAATCACCGGCAAGACCCCGCCGGATTGGACCCCGACCCTCAGCAGAGGCCACCTTGTCCGGGTCTCACTCTAACCTGTACCGCGGCCCCAAGATATCAGAGGCTGCCTTGGTGGACCCGGGGCACTTTCCACAGAACTCCCTGAATGGCCAAGGCTGGCCCTGGCCTCAATAGGCCAACTCAGCAAACGTGGAGAAGGCAGGGAACGGTGGGTAAGGGAAGTCATCCCAACATTTTGGGAGTCCGAGGCGTTATATGGCTTGAACCCAGGAGTTCAAGATCAGCCTGGGCAATATAGCAAGACCCCATCCTTTTTTGAGACTGAGTCTTGCTCTGTCGTCCAGGCGGGAGTGCAGTGGTGCAATCTCAGCTTACTGCAACCTCTACCTCCCAGGTTTGAGCGATTCTCCTGCCTCAACCTCCTAAGTAGCTGGAATTACAGTTGCCCGCCACCACGCTCGGCTAATTTGTTTTTTGTTTTTTGTTTTTTGCTTTTGAGACGGAGTCTTGCTCTGTCGCCCAGGCTGGAGTGCCGTGGCGCAATCTCGGCTCACTGCAAGCTCCCCTTCCGGGGTTCATGCCATTCTCCTGCCTCAGCCTCCCGAGTAGCTGGGACTACAGGCACCCGCCACCACACCCGGCTGTTTTTTTGTATTTATAGTAGAGACGGGGTTTCACCATGTTAGACAGGATGGTCTCGATATCCTGACCTCGTGATCCGCCCGCTTCAGCCTCCCAAAGTGCTGGGATTACAGGCGTGAGCCACCGGGCCCAGCCTTTTTTTTTTTATTTTTAGTAGAGACAGGTTTCACCATGTTGGCCAGGCTGGTCTGGAACTCGTGACCTCAAGAGATCCACCCACCTCGGCCTCCCAAAGTGTTGGGATTACAGGAGTGAGCCACCGCAACTGGCTACCATTTCTAATAAAAGCAAACTTTTGTTCAAGTGTATTCATCAAAAAGGCCCCTCGCATGTGACCACAGCCAAGCCAGGAAGCCTTCTTCAGGTATCCCTAGCCAGCCTGCAGGAGGTCTTGGAAACTTGTTCAACGGATAAATATAACTGGGCCCACAAAGAATCACAGGAATACTTAATCCCTCCAGCCTCCAGGGCCAGCCTGGCCCCAGCTGTGTAGGGGGGCTTAGAAGTGTCTTCAGGACTCATCTAACTACCAGGCCCAATCTGGCGGTGGGCAGAACCTGGGGCCCTTCCCACAGCAGTCCGAGGACCTTCCTGACTGTGATCCTGGCCCCAGCAGGGGGACCTAGAAAACGCCAATGAAGCTGTGGGCAAGCAGGCACCAGGTGGGAAAGCGGCCAAGCTCAGGGCACCCTACTCCGCTCACCTGCGACGGCAGCAGCCAGTCCCCACGGGCGGAGGGGACCTCATGCGACATTCAGCCCGCGAGATTCTCAGAGACTGCTCGCCCGCAACACGCAGTAACGATCTCAGGAGAGCCCATGATGGGGCGGCGCGTGTCGTAGCCGAGAAGACTCTGTCATCGCCGGCGACCTCCTGGAACTCTCTCTTGCGGTTTGCAGCCAGATCACTTCCCATACACGCGGCAGCCAAGCTCAGGGGATGGCATCAGACTGACCCTAGGTGGCGCTCGAACACCCGCCGGACCTCACCAGACAGGCACTTTCCCCAGTCTACACCGCCTGGTTCGGGTCCCACATGAACCTGTAATACACTCGGCCCAAAGCGGTCAGAGGATGGCCTGGTGGGCCCGGGGCACCCTCCACGGAACTCCCTGAATGGCCAGGGCTGATCCCAGCCTCCATAGGCAGACAGAAAATGTGAATGAAGCCCTGCTGGATGCCTCATGCCTACCACCTCAACACTTTGGGAGGCCGAGGCGGGAGGAGAGATGTGCCCTGGAGATGATGCAGTGCGCTATGATCGCATCATTGCACAGCAGCCTGGGTGACAGCGAGACTCGGTCGCGGGAAAAATAAAACAAAAAACAAAAACAAACCAAAAAAAATGAAAGAGAGAGGGAGAGGGAGGGTGGAAGGAGGGAGGAAGGAAGGGAGAGAGGGAGGGAGGGAAGGAGGGAAAAAGAAAGAGAAAAGGAAAAAGAGGCCGGGCGCGGCGGCTCACGCCTGTAATCCCAGCACTTTGGGAGGCCGAGGCGGGCAGCTCACCTGAAATTGGGAGTTCGAGACCAGCCTGACCAACATGGAGAAAACCCTTCTCTACTAAAAATACAAAAATTAGCTGGGTGTGGTGGCGCATGCCTGTAATCCCAGCTACTAGGGAGGCTCAGGTAGGAGAATCGTTTGAACCCGGGAAGAGCAGGTTGCAGTGAGCCAAGATCCCGCCATTGCACTCCAGCCTGGGCAACAAGAGTAAAACTCTGTCTCAAAACAAAACACCAAAAAAAAAAATAAATAAAAAATAACCCACAAGAGTGAAAGTCTGTCTCAAAAAAAAGGAAAGAAAATGAAGAAGAACATTCAAGATGGAAGGAAGGGAGGGAAGGGAAAGAAAGAAAGGAGGGAGGGAGTGAGGGAGGGAAAGAAAAAGAAAGAGAAAAGAAAAAAAAGGAACATTTGGGAAGGCCCACAGGGGAATGAAGCCACAACAATATCCTACTCAGAACCTCCTTCTCCCATCAAAACCATCCCTCTACCTCCCCTTCCCCCTGCTTTCCCCGCCACTGCTTCTGCGGCTCCCAGTGATCCCCCTCCTTTTACCCTCCCCGTCCCTCTCTTCATGCCCCTATTCCTATCTCCTATCACTCAGAATTGGCAACGTTTTCAGCAGGTGCTTCAGACGCGTCTGCATAGGACTGTGACCAAGTCCAAGTCGCCCACCCTTAGCCCTCCCTGTTTGGCCCCAGTCATCCCTCCAGACGTTTTCTGAAGGTGTCCGATGAATGGTCGCCATGGAAACTGCAGCTGGGGTCTGGGTGCCCTCCTTCATCCTCCCTGTATGCCTGGGCGAGTGTCCCTTCTTAAAAGGGGCCTTGGGAAAAATTTCAGGACGCACTTTCTGCGACGGTACCTTATGTGAGTCGGTGGGCAGGAGCTGTGTGCCCTCTGGGGTCCCTGGCTGCGATCCTGGCCCCAGGAAGGGGACCTAGAAAACTTTTCCAGTAGGCTGGGCATGGGCTCATGACTGTAATCCTAGCAGTTTGGGAGGCCGAGGCAGGCAGATCACTTGAGGTCAGGAGTTTGAGCCCAGCCTGGCCAACATGGTGAAACCCCGTCTCTACTAAAAATACAAAAATTATCCGTGCGTGGTGGCACGTGCCTGTAATCCTAGCTACTCGGGAGGCTAAGGCAGGAGAATCGCTTGAACCCAGGAGGCAGAGGTTGCAGTGAGCCGAGATCGCGCCACTGCACTCCAGCCTGGGCAACAGAGCGGGACTCTGTCTTCAAAAAAAAAAGAAAAGAAAAAGAAAAAAAGAGGCCCGGCGCGGTGGCTCACGCCTATGTAATCCCAGCGCTTTGGGAGGCCGAGGTGGGCGGATCACGAGGTCAGGAGATCGAGAACACCCTGGCTAACACGGTGAAACCCCGTCTCTACTAAAAATACAAAAAGCCGCGCCTGTAGTCCCAGCTACTCGGGAGGCGGAGTTTGCAGTGAGCACCACTGCACTCCAGCCTGGGTGACAGACCGAGACTCCATCTCAAAAAAAAAAAAGAACGAAAATGTATCCAGTGATGCTGTGAACAACCCGGCACCAGATGGGAAAGCGGCTGAGCCCAGGGCGCCCTACCCCATTCACCTGCGACGGCACCAGTCGGTCTCCAAGGGCAGAGGGACCTTCATACGCCACTCTTCTTCCGCGATTCTCAAAGATTCCCATCCCGCAGTAATGATCTCAGGCTCCCCCGGATCCCGCAGTAACTATCTCAGGAGAGTCCATTATGCAGCACCGCGTGTGGCCGGCCGAGAAGACCTTGCCATCTCCTTCGGTCTCCTGGAACACTGTCCTGGGCTCTCCGGCCGGATCTTGTCCCACACACGCGACAACCGAGCTCCGGGGACGATATCAGAGTGATCACAAAGTGGCGCCCGACCACCGGTGGGACTGCGCCGGACCTGGACCTTCCCCTACCGGACCAGATGCCACCTGGTCAGGGTCTCACTCCAACTTGTGTCTCGGCCCAAAGCAGTCAGAGGGTAGCCTGCTGGGCCCGGGCCACCCTCCACGGATTCCCTGAATGGCCAGGGCTGATTCCCAGCCTCTACAGGCTGGCTTAGAAAAATTAGGGAGAGGCTGGGCATGGCAGCTCAAGCAAGTCATCCCAACACTTTGGGAGGCTGAGACGGGGGGATTGCTTGAGCCCAGGATTCTGAGGTTGCAGTGTGTTTTGATCAGGCCAGCACACTCCAACATGGGTGATAGAGGGAGTCCCAGTCTCCCTTCCCGGGTTCATGCCAGTCTCCTGCCTCGGCCTCCCGAGTAGCTGGGACTACAGGCACCCGCCACCATGACCAGCTAATTTTTTGTTGTTGTTTTTTTTTTTTTTGTATTTTTTAGGTGGACAGGAAGTAGAATTTATTGGTGAGTATTAAGAGGGGGGCAGCACATTGGAAGCCCTCATGAGTGCAGGGCCCACCACTTGTCCAGAGGGCCACGATTGGGGATATACTTGACCCCACAGCCATCTGGGATGAGCCGCTTTTCAGCCACCATGTCTTCAAATTCATCAGCATTGAACTTGGTGAAGCCCCACTTCTTTGAGATGTGGATCTTCTGGCGGCCAGGAAACTTGAACTTGGCCCTGCGCAGGGCCTCAATCACACGCTCCTTGTTCTGCAGCTTGGTGCGGATGGACATGATAACTTGGCCAATGTGAACCCTGGCCACAGTGCCCTGGGGCTTTCCAAAGGCACCTCGCATTCCTGTTTGGAGCCTGTCAGCCCCAGCACAGGACGACATCTTGTTGATGCGGATGACGTGGAAGGGGTGGAGCCGCACCCGGATATGGAAGCCATCTTTGCCACAACTTTTTACCATGTACTTATTGGCACAAATTCGGGCAGCCTCCAGGGCTTCAGAGGACAGCTGCTCATATTCATCTGACACCATGTGGCCACAGAGCGGAAACTCATCCACTTTTGCCTTTTTCCGCCCCAGGTCAAAAATGCGAATCTTGGCATCAGGGACACCTCGGCAGAAGCGAGACTTTGGGTACGGCTTGTTCTTACAATACCGGTAACAACGGGCGGGGCGGCGGCCCATGGCGACACCAGGATCTTCAGTGGCACACTGAAGGGAAAGAGAAATTTTTTGTATTTTTAGTGGAGATGGGGTTTCACCATGTTGGCCAGGATGGTCTCAATCCGGAGACTTTTTAAGGTTTTCAGGGGGTTCATCCTGTGGCCAGATTCTATGCAGCAGGACAACTATGCTGGGGTGCCCTTCTCGGGCCTCTCTGGCTCACCTGTAATAATCCTTGTCTTTAGAGGGTGACTTAGACAAATTTTCAAGGAGCACATCCAGGAACCAGGCCCCATGTGTGACCAAAACTAAGCCTGGGTTGCTCTGCCCTATGGTTCCTAGCTGACCTAAGCTGTTTCCTTATCCCCACCCCATCCCCAAGGACTTACAAATATTTCCTGGAGGCACATCCCACAATCAGAGGCCTCTGCAGGATGACAGCCCACCTGTGGTCCTTCTGCTGGCCTCCTTCTTTGGCTGCGACCAGTCCCTACCACTGGCTGGGACACAGGAAACTTTGCACTCAGAGCCTCCTATGAAGGAGCCCACATGGGGCTGTGGGCAAACTCAGGTCACCCTCTCCAGGCCTCTCTGGTTGGCCAGGTCCAATCTCTCTTCCTGGAGAGGGACTTATAAAAGTTTTCTGCGGAGGAGTCACATGTTAAAACAGGGACGCATGTGGGACCAGGGCTGAGCCTGAAGAGTACTCCACAGTCCTCCTTACTCAGCCCAGGCCAGTCACTACCATAGGAGAGGGACTTAGAAATATTTTTGGTGGGGGTGATACCTCCAGTAACAGGTCCAATACGGCAGACAGGTGCAGGGAGCCCTTTTCAGGCCTCACAAGCTGGCCCAGCCCTCCGTCAAGAAGGAAACTTGAAAAAGAACACATCTGGGCTGGGCGCGGTGGCTCACGCCTGTAATCCCAGCACTTTGGAAGGCTGAGACAGGCAGATCACGGGGTCAGGAGATCAAGACCATTCCGCCTTACACGGTGAAACCCCATCTCTACTAAAAATACAAAAAACTAGCCGGGCATGGTAGCAGGCGCCTGTAGTCCCAGCTACTCGGGAGGCTGAGGCAGGAGAATGGCGTGAACCTGGGAGGCAGAGCTTGCAGTGAGCCGAGATCGCACCACTGCATTCCAGCCTGGGCGACAGAGCGAGACTCCATCTCAAAAAAAAAAAAAAGAAAAAGAGCACATCTGGTGACCATGCCCCAAGTGGGACCACAGCAGAGTGTCCCCTGGCACCCCACCCTGGCATCCCTAGGTGGCCCATGCTAACTGGCCCATTGGAGGGGTTCTCAGAGGAAACATTAGAGGACCAACATGATACCACCCTCCCTGGGCTTCCCTGTCCACCCTGGGCCAGTCCTTGTCATCAGAGGGGGCCTAAGAAACATATGCTGTTGGTGCTTGCAAACTGACCCCAGAACACTTAAAAACTTTTTATTTGTATTTATTTATTTTTTTGAGATGGAGTCTCACTCTGTCACCAGGCTGGAGTGCAGTGACACAATCTCGCCTCACTGCAACCTCCGCCTCCTGGGTTCAAGTGATTCTCCTGCCTCAGCCTCCTGAGTAGCTGGGACTACAGGTGTGTGCCACCATGCCCAGCTAATTTTTGTATTTTTAGTAGAGAAGGGGTTTCACCATGTTGGCCAGGATGGTCTCAATCCCTTGACCTTGTGATCCATGTGACTCAGCCTCCCAAAGTGCTGGGATTACAGGTGTGAGCCACCACGCACTGCCTACTTTTTTTTTTTTTTTCTAGAGACAGGGTCTCACTCTGTCACCCAGGCTGGAGTACAGTGGAGCCATCATGGTTCACTGCAGCCTCAAACTTTTGGGCTCAAGCAATCCTCCCACCTCAGCCTCCCAAGTAGTAGCTGGGGATTATAAATGCACGCCATCCTATCTGGATAATTTTCTAATTTTTAATTTTTTTTTCAAGAGATAGGATCCAGACTGGTTGCAGTGGCTCATGCCTGTAATCCCAGCACTTTGGGAGGCCAAGGCAGGTGGATCACTTGAGGTCAGGAGTTTGAGGCCAGCCTGGCCAACATGGTGAAACCCCATCTCTACTAAAAATACAAAAATGAGCCAGGCATGGTGGGGGGCGCCTGTAGTCCCAGCTACTCGGAAGGCTGAGGCAAGAGAATCGCTAGAACCCGGAAGGCGGAGGTTGCAGTGAGCCAAGATTGCGCCACTGCACTCCAGCCTAGGCGACAGAGGGAGACTCTGTCCCTCACACACACACACACACACACGAAGAGATAGGATCTGGCTCTCTTGCCCAGGCTGGAGTGCAGTGGTGTGATTATCACTTACTGCAGCCTTGACCTCCTGTGCTCAAGCAATTCTCCCAAGTAGTTGGGAATACAGACACTTCACCCAGCTAATTTTTTAAATTTTTTGTACATACAGGGCCTCATTTTGTGGCCCAGGCTAGTCTAGATCTCCTGGGCTCAAGTGATTCTCTCTCCTCAGCCTCCAGAGTTGTTAGGATTACAGGAGCAAGCCACCACACCCGGCTCTGGGTCATAAATTCTGTCCCCCTCTAACAAGCAAATAACAGACAAAAAAAACCCACACTCAGTCACAGAGCGACCTGAGTCTTAGTAGTAGCGTTTTAATGGCAGCAGCCCCAAGAGGAGAGTCAGAGTCTGGTCTGCCCCCGGAGCAGGAGGCTTGGGCTTGGAGGGCCCATCCCAGCAGACCTAACCATCCACCTCCTTCCATTGAACTGAGGCCAGGAAAGTGCGGATTTCCATGGGTTCCAGCGTGATGTTGGCCGGGTCCAGCTGGTACGGAGTTTGGTGGGGTGTGGGGCCTGGAGAGGTGCAGGGGGAAGGAGGAGTGAGGAGGTGCAGACTTCCTCTGACTCACCCCACGATGCTTCCTCCCCTGGGTCTAGACACAGCTGCATATCCCCGAATCTGTCTCCAGGGCCTCAATCCCAGACTCTTAACCTGCTTCCCCGGCCCCGAATACCACCCCCAGGTCCAATGTCCTCATACCCTCAATCTGGCCACTGTCCTCGTACCCTCAATCTGACCCCAGGGGTGATGAACACCCTCCCAGAACTAGACATGGATGGGGATTTTCAAATCTTGTTCTTGGGACTAAACAGCACCCACAAACCTCAAGACCCATTCCTGGTTTGCCGCACCCATTTCAGATCCTTTAAGCCCCTAACCTGGGTCTGGACTCTGCCCCATACCCTCATGACCTTTTTGGGTCCTGGCCAACATCCCATGCCTCACACATTGCCCCCACCTGCCGGCCCCAGGTAAGACTCCACCCCTTCCCTACCCCTGACCAGGGCCCCACCTGTGTTTGTTGTCCACTTGAGCCTGGAGGCTGCCTCGCGGAGCTGGTTGGCCACCAGCGTGGTCTCCTGCAGGCGGGTGATGGTGAAGGTGGAGAACAGGTCCTGCGGGGAAGGGGATGGGCCCAGATGAGTTGGGGCAAAGCCAGGTTTCTCTTCTCTCCCTCTCTCTTGCCTCTCTCCGATCTCCTTCTCAATTTTGCCCTTCTCACCCTCAAGTTCAAGGTAACGGGGGCGCTCAGGTTACGTCCGGAATCCTCTCCTACGGCAAACTGGTGCTCCAAGCGCAGCAGCACCATTTCGGGGCCCCAGCTGGCCAGCGTGAGCAGGTGCACCGAGGGCGGCAGGTCCCTGCGCAGCCCTGAGAACTGCGGGAGAGAGGGCGGGGCTGAGTTGGAGAGGGGCGGGGCCTGGATGGAGAAGGGCGGGGCCGAGCCAGGTCAGGAGGCAGGGCTAGGTTGTAGGGGCGGGGTTTCGCCGGAGAGGGGCAAGGCTCAGCCGAGAGGAGCGGCCAGGGCCGTGACAGGGAGGACTGAGCCAATGGGGAGATGGGTCGGTCCCAAGCTTAGGGTTCGAGTCCCGATGGAGCAGAACTGATGTGACCTGAGACTTTGGGAGTTACGGCGGGGCTGAAGCCGCGGGGCTGGGTGAGGCAGGACAGAGCCTGGGGGCGGTGAGAGGGCGGGGCTAAAGTGAAATGGGCGGGGCCGGAGGTGAGTTGGTGGTTTAGGGGCATGAGCTAGGGCTGTGCCTCTACACAGTCCAGGGGGGTTGGGACTGGGCTGGCACTGGGCGGGGACTGCCCAGGGGATGGGGTTGGCCCGAGGGTTTGGGGCTAATTATGGCCAAATGGATCCCCGCTGAGCCTAGGAAACTCCGCACCCAAACCCGGCTCCCTGGTAGACTTCAATCCGGTCCTCTCTGCCTACCCCGCTGCCCCTCACCTGCGTGCGCGGAGGAGCCCCGAGATTGTAGGCGGCGCCGCCACCCGGGGCCAGCACCACCTGAGGGGCCAGGACCTCCTGCTCCGCCAGGAGCCGGTGTCCGGCGGCTGCAGCCTGGGCTGTGTCCAGCAGCACCAGGTGGCGCCCTCGCACCCACGCCCCCGACCCGTTCTCCATTAGTGGCTCCGATACTCCGCGTCCATCGTCCTTCAGCAGCCTTCGGTGCACCTGGGGGGAGAGTGGCCAGGAGGGGGTGAGAGTCGTGGGTTTGTGGGTGTCCTTGGGCCAGAAACTGGGTAAGGGCGTGTGGGAATGTCAAAAGAAATTAAAGGGTGGGAGGAACGGATGAGGATGAAGGTGAGGGTCTGGTAGGGCAACCCCAGCAGAGGCAGGATCCAAGTAGGCATGGGAACCAGGCCGGAAGGAGGTAAATGCCTAACAGGGGGGCCTGGATATGGCACGCCAGAGCGTGGAGGGAGCCTGGGCAGGAGATGGAGAAAAACGGAGAGGAAAAGCCACACACAGAAATGGAGTCCTTGGCCGGGAGCGGTGGTTCACGCCTGTAATCCCAGCACTTTGGGAGGCCGAGGTGAGTGGATCACCTGAGGTAAGGAGTTCGAGACCAGCCTGGCCAACATGGTGAAACCCCATCTCTACTAAAAATACCAAAATTAGCCGGGCGTGATGGTGTGTGCCTGTAAGCCCAGCTACTCGGAAGGCTGAGGCAGGACAATCACTTGAACCCAGGAGGCAGAGGTTGCAGTGAGCTGAGATAGTACTATTGCACTCCAGCTTGGACAACAAGAGCAAAACTCCGTCTCAAAGAGAAGAAAAGAAAGAAACGGAGTCCTCAGCTTAGTGGGGCCTGAAAGCAGAGAACTGGGCCAGAAACAGCCTTCAAGGTCCAGCAGGGGTCCAGGTTGGGAGGACCCTGGCTCGGATGGGGCTCTGACCCACTCACCATGAGCTCCAGCGAGCCATCTCTCAGGCTGCTGCCCCCCTGGGAGCGGTCAGTCAGCACAGTCAGCTGCATGTTTCCATCCTGGGAGTTGAAGGGTGAAAGTAGAGGGCAGTCAACCCCAACCCCAGGCAGCTTTGAGATGCTGCAGATAAGGGGTGATTCCCTTTCTATCGAGGTGGGGAGGTGCAGGATGGGGGAGAGCTACCGTGATGTAAATCCGGGTGTTGACTGGATAGTAGTTTCCTGCCACGGGCTCCGTCTGGTTCAGTTTCCAGGTGGGTCGATAATCCCGCCTGGGGTTGGGGGTGAGCTGATCAGGCTTGGGATCTGGCTCCCCAACTCTTTTTTTTTTTTTTTTTTTTTTGAGATGGAGTCTCGCTCTGTCACCCAGGCTGGAGTGCAGTGGCGCGATCTCGGCTCACTGCAAGCTCCGCCTCCCGGCTTCACGCCATTCTCCTGCCTCAGCCTCCCGAGTAGCTGGGACTACAGGTGCCCGCCACCACACCCGGCTGATTTTTTTGTATTTTTAGTAGAGACGGGGTTTCACCATGTTAGCCAGGATAGTCTCGATCTCCTGACCTTGTGATCTGCCCGCCTCGGCTTCCCAAAGTGCTGGGATTACAGGCGTGAGCCACTGCACCCTGCCTGGCTCCCCCGCCCTTCACTCTCCCTTCGTCCTCTGTCTCCCACACTCATGTAATCAGCAAATTTCCCTCACCACCCCTGGGCCCCAACACACCACAGACCACCCCCTCAGTGCTCTCAGTCACCCCCCACCTCCTCTCCAGGATCTCCCGGCCATTGCTGTCTGTGTAGAAGCGTCCCTTTGTCTCCAGCGGTGTGTCAAAACGGCTGATGACCTCCTTCCCCCAGGTGTCGCTGTACCCAATGGGATGGCAAGGTTGTGAGCCTTGGATAAACCCCTCTGCCCTTGCTTCCACACCCCTCTCCCAGCCTGTGCCACTCACCCCACAGGTATCGGCCCCACCGACCACTCTAGCTCCAGGTGCCGCTGTCCTGGGTACAGGCGAACCACCTGGGAACACCAAGCTGAGAAGTTCTGGTGCACCTCCTGCACCAAGGGTGTCTGCGGGCACACGGGTGAGGTGGATGTCAGTCTGTACCTGAGCAGAGGTGAGTCCTACAAATGTCCCCCAACCCTGGCCATAAACCCCATTAAGGCCTACATCAAGGTCAACCTTCAGTCACCGCCACATAATTCTTTTTTTTTTTTTTTTTTTGAGACGGAGTCTCGCTCTTTTGCCCAGGCGGGAGTGCAGTGGCGCGATCTCGGCTCACTGCAAGCTCCGCCTCCCGGGTTCACACCATTCTCCTGCCTCAGCCTCCCGAGTAGCTGGGACTACAGGCACCCGCCACCACACCCGGCTAATTTTTTGTATTTTTAGTAGAGATGGGGTTTCACCGTGTTAGCAAGGATGGTCTCGATCTCCTGACCTCGTGATCAGCCCGCCTCGGCCTCCCAAAGTGCTGGGATTACAGGCGTGAGCCACCGCGCCTGGCCCACATAATTCTTTTTTCTTTTTTTTTTTTTGAGACAGAGTTTTGCTCTTGTTGCCCAGGATGGAGTGCAGTGGCACAATCTTGCCTCACTGCAACCTCCGCCTCCTGGGTTCAAGCAATTCTCCTGCCTCAGCCTCCCGAGTAGAGGGATTGCAGGTACCTGCCACCACCCCTGGCTAATTTTTGTATTTTTAGTAGAGACGGGGTTTCTATCCATGTTGGCCAGACTTGTCTTGAACTCCTGACCTCAGATGATCTGCCTGCCTCTGCCTCGCAAAGTGCTGGGATTACAGGCGTGAGCCACTGCACCCGGCCTCTTTTTTTTTTTTTTTTTTTGAGACAGGGCATCACTATGTAGGCACCTAATCAGCAAATGCTCCCACCTGGTCTTGAACTCCTATGCTCAGCGATCCTCCTGCTTCAGTCTCCCAAAGTGCTGTGATTACAGGCATGAGCCACTGCATCTGGCTTACCACATCACTCTTGAGCGTGGCATAAACGCCTCCTGTTCACCATTGCCCCATAGAATAGGATTCTAGCTTGGCACATGGCTACCTGGGATAAAGACTATATTGTCCAGTCTTCCCTGAGGCTATCAGTAGCTGAGTGACCAGTTTGCCCCATAGAAAGTGATCCAAGTGGTGTCAACAATGTTCCTTGCCCCTGTCCCTCTGCTACTGACTCAAACACAAATGTGGCGGCTGGAGCTTCAGCAGCTATCTTGGACCATGAGGTGGAAACTGAATATTGGGGAAGGCAGAGCAACAAGATAGAAGAGGAGGTCCTGGGTGATTATGGAACCACCCCACTTTCTCTGGACTAACAGCCAGACTTTTTGTTAGAAGAAAATAATCTTCTATCTTATTCTAGTCACAGTTAATTTGGGTAACTCTGTTAGAACAGGCAAAACTATATACAGATATGCAGACATTCATCTCAAAGGGACTCACATGAAACGCGAGGCTCTTGAATGTGGACAAATGTGAGTTTTGTCATCTATGAAAGTCAAACATCAATGAGAGGCCCTGGGAAACCACTGTTCCTAGCCAGATGCACCCATAGGCATTCACCCTGAGACTCACCCAAACCCAATCAATCCAAGGGTGGACTCTCAAATATTCACTCCAGATAGAAGCTCCTCTTACTACAGACTTTGGTGAATTCTTCAAGCAGTGATATTTGGCTCTCCTGATTCATGGGCCAAGTGGGAATGCCCCACCCCCAATTTCCAAAACTAAGTATGTAAACGTCCACAGCAGATGTGAATGGCTTTGTATGATGTGTCCTATGGGGAGACTCTCATACGACCAGCTATGAATATCAATTCTATGGAAGGACCCTCAAATATTTCCCCCGCTGATCTGTGGGTCTTAGCCCACTGATCTGAAGGAAAAGTAAATCCTCCCCTACCCTCACTCTACACATGGCCCACCACCCTCTTGGGCTCCATAACTTCCCCATTCCCAACTGCCCACTCATCATTCCTAGTCCCTGACCTTCACCAGGTGGATCTGAGCCCAGCGGCTCACAGGCAGCGGTTTCTGTTGGTTGGGTCTGAAGATGTAGGCACCTGAGGCCTGGTCACTTTCGTTGTCACCTATACTGGCGTTGTACCTGGAGTTGGGGCAGGTGAGAGTCAGGTAAGGGGCCCTAGCTCCATGCCGAGCACCACCACCCCACCCTCAGGCCTGGTGATCTTCCCTTACCAGAAGAAGGTCTGGCGAACAGGCAGCAGGAGTTGCTGATTCATGTTCATAATCTCCATCAACAGCCCTGTGTCAGGATCAAACGTTGCCCGGATGTGCTGGGCAGAAAAGGGTCCACAGATGGGTTTGTGTGTGTATGTGTGTGTGTTTTCTTTTTTTAATTTTTCTTTTTTCTTTTTTTTTTTTTGAGACTGAGTCTCACTCTGTAGCCCAGGCTAGAGTACAGTGGTGCAATCTTGGCTCACTGCACCCCCCACCTCCCGGGTTCAAGTGATTCTCGTGCCTCAGCTATCCAAGTAGCTGGGATTACAGGTGCCCACCACCCCGCCTGGCTAATTTTCATATTTTTAGTAGAGACAGGGTTTCACCATGTTGGCCAGGCTGGTCTCAAACCCCTGAACTCAAGTGATCTGCTCACCTTGGCCTCCCAAAGTACTAGGATTACAGACATAAGCCACTGTGCCCAGCCGGATTTTTATTTTTTTTTTTTGAGACAGAAACTTGCTGTGTCGCCCAGGCTGGAGTGCAGGGGCGCAATCTCTGCTCACTACAGCCTCTGCCCCTGGGTTCCAGCAATTCTCCTGCCTCAGCCTCCTGGGTAGCTGGGATTACAGGCACATGCCACCATGCCTGGCTAATTTTTGTATTTTTAGTAGAGACGGGGTTTCGCCATGTTGGTCAGGCTGGTCTCCAACTCCTGACCTCAGGTAATCCACCCGCCTTGGCCTCCCAAAGGGCTGGGATTACAGGCGTGAGCCACTGCACCTGGCCTGGGTTTTTTGTTTTTTTTTTTTTTTTGAGACTGAGTCTCGCTCTATCGCCCAGGCTGGAGTGCAGAAAGTGGCGTGATCTTGGCTCACTGCAACCTCCGCCTCCCGGGTTCAAGCAATTCTCCTGACTCAGCCTCCTGAATAGCTGGGACTACAGGCACATGCCACCACACCTGGCTAATTTTTGTATTTTTATTAGAGACAGGGTTTCACAATATTGGCCATGCTGGTCTCGAACTCCTGACCTCATGATCCACCCCCCCCTCAGCCTCCCAAAGTGCTGGGATTACAGGCATGAGCCAACACGCCTGGCCCCTTTTTTTCTCAATTTAAAATTTTTTTAGGGCCGAGCGTGGTGGCTCACACCTGTAATCCCAGAACTTTGGGAGACCAAGTTGGGTGGATAACCTGAGGTGAGGAGTTTGATACCAGCCTGGCCAACATAGTGAAACTCCATCTCTACTAAATTAAAAAAAAAAAAATTTAAATTTGTTTTCTAGAGATGGGGGTCCCACTATGTTGCCTGGGGCTAGTGTCCAACTCCTGGGCTCAAGCAGTCCACCACACCCAGCCATTCAACCTGATTTTTTTTTTGTTTGCTTTTGAGACAGAGTCTTGCTCTGTCCCCCAGGCTGGAGTGCAGTGGCATGATCTCGGCTCACTGCAACCTCCACCTCCTGGGTTCAAGTGATTCTCCTGCCTCTCCCTCCCGAGTAGCTAGGACTACAAGTGTGTACCACCACGCCCAGTTAATTTTTGTATTTTTGGTACAGACGAGGTTTCACTGTGTTGGCCAGGCTGGTCTCAAACTCCTGACCTCAGGTGACCTGCCAGCCTCAGCCTCCCAAAGTCCTGGGATTACAGGCATGAGCCAACGTGCCCACCCCAGCCTTTTCTTTTTTTCTTTTTTTTTCTTTTTTTTTTTTTTGAGACGGAGTCTCACTCTGTTGCCCAGGCTGGAATGCAGTGGCGCCATCTCAGGTCACTGCAAGCTCCGCCTTCCGGGTTCACGCCATTCTCCTGCCTCAGCCTCCCGAGTAACTGGGACTACAGATGCTCGCCACCACGCCTGGCTAAATTTTTTGTATTTTTGTAGAGTCAGGGTTTCACCGTGTTAGCCAGGATGGTCTCCATCTCCTGACCTCGTGATCTGCCTGCCTCGGCCTCCCAAAGTGCTGGGATTACAGGTGTGAGCCACCGCGCCCGGCCCCCCCAACCTTATTTTCAACCTCACCACCTCTTACCAGGGCCTTCCAGGGCCAGTGCAGTCAACCCCTTCCAGGTCCCTGCACTTCCACACTGGCTGCCTACAGTCTGTTCCCCACAACAGCCAGAGCACACCTGTGATACCCTAAGTCCCATCAAAGCCCTCCTCTGCTGCGGACCAGGGCCAACTTGGGCATCTGATGTGTGAACCACAATGCCAGAACTCACAAGACTTTTAGGGGCCTGTGGGAACGTTTTAACTTCTTTTATTTTATTTTAATAAAAATATGAAAAAGATGTTTTCTTCCTAACATGAACAGTCCTACTGCAGAACTTCTTTTATTTTATTTTATTGAGACAGGGTCTCACTTTGTCACCCAGGCTGGAGTGCAGTGGCATGATCTCGGCTCACTGCAACCTCTGCCACCTGGGCTCAAGCAATCCTCCTTCCTCAGCCCCCAAGTAGCTGGGATTACAGACGTGTACCACCACCCCCAGCTAATTTTTTGTAGAGACTGGGTTTCACCATGTTGCCCAAGCTGGTCTCAAACTCCTGAGCTCAGTAGATCCACCCACCTCAGCCTCCCGTGGTGCTAGAATTACAGGTATAATCCACGATGCCTGGCCTATTTTATTATTATTCTTTTCAGACAGGGTTTCACTCTGTTGCCAGGATGGAGTACAGTGGGACAATCATTACTCACTGCAACCTCGAACTCCCCAGCTCAAACAAACCTCCCATCTGGGCCTCCCAATTAGCTGGGACAACTCCTGGGCTCAAGTGATCCTCCCGCTTCAGCCTCCCAAAGAGCTAGGAGTAGACACATGAGCAACAATGACTGGCAAAAGCCAAAGTCTTCCTGTTGGTCCTCAAGGCCCTCAAGGTCTGACCTGTCACCCGTTCACCCTGCTTCAGCCACACTGAGCTCCTTGTGGCTCCTGGAATTCTGCACACTCTCCTGCTCGAAGGCTTTTATGCCTGTTATTCTCTCCCCACCTGGATCTCTCTTCCTTCAAATAGCCACACGGCTCCCTCCCTCAGGTCATATCTTAAATGTCACCTTTATCGGGAACACCTTCCCTGAAACGTCCCTGCCAAAATTGCGAACCACCACCTGCCACCAACTCTGACATGTCTGTCAAGTGTCACCCATGATCACACTGGGTCCTCATAACAGTCCCAGGAAAGGACACTGAGGCTCAGACAAAGGTCACTTGCTCAAGGACACACAATGAGGGGAGTTGTGACAGGAGGTCATAAGCCTAGGGACCTGCTGACCCAGAGTCCACACAGCTCACCATGACACTTCAAATTTGTCACAGGAGCAGGAAAGGGGATTGAAATGGGGTCTCACCTCATTTTCGATGGTTAAAGCAGGGGACCAGGATCTTCTGGGGATGGGCTGTGGTGCGCGGGCCTGGGGCTTCCAGCGAGGCACCTGGGCTACTGAATAGGTGCTGAAGCCCAGGGCGGGCAGTGAGGCTGAGAACAGCAGCTCCGGAGGGTGCGCCTGGCTGTCTGAGCTGGGAAATATTACCACCTCGGATAAAGGAGGAGGGAAACTGAGTCAAGAGTACCCATGGAAAGCTATACATGCATGGAGACAAAAAACTCAAGGAAGGAAAAGAGTCCTGAGATGGGGAAAGGAAATGGAGGTGTGTGTGGTGGGGGGACAGTCAGATTCCAAGGAAATGATTGCAGAGAAGATTCACCAGGTGGAAAAAAAAACCCACCGGGAGGGTGGAGAGACCATGGAGTCGGGGGAGTGAAGGAGGAAGTAGGGGAAGAAACCCTTGAGGCAGGTTCTCGGGGGAGGAAGAGGTTTGGGGGAGGACGTTTTCTGGAATGAAGGAGATGTCCATAAACAGCAATAAATTTTCCTGGGGAAGCGGGGTATTAAAATGGAGGACCAGCCAGGCACGGTGGCTCATGCCTATAATCCAGCAGGCGGAGTTTGAAGTGAGCCAAGATCGCGCCACTGCACTCCAGCCTGGGTGACAGAGCGAGACTCCGTCTCAAAAAAAAAAAAAAAAGGGAGGACCACTCACAGGAGGCATATGTTCCCAAGGGGAGACTGATATTAAGGGGCAGAGGGAGAAGATACAAGAGGGGGGAAGAGATATGCATGAGTGGGAGGTATTCATGGAAGCAGGCGATATCCATGGGGGCGATGAGGAAATGCCCACTGGGGGAGGAGTCCCAGCGGGGGAATATTCGTTGTTTGGGCTCACATCGCTGGGCACTGTCCTGCCATTGGGGTCCTTCACAACGAAAACGCCTTCGCTGACCGGCAGCCGTACCATCCAATTCACCTTCCGCCCCAGGGGATTATAAACGATGACCTGGAACTGGGGAGGCGGGGGTCAGAGAGGGCATGGGTCACAGCAGGCCTTCTCCAAACCCACCCACTTTGCACAGAAACACCCCTGGCTGGTCCTAGTGTGGTCACGGCACTTAAGGCCAAGCCCCCTCGAGATGCGTTGTTCTCTCTGCTGACCCAGCTTCGCAGCCCACGTAATTTCACTCCTGTATAGTCCTCCAAAAACATTTTCCAACTACCCCCTCTAAAGCCCATCTGCCCTAGATCCACCCCTCCCGTCCCGGCTCACGCGCGCCGCCGTCTGGCTGAGCGGGCAGATGCTGATGTTTAGCTGTTGGCAAAAGGTGAAGTGATCTTTGAAGCCTCTGAGCCGCGCCAGCGCGTTGCTCAGAAGAACCTGCGGAAGAGCGCAAAGGGACCGGTGGGTTCAGGACGCCAGGCCTGACTCCTCCCCTCTCCTCAGGCCCCGCCCCGTTCCGGTCTCTGTCCCGCCTCCCTCAAGAGTCGCCCCAAAACCCCTTCTAGCCCCACCCTGCTGCCCTTGACTATACCCCATAGCTGTCTCCGCCTCCTCTTGCCCACGCCCCGCCTCCTTCCCCCCTCCAAAGCCCCGCCCCGTTCCTGTATCTTTCCCCGCCTCCTACAAGCCCCGCCCCCACGAGCCCTTGTAGCCCCGCCACAGGGCTCTCGGCTACGCCTCACACCTGTCTCTGTCCCCTTTCCCAGGCCCTGGCCCCGCCCCTTCCTGTCTCCACCCCCGTGTCTCCCAAGTCTCGCCCCGCGCACCTCGCAAGGCCCCCAGCCTGCCGCAAGCTGGCGCGCGTAGTCGTTGGCCACGTGCTGGCGGGAGGTGCCGCTGACGGCGTCGTGATGCTGGAGCACAGCCATCGCCTCATCTGCTCATAGACAATGAGTCCGGTGAGGTTCTGTGGGACTCAGCTGAGACCCCAAGGGGAAGCGAAAGGTCCGGTGCTGGCGGGCAGGATTCTTAGAGGCTTTAAGAAGGAACTCGAGGACGGCTGGGGGCGGTGGCTCACGCCTGTAATCCCAGCACTTTGAGAGACCGAGGCGGGCGGATCACGAGGTCAGATCGAGACCATCCTGGCTAACATGGTGAAACCCCGTCTCTACTAAAAATACAAAAAATTAGCCGGGCGTGGTGGTGGGCGCCTGTAGTCCCAGCTACTCGGGAGGCTGAGTCAGGAGAATGGCGTGAACACGGGAGGTGGAGCTTGCAGTGAGCCGAGATCGCACCACTGCACTCCAGCCTGGGAGACAAATCGAGACTCCGTCTCAAAAAAAAAAAAAAAAAAAAAAAAAAAGAAGAAACTCGAGGGGGGCGGCCTAGGGGTGGTTTCCAACTTCAGCCGCAAACCTCTTCCCCTCTTGGGCCCGACACTTACTGAGGGGTGCACTGTCTCCGGAGCCATAGGGTCCCACGTTGGCCGCCAGGCCCACCAGCGCCTCCAGCTGGTTGCACACCTGGAGGCAGAGGGGTATGTTGGGGCGCCCAGCCTGTCGGGCCTCGGGGCTGCATGCCCCCTCTAGCCCGGCTCCTACCCACCTGCAGGAAGTTGTAGCTGAGGCGCTCGTAGCGTTTGAGGGCCGGCCGACTGGAAAAGTAACCGGTCCAGAACTGGTGGGGGCCATCCGCGTAAGGGAAGAAGTCGTCATGTTTCACTGACCTACAGCGGCAGGGGCATTGAGGGCAGGGTCATGACCCACGGGGCATGCCAACCCCCCCAAGCTCCCCAGTTTCCCCAAATACCAGGTGAGGTTGGCCTTGTTCAGCTCCCAGAGGTAACAAGCGGGGGTGGAGTAGAGAACATGGACACTGCTTCCTTTTGCCTGCTGCTGGGGGAGGCGACGGAGTGAGCCCTCGGGAGTCCGCACCTTCCTGGGGGCCCACACTTCCACACATGTGTGCACATTCATGCATCCCATAGGTTCAGTTTCTCTAAATACATATTTGGCGTGCAAGCCAATGGTTGGGTGTGAAAATGAATTTTGGCTGAAGTCAAACATGACCACTAGCCTTTTTTAAAAGGATTTCAGAGATGCAAGAATAAACCTGAAATTTTACTAAACTTTTACAATAATTCCAACTTTATTATTAAAAACTTTTGTGGAAAAACTAAGTGTGACATTATAGGGCAGGAATAATCGTTTTGCAGGACTGTCAGATTGTTACCAAAAAACACAACTTTTTTTTTTTGGGACGGAGTCTTACTTTGTTGCCCAGGCTGTAGTGCAGTGGCTCAATCTCAGCTCACTGCAAGCTCCACCTCTTGGGTTCACGCCATTCTCCAGCCTCAGCCTCATGAGTACCTGGGACTACAGGTGCCCGCCACCACACCCGGCTAATTTTTTGCATTTTTTAGTAGAGACGGAGTTTCACCGTGTTAGCCAGGATGGTCTCGATCTCCTGACCTCATGATCCGCCCGCCTCAGCCTCCCAAAGTGCTGGGATTACAGGCATGAGCCACCGTGCCCGGCCTAGACACAATTTTTATAATGAATGGAGGTGCACTTTCACCTGAGCAAGGTGGAGGAACAAGAAAGTGACCTATGTGAGGAAAAGGATGTTTGTTTTGCACGAGCTGTGTCCCCCAATGTACACAGTAGGTGCTCAATAAACTTTTTTTTTTTTTTTTTTTTTTGAGACTGAGTCTGACTCTGTCGCCCAAGCTGGAGTGCAGTGGCACGATCTCAGCTGGCTGCAAACTCCGCCTCCCAGGTTCCAGCGATTCTCCTGCCTCAGCCTGCCGAGTAGCTGGTCTTACAGATGAGTGCCATCACGCCCACCTAATTTGTAGTATTTTTAGTAGAGACAAGGTTTCACCATGTTGGCCAGGCTGGTCTCCAACTCCTGTCTTCAAGTGATCCGCCCACCTCAGATTACAATCCCAACACTTTGGGAGGCCAAGGCGGACGGATCACCTGAGGTCAGGAGTTTTGAGACCAGCCTGGCCAACATAGTGAAACCCTGCCTCTACTAAAAATACAAAAATTAGCCAGGGTTGGTGGCACATGCCTGTAGTCCCAGCTACTTGGGAGGCTGAGGCAGGAGAATCACTAGAACCCAGGAGGCAGAGGTTGCCATGAGGCAAGATCATGCCACTGCACTCCAGCCTGGGTGACAAAGCAAGACTCTTGTCTCAATAAATAAATAAATAAATAAAATTTTAAAAAGAAAAAATAAATAAAAATAAATGACATAAAAGAGCTGTTTTGGTGAAATAGCAGTGCTGGGAGCGAGTGGAAGGTGGGAATGGAGATTGCACCGTAGTGAGGACAAGATTGATGGGAAGGGGTGTCTGAGATGGGAGAGGGGAGACAAGTTTCTGTGCTGATGAGAGTGACTGACTGTGCACACAGCCACAGCCACAGGCCACTTAGTGCAAAACACTAACACATCTGTGTTGGGTAAAATGATAACTGCCCAAAAGTGTCCATGTCCTGATCCCCAGAACCTATTACCACATTAGATTACATGGCAAAAGGGGAATTAAGGTTGCAGATGGAATTGAGGTTGTTCATCAGCCAAACTTAAAGTAGGGAAATTAGGCCACACAGTGGCTCACATCTGTAATCCCAGCACCTTGGGAGGCCGAGCGGGGTGGATCACGAGGTCAAGAAATCGAGACCATCCTGGCCAACATGGTGAAACCCTGTCTACTAAAAATACAAAAATTAGCTGGGCGTGGTGGCACGCGACTGTAGTCCCAGCTACTTGGGAGGCTGAGACAGAAGAATCACTTGAACCCAGGAGGCGGAGGTTGCAGTGAGCCGAGAGCACGCCACTGCACTCCAGCCTGGGCGACAGAGCGAGACTCCGTCTCTAAGTAAATAAATAAAATGTGGAAGAGAGAGGCAGAAGAGGTGAGAATGAGAGAAAGGGATGTGATTACAGAAACAGGGTCAGAAAGATGCTATGTGGCTGGCTTTGAAGATGGAGCCAAGAATAGATTTTGAATGTGGGTAACTTCTAGATGTTGGAAAAAGCAAGGAAATTATATTCTCTCCTAGAGACTGCAGAAGGAACACAGCCTTGCCAACACCTTGATTATAGCCTGGTGAGACTCAGGCTGGATTTTTTTTTTTTTTTTTTTTTTTTGAGACAGAGTCTTTCTCTGTGGCCCAGGCTGGAGTGCAGTGGTACAATCTCCGCTCACTGCAACCTCCGCCTCCCGGATTCAAGAGATTCCCCTGCCTCAGGCTCCCGAGTAGCTGGGATTACAGGCACGCACCATCACACCCAGCTAATTTCTGTATTTTTAGTAGAGACAGCGTTTCACCATGTTGGTCAGGCTGGTCTCGAATTCCTGACCTCGTGATCTGCCCGGCTCAGCCTCCCAACATGCTGGGATTACAGGCATGAGCCATTGCGCCCGGCCTCATGCTGGACTTCTTACCTACAGAACTGTAAGACAATGTATTTCTGTTGTTTTGAGCTGCTAAGTGTGTGGTCATTTGTTATAGAATGACCACAATAGAACAATAGAAAACAAAGACAGCACTGAGAGCTATGCACATAACCCAAGGCCCCCGGATGCAAGCGCACATGTGCACAAGGGTACCACAGGGTAGGCGCACTGACCTGCGCATTTACCAGCCGGATGAGCTTGTCAAGGTTCTTGAACCACATGTTGGCATTCTCATATTGGAAGTCCGAGCCCATGGTCATCACAGTGTGGTTGGTGCGGTAATACCGGCCCTGCAGGCAAGAGGGGAGTCCTGAAGCCAGAGGATCCTGGGCCATCCCTGTGTATAGCTGTGTTTTGATGTATATGGGGTCAAGGATGTTGGGTGCACAGGCATGGGTGGGGGTATGGCACTTGGGAGCGTGGGGACACAGATAAAAGTAGCCACCAGTTGTTGAGCAGTTCTCTTGGACCCACTACCTAGAAGAGGGCATCCAGTCACCATGCCATGCTATCTCTTGCCCAGCCTATGCTATCTCTTCTAATGAGGAATGCACATAAATCCAGGAGGGGGACATTGTGATGGTGAATAGAATAGCATCTTCCTCCAGGGGGCATGAGAACATGATTACAGGGGCTCACACCTGTAATCCCAGCTACTCAGGAGACTGAGGCAGGAGGATCGCTTGAGTCTAGGAGTTTAAGACCAACCTGGGCCACACAGCAAGACCCTGTCTCAAGAAAAAAAAAAAAAATTAATCTAAAACAATTTTTTTTTTGAGACAGAGTTTCACTCTGCTGCCCAAGCTAGAGTGAAGTGACGTGATCTCGGCTCACTGCAACCTCCACCTGCCAGGTTCAAGCGACTCTCTTGCCTTAGCCTCCCAAGTAGCTGGGATTACAGGCGTGCGCCACCACACCCGACTAATTTTTGTATTTTTAGTAGAGACAGGGTTTCGTCATTTTGGCTATGCTGGTCTTGAACTCC
The DNA here is from genome assembly GCF_000001405.40 of Homo sapiens. Classification (NCBI taxonomy): domain Eukaryota; kingdom Metazoa; phylum Chordata; class Mammalia; order Primates; family Hominidae; genus Homo; species Homo sapiens. The sequence goes on from NC_000019.10 coordinate 12,662,072, forward strand.
TGACTTCAGATGATCTGCCCATCTCGGCCTCTCAAAATGCTGGGATTATAGGCGTGAGCCACCATGCCCAGCCATCAATTTTTAAAGAAAGGAAAAAAAAATTTTTTTAAGGAGAACGTGTTATGCCAGGCATGGTGGCTCACACCTATATCCTAGCACTTTGGGAGGCCAAGGCAGGAGGATCACTTGAGTTCAGGAGTTTGAGACCAGCCTGGGCCACATGGTGAGACCTTATCTCTGTGAAAAAATAATGTTTTTTAATTATAAAAATGTTAAAGGCTGGACGCGGTGGCTCACGCCTGTAATCCCAGCACTTTGAGAGGCCAAGGCTGTGGGTCAAAAGGTTAGGAGTTCGAGACCAGCCTGGCCAATATGGTGAAACCCCCTTTCTACTAAAAAGACATAAAACTTAGCCGAGCATGGTGGTGGGCACCTGTAATCCCAGCTACTCGGGAGGCTGAGGCAGAAGAATCGCTTGGACCCAGTAGGTGGAGGTTGCAGTGAGCCGAGATCGTGCCACTGCACTCCAGCCTGGGCGACAGAGTGAGTCTAAAAAAAATAAAAAAGGAATTCTCAATAAAAATGTTAAAAATAGACTAGGCACAGTGGCCCACACCTGTAATCCCAGCACTTTGGGAGGTTGAGGCGGGCAGATCACCTGAGGTCAAGACCAGCCTGGTCAACATGACGAAACCCTGTCTACTAAAAATACAAAAATTAGCTGGGTGTGGTGGCAGGTGCCTCTAATCCCAGCTTCTTAGGAGGCTGAGGCAGGAGAATCGCTTGAACCCGGGAGGCGGAGGTTGCAGTGAGCTGAGATCATGCCACTGCACTCCAGCCTGGGTGACAGAGCAAGACTCTGTCTCAAAAAAAAAAAAATAATAATAAATAAATAAAAATGTTAAAAATAGAGGCCAGGTGCGGTGGCTCATGCCTGTAATCCCGGCACTTTGGGAGGCCGAGGCAAGCAGATCACTTGAGCTCAGGAGTTTGAGACCAGCCTGGACAACATGATGAGACCCCAGTGCAAAAATACAAAAATTAGCTGGATGTGCTTGTTTGAACCCAGGAGGCAGAGGTTGCAGTGAGCCGAGATCGCACCACTGCACTCCAGCCTGGGTGACAGAGTAAGACTGTCTCAAAAAAATTAAAAATAAGGAGAACGTGTTAGGGGATGCCTGTACCATGGAAAGAGCTCATTGTATTGTATATACCGGACTCGAAGGTTCTGGACACCAGGGTTACCTGGGCAGTGGCCACATTTAGGAAGTAATCGACCAGCTCCTTGGCGTTGTACTCGGGGCTGCGAGGGTCCTCCACCAGCGGCTGATCGACACACAGCACATCCCAGCACAGATTCCTTGGCGGGTTGTAACCATTGGGAAGCACACCTGCAGGTCACACCAAGTTCAAGGGGTGGCCCATCACCCAGACCTTCCCTGGTTTCAAAGCCGGCCATGTCCCACCCAGGATGGGCTTCAGAATTTGTGTCCCAATGCAAAAGGAAATGCAGGGCCTTTGTTCCCAGACTATAGGAATTCCAGGACAGTGACAACAGAGCAGATATCAAGCCCAGGGCCCTTCTGAGTGTGTGGCACCATGGCTGGCCCTGCCCTCACCAAGCCCCCTACCAGTGAAGAGGTCCGCGGTCGGGGGCTTCAGGCTGGTGCTGGCCCGCCACACCTGCTCCATCTCCAGCTTCTGCATCCGTACCCACTTATCTTGATAATCAAGGCGCCCAAAGAAGAAGCCGTCGAAGCCCATCTGGGGATGAGGGAGGAAAAGGCAGTGTGAATTAGTGCCCAGCCCTCTCACCACCAAACTCCCCTCTGCTTGGGAGGGGCAGGTCAGAGCACAGGTTAAAAAGCAGTGCTAGGTCGATGTGGTGGCTCTTGCCTATGATCCCAGCCTTCTGGGAGGCCAAAACAGGAGGATCACTTAAACCCAGGAGTTTTTGAGACCAGCCTGCACAACACGGGCAGACTGTCTACAAAAAATTTAAAAATTAGCCAGGCGTAGTGGTGCGCTCTTGTAGTCTCATCTACTAGGGGGGCTGAGACAGGAGAATCGCTTGAATCCGGGAGATTGAGGCTATAGTGAGTTAGGATTGCACCACTGCACTCCAGCCTGGATGACAGCAAGACCCTGTCTCAAAAAACAAAAACAAAAACACGTAGGGCTGAAACAGAGAGGCCTCCAGCTTATTTCCAAGCTTGGGGAAGTTTCAGAACTCACCACCTTGGGCTAGCAGGGAGAGGGCGGGTCCAACATCAGAACCCAGGTTCACCTCCCCAGCACTGTCAAAGCGCAGAGCAGGCCTGACTCCAGGAATGAGGTTCCCCCTTCCACAGCCTGAGGATGGATGGGGTCTGAGCACAGGTAATGAACCTGTTTTTAAGGCAGCCTAGGCATCCACTTGCCACCCGGTTTAGGGAGGAGCCAGGACCCGAGCTAGTGGGTGGGGCCAGAACACCAAGAGGGGCCTATTAGGGGAGAGGGCGGAGCCAGCCGGAGCTGGGTCAGCCTGGGCTGGGCATAGCCGGCTGAGGCCAGAGCTCAAAAGCCACTGGCTTTACGGCTCACTCAAGGGGCAGGGCTTCAACAGGCCTAGGCCTGGGCCTGGTCCTTGTGAGATTGCAGGGAGAGGGCGGGGTTTGACTGGGCGAGGGAGGAGCCAGAGTGAGTGAAGAAGTGGGCCCAAGAGAGGTCCCGGGTCGCACCTGCGCAAACAGCGAGGCCTGCTCCCGAGAGTGGCCGAAGGGGTCAATGTGCCAGGCCACACGGGGTCGCCCATCATTGCCAAATGTGTCCTCCAGAAAGCGCAGCCCAAGTGTCATCTGGTCCACGATGGCACCGTAGTGGGTGGCTGCCTCATCGTTCATCACCCAGCCACCATTGGCGAACTCCAGGCGCCCTGTGCCAGGACAGGCAAGGTCAGGGTCAGCGGTCAGAGCCAGGAGTGGGAGTAGGGTGGGTGATACTGGGAATGTGAAAGCCTGCCTGTGTACACATTTCTGGCGGAAGGACAAGAGGGGTCGCTCCCAGGCCATAGTTCCCAGATATGGGAAAGAGGCCCCCTGCATGGCAGGCTTCCCAGAGGATGCACAGCAGGTGGGGCTTTGTGGGATGTATAGGAGGTCTCCAAATGGAGAGTCCAGGCAGGCGGAGCGACACGCATGTTATACAGCTTGCACGTGGCATGACAAATCTCAGAAACCAGAGATGCAGAAGCAGAAGCTGGGCTGGGCTTCCTCTTTTCACTTCCTTGGGGTAGGCTCACCCTGGCGCACAAGGTCTCGCACGACTTCCTGTGTGGCATTTGTCTGCTGGTGCCACCAACGGGAGAAGAAGGCAATCTCCACGTAAATGAAGCGACGGGTGGGATCTGCCAGCAAGGCAGAGATGACCGAGTCCAGGATGTACTGCACACCGGCGTGCTGGATGTCATTCTTGACTGTGGATAACAGGGATAAGGCTCTCAGGGAACAGCAGAGCCAAGGGGGTTATTCCTAGACAGAGGAGCCCAAACCCTGGATATTAGGGTAGCACTGGCCCCACCCTAATGTCCAGGACCCAGAGGGATTACAGGGACCATGGGGATCCCAGGGACCAGTCCCCATCCTCTACTCACTTCCATAAAAGTACTGGTCCACGGTTTTGAGCCAGCCCACGTCATCATGTGTGTGAGGCAGCAGGTGCACGTTCAGCATGTTCGGCTGCACTGTGGGGCATGTCTGCACAGGGACCCCAAACACACATACCTTGTCAATAACCCCCGAGGTCGGGGGCTGCAGAGTAAGTCTTGATCTAGAGGTGAGTGACTCAGAGAGGCCTGATCTCGCCTATGTGCAGAGGAGGCCAGGCCCTCCCAGGCAGGACACACACATACATAGTTGTGCTCATAGATACAACTCCACTTTGCACAACCCCACAGGGCAGCTCTCATTCACACTCCGGGAAAATAATAATAGAAGTAGCTGATGTTTGTTCAGCATTTGCCGACAGCAGACGGCCACCGTGGGAGGTGGGGTGATGTTATCCCCAGTTTCCAGATGAAGGCACTGAGGCTTAGAGAGGATAGGTGACTTGCCCAACGTCACACACTCAGGAAGTGTAAGAGCTAGGCTGGAATTTCAGGCAGACTCCAGAGTCCCAGCTCTCAGCCAGCACCTCCCCCCACACATACACTGCTCACCCCCTGCCACCTCCTGCCCCTCCAATCCCACAGTTAAGTGCAGACAAAGTCTAGGCAAGCATCCCGGAGACACGGAGGCAGGTACAATCAGACACAGTCCTATACTCAGATGCGCACAGCCAGACCTCGCAATGACACAAAGCACGCACTCAGACCACACTGTCATATCATCAGCCATTCACTAGACACCCACAGGACAGACCCACCCACACCTCTAGACTGTATTCTGGGTTTCACTCTGCCTCCTGTACGTTTCAGCTCGGAGGCCCCACTCACCTCGTATCCCCCGGCCCGAGCACCGGCAGCCGCCAGCAACAAAAGGAAAAAGCAGAGAGGCGGGAGCGGTGGCCGCAGGGCGCGGGACATGGTCCAGGGGCCTGCTGAGTCCAGGCAGCCGCGAGCGCAGACCCCCGAAGCCCGCGCGTAGGCGCCCATGGCTCAGCAGCTTCCTCCTGGGGTTCCCCGGCCCTGGAAAGGCCGGGCAAACGCCCCGCCCCCAGACCCGGCCGGGCCAATCGGGGTGGGGGGCGGGGCCAGGGCGCGGTCTGGAGGCTCACGGGAGAGAGGCTGTAGCCCTGGGCAATCCCGGGGGTCGTTACAGGAAGGTAGGAAAATGCCACCCTCAGGGCACTGGTTGGGCTAAAGGTGACACTGGCGTCTCACGGGCTATGAAGACGGAATGCCTCTTAATGCCGGAATTCCAAGACGGAATGCCTCTTAATGCCGGTAGGAGCAGAAGTGCTTTTCCTAAGGGGGCCGGGTTTTCCTAGCCGGTGTAGTGTGTCCATGGGAATCCAGGGTGTCCGTCCCATGGACCTTCAGCGCTAGGGTCCTGGAAGGACCTAGCTTGCCTAAGAGGAGGATCTGATGAAGAGTCCTATACTGTGGGGATTGGGACGTTGGGTAAATACCCCTGGAGTACCAGGGATGGGATCCAGCCTGGTTGAGAAGGATCCCTGGGTGTTCCGGAGAGAAAAGAGGGTCTGACAAGTGGGGAAGGACCCCGAGTCTTTCATGCCTTTCCCAATTCCTACCAGTTCATTCTCTGATAAGAAAACAAAGCCCAGGGCAGGCGCAGTGGCTCAAGCCTGCAATCCCAGCACTTTGGGAGGGCCAGGCTGGTGAATCACTTGGGCCTGGGAGTTTGAGACCAGCCTGGGCAACATGGGTTGTTTTGTAGAGACGGGTTTGAAAACACAAAATTTGTAATTTTACACAAAATGTAAAAATACAAAAATTAGCTGGGCATGGTGGCACATGCCTGTAATCCCAGCTACTTGGGAGACTGAGGCAGGAGAATCACTTGAACCTGGGAGGCGGAGGTTGCAGTGAGCCGAGATCAAGATCATGCCATTGCCCTCCAGCCTGGGCAACAAGAGCAAAACTCTGTCTCAAAAAAAACAAGAATTAACTGGGCATGGTAGCACGCATTTGTGGTCCCAGTTACGTGGCAGGCTGAGGTGGGAGGATTGCTTGAGCCCAGGAGTTTGAGGCTGCAGTGAACATAGATTGTGCCACTGCACTCAGCCTGCATGACAGATCAAGACCATTTTCTTTCTTAAAAAGGAAAAAAAAAAAAGGAAACCAAAGCCTAGATTATCTAGGTCAGCAGGGCCATCTGGTGAGTTGCCAGAGGGCAGAAGTCACTGTCTTGTCCCTAGCACCTGACTTAAGACACAAGGTTTATGAAGTAAGCAAATGAACAGCCAGAAGCCTCCAGACTGGGGCCCCACACCAGGCCTATGGGGCTAGAGCCCTTCCCGCCAGGTAGGAGGAACACCCCACTGAACAGAAGAGGCTGACAGCCAGAGTGAAAAACTTTATTAACAACAGGTTTCAACGAGAAAGCAAATGAATACCCCTAGAAACATGGACAGCATCTCCCCCAGCAGCAGGCAGGGGAAGGGAGGCAGGAGGGGTAAGCCTAGGGTGTTCCCTAGGAAAGGGCCAGGTTCCCTCTATCCAGCTGGGGGCACCGAGACGGCCTCATTCAGGGAAGTCCAGGATGGCAGCTGAAGGCAGCAGGTTTAGCAGCCAAAGCCCAGGCCTAGTGGATAGACAGGGTCCAAAATGTGACCCTTCTAGGCTGGTATCACCATGGGGGCGTCATGGGCTGAGGATTCTGCAGATAGGACATCACCACGGCAGAGATGGACAGCCTGAGACAGGAGAGAGGTGTCAGTCTAGGATGGCCAGGCTGGGGTCCCCCCACCCCTTACTCAAGAGTCACTTGTTCTGTAGGGCAAGTCTCACATGAAGCTACTCATCATTTGCTTCGTGTCCTCCGAGCTCCGAGAGTTGGCAAAGCTGATGAAGGAGCAGTAGACAGCGACCCAAGCACACCACTTCAGCTAGGGAAAGGTAAGTGGGTGGGCAGGTTAGTGAAAGGCACAACAATGAGTCCCCGAAGCCACCTTTCCAGACACCAGATCATGCCCACTGATTCCATCTGATGCAGCTGGGACCTTGCCCCACCCGGAATTCCTCAGTCCCACCTGCTCATGGCATACTCTAGATACGTGGTTTCTAGTCCTACTGTCTGGCCTGCGTCTCTCAGGACCAAGAGAGACTCTGACATCCCACATGCTTAAGACCCTGCCCTTTTTCCACAACTCCTCTCCAAGTTGCTTCAAAGCCTGGCCCCACTCGCAGACCAATCTGCCACATCCCCAACCTGACTCGAATCCTTGACTTCACCAAAGACTGGGGCTTTCTCGGCCCAGCGTCATCGCAGCCCCACTCCCGGCCGATCTCAGGTCCCGCCCCATCAGCAATGACAAGACACCCCGCTTCATTCCAAACCCGCCCCCGGGCCTCGTTCTCAGGTCCAACTACACCCATAGAAGCTCAACCCCGCCCACCTTAAGCATGAGGCCGCACATGCTGAAGATCATGCCCAGCAGGTTCATGTAGTCCGGCGTCGGGTCGTCCAAGGCCGGGTTACATTCGCTCGGCGGGGGCTTGTACCTGCGACAGGCTCGAGGGTCAGGGGCGCTCAGGTCCTGCCCCCGGGATAGACAGGCGCTTCCCAGGGCCCCGATCCACACCCACAACCCGAACCCGTGCCCACGACGCTGGGGTCCTCACCTCAGCACTTTGTTCGGCCTCCGTGGGTCCGACATATTGTTAGTGGACATAGCGAGTCGAAGGCCAGATCACGCCTCTTCCGCTGCAGGAATCGCAGCTTCCGGCGTGCAAGCTGAGGGCGGATTTTAGAGTAACACCCGAGGCCCTCGCATTTCCGTTCCTCATGACAGAGGCTTGGACTCCCCTTACCCAGAGAACGGAGATTTAGGAGAAGCCAGAAGTCTTCCTTTCAAAGGGAAAATGGGGAAAAGAACCTGAAAGCGGGCTTCAATAGTTCCAACCCGATCACCGAAATGCCAAAATGATGAACCCGGAAGTGATAAACAGGAAGTAGGTCAGGAAGAACAATAATAAGGTTACACCCAAGCGTGGGTTTCTAAGGCGCGGAATTTTCCGTACAGACCGATTTAAGGCTGCAAGGAAGGAGTCCTGGGAGCATGGCTTTCCCTGAGCCAAAGCCGCGGCCTCCAGAGCTGCCGCAGAAACGGTTGAAGACGCTGGACTGCGGGCAGGGGGCAGTGCGAGCCGTACGATTTAATGGTGAGCGCCTTCGTCTTCATTCCGGGTCCTCCTCCCGCCTCCTGAGATCGACGGCCCAGTAACCCCCGCCTGGTGTTCCCCAGTGGATGGCAATTACTGCCTGACGTGCGGCAGTGACAAGACGCTGAAGCTGTGGAACCCGCTTCGGGGGACGCTGCTGCGGACGTACAGCGGCCACGGCTACGAGGTGCTGGATGCGGCCGGGTGAGCCGGGGACCAGGCTGGGATGGGAGCGCTGAGGCTGGGATCCGAGGTCGATGCTGATCCTCCTCCTCCTTTACTCCAGCTCCTTTGACAACAGTAGTCTCTGCTCCGGCGGCGGGGACAAGGCGGTGGTTCTGTGGGATGTGGCATCAGGGCAGGTCGTGCGCAAATTCCGGGGCCACGCAGGGGTGAGTGAAAGCCTGGAGACCCTCATTTGAGTGGAGGGGACCCGTATTAGCGCATAGGTGGTGACACGGCCACCCCCATTACACCGTAAGGATCCCTTCCCCAGATGACGATCCCCCACTCCGCATGCCAGGCTAGGCAGTCACCAACCCCTGTCCTTGCTGTTCCCCCAAAACCTTTCACCTCCCCTTCGCCCTTGCTTTAACCGACACTGGGAACCCTGCCTTTATCCCAGTCCTCCAAAGTCCAGCCTCCTCTGAGTGGCAATAACTTTCTCAGAAGGTGAACACGGTGCAGTTTAATGAAGAGGCCACAGTTATCCTGTCCGGTGAGTCTGGGGCCTAAGCACGGGGGCCCAGGGTGCTGCCCTCCCCCTCCAAACCTGACCTCACCATCATGCTGGCCTCACAGGCTCTATTGATTCCAGTATCCGCTGTTGGGATTGCCGCTCACGGAGGCCTGAGCCAGTGCAGACGCTGGATGAGGCCAGAGATGGCGTGTCCAGTGTGAAGGTGTCAGACCACGAGATCCTGGCAGGGTGAGTGGAGCCAGGACCTGGTCTCACCCCAGGTGCTACGGGGAATCATAGCTGCCCCCATGCTCAGATTAAAACCTACTCTCAGCTGGGCACAGTGGCACACAGCTGTAATCCCAGCTACTTGGGAGGCTGAAGTGGAAGGATCACTTGAGTCCAAGAGTTCGAGGCACCATTGCACTCCATGCTGGGTGAAAGACAGACTGTCTACAAAATAATAATAATCTGGCCGGGCACGGTGGCTCACACCTGTAATCCCAGCACTTTGGGAGGCCAAGGTGGGCAGATCACTTGAGGTCAGGAGGTTGAGATCAGCCTGGCCAACATGGTGAAACCCCGTCTCTACTAAAAATGCAAAAATTAGCCAGGTGTGGTGACGGGAGCCTGTAATCCCAGCCACTCGGGAGGCGGAGGCAGGAGAATCGCCTGAACCCGGGAGTTGGAGGTTGCAGTGAGCCGAGATTGTGCCACTGCACTCCAGCCTGGGCGACAAAGTGAGACTCCATCTCAAAAAAAAAAAGATAAAATGATTTCTAAAAATAAATAAAAATAGGCCGGGCGCTGTGGCTCATGCCTGTAATCCCAGCACTTTGGGAGGCAGAGGCAGGCGGATCATGAGGTCAGGAGATCGAGATCATTCTGGCTAACACGGTGAAACCCCGTCTCTACTAAAAATACAAAAAATTAGCCGGGCATAGTGGCAGGCGCCTGTAGTCCCAGCTACTCAGGAGGCTGAGGCAGGAGAATGGAGTGAACCCAGGAGGCAGAGCTTGCTGTGAGCCGACATCGCACCACTACACTCCTGGGCGATAGAGCAAGACTCCGTCTCAAAATAAGTAAATAAATTAAATAAATAAATACATAAAAATAATCATAAGGAAGAATTTTTGTTTTTTTTGAGACGCAGTCTCGCTCTGTTGCCAGGCTGGAGTGCAGTGACGTGATCTCGGCTCACTGCAACCTCTAACTTCTAGGTTCAGGCGATTCTCCTGCCTCAGCCTCCCTAGTAGCTGGGACTACAGTCGCGTGCCACCACGCCCAGCTAATTTTTGTATTTTTAGTAGAGACGGGGTTTCGCCATGTTGGCCAGGAGGGTCTCCATCTCTTGACCTCGTGATCCACCTGCCCTGGCCTCCCAAAGAGCTGGAATCACAGGCGTGAGCCACCGCGCCTGGTGGAAAAAATATATTTTCTATTCATTAAGTGGAAGTGAAGAGATCGTCATAAAGATCTTCGTGTTGAGAAAGCAGAGGAGGAGGAAGAGGAGGGATTGATCTTGGTGTCTCACAGCTGATAGAGGCAGAAGAAAATCCACATATAAGTGGACGCGTTCAGTTCAAACCGTGTTGTTCATGGGTCAACTGTACTTTGAAAAGTGCTCCCTCTGGTGGCTGTGGGGGGTGCAGGGAGACCAGAACAGTCTAGATGCTGGTGCTGGGTAGTGGGGAAAGTGGTGGGACTGAGTACTGAGGAGGAGGAGCTGGAGAATGCAGGAAAAGGGGGAATTGGGCCAGGTGGGGTGGCTCACACCTGTAATCCCAGCACTTTGGGAGGCTGAGGTGGGCGGATCACCTGAGGTTGGGAGTTCGAGACCAGCCTGACCAACATGGAGAAACCCCGTCTCTACTAAAAATACAAAATTAGCAGGGCGTGGTGGTGCATGCCTGTATTCCCATCTACTCGGGAGGCTGAGGAAGGAGAATCTCTTGAACCCGGGAGGCAGAGGTTCCGGTGAGCCAAGATCATGCCATTGCACTCCAGCCTGAGCAACAAGAGCAAAACTCTGTCTCAAACAAAAGGAAGAAAAGGGGGAATCAGAAGGACTCCAAGGGCTTGGAAAGGGGGTGTGGGTCTTGGAAATGATGGAGTAGGACGTAATTGGCCCTGGGCCTGAGTCTCAAGGCCAGAGCTTCAGAATTCCACTCCTGTGCACTGGAAGAGCAGGCCCACTGGGCTGGGAAGGCACAGGGCTGCCTGGAGCCATGTGAGTGTAGTCAAGGTTCCCGCTGGATCTACCCTCTCCTGCAGCTCCGTGGATGGCCGCGTGAGACGCTATGACCTAAGGATGGGGCAGCTCTTCTCAGACTACGTGGGCAGTGAGTGTGGCTGGGGATGTGGGACAGGCAGGGAAGATGGGGGGCCAACCAGGGGCACCCCACCCTCACTCACCTACCCACCCTTCCCCCAAGGCCCCATCACCTGCACCTGCTTCAGCCGGGATGGGCAGTGCACCCTGGTGTCCAGCCTGGACTCCACATTGCGGCTCCTGGACAAAGACACAGGGGAGCTGCTGGGCGAGTGAGTCCTTGTGGTCGTGGGGATCCCCTTCCCTCCTCTCCCACCCCTGGAGAGGACCAAGCCCCCCGATCCTGTCCACCCTTAGGTACAAGGGCCATAAGAACCAGGAATACAAGCTGGACTGCTGCCTGAGCGAGCGTGACACACATGTGGTCAGCTGTTCTGAGGACGGGAAGGTGTTCTTCTGGGACCTGGTGGAGGTGAGGTGCCCCCAGCCCTACTTCATACCTAGATGCCTGCCCCATCTCAGCCCTGTCCTTACCTCAGTCACTCCAGGGCCTGAAGGCTAGGATCTTTTTTTTTTTTTTTTTTTTTTTTTTGAGACAAGTCTTGCTCTGTCGCCCAGGCTAGAGTGCAGTGGCGCAATCTTGGCTCACTGTAAACTCCGCCTCCCAAGTTCAAGCGATTCTCCTGCCTCAGTCTCCTGAGTAGTTGGGATTATAGGTGCGTGCCACCACACCCAGCTAATTTTTGTATTTTTAGTAGAGACAGGGTTTCACTATGTTGGTCAGGCTGGTCTTAAACTCCTGACCTCATGATCCACCCACCTCAGCCTTCCCAAGTGCTAGGATTACAGGCGTAAGCCACCACACCCGGCCCTTTTTTCTTTTTTTGAGACTATTGCCCAGGCAAATGCAGTGGCGCCATCTCAGCTCACTGCAACCTCTTCCCCCCAGGGTTCAGGTGATTCTCATGTCTCAGCCTCCTGAGTAGCTGGGATTACAGGCCCCTACCACCATACCTGGCTAATTTTTGTATTTTTAGTAGAGACAGGGTTTCACCATGTTGGCCAGGCTGGTCTCAAACTCCTGACCTCAAGTGATTCACCCGCCTCGGCCTCCCAAAGTGCTGGGATTACAGGCCTGAGACACCGTGCCCAGCTTGGGCTAGAGAGAAGATGAGGCAGGAAGGGCATTCCAGGCAAAGGGAACAGCATATGTTAAGAGGTGTAGCCTGCGCATGCATCAGTCAGGAAACAAAGGCTTCAGGGTGGCGGCAGGTGCGGCAAGATCCGGGGTCAGGCTGGGCTGCAGATGCCAGGCCGAGCAACTGGCACTGACCCCTGGGCAAGGGGGAGCCGACGGCCATGTCTAACCTTGGGTGAGATAGGGCTGCAGTCATTCAAGAAACTGGAGCTACATCTTAGCATCCCTGTGCATGGTTTCAAGCCCTGAGCCCTGTCCTTGACATGTCCCAGCCTGGTGGGGAGTCAGGCCAGAAACAGACCATCCTGGTGTAGTGGGGTCAGAGCCGGGGGAATCTCGGCAAAGGAGACATCAGCGCTGGGCTTGGCCAGGGGAACTAAGGCCCATAAGAGGATGGAGGGAACCGGGGGGGCCCTGAAGACTTGGCGGACAAGCTCTTGCTTTAGGAACTAAGGTAGCAAGAATGTTCCACCTATTTCTTATGGGCCCAGTAGAACAGAAGTTGCCTTGGAGGGCAGGCACATCAAGGGACATTTTCAAGGTGGAAAGAGGAAGCATGGCTTGCTTGAGGAACTGTTTACATTGTGTTGGGACCAGGGGAAGTGGGGATCATTGGGGCTGCCAAATGGACAGGATGGAGCCCAGCTGGTGGCAGGGAACAGGCAAGCTGTGAGCAAGGCATGCTCCAAACATGGTAGTGGCAGAAAATCAGCAGTCTCTGGACATGGTCTAGAAGCAGAGCCAAGAGGAATAACTGATAGAGGAACATGTGGTACAAGAAAAAGACTCCCGGCCAGGCATGGTGGTTCACACCTGTAATCCCAGCACTTTGGGAGGCCGAGGGGGGTGGATCACGAGGTCAGGAGATAGAGATCATCCTGGCCAACATGGTGAAACCCCATCTGTACTAAAAATACAAAAATTAGCTGGGCATGGTAGCGCGTGCCTGTAATCCCACCTACTCGGGAGGCTGAGGCAGGAGAATCGCTTGAACTAGGGAGTCGGAGGTTGCAGTGAGCCCAGATGGCGCCACTGCACTCCAGCCTGGCGACAGAGCAAGACTCCATCTCAAAAAAAAACAGAAAAAGAAAAAGACTCCCAAAGCCAGGCATGGTGGCTCACACCTGTAGTCCTAGCACTTTGGGAGGCCAAGGCAGGAGGATCACTTGAGGCCAGGAGTTCGAGACCAGCCTGGGCAACATGGTAAGACCCCATCTCTGCTATTTTAAAAAATAAAAAATCAATAAGAGGCTCCCAAGACTTGCGGCCTGAACACCTGGTAGGACAGAGCTACTGAGGGGCTCAGTCTGAGGTAGATTAATTTTGCAGTGTCTAGGAGGCAATTAGAGGCAGGTGGCTGAAGGTCGGGGAGAGGTGACTGAGGGCTTCAGGCAGGACTGAGATGGGGGGTGCCCAGGGACCTCAGAAACCAGGGTACAGCCCAGCCACAGATAACCACTCCCTACCCCTCGCTCCACAGGGTGCGCTGGCTCTGGCCCTGCCTGTGGGTTCCGGTGTGGTGCAGTCGCTGGCCTACCACCCAACAGAGCCCTGCCTGCTGACCGCCATGGGAGGCAGCGTCCAGTGCTGGCGAGAGGAGGCCTATGAGGCAGAGGATGGAGCAGGCTGAAGCCAGGGGACCCACCAACAGGACCAAGGACCGAGACACAGACATGGAAGGACTTCAGATACCATCTTATTCTAGAGACGTAGCTGACCAAAAAGTAGGGGAGGGGCTGGGTCTGCAAATTAATAAATAGAAGAGGGGGTAAGACCTTCCTGGGACCGCAGCCGCTCAGTCCTCGTTCTTCTCATGCATGAAGGCATCCATCTTCTGGGCAAAGGTTTCAGCCACAAGCAGGGGGAAGACCAGGGAGGCGTCAGCATAGACCTGGGTAGGGGGGAACCTGGGTAAGCCATGGGACCCACACTCATCGTCCCAGAGACCCTATGCCCCACCCAGCCAGCGCTTACCTTGACGGGCTGTGCATCCACCCGGATCTTGCCCCAGGAGACAGCCTCGTCTGGTCGGGCACCTGAGTCAGAGCCATCAAACTCCTGGGCTGTGTTGATGTAAACAGCGTAGTCGGCCCCGTTCCGCTGTGGGGAGGCGGGGGCACGGTGGGCCCAGTCAGCCAGTCACAGGAGACAGACACAGAGGGAGGACACCGTAGCCAAACAGGCTGAGAGGTGTGTCCCAGATGAAGGAAGCCCTTCACAGACATTCGCTCCCAGACAGGGCCCATGTCAATGTCTGGGGTCACTAGAGCTGCTGGGCAACGATGGCTGTGTTTCCCCAGACCCAACAGCCAGGTGTCAACAACCCTGCCCCATCTGCAAGGCAGGAGCTGCCAGCAACTCTATCTTCAGAAGCCCTCCAAATCCAACCACCGCCTGCCTCCTGATCCCTGCATGGTCACCACTGTCCTGGACTGGAGTTCTCACTCACCTGCCACCATCTGTTCACCACATGGCCACCAGGGGGAGCATGGGAACCCGAGTCAAGTCCTCTCCCACTTCTCTCAGTGCAAAAGCCAAAGCCCCGCCTCAGCCCACAGGGCCCAGCAGGCTCCCTGTGGCACCTCCCTGCATCACCTCCTGGCCCTCACCACTCCACCTTCCCCTCACCAGGTACCCAGCTGTTCCTGGATTACTTCAGGCGCCCCAGAGCCTTTGCAATGGCTGTTCCCTCTCCTGGGAACTTTGCAATCCAGAAGCTCAATGCTAGTACAGCAGCACAAACTCCTGGCACGGGAGACAACCACATAGCTCCTGGGAGATGCCTCCCCAAACCCCTGCTCCCAGCTCACACTTCCAGAAGCCTCCTTCCAAAACCTCTTGTTGGACAGCACCCCTTTCTCTTCTCATGCCATCATTTAGTATTCCCCGTAGCAATGACTGCCCCCTGACGTGGATGTCACTTGTTTGCTATCTCCCCTACTAGAACATCAGTCCCGGGGAGCAGGGATCCTGGCCTGTCTAGTTCATGCTGTCTACCCAGCACATGGCATAGGCCCACCACACAGCATGTCTGCAGAGTGGGCCGAAGCGCCACCCCCACTCACCATGAGGTTGGCATTGGCAATGTGGTGCTTGACCACGCCCCCGCCCAGAATGATCATCCCAGTGCACTTGGCAAAGATGGCCTGTGTGTTGATGAGCCTCAGGTCTGGGGGAAGAGCGCCGAAGTCAGGCCTTGGACTCAGCCAGCCCTCCTTCCCCTCTCCTCTGTGGCCCTAGCGCCTCACCCTCAACGATGTCCAGGACCAGGCCCGGGTTCTTGTAGGAATGGAAGAAGATCATGTCGCCCAGCGAGCCGTCTGTAAGTGCGGGACTAAACACAGGGATGTGGTTCTGCAGAGAACATGACAGGACAGTGGCTGGAGCTCAGAGCCTCGTCTCCATGCTGGCTATATGACTATCTGACTGTGGATGGGGTGCCTAATTTCTCTAGGACTGTTTCCTCAATTATAAGCATAACAGAAACACCTCTCACAGATGAGGCCTATATGAGAAAACCCACAGAAAACACTTAGTATAGTGCCTGGCACATAAAGAACCAGCCTATTCTTAGCTTGCTGAGCTGTTTCTCTCTCTTTTTTTTTATTCCCTGAGACGGAGTTTCACTCGTTGCCCAGGCTGGAGTGCAATGGCACTATCTCAGCTCACTGCAACCTCTGCCTCCTGGGTTCCAGTGATTCTCCTGCTTCAGCCTCCCGAGTAGCTAGGATTACAGGCGCATGCCACTATGCCCAGCTAATTTTGCATTTTGTTTTTTTAGTAGAGACAGGGTTCCACCATGTTGGCCAGGCTGGTCTTGAACTCCTGACTTCAGGTGATCCACCCGCCTCAGCCCCCAAAGTACTGGGATTACAAGCATGAGCCACCGTGCCCGGCCGTCTAATTCTTTTTTAAAGAGCCAGCTTGTGGCCGGGCGCGGTGGCTCACGCTTGTAATCCCAGCACTTTGGGAGGCCGAGGCGGGTGGATCACCTGAGGTCAGGAGCTCGACACCAGCCTGACCAACATGGAGAAACCCTGCCTCTACTAAAAATACAAAATTAGCCAGGGGTGGTGGCACATGCCTATAATCCCAGCTACTTGGGAACTTGATGCTGAGGCAGGAGAATTGCTTGAACCCAGGAGGTAGAGGTTGCTGTGAGCCAAGATTGCGCCATTGGACTCTGGCCTGGGTAACAAGAGCAAAACTCCGTCTCAAAAAAAAAAAAAGAGCCAGCTTGTGCAACATGGTGAGTTCCCATCTCTACAAAAACAATTAGCCAGGCATGGTGGCACGCACCTGTAGTCCCAGCTACTCAGCAGGCTGAGGCAGGAGAATCGACTGAGCCCAGAAGCTCAAGACAGCAGTGAGCCATTATTGTGCCATTGCACTCCAGCCTGGGAAACAGAATGAGACCCTGTCTCGTAAAAAAGAAAGAGTAAGTAGGCTGGGTGTGGTGGCTCACCCCTGTAATCCCAGCACTTTGGGAGGCCAAGGCGGGTGGATCACTTGAGGTCAGGAGTTCAAGACCAGCCTGGCCAACATGGTGAAACCCCATCTGTAGAAAAATACAAAAATTGGCCGGGCATGATGGTGGGTGCCTATAGTCCCAGCTACTCAGGAGGGTGAGGCGGGAGAATCACTTGAACCTGGGAGGTGGAGGGTGCAGTGAGCTGAAATCACACCATTACACTCCAGCCTGGGCGACAGAGCAAGACTCTGTCTCAAAAAAAAAAAAAAAAAAAAAAAGACTATGTAGCTTTTTTTTTTTTTTTTTCAGGTTCTGATTCTCTAATTAAAGGGAGTGGGTAGCTCTTATTTTATAGCATCTGGGAGTGTGGGACCCTGAGCCAGGCCCCAGGAGAGTTGCTAAGTGTTGCCTCTACTGTTCCAGAGATAGTCTGGGAGGAGCATAAGGATGCTGAGGCCCCACTAGTTATCTGTGTGACTTCAGACAAAATTACCTAGCCTGGCTGGGCACAGTGGCTCACGCCTGTAATCCCAGCACTTTGGGAGGCCAAGGTGGGAGGACTGCCTGACGCCAGGAGTTCAAGACCAGCCTGGGAAACACAGGGAGACCCCCATCTCTACAAAAAATTTTTAAAATTAGCTGGGCATGATGGCATGTGCCTGTGGTCCCAGCTACTCGAGAGGCTGAGGTGGGAGGACTGCTTGGCCCCAGGAGGTTGAGGCTGCAATGAGCTGTGATCACACCACTGCACTCCAGCCTAGGTGACAGAGCAAGATCCTGTCTCAAAAAAAAAAAAAATTACCACGCCTATCTGTGTTTGAGTCTCCTCATCTAAGAGTGAGGATGCTGAGAATAACAGTACTGAATCCCCAGGAGGCTGGAAAGATGAAATAAGTTAACACATGCCAAAGTCTGGCTACTTTGCTCCCGCTTAGGTCCTCACCTTCTGGGCCCAGTAATACACGGACTCTGGGTTGTTGATCTCCTTGCCCAGCCGGGCGATCATCTTAGAAGGCGTCCACTTTACACCCTAGGAGAGGATGTGACCTTCAGGCCATGCCTCCCCTGACTCCCACTGAACTGGCCCCTCCAGGTTGCCCCAGCCCCACCTCTGTGTTCTGCTCCATCACCATCTGGTCCAGAATGGGCATCAGCCAGTCCTCAAACTTGCAGTAATTCTCATTGGGCACCAGCAGGTTTCCGATCCTGAGAACAGGAGGCATGTAGGCATCAGGCCCCAGGACCCTTGGTCCAGCTCCCCTGCCCAACACCACTCAGGGTTCTCACCTATTGATCCCGTTCTCCCGGAGCTCCTTCCCCCTGAGGCTAAACTCGCCCAAGTATGTGGGCGCCAGGCACTTGATGAGGTCTTCCTCCACGCCGCCAGCTGTGGTCACCAATACGTCCACCTGCAGCCACAAGGCAGTGAATTTGGCCCAAGAAGGAAGCCCCTGCCCTCATTCTGGGCAGAACTTCTAACCTCATCCTTGTCCAGTGACTCTTATGAGGGAGCTCTGCTACAAAACAAAACTTGATTCTATTCCTCTGCTTATAACAGACCCCTATCTGCCCATCTCACTTAAACGATCAATAACTGCATTGCCCATTGACCCAGAGGCCAAGGCCACGGCCTCACCAGGTCCCCACCATGTTGTGCTGCACAAGGTAGCGAATGGTCTCACGGATGCCTGAACTGATGAGGTTGGATGTATATCCCAGGAAAATGGTGCAGCTGGTAAGTGGGCGGCGGCTCTGGGTCAGGTCCGCGTGCTGGTCTTCATCCTGTGACAGTGGTTCCAGCTTCTTCTCGATCTGTGAGTAAGGGCCAAGTCAAGTTAAGCACTGGCCTTAAATCCCAGACTCAGGACTCCAGGTGGGCTCCAGAAACAGATTTCACCCCAGGCCCTGCACATTCAGGGATACAGGACCAGTTCTACAGGGGACCAAGGAACATCTCCTGTGTAAACTCTGCCCCTTCCCAGACCAGATCTCAAGACACACGTTCAGGATTTGCCCCCACCCTTTTTTTTTTTTTTTTGGACGGAGTTTCACTCTTGTTACCCAGGCTAGAGTGCAATGGCGCGATCTCGGCTCACTGCAAGCTCCACCTCCCGGGTTCAAGCGATTCTCCTGCCTCAGCCTCCCGAGTAGCTGGGACTACAGGCGCGCACCACCATGCCCGGCTAATTTTTTGCATTTTAGTAGAGACGGGGTTTCTCCATGTTGGTCAGGCTGGTCTCGAACTCCCGACCTCAGGTGATCCGCCCGCCTCGGCCTCCCAAAATGCTGAGATTACAGGCATGAGCCACCGTGCCCGGCCTTTTTTTTTTTTTTTTTTTGAGACAGAGTATCGCTCTGTCACCAGGCTGGAGTGCAGTGGCGCAATCTCAGCTCACTGCAACCTCCACCTCGCGGGTTCAAGCGATTCTCCTGCCTCAGCCTCCCGAGTAGCTGGGACTACAGGCGCGCAACACCATGCCCGGCTAATTTTTTGCATTTTAGTAGAGACAGGGTTTCACCATGTTGGCCAGGCTTGTCTCGAACTCCTCTTCTCTTGATCCACCCGCCTCGGCTTCCCAAAATGCTGGGATTATAGGCATGCGCCACCGCGCCCAGCCAGCCCCCACCCTTTTAGGAATCAGAGAGCATCTCCTTTCAGATCCGGTCCCTTCCCCGCTGGGAAAAGCAAATCTAAATTCAAGAACCGCCCAGACTTAGGCTCCTCCTCCCATATCCTCCCTTAATTTGTCTTGCCCCAGGCTCCGCCCATTCCAGAAAGCTTTAAATGTACCTAGAACCCGCCCCCACACCAAGAATCAGTCCTCGCCTCCTCAGGTTACCGTACCAGCATGTAACTACCAGAGTGCAAAATCCCCTTCCCAGGACAGAAACTCCCGCCCAGAATAGGTCCCGCCTTCCTCCAACTATTGGGCAACTCAAATAAAAGACATATCCCCTCCACTGGAAACGCTGCCCCCGTCTAGTACCGCGTTGGTTCTACAAGCCACGCCCCTCCGCGTCCCTAGAAATTCCGCCCGGTCCTCACCATGGCATTGACTTGCTGTACAGCGCGCCCGAAGTTGGTTGCTTGGAAGCCGGTGGTGCCGAAGGCCTCCAGCAGTGCGCGGTAATTCACACCGCGGTTGAAGTCGTAGCCCCGGACCTGGGTGCTTTCGGGCGGCAACGTCGAGCTGTGCTTTAGCACGGCGGCCAGCGCCCCCGCTGGCGCCTCCCGTTCCAGGGAACCTTCCATGCGCCTATAGCCGGCTCTCGAGTCAAAGCTGCCCCTAGGCCGGGCTTACGGCGGCCCAGAAACGCGTTAAACCCCGACGCGCGCGTCTCCGCAAGAGCACAGGAAGTAGGGAACGTGCTTTGGGCGAAAGACCGGAAGTTGGTTTATCACGTGACCATTTTTAGCCCCTGTAAACCAGGTCGCCGCCATTTTTGTGCGTGTGTTCCGTAATACGGAAGCCGCGAGGAGCCTTTAGGCCCTTTCTTTCTTTTTTTTTTTTTTTTTTTTTTTGAGACGGAGTCTCGCTCTGTCACCCAGGCTGGAGTGCAGTGGCGCGATCTCAGCTCACTGCCAGCTCCGCTTTCCGGGTTCACGCTGTTCTCCTGCCTCAGCCTCCCGAGTAGCTGGGACTACAGGCGCCCACCACCACGCCCGGCTAATTTTTTTGTATTTTTAGTAGAGACGGGGTTTCACCTGGTCTCGATCTCCTGACCTCGTGATTCGCCCGCCTCGGCCTCCCAAAGTGCTGGGATTACAGGCGTGACCCACCGCGCCCGGCGCCTTTAGGCCTTTTCTTCCTTTTTTTTTCTTTTTTTTTTTTTTGATACAGGGTTTCGCTCTTGTTGCCCAGGCTGGAGTGCAATTGCCCGATCTCAGCTCACCACAACCTCCACATTCCGGGTTCAAGCGATTCTCCTGCCTCAGCCTCCCGAGTAGCTGGGACTACTGGCATGCACCGCCATGCCCGGCTAATTTTGTATTTTTAGTAGAGGCGGGGTTTCTCCCTGTTGGTCAGGCTGGTCTCGAACTTCCGACCTCAGGTTATCCGCCCGCCTCAGCCTCCCAAAGTGCTGGGATTACAGGCGTGAGCCACTGCGCTTCGGCCTTTACTTGTTTTCATGTGTTCTCGACTTCCCATGAATGAAGATTCTTTTTTATTTTTATTATTTATTTATTTAATTTATTTTTGAGACAAGAGTTACACGCTCTTGTTACGCAGGCTGGAGTGCGGTGGTGCAATCTTGACTCATTGCAACCTCTGCCCCCCTGGTTCAAGCGATTCTCCTGCCTCAGCCTCCCGAGTTGCTGGGATTACAGACACCCACCACCAGGCCTGGCTAATTTTTTATTTTTAGTAGAGATGGCATTTCACCATGTTGGCGAGGCTGGTTCTGCCCTCAGGTGACCGCCCGCCTGGGCTTTCCAAAGTGCTGAGATTACAGGTGTGAGCCACCGTCCCCAGCCAAAATTCCTATTTTAATGCCACCTGCTGGAGACCCACTGCTTGGCCCGGCACTCGCCCATTCGTTTCTGTTCTGTCCCCTCGGGAGGGGAGGATGGTTTTGTTGTTGTTGTTGCTGTTTTGTTTGTTTGTTTGTTTGAGCTAGAGTCTTGCGCTGTCTCCCAGGCTGGAGTGCAGTGGCACGATCTCGGCTCACTGCAACCTCCGCCTCCCAGGTTCACGCCATTCTTCTGCCTCAGCCTCCCCAGTAACTGGGACTACAGGCGCCGGCCACCACGCCCGGCTAATATTTTGTATTTTTAGTAGAGACGGGGTTTCACCGTGTTAGCCAGGGTAGTCTCGATCTCCTGACCTCGTGATCCGCCCGCCTCAGCCTCCCAAAGTGCTGGGATTACAGGCATGAGCCACCGCGCCTGGCCTGCTGCTATTTTTTGATAGGGTCTCACTCTGTCGCCAGGCTGGAGTGCTGTGACGCGATCTCGGCCCACTGCAACCTCTGACTCCCGGACTCAGGTCATCCTCCCACCCCAGCATTCCGACTAGTGTGCACCATCGTGCCCAGCTAATTTTTTTATGAGGGTCACTTTTTTTTTTTTTTTTTTTTTTGAGACAGAGTCTCGCTCTGTCGCCCAGGCTGGAGTGCAGTGGCGCAATCTCGGCTCACTGCAAGCTCTGCCTCCCAGGTTCATGCCATTCTCCTGCCTCAGCCTCCCGAGTAACTGGGACTACAGGTGCCCGCCACCACACCCGGCTAATTTTTTCTGTTTTTAGTAGAGATGGGGTTTCACCGTGTTAGCCAGGATGGTCTCGATCTCCTGAACTCGTGACCCGCCCGCCTTGGCCTCCCAAAGTGCCAGGATTACAGGCGTGAGCCACTGCGCCCGGCCGAGGGTCACTTCTTAAGCGTCACCCATGGACAAGATTTCGGTCACCAGGCAGAGTTAGACACAGTTTCATCCTTCCTCAGCCACTTTTGTCTAATGGGATAGTGAGCCCGGTTCGTGCCCTCACAAGTCTCCAAAGCCTTCACATGCTGCATAACGCTCTGTTCTTCCTTCCCTTATAGCTGCAGCTGTCACCTCCACCTCCTCTGGGAAGCCTTCCCTGAACTCCCACTGGGTCAGTGGCCTCTTCTGGGACCCAGGGCTGACGTCTCTTTCCCTCCTGCAAGAATGTGAGACCCTGGGTGTCATCTGTATCTCAAACACACCCTCCTAACAGTGCATACGGCCAACAGGATTATTCACTCACTCTACAATTCATGTAGTCTATTCTCTATGGTGGGCTCCGTGCTAGGCACTAAGGATTTAGTGGTGAACAAGACCAAGATGTGGACCCTGCCCTACTGGAGCCCACAATCTGATTGGGAAGATAGAAAGTTAACAATAGTGGTGAGTGCTATCAGGCCTTTTTTGTTTTTTGTTTTTTTTGGAGACAGAGTTTCGCTCTTGTTGCCCAGGCTGGAGTGCAATGGCGCGATCTCCACTCATCGCAACCTCTGCCTCCCAGTTTCAAGCAATTCTCCTGCCTCAGCCTCCCGAGTAGCTGGGATTACAGGCATGAGCCATCACGCCCGGCTAATTCTTGTATTTTTAGTAGAGATGGGGTTTCACTATGTTGGTCAGGCTAGTCTCGAACTCCTGACCTCAGGTGATCTGCCTGCCTCGGCCTCCCAAAGTGCTGGGATTACAGGTGTGAGCCACCGCGCCCAGCGCAATCAGGATTTAAACAGGATAATTTGAGTCTTTAGGTGGAGGAGTTCGGGATTTTAGTTGGAGGGATGGGTGAAGGACGCCAAGGAGGTGAGATTTGAGCCAAAGCCAGAAGGCTGAGAAAATCCCCGTATGTGAAGATGCAGAGAGGCCATTTCCTGCACATGGGAAGACAGAACAGCAAAAGCCGTGAGGCTGGAATGAGCCTACCTTGTTGGAGGAGACAGACATCCTCCTTGACATCCTCGCTTGGACCTCAAAGTTGCCCCCTCAGCTCCCTCTCCACCTATCCCTGATCTTTCTGCATCTCAGCAAACGGCCCCACCCTCCACTCATCCACTAGACTGAAAAATAGGGATTGGGGCTGGGCGCGGTGGCTCACACCTGTAATCCCAGCACTTTGGGATGCCAAGGAGGGCAGATCACCTGAGGTTAGGAGTTAGAGACCAGCCTGGACAACATGGCGAAACCCCGTCTCTACTAAAAAATACAAAAATTAGCCGGGTGTGGTGGCGCACACCCATAATCCCAGCTACTCAGGAGGCTGAGGCAGGAGAATCACTTGAACCCGGGAGGTGGAGGTTGCAGTGAGCTGAGATGGTGCCACTGCACTCCAGCCTGGGCAACAGAGCGAAACTCCGTCTCAAAAATAGATAAATAAAAATTAAAAATGAGGAGCGCAGCTTGCTGTCTCCCCTTTTCTCACACCCCACATCCATCCTTCTCAGCATGTCTGCCAACCTCTACCTATAAAGTAGGTCCGAAATCCAGGTGTTTTCTTTATCCCCATAGCCTGCAAGCTGGCTTTGGTATCCTCCAACCCATCTCCCACCTAACAGCTAAAATCAGAGAGCTTTTTTTTTTTTTTTTTTTTTTTTGAGACGGAGTCTTGCTCTGTCGCCCAGGCTGGAGTGTAGTGGTGTGATTTCGGCTCACTACAAGCTCCACCTCCCGGGTTCACGCCAGTCTCCTGCCTCAGCCTCCCAAGTAGCTGGGACTACAGGCGCCCGCCACACGCCCAGCTAATTTTTTGTATTTTTAGTAGAGACGGGGTTTCACCATGTTAGCCAGGATGGTCTTGATCTCCTGACCTCGTGATCCGCCCACCTCAGCCTCCCAAAGTGCTGGGATTACAGGCATGAGCCACCGTGCCCAGCCGCTGAGCTTTTTTTTTTGATGCAGGGTCTCACTCTGTCACCAGGGCTGGAGTGCAGTGGGACAATCACACCTCACTGCAGCTTCGACCTCCTGGCCTCAAGTGATCCTCCCACTTCAGCCTCCCCAGTAGCTGGGACTACAGGTGCATGCCACAGCTCTTTAACCATAAATCAAACATGTCACTGTTAAAACCTCCTAATGGTAGCTTCCCCCTGGGAGTAAAATCCAAGCTTTTCACAGTGGCCTTAAAGGGCACCTCTCAACCTCCCTGCTGCCATCTCCCACCATGCTGGCCCTCCCTCCCTCTCTCCTCTCCAGCTACACAGACCTCTTTGCTATTCCTGGAACCCACCAAGCTCTTTTTTGTCCAAGGAGTCAGGTACTTGCCGCTCCTTCTGCCTAGAACACCCCATTTCTCAGTTCCTTCTCCTCCTTTGGGCCTAAGTTCAAATGTCACCTCCTCTGAGAGGCCTGCCCTGACCACTCCTCTCCCCTTTACTTTGATTTTATTCTTCTTTCATATGCCCTTTCACATGTATACTCTTTCACTGAGTACATTTTCTGTTGTCCATCCCTGCCTAACTAGAAAGGCAGCTCCATGAGGGCAAGGTTTTGTCTTGTTTCATTGCTAATTTGGGTTTTTGCACAGTGCTGGGCACATATTAGAATCTCGGGGCAGGGCTCAGTGGCTTATGCCTATAATTCCTTTGGAAGGCCAAGGCAAGAGGATCGTTTGAGGCCAGGAGTTCAAGACCAGCCTGGGCAACATAGTAAGAACCATCTCTACAAAAAGTTAAAAACATAAATTAGCAGGGCACGGTGGCTCACGCCTATAATTCTAGCTAATCAGGAGGCTGAGTTGAGAGGATCACTTGAGCCCAGGAGTTTGAAGTTACAGTGAGCTATGATTGTACCACTGCACTCCAGCCTGGACGACAGAGCGAGAACCTGGGCTTAAAAAAAGAAAAGAAGGCCAGGCACGATGGCTCACACCTGTAATCCCAGCACTTTGGGAGGCCGAAGCAGGTGGATCACTTGAGGTCAGGAGTTCGAGACCAGCCTGGCCAACATGGTGAAACCCCTTCTCTACTAAAAATACAAAAATTAGCCAGGTGTGGCCGGGCGCAGTGGCTCATGCCTGTAATCCCAGCACTTTGGGAGGCTGAGGCAAGTGGATCACCTGAGATCAGGAGTTCAAGACCAGCCTGACCAACATGGTGAAACCTCATCTCTACTAAAAATACAAAAAATTAGCCGAGCATGGTGGCACATGCCTGTAATCCCAGCTACTCGAGAGGCTGAGGCAGAAGAATCGCTTGAACCCAGAAGGCGGAGGTTGCAGTGAGCCGAAATCACGCTATTGCACTCTAGCCTGGGCAACAAGAGCGAAATACCATCTCAAAAAAAAAAAAAAAAAAAAAATTAGCCGGGTGTGGTAGCATACGCCTGTAATCCCAGCTACTCAGGAGGCTGAGGCAGGAGAATCACTTGAGCCCGGGAGGTGGAGGTTGAAAGTGAGCTGAGATCGCACCACTGCACTCCAACATGGGTGATAGAGCAAGACTCTCTCTCAAAAAAAAAAAAAAAAAAAAAAAAAAGAACGAAGGCATTGGAGATTTGAGCCTGAGCAGTGGCGACAACAGGAGGAGAGGCAAGGCTGCATGTTGGAGATGGCAGAGGCTGACAAAGCAGATGTGTTGGGAACAGTTAGCAGGAGATCCAGCAGGCCAGGGGGAGGCCAGGGCCTCCTCACTCCCCCAGCCAAGGCACCTAGCCCACAGGGACCCAGGTGACACATGACACCAGAGGAGCCACAGGGCCTCCTGGGGCAGGGACCCCCTCAGCCGAGGCAGCAGCTGCTGCTGCAGCTGGTGACATTTCACTCCATGAGAGCCCTGGCTTCAAAGTCTTTGCAGGGGTAGCCGAGGGAGAAAAGGGGGTTGAAGAGGACAGGCTGGGTTGGGGAGGGAGCCACAGCAGGGTGGCCACCAGAGGACCAGGCAGCCAGAGGTGACTTGGGCCGGAGCCCTTAGCCGAGGTGTGTGGGCCTGATGGGTCCAGGAGCAGCCACCCTCATCCTGCAGCCCCCAAGGAACATAGAAGGAGGTGTGGGAACCCTCGGGCAGCCCTAGGCTCCCCCTAGGGGACTGAGGTTGGGCCTGCTGCCCACGGCCTGCCCACTTTACCCAGATGTCCAGCAAGGTGGCCATCAACAGTGACATTGGGCAGGCCCTCTGGGCAGTGGAGCAGCTCCAGATGGAGGCAGGCATCGACCAAGTGAAGGTGAGGGTCGGGGCCAGTGCAGGAGGCGGGAAGAGGTGGGAACACATGGGCCAGGGGACAGGTGCATGCCTGGGTCTGGTCTGGCTGAACCAGTTGGTCTGCAGGTGTCCAAAGATGGCCGCCGATCTGCTGAAGTTCTGCACGGAGCAGGCCAAGAATGACCCCTTCCTTGTGGGCATCCCGGCCGCCACCAACTCCTTCAAGGAGAAGAAGCCCTATGCCATCCTATGAACCCAGGGCAATGCCACCCTGTGGCCTGGGCAAACCAGGGGGCCTCAATAAACATGAAGTGAATACTTCTCAGGGCATGGCTGAGCTGGGCTGAGATGGGAGACCAGAGGGACTTTGGGCTTGCAGGGGCCAGGTGCGTACCTGGCCCAGCCTCCCTCCCTGCCTGCCCCCGGGGTCACAGCCACAGCAGCACACACACACCCTGGAGCCCCAGACGGAGAGCACGCCATCCCTCTTGCCCTCGCCAGCACCCATGGGATAGCCTGAGCAGGTACCCTTTCCCACCGTGCAGACAAATGGCCAGGATTTGAGTCATAATCTATACACCACACGCGTCACACATCACACACACACGTGACATCATAGACACAGATGCCCACGATCCTCAGGACTCTCCCTCTTCAAATGCACAGCAACAGCTGACATGCACCCCCAGCCCAGACTTGCTATCTCTCCCAGTCACTCCCATGCAGGCCCGCAGCCCCACAGCCCCAAGCAGGCACAGGCAGAACCCCAGCAGGCAAACCACACTCACACTCCAGGCCCAAGCACCAACATGTCAGGTTTATTTCTCCTTCGCTCTCAACTGAGAGCGGGGCATCCAAATCATAACAAAACCAGGGCCCAAGAGTGGGAAGCGGCCCCCTGGGTGGGCCTGAACCCCAATTTCACCCTTCCCCCGGGCATAGGGCCCAGGCCAGGACGCTCACCCGAATGTGGCTGGGACTCCTTGTGCCCTAGGCCCACGGGGCGGAGGCAGCACCAACATTGGGGATGGTCCCCCAAGAACAGAGGAGGAAGCCCAGCCTCCGGCAGGCAGTATCCACATCCACGCCCACCTGCTCAGGCCTGCAGCCTCCAGACCTCTAGCGACAGGTCTCCAGAGCCGGCCACCACCAGGTTGCCCTCAGCACAGACCTGGGAAGGGGGAGGAACATGAGGAGTCAGGGACGATGGCGCTCTGGCCAGCTGGGCAGGGCACATGGGGCAGGACCTTACCCTATTGAGCCCATTGTCATGCCTTCGGGTGCAAATGGTCCTTGGTGGGTCTGTGGGCACGTGCACCTAGTGAGGGGCAATGGGCGAGGTCAAGAGGTGTGCCCCTGGCTGATGGAGGTAGGGGAGAGGCAGGGACTGTCCTGGGGTGGGGGCTGGGCAGGAGCCTCACCCGGATGGTCTTGTCAGTGGATGTGGTGTACAAGGCTCCCACGGAGTACTGGATCCCAGTGATGGGAAAGCTGTGGCCCACATCAAAGGACTGCAGGAGGAGGATCAGGCAACACTCAGTCGAGGCTCTCCCAAGGCCCGCCCTCCCCCACACCACCAGGGGCTCGGGTAGGAAGGAAGCCCGGGGGGAGGGACAGTCAGGGGCAGGAGCTCCAGCAGACCCGGATAAGCTGGAAGCAGCCGTTGCGGTTGGCGAAGACGTGCAGCAGGCCCTGGTTGTCACCAGCCCAGAGCTGGGGTTCCTGGTAGGACATGCAGAGCAGGTAGGAGTCCAGCTACGAGAGGGACAAGGGACGGGACAGCTCAGGCCGGGCTGGGCCTGCAACAGTCCCCATCCCTCCAGGCCCCTGGGGAGGGCCCACCTGCAGACGCTGCAGGACGCTGTTGGCTCGGCGGTCCACCACCACCAGGGTGTGGTCCTCGCTGCCTGAGATGATGTGCCGGTCATCCGCCAGCAGGGTCAGCACGGGTCTGGAGTGTAGTTGCTGGTGCTTCAACAGGGCTGGGCCGGCTTCATGGGTGATGGGCCGGTGAGGAGGGATATCAGAGCCCCTCGAAGGCCCCCCCCAGCCCATGAGAGCATCCCGGGTCTCCATCCTGTCTGGCAAAACCCTCGATCTGCTCATTCCCCCACCCCACAGAGTGACCCATCTCTCCTCTCCCGCCTCAGGTAAATCCAGGCTTCCACAGGAGCCCCAGGCCTCTGCCCATCCCCGTCCACATCCCATATCCCTCCTCCGATCCCATCTACTGTTCTTAGCACAGAGCTGACCAAGGTGGTCTCAGTCTTGCATCCACCCTCAGGTTGGCCTGAAACATGCCTATCCCGCAGCCCCGCTCCAGCTCTGCCTGGACAAGGTACACTGGCCCTTCAATTAACAAAAGTAGAATGAATAAATAGGCCAGGCACAGTGGCTCACACCTGTAATCTCAGAATTTTGGGAGGCTGATATGGGCAGATCATCCGAGCCCAGGAGTTCAAGATCACCTTGGGCAACGTGGCAAGACCCCGTTCTCCATTTAAAAAAAAGAAAAATGGCCGGGCGCGGTGGCTCACATCTGTAATCCCTGCACTTTGGGAAGCTGAGGTGGGTGGATCACCTGAGGTCAGGAGTTCATGACCAGCCTGGCCAACATGGTGAAACCTTGTCTCTACTGCCTCAGCCTCTGGAGTAGCTGGGACTACAGGTAGGCGCCACCACATCCAGCATAAAAAAACGTAGTTAATCCACCACTGTTCCTATTATCATCTTCCCCCATTAACCCCATGGGGCTGCTGTGGTATTATTATCTGGATTTCAAAGATGGGGAAACCGAGGTTCAAGCTTGTCTGGAGGTCACACAGCTAGGCAGTGGGACAGCCAGAACTCTAACCCGCCCCCAGGGCTGCCCAAGCTTCACCTTCACCCGCTGCCCAAGTTGCCTGTATTGTACCAGCACAGCATGGCCACTCTGAGTGGTGAGTATTTGGTTAAGTGACTATGACCCCAGCCAGGCTGTGAAGCCCCAGTGTCTCCTTCCCTAACATGACATCTCCCAACCTGGGCCCCAGGACCCTTGGCCCACCTCTGGGGTCGTAGATGGTCACCTTCTTGTCATAGGTGCCAGTCACCAGGATGTCAGGCAGGTAGGAGAGGCACAGCACGGCTGAGCTGGCCCTAGGGACACACAGACCACAGGGCTTTGGCTGTGGCCAGACAGGGTCCTATCCCCGCAGGCCCCCTGCCCAGGCCCCCACACACTTTATCTCGCCGAACTGCTGCCCATCCGCTGCCATGTCCCAGAGCTTCACTGTGCTGTCCCAGGAGCCGGAGCACACGCGGTGGTCCTGCGCTGCCAGTGACCACACCCAGCCCTGCAGGACAGGAGCAGCAGTCACACACCTGCCACAGCCCATGGGGGTCCCAGACTGGGATCGTTCTGTTTTTGCAGGTAAGGCTCAGAGAGGTCAAGAGACTCACCCAAAGCCACATAGCTCTTCCTCCCCAGTGCCCATGGTGATAGATGCTGCAGCAAGTACAACACCCAACTCTGGCTCCAGGTGATCACCCCCATTGCATAGATGAAACCAGAGCAAGTTCAAGTTGAGTACAGATTAAAGTTTGTGTCCATGGGTCAGCCTGACTTCAGAGTCCAGGAAAGGCACACCCCACCCAGAAACTTTTTTTTTTTGGAGACGGAGTTTCACTTTTGTCATCCAGGCTGGAGTGCAGTGGCTTGATCTTGGCTCACTGCAACCTCTGCCTCCCGTGTTCAAGTGATTCTCCTGCCTCAGCCTCTCTAGTAGCTGGGATTACACGCTTGTGCCACCACGCCCGGCTAATTTTTGTATTATTAGTAGAGACGGGGTTTCACCATGTTGGCCACGCTGGTCTCAAACTCCTGACCTTAGGTGATCCGCCCGCTTCAGCCTCCCAAAGTGCTGGGATTACAGGCATGTGCCACTGTGCCTGGCCCAGGAACTCTTTTTTTTTTTTTGAGACAAGGTCTTGCTGTGTCATCCAGGCATGAATGCAGTGGTGCGATCATGGCTTATTGCAGCCTCCACATCCCAGGCTCAAGCAATCCTTGTACCACAGCTTCCCAAAGAGCTGGGACTACAGGTGCATGCCACTACACTCTGCTAATTTTTTTTTTTTTTTTTTGAGATGGAGTTTTGCTCCTGTTGCCCAGGCTGGAGTGCAATGATACGATCTCGGCTCACCACAACCTCCGCCTCCCGAGTTCAAGCAATTCTCCTGCCTCAGCCTCCCTAGTAGCTGGGATTACAGGCATGTGCCACCGCGCCAGCTAATTTTGTATTTTTAGTAGAGCCGGGGTTTCTCCATGTTGGTCAGGCTGGTCTCGAACTCCTGACCTCAGATGATCCGCCTGCCTTAGCCTCCCAAAGTGCTGGGATTACAGGCGTGAGCCACTGCATCCGGTCTTTTTTTTTTTTTTGAGACATAGTATCGCTCTGTCGCCCAGGCTGGAGTGCAGTGGCATGATCTCGGCTCACTGCAAGCTCCGCCTCCCGGGTTCATGCCATTCTCCTGCCTCGGCCTCCCGAGTCGCTGGGACTACAGGTGCCCACGCACCACGCCTGGCTAATTATTTGGTATTTTTTGTAGAGTCAGGGTCTCCCATGTTGCCCAGGCTGGTCTCGAACTCCTGGGTTCAAGCAATCCTCCTGCCTCGGCCTCCCAAAGTGTTAGGATTACAGGCCTGAGCAACTAACTGCACCCTGGCCCAATAACATTTCTAAGTCAAGTTCTGCAAGAACTCAGCACCAGTGGTGGTTTGAAGCCACATGACAAGTGATTAAGAGTGTGGCCTCTACTTTGTGACCTGGCAAACCATATCACCTCCCTCAGTTCATTCATCAGCAAATTGGGCAGAAAACATCCCTTGCCTCAGGAGCTAATATGCACAGGGTGCTGAATGCTGACTTTTTGCCCACCAATCCCGCTGAGGAGGGCAATATTGTGTATCTCATTTTACAAATGGGGAAACTGGGCCCCAGAGAGGTTGAGTTTCTCACTCAAGGTCACACAGCCAGGAAGCAGCACAGTGAGAATTTGAACCCAGCATCCTGGCCCCAAGCCCAAGCTCTCAGCTACCGGCCTGACCACCTTAGCGACTGGTGGAGATGCTCCTCCACAGCCACCTCTCACGAGATGACAGTCATGCTCAGAGTTGGCTGATCTCCAAGGGTAGTCTCATAACTGCTTTACACTGGGCCTCTCAAGGTGTACCTGACGTCTATTGAGCACCTACTGTGTGTCAAAGCCTGAGCTTGGCTGGGCACCGTGGCTCATGCCTGTAATCCTAGCATTTTGGAAGGCTGAGTCAGGCAGATCACTTGAGGCCAGGAGTTTGAGACCAGCCTGGCCAACATGGCGAAACCTCGTCTCTACTAAAGGAAAAAAAAAAAAAAAAAAAAAAAAAAAAATATATATATATATATATATATATATATATATACACACACACACACACACACACACACACACACACACACACACACACAAAAGAAATTAGCTGGGCATGGTGGCACATGCCTATAATTCCAGCTACTCAGGAGGCAAGGTTGCAGTGAGCTGAGATTGTGCCACTGCACTATAGCCTGAGCAACAGAGTGAGATTCCATTAAAAAAAAAAAATTAGCTGGGCATGGTGGCAGGCACCTGTAATCCCAGTTACTTGGGAGGCTGAGACAGGAGAATCACTTGAATCCCGGAGGCAGAGGTTGCAGTGGGCCGAGATCATGCCATTGCATTCCAGCCTGGGTGACAGAGGGAGACTCTGTCTCAATAAAAATATAAATAAATAAAGGCCAGGTGACTCATGCCTGTAATCCCAGCACTTTGGGAGGCTGAGGCGGGCAGACCACGAGGTCTGGAGATCGAGACCATCCTGACCAACATGGTGAAACCCTGTCTCTACCAAAAATAAAAAAATTAGCTGGGCATGGTGGTCCTAGCTACTCAGGAGGCTGAGGCAGGAGAATTGCTTAAACCTGGGAGGCAGAGGTTGCAGTGAGCCGAGATTGCATCACTACACTCCAGCCTAGCAACAGAGTGAGACTCCATCTCAAAAAAAAAAAAAAAAAATTAGACAGGTGTGGTGGCATGCACCTGTAGTCCCAGCTACTCAGGAGGCTGAGGCAGGAGAACCGCTTGAACCCGGGAAGCAGAGGTTGCAGTGAGCTGAGATCATGCCACACTCCAGCCTGGGTGACAGAACGAGACTCCGTCTCAAAAAAAAAAAAAAAAAAAGCCTGAGCTTAATGCATGTCCACATTAATGCATAATGCATCTCCTTCATCCTCATCCTAATCACCCACTGGACAGAAGTAGAAACTGAGGCACAGAGAAGTCACACATCTCACTCAAAGTCACACCAAGGTTAGAAAAGTCAGATTCAAATCTATGCGGTCCTGTACCAAAACCTGGGGCCTTAACCAAGATGCCCTACTCAGGCCTCATACCTCCTATCCCCACCTGACTCCTCACCTCATGGGTACTATTTCGCTTAGTGCCTAAGGTCTTGATCAGAACCTGGTTGGACTCCGTCCCCAGCTGCCGCAGGTCCCACAAGTTGACGTTGCGATCTCGGGAGCCCGACAGACAGAGTGACCCACCCTGGAAAGGGAGCAAGGTGATGTTGTCAGGGCCACCCTGGCCCACCCTGCCTGGCCCCCCACAGACCCCGTCTCACCTGGAGCAGCAGCACTGAGTCAACGGAAGCCACGTGGCCTTCGGCCAGGCAGAAGTATTCGACCCAGCGCCCATCCTCTGCCCAGCGGGACAGGTGCTGCTCCAGCGCAATGCAGGCTGCCGGCCAGTCAAAGTTCTTCTCTGTGGGTTACCACGAGTAGGGTGCCCAGTGGGCAGGGACCCTAGCACCCATGCCAGCTGGCCAAGCCCAACCCTGGCTTCCAGGGAGCCCACACTACACCAGACTTGGACAGAACCCCATGGAGATCCCTACTCCCACCCCAAGCCGACCCAGGCTGTGGTCTTGGGACCACCTGCCTGCCCATTTCCCAGGCAGGTCTAGGACTACTCACTCCAATTTCCAGAAATTGGGAACTGGGGTCTCAGAACTACCTCTCCAGGCGCCATCCCCCAACCCAAACTCAGGGCAGAGCAGTCTCAGGATGTTGAGGTCTGACCTCAGGCTCAGCATAGAAGCTGGGACCTCATGACTAACCCTTCCTGCCTCAGCCATCTGAACCAGACCAAGGGGGCTGTTTCTCAAACAGTATCTGGAAACCAGGGAGCCTTGTCAAGATGCAGAATGCAAGCCCCAGATGCAGATTCTGTGATATGGACGGGGTCCAAGCATCTATGTTTATTAAGCTGTTTGGGAGAGTCTGACCTGGGGGTTGGATGGCAACACCTTGAGAATCACTGATCCCGGAGTGATCCTGATTCCTCTCTAAGCAGAATCAAAGCTTCCAGGTTAAGGGTATCAAACACCCAAGCTGTAATACATCTTGGCTTAAGGGCCTGAGGATCCAGCTGTATCAGGATCAACAATATCGATTCAAAGGTCCCAAGCTGTCTTCCCTCAGGAACCAATCAACTCAGGGCCAAGAGCCACTGTCTCACCCCTAACTGGGTCAAGGCTCTAGGGCTCAGGAGTTTTGACATCAACAGGTGCTGTCTCAGCTTCTAAGCTGGACTCAGAACCTGAGGATCCTTGGGCTCACTTTGAGCCCCAGCATAAACTCCAGAGCCTAAGACTTCAAGTCCCTGTGTCAATCCCCAATCAGGGGTCAGTGGCTTAGTACCACAAGACCCCAAGACTGAGGATATTTGGATCCTGAGTCGTCCAGGAACCACAGCCCCATGTTAGGGTTTCACAGCCTCAGGACCCCAAGTGCCTGACTGCCTCGTGGTCCACCCAGAGGTCCTCAGGGGCTTCGGCACCACCAGTAACTACCTTAGCCTCCAGCCTGAGCCAGGACAGCCACGAAGCCTGCACCAGAGGCTGCATCCGGAACACCCCATGTACCTCTTCCCCGCCCCAAGCCTGACCTGGGCGGGCGCCCCCGGCCCCCGGTCCCCGGCCCCCGGCCCCGCGCACCTTCCACCACTGGGTAGGGCGCGCGTACGCGGCGTAGCGCGCGTAGCCTCCAGGTGACATGGTCAGACACGAGGTCGCGGAGCGCGTGGCACACCCGCGACAGGACGTGGAGCACGAGGCGGGCGTCCAGGTAGGAGCAGATCTCGAGCAGCAGCTCCGGGGGAAGGCTCAGAAGGCCCGGCTCACTTACGGCCGAAACCCTGGACGCGGCCCGAGGCTCCGAAGCGCTCGGGGACGCGGCGGGTGTGGATAGCTGCGAGGGGCGCGAGAACGCCAGCCCGGATTTTGGCGGACTGAGAACGCGGGCCACGTAGGCCTTGGCCTGCGCGTCTGGGTCTGTCTCTGACTCTGGGTCCGAGTCATCGTCCCAGGTGCGGGAATCATCGCACCGCCCTAGGGGAAGCTCCATTGCGACCGGGTGGGCGCTGCCGGCCTCGCGTCTTGTCTCCTAGGCAGCACGAGGGCACTTCCGGCGCTGTCTGATGACGTTTATGCGCCCACCGGAAGCGACGAAGTCAGACACTGGCTTAATACAGAACATCGCCCCGCTTACAGGGTCTCTTGCAACTGCGTCGGCCTTAGGCTGGAAAATGCAGGTTCCTGTTTCTGCGCTTTTTAAACTAGCCGATACCGAGAGCCAGCCAACTCTAGCTAAAAACGAAACTCAAGCCAGGCGGGGTGGCGCGCGCCTGTAGTTCCAGATACTCAGGAAGGTGAAGGGGTAGGATCCCTTGAGTCCAGGAGTTCGAGACTGCAGTGAGCCATGGTTGTGCCACTGTACTCCAACCTGCGCAACATAGTGAGACCCTGTCTCTTTAAATTAGACATAAAATAAACACTGCTTTAACGAAGGCATCTGTTATATGTGACACTGAGCTTAGAAACCCAAAGGCCCCTTTCCGAGTTCAAGGAGTAGAGATTGGAACTCTTGCCTCTTTTCCCAGAGCCAGAAATATGCAGTTACACTGCAGAGGCATCAGTTAAGTGACTTTTTTTTTTTTTTTTTTTTTTTTTGAGAAAGGAACTGGGGCCTCAGAACTACCTCTCCAGACCCCATTCCCCAACCCAACCTTGGAGGACAGCAGTTCAGTCCTCCAAGCGGAGTGCTTGGCTCATTGCAACCTCCGCTTTCTGGACTCAAGTGATCCTCCACCTCGGCCCCCCAGGTAGCTGGGACTACAGGCGCGCACCACCACACCCGGCTAATTTTTGTATTCTTTTGTAAAGACAGGGTTTCACTACGTTGTCCAGGCTGGTCTGGAACTCCTGAGCTCAAGCCATCCGCCCCCAACTTGGTCTCCCAAAGTACCAGGATTACAGGCGTGAACCATCGCGCCTGGTGGAAAGCTACCTTTTTCTTTTTTCTGAGACGGAGTCTCACTCTGTCACCCAGGCTGGTGTGCAGTGGCGCGATCTCGGCTGGCTGCAACCTCCGCCTCCCGGGTTCAAGCGATTCTCCTGCCTCAGCCTCTAGAGTAGCTGGGAATACAGGCACGCGCCACCACTCCTGGCTAATTTTTGTATTTTTCAGTAGAGACGGGGTCGCACTATGTTGGCCAGGCTGGTCTCAAACTCCTGACCTCGTGATCCGCCCGCCTCAGCCTCCCGAAGTGATGGGATGACAGGCGTGAGCCACTGCGCCCGGCCTAACATCACACTTACTAAAACAGCATGTTGGCCGGGTGCGGTGGCTCAGGCCTGTAATCCCACCACTTCGAGAGGCAAGGTGGGTTAATCACTTGAGGTCAGGAGTTCAAGACCAGCCTGGCCAACAAGGTGAAACCCCTTCCTACTAAAAATACAAAGAATTGGCCGGGTGTGGTGGCAGGCACCTGTAATCTCAGCTGCTCAGAGGCTGAGGCAGGAGAATCACTTGAGCCTGGGAGGCGGAGGTTGCAGTGAGCCGAGATGGCATCATTGCACTCCAGCTTGGGCAACAAGAGCAAAACTCCGTCTCAAACAAAAAAACTGCAGGTATTTACTGCAAGCCTCTTTTGAGCCAGGCAGCTAACCAATCCACGTAGGTCATCTGCGCAGTCCTTGCTGTTTGCTCTACTTGACACTCTTCTCTCCATGGCTCTGTTCAAACATCGTCTTCTCAGTGTGGCCTTTGCAGGTCACCCTACATAAGATTTCAACCGTTTCCCCCACCATTCTCTCTGCCTTCCTGTTTTTCTCTATAGGACTTAGCACAGTTCCACTTTTTATACTCTATCCTCTCACTAGAATGCAGGACTTATTTGTTGAATATTGGATGTGTGTCAGTATTTTTAAATTTTCCCACGTTGGTCTTTGGGCCACACCAAGGTTGCAGTAAGATTTTATTTTGGCTGGGGGCGGTGGCCCACACCTGTAATCCCAGCACTTTGGGAGGCTAAAGTAGGTGGATTGCTTGAGCCCAGGAGTTCAAGACCAGCCTCAGCAACATAGCGAAAACCCCCTCTACAAAAAATACAAAAATTAGCCAGCATGGTGGCATGCACCTGTAGTCCCAGCTACTTGGGTGGCTGAGGTGGGAGGACTGGTTGAGCCAGGGAGGTTGAGGTTGCACTGAGCCATGATTGCGCCACTGCACTCCAGCCTGGGTGACGGAGCAAGACCCGGTCTCAAAAAAAAGAAAGATTTTATTCTGAAGATTGTGGTTTCCCCCCACAGCTGAAACTACTTCTCATTTGCCTGAGTAATTGTAACTAATATTAATTAAATTACCCTCGGCCTGGGGCTGGGCTGAACCTTCTATGAAAACCTTGACCCAGGGTCAGCTGATGATAAGAGTGCGGCAAGGCCTCACCCCTTACCACTCAGTTTAGAGTACGGCAGAGGGGCATCTTGAACCTGGGCTGTGACACTAATGGCTCACCCTTAGTGAGCTGAAGTCCCAGAGAATGAGCTGCACATTTCATATATGTTACAAATTTAATCTTCCATCTTTCACATTCGTCTATCTTCCCACTCTCAAGTATCCCCGGTGCCCCCGACATTTCTTCACTACCAAAGCCAAGGACACAGGAAGCCACAGACTAAGGAGTTCACAAGAAACTGATCTTTACTCAACAAAGTTCTACACAAGTGGAATCTCACGCCACCTCGGCGCCAATCCCCAGCACAGCACAGTAACAAATGGACAGACCCGGGAGCCCGCAGGGGGAAGAGGGTGAGGAGGGAAAGAGGGACTGTGGCTCAAGGCCAGTCTGGGTCCACAGCCCTGGGTAGGGGAGAAGGTTGAGAAGCTGAAACTTCATTGTGCAAAAAACAACCAAAAATAAATTAAAAAATTAAATAGTTTTTTTTTAAAAAAAAAAAAAAAAAGGAAAACGAGAAGAACCAGGCTCCCCTTCCCTGAAGGTGTTTGTATCCCCCCATCTTGAGTAGCGAGGGGTTACCAATCCCATCAGACAGCCAATCCATCCACACACCCCAAGACCCAGCAGAGGATGCTTCAAAGAACTGGAATTACCAGAAAATTAAAAGGTATTTTTAAAACTTTTTTTTTTTTTTTTAACAAATGGCTTCCAGAGACCTGCTCGAGTTTCATGGGGTGGGCGTGCAGGGACACCCAGCTAATTTATGGAATGTGTACTGAGTGCCCCTTGGAATAGATGCAGGGCCTGACCCTGACTATGGAAAGACACAGGGCTTGGATGGAGGGTCTGGCGCCCAGGAGGGATGGATGGAGCAGGCCCCAGGATGCGAGACTCCAGTCAGACTCCAAAACACAAGGGGCTCCCCAAAGAAGTAGAAAGCAGGGAAGGAAAAAAAGGGAAAAAATGCTAAGGGGGTCTGCAAGGCCCAGTTTTCTGGCCAACTGGGAAGTAACTACACCCCCACCCTCTCTAGGGGAGCCCCTTCCACCTTGACCATGTTCCCAGACTATTCCGGAAGGTTCTCTAGAATTGCTGACCCAGTCTAGTAGGATCTCTGGGCTCACTGGGTACTATGATGAGCAGGAAGTCCCAGGGAGATGGAATAGGGAACAGGGGACACACCACCTTTCCCTTCCACCAAGCCTTGGTTTTCCTTTTTGCTGGCAAAAACCTGTGTCCTCTGTCATCATCAATTAAACGCCCCTGCCCCAGGCCTTGAGTTAAAACTGGGGCCTGAAACGTGAGAAGGGGGTTTCAGAAGCACAGAGAAACGGACTGCCCCTGAAGCTGCTTACAGAGAGAGATGCTCGGGGTAGGTGCCAGTAGCTCTGGCTACACCCAGCTCTCTTCAGGAAAAAGGTCCCAACCCAGTGTCTTCAAAAGCCACTGGAGCACACAGGAAGGAGAAACGGTGACCTCTGGCCAGCCCCAGCCACTCCAGTGGTTCTCACCCTGCGAGCTAGGCTAGGATAAGGACGGAGACACCACCAGCTGAGGCTGCAACAAAGCTGGCAGGGAGTGTGTGGAGTGGGTCCCAAGCATGTGCGTGCTGACAGGGCGACTCCCAAGGTCACCATCCTCCTCCCCCCGCCCCGAGATCCCGCCTGAGGCCCCCCACCCACCCAGCCCTCCCCAGTCACCGCCAATTCCGGCAAAACAGCAGAAGCTTCTTAAACTCTAGATGCAGGTTACACGGAAGGCCTTACGGGTTAACTCAGGGGTTCACTAATTCTACTGTCTCCATGCAGTCGGGGAAATGGTGGAGCGGCTGGCCCAGCCTCGCCGGTTATGGCACCCGCACATGCGTGTGGCCATGTGTGTCCGTGTGAGTGTACGCGTCCCTACGAGGGCCCCCCTCCTGACCTGCTCCTCCCTCACCTCATCCGAAGCCGGATTCGGTCAGCTGTGTAATTCCTCCCTCCCACGTAGCTGGCCCAAGTGGGCTGCCAGAGATGACCCTATTAGAGCCCAGGGGCCCTTGCCCACCAGAAGTCCCCCCCACCTCCCCGTTTGTAGGATGAGCATGGTGGCCCCACCCACCTGCCAGGAGGGCAAGTGGACGGATGGACGGACGGACGGACGGACGGGGAAGGCATCTGGATTTGAGTCCCACTCACTCCTCCCTAACCCCCCTCAACCAGGGCACAGCGACTTCCGGATGCAGCGCACTCCCCAGTAATCCCTCCGACGACGACGCAGACAGAAACCTGCAGGGGGAGGAGGAAGGTCATGGCCTGGGACCTTTCGGCCCCCAAGACAGTGCTGACTTGCCAGCTGCAGTCTCCTTACCTGGCAGTCTCCATGATCACCTAGACCCCATAGAAAGCCGCCAGCCTCTCCTTGAGCAGCGGCGGGAATTGCTCAGAGAACTGCTGCCAGTTATCTTCCCCAACTTGGTCTTTGAAGCCGTGGAGAATCTGTGGGGAGGGTGGTGGTGAGGGGTAGGCAGGGGCAGAACAAGGGGAGTGCGCCTCTTCCCCCATCCCCAGGCCCCATTGTTACCAGATGGTCTCACCCCTGCCTGCTCCCGGAACTAGATCAGGGCCCAGACAGAGCCTCACCTTATAAAACATGTCCCGAAGGTCATCCTTCGGGCTCACCCAGGAGGCTACAGCATCGCAGAAGAAAATAAAGTCCTGAAACGTGACGGATCCCAGGTGAGGGGCCGCCCGAGCCCAGCGCCCGCGCCTGCCCTCAGAGCCCAGCTGCCCCAACCTGCACAACGCCCCCCGGGTTGACACCGATCATCATGCAGATGCCGCGGAAGGCTGAGTCCTTCTCCTCGTTGTCCCTGATGTTCCTGAGGGACGTGCACCTGTGGGAAGGTGAGCAGCTGGAGGTCAGAGGGCAGGCTGGGCATGCATCTGTGGAGGGCTGGGTCACTGGGGATCAGTGAGTGGGCCTGGGACATGCATCTGTGGGGGTGGGGCAGGGCAGGGAGTCAGTAGGCAGATGGGGCTGGAAATGCACAGGCGAGGGAGGGGGTTGGGCCAGTCCCGCCCACCACACAGCAGGCTTGACACGTGGACACACACCAAGGCCGGATGAACTGCTGCAGCATGGGTGCCACCTCCTGGGGGCACACGTAGCCCAAGCGGCCGATGGTGATGGCTGGAATGGCAGAGGGACTCGTCAGGCGACCTGCAACCCCGAGCGGCCCCGGGACGGTACGTGGCGGGGCCTCTGGCACAAGGCACCAAGCCCCGCCCCATGAGCCCCAAGGGAATGGCTACTGCAGCCACCCT
Source organism: Homo sapiens (assembly GCF_000001405.40). Taxonomy (NCBI): domain Eukaryota; kingdom Metazoa; phylum Chordata; class Mammalia; order Primates; family Hominidae; genus Homo; species Homo sapiens. The sequence goes on from NC_000019.10 coordinate 12,702,282, forward strand.
GGTCCCCCAAGCTTGGCCCAGCCAGGGGTCCTCCTCATCACACCTGAGTCACTTCCCAGGTCTCTCTGCATCTATCTTTCTTTCTTTCCTTTCCCTTTCCTTTTTGTTTTTTTTTGTTTTGTTTTGTTTTTGAGATGGAGTCTTGCTCTGTTGCCCAGGCTGGAGTGCAGTGGCATGATCTTGGCTCATTGCAACCTGCCTCAGCCTCCCGAGTAGCTGGGATTGCAGGCACGTGCCATTACCCCCGGCTAATTTTTGTATTTTTTAGTAGAGATGGGGTTTCACCATGTTGGCCAGGCTGGTCTCGAACTCCTGACTTCAGGTGATCTGCCTCCCAAAGTGCTGAGATTACAGGCATGAGCCACTGCACCCAGCCTGAGGCTGCATCTTTCTTGGGGCTTCTCCCAGTGACCCCTTCCAGGTACTTCCAGACACCCTCCTTGGTTCCTTGACAAGGCTCTTTCTGATGCCCTTCCCAGCCCAGAACCCCACCTCCAGAAGGCAGGCAGGGGTGCAGGCAGCAGCCGGGCCAGGTGCCCACCTGTGTTTTCCAGCAGTGTCTTGGGTGTGTTGGGTCGGTTAATGATTTCCACCAGGTTGTTGAGGACCATCTGCACATAAGGCTGCATCTCTGCCCCTGGGGGAGCACCCAGTCAGAGCCCTGCACAGCCCCCGCCACCCACAGGGGCCAGGGGGCCGCCCCACCTCACTCACTACTCGCCCCAGTTCCAACTAGAGACTGGCCAACCACTACCAGTGAGGAAACAAAAGACCTTCTCCGGCTAATCCCCACCCAGAATCCCTGGCCAACCAGGGACAGACCCACACCCTCCAAACAACAGAGGCTTCTCTGGAGTCGCTAAGGTGACAACACGCTGCCCAAGTCAAAGGAAAAAAAAAGCCAAAGTCACCCAACCAATCCGAATGAGTCTTTTAGCCAACTACACAAAACGGTCCAATCAGAACAGCCCTCCTATCCCTCCTCTTTAGAGAAGCCAATCACAAATGACCTTTCTGCTTGGCTCCACCCCTGACGACCCCCAAGAGACTTGCCTTGAAGGAAGCTGTCAGTCAGAGCTAGGCTCCCGCCCCCAGGTTGAGAACAGGCTAATGGGGGGCGCGTGTTGCCACTTGCAGGGCACTCACCCATCTGCATGCAGATTTCACCAATGGCCCAGGTGGCGTTGTTGCAGACGGAGATGAACTCTGGGTTCAGGTTGGTGCCCAGAATGGGCATGAACTCGGCTGGTGGGGAGAAACAGGGGTGCTGAGAAGGAGGGCCAGCCAGGGTAAGCTGCAGGACCTAGTCCAGCAGGCCCCATCAGACAGTACGAATACATCCCAATGTGGTCACAGTCATCCCCGGGTATTGCTCTCCATCACTTGAGGCCGGGGCTGGGGTCATGGGTTAGGGACAAGGCGAGTGTCGTACCGATACAGGGCTTGACATGGATGAAGCAGGCTTTGGTGAGGTCTCCCAGGAGGGCAAAGGAGCTCTGCCGGACCTCAGGCATCGAGTCCTGGGGATTCAAGTAAGATCAGTGTGGCTAGGCTCCCCTCCTTCTAACCAGGACAGCTCAGGGGGCACAGTCCCTGGTGCATGTCCAGCCTCTGCCACTTTCCAGTTCTAGAGCTCCTAGCTGTTCCTTAACCTCCCTAGCCTCCAGCCCACATCTGCAAATGGGAGATGGCAGTGCCCCAACGGTCATCCCTCAGTGTCCGTGGGGGATTCTTTCCAGGTCCCTGCAGATATAAAAATCCACGGATGTGCAAGTCCTTGATATAAAGTGGCACAGTGTTAGGGCCAGGCGCAGTGGTTCATGCCTGTAATCTCCAGCACTTTGGCAGGCCGAGGCAGGCAGATCACTTGAGGTCAGGAGTTTGAGACCAGCCTGGCCAACATGGCAAAACCCTGTCTTTACTAAAAATACAATAAAATTAGCCAGGCATAGTGGGACACGCCTGTAGTCCCAGCTTCTTGAGAGGCTAAGGCAGGAGAACTGCTTGAACCCTGGAGGTGAAGGTTGCAGTGAGCCGAGATCACACCATTGCACTCCAGCCTGGGTGACAGAGTGAGACTCTGTCTCAAAAAACAGGTGGGGGGCGGTGGGGGGGGCATAGTGTTTGCATATGCACCTATGCACATTCTCCTGTACACTTAGCATCATCTCTAAATCACTTATATCTAATACAATGTCAACAGTATGGGAATAGTTGTTATACTGTATTGTTTAGGGAATAATAACAAGAACAAACTTCTGTATGCGTTCAGTACAGATGTAATTTTTCCTCTGAGTATTTTCAATCTGAGGTTACTTGAATCTTGGGATGTAGAACCCACAGATACAGAGAGCCAACTGTGCTGGGGCAGGGACTTGGGCTTTCACATTTTCTATTTTCTTTTCTTTCTTTTTTTTTGAAGACAGAGTCTCAGTTTATTGCCCAGGCTGGAGTGCAGTGGCATGATCTCAGCTCACTGCAACCTCTGCCTCCTGGGTTCAAGCAATTCTCCTGCCTCAGCCTTCCAAGTAGCTGGGATTACAGGCGCCTACCACCATGCCTGGCTAATTTTTGTATTTTTCGTAGAGACAGGATTTCACCGTGTTGGCCAAGCTGCTCTCAAACTCCTGACCTCAAGTGATTCACCTGCCACAGCCTCCCAAAGTGCTGGATTATAGGCGTGAGCACCTGGCCTCACATTTTCTATTTTCAATACTGTTTGCTTTAAAAAAAATTTTTTTTTTTAATTTTAGAACTGGGGTTTCACTATGTTGCCCAGGCTGGTCTCAAACTCCTGGGCTCAAGCAATCCTGCCTCGGCCTCCAGGATTACTCTTTAAAATAATTAGAACAGCACCTTTTCCCTGATTTCCTTTGGGCACAACCAGGCCCTGACTCCCCACCAGGGGCAGCCCACGCAGGCTGCTGGGTGTCATCACTGTCCAGGGTCCCCACCCACCTGCATGCACTGGAACAGCAATGTCATGATGTTGCTGCGGGCCACCAGCTGCTCCACGTGACCACCCAGGCCCTCGGCCAGGCCGCTGAGCAGATCCAGTGCTACGATCATGAAGTCCTTGTCGGGAGCCTCATACTGCTCAGGGTGCTGGGTGTACATCTAGACACAGATGCCGACAGGGGCACGGGTAAGTGGAGCAGGCCCGAGGCAGGCCAATGCAGAAGCACAGGTGACGGGCCTAGGGTTGCTCACCATGGCCTGAGCCAGTGTCTTCTGCACCAGGGTGACACAGCGCTGGTAGACGGGCTCACAGTAAGGCAGGAAGCCACTCTGCAGGGCGGTGGCCACCGATGACAGACACTGGCAGGGAGGAAGGCAGGTGGGGAGAACTCAGGCAGGGTGGGCAGGATGGGTTTCGGGTGAGGGGCAGGAGCCCACTCACCTCCAGCAGGGGGAAGAGGTCCTTGTCTTCGTCCTTGAGCTCATTCCACTTCTGGATCAGTGGGGGCATCAGCTTCTGGATGTATTCCTGGAGAGGGAGCACGAAATGGGCGCTCCCTGGGTCGGGGTGGCAGACTGTGACTCAGGTACCTGTTGCCCGAGTGATGAGGCCTGAGCGCCTCACCGTGGCTCATGGGACCCTGAAAGGCCTGCCATCTGGCCAGACCTCGAGGCCTTCATTCTTCTCACCTGTCCAAGCACCGCCCGCCCCACCCCACCCCCCGGGAGCCTGGGTTACCACCTCCTGGTTCCCGAAGCACAGCACTTACCACGCTGTCTCATAACTGTCTTTCTCCCCCACTAGACTGGGAGCAGGGCGAGGGCGGGGCCGGGTCTGTCTGTCTGCCTGTCGAGGTCACGGCCACGTCCCTGGCGTGCAACACGGGGTTGCCACCAGGTCACTGGATGCCCAGGGGCACGGGGATCGGGAGGCGGGAGCCGCTCTGGGGTCTCACCGGCTGGTTGAGGTGGTGGCCTACAGAGTCGGCCAGGGTGCCAATGGCGTCATAGAGGATGAGCAGGTTCTTGTGCTGGTATTTCCCAAAGGCAAAGACAAGGGTGTCCAGGATGTAGCTGAGGTAGGGCACCAGCTCCGTGCAGGCCTCTTCCTCCAGGGTGGCAAAAGCACTGGTGGGAGGGAGGATGAAGCGGGGGCTCAGTGGACCATGGCAGGTGACACTGGGCCATGGGCAGTTGGGGAGGGCAACTCAGGATCAGCCAGTACGAATACGCGATAAATCAGTTCCACATCAACAGTCACAGGTGTCATCACTTCCCAGAGGGTGGCCGGGGGAGAGTGGGGGCTGTGGGATCAGGGGTCCAGGGTCACCTGCAGGCCGCCTCCTGTACCCTCTTGTTGCCATCCAGGATGCGTTTGAGCAGCTCTGTCATCAGGGGCTTGAGGTGCATGTCGGGTGGCTGGCTGACCACCCAGTGGGCATAGCGGCTCAGCGTCCAGCAGGCGATGGAGCGGACCAAGGCCTTCTTATCCGACAGGCACTGGATCAGGTGCGGGATCAGCTCAGGCAGGTAGGGCACCATGCCCTGCATGCAGCCTACAAGGAAAGGGAACCAAGAGGGGGCAGTTTGATTGGGCCCAGCCACACCCACCGTATGGAGAGAAGAGTCAGCCGCACACAACATATAGGGAAACTGAGGCTTAGAGTTTAAATCACTGGCCCAGACTCATTTCACAGAGCCAGGTAAAGGCAGGCACAGGAGGGGAAACAACAGAAGCCTCTCATCCCAAAGCCCCGGGTTATCTTTATTTTTTTTTGAGGCAGAGTCTCGCTCTGTCGCCCAGGCTGGGGCGCAGTGGTACGATCATGGCTCACCGCAACCTTCACCTCCTGGTTCAAACAATTCTCCTGCCTCAGCCTCCCAAGTAGCTGGGATTACAGGCCTCTGCCACAATGCCCGGGGAATTTTTTATATTTTCAGTAGAGACAGGGTTTTACCATGTTGACCAAGATGGTCTCAGTCTCCTGACCTCGTGATCCACCCGCCCTGGCCTCCCAAAGTGCTGGGATTACAGGCGTGAGCCACCGCGCCCAGCCAAAGAGCTCCGTGTTATTGCGTTAATTCAATTCATGCATTAATTCATGTGTTAATTGAATTCATGTGTTAATTCAAAATTGGCTCCGTTACATAGTGAGTGGGGTTTTATGGGGCAGCAGTGACCCAAATGGAATAAAAGCACTTTGCATTTGAAACAGTTCTTAAGATGTTTGTGAGTTTTCTTTTTTTTTTTTTTTTTTTTTTTTTTTTGAGATGGAGTCTTGCTCTGTTGCCCAGGCTAGAGTGCAGTGGTGTGATCTGGGCTCACTGCAGCCTCTGCCTCCCGGGTTCAAGTGATTTCCTGCCTAAGCCTCCCAAGTAGCTGGGACTGCAGGCGCCCGCCACCATACCCAACTAATTTTTATATTTTTAGTAGAGACGGGGTTTTACCATGTTGGCTAGACTGGTCTTAAAATCCCGACCTCACGTGATCCCACCTCAGCCTCCCAGAGTGCTGCGATTATAGGTGTCTGGCCGTTTATGATTGTTCTATTTCTCCTTATTTTTGTTTAATTTTTTAATTTATTATTATTATTTTTTTGAGACGGAGTCTTGCTCTGTTGCCCAAGCTGAAGTACAGTTGCACAATCTTGGCTCACTGCAACCTCCGCCTCCCTGATTCAAGCAATTTTCCTGCCTCAACCTCCCCAGTAGCTGGGACTACAGGCGTGGGCCACCACGTGTGGCTAATTTTTCATATTTTTAGCAGAGACGAAGTTTCACCGTGTTAGCCAGGCTGGTCTCGAACTCCTGACCTCAGTTGATTCAACCGCCTCGGCCTCCCAAAGTGCTGGGATTACAGGCGTGAGCCACTGTGCCCAGCCATTTTTAACAATTTTTTAATGTTTTCTTTGAGACAGAGTCTCGCTCTGTCCCCCAAGGAGGAGTGCAGTGGTGTGATCTCCACTCACTGCAACCTCTGCCTCCCAGGTTCAAGTGATTGTCGTGCCTCAGCCTCCCAATAGCTAGGACTACAGGTATGCACCACCACACCTGGCTAATTTTTGTATTTTTAGCAGAGATGGGGTTTTGCCATGTTGGCCATGCTGGTCTTGAACCCCTGGCATCAGGTGATCCACCCGCCTTGGCCTCCCAGAGTGCTGGGATTACAGGCTTAAGCCACCACACCCAGGGTTTTTTTTTTTTTTTAAAATATCACGAACTCTGCTCTTTTATTTAAAGAGAACAAAGATAATAGCACATTGCCAATAATCCAAGACACAAGATCTATGTTTACCAGTTTGAGCTCAACTCCTATAGATCTTTTTACCATAAACATGTAATACAGGCCGGGTGCGGTGGCTCACGCCTGTAATCCCAGCACTCTGGGAAGCTGAGGCAGATGGATCACCTGAGGTCAGGAGTTCGAAACCAGCTTGACCAACACAGTGAAAGAAACCCCGTCTCTGCTAAAAATACAAAAATCAGCCAGGTGCGGTGGTGGACACCTGTAATTCCAACTACTTGGGAGGCTGAGGCAGGAGAATCTCTGGAACTCGGGAGGCAGAGGTTGCAGTGAGTCAAGATTGCGCCATTGCACTCCAGCCTGGACAGTAAGAGCAAAACTCCGTCTCAAAAAAAAAGAAATTAGCCAGGCCTGGTGGTGAATTCCTGCAATCCCAAGCTACTCTGGAGGCTGAGGCAGGAGAATTGCTTGAACCCGGGAGGCAGAATGTTGTTGCAGTGAGCCAAGATCACACCACTGCACTCCAGCCTGGGCGATAAGAGGGAGACTCCATCTCAAAAAAAAAAGAAAAAAAAAAGAGGCCAGGCGTGGTGGCTGGCTGGGCAAGGTGGCTCACACCCGTAATCCCAGCACTTTGGGAGGCCAAGGCAGGCAGATCATGAGGTCAGGAGATAGAGACCATCCTGGCCAACGTGGTGAAACCCTGTCTCTACTAAAAATACAAAAAAATTAGCTGGGCGTGGTGGCATGCACCTGTAGTCCCAGCTACTCAGGAGGCTGAGGCAGGAGAATCACTTGAACCTGGAAGGCGGAGGTTGCAGTGAGCCAAGATCATGCCACTGCACCCCAGCCTGGCGAGAAAGCAAGACTCAGTCTCAAATAAATAAATAAATAACACAGCTTATGTAATCTATTAACATATGTAAGCGTATTGTGTGATATATACCCTATTAACATGAGATATGAGATACATTAAACACATATTACATGTCGAAACATTTCTTTAGACAATTTTTTTTTGAGACAGGGTCTCAGTCTGTTCTCCATGCTGGAACGCAGTGGCGCAATCATGGCTCACTGCAGCCTTGACCTCTCACCTCAGCCTCCCAGTTAGTTGGGACTATAGGCACTTACCACCACGCCGGCTAATTTTATCAGGTTTTTTTTTTTTTTTTTTTTGGTAGATATGAGGTCTCACTATATTGCCCAGGCTGGTCTTGAACACCTGGGCTCAAACGATCTGCCTGCCTCAGCCTCCCAAAGTGCTAGGATTACAGGCATGAGCCACCACACCTGGCCTTTTTAAAAAATTTTTTGTAGAAAGAGGGTTTCCCTATGTTGCCCAGGCTGGTCTCGGACTCCTGGGCTAAAGCAGTTGTCCTGCTTCAGCCTCCTGAGTAGCTGGGATTACAGGCGTGCACCACAGTAACTAGACAAATTTTAGACAAATTTTGAAAGCTTACAAGGTTGAGGGTTTTTGCTGCCATGCCTGAAATTTTTGGCACAGGTCTGGATGCTGAGGCAATGGTATATGATGCCTCCAACGGACTCACAAAGCCCTCCTGTAACAAGTTTTATGTCCCACCGGGACCATGGGAGCCTGAAAACCCCACCGATTACAGAACACCAGGTTGAATTTGATGAAACACCACCTACCACGGGTTACTACTGACTCTGGCAGGCCAGCCCGGCAGCCAGGAACAGGTTTAAGGCCCAGACACACCCTGAGTGACTGTAAGGAAGTGGCATCAATCTTTCTGTACCTCAGTTTCCCCATCTTCGAAACTGGGATCCGGCACCCAGCTCATCAGGTGGTGGTGAGGGCCAAGGATGTTTGTCTACATAAGTGCACGAGGCAAGCATGCAGCTGTGCCTGCTGTTATTATCATTGTTGCTGTAATTATGCTTACAACATGAAAGAACTACCTGCCTGCAAGAATGAACAAGAGGCCTTGCACTGTGGGGCTCCAGGGGTTCCTTTCAGGCCCAGGAACCAAGGGGAGAATTGAGATCTCAGAGCTGTTTGGAGTGGGGTGAGTAGGCCTCCAGGGAGAACTGAGGCATTGGTGTGGCTAGTAATGTGGGCCAGCCCTACAGTCTCATGCCAGCACAGGGCTCAGAGATCAGGCGCACTCACCCTCAGCAATGGCGCCCAGCACCAGGATGCCCGACTCCTTGACCACCCACTCGGGGTGGAAGAGGAGGCCTTTGAGTAGTGGGAGTAGGTGGGGCAGCAGTTCCTCCCGGAAGACATTGGCGAGGACGTCCAGTGCAGCCGCTGAGCACTTCCCTGGGGAAGGGGGAACAATGGGGAGGCTCAGGGCGGCCCCTCAGGCAGGTGGCCGACCCTCCTTGACTGCACTCCCAGGATCAGAGATCATGCTCAGAATCTTCACGATCAGCTTCTTTTTTTTTGTTTTGTTTTTTTGAGACGGAGTCTCACTTTTTCCGCCCAGGCCGGAGTGCAGTGGCGCTATCTCGGCTCACTGCAAGCTCCGCCTCCTGGGTTCATGCCGTTTTCCTGCCTCAGCCTCCCGAGTAGCTGGGACTACAGGCGCCCGACACCACGCCCGACTAATTTTTTGTATTTTTAGTAGAGACGGGGTTTCACTGTGTTAGCCAGGATGGTGTTGATCTCCTGACCTCGTGATCCGCCCGCCTCAGCCTTCCAAAGTGCTGGGATTACAGGCGTAAGCCACTGCGCCCGGCCACGATCAGCTTCTAATCAGCTTCTGCCTCAGCTTCTAGTCACCTCCCAAGAGGGAGTCCAGGGCTTGCCACCCCACCACCACCCCCAGGCAGGGGCACACACTCAAATTCCAGTCGGACAGAGCATCATCATCATCGTCATCCTCCGCGTCCTCGGAGCCATCAGGCCGCTCAGCCTCGTGGGGCAGTGTGACCGTGCGTGACTTGTGGAAGCGTGGCTTGATGTCCTGCTCACTGTCGGGGACAGCCTCATCCTCCTCCACATCCCCCTGGGGGACAGGCAGACTGTTAAGTACTTTGGGGACCACAGCCGCGACACCCACGCCCATGCCCACCCATGCTGGGTGGGCCCTGCCTGACCTTGAGCAGGATGATGTCAATTTCCGAGTACTTCATCCCATTCACCAAGATGGGGATCAACCTGCACAGAGAGGGACTGTTTATGGGGATGCAGGGGCCGTGGCAAAAGTTGGGGGGAGGCACAGCTTGGGGAGGAGGCAAACAGGTGCCAACAGAGTGACCAGCCCCCCAATCAGCCACAGAGCAGACCCTGCAGAGCATGATGGTACTGCTAGGTGCAAATTGATCCATTTCCCTCTGGGGAATTATCGGAATCTAGTCTCTGCCGCTATGATTAGGATATAAATGATACCACTCCTGCCTCCAGAGAAAGGTTTTTTTTTTTTTTTCTTAAGAAGCAGGGTCTAACCCTGTGGGCGGCAAGCCACCCAGGCACCGAGGCAAGAGACAGAGGACACGAGCTGTTCCAGTATAATAAAATATAAAACAAGAATAGTTATACCAGATATAGATCTTAGATATGATTATATATGAATATCATTAATCATTAGTTTGTAGCAATTACTTTTTATTCCAATATTATGATAATCCTCGCTCTATAATCATAGCCTAGGAAAAACCAGGCCATACAGAGATAGGAGCTGAGGGGACATAGTGAGGTGTGACCAGAAGACAAGAGTGCGAGCCTTCTGTTATGCCCGGACAGGGCCACCAGAGGGCTCCTTGGTCTAGCGGTGACGCCAGCATCTGGGAAGACGCCCGTTACCAGGCGGATCATGGTCCAGCGGTAGCAAAAGGTGTCAAGGAACAACACCCGCTACTTAGCAGACCAGGAAAGTGGGGGAGTCTCCCTTTCCCCGGGGGAGTTTAGAGAAGACTCTGCTCCTCCACCTCTTGTGGAGGGCCTGACATCAGTCAGGTTTGCCCGCAGTTATCCGGAGGCCTAACCGTCTCCCTGAGATGCTGTGCTTCAGTGGTCACACTCCTAGTCTGCCTTCATGTTCCATCCTGTACACCTGGCTCTGCCTTCCAGATAGCAGTAGTAAATTAGTGAAAATACTAATAGTCCCTGATATGCAGAAATAATGGCATACGCTGTCTTTCTCTTTGTCTACTCTCCCTCTCTGCCTCGGCTGCCAGGCAGGGAAGGGCCCCCTGTCCAGTGGACACGTGACCCATGTGACCTTACCTATCATTGGAGGTGACTCACATTCTTTACCCTGCCCCTTCTGCCTTGTATGCAATAAATAACAGCGCAGCCAGACATTTGGGGTCACTACCGGTCTCCGCGCATTGGTGGTAGTGGTCCCCCGGGCCCAGCTGCCTTTTCTATTATCTCTTTGTCTTGTGTCTTTATTTCTACACTCTCTCATCGCCGCACACAGGAAGAGACCCACCGACCCTGTGGGGCTGGTCCCTACGTAACCCTATCACCCAGGCTGGAGTGCACTGGTGCGATCACAGCTCACCACAGCCTCATGCTCCTGGGCTCATGCAATCCTCCTGCCTCAGCCTCCCAAAGTGCTAGGATTATAGGCGTGAGCCATGGCACTCAGCCTGCAGGAAAGCTCTTGACCCAGGCCTGGCCACTCAGTGGATTATAGACCCCTGAATACACTGAAAATCTTGGTACAGTGCCTGGTCCCTAGCACAACATTAAGGCAGGGACATGCGGTCCTATTCCTGGCCACTTTCCTGAGATAGGGCAGAGACTAGCCAGAGTAGGGGAGCAAACAGACTAGGCAGCCAGCCCCTCAGCTGCAGCCCAGAGTTGTAAGTGACAGAGCCTTCATCACCTGCTCATCTAGGTCTCATCACTCCCCAGGAGCCGTCTGCCCAGCCCTAGACTGTTATCAATAATTTGGGGCCGGGCACAGGGGCTCACACCTGTCATTATAGCACTTTGGGAGACCAATGCAGGAGGATTGCCTGAGCCCATAAGTTTGAGACCAATTGGGACAATATAGTGAGACCTCACCTCTAATGAATGATAAATAAATAAATAAATAAATAAATAAATAAATAAACATACAATATGCTGGGCGTGGTGACTCACGCCTGTAATCCTAGCACTTTGGGAGGCCAAAGTGGGCAGAACACAAGGTCAGGAAGCTGAGGCAAGAGAATCGCTTGAACCCGAGGGGCGGAGGTTGCAGTGAGCCGAGATTGTGCCACTGCCCTCCAGCCTGGGCAGCAGAGTGAGACTCCGTCTCAAAAACAGAAATTTCAAAATAATAATAATAATGATCTGGGGGCTGGGTACAGTGGCTCGCACCTGTAATCTCAACACTTTAGGAGACCAAGACAGGAGGACTGCTTGAGGCCAGGGATCCGAGACCAGCCAGAGCAACTTAGCAAGACCTCATCTCTACTAAAACTTAGAAAAGATTAGCTAGGTGTGGTGGGATGTGCCTGTAATCCCAGCTACTTGGGAGGCTGAGGTAGGAGGATTGCTTCAGCTGGGAGGTCAAGGCTGCAGTGAGCCATGATTTTGACACTCCACTCCAGCGTGGATGACAGAGCAAAACCTTGTCTCAAAATAAAAAAGAAAAAAATGATTTGGAGAGAGGCAAGCAATCCAAGTTTGTCAAGGAGGGTCAGTTTTAGGACTTTTGTTGGAAACACTGGTCGAAAATTTCTTTACTCTGAAGTTCCTAAGCTGGAAGGGCACAGAAGGCTACAGCACTACCCAGAGGGAAGGTTGTGCCTAAGAATGAAGCCAACACAAGGGAAGCAGATCTGAGACCACAAAGATGCCTTTCACATCCTTTGAGCTCCTGGATACAGCCATACCCCTGAAGCCTTTGTTGATTTTTCATTTCTTTTTTTTTTTTTTTTGAGACGGAGTTTTGCTCTGTCACCCAGGCTGGAGTGCAGTGGCACGACCTTGGCTCACTACAACCTCAGCCTCCTGGGTTCAAGCAATTCTCCTGCCTCACCCTCCCAAGCAGCTGGGACTACAGGCGCCTGCCACCACGCCCAGCTATTTTTTTATATTTTTAGTAGAAATGGGGTTTCACCGTGTTAGCCAGGCTGGTCTCGATCTTCTGACCTTGTGATCTGCCCGCCTCGGCCTCCCAAAGTGCTAGGATTACAGGTGTCAGCCACCACATGTGGCCATTGATTTTTCATTTCTTTCCACCTATCAGTTACCTAATTTTGAAGTCTTCAAAAAGTGGCATTCTTACCACTTACACATAAATATATACTGAATGTAAACTGACAAGGATGTGGACTGAGAGAAGCACAGCAGGTGACCAGAAGGGAAGGCAGAGGCATAGCAAGGGGTCGAAGCTGGGGTAGGACAGTGGGCAGCAGCAGCACTCACTGGACCAGATGGGAGGCCAGGACTTCCTTGCAGATGGGCTGCTCGGCCAGCGTCAGCCAGAACTCACAGGCCTCAAGGGCAACGTTCTCATCATGGTCCTGGGTCCTCTGCAGCATGTACTGTGGTAGGGGGGAGAAGCTGAGGCCTGGCCTGGCTGGGGGTGGCTCCCTGACCCCTGCCACCGGCCCCCTGCCTGCCCGCCTGGGCTGGCCTTGACCATGCACACCTGGATGATGCTGTGCATGTGGGGGATGAGCCTGTCAATCCGCACTTCCAGAAGCATCACCAGGGCACGGCACACATTCTTCCGCACCTCGGGGTCATCATCCACAGCCAGGGCAAATAGGTGCTGCAGGGAGGAACAGGGTCAGTTGTAGGGGCCCTCAGTCCTCGCCCTGCCCACCCCCAGCCCAGCGGCCCACCTCGATGAAGGTGTCAATATTGTCCATCAGCGCCTGGGCCCGGTCCATGATGAACTGGTTCACGCAGGCGATGGCGTGGGACCTGGCGGGGAGCAGACACGTGGGTCACCCTGACCCTGCCCACTCCAGGCTCCCTGGAAGCCCCCAGGGAGCTGCACCCACCGGATCTTGGGACTGCAGTGCTTGAAGAACTGCAGGAACTTGGGGATCATGATGTTGAGGGGCCTGTTGAGGGCGTCACTGTCCAGAAGCTCTGATGAGTCTTCACAGATCTTCTGCAGGGCTCCAAAGGCTCCCTGAGTGCAGAGGGGCAGAGAGACAAACGTGGGTGGTGGGTGGTGGTCCCAGCCCCCCAGTACTCGCTCTGGCCATCCATGGCTTCTTGCCTACCTCACAAGTGTTGTAATCCTCCGAGTTAAGCAGGTTGCAGAGCTGGGGCAGCAGCTCGGGCCACATCTGCAGCTCACCCTTGGAAGCGATGGTGGTGATGAGAATGCCTGGGGCGGCCGGGAAAGGACGCTGCCTGAGGCTGGGCAGGGGCTGCCTAGCACCTCCCCCTCCCACTGGACACCCCCAGTGCTGCCTTTCTGTTCCCTAGCCCATGTACGCCCTCTACATCCCCCCTCCTTTTTTTTTTCTTTGTAAGAGATAGAATTAGCTCTGTTGCCCAGGCTGGACTGCTGTGGCACAATCAATAGTCCACAGCAGCCTCAAACTCCTGGCCTCAAGCCATCTTCCTGCCTCAGCCTCCTAAGTAGCTGGGACTGCAGGCACATGCCACCACGCCCAACTAATTTTTAAAATTGTTTGTAGAGATGGGATCTCACTATGTTGCCCAGGCTGGCCTAAAACTCCTGGCCTCAAGCAATCCTCCTGCCTTGGCCTCCAAAAGCACTGAGATTACAGGCGTGAGCCACCGCTCCTGGCCTTGACATAGGTAGAAGGGTACTCCTTGACTCAGTAGGCACCCTGAGCCTTACTGTGAGTCAACTCTGTTCCAGGCCCTGAGGCACAGCACAGAGCAAAACACAAAATCCTCACCCTTGGGAGCTGGAAGCAAGCTATGAAGTAAAGATAAATTAGCAAAAAAAACTGGGAGGGGCCGTGCATGGGTGGCTCATGCCTGTAATCCCAGCACTTTGGGGGACCGAGGTGGGTGGATCACTTGAGGTCAGGAGTTCGAAACCAGCCTGGCCAACATGGTGAAACCCCATCTCTACTAAAAATACAAAAATTAGCTGGGTGTGGTGGGGGGCACCAGTAATCCCAGCTACTTGGGAGGCCGAGGCAGGAGAATCACTTGAACCTGGGAGGCAGAGGTTGCAGTGAGCAGAGATCGCGCCACAGCACTCCAGCCTGGGATGGAGCAAGACTCCATTTCAAAAACAAACAAAACAAAAACAAACAACTGGGAGGGGCCACATGCCAAGGACTAAGGGGGGAAATACAGCAGAAAAGATGGTGAGAAAGGGCTGTAGGTGAAGGTAGCAACTTTAAATTGGGTGGCCAGAGCAGGCCTCGTTGAGGTGACATCTTGATATCTGAGCCAAGGCCTGAAGGAGGTGAAGGAGGCGAGGGAGGAATCATCCAGGTTTCTGGGGAAAGGGCATCTGAGGCAGGGGACTCTATGGTGCAAAGGCCTGGCGTAAGGACAGGCATGATGAGAGAGGGAAAGGAGGTAAGGGCAGGAAGGTGGCAGGGATGCTTGTACTGCCTATTAGATATCCAGGAGTTACATACAGCAGGCATCTGAGGTGCCAGGACAGTGCACATATCTGGTGACAGAGCTGGATATGGGTTCTGTTAAGTGCAGAGATGGTATTTGCTGCCATGAGATGGCAGTGTTTCCCAAGGGTGGAAACTCAACGAGAGAAAGGTGCTCCCTGCAATGGGTAGGTACACAGTGAGGATTGTGGAACTTTAGCCACACCCCCTCATTCTGTGTGCCTCAGTGCTTCCAGCCCTCAGAAGAGATAAAGAAAACCAGCCTCCTAACTAAGGTTATCAGTAGGTTTCTTTTTCTCTCTTTTTTTTTTTTTTTTTTTTTGAGATGGAGTCTCACTCTGTAGTCCAGGCTGGAGTGCAGTGGCACAATCTTGGCTCACTGCAACCTCCACCTCCCGAGTTCAGGTAATTCCCCTGCCTCAGCCTCTGAAGCAGCTGGGATTACAGGTGCCCGCTGCCACACTCAGCAAATTTTTGTATTTTTAGTAGAGATAGAGTTTCACCATGTTGGCCAGGCTGGTCTCGAACTCCTGACCTCAGGTGATCCACCTGCCTCAGCCTCCCAAGGTGCTGGGATTAGAGGCGTGAGCCACTGTGCTCAGCCTGGATCAGTAAGTTTCAATGACTTAGCAAAGAGCCTGGCACATAGAATGAGCTCAGGAAGTCCACATCCTACTACTGGCCTGGGAGGGGGTTTTTGCAGGACTAAAAGTTACTTTTTATTTTTGAGATGGAATCTCAGTCTGTTGCCCAGGATAGAGTACAGTGGCATTATCTTGGCTTACTGCAACCTCTGCCTCCCGGGCTCAAGCAATTCTCCTGCCTCAGCCTCTCGAGTAGCTGGGATTACAGGTGCCCACCAGCTGTAATTCCCAAGTAATTTTTTGTATTTTCAGTAGAAACGGAATTTCACCATGTAGGCCAGGCTAGTCTCCAACTCCTGATCTCAAGTGATCCGCCTGCCTTGGCCTCCCAAAGTGCTAGGACTATAGGCGTGAGTTACCACACCCAGCCAGAAGTCATTTTTTTTGTTTTTATTTTATTTAGTTTTTTTTGAGATGGAGTCTTGCTCTGTTGCCCAGGCTGGAGTGTAGTGCCGCAATCTCGGCTCACTGCAACCTCTGCCTCCTGGGTTCAAGCAATTCTCCTGCCTCAGCCTCCTGAGTAGCTGGGATTATAGATGTTCACCACCACGCCCAGCTAATTTTTTTTTTTTTGAGATGGAGTCTCGTTGTATTGCCAGGCTGGAGTGCAGTGGCGCCATCTCGCCTCACTGTAACCTCCAACTCCTGGGTTCAAGTGATTCTCCTGCCTCAGCCTCCCGAGTAGCTGGGACCACAGGCGAGTGCCACCACGCCCAGCTAATTTTTTCTATTTTTAGTAGAGATGGGGTTTCACCACATTGGCCAGGATGGTCTTGATTTCCTGACCTTGTGATCCGCCCACCTCAGCCTCCCAAAATGCTGGGATTACAGGTGTGAGCCACCATGCCTGGCCAGCTAAGTTTTTTGTATTTTAAGTAGAGACGGGGTTTCACCATGTTGGCCAGGCTGGTATTGAACTCAACCTCTGGTGATTTGCCTACCCTGACCTCCCAAAGTTGCTGGGATTACAGGCGTGAGCCTATTCTTAGTCATCTTTCTGTAACTTCCTCAGGCCACCTTCCAAGAGTCAGAAAAGGCTCTGCTGAAAACCTAATTCCGTTGCACCTGAAACATGAATACCTGCATTATTTTAACTGCTATACCCTTAGCACTCAGCCCAAGGCCGAACACAAAATTCTAGATGTTGCATGACTGTCTCAGAGCCAAGAAGGACTGTTTCAGGAGGGAGTGGTTCCAGAGCGTGGCCCTGCACTGCCTCAGCTGTTTCTGACTTCTGCTGCTTACCCAGACAGGTCCCTTAATAGCTCAGCGCCTCAGCTTCCTCATCTATCAAATGGCAATAGTAATAGTACTACCATAGAGGGTGCCAGAGCATTCCATGAAGCACTACACTTAACATGCTGAGAAGTGAGAGTTCAGTGTGTCCTCAGAGGCCAACCCCCGCTGCCCCTCTCACCAATGGTGGCTCGGATGAGCGAGGAGGCATCGCCAATGTTGTTGAGACACTCCTGTTTGATGAAGTCTGCCACAGGGGGTGGGAAGCTCTGATAGTGTGCCTTCACGTTGTTCTTGAGGATGAGGCCACTGAGAGAGCGCGTTGGCTCATCTGGGAGGAGGAAGGCTGAGGTTCAGGGGCCCAGGGGGAGAAAGCAGGGTCCCGATCGCATGGAAGGGAGCAGAGGGCGTACCTTCTGACTTGAGTCTGGTCAGGACGAAAATCAGGTAGTTGTTGAAGTCAGGAAACTGATTGAGTTGTTTGAGTTTCTGCCAGGCTGTTAAGGGACTTGGAAGACAGAGGCCTTCCCCCAGCCAGGTCCCCTCATTATGTACCTGACACTATCTCTGACCACTGGGACCAGGCTGCCAGCTCCTGGGGGATCCCGCTCCCTAATAAGCCCACAATGACACAGAGCACCTCAGACACGTCAAATTCATATAAGGGGCCGGGCGCGGTGGCTCACGCCTGTAATCCCAGCACTTTTTGGGAGGTCAAGGCGGGTGGATCACAAGGTCAGGAGTTCGAGACTAGCCTGGCCAGCGTGGTGAAACCCCATCTCTACTAAACATACAAAAAAATTATCCGGGCATGATGTGTGCGTGCCTCTATTCCCAACTACTTGGGAGGCTGACGCAGGGGAATCGCTTGAACCCAGCAGGTGAAGGTTGCAGTGAGCCGAGATTGCGCCTCTGCATTCCAGTCTGGGCGACAGAGCAAGACTCCATCTTGAAAAAAAAAAAAATCATACAAGGAGTTGGGTGGAAATGTCTGAGTTTCCCATCCACTCCTGAAGACCCAGCCAGAGCAGGAGAGGGAAGGAGAATCCCACTCCTCTTAAAGTGGCAGCTACTAGTCAGCGATCCCCACTAACAGGCCATGAAGACTTTTTTTTTTTTTTTAAAAGAGGGAATCCAAATTTTGGGGTGAGTCATGCTCATGGTTTAAATATTTATTTATTTATTTTCAGACAGAGTCTCACTCTGTCACTTAGGCTGGAGTGCAGTGGCACGATCTCCGCTCACTGCAACCTCCGCCTCCCAGGTTCAAGCGATTCTCCTGCCTCAGCCTCCCAATTAGCTGAGATTACAGGCTTCTGCCACCACACCTGGCTTAATTTTTGTATTTTTAGTAGAGACAGGGTTTCTCCATGTTGGCCAGGCTGGTCTCAAAACTCCTGACCTCAGGTGATCCGTCCGCCTCGGCCTCCCAAAGTGCTGGGATTGCAGGCGTGAACCACCGCGCCTGGCCTATATATCTTTTCTTTGAGACAGGGTCTGGCTCTGTCGCCCAGGGTGGCTGGAGTACAGTGGCACAATCTCAGCTCACCACAACCTCTACCTCCTGGGCTCTAGCCATCCTCCCACCTCATCCTCCCAAGTAGCTGGGACTACATGTGCATGCCACCACACCTAGCTATTTTTTGTATTTTTTGTAGAGATGGGGTCTCCCTATGTTGCCCAGGCTGGTCTCAAACTCCTGGGCCCAAGCGATCTACCTGCTTCGGCCTACCAAAGTGCTCCGATTACAGGCATGAGCCACCCCGTTGGGCCAGGGCCTACTTTAATAGTTAATGGAGTAGATGCTAGCGTTCGATGAACATTAGGAATTTTCATCATTTTCTATAACAATCCCCGCAGCTCTGGAAATGGGACCCAGGAATTGTAATCCTTCTCTGTCCAGGGCAGATCCTCCGCACAGCAGAAAAAATCTGGGGACTAGGGGAGTCAGTCCCTCTCTTTCTCTCTCTGGCCTTTGGAAACTGCACGCATCTACCCGGCTCCCCCAGCCCCGGAAGGAAGGAAGGATACATCCTGCACGATGCGCTGAGTGGCTGTGTTGGGCGACTGTGAGTCTTTGAGCAGCTGCAGGACCTGCTGCAGGCCCTGCTCGTCTGGCTGCCAGTCCATGGCGCAAGGCAAGCTGCGGAGGTAGGGGCCGGGGTCAGCGCTGGGTCTCTGGGGCTCCGTGTGAGACCCAGGTGGAGCCCCTGAGGCCGCGGTGGCCGCATGACGACGGGAACGCCCTCGGCGGACAGGCGGAGGCCTCCGATCCACGCCCGCCCAAGTGCGGGGTCCCCGCCAGCTGCGCCATCCTCGGCCGCGCAGTCGCGGGCTCGGGAGCGCGGGAGGGGGGATGTGGAAACGGGCCACAGGCGGCGGCGGCGGGGCCCGGCGGATCCTCATGGGACCCAGCGAAGAGCCCTCGTCCCAGGGTGGCCCATGCCGCTGACCCCGGCTCCGAGCCCGAAGGCTTCCACCTCCCTCGCAGCGGCTGGGCGAGGGCCCAGCCGCCTCCACATCCAGGGGCCCCGCCCCAGACCGTGATAGCGCCCCGGCCCCCGTGGTCTCTTCTATGCAGGCACAGTCCCTGAAGAGTCCCCTTCCCCCGACACTCTGCCCTTAACTTCTGCCAGATCCCAGAGGCCTCCTGCCCTAGTCCAATTTCTGAGCTTCCCCAGATGCGCCCTCCCAAGACGATCGTCCTGATCTCTCCTGTCCCCTGTTCCTGCCCTTCAAGCTCAGTGGATGCCAGATATCCCCCTCTGTGGCCTAGCCAAATTCTAAGGATTCCCCTTAATCAGGCCCAAAGCAGTCCCCAGGTAGGTCTCTGCTGCCTCTTCGAATGAGAGCCAGCCAAGCCCGGCCAACCCACTATAGGAGCCCCCTGGACCGATCCCAGTCGCCTTCCCCAATCAGGTCTGGCCAAGCCTCTCCCTGAAATTCCCTCCGACCCTGTCAGCAGTAACCCCTGCTGACGGATCTCTGTTGCCTCTCCCAGTCAAGTTCGGCCGAGCCCCCCACCACCTCGTGTCAGTAACCCCCTGGTCCGATCCTTGCAGCCTCCCCCAGTTCGGCCTGGGTAAACACCCCCCGGGGCATTCCCCTCAACGGATCCCAGCAACGCCTCGAAGTCAGATCCAAGAAAACCCTCTAGGCCGAAGTCTGACGCCCCTCCCTGTCAGGACCCAACGA
Source organism: Homo sapiens (assembly GCF_000001405.40). Taxonomy (NCBI): domain Eukaryota; kingdom Metazoa; phylum Chordata; class Mammalia; order Primates; family Hominidae; genus Homo; species Homo sapiens. Next base: position 12,722,043 of record NC_000019.10, read on the forward strand.
GCTCCCCTCCCCCCACCCCGCTCAACTTTTCAGTGCGGCCTCCCCCAATCAGACCCAACCAAGCCCCACCGAAACAGGCCCCTACACACACCCGATCCTCGCGACGTCCCCCAATCAGGCCCCAAGCAGTCCCCAGACGCTTCCCCCAATCAGATCCCCTCCAGCCCGACCCCAGCAGTCCCACTGGCCCTCTTCTTGAGGAGCCCCGACATGGCCTGGCTCCGAGGCCCCACCCCCTAAGCTCTGCTCGGTTCCCCCCTCCCCCGCCCGGCCCGTTCTAGCTGCCAGGAGGATCGGGCCCAACCGGCTTCCCGGCCTTTCCCGGTCGGGCGCGGCCCCGACGCCCGGGCCGCGCGCGGCGCAGGCTCGGTGCCCGGCGGGGGTCGACGCAAGCCGGGGCCAAGAGGGTCGGGCTCTGAGTGAGGCCCACTTACCCGGCCCCGGGCAGCAGCGGCGGCAACTCGCGCTGCGGCTTCTCCAGAGACTCGCGCGGAAGGAGGGAGCCAAAGAGAGAGAATTAAAAAAAAAAAAAAAAAAAAAAAAGAAAGAAAGAAAAAAAAAAAAGAAAAACGCGGCCGTAGGTGAGCCGCCGCGGCTCCCGTACTCCGTTCAAACTGGTCCCGCCGAGCCAATCGGAAGGTTCAACCTTCACACGTGCCCTGGCACTTGGGAAACCCGGGCTGAGACAAGGTCCGGTCACGTGACCAAAGAGTTGCCGTTTCTTTGGCCTCTCTAGCCAGCCGGTCCTCCCAGTGTCTCGTTTTCCCAGCATCTTTCACTGACCTGACCGCAAGCTCTTTAGCTGGAGCCAGGAGTTTGGTAGCGCGTGGGGACTTTGTGTGTGATGGATCCAGGAACCCCTCGGCCAGAGCCAGCACCCTCCTTGTCACCTTCCTCCACTAAAAATTGAAATGTGCCTCCCTTCCCCCATCCAGAGGTACTTGGGAGGAGTACGCTGTGTGTGCGCAAGGAAAGAGCTGAGCGTGCTCTTTATACCCCAGAGACAAAGGAAAGAAAGCAGGACAAAGTAAGTGCCTGAGACAAGCCGGGTTCCTACAGAAGCCTCTGCCACTTTTTGCATTATTTTCCAGTACTGTTTGATAGTTTTTACAAGGAGATGAAAAAGCCACAAGGATATAAATTTTTGAATAAAACGAAATGAACTAATAAAATAAACTTTGAACCACGCCTAATCCCTTTCCCTACCTGAAGTTGAATGAGGTGGAACAGCGCAGGAAATTCTGGCAAGGGCAGGGTCATGAAGAAAGAAATCTTCTTGATCCTTGCGACGTCTGAAGACAGTAGGGCACCGTTTTTCCTTCTCTTGAGAGAGGAGCAGATGGTAAAAAGCTGGAGACCCTGTAGCGTCTTGGTTTCCCCTCCCTGCCCTGCCGATAACAAAGTGGGAGACCTCCTGCCACTTGAAGCCTCAGTTTCCCCACTTGTCAAATGGGTATAAGAGCAGTTCGCGCGATTAGAGATCATCCAAGTTAAGCATGACCTGGCCAGCTCTGAATTGTTCCTTAAAAACGTGGCTTTACCCTCCAAGGCTCAAGGCTGTTCTTTTACTGTATTCAGCCCCTCCCTAAGCCGATATTTAATGAATTCACCAGCTCTAATCCCAAAGAACAACCCACCCTGCCCTGAGGAACTTTTTGACCCTCGAGAGAGGCAGAGGTCAATTTTTGCCCCTGCCTGAAGGAGGGGAACAGCTATCTCAACCCACTTGCCGTAGGCAAAGTCAGTCCCGGCTCCGTTCATTCATGAAAATCAAGTCCCGGGCCTCCAAGGTTAGGGAAGTGTCGGCAGGCGCCTAACTCCACTCGGAGAATCGCGGAAGACACCCTAAAGGAGCAGTTGGGATTCCGAGGTAGCCAGTTCCGCTGGACTGAAACCTGGGCTGAGAAACACGTGCAGAAAGCCGCCACCAAGGCATGCGTAAAGGCCTCCCTCTCCCCCACCCTCCGATAAGCCCTGGAACTACAAATCCCGTCCTGCCATGCGCCAGGGTCGCCGCGCTTTGGGGTTTTGGCTGAGACTCAAATTGGCAGGAGGGTCTCTAGACCAACCGAGGTGCATGGGGAGCAGAAGAGTGAGACTGGGGAGCTGGGGCTGGATTTGGGGGTTCCTGGAGCGAGTGTGAACGATAAGAGCTTTCTGGTCAAATTTGGGGGCTGCCCCAGATAAAGATCAGATGGGGAGCGAGTTTGGGATGCAGGAGACAATTTGTTAAGGTTCACCCCCTTCATATAATATGGCAAATTTTCAGCGGCCCTCCGCAAGCCTTGGGGCAGAACAAAGTAGCCCCTGCTGCATGTGTGGTCCACATTGTTGGCCCTTGTGTGGTCACGGAATTTTTTCTTCCTCTCCAGCTGGTGAATTTGAGTGTTGAATCAGGACAAGGTTTTGGGTTTTTGTTGTTTTGTTGTTTTTGTTTTTCTATTTCTTTGTTTTGTTTTGTTTTGTTTTTGAGACGGAGTCTCGCTCTGTTACAAGGCTGAAGTGCAGTGGCGCGATCTCAGCTCATTGTAACCTCCGCCTCCCGGGTTCAAGCGATTCTCCTGCCTCAGCCTCCCGAGTAGCTGGGATTACAGGCATGCGCCACCACGCCCGGCTAATTTTTTTTAATAGAGATGGGGTTTCACAATGTTGACCAGGATGGTCTTGATTTCTTGACCTCATGATCTGCCTGCCTTGGCCTCCCAAAGTGTTGGGATTACAGGCGTGAGCCACCGCGCCTGGCTTTTTTTGTTTTTTTGTTTTTTGAGATGGTGTCTTGCTCTCATTGTCCCGGCTGAAGTGCAATGGCTCAATCTCGGCTCACTGCAACCTCCGCCCCCGGATTCAAGCGATTCTCCTGCCTCAGCCTTCCGAGTAGCTGGAATTACAGGCGCCTGCCACCACGCCAGGCTAATTTTTTGCATTTTTAATAGAGATGGGGTTTTGCCATGTTGGCCAGGCTGGTCTTGAACTCCTGACCTCAGGTGATCCACCTGCCTCGACCTCCCAAAGTGCTGGGATTACTGTGCCCGGCCCAGTTTTCCTATTTCTTTCTTTCTTTCTTTTTTTTTTTTTTTTTTTTTTTTTTTTTTTTTTTTTGAGACACTGTCTTGCCCTGTCGCCCAGGCTGGAGTGCAATGGTGGGATCTCAGCTCATTGCAACCTCCGCCTCCGGGATTCAAGCTATTCTGCCTCAGCCTCCCGAGTACCTGGGACTACAGGCACCCGCCACCACACCCAGCTAATTTTTGTATTTTTAGTAGAAACAGGGTTTCACCATATTGGCGAGGCTGATCTTGAACTCCTGACCTTGTGATCTGCCCGCCTTGGCCTCCCAAAAAGTGCTGGGATTACAGGTGTGAGCCACCGTGCCTGGCCTTTTTTCCTTTTTTTTTTTTTTTTTTATTTTGAGGTGGAGTTTTGCTCTTGTTGCCCAGGCTGGAGTGCAATGGTGCAATTTCGGCTCACCACAACCTCTGCCTCCCGGGTTCAAGTGATTCTCCTGCCTCAGCCTCGCGAGTAGCTGGGATTACAGGCATGTGCTACCACGCCCTGCTAATTTTGTATTTTTAGTAGAGACCGGGTTTCTCCATGTTGGTCAGGCTGGTCTCGAATTCCCGACCTCAGGTGATCCACCTGCCTTGGCCTCCCCAAGTGCTGGTATTACAGGCATGAGCCACCATGCCTGGCCTTTTTTCCTATTTCTTAAGCACCTACTGCATGTCAAGTGGTTTCCAAATGTTATCTCATTAATACCGGATGTGGTGGCTCATGCCTGTAATCTCAGCACTTTGGGAGGCCGAGGGCAGATCACGAGGTCAGGAGATTGAGACCATCTTCTGGCTAACACAGTGAAACCCTGTCTCTACTAAAAATACAAAAAAATTAGCCAGGAGTGGTGGCCTGCGCTTATAATCCCAGCTACTCAGGAGGCTGAGGCAGGAGAATCGCTTGAACACGGGAGGCGGAGGTTGCAGTGAGCCAAGATCACACCACTTCACTCCAGCCTGGGCGACAGAGCGAGACTCTGTCTCAAAAAAAAAAAAAAAAAAAAAAAAGGCCAAATGTTATCTCATGCAAATCTCACAACAGCCCTATGCCTGGCAAACTTACCCTAGTTCAATTAGAAGCTCTCTGTGCCAAAAGAAACTCACAGAATTGGTGTCCAACCAGCCGGGCGCGGTGGCTCACGTTCATGCCTGTAATCCCAGCATTTTGGGAGGCCGAGGCGGGCAGATCACAAGGTCAGGAGATCAAGACCATCCTGGCTAACACGGTGAAACCCTGTCTCTACTAAAAATACAAAAAAAAATAGCCAGGCGTGGTGGCGACCGCCTGTAGTCCCAGCTACTCGGAAGGCTGAGGCAGGAGAATGGCGTGAACCCAGGAGGCGCAGCTTGCAGTGAGCCAAGATCGCGCCACTGCACTCCAGCCTAGGCGACAGAGCGAGACTCTGTCTCAAAAAAAAAAAAAAAAGAATTGGTGTCCAACCGCGAATCTGAAATGTGAGACAAACGTGTTCTCAATTTACAGCAGCCTCCCTTCCCAAGCCTCTCATCACACTGTCCCCCGAGTTCAAAGGTCAGCACTTCAACTAACTTAACACAGTCCCCAAACGCAAGCCAACTTCTTCACCCTGGAAAGCACTAGCTGTTTTAAACAATGGCAGGGTTAGATTCTATGAATATTGCCCTTACTTTAGAACTTGACTCTAGAGATGCTTCTTTATTTTACCCCTATTTGATAGATGAAGAACCTGAAGTACAGAAAAGCTAAGTGACTTACCCAAGATCACACAGTCAACAGGCACTAGAATAGTCAGAAGCCAGGGCTGTGTGACTCACCAAAACCTGGATATGATTCTCCTCCCTCTTCAGACTTTTCTCAGGTCAGAGCAGGTAAGTACTGTAAAGGGATGTGCCTGGACTTTCAGCCTCTCCTGCCTCTTGACACTAGAATAGAGGCTGAGATGCTGCAGGGCGACCTACTTCCCAGGCTTCTGTTGCTTTTTAAAGATCCAGTCTCTGCTGGTGGCTTTGGGGGAGGAGGAGGTAGGGATGGCTCCATTAGCTTCCTGTGTTCCCTCCCCCCATACTCCACCCCCAAGGCCAAAGTCACACCTGGGCTAGCTTAGCATCCCCAAAGTAGGAGGGAGAGACCTTTCAGCCCACATGCAAAGTAAAGCAGAAAAACCTTATTGTGTGTTAGCAGGAAGCGAAAGAGGAAAGGTATCCTATTCTTTTTTTTTTTTTTAATTTTTTGAGATGGAGTCTCACTCTGTTGCCCAGGCTGGAGTGTAGTCACTGCAACCTCTGCCTCCCCAGTTCAAGCGATTCTCCTGCCTCAGCCTCCCAAGTAGCTGGGATTACAGGCGTGGGCCACCACCCCCAGCTAATTTTTGTATTTTTAGTAGATAGGGTTTCACCATGTTGGTCAGGCTGGTCTTGAACTCCTGACCTTGTGATCTGCCCGCCTTGGCCTCCCAAAGTGCTGAGATTATAGGCGTGAGCCACCACGACAGCTAGGCTGTTTGTTTTTTTTTTTTTTGAGACGGAATCTCACTTTGTTGCCCGGGCTGAAGTATAGTGGCACAATCTTGGCTCACTGCAACCTTTGCCTTCTCAGATTCAGGACATTCTCCTGCCTCAGCCTCCCGAATAGCTGGTATTACAGGTGCGCGCCACCACGCCCGGCTAATTTTTTGTATTTTTAGTAGAGACAGGGTTGCACCACATTGGCCAGGCTGGTCTCGAACTCCTGGCCTCAAGTGATCCTTCTGCCTCAGCCTCCCAAAGTGGTGAGATTACAGGCGTGAGCCACCACGCCCAGCCAACTTTTATTTTTTGTAGCAAGAAAGGTCTTGCTGTGTTGTCCAGGCTGGTCTCGAACTCCTGGGCTCAAGTGATCCACCTGTGTCTCGGCCTCCCCAGTCACTGGGATTACAGATGTGAGCCACCATTCTTGGCAGGGCAGGGTTTTTGTCTGTTTAGGTAGCTGACTTCACATAGCAGATGCTCATCATTTGTTACATGAGTCAGTGCTCCACCCCAACCTGCACAGACTGCATCTGGCAAAATCTGAGAGCCTGTGGTGTACCGGGGTAGGCCCACCTCAGCCCACTCCCAGGACCACAGCCCTGTGCCTTCCACCCTCTACTTGCTGAGGCCGTGTTTCTCTGAGTCTTGGTCCTCTTTTGATTGAAAGTGGAAGGAGGGGCCAGGCACAGTGGCTCATGCCAGTAATCCCTGAGGCCGCAGATCACTTGAGGTCAGGAAACCCCGGCTCTACCAAAAAGATAAAAATTAGCCAGGTGTGGTGGCACACTCATGTAGTCCCAGCTACTCAGGAAGCTGAGGCAGGAGAATTGCTTGAACCTGGGAGGCAGAGGTTGCAGTGAGCCCAGATCGCGCCATTGCACTCCAGCCTGGGGGCGGAGTGTGCCTCTGTCTCAAAAAAAAAAAAAAAAAAAAAACGGGAAGGAGGGGGCTGGGTGCAGTGGTTCACACCTGTAATCCCAGCACTTTGGGAGGCCAAGGTGGGAAGATGGTTTGAGCCCAGGAGTTCCCGACCAGCCTGAACAACACGGTGAGACTTCGTCTCTACGAAAAATAAAAAAAAAAAAATGAGCCGTGTCTGATGGCACATGCCTGTAGACCTACCCAGGAGGCTGAGGTGGGAGGATCGCTTCAGCCCAGGAGGTTGAGGCTGCAGTGAGCTGTAATCTCACCACTGCACTCCAGCCTAGGCAACAGAGGGAGACTTTATCTCAAAAAAAAAAAAAGAAAGTGGAAGAGGGCCCAGCCCTAAGCTGGGTAGGAGTGCCAAGGCTGCTCAGCTGCTGCCATTCTTGCCTGGGAAGACTGGGGTGAGCCTATAGCTGGGGGACCCCCCAACGTTGCTCCAGGTCCAGCAGGTTTGAGGAGTTGGGAGGCAAGGGCATCTTAAAACCTGTGTGGGTTTGGTGGAGAACAGGTGGAGCCAGGCAGCTTCTGGCTCCAACAGGATGGGCAGTGGAGCCAGGAGGAGGGCATGGAAGGGCTAGGTCTGTGCCAATGATCATGTTCTGTAAGGTTGGACAGAGAACCCCCTCGCCCTCTTTCTCTTGAGGGTGTATGCATACAGAAGGGACAGACTCCAGCCTCCCTGGAAGGGCTTCAAGTAGCTAGAGGACTGAGTGGCCCTTCCCCCAGTGGAGCACACAGCCCCATGGAATCCAGCTCTCAGCACTCCTCACCTCCTCTACTACCAAGATGCAGTCCCCTCCACTCCCCTCCTCAGTCTCCCAGGTTCTACCCTCAGCCCCCTTCAGTCTATTCCCCACAGGAGCCAGAGGGATCCCCTGAAGATATAAAACGTATGATGTTGCTACCTCAAATACCCCCCAAAGCCTTCTCCTCACTTAAGAATAAAATCCTGGGCACAACGCAGTGGCTCAGGCCTGTAATCCCAGCACTTTGGGAGGCCGAGGTGGATCACCTGAGGTCAGGAGTTCGAGACCAGCCTGGCCAACATGGTGAAACCCTGTCTCTACCAACAATACAAAAATTAGCCAGGCATGGTGGCAGGCACCTGTAATCCCAGCTACTCGGGAGGCTGAGGCAGGAGAATGGCTTGAACCCAGGAAGTGGATGTTGCAGTGAGCCGAGATCGCGTCACTGCACTTCAGCCTGGGTGTCAGAGACAAGACTCTCAAAAAAAAAAAAAAAAAAAGAATAAAATCCTGGGCCAGGAATGGCTCATACTGGTAATCCTAGCAGTTTAGGAGGCCGAGGTGAGAGGGTTGCTTGAGCCTAGCAGTTGCAGACCAGCCTGGGCAACATAGGGAGACCCCGTCTCTACAAAAAAATTAAAGAACTAGCAGAGCATGGTGGTGTGAACCTGTGGTCCCTACTACTTGCGGGGCTGAGGTGGGAGGAGGCCAGGAAGTGGAGGCTGCAGTGAGGCAGTGAGCTGCGATCGTAGCACTGCACTCTAGCCTGGGCGACAGAGCGAGACCATCTCCCAAAAAAAAAAAAAAAAATTCCTGAATTCTCCCCACCATAATCCATTCATCCATCCTCCTCACTTAGGAGGCCCCCATCAGGCCCAAGCTGTCTCCAACCTGGCTGTTCCCTCTGCCTGGGACTCTGCCTCACCTCCCTCAGGACTCTAATCAAATGTCACCTAAAAGACATACCCGCCTCCTCCCTAGCTGCAAAAGGGCTTCCCCTTTTTGTTTGTGTCTGTCTCCTTCTGTAAGGGCAGGGAGGGTGTGGTCTGCGTGCTCCCAGCTGTTGTCCCAGAGCCTTGCAGAGCCCTGGCACATAATAGATGCTCCTAAGTGTCTGCTGAATGCACAATGCAACAGCTTTGGCCAAGCCAAAATGGAACTGTGAAGAGAAAGTGAGCCTAAGGTGGCACGGTAGAGATGCAGCAGTGAGGGGAGATAGGTCTTGGGGAAAGTCCAGGCCTACAGGAGGGGATGTGCCCCTGTCCTTCCTAACCCTTCCATATCCCGCTCCTTACTGGGTCAGGCCCAGGCTTTGACAGGTACAATGCCAGCAACAGGGGGAAGGCTTAGGTCCGACAGCGCAAAGAAGACAAACCAAGCACACAGCTCCGGCACTAAGTCAAGTTCTTTACTTCCCAGAAGTGATGGCTAAGGGGAGGGAGGAGGGTGAGAAGAGGAAGACAGAAAGAGCCAGAGAGAATGAGGAGGTGAGAAGGGGGGGACAGTAAACCACTGTTCTATGAAGTCTCACGAGGCAAGTGCTCAAGGTAAAAAAAGAGTCCTGGAGAATCGTCCACGGCTGCGGGAAGCATCTCGGTTTCCTTCTGCTTTTAAGTCCTCTCAGGGAAGGCTGTCGCCGCTGCCGCTGCATTAAATAGTTATGTACATCGCAGAGAGTCCCAGGCCATGGGCAGGTGGGGGAGGGGCGTCATTTCACCAGGGGCCGAGTTTTATCATCGTCACCGCACTGGTGAGCTTTGTACTTTTTCACTTCTGCCATGTACTTGGCCCACGCGTCACCTTTACTTGTTAATACCTGTGGAAAGGGGATACGGGTTAGGACGGGGGTGCCAGGAACCAGGGTCAGGACTGCCCTGAGACAGGTGACCCATTCCCAGTGTCACCCAGAAGACTCTGGGTTTGAGCTGAAGATTATAAAGTCAAGTTATCTGGGGACCCATTGACAGCCCTCCTACCCTGCCAGGCACACTCATAAAAGGCCTGGATACCAGACAGGGAGGGAGAAGGCTGGGCGCAAAAGCTGGAAGGGAAAGGCAATGTGGGTGGACCCCCTGCACCAAGCTGGCTCACCTCATCCTCCGTCTTCTGCTTCTTGGCTACTATTCCCGTCTTGAGGGCTAGTTTGTTCCCGCCTCTGCGTTTGCCCACCTGGGTGAAGGGACAGAAGACTGCAACGGTTACAGGAGCCGGGACCGCCCTTGGCGGCGCTGAGGCCCACTACACCTTCCTAGCCCGGCCTGGTGGCCCGTCCTGACGCCGCGCCCAGCTCCGCCAGCCGGCCGACCTGCGCAGCAATCAGAGAGGAGCACACGCGACTCAGCGCCTGCCCTGGGCCCGCGGTGCCCTCCCAGGGAGCAAGAAGAGTGTCCACCTCAGTAGGGACCAGCTCTGTTCTCACTTTCCACGCCAAGGCCTCACCCTCCCTAGCAGGGACCACAAGAGGTGGCAACAGCTCCCTTTATTGAGCATGTACTGTATGCCAAGCCCTGTGCCAAGTGCTGTGGATGTATCATCTCCTTTCATTTTCACAGCTACCCTAAGATGAAAGTTAGAACCACCCCCTTTTTGACCAGGCGCGGTGGCTCAGGCCTGTAATCCCAGCACTTTGGGAGGTAGAATCGGGTAGATCACCTGAAGTCAGGAGTTTGAGACCAGCCTGGCCAACATGGTGAAACCCCATCTCTACTAAAAATACAAAAACTTAGCCGGGAGTGGTGGTAGGCGCCTGTAATCCCAGCTACTTGGGAGGCTGAGGCAGAAGAATTGCTTGAACCTGGGAGGAGGAGGTTGCAGTGAGCCGAGGTTGCACCATTGCACTCCAGCCTGGGCAACAAGAAGTAGACTCTGTCTCAAAAAAAAAAAAAAAAAAAGAAAAGAAAAAAAGAACCACCCCCTTTTCATAGATGAGGAAAGTCTTTCAGGAGAGGTCATGCTAACAACAAACAATGGAGCTGATTCAGGGTCAGGTGGGTCGAAGCCTCTGGACAGCATCCTTAGACATCAAGCAACATTGCCTTCCCTGTGCCTAGCCTGGCATGGCCTCTTTGAGGGTGCAGCCAAAATGGCCCCTCAATGAACAAATGAAAAAGATGCAACGACGACTGCTACTCCCATTCATGAAGGGACTCCACTCGCAGGTATCACACCAACCCTGGTCCTGACGCTTTTCCTTCCTTACCCTTGCCTCAAAGAGTCTTCCTCTAGCCTTTCATCCTGTATCCCACCTTCTCCCATTGATTGAGGGCTTCCTGCGCTCCAGGGGCTCCAACAGTCTTCACAGACAACCAGGCATTCAGTAACCTGTGCTGCTGGGACTATTTCCATTTTTTTTTTTTTTTGGAGACAGAGTCTTACTGTCGAGGCTGGAGTGCAGTGGCATGATCTCAGCTCACTGCAACCTCCACCTCCCAGGTTCAAGTGATTCTCCTGCCTCAGCCTCCCGAGTAGCTGGGATTACAGGTATGCACCACCATGCCTGGCTAATTTTTGTATTTTTAGTAGAGTCAGGGTTTCACCACGTTGGCCAGGCTGGTCTTGAACCCCTGACCTCAGGTGATCTGCCCGCCTCGGCCTCCCAAAGTGCTGGGATTACAGGGATGAGCCACAGAGCCTGGCCTGCTGGGATTATTTCACACCGATTTTTTTTTTAAGATACTCTCTTGTTCTGTCATCCAGGCTAGAGCGCAGTGGTGCAATCATGGCTCACTGCAGCCTGAATCTCCTGGGCTCAAGCGATCCTCCTGTCTCAGCCTCCTGGGTAGCTGGAGCTCCAGGCATGTGTGGCACCATGCCCAGCTAATTTTTTAATTTTTTTTTGTAGAGATGCATTTTTGCCATATTGTCCAGGCTGGTCTCCAACTCCTGGGCTTAAGCGATCCACCCACCTCGACCTCCCAAAATGTTGGAATTACAGGTGTGAGCCACTGCACCCAACCCACGCCCATTTTTAACAAATGAAGAAACTGAGGCTTGCAGAGGTTAGATCATTTGCCCAAAATCACATGCTGGATCCAGAACTAGAGCCCCCAGTCTTGTTATTCTCAACACTTTTTCCTCCACACTACAGGGACTTGATCTTAACACCACAGACATGGCAAGCTCAGAGCCAAAAATCAATATATGCCCTATTTACTTAATCCAGAGTTTCTCAACCTGGCACTAATAACATTTTGAGCTGGATTATTCTTTGTTTGGGGGTGGGAGGGCGCTGCCCCACGCATGGTAGGAAGTTGAGCAGCATCCCTGGCCTCTACCCATAGATGTCACTAGCACCCCCTCCCGCAGTTCTGACAACCAAAAATGTCTCCAGACTTTGCCAAATGTGGGGGTGGAGGGAACTGCCCCAATTGAGAACCACCAGTTTAGCCCTTCCTGGAAGACAGGCTCTGTGCTAACCACTTTTCCAGGATCACCTCATAAAACCCTCACCACATCAAGAGATGCTATGATGTCTATTTTTGCAACTAGGGAAAATGAGGGTAGGCAAACCCAGAGGCTCCAGGAAAGCAGCGATCTTGTCTGTAAGCTCACCACTGCATACCAGCACCTAGCACAATGCCTAGCACGAGGTAAATTGCTCAATAAATGGAGGTTGGTCGAATAAGATACAAGGAAGTCAAGCAATTGTCCTAGATAAGTAATTGTCCTTACATAGTACGTGGTCTGAGTCTAACACATATAGCTCAGAGTCCAGACTTAAATTTACTCCCTTTCCTCACAATTAGTGGTGGTCCCATGACCCAAGGTCCGGGTACCACTCAAACAGGAATCCTGATATCCACGTTTCCTCATTCTCCACAGTGCTGATTCCTAGGCAATTCCTCAGCTCCCAGTTCCCACGGGCAAGCTCCTGGAGTCCCCACTCCCGCCCCTAGACCCCAGTTGTCGGGAATCCAAGTTCCACACCCTCAGCGGGTGACCCGGACGGGCCCCTCATTCAGAACGGAAAGTGGACTTCGGTCCCGATCCCCCTTCACGGGCCCCGACTCCCGCTGCCAAGACAGGCCGTGGCGCCCGCCCCCACCCCCACGGCTCCTTACGAAGCTAAGTGTGGAGCCCGGACCGCCCTTCCTCTTCGGATCCCCGGGGCCAGCGGCGGCGGCCGACTGGTCGGGTCGCTGCGGACCCGGGGGCGGCTCCTCCTGCCGCTGCCGCTGCTCCTCCTCCATCTTCCGCTTGAACAGCTCCAGGAAGCTGCCGTCGTTGGCGAACAAGTTCACGCCGCCCGACACCGGGCTCGAACCCGCGCCCGACACCTCCTCGTCCCCGCTCTCGGGCGACGTCCCCGATCCCGACTCAGCCCAACGGCTCCCGCCACCGCCACCGCCCGCGGGGCCCGGAGCCTCCCGGCCCTGAGGCTCCGCCCGTCTCCCTCGGGCAGCCATTTTGTCGCCAGGTGCCGCGCAAAGGACTCCGGGAAGGCCGCTCCGGCCCCGCGCTTGGCGCCCGACTCGCCTCGTCCCGAACAATGCATGCCGGGAAGAGCGGTCAGGCCCTCCAGCGCCCGCAGCGGGGGCGGGGCGAATGAGGGAACCAACCCGAAGGGGCGGGGCTAGGGGGAGGAGCCCCCGTCTCGCGGGTTTTTTTGTTTCGTTTTTTTTTTTTCTTTTTTTTTCAGACGGAGTTTCCCTCTTGTTTCCCAGGCTGGAGTGCAGTGGCGCGATCTCGGCTCACCACAACCTCCACCTCCCAGGTTCAAGCGATTCTCCTGCCTCAGCCTCCCGAGTAGCTGGGATTACAGACATGCGCCACCACGCCCAGCTAATTTTGTATTTTTAGTAGAGACGGGATTTCTCCATGTTGGTCAGGCTGGTAATCTCCCGACCTCAGGTGATCCGCCCGCCTCGGCCTCCCAAACTGCTGGGATTACAGGCATGAGCCACCGCGCCTGGCCTTGTTTTTTAAAAATTAGAGACGGGCGCCTGGCTATATTGCCCAGGCTGGTCTCGAACTCCTGGCCTCAAGCGATCCTCCTGCCTTGGCCTCCCCTCCCAAAGTGTTGGGATTACAGGCGTGAGCCATCGGGCCCAGTCTTGCTGTTTTGGTTTTTGGTTTTTTGTCTTGTTTTGGAGACAGAGTCACACTCCGTCTCCGAGGCTGGAGTGCAAAGGCATGATCAGGGCTCACTTCAGCCTCGACCTCTCAGGGCTGAGGCGATCCTCCCACCACAGCCTCCCGAGTAGCTGGAAACACAGGCATGCGCCACTACGCCTGGCTAATTTTATTTATTCATTTATTTATTTATTTATATTTGTGGAGACGGGGTTTTGTCATGTTGCCCAGGCTGTTCTCAAACTCCTAGGCTCCAGCAGTCCTCTTACCTCAGCCTCCCAAAGTGCTGGGATTACAGGCGTGAGCCACCGAGCCCTGCCTCTCGGGTTTTCAAAATTCAGCAGTACTCAGGCTGGAGTTCCCCATACAGGGGCTCCCGGAGAATGAGACTGTCGTCTGAGACTGGGGCTGTAGCTTGCTCTCTGGAGTTGGTTTCACTTGGGGCTAGGAACAGATTCGCTTTCCAGGGCTAGAATCCCCGTCTGACGACACCAAGAATAATCTCTATGAGTGGAAGGACCTCATCTGGGGCTGTGTGCTCAGCTGACACCTGGGAACTTGAATCCCTAACTGGGGAATAGAGAGCATGTCTAGTCTGGGCCCCCCAAGTAGAAATAGGGGTATCTTTGGGTTGGGTAACCATCTCTGGGATAAAGCTCACATTTGTTGGGGACATAGCTGGCTCTGTGGAGCTGAAGTCCCCGTCTGAGAATCAGCTTACTTTTTTATTTTATTATTGTTATTATTACTTTATTTTATTTTGTTTTATTTTATTTTTTGAGACGGAGTCTCTCTCTGTCGCCCAGGCTGGAGTGCAGTGGCGTGATCTCGGCTCACTGCAACCTCCGCCTCCCGAGTTCAAGCGATTCTTCTGCCTCAACCTGGTCTCGATTCCTGACCTCGTGATCTGCCTGCCTCGGCCTCCCAAAGTGCTGGGATTACAGGCGTGAGCCAACGCGCCCAGCCTATTTTATTTATTTATTTAGAGACGGAGTTTCACTCTTTCACCCAGGCTGGAGTGGAGTGAAGTGGCGCAATCTCGGCTCGCTGCAACCTCTGCCCTCCGGGTTCAAGCGATTCTCCTGCTTCAGCCTCCTAAGTAGCTGGGATTACAGGCGCGTGCCACCACGCCCGGCTAATTTTTGTATTTTTAGTAGAGACAGGTTTTCACCATCTTGGCCAGGCTGGTCCCGAACTCTTGACCTCAGGTGATCCACCCGCCTCAACCTCCCAAAGTGGTAGGATTACAGGCGTGAGCCACCGCGCCCGGCCCGAGAATCAGCTTATTTTATGAGCTGTAGTATTCAGATGAAGTCGGGGTTATTTCTAGTCTGTAGTCTCCCTCTAAAGTTAAGAGTGTCATGGGCTGGGGTCTCCATCAAGGGCCTGGAACCCAGCTTCTGTTCCTGCTCTAAGACAGAGGTTCAAACATGAAATATGGTATACTGGAGTCTTCTCTTGAAATACAAGGAGACTTTTAGGAATTCCTTCTACGAAACGGAGCGCAATTGCAGGAATGGTGTCTGCTAGGCATGGGAGATCAGGGCGTACAGGACAAGACTCTGTGGACTCGCCCACTCTAAGCCACTATCAGCCCGGGGACCTATCGCCAACCGAGTCAATTCGTCTATGATTGGTTTGCGGCAAGAGCCAAGAGGCTCACAGCCTATTGAATAACAGAGGGGGCGGACCTGAGGTGAGGTTGGGACCTACCGTGAAGAATAGAGGGAAAATGATGGACATAAAGTTGAGCCTATGGAGTCAGGCCAAGGAGGACCGGGAATCTAACTTCACCGAAAGGGCATGGACTGGGTGTTTGGCTGGTTGCTAAGGTGAGGTTGGCGCTACCGGAACATAAGAGTGATTGGTGTAAGTAAGAAAAGACATAGCCAATGAAAGGAGAGCTGCAAGACCTAGGGCCCAATCAGTGAAAGGGAGTAGCCTAGACCGTACCGATGTGTTCATTAGGTAGGGGGAACCCTTGGAAAATTATAGACCAGAGGTTGACAAAGTGAACCCTGGAAGCAAAGAATAGTGAAAATATAATTTATATTTCTCCTAAAAGGCAAGTAATGAGGAAATTAACTCATGCTCCTAGCTTCGCTAGGAATGTGATAGAGAATTTCCCCTGTAGGTTCTTCGTATGGTGCGCTCCGCTGGATCACGTGAGCCAGTTCCAAAATGGCGGCAGGGGTGGCCGGGTGGGGGGTTGAGGCAGAGGAGTTCGAAGATGCTCCTGATGTGGAGCCGCTGGAGCCTACACTTAGCAACATCATCGAGCAGCGCAGCCTGAAGTGGATCTTCGTCGGGGGCAAGGGTGGTGTGGGCAAGACCACCTGCAGGTAAGGAGGCTGCGGCGGGGGCCAGGAGGCGTGTAGGATATACCACTGGGCGAAGGGGAGGCCAAGGACCGGCTTTTCCACCACGACCGGGGCATGGGGGCTGGCGGGGGTCTTTGGGTTTCACTCTCTGGAAGTTACCTGGAGCAAATGAGAAAGACCTCAATGCAGCCCTAGCACCCTCTGAGTTGGACCATCCGTGTTGGGGCTCAAGTGCCGAACCACAGTGAACTCAGCGCCCGGGGGACGGGGAAGCACTTAGATATCCCCATCAGCTGGACCGTACCTGAGTGAATCCAGAGTTGTGGGTGAGGGCGGCACCAGAACAAGCAATCCTAGTTTGGTGAACCTTGGTGTTTTATGCCCAAGGCGAGAGTGAGGGTGGAAAGCGAGGGAGAGAGCACGTGATGAGACTGTCCCAGGCAGCTACAGGCAGGAGGTGTCCGTTGGACAGATTATCCTGGACAAGCAGACTGAACCATCCTGTGCTTACTAGGGAATGCAGGAGACCCCTTAGCTTATTAAGGAAGGGGGCACGGAGTCAAGCTATGCTGGCTGGACCGCTGGGCCATGCCACTGTGCCCAGCAAAAAAGAAGCAGGCACTAGGCCAGACAGACTCAGTCAGCTGAACCTTACCTCTCTAGTCCACATAGAGGGGTCAGGAGATAAATCAGAGAGGGTTCCTTTGTAGGGACTGAGGCTCAATCCCACCATAACCCATACTCTCCTCTCAAGGCCCCTGCTGATTCGGGTCACCTGCTCCAGGGAACCTACCACTCCCCTTGCAGACCCAGGGAACAGAGCCCATCCCCTCATCCCCTATCTTTTGACTTTTCCATTACTCAGCTGCAGCCTGGCAGTCCAGCTCTCCAAGGGGCGTGAGAGTGTTCTGATCATCTCCACAGACCCAGCACACAACATCTCAGATGCTTTTGACCAGAAGTTCTCAAAGGTGCCTACCAAGGTCAAAGGCTATGACAACCTCTTTGCTATGGTGAGTGGAACAGGGCTTAGCCCCCACTTCTGGGAAAAGCCTCTTCCAGCCTTTCTTGTGCGCACACACCAGCAGCCACCGTGTCCTATCCACTCTATATCCTGTGTCTCTCGTGTTTCACTCCTTCCTCAACATACTCACAAGGGAACCAATGAGGAATTGCAGAGCAGGAAGCACACCAGAGTGCCTGAAGCTTAGTGAGCCAGGGTAGGGGAAGGAGAAGTTGGAGAGACCAATCAGAGCCACATGGTGTGGGACCTTATGGGCCACTAAGAAGTTTGGCATTGACTCCAGGTTATTAACGGGAAGCTGTTTGTTTTAAGCAGGGCAATGTCGTGGCCAAATTCATGTTTGAAAAGTACCCTTTGACGGCCAGGTGGAGATTTAATTGTCAGTCAGGGTAGAAGCAGGGAAACTAACAAGGAGATTGGGGGTGTAACCAGTTGAGAGATGACAACATCCTGGACTCTGGTGGAGGCAGAATGTTGGGGGAGAAGTAGTCAGACTTGAGGTTTTTTTTTTTTTTAGACACTCAAGACTCCTCTGTCTCCCAGGCTGGAGTGCAGTAACCCGATCTAGGCTGACTGCAACCTCCGCCTCCCAGGTTCAAGCAATGCTCCTGCCTCAGCCTCCCGAGTAGCTGGCACTACAGGCTTGCGCCACCACTGCCTGTTAATTTTGTTTTTTTTAGGAGACAGGTTTTCACCATATTGGCCAGGCTGGTCTCAAACTCCTGACCTCAAGTGATCTGACTGCCTCGGCCTCCCACAGTGCTGGGATTACAGGCATGAGCCACCACATCGCACCAGGGATGTATTTTGGAAGTAAACCAGTAAGATTACTTGGGTGAGAAAAAGAAATGAATTGATTACATGTCTTTCTTGTCTCTCTGAGCAGCTGGGATGGGGAAAACTAGGAAAGGAGTAGGTTTAGAATGAACAAATAAAGAATTTCATTTTGTCCACAGTGAATCTGAGTTGCCCACTGGAAATCCAAGTGTAAACATCATGACAGTAGCTTGTTTATGTGAGTCTGGAGCCCAGAGGAGGTTGGCATTGATTTGGAAGTCACTGTCTCAAGGGTGGCATTTAAAGCTGTGTGAGGGCTGGGCATGGTGGCTCATTCCTGTAATCCTAGCACTTTGAGAAGCCAAGGTGGGCGGATCACTTGAGGTCAAGAGTTTGAGACCAGCCTGGCCAACATGGTGAAACCCCATCACTACTAAAAATATAAACCAATTAGCTGGGCATGGTGGCAGGTGCCTGTAATACCAGCTACTCAGAAGGCTAAGGTAGGAGAATCGCTAGAACCCAGGAAGCAGAGATTCTCCTGCCTCAGCCTCCGGAGTTGCTGGGATTACAGGTGCCTACCACCATGCCCGGCTAATTTTTGTATTTTTAGTAGAGACGAGGTTTTCTCACGTCTCAAAAAAAAAAAAAATTGGCTGGGCGCAGTGGCTCACTCCTGTCATCCCAGCACTGTGGGAGACCGAGGCGGGTGGATCACAAGGTCAGGAGATCAAGACCCTCCTGGCTAACACGGTGAAAGCCCATCTCTACTAAAAATACAAAAAATAGCTGGGCATGGTGGCAGGCGCCTTTAGTCCCAGCTGCTCAGGAGGCTGAGGCAGGAGAGTGGCGTGAACCCCGGAGGCGGAGCTTGCAGTGAGCTGAGATCGCGCCACTGCACTCCAGCCTGGGCGACAGAGCAACACTCTGTCTCAAAAAAATAATAAAGGCCGGGCACGGTGGCTCACATCTGTAATCTCAGCACTTTGGGAGGCTGAGGCGGGCAGATCACAAGGTCAAGAGACTGAGACCATCTTGGCTAACACGGTGAAACCTCATCTCTACTAAAAATACAAAAAAATTAGCCAGGTATGGTGGCGGGCACCTGTAGTCCCAGCTACTCCGGAGGCTGAGGCAGGAGAATGGCGTGAACGCGGGAAGTGGACCTTGCAGTGAGCCGAGATCGCGCCACTGCTTTACAGCCTGAACAACGGAGCGAGACTCAACAAAAAATAATAAATAAAAATAAAATAAAATAAAGAGATGCTGCAGAGTGAGGATGCTGGCAGAGGACAGTCCTCAGGTGGGATGAGCTCCATCCAGCATACAGACCCAGAACTTGGGCGCTGCCAGGGTCAGGGACTGGGAGGGAAACAGGAGGAATTGGGGCACTTCCCGGGCAGAGATGAGGGTGTTGGCAGCCAATGGCTTCTCTTTCTCACCAAGGAACAGGCAAGGGTCTCAGCAGTGAATGGGATAGAAGTTTGAGGAGGGAGAAAATACCACATAAACACTTATTAAGGTAGCAGGGGGAACCAGAATTGTCTGGATCATCAAGTGCCCATTGGAGATTTGTGTTCAGAAGAGGGGAGCAAGGGCGGGCGTGGTGGCTCATGCCTGTAATCCCAGCACTTCGGGAGGCTGAGGCAGGTGGATCAGAAGGTCAGGAGTTAAAGACCAGCCTAGCCAAGATGGTGGAACTCCATCTCTACTAAAAATACAAAAATTAGCTGGGCATGGTGGCTCACGCCTGTAATCCCAGCACTCTGGGAGGCCGAGGTGGGCGGATCACAAAGTCAGGAGATTGAGACCAGCCTGGCTAACAGGGTGAAACCCCATCTCTACTAAAAATACAAAAAGTTAGCCGGGCGTGATGGCGGGTGCCTTTAATCCCAGTTATTCGGGAGGCTGAGGCAGGAGAATGGCGTGAACGCGGGAGGTGGAGCTTACAGTGAGCCTAGATCGCGCCACTGCACTCCAGCGTGGGTGACAGAGCAAGACTCCATCTCAAAAAAAAAAATACAAAAATAAGCCAGGCACGGTGGCTCACGCCTGTAATCCCAGCACTTTGGGAGGCTGAGGCGGGCAGATCACCTGAGGTCGGGAGTTCGAGACCAGCCTGACCAATATGGTGAAACCCCGTCTCTACTAAAAATACAAAAATTAGCCTTGCGTGGTGGCCGGCACCTGTAGTCCCAGTTACACGGGAGGCTGAGGCAGGAGAATTGCTTGAACCTGGGAGACGGAGGTTGCAGTGAGCCGAGATCATGCCACTGCACTCCAGCCTGGGATACAGAGCGACACTCCATCTCAAAAAAAAAAAATTAGTTGGGCCTGGTGGTGGGCGCCTGTAATCCCAGATACTCGGGAGGCTGAGGCAAAGAATTGCTTGAACCTGGGAGGCGGAGGTCACAGTGAGTCGAGATTGTGCCACTGTACTCCAACCTGGATGACAGAGCGAGACTCCGTCTCCAAAAGGGTGAGGAGCAAGATGGGAATACTCTTCAGGAGTGTTCGGCCCTCAAGTGCAGTGATACTAAAGAGCTAGAAAGCCATACCTATCATTTCAGTGCTTGCAGAGACTGAGACAAGAGGATCACGTGAGGTCAGGAGTTCAAGACCAGCCTGGGCAACAAAGGGAGACCCTTTCTCTACAAAAAACAAACAAAATTAGCTGGGCATGGTGGTGTGTGCCTATAGTCCCAGTAAGTTGGTAGGTTGAGGCAGGAGGATCATTTGAGCCTAAGAGTTTGAGGCTGCAATGAGCTATGTATGAGATGGTATCTTTTTTTTTTTTTTTTTTGAGACTGAGTTTCACTCTGTCACCCAGGCTGGAGTGCAGTGGTGTGATCTCAGCTCACTGCAACCTCTACCTCCTGAGTTTAAGCGATTCTCCTGCCTCAGCCTCCCAAGTAGCTGTGATTACAGGCGCCCGCCACCACATCCGGCTAATTTTTGTTTTGGGGGGGTTTTTTTTGTTTGTTTTGAGACGGAGTCTTATTCTGTCGCCCAGGATGGAGTGCAGTGGCGCAATCTCGGTTCACTGCAACCTCTTCCTCCCGATTTCAAGTGATTCTCCTGCCTCAGCCTCCCGAGTAGCTGGGACTCCAGGTGCATGCCACCATGCCCGGCTAATTTTTAGTATTTTTAGTAGAGACGGGGTTTCACCATGTTAACCAGGATGGTCTCGATCTCCTGACCTCGTGATCCACCCGCCTTGGCCTCCCAAAGTGCTGGGATTACAGGCGTGAGCCACCGCGCCTGGCCTGTATTTTTTTTTAGTAGAGACGGGGTTTCAACATGTTGGCCAGGCTGTTTTCAATCTCCTGACCTCAAATGATCTGCCTGGCTTGGCTTCCTAATACACTGGGATTACAAGTGTGAGCTACCGCGCCCGGCCAAGACGCTATCTCTAAAAGAAAGAAAAAAAAAGCTGGAAGTAACCAGAGTGGGGGATTTTGCCAACAGCAAGGGGAAAGGGAGTGTTTGCAGAGGGAACCTGTGGAGGCTGGGCTGGATAAGGGTGCCAGCCAAGAGGAACACTGACAGTTTACAGGGGCCAGGTGAGGGGATGAAGTAGTCCAAAGAAGCTTAAAATATATGAAGCATAAGAAGAGGGTGCAGTGATGAGTGGGCAAGCTCCCCAACAGGGAATGACCCCTAAGGCCAGCGAGTTGGGTACTTCCCCATGGGACCCATGAAGTTACCAAGAAGAGGTGACAGAGGAGGAAGATAAAGAGGGAGGCATTGGCCGGGCATGGTGGCTCATACCTGTAATCCCAGCATTTTGGGAGGCTGAGGTGGGTGGATCACCTGAGGTTGGGAGTTGAAAACCAGCCTGACCAACATAGAGAAGCCCCGTCTCTACTAAAAATACAAAATTAGCTGGGGTGGTGGCGCATGCCTGTAATCCCAGCTACTCAGGAAGCTGAGGCAGGAGAATCACTTGAACCCTGGAGGCGGAGGTTGCAGTGAGCCAAGATCACGCCATTGTCCAGCCTAGACAACAAGAGTGAAACTCCATCTCAGAAAAAAAAAAAATTACAAAAATTAGCCAGGCATGGCCAGGCGTGATGGCTCGTGCCTGTAATCCCAGCACTTTGGGAGGCCGAGGTGGGTGGATCACGAGGTCAGGAGATCGCCACCATCCTGGCTAACACAGTGAAACCCCGTCTCTACTAAAAATACAAAAAATTAGCCAGGTGTGGTGGCGGGCGCCTGTAGTCCCAGCTACTCACTGCACTCCAGCCTGGGTGACAGAGCGAGACTCCATCTCTTTTTTTTTTTTTTTTTTTTTTTTGAGATGGAGTCTCGCTCTGTCGCCCAGGCTGGAGTGCAGTGGCGTGATCTCAGCTCACTGCAGGCTCCGCCCCCTGGGGTTCATGCCATTCTCCTGCCTCAGCCTCCCAAGTAGCTGGGACTACAGGCACCCGCCACCTCGCCCGGCTAATTTTTTGTATTTTTAGTAGAGACGGGGTTTCACCGTGTTAGCCAGGATGGTCTCGATCTCCTAACCTCAGGTGATCTGCCTGCCTCGGCCTCCCAAAGTGCTGGGATTACAGGCGTGAGCCACCACGCCCGGCCAAGACTCCATCTCAAAAAAAAAAAAAAAAAAAAAAATTAGCCAGGCATGGTGGGGCATGCCTATAGTCTCAGCTACTCGGGAGGCTGAGGCAGGAGAATTGCTTGAACCCAGAAGGTGGAGGTTGTGATGAGCTGAGATCGCGCCACTGCACTCCAGCCTAGGCAACAAGATCAAAACTCCATCTCGGGAAAAAAAAAAAAAAAAGAGGGAGGCATTGAGTCTGAGACTGGCCAGGGACCCCAGCCATGGCCATCCCTTCATAGATTCTACATACATGTTTGTGTTTTGTTTTGTTGTTTGTTTTTTGAGACAGAGTCTCCCTCTGTCACCCAGGCTGGAGTGTAATGGCGTGATCTCGGCTCACTGTAACCTCTGCCTCCCGGGTTCAAGCGATTCCCCTGCCTCAACCTCCAGAGTAGCTGGGATTATAGGCACCCGCCACTATGCATGGCTAATTTTTGTATTTTTAGTAGAGACGGGGTTTCACCATGTTGGCCAGGCTGGCCTCAAGCTCCCGACCTCAGGTGATCTGCCCGCCTCCGCTTCCCAAAGGGCTGGAATTACAGGCATGAGGTACCGCGCCTGGCTGGATTCCCCATATGTGCTGACGACCTCTGTGCCAGGCACTGTTCATGCTAAGCGCTAAGGACACAGCAGTGAACTAGATGGTAAAACCCCTGCCCCTGAGGGGCAGACATTCCTGCTATGGAGACAGATGATAAACATGATAAGGGAATCATGAGGGATGTGAGGAAGGGCTAATTTTTTTTTCAGATAGGTCTTGCTATATTGCCCAGGCTGGTGTCCAACTCCTGGGCTCAAGCGATCCTCCCATCTCATTCTCCTGAGTACCTGGGACTACAGGCGTGAGCTATCCTGCCCAGCTCCTAAGGGCTAAACCTTAAGGAGAAAGGAAGGCAGGGCAGGGGTGTCGGTGGATCTGTGCTGTTACTTAGGGTGGTCAGGGAGTCTCTCAGTGGAGGGATGATGATCCGGAAGAGGTCATGGCCCAGTCATGGGAGTATCTGGGGTTGCAAGTGGCAGGTTGCAAGTGGGGAGTAGCAGTGTAAATGGCCCGCAGTGGGTTTCAGCTTCCCTTTGAGGGCCCTGGGCACAGCTTGCAATTTTCCCCTTGTTTTTGACCCTTTATGCAACCATACAAAACCCTAAGTACTACCTCAGGGTCCCCCCAGCCGTGACCTAATGAAATGCCTGTGGTCACAGCCCACCACAGGCTCCCTCTGGCCCTGTGCCCGGGTAGGAAGGCTCCCCCTGGCCCTGTGCCCAGGTGGGAAGGCTCCCCCAGCAGTAGCAGCAACCTCAGTCTCATCCCTTTGGCCCCCAGGAGATTGACCCCAGCCTGGGCGTGGCGGAGCTGCCTGACGAGTTCTTCGAGGAGGACAACATGCTGAGCATGGGCAAGAAGATGATGCAGGAGGCCATGAGCGCATTTCCCGGCATCGATGAGGCCATGAGCTATGCCGAGGTCATGAGGTCAGGCCCAGCCAGCAGGGGTGGGGGCTGCCTGGGGAAGGGGAAGAGCGGACACAGAGGGCCTGACCCCTGTCTCCCCTCAGGCTGGTGAAGGGCATGAACTTCTCGGTGGTGGTATTTGACACGGCACCCACGGGCCACACCCTGAGGCTGCTCAACTTCCCCACCATCGTGGAGCGGGGCCTGGGCCGGCTTATGCAGATCAAGAACCAGATCAGCCCTTTCATCTCACAGGCAGGCGGCGGGGGCCCCCACCTGCACCATCCAGGCAGCCGGGAGTGGGAGTAGGCCCGGGCCCCCAGACCCTCAAATGCGCACTAACAATTCCCTTTCCTTCCCACCCCTTCTCACTCTGGACTTCTCCCTGGAGGGGATGGGACGGAGCTGTCTTTCCTCCCCCACAGGCAGGACTCAGTGTCCCTGCCCCTGCCCGCTAAATACCCTAGACAGAGCCAGAAAGCACATTCCAGAACCAGGCAACCTGCCTTCAAACCCTCTACACTCACCATGTGACCCAACTGCTGTGTGACCTCAAGCAAATCACTTCACCTCTCTGGGCCTCACCTTCCTTGTCTTGCAAATGGAGATCATGAGAGTGCCCCATGGGTTATTATTATTATTATTCGAGACGGAGTCTCGCTCTGTCACCCAGGCTGGAGTGCAGTGGTGCGATCTTGGCTCATTGCAACCTCCACCTCGTGGGTTCAAGTGATTCTCGTGCCTCTACCTCCCAAGTAGCTGGGACTACAGACATGTACCACCATGCCCAGCTAATTTTTGTACTTTTTGTAGAGATAGGGTTTTGCCATGTTGCCCAGGCTGGTCTTGAACTCCTGGCCTCAAGCAGTACACCCACTTCGACCTCCCAGAGTGCTGGGATTACAGGCATGAGCCACTGTGCCCAGCCCCCATGGGTTATTATTACGATGACAACCCTAAAGCCCCCACAGTGCTGCACACCACCAGCACCACCCACCATGGTGTATGTGCACGTGTGGGTGTGTGCGTGTCCCCTGTGGGGACCTGTGCCTCAGGTGGTAACACTGAGCACTTACTGTGTGCCAGACACTATTCTCAGCACATTATATGCTTCAGCTCATCTGGTACAACAGATCTGGGAGGTAAAGTTTAGAGATGGGGAAACTGAGGCTCCAGGAGGGTCAAGCCCCTTAGCTATGGTTCCCTAAAAATGGCAAAGCTGAGGCCGGCCGCAGTGGCTCATGCCTGTAATCCTAGGACTTCGCAAGGCCGAGGCAGGTGGATTGCCTGAGGTCAGGAGTTCAAGACCAGCCTGGCCAAAATGGTGAAACCCCACCAGTACTAAAAATACAAAAATTAGCCGGGCATGGTGGTGCGCGCCTGTAATCCCAGCTACTCAAGAGGCTGAGGCAGGAGAATCGCTTGAACCCAGGAGGCGGCGGTTGCAGTGAGCCAAAATCACGCCATTGTACTCCAGCCTGGGCAACAGAGTGAGACTCCATTTCAAAAAAAAAAAAAAAAGAAAGAAAGAAATGGAAAAGCTAGTATTTGACCAACCCCAGGAATCTGCTTATGGGCCTGAGCCTTTAACCACTGGGAGGTATCAGGAGTCATCCCTCGGGTGTTTAGTGAACCCCCAACCCAGGAGGTCGCCGCAGGTAAGCTATGAGCCCTCCCACATCCCCCCTGCAGATGTGCAACATGCTGGGCCTGGGGGACATGAACGCAGACCAGCTGGCCTCCAAGCTGGAGGAGACGCTGCCCGTCATCCGCTCAGTCAGCGAACAGTTCAAGGACCCTGTGAGTGGTGGTCTGGCTGGCGGTGAGAGGCCCGGGGGCTGAGGACAGGGGCAGACCCCGCCCCTCACTGTCCTCTCTCGTGCCCTGTAGGAGCAGACAACTTTCATCTGCGTATGCATTGCTGAGTTCCTGTCCCTGTATGAGACAGAGAGGCTGATCCAGGAGCTGGCCAAGTGCAAGATTGACACACACAATATAATTGTCAACCAGCTCGTCTTCCCCGACCCCGAGAAGCCCTGCAAGATGTGTGAGGCCCGTCACAAGATCCAGGCCAAGTATCTGGACCAGGTGTGCCCACCCACCCAGCACTGGCTCAGCAGAGGCACCTCTGCCCCTTTATTCTCTGATCTTTTGCTCCACCATCTGGCCCTCTGCCCTCTAGCCTCCTGCCCTTTGCCCCCACATTTCAGATCCTTCACCCTTATTCCGGCCATAGAGGACTGTGGCTGGCCTGGCCTAGGTCCCTGTGACCCTGGAGAGCAGGGGGTCTAGCCCAGTGATCTCTGACCATAGTGATGCAGCTCCCACTTATGACACCTTAAGCTCCTGCCCTATATTCTCTCCCTGACTCTGGAAGCTTTCTAGCTTTACCGCTTCTATTGATCCACACTCTGTCTCTGCCTTCCTGCCCCCTGACCACTGCCTTCTACCCTCTGCCCTGGCTGCAGATGGAGGACCTGTATGAAGACTTCCACATCGTGAAGCTGCCGCTGTTACCCCATGAGGTGCGGGGGGCAGACAAGGTCAACACCTTCTCGGCCCTCCTCCTGGAGCCCTACAAGCCCCCCAGTGCCCAGTAGCACAGCTGCCAGCCCCAACCGCTGCCATTTCACACTCACCCTCCACCCTCCCCACCCCCTCGGGGCAGAGTTTGCACAAAGTCCCCCCCATAATACAGGGGGAGCCACTTGGGCAGGAGGCAGGGAGGGGTCCATTCCCCCTGGTGGGGCTGGTGGGGAGCTGTAGTTGCCCCCTACCTCTCCCACCTCTTGCTCTTCAATAAAATGATCTTAAACTGCTGTATTGTTGACATTGGGAGGTGAGGGTAAGCACCTTTATGTACAGTTGCACAGGTTGTGCACTGGACAGAAGTGTCACATCTAGAGGGGCCCATTCACAACAGAGACCTAATAGAGATGCATGTTTATTGTGGCAACTTTGGAAGGAGGGTGTCTTGGGTGAGAGATACCTTTGTCTCATTCTGTGTGGGTTAAGGTGTCCCTGTTGGGCCTGTGAAGCCTGGAATGGAAGACAGAGGCATTTTCCCACTTCCTTGGAGGCTCAGAGCGTGGGAACTGGGAGGCCCCTTGGCCAGCCCCAGGCTGGTGGGGAGCAGAGCAGATTAGGCCGGCAGTGGGCCCGGCACTGCCTGCTGTTTGGTTTGGGAATTAGTGGGCGCCCTGGGGAGAGGCCAGGCCTGCCAGACTGGGGATTAACAGTCTCCACCCCCCAATTCCTGCCCCCATGGGATGGCATCAGCCCCTCCCAGCAAAGGGCTGCAGCAAGGGGGCTGGTTAGTGGGCAGGGTGACAGAGGACTCCGGCTGGAGGGGCTCCTGAAGTCTCATCCTGACTCCAGAGCGGTCTCAGGCTGTGGGCACACAGGCCTGGAAGGCACCTAGTGGACCCCCTTATCCCCTGCCCTTCGCTCCTCCCTCTGCCACTGCCTGGGCTGCTATTGTTGTCCCCACTTGGGAGACTCAGGATGGGGTATGACCTTGAGAGTTTACAAGTTCCAAGCCAGAGCTGGCTAGGGGGGACAGAAAGGGGGTTCCTGAGGACACACGTGAGTCGGTGTTCAGGCCGGGCGCGGTGGCTCACACCTGTAATCCCAGCACTTTGGGAGGCCGAGGTGGGTGGATCACTTGAGGCCAGGAGTTCAAGACCAGCCTGGCCAACATGGCGAAACCTCGTCTCTACTTAAAATACAAAAATTAGTCGGGCATGGTGTTGGGGTGCTTGTAGTCCCAGCTGCTCCAGAGGCTTAGGTGGGAGAATCGCTTGAACCCCGGAGGCAGAGGTTGCAGTGAGCCAAGACAGGGTAAGACCCTGTCTCAAAAAACAAAAGTGGTGTTCAGGTCCAGTCATGGTGGCTCACGCGTGTAATCCCAGCACTTTGGGAGGCCGAGGCAGGTGGATCACGAGGTCAGGAGTTGGAGGCCAGCCTCCAACTACTCTCTACTAAAAAGACAAAAATTAGTCAGGCGTGGTGGTGCCCACCTATAATCCCAGCTACTTGCGAGGCTGAGGCAGGAGAATCACTTGAACCTGGGAGGCAGAGGTTGCACTGAGCCGAGATTGCGCCATTGCACTCCAGCCTGGGCAATAAAGTGAGACTCCGTCTCAAAAAAAAAGTGTTCAGACCCAGAGTCTGGGTGTGCCAGGGTGTGTGTGTAAGGGGAACCCCACCAGGAGCCTAGACTTGTCACTCCAACTCCCTGGGGTGTGCACAAGCAGGTGTGGGCCTGTTGGGGTGGCATGTGTAAACAAACACGATGGTACAGCCGGCTCCGCGCCAAACTGCCAGGATCCAAATCCCAGCTGTGCTACGAACAAGATGAGATGTGACATCGGAGCCTCAGTTTCCCTACTTAGATAGTAAGATGACCAACTTAGCATGCCCGTAAGGATTCCATGAGATGAAACACGCAAGGCGTTTATACCAGCACCAGACAGGAAACCGCAAGAAATGTTTGTTATTTTTCGTTGTCACAATTAGTAAGCATATCAAATAGCCCAGGAAGCCTGCCCCCAGCCCCTGCGGGAATTCAGCAGTCGGAAGTGTGTGGGGATGCGGGTGAGCTGGGGTAGGGAGGATGAAAAGGAGGAGCGGGCTTCAGTGAATGCAAGGACACTTCCTAGGGAGTGAGGGCTGCTGATCGAGAACTGAGCTCATCAGCACCGAGCCTGCCACCGCCTTGCCAGGTTCCGCAGCTGACGGCACCGCCCCAGCTGCCCCCTCGCCCCCATTTATGGGCTGTCCGGCAGCTGGACAGCGAAGGCATGGGTCACAGGGTGACCAGCCCAGGCGGGTTCCTAATTACTCCGGGCAGGGTGAACATCTGCCAGTCTGGGAACACGGCGTCCCAGCCTGCTGGGCTTGGAACCTCGGGCGGGGCTATGTAGAATGCACGAGGGGCTCCTGAGCACTCTAGGATGCCCATCCCAGGGTTTGACCCCTGAACTTCTGCCCCTCCCACACCAATCTGTGTGTTAATGTTCTTCAGGCTGGGCAATGGAGGGGGAGTGGGTACTGTTTGTACCAGGCTGGGAGTGTCCCCTTTAGAGGTGTGTCTGTGAAGAATGAACATCTGCCCAGAATCCATGCCAAATGCAGGACAAGGTTTTGTGTCCCCAAGCTTGTGTGTTCATGGCAATGCTGAGAGTATCTGAGACCTGTGGGTGTGGGTGTGGGCCTGCCGCCGGGAGGGAGCGTTGGAAAGGGGGTTGCCTTCACATATTGGTGTACAAATGCTGGTGAATTTCACCAGCGGTGATAGCTAGGGGACCCTTGAGGGAGGGGTGGCTGTTGTGTGTGTCTTTGCAAGATTGGTGAACCTCAGGCCCCGCTCTGAGCCTGGGATTGTGTGCCACCGCACTGAGGAAAGGGTTTTTGCATTTGGTGTGTGATCATGGCTGCATCTTTGCACAGGGAAGATCGGGAGTAAAACCTCCTTGCAGTGGAGTATGACTGTGTGTGTGAAGGCATTCTGAGGTCTGGGTGGGGTCTGGCACTTGGCTGGTTGTGTGGGTGTCTTTGTTACATGGCGTGATCATGACGGAATTCAGACCGTTGGGAGAGCCGTGTGTATGAAAGAGGAGAGCCTAGTATGTCAGGGTCCACCTGCCTTATATATGCGTGATGGAGGCAGGAGGGGTCGAGGTAGGTGTGTCTTGTGTGACCCTGGAAGGTTCTGTGACAGTGTGTACTGCTCCTCTGGGTAACCATAGTTATGTGAGGCTGTCTTTTTGTTTTTTCAATAGAGATGGGGATCTCCCTATGTTGCCCAGGCTGGTCTCGAACTCCTGGCTCAAGTGATCCTCCCACCTAAGCCTCCCAAAGTGCTAAAATTACAAGTGTGAGCCATCGTGCCTGGCTGAGGCTGTCTTAAGAGCAGCTAGATTTGCTTCTGGGACTATGATGTGTGTTTCTGCGTGCATCTCTGTGACACTGTGTGATTACAGGTGACTGTGAAGTGACCCAGCCTCACTGAGCAGTGTGTGTGTTTCTGGGACTGGGAAAAAGACCATCCCTGCCTCCTCCCCCAACCTCTGGGTTCCAGATCCCTAGGACCTGCCAGTGAGCGACTGGGAGGGGAACAGGGAGGGGCGAGGGAGGACAAGGCGGATTTCTCCCCCCGTACCAGGTAACAAACTTGTGGGACTCCAAACAAAATTCTGAAGCTACAGCCTAGCCGAGGGAGGAGGACCAGGAAAGGGAGGCACGCCCACTCCCCAGCCCCACCCAACGCCAAAGCCACCCGCCCATTCCATCCCTGTCCCTGTGGGTCCTTGCACCGGCCACCTTCAACACAGGTGAGATGAGCCCAGGCTTGGGGAAATAGGGGGCCCTGAGGGAAGAGGGAACCTGCGGGCAGGAATGCATCCGGAGTCCTCCCGGGGCGGGGAGTGGAGGGCTTGGAAGGCTGGAGGGGAACGGAGAGAGGAAAGGTCAAGGCGGATCCGGGAGGAAAAGGGAGTGGGGGGAGCCAGGGCAATTAAGCAGAAGGTGCACAGGCTGGGGCAGGGGGGCTAGGGGACCTGGAGGCTTAGGGACAGGGCTTCAGAGGGAGTGCAGGGAGCAGAATGGGTCAAGACTGGGAGCTGGGGAAGTGGAGAAGGGGGAGCCAGAAATAGGGGCTGAGGGAGAGAATTTGGGAGAGGTGGAGCCTTGAGAACCTAGAAACTCAGGTGCTGGGGACTTGCGGAATGGGGCATGCTACAGGTGGCCTCTGGGTGAAGGGGATCGGGCAGAGGGTGACTCGGGAGCTGACTGCAGGGACTCAAGGGTCTTGGTGGTGGGGGACGGCAGTTACCAGAGCCCACGGCCAGGAGTCCAGGGAAGGGGACAGCCTGAGATGAAGGTCAGGGAGGGGCACTGGGGGCTGGACTAGACTGAGTAAAGCTGGGAGGAGAAGGCAACTCAGGCAAGGGTCAGGACTGAAGGGGTGGCGGGCCGGAACATGGGTGGAATCCCTGTGCTCAGTTATCCCCGCACCTCTCCACCCACACCCGCAGCCCCCACCCGGGCCACCCACTCTCCCTTGGCCACACCTGCCGGGTGCCACGATGACCGTCACCTACACAGCCCGAGTGGCGAACGCCCGCTTCGGTGGCTTCTCCCAGCTGCTGCTACTGTGGCGTGGGAGCATCTACAAACTCCTGTGGCGAGAGCTGCTCTGCTTCCTTGGGTTCTACATGGCGCTGAGTGCTGCCTACCGGTGAGGCTGCCCTGAGGTGCTCATGTTCTAGCGGAGGGGGGGCAGCTATTATATATATATAATATATAAAAATTATAAAAATATAGAGATATATAAGTATATATATCTATGTTTTTTAAACTGAGATGGAGTCTCACTCTGTCACCCAGGCTGGAGTGCAGTGGCATAATCTTCTCTTACTTCCACCTCTGCCTCCCGGGTTCAAGCGATTCTCCTGCCTCAGCCTCCCGAGTAGCTGGGATTATGGGTGCCAGCCACCATGCCTGGCTAATTTTTTTGTATTTTTAGTAGAGATGGGGTTTCACCGTGTTGACCAGGCTGGTCTCAAACTTCTGACCTCAAGTGATCCTCCTGCCTCGGCCTCCCAAAGTGCTGGGATTACAGGTGTGACCCATAGCACCCGGCTGGGGGCAGCTATTATAAAAGAAGCCAGGGTGAGGGGCACAGCAAGAGAGATCTGAAGCTGGGGATGGAGTCACCCTTGTGACCTGTGACCCCTCATCTCTATCCCGCAGCTTTGTGCTGACCGAAGGGCAGAAGCGCTACTTCGAGAAGCTTGTGATTTATTGTGACCAGTATGCCAGCCTCATCCCTGTCTCCTTCGTGCTTGGTGCGGTCCAACCCCAAGTCCCCCGTTCCCATGTCCCTGAGAAACCCATATCCATTCATGCCTTTTGAGGAGCCCCCATTCCTGCCCCTCTGAGATCCCCCCCCTCAAATCCAACCCCGACAGCACTGCCCACCCATTTTTGGATCCATATCATGAAGATGCCAGATGTGGCTCTACACTCTGAGACCTGGGGTGTCACCTGGGGTCACAGTGCCCCCTGAGGTGCCCCCAGGAGAGCTCCATCTCACACACAGGACTTATTCCTGGTCACCCTGGGGATTCTCACCAGTGTCTGTTGTGTTATTAGGGGGGACAAACCCCTAACCCTCCAGGGACCCCATAGGACTCCATCCTCTCAATTCCAGCCTGGGGGCATTTCTCTGACAAGTCTTGGACCCCTAGTGACCACAAGTGACCCTAGCCTGCCCAAGGCTCCCTGATGTAGACCCTGTCCCCAACCCCTTCAGAAGTTCCTGGCTCAGGGGCCGGGTGTGGCTACTGTGACAAGCCTGACCAGATGTCTCTGATGTACACCCCCACAAACCAGGCCCCTCTCCCCTTGTTTTAGGTCCCTATGCCTTCACAGCAAGCAACAGTCTGCCCACGTGCCCCTAACATGGGCTCTGTGCCTCTATCCCCATACTGGGATCCCAATGTCACATCTGAGGTGACTCCCAAGTAGCCAGTGACCCAAAGGGCTGCTCTGCCTTTTTTTTTTTTTTTTTTTTTTTTTTTTTTTGAGATGGAGTCTCGCTCTGTTGCCCAAGCTGGAGTGCAATGGTGCGATCTCAGCTCACTGCAACCTCCGCCTCCCGGGTTCAAGTGATTCTTCTGCCTCAGCCTCCTGAATAGCTGAGACTACAGGTGCGCCACCATGCCCGGCTAATTTTTGTATTTTTAGTAGAGACGGAGTTTCACCATGCTGGTCAGGCTGGTCTCAAACTCCTGACCTCATGATCCACCCTCCTCAGCCTCCCAAGGAGCTGGGATTACAGGCGTGAGCCACCGCGCCCGGCAACTGTCCTTTCTGACCTCAGGGCTGGACCCCCAAGTTCCCAGCCCAAACGTGGTCAGGTTGGCCAGCACGCTCGGGTTTCCCTGATGCAGACCTTACGTTGCCCCCTCTCCCACAACCTGGGCCCCCAAACCCCTGGCCCTGGTGTCCCCACTGAGCCCCCATTCCCCGCTCCCCTGCAGGCTTTTATGTGACGCTGGTGGTGAACCGCTGGTGGAGCCAGTACCTATGCATGCCGCTGCCCGACGCGCTCATGTGCGTGGTGGCGGGCACCGTGCACGGACGCGACGACCGCGGCCGCCTCTACCGGCGCACACTCATGCGCTACGCAGGGCTCTCGGCCGTGCTCATCCTGCGCTCCGTCAGCACCGCGGTGTTCAAGCGCTTCCCCACCATAGACCACGTGGTGGAGGCTGGTGAGTACTCGGCCAGAGGCAGGGCAGAGACCGGGCAAGGACCAGGTGGAGGGGGGCAAGGGGCGAGCTATCCCTGACCCCTTTCCTCCAGGGTTTATGACCCGCGAGGAGCGCAAGAAGTTTGAAAACCTGAACTCATCCTACAACAAGTACTGGGTGCCCTGCGTCTGGTTCTCCAACCTGGCGGCACAGGCCCGACGCGAGGGCCGCATCCGCGACAACAGCGCCCTTAAGCTGCTGCTCGAGGTGGGCCCAACCAGGAGGTCATTCATATAGAATACCAGGGAAATTGTACCCCTGGAGCTGTGTCAACGGCGGCCCTCCAAGCACCCCCACGAGGCCGATTTCAAACACCCTCACCAGGTGCACTCTT
Organism: Homo sapiens; assembly: GCF_000001405.40. Taxonomy (NCBI): domain Eukaryota; kingdom Metazoa; phylum Chordata; class Mammalia; order Primates; family Hominidae; genus Homo; species Homo sapiens. The sequence continues at coordinate 12,755,159 of NC_000019.10, forward strand.
ACCTCCATGGGGCTGATTCCAATGCCCTTGAGGGGCAGCTCCTGGGTGCATGGTACCTCATCCAGGTGCACACTCACCACCAAATACCCTCCCTGGAACCCCCAAAGCACACTCCCAATTCCCACCAGGTGACCACCCACCTCCATCCCACGTACCTACACTTAATATCCCTGTGTGAGCTCACCATTCAGGCCTCCTCATGACCTGTATCCACCCCCAGGAGCTGAATGTTTTTCGGGGCAAATGTGGAATGCTCTTTCACTATGACTGGATTAGCGTACCCCTCGTGTACACGCAGGTAACCCCATCATGCCTCTTTTTATATTCGGTGTCAGTGGCCCTGATGCCTGGTTTCCAAGGGGAAACCAAGAACTAGCTAAGACCCCCATCATAATGATGCCTAATCCTAGCCTTGGACCCCAATGACCCCCCTGAGCCCTGCCCCGCCCTGCCCAGGTGGTGACCATCGCACTGTACAGCTACTTCCTGGCTTGCCTCATTGGTCGCCAGTTCCTGGACCCGGCTCAGGGTTACAAAGACCACGACCTAGACCTGTGTGTGCCCATCTTCACCCTCTTGCAGTTCTTCTTCTACGCCGGCTGGCTCAAGGTAGGTGGGTGATCCAGGCTGGAATTTCGTGGGTGGGGCGGGCATGGGGTTCCCAAGTTTCCACCTAACTGCTCCCTCTCCTCTCAGGTAGCTGAGCAGCTCATCAACCCCTTCGGAGAGGACGATGATGACTTTGAGACCAACTTTCTGATCGATAGAAACTTCCAGGTGAGACTCAGTTTCCAGGTGAGACTTCCAGGTGGCGACCATCCCGGAGTGCCCAACAGGGTTCTGGTCCCACCCCTGCCAAGTCTTGCCAGGTCTCACCCCAACCATCCTTCCCTCTGTGGTCCCCACCCACCCGAAGGGGTCCACCCTGTGGTCCCGGCGGGTTGCCCTGCCCCCACTTTACCCTGTGTGTTTGCACCCGTAGGTGTCCATGCTGGCAGTGGACGAGATGTATGATGACCTGGCTGTGCTGGAGAAGGACTTGTACTGGGATGCAGCCGAGGCTCGCGCCCCATACACAGCGGCTACTGTCTTCCAGCTGCGGCAGCCTTCCTTCCAGGGCTCCACCTTTGACATCACGTGAGCCAGTTGGGTGGGCAGGGCCGCCTGGGGCAGGGCTTATGGCTCTGCGGGGCACATCTGATTGAAAAGGTTAAGTGGAATCAATTCTGGAGATGGGGATAAGAGCTAAAGTCTCAGGACTGTGATAACGCCAGAAGCTAAGATAGGAGTCAGGGGACAAGGTCAAGGTCTGAGACTGGGCCACTGACTGGGGACAGAGCTAAGGGCTGAGGTCAGCGAGGATCAGACCGGTCAGTGGTGATTCCAAAGGAGATGAGGGCTGAGGCCAGGAGCACTGGCTCACGCCTGTAATCCCAGTACTTTGGGAGGCTGAGGCAGGAGGATCCTTTGAGCAAGCCCAGGAGTTCAGACCAGCCTGGGCAACATAGTGAGACCCCCGTCTCTACTAAAAATAAAAAATTAGCCAAGCGTGGTGGTGCACGCCTGTAGTCCCAGCTATTCAGGGGCTGAGGTGGGAGGATTGCTTGAGTCGAGGAGTTCGAGGCTGCAGTGAGCCATAATGACACCACTGCACTCCAGCCTGGGCAACAGAGCAAGAGCCTGTCTCAAAAAATGAAAATAAAGGCCAGGCGCAGTGGCTTATGCCTGTAATCCCAGCACTTTGGGAGGCCAAGGCAGGTGGATCACTTGAGGTCAGGAGTTCGAGACCAGCCTGGCCAACATAGTGAAACCCTGTCTCTACTAAAAATACAAAATTAGCCGGGCTTGGTGGCTCACGCCTGTAATCCCAGCTAATCGGGAGGCTGAGGCAGGAGAATCACTTGAACCTGGGAGGCAGAGGTTGCAGTGAGCCGAGATTGCGCCATTGCACTCCAGCCTGGGCCACAAGAGTAAAACTGCATTTCAAAACATAAAAATAGGCCGGGTGCGGTGGCTCACGCCAAGGTGGGCAGATCACGAGGTCAGGGGTTAGAGACTAGCCTGGCCAACATGGTGAAACCCCATCTCTACTAAAAATACAAAAATTAGCCGGTGTGGTGGCACGCACCTGTAGTCGCAGGTACTCAGGAGGCTGAGACAGGAGAATCGCTTGAACCCGGGAGGCGAAGGTTGTGGTGAGCCGAGATTGCGCCACTGTACTCCAGCCTGGGCAACAGAGCGAGACTCCGTCTCAAAATAAAATAAAATAAAATAAAAATAAAAAAGGAAATGGGGCTGAGCCACGACTGAGGTTGAAGATCCAAGTTGAAGTGCAAACACAGGGTGAGGCCAGGCTCTGGGTTTAGGAGCTAAGATCTTTGGGGATAAGTGGGACAAAGCGGTGGGTGGAGTCAGGGAAATCAGCGCGCCTGGGACCCTGCTCTGTCAACAAGAGGCGAGGCCGCAGCGCTGGCCCACTGTCGGTCCCGCAGGCTGGCCAAAGAAGACATGCAGTTCCAGCGGCTGGACGGCTTGGATGGACCGATGGGAGAGGCGCCCGGCGACTTCCTGCAGCGCCTCCTGCCGGCGGGCGCGGGCATGGTCGCGGGAGGCCCGCTGGGCCGGCGCCTGTCCTTTCTACTCCGCAAGAACAGCTGCGTGTCGGAGGCGTCTACTGGGGCCAGCTGCTCATGCGCGGTTGTCCCCGAAGGCGCGGCCCCGGAGTGCAGCTGCGGGGACCCGCTGCTCGACCCCGGCCTGCCGGAGCCCGAGGCCCCGCCCCCTGCGGGTCCCGAACCGCTTACCCTCATCCCTGGGCCTGTCGAGCCCTTCAGCATCGTGACCATGCCCGGGCCCCGGGGTCCGGCGCCACCCTGGCTGCCCAGCCCTATTGGCGAGGAGGAGGAGAATCTGGCCTGAGATCTTAGAGCCCAGCCCCCTAAGGACAGGGAACCAGGTCCCTGCACGGCACCCACGCAGGTGTCCCGGTCTGCATAAGCCTCGTGTGCCTTTGTAAAGTCCACCTACACTTTTGACCAGCTCTCGCTGCCCGCATGTGTTTGGCGCTGTGCTAGGGGCGGGAGTTCTTCCAGACTCTTGGACCAGCCCGCCCTGACCACCAGCTCTACTTCCCAACCCCCACTGCCTGAGAGGTCTCTATCAGTGTCCTGCCTGAATTCTTTCCTTCAAGTGAAGATGTGACTGACTACCTCCTCGAGTTGTCATGAGGATGAAAGAATGGCATTAAAGCATTTGGTATACAGTAGGTGCTCAATAAATTGCTAGTGATTTTTACTCAAACGTTGTTAGTCTGATTTCTCCTGCCAGACATTATCCATTGTCCTAAGTAAAATTTGGGAGTTCTTGCAGGTTCTTTTTTTTTTTTTTTTTTTTGAGACGGAGTCTCTCTCTGTTGCCCAGCCTGGAGTGCAATGGTGTGATTTCTGCTCACTGCAACCTCTGCCTCCCAGGCCCAAGCAATTCTCCTGCCTTAGCCTCCCAAGTATCTGGGATTACAGGCACGCACCACCACACCCAGCTAACTTTTTTTAATTTTTAGTAGAGAGGGGGGTTTCACCATGTTGGCCAGGCTGGTTTCGAACTCTTGACTTCAGGTGATCCACCCACCTCTGCCCCCCAGAGTGCTGGGATTACAGGCGTGAGCCACCAAGCCCTGCTGCAGGTTTCTTCTTTCTTCTTCTTCCTTCTCCTCCTTCTCGTCTTCCTCCTCCTCCACCACAACCACCAGGCCCAGCTTATTCTAGGTTTTTTTTTTTCCTTTGAGACAGAGTCTCACTTCATCACCCAGGCTGGAGTGCAGTGCCACGATCTTGGGTCACTGCAACCTCCACCTCCCTGGTTCAAGGGATTCTTGTGCCTCAGTCCCCCAAGTAACTGGAATTACAGGTGCGCACCACCACACCTGGCTAATTTTTTGTATTTTTAGTAGAGACGGGGTTTCACCTCTTCCAGGTTTTATGATGGTGCCCTGCTTAATTCTTCCCAAACTCTGCTGTCTGAAACACCCACATCAGTGCCCTGGCATTACTCATTAATGAGCCAGCCACTGTCCCAGGATCATGGGTTCTTCTTGCCTCAAGCCTCTGCATTCTCAGGCCCTCAGGGCTTCAGGTTTTACTAATTTAATATCACACGGACTCCTGATGACTCCTGAATATAAAAGTCCAGCCAAGGCAGTGAGCTCTGGTCATGCCACTGCACTCCAGCCTGGGCAACACAGTGAGACCCTGTCTCAAAAAAAAAAAAAAAAAGAGGCCTGGTGCTGCAGTGGGGCTCACACCTGTAATCCCAGCTGGGAGGTGGAGATGGGTGGATCATTTGAGGTCAGGAGCTGGAGACAGGCCTGGCCAACATGGTGAAAGCCCGTCTCTACTAAAAATACAAAAATTAGCCAGGCGAGGTGGTGGGCACCTATAATCTCAGCTACTCAGAGGTTGAAGCAGGAGAATCGCTTGAACCTGAGAGATGGAGGTTGCAGTGAGATTGTGCCACTGCACTCAAGCCTGGGTGGCAACAGAGTGAGACCCCATCTGAAAAAGAAAAAGGAAGAAAAAGAAATCCAGCCAGGATCCCTTCTCTAACTGTAGACCCAGAAAGCCAACTGCCTCTTGGATGCCTCCTTGCAGAGATGTCACAGACACTTCAAACATAACACACTTGAAATCCAGCTCCTAATCAGCCCCCCAATCTGCCCCACCCTGTGTGTTAGCTTTGTCCTTCCAGGTGATAAGGCCAAAAGAAGTCATGTGGATTCCTATTCCCGCCACAGGCCATCACATCAACCCAGTGGCCACACCAACCCAGCAGCAAATCTTATCAGCTTTGCCTTTATTTTTATTTTATTTATTTATTTGTTTTTGAGACGGAGTTTCGCTCTTGTTGCCCAGGCTGGAGCGCAATGGCGCGATCTCGGCTCACTGCAACCTCCACCTCCCAGGTTCAAGCAATTCTCCTGCCTCAGCCTCCCGAGTAGCTGAGATTACAGGCATGCACCACTACGCCCGGCTAATTTTGTATTTTTAGTAGAGACGGGGTTTCTCCATGTTGGGGCTGGTCTCGAACTCCTGACCTCAGGTGATCCGCCCGCCTCAGCCTCCCAAAGTGCTGGGATTACAGGCGTGAGCCACCGCGCCCGGCCGAGATTTGCCTTTATTTTTATTTTATTTTTGAGACGGAATTTAACTCTTGTCACCAGGCTGGATTGCAATGGCATGATCTTGGCTCACTGCAACCTTCGCCTCCCGGGTTCAAGTGATTCTCCTGCCTCAGCCTCCCAGGTAGCTTGGATTACAGGCGCCCACTACACCCAGCTAATTTTTGTATTTTTAGTAGAGACAGGGTTTCACCATGTTGGCCAGCCAAAGTGCTGGGATCACAGGCGTGAGCCACCGTGCCCTGCCAGCTTTGCCTTTAAATCGTATCTAGAATCCAACCATTTCTCACTCCTCCAGGACCCCAGCCTGGCCAGAGCCCTCACTATCACCCACCCACCCACCTGGACTACCAACCAGGTCTTCAAGCTCTGGCCCTGGCCTCCTAAGCCTGTTTCTCCCAGAGTGGCCACCAGAGGGCGCCTATGAACACCCGAGCCAGGTCACATCCCTCCTTTGCTTAGACTCTTCCGTGGCTCCCACAGCACTTAGAATAAAAGTTAAAGTATTCTCTGCAGCCCACAAGTCCCTGAATAATCTCCCCACCCTCATCTGCTTTCTTTTTCTTTTTCTTTTTTTTTGAGACAGAGTCTCGCTGTATCGCCCAGGCTGGAGTGCCAGTGGAGCCATCTCGGCTCACTGCAAGCAAGCTCCGCCTCCCGGGTTCACGCCATTCTCCTGCCTCAGCCTCCCGAGTAGCTGGGACCACAGGCACCCGCCACCACGCCTGGCTAATTTTTTTGTATTTTTATTTTTATTTATTATTATTATTTTTTTGAGACGGAGTTTTGCTCTTGTTGCCCAGGCTGGAGTGCAATGGCATGATCTCAGCTCACCACAACCTCCGCCTCCCAGATTCATGCGATTCTTGTGCCTCAGCCTCCAGAGTGACTGGGATTACAGGCGTATGCCACCACATCCGGCTAATTTTGTATTTTTTTTTTAGTAGAGACGGCGTTTCTCCATGTTGGTCAGGCTGGTCTCAAACTTCTGACCTCACGTGATCCGCCCGTCTCAGCCTCCCAAAGTGCTGTGATTACAGGCGTGAGCCACTGTGCCCGGCCGCATTTTTTTGTATTTTTAGTAGTGACGGGTTTCACCGTGTTAGCCAGGATGGTCTCGATCTCCTGACCTCGTGATCTGCCTGCCTCTGCCTCCCAAACTGCTGTGATTACAGGCGTGAGCCACTGCACCCGGCCTTCTGCTTTCCTTTTATTTTTTGAGATGGAGTCTTGCTCTATCGCCCAGGCTGGAGTGCAGTGACACAATCTCGGCTCGCTGCAACCTCCGCCTCCCGGGTTCATTCTCCTGCCTCAGCCTCCCGAGTAGCTGGGACTACAGGCACCTGCCACCACGCCCGGCTAATTTTTTTGTATTTTTAGTAGAGACAGGGTTTCACCATGTTAGCCAGGATGGTCTCAATCTCCTGACCTTGTGATCCGCCAGCCTCAGCCTCCTAAAGTGCTGGGATTACAGGCATGAGCGTGAGCCACCACGCCCGGCCTTCTGCTTTCTTATTCACTCCACTCCAGCCACTCTGGTCCCCTTACTGTCCCTCCAGCACACCAAGCGAGGTGTCATCTCAGGGCCTTTGTGCAAACTGTTCTGCCTGGATCTTCCCCAGGTACTTACATGGCCTCTCCCTCACCTCCTTCAGGTATCTGCTTCAATAATGTCACTTCCTTGGTGAGGCCTCCTTTCTGGGCCTTTTTATTCTTTTTTTTTTTCGATGGGGTCTCACTCTTGTTGCCCAGGCTGCAGCAAGCTATGATTGTTCCACAGTGGTGGCTCACTCTGGTAACTCTGGGCACCAAGGTGAGGGAGATAAAGTGGGCCAGGGTTTAGCCCACTGCTTTTAAGAAAAGCTTAGTGGCCAGGCGTGGTGGCTCACTCCTGTAACCCCAGCACTTTAGGAGGCTGAGGTGGGCGGATCATCTGAGGTCAGGAGTTCAAGAACACCCTGGCCAACATGGTGAAACCCCGTCTCTACTAACAATGCAAAAATTAGCCAGTCGTGGTGGCATGCGCAGGTGGTCCCAGCTACTCAGGAGGCTGAAGCAGGAAAATCCCTTGAACCCAGGAGGCAGAGGCTGCAGTGAGCCAAGATCGTGCCACTGCACTCCAGCCTGGGCGACAGAGTGAGACTCCATCTCAAAAAAAAAAAAAAAAAAAAGCAACAACAACCAAAAAACAAAACCACCACACATTCACAGACACACAAACGTGATCCTCACCTACCTCTGGTTGGTGCTATTGGTCACTCACATTTTAGTAAGAATGCAAGCCAAGCTTTTCTTTCTTTTTCTTTTTGAGATGGAGTCTTGCTCTGTTGTCCAGGCTGGAGTGCAATGGCATGATCTCAGCTCACTACAACCTCTGTTTCCCAGGTTCAAGCGATTCTCCCACCTCAGCCTCCCGAGTAGCTGGGATTACAGGCATGTACCACCATGCCCTGCTAATTTTTGTATTTTTAGTAGAGGAGGGGTTTTGCCATGTTGGCCAGGCTGGTCTCAAACTCCTGACCTCAGGTGATCCACCCGCCTCAGCCTCCCAAAGTGCTGGGGTTACAGGCGTGAGCCACCGTACCTGGCCGCTAAGCTTTTCTTAAAAGCAATGGGCTAAGCCTCTGGCCCACTTTCTCTCCCTCACCTTGGTGCCCAGAGCACAGCCAGGGCAGATTGAACGCCTTTATTTTTCTCAAATATAAAATCAGAGTCTCCTGAGGCAGCACATGAACTCCAGAGAGAGAATCAACAACAAGAATCACATTGCTAAAAAGAACAGGCCTATATCTACCTCCCGCCCTCCCTCCCCACCAATCTGGGAGAGGGAAGAGCAGAGATCATGGCCTCAAAGCTCTCGAGCACCTGGCTGAAGCCCAGTGCTGGGCGCCATGTGAGCTGGAGGAAGCCAGGGTGGGTGGAGCCCAGGCTGGCTTGATTGTGAGGTCTGTCAGTGCTTGTCAGTGGGGCGAAGGTTCAGAGATGCCAGGCGTCCCAAGGGTCCACGGCGAGAATTGGTTGCCAGCCGCTGCTGTGCCAGGAATGACTGGGCATGGGCAGGCGCCCGCTCCTCCCCAGCTCGCTGCTGCAAGGCCATGCCCTTCAGGAGGAGGTGTGGTTGGGGTCAGGTGAGCTCACAGGACCCCCCCACCAATATTCTACCCATGAGATCTTAGAGCCCAGACCCCACACTTACCATATTATACCAGGCACTGATGAGCAGCTTTTCTTCCTGCTCCCGCTGACTTCGGCTTTTCTCAAAGTCCATCTGTCAAGGAGGCAAGTGTCAGGGGCCTAGATACGTTGGAGGCAGCGTAAAGGGACGAGGACACCCACCTCCAGGTGTCGGATGCGGACATCCCGTTCTCGGAGCTGTGTCCTCAGGGAATGGAGTTCTGGAGGTGCCCCCGCAGCTGGCCGCTGCTTGGGTTCCATGGTCTGCATGACCTACAGGTTGAGGAAGTCATAGCCAGGTGACTTTGGCCTTGAAACCCCCTGGGACATACTGGGGTGTGTGTATTCATTCATTCTTTCATTCATTATAGAGACAGAGTCCCCCTATGTTGCCCAGGATGGTCTTGAACTCCTGGCATCAAGCAATTCTCCTGCCTTAGCCTCCCAAAGTGTTGAGGTTACAAGCATGAGCCATTGTGCCCATCCAGCCAGTACTTTATTTTTACTTTATTTTTATTTTTATTTTTGTGATGGAGTCTGGCTCTGTTGCCCAGCCTGGAGTGAAGTGGCGCACTCTCAGCTCACTGCAACTTTTGCCTCCCGGGTTCAAGTGATTCTCCTGCCTCAGCCTCCCGAGTAGCTGGGATTACAGGCGCATGTTACCAATCCCGCCTAATTTTTCTATTTTTCGTAGAGACGGGGTTTCGCCATGTTGGCCAGGCTGCTCTCGAACTCCTGACCTCAAGGGATCAGCTGCTTCAGCCTCCCAAAGTGCTGGGATTAGCGGCGTGAGCCACTGCGCCTGGCTGTGCGTAATTTTTTTTTTTTTTTTTTTTTTTTTTGAGATGGACTCTTGCCCTGTCGCCTAGGCTGGAGCGCAGTGGCACAATCTCAGCTAACTGCAACCTCCGCCTCCCGGGTTCAAATGATTTTCCTGCCTCAGCCTCCTGAGTAGCTGGGATTACAGGCACCCACCACCATGCCCAGCTAATTTTTGTATTTTTAGTAGAGATGGGGTTTCACCATGTTGGCCAGGCTGGTCTCAAACTCCTGACCTCATGTTCCGCCTGCCTTGACCTCCCAAAGTGCTGGGATTACAGCCATGAGCCACGGCACCCAGCCAGCTGTGCAGTATTTTAATGTGACAATCAGTAGCAGTGGGGAATCATGCAGAAGTCTGTCTTATGGTGGGGTATGACAGGTATGAGTTGGGGGCACAGATGTGCAAGCAGGAGGTTTGACTCAATAGGAGGCACAAAAAGTAAGAAGCCAGGGCAGGCAACTTGTGGGAACACCCAGCGTCCTCACCATGCGGGCCTTGTCCACGTAGCGGCGGTATCGCTCCTCCATGGCCCGCAAGTCCGCGTCCTTCTTCTGCAAGTTATGCTGCAGCTCCTCGATCCGCCGGGCTGCTGGCGGAAGAGGTGGCCCATCAGCTCCACGCTGCTGGGCTCTGGGATCTCCCCACCCTCTGGTCACTAGGTCCTACTTACTGCTGCTGTCAGTGGGTGGCTCCAGCTCCTCAATGTACTCCCGCTTCCTCTGCAACTCCAGATCTGCCTCATGAAGCTTCTGCCTGTGGGCCGGGGATGAGCAGCAGTGGGCTGACCTCCGGGCTGGCTTCTCTTTTGTCCCAGTGGTAGCCACAGACCTCCCCGCCAGCCAGAAATGCCCCTACATGGCCACAGAGCCCTCTCTGCCTGCCCCTCATGCCTGGGGCTGTGTGCCCTGGTCCCACCGGCTCCACAGCTGTCAGAGCCACAACCCTCCGCACCCTTAGCAGGTATGCCCCGGAACAGCCCCTGCTGTCCACTTCTTCCCATCCCACAGCTCCCAAGCTGGTTCAGCCACCATCTTCCCTTGCTAGCTTCTTCTACTCTCAAGCACTCCATCCAGCAGCCAGGGATCTTTCTAGAATACAAATCTCTTCAATAGCAGACAGGTAAAAGAAAAGAAAGCAGGCCAGGCGCGGTGGCTCATGCCTGTAATCCCAGCACTTTGGGAGGCCAAAGCGGGTGGATCATCTGGGGTCAGGAGTCCGAGACCAGCCTGGCCAACATAGTGAAACCCCGTCTCTACTAAAAATATAAAAAATCAGCCAGGCATGGTGGCACATGCCTAAGAAACTCCCCACTAATATCAAATCCATGCCCCCACGAGGAGTTCCCTCTTTCTGCGACTTACAAATGTTCCTCCAGCTTCCTTTTCAGCAAAATGGACTGGGAGAGAGAAGAGGCAAGGTGAGTGGGGGATCCAGAGAGGCCCTAATTCTTCCTTCCCAGGGTGAGGGTAGGGGGTGCCATCCTGGGCCCATGGTACTTACAATGGCCTGTATGGGGCATCGGGCAGCATGGGAGAGAGAGGAGGGTTACTTCGGGGCACAAGGGAGGGCCAGGCTGGGAGGTGGTGGGTGACACTCACATCTTCAGTCTTGCCCCCCTGCTCCTGCAGGGCTTTCTGCAGGTCCTCCACCTGGGCCCGCAGCTCGGATAGCTGCTGCTGGTTCAGCCTGCGAGGGTGGGGGGCCGCTTAGTGCCTGTGCCCACTTTTGGCCCCCTCTGTCCCTGCTCCGCGCAGGTAGGTCCCCAGGCGCTCACCGGTGCTGCGTCTCCAACCCGTGGCGCGCGCGGTTGGCATCCTCCAGGTGGCGCTGCAGCTCCTCCTGCCGCTCCCGGTCGGCCGCCTCCTGCCTGCACAGCCGCTTGTTCTCCAGCTGAAGCCGCAGGAGCGTCTCCCTGCAGACCCGGGAGGAGAGAGCAGGGCCAGGGTCGAGTCACCTCGCAGGCTCGCTGGGGCTCAGGGAGAGTGGAGCTAGGGGCGGGACAGAGCCCTGGGGAAGAGCCCAGCCAGACCATGGGGTTGGAGCACCGAGGACCTACTACGGGTTCAGGTTCCCGGCCCAGGGTTAAAGTGGACGGAGCTCTAAGCTGGGATAGTGGGTGGGGCTAGGCAGGGGCGGAGCTACAAGAGTGGATTCGAACAGCTGGGATGGGACTGCTGGAAAGCGGGAAGCAGAAATGGGAAGAACTAGGATGGGACAGTTTTTCGGGGTTTTTTTGTTTGTTTGTTTGGTTAGTTTTGGCTTTTTGTTTGTTTGAGATGGAGTCTCGCTCTGTCGCCCAGGCTGGAATACAGTGGCGCGATCTCGGCTCACTGCAACCTCTGCCTCCCAGGTTCAAGCGATTCTCCTGCCCCAACCTCCCGAGTAGCTGGGACTACAGGTGCGTGCCACCACACCCGGCTAATTTTTTGTATTTTTAGTAGAGACGGGGTTTCACCGTGTTAGCCAGGATGGTCTCGATCTCCTGACCTTGTGATCCGCTCGCCTTGGCCTCCCGAAGTGCTGGGATTACAGGCGTGAGCCACCGCGCCCGGTCGTTTTTCGGGTTTTTAAATCATTTTTATTTTGTAGAGAGGGCCACTATGTTGCCCAAGCTGCTCTCAAACTCCTGGGCTCAAGTGATCCTCCAGCTTCGGCCTTCCAAAGTGCTGGGACTTAGAGGCATGATCCACCGTGCCTGGCCCGGGGTGGGAGAGTTAATCCCGGCAGGGCACAGGGGACTGAAACTCACAGAGGTTACACTAACAGGGGTGGACGCTGGGGGAAAGGATCAAAGTCAGCGGGGCTAGGGCATAGGATTTTTGTGCAGGAACTGGAGCCAGGTGTTGGACATAATTTGTGTACTAAGGATAGACCCTTGAGAGGCAAAGTCATCTGGTAGGGCTGGACAGAGCCAAATCAGGAGTAAGTGGGCCTAGGAGCCCGGCTGGCACCTGGAGCTGAGACCAAGCAACCGGGGCTAGCAGAAGATGGGAGGGCGGGAGCGGGGCTGAGGGCGGGCCTTGGCAAGCCTGGGTGGGGCCAGAGTTTTGAGTGACCCCAGGATACCTGAGCTCCGCAGGCAGGATCTCTGCGGCTAAGTTATCCACGGGTGTGGAGGTGGGATCCAGTGAGGGATCTGAAGAATGCGAGAAAAGTCTTCAGGTCTCTTCGCATCCCCTGTCCCCGCCCCTAGGGTCTTCTTCCCAAGGATCATCTTTTGGGGCTTCAAGTTCAGCCAACAGTCTGGCTTGACACAAGCTCCATCCCCGGCTTGATAGAGAACCGGGAGGGTTGGCCAAGCTTTTTAGCCTTTGCTCCACCCTGAGACCCTGAGCCTCTCTCTTCAATTTGACCGTGTCACCTCTTTCTGGTCACCTCCAGCCTGGCCTAGCTCTGTCCCCAACCTAGACATGCACTGGGACACAACCTGTTCTACCCAAACAGTACACCAGGACAGGTAAGACCCCGGGATGGGGCTTCATCTCACCGGCCTGGGTCAACCCCCGCGGCTGCAGCTGGGCGCAGCGCAGCTCCTCATTGGCCTCCCGCAAGGAGTCCCGCTCCGCCAACAGCCGCTGCAGGGACAGGGTACAAGACACTCCACGGGTCAGGCTCGGCCTCCTGGGAAATGGGCTACCCCAGAATTGGCAGGGTGGGGCTTGGGCAGTGGAACCTCAGCCTCACCTCCTTCTCCTTTGTCACCGACTCATACTTTTCCTCCAGGTTGCGGCATTCAAATAGCCATTTCTCGGCCTTCATGGCCTCCTCCTGCCGCTGGCCCTGCAGTTCCTGCACCTGAACACAGAGAGGGGAGGAATAAGGACAGCAGGGCTGGGAGCAGGGGCAGGGGCTGAGTACAAATGGTCCCCGATCCAGGATGCTTTGACTTATTATTTTTTTGACTTTACTATGGTGCTTTCAGCTGTGTATGTTTTTGCTTGTTTTTTTTAGAGACAGGGTCTCCCTCTGTTGCCCTGGCTGATCTCAAACTCCTGGCCTCAAGCAGTCCTCCCACTTCAGCCTCCCAAAGCACTGGGATTACAGGTGTGAGCCGTTGCACCCAGCCGACTGTGAATGTTAATAGTAGGAACCCATACAACCATTCTGTTTTTCAATTGCAATGAATTAGTCTTCAATAAATTGCGTTATATAGTCAACGCTTTATTATAAAATAGGCTTTATGGTAGATGATTTTGCCAAACTAGGCTAAGGTAAGTTTTCTGAGCATGTTTAAGGTAGGCTAGGCTAGGCTGTGATGCTCAGTAGGTAAAGTATGTTCAATGGATTTTCTTTTTTAAAAAAAATTTAAAAATTTTTATTTTTTGAAAACAGATGGAATCTCGCTATCTTGACCAGGGTGTTCTCGAACTGCTGGCCTCAAGCGATCTCCCATCTCAACCTCTCAAAGTGCTGGGATTATAGGCATGAGTCACCACGCCCAGCTCTCTTTTTCTTTTTCTTTTTTTAATATCTTTTACTTTTTTCTTTTGAGACAGTCTCCCTCTCTCAACCAGGCTGGAGTGCAGTGATGCGATCTTGGCTTACTGCAACTTCCACCTCCCAGGTTCAAGCTATTCTCGTGCTTCAGCTTTCTGGGTAGCTGGGATTACAGGCGCGCGCCACCAGCCCGGCTAATTTTTTTTTTTTTTTTTTTCGAGACGGAGTCTTGCTCTGTCGCCCAGCCTGGAGTGCAGTAGCACGATCTCGGCTCACTGCAAGCTCCGCCTCCCGGGTTCACACCATTCTCCTGCCTCAGCCTCCCGAGTAGCTGGGACTACAGGCGCCCACCACCACGCCCGGCTAATTTTTTGTATTTTTAGTAGAGATGGGGTTTCACCGTGTTAGCCAGGATGGTCTCGATCTCCTGACCTCGGGATCCACCCGCCTCGGCCTCCCAAAGTGCTGGGATTACAGGAGTGAGCCACCACGCCCAGACTAATTTTTCTATTTTTAAGTAGAGACAGGGTTTTGCTATGTTGGCCAGGATGGTCTCAAACTCCTGGCCTCAAGTGATGTGGGGTTACAGAAGGAGTTATGGGGTGCCCGCCTTGGCCTCCCAAAGTGCTGGGATTACAGGCGCGAGCCACCGCACCCGGTCTTTTTCTTTTGTTTGAGTCAGGGTCTCACCCTGTCACCCAGGCTGGAATGCAGTGATGCAGCCACAGCTCACTACAACCTCGAAATCCTGGGCTCAAGTGATCCTCCCGGCTCAGCCTCCCAAAGCGCTGGGATACCAGGCCTGGCCTTTATGCATTTTAGGATATTTTCAATTTACCACGAGTTTTGTTACATGGTTAGGTAGCCCCAAGGAAATCAAGCAGCATGGTGAAGCGGCGGGCATCAAAGAATTTAGAGGAGCGGTACTTAAGGGAAGGGAAAGGCTGGGCTTACTAACCCAGACAGAAGAGCAGCGTGGGTGGAGGGAAGAGGCCCGGAGAGCGTGGCCTACGTACAAATAAGGGAGGGGATCAGGGGTGGGCGGAGGGCTGGCCAACGGTGAGAGACTTGCTGCCAGGGGCGGGGCCCCGGCCCTAACCCCGCCCCCGCCGCACCTGCCGCCGCTGCGCCTCCAGCTGGGCGCGCAGGGAGCCCGCTCGGCGTAGCTCATCCTCCAGTTGTCGCGTGCGCTCGGCGTGGCCGGCGTTGCGTTCCTCCAGCTGCCGCACCTGCCGCCGCAGCTCCCTCAGCTCGCCCAAGCGGCGCCGGCAACTGGTCAGCGTGGCCTCCAGCTGCCCAGCACGCTCCGAAGACTGCCTAGGGGAGTGGGAGGGAAGGGGGAGGGCTGAGAGCTCTGATCAGGGGTCAGCTGGGATGTGGAGTGGCCCTTGGAGCACAGGGTGTTGTTCAGCCTGAGGCTTTTGGGTTCAAGGTGAAGGGGTCATGAAAGTTGAGGGTTAGGGGTCAATCAGGGCCTGGAGCTGTTGAGAGTCATTACAGCAATGGTTAGCCCAGGGTTATAATCAGGTATCCCCTGGGGTGGAATTGTGGGGACACAGAGGGTGGGGTTATAGGGGGAGTGATGGGGAGCCTAGAGAGGTCTGAGCATCTGCCAAGGATACCTTGGAGTCATTGGGGGAGGTATGGGACAAGAGGACTGCGGGGTCCTTAGAAGTGCAATTGGGGGGTGCACTAGTACCTTCGCATTACAGAGATGCTATAGGGGCCCAGTGGAGCCCTTTGTGGTTACAGAAGGCACAGTAGAGTCAAAAGGGGGTGCAAAGTAATTGCATTGTGGAGTCCTAGAAGGTACCATGGGATCCAGGGGCATTATGAAGCCCAAACTGTGCAGTGGGATCTGCAGAGCATTGTAGGGGAGGTTCTTGTGTTTTGGGGGGCCACAGGGATGCTATGGGGTCTTGGAAGCATACTGTGGGATAAGGGGGGGGCAGTGTGGGGTCCAGGGGATATGGTGGAATTCAGGATAGTGCAATGTGGCCTTGGGCGTTCTGTAGGGCTCAGGGTGGCACTGTGGAGTCCAGGGGGCATATTGGGGGTTCACTGGGCACATGAAAATTACAGAGCTGCTATGGCATCAGAGGGGAACTCTGGAAACAGGTTTACCCCCCGCCCCCCGTGATGGGGACCCAGGAACCCACCACTCACCGTAGTTCATCCATCTCATCCTTCAGGGCCTGTGCCTCCTGGGCCAGGCTAGTCAGCGCCTGGTTCCGGTGCTGCAGCTCCGCAACCTCCCTCTCCAGCTCGGCACAGCGCAGGCGCTCATCCTCCCTGCCACTCTCCAGCCTGGGGGTGTTGGGGGAAGAGCACATGAGGGGGCTGCCCTCCCCCGGTCCCCTGGCTTGCCTGGCCCAGTCCCCAGCTGACCACACCTGAAGTTCTCCTCCTGCAACTGCTCCAGCTGGGATTGCAGCAGCAGCAGCTTCTTGGCAGTGAGACCTGGGGTACCCTCGCCTTCAGGCCGGCCCATCCGCTCCCGCAGCCCTGCATTCTCTTGCGCCAGGCTCTGCTTCTCCTCTGACAGGAGCATCAGCTGCGGGCAGGGCAGAAAGATGAGCTTGGGCTTGGAGAGGGGCTACTCAAGTGACCCTGCCCCACCTAGGGCCCTACCTGCCGCTCCAGATCCAGACAGCGCTGCTGTAATTCGTCCCCCTCCTCAGCCTCCTCACTTAGGAAATAGTACCTGCGGGACTGCAGAGATGAGGGGGAAGAGGAACTCAGGGATTCAGGAGAAGGACGGGGGGAGGGAGGCTGAGATCTCTAGAGGCCAAATGGAGGGGGCCAAGAAACCCTCAGGATTGAAAAGAGGGCTGGCGCCGGGTGCAGTGGCTCGCGCCTATAATCCCAGCACTTTGGGAGGCTGAGGCGGGTGGGTTACCTGAGATCAGGAGTTCCAGACCAGCCTGCCCAACGTGGCGAACCCCTTCTCTACTAAAAACACAAAAATTAGCCGGGTGTGGTGGCGTGTGCCTGTAGTCCTGGCTACTCGGGAGGCTGAGGCAGGAGAATCGCTTGAACCCGGGAGGCGGAGGTTGCAGTGAGCCGAGATCGTGCCACTGCACTCCAGCCTGGGTGACAGAGTGAGACTCCATCTCAAAAAAAAAAAAAAAAAAGAAAAAGAAAAGAAAAGAAAACAGGGCTGGGGTTGGAGACTGAAGGAAGAGCGATTCCAGAACACTGGAGACCTGGTACAGGAAGTGGCTAGCACCCTGGAAGATGGGCGTGGCTTACAGGCTTAAGGACAAGCCCCTCCCCCTTAGGCTACCCTGAGCATCTGTAAGTGGGGTCTGGACCTTTAACAAGGTTAAGTCACAAGGTTAATCACAGCAAACTTATCCCCAACTCCCGGCCTTTGGATTTGCTGATCCCTGTGCCTGGAACACCTTTCCCCCAAATCTCTTACCTGGCTGTCAAAGTTGCCATACGTCTCTGGTGACAGGGAGTCAGGAGTGTCTTTGGTCATGAGCTGAGGAGTGGGAAGGGGCATTGTAATGAACTGGATATCTGAGGCCAGCCTTCAAAGTATCTACTATCCAACCTGAGAACCTCTCCATCCTCCCGTCAAGGCCAGTTCTGCCCAATAACCCCAGCCCAGAGGCTGCCCTCCTGCCTCCAACACAGAGGGAAGCCAGATCCCTTGAGCCTGCTAGATTGCGACTTAGAGCTGGGAGGAGCTGGCAGACACATGAGACAGAGATGTCTGGCCAGCTGAGTTCCAGGCAGAGTCCAGACCTTACCAGGGCAGGACCTGTGCCCAGTTCTCTCTGCCCTAGAGATGTCCCCTCTCCTGACATTTTCCAATTGCACACTGAGTGCCCCCACCCACCTCTTGGATGGCTTCCATCACCACATGCTGAACCGATTCTTCCAGCGTCATGATTCTCTGGATGTGGTCTGGGGATCAAGGTGGGGGAGGCTGAGACCCAGGGGTGAGGTGGGGAGGAAGGAGGATTTCCTCAGGCCAGCCCTGGGGACCCCCTAAGCTCCCCATACCCTGCTTTTTCTCGCAACTGATGGCACAGCCCAGCACCAGCTGAAGCAGCTTGCCGAGCTCTGCCGGGTCTGAGAACTCTCCAATGAGGCTCACATCTGGGAGATGCTCTTCTGACACAGGATGCGCCAGGACCTGGGGAGAAGGGGGTGTCAGGGGCTCATGGGCCCACCCTTCTCCCAACTCAACCCCCTGAATCCCTTTACAGTTACTCACATCCTGGGAGTACTCTACTAGGCTCCGTAAGACCATCTTCAGATTGCTGACCTAGGGAGGAACAAGGAACTGTGGACAAGTTCAGAGGCCTCCCACTCTGAATCTGTAGGTCCCATCCTCTCTCCACCTCACTTCTCCTTCCCTGCTCATCTCATCCTATTCTGTCTGCGTGCGCCTTCCTCTAGGGGTGACCTGTCTGGCTGTCTGCCCCTTTTGTCTGCCTGACCATCTTTGTTTCTTTTTTTTTTTTTTTTTTTTTTTGCTTTAGCTTTTTAAGACAGGGTCTGGCTCTGTCACCCAGGCTGGAGTGCAGTGGTGCAATCTTGGCTCACTGCAGCCTCGACCTCCTGGGGTCAAGCAATCCTCCTATCTCTGCCTCCCAGTAGCTGGGACTACAGGCATATGCCACCACAATCGACTACTTTTTTTTATTTGTAGAGAGGAGGTTTTGCTATGTAGCCCAGGCTGGTCTCAAGCTCCTGAGCTCAAGCAATCCTCCCACCTCAGCCTCTAAAATTGCTGGGATTACAGGCATGAGCCACTGTGCCCGGCCTGCCTGACCATCTTCCTTCATATGTCTCCAGAACCAAGTCACTTCTCACCACCTGCCCCACCATCCTTCAGCCCTACCCATCCATCTTTACCTCTCACCTGGATTAGTGCACCAGCTGCCTCTCCTCTTCCACTTTTGCTGCCTACATTTTATTTCTCTCCATGCAGCCAGGGGGAGCTTTATAAAGCCCAAGCCAGGTTGCATCTTTGCTCTGCTAAAACCCTGCCTTGACTTTCCACAGCACTTAAAAATAGAATCCACACCCCCACCATGGCCTGCCAGGCCCCTGATGACCTCATCTCCTACAAATCTTGCCCTCTTGCTCTGTTCTGCCCTCTCTGCCATTCCTCCATCACACCAAGTTTATTCCCAAATCACGGCCTTTACATCTGCTATTCCCTATGCCTGGAACACCGTTCCCCCAAATTTCACTTGGAGATTAACCCATCTGATGTAATCAGCCACCTATGCCCTCATTGCTCTCTCTCAAAGCCCTGCTTTTTTGTTGTCTTCACAGAACTACTGGCATCAAAAGTTTTTTCTTTTTCTTTTTCTTTTTCTTTTTTTCTTCTTCTTGAGACAAGAGTCTCGCTCTGTTGCCCAGGCTGGAGTGCAATGGCTCAATCTCAGCTCACTGCATCCTCCACCTCCCAGGTTCAAGTGATTCTCATGTCTCAGCCTCCCAAGTAACTGGGATTACAGGTGCACACCACCCCACCCAGCTAATTTTTGTATTTTTAGTAGAGATGGGGTTTCAACTTGTTGGCCAGGCTGGTCTTGAACTCCTGGCCCCAGGTGATCCACCCACTTTAGCCTCTCAAAGTGTTGGGATTACAGGCATGAGCCACTGCGCCCAGCCTGGAAGTTAATTTTTATGGTTGTGTATGTGTTGCTTGTCACTAGAATGATGGCTGTGTGGGGCAGGTTTTTGTCTGTGTTATTCCTTGCTGAATGCCCAGGCCTGGCACAGGGTGAGTACTCCATAGATGAATGGATGAACAAATGGTTGATCACCAGACATCTGTCCCTCTTCCTGCCCATCACCCAGGACATGTGCCTAGCTGGCCCGTCCCTGGTCATCTCTTCACCAGTCTGTCCTCTAATCAGGAGTCCACTTGTCACCTTCAGCTTCCAGTTGGGACCTGGATCTTCCGAGATGCCCTGGAGCCATGCCTCGTTGAACCAGGAGGGGTCTCTGGGGGCGAGAAGGTGGGATGAGCAGACTGGGGGACACTTTTGGGATCCTCCCCTTCAGCTCCACTCACATCTGGTTCAGCACATAGGCTACGGCAAGGCCGCTGCTCAGGTCCTGAGGGCTGGCACAGGGAGACGGAACGTGGAACGTCTGTAACTGAGGGGTAAAGGAAAGGACAAGGAAAGAGTTAGGGCCTGGGAGCGCCGAACCGCTCCCCTTTTGCAGACTTTTCCAGTCAGCGAACCTCACATGGTGGGGCGGGCGCTGCTCCGCCACAGCAGCTCTGCGAGGGACTGGCTTCTGCTCACCTGAGACCGGAGGGGGCGTGGCCTCACCTCACCTCTGCCCAACAAACCCTGCGCGTCCAGGCCAGGGTGGTATCGCGAGTCACCTGGGCCCCACAGGCACCACGTGACCAGGCCAATTCACCTGTGTCCTCGCCCCACGTGAACCAACCACAGAGGGGCGGGGCCTCACCTGTCCTTTCCACGCAGACTTGCCACGTGACGGGGGCGGGTGCTCGGGCCAGAGTCCAACGGTCCAGCAAGTCGACGACCCCGCACCTCCCAGCCCCAGCACCAAGAGACTGACCGAACCAGGGCCAGGGATCCCGGGCAAGAGGAGCGGGCGCTCACCTTCCCCTAGCCCCGCCCCACGACCTACCCAGGTGAGCAGAGACCCGCATAGCTCAGCTTTGTCCACGCTCATGGCTCCCGATCGGATTCAATCCAGGCCACGGAGCCCCGGCGCCGCAGCAGCCTCCGGGTCCGCCACCAGCGAGCGCCCGCAGCCCCGACCTCCCGCTCGGCCTAGAGCGCCGCCCCGCCCCGCCCCCCTAGGCGCAGGCCCCGCCCCGCCCCCAAGCCCAGGCTCCGCCTCGGAACGTAATCTCCTCCCTACGCCCGCTCTTGCCTCCAGCCCCGCCATCTTGGATCCGGGCACCGTTCGGGCGCCCGCCCTGCCGCTAGGGGTCAGCCTGGCCCAGCCTTGTGCATCCGAGGGTGGTCCCACCTCCCATCCTCGCCCTGGCCCTTTTTGGGGTGGGAGGTCCTCAAGATCCTTTTGAGACGGAGGTGCTCCACCCTGTTACACAAGCGCATTCACGTCTTTTCCCTGCAACTTAAGTAAATTCTTTTTTTTTTTTTTTTTTTTTTTGAGACGGAGTCTCGCTGTCGCCCAGGCTGGAGTGCAGTGGCGCAATCTCGGCTCACTGCAGGCTCCGCCCCCTGGGGTTCACGCCATTCTCCTGCCTCAGCCTCCCGAGTAGCTGGGACTACAGGCGCCCGCCACCTCGCCCGGCTAATTTTTTGTATTTTTAGTAGAGACGGGGTTTCACCGTGTTAGCCAGGATGGTCTCGATCTCCTGACCTCGTGATCCGCCCGCCTCGGCCTCCCAAAGTGCTGGGATTACAGGCGTGAGCCACCGCGCCCGGCCTTAAGTAAATTCTTGTGTCTAACCACTTTATAATCGGAGCCGTTGTGCGGGGAGGGGCGAGCCCTGGCACTTTCTATGGACTGGGAGAGGGGATGCTAAAGGGGTTTTCCCGCCGGACGCGGTGGCTCTCGACTGTAATCCCAGTATTTTGGGAGGCCTAGGAGGGAGAATTAATTTGGATAGAAGTTGGAGACCAGCCTCTCTTCAAAAAATTTAAAAATTACCCAGGTAGCGGTGGCTCACGCCTGTAATCCCAGCACTTTGGGAGGCCGAGGCGGGCGGATCACGAGGTCAGGTGTTCGAGACCAGCCTGGCCAACATGGTGAAACCCCGTCTCTACTAAAAATACTAAAAATTAGCTGGGCGTGGTGGCGCACGCCTGATTTCAGCTACTCGGGAGGCTGAGGCAGGAGAATCGCTTGAACCCTGGAGGCGGAGGTTGCAGTCAGCCGAGATCGTACCACTGCACTCCAGGGGGCAACAGTGCAAGACTCCTCAAAAAAAAAAAAAAAAAAATTAGCCAGACATGTTGGCGTGTTTCTGTGGTCCTAGCTCCTAGCTCTACAGAGGCTGAGGTGGGAGGATAGCTTGAGCCCAGGAGGTCGAGACTGCAGTGAGCCGTGATAGGGCCACTACACTCCAGTCTGGGTGACAGAGCAAGACTCTGTCTCAAAAAAAAACAGTAAAAATTTAAAAATAGGGCCGGGCGCGGCGGCTCACGTCTGTATCCCAGCACTTTGGGAGGCCTAGGCAGGCGGATCACGAGGTCAGGAGATCGAGACCATCCTGGCTAACACGGTGAAACCCCTTCTCTACTAAAAATACAAAAAATTAGCCGGGCATGGTGGCACGCGCCTGTAGTCCCAGCTACTCGGGAGGTTGAGGCAGGAGAATAGCTTGAACCCAAGAGGCGGAGGTTGCAGTGAGCCGAGATCGCGCCACTGCACTCCAGCCTGGGCGACAGAGTGAGACTGTCTCAAAAAAAATAAATAAAATAAAATAAAATAAAATAAAATGCCTGGCGCGATGGTTCACATCTGTAATCCCAGCACTTTGGGAGGTCGAGGAGGGAGGACTGCTTGAACCCAGGAGTTCGAGAACAGCCCTGGCAACACAGCGAGACTCCGTCTCTACAAAAATAAAATAAAAAATAAAAGTAGCTGGGCGTGGTGGCACGCGCCTATTCCCAGCTACTCCAGAGGCTGAGGTGGGAGGATCGCTTGAGTCCGGGAGGTCAACGCTGCAGTGAGCCGTGGTCGCGCCACTGCACTCCAGCCTGGACGTCAGGGGGGAGACCCTGTTTCAAGAAATAAATAAATGAATGGATCCTCCCTGCATTATTGACTCCAGCAGTAGATAAGGGGACACGGGTATGGTCCTAGGTCGAGAAGAGGTCAGTTAGACACACATGTCCTGGCTGATGGATAGGCACCCTTGCCCAGCCTGGATCCGTCTTCCACGATATTCCCCCCGCGCCTTGCCCTCCCCAGATGCGCGCCCGGCATCACCCCCACCTCAGAACCCAGGATTTGGCTGAAGCTGCCGCGTCGCCCGGGCCCACCAGGGGGCGCGGAGACCGCAGAACGCGGCCTAGGGGGAAGACTGTGCGCCCGCCCTGAAACCCCGGCTGGGGCGGTGGAGCGGGGGTCAATGGAAAGTGATGGGAATTATAGTTAACAATAAATTGCAGTCACCATGTATGGAGTGCTTACTGTATGCAGTCCTTGCGCTAAGCGATTTAAATACATAGACTATTGAATCCTCCCCATGTCTCCAGATGGCAAGTGCTGTTTTAATTCCCTGCTTTGCCGGCGAGAAAACAGAGGTTCCGAGTGGACCGGGTTTTGAGGGGAAGGGTGAAGCCCAGGCTCGCGCCCTGTGACCCCAGGGTCCCTCTGCAACCCCTCCCCGGTAGACGGGCGGGGTAATGTGCACTAATTAGAGGTTATTAGCTGTACCCAGAGGGAGGGGCGGGCTCTGCATTGGGGGCGGGCCCAGATCGGAGGGGAGGGGCGCTGCTCCCACCCACCCAGAAGATCCTGGCGCCAGAGACCTTGCCCCGGAGCAGGGTGGGCAAAGTGACAGCTGCTCCCCGCGCGCATCGCACGAACGCAGTCACTCACCCCCAGACACCCGATTACAGCCCACTCATGCGCAGCCGTACGCACCCGGGGGCCTCGGATGCTCGTCCATATCCCCACAACCTCCTCCCGCGTGGTTTTCCAGACTCCAGCCCCTGGGAGCGGGTGGAGAGGATAGTGGGGGAAGGGGACAAGGGCCGGCAGCGCTGGCTTCCGGACTGGGCTGTCTTCCGGCGGTCGTGGGAACAGCTGCCGTTGGCTCCCCGACCTCGCATTCACCAGAGGAGAGGGTGCTGCCAATACAGGGAAACAGGGCCACCCCGTTCCCAGGTAGCAATGGGAGGTGAGCCAGGAACCACAGCTGTTACAAGCATGGGTGGCTGGACATGCTGAGATCACCACATTAGGGCGGGGGTCGCAGGGATTTTGATGTTTAGGGGAAATCTGGAAATCCAAATATTTAGGCAAATTGACTTAAATTGTGCTAATGTTGGCGTGATGTTGTGGGCGTCCCAGATGTTCGGGGAGCCAGGAGTCCCCAGACTTAAGGAAAATCTGGGTGTGCTCAATTTGGGGGAGGAGCATAACCCTCCATTTTGCGGCGGCAGGGAGTCCCACATTTGGGGAAAAGCAGTGAGCTTCTATGTCGGCGGGGAAGACAGCAGCAATCTCTGTTTTGAAACACAGGGAGCCCCGCTGTGCGGAGATCCAGGCACCTTTAATTCAGCAAGAGGGGCTGAAAAACCCTCCACATTTTGGAAGAAGGATCCAAACCCCTGTTTTAGGTAAAGAGAGCCCCCAACGTTTTGGGGGATGGTCTGAAGGCCGCCATTTGTAGGGACACAGAGCCCTGGTGTGCAGGTCTGGGCCAGCAGCCCCCAGCTGGATTGGGGAGCCCACCCCCTCTACTGGTTTCCAGGAACAGCTGGGCCCAGCCTAGGTTGTACTGCTGGGAAGCGGCTGACTCAACCCCTCCCTGTGGCCACAGCTGGACCCCGGCCTGCCCCCTCCAGCGTTCACATCTGGGCAGGGATCCAGTCTTCATCAGGGCTGAGAAGGGGACCCTCAGTCCCACAACTGGAGAACAGTGCCCCTCTGCCACTCCCCTGGCTGACCACAGCCACTGGGTGGACTCCATGCATCATCACCATGGAGGACTCTGGCAGGCCCCCTACAGCCCAGATATTGACATCCTGCCAGGAACTCCTAGCCAGTCCCCCCTCCCTGTGTCTGTGTGTGTCTGAGTCCATGTGAAATGTGCTAGGTTTTTTTGTGTTTTTGAGAGAAAGGGTTTTGCTATGTTGCCCAGGATGGTCTCGACCTCCTGACTTCAAGTAATCCTCCTGCCTCTGCCTCCTAAAGTGCTGGGATTTCAGGCGTGAGCCACGGCGCCTGGCCAAATGTGCTGGTCTTTGTAGGTGTGAGATGGAGGATCTGTGACTGTGTGTACACGGGCATGTGTCCTGCATCCATTGTGTCATAAGGCCTTCGAGTTTGTGCAACAGGCTGTGCCTGATTTGATGGGGGGGAGGGCTGGTTTCGGGGACTGGGGGAGGGGAAATTTGTAACATCCTTGTCGGTAACATCCTTGTCCGTAACATCCAGGTTGGGGCCGGGCTTGGTGGCTCGCGCCAGTAATCCCAGCACTTTGGGAGGTCAAGGCAGACAGATCACTTGAGGTCAGGGGTTCAAGACCAGCCTGGCCAACATAGTGAAACCCTGTCTCTACTAATAATACAATAATCAGCCAGGCGTGGTGGTGAGCGCCTGTAATCCCAGCTACTCAGGAGGTTGAGGCAAGAGAATTGCTTGAACCTGGGAGGCAGAGATTGCAGTGAGCCGAGAACGCGCCATTACACTCTAGCCTAGGTAACAAAGCAAGACTCCATCTCAAAAACAACAACAACCAAAAAAACCCATCCAGATTTTAGGGTGACTAGGGAACCTCTAGTGTGTGCCCCTGTGTATCTCTGTATGGTCCAGGCAGAGTTTGGGTGGGGCTCTCTCACTCCAATTGCATCTTCATGTGTTGTGTGTCTGTGTCTACTATATACGTCTATATGGGACCTCACTTTGGGTCTATATCTGTGTCATTCTTTTTTTCTTTTTCTTTTTTTGAGACGGAGTCTCACTCTGTCACCCAGGCTGGAGTGCAGTGGAGCGATCTCGGTTCACTGCAAGCTCCGCCTCCCGGGTTCACACCATTCTCCTGCCTCAGCCTCCCAAGTAGCTGGGACTACAGGCGCCCGCCACCAGGTGTGGCTAATTTTTTGTATTTTTAGTAGAGACGAGGTTTCACCGTGTTAGCCAGGATGGTCTCGATCTCCTGACCTCATGATCCGCCCACCTCGGCCTCCCAAAGTGCTGGATTACAGGCGTGAACCACCGCGCCCGGCCTTTTTTTTTTTTTTTTTTTTTTTTTTTTTGAGACAGAGTCTCGGCCGGGCACGGTGGCTCACGCCTGTAATCCCAGCACTTTGGAAGGCCGAGGTGGGCGGATCAGGAGGTCAGGAGATCGAGACCATCCTGGCTAACACAGTGAAACCCCGTCTCTACCAAAAATACAAAAAATTAGCCGGGCGTAGTGGCGGGCGCCTGTAGTCCCAGCTACTGGGGAGGCTGAGGCAGGAGAATGGCGTGAACCCGGGAGGCGGAGCTTGCAGTGAGCGGAGATGGCTCCACTGCACTCCAGCCTGGGTGACAGAGCGAGACTCCGTCTCAAAAAATAATAATAATAATAAATATAAAAATAAAGAAAAAGAAGGCTGGGCGCGGTGGCTCACGCAGGTAATCCCAGCACTTTGGGAGGCCGAGGTGGGCGGATCAGGAGTTCAGGAGATCGAGACCATCCTGGCTAACACGGTGAAACCCCGTCTCTACTAAAACTACAAAAAAATTAGCCGGGCATGGTGGCGGGCGCCTGTGGTCCCAGCTACTCGGGAGGCTGAGGCAGGAGAATGGCGTGAACCCGGGAGGCAGAGCTTGCAGTGAGCCAAGATCATGCCACTGCACTCCAGCCTGGGCGACAGAGCAAGACTCCGTCTAAAAAAATAAAATATAAAAAAAATAAATAACGAAAAAGAAAAAGAGACAGAGTCTCGCTCTGTCGCCCAGTCTGGAATGCAGTGGCGCCATCTCAGCTCACTGCAAGCTCCGCCTCCCGGGTTCACGCCATTCTCCTGCCTCAGCCTCCCCAGTAGCTGGGACCACAGGCGCCCGCCACTACGCCTGGCTAATTTTTTGTATTTTTAGTAGAGACGGGGTTTCAGTGTGTTAGCCAGGATGGTCTCGATCTCCAGACCTCCTGATCCGCCCGCCTTGGCCTCCCAAAGTGCTGGGATTACAGGCGTAAGCCATCGCGCCCGGCCGTCCACTTGACGTTTTGAGTGTCCCTGTACGTGGTCTTGTCTCTGTGACTGTATCCCATTTCGTGCCCCCTATTTGTGGTAACAGGGGTCATGCGATGGCATGACTATCTTATGTGTCTGTATGTATCTCTGTGCCACCACAATCACCATGGAAGAAGTGTGGCTGTGTGACAAAACAAGCCCTGGTGTGCAAAACTGTGTCCCTCCCTGTTCCTGTTTTTTTTTTTTCTTTTGAGACGGGGTCTCCTGTGTCGCCCAGGCTGGAGTGCAGTGGCACAATCGCTGCTCAGTGCAGCCTTGAATTCCTGGCCTCAAGTGATCCTCTCGCCTCAACCCCCACATACCTGGGACTATAGACACGACTATAGGCATGCACCACCATGCCCAGCTCATTAAGAAAAAATATTTTTGTAGAGACAGGGGTCTTGCTATGTTGCCCAGGCTGGTCTTGAACTACTGGCCTCAAGCGATCCTCTGGCCTTGGCCTCTCAAAATTCTGAGATTACAGGCCTGAGCCACTGCGCCCGTCCTATTTTGCTGGATGGGGTTGCTTTATCAGGATGTATCTGCCACCTACCTATGTATGAATATGGCTCTGTTTGCGTCCCTATCACAAACGCTATGTGACTGACGTGCCTGTGTGATTGTCTGCGTCTCCATCCACGTGTGTCCGTGTTCGCTGCGAGGCTGGCTGGACTAGAATGGGTTGGTGCCAAGATGTGGCAGGTGTATCCTGCGTCCGTGTGACACTGTGGGTCGGGGAGTTTGTTTGTGACTTTGTGTGTAGGGGGCGGGAAGTGGGAGTCAAAGTCACAGAGGACAGCAGGCTGCGCGGACGCAGTGATGTGCGCAGAGGGCCTCCCGCCCCGCCGTTCCCCTCCGGGAGGCGCCCTCCCCGCGTTGCGGGGGCGCGTGCGTCGTGCGTGACGTGAGACACGACGGGGGTCGCTGCGTGCGTGGAACCCGACGCGGTCGTGCGTGCAAGCGCGGGGGGTGGAAGGGCGGGAGCTCTGCACTGGCTGCGTGCGCGCGTGCGTGGGCGGTGGCGGGGGCTGGGCGAGCGGAGGCGCGCAGGGCAGGACCAGCCCCGCCCCGGCCGGGACCTTGGGGCGCCGGTGAAACCCGGGAGGGGGCCTCCGTTAACCCCTTCCTGCCCGATCCGAAACTTGTGGCCCCTCGACCGAGCGCCCGGGGGCTTCCCCAGCGCCTGACGGGAGGGCAGTCCCTGTTGGGGGAGGGACCTTTCCCATGGAGCTGAGACCCCCCCCCCAGTTGCCATGGGAACCAGAGCTTCCCGCGTAGCCAGGCGCGTGTTTCCTTTCCCCGCCCAGCCATCCTGCTTTTCCTCCAGCTGCCTAGTCTACTGACAATGCGCTTCCCGCTCGTGATCCCGGGAGAAGGGGGCTGGGGTCAGCGTCGCCCGGGCGTGCGTGACTCAGGCCAGCCCGGGGGTCCCCTGGCCGCAGCTGGCCTCGCTCCCGCTTCTCCGCCCCCGTGACTCACCCCTCCCGGCTTTCCCCGCGTGTGACTCAGGCCCCTGGGGAGGGGGCTGCGGAGTCTGGGACCCCTACAGACAGTGGGGCCGAGAACCAAGTTCTGGGGACTTCGCTCTCCGCGGGGAAGGCCTCCCCCACCAGCGAGCATCCGAGGGCCAGCGACTCCCCTTAGCAAGCCAGAGGCGCCCCCCCCAACTCCGCCTCTGAATTGGTAGACCCCCCACCCCCACCCCTGCAAACCTCCGGGAACCCAGCCCCCAACCCCTCCTCCCAGCCCACAGGAAGTTTTGGCAGAGCCCGTCGCGGCGATGAAACGGTTAAAGCCGTTTTCTTATTCATTTCATCCAGGGGCCCATTTTGACTCAGAGCAAGCCGGCGCCCCCCTCGAGCCTGGCCTCCTGGGGGCCTGGGTGCATACTCCACCCCACATGTACCATTTTTAGAGAGGGGAGGATGGCGCTTGGTGAGCTGGCTGGGGGTCTTGGGTAGCATATAGAGCTGGGTTCAAATCCTGTCTCTGCCCTCATTGCTGCCTGGACCTCAGTTTCCCCATCTGAAAATGAGGGATCATTATGTCCAGCTTGTTGGGTTGTTGTGGGGATTAGGTGAATAATAGATGGGAAACTCTGCATCCAGGGTTGAGCACGGGAGCCAGAAGAGGGCTCCTCCTGTTTCTCAGGCCTGGGTGTCAGGGTGCCCAGCAGAAGCGAGTCCTTGCCGGGCAGGCCATGCCCCACCCAGACACTCTAAGGCCATGGGGTTCATCTTGTCCACCCCCTGCCCGAGGCAGGCACCCAGGAAGTGAGAGGCGGGGCAGGAATGAGGCACAACCTGTTGGGCCCGTCACCTCCCCGCCCCCCACCCTCATTCCAGTGCCCTGAGAGGGCCCCCCCACGCTGCAGCCCCACCCCCGCCGCCCTGGACGCCTGGGTCCTGACCCGCGGGTGGCCCGAGGGAGGGGACGTCGGATGGAGACTGTGTCTCGGGAACATCCTGTGGACTGCTGGCTGGACAGACGGAGGAGGGTCAGCCCCTCCCGGGGCAGGGCAGACATTGACTGGGGGCAGAGTAAACATGGCCCAGGGTGACCAGACAGGGGGCGGGCGGGGGGCTGTAGGAATGTACACACAGTCACCCCGAGAGAGCCAGTCCAGACACACAAACCCCTGTCACCTTGGCCACAGAGAGACTGCCAGCCAGGGACACACAGACAGGGTCAGACATACAGCTGGGTAAGATGATCCAGCAATGACTGTCACACATGGACACAGTGACAGACCAGACCCTCAAGCAAGAGACACACACCGTCAAACACATGAACGCATCCACTGGTCAAAAATACGCAGGCAGGCCGTGTGCGGCGGGGATAAATCAACCCAGCACATAAGCATGATAGACACAAACACACAGAGACTGACATTCAGGTGAGAGGCACACAGCAAGGCAGACACAATGGCGTGTGACACACATGGAGACAAACACAATAGGCTAGAAACATAGGGGCAAGACAGACACAGAGTGAACTATATGTGAGACAAGCAGGCAACATGTGCATGCTGATAGGAGAGACAGTCACTTTCAGCACCAGCACCCCGAGAGCCACACGAGAGATATGCAGACACAGGCATGCACTATCAGATCCTGACACGCAAGAGAAGGCAACACACACACACCCCAGATCTCCAACTCAGAAGATAGAGACAAGACAAGAGAGACAAACCTAGGGACAGAGATGATGTGTTCACAGTATGGCAGAGAGTCCCTGGCACCCTGGCCCACCACTGTTGCACACACATCAGAGATGCTCCCAGGGACACCAAGCCGAAGCCTTAGAGGTACACACCATCTCACCAGGAACACACACATGTGGGACCTGGCAACAGATTGGGTAGATCTGGGCAGACTGACACATTCACAGACATGGTCTGGCCAGACAGTCACACCCAGTGCAGAGAGGCACAGACAGGCCACAGTGGGACATTCATAAACACATCGGCACAGAAAGACCATGACAAAACCTGTTTGCACACACACACATGCACACATACAAACGGAGATCAGTAACAGGCAACATACAGATCAGCCACAGAACACACACATGGAAACAAGCCACAGACCTCACACACAGAGACCACACACACACACCAAACACAAACCAGCCACAGACCTCTTTTTCACACACACACACACACACCAGATCGTATACACACATACATACAGACCAGCCACAGACCTCTTTTTCACACACACACAAATGCACATTACAGATCGTATACACACAGACCAGCCACAGACCTCTTTTACACACACACAAACAGATCATATACACACATACAGACCAGCCACAGACCACACACACAAACACACATACACACCGACACAAGTTAGCCATAGGAACTTTGAAACAACCTACACGTACATACATCTAGACCATGTGCAACCCATCCTATAGAGCTCACACACACACAGAGTGGAACAGAACTCTACACAGATAAGCCCTACATAGACCTTTGCATCCAGGGCTGGGCACAGAAGCGGGCAGAGGGCTACTCCTGTCTCTCAGGCCTGGGTGTCAGGGTTGGACCAGCACACACTCTCACATGCACCCTATAGGCCAGTCACACGCTTGCCCCCTGGACCTTGCCAAGGTTCTGTGGGGGCACTGGACACCCCAGTCTGTCTCTGCCCCACAGAGATCCTGGCACTTCCTCTCTCCAAACATCACCCCCACTTCCCTCCCTCTTTGCTTTTGCCACTTCCCCTAGGAGGCCTAGCTCAGCAGCCTCTGCTCCTGCTGGGGTGGGGGCCTGCTATAAAGAGGTCACCCAGGGTCTTGGTGATGCCCAGGTCCCCCAAGGCTTCACCAGCAGTGGCAGGGATGGAAGCAGCTTCCTGAGAAACTCCCCTCATGCCCAACCATGTCAGCCTGGAGAGAGAGAAAGAGAGAGACTCTCCTTCCTGCTTCCAAGAAAACCTAGCAGCTTCCTCTCCAGGAGAGGGGGCAAAGGACCCCCAAACCACAGAGGTGGGAGAGGGAGGCGGCTGGTAGGCCAGGAGTTCCTGGGGGAGGGCTCCTGCCGGGCCTCAGATCCACACCCAGGGGCAGGGACACGGGAGGGAGGCTGGGTGCTGTGTGCTGCGATTTGTGGGTTCTCGCCCTGGCCTGCCCACTGGCTGACTCACAGGCAGCCCCCAGCCCAGTTTCCTAGTGAGGGCCCCACTGGTCAGTGGGGCCAGCAGGGAGGGGGGTCACCGGGCTATTTATAAGAAGGAGAAGTCCCTCGTGCCAAGACCAAAAGCCCCGAAGA
Source organism: Homo sapiens (assembly GCF_000001405.40). Lineage (NCBI taxonomy): Eukaryota > Metazoa > Chordata > Mammalia > Primates > Hominidae > Homo > Homo sapiens. The sequence continues at coordinate 12,786,430 of NC_000019.10, forward strand.
CACTTGTGGGTGGGGGTGGGTGAACTTCCTCCTTATCCTGTGCCCTAGGCCCCAGGCCCTGGGGCACTGGGGAAGCCTGCGCAGGGACTTCTTAGCCAGGTGCTGGTCTGGAGCCCAGGGCCTGGGCAGTACCCAGCTGCCAGTCTGGACGCTCAGGCCAGTTGGGGGAGGGGGCTGTTCTCCCACCCTCCTCGTGGGGCCGGCCTGGCGCCAGTGGGGCGGCTTGAGGGGGTGGTGCCCAGGCCACAAGGGTGACACTGGCAGAGGCCTGGAACCGGCTGTACCAGCTTGGCTGGGCCCCCGCCCTCCCTGTCTGGCCCAATCTCCACCCCGTGCTCAAACACCCATGCAGAGTGTTTGGAGGAACCCTACTCCCACATGCTGGCCTGTCCACAGAGACCCGTGCCCCTCTGTCTGTGCCCCACCACATTTCTCCCCCAATTAAAGGAGACCCTCAGTGGGGTGCGGTGGCTCACACCTGTAATCCCAGCACTTTGGGAGGCCCAGGTGGGAGGATCCCTTAGGGCCAGGACTTCCAGACCAGCCTAGGCAACAGAATGAGACCCTGTCTCAATAAAATATAAAAAAATAAAACTTAGCAGTTGTGGTGTGCTTGTAGTCCCAGTTACTCTGGAGGCTGAGGCAGGAGGATCGCTTTTACCCAGGAGTTCAGGGCTGCAGCGAGCTATGATTGTGTAGCTGAACTCTAGCCTGAGCAACAGAGTGAGATGGTCTTGTTTTGTTGCCCAGGCTGGAGTCCAGTGTCAAGATCATGGCTCATGTGATCCTCCTGCCTCAGCCTTCGGAGTAGCTGGAACTACAGGCACACCCTCCTGACCTCAGCTAATTTTTAAATTTTTTTGTAGAGATGGGGGTCTTGCTGTGTTCCCCAGGCTGGTCTCAAAAATTTCTGGGCTAGGGCTGGGCGAGGTAGATCATGCCTGTAATCCCAGCACTTTGGGAGGCTGAGGCGGGCAGATAACTTCAGGTCAGGAGTTCGAGACCGGCTTGGCCAACATGGTGAAACCCCATCTCTACTAAAAATACAAAAAATTAGCCTGGCGTGGTGGCATGCGCCTGTAATCCCAACTATTCGGGAGGCTGAGGCAGAAGAATAGCTTGAACCTGGGAGGTGGAGGTTGTAGTGAGCTGATATTGTGCCACTGCACTCCACCCTGGGCGACAGAGTGATATTTTGTCTCAAAAAAACAAAACAAAACAAACAATAAAAAAAAACTCCTGGGCTCAAGTGATCCTCCCCCTCGGCCTCCCAAAGTGCTGAGATTATAGACGTGAGCCACTGTGTTTGGCCAAAGTGAGGTTCTCTTTAAAAAAACAAAAAAAGGGCCGGGCATGGTGGCCCACGCCTGTAATCTCAGTACTTTGGGAGACTCAGGCGGGCTGATCACAAGGTCAGGAGTTCGAGACCAGCCTGACCAATATGGTGAAACCCCGTCTGTACTAAAAATACAAAAATTAGCTGGGCATGGTGGCATGCGCCTGTAATCCCAGCTACTCAGGAGGCTGAGGCAGGAGAATCGCTTGAACCCAGGAGGCGGAGGTTGCAGTGAGCCAACATCATGCCATTGCACTCCAGCCTGGGCGACAGAGCAAGACTCCATCTCAAAAAACAAACAAACAAACAAACAAACAAAACACCAAAAAAAGAGGCCCTTCATGAGACGGCCTGCAGCTGGTACTGCATACATGCTTCTCTGGTTGTCATTATTCACAACACAGTGGCTAATGCTCTGAAGCCAGACAGCTTGGATTATATCTCAACTCTAGTGCTTCTAGCTGTTGGACACCAGACAAGTTCCTTAATCTCCTGTGGCTCAGTTTCTCATCTGTTACATGGGGATACAAATAACATGCATTTTGCTGGATTGTTGGAAGCAGTCGATGACTTATTTTATGTTAACCACTTAGAAGAGTGCCTAGCCCACAGTAAGAGCCATGTAAGTGTTGGCTATTAAAATAATAATTATTATTTCTCAGCCTATCTATCTTAAGTGTTTCTGAGTCTCACTGTCTGCGTGACACTAACCTTGAACCCATTTGTCTCTCTGGGCATCTCTCCCTGCCCTGCGCCCCTGCCCCCATACACCCACTGTTCCTTGCCCTCCTCCTGGGATGGACTCTGTCTGGGATGGCCTCACCTCTCTCTAGGACTCCCTCTGGCATGGCCAGCCTCAGCCCTGGCCAGGGCTGAATTACTGTGGCCTCCTGGCTTTTGGGACCTGCAAGTTAGCTTCCCAAGGTGCTGCCCTCTGGCCTGCCCTGCCCTGCCCAACCCCCCAACGCTGCCCGCTGCGCCCCCGCGGGGCCCAGCCAGATGTCAGCTGCAGTTATTAGCCTGGGCGGGAGACACAGGCCTGGCAGTGTGCCTGCCAGACTCACAGGCCTCCGGAATCTCCCTTGAGCCTGGGGAGGGGGAGGGGAGCCATTCAAGCAAGGGGAAGAAGGGAGGGGGCATTTAGGGGTCACAGGGACCCTCCAAGGACGGGACGCCCCCAGCTTCTGCTGGGACCTTCCTCCAGCAAGGCCACTGCACTGCTGGACTTCCCCCTGCCCCCACATAGCTCAGTTTCTTTTTCGCCTCTTTCGTTTTCCTTCTCTTTCCCACACTTGGTGAGATCTAGGCTGCCCCGGAATGGCTGTTTAACCCCTATCCCTTAGCCTCTTTCTACCCTAAAGAAGAGAGAGGCTCTCTTCATCCTCCAGAAGACAGAGGCCTGGGAAGCTGAGAGAGAGAGAGAGAGACAAAGAGAGAGAGAGAGAGACAGAGACAGAGACAGAGACACTAGGCTTCTCACCTCTTGGTCTAGTGGGTTCACACACTAACTGCTCGGAAGTCCCACCTTAAGTCTAACTGGAAGCCTGACCGTCTGCACCTCGCCGCAGCCCTTCCCGGGAAGGGGCTCTGGGTTCCCTCATATTCTCCCCTTAGATTTTCAGGTCTTCTCTGACTCGGGGAGGGAAGCTCTCAGATGACAGAGCTACTCTAGGGAAGGAGGGGGGCTCCCTCTAGGTATTCTGGATGATAGTAGGATGGGACCTGCAGACTAAAACGAGAGTGGGGCCCCTGACTCACATGAGTGAGTGGGGGGTGTTGGGGACGGAGCTCCAGATCTCCTGGCAGAAGGGAAGGGCACCCCACCCGAGGGAGGAGGCAGCCGCCGTTCCAGCCCGCCCAGGCGCCGGGGGCGCCTCGAGGCATCGGCCCGCCCTCTCCGCGCCCCGTCGGGCCGGGGGCGAAGTCCGACCCAGGCCCGCGGGCAGGCGGGGACCTGCCGGGCTGGGTTGGGCCAGGCCGGGCCTGGCAGGACGCAGCCCCAAAGCGGCGGGGTGGGGCGGGGCCGGGCCAGGCGGCCGTGGGGGCCCCGGGGGCGGCGGTCGGGGCTGGTCGGGACTAGCAGTCTGGGGGCCCAGGCGCGCCCTGGGACCTGGCAGATAGTCGGGTTCCCCGCTTCTGGCTCGGGGCCCCAGGACAGCGCTGGTCCCACCTCTTCCTGTGCCCTAATATGGGCGGCGGGGAGAGACTTCGGGGGCCGGCCCGCGCTCAGTCCTGCCCGCGGACTCCCGCCTGTTGCCATGGCGACCAGGCCCCGCTCCTCGGCTGCGTCCCCCGCCGTCGGGCCAATGGAACACTCCCCAAGCCGCCTGCCTCCGCGGTCCCCTGCAGGCACCGCGGGCGGAACCATTGCTTGAGGGGAGAGGATGGTGGCTGGAGGCTGCCGCGGCTGGGCGGGCTCCAAGCACCCGGGCCTCCGCGGGGGCTCGCACGCCCAGGTTCCTCTTCCGAGGCGCAGGATGCGGCGGGACCCAGGGCGGGGCGCACGGTCCCGTAGGATCCGAGTGACGGAGACAGGGCCGGGCTCCTTCCCCCGGGGCTGTTGCCACACTTCCTGCCTCTGCGCTCTTTCCCCAGCCTGTTTCTAAGGAAGGGAGTGGGGTTGGGCGACCGCGCCCCAGCCGTCGGGCTGGGTCCAGGCTCTAGGAGCCGACACGGTGTTGGGCAAAGCCCAGGGTCAATAGGGGAGGGTTTTAGGATGGGGGACAGAGAATACAGATGACTAAGAGGTTACCATCGAGGGGGAGCAGCAGTCGTGGAAGATCCAGCAGTCCTGGTGCGCGGGACCCTCAAGGCCCCCTCCTCACATGTCAACTGAGTACCCTCTTATTGTCTTCTCTGCTCCGAAGATGTGTCCGGCCCCTTCTAACTCTCTCCTTCATCCGGGCTAGCAGATGACCCCAGTGGTCCCCAATTTCTGGCAGACATGTCTCCATCTTCTACCTGGCATATTTTACCTGCCTCAGTGTACCCCAGGCCGCTTACTAGCTTTCTGCATATCTAGACTTCCCCTAATGCCTCCTTCCCGCTTACGGGAGAGCCTCAGACTCTGGACTCAGCTCCCATGAGCTCCTGGACCCCTACTCATTTCTTGCAATTTAATGGGTCATGCAGCTCCACCCACTCACCCCTTTTGATCTCTCCCCTCCTCCGTCCTGTGAAAATTCCAGTCCCGCATCCTTCTGAGCCCGGGACCCCCAGTCAATTCCTGGGTCAGGTGTCTCCTTAACCCTCCCGATTTACAGTGCTTAACCCTCATTTCTGCTTTTTGGGGTCTCCCAATGGATTGTCAGTCCTCCTACCCCTCTCGTATTCTGGGTACCTCAGGGGTTTCTTCGCACATACTGGGACCCTCACCCCACTTGCTGCGTACCAGGTCCTGGTATTTGTCCCAGTGGACTCCAGGGAAATCATCCTCCTCCCTGAAACCCCTCACTCATGTGCCTGGGCCCCCCAGCACCTCCTTCCATGCGTACCCCGAGGTCCTTTGAGCCCCTCCCCCTGCAGCCCCGCCGAGCCACCCGGCCCGTGGCCGCTGTTTACAAGGACACGCGCTTCCTGACAGTGACGCGAGCCGCCTCCTCCCCTTCCCCACGCTCGAGGAGGGGGGCGCGGGGGCCCGGCTCCGGCGACGGCCAATCGGAGCGCACTTCCGTGGCTGACTAGCGCGGTATAAAGGCGTGTGGCTCAGGCTGAGCGGCTGGGACCTTGAGAGCGGCCAGGCCAGCCTCGGAGCCAGCAGGGAGCTGGGAGCTGGGGGAAACGACGCCAGGAAAGCTATCGCGCCAGAGAGGGCGACGGGGGCTCGGGAAGCCTGACAGGGCTTTTGCGCACAGCTGCCGGCTGGCTGCTACCCGCCCGCGCCAGCCCCCGAGAACGCGCGACCAGGCACCCAGTCCGGTCACCGCAGCGGAGAGCTCGCCGCTCGCTGCAGCGAGGCCCGGAGCGGCCCCGCAGGGACCCTCCCCAGACCGCCTGGGCCGCCCGGATGTGCACTAAAATGGAACAGCCCTTCTACCACGACGACTCATACACAGCTACGGGATACGGCCGGGCCCCTGGTGGCCTCTCTCTACACGACTACAAACTCCTGAAACCGAGCCTGGCGGTCAACCTGGCCGACCCCTACCGGAGTCTCAAAGCGCCTGGGGCTCGCGGACCCGGCCCAGAGGGCGGCGGTGGCGGCAGCTACTTTTCTGGTCAGGGCTCGGACACCGGCGCGTCTCTCAAGCTCGCCTCTTCGGAGCTGGAACGCCTGATTGTCCCCAACAGCAACGGCGTGATCACGACGACGCCTACACCCCCGGGACAGTACTTTTACCCCCGCGGGGGTGGCAGCGGTGGAGGTGCAGGGGGCGCAGGGGGCGGCGTCACCGAGGAGCAGGAGGGCTTCGCCGACGGCTTTGTCAAAGCCCTGGACGATCTGCACAAGATGAACCACGTGACACCCCCCAACGTGTCCCTGGGCGCTACCGGGGGGCCCCCGGCTGGGCCCGGGGGCGTCTACGCCGGCCCGGAGCCACCTCCCGTTTACACCAACCTCAGCAGCTACTCCCCAGCCTCTGCGTCCTCGGGAGGCGCCGGGGCTGCCGTCGGGACCGGGAGCTCGTACCCGACGACCACCATCAGCTACCTCCCACACGCGCCGCCCTTCGCCGGTGGCCACCCGGCGCAGCTGGGCTTGGGCCGCGGCGCCTCCACCTTCAAGGAGGAACCGCAGACCGTGCCGGAGGCGCGCAGCCGGGACGCCACGCCGCCGGTGTCCCCCATCAACATGGAAGACCAAGAGCGCATCAAAGTGGAGCGCAAGCGGCTGCGGAACCGGCTGGCGGCCACCAAGTGCCGGAAGCGGAAGCTGGAGCGCATCGCGCGCCTGGAGGACAAGGTGAAGACGCTCAAGGCCGAGAACGCGGGGCTGTCGAGTACCGCCGGCCTCCTCCGGGAGCAGGTGGCCCAGCTCAAACAGAAGGTCATGACCCACGTCAGCAACGGCTGTCAGCTGCTGCTTGGGGTCAAGGGACACGCCTTCTGAACGTCCCCTGCCCCTTTACGGACACCCCCTCGCTTGGACGGCTGGGCACACGCCTCCCACTGGGGTCCAGGGAGCAGGCGGTGGGCACCCACCCTGGGACCTAGGGGCGCCGCAAACCACACTGGACTCCGGCCCTCCTACCCTGCGCCCAGTCCTTCCACCTCGACGTTTACAAGCCCCCCCTTCCACTTTTTTTTGTATGTTTTTTTTCTGCTGGAAACAGACTCGATTCATATTGAATATAATATATTTGTGTATTTAACAGGGAGGGGAAGAGGGGGCGATCGCGGCGGAGCTGGCCCCGCCGCCTGGTACTCAAGCCCGCGGGGACATTGGGAAGGGGACCCCCGCCCCCTGCCCTCCCCTCTCTGCACCGTACTGTGGAAAAGAAACACGCACTTAGTCTCTAAAGAGTTTATTTTAAGACGTGTTTGTGTTTGTGTGTGTTTGTTCTTTTTATTGAATCTATTTAAGTAAAAAAAAAATTGGTTCTTTATTAATTTCTGTTGTCTTTTTTTCCAAGCTGGGAGGGCGGGGGGAAAAAAAAAAGCACTGGTTTGCCCCCAGCTCAGTGCTGTTGGTGGCTCGGTCCTGTATGTGTCCCCCTCGTCGGTTCGGCGCAGGCATCTTGTGGTCCCAGCCCAGGAGTCCCACCCTTCCCGCGTCCCCAGATCTCCAGGGTTGGATGGTTGGGGCGCGGGACGCGGTCCAGGGACCCAGGAGCTGAAGGCAGGGTGCTCCGGCCGAGACTTGGAGTGCGCAGGCGCGTCCCCGCCCAGCCGCGCGCGCCGGGGCTTTCCCCGCTGACGCAGCGGAAGCGCTGCCCATACAAGGACCGATTCTGCCCAGTGACGCGACCGCGGTCTCTGGGCAGATTCCGGGAATCCCCTCCCCCGCTCTGCCGGGCAGGGCCGCGGCGCCGGGAAGGGGGCCGGGATTTTCCCGGGCAGGCGGCTGCCCGGGCACGGAAAGCCCCAGGCCTGGGTCCAGAGCGCCCGCGGTGGGCGGGCAGCGCTCCTGGGCTCCGGGAGCCACCCCTGTGCCACCTTCAAGACACTGGCGCCTAGGCCCCGCCGCGCCCACGCCCCCTCCGTCTGACCTGACCGGGGCGGAGGGTTGCTGCTGCCTCCGCTGCTTTGCCGACGCCGTCCCCTCTACCCCCACCCCCTCCAGGAAGGGCGGCGCCCGCCTGCCAGTTTCCCCTCACGGGTGCCAGGCCAGGAGCGGGGCGACTGCCAGGTCTGGTCCTGCCGGGGCGGCTGCTCGGGCCGCTGGGCGCCGCCACCGCCCTCGCGCTGGGCTCCCTCCCGCGCAGCTGGGACACGTGGAGGTGGGGGTGGGGGTGCTGGTGCTGCTGGCCCGCCTAGAGGGAGTCTGGCCGGCTTCGGGGTTGGAAGCCCCCAGAGCAGTGGAGAAAAACAGGTAGAGAAACCAGACAGGCAGTAGGGTGAGTGGAACAGACACTTCATCAATTCATTTGTACAATACCTAGAACAACTAGACCCTGGAGACACAGCCTGGACCACTCCAGACAAGACAATAAATAAACAAGCAAACATGGTTCTTTGGGGGTGGTGGTAAGTGCTAGTAAGAGGAAAAAAACAAACTAAAACAAACAAAAAAAAAAAACAAAAAAAAAAGGTCAAGGTGGCAATGATGGGGCAGGGAGGAAAGATGCTTTGCAGAATGGAGTGGGAACATGGACCTTTAATAGGGTGACTTTTTCTTTTTTATATTTTAGAGACGGGTCTTTGTCCTGTTGCTCAGGTTGGAGCGCAGTGGTGCAATCATAGCTAACTGCAGCCTAGACCTTCTGTGCTCAAGCAAGCCTTCCACTTCAACTTCCCAACTAGCTAGAGCTACAGGCATACACCACTATGCCTGGCTAATTTTGTTTATTTTTGTAGAGATGGGGTCTGCTATGTTGCCCTGGCTGGTCTGGAACTGCTGGGTCAAACAGTCCTCCCGCCTTGGCCTTTCAAAGCACTGGGATTCCAGGCGTGAGCCAGTGCTCTTCTCCTGCAGTGACTTTTTTTTTTTTTTTTTAGACAGATTCTTGCTCTGTCACCCAGACTTGAGTGCAGTGGTGCGATCTTGGTTCACTGCAACCTCTGCCTTTCGGGTTCAAGCGATTTTCCTGCCTCAGCCTCCCAAGTAGCTAGGATTATAGGTGCCTGCCACCACGCCCTGCTAATTTTGTATCTTTAGTAGAGACTGGGTATCAGCACGTTGGCCAGGCTGGTCTTGAACTCCTGACTTGAGGTCATCTGCCAGCCTCGGCCTCCAAAATGCTGGGATTACAGGCGTGAGCCATCGTGCCTGGCCATGACTTTTCAACAGATTTGAAGAAGTGGGGTCCTGAGAAAATCCTGGGTAACAACAGCATCAGAGGTAACAGTTTTTTGTTTGTTTGTTTGTGTTTTTTAGATGGAGTCTCCCTCTGTCACCCAGGCAGGCTGGAGTGCAGTGGCTCGATCTCAGTTTACCGCAACCTCCACCCACAGGATTCAAGCGATTCTCCTGCTTGGCCTCCCAAGTAGCTGGGTCTACAGGCGTGCATCACCATGCCAGGCTAATTTTTGTATTTTTAGTAGAAACAGGGTTTCACCATGTTGGCCAGGCTGGTCTCGAACCCCTGACCTCAGGTGATCCGCCTGCCTGGGCCTCCCAAAGTGCTGGGATTACAGGCCTGAGCCACCCCGCTCAACTGGGAGCAGCTTTTTTTTTTTTTTTTTTTGAGACGGAGTCTCGCTCTGTTGCCCAGGCTAGAGTGCAGTGGCACGATCTCGGCTCACTGCAAGCTCTGCCTCCCGGGTTCACGCCATTCTCCTGCCTCAGCCTCCCAAGTAGCTGGGACTACAGGCACCTGCCAACATGCCTGGCTAATTTTTTGTATTTTTAGTAGAGAGGGGGTTTCACTGTATTAGCCAGGATGGTCTCGATGTCCTGACCTCGTGATCCGCCCGTCTCGGCCTCCCAAAGTGCTGGGATTACAGGCGTGAGCCACTGCGCCCGGCCTTGGGAGCAGCTCTTAAATGGCAAAATTCATGTAGCCAGGTGAGCCTGTGAAAGAACAGCAGGAAGCCAGCCTGTCTGGAATGGAGTGAACCACAACAGGGCAGATGTCAAGGGAGACTGAGCAGGGGCCTTGGGGAGGAGTGTAGATTAAATTCCAAGGGAGATGAGTGACCCTTAGAGGGTATTAGGTGGGTACCAGCATTAATAGTGGATCTGTGGATTAAATGAGCATATTAGCCCTGTTCTGTAGGAGGAAATTGGGGCATAGAGTAGCAAAACTACTTTCCTGAACGCACACAATATTAAACTGCACCCCTGGGAACCCTGCCTTGCTGCTAATACCTGCCTTCTAGCCTAACTGCCACCCTCCCACCCCAGGGGCAGACAGGCAACCTTTCCAGCCTGGGGTGGGGCAGAGCTCACAGCAGGGACTCTGCACTCTGCACGTAGCTCAGGCTCTCATTCTTGGTTCTGCTCTTAAGACTGGGTCCCCACCCTCTTCCCCATAAGACTACACTGGGCTGGGTTCCTTTCAGCTCGAGGAAGCCGTCTTAGGAACTAGGAACTGGGCCCTACACAGGGGCCTCAGCCCCGAGCTTCACATAACTTATCTCCTACAAATTTTACCACGTGCATGGTGATCTGGGTTTGCAGTCCCATTTTACTGCTGAAGAGACCCAGAGACGATCACAGCTCTTAAACGGCATTTGAACCCAGGCTGGCTGGTGACAAAATGTGGGCTTTGCCTTGCATGGCCAGATTTCTGGATGTAGGGCATCCTGGGATTTGCAAGGGACAAACGGCATACCCTACCCCTCCGAAACCGCCTTGAGCGCAAGCAGGAAAAGAGCAGGCACTAAGCATGTGATAAGACCGCCACCGTGTGGCGAAGATGAGCAACCACAGGGTCAGTTTCCCAAGCCTGAGCCTGAAGAAGGAAGGGGGTTGCAGGGGAGGACGAAAGGACAGAGCACACCAACACAGACTCACACCTTTCCCTAATACTTTATTGGTTACCTCTAGGCCTGTGTGCGGCTGGGTGGGCTTGGGGGAGGGCGTCACTATTCAGCTTCTAGGTGGAGGCATGAGAAGGCCTTGGCCTAGCCCTCCAGGGTCCCATACTGTGGAGTTTGGAGGGGCAGGTCTGGCCTTTCCTGGGTCAGCATAGGGCACCCAGGTGGGGGCACAGGTGGACACCCAGCACAGGCACCTAGGCAGGGGCACAAGCTCACTATCCGTTAGCCAGCCTAATTGTGTTTGGAGAAATATTCCTTGCTGTCATCCACGTTGGGCTTAATCGTGTCACTGCCAGGCTTCCAGCCAGCGGGACAAACTGTGGGAAGACACAAGGATGCACATGAAGGCTACAGCCCCAGGTTCAAGGTGAAGCAAAGCAAGGGCCTGTGTTGCAGAAGAAAATGCTGGAAGCAAGTGGTCCAGGCCCAGGAATGTGGATATTAAGATAAACCCTCCAAGCCCAGTTCAGTATTTTTTCTTTTTTTTTTTTTTCAGACAGAGTCTTGCTCTGTTGCCCAGGCTGAAGTACAGTAGCATGATCTGAGCTCATGCAACCTCTCCCTCCTGGGTTCAAGCGATTCTCATGCCCCAGACTCCCTAGCTGGAATTACAGAGGTGCACCACCACGCCTGGCTAATTTTTGTATTTTTGGTAGAGACCATGTTAGTCACGCTTGTCTCGAACTCCTGACCTCAAGTCATCTGCCCGTCTTGGCCTCCCAAAGTGCTGGGATTACAGGTGTGAGCCACCATGCCTAGCCAAGTTCAGTATTTTCTCTTTTTCTTTTCTTCTTTTTTCTTTCTTTCTTTTTTTTTTTTTTTTTTTGAGACAGAGTCCTCCTCTGTTGCCCAGGCTGGAGTGCAATGGCGTGATCTCGGCTCATTGCAACCTCTGCCTCCCGCGTTCAAGTGATTCTCCTGCCTTAGCCTCCTGAGTAGCTGGGACTACAAGTGCCCGCCACCACACCCTGCTAATTTTTTGGTACTTTTAGCAGAGACAGGGTTTCACCATATTGGTCAGGCTGATCTCGAACTCCTGACTTCAGGTGATCCACCCACCTTGGCCTCCCAAAATGCTAGGATTACAGGCGTGAGCCACTACACCTGGCCAAGTTCAGTATTTTCTAGCTGGTGTTTTTCCTACTCTTAATTCTTCAATTTCTTTTTGCCACCCAGCTCTCCTTTTTCTTCTTTTTTTCTTTTCTTTTTTTTTAAGATGGAGTCTTGCTCTGTTGCCCAGGCTGGAGTGCAGTGGCACGATCTCTGCTCACTGCAAGCTCCGCCTCCCAGGTTCACGCCATTCTCCTACCTCAGCCGCCAGAGTAGCTGGGACTACAGGCGCCCGCCACCACGCCCGACTAATTTTTTTGTATTTTTAGTAGAGACAGGGTTTCACCGCGTTAGCTAGGATGGTCTCGATCTCCTGACCTCTTGATCCGCCCGCCTCAGCCTCCCAAAGTGGTGGGATTACAGGCATGAGCCACCGTGCCCGGCCTCTTTTTTTTTTTTATTTTTTGAGACGGAGTTTCGCTTCACTCGTTGCCCAGGCTGGAGTGCAATGGCACGATCTCAGCTCACTGCAACCTCCGCCTCTCAGCTTCAAACGATTCTCTTGCCTCAGCCTCCCAAGTAGCTGGGATTACAGGCATGCACCACCAGGCTGGGCTAATTTTGTATTTTTAGTAGAGACTGGGTTTCTCCATGTCGGTCAAGCTTGTCTCGAACTCCCGACCTCAGGTGATCCACCCACCTAGGCCTCCCAAAATGCTGGGATTACAGGTGTGAGCCACTGCATCTGGCCTCTTTTTTTTTTTTTTTTTTTTTAACCAATACCCCATCTCTTAAAAAAAAAAAAAAAGAGATGGGGTATTGCTATGTTGCCTAGGCTCGACTCAAATTCCTGGGCCTAAGCAATCTTCTGCCTCACTCTCCAGAGTAGGTGGAACTACAGGCATGAGACACAGCATCTACAGGCATGAGACACAGCATCTTCCTGTCTTTTTGGCTCCTTTAGTCCCATCTTTGTCCCTCTGCCCCACCCCTACAGGTTTTTTTGTTGTTGTTGTTTTTGAGATGGAGTCTCACACTGGCGCCCAGGCTGGAGTGCAGTGGTGTGATCTCGGCTTACTGCAACCTCCTCCCGGGTTCAAGGGAGTCTCCTGCCTCAGCCTCCCAAGTAGCTGGGATTACAGGCACCTGCCACCGCACCCAGCTAATTTTTTTGTATTTTTAGCAGAGACGCGGTTTCACTATGTTGGCCAGGCTGGTCTCAAACTCCTGACCTCATGATCTGCCCGCCTCGGCCTCCCAAAGTGCTGGGATTACAGGCGTGAGCCACCGCGCTCGGCCTGTTTGTTTGTTTTTTTGAGACAGGGTCTTGCTGTGTCACCCAGGCTGGAGTGCAGTGGTGCGATCACAGCTTACTGCAGCCTTGACCTCCCAGGCTCAAGTGATCCTCCAGCCTCAGCCTCTTGAGTAGCTGGGACTATAGGCATGCTTCACAAACCAAGCTAATTTTTTTTTTTTTTGAGACTGAGTTTTGCTCTGTTGCCCAAGCTGGAGTACAACGGTGCGATCTCAGCTCACTGCAACCTCTGCCTCCTGGGTTCAAGCGAACTCCTGCCTCAGTCTCTCAAGTAGCTGGGATTACAAGTGTGCACCACCACGGCCAGCTAATTTTTTGTGTTCTTCGTAGAGACGGGGTTTCACCATGTTGGTCAGGCTGGTCTCGAACTCCTGACCTCAGGTGATCCACCTGCCACAGCTTCCCAAAGTGCTGGCAATACAACCGTGAGCCACTGAGCCCGGCCCCTTTGTCCACCTTGGTTGAATGTCAGGCGTTATTTGTCTCCTACCACATTAGAAACATCCTGCAGACAAAGCCCTGAGCTGAATCTTCTTTGGGGCCCTAACACCCATCTGGACAGGTAAGAGGACAGGCAGTGAATGTTTGCATGAGTGACGGAGGCGCTCAGTATGTACCCATGTGTCATGTGTGTATCTGCTCACCTTCCCCATGCTCGTCTGTGTACTGGAAGGCCTGGACCAGCCGCAGAGCCTCATCCACGGAGCGTCCCACAGGCAAATCATTAACAGTGATCTGGCGAAGGACACCCTTGCCATCGATGATAAAGAGGCCCCTGAAGACATCAGGGTTCCCAGTGAGGAGCTGATAGCTCCCACTGCCAGAGACAAGGAAGGGACTACCAACCACCCGCTGCTAGCCACAGGGCTGGGGGCAGAGAAGACATTGTACAGGAGTGGTCCCAGCATCACAGGAATGGGGGGCAGGGCGCTCCCTGAGCCGGGCTGAGGGTCCCACAGTACCTGTAGGCAATGCCCTCATCTGTTTTCAGCACGCCGTAATCCTCAGACAAGCGTCTGGTCACGTCAGCAAGCAGGGGGATGTTCAGGGGGCCCAAGCCTCCCTCTTTCCGGGGGGTGTTGATCCTGGGAGTAGGGGAGACAGAGTTGGGGCCTCAGGATGCCTGGCACAGCAGGGTCCTCACCCTGTGGGCCCAATGTGATAAGCACTGGAGGCCGGAGATAAGGGGCTTTAGAGTAGGCCGCTGGGAGCCTCACCCACCCCACCCTGGGTTGGGTGCAAGGACTGTATCCCCATGGCTGGGAAGACTGAGTTTGAGAGGCACAGCTCCAGCTAAGTGGCTTCACATGTACTTGTAACTTGCAGCATCACCCAGCAGAGAGCCTGTGTTAAGAGTCCCCATCCTCCTCTAGCTGTGTCATGGGGTACAGCCCTTCACTTCGGTGAACTGGAGTTTCCATCTTCATGAAATAGGGCAGCACAGCCTCCCTCCTGGGAACTAAGTACATAGAGTAGATAGAGTTGCATCTGAGTTGCATCTGCAACTCTATATACCAGGCAACTAGTTGTCAAATGCTAATTACTGTCATCATCCTTAAAGACTTGGGCGGCAATGTTTCCATTATTTTCACGATGGGGAAACGCAGGTTCCAGAGGTTGAGCAATGGCCACGAAGCCACACTGCTAGGACCTGAGGGTGTGAGCTTAGCTGCAACCTCCCTCTTTGGCCCCTGCTCATACCAAGCCAGGTGGGTGAACTGAGAGTCCACCGAGACGCCCAGCACTTCACAGCCCAGCTTGCGGAAGTCCTCTGCACGGTTGCTGAACGCGATGATCTCGGTGGGGCACACAAAAGTGAAGTCCAGAGGGTAGAAAAAGAGGACCACGTACTTCCCTGGGGAGGAGGGACACAGAGGAGTTAGGGCCCAGCTTCTCTCATGCACGGCCCCGCTTCTACCTGGGCCCCCTCCGGGCGGCGCTCACCTTTGTAGTCCGACAGCTTCACCTCTTTGAAGGCGCCATCAACCACCGCTGTGGCCTTGAAGTCAGGGGCTGGCTTTCCGATGCGCGCGTTACCGGAGGCCATGACTGAAAGCTGAGACCCCCGCCCGGTCAGTGCGCCCGGGAAGACACTTTGTCCTCCCAACCCAAGGTCGCGCTGCGTGCTGGGCCCTATGACTGAGTCAGCACGGCGGAGGCGACAGCACTAACCCTCACCCTCCCGGGTACCCGGTCTACGAGGCCCGGAGGCTGCCGGAGACCCGCTCTCCTGACCAGAGCACGAGTGACCCAGCCACTGCCACCAGCACCCCACGAGCGAGTCGGCCGGAGGGCGGTGTCGCAAGCCCCCAGCCCAGAAGGAGACAGTGAGGCCCGCACGAGCAGGGGGCGGGAAGTCGGGCGATCAGGCCTGCGCTGCAAGGCTGTGGCCTCGGTTTCCCCCGCAAGGACAAAGGAGGCCACTATAGCGGATGGAAAGCAAAGGCGGCCAGCACTAAAGTCAGGATCGGGCCAAAGCAGCCTGAAGGGGGTCCTCCCGCCAGGTGCACTCCGGGTGTTCATACCTGCGTGGGCAAAGGCTAGACGCACGGACGATCACACGCGTGGACCCGCGTTCTCAGCGCCAAGTGAGCCCTGGGCCGCGAAGCCTTTTATGCCCGGCCCGAACCAAGACGTGCACGGCGCGGGGGAGGGAGCGGACGAGCGGAGCGGTCGGGTCCACTGCGCCCGCAGGTGCGGGGGAGCGTGCGGCCGGGTCCATGCGCCTGCGGGCGGCGGGGGGAGACGCGTTGCCTTCGGCCGGGACCACTGCACCTGCCCGCGTGGGTAATGCGCCCGCCGCAGACTCCGCGCACGACTCCGCCTGGGAGCGCGTTGGGGGCCGTTGGAGTCCAGCATGGCGCGGACCCCGGGGGCGCTGCTGCTGGCGCCTCTGCTACTCCTGCAGCTGGCGACCCCTGCCCTGGTCTACCAGGACTATCAGTACTTAGGGCAGCAGGGCGAAGGTGACAGCTGGGAGCAGCTGAGGCTGCAGCATCTAAAGGGTAACCTCAGGCGGCGGGGATGACGATGCCCAAAGGCTCCCCGTTGCCCTACTTCTCCTGCTGGCTGCAAAGGGACCTTCCTCGGCGGGCTGCAAATCTCCACCCAGCTCCGCACTGGAGGCGTCCCCTTGGGCTGGTTACTTTTCTCTAAGGCTCGGTTTACTCTTGGATATATTGAAATAGATACTGCTTTAAAGCAGCTCCCAGGGGAAGAGAGGGTGTGGGCAGGACACTGAAGCTGTCACTCGGGGATAGGTGCCAGGAAGGGCAGAGACAGAGAAAGAAGGGGGCGGGCAAGCTTGGGAAATCAGAGAGGGTCCGATTGCAGAAGACCCGTGACCAGTGCAGCGAGAACGACAAGCGAAAGTCCCATATGGAAAGATTTGGGGAAAGAATGTCCAAGGAAGAGGGAATAGCAAATGCCAAGGTGAAAAGTCCTGAAGGAGAAATGGAAAGAGGTCGGTGAGGTGTGGCAGAGACATGGGTGTGGGAGGGTAGGAGGTGTCAGACCTTGGTGAGCGGTGAGTTGGGATAAGATCGGAGTTGGGATAAGATCTGTCTCATAGGGGAAAGGGGCAGATTCAGTAAAGAGCCCTTTAAAGTGATCACAGTGGCCGGCGCGGTAGCTCACGCCTATAATCCTAGCACTTTGGGAGGCTGAGGTGGGAGGATCCCTTGGTCTCGGAGACCAGACCAGCCTGGCCCACACAGCAAGACTCCATCTCTACAAAAAATATTTTAAAATTAGCCTGACTTGATGGCCCAGCACTTTGGGAGGCCGAGGCGGGAGGACTGCTTGAGCCCAGGAATTCAAGACCAGCCTGGGCAACATGGAGAGACCCCCTACTCTACAAAAATAAATAAATAAATAAAAATAAAAAATAAATTAGCCTGCCATGGTGGCATGCGCCTGTAGTCCCAGCTACTCAAGAGGCTGATACAGGAGGACCATTTGTGCCAAGGAGTTTGAAGCTGCAGTGAGCCATGATTATGCCCTTGCATTCCAACCTGGGTAACAGAGCAAGATCTTGTCTCAAAATAAATAAATTAAATAAATAAACAAACTGATCATAATAAATTGGTTTGTATATGCTAGCACAGCACCGGGAGATTTACTTACCTTCATTATGTCAATTATGCCATTTATCACTTGACAACCCTGCTGTCAGGTGGCATTGTGCCTTCTAGGTAGGGCCATGGTCACACCCCTGAAGACAGAAGTCAGCTTCAAATGGCGGGCACCAAGGATGTTGTAGGACACTCACAACTGGGCAGGCTGGCACAGCCTGGAAGTGTCAGGTTGTAGTTCCTCTGGCCCACTTACCCCGTATATGAGCTTGGAAGGTTGGCTTGCTGTCTCTGGGTCTTGGTTTCCCCACCTGAGACTCGTGGAAATATTAAATGAGGCCAGGCATGGTGGCTGGCTCACACCTGTAATCCCAGCACTTTGGGAGGCTGAGATGGGAGTATCACTTGAGCCCAGGAGTTCCAGACCAGCCTGGGCAACATGGTGAAACACCGTCTCTGCAAAAAATACAAAAAATTAGCCAGGCACAGTGGCATGTGCCTGTAGTCCCAGCTACTTGGTAGGCCGAGGTAGGAGGATTGCTTGAGCCCAGGAGGTTGAGGCTGCAGTGAGCTGTGACTGCGCCACTGCACTCCAGCCTGGGCGACAGAGCGAGACCCTGTCTCAAAAAAAAAAAAAAAAAAAAAAAAAAAGCTTAAATGAGATAATCTGTGGCAGGGTGTCTGGCATAGAAGCAGAGTCTAGCGAATATGTGCTTCTCTTATTCGTTAGTATCTTTATCTTTCTCCCTCTCTGGGGGAGGGGATTGGGAGTAGGCCCCCTCCACGTAGGTCTTCACCTCTGCCCTCCTTCTCTAGAAGTCGAGGACTCAATCCTTGGCCCGTGGGGAAAGTGGCGGTGTCTCTGCGACCTGGGCAAGCAGGAGCGCAGCCGCGAGGTAGTGGGCACAGCGCCGGGCCCGGTTTTCATGGACCCGGAGAAGCTGATCCAGTTACGGCCCTGCCGGCAACGGGATTGTCCATCCTGCAAGCCCTTCGACTGCGACTGGAGGCTCTGAGCCCGGGTGAGAGAGCAGGGCCGGGGCAAGTTGCGGGGCCCAGGGTGGGCGCGGAGGGAGGATGTGCGGTGCGGGGCGGGTATGAAGCGAGTTTGAGGAAGGGAGAACTGGGGCTCCAAGTCTTGAGTGACTTGAGGCTGATTTGGTTAGGGGGAAGCTGAGTCAGGAGCCGTGAGCCCCGCTGATATCTAGGGAGAAAAGGAGAAAAGTGGAGGGGGCGCCGGGCGCCGGGGCTCACGCCTGTAATTCCAGCATTTTGGGAGGCCGAGGCAGGCGGATCTCTTGAGTCCTGGAGTTCAAGATTAGTCTGGGCAATATCGTTGAGATCACCTCTCCATAAAAATTTTTAAAATTAGGCCGGGCGCGGTGGCTCACGCCCGCAATCCCAGCACTTTGGGAGGCCAAGGCAGGCGGATCACAAGGTCAGGAGATCGAGACCATCCTGGCTAAAACGGTGAAACCCCGTCTCTACTAAAAATATAAAAAATTAGCTGGGCGCGGTGGCGGGCGCCTGTAGTCCCAGCTACTCGGGAGGCTGAGGCAGGAGAATGGCATGAACCCGGGAGGCGGAGCCTGCAGTGAGCCGAGATCGCGCCACTGCACTCCAGCCTGGGCGACAGAGCGAGACTCTGTCTCAAAAAAAACCAACCAAACAAACAAACAAACAAAAACATTTAAGTTAGATGAGCGTGGCGGCACATGCCTGTGGTCCCAGCTACTCGGTACGATGGGGAGGAAGGATCGCTTGAGCCTGGGAGGCAAAGGTTACAATAAGCCGAGATCGCTACACTGCTATCCAGCCTGGGCAACAGAGTAACATCCTGTCTCAAAAAAAAAAAAAAAAAAAAAAAAAAAAAAAAAGTGGAGGGGGAGGCGAAGAGGAGTAAAAGGAGATAAAGAGACAATGAACTAGGACCCTGAGGAAGGGGCATGAGCCTGGTAAGGGGCGGGAACCCACAGGCAGAGGACATGAGCCCCAGTGAGCCCAGGGAATAGAAGTGGTGGATGCCAGGCACTGTGGCTGGCTCAGGCTTGTAATCCCAACACTTTGGGAGGCTGAGGCGACCGGATCGCTTGAGCCCAGGAGTTTGAAGCCAGCCTGGGCAACATAATGAGACCCCGTCTCTACAAAAAATACCAAAAATAGTCGGGCATGGTGGTGTGGTGTGCACCTGTAGTCCAGCTGCTTGGGAGACTGAGGTGGGAGGATCGCGTCAGCCCAGGAGGTGGAGGTTGCAGTGAGCCAAGATCGCGCCACTGCACTCCAGCCTGGACAACAGAGAGAGACCCTGTCTAAAAAAAAAAGAAGGCCGGGTGCGGTGGCTCACGCCTGCAATCCCAACACTTTGGGAGGCCGAGGCGGGCGGATCACAAGGTCAGGAAATCGAGACCAACCTGGCTAACACGGTGAAACCCCATCTCTACTAAAAAGTACAAAAAATTAGCCGGGTGTGGTGGCGGGCGCCTGTAGTCCCAGCTATTCGGGAGACTGAGGCAGGAGAATGGCGTGAACCCGGGACGCGGAGCTTGCAGTGAGCGGAGATGGCGCCATTGCACTCCAGCCTGGGCGACAAGAGCGAGACTCTGTCTCAAAAAAAAAAAAAAGAAAAAAAAAAAGTGGGTCGAGGGGTGGGGGTGGGGACATTCATTCTAAGTTGGGAGGAATGAGCTTCTATAGGGAGCAGAGACCCTGAGCAGGAGTCCACCGAGGTCTGTGATCTCCAACGGGGGTGGGGAAGGCTTGGCCTGAATGAGACAGAGGTTAGGAAGCACAGATCTTGCACGGAGTGGAGGTGGGCCGAAGGGAGCAACCAAGAGAGGGAGTTTGGGGACTCCAAATCCAAAAGCCTGGGTTTAGTGGAAGCGGGGCTACCTGGTCCAGGGGACTTAGAATGTGTACAGAAGCAGGGACCGCAAGTACAGGGCCTGAATCCAAGTGGCAGTTGGGGACCCAGTGATGCGGTGACCCGTGTCCTGGGAGTGGGGTGATATTTGACTCTCTAGTTCCCCGTTAGGCTGGGTCTTCGAAGCTACGTCTCAGTTTCCCTCTTATTTCCCCCTCTTCCCACCGGGCCACGCAGGCGGGGCCCCAGAGACCGTGAAGCAGAGCTTGCAAAGTGACCCCGTCCACCGAATTCCCCAAGCTGAGTGTTCGGCCATAGCCCTTCGGGACTACAATTCCCAGGAGGGCGCACGGCAGCGACGTCGGCGTCGGCTGCGTAAGCGTCCACGGCGGCGGGAGCGCCAGGGGCGTGTTCTGCCCGCGGATTGGCCGGAAGCAGGCGCCGCTTCGAGGCCCGCGGAAAACGCGCGCCGAGACCCGCTCCTGCAGTATTAGTTCTTGCAGCTGGTGGTGGCGGCTGAGGCGGCATGGATCTCAGCGAGCTGGAGAGAGACAATACAGGCCGCTGTCGCCTGAGTTCGCCTGTGCCCGCGGTGTGCCGCAAGGAGCCTTGCGTCCTGGGCGTCGATGAGGCGGGCAGGGGCCCCGTGCTGGGTGCGCCCCTAGGGCCAGGGAGGGGAGGGGCGTGGTACGGAGGATGCGGGAAACGGGAGTCGGGATTGCACTGCACCAAGGGAGGGGATGTGGTCGTGGTGATGGCACCTAAAGAAGCAGTGATGATAGAACAGGGATGAATGGCAACTTTCACGGGCTCAGTGATTGGACCCCGGCTGCCAGAAAACTGACACCCCTTCTCCCCAGGCCCCATGGTCTACGCCATCTGTTATTGTCCCCTGCCTCGCCTGGCAGATCTGGAGGCGCTGAAAGTGGCAGGTGAGCCCGAGGTGTGCGTCTGGGGAAGGGATTCCTGGGTATGTGCAGGGGCAGGTGAGAACTGAAAGGGGAGGGCAGGAACTGGGAGAACCAGCTGTTCCCCTTCTCTTCCAAACCTCCTCCCAGACTCAAAGACCCTATTGGAGAGCGAGCGGGAAAGGCTGTTTGCGAAAATGGAGGACACGGACTTTGTCGGCTGGGCGCTGGATGTGCTGTCTCCAAACCTCATCTCTACCAGCATGCTTGGGCGGTGAGGGGTCCCCGGGAGGGGCAGCCAGCATGGGCTGACCAAGCTTTGTTCCTAGAATGAGATTAACTGGGCTCTGTTCCCCACCACAGGGTCAAATACAACCTGAACTCCCTGTCACATGATACAGCCACTGGGCTTATACAGTATGCATTGGACCAGGGCGTGAACGTCACCCAGGTGAGTTAACTGTAAGTTGTCCCCATTTGGTCATCTCAGGATAAAATGGGGACAAAACAGGAGTTCGAGACTGCAGTGAGCCATGATCATGCCACAGCACTCCATCCTGGGTGACAAAGGAAGCCCCCCAACTCAAAAATGGAGGCAGGGCGCAGTGGCTCACGCCTATAATCGCAGCACTTTGGGAAGCCGCGGCGGGTAGATCACCGGAGGTCAAGAGTTCGAGACCAGCCTGACCAACATGGTGAAACCCCGTCTCTACTAAAAATACAAAAATTAGCTGGACGTGGTGGCAGGCGCCTGTAATCCTAGCTACTCAGGAGGCTGAGACAGGAGAATCGCTTGAACCCAGGAGGCAGAAGTTGCAGTGAGCCAAGATTGTGCCATTGCACTCCAACCCGGGCAACAGAGCAAGACCCTGTCTCAAAAAAATAAAAAATAAAAAATAAACTAAAAATGGGAGACCAGGCGCAGTGGCTCACGGCTGTAATCCCAGCGTTTCAGGAGGCTGAGGCAGGCAGATCACCTGAGGTCAGGAGTTGAAGACCATCCTGGCCAACATGGTGAAACCTCATCTCTACTGAAAATACAAAAAATTAGCCCAGCATGGTGGCGGGTGCCTGTAATCCCACCTATTGGTGAGGCCGAGGCAGAAGAATTGCTCGAACCCGGGAGGCGGAGGTTGCAGTGAGGTGAGATCGCGCCATTGCACTCCAGCCTGGGGGACAGAGCGAAAAATAAAAATAAAAATAAAATAAAAAATAAATGTGGGCAAAAATGTGCAGTGTGCAGATTCAGCATCAGATACGTCTGGAGTGCCTCGGGCATATTCATTGCTACTGTTGATTTCGTGCTCCTGTTTCTGCCCTAAATGTGTGCCACACTGACGACCACAGTGTAGCCCCTAGTCCCGTCTCCATCTAATCTCTCCCTCATCCTAAAGGCTCAGTCTCCAGAACAAATCCTACATTGTCTACCTGTCACCTCTGTCCTAGCCCAGGACACCCCCCACTCCCTGGACACCTGCTGAGTGTCGTCTCTCGTCCCTCACCCTCCTATCCCCTCCAATCTGTTCCCCAAGCAGCAACAGAAGGTAGTCTTTTTGAAATGCACATCTCGACATTTAGTTTTCCGATCACAGTGGAAATTAAATCAGGAAAATTCACAGTCGAGTGGGGCAGAATTACATTAAATTACCAGAGAAAAACATAAATCAGCATTGCCTCGAATGCTCTCAATGAAAGAATGGACCGTTCTGAGAGAATAACAAGGCAAAATAACCTTGACGTAGGAATTGTATGCTGGGTATGGTGGCTCACGCCTGTAATCCCAGCACTTTGGGAAGCTGAGGTGAGCAAATTGGTTGAGGCTAGGAGTTCCAGACCAGCCTGGGCAACATAGCGAGACTCCATCTCCACAAAAAGAAGAAGAAAGAAAGGAATTATAGCAAGGTAGACCCTGCTGAGGAGGGACCTGAGGACCAGGCCCAAATGCAGAGCTGGCGATACAGTAACTGGTGTAGACAGACAAGGGCCCTACCCGTAGGCGTTCAGGGCCTAGCCTGGGCAGAAAGATGGTCAGCTGGAGGTTGGGCGCAGTAGCTCACGCCTGTAATCCCAGCACTTTGGGAGGCCGAGGCGGGCGGATCATCAGGTCAGGAGTTCGAGACCAGCCTGACCAACATGGTGAAACCCCATCTCTACTAAAAATAAAAAATAAAAAAATAAAACATGAAAGATGGTCAGCTGGTAAACAAAAAATAAAGGTTGTTTCTGAAAACAGTAGTGCTGTGGAGATACCACTTTCCCCCAGCAGCTCTTGGACCCTCTCTTCGGTGCTGCAGCCAAAGGCCCCCATGCATGGGCCCAGCATCATGAACCTGGTCCCAGCTCAGGGCCTTTGTACTGGCTGTTCTCACACCTAGAGCCCTCTTCCCCAGATCTCTGCACAGTTCACTTCCTCACCTCCTTCAAGCCTTTATTCACCACTACACCTAGCTAACTTTTTATTTTTTGTAGAAACAGGGTCTCCATATGTTGCCCAGGTTGGTCTCAACCACCTGCCCTCAAGCGATCCTCCCACTTCGGCTTCCTAAAGTGTTGGGATTACAGGCTTGTGCTAACGCACTCTACCAATTTTTTTCTAGTGTTTTCTGCCACCTCAGTTCCTAGAACAGTATGTGGCATGCAGTAGGTGCTAAATAAGTTAGAGTAAAAGCAGCGTGATAGAGAAAGCCTCTTCAGGAGGTGAGTTTTTTCTTTATTTTATTGTATTTATTTTATGTTTTTATAAAGATGGGGTCTCACTGTGTTGCCAAGCCTGGCCTCAAACTCCCAGGATCAAGCGATCCTCCCGCCTCAGCCTCCCAAAGTGCTGGGATCACAGGCCTGAACAACTTTGCCTGGTCTAGGAGGAGATGTTCGAGTTGAAATCCCTGATTGATCCATCCTGGGGACGTGCTGGAGAAGAGGATTCTGGGTAGCAGGAAGAACGTGCCAGGGCTGTGAGGCTAGAGCATTGGTACAGTTGTTTGTTCAATTAATATGTGTCTGTTGCTGTGGCAGGTATTCGTGGACACCGTAGGGATGCCAGAGACATACCAGGCGCGGCTGCAGCAAAGTTTTCCCGGGATTGAGGTGACGGTCAAGGCCAAAGCAGATGCCCTCTACCCGGTGGTTAGTGCTGCCAGCATCTGTGCCAAGGTCAGTACCCTACTAGCCATGGCTGGCTTCCACCATCCCACTATATAGGGGCCAGGCATGGCCACCAAAGGGAAGGAGGGAGATTCCAGGTGCCTGTTTTGCCCACAGGTGGCCCGGGACCAGGCCGTGAAGAAATGGCAGTTCGTGGAGAAACTGCAGGACTTGGATACTGATTATGGCTCAGGCTACCCCAATGGTGAGCAGACACGTGACCATGGTACTAATGTTGAAATGGCCAGGGCTGAGCACACTTCTGAGGTTTTCTTTTTTTCCTTTCTGTCATTTATCATTTTATTTTGCTTATTTTTTGTTTTTATTTGTTATTTTTGTTTATTTTTTGAGACGGAGTTTCGCTCTTTTTGCCCAGGCTGGAGTGTAATGGTGCGATCTCGGCTCACCGCAACCTCCACCTCCTGGCTTCAAGCGATTCTCCTGCCTCAGCCTCGCGAGTAGCTGGGATTACAGGCATGTGCCACCACACCCAGCTAATTTTGTGTTTTTAGTAGAGACTAGTTTTCTCCATGTTGGTCAGGCTGGTCTTGAACTCCTGACCTCAGGTGATCTGCCTGGCTCAGCCTCCCAAAGTGCTGGGATTACAGGCATGAGCCACCGTGCCCAGCCTATTTTTTGTTTTTATAGAGATGGGGTCTTGTCATGTTGCCCAGGCTGGTCTCAAATTCCTGGAGTCAAGCAGTCCTCCCACCTTGGTCTTTCAAAGTGCTGGGATTACAGCCATGAGCCACCACCCCTGGCCCTTTTTTTCTTCTTTTTTTAAAGAGATGGGGTCTCCCTATGTTGCCCAGCCTGGTCTTGAATTCCTGGGCTTAAGTGATCCTCCTGCCTTGGACTCCCAAATAGCTAGGATTACAGGTGTGAACTACTGTGCCTGGCTGGAGGTTTTCTAAATTGCTCTGGTCACCCTACTCCACAGTGAAAGAGGCCAAGTGTTAGACAGTGGTGCCATTTGTTTATGGCCACACAGCCAGTGAGTGATAGAGCTGAATTCCAGGCCATAGGATTGCTGCTGTCTTCCCCGCTTCCCACTTTGCTGTCTTTCTGGAGCCCCAGTGATGGACTGAGACCCAAGGTGGGCATTTGTCCCTTTGTTAAGGGGAAGGGGACCAGGCGTGGTGGCTCATGCCTGTAATCCCAGCACTTTGGGAAGCTGAGGTAGGAGAACCGCTTGAGTCCTCGAGTTCAAGACCAGCCTGGGCAACATAGCGAGACCCCCATCTCTATAAAAAATTTAAAAAATTAGCCGGTTATAGTGGTGCCCACCTGTAGTCCCAGCTACTCTGGAGGAGGAGGCTAAGGTGGGTGGGTTGCTTGAGCCCAGGAGTTGGAGGCTGCAGTGAGCTATGATTATGCCACTGCACTCCAGCCTTGGTGACAAGATGAGATCTTGTGTCAAAAAAAAAAATAATGTTAGCCAGGCGTGGTGGCTCACACCTGTAATCCCAGGACTTTGGGAGGCTGAGGCAGGTGGATCCTTTGAGGTCAGGAGTTCTAGACCAGCCTGACCAACGTGGTGAAACCCCATCTCTACTAAAAATACAAAATTAGCTGGACGTGGTGGCACACGCCCGTAATCCCAGCAACTCGGGAGGCTGAGGCAGGAGAATTACTTAAACCTGGGAGGTGGAGGTTGCAGTGAGCCGAGATCGCATAATTGCACTCCAGCCTGGGAAATGAGCAAAATTCCATCTCAAAATAATAATAATAATAATAATAATAATATTTAATGACAGGCTGGGCCAGGTGGCTCATGCCCGTAATCCTAGCATTTTAAGAGACAGAGGCAGGTAGATCATGTGAACTCAGGAATTCACAACCAGCCTGGGCAATATGACAAGACCCCATCTCTACAAAAAATACAAAAATTAGGTGTGGTGGTGCGCACCTGTAGTCCCAGCTACTTGGGAGGCTGAGGTGAGAGGATGGCTTGAGCCTGGGAGGCAGAGGTTGCATTGAGCTGTGATAATGTCACTGCACTCCAGCCTGGGTAATAGAGCGAGACCCTATCTCAAAAAAATAAAAAGGCTGGGTGTGGTGTTTACACCTGTAATCCCAGCACTTTGGGAGGCTGAGGTGGGTGGATCACCTGAGGTCAGGAGTTTGAGACCAGCCTGCCTGTCCAATATGGTGAAACCCCGTCTCTACTAAAAATACAAAAATTAGCCAGGTATGGTGGTGGGTGGCTGTAGTCCCAGCTACTTGGGAGGCTGAGGCAGGAGAATCGCTTGAACCTGGGAGGCGGAGGTTGCAGTGAGCCGAGATCGCACCATTGCACTACAGCCTGGGTGACAGAGCAAGACTCCATTTCAAAAAATAAGTAAATAAAATAAAAATGTTTAATGACTTGTTCTTGGAGGTCAAGGAGATGTCTCAGAGGCAGTCTCCCTGCACTGCCCTTTTAGCAGCTCTTGGCCAGGTAAAGGTCCTGTGGCAAGAAGGTGCTTCAGACCATAGGAGGTGCCCCAGGTACTCAGGAGGAAGCCTTAGAAGAGCGGCAAGGAGGCCGGGCGTGGTGGCTCATGCCTGTAATCCCAGCACTTTGGGAGGCCGAGGGGGGTAGATCACGAGGTCAAGCAATTGAGACCATCCTGGCCAACATGGTGAAACCTCGTCACTACTAAAAACACAAAATTTAGCTGGGCATGGTGGCATGCGCCTGTAGTCCCAGCTACTTGGGAGGCTGAGGCAGGAGAATCGCTTGAATCCGGGAGGTGGAGGTTGCAGTGAGCTGAGATCGCGCCACTGCACTCCAGCCTGGCTACAGAGTGGGACTCCATCTCAAAGAAAAAAAAAAGAGTGGCAGGGAGCTTGAATGTTATGGTGCAACTTGGACTGTCACCATTGCCCACCCTACCCCAGATCCCAAGACAAAAGCGTGGTTGAAGGAGCACGTGGAGCCTGTGTTCGGCTTCCCCCAGTTTGTCCGGTTCAGCTGGCGCACGGCCCAGACCATCCTGGAGAAAGAGGCGGAAGATGTTATATGGTGGGTGTCATGGATGTCCTGGGGGTGCTATAGGGAAGGAAGGAGGGAGGCCAGCGTTCAGCCCTGCCTGAGAGGGTTGCTCCCTGTGTAAGTGGTCACTGTCATCACCTCTCTCCCACAGGGAGGACTCAGCATCCGAGAATCAGGAGGGACTCAGGAAGATCACATCCTACTTCCTCAATGAAGGGTCCCAAGCCCGTCCCCGTTCTTCCCACCGATATTTCCTGGAACGCGGCCTGGAGTCAGCAACCAGCCTCTAGCAGCTGCCTCTACGCGCTCTACCTGCTTCCCCAACCCAGACATTAAAATTGTTTAAGGAGAACCACACGTAGGGGATGTACTTTTGGGACAGAAGCAAGGTGGGAGTGTGCTCTGCAGCCGGGTCCAGCTACTTCCTTTTGGAACCTTAAATAGAATGGGTGTTGGTTGATTAATTTTATTTGGTTTGATTTTTTTCATTTTTAAATTTTATTTATTTTATTTTATTTTATTTTATTTTTTTGAGAGACGAAGTCTCACTCTGTCACCCAGGCTGGAGTAGAATGGGGCAATCTCAGCTCACTGCAACCTCTGCCTTCCAGGTTCAAGCGATTCTCCTGCCTCAATTTCCCAAGCAGCTGGGACTATAGGCGTGTGCCATGCCCAACTAATTTTTTTTTTTTTTTGAGACACAGTCTCCTGTTGCCCAGGCTGGAGTACCATGGCACAATCTTGGCTCACTGCAACCTCCACCTCCCTGGTTCAAGCAATTCCCCTGCCTCAGCCTCCTGAGTAGCTGGGATTACAGGTGCACACCACCACACCCGGCTAATTTTCTTTTCTTTTCTTTCTTTCTTTTTTTTTTAATTTGAGACAGAGTCTCACTTTGTCACCAGGCTGGAGTGCAGTGATGCAATTTTGGCTCACTGCAACCTCTGCCTCCTGGGTTCAAGCGATTCTCCTGCCTCAGCCTCCCACGTAGCTGTGACTACAGGCATGCGCCACCACACTCAGCTAATTTTTGTATTTTTAGTAGAGACGGGGTTTCACCACGTTGGCCAGACTGGTCTTAAACTGCTGACCTCAGGCAATCTGCCCGCCTTGGCCTCTCAAAGTGCTGGGATTACAGGTGTGAGCCACTGCGCCTGGCCTAATTTTTGTATTTTTTAGTAGAGACAAGGTTTCACTATATGTTAGTCAGGCTGCTCTCTACCTCCTGACCTCAGGTGATCTGCCCACCTCAGCCTCTCAAAGTGCTGGGATTACAGGCATGAGCCACTGCACCGACCTTTTTAGTTATATTTTTAATTTTTAAAAATTTTTAAATTTTCTTTCTTGAGATGGAGTCTCGCTCTGTCACCCAGGCTGGAGTGCATTGGCTCAATCTTAGCTCACTGTAACCTCTGCCTCCCAGGTTCAAATGATTCTCCTGCCTCAGCCTCCCGAGTAGCTGGGACTACAGGTGCGTGCCACCAGGCCTGGCTAATTTTTTGTATTTTTAGTAGAAACACGGTTTCACCGTGTTAGCCATGATGGTCTCAATCTTCTGACCTTGTGATCCGTCTGCTTCAGCCTCCCAAAGTGCTGGGATTACAGGCGTGAGCCGCCATGCATTGCCTATTTTTATTTAAAAAATTTTTTGAGACAGAATCTCACTCTGTCACCCAGGCTGGAGTGCAGTGGTGCGATCTCAGCTCAGTGTAACCTCCGCCTCCTGGGTTTAAGTGATTCTCCCACCTTAACCTCCTGAGTAGCTGAGGTTCCAGGCACACGCCACGATGCCCAACTAATTTTTGTATTTTTTGTAGAGATGAGGTTTCATCATGTCGCCCAGGCTGGTCTTGTAGTCCTGGGTTCAAGTGATCTGCCCGCTGTGACCTCTCAATGTGTGAGCTACCATACCTGGCTGACTAATATGTAAAATACATGATGTGGCTGGGCGCAGGGGCTCATACATGTAATCCTAGTGCTTTGGAAGGCTGAGTCAGGAGGATCTTGACCAGTCTGGACAACATAGGGTAACAAGAGCGAAACTCTGTCTCAAAAAAAAAAAAAAAAAAAAAAAAATGCTGGGCTGCATGGGGGAAGATAAGAAAAAATAAAGAAAGGTCACGAACCAAACAAAAATCTTGGCGGGCAGGGTGCCGTGTGGCTGCAGTCCCAGCTTTTCTGGAGGTTGAGGTAGGCTCCAGCATGGGCGACAGAGCAAGACCATGTCTCAAAAAAAAAAGCATATCTGCGCATTAATGTTTGGAACAAGCTGCATTCTCTCCAGAAGGACCTAGAAGGCACAGATAAGCCCACCAGTGATTTGGGGCAGGTTGGGATGGAAGCTTCTCAAATGTTCTCCCTTCTTTCTTTGGTTCTGTTTTTGTTGGTTTTATTTTGTTTTGTTTTGAGACAGAGTCTCGTTCTGTCACCCAGGCTGGAGTGCAGTGGCACAGTCTTAAGTCACTGCAACCCCCACTTCCCAGGTTCAAGCAATTCTCCCACCTCAGCCTCCCGAACAGCTGGGACTACACCATGCCCAGCTAGTTTTTGTATTTTTAATAGTGACAGGGTTTCACCATGTTGGCCAGGCTGGTCTTGAACCCCTGACCTCAAGTGACCCGCCTGCCTCGGTCTCCCAATGTGCTGGGATTATAAGTGTAAGCCACTGTGCCCAGTCTGTTTTTGTTTTCTGAGACAGGGTCTCCGTCACCCAGACCGAAGTGTTGCCATGTGATCTTGGCTCATTGAAGCTTCGAATGCCTGGGCTCACAGGGTCCTCCCACCTCAGCCCTGTGAGTAAGTGGAACTACAAGTATGCCACCACGCACAGCCAATTTAAAAAAAATGGCTGGGCGCGGTGGCTCACGCCTGTAATCCCAGCACTTTGGGAGGCCGAGGTGGGTGGATCACGAGGTCAGGAGATCGAGACCATCCTGGCTAACACGGTGAAACCCCGTCTCTACTAAAAATACAAAAAAATTATCTGGGCGTGGTGGTGGGCGCCTGTAGTCCCAGCTACTTTGGATGCTGAGGCAGAAGAATGGCATGAACCCGGGAGGCAGAGCTTGTAGTGAGCCAAGATAGCGCCACTGCACTGCAGCCTGAGTGACAGTGCGAGACTGAGCCTCAAAAAAATAAATAAATAAATAAAATTAAAAAAAATTTGGTAGAGACAGGATCGCCCTGTTGCCCAGATTGGTCTCTCAAATTCCTGAGCTCAAGCGATCCTCCCATCTCACCCTCCCAAAGTTCTTGGGATTACAGGCGTGGGCCACTGCGCCTGCCCTGCTCTCTTTTTTGAGACAGAGTCTTGCTTTGTTGCCCAGGCTGGAGTGCAGTGTTGCAATCTTGACTTACTGTGCCCTCAAACTCCTGAGGTCAAGCAACCCTCCTGCCTCGGCCTTCAAGTAGCTAGCACTGCAGGCGTGTATCACTATGCTCAGCTAAGTTTTTTATTTCATAGAGATGGGGCCTTCCTATGTGAGAGGAGGCCTAGCACTTTGGGAGTCCAACGGTATGTTGTGTTCTTGAGATGAGGTCTCACTCTGTCACCCAGGCTGGAGTGCAATGGCATAATCTTGGCTTACTGAAGCCTCCACCTCCCGGGCTCCAGCGATTCTCCTGCCTCAGCCTCCCAAGTAGCTGGGATTACAGATGCGCACCTCCATGCCCACCTCGGCCTCCCAAGTGCTGGGATTACAAGCGTGAGCCACACGCCCGGCCCCTATACAGTTTTTTTTTTTTTTTTTTCTTGAGATGGATGCTCATTCTGTATCCCACGTCCGACATAGGAGGCTGCGGCAGGAGAATCGCTTGAACCCGGCTGGTGGAGGTTGCAGTGAGCCGAGATTGCGCCACTGTACTCCAGCCTGGGCGATAGTCAGAGACTCAGTCACAAAAAAAAAAAAAAAAAAATTTGGGCTGGGTATGGTGGCTCACGCCTGTAATCCCAGGACTTTGGGCGGCTGAGGCGGGCAGAACACCTGAGGTCAGGAGTTTGAGATCAGCCTGGCCAACATGGCAAAACCCCGTCTCTACTAAAAATACAAAAATTAGCTGGACATGGTGGCAGATGCCTGTAATCCCAGCTACTCAGGAGGCTGAGGCAGAAATGCTTGAACCTGGGAGGTGGAGGTTGCAGTGAGCCAAGATCGTGCCATTGCGCTCCAACCTGGGCAACAGAGTGAGACTCCGTCTCAAAGAAAAAAAATTTTTTTTATAGAGATGGGGGTCTTGCTATGTTGCCCAGTTTGCTCTCAAACTCCGGGCCCAAAGGATCCTCCCACCATAGCCTCCCAAAGTGTTAAATTGTTGAGATTACAGGCATGAGACACAGTGCCCGGCCAAGTGTCCTAATTTCTTATTGTCATTGAATTAGAGCTCACAAATATGACCTCATTTTACTTTAATTACCCCTTTAAACACGCTCTTTCCAAACACAGTCACGTTTTGACATGCTGGGGGTTAGGACTTGAACATATGAATTGGAGGAGACCCATTCAACCCATAACAGAGCATTTCTCCACTCCACGCAAATTCTTTGTAGGACGCAGAAGCCAGCACTGCACCAGCCAGCCAGAATCCCAGAACTGTCCTTTGACAGTGGAGGCTAGAGTGCCCAGGAATGCATGATGGGGGACCCAGCTCTGATCTGGGGGTCTCAGAGCCTGAGGAACTGACTGGCAGAGGTCTGCGGGGTGAATGCGGTGGAATAAGTGACTGGAGGATGGAGGGGGTTCCAGGCATTGGGCACGTGTTGAGGCCTAGAAATGGGAGACCTGGCTTCAAGAAGGCCCGAGAGGCCAGGCGCCGTGGCTCACGCCTGTAATCCCAGCGCTTTGGGAGGCCGAGGTGGGCAGATCACGAGGTCAAGAGATGGAGACTATCCTGGCCAACATGGTGAAACCTCATCTCTACCAAAAATACAAAAATTAGCTGGGTGTGGTGGTGGGTGCCTGTAGTCCCAGCTACTCTGGAGGCTGAGGCAGGAGAATCACTTAAACATGGGAGGCGAAGGTTTCAGTGAGCCAAGATCATGCCACTGCACTCCAGCCTGGTGACAGAGCAAGACTCCGTCTCAAAAAAAAAAAAAAAAAAAGGGCCCAAGAAGAGGGCAGTGAGAGTAGGCATTCGGGAGGAGGTGTGGTCTCCACCCAAGAGACACCCTCTATCCAACCCTCGTCTTGTTGTTATTATTTTGTTATTTGACTTAAAAGCTTATTTTTCTTTTTCTTTTGAGATGGAGACTCACTCTTGCTCCGGCTGTGTTGCAGTGGCATCTCGGCTCACTGCAACCTCCGCCACATGGGTTCAAGTGAGCACATCCGGCTCATTTTGTATTTCTTTTTTTTTTTTTTTTTTTTGAGACTGAGTCTTGCTCTATCGCCCAGGCTAGAGTGCAATGGCCCAATCTCGGCTCACTGCAACCATTGGCTCCCTGGTTCAAGCGATTCTCCTGCCTTAGACTCCTGAGTAGCTGGGATTACAGGCACCGACCACCCCGCCCAGCTAATTTTGTTTTTCTCTTTTTTTTTGAGATGGAATCTTGCTTTGTCTCCCAGGCTGCAGTACAGTGGTGTGATCTTGGCTCACTGCAACCTCCGCCTCCCGGGTTCAAGAAATTCTTCTGCCTCAGCCTCCCAAGTAGCTGGGACTACAGTCACATGCCACCATGCCTGGCTAATTTTTTGTATTTTTAATAAAGAAGGGGTTTCCCCATGTTAGCCAGGATGGTCTCAATCTCCTGACGTCGTGATCTGCCCGCCTTGGCCTCCCAAAATGCTGGGATTACAGGCGTGAGCCACTGTGCCCCGCCTTCTTTGACTTTTTGTAGACACCAGGGGGTGGGTCTTGAAGTCCTGAGCTCAAGGGGTCTCCTGCCTTGGCCTCCCCAAGTGCTAGGATTATAAGTAAAAGCCACCAGCCACCATGTGCAGCCTGCAAATGTTACTTCTTTTTTTTTTTTTTCTGGAATAGAGCCTCACTCTGTCACCCAGGCTGGAGTGCAGTGGTGCGATCTCAGCTCACTGCATCCTCTGCCTCCTGGGTTCAAGCAATTCTCCTGCCTCAGCTCCCGAGTAGCTGGGATTATAGGAACCTACCACCACACCCTGCTAATTTTTGTATTTTTAGTACAGACGAAGTTTCACCAAGTTGGCCAGGCTGGTCTTGAACTCCTGACCTCAGGTTATCCACCCGCCTCAGCCTCCCAAAGTGCTGGGATTACAGGCATGAGCCACCGCGCCCGGCCTGCAAATGTTACTTCTAACAACAGCCTTTGAATTTGTGAGAACTCAGTGCTGGGTCCCCGTCCCAGCAGCGTGAAGCTCACACGGGAGTTGGAAAGAGTCCAGGGTTCCACACTGGCCTGCTGAAGATCCCGAGTGTCATGTTTTTGAGGTTTTTTTTAAGAAACAGAGTTGGCTGGGTGCGGTGGCTCACGCCTGTAATCCCAGCACTTTGGGAGGCCAAGGCGGGTGGATCACCTGAGGCCAGGAGTTCTAGACCAGCCTGGCCAACATGGTAAAACCCCATCTCTACTAAAAATACAAAAATTAGCCAGGCCTGGTGGCAGGCACCTGTAATCCCAGCTACTCCAGGGGTTGAGGCAGGAGAATTGCCTGAACCCGGGAGGTGGAGGTTGTAGTGAGCCGAGATTGCGCCTTTGCACTCCAGCCTGGGGGACAAGAGTGAGACTTCGTCTCAAAAAAAAAAAAAAAAAAAAAAAAAGGCCGGGTGGCTCACACCTGTAATCCCAGCACTTTGGGAGGCTAAGGTGGGCGGATCACGAGGTCAGGAGATTGAGACCATCCTGGCTAACATGGTGAAACCCCATCTCTACTAAAAACACAAAAAATTAGCCAGTGTGGTGGCGGGCACCTGTAGTCCCAGCTACTCGGGAGACTGAGGCAGGAGAATGGCGTGAACCTGGGAGGCGGAGCTTGCAGTGAGCCGAGAATAGCGCCACTGCACTCCAGCCTGGGCTAAAGAGCAAGACTCCATCTCAAAAAAAAAAAAAAAAAAAAAGGGTCTCAGCCAGGCACAGTGGCTCATGCCTATAATCCCAGCACTTTGGGAGGCTAAGGTGGCGGATCACGAGGTCAGGAGTTAAAGACCAGCCTGGCCAACATAGTGAAACCGCTGTCTCTACTAAAAAATACAAAAATCAGCTGGGCGTGGTGGTGAGCGCCTGTAGTCCCAGATACTTGGGGAGGTAAGGTGGGAGGATCACTTGAGCCTGGGAGGTTGAGGCTGCAGTGAGCCGAGATTGCACCACTGCACTTAAGAGCCTGAACAACAGAGTGAGACCCTGTTTTAAAAAAACAAAAACAAGGCTGGGCACGGTGGCTCATGACTGTTATTCCAGCACTTTGGTAGGCCAAGGCAGGTGGATCACCTGAGGTCAGGAATTCAAGACCAGCCTGGCCAACATGGTGAAACCCCGTCTCTACTAAAAGTACAAAAATTAGTCAGGCATAGTGGCAGGCACCTGTAATCCCAGCTAGTAAGGAGGCTGAGGCAGGAGAATAGCTTGAACCTGGGAGGCAGAGGTTGCAGTAAGCCGAGATCGTGCCACACTGCACTCCAGCCTGGGTGACAAGAGCGAGACTCCGTCTCAAAAAACAAAAACAAAAAACCTATGGCTTTCACATGTTTCCTTTTCTAAATGAGGTCCTGAGTATGTGGGACTACAGGCACAAACCATTGCACCTCGCTAATTTTTTTTGGTTTTTGTTTTTTTTGGTAGAGATGAGGTCTTACTATGTTGCCCAGGCTGATTTTGAACTCCTGGCTTCAAGCAGTTCTCCTGCTTCAGCCTTCCAAAGTGCTGGGATTTCAGGCGTGAGCTGTCCTACCTAATTTTGTCCAGCCTAACTTTTTTTTTTTTTTTTATTTTGGAGATGAGGTCTGGCTATGGTGCCCATGCTATTCCCAATCTCCTGGCCTCAAGCAATACAGTCACCTCAGCCTCCCAAGTAGCTGAGACTGTAGCCCGAACTGCCAAACCTTGCATCACACCCTCCTGTCTCTCTCTTTTTTTTTTTTTTCTGAGACACGGTCTCCATCTGTTGCCTCAGCTGGAGGGCAGATGATGGCTCACTGCAACCTCCACCTCCTGGCTCAAGTAATCCTCCCACCTTCAGCCTCCCAAGTAGCTGGGACTACAGGTGTGTGCCACCATGCCCAGCTAATTTTTTTAATTTTTAGTAGAGATGGGGTTTTGCCCTGTTGCCCAGGCTGGTCTGGAACTCCTGACCTCAAAGAATTCATCTGCCTCGGCCTCCTAAAGTGCTAGAATTACAGGTGTGAGCCACAGCTCCTGGTACATCACACTCTATCCTCAGGTTCAAGTGTCTCTGCCTGGCATCCAGTGTCTTCCAGGACCAGATCCCATCTCCCATGGTCTATCCCAGGCTTCCTGGTCAGCTCAGAGTTCCCAGAATATGAAATCTCCAGGCCTTTCACTTGGAATGTCCTCCATGGCTTGATTATCTGACTGGAGATCCTTTAAAGACTTGCTTTACTTCCTTGAATGCTTGTTCCTCCTCCTTGTCACAATAACACAGTCTATAACATCAGTAACCCAGTATGTAACATCATCCACCAGAAGCAATCATAATAGACGGTCTACATTCATTGAGTGATAATTGTGTGCCACACTTTCTAAGCATTTTATTTGACATCCCCCCCATTGGAGGTGGAGTCTATGATGCCTCTCCTTGAATATGAGCTGGCTTCAGTGACTCACTGTAGTGAATAAAAAGTGAGAGATGTCACACTGTGTGAGTTCCAAGGTTAAGTCATCAGAACTGAAACAGATCCCACCTGGCTTGCTCTCTTGGGATATTTCCCTTAGACCGTAGCTGCCATGTTGAGAGGAAGCCCAAGCCACAGAGAGGCCATGTGCAGATATTCTGGCCAACAGCCCCAGCAGAAGTTCAAGGCAACAGCCAACACCAACTACCAGATATGTGAGCAAGGAAGCCTTCAACGTGATTCCAGCCCCAGCCACTGTGTCTGCAAGTATATGACAGATCTTCAGGAAGAACTGCCAAGCTGAACCAAGTCAAACCCCAGAACCATGAAAGATAGTAACTTTTTTTTTTTTTTTTGAGATGGAGTCTCGCTCTGTCACCCAGGCTGGAGTGTAATGGCGTGATCTCGGCTCACTGAAACCTCTGCTTCCTGGGTTCAAGCAATTATCCTGCCTCAGCCTCCTGAGTAGCTGGGATTACAGGCATGCGCCACCACACCCGGCTAATTTTCTGTATTTTTAGTATAGATGGAGTTTCACCATGTTGGTTAGGCTGGTCTCGAACTCCTGACCTCGTGATCCACCTGCCTCGGCCTCCTAAAGTGCTGGTTGTTGTTTCTTTTTTTTTGTTTTGTTTTTTGAGACGGAGTCTGGCTCTGTT
This sequence comes from Homo sapiens, assembly GCF_000001405.40. Taxonomy (NCBI): domain Eukaryota; kingdom Metazoa; phylum Chordata; class Mammalia; order Primates; family Hominidae; genus Homo; species Homo sapiens. The sequence continues at coordinate 12,822,593 of NC_000019.10, forward strand.
ACCCAGGTTGGGGCGCAGTGGCATGATCTCGGCTCACTGCAACCTCTGCCTTATGGGTTCAAGTGATTCTCCAGCCTCAGCCTCCTGAGTAGCTGGGATTACAGGCACGCACCACCATGCCCAGCTAATTTTTTATTTTTAGTAGAGACAGGGTTTCACCATGTTGGCCAGGCTGGTCTTGAACCCCTGACCTCAGGTGATCTGCCCGCCTCGGCCTCCCAACGTGCTGGGCTTACAGGCATGAGCCACTGCACTCAGCCGATAATGACTTTTTTTTCTGAGATGGAGTCTTGCTTTGTCGCCCAGGCTGGAGTGCAGTAGTGTGATCTCAGCTGACTAAAACCTCTGCCTCCCAGGTTCATGCCATTCTCCTGCCTCAGCCTCCCAAGTAGCTGGGACTACGGGTGCCTGCCACAATGCCCGACTAATTTTTTGTATTTTTAGTAGAGACGGGGTTTCACCATGTCAGCCAGGATGGTCTCGATATCCTGGCCTTGCGATCCGCCCGCCTTGGACTCCCAAAGTGCTGGGCTTACAGGCATGAGCCACCACGCCCAGCCTAGTGACCTTTTTTTCATCACTATATTGGAATTGTTTGGTATGCAGTGTTAGATAAGCAGAAAAACTTGCACTAACTCACTGAATTCTCCTTTCTCAATCCTGTGAAAGGAATGCATTTCCGTTTTATTTTATTTATTTTATTGTAATTTTTCTTTTTGAGACAAGGTCTCACCCTGTTACCCAGGCTGGAGTGCAGTGGTACTGTCTCAGGTCACCACAACCTCCACCTCCTGGGTTCGAGTGATTATCCTACCGCAGCCTCCCAAGAAACTGGGATTATAGGCATGTGCCACCACAGCTGGCTAATTTTTTTTTTTTTTTTTTTGAGACAGATCCTTGCTCTGTCACCCAGGCTGGAATGCAATGGCACGTTCTCTGCTCACTGCAACCTCCACCTCCCAGGTTCAAGCGATTCTTCTGCCTCAGCCTCCTGAGTAGCTGGGATTACAGGTGCGCCCCACCATGCCTGGCTAATTTTTGTATTTTTTAGTAGAGATGGGGTTTCTCCATGTTGGTCATGCTGGTCTTGAACTCTTGATCTCGTGATCTGCCCGCCTTGGCCTCCCAAAGTGCTGGGATTACAGGCATGAGCCATCGCACCCGGCTGCCTGGCTAATTTTTGTACTTTTGGTAGAGACGGAGTTTCGCCATGTTGGCCAGGCTGGTCTCGAACTCCTGGCCTCAAGTGAATGAACCACCTGCCTCGGCCTCCCAAAGTGCTGGGATTACAGGCATGAGACACCGTGCCTGGCCCACATTCCCATTTTAAAGATGAAGAAACTGAGGCTCAATCTGGGCAACGTGTGAAACCGAAGTTACAGCATAAGTAAGTGGTAGAGCTGGGTTGTGAACACAGGTGGACGCTACACGGGGTCATTCCCACCAAATTCTGTAGTCTGTACATGTATAATATGGGGTCTTGGGCAGGAATGGTGACTTGTGTCTGTAATCCCAGCACTTTGGGAGGCCGAGGCAGGTGGATCACCTGAGGTTTCGCCAACATGGTGAAACCCCATCTCTACTAAAAATACAAAAATTATCCAGATGTGGTGGTGTGTGCCTGCAATCCCAGCTACTCTGGAGGCTGAGGCACGAGAAGCACTTGAACCCAGGAGGCTGAGGTTGCAGTAAGCCAAGATTGCACCACTACAATTCAGCCTGGGAGACAAAGCTAGACTCTGTCTCAAAAAAACAAACAAACAAACAAAAAAAACGCCAGGCGTGGTGGCTCACACATGTAATCTTAGTACTTTGGGAGGCCAAGGTGGGTGGATCCCCTGAAGTGAAGAGTTTGAGACCAGCCTGGCCAACATGGTGAAACCCTATCTCTACTAAAAATACAAAAAATTAGCTGGGCTTGGTGGCAGGTGCCTGTAATCCCAGCTACTAGGGAGGCTGAGGCAGGAGAATCACTGGAACCCGGGAGGAGGAGGTTGCAGTGAGCTGAGATCCTGCTATTGCACTCCAACCTGGGCAACAAGAACGAAACTCAGTCTCAAAATAAATAAATAAATAAAAAGCTGGGATCTGGCTTTTGCCCAGGCTGGAGTGTAGTGGCAGGATTATAGCTTACTGTAGCCTCAATGTTCTGGGATCGAGTGATCTTCTTACCTCAGCCTCTCAAGTAGTTGGGAGTACAGCACATACTACCAGGGCCAGCTTGGTATTCTGTGTCTGCATGTCTTATTATTATTATTTTTTTTGAGAGAGAGGCTCTCACTGTGTCACCCAGACTAGAGTACAGTGGTGTGATCGTGGCTCACTGCAGCCCTGAACTGAGCTCAAGCGATCCTCCTGCCTCAGCCTGCTGAGCAGGTAGGAATACAGGCACGGGTCACTACACTGGGCCAATTAAAAATATTCTTTTTCTTTTTCTTTTTTCTTCCTTTCTCTCTCTCTCTTTTTTTTTTTGTGGAGACAGGTTCTCACCGTATTGCGAAGCCTGGTCTTGAACTCCTGGGCTCAAGCAATCCAACCACCTCAGCCTCTCAAATTGCTGGGATTACAGGCATGAGCCTCTGCACCTGGCCTTGAAGTGTGTCTTGAGGCCTATACAAGTTAGGCAGCTTCTTGGCAGCCCTGGTGGCACACAGTGGGAAGGAACCCCTCCTGCCCTTGTCAGCCCCTGTTCTGACCCCCTCTCCATTTCCAACAACTGGGTATTCCCAGTTATGTTGACTGCTCTAGGGCACAGGCTATCTATCATTTACACTCTAGTATGAGTCAGTCACTACTTCTAGGGTCTGAGGATTAGACGTGAGACATCCGTTACTTTCTGGCAATTCTCCTTCCGACTTATTTCCCCAAGAAGCAGCCACACTCGTCACGTGCTCTAGCTGGCGACTTTATTCAAAGGGGAGAGGGAAAAGTGAGAGAGTTGGGTCATTTCTGGGATAACCTGGAGAGGGGTGGGTCTCTGGAGCTCCAGGGAGGAGGGACAGACATCTCAAAACTATTACAGAAGGCCGAGAGGACGAGGGGTGGGGTTCTGGGTGTCCTGAGGGGCGGGGCTGGGGGAAGGGTCGCTCCCCCAACTCAGGGCCACGCGTCCGCTAGGGGCCGCTGCCGCTTCCACTGCCACTCCCGCTGCCCGCAGCGTCCAGGATGGAGGTGCGAGGGCTGCGGGAACGCCGGGAGGGAGCTTCCCGGCCCCGTCGTCCTGGTCTGGGACGAGGTACCGCGGAGATGGAGATGTTGAAGCAGTGACGGGCTCCAGGAGCAGCCACCGGTAGGGCGTGGCCCAGAGCCGAGCGACAAAGGTCCGTCCCGTCTGCGAAGGTCTAGGAAAAAGTGGAGTTAAGGCCCTAGTGGGCGGAGTCCAGAGACGTGGGGGGCGTGGCCTCGGGAAGGGAAAAATGTGTAAATTCCTTAGGGATTGGGGTCAGAGCCGGAGCGTGCGGCCTGGGAGTCTATGTGCGGAACGTGAGTGGGGGCAGGTCCTTGGGGAGGGTGAATGTTCTTACTGGGCCCTAGCGGGATGAATCAGGGTTGGGGCAGTTGGGGGGCGCGCAGAGAGGTCTGTATCAAGGCTGGGGTTTTGTAGAGAGTGACTGGGCTTCTGGGTCCTCCAGGGTAAAATGTGGATGGACCCAGAGCAGGAATGGTTTCTTGGGAAGGGCAAATCTGGACTTCGAGAGCTTTTGGGGTCAAAGGGCACAACCCAGTAGGAGGTTGGGCTAGGGAAGGGTGGGAGCAGGGACCTGGGGAGTACCAATCCGGTCTCTGGGGTCTAGACACGGTAAGAAAGAACTTGGTGGGGGCCGGGGGCGGTGGCTCACACCTGTAATCCCAACACTTTGGGAGGCCGAGGTGGGCGGATCACCTGAGGTCAGGAGTTCGAAACCAGCCTGGCCAACATGGTGAAACGCTGACTCTACTAAAAATACAAAAATTAGCTGGGCATGGTGGCATGCGCCTGAAATCCCAGCTATTCGGGAGGTTGCGGCAGGAGAATCACTTGAACCCCGGAGGCGGAGGTTGCATCGAGCTGAGATCGCGCCACTGCACTCCAGCCTGGGTGACAAGAATGAAACTCCGTCTCAGAAATAAATAAATAAATAAATAAATAACTTGGTGGGGAGGATCTCAGTCTCTTCCCTTCACCTTCTGCCCCACGCTCACCTGTCCATAGGTAAGGCAGCTGGGCTCACAGCCCCTTTTTTCTGAGAGTGGGAGCCAAGTCGGGCCGCAGGTGATATCATCTTCGCAGTTGGCGAACCTGGAGATGGCGAGTGGAGAGGTGGGTAAAGCCTTTGTAGTTACATTCCAGCGCGATTCTGGCTCTTCTAGACTGTGTTCACTATATGCCCCCACCTCGGATCCAGGCCCCGCCTTTTAGAACCACTCCCCTGCTAACTAACCCCATCTCTCCAGATTTCACCCTGCCCCATATTCTATCAGATCTTTCCATACTCTGGGCCACGTCACAACTGGCCTTGTCCCTACAGACCTCAGACCATTAGTTACAGGCCAGTCCCTCATATTTTCCCACTCTTTCGTTTTCCTTTTATTTATTTTTGAGTCAGGGTCTTGCTCTGTGACTCAAGCTGGAGTGCAGTGGCGTAAGCATGGCTTATGGCAGCTTTGACCTCCCAAGCTGGAGCAATCCTTCCACCTCAGTGTCTCAAGTACCTGGGACTATAGGTGCGCACCATCATGTCCGATTAATTTTTTTTTTTTTTTTTTTTGAGATGGAGTCCTGCTCTGTTACCCAGGCTGGAGTGCAGTGGCCCAATCTCTGCTTCCTGCAACCTCTGCCTCCCAGGTTCAAACAATTCTCCTGCCTCAGCCTCCCGAGTAGCTGGGATTACAGGCGCCCACCACCACGCCTGGCTCATTTTTGTGTTTTTAGTAGAGACGGTGTTTCACCACGTTGGCCAAGCTTGTCTCAAACTCCTGACCTCAGGGGATCTGCCCACCTTGGCCTCCCAAAGTGCTGGGATTACAAGCATGAGCCACTACGTCCGGCCCATGTCTAATTAATTTTTAAATTTTTTGTTGAGACTGGGTCTTGCCATGTTCCCCAGGCTGATCTTGAACTCCTGGCCTCAACCAATCCTCCTGCCTTGACCTCTCAAACGACTGAGATTACAGGCACCCACCCTTTTACCTTATCTTTTCAATCAAGAGGACTCACTCCTTAAGAAATCTCAGGGCCTGGCTGGGCATGGTGGCTCACCCCTGTAATCCCAGCACTTCGAGAGGCCAAGGCAGGCGGACCACCTAGGTCAGGAGTTTGAGACCAGCTTGGCCAACACGGTGAAACACCGTCTCTACTAAAAATACAAAATTTAGCCGGGCGTGGTGGCGGAAGCATGTAATCTCAGCTACTAGGGATGCTGAGGCGGGAGAATCACTTGAACCCAGGAGGCTGAGGTTGCAGTGAGCTGAGATCGTGTCACTGCACTCCAGCCTGGGCGACAAGAGCAAAACTCCATCTCAAAAAAAAAAAAAAGAAAAAAAGGCCGGGCACGGTGGCTCACGCCTGTAATCCCAGCACTTTGGGAGGCCGAGGCGGGCGGATCACGAGGTCAGGAGTCTGAGACCAGCCTGACCAACATAGTGAAACCTCGTCTCTACTAAAAATACAAAAATTAGCCGGGCATGGTGGTGTGCGCCTGTAACCACAGCTACTCAGGAGGGTGAGGCAGGAGAATCGCTTGAACCCGGGAAGTGGAGGTTGCAGTGAGCCGAGATTGCACCACTGCACTCCAGCCTAGGTGACACAGTGAGACTCCATCTCAAAAAAAAAAAGAAAGAAAGAAAAGAAAAGAAATCGCAGGGCTATGAAAAGCCACATTGCCATATGGCAGGTATCTTAAAAGCTGGGGGCTTCTCATGCCTCGCCCCTATCTACCTGGGCTCTAAACATTAAGCTGCATCTCTTAAACCTTGGCCCTGTTGGAGGCCACTCCCCTTTACACAGAAGGCCAAGCAAACTGCAGGCTCCGCCCTCTTCCCCGCCCAAGTCACAACCCACGCCCCTTGCCCCCGCGTCTCCTACCAGGCCTGGCAGAGCTCCTCGCAGAGCGGCTGTGCCTGGCGTACCCCCAATAGCCGCAGGCGGAAGCGACTGCGAAGGGCACGTTGGAGGTGTTCCAGGAAGGATTCGCATCTGGACGTTGGGAGAGATAGGGTCGGATGGGTCAGGACCCGAGGGAGTTCCTGGGCAATGGGCAAAGTACGCGAGAAAACGGTGGAGGGTGCTGTACTCACTCAGGGCTCGGCACTCCACAGCGTTCTGGATGGTTTCCAGGGCCCGATGTCTCTGTTGTGTCCATCTCTGAGGGACAACAAGGTCCTGGCAAAGGGGAACCCTGTGAGCTAGGGTCTTGGATATTCAGGTAAGGTTTGGGAACTGAGGCCTGGGGATCCCCTGGACAGGGGAGACAACAATTACATCAATCCTCACAAACCCATAACTTAAGACCCTTCCTTTGGAATGCAAATGCAGCTTCAAGTAGTAATAATCATTTCTTGTTTATAATAATCAACTTACTTGTCATGTGCCTGGTAGTGACACATATACTTAATCCTTTTCCTTTTTTTTTTTTCTTTTTTTCTTTTGAGACAGGGCCTCACTCTGTCACCCAGGCTGGAGTGCAGTGGCGTGATCTTGGCTCACTGCAACCTCCACCTCCCAGGTTCAAACAATTCTCGTGCCTAAGCCTCCCAAGTAGCTGGGATTTCAGGCGCATGCCACCTCGTCCAGCTAATTTTTGTATTATTAGTAGAGACAGGGGTTTCACCATGCTGGCCAGGCTGGTCTCAAACTCCTGACCTCAAATGATCTGCCCACTGCAGCCTCCCAAAGTGCTGGGATTATAGGCGTGAGCCACCGAGCCCTGCTCATATGCTTATATGCTTAATCTTAACAACAGCTCTGCGAGGTATATTTGTTATTTCTCTCTTTTTGGGGGTCCATGTGAGACCCAGAGAGGTTAAATGACTTCCTCAGGATCACACAGCTACAAAGTGGCAGAGTTGGGATTTGAACCCAGGCAGTCTAATTCTTATCCACCATTCTTCAGCACTATCCGTGCCTCCCACCTTGGTGGCCATGCTAGGCCCCTCTCATAAGGAAATTCTAACATTGTCATGGCAGGGTAGGTGTGGGTTTCTGGGTGTTGGTGGTGAGGCAGGGTCTGGGGTGCTCACCTGCCAGGTGCAGCTTGCCTTTGCCCAGATCAGCTGCCAGCCCATGGTGTTGCTGGGACCTGGCTTGGAGTGGGCGGCTCCCTCCACAGGCTTCTAGCAGGATCCATGCCAAGGTCAGTTGCAGCACCCACGTCAGGCCGATGGGTCGCATGTGGACCCTGCAGTCCATGTCCACCTGAGATAAGAGCTGGCAGGCATAGGGTGGGGTTCAGCCATCCCTTTCTGTGAGCTTAGGGTGGCACCCACCCAGTGCATACCCAAGAAGCAGTGCCAGGCAGAGTAGGGAAAGTGCAGCTGAGGAGGAGGCTGGGGCAGTGGCCAAGGACGTTCAAATCCCAGGAGACCATCAGGGCCTGCCTCCAACCTAGGAGCCCCCCTCCCATCAGAACCATGTCCTCTATGTCCCTTCAGTGCCACCCCAACCAAGCTTAGACCACAGTGGCCCTCCTCCCATCCAGCAGGATCTCCCACCTTTTTAGTCTTCAAGAGACCCCTTCTTTTCTCAGAATGAAGGGGACCTCCCTAGGTCTTCCAATCCCCCTCTCCTGTTCAGTAATTCCTCCCTCTCTTCTATGCGGCCTCCCTCCTCCCTCTCTCGCTCCCTGCCGGCCCTTCTCTGGGTCACCTTCTCTCGGCCCACAATCGGCTTAGGGGCCACCCAGAGCTGGACCTTTGGGACCAAGGCTGGTGTGGCAGGGCTCAGGTTCTGTCACTGGGGCCCAAAGCCCCGAGGCAGGGACAGCTAGCGGTCTGTGGAGACAAGACTGTCCCCTTCCCGCCTCCCCGCATTCAGCCCCTCACCTGTTGGCTGGATTGGGGTCTAGAGGCCGCTAAGACACCTCAGGATCCAGTCCAGGAAACTGGCTGCTGAAAGGGGCGTGGCTTAATGCAGGGGCGGGACCTCCCACCGTCCTGCCCACACTCCAGCTGACCAAAGGCTGGCCGACTTGGGGCTGGTGTGTATATATCCTTGTGTTTGTTTTTATGTTCAGCTTGTGGCTTAAGCTCTGTATCTATATATGTGGGGAGTGTGTGTGTGTGTGTGTGTGTGTATGTGTGTGAGGAAGGTGTGTTTGTGTGGCCTATAGCCTGTGTGTGTTCCCAGGCACCTGTGTCTTTTGTTTGTGTGGCTGTGTGTGTGTTGAGCATGTATGTGTGTTTTTGTTGTATGAGGTTATGTTTATGTGTGTTTCTTGGTGGAGTGGTTGTGTGTGTGTGTGTGTGTGTGTGTGTGTGTGTGTGTGTGTATACGTTCAGAATCTGGGGGAGGATTGTGTGTCCCAAGCAATGTGTTTGCAGTTGAATAAAACAGGATCTTAATAAATGTGAGAAGGGGAAATGTAGCATTGGGTTAGTGTCCCTGCAAAAATGTTGGAAGTCAGTGGATAAAGGTTTTTGACCATGAAGGTTGACCATGAATGAACAAAGAAATGTCATGTGCTGAGCAGGATGTGTTTGTGTGCACACATTATGTGTCCTTCTGAAGTTTCTGTGAATGTGTGTTGCTTGTGAACACTCCTTTAACTCATCCATTCATTCAACAAACATTTATTGAGCACCTACTGTGTGCTAGATTCTGGGGATGCAGTAGTGAACAAGACATGAAAATTTCAGCCAGGCATGGTGGTTCACACCTGTAATCCCAGCACATTGGGAAGCTGAAGTAGAAGGATCGTTTGAGCCCAGGAGTTTGAAACCAGGCTGGCCAACGTGGTGAAACCCCATCTCTACTAAAAATAATCAAAAATAGCTGGGCATGGTGGCACATGCTTGTAATCTCAGCAGTTCAGGAGGCTGAGGCATGAAAATAGTTTGAACCTGGGAAGCAGAGGTTGCAGTGAATCAAGATTGTTCCACTGCACTCCAGCCTGTGCAACAGAGTGAAACTCTGTCTCAAAAACAAACAAACAAACAAAAACTCAAAATAAAAGACACAAAAATCTCAGGTTTCATAGAGCTGACATTCTAGGGGGAGAATCAGATGAGAAAAACATCCCTGCAGAGGGTATGGGTGTGTATGTCTATGTGTTGTGTTGGGAGAATAATTTGTCTGTTTTAGATGATAATTTGTGTGCAACTGGACATCCCTTGGTTTTGGAACTATGTGACTGTGCTTCCATTGGTTAAGTGTTTATATGTGTTGTTTGTGTGTGTTTGCATTGGATGACTGTGTGTATGTCTGTGTTTCCTAAGTATGTGTTTGTATGGCTGCAGATGTGAGTTTGTGTGTATCTGTATTTTTGGATGTTTGCGTGTGTCTGCATTTGCTGAGTATGTGTTTGTATGTGTGTTAATTTGCAGAATGTGTGGGTCTGTGTTTGTGGAGTATATGTTTGCAGAGTATGTTCGAATAAATGTTTGTGTGTCTGTGTTTACTGAATATGTGACTGTGAGTGTTCGTGTGCCTCTCATCTCAGGGCAAGAGAGGCTTTTGTCTCTCTTTTATTGCTGTATTCCCTCCCAGATCCCAAAACACTACGTTGCACACAGTAGGTACTCAATATGTGGTAAGTGAACAAATCAGTAGATACCGTCTCTGGGTCCCTCTGTGTACACCCAGTGATGTGCTGGAGGCCTCAGTAAGCAAGACCTGCCGGACCTAGCTTTCCCCTGGTCCATCTTGAGGTGGTCCAGGATGCTTGTGGGTCAGATTTGTTCAGCCTCTGGGCTATGCCTCACGCCAGAGCCTCCGCACCCTTTCTCCTTCCCTAATCTCAGCCCCCGACCCTGCGCTTGGATTTCAGCACCGCGGACAGGAGCGCGCGAGACCAGCACCAAGGAGAGCTCCCGCGGTCGCCATCGTGAGATAGGTCGCCAGGGGCGGAGTCCGGGCCATGGACGGAGAGATGTGCCAGCAAGGGACTCAGCGAGACGGCGACACAAATGTGCCGACAAACATATACAGAGACAGACAGAGATAACCCAGGCAAAGGCGCGGACTTGAGGCGACAAGCTCCTGGTGAATACCCGGACCCAGCCTCGCCGTCGCCCCCGTCGTCCAGCAGGGGTCGCTGTTACCCAGCGACCGCGCCCTCCGGGACCTTGGGGCCAGATACTGGCCACCACCCCTTGGGAAGCCCTTCTGTCCCCCAGTGCCAAGACTGGGAGTTCGGAGGGCTCGGACACTCTCCTCTCCAACTTTGGGAAGCATGGTGGGTTTGGCCTCACCTGTGTGAACATGGAGGAGCGGCGAGGGAGCTGAAAAGCGCTTTAACTGCCCCCCTCTCCAACTACCAGCTAATCGCTCCTATAAATACAGACGGCCTGGCCTGGCTCCTTAATCCTGACCGTGAGGGAGGGGTCGCTAGAGGGGCTGCAGGGTTCCCTGAGGAGGCTCTGATTGTGGGGCAGGTGGGTGGGGGGGCATAATATGTATGCACATGTTTTTCTGAGGTTGCGTCTCCTGTGAAGACGGGTCTCCTCAGTGAAAATGTTTCTCTGTAAGCATGAGATCTCTCCTGGGGCTGTAGAGGTCTCGTGGGTGGGGACAGTTTCCCACAGAGGATATGGCTTTTAGGGGTCTCTGATTGGGGGTATCCTTTACACGGGAATTGTTACTCCTGGGATCTTTCTCTTCGGGGAATGCCTCTTTCGTGGGGAGGGGGATGGCTTTTGAGAGGAAAGTCACCTCTCAGGGACCATATCTATTAGGAATGATTTTCAGGGTTGGGGGAGTTCTTGATTGGACAGGGCGTCCCTGTGGAAACTATCTCCCCCTGGGAATGTGTCTCACCAAGGGGGTCTCTGGGGGATGAATGTAGAGGGAATGTATCTCAGGGAGAAGGCTTCCTTTGGGGTGTTTCTTGACTGAGGGTTCTACCCCTGAGAATATCTCTCCTCTGGGGTGTCTCTTTTTATAGTGGTCTCTCGGCAGCTTGGCTCCCATGGGGGCACCAGGAGGCTCCGCCCCCCCGCCCGCCCCTTCCCCCCGCCAGCGCGGGCAGCGGTGGCTGAGCCCGGGCTCGGGCGCCCAGACGCAGTGACGGCGCCGGGCCCGCCCCACTTCGCTCCGCCCCCGCCCCCGCCACCCCTCCCCTCAGCCGCCGCCGCCGCCGCCGCCGCGGTCCCCGCGGCTTCTCACTCCCTCCCTCCTCCCTCCTCCCGCCGCCGCTACCTCCCTCCTCCCTCCCCGGGCCGAAGTCGCCGCCGCTGCCGCCATGGACGATTCGGGCCTCATCCGCCGCCGGAGGCTGCAGGTACGCGGCTGCCTGGGCCCCGGGTGGAGAGGAAGGGGTCGGCGCCCTGGGGCGGGGCTGGGCAGGAGGCGGGAGAACTTGCACTAGGGTCAGCCGGGACGCCCCCACCCATAGGTTCGGGACGCTAACCGCGGGGAACGCTGTGGCCGCGCGTCCCGCCGCGCTGGGGACCCCGCCCCTCAGGCGCCGCCCGGCGATCCAGGGAGCTGCCGGAGGGGTGCAGCCTAGCGCTCCCCCTCGAGGATCGCCTGAGGGGCGCCTGGCCCGCCCTAGGGGGATGGGGCTGGGGCCGAAGTCATCGCCCTGGCGCCTCGCCAGGCTAGGGGTGAGGGGGCGCAGAGCAAAGTTATTGCCCTAGGGCTCATGCCCCTCGGGGCCATCGGCGCCGCTGGAGGCGTAAACATGTTTGTGCGGCAACCTCGCCCCTCACCACCCCAGGAGCCCCCTCCCGAGGCATAGGACGCCCTGCGTCCCCCACGCACCTGCCTGGCCATCAGGATTCTTCCTACTGCCCTAATTGGACAGGCACCTAGACAGCTTTCTCACTCTTCATTCCACCTCCTCCACTACAACATCCGCCCCCCCACCGCGATCCTCAAGTCCAGCCCAGCTTGTGGGTGGGCGGGAGCGATTTTTAGCTCCTTGCAGCCTTAGAAGATGCTGGTCTCGAGGCTGCGCAGGCGCAGGAGCCGTGCGTCCACTGCACGGAGTGGGACACTGAGGATCGCTGTGGAGTGTGGGGAAGGCGGGGACAAACTCAGGTGTCAGGAGCTCCTACCTCCAAGGTGGGGAGGGATTCTGTAGCCGAGAAGCGTCCTCTGCTCGTCTTCAGCTGCGTTTCTGAGGGGTTAGTACGGAAGTTCAGGGTTAATACGGAGGTCCGGTCCCAAACATCCCAGAGGGGAAGGTGATGATATCTGTGCCCCAAGGCCCTGCCTGGGGTCTGGCCCTTCTGAGCCTCCTTGGGGCTCAGCCCCAGGCTTGGTAATCTGGAGTTTAGATAAAGCCGAGAATGGGCCCAGACTCAGGCTCCATCCCCAGCCTGAATCTTGGGAAAAGAGGATTCAAACCCTCACCTAGGGCTTCGTCCATTTCTAGACTCCCCTAATCCATCATTCCCGAGGTTGAAGGCCAAGGGGAGCTGATTGGTCAGTGCAGCAGGAAAAATGGTGATCAGACTGCAGGAAGGACCTTCCAGGCGTCTGGGTAACGCCGGAGCCAGACATGAGTTGGAAAACTAATTTGCTTTCAGAGCCCAGATGGCCCGATCTCCGGAGCCTAGGCCTCTCTGAAGTGCTCCCACATTCTCTCCGCCTCTCGGGGGTGGGTTAGGAGAGTGGGTTCCGAGAGAAGGGAGGCAGCTGCGGCAAAGTTAGAGCAAGTACTGCAGCAGCCAGGTTGGGTCCGCGCCGTCGGGTTTCTGAGAAAAGGGAGGAAAGAGGCGGGGCCTGCACGGTGTGTCCCCGCCCTCCAGGCCGGCGTCAACTCTCATTGGCTCAGCGCCACGCGGGACTTTAAACTCCCGCTCGAGACACCGCCCCCAACGCGGAATGCTTCCACTCACCCACCCACCCACTCAACCCCAGGCTTGCTCTGGGTCCGGCGATCCCTGTCGGAGTCCTGTCCCCACCGCTTCCCTTCTGGCGGGATTAACCACTTCGCTGCCTGGATACACCCACATACGTTGGTGCATCCTCTTAGGAACTGTCGCATCACTGCTGAGCGCCCGAGGGTCCCCTGTGTGCAGCTAGGCTCTTTTTTTTTTTTTTTTTTTTGAAACGGAGTCTCGCTCTGTTGCCCAGGCTGGAGTGCAGTGACGCAATCTCGGCTCACTGCAACCTCCGCCTCCCGGGTTTAAGAGATTCTTCTGCCTCAGCCTCGCTAGTAGCTGGGATTACAGGCTCATGCCAACATGCCCGGCTAGTTTTGTATTTTTAGTAGAGAGTGGGTTTCACCATGTTGGCCAGCCTGGTCTTGAACTTCTGACCTCAGGTGATCCACCCGCCTCGGCCTCCCAAAGCGCTGGAATTACAGGCGTGAGCCACCACGCCCTGGGATCTTATATGTAGACAGCATCCTGAGTTCGAATGCCCTGTCTGCAGTGTCAACTATTAATCCTGTGCGGGAGAAGCGGAATCCACTTGGCCGAGCGGCTCTGCAGCTGAGATTGGAGGTGGCGTCTGTTTACACTGACGCCAAAGACCCGAACTTCCGCCGCTCCAGTTTGACCCTTTCTTCGTCCCTAGAATGTTTGGGGGCGCTAGCGGGTGGGGCTGGGTTCCAGGTCTTCTTCGGGTGGTGCTTAAAAGCCCTCCAGGGGCTTACCCTCCAAGGCCGGTTACCCGGATCTGGACACCCTGGGCTCTGTGGCCAGAAAATCCAGGTCTTGATTTCGCTTGGGCCATTGCAGACACGCAGCCAGGTCGACTGGTCCTCATTCACTCCGGTCATGCAAAGACAGAGGGAAAACCTGGTTTGGATTATCGGTCACCCGTGGCTCGGGAGGGCAGGGCTGCCCTTTGGCCCCGCCTATATGTTTGTCCGTTGTACAACGGGGTGGGAGGACGCTGTGGCCCATCCTCTGTCATGCAGCATGTCCCTCCTTAATAACGCCTGTTCTCCAGACTTAGTATTTATTGAGCACTTGCTATGTGCTAGGCACCATGCTAAGGGGCTAGGCATCTGCATCAACTCCTAAGATCCTCAAGGAGACACGGGACTATTGGAAGGTCATTTGCCAAGGTCATAAAAAGCAGAATTGAGATTTGAACCTAGGCTTTTTGCTTTTAGAGATCCTAGAAATGTCTAGGACATCCCTCATTTTCCTTTTGTTGGAGTCCCCTCCAAAGGCCTTTTGAAACTCTCCCCCAAATCTTTCCACCTGCAGCCCCACTCAGTTTCCTTCCTTCCACCTCACCCTGTGGATAGAAAACTGGCTGGCAGGTGTTGCCCCTTGTACCCCATTCCTTTCCTCAGAAAAAAGCCAAGACCCCATATCTCCTGATCCCTACAGTGACTTCCTAAGAGCTTGACAAATGGAAGGTGACCTTCTTCAAATGCAGACACATAAAGTTAATACTCACTAATTATTATTATTGTCATTATAAAAAATGACTATGCGGCCATCACCTGAATTTCCATTTTTATTTTTTTATTTTTTAAACTTTTTATTATTTATTTATTTATTGTTAATTGAGAGGGTGTCTTACTCCAGCAGTGGTGCAATCATAGTTCACTATAACCTCGACCTCCTGAGCTCAAGAGATTCTCCCACCTCAGCCTCCGTGGTTCCCATTTTAAATCTCAGTTGTGAGTCACTCTACTTACCTACCCCCCACCCCCTACCCCAACTCTATGACTCTAGCTGGGAGTCAGATAGATCTGCTGAGGTGTAGATGAGTCATTCATTCTTTCAACCTTTCATTCATTCAACCTTTCATTCATTCATTGAGTACGCTAAGCTTATTCCCGCCTCCAGGCCTTTGCCCTTGCAGTTCCCTCCACCTGGAATGCTCTCTCCACAGATCCTCCCATGGCTGGCTCTTATCTTTCAGCAACCAGCTTAAAAGTCACCTCCACAGAGCAGCCCTGTCTGACAATGTGTCTCCATCCTAGCCATTGTCCATCACATCACCCTGTTTAATTTATTCATAAGACTAATTATTGTCTAAAATGATTTCGTTCACTTCTACACTAATCTTGTTTAATGTCCCCTTTACCCTATAAATACTAGTCCCAAAAGGCCAGAAACTTTTTTTTTTTTCTCCTTGAGACAGAGAGTCTTGCTGTGTTGCCCACGCTGGTGTTTCCTTGGACTCAAGCGATTCTCCTGCCTCAACCTCCCAAGTAGCTGGGACTAGAGGTGCACACCACCACACCGGACTTGTAATTTATTCACTACTGTGTCCCTAGTGCCTAGGATTGGGTCAGCATACAGTAGGTGCTCAAGACATATTTTTCAAATAATGATTCCTATTTCATTTGCACAAACACACGCTGATATGCCAACTCACTTGCCTTTATATGGCGCCCCGCCTGTGTACGTGGGCCTCTGTTGGTCTCTGAGGGTCAGGAGAGGAATCACCCAGGGATCCTCTCCCCCAAGAAACTTGGCCCGCAGTGCATGGCCAAGGGTGAAAGTGACAGTGCTGAAGAGGGGCCTGTCTTACCCTGCTTCTGCTCCTCCAGGGAGTTGATAATGCTTGTGGGCAGCAACGGCAGGTCCACGCTGACCTTCATCGTTTTGCCCCTTTGCCTTCCAGAAGGATTTGCCCCTGCCCCGGAAAAGCAGCAGGTGAGCCTGGGGAGAGACGTGGCGGGGGCTGGCCGCCCCTTCTCCCGCCGGGGTGGGGGCGCCAGGCGAGTGCGCGGGCGGGGCCTGGCTCGCCGGCACGCAGCAGCGCCCCCTCCCGGCCGGCTGCAGCCGCAGGGCCCTCCCCTTCCCTGCCCTCCCCTGCCCGCTGCGGCGGCTGCAGCCTCCGCCCCGCGCGCTTGCTCCCCGCGCCGCCGCCGCCGCCGCCTCCGCCGCTGCTGCCGCACCTGCCACCATGTCGCCGCCGCCGGGTCATGTCTGACTCTCTCTGGACCGCGCTTTCTAATTTCTCGATGCCCTCCTTCCCCGGCGGCAGTATGTTCCGCCGCACCAAGAGGTAGACCCCCGATCCCCTAGACATTGTCCCGGCCCTCCCCGCAAAAGCCGCCGCTCCGGGTACTGCTGCAGGGCGGGGCCCGGGATGCTGCGCCCGGTCCAGCTGCGCCAGAGGTGCCCCAGCTGCGCCTTCCCGCCGGGGTTGGGGTTGAATGGGGGGTGGTGTGGGCCGAGTCTGGGGGGCTTGCACGCTGGAGAGGACGGCCGCGGGGGGAGGGGGCTGCGCCACTGGGGGTTTGTGGCGCCTTTGTCTGCTGGCGCTGCGGGCTCCAACAGCCTGGTGGGGGTAGAGGAAGAAGGGGAGGCTGGGGGGCTTGGCACCCTCAGAACAATAGCCGCAGCCTGGCCTCCCCCCACCCCCATGCCGCGTGCTCCTGGACGCGCTAATATGCTCAGTCACTGCGGCTGTGGGTGAGGGGACGGACGGAGGGGCTTGGGGCTCCCTCTTCGGGAGCTGGATGCTGAGGGGTAGAAAAAAGGGGGGGTTTATCATAACACAACCCCCCCCCCCGAACACAGCCTTACACTGAAAATAGTGACACACAGCGTCACACAGGACATGATGTCACACACATACACACAACAGCCCTAGTGGCCCAGATACACTGGGAGGTGCCACACATACCTAGCCTTGCAGCTGCCACAGGTCAGAACCATGCACAGACACACAGGGGCACCACGTCGTGTACACCTAGTAAGATGTCACTTACATGGCGATCCACACACACACAGTTATGTCATCCAAGATGCAAACATGTGTTTCAATATCCCATCCATGCATCCAAGAATGTCACAACACACGATGTCATATCTAGGTATCTCACATACTATGTCACACTGACATCAGGATAAACAGATGTAGGGATCTTGCAGAGACAGAACCACGCAAAATCACATGTTATCACATTGCAAGACTCACCTAGAGAATGTCAAATGTGGTGACATGTTTGGACACAGTGTCACAAGATGTTAAATTCACACAATAGATGCTACATACACATGGACAAGCATGGTGAATGTCACACCCAGACGGAAGGACAGTATCGGACACAGACTCAGAATGCCACACAAAGACATAGATACATGTAGGGGGGATCATGCATCCTGGCCAGGCATGGTGGCAGGCACCTGTAGTCCCAGCTACTCAGGAGGGTGAGGTGAGGCGGGAGGATTGCTTGAGCCCAGGAGTTTGAGGCTGCAGTGAGCCACTGCACACTGCACTCCAGCCGGGCGACAGAGCGAGACATTGATTTAAAAGAAAAAAAATAATAATAATACAACCTGCCTGTGTTACAGCACACATTGTTATGGACAAGTGGCATTTCACACTGTGTCACATAGACACACAAATGCTCAAATTGTATCACACAAGATAAACCCACGTTGTGTCACACGTATCACACTAGAATGCATTCAGCGTCACACATTGTTGAATTCATACAGTGGATACCACACGTGGATACCTACAGTGAATGTCACGCATAGACTGAGACACGCTCAGTATCACCAATGGTGTCACCTAGACACAGTGACTATCACACCATGACAGACACTGCCCTACACATAATCCATACTGAGAGTTTCTCACACACATGTCATATGCACATCCCCTGCCGTACACAGTCCTGCCGAGGCCTGCACCACCTTTCTTCGAGAAACCCTCCCAGGGAGCCTCCAAACACACATGGATGGGAGATAGGCGGGGATCTGAGACAGGAGGTCAGCTGGTGGGGCTCAAGAACTCACTGGGCTGCGGCCCGGCCCGGCCCCCCTGCCTTACCTTCCCCGCAGCTGCCGCACCAGTAATCGGAAAAGCCTCATCCTGACCAGCACTTCACCCACGCTACCGAGACCCCACTCCCCGCTGCCAGGTCACCTAGGTGAGGCCAGTGGTAGAGACTTGGTGGGTGCAGACTGGCCTACAGTAGGCGGGGCCTCAGGCGAGGAAGCGTGGTCATGCTACAGAAGGGGCGCAGTTTGAATGGAGGCGAACCAGTTTGGATAAGGGGCGGGGCCATGCTTGTGTGGGTGTGGTCAGTCGCAGAGGGACGGTCATTGGGGGGCGGAGACTCAGGTGGGCGGAGACTCAGGTGGGACGGACAGAAAGGAGGAGTCGTACCTGAGGGGCGGGGCCATCCCAGATGAAGCCAGAATCGTCTTGGAAGGGGCCAGGCTGACTCGGCAACGAAAAAATTTAGAGAGGCGGGGCCACAGGCGAAGGGGCGTGGTCTCCCCATAATAGGCGGGACTAGACTAAAGACAGGACATGCTGCTGTTTGCACGCCGCTTTAGGGAACGAGAGACCTGACAGGATTTGCCCCCTCTTTCTCTCATAGGCAGCAGTCCCCTGGACAGCCCCCGAAACTTCTCCCCCAACACCCCCGCCCACTTCTCGTTTGCCTCCTCCCGAAGGTGAGTCCCTCCCCTCCAGGGCCCCAGAACCCTGGGCAGACCCTCCCCAACCACTGTCTGGGCCGCCATCTGTTCTCCTCCTAATTGCACCCGAGCTGGGGCCTGAGGGGACCAGCGAGTGCCCCAAGGTCTCAGCGGGAAGGAGCGCCTAGCCTTCGGGGCGGGGCCTATAAGAAGGCGGGGTCCAATCGCCGATCTGGAACGGGGAAGGCGGTGGGGCTCCCTTTGCGGCAGGTCGAAAGCGCGTGCGCCCTGGGCGCGGGGTCTTAGTCTCTCCGAGCCTTGCTCTCCTGGCCAGGTGTTTCCATAGCAACAGGACGGGGCAGCCAAGATGACGTGCGCAAGCGCAGATTGCGCGATGCCTATCGAGGGACTCTTGGTCCCCGAGGTGGGGGAGGACGACTAGGGCTGTTTCTCAAGGGGAGGAATCTCAGGTTTCTTTCCAAGGGTCTCTTAGGGTTTCTGGGGTGTCCTTAAATGAATTTTCTATGGGCCTTTGGTGAAACTGGGGGAGGCAGAGAGGTTTCTCTGATGTTTTCTGGAGAAACGTTTCTGGGAGTTTGGGCCTGTCTCTTTTTCTTTGAACTCTATTCATTCTAAAAATGGTGTCTAAACACCTGCTATGTTCTTAGGAGCTGGGCGTATGGGGTCAATGACGTCCTGTCTCTACCCTCTGAGTCGAATAGGGCAGGCAGGCCAGAGAATGGGGATCAGTGCAAAGGCTGATGAAGGCTGTGTTGTGAGAGTCAAAGGAGACTGTGAAGACAGACAGCTCCCTTGGGAAAGTGGGGGAACCGCCTATTGACCATGGAATTTAGCTGAGGGCAATAGAGAGCCAGGACAAGGCTCTGGGATAGGGTCTCACATGTTTATCCGCAAGCGGGGAGGACTGAGCGAGGGGACTGCTGGGAGGAAGAAGGAAGGGAGGAGTCCAATAAATGGGGTGTGTGTGTGTCCTTGTAACTGTGCAAAGTGTGCTGGTGTGTGTGTGTGATTGTCACTGTGTGAGGGATTACGTGCCTATGCAATGGCACGAGTCTGCGAATGTGAACGTGTGAACATGTGTCTGTAGGATTGTAAGTGTCTGTGAATATGTGAGAGGAGCAAGTCAGGTATGTCTCCAGGTGAGCGTGCAATCTGTGTGTGGGTGTAAGCGTGTGTGAGTGTGTGGCTGTGAGATAGTAAACACAGAGTCACAGTGTTTACTGTCTCTCTCTCTCTCTCTCTTTTTTTTTTCTTTTCTTGAGACAGAGTCTCGCTCTGTTGCCCAGGCTGGAGTGCAATGGCGGGATCTCGGCTCACTGCAATTTCCGCCTTCTGGGTTCAAGCGATTCTCCTGCCTCAGCTTCCCAAGTAGCTGGGATTACAGGCGCCTGCCACCACGCCCGGCTAATTTTTGTATTTTTAGTAGAGATGGGGTTTCACCAGGTTGGTCATGCTGGTCTCGAACTTCTGACCTCAGGTGATCCACCCGCCTCGGCCTCCCAAAATGCTAGGATTACAGGCATGAGCCACCGCGCCCGTCCAGTTTACTGTCTCACAGCCACACGCTTACACATGCACATGCTAATGTGTGTTGTGCACTCACATGAGCACGCGCCGATGTGTGTCCCTGTGTGTGTGCATCTGCGTGCGAGTGTGAATGAGTGTGTCGCTGTGTGCAAGTTTCAATGTGTGGTAGTGAGCGTGGGTGTCTGGAACGTGCATCTGTGTGAATGTGGAAGTGTGGAGTATGTTTGGGTGAGTCTGTGTGTCCGAGTGTGAGTACTGAGTGGAAGCACATGTGTCTATAGGTGAGTGCATGTCTGGTCTTGCACGCGTGATTGTGCATTAGTGTGTGAGAGTGTGATATTTGGGTCCATGGATGGGATAGTCAATACGTGTGGGTGTCTGTGTTGAGGAGTCATGTGTGAGTGTGTGTCTTCGTGTGTGTGAAGTGTAAATGTGTGCACTGCCAGTATGTGAGCCTGACCTGATAGTCACACCAACATTAATGGATTTGGCTGCAACAGTGACTGTGTCTGTGTGCACGAGAGCATAAGGACACAATATTCTATGTCAGAACATGTTGGGGGGTGGGACGGGTCTTTTTTCTCTGAGAAGATCCAAGGGTCTCCCTCAGAGCTTTCTCATGGAGAGTGTTCACTTGGGGGAAATTTCTAGAATCTCTCTGGAAAGGCTTCACTGGGTGGGGGCTTTTCCAGTTCTCGGTGTCCACTCTGAATGATAAGAGAGGGGACCGTGGGGAGGAGAGTGGAGACGGATCCTCCCTCCAATTCCCGGTGCCTGCCTGGAAGAGTCCCTCTTTATCCCCTTGATTCTGAGGGCCTTGAGGAATCTTAGAGTGCAGATATATTCCCCCAACCCCCACCCTGGCCCTGGCCAGTGGCTTCACCCACACCCTGAGGAGTTGGGGGACCGCTGGGGCCTTGTGGCCTCTGAGCACCTTGGCTGGGTTCCAGGGCGGACGGACGCCGGTGGTCTCTGGCCTCGCTCCCTTCATCTGGCTATGGCACCAACACGCCCAGTTCCACCGTCTCGGTGAGTGTGGAAAGTAGGTGGGTGGGCCGGTGGGTAAGGAATTCAGGGGCCCTCCAGCCTGAAGACCCACACCCAGGCCAGCAGTCCAGGCTGGGCTTGATGACAGTTTAGGGCCAGGCTCAGTGACTCAAGCCTGTAATCCCAGTACTTTGGGAGGCCAAGACAGAAGGATTGCTTGAGCCTAGGAGTTCAAGACCAGTCTGGGCAACATAGGGAGACCCTTGTCCCTACAAAAAATTAAAAATTATCTGGGCGTGGTGGTGCACACCTGTGGTCCCCACTATTTGGGAGGCTGAGACGGGAGGATCGCTGGAGTCTGGGAGGTATAGGCTACAGTTGAGCTGAGATCGCACTGCAGCATTCCAGTCTGGATGACAGAGTGAGACCCTGTCTCAAAAGAAAAAAGCAAAAAAAGACAGTTTGGGTTTCCCCATTCTTCAAAGGTGTTCACTTGTCCATCTATTAAAGAGTTATGGGTCCGCCCCACTCAGAGCCCAATGCTCTGCCCTCAACACATTTCTGGGAGGGTCCTTCCTACTCATTTCTGACTCACTCATTTACAGCTGGTGACATAAGGCTCTGTGAGTTAAGCCATTTACTCTGATATCAGCAGCTGGGCTGGGCCAGGCCACAGCTTTCACCCAGAGCCCACTTGCTCACCCCTTGGAACACCCAAAGTCCCTTCATCTGCTCCCTTTTCTATCCATGCCCATAGTTCCCTTATCCAGCCATTGGCATGATGTTCAGCAGACATTTGTCATGAGATTGTCATGTGGTAGGCGGGTTCTGCAAGCTGGGCCAGAGTGTAAATATTCACGCAGCCCTCATGGGGGAAGACAAGCCAGTAAGAAGGCATTCACAAAATAGAATGGTCAGAACTTTGATGCAAGTAGCACAAGGTGAGGTGATAGGGGAGAGGCATGTGACTCAGATTGGGGGGTTGTCAAGGAAGGCTTCCTGGAGGAGGTGACATTGAAACCAAGACAACAGACCAGCAGGAGTTTGGCAGATGGAAGAGAAGGGAGAAGAGTGTTCCAGGAAGGGGAAGAGCATGTGCAAACCTCTAGAGGCCACAGAACTTGCAGCATTTGAAAAGTTGAAAGTAGCTTTGTGGGGCTGAAAATTTGGGATGCGGGGGAGGAATAGAGATGATGCAGGCAGTGACCTTGATCAGGCTGGAACCTTGTCAGCCAGGGCAGCAAGGGAGATTTTATTCTAAATCCAGTGGGGAAGCCATGGAATGGTTTTATTTCTTTATATTAAATTGTACTAAAATTTCAGTTTGAACCATTTGAAATTGTGATTATGTAGGCTATAGATAATGCACACTAATTAAAAAAATAAAAGAGATGGATGGGGTGGGGAATTTTAACCAGAGGAGTGAGCAATGTGATGTTTAAAAATATCATTCTGGCCGGGCGCGGTGGCTCATGCCTATAATCCTAGCATTTTGGGAGGCTGAAGCGGGTGGATCATTTGAGGTCAGGAGTTCGAGACCAGCCTGGCCAACATGGTGAAACCCTGTCTCTAGTAAAAATACAAAAATGAGCCAGGCGTGGTCATGGATGCCTGTAATCCCAGCTACTCAGGAGGCTGAGGCAGGGAGAATTGCTTGAACCTGAGAACTGGAGGTTGCAGTGAGCCAAGACTGCACCACTGCACTCCAGCCTGGGTGAAAGCTATATGACCAGGCATGGTGGCTCACACCTGTATTCCCAACACTACGGGAGGTTGAGGTGGGAGGATTGCTTGAGCCCAGGAGTTTGAGACCAACCTGAGCAACGTGATGAAACCCTGTTTCTACAAAAAAAAAAAAAAAAAAAAAAATTAGCCAGGTGTGATGGCTTGTGCCTGAAGTCCCAGCTACTCAGGAGGCTGAGATGGAAAGATTGCTCGAGCCCAGGAGGTGGGGGTTGCAGTGAGTGGAGGTCGAGCCACTGCACTCCAGCCTGGGGGAGAGAGAAACACCCTGTCTCGAAATAAAAAAAAATAAAATAAAGCAAGAGGAGAGCCAGGCATAGTGGCTCATGCCTGTGACCCAGCAATTTTTTTTTTTTTTTTTTTTTGAGATGGAGTCTCACTCTGTCGCCCAGGCCTGGAGTGCAATGGCACCGTGCCGGCTCACTGCAACCTCCATCTCCTGGGTTCAAGCAATTCTCCTGCCTCAGCCTCCCGAGTAGCTGGGATTACAGGTGCCCACCACCATGCCTGGCTAATTTTTTTATATTTTTAGTAGAGACGGGGTTTCACCCTGTTGGCCAGGCTGGTCTAGAACTCCTGACCTCAGTTTTTCTGCCCGCCTCAGCCTCCCAAAGTGCTGGGATT
Organism: Homo sapiens; assembly: GCF_000001405.40. NCBI lineage: Eukaryota > Metazoa > Chordata > Mammalia > Primates > Hominidae > Homo > Homo sapiens. Next base: position 12,845,933 of record NC_000019.10, read on the forward strand.
ACAGGCGTGAGCCACCGAGCCCTGCCCTCAGTCCCAGAACTTTGAGAGGCCAAAGTGGGAGTATTGCTTGAAGCCAGGAGTTGGAAGCCAGCCTGGGCAACATAGAGAGACCCTGTCTCTGCAAAAAAGAATTAGCCAAGCATGGTGTAGTCCCAGCTACACAGAAGGCAGAGGGGGGAAGATTACTTTAGCCCAGGAGTTCAAGGCTTCCGTGAGCCATGATTGTACTACATCCCTCTAGCCTGGGTGACACAAGGAGACCGTGTCTCTCTCTCTTTTTAACTTTAAATAATTTTAATAAATAGAGACACAGTTTCACTATGTTGCCCAGGCTGGTCTCAAACTCCTGGGCTCAAATGATCCTCCCGCCTTCGCCTCCCAAAGTGCTGAGATTACAGGTGTGAGTCACCATATTCAGTGGAGACCCTTCTCTAAAATAATAATGATAATAAAGCAAGAGGAAACAAGATAGAGTAGGGATAGGGAATAATGGGTGTGTATTCAGAGGAGGTCTTCCCGAGGGGTGACATTGAAGCAAAAATTTGAAGGATGAGAAGGAGGGATCCATAGTAGATGTGTTCCAAGCAGAAAGAATAGCTAATGCAAAGGCCCTGAGGAAGGAGCTTGCCTGGCTTGTCCAAGGACCATCAAGGAGGCCACTAGGCTGGGTGCGGTGGCTTGTGCCTGTAATCTCAGCACTTTGGGAGGCAGAGGCAGGTGGATCACCTGATGTCAGGAGTTCAAGACCAGCCTGGCCAACATGGTAAAACACTGTCTCTACTAAAAATACAAAAAATTAGCCAGGCGTGGTGACAGGCACCTGTAATCCCAGCTACTTAGGAGGCTGAGTCAGGAGAATCGCTTGAACGCGGGAGGCGGAGGTTGCAGTGAGCTGAGATCACACTCCAAACTAGGCAACAAGAACGAAACTCCATCTCAAAAAAAAAAAAAAAAAAAAAAAAGAAGGCCACTGTAGCTGGAGCAGAGGAAGTAAGCAGGAGAGTGAGAAAAATCCACGGCAGGGACCCAGGGCAGGATGAGGCAGGACCTTGTATAACTGGGGAAGGACTTGGGTGTTCACCCTGAGTAAGGTGGGAGCCACCAAGGGTTCTGAACAGAGGAGGCTCATGACTTGACCCAAGCTTTAACAGACTCACTGTCTCCACCCCTGTCTGTCCCTGTCCACCTGTCTGTGGCCAAGAGTCCCAGCCAAGATCCTAGGATCCAAGGATCGTAAATCAGGTCCTGATCCTGGCCTTGCCCAGTGACCCCATCGGCTTTGGGAGTCCCAGCTCAGGGTCCTGAGCTGTTGGGGGGCCCATGGTGGCTCTGACCCCGGCCCTGCCCCTGTCCCCAGTCCTCCTGCTCCTCCCAGGAGCGCCTTCACCAGCTGCCCTACCAGCCCACGGTGGACGAGCTCCACTTCCTCTCCAAACACTTCGGGAGCACCGAGAGCATCACAGACGAGGATGGTGGCCGTCGCTCCCCAGCCGTGCGGCCCCGCTCACGGAGCCTCAGGTGGGCAGGCATCCCTCCTCCTTCGTACCAAGCTAGTGGTCTTAGGACTTGTGCTTAGAGAGACCCCTGTCCCCGCGAATAAAAGGGTTACATCTTGGGGCGGGGGCTCTCTGCGGGCTTGGAGGCAGAGGACTCGACAAAATGGGCTTCTCTCCCCGCAGCCCCGGGCGCTCCCCCTCCTCCTACGACAACGAGATCGTGATGATGAATCACGTCTACAAGGAGAGGTTCCCGAAGGTGAGGTGGGACCCGAGGCGGTCACGGGGTGACCAGGCGGCCTGCACTCTCGCTCGCCTTATCCCCGCGCGCCCCCTGGCGGCCTCGGTGCGCAGCGCAGGCTCCTGGCGGCCGCAGCCTTCGGGCACAGCCCCGCGCCCCTCCTCCGTCCCTCCCGCAGGCCACTGCGCAGATGGAGGAGAAGCTGCGCGACTTTACCCGCGCCTACGAACCCGACAGCGTTCTGCCTCTGGCCGATGGCGTGCTCAGCTTCATCCACCACCAGATCATCGAGCTGGCCCGGGACTGCCTGACCAAGTCCCGTGACGGCCTCATCACCACGGTCTACTTCTATGAATTGCAGGAGAACCTGGAGAAGCTCCTTCAAGACGTGAGTGCACGCGGAGGCCGGGCTGATCTCAGGCTCAGCACCGCCAGATTGTGCCCAATGCACCCCTTTCTTCACCCCACATACATTCAGGGAGCTCCTACCACGTTCCAGGCACTGGCGTGGAGCTGAGGACTCAGGGGTGGAAGTGGTCCCTTCCCTAGGTCTGACCGACTGAAGAGGCAGGAATTTCACCTCGCTCATTTCCCTTAGGTCTTTACTCAAATGTCACCTTTTCAGGTGGCTTCTTAGGCGGTCCCCAGTCATTTAAAATATTAAACTCGGCCGGGCTCGGTGGCTCAGGCCTGTAATCCCAGCACTTTGGGAGGCCGAGGGGGGCGGATCACGAGGTCAAGAGATCGAGACCATCCTGGCTAACACGGTGACACCCCGTCTCTACTAAAAACACACACACACACAAAATTAGCCGGGCGTGGTGGCGGACGCCTGTAGTCCCAGCTACTCGGGAGGCTGAGGCAGGAGAATGGCGTAAACCCGGGAGGCGGAGCTTGCAGTGAGCCGAGATTGCGCCGCTGTACTCCAGCCTGGGCGACAGAGCGAGACTCCGTCTCAAAAAATAATAATAGTAAATAAAATAAAATAAAATAAAATATTAAACTTAGCCGGGTGCGGTGGCTCAGGCCTGTAATCCCAGCACTCTGGGAGGCTGAGGCAAGTGGATCACCTGAGGTCAGGAGTTCGAGACCAGCCTGGCCAACATGGCGAAACCCCGTCTCTACTAAAAATACAAAAATTAGCTGGGCGTGGTGGTGGGCGCCTGTAATCCCAACTACTTGGGAGGCAGAGGCGGGAGAATCGCTTGAACCTGGGAGTCGGAGGTTGCGGTGAGCCGAGATCACACCATTGCACTCCAGTCTGAGCAACAAGAGTGAAACTCTGTCTCAAAAATAAATAAATAAATGAAATAAAATAAAATATTAAACTCTACTCACATTTATCACCCACTTTCTCCTCAGTTTCTCCTTGACACTCAGCACCATCCATCATACTGTGTATTTTTGCTTATTTTATTTCATGTCTATCCTTCTCCAATGTCAGCCCCATAGTTGGTGAGGGTGGGGGGGTGGAGTTGTCTGTTCTGTCCACTGCTGTGTCCCTGCTGTTTGGAACAATACCCAGCACACAGTAGGTACTCAATAAATGTTGGGTAAATTGATGCTTGAATGTCCCTTTGCAGTGGCATGCACCTGTAGTCCCAGCTAGCTACTTAGGAGGCTGAGATGGGAGGATTGCTTGAGGTCAGGAGCTTGAGACCAGCTTGGGCAACATAGCAGGACCCCATCTCTAAAACAATTTAAAAAATTTAAGCCAGGCGAGGTTGCTCACGCCTTTAATCCCAGCACTTTGGGAGGCTGAGGCGAGCAGATCACGAGGTCAGGAGTTTGAAACCAGCCTGGCCAATAAGGTGAAACTCTGTCTTTACTAAAAATACAAAAAAGTTAGCCGGGCTTGGTGGCACGTGCCTGTAATCCCAGCTACTCAGGAGGCTGAAGCAGGAGAATCGCTTGAATCCGGGAGGCAGTGGTTGCAGTGAGCCGAGGTTGCGCCACTGCACTCCAGCCTGGGCAACAGAGTGAGATTCTGTCTCAAAAAAAATAAAAATAAAAATAAAAATAATTAGCTAGGTGTAGTGGCACACACCTGCTGTCCCAGCTACTTGAGAGGCTGAGGCAGGAGGATCACTTGATCATTCATTAATTCCACCAATATTTATTTATTTATTTATTTTATTTTTTTTGGAGACAGAGTCTCACTCTATCCCACTGGGCTGGAGTGCAGTGGTGCGATTTTGGCTCACTGCAACCTCCACCTCTCAGGTTCAAGCCATTCTCCTGCCTCAGCCTCCCGAGTAGCTGGGATCACAGGCACCCACCACCATGCCTGGCTAATTTTTGTATTTTTAGTCGAGGCAGGGTTTCACCATGTTGGCCAGGCTGGTCTCTAACTCCTGACCTTAGGTGATCCACCTGCCTCTGCCTCCCAAAGTGCTGGGATTACAGGTGTGAGCCACCATGCCTGGCCCCCACCAATATTTATTAAGCACCTACTATGGGCCTGGCACTAGCCTAAAAGCTGGGAAATCAACTGGAAATAAAACAAAAATTCTTGTCTTTGGAGAGCTGACATTCTATTAATAGCAGGAAGAGACAGAAGATAAACAATAGGCGTTAGAAGCTAACCCCTGTAATCCCAGCACTTTGGGGAGCTGAGACAGGAGGCTTTCTGGAGCCCAGGAGTTGCAGACCAGCCTGGGTAACATAGCGAGACCCTGTCTCTACAGTAAAACAAGTCAAACAAACAAAGACCCAATAGGTATTAGGGCTGAGACCAGGACCAGGGTAAAGCAAGTAATTATTTCTTCCCCCAGAACATTAAATTAATTTTTGAAAAACTTGAAAAGTAGATAAATGAAAACCCAACATTATTTTAAGTTTACATATTTTATTTATAACCAAGCCAGAATGTGTTATAATTTTACTGTCCTGGTTTTAATGAAAGCAAACTCATCAATAATACTATTTTCATTGAAACCATTAGACATTTTCAAAGACACATTAAAACACATATAGGTTGGTGCATACTTTTTTTTGGCTCAAGTTACAATATGGCTAGGCACAGCCTGTTGGATTCTGTCTTTATTTAATTTTCTTTTTCTTTTTCTTTTTCATTTGAGATGGAGGACTCTCTATGTTGCCCAGGGTGGTCTTGAACTCCTGGGCTCAAGCAATCCTCCTGCCTCAGCCTCCTGAGTAGCTGGGATTATAGGCATGTACCACCACATCTGGCTTAAATTTTGATATTTTGGCTTATGATAGATTTTTGGCATTAATTTTAGGCTTTTCAAGTATTGCAATAAGATATTAGTTTTTTCTTTTCTTTTTTTTTTTTTTTGAGACAGTCTCACTCTGCTACCCAGGCTGGAGTGTAGTGATGTGATCTCGGCTCACTGCAACCTCCACCTCCCTGGTTCAAGCGATTCTCTTGCCTCAGCCTCCCAAGTAGCTGGCATTACAAGTGTGTGGCACTATACCCAGCTAATTTTTGTACTTCCAGTAGAGATGGGGTTTTGCCATGTTGGGCAGGCTGGTCTCAAACCCCTGACCTCAAGTAATTCACCCTCCTCTGCCTCCCAAAATGCTGGGATTACAGGCGTGAGCCACTGTGCCCGGCCTCTTTTTCTTTTCTTTTTTTCTTTTTTTTTTTTTGAGACAGGGTCTCTCTCTCTGTCACCCAGGCAGGAGTGCAGTGGTATAATCAGCTCACTGCAGCCTTAGCCCCCTGGGCTCAAGTAATTCTCCCACTTCAGCCTCCCAGGTAGCTAGGACTACAGGCACACACTACCACACCTGGCTAATTTTATTATTTGTAGAGACAGGGTCTCGCTATGGTTTTGTTGTTTGTTTGTTTGTTTGTCATTGCTTTTGTTTTGAGACAGAGTCTCGCTGTGTCACCCAGGCTGGAGTGCAGTGGTGTGATCTTGGCTCACTGCAACTTCTGCCTCCCAGGTTCAAGGGATTCTCCTGCTTCAGCCTCCCAAGTAGCTGGGATTACAGGCACCTGCCACCACGCCTGGCTCATTTTGCGTTTTTAGTGGAGATGGGGTTTCACCATGTTGGCCAGGCTGGTTTCAAACTTTTGACCTCAAGTGATCCACCCACCTCAGCCTCCCAAAGTGCTGGGATTACAGGCATGAGCCACCGTGCCCAGCCTCATTATTTTTACTGTGTGGCTTGGGCTTCAGTCTCCTCACCTGTAAGATGGGACAGTAGCAGCAGTATGTACTCTGAGGGGCTGAGAGAGGGGCCGGGCTGAGGCAGAGTGCCTATGAGCCCTGTCCCTCTGTGTCCCCTGCCACAGGCCTATGAACGCTCTGAGAGCTTGGAGGTGGCCTTCGTTACTCAGCTGGTGAAGAAGTTGCTTATTATCATCTCACGCCCTGCGAGGCTGCTGGAGTGCCTGGTGAGGGGGCTGGGCATGGGTAGGGGTGGGTTGGTAGACCCTGGGAGCCTGTGGTGAGCCCACTCCTGCCCTGCCTCAGGAATTCAACCCCGAGGAGTTCTACCACCTGCTGGAGGCGGCCGAAGGACACGCCAAGGAGGGCCACCTTGTGAAGACGGACATCCCCCGCTACATCATCCGCCAGCTGGGCCTCACCCGTGACCCCTTTCCAGGTGCCGGCTGGTGGGCGCAGGGGGACTGGGGGTGAGCAGGCCCAGAACCCAGCTCGTGCTCACTCTCAGTCCCTCCCTAGATGTGGTGCATCTGGAGGAACAGGACAGTGGTGGTTCCAACACCCCTGAGCAAGACGATCTCTCTGAGGTAAGGCTGGGTGGCTAAGCGGTCAGTACCCTGGTTCCTGGGAGGGCAGGGTGGGGCTCATCTCCGGCTTCTTTGCCCTCAGGCTTTGTGGATCTCTTGGTCCTACACTCTGAGCCTCAGTTTTCCCATCCATAAAATGGGATTAATAATAGCTCTTCCAGAGCCTGGCATGCTGGCTCATGCCTGTAATCCCAGCACTTTGGGAGGCCAAGGTGGGCAGATCACCTGAGGTCGGGAGTTCGAGACCAGCCTAACCAACATGGAGAAACCCCGTTTCTACTTAAAAAAAAAAAAAATGCAAAAATTAGCCAAGCCTGGTGGCACATGCCTCTAATCCCAGCTACTTGTGAGGCTGAGGCAGAAGAATCACTTGAATCCAGGAGGCAGAGATTGCTGTGAACTGAGATTACACCACTGCACTCCAGCCTGGGCAACAAGAGCGAAACTGTCTCAAAAAATAAAATAAAATAAAATAAAATAATTGCTCTTCCCCTGTGACCTCTTTGTCATGTTAAAATCCATGAAACATAAAATTTAATTTACTTTTTTAACCATTTTATTTTATTTTTATTTATTTATTTATTTATTTTTTGAGATGGAGTTTTGCTCTTGTTGCCCAGGCTGGAGTGCAATGGCACTATCTCAGCTCACCACAACCTCCATCTCCTGGGTTCAAGCAATTCTCCTGCCTCAGCCTCCCGAGTAGCTGGGATTACAGGCATGTAACACCACACCCGGCTAATTTTGTATTTTTAGTAGAGACTAAAATTTCTCCATGTTGGTCAGGCTGGTTGCAAACTCCCAATCTCAGTTGATCTGCCCATCTCGGCCTCCCAAAGTGCTGGGATTACAGGCATGAGCCACCGCGCCCGGCCTTTTTAACCATTTTAAAATGAACAATTCGGGGCCGGGTGCAGTGGCTTAGGCCTGTAATCCCAGCACTTTGGGAGGCCAAGGCAGGAGGATTGTTTGTGCTAAGGCATTTGAGACCAGCCTGGGCAGCATAAAAAATCAGCTGGGCGTGGTGGTGCACCCCTGTAGTCCCAGCTACTCGGGAGGCTGAGGTGGGAGGATCCTATGAGCCCAGGAAGTCAAGGCTTCAGTAAGCCATGATCACACCACTGCACTCCAGCCTGGGCAACAGGGTGAGACCCTGTCTTGAAAAATGAAATTAAAAATAATAAAGAATAGGCCAGGTGCAATGGCTTATGCATGTAATCCTAGTACTTTGGGAGGCCAAGATGGGTGGATCACTTGAGGTCAGGAATTCGAAACCAGCCTGGCCAACATGGTGAAACCCCATTTCCACTAAAAATACAAAAAAATTAGTTGGGCGTGGTGGCACATGCCTGTAATCCCAGCTACTTGGAAGGCTGAGGCAGGAGAATTGCTTGAACCCGGGAGGTGGAGGTTGGTGTGAGCCAAGATCCCACCACTGCACTCCAGCCTGGGCAACAGAGCGAGACTCTGTCTCAAAATAATAATAATAATAATAATAATAATAATAATAATAATGATTAATAGTAATAAATAAACAATTCTGCAGCATTTAGTAATTCACCATGCTGTACAGCCATTAGATCTATGTAGTTGCAGAACTTTTTTATCACCCCCAAAGGGAAACCTCACACCCATTACACACTCCCTCCTCATTCCTCCCTCCCTGCAGTCCCTGGCAACCACTAATCTATTTTCTCTCTCTGTGGAATTGCTTTTTCTGGATATTTCTTTTTTTTTTTTTTTTTGAGACAGAATTTCACTCTTGTTGCCCAGGCTGGAGTGCAATGGCGTGATCTCGGCTCACTGCAACCTCCGCCTCCCAGGTTCAAGCAATTCTCCTCCCTCAGCCTCCTGAGTAGCTGGGATTATAGGCATGCGCCACCACACCTGGCTAATTTTGTATTTTTAGTAAAGACAGGGTTTCACCATGTTGGTCAGGCTGGTCTCGAACTCCTGACCTCAGGTGATCTGCCTGCCTTGGCCTCCCAAAGTGCTGCGATTACAGGCGTGAGCCACATGCCTGGCCTTTTTCTGGATATTTCCTATAAATGGGATCGTATGCTCTGTGGCCTCTTATGACTGGCTTATTTCACTTAACATAACGTTTCTGAGGTTTATCCATGTTGTAGCTTGTGTCACTGCTTCATTCATTTTTATAGCCGAGTAATATTCCATTGAATGGTAGATGCATTCATCCACTGGTGAACATTGGGTTGTCCATCTTTCATCTGTTGTAAATAGTGCTCTTATGAATGTGGGTGTACAAATATTTGGCTGGACAACTGCTTTGAGTTATTTAGGATATACGTCTAGAGGTGGAATTTCTTGGTCATATGGTAGCTCTATGTTTAACTTATAGAGGAATCCTGCATGGGCTTTCGAGCAAGCTAACTGGCTGTATGTGTTAATGGCAGCTCAGCATGGGGAAAATTGCCAATTCTATTCCCAGGCCAGCCACACTTTGGCAGATGTTCCAGATGTCTAGTGGAGAGTCCTACCCCAATGGCCACACATGTGTTTTCTCTGAACTGCCTAGTATTTTTCAAAAATTTGGGCTGGGCCTGATGGCTCACGGCTGTAATCCCAGCACTTTGAGAGACTGCGGCGGGTGGATCACTTGAGGTCAGGAAGTCGAGACCAGCCTGGCCAACATGGTGAAACCCTGTCTCTACTAAAAAAATACATAAAATTAGCCAGGTGTGGTGGTGCCCACCCGTAATCCCAGCTACTTGGGAGGCTGAGGCAGGAGAACTGCTGGAACCAGGGAGACAAAGATTGCAGTGAGCCGATATCAAACCACTGCACTCCAGCCTGGGTGAGAGAGTGAGACTCCATCTTGAAAAAAATAAAAATAGATAAATAAAAGAAGCAAAATATAAAAATTGAAAGATTTTTGCTTCAAAATCTGGGTTTGGGCCTTCTCTTGAAAAATCAGAAGTTCTAGGGCTGGGTGTAGTGGCTCATGCCTGTAGTCCCAGCACTTTGGGAAGCCAAGGTGGCAGGATTGCTTGAGCCCAGGAGTTTGAAACCAGTCTGGACAACATAGCAAGACCCTGTCTCTACTTAAAAAAAAATAGAAGAAGAAGAAGTTCTAATAATACTGTGGTGGAACCAGCTGAGTGGGGGTGGTCCTGTGATATTGGGTACCTGCCCCTTCGTCATCCATGGCCTCCACCCTGGTCTACTGGCCCCTGAAGACGCTTAAGTTTGTAATCTTTATTTCAAATTGTGTCTATACAGTCACACAGATATATACACATACCTTTCCTTTATGTATATATTTAAAAGGAATCTCACAATATATGCCATTTGTTTAATTTTTTGAATAGGTAATGGAATGACATCACTCAAAATCTAAAACTCTAAAAAAAGGTATTTATCTCTCATTGTTTGTAGGATTCTGTTATTCCTTTTAATCAAACTTGTTAATTGAGTGATTCAAATCTTCCATCTCCCTATTCATTTATCTTGCCTGATTAATCTAATAGTTTCTGAGAGAAATGTGAAACCTTATTTTAAGCAAATTCTCCTTGTAATTCTGTCAATTTTTTTTTTTTTTTTGCCATTTTGGTTTTTATTTGATTATAGGTAAGAGTTCCATACAATAGTGTGCGAAGTATTGCAAACAATAAAGGAAAAATACAGCATAAGATACCTCTTACACTCTGCCCAATTCTGTCAATTTTTATGTCAGATATTTTTAGGCTACATTCTTTGGAGCATATAAGTTCAATATTTTTATATATCATAGATCTTTTTATGTAATATCTATGTAATAAATCTCTTTGTCCCTAAGAAAAATCAAAATAATTTTCAAGAAAGATATACAGTGAAAAAAATCTTACTCCTACCTTTTTTCCCCATTGCCCTATAGCCCTGAAATATGATTACATAGTTTTATTTTGCCACTTTTTTTTTTTTTTTTAGACAAAGTTCCACTCTTGTTGCCCAGGCTGGAGTGCAACAGTGTGATCTCGGCTCACTGCAACCTCTGCTTCCTGGGTTCAAGTGGTTCTCCTGCTTCAGCCTTCCAAGCAGCTGGGATTATAGGCAACCACCACCACGCCTGGCTAAGTTTTTGTATTTTTAATAGAGACAGGGTTTCACCATGTTGGCCAGGCTGGTCTCGAACTCCTGACCTTCAGGTGATCCACTTGCCTTGGCCTCCCAAAGTGCTGGGATTGCAGGTGTGAGCCACCACACCTGGCCTTTGCCACATTTTTTTGCACATAAACGTACAATACATATTGCCTATTGCATTTTTACACTTAATAAAATAGAGGACTTTCTAAATCCATAGACAGAGAGTTTCCTCATTATTTCTAACAGTGGCACAATGTTTCTTTATCTAACTACCCCACATGTGTTTGTTTGGCTAATTTAACGTATGGATTATTATTTCCAATCTCACAATGAGCAAGATAGTAGATATACCATTTTTCACATGTGCAAGTATATCTGTAGCATAAATTCAAAAGTAAAATTGCTGAGTCAAAGGGAACATGTATTTGTAATTCTGATCTGTATCAAACAGTAATTTACACTCCCAACAGCAAAGTATATATGTTCACCTACATATTTGCCCATAGAGGATATCAGGTTTTGGAGTTTTTTCTCCCAATCTGCTAGGTGAAAAATGGTATTTTGTGGTAGTTATAATTTGCCTTTCTGTTATTGTAAGTGAGATTGAGAATTTTTTTTTTTTGAGATGGAGTTTTGCTCTTGTTGCCCAGGCTGGAGTGCAATGCCACGATCTCGGCTCACCACAACCTCTGCCTCCTGGGTTCAAGCGATTCTCCTGCCTCAGCCTCCTGAGTAGCTGGGATTACAGGCATGTGCCATCATGCCCAGCTGATTTTGTATTTTTAGTATAGATGGGGTTTCTCCATGTTGGCCAGGCTTGTCTCGAGCTCCTGACCTCAGGTGATCCACCAGCCTCAGCCTCCCAGGTGATCCGCCCGCCTTGGCCTCCCAAAGTGCTGGGGTTACAAGCGTAAGCCACTGCACCTGGCCAAGAATCTTTTTTTTTTTTTTGAGACAGAGTCTCGCTCTGTCACCCAGGCTGAAGTGCAGTGGCATGATCTCTGCTCACTGCAAGCTCTGCCTCCCGGGTTCACGCCATTCTCCTGCCTCAGCCTCCCAAGTAGCTGGGACTACATGTGCCCGCCACCATGCCTGGCTAATTGTTTCGTATTTTCAGTAGAGATGGGGTTTCACAGTGTTAGCCAGGATGGTCTCGATCTCCTGACCGCATGATCCGCCCACCTTGGCCTTCCAAAGTGCTGTGATTACAGGCGTGAGCCACCGCTCCAGGCCCGAATCTTTTAGTATGTTTAAGAGCTGTAACTCTGGCTGGGTACAGTGGCTCATGCCTGTAGTCCCTACTCTTTGGGAGGCCAAGGCAGGCAGATTGCTTCAGCCTAGGAGTTCAAGAGCAGCCTGGGCAAGATGGCAAAACCAAAATACTAAAATTAGCCTGGCATGGTGGCATGTGCCTGTGGTCCCAGCTACCTGGGAGGCTGAGGCAGGAGAATCACTTGAGCCCTAGAGGTGGAGGCTGCAGTGAGCACCACTACACTCCAGTCTGAATATCAGAGTGAGAACCTATCTCAAAAAAAAAAAAAAAAAAAAAAAAAAAAAAAGCTCTAACTGTAATTTACTTACCTCACCCACTTTTTTCTCTTCAATTGTTAGGCTTTTGTTATTGATTTTTGGGAACTCTTTATATATTTATATATTAGGATGACTATTTTGTTGGTTTCCTGCTATCTTTTCTAGTGGAAGAAGATGAGAATATGTCTTCAGAGTCAGTCTTGGGTTCAAGTCCTAACTTTCTCTTTCATTATGGCACTTGGATGAAGGACTCTTTCATTCTGTGCCTCAGTTTCCCCATGTGTAAAATGAAATTAAAAGCATCCTGCTCTCATGATGATGATGGTGGTGTGGTCTCCATCTTTTTCCTGAAGGGCCGCAGCAGCAAGGCCAAGAAACCGCCGGGGGAGAATGACTTCGATACCATCAAGCTCATAAGCAACGGTGCCTACGGGTGAGCCACCCGGGGCTCTGGCGGGGGGAGGGTGGCGGAGGCCGGGTGTCTCGGAGGTGACGGCCGGTCCTCGCTCTCTCCCCCTGCAGCGCTGTCTACCTGGTGCGGCACCGCGACACGCGGCAGCGCTTTGCCATGAAAAAGATCAACAAGCAGAACTTGATCCTCCGCAACCAGATCCAGCAGGCCTTTGTGGAGCGCGATATCCTCACCTTCGCCGAGAACCCGTTTGTGGTCGGCATGTTCTGCTCCTTTGAGACTCGGCGCCACCTCTGCATGGTCATGGAATATGTGGAAGGTGTGGCTGCCTGCGGGGCTGCAGGGAAGATGGGGCCGTGCTCACTGGTCAGGGCTGCGGGGTGGCCTGCCTGAGCCGCAGTCTCCATATTGATTAGTCGGCCTGTATGTTTATCCATCTATTTATTTCTCCAGTCATTGATTTGTCCATCCATTCTACCTATATATTTATTCAGTCATCTATTGGTTTATTTGTTTTTCATTTCATTCAGCATAAAAACATTCAGTCTGACCCATTATCCATCCATCTATCCTTCTATCTACTGATGTGCTAATCCATCTGTTTTTCCATCCATACATCCATGAACCTGTTTTTATTTATTTATTTATTTATTCATTTATTCATTTATTTATTTTTTGAGACAGAGTCTTGCTCTGTCACCCAGGCTGCAGTGCAGTGGTGCAATCTCGGTTCACTGCAACCTCCGACTCCCAGGCTCAAGCGATTCTTATGCCTCAGCCTCCCGAGTAGCTGGGATTATGGGCCTGTGCCACCATTCATGGGTAATTTTTCTATTTTTAGCAGAGACAGGATTTCGCCATGTTTGCCAGGCTAGTCTTGAACTCCTGACCTTAAGTGATCTGCCTGCCTGGGCCTCCCAAAGTGCTGGGATTACAGGCATGAGCCACTGTGCCAGGCCTATTTTATTTTATTTATTTATTTTTGAGACAAGATCTCACTCTGTTGCTCAGGCTGGAATGTAGTGGTGCGATCACAGCTCACTGCAGCCTCAAATGCCTGGGCTCAATCAATTCTCCCACCTCAGCCTCCCAAATACCTGGGATTATAGGTGCGGACCACCACACTCGGCTAATTTTTGGGAGGCCAAGGTGGGGAGATCACAAGGTCAGGGGTTCAAGACCAGCCTGGCCAACATGGTGAAACCCTGACTCTACCAAAAATACAAAAATTAGCCAGATGGCACACTCCTATAATCCCAGCTACTCACGTGGCTGAAGTGGGAGGATTGTTTAAACACAGGAAGCAGAGGTTGCAGTAAGCCGAGATCGTGCTGCTGCACTCCAGGCTAGGCTGAGATCATGCCATTGCACTCCAGCCCTGGCAACTGAGCAAGACCCTGTCCCGCAAAAAAAAAAAAAAAAAAGTTTTTTGTTTTTTGTTTTTTTTTGTTCGTTTGTTTTGTTTTTTATGCAGTCTCCCTGTATTGCCCAAGTTAGTCTCCAACTCCTGGGCTCAAGCAACCGTCCTGCCTCAGCCTTCCAAAGTCCTGGGATTACAGGCACGAGCCACCGAGCCCATCCCATATACCTGTTTATTAATCCACCTTTCCATCCATCCCTCACATCCCGCAATTTGTCTTTGTGGTTGTCCATCTGTTTATCCATCCGTATGTCTGTTTACCATTATACACCTATTTTTCTTTTTTTTGGGGGGGACGGCGTCTTGCTCTGTCTCCCAGGCTGGAGTGCAGTGGCGCAATCTCAGCTCACTGCAAGCTCCACCTCCTAGGTTCACACCATTCTCCTGCCTCAGCCTCCTGAGTAGCTGGGATTACAGGTGCCCGCCACCATGCCCGACTAATTTTTTTTGTATTTTTAGTAGAGACGGGGTTTCACCGTGTTGGCCAGGATGGTCTCGATCTCTTGACCTCATGATCCGCCCACCTCGGCCTCCCAAAGTGCTGTGATTACAGGCGTGAACCACCACACCCGGCTTATACACCTATTTTTCCTTTTTCTTTCTTTCTTTTTTTTTTTTTTTTTGAGACAGAGTCTTGCTCTGTCACCAGGCTCGAATGCAGTGGCGCTATCTCGGCTCACTGTAACCTCCACCTTCCAGGTTCAAGTGATTCTCCTGCCTGAGCCTCCCGAGTAGCTGGGATTACAGGTGTGTGCCACCACACCTGGCTAATTTTTTGTATTTTTAGTAGAAATAGGGTTTTCACCATGTTGGCCAGGCTGGTCTCGAACTCCTGACCTCAGGTGATCCTCCCACCTCAGCCTCCCAAAGTGCTGGGATTACAGGCGTGAGCCATAGCTTGCGGCCCATATATTGTTTTTAATCCATCCGTGCATGTATTCACCCAAATGTTAATCCATCTATTGTCCAAAACCACACATGCTGTGGCTATTATGACACATACATGATCCCTGGGGCCTCAGCTGTGCCTCCTCCAAGCCTTCCAGTCAACCATCCAGTCACTCAACGAACACCTCCTCATCATCTCCCTCGTGTCACATGCTGTGCTAGGTGCCAGTGACACAGAGGAGACCCAGGCACAGACATCTCCCCGCCATGGAGATTCCATTCTGGTCTGTATAGACAGACAATAAACAAGCAGAGCAAGCCAAAGAGATAAGGACATTTATTTATTTATTTATTTATGGAGTCTCGCTCTTTCACCCAGGCTGGAGTGCCGTGGCGCAATCTTGGTGCACAGCAACCTCCATCTCCCAGGCTCAAGGATTCTCATGCCTCAGCCTCCTGAGTAGCTGGGACTAAAGGCGCGCCTCCACCATGCCCAGCTGATTTTTGTATTTTTAGTAGAGACAGGGGTTTCACCAGGTTGGCCAGGCTGGTCTTGAACTCCTGACCTCAGGTGATCAGCCCACCTTGGCCTCCCAAAGTGCTGGGATTACAGGCATGAGCCACCATGCCCAGCCAGGGCATTTCATAGTGAGGACATGAGGTCCATGAGGCTGGAGGAGGTGATGGGGAGGCAGGCAGGGAGCTTCTCAGAGGCCTGGATTATGATGGAATAAGTGACCTGCTAGTACAAAGTCTCTTAGGTGACAATTTAGATTTGGAGGAGTGGCAAGCAGGCCCATGGAGCCGAAGGCAAGTGAGCAAGGGAGGGGAGATGAGGATGAAGGGGCGCTGATGAGGAGGGTATTCCAGAGACTGGAATGGCATTGGATTTCATTCTGAATGCAACAGAAGGTCACTGGAGCATTGTTGTTTTTTTCTTTTTCTTTTTCTCTCTTTCTTTCTTTCTTTCTTTCTTTCTTTCTTTCTTTTTTGAGATAGAGTCTCGTTCTGTTGCCCAGGCTGGAGTGCAGTGGCGCATCCTCGGCTCACTGCAACCTCCGCCTCCCGGGTTCAAGCGATTCTCCTGCCTCAACCTCCTGAGTAGCTGGGATTACAGGTGCCCGCCACCACGCCCACCTAATTTCTGTATTTTTAGTAGAGATGGGGTTTCATCATGTTGGTCAGGCTGGTCTCAAACTCCACACCTCATGATCTGTCTGCCTCGGCCTCCCAAAGTGCTGGGATTACAGGAGTGAGCCACCGTGCCTGCCTTTTTTTTTTTTTTTTTTTGAAATGGAGTCTCACTCACGCTGTCACCCAGGCTAGAGTGCAATGGGGTGATCTCGGATTACTGCAGCCTCCGTCTCCAAGGTTCAAGTGATTCTCCTGCCTCAGTCTCCCGAGTAGCTAGGATTACAGGCGTGTGCCACCACATCTGGCAAATTTTTGTACTTTTAGTAGAGACGGATTTTCACCATGTTGGCCAGGCTGGTCTCGAATTCCTAGCCTTAAATGATCCATCAGTCTCGGCCTCCCGAAGTATGGGGATTACAGGCGTGAATCACTGCGCCCAGCCTTGTTTTGTTTTATTTTTAGTGCATTGTCCAGGCTGGAGTGCAGTGGTGTGATCACAGCTTACTGCAGCCTTGAACTCCTGGGCTCAAGCAATCCTCCCACCTCAGCCTCCAAAAGTAGCTGAAACTACAGGCAGGCACCACCATGTCCAGCTAATGGAGGGTTTTAAGAAGATTTGATATGATCAGATTTATGTTTTAAGAAAATCCATTTGGAGGCCCATTATAGTAGCTTACGACTGTAATCCCAGCACTTACAGTGGGAGACCAAGGCAGGCAGAACACTTGTGGTCAAGAGTCCAAGATCAACCTACCCAGCATGGTGAAACCCTGTTGTTGTTGTTTTTTTCTTTTCCTTTTTTTTTTTTTTTTTGAGACAGAGTTTCGCTCTGGCTAAACTCGTTGCCCAGGCTAGAGTGCAATGACGTGATCTTGGCTCACCGCAACCTCCTCCTCCCGGGTTCAAGCGATTCTCCTGCCTCAGCTTCTTGAGTAGCTGGAATTATAGGTATGCACCACCACACCTGGCTATTTTTGTATTTTTAGTAGAGATGGGGTTTCTCCATGTCAGCCAGGCTGGTCTCGAACTCCCAACCTCAGGTGATGTGCCTGCCTCGGCTTCCCAAAGTGTTGGGATTACAGGCGTGAGCCACTGTGCCCGGCCAATGAAACCCTGTTTCTACTAAAATTACAAAAATTAGCCAGGAGTGGCGGTGCACGCCTATCATCCCAGCTACTCGGGAGGCTGAGGAACAAGAATCTCTTGAACCCGGGGGCGGTGAGTGGGCAGAGGTTGCAGTGAGCCGAGATGGAGCCACTGCACTCTAGCCTGGGTGACAGAGCCAGACTCTGACTCAAAAAAAAAAAAAAAAAAAAAAAGAGAAAAAGAAAAAAATTAAGAAAAGATAATCCATTTGGCTCTTGTGGAGAGAGCAGAATCAGGAGACTAGGAGGTAGATGACTGCTCTAGTCCAGGTTCATTGCAGAGGAGGAGGAGAGAAGGGGGCCAAATCAGTATCTCTATGGTGGGTCTGTGTGCACAATAGATGTGCTCAAATGCAGATTCCTGGGCCCCACCCTCAGAGAGTTTCTGAAACCAGCAAAATCTCGCAGAAAAGAGAACAGAAAAAAGAAAGAAATCATTAGCTTTCTTGGTCATTGGTGATTGAAAAACCAATATTACCTTCAGGAATGGCTGGATGTAGGTGCTCAAACCATTCCATCAGGAAACTCTCCATCTCTTGGCTCTGTACTCCCACATGTGGGCTTCCTTCTAGACAAGCCCTCATGTAGCAAGGTTGCCATCTAGCAGATCTCAGCTTACATTCTATGAGCTTAGCAATTCTTACAGGAAAAGAGTGAAAATTCCAAGGGCTAACTCACTGGAGCAACTTGGGTTACATACTGCCCCGGTTGCTGCACATGGAAGGAAATCTAGCCTTTGTAGGATAAAAAGGAAATAGATATTGAGAAACTGAAATACCAATGCCAATTACAGTAAATCTGGCAGAGGGGCAGAGGCAGTGGCCAACACTTTGGGAAGCTGAGGCAGGAGGATCCTTTGAACCCAAGAGTTGGAGACCAGCTTGGGCAACACAATGAAACTCGTTTCTACAAAAAACTTTTTTTTTTTTTTTTTTGAGACGGAGTCTTGCTCTGTCACCCAGGCTGGACTGCAGTGGTGCGATCTTGGATCTCTGCAACCTCTGCCTCCCAGGTTCAAGCCATTCTTCTGCCTTAGCCTCCCGAGTAGCTGGGATTACAGCCGTCTGCCAACAAGCCAGGCTAACTTTAGTATTCTTTTTTCAGAGATGGGGTTTCACCATGTTGACCAGGCTGGTCTCGAACTCCTGACCTCAAGTGATCCACCCGCCTTGGCTTCCCAAAGTGCTGGGATTTCAGGCGTGAGCTACCATGCCCAGCCTTGAACAATTTTTTAAAAATCAGCTGGGCATGGTGGCTCACATCTGTAGTCCCAGCTACTCAGGAGGCTGAAGCAGGAGGATTGCTTGAGCTGGGAGGTTGAGGATGCAGTGAGCTGTGATCTTGCCACCGCACTCTAGACTGGGCAATGGAGTAAGACCCTGTCTCAAAAAAAAAAAAAAAAAATCTAGTGAAGACCAAGAATCTGCATCTAAGGCTTCCAGCTCCAAGGTTCAGACACCAGGAGATAGAGGGCTGTGCTTCCAGATGCAGTTGATAAGTGGGTAGCCTTTGTTCCCCAACTAAACCTCACCTCTACCAACAACTGCCTGCATGACCCATCCTTTCTTTGAGTCTCCATCCCTTTGTGTATAAGATGAGCTGATGACACCAACTTTGGAGGATGGCTAAGAGGACAAGAAGAACCCAGTAGAGGACCTGGAGGGAGGGAGGCCCCTCTCAGAGCCTCAGTTTCCCTTATCTATAAAACGGGTACAACATAACATGAGAAGTTGGTGCTATGGTGCATGTCCAGAGAGAGGAATGCCTCCCTTTTTATGCGGGCCCATTTCCTGGCCTGCAGGCGGCGACTGTGCCACCCTGCTGAAGAATATTGGAGCGCTGCCCGTAGAGATGGCCCGCATGTACTTTGCTGAGACGGTGCTAGCCCTGGAGTATTTGCACAACTATGGCATCGTGCACCGCGACCTCAAGCCTGACAAGTGAGCTTTGATCTTTCCCATCACTCCCTCTGTCCCTCGGGAGGCCAGGAGGCAGAATGGACGGGCCTCATCCCTGAGATCCCCACCTGTGCCTACAGCCTCCTTATCACCTCCATGGGTCACATCAAGCTCACAGATTTCGGCCTCTCCAAGATGGGGCTCATGAGCCTCACCACCAACTTATATGAAGGCCACATCGAGAAGGACGCCCGAGAGTTCCTGGACAAACAGGTGTGTGTGCGGGCATGGGGGTCGCTGAGGGTGGAGTGACCCTGCAGGACCTCGGGAACCCAGGGCCTGGTGGGGGGCACAGCTCTCCCTTGAGGGCCCTCCTCTGGCTGGGGCGTGGGCTGACAGCCTGCCCCCAGGTGTGTGGGACCCCAGAGTACATCGCGCCCGAGGTCATCCTGCGTCAAGGCTACGGCAAGCCAGTGGACTGGTGGGCTATGGGGATCATCCTCTACGAGTTCCTGGTGGGCTGTGTGCCCTTCTTCGGAGACACACCAGAGGAGCTATTTGGACAGGTCATCAGTGGTACGTGGCTTGGCAGTGTACAGGGGCAGAGTGTGGTGTGCACGGAGAGATGGACAGGCTCAGGGTTCCAGGGATTTCAAAAGCGACCCCCCAGAGGATCGCTTGCACTCAGGAGGTCAAGGCTGCAGTGAGCCATGATCGTGCCACTGCACTCCAGCTGGGTGACACAGTGAGATCCTGTGTCCAAACAACAACAACAACAAAAACCGCCCCTAAGTTCCGTTTTGTTTTGCAGATGACATCCTGTGGCCCGAGGGGGATGAGGCCCTACCTACGGAGGCCCAACTCCTCATATCCAGCCTCCTGCAGACCAACCCTCTGGTCAGGCTTGGGGCAGGTAAGTCCGCCATGCAGAGGAGCTGAGGGCCCACTGATAGAGAGCAGGCCTCCAAAACCCCAGGCCCAGCCTGTGCTGTGGCCCCGGGGCGGAAGACATGGGGGGCGGGGCTGGGCTGCTGGGTTGGCCATCAGCTGTGGCTGGAATCCCTTCCGTCCCAGGCGGCGCTTTTGAGGTGAAGCAGCACAGTTTCTTTCGAGACCTGGACTGGACAGGGCTGCTGAGGCAGAAGGCCGAGTTCATCCCCCACCTAGAGTCGGAAGATGACACTAGCTACTTTGACAGTGAGCTGGGACACCAGGCACGACCTGGGTCGAGGGGTGGGATCCGGGAAGAGGGACCCTGGGGTAAGTAAAGCCTGGGATAGGGCCTGGCTAAGTACCAAGATGTGATGCCTAGGTGCGAAGGTGGTATTTTGGTGGGGGCGGGGCCAAGTGGGGCGGGGCTGACATACAGGCGGGGCTCAGGCTGAAATGTAGGTAAGAACCTGAGATTGGGCTAGGTGTGGGGCCTGGCCTGGGTGAGTTGTGAGTGTGGGCCTGGAACTGAACTAGAGAGAGGTACTAGCGCTCAGAATGGCCTGGGGTGATGCCAGGGTGCAGAGCACTGTAGGTGGAGCGTGGCCTCTTTGGAGGCGGGGCTAGACGGTGCCACTGAGAATGGGGCAAGGACCTTGCCTGGGAGCGGAGCCTAAATTAAATACACTAATGAGGCAGGGGCGTGGCCTGACCTGAAGACTTGTAAACCCGTCTTGAACCAGGACTGGGCTCCTGTGGGGATGTGATATGAGGAGGAACCCCGTACCCTCAGTCACAGCCCATACCCGCTCCCCAGCCCGCTCAGACAGGTATCACCACGTGAACTCCTATGACGAGGATGACACGACGGAGGAGGAGCCCGTGGAAATCCGCCAGTTCTCTTCCTGCTCTCCGCGCTTCAGCAAGGTGGGCCAAGTCTGGGTGTGGGACAGGGCGAGACCCCAGGAGGGATGGGGCTTGGAGAGACAGTGAGAAACAGGTTCCCTGGTGCCCAAGGTCTCAGGAGCGGGAAGTTATTGATGGGGCGGGAGTCTGGAAGGTGGTAAGGCCACGCAAGAGGCAGGTTCGGGAGTCTATGGGACGGGCCTTTGGCACTGAGTGGAATCTAACAGGAATCAGGACAGTTGTGCAGATTGAGGCCATGGTGGGGCGGGGCTAGGTGTGGGTGGGGCGGGGTCAGGACGTGGGAATGAGGCCAGCAGCGAAGGCGGAGTAAAGCCCAGCGAAGTCTTGCTTTTATTTATTTATTTTTATTTTTTCTAATAACGGGCAGAGAAGCCATAGGCCTTGCTTTGAGAAGCAACTTGTAGAGGCGTGCAGGGCCTAGCCTGGGCTAAGGAGACATAAATTAAGGGGGTTGCTGGGAAGATGGGGCTGTGTAGAGAGCAGATTGGTCAGGGCATCGTCGGGGCAGAGCCTAGAATAAAACGCAGTGCCTAACTTTGTGGTGTGGGGCCTGAACTGAAGAATTGTAGGTTGGGGGATCATGCACAATTGGGCGGAGCCAGGCCTCGGAGGGTGGAGTGCGTTTTGCGGGGGATCCACTGCCAGGAAGCTGATTAGCTCCGGAGTGAAAGTGGAACCCGGGCTGGACTTGCCTCCCACCACCACCTACAGGTGTATAGCAGCATGGAGCAGCTGTCGCAGCACGAGCCCAAGACCCCAGTAGCAGCTGCAGGGAGCAGCAAGCGGGAGCCGAGCACCAAGGGCCCCGAGGAGAAGGTGGCCGGCAAGCGGGAGGGGCTGGGCGGCCTGACCCTGCGTGAGAAGACCTGGAGAGGGGGCTCTCCGGAGATGTGAGCAGGGGAATGGCGGAGTTTGGGGGCGGGGTCGAAGGGGGCGTGTCTTCCATAACCACGCCCCCTCCATGCAGCAAGCGATTCTCCGCGTCCGAGGCCAGTTTCCTGGAGGGAGAGGCCAGTCCCCCTTTGGGCGCCCGCCGCCGTTTCTCGGCGCTGCTGGAGCCCAGCCGCTTCAGCGCCCCCCAAGAGGACGAGGATGAGGCCCGGCTGCGCAGGCCTCCCCGGCCCAGCTCCGACCCCGCGGGATCCCTGGATGCACGGGCCCCCAAAGAGGAGACTCAAGGGGAAGGCACCTCCAGCGCCGGGGACTCCGAGGCCAGTGAGTGCCCTATCGTGCTGCCTTCCCCAATCTTCCCCAATGTCCTACTGGTCATATAGTGAGCATCCCACGAGCCTGGTGCTGTTTATGAAAGATCTCAGGTCCTATTCACATTGCAATTTGGGATTTTTTTTTTTTTTTTTTTTTTTGAGACAGAGTCTCACTCCATCACCCAGGATGGAGTGCAGTGGCGTGATCTCGGCTCACTGCAACCTCCACCTCCCAAGTTCAAGTGGTTCTCGCACCTCAGCCTCCCGAGTAGCTGGGATTACAGGCGCGCGCCACTACCCCCGGCTAATTTTTGTATTTTTAGTAGAGACAGGGTTTCTTCATGTTGGCAAGGCTGGTCTCGAACTCCTGACCTCAAGTGATCTGCCTTCCTTGGCCTACCAAAGTGCTGGGGTTACAGTCGTGAGCCACCACACCCAGCCCAATTTGGGATTCTTAACATTAGAAACACCCCAATACCATGGTCAGTCAGTGATACAGACCGATACAGACTATGTCTCTATATGAGGAGCAGTGAGGCATGCAGGTTACCTGCTCAGATGAAACTCACCATCCATCAAGGGTAAAAAGTGGAAAGAGCATTCCAGGCAGGGAAACAGTATGTGGGAAATCCCTGGCCTTGGACTAATTCCTAACACACTTGCTTTCTGTTGCAGCTGACCGTCCACGCCCAGGTGACCTCTGCCCACCCTCGAAGGATGGGGATGCATCAGGCCCAAGGGCTACCAATGACTTGGTTCTGCGCCGGGCGCGGCACCAGCAGATGTCAGGGGATGTGGCAGTAGAGAAGAGGCCTTCTCGAACTGGGGGCAAAGTCATCAAATCAGCCTCAGCCACTGCCTTATCTGTCATGATTCCTGCAGGTAATGCTGGGCCCCACCTGGCAGGGGAGGGGCTGCCCCCCATTTGAGGCAGGACAGACCAATGAAAATGCTGCATTTTCCCTGTCCACCGTGATTGGCTCCAGGCTGGACCAATGAGAGGCTGCTCTGCCACTGCCTTGGGAGGAGGGAGGAGCAGATACAGGGAGATGTCTATCTTCTTGGTTCTGATTTCTGACCATGGTTGTGTGTCTGTAGTGGACCCACATGGAAGTTCACCCCTTGCTAGTCCCATGTCTCCACGATCTCTGTCCTCCAACCCATCCTCACGGGACTCCTCACCCAGCCGGGACTACTCACCAGCTGTCAGTGGGCTCCGCTCCCCCATCACCATCCAGCGCTCGGGCAAGAAGTATGGCTTCACACTGCGTGCCATCCGTGTCTACATGGGTGACACGGATGTCTATAGTGTCCACCACATTGTCTGGGTGAGTACTCATGGGTGGAGTCTCCATCACAGAGTGGAGGGTGGTGGGGAAAAGGCCCCTCCAGCTCAAACCAGTTAGCCTGGGTGAGACACCTCTGTGACCCTCTATGCCTCTTCCCTCTCTAAACCTGTTTCTTTTTTCTTTTACTTTTTTATTTTAGGCGGAGACTCACTGTGTCGCCAGGCCGGAGTGCAGTGGCAGGATCTCGGCTCACTGCAACCTCTGCCTCCTGAGTTCAAGCCATTCTCCTGCCTCAACCTTCTGAGTAGCTGGGACTACAGACAGGCGCGCGCCACCACGCCCAGCTAATTTTTGTATTTTTAGTAGAGACGGGGTTTCACCATGTTGGCTAGGATGGTCTCAATCTCTTGACCTCGTGATTCACCCACCTCGGCCTCTCAAACTGCTGGGATTACAGGCGTGAGCCACGGTGCCTGGCCGAGACTGTTTCTTCATCTGCAAAATGGGGAGAATAGGCCAGGCGCAGTGGCTCAGGCCTGTAATCCCAGCACTTTGGGAGGCTGAGGTGGGCAGATCACTGGAGGTCAGGAGTTTGAGACTAGCCTGGCCAATATGGTGAAACCCTGTCTCTATTAAAAATACAAAAATTGGGCCGAGCGCGGTGGCTGTAATCCCGGCACTTTGGGAGGCCGAGGAGGGTGGATCATGAGGTCAGGAGATCGAGACCATCCTGGCTAACATGGTGAAACCCCCTCTCTACTAAAAATACAAAAAATTAGCTGGGCATGGTGGTGGGCGCCTGTAGTCCCAGCTACTTGGGAGGCTGAGGCAGGAGAATCGCTTGAACCCGGGAGGCGGAGCTTGCAGTGAGCCGAGATTGCGCCACTGCACTTTAGCCTGGGCGACAGAGCAAGACACCATCTCAAAAAAAAAAAAAAAAAAAAAAAAAATGGCCAGGCGCGGTGGCTCACGCCTGTAATCCCGGCACTTTGGGAGGCCGAGGTGGGTGGATCACGAGGTTAGGAGTTTGAGATCAGCCTGACCAACATGGTGAAACCCCATCTCTACTAAAAATACAAAAAAAATTAGCCAGGCGTGGTGGCAGATGCCTGTAATCCCAGCTACTCAGGAGGCTGAGACAGGATAATCGCGTGAACCCGGGAGGCGGAGCTTGCAGTGAGCCGACATCGCGCCACTGCACTCCAGCCTGGGTGACAGAGCGAGAGACTCCGTCTCAAAAAAAAAAAAAAAAAAAATTAGCCGGAGGTAGTGGCGCATGCCTATAATCCCAGCTACTTGGGAGGCTGAGGGAGGAGAATCGCTTGAACCTGGGAGGCGGGTGTTGTTGCAGTGAGCCAGGATTGCGCCACAGCACTCCAGCCTGGGTGACAGAGTGAGACTCCGTCCAAAAAAAAAAAAAAAATGTGGGGGGAGGAATAATAACTATTTCACAAGGTGTTATGAGGATTCTAATGCATGCAGAGCTAAGTGTCCTGCATATAAGTTTAGGAGCTTTCCTTGTTACCAATCCCACTAACCCTGTCCCTATGGGGTGCTCTTTTCCCAGCATGTGGAGGAAGGAGGCCCAGCCCAGGAGGCAGGACTCTGTGCTGGGGACCTCATCACCCACGTGAATGGGGAGCCTGTGCATGGCATGGTGCATCCTGAGGTCGTGGAGCTGATCCTTAAGGTGAGTGCAGGGAAGGAGGCACCCTGGGCGGAGGGTGGGGGAGGCCTGAGCAGCCCCTAGCAGAGCATTTTCCCGCATTCTTCCCCCAGAGTGGCAACAAGGTAGCAGTGACCACAACGCCCTTCGAAAATACCTCTATCCGCATTGGTCCCGCAAGGCGCAGCAGCTACAAGGCTAAAATGGCTCGGAGGAACAAGCGACCCTCCGCCAAGGAGGGCCAGGAGAGGTGGGCACAGCCGTAAACAGCCTGGTCTTTGAGCAGTGGGTGGAACTTAGGCGGGAGGGGCACAGATGAGGATGGAGAAGGGAAGAGCACGGGAAAGGTGGCGGGAACAAATGACCAACAAGCAAAGGGAAGAGGACAATTAAGAGGGGCTGCGGGCTGGGCGCGGTGGCTCACGCCTGTAACCCCAGCACTTTGGGAGGCCGAGGCGGGCAGATCACGAGGTCAGGAGTTTGAGACCAGCCTGGCCAATATGGTGAAACCCCATCTCTACTAAAAATACAAAAATTAGCCTGGCATGGTGGCGCTCGCCTGCAGTCCCAGCTACTTAGGAAGCTGAGGCAGAAGAATCCCTTGAACCCGGGAGGTGGATGTTGCAGTGAGCCAAGATTGTGCCACTGCACTCCAACCTGGGCAACAGAGTGAGACTCCATCTCAAACAAACAAACAAACAAACAAACAAAAAAAGAGGGGCTGGGATGAGTCACACCTGTAATCACAGCACTTTGGGAGGCTGAGGCAGAAGGATCACTTGAGCCCAGGAGTCAAGATTAGGGGCAACATAGAGAGACCCCATCTCTACAAAAAACTTAAAAAACTAGTTGGGTTTGGTGGCACACACCTGTGGTCTCAGCTACTCGGAGGCTGAAGTGGGAGGATTGCTTGAGCCTGGGAGGTCGAGGCTGCAGTGAGCTATGATCTCACCACTGCAGTCCAGCTGTGACAACAGAGCTAGACTCTTTCAAAAAAAAAAAAAAAAAAAAAAAAGAGGGGCTGTAAAAGTGGAAGGAGCCAAGAATGGAAGCTGTGCCAAATTTCTAGGATCAGAGAAAAGCATTGTAGGAGGGTCTTGCACATATAGGCAGGCCCAGGAGATGTGAACTGGAAAGGGAGATGTCCAGAGACGGAGGGGGTCCAGGAGATGGTCCTATCCTGTTAGATGTGTTTAGACAGAACTGGGAAAGGCTAGAATAAGAAATGTCTATCTGGAATGAGCATGCCAGGCAAGGTTCAGCCAACTGAAATCCTATTTTCCCTTATAGATAGGAGGAGCTAGGTGGGAGGTGGGTGGGGCCAGAAGGGTATTCTGTTTGTTTGTTTGTTTTTAGTATTCTGTTTTGATCAGTGAGTTTGGCCCAGACAAGTACAGGGATTTGGGTGAGAGGAGCCAGACGGGGTTGAGATAAGTACATTTCTTCCCACTCTTATAGGTGGGTTGTAGTGGAAGAGGCGGGACTAGAGGCAGGTGGGACCAAGTTGGTTTTGTTTGGATGTGTTTCTAGCCTGGACTGGGAGTGGCCAAAAGGTTGGGCAGGACCTGAAGTGGGAGGAGGGAGGAGCCAAGCAGCACTGAGTTAAGGGAAGTTCTGTCTTGATAGGTGGGTTGTAGTGAAAGACGGAGGGACTAGAGGGGTGGGCAGGACTAGAAGAGGTTGTTTTTGGCCGGGCGAGGTGGTTCACACCTGTAATCCCAGCACTTTGGGAGGCCGAGGTGGGTGGATCACCTGAGGTCAGGAGTTTGAGACCAGCCTGACCAACATGGTGAAACCCCATCTCTACTAAAAATACAAAAATTAGCTGGGAGTGGTGGCTCACTCCTGTAGTCCCACCTACTCAGGAGGCTACTCACGAAGCTGAAGCACGGTAATCGCTTGAACCCGGGAGGTAGAGGTTGCAGTGAGCCGAGATCGTGCCATTGCACTCCAGCCTGGGCGACAAGAGCGAAACTTCGTCTCAAAAAAAAAAAAAAAAATGGTTTTGTTTGGATGAGTGTTTGTAGCCAGAATTGGGAGTGGCCTAAAGTTGGGCGGGGCCTGAAGTAGGAGGAGCTAAAGGAAGTTCTATCTTGATAGGTGGATTGTAGTGGAAGAGGGAGGAGCTAGAGAGGTGGGCGGGGCAGAACAGGTTGGTTTTGTTTGGATGCTTGTTTCTAGCTTGGACTAGGAGTGGCCAAAGGGGGTGGGTGGGGACTGAAGTGGGAGGAGCCAAGCAGCACTGAGCTAAAGGAAGTTCTTTATCTTGATAGGTGGGTTGTAGCTGGAGAGGGAAGGGCCAGAAGGGGTGGGTGGTTACCGTTGTGAGGCCGTGAAATGGGAGGAGCCCTGAGCTCTGGCGTCCAGGTCAAGGACGCTTGGCCCCCTCCCTGTCCCGCAGCAAGAAGCGCAGCTCCCTCTTCCGGAAGATCACGAAGCAGTCGAACCTGCTGCATACTAGCCGCTCGCTGTCGTCGCTGAACCGCTCGCTGTCATCCAGCGATAGTCTCCCGGGCTCGCCTACGCACGGGCTGCCGGCGCGCTCGCCCACGCACAGCTACCGCTCCACGCCTGACTCCGCCTACCTAGGTATTACCTCCTGCACCTGCGCGGGGACCGAGCAGCGCGGGGTGGCCTGGCTGGTGCTTGGGCTGTACTCACTCGCTTCACCTCCTGTCTCCCGCAGGCGCCTCATCCCAGAGCAGCTCCCCAGCCTCGAGCACGCCCAACTCGCCTGCGTCGTCGGCGTCGCACCACATTCGGCCCAGCACGCTGCACGGACTGTCGCCAAAGCTCCATCGCCAGTACCGCTCTGCGCGATGCAAGTCGGCCGGCAACATCCCTCTATCGCCGCTGGCACACACGCCGTCCCCCACGCAGGCGTCACCGCCGCCACTGCCGGGCCACACGGTGGGCAGCTCGCACACTACTCAGAGCTTCCCGGCCAAACTGCACTCATCGCCTCCCGTCGTGCGCCCGCGCCCCAAGAGTGCCGAGCCCCCTCGCTCGCCGCTCCTCAAGCGCGTGCAGTCGGCCGAGAAGCTGGGAGCCTCTTTGAGTGCGGACAAGAAGGGCGCGCTGCGCAAACACAGCCTCGAGGTGGGCCACCCGGATTTCCGCAAGGACTTCCATGGCGAGCTGGCGCTGCATAGCCTTGCCGAGTCCGACGGTGAGACGCCCCCAGTCGAGGGCCTTGGCGCGCCCCGGCAGGTCGCCGTCCGCCGCCTGGGCCGACAGGAGTCACCTTTGAGCCTGGGCGCGGACCCGTTGCTGCCCGAGGGTGCCTCCAGGCCACCAGTGTCGAGCAAGGAGAAGGAATCCCCGGGGGGCGCCGAGGCGTGCACCCCACCCCGCGCGACGACCCCCGGTGGCCGGACCCTGGAGCGGGACGTCGGCTGCACGCGGCATCAGAGCGTGCAGACGGAGGATGGCACTGGCGGGATGGCCAGGGCTGTGGCCAAGGCGGCGCTGAGCCCGGTGCAGGAACACGAGACAGGCCGGCGCAGCAGCTCTGGCGAGGCGGGCACACCCCTGGTACCCATTGTCGTAGAGCCTGCGCGGCCCGGGGCTAAGGCTGTGGTGCCTCAGCCTCTGGGCGCGGACTCCAAGGGGTTGCAGGAACCCGCACCCCTGGCGCCTTCCGTGCCCGAGGCCCCCCGGGGCCGGGAGCGCTGGGTGTTGGAGGTGGTGGAGGAGCGCACCACGCTGAGCGGTCCTCGCTCCAAGCCCGCCTCCCCAAAGCTCTCCCCGGAGCCCCAGACACCCTCCCTAGCCCCAGCGAAGTGCAGTGCACCCAGCAGTGCAGTGACCCCAGTCCCACCCGCATCCCTCTTGGGCTCAGGCACCAAGCCTCAAGTGGGGCTGACCTCCCGGTGCCCTGCTGAAGCTGTGCCCCCAGCAGGCCTGACCAAAAAAGGAGTGTCCAGTCCCGCACCCCCGGGACCATAGCCAAGGGGGTCATCGGCCCCGCGCTGTACAGCCTCCGTATACATATGTACACATATAAATAAAGTGCGTCCGTGCTGCGTGAGTTTTCTGGGGCTCACTCCTCTCCAGGCAAGGCGAGACATCACACGACCCCACCCCCATGCCCAGGTGCTTTTTGGGAGGTGGGACTCCAGTTCTGGTTACCATGGAGAGTGGAGGGAATTTTGGATAGACACCTCCTGTGGTCCCACTTCTGGTCTCACCTCTGCACCAACTGCCCCCAAACCTTTAGGGGGAGAATTGAAGCTGCGATGCTCTTGTGTCCCAGCGCCCACCTGAAGAGAAGGTTAACAGCCTCGTCCACCAATTTCCATTTATTTACTCCTCAACAATCCTGATGGCAGGTATTATGTTTCCCATTTTGCAGACAGGTAGACTGTGTCACAGAGCGGTTAAGGCACACAATCAAGGTCATACAGCTAGGAAGGGGATGAACTGGGATTCAAAATCAAGTCCAAACTGGTTCCTGAGCCCTTAGATTTTTTATTTTTTATTTTTTTGACACAGAGTCTCATTCTGTCACCCAGGCTGAAGTGCCGTGGTGTTAGCTCAGCTCATGACAACCTCTGCCTCCCGAGTTCAAGCGATTCTCCTGCCTCAGCCTCCCGAGGAGCTAGGACCACAGACGCGTGCCACCATGTCTGGCTAATTTTTAAATATTTTTAATGGATATGGGGTTTCACCATGTTGGCCAGGCTGGTCTCGAACTCCTGACCTCAAGTGATCTGCCCATCTCAGCCTCCCAAAGTGCTGGGGTTACAGATGTGAGCCACTGCACCCACCCGTCCCCCGCCCCCCCTTTTTTTTTGAAACAGAGTCTTGCTATGTGACCCAGGTTGGCGTAATCATAGTTCACTGTGACCATGATCTCCCTGGTTCAATCGATCCTCTGGCTTCAGTGGCTGGGACTACAGGCATTTATCACCGTGCCTGGCTAACTTTTTTTAAGTTCTAGTAGAGATGTGGTCTCACTATGTAGCCCAGGCTGGTCTCGAATTCCTGAGTTCAAGTGATCCTCCCTCCTTGGCTTCCCAAAGTGCTGGGATTACATACGTGAGCCACTGCACCTGGCCATAAGGGTTAGATCTTATAAGCTCTGCTGGGCTTCCTGGCCATGCCATTACAGGGCTGGTAGTTCTTCACCAGCGGCTGGAAGGCTTTCCAGAGGGCTGGCAGCTGGGCACACAGTGTGCCCCCACCCCGTTGCTCCTCTCCCTGGTTCCGATTCATGTCACCCACGCAGGTCCAGGGCCCTTTTGGGGACACGCACCATTTGGAGTGGTCCTCTGTGCTGTTGAAGCTTGGGCCGGCTGGTCCAGGGAAAGCTATCTGGTTCACATTCAGAACCTGCCAGATATCCGAGCAGTTAGAGGGCAGGATGCCTACAGTTTTGTGCCAGAACTGGACCTGCAGGTTGGTACCAAGGGCTGCTGCCAACCAGCCGGAGTACAGGTCTGCAAAGGATGGAGAGAGGGCACAGGTAGGGTCAGGGCCACTGCGAGGGAGTCCCTAGTCCACTTCCCCTCTCTCAGCTCAGTTTCCATATTTCCTTTTTTTTTTTTTTTTTTGACATGGAGTCTTGCTCTGTCGCCCAGGCTAGAGTGCATTGGTGCAATCTAGGCTCATTGCAACCTCTGCCTCCGAGGTTCAAGTGATTCTCCTGCCTCAGCCTTCTGAGTAGCTGGGACTACAGGCATGCACAACCATACCCGGCTAATTTTTTAATAAAGAGGGGTTTCACCATATTGACCAGGCTGGTCTCAAACTCCTGATCTCAAGCAATCCGCCCACCTCGGTCTTCCAAAATGCTGGGACTACAGGTGTGTGTCACCGCGCCCTGCCACAGTTTCCATATTTCTGAGCTCAGTTGTCAATTCCCAGTCCTGGGAATGATGACATTAATATTAATTGCCCTTCCCAAATTTGTTTTTGAGACAGAGTCTCACTCTGTCGCCCAGGCTGGAGTGCAGTGGTGTAATCTCGGCACACTGCAACCTCTGCCTCCTGGTTTCAAGCGATTCTCATGCCTCAGCCTCCTGAGTAGCTGGGATTACAGGTGCCCGCCACCACACCCGGCTAATTTTTGTACTTTTAGTAGAGATGGGGTTCCACCATGTTGGCCAGGCTGTTCTCAAACTCCTGACCGTGTAATCAGCCAGCGCCCTCCACCATGCCCAGATAATTTTTGTACTTTTAGTAGAGATGGAGTTTCACCATGTTGGCCAGACTGGTCTTGAACTCCTGGGCTCAAGTGACCCACCCGCCTTGGTCTCCCAAAATGTGGGGATTACAGGTGAGCCACCGCGTCCGGCCCTGAGTGTTTTTAATTAATTAACTTATTTATTTTGAGACTGGGTCTCATTTTGACACCCCAGCTGGAGTGCAGTGGCAGGATCATGACTCACTTGCAGCCTCGACCTCCTGGGCTCAAGCTGTTCTCCCACCTCAGCCTCCTGAGTAGTGGGGACTACACGTGTGTGCCACTATGCCCCACTAATTAAAATTTTTTTTGTAGAGATGGGGTCCCGCTGTGTTGCCCAGGCTGGTCTCAAACTCCTGGGCTCAAGCAATCCTCCTGCCTCGACTGGGATTACAGGTGTGAGCCACTGTGCCTGGCCTATTTATTTGTATTTATTTATTTATTTATTTATTTTGAGACACAGTCTCACTCTGTCACCCAGGCTGGAGTGCAGTGGCACTATCTTGACTCACTGCAAGCTCCACCTTCCGGGTTCACGCCATTCTCCTGCCTCAGCCTCCCGAGTAACTGGGACTACAGGTGCCCGCCACCATGCCTGGCTAATTTTTGCACTTTTAGTAGAGACAGGGTTTCACCGTGTTAGCCAGGATGGTCTCGATCTCCTGAGCTCGTGATCTGCCCACCTCAGCCTCCCAAAGTGCTGGGATTACAGGCATGAGCCACTGTGCCCAGCCTATTTATTTATTTTTAAATAAAGACAGGGTCTTGCTCTGTCACCCAGGCTGGAGTGCAGTGGAGTCATTATAGCTCACTGCAGTCTGAAACTCTGGGCTCAATTTATCCTCCTGCCTCAGCCTCCCAAGTTGCTTGGCTAATTTTTAATTTTGTAGAGATGAGGTCTTGCTATGTTTCCCAGGCTTGTCTTGGATGCCTGTCTTCAAATGATCCTCCTGCCTCAGCCTCCTAAGTAACTGGGATTACAGGAGTGAGGCACCACCTCTGGCACCCAAATGACTTACAGGTACCACTTCATTCACAATTTTTTAAGTAGATGTCAGTATCCCCATTTTTCAGATGAGTAGACCAAGGCTCAGGTGAAGTTATACATCACACAGCAAAACCCAGGGTTTGAACCCAGGTCTGTTCACTGATCATGTGATTATAGCTCCCAAACAGACCTGGTCTCTACCGCTGACTTGAACTCAGCCATGGCCACACCAGTCACCCTGTCTGCAGAGAAGGAGCTCTCCAACCCTCAACCTTGAGACTCACCATCTCCAAATTTGCTGAACTTGGCAAAGCTCTGGAAAACAGCCCCGGCCTGGGATGTGAGTGTGATGCTGCTGTTCCAGGGTTCTTGGCTAACGTGGTGGCCCTTGACCACATTCTCCAAGTCGGGGAATTCCTGGGCAAAGATCCCTTCCAGCTGGTAGTTATA
The DNA here is from genome assembly GCF_000001405.40 of Homo sapiens. Lineage (NCBI taxonomy): Eukaryota > Metazoa > Chordata > Mammalia > Primates > Hominidae > Homo > Homo sapiens. The sequence goes on from NC_000019.10 coordinate 12,878,548, forward strand.
GACCCAGGGGTAGGTGTAGGTCAGCTGCTTGCCTGGAGGACAAGGGGAGGAGGAAATGCAAGATCGTTCCAGGTTCTGGTCAGTAAACCCAGGACTCATCCTGTGTCCCTGACTCGACTTACCCATCTTCGAGAACTGAGCGAAGGGAAAAGACACACAGAGCAGGGTCTGCCCGTAGGTACAGGCGCTATGAGGCCAGCTGTATGCAGCAGAGGAGGCCGGTGGAGGGAAGTTAGGTACACTGTGGACCAGCCAGAAGCCCCCATCGTGGTCAAGGAGCAGGACACCTGGACCAAAAGAAGGCATTAGGGGAGGTCGGGCGCAGTGGCTCACGCCTGTAATCCCAGCACTTTGGGAGACCGAGACACACAGATCACCTGAGGTCAGGAGTTAGAAATCAGCCTGGCCAACATGGCGAAACCCCATCTCTACTAAAAATACAAAAATTAGCTGAGCGTGGTGGTGGACGCCTGTAATCCCAGCTACTCAGGAGGCTGAGGCAGGAGAATCGCTTGAACCCAGGAGGTGGAGGTTGCAGTGAGCTGAGATCCACCACTGCACTCCAGCCTGGGCCACAGAGCAAAATTTCATCTCAAACATAAGTAAGTAAGTAAGTAAATAAATAAATAAATAAATAAATAAATAAAAATTTAAAAAAAGAAGGCAGGCCCCACGCAGTGTAATCCCAGCACTTTGGGAAGCCGAGGAGGGCGGATCACCTGAGGTCGGGAGTTCAAGACCAGCCTGGCCAACATGGAGAAACCTCATCACTACTAAAAATACAACATTAGCCGGGCATGGTGGTGCATGCCTGTAATCCCAGCTACTCGGGAGGCTGATGCAGGAGAATCACTTGAACCCAGGAGGCGGAGGTTGCAGTGAGCCGAGATTGCACCATTGCACTCCAGCCTGGGTAGCAAGAGCAAAACTCCTTCTCAAAAAAAAAAAAAAAAAAAAGGCAATTAGAGGGTATTGCTCCAGGCCTCCCAGCAAGCTCATCTGCAATCAGGAACACCCTCAGTTTGCAGCGGGGCTTAGAGAGGGTGCCAGCAGTGTTAGAACCACAGCTGAGCTCAGTTTTTGCAGGCATAAATTCTTATAGTCCAGAATAACGCCAAGAGTAATGTAAGGTAGGGAAACAGGCCAGGTGTGGCGGCTCATGCCGGTAATCGCAGCACATTAAGAGGCCAAGGTGGGTGGATTGCTTGAACCAGGACTTAGAGACCAGCCTAGGCAACATGGCAAAAGCCCACTCTACAAAAATACAAAAAGTAGGCCAGGTGTGGTGGCTCACGCCTGTAATCCCAGCACTTTGGGAGGCCAAGGCAGGTGGATCACCTGAGGTCAGGAGTTCAATATCAGCCTGTCCAACCTGGTAAAACCCCATCTCTACTAAAACATACAACATTTAGCTGGGCATGGTGGCGCACACCTGTAATCCCAGCTACTCCAGAGGCTGAGGCAGAAGAATCGCTTGAACTGGGGAGATGGAGATTGCAGTGAGCTGAGATTGCACCACCGAACTCCAGCCTGGGTGATGGAGAGAGAGTGCCGCAAAAAAAAAAAAAAAAAAAAAAAGCCAGGCGTGGTGGGGGGTACCGGCAGGCCCAGTACTTGGGAGGCTGAGGTAGGAGGATCACCTGAGCCCTGGGAGGTCAAGGCTGCAGTGAGCTGTGATACTGCACTCCAGCCTAGGTGACTGGGTGAGACCTTGTCTAAAAGAAAATAAAATAGGGGAAATAGATGCCCAAGGTCTGACAGGGGAGATCTCCCACCCCACTATGGAGGTCAGGGGTTAGCTTGGAAAAATGCATAGGAACTCGGCTGGGCAGGGTGGCTCATTCCTGTAATCCCAGCACTTTGGGAGGCCAAGGCGGGTAGATCACTTGAGGTAGAAACCAGGAGTTCGAGACCAGCCTGGCCAACATGGTGAAACCTCGTCTGTACTAAAAATATGAAAATTAGCCTGGTGTGATGGTGCGCCTTTAATACCAGCTACTTGGGAGGCTGAGACAGGAGAATTGCTTCAACCCCAGAGGCAGAGATTGCAGTGAGCCAAGATTGTGCCACTGCACTCCAGCTTGGGTGACAGAGCGAACTCCCACCGTCTCAAAAACAAAGAAAAAAAAAAGTTGGGGGGAATAGATGCCCAGGGTCTGACAGTGCAGATCTCCCCGACCACCCCATGCACGTCAGGGGTTACCTTGGAAAAATGGGACCCGAGTCTCTCCCCAGCCCCCAATCCAGGCCTCACCCTTCGTGTGCCCACGCATGGAAGAGTCCTGAGCCTTGCTGGGTTGAGGCGGTTGGTCATTGTAGAGCAGGAAGGCGAGCTGCGGGCGGATAAACGGAGGCAACGTGAAATTCCTCCCAGGCAGGGCAGCCCTAGAGTTTCGCCCCTAGTTGGCCCGGGGCCCCCTTCACCTGGCTGGTGTTGCTCCGGTACAGCGGCTGCAGGCTTCGGCCCACGGCCCCCTCCGGGCTGTTGATGAGTGCCCTGCCGTCCCGCCAGCCTCCGGAGCTCTCGTCCAGATACTTGTACTGCAGCCCTCTCTGCGCCGCCTCCCCGGACCCTCTAAGAGCTGGCAGCTTGTAGACCACGAACCTGGAGGTCGGAGAATGCACAGAAATAGGAGAGAGGGAAGAGAAGGCACCCCAGGGTTCCCCGAGGAGGTAGCCATCCCGGTTGAGTGACCGCAGCCGGACCCCGGGGCGATGGTAGGCCCCCCGCTGCGCACTCACCAGTCTACAGGCTGCCCGGAGTCCCCGTAGCAGGTCAGGGCCCCGGCGGGGACGCACAGCAGCGCTGCCAGCAGCAGCGGGATCATAGCTGCTATGGGGCTGAGATCCAGGAATCTGTGTCGGGACTGCGGGGCGCTGGGTTACATCAGAGGCCAGGACTGGCACCTGGCGCCTTTCACTTCCCTAAACTTGCCTGGGAACCGGGGCGGGGACATCACGAGGGTACAGACTCCTCCCCCGAGACGCGATGCTGCGTTTTGGAGAGGCAAAAGGCAACGCTGAGTCTGCCCAGACCACGCCCACGACGGGCCCGGCGCTCCAGCGTCTCCTGGAGCCTGGCCACCGTTCCTTTTCGTGGTAGCTAATCCCAGCCCACGCTCTTCTGTCTGACCCAACTCCCGCCCGGGTTTCTGGATCAGGCACAAGTTTGTATTTTATTTTTTATTCCAGCCCTACAACCTGGGTCCAACTCTTGGGACCTTTGTTCTTCCTCTTTTTTTTTTTTTTTTTTTTTTTTTTTTTTTGAGACGGAGTTTCACTCTTGTCGCCCAGGCTGGAGTGCAATGGCACGATCTCGGTTCACTGCAACCTCCGCCTTCCTGATTAAAGCGATTATCCTGCCTCAGCCTCCCGAGTAGCTGGGATTACAGGCGCCCGACACCACGCCCGGCTAATTTTTGTAGTTTTAGTAGAGACGGGGTTTTTCCATGTTGACTAGGCTGGTCTCGAACTCCTGACCTCGTGATCCACCAGCCTCGGCCCCCGAAAGTGCCAAGATTGCAGAAGTGAGCCACTGCGCCCCTTAAGAAGCATTTGTGTTCCAGTGTATCTTCCCCTTTTTCTTTCTTTTTTTTTTTCCTTCCTTTTTTTTTTTTTTTTTTCCCGGACAATATCTCGCTCTGTTGCCCAGGCCGGAGTGCAGTGGCGCAATCTTGGCTCACTGCAACCTCTGCCTCCCCAGCTCAAGTGATCCTCTCACCTCAGCCTCCCGAGTAGCTGGGATCACGGGCACATGCCACTATGCCCAGCTAATTTTTGTAGTTTTTTTTTTGAAACACGGTTTCACCATGTGGCTCAGGCTGAACTCCTGAGCTCAAGGGATCCACCTGTCTTGCCTCCCAAAGTGCTGGGATTACAGGCATGTAATCCACGCCACCCAGACTCTCCTTTTTCATTCTGCACGTTTTCTCCAGGATCCCCTGAGCTAGCAAAGAGGTGACTGTATGTTTGTTTTTTGTCGTTTTGAGACAGGATAATGGTTTCTCACCCAGGCTAGAATGCAGTGACTCCATCACAGTTCACTGCAGCCTCAACCTACTGGGCTCAAGAGATCTTCCCAGGTAGCTGGTACTACAGGCCTGTGCCACCACACCCAGATAATTGTTCATTGCAGAGATGAGGGTCTCACTATGTTGCCCAGGCTGCTCTGGAACTCCGGGGTTCAAGTGATTCTCCCACCTCAGCCTCAAAGGATCATGGCAGGGCAAAGGGCTATGGGAATCTGAGTACTGGCTTGAAACTGCCTTTGCAAAAATTATGACAGAAAATTATGTCAGTGAAAGAGCTCTGACCTAACCAACTCCATCTTGCCTTTAATCTCCAAACTGCCCTTGCTTGGTCATTCCTGGAGTGGGGTCAAGCTAACTTTTTTTTTTTTTTTGACACGTTGTCTCACTCTGTCGCCCAGGCTGGAGTCCAGTGGTGTGATCTCAGCTCACTGCAACATCCGCCTCCTAGGTTCAAGCAATCCTCCTGCCTCAGCTTCCTGAGTAGCTGGGATTACAGGCATGCGCCACATGCCCAGCTAATTTTTGTATTTTTGGTAGAGACTGGGTTTCACCATTTTTGGTAGAGATGGGGTTTCACCTTGGGGCTCAGGCTGGTGTCGAACTCCTGGGCTCAAGTGATCTGCCCGCCTCAGCCTGCCAAATTGCTGGGATTAAAGAGGGAGCCACCATGCCTGGCCCCAAGCTAATTTTGGGAGGAATTTAGTTTATAGCTTAAATGATAATAGCCCTTCCCCAAACTAAACTGCCTTTGTAGAAATAATGAAAGGGCACTAGGTTAGGAGGATGAGAGGAGCCTGAATTCTGCTAAACTGTAGGTGTAGTAGTTAAATTATGACCAGCCATTTTTCCGGCCGGGTGCGGTGCCTCACGCCTGTAATCCCAGCACTTTGAGAGGCCGAGGCTGGCAGATTACCTGAGGTCAGGATTTCGAAACCAGCCTGGCCAGCATTTCGAAACCCCATCTCTTCTAAAAATACAAAAATTAGCCCGGCATGGTGGCATGTGCCTGTAATCCTAGCTACCTGGTAGGCTGACACAGGAGAATCACTTGAACCCAGGAGGCAGAGGTTGCAGTGAGCCAAGATGGAACAACTGCACTCCAGCCTGGGCAAGAGCAAGACTCCATCTCAAAAACAAAAACAAAGATGGCCAGCCATTATTCTGGAGGTCACAAGGTTTGCAACTTCCCCAGTTATTTCTGCAAATAACATGACTATTGCAAAACCTAACGCTGGCCTTTTTAGATGTCTTTTTAGGCTTTTTGCATATCTGACAACTGGATGACTCCACCCAGACTAGCGACTCTATGGTCCCCACCCAGAAGCTGACTCAGCAACTGTTTTCCACAGCTCCAGGATTGCAGCAAGGCACCCATTCCCTAGCCCTCCTGCCCACCAAACTGTTCTTGAATAACCCTAGCCTCTGAATTTTCAGGGAGGCTGATTCAAGTAATAAAACTCCCATCTCCCATTTAGCTGGATGTATGTGGATTAAACTCTCTCTATTGCAATCCCTCTGTCTCGATAAATTGGCTCTATCTGGACAGTGGGCAAGATGAACCCCCTGGGCAGTCATAGGCTGTGAACTCTTAAATCCAGGGAGATGTTTGCTGTCAATGTCCGCAGGGTTCAAGGCAGAAGACAAGGACAGTGTAGCCTGAACTGGGTGGGAAAAGAGAGGACAGCAAGGCCTCCAGTGCCCAAGGGGGCTTGTTGGAGTTGAGGGGTGTCACTGTAGTTTAGGAGATGAGGGTGTGTAAGGCCCTCTAATATGACCTCTAGGTTTACAGCCTCCTGCCATCTTCCAGCCTCCAAAACCCAAAAATTCAGGCCAACGCTGAAGCTTTATCTGGGAGGGGCATTTTTATAGGACCCATAACCATTGACAGTTAATATCAGCCACAATAAGGGACCTTCAGGAGCCGCTTTCTAGACCCAGGGTCTCTGGGAAGCCTCATCCCACACCCTCTCCTGCTGTCCAGGGCCATCTGGGAGCTGGTCTGAGTGTCCACTGAGTCCGTTTATTTGGCGGTCTGTCTCACTGGGTTTGCACGACAGTTTGGACATCTCTGTGTGGCTCCCTGTGGCTGAAGGCTTGTCGGATTTTCCGTAAGAGGCTCCCCCAGGGCTGTCTATGGGTCCGTGTTTGATATTTGGGTGGATCTTTGGGAACGCGAGTCCAGGAGAGGGTCCATTCGTGGGAAAACCACCCAGCATTGTGTCACGCGCGTCCGTGTGAAGAGACCACCAAACAGGCTTCTTGTCCCATCCCCAGTCACTAGGAGAGTCCAAGTGCCAGGGCAGGGCTCAAAGGTGGCGCTTCATGTGCAAGGCCAGGTGGTCAGAGCGCGAAAAAGCACGTGGGCAGAGCTGGCAGCGGAAGGGGCGCTGCCCCGTGTGTTTCCGGTAGTGGCGGGTCAGCTCGTCCGAGCGCGCGAATCTCCAGCCGCAGCCTTCCCACGTGCAGGCGTATGGCTTCTCCCCTAGGGGACAAGGAAGCCATAAGCGCCACTGTCTGCCCAGTCATGTCCCCGGGTCCCCTGCATCTGGCCACACCCCTTTACTCAGCCTGGGCTGGGACTAGGATGAACAAAGTGAGGCCCCTAGGGCACAAAATTTAAGGAGGCACTCACTCTCAGAGGCCAGCCAAGTCCAAGTCCCGCCCTCTGCAACCCTTCTTCCCCTGTAACTACAGCGGGCGCCGCGCCCTTTCTCATGTCCGGGGCCCCGCCCCCTCACCTGTGTGCGTGCGCAGATGCGCCTTCAGGTGGGAGCTCTTGGTGTAGCTCTTGCCGCAACCCGGGTGCGCGCACGTGTGCGCTGCCTGCCTCTTGCGCGCCCACGAACGTCGGCCTCGCTTGGATGGCGCGGTCTCGGCTATCACACCTGGATCCTCTGCAGTCCCCCCGAGTCCAGTGCCCACCGTCCCGGGTCCCAAACAACTCAGGAAGGAGGGGGACGTGGCGGGACCGGGCGCGGGTCCCTGGAGCCCGCGGAAGAGCTGGAAGTGCCCTTGGTACTGAGGCGCCGGGTACATCGCGGGGTACCCGGACAGTAGCCCGTAGGGGGCGCCCGACGCCGCAGGCACTGAAAGCCCGGTCCGCGGGAAGTAGCCACCCGAGGAGCCGGCGCCGGGCCCCGGGTACACCGGTTGCAGCGCCAGCGCCTTGGGCTCGGGGGCCGGGGCTGGAGCCAGGGCTGGGCCCACGAAGGCGTCGGGAGCCCGGGCTCGCAGGGCAGGGCGCACCCAACCCGAGTGATCCTCCGAACCCAAAAGCCCAGCCACCAGCCCCGGGCCGCCAGCATATGCGCCCAGAGTCTCGGGCGGCGGCGGATATTGCGCCCCGGAGGCCTCGCTGGGCGCCAGAGCGCAGGTCTGGGGCGCGCCACCGGGCTCCGGGCCCGAGAAGTTGGTGAGGAGGAGATCCAGGTCCCAGGTGGCGTCCGCGCCCCTCTCATCGTCCTCTTCCTCCCCGGGCTGGTCCTCAGACTTCACGTGGAGGGGCGGCTCCGTGGGGTCAGGAGGACCCGGGCCCATGTCCTGCGCCTCTTCGGAGCGCCACCACTGCGGGAGGGAGCAGGCAGCTCGAGGTTCGGTGGACACTGGGGTGCCCTGCCCAGGGACATCGCGGGCTGGACACTCTGACGCAGAGGCTTTGGAAAGGGGTCTTGTTTGCCTGTCTGTCTGTCCCACTTCCCCAACACTGCCCCTCTAACCGCCCCTCTCCCCGCTCCCCCCCCAGCTCCAGGGACAGAAACCGATCAGGTCTGGCTGGAGACAGGAGATAAGACTTCCACTATCTGGAACCACACTCGGGGATGGGGGAAGGGGTAGCAGAGCTGCTGGAGATGGAAAACTGGCAGGGGACGGGGGAGAGGATGCCAGCCTTGACTTAGTTTTCCCCCAGAACATCCCTCTCCTTCCCTGTCTCCCAAAACAAGATTAATTCCGAAATTTTGGATGTCCCCCAGACACACTCATCATTTCCCGCTGATATCTGGAAGATTGTCTGTGAGCCTAGATCTCGTTCCTTTTTTTTTTTTTTTTTCTTGAGATAGGGTCTTACTCTTTTGCCCAGGCTGGAGTGCAGTGGTGCAGCTCACTGTATCCTTAATCTCCTGGGCTCTAATGATCCTCCTGCATCAGCCTACGGAGTACCTGGGACTACAGGCACACGCCCCCATGCCTGGCCTAATGTTTTTGGTATTTTTTGTAGAGATAGGGTTTCACCATGTTGCCCAGGCTACCTTCGTTTTCTATTACCGAAATAGATCACACTTAGAACCTCAAACCCCTAGACCACCCTCCTCACCCCCTGCCAGACTAAGCTGAGATCTCCTCTCCTGGACTGAGCGTACCTCAGTCCTGGTTAAGTCTCTTGATTTCAGGTCAAGATGCAGGTCTGGACCCCAAGATCTGTGACTGTGGCCCTGGATTCCAGCCAGCCCACCTAGACCCCACCTTCTAGGCCCCACCTTGAGGAAGTCATCCTGTGTGTCCGGGAAGGGGCCCAGGGCGGTCAGTGTGCTGATGGAGGGCAAGGCGGTCTCGGCTGTGGCCATGGCTGGCTGGTGCCCACCCTGGGCCTCAAGCCTCCTCTTCCTCGGCTGCCTCGTGAACTCTGAGGCTGTGATAGCCCCTTCGAGGGCTCCTCTCTGTCCTTAGCTGATTGGCTGCAGCCTCTGATAAGGCAAAGCAAGGCAAGGCGGCGGGGGGGCACTGTTTCTGGGGCACAAACTTCACGTTGGCCTGTCTGGGGCTGGGGTTAAAGACTAACCCTGTGTCCAAAGCCAAGTCAAATATCAAGGGTTGGGGGGTTCAGGGTTTGAGGGTCCAGGTGCTGGGTAAAAACAGACATTGGGTCTCCAAAGAAGGAGAGACTTGGGGGTCTTCCCTCAGTTAACTTTCCTGGAAAAGGCAGAAAGGGTATTCTGGGAAGAAGCTGTGGGACCCCCTGTCCCCCTGATTGAGGCTCCACAGCCCTCCCCCTCCCCAGTAAACAGCAACAACCGTGCTGATGGCGGGACTTGGCACGAGCTCCCCGCCAAGCATTATCAGACACCCCAGACGTTGGAGGCTGCTATCAGGTGGGGGCCCAGGCCAGCTAGAGCTCTGTCCTCCGGTGAAGGGGAGGGCTGGGAGTTGGGTCTTCAAATTAGCCTGGCGTTCAATTTGCCTGGGTTGGGACCTCCCAGGGTCTCAGCCCTGCAGCAGGAGGAAGCCCCTGACAACTGGCCCACCATTGTCTACTGGGGACCCTTGGGTGGCACTGCATGGGACTGCATGGAGGCTGGTTCAGTGCCAGCTGCTTTAGTGCGATGGGGGCAGCCAAGGGAAAAGTGACCCTCTCTCCTCCTGGGTGGGATAGGACCGTTGGATCAAGCCACAGGCAGTACCTGACCTGCAGGAGACCAGTGCCCTGGCTCTGGGCCTGGCTGCTCCTTGATTCTGCCCAACATGAGGAGAGGATCTGAGTTTCTACAACAGGAACCTCCACTCTGGTGCCCTGGGAGCCTGGGAAGGGGACATGGATACGTATTACAGACACATAACTCATAGTCACTCATTGGAAGACTGAGGCAGGAGGATCACTTGACACCAGGATTTCAAGACCAGCCTGGGCAACATAAAACCTATCTCTCCAACAAAAAGCTGTGAGTGGTGGTGCATGCCCATAGTCCCAGCTACTCAGGAGGCTGAGGTGGGAGGATTGCCTGAGCCCAGGAGGTCGGGACTGCACTGAACTATAATCACACCACTGCAGTCCAGCCTGGGGCACAGAAAGCAAGACTCTGTCGCTGGAAAAAAAAAAAAGTTGGGTGGCCATCTTTATTCCTGGCAGATCAACCTGGGTGACACAAACAAAAACAAGGCCAGGTGCGGTGGTTCACACCTGTAACCCCAGCACTTTGGGAAGCCAAGGTGGGGAGATCACTTGAGGTCAGGAGTTCGAGACCAGACTGGCCAACAGGATGAAGCCCTCTCTCTGCTAAAAATACAAAAATTAGCTGGGCATTGTGGCACATGCTTGTAATCCCAGCTATTTGGGAGGCTGAGCTGGAGAACTGGTTGAAACTTGGAGGCATGGGGCCAGGCGCAGTAGCTCACGCTAGTAATCCCAGCACTTTGGGAGGCCGAGGCAGGCAGATCACCTGAGGCCAGGAGTTCGAGACAAACCTGGCCAACACAGTGAAACCCTGTCTACTAAAAATATAAAAATAGGCCGGGGATGGTGGCATACACCTCTAATCCCAGGTACCCGGGAGGCTGAGGCACAAGAATCACTTGAGCCTGGGAGGCAGAGGTTGCAGTGAGCCAAGATCATGCCACTGCACTCCAGCCTGGGCTACAGAGTGAGATTCTGTCTCTAAAAAACAAAAACAAAACAGGCTTGGAGCAGTGAGTAGTGGCTCATGCCTGCAGTCCCAGCACTTTGGGAGGCCAAGGTAGGAGGAATGCTCGAGCCCAGGAGTTCAAGACCAGCTTGGGCAACATAGCGAGATCCCATCTCTAAAAACAAAAACAAAAACACAGTTACTCACAGGACCATGCAATTACATAATGACATGAGTTCCTGTTCCCTCAGTCACACTGATCATATAATCCGTGCACATATAATTGTGTGTCTGTCTATGTATATGGACTATGCACAGACATACAATTCCCAGGCACTAAAACACAACCCTATGCTATATTGGTTACACAATGTCATAGCCAAACAATCTCTAAAACACAGAATTCATAATCCACAGGCAGGCACACAGTTATACAATCCTACTGACACAATTTAGCCGTAATTGAGCAGACACACATGGGGAGTCAGATACATTGTCACAGAACTTTTTTTTTTTAGATAGTGTCTCTCTCTGTCACCCAGGCTGGAGTGCAGTGGCATGATTTTGGCTCACTGCAACCTCCACCTCCTAGGCTCAAGTGATTCCTCTGCCTCAGCCTCCCAAGTAGCTGGGATTACAGGTGCCTGCTACCACGCCACGCTAATTTTTTTTTTTTTTTTTTTTTTGAGACAGAGTTTCACTCTTGTTGCCCAGGCTGGAGTGCAATGGCATGATCTCAGCTCACTGCAACCTCTGCCTCCTGGGTTCAAGTGATTCTCCTGCCTCAGCCTCCCGAGTTGCTGGGATTACAGGCACCCACAAGCAGGCCTGGCTAATTTTTGTATTTTTAGTAGAGATGGGGTTTCCCCATGTTGGCCAGGCTGGTCCTGACCTCAGGTGACCCACCCTCCTTGGCCTCCCAAAGTGCTGGGATGACAGGCATGAGCCGCCCCAGCCAGTCAAAACCTACACTTTATACAGTCACACCACCGGTCACTTTTACAATATGTAAAGTAATTATTTAGTCACAGTTGCATAGCTACCAGTGCCCAACCGTAGGGGATGCACCCAGTTAAACACAGACAAACGCAAGGACATGGCATCACAGGTCCTGAGAATCAAGACACACACATTTCTCAACAGATACACAATCAGAATGGGTGCACCACAAATGCACTACACAAAAAGACAAAACAGGCGGGGCGCGGTGGCTCACGCCTGTAATCCCAGCACTTTGGGAGGCCGAGGTGGGTGGATCACTTGAGGTCAGGAGTTTGAGGCCAGCCTGGCCAACATGGTGAAACCCGTCTCTATTAAATATAAGAAAAAAGGCCAGGCATGGTGGCTCACACCTGTAATCCCAGCTACTCAGGAGGCTGAGGCAGGAGAATTGCTTGAATCCAGTAGGCAGAGGTTGCAGTGAGCCAAGATTGCGCTACTGCACTCCAGCCTGGGCAACAGAGTGAGAATCCGTCTCAAAAAAAAAAAAAAAAAAAAAAAATTAGCCAGGCATGATGGCATGCTTCAGTGGTCCCAGCTACTTGGAGGCTGAGGTGGGAGGATCGCCCAGGAGGTGGAAGCTGCAGTGAGCTATGATCGCGCCACTGCACTCCAGCCTGAGCGACAGAACGAGACCCTGTCTAAAAAGAAAAAACAAAAACAAAACAAAACAACCACATAGACTCACAGAATCACACAAGTTCACACACACACACACATACACAGACACAGACACACACACACACACACACACACACACACAGAGTCACAAGTATCTACATGTGCTTCCTGGGACAGACTGGCAGAAAGGTTTGCTAAGATCGCCCACTTGGAGCTCGTCTTCCCCACAACCAGCACCCAATTAGAGAACTCGAGTCTGGCCTCCTGGGTTCAGGAGGACGCCTAGTGCTCGCGCCAGAATTTCTTTGTTTAATTCTTGACTCCCTCCGCACACACCCCCTGCAACTGACCAACCAGGAGTGGGCCGAGCCCTTTCCTACGGCCAATAAGAGGAGAAACCCAGCTGGCCAATCGGTTTCCCGCACTCGTCTTCCGCCCCTACCCCGTCCGCTTCTTAAAGGGGCTAGCCTATCTCTGTCTGGGCCCCCCGATTTCCACAGGCAAGGCTACCTTAGCCCTTTTAAAAGGCAGAGCTGCGGAGGGGGCCGGATTCTAGGAGGAACCAATGAAAAGCCTCACTCGGCCTCCGCTCCTCCCACTTCTTGCTGAGGTCAAAGGCCTGCGTCAGTTGCACTGTAGCCTCGGCAGTGAACCGGGAGGTACTACCAGGTAAGGAAGGTGCGGTAGCCCCAGCCGTGGGTGAGAGGAGCTCCGCTCTGACACCCCCGCTCCTGTAGGTCGCCGTCGTTGCTCCGCTCGCTCTGAGAGAGCATGGCCCTGAGAGGCGTCTCCGTGCGGCTGCTGAGCCGCGGACCCGGCCTGCACGTCCTTCGCACGTGGGTCTCGTCGGCGGCGCAGACCGGTCAGTGTGGGGTCGGGAGTGTGGAGGGAAGGAGGGAGGAACTGGGGGTTTAGGGACTTTCCGGGGTGACTTTCCCGTTCTGTGCTTGCAGAGAAAGGCGGGAGAACACAGAGCCAACTGGCTAAGTGTAAGGACCTCTGGTCGCACCGTGTGTCTGCTGCCCCTGTTCAGCTGTCTGTCTGCCGCAGGTGGACTCTGTCCCAGAATCCGAGAGCTGCCCGAGCGGGGTGGCAGGGTCGTGGCCAGGGTCAGAGGCACTAAGGCAGTGAGTGCGCTGTGCCTGCGGGGCCGGAGAAAAGTCACCTGATCAGTCTCGCTTGCAGCTCGCACTAGCCGGGGGGCGACATGGGTGTTGGGGGGTAGGGCTGATGAGGGTCCGAGAAGGGAGGGCACAGTGATCTTGCGGACTGGACCGAGGCGAATTCCCCTTCCCAGCCTCGCGTCCCGAGTTTGACTGGCAGGACCCGCTGGTGCTGGAGGAGCAGCTGACCACAGATGAGATCCTCATCAGGGACACCTTCCGCACCTACTGCCAGGAGAGACTCATGCCTCGCATCCTGTTGGCCAATCGCAACGAAGGTGGGCGGGCTGGTGGGTGCCCTGAGACTGCTCCTCCGCCTGGAGCCATAGCCACCCCACCTCAAGGCCCCTCTGTCCTTGGGGCTGGGGCTTCCTGTGGCCTAGGCCTGGGCCTGAATTTGGGCACTGGTCCCTTTGCAGTTTTTCATCGGGAGATCATTTCGGAGATGGGGGAGTTGGGTGTGCTGGGCCCCACCATCAAAGGTAGGAACAAGTATCTCTCCACACACTGCAGAACCCTCTGTATTCTGAAAGCCTCTTCCTCCTTCCCTCCCTCCCTTTCTTCCTTCCTTCTCTTTCTTTTCTTTTCCTTTTCTTTCCTTTCTTCTTCCCCCCCAACAGAGTCTGGCTCTGTTGCCCAGGCTGGAGTGCAGTGGCACGATCTTGGCTCACTGCAAATTCTGCCTCCCAGGCTCAAGCGATTCTCCTGCCTCCACCCCTCTAGTAGCTGGGATTACAGGTATGTGCCACCATGCCTGGCTAATTTTTGTATTTTTAGTAGAGACAGGGTTTCACTGTGTTGGCCAGGCTGGTCTCAAACTCCTGACCTCAGGTGATCCGCCCACCTCAGCCTCCTAAAGTGCTGGGATTACAGGCATGAGCCACCACGTTCAGCCTTCTTTTTGAGATGGAGTTTCGCTCTTGTTGTCCAGGCTGGAGTGCAGTGATGCAATCTTGGCTCACTGCAGCCTCCACCTCCCGGGTTTAAGTGATTATCCTGCCTCAGGCTCCCGAGTAGCTGGGATTACAGGCGTCCGCCACCACGCCTGGCTAATTTTTGTATTTTTAGTAGAGGTGGGGTTTCACCGTGTTGGCCAGGCTAGTCTCGAACTCCTGACCTCAGGTGATCCACCCGCCTCAGCCTCCTGATTACAGGTGTGAGCCACCGTTGCCCGGCCCTTTTCTTTTTTTTTTTTTTTTGAGATGGAGTTTCGCTCTGTCACCCAGCCTGGATTACTGGATTACAGTGGTGCGATCCTGGCTCACTGCAGTTTCCTCCTCCTAGGTTCAAGCAATTCTGCCACCTCAGCCTTCTGAGTAGCTGGGATTACAGGGGTGCACCACCACGCCCAGCTAATTTTTGTATTTTTTAGTAGAAATGGGATTTCACCATGTTGGCCAGGCTGGTCTTGAACTCCTGACCTCAGGTGATCCACCCACCTCGGCCTCCCAAAGTGCTGGGATTATAAACGTGAGCCACCGTGCCTGGCCCCTTTGTTTCTTTTTTTAGAGACAGGGTCTCACTGTGTTGCCCAGGCTGTTCTCAAGTGATCCTCTTGCCTTACTGAAAGCCCCCTTCTTTCCCTAAGCCACAATTTCCCAGTCTGTAAAGTGGGGCTGTTGTCCCACCCTCTGAAAGTGGCTGTGGAGATGAAATGAATAAACCTCAGCTAGGGCCAGCTTGGTGCCTGCCTCCTTGTGTGTCCTTATTCAGCCCTGTCTCTTGGGTCTTAGCTGGGCAGGGCCCTGTTCTCTATTGTCCTGCTTTCCCCTCCTACTACCACCAGGATATGGCTGTGCTGGGGTTTCGTCTGTGGCCTATGGGCTCCTGGCCCGAGAGCTGGAGCGGGTGGACAGTGGCTACAGGTCGGCGATGAGTGTCCAGTCCTCCCTCGTCATGCACCCTATCTATGCCTATGGCAGCGAGGAACAGCGGCAGAAGTACCTGCCCCAGCTGGGTGAGTGGCTGCCCATGGGGCCTGGTGGAAGGAAGACAGTCTCTGAGGTCTGGAACTCAAGGGTGGGGCTGTCCCCTGAGCCTATTCTGTCCCTATCTCAAAGATAGCATAAGTGGCCACCTGGACCCCCGCCAGACCCTGGGCTTCACCTGGAGATCTGATCCCTGGCCAGCCTGACTGTCCCCCTCTGTGACCACCGTCATCTCCCTATGCTTTCTGTGTTCCCCAGTCCAGCCCAAAGTTTAAAGTCCACCAGGTTCCTGCTGGCCATTTGCAGTGGCTCACACCTATAATCCCAGCACTTTGGGAGGGTGAAGTGAGAAGATCCCTTGAGCCCAAGAGTTCGAAACCAGCCTGGGCAACGTAAGGAGACCCCATGTCTATTAGAAAAACAAAAAAAGGAAAGAGCCTATGTGACCTGCGCTAAGTGGACGTTGGCCCTCTTCCGTGGTGTCTCGGAGGTGTTCAGCTGCTTCAAGATGAAGCTGAACATCTCCTTCCCAGCCACTGGCTGCCAGAAACTCATTGAAGTGGACGATGAACGCAAACTTTGTACTTTTTATGAGAAGCGTATGGCCACAGAAGTTGCTGTTGACGCTCTGGGTGAAGAATGGAAGGGTTACGTGGTCGGAATCAGTGGTGGGAACAATAAACAAGGTTTCCCCTTGAAACAGGGTGTCTTGACCCATGGCCGTGTCCACTTGCTACTGAGTAAGGGGCATTCCTATTACAGACCAAGGAGAACTGGAGAAAGAAAGAGAAGATCAGTTCATGGTTGCATCGTGGATGCCAATCTGAGTGTTCTCAACTTGGTTATTGTAAAAAAAAGGAGAGAAGGGTATTCCTGGACTGACTGAGACTATGATGCCTCGTCACCTGGGGCCCAGTACAGCTAGCAGAATCCGTAAACTTTTCAGTCTCTCTAAAGAAAATGATGTCTGCCAGTATGTTGTAAAAAAGCCCTTAAACAAAGAAGGTAAGAAACCTAGGACCAAAGCACCCAAGATTCAGCGCCTTGTCACTCCACATGTCCTGCAGCACAAACAGCGGCGTATTGCTCTGAAGCAGCCGCATATTAAGAAAAATAAAGAAGAGGCTGCAGAATATGCTAAACTTTTGGCCAAGAGAATGAAGGAGGCTAAGAAGCACCAGGGACAAATCGTGAAGAGACGCAGACTGTCCTCTCTGCGAGCTTCCACTTCTAAGTCTGAATCCAGTCAGAAATAAGATTTTTTGAGTAACAAATAAGATCAGATTCGCAAAAAAAAAAAAAAACCCACAAGGCCCTGTGTGACCAGGCCTCTGCTGACCTTTCCACCTCATCTCTGGCCACTCATGTGATCCTCCCAGCCAGACTTAGCTACTTGAAATTCTCCAGAAGTACCACCAGTTCTTTACACATCTGTTCCCTCTCCCAGCACTGCTCTTCCCCACAGCCTCCTCCTGCTTAACTCCTCACACCCTTCCAGTTTGGCCAACTCCTTCCTGATTCCCTGGGTCCCCCTCCCCATCTTGGCATTGTGATCATGACTTTGGGGTAACCTGTCTCTTGAAAGCAGGGCCAGATCTAACTTAGTTATGAGGTCTGACTCAGGGGCGAGGGTAATTTTTTTTTTCTTTTTTTGAGACAAAGTCCCGCTCCGTCCCCCAGGCTGAAGTGCAGTGGTACAATCTTGGCTCACTGCAACCTGCGGTTCCCCAGTTCAAGCAATTCCTGTGCCTCGGCCTCCCAATTAGCTGGGATTGCAGGTGCTTGCTACCCGTGCCTGGCTAATTTTTGTATTTTTAGTAGAGATGGTGTTTCACTATGTTGGCCAGGCTGGTCTCGAACTCCAGACCTCAAGTGATCCATCTGCCTTGGCCTCCCAAAGTGCTGAGATTACATGTGTGAGCCACCTCGACTGGCCTAATTTTTTGTATTTTTAGTAGAGATGGGGTTTCACCATATTGGTCAGGCTGGATTTTTTTTCTTTTTTGAGATGGAGTCTTGCTCTGTTGCCCAGGCTGTAGTGCAGTGGCATGATCTTGGCTCACTGCAACCTCTCCTGCCCGGGTTCAAGCGATTCTCCTGCCTCAGTCTCCTGAGTAGCTGGGATTACAGGCACCCACCACCACATCTGGCTATTTTTTTTTTTTTTTTTTTTTAAGTAGAGATGGGGTTTCACCATGTTGGCCAGGCTGGTCTGGAACTCCTGACCTCAATTGATCCACCTGCCTTGGCCTCCTAAAGTGCTGGGATGACAGGCGTGAGCCACTGCACCCCGCCACGAGGATAATTTTTGAGTAAGGGGATGTATCAGGGACCAGGCAGCCTTGTGACTTTGTCTTGTGCCTGCAGCCAAGGGGGAGCTCCTGGGCTGCTTCGGGCTCACAGAGCCCAACAGCGGAAGTGACCCCAGCAGCATGGAGACCAGAGCCCACTACAACTCATCCAACAAGAGCTACACCCTCAATGGGACCAAGACCTGGTAAGGGTTCTGGGTGGTGGGCAGGTGGTGAACAGGGGCAAAGGGGCACTGGTCAGACCCCTCACCGACTGTTCCATCCCCAGGATCACGAACTCGCCTATGGCCGATCTGTTTGTAGTGTGGGCTCGGTGTGAAGATGGCTGCATTCGGGGCTTCCTGCTGGAGAAGGGGATGCGGGGTCTCTCGGCCCCCAGGATCCAGGGCAAGTTCTCGCTGCGGGCCTCAGCCACAGGCATGATCATCATGGACGGTGTGGAGGTGCCAGAGGAGAATGTGCTCCCTGGTGCATCCAGCCTGGGGGTAAGTGGCAGCCACTTTGGGAATGGGTGTTGGGTCACCTGCGGATGCGGCTTTGTCAGGCAGGCTCCGTGCTGGGGACGCGGCTCCCTGTGCCTGTGGAGCCCACACAGTGGTGATTCTTACTCAGCCGGACTCGCTGACGTGCTGAAAACTGCCCCCATTTGGTGACCGTCTCGCTCATCCCGGCTCTGCCCGGGACACATGGGCCTGAACCAGCTCAGTCATTTGACTCACAGTGCATCTTCTGGCATCCGTCAGCCTCCTGGCTCTGAGCATCGAACCCAGATGCCAGGCTGGGTGGGACTGTGTGCAAACCGAGTGAGCAGGCACCGAGCTTCAGTGCCAGGGCCATCTGTGATGTGAACCACAACCTGAGTCCCCCTGCGTGGGGTGGCTGGGGAGGAGGCTTTCCCTGCTTCAGAGTTGGTTCTGCATAGGCCCTCTTGGTGTCTCTTGGGTGGGCCTGAGGCGCCATCTCAACCCTACAGGGTCCCTTCGGCTGCCTGAACAACGCCCGGTACGGCATCGCGTGGGGCGTGCTTGGAGCTTCGGAGTTCTGCTTGCACACAGCCCGGCAGTACGCCCTCGACAGGTGTGTGAGGGCTGCAGTGAGATTCTCTGGGGGTGTGGGGCAGCTTGGGTTTCACTCTCTATACCATGGGTGACTCCCCAGCCCCCACCCACCAGGCCTGAGTTCCTTGCTCTGGAATGACCAGTGACGTCCTTCTGAGCAGCTGTGGGCTGAGTCAACGGCAGGGCCAGGGCAAGCTTGGGGGCACTGAGGCAGCCTGGGAAGGCGTCCTGGAGCAGGGGGCCCCAGGACAGGGACGGGGTGGGAGAGTGGGCCTCCCCTCGCTCTTACCCTGCCATTGCCCATGTAGGATGCAGTTTGGTGTCCCACTGGCCAGGAACCAGCTGATTCAGAAGAAGCTGGCAGACATGCTCACTGAGATTACCCTGGGCCTTCACGCCTGCCTGCAGCTCGGCCGCTTGAAGGACCAGGACAAGTAGGGGCTGTGTGGTGGGGGCGGGGGGATGGCAGCGGTGGCTGGAGGACCTTGTGTCCTTCCTGGAGAGAAAGGTCCTTCCTGCCTGGTGGCCCTGGGGACCTGAACCTTCTGCTGTCCCTCTTGTCCTTGATGGGCTGGGCTGAGGACAGCCCCACTGGTCCCTCATTGGGAGCTTGGCTGCATCAGGGAATCCCCACCCCGGGCTAGGTTTGCTTGGAGCATCGGGATGCCAGGATCCCCAGTCCTTGTTACCCTCATGTGCCACTCCCAGGGCTGCCCCCGAGATGGTTTCTCTGCTGAAGAGGAATAACTGTGGGAAAGCCCTGGACATCGCCCGCCAGGCCCGAGACATGCTGGGGGGGAATGGGATTTCTGACGAGTATCACGTGATCCGGCACGCCATGAACCTGGAGGCCGTGAACACCTACGAAGGTAGGAGCTGGACCTCAGAGGGCTCACTGAGGCCTCAGTGTCTGGGGAGGGGGTACAGGGAGGTGGGACGGGGACAGGTCTGAGTCCAACTCCACCTATCACTAAGTGACAGTGTGACCTGGGGCGAGCCTTACCCCTCTGTCCCTCATCTGGAGTTACTCACATGGGGACTGTGGAAGTGAAGTGCTTCATGCAGCACACAGAGGCCCCATCAGGCCTTGCGAGGGGCTCCCAGCTCTTTCTCCCACATGCTCGGGAGGAGGGATGTTCCTGAGACAGGTAAGCTCCGAAGGCAGCCCAGGGGTGAGGCCCGACTCCTAGCAGGCTGGTGGACGCAAGGGAGTGAGCGAAGCTACACGCAGGAATCAACGCTCCATTTTGTTAAGAGACAAAAGTCATCTTCAGATGACGGTGTTTGCACCCTGTAACTGATGGTGATTTACATGGGGGTCCAGAACCCCTTGCTTGGTGGGAAGACAGATGTGGAAAAAGATACTTAAAAAAAAAAAAAAAGTGCAAACCCAGCATGCGCTATGTAGAAATAGAGGGAGGTATGAGGACCCCCCGGGCAGAGATGCTTCCAGACAGAGAGAACAGCAAATGCAGGAGGGGTGCCTTCCCTGCGCACCTTGCAACCCCAGATCTTGTCTCTATCTGGCATCTGGGGGGTGGGGGGATCCTACAAATGTGAGAATGACCCTGAGGACAAGCAGCGGGCGCCATGAGATGGTTTTATGCAGAGAAGGGATGAGTCAGATTTGGTGCTTTAGGGGCTCGGCGCAGTGGCTCACACCTGTAATCCCAGCGCTTTGGGAGGCTAAGGCAGGAGGATTGCTTGAGCCCAGGAGTTAGAAGTTATGATGAGCTATGATCACCCCACTGCACTCCAGCCTGGGTGACAGAGTGAGACCCTATCTATATTTAAAAAAAATAGGTTTGTACTTTAGGAAGTAAACAGAATTGGCTCTAAAAAGGAGGCTACAATCTGCCTTCTGCTTCAAGGAGCTGGGGAGGAGCAAAGGATGAGACACCAGGGCATGGGGTGTGGGATTCTCTGGGAGAGGCGGCTTCAGATGGGCAGAGGTCAGCTGAGGCAAGTGACTGCTCTTCCGATGTGCTGTCCCTCCTATCCCTCCCGAGGGTAAGAAAGGGCTTGCTGTGTTTCCTTGGAGCTCAGGGGTGCTTTCAGCCTCTGTGGCAAGGAAGCGTGGCCAGGTTGAAAATCAAACATTTAATAAACTGTGGGGCTGGGGGTGGGGAGAACTTGCCAAGGGTGGGGAGCACGAAGCCTGGGCCTATGGCAGGGGCTGGACTTGCTACATTTTGGGAGTTCAGCACAAGGAGCTTTGGGTTTTTGTTTTTTTCTGCCAAGATGCATTATAGAACCATGAAAAACAATTTCTCAGTGTGGCCCAAATGGTGGCCTCACAGTCTTCTCCTGGAGACTGTCACTAAGGCGTGAGTCTCCCGGCAGCTGTCAGCATTCACCATCTCTGTTGGTCTGTACTTCTGAAGCAGTGGCCTGGGGATACATGAAAATTGATTTTAAAGGGAAGTTGTGAGCTATGAAAACTCCAAACCGACTCTGTATTAATCTTGTCCAGGTACACATGACATTCACGCCCTGATCCTTGGGAGAGCTATCACGGGAATCCAGGCGTTCACGGCCAGCAAGTGAGCCGCTCCATCAGGGGCCCGAAACTCTCAAGCCCCTTTCTGGAGAGATGCCTGGCTGGACCGTAGGAGCGCTGTGCTCTGAGCTTAGAAAGGGAGGTGGCGGATGGAGTGGGAAGTGAGAGACACTGATTTTTAAATATCAAAATTTCCCTTCTGAAGTCGTTCAGATGTGTTCCTTAAAAAGAAGATGGAATTCTCTGTAGAGCGTCTCAATCCACTTTTAACCATGGATGAGAGCAGACTCCATTTACCCTGAAATAGCAGCTTCTCTTGAGAGGAGAGTGACATGGAAGCAACTCCGTCTGCTGCAGCTGACCCCCTCACACTGAGTTCACAGTGCGCCCTCCCTCCCTCCCATCTGGGGGTAGTGCCTTATGCTGGGTGTTGGAGCAGAGTGAGGGAGAGGAAAATAAAGACCTGCACATCTGACCCCAAGGTGTCAGGCCGGTTTACTGGTAACCACCTGAGAAGTAGTTTCAGCCACAGAAGAAACGAACACGTCTGGGGGCTGTGAGTTGCCGGGACGTGGTGGGGACTTTCCCCTAGAGTGGTCTGGCCCCCATCTGAGTCTTAGGCTCTGCTGTAAAAAAGAAACCCAGGTTAGCAGTGCCGGTCTGTGCCAGGGCTGTGGGCAGAGGGGATGATTTCTGAGTGGCAGGGGTGCAAGGGACTTTGTCCTTTCTGTCACCACAGAGCTGCTCATACAACAGTGGGACATGACAACGGTTTGGCTTCTCAGCTCAGACACACCATGTTATAGGGGATCACAAACAAGATGGTGAGTGCACCAAGGGCTTTGCAGGGACTGTGGCCTGGCGGGGTCAGGGCTGGGTGCCTGGTTTCTGTTCACATTTACTCTTGGCTGGGCCATCCCTGTCCTCTTCCTCAGGCAGCGCCCCCCCTGTGAGTTTACTCATACCTCAGGCTGGAGACACAGGTCTTTGTACACAGTCTCCACGCTGTGGCAGACTTGTTTGAGCTCTGTCTCCAAATGGCTGATCTTTGCCATTTTCTGGGTGAACTCTTGGAGCTTTTCCTGGATGATCTTGTTGTGGTCATTATAAATCTGATAGATCCTCTCCTCTAATTTCTCTGTCAGATCCGAAACCTGTTAAACAATAAGATGTGTTCTCGGAAAATCAAACAAGAGGTATCACAAGACATCTGTGTTAAGTGGGTTTCTTAGATTTCTGCAATTTATCTTATGAAAATGACAAAATAGGCTGGGCACGGTGGCTCATGCCTGTAACCCCAGCACTTTGGTAGGCCAAGGTGGGTGGATTACTTGAGGCCAGGAGTTCAAGACCAACCTGGCCAACATGGTGAAAACCCATCTCTATTAAAAATATAAAAGCTAGGACGGGTGTGGTGGCTCACGCCTGTAATCCTAACACTTTGGGAGGCCGAGGCGGGCGGATCACGAGGTCAGGAGATCGAGACCACTGTGAAACCCCGTCTCTACTAAAAATACAAAAAAATTTAGCCGGGCGAGGTGGCGGGCGCCTGTAGTCCCAGCTACTTGGGAGGCTGAGGCAGGAGAATGGCGTGAACCCGGGCGGCGGAGCTTGCAGTGAGCTGAGATCGCGCCACTGCACTCCAGCCTGGGCTACAGAGCAAGACTCCATCTCAAAATAAATAAATAAATAAATAAATAAATAAATAAATAAATACACAAATACATAAAAACTAACTGGGCATGGTGGTGTGCACCTGTAATCCCAGCTACTCGGGAGGCTGAGACAGGAGAATTGCTTGAACCTGGGAGGTGGAGGTTGCAGTGAACCAAGATGATGCCATTGCACTCTAACCTGGGCAACAAGAGCAAAACTCCGTCTCAAAAAAAAAAAAATTAGCAAGGCATAGGTGACGCGCACTTGCAGTCCCAGCTACTCGGAAGGCTGAGGCAGGAGGATCACTTGAGCCCAGGAGTTGGAGGCTACAGTGAGTCATGATCACACTACTGCACTCCAGCCTGAGAGACCCTACCTCAAAAGAAGAAAAGAAAAACACCAAAAACTAAAACCCAGTGCAGTGACTGGGGGTCAGATTGCCTATATTTTAAATTTTTTTGCTTTTTTTGTTTTGTTTTCTTGCGGCGGAGTTTCGCTCTCATTGCCCAAGCTGGAGTTCAATGGCATGATCTTGGCTCACTGCAACCTCCGCCTCCTGGGTTCAAGCGATTCTCCTGCCTCAGCCTCCCGAGTAGCTGGGATTACAGGCGAGCGCCACCACACCCAGCTAACTTTTTGTATTTTTAGTAGAAACGGGGTTTCACCATGTTAGCCAGGCTGGTCTCCAACTCCTGACCTCAGGAGATCCCCACCTTCAGCCTCCCAAAGTGCTGGGATTACAGGCATGAGCCACTGCACCTGGCCTGTTAAATTTTTTTAAGAGGCAAAAGTATATACAGTCGTGTGCTGCATAATGACATTTTGGTCAATGTCAGACTGTATATACAATGATGGCCCATAAGAGTATAATGCCATATTTTTACTGTACCTTTTCTATGTTTATATATATTTAGATACACAAATACTTACCATCATGTTATAAGTGCCTACAGTATTCAGTATGGTAACATGCTGTGTGCAGGTTTGTAGCTTAGGAGCAATAGGCTCTTCCACGTAGCCTAGGTGTGTAGTAGACTATACCATCTAGGTTTGTGTAAATTCAATCTATGATGTTCAGATGATGACAGTGTCACCTAGGGATGCATGTCACAAAACTGTACAGTACAAGCTCAGCCAGGTTAGGAAGAAAGTACACAGAATAGAAGAGGCATCCAACAAAGTGGCCTCTGGGTGCTGTATCAAAATAAATAAATAAATAAATAAATGTTTTTGTATCTTTTCTACTAGAGGCCAAGGCAGCAGGGTGAGGAGTTCAAGACCAGCCTGGGTAACATAGCAAGATCCCATCTCTACAAAAAAAATGTTTAAAGAAAATTAGCTGGGCATGGTGGTGCACACCTGTAGTCTCAGCTACTTAAGAGGCAGAGGTGGGAGGATCATTTGAGCCCAGGAGTTTGAGGCTCCAGTGAGCTGTGATCGTGCCACTGCTCTGTAAGCCTGGGCAACAGAGTGAGACGCCACCTCTAAAAATATAAATAAATAAATAAAACAAGTGAGCCGGGCATGATGTTGCATGCCTATAGTCTCAAGCTACTCGAGAGGCTGAGGTGAGAAGATTGCTTGAGCCCAGGAGTTCAAGATTGCAGTGACCTATGATTCCACCACTGCACTGCAGTCTGGGCAACAGCAAGGCTTGTCTCAAAAAAAAAGAAAAAGGAAAATAAAGTCAATCTGTCATCAAGACACCTAGAACCAGCAAGCTGTCCCACTCATGTGACCCATTATGTATTTTGTTTGTTTGTTTGTTTGCTGGAATTATAGGCACGTGCTACCATGCCTGGCTAATTTTTTTTTTTTTTTCGAGACAGCCAAGATCGTGCCACTCTACTCCAGCCTGGGCTGGGCAACAGAGCGAGACTCTGTCTCAAAAAAAAAAAAAAAAGAAAAAGAAAAAACCAGAAAGAGGCAGTCTTCTTTTTCTTCTTTTTTTTTTTTTTTGAGATGAAGTCTTGCTCTGTCACCCAGGCTGGAATGCAGTGGCGGGATCTCTGCTCACTGCAAGCTCCGCCTCCCGGGTTCAGGCCATTCTCCTGCCTCAGCCTCCTGAGTAGCTGGGACTACAGGCGCCCGCCACCACGCCCAGCTAATTTTTTGTATTTTTAGTAGAGACAGGGTTTCATCATGTTAACCAGGATGGTCTTGATCTCCTGACCTCGTGATCTGCCCGCCTCGGCCTCCCAAAGTGCTGGGATTACAGGCCTGAGCCACCACGCCCGGCCCTCTTCTTTTTTTTTTTTTGAGACGGAGTCTCACCTGTCACCAGGCTGGAGTGCAGTGGTGCAATCTCGGCTCACTGCAACCTCCGCCTCCCAGGTTCAAGCAATTCTGTCTCATCCTCCCGAGTAGCTGGGACTACAGGCGCGCACCACCATGCCCAGCTAATTTTTGTATTTTTCATAGAGACGGGGTTTCACCATGTTGGCCAGGATGGTCTCCATCTCCTGACCTTGTGATCCCCCTGCCTCAGCCTCCCAAAGTGCTGGGATTATAGGCGTGAGCCACCACACCTGGCCCCTATTTATTTATTTTTGAGACGAAATCTTGCTCTCTAGCCCAGGCTGCAGTGCCGTGCAGAGCCACTGCACTGAGCCAATTTTTTTATTTTTAGTAGAGACGTGGTTTCACCATGTTGGCCAGGCTGGTCTCGAACTCCTGGCCTCAAGTGATCCACCTGCCTCGGCCTTCCAAAGTGCTGGGATTACAGGCGTGAGCCACTGTGCCTGGTCCCCCCATTATATATTCTGAAGAGGCATCAGGTGCAACCATTCATGTAGGACCTGAACATCACACCAGCTTTTGCAAGATGTAAGCCCTGGGCATGTGGAAGAAGCTCCACTCCCCCGTCACAGACCATTCGATGGCTTCTGCAGGACATATGGGTGTGACAATGCAAGTTGTGCCTCAACCCCCTACTCCCGTGGCTGCTCGACCTTGCGTGAAGTAAGAGGGCTGCGTGTTGGAGGCAGGAGGGCATCCAACGCCCCGCTCCCTCAGCCTGGCTCTCTCGTCAGGCAAATCATTCATTTCCAAGCCTTATCTATATCATGGGTCCAATCTCTTCTCTGTAGGACTATTCTAAGGGTAAATTGAGATACAGATGGTCCCAACTTACTACAGTTCAACTTACTACATTTTTGACTTACAGCATTTTCAACTCACAATGGGTTTATTGGGACGTAGCCCCATCATAAGTGGAGGAGCTCCTGTGCTGTGTGTGAATGGCCTAGCACCGTGCCTGGTGTACAACAGACACCATCAGTGGTTCATTCCCTCCCCTTTTGCATAAGGAATCCCCCCTCTCGCTGGGTGGAGTCTGTCACCTTGGTCTTCAGGCTGTTCCTGAAGTTGGTCATGAGTGCATGGTCCTTTTGCCGGCTCTTGTTGATGTTTTCGATCAGCTCCTGGGCTCTCTTCTGCAGGATGTCAATGCTTGAGTCCAGAGAGGAGAAGTAGAGTCCCGACTTCCCTTCCAGGACCGTCAGCTGGCAACTGGCACTGGAGGTGGCGACACAAGGGCAAGAAACCTGACTTCTCAGAGTACAGGAAGCGGCCAGGTGTAGTCGCTCATGCCTGTAATCTCAGCACTTTGTAGGCCGAGGTGGGCGGATCACAAGGTCAGGAGTTCGAGACCAGCCTGGCAACATGGTGAAACCTCGTCTCTAGTAAAAACAAAAAAACAAAAAATTAGCCAGGCACGGTGGCACGTGCCTGTAGTCCCAGCTACTTGGGAGGCTGAGGCAGGAGAATTGCTTGAACCCAGGGGATGAAGTTGCAGTGAGCCGAGATCACGCCACTGTACTCCAGCCTGGGTGACAGAGCGAGACTCCGTCTAAAAAAAAAAAAAGGACAGGATGCTGAGATCAGCACCAGACTCTTCCAAGAGCGGCTGATCTGAGAGAGATCAGGTGGGAGGGGACCCGCGTTGTTGCCTTCCATGGGTGACACGAGGCATGCTTCCTAGGTTATTCCATTCACACACACGCCCTGAATGATGAGAATGGCACCCCCATTTTATAGCTGAGAAAACAGACCAAGAGGCACGACTAAATATGCCCAAGGTTCCAGACCAAGGAGGTCTGTCTGTCCCCAAAGCCCACTGTTATTTTATGACACCAACTTGCTTCTTTGGAATTTTGGAATACCAATAATAGTGTCAATGCTTTCTTTCTTTTTTTTTTGAGACGGAGTCTCACTCTGTCGCCCAGGCTGGAGTGCAGTGGCGCGATCTCGGCTCACTGCAAGCTCCACCTCCCGGGTTCATGCCATTCTCCTGGCTCAGCCTCCTGAGTAGCTGGGACTACAGGCGCCCGCCACCACGTCCAGCTAATTTTTTGTATTTTTAGTAGAGACGGGGTTTCACCGTGTTAGCCAGGATGGTCTCCATCTCCTGACCTCGTGATCCGCCCGCCTCAGCCTCCCAAACTGCTGGGATTACAGGCGTGAGCCACCGCGCCCAGCCCAATGCTTTCTTTCTTATTTTCTTTTTTTTTATAGAGACAGGTCTTTCTCTGTTGCCCAGGCTGGAGTGCAGTGGCACAATCATAGCTCACTGCAGTGTCAGCTTCAAGTGATCCTCCCACCTCAGCCTCCTGAATAGGTGGGACTACAAGCATGTGCTACCATGCACAGCTAATTTTTAAAATTTTTAAATAGAGACTGGGCTTCACTATGTTATTCAGGCTGCTCTCAAACTTCTGGCCTCCCAAAATGTTGGGATTACAGGCATGAGCCACTGCGCCTGACTGATGCAATCAGCAATCTCCTGCAACCTCTGTCTCCTAGGTTCAAGCCATTCTTCTGCCTCAGCCTCCCGAGTAGCTGGAATTACAGGTGCACACCACTACACCCAGGTAATTTTTGTGTTTTTAGTAGAGACAGGGTTTCACCATATTGGCCAGGCTGGTCTCGAACTCCTGACAAGTGATCCTCCTGCCTCGGCCTCCAAAAGTGCTGGGATTACAGGCGTGAGCCACTGCGCCCAGCCTGATGCTTTCTTAAGTGACCTTCCTGTCATTAACCTGCTGCATCCCTTTCCCAACCTACTGGGTGATGTTGACCGCCTGGGGCTACAGTGTACCTGCACCTCCTTGCTCCCACCAGGTGAGGTGAATACCTGTTGAATTATATTTAAAGAGCATTTAAAGAAATGCGCACACACAAAAAGTTGTTGGTCCCATGTTGTACATGTAACTGTAATTATGTAATTCAAATATTGTGTTAACAAGTGAAATAGTGGCAGAAGAGTGACAGCTATCTAAAAAGCTAAACAGAATGAAAAATTTTGAGTAATATGTAATGTTCCGTAACTTCATAATATTCAATGTAATAAAATGGAACTTCAGTTGGGTATGGGAGAGAGAACTAAAATTGAAGCAAAGATCATAAAAATCTAGAAAAATTCTGCATATAGATTGCTCTGCCAAGGCCTTGTTCTCTGCTTTAAAAACAGAACTGGGGCCGGGCGCGGTGGCTCAAGCCTGTAATCCCAGTACTTTGGGAGGCCGAGGTGGGTGGATCACAAGGGCAGGAGTTCGAGACCAGCCTGGCCAACATGGTGAAACCCCATCTCTACTAAAAACACAAAAAATTAGCCAGGCGCAGTGGCAGGCGCCTGTAATCCCAGCTACTCAGGAGGCTGAGGTACAAGAATCGCTTGAACTCGGGAGCCGAGATCACACCACTGCACTCTAGCCCGGGCAACAGAGTAAGACTTCGTCTCAAAAATAAATAAATTAATTAAATTAAATTAAAATAAATTAAAACAACTGAAAATTGTGGGTAATGCATTGTGAATGAAGTTTATGGAAAAAATGTGATCTGATAAGGCAACCCATTGGTATTTTAAATTAAGATATATTTTTTCTTCTTCTGATGCTCTGGTTTATTTGACCGGTTTGACGTCTGATCAGTTAGCGGTTCTGGCCAGGTAGAGCTGCCCCTGTGAGTCACAGCTAACTTTTCCTCAGCCATGTTCCCGGCACTGAGCTAAGTCACATGCCTTGTCTTGGTGCATCCTCACGACCACACTCGGGTCATCTGCTGTTCTCTTTACGACATGGGCTTAGAGTGGTTACACCACCTTCTCAAGGTGGAGGACAGTCTGTGGCAGAGCTGGGCTTTGTACCCAGAAGGCCTGACTTCCCAGCTGGTATCCTGCTTCCTACTAAGGCACTCAGGCGCCACTCCCCTCCTGGATCTTACATTTCCTCGTCGCCCTCTGAGGTCCTCCAGCTCTGAAAGGCCAAGCCTTGTAGGTGTGGACAGAGCAGTTCCTGAATGCAGCAGGTCACACTTGTGTCCACAAGCAGGTTACTGATTACTTACAAAAATAAATCTTGGCCAGGCACAGTGGCTCACGCCTGTAATCCCAGCATTTTGGGAGGCCGAGGCGGGTAGATCACCAGAGATCAGGAGTTCGAGATCAGCCTGGCCAACATGGTGAAACCCCGTCTCTACTAAAAATACAAAAATTACCCAGGCATGGTGGCATGTGTCTGTAATCCCAGCTACTAGGCGGACTGAGGCAGGAGGATCGCTTGAACCTGGGAGGCAGAGGTTGCAGTGAGCTGAGATCGTGCCACTGCACTCCAGCCTGGGCAACAGAGCGAGACTCCATCTCAAAAATATAAAATAAAATAAAAATAAATCTCAGCTATCTCAACCAGGCACAGTGGGCTCACGCCTGTAATACCAGCACTTCGGGGGGCTAAGGCAGGTGAATCGTGAGCTCAGGGTTTTGAGACCAGCCTGGGCAACATGGCAAAACCCCATCTCTACAAAAAACACAAAAATTAGCCGAGTGTGGTGGTGTGTACTTGTAGTCCCAGCTACTTAGGAGGCTGAGGTGAGAGGATCACTTGAGCCCGGGAGGTCAAGGCTGCAGTAAGCTTGATCATGCCACTGCACTGGAGCCTAGATGATATCACGCCACTGTACTCCAGCCTGGGCGACAGAGTGAGACCCTGTTTCAAACAAACAAACAAAACAACCACAACACACATATACACCCCTCCCCTCTCCACCCGGTCTCCCCCAGCCGGCCACCTCCCTCTTTCCTCCCCATCAAGGCCAAGGTTCTAGAAGGAGCTGCTTAAATTTTCTGGGCTTTTTTTTTTTTTTTTTTTTTAAGAGAGAGAGAGAGTCTCACCCTGGGCTTCTTTTCTTTTCTTTTGAGACAGAGTCTCGCTCTGTCACCGAGGCTGGAGTGCACTGGCATGATCTCAGCTCACTGCAAGCTCTGCCTCCCGGGTTCACGCCATTCTCTTTCCTCAGCCTCCCGAGTAGCTGGGACTACAGGCGCCCGCCACCACGCCCGGCTAATTTTTTGTATTTTTAGTAGAGACAGGGTTTCACCGTGTTAGCCAGGATGGTTTCCATCTCGTGACCTCATGATCTGCCCACCTCAGCCTCTCAAAGTGCTGGGATTACAGGCGTGAGCCACCGCGCCCGGCCATCCTGGGCTTATTTTCTTACCCCCATTCACTTTTCAGTCCATTGTAATCAGGTTCCTCCCCCGGTTCTCAAATGAAACAGCTCCTACCACAGTCACCATGACCTTGTGGTTAGACCGATAGACATCTCAGAGTGACATGCTGACCTCTTGGCAGCAGCCAGCACTGCTGACCACCCTTCCCTGCTACTCCCGACATGTGGTATCCCAGAGGTCTGTGCTTGGGCCTCTGCTGTCTTCTTGCCAGACACCGTCAATCACACACTTGTTCTGCAGTGAGGCCTCCATGCCTCCTCCCTGCTGGCCCCTGCAGCTAATATCCCAGCCACCATTCCACAATGCACAGGCTATTATTCTCCAAAGGCATTCATTCCCGTAGCATGGGATCCCTGAACAGTCCCCTTTCCCACCTACGTCCTGTCTCCTCCAGAAAGTGTTCCTTGGCTGGATTAGGTGCACACAGCACCTACGGTTTCACTGTTTACACCTTGGCCTCCCACTGTAGTCTGCTGAAGGGCCAGGGCCATCCTTCATCTTTGTATCTTCAGTACTTACCCCTCATGAGAGAAGCAATAAATGTGCTGCTAATAAGTAAATGACTTGCGAGTACTATCCATTACCATCCACACTTTGGATTCTATCATCTAAATTCTATCATCCCAGCCCATGCCTCTCTCCTGAGGACCCAAGAATATATGAAACCTCCCAGCCTCCCCACATGGCTGTCTCAAAGGCATCTGAAACTCCACATTTGCACAACCAAAAGCGTCATCTCCCAGGCAACCCGATTTCATCTTCCATTCCCTTAGTTAATGACATAAAAAGCCACCTGGTTCCCAAGCTCAAAACTTAGCAGCAAGCCTAGAGTCCAGCTTCTCTCTGTCCCTCTGCATCCTGTCTCAAAATCCCCTCATTTCTACCTTCTTTGTTTTTTTATTTTTATTTTTAATTAATTTTTTTTTCAGATGGAGTTTCACTCTTATTGCCCAGGCTGGAGTGCAATGGCGCGATCTCGGCTCACTGCAACCTCCGCCTCCCGGGTTCAAGCGATTCTCTTGCCTCAGCCTCCCGAATAGCTGGGATTACAGGCATGTACCACCACACTTGGCGAATTTTGTATTTTTAGTAGAGACGGAGTTTCTCCATGTTGGTCAGGCTGGTCTCAAACTCCCGACCTCAGGTGATCCGCCCTCCTCGGCCTCTCAAAGTGCTGGGATTACAGGCATGAACCACTGTGCCCAGCCTTTTTATTTATTTGTTTTTGAGACAGAGTCTTGCTTTGTTGCCCAAGCTAGAGTGCAGTGGAGCGATCTCAGGTCACTGCAACCTCCAACTCCCGGTTTCAAGCGATTCTCTTGCCTCGGCCTCCCAAGTAGCTGGGATTACAGGCACCTGCCACCACACCCAGCTAATTTTTGTATTTTTAGTAGAGACGGGGTTTCAACATCTTGGCCAGGCTGGTCTCCAACTCCTGACCTCGTGATCTACCTGCCTCAGCCTCCCAAAGTGCTGGGATTACAGGCGTGAGCCACCATGCCCGGCCCTACCTTCTTAATGTCTCTAAATCTACCATCATTAGCAGCTCTATAACTTTCACTTCTCAACTAGGCCATAGGGACCTTTATTTTATTTACTTATTTATTTTTGTAAAAAATTTTGTAATAAATTTTATGTTAAAAAATTTTTTTTTCTTTTGTAAGAAATTTTCTTTTGTAAAAAATTTTGTTATTATTATTTTGTTTTTGAGACAGACTCTCACTCGGTCGCTCAGGCTGGAGTGACAGGCTGGAGTGTCGCTCAGGCTGGAGTGGTGCAATCTCAGCTCACTGCCACCTCCACCTCCTGGGCTCGAGTCATTCTCGTGCCCCAGCCTCCTGAGTAGCTGGGACTACAGGCACACACCACCACGCCCGGCTAATTTTTGTATTTTTAGTAGAGACAGGGTCTCACCATGTTGGCCAGGCTGGTCTCAAACTCCTGACCTCAAGTGATCCGCCTGCTTCGGCCTCCCAAAGTGCTGGGATTATAGGCATGAGCCACCACGCCTGACCTTTTATATATATATATTTTTTTTGAGATGGAGTCTCGCTCTGTCCCCCAGGCTGGAGTGCAGTGGCACAATCTCGGCTCACTGCAAGCTCTGCCTCCCGGGTTCATGCCATTCTCCTGCCTCAGCCTCCCGAGTAGCTGGGACTACAGGCGCCCGCCACCACACCTGGCTAATTTTTTGTATTTTTAGTAGAGGCGGGGTTTCACCATGTTAGCCAGGATGGTCTCAATCTGCTGACCTCATGATCCGCCCGTCTCGGCCTCCCAAAGTGCTGGGATTACAGGCGTGAGCCACCGCACCCGGCCTGACCTTTTTTTTTCTTTTGAAGGCAGGGTTTGCTACATTGCCAAGCTGGAGTACATCAGTACAATTACTGCAACTTTGAACTCCCCCAGGCTCAAGTGATCCTCTCGTCTCTGCCTCCTGAATATCTAGGACTACAGGCGGGTACCACTACTCCTGGCTAAATTTTGTTTAATTTTTCTGTATAGATGGAGGTCTTGCTATGTTACCCAAGCTGGTCTCAAACTCCTGGCCTCAAAAAATCCTGCCTCGGCCCCCAAAGTGCTGAGATTACAAACGTGAGCCACAGTGTCAGCCCCTAGTGACATTCTACACTGTAATCTGATTTCCTACTCCTGTTTGTTAGCCTAAAACCATCCCCACCAGCCACAAGATCAAGTCTAAATTCCTTCACACAGCATACAAGGCCTTCCAGGGCCCTGGCCTCCACCCTCTCTTCCAGCCTTAATGGGTTTTTTTCTTTTTCTTTCTTTTTTCTTTTTTGAGAAGGGGTCTCACTCTGTCGCCCAGGCTGGAGTGCAGTGGCATGATCTTGGCTCACTGCAGCCTCCACCTCCTGGGTTCAAGCAATTCTCCCACCTCAGCCTCCCCTGTAGCTGGGATTACAGGTGCCTACCAACCATGCCTGGATAATTTTTGCCTTTTTTTTTTTTTTTTTTTTTAGACGAGGTCTCGCTCAGCTGCCCAGGATGGAGTGCAGTGCCACGATCTCGGCTCACTGCAACCACTATCTCCCAGGTTCAAGTGATTTTCCCATCTCAGCCTCCTGAGTAGCTGGGATTACAGGCACCTGCCATCATGCCCAGCTAATTTTTGTATTTTTAGTAGAGATAGGGTTTCACCATGTTGGCCAGGCTGGTCTTGAACTCCTGACCTTAGGTGATCCACCTGCCTTGGCCTCCCAAATTGCTGGGATTACAGGCGTGAGCCACCGTGCCCAGTGCAGCCTTACTGTTTTCTTTTTGTTTGTTTGTTTTTTTCAAGACAGAGTCTTGCTCTGTCACCTAGGCTGGAGTGCAGTGGCACGATCTCGGCTCACTGCAACCTCTGCCTCCCGGGTTCAAGCAATTCTCCTGCCTCAGCTTCCCAAGTAGCTAGGATTACAGGTGCCCACCACTGCACCCAGCTAACTTTTGTATTTTTAGTAGAGACAGGGTTTCACCATGTTAGCCAGGCTGGTCTCGAACTCCTGACCTCGTGATCTGCCCGCCTTGGCCTCCCAAAGTGCTGGGATTACAGGCGTGAGCCACCAAGCCCGATCTAGCCTTACTGTTTTCTACAGCCCCTCCATCTGCAGCAATTGGGGACCTACCACAATTTCCCCAAACATGTCAGCCTTTGCCTGGAATGACTTTCCCTTCCTGCCTCCTTCATAATGGAACATTTGGAACTTTTGCTTCTCTACCCCCCGCTATACCTAGGCCTTGCTGGTCACAAAGCTGCCAAAGTTTATGAACATCAGTCCCCTCCAGCGCACGACACCTTGAGGGTGCAGACTACACCCTACTCATTTGTTTTGCAGCACCCCAAAGGTTTCATCAGTTTGCTGAATATCTAAATGAATGCAGCACTGACATTGGGGCTCCCACACCTCCTCGTACCCAGTTCACCTTGTTGTCTCAGCCTCTCCTGGATGCTCTCAACAGTTTCAGACCCTAAAATTAAAATCGATGAGAGCACCAGGTGTTTCTTTTTGTGTGATTGTTCACAACCTGCTTGAGCTGCTAATGGTTCAGAGCTGCTCCTTTTTAAGGCTCAAGGGATGAGGCTGGAACCGGTTTTCATGGCAGCTAAGCAAACAGTAAAAAAAAAAAAAAATCACTTGAATTCAGCTAATTCGAGTTTCATGGTAGGACAAAGGCCTGCATCAGATGTCTGCTGAGAGCTTCTTTATTTTTCCAACCTCTCCTTTGGGGATTTATCCCTTTTGATTTCATTTTTCTTAATACACAGCAGCTGCATATTAATCAGGATGCTAATGAATCATAGGCTTCCCTGGGCCTGCATTCACCAATTAACTTTAACAAACAAAATGCGTGGTGTCCTCTCTGCTGGCTTTCCCGGTTCCTAGGCTGGCTTCTGTTGCCGAACCCTGGACCGAGGCCAGAGAATGCAAGTCAGCCCAACACAGCACGTCGGGTGTGCATGGCCTGCGCCCGGATTGGGCAGCGGGCTGGGGGCTGTGAACACAGCGCTGCGTTCATCTATTATGGTCTGTCCTTCTAAGAAGTCCCTAATTTGGCTGCGAGGATTAGGACATAGTTCCCAAGCAGGGCCCACGCTGGCAGGGGGCCCAGGAGCTGCGGAGGAAATGGGTCTAAGCGAAGAGACCATCTGTTCGCTCCAGGTAAAGCTGTGATTGGCAGGCGACTGAGCCAGAACTGCCCGCTGGTGGGGCCCTCCCTCCGTGGCCTCTAACAGATATACAAGTAAACAATCCGCCAGCCACTTATGACCACCGAGGGTGGCAGTCCCGGGAGAGGAGGCAAGCTAATCAAACATTCAAGGGGGGAACACAACAGAATCTCTGGCGCTTGGGCAAAACAATGTTTTGCTGAAGTACAGCCAGGAAGGGGGAAGGTTTGAATGGAAGCTGATGAGCCAGTTCCTCAACCTCTCCTTTTCTCTCTGGAAACGTGTTAACATTTTAATCATGTTGCTGAGTATCTGCTGCTGGATCTATTAACTGGCCCCTGCACTGGTTTTAATCTATCTGTTTTTTGGCCCAGGGTTCCTGTGGAGCTCCTTGAAGTCTCTAAATGATTTGCAGCGGTCTGTGTCTCTTCACTACACAGATCCTGGTCTAAACATGCTATTCCGCAGTAAGGTATTAGCAAACAAACGACTTCAACCATTGCTTCCCTTTTTTTTTGGTCTCCAATTGACAGCACACACCTATAAACCATTTCACGCGTGGCCTGCTTTCCAGCAGAGGAATGTGCGAGGAGAGGGAAGCTGGCTTGCTTTCTGCCTAGAGTCCTCAGGGCCCTGTCCTGACCCTCCTCTCACTCCTTCTCCAGGTGAGCTCATTCATTCCACAGCTGCTGCTGAAACAATGACTCCCACAGAACCATCTCCAGACCCTCACCCCACCCCGAGTTCCGGGTCAGAAAGTTGAACTGTATCCTGGACATGTGGATGTCCCTGGCCACCGAAAGTGGCTCAGATAAACAAGGACAACACAGAACTCATGTTCTTGTCTCTGCCAGAGAAGCCACCACCTACCGGAAACCACCACAAGCTGGAAAGCAGACAGCAGTGATGTGCTTGTAAGCATTTAGCAACTGGCTGTGTGATGGGGGGGAAGCCCTGATTCGTAGTGTTTGCCAATTTCCGTGGTGCAGAGCCTCCCACCATTAGCCAATTTCAGGCTACCAACATGAAGACGCTAAATGCCAAGTTGGGAAGAGATGTGTAGAATTGGCTCTTTCAAGCCGGTAGGAGCTGGCCCCAGTACATCATGGCCGGGAAACATCCTCCCTCATCCCCTTCCTGTGTCTTATGGCACAAGGCACTTCCTCCATCTGCCCTGCTAAAGGCCACCCCCCCCACACCCCCCATAAAAGCCTCCCACTAGACCTCCCTACACCCACACATTCTCCCTCCCAACCATTCTCTACAAAGCAGCCATATTTTTTTATTAATATTTTTTGAGACAGGGTTTTGTTCTTGTTGCCTAGGCTGGAGTGCAATGGTGCAATCTTGGCTCAGTGCAACCTCTGCCTCCCAGGTTCAAGCGATTCTCCTGCCTAACCCTCCCAAGTAGCTGGGATTACAGGCATGCACCACCACCCCTGGCTAATTTTGTATTTTTAGTAGAGACGGGGTTTTGCCATGTTGGCCAGGCTGGTCTTGAACTCCTGACCTCAGGTGATCCATCTACCTCGAACTCCCAAAGTGCTGGGATTACAGGCATGAGCCATCGTGCCCGGCCTGCAGCCGTATCTTTTTATAACGGGAACCTGAGCATGTCACTTCTGTGACCCAGCAGTTCCCCTCCTAGGTATGAGTATGCCCAGAAGAAATGAAATCATCTGTCCACACACAAACTTTTCTAAATGGATTTCATAGCAGTGCTGCTCATAATAGCCAAAAAGTGAAAACCACCCGAATGACTATCAACAGATGAGTGGATAAACAAAATGTGGTAGACTCATGTGGAATATTATTCAGCCATTGAAAAGATGAAGTCCAGATGCAGTGGCTCACGCCTGTAATCCCAGCATTTTGGGAGGCCACTGTATCTGGCCTGGAGTGATGAAGCTGTTTTAAAGTTGACTATGAGAATGGTTGTCCAGCTCTGAATATACCAAAAGCAATCAAATCATACCCTTCAAGGAGGTGAGCCGGGCGCGGTGGCTCACGCCTATAATCTCAGCACTTTGGGAGGCCGAGGCGGGCGGATCATGAGGTCAGGAGATTGAGACCATCCTGGCTAACACGGTGAAACCCCGTCTCTACCAAAAATATATAAAAAAAAAGCCAGGCCTGGTGGCACATGCTTGTAGTCCCAGCTACTCGGGAGGCTAAGGCAGGAGAATTGCTTGAATCTGGGAGGGGGAGGTTGCAGTGAGCCAAGATCATGCCCCCTCACTCCAGCCTGGGCAACAGAGCGAGACTCCATCTCAAAAAAAAAAAAAAAAAAGGTGAACCGTATGCTATGGGAATTATATCTCAAAGCTGTTACTGAAAAAACCTCTAGGATAAAGTCTGTAGCCCACAAAATGCCTCATAACCTGGCCCCTTCTGCAGCCCTCCCCTTGCACTCACCCCTGTACCCCACTCGCTCGCCTAGCCACACTGGCCTTCCTTTAGCTCCCCCGAATGCCACGAGCAGGGACTTCGCACGAGCTCTTCTCTCAACCCCTCCTTCCCCACCCTGCCCACACTTTCTGCTTCAACATCTCTTCTACAAGGACACCTTCCCTGGCTCCCCATTCCAGGCTGGCTGCCCACAGGGGAAAGGTCTCCCAGCACCATGATCTCTTCCCTGTTGGTGTTTGGTCAGATGCAAACAGCAGGAGGGTATGAGCATGTCTGTCTGGAGGACAGGAGTGTCCCTGCTGCCAATCACAATACTGCCATATCAGCCTTTTTTTTTTTTTTTTTCCTCGAGACAGGGTCTCACTCTGTCACCCAGGATGGAGTGCAATGGTGCTATCTTGGCTCACTGCAACCTCTGCCTCCCAGGTTCAAGCAATTCTCCTGCCTCAGGCTCCGGAGTAGCTGGGATTAAAGGCATGCGCCACCACGCCTGGCTAATTTTTTGTATTTTTAGTAGAAACAGGGTTTCACTATGTTGGCCAGGCTGGTCTCGAACTCCTGACCTCGTGATCCGCCTGCCTCGGCCTCCCAAAGTCCTAGGATTACAGGTTGAGCCACTGCGCCCGGCCAACATGAGCCTCCTTCTTGCTCTTTTGAGAACACATCAAGCTTATTCCTACCTGAGGGACTTCATACTTGCGGCCCCCTCTGCGTGGAAGGTTTGGGCCCAGAATGCCTCCTGGCTGGCCTCTTCTCATGTGACCTCTTCAGAGTTCTCCAACTGCTCTAAGGTCCCTGTCACTCTACTTGCTCCTTACTATATTTTGTTTCTTCATTCCACTTACTTGCCACCAGTTGAAATCACATTATTCACTTATTTATTTTTGAGACAGGGTCTTGCTCTTCCAGTGCAGTGAAGCAATCACGTCTCACTGCAGCCTCGACCTCCCAGGCTCAAGTGGTCCTCCCACCTCAGCCTTCCAAGTAGCTAGGGCCACAGGTGTGTGCAACCGCACCACACCACGCTCATTTCTTTCTTTCTTTCTTTCTTTTTTTTCAGAGAGATATGTCTCCCTCTGTTGCCCAGGCTGGTCTCAAACTCCTGGGCTCAAGGGATCCTCCTGCCTTGGCCTCCTGAATAGCCAGGACTACATGCATGCACCACCACGCCTGGCTGATTTTTGTGTTTTTAGTAGAGACGGAGTTTCACCATGTGGGCCAGGCTGGTCTCGAAATCCTGACCTCAAGTTATCTGCCAGCGCCAGCCTCCCAAAGTGCTGGGATTACAGGCGTGAGCCACTGCGCCCAGCCTCTACTATATATATACTTTTTTTTTTTTTTTTTGAGACAGAGTCTTGCTCTGTCACCAAGGCTGGAATGCAATGGCACAATCTTGGCTTACTGCAATCTCTGCCTCCCAGGTTAAAGCAATTCTCCTGCCTCAGCCTTCTGAGTAGCTGGGATTACAAGTGTCTGTCACCATGCCTGGCTAATTTTTGTAGACACAGGGTTTCACCATATTGGCCAGGCTAGTCTCAAACTCCTGACCTCATGATCTGCCTGCCTTGGCCTCCCAAAGTGCTGGGATTACAGGCGTAAGCCACCGTGCCCGGCCTACTAAATTTTTCTTTTTTCTTTTTTTTGAGACGGAGTCTCACTCTGTCACCAGGCTGGCATGCAGTGGCATGATCTCGGCTCACTACAACCTCTGCCTCTGGGGTTCAAGCGATTCTCCTGCCTTAGCCTCCCGAGTAGCTGGGACTACAGGCGTGCACCACAACACCCAGCTAACTTCTGTATTTTTAGTAGAGACGGGGTTTCATCATGTTAGCCAGGATGGTCTCCATCTCTTGACCTTTTGATCCACCCCCCTCGGCCTCCCAAAGTGCTAGGATTACAGGCATAAGCCACCATTCCTGGCTTTTTTTTTTTTTTTTTGAGACAGCGTTTCGGTCTTTTTGCCCAGGCTGGAGTGCAATGGCGCCATCTCAGCTCACTGCAACCTCCACCTCCTGGGTTCAAGCGATTCTCCTGCCTCAGCCTCCTGAGTAGCTGGGATTACAGGCATGTGCCACTATGCCCAGCTAATTTTGTATTTTTAGTAGAGACGGGGTTTCTCCATGTTTGTCAGGCTGGTCTCAAACTCCCGACCTTAGGTGATCCACCCGCCTTGGCCTCCCAAAGTGTTGGGATTACAGGTGTGAACCACTGCACCTGGCCAATATTTTTTAATAAATTGGCCCGACATTCTGGCCCGCCTCTAGTCCCAGCCATTTCGGAGGCTGAGGTGGGAGGATCACTTGAGTCTGGGAGGTGGAGGTTGCAGTGAGCCGTGATCATGCCACTGCGTGGTGACAAAGCAAGACGCTGTGTTAGGAGGGAAAAAAAAAGCAGCAGACACTGGCATAGCCTTGTGGAAGAAAAGGGTGAATGAGAGGGACCCAGGGGCCTGTGTAGACCCATAGGGCTGGGATCTTCCTCACCTAGCTGGCCCTCCACCAGCTTCCTCCTCGCAGTTCTCTTCCCACCGCGGATGCTCCTTGCTCTCCCCCAAGGGCTGCGGTTCCTGGTCTTTGCATTTCACATGGGGCACGTCCACCTGCAAGCACAGTCAGGACGGAGGCCAAGGAGGGAGGATGAGGAGTGAACAGATCGCCCTCCTGCCGACCCTTCAACCCTGGTCACCTCGATGTGCTGCTGCGGGACGGTGGGGACCCGCAGGAAAGACGGGCAGGGCTGGGGCAGGTGCCATGAGGGCAGGGGCATGGGGTGAAAGGACACTCTGTCCCTAGGGGACACCAGGACACCAGACCTAGAGGGGCCGGGTGAGGGCAGGGCTGTGGGAATGTAACTGGAGGACCTGGGCTCCTAACTGGTATGTGTGTTGGCTGGAGTCCTTCGAGAAAGGAGAAGAGGTAGGAGAAAAGAGATGAGGCCGGGCGCGGTGGCTCACGCCTGTAATCCCAGCACTTTGGGAGGCGGAGGCGGGCGGATCACGAGGTCAGGAGTGCGAGAACAGCCTGAGCAATATGGTGAAACCCCGTCTCTACTAAAAATACAAAAATTAGCTGACGTGGTGGTGCGTGCCTGTAATCCCAGCTACTCGGGAGGCTGAGGAAGGAGAATCACTTGAACCCGGGAGGCAGAGGTTGCAGTGAGCCGAGATCACGCCACTGCACTCCAGACTGGGCGACAGAGTGATACTTCGTCTCAAAAAAAAAAAAAAAAAGAAATGAAAGAAACGGGTGCGGTGCGTGGGTGTTTGTGCCTTTCTCTACTCCGTTCCGGCCACGCGCCATGTGTGGAAATCAGACCCGTCAGTGCGTCAGTCAGGGCCGGGTTCAGTCAGTCAGGAAATTTGAGGCCAGGCCTGATGAGAGGGAGC
This sequence comes from Homo sapiens, assembly GCF_000001405.40. Lineage (NCBI taxonomy): Eukaryota > Metazoa > Chordata > Mammalia > Primates > Hominidae > Homo > Homo sapiens. Next base: position 12,919,124 of record NC_000019.10, read on the forward strand.
CCCAATGGCAAAGGACAAGCGGCCGGGCTCGGGTCCGCTGGAGATGGCTGGGATCGCAGCCGTTCCCTGCCTATCTGTCCGCCCGCCCCACGCGCGAGAAGGAAACAAGCGCCGCGTACTCCCTGTCGCTCCATTCCGTATTTTCCCGCCTTCAAGCTCGCACCCTCTGCGCATGCGCCGACCCCGCCCCTGGCCAGCTGCGCTCCCGCGGACGAGTGTGTTGTGACGCGTGCTCCCGGCCCCGCCCTCTTTGAGAACTTGCGCGGCCAACTGGGCGGGGCCGACCGTTAAGCAGCAGTTTCGCGGTCCGCGGGCTGCGCGCGCAGTCGGCGCCCCTTGGGAGCAGGACGGCGCGCTCTGGGTGCGCTTGTGTGCCCCTGTGAGGCTCCTGGGTTCCACGGGGCGCCCAGGTTATACGGATCTCAGAGTCCTGTATTTATTCGGTGCTTCTAACTTCATCCACTCTGCCTTGGAAAATATACTCCATAACAATTTTTTTTTTTTTTTGAGACAAGATCTTGGTCTGTCGCCCAGGCTGGAGTGCAGTGGTGCGATCACAGCTCACTGTAGCCTCGACCTCCCAGGTTCAAGCGATCCTCCTGCCTCGGCCTCCTGAGTAGCAGTGTCATTCACCAGGCCCTTCTAATTTAAAAATATTTTTCTGGCCGGGCGCGGTGGCTCACGCCTGTAATCCCAGCACTTTGGGAGGCCGAGGCGGGTGGATCACCTGAGGTCATGAGTTCGAGACCAGCCTAGCCAACATGGTGAAACTGTCTCTACTAAAAATACAAAAAATAGCCGGGCGTGGTGGCGGGCGCCTATAGTCCCAGCTACTCGGGAGGCTGGGGCAGGAGAATTGCTTAAACCCAGGACGCAGAGGTTGCAGTGAGCTGAGATCATGCCACTGCACTCCAGCCGGGGTGACAGAGTAAAGCTCCGTCTCAAAAAAAAAAAAAAGATTGTATGTATATATACACACACACACACACACACACACACACATAATTATATTTTTTTTTCCTGTAGAAATGAGATCTCACTGTGCTGAGCCCAGGCTGATCCCCAACTCCTGGGCTCAAGCCGTCCTCCCGTCTTGGTCTCCCAAAGTGCTGTCTCAAAAAAAGAAGAAATTATCTGATCTACCCTATTGACTGTAGGTCATAAGACCCCCGTTTCAAAGAAGTTTCTGCCCCACACAAGGCCTATCTATCTAGATTCTTCTTGGCCTCTCTGAGCATGCATTCCTGAGACTCCAAGAAGAATCTAGACAGATAGGCCTTGCTGGGTTTCCCCACTCAGCCTATTAGTATTAGACGACCCCCCCGGCTTTTTTTTTTTTTTTTTTTTTTTGTCTTGCTCTGTTGTCCAGGCAACACTGGAGTGCAGTGGCAAGATCTCAACTCGCTGCAACCTTGGCCTCCCAGGTTCAAGCGATTCTCAGCCAACCAAGTAGCTGGGATTACAGATGCACCATGCCCAGCTAATTTTTGTATTTTTAGTAGAGATGGGGTTTTTCCATGTTGCTCAGGCTGGTCTCAAACTCCTGGCCTCAAGTGATCCACCCGCCTCAGCCTCCCAAAGTGTCAGGATTACAAGTATGAACCACGACAAACCCTTTTTGTCCAATCAAATTTCTACCTGGGTGTTCAAACTTTGCTGAACCTAAGCATAAGACACTTTTCATTAATCAGGCATGGTGGCGGGCACCTGTAATCCCAGCTGCTTGGGAAGCTGAGGCTGCTGTGAGCCAAGATCGCCCCTACACTCCAGCCCAGGGAACAGAGCCAGACTCCGTCTCAAAACAAAACAAAACAAAAACACAGTTTCCCCTGTATCTCTGGATCTTCATTCTGAAGGCTTGTCAGGTAACACTATGATCAAATACATTCGTATTCCTTTTCTCTTATTAATCTGCCTTTTCTCAGTAATTTTTAGTGAAACTTCAGAGGGCAATAAGGAAGCTTTCTCTTCACCCCTACACAGCCAAAGTTCAGATTTGATGGAAATGGCAAGATTCCAGGGTACTTGTGTTTATTTAGACACATAAATATGTATTTAACGACAGGGTCTCACTCTGTTGCCCAGGCTGGAGTGCAGTGGTGTAATCACGGCTCATTGCAGCCTCGACCTCCCAGGCTCAAGTGATCAACCTCAGTCTCTGGAGTACCTGGGATTACAGGCATGAGCCACTATGCTGAGCTAATTTTTGTTTTCTGTTTTTGGGGGACAGGTCTCACTCTGTGGCCCAGACTGGAGTGCAGTGGTGTGATCTCAGCTCCCTACAACCTCCACCTCCTGGGTTCAAGTGATTCTCCCACCTCAGCCTCCCAGATAGCTGGGACTACAGGTGCCTGCCATCATGCCTGCTAATTTTTGTTTTTTGTTTTTTTTTTTGGAACAGAGTCTTCTTCTGTCACCCAGGCTGTAGTGCAGTGGCACAATCTTGGCTCACTGCAACCTCCACCTCCTGGTTCAAACGATTCTCGTGCCTCAGCCTCCCGGGTAGCTGGGACTACAGGTGCTCACCACCACGCCCAGCTTTTTTTTTGTATTTTTAGTAGAGACGGGTTTTCACCACGTTGGCCAGGCTGCTCTCGAACTCCTGACCTCAAGTGATCTGCCTGCCTCAGCTTCCCAAAGTGTTGGAATTACAGGCGTGAGCCACCACGCCCAGCCTAATTTTTTTTTTTTTTTTTTTGAGACGGAGTCTTGCTCTATTGCCCAGGCTGGAGTGCAGTGGTGCGATCTCCGCTCACTGCAAGCTCCGCCTCCCAGGTTCACACCATTCTCCTGCCTCAGCCTCCTGAGTAGCTGGGACTACAGGCACCCGCCACCACGCCCGGCTAATTTTTTGTATTTTTAGTAGACAGGGTTTCACCATGTTGGCCAGGATGGTCTCAATCTCTTGACCTCATGATCCACACGCCTCAGCCTCCCAAAGTGCTGGGATTACAGGCATGAGCCACCGCACCCAGCCCTAATTTTTTTATTTTTAGTAGAGATGGGGTTTCACCACGTTGGCCAGGCTGCTCCTGAATTCCTGACCTCAAGTGACCCACCCACCTTGGCCTCCCAAAAGTTCTGGGATTACAGAAGTGAGCCACTGTGCCTGGCTCAGTACCCATACTTTTTTTTTTTTTTTTTGTATTTTTAGTAGAGACGGGGTTTCACCCTGTTAGCCAGGATGGTCTCGATCGCCTGGCCTCGTGACCCGCCCGCCTCAGCCTCCCAAAGTGCTGCGATTACAGACGCGGGCCACCTCGCCCAGCCCAGTACCCAGAATTTTGACCATCAAGTGGCACACTGAGCTAGGGGGACCCAACAAGACCCCTCACCCCTAAGGAAAGCCACCAGATGGGGGCAACTGCCCACTTTATTAGACAATAGGTGGCCCACAGGTCTCCTCAGGGCCCACCCTCACAGTAGACACACCACACAGGACAACAGAAGGAACCTGCTACCCAGTCCTCTGTCCCTGGGATTCTGGTCCTGGGACAGGTGGGAAAGAGGAAGGTGGGGGCTGGCCTCACAGAGGCCTCATAAATACAAGGTCACTGGCCAGGGATGCAAAGGAGCGCAGCAGCAGGGACTCGGGGAGGATGACCTGTCCTAGAGTGGCCCATGTCACGCAGCCTCCTGTGTGGGAGGGGGCCTCGGCTCGGCATCCAGGCGGCACAGGGGACTGTCATACACCATCTGCAGGTTCACCTTGTGGCCCACCAGCTCCCGGATATTGTTGATGCCATATTTGATCATCGTTGGGCTTGTGGGGGAGGGAACAGAGTTTATCATGAGGTCAGCACGTGCACCCTTCTGCTCAGATTTCCATGGCTCCCATCTTCTTCAGAGGAAAAGTTCAAGTTCTCCCCATGACCCACAGGGCCCTGCGCCAACTGCTCTATCACCTCTCACCCTCCGCCTTCAGCCACACCAGCCTCCTCACTCTTCTCCTAATACAAAAAGCACATTCCCACCTCTGGGCCTTTGAACTGACTGTGACCACTACCTGGGACACCCTTCCCCAGATACTCTCATGGTTTACCTCTTTATCTACCTCTAGATTTTGCTTAGGTGGCACTTCTTCCTCCATGATGCCTTCACTGACCACGTAGTTGCCTTAGCCCTCCCTATACCACTTACTGCCCTGGTACACACTTCTGTCTTCTTTTGCTGAGTGCATTTGTTTTTTTGAAACAGAGTCTCACTCTGTAACCTAGGGTGGAGTGCAGTGGCGTAATCTCAGCTCACTGCAACCTCCGCCTCCCAGGTTCAAGTGATTCTCATACCTCAGCCTCCTGAGTACCTAGGACTAGGACTACAGACGCACGCAACAGTGCCTGGCTAATTTTTGTAGTTTTAGTAGAGACGGGAGACAGAGTCACACTCTGTTGTCTAGACTAGAATAGAGTGCAGTGGCATGATCTTGGCTCACTGCAACCTCTGCCTCCTGGGTTCAAACGATTCTCCTGCCTCAGCCTCCTAAGTAGCTGGGATTACAGGCACCTGCTACCACGCCAGGCTAATTTTTATATTTTTAGTAGAGATGAGGTTTCGCCATGTTGGCCAGGCTGGCCTCGAACTCCTGTCCTCAGGTGATGCACCTGCTTCAGCCACCCACAGTGCTTGGATTACAGGCATGTGCCACCACGCCTGGCCTGTTTTTATTCTTTGTAGAGGCGGAGACTTGCTCTATTGCCCAGGCTGATCTCAAACTCCTGGCTCAGGCGATCCTCCTGCCTTGGCCTCCCACAGCACTGGGATGACAGGCATGAGCTACCACGCCTGGCCTGATGTACTTGTTGGTCTTGCTAGTTATCATCCTTCTCGCTCCACTGGGACCCCAGATTCAGAGGGAGGGACATAAGCTGTCATGTTCACAGCACGGGGCTGAGCATTCAGTTTGTACTCACGATGAAAGTTTTGTCCATTGGATGAATGAATGGGTGGTGCTGAAACCACGCAGGCCCCTATACCTGGAGAGTTATTTGAGGCAGCTGGACACCCCGAGTTTCCACTTGGGCACTTACCGCTCCAGGGAGAGGCCCCAGGCAATGACCGACACGTTCTCGGGAAGCCCCATGGGCAGCAGCATCTCTGGACGGAAGACCCCCGAGTTTCCGACCTCCACCCACTTCTTCAGGCCTGCAGAGGCAGGACAGAAAAGACGGGCAGTGCGTGTTGAGTTTCTGGGCACTGCTGGTACAGGTTCTGGGTCTAGGTGGTGAGCTTGGGAGGTGGGGTACAGGCATGGCAATGGGGGGACCCAGGCCAAACCATAGTAGCCTGAGACCTCCCTCCCACCCCAGTACCAGGGCCTACCCTGACCTTGGTGGTAGCTGAACACCTCCATGCTGGGCTCTGTGTATGGGTTGTAGGCTGGCTTGAAGCGGAGTTGCGTGATACCTGCAGGAAGTGGGGGGCGGGCAGGAGAGCAGGGGTTTGGAGGATAATGCTGGTGATCAACACACCTGCCCGCTGCCTCACCACCATGGCCCACCCCTGCCCCCCTGCTCACCCAGCTTGGTGAAGAACTCCCGCAGAACGCCCATGAGGTGGCCCAAGGTGAGACCATGATCCGCCACCACGCCCTCGATCTGGTGGAACTCAGCCAGGTGCGTGGCGTCCAGGGTCTCATTCCGGAATACGCGGTCGATGGAGAAGTACTTGACCGGAGTGAAGGGCTTCTAGGGGTGACAACCGAGCCAGGCCCAGGTATGGGTCAGAAGGTCCCTTTGACAGCACCCTCTCCCCACTGGGGCCCCCGCCTGGGCCAACCGCACCTTCTGGGCAAGGCGGTAGAGCGCACGGGCGCTGGCTGATGTGGTGTGGGTTCGCAGTAGGTTTTTCCGGGCCTCGTCCAGCTTCCAGTTATACTTGTACCTTCAGGAGGGAAGGTGGGAAGTCCATGCAATGGCCCAGGGGTCCCCAGCCTCCTTCCCTTCCATACCAGGTAAGTCCTGCCTCACCCCTGTGAGCCGTAGCCGCCCTGAGAGTGGGTCCGCTTGACCCGCTGGACATAGTCCATTGGGAGCTGCAGGGCCTCCGCTGGATCTGGGCAGGACAGAGCAACATCAGGTCAGTCAACGAGCATTTCCCACCCCTTTTTTTTTTTCAGACAGGGTCTCACTGTTGTCCAGGCTGGAGTGCGGTGGTGCAATCTGGGCTTACTGCAACCTCTGCCTCCCAGGTTCAAGTGATTCTCGTGCCTCAGTTTTCTCATTTGTGTGTGGCTTTTTTGGGTTCTTTTTTTTTGAGACAGAGTCTTGTTCAGTTGGCCCAGCTGAAGTACAATGGCTCAATCTTGGCTCACTGCAACCTCCACCTCCCAAGTTCAAGCAATTCTCCTGATTCAGCCTCCCAAGTAGCTGGGATTACAGGTGCCTGCCACCACACCCGGGAAATTTTTGTATTTTTAGTAGAGATGGGGTTTCGCCATGTTGGTCAGGGTGGTCTCGAACTCCTGATCTCAGGTGATCCACCCACCTCGGCCTCCCAGTGTTGGGATTACAGGCATGAGCCACTGCACCTGGGCTTTATTTATGTATGTACGTATGTATGTATGTATTTTGAGATGGAGTCTTGCTCTGTTGCCCAGGCTGGAGTGCAGTGGCATGATCTTGGCTCACTGCAACCTCCTCCTCCCAGGTTCAAGCAATTCTCCTGCCTCAGCCTCCCAAGTAGCTGGGATTACAGAAGTGCACCACCACACACAGCTAATTTTTTATATTTGGTAGACGTGGGGTTTCACCATGTTGGCCAGGCTGGTCTCGAACTCCTGACTTCAAGTGATCCGCCTGCCTGGGCCTCCCAAAGTGCTGGGATCATGCCACCGCGCCCGACCTTTTTATTTTTTCTTTTTTTTTGAGACGGAGTCTCGCTCTGTCGCCCAGGCTGGAGTGCAGTGGCGCGATCTCGGCTCACTGCAACCTCTGCCTCCCAGGTTCGAGTGATTCTCCTGCCTCAGCCTCCTGAATAGATGGGACTACAGGCACACGCCACCATGCCCAGCTAATTTTTGTATTTTTAGTAGAGATGGGATTTCACCATGTTGGCCAGGATGGTCTCGATCCACCCACCGTGGCCTCCCAAAGTGCTGGAATTACAGGCGTGAGCCACCGCGCCCGGCCTATTTTTTTTTTTTAAAGGGACAAAATTTTTTTTTTTTTTAGACGGAGTCTCGCTCAGTCACCCAGGCTGGAGTGCAGTGGCATGATCTCGGCTAACTGCCAGCTCCGCCTCCAGGGTTCACACCATTCTCCTGCCTCAGCCTCCCGAGTAGCTGGGACTACAGGCGCCCGCCACTATGCCTGGCTAATTGTTTTTGTATTTTTGGTAGAGACGGGGTTTCACTGTGTTATCCAGGATGGTCTTGATCTCCTGACCTCGCGATCCGCCCGTCTCAGCCTCCCAAAGTGCTGGGATTACAGGCGTGAGCCACCGCGCCCGGCCTAAAGAGACAAAGTCTTGCTCTGTTGCTTGGCCTGCAGTGCAGTGATGCAATCATAGCTCACTGCAGCCTCAAACTCCCAGGCTCAAGCAATCCTTCACCTCAGCCTCCCGAGTAGCTGCAACTACAGGCGTGCACTACTATGCCCAGCTAATTTTATTTGTACAGATGGGTCTTTCTATGTTGCTTAGGCTGTTCTCAAACTCCTGGGCTCAAGCGATCCTCCTCCCTTGCCCTCCCAAACAGTGGGATTATACCCACTGAGGCTGGCCAAGTTTCCTTCTTTGTAAAAAGGGGTAACAGTACTGCTTCCAGTAGTTGGCAGGAAGATTAGAATAGTGGCTAGTATGTGATGAGTGCTTAGTAAGTTTTGGGTGCTATGACAATAATGACAAGAATGATGTTGCTCCTCTGGCCAGGTAAGCCGGCACCCAATGACCTCAACTGCCCTCTTGGTCAGGAAGGCCACCCCATTGTGGGAAGTCATTCCATTTCAGACAGTGCTAAGGGCAATGAAAGAAAGAAATGGGACAGAAGAATGAACACTAGGGGAGAAGGGCTTCTGTAGAACTCGGGGTGAGCCCGGGAGTGTTAGGCTGGCCTGTCTCTGGTGACACGTGAGCAGAGATTTGAGGCTGCAGCCTGCCTTGAAGATCTGGGAGAAAACAGCTCTTGGCTAAAGACGGAACATAAGCAAAGGCCCTGAGGTGTGCACGGCCTGGAATGCCCAAAGAAGACATGGGGGCAGGCAGGGTGTGGGGGCTCATGCCTGTAATCCCAGCACTTTGGGAGGCTGAGGCAAAACTGTTTGAGATCAGGAGTTTGAGACCAGCCTGGGCAACATAGTGAGAACAAAACAAAACAAAAATTCATTAATTTTGGGCTAGGCGTGGTGCTCACGCCTGTAATCCTAGCACTTTGGGAGGCTGAGGCGGGAGTATCACTTGAGGTCAGGAGTTCCAGACCAGCCTGGCCAACATGGCAAACCCCATCTCTATTAAAAACACAAAAATTAGCCGAGCGTGGTGGCGGGTGCCTGTAATCCCAGCTACTCAGGAGGCTGAGGCAGGAGAATCGCTTGAACCCAGGAGGTGGAAATTGCAGTGAGCTGAGATCGTGCCACTGCACTCTAGCTTGGGCGACAGAATGAGACTGTCTCAAAAAAAAAAAAAAAAAAAAAAAAAAGCCAGGTGCGGTGGCTCACGCCTGTAATCCCAGCACTTTGGGAGGCCGAGGCAGACTGGAGTTTGAGACCACCCTGGCCAACATGGCAAAACTCCATCTCTACTAAAAATACAAAAATTAGCTGGGCATGGTGGTATGCACCTGTAATCCCAGCTACTCGGGAGGCTGAGGCAGGAGAATCGCTTGAACCTGGGAGGCAAAGTTTGCAGCGAGCCAAGATCATGCCACTGCACACTCCAGCTTGGGCGACAGAGTGAGACCCTGTCTCAAAAAAAAAAAAAAAAAAAAAAAAGACTGCAGGTGGCATAATGAGAACAGAGCTTGACACATCCAACAAGGATGGACTTTAATTTAACTCAATTAATTTTTTTAGAGGTAGATTCTTCCCTATGTTGCCTGAGCTGGATTTGAACTCCTGGGCTCATGCAATCCTCCTGCCTTGGCCTCCCAAATAGCCGGACTACAGGTGCACACCACCATGCCCAGTTCTAGACCTAATTTGATCAAATGGGATGCCCATCCTGTAAAGGCTCCGCCGTGGCCTGGTGTCTCTCATGTCTCAGGGAGGCCCTAGGGGCTGACCCACCTCGAAGGAAGAAGGTGTCGTGCTGGTCACGGGCTGGGTGCTGCTGGGGCTGGAAGAGGGCGTCAAAGTTCCAGAAGGAGCTCTCAATGAAGTTATCAGTCGGCATCTCGGTGAACCTGGTGGGAGACACAGCCTGACTGCCCTGCCTGTACCCAGCAGAAGCACCAGGCACCGCCCCCAGCCCTGTGCTCACCCCATCTCCAGGAAGATCTGTCGGAACTGGGAGCGGACCTTGAGCAGCGGGTGAAGGTGGCCGCTGTCGGGGAGGACACCGTGGGCCAAGAAGTTGTAGGGCTTGAAGGGCCGGTCCCGCCAAGAGCCACTGGGGGAGGATGCAAGGGCCTGGTAAGGGCTGCCCGCCCCTGCCCCCTGCCCCAGCTCCCACCTGCCCTGACCCTGGGGTTGCCTGCTACCTGGAGATCATCTCTGGGCTCAGCTCTGTCTCTTGCTTGGAGATGCTGGTACTAAAGGCACTGCCTTTGCTCACCCAGTAGGTCTTCAGAGTCCTGTGGCCAGGGGAAGGAAGGGGACGCCACTGCCATCTCCTCCTAGAGGACTTCCTTGATCTCCCGTCTGATGAGGATCCCCATGCTACCTACCAAGTCACTCTGCTTTATTTCCATCCTGACATTTATCACTACCTGAAATCCTCCTATGTGACCATGCTGTATCTCCCTGTATTCACTCACTGATTCATTCAACACTTACTGAGAACCTAATGTGTGCCAGGGTCTGTTCAAGGTGCTAAGTACACGACTGAGTGATGATACTAGGGAAAGTCTAGCAGATTTATTCTGTGCCAGGCTCTGTTCTGCAAAAGTCTCCCCACAAGCCCCGGAAAGAGGGCAGTTTTTTTTATTTGTTTGTTTGTTTTCCTTTTTTGAGACAGAGTTTTGCTCTTGTTGCCTAGGCTAGAGTGCAATGGCACGGTCTCAGCTCACTGCATCCTCCACCTCCCAGATTCAAGCGATTCTCCTGCCTCAGCCTCCAGAGTAGCTGGGATTACAGGCACCCGCCACCACACCCGGCTAAGTTTTGTATTTTCAGTAAAGACGAGGTTTCACCATGTTGGCCAGGCTGGTCTCGAACTCCTGACCTCAGGTGATTTGCCCGCCTCGGCCTCCCAAAGTGCTGGGATTACAGGCATGAGCCATCGTGCCTGGCCCCTTTTTCTTTGAGATGGGGGTCTCTCTATGTTGCCCAGGCTGGCCTTGAATTCATGGATTCAAGTGATCCTAACACTTCAGCCTCCTGAGTAGCTGGGATTACACACGTGAGCCACACACTTGGCCCAGGCTATTTTATAGATAAGGAAACGGAGACCAGCAAAGGCCAGGTGACTTGGCCAAGGTCATAAAACTAGTTAAGTGACAGAGCCCGAACTTCAGTTAGGCATCCCAGCTCTAGTCTCTTCTCTCTGCCACTCTGTGTCTGCTCAAAGGGGACATTTGTCCTGTGAGAGGACGGCCCCTAGCCCATCTAGGTTCCAGAGGCCTGTCTGGTGTGTGTTCATTAAACTTTGGACCACACTAAGGACAGTGAAAGAAATGAACAAGCACCAAAGATGAAGACTAGGGGCGATGGGCTTCATGGAACTCAAGGGGAGAGGAGGGCTGTCAGGGTGGCCTCTTTAAGGGGACACAGGAGAGAGACTTGATGAGGAGCCTATCTTGAAGATCAGAGGGAAAACAGTTCTCAGCAGAAGGGTCCTCATGGGCAAAGACCCCAAGGCACGTAGGCTTGACAACTATGGCATTAAGCGAGCTGGGAGGAAACTGGCCACACCTGTGCTTGGTGTGGGCAAGATGTCTCCCTCCCACCATGCCTCCACCATGCTTCGCAGGTGGTGGGGGCCTGAGCCTGCAGGGGGCACCCACTCACACTTCAGCCAACAGCTTCCTCTTCCTCAGCTCGCTCCTCTCCTTCTCCCCCAGCTTCTCAGCCTGTCCCCCCCGGACCAGCTGGAGCCGCCGCTGCACCTCATCCTCCATGCTGTCCACCTGCCAGGATAAGGAGTGTGAGGGGTATGAGGGCCAGGGGCCCATGTGCCCGTCCACCTGCCCCCTGACCAGCCCGCAGGAACGCACCACTCGGAACACCCGGGGCCCGTCAGCCGCACTCTTGTCCACCCGAATCCACTTGTTGGACATGGCCTTGCTGAAGCCCACTTTGCCACTGGGCAGTCGCTGGAAAAGAGAGGCTGCAGTGAGTGGGGCACGAGGGCCACCTTCATCCCATCACTCACTCCCCATTCACCCCGCAGCTCCTACCATAAGCTCGCTCTGGGCCAGGCCCTCTGGGGGAATGCTTCGAAACACACGGGCCTCATGGCTGCCCTCCCGGGCAATCTCCTCGCCCTCCGCAGTAAGCTCCCAGTGCTTGGTGGACCGAAGTTCAGCCTCGATGACCTAGAGGGAAATGTGGGGAGGGTGTCCAGGCAGGGGTGAGGCTCAGAGCCAGGCACCCCCTTTCTGCAGCGCTGGGTCCCAGGTTGAAAGCACAGCCCTTAAAGCTAGGTTCACATCCCAGCTATACAACTTTACAGCCAAGTGGTCTCAAGGGAAAGACTTCCCCTTGCTGTGTCTCCATTTCCCTTATGTAACACAGGGGTAGTAATAATGATAGTTTACACCTCCCAGGGTAAAGTACACCACTAAAGATGTTACCTGGCAGAAGACAAATTCTGTCGGTTTTGAACCTGTGACAGATTTTAATGTGAAAAATTAGGTGAACTGATATGTCTCCACATTTTTTTGTTTGTTTTTGTTTTCTTTGAAAGGGGGTCTCACCCTGTCACTAGGCTGGGTGCAGTGGTGTGATCATAGCTCACTGCAGCCTAGACCTCCTGGGCTCAAGCGATCCTTCCGCCAGTCCCGAGTAGCTGGGACTACAGGCATGTGCCGCCACACCTGGTTAATTTTTAAATTACTTTTTTTTTTTGAGACGGAGTCTTGCACTGTCGCTCAGGCTAGAGTGCAATGGTGCGATCTCGGTTCACTGCAACCTCTGCCTCCCGGGTTCAAATGATTCTCCTGCCTCAGCCTCCCGAGTAGCTCGGATTACAGGTGCCCACCACCACCCCCAGCTAATTTTTGTATTTTTAGTAGAGATGGGGTTTCACCATGTTGGCCAGGCTGGTCTCAAACTCCTGACCTCGTAATCGGCCGACTCCGCCTCCCAAAGTGCTAGGATTACAGGCGTGAGCCGCCGTGCCCGGCCCTTTAAATTACTTTTTAAAGACAGGGTGTTGTTATGTTGTCCAGGCTGGTCTCAAACTCCTGGCCTCAAGTGATTCTCCTTCCTCAGCCTCCCAAAGTGCTGGCATAATGGGCATGAGCCACCATACCCAGCCTGTCTCCATGTTTAAATGTTCACATGTCAGTGCCCAGAATGTCAGAGACGGGCCCTGGAGGTCCACATTACAAACAAAAACTGAGGTTCCAGGTCCAGAGTCATGAAGACAAGGACAACAAGGGTAAGTAGAGTGCACAGGGCCTGGCTCCCACTTCATTCTAATCCCAACTCTGCCCTTCACTTACTGTGTGACCTCAGGAAAGTTGCTTAACCTCTCAGTGACTCTTCTCATCCATAAGAGAAAGGTGTGATGGGTTCTACCTCAGATGATTTTAAGGAGTAGCTAAATTAATACTCAGAAAGAATATATAGTGCCTACCACGTGACAAACACTGCATAAATTTTTTTTTTTTTTTTTTTTGAGACGGAGTCTCGCTCTGTCGCCCAGGCTGGAGTGCGATCTCGGCTCACTGCAACCTCCACCTCCCGATTCAAACAATTCTCTGCCTCAGCCTCCCAAGTAGCTGGGATTACGGGTGCCCACCAACACGCCTGGCTAATTTTTTTTTGTATTTTTAGTAGAGACAGGGTTTCATCATCTTGGCCAGGCTGGTCTTGAACTCCTGACCTCGTGATCCACCCGCCTTGGTCTCCCAAAGTGCTGGGATTACAGGTGTGACCACTGCACCCGGCATAAATTCTAATTACTATAATTATTTTTATGGCTATTACTGTCATTAGATTGAACCTCACCTCCTTATATTATTTAACCCTCTGTGACGTATACAAATGTCAGATCATATTGGTCAAGGCACTGTCACCCCACACAACACAGCTGCCATCTCTCCTCTGCATTGAGGACTATGGGCTCTGCAGCCTGAGTGCCTAATTTCAAATCTGGGCTCATCGGCCTCTTCTATTCACACTGATTATGTTACTGACCATCAGTTGTCACATCTGCAAAATGGGAATAACATGGCCATCAGCCAGGATTATGGAATGGATTGGACAAACAAGCTGAGACCAAAGTGGGGCACAGAACATGAGCTCTACGGATAAACAGCCCAGATCCTGGCCCCATGGATCTAGCCTTCTGGGTGGCCCACGGGCCCCTCAGCATCCTACGCCTGTGACTCTGTCACTGTCCACTTGCCCAAGTCAGAAGGCTGGACTTCATCTGTGCGCCCCCTGCCTTGTCCTGAATCCCACGCCTTCCCCACCTCCCCCAAGCTTCCTTCCCATAGCCAGACATCATGCCCTCCAGCTTGGGGAAGTGCCAGCTTCTTCTTTCATCCCTTCACCTCCAGTCCTGTCCATGCCAATTCTTCCCAAAGGTGATGTGGATAGCACACTCATCTGACCGGCTCTAGCTCCTGCTATCGCTTCCCAGTTCCCTCATGAGGTAAAGACCTAAGAGGCTTTGCAATTACAGCTATGCTGGTCTCCCTTGCCGCCTGCCATCCCCCAAGATCCCGGCCACTGATCTCTAAAGTGCTATCACTTTCCTCAACAGAGAACAGACTCAGCCGTCACCTGCACCAGGCCGCTCTCCCTGACCCCCAAGGCTGGGTCAGCTGTCACAGCTGGGTCCCCTGTTTTCCCCCATCACTCTGGTTCTTGAAGCACCTTCCTATTACGTCGCAACCTGCGTGAGGGCAGCAACCGCGACTTCCTCGTCCATCATCGTACCCTCTACCCACGCTGACCGTGCCTCAATAAACGTTTATTGCATGAGGAACATCCGTGCGTCTGGGCCCTCACTCGTCCCACTTCCCGCCCGCACATCCCGGAGTGGACACATATACAGCTACCCCAAACTAGGCCTGAGGGAATTTGGCTTGGACGTAGAGCGCCCGTGGCAAGGGGACTGTAGGTGCAAGGGCAAGGCGGTCCGGCATCACGGGCCCGGCTCACCTCGCCCAGCGCCTGAAGGCTCTTCACGGCGCCCACCACCGCCTGGTGCTCCATGCCCAGCTCAGCCGCCAACTCGGCGCTGTCCAGGCCGCCATCAGACGCCTCCAGCCGCCGGAGCAGCAGTTCCGCCACCTGACCATCCGCCATGACTCCTTCCAGTGTGCTCAGCGTGTCCGGGCCCGGGTGGGCGGGGGGAGCTGAGCCACCGGAACCGGAACCGGAGTGTGTACCGCCATCTTGAATGTGTCTAACTGTAGAACAGGGCTCAATGTGTCGTCATCTTGAGTGTGGCGACGGAGCCGCAAAAGGTGCATGGGACTCAGTTCCCACCTCCACCCTGGCTCCATCAATGGCGTCTGGTTGACCAGAGGGGTAAAATTGATTATCTCAAGGTCAGAAGCACCGCCCTGTTTTGAGTTTTATCTAGCCTCACTTCGAGCGGGCTGTGTGACCTTGGACTTCCCCGTCTCTGGGTTACAGAACCCTCTGCCCTTCTGGTATTCTCTCTTGCCCTAGGAGAGGCGGTGGGTGGTGGGCTCCAGAGATGGTCATTTTGGCGATGTCAGCTACTTTTAAAATTTCAAAGGAAGGCTGGGTAGGTACCGTCCCTTTTTATAGAGGGAAAAGGAATTCACCTAGTAAGTCAAGGTGGCACCTAACCTGTGTGGACTACCTCGTATGTGGTAGTACTTAGCCCAGAACTGAGTACTTCACGTGTAGTATTTCATTTATCCCCAAAACTTTATGATGTAGATACTGATATAACCGCATTACACATGTGAGAAAACTGAGGCTCAGAGGGTGGTATGACTTGCCCAAGGTTCTACAGAGAGTTGGTGGAAATGAAGTCATAAATTATAAACCTTCCAGATCCTCCCACCCCTGTGCGCTGAGAGTAACGTCAGTGCAAATACTGCATGGCCTAGATTAGCACTGTCCTATAGAAACACAGTGCAAAACATCTTTCTTTTTTGAGACAGGGTCTTGCTCTGTCACCCATGCTGGAGTGCAGTGGTGCAATTATGGCTTACTGCAGCCTTGACTTCCCAGGCTCTAAGGATCCTCCAACCTTAGGCTCCTGAGTAGCTGGAACTGCAGGTGCGCGCCACCACACCCAGCTTTTTTTTTTTTTTTAAGTATGGGTTTTGGCCATGTTGCCCAGGCTGGTCTCAAACTCCTAGGCTCAGGTTATCCTCCTGCATCGGTCTCCCAAAATGCTGGCATTAGAGGCATGACCCACCTCGCCCAGCCAGCCAGACCCTGACTCTTACAAAAAAAAAGATGACTAATAAAATATTTTGCACTCGGCCGGGCACAGTGGCTCACCTCTGTAATCCCAGCACTTTGGGAGGCCGAGGCGGGTGGATCACCTGAGGTCGGGAGTTTGAGACCAGCCTGACCAACATGGAGAAACCCCGTCTCTACTAAAAATACAAAATTAGCAGGGCGTGGTGGCGCATGCCTGTAATCTCAGCTACTTGGGAGGCTGAGGCAGGAGAGTCGCTTGAACCTGGGAGGCAGAGGTTGTGGTGAGCCGAGATCGTGTCATTGCACTCCAGCCTGGGTGACAAGGCGAAACTCCGTCTCAAAAAAAAAAAAATTGCACTTTTTTTCATACTAAATCTTCAAAATCTGATGCGTATTTTACACTTACAACACATCTCAGTTCGGACCAACCACATTTCAAATGGTCAGTAATCACATGTGGGCAGTGGTGACTTACGTCAGCACAGGTAGATTAGAATCCTAGATCTGCTGGCCAGGCTCAGTAATCCCAGCACTTTGGGAGGCTGAGGCGGGTGAATCACCTGAGGTCAGGAGTTCAAGACCAGCTTGGCCAAGATGGCGAAACCCCATCTCCTCTAAAAACACAAAAATTAGCTGGGTGCAGTGGGGGTGCCTGTAATCCCAGCTACACGGGAAGCTGAGGCAGGAGAATCACTTGAGCCTGGTAGGTGGAGCTTGCAGTGAGCAGAGATCGCACCACTGCACTCCAGCCTCGGTGACAGAGCAAGGCTCTGTCTCAAAAAAAAAAAAAAAAAAAAAAAAGAATCCTAGATCTGTTATTTATGTCATTCAACCAGAAGGTGTAGTCTTTCTGTGCCTCAGTTTCTTGCTCACATGGAGGTGATTGGAGCCCAGGTTACTGTGAGAATTAAATGCCCACACATATTCACACTGCTTACTAAATTGAGTGTGGCCCATGTTCGAACACTCTTATAAGCAGAACACATTTATTCCTTTTACATCACAATTATTATTTGAGTCTGTAAAATGGGATTACTCATATCCCCAAATCCTGACCCTATATGAGGTTCTGTATTAAGGATACATTTCTCAAAGTCCCTTCTCTCCTCCCATTTTATGTTGATTATTTATTTATTTATTTAGGGAGTGGGTCTCACTCTATTGCCCAGGCTGGAGTGCAGTGGCATGATCTTGGCTGACTGCAGCCTCCACCTCCTGGGCTCAAGCAATCCTCTCACCTCAGCCTCCCGAGTAGTTGGGACTACAGGTGTGTACCAGCAGGCCAGGCTAATTTGTGTTATGTATATTATATATTATATGCTATATATAATATACATACTATTCATATATTTATGCATTATATGTCATATATAATATATTACATATGTGTACATATATATATTTTGTAAGAATGAGGTTCCACCATGTTGCCCAGGCTGGTTTTGAACTGCCGGGCTCAAACAATCTGCCTGCCTCAGGTTCCCAAGGTGCTAGGATTATAAGTGTGAACTACCATGTCCGGCTTATTTTTATTTATTTTTGAGACAGGGTCTTGCTCTGTAACCCAGGCTAGAGTGTGCAGTGGCAACAACACAGCTCACGGCAGCGTCAACCTCCTGGTCTCAAGTGATCCTCCTGCCTCAGCCTTCTGAGTAGCTGGGAACACAGGCAGGCGCCACCACGCCTGGCAATTAAAAAAAATGTTTTTGTAAAAATGGCCTCCTGCTATGTTGCCCAGGCTGGTCTTGAACTCCTGGCCTTAAGCATTCCTCCCATCTTGGCCTGCCAAAGTGTTGGGATTACAGGCGTGAGCCACTGTGCCCCGTGTGTTTTTAGTTAATTTCCACAAGAGTCCTTCCTTCCTCTCTTCTATCATGCAGCAAGTACTTTTTAAGCCTGTTCTGTGCCAGGTGCTGCAGGTGACACTGGAGGATGCGAAGTGAACAAAACAGGCAGTGTCTAACCTCAAGTAGGAAGCGCCAAGCCCACAGGTGCCTGACACAGGAACAGGAGGAAGGGTCAGCAAGAGGCCTGGGATGGTCCCCGGGATCCTCATGGGGGGGACCAGACTAGGCAATACTGAATACTACCTAGAGGAAGTGGTAGAACCCCAACTTCCCAGTTCATTCTCCCCCGTCTTTTTTTCGAGATGGAGTCTTGCTCTGTCACCTGGGCTGGTGGGCTGGAGTGGAGTGGCGTGATCTTGGCTCACTGCAATCTCTGGCTCCCAGGTTCAAGCGATTCTCCCACCTCAGCCTCCCGAGTACTGGGATTAGAGGCACCCGCCACCACGCCTGGCTAATTTTTATTTATTTATTTATTTTTATTTTTAGTGGAGATGGGTTT
Source organism: Homo sapiens (assembly GCF_000001405.40). Lineage (NCBI taxonomy): Eukaryota > Metazoa > Chordata > Mammalia > Primates > Hominidae > Homo > Homo sapiens. The sequence continues at coordinate 12,937,144 of NC_000019.10, forward strand.
TCACCTTGTTGGCCAGGCTGGTCTCGAACTGACCTAAAATGATCTGCCCGCCTCGGCCTCCCCAAGTGCTGGGTTTACAGGCGTGAGCCACTGCGCCCGGCCACCATTTCTTTTTTTTTTTTTTAACCAGAGACCCTTGCCAAGTCATTCCCCCCACTCCACTTTATTTTCCTTTTCATTTTTTCCTTCCTCTCTTTTCTGAGTCACAACCATTAGCCAGGAAGCACCCCCTCCCCACCCTCTTTCCTGGATCCCCCTCATTCCCTCCTTCCATAGTCCACTCCCGCGCTCCCAGGTCCAGGGCTTATTTGCCCAGAGTTTGGAAAACCCCCAGCTCTCCTTCCTCCTTTCTACAGCGTGGGGGCAGGGTACTGGTGCCAGTCACGTGCCTCTGGCTTCTGAAGAAGACTCTAGACTGGGGTCGGGGGGTGGGTCCTGCCCATCTCCCTAGCATCTTATCGTCCCTACCATCTGTGTCTTTTTTCCCTCCCCAAACGGAACCCCCTGCCCTCTCGCCTGCCTATAGCCGTTTAATTGCAAAAGCCAGGCCGTTTGTGGGAGACCACAGACAGCGACCCCCTTCATTTACCGGTTGAGAGGAGGGTAAAGGGGCGGCTGCAATCTGGGTAATAACCCTATCCCCACTCCAGAAGTCACAGTCACATCGTTAAGCCTTCCTCCCCTCTTGTCCCAGGACAGCTTTAAAAACGTTAAAAGCATTTCTGCTGGGTAGCATCTGGCCAGGGTCGCCCCCTCTGTCTGCTCAGGAACGTCTGTCACTTCAGAGAGCTTAAGTGACTTGCCCCGGTCACACAGCAGCAGTCCGATAGGCTGCCAGGGCTCTAGGGGCAGAAGGAGGAGAGGGCTGGCATTCTTCCCACCGGCCCGCGTGACTGTAGCACCGGGGTGCAGCGAAGCCCCAAGGGCCCCAATCCGTGAGCTCTCTCCCATCCCAGGCAGGGGTGGGGGAGCAGCAGTGGGGTGCTGGTTCTCAAATGCAAGATAAGAGCTGGCTAAGAAAGCCTTGCCCAGCCCCTCCACCTAGAGGGAATGGGAGGGAGAGAAGCTGAGGGCAGGGTCCCGGTCCCGCGTGGAGACAGCTGCGCTCCCGCGGTTTCTTTAAACGCCCAGATGGGCAACGACGCGCGCGGACGAGGGCGGGGTTGGGTTCAGGTCTGGTCACATGACCTGGCCTGAGGTGCTCGCGGCCCCCACCCCACCAGTGGGCGTCCCCCCCACGCGTGGTCGACCATCATTGGTCGGTGGTGAGGCCAATAGAAATCGGCCATCTGGGAACCCAGCGTTCCGAGGCGCAGCCTAACATAGTGAACCGACGAAGGTCCAATGGAAAAAGACGGCCATGGGCATAGACCAATGACAAAGTGGCAGGGGCGGGCCCAAGGGCTGGGTCAGGTTGGTTTGAGAGGCGGGTGGGTATAAAAGTGCAAGGCGGGCGGCGGCGTCCGTCCGTACTGCAGAGCCGCTGCCGGAGGGTCGTTTTAAAGGGCCCGCGCGTTGCCGCCCCCTCGGCCCGCCATGCTGCTATCCGTGCCGCTGCTGCTCGGCCTCCTCGGCCTGGCCGTCGCCGAGCCTGCCGTCTACTTCAAGGAGCAGTTTCTGGACGGAGGTAACGCCTGGTCCCGCCTCGAGGCCGCCCCGACGACGCGGCCGGCCCCCGATCCTGGATCTGCGTTGTCGCCCGTAATTACCGTTTAGAGGTCCAACACGGTGGCCTCCCGGGACTAGAGCCGCGGGCGATTTCTCTTCTGCGTCCCTGGGGAGCGCGGAGGGCGTAGCGGCCTCCCGCGGCGGGAGTTAGGGTTAGCCCGAGGATCTCTGAAGGCACCCGACGTGTCAAACTAGAGGTTGGAATGGGGAGTGTCGGGGATCTCCTTTCCTGTCCCCAGCAGCTTGTGGCTCTCGGCAGATGTTTGGTGTGGGGGGGGATTAGCACAGCCGCTCTGACCTACCCCTCTAATCCCCCACTTAGACGGGTGGACTTCCCGCTGGATCGAATCCAAACACAAGTCAGATTTTGGCAAATTCGTTCTCAGTTCCGGCAAGTTCTACGGTGACGAGGAGAAAGATAAAGGTAAGAGCCTAGGAGTGGGTGCTCAGATCCGGGAGGACTTCCTGGCAGAAGTCCTTGTCTGTACACACACAGCCGGGACAGTCCCCTTGGAGGAGGACAGGTGGAGGAAGTGGGGGAGTCTTCTCTATTCTCTAAGTCGAGGGTCCTCGCGAGTCAAGGCCCAACGGTGACCTCACTACCGTCCCGTCTCAGGTTTGCAGACAAGCCAGGATGCACGCTTTTATGCTCTGTCGGCCAGTTTCGAGCCTTTCAGCAACAAAGGCCAGACGCTGGTGGTGCAGTTCACGGTGAAACATGAGCAGAACATCGACTGTGGGGGCGGCTATGTGAAGCTGTTTCCTAATAGTTTGGACCAGACAGACATGCACGGAGACTCAGAATACAACATCATGTTTGGTGAGGGCCTGCTTCCTGGTGCTGATCTCTGTCCCATTAGTTAGAGGGAGACCCAGACCCCATTGACTTTCTTAATAATGATTTTTTTTGGAAGGGGAGCTAAAAGAATAAGTCCCAGCAACAATTTATTGCATTATGATCGCAGATCTAGGCTGTTAATTTAATTTGCGTGTTTGTATATAGTTATTTCCCAATCTTACTAATGAGGATTTTGAGTTCTAGAGCACTGATTTTTTTTTTTTCTCCTTTAAACTTAAGGCTCCACCCACAGCCCATTCAGGACAGAATCAGGGTCTGAGTTTCTCTTCTCAGCCTTGACAGACCCGAGTTGAAGAACCAGGTCTTCCTTTTATAAAGAGGGGTGAGAGCCTCGAGATGATGGGTAGTCTCTGACTCTTAACTGGATCTGCTTCACACCTAGGTCCCGACATCTGTGGCCCTGGCACCAAGAAGGTTCATGTCATCTTCAACTACAAGGGCAAGAACGTGCTGATCAACAAGGACATCCGTTGCAAGGTGTGCCTGGGGGTGGTGGCAAATGGCTGTCATGGGGAGATTCAGAGGTCAGCCTCATTGGGGGGTGGCCCCCGCTCACCTTCTTCCTTCTTCAGGATGATGAGTTTACACACCTGTACACACTGATTGTGCGGCCAGACAACACCTATGAGGTGAAGATTGACAACAGCCAGGTGGAGTCCGGCTCCTTGGAAGACGATTGGGACTTCCTGCCACCCAAGAAGATAAAGGATCCTGATGCTTCAAAACCGGAAGACTGGGATGAGCGGGCCAAGATCGATGATCCCACAGACTCCAAGCCTGAGGTTGGTGTTTGGGCAGGGGCTCTGCTCTCCACATTGGAGGGTGTGGAAGACATCTGGGCCAACTCTGATCTCTTCATCTACCCCCCAGGACTGGGACAAGCCCGAGCATATCCCTGACCCTGATGCTAAGAAGCCCGAGGACTGGGATGAAGAGATGGACGGAGAGTGGGAACCCCCAGTGATTCAGAACCCTGAGTACAAGGTGAGTTTGGGGCTCTGAGCAGGGCTGGGGCTCACAGTGGGGAGTGCACCAACCTTACTCACCCTTCGGTTTCCTTCTCCCTTCTGCAGGGTGAGTGGAAGCCCCGGCAGATCGACAACCCAGATTACAAGGGCACTTGGATCCACCCAGAAATTGACAACCCCGAGTATTCTCCCGATCCCAGTATCTATGCCTATGATAACTTTGGCGTGCTGGGCCTGGACCTCTGGCAGGTGAGACTTGGAGGAAAAAGGAGGATCCCTGGGGTACCTCAAGTGCATAAGATCACCCAAGAGGAAAGGGACAGGGTAGGCACCCCAGGTGAGTCTGACTCAAAAATGGTACTTCTTGTAAACAGTACTTCCTGGTCTGTCCCTGTGAAGTCCTCACAGCAACCCCTTTAAGGTTATACTTGCTGTGCACCAAGTACTTCCCCAAGTACTTTTATGCAAATCAACTTCTTTACCCCCAAAGACCTAGAAGGTGGTCAGGTAACCCAGTTAGTTAGCTGGGGCTGGGCACAGTGGCTCACCCTTACAATCACGGTACTTTGGGAGGCTGAGACAGAGGATTGCTTGAGGCCAGGAGTTACACAACTCAACCTAGCTTGGCAACACAGCGAGGAGACCCTATCTCTACAAAAAAAATTTTTTTTTTTGAGACAGAGTTTCACTCTTGTTGCTGAGGCTGGAGTGCAATGGCACGATCTCAGCTCACTGCGCCCTCCGTCTCCTGGTTTCAAGCGATTCTCCTGCCTCAGCCTCCGGAGTAGCTGGGATTACAGGCATGTGCTACTATGGATGCCAGGCTAATTTTTTTTTTTTTTTTTTTTTTTGAGACCGTGCCTTGCTCTGTCGCCCAGGCTGGAGTGCAGTGGTGTGATCTCTGCTCACTGCAAGCTCCGCACGACCCCCCAGGTTCACTCCATTCTTCTGCCTCAGGGTCCCGAGTAACTGGGACTACAGGCACCCCCCACCATGCCTGGCTAATTTTTTTGTATTTTTTTTTTTAGTACAGACATGGTTTCACCGTGTTAGCCAGGATGGTCTCCATCTCCTGACCTCATGAACCACCCACCTTGGCCTCCCAAAGTGCTGGGATTACAGGCGTGAGCCACCTCACCCAGCCTTTTTGTAGAGACAGGGCTTCATGTTGCCCAGGTTGGTCTCGAACTCCTGGCCTCAGGTCATCTGCCCGCCTCGGCCTCCCAAAGTGCTGGGATTACAAGGGTTAGCCACCATGCCTAGCCTCTACAAAAACTTTAAAAATTGGCGAGATGTCATGCATACCTGTAGTCCCAACTACCAAGGAAGAAGGATGATCACTTGAGCCTGGGGCATCGAGGCTGCAGTGAGCCATGATTATGTCACTGCACTCCAGCCTCGGTGACAGAGTGAGACCCTCTCAAAAAAAGTTGGGACTTGGCCGGACACAGTGGCTCACACCTGTAATCCCAGCACTTTGGGAGGCCAAGGCGGGTGGATCACAAGGTCAGGAGATGGAGACCATCCTGGCTAACATGGTGAATGAAACCCCATCTCTAGTAAAAATACAAAAAATTTGCCAGGTGTGGTGGTGGGCGCCTGTAGTCCCAGCTACTCGGGAGGCTGAGGCAAAAGGATGACGTGAACCCGGGAGGCGGAGCTTGCAGTGAGCTGAGATCATGCCATTGCACTCCAGCCTGGGTGATAGCGAGACTCTGTCCCAAAAAAAAAAAAAAATGCTGGGACTGAATTTTTGTCTGTTTTGGTCACTGAAATACCTTCTGTGCCCAAGACAGTTCTGGCATGTAGTAGGTACCTGAAAAATACCTGAATAAGAGAGTGAGAAACAAGAAACAGGTGCAGAGAACTGAAGTCAGTGGCCCAAGGTCATGGGGGTAGGAAACCACAAAGCTGGGGTTTGAACCTGGGCAGTACAGCACCTGAGTCTCTCCATCTTTTTTTTTTTTTTTTTTTAAGACAGAGTCTTGCTCTGTCACCCAGGTTGGAGTGCAGTGGCTTGATCTCGGCTCACTGCAGCCTCTGCCTTCCAGGTTCAAGTGATTCTCATGCCTCATCCTCTCGAGCAGCTGGAATTACAGGCATGCGCCACGACGCTGGGCTTTTTTTTTTTTGAGATGGAATTTCACTCTTGTTGCCCAGGCTGGAGTGCAATGATGCAATCTCGGCGGCTCACCACAACCTCTGCATCCCAGATTCAAGCGATTCTCCTGCCTCGGCCTCCTGAGTAGCTGGGATTACAGGGATGCGCCATCACAGACCCCGGGCTAATTTTTTTTAGTAGAGACAGAGTTTCACTATGTTGCCCAGGTTGGTCTCGAACTCCTGGCCTCAAGTGATCCGTTCGCCATGACCTCCCAAAGTGCTGGGATTACAGGCATGAGCCCGTCCCGTCCCTGGCTGTCTCTCCATCTTTCCATCTTTTTTTTTTTTTTTTTTTTTTTTGGAGATGGAGTCTCACTCTGTCACCCAGGCTGGAGTGCAGTGGCACGATCTTGGCTCACTGCAAGCTCCGCCTCCTGGGTTCACATCATTCTCCTGTCTCAGCCTCCCAAATAGCTGGGACTACAGGCACTTGCCACCACGCCTGGCTGATTTTTTGTATTTTTAGTAGAGACGGGGTTTCACCGTGTTAGCCAGGGTGGTCTCGATCTCCTGACCTCGTGATCCGCCCACCTTGGCCTCTGGGCGAGGATTACAGGCGTGATCCACCTCACCTGGCCTCTCCATCTTTTTAACTGCAGTGTCAGCGGTGTTCCTTGTCTTCTCTGCAGATGCAGGCAGCAGAATATAGTGGTTATAGGAACACAGGTGGAAACCCTGTCCAAAGCAAGGGCTATCGGGTATCACCTCTGACCATCCTTCCCATTCATCCTCCAGGTCAAGTCTGGCACCATCTTTGACAACTTCCTCATCACCAACGATGAGGCATACGCTGAGGAGTTTGGCAACGAGACGTGGGGCGTAACAAAGGTGAGGCCTGGTCCTGGTCCTGATGTCGGGGGCGGGCAGGGCTGGCAGGGGGCAAGGCCCTGAGGTGTGTGCTCTGCCTGCAGGCAGCAGAGAAACAAATGAAGGACAAACAGGACGAGGAGCAGAGGCTTAAGGAGGAGGAAGAAGACAAGAAACGCAAAGAGGAGGAGGAGGCAGAGGACAAGGAGGATGATGAGGACAAAGATGAGGATGAGGAGGATGAGGAGGACAAGGAGGAAGATGAGGAGGAAGATGTCCCCGGCCAGGCCAAGGACGAGCTGTAGAGAGGCCTGCCTCCAGGGCTGGACTGAGGCCTGAGCGCTCCTGCCGCAGAGCTGGCCGCGCCAAATAATGTCTCTGTGAGACTCGAGAACTTTCATTTTTTTCCAGGCTGGTTCGGATTTGGGGTGGATTTTGGTTTTGTTCCCCTCCTCCACTCTCCCCCACCCCCTCCCCGCCCTTTTTTTTTTTTTTTTTTAAACTGGTATTTTATCTTTGATTCTCCTTCAGCCCTCACCCCTGGTTCTCATCTTTCTTGATCAACATCTTTTCTTGCCTCTGTCCCCTTCTCTCATCTCTTAGCTCCCCTCCAACCTGGGGGGCAGTGGTGTGGAGAAGCCACAGGCCTGAGATTTCATCTGCTCTCCTTCCTGGAGCCCAGAGGAGGGCAGCAGAAGGGGGTGGTGTCTCCAACCCCCCAGCACTGAGGAAGAACGGGGCTCTTCTCATTTCACCCCTCCCTTTCTCCCCTGCCCCCAGGACTGGGCCACTTCTGGGTGGGGCAGTGGGTCCCAGATTGGCTCACACTGAGAATGTAAGAACTACAAACAAAATTTCTATTAAATTAAATTTTGTGTCTCCCTCCTGTGTCTCCTTCTGGGGAAAGACAGACTTAAGGAAACCCAGCAGTGGTCTTTTTGGGGGGGGGGGGGGTTTCCAGTATATCTCCTTTTTCAGCTATTGCTAGAGAGGTTGCTGAGTGTTCCACAAGATTCCAGGGACCCTTATTTACCCCATAACCCTCAAAACCAACGGGGGAATGGCTGTTGCTGCTGTAAATACTCCACATACTAACTTACTGAATCCTTGAACCTAACTGGTAAGTTTTGGTTCTGCTTATTTATTTATTTTTAAGATAGACTCTCGCTCTGTTGTCCAGGCTGGCGTACAGTGGCTCAATCTGGTTCACCCTGCCCCTTAAACTGGCCTTTTTCATGCTTCTATTCCTTTGGGGTCCTGTGGCTCAGCCCAACCCCTCTGGGATGCCTCCAGGACTGGTAGATCCAAGGGAGAATTCTGTATTTAATGTAGTGAGGCTTTGAAAGTTAACATCTTTAAATACTTCTGGGGTCAGATTAGGTATAGTACAACAAAGTACTCCTGCCCGGAGACCCAAGAATGAAAATTGTAGGTTCATTCCAAAACTCCAGATCCCTAAAGAATGAATGAGGCTACAAAATGGCACCTTGCCCCCGCTTCCAACTTAAGGTTTTTTTTCTGTGCTTGGTGGCCTTTCAGGTATTTCTAGTTTTGAGTAACTTTCACTTTGACTGCTCTACAAGGGTTCCTGCCAGGATACCCAGACCAGAATAAAACTCATTTGGGGGCCGGGTACGGTGGTTCACGCCTGTAATCCCAGCACTTTGGGAGGCCGAGGCGGGTGGATCACCTGAGGTCAGGAGTTTTGAGACCAGCCTGGCCAACACGGTGAAACCCAATACAAAAAATTATCCGGGCGTGGTGGGGGGTGCCTGTAATCCCAGTTACTCGGGAGGCTGAGGCAGGAGAATTGCATGAACCCGGAAGGCGGAAGCTGCAGTGAGCCGAGATCGCGCCACTGCACTCCAGCCTGGGTGACAGAGACTGTTTGAAAGAAAAAATTCTCATTTGGAAGAGGCAAAATGAGGTTTTTACAGAAGAAATACAAATGTCTGTAACCAGTACAGGTACATAAAAACTTTGTTAAAAATTCATTTGAGCGTGAGAGTGGGGACACCAGAGTCACTTTGCAGCCCCGTGACGTCACCGATAACGGGCATGGCGTCACTCAGGAGACCACGTGTGCGGGCCGAGCAAGAAGCCCCGCCCACAGCGCGGAGTTTAGTCTGCGCGTGCCTCGCTCGAGAACGCGCTCGTGCGCATGCCCACAAAGGCCAAGGAGGGAGTGCGCAGGTCACGTGCGCCGGTGGTCAGCGCGCGCATTGCCTGCCCCGGAAGTGGTCGGCGCGCGGCGCGGCGCGCCTGGGCGCTAAGATGGCGGCGGCGTGAGTTGCATGTTGTGTGAGGATCCCGGGGCCGCCGCGTCGCTCGGGCCCCGCCATGGCCGTCACCATCACGCTCAAAACGCTGCAGCAGCAGACCTTCAAGATCCGCATGGAGCCTGACGAGACGGTGCGGGCCGGGCCGGAGCCCGGGGGCGGGAGCGACGGGTTTCGGGGGTGGGGTGGGGGCGGGGAGGCTAGAATCCCAACGGGAGGGGCAGGGAGGACGGCGCGGGTCGGCCCTGCCCAGACCCCCGACCTGCCCGACTTTCCTGGACCCCCCGATGGTCTTTGGCCCAGCCCCCAGCCGATCGGGCGGCGCTCCTGCGCCGGTCTCCGGGCGAGGCCCCACCCCCGGGGCGCTGGCCAGGCCCCGGCTCCAATGTCAGCGCTCTCGCGGGGCGCGGGAGTCACAAGCTCGGATTCCTGGGCAGGCCAAGCTCTCCAAGACTGGGCTCCACGTTCCCAGCTTTGCAGGCGTCTCCTTGGGACACTGGTGGTCGAATCTAGGAGTAATGACCAGGAGATACTGAGTAGTGACGACAACAACGATGTTAATGATAATAAACGGGTCTCAGTCTTTATAATTTTGGTGGTCCGTGTTTGTTGGCCGTTTACTTTTTATCAGTCACCGAGTGTTGTAGTGTTGTTTTACCGCTCTGCAAAACGGGCTTGTCATTGGGGACCTCTGATCATTTTACAGATGTGGAAACCTAGGGATTGAGGAACTTTGCCACAGTCACACACAAGTAATGGCAGAGCTGGGATTCAAATTCGGTTCTGCCTCGTGTGAGCGTCCACGATATAAATATTATGCTGCCTTTTTAGTCAAAAGTAGAATTAGGACCTAATTCAAACATACTGAATGTCTATTGGGTACTTGGCGCTTTTTGCATAGTGAGGGAGACATTGAAGTCCACTTTTTGTAGAAAAGGAAACACACATTTTTTGATCCGCTCAAGTGTTTGGCTTTGGGCAAGTTAACCTGCCTACCTGTCTGTGCCTCCGTTTTCTCAAATATCAAATGAACCGGTCGCCTGCTGGCTTCCGCCTGTAATCCCAGCACTTAGGGAGGCAGAGGGAAGAGGAGCCCTTGAGCCTAGGAATTCGAGATCATCCTGGCAACACAGTGAGACCCCGTTCTCTACAAAAAAAAGAAACAAAAATCAATAAATAAAATGAGACCAATTAAACGTATTTCATAGGAAACTTAAAAGGTATGACACATATACATTTACAGTAGCACTATTGGCCAGGCACGGTGGCTCATGCCTCTAATCCTGATGATTTGGGAGGCAGAGGCAGGAGGATTGCTTGAGGCCAGGAGTTTGAGACCAGCCAGTCTAACATAGGGAGACTCTTATCTACAAAAAAAAATTATTTTTAATTAGTCTGGAGTGGTGGTGTGTACCTTTAGTCCTAGCTACTCCCAAGGCTGGACAAGAGTACCAGTTGAGCCCAGGAGTTTGAGGCTGCAGTCAGCGATGATCGTGCCACATCAATCCAGCATGGGCGGCAGCGAGATCCTGCCTCTTAAAATTAAAAAATATCACTATTAACTATTAGTCACTTATTGTCCAAGGTAGAGTGTAGAGTGGGGGACTGTCCCCTTTATTCTGTTAATTATACTTTATACTACCCGAAATTACATTTTCTTCACATTAGTGTTCTCTCATTGAGAGCAGGGACTTACTTGTGTTGAGTTTGTTCTGTGCTGTGGCCTCTGTGTCTAAAACAGCACCTGGCACATAATGGGTGTTTAGTATAAGTAAATACTGTGTTGAATGGCATGATGATTGAATGAATTCAAATCTAGCATGCTTTAGATGCTGAGAAAGCTTAAAAAACCCAGCGTGCTTGCCTTTCTGCCATCAGGGCTGGCAGTTTCTCTGTCCTAAACTAGAAGGGAAAAGAGAATCTTGGGGTCTCCAGTGACTGTCTGTACCACTCCCTCTAGGTGAAGGTGCTAAAGGAGAAGATAGAAGCTGAGAAGGGTCGTGATGCCTTCCCCGTGGCTGGACAGAAACTCATCTATGCCGGCAAGATCTTGAGTGACGATGTCCCTATCAGGGACTATCGCATCGATGAGAAGAACTTTGTGGTCGTCATGGTGACCAAGGTGGGTGACGTGTGCTGGCTGGGAGGGTGGGTGGACGAGCTGGGGAGCTGGCAAAGAGCCTGTGTGCCCAGGAGAGATTAGCTGTGAACAGGGCGGGGCCACAGCGGAGCGGGTTGTTGGGTCTGATAGGGTTGCTGATGCCAGCTCCCTTTTTCTTGCTGTTGCAGACCAAAGCCGGCCAGGGTACCTCAGCACCCCCAGAGGCCTCACCCACAGCTGCCCCAGAGTCCTCTACATCCTTCCCGCCTGCCCCCACCTCAGGCATGTCCCATCCCCCACCTGCCGCCAGAGAGGACAAGAGCCCATCAGAGGAATCCGCCCCCACGACGTCCCCAGAGTCTGTGTCAGGGTAAGGCGGGGGCAGCAGTCCCAGCTTGGGCCCTGTCCTCCTAGCACATTCCAGCGTCCACATAAGTGGTCCCACACACCTGGAGGGAGGGCAAGCCGCCAGAAGCCAGGGTCCGATTTCTCTCTCTTGAATTTGCAGCTCTGTTCCCTCTTCAGGTAGCAGCGGGCGAGAGGAAGACGCGGCCTCCACGCTAGGTGGGTGGGTGGTCCCCAGGGCAGAGGTGACTGGGTGCCCCAGCCATCAGCTGGGCCTTGTCTGGGTGCGGGAGGGCCTGGGAGCTGCCCTTTCCTCTTCCTGGTGACCTAGGCTTTGCTGCTTCCTCCACAGTGACGGGCTCTGAGTATGAGACGATGCTGACGGAGATCATGTCCATGGGCTATGAGCGAGAGCGGGTCGTGGCCGCCCTGAGAGCCAGCTACAACAACCCCCACCGAGCCGTGGAGTATCTGCTCACGGTGAGGTGGGGCTTCCGCCTCCCGGGGAGGCCTTGAGGGAGTACCCGGGCGTCACTGCCCTGATGGGCGGTTGGGAAGGCAAAACCTGCCCTGAAAAGCCTTTGGGTAGTGATTCTAGCCACTAAAGGCTTCCCACAGGAGGCTGGATGTGAGTGATGGGTGGGCCTCTGGAGGGCAGGGCCGAGGCCTCATCTGTGTCCTGCCAGGGCATGGAGGAGGGTGGCAGCAGGAGGTCTGTGCATTAGAACTAAACAGGACCCCTGACAGGGAATTCCTGGGAGCCCCGAGCCGGAACACGGTTCTGTCCAGGAGAGCCAGGTATCGGAGCAGCCGGCCACGGAAGCAGGTGGGTGTGCACATGCCGCATCTGCCCTCCAGGTACCTGACTCACATTACACTCCACCCCGCAGTGCTCCTAGGAGCCCGGCGTGGTGTCTGACTGCACCCCTTCCTACTACCAGCAGGAGAGAACCCCCTGGAGTTCCTGCGGGACCAGCCCCAGTTCCAGAACATGCGGCAGGTGATTCAGCAGAACCCTGCGCTGCTGCCCGCCCTGCTCCAGCAGCTGGGCCAGGAGAACCCTCAGCTTTTACAGGTGTGGTCCCAAGGGCAGAGGGAGCTAGGGCAGCCACCATTTCCCTTCCCTGTGGGCACCAGAGTCCATAACACGTAGGAATCGTTCTAGGTCCGGAAAGCAGGACTAAGCACATGCTTCCCCCACGCCCCTGTGCTTCCTGTGACCTGGTGACCCCCCTGGTTTCTCAGTCTTCCCAACCACCTTGTAAGGTGTGGGTGCTGTCAACATCACCTCCCACAGAAGAAGACACCGGAAACTTAGAGCAGCCTGTCATTCCCAGGGTCACGCAGCTGGTAGTGTGTGTGTCTGCCTCCTGCCTCGGGGTGGGGTCCTGGGCTGGGGCTCTGGCTTCACATACAGATGGTGCTGCGTAAATGTCTGTAAGGTGGCATGACGTCACCCAGGACAGCTGTGCCCCAGTTGGCTCTGGGACAACTCTGCTCAGTGAGGCTCCATCTTGCCCTTGAAGGTTCACAGGAAGAGTGGGGGAGTGGCCCCCTGGGTGCAAGTAGGTTCCTCTGGGTTCTCGGTGAAGTGCCTACCGGTCTTGGCTCAGGACCCTGCTGTCTGACCCTTCTCCTCTCACTTCTCAGTCCCTTGCCAGCTCCTCCTGGTCGGTCGTGTTCTTCATCTGCACTCAGCCCTCCCTCATAGTGTCCTGGGGCCTTCAGTCTGTATGGGAACCCCCAAATCTATGTAGCCAGCCCAGGCCTCTCTGAATGCCACACTCCATGGCTGGCTTAATTAACTCTCCATCAAAGTGCTCCCTAGACTAGACGTCTAAGACTTAGAACAGACCTCCCCAGTCCTCCCCGATCTCTGCAAGGATTAGCTTGGGGTTGCTTCAGCCCCAGGCCCTGGGGATCTGCTGGGGTCTACCCCTTGTCCTGTCTGCTCTTCCCACTCAGCCCCTCCCTGCACTCCAGCTCTCTGGTAGCCTCTTCCTGGGCCTCTGCCACTGCATAGTCCCACAGTCCACTTTTCAACCATGAGGCAGATGACTAAAAAGCACTTTCTTTTCTTTTTTTTTTTGAGAGGAAATCTCGCTCTGTCGCCCAGGCTGGAGTGCAATGGCGCAATCCCGGCTCACTGCAACCTCCGCCTCCCGGGTTCAAGCGATTCTTTTGCCCCCGCCCGAGTAGCTGGGACTACAGGCGCCCGCCACCACGCCTGACTAATTTTTTGTATTTTTAGTAGAGATGGGATTTCACCCTGTTAGCCAGGATGGTCTCAATCTCCTGACCTAATGATCTGCCCGCCTTGGCCTCCCAAAGTGCTGCAATTACAGGCATGAGCCATCACACCTGGCTGACTGAAAAGCACTTTCTTCTTTAATGTGAAAATGATCAGATGCATACAATGGTAGAGTTATATCAGAGCTTCCAGATACCCAGGTAGGGCACAGTGGCTCATGCCTGTAATCCCAGCACTTTGGGAGGCTAAGGCAGGCAGACCACTTGGTCAGGAGTTTTAGACCAGCCTGGCCAACATGGCAAAAACTCGTCTCTACTATAAATACAAAAAGTAGCTGAGCATGGCGGCAGGCCACTGTAGTCCCAGCTACTCAGGAGGTGGAGGCAGGAGAATCGCTTGAACCCAGGAGGCAGAAATTACAGTGAACCGAGATTGCCCCACTGCACTCCAGCCTGGGTGACAGAGTGAGAGTGTCTCAAAAAGAACAGAAACAAAAATGAACAAATGAACTTCCAGATACCTAAATCCAACACCCAGATGAGTTCACTTTTTTTGGTTTGGGGGCTGGTAGGTGGGAATAGAGACAGGGTCTATGTTGCCCAGGCTGGTTTTGAACTCTTGGGCCCAAGCAGTCCCTCCTGCCTTGCCTCCCAAATTGTTGAGGTTACAGGCGTGAGCCACCACACCCGGCCAAGTTCACCTTTCTAAAAGATCCACAGACCACGTCTTTTCCCATGTAACTGTCACCACCGTGGCTTCCCCCTGCTCTAGAAAATGGGTCTGACTTGGGCCTTCCTCTCTGGTGTCATTGTCTGCCTCCTCCCCCTTCCCTTGTTCGCTGTTTTTTGTTTTTTTTGTTGTTGTTGTTTGTTTGTTTTTGAGATGGAGTTTCGCTCTTGTTGCCCAGGCTGGAGTGCAGTGGCGTGATCTCAGCTCACCGTAACCTCCGCCTCCTGGGTTCAAGAGATTCTCCTGCCTCAGCCCCCAGAGTAGCTGGGATTACAGGCATGTGCCACCACGCCCTGCTAATTTTATATTTTTAGTAGAGATGGGATTTCTCCATGTTGGTCAGGCTGCTCTCAAACTCCTGACCTCAAGTGATCTGCCTGCCTCAGCCTCCCAAAGTACTGGGATTGCAGGCATGAGGCACCGTGCCCAGCCCCATTCACTCTGTTCCTGCTTCTGTTTCTGAGACTTCCCAGATGCATCCACCCTGGGCCTTTGCACTTGCTGTTTGCTTTACCTGGAGGAAACCCTCTGCATCCGCCATACTGCAGGCCTCTCCACCAGCCCTCATCTGCAGTTCCTTCCTAGCCAGACACTTGCAGTTGTCTGGTTCATTTATTGGCTCACTCACTTATTTTTTGAGAGTCTCTTGCCCAGGCTGGAGTGCAGTGGCACAGTCTCGGCTCCCTGCAACCTCTGCCTCCTGTGTTCAAGTGATTCTCCTACCTTAGCCTTCTTGAGTAGATGGGATTACAGGCACGTGCCATCACACCCAGCTAATTTTTGTATTTTAGTAGAGACGGAGTTTCACCATATTGGCCAGGCTGGTCTCGAACTCCAGGCTGGTCTAGAATCACCTGAAGTGATTATAGGTGTGAACCACTGCAGCCAGCCTATTTATGTATTTATTTATTCAAGACAGGGTCTTGCTCTGTTGCCCAGGCTGGAGTTCAGTGGCTTACTGCAGCCTCCGCCTCCTGGGTTCAGTCTTATGCCTCAGCCTGCCAAGTAGCTGGGATTACAGGCGTCTGCCACCACACCTGGCTACTTTTTGTATTCTTAGTAGAGATGGGGGTTCACCATGTTGGCCAGGCTGGACTCGAACTCCTGACCTCAAGTGATCCACCTGCCTCTGCCTCCCAAAGTGCTGGGATTACAGGTGTGAGCCACCGTGCCCGGCTTATTTCTTGGCTCACTTAAAAGCACATCATCAGCTCTTCCAGGGTAGGGCTTGTGTCGACTGCTATGTTGTGTTTGGCCAGAACAGGCTCCTCTGGATATTTGCCTGACTGAATGAAAAAGCAAGGGCTGTGATGACCTGGGGAGAGGAGGGGACCAGGGCTGTGAATTACCTTCCCTTCCCCACCCTCTCCTGCAGCAAATCAGCCGGCACCAGGAGCAGTTCATCCAGATGCTGAACGAGCCCCCTGGGGAGCTGGCGGACATCTCAGATGTGGAGGGGGAGGTGGGCGCCATAGGAGAGGAGGCCCCGCAGATGAACTACATCCAGGTGACGCCGCAGGAGAAAGAAGCTATAGAGAGGGTAAGAGGCCTGGCTGAGGGGTGACTGCAGGTGGGCAGGACCCCTACCCTCTCCTGCTCACACTTAACCTATCTTCCCACAGTTGAAGGCCCTGGGCTTCCCAGAGAGCCTGGTCATCCAGGCCTATTTCGCGTGTGAAAAAAATGAGAACTTGGCTGCCAACTTCCTCCTGAGTCAGAACTTTGATGACGAGTGATGCCAGGAAGCCAGGCCACCGAAGCCCCCACCCTACCCTTATTCCATGAAAGTTTTATAAAAGAAAAAATATATATATATTCATGTTTATTTAAGAAATGGAAAAAAAAATCAAAAATCTTAAAAAAACAAGCAAACAGTCCAGCTTCCTGTCCTCCTAAAGTGGCCCCTGTTCCCATCTCCCGGGCCAGACAGCTGTCCCCCCGTCCTCCTCCCCAGCCCAGCCTGCTCAGAGAAGCTGGCAGGACTGGGAGGCGACAGATGGGCCCCTCTTGGCCTCTGTCCCAGCTCTCTGCAGCCAGACGGAAAGGCGGCTGCTTGCCTCTCCATCCTCCGAAAAACCCCTGAGGACCCCCCCCCATCCTCTTCTAGGATGAGGGGAAGCTGGAGCCCCAACTTTGATCCTCCATTGGAGTGGCCCAAATCTTTCCATCTAGGGCAAGTCCTGAAAGGCCCAAGGCCCCCTCCCCAGTCTGGCCTTGGCCTCCAGCCTGGAGAAGGGCTAACATCAGCTCATTGTCAAGGCCACCCCCACCCCAGAACAGAACCGTGTCTCTGATAAAGGTTTTGAAGTGAATAAAGTTTTAAAAACTAGCCCTATGGTCTGTGCCTGCTGGGGCTCCCCGCGCCCACCTGTCTGGGTCTTGGGGGGCTGGCTGGGCACAGGCAGGCATGGTGACGGGTGCCTGGAAGGGGGAGAGGAGTCTGTGAGTCCCTGCAGATTGAGGCTTCCGGTGTCTCCTCCCCCAGTGTGTCATTTCCAGGCAGTGGACCCCAGCCCAACGTTACAAGGACTGCTTCTCCCCGGCCCCCACCATCATCACCACAGTCTGTTTTGGCTATACTTCCCCCCCCACCAGCCTTGTAATTGGCTAATTACTGGAGATGAATGTTGGTAAACAGAAGCCTTCTTCTCTTCTGCCATCTGCTTCTCCATTATTTGCCCATTGTACACCCCCCTTTTCCTCCCACTGAAGCCCCAGTTAGTCAGCAGGGCCTAGAGTCCCTGTCCCCTTTTGAGTACAGCCAAGTGGGGGATTCCCCAGCTCTTAAGTATTGGGGGAGGAACCAGGGGACCCAGAGAGGCACACCTTGAGAGGACGCAGATCTCTTCAGGGGTACTGCCAGGTAGCAGGCTTTATTGGGAAGGGACAAAGCCTCAGGAGCTGGGTGCCCCAGAGGCTGCTGGGTCTTGAGCCACAGCTGCAGCCAATGCAGCAGCTCGCGCCTCCTTCTTCCGTTTCTGTTTTTCCTCCTTGAGGCGCTTGCGCTCCTTCTTCTCTAGGTCCTGGAGCAGCTCCTGGAAGCGGGCACTCCTTGGGTCCACCTGGTAGCCCAGGAGCTCCTGGGCCTCAGCCTGCAGTCGGGCCCTCCTCTCCTTGTCAGCCTGGGCCTTCTCCCAGTTCTCCCGCTGCTGCTGCTGCCAGTTCACAATCATCTGTGGCATCTTGGCCATGCACTCTGCGATGTGCTGCTCCCTGCAGGGGAGGGAGAGTGGGCTGTGACACTGGCACTCAGCCAGGGCAGAGCCCACCCACCCATATCTCACCCATAGGCCTTTGCCCACGAGCCTGCCTCCTCAACTCCCCCAGTAGATTAACTGTCAGGAAAAGCCCTTGACAAGTGAAGAAACAGGAAGAGATGATGAGAAAGTTACCTGTGCATGAATTTGATCACAAGGGCATGTCAAGCCCCAGTAAACCCCAGGTGCCAAAGCCAAATCAGCATTTCACTGAGCTGCCTACTGAGCAAGCCAAGTGCCACTCCCATGGATAATTTCACACCTTTATTTCATAGACATTGCTGAGCACTTCCTGTACAGAGGCCAGGCCCAATTCTAGGCACAGGAGTGAAAGCAAGAAAGACATTTCCCACCAATCCTTGAGTTTGTAGCTACCAGTCACAGCCCCATTTTTTTCTTTTAAGTTCAGGGGTACAAGTGCAGGTTTGTTACGTAGGTAAACTTGTGTCATGGGGTTTTTTTGTACAGATTTATTTCATCACTCAGGTATTAAACCTAGTACCTAGAGGTCATTTTTCCTGATCCTCTCCCTCCACCCTCCAAAAAGCCCTAGTGTGTGTTGCTCCCCTGTGTGTCCATGTGTTCTCATCATTTAGCTCCCACTTACAAGTGAGAACACGTTGTATTTGGTTTTCTGTTCCTGTGTTAGTTTGCTAGGGATGATAGCCTCCAGCTCCCGTCGTGTCCCTGCAAAGGACATGATCTCGTTCTTTTTTATGACAGCCTCATTTAAGGATTAGAAAAGTAAAAGAATTAAGCCCTATAATGGTCATCTGGCTGAGGAGGGGCAGAAACAGGAGTCCCTGCTCCATGATTCCCTGCCTGGGTGATCAGACGCATGACTTCACTTCACCAAGCCTCAGTTTCCTCATCTCTAAAATTAGGGCAATCCCTTCTTCCTCTTAAGGCTATTAGGAAAACAAGAAGATTAAACACCAGGAACACACTTGACCTACCCCCTTCACGCTCCAGGATGTGGCATTATCTATAAGAGATGCCCCTGGTCTGGCCCGACGCGGTGGCTCACGCCTGTAATCCTAGCACTTTGGGAGGCCGAGGCAGATGGATCACCTGAGGTCAGGAGTTTGAGACCAGCCTGGCCAATATGGCGAAACCCCATCTCTACTAAAAATACAAAAAATGAGCCGGGTGTGGTGGTGGGCGCTTGTAATCCCAGCTACTCGGGAGGCTGAAGCAGGAGAATCTCTTGATCCTGGGAGGCAGAGGTTGCAGTGAGCTGAGATTGCACTCCAGCCTGGGCAACAAGAGCAAAACTCTGCCTCAAAACAACAACAACAACAACAACAAAAAGATGCCCCTGGTCCTTCAGACCTGCCTCTGTATCTGACCTCTGCCCTCTTGGTTCCAGGACCCATCACCTTCCTGCCCTCACCTTTTCCCCAGCCACACTGGCTTCCTGGCTGTTCTTTAAGGCATATCGTATCTCAGGGCATTTGCCCCAGCTGTTCCCTTTACCAGAAACTTTCTACCCAAGAGATCGCCCCATAGCTAAGTCTGGTTATTCAGGTCTTTGCTTAAACATCACCTCCTCAGAGAGGCCTGAGGCTTCCCAAACCAAAGCTGCCCTCAGGCACACACTCTTCACTCTTTTACCTTCCTACTAGTCGGCTGTCACCATTGGTATTATCTTGCCTGTCAGCTGTCGCCATCTGATATTAAGGGCCCTTTTGGGGCCTGCCTCGGCCTCCCAAATAACTGGGATTACAGGCACGAGCCACCGCCCCCGGCCTGGGACAGGGTCTTGCACACGGTATGCGCTCAGTAAAGACTTGGTGGTGATGGCCGGACGTGATGGCTCACACCTGTAATCCCGGCACTTTGGGAGGCTGAGGCAGGTGGATCACTTGAAGTAAGGAGTTTGAGACCAGCCTGGCCAACATGGTGGAACCCCGTCTCTACTAAAACTACAAAAATTTGCCGGGCGTGGTGGTGCACGCCTGTAATCCCAGCTACACCGGAGGCTAAGGCGGGAGAATCGCTTGAACCGGGGAGGCGGAGGTTGCAGTGAGCCAAGATCTTGCGACTGCACTCCAGCCTGGGCAACAGAGCGAGACTCTTGTCTCCAAAAAACAAACAAACAAACAAACAAAACTTGCTGATGAATGACTAAATGGACGTTATTCTGAGTTTGTTTTGCGGCCAGGTGAGCGTATACATAAATCTACAACATGCAGATGCTGCGACGTGACCCCGAAGGGGTAGGCACGGTTTGGGGCCCAGTTCGCCCACGGGGCACAGAGGGCAGCCCCGCGTCTGCCTGCACGCACGCACCTCTCCCGACGCTTCTGCTCTTCGGCCAGCTGCTTCACCCGCAGCGACTCCTGCATGGTCGCCAGGCTCGGGTACCATTCGCGTTCTTCGGCCTCCAGCTCCCGCAGCTGCTCCGGCGACGGCCATAACGAACCGGGGACCACCCCGGAGGCGGCGCCGTAACGCGCGAACTGCTTAGCCGCGTAGCGCGGTCCCAGCTGCCACCGCGGGGTCAGGAGGTCCTCGGGGTCTGGCCACCGGGGTCCCGGCCTGCGGCGCGGGGGCGGCCGCGCCCGGTAGCCACGGGAACCCGGGGCCAGGGTCGCCGCCACACCTAGTAGGCTGCGTGCCTGTCGCACGGACGCCGCCATCTTGGCTGTGCGGGGTCCTCACAGGCCCGCCGGGCTGTCCATGCCCGGTGCCTGAGCGCGAGGCCCGGTGTGGGCCAGGGCAGGGCGAGGGGTGTCCCTGCTGCCTCAGTTCGGGGGAGGGCGGCGAAGGGGATAGTATGGGTTTTATACGTTTCCAAGTATAACTTTAAATTTTAGTTAAGCAGTTACTGATTAAAGTCATTTTTAATTTTCACTTTTTTTCTTCTCCTTTCTGCACACTGACACTTAAAAATACATATTTTTGTCGGGCGCGGTGGCTCACGCCTGTAATCTCAGCACTTTGGGAGGCCGAGGCGGGCGGATCACCTGAGGTCGCGAGTTCGAGACCAGTCTTTTTTTTTTTTTTTTTTCGAGACAGAGTCTCGCTCTGTCGCCCAGGCTGGAGGGTAACGGCGTGATCTCGGGTCACTGTAACCTCCGCCTTCCGGGAGGAGAGGAGAAACCCCGTCTCTACTAAAAATACAAAATTAGCCGGGCATGGTGGCGCATGCCTGTAGTCCCAGCTCCGCGGGAGGCTGAGGCAGGAGAATCGCTTGAACCCGGGAGGCGGAGGTTGGGGTGGGCCGAGATCGTGCCATTGCATTCCAGCCTGGGTAACAAGAGCGAAACTCCGTCTAAAAAATTAATAAATAAAAATAAATACATACATGCATACACACACACACACATATACATATATATATACGCTCACCTGGCTACAAATATATATTTGTGTATTTTTTTCTAAGTGTTCAGTGTTCTTTGGGTAAAAATTGTATTTTTGTTTTTTGCATATCAGAAACCATACTGTTTTATTCATCCATGTGTCTTCTGTGCACACAGTAGCCCTCCAATGAATAATCTGAAATCATGTTGAATGAACACATTGAAAAATCAAAAATAAGAGGCTGTGGCAGGGCCACTGATATGGTTTGGCTCTGTGTCCCCAACCAAATCTCATCCTGAATTATAATCCCCATGTGTCCAGGGAGGGACCTGTAATCCCCACATGTCGGGGAAGGGAGGTGGTTGGATCACGGGGGTGGTTTCCCCCATGCTATTCTTTTTTTTTTTTTTTTGCCTTCAAAAAGTTTATTTTATTTTATTTTATTATTATTATACTTTAAGTTTTAGGGTACTTGTGCACAACGTGCAGGTTTGTTACATATGTATACATGTGCCATGTTGGTGTGCTGCACCCATTAACTCGTCATTTAGCATTAGGTATATCTCCTAATGCTATCCCTCCCCCCTCCCCCCACCCCACAACAGTCCCCGGTGTGTGATGTTCCCTTTCCTGTGTCCATGTGGTCTCATTGTTCACTTCCCACCTATGAGTGAGAACATGCGGTGTTTGGTTTTTTGTCCTTGCGATAGTTTGCTGAGAATGATGGTTTCCAGTTTCATCCATGTCCCTACAAAGGACACGAACTCATCATTTTTTATGGCTGCGTAAAAATTATATTTTTAACTTTACTTTTATACATTTAAACTAGCATTTATTAGGCTGGGCTTGGTGGCTCACGCCTGTAATCCCAGTACTTTGGGAGGCTGAAGCGGGCGGATCACTTGAGGTCAGGAGTTGGAGACCAGCCTGACCAACATGGCAAAACCTTGTCTCTACTAAAAATACAAAAATTACCTGGGCGTGGTGGTGGGCGCCTGTAATCCCAACTACTCAGGAGGCTGAGGCAGGAGAATCGCTTGAACCTGGGAGGTGGAGGTTGCAATGAGCTGAGATCGTGCCATTGCACTCTACCCAGGGTGACAGAGTGAGACTCTGTCTGAACAAACAAACAGACAAAAAGCCCACTAGCATTTATTATTTTTTTAATGTAAATGTGGCTGAACGCGGTGGTTCACACCTGTAATCCCAGCACTTTGGGAGGCTGAGGCAGGTATCACTGAGGTCAGGAGTTCGAGACCAGCCTGGCCAACATGGTGAAACCCCGTCTTTACTAAAAATACAAAAATTGGCTGGGTGCGGTGGTGCACACCTGTAATCCCAACTACTCGAGAAGCTAAGGCAGGAGAATCGCTTGAACCCGGGAGGCGGAGGTTGCAGTGAGCTGAGATTACACCACTGCTCTCCAGCCTGGGCAACAGATCGAGACTCTGTCTCAAAATAAATAAATAAATAAATAAATAATTCTGTCACATGCTGTGACATGGATGAACCTTGAGGACATTAGGCTAAGTGAAAGAAGCCAGTCACAAAAGGACAAATATTGTATGATTCCACTTATATGAGGTAACTAGAGTAGTCAAATTCATAGAGACAGAAAGTAGATTAGGAGTTCCAGGGGTTGGGGGTGGAGGAGTGGGAGTTATTGCTTATAATGTATAATATATTTTATATTGTAAAATATACAAAATAAATAAAACGAATTTGTGTTTTGTTTTGTTTTGAGTCAGAGTCTCGCTCTGTCTCCCAGGTGAGAGTACAGTGATGCAATCTTGGCTCACTGCAACCTCTGCCTCCCAGATTCAAGGGATTTTCGAGCCTCTGCCTCCTAAGTAGCTGGGACCACAGGCGCAAGCCACCAAGCCTGGCTGATTTTCATATTTTACTAGAGACGGGGTTTCACCACGTTGGTAAGGCTGGTCTCAAACTCCTGACCTTAAGTGATCTGCCCACTTCAGCCTCCCAAAGTGCTAGGATTACAGGTGTGAGCCACCATGACTGGCCACGTTTTTTTTGTTTTTTTTTTTTTGTTTGTTTGTTTTTGAGATGGAGTTTAGCTCTGTTGCCCAGGCTGGAGTGCAGTGGTGCGATCTCCGCTCACTGCAAGCTCCGCCTCCGGGGTTCACGCCATTCTCCTGCCTCAGCCTCCCGAGTAGCTGGGACTACAGGCGCCCGCCACCACGCCCGGCTAATTTTTTTGCATTTTTAGTAGAGAGGGGGTTTCACCGTGTTAGCCAGGATGGTCTCGATCGCCTGACCTTGTGATCCACCCGCCTCGGCCTCCCAAAGTGCTGGGATTACAGGCATGAGCCACCGCGCCTGGCCTGTTGTTTTTGTTTTTAATCACACACGCACACCTTCTCTACCCCCGCAAAAAATAACTGCAGTTTTCTCAAGACATGAATGTTCATAGCAACACCACATATATATGTCATTACCAAGCTGGAAATAGCTCACACCCAATGTCCATCTGAAGTAGAATGGACACCTAAATTATGCTGTTTCAGCCAATGGAATACTACACAGGAATGAAAGAGCAAATATTACATCTTCTCACAGAAGATGGATGATGCTTATAAGCATAATGTGCAACAAAGGAAGAGGACCTATATGATTGCTTTTTAAATTTTATTTTTTTGAGACAGGGTATTGCTCTGTTGCCCAGGCTAGAGTGCCCTGGCTCGGTCATAGCTCACTGCAGCCTTGAATTCCTGGGCTCAAGCAATCCTCCCGCCTCAGTCTCTTCAGTAGCAAGACTATAGGCATGAACCGCTACTCCCACCTACATTTTAAATTTTTTTGTAGAGACGGGGTTTCTCTATGTTACCCAGGTTGGTCTTGAACTCCTGGCTCACCTCCCCTCCCCTCCCCTCCTTTCTTGACAGGGTCTCACTGTTGCCCAGGCTGGAGTACACTGGCATATCACTGCAGCCTCAATCTCCTGGTCTCAAGTGGTCCTCCCACCTCGGGCTCCTAAGTAGCTGGAACTTCAGGCACTCACCATCAAGCCTGGCTAATTTTTGTATTATTTGTAGAGATAGAGTCTCAATATGTTGCCCAGGGTGGTCCTGAATTCTGGGACCCAAGTTATCCTCCCACCTTGGCCTCCCAAAATGTTGGAATTACAGGTATGAGCTACCATGCCTGACCTCAGAATTTTTTCATCTTGCAAACCTGTAACTCTATACACTCACTCCCCAGTTTCCCTTTCGCCCAGTCCCTGGCAGTCACTATTCCTTTTTTTTTTTTTTTTTTGAGACGGATGGAGTCTCGCTCCGTTGCCCAGGCTGGAGTGCAGTGGCGCGATCTCGGCTCACTGCAAGCTCCGCCTCCCGGGTTCACGCCATTCTCCTGCCTCAGCCTCCCGAGTAGCTGGGACTCCAGGCACCCGCCACCACACCCGGCTAATTTGTTTGTATTTTTGGTAGAGACAGGGTTTCACCGTGTTAGCCAGGATGGTCTCGATCCCCTGACCTCGCGATCTGCCCGTCTCGGCCTCCCAAAGTGCTGGGATTACAGGCGTGAGCCACCGCGCCCGGCCTGGCAGTCACTATTCTACCTTGTTTCTATGAATTTGACTACTCTAGGTACCTCATATAAGTCGAATCATACGGTACTTGTCCTTTTGTAACTGGCTTATTTTTTATTTTGAGACAGAGTCTTGCTCTGTTGTCCAGGCTGAAGTGCAGTGGCACAATTATTATAACTGGCTGCAGAATCGACCTCCTGGACTCAAGTGATACTCCCACCTCAGCCTCTCAAGTAGCTGAAACTACAGGTGCTCACCTGGCTAATTTTTTTTTTTTTTTTTTTTTTGAGACAGGGTTTCGCTCTGTCGCCCAAGCTAGAGTGCAGGGGCGCCATCTCGGCTCACTACAAGCTCCGCCGCCCGGGTTCACGCCATTCTTCTGCCTCAGCCTCCCGAGTAGCTGGGACTACAGGCGCCCGCCACCACGCCCGGCTAATTTTTTGTATTTTTAGTAGAGACGGGGTTTCACCATGTTAGCCAGGTTGGTCTCGATCTCCTGACCTCGTGATCCTCCTGCCTCGGCCTCCCAAAGTGCTGGGATTACAGGCGTGAGCCACCACACCTGGCCTTTTTTTTTTTTTTTTTGAGACAGAGTACTTACTCTGTTGCCCAGGCTGGAGCGCAGTGGCATGATCTCGGCTCACTGCAACCTCTGCCTCCCAGGCTCAAGCAATTCTCATGCCTCAGCCACCTGAGTAGCTGGGACTACAGGTGTAAACCACTGCACCTGGGGCTGGCTGATTTTAATTAGTATAATATCCTAAAATTTCTTTCTTTCTTTCTTTCTTTCTTTCTTTCTTTCTTTCTTTCTGTCTGTCTGTCTGTCTGTCTTTCTTTCTGTCTGTCTTTCTTTCTTTCTTTCTGTCTTTCTTTCTTTCTTTCTCTTTCTTTCTTTCCTTCTCTTCTCTTCTCTCCTTCCTTCCTTCCTTTCTTTCTTTCCTTCCTTCCTTTCTCTTTCTTTCGACATTCTCTCTCTATCGCCCAGGCTGGAGTGCAGTGGCACTGTCTTGGATCACTGCAACCCCCACCTCCCCGGTTCAAGCAATTCTTGTGCCTCAGCCTCCCGAGTAGCTGGGATTACAGGTGCCCGCCACCACACCTGGCTAATTTTTGTATTTTTCGAGGTTTCACCATGTTGGCCAGGCTGATCTCAAACTCCTGACCTCAAGTGATCTGCCCACCTCAGCCTCCCAAAGTGCTGGGATTACAGGTGTGAGCCACCGTGCTTGGCATATCCTAAAGTTTCATCCATGTTGTAGCACGTGTCCGAATTTCTTTTTTTCTTTTTTTTGTATTTTTAGTAGAGACGGGGTTTCCCCGCATTAGCCAGGATGGTCTCAATCTCCTGACCTCATGATCCGCCCGCCTCAGCCTCCCAAAGTGCTGGGATTACAGGCTTGAGCCACCGCACCCGGCCAACGTGTCAGTATTTCTTTCCTAGCCTGGGCAACACTGTGAAACCCTGTCTCTCCAAAAAATACAAAAATTAGCTGGCTATGGTGGTGCATCCCTGTAGTCCCTCCTACTTGGGAGGCTGAGGTGGGAGGTCAATTGAGCCTGGGCGGTGAAGTCTGCAGTGAGCTGTGAGTATGTCAGTGCACTCCAGACTGGGTGACAGAGCGAGACTGTCTCAAAAAAAATTTTTTTTTTCCTTTTTAAGGCTGAATGCTATTCCATTGTATGAATGGACCACATTTTTTTTTTCCCAATTGCAGATGTCAGGCTGAAAGAATGGACCACATTTTAGGCTGGGCACGATGGCTCATGCCTGTAATCCCAGCACTTTGGGAGGCCGAGGCAGGCGGATTACAAGGTCAGGAGTTCGAGAACAGCCTGTGGTGAAACGCTGTCTCTACTAAAAAGACAAAAATTAGCCGAGCGTGGTGGTGCGTGCCTGTAATCCCAGCTACTCAGGAGGCTGAGGCAGGAGAATCGCCTGAACCCAGGAGGTGGAGGTTGCAGTGAGCCAAGATAGCGCCACTGCACTCTAGCCTGTGTGACAGAGTGAGACTTCGTCTCGAAAAAAAAGAAAAAAAAAGCGGCCAGGCACGGTGGCTCACGCCTGTAATCCCAGCACTTTGGGAGGCCGAGACAGGCAGATCATGAGGTCAGGAGATCGAGATCATCCTGGCTAACATGGCGAAACCCCGTCTCCACTAAAAATACAAAAAATTAGCCGGGCGTGGTGGCAGGCACCTGTAGTCCCAGCTACTCGGGAGGCTGAGACAGGAGAATGGCGTGAACCTGGGAGGCGGAGCTTGCAGTGAGCCGAGATTGCACCACTGCACTCCAGCCTGGGCAACTGAGCGAGACTCCGTCTCCAAAAGAAAAAAAAAAAAGAATGGTCTACATTTTGTTTATCCATTTATCTGTACGTGGACATTTGAGCTGTCTCCAATTTTTGCCTATTGTGAATAATGATCTTATGAACATGGGTGTACAGCATTTCTTCTTCTTCTTCTCCTTCTTCTCCTTCTCCTTCTTCTTCTCTTTCTCCTTCTCCTTCTTGTTCTTCTCCTTCTTCTTCTTTCTTCTTTCTTCTTCTTTTTATGAGACAGAATCTTACTGTGTCATCCAGGCTGGAGTGCAGTGGCACGATCTTGGCTCACAGCAACCTCTGCTAGGTTCAAGCGATTCTCTTGCCTCAGCTTCCCAAGTAACTGGGAGTACGACCGGGCACAGTGGCTCACGCCTGTAACCCCAGCACTTTGGGAGGCCAAGGTGGGTGGATCACCTGAGATCAGGAGTGTGCACCACCACGCCGAGCTAATTTTTTTTTGTATTTTTAGTAGAGATGAGATTTCGCCATGTTGGCCAGGCTGGTCTCAAACTCCTGGCCTCAAGTGATCTGCCCACCTCCACCTCCCGAAGTGCTGAGGCTTTTATTCTTTTTTTCCCCGCTGAGACAGAGTCTTGCTCTGTCATCCAGGCTGGAGTGTAGTGGTGCAATCTCAAGTCACTGCAACCTCTGCCTCCCAGGTTGAAGCAATTCTCCTGCCTCAGCCTCCGGAGTAACTGGGATTACAGGCACACGCCACCACGCCCAGATAATTTTTGTATTGTTAGTAGAGACAGGGTTTCACCATGTTGGCCAGGCTGGTCTTGAACTCTTGACCTGGTGATCCACCTGCATTGGCCTCCTAGAGTGCTAGGATTACAGGCGTGAGCCACTGTGACCAGCCTGGTTTTTATTCCTTTTTTTTTGTTTGTTTGTTTTTTGAGATGGAGTCTCGCTCTGTCACCCAGACTGGAGTGCAGTGGTGCAATCTCAGCTCACTGCAAGCTCTGCCTCCCTGGTTCACGCCATTCTTCTGCCTCAGCCTCCCAAGTAGCTGGGACTACAGGTGCCCACCACCACACCTGGCTAATTTTTTTTTTTTTTTTTAGTAGAGACGGGGTTTCACCGTGTTAGCCAGGATGGTCTCGTTCTCCTGACTTCGTGATCCACCCACCTTGGCCTCCCAAAGTGCTGGGATTACAGGCGTGAGCCACTGTGCCCATCCTCAGGTGTTTATTCTTAGTGAAATAAAGTAGCATAGAATCAAATTACCAGATTGTTTCTAGTAATTACTGTCACACTGTGGGCCTCCTCCTGAGGCTTTTTTCTGAGGGAGATGAGAGCCATGGAAGGTTCTCATCACAGGGACCAGTCTTGACTCAGGTGCTCACAGGCGCCCTCTGGCCGCTGTGGGGGGAATAAACTGTGGGGGGCCGGTGGCCAGGGCGGGAACTGGGAGACCTGGAAGGAAGCGACTGCACTGATCCAGGTAGGGGGACAAGGAGTGGGTGAGAAGCGGGCGGATTCTGGGTAGATTCTGGAGCTGACCGGAGTTACTGTCATATAAGATTGGGGGCGGGGATGGGTGTTAGAGAAAGAGATAGGTCAAAGGTGCTCTCCAAAGTTTGGAGCCTTAGCACCTGGCAGGACAGAGCTGCCTTTAACTGTGTCTAGAGGACAGCAGAAGGGCAGGTTGGGGGACAGTCAGGAGCTGGGATGTAGCAGAGCTGGGTGGGAAGCACGCCCGCCCCTCCAGGCTTGGCCTCTGGGAGGCGGGTGTCCTGGGCGCGGCCGCCGCACAGTCCCGGGAGCCGCCGCCAGAGGGCGAGCACGCCGCATCGCACTCGCAGCTCCGTGGAGGGGAGGGCGCGGGAAAGGCTGGCCTGGTCTCTTCCCACGGCCCCCCGGCCTCCAAGCTCCTCACCTGGGTGCGAGATAGAGGTGCCAGGATCCAGCCAGGACCCCCCAGACACCTCCGGGGCCCCAAAGCCTGGGATACGACTCTCACCCTCTTTATCTGCTTCTAACACTCCCAACCTCCACCCCCACACCAAGCTGTTCCCACCGCCTCCAGCGCCATCTCAGGTGTCTGTAAAAATGCCACCTACTCGGGGAGGCCTTCCCTGACCACCCTGGAGACAGAAGCCCCCGCCCTGACGCCTCTAAGGAACATCCCATTTTAGCAGCTTCTTAATCAAGACTGTGAAATGATCTTTATTATTATTATTATTAATATTTTTGAGAAGGTCTCACTCTGTCACTCAGGCTGGAGTGCAGTGGTGTGATCTGGCTCACTGCAACCTTCGCCTCCCGAGTTCAAGCAATTCTTCTGCCTCAGCCTCCAGAGGTAGCTGGGGTTACAGGCTCATGCCACCACGCCCGGCTAATTTTTTTTTTTGAGACGCAGTTTTACTCTTGTCCAGGCTGGAGTTCAATGGTGTGATCTCGGCTCATCGCAACCTCCGCCTCCCGGGTTCAAGCGATTCTCCTGCCTCAGCCTCCCGAGTAGCTGGGATTATAGGCATGTGCCACCATGCCTGGCTAATTTTGTATTTTTAGTACGGACGGGGTTTCTCCATGTTGGTCAGACTGGTCTCGAACTCCTGACCTCAGTTGATCCACCCGCCTCAGCCTCCCAAAGTGCTGGGATTACAGGTGTGAGCCACCACGCCCAGCCTTGCCCGGCTAATTTTTGTATTTTTTAGTAGAGATGGGGTTTCGCTATATTGTCCAGGCCTCAAGTTATCTGCCCTCCTCGGCCTCCCAAAGTGCTCGGATTACAGGCATGAGCCACTGCGTGCGGCCCCTTAATTATCTTTTATTGTCTGTTTTCTGCACCGTGTAAAATCCATGGCATTTTCTGTCTTGTCCTCCTGTATCACCAGGGCTCAGGATTAAGTCTGGCCTATACTGAGTGTTAAAGGAAAAAAAAAAAAAAAACAGCTGGGCAAGGTGGCATGTGCCTTTAATCCCAGCACTTTGGGAGGCTGAGGCAGGAGGATCACTTGAAGCCAGCAGTTTGAGACAAACCTGGTAACATAGTAAGATCCCGTCTCTGTGAAAATTTAAAAATCAGCCAGGCCGGGTGCGGTGGCTCACGCCTGTAATCCCAGCACTTTGGGAGGCTGAGGCGGGCAGATCATGAGGTCAGGAGATCAAGACCATCCTGGCTAACACGGTGAAACCCCATCTCTACTAAAAATACAAAAAATTAGCCGGGTGTGGTGGTGGGCGCCTGTAGTCCCAGCTACTCGGGAGGCTGAGGCAGGAGAATGGTGTGAACCCGGGAGGCAGAGCTTGCAGTGAGCCAAGATCGCTCCACTGCACTCCAGCCTGGGCGACAGAGCGAGTCTCCGTCTCAGAAAAAAAAAAAAAAAAAAAAAAATCAGCCAGGCATGGTGTTGTGTACCTGTAGTCTCAGCTATTCGGTGGGTTTGAAACAGGAGGATTCCTTGAGTCTAGGAGGTTGAGGCTGCAGTGAGATGCAATTGTGGGACTGCATGCCAACCTGGGTGACAGAACAAGACCCTGTTAAAAAAAAAAAAAAGCCAGGTGCGGTGGCTTACACCTGTAACTCCAGCACTTTGGGAGGCCAAGACGGGCAGACTGCCTGACCTCAGGAGTTCAAGACTACCCTGGGCAACATGGGGAAACTCCATTTCTACTAAAAAAAAAAAAAAAAAAAAATTAGCCAGGCATGGTGGCAGGGGCCTGTAGTCCCAACTACTCGGGAGGCTGAGGCAGGAGAATTGCTTGAACCCAGAAGGCGGAGGTTGCAGTAAGCTGAGATCACACCACTGCACTCCAGCCTGGGGGTGACAGAGGGAGACTGTCTCAAAGAAAAAAAAAAGAAGAAGAGAAAAACAAGTCAGGCAAGATAGCTTCCTGTGCCTATATTCCCAGCATTTTGAGACCTGCTTTTCAAGACCAGCCTGGGCAACATAGTAAGACCCTGTGTCAAATAAAAAAATAATAAAATAAAAAGAACTGGCAGGGCATGGTGGCTCATGCCTGTAATCCCAGCACTTTGGGAGGCTGAGGTGGGCGGATCGCTTGAAGTCAGGAGTTCGAGACCAGCCTGGCCAACATAGTCTCTACTACAAATACAAACATTAGCTGGGCATAGTTGTTCACATCTGTAATCCCAGCTACTTGGGGGGCTGAGGCAGGAGAATCACTTGACCCCAGGAGGCAGAGGTTGCAGTGAGACGAGACACAGTGAGACTCTGTCTAAAAAAAAAAAAAAAAAAAAAAGAACACAAAAACCCAGCAACAATAATGTTACTCAGAGCTGATTCATGGTGTTACTGTGTAGGAACCTCTGTTTTAAGCTCCTTACATAAATTACCTCCTTGAGTCCTCAGAATAACCCAATGAGATAGGGACTGTTTTATCTTCATATTACAGAAGAAGAAGGTAGGGACCAGGATGGTTAAGGGATTTACTCAAGGTTGCACAGCCAGGAAATTGCAATGCCTAGGCCGAACCCAAGAAACCTGGCTGCAAGGTATGCTAGTTTTTAATTTTTTTTGAGACAGAGTCTCACTCTGTTGCCCAGTCTGGAGTGCAGTGGCGCGATCTTGGCTCACTACAACCTCCGCCTCCCGGGTTCAAGCGATTCTCCTGCCTCAGCCTCCTGAGTAGCTGGGATTACAGGCATGTGACACCACGCCTGGCTACTTTTTGTATTTTTAGTAGAGACGGGGTTTCACTTATGTTGGCCAGGCTGGTCTTGAACTCCTGACCTCAGGTGATCTGCCCGCCTGAGCCT
Source organism: Homo sapiens (assembly GCF_000001405.40). Taxonomy (NCBI): domain Eukaryota; kingdom Metazoa; phylum Chordata; class Mammalia; order Primates; family Hominidae; genus Homo; species Homo sapiens. The sequence goes on from NC_000019.10 coordinate 12,968,476, forward strand.
GCCAAAGTGCTAGGATTACAGGTGTGAGCCACCGTGCCTGGCCATAATTTTTGTATTTTTATTTTATTTATTTTTTAATTTTTTTTGAGACAGAGTCTCACTCTTGTCGTCCAGGCTGGAGTGCAGTGGCGCGATCTTGGCTCACTGCAAGCTCCGCCTCCTGGGTTCAAGCGATTCTCCTGCCTCAGCCTCCTGAGTAGCTGGGATTACAGGTGCCCACCACCACGTTCAGCTAATTTTTTTTGTATTTTTAGTAGAGACGGGGTTTCACCATGTTGGTCAGGCTGGTCTCAAACTCCTGACCTCGTGATCTGCCCGCTTCGGCCTCCCAAAGTGCTGGGATTACAGGCGTGAGCCACCTCAACTGGCGAATTTTTTTTTTTTTTTTGAGACGGAGTCTCGGTCTATTGCCCAGGTTGGAGTGCAGTGGCGTGATCTCCGCTCACTGCAAGCTCCGCCTTCTGGGTTCAGGCCATTCTCCTGCCTCAGCCTCCCGAGTAGCTGGGACTACGGGCGCCCACCACCACGCCCGGCTAATTTTTTGTATGTTTAGTAGAGATGGGGTTTCACCATGTTAGCCAGGATGGTCTCAATCTCCGGACCTCGTGATCTGCCCACCTCAGCCTCCCAAAGTGCTGGGATTACAGGCGTGAGCCACCGTGCCTGGCCAATTTTTGTATTTTTAAAGTAGAGATGAGGTCTCACCATGTTGACCAGGCTGGTCTTGAATTCCTGACGTCAGGTGATCCTCCCGTCTCGGCCTCCCAAAGTGCTGGGATTACAGGTGTGAGCCACTGAGCCTCACCCAAAGTGTGCTTTTGCTAATTGGAGAATCGGGGTCCCAGGACTGGAAATGCAGCTGCCCAGGGTCTTCAGACATTGTGTGTCTCGGCCCCTGGCCCCAGACCTGTCTTTCCTGGTCCCCACAGCTCGCACACAGCAGGACCAGCCCCCATGTCTCTCAGCAAGTTGGGAGGAGGTGTGGGAACCCAGCTGGTCTGAATTTACTCTCCTCCCCCGCTGTGGGTCTACAGAAATGCCTCCCAGGCTATCCAGGAGGGGCCAAGAGATTAAAAGCAGGTTCAGAAGGCTCAGATGCCACTCACCAGACAGCAGGGTCGACTGCTAGTGACCTTGAGCCCAGTCCGGACAGACAGACAGGCAGACAGACGCACGGACAAGCAGATGCTCCTTGGCCAGCTATCCACTCTTCTGTGCCTGCTTAGCGGGGCCCTGCCTACAGGCTCAGGGAGGCCTGAACCCCAGTCTCCTCGACCTCAGTCCTGGGCTGCAGCCAATCAGACCTGGGCTCTGGGCCCAGGGGCCCTGCCCCCACTGGTGCCAGCTTCTGCCCTTGGGAGCTGGAAGGCCTTCTTGGGCCTGCAGAAAGCCAGGCAGCTGGGGATGGGCAGGCTGCAGCGTGGGCAAGACGAGGTGGCTGCTGTGACTCTGCCGCTGAACCCTCAGGAAGTGATCCAGGGGATGTGTAAGGCTGTGCCCTTCGTTCAGGTGAGTGGGTGGGTGTGGGGAGGAGAGGGCTGGGTCTCACCATTGGCAGAAGGCACAGGCTGTGGCCCAAGAAAGATTTGGGTTCAAGTCCTGTATCCTCCACCTGAATGTCTCGGTGCCTCAGTTTCCTCCCTTGTAAAATGCGACCCAAGCCTCCTCTATCCTGGTCTCCTTGATTCCACTATCATGCCCCTCTCCACCCCCCAGTCTATTTTTCCACTCAGCAGCCAGAGGGTGCCTGTGAACACCAGAGTCAGATCTGGTTCCCCCTCCCCCTAGAACCTTGCATGGCTCCCACTTTACTCAGAACAAAAGCCCAAGTCCTCTTCACAGCCCACAAATTTCTGTACTCTCTGATCCTGTTACCTCCCTGATTTCACCTCCTCCCACTCTCCCCCTCAGTTACTTTGCTTCTACACATCAGCCTCCTTTTCCTCAGACACCAACTTTCTTTCTGTTTTTTTAGACACGGGAGTCTCGCTATGTTGCCCAAGCTAGTCTTGAGCTTCTGGCCTCAAGCAATCCTCCCACCTCAGCCTCCTGAGTTCTAGGTGTGAGCCCGTCTCTTGCTTGATATACCAACTTTCTTTCTTTTCTTTCTTTCTTTCTTTTTCTCTTTCTTTCTTTCTTTTCTTTCTTTGTTTTTCTTTTTTTCTCTTTCTTTCTTTCTTTCTTTCCTTTCTTTCTTTCTTTTCTCTCTCTCTCTTTCTTTTTTTGAGACAGTCTCACTCTGTCACCCAGACTAGAGGGCAGCAGTACAATCTCGGCTCACTGCAACCTCCACTTCCTGGGCTCAAGTGATTCTCGTGCCTCAGCCTCCCAAGTAATTGAGATTACAGATGTGCACTACCATGTCCGGCTAAATTTTGTACTTTTTGTAGAGACGTGGTTTGGCCATGTTGGCCAGGCTGGTCTCGAACTCCTGACCTCAGGTGACCCGCCTGCCTCGGCCCCCCAAGTGCTGGGATTACAGGCGTGAGCCACTGCGCCAGGCCAATGAGAAGTCTCTTATGAGGAAGATGGCTCAGGATTTAAGCAGAGAAGGACCAGGATTTGGGGGAGAGATGATAGATCCACTTGGAGGGGATCATAGGAGGAACTAACATGCATTGAGCACCTACTTTGTGCCAGGCAGTGGGCTAAGGGCTTTCTGTTGGATGCTTCCGGGCTCCTGTGATACTGCTGTCCCTTCCCCCTAGGGTGCTAGTTGGCTTCCTACTGGTACCATCATCAGGCCATCTTATCATCATATCCTGCTTGGCTTTTCTTTACTTTTCTTTTCTTATTATTTATTTTATTTTATTTTATTTTTGAGATAGAGTCTCGCTCTGCTGCCCAGGCTGCAGTGCAATGGCGCGATCTCAGCTCACTGCAACCTCCGCCTCCCGGGTTCAAGCGATTCTCCTGCCTTAGCCTTCCGAGTAGCTGGTTTTACAAGCACACGCCACCATGCCCAGCTAATTTTTGTATTTTTAGTAGAGACGGGCTTTCACCATGTTGGTCAGGCTGGTCTCAAACTCCTGACCTCATGATCCACCTGCCTCGGCCTCCCCAAGTGCTGAGATTACAGGCATGAGCCACTGCACCCGGCCTTCTTTACTTTTCTTTTCAGGTTTTTGTTTTTTGAGACAGAGTCTCACTCTGTCGCCTAGGCTGGAGTACAGTGGTGCAATCTCGGCTCACTGCACCTCCATCTCCCGGGTTCAAGCAATTCTCCTGCCTCAGCCTCCCGAGTAGCTGGGACCACGGGCGCCTGCCACCATGCTCAGCTAATTTCTGTATTTTTAGTAGAGGCGGGGTTTCACTATGTTGGCCAGGATGGTCTTGAATTCCTGACCTCAAATGATCCACCCACCTCAGCCTCCCAAAGTGCCAGGATTACAGGCGTGAGCCACCACACCCGGCCTTTTCATGTTTTTTGTTAGAGACAGGGTCTTACTCTGTCACCCAGGCTGGAGTACAGTGGTGCGATCATAGCTCACTGCAGATTTGAATTCCTAGGATCAAGCAATCCTCCTGCCTCAGCCTTCTGAGTAGCTAGGCCTACAGACGCACAGCATTAGCCCAGCTAATATTTTTTTTTTTTTTTTTTGAGACGGAGTCTCGCTCTGTCGCCCAGGCTGGAGTGCGGTGGTGGGATCTCGGCTCACTGCAAGCTCCGCCTCCTGGGTTCACGCCACTCTCCTGCCTCAGCCTCCCAAGTAGCTGGGACCACAGGCGCCCACCACCACGCCTGGCTAATTTTTTTGTATTTTTAGTAGAGACGGGGTTTCACCATATTAGCCAGGATGGTCTCGATCTCCTGACTTCGTGATCTGCCTGCGTTGGCCTCCCAAAGTGCTGGGATTATAGGCATGAGCCACCGTGCCTGGCTAGCTCAGCTAATTTTTTTTTTTTAATTTCTTTGTAGAGACAGGGTCTTACTATATTGCCCAGGCTGGTCTCAAGCCACCACATCCCGCCCTTGGCTTTTAACTCCGAGGTAACCAATTCCCTGAATTAGTCCTCTTTGTTGAAAGGCCTAAAGTGATTTCTTCTTTTTCTCATTTAATTAATTTATTTGTTTATTTATTTCGGAGACAGAGTCTCGCTCTGTTACCCAGGCTAGAGTGCAATCATGATCTCAACTTGCTGCAACCTTCACCTCCCAGGTTCAAGCAATTCTTCCACCTCAGCCTCCCATGTAACTGGGATTACAGGTGTAGGTGCCCATGCCCGGCTAAGTTTTGTATTTTCAGTAGAGATGGGGTTTCGCCATATTGGCCAAGCTGGTCTCAAACTCCTGGCCTGAAGTGATCCGCCCACCTCAGCCTCCCAAAATGCTGGGATTACAGGCTTGAGCCACCACACCTGGCTGTCTTTGTTGAATTTCTTTTCTTTTTTTTTTTTTTTTTTTTGAGACGGAGTCTCGCTCTGTCCCCAGGCTGGAGTGCAGTGGCGCTATCTCGGCTCACTACAAGCTCCGCCTCCTGGGTTCACACCATTCTTCTGCCTCAGTCTCCCGAGTAGCTGGGACTACAGGCGCCCACCACCACGCCCGGCTCATTTTTTGTATTTTTAGTAGAGACGGGGTTTCACCGTGTTGGCCAGGATGGTCTCGATCTGCTGACCTCGTGATCCGCCCGCCTTGGCCTCCCAAAGTGCTGGGATTACAGGCGTGAGCCACCGCGCCCGGCCCTTGTTGAATTTCAATGATTTTCCAGGTGAGGAAACAAAAGCTCAGAGAGGCTAAGTAATTTGCCCCATGTCTCAGCCAAGAGACAGCAGAGTCAGGATTTGAACCCAGGCAGCCTGGCTGCAGCATCCATGCCTGTCAAGGTGGGGTGGAAGTGGACAGGTGATTATCCTCGCCACTCTGGCCCCAAACTCCGCCACCCTGACCGTCTCCATGCCTCCGGCCCCAGGTGTTCTCCCGGCCCGGCTGCTCAGCCATACGCCTCCGAAATCATCTGTGCTTTGGTCATTGCTCCTCTCTCTACATCCCTGGCTCGGACCCCACCCCACTAGTCCTGTGCAACAGCTGTATGCCTGCTCGCAAGCGTTGGGCACCCGTGGTCCTGTGGTGTCTCACTGGCAGCTCAGCCTCCCGTCGACGGGTGAAGATATCCACCATGCTGATCGAGGGGTGTCACTGCAGCCCAAAAGCATGAACTGAGCATCGTGGATGGGTGCACGGAGACACGCACCTTGGAGAAATGAGGGGAGATGGACCAAGAAAGACGTGGACCTGGATGATGTACTCTGGGTCAAGAGACCAGGGATGCAGGGTTAGGCAGACAGGTCCCCAGAGTCCTCACCCTGCTCCCCAGACAGTAGACACAGTGCCCGTCCTGGAGTTGCACCACTGATAGTCACAGCACACAATGATTGACAACTCACTTTTTTTTTTTTTTTTTGAGATGGAGTCTCGCTCTGTCGCCCAGGCTGGAGTGCAGTGGCGCAATCTCAGCTCACTGCAAGCTCCACCTCCCGGGTTTATGCCATTCTCCTGTCTCAGCCTCCCGAGTAGCTGGGACTACAGGCACCCGCCAACACGCCCGGCTAATTTTTTGTATTTTTAGTAAAGACAGGGTTTCACCGTGTTAGCCAGGATGGTCTCTATCTCCTGACCTCGTGATCTGCCTGCCTTGGCCTTATTATTTTTTTTTTTTAAGGACAGAGTCTCTCTCTGTCACCCAGGCTGGAGTGCAATGGCGCGATCTTGGCTCACTGTAACTTCCACTTGCCAGGCTCAAGCAGTTCTCCTGCCTCAGCCTCCTGAGTAGCTGGGACTACAGGCACCCGCCACCATGCCCAGCTAATTTTTGTATTTTTAGTAGAGACAGAGTTTCACCATATTAGCCTGGCTGGTCTCAAACTCCTGGCCTCAGGTGATCTGCCCACCTCGGCCTCCCAAAGTGCTGGGATCAAATCCACTGTTAATCATTAGGCTGAACTGTCTCTTATAGAATGAGGTCAAAGACACTCCCAGTTGCAGGGAGGGTAGATGGCCCCACCCAGACCGAGAGACACAGTGATGACCTCAGCCTAGGGACACCAAAAAAGAAAAAAAAAAAAACCCAAACCAAAAACGCAAACCAAAGCAGGCAGGCAGACAGCTGCTGGGGGAAATCCTGGGGTCCTTGAGACAGAGGCAGGACCCTCGTGTTCCCAGCTGCCTCTTGCCTTGATAGTGGTGCTGTGTCCCTCTCAGACCCCCCACCTGAGTCTCCACAGAGCCCCACGCCTGGCATGGCATTCCACAGAAACCATAAAGGTTGGCTGAGTCCAGCTGTCTATATGTGCATCTGTTTGTTCCTCCAACTGGGGTTCCCTGGGAGTGGGTGGCCCCATGACAGGGTGTGGGCATCTGAGTGCTCCCTCCCCAGCTGGGGCTCAGGGTCTTCAGCGGGCGAGGGCGGCCTGGCTTTGGGCGGCTGGAACCAGGGCCCTGGCAGATGGGCCTGTCTGGCACAGACGCAGGGACATGTGGCGTTGTCAGTGTTGCCTCCAAATGCCCCCCGGAGCGTGGGGCGGGGAGCCGGCCAGGCCCTTCTCAGCCCTCTTCCTGCCTCAGGAAGGAAGGCCTCAGGTGAGGGGAGCAGGAGGGGACCCGAGGAAACAGATGGGCCAGTGGGGCGTGGGAGCCTGAGACCCCTGACCTCACAGGCCTCACAGAGAGATGGGAACGGGACAGGCAGGCAGCTCCCAAGGCCCCTTGCTCGAAGGGCCCTGGAGGGGAGGGTCATGAAGGGCTCTGGGGGGGCTGCCCCATCCCTGTTCCCTCCAGAGTTCTGTGCCAAACCCCAGGCAGTGTCCGAGTGGGCAGCTCAGCCCTGGCACCATGGGCAAGCCCCCCTCTGGTGGGCATGAGGCATTTGCCTTCCCTCCCTCTGCTGTGCCCACCTCCTGCCAGCCAGGGGAGCCAGCTGGGAACCTTGGTGCCAGGGGAGCCCCCAGAGTCCCTGTCCCCTCCCGGGCAGTGCCAGCCGGCCCCTGCCCCGCCCCCCCAGGCCCAGTAATGGGTGGGTAATGAGTGCTGGGGGAGCGGGGGAGGGGCAGGGGATGCAGGTGCCACAGGCGCTGGCACGGGGGCCGCTAATCAGGTTTGCCAACGCCATCTGTCACCGCACGAGCATCTGGGGCTCAAGGTGACCCTGTCACCCTCAGTTACAATTATGAGTTTGGCATCTGTATTAAAGCCCGCCAGCCGGCCAGGCGGGGGACGGCTGGGGTGGGCACGGGGTTGCACGGTGAACCCCATCCCTGGGGTACCCTTCCCAGGGGCTGCGTGGCTGCCAGGCGTGGAGCTTCTTAGGGGACTATGTCTGTGTGTGTATGTGTGTGTGTGTGCACACCCATCCCAGTCTCCACAATTCTTAAAGTGTGTCCGGGTGCAGGGCTGGAAATCATAGGTTTGTGTGTGTCTCCATGGTGGCTGTGTGTCTAGGAGTTTGGTGGGCTGGCTGGGGGCGGAGCTCTGAGATTTTGTGGGTGCACAGATGTTCGTGCATCTGCATGCTGGGACAAGAACGTATGGAGGAGGGTGTCTCTTTGGATGATGGTGTGTCTTTTTCTTTTATTAGTAGTATTAATTATTATTCTTATTTGAGTCAGGGTCTCGCCCTGTCACCCAGGCTGGAGTGATCATGGCCCGATCCCTGCAGCCTCAAACTCCTGGGCTCAAGTGATCCTCCCTCCTCAGCCTCCCGAGTAGCTGGGGCTACAGGCTCATGACACCACGCCCAGCTAATTTTGTTTATTTTTTTGTAGAGACAGGGTCTCACTGTGTTGCCCAGGCTGGTCTCGAACTCCTGGGCTCAAGCCATCCTTCTGGTTTGGCCTTCCAAAGTGCTGGGATTATAGGCGTGAGCCACCACACCCAACCTGATGGGGTGTGTGTGTGTGTGTGTGTGTGTGTGTAAATGCACAGGGGTAGGTTGGGAGGGGTATCAGCTTTGGGAGAGGCCATGTGCAGTACTGCTGAGCTCCTCAGCTATCCCTTTGTTTCTATCTTCGCCAACTCCTGCTACGTGGCTGTGATCTGGAGGGCTCTGAGGACGGCTTAAGAATCTGGATTTTGGCTGGGTGAGGAGTCTCACGCCTGTAATCCCAGCACTTTGGGAGGCCAAGGCAGGTGGATTCATTGAGCTCACAAGTTCGCAACCAGCCTGGCCAAAATGGCAGAACTATGTCTCCACAAAAATATATTAAAAATTAGCTGGGCGCCGGGCGTGGTGACTCATGCCTGTAATCTCAGTACTTTGGGAGGCTGAGGCGGGTGGATGACCTGAGATCAGGTGTTCAAGACCAGCCTGGCCAACATGGCGAAACCCCGTCTCTACTAAAAATATAAAAATTAGCCAGGCGTGGTGGCGCGTGCCTGTAATCCCAGCTACTTGGGAGGCTGAGACAGGAGAATCGCTTGAACCCAGGAGGCGGAGGTTGCAGTGAGCCAAGATGGCGACACTGCACTCCAGGCTGGGCGACAAAGCAAGACTCCATCTCAAAAAAAAAAAAAAAAAAAATTAGCTGGGCATGGTGGTGTGTACCTGGAACCCCAGCTACTCAGGAGGCTGAGGTGGGAGAATGGCTTGAGCCTGGGAGGCAGAGGTTGCAGTGAGCCAAGGTTGTGCCACTGCTTTCCAGCCTGGGTGATAGAGCCAGACCTTGTCTCAAAAAAAAAAAAAAAAAAGAAAGAAAGCTCTCAATTTTGTAAGGTAGCCTTTGGATTCTAAATTCTTGGAGCTAGATTCTGGGTCTGGTGGATTCTAGTTTTGAGCAATAGGATCTAGATTTTTGGAATCTGAATCCCGGAGTATGGTTTCAGTGGCACCATCATAGTTCACTGCAACCTCAGACATGTGCCACTACACCCAGCTAATTTTTAAGTTTTTTGTAGAGATAAAGTCTTGCTATGTTGCCTATCGTGTCCCAAACTCCTGGCATCAAGTGATCCTCACGCCTTGGCCTCCCAAAATGCTGAGATTATAGCTGTGAGCCACCACGCCTGGCTGAGTTCGTGGATCTGGAGTATAGATCTTGGTATGATTGGAATCTTTTTTTTTTTTTTTTGAGATGGAGTCTCACTCTGTTGCCCAGGCTGGAGGGCAGTGGCGCAATCTCAGCTCACTGCAAGCTCCGCCTCCCAGGTTCAAGCGATTCTCCTGCCTCAGCCTCCTGAGTAGCTGGGATTACAGGTGCCCACTACCACACCCAGCTAATTTTTATATTTTTAGTAGAGACGGGGTTTCGCCATGTTGGTCAGGCTGGTCTCGAACCCCTGACCTCAAGTGATCTGCCTGCCTTGGCCTCCCAAAGTGCTGGGATTACAGGCATGAGCCACCGTGCCCAGCCCGGTATGATTGGACTCTAGATGCTGATCCTGGGTCCTGGGATCTGGATTACCGGCTCTTAGTTCTGTATCTGCGTTCCTGCTTCTGGACTTCAGTCTCTGGGCCTGTGTGCTCTGTGTCCTCTCTGTCCACAGCTCCAAGTTCAGCAACTGGGCGGCTGCCTGTCGTCCCTCCATGGATGGGTGCAGAGACCACCTATGGCCACCAGGGGACACCCTTGGTCTACATTTGGTCCAAGCTGCCCGACTGGAGGAGGAGTCTGGGACCACTGTGGCCCAGTTGGACTCAGCCCTTTCAGGAGGACCAGGGGCTGGACATCACTTTCCCCCACTTCCATCCCAGTCTCTGCTGGGACCTGAAATCTGTCAGCCCCCACTGACTCAAACGTGGAGAACTGGACTGAGCACCCCCACAGTGTTCTGAACAGTACCGTGGGACAAGGTGCCTGCCCAGTGAGTAGGTCAGACCCAGGGTTGAAGCCATGTGTGTCCATGAGGGTGACAATGAGTGTCTGAAAACGTGTCCAGGTGTGAAGGCGAGGGTGCACCATTCATCAGGAGTGGCCACATATGACAGCATTGCTAAGAAGTGTGAGCCTGGGAGGCGCGGTGGCTCAGGCCTGTTGTCCTGGCGCATAAGAAAGTGAGGCCCAAGGCCGGGCGGGCGGATCACGAAGTCAGGAGTTCGAGACCAGCCTGACCAACATAGTGAAACCCCGTCTCTACTAAAAATACAAAAATTAGCCTGTCGTGGTGGCGCGTGCCTGTAATCCCAGCTACTTGGGAGGCTGAGGTATGAGAATTGCTTGAACCCAGAAGGCGAAGGTTGCAGTGAGCTGAGATAGTGCCACTGCACTCCAGCCTGGGCAACAAGAGCAAGACTCCGTCTCAAAAAAAAAAAAAAAAAAAAAAAAGTGAGGCCAGGCGTTCAAGCCCTCATCTATGTAACAAAACAACAACAACGACAACAAAAATGTGAACCTGTGTGTTGGATGGTGTGTGGCCACCACTCACTGTATTCACATGTCTGATAAGGTCCTCATGAGACAGTGCACCTACACGGTTGTGTCTATAACTGGGAGATGTCACCAGGAGCCCTTGTATGAGTCCGTGTCCATGTCATATTCATGTGTCTGCGTCTATGATTGTGTCACTAGGAATCTATAGGTATCCATAGGTATGACTGGGACCATCTAGGGGAAGTGTCACTGGGTGACGGTGTCCTGGAGTGTCAGAAACAGTGTCCTGGCTGGGTGCAGGACCTGTAATCCCAGCACTTTGGGAGGCTGAGGCGGGCAGATCACCTAGGTCAGGAGTTCAAGACCAGCCTGGCCAACATGGTGTAACAGTGTCTCTACTAAAAATACAAAAATTAGCCAGGCATGGTGGTGTGTGCCTATAATCCCAGCTACTAGGGAGGCTGAGGTGGGAGAATCGCTTGAACCTGGGAGGCAGAGGTTGTAGTGAGCTGAGATCATGCGCCATTGCACTCCAGCCTGGGTGACAGAGCGAGACTCTGTCTCAAAAAAAAAAAAAAAAAGAAGCAGTGTCCCAGCACTTTGGGAGGCCAAGGTGGGAGGATCATTTGAGCCTAGGAGTTCAAGACCAGCCTGGGCAACATAGCAAGACCCTGTCTCTACAAAAAATTTAAAAAATTAGCGGAACATGGTGGCATGCACCTGTAGTCTCAGCTACTCAGGAGGCTGAGGTGGGAGGATCACTTGAGCCCAGGAGTTCAAGGCTGCAGTGAGCTATGATTGTGCCACTGCACTCCAGGCTGGGTACCAGAGCAAGACTTTGTTTCAAAAATAAATAAATATGGCTGGACATAGTGGCTCATGCCTGTAATTCCAGCACTTTGGGAGGCTGAGATGGGCAGATCACCTGAGGTCAGGAGTTCGAGACCAGCCTGGCCAACATGGCGAAATCTGGTCTCTACCAAAAATACAAAAATCAGCCAGATGTGGTGGCATGTGCCTGTAATCCCAGCTACTCGGGAGGCTGAGGCAGGAGAATGATGGAACCCAGGAGACAGAGGTTGCAGTGAGCTGAGATCGCACCACTGCACTCCAGCTTGGGCGACAGAGTGAGACTCCATCTCAAAATAAATAAATAAATAAAATAAAGAAGCAGTGTTCCTGAAGGCTGAGCCTCTGTGTCAACAGTGTCTTATCAGGGGCTGTGTGAAGGTGTGTAGGACAGAGGGTATGCTTTCTGAGAGTACCAAACCAGGGTGAGTGGAAGGGGCAGGTGGGACCAGAGACTCTCAGAGCAGGGAGCTGGGGTTGTTTCCAAGTTTCTCTCCTTCATTCCCTCACATCTGGGTATATCTCACCCTCCATCTTGCTATGTCTTTTTTTTTTTCCCTTGGGACAGGGTGTGGCTCTGTCACCCAGGCTAGAGTGCAGTGGTGCGATCATGTCTCACTGCAGCCTCAAACTCCTGGGCTCAAGTGATCCTCCCACCTTAGCCGTAGCTGGGACTACAGGTGCAGGACACCACGCTTGGCTAATTAAAAAAATTTCTTTTTTCTTTTTCTTTTTCTTTTTTTCTTTTCTTTTTTTTTTGAGACAGTGTCTCACTCTTGTTGCGCTGGCTGGAGTGCAATGGTGCAATCTCGGCTCACTACAACCTCCGACTCCCAGGTTCAAGCGATTCTCCTGCCTCAGCCTTCCAAGTAGCTGGGATTACAGGCGCATGCCACCACACCTGGCTAATTTTTTGTAGTTTTAGTAGATACGGCGTTTCGCCATGTTGGCCAGGCTGGTCTTGAACTCCTGACCTCAGGTGATCCACTCGCCTTGACCTCCCAAAGTGCTGGGATTACAGGCGTGAGCCATCGCGCCCAGCCCTTAACATGTTTTTTGTAGAGATGAGGTCTTACCATGTTGTCCAGGCTGGTCTCAAACTCCTAGGCTCAAGCATTCCACACACCTTGGCCTTTCAGAGTGCTGGGATTACAGGTGTGAGCCATCACACCCGGCCGCTATGTCTTTCTATGGCTGTGTGTCCTCTGACCTCTCAGCACTTCTGACTTTGTCTGGCTATCCCCATTCCCCTGATTTTTTTTTATTTTTTATTTTTATTTATTTATTTTTTTTGAGACAGGGTCTCACTCTGTCGCCCAGGCTGGAGTGCGATGGTGTGATCTCGGCTCACTGCAACTTCTGCCTCCCAGGCTCAAGAGATTCTCCTGCCTCAGCCTCCCGAGTAGCTGGGATTACAGGCGTCCACCACTACTGCCCGGCTAATTTTTCTATTTTTAGTAGAGACAGGTTTTCACCATGTTGGCCAGGCTACTCTTGAACTCCTGACCTCAAATGATCCACCCGCCTCGGCCTCCCAAAGTGCTGGGATAACAGGCGTCAGCCACCGCACCCAACCCCCCATCCCCTGATTTTTCCCATTGCTAAGCACAGCACACCAGGCAAGGAGGGTCCAGGGGTATTGGCTGACTGGTCCTGTCCCGTCTCTCACCCCAACCCTTCCTCTCCCATCTTGCTCCCGGGCTCTGCCTCTCCGTGGTCTTCTCCCTCCACCCGTCCTTCCTCATTGGTGTGTTTCTCTCCACCTTCCAGGTCTCTCCCGTTGTTTCTCCCTCTTGGATTCCCCATGTCTTTCCCTATCTCTGTCTCTGTCTTTGTCTCTCTTCTGTCTCTTTCCCCACCTTTTTTTTTGTGAGACGGAGTCTCGCTCTGTTGCCCAGGCTGGAGTGCAGTGGTGTGATCTCGGCTCACTGCAAGCTCTACCTCCCAGGTTCACGCCATTCTCCTGCCTCAGCCTCCCGAGTAGCTGGGACTACAGGTGCCCTTCACCACGCCCAGCTAATTTTTTTGTATTTTTAGTAGAGACGGGGTTTCACCATGTTAGCCAGCATGGTCTCGATCTCCTGACCTCGTGATCCGCCCGTCTTGGCCTGCCAAAGTGCTGGGATTACAGTCATGAGACACCGCGCCCGGCCTCCTTTTTTTTTTTTTTTTTTTTTTTTTGAGACACAGTCTCGCTCTGTTGCCCAGGCTGGAGTGCAGTGGCGTGATCTTGGCTCACTGCAACCTCCACCTTCCAGGTTCAAGTGATTCTCCTGCCTCAGCCTCACAAGTAGCTGGGATTACAAGCATGCACCACCACACCCATCTAATTTTTGTATTTTTAGTAGAGACGGGGTTTCACCATGTTGGCCAAGCTGGTCTTGAACCCCTGACCTCGTGATCTGCCTGCCTCAGCCTCCCGAAGTGTTGGGATTACAGGCATGAGCCACTGTGCCCTGCCTTCTTTCCCCTTTTGTGTCTCATTTCTCCCACTCCATCTCCTCTTGTCCATTCTTCCCAGCCCTAAATCTTCTCCTATTTATGTCTCTTTTCATCTCTCTCCTTTTCTCCTAATTTTTCCCTGTCCCTCTCATCTCCCTATCTCTCCTCCTTTTTTCTCTTGTTTATTTATGTATTTATTTTGAGACAGAGTCTCGCTCTGTCACCCAGGCTGGAGTGCAGTGGCGTCATCTCTGCTCACTGCAGCCTCCACCTCCCACATTCAAGCAATTCTCGTGCCCCAGCCTCCGGAGTAGCTGGAATTACAGGCACGTACCACCACACCCGGCTACTTTTTGTATTTTTAGTAGAGACGGGGGTTTCTCCATGTTGGCCAGGCTGGTCTCGAACTCCTGACCTCAAATGATCCGCCCACTTCGGCCTCCCAAAGTGCTAGGATTACAGGTGTGAACCCCCATGCTCGGCCTCCTCTCTCCCTTTATCTCTGTCTCTTCCCGTTTTTTTTCTCTCCCAGTGTCTCCTTATCTGCCTCTCCCTGCCTAGTCTCCCGTCTCTCTCCATCTCTCAGTCTCCGCATCTCTTCTCTCATCATGTCTCTCCCATCTTTTTTCCCCTCATTTCTCTGTCTCTCAGTCTCTCCAGCTTTTCCTGTGTCTCTGTCTCTCCCCATCTCTGTCTCTCCATACCCAGTCCCCATGTCTCTCCATCTCCATGTCTCCCCATCTCTTCTCTCTCCCCATCTCTCTCATCTCTTTCTTTCTTTCTCTTTTTCTTTCTCTCTCTCTCTCTCTCTCTCTCTCTCTCTCGCTTTCTTTCCTCTCTTTCTCTGTCTCTCTCTCTCTCTCTCCTTTCTTTCTTTCTGACGGAGTCTCACTCTGTCGCCAGGCTGGAGTGTAGTGGGGAGATCTTGGCTCAGTGCAACCTCTGCCTCCCGGGTTCAAGCGATTCTCCTGCTTCAGCCTCCCGAATAGCTGGGACTACAGGCGCGCACCACCATGCCCGGCTAATTTTTTGTATTTTAGTAGAGACAGGATTTCATCATGTTGGGCTGGATAGTCTCGATCTCCTGACCTCGTGATCGGCCCGCCTCGGCCTCCTAAAGTGCTGGGATTACACTGCGCTCGGCCTCTCATCTGTTTCTTTCCCCATCCTTCTGTCTCTCAATCTCTCCAGCTTTCTCCGGCCCTCCCAGTGTCTTCATCTCTCCCCATTTCTGTCTCTCCCCACCAGGTCTCCCTATCTCTTCCCATCTCTCTCCGCATCTCTGGGTCTCCCATCTCTGGTCTCTCCCTGTCTCTCTTTTTTCTCTCCCCATTTCTCTGTCTCTCCCCATCTCCGTCTCTCTCATCTCTGGTCTCTCTCATCTCTGGTCTCTCCCTGTCTCTCCTGTCTTTTTCCCTCCCCATTTCTCTGTCTCTCCCCATCCCGGTCTCCCCGTCTCTGTCGGCCCGGGTGGGTCCGGGTGGGTCCGGGACGGCCCGGCCCGGGCGCCGCGGCGAACAATGCCCCATTCACGCGGGCCGCCGGCGCCATGGCAACGCGCCCGCCCCGCCCTCCCTGCGCGCGGGCCGCGCGTGCCAAGAGGATGCCATGGTTACGTCAGGCGCGTGCCCGTCGCGCGCGCCGCCGTCCCGCGCGCTCTTGCAGGGAGGGGCCAGGCCAGCAGGGGGCGCGCGGCAGTAGCCTCTGCCCGGAGTCAGAAGGGGCGGTCTTCCCCACTTCAAGGGGCCTTCAGCTGCTTAGTGCCTCAGTTTCCCCATCTGTAAAACGGGGGCGATGGGCAAAGCTAGATCGGAGTGTGAAAGAGACAGAAGGAGGAAGGGAGAAAGGGGAAGAAGGCGGCGGTGCTCCTTGGGGATGGTTGTGTGTCTGAGTTTGCATGAGTCAGTGGGTATATGTGTGTGCGAATTTGTGGGTCCATGTTTGCGCGCTTGTGTGGGTGTTTTATGAGAAGTTGAGAAGTGGTTGGTTGTAATTTGGGGGTGACTTGGGGCCCATGTGTTTGGAAGTGTGTGTGTTTGTATTTGCACACTTGTGTGTGATGGTATTAGCCGGTATCATTTGTGTGTGATAATGTGTCCGTGTGTTTGTGGTCCTGTGATTGTGCACCCCATGTTTGCCTGTCTGGTGTGTGGTGTGTATAGTGGGTGTCTGTGGTTTGGGTGTGGTTGTGGGTTCGGGGAACTATGTGTCCCATGTTTGCATGTCTGGGGTGTGTGTGTGTGTGTGTGTGTGTGGTGGGTGTCTATAATTTGGGTGTGGTTGTGAGTTCATGTAACTGAACCCCATGTCTGAATGTCTGGTGTGTGTATGTGTATGATGGGTGTCTGTGGTTTGGGTGTGGTCGTATGGTTGTGAGTTCATGTGACTGTGCACCATGTTTGCATGTCTGGTGTGTGTGTGTGTGTGTGTGGTGGGTGTCTATGGTTTGGATGTGGTGTGTGTGGCTGTGTTTGCATGCCTGGTGAGTGTGTGTATGGGTGTATGTGTGTCTGTGATGGTGGATGGCTGTGTTGTTGGGTGTGATTGTGAGTTTGTGTGAATGTTGTTTGCGTGTCACGGGGCCTGTGTTCACAAACTCACGTGTGCTTCTGTGTGGAACTGGGTGTGGGTTCTGAGGACTTCGGGGACCTGGCCAAGTCTCCCTCCCCCACCTGGGGGCCTCCTGGCACGGAAGGGGGTGACCAGCTGCCTGGGACCTCCGACTCCCCACAGGTTCAGGAGAGCCCCAGCTGATGAATATTCATGAGGTGGGGGGGCTGGCACCCACTGCCAACAGCTGCGTGTCCATTAGTCCCCCTCCCTGCTCTTCCTGTACTGACTGCAAAGGGGAGGGGGGGTGTCGGCGTGTGTCTGTCCCTGTTTCCAAGACTCGGGGGCGGGGGTGTCCTAGGGACAATCGTGGGGGCCCAGTCAGCATGCCTGGCTGCTTGTGTGGACGGCTAAGGGGCTGTCTCAATGTTGTGACAGGCACTGGGAGAGTGACTGTTGTGTGACAGGTTGTCCTTGTAATCGTGGTGAGGCTGTCACCCACGGTTGCATTGTAGCTCCTTGGTCTGGGGACTGTGGGCGTTGTGTGGCAGCGTGAGTGAGCTGTGTACCTGTCACCTGCAACAGGGAGACTGTGAGTGTGTGCTATTCGAGTGACTGTGACCAGTGGTCTGTACCTACTGGCTGCCTGCTCTGTGACACAGTGACAACAAGGGTGTGTTATTGTGCTATTGGAATAACTGGGTTGGTTCAAACCTTGATCAAGGGACAGCTGCGGTCTGCACCCTGGGGAGGCAGTGGTCAGAGCTGCTTTTCCTCCTTGTGACTGGGTGGGGCGGTGACTCCGTGTGGCCACGTGGCTAGCACAGCTGCAGGGACATGCGGACTGAGTATATCAGTGTGCCTCTGCTGGCCAGTGTGACGTTGATGTGGTGTGAGGGTCAGAGTGTCGGGGTTCCTGGGAGGATGTGTGAGACCGTGCAGCTGAGGTGTGTGTCACCAGAATTGTCAAGGGTGTGACCGTAGTTCTTCATGTGACAGCGTGGCTGAGGGTGTGATGGTGTTGCTGTGCAGGTGACACTGTGGCAGTGAATGCGTGGATCTTTGTGTGGTTGAAGGTGTGACAGTGATTGTGTTTGATGATCTGAACCAAAGGGCTATGACTGTCCTACCCTCACTTCCAGGCTGCACAGGGAGAGCTGGGTGCTGGAGTGAGGGGGCTCCTGGCATGGGATTGGCAGCTGCCTCGCCAGGGGCCGCACGTCAGCCTGAGACTGGGACACCTGGAGATCTGATGCCAGCTGGGGCACAGAACCTCCTCCCTCCATCTTCCCCTCCATAGGCTGGGTTTGGAGGAGTGGCCTCTAGATGCAGCTGGGACCAGCAGGGGGTGGGGCGGGATGTGCTTCTCTGGTCTAGGGGACTCTGGCCTCTGGCTGGGTGGCCCTGGAGGCCCCAGGTTCCCAGCATACGTGGCTTGGCCAGGAACTCAGTGTGGCCGACTCAGCCCCTCTGATACCCACACCCTGGGACGGCTGAGCATTGCTGGCGGCCCCAGCGGCAGCGCACAGAGGCTCCTTTCACGAGCCAGGGCCAGGTTTCCAGGGCGGGTGGGTCTCCGGCTGGCCCGCTGCAAATGAAACGTTTCCCCAGCTCCTTCCCTTTCGTCTCCAGATGAGCGACGGCCACAGGAGGCCCTGGCCAGGCTGTGCTGCCTAGGCAAGTGTGAGTGTGTGTCTGTGTTTCCCTGTGTGTGTGCACGATCTAGATATCTTTGTGTGACTTTTTGTTTCTTTTTTATTTTTTTTCAAGACAGAGTCTCACTCTGTCACCCAGGCTGGAGTGCAGTGGCACGATCTCAGCTCACTGCAATCTCCGCCTCCCAGGTTCAAGTGATTCTCCTGCCTCAGCCTCCCAAATAGCTGGGATTGCAGGTGTGCGCCACCATGCCCTGCTAATTTTTGTATTTTTAGTAGAGATGGGGTTTTGCCATGTTGGCTAAGCTGGTCTCAAACTCCTGACCTCAGGTGATCCACCCATCTCAGCCTCCCAAAGTGCTGGGATTACAGGTGTGAGCCACTGCGCCCGGCCTGTTTCTTTTTTTGAGATAGGATCTCACTCTGTTGCCCAGGCTGGAATGCTCACTGCAGCCTCAACCTCCCGGACTCAAGTGACCCTCCCACCAGATTAGCTGGGACCACAGATGCACACTCTATGCCTGGAGAATTTATAAATTTTTTGTAGAGACACGGTCTCGCTATGTTGCCCAGGCTGGTCTTGAACCCCTGGGCTCAACCGATCCACCCGCCTCGGCCTCCCAAGGTGCTGGGATTATAGGCGTGAGCCACGGCGCCTGGCCTTTGGTGACTTTTTGTGTGCTACATCTGTGGATGATTTTGAGAACATCAACGTGTGTGACCCATCGGGTACATGCAGTCCTGTGTGAGATTTTTGTGAACCTGTGTGACTTAGTGTGGCCTGTGTGTACCTGTGTAACTCAGCATGAGATTCTGGGAGTCCATGTGACTGTGCGTCTGTGTGTGTCTTTGCAACGCGGTGTATTGTCTGGGTCTCTATGGGGATCTATGTGATGGTGAAGGTCTTTGTGTGTATGACCTGGCTGTCACTCTGTGGGTGGCTCTGGGAAGGCCTGTGTGGGATTTTTGGCGTGACTGTGTGTGTTTGTATGTCTGTGTGATATTCTAGAAGGGTGTGTGATGGTATCTGGGTGACCCTGTGTCTGTGTGTCATTCTGGATTTTATCTGTGGGAACAGAGGAGGAGAGGAAAAGGGGGGAGGGGAGAGGGAAGGAGAAGGGTCTGTATTTCTGTGTGTCTGAGTGTGCCTGTGTATGTTTGGGTGCCCCTGAGTGAGTGTGATAGTGAGAGTCTGGTGTCTGCATTCACATGTGTGTGGTGTGGTTGTGGGTGTCCCTCGAGGTGTGCCTCAGAAGCAACGACCTGTAACTCCCCAAATTGAGTCCCTAATAGGGGCTTCTAGACCACCCTGGAAGGCAGACAGTGATTTCAAGGCTAGGACCCCAGGCCCGGAGCACAGATCATGCCTACCACGCTAAGTACGGGGACATCAGGCCCTCTTGGTGGGAGTGGGGATATCCAGGTTCTACTGGGGGTGCCTAGAGCACCCTTTTCTCCCAGCCTGGCAGCACCCATGGCCTGGCTCCCTGCCTATGCTACATGCCAGATGTTTGCCCACCTCACCCAAGAGCCCTGCTCAGTTGCCAAGCAGCCCTGGAGCCTCACGTTGCCCGGCCCCACATTCTGTGCCCCAGAATGTGGCTGCCAGAGCCCAGATGTTTCAGCCCTCCCCTCACCCACATCCACACTGCCCGCAGCATCCTGGCCAGGTAGTGCCATGGGCCTGGCTGCCGCTTCCTGCTCCTCGTCCTACCCCAACACACCTGCATGGTAGGAACGCACCTGCTGCTAGCCACAGCCAGGTGGGCAGCCTGGCAGGGAGGAATGTGGGGGATTCCAGCTGTGGCATGCCAGCTGTGCCCAGCCCCCTGGCGGCACCCTCCTCCCGTGAGATTTCTCGAAGGCCAGGTGTATCCTAATACTTGGGCCCCGGGGAGGGGGAGAGAGGGAGGGGCAGCGCTGCCCTCTCTGGCAGTCCCTCTGCC
Organism: Homo sapiens; assembly: GCF_000001405.40. Lineage (NCBI taxonomy): Eukaryota > Metazoa > Chordata > Mammalia > Primates > Hominidae > Homo > Homo sapiens. Next base: position 12,988,220 of record NC_000019.10, read on the forward strand.
TTCCCATAAATTCTTCCCATTGCAGTTGTGGAGGGGAGCAGAGTGAGGGAGTGTGTGTGTGTGTGTGTGTGTGTGTGTGTGTGTGTGTAGGAGGGTGCTGTCAGTGTAGAGGAGGGGTGCTGAATGTGGGGAAAGAACTTTGAATGAGGATGTGTGTGTGAGTGTGAGAGTGAGTGTCTTGTCTGTGTGAGTGTGGATGTGGTGTGACAGTTGTGTTTGAATACAAGGAAGTGTGTGCGTGTGTGGCGTGTACATGGGGAGGGTGTTATGGGAGGAGTATGTGTATACAAATGGAAGTGTATGTGTGTTGTGTGTGTTTTTGTGTGTGAATGGAGGGATGAGTTGTGTGTGTGAATGAATAATAGGTGTTCTGGTGTGATACTGAGTGTCATAGAGTCCGTGACTGTGTGTGTGAAGGATGTGTGTGTGTGCACCTTTGGAAGTCTGGTGTCCTGTGTGTATGAATGGAAGGACAAGTTTGTGTTTGTGAATGAAGGATGAGTGTTGTGTGGGTGTGAATGAAGGGTGTGTTATGTGTGTAAAAATGAAGGAGAGATGGCCGGGCGCAGTGGCTCACGCCTGTAATCCCATCACTTTGGGAGGCTGAGACAGGCGGATCACAAGATCAGGAGATTGAGACCATCCTGGCTAACATGGTGAAACCCCCTCTCTACTAAAAATACAAAAACAAAATTAGCTGGGCGTGGTGGTGGGCGCCTGTAGTCCCAGCTGCTCGGGAGGCTGAGGCAGGAGAATGGTGTGAACCCGGGAGGCGGAGCTTACACTGAGCCAAGATCGCACCACTGCACTCCAGCCCGGGTGACAAGTGAGACTCCGTCTCAAAAAAAAAAAAAAGTAGGAGAGATATGTGTGTGGATGAAGGCTGGGTGTCGTGTATATGTGGATGAAGGATGGGTGTTGTGTGTGTACATAAGGAAGGCTGGGTGTTGTGTGTGTGGATGAAGGCTGGGGTGTGTGCGCGCGTGTATGGAAGGCTGGGTGTTGTGTGTGTGCGTATGGAAGGCTGGGGGTGTGTGTGTGCGTATGGAAGGCTGGGGGGTGTGTGTGTGCGTATGGAAGGCTGGGGTGTGTGTGTGTGCGTATGGAAGGTTGGGTGTTGTGTGTGTGCGTATGGAAGGCTGGGTGTTGTGTGTGTGCGTATGGAAGGCTGGGGGGTGTGTGTGCGCGTATGGAAGGCTGGGTGTTGTGTGTGTGCGTATGGAAGGCTGGTTGTTGTATGTGTGCAAATGGAAGGATGGGTGTTGTGTGTGTGCGTATGGAAGGCTGGGTGTTGTATGTGTGCGTATGGAAGGATGGGTGTTGTGTGTGTGCGTATGGAAGGATGGGTGTTGTGTGTGTGGATGAAGGATGGGCGTTGTGTGTGTGCATGTGAAAGGATGGGCGTTTGTGCATATGGAAGGCTGGGTGTTTTGTGTGTGCATATGAAAGGCTGGGGGTGTGTGTGTGCATATGGAAGGCTGGGTGTTGTGTGTGTGCGTATGGAAGGCTGGGTGTTGTGTGTGTGTGTATGGAAGGCTGGGGGTGTGTGTGTGCATATGGAAGGCTGGGGTGTGTTTGTGTGCGAATGAGAGCCTAGGTCTGGGCCAGGTGCAAGGACCAGGAAGGCCATGAGGGACCATCAGCCCAGGAGCCCGGGGCCTGGGGGCTGGTGGTCACGGCTGGAGCACAGGCTGGCAGGTGGGGTAGGGCAGCCAGAGTTGGGGTTTCTGAGCCATGTGCCCCCTCACAGCCATTTGCAGGGGGGTGGGCAGGGTCTGCCTGGCTCTCAAGATCCTCCAAGCCCCCAGCTCCATGAAGGGTCTCACACCTCCCCGGGCCCTTTCCCACAGCTTCCCCCTCAGTCCCCCCACAGACCCACACTGCTCTGCTGTCCTCTTCACCCAGGACCCCCAGATCCCCCAGACATTGCCTCTGCTCCTTTCCACAGCCATCTGAGCCCCCGCCCTGCCTCCATCCCCCATCACTCCCTCAAAGCCCGCATGTCCCCAACTCCTTCTCCCAGACATCCCAGCCTCTCTAGGGCCCCTCAAAAGCCCCCAGACGCTTTTCCGTTCATCCCTTCTGCCTTTTCCAGCTCCCCTCCCCTCCCTACACCTGGACCCCCATTCTGTCCTCTACCCCTTTCCAGAACCATCCATTCATCGGCCCAACCCCCTTGATCCCCAAATCCCTTTCTGGCCCTTCCTCCAGCCCCTTACCGCTCCCAGCCCCCCACGGGGCCCCGCCCCTTCCCCTCTGCGCCCCCACCCCCACCCCCGCTCCGCTTCCAACCCCTCCCCCGTCCGCCCCTTGGAGCCCCCTCCCTCTTCTGGGGCAGCGGTGGTGTGGAGGCAGGCAGCCGCAGCACTCCTGAAACTTTAAACGGTGTTAAAAGTTTCTGTTTACGAGAAACCCTTGAATTTTTAAGGACATATCGATTCCCTGCTCCACAGCCTTGCCTCGGTGGCGTGGCGGCCTCAGGCACAGTGGGGAGGCCCAGACTGGAGGGAGCCGGGGTTCCGAGGCCCCCAAGCACCGAATGACAGATACACGCCTACCCAGACACACTCTCAGGCACACAGGGACGCGATCCCTGATACACTCACACACACACAGCTAGTCACACACAGACATGGCCTGACACAGACACACATATCAGGACACACAGAGACCCCTCCCTGACACTGACACACGCATACACCAGTGTGTGTATACACACACCGACATGGCCTGACACACACACAGACTCACATCTCTGACACAGGTTTACATTGACCCCCCTCCCTGACACACACACACCCACCCACACACACCCACCCACACACACATACACTCCTAGTTACACACACTGATATGGCCTCACAGACACACACATTGACATGGCCTGACACACACAGACTCACATCTCTGATACAGGTTCACAGGGACTCCCCCTTCCCTGGCACACACACATACACACACCTAGTCACATACACTAACATGGCCTCACATAGACACACACACACGACCTGACACACACAGACACATGTATCTGGACACACAGAGACCTCCTCCCTCATACACAGACACACACACCGACATGGCCTCGCTCTCGCTCTCTCTCACACACACAAACATGCACACACGCATGGCTACACACACTCTCTGGCATGGCCTGACACACACAGGCTCACATCCTTGTCACACAGAGCCCCCATGTCCTGACAGCCCTGATCCCTGACACTCCTGAGCACCTGTGTACACACCCTGGTACACAAAGATCCTCATCACCGCCCTAGGTCCACATAGCAAAACACACACCTAGTGACACCCATTGACACTTTCTGCCCCACAGACCCTGATCACAAACAGGGCTGGCTATGCCCATTGGGCTCTTGCAAGCAGGTCCCAGACCCACTGGGACCCTTGCACAGTCACTCACGTGATCACACTTCAAGACACACACACACACAGACCCATATACACTGACACTGCACTGTTGTCCAGGCTGGAGTGCAGTGGCGCGATCATGGCTCACTGCAACCTCCGCCCCCTGAGCTCAAGCCATCCTTCCACCTCAGCTTTTGGAGTAGCTGAGACCACAGGCACGCACCACCACGCCTGGCTTTTTTTTTTTTTTTTTTTTTTTTGTATTTTTTGTAGAGATGGAATCTCATCATGTTGCCAAGCTGGTCTTGAACTCCTGACCTCAAGCAATCTGCCCATTTCAGACTCCTGAAGTGCTGGGATTATAGGCATGAGCCACCGCATCCGGCCTACACTGACACTTTTTTTTTTTGAGACGGAGTCTCGCTCTGTCGCCCAGGCTGAAGTGCAGTGGCGTGATCTCGGCTCACTGCAAGCTCCGCCTCCCGGGTTCACGCCATTCTCCTGCCTCAGCCTCCCAAGTAGCTGGGATTACAGGCGCCCGCCACCATGCCTGGCTAATGTTTTGTATTTTTAGTAGAGACGGGGTTTCACCGTGTTAGCCATGATGGTCTCGATCTCCTGACCACCCGCCTCGGCCTCCCAAAGTGCTGGGATTACAGGTGTGAGCCACCGTGCCCGGCTGGTGTTTGCTTGCTTGCTTGCTTGCTTTTCTTTTTCTTTCTTTTTCTTTTCTTTCTTTCTTCCTTTCTCTTTTTCTTTTTCTTTTCTTTCTTTCTTTCCTTTCTTCCTTCCTTCCTTTCCTTCCCTCCTCTTCCTTCTTTCTTTCTTTCCTTTGTTTCTTTCTCTCTCTCTCTCTTTTTCTTTTTTTCTTTTCTTTTTTTTGAGATAGAGCCTTGCTCTGTTGCTCAGTCTGGAGTGCAGTGGTTCGATCTCGGCTCACCGCAACCTCTGCCTCCTAGGTTCAAGCAATTCTGCCTCAGCCTCCTGAGTAGCTGGGATTATAGGCGCCTGCTACCATGCCCGGCTAAATTTTATATTTTTAGTAGAGATGGGGTTTCACCATGTTGGTGAGTCTGGTCTCGAGCTCCTGACCTCAGGTGATCTGCCTGCCTCGGCCTCCCAAGGTGCTGGGATTATAGGCATGAGCCACCACGCCTGGCCATGGTCTTTATTTTCTTCCCCCACCATGTCCCCAGTGCTTGGTATAGGACCGGGCAGGCACCTTCTCTGCCTCATGACACCTTAAGTACAAAGTCAGACCCAGTCTCTGCTGCACAACATACAGATCCACACAAAAAGATTCTTGCTTTGTTTTTTAAAATTTTTATTATTTATTTATTTATTTATTTATTTATTTATTTATTTATAGATGGAGTGTCGTTCTGTCACCAGGCAGGAGTGCAGTGGCGCGATCTCAGCTCGCTGCAACTTCCGCCTCCTGAGTTCAAGTGATCTCCGGCCTCAGCCTCCCGAGTAGCTGGGACTACAGGTACACGCCACCACACCCAGCTAATTTTTGTATTTTTAGTAGAGACGGGGTTTCACCATGTTGGCCATGATGGTCTCGATCTCTTGACCTCATGATCTGCCTGCCTTGGCCTCCCAAAGTGCTGGGATTACAGGCGTGAGCTCTCCCTTTCTCTCTCTTTCGTTTTGAGACAGAGTCTTGCTCTGTTCCCCAGGCTGGAGTGCAGTGGTATGGTCTTGGCTTACTGCAGCCTCTGCCTCCCAGGTTCAAGCGATTCTCCTGCCTCAGCCTCCCTAGTAGCTGGGATTACAGGCATCCCACCACGCCCAGCTAAGTTTTTTATTTTTAGTAGAGACAGGGTTTCACCATATTGGCCAGGCTGGTCTCAAACTCCTGACCTCAGGTGATCCACCCGCTTCGGCCTCCCAAATTGCTGGGATTATAGGTATGAGCCACCACGCCCAGCCAGACTCTTGCACCTATCATGACCTGCATTTCTTCAGTGTCCCCGGAAGACACCAGACCCATCTAGACACCCACAGACACACTGCCTGCCACACAGCCTAATACAGTATTGTGACAAGGAGCATATCGTTTCTGGGACATTTACACACATACTCACGTACACATGCATACTTTTGTGCCTGCTTGCAAGAGCCCAATGGGCACAGCCAACCCTGTGTGCGTGCGCACCCCCCGCCCTGGGCACTGACACCCCCTTTAACAGACAATGCATAGCTGAGAATTGCCACAGCTTTTTGGCCCAAGAGAGCAAGAAGGTGCTGGTTGCACCTGGCAGCAGGCGGGTGTTTTGTCTCAGCAGGAGCTGCCTGGGGGCTGTAGGCACTGCCTCCCCACCCACCCTGAGGGTTACCAGAGGGCTTCCTCTCCCCTTGCTCCAGGGTCCCCAGCACTACCTCTCCCCCCAGGCCTTTATGTTCTGAAAATGAGGAGTCAGGGCCCGCAAGAGGGGCTGGAACCTCACCAAAGTGTGTGTGTGTGTGTGTACATGTACGGAGGCCCTGATGCCCAATTCTGTCCCTGACAGCTGAGCTGTGGGTCTCCTGCTATATTTGCCTATGTCGATGATCAGGGCCACATTACAAGTGTGTTGGGGGGGGGGCACGTAAGGGACATGGGTGTATGTGTGTGATCCCTGTGTGCATGGCTAGATGATTCTCCCAGGGGGGTTGTCAGCCGCCTGGGCATCAGTTGGTCAGTGTGTCCAAGGCCTGTGGGTACATCTGGGCAACCCAGTGTGTGTGTGTGTGTGTGTGTCTGTGTGTTGTGTTGTGACAGCCAGTGTTGCTTTGTATCTGTGACGCTGTGTATCTCTTTGTATTGGGGTCCTTTGCATTCACTTCCAGGTGTTTGGTGTGTGTTTATGTGACATTGTGTATCTTCCCTTCATTAGTGTCATCTTATTTATTTAGTTATTTTTTTTCAGACAGGGTCTTGCTCTGTCACCCAGGTTGGAGTGCAATGGCACTATCATGGCTCACTGCACCCTTGACCTCCCCGGGCTCAAGGGATCCCCCCACTTCAGCCTCCTAAGTAGCTGGGACCACAGGCATCCACCACCACACCCAGCTAATTTTTGTATTTTTGGTAGAGAGGGGTTTTGCCATGTTGTCCAGGCTGGTCTTGAACTCCTGAGCTCAAGCAATCCACTGGCCTCGGCCTCTCAATCATCAGTGTCATTCTGTACATCGGGGTGTACTGCCACAACTGCCAGTGTGTTCTGGCACTGCGATGTGTGTGTGTTGTGTATGTGTCTGCGTGTAGGAATTGTGTGTCTGGAAGGTGTCAGCGTGTGGCTGTGTGATCTTGCATGTGTCTGTGTTCTGCAGGAACATGCGTCAGTGTGTGTGCATCAGTGTGCATCTCTATGTGTCATGCACTGGTGTGTCTTCGTGTATATCAGTGTGTGTCTACGTGACGCCTGCTTTGGTGTATGTCTATACGCGGTTCCTTGTTGTGTGCCTGGATACCATGGTGGGACGGTGCATGTCAGAGCGTGGGTCGTGGGTGTTTTCCCAGACTGCTGTGTGTGTGTGCCCGTGTGTAGGGGTTGTGTGTCTGTGCCTTGTGTGCACTGGTGTCCGAGTGTGCTTTGTGTTCGAAGGCGGAACGTGTGGCCAGGCGTTCTGGACGTGACATGTGTGGCGGGGTCCGAGTCCCGCTGCGTGTCAGCGTGTGTCTGCGCTGGAACGCGGGCCAGCACGTGTCAGGGCGGCCGCGTCGGTGTGCGCCCCCGCGCGCGCGTGTGCGTGTGTTCGTGTGTGTGTGTGCATGTGTGTGCTTGTGTGTGTGCGCCGGCCGCCGCTCCCCCGCCCTGCCCGCCCCTCCCCGCGCCCCTCCTCCCGCCCGCGCCGCCCGCCCGCTCCCTCTCCCCGGAGTGCGCCGCTTCCAAACTTTGTCTAAACTTTCACTTTCACAGCGCGGCGGCTGCGGCGGCGGCGGCGGCGGGCGAGGGTGACCGGCCGAGCGGCGGCGGCATGGAGTAGACGCGCGGCGGCAGCGGCGGCGGCGGCGGACGCGAGAGGCAGCGGCGAGCGCGGCGGCGGCGGCGGCAGCGGCGGCCCCGGAGCCGGCGGGGCCGAGCTTGCGAGCGGCGAGCGCGGAGCGGCGCCGGGCCGAGCGCGGGGCCGCGGGCCGGGCGGGCGCAGCGCGGCGGAGGCCGGAGGAGCCGAGCCGGAGCCCGAGCCCGAGCGCGGCCGCCGCCTGCCGGGCCTCCCCTCGCCGCGGCCGGCCGCCGCGCTCCCGCCCGGGCGCCCAGCTATGTACTCCCCGTACTGCCTCACCCAGGTACCGGCCGCCGCCCCCGCGCGACCGGGGGAGGGGAGCGGGCGCGGGAGGCCGGCCGGCGGCGCGGGCGGAGGGGACGCGCGGCGGCCGGGAAGGGGGGGCCGAGAGCCCGCGGGCCGCCGAGGGGTGCAGGCTGTGCCGCGGGGAGCCCAGGCACGCGTGCGGGCGTCACCGTGCGCGTGCGACCCTGGCCACCGGGCGGACTCCTTTTGGGGGTTCCGGGGGTGGCCAGCTGCGTCGTGGCGCTGCCCGTGGAGCGCAGGCGGGAGTGCGTGTACGTGTGTGTGTGTGTGTGTGTGTGTGTGTGCGCGCTCGACTGGGGTGCGATGGGCAGCGGGACTCCGGCTGACCTGTGGGCTACTGTAGCGCGCACCCGGGCAGCGTGGTCGCTGGCAGTGTTTGCGGGGTTGACAGAGTGGCAAGAGGGTGGTCCCGAGGGCGCAGAGGGGACACTGGGTCCCGCGACGCTTCCTGGGGAGGGCGCAGCGGTTCCCGAGGGTGGCAGTGGCCGGCGTGCGTGGCGGCGGCCCTTGCGTGCGGCCGGGGTGCCTGGGGTGGGCCGAGCGGCCCGGGCGTCTCCCCAAAGTCTTTGTTTAGGCCTCACATGGGAGCGGGGCTAAGAAAATGGCGGGGCTCCCAAATTTCGGAGGGGCAGGGGAGGGGAGAGGGGGGCGGGCGCGCTGCCAGCGGTGGCCGCGCCTCTCCGACCCCGGACGTCGCAGCCTCTGCCCCCCCACCCCCAAACTTTCCTCGGCGCAAACTTTCTGGCCCCAGCGACCCGGGCTGCTGCGGAGTGGACCCGGCAGGCCTGGGGAATCCCGTCCCGTCGCCTGGAGGCGGGAGGGGCGGGAGGCAGCCGTGGACACAGCCGACAGTGCTGCGGCCACACCGTCGGGTCAGCCTCGGGCACAACAGCGCCGACCTTGGCGCGTTGCTAGAGCGCGTCCCGCCTGCAGCGAAGTTCCCTGCGCGGCGCACGGCTGCGGCAAAAGCTTCGAGGATGCCTGTCGGGCCACCCAACTCTCCCTGGGCTGTGGCCTGAGGCTCTAAGAGGGCACAGAAGCTGCCCAGAGTCCCACAGTGGCCCTGACAGCGTTGCCTGCAGGGCCAAGCCACAGCTGGTAACAGTCTCCGAAGAGGGGACATCTAGGGGCTGCTTAGCCCTGCTGCCAGCCAGGCCTGCATGTGGGGGTTCTCTAGGCCAGGCCCTAATTGTCCCCTCTGCCCAGCCTGATCCTTGTCAGCCATGTGCCAAGTGTGTCCACAGCTTACAGTGGCAGTCCACATGGGTATGGCTCCTACTTTGTCTGGGTCCTACCGGGAGTGTGCAGTGGTGTCAAGGGGCGAGGGGTTTGTCGGGGTGTGTGTCAGCTGTGGCTACACCACACTCCTGTATGCACAGGTGAGAGTGTATGCAAGTGTGAATCAATCTAGAGTCTGTGTGTAGCCCCTGTGGGCCGGCCATGGGCAGGCCTGCGTGGCATGGCCGTGTGTGTGGCCCAGGGAGCGGGTTTTCCTGTAGAAAGCAGGCCCAAGTACGTGTTGGCGAGGGCGCACCGGCATGCATACATGTTGCAGTGTGCATGCAGGTGTGAGCAGGCACCCTGAGCACCATGGCAGTGTGGGGAACCCCCACATCTGCACCTCCAGTTCCACGGCCACTCCATGTTGGGCGCCCCTCACAACAACTGCCTACCCAGCGGTGTCTGAGCTGGGCCTCTTTGGTGCTACACTTGGCTGGGCTGTGTGGCCGATGTTTGGGGCCTAGTGGAACCAAGACCCCACGCTCAAGCAGCCCCTTGCCCACCAGGCTGCCAGCCCGGCCTCCCATGCCAAGCACGCCAGACATCTGAGCCTGCTCCCCCATGGCTTGGGTGAGACACCAGCCCCTCAGATTTCACAGCACCCTGGGAGAGAAAATGCCTGTGGATACGCCGGTGACATGGCTAGGAAGGGGCTGGGGCGGCTGCGAGACCCAGGGCGATGGCCGGTGCTTGGCTCTGTGTGATTGTAGGCCCAGGTTACGACAGTTCCAGTGTGCCAGGATGGCTGGAGAGGGGAGTGGGCATGGTGTCTCCAGGCTGCCAGCCCTTCATGGTGGGCAGGGAAACCCTTCAGCTCTGGGCAGGTGGCTGCTGTCGGCTGGTCAGTGGGGTCTGGCCTGCCCCTCCCTAACAATCACATCTCTGTTTTTACAAATCTTTCTGCTTCCATGGTTTGCCCCGCTGGTCTCTGTTTTTATGACAACCTCTTTCCTTTGCTGTCTTTTTCTCGGTCTGTTTTTATCGGTCTCTGGTGTATTCTGCCCTTTTCCATCTCTCTTTCTCCATCTCTGTCCTTTTGTATGTCTCTGACTGTCTCTGTCTCTGATTCCAGTTTTGGCCCCATCTCTGCTCCCCCCTCCACTGGCGTCTCGGACTCTCTCTCTCTCTGTCTCTCTGGCCTGCCTCTCTCTCTTTCCCTCTCTCTCTCTCCCTTTTCTTTTTTTCAAACCAGAATTGGCTTCGATTTTAAAGTCAATAAATGATTGAGCAGGAACGAGCTTGGAGCAGCGGGGCCCTGGCGGGGAAAGGTACTGTGGGCGAGGGGGAAGGGCGGGGGGAAAAATCTCCTTCTAGAAAAAGCATCGAAATTCAGGGCGGCCGGGTGGGGCGGTTCCTGGAGCTGCTGGAGTCCATTGTAGCCACAGTCCTGAGTCTCAGGCGGAGAGAGGGGTGGGGGGTGGATGGATGGACCCCCATCCCCATCCCAACCCTGCCAAGAAACAGAGACACAACCAGGATGTGAACTCACGTACACCACCATCACCGCCAAGATGGGGATGTAAGTGTCCTGTTCACACCGATGTCCAGACCCACGACCATCGACGAGCCTACAGACCTACGGACACAGGAAACCGACGACTTGTGTTCACACTGTCACACACACCCATTAACACACACGCACCTCTTGAAATGGGACACGTATATTGGTGTAGGCTTAGCGACACAGCAGTACCTCTTTGACGCACGTATGGACACAGGAAACTGTGGACTTGTGTTCACAACCACCCCCAGCGCACACATAAACACTCACAAACCCCTCGAGATGATACAGATAGCGACGAAGGCACATGGAGACCACGACACCTCCCAGACTCATGGAGCCCTGAGCACATGCTTGGATACAGGTAGACACAAATGTGTGTTCACCCCCACACATGCTCACATGGACCCAAGGACGGACAGGCGGATGGATGGATACACATCTTTACACAGAGACATAATGCAGTTGGCTCGCTCAGGTGTGTACACAAATAACTTTTCTTTTTCTATTTTTTTTTTTTTTGAGACGGAGCCTTGCTCTGTCGCCCAGGTTGGAGTGCAGTGGCGTGATCTCGGCTCACTGTAACCTCTGCCTCCCGGGTTCAAGCAATTCTCTGCCTCAGCTTCCCGAGTAGCTGGGATTACAGGTGCCCGCCACCACGCCCGGGTAATTTCTGTATTTTTTAGTGAAGATGGGGTTTCACCATCTTGGCCCGGCTGGTCTTGAACTTCTGACCTCGTGATCCACCTGCCTCGGCCTCCCAAAGTGCTGGGATTACAGGCATGAGCCACTGCACCCGGCCACAAATACCTTTTCAAACACACACACACACACACACACACACACAAATATGCACCAATGCGTGCTTCCCCCTCCTTGCCACAGGGATAAAAAGGCAAACATGCCGACATTTGCTGACACACACAAAGACATACATGGCCGCACACACGGATACACCCGCTCTCAGACACGCAGCGACCTACGCCCATTTTCCTGGCCATACAAGCAGCCGAACGTTCCTGTACTTCTGTATCTGCATAGCTCCCCCAACACTCCTTCCATGGGAGGGGGATGGCTGGGGCTTCCCTGATGCCCCCTTCCCCCAGCTTTCTCTCTGGGTCACTCTGGCCACCCCTCTGTCCCTGCGAAGCTATAGCTCTCTGTCCCTGCTCCGGCCTGGTGCCCTGTTTTCATGGCACTTGGCATTTTCTCTCCGGCTCTGGCCCTGCCTGATTCATGCCCACTGCTGGGGTGGGAGGTGTGCCCAGGTGTGGGCCGGGATGGGGTAGCTCATGAGATGAGCTGGGGCTCCGTGAGATGTTTTGATGCTGGGCCGAGCTCAGAGCCGAGGGCTCTGCCGGGAACAGGGTGCTCCAGTCTCTCTAGGGCCTGGAATGTCTTGTGTAGCCTCAAGAGCTCCCAGACGGAGGCTGCGGGAGCGGAGTCAAGGGCTAGGCTTTGCCGTCAGACAGAAATGGGTTCGAGCTCCAGCTCTACATGTTCTAATCTTGCGACCTGAAGCACAGGATTTTCCTGGCCTGTAAAATGGGCAAAAACCAGTGTCTATCTCTTGGGCTGTACTTAGGTTCAATGTGGTGCCTGGCACATAGTGTGTGCTCCATAAATGGTAATTGTTGCCAATTGTTGGTTGTCAACCTCCCAGACCCTCCCAGCTGAGAGAGGGATGCCTCTGAGGGGTAGAAGACAGGATCGAGCACCTCCCAACCATAGATATCCAAGTGGACTGCCTGGAGGAGGAGGAGGCAAGAGGAGAGTTTGGAAGGATGAGAGTTTGCACATGGCCCAGCTCTTTTACCTTTGGATGGGGGCCTGTAGGCCAAGCAGAGGGTGGCACAACTTCAAGATAGGGGAGAGATGGTGGGGGAGAGTGGGGGGCAGGAGGGGAGAGACGAGGCCTCCACTGTTCCATGAGGACCAGATACCCTGGTTGGGGGCCCTGAGTCCTGGTATAAGAGTATGTGTGCACGCATTCATCCAAATGTATGTGGGACAAAGAGACCCGGTGCATCTAGATGATGACTTCAGGGACGTCCCCAAGCTCCAGAACTTTCTGTGTCTGCACCTGGGCGTTGTCACCTGGACCCGCCATGGAGACAGGACATATGTGCAGGACCCTATGGTGGGCACTTGGCTGGATCAGGGCACATTGCGGGTGGGAGCAATGCTGGGTGTTTGGCCGTGGCGCCGTGGCTGTGGGCAAAATGCCCCCGTGGTTGGTGTGTTGACTGCCGTCCTCCCCATCTAACCCACAGGGAGCCTGGCCTTTTAAATCTGCTGAGATATTGTCTCCCCCACCCCCATGAAGCTGGAATCTGGGGACTTGCTGGACCAGAGAGGTAGGGGAGGCTGGGCACTTTCTCCAACACGGTGCTGAGAATGGGCCTTCTGTCCCCTCCCTCCCAGCTGGGGTGGGGAAAAGGAGGGGGGTGTCTTAATTTTCTTGCCCCCAAAGCCCTGGATGTGGGGGCAAGTGGGCCAGGAGGACAGCTGTGAGCCACTATCTGGGTTCTCCCAGATCGGTGTGCATGTTAATCGGCATGTCAGGCCTCAGAGCCACCATTTTCCCGAGGATGTCTGTGTGGCAGCGTGTGTCTGCCCGGGTCCCTCTCCATGCCTCTCCATGTCTCCCAGCGTCCATCACTGGGTGCTACCTGCATGTGACTCCACGGATCATCGCACGCCCTGTCTCTTGTGTATTTGGTAGTGGGGGTCGGGGAGCGTGCCACCATGCGTGTCAGTGTGCCGGATGTAGTCTCTGTGTCACGGTGGCGCTGCGCACGTCAACGGGTATTGGTGTACCGGTCACCATCTTTGTATCTGCGCTTTGTATCTGGGGTGACAGTGTCCCAGCGACATGCGTCACATCTACAGCAGTGTTTTTCTGGGTGTCTGTGCGTCACGGCAAAGAGTGTATCCGTGTGTCTCACACACGTGTTGGCCTGTCCGTGTCAACTTGTGTCCACATACGTGTCAACGCACGTGTCTCCAGTGTCATCACCCTCATATCACTGTGCCTCCTGAGCTTGTCCCCGTGACAATCACTGTGGGTCTCACCCCACGGGCGCCTCTCCTGGGCATTCCCTTGGCCTCCGAGCACCATGTGAGATGCCTGCTATGGCGGCCGGGCAAGCGGCTGGGAGCGGGCTGGCTGCTCAGTCCCTTCCCATGAGGTTGAGCGGCCGCAGTGGCCTTGCTGGGGGCCCCGCCCGTGCCCCTGGCCTGGCGTGGACAGAAGCCCGTTGTGCGGCAGCGAGGTGCGGGCGTGTGTTCGGGCCGCCCACAGGCCTCCCTCTGTCTGCCCGGCGCACATTGATCTTGGCTTCTGCCTGTGTCCGTTCTAGCCTGGCCAGCTGGGTGTCCGGCTGTCTCCGTGGGCCTGAGCCCACTATCCCCGCTGCCCCCACAGCCAGGCAGGCCCTGGGCCCCACACCCCTGGGCCACCCGCCATCCCTCCGAGGCTCTGAGGGCGCGGATTTGGAAACTGAGGTCCCCCCTTCTTTCCCCCTTTCTCTCTCTCTCTTTCCTCCCTCTCTCCTCCCCTCCTCCCCTCCTCCCGCTCCCTCTCTCCCTCTCTCTCTCCTCCTGCCAAACGCGTCTTGGCTCCGTCTGAATATCTCTCCTCCTCGATTTTTGGCTCCAGCTCTGGGCGCGTTCACTAAAGGAAGAAGGGCTAGCTCCCCAACCCCCCCTTCCTCACCACCTCCCCCCTCCCGAGGAGCCCCTCTGAGGGCGGGAGTGGCCTCGTGCAGGGGCCTGGGCCCCCTGAGTGGGCTTGGCCAGGGGGGCACAGGCCTGGCGGGTGAGGGAACAGGGTGGACAGGGCCTGGCAGCCAGAGGGAGGCAATGGGCAGGGTGACTGAGCTGCCCGGCGGGGCGGGCGGGCAGGGAGGGGTCGGGGGCACGGAGCTGGGGTGTCTGGCTTCTGGTGGGGCTGGCAGGCCTCTGTGAGGCGCAGCTGTGCCCAGAACTCCAAGTTGCGTTTGCCACCACTACCGATGTGGCTGCGCCAGCCAGGGAGGGGAGGCGGGTAGCGGGCACTGCGGCGCTCTGCAGCCAATCGGAAGCCGGGGTTGCACTGGGGAGCTCTCCCCCCACTGGGCCCCACCCTGAGGGGAGCCGGGGGTGGTGGCCAGCAGTGGGCAGGGGGCAGTGCCCACCACCATCGCCAAGGACCCTGCCCCCTCAGCTGAAGCTCAGTGCCAGCCTTCCTGGCACAGATCGGGCAAGAGCGGGGATCTGTCTGTCCCCACCTGAATCTGTGTGAGCCAAGCTGGAGGAAAGGACAGCATGGAGGTGCACCCGACCCCCCTGGGCCTTTTAGTCCAAGGCAGGCAGGAGCTAGGGATGGGTTCCAAATTATCCAGGTGGTTCCGTCCAAATATCGGCTTCGGTCGAATCATCTTGGGGAGTTGGGGGGGGGTTTATTCCGGGTCCATCTCACACAAAGTCACACACTCTCACTGGCACATGCGGGCACAAAGAATCACGCTGACACACACTGGCATGCTGCACCTCCCTCAATCAAACAGACACAGGCGTCCCCATACAAAGAATCTTGCCCTCACTCACAGACACCTTGAGGCACCCGGCCACACCCGAACACATCGATGCGGCATTACACACTCAGGGACGTGCATGTGGGTGCAGACACACGGGACACGCGCAGTCACACGATCACATGCCATGAAGCACACAGCACAGACACAGGCTCTGCCACCGTCAAATGCAGCCCCACAGGCACAGCTAGAAACACACAGCACACACACTCAGTCATAATGTCAGTGCCCAAAACACACACATGAGCACCGATACACCCGCACATGCCACCAAGCACACAGGTACATGCACATGCATGCAATAACACGCTCTCAGACACACAAAACACCCCACACACTCCCTAACCCAGTGTCACCCACCAGGAGTGATTTCACCCATTGGGAAATGTCTGGAAACATTTTTTTTTTTTAGAGACAGACTGTCATCTGTAGCCCAGGCTGGAGCACAGTGGTGCGATCTCGGCTCACTGCAGCCCTGACCTCCCAAGCTCAAACGATCTACCCATCTCAGCCTCCTGAGTAGCAGGGAATACAGGTGCATGCCACCACACCTGGCTAATTTTTAAATTTTTTTGTAGAGACAGAGTCTGGTTATGTTGCCCAGGCTGGTCTTGAATTCCTGGGCTCAAGCAGTTCTCCCGCTTCACCCTCCCAAGTAGCTGGGACTACAGCCGAGCACCACCATACCCAGCTAATTTTTAAATTTTTAGTAAAGATGAAGTCTGGCTTTGTTGCCCAGGCTGGTTTTGAATTCCTGGGCTCAGGTGATCCTCCCGCCTCGGCCTCCCAAGGTGCTGGGAGCCATGAGCCACCATGCCCAACCTGGAATCATTTTTGGTTGTCACACTTGTGGAGGGGGTGCTATTTAGTGAGTGGAGACCCAGGATGCTGCTCAGTCCCCTACAATGGAACCCCTCAACCCTCGCCGACCACAAAGAATGATCCAGCCCCAAATGTCAGTAGTGCCAAGGTTGGAAACCCTGCCATGCATCCCCAGATACACAGTAACACACACAGGCACAGCTAACCCTTGACACTCATTACACATGCACCCACATACACAGTCACACCCAAACAAGACGCCAGCTGACAGTGTCACACACACACACTCTCCCTCACTAGGACCCAGGCATTGTCGCATATATACCCCATTTCCCCTGCCAAACCCAGGCACAGTCGGCGTGCCATGTACACAGTCCAGTGTTACCCCAGCACACAGGGACGAGAGCCACACCCCCACACATATTCGCACCTGGGCCACACCTGGCAGTGGTTGGAAATGGTGCCTGAGAGCTGAGACCTGCCCTGGTGGCACCTCCCCTCTGCTTGTCAGCCACAACCAGCTGTCTTTGCGCAGCAGCTACAGCCACCCCAGCTTCTCAGGATAGAATTGGGAGCCCCAAATCCCTGCCCTGGTTTGTAGAAGCCTGGGGTGAGACAAAGCCTGGAAAAACCACATGCCCATCCCTGCCCAGGACACTCGCAGTCTTCTAGACTCCGTGGTCGAGGGCTCCACCCTCACCTCCTTGCTCCTGGCAGCCACCGAGAGAAGGGATGGGGACAAAGCTAGGTTCTTTTTTTTTTTTTTTTTAAACAGTCTCACTCTGTTGCCCAGGCTAGAGTGTAGTGGTGCAATCTCAGCTCACTGCAACCTTGGCCTCCCAGGCTCAAGCAATTCTCATGCCTCAGCCTCCCGAGTAGCTGGGATTACAGATGTGCACTATCACACCTGGCTAATTTTTGTATTTTTAGTAGAGACAGGGTTTCTCCATGTTGGCCAGACTGGTCTCAAACTCCTGGCCTCAAGTGATCCGCCCGCCTCGGCCTCCCAAAGTGCTGGGATTACAGGCGTGAGCCACTGTGCCTGGCCAACAAAGCTAAGTTCTGAGACTCCTGTCCTCCGTGGGGCTGTCTCACTAATCCTTTGGCCTTTGACTCCCCAGTTCTGACCCCAGAGAAAGAAGAGACAGCGGTCAGCAGAATGGTAGAAGAAGATAGGATAATAGCAAAATAAATGTTTGTCCTAAAAATCGTAGCAACAGCTAATGTGAACTGTGTGCTTGCTGCGTTGCACCCTTGCTAAGTGCCTTCCCAGCTTGTCTTCTTGAATCCTGTGTTCAGCAGGTACTGTTATTAGGAGAGTGGGGCCTGCAGAGCCAGCTTCCTGGGTTTGACTCCTGGCTCTGCCACTCACTAGCTGTGTAACTTCAGGCAAGTTGCTTAACCTCTCTGGGTCTCAATTTCTGTATCTAGGAAGCAGGGCTGTGGTAAGGATCTGAGGAGTTGGTTCACAGCACACGCTTTAAAACTGTGCTTGATGTGAAAACCTGCTTTGATTTTATGGATGAAAAACCAAGACTCAGTAGAGGTATCCAGTGCTAGGGTCAAGGGCGGGGAGCTCTTTCTTCAAGATCGTCACCACCCTAAATCCTGCCGATGGGACAAAATTGCAGCTTGTTCTCTGGCCTTTCCCAAATTTCAAAATGGGTCTGCACACCCCCACGCCCCCATTTGAAACGTGCCCTAGTGGTTGGCCCTTGAACCTTTCTTACCACTCTGACCTTTGGATCTTCTTCCATCCAAGGCTCAGAATAAAGGTGGATGGTGGTCTCACCCCCTCTGCACCCCTGCTGGCCAGGCTTGCCCTCACCCCCGCAGGTCCAAACATCCTCTCCCACACCTTGCTGGGCACCCAGCCGGAGCTCAAATGCTGGGGGTGCAGCCGGGAGCCTGTGCATTCCTTCGACAAATATTTACCAAGCACCTCCTGGGTGCCAGGCTCTGTTTTAGGCCCCGGGGGCTCGGCAGGGAGCAAAATCTGCAAAGATGCCAGCCCCGGTGGGAGGGCAGACTGTGAATCTGATAAACAAGGGAGTGTCCAGTCCTTGAGATGGCGCTAGGTGCTGTGGGAAGAACAGAGCTGGCCGGGCCCTCGGGAGTGCTGGGCAGCTGTGGTTTTAGCAGAGGTGGGCACGGAGACCTCATGGTGAGATGATGATTTTGAACGCTGCCTTGCTATAGCTCAAGTGCAGCCCACCAGGCCCCTTTCTCTCTCCAGGGGGCAGACTGGAGGTCAAGGGTGTGTGGCTCAGCATGGCATGCCCATCATTTGCCCAGACCATGTTGCCTGTCATTTCTTCAATCTGAGCTCATCTATTATCCATATTTGTGGATATGCCATACGGTGCCCGCCCAAAATCTGGGGACAAGATGGCCGAGGCCTTTCCTTTACAGAAACTGGGGCTTGATGGGCACTGGGTATTCGCAACCCTGCTGCTCTGAGCTGGGGGATGGGGCAGGGGCAGCTGGTGGCCCAGAGTGGCACTTCCACCTGGGCCCCTCAATTTAGCTCCCCCGGGGCGGGCTGGGTTTATTTTTACCCCAGCCTGTCACCCTGGCAGTACCAGGCTGCGCCATCTTTGCAGGGTCTTGGGGATCTGCCCACAGCTTGGGGGTATCAGGCTTTGTCTGTTGGGTTCCCCAACTCCCACCAGGGCCCCAGATTCTCTCCACCCCCAAAGCTCCAGGCTTGAGAGCTCTGGGCTGGGGCCCGGCGGGGTCGGCACTGCAGGCTGGCAACCACCGTGCCCAGCCTGGTGGCATTTGGTTTGGCGCCCTGCCTGCCTGCCACCCCCACCCCATGCCCGGGCAGAGCCGAGCGGCTGCTGCTGCCAGTCTCCATTTCGAAGCTTGAGGTGGGGGTGGGGAAGTGCTGGGCGCCTCCAGGCCCCTGCTTGTCCCGTGCCACCTGGGGATCATCCCCCATGCCTGTTCCCTGGAAGGGCCGGGCTGCCTCTTCCGCTGCCCCTTTGCAGCCTGGAGCTCAGCAAGGATGCCCGCCTGGCTTCCATCTTCCCGGTTCGCTCCCTCCCTTCCTCCCCCTCTCGCCTGCTTGCCTGTAATGGCTCACCATTTTTGGCATCTCTTCCCCCTCCCCCCCCATAGGCGCCAACCTCACTTCCAAACCCGCCGCCATCGTTGGCTCTCTGGCCTTCTCTGCCGCCTGGGGCTGGGACCTGGAAATGGGAATTTGGGGGTGGGGGCCGGGCCTGTGGACATCAGGGGCTTTCTGCGTGCTCGTGTGTATCTCTGGGGTTGGGGGGCACATGTTCTAAGCCAGCTCGCTCCATCCACCCCTTCATTTGCCTCAAGCTTGCAGAGCAGGACTGCAGCAAAAGTGACGACCCTCCCATTTCTGATTGCCCTGCACCTGGTATTGGCATCTGGGCCACCAGGGGGCTAGGGTGGGCATCTCTGCCCAAGCCCAGGCCCTGGCATGGCAAGGGCAAGGCTTCATCTGTGGTGTGCCCCAACCTCTCCCTTTCCCTAAGTTCCCCCCAAGGTTCCAAGATTCCTGCTTCCACTCCCCAGAGCTGGAGTGGGGGAACCAAGCCTCGCCTTCGGTACTTGTGTCCCCAGATGGGGCAAGGGACTTCGGAGGAACCGGTTTAATGCCCTCCCCCCCACCCCACACCCGCTGCCCGCGCCTCTCTCGGCACTAAACAAAGTTTGCTAAGTAACTTCAAATGTTATTTGAGGACGGCCTGGCCTCAACCCAAGGCGGCCCTGTGGAAACTTGTTTTTCGCTGCCGAGGCTGCAAGTATCAAAGACACACTTTCGGTGGGGGGGTGCTCCAATACCACTCCCCCCTCTGTGGCAGGGGCTGGCCCTGAATGGACACACAGACACACAGAGCAGACACACATAGGCCTGTGCCTACAGAGACACAGACATCATCCTGTGGCCTAAACACCAGGTACAGCTGCAGGACAGCCTTGGAGCATGGTACACATAATACATACAACAAACACACATGTTGACAAGTTAAGGAGGTAGGAGGGGGTGACAGGGCACTACCCCTCAGCCCATGGAGTCCTGGGATTCTTCCAGCTGGTGGGGTTTCGCCATGTTGGGAAAAACGTACGGCTCCGATCCTTGGGGTCCTGTATTCTCATGACTCCAGGGCTTGAGGGGGTGCTGGGATGAGGCCCCCAGCCTCAGTTTCCCCATCCACAGAGGGACACTATGGACTTTTCAGCCCAGCCTGGGTTTTTTCATCCCCCTGGCAGGGCTGCATCCCTAAAGGTGAGTCCCTAAAAGTGGGCTCTGAGCACAGGGCCTGGTATACAAGCAATGCTCCAGTGTCGGCAGGCATTTCTGCCAGTCCTGACCCCATAAACCTGGTGTGTTTTCATCCTGATTGGTGGCCCTGACCCCAAGCAGCTTGGGGTTCTCCGGGTCCCGGGAGGAGCCCATGCTGACGTTACTCGCTTGCTCCAATCTTCCCGTCTCTGTGATTTTCTCACTTTGTTCCTCTCTTTCTCTCCTAGCTTTTCTTGATCTTTCCCCACATCCCTCTTCTTCTTTCTCCAGGTCTCCGCTGGCCCTGCCCAGGCCTGGAGCTCAGGGAAAACGTGGGAAACAGGCATAGGGTACGCATCCCTCACTGAAGCCAGCCAGGCCTGCAGTCCTCCATGCTCTGAGCCCCCTGATGACCCTCCTTTGGCCCCCCTCCAAACCCCAGCAAGAAGCTGGAGGCTGGGTACTTGAGCTGACACAGTAGGTGAAGGAGAGGCTCTGTCACAGGGTCCTCTGAGACCCATCACCTCCAAGGTTTGCAAACAGGTGGAGCCCCACTGAATCCGATGGAAAAGCCAAGGCCCAAGAGGAAACCGGAGTGAGTTCCTCCTGCAGTTCCAGAGAGCCTCCCCATCCTCGCTGTAGCCAGGTCCTCACCGAGGTAGATTTGCGGGGGTCTCCCAGTCCCAGTCCCACACACTGCCTCATCCCCACTCACAGTCAACGCCCGCAACACCCCGCCACCCGCAGTCTGTCGCGCAGTGACAGCCTGTCACAAGCACCGCCGCACACCGGCACAATCTGTCGTCCACGCACAGTCTCACACACAACCTGTCACACACGCACACACACACACAGCGGCACAGTCGCACACACAGCCAGCCTCACGCGATCACACCAAGCGTCACAGCTTGTCACAGCCATAGATTCCTCACAATAAAAATAACAGCTACCGACTCCAGAGCAATTATGCCTGGGCAGCGGGTGGGTGGGGGGAAGGCGGGCATATGTGACCTCCTGTGACCCTCCCAACACGAGGCAGGTATGAGTAACCTGTTTTACAGATGAGGAAACAGAGGCCGCAAGGTCAAGTGCCAAGGTCATGGGGCTAGAAGCAGGGTGGTGGGGATTACCCAGCCAGATTCCCAGGAGTGAGCAAGACTTAAACAGGTTCACTCCAGCTTTTCATCCCCCTTCTGGCCACCTGAGGCTCCTCCTTCTGGCCTTCCCATGGGAATTCCCTTCCTATTCCCCAGTTCTAAGAAGCCCAGAGCAAGAAACAGGAGGAAGAGGCTTCCTGATTCCCCGCTTAAGGGTGTTCAAACTGTCTGCCCCTGGCTGGGAAAACAGGGCCACGCCCTCCCCACCAAATGCTACTTGGCTCCAAGTGGGGTACTGATGGGCACTGAAAAACCGATGGGCAGTGAGGGCTATCAGAGGGGCAACTACAAGTACAGTAGCACTAGGCTTGAGTGTCTGATGTGTGAGTGGCCATGTGGACGGCTGGAGTTGGTCCGCAGTGGTGGCAGCTTGTGGTCCTTTGGGGGATTTGGTGGTAGAACGGGGCCGGGGGTCTTCAAAGGCAGAGAAGTCTCAGGACTTCAAACCAACAGCCTAACCCTGTCCACACAGGTGGAGTGGCCCACCTTGGGCCCGGGGGGGCCTCCAGGAGCCCCCTGGCCCAGGCAGGCCCCGCCTCCACCGCCCCAGGGGCCCTCCGAGGTCCAGGGCGCTTCCTCCTCTGCAACCCGCTTTTCCCTTGCTTTCCCCTTCTTTGTTCCTCCCCCGCCTGCTCCTGGGGCTTCCCCCATTGGAGTTGCCTCGGCCAAAACCAACAGGGCTCCAACGACATCCCGCCTTGGCCTGCCGGGCGGGCGGCCGGCCCTGCCCCATGGCCCGCTCAGGGGCCAGATCCGGGCTCAGCTGGGTCCGGACGGCGGCCCTCGCGCACGTGGTTACTCCCAAGGCGTGCGCAAGCACTCGCACACCCCCTGGCCCTGCGGCCCCGAAGGGGACCTAGGCGCGCTCATGCACGTCCCTGTCTGACACCCCAGCCCGGCAACTCGGACGTGCGCACGCACATAAGCACGCTCTCGTATAGTTGCTCCCACCTGGGTCCGCAGCATGCCCTTGCCCGGCGCCCCCAGTCGGGATCTCAGGCACCGAAAGCTTATATGCGCACCTAGGCCTGACATCCCAACGACACTGGCTGGCGCACTTACACCTATAACATGCCCCTATCGGGCACCACATGGGGGTCCCTAACACAAGCATTCACTCCCCTGCTTTCCCTCCGATGGAGCTTTCGAGCACAGGTACTCGAGCCCTGCGCCCCAACGGGGAGCTCCAGGTGGGTCCGTGAGCCCGCTCTGGTGCCCACACACATGGCTCCAGGCCCACGCGGGTACACACCTCCCCAGCCTGCACACGCGTGTTTCACATGAGTCACACACCTGCCAGGCCGCTCAGGGCATCTGGCTTCAAAGCGGCATTCAGGTTGTTGCGGGAGCCGGCAGGGAAGGGAGGCCTAATTCCACCTCCCCCATCCCTCTCGGAACACCCGCCTCCCCATATGTCCCTGGGGCACAGGTGGGACATCCCAGAACTGCCGCTGCCCAGTGGCGCCCCTGCATGTGCTATATTTATATTTGAAATTTGTACCTTTATATATACTTTTTATATGTAAGAACCGCTCCCCCCTCTTCCCGCTCCACGTTTGTACTTGGATTTTACCACCCCCACTAGGCTTCGACCCAAACCTGCAAAAACCATTTCGCCAGGCAGGGATGTAGGGGGAGGCGGGAGCAGCCCTCCCCCTCTCCACTGCGGACGGACATCCCACGTTCTTAAAGACCGGGGACCCCCCCTCCCCCAAGGGCCGGACTGCAGCTCCGAATCCCGCAGCCCCAGAAACACAATCGCGGGGGTGGGTGCTGGCGGCGAGACGTTGCTTTTTGGTGTGTGTTTGCTGTTACCGCTTAAATTAACCCTGAGTGACGGCTTGCAATTCGCCACAAAGAGGCCATTTAATGCCCCCCACCACCCCACCTCGGGAGAAATTTCCACTTGCCCCCGAGTCCAGCTCGGGCCGCACGCTACCCGCCCTCCAGGCCTTCGCTCCAGGTGCGCCCGGGCGGTGGAGGCGAGTTCCCTGCGCGCATCATGGACTTCAGGAGTGAGGGTGGGTGGGTTTTGGAGGGGTGGGAGCAGAGGCAGGGGGGTGTGCCGGGACTCCCCAGACGCTCCACTGCCCAATCATAGCTCTTTGATATCCCAGCCCGGCTGGAGAAAGTTAGATGGTACTCCAGCGTCTCCTCCGGGTCCCCGGAAGAGAGAAGCTGGGCTGCACCCCATGTTGGCACGAACACTCCCTCCCCAGTGCCTCTGTGCATTAGGTCGCGTGCCTGTACGTACCCTACCTGAGACCGCCCCTCCGCCAAGTGCGCCCCTCGACAGGTGCCCGTCGCCCACAGGCTCCTTTCATTGTAGCCTCCCTGGAGGTTCTCAAGGCGCCTGGCATTTCCTGGACCCGCTGCAACTGACTCAAGACTGGGGGGAGGGGGCTCATGGAGGTAGAGGTGGTGGGGAGGTCTCCCCAGGGCCCAGGCAGGAGGAGGGAAGGTCGTGTGCTTTCCATGTCGCGGGCAAAATGGGTGCTGACGGTCACTGTCACTTGCATCGCACACTGAGGGGTGGGAGAGGACAGCACATGCCTGGACCGTGCAGGAGGCCCAGAACCGGGGCGCGAAGGGGCCGCGGGACACGAGCGGGCCGTGCGCAAAGCCTGGCGCGCGCGTGCGCAGCGACGAAAAGGCGGGAAGCGGCGCTTCGAGGCCCCGGATGTCAGACGCGACCTGTGTGGCATGTACCAGGCTGGCTCCGACGACGGAACCGCCATGGGTGCTGAGTGGAGAGTGGGGACCGCGGACCCCGGGGGCAGGTGAGGGGAAACTGGGAGCATAGGTCTGGCTTTCGACCGTTTGTGCCGCCAGAGTCTTCTCAATGATCCCTCCCAGGCACCGTAGGCCCTCTAGTGGGTCTGGGTGGCGTCCTCCCGGCCCCTCGCTGCTCAAGCGCGGCTCCCTCTTGCCGGGGCGCGGCCTGCCCCTCACAGTGACCCCCCCGACCCACCCCCCAAAAAGTGACCCCGCGCTGGTGGGCATGGAGGACTGTCCCAGTTCACCATTTGCTGCGTCAAAGGCCGCCGCCAAAAGGGGCTCCGATGTCGGCATTTTTGCCTTAAGGCTAGTTTGTCCCCCAGGCGCGCGGGGGTTGGGGGTTCAGGGCCGCCTGTGCCTCAGTTTCTCTCCTCCTGCGCCCATCCTGACATCCGACGGAGGATAATGCGCGTTGGAGGGCTTTGGCCGTGAATGCGATGTTGATGATTGCTGTGATTCTTTGGGTGCTTGGGAGAGTTTGGGGTTTAACTGCCCCCAAATCCGAGGACAGCTTGGGGGCGTCCCTTCGGAGAGGATCTCTCCGCGTCGCATAGTGAGCGTCGTCATCTCTAGACTACCCCGGTTTCCGAGGAGCCTCACCTTCAATCCCCGAGCCTTCTCTTTTGGGGGAGTAAAGGCGGGGAAATTTACCAGGGGAGATTTTTGTTTCCAGGGTTGGCTGGGTTTGGGGGATTTTGTCCTCCAGCGAGCGCGGGGAAGAAATGTGACTAAGTGGCAGAAAATGCGCTTTCCCTTTCTCTCTCTTCTGCCTTCGGGCCGCGGGGAGTTGCGCAGACTCTAAAAAAAAAACCTTTAAAAACCCAAAACCTCCCCTCCAAGTCCCTTTCGATCTACGCCACCTTCCCTCTCAGGGCTGATTTCTTGAATTTGGGGCGTCGAGGCCTCCCCACCCGTTGCTACCAGCCCTTTTGCAGCACTTCCTGGGCAGGCCAGGGGAGAGGACGGAAAAGTGAAAAAAGAACGTGTGCGCCCAGCGGACCCGACTTAACCTGTTGGTGGAGGAGGAAGCTGGCGTCGGGCTGAAGTCCCCCGAGCCACCCCTGGAGCCAGAGCAGCCCCCGAGCATTCAGAGAAAGCCGCCCGTCCCCAGTCCCCTCGGAAGCCGGTCATAAACCCGACTTCTCATCACCCGAATTACTTAAATGAGCTTTGATGGTGTTAGGTCCTTTTCCACGTGCGGATGACTCAGCCCGCTGCAGCTGCGCCCGGGGAGGTGACCCTGGGGCAGCGGCTGACCCTGCTGCGCCCTGTACCCTGGACCCAGACGCGGCCCATCCCAGCAGCACCCCCCGCCCCAAGCTCCCAGACCACACTTAGCTTTTTTTTTCCCCCCTTACTCTTCGAGTCTTTTTCCTCTTCTCTAAAAACATTTTTTTTAATTTAAAGGAGTTTTATTACTTCTTTTTTTTTTATAAAGCATGTGAGACAGAGGCTGAATGGTAGAAACAGGCTGTTAAAAAAAGAAAAATACGTGCCGGTGACGCTTCGTGGAGCTGGCGAGCCTCGCCTGTCCCGCGACTGAGCTTGCGGTCGCCCCGATTCTCTAGTAGACCCTGGCGTGGGGCACCTGAGATCTCCGCCACTGAAAAGGCGCTATAGAAATGCAAGGAATTATGATTTTAATAAAATTGTCTCATTTAGGAGCGAGCTTCTGCGCTGCCTCTGTCGTCGGAGCCCGGGTTTGCCACGGCAAAGTCTGTAATCAGAGAAAAATACCAGCTTTGTTGAGGGTTAGAATATATCATTGGCTAATGTGTGTGGTTTTCTTTTTAAATAATGCTAAGCATTGGAATAATTAAAGAGTGAGAAATAACTCGTCTCTCCTCTCTCCTCTCCATTCAGCATTGTCTTATTTAAGGGCGGAAAGCGCGCTTTTCGGCAGAGCTGGTTAGTTTTTAATGCGGGCTTTTTTTTTCTCACCCGCCGTTCCCTCCGCTCCGGTCTGATTCGCAAATCCCCAAACTGGCACAAACCGGGAAACTTGCGGCCGGCCGTTCTTCTCCCCGAGTTGGAGACAGCCCTCTCCTCTTCCCTCCCCCGCCTCTGGGCCCTGACCCACTGCCTGGTTTGCGCTAGAGCCGTTTAAAAAAGAAAGAAAGGAAGAAAGGAGCCGGGCTCTGGTACCCCGATGCCAGCCGAGGGCGCGTTTCCCAGGCGGCGGGCTGGTGGGAGAGTCAAACCCGGGTGTGGGGAAGCAGCTTCGCTGCCTACTCTGCATCCTCTCCCCTAAAAAGAATCAAGTATTTCTAGAGATCGCCTGCTCAGAGGGCTCAGATCCCTTGTCATATTTTAAATTAAATTGAACAGTTCTTTCTTTCCAGCCCCATATGCAATAGGAAGAGAAAATGCAGTCTTGGAGAGCCCGTCTTGGCAACCCTGTGCCCTTGATAGAAGAGAGAGCTGCCCACTTGGGCTGGGCCTGGCATCCAGCCCCAGAGGAGTGCTCTTGCCACTGGCCACAGGGCCTGGATTTGGGGAGGAAGAGCAGGGTCCAGGGCCAGTGGCTGAGCACGGCCTGGAGAGATGTGGGAGTTGGGGAAAGGACTTTTTATCAGGGCTGCAGAGGTTCGGCTCTGGGCTGGTGGTAGGGGGCTGGTGGTAGGCGAGGTGGCTGCGGTGGCCCTTCCGCCAGGTGTGGGGTAGACCGCTTAGAAGGGAAAGGGGATCCTGAAGTGCCTGAGGAAGAAACAGCAATGAGAAAGCAATGGGAAAAATGGGCAATAAATGGGCATAGGGGTTAGTGCCCACAGGCGCTAGTGGCTGTGAAGTGCCTTTGAGGTGCAAAGGGAGCTTTTTATGTATTTGCTTCAGGTGTTTTTCATTACATGTGTTTCCCTTTTATTTTCCTTGTTATTTGGTCCTTAGACTTTTCAGCGATCCCTTGTATTCGTCTTTTTACATAAGCAGAAACTTTTTTTTTTCCTCCTTAGAGAGATACTGTGGGAGGTATTTTGCCTTCAGTGCTTTCTCTTTCCTGCTTTTTTTAAAATTTAATTTTAAAATTATAAAGTAAATTTAGTGCTAGTGAAAGTGAGGGGGGAACCAGCTGGGGCTGGAGCCAGGGAAGGGGTAGGCAGAGGCAGGGTTCTGCCTCCCTTCCTGAGGCAGCCCCGCCCCAGGACCCTAGGCCCAGCCTGGTGTCGCTTGCTCACTCTCTCTGCTCTCTTCTCTTGATGCCATTCTACTCCCCTCACCTTCCTGCAGGGTTCTTGTGGACAGGGATGGGGACAGTGTATCCCAGTGGGTGCCCATTCTCCCTTTGGGAACCCCTGGCTCTGCAGAGTCATTTTCCTTCATGACCTACATACTGAGGCCCCCCATTCCCTGCCTGCCAGGCAAGCAGGGCGAGAGGAGGGGCCCTTGCTCCCCTCAGACACTAAGGCTGTTTGGCTTTCAGCTCGGCGGGTCCTGTTTGTCCCCCATACATGCCCTGTTAGTCTGCTAAACCCGCTGCACAGTTGGTTGCCCTGTTGATGGGATCAGAGTTGGGCAGGCATAGAGAGATCACACACACACACACACACACACGCACACGCACACGCACTCTGCAGCAGTGAGGATGAGAGGGGTTTCTATTTGCCACACATTTTTGTGGTCACATGAATAGCACACTCTGCTCTATAACACGTGTATGCACATAGGTGTTTGCATTTGATGATACTGGTGTGACAAGGAGGTATTTCTAAGCCATATAAATTATGAGAACTGTATAGCTTAAAAATTTAAGGCTTGTTCAGCGGTGCTGAAAATGTTTATTTCTTAATCTGGGTGGGGTTACATGGGTGTGTTCACTTTGTGAAAGTGTATCAAGCGGCCTAACTTACAGTGTGTGCACTTTTTATACCTGCCTTGCTTCAGTTAAAAAGTTTACTTAAAAAAAGAAGCCCCACTCTCAAAGGTAAAGAAAAACCTGTGCATTACAAAATATAATAAAAATTTAAATAAAAATTTCCTCCAGCCTGCTTTGCTTAGTCCTTCCTGCTAGGAATGGTGGGAGGGCTTGTAAAAAATAGCGGGCTGATATAAAAGCTAGCAGGCATGTGGTCCACGAGGCATCCTGACCCGTCCACATGTGTGGAGTGCCTGAAAACTGCCTACAGACAGGTATAGAGGTAGGATTTTAACATCTCAGGGCTAAAGGATAAGAAATGGTGAGGAGTAAGTTACTTGCCAATTACATTTTGCTGTCAACATCTGGAAAGCAAAATTGCAGCTGTTCTCTCTGCCCCTGCCCCCCGCCCCCGCATTGCCACCTCTTCTTTTTTTTCTGCACACTTACATTTTTTGTACGCTTGCCATTTATACTTCGGTTTTCTGCACTGTTAAAACAATTCCATGGCTCTGTTCAAATTGGGTTGTTGGGTTTGAGTTTTTTTTTTTTTTTTAATGGATCTTGTAGTCTGACAGTATAATTTTTGGAGGGATTTATTTAAACAGGCCCAGGAGCCATTGATAATCCCCTCCCTTTTCTTTCGCCCTCTCTGTCTTCCCAGAACTGCTCAGGCCAGCAATGAGGGGGAGGACGCTCGGCAGCCCTTGCCGGGCTCCTTCCTTTAGCCTCTGCTCCTCCGGGCAGGTACTGACAGCTTCGCCCTCCATGGCCCTTCTGTGGTGTTTTTGTTTTCTCTTCGCCCCCCAAAAATATTTGAACCAAAAAGCCTCTTTTTTTTTTCCTCCACCCACAGCAAACTGAAAGGACTAGTGAACCGTGATTCAACAGAGCGAGGGCGCCTCTTTTCTTCCTTAGCATTAATTAACTCAAGTTCGTTAGGACGTTGGGTCTGTCGCCCACAGTTTTCTCTTGTGTGTGCTGAATCGGGTCATAGAGGGAGACTTCCCGTGCAAACAGTTTGTGTTGGAGCTGAAGGACGCAGAGGGGGAGAGAGGGTGAGAAAGAAAGGGAGCCGGGGAGGGACGGAGCGTGGCCGAGGGGTGGGCATGGTCCGAGCTCCTCAAAGCACCCCCGGTGTCATTCTCTGCAGGGGCTAGACACCAGGGAAATGTGGATTCTTGGGTTTCCTGGGCAATGATCCTGATAATAAAATAGTTGCGGGAGCAATACATTTTGAGGAATTGAAAAATGACCTCTTTCTAACTCCTAAAATTGTACATTTTGGGGTTCTGGCCACTGCCTGTGGCTGAAGCAATTGCAAGAAAGAGGTTCCCTCAGGACCGAGGGGTGCCAGGCCGATCTGAGGGCAGGTGGTGAGGAGAAATCCTTCCTTGCTCCTTGTCTCTCCTGTGGCGGGGGAAACAGAACTGGTAAAAAATGAAGGGGGGTGTCTGGACTGATCCTGATGGAGCTCTTGCAGAGGGACTGGGAAGACCTCTGCCTTTTGGGTTTTGTCACCTTGCCCTGACCCCTCCGAAGGAGGGGATTTGCTGTGGTGCCTGGGGTGAGTTTTCAGCATTTTGCCATTTGCTCTGGCCTTCTCTCTCGACTTCCAGATATTTTCACAGTGTGCTGGGCACAGACCTCATCTTCACGCGCTGGTCTCTCTTTGCCTTGCCTTTTGTCACTTTTTCAGTTCTTCTTCAGAAAGAGTTATGAAGCTGGCCTGTGCAGTTCTTCCCTCTTCCCGGGCCCTTGGCCACCATGAAGTGACACTTCCCAAGCCGGTTAGGTGTGTGAGGCTCTGCACTTCCCTTGCCCCCGGAAGCCCTTCCCTGTCATCTGTCCTTCACGCACTTCGGAAGGTTTCATCCCCATGCAGCCTGCCGGCTGGAGAAGAGAGCTTTGGCCTTCCTGGCTTTTACTTCTGTTTGGTGACACAAGGAAGTTTCAAGCTAAATAATGAATTAAAGAGTAGGATTTTTGTTTCCCATTCCTTGTAGAGGATGAGATGAAAGTAAACAATTTCCAGTTGCCTTAGAGAGAATAGATTGTCTCCCCTAATATCCCCATTCCTACCCTATATTATTCTGTGCCAAGAGGGTAAGGGAGATGTGCCTGGAGCAGAGGAGCATTTGGAGCCAGAACGAGGCTGCCTGTTGGCCCGATCCCAGGCCACCGCTCCTGGTTTGTAGTCTGGAGGAGAAAAGGAAGGGGCGGGGGGGGGGGGGGGGCGCGGTTTACAGGAGAGAAGTGTGCGGCCTGGCTGTGAGGCAGACCCTGTCCTAGACCCAGCACTGGGGTGTGGGGCGAATCCATTCAGCCAGCATGAGGACACTGGAAAGAAACTGCGCAGAGCCGCCTTTCCTGAGCAGAGGAAAACAGGCCCAAGTCAGCCAAAAACCCGCTTTGTCCAAATTATCCGAGCTCCCTCGCAAAGTGCATTTTCCGGTTTCCATTCCTGGAGTTTCCAGACTTTTGGATGATTTTGTTCTGACTACAGAGCCCCTTCTCGTTGGCCCCCAACTGAGGGGAGGCCCCACCCTCCTCTAGGATAAGCAGCAGGGCCCCTTCCCTGGCTGCCCAGTGCTGCCGCTGCGTCATGTCTGCAGTTCCCTTCCCATCTCTGGCCGCTGTCTGGCCACTGTCTTCTTGTGGCCTTCCACGAAGCAGCAGTAATCTTGGGACAAGGTGGGAGAGCTCAGGGTTACGAAGCCGGCTTCTTTTGGTTCAGACCAAGGCTGAATTATAAAATTCCAACAATTGGGCAAACTAATTGGGGCCCTGTTTATGGCCTTTTTAATTTCCCATGTCCTTTCATACCCAGGCTGCAGATATGCTTTATTAAAATGGATACTGGAATATCTGGTCATTTCTGTGAAGTTTTGTAAGTTATTTGCTCTAATTGCCTGTAGTTACCCAGATCAACATGGGCCCAAGTGTCCAGGATCTGAAAGAATAAATCTGGGCCTTAAAGCCAGCAGGATGTGGACACATAGGATTTTTTTTTTTTTAAGATAAAGAAGGCTACTAAAAGTGGCCCTGTCTTAAAATATACAACTTCTTATGCTTCTAGATGTTTCACTATAGGTAGGTGCGGGCAGGTTGCAAAACCTATCTCAGTCTGGGAAGATTATTTTGTTTCCTTGAAGAATTTTTAACACTGTATATGTGAGTGAGGTGCTGTACATATTTTCCTATTTTTCTTCAAATAATCCATACAGGCTCAGTGGACAGGTCTGTTGTGTAGAGTTTTTGAAAACCATGCATTTCTTCTCATGGAGAAGCAGTCATTTTCCTTAACTGGTTTTTCTTTCTCTGCCGCGGTGCAGAGCCCTTTTCTGTCTTCTTATTTTTCTTCCTCTGCTGTTCTGTTTCCCTCCATCTTTGTCCTTCTTTCTTTTCAGTTGTGGGCCTAGCTTGGCACTCTCTCTCCAGGTTTGGCTTTTTTCTCTTTTTTCGTTCTCCTTCTCTCTATTTCTCTTTCTCCGTGGCCCTTTCAGTCTTTTTCTGTTGGGGGTACATTTCTCCTAGTGATGGCTGAAACTGGCATGGGTATGTATTTTAGAAATGTTTCAGTGAAAACTGTTGCTGGTTTTTTTTTTGTTTGTTTGTTTTTTTTTTTTTTTTACCAAATAGTACTCAACAATAAAAGACAGAGGCTTTTCTTCCATAATGGCAGCAAAATCCCTTTCCACAAACCAAAAACCCATATGAATTTTTAAAAAGTCTTATTTCTGGCTTCTCGATGATTTTTCTCTCCAATGGGGGAAATACCTTTCCCCCACAATGTTTCCTGCTTTTCCTTTTTTCCCCCCTTGTCTTTTTTTTTTCTCTTCCTATTACCAGCATCAGTGGCTTCCTTTCCCCATTTCCCATGTCCTTCTACTCTGTGGCCTGCATGTCCCCTTGCTCTTTCCATCACCTGAACTCTTACACTTGCCAGTGACTCAGACCTGGAGAAGCCTTGAATCGTATGAGGGATTTTTTGTCTTGATTCTGGTCTTTGGTGCAGGATGTAAAGCGGTCTGATCTCCTGCCTGGGGCTGGAGGGGAGAAGAGAAGGAGGCTGGGCTGGGAACAGGTAATCTTCCAACAGGAGCCTCCACTCTTTAACAAAAGGGGGACAGTTTCCTTTTGTCTAGGGCTCATGAGGGGCGTGTCTGGGCTGATGGCCGCCACCAGTGGCATGCAGGAGGAGGGGGCCCGCAGTGAAGGGTGCTTGAAATGTTTCTAATGGAACCCGAGCAATTCCTCTGTGTGCGCCCAAAATAGGAGGGGAGGAAGGGAGGGAGGGAGGAAAGAGAAATAGAGAAAGAGACCTTCTCATCTCCCGAAGCATCAGAATATCCTGGCCACTCCTCCAGAAAGGCCTCCTCCACTGGGAGCCAGCAGCCCATAGAGAGAATGGGGTGAGGGGAAAGTATTTGCCTGAGAATCTTCTGCCCACCTGCAAGGTTATAGCCACTGGCAGGAGAAGGACAATTGACAATTGTTCTTCCTCCAACTTTCTGCCCTGGGAAAGGCCTGTTGCTTCTTCTGTTAAGAGAGCCTTGAGGGGGTGCTTGGGGCTCTTTGTAGGTCCCTGAGGCTCTATTGAGACACTCTTCTGCCGCCTCTCCTCTGATCTCTCCGCCAGTCCGTGGAGTTTTGACCCCCAACCCCTCTCCAGGAGCCAGTCGTGCATCTTGTCCTGTTTCCCTAACTTCTACATGGATCCTTCCATCTGTCATTTCCCAGCTGTGGGACTGTTGCTGCCCCCACCTCTATCCCTGACCCAGTTGTACCACCAGATTCAGATTCAACCCATGTCGAGCATGTCTCTTCTACTGTGGCACTGTGGTCTGTGAAGTGGAACATGCCAGGATTCTCCAGGAGGCTCGTGTTGGCCATTTTCTGTTTGGTGTCTAATATTTAGTATAAATCAGAATACAAGAAAAACACCTCCATGCCAAATATAAACTCACTTGTAGTTTTTAATGACCTCATCTTGACTTTAGAAGGTAAAATTGTTTCCACAAGGTGGAGAGGCAGGATTTGGTACCTTATGTCATGTCTCTGAGCTAACATCTTTGGCTGATTGGACTGAAGCTGGTTATTAACATGATGTGAATTATTGGACACCACCCTAAGAGGCCTGTCTCTGATACCACCTGCCTTCTGTACTCTCACCTCTAACCGTTTCTTTCAGGGATCAGCCATGAGCTCAGTTCACTTGAGATGGATAATTCAGGGCACAGACTGGGGTCCCAGGTGTTGGGCAGCCCCTCTCCCATTGTCAGGGTTCAGCGCCAGCCCAGGGCTGGATGTTTTATTTTGGCATGCCCCAGGTGCTCTTCCGGGAACCTTTCTGCCAACATAAAGGCCACAAAGCACAGGGTTTCAGTTGGGGAAGAAAGGGGCACGAGTGAGCAGTGACCTTTTTTCCGTCGCCAGCTGAGGACTGAGCCTCGCTGAGGGAGAGGGCGGCTGTAGGGATGGGGTTCTGAGTGGAATTGGATCCCTTTCTCCCTGTCTGCAGCCACATCCTTCTTCCTCTGCTTTTCCTTTTATGTCATATCTATTTCCTTCTTACTGTGTTTCGAAGGCCTCAAGCATGGCTGCTCCATAGCTCTAACTGGAGAGACCCCCTCAGAAGTGGGACTCCCCTACCCAGTGCTCACCCTTTCTGCTTGCTGTGAGGAAGGTCCCCAAGTGGAGGACCAGAGCAGGGGCTCCCCGGTGGGTCACTTCTCTGTGACTTGATTTCCCCCAGGTGGCCTGTTTTTGATAGAGCCCTTTGCTGTTTTTTGTTGTGTCCTTTCTTAGCTCTTTTCTTTTCATTTGGGTTTCTCATTTTATACTTTTGCACTTTGCACTGCTAGGGTTTGGGCTCTTTAGTCTAAATTGATTTGGGAGACAGGTAAGAAAACTAATCTCAGGTCAACTGGAGAGGGCAGATCTGGAGAATTAAATGCCTGTGCAGTGGTGAGGGGCGTTGGTCAGATTCCTTGCCTCTGCTCAGAGGTAGTGTCCATCTTTTTGCCTTTGTCACTTCTCCCCGGGTCTGGCTGTTGTTTGTGGCTGCGTGTAGAGCTTGTCAGGCGGAGTGCTGTGACAGGAGGCTATTTTAATAAACTGTTGCAGTTTCTCGAGCCGAGCTGTGTTGCGTTGGCATCCCTCGTCACCGCTAATGGAGTGTGCGTGGCTGGGTGTGGGCCGAAGGAGGAGGCTGAGCTTGCTGGGGGCTGGGGGAGAAGGGAGGGACGTGTGGGGTGCTGGCCTCCCCCTTGTCTGAGAGTGCTCCTTCAGCAGCCAGACCTGGGGGCATCACAAGGTGGCAGTACCCTGGGCACCAGATCCCTGCCCTGGAAGTACTGCTGGCATGGACACTTTCTGAGCTCTCTTTCTTCTTATTTCTATTCATAGCACCGCAGGCCCGTGTGTATGTGGCCGGGGAGGAAAACTTCCACTCGCCCCTGTGTGCTCCATAGGAAGAAAAAAAAAAAGAAAGAAAGAAATAGAAACAGAAAAAGAGAGTGTGCAGGCCCGAGAGAAAGACTGAAACCAAAACACAGAGAGAAGGCGCAGCTGCTTCCCCAAGGCCTTCTGGGGCTCCCGCCCGCCAGCCCGCCGGGAGTCAGGCCTTTATTTATTTATTTTTCAGGCTTAAAAAAAAATTTCGAGTCTTCCACAATCCCAGTCCCCCCCAATGCCCCACCCCACCCCCAGATTTGCTGGGTGGCTGCTGCCAAATGGACCCGAGTGGGAGCCTGGAATGAAAAATTCATAACTGCTGGACTTTGCTTGTTCATTAGACGTGAACTTGTCGATTGGGCAAATTGTTTTTGGTCTCCAACTGCCGGGGGCTCTCCCCACCCTCCCTGCTCGCCCGGTTCCCTCCTCCCCTTGGACGCAGCCATTGGCTGCTCGTGGATGTCTCTTTGCCAAATAGGTGGATCCTTCTCTCTCTTTCTCTCTCTCTCTCTCTCTCTCTCTCTGTCTCTTTCTCCCCCCACCCCTTTTTACTGGCTTGGCACAAGCAAATGGATGGGGATTGAGCCTGAAAGGAGAGAGAGAGAGGGAGTTTGAGAGAGAGAAAAGGAGCAAAAAAAAAAAACACCCCAAAAACCCAACCAGTGCGCACACACACGCGCACACTCACACACACGCCCCATCCCATCCACGTCCTCCCTCGATCCTCGATCTCTCCCTCCCCCCCTTCTTCCTTTCCTCCCTCCCTCGCTCCCTCTCTCTCTTTTGCACGCGTCTGCCAGCAACGGTCTGCAGCCGGTCAGAACTCGTCCTCTTCCCCGGGAATCTGCGAGCTCCCCCTTTTCCTCCGATCAGGCAGCTCGAAGTTTACACCCCTGTGCCGCTGCCAAAGCCGAAAGCCTTTTTCTTCAGCTGCCGCTTTTTCCCTCCTGGGTTTTGTTTTTGTTTTTGTTTTGCACGGGGGTGGGGTGGGGTGCGTTGTTGGTTGTGGGGAGATGGTGGGAGGCTGGTTTTGATTTTTAAATTTTGCATTTTTTTCTTTTTTTTTTTTTTTAAACTGGAAGAGGATGCACAGGGGAAGAAATTGAAAAAAAAATTTTGTTGGCTTTTGTTTACCTGGCGTGTGTGGCAGCCGGCTCGCTCCCTCTCTCTGCTTGCTATCCCTGACCTTTCTTTCTTTTTGCTCCTTTTCAAAAAAAATATTAATTTCCCCCTTCTGTGCAATGGAGCATGGGGGGGGGGAGGAGGGGGAAGGGTTTGAGAATCCACCCAAGCCCGGCCCCTATTCCCCAGAACACCAATAATAACCCCCTTTAAAACATTTACCTTCCTCCCCTGCTCCTCCTCCTCCCCCCTCCCCCCACCCGCCCCCAACTCACAACTCTTTTGAGTCCAGAATCTCAGAATCGGGCGTTGGGCTTTGCCGGGTGCTTCAGATCAATGGTAATTATTTAATTTTTTCCAGTTTTATTTTTGTAAACAGAAATCAATTATTATTTAAACTTCAAACAAGCAAACAACCAAAAAAAAAAAAAAAAACCAAACAAAACCGAGAGAGCCCATCCTTCTGTCACCTGACTGAGTGGGAAAAAGGGTGAAGGGGTTGTGGGAGGCTGGGGAAGGGGTCGCAAGAAGACCCATGTAGCTTTTAACCCTAATGTGGCCGAGACAAGCACCTTATTTGTGCTAACAAGAAGTGTTTTGTTCATTATTACTGTGATTAACATTAGTATTGGTGTCGATAACAAAGCTGAAATCACATATTTAGGATTTAGGTCTGATTAAAAAATGTTGGGGTGGATGTTCCAACTGGATCAGGAGAAAAGAAAATGAAAACAGCCTGGGGAGAGGGAAGCCTGATCTGTTTCCTCACTCGCTTGCTCGTGGATGTCATTTTCTGTCTTCTTGGGGGCGGCCAAAAATCGACCGGTGTCGGGGACCAGAGGCGGCCCCGCACGCCCCCGCGTGTGCGTCCACGGGCGTCTGTGCAGACGGACACTGTGCCGGGGCGAGCTGACAGGAGTTCACGGCTGCGATAGAACATGGAGATGTCATGGGCGCGACAGAGCCTGGCGGGGATACCAGCAGCGTGTGTGTGTGGACGGCAACGTTGTCTGTGCGCGTGTGTGTGAGTGAGTGAGGGAGAGAGAGAGAGAATAGGTGTGTGTAGAGGCTCCCGGTGCCTCTGTCTGGCTGCTGAGGCTGAGATGGGAGCAAGTGGCTGGCGAAGCTGGTGGTGGCTTCAAACCACACTTTCGTAGAACAATCGCAAGAGAAAATTGTTGGGGGGAGGGAGGAGGAGGAGAAGGCGGTTTTCCTTGTGCCCCCCCTTCTAACGCTGCTTTTCTCCTTCTCTCTTTCCCCCTCATCCCGTCTTCCCCTCCTCCCGTCCTCCCTCGCCCCGCATGCTCCCGGCTTGCCGCCTGCAGGATGAGTTCCACCCGTTCATCGAGGCACTGCTGCCTCACGTCCGCGCTTTCTCCTACACCTGGTTCAACCTGCAGGCGCGGAAGCGCAAGTACTTCAAGAAGCATGAAAAGCGGATGTCGAAGGACGAGGAGCGGGCGGTGAAGGACGAGCTGCTGGGCGAGAAGCCCGAGATCAAGCAGAAGTGGGCATCCCGGCTGCTGGCCAAGCTGCGCAAGGACATCCGGCCCGAGTTCCGCGAGGACTTCGTGCTGACCATCACGGGCAAGAAGCCCCCCTGCTGCGTGCTCTCCAACCCCGACCAGAAGGGCAAGATCCGGCGGATTGACTGCCTGCGCCAGGCTGACAAGGTGTGGCGGCTGGACCTGGTCATGGTGATTTTGTTTAAGGGGATCCCCCTGGAAAGTACTGATGGGGAGCGGCTCTACAAGTCGCCTCAGTGCTCGAACCCCGGCCTGTGCGTCCAGCCACATCACATTGGAGTCACAATCAAAGAACTGGATCTTTATCTGGCTTACTTTGTCCACACTCCGGGTAGGTCGTTCTCAACCATTTTTCCCTCTCATTTTATTTTCCTTGCTGGCATTTGTTCTGTTTATTGTTCCTCTAATTTCCAAGCGATAACTCGCCATGGGCCTAACTGGTGTATGCCCGTCCTGCGGGGCCTGCAACACGGTTCTATGGGCCCTTTTCCTTTTTCCTGTCTTCTGTCTCCCCCGACCTGTTCTATTCTTCCTCCTCTGCCCCCTGGCCATGGTATCGACTTTGTGCATCTCCATCTTTGGAGGACTTATCTGATCAGAAAGATGCTGCAGGTCTTAGGATTGGGGACATGATGCCCCCAGAATTATCCATGATGGTGAGAGTTTGAGATGAACAACAACAGCAAACCAGTAATTGCTCTTATTAAAATGAGTCAGAAGAAGTATTGAGGGGCAGGTGCTAGTTTTACTGCAGCTTCACCTCCAGTCCCAGGAAAAACTGGGTTTGGTACAAGCGGGATGGGCAGGAGTCCGGTGGAGAGAAGGGGCATGTGAAACCCTGGGATATGAGACTGAATGAACAGAAAAGAGGAGAGAAGACAGTAGTGGGCAGATTCTGTGGCCTAAATACTCAGGCGGGAGCTGTTTTGGCTGGGATTTGGCTGTCAGTATGAAAGTAATTTGATTTCATAGAGAGTGAAAACAAGGACGAGATTCCTTGAGCTCTTTCCCTTCTCCTTATTTCAGCTAAAGTGGCAAGGCCTCAGGATGGATGCCCACAGCCCTGGCACTGGGGAGCAGAGAGGCTTTCTCGGGGCACAGGCATGGCAGGGAGCAGCGTTGCTGTGGAAGAGGTCTTAAACAAGCAAACAAACAAACCAAAAAAAAAAAAAACTCTGTAAAATCTCCTTTTCCTTTTGTGTTCCAAGTAGTTCTGCTTCTCTTCGCTTTTCCAGTTTTACCCTGCATTTTGGGTCAGGGTGGTTTAGTTCTCCTCCTCTGTTCCTTTTTTCCCTTACCCTTTCCCTTTTTATAATTTCTTTCCGCTTTTGTTTTCTTACAAATTGAAACAGAGATGGCTGGTTAATTTTTAGCCTCCACTCAGCTACGCCCAATTTACTGCCGCCTTTGAAACCTAAACGGGCGGCACTCTGTGATTAAGCAAGGCAGAAGTGTGTTTACATTATGCCCAACCAACTTGTAATGAGAGGGCTACCAAACCTTTCTCTCTCTCTCTCTCTCTCTGTGTGTGTGTGTGTGTGTGTGTGTTTCCTTTCCACCATTCCAGTATTTTTTCCCCTTCATTTTCCTTCTTCCTCTCTTTATGCGAATTTGAGAGAATGTGGCTTAACTTCAACTCTCGCAAAGGTTGTTTCTCCGCGAGTGTGTGTCTCTGTGTCTTTCTTCCTGTTCATTCACAAAAAAGAAAAGTGATTCACAATGGCTGTGGTCACCCCCTTGCCTGTTTGGGAAGTTGGGAGGAATGATATAACTGGATCCAGAAATAAAATTCGGGTTTGGGGGTGCTTTCAGCACTGCGTCAGGAATGTAATCTAGACTAGAGTGAGCCCTGAGTTTACATGTTGGAGAACTGTGGAGAGGAGAAGGTGGTATTGGAATTCTTGTCCTGAGAGGTTGCTTTGGTAACTGGTTAGAAGCAGGGGACACCACTCTCACCCCCCAAGTCTCTACCTACTTCTGTGGATCTTTCTAGGCCTGCATCCGGCCCTGTGTGACCATCGTGACCCGTCATGCAGAAGGGCCAGGTGCCAGTCATTCCCCCTCCCTTCAGCTTGAATTTTTTCTTTTGTCTTTTTTCTTTTTGGAAAACAGACTGAGAGGGAAAAAAAAGTTATCCCCTCATTCTCTGTCTATACAGCAAGCCAGATTTGGGAGGGTGTGTGCCTGGTAGTATTGGAGGTGACTGGTGGCTTGCAGAAGGCTCGGAGCCTCGAGCTTACCAGTGTGGCCATCAGATACTCCTGCACAAGGGGATTCTGCACCTTCCAATTTTAGAACCAGGGGCTCGAGAGCATCTAAGATGAAAATCAACACTCATCTTCCTCTGAGCTGGCTTCCTCCAACCCCGCTCTCTGACTGGATCCTTGTAGCTGAGTTGTTTCCCTGGCCTCTTTTATTTTAGGCCGAATTCTTGACTGCTGCCAGTGTGGGGCTAAGGTAGGATGAAAAGTATGTGAGGAAGCAGACCGTTTCCTGGCCAGAAGAAAGGCCCCACCATGCCTCCCTGCCAGCTTAAGAGATCATTCGCCCAGGAATATGAGTGAATTCATACCCCATTCCATGTAGCCGAGGCCACTTCTCTGGGCTGGGGCTGAGGCCGAGTCTCCTCTACAAAAGCAGAGTAGGGAACTAAGGGTGTATTTTATATCATTCAGGCCCCAGACTCCAGATAATTTCAGTGAAGGTAGGATTTTTCTCACTGGAATTGCTTTAGTTTGAGTGTGCCTTCCTGAAGTGAGTTGAGGCGAGTTGGCGCAGCCCGGGCCACCAGTGGGCTGCATCACTTGTTCCTCTTTGGAGTTGGGTTGGGTGGTCTTGAGATGGCACAGACCAGGCATGGCTTGCTTCCTCCTTGAGCTGGCAAGAAATAAAAACATTTCTTGCTTTGCTAGAAAATGTCTTCTGTGGCTGAGCCACCAAAGAGCATCGATCTGTGGGCACCACTTTCTCCATGCCCATGCCTGCCAGGCACACTCAGCAGAGCTGCCACTTGCTCCTTCCTTCCAGGATGATAAACTGGGGACAGGGGCCGGGATGGCACAGGCTCAGACAAGAGCTGCTTTGGACTCTGAAATAAGTGTTTTTCCTTTTCTTAAGACAGGGCTGAAGAGCCAGATCTGGGCTGAGCTGGGGGTCCTGGGTTTCATGACAGTAACGGTGATGTGGTGGTAAATGTGGGGGTGTGGCTTTGCTCCCAGGTGCCATTGTCACCCATGGCCTTCCTGAGCCCTTGTTATGTCCCAGATGAAGCTTCAAGAGATGACATGTTCGAGAGGGAATAAAGGACGTGTGTTTGGCGTTGAAACTCCACTCCCAGAATACTGGGTCCAAATACAGAATACTAGGTCCAAAAGGCTGCCATGCGGCTGGCCTTCCTGCTGGGAAGGAGTCTGTCTGTGTGTCTGTCTGTGTTTAGGAAGGGAGGTTGAGGCAGGGCAGGGTCAGAGAGCACTGCCGTGGGGAGGAGGGTATCCATTTCCTGGTGATATCCTTCCATTCAAAGCGGGTATCCCAGAACAGGTGGCCAGGGACGGGTGAGCTGGGGAGGGCCAGGAGAGAGATCTCTGCTTGTGTGAGAAAGGATGGCCGAGCTGGCCTAGAACCGCTGCTAGACTATCTCCAAAGTTTCTGCAGCACCCTGAAGGTGAACCAGTGCCTTCAGACCTTCCCTGACACCTAAGCCTTGGTCCTAGGAAAGAAAAAAAAAAATCCAAAGCTAACAAAATACTTGAGCGAATGGAACTGTCAGCGTCACCCTGTCAGATCCCTCCTGTGCGCCTGCAGCGGAATCCCCACGAAGTCCAGGTATTTGAGTGGTGGCTCTTTTCTTTATCTAAACTCTTTAATGATGGAGAGCTTCCCACATAGAAAGAACTCCTGTGTACCCACCACTAGTGCCAGCAATCGCCAGATCACGGCCAATCTCAATTCAACCATCCTCCCAACTGCCCACCCATGCTGAGTTATTTAGAAGATCCAGGCATTATAGCTTTTCATCTGTAAATGTTTTTGTGCACATCTCTAAAGATACGGACTCTTGAAAAACCAAACCACAATACCACTATTATACCCATTAAAAATTCAGCATTTTTTTTTAGTATCATCAGATACTGGTTAATGTTCACATTTCCCTAATTATCACTTAATTTTTTGTTTATAGTTTGTTTGAATCAGGATCCAGATGGGGTCAGTCCTGCATTGCGATGGGTTGATCAGTCTCAAAAGACTCATCATAATCTCTAGGTAGTCCTTCTCCTCTTCCTCTTCCTTAGTCTTGGTTTCTTTTCTGGCAGTTGTCATTGTTGTTGTCGTTGAAGGAAACAGGTTGTTTGTCCTGTGGGGTTTCCTCAGCTGGACTCTGCAGGCTGCGCTGCCCCGAGTGATTCAGTGAGTGTGGTGCTCTGAGAGCAGATTCGGCCTCCCCTCCCTCCCTACCTTCAGGTCCCGGGACAGCTGAGCTTAGCCTTACCTGTCGCAGGAAATGGGTTAGCACCTGAAGATTTGTCTAAGTGAACTTTTTCACCTGTGGGGTTGCCTTCTCAGGTATGAGAGCTTCTTGGTTTCGGCACTCTAGTTTAGGGTTTGGGGCTTTGTAGCAGGCACTAGTTTTCAGGTCTGAGGGAGGGCTGCCCATCCACGTCCTTCCTTGGCGGTGGAGGGCATTGTTCAGCTGTGTCCATACTGCCAAGACGGGGCTGGTGCCAGCGAGGTTCCCCAAGCCTTTGCTGGATGCCCAACCCGACTGTTGGCTCTGGGGTGAGTATGTGGGAGGGTCCACAGGAGCACCCGCCGCTTTCTCCAGGTCCACCCCCACCATGGACCCTGTGCCGCCTCATCCATTGCCTCCTTTTTCAAGGCCCAGAAATGCCACTGGTCTGCGTCTTTGAGGCAGCGCCATCTGGTGCCAGGGCTGACAAAGATCGCAGGGCCCTGGAACTGACGCCTAAAATTAGCAGGATCTACAGATTATCTTTTAACCCAATGTAGGGTCCCCTTTAGAACATCCCAGAAGAGGTGTCACTGTCATTCAAAGGTCAGCTTTGGTTGTAAAATTCTTCCATTCTTCCATGTCTAGCTTGTAGGATGGTTCCAGGGATTAAACCAGCTAATATGTAAAGATACCGGCACATAGCAGGACGGCAGCTGCTGTGATTGAGGACAATTGTTATGATTTAGGGAGCCCAAGGCTGACTCTCTGTCACCTTTACTTGTTGGTCTTTTTTTTCTCTTAAGGGATGACCCAGGTGAAAGCTGATTTTCCTGTAACAGGACAGCATTTGAAATACCAAAGGCAGCTCTTATGTCTCCCTTCCACCCTTCTCCCCAGGAAGCTGTCTCCTCTCCAGCCTGAATATCACCAGTCCCTAATGCCTCCCACATTTCACATGGCTCCTAGTGCCCTTGCCATTTTGGTAACCACCTCCTGGAAGCCCTCTGGTTTGTTTTGGTCCCTCTGATTCATAAAATTTCTGAAACTGGAGTGTTCAGAATTGAACACAGAAACTCCAAGCATGATCAGATCCTAGCCAGCCATGGTGGCTACATAATTTTCAGGGCCTTCCAGCTACATACTGTGCAGGGCTCAGTGCAAAATGAAAATGTGGGGCTCCTTGTTCAAAATTTTTAGGAATTACAGCACGACATCAGTTAGAGCATTTAACCAAGCGTGGGGGGCACGCAAGTTGCACACCCGTGAAGCTGGCCCTGGCCACCTTTGTTTTGGACATTCGTGTCTGTTAATACAACTTGGGGTGCTGGGTCTGGGTGATGTGGAATAATGATGGGGCTCAGGCTGGCCTCAGAGCGGGGCATGACCCCAAAGAGGAGAACAGAAATGCCCAGACCCAATCCTTATGCTTGGGCTTGGTCTTATTCTCAGACTCCTTTGACCACCTGCTCTTGTCCCTTTTGTTCATAGTGCTGTCCACCCAACCAGTCAAGAGCTCCCATTGCCTACAACATGCAGGGGGTTTCTCAGTAGAGTGCTTGCTCTGCTGGCTGAATTGGAGGCTATGACATGGGGGAAAAAAGAGTCACCTTTGTCGGAGCTTGAGCCAGCAAAGCGCCGACCGTGAACAAGCCAGAGGGGACCTAGAGGCCTGATCCCATAATTATGGGCATGGTGACCAGCCGTGCTCTATTGCTGACCCAGAGGAAACAGGGCTACTCTGCAGCAGAAGGGCTGGGGTCCAGACGTGCAGAAGGACTTCCTGAGAACTTGGTTTACTTTTTGGCGCTTCCAAAGCATGGTAGAATTCCCTTTATCCATGAAATGCACACTTAGTCAACTTACTGTGAGCAAGGTCCTGGCCTAGGGGTTCCTAGATCTCTAAGAATAAGAGAATCTTGCGTGTACCTGGCAGGCTTTGGGTAAAGGCCCGATGATATCTTCTAGAAGGCTTCCTCCCGTAGGCGTAGGCGTGAACCTGCAGTGACC
Source organism: Homo sapiens (assembly GCF_000001405.40). Classification (NCBI taxonomy): domain Eukaryota; kingdom Metazoa; phylum Chordata; class Mammalia; order Primates; family Hominidae; genus Homo; species Homo sapiens. Next base: position 13,031,679 of record NC_000019.10, read on the forward strand.
CATGCTGGAGGGGAGGGAAAGCCCAAAGGGCCTTATTTGGGGGATAGCTCACAGTGGGCTGTGAATTGGGAGGCAAGGTCCTTCTTGGCCACCCTCTAGTGTTACAGAGACCTGGGATGCCAGAGGAAGAGTGGGTTAGAAGGGGTAATGAGGCCAGTGCTACGTTCTCCCTCTGTCCTGGCTTCCTGTAGCAGCTGGGCAGAGAGGGGACAGCTGAGTGTCCCCTTTTCTGCCTAGGGAAGAAGGTGACTCCCTCCCCACCCCTTTTTCTCTTTGCCCTGTCCGTCCCATCCCTCCACCCCCGCCCTTCTGTCTCAGGAGCTGCCACGCTTCAGTTATTTTATCCTTCAGTGTCCGATTCAGAAGTCTTTTCAAAGGCCCCAGCCGTGTCAGCGCGGTGCTCGCACAAAAGGCCTCTTTGATTTCTTGTTTGTTTTCATTTGCCAGTGGAGGGGGAGGGGGGCAGGAGAGAAAGAGCTTCTGGGTTTTAAAATTTTTATTTGGGTTGCTTCATTCTCAGAGGAGTTGGCTCCCTGGAACTCCTTTCTGAGTTGGGGGCTCAGAGTTGAACGGCAGCCTTCTGAAGAGAGGGCTAGTGTAGGAGTGGAGGGTTGGGTGGAGCTCCCAGGGTGACAGGAGGAGGTGTAGGGGTTTAAATATAGTTATTGATTCATCCTACAAACACTTTGGGCAGATCTTATGTGCTAGGCCTAAGGGCAGCCCTGCCTGTTGGGTAGAGGAAAGGTCTGAGGTGTCTGGCACATGACATTCCCCTGTGTGTTGCATCGTTCGAGGACTCCTCACAGCTGTGGATTTGCACAGTTGTGAACTTTGACTTTGTTATTTTTCCTTTTTTGTCCCAGATTCCGCCTTTGAAGGGATTCTACTAGCATACACACTTCTTGGAGACTCAGTACTTCAGAATACAGGTTGGGGCTTCCCACCCTAAATCAGAGAATGAGGGAGAGGGAGTGAGAGGTTTATAGAGCAGCTAGGTGTCTTCCTGGGAATGGTGTGCAGAGGACCTGGGCCCACAGCTTGTTTTGGACTTTGAGGGCAGGTCAGTGCTGCTGAGACCTTGGTGAGTAGGGAGTTGAGGCCAAAAAGAAATGGAAGGCCATGTTTGTCCAAGGTTTCGAACAAGAGACACCCAAACCAGTGCCTGTTGGGGTGCGTACCTTAACACATGTGGGCACGTCCCTATATCCCAGTAAGAAGAGGTGCAGCCTGCTGGTTTACATGCCTGTATGGAGGCCTAATTGTCAGGGCTTGGGAAGAGAGTGCCACAGACCGAGACTCAGGCAGGTGGTCACGGGCATCAGCAACAGGGAAGTGTGCCCATTGGGTGAGGGGGGGCTCACAGGGCCTGGTTGGCAGACGGGAGGAGGAGGCTGGGGGGCTGAGAGATAGATAAATATAGCTGATGGCATTTCTGATGATAGGTTTTTCTTGGCACCAAGGGCACCGTGGAAAACAGCACGACAAACGCCCGGCCCTGCAGGCCGCCGTCGCCATTTTAAGCATGTTTGAGTTTAAGGGTTGTTGGCGTTAGAATAGGGTCCCAGGAGGAGGAGGGCCTAGGGAGGAGAAGTTTGGCTGGACTGGACCTTACCCCCCAGGTGCCTGGGTCCCTTACTTTGTCTATAATGGATATCTCGTACCTTATTTCCTGGCCCTTTGGGGATTTAAAAAATATTCTGGGGCTGCCCTTTATGGGTCTGTCTCCCAAGTGACTTATTTCACCACCAGCTGCCATGGACTATCAGTAGGGGGCATCTTGGCTCTTCTCTCACTCCTGATGCCTTACTGATGACATGGCATGCCACCACCACCCCAGTACAGGGTACTTATTAGCTGTTATTTGGGGACACCCAATAACTTAAGGGGCACCTGTTTGTCCAGGCTCCTAACAACTTCTTGTCCCCTGTGGGCATGCCCTTGGTCTCTATCCCCTGCTTTAATTCCATTTTTCCATTGAAGGCCCTCTATGGCTTTAGCACCAGGCTAAGTCCTCTCTATGTATTAATTCCCTGAATTCTCACCCTGATTCTAGTTTTAAGCCTGTGCTCCTGGCTGGGTGTGTGTGCACTCAGGTGATGTGCATAATATGTGTAGTGAGGAATCAGCAAACCAGACCTGGGGACCAGGGAGGCTTCCTAGAAGACGACCTACTTGACCTGCACCTTGAAAGACAGTGAGGAATTAGCTCGTTTTGTCAGCTGCCTGAGCCTTCTCAGTGTGCCTGGAGCTGATTCCCTCCTCACAATGGTTGAGTGATATAGACAGGGCAGGTATTATTGTATCTACTGTACAGAGGAGGACCCGAAGTACAGAGATGACAGGGGACTCTGGTCACATGATGAGTTTCTGGCAGAAGGGGCCGGCTTCTAGGTCACTGAGTACCTGGAGCTCATTCTGAGGGCATCGCTGCTCCTTGAACTTCATCAGGATTACTGGCTTTGGCAGAGTCTCAGAGGAGAAAACCTCAAGGGTCCCTGTTGGAGCCAGTTTCATCATTGTGGTCTCTGTCACTCTCTAGAAGAGAGCCCAGCTTGCGGCTCAGCTCAAGGGCTCCCCCAGTGGCTGAGTATGTGGGGTGGAAACAGAGAATGGGCACCTGGCCCTGTCCTGACACTGGCCTCCCTCCCTCCTGACAGGCCATGGCTCCCTGGATCCCTGCCACCAACCTCGAGAGGCAGCATGCTAGCATAGACGGGCTGAGTCTAGCATAGACAGGGGCCAGGTTGGCTGGATGCTCTCACCCTGCTGCAGCCAGCTCTGCTTCTTTTCATATCTCCCTGGAGCATGGGGGAGGGATCCCACCTGACCTTCTCAGGTAGAGGAGGCAGGAAGTCTAGGTGTGAGGCCAGGCAGGTTCTGCTAGACCTTGGGATTCCTGATCCTTGCACTGTCACACCCTTTTCCTGGGAGTGTCCTTGGAATCAGTTTGAAATAAAAATGAATGTAATTATCATAATTAACCAGGTGATCGCTGGAAGTTTTACAATAATCTGCTACTCATTGCCTTTTTCACTTCTTCACATTGACTCTCACCTTTATCCCTTTCTTAAAGTTGGAAAACTCTCGGGGTGTGTATATAAAAACTCTCCTAGCATGACTAAGGCTGGGTTCAGGGAGAGGCTGGCTCACCGCTCTAGATTTTCGTCTGTGTCCATGATAATTAGACAGAGGCTTACCTCTCACCATTGATATCAGCTCCCCTTGAGCAGCATTTCCCAACTGCGGAACTGTTGACATTCGAGTGAGATCATTCTGTGTCTTGGGGGACTGTCTTGGACATTGTAGAGTTTTAGCGGAATCTCTGGCCTTGACCCGCTAGAAATCAGTTGCACCTCCCTCCCCAAGGTGTGACAACCAAAAATATCTCCAGACATTTCTAAGAGTTCCCTGGGAACAGAATCATGCATGGCTGAGAACCTCTGGCCTGGAAGAAACAGGGATTCAGACAGAATGCCACCTGTGTTCACCTCTTGCCTCACCGCCAGTTTAGGTCCTCATTTACCTTGTGTTGAATGTCGACTGAACCTCTGAGCATCGTCTACTCCTGTGTGTCCTGTGTTGTTTTCGCTTTTCCGGATAGCAGAGCCCTGGGCTGAAGCAGTTTGGGGGCTTTCCCCTTTCACCTCCCCCTGGTTGGAACTGTAAGCCTGCCTCCAAGTCCCCTACTGAGTTATTCCTCTCTGATTTTTTGCATAGTGGTCTCTGTGTGCTGGGGCTGCTGATCTGGGGAACAGGACAGGGGATCTGCTACTGGGCTGACCCAGGCCTGTGCAGCAACCGGTAATCCTGTCAGGCCCGTATCAGACCCCAAAGAACAGCAGACGTTTGTTTCTGCAGCATGAGACACGGAGACCAGAACTGTTGTCTGGGTCTTAGTACTACTCTTTTTAAATGATTTGATTTTTTTTTTTTATTATAGTAGTAAAACACATTCTTTGTAAAAATTTAACAATAGAGAATGTGAGAGACAGACAGGTTCCCCAAACTACTGTCCTGTGCCTGAGACAACTTCACTTCGCAGATCCATGTTAGTTCTTCGAATTTTTTTCATCAATTCATATATCAAGTAACTTTTAAATATAGAGGTATCTATTTTAAGAGCAGATGGTATGTTTGGGCTAATTGAATTGGCTCCGTCAAGTGCCATTGTGGTCTTAACTCTTCCCACCCGCTGCCTTTTGTACCCTTGCCCGCATCATCCCAAGTGCAGAGCCAATGTCCCTGTCTTCTTTTCCCTGAGGTGACAGTTTCAGCGTGTCATTCCTGGGAGGAGTGACCAACAGGGCATGTACTGGTGTCTGAGTGGTTAGGATCCCACTCTGGGGGATTCCTGCTGGTGGTATAACCCCGACCACAGAAGTCAGGGCCTAAGCCTCAGCCTGCCCTGAGATCCCCACCAAGGGGGCTGCGGCTGGAGGGAGGGGCCCCTGGGAAGTATCCTGCTTGGCTGCACCTGGCTTGGCCTCTGGAGTCGACTTCCCAAGTCTCCTAGGAAGGCGAGGGCTCTCCTTCGTGTGGAGTAGACCCTTCGCCAACTGGCCTGGCGTGTCCGGGAGGCTTCCTTTCTTAAAATGGGGGGATGAAGCGTCAGTCATGCTTCCAGGATTTATTTCATCATAATTGTTTGTTTTGGGTTTAACAATACAGCAGGGAGAAGAGTGGCAGAGGAAGAAGAGCGTCCTCTCCAGGCCAGGGGTGGGGCTGTGGAAATGAGAAACCGGACGAGACAGAGAGGGAATCCAGAGAGGGCTTTGCGGTTGAGTCTGCCAGTCTGGAGAAGGCTGCTCTCCAGACAGCTGAGAGTAGGGTGACACCTGGTGACTCTTGTGGACTGGGCGGAGCTGTGTGGAGCGATCGGGAGATCCCCGGAGGCGACCTGCAGGAGGCCAGCCGAGTGCAGCCCTTGGGGAGTGTGTCCTTATTATGCCTGCAGATTATATCCCCATTAGCGCATAATTATTATATAATGGGCGTTATTGCATAATGGCAGTTATATAACAGGTGGCCCAGAATACAGACAGGGGGTGTAATAAGTGTATATCCTCTGGCTATAAATAGCCACCAGCCCCACACCAAATATGTGGTCACACCAGAGCCACCTTATAAATACCCGTGCTGGGCTATAAATTTCTGAGCAGTGACGTCAGCGGGCATGGTACCTAGTTAGGGGGTGGTAGGAGGGACCTGCGGCCCCACCCGGACACATGACATCATTGTTTCCTTAGTAACAGGAATGCTCCCGGGGGACCAAGTGAAGAAAGGCCTTTAAAGGGAGGAGGCAAATGGATAGGAAGCTTGAGTTGGGGGTGGGTGCTAAGCCTGGGCTGAACAGGGTGAGGTCTCCTGGGCAGAGTCCTTAATGGGTGAGACAGGCCATCTGCCCTTGGGTATTTGACCCAACGGGAAGCAAGGCAGTAGACTCCGTTTCCTTTCATCTTTAGGGGGTCTCAAGTCCCCTTTCCTGTGTGTAGCAGATTCTGCCAGCCTTGGCTGTGTGTCAGGGAGAAGAGGGGAGCTACAGAGTCTTCCCTGTCCTTCTCTCTCCCAGGTGACCTCTACAGGGCTCTGGGGCCACTTGCTTAAGGGAGACCCGACTTCTGCACCCGGTCATATCCTCCCCAGGGCATGACCACTTCCCCTACCAGACGTAGTAGGCCAGTTTCAGCCTTAGTAATCTAAGAAATATGTGAGCAATTTGATGCGGATCTCAGAGAGCCTCGTGGAAGTAATGGCGCTGAGAGATGGCGCCTGGGGAAGAAAGAGGAGACAAGGATAGTATTCTGGCCCCAGAAGAAACTATGAGGTGGGATATAATCTTTTTAGGTGTATGGGAGATTGCTTCATATAGGGTGGGGAAGAACTAGTCTTCATAGCCCTGAGCATAGAGGAGGAAATTTGCCTTTGGCAGATGAGGGGATTGGAAGAAGGCTGGATGACCAACTCGTCCTGGTTTGCTCAGAGTTTCACAGCCCCTCACCTCGGTAAACCCCTCAGTCTCCAGCAAACTGGGATTGTTGGTCACCCTAGAACAGTGATTTTCAACCAAGGGCAATTTTGTCCCGCAGGGAACATTTGGCAATGTCTGTGAACACTTTTGGTTGTCACAGTTGTGGGGGGAGGGTGCTATTGGAATCTAGTGGGAAGAGTCTACTGCATATGACAGTCCCCCAGGAACAAAGAATCATCTCGCCCCCAAACGTCACAAGTGCGGAGGTGGAGAAACCCAGCCTTAGAGGGAGAATAAGCAGACCCTGCTGTGCGTGGTCTCTCCTCAGGACGCCTCTTGCCTCTGCTAGCAGAGTGGGCTGCTTGGCTGCCTTCCTGAATTTCTTGCAGCTCTTGTTTTCTGTGCTTTGATTGGTTGTGTTTAGGGTTCTGTGGCCTGGAAACCTTTTCTAGGAAATCGTGTGGCTTCTGAGAGGGTCTTTCCCATCTCAAAGCTCAGAGACCCTTTGAGACAGTGCCATCTCAAAGTGAGACAGTGCTGACAGCAAGCCCTGCCAGGCAGTATGGTATTGGTGTGGATCCTTCATCTGTTATTTAAAAAAGAATGGAAAAATCATCAAATACCTATCCCTTATTGCCTACCAAAGAGTTTCTAAAAGGCAAAGCCTGCCTGTTTTCCCTGCCTTTCAGGTCACCTCTTCCCATATAGACCTGAACAGGCCACTGCGGCTCCTGGGGCTTCCTGAGCGTAGCAGTCCCAGGGTGAGAACTCACTTCCATAAAAGCCAGTTTCCCAGACCCAGTGACCAGGGCTGGACTCTGCCACCCAAAGAAGCTTCCCAAATGAAACAAATGAGGCAGGAGCAGGAGAGAGCCAAATCCTATTCTGGCACATGGAGTTTACAGAAATCTAGGTTCTAAGTGTTCTCATGTCATTTATAGAAGTTTCCGTTTAGCCCGGCATATGTGAAATGTAATCATGAAAGCATAGCAGACACTGTTTTTCACCTGCCTTTAGTGCCTGTTTAGTTTACTACCTGGCTGCAGTTGACTTGGCGCCCTCTGGCCTTGACCACATGCATAGCGTGGCCAACTGGGTCATCGTTTCTGCTGGCCTCGGACAGGGCCCACAGATGAAGGCCAGGATGGTGGTGGTGGCGCAGTGGTCTGGTCTGCACCAGAGATTTGGCCAGAGAGAGGGGATCAGCTGGGCTGTGGGCTACCCGTTGTGTGTGTCAGGCCCAACTTTTGAGTTTGGACTTGAGATTGAGGCAGCTAATAAGCGTGGATGGGGAGGAAGGGCCCAAGGGTCTACATGCAAGGTCCTGCCTGCTGTGCCAAAGGGGACTCTGTGGGGAACAGTGCTGGCTCCGAACACAAAGGCCATTGCTCCATGGAGCAATAATCCTCAGGATATTGCCAGCCCAAAAGATATGGCCAAGAGAGAGGCCTCTGCCCTGAGGACAATGGCCAGATTTCTCTCACTTATTTATGGTATCGTGGTTTACAAAGTGGGCCCAGCACACAAATCTCTGGGCATAGTTTCAAATACATGCATTTCTTTTAAATTAAACACCCCCCCCCACACACACACATACACGTGTGTGTGTGTGTGTAGGGTCTGTTCAAGCCCTGCTGCTGCCCAGGAGTGTTCCCAGCCACGTGGGACAGTAACTGAGGATGATGGTACTGAAGCCACTGTCTAATATTAGATTTTGTAACTCAGAGATTCATTAATATAATTACTCAGATGCCAGCCTGGCTTGGCAAGGCCTCTTGAATTGTGTTCCTCTTCAACAAAGTGCTCCGGCTGCAGAAATGCCCCTGGTGAGCCTGAGCTCTGCTACCTTGCCTGTGAATGGGGCAGAAGGCATGTGTTGGCCTCCTCACTGCACCCTGGGAGAGGCAGTGCATCCCCATGGTGGCAAGTCTTGCCTTTACATGTCTTGTCACGAAAACAGGGACCTTGGAGAGTCTGCTGCAGAGGGGAGCAATCTGCTGGGCGAGGCCCCGTTTCTATGCAAGTTGGCCCTGGGCTCAGCTGGGGGCCAGTTTATTTTGCTCCGTTGTGATACTTAGCATGCAGTTTTTAGTTTCTCTTAGGCTGGAATCTTGGAGCTGGGACTGTGTTTTATCCGCCTTTGCATCTGTCTCTCGCGCAGCTTATAGTTTTATACGCTCCATAAACCCATTTTGAATATTGAATTACCTTCAGATGGGAAGCAGCCCATGGCCCATCCTTGAGATGATGTAAAGGCTCACGATGGTATAAAAATCAGAAAGGGGGCTGATGAAGGAAGAGAGCCAAGATGGGAAAGTGGCAGGTGTGCTCTCTGAGTGGGCATTATGAGGGGAGAATCCTGACAGAGGAGGGGCAGTGGAAGCTTCCAGAATGCTGGAAGGAGTGTGGCAGGCAAGTGAGAAGCTGTGGGTTAATGGGTTCAAAGAGACTTGGTTTTTCAAAATACTTGTTTTTATTTTATGTGAATGAGCTCTCAGGAAAATGGGGAAGGAGCAGCCTTCTTCTCAGCCCCTTCCTTCACCCCTGCCCCCGCTGAGTACCTTGTTACAGGGGCTACTGCTTGGTGGGCTCAGCCCACCCCACCCTCTCATAGGCCTTTTCTTGGTCTCCTTGGCTGTCCCTGCTAAATAGTCATCTTTGGGGACATCCTCCCTTTTGGCCACAAAGCACACAGCCCCCCAGAGGCCATGTCCTCTCCAGACTTGGTCTGCGGAGCAGCCAAACTCACTCGTGACAGGGTCTCTTCCCGTGCCAGATCTTCCCTGCCACGCTAGCCTGGTGGATGCCCTGCGGCAGGGATTGGCAGGGATCAGTCCTGGGCCCACTGGGATTGCTTGCCTTTTGCTCTGAGGCTTTTCCTCGCCTCCCTCCCTCTCCTCAGGAGCCCTGGCCTCCAGGCTCCTTGTATGGACAGACTCATGGCTGCTATTCCTGCCCTCCATCTCCTGGAGACCCCTTCAGTCTGGGCCTCTCGGGTCAGAGATGACTGCCGTCCTCCAGCTGGTACATGTGCTTGCGGCTCTGGTAGCTGGGTTTGGTTATTAACAATGAATTATTAAAGGAATGTGAATAGGGAGGGAGGTTTGTCTTTCACACACTCGCGCACACACACAGCCACTTCTCGAAGCAGATCTTAAAGTTGATTCTGCTGCCGCTGCTGTACCTTTGCTTGCCTCGGATCTTAGAACTGTTTCCAGTAGTTTTTGAGTGAATTCCGAGCACTCCACTTTCTACCTTAAGACTCTCTAGATAGCTCCTTCCTCCTCTCTCACCTGGTCCTAAACCTCTTTCCTCTGGCCCCATGTGCCAGTTCTTGACTTTCTCTGAGACCGGTTTTCCCCTCTGAAGTCCTCCTTGTTCAGTGGAAAGGTAGCTAGAGGCCCACCAGGCACCCGGTCTTGGTAGTGTCACATGCCACAGCATGACAGTAACATGAGGACATTTCCCTCCTTGCTACCACTCTTTGGGCTGGAGTCCACTTGAGCATGAAAGTTCAGGAGGCCAAGCCTGCCTCTCACAAACTCTGGACACACAGGGGCTTAGTTTCACGATCAGCTGATTATGTTGTTCTATGATTTGGGGAGTGTGCCTGGTACGTACAGTCCCTCATCTGTCCACTGTTTTAAAAAGGTTATTTTTCTTATTATAAGACTACTGTACATTCATAATAAAAATACAAAATTAGCATGAAGTCAGGGGGTGGAAATTAAAATTATACAATTATGCCACTGAAATAACTGCTATTAACTTTTGTTGCATTTTCCCTTACTTATTCATGCACATATTTTATTTTTTACTGGAATTTATAGTATAGACACTTAGGGATGCTGCTTTTAAAATTTAATACTGCAGGGCGCAGTGGCTCATGCCTATAATCCCAGCACTTTGGGAGGCCGAGGCAGGCAGATCACGAGATCAGGAGTTCAAGACCAGCCTGACCAACACGGTGAAACCCCGTCTCTACTAAAAATACAAAATTAGCCAGGCATGGAGGCACATGCCTGTAATCTCAGCTGCTCAGGAGGCTGAGGCAGGAGAATCACTTGAACCCGGGAGGCAGAGGTTGCAGTCAGCCGAGATCGTGCCACTGCACTCCAGCCTGGGCAACAGAGCCAGACTCCGTCTCAAAAAAAAAAAAAAAAATCAGTACCATTGTGTATTCTACTATGTCGCTATTTTTCAAAATCTAATTTTTAGTGGTTTAGCATCTTTTCTTTTTCTTGTTTGTTTGTTTGTTTGTTAGTTTTTGAGATGGAGTCTCGCTCTGTCGCCCAGGCTGGAGTGCAGTGGCGCAATCTCAGGTCGCTGCAAGTTCCGCCTCCCAGATTCACGCCATTCTGCTGCCTCAGCCTCCCGAGTAGCTGGGACTACAGGCGCCTGCCACCACACCTGGCTAATTTTTTTTTTTTTTTGTATTTTTAGTAGAGACAGGGTTTCACCATGTTAGCCAGGATGGTCTTGATCTCCTGACCTCGTGATCCGCCTGCCTTGGCCTCCCAAAGTGCTGGGATTACAGGCATGAGCCACTGCGCCTGGCCTTAGCATCTTTTCTTGTTAGCTGCATTACCCCTAAATTGTCAACTTTTCTAATGACTTCTGTCCCCTATTCCCTTTTGAAAATGAGAAATTACCTCTTATTATAAGTGTAATAGGTGCTTACTGAAAAATAAAAACATGCTTTTACATGCTTTTTTTTTTTTTTTTTTTTGGAGACAGAGTCGCTGTCACCCAAGCTGGAGTGCAGTGGCACTATCTCAGCTCACTGCAACCTCTACCTCCAGGGTTCAAGCAATTCTCATGCCTCAGCTTCAGGAGAAGCTGGGTTTACAGGTGTGCGCCACCACACCTGGCTATTTTTTTGTGTGTTTTTAGTAGAGACGGGATTTCGCCATGTTGGCCAGCCTGGTCTTGAACTCCTGGCTGCAAGTGATCTTTCCGCCTCAGCCTTCCAAGTGCTGATATTACAGGAGTGAGCCACCATGCCTGGCCTGAAAAAGAAAAACATGCTTTTAAACAGCTTCATGAGATTTCATCATGCCAGAGCTGATGTAAACCCCACCCCCACCCCCACTGAGGCCTTTGAGTTGTGTTGCGTTCATCCCCATTGTAAATTCTGCTGGGATGGACATCCTATTACACCAAGCTTTGTAGCTGTATTTGTTACCTTCAGCTAATGCTTCCTAGCAGTTGAATTACTAGGCAAAAGGTATGGACTCTCTTGAAGGCTCTTCGTCCATCCTGTTAAATTGCCATCTGGAAACTTGACACCCTCAGGCAGCACGCAAGGATCCATCTCACTCTGTCCCTGTACCCTGATCCTATTCCCCAGAGCCTCAGAAAGATGTTGCCATCATTGTACATATCGTGTACATTGCACATACATGTCATGTCAGGATGCACTTTTACAAGTCAAGTCTCCCATCCCTGTCATAGGTGTATGTCCCGTTCCTGTATTTATTCTCTGCATCAGCTCACACATTCCTTGATGGACACATGGTGTTACCCAGTGTAAAAGCTAATCATGGACATCAGCCCACATTCTCACACCCTCCAATCCATGTTTTTATGAATCTGAGGTGCCCCCTTCCAGGCCTCTGCAGCCACTTCCTGTTAGCACTGCTAGAAGGGGAGGGACCCTTGGGGGTCACCGTGGCATGGCAGTTTCCTCTCAGCTTCTGGCCTTGGGACTGCAGAAGTGGCTCTTGAGACTGTCTGGTGGTGAGCAGGTGCTGGCCATGGTATCTTAATGGCAGCAGCCCCCAGGTCCACTTCTGAGGTGCAAGCCCATGCTGGCCGCCAGCACGTGCCAGAGAGCTCCTGAGGAAGCAGCTGCTGCTGACACCTGAGGCCAGCTGCGCAGTCTGCCACAAGGCCCCTGGGGCTGCCAAGGTCGCACATGTCCTCCCAGGACTTGAAGGGGGACCAGGGGAGGGTGAGCTGTTGCTGTGGACTGTGGACTTTGACATCACTCATAGACACCCCCTCTCTCACCCTTGCATCCCAGACAGTGTCCCCCAGGGCCATGCAGGCAGGGACACACAGCCCCCTTGTGCCCTGCCCCAAGTCCCTGTGTGTAAGTGAGCATGCTCTCATCAGACTTGGTCCCCACTGCCATGGCACTCTTATCTGTGTGCCTGAATATGCATGCTTATTCATCTCGAAAACTGGGCCGTAGGGCCAGGTGTGGTGGCTCATACCTGTAATTCTAGCACTTTGGGAGGCCGATGTGGGAGGATCATTTGAGCCCAGGAGTTCGAGCCTGGGCCACGTAGCAAGACCCCCATCTCTATAAAATAAAATTTAAAAAAAAAGAAAAAAGAGAAAATCGGGCCTTATATCATTTTCTACATCCTATTCGGCCCATGGAAGCGTAAGTGTCTTCAGCCTCTGTTGACCCTTGTCCCCCACCCTTTCTCTGTGATACTCCACCTTACCCAGAACCTGACTGTCCTCAGGCCCTGGGTAGTGGGAGCTGCCTCAAGACTCCTGAGGCCCCACAAGAGGCTTTTGAATTGCAGCAGTGGATGTGGGTAGTTGTGTAGGACAGAGGGAGGCGACAGCATCGTTTCTCCCCTTTCTTCCTTCAGCTGGGGCTGTGGCATGGCAGTGTGGGCCATCCAGTGTCTAGAGGGCTTGTGGCCACGCAGTCGTGGGTGGGATGCATATGTTCATGAGGTTTGCTCTGTTCTTTCCTCTGCAGGGTGTTCAGGATGTGCTAACCTGCGGGTGTCTGTGTGGGTGTCTGAGTGTCAGGAGGTGGGTGTCTGTGTACAAGTATGGGTTGGGGTGTGTGTGTATAAATGTCAGCTTAATTCACACCCCAACAACGTAAGAGGAAACTTCTCAGTCATGAGGTTCAAGTTCTTGTTACTCCTATGAGCTGTAGTAGGAGTGCAGTGAGTAGGGGGCACAGCAGGTATGTAACCCCTGGGCCCAACTCCAACCTGGCCCCTGTGGCTTGTAGCTTCTGAGTCAGAGGGCGTGCATGCTTGTGAGAAGTGTCAGGCCTTTCCCGTTCGCTCAGCAGCTGAGCAGTTCCTTTCTGGGGTTCTTTGTGAACCTGCCTCGCTATTAATCTACCTGTTAGTAAAAGAGATTACAATTGTCGTAATTACAGGGCGCTGCGTCTCCACCGTCAGGACTGAGCTGAGTGAGAGGCAAGGGATGGGAGGAACCCAGCCCCACAGGAAGCTGCTATTAAAAGCCCTCTGTTTGGATATGGCACAAAGACAACAACCCTTCCCGGGGGCTAAGGAGATCTGGGACAAGAGGCAGGTCAGGTTCCGGGGGTGAGGAGTGGGCTAAGGTCCCACTGCAGGCTGTGGGATGACACGGGATGACTGCAGTACTGAGGATGGTGAGAACAGCGGTGGCCCGCCGGCAGCTCAGATACCTGGGAGCAGCACAGGGCTCAGCACCCTGACCACATGGGCTCCATGCTGAAGGCTGCTTTACTTCTGGACAGGCCTTCACCTGCATAGAATGGAAGAGACCTGGTGGCACTTGTCATGGTGAGACAGTGGCTCTCTTCTGAGGGAGCTCCACAGCCACCATGGATTTAGGTGGACAAACAGTGGTATCCTGGTCTGTGGCTAGCATGGGCCCCAGAGCTGTGTGTGATGCATGTGTTCCTGATAGCACAGGGGTTCTCAGTGAGGGTGGTTCTGCCCCTAGGGTATATTTGGTAGTGGCTGAAAACAGTTTTGGTTGTCACTACTTGGGATGGGGTTGCTACTGGCATCTCGTGGGTGGAGGCTGGGATGCTGCTAGCTGTCCTACACTGCACAAGACGACCCCCCATAGAAGACAGTATCTAGCCCCAGCATGAGGGGTAATGAGGTTGAGAAACCCTGACTGAGGCCAAGGAAAGGAACGGCAGCAGGGCAAGCCAGGCCCAAGGAGGGCTCTAAGAACTCCCTGATGCTGAGTCTGGAGACCTTGGCCCACGGTGCTCAGCAGTCTGTTGCCAGGGAGGTAGGAGAGAGGGGCAGCAGGCACACTGGGTTGACAACTGCACTGTGTTGACCCCATGGCGGGCATCAGGGGACCACAGGCTGTGGTTGCGCCTGTCCGTTCTCCCTCCCTTTTCTCGTAGGCTTCTTCCTCCTCCAGTGCAAGAGCTGGATCCAGGATTGGAGAATTTGCTCTTGCCCACCTCTCCATGTCCTCGTTGCCGACTGAGGCACCTGGGAGTGAGGGGCTTGGACATTCTTCCTCAGCTTGAGCCCCATGGACCCCTCCAGGTGGGAGGAGTCCAGAGGAAGATACGCAGAAATAGGAAGGGCTGACACTCTCCAGCTTCCATCTTGCAAGGACACAGGCCCCACCCTGGCTTCTCCCCAACACACATCTGGCCTGGTTTCTGCTCTGAGAAATGGAGCTGGGTGGGGCAGAGGCCTGGCAAGTAAACCTGGATGGAGTGTAGGAAGCCTCCTTCCACCATTCATTCCTGTTGACCAAAGGGGCATCCCTGCAGGCACTCCTGCCTCCTTTTCCACTTTTGTTTTCAACTTTGACTCCCACTACCAAGGAGTTCTCGGGAAAGAGGGTAGGCCTGTGGGTTAGGAGGGCACCATGGAGGGTAGTCTGTGGGGCTGGGTGAGATGGGTGTGGGAACGCAGCCCTGTGTTTAAGGGTATGTGTGCTGCCTGCTTGCTGTGGGCAGGGTGGCTTCTGATGCCCTCCCAGCCCTTGGGCCACTGTGTCTTGTGTTTTCTGCAGACAAAGCATGGAGATTTTCAGCTGTTGTGAATTCTGCGTTTCACACCGAGTCCCTAATAGTGGAATCGCGTTGCCTTCCCCCCCCCTCTTTTTTTTGCCTTGACAGCTCCAACCTTATAATTTTACCTTCTTTTTCCTTGCATACACTCTTTTTCTTCCCTTTCCCGTTCCTGGGGCTTTTGCCATTCATCGCTGGGGACCCCCTTTAGGAGGGATTGCTCCTGACAAGAGGGGAGGGGCTTCCTGTCAAACATTGGGAGTTGATGTTTTGTTTGGTAAAATGTCTGTAAATAGGCTGTGAGGCAGTCGTTCTACATGGATCCCTGTGTATGCCAGCGTCTTTTTGTGTCTGAGCATGTCTCCAAGCATGTGAATGTCAGGAGCAGAGAGAAAGGGAAGGGAAGAAGAAGGGAGGAGAGAGAAGAGGGATGGTGTTTGGGGGCATTGGGATGGCTCTCTTCCTTCTTGGTCTAAATCACAGAGCCTGATCAGGAGAGGGTCAGAGTTCCAGACTCTTGAAGAGTCAGGAAGAACATCAGAAGTGAAGCTACTGCCATCTGAGGTGGCCCTGGGTTGGCTATTCACAGAGGGCTGGAATGGGATGATGGGGCTGTACTCCCCACTAAGGCTGCCAGATCTGGAACTTGACCTTGAAGTCTAGTTATCCAGGACTCTTAAGGCTCTGAGGGTAGGTTGTAATGGAGACTGTTTCTCCTGCCCAGCATCAACGATGAGCCTTGGATTCTTGGGATCAATATCAGTCTTCCACCGTGAATGGGAAACCCATTTCTCCCTGGAGACAGGTTCCTCTGCAAGACCACTCCCTTATTCTTTTTTCTTTCTTTCTTTCTTTTTTTTTTTAAAGTAGGACGCCTTGTTGCTTTAGATGGACTCCTTTGTTAAGCTTCAGGTAGCTTACCTATCCTATGATTTGATTTACAGCAAACTCACTAAAAACATTGGTCAGTTTGATTTCAAAAACGTGGCCACATCCATTTTCCCGCCATCAGCTTTCCAGACCACAGAATGCTCTGCTTTTGAGCTGCTCCTCAGCTGACACCCTCCTTGAATCCATTTTGAGTTGCTCTTCCCTGGCCCCATTAGAAAATGTCGGCTCTGACTACACCATGCTTGCGAACAAAGGTGCAGAACAATTTTGGCTGCTTCGTCCAGGAAATAAATTCCTCTTCGGTGCCAGAAACCATTGAGTGGTGCCATGTGTTGAGCTCTAGGCCCCAGAACTGTGGGCAGGGTTATTGCTCAGGGTGAGGAGTGTGGAAGCATAGGATAAGGAGGCCATGGGGAGGAGACCCTTGCTTCCCGGACATCCCCACGTACTTTGGGTCAAGAACCTGAGGACTTGCCATGTCCCCTGCTCTCTCTCTCCTGGCTTTCCATCTGCAGTTGCCCATGGTATGGCTGGTCTGTGGACTTGGGGAAGACAGGCCCCTCTCTTTGTCCCATGGTGGCAGCATTCCGGCCCGGTTAATTGCATGCCACCCTTCCCAGGTCCTCTTGTTCCGTCTGCTCGATGAAGGTAAAGGCTGATTTCCCTGGGATCTGCCCATGCTCTGCTTCTCGACCTGTGTTTTCACCTGTAATCAGCAATGCCACTTATCAGTGTCTCTGAACCCTATCTCATTTAAGCCCATGACAGTCCAGTGAACTCGGCACTTTTATAATCCTTGTGTTATGCCTAGAAGCTGGCAGACGGAAGAATCTTGCTCAAGGCCACCCACTAGCGAGCAGCAGCCCTGGGGCCTGTCCCCACCCTGCACATCTGCCCCTCACTGCTGACCACCCTGGCTTATCTCAGGGTCTGATTTCTCCTTGTGAACTCTAAACTCTTCTTTCCAGCTACCAGGCAGATGCCTTGTGGACAGCTTGCCCCCGTATCCACAAGGTACCTCCCAGTACTCCTGGCTGCCCTCTGCTCCCTGCTCCATTCCTTGTCTTGGCTGTGGGCATCACCACCTAGCCAAGCACTTGAGCCCTCACAACCAGACTAACCACAGGCCGGTGAAAGGGCTGAAGCCTCCCTGCCTTTTCACCAGGCTGAGTTTTCAGAACTCAGTGTCTTCTCCTCTCTGTTGTATTTTTTTTTTTTAATTCCCCATCTCCCCAGGTTGGATTTGTCTTTTATTAAGATATAATTCACATAATAAAATTCACTATTTTAAAGTGTACAAGGCCAGGCATGGTGGCTCATGCCTGTAATCCCAGCGTTTTGGGAAGCCGAGGCAGGAGGATTGCTTGAGGCTAGGAGTTCAAGACCAGCCTGGGCAACACAGGGAGACCTCATCTCTGCAAAAAATAAAAAATAAAAAAATTAGCAGTACTTGGATTTGTATTTTATTAAGATTTAAATCACATAATAAAATTCAGTATTTTAAAGTGTACAGGGCCAGGCATGGTGGCTCATGCCTATAATCCCAACATTTTGGGAGGCCAAGGCAGGCAGATCACTTGAAGTCAGGAGTTCGAGACCAGCCTGGCCAGCATGGTGAAACCCTGTCTTTACTAAAAATACAAAAAAAACATTAGCCAAGTGTGGTGATGCAGCCTGTAATCCCAGCTACTCGGGAGGCTGAGGCAGGAGAATCACTTGAGCTCAGGAGGCAGAGGTTGCAGTGAGACAAGATCGCGTCACTGTACCCCAGCCTGGGCGACAGAGCAAGACTCTGTCTAAAAAAAAACAAAACAAAACAAAAATTAGCCATGCACGGTGGTGGCGTGCATTTGTAATCCTAGCTACTTGGGAGGCTGAGGCAGGAGGATTGCTTGAACCCAAGAATTTAAGGTTGCAGCAAGCGATGATCACACTACTGCACTCCAGCCTGGGCAGGCAACAGAGTAAGACTGCCTCTAAAAAAAATAAAAAATAAAAAAATAAACTAAAAATTAAGCATAGGATTCAGTGCCATTTAGTACCTTCACAATGTTGTGTAACCATCACCACCATCTAATTCCAGAACAATTCCATTGCTCCCAAAAGAAACTCCATACCTATTAGTTGTTAGTCCCAATTCCTCATTCCTCCTAGGCCCTGGCAACCGCTAATCTGCTTTGTTTCTATGGATTTGCCTAGTTGTGGATGTTTCATATAAATGAGATCATACACTATGTGGTCTTCATGTCGGGCTTCTTTCACGGAGCATAATGTTTTCAAGGTTCCTATATGTTGTAGCAGCAAGTGTCAGTGGTTCCTTTTTTTTTTTTTTTTGAGACAGAGTCTTACTCTGTCGCCCAGGCTGGAGTGCAGTGGCGCGATCTCTGCTCACTGCAACCTCTGCCTCCTGGGTTCAAGCGATTCTTCTGCCTCGGCCTCCTAAGTAGCTGGGACTACAGGCGCCCGCCACCATGCCCAGCTAATTTTTGTGTTTTTAGTAGAGACAGGGTTTCACCATATTGGCCAGGCTGGTCTCGAACTCCTGATCTCGTGATCCGCTCACCTCGGCCTCCCAAAGTGTTGGGATTACAGGCGAGAGCCACTGCACCCGGCCAGTTCCTTTTTAAGGCCAAATAATATTTAATTGTATGGCTGTGCCACATTTTGTTTATCCATTCATACATTGATGGATATTTGGGCTCTTTCCACTTTGTGGTGTGAGTAATGTTGCAGTAAACATGCATGTACAAGCATTTATGTGGATGTATGTTTTGGATTCTCTAGGGTATATACTTAGGAATTGCCCTGTCCTAGAGTTTCATAACTGCATTCCTTGTGCATCTTGTCTGCCCAGCAGTGCTGTCCCCTTAGTGGGCACCCAGGGTCTCTCTGGGTTGGGCCCCTGCTGACCCTTCCATCACTGCATTTCTTTACTTCTCCTATACTGCATATTCCAGCATTTGGAGCTCTCTATAGCCCCTGAGTGTGCTGTGCTATTCCTGCCTTTGGGCCTCTGCTCATGTGTATCTGGCATGGTCCCTTCCCCTTTTGTCTGACGGCCTCTATCTTTTTACCCCCGGCCTGGCTGTCACCTCCTTGGTGCAGCCTTGTCCCGCATCACTTCTCATCCTCTGAGGCCAGTCCCTCCCTCTGAGGGGGCCTCCATTTTGTCCATTACACACCAGCTTTCAGCTGCAGGGGGGTGTTACCCAGGCAGCTTCTCTGGCTCTGTATCTGTGTGGTTCCTGGCGTCTAGCAGGTGCCAACAAACACATGTGGAATTAACTTTAAGGCACTGCATGTGCTTTTCCAAGTGTGCATGTCACAGATCTGTGTGTGACCCACACAGATTTGTATGTCTGCCCCTGCAGACATACAAATGAATATAGAATCAAGGTGTACCTCCCATTACTCTCTGGACCCCTGGGTGTCGGTGGCCTCATATTTGCTTCTCTGTGACCCAGACAGGACTTGGAGAGCTCTAGAGTGATTCTGAGGAAACCCAGTCCCCTTTAACCCAAACAGGTGACCTAACTGTTCCAGACTACTGGGGAAGCTCTGGTCACAGGGGACATGCGACCTGTCTTTTGGCTCTTTCCCTTCACTCCTCTAAGCATGTGGCTGAGTAGCCTGCAGACAGATGGCCTGTCCCTTCCGTCCTTCCAGACCAGCCCCCTTGGAGATGGCCCTGGGCAGGGAGAAGGCAGGCCCCAAAGCAGCCTCCAGGTCCCGGGAGAAAAGCATAGTTGCTACCCTGGTGTTGTTGGTAATGACTTGGCAGTGGAGGGAGGAGGGTGCATACCTCCAGGAGGATAGTAGCAGGGGAGCCACGGAGTAGCTGCCCCATGGCTTGGGTACTGTGCTGCAGATCTCATCGCTGAAGGTGTGGCTAAGGCTGTCCCACCAGGTGTTTGGGATGCTGTCTGGCCCCTATACCAGCCCCACTCAGGGCCAGAGGGCTCTAAATGAGTCACTCAGCTCTGGCTTTGCCAGGTGGCCCAGGGTAGGGGGATGCCTCAGGTGGGCACATCACGGTGCTGCCAAAGACTCAAGGAGGAAGAGGGGTGTGTCTGGCCACTACCCAGAGCTCACTCAGGGTACTAGGGATGGAAGGGAAGAGGAGGGGAATGCTGTCTGACCTGACAGCATTGCACAAGTCAGCCGTCCTGCAAGGTGGCTCTTTGCTGCTTTTCTTCTCGCTGGTTCTCCCCTGTCCTTCTCTAGCTGGGATTCCAGCTCTAGTCAGCCAGTGACATCTCCCCCGTACCCAGGCCAGTGAGCCAGATTTTTTTCCAAGCCTCAAGTCAGGCAGGTTCGGGGAGGAGACAGCCTCTCAGGCGAGTGAGCTCTAGAGGCCCTTCCTCGGAGAAGCCCAGCCCTCCTCCTCCTCCCTTCTTGGCCCTCTCCTCTCCCTGGGCCTCTTCCCCACGTGGCTCATTACAACTCCAGTTGTTCAGGTCTTGACCTCAAGAGCCTTCCCTATTGACCCCTGACCAGCGATACTAATCTGTGTCAACAGGCCCCAGGGGTTAAAGAAACACAACCCGCCGCTGCCGCCTTAGCAGGTGCCTGGAGGGGGCGGGGCGGCTCCCGGGAGCAGCCGGGCGGCTGCGGGAAGGCACTTCTTAGGCGCCGCCTCCTCCTCACAGCGCCCGCCTTCTCCGCTCCGGCTTCATGCTCTCCAGGTTTCTCCACTTCCTTTGCAGACCTCCCTCCTGCCGATTACCCACTCCTCTGTGCCCCATTTCCCTTCTGTCTTTCCTTTGCTGTCCACTCTGCTTGCAGGATTTGGGACCAAACGCCCTCAGGCATCCAGGTGGTGCCCGGGTTGATATGCAGCTGCCTGCCCTTGCACCTCTGGGGGCTTGTTAAAATGCAGATCCTGGGGCTTGTCCAAGTGGGTAGGTCTGGGCAGGGCTCGTGAATCTGCATTTCCACCTAGTACCCAGGTGCTGTTGGTCCTCCAGGCTTTCCCCCTGCCTCTGCCAGCTGCTGCCTCTCTGAGATGTGCTCTTTTGTCTCCAGGAATGGAGCCATCCTTAGGAGACAGAGGCACACTGCTGGCCATCTAGGCTGGGGGTAGAGCCCAGATGGGAGCCCACCTGGATGGCACGAACCACCTGAGTGATCCCCCTGTTCTCAGAACACAGGTGGGTCACCTGAGGATGTCCTGGTGACGATGCAGGAGCTGCCAGGCAGGACCACCATGAGTCACTGGGGGTCATGCCAGTGAGCTTCCTGCGCTGCTGGCCCTGGCTCTGCTGAGGGCCATGTCAGGGTGAAGGGGGCACACTCCTGGCTTAGATAAGACAATCCAGATTCTCTCAGAGAAACAGTCACATGTCAGACATGTGCCCTTTCTTGGGCTGAACCTAGAGTTGTTCATAGCCTGGCCTTAACCCTGCCGATTCCATATACTGTGCTCATCTCGACCCAGTTGAGGCTGTGCTTCTGTGCTTCTTGGAACGGCTCGGCTCCAGGGCCGTGAGGTTGGCACCCCCTGCACCCGTCCACACACACAGACCAGAGGAGTGAGGATGATGAGGACAGGGACATTAATCACAGTTCTGTTCTGCCTGGCACTGCAGCCCAAGTCCCCAGGAGTCTGTGTCTTCCCATGTTCCCTTCGTCCTGTTCACAGGGAGGTGGAAATCCAGACAGAAACCTGCCTTCTCCTCCATCCCCACTTGAAGCTGCTGGTACTGCCTCTGGCCATCCAGCCTTAAGACGTCCCTTCCTTCCGTGTGGCCCCACAGCCACAGGCTGCCCCTCCTGCACAGTGCACACATGTCTGGCAGGAGATGGCCCAGAGAAGGTGCTAAGCAGAATGCGGGGTAGGGCTTCATCAGGGCCTGGTGTGCTGGGTGGTTTGACAGTGTTTTGTGGGGGTCTTTCCTGTAGCTCCAGGAAACCTAGATGGGGGTCAGGCTGGCTGAGGGAGCACCCTTGGGTGCTGCCCTTTTTCCGAGTGCTCTGCTTCTCTTTGACTTTACTCTCTATCCCCTAGTCACCCCAACCCACTCCTTTTCCTTCTTCCTCTTGGCTGTAGCTCCCTCACAGGGCTGGGGAGCAATAGACAAACTCTCCAAAAATATTTTTTTTAAGTTTCCCAAACTTTTCCAGATGCCAAGAAGGGGCCAGGGAAACTGCAACTGCAGAGGGGGGAAGGGGAGAGGAAATGTTCCAAGGCCTTCCCTCCCTTCCGCCTGGAGGCGAGGATAACTATGGGAGCAGGGTGACTCTGGTGCCCTCAGACAGTCCACCTGGAAGGGAGAAAGGCCCCTAACCATCCCACCCTTGCTACCCTCCAGCCCATCCTCCATCCTCATTCCCAAAGCCCCCAGCAGCATGTAGAGGTAGAGGCAGAGAAGGATGTCAGTGGGGCACCTAGGAACTTCTGGGGTTCAGAAGGGTGGATTTGGGACATATACCCCCACCAGTTGAGGGAGGTCAGGAGCTGAGAAGTAGGAGAATCTGTCCCCAAGGGCTCCCTCCCTGGGAGTCTGGGGCCTGATAGAAGAACCTGCCACTGCTGGGGTTGAGGTGTGGGGGAACAGACAGGAGGGGGTGGTGTGTGAGGACAGTACAGGGATCACTGCCCTCCCCCAGTCCCACCCTCAAGGGGTGCTGCCCCCACCTCTACCATTCTGTCCATCCACTCCCTGGACACCTCCTAAAACAAAGGCCTCTTTGTGGTCCTGGCCTACTGGCCTGCGGCCAGCGGCATTCTTTGCGTGTTTCCTGAGCACGGATCCCAGCTTCGTGGTCAGCTCCTCCCCCACCCAGCCTGCTTCCCGGCCTGACTCCTGGTAGCTCAGAGCAGTCCCCTCTCCTGTCCTGCCCAGGGTCCTCCCCCAGTTCCCGTCTCTACCGTGGACAGATCTGGACAGAGAAGGGAAACTCCCAGGAGCTTGGCCACTGGGCCTTCGGTGGGGGTTGGGGGACAAGTGGAGGTTCAACTCCATCCCAGCTCCAGCTGACTTTGGTGGGTTTCGCCGAGCCTCTGTTGATATGTTCTCATCTGTAAAGATGGGGAAAATAACCACCCCTTGGGGCTATCAGGCAGATTCAATGTCTCCAAAACACAGAGCTCCTGCTTGCCGCAGAGTGGAAGAGGCAGTGTGTAACTCGAGCTCCCCATTTCTGCACTGCTCCCTGGGTTCCTAGGGGGCTGGAGGTGGGCTTGGTGGGCGGCTGAGGAGCTCAGAGGAGTCTCCAGAGTCTTGGGTGGGACGTTTCCCTGCACTCCTGTGGGTGCCCCAAACCTATGGCCCACTCCTGGGAGTGCTGAGGCCAGTACCCCAGGGAGTCCTACTCCAAGAGTCGGAGCTGGGTCCGTAGCAAGTGGCCTGCCTGTCCTAGGCCTGGTCTTGCTCTGTGTGCCCCCAGCCCCTCCTGGCATCCATGTCACTCTGTAACAGCAGTGGGGTGTCCTCCCTGGGTTAGGCATACAGGGTGGTTGGTGCCTAGAGCCCTGAAAATAGCAGACCTGAGGAGGGCGGGGGTAGGGGGACCAAGGAGGGATGGCCCAGCTTTTGGAGAACACTTTCGAATGTCAGCAGATGCACACCCTTCAGTCACCAGCCACAGTCACACACAGAGACACACACAGTCCTAATGAAGTCCTAGATCACTGCTTTGGGGGGTTTTCCCCCCCTCTTGTTAAAAAATGTTCATAATTTGGAAAGAAAAGGAGCTTTTTACAAGCTGGCGGCTCTAGAGAACTTTCCGTCGGTTCTTTCTGGCCTCGTGATGGGTGGGGCCCACTTTTCCCTTCCTTCTCTCTCTCCCCCGCTCTCCTAATAATCCCCCCTTTCCAGCCTCACCAAACACACACACCCTTTAGGAGACCTCCCGCCGGCTGTCACCCCAAGAAAGCTGGAGGAAAGCCGAGGACCTGTCTGTGCCCTCCTGGGCCCCATCCAAGCGCCAGGCACAACCCTCCCCCCCTCCCCACTCCTCCCTCCCACTTAGAGGTTGGCCCCCACAGGCCTAGAGTCTTCAGATTGCTAAGCTTCCCAGAATCTGTGCCTGGACCCAGGCCCAGCAGCCTGCCTGCCCTTCCCCGAGGGCCTGCCCCACTCTCCCGCAGGGTGAGGGTCCCCCGAGTCCTTCTTGCATCCGGGGGCCCCGCCAGGGAGGGCAGTGCTGAGCTCACCGCCTCGGCATCTGCCCTCCCCCTGCCTCTGGTGCGAGGGCCGGCCGCACTCCCGCCAGTGCCTTGCTCCCTAATAGCTTTTTAAGTCCAACCACATGTGTCTGTGGAGTGAGGAGCCGCCCCTCACGGGGCCTCGGCTCTCCTCCTCCCTCAGCCAAGACCACCCTCCACTTGGAGCAGCCTCAGGGCTGGGGGAGGGGGGGGTCTGCCTCCTGAGAGCCCATCTGCTCGCCCCGGGCCTAGCTGAGGAAGAAGGGGGCGGGGGTCTCTTTTGGGAGTGTCGCGTGAGGCCAGCCCTCAGGCTCGGCTGGCCCCAGGTTCCCCAGCCTCTCCTCTGGGTCCTGCAGTCTAGGATCCTCTCTCTCTGTAGGGCAGGCCAGGAGGGACTGGCTTCTGGGTGTGGGAGCCTGGGTGAGGAGTCCTCATCTCACCTCGCGCCTCCCTGGCCAGGGACTTTGGCCAGCAAATCTCTCCTTGCACCCAGCCCCACGGAGGTGACCCCCCAGTCGCCCCTCAACTCAATATACGTGTGGTTCCCTGTGCGTGTGAGTGGTCTGTGGGGAGGCCTGTGGGGTGCGGTTTCGCAGGAGGGGAGTGAGGGCTGAAAAGCAACGAGCTAGCAGGCTTGGGGTCCTAATGAGAAAATTGCTTCCAGCCAGGGAGCCCTGCTCTGCGGCTGAAATTGCATCCAGCCCCAGCCAACTTTGCTGCCGCAGTACCCGCCCTTCGGAAGGAGTTGGGGAAGCAGGCGGGCAGGGGGAGGAGCGGGCTTTGCACATGACTCAGGCCCCCCCACCGCCCCGTTCTATATGAACACACCTTGAAGAGTCTCTTCTGCCTCACGGGGAGGAGCTTGAGGGTCAGGCTTGGCTCTGGACCCGACCGTTTGATCCTTGGGAGGCAGAGGAGGGAGTGGGGAGGGATTTCCTTTCTGTTTTGCTCAGTTCTGCTGCACTTATGAGGTGCTCACTGTGTGCAGAGGGCTTGGAGAGGTGAGCTTGCATAGGCTGGGCCCACATAGGGTGGGCCCACCCACCCGGTGGTATTCACTCTTACTGTTAAAGGGTGTTAGGAGCACTTTGTTTTCACAAAGATCCTGCGTGGAGTCCCGCCTTCTAGGATGCTTCATTTGAAATTCGGCCTCCCTGGAGTGGGGTGGGACCCTCTTGCCTGTCCTTCCACTCGGGAGCCCAGTGCCTACACCCGAGGCCAGGGAACCCAGGGGTGAAAACCTGGCTTAGCTACATTCTTCTTTCTGTTCCTCACTTACTTGGACCATTGAGCAGAATCAGCTGCAGAATTTGTGGGGCCCAGTGCAAAATGCAAACTCAGGGCACCTTGTTCAAAAATTAAGAATTTCAAGACAGCAACAGTGGAAGTCAAGGTTATGAAGCCAGCCCTGCTTCCAAGGAAAGCTGGTACCACCCAGCAGCCCACTGGTTCAGGGGCTGTGGCCTTTGCCCTGATCTGAAACAGGAGGTTCCACCTGCTTGTTTCCTGGATCCTGGGGAATCTCTTCCCAACCTGGGACGGTGGTCTCCCTGCTGCTGCATCCCTCAGAGACTCTAACTTTCTGGATTTTAGAGATGTTGCTTAGGGAGGAGGGCTATGAGGGGAGGGAACAGAATGAGAATGGATCACACCTTCAGTGCTTAGAGAGTCTCAGGGCAAGGCCGCACTTGTCACCCTTAGGTGAACCTGACAGTGGAACCATATCCCTGGTGAGGTGGAACCTGCAGCCTGCTGGGCCCAGCCAGTAGCGGGTCAGTGGGACCTTCCCCTCCTCGGGTGGAGCCTCCCCCACCAATGACAAGTTCTGACGGCTGTGCCTGTGCAGAGCGGGGAGCGAGCAGGAGTGCTTGGAGGGAGGGAAGCAGGCAGGAGGAAGGAAACAACCCCATTGTCATCCCCCAAATTACTGGCTGGGATGGCAGGGGAGGAGGCGGAAAGCCGACATTGTTTACTTAATTAAAAGTAAACAACAATTTGCCGCTGCCAGCCTCCCATTAGCTGTGTGCGAGGAGCCCTACGAGCTGCAGACTCGGCTTTCGCTCCCACCAAGCCGGCTCCTGATGCCACACCCCCAGCCTCGGCTCCCCAGGGCCCCGGGCCCTCCCCTGCTCATGTCCTCCTCAGGCTGAGGAGAGGGGAACAAGCTATTAAAAGTAAATAAATACATAAAAAGAAAACCCACTAGTGTCTCAGAGTCCTGTGGGTCAGGATAAGAATGTCAGAAACTGTCATGTGGCAGGCCAGCATGGGGCCTAGAGACCCCTGAGTGTGTACACTGAGGTCTGGTTGTGGTGGGCTGGGCAGGGCAGGGGGCACTTCTTTGTCCAGTAAGCCAGATGTTGGACTACCTGGGGAAGGCAGCCCCTCCCTTCCTCCCTCCCTCCCCGCAACCGAGGCCCTAGTCTATACTACCTGGAAGCCTGGGCCTCTCTGCCCCAACTCCCACTTTTTCCTTTTCCCTTTTAGCAGCTTATAAACATCCTTCTCCCATCTTTTTGGCTCTGCTCCCAGAAGGGGGCTGTTCAGGGATCCTGGAGGGCTGGGGAGAGAGGCAAGCTCCTTGGGGCCTGAGGGGAGAAAGACAGCTGGAACTGGCCCCACCCCCAGGACAGTACAGCTACAAGTGACCCTAGGAACAGGGGAGGGGGTTGCCCTAAGTTGGGGTGAGGTGGGGACCCTCCCAGCTCCTGCTTCTCTGGAGCCTTCAAGCAGGAGGGGTGGTTGGATGGCAAGAGGGGTTTTGCATGGGCTTCCACCAGGCTCCAGGGGCTAAGCAGGACACCTTTCCAGGGATCTGTCCTCAGGAAAGCCCTCACCTCTCCTGTAGGCCCTGCCTGCAATTATGTAGAGCACAGGCTTCCATCTGGACCTCGGTAGGCATGACCTGAGGCCCATGACTTTAAAAGCTCAGGATGTGCGCTGGGCGCAGGAGCTCACATCCGTAATCAATGCCAGCACTAGGAGGCCCAGACCAGAGGGTCGCTTGAGCCCAGGGGTTCGAGACCAGCCTGGGCAACATAGGGAGAACTTGCCTCTTCTAATAGTTAAAAAGGGGTGGTAGCATGCACCTGTGGTCCCAGCTACTTGGGAGGCTAAGTAGCTGGGACCACAGCTGCATGCTACCACCCCCAGCTAATTTTTTAGGAGAGCTAGGAGGGTCCTTAAGCCCAGGAGTTTGAGGCTGCAGTGAGCTATGATGGCACCACTGCATTCCAGCCTGGGTGACAGAGCAAGACCCTGTCTCAAAAAAAGCAAAAAAGAAACAGAAAAGAAAAAAAGCTCAGGGCCCGGATACTGCAGGGAGAGAAGTACAGGAGCACATGAAACGTACCCAGCTTTATGAAACCATTGCTGAGCCTCCTTCTGGGGGCCAGACAGGCAAGGTGGGGAGGGGTAGGTCTGAGAAAAGAGCTAGACTGAGTGAATGAAACAGCCCCAATCCCCAGGGTGTGGGGGTTGAGAACCCTGGTCTGGAGTTGGTCCCTCCAGGAAGATGTAGGTCCCCACTCTTCCCCGGAGCCACCGTCTCACCTTTCTCTTGTCCCATCCCCCATCCTCATTTGCCTCCTCTCATCTTAGTCCTCCACCATTAGGATTCACACATCCACATGCACGTGCACACAAGCGCATAGATCCCGGGATTCGTGCACATCGGGATTTTCACATGCACTCACACACATAGACAAATCTGGGAAGTCTGTCCCATACTTAATTGAATTAAAGGACTGGGGTTTGGCAGGACATTGTGTATCTGAGCTGCAGCCTCTTGCAGCCGTTTCAAGGGCTGATGGTTCAGTCTCCCTGTAATTCCAGCCGCTGCTGCTCCCTGTGGGCAGGTGGCTGGGTCTGCGCCTGTCGCCTCTCCCCTTCCCCTTCTCTCTCCTTTTACTTCCTAGGCCAGAGCCCCCCAGCACAGGGCCTGGGGAGGCTGGGGACACCCAGTGTATTCCTCCTCCCTTCTCCCACTTGCATTCTGGGAGCTAGTGGGAGGTTAGGGCCTCCTGAGGAGGAGGTACCCCCAGCGTGAGGCCAGGGGACTGTCAGAATAGAACAGTCCAGGCAAATCCCTCCTTCCAGGTTTTCTGCTGCCCATTCTTGGAGTGGGAGCTGGAGGCTGCTTGCCACTGGTTGGAAAGTGGACACACTTCTTGGCCAAGTGTAAGCCACCTGGCTTTAAAAGGTGGAGAGTCTGGTCTAAGGACTTTGGGGAACCCTACTGGAGTGGCCAGGAGCCATAATGATTGGGGGAGTGGTGCCAGCAGATGGGGTGTGCTGCAGGGCAAGAGGGATGCTTTTTTTTTTTTTTTCTAATTTGATTTAATTAGAATTCTTTTTTTTTTTTTTTTTTTTTTTTGAGACGGAGTCTCACTCTGTATCCCAAGCTGGAGTGCAGTGGTGCGATCTCGGCTCACTGCAGCCTTTGCCTCTGGGGCTCAAGCGATTCTCTTGCCTCAGCCTCCCAAGTAGCTGGGACTAGAGGCATGTGCCACCACACCCGGTTAATTTTTTTTGTATTTTTAGTAGAGACGGGGTTTCACCATTGTTGCCCTGGGTGGTCTCGAACTCCTGAGCTCAGGCGATCCACTCGCCTCAG
The DNA here is from genome assembly GCF_000001405.40 of Homo sapiens. Classification (NCBI taxonomy): domain Eukaryota; kingdom Metazoa; phylum Chordata; class Mammalia; order Primates; family Hominidae; genus Homo; species Homo sapiens. The sequence continues at coordinate 13,060,042 of NC_000019.10, forward strand.
CCTCTCAAAGTGCTGAGATTACAGGCATGAGCCACCGCACCCGGCCAAGAGGAACGCTTTTGGCCTCCATTTCTTCCCTCCACTTCAGCCTCTGCTTTGGCAGGCTCTGGGGTGGGAGTAAGCCTGTTCTCAGCTCCCCTTTACTAGGGACAGGTAATTCCACTCTGGCTGCTCCTTGGAGAACAGAGTGGATGAACTCAGTCCCCACCTCTCAGAGGGACCTAGTACAGAGCCCAGCCCCCACTCTGAGGAAGCCTTGGATGGGCCATTCCTGGCCCAGAGCCTGAGGCCATTGGAAAGGGCCTATATCTGGAACGGGTGAAGGAGAGAGCCCGGGAGCCTCACTGTGGGTGGGAGGGGCGTGGTCAGCCAGCCTTGCCTCCTGGGGCATCAGCTCCCAGCTTGTGCTGCACCCTCTGACCACAACTTTGTGGGGCGCCTGCTGTGTGCAGAATCTACCCCGAAACCTATAGCTTAGGAGAAGCCTGGGTAAGCTGCTAATGGCTGGTAGTATGGGTGTCCAAGGACCTGTTGGAGGAGCCCAGTCCAGCCCTACATGTGTGACCCTTGGTGCCTGGCAAGGCGGGGGGGTAGGGAGCAGCCCTCGCACAGCCAGCTAGACTGTTTTGCTCTGGGGCCTGAGGATTGCGGGGCCAGGGAAGCAACCAGGCCCAGTCTGGGGCCCTGTGAAGCGATCTGCACTGCCCAGGGTCAGGGGGATGGGGGGGTCGGCCTCACCTCGGCTAACCTCCCAGCGGAACAAAGGGGCCTTTCTCCACGCCCGCCCGGGAGGGTGTGCCCGCCCGGCTGCTGCCGCCACTGCAGAGGGCGCTGATTTTTTTTTTCTTCCTGACTTTTCTCCATTTCTGTCTCTGGTTCCTGATCTCTGACTTTTATTCTCCATTTTTTCACTTTTTATGGGGATGGGGTAGAGATCTTCCTTTTCAAGTGTTTACCAATTGCAGAGACAAGTCTGCACTGCCAAAAGGTGAGGGCATCCTGGGTGCGTTAGGAATACTCCGGGAGTCACGTGGCCTTAGACCCCCCCCTCCCCCCCAAATCGAGGGCAGCTCCGTTCTGAAAGAAGCAGGCAGGATTCAGAGCGGCAGCCACACAGGGTGGGACCGGGCTCACTGGATAACCCCCAGTCAAGCTATGCACCTGGCAGGTCCCCCGCCTTCTATTCGCCCACCCATTTCGCAGTCCCCTTTCCATCCGGCCCATGCACCGCAAGCTGTTCCTAATCAATGCGAACGGGAAACTCGGCCCTCATATCACGGGATGTGTTTGGCAGCGACAGCAACAGGAGCCGCTGCCACGGGCAGCTCCTTCCTTGGTGCATAAACCAGGGTCCCAGTGGCCTGGGCCTGAGTGGGTTCTTCTCCTTCCTCTTGGGACCCCCTGGGTATGCAGAGGGAACCACATCCCCTGGAGCTCTGGGCCGGTCGCTGGCCGCGCCCCGCCGCAGCCCTCGGAGGGCAGCTAGTGTTAACTCGCTGCGCCACCTAGCTATGGCGTCCAGGAGTGCAGCGCTTCGCTCCCTGAACCGCGTCGCTTCCTGAGCCGCGCCGCTCCCTGAGCCGTGCTGCTCGGCAGCCTGGGGAAAACCTCTTTTTGGTCCTTCAGGGAGCTATGAATGAGGAATTTGGCAGCTGTCAGTCGGAGGATCAGTGTCACTTTGTTCCTTCAGCAGCCTTTGCTGTCCTTATGCAAGCTTGGTACTTTATAGTATATAAAACTCAAAGTTAAAATATGTTAAAAAAAAATCTGTAAAAATCCCCACTCACATCTCATGTTGCTGAGCAGGTCTTGGTTGTGTTGCACCAAGAAGCAGGAGAGACACACTGGAGGTCTAACAGCAGCAAGTCTAGGATTTGGAGCCTAGGCTTCTGATTCCAGGCCCAGGGCTCTATGCAGCACTCGGTGCCGTCCTATTCAACCCATCCCTGCCCAGGCTCTTAGGGCTCCAAGCTGGAAATTTGCAGTCAAAGGCCCAGATTCCTCGTATTTCCTCTGGACAGCTCTGGACAGTGGCTGCCTTCGGGTCTCCAGGGCAAGGAGAAGAGCAGGCCTGCGAGAGAGTGCTCTGCCTTCCCCTGCTGTGCTGTTCTCAGTGAGGCTCCAGTTCCTTCCTCTGGTCATTCCAGCCCTTGAGTATGGTGCAAGTATGTTCAGTCCTGTGTCTGGAACCAGCTCGGCTTTGCAGGAAGATTAGCAGCATCAGGGTTTCCACATTAATTCACTGGACATGAGTGTCGGTGGTTGGGCTGCAAGAAAGCTATTCTTTCTTCAGGAGGGGGAAGATGTCAGCTAGCTGGTGCCTCTGTTCCCTGGGTGGTCAGTGTAGCCATGGTTTGAAGAAGGATCTAGAAGGGTCTCTTTGGAGTCTTATCATCCACTGCAGCTGTGCTTTGAGATGTGGGGGATGTAGCAGCAAACAAAACCAACAGAGAGGGCTTGTCCTCAAGGGGCTGATGGTCTAGTGGGGTGTTCCTGGTCAGGACCTCCTGGCCTGAGTGGCCTGGTGGCCAGGTCTCTGGGGCTCTCATGCCTTCCAGAGCTAGAGCCTCCCACTTCCCCAGCCATGGACCAGCCAGAGGTTCCCTGTGTAGGTGGGATTTGGAGGAAAGGCTGTTTAGTTTCCAGCCTCCAGGTGGGAGAAGGGCCCCACTTAAACATCTGATTATGGTGGGCATTTGTGTTTGTTGCTTGTCCATGAGCCCAGGGTCAGTCCCTGCTCCACCAAGGCAAGTCTCTGGGTGAAGGAGGCCCCTTTGGAGTCACCAGCCTGGGTACTGAGTGCTCTCTCACAGGGGTATTGAGTGCTCTCTCACAGGGGTTGAGGAAGTTAGCACCTGAGGAGGGGAGGCAGGTGGCTTCAGCCTAACTCCCACTTCCCCTTCCCCACAGGGTGAATTGAAGTCGGTGGGTTCTACAGTTCTAATCCCAGGCCCTGAGGTTTCCTGGATGGATTCTTCCAAGGAAAGGGAACAGTGGAGGGAGGCAGGAGCAGAACCCTGCTTAAGGCCAGAAAGAGAGCAGGGGGCAGAGAGAGGTGGTGGGGGAGGCTGATGCTCCCCAATCCCTGCCGACCCTCTGTCCTTTTTGATTTCCTCAGGCAAATAGGCAGAGAGCTTAGGGACCTTCCCCTGCCCTGGGCTAAAGTGAATTTCCTGCTCTATAGGGTCTCACTTCTTCCACCTTCCTTTTCTTAGCCAGTTGTTCCTTCTCTGAGCCTTCTCCTTTTCCTTTTCTTCTTCCTTCCCTCCCTTCCCCAGAAGCATTCAGGGGTGGGTGAGTAGGGGCTCCTTGTCCTGGGGTCTCCCCAGTTCCTCACTCTGCTGAGTGCCCACCAGACAGATGCTGGCAGCTGCATGCAGCCCAGCAGTTGTGCACACAAAGCCACTCTTGAGTATCTTTAGGAAAGTTTTCCTCTTTCTGTTTTTTTTTTTCTTCGCCCAAAGGAATAATTTCCTCTCTGCTCTTTTTTGTTTTTGTCCCCTTTCCCTGCCTCTCTCAGAATCTTGTACTGTACTGCTCTGATTCTTCTTGCCCCAGTCTTCTTTCTTTGCTTTGGCCCTGATTCTCTACTGTGGCTCCTCCTCTCTCTCCCTTTCTCTCTATCTTTTAGTTTTAGTTTTGTCTTTTGGTTGCTCTCTGGCTCTGGGGCTTCCTGCCTTCTCGCATCCCTCCTCCAAACTCCTGCTTGTCCCAGGCGCATCCCTTGAGTGGCCTGCAGAGCCTCCGCCTCCTGTTTCTCATACCAGGTTGGCATTAGAGTCTGGAGGACTCTGTCCCTTTATGAATAATTAGACCAAGGGCAAGTGTATTTGGGGGTAGGAGGAGGGTGATGCCCAGCCCTGGGAGGTTGGGACACTATTAATAGCCCTAAGAGCAGCTGGGGGTGAGGGTGATTGTCTGGCCAGCCTGTCCTGTCCTGGGCAGCTCAAAGGGCCAGAAAGGGCAGTGCTGGAAATAGAGAAAGCGGGTGGGGGTGGAAGAGCAGCTCTGCAGGCCCCTTGCTGGGATGGGACCCCCCCCCTCCCCAGGGCCCCTCTCTTTTCTTGACATGTGGGGTATGGAGGGCATTCTCCACTGTCAGTTTTTCTTCGTCAAGTTGGGGAGGGGATAGAAGCTTCAGGGGCTGGGGGCCGCTTGCCTGGACCCCACCATCACATGACTCTTGGCCCCAGGCCCTCTCAGAAATGCTGGCTCCAGCTGCCGGCTGAATCGTGGCACCAGCCAGCACTGCCAGGAGAGGCGCCTGGCCTGGACGCCCATGGGCCTGTGCCTGTGCTCCTGGTTTTCTCAGCTCTCTGTATTCCAAGGCTGGGCTGGGCTGGGCAGGCCTTGGGCCTAGCACTCCCAGAGTCTAGGGGGACAAGCTCTATCCTCCCTTTTCCCTGTTGGCCCTCTCTCCCCCACCCCTGTTTCTAGTATGGTGACTGTCTTGAGACCGTTGGATGGCTATTGCACACCGATGTGGGGAGGGATATGCCTGTACAGGTGTCTGCCCAGGCTCTGCCATTATATTTGCAGAGAAACCTCTCTGTTGCTCTTTGTAGATGGTAGTGGGCCAGGCCCCAAGGGAGCCCCTCTGTTCACTGGCAGTGGTCCCTGGGTCAAGACACCAAAAACTGCAATCTAGGACACACTCACCATGTACTCAAGAGCGTGAGCTCCTGGGGAGGGGAGCTGAGGGTCAGCCACAGCTTCCCCCACCAGGGTGGGAGGTGGCATTTGAACAGAGTTGAGAAGGAGGAATAAGCATTCAGCAAATGGAGATGAAGGGAAATAGTAATCCAGGTGGAAGGACAGGCGACATTTATGTAGCCCCAACTATGAGCCAGGCCCTGAGCTAAGCACCTTATTATACATGTTTTCTCATTTATTCCTTACCCAGGAATGCTAATGGTAGGTGTTATCTCCCTTTTACAGATGAGGAAACAGTTCATAACTTGACCAAAGTCACAGGCTGGTAGGTTCTGGAGCACGGATGTGAATTGGGGGAGCCTTGGTATGCCGTTGCTGGCCACCCACCTCCTTCCTCCTCCTACCCTCCATTTCAGCATGCCCCCTTCGGCCCCTCTGTGCTGGGGCAAGGCCAGCTCACCCAGGATAGGGTATCCACAGTGGTAGAGCACTGTGTTGTACCCCCTCAGTGGACACAGGCTCCAGACCAAGGGCACCTCCCTGGGTAGGCCAAGGGCAGGCTCAGAGGACAGGGGAAGCAGACCCAGGCCAATGGCTCCTGCCCAAGATGTTTTTCTTTGCCTTCTTCCTTGCCTGATCTTTGCCTGTCATCTTCAATCTCTTCTGCTCTGATGGGAATTCCTACCCCAGGTATCTCTGAAACACCCCAGACAGTGCTGCTGCCATGCCCTGGGTCCACTTGTTCCCTCCATAGTCAGGTATCTGAGGTGCTAGGTTTGGTGCTGGGTCACCTTGCCATGGGCAGACACAGGAGGAGCCTGCAGGCCCACTCGCATGTCCCATTGCTGCTGTGGCTGGGGGTCTCATTTATTAACTGTTGGGCTGATCCTGGAGTGGCCATTGGCAGGTGGGCCTTTGTCCACCTGCTGGGTGCTCTGTTGTGCACCAGGGGCATATCCCTTCTCTCTCTCCTTTGCTGGCCACTGCCTGTCATCCCTTGGGGAAGAGCAACTGAGCATTCAGTTCCCCAGTGCCTCCTGGCTTCTTCTGCCGCTCCATGCCTGGGCCCATCTAAAGGAGTTCTCCCTGGGCTGGGGACGGCTGCTAATGAACGGGAGCCAAGCAGAGAACGCTGAGTAGCTCACACCAGAAGAACTCCCTGGAGGGCTCCGGGGCCACTTGCTGGGGATGGAAGGGAGGTGGGAGTTCTATTGTTTTCCTGGAGGAAAATTTTAAGCTTAGGAACACCTTTCTCATTATATGAGGGAGGCAGTGATGGGCTGTGTGGCTGGAAGGCTTCTGGCTATGAGTCTATCTCCACATGGGGAGTGGAGGCAACCAAGGACTGTAGGAGACAGGCCTTCTTCACCTCGACACCGTGTGGGGCCTGAGGCTTTCAGATGAAGTGTGAGACTGCTCTGCTGGTCTCCTGGGTACAAGATGAGCTGATGGACTTGCTTTCTCCTCGCTTCCCGAAGCCTTACTGCCGAGCTGTGAGTCCTGTAGTAGCCAGGCCTGGCACTTGCTCCAGGGGCACCCGTAGAGGCCGGGATGTGTTGGAATGGAGAAAGTAGTTCTTCCTGGGGTCAGGGGATGGAGAGGGGAATGTCCCATCCAGATGCTGGCCCTTCATCTGCCAGGTTCCTGTGCCTTCCCTACCCCCCCGCCCCCAACAATGGCTTTTCTTGAGCCTAGGCCCTAGGGGCAGCCAGAGCAGGCCTAGACCACATGTGGGTGTCACTCGGTTTCTTCCTCTTTCCTGTCACTTATCCCCTCTGCCATGTCCTCTTCCCCCATCTCCAGCAGGTCAGTCAAGTCAAAGGCAGAAGCCCCTTTGGATCTGTGAGCAGGGAGGGAATGAGGAAAGGGGAGAGGACGATAATGGGGTGACATGTTCCCCTGTCCTTATCCCTGCCCCCACCCACAGCTTGCGGGCTCTGCTTCTTGTTCAGGCTCCGGCTTTAAACCATGTGAGACTCTAGGGATGACAGAGGAGGGAAAAACCTGCCACCTCAGGATGACTCCAGGATGTGTGTGTGCATGTGTGTGTGTGTTTGTGCACATGTGTGTGTGCACATGCATGGTGGCTGGTGGAGCAGGGTGAGGAATGGAGAGAAGGAGAGGAAGATCCTAGAAGCCCCGTGGGCCCAGACCCTGGCCAAGCCTCATCCCCCGGCCCTCTGGCTGCCCTGCATTCTCAAGGACTTCCTTGGTCCCCTGAGTCTCCTGTCTGCTGAGACGGGGAGAACCCCTCTGTGACCCGTCCCCTTAGCCCCCCATCTATCCACCGTTCCCCTCCTCAGGGTGTCTCAGATTCTCAGACTTCAGTTTCAGGAGGCACAATAGTTACATTCTCCAGCTCTGATTGCTACAGGCAGGGCCTCTGGCTCCCCTTGAGATTGGGTTTCCTGTGCCCTGGACGCTCCAGAATCTCAGAGGAAGCGGGAGAGAAGTAGGAGGCGGGTGCAGTGCTGGGAGGGCCAGTGATTGGCCCCAGAATCGCATCAGCCCTTCAGAGGATGGGGTGTTGCAGCTGCCCAGAGGCACCCCCAGAACAGAATGTACCCCCACTTGCTTCTGGAATGTCAGGCCTGGGAGGGCCAGGGGATGGGCAGGCACACCCCAAGGGCTGTTCTCCCCGTTTCCAAAGGCCAGCGGTTCCTGCAGAGTTGAAGGGGATTCCTCTCTGGTGGCTCCAGATGTACCATCTCACTCCACCCTTTCTGGACGGCAAGAAGTGGTTAGTGGCACCTCCGTGTGTGTGCGCGCGTGTGTGTGTGTGTGTGTGCGTGTGTGTGTGTGTGTGTGTGTATGTGTGTGTCTGAGTCTGAGCATATGAGTGTATGCATCCAAGTGTATGCACATACCTGGGTATGCATATGTGGGTTCAGCTAAGGCCAAATCTGTGCACACCCCTCAGCCTCCATAAAACTTGTTAGGCCAAAGTCCGTGGGGGCAATTGGCCAGCAAATTATACATGGCCCCTTTCACAGTACAAGTTTGTTTCGAGCAGGAGCTGAGGGCAGTGTTGGCTGTAGCCAGCAGGAATTCCTCCCTCACCCTAGTGGGAGCCATAACTACCTCCCCATCTGTAGGTGGAAAATATATATATATATATTAAAAACATGCATCCGGGCACGGTGGCTCACGCCTGTAATCCCAGCACTTTGGGAGGCTGAGACGGGCGGATCACCAGGTCAGGAGATCGAGACCATCCTGGCTAACACTGTGAAACCCTGTCTCTTCTAAAAATACAAAAAATTAGCTGGTCCTGGTGACAGGTGCCTGTAGTTCCCAGTACTCGGGAGGCTGAGGCAGGAGAATGGCGTGAACCCAGGAGGTGGGGCTTGCAGTGAGCCGAGATCGCACCACTGCACTCCAGCCTGGGTGACAGAGCAAGACTCCATCTCAAAAAAAAAACAAAAACAAAAACAAAAAACAAAAACATGCTGTCAGTTGGAGTTTATGTGCAATCCCAGGCTCCTCCTGGCTGCTGGAGCTTCCCCTCCAGAGCTCTACTGAAGAGGCAGTGTCCTCTTGGAAACACGCACAAGCACACGTGCCTGCAAACAGCAGAAGGAAGAGGGGGGTGCTGAAGAGGTGAGGGGGAGGCAAAGGAAGGACAGAGGGAGGGGAGCCAAGGGAGACAGGGAAGTAAGATCAGAAATGGGGATCCAAGGGGAAAGGCAGCTGAATAAAAGAAGTAAGGTGGGGACTTGTTCCAGGGGCTGAGAAGGGGAGCTGGTGTGGGTGTGAGAAGGGCAATTTTGCAGGAGAACTTTGTGGCTGTTCCAGAGGTTACTGAGGGGCCCCCAAGGAAGAGAGGGGCCCAGAGTGGCCACTTGGCTCAGCCTGGCTCTGGTCTGGGCACTGCCAGAGGCCTCCAGCCCACAAGCTGTTGTTGCTGTGGAATGACCAGTGGTGTGCAGATGAATACAGAGTGGCCCCAGAACCTGGAGCCAAATCCCGTTTCAAAGGCTTCTTCAGCAGAGCCCACTTGGGCCCATGCGGAGGGAGTCCAGTCTTATTGCCTGCTCCTTCGTAGCCCTCCCTTCCAGAAGCCTGCAAAGTGGCCAGAACCATGGGCAGGGGAGGCCTCTGCCTCAGAGACATGGATCTCACGAGTAGCCCAGGTCCCCAGAGAAGGACAGCCCGCAGAGCTGCGTGTTTGTGTGACACGAGCCAGCCTGACACCCCCAAACAGCATCGAGAATGAGCTGTGGGCTCTGAGATACTCTCCCTCCCCTAGCCTGGCCCAGAAACCAGGGACCCCGAATGCCAGCCTGGCCAAGGCACCTGTCGGACACAGCGGCTGGGCTCAGGTTTTAGGCAGCTGCATTTGATGGGCCAAGTGGGAAGCAGCTAAGAGCACAGAAAGAACTCTCCAGCTTCCAGCACCAGCATGGAGGGAAACTCTGAGTTGGTGTGGGGCGAGGGGAAGCAGCAGCACCCACTCTATCCCATCTCCAACCAGTATCTCCAGGGAGCGCTGGGAGCCACAGTCCCTGAAGAGACTGGGAGGGTGGTTGGGTGGCCCTGAACTTGGGGGTGCACAGTTAGTGTCCCCACTGGCTGGCAAGCAGGCTGGAAAGAAGCCTGAGGCCAGAAAGGCTTCCAGGGGACATGGCCCCAGAAGACTGGGGAATCAGAGAGACAGTCCTCGGGGGTGTCGGCCGATGACAGAGGATAAAAGATGAAAGATGGAGCCCGGCACCTGCCCGCGTTGTGCCAGCCAACACTGTCCCTGCCCCTCCACTGGCCCATAGGCCACCAGCTGGCCCATTGTCCCCAGTGAGAGAGCAGACACTGGAGGGGGCTCCCTTGTGGGCAGGGGCTCACTCATGTACGCCTGCCTGGCAGGGACTGCCAGGGCAGAGCCACCCCGGGCTCAGGGGCGAGGAGGAAAGAAGTGGGGGTGGCCAAGAGACAGAGCGTGGAGACTGAGTGGGAGGCCCGGCCAGAGTCCGGGAGGCTGCCCTCCACCTTCAGAGTGGAGAACAGAGCCCTGCTGTGCTGCAGTCAGGTCCCCTCCTGTGGTGTTGGCAGTGGGCAGTGTGCGGGGCCTGCGAACAGGAGATAAAGAATTCAGGCAGAGTGTTTTTTCTCACTAACCGTGGATTTGTGTATTTGTTCAGCTGGTGGCTCTGATAAGCCCCATTCTGCCAGATAAAAGCAGAGCAGCCACGAGGCAGGGCCTGGGGAGGGGCATCCTAAAGGGGCCTTCCTCCTTTCTGTCCCAAATCCCAGGGTTATCCCCTCCCCCGGGGAAGCCCAGACAGGGAAGGCAGTCACGACATGGAGATGCTCTGCAGCTCCTGTCACCTGTCCAGAGCAGGTGTAGACCTCAAGGCAAGGCTCCCCAAAGAGCCTGCCAGGTAAGAAAGCTGGCCCACGTTGTGCCTCTGGTGGGCAGGACGTCTCCTTGCCTCCCCAGGAGCTGCCTCCCCAGGAGCCCTTTCACCATGGACCTAGTGGCCTCTCTGGGCCCTGCAGCCACTGGCTGGTTCCTGCCAGCCTCCTTCCTCTATCTATCCAAGGCACATCCCCGAGCTGACAGGGTGCTCAGAGACCTTCCCCCGTCACATCCCTGGTGTCCCGAGGTGCCTGCGGCCCTATCGGGGCAGGGGTCTACTCTTGCTGAGCTAGTTAAGGCCCTGGCTAGAGATGGCCTGTGAGGACTTTAGCCACCTTTGAGTAGAGCTGCGGTGTCCCCTGCCCCTGGCTTCAGCCTTCCCTGCTCCTTTCACTGTGCTGGCCAGCGGGGAGAAGGAGAACACCACTTGAGCAGATCAGTGGGGCCCTGGCTGCAGCTGCCCCGGCCGCAGGCCTGGCTCCTGTGCCTCTGAGCCTGGGTCCAGATTTCCCATGTCTCTGCCTTTTGTCCTGGAGCTGAGCTGAGCATGTCAGGGGCCGGCGGTCGCGGCATTGTGGGCCTCCGGCTGAGGCCGCCAGCCGTAAGATGGCTGCCAAGGTCTAAAATGGCTGCCAGCAGCGCCCGGAGCAGCGCCCGGAGGCGCGTGGCAGGGGCTGCACTCGCACCGGATCCTTGCTCCCACTTGCTCCTTTACACAGAGCTAATAGTAATAACAGCAATAACGTTTTGGGGCTGTGTCCTGATTTAGAAGGATTTCCTGTCTGTCGCGCTCTCCTGGAGCCCTATTTGTCTCTGCCTCAGTCGCTGGCCCACCTCCATCTCTTTGTCGGGTTCCCTCTCGGCTGTCCCTGGGCTGGGTACGCGCATGCGCATCCACACGCGTGTGCACGGGCACATGACTTGCCATCTCCACTTGGTCTTTCGCAGTGGGTAGGGGCCGCTCCCATGGGGTGGACTGTGAAGCTTCCTCCTTCTTCCCCTGATTCCACTGATCCAGCTCTGGAGGGCTTGGTGGGGACCAAGTTGTCCCTAGGATGAGTGGGGTTCATAGCAGAGAGACCCCTGGGCAGCAGAGTGGGGACCACGTGACCCTCGCTGAGCTCTGCACATGGGTCCTGAGGTTGTGCCCTTCCTGAGCCATGATTTAGAGCAACCACAGGACTGGGGTCTGAGGAGGCCCTGGGGTGGGCTGCCTGCTCCGTAGACCTCTTGGCTGTCACTCCCGGACTGGCTGGGGCTCAAATCAGACCCAGAAACCCAGCAATGGGCCAAGGTGAAAGAGTGAGGTAGTATCAAGAAAGTTCACATTCACACCATGCTATGGCACAGAGAGGCTGCCCTCTCAGGGAACATGGGTAGGCTTCCTCCAGAGCAGAGAGTGCCACTAACAAAGAGATGGCTCAGGGTGGGAACCTCTTTTGCCAAACACACCACCAGGGCTGAGCGAAAGGGGAGGTATGGAAGGATACACCCCAAACCAGAGGTGGTGAAGTATATCCTTCCATATTAAAAGCACTTGTTAGCACTTTCCGTATTAAAAAGAACTACTTTTTCTTGACTCGCTACAATAGTATTTATTTTTTGGAATTAAAAAATCAAAAGTTAAGTGGGGATGGGGTGGAGGGGAAGTGGAGCCTGAAACAGTCACCCTTTTTTACCCATTACACTAAGGCAGGCAGCCTGGAGCATGGCCAGTGCTTTCAGCCCCAGACATGGTGGGGCCCTCATGCTGCAAGCAGGGGTGCCACCCGGGTGGGCTGCATCCTGCCCTCCAGCCCCAGAACCCAGCTCTGTTCCTTGCCTCCCAAGTGACTGATGGGGTCCCTCACCCCAACCCTAGGGCTGATGTCACCTTTTGTGAACCTCCTTTATGGTGGGGGCCAGCAGGTTGAATCAGGGTGGTGGCGAGACCCAGGAGGCAGGAATGCTCTTTAAAGTCGGGCAAAGCCCTGGCCAATACCAAGGCACGTTTTTCAGATGCCACCCCCATGTGGTCCCCCTGTGAGCAGCTGATTCTTCACCAAATGCCTGGCTTCCTCCTGCCCCACAACCTGCCTGGCCCCCCTCCACCACCCTCTCGCCAGCTGTCATGCCCAGGCAGGCATTCTGGAGGTCCCCGTTGTGCCCCTGGCACACAAAGCTTTGAGGACCAGGGGGACCAGGGTGGGGGGCTTTCCCAAGCTCAGCAAAATATTCACACACACACTCCACCCTGCCCCCAGCCCTCTGTGAGCTCCCACTGCACAATGAGCCCTTGTCTCGGGGCTCCCTCTGAGCAGCTGTGGCACCGGGGCATGAGACAGCCCAGACAGGCTGGCACAGAGCGGGCGACAGCGTCAGGGCAGACCTCCCCCCTCTGGGTTGCCAGGCACTGCCTCTGAGCATAAAGGTGAGGTGGGGGAGGCGCAGGCAGACAGGAATGGCTTCAATTAACCAAGTTAGGGAAGGGGATGCTCCTCTGGGAGCTGGAGCTGGGTGGGGGATGGGGGACCCTTGGGTCTGTCCCCGCTGTGGAGAGAGATGGTCTCTGACTTCTCTCTTGGGACCCCTCTTTGCTCCTGACTCTTGGCCGGTGCTTCTTACCTGAGGGTGACTTTGCCCTTAAGGGCACAGTGGACAATGTCTTGGGACAGTTTGGGTTGTCACAACTGGGGTGCTACTGTCATCTAGTGGGTGGAGGCCAGGGATGCTGCTCAGATACCCCACAGTGCACAGGATGGTCCCCACCAGAGAGAGCAATCCAGGCCAAATGTCAGCAGTGCTGAGGCTGAGAAACCTGCACTGGGCCTGTCTTTCCTTCTCTGCTTTGGGTCTCCCGGAGCCTCCTGGGGCTGGTTTGGGGAGAGGGTGGGGTGAAGGTTTCTGTAGCCAGGGTGGGCCGTCCCTGCTCTTGCACCAGGCTGGAGGGGCCAATGCTTGGCTGGTGCTTATGGGGAACTTTGCTCCTGATACATTCTCCCCTTTTGTGTCTCCTGCAGAATCCGGACAATCAGATAGTTCAAACCAGCAAGGAGATGCGGACATCAAACCACTGCCCAACGGTCAGTGCCCCCCACCTGCCCAGCTGCCCTTATCCTTCATGCCCCTCCACTTCCTTCCCCCACCCTGGCTGCCCTGGCCACCCTCACTTCTTCCCCTTCATTCAGCTGTCCCTTGACTGAGCTTAGCTTGCTGTCCTGAGGGGATGGGGGCACACCTAGAGGATCCCCCCTGTTCGGTGTAGACCTGAGGGCTAGCCTGGAGCTGGAAACGGGACTTGGGAGGGAGAAGCAACAGTGTGGAAGACCTTTGGAAATAGCCAGGCAGCCCCCTTCTGGCCTTGTCTTGACTCACTCATCCTTTCCCCTCTTCAGGGCACTTAAGTTTCCAGGACTGTTTTGTGACTTCCGGGGTCTGGAATGTGACGGAGCTGGTGAGAGTATCACAGAGTAAGTGAGTCCTTCCTTCCAGGCCAGGGATGGGGATTGAAAGTGAGGAGGTGGGACCTCATGGGATGTCCTCCTAATGGGGTCTTAGGGCAGGTGGATGGGAACAGATGCTTTCTGGGACACTCTCGGCTTCACTGGTGCTGGGCTGGGTACAATAGAGTCTTCCAGAGAGGCCTGTCTCCAGTCTCCATTGCTTTGGAGGAAAAAGAAAAAGTCACAACCAAAGGCTCTTCTGTGACCCACTAGCTGGGAGGAGGTTCCTCAGCAGCCCAGATGGCCCACTTTCTCCCATCTCCTGGCCCCACAGTAAACTCACCCTGGGCTTCTGGGAAGCTGTTCATGACAAAGAAACAGACCCCATCAGGCCTCCCCCCACCTCCAAACCTCATCACCCTCTCGTTCTTCCCAGCTCCTGTTGCAACAGCATCAGGGCCCAACTTCTCCCTGGCGGACCTGGAGAGTCCCAGCTACTACAACATCAACCAGGTGACCCTGGGGCGGCGGTCCATCACCTCCCCTCCTTCCACCAGGTAAGCCCAGTGGCCCTGCCTTTCCATCTTCTCTCCACTCCCCCCAGGGCCAGGGCCGTCCCAGTGGCTATAGTCAGCTGTGTCACTGAGGCTAGGGTGCTTCAGAATGTCACCTCTCTCATTGAGGGCACTGGCTCTAACACTTTAGAGTCCACCATGCGCAGTCACCCACTGAGCTGCTTTGTGCTGTCATGAAGGACCCAGCCCTGGGGACACAAACTCGCACAAGGCATCGCTTTGCCTGGAAGTGGGAGTCCAAGAAGGTCTCTGTCTTGGGGAGGTGACATTTGAGCCCAGACACAGAGGGGGTTGTTGGGGGGTATGGGGAAAATGTTCCAGGAGAAGAGGGTAGCCTGTATCCCAGTTCAGCCTGCACAGGCTGGCGGGGCACCCTGCAGAGGGCTTTGGAGGCCAGAAGAAGGCATTTAGACTTCATCCCTGGGTAGTGGGGACCCCTGAGGGGTTTTAAGCAGGGGATGCTGAGGGTGTGTGTTCCAGAAAGCTCTCTCCAGCAACAGTGTGTGTGGGCGGGACTGATAGCCAGTTAGGAGGCCATTGGAAAGGCTAGAGTGGGGGAGGGCCTGGAGGGTGGGGTGGATGGAGAGGGAGGGAGCTGCTTGGGAGGCAGGGATGTGGGTTCTGGCCAGGGCAAGTTGTGCTGGGCAGGGTCCACTCCACTTTTTTTTTTTTTTTAAAACGGGTGTTTATATTAATTGCGAGATTTTTGGCATTCATTTTGATTTTTTAAAAATATGGGACTAGGCCAGGCTCGGTGGCTCACGCCTGTAATCCCAGCACTTTGGGAGGCCGAGATGGGCGGATCACGAGGTCAGGAGATTGAGACCATCCTGGCTAACACGGTGAAACCCCATCTCTACTAAAAAATACAAAAAATTAGCCAGGCGTGGTGGTGGGCACCTGTAGTCCCAGCTACTTGGGAGGCTGAGGCAGGAGAAAGGTGTGAACCCAGGAGGCGGAGCTTGCAGTGAGCTGAGATCACGCCACTGCACTCCAGCCTGGGTGACAGAGCGAGACTCCATCTAAAAAAAAAAAAAAAAAAAAAGGAACTAAAATATTCTTTATATTGATGACTGAGTTTTATGGCATTTTTGTCCCCCTGACATTTTTGTCCCTCTGACATTTTTGTCCCTGTGAGTACGTCATTCACCTCACCCTAGCCCTGGGGGCTGCCAGGAAATCATAGGTGGGATACAGGAGGCAGCTGAGGGTTTTGCCGACTTCTCTGATGTGGGCAGCTTGGAGGACCGTGGCATCACAGATTGGGAAGGGGCTTGAGGAAGAGGAGCAGGTTGAAGCTGATGGCTTGAGGGGCCCTAGGGCTGATCTTGGGGTTGGGCACGCAGTGAGTGCCCAGAAATGCTGCTGTCGGCCGGCACCACTCCCCACCCAGAGGGCCATCTATGCACAGTTCTTTAGCCTGGACTCTTGGTCACTCCCTGGAGCCTCAGCCCATCCTTGGCCCATGTGACCCTTTCTTTCTTCCCCAGCACCACCAAGCGCCCCAAGTCCATCGATGACAGTGAGATGGAGAGCCCTGTTGATGACGTGTTCTATCCCGGGACAGGCCGTTCCCCAGCAGCTGGCAGCAGCCAGTCCAGCGGGTGGCCCAACGATGTGGATGCAGGTATGGGTGCGGGGGATCCTGACCCAGAGCAAGGGCAGCCCAGAGTCTTTTTGTCCCCTTCTCAGTTCACCTGGTGAGCCTCCCACCAGTTGTCCCCCTGTCGGGGGGCATTACCCATCTGTTTTCTTGCCTCCTGATCTTCCAGGGAGGGCAGAGCAGGCTGAAGGAAGGGAGTGGAGGTGAGGGTGAGGAGGGGTGCTGTGAGAGTCAGCAGCAGAGCCCGTGGTATGGCGGTGGGAAGCAGAGGGGGTGCCAAGCCTCTGGTGCCCCACAGTGGGATGGCCGCAGCCCCTCCTGGTATTTCTCTAGAGGTTGCCCCACCCCGTGGCCTCATGGTTGAAAGCAGTTTCTCACCCTGGGGGCTCATCATTCTGTGTAGGGGATTGTTCTGTGCATGGCAGGATGTTTAGCAGCATCCCTGGCCTCCACCTACAAGATGCCAGCAGCAAAACCCCCACCCCCAGTTTTGATGACCAAAAACGCCTCCAGACATTGTCAGACGTTCCCTAGTGGGATGGAATCCTCCCAGGATGAGAACCACTGGTCTCAAGGGCCCAGCTTCACAGAGAGAGGCTCAGAGTCTAGTGAAGAATGAGCAGAGTCCTTTTGAGACCAGGTAGGGAAGCTAGCGAAGGGGAGAGAGTACAGAGGAAGCCAGCTCAGACCTTCCCAGTCTCCTCTAGGGATCTTCTTCTTGTTGAACCCACCCCCCTTCACCTCCATTCTTGACTGAGGGTGCAGACAGACCTAGAGAGGACTCTGGAAGACAGCATGTAACACGTGCGTGTGTGTGTGTGCATGTGCATGAGCACATGTGTGTGAGGAGGCTGGCCGCAAGAGTCCCCCGCTGACGTGCCAGTGGTACAGCCCGTGTTTATCCTCACTGTGGGTGTGACAGGGCCTGGGAGTGCAGACTCACGCGTGTGGGTTGTGCACAGGGCATGGCTGCTCTGGACAGGCCTGGGCCCTGGGCATCATTCTCCTCCTCCAAAAGGTGAGGGTCTGACCTAATGGTACTTTGTCTGATGTTTTCCAGATATGCCCCTACTGGGAAGGGCCAAGTGGGCAGGCAGAGTCTGGGGTGGAGCGAGGTGGGGCTGGGAAGCACTCCTGCTTTTCTGCTGCCCCAGAACGAATGCAAGTTCTGGCAGCTTCTCCTCCTCCTGGGAGGAGGAAAGGAGGGCTCGCCTCCAGGCCTCAGGCTGAGGGAGTGGGCTGGAGACCCTCTAGATGGCCAGCAGAGGCTGGCCTCTGTGAGAAGGCTTCCTTGCGTGACTCTGGGGCCCCTCCCAGGCTCTCCTCGTGGCAGGCAGGGACTTGGGCCAGCATGGGCCACATGCTTCCCTAGGGGAGCCTTGAGAGGCAGAGAGAGGAGTTGAGAAGGCCCGGGAGACTCTTGGGCTACATCCTGGGTCCCTGGCCGGGGCCTCAGTAGGTGACCCCTTCTGCAAGGACTGCCCCTGGGGTGCATAGAGGACTGTGTCTGCAGCTGGCTCCTGGGGCAAGGGCTCCTGGGCTCCTGTGCCCAGACCTAATTCCTGAGGAGCCCCCCTCTTCCTGGCTCCTGCTCTCTCCTTTCTTGGCTGTCTGCTTTTGCGCCTGCCATTTCTGCATTTCTGCTCCTTCCGGCAGTCCTGCCACGCACGGCCCCTCAACATCCTCCTGCAGCACCCTCCGGCTCCCTTTTCCCCTCACCCCGCTGTGTGTTGTTTTCATGGGCTGCAACAAATTGCCAATTAAGCAGCCCAGCTGCAGGACAGGGAACAGCTGGGGAGGCACTGTGCGGCCATGGGGACAGCTGTGCACAGCTGGTAGGATGCTCCCCCCTCCCCACTGTGCCAGCTATCAGGTGGCACACAGCTGCTGCCAGATAACACCTCCGCTGGCGGCTGGGAGTTCGCCCTTCCCCCGCCCCTTCCCTCTGCAGTTAAGATGGCTCTTTATTTCTCTGTTCTGCAGCCCCTCCACCCCTCACCCAAACTGACTTGATTTGTCCTCCAAGGGTGGCAGCTGTGAGATCTGCCCCAACTCTACCTTATCCTTCCCAGCCTGGGCACAACCTTAAAGCTCAGCCCAAGATGGGAGCTGATCTTTCCAGAAGAACCTGGCCCCCTGGGGGCCCTGCTTTGTCATTTGGATGCTATGGCCACTGGGCAGAGATGAATTTCTAAAGACAGACTTCAAACAAGGTGTTCTCTGTGCCCTTGTTTCATGCTGAATGCCACCCACACCTCTGGCACCAGAAGCAGGGCAGAGCCCTGAAATTATCCATCCTATGGCAGCTGAGCTTCTGGGTCCCCTGGCTGGGGGAGTCTTCTCCCCTCTGGCTCTGCCTGCACAGCCCGGCTAGGCCTGAGCAGCCCAAGGACTCTCCAGGTCCTCTGGCCTCTGTCCCTGCTCTCTCGCTGGGCATTGTGTCCCTCCTGAGGGCTCATGGCTGTGTGCTCCCTTCCCTAAACGGGGCCCTGGCTTCTTCCCACCAGAACCTCCCATGGCCCCGGGCACCATGGCATAGACCCCAGCCTGTCCCTCCCAAACTTACCCCTTCCCGGCTCTCAAGCTGGCGCCCTGGGGTTCCTCCTGCACTCCTTTCCCAATGTTGGTCCTGCATCCCACCCTTTCACTTCATTACCTGCTTGCCAGGGCATAGGCTGGGGCCCTTGCTCACCCCCTGCCTGGCACACACCACCCCACATTACCCAGGGGCCTCGTTTTCCTCTCTGGTTAGAAGCACCCCTTGGCTGGCCTACACACAGGGCCTCGGAACCAGGCCTAGAACAAGGCCTGGGACTGGGCAAGGAGCAGCAGGAGGGAGCACAGTGGAGGAAGGGGCAGTGGGGAGGGGCTGAGGAGAGAAGGAGCGAGCTGCTGGCTTCCCGCCTTCCCCGCACCCACCCCAGCCCAGCTAAACCTGCCCTGTGTTGCTGCTTCCTCCCCCCAGGCCCGGCTTCTCTAAAGAAGTCAGGAAAGCTGGACTTCTGCAGTGCCCTCTCCTCTCAGGGCAGCTCCCCGCGCATGGCTTTCACCCACCACCCGCTGCCTGTGCTTGCTGGAGTCAGACCAGGTGAGAAATGGGGGGCCCCGGAGGGGGGCAGTTGGGGAGGTGGCTGAGTATCTAGGGGCAGCTGGCCAGGTGAAGGGGCCAGAGCTGACCCCGAGTGACAGCCCCACGCTCTCCAAGTGGGCCAAGGTGCAGCAGCGGGTGGGCATGGGAGCCGGCCCCTGCTTCACGTAGCACCTCATCGAGGACCAGGCCGGGCCCCTGGGCTGCCCACCTGGCTCCTGAGCAACCTCCCACTTCTCACTCCTCACGTGCATGGGTGCTACATACAACACAAGCCTGTCCCGAGTCCTCCCCAACTCTGGCCCAGTTCTCCTTTTGTCCTGCCAGCTGTGAGCGGGAAGGCACAGCCTTCTGCTCTGCCTTCCTGCCGGCTCCTCTCTCCCAGCTCCTGGCTGAGCCCAGGCTCTGGATTTTTGCCAGCATGAGCCCAGGTTGATGTGGGGCCTGGATGGAGAAGAGTACTCCTAAGGAGCCCAGGCTCCTGCGGCAAGTAGCTACCTTGTCTGGGCCTCCCTGCCGCTTTCTAGAAAGGAAGGGCTGGGTCTAGGGGACAGGTGGTACCTGGGCTGCTCCCCAGGAAAAGGAACTGCCCACTGCCGTGGGGCTGCTCTCTGACTTCAGTGTCCCAGTTGAGAAGGTGCTCAGGATGAGAACACCTAGATCGCCCTGAGGAGATAGGATCAGGCAGGAGGCTGTGGGAGCTGAGACCTCAGCCCTGTCACTCCTTCACTTTCTTCTTCCCTCTCTGGGCACCCACCTGGCAGCAAGAGGCCTGGACTTTTTCTGGATATGGCCCTATGTCCGCCTGCCATCTCCTGGGCTCGTATGTAGGACACAGAAAATGAGGAGGTTTACCTCCTGGCTTCCTCCTTGGGGCCTCCTGGCTGGGAGCCCAGAGGCAGCCGGTGCTGGGGCAGGGTGTGGTGGCCGCGAGGTGGGGGTGGGGAGCCCAGGCCCTCTACACAGGCAGCAGGAGGGCGCAGGCCTGGCTCCTCCGGCTCCACCTCAGCTTTTATGAACTCCAGAGAGAAGCCAAGTTTCCTCAGCCCCCTAATGAAACCGAGAGCAAGAGCGAGCTGATTGGAAACAGACGGGAGGAGGAAGAGCTGGGGCCTGCTCTGGGTTGGGAATTGCGTGTGCAAGGACGCGTATGTGAGGACACGTGTGTGAGTGATGAGGCTGAGCACATGAGAACACCGCCTAGGTGGCGGTGGCTGGGTGCACACCAGCTCGCACTCAGGAGATGTGTGTGCATATGTCAGACGGCCATCCTGAGCAGATGCTGGCTTTGTCTTCATCCAGAGCCCCAGGGAACCCTCTGCCTCCTCTTGTCCCCCACCCAGTCTCCCACCCAGGGCCTGAATTAAGGCAGGGCTAGTGAGGCACTCACCTTAGGTGCAGAGTGTCAGCAAGTATCAAAAACTCAGTCATCAAGATAAATAATATTTTAATGGAATATGTTTTAAAATCCAAACTATTGCAAAAAAAAGGGTATGGTAAGCAAACACCAGTTTTTTTGTTTGTTTTTCTTTTTCTTTTTTCAAAGACAGTTTCCTGCTCTATTACTCAGGCTGAATGCAGTGGCACGATTATAGCTCACTGAAGCCTTGAACTCCCAGACTCAAGTGATCCCTCCTGTGTGCCACCCTGGCTAATTTTTAAATGTTTGTTGTAGAGACGGGGTCTTGTTATGTTTCCCAGGCTGACCTCCAACTCCTGGATCAAGTGATCCTCCCACCTTGGCCTCCCAAAGCACTGGGATTACAGGTATGAGCCACAGCACTCAGCCATGTCTTTGTTTAAAATGGTTTAAAATGTTGAGGCTGGGCACAGTGGCTCATGCTTGTAATCCCTGTACTTTGGGAGGCCAAGGCAGGAAGACTGCTTGAGGCCAGGAGTTCGAGGCTGCAGCGAGCTGTGATCATGCCACTGCACTACAGCCTGGATGACAGGGCGAGATCCTGTCTCTATTTAACAGATACTGGCTGGGCGCGGTGTCTCACGCCTGTAATCCCAGCACTTTGGGAGGCTGAGGTGGGCGGATCACAAGGTCAGGAGATCGAGACCATTCTGGCTAACACGGTGAAACCCTGTCTCTACTAAAAATACAAAAAATTAGCCGGGCGTGGTGGTGGGCGCCTGTAGTCCCAGCTACTCGGGAGGCTGAGGCAGGAGAATGGCGTGAACCCGGGAGGCAGAGCTTGCAGTGAGCTGAGATCGCACCACTGCACTCCAGCCTGGGTGAGAGAGCGAGACTCAGTCTCAAAAAAAAAAATTCTTTAGGCTGGGCACAGTGGCTCATGCCTGTAATCCCAGCACTTTGGGAGGCCAAGGCAGGCAGATCACTTGAGCCCAGGAGTTTGAGATTAACCAGGACAATATGGCAAAATCTCATCTCTAGAAAAAAAAAAAAGCAAAAATCTACCAGGCCTGGTGGCGTGCACCTGTAGTGCTGGTTACTTGGGGGGCTGAGGTGGGAGGATTGCATGAGCCCAGGAGGATTGCTTGCCGTGATCCGTGTTTGTGCCACTGCACTCCAGTCTGGATGACAGAGCGAGACCCTGTCTCAAATAATAATAATAACACTTTTTTAAAAAGCCAAATAAAATAAAGACAAGATCCTACCCTGCCTCATCTGCCTCATCCTAATCTCCCAGCGCTGGTTGTGATCAAACTTTATTTACAAAAACAAATGGCTGGCCTTTGGACCCTAGTTTGCCTATTTGATTATTATTATTATTATTATTTTTGTATTGCATTAAAACATCATGGATCCTGATGACTGACTTTTTTGTGCCGCCTTAACTTTTGTGCCTGTGGCGGCTGCCTTACCTGCTCAGGATCCTCAGGACCCTCTGACCGGCAGCTCCCCTCCTCTCCTGTCCCTCCCACTGGCTGCCTCCTTGGCCCTGACGCCCTTTTTTCCCTGCCCACGTGCATGCAGGGAGCCCCCGGGCCACAGCATCAGCCCTGCACTTCCCCTCCACGTCCATCATCCAGCAGTCGAGCCCGTATTTCACGCACCCGACCATCCGCTACCACCACCACCACGGGCAGGACTCACTGAAGGAGTTTGTGCAGTTTGTGTGCTCGGATGGCTCGGGCCAGGCCACCGGACAGGTGAGTCCAGAGGGCCCCAGGAGCCCGGCTACAGCCTCATCTCCACATCTATCTGTCTGTCTCAGGGCTCACAGGGAGAGGGCCCAAAAGCCAGGAGCCCACCTGGGGCTGGAGCAGCAGGGAGCTGGTAGTACCAAACGCCTCGATTTTCTGGGTCTGGGGACGGGGGTCTGTGTATTATGCCAGGGCTTGTCTATCATGGTCCGGAGAGGTGGGGGCAGCATCTGGGCCCCCTTGCTCAGTCAGGCTCCTTGCCTTTCCCATGGTCCTTGCCCCCTCAGCAGGAGTGAACTCATGATGATCCAACCCGGATCTGGGCCCTGACCTCCCAGCGCTCCTCTTAAACCTCGGGGCTGCAAGGATTTGCTAGATTCTAGACCAGGGTTTCCCCAGTATCAGCACTGTTGACATTTGGGGCTGTTTATTCACTATTGTGTGAGACCATCCAGTGCTCTGTAGGATGTTGAGCAATATCCCTGGCCTCCACCTGCTAGATGCCAGGAGCACCTCCTCCTCCCCAGTCTTGATAATAAAAAAAAGTCTCCAGATTTCAGTGTGCCCAGGAGGGGAAGACCATCCCTAGTGAGGAGCACTGTGTCAAGGGAAAGCCCCGATCCACATAGCTGCCACGGAGACTCCTGCTGGCAGGACTTTTAACAAAGGGTTCCCAGGACGGTCCTGGTTCTAGAGTGAAACCCTGCTGCTCCTCAGCCCTGGGAGACACACTGGCTCCCCCCAGAGCCCTTCTCTGTCACTGACAGAAACTCAGGGTTGCTCAGCGAAAGAATGATCCCAGGAGGTGGTGGGCCAGAGATGACCCTTCAGTGGGACAACGGTCCCTGGTTGGAATGTGGAGGTTTCTAGACCTCTGGGAAAAATCCAGAGCCTCAGCAGCATGCTGTAATAGGAGAAGCTCTAGCTCCTCTGTAGCCAGCCCTCCCAGCTTGGAAGCCTGCTGCGAGAGGTCAGGCAGGGAGGATGCTCAAAGGGCTGTGGTGGGGAAAGGCATCCCGGAAGCCCACACCAGAGGCTGCCTGCTGCCACCAGCCCCGTGCTGCCTTGGTGTGCTCTGGCAGAGCGAGCATTTGCTAAGTGCTGGTGTATTGATTTGCGGCGGGGCCGTGGCTCCGCCTCCTCACTCTGTCCCTAAGGGAAGCCAGTCCTCTTCCCTCCCTCCTGTTCCCCTCCTGCTCCTTTCCTCCTCGTCTCCCTTCTCCCTTTGCCCATCGAGGGTTTCTCTTGGCTGACTCTGCAGCTCCTTAGCATACTGGTAGCTTCGCCCACCTCTCTCTGGACAAGCTCTGTCCACTTTTAGGGCCATGGAGGGAAGAGCAGACCTGACCTCTGACAGCTGCTGTGCTTGCATCAGAGATGCCAGCAGAGTTCACGGGGAGCTACCAGCCTATGCCCAGCCCCCAAGGGGCCTGGGGTCTGGGATATGCCGCAGAGAGGCCTGGAACATTACCTTACCTGCTTTCTTAACTACCGAGGCAGCCAGGATTTGGAGTCAAATTCAGGCTGGCCTAGAGACCGGCCAAGGTTAGGCCAAGGAGCCAAACCTAACCACAGAACCCTTGAGAAAGTGGGTCATTTAGTCCCCTGGCCATTCTGAGCCTCTGGTCCTGAGGGCTGGGTCCTGAGCCTCTCCCTTGACTTGACTGTTCAAGATTGAGGACTCTGATATAGAGCCATAGTTTTTAAAAAAACGACAGAGGACTCATTTTGCCTAGAAGCTTCTCTTCCTGAGGCAGGCACTTGCTCCAAGCAGACCATGGACAAAACACCGCAAACAGGCACCTTGATTAAGCAAGGAGTGTGGCCCAGCTGGGGAGCAACTTCTGAGTTTCCTTGTGTGGCCTGTGTGGCCTGTTGTACTGAAGAGAGGGAGAGGGGGCTCAGCGGGGAGCCTGCTTGATGGAGCCCACGCCCGGCTTCTGGGAGGAGGCTAGAGACAGCACTGTGCTACACAAGAGGCTGATGCATAGCTGCAGAGAGCCAGAGGGCCCGGCTCCGCCACTGATCCAGTGGGTAGGGAGTGGCAGCGCCCAGCTGTGCTTGCACTACAGCCACTGTTAAGCAGTGCTTCTCAGACTTGGCATGCGCGAGAGTCAACTAGAGCCCTGGCTAACACACAGATGGCTGTGCCTCACCCCCAGAGCATCTGATGCAGCAGGTCTGGGGTGGGGACTAAGAATTAGCATTTTTCCCAACTTTCTAGGTGATGCTGATGCTGTTTCTAACCTCCTTGAGAATCAGAAGTCACAGATCAGTTTTGCAGGAAAATGTCTGCATAGAAGAATTTTAGGCTGGGCGTGGTGGCTCACACCTGTAATCCTAGCACTTTGGGAGGCTGAGGCAGGCAGATGATTGCCTGAGCTCAGGAGTTCGAGACCAGCCTGGGCAACACGGTAAAACCCCTCTCTACTAAAATACAAAAAATTAGCTGGACGTGGTGGCGTGTGCCTGTAGTCCCAGCTACTTGGGAGGCTGAGGCAGAAGAATCGCTTGAACCCGGGAGGCAGAGGTTGCAGTGAGCCAAGATTGCGCCACTGCACTCCAGTCTGGGCGACAGAGTGAGACTCTGTGTACAAAACAAAAACAAAAACAAAAAAAACCCAGAATTTTATAGACAATTGCAGAAGGGTTCCCAGGGCACACCTATAGCCATGGCCTTGGACCCTAGGGTAATAACAGCCAAGGCCATGTGGAGACACTATGCAGAGGAGATGCAAAGGGCAGTTAAGAGGATGCCTGGTTAGCTGTGTTTCAGGGAGAAGGAAGAGACTGCCAAGTGAACATGATGGAGAAATCACAGGGCCCAATGGGAGAGCATGACTCCGGGAGGCAGGATGCCTGGTCCTGGCTCAGTCTTACCATCATTGTCTGAACAGCCAGGCCCACGTGTTTATCTGTAAGGTGAAAGTGAGGAGCTGGTCGGGCGCGGTGGCTTATACCTGTAATCCCAGCACTTTGGGAGGCTGAGGTGGGCGGATCATCTGAGGTTGGGAGTTCGAGACCAGCCTGACCAACATGGAGAAACCCCGTCTCTACTAAAAATACAAAAATTAGCCGGGCATGATGGTGGGTGCCTGTAATCCCAGCTACTTGGGAGGCTGAGGCAGGAGAATCGCTTGAACCCGGGAGGCGGAGGTTGCAGTGAGCCGAGATTGCGCCACTGCACTCCAGCCTGGGCGACAGAGTGAGACTCCATCTCAAAAAAAAAAAAAAAAAAAAAATTGAGGAGCTATACCACCTTCCAGGCTCCTTCTAGCTCCTAACTCCTGAGGTTTTAAGGCACTGCACAGTCACAAGACCTTGAGGTTTTTAAAACCTCAACTGTACCCCAGTCAGAGCTGAGACATGCCAGCCTGGTTGGAAGTTACATCTAGAAACTGAATGTTGTAAATCAGCAGGTTTCAATGTCTGGCCATATCAGGCGGGGATTAGCATTATTGGGTGGGATTAACGATTTAGATACTCCTCGGGGAGACAGGCTCTGAAGCTGGAGGAAGGCAGAGGCCGTCCTGTGGTTGCTTGGAAGGCCTCTGTGTCCCAGTCCCCTGGGAGCCTGAGCTCGGGACACCTGGAGAGGAGGAGTGAGGCTGTGATCAGACCGTCCCATTCCCTCCTTCTAGGCAGGCATGGAGATGAGGGGAGGCGTCGCATCACCTTTCTCTGCAGCGCTGCAAACCCCCACGCTCTGACCTGCACTGTTACCTGGAACTGAGGGTCCCTTTCCAAAACACCTGCACAAAAGTTCTCCAGCCCTTGACACATATGGGGACCAGCAGCCACTGTTTGCTTTTGTCAAGGGCCACTGAGAGTTGTCACCCTTGGAGTGGGCAGGAATGGGTCAAAGGAACCATTTAGAGGGACAGTGTGTCAGACCTAGATGCTGGTCATCGTGGTAAAAAAACAGTGGGCAGAGAAGCCAGAGTTCAGAAGGGCGTGGCTGCACAGGCCAGCCTGGGCTTCCGTGACTTTAAAGTGCAGCAGGAAGGACAAGTCGATCCCACGTGCTTAGTGGTACTTGAGTGCTGCATGCTTCTGCCGACTTGTTGGGGAGCTGGCAGGGATGGGGGAGTGGCCTGTTTTGAAGGTTCCAGTGAGATCAAGAATGTCCTAGAGAAACAGGGCAGAGAAAGATAGGTTGTGATTCAGGGGATCTGGCTGGTCCCCACAGAGGGGACAGCGTTTTTTGAGCAGGTCTTGAAGGGTGTGGGAAATAGTCTTTCATACAGAGAGCTTCGCAGCAAGCCAGCGTGCAGTCCTGCCTGCTCGGCCTGTGTTCCGGAAACCCCAGTCAGTTTGGAATGGGAAGTGCAGAGGGGCGGTAGGGGCTGGACCAGTAGAGGCATCCGTGGGGGCCTTGAATGCCCAACTGAGGAGATTGGACTTCATGTTGGGTATAGCTGGGGCCGTGGAAGGTTTCAGAGGACTGGAGAAACCTGAGCTGATGTGGATTTGGGGGAGAGGATTGATGAGCCTGGTGGAAAGAATCCTAGCATCCCTGGAGTAGTCAGGCAGACATGGCTGTGAATTCCAGGTCTGGCCAGTTGCAGCTGGGTGACTTAGGATAAACCATTTAATGGCCCAGAGCCTCAGTTTCCTCAGTTGTGAAATAAAGAGAATAGAGCTTCCTTTGTGGCAAGGCTTCCCAGGGCAGGCCTGTTAATGCTTGGACTGATGATCCTTTGTTGTTGGGGCTGTCCTGTGCACCGCAGGATGTCGAGGAGCATCCTGGCCTCCACCCAGCCCCTCCAGCCTCTTTGTTGTGACAACTGAAAGTGTCTCCAGACATTGCCAGTGTCTCCTTGAGGGGGACAGAATTACCCCTGGGTGAGAACTGATGCTTTCTGGGGTGGGTCAGGGGTTACACAACAGAACTAAAGCACCTGGTCCAGGGCTGGACACTGAGGGTCCTGAGCTGATAAGCACAGTCTCAGCACAGGGGAGCCCCATACACCAGCTCATTGTCATCGTCCAGCTGAAATCTGTGAGGACAGAACGAGGCACTGGCTGGAGACATCAAGGGGATGGGCTCCTCAGGGCTTGCTCACCGATAGGAGGAGGAGCACACAGCATCCTCTCTGGGTCTCGCATCCGGGTGCCCGGAAGGGCGGAACTCTATCCCACAGGAGAGGTGCTGGTTTAGGATGAAGAGCGCAGGCCAGGCCTTCCTGAGCCCACGCTGCAGTGGTCATCAGGGTCCTGTTCAGAGCAGCAGGAGGTGTGTGCCCAAACCTCCAGGGAGGTCTCTCCAAGGAACCTGCCTGGGAGAGGCAGGGGCGCCTCTGTCTGTCCTTTGGCACCTGTGTGTCCTGAAGCCAGAAGGCCAACCCACGCAAGGCCATGCACAGGGCCTGGAGGAGAAAATCCAGTTAGAAGCAAATGAGGGCATAAAGGACAAGGAATGCATCCTGGCAGCCGAGCATCCATGGCGTCTGAGGGCGTTGTACAGGGAAGTCCTCCTGAAGAACCTCACGGGCACTAGAGCTGGCAGCGATGGATTTTCTTCCCTGGCCATTCTTGAGAGAACAGGTCAGCACCCTACCACCCACAGGCAGTGAGGACCCAGGCTGCTGGAGCCGAGGACGAGCTCCCCAACTTCTGGTGGCCTCCTGAGGACATGTTGTGGGGTGGGTGCTGGCAGGCCTGCCGTCCTTGGTTAGGTGAACCAGCTCAGCCCGACAGCCCTCAGAGGGAGGCAGGCATGTGCTTTGGGGAGCCGGGGGAGCAGGGTGAGCGCGCTCATCTTTCCTGCTGTAGGAGATGGTCTTCAGGAGTGTGAGAGTTCTAGGTACAGCTGCACGTATTTGCTAGGTGGCACATTTTGGTACCTAAAACATTTTCCCTAAGAAGTAACAAACCACCCGTCGAACACCCCCTCCCTCCCTCCCACAACTTCAAAAGAGGACCAAAAAAAAAAAAAAAAAAAAAAAAGAGAAACACCTGAGAGACCAAATAGAGGCCTTACA
Organism: Homo sapiens; assembly: GCF_000001405.40. Taxonomy (NCBI): domain Eukaryota; kingdom Metazoa; phylum Chordata; class Mammalia; order Primates; family Hominidae; genus Homo; species Homo sapiens. The sequence goes on from NC_000019.10 coordinate 13,087,834, forward strand.
CCCTCACCCATCCTGTGCCCTGGAGGAGAGGACCCAATCCTGGATCTTCCACCGGGAGCGCCCGCTCTCAGGAGCGAGCTGGCGCGGCCGCGCAGGGGAGCGTGTGTCTGTGTGTGATGTGCCTTCATGCGTCACTCTATTTATGTTGTTCGCAGCCCAACGGTAGCGGCCAGGGCAAAGTCCCGGGGTCATTTTTGCTACCGCCGCCGCCTCCAGTGGCCAGACCTGTGCCCCTTCCTATGCCTGATTCCAAATCCACCAGCACTGCCCCAGACGGCGCCGCCTTGACTCCTCCATCACCTTGTAAGTGGACGATGAAACCGAAACCACAACGCCCAGCGTCCCCGGCCCGTCCAAACAGTCTCCACTGCAAAAAGAAAAGCCTTCCCCCTCCCCACCACCAAAGCCCCCCAACCCAGAGCACCATGGACAAGAGCAGAGCCGAGCCCCCCAACCACAGCCTCCCTCCCGGGCCTCAGTCGCACCAGCCAGCACCCCACGAGCCCCCTGCCCGCTGCTCCCAGCCGGGGCCCCTGGCCCAGGCCCCTCTGGGGGGCGGGAGGGAGAGCACAGCTGGGGCGCGCAGGCCAGGGGTGCTGGCGGGGGTGGGAGGGGGCGGGGAGGCACAGCCATGCCATCTTCATGCCTGATTGCTGTTTTTTTTTTTTTGTTTTTTGTTTTTGTTTTTTAATTTTTTTGTTGTTTCGTTGTTCCCCCCACACCAAGAAAATCAAATGTAACCACAAGGCGACGCCACCACCATCCCCTTTTTGCCTTGCCCCTCACCTCCATCCCTGGGCCCTTGGGCCTCAAAGACGCAGCAGGCCAGCCCGACCCCTTCCCCCTCAGTCTCACATTTGGTTTCTCGTTGTTCCTCTTTTTTTTTCCCCCCCTTCCATCCCTCTCCCGTCCCTTCTCCGCAATTCCTTTCCCAGGTTAGATGTTCCAAGGACGAGGGAGGGCTGTGGGCTTTGGCTTACTTCATCTCTCTCTCTGTCTCTCTTTCTTTTCTTTTCTTTTCTTTTTTTTTCCTCTTAAACCAATGACAAATTTTGTCAAAGGGAAAAGAAGAAAAATCATTCGAGAGGTCCCAGGTAGACCCGGCGTGAAGGACAGGAGGATGGGGCGGGTGCTGTCTGTGGGCCAGGGTGGGCAGCTCTGGGGGTGGGCAGGCCACAGGCCAGGGCAGTTCGGTGGCGGTGGGAGGGGTGGCCCATCTCACACTGCTCTCCGCTCGCTTTGTCTCTCCTCCTTTCTCGTGGTTTGAGTTCTTTTCCCCTCTCCATCCTCTTCATGCCATCTTCCCATCTGCATCCACCATAAGACATGAAGTCACAGTCATTGGAGGTGGGCAGGGTGGGGGATGGGAGCTGGGCTACAGGGTTCGGGGGCCACTTCTGGAGAGAGGTGGGCAGAATCTGGTGAGCATGGAGTCCCTGGGTGTGTCTGGTGCAGGGCAGCGGCGGGCCTTCCAGGTAACCTGTGACACTCCTTGCCTCCTCTGGGGGCATCTTCCCTTCTGGGGGTGCAGGGCCTGTTCCCTCCAGCAGGGCTCCATCTGGACAACCTGAGAGGAACTCAGGGCTGTTGAGATCATTTTGTCTTTGGGCCCCAGGATGGCTGCTCCCAGGCATCTGAGCCCTAGGGCTCTGCCAGGCTCTCCAGCCTCCTCCTCCTCTATTGCCTTGGTCCTGGAACCACAGGCCTGTTGGACCTGGTGCATCAGTCAGAGGAGGAGAATGCCATAGGCCTGAGCCTTGCCACCCCCTGGGCCCAAGCCAGGCAGCCAGCTCCTAGGCCCTTCTCTGACCCTGCCCTACCTGGCTCAGACCTCCATTGGGCACCCTTTGGGTTCCCCAAGCCTGCCTGCCTGGTCCTTGGGCCTGCCCAGAGTGGTAAGAGGTGTAGCATCTAGCTAGGCCACCCAGGTTGGAGAGGTAGCCTGGCTGGGAAGGCCTTCCCGAAGCAGGGTGGGGCCGGACTGCCAAAGCCTCCACCCTCCCCTGGCCCCCTCTCTTCAGTACCTGAGAGGGGCCAGTGGGAAAGCAGGGTTATCCACTGAGGGTACCTGGGGACCAGGGCTATCCCCAGCCCTGCCCAGTGCCTCACTAGCGGGTGGAACTGGGTCCAGGAGACTTGTCTCAGCCTCCAGGGCCTCTCCCTCATCCCAGCTGTGAAAAAGGATGCCTGGCTGAGACTGTGGCTTCTGAGTGGGTGTGTGTCGGGGGTGTAGTGTGTGTTCCTGGTCAGTGAGAGGATGAGGGTGTCCCTCTGTAGTGGGGGGCAGGCTCGGAGCCTGGCCTTCAGCTCAGATGCCCCTCTGGCCCATCCTTCCCACTGCCAGCCTAAACTCGGGCAGCATGGTCTAACTCAGTCTCTCCCTCTCTCAGCAGCCCCGAGGGGCAGTGCCCAGGTGGGCCCCAAGGCCTGACAGGGTCTCTCCCTCTCTCCCCTGCTCCCCACAGCATTCGCAACGACAGGCGCCTCCTCTGCCAACCGGTTTGTCAGCATCGGACCCCGGGACGGCAACTTTCTGAACATCCCACAGCAGTCTCAGGTAGGAGACCCTGCCCACCACCTGGATGCAGGGACCAGGGGAGTAGTCAGGGTTGGGGGGCATCTTGGTGTTAGGGAAGAGCCTGGAGTCCTTGGGGCTAACAGGGAGAGAGAGGTCTGAGGTGGGGCTGGAGGGCCCAGGCTTTTGCACGCCCAGCTGAGCCTGTCTCCCCAGGCAGCCCCCAGGCTCCCTGGCTAATCAGCTAATTGGATAATTAGCTCTGACAGCCCTGGCCCTGGGGAAGGCGGCCAAGGACCCAAGTCTAGAGGCCCTCTGGGCCAGGCCTGGTAGAAGCAAAGATGGAAGCCTGAGGCCCATCGGGAGGAGAATAGAGTCTGCCTCACTGCTTTCACCTGCCCCGACTGGAAGCCCCGGCCCCTAGCCCTCCCCTTTCCCCTGGCGTTGGGTGGGCTGGGTGACGGGTGGAGGAGGGACAGAGGGCCTGGTGGGCTGCGTGCCCAGAACTGGCACTGAGGGCAGGGCAGGGCAGGCCGCCACCCTAGAGGCCCCTCACCCAAGTCTCCAGGAGTCCTGTTAGGGAGAAGGCCAGCATGCTGGAGACCTCATCCTTGCTCCTATCCCCTGCTGACACCACCCTTAGTTCTCACCAGGAGACAGATCCCCGTCACAAGCAGGGCATAAGACTACTCTTAGCCCTCCAGGTGGAGACCCCAGAGGCCAGTGCCCACAGAGCCCAGTGCCCTTGGGGGCACAGGGAAGACCCATCTCAGGAGGAGGACAGAGGCAGCTTTAGGGGGCCTGAGGCTTTTACCACCCAGGGTTTTGAAAAAGAACATGCAAAGATCTTTCTTTTGCACATTTTACAAAAACACCACCTTGGAGGTGTCCTCAGCCCGGGGAAATCCACCTCTCTCAAGAGCCCCTGGGGCCACCTCTCATCTCCTGCTCTGCCTCTGTTCTGGGGCCTGAGTCCAGAGAAAGTTGGTGGATGGAAGTTGTGTGTGTGGTTTGAGATTGTTTTTTTTTTTTTCTTTTCCTTTCCTTCCCTCAAAAAAAAAAAAAAAAAAAAGCCAAAAAACTTTGTCAAACTTCAAACTTCAGAGCTCCCTAGTGGCAAGGAGGGGAGGGGAAGAGAACTTCAACCCCCTCCAGCTTCCCACCCCCTTTCCCCAGAGTCACGTCTGACCCGTCTGGTTTCCAGGAGCAACCAGACATGATGTAACACCCAGATGAACTTGAACTTGGGGGTGCTGAGAAGAAAAACAATGGCTCCGAGCAGGGGCTGGAGCCAGCCCCCTCTGCTCTGTGCCAGGGAGGCCGAGAGAGCCCTGCTGGCAGAGGCGGGAGGGGGTGCGAGAGGAAGGGACAGCAGGCGGGCCTCCCCTCCCAGCTCTGGGCTGGCACCAGGCTTCAGGGTTCCATCGCTCCCTCCCTCCTGCTGCCTGCCTGGGCTGCTCACAGCTCTGCGGTCGTGCGCTCCGAGGACCACTGCCACGAGCCGTCCCTGCTAACCCTGTTTCCGCTGCCTCCTTTACTTTCTTTGCTCACTTTGCTTGGACGTTTGGGGGCCAAGTCAGAGTTTAGGGAAAGTTTGTCTCCCCCCATGTTCCCTGTGTCTTAGGCTCCAGGAGGTAGGAGGAAGGAGTCCCAGCGGGGGTCCAGGGCCCCTGAGCAGGCAGGTGTGTCTGGGAGTGGTTGGGGGAGCGGAAGCTGGACAAGCGGAGCTGGAGCCCTCGGGCCTGGGGGCAGGCAGGCGGCTGCAACGGGCGGGCGCAGGGGGTACAGCCGGGGGTGGTTTCCACAGTAACCAGTGACTTTAGCTGATCTCTGGAGCACCAGATGGAGAGAGAACAATAGAATGAGGGAAGAAAAGAGAATTTTAGCAATTTTGTCATTCCCTGGGCAGCGCTTTTTACTTAGTTTTAATCAATTTTGGACCTGGCTCAGGAAGTAGGGAGGGGTGAGCAGAGAAAGCCACTCTGTGCTTGGCAGCAGATCCCCCATTTCTGGGACCTGTGGGGAGGTGCCGGGGAGCCCCCTTGGGGCAGCCTTTGTCCCTAACTCCAGACCTGGAACCAGAGTCTTCCTTCCCTGAGGAGGACCCCCCAGTCTGAGCATTGGCAGTTGTCCCCAACTGTACAGCTCAGGAGACCCCAAAGGGGCCAGTGTGAGGCCCTGGCATGATCTGCCAGGAGCAGATAGGGCAGGTGGGGCCCTCCCTGTCCTATTGTCCACAAGCCTCATTTGCCTGGTGAGGAGAGGGGTGGGCTTACCACCAGAGTCAGCCTCCCCCTCAACCTCGGGGCAATGGCACAGGGTTCCTGTATAGTCTCCCCTTGGGAAGGGGGTCCCAGGGAACAGGCCCAAGCCTGTGGCAGGTGGGGGTCACCCAGCCCAGGCGCTTCCCACCCCCGGGCCTGGGCCAGAAGCCCAGGAGCTGGCTGCGGGCCGGTTCTCCCCCACCCACTCTGGGGATGCCTCAGGCCTGGGTTTCCGCCTTAGCCTCGCCAGGCCCCAATGAGCCTCTGTTTGGCCTGTAGTCAATTGACCGGTTGGACTTGGGGCAGGTGCTCGAGGAGCCCCACTGAGGGAGGGCAGGTCTCTTGTGCGTACTGTCCAGCACATACAGGAAATTTAGCATTTCTGCCCACCCAGCAGCGCCTGCTCATTGTGGCAATCCCAAACCGCCACATTTCCAGATGCTCTTGATCTGCACTGTCCATTGTGGTAGCCACGGGCCACGTGTGGCTGTTTACATTTAAATTATTAACTAAAGAAAAATTTAGTTCCTCAGTTACAGTAGCCACATTTCAAGTGCTTAGAAACCACTTGTGGCTAGTGGCTACTGCAATGGAAATGAGAACATTTCCATTGTCACAGAAAGTGCTAGATGATCTCCAAGGCCCTTTCTGAAACTCAGTGTCCCTATCCTCAGTCCCAAACCAGAGCCTGAGAGCAGGTCTGGCCTGCAGGCAGAATGTTTGACCAAAGCAATGTTTTAAATATTGGAAATTTTCACACGAAATTCTGTTTGGGCTTCTGGCTTCTTTTGAAAAGTTGGCAGATGAGCTGCCCTGGGCCCTCACCCTGACCCTAGGCAGGGCACAGGCATTCTGGCCACCACAGACCCTGCTTCCTCGTGCTCGCAGCACAGGCAGCAGTTAGGAGCACAGCCTGCACTGCCCCTTACATTTGAACCCTGGCTCTGTTGCCCGAGGGCTGTGTGGCCTCAGGCAGGTCACGTACCCCCTCTGTGCCTAGCTTCCTGGTGGGGTCAGGGCAGGGGTGGAGTGAACCAGGACCTGGTATGTGCTCTGTAGTTGGCTCCGCCTGGCCCCTGCAGACCAGAGTCTGTGACAGCCTGGGAGAGGTCCCAAGATGCATTTTCAGGGACCCTCATTTTGCCCCAACGGTACTACCAGGTGCACCCAGGCCCAGTAGACCACAGTAGACCCTGACCCACCACTTTGCCAGGAGGTGGGGCTGGAGCCTTGGATGGAGGGCGTAGCCAAGCAGCCCAGACCCTTGGGGTCTGCCCTGGGTGTGCTCTGAGCTGAGCCACCAGACACAGGCAGACAAGACAAGGCCCTGTCTGTGGGAAGGCAGCGCCCCCTGCTGGCGATATGAAGGAAATGACGCTCACCCCAGGGAGCCTCAAGTCCTTCCTCAATGTCTGGTGCCCTGAGGGTAGAGGATCCAGCACCATGGGCTACGTGGCCCCTCCCCCAGGCCTGGCGCTACTAGGGACTGAAGCTGTGTGGTTCCCCTGCCCCCAGTCTTTCAGCCTGTGGGACCTTGGCTGGGGTATATAGATGGGAATTTCTGCTTTTAATCCAAAGAGACAGAAAGAAAACTCAGCAAGAAGCTGGGCCACCCCCAACCCATTCCTAAAACCCCTCTGGGTACAAAAGCCCCAGCCTGGCATCTTCCCCACCCTCCAGGACCCACACAAAAACCTAAACAATTGGAAACATGGCCAGATCTCAGGCCTGTGCCAGCGCCAGCCATGGGGGTCCCACCCGCTGGGCACAGTGCCCACGGGAAGGCCAGCTGGACTCTAGCACTAGGGGCAGAGTCTCTGAGGGGGCGGGGTTCTCGCAGGAGGGAGGGAGAGAATGGGGATGCCCTTTCTTCTCCATGGGAACAAGGTGGGTGGTGGCTGCCCGGCACCCTGGCTCTTTGGGAGCTGGACCCTTGAGGGGCCAGGTCACTGGGCCAGGTAGGAGTGAGATGGGACCTGCCCCAGCTGTTCTCAGTATCGCCTCTTTTTCATCCTGTTTCAGTCCTGGTTCCTCTGATAAGATCGACAAAAGAAACAACAAAATGAGAAGAAGAGGTTCCTCGAAAGGGGGGAGAAGAAATTTTGAGAATGGAAAAATCCCCCAGCCCAGCCCAGCCCCACCGAAAAGCAAAAATTACACGTCGTCAGCCACTCAGCCCTTCTCTCCTCCAGCCCGGGGACCCCCGCGGGCCCCAGAAGCAGCCCAGTTCTCAGAGAGCCCTTGGAAGGGGTCTCGGTGGAGCTGTGCACCAGCAGCCAAGCAGAAAGAAACACGCGACATGGACTCTGTCAAGTAGAGGACAGAAAGCAAGAAAGGATGCAGAACTGCCTTCCTCCCCCTGACCCCGCCCCGGCCTTCTGGGGAAGGAACAAAGTCCCCAAACAAAGCAACCAGCACAATTCTGAAGGGGCCTGGCCTCCACCCTCACCCCTTCCTAGGGGAACCCCACCCTCCACACAGCCGGAGCTGCCCTAGGGAGCCTGGAGGGCCAGCTTGTAAAGATGATGGGGTTTAGATCCCTCAGGCTCTCCCCTCCAGACTCCGCCCTTCCCTCCCTCCCTCCCTCCCTCCCTCTCTGCCAAGGCTCCAGCTTCTTCCCCCAGCTGCTCCCGACCAGGAGGGGGAGAGCAGCCTCCACTTACCCCACCCCACCCTTGGGCTAAAAGCCCCCAGGCGGGCAGGGGGTGACCCCTGGAGCTAGTTGCGTGTCCCAGAATGGAGGGTGTTCTGACACCCCACCCTGAGCCGCAAGAGCAGTCCTGGGGCCCTGGACCCCTCTGTACAGTCCGTAGGAAAAAGTCGGAATGCTCTCGACGGCCTCGTCCCAGCCTGGGACAGGCCCCCTTTCCCCTCTCTCTGCAGGCCAGGAGGGCCTCCTTCCTGCCACGAGGGAGGGGAGTCGGGCCCCAGGTCGCCCCCGCCCCCAGCCCTGCATGCAGGTGCCCTCGCTCCGCCCCATCAGTTCCTGCCCCTGCCCCTCATGCAGACTGCCCTGCTGGGGCCGGGCCGGAGGGTGGAGCAGAAAGGGGACCCCGGAGCCGAGCGAGGAGGACCAGGCAGCCGCCGCTGCCGCGCTAAGCCACCACCTGCGCTTAGGTAGGCGTCCTGCTCGCCGACTTTCAGTTCCTTGGGAGGGTGTTGGGTGTCGTCCTTTTCAAAAGTGTTTTGGAGCTTTCTGTGCCCCCCGACTTTCCCCCGCCTCCCCGCCCCCCACGTGGCCACTTTTCTCTGGATTTTAGCTGTAATGTCTTTACTCTTTATTTAGGGGTGGGGCATTCATTGTTTGGGTCTTTTGCTGTTGGAATGGGAACTCCTCCTCCATTTGAGCAACTTGGGAACAATTTGGTAACACACCACAGGAAGTAGCTCTCCCCCCCAGCCCCCTCCTCCCTCAAGGGAGGGTTGGGGGGCCTGTCCAGAGGGTCTTCAGAAGCCCCCCTGGGAGGGAGGGGAGGATGAGCACGCCCAGCTCCCCTCCAGGGTGTGACTTGGCCCCTCTGGCTTGTCTTTCTGTGCCTTACTCCTCCTCCTGCGTCTCCCGTTCCTGGCCCCTTCTTGAGTCCTTGTGCCTCTCTCTTTCTCTCTCTTTCTTAATTGTATGAAAACACAAAGCACAGGTCAGGATCCTCTGAGAGAAAATCAACATTGCACCACGTAGGGGTGGGCTATGGGCTGTATTTATTGTGAATCTAGTTTGTGAGGCTGTGGCCCCGAGCTGGCGGAGGGAGGGAAGAGGAGGGAGTGACGGGAGGGGAGGAGGTCAGCGACCTGGGGCCGTAGCGGCAGGCGAACGGTGCCTGCTACCCAGCTGGAAGCCACAAGGTGGCTGGCTCCAGGGGCGGCTTTTGTTGGAAGTTGAGTGAAGCCCTCCCCCTGTCCTCAGCGTGCAGCCCTAGAGGACCCCAGGGCTGAGGGGCAGTGGATCCTGCGGGAGTCTCCCGGGGCGTGGGGAGTAAGGCCCCGGGGGTGGGGGGCCGGGTGGGCCGGGCGTGACGCGCGGTCAAAGTGCAATGATTTTTCAGTTCGGTTGGCTAAACAGGGTCAGAGCTGAGAGCGAAGCAGAAGGGGCTCCCTGTCCGGCCCACGTGCCCTTTCCCTCGACGACAGTCGAGGGCTCGGGCTCTGTGGGACTGTGGGAGCTAGGGTCTGCGGGGCGCCTGCCCGGGCGAGGTCGGAAGCTGCAGGCCAGCTGGGCCCGGGCCGGAGCGTGCCCGGCGGGGCTGCCCGGGCGGGCAGGGGGTGGGGGCTGCTCCTTTCCCAAGTGGTGTTGTGAGGGGCAATGAGGGCAACAGGAGATGTGGGGACGTGTTAGGAGAGAAAAAAAAAAAAACAAAAATATATATGGGGGAAATTAACTTTTTTTTTTCATTGAACCAAGTGCAATGCATCAGAGAGTTTTCCTATCTTTGTATGTTAAGAGATTAAGAAAAAAAAATTCTATTTTTGTTGTAATGTCCTCGCGGCTCTGGGGACGCTAAAAGAACCGGGCCTGCCCCGCCCTGCGCGGGGATAACGAAAGCTGAGTGTTTTTCCCTTTTTTTTGTTCGTTTTTAGTTTTTTTTTTTTTAAGTCGTTTTCCTGCGTTGACGAGGATGATCTGGGGTTTTTATTTGTTTCGTCGTTCGTTCTGTTTCGGTGGGAGGGCTGAAGGAAACGTTCACATTTTAGAGTTTAAAAAAAACACCTCGACATTTAAAAAATCAACCAACACAAGATCAAAAAGGAAAAGGACGAGAGAAAAATTATTTTTAAGATAATTAAACATAAAACCCTGGTGCTTCTTACATTATAAAGTACGTTTTAAAGAACCCACAAACTATTATACATAAGTTTATGAATCAATTAAATATCCTGCACTTGTTAGGAATACGCATATCCCTTCTTTGTTGAGTTTAACGGAACGGGACAGCGGCGTGCCCCCGGCGGCTGGACTGCTCCGGCCGCGGGTCTCCCCGGGCGCCCCTCCCTGGGGCCCAGCACCCCTCCTCGCCCCATCCCCGTCCGGGTACGGGGGCGCGGCAGGGGTCCCCGGCCCCTCCCCCGCAGAGGTCAATGCCAACGAACAAACGTCCCCTCCCTCCCTCCCTCTCCGCCCCGAGCGCCCTTCTTTGAGCCAGACGCCAACTTGACCCTCACCAGCATTATCAGGAGCGCGCTCAGCAAGTTGGTAGTTTCCTCCCCCCTTTCCCGGCGCCCCTCCCGCCCCCATTCAACATCTCTCATCCTATCCCCGACCCCCTCCGGGGAACACCGGGAAGGCTCGACGCTCCAGGACAGGACCAGCCACGCTGACAGGTCGATTTGCCCAGGCCCGCGCCCGCACGCACGCACGCACACGGCCCCGCACACAGCCCCGCCCCACCCCGCAACCAGCCCTGTCGACTGCCTTATACACCCGCCCCCGCGCTGGCCGGCCGACCTAGTGCCTTGTTCTCACCCCCGTGCTGGCGGAGCGGACGCCGCGCTCTGGGTCCCAGAGGGGCCGGGTGGCTCAGACGACCCACCACTCCCCCACCCTGACCGTGCTGAACAGACCCCCCCACACGAGAGAAAATAAAGGAGCAATAAAGTCACGAGAACTTTCGTCCCCCAATCGAGAGCCCGAGGGGCACCCCAGCCCCGCCTCTGCTCCCCCCCACCCCACCCACCCTCGGGGCGCCCCCCTCCCCCCGCAAGCCAGCCTGGGCCAGCCCCGCTTCGGCCCCTCCCGGGAGATCCGTGCGCCCGACCAGCACCAGCATCGCGGACCGCAAAGGCCGCCCGTCCCGTCAAACAAGTTTCTTCTTAGGCTAAGAAACGCAGTATATACGAGTATCTCTATATATAGTACTAATGGATTTGGTGTGCTTCCCCCTTAGCGTCCCCCTCCCTCTGCTCCTCCTCCTTCAGCCTGGTCTCCCCCTCTTCTCTGCCCTCCACCCCCGTCTCTGCACTGAGATACATAAGAAACAAGGGTAGTTTACTGTCTGTTTTGTTTTCTGGGTTTTCAGTGTCCTAGCGGAATGCAAGTAGGCAGCCAGCCCGTCTGTTCCCTCTCCGCCCCGCCCCGCCCCGCCCCCGTCACTGCGCTTCTGTTATACCATCTTTGCCTGACTCTCTCCGGCTTCTCCATTGAATGGCTAATGTGTATGTGAAATAAAGAAATAAAGAAAAACAAACGCGAGAGCGCCTGACCCTTCGCTAACGCGACCGTGCGGGACTGGGTCGGGGTCGGTAGGGTGCGTCCCCGACTTGGATTCTGCGCCTCTGTCCAAGCGCCGGGAGCGCAGCAGACGCCGTCGACGAGCGTCTGCCCCTGGGTCTCCCGGAGGGGCCGACGGTGAGAAAAGCGAAGCCTCCCCAGCCCCTCCTGGCCTCCCCCCGCGACCCCAGCCCGGAAAAAATGAGGCACCACTTGGGTCCTATGACTGCTCTGCCATGTTGCTTTGCCGACCTCGCCCCTGGGAAGGGGACCGGGCAAGGCCACTTCCAGAGGGTTGTGGGTGATTTTTTTAAGGGTCTGCGGGTCCCTTGGGGGTCGATGATCACCCTTCCGGACCCCCGAGACCTTGCCCCTGACGTCTTCACTGGTCCTTCTTCGGGGGAGTTCGCTCCCGAACATGCGCAGCACGTCCACTGCCCTTTCCTTGACGGCCCTGGGCCGAGTCCCTGGTGCCCTCCGGCTCAGAGGTGCTGCCGCGTGCGGTCACCGCACCTCTGGGCTCAAAGCGGTTTGCTCCATCTTGATGGGCCGGGCCGCTCCACCGGGGCTGCCGTCGGGGTCGGCCGGGGGCGCGGGCTGCGAGCGCGCTGCCGCCTCGGCCCTGCGTCCGGATCCCCGGCGGGCGCCGTCGTCTGGGACCCGGTGCACCGGCCGTTTGCGAGGCCCGGGAGGGGTGGGGCCTGCGGCCAGAGCTGCGGCTTGGTCGCGCAGCAGCCGCACCAGGAAGCCGATGTACTTCATGGCTAGGCGGAGCACCTCGTTCTTGCTCAGCTTCCGGTCGGGCGGGTGCGTCGGCAGCAGCTTCCTCAGCTCGGCGAAGGCGCCGTTAACGTTCTGCTGCCGCCAGCGCTCCCGGCTGTTGGTGAACACGCGCCGGGCCACCTTCTGGGGCTGGTGCCCTGTGGACAAGGAGGGCCGGGTTGGTGCCATGGCCCAAAGGGCGGCCCCTCCTGCCCTCCCGCTAGACACGCAGCACCCTCGTGGGAACTTAAACCCAGGCCATGGGCTGGGGCTTTCTCCACCCAAGGGGTCCACGGGCAGCTCTCCCCACCCCTCCCAAGAGCCATCCAGACAAGAATCATCACAGGCCCGGCCTACGGACAAGGGCCTGCTGTATCTGTGACTATGGGCACCTTTATGTCAATGACTGAGATTCCCTAAAGAAAGATTTCCTTGTGTTTGTTTGGTCTGGGAAGCTGTCCGTGGGGCCCTCATTCTGATTGTGCCCAAGTACGGCTGGCTGGGTGTACTCATGGGTCTGAGAGGTCCTCTCATTATGACTGTCTGTGTCCTGTGTCTTGTATGACTGTGTGAGACTCTTGTTATGTCTCATGGCTGTGGTTATGTGTGATGTTGCCATGTGGCTGTTTCACGAGTGGCTGTGGTTGTGTGGCTGACTCTTGTGTGGCCGTGGTCCTAAGTGGCTGTGGTCCTGTGGCTGTCTTGTGTGTGGTTGTGGTCCTGTGGCTGTCTCTTGCATGGCTGTGGTCTTGTGGCTGTCTTGCGTGGCTGCACATTCCAGTGGAGCTGTCATTTTGTGGCTCCCATGCCCTGGTGTGGCATGCTCTGTTTTGCCGTGACTGCGGCTACATGGCTTGGCCTGTTGGGTGGCGGTGGTTGTGTGGGGCTGGCTATGGGACTGCGATTTTGCACATGGGTAGAACCTATGTGGGCTGTTCTCTGTGTGTGCTGGAAGCACGTCTCCCCGAGGTGGAGTAGAGGACAGACATGAGCCCCACACAGAGACGGCCAGGCCTTCTGTGCACCCACAAGTGCACATACAGGCATACAAACCCACAAGGCACACAAACCCACACTCACCCTCAGCCAGGTCCAGCTCACAGTGGCTTGGTCTCCGCTTCAACCGGCTGCTAGGGAAGATGCTAAAAGGTCCTGCTGGCCCAATGTAGACACTGTAAGGGGTCGTGGGTCACTAATGCCTTGTGGGCAAGGACCCTGGCCCCCAATCCCCACTGCCCCCCACCCCAGATCCCCACTGACCTGTTGAGGAAGGGGTGAGGGTGGTAGTGCAGGGCCAAAGTGGGCGGGGCAGTTCCCAGGGTGGAGAGTTGCAGCAGCGGGGGCCGCAGAGTGCCCAGCTCTGTGGTGGGCATGGCTACCCCTGGGGGCCTGCTGTGGCCCAGGCTGATCACTGGTACACCAGGTGGCAGCCTGGGGGGCGAGGAGCCTCCTCGGTGGCCCACCTCCTCCACCTGCGGGGGCCCAGGCGAGGCAGGCTTAGGGGGTGGGGCAGGCGCTGGGCTGGGGGCACACACCATCTCTGCCTTCTCAGTCATGGTGGGGCCCACCTCTGCCTGTGCCTGAGGCGGGCACATGGACCCCGACGTGGGGGTACTCACCTGTGGGAAAGAAGGCAGCCAGTGGGGAGGAGGACTAGGTGCCCCGCTCCCACCTGCTTAGCTCAAGAAACCCCTCAAATGGGAAGGAGGGAGGGGGAGGGGGAAAGGAGGAGGAGAGAAGTTTCAGTAGGCAAAGGCAGATGGCGGGGGCAGGCCCAGAAACTTCCAGGACACGGGAGGGGGGTCCTACGTTAGAGTAGGAGGCGCCCCCCAGGTGCTAGGCAGCGCACTGTCCCTGAGCTCTTTGTGACCCAGGAGGGGCGCTGTTGCCCAGCCTCTGAGCAAATATTCCTTCTTCCAGAATTCCCTCACCTCTGCAGCCTGGAGAGGGAACAAGACAGGGAGCCCCTAACTGATCCTGGGATCCCCAGAAACCCCAAGATTAACCCTGTTATCCTCAGATCTAAAGATCCAACCCAGAGACTCCTCATTAACTCATTGATGCCATGTGAGCTTGGAATCCCTCCAAGATGGACTCTGACCCTTCACGGAAGGCCCCCAGCCCCCACCCAGGCTGACCCTCTGCACCTCAAGAATGACCCTGCGGTTCTTCCCATTGCTGTCCCTGAAAGTGCTCCATAATTGCTTGAGTGACCCCCACTCCCACTGCAAACATCCCCCATAGCAACCCTGTGACCCCACTACTGACACTATGACCTCAAATGCTGACCCTAGACCCCCAAACACTGACCCCACTGCCCAGTCCAGTCCAGTCATGCCCCAACCCTCCCTCTGGCTTGGAAGCCCCCATCCTCATCAGCATCCACGCTTTTTAAAATTTGTTTATTTTTTTAGAGACAGGGTCTCCCTCTGTTGTCCAGGCTGGAGTGCAGTGGTGCAATCATAGTGCACTGCAGCCTCAAATTCCTGGGCTCGAGCCATCCTCCTGTCTCAGCCTCCTGAGTAGCTGAGAGTACAGGCATGTGCCACCATGCCCGGCTAATTTAAAAAAAAAAATTTTTTTTGTAGAGGCAGGTTCTCACTCTGTTGTCCAGGGTGGTCTGGAACTCCTGGGCTCAAGTGATCCTCCTGCCTCAGCCTCCCAAAGTGCTGGGATTACAGGCATGCACCACAATGCCCCGCGATCATCCACAGTTTTGCATACTGTTTTGACATCCCTGTTTGCTCTTGGTTCCAGAGTCCAGGATGTCCCAGCAAGGTGTGAGACTGTTGGCCCCTCTGCCCTGTCTTCCTCAGCTAGGCCCTGGGGAAGCAGGCCTGGCCCCTCACTAGTGGGTCCCTGCTGGTGAATGAATGAATGAAGGAATGAACAAAGGAATGCAGGCTGGGTCCCAGGCCCGGGATCCTCCACCTTTAGGCCCGCTCCCCTCTTACCCCAGCACTGTTCTTGCAGCCTGGTGAGTGCCCTGGCTCTGTCCCGTCAGGGCTGGCAGTCTGGGCCAGGGTGTGGTTTCCAGCGTCAGGCCAGGCTCTGCTGTCTCGCGAGGGTCCGGCCTCAATGCTCCAGGCCCCGGCGTTGGGCCGCGCCTCCTCGTGGGCCTCGGAAGGCCAGGATAGCCGAGGTCTCCGCGTAGGTCCCCCCCAGGGAAAGTGAGCGGCTCCCGGGCCGGCCCGCCTTCTCCCCGCCCCCGGCGGCCCGGTTTCCTCCCTCTCACCCCTGGCGGCGCAGCGGCCGGAGGATGCTGGCCCAGTGCAGATAAGGGCCAGGCTGCCTGGCCGCGCCTGATAAGGAGCCTGGCTGACCCCGGAGGAAACCAGCGGGCGGGGACCTAGCAGCGCGGGCCTCCCGGCCCCGCCCCCAGCCGGCGCTGGCAGGACTCGGTCCGCCACCCCTCAGGGCTTCGCCTTCCGCTCCCCCAGCCACTGTAGGGACCCCGGGCCTCTGGGGACCCGGGCCCCAGGGCAGCCGGGGAGGGAGGTGCCTGGATGCACGCAGGGGGTAAACTGAGGCAGGGAAGCTGCCTCCTCTTATGTCCGAGTCTGCCCTTTGGCTTTGCACACTCCCTGCCCGAATGTCTGTGCTGATGGGGGTGAGGGAGAGCCCTTTCCGGCCCGTTGGGGCCGCGTGACCCTGGGCCCCCACCTCCTCTCCTCACCCAGCCTGGTTCCTCTTTTTACAGAGGCCCTTCCCTCCTCTCCACCACCCCTACCCGGGAGTGGGGCACCCAAAGGGGAACAGTTCTAACAGTCTGGCCTTGGGTGTCCAGCCTGGGCAGGTGTCCCAAGCCCTCAGCACAGTATCCACACATTTCCAAGCCCAGGAGGGTGAGAGGAAGAGCCATGGCTGTCAGGGGTGGGGTGGGGAAGTTGGATTTCCTAGGGTGCTGGGGCTGGTGTGACCTTCCAGTAGATGCCCAACAGGTCCCCACAACTATAGGCCTCTTGGCTACAGGATCACATAACTCCAACTTGGTGGTCCATGGCCCTCACCCCACAGCACCCGGCCCCTTCATGGGGGGCAGTTATCCTGGCTTGGTGGTAAACCTCAAGACCCTACTGGAGCCTCCCACAGGGAGAGGCTCTGGGCACAGCCAGGCAGCAGCAGCTACCAGACTGCCACCCACTTGTGATACTCATGCTTTGGCCCGTCTGTGTATCTGGGCAACTGCAAGAGCCCCCAGGCAGGCAGGCACCCAGCAGCAGGACTACCAACCCCCCCCCCCCCCCGCCCAGGAATGGGGTGGAGCCCAGGACCCCACGATCAACACCTCCATTGCTTTCCTCCAAAGAAGCAGGAACTAAAGTTTTATGCAGTAAAGGCCGGGCTTGGTGGCTCATGCCTGTCATCCCAGCACTTTGGGAGGCTGAGGCTGGCGGATTGCTTGGGCTCATGAGTTTGAGACCAGCCTGGGAAACATGGCAAAACCCCATCTCTACAAAAAATACAAAAATTAGCTGGTTGTGGTGGTGCGTGCCTGTAGTCCCTGCTACTCTGGAGGCTGAGGTGGGAGGATGGCGTGAGCCTGGGAGGTGGAGGCTGCAGTGAGCCAATATTGCGCCACTGCACTCCAGCCTGGGCCACACACCTAGACCTTGCCTCAAAAAAAAAAAAAAAAAAAAAAAAATTAAGCGCTAACTCTGATATCGCTACAAGGAGGGTCCTAAGATTAGCCTCATTACAGATGGGGATGAAGGGAGCAGGAGCCAGAGAGGGGATCCTGCCCCAGGACTCTTCGTTAACGTTACTAAACCCCACTCTGGAGGGCAGGGAGGGGTACAGCTCCCCCTCACTGGGTGTCTGGGCAGCAGCCTGCGAGGTCCCTCTTTGTGTGCACGCCCCCCTCGCCCCGGGCCTCAGGGCAGGAAGCACCTGGTCTGGAGCGGATGCACAGGGCGCCTGGTTCCGGTCCAGCTTCCGCCACTGTGGCCCCTGGAGAGCTGGGCCAAAGAAACCAGGCGGCGAGGAGGCAGCGGCGCGAAGACACGTGGGGGCTACCGGGCAGGAGCGCCCCACTATGCGCAAGCCCGTGGCCTGGAGAGCGCTGAAGGTGGGAGGGGGAAGAGGGGCAGAACCCCCGCGGGAGCGAGCGCACAGCTGCCGCCCCGTGGCCGCTTCGGGAATCGCTGGCTCCGGCTCTGGGGTGGCTCAGTGACCCTCGCTGCAGAGGGGCCGACCACTGTGCAGATGGTCAGCTCCTACCTCCCATACAGACTCAACACTCCAGCCAGGCAGGGGCGAACGATCCCCAGAGGAACAGATCCCAGTCATGCAGCTGTATGGACCAATACACAAACCACAGGCAATCGGGAGAAGGTGACGTGACATCTCTTTATTGGTTCAGTCTATGCCTGGCCCAGCGGCAGCCCCAGGTCCAGGGGGGGTCTGGTTGGAGGTCTCTGGACAGTCAGGGGCAGCATCAGCAGAAACCCTGGGTGTCGGGGGGCTGTGGGAGTAGCAGCACTGGTCCCCGCGTTGACAGGTGCCCTGGTGGGAAGATGGTGGGTGTGAACCCCTGCCCGGAGCTCAGCAGCCCCTGATGGGATCCTTTCCTGGGATGGGAAGCCCACTCCCAAACACTTGCCTGGCCCCAGCTCCCCCAATTCTCTCCCTGTTGCCCAAAGGGGAGACTCATGTGTCCTGCAGTGGAGGAAAGGGAGGAGGGACCTCACCTCCTTAAACCTCTTGCAAGGAAATGTCTTGAGCCGGGCAGCCCGCTGGGCCACATCTTCCGGCGGCTCCTTCCGCTTGTTCTGAAGCAGCCTGCGTCTCTCCTCCATAGCTTCGTCGGCCGCCTTGCCCCTGTGCGAGGGGAGGAGTAGGTGGGACCCCATCTGCCCTTTACCCCTTCTTTCCCTGGCTGAGCCCCACCCCCACCTTACCACCACTCACCCTGGCCGGGCACGAGGCCGGGGACCCCAGTTGGCCTCCGGGTTAGCCTGGAAGCGCTTGAGTCCTCGCTGTCGGGAGCTGGGGTTGGCATCTTCCCGGATGGTGAAGTTGGCCTGCAGCCTAGGGAAGCAGGGGTGGGGCGTTGGGGCTGGGGGAAGCTGCCACACGAGTGTGTCCCCACTCCCCACAGGGCCTGTCCGCCTCCACAACACAGCACGAGGTGTCTGCTCATGTCAGGATTCTCTCATTCATCTAATAAACATTTTTGGTTTTTTTAAAGAGATGGGGTCTCGGCCAGGCACGGTGGCTCATGCCTGTAAATCCCAGCATTTTGGGAGGCTGAGGCGGGTGGATCACCTGAGGTCAGGAGTTCGAGACCAGCCTGGCCAACATGGTGAAACCCCATCTCCACTAAAAATACAAAAATTAGCCAGGCGTGGTGCCGGGTGCCTGTGATACCAGCTACTCGGGACGCTGAGGCAGGAGAATCGCTTGAACCTGGGAGGCGGAGGTTGCAGTGAGCTGAAATCGCACCACTGCACTCCAGCCTGGGCAAGAGAGTGAGCCTCTGTCTAAAAAAAAATAAAATAAAGATACAGGGTCTCACTCTGCTGCCCAGGCTGGAGTGCAGTGGTGCGATCGCCATCAAAGCTGCAGTCTGGAACTCCTGGGCTTGAGCAACCCTCCTGCCTCCGCCTCAAGCTCCTGAGTAGCTGGGACGACAGGCAGGTACCACCATGCCCAGCTAATTTTTTTAGTTTTCTGGTAGAGATGGAGTCTTAATTACTGTGTTGCCCAGGCTGGTTTCATTCCTGGGCTCAAGCGATCTTCCCGCCTTGGCCCCCAAAGCACTGGGATTATAGGAATGAGCCACCATGCCTGGCCTTAATAAACATTTTTATTTAACGACTGTGTGCCTGCATTGTTCTCAGTGCTGGGAATAGACAGTGAACAAAATGGACAAAAAGTTACCCCTGGTATGCTGGTAATGCTAATTTTCTTTTCTTTTGGGATGGAGTCTCACTCTGTCGCCCAGGCTGGAGTGCAGTGGTGCGATCTCGGCTCACTACAAACTCTGCCTCAGGTTCAAGCGATTCACCTGCCTCAGCCTCCCGAGTAGCTGGGACTACAGGCATGTGCCACCACACCTGGCTAATTTTTTTTTTTTTTTTGTATTTTTAGTAGAGACAGGGTTTCGTCATGTTGGCCAGGCTGGTCTTGAACTCCTGACCTCAGGTGATCTGCCTGTCTTGGCCTCCCAAAGTGCTGGGATTACAGGTGTGAGCCACTACGCCCAGCCCAGTCAGCAGATTTAGTTATTTTTATTTTTATTTATTTATTTATTTATTTATTTGAGACGGAGTCTTACTCTGTCACCCAGGCTGGAGTGCAGTGGCGCTATCTCGGCTCACTGCAAGCTCTGCCCCCCGGGGTTCACGCCATTCTCCTGTCTCAGCCTCCCGAGTAGCTGGGACTACAGGCACCTGCCACCACGCCCGGCTAATTTTTTTTTTTTTTTTTTTGTATTTTTAGTAGAGACAGGGTTTCACTGTGTTAGCCAGGATGGTCTCAATCTCCTGATCTCGTGATCCGCCTGCCTCGGCCTCCCAAAGTGCTGGGACTACAGGCATGAGCCACCGCACCCAGCTATTTTTTTATTCTTTTTGAGATGGAGTCTCGCTCTGTCGCCCAGGCTGGAGTGCAATGGCGCGATCTAGACTCACCGCAACCTCTGCCTCCCAGGTTCAAGCGATTCTCCTGTCTCAGCCTCCTGAGTAGCTGGGATTACAGGCACCCACCACCACACCATGCCCAGCTAATTTTTGTATTTTTAGTAGAGATGGGGTTCCACCATGTTGGCCAGGCTGGTCTTGAACTCCTGACCTCAGGTGATCCACCTGCCTCAGCCTCCCAAAGTGCTGGGATTACAGGCGTGAGCCACCTACCCAGCCCCAGTCAGCAGATTTTGAATCTCACTTGAAGAATGGGCACGAGTCTGTGTGGGGCAGCATCTGTGTTGTCTGCACACACATGTGCTTCCATGTCTGTGGGCAGCCCTGGCCGCTCCTGCATGTGCTTGCCCCTACCTGGGCTCCACACTGAGAATGCGGAACGCTGGGCTAGTCTCTGATAGTCGCTCCCGTTTCACCGGACATTCCTTCTCCTGGGGGCAGAGGTCAGAGGTTAGGGAATACTAGGCCCAAGGGACCTCCAGGTGACCACCACCTGCCCTCCCACCTGCATGAGGTCAGCCCTGCCCTCACCCAGCAACGCATGATGTCCCAGAGGGCAGAGGCAGGGGCATCCGTCTTCACAGCGTTCTTACAGGCGTGGGAGAGTGAGACCCGGAAGTCAGCGTGGAGGAGGGCCGACCTGGGGAACAGCAGGGATTATGAGGGAGATGCCGGACTCCTTGACCCCAAAGCCCAAGCTGACCAGCGTAGGTAAGACTACCTTCGGCAAGGGCTCATGGCTACAGAGTTCATTTCTTTTCTTTTCTTTTTTTTTTTTTTTTTTTTTTTGAGATGGAGTCTCGCTCTGTCGCTCAGGCTGGAGTGCAATGGCGCAATCTTGGCTCACCACAGCCTCCGCCTCCTGGGTTTAAGCGATTCTCCTGCCTCAGCCTCCCGAATAGCTGGGACTATAGGCATGTGCCACCACGCCCAGCTAATTTTTGTATTTTTAGTAGAGACAGGGTTTCACCATGTTGGCCAGGATGGTCTCGATCTCTTAACCTTGTGATCCGCCCGCCTCAGCCTCCCAAAGTGCTGGGATTACAGGAGTGAGCCACCGTGCCTGGCCTTCTTATTTATTATTTTTTTGAGGTGGAGTCTCACTCTGTCGCTCAGGCTGGTGTGCAATGATGCAATCTTGGCTCACTGCAGCCTCTGCCTCTCAGGTTCAACCAATTCTCCTGTCTCAGCCTCCTGAGTAGCTGAGATTACAGGGATGTGCCATGACGCCTGGCTAATATTTTGGTATTTTTAGTAGAGATGGGGTTTCGCCACGTTGACCGGGCTGGTCTCGAACTCCTGGCCTCAAGTGATTCGCCCGCCTCAGCCTCCCAAAGTGCTGGGATTACAGGCATGAGCCACCACACCTGGCCTTTTTCTTTTTCTAATTATTATTATTATATTTTAAATGGAGTCTCGCTCTGTTGCCCAGGTTGATGTGCAGTGGCGCAATCTTGGCTCACCACCGCCTCCTCCTCCTCCCAGGTTCCAGTGATTCTCGTGCCTCAGCCTCCCAAGTAGCTGGGACTACAGGCATGTGCCACCACACCCAGCTAATTTTTGTATTTTTAGTAGAGACAGGGTTTAACCATTTTGACCACGCTGGTCTTGAACTCCTGACCTCAAGTGATCTGCCCACCTCAGCCTCCCAAAGTGCTGGGAATATAGGCATGAGCCAATAAGCCTGGCCTAATTTTTTTTTTTTTTTTTTTTTTTTAAAGAGACAGGGTCTCATTTTGTCACCCAGGCTGGAGTGGCATGATCATAGCTCACTTTAGCATCAAACTCCTGGCCCAAATGATCCTCCCACCTCAGCCTCCTGAGTAGTTAGGACTATAGGCATGTATCACCATGCCAGGCTAATGGGTGTGTGTGTGTGTGTGTGTGTGTATACATACGTATGTATGTGTGTGTATATGTATGTGTGTGTACATATATATTTATTTATTTATTTGTTAGAGATAGGGTCTTACTACGTTGCCCAGGTTGGCCTCAAGTGATCTTCCTGCCTCAGCCTCCCAAGGTACTGGGATTACAGGAATGAGACAGTGCACCGGGTTCTCCCCACCCCCTCGCAAGTTCTATGCATGAGAATCCCTGGACTTGCCCCAGGCCACCCTGTGGTCTGGGACAGGCTCCTCCCGACCCCAGGGGCTCTTACCGCAACTGCAGGAGGCTTGGTGTGTTGCAGTGGATGGTGCTGCTCAGCTGGTCCAGGGTGTAGTACAGAGGCACGTCCGGGAGCTCCTGCGATGGGGGACAGGATGGGCATGAGTGGAGATGGACGGGCACAGGTGGAGCCCCCTTCCCCGTCACAGCCCGGCTCTCACCTCAGTGATGACGCTCAGGACCCCTCGGATCCGCTCCGAGGTGTGGAAGCGGCCGGGGTTAGCGCTCACAGCCTCCAGGACACGGCCCACAAAATCCAGGTCATGGATGGGCTCTGCCCACATGGGGCCACCAAGCTGGGGGCGCACCGGGGACAGGTGAGCAGGGACTATGACCTTCAAGACCCTCTTGCTCCTTTGCCTCCCCTGGCCTAGCCCTACCTGGTGTCGTTGCCCACAGTGTTCACACTCGGGGGTCACAGGGGGACCACAGGCTGCAGAGAACTTGGCCCTAAACAGAGAGGGGTGGTTGGTGGGGAGGGAGGAAAACCCTGGGACTCCCCTTCTTCTCCTTCCTCCCTGCTCACCGGCCGCTGGGGACTCCTGACGCTTTGCCGAGACGCTGAAGGTGGAAGGCCCCGCAGCCCACACACTGGAACACCAGCGCCTGCTTGCTGTGGGGGGTACCAGTGGCCACGAGTTCCCAGCGTGACCACGACACCCCAACTCCTCCCTTAGACTGGCTCTGTCCCTTAAGAAGCCCCAGATCCCCCAGGGCAAGGTCCTGTCTCCTCTCTCAATCCACCACCGCTCTCTGCCCCCGGGCTGACCTGGCTGAGGCCTTGACCTTGGCCTGGCCGGTGAAGACACGGACAAAAACACGCACGTAGAAGTCAGCGCTGATGCTGAGCAGCGGCACCACGAAGCGCTGGTAGCAGTTGGCGCGGAGGTCCAGGCTGTGCAGGACGATTCTCAGGGCCTGGGGGTGGGGGGTGGGTGTCAGCCTCCCCTCCACTATCCACCCACCCCACCAGGAGCCCTATGTGGTACTCACAAGTACAGGCTCAGGGCCAGCTCCCTGGGATCCAAGCCCACCCCTGAAAGTCCTGGCTGTGGGACCCTCAACAAGTGAGTATCCCCTCTCTGTGCCTCAGTTTCTTCATCTGCAAAATCACAACAGTCCCTGTCTGTGGCACTGCTGGGGGCACTAAACGAGTGAGGAAAGCATAGATCCAACCTATTCTGACCAGCATTATCGGTGTGCCATGTGGCATGTACTGAGGACCCACGTTCCAGCCCCCAAGGGCTCTGTGGGCAGGAAGTGGGGATACTAGGTGCTGTAGAACTGCTGGGGCCTGGGCCGGGCGTGGTGGCTCATGCCTGTAATCCCAGCACTTTGGGAGGCTGGTCAGGAGTTTGAGACCAGCCTGGCTAACATGATGAAATCCCCGTCTCTACTAAAAATACAAAAAATTAGCTGGGTGTGGTGGCGGGCGCCTGTAATCCCAGCTACTAGGGAGGCCGAGGCAGGAGAATCACTTGAACCTGGGAGGCGAAGGTTGCAGTTAGCTGAGATCTCACCACTGCACTCCAGCCTGGGCAACAAGAGTGAAACTCCATCTCAAAAAAGAAAAAAAAGCAAAACGGCTAGGGCTTTCCTGCTAGTGTGAGACTCTGATATGGGAAAGGAGACAGCATTTCCCGGGCTGACTTCATGACAGGACCCTTTAGGAACAAGGGCAAGAGCCCTCTGTGGACCACGCTGGAGTGCAGTGGCACTATCAAAGCTCACAATAACTTTGAACTCCTAGGCTCAAGTGATCCTCCTGCCTCAGCCTCCAGAGTAGCTGGGACCACAGGCATCCACCACCACACCTAGGTAATTTTTAGGGTTTTTTTGTAGAGATGGGGTCCTCGCTATGTTGCCCAGGTTCCTGACCTCAAGTGATCCTCCCACCTTGGCCTCCGAAAGTGCTAGGATTACAGGCATGAGCCGCTGCACTTCGCCACTCAGCCTTCTTGAATCCTGATCAGACACTCAATAGGGTCAGACCATTTTTTTTTTTTTTTTTTGAGACAGAGTTTTGCTCTTGTTGCCCAGGCTGGAGTGCAATGGTGCCATCTCGGCTCACCGCAACCTCCACCTCCCGGGTTCAAGTGATTCTCCTGCCTCAGCCTCCCGAATAGCTGGGATTACAAGCACCCACCACCACGCCCAGCTAATTTTTTTTTTTTTTTTTTTGTATTTTTAGTAGAGACGGGGTTTCACCATGTTGGCCAGGGTGCTCTTGAACACCTGACCTCTTGAACACCGCCCACCTCGGCCTCCCAGAGTGCTGGGATTACAGGCGTGAGCCACCGCGCCCGGCCTATTTTTTTTTCTTTTTTTTGAGACAGAGTCTTGCTCTGTCGCCCAGGCTGGAGTGCAGTGGCACAGTCTCAGCTCACTGCAAGCTCCACCTCCTGGGTTCACGCCATTCTCCTGCCTCCGCCTCCCGAACAGCTGGGACTACAGGTGCCCGCTACCATGCCTGGCTAAGTTTTTGTATGTTTAGTGGAGATCAGATTTCACCATGTTAGCCAGGATGGTCTCAATCTCCTGACCTCATGATCCGCCCACCTCGACTTCCCAAAGTGCTGGGATTACAGGCGTGAGCTACCACGCCCGGCCTATTTTTTTTCTTTTTGAGATGGGGTCTCCCTCCCAGGCTGGCGTGCAGCGGAGTGATCTTGGCTCACTGCAACCTCGCCTCCTGGGTTCAAGTGATTCTCCTGCCTCAGCCTCCTGAGTAGCCGGGATTACAGGTATCTGCCACCATGCCTGGCTAATTTTTGTATTTTTAGTAGAGATGGGGTTTTACCATGTTGGCCAGCTGGTCTCAAAGTCCTGACCTCAGGTGATCCACCTGCCTAGGCCTCCCAAAGTGCTGGGATTACAGGTGTGAGCCACTGCGCCCGGCCTTCAGACCATCATTGTGCCCATTTTACAGATGCAAAAAAACCCGAGGACCAGAAAGGTGAAGTCACTTGCCCAGAGCTACCAGCAAAGCTAGGATTTAAACCCAGTCCTGGAAAAACGACCTTTAAAAAAAAAATTTTTTTTTGAAAAGTTGTTTTAATACAGAAAACTAAAATAATGTGGCCATGCACTCCTGTCCTGGCCAAAGCCACTGTCCCCAAATGACCATGATTATCAGCCATGCTCTTAGGAACTATGTGGGTTGAAGACACGCCTGTCGTTAACAGCCTGGGATGCATCTGGCCATCAGCCTGGAGGAAGCTGAGCAGGTCTGAGGAGGGGGAAAGTGTATTGGGAAGGGACTCAGACAACCACCTGTCCCCCGGTCTCCCTGGCTGGCTGGCAGAGGGCCCCTCACCATCTCGTGGCAGGCCCGGCTCTTGAGGGCCATGGCCCCGTACTTGCTGTAGCACGTCTCCCCGCTGTTCCCCGCCAACACCGCCATGTCTGTGCAGGTCACACACAGCAACCCTGCAGAGAGGGGCTGGGCAGTGAGAACCCTCCAACACCCCAAGCCCTGCTCCCACCCCAGTGCCATCCCCACCTCACCTCCTTCACTCACAGCCTGCACAGCTGCATCCAGGAAGGTGGCTGGGCTGCCATAGGGGTCCAGATCGATGACGTCAAACCTCTCCGACACCCTCTGGTGCTGGTACATCAGCATCCTGGGTGCAAAGAGGGCCAGGTCCTCAGCCTCCCACGCCAGGTACCTTCTCTGTCCCCTACACATATTAACTCGTACAGCACAGTGGTTTGGGTCTGAACTCCGGGGCCAGATTCCCAAGTTCAAGTCCTGGCTCAGTCATTTATTTATTTATTTATTTTATTTTTGAGTCGGAGTCTTGCTCTGTCAGCCAGCTGGAGTGCAGTGTTGTGATCTCGGCTCCCTGCAACCTCCGCTTCCCCAGTTCAAGCAATTCTCGCGCCTCAGCCTCCCGAGTAGAGTAGCTGGGACTACAGACATGTGCCACCACGCCCAGCTAATTTTTGTATTTTTAGTAGAGATGGGGTTTCAACATGTTGGCCAGGCTGGTCTCAAACTCCTGACCTCAAGTGATCCATCCACCTCGGCCTCCCAAAGTGCTGAGATTACAAGTGTGAGCCACTGCACTGGCCTTGGTCATTTATTAAACTGCACAATTTTCCTACTTAGGAAAAGCACCATGTGGAACTCAGTCCACACATCTAAAACAACAACAATACTGATATAAGACGTATCTGCCTGACACCATTTCAAGCAGTTTATAGATGTATTAACACATTTTTTTTTTCCTTTCTTTGGAGACAGAGTCTCGCTGTGTCACCCAGGCTGGAGTGCAGTGGTGGGTTCTCGGCGCACTGCAACTTCCACCTCCTGGGTTCAAGCGATTCTCCTGCCTCAGCTTCCCAAGTAGCTGGGATTACAGGCACGTGCCACCATGCCTGGCTAATTTTTATATTTTTAGTAGAGACGAGGTTTTACCATGTTGGCCAGGCTGGTCTCGAGCTCCTGACCTCAAGTGATCCGCCCACCTCGGCCTTCCAAAGTGCTGGGATTACAGGGGTGAGCCACTGCGTCTGACCTCATTTTAAAATTTTTGTAGAGACGGGTTTCACTGTGTTGCCTAGGCTGGTCTTGAAATCCTGGCCTCAAGCGATCCTCCTGCCTTGGCCTCTCAAAATGCTTGATTACAGGCATGAGTCACCATGCCCAGCTAATTACTTTTCATTGTCTGTGATTACTATTTGGATTCTAGTAAGGTCAGAAAAGTAAAAACTTTTTTCTCTGTAAAAGGTCAGAAGGTATTTTAGGCTTTGTGAGTCATATGTGGTCCCTACTGCATAGTCTTCTTTTTTAACCTTTAAAAATGTAAAAAACATTCTTGGGTTGTGGGCCATTGATAAACTAGGCTAGGCCGGGCGCAGTGGCTCACGTCTGTAATCCCAGCACTTTGGAAGGCCGAGGTGGGCAGATCACTTGAGGTCAGGAGTTTGAGACTAGCCTGGCCAACATGGCAAAACCCTGTCTCTACTAAAAATATAAAAATTAGCCTGGCATAGCCAGGTGCAGTGGCTCATGCCTATAATCCCACCACTTTGGGAGGCCGAGGCGGGCAGATCACGAGGTCAGGAAATCGAGACCATCCTGGCCACCATGGTGAAACCCCATCTCTACTATAAATACAGGTGGGTGTGGTAGCAGATGTCTGTAGTCCCAGCTACTCAGTCGGGAGGCTAAGGCAGGAGAATCACTTGAACCTGGGAGGCGGAGGTTGCAGTGAGCCAAGATCACGCTAGTGCACTCTAGCCTGGGCAACAGAGCGAGACTCCGTGTCAAAAAATAAATAAATAAATAAAAATAAAAATTAGCCAGGCGTGGTGGCACGTGCCTGTAATCCCAGCTACTCGGGAGGCTGAGGCAGGGGAATGGCTTGAACCCGGGAGGCGGAGGTTGCAATGAGCTGAGATCGTGCCACTGCACTCCAGCCTGGGCAACAAGGGCGAGACTACATCTCAAAAAACAAACAAACAAGCAAACAAACAAAAAAAGGCTGTGAGCCCCACAGGCTATAGTTTGCCAACTCTTGCGAAGGTCACCAATTTTGCATGTTTTGTTTCCTGATGCATTTCCAGTTCTTGAAAACGGTGCCTGACACATAGCAGACACTGGATATACTATGGCTCATTTGAATGAATAAAAGGAGTGTAAGAAGTTAAAACAGAGACCAGGATGCTACTTATTTCTGGCACAGAGTATGGATCATACCATAATTATCTATTACTCATCACAGCAACCCCTGTAAAACTAATTTTCTCAGTTGACAGACAAGGAAACTGGGGCTCAAAGAGGCTAAGTCACTCACTCAAGGTCACAGAGTGAGAATGTGACAGAGCCAGAATTTGACCCCAGGCAGGCTTGTCCCAGAGCTAGGCTGTGATGCCCAGAACCTACCGGGCATCTGCTTGGCTCGGCTGTACCAGGTGGGCCACGTCATTGAGCTGGACATTCCGGCGTATGAGATCCACAGCCCGGGTGGAGGCATCGTTTGCAACCACAGATCTGAGCCCAGGCACCTCTAGGGCAAATCGAATGGAACGTAGGCCTGAAGCTGCCAGGCCTTCCAGCACATGCAGGCCTTCCTGTTGGAGTAAGCAGAAAACCTCCCTCACATCTCCACCTCCATCCTCTTCTGGGCCCCAAGGAGCCCCCACCACCCACCTCCTATAGCTCTCCCCCTCCAGGAGCCCTCTGTCTCCCGCTAAATTCCAGGGCTGCCAGCTCCTATGCTCAGGCCCCACCTCACAGATCTCCCCCACGGCCGCTGTGCGAGGTTGGTCTCCTGAGGCCAGGTTTTCACTCTCTTTCAGTTCAACCTTTTCCTCCTCTTGCTCTGACAAGTCCACGACCACTTTTTGCGTGTCCTTCTCTCCTGGAACCTTGACTGCAGCCACCCAGAGGCACAAGTCAGAGAATAACAAGGTCCCCTCTGAGAAACCTCCCCTTAATCTCCAAAATATCGTCCCTGAAATCCCTGCGGAAAGGCTGAAGGAGCAGAACCCAGGGCCTGCTATGTGGCTGAAGCCCCTCTGGATTTGGGCGGCAGAAGAGCCCAGGCAGGGAGATAAACTTGTGTGACCCCCGCCCACCAGAAGCCTGGACCTCCACTCACTCTGGATTCCTTTGGCCCCAAGCTGAATGCGAGCAAACTCGGTGATCACAGCACATCTGGTGGGAGACAGAGGACTAGCTCATACCCCGCCCCCGCCATCCACACTGACCCACTAGCCGATGCCAGGCTAACGTCTGACCCCTGCTCACGTCAGGTCCCGATTGAATTCCTGCACCGGGTTATAAAAGACCTCGTTGGCACTGGGAAAGGCGATTTTGGCAGCCCCCTCGGTGACTGTCGTCTCCTGGACTTCACGTGGACGTTCTTCTCCGTAGGGCCCGGTGCCGTTCTCCATCGCTGCTGTATTCGGCAGCCCTGGAGACTGCCACTCGAAAAACCGGGCTCTAGAGAGCACCCGGGCGGAGCGGAAAGTGAGGCTTAGCCACAGAGACGATCCTTGCATGAGACATCCGCTGGCGCCTCCGCCCGCCAAGCCTGGTTCGGGGGGCGGGGGAGGGCACAGAGAGGGTCAGAGAGCCGCATTCCGGGCCCGGGGATGTCCTACATATCTATGAGGTAGGGACTAGGAAAACCTGCGGCCTCGGTAAGCTGATATCCCCTCGTTTTGGGGATGACTGGTCCCTGTGGAGCCGATGCCCTCGTGCAGGCCCGCCCCGAGTCCGAATCCCTCCCCGCGCTGCCTAGCCCGTCCTCACCTGCTCTCGTAGCCACAGAAAACCGAATTAGTCAAGGTGCACGTTTCCCGAATTAGGACCTGGGCGCCGCCATGTTGGCACAGTGGGTGGGCGAATCACATGATAGTGGTTGGCCAGTCAATGAGGAAACGTACGGTGGGCGGCCGGGATCAAAATGAAAGCCATAAAGGAAGCGCGCTGATCGTGCTGTTCCGGGGGTGTTAATCACAGTGGATCCCCTGGGAGAGGACACGTCCCTAGTCCCATTTCACAGATGAGGAAGTTGTGGCTCAGAAAAGGGGCGGTAAGCGGAGAAACCCAACACTTATTGGTCCTCTTCTGTGTTCTGGGTGCTATATACACATTATTTCAGAGCACCCTGCAGGAATGACTCAGGCTCTGGAGTTGGATTTACCGGGTTTGAATCTCAGTCCCATCACATGCTCTGGGCAGGTTACTCCCGCGGCTTCACTTTTCTTACCTATTAAATGAGAATCGTGGTTTCTCAGATAGAGCAAAGATTAAATGACAGATTCCTGGAAAGTGTGCAAAGAACCACTCTAACATTGTAAGCGCTCGGTAAAGTTCTAACCAGTGTATGAAGGCAGGACAGCGAAGTGGTCCCGGCTACCTGGGTTCCAGTCTCAGCTCGCCCTGCGACTTGTTAACTCTGAACTTAAGTTACCGCTTTTGCAAAATGGGCAGAACTTTTTTTTACCATTTGTTACTGGGTTGTAGTGAGAAGTAAACGAGTTAGTGCAGGTAAAATGCTAACAGAACCTAGCATCCGGTAAGCATCATAAAAGTCTTAGGTCTTATTGTCGCTTTTGAGCCTGTGTTTAAATCCTGGCACCTACCATCACTTCCTTGCTGTGTGATGATCTTGACCAGCTTTCTTCATTTCTCTGTGCCTCCTTTTCTTTCTTTCTTTCTTTTTTTTTTTTTTTTGAGACGGAGTCTCGCCCAGGCTGGAGTGCAGTGGCATGATCTCGGCTCACTGCAACCACCGCCTCCCGGGTGCAAGCGATTCTTCTGCCTCAGTCTCCCGAGTAGCTGGGATTACAAGCGCATGCCATCACGCCCGGCTAATTTTTGTATTTTTAGTAGAGACAGAGTTTCACCATATTGGCCAGGCTGGTTTCGAACTCCTGACCTCAGGCGATCCACCCACCTCGGTCTCCCAAAGTGCTGGGATTACAGGCGTGAGACACCGCGCCCAGCTGCCTTTATTTTCTATAGTGTGTCTGTAGCAGTTCTCACTAAAAAATGTTACTGTGTAGTTTAAACGAGCTAATTCCCATAAAGAATGTAACGCAGTGCCTGCCACAATAAACAGCAGTCATTATTGTTTTTGTTTTACAGGAAACTAAAGTTCGGAAAGGTAGAGCGACTTGCCCAAGGTCGCGGGACTAGAAGGTGGCGGGGCCAGGATTCGAACCATCGAGCTGAGCCGACGTACTGGCGAGGATCCCCCAGGGGCATAGAGAGGAGACGGAGCCGGTTAGAAGGGGCGCGCTCGGAGCTCGGCTGGCCTCGCCTGGAGGGCGGGGCCCGAGGGCGGTGCGCGGGCGGGGCCGGGGCCGCTCCTCCCTGGCCTGGCTGCGGCGGCAGCGCGGCTTGCGCTCGCTCGGCGCTCGGCTGGGGCGGCCTGGCCCACAATGAATGGCCGCCGCGGCTGCCGCTGCTGCTGAGGCGGAGGCCGCGGAGGCCGCGGAGGCGGAGGCCGAGGCCCCGGCGCAGCGGGGCGCGCCCCGGGCCCAGGCCCGGCCCCAGCCGCCGCTGCGGAGCCCGCCGGGACCCCCCGGAGCGCGGCCACGGCGCAGGTGAGGCGGCCCGCCTCAGGCCCGGTTCCGGCCTCCTCCAGCCGGGGCGGCCCGAGGGCTGAGTGGGGAGGGCCTGGGTGCTTTCTCGGACCGAGGAGGAGCCGGGCCCGCAGCCTGCACTGTGCCCGGGCAGGCGAGTGTGTGGAGGCCCAGCTACCGCGGGCGGCCTTGAGCGTCCAGCCCGAGCTTCAGGGCTTGGGGGCGGCAGGATCGTACCTGGACCGCTCCCCCGTCTCCCAGCGAGGGAGGGGGCCAGGTCGGGCCGGGGCAGGTACCGGGGATCCGGGGAAGTTGGAGGGTCCGAGGCGGAAAAGTGAGGAGGTTCTCGTGGATGCCGGAGGGGGAGGGGGAGGGGGAGGAGGAGTCGGGCTCCGGCCAGGCCGAGTGGGGGAGGAGAGGAGAGCGGCGCGGCCGGAGGGGGGCGGGGAGGGGCCGGGCCTGCAGGTACCGCCTGGGCGCTGGAGGAGGTGGGTGGGTCAAGTTACAGGCCTGGGGGCGGCTGAGGAGAAGCCCAGGAAGTGGGGCACGGCGGGTGTGGGCGGAGTTACTTCGTGTGGGGGCGGATAGGAGATCCCAGAGATGTTTTCCGGGGGTCACATGAGGTCAGGACTCAGATGTGGGGAGGGGGAGGCTAGATGTGGGGGCGATCAGGTAAGGTGAGGGACTGCTGTAGGAGTTTTGGGAGTCGAGAGAGCAGAGCCTTTTGGGCTAGGCTAGGGGGGATGTGGGGGCAGGTCAGGAAAAGCTGGTGTGACCAGAAGGTATATACTAAGATGCGCCCCCCACCGCCCCCAACTCAAGTGTTAAGGGGTTCCGTCTTTCTCACACCTCATCCCTGAAGCCTCTAGAGTCCTGACCCTACCCCTTGGGCAAGCCTCTGCCAACTGTTCAAAGGCACTGGCCAGTGGGTGTTTGTGTGGGCAGCTGGAGACAGTCTGGAACACCTAGCTTAGGCATCTTGTTTATCACAAGGTGGCCCTTGCCCACCCCCACCTTATATATCTACAGGGAGGCAGCCCAGCAGACGTTACCTGGGTATTTTAGGATCCTGCATTCTTTCTCTACCTTTTGTGGCCAGAAGCTGGTGGTTCAAGCCTAGTGGATGGGACCTCACAGCAACCATCGTATATATTAGTACCATGGCCTCCCAGGCACCAACTCCTTGAGCCTGAGTTCTGTGTGCCATCTCCCTGGGGGTGAAGAATTAGAGGGAATGAGCATGTAAAACTCTGTTGATGGTGGTTTGGAGGCTCCCGACGGGGTGAAGGCAGGGCACAGAGAAGAGTTAAGGGGATCAAATCAGGCACTCACACCCTGGCCCAGGGATCTACCTCTGGGACACTCGTCCTGGGCCAGGCCCTGTGCCGAGCTCGCTGGTCGGATGAGCTCATTGATGGCTCACCACCACCAGTTCAACTTAGGCCTTCTCTGGGGTCCAGACGAGGAAGCTGAGGCTCGGGGTGGTGTGGCTTGTCTCAGATCACATGAGCAGACAGTGGCTGAACTGGGATTGTCTGACCCTCAGCCCAAACCCATAGTCACTCAAGTGGCCTTCCAGGAGGGTGACTGAAGGAGCTCCTCGTTCTGGATTCCCTGGCGGGCGTTCTCCTCCGTCCAGGCCTTCCCTTCTGCTCACCCCGGGGGATGGGTCAATCCCCTTTGGGACAGACTGAGTTTCCATGGTGTCCCCGGGGAATGGAACAGTGGAGGTATCTTTCTCGGAGGCCTGGTCACCCCTTCTTCCCCATTTCCCTCCTGGGAGCCAAGAGGTCAGGAGTCATGGAACTGTGGGCTGACCGTGGGAAGCTGAGGAGGCCTGGCACCACCAGGGCTGGACTTGACTTTGCTTGCCTAGACTGTTTTTGCCCCACTTTGGCCCCCAGTCGGATGGCAGCAGCTTTTGTTCCTTTCTGGGCTAATTGCAAGGCTGTTACCAGGGTGTCCTTGGGACTTTGATTTGGGATCTTCAGCACCTGAGGCAGGAGCCACAAACTGCTGGGTCAAGTGGTGTCAGCCAGTTCTGGGTTTAATGATGGGTTGTCACCCTAATTCTCCCCAGTCTCCCTATAGTTCCCAGGACACCCTCCAACCTGGGCCCTGCCCTTCTTGCCTGTCTGGCTAGCCACTTGGTTCTAGGAGGAGTAGGAACTGGGCCAGCAGTCCCGCAAAGAGACTGAACCATCCTTCCTGGCTGGTTGGGCCAGGATTGCTGCAGGTCTGCTTCAGCACAGACTGGGTCCTCCTGGACCTAAGCTGGGTTGGATACCAGGGATAGGGGATTGGTGGTACCATCCAGTCACTTAGCTGAGACTGTTGGGAGTTGGCCCTGGTGAGTGGGGGACAGGCAGTGCCTCAGGCAGCTCCGGTTTGTGCCTAGAGGTAGAGGAGAAGGCACCAGTAATAACTGCTTTTCGGTGAGAACTTAGCATGCACAGACTCTGTGGGGGCAAGTGCAACAAGTAGGCAGCCCGTTGAGACAGTTTTATTTCACTGCTGGGTGCTGACTCCCCGCTGGGGGCTGGGGAAGCATCCCGGAGTAACAGATCCAGAGCAGCTAGCTCTCAAGCGACCAAACTTTCACAAGCAAAGGATCAAGATAATTTCACATACTTCTGTGTTTACAAAGATGGTGTAGCAAAGTGAAGTCATTATGAGCCATGAGGGGATGGGGAGGTTTCGATGGGTGGCCGGAAGTGTTCCCGGAGAGCTAAGATCTGAATAATAATGTTAGCTAAGGGGTGGGTGGTGCTGGGGCGCAGGGAGGGGTCAGTGTTCTAGGCTCAGGGGACAGCACATTCACAGCTTTTCTTGAGTATGTACCAGTCTTCTTCTGAGTGCTCTAAACATTTTGTCTTCATGAGGGAAGGAGTGGGGGGATGACCCTACTGTGGAGACAGAGACTCTAGTACCATTCACAAGAGAGTGAAGCCCTGTCTCTGGGTCTCCTGGATCTGCCCATCACCCCCAGATGGAAGTTCAGAACCCCTTGGCCTGCATCTAGGGTATTTAAAAAATCTGGCCTCCTGGCCGGGCAGCAGGGAGCCCCAGCAGGTTCTTGAGCTGGGCTTTGAGGAGATGTGAGTTTTGGTCAGCCTTACAGGGTCTATTGAAGGAGTCTGCCTGGAGGCCCGGGGGTTTGGAGAGAGTTTGGGGTTGGCCCAACATTGTCTGACCCTAGATTTCATCAGTGTCATTGCCAGAGCCTGTGTGGAGAGAGGGATCCCATCAGGCTTGGTGGGGCATATTGCTTTTGGGATGGTGGTGAGCCACCGGGGCTGGAAAACATGAGTCAGTGTTCATGCCACTCTGCGTCCTCAGATCCTCCGTGCCCCTCGTTTCTCCTCCTAGGTTGCTCTCAGCACTTGTACACACTCGAACTCATTTAAGCCCGTGGCTAGCAGGTCCTGCCTGTTATCATCATTTGACACACAAGGCAACTGAGGCACCCTAGTCCTTCCTTCACACAAGCTGCAAAGTGGTCTGGCTACCACCCCTGTGCCGCCTTCCAGCCACTTTCATGTTCCTCGTGTCTGCATTTGCTCCTCAGTCCTCTCAGCCGCTACTGCCTTCCCCTAGAGAACCCTCTGGGCCGCATGAGGTGGGGCCGGGAGGTGGGACTGGGCCTGCTTGCACATTAGGTGGGGTGAGGACCAGCCGAGCCGGCAGAGGTGACGTGTCTTAGGTTGTGATCTGTGTGTGGTTGTGGTCATGTCCCTCCAGCCTTCTCATGTGCTGCCTCCTTGGCGAAGGTCTCAGTTCTTAGAGACCTGTGCGTCTTCTCTGAGGGCTTTGACTGTGTCCAGTTCGTGGTTTCTAAATCGAGCAAAGGGAGAGGGTAGGTAAGGGTGAGCAGACACGGTCTAGTAGAGAGTGAAATTTCACACTTAGCACCACCCCTGTCTCAGCCATGAGACTCTGGGCAAAGGTCTTTACCTCTGAGCCTCAGTGTCCTCCTCTGATAAGGAGTGACAAGTGGGCACAACTATACTGCTGTGATTCGCAACTGGGTACAGTCCTACCTCCGGGGACACTTGGGGAATGTCTGGGGACATTTTTGGTTGCCCCTGCCGGGGGGGGGGGGGTGTGCTGCTGGCATCTAGTGGGTTTATAGGCCAGGGATGCGGTTCAACATCAGACAGTGTGTAGGGCAGCCCCCACCACAAAGAATGATTGACGCAAATGCAGTGGCTGGGTGGGGAATCTCCACTGTCTGGTTATCATGAGGTTTGCGGGAGAGGTTGGCGTCTGGGGTGTGAGTGGACAGTGCTGTGAAGGCTCTGGGGAAAACCCCAGCGATCACTGCCTGTTAATCCCATGAAATGTGCGAGGTCTGGGAGATGGTGAGAGGCATAAGATGTCTTCTACTCCCAGGGAGTTTGCGGCCCAGCACGGGGCCAGGGGATACGACTAACAGCAGCTGGCATTCATGAGCACCGACTACGGGGCGAGCGCCGATCGGCCTGTGTTCTTTGGTTGTTTAATCCTTGAAATAGCCTTGTGAGGTGGCTGCTGCTGTCAGCCCATTTTCTAGATGGGAGACTGATATGGGGGGTGAGCAGTATTGAGGGTAATTCTGAGTGACAAGCTCTATAAGGGATTTGAGCCTAGTACAATAGTAGGATTCAAAATCTTAGGTCCTGCGTGGTTCCCTAGCACAGCCCAGCAGGCCCCTCTCCCAGGATGATCCCCATCCCTCCACCCTCCTTTGTGTTAGCGGCACCAGGGTCACCTCAGGGCCTTTGCACTTACTGTTGTTCCCTCCACCCTTGGTTGCCGCCACTGCTGCCCTGTCTTTTGGGTATGATCTGATTACACGCAGGGAGTGGGATGTAACTCCGAAGGGTGGGCTTATGGTTGGAGTTGGTGGGGAGGGAGCGGGCAGGCTGCGAGCTCCATGAGGACGGAGGCAGAGCTTCTGCCAGGCTCTCCAAGGAGCTGGAGCTGCTGCCTGCAAAGGGAGGCCAGATTGCCGAGGGCTGCGAGGAGGAGCGAGTGGGAGGAGGGAGAGGCAGCACGCGGAGACTGCTCATTCCCGGAGATGGTGGTTGCAGGGAGAAGGGGCTAGAGAATAGCTGCAGTTGGGAGGATTGGGAAAGGAAGAATGAAAAGAATGAAGAAGGCCTTCCTTGGGGATTAGAGAGAGGGCACCCCAGACCCTGAGGTGGAGGTCCTCAGACAGGCAGAAGACCCTGTTTCTGGAGAGGACACATCCAGTAGCTCAGGTAAAGAGCCCCAGCTCTGGGCTCGGCCGGTCCGGGGTTCCCGTCTGGTCTCTGCCTTGCTTCTCTGAACACCAGTTTTCCCACCTGTGAAATGGGTCTAGTCACAGCTGCCTCACATTTTTGCCTGATTCGGGAGCCAGACGGCCTGGGTATAAACCTGTGCCTGCCATTCACCAGCTACATGTTCCCCACCTCTGGCTTCACCTCTCTGGGCCTCATTCCCATCCATGAAATGGCAGGCAGGCTCATTTCTTCCTCAGAAACTGTAAAGAAGAGTAAGTTAAATGAGCCTGTCTGAGCCCTGGCCAGGTATGGGCCCAGTCAGTGAGGCTTGAGTAGGGGACACTGTTACTAATCCTATTCCACCATGGATTTAACAATAGTCATTCAGGGAAAGAGATAACGAATTAAATCTGTGGGTGTATAAGAAAAAAAATACAGGCCAGGTGCAGTGGCTCACGCCTGTAATCCCAGCTCTTTGGGAGGCTGAGGTGGGCGGATCACTTGAGGCCAGGAGTTTTGAGACCAGCCTGGCCAACATGGAGAAACCCAGTCTCTACTAAAAATACAAAAATTAGCCAGGCATGGTGGTGTGTGCCTGTAATCCTAGCTACTCAGGAGGCGGAGGCACGAGAATTGCTTGAACCCAGGAGGCGGAGGTTGCAGTTAGCCGAAATCACGCCACTGTACTCCAGCCTGGGCGACAGAGGAAGACTGTCTCAACAAAAAAGAAAAAAAAATACTGATGCAAGATGAGGTCTTGCTGTATTGCCCAGGCTGGTCTCAAACTCCTGGCTTCAAGCGTCTTCCTGCCTCAGCCTCCCGAAGTTCTGGGATTACAGGTAGGAGTCACCGCCCCCCACTGAACAGTTTGTTCTTCACTAACTGTTTTCCTGGACTGCCTTCACATTCAGCCCCTACAGAGGGGTCTTTCTGGTTCTGGGTCAGGCAGGCAACCTGAGTAGCTGCCAGGATCCAGCCACATCCTGCTGAGCTGCATGAAGGACTGTGGGGCTCTCTGGGGCCTTTGTTCCTTGTTACACTTGGAGTTGCTGGTCTCCCTTAACTGGCTTGTAGGTCTTAGCCCATCTGGGCTGCTGTAATAAAATACCTTAGACTGGAAGCCAGGCACATTGCTCATGCCTCTAACCTCAGCATTTAGGAGGCTGAGATGGGAGGATTGCTTGAGCCCAGGAGTTCGAGACCAGCCTGGGCAACATAGTGAGACCTCATCTTTACAAAAAAATTTAATTTTAATTTGTTTTTCACCCGTGACACAGCCCTCAGGAGGTCCTGAGAACATATGTCTCTCGTCTTTGCAAAAAATTGTTTTAATTAGCCGGGCGTGGTGGCACACATCCCTAGTCCCAGCTACTCAGGAGGCTGAGGTGAGAGGATAACTTGAGCCCAGGAGTTTGACGCTATAGTGATCCAAGATTGCACCACTACGCTTCAGCCTGGGTGACAGAGCAAGACCCTGTCTCAAAAAAACAAAACAGACTGGGCCATTGATAAACAACAGAGATGAGCTGCTCATAGTTGTAGAGGGTGGGAAGTCCCATATCACGGTGCTAGCAGATTCCGTGTCTAGTGAGGGCCCATCTCTCATAGATAGCACCTTTTAGGTATCTGCACAGGGTGGCAAGGACAAACAAGCTCCCCCTCTTTTATACGGGCACAGTTCGTATTCATGAGGACAGAGCCCTCCTGACTGAATCAACTCCCGAAGGCCCCACTTTTTTTTTTTTTTTTTTTTTTGGTGAGACGGAGATTTACTCTTGTTGCCCAGGCTGGAGTGCAGTGGTGCGATCTTGACTCACCGCATCCTCCGCCTCCCAGGTTCAAGCGATTCTCCTGCCTCAGCCTCCCAAGTAGCTGGGATTACAGGCATGTGTCAGCATGCCAGGCTAATTTTGTATTTTTAGTAGAGACGGGGTTTCACTGTGTTGCCCAGGCTGATCTCGAACTCCTGATCTCAGGTAATCCGCCTGTCTCTGCCTCCCAAAGTGCTGGGATTACAGGCGTGAGCCACTGCACCCAGCCCTTTTTAAATTTTTGATCAACAACTTCTTTTTTATTTTGAGATGGAGTCTTGCTCTGTTGCCCAGCCTAGAGTGCAGTGGCGTGATCTTGGCTCGCTGCAACTTCCACCTCCTAGGTTCAAGCAATTCTGCCTCAGCCTACCTAATAGCTGGGATTACAGGCGTGCACCACTGCGCCCAGCTAATTTTTGTATTTTTAGTAGAGATGGGGTTTCACCATATTGGCCAGGCTAGTCTCCAACTCCTGACCTCAGGTGATCCGCCCACCTCGGCCTCCCAAAGTGCTGAGATTACAGGCGTGAACCACCATACCTGGCTGAAAGGCCTAACTTTTTTTTTTTTTTTAGACGGAGTCTTGCTCTGTCACCAGGCTGGAGTGCATTGGCCCGATCTCGGCTCACCGCAACCTTCGCCTCCTGAGTTCAAGCGATTCTCCTGCCTCAGCCTCCCGAGTAGCTGGGATTACAGGCACGTACCACTGTGCCTGGCTAATTTTTTGTATTTTTAGTAGAGATGGGGTTTCACCATGTTAGCCAGGATGGTCTCTATCTCCTGACCTCGTGACCTCGTGATCCGCCCTCCTCAGCCTCCCAAAGTGCTGGGGTTACAGGCGTGAGTCACCGTGCCCAGCCAGCCCCACTTCTTAATACCACTACATTGGAGATAGGCTTTAGCATGTGAATTTTGGGAAGAGGCAAACATTCAGACCATAGCATCTGTCGACGGCCATGTCACAGCTTCCCTGGAAAGACATCAGGAAAGGACTGTGCCTTTGACAGTCTCTCACAGGCCCATGCTGGCTGGGGAATTCCTCAGCTCTCTTCCCTAAGAGCTGACAGTTACTACTCCCAGGAATCATCCTGCCAGCCCCCTTCCTGCAGATGGCAGGATCCACCGGCAGTGTGAGCAATTCGTCAGGTAACACTGCGGTCTCAATAGGCCCCTGACTGCTGGCTACCCACCTTGGCAGCTGTCAAAGGAGGTCGTCTGTCTGCCCAGCCACAGATAATGCTTCTGAGCCCTATTCCTGTTTGAGCCACGTTAATGTGGAACAAAACAGGGAGTTAGGTTAGGAGGAATGGAAGTAATTCTTTGTTCATTTTTTCCACGAAGGACTGTGAGCACCCACTGTGTACCTGGCCAGGTCCTAGGGGTAGAGGACACAACAGGGATCTACACAGGCAAACTCCCTGCCCCAGGGAAACTGACATGAAGCCCCAAAAAATGCCCAGTTTGGCAGGGGTGGTGGCTCGCACCTGTAGTCCGAGCACTTTGGGAGGCCAAGGCAGGAGGACCACTTGAGCCCAGGAGTTTGAGACCAGCCTGGGCAACATTAGGGAGACCTCGTCTCTATTACTAAAAAATGCACAAATAAATAATTTTTTTTTAGAAAAAGAAAAATGGCCAGCTTGCTAAATAAATCATAGGAACTCCCAAGAAGGATAAGTCAAGCAGGGAGAATCAAGCCAGGGAGTTAGTGTCGGGAAGGGCTTTGTTGGTCAGACGCAGTGGCTCATGCCTATAATCGCAGGGTTTTGTGAGGCTGTGGCAGGAGGAACACTCAGCTGGGAGTTGGAGACCAGCCCAGGCAATATAGTGAGATCACGTCTCTACCAAAAAAAAAAAAAAAAAAAAGCATACATATACATATACTTTTTTTTTTTTTTTTTTTTTTTTTTTTTCGGTTAACTGGATGGGCCGGGTGCCGTGGCTCACGCCTGTAATCCCAGCACTTTGGGAGGTGGGCGGATCACTTGAGGTCAGGAGTTCAAGACCAGCCTGGCCAACATGGTGAAACCCCATCTCTACTAAAAATAGAAAAATTAGCCAGGCATGGTGGTGGTTACCTTTAATCCCAGCTACTCAGGAGGCTGAGACAGGAGAATCGCTTGAACGATTCTTGCAGTGAGCCGAGATCCCACCACTGCACTCCAGCCTGGGCGACAGAGCGAGACTCTGCCTCAAAAAAAAAAAGAAAAAAAAAAATTAGCTGGATGTAGCTCCTGTGGTCCCAGCTATTTGGGAAGCTGAGGTGGGAGGATTGCTTGAGCCCAGGAGTTTGAGGCTGAAGTGAGCTATGATGGTGCCACTGTACTCCAGCCTGGGTGACAGAGCAAGGCCCTGTCTCCAAAAGCAAAAGAGTAGAGAAAGGGCTTTATGTGACCAGGGAGAGTATGAAGAGCTATGGCTGTCCCATTCCCATTCTAGTAGGTCCGAGAGCAAGCAGGGCCAGACTGCCAGGGGCCCCAATAAAGCATTGTAGGGGCCCAGGCAGTGTCACTTGGGGCCAAGGTAGTACAAAGTGGTTTTGAAGGAGTTGAAGATGAATCCAAGGATCTGAATGAGGAGGGCCAGAGCTGGTGAAGCTACGGCATTCACAGGTTTTGGGAAGGACTGGAGCCAGGTCCTGAAATTGTTGAGTGGAGGTGTCTGGGGTGTGTGCGAGTCTGGCATTCACAGGGAAGTCCGGGCCAAAGACTCCAGTGGGGGAGGCATCAGTGAATAGATGGTGCTTCAGGCCTGTCTTAGTCAGCTCAAGCTGCCACACAACAAAATATCACAGACTGGGTGGCTTAAACAACAGACATTTATATTTCAGAGTGCTGGGGGCTGGCAGTCTAGATGAGAGTGCCAGCGTGGTCAGGTTCTGGTGAGGGCTCTCTTCATGGCTTGCAGACAGCTGCCTTCTTAATACCACCGTTATGACCTCAATTAACCTTAATTAGCTCCCAAAGGTTTTATCTCCAGATACAGGCACATTGGGGCTCAGAGTTTCAATCTGTGAATTTGGAGGGACATACTTTGTCCATAGCAGAGCCCTGAGACTGAGCCCAGTCCCCTGGAGGTGAAAACCCTTTCTGGAAGGGCCACACTCCCCATCCACTACTGCCCTTCCTAGATCTCAGCTCCAGTGTCACCCCTTCTGGGCAAGGTCAGGCACCCCAGTGTGTAGCACATTGATCTGTGTGACCAAGGATGAATGGCCCTGTCTCCTGCTGGACTGTGAGCTCCAGAGGCAGGGCTACTTTGTCACCATTGTGGCCTGCCCAGGCAGGGACCTGGCAAATATTTATTGAGTAGTTGTTGGGAAGTCATGGAAACCGTGTGCTGTGCCCTTGGGTCTCACCAGAAGATCTGCTCAGGCCCAGGGCCAGGACTAGGCACTGTCCTGGCCAGGAAGGTCCCAGCTGCCCTGTGGCCTCCTGCCCTTGTCCCCCACACCCTCAGGGGTGCTGATATGCTGAATTTTAAGGAGAGATGATTCTCATATGGTTTTCTGCCCTTGGGGAGTTTATAGTCAAGTGGGACTTAGTTTCCTCAGAGGTAAGCTTAAGGGCACTGTGGCCGGGGTGGGGCAGGAGAGGGACATCTTCTCTAGCCTGGAGAAGTGAGTAGCTGAGGGTGGAGGAAGAGGGTATTCCAGGCAGGGTGCACAGCTTGGGCAAAGGCCTCGCTGCAGTAGAGGAGGACCAGGCAGTGTGTTTGAGCCTGACTTAGGTGGGGATTTGGTGGGGACTAGAACCATTAGGTGGTTTAGAGACCTCAATCCTCGACTCCATCCCACCCCTGCTTCAGCCAGCAGGTGACCCTGCTAGGGACCTGCCAGCGAGAGACCCGTTTCCTCTGAGTCCAGTCATGCTAGCTCCCTTCCTGGGGCTAGCGTGGGTGAGGGCTTCTTGCAGGGGCCCACATAGTTTTTCTCCTGAGTCCATTGGGCAGGATTGGGCCGGATTGGGCCAATCACAGAGGGATGGAGGGGTTCCCAGAGATGGGTCTGCTCTGGCCCACACTGCAGCTCACCCCTGTCCACTCTGTGCGGGGGCCACTGGGGAACTAGACGAACAGCATTCAGGTCACTGTGGCTCACAGACCCGTCGCCCCACTCCGCTCGTCCCCAGCAGCATGGAGGGAGGGAGAGCTCCCGTGCGCTAATTGGCTGAGCTATTTGGACCAATTGCTAATCAAAGGCTCCAAAGCCCTGGGTGCTGTGGT
Organism: Homo sapiens; assembly: GCF_000001405.40. NCBI lineage: Eukaryota > Metazoa > Chordata > Mammalia > Primates > Hominidae > Homo > Homo sapiens. The sequence continues at coordinate 13,129,712 of NC_000019.10, forward strand.
GCTGGGCTCTGAAGCTGAGGTTCACAAGGTATGGGGGACCTCAGTCTGAGCATCAGGTTGGCTCTCATTCTCAGGAGGGGACCTGGGCCACCTTCCCAACCCCCACATCTCTGTTGCCTCCTATTATCCCCGTAACCTTTCAGTCTCCATTGCCAAATGGGGGGGTTCAAGACCAGCCTGGACAACATAGTGAGACCCTGTCTTTAAAAAAAAAAAAATTACCTGTGGCCGGTGCTGGGTGCTTGGTAAGGTCACCTTGAAGCAGTCCTGTGCCCGTTCTGCACTGTTTTGTTTGTTTGTTTGGTTGGCTGGTTGGTTGGTTGGTTTTGGTGGGGTAGTGGGGTCGGGGGATGTGGTTTTTTGTTTTTGCTTTTTTTGTTTTAGAGACAGGGTCTCGCTCTATGACCCAGGCTGAAATATAGTGGCACAATCATCACTCACTGCAGCCTCTAACTTTTTGGCTCAAGTGATCCTCCCACCTGAGCCTCCCAAGTAGCTGGGACTACAGGTGCAAGCCACCAAGCCCCACTAATTTTAAAATTTTTTGTAGAGATAGGGGTCTCACTATGTTGCCCAGACTGGTCTTGAACCCCTGGCTTCAGGGGCTCCTCCTGCTTCTGCCTCTCAGAGTGCTGTGATTACAGGCGTGAGCCACCGTGCCCAGCCTCTCTGCACTGTTCTTTAACACATTTACAAATATTTACTGAGCATCTATTTCATTCTAAAGAACTAATCTTGAATAAAACCAGCCAGAATGTTTGCCTTCATTGAGCTGACAGTGCCCTTGGAGGGGTTAACTGTACATACACCTCTTTTTTCTTTTCTTTTTTTTTTTTTTTTTTGAGATGGAGTATCACTCTGTTGCCCAGGCTGGAGTGTAGTGACTCGATCTCAGCTCACTGCAACCTCCACCTCCCAAGTTCAAGTGATTCTCGTGCCTCAGCCTCCTGAGTAGCTGGAACTACAGATGTGCACCACCACACCCGGCTAATTTTTGTATTTTTAGTAGAGACGGGGTTTCACCATGTTGGCCAAGCTGGTCTTGACCTCCTGACCTCAGGTGATCTGCCCGCCTCAGCCTCCCAATGTGCTGGGATTACAGGCGTGAGCCACCGCGCCTGGCCTGTACATATAACTCTTAAAATGCTGCCCTGACCCTGGGGCTCACTTTCAAAGATGTCCACACTCTGTAGGCCAGGACCCCACCTGTCCCATACCCTTCCTGGCAGCCCTGTCCCTGCTACATCGCCCTTCAGCTACACCAGCTTTCTTTGGGTCCCTGGACCACACCTGATACCTTCCCGCCCAGAAGTGTTATCTCTGTCCTGGCAGTTGCTCAACCTTTTATGGTCCCTACCACCAAGGCCATCTGCTTGGTTGACATACCCACCCCAACTGTAATTAAATCATCCCCGGTGTCTCCTCACTAGACAGCTCCACATAAGCACAGCTGGTCCTTTTAGGGCTGTGTCCCCAGCACCTCCCACAAAGGAGGATGCAGTTCATCAGGATGGGTTGGATGAACAGCCCATTTTACAGATGAATAAACTGAGGCACAGGCAGGTGCAGGATTTTGGCAGCACTGCACACCTGTCCTGGCTTTGTCCTCCTCCCTGGGGAATGAGCTTGGAGCACCCCTCTAGGAACTGGGATGCCAGCCTCTTCCCTTGACCATCTTGGTCCTTGTCATGTGGGCCCCAGTACCAGGGGTGGCTTTAATTTGGCTGCCCAGGGAGGTGGTTCAGGGCTGCCAGGACCCCTGAAGTAGGCTCTCTGGGCTCTGTCCTTTGCCCCCCAACATGGTGCCTGTTTCTCCTGCCTCTTCATGCAGAGTGGCCAGCTCCTGGCCCATTCAGCTCTGAGTTTGAGCTCCTGGGCGGAGATTTTTGTTGCCTTGTAACTGGGATTCCTAGATCCAGCCTCCACCCTCTGATTGCCCTAAGGAGGTTTTGGGGTTTTGTTTTGTTTTGTTTGTGTTTTCGTAGGATGGTGGCAGTGATTTTGAGGAGGGGAAGAGGAAGGAAGATACAAGCAAGGGAAGTCACAGGCTGTGGTGCCTAGGCAGACCCTGGTTTGAATCTTGGCCTTACCACTTTTTGCATGTAAGTGGTAGGGGCAGCAGATAGCTCAGGACATATCTTGGGTTTTTTTGTTTGTTTTTGTTTTGAGACATAGTCTCACTCTGTTGCCCAGGCTAGAGTGCAATGGCACAATCTTGACTCACTGCAACCTCCACCCTCCCGGGTTCAAGTGATTCTCCTGCCTCAGCCTCCCGAGTAGCTGGGATTACAGGCACCGGCCACCACACCCAGCTAATTTTTGTATTTTTAATAAAGATGGAGTTTCACCGTGTTTGCCAGGCTGGTCTCGAACTCCCGACCTCAGGTGATCCACCTGACTCGGCCTCCCAAAGTGCTGGGATTGGCCAGGTGTGGTGGCTCATGCCTGTAATCCTACACTTTGGGAGGCCAAGGCAGGTGGATCATTTGAGGTCAGTAGTTCAAGACCAGCCTGGCCTATGTGGTGAAACCGCATCTCTACTACAAGTACAAAAATTAGCCGGACATGGTGGCACACGCCTGTAGGCCCAGCTACTCAGGAGGCTGAGAATCACTTGACCCTGGGAGGCGGAGGTTGCAGTGAGCCGAGATGGCACCACTGCACTCCAGCCTGGGTAACAGAGCAAGACTCTGTCTTAAAAAAAAAAAAAAAAAAAAAAGTGCTGGGATTACAGGCTTGAGTCATCCCGCCCTTCAGGACATATCTTTTGAATTTTGAACCTGGTGAATGAATTTTTAGATGACCTCAGGACAGTCCTCAATTTCCACATGACCTCAGTTTTTCCAGCTTTGCAAGGGGAGTATGAAACCAGCCCTGAAGTCTTGCTAAGAGGATTCGGGGAGCTCATAGAAGTTGTGAGTTGGTTCCTCCATTCGCCTGGGTGTTGTAAGGGGCAGGGCCTGTGTCTTGCTTGTGGCCTGCCAGGGTAGCAGCTCAGTAAGTGAGATGGTATCTCACTGTGGTTAGGATTCACATTTCCCTGATGACTAGTAATGTTTCCGTGTAATTTCTTGAATGATCATTCAGTAACAATAAGTGTAGGTTGAGTTTGTAGAATCAGGTTGACCTCCTCAGCCTCGATTTCCAAATGGAGAAAGCAGAGATTTGGAGCTCCTGGTCAGAGGAGCAGGTCGGTGCTGGAGCCAGGACTCAACCTTAGGTTGTACCTCTGAGCCTTTGAACACTTGCCGTTTCTATTCCTCACAGCAGCCCTTTCAGACGGAACGGGTGTTACCAGATTAGGAGGAGAGTGGCCACTGTATTCTCAGTGCCCAGCCCAGGGAGGCAGATCTGAGTGGAGTTGCTAATGAAACATGGAAGGTGCTTGAGAGCTAACTGGAAGGGAGGGAAGGTGTGCATTCCTGCACCAGGGCCTTTGCATGTACTTGTTACTTTCTCCTGCTGGCCAGCTGGAGTGTCTGGAAAGATCTGCCTTACTCAGGGAAGCCTTCTCACTCGCACTCTGCCCAGTTAGGACCACTGCCCTCTAGAGACCCTATAGAATTACAGAGGAGGCCGGGCGTGATAGCTCACACCTGGAATCCCAGCACTCCAGCCTGGGCGACAGAGTGAGACTCCATCTCAAAAAAAAAAAAGAAAAAAGAATAAACCCCACACACCTTTGCCTTCCCTTTGCTTTCCCTCACCACACCCCCATTCTCCCCGCCTCCCAGCCCCTGGCAACCACTAATCTGCCTCCTGTCTGCGTGGATTTGCCTGTCCTGGACATTTCCTATAAATGGATCATACAATCTGTGGTCCTTTTGTTTGGCCTCTTTCTGTTGGAATAATCTTTTCCAGGGACATCCATGTTGTAGCATGTGTCAGAATTTCCTTTCTTTTTATAGCTGAATAATATCCCATTGTATGGACTGACCATGTTTAGTTGGCCCATCCATCCGCAGATGGACGTTTGGATTGTTTCCACCTTTGGGCTATTGTGAATAATGCTGCTGTGAACGTTTGTTTACAGGTTTTCAATGCAGGCAAATGTTTTCGTTTTTCCTGGGCATAAATTCCAGGAGTGGAATCGCTGGGTCATATGGTAACTCTCTTTAACCGTTTGAGGAACCGTCAGACTGTTCTCCATGGTGGCTGTGCCATTTGACATTCCCACAAGCAGTGGAAATGGGTTCTGGATTTCTCATCCTCACCAACTTTTTTGATTCCAGCCATCCTAGTGGGTGTGAGATGGTGTCTCATTGTGGTTAGGATTTGCATTTCCCTGATGATGTTTTCTTCTAATTTCCCTGATGACTAGAGATGTTTTCATGTAAGTTATTTATTTATTTATTTATTTTTGAGACAGTGTCTCTGTCTGTATCCCAGGCTGGAGTATAGTGGCGCAATCACAGCTCACTGCAGCCTTGACCTGGGCTCAACAACAGATCCACCCCCCACCACACCCTCCCTAGTAGCTGGGACCACAGGTGTGCTCCACCATGCCGGGGTAATTTTTGTATTTTTCGTAAGAGGCAGGGTTTCACCATGCTGCCCAGGCTGGTCTCAATCTCCTAGGCTCAAGTGATCCACACGCCTTGCCCTCCCAAAGTGCTGGGATTACAGGCATGAGCCACTGCACCCAGCCTCATGCAATTTCTTTTTCCTTTTTTTTTTTTGAGACAGTCTTACTCTATGCCCCAGGCTGAAGTGCAGTGCCACAATCTCGGCTCACTGCAACCTCTGTCTCCTGGGTTCAAGTAATTATCTGGCTTCAGCCTCCCTAGTAGCTGGGACTACATACCCACACCACCTTACCTGGCTAATTTTTGTATTTTTGGTAGACAGGGTTTTGCCACGTTGGCCAAGCTGGTCTCGAACTCCTGGCCTCAAGTGATCCGCCTGCCTCAGCCTCCCAAAGTGCTGAGATTACATGAGTGAGCCACTGCGCCTGACCTCATGTAATTTCTTGAGTGGTCATTTAGTCATTATACAAACAGTGATTGAAGGGCATGTGCCCAGCACTGCAGACTCTGCTGCACAGTCAGATGACCCTGCCTTTCTGGCATTTCCATGCCAGTACCCTGAAGAGATACCATATATGTACCTGGTGCTTGCAATAGCTGGCACTCAGAGGTAGCACACTGTGTCCTAGCCACTCTTCCGAGCACTTAAGCATATTCAGTTACTCTTCAAGTACATATGAATAAGTATGCCTTTGCCCCCTCCTCTTTGCAAGGGATAGCGTGTGGCCACCCTGGTCTGCAGCTAGCTTAGCAGATTTGACCACATATTGTAAAAGTGAGTCTGTACCAGGACAGATAGGGTAGAGGGCTCTGTGTGGTTTAGCACCATGGTAGATTCCATCGTGCGGATGTCCCTCCAGCAGGGGAGGTCTTTGGGGCCAGGGCTAGGCCAGCACCCACATTTGCCGCCTGACCCCGTCCCTCCGTCTCTGTCTCTCCATTCCTCCCTGCCCCTCGTGCAGCCGCTGCCATGGCCCAGACACTGCAGATGGAGATCCCGAACTTCGGCAACAGCATCCTGGAGTGCCTCAATGAACAGCGGCTGCAGGGCCTGTACTGTGACGTGTCAGTGGTGGTCAAGGGCCATGCCTTCAAGGCCCACCGGGCCGTGCTTGCTGCCAGCAGCTCCTACTTCCGGGACCTGTTCAACAACAGCCGCAGCGCCGTGGTGGAGCTGCCGGCGGCTGTGCAGCCCCAGTCTTTCCAGCAGATCCTCAGCTTCTGCTACACGGGCCGGCTGAGCATGAACGTGGGCGACCAGTTCCTGCTCATGTACACGGCTGGCTTCCTGCAGATCCAGGAGATCATGGAGAAGGGCACCGAGTTCTTCCTCAAGGTGAGCTCCCCGAGCTGCGACTCCCAGGGCCTGCATGCGGAGGAGGCCCCATCGTCGGAGCCCCAGAGCCCCGTGGCGCAGACATCGGGCTGGCCAGCCTGTAGCACCCCGCTGCCCCTCGTGTCGCGGGTGAAGACGGAGCAGCAGGAGTCGGACTCCGTGCAGTGCATGCCCGTGGCCAAGCGGCTGTGGGACAGTGGCCAGAAGGAGGCTGGGGGCGGCGGCAATGGCAGCCGCAAGATGGCCAAGTTCTCCACGCCGGACCTGGCTGCCAACCGGCCTCACCAGCCCCCGCCACCCCAACAGGCTCCGGTGGTGGCAGCAGCCCAGCCCGCCGTGGCTGCGGGAGCAGGGCAGCCAGCCGGTGGGGTGGCAGCAGCAGGGGGTGTGGTGAGTGGGCCCAGCACGTCGGAGCGGACCAGCCCAGGCACCTCAAGCGCCTACACCAGCGACAGCCCTGGCTCCTACCACAATGAGGAGGACGAGGAGGAGGATGGTGGCGAGGAGGGCATGGATGAGCAGTACCGGCAGATCTGCAACATGTACACCATGTACAGCATGATGAACGTCGGCCAGACAGGTGAGGTGCCGTCCTGTCCCCCATCCCACCAGCCACCCCTGCTCCTCCTGCCACTCGCGTGCCACTCTCTCCCTGCAGCCGAGAAGGTGGAGGCCCTCCCGGAGCAGGTAGCCCCCGAGTCCCGAAATCGCATCCGGGTTCGGCAAGACCTGGCGTCTCTCCCGGCTGAACTTATCAACCAGATTGGGAACCGCTGCCACCCCAAGCTCTACGACGAGGGCGACCCCTCTGAGAAGCTGGAGCTGGTGACAGGTGGGCCGGTCTCGCCCCAGATCTCTCCCCTCCGCAGCTTTGGAGCCGGCTGGCCTGGGCTGGGCTGGGCAGCTGGTTAGGAGCCCCCAGCACCTCAGTTTCCCTATCTGTGCTGTAGTGTTGGTAACAGCCACCCTAAGGGTGGGGGCGTTGGTGAGATGGAGGAGCTGATACAGCAAGGCCTGGCCTCTAGGTTTCTGGCTTAAGGGGTCGGGGCGAGCATTGGCTATTATTGTTTGGCCGCATGGGTAGATTAGCTACTTCCCGGGCTCCTGTGAAGGCCAGCTACTACCTAGGTTAGGAATTTGGACAGTCACAGGGGCGAATGCCTGTAGTCCTAGCTACTCAGGAGGCTGAGGTGGGAGGATCCCTTGAGCCCAGGAGGTCAAGGCTGCAGTGAGCTGTGGTGGCCACTGCACTCCAGCCTGGGTGACAGAGTGAGACTTCATCTCTTAAAAAAAGAAGAAGAAGACTGTGTTTGGTCCTTGGGTCAGAGTGCCTAGGTGTGAGCCTCCACTCCCTGTTGGTCCTGCTGAGCTTGGGCTCATCTCTAGCTGGTGACAGCCAGCGTGCCCACCTCACACAGGCTTGCGGCACGACTGGCCACACAGCAGGCACCCCGAGGATGGTGAAGCAACCCTTTCTGTCCTTTCCTGAGCACTGATGAGGTTGGGGGAGCCCCAAGGAGCCTCCCCTGACTGCCCTTGGTGGGTAGAGATGTAGGGGAGAAGGTCCCTGGGTGAGTTTTCTTGGGACCCAGAGCCCAGCAGGGAGGGCCTGGGGTGTTCTGAGATGAGGCCTGGTATCATGGGGGCTGTGGCGGTTTGGGGGCACCCCAGGCCATCCTCCGGCTTCCTCTCACCAGGCACCAACGTGTACATCACAAGGGCGCAGCTGATGAACTGCCACGTCAGCGCAGGCACGCGGCACAAGGTCCTACTGCGGCGGCTCCTGGCCTCCTTCTTTGACCGGTAAGGCCCTTGCCAGAGCCCCAGGGAGGGGGGTGGGGTTTCCCCATGTCCCCCCCACCACCAACTTGAGCGCTGACTCCCTCCATGTCCCCTGCCCCCAGGAACACGCTGGCCAACAGCTGCGGCACCGGCATCCGCTCTTCTACCAACGATCCCCGTCGGAAGCCCCTGGACAGCCGCGTGCTCCACGCTGTCAAGTGTGAGTGTTGGCCCAGCTGGACGAGGCGTGGGCCCGGGGCACGCAGGTTGACGTTTTTTCCCAGCCTTGGCTCTCAGAGAGGGCTAGAGTTCAGTGTTGAGAAGCATTCTGGGGCTCATTCTAGCCTTGCTGGGAAACCGGCTGTGATTGCTTAGAGATTTCTTCGTGTTTGGGGGATGCACGTGCCGAAGGGAAGCCAGGGAGCCTGTGTCAGGCAGGAGGGTCTCGAACTCAGGGCAGTCTGGGAGGGATGAGGCAGCCAGACAGTGCTAGCCACTCGTCATGGGGGGCATCTAGATTTTCAAGTGACCACTCCCCGTTACTAAATTCTGGCAAATGATCCGAATTTTTCAAGAACACGGGGCCATCCCATCAAAACCAACACATCCCCACACATGGCTGAACTCAGTCCGGTGTAGGGTTGGGTGCACGTAGTGTGGTGTCCTGGCCGCGTGGCCTCACTCGTTTCCCCTTTGAGAGGGAGTCGCAGATGCTGTAGGGGAGCTGGTGAGTAGGCCTTGTGGGAGTCACCTGGCCCCCGTGCCAAGGCCGCACCCACCCTGCCCCACAGACTACTGCCAGAACTTCGCCCCCAACTTCAAGGAGAGCGAGATGAATGCCATCGCGGCCGACATGTGCACCAACGCCCGCCGCGTCGTGCGCAAGAGCTGGATGCCCAAGGTCAAGGTGCTCAAGGCTGAGGATGACGCCTACACCACCTTCATCAGTGAAACGGGCAAGATCGAGCCGGACATGATGGGTGTGGAGCATGGCTTCGAGACCGCCAGCCACGAGGGCGAGGCGGGTCCCTCGGCTGAAGCCCTGCAGTAACCCGCCCAGCCTCCCGCGGGGCCACACACTTCCCCTCCCAACACACACACACACCTGCCATCTTGGTCATGAGCTACTGTCTGTCCCTCCCCAGGACCCGCGGTGGGTGCTGCATGTTCCCGGCCCTCTGCCCCTCCTGTCCTACCCCCTTTCCCCACCGAGAGCTGGGCCGGGAGAGGACCGCAGGGCAGGTGGCGTGAGGTCCGTGTTGCCTTCTTTAACACACACTCGTGCAGTGGGGGAGTTCTGGCTCCCCAACCTAACCCCTAGCCGTCATCTCCACACTCACCAGGCCCACCAGGGGAGGGGGCTGGCCTGGGGGTCTTGGGAAGGCCCCTCCCCAGGCCCTAGGCCACCTCGCGGAAGCCTTCAGCCTCCGCCCCTCACTGCAGCCCCTTGGGACTTGAGGGGGGCCCCAGGGGTTCTCAGGACCCCTCCCACCACCTCCCAGTGCTTCCACGTCTCCAAAAGCGCCTTCCTGTCACCCTCGTCTATCCCTGCGCCTGGGGGCTGGGGTAGGCGAGGCCGTGGGGACTACCCATTTTATAGCTGGGGAAACAGGCTCCGAGAAATTGCACAACCGACCTCAGGTGGCCGGCAGTGGCGTGCCTGGTGCCCTTTCTCCTCTTCCGCCTCTGTTGCTCCCTTTGGTCCTCTGGGGCCTCAGAGAGGCAGGTCCTAAAGGAGGGGGGGTCTCCTGGGGGCAGACCGAGGGTCTCGGAGGATAGAATGAGAGGTTTCCAGGGCTGGCAGAGTGTGTGCGTGTGTGTGTGCAGAAGTTTTGCTTTCAAACAAATGAAGATACAAGAGGCAGTAGGACCTGGGTTGGAACCCAGGGGAGCAGACTGGGGGGCTGTTGCCCCTCCCTCCATCTCCCCACACCCACCCCACCCCACAGCAGGGCTCCTGGCCCCCACCCCCCTGTACATAATTTTTAAAACCTTTTTTTAGCGAATGAAATATTGAAGTATAAGATTCCTTTTATTTTTCAAACCAATGGGGCTGTGTCTATTGTCCCCCTCGGTCCCCAGGGGTGGGGGGCCTTGGAAGGCAGGGCGGTGTTGGGGGGCTGGGGGGCAGGCTGAATGTGTGTGTGTGGGTGTGTATGTGTGGAGTGTGTGTGTGTGTTTCCATGGTAGGACTCCAGTCCCAGCTGCTGCCTAGGCTCCTGTGGGTCCTGTGGGTCCCCCTCCCCTGTTCACCTTCCCCAACAGGGCTATAGTTTAAGGGTGTCCCAGGCCTTGGCTGGTTGGCTGGGCCCAGCTCCTGGGGGCTGGGCAGGGCAGGGCAGGGCCGGGTCCACTTCCATTGTTAGCAGTTGTTTGCAGAATTTTCTCTTTTACCATTCCTCTCTTTTTGTTCTCGCCCAGAGTGGGTGGTTTTTTGTTGTTGTTTTAGATTTTCATGTGAAGGCAGTTTTTTTTCTTTTTTAACTCCCCATCCCCCTATGCAGGGTGTCATTTCACCATCCACATCCACATCCTTGTTTGTGTTTCTGGCCCTCGTCCTCCCTGCCTCTCATCTGCCTCCCCAACCCCCACCTACCCACTGCTCCCAGGGGTCTCTCCAGGGGCAGGGGGATTTTAGGAGATGGGGTGGGGGCCAGCCCCTACTGGACCCTTGTAATCTGATTTGGAGACCATCCCCCCGATGGGACCAGCAGCCCCGCCGGCCCACTGGGGGTCCCTCTTAACATCTGCTTGTTGCGGGGGTCAGTCATGAGTGCCAGGGTCTGGCTGGGGTCTTGGCACTGTCTTCCTGGCCGGGGCCTGAAACCTTAGCCCCCAGCCGGCCTGAGTGGGGGATATTGACACCCCCAGCTAAAGCACAAGCACCTTAGTCACCCCTCCTCTCCCCCCGCCTCCTGGCCTGCCACCCCACCCCAGCGTTTACCCCAAAGCACAATGCCCTGGTCACTTGGCAAGCGGCTGGGCCTGACGGAGGCCGAGGGGCAGACCGGGGCTCCAGCCAGACCCCTGAAAGGAAGGTGCTCCCCCACTTCCAGGCCTTAGTTGGGGTGGGGGGGCCAGCTCCTGGGCCTGGGGTCTTCTCACCCCCACCCCCTTGTCCTGGGTAGGCCCCTGCCTGCCCCTCTCTGCCTTTTCCTCGGGTGTCCCTCCTCGAGCCCCTGTGGCATTGGCTTGGGTGGCAGAGCCCACTTGTTTCAGGGACCCCAGGAGGTGCCCCCTGGCTCCCAGGACTGTGTGTGGGTCCGGGGGGTGGGGGGGTGGGGAGAAGGGTCGGGCAGGGGGTGCAGGGGAGGAAACTCCTCACCAGGAGAGCCAAAGACAGGGTTGTGCCTTACCCCAGGAGCCACCCCTGTACCCCCCTTGCCCTGCCATTCACCCTCCACCCCTACCCCTGGGCGGCCTGCTGCTTTTTCCTTCTCTTCCTCCCCTGCCCTGAGCTGCATGGTTCCCCCACCCTGGGCAGCCAGGAAGGAATCTGAATGGAGAATCACCAACCACCAGAGAAAAAAGACTGTGGGGCCCTCCCCTGCCAACTCCCCTTCCCTGGCCGCCCACTCAACCCACACCTCTTTCACGCAGGACAGGCTGCCCACCCTGTCCACGTGAAGTGCCAACGCCCTCCCCACCCTGGGCCGAGCCCCCACCCCTCCCTGGGCCCCCAAGTGAGATTGCACATTTAACTACTGTAAGGAGAGGAGCGGCGTTGGCAAATGTGAACCATGAGAATATCAGTGATACTGATGAGAATAAACTAAACGCCTTTGTAACAGCCTTGCCGCATGCTCGTTACTTGGGGGCCCAGGGAGGAACACACACCTGCATTGTGCCCAGCAGACCCAGGTTGCTGACTGCAAACTGACAGCCTCCGATTCTAACACGCATGCAAGTTACCCCAACAGATACAGATAACGCAACATATGAGCTGGTCCTACACACACACACACACACACAATTTTTTTTTCTTTTTTTTTTTTTGAGATGGAATTTCACTCTGTCGCCCAGGCTAGAGTGGCGCGATCTCGGCTCACTGCAACCTCTGCTTCCTGGGTTCAAGCCATTCTGCCTTAGCCCCCCCAAATAGTGGGGATTGCAGGCACCCACCACCATGCCCGGCTAATTTTTGTATTTTTAGTAGAGACAGGGTTTCACCATGTTGGTCAGGCTGGGCTCGAACTCCTGACCTCAGGTGATCCACCCGCCTTGGCCTCCCCAAGTGCTGGGATTACAGGTGTGAGCCACCGCGCCCAGCATTTTCTTTTCTTTTTTTTTTTTGAGTCGGAGTTTCGCTCTTGTTGCCAGGCTGTAGTGTCATGGCGCGATCTCGGCTCACTGCAACCACCGCCTCCCAGGTTCAAATGATTGTCCTGCCTCAGCCTCCTGTGTAGCTGGGATTACAGGCATGCACCACCAGGTTCAGCTAATTTTATATTTTTAGTAGAGATGGGGTTTCTCCATGTTGGTCAGGCTGGTCTCCCAAAGTGCTGGGATTACAGGCATGAGCCACCACCACACCCAGCCTGAAAAAATACTTTTAATTAGCTGGGTGTGGTGGCATGCACCTGTACTCCCAGCTACTCTGGAGGCTGAGGCAGGAGAATCACTTCAACTGGGAAGGTCAAGGCTGCAGTGAGCTATGATGGCACCACTGCACTCCAGCATGGGCAAGAGTCAGATCCCATCTCAATAAAAAAAAAAAAGGGAGCTGTGGCTCTGTCAATTTTACAGCAACACTGGCTCACTCGGTGCCCGCCTGTGCCGTGGCTGATATGCCAAGCCCCAGAAACACATCCCATACACACACACTCCACGCCGCATTCAGAAGAGCATTCATGCATTAAAAGAACATAAAAGAGATCGGCAGGGCGCAGTGGCTCATGCCTGTAATCCCAGCACTTCGGGAGGCTGAGGCAGATGGATCACCTGAGGTCAGGAGTTCGAGACCAGCCTGGTCAACATGGCAAAACCCCATCTTTACTAAAAATAGAAAAGTTAGCTGGGCGTGGTGGAGTGCGCCTGTAATCTCAGCTACCCAGGAGGCTGAGGCAGGAGAATTGCTTGAACCTGGAAGGCGGAGGTTGCAGTGAGCCAAGATCGCACCATTGCACTCCAGCCTAGGTGACGAGCAAAACTTAGTCTCAAAAAAAAAAAAAAAAAAACGAGATCACAAAATTTAACCGATATTGGAAATATCTGGGTGAACAAGAGGGTCCCAAGAATATGAAAGGACAAATGGTTCTATCAAGTAGGAAAAACCATGGATGCACCGTGGGTCCCCATAGACTCAAAGATAACACAAGATTAAAGTAACTGGGCTGGGCACGGTGGCTCATGCCTGTAATCCCAGCATTTTGGGAGGCCGAGGCAGGTGGATCACCTGAGATCAGGAGTTCAAGACCAGCCTGGCCAACATGGCAAAACCACGTCTCTATTAAAAATACAAAAATTATCTGGGTGTGGTGGCGGGTGCCTGTAATCCCAGCTACTCAGGAGGCTGAGACAGGAAAATCACTTGAATGCGGGAGGTGGAGGTTGCAGTGAGACGAGATTGCGTCACTGCACTCCAGCCTGGGTGATAGAGCAAGACTCTATCTCAAAATAAATAAATAATAACATAGAAGCCAGTCATGATGGCTCACACCTGTAATTCCATTACTTTGGAAGGCTGAGAGAGGAGGATCAGTGGAGCCCAGGAGTTTGAGACCAGCCTGGGCAATATAGGGAGACCCTGTCTCTACAAAAATGAAATAGCCAGGCGAGGTGGCATGTGCCTGTGGTCCCAGCTACTTGGGAGACTGAGGTGGAAGGCTGCCTTGAGCCCAGGAGTTCCAGGCTGCAGTGAGCCATCATTATGCCACTGCACTCCAACCTGGGAGACAGAGTGAGAGAGACCCTGTCTCAAACAAACAAACCCAAAATAGGCCAGGCACAGTGACTCATGCCTGTAATCCCAGCACTTTGGGAGGCTGAAATAGGCGGATCATTTGAGGTCAGGAGTTCAAATTCAAGACCAGCCCGGCCAACATGGCAAAACCACATCTCTACTACAAATAAAAAATTAGTTGGGTGTGGTGGAGCATTCCTGTAATCACAGCTATTCAGGAGGCTGAGGCATGAGAACCGCTTCAACCCAGGAAGCAGAGGTTGCAGTGAGCCGAGATCACGCCATTGCACTCCAGCCTGGGCGACAGAGCGAGACTCTGTCTCAAAAAAATATAAATAAAAATAAAAAGATCAAGAGAACCTAAACCATTAAAAAAAAGACTCGCATGGGTGCGGTGGCTCCTGCCTGTAATCCCAGCACTTTGGGAGGCTGAGGCAGGCAAATCACTTGAGGTCAGGAGTTTGAGACCAACCTGGCCAACATGAGGAATCCCATCTGTACTAAAAATACAAAAATTAGCTGGGTGTGGTGACACACACCTGTAATCCAAGCTACTTGGGAGGCTGAGGCAGAATTGCTGGAAACCAGGAGGTGGAGGTTGCAGTGAGCAGAGATTGCACCACTGTACTCCAGCCTGGGTGACAAGAGTGAAACTCTGTCTCAAAAAAAAAAAAAGAAATCCGGAACACGCACATGTGCACACACACACTGGAGCACTTGTGCAAGCAGTGGCTTAGAATGGGAGTCCCAATCAGGGCTCGGTCACGCATTTGCAGTCAACACACACCACACGACACAAATACGTATAAAAAAGGCTGACATTTTATTTCCAGGTTGGCACGTGTATAAGGCACAGGGGCAAATGGCTTTGGGGTCCTGGAACTGGAAATGGAGACAGGTGTGTCTCAGGTGTCCCTGCCTCCACCACCCCCTAAGTGCACTTGAGACAGGACCAGTGGTGGTGGTTCCAGCCCAGGGTCCTGAAGGGTCCCACTGGCTCTAGGGGAGAGCCATGGGGACAGCTCCCCAGGCGGGACCCTCTACTCTCCAGCTACCCAGGAGGGACCCTCTCCTCCTAGGGGGCGAGGCCAGCTCCAAAGTGCTTGGTGGCTCCCCAGGCTTAAGGGACCAGCCTGCCAGGGAGGGCTGGGGTCAGAGAGAGAATAGTAAGATGAGAACGAGGAGAAGCACCCCCACTAGCACGGCGATGGCACACCACTGTCGGCGGTCTGGGAACGAGAAGGTCAGGGGTCACGGGGAGAGGGTACCACCTACAACCTGCCCCCACCAGGACTGACCCCTCCCCTGAGGGGACTCACCACTCGTCATGTGGGATACTTTGGCCAACTTCCTGAGGACCCCGTCCATGCGGGACTGGGTGTGGTCCATCTCTTGGGCGAAGGCATCCAGCATGCTGCCAAGAACAGGATGGCATCAGCCCCAGATGGCCCAGACACACCAGGGTGGCCGAGAGCCCCTGGCCCACCCCCAGGGTCCTGGCCTCACATGCCCTGCTCGTCCAGCTCTTCTCCAACGCGGCCGGACATGTGCTTCAGAACCTGGATGCTCCCAGACACCATCTCCAGCTGTTGATCCTGTTCATCCATGATCAGCTGCAGAGCGAAGGGGTGGGAGATGCTGTTGAAAACGACCCCAGAAGGCCAGGCGCTATGGCTTATGACTGTAATCCCAGCACTCTGGGAGGCCGAGACAGGCGGATCACTTGAGGCCAGGAGTTCGAGACCAGCCTGGCCAACATGGTGAAACCCCATCTCTACTAAAAATATAAAAATTGGCCAGGCATTGTGGTGGGCGCCTGTAATCCCAGCTACTAGGGAGGCTGAGGCAGGAGAATCACTGGAACCTGGGAGGCGGAGGTTGCAGTGAGCTGAGATCGCGCCACTGCACTCCAGCCTGGGCGACAAAGCGAAACTCCATATCAACAACAACAACAACAAAAAGGGACCCCAGACCTCAGATCAGTCTGCAAGGCTCTCCCCTCCCAAGATCCACCCCGCTGGCCCCAAAACCTGCTGTGTGGCCTGCTGCTCCTCGATGTAGCGAGATGTGGCCGAGACTGCGCTGGCATCCAGCAGGTCGCTGGGTGACTTCTGGGCAGCTGGCTTGCCTGCGAGTATCTGCAGGGGCACACAACATAGGCTCAGGGAGAGACCCCAACTCACAGCGGGGCCTGTGGGGCAAATCCCCACGGTGGTAAGTCAGGGGGGCAGACTCTGGGGCAGGACAGCCTGCATTCCCCACTCACCACTTACTAGCAAGGTGACCCAGAGACCCCATCATTTGGCTTCCTTGTGCCTCAGTTTCCTCATCTGTAAAATGCAGAGAGCAGGATGGGGCATGGTAGCTCATGCTTGTAATCCCAGCACTCTGGGAGGTGGAGGTGGGCAGATAACTTGAGGTCAGGAGCTCGAGACCAGCCTGGCCAACATGGTGAAACCCCATCTCTACTAAAAATACAAAAATTGGGCCGGGCACAGTGGCTCACACCTGTAATCCCAGCACTTTGGGAGGCCGAGGTAGATGGATCACGAGGTCAAGAGTTTGAGAGCAGCCTGGCCAACATGGTGAAATCCCGTCTCTACTAAAAATACAAAAATTAGCCAGGCTTGGTGGCGGGTGCCTGTAATCCCAGCTACTAGGGAGGCTGAGGCAGGTCAGAATCACTTGAACCTGGGAGGCTGAGGTTGCAGTGAGCCGAGATCACACCACTGCACTCCAGCCTGGGTGACAGGTTAAGACCTTCTCTCAAAAAAAAAAAAAAAAAAAAAAATTACCGGGTGTGGCAGTGCATGCCTGTAATCCCAGCTACTTGTGAGGCTAAGGCAGCAGAATCGCTTGAACCTGGGGGGCGGTGGTTGCAGTGAGCTGAGATCGCACCACTGCATTTCCAGCCTGGGTGTCAGAGTGACCTTGCCTCAAAAAAAAAAAAAATAAAATAAAATGGGAAGAGCTAGAATCCGTGTTTCCTGGGTTGAAATGAGGATTTAAAGAATTAATTGATGGGGGACACTTACAGCAGTGCCCAACACATAGTAATGCTAGTAAATGTCACATTTTACTATTTGTTTATTTTTGGGGGGATTTTAGCTGGGATTACAGGCACCTGCCACCACATCCAGCTAATTTTTGTATTTTTACTAGTGATAGGGTTTCCCCATGTTGGCCAGGCTGGTCTCGAACTCCTGACCTCAAGTGATCCACCTGCCTCAGCCTCCCAAAGTGCTGGGATTACAGGCGTGAGCTACCATGCCTGGCCCAACAGATGTTTGTTTGTTTGTCTGAGACAGAGTCTTGCTCTGTCACCTAGGCTGGAGTGCAGTGGTGTGATCTCGCCTCACTGCAACCTCCACCTCCCGGGTTCAAGCAATTCTCCTGCCTCAGCTTCCCAAGTATCTGAGATTACAGGTGATCACCACCACGCCTGGCTAATTTTTGTATTTTTTGTAGAGACAGGGTTTCATCATGTTGGCCAGGCTGGTCTCGAACGCCTGACCTCAGGTGATCCACTTGCCTGGGCCTCCCAAAGTGCTGAGATTTTAGGTGTGAGCCACCGTGCCCGGCTCCAACAGATGTATTTTAGAGTTTGGACTTGAATTCCCCCAAGGCAGCACATCTGGAAGGCACGTGGGCACTGCTATGGGATGACAAACTGGGAGGAGCCTCAGTCCCCCACCCTCCCCGACCCCACGTACGCTTATGAGGGAGAGAGAAAGGCTGGTGGTTCTCAACATATGAAAAATATCAACAGAGAACACCAAGAGAAAAAGTGGACTGACAGAGGTGGTTGGGAGAAACACAGAAACACACACACACACACACACACACACACACACACGGCAGGCACATTACAGAGGAAACTAGCAGATATTAGGATATGAGGGGGGAAAATGCAGATACACTCAGAGGCCAAGTGCACGCACCCAAATAGGTTAGGTGCATGCACAGATGAAAAGGCGGGGGCGGATCACCTGAGGTAGGGAGTTTGAGACCAGCCTGGCCAACATGGGGAAACCCTGTCTCTACTAAAAACACAAAAATTAGCTGGGCATGGTGGCACACTCCTGTTGTCCCAGCTACCCAGGAGGCTGAGGCAGGAGAATTGCTTGAACCCGGAAGGTGGAGGTTTCAGTGAGTCAAGATTGCACCACTGCACCCCAGCCTGGGCAACATGCCAAGACTCCATCTCAAAAAAAAAAAAGGAAGCTGGCCGGGCGCGGTGGCTCACGCCTGTAATCTCAGCATTTTGGGAGGCTGAAGCTAGTGGATCACAAGGTCAGGAGATCAAGACCATCCTGGCCAACATGATGAAACTCCGTCTCTACTAAAAATACAAAAATTGGCCGGGCGTGGTGGCTCACACCTGTAATCCCAGCACTTTGGGAGGCCGAGGCAGGTGGATCACGAGGTCAAGAGTTCAAGACCAGCCTGGCCAAGATGTTGAAGCCCCGTCTCTACTAGAAATACAAAATTTAGCCACGCATGGTGGTGGGTGCCTGTAATCCCAGCTACTCGGGAGGCTGAGACAGAATTGCTTGAACCCGGGAGGCGGAGGCTGCAGTGAGCCGAGATCACGTCACTGCACTCCAGCCTGGGCGACAGAGCAACACTCCGTCTCAAAAAAAAAAAAAAAAAAAAAAATTAGCCGGGTGTGGTGGCATGTGCCTGTATTACAGCTACTCAGGAGGCTGAGGCTGGAGAATCGTTGAGCCCAGGAGGCGGAGGTTGCAGTGAGCCGAGACTGCGCCACTGCACTCCAGCCTGGCAACAGAGTGAGACTGCATCTCAAAAAAAAAAAAAAAAAAAAAAAAAAGGAAGTTATGTGCGATGGCTCACGCCTGTAATCCCAGCACTTTGGAAGGCTGAGGCAGGCAGATCAGTTGATGTGAGGGGTTTGAGACCAGACTGACCAACATGACAAAACCCTATTAAAAATACAAAAATTAGGCCAGGCGCAGTGGCTCATGCCTGTAATTCCAGCACTTTGGGAGGCTGAGGCAGGTGGATCACCTGAGGTTGGGAGTTCAAGATCAGCCTGACCAACATGGAGAAACCCCGTCTCTACTAAAAATACAAAATTAGCCAGGCATGGTGGCGTATGCCTATAATCCCAGCTACTCGGGAGGCTGAGGCAGGAGAATTGTTTGAACCCAGGAGGCGGAGATTGCGGTGAGCCGAGATTGCACCATTGCACTCCAGCCTGGGCAACAAGAGTGAAACTCCATCTCAAAAAAAAAAAAAAAAAAATACAGAAGTTACCCTGGCATGGTGACGAGCACCTGTAATCCCAGCTACTTGGGAGGCTGAGGCAGGAGAATCGCTTGAACCCAGGAGGCAGAGGTTGCAGTGAGCTGAGATCAAGCCACTGCACTCCAGCCTGGGCAACAGAACAAGACTCTGTCTCAAAGAAAAAAAAAAGAGTAAAAGGCAGGCATGCGTCCTGGAAACAGGTGCACACAGGACAAATGGCATGGAAGCAGAAAGGAGATAGGTACACAGGCCCCCAGCCCTCTCCTGCAACAGGAAACCAGTATAGACCCAGAGGACACAGTAGAGAGGAACCCACGGACATATACACATAGAGAGGTTCAGGTGCACACACCGAGAAAGTGCAGGCAGGTAGACAGCAAGAAGATAACTGCCCACAGAGAGGACGGGCACTGTCGCAAAAGGGACAGGTGAACACGCACAGAGGGATCTGGCTTGGTTACCCCCAGGGGCTCAGGTGGGCAGGGTGGGTCAGGAAGGCTTACCTCTCTGTTATTCCTCTCCAAAAATGCTACGGCTGTTGGGCTGACCATATGGTCCTTCATTTCCTGGAGGTAAGGACAGCATTAGGGAGGAAAGACACTCAGGCTGGGCGCGGTGGCTCACGCCTGTAATCCTAGCACTTTGAGAGACCAAGCCGGGTGGATCACCTGAGGTCAGGAGTTCGAGACCAGCCTGATCAACATGGTGAAACCCCGTCTCTACTAAAAACACAAAACTTAGCCGGGTATCGTGGCAGGCACCTGTAGTCCCAGCTACTCAGGAGACTGAGACACAAGAATCGCTTGAGCCTGGGAGGCGGAGGTTGCAGTGAGCCGAGATTGCAACACTGTACTCCAGCCTGGGCGACAGAGCGAGGCTCTGTCTCAAAAAAAAAAAAAAAAAAGAAAGAAAGAAAGAAAAAAAAACACACTCAAACCTTCCCCCACTCCCCGCCTGCAGGACCTTTCCTGACCTGGACTGCCTCTCGCATCCGCTCCACGAACACCTTTCTCTCCTGCAGGTCCCCGGCTGGGAGCTTGAACTTGCCTGGGTTGGCTTCCACTATACGTGGGCTGAGAGTCAAGGGTCAAGGCCGGAGCCAGATATCATCCCCGTCCCTAGGGGTCCAGCCCTACCCGAAGGTGGGCTGCCACCGCAATGGGCTCTCCCATGCCACCCTCTGCCACAAAGCCCCAGGATATCGATGGTCTCTTCCAGGTCCTCGAGGTCCCACTCGATGCTGCGCAGGCCATTCCGCAGCTCATTGGTCGTCCAGTCCAGCTCCTCGCGTCCGACCGCCGCGCTTTCCTGCAGGAGCTCGCACCAGCGCTGGTACAGCCCGCGGGCCGTGTTCACCGCCTTCTGCACCTCGCTGCGGGCAGGGGCACGGCGGGCGCGGCTGGGGGCAGGCGGTCCTCCCGCCTGCCTCTGCCCCCGACTGCAAACCCAAACGCATGGGGGACTCCGGAGACCCCTATATACCCCTGCGTGCGCCTCCCACTCTGCACCCCGACGGCCTTGCCCAGCCCGCCGGGCACGCTGGGGCCGGCACCCGGGCACTGGCTGGCTTGGGTACAGAGCACCCTCCGCCCTCCCCCGTCGTTGTCACTCACCCTCGGACTACAAAAAAGGGGTCTTCGAGAGACATGTCAGTCCCTTCCCCCCCAGGCCGAACCCCCCTCCCGGCCTGGGTTCGCGGGCTGGTTCCCTCCCAACCGAGGAGAACGCGCCGCCACCCCCGCCCCCGTCACGCCACCATCGAGAGCCGGACCGCCAGGGGAGAAAGAGAAGCCTCGGAGGCCCGACGTGCGGACACTTCCGCCCTCTCCTCAGCCATCTTGGTTGTGGGCAGAGGCAGCTTCCGGTGCACATGCCCCCGCCCCTTAGCCCTCTCGTGCCGCACCGTAGGGGGCGGTGTCGGAGTTCTGTCTGGGCCTATTCGGGTCCGAGTTCGGAATTTCGGTTCAAGGCCCAGTTCCTCGGATTGTTCCTGCGCAACTTCAGTTTCCCTTCCAGGCACGGGCAATGTAAATAATGATAGCCTCCCTCATCTCTGGCGGCTGGGTATTATGGCTGGGGAAGGGGCTCATTCGATTCGTTGAAGCTTTTCATGGACTCCCTGAGCTGGCACCTGGGAGATCGTCCCATCCCAGGGTCCCGAGTGTCAGGTTTGGCTAGGGTCTGGGGGAGAGGTGGTCCTCCCTTCTCCCTGCGGGGGCGCGGTGAGGAGCGGGCCTGCTCCTCCGGGGAGTTCTGCCGCATTCTCCCAATCTCTTTCCTGAGAAGTGGCGGAGTTGGGGGCACTTCGAGGTCGCCTTGGGGCGAGGTGGTCGTGAGGGGGTCCCAGATATGCCAGCAGCGGGGGGAGGTCACCTTTGAGAAAGTGCGTGGAGGTGGGTTTCTTCAGAAGCGCGGAGTCTTTCTGGGTGCGAGCCTGGGGGTAGCGGGTGGTGGCTTTGAGGATGGTCTCCAGGGGGGCCCTCTGTGTGTGGGGTCTCCGTCTGGGTAGGGGCCAGGAATATCAGCGGAGGGACTCAGGGTCGTCCCTATGTGTGACAGTGGCGCTGTGTGTTGGGGAGCTTCGGGAAAGCACTTTTTTTGAGTGATAGGGGGCCTGGTCTCCCCTGGAGGGTGGGCGGGTTATCTGAGGGAGTCCTCGGAGGGTCGCCCCCTTGCGCGTCAGAGTTGCTGCGTGGGGTCTCAGAGATAGCGCCTGGGCTGGGGAAATCATTGTGGGGTCTCCGTGGTAAGGTTAGCGGGGTGGGGACGGCCTGCGTCTTCGGCAGGTCGTCGCAGTCTGGCACCATCGTTGAATGGGGACGAGTTTGGGAAGGGTATTTTAGGGGGGAATAACTTTTGAGTTCCCAGCGTGCGGGGGAAGGGCGGGACGGGAGGGTGTCCCAAGGCCTGAGAAGATCAGTGTGGGGCAGGGGTCAGGAATAACCTGGGAGGGGGCCTTGTATGGGGGAAATAATTGGGAAGAGGAGAGATGGGATGAAGGGGGCCTCAGCGGGTCGTCTCCTGTGTATGCAGGGTCGTTCTGCAGCGTCTCTGGGAGATGGCGTCCCTGGGAGCCCTCAGGTCGCCCCTACCCGCTGCGGGGTGCTTTCCTGGCGTCACGCCTTCCTGGCCCCTGGAGGGAAGGAAGTGAAACTCTCCTCTTCCCCCACCCGGCTGGAATGCGAGTCAGGAAGCCTGGGGCTCCAGCCTGCTCCGGCTGCCCGGGTCGGGGATGGGGAGGGGCGTGGCCGGAGCGCAAAGCCCCGCCCCTCCGCGCCCCCCCCCCGGAAGCCCCGCCGCCGGCCGCTAAGGCGATCACGGGCCCTGTCCTAATATGGGCAACCGGAAGCGGCCCGCGCGACTGCCCTACGTCACTCCGTCCAAATTTAGTTGTGGAAGTCAGCGGGCGCTGGTGGCGGGAAGGCGCCGCGAGCCAGTGCGGGCGGAAAGGGGGCGGGGGGCGCACCACCCCTTAAAGGGCCCGCACCAGGAATGAATGGAGCCATTCGAACAATTCTGCATCCTATTTTTGGAGGAAGTGGAATTAGTATTTCTTGGAGAGACGGCGCGTAGCGGAGGGTAGGGCGGAGATTTTCTATCTGCTCTGTCTCTGCATTGCTGGGTTTCCAGCTCCCAACCTAACCCCGCCTCCCCGAACGCGGAGACGGAACTCGGCCCCCTTGTTTGGGGGGCGGCAGCCACGTGTTCACGGGGACTGTCGTGCGCGCCGGGTTCGCAGCCGTGCGAGCTCTGAACCCACCCGTGGAGCTCCTGTCGCGGGAAACTGCGGGGGAATGGCTTGGTACGAATCACGGGAACCCGTAGCCCGGGGCGGGTCACCGCCTACAAGCAAGGGCTGGCGTACGCTAGAGACCGAAGAGCTGGAGGCCCCAGTGGCCCCCTTTCACAGCAGTAGCAAATATTGTTTGTTTAGTAAATATTGGCCTAGTGACTCTGCCTTGGTTTCCCCACTTGAAGGAAGCAGATAGAACAGTATCCTCCGAGGAGTGGAGGCTGGGGATCGGTGAATTATTGATAAAAGGAGAGCTCTTAACCTAGCCTGGCACGTTGTAAGCGCTGTTAGCATGATTATTGGTGCAGAAAACACTCATTAGACACACCTGGTAAATGCTAAGAACAGTGGCCACAGGGGATGTTCAGGCTGGAACCAGGGTCTTCCCCTGTGTGAAGGGAAACTTGCTGCCCACGACCCACTGGGGCCTCCAGACGGGAGCATGTGGGTAGGCCGTGAGCTCCACCCCCGGCCCCCCTCCCTTGGGCCAAGGCGCTGATGCATCGGCGGGGCTCAGAGAAAGGAGCCCACCCAGAAAGCTCAGCGTGGAGTCGGGGGACGCTCCTCCTCGCCAGGGTTCCCGTCCCCTTTCCCTGCTGGGTAAATCGCATTCTGTCTCTTTAAGGAGTGTTTGGCCGCGACGAGTTGGAAAGCCCGGATGCGTCCTTCGGTTGGGCGGGGTGTCTCAGTGACGTCACTGGGGGTATAAAAGGGCCTGGGTGGCGGGCGCCTGGGCAGAGCGTCCTAGCAGTGTCACTGCGTGGGTTGGTTTGTGTAGAGAGGCGTGAGCGAGCCCGTTGTCCGGAGTGCACCTGCTGCCTGTTCTGTCCCTCCCGGGAGCCCCCGCCGCTGTCGCCGTCGAGTCGCCATGGAAGTGCAGAAAGAGGCACAGCGCATCATGACCCTGTCGGTGTGGAAGATGTATCACTCCCGCATGCAGCGCGGTGGCCTGCGGCTGCACCGGAGTCTGCAGCTGTCGCTGGTCATGCGCAGCGCCCGGGAGCTCTACCTCTCGGCCAAGGTGGAGGCCCTCGAGCCCGAGGTGTCGTTGCCGGCCGCCCTCCCCTCTGACCCTCGCCTGCACCCGCCCCGAGAAGCCGAGTCCACGGCCGAGACAGCGACCCCCGACGGTGAGCACCCGTTTCCGGAGCCAATGGACACGCAGGAGGCGCCGACAGCCGAGGAGACCTCCGCCTGCTGTGCCCCGCGCCCCGCCAAAGTCAGCCGCAAACGACGCAGCAGCAGCCTGAGCGACGGCGGGGACGCTGGACTGGTCCCGAGCAAGAAAGCCCGTCTGGAAGAAAAGGAAGAAGAGGAGGGAGCGTCATCCGAAGTCGCCGATCGCCTGCAGCCCCCTCCGGCGCAAGCGGAGGGCGCCTTTCCCAACCTGGCCCGCGTCCTGCAGAGGCGCTTCTCCGGCCTCCTGAACTGCAGCCCCGCGGCCCCTCCGACGGCGCCGCCCGCGTGCGAGGCAAAGCCCGCTTGCCGCCCGGCGGACAGCATGCTCAACGTGCTCGTGCGGGCCGTGGTGGCCTTCTGAGGACCCCGAGCGGCGCTGCCGGAGCCCAGAGCGCGCGTCGAACCGTCGGCCCGAGGGCGCAGACCTGAGGCGAGGCCACCCCCCTCCATCCTGGGGGAAGCGCCCGCGAAAACCGTGGAGAGAAGCCGCCGCCCGGGCTGCTGAGAGGCCCGGAGAGGGACTCTGTCCCCGGGGAGCCATCGCCTTCAGTGTGCAGGGACGGCACCGAGGAGTCTGAGCCGGGGGCGCGGGCGCCTTCCGCAGAGACCTGCGCCCACAGGTGCTGTCTTAGTGGACTGGGACGTGAACCTTTCGCTCTCCTTCTGGACTGGGAGAAGGGAGGCTTGGGTGTTGTGTTTTTTGTTTTGTTTGTTTGTTTGTTTTTAAAGATCTCCTCAGGGTCGGACTTCATTTTGTACTGTGGGCTGTGCTGGCCCTTTCAAGGTTTTTCAAGAGTTGGTTTTGCGTTTCCAACCTCGGAGAATTCCAGGCACTCCCCTTCCCCCTCCGCTGACATACTTGTATAAGCGGTCATCGTTGCGTCATGGGGCAGGCGTGGGGAGCTTCCTGTCGCCTTGCGTGGGTGTGGGGCCTGGGAGGAGGTCCTGGGGCGTGCACCCGCCCTGGGCAGTGGGGAGGAGAGTGGCCTGAGTTACTTCACCCCCGCGTGCTGCTGGTTAATGTCCCGCGTCTCTGCACCTTCGGGTGGGAGCGGGGACTGATCTACTTTCACATTCTCAAGTTTTTCTCATCTGCATTAGAGGTGCCCAGTAGGTTCCCAGGTTCCAGCGTGCCCCTCCCTCAGACACACGGACACAATCAGCCGAGAAGTTCCTGGTCTGAATCACGAGAATGTGGAGGGGTGGGGGGTGTCAGTGGAAAGGCATAAGGCTGAGCTGAGACCAGTTGCTGGTGAAACTGGGCCAATCTGGGGAGGGGAACATCCTTGCCAGGGAGTTTCTGAGGGTCTGCTTTGTTTACCTTTCGTGCGGTGGATTCTTTTTAACTCCGTCTACCTGGCGTTTTGTTAGAAATGTCAGATAGGAAAATAAAAACCATTTGAGTAAAAAAGCCGGTGCTGTCTGGTTTTCTGCTGTGGTGGGGGAGGGGCGGGGTTAAAGCGTCAGGGGCTGGCAGCCGCTCGCTGGGGCCCCAAGAACCGGTCTGACCGGTTACCACGTGGGCGAGAGAGGGTTGGGCCCCCTTTTCCTTGCCCGGGCATTCCCTAACTGGTGGAGCCCCGCCTCCCCCAGATTTGGGGGTTCCCTTGAAATTGTCCTACAACTCCGGGACAGGGAGATCGGGGCTTTCTGAGTTGAGACAATAGTGCTAAACACACTGCCCCAAGCGGAGCTGGGGATCGATTGCACGCACTTTGAAGCCTTGAAAGGTGGTAGATCTCGCCCCCACCCCCTAGACCAAACTGAATCAGCTGTGGCCGGGGCCCTACAGTATCAGGTGGAGCTGAGCGGGTGAGCTTTGAAGGGCTCTTTAGTCCCCAGTTCCCGTATCTTCCTCGAGGAATCGTTGTGTGTCTCAGGCAGGGACGTGCAGCCTCAGTTTCCTCATCTGTGAAATGGGCCTCTAAGCAGCTTCTCCACCCGGCATTAGGTTTTTAAAAATGCCCATTAGAGCCCTAGTTATTTTCTTGGGTCACTCCCCAGCTCTAGAATAACCACCCCGAAACGAGAAAGCCCTTTCAATATACCCCACGTAGGTTTAAGAGTGGGGTTGTGGGCGTTGCCCCAGGGCGAAGGGAGGGGGCCTGTCGGGAAGACAAAGGAGTCGCAGGTGCGGGGAGTGGTGGCGGCGGCAGGCGCCGGGAAAGCGCTCGCCCCGCCCCGCCGACGGCTGGCTCTGCCGCCGCAGGCTTCCCATGACCCCAGGGGAACTGACCCCGTGGCCACAGGGTAGAAGGAGGGGCAAGCCGGCCTCAGAACGTCTGCTGGTGGAATCTGGGAGCTTTGGCTCCCCTCCCGCCCAACCCACACCCCCTTTCCTCTCCTGTGTGGATTGTGAAGGAGAGCTTCTCACCGTTCTCCAGCCAAGCTCGCCCCCACGGCTGCCTGATTCCTTCCTGGGAACACGTGGGGGGACTTTTAAAAGGCGCCACCTACTCCGAGTCCTGACCCACCCAACTCTCCCAGGGGACGTGGGGGCACTGGAGCCCCACACCGCAGGCGGTAGCTCAATGCACCCGCGTCGGAGTTCCTCCCCCGCGAGCGTGGCAAGGCTCAGGGAAGTCCCGGGCCCCTGGGGAGGGGGCCTTGCCGCGCATCCTGTCGCAGGAACCGCCGGGCCCTTCCTTCCGCGGGAAGCGGCTTGGCCGACCCCCGCCCCCGCCCGGGCCTCTTGGGGGTTTCCGGTGCCCGGCCACCGTGGGGCTGGGGACTGAAAGTGATGGGACTGAAGATGGGGCTGGAACAAACACACTACAGACACATCCCCTTAAGACACACCCATCCCCAAGACCCCACTGGACCCATCAGAAAAGGCAGCATTGAACCTTGTCACAGCAAATAACATTGGTGAGGCCTGGACTAATTGATTGGACAATGGCTGTGAAAACTAAAAAGGTCACCCATCCTGTGACCAGCAGGTTCCAGCAGGGAACCCCAAGCCTGCTGCAGGAGACTCCAGAAAGGTGTTTGCTGCTGGCTTGTACTAAATTGGCACAAACTGCAAACAGCACAGCCTACATGCCCATCCTCCCAGATGGGTCCTCCCCAGAGGATAAAAGGCCGGAGCCAGACAGAACTACACACACAGGCCACACAGATAATTCGGTACCAGAAACATGATGCTGAGTGACAAAGGCCAGCTGCAGAAGTCAGGTAAGAAGCACATATTCTGGGCCGGGCATGGTGGCTCATGCCTGTAATCCCAGCACTTTGGAAGGCTGAGGTGGGCAGCTCACCTGAGGTCAGGAGTTCGAGACCAGCCTGATCAACATGGTGAAACCCCATCTCTACTAAAAATACAAAAATTAGCTAGGCAAGGTGGCAGGCGCCTGTAATCCCAGCTATCCGAAGGCTGAGGCAGGAGAATCACTTGAACTCAGGAGGCAGAGGTTGCAGTGAGCCGAGATGGTGTCACTGCACTCCAGCCTGGGCTACAGAGGAAGACTCTGTCTCAAAAAAAGAAGAAGAAGAAGAAGAAGAAGAACATATTCTGGAGGGAGGGAAACAACCAGGTCTACTTTCGTTTTCTTGCTATGCATCCTTGAGTGAGTCACTTGACCTCTCTGGGCCTGTTTCCCCAACCGTATACTGGGGACAATAATAGTCCCTGCCTTTTAGGTTTGTTGTAAGGATTGAGATTACACATGTAATCCTTACAACAAACCTAGCAGAGTGCTGGCACGTAGAAAATGCTAAATGTGCTGGGTGCCATGGTTCATGCCTGTAACCCCAAAAATTTAGGAGGCTGAGGTGGGAGGATCACTTGAGGCCAAGAGTTTTCAGTGCAATCATGGCTCAGTGTAGCCATGTAGCCTCGAACTCCCAGACTCAAGCAATCCTCCTACCTCAGCCTCCCAAGCAGGTTGGACCACAGGCTCAGGCACCATGCACAGCTAATTTCTTTTTTTTTTCTTTCTTTCTCTTTTTCTTTCTTTTCTTTCTTCCTTCCTTCTTTCCTTTTTCTTTCTTTCTTTTCTTTCCCTCCCTCCTTCCCTTCCTTTCTTCCTTTCTTTCCTTTCTTTCTTTCAACTAGAGTCTCTCTATCACCCAGGCTGGAGTGCAGTGGCTTGATTACAGTTCACTGCAGCCTCGAGCTCCTGGGCTCAGGCAATCCTCCCACCTCAGCCTCTGGAGTAGCTGGGACTACGCCACCACACCCAGCTAATTTTTCTTTTTTTTCTTCTTCTCTCTCTTTTCTTCCTTGTCTCTTTCTTTTCTTTTCTTTTTTGTTTTTGACAGAGTCTCGCTCTGTTGCCAGGCTGGAATACAGTGGTGCAATCTCGGCTCACTGCAACCCTGGCCTCCCGGATTCAAGCAGTTCCCCTGCCTCAGCCTCCGAAGTAGCTGGGACTACAGGCGCACACCACGACACCTGGCTAATTTTTTTTTTCCCACCGGTTGTCAAATGACCCTTTATTGAAATATTTTTCTTTGTGCTTCTTAACTAGCTGGGCATTTCACAGCACCACTGTGGGTTTTTCTGGTTTTTTGGGGTTTTTTTTTTTGAGTCGGAGTCTTGCTCTGTCGCTCAGGCTGGAGTTCAGTGGCGCGATCTCGGCTCACTGCAAGTTCCACCTCCCAGGTTCACGCCATTCTCCTGCCTCAGCCTCCTGAGTAGCTGGGACTACAGGCGCCTGCCACCACGCCCGGCTAATTTTTTTGTATTGTATTTTTAGTAGAGACGGGGTTTCACCTTGTTAGCAAGGATGGTCTTGATCTCCTGACCTCGTGATCTGCCTGCCTCGGCCTCCCAAAGGGCTGGGATTACAGGCGTGAGCCACCGCGCCCAGCCATCACCACTGTTGATGTCATCTATGATGTCACGAGGGTGGCGGCCATCAACATTACGGCCTACAGACTGGGCAGTCCCCAGGATCTCTTTGATGGTTCCAGAGAGTTCTCTGGCTAAAGATCGGTGCCACATCTGTCGAGTAATGTTGACGATCTCATCAAAAGTGATATTCCCATTGTGTCTAATGTTTTTCTGTTTCTTTCTGTCTCTTGGTGGTTCCTTGAGGGCTTTAATGATCAGGGCAGAGGCAGAAGGCACCACCTCAATCTGGGCCTGTCTGTTCTGAATGGTCAGTTTCACTGTAATCCTCAGGCCCTTCCAGTCACCCCATTGCCTTGGCAAGGTCATTACCAAGCTTTTTTGGAGACAGACCCAGGGGGCCGATCTTGGGGGCTAGTGCAGAAGTGGCACCCCCTTCACCCCGAGTGCACCTCAGGTATACAAATTTGATCTCGTTGGGGTTGAACTTTGGCAGCATGGTGGAGGTGATTGGTTTTGGAAAAACCTGGATTCTGGACAACCGAAGAAAGCTGCACCTTGGGCTCCTCCAAGCCGAAAGCCCAGCTAATTTTTTTTTTCTTTTTGACACGAAGTCTTGCTCTGTCAACCAGGCTGCAGTGCAGTGGTGCAATCTTGGCTCACTGCAACCTCCACCTCCTGGGTTCAAGCAATTCTCCTGCCTCAGCTTCCTGAGTAGCTAGGATTACAGGCACCCGCCACCATGCCTGGCTAATTTTTGTATTTTTAGTAAAGACGAGGTTTCACCATGTTGGCCAGGCTAGTTTCAAACTCCTGACCTCAGGTGATCCACCCACCTCGGCCTCCCAAAGTGCTGGGATTACAGGAATGAGCCACCGCACCTGGCCGAAATTTTTTGTATTTTAGTAGAGACGGGGTTTTACCATGTTGGCCAAGATGGTCTCCATCTCGACCTCGTGATCCGCCCGCCTCAGCCTCCCAAAGTGTTGGGATTATAGGCATGAGCCACCGCGCCTGGCTCTTTCTTTTCTAACAGGGTCTTGCTCTATTGCCTAGGCTGGAGTGCAGTGGCACGATCTTGGCTCACTGCAATATCTTCCTAACAGGTTCACGAGATTCTCCCACCTCAGCCTCCTGAGTAGCTGGGATTGCAGGTGCACACCACTGCGCCTGGCTAATTTTTATATTTTTTGCAGACACAGGGTTTCACCATGTTGCCCAGGCTGGTCTGGAACTCCTGAGCTCAAGTGATCTGCCTGCCTCAGCCTCCCAAAGTGCTGGGATTACAGGCGTGAGCCACTGCACCTGGACGTATTTATTTTTTACTTAGGATTTGTGCCCTAACTCAGAAGTTAATTCTGTTAATTCTACCAATGTCCAGCCTGAGCCTGAATGAGTGAATGAGGTTGTTTTGGGTAAACAGGTGTTACATGCTTAATGTTTATCATCTCATTAAATCAGTGGCTTCTACATGACTCTTAGAATTTCTCAAACCTCAGATGGTTGAGGGGTCAGGATATTTGTGATATTTTCATAACTACTGTACTATTATTATTATCATTTATAGACAGGGTCTTGCTATGTTGCCCAGGCTGGAGAACAGCAGCGCCATCATAGCTCACTGCAGCCTCCACTGCCTAGGCTCAAGCAGTCCTCCCACCTCAGCCTCTGCAGGAGCTGGGACCGCAGGCCTGTGACACCATGCCCAGCTAACTGTATTCATGTAATAGTTTTCTTTGCGTTAACCCACTTATTAATCACTCTCCCTATTTAGAAAGTAACAGTTTTTTAAAAGGTTACAATGAAAATAAAACAATGTCAAAAGATCCTGCTGAAACAGTAACAGGTTTAATAGTTTCAAAGAGAGATTAGCCAGCCTTAACGACACATTGTTTCCAAGGGAAGAAAACTATGCTTGGGCTGAGAAGGGGGATGCAAGTTGACAAGGGAGAAATTTGGAGAGATCCAGTCCACGTTATTTAAATAACATTGAATTGGGCTGGGCGAAGTGGCTCACGCCTGTAATCTCAGCACTTTGGGAGGCCGAGGTGGGCGGATCACCTGAGGTCAGGAGTTTGAGGCCAGCCTAGCCAACATGGTGAAACATCACCTCTAATAAAAATCCAAAAATTAGCCGGGCATGGTGGTGAGTGCCTGTAGTCCCAGCGACTTGGGAGGCTGAGGCAGGAGAATTGCTTGAGCCCGGGAGGCAGAGGATGCAGTGAGTCAAGATCACACCACGGCACTCCAGCCTGGGCAACAGAGTGAGACTGTCTCAAAAAAATAAATAAATAAATAAATAACCTTGAATTATTTTGCCACACTGTCCCAGAATATGGAAAATTCTGCTTCTGGAAGAGGGACAAACTCCTATGATGATCTGCAAGGCCCTGCTTGATCTGGGGCCATCCCATCTCTGGATGAATCATGCATCACCCTCTGGCCACATGGACCTGCTTTTTGTTCCTCATACTTCCACAGCCTTCTCAGCCACATGGCCTTTGGATATGCCGTGACCTCCTGAAGATCTTTCAGCTTCCTTGCTCACCTAGTGAAGCCAGCTCAGCTCAAGGGGCAAATCCTCAGGGAAGTGTTCCCTGTCTAACCCTCTTTTGGCCTAAGGACTGCTTTATTTTATTTTTTATTTTTATTTTTTGAGATGGAGTCTCTCTCTGTCACCCAGGCTGGAGTGCAGTGGTGCGATCTCAGCTCACTGCAACCTCCACCTCCCGGGTTCAAGTGATTCTCCTGCCTCAGCCTCCCGAGTAGCTGGGATTACAAGCTCCCACCATCACACCTAGCTAATTTTTGTATTTTTAGTAGAAATGGGGTTTCACCATGTTGTCCAGGATGGTCTCGATCTCCTGATCCGCCCGCCTCAGCCTCCCAAAGTGCTGAGATTACAAGCATGAGCCACCGTACCTGGCCTATTTTATTTTATTTTAATTAATTAATCTATTTTTGAGACAGGGTCTTGCTTTGTCGCCCAGACTGGAGTGTAGTGGCATGATCCAAGGCTCACTGCAGCCTCAAAGTCTAGTGCTTAAGGGATCCTCCCATCTCAGCTTCCAGCATAGCTGAGACCCCAGGCACACACCACGATGCCTGGCTAATTTTTTATTTTTTTTGTAGAGATGGAATTTCCATGTTGCCCAGGCTGGTGTTTTTTATTTATTTATTTAACCAGTCTCTGATGGGAGGCAAGACCCCTATATTTGACACTCGGATCAAGAGCTACTTTATTTAAAACATTTGGCCAGGCATGGTGGCTCACGCCTGTAATGCCAACACTTTGGGAGACCGAGGCAGGAGGATCACGAGGTCAGGAGTTCAAGACCAACTTGGCCAATAAGGTGAAACCCCATCTCTACTAAAAATACAAAAATTAGCCAGGCATGGTAACACGCGCCTGTAGTCCCAGCTACTCCAGAGGCTGAGGCAGGAGAATCGCTGGAACCTTGGAGGAGAAGGTTTCAGTGAGCCGAGATGGCACCACTGCACTCCAGCTGGGCGACAGAGTAAGACTCTGTCTCAAGAAAAATAAAGAGACCAGGCGCAGTGGCTCACACCTGTAATCCCAGCACTTTGGGAAGCCAAGGTGGGCGGATCACAAGTTCAGGAGCTCGAGACCAGCCTGGCCAATATGGTGAAACCTCATCTCTACTAAAAATACAAAAATTAGCCGGGCGTGGTGGCAGGAGCCTGTATCCCACCTCTTGGGAGGCTGAGGCAGGAGAATCGCTTGAACCCGGGAGGCGGAGGTTGCAGTGAGCCAAGGTCAAGCCACTTCACTTTAGCCTGGGCGACAGAGCAAGACTTCATCTCAAAAAATAATAATAAAATAAATTTTTGCGGGGCTGGGAGTGGTGGTTCATGCCTGTAATCCCAGCATTTTTGGAGGCTGAGGTGGGCGGATCACTTGAGGTCAGGAGTTTGAGACCAGCCTGGCCAACATAGTGAAACCCCATCTCTACTAAAAATACAAAAATTAGCCAGGCGTGGTGGCGCGCACCTGTAGTTCCAGCTGCTCGGAAGGGTGAGATGGGAGAATCGTTTGAACCCGGGGCCGGGGGGCTGAGGTTGCAGTGAGCTGAGATAGCGCCAATGCACTCCAGCCTGGGTGACAGTGAGACTCAGTCTCAAAAAAAAAAAAATTTTTTTTTGTTAATACTTATCACAAGTGCAATTTTACCTTTGTAGAATTAAACCGTTGTTTCTGAGTTAGTTTCCTCTTGTAGCCTACTGCCTCCAAGTCTAGCAGATGGTTAAGCGGTTTTTGTGAATGAATGATGCCTTTGCAACCTTCGTTTGAGATCTGTCCTCTTAACGTCCACTGTGTATATATGAGGAAACAGGCCCACAGAGTTTCGCTCTGCAAGACAGCAAGTAAAGGACAGCTCTAGTCGGGTCCTCTATCCCGAAGCCTCCTCCCCACTCTGCCCTGCCCTGCCGTGCAGGACCCAAAGGAAGGGCGCCCCAGTTCAGCCTCTGTAGATCTGGGAAAGGGCCGGGCCACAGGTCGGGACCAATCCAGAAGCAGCACCCAGACCGGTTTACCCGGTTCCAGGACCTTGGGCGAAGTCCACCCGCCCGAGGGCAGGGACGACGCAGGCCACGCCGCGGCCCAGTTGCTAGCCAGGCAGGGTGGGGATTTGATCTTGCCAAGGAAATGTGAGCGGGAGGCCGAGCGTTGGAGGTGGGTAAGTCGTCACTATGCAGGGCGGAGCCATCCTGTGTCTATCACGCCCAAGGGCGGTGCATGCAAATTGACTCCCGCATTTGGCTTTTCCCCGGGCTCCGTCTCCGCGCGCTGCAACCCGCGACTTCCAAGAACTCCCCGCGTAGTCAGCTGCCCGGGCCACGCCCCCTTTCCGGACCCGCCCTGCCCGCCCCAGGGAGGCGGGGGCGGAGCTTGCGGCCCAGCGGGAAGGCGGAGGCGGGGGTCGCGCCCAGGTCCCGGGGGCGTCAGAGGCAATGGGAAGTCGTGGCTTCTGCACCGCCCTTGGGGGTTCGGCTCCCAATCAGGGAAAAAGGGCCGAGAGAATGAAAGAGTAATGAGACTTGCGAGTTTGAGGCTCACACTACTCTCTTTGGGTTGGGGGTTGCTGAAGCCTCCACGTGTATTCAGGGAGCCCCGAACCTCACACCTCTGTCCAGGGGAGCTCAGAACCCGCCGTGTTCTGGAAAGCCTACACCTTCCCCGGTTTTTTAGTGTCTAGGGGAGCCCACAACCCTCACAGCCGTGTCTAGTAGCGCTCAGATCCACACACCTGTGTTTGGGGGAGCCCAGATCTTCTCTACCTGTGTCCAGATGAGTTCAGAGCCCCGACGTTTGTCCAGGAAAGCCCACCTCTGTCCAGAAGCGCTCTGACCAGGACCTTTCCTGTTTCCTGAGGCTCAGCCTAGGGGGTCATCCCACCCAGGTCTGTGTTAAGGGGAGCTTGTGTCTC
Organism: Homo sapiens; assembly: GCF_000001405.40. NCBI lineage: Eukaryota > Metazoa > Chordata > Mammalia > Primates > Hominidae > Homo > Homo sapiens. The sequence goes on from NC_000019.10 coordinate 13,163,740, forward strand.
CCCAAACATGTCCAAGTGAGCTGAGCTCAGGAGCTGAGGCCTCCCCATATCGTGCTCCCCGCCTGGCCCTTTGGTGAATCCCTTTCTCAGAAGAAACCCTCAGGGGCCCTAGCCCTGCTGCCCTTCCCTGCACTGTCTTCGAGCCTCCTGGCCCAATTGGCCCCTCCCCCAGTACACTGTTGAGTCTTAGTTAAGACATAATCCCAGCATTCACTGTCCCCCATCCCCCAGCTCTCCCGCACCTCGGCGGCTGGCCGGGCCCCCGGGAGTGCCGTCATCCCAGCCGGCTGGCCACCCGACTGGCACCAATTAATTTCCTCCTCGGCCTGTCCACCCAGGGCCTCGGCCTGTCTGGTTGCCAGCTGCTCACCCTCAGCCAGCCCGCCCCCTCGGGCTCCCAGGGAATTGCCAACAGTTCTCCTCCTTCCTGCAACCCCCCCACCCCCAATCCAGGCCACCCCACCCAGCACAGTTAATCAGAAAAAGCTGACAGTTAGGACCTGGAGGAGTGATCTGAAATCAGATGGAGGAGGGGTGGGATGTTAAACTTTCGGACCCAGGGATGCTTGGGGTGGAGCGGGGGCATGGCTGGAGGGAGGCAGAGGATCCAGTTTTACTTAAGAACCCCAAATCAAAGGCTTGTAGCTTCCAGATGGGGACTGCAGGGAGGGCTGACCCCCTCCCGCATACACCAGGCGGGCAAGGTGGAGCGCCCCTCCTCGGAAATTGCCCCCCGCCCAAGATGCGTCAGTGACAGCTGTGCCTCCTCAGCCCGCACCCAGCCGGTTTCCTTTTCCTGTGCACACTCTCCCGATGGGCTGGCCTTCAGCCTGGAGAGACTCCACGGCCCCTTGGAAGGGGCTCCCCAGAGGGTCTTCCTGGACGAGGGGGAGGGGACAGGCTGAAGAACAATGGGGCTTCTGTGGCTGCAGGACGCCAGGCACTTCCTGTTAACCCTTTCCTCGGGGTGCAGCTGCAGGGAGCACCTCCCAGGTCCCGCCTTGTGGGAAGGGGCAGAGGCAGCCTGAGGGGAAATCTTGTTGCGGGAATTAACTGTTGTGTTAATTGAGGCTTTTGTGAGTGTACTTAGGAGGGGTGAGGTGAATCACACCTTTTCTCACTTGATGGAGTTACAGGGCTTTCTCCTCTATTGCTGAGGGCTGTGCAGTCAGGGACGGGGCAGGGCTAGCCTGGGAGAAGCCTGTGCACTGAGCTCAGAGACGTTCAAGGCTTTTCCCCAGATAGGTTACACCAGGATCTCCAGGGCATGGACAGGGATGGGGTCGGGGAACCCAGGCATCCTAGGTGAATCCAAGGAACAGCCATGTCTGCAAACCACTGTTCTAGCTGCCTTGCTGGGCTTACCTAGGGGCCACGATCCCTGAGTCAGTTCCCTTGGCAGCCTGGGTCTCAGTTTCCCTTGGCTTGTAGAAGTTCTTTCAGGGGCCTACCAAGAGGACACGGCAGTCTAGGAGCTCCCTAAGGGGCAGGAGTGGGCTGGGAGCCTTGGAAACGGTTTGTTTCTCCTGGGAGCCCTGAGAAGTCATGTTGGGGGAATTAACTGCTGTGTTAATTGAGGCTTCAAGCCAAGTCCCCTCTGTTTACACAGAGAGTCTGAGAAATGCCCTCGGAAGATTCCGAGAGCCTCCAAAGGCCCCAGAGACTTTGCTTCTGCCCTGGAGGCTTCTGGTTTTTTACGGGTAAGATAACCTCTCCCATAGTCAAGAGAGAGACTTACTGATGCTTATGGCAGCCCCAGGCCCTGAAGGTATGCTGTACTTGGTCACTTCCGTGCATTTGTTTAATCCTCACCACAAGCCTGGGTCAGGATAAAAAGTAGGCACTTCACTCTTTTTTTTTTTAGGGGTCTTGCTATGTTGCCCAGGATGGTCTTTAACTCCTGGGCTCAAGTGATCCTCCTGCCTTCGGCCTTCCAAAGTGCTGAGGTTACAGGAATGAGCCACCGTGCCCAGCCCAGCCCTAAAGTAGGCCTTTTTTTCCCCCCGCGACGGAGTTTCACTCTTGTTGCCCAGGCTGGAGTGCAATGGCACGGTCTCAGCTCACCGCAACCTCCGTCTCTGGGTTCAAGTGATTCTCTTGCCTCAGCCTCCTGAGCAGCTGGGATTACAGGCATGGGCACCATGCCCGGCTAATTTTATATTTTTAGTAGAGAGGTGGGGTTTCGCCATGTGGGTCTCGAACTCCCAACCTCAGGTGATCCGCCCGCCTTGGCCTCCCAAAGTTCTGGGATTACAGGTGTGAGCCACCGCGCTCGGCCTTTTTTTTTTTTTTCCTTCTGAAGTGGAGTCTTGTTCTGTTGCCCAGGCTGGAGTGCAGTGACGCGATATCAGCTCATTGAACCCTCTGCCTCCCAGGTTCAAGCAATTCTCCTGCCTCAGCTTCCCAAGTAGATGGGATTACAGGCATGCACCGCCACGCCCAGCTAATTTTTGTATTTTTAGCAGAGATGGGGATTCACCATGTTGGCCAGGCTGGTCTTGGAACTCCTGACCTCAGGTGATCTGCCTGCCTCAGCCTCCCAAAGTGCTGAGATTACAGGTGTGAGCCACTGTGCCCCACCAGGTAGGCACTTTCATTAGCCCCATTTTACAGATGAGGGAACTGAGGGGAACTGAGGCACAGAGTGGTTAAACAAAGTGTCCAGGGTTACCCTGTCCAGTAAAGCAAAGCCCATTGACATTCTTCCTCTCCTGGATTTTTTTTTTTTTTTGAGATGGAGTCTTGCTCTGTCGCCCAGGTGGGAGTGCAATGGCCCAATCTTGGCTCACTGAAAGCTCTGCCTCCCAGGTTCAAGCAATTCTCCTGCCTCAGCTTCCTGAGTAGCTGGGATTACAGGCGTGCACCACCGTGCCCAGCTAATTTTTGTATTTTTTTTTTTTTTAAGTAGAGACGGGGTTTCACCATGTTGGTCAGGCTGGTCTCGAACTCCTGACCTCGTGATCTGCCCGCCTCGGCCTCCCAAAGTGCTGGGATTACAGGTGTGAGCCACCACGCCCGGCCGGATTTTTCTTCTTTTCTTTTCTTTTCGGTGGGGAGGAGGAGAGTGTGAGGACCTTTGTCCTGGTTGGTGAACTTTTGCTTAAACCCAGCTTCTATCTCTGGTTCTCAGATAAGGAACCAGCTCCTTCTGGGAGCTGAGAGCCGCACCCCAGGTCTCCTTGCCACTCCTGGGCTACCTGTTTTCTCTTTCCTCATATCCAGGGCTGATCACTCACCAGGTTCCCTCTTAGAATCATTTGCCACTTCACTTCATTTTCCTCTCTTCTCCCCTTTCTGCAGGATGAACACTTCCCCAGGGGTCAATCTGTGCACGCTCAGTCCAGGGGCTGGGTAAAGACAAAGTTTTTTGTTTGCTGTTGTTCACTTGTTTATTTAAATTTATTTATTTTGAGATGGAGTCTCGTTCTGTCACCCAGGCTGGAGTGCAAGGCGCGATCTCGGCTCACTGCAACCTCCGCCTCCCGGGTTCAAGCAATTCTCTGCCTCAGCCTCCTGAGGAGCTGGGATTACAGGTGTGCACCACCATGCCCGGCTAATTTTTGTATTTTTAGTAGAGATGTGGTTTCACCATCTTGGCCAGGCTGATCTTGAACTTCTGACTTCGTGATCCACCTGTCTCAGCCTCCCAAAGTGCTGGGATTACAGGCGTGAGCCACTGCGCCCCACCCTCACTTGTTTATTTACTTGTTTTGTAAACATTATTTACTGAGCATGATCAAACTGCTAGACTGGAGAGGCTGCTGCAATCTCCTCCCTCTGCCCCCGCCATTTCCTGGTACCCATCCTTGCTGGTGGTGTCTGCAATCAGCGGGGCCCTGGCTGAGTTCACGGGAAAGGAAATGGCTCATTGCTTCAGCCTTTAGACCGGGGGGCAGGGAGGGCCTGTCGGGAGGCCGCCTAGTCAGGGGCGTGTCAGAGGCCAGAGGGGCCGGGGCCCAGCAGCTGGGGCTTGGTAAGCTCTGGAGCCTGGGCTCCAGGCCAGCTCGCTGCCAACCTCCACCTGAGACCACCCCACCCCCAACCCCCTTCCTTCTCTCCCCTGCTGCCGAGGCGCGCCCTTCCGGAGTGAAACTTTGGTTTCTCACGACCCGGAAGGCTTGAAGCAAACCTGCAATTACTCACTGCCTGGTCTGTGCGGGCTGCAGCTCTCAGACTCAGGATGAGGTGGCGGTAGGTGGGGTGGGGCTCTTGGGACCCTTTTACCCCTTCGTGCTGCTGGCTGGGGGAGGCCACTAAAGTCTGCGCGCTGCCTTCCACGCGTTCTCCAGACACTTTCCAAATCCCTGCGGACACTACCTTATAAACAGATACTGGAATTTTCAAAGTACTGTCATGCTGTTTGGGACCAGAAATTCCCTCCCATGAGGGTTGGATATGAAGCCAGTTTGGAGGGGGAAGCTGAGGGTGCATGCCCCTGGATCTACCAAAGCCTTCTCTTCAGTCTGGGAGGTTTTTTTTCTTTTTCTTTTTCTTTTTTGAGACAGAGTCTCACTCTGTCGCCCAGGCTGGAGTGCAGTGGTGTGATCTCAGCTCACTACAACCTCCACCTCCCAGGTTCGAATGATTCTCCTGCCTCAGCCTCCCGAGTAGCTGGACGACAGGCGTGCGCCACCACACCTGGCTACTTTTTGTATTTTTAGTAGAGACAGGGTTTCACCATGGGTTTCAGAGGGTGCAGTGGCTCACGCCTGTAATCTCAACACTTTGGGAGGTCGAGGCAGGTGGATCACTTGAGGTCAGGAGTTCGAGACCAGCCTGGACAACATGGTGAAACCCTGACTCTACTAGAAATACAAAAATTAGCTGGTGGTGGTGGCATGCACCTGTAGCCCCAGCTACTCAGGAGGCTGACTCAGGATAATCAGGAACCCGGGAGGAGGAGGTTTCATTGCTCCAGACTTTGAGACTCCATCTGAAAAAAAAAAAAAAATTAAGCCAGGCAAAGTGGCTGATGCCTGTAATTCCAAAGCTTTGAGTGGCTGAGGTGGGATGATCACTTGAGGCTAGGAGTTCGAGACCAACCTATGCAACATGGCAAGACCACCACACCCCCATCTCTGCAAAAAATTAGCCAGGTGTGGTGGCGCACACCTGTAGTCCCAGCTACTCTAGAGGCTGAGGCGGGAGGGTGGCTTGAGCCCAGGAGTTTGAGGCTGCAGTGAGCTATGATCATGTCACTGCACTCCAGCCTGGGTAACAAAGCAAGGCCCAGTCTCAAGAAAATCAGTTATTTTTGCATATGTATGGCGTACATAAGAACATTTGTTACATGTCTATAATGTAACCTCTCTCTGCTTTGCTTTGCAGCTCTGGCAGGGGCAGGGCAGCAGTGCTATGATGAGGCCACTTGTAATTGGGGGTGTTCATGGGAGGGCCTTTGTTCTCTGAGCACTGAGTGGGCACTGCTGTATCTCCATATGCCTGGGATCCTCATTGGTTCCCCTCCTTTCTCCCAGGCTTGTGCCTCTTTCTTTTACTTGACTTTTTTTTTTTTTCCACCCAGGCTGCCGTATAGTGGTGCCATCTCAGTTCACTGCAACCTCCACCTCCCAGGTTCAAGCAATTCTCCTGCCTCAGCCTCCCCAGTACCTGGGACTACAGGCATGTGCCACCATGCCTGGCCGATTTTTGTATTTTTAGTAGAGACAGGGTTTCACCATGTTGGCCAGGCTGATCTCAAACTCCTGGCCTCAAGTTATCCATTAGCCTCAGCCTCTGAAAATGCTGGGATTACAGGCGTGAGCCCGGCCTTTCTTCTTTTTCTTTTTTCTTTTGTTTGTTTTTTTAGAGACAGGGTCTCACTCTGTCACCCAGGTTGCAATGTAGTGGCATGATCATAGCTCACTGCAGCCCTGAACTCCTGTGCTCAAGTGATCTTCCCACCTCAGCCTCCCAAGTAGCTGGGACTATAGGTGTACATCACCATGCCTGGCTAATTTTTTAATTTTTTTTGCAGATATGGGGTCTTGCTATGTTGCTGAGGCTGGTCTCCAATTCCTGATTTCAAGTGAGCCTCCTGCCTCTGCCTCCCAAAGTACTGTGATGAGCTACTACGCCTGGTCATTGTCCCTCTTTCTCATGACTCTCTGGACATCCCTGGGGTGGAGGGTGGGGCAGGCACACACATCCCTCAACTTCCCAGTGGTTCCACGATGACTAAGCCAGCCCTGTCCCTGAGGCTGGGAGTCTGGAGCTAGGATCCACCCCCATGGCCTCATATCCCAACCTTGAGCCTGGGTTTCTGGTCAGACTGGACGGGCTAGCTCGGTCTCCTTAACTCTCAGAGTTGCCTTGTCCAGGCCCAGCGGGTCCCACACAGCCAGGCACACCCCACCCCACAGGGCTCCTGGGAAATTCTCTGCCCCACCCTCAGGCTGCCTCAGACAGACTGAGGTTACCTGTGATTGTCCCAGATAACCCGAGTGAGCCCATCCTCTGCTCTGGGTGGCTCCCTCCCTGGCAGCTGACCTGTAAATTTTGAAAAGATGGGGACAATGCTCAGCTAGGAGGGATGCTCCTGCTGTCTTCCCTGCTGGCCTGGCCACTCCCCAGACTGGACAGGTCCCTTGGCAGCTCTTCCCAGCAACCCAGGCAGCCCCAAGCCCCCTCTTGCTTGGTGTTCCAGGCCAGTGAGAATCTCACTTCTTCTCCAAAACTTTGTCTTCCAACTCCTGTTTTGTTGTGTTTTGTTTTTTTATTGAAACAGGGTCTCATTCTGTTACCCAGGCTGGAGCTCATGGCATGATCATAGCTCACTGCAGCCTCAAACTCCTAGGCTCAAGCAATTCTTCCCACCTCACCCTCCTGAGTAGCAGGGACTACAGATGTGGGCCACCATGGTCAGCTAATTTAAAAAGTTTTTTTCTTAGGCCAGGCATGGTGGCTCACGCCTGTAATCCCAGCACTTTGGGAGGCCGAGGCAGGTGGATAACAAGGTCAGGAGTTCGAGACCAGCCTGGCCAACCTGGTGAAACCCCTGTCTCTACTAAAAATACAAAAATTAGCCGGGCGTGGTGACAGGCACCTGTAGTCCCAGCTGCTTGGGAGGCTGAGGCAGAGAATTGCTTGAACCCGGGAGATGGAGGTTGCAGTGAGCTGAGAACACTCCACTGCACTTTAGCCTGGGCGACAGAGTGAGACTCTGTCTCAAGAAAAAAAAAATTATATATATATAAATTAGCCAGGCATGATGGTGAGTGCCTGTAATTCCAGCTCCTTGGGAGGCTGAGGTGGGAGAATCACTTGAACCTGGGAGGCAGAGATTGCAGTGAGCCAAGATTGCTCCACTGCACACCAGCCTAGGTAATAGAGTGAAACTCCATCTCAAAAAAGAATTTTTTTTTTTCAGAGATGGGGATCTCTCTGTGTTGCCCAGGCTGGCCTCAAGCAATCCTCCTGCCTCAGCCTCCCAAAGTGTTGGGATGACAGGCATGAGCCACTGCGCCCGGCCTGTGGTTTCTCCATGTGGGGCCAGATCACTCTTTGTGCAGGGAGCTACCCTGTGCATCTTTGATGTTGAGTAGTAGCCCTGGCCTCAACCCTGTGCCAATGAAAGATGTCTCCAGATGTTGCCAAATGTTGGGGTGGGGTGGGGCGCAGCCTTGCCGCCTGCTTCACCTGTTCTACCTGTCCATACTCATACCAACCTGCAAAGTAACTTAGACCGTGTGTTTTCTTTTTCTTTTTTTTTTTCTGAGATGAGGTCTTGCTTTCTCCCAGGCTAAAGTGCAGTGGCACGATCTCAGCTCACTACAACCTCTGCCTCCCAGGTTCAAGCGATTCTCCTGCCTCAGCCTCTCGAGTAGCTGGGATTACAGGCACCCGCCACCATGCGCAGCTAATTTTTTTATTTTGAGTAGAGATGGGATTTCACCATGTTGGCCAGGCTGGCGGCTCGAACTCCTGACCTGACCTCAGGTGATCCACCCGTCTCGGCCTCCCAAAGTGCTGGATTACAGGTGTGAGCCACCGTGCCCAGCTGGAGCATATGTGTTCTTTTTTTTTCTTTCTTTCTTTCTTTCTTTTTCTTTTTTTTTTTGAGACGGAGTCTTGCTCTGTCACCCAGGCTGGAGTACAGTGGCGCCATCTCGGCTCACTGCAAGCTCCGCCTCCTGGGTTCATGCCATTCTCCTGCCTCAGCCTCCCAAGTAGCTGGGACTACATACAGGTGCCCGCCACCACACCCGGCTAATTTTTTTGTATTTTTAGTAGAGACAGGGTTTCACCATGTTAGCCAGGATGGTCTCGATCTCTTGACCTCTAGATCTGCCCGCCTCGGCCTCCAAAAGTGCTGGGATTACAGGCATGAGCCACTGCGCCTGGCCAGGAGCATGTGTTTTCTCATCTTGGGCCTGGATCGAGTCCTTATGGTGGAGGTGATCTGCGGGTTCCAGAATCTTGGGAAGGGATTGGTGAGACCATAGCATGGCCCATTGCACCGTCCCTCTACCTGGAGTGAGGGGTGCCAGCCTCCCATTTCCTGGTGGGTGGGCTTGCTGGATGGCAGCCTGAGGTGGGTGGAGTCAGGCTGCCTTGTTCTATTTCCTGGTTCCCAGGGTTGGGTGGTGGCAATGGTGGCCCCGGAGCCAGAGGGCTTGGGGTACCCTGATCCTGCCTCCGGATTTACTGGGTGGGTGCTAGGGTGTGTGCTCCAAGACCGATGGCCCCTGTGGGCGTGGAGGAGAAACCAGAGACTCAAGCAGATCTCCCTGCCTGCCTTCTGCCCTCATGTCCCACTTCACCTTGGCTCTAGGCCAGGGGCTGCCAGAATGGTGACTCAGAGCGACTGAGAAGAGGAGAGAAACAGAATGGAGGTCCTTATCATCCTCCAATCTCCGCCATCCCAGCATCCCCATAAAGGTCAGGACCCTTGAGGCCACATGTCAAGACCATCCACACTGCCCTCTCCTGCTTCCTCCTCCTCTACCCGCCCTCTTTCAGTGGGATTTTTTTTTCCGGGTACCACGCTAGGGCAGGAAGGCAGAAGTGAGCATGGGGCGTGGAACGTCTCTGAGGTTGGAATATATTTAGGCCAGGAGAAGAGTGTGTGTGTGGTGCTGGCCAGGCCCTGGCGCCGGCTCGGCGGGCTTGAGGAGTGATGGTGGGGGGCCCTGAGCCAGTGTGGGGATGCTCCTGCCTTCTCCCTTTTTTTTTTTTTTTTTTTTTGGTTTTGAGATGTAGTCTCGCTCTGTTGCCCAGGCTGGAGTGCAGTGGTGCGGTCTTGGCTCACTGCAACCTCTGCCTCTTTGGTTCAAGTGATTCTCTTGCCTCAGCCTCTGGAGTAGCTGAGATTACAGGCATCTGCCACCACGCCCGGCTAATTTTTTCTATTTTTAGTAGAGATGAGGTTTCACCATGTTGGCCAGGCTGGTCTCCAACTCCTGACCTCATGATCCGCCTGCCTCGGCCTCCCAAAGTGCTGCGATTATAGGTGTGAGCCACCGTGCCTGGCCACCTTCTCCCTTTTAAAGACAGCCTGTCAGCTTTGGGGAGGAGGAGTGGGAATCACTAGGCCCCCACCAAGGCTGAGGCAGGCCCTGTGTGGGCCAGATACATTTAGCATCTTCAAAACAAACCAGCAAGACTAACATCAGGATCACTTACAGCTGTAAACACAAGGCCCAGAGAGGTTAAGTGGCTTTCCCAAGGCTGTTCAGGAAAGAGGTGATGATGGAAGGGTTCTCTTGCTGGCCCGGCTGGCTGCCACCATTCATGCACGCAGTGTTCATTCATGCAACACCTTTGTGGGTACAGCCTAGCCTGTGCCAGCCCCCAACAACGTGCGGGAGAACAAGAAGCCAACTGGACCCAGGTCGGCAAACCGCAGCCCATAGGTGGCATTCGTCTGTTGTCTCTGCACGGCCCTTGGGCTAAGAATGGTTTTTACATTTTTAAGTGGTTGAAAACAAAAGAATAAGAGTATTCCATGATACATAACAATTATATGAAATTGCAATTCCAGCCTTCATGAATTCAGGGTACACAGGTTACACCCATTTGAGTCCACATTGTCTGTGGTTGCCTTTTCGTGACTGTGGCAGAGTGGAGCTGTTTTGACAGAGACCCTGCAAAGCTAAACAACTTTCCTATTTGTCCCCTCCTCCCCTGTCCCCCTCACACTTTTTTTTGACAGAGTTTTGCTCTTGTTGCCCAGGCCGGAGTGCAACAGCGCAATCTTGGGTCACTGCAACCTCCACCTCGTTGGTTCAAGCGATTCTCCTGCCTCAGCCTCCTGAGTAGCTGAGATTACAGGCGCCTGCAACTATGCCCGGCTAATTTTTATATTTTAAGTAGAGACAGGATTTCACCATGTTGGCCAGGCTGGACCGGAACTCTGACCTGAGGTAATTCAGCCGCCTCGGCCTCCCAAAGTGCTAGGATTACAGGCGTGAGCCACCACACCTGGCTTTTTTTTTCTCTCTCTCTCTTTTTTGAGATGGTGTCTCACTCTGTCGCCCAGGCTGGAGTGCAGTGGCGTGATTTCGGCTCACTGCAACCTCTGCCTCCCGGGTTCAAGCGATTCTCCTGCCTCAGCCTCCTGCAACCTCTGCCTCCCGGGTTCAAGCGATTCTCCTGCCTCAGCCTCCTGAGTAGCTGGAATTACAGGCGCGTGCCACCATGTCTGGCTAATTTTTTGTATTTTTAGTAGAGACGAGGTTTCGCCATGTTGGTCAGGCTGGTCTGGAACTCCTGACCTCAAGTGATCAGCCCGTTTTGGCTTCCCAAAGTGCTGGAATTACAGGCCAGAGCCACCACGCCTGGCCATGCCCGGCTAATTTTTTTGTTTGTTTGTTTGAGGTAGAGTTTCACTCTTGTTGCCCAGGCTGGAGTGCAGTGGCATGATCTCGGCTCACTGCAACCTCCACCTCCCAGGTTCAAGTGATTCTCCTGCCTCAGTCTCCCTAGTAGCTGGGATTACAGGCGTCCGCCACCACGCCCGGCTAATTTTTTTGTATTTTTAGTAGAGACGGGGGTTCACTATATTGGCCAGGCTGGTCGGCAACTCCTGACCACAGGTGATCCACCCGCCTCAGCCTCCCAAAGTGCTGGGATTACAGGCGTGAGCCACCTTGCCCAGCCGGAGCATGTGTTTTCTTTCCTTTTTTTTTTTTTTTAAGAGACGGAGTCTTGCTCTGTCACCCAGGCTGGAGTGCGGTGGTGGGATCTCGGCTCACTGCAACCTCTGCCTCCTGGGTTCAAGCAATTCTCCTCCCTCAGCCTTGTGAGTAGCTGGGATTACAGACGTGCACCACTATGCCCGGCTAATTTTTTTTGTTTTTTGTATTTTAGTAGATACGGGGTTTCACCGTATTGCCCAGGGTAGTCTTGAACTCCTGAACTCAGGCAATCCTCCCGCCTCAGCCTCCCAAAGTGCTAGGATTACAGGTGTGAGCCATCACGCCTGGCATAAAATAATAATAATAATAATAATAATAATAATAATAATAATAATAAAATTGGCTGGGCTTGATGGCTCATTCCTGTAATCCCAGCACTTTGGGAGGTTGAGGCAGGCGGATCATGAGGTCAGGAGTTTGAGACCAGCCTGGCTAACATGGTGAAACCTCATCTCTACTAAAAATACAAAAATTAGCCAGGCATGGTGGTGGGCACCTGTTAATTCCAGCTACTGGGGAGGCTGAGGCAGGAGAATCGCTTGAACCCGAGGGCTGGAGGTTGCAGTGATCTGAGATCGCACCACTGCACTCCAGCCTCAGCGACAGAGCAAGACTCTGTGTCAACATTGTTTTTTTTAGGCCAGGGGCAGTACCTATTTCCAGCACTTTGGGAGGCCCAGGCATGAGGATCGCTTGAGCCCAGGAATTTGAGACCAGCCAGGGCAACATGGAGAAACCCTGTCTCTAGAAAATATACAAAAAATTAGCTGGGTGTGGTGGCATGTGCCTGTGGTCCCAGCTACTTGGGAGGCTGAGGTGGGAGGATATGCCAAGTCCAGGAGGTCAAGGCTGCAGTGAGCTGTGATCACACCACTGCACTCCAGCCTGGGTGACAGAAGAAGACCTTGCCTCAAAAAAAAAAAAAAAGTTTTTTATTATTATTTTTTTTTCTTTTTGAGACAGAGTCTCGCTCTGTCGCCCAGGCTGGAGGGCAGTGGCACAATCTCAGCTCAGTGCAAGCTCCGCCTCCCAGGTTCACACCATTCTCCTGCCTCAGCCTCCTGAGTAGCTGGGACTACAGGCGCCCGCCACCACGCCTAGCTAATTTTTTTGTATTTTTGGTACAGACAGGGTTTCACCGTGTTAGCCAGAATGGTCTCAATCTCTTTTCACCTTGTGATCCGTCCGCCTTGGCCTCCCAAACTGCTGAGATTACAGGCATGAGCCACCATGCCCAGCCTTAATTTTTAAAGATAGGGGTCTCACTATGTTGCCCGTTTATCTGAGCTCAAGCGGTCCTCCAGTGTTAGCCTCCCAAGTAGCTGGACTCAGGTTTTTATTTTAACAATGTAAGACTATATTATCCTTATAAGAATACTTTAAAAAAAATGGATAATCCTCCCAGACTCCCTGATATGGGAGTTGAAGGGGCAGATGTGGGGCGGAGGGAGAGGGGAGCTGGTGTTGGAACCAGGCTGGTTTGCTAAATCCAGCCTGCCACCTGTTTCTGCACAGCCTGCGAGTTAAGAATGGCTTTTTCATTTTTAAATGGTTGGGAAAAAAGAATCAAAAGGGAAATTTCACGACATGGGGAAAAGTATATGCAATTCAAATTTTAGTGTCCATAAATAAAGTTTTATTGGCATGGAGCCGGGCTCATTCATTTACCCTGTATCCGTGGCTGCTTTTACGCTTCACCGCAGAATTGAGTCATTCAACAGACTGTCTGGCCCTCGAAGCTGAAAATATTTACTGTCTGGCCCATTGGAGAAGAAGCTTGTAGACCCCTCTTCTAAGGGGCCTGAGACCCTCACTTCAATCTGTCCCTGATTCAGGCCGTCCCAGGATCATTTCTTCATTGGCATGGAAAAGACGTTGGTGTGATTTGGAGGCAGGAGGACTCGCTGAGGACTGATCCTTAACACTGGATGCCCCCTGGGGAGGAGGGGCATTGGGGTCTTCAAGGTGAAGCAGGATTGAGGACTGAGGTGGGCAGGCTGGCTATGGGCACGGCAGGAGCAAAGGCCAGGAGGCCAGACCTGTGCCTCAACTCAAGCTGCCCCGCTCAGTTCGAGTCCAACTTCGGCAACATAGCAAAACCCCGCCTGTACAAAAAAATTAGCCATAGGCCGGGCGCGGTGGCTCATGCCTGTAATCCCAGCACTTTGGGAGGCCGAGGCAGGTGGATCGCGAGGTCAGGAGATCGAGACCATCCTGGCTAACACAGTGAAACCCCGTCTCTACTAAAAATACAAAAAAAATTAGCTGGGCATGGTGGCGGGCGCCTGTAGTCCCAGCTACTCGGGAGGCTGAGGCAGGAGAATGGCGTGAACCTGGGAGGCAGAGCTGGCAGTGAGCCGAGATTGCGCCATGACACTCCAGCCTGGGCAACAGAGCGAGACTCAGTTTCAAGAAAAAAAAAAAAAAATTAGCTGTGCATGGTGGCACGTGCCTGTAGTCCCAGCTACTCGGGAAGCTGAGGTGGGAGGAATTGTTTGAGACCAGGAGTTCCAGGCTGCAGTGAGCCATGATTGCACCACTGCCCTCCAGCCTGGGCAACAGAGTGAGACCTTGTCTCTTAAAAAAATTAAAAAAAAAAAGCTGGGCGCGGTGGCTCACACCTGTAATCCCAGCACTTTGGGAGGCTGAGGCAGGCAGATCACCTGAGGTCAGGAGTTCAAGACCAGCCTGGCTAACTTGGCAAAACCCTGTCTCTACTAAAAATACAAAAATTTGCTGGGCATGGTGGTGCATGTCTATAATCCTAGTTACTTGGGAGGCTGAGGCACGAAAATCACTTGAACTCAGGAGGTGGAGGTTGCAGTGAGCCAAGATCATGCCATTGCACTCCAGCCTGGGTGACAGAGGGAGACTCTGTCTCAAAAAATAAATAAATAAATAAATAAATAAATAAATAAATAATTATAAATAAATAAAAGGAAAGAAAGAGAGACAGAGAGAGAAAATAAAAAAGAAAGAGGCGGGGCGCGGTGGCTCACACCTGTAATCCTAGCACTTTGGGAGGTTGAGGCGGGTGGATCACTTGAGGCCAGGAGTTCAAGACCAGTCTGGCCAACATGGTGAAACCACATCTTTACTAAAAATACCAAAAAAATTAGCCGTGTGTGGTGGCACGCACCTGTAGTCTCAGCTACTTGGGAGACTGAGGCAGGAGACTCACTTGAACCCAGGAGGTGGAGGTTGCAGTGAGCCGAGATCGCGCCACTGCACTCCAGCTTGGGGGACAGAACGAGACTGTCTCAAAAAAGAAAAAAGAGAGAGAAAGAAAGAAAAAAAATAAGCAAGCAAGCTCCCCCCCATCCCATCTCCTAGTGGATGGGACAGATCTATTCCATGGGTCACCTCCCCCTAACCGGTCCCCCAGGCCCATCTGCTGTCTCTGCATTTCTCTGCTCCTGTCCACCATCACTGTTTGCACCAGGCTCCATCTCTTTCATTGTCTTGGGTCTGGAGATGTACCCTGAGCTCCCTTAGTTGGTCCCCCACCTCTCTTATCTCCTTTTCTCAGCATGACCAGTGCACTTTTCTTTCTTTTCTTTTTGTTTTTTTTTTGTTTATTTTTTGAGACGGAGTCTCGCTGTGTTGCCCAGGCTGGAGTGCAGTGGCGTGATCTCCACTCACTGCAAGCTCTGCGTCCTGGGTTCAAGTGATTCTCCTGCCTCAGCCTTCCGAGTAGCTGGGATACAGGCTCCTGCCACCACGCCCGGCTAATTTTTGTAGTTTTAGTAGAGACAAGGTTTCGCTATATTGGCCAGGCTGGTCTCGAACTCCTGACCTTGTGATCCGCCCACTTTGGCCTCCCAAAGTGCTGGGATTTCAGGGGTGAGCCACCGTGCCTGGCCTTTTTTTTTTTTTTTTTTTTTTTTGAGACCGAGTCTCACTCTGTCACCAGGCTGGAGTTCAGTGGCACAATCTTGGCTCACTGCAAACTCTGACTCCCGGATTCAAGCGATTCTCCTGCCTCAGCCTCCCAAGTAGCTGGGACTACAAGGCGCCCACCATCACGCCCGGCTATTTTTTGGGTTTTGCCATGTTGGCCAGGCTGGTCTCGAACTCCTGACTGCAGGTGATCCACCTGCCTCGGCCTCCCAAAGTGCTGGGATTACAGGCGTGAGCCACTGTGCTTGGCCTTTTTTTTTTTTACTTTAAAAAAAACCTTTTTTCCTCATTCCATGCTTCATTTCAAAATTAACCATTTTAAAGAGAACATTTCGGTGACATTTCGAACATCCACATTGTTGTGCAGCCGTCGCCACCATCCATCTCCAGAACGCTTTCATCTTGGAAAACTGAAACACTGTCCTCATTAAATACTCACTCCCCATTCCCCCTCCCAGCAGCCCCTGGCACCCACCCATCTACTTTCTGTCTCTGTGGATTTGACTATTCTGAACATTTCATATCAATGGAATAATCTACTGTGTGGCCTTTTGTGTCTGGCTTCTTTCACTCAGCATGATTTTTAAAAATTTTTATTTTTAGAAACAGTCTCACTCTGTTGCCTGGGCTGGGGTGCAGTGGTGTGAAAATAGCTCACTGCAGCCTCAACCTCCTGGGCTCAAGCAATCCTCCTGCCTCAGCCTCCTGAGTAGCTGGGACTATAGGTGTGTACCACAATGCCTGGCTAATAAAACCTTTTTTTTTTTTTTTTTGGTTGGATGCGGTGGCTCACGCCTGTAATCCCAGCACTTTGGGAGGCCGAGGTGGGCGGATCACGAGGTCAGGATATCGAGACCATGCTGGCTAACACGGTGAAACCCCGTCTCTACTAAAAATACAAAAAAATTAGCCAGGCGTGGTGGCGGGCACCTGTAGTCCCAGCTACTTGGGAGGCTGAGCCAGGAAAATGGCATGAACCGGGAGGCAGAGCTTGCAGTGAGCCGAGATTGTGCCACTGCACTCCAGCCTGGGCAACAGAGCAAGACTGTGTCTCAAAAAAAACCACAGGGTCTTGCTTTGTTGCCCAGGCTGGTGTTGAACTGGCTTCAAGCCATGCTCCTACCTGGACTTCTCAAAGTGCTGGGATTACAGGCATGAGCCACTGCGCCCAGCCTGCCATCATGGGTTTTTTTTGTTGTTGTTTTTTTTGGTGGGGGGGTGGGTGGTGGTTAATGCATGTTGCAGCATGGATCAGTGCTTTATTATTATTATTATATATTTTTATGAGACAGAGTTTTGCTCTATTTCCCAGGCTGGAGTGCAGTGATGCTATCTCAGCTCACTGCAACCTCTGCCTCCCGGGTTCAAGCGATGTTTGAGCCTCAGCCTCCCGAGTAGCTGGGTGTGGAGGCACCTATCACCATGCCTGGCTAATTTTTGTATTTTTAGTAGAGATGGGGTTTCCCCATGTTGGCCAGGCTGGTCTCGAACTCCCGACCTCAGGTGATCTACCCGCCTCGGCATCCGAAAGTGCTGGGATTACAGGCGTGAGCCACCTTGCCTGGCCCAGAATACTTTCATCATCCCAAACTGAAACTCAACCTCTGTTAAACATCAAATCAATATTCTCTGCACACCCCCAGCCCCTTCTACTGTTCTACTTCCTGTCTCTAAGCCAGTGAGCTTTCCTTTTTTTTTTTGGGACACAGTCTCGCTCTGTCATCCAGGCTGGAGTGCAGTGGTGTGATCTCGGCTCAATCCAGCCTCTGCTTCTCGGGTTCAAGAGATTCTCCTGCCTCAGCCTCCTGAGCAGCTGGGATTACAGGCCCCTACCACCATGCCTGGCTCATTTTTGTATTTTTAGTAGAGATGGGGTTTCACCATGCTGGCCAGGCTGGTCTCAAACTCCTGACCTCAGGTGATCTGCCCGCCTCGGCCTCCCAAAGTGCTGGGATTACAGATGTGAGCCACCACGCCTGGCCTCTTTTTGGTTTGTTGATGTAGGCTGGGCTGATTGATCCTCCCCCATCTGATGGTGAGCCCTTGAGGGCTGGAACAGGATCCTTCTTCCTCAGCACTGTGCACTCCCAGCTCCCAGGCCTGTGCTTGATCCTCAGCTGATGCTCAAAATACAGTTGAAGGAACGGCAGAAAATTCCAAATGGGTGGGCAAAGGATGCAGTCCGCTGCTGGGGAGGATAGATGGGCTGAGGCAGGAGATGAATGCCTCGTGGCTCTGGGTGGGTGTAGGGAGCTCTTGGGCTGCAGGTGGGGTTGGGTGCATGAGCCGAGATCTCAGGGGGCTGGCTGAGTAGGGGCTGCAGACACTGAGAGAGAAGAAGAAGGGTCTTTGGAGGCAGAGAAGTGGGCACAGAGAGATGGGCTCCCCAGGCAGAAGTGTAGCCATGTGGCCAGGAGAAGGTGGGACGGAGGGACGGGAGGTGTGGAGGCTCCATGGTCACATTCTTGGCCGTCCTGCATGTGCGTTCAAAGCCTGGGAAGGGCCCGGTGCGGTGGCTCATGCCTGTAATCCCAGCACTTTCAGAGGCCGAGGCGGGCAGATCACCTGAGGTCAGGGGTTCAAGACAAGCCTGGCCAACACGGTGAAACCCTGTATCTACTAAAAGTACAAAAATTAGCTGGGCGTGGTGGCAGGTGCCTGTAATCCCAGCTACTCAGGAGGCTGAGGCAGGAGAATCGCTTGAACCCAGAAGGCGGAGGTTGCAGTGAGCTGAGATGGCACCACTGTCTGTCTGGGAGACAGAACGAGACTTAAAAAATAATAATAATAAAAATAAAAAGTAACAAAGCCTGGGAAGGCCTGGGGAAGGGGGCTCTCAATCCCAGCACTTTGGGAGGCCAAGGCAGGAGGGTCGCTTGATCCCAGGAGGTCAAGGCTGCAGCTGCAGTGAGCTATGATCGTGCCACTGCTTTCCAGCCTGGGTGACAGAGCAAGACCCTGTCTGCAAAAAAAAAAAAAAAAAAAAAAAAAAGTCCAGAAAGGCCGGTCTTGGGCTGAGTCCTGCCAGGGCCTGGTAGCCAGGGCCTAACAGTGTCCTTGTGTCCTTGCTAGGAGGTGAATTCCTAGTGTAGGCTTGACCCACTTTAGCTAGGGAAGCCACAGGATTTACCATTTCCAGGGGCCAGCTCTGCCTGAGGAGAGAGGCCTTCCTCATAAAGTCAGGCTTGGCTTCCTCCCAGCTGGCTGGCCTCCTTCTCCCTGATTCTAAATGCGGGCTTGTCACCGTGTGTCTGCATGTAGGCGCACGAGCGCACATCTGTGTGTGGGGGGGTGTTTGTGGTGCTGTGGGCAGCGTGGGGGTGGCATGTGTTAGCAAGCTGGGGGCCATTTCTACCCCACGGTTCTTTTTATATCTCACATTTACAGAAAGCCTGGACCTCTGAGCCTGGGCCTGTCAGTGGGCTGTTTGAGGCTTTGAAGGAAGGGACCAAGAGGCGGAGGCGTCTGAAACCCCGGCGCCGAGGGAGGATAGTCGGGTCAGGGGTGGCTGTTAGCTTCCTTCCATTGGCACTGACGGCATGCAGCCCGGGGCCATAGCCCTGCAGTGTCAGGTGTTGCAGAGCTATATTTTAAGACACTGGCACCATGGTTCACACCTATATTCTCAACACTGAGGTTGGAGGAAGCTGAGGTTGGAAGGCTGAGGTGGGAGGGTCACTGGAGCTCAGGGATTCAAGACCAGCCTAGGCAACATAGTGAGACCCCATCTTTACATATATATATATATATATAGCGATTATGTGTATATATATATGTATAGCGATTATATATATATAGCGATTATATATATACATATTTTTTCTCCTGCTTCAGTCTCCTGAGTAGCTGGGATTACAGGCTTGTGCCACCACGCCCAGCTAATTTTGTATTTTTAGTAGAGATGAGGTTTCACCATGTTGGTCAGGCTAGTCTTGAACTCCTGACCTCAGGTGATCTGCCCCCCTCGGCCTCACAAGGTGCTGGGATTACAAGCGGGAGGCACTGTGCCCAGCCCTACAAATATATATATATTTTACTTAGCTGGGTGCAGTGGCTGATACCTGTAGTCCCAGCTACTTGGGAGGCTGGGGAGGGAGGATTGCTTGAGCCCAGAAGATCGAAGTTGCAGTGAGCTATGCTCGTGCCACTGCACTAGCCTGGGTGACAGAGAGATCCTGACTAAAAAATAAATAAATAGGCCGGGCGCGGTGGCTCACGCCTGTAATCTCAGCACTTTGGGAGGCCGAGGCAGATGGATCACGAGGTCAGGAGATCGAGACCATCCTGGCTAACACGGTGAAACCCCATCTCTACTAAAAATACAAAAAATTAGCCAGGTGTGGTGGCGGGCGCCTGTAGTCCCAGCTACTCGGGAGGCTGAGGCAGGAGAATGGCATGAACCTGGGAGGCGGAGCTTGCAGTGAGCCGAGATCGCACCACTGCACTCCAGGCTGGGCGATGGAGCGAGACTCCATCTCAAAAAATAAATTAAATAAATAAATAAATAAAGCCGGGCATGGTGGCTCACACTTGTAATCTCAGCACTTTGGGAGGCTGAGGTGGGCAGATCACTTGAGGTCAGGAGTTCGAGACCAGCCTGGCCAACATGGTGAAACCCCCGTCTCTACTAAAAATACAAAAATTAGCCGGGCATGATGTTGGGAGGTCCCTGTAATCCCAGCTACTCAGGAGGCTAAGGCAGGAGAATCGCTGGAACCTGGGAGGCAGAGGTTGCAGTGAGCCAAGATCCCGCCACTACACTCTAGCCTGGGCAACAGAGCTAGACTCCATCTTAAAACAAATCAAAGTAAATATAATAAATAAAGCATACTCTCTCCACCTCCACTGCTGGGTCCTCACCAGGATGAATGGTTCAGAGCAAGGCCTGAAGGGGTCCTCCCTGAGATGCTGGGAGCGTCTCCCTGAGAAGCCCTGTTGGGCTGGTCCCAGTGGACCCTGGGTGCTCGCTGCCTAAGCTGCCCTCCCCCATCCCTGCCCAGCTCTGCACCCCATGAGAAGCCCTGTGGGTGGCCCCCAACTCAGGAGTTCCCACAGGGAGCTGAGGGCCGGTGATAGCCCCCCAGGCTTATGCAGTGACCTCGCTTAACAGCTGGTAACTCCTGCAGGATTCTGAGGCACCCGCCTCCTCCCAGAGGGACACATTCATGGCCTTTTCCTATTTATTTATTTATTAGAGATGGGGTCTTGCTCTGTCTCCCAGGCTGGAGTCCAGTGGCATGACTATTGCTCAATGCAGCCTCAAACTCCTGGGCTCAAGCAATCCTCCCACTTCAGCCTCTAGAGCAGCTGGGACTATGGGCATGCACCATGCTGGGCTAATTTATTTTTATGTGTATTATTGTATTAATTTTTTTTTTTTCGACGGAGGTTTGCTCTTGTTGCCCAGGCTGGAGTGCAATGGCACAACCTCGGCTTACCGCAACCTCCCTCTTCCGGGTTCAAGCAATTCTCCTGCCTCAGCCTCCGGAGTAGCTGGGATTACAGGCACCCCCCACCATGCCCGGCTAATTGTTTTTTTTATTTTTCTAGAGACAGGGTTTCACCACGTTGTTGGCCAGACTGGTCTTGAACTCCCGACCTCAGGTGATCTGCCCGCCTCAACCTCTCAAAGTGCTAGGATTACAGGCGTGAGCCACTGCTCCCGGCCTCGTATTAATTTTATTTTTAAAAATAAACACACTGCAGGCCTGGCGTGGTGGCTCACGCCTGTAATCCCAGCACTTTGGGAGGCCGAGGTGGGCGGATTATGAGGTCAGGATATAGAGACCACCCTGGCTAACATGGTGAAGCCCCGTCTCTACTAAAAATACAAAAAATTAGCCGGGCGTGGTGGCGGGAGCCTGTAGTCCCAGCTACTCAGGAGGCTGAGGCAAGAGAATGGCGTGAACCCGGGAGGCGGAGCCTGCAGTGTGCCAAGATCACGCCACTGCACTCTAGCCTGGGCAACAGAGCGAGACTCTATATCAAAAAAATAAATAAATAAAAGTAAATAAAAATAAAATAAACACACTGTAGCCTTGAAATCCTGGGCTCAAGCAATTCTGACTCTGCCTCTCAAAACAATGGGACTGCAGAGGTGAGCCACTGTGTCCAGCTAAAAAAATATATATATATGTATATATGTGTATATATATGTATATACATGTGTATATATACATGTGTATGTGTATATATACGTGTATGTGTATATATACGTGCGTGTATATATACACGTGTGTGTATACGCATACATACGTGTGTGTATACGCATACATACGTGTGTGTATACGCATACATACGTGTGTGTATACGCATACATACGTGTGTATACGCATACATACGTGTGTATATGCATACATACGTGTGTATACGTATACGTATATATATATCAGCCAGGTTCGGTGGCTCATGCCTGTAATCCCAGCACTGCGGGAGGCTGACGTGGCTGGATCACCTGAGGTCAGGAGTTTGAGACCAGCCTGGCCAACATAGCAAAACCCCGGTCTCTACTAAAAATAAAAAAATTAGCCAGGCATGGTGGCGGACGCTTGTAATCCCAGCTACTTGGGAGGCTGAGGCAGGAGAATCACTTGAACCCGGGAGACGGAGGTTGCAGTGAGCCGAGATCACGCCATTGCCCGCCAGCCTGGGCAACAAGAGCAAAACTCCATCTCAGAAAAAAAAAAAATTTTTTTTTCTTTGAGACAGTCTTGCTCTGTTGCCCAGGCTGGAGTGCAGTGACACAATCTTGGCTCTCTACAACCTCTGCTTCCTGGGTTCAAGTGATTCTCATGCCACAGCCTCCATAGTAGTTGGGATCACAGGCACGTGCCACCATGCCTGGCTGATTTTTGTATTTTTAGTAGAGATGGGGTTTCACCATGTTGGCCAGGCTGGTCTCGAACTCCTGACCGCCAATGATTCGCCTGCTTTGTCCTCCCAAAGTGCTGGTGTGTCCGGAGTTGGTGGGTTCTTGGTCTCACTGACTTCTAGTATGAAGCCGCGGACCCCCGCAGTGAGTGTTACAGCCCTTAAGGGGGCAAATCTGAAGTTTGTTCCTTCTGACGTTTGGATGTGTTCGGAGTTTCTTCCTTCTGGTGGGTTCGTGATCTCGCTGGCTCAGGAGTGAAGCTGCAGACCTTTGCAGTGAGTGTCACAGCTCTTGAGGCGGCGCATCTGGAGTTGTTTGTTCCTCCCGGTGGGCTGGTGGTCTCCCTGGCTTCAGGAGTGAAGCTGCAGACCTTTGCGGTGAGTGTTACAGCTCATAAAAGCAGTGTGGACTCAAAGAGTGGTCAGTAGCAATATTTATTGCAAAGAGCAAAATAACAAAGCTTCCACAGTGTGGAAACGGACTGGAACGCGTTGCCACTGCCAGCTGGGACAGCCTGCCTTTATTCTCTCATCTGGTCCCACCCACATCCTGCCGATTGGTAGCGCCCAGTGGTCTGTTTTGACAGGGCGCTGATTGGTGCGTTTACAATCCCTGAGCCAGACACAAAGGTTCTCCACGTCCCCACCAGATTAGCTAGATACAGAGTGTCCATTGGGGCATTAACAAAGCCCGAGCTAGACACAGGGTGCTGATTGGTGTGTTTACAAATCTTGAGCTAGATACAGAGTGCTGATTGGTGTATTCACAATCCCTGAGCTAGACATAAAGGTTCTCCAAGGCCCCATCAGAGTAGCTACATACAGAGTGTCGATTGGTGGATTCACAAACCCTGAGCTAGACACAGGGTGCTGATTGGTGTGTTTACAAACCTTGAGCTAGATACAGAGTGCCGATTGGTGTATTTACAATCCCTGAGCTAGACATAAAGGTTCTCCAAGGCCCCACCAGACTCAGGAGCCTAGCTGCCTTCACCCAGTGTATCCTGCACCGGGGCTGCAGGTGGAGCTGCCTGCCAGTCCCGCGCCGTGTGCCTGCACTCCTCAGCCCTTGGGTGGTCGGATGGGACTGGGCGCCGTGGAGCAGGGGGTGGCGCTCGTCGAGGAGGCTCGGGCGGTACAGGAGCCCACGGAGGGGGTGGGAGGCTCAGGCATGGCGGGCTGCAGGTCCCGAGCCCTGCCCCACGGAAAGGCAGCTAAGGCCCGGCGAGAAATTGAGCGCAGCGCCGGTGGGCTGGCGCTGCTGGGGGACCCAGTATACCCTCTGCAGCTGCTGGCCCGGGTGCTAAGCCCCTCATTGCCCGGGGCCGGTGGGGCGGGCCAGCCGGCTGCTCCAAGTGCAGGGCCCGCCAAGCCCACGCCCACCCGGAACTCCAGCCGGCCCGCAAGCGCCGCACGCAGCCCCGGTTCCCGCTCGCGCCTCTCCCTGCAAGCTGAGGGAGTGGGCTCCGGCCTTGGCCAGCCTAGAAAGGGGCTCCCACAGTGCAGCGGTGGGCTGAAGGGCTCCCCAAGTGCCGCCAAAGTGGAAGCCCAGGCAGAGGAGGCGCTGAGAGCGAGGGAGGGCTGTGAGGACTGCCAGCACGCTGTCACCTCTCACTGGGATTACAGGTGTGAGCTACCACGCCCAGCCAAAAAAATTTTTTATAGATGGGGTCTCACTATGTTGCCGAGGCTGGTCTCTAACTCCTGAGGGAAAGCAATTCTCTCGCCTCAGCCTTCTGAGTACGTGTGATTACAGGTGGAGTGATGAAAATATTCTGAAACTAGATGCAGGTGGTGGTTGTATTACATTGTGAATGTACTGAATGCCTCAGAATTGTACATTTTAAACAATTTTATGCTATGTGAATTTCACCTCCCTTCCTTTCCTCCCTCTCTCCCTCCCTCCCTTCCTCCTTCCTTCCCTCCCTCCCTTCCTTGCTTACCTCCCTCCCTTCCTTCCTTCCTGTCTTTCTTTCTCTCTCTCTCTCTCTCTTTCTCTTTCTTTCTCTCTCTCTCTCTCTCTTTCTCTCTTTCTTCTTTCTTTCTTGTCTCGCTCTGTCGCCCAGGCTGGAGAGCAATGGCGCGAGCTTGGCTCACTGCAACCTCTGTCTCCTGGGTTCAAGCAATTCTTCTGCCTCAGCCTCCCAAGTAGCTGGGATTACAGGGGCCTGCCACTACACCCGGCTAATTTTTTGTATTTGTATTTATTTTTTTATTTTTGAGATGGAGTCTTGCTCTGTCACCCAGGCTGGAGTGCAGTGGCACGATCTCAGCTCACTGCAACCTCTGCCTCCCAGGTTAAAGCAATTCTCCTGTCTTAGCCTTCTGAGTAGCTGGTACTACAGGCACCTGCCACCACGCCTGGCTAATTTTTGAATTTTTAGTAGAGACGGGTTTCACCTTGTTGGTCAAGCTGGTCTCAAACTCTTGACCTCTGGTGATCCACCCGCCTGGGCCTCCCAAAGTGCTGGGATTACAGGCATGAGCCACCACACCCGGCCAGGCTTTTTAAAATTTTTTTTGAGACAGAGTCTTGCTCTTCTCCCTCAGGCTGGAGTGCAATGGCATGATCTTGGCTCACTGCAACTTCCACCTCCCGGGTTCAAGTGATTCTCCTGCCTCAGCCTCCCAAGTAGCTGGGATTACAGGCACCTGCCACCAAGCCTGGCTAATTTGGTATTTTTAGTAGAGACGGAGTTTCACCATGTTGGCCAGGCTGGTCTCGAACTTCTGACCTCAGGTGATCTGCCTGCCTTGGGCTCCCAAAGTGCCTGGATTATAGGCATGAGCCACTGGGCCCAGCCTCTTTTTACTTTCTTTTTTTTTTTTGAGACAGAGTTTCACTCTTGTTGCCCAGGCTGGATTGCAATGGCTCGATCTCGACTCACTGCAACCTCCGCCTCTTGGGTTCAAGCAATTCTCCTGCCTCAGCCTCCCAAGTAGCTGGGATTACAGGCATGTGCCACCATGCCAGGCTAATTTTTTCTTTTCTTTCTTTTTTTTTTTTTTTTTTTGAGACGGGGTCTTGCTCTGTAGCCCAGGCTGGAGTGGAGTGGAGCGATCTTGGCTTACTGCAAGCTCTGCTTCCCGGGTTCATGTCATTCTCCTGCCTCAGCCTCCTGAGTAGCTGGGATTACAGGCGCCCTCCACAACTAATTTTTTTGTATTTTCAGTAGAGACAGGGTTTCGCCGTGTTAGCCAGGATGGTCTCGATCTCCTGACCTTGTGATCCACCCGCCTTGGCCTCCCAAAGTGCTGGGATTACAGGCGTAAGCCACCGCGCCCAGCCTCTATTTTTAATAGAGACGGGGTGTCACCATGTTCTCCAGGCTGGTCTTGAACTCCTGACCTCAGATGATCTGCCCACCTCGGCCTCCCAAAATGCTGGAATTACAGTCGTGAGCCACTGCGCCTGGCTCTTTTTACTTTCTTTAATGTGACTACTAGAACATTTTGTTTGTTTGTTTATTTATTTATTGAGACAGTGTCTGACTCTGTTACCCAGGCTAGAGTTCAGTGGCACCATCTCAGCTCACTGCAATCTCTACCTCCCACACTCAAGCGATCCTGCCACCTCAGCCTCCTGAGAAGCTGCGACTAAAAGCACACACCACTACGCCTGGCTAAATTTTGTATTTTTTGTAGAGATGAGGTTTCCCTCTTGTCACCCAGGCTGGAGTGCAATGGCGCAATCTCGGCTCACTGCAACCTCCATCTCCCGGGTTCAAACGATTCTCTTGCCTCAGCCTCCCAAGTAGCTGGGATTACAGGCATGTGCCACCACACCTGGCTAATTTTGTATTTTTAGTAGAGACGGGGTTTCTCCATGTTGGTCAGGCTGGTCTCGAACTCCCGACCTCAGGTGATCTGCCCGCCTCGGTATACCAAAGCGCTGGGATTACAGGCGTAATCCACTGTGCCCAGCAGAGATGGGGTTTCACTTTTTTGTCCAGGCTGGTCTTGAACTCCTGAGTTCAAGCAATCTGCTCACCTCGGCCTCTCAAAATGTTGGGATTACAGTTGTAACCCACTGCATCAGGCTAGAAATTTTAAATGTGGCATACTTTGGATTTCCATTGGGAGGCTCTGGTTTAACACTACTGTGCCTCCAGAGACAACACATCACACCTATTTCCTCTGCCCAGCAGGTGGAAACCCCCAGGGCCACTGTGGACCCACAGCAAGGCAGAGAGAAGTCTTAGAAGAGCCGAGGTGGGGAGGAGAGCTGTAGCTGTCCACCCACTAACTGGAATTTTCTTTCTTTTTTTTTTTTTTTTTTTTTTGAGACAAGGGCTCGCTTTGTGGGCCAGCTGGAATGCAGTGGTGCAATCTCGGCTCACTGCAATCTCTGCCTCCTGGGTTCAAGCGATTCTCCTACCTCAGCCTCCCTAGTAGCTTGGATTACAGGCACCTGCCACCACGCTCAGCTAATTTTTTTTTTTTTTTTCTGAGATGGAGTTTTGCTCTTGTTGCCCAGGCTGGAGCGTAATGGCGTGATCTCGGCTCACTGCAACCTCTGCCTCCCAGGTTCAAGCAATTCTCCTGCCTCAGCCTCCCGAGTAGCTGGGATTACAGGCATGCACTACCATGGCCGACTAATTTTGTATTTTTAGTAGAGACAGGGTTTCTCCATGTTGAGGCTGGTCTCGAACTCCTGACCTCAGGTGGTCCGCCCGCCTCGGCCTCCCAAAGTGCTGGGATTACAGGCGTGAGCCACTGCGCCTGGCCAACGCTTAGCTAATTTTTGTATTTTTAGTAGAGACGGGGTTTCACCATGTTGGCCAGGCTGGTCATGAACTCCTGTCCTCAAGAGATCCGCCCGCCTCGGCCTCACAAAATACTGAGATTGCAGGTGTGAGTCACCGTGCCTGGCCTGGACTTTTCTTTTTAATTGTTAATTATTTTTTCTTTTAAATTTTTTTTTTTGGGATGGAGTTTCACTTTTGTTGTGCAGGCTGGAGTGCAGTGGTATGATCTTGGCTCACTGCAACCTCTACCTCCTGGGTTCAAGCAATTCTCCTGCCTCAGCTTCCCGAGTAGCTGGGACTACAGGCTCCTGCCACCACACTCAGCTAATTTTTGTATATTTAGTAGAGGCGGGGTTTCACCATGTTGGCCAGGCTGATCTCAAACTCCCGACCTCAAATTATCCACCCACCTCGGCCTCCCAAAGTGTTGGGATTACAGGCGGGACCCACCGTGCCTGGCCTAATTTTTTTTTTTTTTTTTTGCCAGTCTTAACTCTGTCACACAGGCTGGAATGCAGTGGTGTGGTCATAGCTCACTGCAGTCTCCACCTCCCAGGCTCAAGTGATCCTCCCGCCTCAGCCTCCGAAGTAGCCGGGACTACAGGCATGAGGCACCATGCCTAGCTAATTTTTGTAACGATGGGGTCTTGCCATGTTGCCCAGGGTGGTCTTGAACTTCTGGCCTCAGGCGATCTGCCCCCCTCAGCCTCCGAAAGTGCTAGGATTACAAGCACGGGCCACTGCACCCAGCCACTGACGGGACTTTGGATTCATGGTTTGGTTCCAGAGGTAGCAGGACCTAACTCTCCCTGGCTGGCTGGGGCGGGTAGGGGAAAGAGATGGTTTCAATATCTTGAACCACCCTGAACTTTGGACCTCCTGAAGTTCAAGGACCTGGAGATTGTTGTTCTGGATCACGATTTAGGAGGGGGCGGAGGCGGGGGTGGGGTGGACGTGGCAGAAGTTAACTAGGTCTCAACCAGCAGGGGCGTGTCCTCACCTCAGGGAAATGGCAAGTGTGACTGGATGGAAACCAGAAACCAACCGGTTATAGATTCAAGTCTCATCCTTTTTACAATTGTATGACATTGGACAAGTAATTGAGCCTTTTTGAGCCTTTCTGACTCTTTATTTTCTTTTGAGACGGAGTCTTGCTCTGTCGCCCAGATTGGAGTGCCAGGGTGGGATCAGGGCTCACTGCAACCTCCACCTCCTGGGTTCAAGCAATTCTCCTGTCTCAGCCTCCTGAGTAAGCTGGGATTACAGGTGCTCACCACCATGTCCAGCCAATTTTTGTATTTTTAATAGAGATGGGGTTTCACTATGTTGGCCAGGCTGATCTTGAACTCCTGACCGCAAGTGACCCACCTGCCTCGGCCTCCCAAAGTGCTGGGATTACAGGCATGAGCCACTGTGCCCGGCCTGACTCTTACACTTTTCTGATCAGAAACTTTCTCCCTTGGATCCTTTGAGGCCAGGAGTTTGAGACCAGGTTGGGCAACATAGCAAAACCCTGTCTCTTTTTTTTTTTTTGAGACGGAGTTTCACTCTTGTTGCCCAGGCTGGAGTGCAATGGTGTGATCTCGGCTCACCGCAACCTCCGCCTCCCGGGTTCAAGCAATCCTCCTGTCTCAGCCTCCCGAGTAGCTGGGATTACAGGCATGCACCACCACGCCTGGCTAATTTTGTATTTTTTAGTAGAGATGGGGTTTCTCCATGTTGGTCAGGCTGGTCTCAAACTCCCGACCACAGGTGATCCATCTGCCTTGGCCTCCCAAAGTGCTGGGATTACAGCTGTGAGCCACCACGCCCGGCTTTTTTTTTTTTTTTTGAGCCAGAGTTTTGCTATTGTCACACAGGCTGGAGTACAATGGCGTGATCTTGGATCACTGTAACCTCTGCCTCCCTGGTTCAAGCAATTCTCCTGCCTCAGTCCCGCTGAGTAACTGGGATTACACATGCCCACCACCACCCCCGGCTAATTTTTGTGTTTTTAGTAGAGATGTTGGGCGGGGTGGGGGGGGGGGGGTCTCACCACATTGGCCAGGCTGGTCTCGAACTCCTGACCTCAGATTATCCACGCGCCTTGGCCTCCCAAAGTGTTGGGATTACAGGCATGAGCCGCCGTGCCTGGCCAAAACCCTGTCTCTTAAACAAACAAAAAAGGTTAGGTGCGGTGGCTCACGCCTGTAATCCCAGCACTTTTGGAGGCCAAGGCGGGCGGATCACTTGAGGTCAGGAGTTTGAGACCAGCCTGGCCAATGTGATGAGACCCCATCTCTACTAAAAACACAAAAATTAGTGAGGCATGGTGGCGGGCACCTGTAGTCCCAGCTACTCGGGAGGCTGACACAAGAGAATTGCTTCAACCCGGGAGGCGGAGGTTGCAGTGAGGTGAGATCATGCCACTGTACTCCAGCTTGGGCGACAGAGCAAGACTGTATCTCAAAAAATAAATAAATAAAAAGTAAAAAATAAAAATTAGTTGGGTGCAGCGGCACCCACCTGTAGTCCTAGCTACTAAGTAGGCTCAGGTGGGAGAATTGCTTGAAATCTGGACTTTAAGGCCAGCCTGGGCAACATAGTGAGATCCATCTCTATTTTATTTATTTATTTATTTGAGAGAGGGTCTGGCTCTGTCACCCAGGCTGGAGCGCAGTGGTGTGTTCATAGCTCACTGCAGCCTCGACCTCCTGGGCTCAAGAGATCCTCCCATCCCAACCTCCCAAGTAGCTGGGACCACAGGAGTGTGGCAGGCTGGGCATGGTGGCTCACACCTATAATCCCAGCACTTTGGGAGGCCAAGGCAGGTGGATCATTTGAGGCCAGGAGTTTAAGACCAGCCTGACCAACATGGAGAAAGCCCGTCTCTATTAAAAATACAAAATTAGCCAGGCGTGGTGGCACATGCCTGTAATCTCAGCTACCCAGAAGGCTGAGGCAGGAGAATCGCTTGAACCCAGGAGGCGGAGGTTGCAGTGAGCCGAGATCACACCATTGCACAGAGCGAAACCTCGTCTCAAAAAAAGAAAAAAAGAAGTGAGGTCTCACTATGTTGCCCAGCCTTGTCTCAAACTCCTGGACTCAAGTGATCCTCCCGTCTTGGCCTCCCAAAGTGCTGGGATTTAAAAAAAAAAAGTAGCCAGGTGTGGTGGCACTCACCTGTGGTCGCAGCTACTTGGGAGGCTGAGGTGGGAGGTTCAATTGGAGGAGGTCGAGGGTGCAGTGAGCTATAATGGGACCACGGTACTCCAGCCTGGGAAACAAAGTGAGACACTGTCTCAACAACAACGACAGAAAACCAAACCAAAACAAAAAAGAAGAAAAAGAAAAAAGAGACTGCCTCTGTCTTTCCAGTTTTGGTTTCCTTCCTTCCTTCCTTCCTTCCTTTTTCTCTTTCTTCTTTTTTTTTTTTTGAGACAGTGTCTCGCTCTGTTGCCCAGGCTGGAGTGCAGTGGTGCGATCTTGGCTCACTGCAATCTCTGCCTCCCGGGTTCAGAACAGCAATTTTCCTGCTTCAGCCTTCCGAGTAGCTAGGACTACAGACATGCGCCACCATGCCTGGCTAATTTTTGTATTTTTAGTAGAGATGGGGTTTCACCATGTTGGCCAGGCTGGTCTCAAGCCCCTGACCTCAAATGATCCATCTGCCTTGGCCTCCCAAAATGCTGGGATTACAGGCGTGAGCCACTGTGCCTGGCCTGCCACTTTCTCTACCTCTCCTAAGCAGCCACTCCCCTCACACAAGAGAATTGCTTCAACCCGGGAGGCGGAGGTTGCAGTGAGGTGAGATTGTGCCGCTGTACTCCAGCCTGGGCGACAGAGCAAGACTGTATCTCAAAAAAATAATAATAATAATAATAAATAAAAATTAAAAATTAGTTGGGCGCTGTGAAACCCACCTATAGTGGCCCACTGCGCCTGGCCATCCAGTTAGAATTAAGAGTGGTCTCTCCGGGCGTGGTGGCTCACGCCTGTAATCCCAGCACTTTGGGAGGCTGAGGTGGGAGGATCACCTGCGGTCGGGAGTTTGAGACCAGCCTAACCAACATGGTGAAACCCCATCTCTACAAAATATACAAAATTAGGCGGGCATGGTGGCGCATGCCTGTAATCCCAGCTACTTGGGAGGCTGAGGCAGGAGAATCGCTTGAATCTGGGAGGCGGAGGTTGCGGTGAGCCGAAATCGCACCACTGCACTCCTGCCTGGGCAACAAGAGCAAAACTCCATCTCAAAAAAAAAAAAAAAAAAAAAAAGTGGTCTAATCTTTGGCTGTTTTCCATCTGGCCTCCAGGTGGCGCTGTCGACTGACTCCTTGGCTTGTTCAGGCTGTGCAACCTCAGGTAAACCAAGGCCCCCGGGAGCCTGGAGCTTGGGACACTACCTTGAGCAAGGCCCTGGACCTAATTTTGTGGAGTTCCAAATCTAATTTGATTGTCCAATTGATTTACTTTTTTTTGTTTGTTTGTTTTGAGACAGGGTCTCACTCTGTCGCATAGGCTGGAGTGCAGTGGTGGTGCGATCTCTGCTCACTGCAACTTCTGCCTTCCTGGTTCAAGGAATTCTTATGCCTCAGCGTCCTGAGTAGCTGGGGTTACAGGCATGCACCACCACGTCTGGCTAACTTTTGTATTTTTCGTAGAGACAGGGTTTCACCATGTTGGCCAGGCTGGTCCCGAACTCCTGACCTCAAGTGATCCACCTGCCTCGGGCTCCCAAAGTGCTGGGATTATAGGTGTGAATCACGGCTCCCGGATTTTTTTCAAAAATTTCAAAATTTATTATTTGTTTGAGACACAGTCTCACTCTGTTGCCCAGGCTGGAGTGCAATGGGGTGGTCTCGGCTCACTGCAACCTCCGACCCATGGGGTGAAGGGGTTCTCAAGCCTCTCAGGCTCCTGAGTAGCTGGGATTACAGGTGTGAGCCACTGCACCCGGCCGAAGTTCTAGATTCTTTTTGTTTGTTTGTTTTGAGACGAAGTCTTGCTCTGTCGAGATCTCGGTTCATTTCAACCTCCACCTCCCAGGTTCAAGCAATCCTGCTGCCTCAGCCTCCTGAGTAGCTCTGACTACAGGCACGCACCACCACGCCCAGTTTGTATTTTTAGTAGAGACAGGGTTTCACCATGTTGGCCAGGATGGTCTCGATCTCTTTCTTTTTGTTTTTTGAGACGGTATCTCGCTCTGTGGCTCACTGCAACCTCTGCCCAGGTTGAAGCAATTCTCCCAGTAGCTCAATTACTACAATGGTGGGGATTACAGGAACCCACCATTATGCCCGGCTAATTTTTGTATTTTTATAGAGACTGCGTTTCACCATTTTGGCCAGGCTGGTAGTGAACTCCTGACACCTCAAGTGATCTGCCCGCCTCGGCCTCCCAAAGCGGTGGGATTACAGGTGTGAGCCACCGCTCCCAGCCTCGAGTTCTAGATTTGTTAATCAGTTACAGTTTTCTCACCTTTGGCTGTTTGCCAGCTGGCCTCCAGGTGACGCTGTCGACCTGCCTCCTCCTCCACTTGTACAGACTGCCACCTCAGGTCAACCAAGGGCCTCCAGGCCGTCCCTGGAGCCTGGAGCTCGGGACACCCCATTGAACAAGGCCCGGGACTTAATCTTGTGCAGTTTTGAATCTAATTTGATTGTCCAATTGATTGATTATTATACTGTGGTCTTTGATTGGACAAGGCGGTCCTTGAGACTCAGGAAACACATTTTGGAGAAGAAGGTGCCTGGGCACCCTTAGAACATTTTTCCAAGCTGGGCATTGTGGCATGTGCCTGTAGTCCCGGCTACTTGGGAGTCTGAGGCAGGAGGATCCCTTGAGTCTACAAGTTTCAGGCCAGCCTGGGTAATATAACAATACCCTGACTTAAAAAAAAAAAAGTGCTTGATGTAATCCCATTTGTTGATTTTTCCTTTTGTTGCCTGTGCTTTTGGGGCCTTGCACAAAAAATCTTTGCCCAGACCAACATCTGAGCATTTTCCCAATGTTTTCTTATTTTCCTTCTTTCTTTCTTTTTTCTTTTTTTTTTTGAAACAGAGTCTTGCTTTGTTGCCAGGCTGGAGTGCAGTGGCGCGATATCGGCTCACTGCAGCCTCTGCCTCTCGGGTTCAAGCAATTCCACTGTCTCAGCCTCCAGAGTAGCTGGGACTACAGGCGTGCGCCACCACGCCAGGCTAATTTTTTTGTATTTTAGTAGAGATGGGGTTTTACCATGTTGGCCAGGATGGTCTCGAACTCCTGACCTCGTGATCCGCCCGCCTTGGCCTCCCAAAGTGCTGGGATTACAGGTGTGAGCCACCTCGCCCAGGCTTCTTTTTTGTTTGTTTGTTTCTTTTGTTTTTTTTTGAGGCAGAGTCTCACTCTGTCATGCAGGCTGGAGTGCAATGGCACAATCTCAGCACACTGCAGCCTCTGCCTCCCCGGCTCAAGTGATTCTCCTGCCTCAGCCTCCTCAGTAGCTGGAATTACAGGCACCCACTACTGTGCCTGGCTAATTTTTGTGTTCTTAGTAGAAATGTGGTTTTGCCATGTTGGCTAGGCTGGTTTTTTTTTTTTTTTTTGAGACAGAGTCTTGCTCTGTCACCCAGGCTGGAGTGCAGTGGCGCGATCTCGGCTCACTGCAAGCTCTGCCTCCCGGATTCACGCCATTCTCCTGCCTCAGCCTCCCGAGTAGCTGGGACTACAGGCGCCCGCACCATGCCTGGCTAATTTTTTTTTTTTTTGTATTTTTAGTAGAGATGGGGTTTCACCGTGTTAGCCAGGATGGTCTTGATCTCCTGACCTCGTGATCAGCCCGCCTCGGCCTCCTTTCAAAGTGCTGGGATTACAGGCTTGAGCCACCACACCCAGCCCAGGTTGGTATTGAACTTCTGACCTCAGGTGATCCTCCCACCTCGGCCTCCCAAAGTGCTGGGTTACAGGTTTGAGCCACTGCGCCCGGCCTCTTTGGTTTTTTGTTTTTTTGTTTGTATTTTTGCGACAGGGTCTCTCTCTGTCATCCAGGCTGGAGTGCAGTGGTGCAATCTGGGCTCACTGCAACCTCTGCCTAACAGGCTCAAGTGATTCTTGTGCCTCAGCCTCCCGAGTAACTAGGACTACAGGCACGAGCCACCACACCCAGCTAATTTTTGTATTTTTGTAGATGTGGGGTTTCACCATGTTGCCTAGGCTAGTCTCAAACTGCTGGACTCAAATAGTCCGCCTGCCTCAACCTTCCAAAGTGCTGGGATTACAGGCATGAGCCGTCGCGCCCGGCCTCCAAAGTTTCCTTCTAGGAGTTTCATAGTTTCAAATCTTAGATTTAGGTTTGTAATCCATTTTGATTTGATTTTTGTGTGTGGTGAGAGATAGGGGCCTAGTTTCATTCTTCTGCACATAGCCAGCCAGTTTTCCGAGCACCATTTTATTGAAGAAACTGTCCTTTCCCCAGTATATATTCTTTTTTTTTTTTTTTGAGAGACAGTCTTACTCTATTGCCCAGGCTGGAGTTCAGTGGCACGGTCTCGGTGCAACCTCTGGCTCCCGGGTTCAAGTGATTCTCCTGCCTCAGCCTCCTGAGTAGCTGGGATTACAGGCGCCCACCACCACATCCGGCTAGTTTTTGTATTTTTAGTAGAGACTGGGTTTTACCATCTTGGCCAGGCTGGTCTTGAACTCTTGACCTCAGGTGATGCACCCACCTCAGCCTCCCAAAGTGCTGGGATTACTGACGTGAGCCATGGCACCCCACCTAAATATTTATATTTAAGATGACACATATCCCAAGTACACTTGATTTGATCTTTACAAATTATATGAATGTATTAAATTATCACATGTACCCCCAAAACTATGTACATCTATGATGCATCAATAAAAAAAAGTATTGAGTGTAGTGGCTCATGCTTGTAATTCCAACTACTCAAGAGGCTGAGGTGGAGGATCGTTTGAGGCCAGGAGTTGCAGACCATCCTGGGCAACATAGCAAGATGCAGTTTGCACAAAAAATTGCTGGATGTGGTAGTGTGCACCTGTAGTCCCAGATACTTGGGAGACTGAGGAGGGAGGATTGGTTGAGCCCAGGAGCTCCAGGCTGCAGTGAGCCATGATCGCGCCATTGCACTGCAGCTTTGATGACAGAGCAAGACCCTGTTCATATATATATATATATATATATATATATATATATATATATACACACATAAATGTCCAAATATATATATATCAGAGTGGGCAGGAGGGAGGTCGCCTTTTGCAGGGCTGCAGGGACAGGTATGAGAGAACCAAGAGTGGGTGAGAGGGGCTGGGCCTGATGTAAACGTGTGCAGGGCTCGTAGGGGCCTGGGGCTGGGGGAAGCTCACAGGGGGAGAGGTAGTAGGCGTGACGGGTGTGACAGGAGACCGCAGCGTGGGACCGGCCATCATTCCAGGCAGGGCAGGGGCGGCAGAGACAGGAGCCCAGATGGAACGTAGGCACCCTATATAGCGGACGTGGCTGTCATCACCGATTCAGGACGTGGGTGGGATGACATTGGTTTCCGTGTCTGTCCCCTCTGCAGTCTCTCCTCCGCGATGGCTGCCCCTGTCTGCTCATCCTCACCTGGCCTTCAGCAGGTGCTCAGCTGACATCGGTGAGGGAATGGGAGTGATTCGTCATCACAGTAACCGTGTACTTCAGGTAAACGCTCAGAAGGAAGCCAGTTCCCACAGGACTCACAGTGGGAGACAGAGCGGAGCGTCCAGTGCTTCCTCGGCTAGCTGTATCCCACGATGCCGGGTCATTTGCGGACACAGTCTGCACCTCCTTTATCGCTTGTGTTACTGATGTGGGTTGAATAGCATCTGCTTTAGTCTGTTTGGACTGCTATAACAAAATATCGTAGACTGGGGGATTCATGAACGACAGAAACGTGTAGCTCACATTTCTGGAGGCAGGGAAGTCCAAGGATAGGATTTTTTTTTTTTTTTTTGAGACGGAGTTTTGCTCTTGTTGCCCAGGCTAGTGTGCAGTGGCGCAATGTTGGCTCACTGCAACCTCCACCTTCCAGTCTCAAGTGATTCTCCTGCCTCAGCCTCCCAAGTCACTGGGATTACAGGCGCCCACCACCATGCTCAGGTATTTTTTTTTGTATTTTTAGTAGAGACGGGGTTTCACCATGTTGGTCAGGCTGGTCTCGAACTGCTGACCTTGTGATCCACCTGCCTCGGCCTCCTAGAGTGCTGGGATTACAGGCTTGAGCCACCACGCCCAGCCCTGACTTTTTTTTTTTTTGAGACAGAGGTTCGCTCTTGTTGCCCAGGCTGGAGGGCGATGATGCGATCTTGGCTCACTGCAGCCTCCGTCTCCCAGGTTCAAGCGATTCTCTTGTCTCAGCCTCCTGAGTAGCTGGGACTACAGGTGTCTGCCACAATGCCTGGTTATTTATTTATTTATTTTTGTATTTTTAGTAGAGAAGGGGTTTCTCCATGTTGGCCATGCTGGTCTTGAACTCCTGATCTCAGGTGATCCGCCTGCCTCGGCCTCCCAGAGTGCTGGGATTATGTGTGTAAACCACTGTGCCCAGCCAAATGTCTGCTATTGTAAGCCACCCAGCCTGTGATAATTTATTACAGCAGCCACAGGAAGAGACTAATACAACTCCTATTTCTTTAATTTTTTATTTTATTTTATTTTTTTGAGACGGAGTTTCCCTCTGTCTCCCAGGCTGGAGTGCAGTGGCATGATCTCGGCTCACTACGACCTCCGCTTCCCAGGTTCAAGCCAATTCTCCTGCCTCAGCCTCCTGAGTAGCTGGGATTACAGGTGCCCGCTACCACACCTGGCTGATTTTTGTATTTTTAGTAGAGATGGGGTTTCATCATGTTGTCCAGGCTGGTCTTGAACTCCTGACCTCAGGTGATGCACCCACCTCGGCCTCCCGAAGTGCTGGGATTACAGGCATGAGCCACCATGCCTGGCCCAACTCCTATTTCTTTAATTTTTTTTTGAGATGGGTTCTTGCTAGGTTGCCCAGTCTGCTCTCAAACTCCTGGGCTCAAGTGATCCTCTCGCCTTAGCCTTAGCTGGGACTACAGGTGCTTGCTACCACACCTGACTTCTTTAATTTTTTTTTTTTTTTTTTTTTTTTGAGATGATGCCTTGCTCTATCTCCCAGACTGGAGGCTCTGTCACCCAGGCTGGAGTGCAGTGGTGCAATCTTGTCTCACTGCAACCTCTGCCTCCCGTGTTCAAGCGATTCTCCTGCCTCAGTCTCCTGAGTAGGTGGGATTACAGGCACCCGCTGCCACACCTGGCTAATTTCTGTATTTTTTAGTAGAGACGGGGTTTCACCATGTTGGCTAGGCTGGTCTCGAACTCCTGACCTTGTGATCTACCTGCCTCGGCCTCCCAAAGTGCTGGGATTACAGGCATCAGCCACTGCGCCTGGCCACTTTTTTTTTTTTTTTAACTTGAAACATTTTATCTTTTTTTTTTTTTTTGAGATAGGGTTTCGCTCTGTCACCCAGGCTGGAGTACAGTGGTGTGATGACAGCTCACTGAAGCTTCAACCTCCTGGGCTCAGGTGATCCTCCCACCTCAGCCTCCCAAAATATTGGATTATAGGCATGAGCCACTGCACCTGGCCTGTTTTATCACTTCTTTTAAATTTTTTTTTTGAGAAAGAGCCTTGCTCCGTCACCCAGGCTGGAGTACAGTGGTGCGATCTCGGCTCACTGCAACCTCCGCCTCCCGGGTTCAAGCGATTGTCCTGCCTCAGCCTCCCGAGTAGCTGGGATTACAGGCATGCACCACCACACCCAGCTAACTTTGTATTTTTAGTAGAGATGGGGTTTCTCCACGTTGGTCAGGCTGGTCTGGAACTCCCGACCTCAGGTGATCTGCTCGCCTCGGCCTTCCAAAGTGCTGGGATTATAGGCGTGAGCCTCTGTGCCTGGCCCAGTTTTTTAAATTTATTTATTTTTTTGAGACAGAGCCTCTCTCCATCGCCCAGGCTGGAGTGCAGTGGTGTGATCTTGGCTCACTGCAACCTCCAGGGTTCAAGTGATTCTCCTGCCTTGGCCTCCTGAGTAGCTGGGACTACAGGTGCACGCCACCTCCCCTGTCTAATTTTTGTACAGTAGAGACGGGGTTTTGCCATGTTGGCCAGGCTGTTCTCAAACTCCTGACCTCCATGATCTGCCTGCCTCAGGCTTCCAAAGTGCTGGGATTACAGGCGTGAGCCACCGTGCCCGGCCCTGTTTTATCACTTTAATCATTGGTATCTGTAAGAGACTGGCTTTGCTGGGCTGGTGGGGCTTTCTCCAATGCACAGTGAAATAAATGCAGCTTCCTGGCTGGGTGTCCTGACCCCATCCTCTCTGCTTCCGGGTATTTCCCTAAAGTTGAGCCTTCACCCCAGCGTTGCCCTGAGTTCCTGAGGCTGGGGTTCCAGTCCTGGAAGCTGGGGTGCTCTGGCTGGGCCCCCTGCACAGTCTGGGCTCTCTCACAAGTCCTCCAGCAGAGCGATGTCACCCTTCCACGTCCCCACCCCAGTTCTCTGACGGCAGCTGAAGGGGATCAGGATATGTTACTCTTAAAAATATATCACTTAGAGACCGGGCACAGTGACTCACGCCTGTAATCCAGCACTCTGGGAGGTGGAGGTGAGTGGATCATTTGAGCTCGGGAGTTCGAGACCAGCCTGGGCAACATGGCAAAACTCCATCTCTACCAAAAATACAAAAAATTCACCAGGCATATGGTGGCATCCACCTGTGGTCCCAGCTACTTGGGAGGCTGAGGTGGGAGGATGGCTCGAGGCTGCGAGGCTGAGGTTGCAGTGAGCCGAGATTGCACCACTGCCCTCCAGCCTGGGTGACAGAGCAAGACCCTGTCTCAAACAAACAAACAAACAATCTATTATCTATCTATCTATCTATCTATCTATCTATCTATCTATCTATGTATCTATCTATGTATCTATCTATCAACTTTAGCATAAGAATTATTCTGAGCTGAATGCAATAGAAAATCAGTAGATGGCCAGGCGCGGTGGCTGACGCCTATAATCCCAGCACTTTGGGAGGCCGAGGTGGGTGGATCACCTGAGGTCAGGAGTTGGAGACCATCCTGGCCAATATGGTGAAACCTTGTCTCTACTGAAAATATAAAAAATTAGCTGGGCATGGTGGTGGGAACCTATAGTCCCAGCTACTCGGGAGGCTGAGGCACAAGAATCCCTTGAACCTGGGAGGTGGAGGTTGCAGTGAGTCGAGATCCTGACACTACAATCCAGCCTGGGCAACAGAGCGAGACTCTGTCTCAAAAAAAAAAAAAAAAAAAAAAAATCAGTAGAGGCAGAAAGAATTCTCTGCTCTCTACTTTTCTGCCTCAAAGCCAGGCATAAACTTCTCTTTAAGAAGGTGACATAAGGCTGGGCGTGGTGGCTCACTCCTGTAATCCCAGCACTTTGGGAGGCCGAGGCGGGCAGATCACAAGGTCAGGAGATCAAGACCATCCTGGCTAACACGGTGAAACCCTGTCTCTACTAAAAATACAAAAAAATTAGCTGGGCATGGTGGCGGGCACCTATAGTTCCAGCTACTCAGGAGGCTGAGGCAGGAGAATGGCGTGATCCCAGGAGGCAGAGCTTGCAGTGAGCCAAGATTGCACCACTGCACTCCAGCCTGGGCAACAGAGTGCGACTCCGTTTCAAAAAAAAAGGTGACATAAATTTTCCTTTGTGGAGGTATCCCCCCGTCTCCTTACCAGGGAGAGCAGAATGACTCCTATCACTGCAGATAGTCAGTCCCAAGATGAGTCTACATAAACAAACCTTCCTAAAATAACTCTCTGTCTCCCTCTCTCTCTTTTTTTTTTGGAACAGGGTTTTGCTCTGTCACCCAGGCTGGAGTGCAGTGGTGTGATCATAGGTCACTGATGCCTTGACCTCCTGGGTTCAAGTGATCCTCCTACCTCAGCCTCCCAAGTAGCTGAGACCACAGGCATGCACCGCCATGCCGGGCTAACTTTTGTATTATTTATTTATTTATTTTTTGAGACGGAGTTTCGCTTTTGTTGCCCAGGCTGGAGCGCAATGGCATGATCTCGGCTCACTGCAACCTCCACCTCCCAGGTTCAAGTGATTCTCCTGCCTCAGCCTCCCGAGTAGCTGGGATTATAGGCATGCGCCACTACGCCCGGCTAATTTTGCATTTTTAGTAGAGATGGGGTTTTTCCATGTTGGCCAGGCTGTTCTCGAACTCCCGACCTCAGGTGATCCGCCCACCTCGGCCTCCCAAAGTGCTGGGATTACAGGCGTGAGCCACCACGCCTGGCCAATTTTTGTATTTTTTGTAGGAATGGGGTTTCACCATGTTGCCCAGGCTGGTCTCGAACTCCTGGGCTCAAGTGATCCTCCTGCCTCAGCCTCTCGAGTAGCTGGGACCACAGGCATGTACCACTACACTCTGCTTTTTTTTATTTTTAGTAGAGACAAGGTCTTGCCATGTTGCCCAGGCTGGTCTCGAACTCCTGAGCTCAAGCAGTCCACCCACCTTGGCCTCCCAAAGTGCTGGGGTTACAGGCGTGAGACACCGCGCCCGGCCAATGCCTGGGCTTTTGCACCTCAGGGCATTTCTTTTTCTTTTTTTTCTTGAGTCTCGCTCTGTTGCCCAGGCTGGAGTGCAGTGGCATGATCTCGGCTCACTGCAGGCTCTGCCTCCCGGGTTCACGCCATTCTCCTGCCTCAGCCTCCTGAGTAGCTGGGACTACAGGCGCCTGCCACTATGCCCGGCTGATTTTTTGTATTTTTAGCAGAGACGGGGTTTCACCGTGTTAGCCAGGATGGTCTTGATCTCCTGACCTCATGATCTGCCCGCCTCGGCCTCCCAAAGTGCTGGGATTACAGGCTTGAGCCACCGCGCCCGGTCACCTCAGGGCATTTCTATGACAATCATGCCCTTCCAACCTTCCAGGTGATGAGGCTCAAGCAATGGCCTGAGAGTATGTGAGACTGGGGACTAGGCCAAGCTCCGCCCCTCTTCCTCATCCCCTGATCTTCCCACCCTGTGTCTCCTGGGCAACTAACACTCTAGCCTGATGATGTGCACTGTGGAGGCCTTGGGTCTACCTCTTGGCACTCGGGCATAGACTTGGCCTTTGAGTTCAGGGCTCATGGGGGGCTTCGGTAGTGAACTTCATTCCTGGGAGGACAGATGGCTGCAGCCTCATTGACAGCAGAGGGAATTGCACAAACCCTGGCTTACTCCAGTGGCTCCTGGACACACTCAACCCCAGCACCATGGGAGGGGGACCAGAGGCCAGCTCTGCAATGGATGGGCAGCTTGTTTAGAAGCCTGTGGTGGTTGCCAGATTGCCTGGTTAGAAAGTTAAACCCCTCCCTCCCTCCCTTCCATTCCATTTTTTTTTTTTTTTTTTTTTGAGACGTAGTCTCACTCTGTCGCCCAGGCTGCAGTGCAGTGACGCAATCTCAGCTCACTGCAACCTCTGCCTCCCAGGTTCAAGCGATTTTCCTGCCTCAGCCTGCCAAGTATCTGGGAATATAGGCATGCACCACCACACCTGGCTAATTTTTTTATTTTTAGTAGAGACAGGGTTTCACTATGTTGGCCAGGCTGGTCTCAAACTCCTGACTTGGTGATCTGCTCACCTTGGCCTCCCAAAGTGCTGGGATTACAGGCGTGAGCCTCTGTACCCAGCCTTAAAAAAAACAAACTTTTTTTTTTAGAGACAGCGTCTTGCTATGTTGCCCAGGCTGGTCTTGAACTACTGGCCTCAAGTGATTCTCCCAAAGTGTTGAGATTACAAGAGTCAGACACCGCACTCGACCTCAAAACTTTGACTTCTCGTTGGACTGATCTTTTCCTAGATGCCATTATTTTATTTATTTATTTTTACTTTTAATTTTTTTAGAGATGGGATCTTTCTACGTCACCCAGGCTGGAATGCAATGGTTATTCACAGGTGTGATCATAGCTGGTCTTGACCTCGTGGGCTCAAGTGATCCTCCTGCCTCAGCCTCCTGAACAGCTGGGACTACAGGTGTGTGCCACCACATTTGGCTTACCATTATTTTAGAAGGACTTACACCTGTCTTGCTATCTGGAGTCTGCAGATTTCTTACCCAAGGTAAGCTCAAGCAGGGCCTGTTGTCTGGAACAAGACCTGTTCAAAATGTTTGCCTTAATGCTACAGTAGTAATGGTGATAGTCAATAGTAGCTTGCTATGGGTCAGGTACTGTTGTGAGAACAGAAGCTCTCAAAGGGGTATTGGACTCTGGGGATGGCTGAAACACTTCGTGGGGGCGGGGGTTGGTGTCCACGAGACCAAATTATTATTATTAATTATCTAAGATGGAGTCTTGCTCTGTCACCCAGGTTGGAGTGCAGTGGCACGATCTTGGTTCACTGCAACCTCCGCCTCCTGGGTTCAAGCAATTCTCCTGCCTCAGCTTCCCGAGTAGCTGGGATTACAGGCACCCACCACCACGCGTGGCTAATTTTTGTATTTGTAGTAAAGACGGCGTTTCACTATGTTGGCCAGGCTGGTTGTGAACTCCTGACCTCATGTGATCCACCCACCTCGGCCTCCCAAAGTGCTGGGATTATAGGCGTGAGCCACCGCGCCCTGCCTTTTTTTTTTTTATTTTGAGACAAGAGTCTCATTCCGTCACTCAGGCTGGAGTGCAGTGGTGGGATCTTGGCTCACTGCTAACCTCCGCCTCTCAGGCTCAGGTGATTCTCATGCCTCAGCCTCCGGAGTAGCTGGGATTACAGTTTGTGCAACCACGCATGGCTAATTTTTTTTGTATTTTTAGTAGAGATGAGGTTTTGCCATGTTGGTCGGGCTGGTCTCGAACTCCTGACCTCAAGTGATCCATCTGCCTTAGCCTCCCAAAGTGCTGGGATTACAGGCGTGCATGATGCCCGGCCTCCTTGTCGCTTTCAAACAGTGCTTCTAGGAGCTAACAAAGAAGTGCCTCTTTGTATGATTCCCCAAGAGAGACCCACCCAGGCAGCACCTAGCCAAGGGACAAAGACCACTCCTATCCAAAAGCCCTTTGATTCAACTTTTTTTTATTTTTTTTTTCTTTTTGAATGTCATGCAATAATTCACAGTCCCAAGCCCACGGTTTTCAAACAAGGTAGGAAAAAAGGAAAAAAGAAGCAAAGGAATCGGTGGTGATGGTGGGTTTTTCTTCTTCTTTTGTTGTTTCAAGCAGGACCAAATGTCAGAAAAAAATGCCTCTTTTCTCAATCATTAATTTTTTTGTCCTTTTTAAAATTGTTTATTGTTATTATTATTTTTTTAAATTGATTTCTGCAGGCAGTAATAGTAGGGTTTGGTATAACCGGCAAGCACTCTTGTGTGTGTCTGAGAACGTGTGTGGGTGTGAGTGTGTCTGGTGGTGGGT
Source organism: Homo sapiens (assembly GCF_000001405.40). Classification (NCBI taxonomy): domain Eukaryota; kingdom Metazoa; phylum Chordata; class Mammalia; order Primates; family Hominidae; genus Homo; species Homo sapiens. The sequence goes on from NC_000019.10 coordinate 13,206,797, forward strand.
GTAGGGCACTGGGATTCTGGTTCCTTCTGGCTTCTTTGCCGCACTCGGCCACCAGCTGTCTTCATCAGGGAAAGGAAAGATTCAATTGAGATGATAAAACTCATCAATAGAAGCTATTTTTTTCTCCCCGTTTTTTCTTTTAAAAATGTTTTTTTTTTTTTTTTTTTTTTTTTTTTTCATGTTCCCCAAAGTTCTCCAAAAATGGCTGAGTTAATTCAAATCCCTTGGCTGTGTGGTTTGTCTGCTCCCTGCCTCCCACCCGAGAGCCCCTGTCGTGGGTGGGGGGATCGGGGCTGGTTGGGGGGCGCCGTGGCTGCCCAGGAGGGTCTCTTTTGGCCGAGGGTCTCTGCGGGACACCCTTGTGGCCCAGCCCTGGCCTCTCCAGAGTCTGGGGTCTCCCGGCTGGCCCTCTCCCGGGCCCTCTGTGCTGGGCCCCCGCGGCCTCTGCGCGGCTCCTCGGGTGGGGTGTGTGCGTGGGGTGCGTGGGGGGCCGGGCGGGCGCCACCTCGCCCGGGCTTAGCACCAATCATCGTCACTCTCGCTGTAGGGTTCGTGCAGGCCCTTCCTGGAGCCCGGCCCGCGGGGCCTGGCCAGTCCGTGCGCCGGGTAGTAGCCGTTGGGGAGTCGCCGGCCGTGCCGAGAAGGCGAGGCGCAGGCCGGGCCCGAGGCCCGGGGAGTCCTGGGCGAGCGCCCGGTGGCGCCCGAGGACGCGTGTCGTACGGGGGGTGGCGCGTCGTAGGCCCCGGCCATGGCCTCCTCGCCGCCCCCGCTGCCCGGGCCATCGGCCTCGTCGTAGTCGGAGCCCCGGTAGTAGCCATGGTGCCGGGGACCCGGGGGCCCCTCGGACACGTGCGGGCCAGATGCCGGCCACCGGGCCCCGCCGTGTCGACAGGCCCTGGGGGACTCGCTCCGGGCCGGGCCTGGGACCCGCCTCTCCATCCTGGGCGAGCGGCCGCTGCTGTGGCCCCCCGTGGGCGGCCGATCTCCGGCCAGAGGCTCGGCCGTGGGGCCTGGGTACCTCCGAGGGCCGCTGGTGGCCGCCCGGCCCGGCCTGGCCACCGCCTGCTGCTGCTGCTGCTGCTGCTGCTGCTGCTGCTGCTGCGGGGGCCCCGAGCCGCCGGCCTTACGGATCACAGGGGAATAGGACACGTGTGGCCGGGGGGTGGAGGGGGTCTGGGGGAGCTGGCGGCGGCCCCGCCGCGGAGTGCTGGTACCAGATGTTGAGGGGGCTGGGCTTCCACTTACGGAACTACTGCCCTACACGAAAATTGAAACAAAGGAAATCAAAAAAAAAGATACAACAAAATCAAAGGAGACACGGGATTGGGAGGAAGAGAGGGGAGCGAAGGGAGAGGGGCCGGGAGGAGAGGGAGGAGGGGGAGGGGGAGGAGGAGGAGGAGGAGGAGAGGGGGGACACAGGACATTGAATGGAAAAAAGCAACAGCCACAGGGAGGAGGGAGGGGAGGAGGGGGAGTGAGACAGGGAGGGGAGGAGTCGAAAACCAACACAACAAAGTGAAAAGAGAAATGAGAAATGGAGTTTTGTAAGTTTCGGGGTTAAAAATAGCAGAAGTTTCAAAAATTACTCACAGGCGTCCAGAGGACAGAAATCATAATTGAAACAAAAACAGAAGCCGGGTTAAAGGAAAGTGAAAGGTCGGGCGGCACGGCCCAGAACTCAAATATGATCCACAACCGAGGAGCAAGCAGCTGCGGGCGGCGGGGAGGGGGCGGCGGGTGGGCAAGGGGGCTGGGGGGACAGCATAGGCAGCTGGTGTGGTGGGGATCCGTGTCCGCTCCGGCCGCCGGGCACCCCGGTGGCTTGGGGGCAGGATGGGAGGTGGTCACAGCCGGGATCCGGGGACCTTTGCCTAGAGTGGCTGTTGGATGGGGTATCCCCTTCTCTCCTCCCCGCCTCCCGGCCGAGCCCAGCCTGGGGTCACTTGCAGCCGCACCCACCTGCCGGTGCGCCATGTGCTCTCGGCCCTCGCTGGGCGAGCGGGACCAGCGCTGGTCCCGAGCCCGTGCCCGGCCGTGGTCCGGCCGTTCCTGGGCATAGCGGTCCTTGTCGGGGGGCGGGGGATGGTGGTGGTGGTGGTGGTGGTGGTGGTGCTGTCGATGCTTCCGATCCTTGGGCCGGCCCCGCTCCTGGTCCCGCTCCTTCGACGGCAGGTCCCCGGATTGGGTGGTCATGCTCAGGTCTGTCCCCAAGCCTGGGCCGGGTGAGGGTCAGACAGACACACAGGTGGTCGTGAGGGAGAGGTGGGGCAGATGCACACACAGGAGGCCACCTGGAAGGTGTGGGGGCCCTAGAGATCCCCTGAACCGAGGCAGGTCAGTGGGTTGGGGGGAGGGGGTAGTACCCAGGTTCCTGCAGCTGCTGCCTGGCCCCCTCTGTCCCCTCTCCATGGAGGCCTCTCCCTTTCTTCTTCCTTAGTGTCTCCTCCGCCCTGCCTTCTCCTCCCCTCTCCTCTCCTCTGTTCTGCTTGTCCCTGAGCACCACAGGGCTGCCCACCTGTGTCCACATCGGTGTAGCGGCCCAGGGAGCGCTCAGAGGCGCGGTGGCTGCGGTCGCGGCGCCGCTGGTGGTGCCGCTGGTTCTCCTCGGGCGGGACCCGCTCCAGCGAGTAATCGTCCAGGCGTCGGGCCTTGGGGCCCAGCACGGAGGCTGAACGCTTCATGGGGCTGGTGTCTGAGATGGTCTGGGGGAGGGGACAGGCCGGTGGGCTGGGGTCAGCAGCTAGCACCAAGTGGTCCCGGTCCTTCCTGCCCCATTGTGGCAGCCTGGTGGTGGCCTTCGGTGACTGCGGTGTGACCATCCTGGGGCAGGGGCCAGGGGATGCCATGGGGCCTTGGCTCCCCCTGATCAATCAGGGCTCTGGGTGTGGCCAGGCCTCTGAGGGTGGAGCCTGAGGATTCCTCTGTCCCTCAGAGACAGGACTGCTCCTTTTGAGCCCATCCTGGGTTCTGACCAGAAAGATCTGATCCTCACTCTCCAGTCCTGGGGGCCCAGCCACAGTTGGGCAGGCTCAGGCTGGCCAGAGGGAAGCCCTCTCCACATCCAGGGTGCAAACCTGGGAGCCCTGGACTGCCGCACTCATCCCTGCCCCAGCTTGCTCTCCTGGGAGGGTGAGAAGCCTCCGACTGTGGCTGGCTGACCTATGGGCTCAGGACCAGGTGCCCGGCATGGCAGCTTTGGGTCCTCCCGGCTAACGGGGCTGTGCTCGCTGCCCCCACAAGTCTGAGTCCTTCTGGTGAGGCCCAAGCTAGGGAGCTCTGGGTGGGGGTGGGGGATACCCAGGCACTGGAGGCTCTGGGGGCCCACTCTTTTCCCTGGTGCTTCATCCCTGGGTCAAGCCCTGACACACAGGTTTCTCTGCAGCAGGCAGAGGAGGGAAGGAGGGAGATGGGGCAGACGCCCGCCTCCCAGGGTCCAGCCCAGCTGAGCGCTGGTGGCCCTGCTCCAGGTAGGAGCTGCAGGACCAGGGGTTGGTGGTGGTGTCAGGAGAAGAAGCCCCCCAGAAAGAGGTGCAGAGTGGGCCAGGCTCTTGGAGAGCCAGTGTCCTCCGGCGTGGGGGGCCCTGAAGAAAAGGGGGTAGGGGTGAGGATGGGGATGGCCCCGCCCACCAGGGCTTATGGGTGAGGGGCACACACAGGACACCACACACAAGGATTGGGCTCCATGGAGGGGAGAGGGTGCGATTGCCAAAGAAAGGGTGGGGTCCGGGGACGGTGAGAGATGACGGGACTCCCTGGAGGGGGGGTGGGGAGGAAGAGGGGGCCGGAGCCCTGCTGGGCGCTGGGCAGGCGCGGTACATACACTGAGGTTATTCCCACGTGGCCGGCCCCTTCTCCTCTGTCACAGCCCCATGGGATGGTGCACACAGAAAAAACAGAAAGAAGAAAATAAATATAAAAGGCAAGAGGGAGAGTGAGGAGGTGGTGCATGGAGAAGAAGCCAAGGAGGGGAGTGGCACTGGCATCAAGAGAAATCGGAGGGAGAAGGCAGGGAGGAAAAGAAAAGTTAAAGTCCTGGCGGGTGGGTGTCCCAGGCCCCCGGGGCTGGGCGTCCTCTATTCCCATGGGTACAGAGGAGACAGACAGGAGATGCAGACAGACAAATGGCAGAGGCATGGGACCGAAAGACAGGACGGCGCAGCCTCGAGCCCCTGGCCCTGGGCTCTGCCTCATGCGATGCACACCCCAACCCCTGGCTCCGGCCGATGCTCAAAGCTTCCATGTGGTGGCCGTCAGCTGGGCTTGTCCCAACCCTCTCCTGGGGCCCAGCAGCTCGGTCCTGAGGGAGCAGCAGCATGCACGCTGGGTGCTCCCCAACCCACGTTCCCAGCAGCCAGAGGCCAGGCCCTCAGGTGACCCTGGTCCAGCCAGGCACAGCACAGCCTCCTGCCCCGTGCAGACGCCACACACGGCACACGGAAAGCTCGCCACAGCCACACATGCCACGCACCCGGGCCAGGCTCTCACAGCCATGCCCTGTTCTCCTCCAGAGGCGGGCTGCGTGCATGGGCCCCCGCTGTTCAGGCCGGGTGGGCAGCCAGCTATGCCTCTGGGCCCTCTGTCCCATGAGTCCAAGGCAACGGGATCACCTGCAGGTGGGCCTGGCAGCTGGGTGAAGCGGCCACACACAGACACACATCAAGCACACACCCCTGTGCCCCCCAATGACTCCCACAGAGACCAGACAGAAAATACGAGCCCAGCTGCCCCCAGACCCACCCCAGACTCTGCTACTGTATCCTAGGACCTGCCAAGTTCCCATATGCAGACACGTGTGCACGTACATGTGTGCATGTGTGAGTACATGTGCAGTGTGTATATGCCCACGTGCACACACGTGTGTGTATGCAAGCATCTGAGTAGGCGCACAGCTGCACATGTGTGTGCATGTATGTTGAGCATGTGTGTGTGTGTTTGTGTAGGGGTGATCTTCGTGGCAGGTCTCAGCTGGCCCTGTTGAACCCTGCTGCACCCACAAATCTTCCACAACCTCCCCTGTCTGCAGCCTCCAACCAGGGCAGCCAGAGACCATTTTGCAGTGGCCACTGCCCTCTGCCCCAGGGGGAGCACTTTCCTCTCTGTCCTCTGTGAGGGAGGAGGGTCTGCAGGTGCTCCAGGTGTGACCAGGTGGTGGGTGGGGCCTGCAGACTGCTTCAGAGACTGAAGGAGTCCCTACCCAGGCCTGAGTCCGGCAGGGAGGGGATGCACTGGGCTGCTTGTGGGGGGGCCTGGCCCTACCCAGTGCAGAGTGAGGGGTCCAGCCCCAGGGCAGTGGTGAAAGCCCTCACCTGGTTCTCTGCAGGGAGGCGGGGCATGGAGGCAGCCCGGCCCTGGCCTTCCATGGGGAGGTAGTGCTCGCTGTCGGAGTAGCCATCTCTGCCCATCTCTCGCATCTCCACGGACTGCGGAGCAGATGGCAAAGCCAGATGAGCTCTGGGGCCTGACCTCCAGATCCCTGGTGTCTGCAGAGGGAGGGAGCTGCAGGTGTGTGTGTGTGGGGGGCCCAGATCCCTTCCACCTGAACCACCCGGGCCCTGGGAGCCATTGGGGAGTTGGGGGACAGAGGCACCTGAGAGTTAGGCTGGCTGTTGGGCATGTCGGTAGGGGGGCCTTGTTCCGGACTCCATGTGCCCGTCTTCTGGAACATCTCCTGGGCACGCTGGGTCACCCAGGACGGGCTCTCCTTGAGGCCGCTTTCGTGAGCCATCCTGCATGGGGGACAGAGGCCGGGGTAGCAGTGGGCGCTTGGGCAGCTTCCAGAACGTGGGGACCACGGCACCCCCACACTCCACCTCCCTGGCAGGGGTGACACTCACAGGGCTCCTCCTGGGTCCAGCTGGGTGGAGGGGAGGGCGTTCTGGCCAGGTCCCCCTTCCTGCGTTGGGGACGGGGGCTCCATGCGCTGGAACATGAGGGGTGTCCGGTCCTGGGGAATGGGGCAGAGAGCAGTGTGTGGACAAGGGTGGGGTGGTGGGACGGTGGTACCCAGAAGGCATTGCGACATCCCCAGTATACACACACACACACACACACACTCTCTCAGGTCTCATCCATCTAGACCCTTCCAATTCCACGCAGAACTGGACCACTTCTCACTCCTCCACCCAAGTCATAGCCCCAGCCTGGTCCCACGTCCTCATCTCTCACTGCAGGCACCTTCTCCCAGGTCTCCCGCTCCTACCTTCAACCCCACTGTTCCACAAGAGCCACCAGAGGGCGCCCATGAGCACTTGAGTCAGGTCCTATCCCTCCTTTGCTTAGAACCCTCCATGGCTCCCACTTGCTTGGGGAAAAAGCCAGAGTCCTTCCTGCAGCTCCCATGGCCCTGAAGGATCTGCCCTGTCACCTCCTTGCCCTTGTCTCCTCCCTGCTCTTTTCCACCACACTGGCCTCTTTGCTGTTACCCAAACAACCCAGGCACGGTCCAGCCTCAGAGCCTTTGCACTGGCTGTTTCCTCTGCCTGGAACACCCTTCCAGGTATTGCTTAGCTCACTCCCTCTCCCCTTTTCCTTCAAGCCTTTGCTCACATGTCACTTTCTCAGGGAGGCTCCCCAACTACCCATTTCCCACCGCATCCCCTCCTCCCCTGGATACTCCTATCTTCTGGATTCTTCTCCACTTTCCCCCACGACACTTTCTTTCTCTTTGCTGGATGTTGCACGATTCAGTCATTTGCTACCATTGGCATTTCCCCACTTGGAATGTCTGCTCCCTGAGGGCAGGGATTCTGGCCTATTTTCCCCATGGGTGCATCCCCGAGGACTGAGAACAGCGCCCTGCACACAGTAATACTCAATAAGTGTTGGTGGAGCAGCTGAATGAAGAATGAATCCACATGATGTGTCCTTGGCAAGAACTTTTTTTTTTTTTTTTTTTTTTTTTTTTGAGATAGAGTCCTGCTCTTATCACCCGGGCTGGAGTGCAGTGGCTTGATCTTGGCTTGCTGCAACCTCCACCTCCCAGGTTCAAGTGATTCTCCTGCCTCAGCCTCCCAAGTAGCTGGGACCACAGGTGCATGGCGCCACATGCAGCTAATTTTATTTTTTTTTTGTAGAGATATGGGTCTTTCTATGTTGCCCAGACTGGTCTCCCACTCCTGGCCTCAAGTGATCCTCCCATCTTGGCCTCCTAAATAGCTGGGACTACAGGTGTGCACCACCATGCCTGGCTAATGTTTTATTTTGTAGAGATGGAGTCTCACTGTGTTGCCCAGGGTGGTCTCATCCTGGTCTCAAACGATCCCTCTGCCCTGGCCTCTCAAAGCACTGAGATTGCAGGTGTGAGCTGCTGTGCACAGCCCCTACTTTTCAGGGACCTGCCCTGGGGCTCAGCCACCCTCATATTCCAGTTGGTTCCCGTGGTGACATGCAAGCCACTGTCCCCAGCCCAGATGTCCCCAGAGCGGCGAACAGCGCACCTGCTCCTCGCGCATGGCCTGCAGCTTCTTGGCCTTGCTCTGCCGGTAGTACTCCATGATCATCATGGCTGCGTAGATCTTCCCCACGGTGAGGTCCGTGGCTGGGGGCACACACACGGTGAGCTCACCAAGGGCAGGCCTCTTTGGGGCCCTTGTCCTGGGTCCCTGTGTATACCAGCCCAGGCCAACACTCTCCCCAGGCCTCCCCTTTCCCTCCCCCTCCATCTGTCCTGGTGGATTGGATCCCAGGGCTGGGCTCAGCTCTTACACTTGTGAGGTGTGACCAGCAGGTCTAGCGTCTTCTGGGACAGATTGGGCCAAATCGCCATCATCTCCTTCCGCAGCTCAGCGTCCATCTGCTGTTTGTCGGCTCCTCCTGCAATGGGGGTGTAGACAGACCCTGACTGCCTGCCTGGGTGTCAGCTGGACTCTGGGTCAGCTGCAAAGCCATAGGCTCCCGAGAACGAGACCCCAATCTTTCTGGTCCCCATGGGGTCTCCAGTTCCCCAACGGCCTGGCCCAGAGGAGGCCCTGGGCAGTGCTGCTGGAATGACCTTGTGGGCTCTGGTTTTCGGTGGGGCCAGGACCATGGAGCAGCTGTGCAGGAGACAGCCCGGCATGGAGAACAGCTGGGCGACCTGGGTCCCAATCTTGTCTCCCAGTTATCGGCTGCATGACTTAGGTTACTCTACCACTTAGTAACTCAGTTTCTCCATCTGTGAAATGGAGATGATAGCAAGAGTACTTGCCTCACCTGGTTGTTGTGTGTGTGTGTGTGTGTTTTTTTTTTTTTTTTAGACAGAGTCTTGCTCTGTTGCCCAGGCTGGAGTGCAGTGGCACGAGCTTGGCTCACTGCAACCTCCGACTCCTGGGTTCAAGCAATTCTCCTGTCTCAGCTTCCCGAGTAGCTGGGATTACAGACATGCACCACCATGCCTGGCTAATTTTTTGTATTTTTAGTAGAGACGGAGTTTCACCATGTTGGTCAAGCTGGTCTCGAACTCCTAACCTCGGGTGATCCACACGCCTCGGCCTCCCAAAGTGCTGGGATTACAGGCGTAAGCCACCGCGCCTGGCTGGTTGTTTTTTTTTTGTTTTTTTTTTGAGATGGAGTTTCACTCTTGTTGCCCAGGCTGGAGTGCAATGGTGCAATCTCAGCTCACTGCAACCTCTGCCTCCTGGGTTCAAGCGATTCTCCTGCCTCAGCCTCCCGAGTAGCTGGGATTACAGGTGTGCACCACCACGCCCAACTAATTTTGTATTTTTAGTAGAGACGGGGTTTCACCATGTTGGCCAGGCTGGTCTCAAACTCCTGACCTCAGGTGATCCACCCTCCTCAGCCTCCCAAAGTGCTGGCGATTACATGCGTGAGCCACCGCGTCTGGCCTGTTTTTTTTTTTTTTTTGACAGAGTCTCTCTCTGTTCCCAGGCTGAAGTGCAGTCATGTGATCTCGACTCACTGTTACCTCCGCCTCCCAGGTTCAAGAGATTCTCCCGCTTCAGCTTCCTGAGTAGCTGGGACTACAGGCACGCACCACCATGCCTGGCTATCACCTGGTTGTTTGATGATCAAAGTAACGTGCGTGCAGCCTTGGGACAGTGTCTGCCATAGGATTATTACTGCAGTGACCCATCTGTTCAAGGCTGGGACGCCCTGGAGCATCCCCAACAGAGGAAGTTTTGGTTTTGGTTTTATTTTGATTTTTGAGACAGGGTTTTGCTCTGTCGCCCAGGCTAGAGTGCCGTGGCACAAACATAGCTCACTGCAGTCTCGACCTCCTGGGCTCAAGATCCTCCCACCTCAGCCTCCCAAAGTGCTGGAATTACAGATGAAAGCCACTGTGCGTGGCTCAGAGGAGGTCTTTTCCCCTTTCCCAAGTCTCCACTGCCACGGACATGCCCTTGGCCTGCAGCCAGTCCCTCGTCCCTCACCCCAGTCATGGGGTGAGTCATTAAAGCTCTCTGACGGTGTTTCCTGGCCCTCCTACCTGAGTACATGGGGGGGTTCCTCCTGTGGTTGGCAGGGCCATGTGATGAGTCCTTGCTAATGGGGTGTGCACCATGTAATGTGCCACTTTGGGGCCAGAGCATTTATTATTATTTTTATTATTGTTATTATTTTTGAGATGGAGTCTCGCTCTGTCACTCAGGCTGGAGTGCAATGGCATGATCTCGGCTCACTGCAACCTCCACCTTCAGAGTTCAAGCGATTCTCCTACCTCAGCCTCCTGAGTAGCTGGGATTACAGACATCTGCCTGGCTATTTTTATATTTTTGTAGAGACAGGGTTTCACCATGTTGGCCAGGCTGGTCTCGAACTCCTGACCTCAGGTGATCTGCCTGCCTCGGCCTCCCAAAGTGCTGGGATTACAGGCATGAGCCACTGTGCCTGGCCTATTATTTTTTTTAAAAATTTATCTATCTATCTATCTATCTATCTATCTATCTATCTATCTATCTATCTATCATCTATCTATCGATCGACAGGGACTTACTCTGTTGCCCAGGCTGTGGCACAATCTTTGTTCACCGAAGCCTTGAGCTCCTGGGCTCAAGCAATCCACATTCTGACAGTCAGAATGTCACTGTGGGCTGCTATTTGGATATGCTAACTGGGTTTACGTTTAATATGCTAATTGGTTCAGGCAGGTAGTTGGCTCTGCCCTCAATGCCTGGGGTGGGGGGCTTGAAAGAGGATAGGGTCCAGCCTGGTCAACATGGTGAAACCAGTCTCTAGTAAAAATGCAAAAATTAGCTGGGCGTGGTGGCGTGCGCCTGTAATCCCAACTACTCGGGAGGCTGAGGCATGAGAATCGCTTGAACCTGGGAGGTGGAGGCTGCAGTGGTGAGTTGAGACTGCGCCACTGCACTCCAGCCTGGGCGACAGAACGAGACTCCGTCTCAAAACAATACAAAACAAACAAAACCAAAACCAAAATAGAGATTCTTCTGGGCAGAGAGAACAGAGGGGTGGGTGGGAGAGAGAAACAGATGGACAGGGAAGAGAGAGAGAGAGACAGAGACAGAGAGAATGAGATGGACTTGCCCCCTTTCTCCCAGTCTCCAGCAATGAATGGTGACACCATTTTTGAGAATCTGAAGAATGAGGTTAATCTGTACCCCCTTTGCAGCCCCTTAGCCTGCTGGAAAGGAAGCTCAGTGTGCTTAGAAAGTGAGCTGAACTATGAAAAGAAAGCGCGTTATGTTCTCCTGAGACCCGCATCTGCTCAAAGGGCTGCCACTGTTATCACTCTTCCATTGTTGTCCCCACACCCTCTTGACCTTCCGTAACCCCGAGAGCCTGGCTCAGCTGTGGAACTCCAGGATGAGGCCTGGCACCCACTGAGGACAAGAGGTGGAGGGGCTCCTGGCTGAGAAATCTGGGGGATCATTGTCTTCAGGGAACTGAGTGGCATCTGGGGTACAAGTAACAACTGTGACAGCCAAATTCAGAGACATCTCCAGGAGTCTTTGAAACCCTCAGGAAGGGAATCCAGTAGGTGTCATAGAAGCTGGGGTGCTAAGCAGTAAGGACTAGCTCAGTAGGCTAGTGTTGTCCAAACCCTGCACATTCCGATGAAAGGACTGGCCCATTGACTTGCTCCTGGGAGGTGATCTCTAAGCCTTTGAAATGTCCTGCCTGAAGAGTGTCTTTATTTAGCAGGGGGCCTTGGGCCACACTGTATAGTTCATTCTTTTTTTTTTTTTTTTTTTTTTTTAAAAAAAAGAGATAGGGTCTCACTATGTTGCCTAGGCTGGTCTCGAACTCCTGGCCTCAAACGATCCTCCAGCCTCAGCCTCCCAAAGTGCTGGGATTATAGGCATGAGTCACTGTACCCGGCCAATACAGTTCATTCTATTTATTTATTTATTTTGAGATGGTGTTTTTGCTCTATTGCCCAGGCTGGAGTGCAATGGTGCGATCTTGGCTCACTGCAACCTCGGCCTCCTAGTTTCAAGTGATTCTCCTGCCTCAGCTTCCCCAGTAGCTGGGATTACAGCCGCCCGCCGCCACGCCTGGATAATTTTCCATACAGTTCATTCTAACAATGCGATTTATCGTTGGGGTCTTGGGCCACGTGGTATCAGTTTGACCTCTGGAGGGACTGGAGACTGAGTAACTACGTCAGCCCTGCCTATATGACAAACCCTCAATAAAAACCCTGGGGCACCAAGGCTCAGGTGAGCTTCCCTGGTTGGCAGTACACGGTGCGTGTTGTCACACACTGCAGGGAGAATTAAGCGTTGTCTGTGCAACTCCACTGGAGGCAGACAACTGGAAGCTCGCACCTGGTGTCTCCTGGACCCTTCCCCAGATGCCCTTCCTTTGCGCATTTTATGTTTTTGGAATTTGTTTGTTTGTTTGAGACAGAGTCTTGCTCTGTTGCCCAGGCTGGAGTGCAGTGGCGTGATCTTGGCTTAATGTAGCTCTATCTCCTGGGTTGAAAGGATTCTTGTGCCTCAGCCTCTGGAGTAGCTGGGACTACAGGTGTATGCCACCACACCTGGCTAATTTTCTTTTTGGACAGAGTTTTGATCTTGTCACACAGGCTGGAGTGCAATGGCACAGTCTCAGCTCACTGCAACCTCTGCCTCCCAGGGTCAAGCGATTCTCCTGCCTCAGCCTCCTGAGTAGTTGGGATTACAGGGGTCTGGCACCATGCCTAATTTTTGTATTTTTGGTAGAGACGGGGTTTCGCCATGTTGGCCAGGCTGGTCTCAAACTTGTGACCTCAAGTGATCTGCCCGCCTTGCCCTCCCAAAGTGCCAGGATTACAGGCGTAAGCCACCATGCCAGGCCCTTTGCAGATTTTTTTTTTTTTTTTTTTTCTAATAGAGTCTCACTCTGTCCAGCCTGGAGTGAAGTGGCGGGATCTCGGCTCACTGCAACCTCTGCCTCCTGGGCTCAAGTGATTCTCCTACCTTAGCCTTCCAAGTAGCTGGGATTACTGGCGCCAGCCACCACGCCTGGCTAATTTTTGTATTTTTAGTAGAGACAGGGTTTCACCATGTTGGTCAGGCTGGTCTTGAACTCGTGACCTCAAGTGATCTGCCTACCTCGCCCTCCCAAAGTGCTGGGATTACAGGCGTGAGCCACCGTGCCCGGCCCTTTGCAGATTTTAATCTATATTCTTTCACTGTAATAAACTGTGAGTATAAAAACTTTTCTCAGTTCTGAGTTCTTCCAGGGAATCACTGAACCTGTGGGTGGTTTTGGGACCCCTGAACACAGATTCTCAGAGTGCCACAGAAGCTGAGTTACGATGGCATTACATACAAAGAGTGGGGGTGTTGTTAGACCCGTTGTACAAACGAAGGAACTGTGGTAGGCAGAATTCAAAAGCTGCCCTTCTGCCAAGATTCTGTTTATTCAAACACTAATCTAGGGACCATTGCCCAGGCTATGAAGGGACTTTGCAGATATAATTAAAATACCGGAGGCCCGGTGCGGTGGCTCACGCCTGTAATCCCAGCACTTTGGGAGGCCGAGGTGGGCAGATCACGAGGTTGGGAGATCGAGACCATCCTGCTATCATGGTGAAACCCCGTTTCTACTAAAAATACAAAAAATTATCCGGGCGTGGTGGCACGCATCTGTAGTCCCACCTACTTGGGAGGCTGAGGCAGAATCACTTGAACCCGGGAGATGGAGGTTGCAGTGAGCCGAGATTGCGCCACTGCACTCCAGCCTGGGTGACAGAACAAGACTCCGTTTCAAAAAAAAAAAAAAAAAGAAAGAAAATGCTGGGCATGGTGGCTCACTCCTGTAATCCCAGCACTTTGGGAGGCTGAGGCGGGTGGATCACCTGAGGTCAGGAGTTCAAAACCAGCCTGGCCAACCTTGTGAAACCCCATCTCTACTAAAAATACAAAAAAATTTAGCTGGGCGTGGTGGTGGGCACCTGTAATCTCAGCTACTCAGGAGGCTGAGGCAGGAGAATTGCTTGAACCTGGGAGGCGGAGATTGCAGTGAACTGAGATCACACTATTATACTCCAGCCTTGGCAACAAGAGTGAAATTCTGTCTCAAGAAAAAAAAAAAATATCAAGTCAGCTGACCTCAAAATACAGAGATGATCAGGGTAGGCCTGCCCCAATCAGGTGAGCCCTTGAAAAGCACAGTATTGTCTCTGCTGGGTGGCAGATGGGGAAGTCAGAGAGAATGAGAGCACATGGAGGATTACATGCACTTCCAGGAGCAAAAAGCTAAAAAGCCAGTGATAAAACAAGACCTCAGTCCTACAGCCACAAGGACTTCAATTCTGCCAACACCTGAATGAACCTGGAAGTAGATTCTCCCCCAGATCCTCCAGAGAGGAGCCCAGCTTGGCTGACACCTTGATTTCAGCCTCGTGAGACCCTCAGCAGACAGCCCAGTCCAGCTTTTTGGACTTCTGACCTACAGGACTGTGAGCTGACAAATAGGTGTGTCTTAAGCTGCTATGTCTGTGGTCATCATATAGCTCACTGCAGCCTTGACATCCCAGTCCCCAGTGATCCTCCCACTCCAGCCTCCCAAGTAGTTGGGACTACAGGTGCACATCACCACACCTGGCTAATTTTAAAATTTTCTGTAGAGATGGGGTCTCTCTGTGTTGGCCAGGCTGATCTTGAACTCCTGGCCTCAAGTGATCCTCCTGCCTTGGCTTCCCAAAGTGCTGGGATTACAGGTGTGAGCCACTGCTCCCAACTTCCTTGTGCTCTCTTTACCTTCACTTTGTTCCTGGCATTAACAATATCTGTCCTCCACCCCTCCAGTCCCCCACCTTCCCTGCCACTTCCTCCTTGAGTCTTGCCACGTGGCCTTGGCTCTTCCTCCCTTCTTTCCCTCAAGACCCTGGAAGGCACATATGTCTCGAGGCTCAGTCTTCCCTCCTCCTGACTTACTAGTGGTTTCAGCTGGGCTCAGCACCTTCCCATGTGTGGGACTATCCACCTGCTCCTCTCCCACCCACTCCTTTTTTCTGGTCCCATTTGTTTTTTCTTTTCTTTCTTTCTTTCTTTTTTTTTTTTTTTTTGAGACAGAGTCTTGCTGTGTCCCCCAGGCTGGAGTGCAATGGTTTGATCTCGGCTCACTGCAACCTCTGCCTCCCAGGTTCAAGTAATTCTTGTGCTCAGCTTCCCAAGTTGTTGGGATTATAGGTGTGCACCACCATGCCTGGCTAATTTTTGTATTTTTAGTGGAGATGGGGTTTCGCCATGTTGGCCAGGCTGGTCTCAAATTCCTGGCCTCAAGTGATCCACCTTCCTCAGCCTCCCAAAGTGCTGGGATTACAGGCGTGAGCCTCAGGTCCCCGTTTCTTCTGGCAATTGTGCGCCTGTCTCTCTGCCCTGCTGTCCTTAATCAGCTGCCAAATCACATCACATCCCCTTTCGGGCCTCCGAAATGCACTCCAGACAGGGGACCCCTGACCCCTCCGCCAAAGCTGCACTGGTCAAAGTGACCATGATGACCAGTCACTTGTGATCCTTGTCATCCTTGGTCTCTGGGCAGTGCCTGACACGGTTGGTCCCCTTCCTCCTGAAGCCGCCCTTTTAAACATAGAAGCTGCCTCCAGGAGCCCACACTGCCCTGGTCTCTGCCCGCCTCCCTGGCCTCCTCTTCTTCTTTCCCCCTAATGATGGAGAGTGAGCCCTGAGCTAGGTCTTTGGGGGAATTTCTCGGTATTTTTTATTTTTATTTTTATTTTTGAGATGGAGTCTTGCTCTGTCGCCCAGGCTAAAGTGCAGTGATGTGATCTCGGCTCACTGCAATCTCTGCCTCCCGGGTTCAAGTGATTCTTCTGCCTCAGCCTCCCTAGTAACTGGGATTACAGGTACCCGCCACCACACCTGGCTAATTTTTGTATTTTTAGTAGAGACAGGGTTTTGCCATGTTGACCAGGCTGGTCTTGAACTCCTGACCTCAAGTGATCCACCCGCTTCAGCCTCCCAAAGTGCTGGGATTACAGGCACACGCCACGACACCCGGCTAATTTTTGTATTTTTAGTAGAGACAGGGTTTTGCCACGTTGGCCAGGCTGATCTCGAACTCCTGACCTCAAATGATCCACCCACCTCGGCCTCCCAGCGTGCTCAGATTACAGGCGTGAACCACTGTGCCTGGCCTCAACAAAATGCTGAGATTACAGGTGTGAGCCACCATGTCCAGCCTTCTCGGCTTTTTTTTTTTTTTTTTTTCAGATGAAGTCTCACTCTGTCACCCAGGCTGGAGTGCAGTGGCACAAGCTCGGCTCGCTGCAACCTCTGCCTCTCGGGTTCAAGCAATTCTCCTGCCTCAGCCTTCTGAGTAGCAGGGACTACAGGTGCGTGCCACCACACCCAGCTAATTTTTTGTATTTTTAGTAGAGAAGGGGTTTCACCGTGTTACCCAGGATGGTCTCGATTTCTTGACCTCATGATCTGCCCGCCTCGGCCTCCCAAAGTGCTGCTATTACAGGCGTGAGCCAGCGTGCCCGGCCTCAGCTTTTTTTTTTTTTGAGACAGCGTCTTGCTCTGTCATCCAGGCTGGAGTTCAGTGGCGCGATCTTGGCTCACTGCAACCTCTGTCTCCCAGGTTCAAGTGATTCTCCTGCCTCAGCCTCCGGAGTAGCTGGGGTTACAGGCGCCCACCATGACACCCGGCTACTTTTTGTATTTTTGGTAGAGATGGGGTTTCACCATGTTGGCCAGGCTGGTCTTGAACTCCTGACCTCGTGATCCACCCACCTTGGCCTCCCAAAGTGCTGGGATTACAGGCGTAAGCCACTGCGCCCAGCCCCTTCTCAGCTTTAAAAAAAATGTTTTTTTCTTTTTCTTTCTGTTGTTTTGAGCTAGGATCTCGTTCTGTCGCCCAGGCTGGAGTGCAGTGGTGCGATCATGACTCACTGCAGCCTCAAACTCCTGGCTTCAAGCAATACTCTCATCTCTGCCTCCTGAGTAGCTGGGACCACAGGCATATGCCACCATGTCCAGTTAATTTAATTTAATTTAATTTTTGAGACAGAGTCTTGCTCTGTCACCCAGGCTGTAGTGCAGTGGCGTGATCTCGGCTCACTGCAACCTCCGCCTCCCAGGTTCAAGCGATTCTTCTGCCTCATCCTCCCTAGTAGCTGGGACTACAGTACCCACCACCACGTCTGGCTAAATTTTGTATTTTTAGTAGAGACGGGGGTTTCACCACATTGGCCAGGCTGGTCATCCTGACCTCAAGTAATCCACCCACCTTGGCCTCCCAAAGTGCTGAGATTACAGGCGTGAGCCACCACGTCGAGCCTACCCCTAGATCTAAGCTGCCGCCCTGTCTCCACCCAGATGATATCAGCAGCCCCCACACTGGCCTCCTTTCGGTCTCCCATCCCCTCAGTGGCCGGAGGGAACCTGTTCAAATGTGAGTTGGGTCAGGTTCCTCCTCTGCTCTGAACCTGCGTGGCGTGCCCTCACTCAGAAGGTGAGTCAGCTCAATGCCCCGGGTGTCCTGTGTTCACCCCTCTGTCAGGGCCTTTGCCAGTCCTTCTGCCTGGAGCACCTTCCCCCCAGGGATCCATGAGACACTGCCTTACCTCCTCAGTGGCGGCCTCCCCATCCATCTAAAGTGTAAGCTGCTGGGTCCTCCCCTGCTTGGACGGGTCTCTGGCACATTGAAGGAGTGCACTAAATATCTGCCAAATGGGCCGGGTGTGGTGGCTCATGCCTGTAATACCAGCATTTTGGGAGACCAAGGTGGGAGGACTGCTTGAGCCCAGGAGTTTGAGACCAGCCTGGGCAACCTGATGAAACCCCATCTCTATAAAAAATATAAAAAATTAGGTTGGGCATGGTGGCTCACGCCTGTAATCCAGCACTTTGAGAGGTCGAGGCAGGTGGATCACTTGAGGTCAGGAGTTTGAGACCAGAGGTCAGGAGTTCGAGACCAGCCTGGCCAACATGGTGAAACCCCATCTCTACCCAAAATATAAAAAATTAGCCGGGTGTGCTGGTGGGTACCTATAATCCCAGCTACTTGGGAGGCTGAGGCAGGAGAATCGCTTGAACCCGGGAGGCGGAGGTAGCAATGAGCCAAGATCACACCACTGCACTTCAGCCTGGGTGACAGAGGGAAATTGTCACACCAAAAAAAAAAAAATTAGCCGAGTATGGTGGTGTGTGCCTGTAGTCCCAGCTACTGGGGAGGCTGAGGTGGAAGGATCACTTGAGCCTGGGAGGTCAAGGCTGCAGTGACTTGCGATCATGTCACCGCACTGCTGCCTGGGCAACAGAGCAAGACTCTGTCTCAAAAAAAAAAAAAAAAAAACACCAAAACCCCAAACCCCAAAAAACCCTGTGGAACGAATGAATGGAAGAGTGAATGAAGATCCGGGTGGTGACAGCAGATCCTCTAGTTTGGGGTAGGGAGGGAGATCCCCGGTTCCACCCTGTCACGCCTGTCTGTGCCCGCCCCTGTCCCTTCCTTACCCTTGGCAATCTTGATGTCCAGGGCTGTGCGGATCAGAGCCATGAGGGTGGAATTGAAGTGGACGGTGTTGTCATCTGCGACGGGCAGGTCCATCCGCAGAAGCCGCTACAGAAAACCCAAGGCAAGCGCAGTCATTCCCAGGCATCCCTCCTGGGTCTCCCGTGAGCCGCGCCCGCCCCTACCCAGGGAGTCCCAGGAAGAACTCTGAAAGCTGTGGCGGCTGAGGTGTCTCTTACTTAGGTTACCTGTCCCAGTACTCAGTTTCTCTTGGTGGCCCGCAGGGAGGGCACAAAAGGCTCTCTTGTACTTCTGGTCCCCTGCCCTCTCCTTTTTTCCCCCACCTGCTTGACCTGAGAGCTGGCATTTCCAGGGTTTGCCTCAACCCTTGCCCCACCCCCGCCCTGCCCCAGAGTTCTTCTGGATGGCCCCGTTTCAGTCTGACCCCAAAGAAAAAGAGCACAAGCTGGATTTGAGCAGTGCATGCAACAGCCAAGGCTGAGGGGGCCAGGACCACAGCCGCTGGTGGGGGGTGCCACTGGCTCCCCACACCCAATCCCTGGCTTGGCCCAGACCAGGACAGAGCAGATGGGCACAGACCACATCATTCCTCTGAGAAGCAGCAGGCAGGCAGCCCCCCACTGACGGGGCAGGCCCCTCGCAGGCATGCAGCGAGGCTGTGACACAGAACAGCACAGACAGGGGCGCATGCAGACGGAATCTCGAGACTCATTCATAGCTCCGTGGGAAGTGTATCTCAGGGGCATGTCCAGATCTTGGCTCTCTGTGCAATGGCAGGGGGAAGGGGTGAGGGGCACTCCCTTCCAGCCCAGGGAAGAAAAGATTCCCCATGTCCCAGGCAGGGGCTCTGTCCACCATGCTTGGTGGCATGGGAGAGGATGCTGGGCTGGTGTGCACCAGCCCAGGCTGAAGTGGCACAGAGAAGGGGGGTGAGGGCAACTTGGGTGGGGATTCAGACACAAGTGGGCAGGAAACACAGAGTTGAAGATGGGGAGGGGTATGGTAAATCCAGAGCAGGACACTGGAGGGGACACTGGGGGTAGGGTGGGGAAGGAGGTGGGAAATAGAGAAACACACATAGACTGGGCCACTGTGCACAGTTGTGCAGGTTGTACACCGCACAAAGGGCTCCCATCTTGGAAATGATAGATTTATGTACTTATTTATTAATTAAAATATTTTTTCTTTTTGTAGAGATGGGGTCTCGCTATGTTGCCCAGGCTAGTCTCGAACTGGGCTCAAGTGATCCTCCCGTCTCAGCCTCCCAAAGCACTAGGATTACAGGCATGAGCCACCACGCCCAGCCCCCGATTTGTATATTAAATATAACAGCTTCCCAGGTGATAGAAAAAAAGTGTCTTGTTCTCACCACATTGGTAGATTGCAACAATTTTCCAACAGGCATGTTCTGTGGAAAGGGTGCCTTTTTCAAATTTGCACAAAGTTGTCTTATGGACCCATGGTGGTCCTGCACAAAGACCAGGAGAGGAAGGGCTCGCCCTCCCTCTCTTGCACATGCGCACACATTCATCTAAGCAGAGACTGAGAGAAGCGACTTGAGGAAAACCGGGGGGGGGGGGGGGGGCGGCAGGGAGGGGCACAGAGCGACAGGTGCCAGGAGAGGCTCATTGTCTGAGATGCTGGTGGGACAACCTTGTCCCCGGCTTTGATTGAGAAGGAGGGGAGACATATAGGTTAGGTGAGGAGGGGTGCACAGAGGAAGGAAAGGAATGAGGTGGCAACACGGGGCAGGTACAAATAGCATTGATGGATAGGGACGCAGGGAAGATCAAGGTGGATGGGAGAATAGGATGATGGGGTAATACTTTTTGGGTGGGGAGAATCTTTAAAGGTCATCCCTGAACTTCTTGTGGATGAATGGAGGGAACAGAGCATCTGTCCTTGGGCACCAAGGGAGATTCCAGGACAGGGATCTGGAGGGGTGGCCCGGGCCAGCCGCTTGGCGGCAGGACGCTCGCTCTCTCAGCCAGCATGCACCACCCCCCGTCGGCCATGGTGCCTGCCCGCCCCAGGCCCCGCCAAGGCAGCGTGCATGGCCTGCATCAGTGTGCCACCGTCCAGGGGTCCAGCTGCGGCCGCCTGCCCACTCTGGAACAATGGAGAGGCATGTTGGGGTGTCTTGGGGGGATTAGGGACGGGGGCTGGGGACGAAACTCCAGGGGAAGGAAGGGAGGGGAAGAGAGGTTCTTGGTGCTCCTTGGAAGGTCTCGAATCCCCAAGGCCCTAGGTCAGAGATCAGCTTCAGGTGTGCGTGGCAGGGGCGGGGACCCGGGACCTCGCCTGCTTTCGGGGGCTAAAGCCCCTCTCTGCAAGGCGCCTGCCCCAGCCTGGGCATGGGGGCCGCTCTGGGTGGGCAGAAGTGGGAAGCATGGGTTTTGACTCCCTGAAGAAGCGTGTTTGTTTCCAATTTGGTACCTGGGAGACCAGGTGCAAGGGGACCTGGGCGCTCCCCTCCCCCTCCCCCCGGCATGTCGGCCATAATGGAGTCTCAAAACACGAAGACACTCATCAGAAAGGACGGACACAGTGTGCTGCTTAGAATCAAGGGATGGTCATGATCAGTTGACTCGAGAAAAGAAAAAAAAGAATCAAAAACAAAAAAGAAGAGAAACGTTGGAAAAAGAGAGTCGGCCGGGTGTTTCTGGTCAGCACTAAAAAAAAAGAAGAAGAAGAAGAAAAAAAAACCCAGTGCCTGGACGTCGGTGGTCGGCAAGGGTAGTCTACCTTGTAAGCCACTCTGGCCGGACACTTCTTCCCCAGACCCAGGGGCGGAGACATGTGTCTCAGCATCTGATACATGTCCAGGTAAGGCATGCGGCCCCTGGCAGCACCGAAAATGAAAAAAACAAAAACAAAAACAAAAAAACAAAACGGGAATGGGAACAGAGAACCAAAGGAAGAGAGGTGGGGAGAAACAGAAGAAAGAAAAAAGAAATCCACACGAGCCGAAAAAATAGAGAGAGAAAGATGCAGAGAATGATAAAATAGATATTTCAAATCAATGGAAAAGAGGAGGAAAAAAAATGGAAGAAAAGGTCAGTAAAAAAAGATTACTTCACTGCTCGGGAGCAGGGAGAGAGAGAGAAAAGAGAAAAGTCAGATTCAGCGTGGGCTCTGAGCTACAGTTCTGGAGGGATGCGGAGGGGAGGGAGAATTCTCACTTTGGAAGACGTAGAGCCATGCTTTTGTTCATTGCCTTTTTTTTTTTTTTTTTTTTTTTTTAAAGAGACAGGGTCTCTCTCTGTCGCCTGGGTTGGAGTGCAGTGGTGTGATCATAGCTCACTGCAGCCTCCACCTCCTGGGCTCAAGCAATCCTTCTGCCTCAGCCTCCCAAGTAGCTGGGACTACAGGCATGCGCCACAATGCCTGGCTAATTTTTTATAGAGAAGGGGGTTCTTGCTATGTTGCCCAGGCTGGTCTCAAACTCCTGGGCTCAAGCGATCCTCCTGCTTTGGCCTCCCAAAGTGCTGGGATTACAGGCATGAGCCACTGCGCCCGGCCATCACTGTTATTTCTACAGTTGGGTCACGTTCTCTGGTTTGGCTGAGGCTGGTCTCTGAGGGGGCCTAGGTGGGGAGCAGGGGCCAGTGCCAGGGAGGGGAGGAGGGCTAGGGGCTTTGGGAGGTGAGGGGTGGAGGGGGAGAGAGTGGAGGTGATGGTTGGGGGAGAAATGCAAAGTTACAATCCCCCAGGGGATGTATCTGATTTGGGGTGCCGTGGAGACCCCAGGATGGGCAGCTTCAGCTAAGAGCAAGCAAAGATGGCTGAAGGCTGAAGGGAAGGAGGAAATATGTTCCATGCTTTATCGAGTCTACATGACTGCATTCTGTTGGCTAAGAGAGTTTTCTAGTTTAATGCAAGAAAGAGAGATGGCTCTGTTTTTTTAGAGAGAGAGAGAGATATATATATATATATATATGAAATATATATATTGAAGAACCCCAAGCCACACTCATTCCATGGATGCTAGCAGGTTTTAGTGGAAGTCAAACCTTGCAAGCAACCCTATGAGGACATTTCTTGCCTAAGCCGAGAGGGGGAGATATTACTCGTAATAAACTGTACATATCCTTATAATGAATCCGACCGCTGAAAGGAGAAGAAAGGGGGTTAGTGCAGGCAATGGGTTCACACGGGCTCCCTGGGCACACAGCGAGGTCATGATGCCCGAGGCTGGGGTGTCCCTGGCTTGAAGGAGTGGGAGAGACTGGGGACAAGTGAAGGTCCCCAGTACATTCCCAGACACTGGGGAGACCCAGGGGTGTAGGATGTCAGTCGAGTTCGGGACTGCAGGGCACCTCCCCTGGGGCTCTCTCTGCATCTGCCTCCTCCACAGTCTACATGGGCTACAGGGGTGGGGGGGGGCTTGTGGAATAGAGGCCTTGGGGACAGCATCCAATTGCTGTGACCTAAAATCAAAAGAGGAAGAGTTAGGAACCAGCCAAAGCCCAGCCCCAGACCCACGGCTCTCCCCAGCCTCTCGGTCTCATGGAGTACTTGTTTGAGGCTATGGGAATAGCCAAGACCACCTCCTGCCCACCTTCCTCGTGACGGCCTCCTCTCTGGTGCTGAGGCCAGAGGAAGATGGGGCTTAGGCTGCTGAGGGCCCCCCAGTAATGCTTCTTCAGGCCCCAAGACCAGCCTGAACTAAATCCTCAGTTAGTGGCTGGTGGGTTCCAGGTATTCAGATAAAGCCTCTGAGTGTCCTTCAAGGCTTGGTGTTGGGTGGGCACTCAATACACGTGCACAAGGTGGAACCCACCCTCTGAAACCATTGCCCGTCAGTGGAGAGGGACCCCTCTGGTGTCTACCCAGATGGGAGCGCCCACTCCCTTTGTGGCCACAAAGATGCATGGGCCCCTGAGGCTCTGCGTCCTCCCCTGGCCTGTATGTCCTCTCACTCCCAGGTTCACGGGTCCCAGTGGGAGCTGAGTTCTGCTACTCTGATGTTGCTGCCAATCCTGTCTGCCAAGGGTAGGCCAGCCCTCCTCCCCACACTCTCAAGAGAACTGAGGCTGGGATGCTGTTGGTTTTCTCCCTGGAGCCTGGCTAATGCATCCTCACCATCTGGAGACTTCACAGTGAGAGACAGGAGAGACTCGTAGGAGGAGAGGGCTCTTCAGGACATCTCATGGTTGACGCCCTCCCTCATTTCCCAGAAAGTCCAGGGTTTGGGCAGGGTTGGCACCCTACGTGTTTAATCTGGGGTATGCAAGGGTGATGATTCTTATATCTTCTCTCCTGACTGAACCTGTGAGACCCCTGCTAGGACCCCAGGAGTTCAGTGCTCCAGAGTCTGGGGCCTGACCTAGCCCGTGTTCCAGTTCCAGGGAGAGGTGAGTATTGTGGCTGGAGGATTCGGGGTGACTTCTTACCAAGCTGCGGGGTCATACTCGGCCCAGACACGCACGTACTCATCCAGGTGGTGGGGGCCCAGGATGGAGGAGTCTCGGGTGAGGTACTCAAAGTTGTCCATGATGACGGCGACAAAGAGATTCAGCATCTGTGGGGACCCCGGGGACCAAGAGAGAATGGGGGCAGAGACCGAGGGAATGAATGAGTGAGTGAGAAGGATACAGACAGACAGACGGACAGACAGACCCAAAGACATGTACACAGAGGCCCAGATGGAGAGAGGGATAGAGAGAAGATGGGGAAAGGAAATGAGACAGAGACAGAAAGAGACTGGGGAATGGAGAGGTGATGCTCACTCACACAAGGAGGTCCAGTGAGAGAGAGATCAAGTGGAGAGATGGGGAAGAGGAAGAGAGAAACAGAGAGAGATGGAGAGAGAGAGATACAAAGAGACAAAGACTGGCCGGGCACGGTGGATCACGCCTGTAATCCCAGCACTTTGGGAGGCCGAGGTGGACAGATCACTTGAGGTCAGGAGTTTGAGACCAGCCTGGTCAACATGGTGAAACACTGTCTCTACTAAAAATACAAAAATTAGCTGGGTGTGGTGGCATGTGCACCTGTAATCCCAGCTACTTGGGAGGTTGAAGCTGAAGAATCGGTTGAACCTGGGAGGTGGAGGCTGCAGTGAGCTGAGGTCTCGCCACTGCACTTTAGCCTGGGCAACAGAGTGAGACTCCATTTCAAAGAAAAAAAAAAAAGAGAGAGAGAGACAAAGACCAAGAATGATGGAAAGAAACAGAGTCAGTGAGAGGGAGGGGAGGCTTCTGAAACAGGGACCAACACCAAGAGAACCACTGTGACCCCAAATCCTCCCACATCTGCCCCCAACAAGGCCAAAGTGAGGTATTTCTTCCCTCGCAATGTTTTTTTTTTTTTTGTTTGTTTTTGTTTGTTTTTGAGACAGGATCTCATTCTGTCGCCCTGGCTGGGGTGCAGTGGTGTGATCATGGCTCACTGCAGCCTCGACCTCCAAGGCTCAAGTGATCCTCCCACCTCAGCCTCCTGAGTAGCTGGGACTGCAGGTGCACAGCACCACGTGTGCAGCTAATTCAATTTTTTTTTTTTTTTTTAAAGAGATGGGTTTCACACCATGCTGTCCAGGCTGGTCTTGTATTCCTGGGCTCAAGTGACCCTCCCACCTCAGCCTCCCGAAGTGTTGGGATTACAGGCATCGGCCACTACGCCCAGCTGAAATATTTCATTGAGTCTCAAATGGGGGAATTCTGGCCCCCACTCCCAACCCCACCCCCACCCCCTGGGGGCACCTGGCAATGTCCGGAGACATTTTTGGTTGTCACAACAGGAGGAACGGGTGGCGTGTGCTGCCAGCATCTGGTGGGGGGAGGACAGGGATGCTGCCATACACTGCAGTGCACATGATGGCCCCACCCCAAAGAATCAGCCACCCCCAAATGTCAACAGTGCTGAGTTTGAGACGCTCAGGGTCACCTGATCCCAGGCTGGTTCAGAGAAGCCTTGGAGGGAACAAGCCTTCGACACAGCCACATTCCACAGAAACCCACTCCCCTGAAAGGAAGCCAGGCTTAGGGAGCCCAGACGGCCCTCACAGTGTCCACAGACTCACCAGAAACGAGCAGAGGAAGATGAAGGAAACAAAGTAAAAATAAGCAAATTCATTGCCACACTCTCGAGTCAGGATGCCAGAGTTCTTATCACACGGTTTCCCGCTGAGGCAGGAAAGCATGATGTTGTGCCAAGCTTCCCCGGTGGCACTCCTGAGGACAGGGAGAAATCAGAGACTCGGACACCCAGCCCTGACTGGGTACCAACGCCTCCCCAGGAGGTGGAGCACACACGTTGAGCACTTGGGCTCTGGAGCTGGCCAGGCAAGCCCCAGGTGGACCACCTCCTTTTACTGGGAGCTGAGAGAAGGGAATTCACATTCTTGGCTGTGCACTGAAGTCCACAGAGAGCTTTGAAAAAATACCAATGCCCGTGCCCCACCCCAGCAGACTTGGATTCAGTTGGTCTAGGGTGGGATTTGAGGACACTGATATGTTTTTTTCTTTTCTTTTCCTTCTCTCTCTCTTTCTTTTCCTTTCTTTTCTCTCTCTCTCTCTTTTTTTTTTTTGACAGGGTCTTGCTCTGTTACCCAGGTTGGAGTGTAGTGGCACAATCACTGCTCACTGCAGCCTCAACTTCCCAGGCTCAGGTGATCCTCCCGCCTCGGCCTCCTGAGTAGCTGGGGACTACAGGCACACGCCACCACTCCTGGCTAATTTTTAAACTATTTTTTTTTGTAGAGATGGGGTTTCACTGCATTGCTCAGGCTGGTCACTGTTATGCTTTAAAAGCTCCCCTCTTGGCTGGGCGCGGTGGCTCACACCTGTAATCCCAGCACTTTGGGAGGCTGAGGTGGGTGGATCACGAGGTCAGGAGATTGAGACCATCCTGGCTAACATGGTGAAACCCTATCTCTACTAAAAATACCAAAAATTTGCTCGGTGTGGTGGCGCTCACCTGTAGTCTCAGCTACTTGGGAGGCTGAGGCAGGAAAATCGCTTGAACCCAGGAGGCGGAGGTTGCAGTGAGCTGAGATCGCGCCACTGCACTCCAGCCTGGGTGACAAAGAGGGAGATTCTGTCTCAAAAAAAAGCAAAAAAAAAAAAAAGCTCCCTTCAGGCCGGGTGCAGTGGCTCATGCCTGTAATCCCAGCACTTTGGGTGGCTGAGGCGGGTGGATCACCTGAGGTCAGGAGTTTGAGAACGGCCTGACCAACATGGCAAAACCCCGTCTCTACTAAAAATACAAAAATTAGCTGGGCGTGGTGACGGGCACCTATAATCTCAGCTACTCGGGAGGCTGAGGCAGGAGAACTGCTTGAACCTGGGAGGCAGAAGTTGCGCCGAGCCGAGATCGCACCACTGCACTCCAGCCTGGGCAACAAGACCGAAACTCTGTCTCAGATTAAAAAAAAAAAAAAGCTCCCCTCCATGAAGGTGACAGTCATCTCATACTATATTCTCCCTAGATCACTCTGTTCTAGGTATGCTGGGCTCCTCACAGTCCTCAAACATGCCAGCCATACTCCTGCCTCAGGGCCTTTACACAGGCAGTCCCCTCGGCTTGGCCTGCCCTTCCCCATATACCCACTGACTCCCTCCCTTGCCAATTTCTCTCAAATGTCACACTTTCAGAGAGGCATAACCTGCCGGCCCTCTATTCTTTTTTTGTTGTTAGATTAAAAACATTATTATTTTTTACTGTGGCAAAATACACACAGCATGAAGTTTATCAATTTAACCATTTTGAAGTGTACAATTCAGTAGCATTAAGTAAGCTCACATTATTATGCAACTATCACCACTATCTACCTCTGTAACTTTTTTTAAAAATTAAAAAAATATATTTTTCTTTTTAGAGACAGAGTCTCGCTCTGTTGCCGAGGCTGGAGTGCAGTGGCACAATCATAGCTTACTGTAGCCTGGAACTCCTGGGCTCGAGCAATCCTCCTGCCTCAGCCTCCCAAGTAGCTGGGACTACAGGTGTGTGGCACTATGCCCAGTTAATTAAAAACAATTTTTTTGTAGAGACGGGGTCTCACTATGTTGCCCAGGCTGGTCTCAAACTCCTGGGCTAAAGCGATCCTCCCACCTCGGCCTCCCAAAATGCTAGGATTACAGGCACGAGTCACTGCACCTGGCCCTATTCCCCTTTATTCTTGAATTTTATCTTTTTCCAGCATCCTCTATAATTTGTTTCCTGATTATTCGTCTTCCCCATGGGGATGTTAGCTTCCAAAGTGCTTAAAATGTCTCTTTTCTCTATTTCCTGGTGCATCCTCGTTTTTCAGCCCTGCCTGGCATGCTGTAGGTGCTCAATACACCTCCACAAGAGGAGCTTGCAGTGAGCCGAGATGGCGCCACTGCACTCCAGCCTGGGCAACAGAGAGAGACTCCATCTAAAAAAAAAAAAAAAAAAGGGCTGGGCACGGTGGCTCACGCCTGTAATCCCAGCACTTTGGGAGGCCGAGGCGGGCGGATCACGAGGTCAGGAGATCGAGACCATCCTGGCTAACATGGTGAAACCCCGACTCTACTAAAAATACAAAAAAATTATCTGGGCGTGGTGGCGGGCGCCTGTAGTCCCAGCTACTCGGGAGGCTGAGGCAGGAGAATGGCGTGAACCCGGGAGGCGGAGCTTGCAGTGAGCCGAGATCGCGCCACTGTACTCCAGCCTGGGGAACAGAGCGAGACTCCATCTCCAAAAAAAAAAAAAAAAAAAAAAAAAGCCCCCCCAAAAAACCTACACTGAACGAGTGAAGGAACTTTTGTGTGCAGCCAAGATGATGAACCAAAGAATCAAGCCTCACGGTCTGTAAGCCTGTTTTCTTATTTGTCGGATAGGGCTGCCAAGAATCCCTTCCTCACAGGGTGGTCAGGAAGATTCAGAGATAATGCCTGGAAAATGACCTTGATGACTATGTCCCAGGGCCCTCTGCTTCTGCCCTGCTAGGATTCCTGGGCCCCCCACGACACCCATTTCCAGCCTCACGGGAAAAGAAGGATAAGAGCACATCTGGCCACCCCCACACCAGAAAAGGAGGAGGAGGGCACGCCCCCTATCGGAAGAGAAGGCCGGCACGTCCCCTACCGGAAGAGAAGGGCACGCCCCCTACCGGAAAAGAAGGGTGAGGGCGCGCCCCTGCCAGAAGAGAAGGAGGAGGGCACGTCTTGCATTGGAAGAGGAGGGTACATCCTCTATGGGAACAGAAGGATGAAGGCAGGCACCCCACCCCACGGAAACAGAATTATCAGAGCAGGTCCCCTTCTCACCGGAAGAGAAGCATGAGGGCCTGGAAGAAGGTCCGGAAGTTATTGTGCTCAGTGATTTGGAACTCATCTTCATCACTGTCCTCGTCCTCCACGTCGATGCCAATGTTACCAAACACCTGTGGAATTGGAGGGTGACGACCAGGGGCTGCCATTCCTCCAGTGGCTTCTGGGAAACCCAGCTCAACCTCCATGGCTGCTTCTGTGAACCAGGCTCCTCTGACCCACCCCTTTCTAAGGGTGGCTGCCCTCCTTGGGAGGCTCTGGGAACCTTAGGGACACGACACTCACCTGCATCCCAATGATGGCATAGATGAAGAAGAGCATGGCGATCAGCAGACAGACATAAGGCAGGGCCTGGTGGGAAAAAAGGCAATGAAGAAGAGTGCTGGGGGTCCCTCAGCCGCACTGTCTTCCTCCCTTGTCCCAGTGCTCTGCCCCACTGGGTTGGGTGGCCATATGCCACGTGCCAGAGTCCTTCCAGGGCTGGTGGGCATCTCTGGGGGCTCTAGGATGAGGCCCTTACAGCTCTGAAGACACACCAGGGACAGGAAGTTTGACAACAGCCTTGGAGATAACAGATTCTCTGCACGACTACATCACAGAGGCACTTCCAATCTGACTTCTACATTCAGCCAGAGCATGAGGGTCACCTGTCTTCTCAGCCCTGGGCCAGCAGCAGGGACGAGGACTCACCTTGAAGGACTGCACAAAGGTCCAGAGAAGAATGCGGATGGTGTAACCCTGACGGAGAAGTTTGATGAGCCGGGCAGCTCGGAAGAGGCGGAGAAAGCTCAGGTTGATGAAGTTATTCTGGGGAGATGGAGGAAGAGGGGTGACCATCCACCCACCCCAAAAGGCTCAGAGCTGTCACCACTCACAGAGGCCCCTACATGAAGCCAACCAACAGGAAAAAAGCAAGCCAGACCCCAAATAAGGAGGGAGAGAGAAAGCACTATTAATGCAATGATGCAGAGGAAAAACTCGAAAAAGGAATAATGTTGGGAGAGAGAGGGTGGGAGGGAGGAAAAGGCATCAACTCAAAAGCATAAGCCCTCCCTGCCAGCCCCACCCACAATGGGGAAAAGAAAAGAAAAAGAAAGGAGGAAAAAGGAACGGGGATGGGGAAGAAATAACAAAAGAACAAGAAAAAGAAAATATATCCGAATCATCCAATCAGGAAAAAAATCGAGATGGTTTTTGTTTCTCCCAACAACCAAATGCACTGAGACGAAAGGACACAAGCCGGTCAAGTTGCGGAATCTATCATACGTGTACGATGCACAAACACCAGGGCGGGGGTGGGGGTGGAGGTCGCCAGCACAGTCAGGCCTGGTGGACATGTGCGGGTTCCGAGGGCATGTTACGCTCCGGGCCAGAAATGCATCTGTCACGGGACTCACCGGGCACCCTGCCCTGCCCTGCCCTGCCGAGCTGCCCACCCGCTCCTGCCCGCCCTGACCTCACCCCACGGCCAAGAGGAGCAGCGGCTCGAGCCAATTGGGAGAAGCGGAAGAGCATCTTTTCTTACCCCCTTGGCGAGCGGGAATGGGGAGGACGGGAGGGAGCTGGGACTGTTCGGCTGCAGGGTGAGTCCTCGCTGCCCGCTGAGTCGGAGAAGATGCATTTGGGGCCCTTTTCCCCCCTCTCAGGGATGGCTTCTCAGCTTCTGGGGCTGGGTGGAGTAGCACGGGACCAGGCCTGCAGGAAGCAGGAAGCACTCAGCTCCCATGGGTGGGTGAGCTCAGAAATCAGCCCGGGCCCACCAAGGGGCGGGTGCTGGGGGCCGGGAGGTGGGGCCATCCCTGCCCCCAGGACCTCCCTGGGTGGCCACTGCCTCTGCTCAAAAACCCCCTGTCTAGTCACTGCCTCTGCCTCCTCCCACCCAAGCTAGAAGAACCAGGGGGCCAGAGAGTTGGAGAGTCAGGGAGGAGACCAGCTAGAGTTAAGTGGCCATTGTGGGGCTTCAAGGGACCTTGGTGGGGGGGGTGGGACTCTCGAAGTCACGAGTGGGCCAAATCTAGCTAATAAAACTGTTTTGTTGGGCCCGAGCAGTGTTTTTTCATTTGTCCTTGTTTTTAATTAAAAATTATTGCCATTGTTTAAAAATCAAGAGATTTTGCCCACCAATCTGGCTTTCTGGCAACCCCAGGCCTGCTGCGATTGCTCCCTGGAAGCAGGCCACATGATCTCCAGTTTTCCAGGGTCCTCACGTTTTAGAAATGGCACTTGCTTTCCTGGTTGACTGGTGTCTGCCTGGCCCCCAGAGGCATTTGAGTTTGAGACCCCAGCCTCAGGCAGACATGGAAACCCTCCTTCGCTGGCCAGTACCCAGCAGGGTGAAGGCAGGAGGAGTAGAGGGTCTCTCCACACTAAGGGAAGGGGCTTAATCAGACTTGTTCTATGGGATTTGTAGGATTTGCTACAGGCCACGTAGCAAGATTTAACTTGGTCTAACCTTCACCCCCCAAATGGCACAGGGTGACCATACAGTCACAGCCTCCCTCCTGTTTCAAAAGTGTCCTAGTTTGGGTGACATGGGCATCCTACTTGGTGGCTTCCAGAGGGCTTTCTGGCTGCCAGATCTGTGTCTTGTGCTGGCTTTGGCCTGGGAGCTGAGAGGCAAGGACTGGAGTTCAAGGAATTTCTGAGGCCTCTGGGTTTGATGGCAATGTCTAGGATGCTCTCTGGGACACATCAGTGCGTCCTTAGGCCTCTAGGATGGGGAAGGGGGCTGGGGGATCCTACCCTGACCACACTGGGCTCAAGTGCTGTGAGAATGTCTCCAGTGCCTCGAACAAGCCCCAAACCCAGCTTGGCTAACAGAGTCACTCTCTGTGCCCTGCTGCCCTGACCCCCATCCCTGCCTGGCCACCCAGCTCCACCTGGGGATGGGGCCGATGGCTCAGGTATCCCCAGCCCCCTCCCGTTCAACCCCAGAGTACAAGCCATCCCTTTCATGGGGCGGATCATAACATGTGGACTCGGCCAGGCATGCGAAGGCAGGCGGACCCTGGAAGCAGCCTCAGGAGGGGGGTTTGGAGGAGAGCAGGGGAAGCTTGCAACCATGCAAAAAAGCCAGGGATCTGGCAGGGAGATGCGTGCAGAAAACATGCTTCCCTTCTTGGAGCCAAGTGGGGGAGGAGACACATGAGGCAGGTAGGGGTGGAGACGGGAAGGGTTTGGGGCAGTGGGGGAAGGGTACTAGTCTGCCCTCATCCACCCTCCATCTCTTCCTGCATCAGTACCAATTCTTTCCACTGCCCCCAGAACTTCTGACAAGTTCCCTCTTCCTGCCTTCCACATTTCAATCCATGGCTTGGGAGGTGCAGCTTCCTCTCTTCAACACCTCCCCTGAACTTCCTGGCTAGAATGTGATGGGGGTGGGACACAGCCCCTGGAAGACATGAGGACAGCGTCCTTGTGGTCTTTTCTTTTCCAGTGCTGTGCTCAGATGTTCCTCAAGTGCTCAGAAGGATATGGAGACCACCCACCTAAGGGCTCCAGAAAAGTCCTACTACTTGTAGACCTCAGCTCCAAGCTGCAGCCCCCACAACACCTGCCTATCTGACTTATTTCGGGATGTCCTAAAGGCACCTCAAACTTGCTATGCCCACACCTATTCTCTTCCCCCAACCTGGTCCTTTCCTTGCACTCGCTCACCTCTATCACCCAGTATTTTTTTTTTAAGAGAGTCTCACTCTGTTGCCCAGGCTGGAGTGCAATGGCACGACCTCGGCTCACTGCAACCTCCACCTCCCAGGTTTAAGTGATTCTCCTGTCTCGGCCTCCTGAGGATCTGGGATTACAGGCACCTGCCACCACGCCTGGCTAATTTTTGTATTTTTTAGGAGAGATGGGGTTTCACCATGTTGGTCAGGCTGGTCTCGAACTCCTGACCTCAGGTGATCTTCCTGCCTCAGCCTCCCAAAGTGCTGGGATTAGAGGCTTGAGTCACCGTGCTCAGCCTATCTCCCAGTTTTAAGCCAGACCCGACTGCTCCCAGGCACCTCATCTCAGTTCAGACCTGATCTTTCCCTGGGTCCTGCAGAGGACAACCCTCCCACTGTTCTCTCTCCTCCACTGTCATCTCTTGCTGCGATTCCTGGTGCCCACCTCCAGCCCAGCCTCCTGTCAAGCTGTTCCCTGCCCTGCAACCAGAGCGAGCTTGTCTAGTCACATGACCAGTCGCGCCTCCCCTGCTTCCTATCCTCCCAGGCCCTTCCTGGTGCTTAGGAGAAAGCCCATATTCCACAATATAGCCCCGCCCTCCCCAGCCCCGGGTCCTGTCCCCTTCTGCCTTCTTCGGCTGTCTCCAGGCCAGCCTTTCTCGGCTGTCTTTGCATCAGCCACATTCCCTCGCTTGCAGATCCTGACCCCTCACAGGTTCCGTCCCACCACAGGGCCTTTGCATGTGCTGTCCTGGGCCTGGAATGCTCTGTGCATCTCTCTCTGCCTTGTTAATGCTGCTCATCCTTCAGCTCGCAGTGCAGGTATAATTTTAAGTGGAGTCAAGGGGTTATTTGACCGATGCCTGCCTCCCCCACCTGACTGTATGTGGTAAGAGGGGACAGTAATGGTGTCTGCTTCTGCCCATAATTCCATCTGTGGCACCAAATAGGGGCTCATTAAATGTTTGGTGGGTGAATGCATGTGTATTGCCAGCAGGGAAGGGATGATTCCAGGGCAAAGATGCCATTGGGGCGTCCCTCTAAGGGCCTCATTGGTGGGTAGGAGAGGGGCAGAGGCAGTTGAGATTTAACAGAACAAGGGGTGTGCAAGGGGCTGAGAAGTGGGGGAGGGAGAGAGATGTGTGCAGTATGTACTGGAGTGGGGGTACAGGGTGGGTAGATGTAGCAGAGAGGGCCAGTGTGTGTGTGTGTGCATGCGTGCATGCATGCATGACTGTATGTGAGAGACACAGAGACAGGAACAGTGAATGAGGATTAGAGGCCAGGTGTAGTGGCTCACACCTGTAATCCCAACACTTTGGGAGGCTGAGGCGGGTGCATCACTTGAGGTCAGGAGTTCGAGACCAGCCTGGCCAACATGGTGAAACCCTGTCTCTACTAAAAATACAAGAAGTGGCCTGGCGTGGTGGTACATGCTTGTAATCCCAGGTACTCAGGAGGCTGAGGCATCATAATTGCTTGAAACGGGGAGGCAGAGGTTGCAGTTAGCTGACATTGTGCCACTGCACGCCAGCCTGGGTGACAGAGCGAGACTCTGTCTAAAAAAAAAAAAAAAAAAGAGCGAGAGAGAGAGAGAATTGGAGAATGAGTGAGAAAAAGAGAAGAGGTCATGACTATGTGCAGTGTCTGTACATGCAGTGACTGTGTGTTCAGTGTGTGGGTGCATAGACTGTGTGTGCAGTGACTGTGTGTGTATAGCGACTGTGTGTTCAATGTGTGAATGCAGACTGTGTGTGCATGCATAGTGGCTCTGTGTGCAGTGACTGTGTGTGCAGTGTGTGTGCATAGTGACTGTGTGCAGTGACTGTGTTTGCATAGTGACAGTGTGTGCAGTGTATGTGTGCACAGTGACTGTGCAGTGTGTGTCCATAGTGACTACATGCAGTGCCAGTGTGTGTACATAGTGACTGTGCACAGTGTGTGTGCATAGTGGTGTGTGCAGTGTGTGCATAGTGACTGTGTGTCCAGTTTCTGCGTGCAGTGACTGTGTGTGCGCAGTGATTGTGTGTGTGCAGTGTGTGTGCAGTGTCTGCGCAGTGACTGTGTGTGTGGATAGTGACTGTGTGTGCAGTGTCTGTGTGCAGTGACTGTGTGTGCATAGTGACTGTGTGCAGTGACTGCAGTGACTGCGTGCAGCGTCTGTGTGCAGTGACTGTGTGCACAGTGTGTGCGCAGTGACTGAGTGTGTGCACAGTGACTGTGTGTGCAGTGTCTGTGTGCAGTGACTGTGTGACTGCGTGTGCACGTACAGTTCAAGGCTCCAGGAGAGGGCCTCAGTGGGCCAGCCCCACATGAAGCTACCAGATCCAAGTCTGGCACTTCTGAGTTCCTCTGCCTGAGAGTCTTTGCCGGCACACTGCCTGGCCTTCAGGTCTCCTTTATCAGACTTGGAGAGTCAAGTCTCTGCTGGTCAAGGCCAAAGATCTTGTGGGCTTGAGATGGAGGATTGGGGACAGCAGGATGGAGAGAGCTGGAGGGGCGAGGAGACAGTTGGCAGCTTTCCTGGGGCCTGGGGTCCATGGAGCTGAATGGGGGACAGGAGTGGTGAGAGGTGGCTGGGAGTGGATTTGCCTCTATTGTCTCTGAGTGTAGGGGATGTGTGTGCGGGATGGGGCAAGAGAGAGGTGCTGCGCTGGGAAAACCCATCCCTTTCTCTGCAAAAGACGCAAACCACCCCAAACAGAAAACCCCCATTCAGAACCCGATAAAAACAGAGAGACAGAGTCTACAGGAAGTGGGAGGCACAGGGGCTGGGGGCGGGAGGACAGACAGACAGAGGAGAGCGGAGGGTTGAGGAGAGCGTCAGGCATCCCACGTTGGAGAGGCAGGGTGTGGCATGCAATGCCGACGCGAGGAGATGCGTTCACAGTTAATGTAAGGCATTTAGACTTCAGAAAGAAGTAAGACCAACCGGATTCTAGATGCAGATGTTGAAGATGAGGGGGAGCGGGCGGGCGGGGGCAGTTGGGGAGGCGTGTTCAGCATTTTTTAGGTTGATTTGTAACCAGTGCCAAAAAACCAATGGGTTTCGGTTCCCGGGCGGGGAGTGGGGGTGGTGGTGGCGGTGGGTTGGGAGATAAGTCATTGGTGTATGAACACACAGACCATGTCATGGATGAACAAATGAATTTCATAGTGCATTTTGATTGGATGAGTTTTTCAGACGGCGTTGCGCCAATATACAGTTTTAAGAGCAGGCATGAAAAGAGACAAGACAAGAAACACAGTCATTATCCATTGCACACAGGGCAAACCCACATCACCCCAGCCACTTGGGGGCAGCAGCTGAGACAGCACTGGTTAGTACTGCCGCATGCCCTCTGCCCCCTAAACCCCAGGGACCTGCCCGCCCAAGCATCTGGCATTTCCTGTCTCAGCCTGGCCAAGCCCTGGCCTCAGAACTAGTGGGCTTACCTGGGAGGCAGAAAGGGGCAACTGAGACCTCCTTGCCTGCCAGGACATGCCTCTCCCTACTCCAGGTTGGGAGTTAATTGTCCCAGAAGGACCCAAACACCCACCCCCTATCTTTCCCTCAAATTGACTGTAACTCAGGGCTGGCTAACAAAACTACACACCCATTCACAATAACAATAACAACAGCAGTAATAGTTAACAACCACCATTTTCAAACTCCTGGTTTCCTGGCAGGTTCTGTGCCAAGCACTTCACGTTTCTTTCTTTCTTTTTCTTCCTTTTCTTTTTGAGACAGAGTTTCACTCTGTCGCCCAGGCTGGAGGGCAGTGGCACAATCTTGGCTTACTACAACCTCTCGCCTCCTGAGAATCAAGTGATTCTCTTGCCTCAGCCTCCTGAGTAGCTGGGATTACAGGCACCTGCCACCGTGCCCGGCTAATTTTTGTATTTTTAGTAGGGACAGAGTTTCACCATGTTGGCCAGGCTGGTCTCGAACTCCTGACCTCAAGTGATCCACCTGCCTTGGTCTCCCAAAGTGCTGAGATTACAGGCGTGAGCCACCATGCCCGGCCTGTTGATGCTTTTACTTGTAAAAAGTTCCCGTCTCTCTCCTTAGAATGTCAGCTCTATGGGAGCAGACACTCTGTATTCTTGGTCTGTTTTGTTTGGCACCCCTCCTTCTCGTTCTGTCTCCAGCACTTATAATCACACCAGGCACACAGTAGGTGCTCAATGAATGTCTTTTGAGTGCATGCATCACTGTGAGTCTTGCAAGTGTCTGAGGTTGGTTGCAATGGTTAGCCCCACTCTACATGAGAAGAGATAGCGCAAGTTGTCCAAGATCAAACAGCTGGTAGGGAGGGCTGGGGGCTGTTTGGCTACTGCAAGGGTCCTGATGTCCCATGAACACCCCATGCCCCATCTTCCTGCCAGCCAGGAGAACAGGCTGTTGGAGTCTGTCCCTACAGCTCTCTTACTGGTGATTGAAGGTTTCAGCTAACTTCCTCCACCCCACCTGCCCTTCTGGGGAGCTGGACCATCCTTCTAACCT
Source organism: Homo sapiens (assembly GCF_000001405.40). Lineage (NCBI taxonomy): Eukaryota > Metazoa > Chordata > Mammalia > Primates > Hominidae > Homo > Homo sapiens. Next base: position 13,243,075 of record NC_000019.10, read on the forward strand.
CTTGACCCAAAGGGACATTGGTTCAAGGCTGTCTTGTATGTAGCCGGATGGCAAGATATTTTGATTGCCAGCTGGAGCTCCAGCCCTCTCTAGAAACTCAGGACAGGGGAGAATGACCAGGTGGGGGCACCCCAGTGGAGAGAGCCCCCATGTGGGCAAGAACCCTCTAGAGGAAGGTTTCAGGGATAGGGTGAGGGGAAGGGGAAAATTCTGGCTCACTGGAGCTGAAGGCAAATAAGTGTGTATCACTTGGGTGCGGGTGCCGTAGGACATATCAAAGAATGGCCCCCTCTTTTGTGTAGTTCCCCAGCCCCTCCTGGCCTTCTAGGACGGAAGAGCAGGCAAACAGATCCTTTTCTGTAGGGGGATCTGACTGGGACACCCCAGGAGCTGTCAGTGTACTCTCAGGAGTCACCCAGGCCTGGCTTTGTGACCTTGGGAGTGTCTCTCACTTCCCCAGGCATTGAAGATCAGTTTTCTTTCTTTCTTTTTTTTTTTGAGATGGAGTTTTCGCTCTTGTCACCCAGGCTGGAGTGCAATGGTATGACCGTCGCTCACTGCAACCTCCGCCTTCCGGGTTCAAGCAATTTTCCTGCCTCAGCCTCCCGAGTAGCTGGGATTACAGGCATGCACCACCACACCTGGCTAATTTTTTTGTATTGTCAGTAGAGATGGGGTTTCACCATGTTGGCCAGGCTGGTCTTGAACTCCTGGCCTCAGGTGATCCGCCGGCTTCGGCCTCCCAAAGTGCTGGGATTACAGGCATGAGCCACCGTGCCCAGCTGAGGTCAGTTTTCCCATCTGTGAAATGAGGCAACACCCTCTTCCTCAGGCCCGACCACACCCAGATCTATTCTCCTGACTTCCCTGCCTGCTCTGAGCATCATATTCAGCTTGCTTCCGGTTTACTTTGGGCCATGGGAGGCTCTGGCAGGAGATAAGGGATGAGGGGAGAGAAAGGTTGGGGTGTTTCTCCCCTATTGCTCTCTGCCTGCTTGGGCCCTGGTCTCTGTCTCTCCACATTGACAGGACAGCTCCCACTTGGTGGCTTCTCCTGGCCTCCGGCTCAGGTTCCCTCCCCACTTCAGCACCTGGGCAGGTGACAGCTCCCCACGGTGGGTGGTCGCTGGACACCTTGCCACCCTTGTGGGTACCCTTCCCTTCCCCTCCACCAGTGAGGTCTGCATTTGGGTGCCTTCAGTTGAACCCTCCGAGGGAATTCTCTTACGAGCTGAGACCAAGACCTCTACCCTGAGCCAATCCACGTAAACCACTTGGCACAGTTCCCTGGCACACAGCAAGGCTGCGATTCTCGTGAGCTATTGTTATTTTTATTGTTAGTAAGATGACATTGGTATCACCCTTGACCCTTGGCTTTGACACCCTTTTTTGACCATTGCTTCCCCCTGCAAGGATCTTCTACCCTCCCCCCAATCTCCTGAGGGACCCCAAGCCTGGGCTCATTGGCAGATGGCCAAGGAGAGGGTCTAGGACAGGACCTCTGGGGCCCTGAGTCTTCCAGAAAAGGAGAAGGGCAATGTGGCCTGTGGGGCCACCACAGAGAGGTCCAGAGACTCCCATGTTGAGAGTCTCCCAGGCCCGGGGCTAGAGGAGGGAAGACACCCTGGGGACCCCTCTATGGCCCTGGGAGTGGTGTCCCCACACTGGCCTGAGGGCTGTGGCTCTCTCCTGCCCACTAACTAGGAGAGGGTTGGTTCAAACAGAATTGACTTGAAACCCATTCTTTCTGGGCTCCTGACATAGGGTGGTGTTTGGGAGCCGGCTCAGCTTTCAGAGCTTTTGAGTGTCTCAGTTCCCTCAGTGTACTCATCTGCATTATTAATTCCTAGGCCAGGATGCAGGAAAGCCCACCCCTCAGTGCTGGCCCTACAGCCAAGCTTTGGTTACCCCCATCTCCCCACAATGCCCTCCTGAGGGGCTGCCCTTGTCCCCGGGGCCCCAGTTCTCCCTCTCTGGTCATGGCCAAGTGCTGGCTCAAGCAGCTATGGCTTCCGGGACACACTGCCTCTGGGACCGCTCCCCCGCCCCCTGCCGCCTGCCTCGTCCAGCCCAGAGTCACCCAGAGAGAAGCTGGAGGGAGACTTACCCCAAACTCAGTCACGAGGATATCGGTGATGCTGCCCAGAACAGTCACAAAGTCGAAGATGTTCCAGGCATCGCGGAAATAATTCTAGAATGGGGACCCACAAGACAGAGATGCCAACAGAGGGCTTGGTTCCCGGCCCCCTAGGCTGGCCGGGTGCATGTTAGAGGCACAGTTGCCCATCAGCGGAGTGCCCGGGACAGTTATGGTTGTTCGAAGGGCTGCGGTAAAGGCTGTTCGACATCATCTGTGCTGAGTCTCCCTCCCTGGGAACTCCTGGGGGCCTTCCCATGATTGGCCTGGCCCCAGAGGGGGCCTCCAGACCCTGCTTCAGCTCCACAGGGCTGGGGCTGCTCTTCAGAGCTGTGGCCTGTCTCTCCAGCATTTTTGAGGGCTCCCGAGACCCCAGGGGCTTTATAAATGACATCACTGAGCTCCTCATGAAGATCCTGGAGGGAAGGGTTATCACCCATTTTCTTTTTCTTTCTTTCTCTTTTTTTTTTTTTTTTTTGAGATGGAGTCTCGCTCAGTCATCCAGGCTGGAGTGCAGTGGCACGATCTCGGCTCACTGTAACCTCTGCCTCCTGGGTTCAAGCGATTCTCCTGCCTCAGCCTCCCAAGTAGGTAGGACCACAGGTGCATGCCACCACACCCAGCTAATTTTTGTATTTTTAGTAGAGACGGGGTTTCACCATGTTGGTCAGGCTGGTCTCGAACTTCTGACCTCAAGTGATCTGCTCACTTTGGCCTTCCAAAGTGTTGGGATTATAGGCGTGAGCCACCACTCCCAGGTATACCCATTTTCTAGGAGGTAACCAAGCCACTCATCTGCCTGAGGCTAGCAGCACAGAGATGTAAAGCCAGGATTTGAACCCAGGCCTCAGAGAGCCCACAGTCTGTGTTCAGGTCCCCACTAGGTTGGCAGCATACTCGCAAAGAAAGGAGACTCTGGGTTCAAATCCCAGCTCTGCTACCACAGCTGTGTGGCTATGGGCAAGTGGCTTAACCTCTCTGGGCCTCCATTTCCTGATCTGGAGGCGGACAGTAACAGGGTGCAGAACAGGCACTGGACGGGGCTTTGGGGCCTTTCAGGCACACGCACTTCCTGGTCCCCTTGTGTTTAGATGGGGCCATGTGTGTCTAGGTGCAGTGATGTGCTGTGTGTGGAAGCAGTGTGGTCACTTTCTGGTCAGTGTTGGACTCTCTAGCCTCTCAACCCTGGGCTTGGCGACCAGTAACATTTTGAATGGCAGCTACTCTGTGAGCCTGGGTCCCTGGGTAACTATGAGGCAAACAGCTTCCCTGCTGAATGTAAAAAACCCTTCCCATCAATTTAAGTCACTGAGATGTGGGGGCTGTTTGTTACTGCAGCTTCACTTGATCTATCCTGACTGCTGCATTCCTGGGCTGGGTGCTGGCTCAAGGGGAAACACAAGCATAACCTCTCTGTTTGTTTTTTTTTTTTGAGACAGAGTCTCACTCTGTCGCCCAGGCTGGAGTGCAGTGGCACGTTCTCGGCTCACTACAAGCTCTGCCTCCCGGGTTCACACCATTCTCCTGCTTCAGTCTCCTGAGTAGCTGGGACTACAGGCGCCCACCACCACGCCTGGCTAATTTTTTGTATTTTTTAGTAGAGACGGGGTTTCACCATGTTAGCCAGGATGATCTTGATCTCCTGACGTTGTGATCCATCCGCCTCGGCCTCCCAAAGTGCTGGGATTACAGGCGTGAGCCACCACGCCTGGCCTCTCTTTTGTTAAAATATGGAAATACTCCACATTGTTTGGAGAACAGTCACAGCCTCAAGTCCCACAAGGTCTCCTGCTATCTCTGACTCCCCTCAACCGGGTACTGACATGGTGATGGGTGGCACCCCAGTTTGGATCCAAGAGTCTGGGTCAAAGAGATGGCCCTCCCCTCTGGGGTCAGTGGGACCCAAAACACAAAACACAGGGCCTTCTCAGCATCTTCGCAGAAGCAGAGGCCAGGTCAGGGGTTGGGGCGGTCAGTGTGACCCTGAAGTAGCCCCTCTACCTTACAGAGAAGGAGCCTGACCTTAGAGCTGTGCTTCCCTCCTAGGCGAAGTGCCTGGGGCCTCTGCGCCCTTCTCTGGAAGGCAGTGGTAACACAGCAATCAGACAATGAATGTGCGTCGCTGAGCATGGAATATACAGTAGGTGCCCAACAGATGGGATGTTGTTGTTTCACAACTGCCTAAAAAAGGAATTCAGGGGGCCGGGCGCGGTGGCTCACGCCTGCAATCCCAGCACTTTGGGAGGCCGATGTGGGCGGATCACGAGGTCAGGAGATCAAGACCATCCTGGATAACATGGTGAATCCCCATCTCTACTAAAAATACACGCACACAAAAATCAGGCAGGCGTGGTGGTGCGCGCCTGTAGTCCCAGCTACTCCGGAGGCTGAGGCAGGAGAATGGCGTGAACCTGGGAGGCAGAGCTTGCAGTGAGCAGAGATTGCACCACTGCACTCCAGCCTGGGCCACAGAGCGAGACTCCGTCAAAAATAAATAAATAAAAATAAATAAATAAATAAATAAATAAATAAAAAGGAATTCAGGTCCCACTGGCACTTTTGGCATTTTGGCAGGTGTTGCTGGGGCCCTGCCCATAGCTCAACTACACACCTGAGGTACACTACTTTGCCCAGGGTCTCTCTGTGGCTGCACAAGTGTTAGGGAATTAATAGCTCCCCTGGGAGTGGCCTGTGATTATGTCTGATGGGCACTGGAGGATAAATACTCCAATTCCCTCCCTGTGAGGTGGGATGACTCTGTGGTATGTGCTCTCTGTTGCCTCCTGGAGGTATCCACTGAAACTGAGCCCCATTTGTTCACAGCAGGAACTGGCTTAATAATACACTCTTTCCTGGTTGCCTTTCTGTCCCTGTGTCACTTCCTCTCTCCCTTACTGCCCTGCATCCCAGATAAATTCCTTGCACTCAATCCTTGTCTCAGGCTCTGCTTCTGGGGGAGTCCAAACAAAGACAACTTTATAGGCGTTTGGTCACAGACCTCAACCCCTAGGCTAGAGAGCTCCCCTCTATCTCCCAAATGTTATACAGGGAACTTGTGGCTTCATTTAAAACTGAAAGGGGAGACCAGGCGTGGTGGCTCATGCCTATAATTCCAGCACTTTGGGAGGCCAAGGAGGGAGAACTGCTTGAGGCCACGAGTTCAAGAACAGGCTGGGCAACAGAGTAAGATCCCATCTCAAAAAAAAAAAAAAAAAAAAAAAAGAGAAAGCAGAGGGGAAGCTCAGTGCTGGCTCTTGCAGGATTGGCAGGGTGAGGGAGATGCAGCTCCAGGCCCCAGTGGAAGACTCACTTCACCAGCAGAAGATCAACTCAGAATAAAATAACTGCAGGCTAGGTACGGTGGCTCATGCCTATAATCCCAGCACTTTGGGAGGCCGAGGCAGGCGGATCACCTGAGGTCAGGAGTTGGAGACCAACCTGGCTGACGTGGTGAATCCCCGTCTCTGCTAAAAATACAAAAATTAGCCGGGCGTGATGGTGGGCGCCTGTAATCCCAACTAGTCGGGAGGCTGAGGCAGGACAATTGCTTGAACCCGGGAAGCAGAGGTTGCAGTGAGCCAAGATTGCACCACTGCACTCCAGCCTGGGCAACAGAGTGAGAATCCATCTCAAAAAAAAAAAAATAATAATAAATTACAGATTCAGTGATTCCCTCCCACCTCACCAAACCAAATGAATCAGAACATCTAGGGGTTTGCTCAGGGTATCATTTAATTTTAAGAAATTTCCCTAAGTGCTTCTTTTTTGATTTTTAGAGTCCGGGTCTTGTGTTGTTGCTCAGGCTGGAGGGCAGTGATGTGATCGCAGCTCACTGCAGCCTTGAACTCCTGAGCTCAAGTAATCCTCCTGCCTTCGCCTAAGTAGTTAGGACAACAGTCATGTGCCACTATGCTGGCTAATTTTTCAATGTTTTCTAGAGATGAGGTCTTGCTATGTTGCCCAGGCTGGTCTGAAACGCCTGGGTTCAAGCAATTCTTCTGCCTTGGCAGAAGTCCCAAAGTGCTGGGACTACAGGCATGAGCCACCACACCTGGCCTCAAGTGCTTCTAATAAGTAGCATCTCCACCAAATGAAAGCCACTGTTTTGGAGGAAAAAGGTCCATTAGTAGGATCCCTTTCCTAGCATTTATTTATTTATTTTGATACAGGGTCTTGCTCTGTCACCCAGGGTGGGGTGCAGCGGCTCAATCACGACTCACTGCAGCCCTGACATCCTGGGCTGAATCCATCCTCTCACCTCAGCCTCCTAAGTAGATGGGACTGCAGGTGCACGCCACCACACCAGGCTAATTTTGTACTTTTTGTAGAGACAGAATCTCACTATGTTGTCCAGGTTGGTCTCAGACTCCTGGGCTCAAGCGATCCACCTGCCTCAGCCTCCCAAAGTGCTGCGATTACAGGTGTCAGCCACCGTGCCTGGCCCCTAGCATTTATTGAGTGCCCATGCCAGGCCAGGCTTCATCCTCAACCCTCTAGATGCACGTTAGTCCATTTGCTGTTTACCAGGGCTCTGCTGAGGTGGAGGGGGAGGATGGCTCCTTTTAATGATGGGGAGGTGACAAAGCTTATATAGGACGAGGCAAGATCTGAACTCTGGTGCTAAAGCTGATGCCCCTAACCACCTCCGTGAGCCAAGGTGGGAACCTGGTTTCCTGAGACCCTGGCTGAGACCCAGACTGTAGGTCACTCTCTTCAAAGGGATGGACTAAGCTGGTGGTCAAGAGAACAGATGTCCTGGTTCAAGTCCCACCTTGGCCACTCACTGGGGACCTTCAAGAATTCACTTCACTTCAAGTCCCAGCCCACTAGTATAAGCCTTCTTCACCTTAATTTTTTTTTTTTTTTGAGACAAAGTCTCACTCTGTCACCCAGGCTGGAGTGCACTGGTGCCATCTTGGCTCACTGCAACCTCCGCCTCACAGGTTCAAGCGATGCTTGGGCCTCAGCCTCACGAGTAGCTGGGATTACAGGCACACGCCACCATGCCTGGCTAATTTTTGTATTTTTAGTAGAGACGGGGTTTCACCATGTTGTCCAGGCTGGTCTTGAACTCCTGACCTCAAGGGATCTGCCCTCCTCAAGCTCCCAAACTGCCGGGATTACAGGTGTGAGCCATCACACTCAGCCCCCAATTTTTTAAAAAATAATTTTAATTTAATTTAATTTAATTTATTTATTTATTGAGATGGAGTCTCACTCTGTCACCCAGGCTGGAGTGCAGTGGCAAGATCTCGGCTCACTGCAACCTCCGCCTCCCACGTTCAAATGATTCTCCTGCCTCAGCCTCCCGAGTAGCTGAGACTACAGGCATGCGCCACCACACCCAGCTAATTTTTGTACTTTTTAGTAGAGATGGGGTTTCACCATGTTGGCAAGGGTGGTCTGGATCTCTTGACCTCATGATCCACCCACCTCTGTCTCCCAAAGTGTTGGGATTACAGGTGTGAGCCACCGCACTCAGCCAACTATACTTTTGTGTGTGTGCTATGAACCTTGGCCATGTGAGAATAGTGCTGGCTATTTTATTTTATGCATAAAGGCTTGTAAATGCATAACAAAATAGCAAGGGCTTCAAGGTTACCTTTTGTAATAAAATAGCTATCAAAATATTTTTTAAGGCTAGGCACAGTGTCTCATGCCTGTAATCCCAGCATTTTGGGAGGCTGAAGCAGGCAGATTGCTTGATGCCAGGAGTTCGAGACCAGCCTGGCCAACATGGTGAAACCCCGTCTCTACTAAAAATATAAAAATTAGCCTGGCATGCTGGTGTGCATCTGTAGTCCCAGCTACTCAGAAGGCTGAGATGGGAGAATCGCTTGAACCCAGGAGGTGGAGGTTTCAGTGAGCCAAGATTGTGCCACGGTACTCCAGCTTGGGCAACAGAGCAAGACTGTGTCTCAAAAAAAAAAAAAAAGTTTTAAAAATGGCGATCTAACAATGAATATACTTCTCCATTAACACACTGAGTAGGCCGGGTGCGGTGGCTCCCGCCTGTAATCCCAGCACTTTGGGAGGCCGAGGCGGGCGGATCATGAGGTCAGGAAATCAAGACCATCCTGGCCAACATGGTGAAACCCCATCTCTACTAAAAATACAAACAATTAGCCAGGTGTGGTGGCAGGCACCTGTAGTCCCAGCTACTCGGGAGGCTGAGGCAGGAGAATGGCGTGAACCCAGGGGGTGGAGCTTTCAGTGAGCCGAGATTGCGCCACTGCACTCCAGCCTGGGCAACAGCGAGACTGTCTCAAACAAAACAAAACAGAACAACAACAAAAAAACACTGAGTAACAAATTCTAGCTGTAGGTTTAATCACAAGCAACATTTTAAAGCAATGATGAATGCAAATTAAATGTTAAGGTATCTGCAGCTCTTATAATGCAGTATGAAAATATCTGATGTTTATAAGTGACACAGGTCATGTTGATAATATTAAGGGTTGATAATACTAATACTAAGGGTTTGTTATCTCCCTTTAAGATGGAAGGAAATGTTAAAATTTAGTTAGTGGCTGGTGAAAAATAAAGACATATTTATTTTTATTATTATTATTTTTTTGAGACTTGCTCTGTTGCTCAGGCTGGAGTGCAGTGGTGTGATCTCAGCTCACTGTAACCTCCACTTTGTGGGTTCAAGCGATTCTCCTGCCTCAGCCTCCTGAGTAGCTGGGATCATGGGCACCCACAAGCACGCCAGGCTAATTTTTTGTAGTTTTAGTAGAGATGGGGTTTTGCCATGTTGGCCAGGGTGGTCTCGAACTCCTAGGCTCAAGTGATTTGCCTGCCTCTGCCTCCCAAAGTGCTGGGATTACAGGTGTGAGTCACTGTGCCTGACCTCTGTGTTTGTTTTTTAAAGATGGAGTCTTGCTGTTGCCCAGGCTGGGGTGCAGTGGCATGATCATAGCTCACTGCAACCTCCACCTCCTGGGCTCAAAATATCTTCCCACCTCAGCCTCCTGAGTAACTGGCACTACAGGCACGAGTTACCATGCCTGGCTAATTAAAAAAAAATTTTTTTTTTTTTTGTAGGGACAGGGGCTTGCTTTGCTGCCCAGGCTGGTTGAGAACTCCTAGCTTCAAGCGATCCTCCTGCCTTGGCCTCCTGAAGTGCTAGGATTACAGGCATGAGCCACTGTGCTCAGCCTGATTTCAGTTTTCTTTCTTTCTTTCTTTTTTTTGAGACAGAGTTTCACTCTTGTTGCCCAGGCTGGAGTGCAGTGATGTGATCTCGGCTCACCACAACCTCTGCCTCCCAGGTTCAAGCGATTCTCCTGCCTCAGCCTCCCGAGTAGCTGGGATTACAGGCATGCGCCACCACACCCGGCTAATTTTGTATTTTTAGTAGAGACAGAGTTTCTCCATGTTGGTCAGGCTGGTCTCGAACTCCCGACCTCAGGTGATCCGCCCACCTTGGCCTCCCAAAGTGCTGGAATTACAGCCATGAGACACCTCGCCCAGCCTGATTTCAGTTTTCTTATCTCTAAAATGGATGCTAAAGACTCCCAGCCATGATGACTCCCATCATTTTGAGGAACTGGATACATAAGCAGCCATATGGTAACACTCACAGGTTGGGTCTCCCTGGGACTCCTTGGCAAACACAAGAATGCCTAAGTAGGATCTGTGGCCACTGGCAGGATACTGAAGCCACCCTTGAGGTTGGGGTTCTTGGGGCCACGTTGGGAGACCATCATCCAGGACCCATTGTTCCCCCTTGGGCTTCTCCCAAGCCCATAGCTGTAGCCCCAAGGTGGTACTTACCAGAATCCCAAAAGCCATGACTTTCAGCACACATTCCAGAGAGAAGAGGGAGGTGAAGACGATGTTGAACACCCGCAGGGCATTTTCATAAGCAACAGAAGCCCCATAGAACTAGGGGAAAGAAGCAGGAGTAGCAGGGGTCAGCGAGCAGGGGTGGGAAGTGGGAAGTGGGGAGGCAGCTTCATGGCTGTTCTCCAGGCAACACTCCAGCCCCAGGCAAGGTCTGAGCAACCTCACTGGTAGGAGGCACAGTTCAGGAAAGCCCCGCTCTCCGCCGGACTAGGCTCTTCTTTTCACATCCAAAAAAACAAAAACCTCCCCCAACCTTTTTTTTTTTTTTTTGGTAGACGGGGTCTTCCTATTTTGCCCAGGCTGGGCTTGAACTCACAATCCTACCTTAGCCTCCTGATAGTCGGGACTATAGGCATACGCCATTGTGCTTGGCTGAATTATACTTTTTTTTTTTTTTTTTTTTTGAGGAGTCTCACTCTGTCACCCGGGCTGGAGTGCAGTGGCGCGATCTCGGCTCACTGCAAGCTCCACCTCCTGGGTTCATGCCATTCCCCTGCCTCAGCCTCCCAAGTAGCTGGGACTACAGGTGCCCACCACCATGCCCAGCTAACTTTTTGTATTTTTAGTAGAGACAGCGTTTCACCGTGTTAGCCAGGATGGTCTTGATCTCCTAACCTTGTGATCGCCCTCCTCGGCCTCCCAAAGTGCTGGGATTACAGGCGTGAGCCACCGTCCCCGGCTTCCTTATTTTTTTTGAGACGGAGTCTCACTCTGTTACCCAGGCTGGAGTGCAGTGGTGTGATCTCAGCTCACTGCAACTTCCGCCCCCTGGGTTCAAGCGATTCTCATGCCTCAGCCTCTCACGCAGCTGGTATTATAGGCATGCGCCACCACGCCCAGCTAATTTTTGTATTTTTAGTAGAGACGGGATTTCACCATGTTGGCCAGTTGGTCCCGAACACCTGGCCTCAAGTGATCCGCCTGCCTCGACCTCCCAAAGTGCTGGGATTACAGGTGTGAGCCACCTTGCCCGGCCACTATTGATCGTTTTTGAAGTGCCGAGAAGGAGCTAAGGTCCTTGCATGAACTTTCTCATTCAATCCTCTCACCTCCTCTGGAGGGGGCAAATGTGCTCTTATTATCATTCCCATTTTATTGACAGGGAAACTGAGTCCCCAGAAAGTCACTGGTTGCTTGTACAAAGGTAAATGAATTAAATGGAAGAGCTGGGCTTGAATCCACGCTTTGGAGTCCAAAGCACAGGGTGAAAGGTTTTCAGAGTTTTTTTTTGGAAGCCGCTCCTTAGCCCTGGGGATTTTAGGGTCCTCACCTACCCCTTCTCCCTCATTTCTTTCTTTTTCTTTTCTTTTTTTTTTTGAGATGGAGTCTTGCTCTTGTTGCCCAGGCTAGAGTGCAATTGCGCTATCTCGGCTCATGGCAACCTCCGCCTCCCGGGTTCAAGCAATTCTCCTGCCTCAGCCTCCCGAGTAGCTGGGATTACAGATGCGCACCACCACGCCTGGCTAATTTTGTATTTTTAGTAGAGATGCGGTTTCTCCGTGTTGGTCAGGCTGGTCTCGAACTCGTGACCTCAGGTGATCCGCCCGCCTCGGCCTCCCAAAGTTCTGGGATTACAGGCATGAGCCACCGCGCCCAGCCCCCTCATTTCATTAATCAAACATTTATAGAGAGCTTCTTGTTCCGTCTGAGCCAGATCCTTGTTGGCCTCTAGGAATTCAGGGCTGAGGTCATCATAAATGGGTGGGGGACACTGTCATGCAACCTGACGCAGATTTTTGTGGCAGGCGACATAAAGATAGGATGCCTGCTAAGATGGGCACCTCAAGCAGTCTTGGGTGGTCAGGGAAGGCTTTCTGGAGGAAGAGGTCTGCAGGTACAGCTGGGAAGAAGAAGCTGGCCGGGGGAGTGGTGGGAACAGTGTGTCAGGTAGAGGGAACAGCAGGAACAAAATCTCAGAGGTGATCCAGAGTGTGGTCTGTCTGGGAAACTGCAGATGGTTTCATTTTATCAGGGTAGAGGCAGGAACGAGGTGGGGGTTAAGTAGTGCTGGGGGCTGGTGTGGGGCACTTACCTTCATCATAAGCACGATGGTGTTGAGGGCGATCATGGCCATGATCGTGTACTCGAAAGGCGGAGACACCACGAACTGCCACATGCGGTACTGGAAGCTCTGCTTGTTCTGCGGCATGTGTCGGGTCAGCGGCTTGGCGCTGATGGCGAAATCAATGCAGGCCCTCTGCGGGAGAGAGGCCAGTGGTGAGAGCGGCAGAGGCAGGAGGAAGGTGGCTGTACACCGGGCACCCTCTGTCTAACTCGTCGCGGTTCTCAAGTGCTTCTGCTTGAGTCTCTGCCTCTCTTGCCCCCAGCCAGGATTCCTGGGCTCTCTCTTCCTTCTCACCATTGCTTTCTTATCCCAACAGCTACAGTTGCTTGAGATGTCACCAACTGCCAAAACTTGCACTGACATTTCCCCATTATTGCATGGCTAATACAAACATGGGAAGTGGGTACTATCAATGGCCTCACTTTGCAGATCACCAAAATAGAGGCTTAGAAAGGTTAAACCACTTGCCTGAGGTGACACAGCTACCGAGTGTGCCAAATCAAATTGAAGCCTAATCCTTCTTCCCCTTCCTCCCTCCCTCGCTCCCTCCCTCCTTCCTTCCTTCCTCCCTCCTTCCTTCCCTCCCTCCCTCCTTCTCTCCCTCCCTCCTTCCCTCCCTCCCTCCTTCCCTCCCTCCTTCCCTCCCTCCTTTCCTTCCTTCCTCCCTCCCTCCTTCACTTTCCTTTTTCCTTCCTTCCCTTCATTCCTTCCACCCTTTCCCCTTTCTCCTTTCCTTTCTCTCTTCTTCCTTCTTTCCTTCGCTCCCTTTCTTTCTTCTTCATTCCTTCTTCCCTATCTCCTTCCTTCCCTCCCTCCTTTCTTTCTCTCTCTCATTTCCTTCCTTCCCTCCCTCCCTCCCTCCTTCCTTTTTTTTTTTTTTTCTTTGACACGGGCTTGCTTTGTCACCCAGGCTGGAGTGCAGTGCAATCACAGCTCACTGCAGCCTTGACCTCCTGGACTCAAGTGATCCTCCCGCTTCAGCCTCCTGAGTAGCTGGGACTACAGGCGTGCACCACCACACCCAGCTAATTAAAACTTTTTTTTTTTAATCATAGAGATGGGGTCTCACTATGTTGCTCAGGCTGGTCTTGAACTTCCGGGCTCAAGCAATCCTCCTGCCTTGGCCTCCTAAAGTGTTAAGATTACAGGCGTGAGCCACTGCGCCCAGCCCATTCTTTCTTACTGAATACTTTGCTGCGTCTTCTCCTTCTCTTTGAGGGAGAGAGAAGGAGGAATAGTGGTTATTAAGTCTTAAGGGTCAAGGGAGCAGAGGATATATTCTAGGTCCTCTATTTAGCTTGGATGATGCCAGAGAGGCAAAGAGTCATGTCTATACTCTCTGGTAGACAGGGGACTGGATTTTCTTTCCTTTTCTTTTTTTGAGAGAGGGTCTTGCTCTGTTGCCCAGGCTGTAGTGCAGTGGCATAATGATAGCTCACTGCAGCCTCGAACTCCCAAGCTCAAGCATCCTCCCACCTCAGCCTCCCATGTTACTGGGGCTAAAGGTGTGCACCATCCTGCCTGGCTAATTTTTTTGATTTGTAGTAGAGATGGGGTCTTGCTATGTTGGCCAGGCTGGTCTCAAACTCCTGAGCTCAAGTGATCCTCCTGCCTCAGCTTCCCAAAATGTTGGGATTACAGGTGTGAGCCACCACACCTGGCTTGGCTTTTCATTCATAAATATTCACCACCCTTCGCTAGGGGAGATTGTATTTGCCCACTCCACTGATGTCAGAATGGATGTGTGACTTGCTTTGGCTGATGAAATGTGAGCAGAAGTGACATGTGTAATTTTTGAGCACAAGCCTGAAGAACTGAACCTCAGTCTGACATACTCTCTTTTTCATCTGGAGCATCTCAGAGGGAGGCTGCTCTGCTGCTCTGCCAGCCTGGGAACCAGAATAAAGATGGCAAGATCCACAACTGATGTTGACATGCAGTGTGAGCAAAAAATAAGTCCCTTTGTGGATATTTGGCAATGAAATCTGGGGTTGCTTGTTACTGCGGCATAACCTAGTCTAAACTGACTGATACATACACTATATGATGTGTTTCCTCTGGAAACTCCATGAAGGGCTGCCCTGAAGACTGGATTCGGTTGGGACAATGCTTCTGTTCCCTCCCCCAGGTACCCCTAGAAAGGGGTTCCTGGGTGTTGTGTGTGTTTTAAAGTTTGTGTGTGTCCCCAGTTTTTAAAGGACAGATGGAATTGGAAGTGGCACCTCATTTTTCTCCAGGCTGTATTCCTCCATCATCTTGTCCCCTTGCTCCTGGAAGGTGATGATGATCAAGGCCACAAAGATATTGACAAAGAAGAAGGGGAACACCACAAAGTAGACGACGTAGAAAATGGACATCTCCATGCGGTACCCGGGGCTGGGGCCCTGGTTCTCAAAGGTGGCGTCCACCGAATGCTTGAGGACCCTGCAAGGAATGGGGCAGGGAGAGGGAAGGGGCAGGAAGGAGAGAGACAGGGACCCAAGGGGTGATGAGGAAGGTGGAGAGAGGGTGGAAGTGAGATGGCAGAACAGGAACAGAGGGAAATGAAAAAGAAATTTAAGTAGTCGCTGTTTTTTGAAAGGCTGACAACAATGTCAGTTATTTCTTAATTTTAATTTTAATTTTTTGAGATGGAGTTTCGCTCTCGTTGCCCAGGCTGGAGTGCAACGGCGTGATCTTGGGTCACTACAACCTCCGCCTCCCGGGTTCAAATGATTCTCCTGCCTCAGCCTCCCAAGTAGCTGGGATTACAGACATGCGCCACCAAGCCTGGCTAATTTTTTTGTATTTTTAGTAGAGACGGGGTTTCACCATGTTGGCCAGGCTGGTCTTGAACTCCTGACCTCAGGTGATCCACCTGCCTCGGTCTCCCAAACTGTTGAGATTACAGGTGTGAGCCACCACGCCTGGCCAATGTCAGTCATTTCTACTGCTGTGCATGAAGGGCTTGCTGTGTGCTGGAAACAATATTCAACAATTCATCCCCACCGGCTCAGCAACCCTCCCAGGGAGGTTATTACTGGCTCCACTTTGCACATGAGGAACTTGAGGTTCAGCAATTTAAAGGGACGTGCTGAAGACCACCCACTTATAAGTGGCCAAGTTGGGATTTAAAGACAGGTTGTGGCAATGGAGGGAGTAGAGGTGGGTGTATGCATGTAGAGTGGGTATTTGAGCACAGGTGGTGCTGGGTGCTCAGGAGGTACAATGGGGATATATATGAGAGTGGGTAAGTGCACAGCAGCTCTGTACAGTAGTGCAGGTTGCACACTGCTCAAAGGCTCTGTGTCTAAGCGATACCTTCACATGATAGGCATGATAGATTTGTGTATTCATGATGACAATTTTTTGGCAGGTGGTCCTTCAGTGCCTTGTTTGAACAAAATCATTTAAGTCTATTGCGATGATTTTCAGACAGATGGAAATGAAGTCTGTTGAGAAAGGTGTTTAAAAAAACTTTGCTCAAAGGTGCCTTGTGGGTTAGCATTATTCCCACATGTGTGAGTACTGGATGTGTCTGAGAGTGGGTAGTAGGGCATGTTCAGGTTGGCATATTTGCTGAGAGAGGGAGGGAGGTGAGGATGCTGAGGGCACATGCTGGAATCTACCAAGCTTCCAGCCTGGCATTTCCAAGACCTCTGAGAGAAAGACCATTACTTGGACGAGGTGAGGGAGGGAGGCATTTGTTTTGGGTGCAAATTAAGGGGGTACTGAAAATCTCAGTAATCAAGATAATCTTTTGCTCCAATATTTTAAAAAATCAAAATTAATGCAAAAAGTCCATGATGAACAAATATCAATTTCTTCTTCTTTTTTTTTTTCAGGGATAGGGGTCTCCTTCTGTTGTCTAGGCTGGAGTACAATGGCATAATCACAGCTCACTGCAGCCTTGAACTCTTGGGCTCAAGCGATCCTCCCACCTCAGCCTCCTGAGTAGCTGGGATAACAGGTATGAGCCACCACAAGTGGCTCAAAATTTTAAATAAAGACTAAGTCCATGATTCAGCCTCACTTTTTTTTTTTTTTGAAGGCGGGGAGGCCATAGTCTTGCTCTGTCACTCAGGATGAAGTGCAGTGGTGCAATCTCGGCTCACTGCAACCTCTGCCTCCTGGGTTCAAGTGATTCTCGTGTCTCAGCCTCCTGAGTAGCCGGGACCACAGGTGTGAGCCACCATGCCTGGCAGCTTTTTTTTTTTTTTTTTTTTTTTTTTTTTTGGGATTTTTAGTAGAAATGGAGTTTTGCCATGATGGCCAGGCTGATCTCAAACTCCTGGCCTCAAGTGATACATCTGCCTTGGCCTCCTAAAGTGTTGGGATTACAGGCGTGAGCCACCATGCCCGGCCTCCAAGACCTTTCTTATTGCTAAGCTCTCAGGCCCTTTATCCTCCTGCTCCCCAGGGCTCCTCCTGGATAGATTTCCAGTCGGGCCACTTACTGTGGCCAGCCTTCTCCCGTGGACACGGTGAAGAGGGTCAGCAGAGCCCACAGCACATTGTCGTAATGGAATTCATACTTCTTCCACTCCCGGTCTCGCGCCTTCACCTCATTCTTCTCGTAGAGGAGGTATTTGCCTCTGCCACAGAGAGTGGGGACTGTTAGTAAATGGGAAAGAGGGGCTGTCTTGCACTTGTCTTTGGTTATCAGAGACAGGGGGAGGGAAAGGAAGAGTGGTCCACCAGCCTAGACTGCTTGGGAAGCAGTGACTCCCCATCCTGCCACCATGTGTTCCTGTGCTTCATAGGGGATGACGTGTGCATCTACTTTGAGATAAATCCATGGGTGATGGCACAACCTTACTCCTGGTGGGAGAGCTGACCCAGGGTCCAGCACCCTCTTCCAACGTGATAACTTCTAGTCCTCAGGGTGAGAGCCTCAGGCTTGCTGGGGGTGGGGTGGAGGGAGTTTAGGAGGAGGCAGAGAGACATAGGGGACATTTAGAGGTTCATCAGGCTAAGGGAGGTTGCTACTCCTTTTCAAGGCAGGAAACAAGGGTTAGTTCCAGACTCCTATCCAGACATCTGGCATCCTCCTAATTTCAATAAATAGCCATCAAGATAACAACAGGCTACCATGTGTTGCAAAATGCCACTTTACACTGGTAACAATATCACTATATATACACATACATATATATACACACACACATATAATACATATGTGTGTGTGCGTGTACATATATATATATACATATATATATATATATATTTTTGTTGTTGTTGTTTGTTTGTTTGTTTGTTTGAGATGGAGTCTGGCTCTGTTGCCCAGACTGGAGTACAGTGGCCCAATCTGGGCTCACTGCAAGCTCCGCCTCCCGGGTTCACGCCATTCTCCTGTCTCAGCCTCCCAAGTAGCTGGGACTACAGGCGTCTGCCACCATGCCCAGCTAGGTTTTTGTATTTTTAGTAGAGACAGGGTTTCACCGTGTTAGCCAGGATGGTCTCGATCTCCTGACCTCATGATCCGCCCGCCTCGGCCTCCTAAAGTGCTGAGATTATAAGCATGAGCCACTGCGCCCGGCCTATATGTATATATTTTTGAGAGGCAGGGTCTCACTCTGTCACGCAGGCTGGAGTGCAGTGGTACCATCATAGTGCATTGCAGCCTTGAACTCCTGTGTTTAAACAATCCTCCCGCCTCAGCCTCCCGGGTAGCTGGGACTACAGGTGTGTGCTACCATGCCCCGCTAACTTTTAAAATTTATTTTGTAGGATGGGCTCTCATTATGTTGCCCAACCTGGTCTCCAACTCCTGGCCTCAAGTGATCCTCCCACCTCAGCCTCCCAAAGTGTTGGAATTACAGGTGTGAGCCACTGCACCTGGCCTCTTACCTAACTTATTTGGTAATGAAACCTGATCTGATTGGACATGAAGCTCTTTATACTTGTTATTTACCCCATTTGATGTAAATAGTTACACATTTTATGGCAGAAATATTGTGTTTGATTATAGGGCTGCCTTAGACCCAGCTGAGGGTGTCATGTCCCACATGGGAATCTCAAAATATTCTCAACTTTGAAACACATCTGCCTGTAACGATTTCAAGTAAGGAACTGTGGATGTGTATTAATATCCCTCACATGACAAAGGCGGTGGCTGAAAGGTCAATCAATTTGCTTATGACTCATTCTGTGGCTCTGGGTGGTGACTCAAATTCTAAAACCGGTTTTCTTTCTACCCAAGATCCAAGCTGGTTGCAACTGAGTCACTTCCAAGGCTCATCACTTCTCCAGTCTCTGAGCCCAAGTGGCCAATGCCTCTAGCCACTTCCCCCCTGCCCACCTGCTGGTTCCAATGGGAATGTGCTGGAAAGTGGAGACCCACCGACAATCTTTCTCAAACTCTTTGGACTCGTCAGTGCAGTGGAAGAATTTCCCCTTGAAGAGCTGCACAGCCACCACGGCGAAGATGAACATGAATAGCATGTAGACGATGAGGATGTTGAAGACGTTTTTAAGTGAGTTCACCACACAGTCAAACACAGCCTGTGGGGTGGAGTTGACAGAGAGCATGAGGGGCTGGGGACCTGCCCAACCTTCTGCCTCCAGTGGCCCATCATACCAAAATACTGCCATGATCATTCCCATTTTACAGGCAAGGTCATAAGTCAAGTCACTAGGGTAAGGTCCCCCCAGCTTTCAGAAATAAGCGTTGGAGGAGTTGGACTCAATCCTGGCATTCTATGGATCTAAAACTCCCAGATGGGATACCAGAGATGCTTTTAAGTGATACAGGAGCCCAACACAGAAAAACAAGGTAACAAAGTTACTTCCTTTCCAACTCTCTCAATCCTTTTGAGTGAAGGAGAAATTTTTACTTAGTTGCTACCATGTTAACACCTACCATTGACATTTTCCCTCTTTAACCAAGAAAGAGCAGTTGTCAATGCACAAAGCCTTAGGCAGGCAGCCATATTTGGTTAGATTTCCATAACAGTATCTGTTTTCTGTCTTTAATTTTTAGTAGAGACAGAGTCTAACTATGTTGCCCAGGCTGGTCTCATTCTCCTGGGCTCAAGCAACACTCCTGCCTTGGTCTTTCAAAATGCAGGGATTACGGGTGTGACTTGATTTAAAGAAACATATTACATAAGAGATAATACTGGGGACCCCCAGGTGAAGCATAGAGTGAAAGTGGGTGCTCTAATGACTGGATTTTATTTCCCTTAATATATATATATGTTTTTGAATGACAGGCTTTTGGGAAATGCTGGTTCATGCTATTTTGGAATGGGAGATACTAGAGCCTAGAATAGGTAGATGAAAAGTCAAAATTTTATGGAACAAGAAATCTAGTTCCTGCTTCCCAGATCACGGTTATACCCTTTTAAATCCATATGATGCCTTCATGCGAATTAGGAAAAAGGATCTTAACCCCAAGACACTTCATCTAAAGAAAAACTGCCATAATACACAGATTATTTTAGGTCAGCTCACTTTACTGCCATCTGCTGGGAAGTTGTAATAATACAAATATCCATACACGATGGCTAGGATGTTATCAGCACCTCCTTTAATGTGTTGTCCTTGAGCAGTGTACAACCTGCTCAGCTGTACATGATAACCCTGACAGTCCCCCCCACCGCACCCCACCATCTCCCAATCTCACCTTGAGCTTTGGCAGCCGCTTGATGGTTTTAAGAGGTCGTAGCACCCGGAGGACTCGGAGGGATTTAATCGTGTTGATGTCTTTTCCTTTGCTATTGCCACTGTGGAGGAATGTTTAGGTGGGAAGAAGGGAAGAGAGGAAGCAGAGGTCAGGTTGGGTAGGGGGCAGCCCACAGCTCCATGGGACCCTACCCTCCCAGGCCTAGAAGTCTGGGGTGAGCTTGGCACAGCCCTGCCCTTCCTGGTGAAGAGTGGTCCATTTCACCTGTTAAGCTTGGGCTCGGGAGCCAGTAAGTACGTGGCTTTTTGTGGTTCTGGTCCCAGGGTTGGTTGAGGGCCCTTTGCCATCTGGCTGGGCCTGAGCAGCTGTATTGGGTGTCCCTGAGACCCAGCACAAGGGGGTTGGCTGATTCCCCACCCCCATTTCTGCACAGCTTTTCTTTTTTCTTTTTTGAGACAGGGTCTGGCTCTGTCACCAAGGCTGGAGTGCAGTGGCACGATCTCGGCTCACTGCAACCTCCGCCTCCTGGGCTAAAGCCATCCTCCCACCTCAGCCTCCCAAGTAGCTGGGACTACAGGCACACGCCACTGCGCCTGGCTAATTGTTTTGTCTTTTTGTAGAGATGAGGTTTCACCATGTTGCCCAGGCTGGTTTCAAACTCCTGAGCTCAAGCAATCTGCCCTCCTCACCCTCTCAAAGTGCTGGGATTACAGGTGTGAGCCACTACACCTGGTCACAGCTATTTTCAAAAAAGCCCTTGGTCTAGGAGTTTAGTGGTCCCCTATGTATTCTTTTTTTTTTTTGAGATGGAGTTTCACTCTTGTTGCCCAGGCTGGAGTGCAATGGTATGATCTTGGCTCACTGCAACCTCCACCTCCCAGGTTCAAGTGATTCTCTTGCCTCAGCCTCTCCAAGTAGCTGGGACTACAGGTGCGTGCCACCATGCCCAGCTAACTTTTGTATTTTTAGTAGAGATGGGGCTTCACCATGTTGGCCAGGCTGGTCTTGAACTCCTGACCTCAGGTGATCCACCCACCTTGGCCTCCCAAAGTGTTGGGATTACAGGTGTGAGCCACTGCGCCTGGCCCCCTGTGTATTCTTTTTAAAGGTGGTATCAGTGGGCTCTTAAAAAAATGGGATTTTCTCCCCCTTCCAATGGGATTCTGGAAGATACTTAAAGTGGCCCTTATACCAAATCTCCCCTCCCCCACCATATTCCCTGAGTCTGAAGGAGGGAAAATAACCGGGTGCCGCTGTTTTCAGATGCTGATGTGGCTGCTGCCATGGTCTCTGCTGCATTGCTCCAAGGGTCTCTGAGCCCATCTTTGCCAGAGAGGACTGCACAGAAGTTCAGTCCAAGGTCTGTTGGAACTGAGCTTAGCAATGCAGACCCCAGAGATGCCATGACACCCTTGGCCAACCATGACTCAGGCCCCCCAAGAGGAGGGTATTGAGTGGGACCATGAATAGCTTGTGGTTCATGGCACTCATGACCCATCCAGTTGTCCACACCAGAAACCTGAGAGTCATGGTCAACTGCCTGCCCTCTATCCCCATCCCCATCCCCAGTGGGTCACCTTCCTTAACATCCCGCCATCCATTCCTGGGTGCCATCCCCCCTCACCCGTCTCCCAACTTGCTCCTCATTCCCTGCCTTTTCTTCCATGTTTTATGCACACAGTGGCTAAAGCCAATGACCTTGTCACTCTTTCTCTTGCTCAGAATTCTTCTGGAGCACGTGAATTCTCAGAAGAGCAAGTGCAAACTTCTGGGCATGGCATTCAATGCTCTTGAAAATCTAGTCCAACTTACCTTCACCTTTGCATTCCCATTTATGGCTACATATCTCAAGCCCCAGCCACATTCTTTTGCCTCTGTCTGCTTATGCATATACTGTTCCCGCTGCTAGAAATGCCCTTCCTCCACTTCTCCAGTCACAGAACTACCCGGTCCTCAAAGCCCAAATTACCTGTTGCTCCCTCCGACAGCATTTCCTGACTGCCTACCTCTGGCTCCTGCCAGCTCCTATGTGCTATTTCGGAGTTAATCTTTGTTTGTTTCTTCGGTCTCTGGTTTTAGACAGAAAACTCTTCAAAGGCTTACAGTGTAATCTACTCTTCTCTGTGTTCATTTTCCCTTTAATCTTTTTTTTTTTTTTTGAGATGGAGTCTTGCTCTATTGCCCAGGCTGGAGTGCAGTGGCATGATCTTGGCTTACTGCAACCTCTGCCTCCTGGGTTCAAGTGATTCTCCCACCTCAGCCTCCCGAATAGCTGGGACTACAGGCATGAGTCACCACACCTGGCTAATTTTTGTATTTTCAGTAGAGACAGGGTTTCACCGTGTTGGCCAGGCTGGTCTCGAACTCCCGACCTCAAGTAATCCACTGGCCTTGACTCCCAAAGTGCTGGGATTACAGGCATGAGCCACCGCACCTGGCCATTTCCCCTTTAATCTTGATTCTTGTCCTAGCCCCTAGCCTGCGCCTGGCGTGTGGTCTCAGGACACGTGAATGCCTCCGGTTGGAGTATTTGGGTGGGGAGGTCACCTAGAAAACATCTCCCTACAGTGACCTCCCAGGTCATGAGCAGAGCTGCCCCAGAGACCCCCATCACGATGGGTCTCAGTATCCAGTGCAAAAACATCATTCTTCACACCATTTGCTTTTTAAAGGACTCCATTTTTTTCATTTTTCAGGGAACAAAGACGATAATTGTATTTTAGCCTGCTAGGCAGAGATATACTCCAGGATTCAGAACTCTGAACCTTTTTTTTTCTTTTTAAAACTAACATCATCATTATCATCTCAAGGCTGTGCCCCCAAGTGTGAGACACACGTTGGACAGTCACTGAGATAATTTTAGGCAGAACAGGGGCACAGATTAAATAATTGGATCTCAGAGGGGCATAATCATTTCTTTTTCTTTCTTTCTTTTTTATTATACTTTAAGTTTCTTTTCCACGTATCTTTCAGACGCTCTGCTTTTGCGAGAAAGGAAGCCTCAGGTAGATGCTAATAGGCCTTTAACACCTCCCTAACACTTAGTAATTTTCCTTTTAACAAAGAGCCCAGCTTGAAGGCAACAACATTGTCTGGTTTCTGTTAGATTTACTTTTTTTTTTTTTTTTTGAGATGGCATTTCTCTCTTGTTACCCAGGCTGGAGTGAATGGCGTGATCTCAGCTCACAGCAGTCTCTGCCTCCCGGGTTCAAGAAATTCTTTTGCCTCAGCCTCCCGAGTAGCTGGGATTACAGGCATGTGCCATCACGTCCGGCTAATTTTGTATTTTTAGTAGAGACGGGGTTTCTCCATGTTGGTCAGGCTGGTCTCGAACTCCCGACCTCAAGTGATCCACCTGCCTCGGCCTCCCAAAGTGCTGGGATTATAGGTGTGAGCCACCATGTCTGGCCTACATTTACTTTTGCAGTTGCAGATTTATCTTAGGTTAGCAATGCTGGTTGTAAGTGGATAATATAGTTTCCTTTTTTTTTATTTAAATTAAAGAGATGGAATCTCAGGGGGGAGTGCAGTGGCACGATCATAGCTCACCGCAGCCTCCAACTCCTGGGCTCAAGTGATCCTTCAGTCTCAGCCTCCCAAATGGCTGGGACTGCAGGCATGCACCACTGCACCTGGCTAAAGTTTCCTTTTGAAATTGAACTTTAGAATACATGTTGATAGAAAAAAAGTCAAGGAACTGTACATCCAGGTTGCACATGGAACTGGCTAAAATCTTGATGTCCCAAACAAGTGACAATTGGGAGCATGTCTCCATGGGCATTCTGCATCTCCTCATCTGAAAACGATTCCATGGCCATTTTATTTTTTTATTGTTCAATTTATTTTATATATTTTTTTGAGACAGAGTCTCACTCTGTCACCCAGGGTGGAGTGCAGTGGTGCAATCTCAGCTCACTGCAACCTCCACCTCCCAGGTTTAAGTGATTCTCCTGCCTCAGCTTCCTATGTAGCTGGGATTACAGGTGTGCACCACCAAGCCCAGATAATTTTTTGCATTTTTAGTAGAGATGGGGTTTCACCATGTTGACCAGGCTGGTCTGAAACTCCTGACCTCAAGTGATCTACCCGCCTCGGCCTCCCAAAATGCTGGGATTAGAGGCGTGAGCCACCGTGTCTGGCCCACTTTCATTGCTTCTGATAACTGCTCCACCCAGCTTGCCTATTGAAACTGAACCTCTGCCCCTTCTGTTCTCTGCAAGAACTGGTGGGGCATGGGCGGAGGCATTGGCAAGACCCTTTGGGATGCCTCCTTCGCAGGGAGTGAGTTCTGGTCATTTGAAGCGACAGGACAGCGGCAGCAAGGACACAAGGCCACAGAAACAGGCCCAGAACTAACGAGGCTGCACCAGGGGACAGATCACGAGAGACAGAATATGAGAGAGAGAGAGAGAGAAAGAGAGAGAGAGAGAAAGATAGAGAGAGACTTTACCGTGTACTGCTCCTGGTGATGTGGCATCGGAGGGAGAGACAGATCGTAAGTGGCCTCAGAAAAAAGAACACAGAACACGCACGTACACACACGCACCCCTGAGCACCCCCGAGTCCCGCCCGGGCAGCAGTTGGGGGAGCCTCAGGCTCATGGCGCTGGCCGATGTCCATCCTTCCATCTGGAAGCCGCCCCCACCTCCATTCAGTCCCCCGCCCTTGGCAGGCACCTGGCACTGCCCAAGAAAGCACTAAGAAAGCCAAATTTCCAGGTAGCAGGACAGCTGCAAAGCTGTCAGTTACCAAAGGTGAATTCACCACGGAAAGTCACTGCCAAGAGCCGGAGAAACCCCTCTTCTCCAGGCGTTGTGGAGCTGCAAGGTTTTAGAATGTCTAAAAGGTTGTGAGCTTTGAAGTTGAGGGGACCTGGGTTTGAATCCTGACTCTGCCTCTCGTTATCCTCATCTGCAAAACAGGCCCAGACTGGGTGCCGTGGCTCACAGCTATAATCCCAGCACCTTGGGAGGACGAGTTGGGAAGATTGCTTGAGGCCAGAAGTTCGAGACCAGCCTGGACAACATAGGGAGACCCTGTCTCTCTCCTTCTCTCCTTTTTTTTTGAGGCAGGGTCTCCCTCTGTTGCCCAGGCTGCAGTGCAGTAGCGGGATCTTGGCTCACTGTAGCCTCAACCTCCAGGGCTCAGGTGATTCTCCCACCTTAGCCTCCCAAGTAGCTGGAAATACAGGCAAATTTTTCCATTTTTTGTAGAGACGGGGGTCTCATTATGTTGCTCAGGCTGGTCTCAAACTCCTGGGCTCAAGTGATCCTCCTGCCTAGGCCTCCCAGAGCGCTGGGATTACAAGTGTGAGCCACTGCATCCTGGGCAAGACTCTGTCTCTTAAAACAAACAACCAACCAACTCAGGTCTGTGGAATTCTGATGTTTGATTAACAAAAGCTATGGCCTTGGCTTTGCTCTTTATGAAGGAGGGGGTCAGCAAAGAGTTCTGACTTGGGATGGAATTAGAAGCAACTCTGAAGCCCTCTGAGCAAATGCGGGCCTGGGGAAAGCTATCAGCACCTAGCAGCTGGTCCTCTCGTGATTCATTGGAATCAGGCTTGGGGCTCATTAGGCGCCTTCAACAATGACTGGAGATCCAGGTTAGAAAGACTTGACCGCCATCAGAATGGCGGAAACCCTGTCGCCAAGCGGACTCTATGGAATTTTCCATCCACGACCCCTCTGGAAGTTAGTGATTTTTTTTTTTTTTTTTGAAACGGAGTCTCGCTCTGTCGCCCAGGCTGGAGTGCAGTGGCAAGATCTCGGCTCACTGCAAGCTCCGCCTCCCAGGTTCACGCCATTCTCCTTCCTCAGCCTCCCGAGTGCTGGGACTACAGGCGCCCACCACCACGCCCAGCTAATTTTTTTTGTATTTTTAGTAGAGATGGGGTTTCACCGTGTTAGCCAGGATGGTCTCCATCTCTTGACCTCGTGATCCGCCCACCTTGGCCTCCCAAAGTGCTAGGATTACAGGTGTGAGCCACCGCGCCCGGCTGTGATATTTTTTAAAACACAGAATGGTTTAAATGTCTACAAATATTCCAAGTGGATTCTCCTCCACACCCCCTCATCTCCTTTTCCTGTAGTCTGACTTGGGGTTCTCAAATTCAGTGTATCTAGGAATTATTGCATACGTAGAATCATATAGATTCTACTTTTTTTTTTTTTTTTTTTTTTTTTGATGGATTCTCACTCTGTTGCCAGGCTGCCTCAGCCTTCCAAAGTGCTGGGATTACAGGCGTAAGCCACCGCACCCGGCTTTATTTTATATTTTTAGAGACGTGGTCTTGCTCTGTCGCCCAGGCTGGAGTGCAGTAGCACAATCATAGCTTACCGCAGCCTTGAACTCCCTGGCTCAAGTGATTCTCCCACCTCAGCCTCCCAAGTAGCTGGGACTACAGGTGAGAGACACCACACCCAGCTTCTTTACGGATGATTGAGGGAGTTTTCAATGACAGTGATTTTTGCCTAATCTGCTGACTTTAGGTTTAATATGGGAGTCTTCTGGACATCACTGCATTTGCCTATGGGAAGACAGCACCATTATGACCATTTTCCAGATGAGGAAGCTGAGGCCTAGAGAAAAAGAGTGACCTGCCCAAGGGCAGGCACACAGCTGGGAAGACAGACTAAGATTCAAACCCAGGTGTGGGTATCTCGCACTCTAATCTTCTTTCCATTTCATCATACACAAGAAAAATAATGCCTTCAGGGGTGGGGGCTGTTTTGAAGATGAGGATCAAGAGATAGCAGCCTGAGGGCTCCATCTTTGGCTTCCTGACAGTTTGGCTCCTGGGTATGCAGGAGCAGCTTGATCAAGGCGCTCTGCCAGTTGCGGTCCTGCCTTTGGGGGAAGAACAGCCGCGCCAGATGGACTCTTGGCGGTGAGGGCAGGATCATGATCTGCCAGCTGCTGAGAAATGTCAGTTGGCCGCCCTGATGCATGGGCACAGAGCGTGATACCACGTGTGATGGCTCATGAAATGGGGTGTTTATGGTAGACGCATGGATACAAGGGACACAGTCAGTGAATTGAGCAGGACACACACACACAGATATTTGGGTGAGGTGCAGGAGGGGTGGACATCTTCAGAAGAGCTTCAATACATCCCTTGGTGGGACCACAGGGATAGTTTTCTCCCATATCGGAGACGAGGCCACAATCACAGCACTGGGGGAAGAATCCTTGCTTTGACCCCAACAGGCCAGAATGGCAAGGTTCCTTTCAACAAGGAAGGGAATAACCTTATGCTCCCTTCCCCTATTCCCTTCCCCTGGATCTCGCAGCCCTGCCAGGCCTCAAAGAACCCAGGCTGGCCAGGCTGCTGAGCATCATTCTGCTCACTGTGAGCCTCCGTATTCAGGGCTGGGAGATGGGTAGCATCTGACAGCTGAACCCAACCTCAGTGATCTTGTCGGACTTACTTCCCTCCACAGTCCCTCTGGGCCGCAGTTTCCTCATCTAGATGGGAAAAACTGAGGCACAGAGAGGCTAAAGGACTTGCACATCTAGAGAGAAATCAAACAGACCTGGAGGGACAATTTCTTAAAACAATAAGGTCAATCTAATACTTGTGGGGCTCTCAGCCTTGTCTATGAGGGGATATGCACAGAGGACAGACAAAGCAAGTTAAAAGACCAGAAAGGAAATAAGCAGAGGACCCTGGGGTGGGGGGTGGGGGGCGGGTGGAGAGTTCAGCGCTCAGGCTGAGAACCTCAGAGCATCCATGCTCCTTCCAATGTGCCAACTATCCGATAACAAGGAAAGACAATAAGCAAAGTCCTCATAGGGTGAGAGACCTTCTCAGGCAAAAGAGGCCAGAAACCTGTAACGGGGAGAAGATTCCAAAACTTTTTAGGGAAAAAAGCAGTAGCTCCTATTCTGGTTTTCTAGCAGTTTGGCTCTTAGGTGTGCAGGAATGGCTTGATCAAGGCACCTGGCCAGCTGTGCTGGGCCTGCAGCCCTGCCCTGGGGGAGGAACAGCAGTACCAGATGGACTCTTGACAGTGGGGTGGGGAGGGTGTGGTAGGCGTGAGGTTTGAGGGTCTCCTCTCTCATCCCTTCGGCCATGATATAAAGATGCTCCCTGTTGGACTCATGTCCGTCGGCTCTTCCAAAACCCTGGGAGAGTCCCAGGCACTTGCCAGGATCCTACTGGCAAAATCTCACACCTCCCAGTTCCTGCATGATCTACAAGCCTGCCAGGGTTGACAGGATGGCCTGAAATCCCTATCCAGATCCTTTTCTTGCATAAGAATTAAAACAACAACATTCAAAATGGATTTTCAAGAGTGAAGGGTGGCTTTATGCCTGTACCAATTTCATGAGAACAATGTAAAAGCTTGACTCTGCAAACAGGCTGCCAAATTCCTGTGAGTTGTAGGCCAATTTGAATGCCCTTGTATAACTTGATATTTAAAAAGAAAACTCAGAAATTAAAAAAAAAGTCAACTCCCCAAAAGAATCATTCTGCTGTTTTTTTTTTTTTTTTTTTTTTTTGAGATGGAGTCTTGCTCCGTCACCCAGGCTGGAGTGCAGTGGCACAATCTTGGCTCACTGCAACCTTCACCTCCTGGGTTCAAGCAATTCTCCTGCCTCACCCTCCCGAGTAGCTGGGACTACAGGCCCTCCCCACCACACCCAGCTAGTTTTTGTATTTTTAGTAGAGATGGGGTTTCACCATGTTGGCCATGCTGGTCTTGGACCCCTGACCTCAAGTGATCCACCTGCCTCGGCCTCCCCAAGTGCTGGGATTACAGGTGTGAGCCATCGCACCCAGCTCATTCTGCTAATTGATCTCTGGTGGAAAAGAATTTTTGGTTCGCTTTTGCAGATTAGCTTTGTTTAAAAGAGGAGGCTAATTTTACCTCCAGAGAACCTAGAAACAGCATGTTGTAAACGATGGCCCATAATGGCAAAAGCTCAACAATTGAAAGGCTTGCTTCTGGGTCCTTTGTAGGTCATTCCCCTCCCTAAATTGTGATGGTCAACTCGGAGGATGGAGGTGGGACAGTCACCTCCTCAGCATTTTTTTTTTTTTTTGAGACAGAGTCTTGCTCTGTTGCCCAGGCTGGAGTGCAGTGGTGCAATCTTGGCTCACTGCAACCTCCACTTCCCAGGTTCAAGCAATTCTTCTGCCTCAGCCTCCCGAGTAGCTGAGATTACAGGCGCCTGCTATCACGCTTGGCTAATATTTGTATTTTTAGTAGAGACAGGGTTTTACCATGTTGCCTGGGGTTTCACCATGTTGCCCAGGCTGGTCTTGAACTCCTGACCCCAGGTGATCCATCTGCCTTGGCCTCCGAAAGAGCTAGGATTACAGGCATGAGCCACTGTGCCCGGCCCTCCTCAGCATTACAGTATGTCAGCTACAACAGAGGTCTGAGAGGAAAGTGACATTGGAGACCTGAACAGCTTGGGCTTGGTACCATTTATCTGTGCCACACTCAGTGGTGGTCACTGGGAGGATTCACAGGATAAAACCCATTCCCCTGGGCACAGGTGGCCAAGGTAAGCATTGTGTGTGGACAGGTGGATATGAGTGACATATTCACCCCACTGCCTGCCCTAGTGCCCTGAGCTACCTGCCACCTCTTGAGCCCTAGGAATCTTGGAGGCTGCTGAGCAGACCTTGCCCCAGAGGAAAGGGGCGGGGGTCCCTGCCTGAGCATGTCCTCCTGTGTCCTGGGATCTGCCTTTGTCTGAATACCATTCCTCATCAGAATGCAGGGTAGGGGGGCCAAGTCCCTGTTGCCAGACCGATGACAGAGGGTCAGCTTTCTCCAAGCTACACGGTCCAGGGGAGGCCCACATCACCCAAGGACATAGGTCATCAACAGTGCAGGGAGTGAGAGAGAAAGAGAGGGAGAGAGAGAGAGAAAGAGGAAAATAAAAAGATAGAAACTGAGAGGGGGTAAAAGGAGAAAGACGAACAGAAAGAGACAGAGAGAGGGAAGAAGAGAGAGGGAAGAGAGGGGAAAGGAGGAAGAGAAAGAGGGAGAAAGAAAAGGAGGGGAGAGGGAGGGAAGGGGCTGAAAGGCAGAGAGGGGTGGAGAAACCCGTAGGTTATTTCCATAGGAGAAGGATTCATTCCAGGCTGAGGGTGGTAAAACATTCTGGCTTTTCAGGATTTAAATTTTCTCATAGCATGATGTCTACCTGACAACTTGAAGGACCTGCTTAAATAGGTGATAGAGGGGGAGAAAAGTATATTTTATTATAATACATTCCTTTTTTTATTTTTGAGACAAAATCTTGCTTTCTCACCCAGGCTGGAGTGCAGTGGCATGATCTCGGCTCACTGCAGTCTCCATCTCCTGGGTCCAAGCAATTCTCCTGCCTTACCCACCTGAGTAGCTGGGATTACAGGCATCCGCCACCATGCCTGGCTAATTTTTGTATTTTTTAGTAGAGACAGGGTTTTGTCATGTCGGCCAGGCTGGTCTCGAACTGCTGACCTCAGGTGATCCCCCTCCCTTGGCCTCCCAAAATGCTAGGGTTACAGGCGTGAGCCACTGTGCCCAGCCTATTATAATACATTCTTATATATGCTGTTTATTAGCTAAAAAAATCATTTTTTGTGTGTGTGTGGGGGTGCGGCGGGAACAGTGCTAACTTGATAGGGAATGAATTGTATCTCGTTTTTATTTTACATTTCTCTGAATTCCAAGGGTTGATTTACCTCCATTTTTACTAGTTGCCAGCATTCTATCAGATTTCTGTTTATGTCCTTTGCCCATTTATCCATTGAGAAGTAGTGTTTCTTATTGATTTGTAACTGCTTTTCATATTTTAAAGACATGGACTCCTTGTCTTATTCGTCACAATCTTTGTCCCCTAATTTGATGTGCATTGTATTTTGTTTAATTAATTATTTATTTATTTACTTTTTAACCTACAGAACAGCTTGCTAAACCTGTTTTTTTTGTACTCATCACTATTAAAATTATTCAGTAACCATATAAAGCATAATATTCTAAATAGCAAATTCATTGATTTTTAATTTTTTAAACTTTTTATTTTTTTGAGACAAGTTCTTCCTGTGTTCCCCAGACTGGGGTGCAGTGGTGCGATTTCGGCTCACTGCAGCCTTGAACCTCCTGGGCTCAAGCAATTCTCCCACCTCAGCCTCCCGTGTAGCTGCTAGTGCAGGCATACTACCATGCCTGGCTAATTGTTTTTTTTTTTTTTTAGAGATGGGGTCTCCCTATGTTACCCAGGCTGGTCTTGGCCTCCTGGGCTCAAGCAATCTGCCTGTCTCAGCCTCCCAAAGTGCTGGGATTGCAGGTGTAAGCCACCGTGCATTGCTCTAGTAGTCAAATAGACACTGAAAAGCTTTGAGGAGAGGGAAGGATGTGGGGAGGGAGAGGAGAAGAGAAAAAGAAAAGAGTAAACGAACAAAAAGAGAGGAGAAAGAGGAGGAAGGAGTGAAAGAGAAAGAGAAAGAAGTATAATCAGCCTCCCAACCTTCATGATACATCTCCAGCTCTGAGGCATCCAAAAACTCTGGAGATTTTTTGTTCTAACACAACTTGACCTCATTGTGTTCCCAGAGAAGAATCTAAGTGTGGCCTACTTAACAGCCCTTCTACTGGAAATGGGCCACTATTTTGGCCCTCCTGACAAACCAAGTCCTCATTGTTTGGTGAGGGAGACCATTCAAGGGCCCCTCCAGATTGGCTCAGGAGGGAGCCTAGAGGCAGAGGCACAGGAGGAAGCCCCTGATTCTCTCACGATGGGAGTGAATGTGTCAAGATCCTTTCAAAACCTGTCAGGGAATCATTCACCATGATGGGCACAGCCAGGGTCCCCAAGATTTGTTTCTTGATTAAAGACTGATTAGATATTTTTCATCCCGCTCCAAATGTCTACAACTTCAGGAATGTACTGCTAAGTCTGCTATCAGGGCCCTAAGGGCTAATGGCCACTCACCTGTTGGGTACCATCTTGAAATAGTCACCCAGAACTTGGGGGCCATTTTGAAATGGTTGCCCTAGAACTTGGGTGCCATTTTGGAATGGTTACCCAGAACTAGGGTGCCACCTTGAGATGGCTGCCCAGAACTTGGGGGTCACCTTCGAGTAGCCATCCAAGACTTGGGGACCGTCTTGGAATGGCTACCCAGAACTTGAAGGCCACCTTGGAACTCAGGGACCATGTAAGAATGGCCACCAAGAATCCAGAGGCCATCTTAGCATGGTAGCCCAGAAATCAGAGGCCATCTTGGAATAGCCACCCAGAACTTGGATGCCACCTTGGAATGGTTGCCCAGAACTTGGGGGCCACCCTGGAACTCAGGGGCCATCTTGCAATGGCTGCCTAGAACTTGGGGCCATCTTGGAATAGCCACCCAGAGCTTGGGGACCATCCTGGAATGGCTACCCAGAACTTGAAGGTCACCTTGGAACTCAGGGACCATCTAAGAATGACCACCCCAAATTCAGAGGCCATCTTGGAATGATAGCTCAGAACTCAGGGGCCATCTTGGAATGGCCACCCAGAACTTGGATGCCATCTTGGGATGACTACTAAGAGCTTGGGTGCCATCCTGAAATGGCTGCCTACAACTGGGGCGCCATCTTGGAGCTGCAGGATGACACATGGCCTTTCAGAGGGCAGAGAATCCTAGGACTGCCAGGAGAAGTGAAAGACACACAAAGGGAGTCACCAGGTCTACAACTACGGGGCCTTCAGGCATAGGGAGGGGGTCAGAATTCTCATGCACATTCGTTTCCTGATTGTCTCTTTAGGGACTTTCCAAAGAGACAGCGGTTTGGGCGGCGCTTGTGGAGTAGTAGGGGGATGAGATGTTCCGGCGAGGCTAGTCTACAGGAAGCTGCACAGCAAGGGGCCAGTGATGTGGCTGAGGCCCGTTGCTGTGTGAGGAGGTAGAAGGTTGGCAGGAGGGGGGGTCCCTTCTCCTTCTTCCTCCATGGACATCATGCAAAAAGCCATCGAAGCTCTTCCTGGTGGCATGCTGATATCTCCCACGTCCCCGGAGCCCACACACCCCATCCCTAGACCCTGAGAACATGTCCTGTAATCCGATGTGTGGCCCAGGCTGGGGGTTGGGGGAAAAGAGGCAAGAGGAACCCTTGCGAGGAGACTTACGTGAAGGCAAAGGCTACCAGGGCCCCACTGACCACTATGAAGTCGAGAATATTCCAGAGGTCACGGAAGTAGGCACCCTGATGCAGGACGAGCCCCAGGTCAATCATCTGTGGGGGAGAAGAGAGGGTGCTCAGAACCCCCACCTGATCCCCACCCTGGGGTGCTGCCACCCACTCTCTAGCCTCTCGGGGAGAGGCAGGGAAGCCAATGAGGCCACCTCATCTTGCAGGGATGGGCAGTGGCCAGAGGACTCCAGGGAGGAGTGGGGAGCCCCTGCCCCATGAGGCGGCCCCCCTTTGCCTGATGGAAGCCAGCTCTGGCTTGCCGGCTCTTAGATCCAAACTTTGGGATCCTCTTTGATGCCTCTTTGTCCCAAATCCCTCATTGGTGGCTCTATCAGCAAAACTCACTGGCTCTATTTCCAGAACCTTCCAAGAATCTGTCCACTTCTCACCTCTTCTTTGGTCACCAGCCTGATCCTGTCCCCGTCATCGCCCATGGGGACCAGTGTGATCACCTGCTCACAGGTCCTCTGGCTTCCCACAGATGCCAAAGGGCACCTGTGAACACCTGGATCAAGTCCCTCCTCTGCTCAGAACACTCTATGGCCCTCACCTCACTCAAAGTAAGAGCCGAAGAGCCCTCTCTGTGATCCCCGGCACAAGGTGCCCCCTCACCTCCCCACTCATCTCTCTGTCCTTCGTTTCCCCACTGTTCTCTCACTCCGCCCAGCCACACCAGCTTCCTTGCTGCTCTTCAAACACACCAGGCATTTCTAATCCTCTGGGAGACTCATCCTCTCAAGGGGGGCATTCTTGGAGGCTCAGGATCTCCTGGAATCCCAGCTCTTTTTTTTTTTTTTTTTTTTGACAGAGTCTCGCTGTGTCACCCAGGCTGGAATGCAGTGGCAAGATCTCGGCTCACTGCAGCCTCCACATCGGCTCATTGCAGCCTAGGGTTCAAGTGATTCTCCTGCCTCAGCCTCCCGAGTAGCTGGGATTACAGACATGTGCCACCATGCCCGGCTAATTTTTGTATTTTTAGTAGAGATGGGGTTTCACCATGTTGGCCAGGCTGGCCTCAACCTCCTGATCTCAAGTGATCTGCCTGCCTCAGCCTCCCAAAGTGCTGGGATTACAGGCATGATCCACTGTGCCCAGCCCTGCACTTGCTTAAAAAAAAAAATTACCGTGTGTTCTCACTTATAATCTGCACTCACCTTGATCACCATCTCAAAGGTAAAGACGCCTGTAAAAACGTAGTCAAAGTATCGCAGCACCTGTAAGGGATAAAAGCAAGAGAGCAGTGGATCACTGGCCTGTTCCAGCAGAGCCCCGGTAAAACTAACGATCGCCTACTGGGGAGCAGAGTTTCTACCCAGAAGAGGAAACACAGCTGCTATATACAGTTGCGCAGGGCGTGCACTGCACAAGGGCCCCTCCCATCTCTTTTCATACTGCAGATTTGTATGTTGTGAATGAAATTGTCCAGCAGATGGCAGCAAATCCTAACAAAAAAATCACTGTACTAGGCCAGTTCGCTAACCCACGGGAAGGGTACCTTTTAAAATTTGCCCCAAGCCCTGTAGTGGATTAGAAGCGGCCCCAGAGAAGTTCAGGGCTGACTGTATCCTTCTTGGTGATGGATCTAATCCCCCAGTACCCTTGCTTTCCTGGGCATCCTGGGCGAGAAATAGTTGCTACGTGGTTTTTTTAAACACTGGGGCCAACTTCCTGCCACGGCATCTCTTCCTGCTTCAAGGCCAGGCCCCTGCCAGGGTAGGTTGATTTTTCCTGTGCCCCTCCCCAGGCCTGATGTTTCTGCCTGGACGAGCAATGTCCTCTGGCCCAGCCCCTGTCCAGGACACACCATAGCACACCTCTGGTGTCACCCAGGCCTGAAGATGAGGGTGCGCCGGCACAGTGTCTGGCTGGTGCTAGACATGGGGTGGACACCGGCTGGGCACGGTGGCTCGAGCCTGTAATCCCAGCACTTTGGGAGGCTGAGGCAGGCAGATCACTTGAGGTCAGGAGTTCGAGACCAGCCTAACCAAATGGCAAAACCCCGTGTCTACTAAAAATATAAAAAATTAGCTGGGCATGGTGGCGTGTGCCTGTAATTCCAGCTACTTGGGAGGCCAAGGCGTGACAGTCACTTGAACGTGGGAGGCGGAGGTTGCAGTGAGCCGAGATCGTGCCACTGCACTCCAGCCTGGGAGACAGAGACTGTCTAAAAAAAAAAAAAAAAAAAAAATCAGATCCACCCAGAAGCTGCAAGGGCTGAGCATTACTGAACATGGCCACCAGAGGGCGCTGTGAACACCAAAGAAGTCAGGCACATCCTTCCCCTGCTTACAATCCTCCGTGGCTCCCACCTCATTCAGGGATAAAAGTCAAAGTCCTCCCCGAGGCCCTCAAGCCCCTGCACGATCTGACCATTCAGCTCCCTGCCCTCACTTCCTCTCATTCTCTCCCTTGCTCACTTCCTTTTGTTCCCCAAGATGCTTCCACCTCAGGGCCTTTGCACAGGCTGTTCTGTCTCTCTGGAATGCTTTCCCCCACATCCCATTTGATTCCGTCTTTCTCCTCCTTTATGACTTAGCTCAAATAACACTTTCCCAGTGAGGACTCCCCTGACCGGCTGTTTAAATTCCATCTCCTGGTGCTTGAGATCCTCTTTACGAAGTCTCTCCTTCCCTCTGCCCACCACACCCCCGGCCACTTATCACTCCCTGAACATTTGTTGTAGTTACTGATAATCTCATTGTCCATCTCCCCCACCCAAATGTCAGCCCCACAAGGACAGGGATGTCTGTCTGTCACCATGGCGTCTCCAGCTTATAATACAGGGTCAGGAATACAGTAGGTGCTCAAGAAATGTTTGTTGAATGAATGCATCAACAGTTGGGGCTGTACTGGGTCCTGGAGGAGCTGGGCTCTGTGATCTGTGTGGTTATAACTTATATTCCTGTTATATGTGGTGCTTGAAGAGGAATCAGAGACCAGAGTGCCTGGGGTCAGGGTGAGGTGACTTCCTGGAGGGAGGGGCTGGTGCAAGGGGATTGGCTTGAAAGACCTGGGTGGGCAGAGGGGATGGTGGTGGGAGAGTATTTCAGGTGCACGAGGCAGTGGGCACAGCCTGGTCAAAGGCCTGGTGGTTTGTGGGCTCTGGGAGTGCAGGGACCATCTCATACCCTGTCAATCCTCCCTGGCTCGCTCAGTACCTGGCACATAGTAGTTGCTTATCAAATACTTACTAAAGGAATGAATGGAAGGAAAGAAGGAAGAGAGGGAGCTGGGAAAGGGCAGGCCGTGGGGGTCAGGTGAATCTAATTCTGGAGCTCTTAATAAGCTGTGCAAGAGGAAATCAAAAGACCAATAAATTAGGTTCAAGTATTCCTAATACTTAGATCTTTTTCATCTATTTGAAAATGTTATTTCCTGTGGCTCAGTCTAATCCAAAAAAGTGCTTGATCTCATTCATTACAGGGAAATGCCAAGCACAACCCCAATAAGATCTCACTCCACACCCAGCAGATCGGCCAAATGAAACAGTCGACAGTACCAAGTGTTGACAAGGATGTGGAAGAACAGGAGTTCCCATGAGCTACTGGTGCAAGGGCCACTGCGTTCATTTATTTTTTAATTTTTTTTTGAGATGGTGTCTCACTCTGTCACCCAGGCTGGAGTGCAGTGGCACAATCTTGGCTCACTGGAACCTCTGCCTCCCGGGTTCAAGCAATTCTTCTGCCTCAGCCTCCAAGTGTCTGGGATTACAGGCGCATGCTACCACGCCCGGCTAATTTTTGTATTTTTAGTAGAGACCAGGTTTTACCATATTGGCCAGTCTGGTCTCGAACTCCTGACCTCACGTGATCTACCCACCTTGGCCTCCCAAAGTGCTGGGATTACAGGTGCGAGCCCGGCCCACTGTGCCCGGCCCACTGTGTTTATTTTTATTTATTTATATATATTTTGGAGACAGGGTCTCGCTCTGTCGCCAAGGCTAGAGTGCAGTGACGCCATCTTGGCTCACTGCAACCTCCACCTCCTGGGTTCAAGTGATTCTTGTGCTTCAGCCTCCCGAGTAGCTGGGATTACAGTTGTGTGTTACCACGCCCAGATAATTTTTGTATTTTTGGTAGAGACGGGGTTTCACCATGTTGGCCAGGCTGGTCTCAAACTCCTGACCTCAGGTGATCCACCCGCCTTGGCCTCCCAAAGGGTCACTGTGTTTATTGTCCAATAAACATTCAAGCTGCATTTACTGAGGCCAACCACTTGCAAATTATATGCTCTAGAAACTTCGCTTTTGGTTTATACCCTGGAGGAATTCTTATTTATTGAGACAGGGTCTCGCTCTGTCACCCAGGTTGGAGTGCAGTGGTATGAACATGGATCACTACAGCCTTGACCTTCCAGACCCAAGTGATCCTCCCACCTCAGCCTCCCAAGTGGCTGGGACCACAGGTGTGCACCACCACGCTCGGTTAATTAAAAAAAAAAAAATTTTTTTTTTTTTTGGTAGAGGTGGGGGTCTCACTATGTTGCCCAAGCTGGTCTTGAACTCCTGGCCTCAAGCATTGCTCCCACCTTGGCCTCTCGAAGTGCTGGGATTATAGGCGTGAGCCACTGCATCTGGCCTCCTGGAGAAATTACTGTCCAGGTGACTCAGGAAACATGTTGAGGGGCGTGGCATGGGGACAGTATTCACACTTAGAAACAACCCAAACATCTGTCAACAGGGGATGGATAACACATCCCATGCCACACAGTAAATCTCAAAACAGCATCATAAAGAATGCTCATTGACCGGGCGTGGTGGCTCACGCCTGTAATCCCAGCACTTTGGGAGGCCAAGGCGGGCGGATCACTTGAGGTCAGGAGTTTGAGACCAGTCTGGCTGATAGTGTGAAACCCCGTCTCTACTAAAAATACAAAAATTAGCCGGGTGTGGTGGCGCCTGCCTGTAGTCCCAGCTACTCTGGAGGCTGAGGCAGGAGAATCGCTTAAACCCGGGAGGCGGAGGTTGCAGTGAGCCAAGATTGCACCACTGCACTCCAGCCTGGGTGACAGAGCAAGACTCCATCTCAAAAAAAAAAAAAAAAAAAAGAATGCCCATCAATCCTGCAAAAGCAACATGTACTCATTTAATGCGAAGCATAGAAGTGTCTCATTTATTGAATGTTACAGAAGAGCAAACATAAATTCAGTTTTTAAGAATTGGCCAGTGTTGGCCAATTACAGGCATGTAAGAATTGGAATTACATGCCTGTAATTCCAGAGCTCTGGGAATCTGAGGAGGGAGGATTGCTTGAGGTCAAGAGTTCGAGACCAGCCTGGCAACATAGCGAGGCCCGTTTCTACAAGCATTTAAAAATTAGCTGGGTGTGGTGGTGCATGCCTGTGGTCCTAGCTACCTGGGGGGCTGAGGTGGGAGGATCACTTGAGCCCGGGACGTTGAGGCTGCAGTGAGCCATGATCACGTTACTGCACCCCAACCTGGGCGACAGAGAGAGACATTGTCTCTTAAAAAAAAAAAAAAAAAAAGCCTGTGCAGGTGGGAAAAAGAGAGAAGCCAAAAACGCTCATTCCAGAAGCTGGGGTCGTGGTTACCGGTAAGGCAGGGTTTCTCAAGCTGGGCTCTGTGGACATTTGGGTCTGGATCATCCTCTAGAGTGGGGGCTGTCCTGGGCATCGGCGGGTGCTGAGCAACATCCCTGGCCTCCACCCACCAGATGCCAGGAGCACCTCCCCCCTCCTGTCGTGACAACCAAAAATGTCTCCAGACAGTGTCCCCAGCAGCTCTAGAGGGAAAGAAGGCGGTGGGGGTGGGGGATCGAGGAGGCACATGCCGCGTGGGGCGTTTTTGTTCTATTTCTTGCCCTGGATGGTGGTTACGTGGTGTGAACGTTATGGGGCCACAGTGTTCTTGTAGAGAAGTTTCGACTGCGAGATGGACGAGGGAGGGGGCCGGGGAGCTGAACGCTCTTTGCAAACAGTCCCTGGGGCCTGGTCTGAGCACTGCCTAGATTCCCTTCAGCCCTGGGAGCTGCCGTGCCCCCTGGATCATCCATGCCTGTGCCCTCCCTGCCGAAGGCAACGCCTTCTTCAGCATCCTCGCGTCAGCAGGGGGTTTGTGGACCCCTCCAGGGACACCTCCTCCCCACGCCTGGCTCCTGGAGGCCCCTGGGGGAAACCAGGCTGCGGGAAGCAACTAAGCGGACTGTGAGGAGGCTGAGCACTGGCTCTAGCTTCCTCCAGGAGCTGCGTTCTAATTATTTCCTTCCATCTCCCCCATCAGGTCCCCAGGGGGGCCTGCCAGGCCTGGGAAGGAAGGGAAAGTGCATGGTAAGCTGTGGGCGGGCTTGAGGGATGGGGCTCGCCAGCTTTGCCTGGGTCCTAACCTACTTAGCCAGGGCAGCAGAGCCTTGGACCAGCAGAAAACACACTTTTTTGGCTCTGGGTTGGGAGGGAAGGGTTGGGGGAGGGAGCTGGGGAGGGAAACAGGAGCCACCAGTCCACCCTCTACCAGGCCCTGGGGTCAAGCCTCTGCCCGCAGCCCATGACTGAGGCACGCCCTTGCCTGTTGGTGCCTCGGTTTCCCCATCTCAACCACAAGCATGCACTCATTCCTGCTTGTCAGGACTCAAAGGGGCTATGCACACCCATCCGTAGCATACAGTAGGTGATTAGTAAATGCAGACAGTTGGGGGAAGCAGTGGGAGCTTTGGGGGATGCAGAGTTGGAATTCTGCTGTGTGACCCTGGACAGGCCACTTACCACTCTCTCATTCCCCTGAGCCTCAGTTTTCCCATCTGTCAAATGGGGATGCCTGGGCGGGGGGTTGGGGGGGCGCATTGTGAGGATTAAATGAGATACTGCATGCTGAGTTTCTTCCTGGGACACAGCAAGTGCTCAATTAACAGGGGTTGTCAACAGACCCACCATCCGCAAAGGGGCTTGCTTTCATAAAAACCAAAAGCTTAGGCTGTGTTTCTGAGCCAAATAGTTGTTTCTTTCAAAGCTTCGTGTACAAAGGGAAATGTCTACTGCGGAGGGGACCACCTCTGAGCACCGCCCCTGCCCCAGTAACCCCCCTATTCCATGTAGAGAATGTGCAACATCCATATCCTGCTAGTCTCACGCCTCCATTAGAGAATCCAGCAATTTTCAGCCCCAGTCACTCTGGGCCACCTCCACCCCACCAGGCTCACAGAGAAACTGCCTCAAGGAATGTCTTGCTCCCAAGAGCATCCCCAAGGAATCAGAGCTTCCCCTCTCAACCAGCAGCCATAAGGGCTATGCCTAGGGGTGACCCCAACATCCCACCCTACCTATGAGCATTTTGGATGCAGGAGAAAGTGGCCTGAGGCAGAGCAGCCAGGCTAGGAAGGGGTGTGCTCTGTGGGACTCACGTTGTTCCGAGGTGCGTTGGGCTGCACAGGGTCCTCGGCGGCCAGGGCGATGCTGCTCATGGCAATGACCATGAGGATGCACATCTCAAAGTAGCGCAGGTTCAGGATGTAATGGCACAGGCGGCGAAGGCTGTTGGAGACAGATGGGCGTGCAGAGGTCCACTCAGACCACAGGCTCACAAACCCTTTTCTTCCATAATCTCATGTTACCTACCACTACTGAGATCTCCAACCCCCAAGGCCTCCTACACAACAAACTATTAAACTCCTCCAGGTGGGGGCCCTCTCTGGGTCCTGGAACCCCAAGAAGGCAGAGGGGACCTCGGTGAGAGAAGACATTCACATGCCCTGTTTAGCAAAGTTCCTATCACTCCCAAACGACCCTCTTGAAGTATCTTGATCCCCAAGCTAGGTTGAAGAAATACGGTCCTTAATTCTGTAGGAGATAAAAAGGCTTTTCGATATTAAATGTCCCAGGGCCAAACAATATTGTGAATCTATGGGTTAAGTAGATTTCTTTCTTTCTTTTTAAAAATTAGCTGTGTGACCTTGGGCAAGTTACTTGTCCCCTCTGTGCCTTGGTGCCCTCATCTGTAAAATAGCCGTAATACTAGTGCTTACTTCACAAAATCATGAGACCCAAGACTTAATTTATGCCTGGCTCATGATAGGGGCTCCAAAAAGTTAGTTATTGAAATTATGAATTGCAGGCCTTATCAGAGCCTTGAATGTGCCAATGGGATGTGCCAGTTAACCTCTTAATAAGTGGAGCCAATAATAAATAGTTCATAAGGTTGTGTGAATGGCAGCAGAGCTGAGTGGTTAAGAACAAGGAGGCTAGAGCCAGTGTCTGGGCTCAAACTCCAGCTCTCCCACTGGCTTGCTGTGTGACCTTGGGCAGGTGAATTCACGTCTCTGGACCTCAGTTTTTTCATCTGTCAAATGGAGCTAAGCATAGTAACAACCTCAGAGAAATTAAAAAAAATTTTAAGGCACTCAGAACAGTGCCTGGCACTGAGTAGATACCACATAAGTGTTTCCTTAGTAAAATCGATAAGTCAACTAAATAAAAAAGTACTTTAAAGGTACTTTTATTTATTACTACCCAGGGTGAGTTGCCAAGAGGCAGATTATAGAAAGCAGCTTCTCCCCCATCTTATCTGACATGATCCTTCATTGTCAAGAAGCATTTTGAGCGGTCAGGCTTTCAAGAAATATCCCTGGGAGACATTCAATTCTAAAACAACCTCCGAGCCACTACGACATTCATGGGATAAATTTCTCCCCTAAATAGTCTATCCATTTCAAAGATGCCCAAGACAGAAGGCCATGGAACTCAGACACTATCCGCCCAGAATCTAAACCCTTACAGAGTCTAGGTTAGAAACAGAGTTCAGGTCCTAGGGCTGCCACGTGCAGTTGTTCAGGCTGTGTACTGCACAAGGCAGCCATTTCTAAGGGGGTGCCTCTTACATCACAGTGAAGATTTGTTTATTTATGACAAATTTATTTGTTGTTTAGGACAAATTTATTTGTTTATTTATGACAAATTTGTTTATTTATTGTCATAAATAACAATGATTTTCTAGTGGATGGCAGGACAGGGGTCTCTTCCAACAAAGTATATTGTGACAAATCATCTTACCTGACTTACGGAAGGAGCATCCATTTTCAACTTGTTCAAAGGTATCCCTGGACTCATGGTGGTCAACACTCACTCATTGCCCTCTATCTGGCCTGACTTCCGCCACCCTGGTGGGAGCCCCAGGCCCCCCCTGCCCTTGCTGGGGGCCATACTCACGGGTTGGTCGTGGACAGGATGAACATGGAGCTATAGGGAGGCATTGGCTTAGGGCCGTCTTCCCCACGGTCGTCTTCCTCCTCCTCCTTCTTCTCTTCCTCTTTTTTTGGCAGTGGGTCTGGGTTGGCGTTTTTGTTCACTGTTGGGACAAGAACCAACACAGGGCTCCCTCCACAATTTCCCACAAGTCTCTGGGAACTCCTGTGTACTCCCAGGGCAGGCAAGAAGCGGCTGACATTTCTAAAGTGCCTGCTGTATATACCAGGCATCTTATGACATCACTGAACCCTTGTATAGCCCTGAGGTTGATATATTCTGATCTCCTGTTTACAGATGAGGAAATTGAGGCACAGAGAAGTAAAGTGACTTGTCTAAGGTCACACAGCAGGAAGTGGCAGAGCTGGCATTTGGAACCCAGGCGGCCTGGCCCCCGAGAGCCTGCTCTCAACCACTCTATAGCCTTGAGTGCGGTGGGGCCCTCATGGGATATTAACACAGACCTGCCCCTATCCTCGTTGGACCTTCACACCCTCACTTGCA
This sequence comes from Homo sapiens, assembly GCF_000001405.40. Classification (NCBI taxonomy): domain Eukaryota; kingdom Metazoa; phylum Chordata; class Mammalia; order Primates; family Hominidae; genus Homo; species Homo sapiens. The sequence goes on from NC_000019.10 coordinate 13,285,608, forward strand.
GGCAGGTAGGGAGAGTGCCAAGAGACCCACTGAACAGATAGAAATACTGAGACCTCCCATAAACTGCATGGCATGCCCCCATTAGCACCCCTCTCTTGACTCAGGGGGAGGAGCCATCAGCCTCTGGAGCTTCCATTCTGCAGCCCAGCCTGCTTATGTGCCCACGGGCAGGCTGAGCCTCTCTGAGCCTCAGTCCCTACATCTATAAAATGGGCACAGTGACAAGACCTTAGGATCTTAGGTCTCAGGACCATGGAAAGCCTTTATCCAGCAAACTCATGAAAATCTCTCACATAGAACTGACACTAGATGAACTTAAGACATAATCCACCCAGCAGTTCACCATTTTTTTTTTTTTTTTTTTTTTTTGAGACAGTCTCGCTTTGTCACCCAGGCTGCAGTACAGAGGTGCCATCTTGGCTCACTCTACCTCGGCCTCCTGAAGTACTGGGATTACAGGCATGAGCCAGTACATCTGGCCCCTTTTTTAATGTGGCGACTAGAGAGTTTAAACTGACATTTGCATGTGGCCTGTGTTACATTTCTTTTGGACAGTGCTGGGCCGAGAGAATCAATCATCTGACCCCCTCAAGCTTCCATCAGAGGACCCTATTGCTCCTCAAATGGGGTGGCTTCCTGGCTCCCCTTGGGAAGGAAGGACGTAGAAGATATTGCTAACCCGACTGAACACAACCCCGTGCCAGGCACTGTGCACAAATTATCTCACTGAACCCTCCACAGCCCTGTGGGGTAGGAAACTACGCCTATGCCCATTTTCCAGGGGAGGAGACTGAGGCCAGAGAGATGGGGTCACAGTCCAGGGTCACTCAGCAGAGCCTCTGGCTCCAGGGACGCCAGGTCCCCTGCCCAGTGATGTGAGAGCAGAGGGTCTCACCTTGTACGACGGTGTGGTTGAGGGGGGGTGGGCAGGCTGGGGGGATGTCCACTGTGGTGTGGTCGGGTTTCCTGGCAGTCTTAGCTGAATTGGTCTGGGTGCCGCTGGGGTTGGTGACGATAAGGCTATTCTCGGGGGTCTTGGGGGGGCCGGGATTGGATGGGTTCCCCGGGTTGTTGGGCGTCCGGCGGCTGGCGGCGTTCTGGGGGTTGGTGGCCATGGCAGGGATGGCCAGCATGGGGCCGGGGTCGGTGCTGTTTCCCATCTTGGCTGGGCTCTGGGGCAGGCCGGCGTGGCCAAGGCTGCCGTGGGGAGCGGCCGACTCCGCGGTGGCCAGCTTGTTGTTCTTCATGTTGTCAATATCCTCTGCCAGGGGTGGGTCTTGGCGGCCCAGGTCCTGCTGGATTGGCCGGGTGGTTGACAGGTTGGGGCCCGACACAGGGACCCCGGAGCCCTGGTTCTCTCTGAGGAAGGCAAGTGAATGAAAAAGAACCAACAACTGATTTAGGATAAAAGGCAACAGTTCAGGATCCTAGCTAAGATTCCATCTTTCAAGAGTACAATTTGGGCTGGGCGCAGTGGCTCACGCCTGTAATCCCAGCACTTTGGGAAGCGGAGGCAGGAGGATTGCTTAAGGCCAGGAGTTCAAGACCAGCTTGGGCAACATAGTGAGACCCTATTTCTACAAAAAATGTGTAAATTGACGGGCGTGGCGCTGTGTGCCTGTAGTTCTAGCTACTTGGGAGGCCGAAGTGGGAGGATTGCTTGAGCCTGGGAGGTTGAGGCTGCAGTGAGCCGTGATCGCCCCACTGCACTCCAGTCTGGGTGACAGAGTGAGACCCTGTCACCAAAAAAACAAAAAAGAAAAGGAAAGGGTACAGTTTGGTCATGGAGAAGTCATGTCCCAGATCCCTGCAGTGCCTGGAATTGAGAGGAGCCTGTTCACTTCTTGGTCAGAGGTCAAGACCTTCACGTGCCCATGGACAGGTTTCCACAACTCCCCATCATCTTATTTCTTTTCTTTCTTTCTTTCTTTTTTCTTGCTCTGTCGTACAGTGGCGTGATCTCGGCTCACTGCAACCTCTGGCTCCCAGGTTCAAGCGATTCTCTTGCCTCAGCCTCCTGAGTAGCTGGGATTACAGGTGCCCACCACTACGACCGGCTAATTTTTTGTATTTCAGTAGAGATGGGGTTTCACCATTTTGGCCAGGCTGGTCTCGAATTCCTGACCTCAAGTGATCCACCCACCTCAGCCTCCCAAAGTGCTGAGATTACAGGTGTGAGCCACTGCACCTGGCCTCTTTTTTTTTTTTTTTTTCAGACAGGGTCTTACTCTGTTGCCCAGGCTGGAGAGCAGTGGCAGGATCATAGCTTACTGCAGCCTTGAACTTCTGGGCTCCAGTGATCCTCCCATCTCAGCCTCCAGGTAGCTGAGGCTACAGGCTCACGCCACCATGTCTGGCTAATTTTACAATTTTTTGTAGAGACTGGCGTCTCACTATGTTGCCCAGGGTGGTCTCAAACTCCTGGCCTCAAGTGATTCTTCCTCCTCGGCCTCCTAAAATGTTGGGATTACAGGCGTAAACCACAATGCCCAGCTTGTTTTTAACTTTCTTATTCTTAGCTGAGTTTTCACTGCCTAGTACAGGGCCTCTCACACAGTCAATGCTGGGTAAACTTACTGTCAAATGATAAATGAATACCCCCATTTTCTTTTTCTTTCTTTCTTTTTCTTTTTTCTTTTTTTTTTTAACTGAGACAGAGCCTCACTCTGTTGCCCAGGCTGGAGTGCAGTGGCAGGATCTTGGCTCACTGCAACCTCTGCCTCGTGGATTCAAGTGATCCTCGTGCCTCAGCCTCCCGAATAGCTGGGATTACCAGCGTGCACCACAATACCCAGCTAGTTTTTCTATTTTCAGTAGAGACAGGGCTTCGCCATGTTGCCCAGGCTGCTTGAACTCGTGGCCTACAGTGATCCACCCACCTCAGCCTCCCAAAGTGCTGGGATTATAGGCCTCCCTAAGTGCTGGATATATAGAGCCACCGTGCCTGGCCAGAATGTCCCCATTATCCAGATGAGGATACTGAGGCCCCAGGAGAGATCCCACAGCCTCAAACCTCCCATCAACCCCTGCCTCTCCAAGCCATGGACACCTGGGCCCTGCCTCTTGCCATCTACAGGTGGACAAAGACTCACTTAGTAGCCCATCTGATGCCTTCTGGACTACAGACCCCTGGACAACACAGCCCTGGTTTCCCATAAATCTATCTAGAAAGAATAAATAAATAAATAAGTAATAAATAAAAGGCTGGCTTTCCCCAGAGGGCTTCCCACTGGCTAAACTACCAGCACCATTCTCCTCATTTTATTTTTGCATTTTAACTTGCAAAAACCCACGGTGTTTTTAGTAAGTGGAAGAGAGACAAGCTAATTTATTTTCAGACCAAAGTAGGTAAGTGGGATGCTTCTATGAATACTTCCCGGAAGGAGAAACCGAGGCAGTTCCACTGTTTCTCTGAGACTGCACAGGGGAAATAGACAGGTCCAAGCAACTTTCTGCCTTCTCAGTTTTGTGAGTGGGTCATAGAGGGACATTTCAGAAGACAGGCTGACCTGGGTTTGAATCTCGGCAATGTCTTTTTTTTTTTTTTTTTTTGAGACAGGGTCTCACTCTGTCGCCCAGGTTGTAGTGCAGTGGCGCGATCTCAGCTCACTGTAATCGCCACCTCCCAGGCTCAGGCAATCCTCCCACCTCAGCCTTCCCAGTAGCTGGGACTTCAGGTGCCTGCCACCACGCCTGGCTAACTTTTTAATTTTTCTTTTTGTAGAGATGAGGTCTCACTATATTGCCCAGGCTGGTCTCAAACTCCTGGGATCAAGCGACCCTCTTGCCTCAGCCTCCCAAAATGCTGGGATTATAGGCATGAGCCACTACACACAGGGAAATCTCAGCAACATCACTAGCTGTGCAACCCTGTGTGATTTGCTTAACCTCTCTGAGCCTTAGTTCCCACATTTTAAAATTTGGGATAACAGGAGTAGAACCTTCCCCATATCCTGGAGACTGAAGCAATGATCCTGGACCTTCTTTACCACATAATCTCCAGTGAGTTACTTAGCCTCAGTTCCTGACCCATAACATGCGGGCCGTAACCTCATTGAGTCTGGCTCTGAGAACTAAGTATGTTAATGAGCTGAGAGTCACCGAGGATTATTCTCAGGCCTTGAAACCTAATGGGATTTGTCTTGCTGGATTTAGCACTTGCTTAGGACTGGTGACCTCTTTATCCCTTCCAATTTCTCCCTTTTGCAATGGGAACGTCTATCCTATGCCTGTCCCGCTGTTATATTCTGGAAACATACAAAGATCACTTGTTCTGTAGTTTCTATATTATATATATAACATATATATTATATATATTTATCTTATCTATCTTATTTTTTGAGATGGAGTCTTGCTCTGTCACCCAGGCTGAAGTGTAATGCACGATCTCGGCTCACTGCAACCTCTGCCTCCCAGGTTCAAGTGATTCTCCTGCCTCAGCCTCCAGAGTAGCTGGGACTACAGGCCTGTGCCACCACACCCGGCTAATTTTTTTTTTTTTTTCTGTAGTTTTAGTAGAGACAGGATTTTGCCATGTTGGCCAGGCTAAAACTCCTGGCTTCAAGAGATCCATTGGCCTTGGCCTCCCAAAGTGTTAGGATTACAGGCGTGAGCCACCATTTCTGGCCTAAATGAGGTAAATTCTAAACCAATATTTCCTCAACATCTTGGACAGTCCACAAAGAAATCCCTAATTCTAACCTGCTTGTGATGCTTTTTGAGAAGTTGTGTATCATGAAAACCTGGCTGAGAGTATTTTCTCATCATCTGTAATGTGTGTGTGTGTCTGTGTGTGTCTGTGTGTGTATAATAATAATAATATATTTTTAAGAGACAGGGTCTTGCTCTGTTGCCCAGGCTGAAGTGCAGTGGTATGACCATAGCTCACTGCAACTTTTAACTCCTGGGCTCAAGCGATCTTCCCACCCTGGGTAGCTGGGATTGCAGGCACACACTGCCATGCCTGGTTATTTTTATTAATTTTTGTAGAGACAGGGTCTCACTATGTTGTTCAGGCTGGTATTGAACTCCTGGGGCTCAAGAGATCCACCTGCCTTGGCCGCCCAAAGTGCTGGGATTACAGGTGTGAGCCACCACGCCTGGCCCTGTGTATGTATATGTGTATATATGTGTATATATATACATACACATATATATACACATTTCAGAGAGTGATATCCCTGCCATAAAGCAGGCCCAGTTAAGTTATAATTTCAAAGAGAACCTAAATCCTTTGGCCACCAGCTCAAGAAGCCATGGAGAAACTCGTGGCGGCATTTTCTTAGAGGAATACCATCTACCAAGAGCAGATGGAAAAGGGTCTGCCAATGTGTTTTGTCTTGTTTTTGCTTCCTTGTAGAGCGTCTGTTGGCTCTGTTTGTTGGGAAATTTTAACAAGCTCAGCCTGCAGAGGCCTAATATCAATTTCCGGGAGGTTTCATTTCCAAAGTGTCTCCAAGGAGAACTCAAAAGGGGCAGAAAACTTTGAAGCTGCACCCCTACCCCCTTCTCCCTGGGGATCTGGCATCCTCTGCCTGGAATAGGTGGCCAGTTGCATAACACCTGCTGTGCGTGGCGTTCTTGTGCCAGCTGATCACTTGGGCATCCTTCTGCAGAGGGCTGTGGACACCTTGCCTGGGGCACACTCAGACCCTGAGATCGGATTATGTGGGGGTGATAATAACAGCAGTTCCTGTTTATTGCTTATCTCGTGTCCCCACCCCCTGTCCTAAGGACCTCACGTATTAACTCATTTAATCCCTGCAACTACCACCATCCGAGATGGGTATAGTGATCAGCCCCATTTCACACAGGAGGAGACTGAGGTTCAGAGAGGCAAAGTTACCCAGAGTTACCCAGCTGGAAAACAGCTGAGCTGGGCTCTCTGGTGTTCAAAGCTTTAATGGGGCAGCTTGGTACAGTGGCTTACGCCTGTAATCCTAGCACTTTGGGAGGCTGAGGAAGGAAGATCGCTTGAGCCCAGGAGTTTGAGATCAGTCTGGGGAACATAGTGAGACCCCATCTCTAAAAAAAAAAAAAAAAAAAAAAAATTAGCTGGGCGTAGTTGCACGAGACTGTTGTTCCAGTTACTTGGGAGGCTGAGGTGGGAAGATCATTTGAGTCCAGGAGTTTGAGGCTACAGTGAGCTATGATTGTGCCACTGCACTCCAGCCTGGGTAACAGAGCAAGACTGTTTTTTTTTAAAAAAACCAACTTGGGCCCATTGGGGGTACCGTAAGAATTAGAGTGCTAAGTAATTAACCACTCCCTACCCCCATGCAGGATAAACTGTGGAGCTCAAAAGTCCAGCATCTCTCTTCCTGTTCCTTTTGGGGAGCAGGTTGTCATGGTGACAGATGCAGGTGGAATTAGGATGCGAACAGCAGAGATAAGAATTCTAGAGTGGAGCAGGTCTTGGCAAAAGTTCCCTTTGCAAGCAGATAGGCCTGGGAGAAGGCACTGCCTGGTTGCAAGGGAGAGGCAGAAGCTCTGTCCTCCATAGATTTTTACTGACAGTCTGGGAAAGTTCCACCCTCATTTTGTCCACCCTGCAGGGCCACTGGGCTCGGCCACCTGGTATGGGGGATCTGGGGCCAGCAGCCATTGAATTATATGAAATAGAATGTGCGTCAGTCCACTTTTCACTGGAGTGAGCCACTGAAAGACAGATGAAGGTAGGAATGAGGAGAAGACAAAGTGAATAAAAAGGAAAAAAATATGATCGGCCTGGCAAGGTAGCTCGCTCCTGTAATCCCAGCACTTTGGGAGGCTGAGGTGGGAGGATCGCTTGAACCCAGGAGTTGGAGACCAGCCTTGGCAATGTGGCAAAACCCTGTGTCTACAAAAAATACAAAAGATTAGCTAGGCATGGTCATGCACACCTGTAGTCCCAGCTGCTCGGGAGGCTGAGGTGGGAGAATCACCTGAGCTCAGGAAGTCAAGGCTGCAGTGAGCCATGATTGTACCACTGTACTCCGGGGCCTGGATGACAAAGCGAGACCATGTCTCAAAAAAAAAAAATTATCAATATGCTGGAGAATGAAAAACACAGGGTACGTTTGCAAAAAGCCTCAAGGAATGACTGAAGAAGAGGAAAAATGTACAAGGCAGACCTCCGAAGGCCACTGGCTTTGTCACAACAGAGAACGAAAATGTCTTTTTATTATTTTATATTCTCAAATAAAGTTTTATCTTTGCCACTTTTTTTAAAGCAGATGAATGACTGATCTTGAATTTTTTTCTCTTAAAGTGCATGAATCTTCATGAACTTTTATTTCCAAAGAGCCTTAGAACCTCTTTATCAGCCAAATGAATAATGTCTCTCCCGGCCAGATTGTTTGATGTGTCTATTAATAATGGAATTAGCAGTACTCCCCTGGTTCAGAATGGGGGTCTGGCCAGCTGAGGCTATGGGGGTGAAAGTGGGGAGATAGTTTCTTCCTCTGAAGAAGAGAGGGAGCAGGAACCATCTGTGGGATTTGGGCAAGCTGGGTCCTTATTGCTTTTTATGTTTATTGATGAGAGTATTACTAACAGTATTAGCTGACACTTCCTGAGTGCTTACTATTACTGCTAAAAATAGCATTCATTGAGTACTTAATAATATTCATATTAATAATAGCTAACATGGCCAGGCATGGTGTCTCATGTCTGTAAATCCAGCACTTTGGGAGGCCAAAGTGGGAGAATTTCTTGAGGCCAGGAGTTTGACACCAGCCTGGGCAACATAGTGAGACCCCAAAATGCTACAAAAAATTGCTAACATTTATTGAGCTCTTGGTATAAGCCAGGAACCACTCAAAGCATTTTACACGTACTAACTCAGTTAAATCTTTTTTTTTTTTTTTTTTTTTTTTGAGATGGAGTCTCGCTCTGTCTCCCCGGCTGGAGTGCAGTGGTGCGATCTCGGCTCACTGCAAGCTCCGCCTCCCGGGTTTTACACCATTCTCCTACCTCAGCCTCCCGAGTAGCTGGGACTACAGGCGTGCACCACCTACGCCCGGCTAATTTTTTTTTTTTTTGGTATTTTTAGTAGAGATGGGGTTTCACCATATTAGCCAGGATGGTCTTGAACTCATGACCTTGTGATCCGCTCACCTCGGCCTCCCAAAGTGCTGGGATTACAGGCATGAGCCACCGCGCCCGGCTCAGTTAAATCTTATACCCAGAGAAGGAGGTAGCTACTATTCTTATCTTCATTTTATAGATGAGGAAATGGAGGCCCAGAGAGGAGTGAAATTCTGAAAGTCACACAGCCTGGAAGTGATAGGGCAGGAATGTGACTGCCTGCCCCAAAGTCCTTGCCTTTCACAACCAGGCTTTGCTGCTCTTGTAGTTTCCAATGTTTACTGTTGTCTTTCAAAAACTCTTCCTGGCATATTGTTAGGGAGAGACATTTTGTCCCTGTCACTCTGCCTCCTTCAATAACAGTAGATCTGTTAATAAGGCTGATAATAACAGTAATATTAGTAATAATAGCAAGAGTAATTAATAATCATTGGTCTTTCTTTTTTTTTTAGACATGAGGTCTTGCTCATCTCTAAAATGAGCAATGCTACTGCAATCCAACCTGGGCAACAGAGCAAGACCCTGCCTCAAAAAAAAAAAAAAAACAAACAAAACCCTAAATAAACCAACAAACTAAAGGCACAGATAATTATAAGCAAGATTTTTCACCTGTGTGAGGAGCACTAGAAAGTCATGAAGAGGAAAGGATAATTCTTTTCCATATGAGACTGTCTTGTACATGGTAGGGTATTTAGTATACTGGCCTCCCATTCTCTAAATGCTCAGGCTGGTCTCGAACTCCTGGGCTCAAGCAATCCTTTGCCTCAGCCTCCTGAGTAGCTGGGATTACAGGTGCATACCACTGTACCTGGCTTTTTTTTTTTTTTTTTTTTTTTGAGACAGAGTCTTGTTCTGTTGCCCAGGCTGGAGTGCAGTGGTGTGATCTCAGCTCACTGTAACCTCTGCCTCGCAGGACAATTCTTGTGCCTCAGCCTCCTGAGTAGCTGGGATTATAGGCGTCCACCACCACGCCTGGCTAATTTTTTGTATTTTTAGTAGAGACAGGGTTTTGCCATGTTGGCCAAGCTGGTTCTGAACCCCTGACCTCAGGTGATCCACCTGTCTCTGCCTCCCAAAGTGCTGGGATTACAGGCGTGAACCATCACACTGGCCTGTACCTGGCTCTTCATTGGTCTTTACTATACAGAGAGTGCTGTGGTAAACACTTTATTCCACCTAAACTCCCGTTTTGATCTCTCATTCCCCTGAGTGACTGACAGCCCCAGAGTCTCATCAATGCACCTTCAATTTCTTTGTCACTTTCTCGTCACTAGTCATGTCCTGCAAACTGGCCTCCTTCTGGTCCACCCCAGGGCCTTTGCACATGCTGTTGTTAGACTGAAACACTCTACTCCCTTCTCAGATTGCTCCTCTGGAAACCTGCCCTGAGACCCTGGGAGCAGTTTCTTGGTCGTATTTCTCAGAATGTCTCAGACCACTTCACTTGCAGTTGTGTGACTGAACTCACAGCATGAGCTTAGAATATAGTAGGCACTTAGTAAATACTAACTGAATGAATGCATAAACCCATAGGAGAAGATTGAAGCGAAAGAATGACCTAGAACAATGGTTTTCAGAAAACTGTTGTAGAACTACGTGGAAACCTAATAACATAATGATTGAGGGGCACTGCAGGCACTTAGAGAATGGTAGGCAGTTATACTAAATACCCTACCATGTACATGACAGTCCCATATGGGAAAGACTTATCTTTTCCTCTTCATGACTTTCTAATGTCCCTCAAAGAGGTGAAAAATCTTGCTTGTAATTACCTGTGCTTTTAGTTTGCTTGTTTGTTTGGGTTTTTTCTTTCTTTCTTTCTTTTTTTTTTTTTTGAGACAAGGACTTGTTCTGTTGCCCAGGTTGGAATGCAATGGCATAATCATAGCTCACTGTAATCTTGAACTCCTGGGCTCAAGCAATCCTCCTGCTTCAGCCTTCCAAGTAGCTAGAACTACAGGCACCTGCCGCCACACCTGGCTAATTAAAAAACTTCTTTTGTAGAGATCGAGGTCTCCTTATGTCGCCCAGGTTGGTCTCGAACTCCTGGCCTCAAGCGATTCTCCTTCCTCAGCCTCCCAATGCACTGGGATTACAGGTGGGAGCCACTGCACCTGATCCTGTGCTTTTAGTTTAAACCTAACTCTTTTACATAAGAACACAACATATTTTTTGTATGTTTTTAATATACATTGCATTTTCCTGCAATGCAACTATTAAATAAATGGAAGAAAGACTAGACTCTTTTGTATATGGAACTTTGCCAAGAGGTGTTCAACATTGTGGAACATCTTGACACTGCTGGCAACTCCCCTCATGTGGTTTGAATTGTCCACACAACCCAGAGTTAGCCATCATTTGTGCCTGTCACTTCATGGTGATTTTGTGTATGGTGTACATATCAGAATTACTTCACTATGTCCTCCAGAGTCTCATTACTCAAAATGTGGTCCCTGGACCAGTAGTATCAGCCTCATCTGGGAGCTCGTTGCAAATGCAGAATCTCAGGCTCCACTGAGTCCTTAGCCCTACGGAATTACAATTTGTGTTTTAACAAGATCCCTGGGGATTCACATACACATTAGATTTTGAGAAGTGCTGGCCTACCTCATATGTCATACAACAGGATCACTTAAACCCATCATTAAAAAAATCAATATTATGCCCTGATGGTAATATAAAAGAGGACTAAGAGCAGGTTAATTTGTAATAGGACAATGTCTACGATGTCTATTTTAATGGGTAAGTTGTTGAGTCCCTATATGCAGAATCACTATAGCATCTGCTAGAAAGTATTACAAAATGTCGTTATGAAAAAGAGGATGCTGGTTCTGAATGGATAAGTTGCTGGCCTGGAAGATGCCTCAAAAGCTTTCTAACATTTTTATTTATTTTTAAAAGGTGAGGTCTCACTATGTTGCGCAGGCTGGTCTTGAACTCCGGGGCTCAAGTGGATCCTCCCACCTTGGCCTCCCAAAGTGCTGGGACTACAGGCATGAGCCACCACATCCCGCTGCATCCAAAGCTTTGAAACTCTGCTCTCCCTTCAATTCTAACGGCCCAAAGTGCCTTTTCTTTTTCTTTATTTTTTATTTTATTTTTTGAGACAAAGCCTTGCTCTGTCGCCCAGGCTGAAGTGCAGTGGTGCAATCATAGCTCATCATAGCCTAGACATCCTGGGCTCCAGTGACCCTCCTGCCTCAGCCTCCCAAGTAGTTGGGACTGCAGGTGCATGCCACCACATCTGTTTAATTTTTTATATTTTATAGAGATGGGGTCTGCCTCTATTGCCCAGACTGGTCTCCAACTCCTGGTATCAAGTGATCCTCCCACCTTGGCCTCCCAACAGAGTGGCTTTTCAAACTTCCAAAGAATAGCATTAGGTAAATAGAGTTGGCTGAAAATGGCCAAAAATGCTCTAAATTTACCGAGCACTTATTATGTGTCAGCTGCTCTTCCAGGCCCTTTGCATACATTACCTCATTCAATCCTGGCAATGACCCAATTAGATCCCACTATTTCCATTGTGTGAGGCCCAGAGATATGAAGTCACTTTGCAAAAGTCACACAGCAAGAACACAGAAGACTATATAATTCTGGACGACAGTGGGGCTTCTCTTAATAGTTTCCCTGAAATGCTCAAGGCCTCTGGTGCCAGAGAGCCTGGGTTCAAGGACACTGGTTAGAGGAATGACCTTGAGGAGCTCACTCAATCTCTCAGTTTCCCCATCTGTGAAGCCTCTAATCCGAACACTTTGGGAGACTGAGGTGGGATGATTGCTTGAGGCCAGGAGTTGGGGACCAGCCTGGGCAACAGAGCCAGGCCTCATTTCTACTAAAGGTAAAAAAATTAGGCTGAGTGTGGTGGCTCAACCCTGTAGTCCCAGCACTTTAGGGAGGCTAAGGCAGGCGGAATGCTTGAGTTCAGGAGTTTGAGACCAGCCTGGGAAACACAGTGAAACCCTGTCTCTACAAAACACTGTCTCTACAAAAATTAGCCAGGCATGTGGCACATGTCTGTGGTCCCAGCTACTTGTGAGGCTGAGGCGGATGGCTTGAGCCCGGGAGGTAGAGGCTGCACTGAGCTATGACTGCCACTGCACTCCAGCCTGGGCAACAGGCGAGACCCTGTGTCAAAAAAACAAAAACATACAGCATTTTTTTTTTTTTGAGACAGAGTCTTGCTCTGTTGCCCAGGCTGGAGTGTGATGGCACGATCTCAGCTCACTGCAACCTACCTCCACCTCCCAGGTTCAACTGATTCTCCCGCCTCAGCCTCCTGAGTAGTGGGAATACAGGTGGGCACCACCACTAATTTTTGTATTTTTAGTAGAGACGGGGTTTCACTATGTTGGCCAGCCTGTTCTCCAACTCCTGACCTCAAGTGATCCGCCCGCCTCGGCCTCTCAAAGTGCTGGGATTACAGGCATGAGCCACTGCTCCTGGCCAAATACAGCACTTTTTTTTTTTTTTTGAGACAGAGTCTCACTCTGTCGCCCAGGCTGGAGTGCGGTGGTGTGATCTCGGCTCATTGCAACCTCCGCCCCCTGTTTTCAGGCGATTCTCCTGCCTCAGCCTCCTGAGTAGCTGGGGCTACAGGCGCCTGCCACCGTGCCCGGCTAATTTTTGTATTTTTATTAGAGGTGGGGTTTCACCATCTTGGCCAGGCTGGTCTTGAACTCCTGACCTCGTGATCCATCCGCCTCGGCCTCCCAAAGTGCTGGGATTACAGGCGTGAGCCACTGCGCCTGGCCAAATACAGCATTTTATAATATATTTTTATAAACAAATACACAGCACGTGCTACTTTGGCTGTTGTCATTATTAATGTTACCGTCATTCTGCGGATTCGAGGTCACCTCCACTTACTTCCTCCTCCGATGCCTCCGCTCCTTGTCCTCCCTCCGCGCGTCCCCCTCGTACGTGGCTGGAGCGCCATGCCGGTGCCTTCTCCTGCGCTCGCCCCCGTCGGGGCCCTCGCCCTCGCCCTCGCCGCCCCGGGCCGGCCGGCTGCCCTCGCGGTGCCGCGCCCTCCGCTCCGCCTTGTCCTCCGGACCCTCCTCCCCGGGCCTGCGGTGCGCGCGATGACGTCGATGCTCCCCGTCCGCGCCCGTGCGCGGGGACCCGCTGCGGCTCTCCCTGCTGCCCCCCTGCCGGTGCACGTGCCTCCGGTGGGGGTCCCCGGCCTTGCCTCGCTCGGCCTCGCCCTCCCAGAACCCGGGTTGCTCCAGGCTGCCCTCCCGGGCGTGGTGGTCCGACTCGCGGCCGTAGGGTCCCTCCCGGCTCAGCTCGGCCTCCTGGCTTCCCGCCCAGGGCCTCCGTGCGTCCAGGCCCGCCGAGCCGCTGGGGTCCCGGGCCCGATCGTGGTAGCGGGCCTGTTTCCTGAGGAAGTCCTCGGCGCGCTGCTGGCCGAGGCGCTGGTCCACGGTGGGCTCGGCCGCCCGGCTCTTGTTGGTGTTGTTGTTGCGGTTCTCCTGCGGGTCCACCACCAGCGGCCGGTCCAAGTGCGTCTTCATGTCTGGCCGCAGGTGCCGCGTGTAGGCAGCCTTCCAGCGCTCGTCCGGGTCCATTTCGTTATACAGGGCCTCCCGGCTGGCCAGCAAGTTCTGCTTTCGCATCTCACTGGTCCGCTGCTCCCACACGGACTTGGCTGGCTTTTGATTCTTCTGTTGCTCTTTCCTGCAGTGGCATGGTCACAGGACTTAGAGCATTGCTAGGCACTGTAGCTTGGATGGATGACCCAGGCGAACCAACCCACATCTCAGCCTCCCACTCCTGCTCTCCACCCTCTACTCCCCACTGAATGCTAGGAGTCTGTGAGCATCTGAGTCAGGTCCCAGCCTCCTCTGCTCAAGAACCCTCCATGGCTCCCACCTGGCTAGGGGCAAAAGCCCAAGTCCTCCCCCCTGACCCAGAAGGCCCTGTGTAATCTGCTTGTCACCTCCTTGCCTTCACCTCCTCACACTTACTATTCGATTCTAGTCACACAGGCCTCCTTCACATCAGGCATGTTCCTGCCTCAGGGCCATTGCCTATGCTGTTCCCTCTGCCTGGGATGCCCTTCCCCAGGCCCCCCAGTGGCTCCTCCCTCACCTCCTTCAGGCCATGTAACCTTCTAGGTGAGCAGTCCCCAACCTTTTTGGCACCAGGGGCCAGTTTTGTGGAAGACAGTTTTTCCACAGACCTAGGTGTGGGGGGTGGTTTTGGGATGAAACTGTTTCACCTGAGATCATCAGGCATTCGATTCTTAAAAGGAGCACGCAACCTAGATCCCTCAGATGCACCGTTCACAATAGTGTTTGTGTTCCTATGAGAATCTAATGCTGCCTGCTGATCTGACGGCAGGTGGAGCTCAGGCGGTAATGCTTGCTTGCTCACTGTTCACCTCCTGCTGTGCAGCCCCGTTCCTAATAGGCCTCGGCCTGGTACCAGTCCACAGCCCCGGGACTGGGGACCCCTATTCTAGGTGATGCCTTCCCTGACAACTTCGTTTAAAATCACAACTCTCTTCACTCCCAGCATTTGCTATTTCCCTCCCCTACTTTCTCTGTAGTTCCATCGCCTTCTAACACAATATATAATTTACTTATTTATCTAATTTATTGACTCCTTCCCTTGCTAGAATGGCTACACACAGGTGGGATTTTTTTTTTCCTCCTTGTTAATGCTGTATCCCCAGAAGTTAGAACAGTGCTGGGTACATAACAGCTGCTAACCAAATATTTATTGAGTGAAAGTGGGTGGAAGGACAAGAAGTGTCTCTTCCTAAAGCTCAGTTCTGTCAAGGACCACCCCCACTGCTTCCCAAATCTGTGCCTGGGATAGTGTGGACGTTCAGGAGCCAGGGTAGCATCCCAGGGATTAGGGGCACTTACACAGCTATAGACATGTTGGCCGCGGACAGAGGACTCACTTCTGCCACCTCCTTGGCTTTCTGTAGGGCAAGTTTCTGGTTCGCTGCTTCTTCTTCCTCTTGCTCGTCCTAAAAGGCACGTGGAATCTTTGTTCACAAAACATGAACTAGGCCTTGGGGACTCACTTCTGACCCTGTTGCTGACCAGGGGCAACATTTGAAATATTTCGACCAATCAGAACCAAGGCTCCCCAATTGGAATGGGTACCTGCTATTGGTTAAGTGTATTGCTATCCCCTCTGTGTATAAGTTTGACATCTAACTCATTATGAAGCCTATTTTAACACACAGCCAGATAACAAAAAATAAAAATGTCCCTTCTCTTCCTACAATGAAGACTTTCCTGCAGCCTATTTTTTTTTCTTTTGTTTGTTTTCAGAGACAGAGTCTCCCTTGGTTGCCCAGCCTGGAGTGCAGTGGCACAATCATAGCTCACTGTAACCTTGAACTCCTGGGCTCAAGCAATCCTCCCACCTCAGCCTCCCAAGCAACTGGGACTACAGGTGCATGCCACTATGCCTGTATACATTTAATTTTTTTTTTTTTTTTGTAGAGACAGGGTCTCACTATGTTGCCCAGGCTGGTCTTGAACTTCTGGCCTCAAATGATCCTCCCATTTCGGCCTCCCAAAGTGCTGGGATTCCAGGCATGTGCCACCATGCCTGGCCCCTGCATCCTGTCTTAATGAGCTGGAAAGCAGTGCAAAGATTTTCCTCTCACTAGGCTTTCTGAGCCATGTGAACTCTCTGAACCAACTTTCAAAAAACACCAACTACCCTCACACACAGAAGAGCCTGGCATCCGATGGCCCCTGCCATGCACTGTCAACAGCCCCCAGAAGGAGAATGAGGAGAGGAATTTATATTCCCAGCCCCCATGACAGGAAGGCGGTGGGGAGAGGAGAGCAGGGCACTTGGGCTACAGCCAACTGCCCAGGGTGCTGCTGCTCACTGGTGGTTAGGTTCAGAGAGGAGGAGAATGGGGGAAGAGGTTTTAAAAATACATACAGAAAAAGACGTTTTTGGACTTTAAATCCTTCTTCAGCCTTCATGCAGGGCCTCATTCGTAAAACAGAAAAGCCAACAAAGAAAAAGCAAAGAAAAGGCAACGAGAAAGAAATGGCCAGAAATGAACCCGCCCATAAGAAAAGTCATGCCATTGCAGGCAGCTCTCCCGCTGTGCTCCGAATCACTGGAACGGGGAGCAACCTTACCACCTTGGAAATGGTCAGATCAGGACACTGTCAGAGACAACATGGAGATGGGATCTGGCTGGCCACCCTGCTCTCATAGGGCCACCCCCACCCCTCCTGGCACCATTCCCAGCATTTTTCAGAGCTAGGTCTCTGGACCATCTGCCTCAGAAACACCTAAAATGCAGATCCTCAGGCTCCCCAAATAATCTATAGAACCAGTGCTGGGCCCTGGAATCTGCATTTCCCACAGGTTCCCAAGTGAGCATAAAACATGCCCAAATTCAAGCAACTGGTACACAGCAGTTAAGAGCACAAGCTGCAGACCCAGACGGCCTGGGTTCAAATCCCAGCTCCACAACTTACTGCTGTGTGGCCTTGGGCAAGTCTCTCAACCTCTCTGTGCGACACACATCTCATCTAAAATTCCAACTCTCCCTGACTTTCCCTACTGAATTTTTCTCTGTTGTGTTTATCACCAACTGACAAGCTACGTATGTTTACAAATTTATCTTGTTTCTTGTCTGTCTCCCCTCTTGAATCCCTGCTCCACGGAGGCAGGGATTTTTGCCTTTTTTTGTTCACTGCTTAATCCCTAAGTCCTAGACCAGGGCCTTGGTCACACAGTAGGTGCTCATTAAGTGCTTACTGAATGATGAAATCTGTAAAATGGGGCTCAGAGAACTTGGCTCCTAAGGTTTCCATGAGGACTGAATAGGATTAAAAACACGTATTAAATGACCAAGAAATGCTTGTAGGATCAATGAAAGAAAGAATGTGGATCTGGAGAGGAATGTCCACACCTCCCAGGAGATAAACGAACTGGCCTTTCTCCCTCCCCTTCTGCTACCCTCCTGCACCAGCCCCTAAGGATGGACTCTTGGAACTTGGATGAGCTCATGGCTGGATCAGCCCTCGGCTCAGCCATGCCAGCCAGCTCCACAGTGGCCAGGCTTGTGGCCGTGTGCTTGGGATGGCAGAGACTTCCGCTTCCCTCCACTGGGAGCTGGGGCCGGGAAACTCTCTCTCCCTCCTGCCAGGGCCGGCAGATGGAGCGTTGGCAACGTCTGCTTGGTTTGGTTCAATTTCACAAACATGTCCTGAATACCTCGAGGCACTGGAGGTGGGGCTGCAATGCTGAGGGAGACCCCAGGGCTGAGAGGAAGACCCTGTACCTGTTACATGTAATCTTAACTTAATAGGGTCCTTGGGGAGAGGCTTAGGCTGGACGGAGGCTAGCTCTTAACATGCTGCGTTTGGCTAAGGGGAGGCTCCAGCGGGAAGCCAGAGGAAGAGAGAAGGTGGGGACATTTATTGGCCACTCCATCTGTGCCTTGCCATGGTTCTGGGTTCTCTAAGGTCCCAGGGCTGGTGGCAGCCCTTTTTCCTTGGCCCCAGCTCTGACTGGGTCCCCATAACAGCACTCCCTCTCCCATCCACTAGCCTGGGGGCTACACCATTCCTTGGAAACCCTGCTTACTCCCTGTAAACGGCCTTTTGGTTGAGTTTGCCATCCGTTTCCTGCAGCGACCTCACTGCCTTCCCCCTTCCCACCCTCTTGGCTGTAGAATTTGCTTGATGAGGGACAGTCTGTTTCTGGGAGTGGGGGGAGAGGCGCCTTCTCTTTGCATGGTGCATCCCCGGCAAAAGTTCTAACCCTGTTCCCATGCCCCCACCCCCACCCCCACCCCCACCCCCACCCCCGTCCTGATCTGCCATGGGCAGGTGGTAACTTTGCCAGAGAAACATTCTCCCACCGCCTCCACCTTGGTGAGCTCCTGGGCGTTGGCCAGATTGTCCACAGCGATGGCCAAGAACACATTCAGGAGGGTGTCTGCAAATGTCTGAGTCAGGAAAAGCAACCACTGGTGGGACACCACTTGGGCCCTGGGTATCTGGGTCTCTCAGTACCCTCCCTTGAGCCCCTGCAACCTCTCCTCTGCCAGAGGTCCAGGCCTGTCCCCTTCTCTCTCTCCATGAAGGATACAGTTCCCAAAGAGCGTCAGTACAATGAAATAGATGGAGAACACCATGCCGCCCTGCACGCCCCCCTGAGACTTGATCCCGTCGTACATGACCTCGTTCCAGTCTTCGCCCGTCAGGATCTGAAAGGGGAGGAAGAAACACACAGCCAACCCCCCTCTCAGCCACGGGCCCCTTGGAGATGCAGCTGTGGAGCCGGAATCCGCCCACCCCATCCCCGAGCCCAGGAGGTCTTTAACAATCCTGCCCGGTTTGCAGAGCCAGACTCCGTGTTGGCTTCTCCTTGGCTTTTCTCTTTGTTTGCGAGTAGAAAGGGCCGTTCCTGCGTCGTGGGGCTCTTAGCCTGGCTTCTAGGAAAATGGGACCCTGGAGGAGTCACAGACCCTCCTGTAACTCTGTCTTACTTGATGTGATTAAGGGGATTTGTTATGGACTAAATTGTGCCCGCCTCCAAATTCATGAGTTGAAGCCCTAACCTATGATGGGATGGTATTTGGAGATGGGGCCTTTAAGAGGTAACTAGGGTTAGATGAGGTCATGGGGGACTTCATGATGGTATTAGTGCCCTTATAAGAACAGGAAGAGACCGCATGCCATGGCTCATGCCTGTAATCCCAGCACTTTGGGAGGCCAAGGTGGGAGGATCACTTGAGCCCAGGAGTTCAAGATTAGCCTGGGCAATATAGCAAGACCCCATCTTTACAAAAAATTTAAAAAAATTAGCTGGTGCCCATCTGTAGTCCCAGCTACTCAAGGGGCTGAGGTGGGAGGATCGTTTGAACCTAGGAGTTTGAGGCTGCAGTGAGCTATGATTGTGCCACTGCACTCCAGGCTGGGTGACAAAAAAATGTGATTTGCCTAAAAAAAAAATAGATTTTTTTTTGAGATTTTTGTCTCAAAAAAAAAAAAAAAAAAAGAACAGGAAGAAACATCACAACTCTCTCTCTCTCTCTTTGACATATGAGGACACAGCAAGAAGGTGGCTATCTGCAAGCTAGGAAGAGGGCCCTCACCAGGAACTAACTAACCCTGCTAACACTTTGATCTTGGACTTCCCGGCCTCCAGAACTATGAGAGAATAAATGTTTCCTGTATAAGCCACCCAGTGTGTGGTATTTTGTTATGGCTGCCTGAGCAGACTAAGACAGGATTTTAATATTTACCTGTGTTCCTCATGTGGTCATGGTGATGATTAAACAAGCTACTACGTGGATAGCACAAATGTAGCACAAGGACACGTTTGGGGTCCCCCTGCCTGAGGCAGACCCTGGAACAAGGGTTCGGGTGCAAGTGGTTTGTCTGGGAGGTGATCTCAGGAAGCACCAGTAGGGGAGAGGAGAAGTGAGAAAAGGGAAAAGAGGGTGGAACGTAAACAGTATGTGATCAAGCGAGTTTCCACTGTAGGTAACCGGGGCTTGGTCTTGCTGGGGAGCTCTAGGGGTCATCCCACCTGAGGGTGAGGGAGCTGGGGTATTTATCCACCAACGGCTGCTCCTTTTAAGGTGTGGCACAAAAAATTCACAGTACTGCTGGACTGCAGTTCCTTGGGGGCAGAGCAGGGGACCAGAGAAAGACCAAGGCAAAGGATTAGGTGTTGACAGACGCAAGTTGTGCTGATGCATACTGAAAGAACCAAGGGGATATTCAAACAGCACCTACATGCTCCTTTAAAAAAGATCCAACTTCCTTCCTTCTATCCATATCCCCATGAGGATAAAGTAAATGTTAAAGAACTCCAAAAACATGAATCTGCTAAAACAGGGTTTCTAAGCCTCAGCACTGCTGATATTTGGGGCCAGATTATTCTATTTGGGGCTGTCCTGTGCATTGTAGGATATTGAGCAGCATTCCTAGTCTCCACCCACCAGATGCCAGTAGCACCCTCTCCCTAGCTGTGACAACCAACAATGCTTGCAGACATTGCTACATGTCCTTGGAGGACAGACTTGTCCTTGGGTGAGAACCTCTGAGCTAAAGATACATGACTAGCGATCAGTGCTATTAATAATCGCTTATGGGCCAGGTGTGGTGGCTCATGCCTGTAATCCCAGCACTTTGGGAGGCCGAGGCAGGCAGATCACGAGGCCAGGAGTTCGAGACCAGCCTGGCCAACATAGTGAAACCCTGTCTCTACTAAAAATACAAAAATTAGCCAGGCATGGTAGTATGCACCTGTAGTCTCAGCTACTCGGGAGGCTGAGGCAGGAGAATCGCTTGAACCCAGGAGGCAGAGGTTGTAGTGAGCCAAGAACGTGCCGTCGCACTCCAGCCTGGGCAACAGAGCGAGACTCCATCTCAAAAAAAAAAAAAAAATCGCTTATGTGGGGGCTCAGAACTTCCCTTCATGGAAGGTTTCCTCTTCAACTCCCTGTCTTGGGGTCTCATTTAGAAACTACCTCCCCAGGAGAAGGAGAGAGTGAAGTCACATTTTCTATACACTCTCAGTCCCTCAAAGAGAAAGAATCCACCAAAGATGCTCTGAAGGTCCCGGCTGGGCCAGTCCCAAGCCTCAGGGAATGCGCCCACATGGGTGCAGAAGTTGCTTTGGGTTGATCACCCTGGAATATGAGACCAAGGTATCTTCAGATTTGATGGGTGTATTAGCCATTTTTTTTCTCTGCCTTTTTTTTAAGAGACAGGGCCTTGCTCTGTGGTGCAGGCTGGAGCTCACGGCAGCCTTGAACTCCTGGGCTCAAGCAATCCTCCCGCCTTGGTCTCCCAAAGTGCTGAGATTACAGGCATGAACCACCTCATTGGCCTGGCCACGCATTTTATTTTCTTTATTCTGATGCATCTGGGGTCTTGCTGACTCTGGAGGGACTGCCCGGTCCAGCACTAGCCAGTCCCTAGAGGTAGTAAACAATTTAGCCCTGAGCAGGCTTTTTAAAAGCAAACCAAACAATATCCCAACCAGCCCATATCCCAACCACCTCCTTTATCTTCCCAGCACTATCCACCTGCCCTAATCACCCCAAGGCCAGGTCCTAGACAAGTAGGAACAGCTCCTCTGCCCCAGAGCCCACTGAAATGATCCAAACTAGCCAGTCTCGAGCTGTTTACTCTGCCTCACCCATTCCGTCCCATGGAAACCACAATCAAGCCTCTTGCCCACATTTTCCTTCTCTTCCTGCTTGACCCTGTTGCTTCTCTGCTTGGTCCTGCATGGTGTGCTCCTTCTCTGAGGATCTGTGAGTATAACAAACTTTCTTTTCGTTTTTGAGACAGGGCTTTGCTCTCTCGCCCAGGCTGGAGTATAGTGGTGTGATTGTAGCTTACTGCAGCCTCAACCTCCTGGGCTCAAGCAATCCTTCCACTTCAGCTGCCCTAGTAGCTAGGAGGTATGTATCACCATGCCCAGCTAATTATTATTATTATTTTTTTGCAGAGACGGAGTCTCACTATGTTGCCCAGACTTGTCTCAAACTCCTGGCCTCAAGTAGTCCTCCCATCTTGACCTCCCAAAGTGGTTTTTTTTTTCTTTTTCTTTTTTGAGATGGAGTCTCACTCTGTTGCCCAGGCTGGAGTGCAGTGGCGCGATCTTGGCTCACTGCAACCTCTGCCTCCCAGGTTCAAGCAATTCTTGTGCCTCATCTCCCGAGTAGCTGGGATTACAGGCATGTGCTACCACGCCCGGCTAATTTTTGTATTTTTAGTAGAGATGGGGTTTCACCATGTTGGCCAGGCTGGTCTCGAATTCCTGATCTCAAGTGATCCGCCCACCTGGGCTTCCCAAAGCGTTGGGATTACAGGTGTGAGCCACCGTACCTGGCCAAAGTGCTGGGATTATGGGTGTGAGCCACCGTGCCCAGCCACAAACTATCTTTCCAATGACATTCATCTCCTGATCTGTTGGCCTCACCATAATTGAATAATGATAACCATAAAATCTGTGTTTCAAAGTGGTGTGAAAAGGCCAGGTAGAGAAGGAGGAGTTCAGGGAAGCCCCTTGGATGTGGAGCAGGCACTTTCATCTGTGACACTGAGAGGTGTTGGCCCGTGGGGCCAGGTGGAGGCTGTACCTGAAACACCGTCATTATTGCTGCTGGAAAAGTATCGAAGTTGGTGGGAGGAGTCCCTTCATCGAAATTAAACCTGCAGGGAGGACACAGACATTTCACGTTGGCCCCACCCGGGGTGCTCTGAGGGTGTGGCTCAGTATCTCATCTCCAAGGAAACGAACGTCTCCATCATCTCTGTCCCCAGGAAACCCTGAGTGGTACCCAGGGCCCTGCCCATTTGGGTGACCGCAATGGGTGTCTGGGCTACGAGGAAGGCAGCCTGCACGGTGGAGGGGACTGTGTGTTCCCTGAGCCTGACCCCAGGGAACCAGGAGTTGGAATTCCTGTGAAGGACTTACTGGCCGCCGAAGAGTTGCATTCCCAAAAGGGCGAAGACGACAATGAACAGGAAAAGGAGAAACAACAGGCTGATGATGGACTTCATGGAGTTGAGGAGAGAGACGACCAGGTTTCTGAGAGATGCCCAGTACCTGCCGACAGAGGCCAGGCGAGGACTCAGGCCAGGCGGGGGAGGCAGGGCCCCGGAGTCAGCCCTCGAAACACGAGGCTCACTTTCCCAACTTTCTGGAGGCGGCCCCACCATGTCCCCCATCCCCACCCCCTGTACAAATGTCCAGGAACCCCAAAGACTTACTTTGTGACTTTGAAAATACGCAATAACCTGAGGGCTCGTAACACGCTGATTCCAAAGGATGTGCCAGGTTTTATGACAGCCCAGATGACCTCGAAGATGCTCCCAATGATAACCTAGGGCAGAGAACCTGGTCTCATGTCCAGGGACAGTGTCTGGGCTCCAGAACTGGCAAGCATTTCCTAGGTACCAACCTTGCAAGAACTCAACCAAACTCCTCCCTCCAAATGGAAGCCGGGTGAGGATCCTTGACCCCCTCATTCATCCATTCATTTATCTATAGAGACCGGGTCTCACTGTGTCACCCAGGCTGGAGTGCAGTGGCGCAATCATAGCTCACTGCAGCACTGTCCTCCTGGGCTTAAGTGATCCTCCCACCTCAGCCTCTTGAGTAGCTGGGATTACAGGTGTGCCCCACCACATCTGGCTAATTTTAAAACATTTTTATAGAGATAGTGTCTCGCTAGTATTGCCCAGGCTGGCCTCAAACTTCTGGGCTGAAGCCATCCTCCTGCTTTGGTCTCTCCAACTGTTGGCCTCCACTTTCCAAAGCATTGAGCCACTGCACCCGGCCTCTTATTTATTTATTTATTTTTATTTATTCATTTATTTTGAGATGGAGTCTTGCTCTTATCACCCAGGCTGGTGTGCAGTGGCGCGATCTCAGCTTACTGCAACCTCCGCCTCCCAGGTTCAAGCGATTCTCCTGCCTCAGCCTCCCAAGTAACTGGGATTACAGGCACCCGCCACCACGCCCGGCTAATTTTTTGTATTTTTAGTAGAGACGGGGTTTCACTGTGTTGGCCAGGCTAGTCTCGAACTCCTGACCTCGTGATCCGCCTGCCTCGGCCTCCCAAAGTGCTGGGATTACAGGCGTGAGCCACCACACCTGGCCTCTTTTTTATTTATTAAGAGCTCCCACAGGCCTGAGAATTCCTGAAACACATAATTACAAAGTGAATGTCATGCAACTACTACCTATGTCAACAATTAGGAGAAGGCTAGGGCAGTGGCTCATGCCTGTAATTCTGGAACTTTGGGAGGCCGAGGTGGGCAGATCACTTGAGCCCAGGAGTTCAAGACCAGCCTGGGTAACACAGGGAAACCCTGACTTTACAAAAAAAAAAAAAATTAGTCAAGCATGGTGGCATGTGCCTATAGTCCCAGCTACTTAGGAGGCTGAGGAGGGAGGATAGCTTGAGCCTAGGAATTTGAGACAGGAGAGGGTCATGATCCTGCCACTGCACTCTAGCCTGGGCAACAGAGCAAGACCCTATCTCAAATAAAATAAAAAATAAAATAAAATAAAAAGGGACATGTGGATACCCTGGAAGTTTCCAGAGACACTGTGATATAA
This sequence comes from Homo sapiens, assembly GCF_000001405.40. Taxonomy (NCBI): domain Eukaryota; kingdom Metazoa; phylum Chordata; class Mammalia; order Primates; family Hominidae; genus Homo; species Homo sapiens. The sequence goes on from NC_000019.10 coordinate 13,309,770, forward strand.
CTACCATCCTGAATTTTGTAATAACCATTTTCTTACCTTAAAAAAAACTGAGGTGAAATTCACATAACATAAAATTCACACTTTGAATTACACAATTCAGTGCCTTTAGGTACATGCACAATATTCTGCAACTATCACCTCTATCAAGTTCCAAAACATTTTCATCACCCCCAAAGGAGGCCCTGTCCCCATGAGCAGTTACTCCCCACTCTCCCTCACCCAGACCCTAGCAACCACTAATCTACTTTCTGTCTCTATGGATTTGCCTGCTCTGGACATTTCATACAAATGGAATTATGCAATACTTGACCTTTTGTGTTTGGTTTCTTTTACCGAGCGTTGTGTTTTCAAGGTCCTCGCCTTTTTAACGTATTCAAGTATCATCCTTAAAAAATACAGTTTAAGGCGGGGCGTGGTGGCTCACGCTTGTAATCCCAGCACTTTGGGAGGCCAGGGCAGGTGGATCACCTGAGATCAGGATTTCGAGACCAGCCTGGGCAAATTGCTGAATCCCGGTCTCTACAAAAAATACAAAATTAGCCGGGGGTGGTGGTGCATGCCTCTAATCCCAGCTACTTGGGAGGCTGAGGCGGGAGAATGGCTTGAACCCGGGAGGTGGAGGTTGTAGTGAGCCAAGATTGCGCCACTGCACTCCAGCCTGGGCAATAGAGTGAGACTCTGTCTCAAAAAAAAAAAAAAAAAAAAAAAAAAAAAAAAAAAATATATATATATATATATATATATGTAGAGAGAGAGAGAGAGTTTAATTTTGTCCACTTGAACTTTGCATGAACTGTATGGACTTACGTTGCTAGCTCCTGCCTCCTTCTGTGCCATGTTACATGGGTGAGATTCATTCCTGTTGTTGGGCATGTGGCTGCTGTTGGTGGACTTTGATTGTCACAGAGTATTTCATTATATAGATATGCCACAAAATATTTATCTGTTCTACAGCAAAGGGATACACGGATATTGAGACTTGGAACTATTACAAACAAGGTTGCTCAGGACATTTTAAAATTTTTCTTTTTTTTTTTTTGAGACGGAGTCTCATTCTGTCACCCAGGCTGGAGTGCAGTGGTGCAATCTCAGCTTACTGCAACCTCTGCCTCCCCAGTTCAAGTGATTCTCCTTCCTCAGCCTCCCAAGTAGCTGGGATTACAGGCATGTGCCACGACGCCTGGCTAATTTTTGTATTTTTTTAGTATAGACGGGGTTTCGCCATGTTGGCCAGGCTGGTCTTGAACTCCTGACTTCAGGTGATCCACCTGCCTCCGCCTCTCAAAGTGCTGGGATTATAGGTGTGAGCCACTGTGCCTGGCCTACTTTTATTTCTTAGAGATGGGGTCTCACTCTCTTGTCCAGGCTGGAGGGCAGTGGTGTGATCATAGCTCACTGCAGCCTCAAACTGCTGGGCTCAAGCAATCCTCCCACCTTAGCCTTCTGAGTAGCTGGGGCTACAGGTGTGCACCACCACACCTGGCTAATTATTATTAATTTTTGTAGAGACAGGGTCTTGCTATGTTGCCTGGGCTGGTTTTCAACTCCTGGGCTCAAGCAATTCTGCTGCCTCAGCCTCCTGAATAGCTGAGGCTATAGGCATGAGGCATCACACCCGGCTTTCTTTTCTTTTTAATGGAAAGAAATTGGTTTTATTCTTTAACTACTTGGGTCATTTATGTAGGGAAGGTTTGCTTGTTTGTATGTATTTTGTTTTCTCCAACAACATAATTTTCTATAATGGCAGAAAACAGTACAACATTCAGTTATTATAAATTATTAAGCTGGCTGGGTGTGGTGGCTCACGCCTGTAATCCCAGCACTTTGGGAGGCCAAGGCGGGTGGATCACGAGGTCAGGAGATCAAGACCATCCTGGCTAACACGGTGAAACCCCATCTCTACTAAAAATACAAAAAATTAGCCAGGTATGATGGCGGGCACCTGTAGTCCCAGCTACTCGGGAGGCTGAGGCAGGAGAATGGAGTGAACCTGGGAGGCGGAGCTTGCAGTGAGCCGAGATGGCGCCACCGCACTCCAGCCTGGGTGACAGAACGAGACTCCATCTCAAAAACAAAAAATAAAAACAAAAAATAAAAAAAAATAAATAAATTATTAAGCCTTTCTGAGACCAACAGGACTATGGTAAATGATTAGGGCTGCCCTGGGCCAGGCATTCTCCACTTATTTGCGAACAACCTTAATTTCACTTCCAGCTGCAGGGACATTCTGGCCTGTGTCTCCTAGGTATCTGGGTGAGATTTTCTAGGATGAATTCCTAGCAATGGAATGCTGGGTCATATCTCCATCTTGTAGTTTTTGCCCTGGTTCGATGAGAAGGATTGGACGTAGATTATTCTCCAGGACTTAGGTTTTGTGTGGACTAGTGGGTTACTGGGTGTTAATCACATTTAAAAAATAAATTAATTAACTGAGTAATTCACAAAATAACAAAGGACCATAATGGCTCCATAATGCCAGGGTGTTGTAATCTAACAATTATACTTCATCTACCTCCACATGACTGAGCTACAAAGGAAAAGAAGAAATAGAAATCATATTGATGTCCTGTTTGTAATCCTGAAGTTGGGTACTTAGTTGGAGCGACACAGGCAACCCACCTAAGGCATGGCTTTTCTCCCAACTTGGAAAACTTGTCTTATGTCCCCCACTTAGCTTTCCAAAGGGGGTCTATACGTTTTCCTCCCACTGGCGGTGGTTGAGGGTTCTGGGTACACTGTATCCTTGCCAGTGTTTGGGATTGTTTTCTCATTCCTTCTGCATCCATCTGAGTCTCTCATATTCAGGGGTGACTTTACCTTTCTCCCTTTAATGTGTCCAGGTATCTGTCATTCCAGGCAAGAGCTGGAGAAATGAACTCTTAGAAACAAGAGCACTTACCCCACAGTCAAAGCAGTTGAAGGAAGAGTGGAAGTAAGGCCGCGTCCCAAGCCCGTACATTTTTATAAACATTTCGGACATAAAGAGTCCTAAGAAAATGAATTCTGCATAGTCTAGAAGGGAGAAGGAGGAAACAGAGAGGAGGTTAGGCTTGCTGAGGGTAGGGGTTCCAGGTGGCTCTGACTTTCCTTTTATTATCATTTTTAAACTTTTTATTTTTTGTAGAGATGAGGTCTTGCTATGCTGTTAGGCTGGTTTCAAACTCCTGGCCTCAAACAGTTTCCCTGATTTGGCCTCCAACATGCTAGAACTACAGGCATGTGTCACCACACCCAACTTCTGACTTATCTTTTTTCTTTTTAAAATTTTTATGTGGAGATGGGGGTCTCACTATGTTGCCCTGGCTGGTCTTGAACTCCTGGCCTCAAGTGATCCTCCCAGCACAGCCTCCCAAAGTGCTGGGATTATATACATGACCCACTGTGGCCACGCCCTGTCCAAGGTGTCCTTCCCATGGGCCTCAGTTTCCCCTCTGTTAAAAAGGAAGAGCTGGCTGGGCATGGTGGCTCACGTCTGTAATCCCAGCACTTTGGGAGGCCTAGGCGGTCAGATCAACTGAGGTCAGGAGTTTGAGACCAGCCTGGCTAACATGGCAAACCCCGCCTCTACTAAAAATACAAAAATTAGCCAGTGTGGTGACACATGCCTGTAAACCCAGCTACTTGGGAGGCTGAGGCATGAGAATCACTTAAACCTGGGAGGTGGAGGTTGCAGTGAGCCAAGATTGGGCCACCCTACTGTAGCCTGGGTGACAGAGCAAGACCTTGTCTAAAAAAAAAAAAAAAAAAAAAAAGCAACAATTATGCCCTACCCTCCAACCAACAAGCTAACCAACCTTAGGCCGATTTTAAAAGGAATGAGAAAAATATCAGTGGGTCTCCATCTTGTAGTTTTTGCCCTGGTTCGATGAGAAGGATCGGATATAGATTATTGCCAAGGACTTTTGTGTTGACTGGTGGGTTCCTGGGTGTTTATCACATTTAAAAAATAAACTAATTAACTGAATAATTCACATAATAACAATGGACCATAACGGCCCCATAATGCCAGGGTGCTGTGATCTAACAATTATATTTAATCTACTTCTACGTGACTGAGCTCCAAAGGATAAAAGGAAATAGAAATCATAATGATATCCTATTTGTAATCCTGAAGTTAAGTACTTAGTTGGAGCGACACAGGCAACCCACCTAAGGTATGGCTTTTCTCCTAACTCAGAAAACTTGTCTTATGTCCCCTAGAAATCCTGTGTTGTGAGTGACCTAAAAAGTCTTGAGTAAGACAAAGCCTTTTGTTCTTTGATGAGCAAGCATAAAATTGCAAATGCCTCAGGGAGGGGTAAAACATGGATATGCATTTGCTCCAGCAAATAAATGGCTGACATCAGATCCTTTTCTGAGAGGGCTTTCTTGGTAGGGTAGGAAGATGAGGAGTTAGGAAGGGCGTGGGTACTTAATGGATAGAAAGGAGAGATGAGGAGGGTTTCTGAGGAGCAGAAAGCATACAGAAAGGAAAGAGACAGAGGACTGAAACTAACTTCCATGAATTTCATATAGCTAATTAAGGCCACAAAGCTAATTGTGTTTGGTGGTTGTGATGGTTTAAATGTTTGTGTCCCCTCCAAAATTCACGTTGAAACTTAATTGCCAATGTAACAGTATTAAGAGGTGGGGCCTTCAGGAGGTGATTAAGTCATTACGGTAGAGCTCTCATGAATGGGATTAGGTGCCCTTATAAAAGAGGTTGACAGAGGAAGTTTGTCCCTCTTGCTCCTCCACCTTCTGCCATGTAAGGACCCAGTGTTCCTCCCTTCCAGAGGATACAGTGTTCAAGGTGCAATCTTGGAAGCAGAGAGTAGCTTTCGCCAGACAGGGAAACCTGCCAATGCCTTGATCTTGGGCTTCCCAGCCTCCAGAACTGTGAGAAAATAAATTTCTGTTCTTATCAAATTACCCAGTCTCGGGTAATTTGTTATAGCAGTACAAATGAACTAAGATATTTGCCAAGGGTGTTTGCTATGTCATGCTTTTAAGAGGTGTTTTGAACTGACCGTCAAAGTCCTTCACAGTATTTATCACCAAAATTTCTCCTTATTTATAGGACGCTAAGGAGATCTTAGTGTCTGAGGGGAACTCTAGGGTTCCTAGGACCAAAATATCAGCAGAGGAAGTCTGTTTGTAACATCTGACACATTCCTAGACCCACCAGAAGTAACTCTGGGAGGACTGAAGAGTTTCTGAGATCTTGTTCCTCAGTTACCATGGAAACATGATAGCAGGTGATGCACAAGACTTGAAAGAATTACTTATCCTTAGCATTGTTGCATCTGGAAGAACTTTCAGGACCATCAAATCCGGTTTCTACCACATAGATGTGGAGTCTGAGATCCAGAGAAACAACTACACTTCACTGATGCCAAGATATACATTTTTGTTTATATTTTGACATCTCTGAAATTAATGTGTATCTTTTTTTTTTTTTTTTTTTTTTTGAGATGGCGTCTAGCTCTGTTGCCCAGGCTAGAGTGCAGTGGCATGATCTGGGCTCACTGCAACCTCTGCCTCCCAGGTTCAAGCGATTCTCCTGCCTCAGCCTCCCAAGTAGCTGGGATTACAGGCGCCCGCCATCATGCCAAGCTAATGTGTGATCCTGGGCAATCTACTTAACCTCTCTGTGTCTCAGTTTTCTCAAAGGGAAAGTGGGAATGAGTAAAGGACCTTTATAGACACTGAGGACCCAGGCAGGAAGTCTCAGTCCCTTGTTCCTGAACCAGGACAGACTGTACAAGATGATTAGTAGAGAGAATATAGGAGATTAAAAATAGAGTATTAGAGGAAGTTAAAACACGAAGTAGAGTCCTCATTTATAAGAGACTCCAGAGGGACTAAAAACAATTACTAAGTTTGAAACTAGGTCAGGGCCCTGGGAAGGAGAACTGGTTCCTGAGGGGTGTCCTGGGGGGTCAGCCAACGTGACTGGGAACAAGGAGGGTTATAAGAAGACAATGGCCTGGACTAGGCTCACGGGCCTTTCTAGGTCAAAGACTAGACTGTCTCTTCTTGCTGTCCTAAGTCAATTCTGAACCAGGTCAGAAGGTCAGTGAATAAATTAGACAGCCAGTAGGCAAAAGACGTTTTGAGAAGTCCTTACTTGGGGCCTGTGAGCCAAAGCCAGGGCATCCACCTGCCCCCCTCACTGCCCAATCACTACTCTTTATTTTATTTTATTTTATTTTACTTTATTTTTTGAGACAGACACTCTCTCTGTTGCTCAGGCTGGAGTGCAGTGGCATGATCTTGGCTCACTGCAACCTCTGCCTCCTGGATTCAAGCAGTTCTAGTGCCTCAGCCTCCTGAGTAGCTGGGATTACAGGTGTGCACCATCACATCTGGCTAATTTTTGTATTTTTTGTAAAGACAGGGTTTCACCATATTGGCCAGGCTGGTCTTGAACTCCTGGCCTCAAGTGATCCACCCACCTCAGCCTCCCAAAATGCTGGGATTACAGGTGTGAGCCACCATGCCTGGCCCCAGTCGCTGCTCTTGTTGATTCCTCGAGCTCTTTACTTTTTAAATCCTGCTCAGACATCTCCCCATCTTTTGCTGCTTTTCCTCACCCTCACTTGGCCCTCAATTTTGATACTATCTCATGCTAACTCACATAGAATCTGGGAATAGGCCCAGAGGGCAAAGCCTTAGTGGGCCTTGTACCTTGAGGGAGCAAAACGCTCTCGCAGATACTGGAGGGGATGTTCTATGAATGAATAAGGAAGCCAAAAAGGGCAGGGGAGGAAGTATTAGGTTGGTGCAAAAGTAACTGTGGTTAAAAAAAAAAAAAAAAAAGGCAAAAAACGCAATTAATTTTGCACCAACCTAACAGGAAAGAAGCAGAAGGTTTGAAAGAAGAGAGAAGTAGAGTCAGAAATAAGTAGAGAAAATGAGGGCAACATATAAGCCACTCCTTATTTCTAAGGCATCCTCTCTTAACCATAAGTTATGAACATTTCCAGAGATGTACATAAAAATTATTAATACATGTATGTTTCTGTTTCTATCTGTCTATCTTATGAGCTCCGTCTTTCTCTGTCTCTCTTCCAACATCCCCTTCACCAGCACCCCTCTGTCCCTCTCTCTTAGAAAGGAATCACAGGAGCATTTGTTGGTCTGAATTCCAGCTTCCAGCTCTCAGGTCTAAGGGAGATGGGTTCCATTGTCATAGCAACAGTAACATTGGCCCCAGTGACAGTTATAGAAATGGCTAAAGGAAAGGGCAGATTCAATGAGGACCAAAGAAGATACACATACTACCAGAGAAAGAGAAGTGGAAAAAGGGTGTGAGGGAGGGATCAGGGAGTTGGCAGGGGTGGGGCTGGGTGATACTCACAAAGGAAGTCGGAGAGCCACTCGGGCTGGTTGTAGTGAACAATAGCAACACACAGCGTGTTGAGAGCTACCAAACTGAGTACAGTCCAGTAGAAGGCCTGAGTTTTGACCATGCGGCGGATGTAGAAACGCATCCTCCTCTCCTTTTTGTGAAAAAAGGTCGAGTTCTCCAGCTTGGCACTTTTAATGCTGGCTCGGGCGAAGGGAGAACCTGCCAGGGAAAAGATGGAGAATGTCAGGCTCAGGCTGTTCCTTCAGAAGAAATTAACCAATGTGCAGCCCAAGCACAGATTTTAGCCAGGGGATCCATTAGTCTCTCCAGCAAGCCTCTGGCCTGAGGGAACCATCATGACCCATGGGCTTAGTTTTGCATAGATGGAGCTTATGAGAAGACAGTGCCCCTGAAAAATAACAGAATTAGAAGTAACCAATTGATGGGAAGGCTGATAGTTCTCTGTTGCAGGAGCCAATTTTCCATGTCTCCCACTCCCAGCCACATCTGATGCCTCTGGGAGTCACACCACAGGGCAGGATAAAGCAGAGCCTCCATTCCCTGATGCAGGGGCAGGCAACAGAGCTGCATGGAGCACGCTTGGAAGGCCTCCAGAAAGAGATGTGGATGAGACTGTTTTCCATGGACATTTAACTTTAGAAGTGATCACTGAGGAATAAGCTGGGTGTGTCCTCTGCCTACATATAGTTTTGCTCTTATGCATTTATTGAGTACCTATTTTGTGCCAGGCTCTGTTCCAGGGGCTCAGGATACATTAGGCAACAGAGCCTGGACTTCCGGGGTCTGACCCTCTAAGGGGAGGAGACAGACAGTGGACGTAATAAGTAAATTAACAGTGGGATGGAAAATGAAAAGTGCTATGGGAAAAAAAAAGTTGGGATGGGTGCAGTGGCACATGCCTCTAATCCCAGTACTTTGGGAAGCTGGAATGGGAGGACTGTATGAGGCCAGGAGTTTGACACCAGCCTGGGCAACACAGCGAGACAAGTTCTTTTAAATAACAATTTTTTTTTTAAGAGAAAAAGTAAAGCATCACAGAGGGACTGGGAGCCCTTGGAGAGTCCACAGGGTAGGCTGCAACATTAAATTGCATGGTCAAGGTGAGTGTGTTGACTTGTCACTTTAGTATCTTAGGTAGAGGAAACAGCAAATTTAAGGTCCTGAAGCATGAATGTGTCTGCCCGACATTTTTGGGGAAGAGCACAAGGAAGTCAGTGTGGCTGGAGTGGAGTGGTTGAGGGGAAAAGAGGAAGGTGGTGAAGGCAGGGAGGTGACAGGCAGATCATGCATGGCCTGGTGGACCACAAGGAGGACTTTGGCTTTTACCCTGAGTGAGGGGGGAGCCGTGGAGGGTTCTGAGTAGAGGAGGGATGGAACCTGATTTGGGTGTTCACAGGCACCCTCTGGCTGCCGAGTGGGAGAGTAGACAGTGAGAGGTGAGGACGGGAGCTGGGAGACCAGGCTGGAGGTGACTGAACCCATCCAGGCAAGTGATGATGATGATGGATGGGGGCTGGAGTTGGGTGGTAGTTAAGCGGGGAGGATTTGGGATGAATCATTTAAGACAGATTCAACATTTGCTGATGGAACGGTGTGGATGTAAGAGAGAGGGATGAGCCAAGGTGAATGAATGATGTACATACAAAGGAATGGATGAATTGGTGAACCCCTTAAGGGATGGAGCTCTCATCCACTGAATGGGCACAGGTTTAGGGGAAGGTCAGAGCTCAGTTTTGGACAGATTGAATTTACCTTCTAAAATACATCTTTTTTTTTTTTTTTTGAGACAGGATCTTGCTTTGTTGCCCAGGCTGGAATGCAGTGGCTTGATCCTAGCTCACTGCAGCCTTGAACTCCTGGGTTCAAGCGATCCTCCCACCTCAGCCTCCCAAGTAGCTATGACTACAGGCACGTACCACCATGCCCGCTTAATTAAAACAATTTTGTTTTTGGTAGCAATGAGGTCTCCCTGTGTTGCCCAGGCTGGTCTTGAACTCCTGGGTTCAAGCGATCCTCCCGCCTCAGCGTCCCTAAGCATTGGGATTCCAGCATGAATTACCATGCCCAGGCTTAAGATACCTTTTCTTATAAACCCTCAGTTGCATTCATTTTTAAATGGTTCTTCATTGATTGATTCATTCATTAGTACATTCATTCATTCTTTCATCCATCCATTTGTTCATTTATTCATTCATTCTTTCATCATTCTTAAATTCATTAGCACATTCATCATTTATCCATTCCTTTGTGTGTACATCATTCATTTGCTCATCCATTCATCCATCCATTCGCTCATCCATTCATCCATCCATTCATTATTCATTTGCTCATTTGTTTCTCCATTCATTCCTCCATTTATCCATTCACCCATACATCCATCCAGCACGTTTATCAAAACCACCCCACTTGCCAGACACAGGACACAGCAAACACCTCCAAGGAGGCCACTTCCTATCAGCAAAATTCTCAACAGAGATTTTGAGTTGGCACCCTAGGGGCCATACCGACTCATACTGGGTTTGTGAAAGCTGAAATTATTGGTCCACATTTAAAAACTGGGAGATTTTCCATGAAAATATGGATTTCAGCTTCCCCTGAATGAAAATAACAGCTGACGTTTATGGAACATTTAGCAGGCACCAGGCACTGCAGGGAACATGTTTTATACGACAAGCTACTTACTCCTGCTCAGAGCCCTAGGAAGTAGGGACCAGCGTCATCCCCATTTTACAGCCAAGGAAACAGGCTGAGGGGGGTCTAGTAACCAGTGAAGATGTGTCAAGATGGTTCAGAGTGTGTGCTCTGGGCCGCCACATTGCACACCTGGGGCATATGGTCATGGGGCAGGGGCACATTCCACTCGGCTGCAGTTGGCCAGGCCCAGTGGCTGTGACCTGCTTACAGGGACGCCTCTCCTTTCTGCAAAGACCCTTCCCCTCATGTCCATCACCTTCTCAACCCCAGTGGCAGCTCCTCATGACCCTGCCCAGCATTTCTGGCCCTAGTTCCTGAAACTCTCAAAGATGTGTCCAGATCTGCAGGTCTCCAAAGGGCTTGGCCAAAAGAAATAAGACCCTTGGGACCTTGGGGGACAGGGGGGATGTTCCACAGATCGAGAGAGAGAGAGAGAGAGAGAGAGAGAGAGAGAGAGAAACCACAGCAGGTAGAAGGTCCCCAGCCCCCACTCCTGCTGGAGCCACACTGAAAACCTGGCTTAATCACCAACCAGCAGATGACCTTGGGCAAGCCACCTTGGTAAACTGGAGACAACCACACTTCCTACCTCAAAGGGCCATCCAAAGGCATAAATGAATTAATACATCTTAGCGTGATGCTAAGTGGTACCTTACGATTATTGGATATAAATCTTCTAGTACAACCTCAAGAGCTGAAATCATGACTAGGTTCACGTGCCAGCCATTGAGAAAGTCCTTCCTGATCACTCAGCCTGAAGACACATTCCCCACGACAGGCATACCCTTCACTGGTAAGGGAGAGGGAAATGAATATTAATTGAACACCTACTAAGTGCTGGACCCCATGCTAGGCACTGTCACTTCTGTTAGTTGAATTTCATACTCACTTTGTCCCACGTTCCCTTTTTCTATACATTCCTGTCTCTCGTTTTTCTCTGTGGTCTGGAATTATAATTGCAGACAATTTCTAGATTTTTAAAAATCACTTTCATGAGATGTTTTATTCAACCCAATACATCCAAAATATTACCATTTCAACATGGAATCAATATCAAGGTGGATTCAAAAGATATTTTATACTCTTTCTTTTGTACTAAGTATTCCCAGCCGGACGTGTTATTATGAAGTACATCCTAGTTCAGGGTCAGCCACATTCAAGGGATCAAGAGCCGGTGTAACTGGTACCAGTCTGAAATGTTCTTTTCCTTTTTTTTTTTTTTTCTTTTTTTTTTGAGATAGAGTCTCATTCTGTCACCCGGGCTGGAGTGCAGTGGCACGATCTTGGCTCATTGCAACCTCTGCCTCCCAAGTTCAAGTGACTCTCCTGCCTCAGCCTCCCAAGTAGCTGGAACTACAGGTGCCCACTACCACGTCCGAATAATTTTTGTATTTTTAGTAAAGATGGTGTTTTGCCATGTTGGTCAGGCTGGTCTCGAACTCCTAACCTCAAGTGATCTGCCCGCTGCAGCCTCCCAAAGTGCTGGCATTACAGGCATGAGATACTGGGCGTCCGGGCCAGTCTGCAATGTTCTATGGTGGGGGAAGGGGTATGTCACCGCCAAGGATTCATCTGGTGATTTCTGGCAATTTATATACGCTTAAAATTATATGTAAATTGTAATACAGCCATGTGTGGCTTAATGAGGGAGACGTGTTCTGAGAAATGCATTGTTAGGCAATTTTGTCCTTGTGTGAGCATCTTAAAGTGAACTTACATAAACCTAGATGTTGTAGCCTACTCCACACCCAGGCTACGTGGTTTGTAGCTCCTCGGCTACAAACCTGCCCAGCATGTTACTGTACTTAATACTGTAGGCAACTGTAACATCATAGTATTTGTGTGTCTGAACATATCTAAACATAGAAAAGGTACAGTAAAAACACAGTATAAAAGAGAAAAGGTGGTTCAGCTGCATAGGGTACTTGGCATGAATGGAGCTTGCAGGACTGGAAGTTGCTCTTGGTGAGGGAGTGAGTTGAGTGGTGAGTGAATGTGAAGGCCTAGGATATTATTGTACACTCCTGTATATATTATAAACACTGTATGCTCAGGCTACATGAAATTTACAAAAAAAAATTTACAAAAAAATAAAGTAATTAGGGCCAGGTGCGGTGGGCTCGTGCCCGTAATCCCAACACTTTGGGAGGCCGAGATGGGCAGATCGTAAGGTCAGGAGTTCGAGACCAGCCTGGCCAACATGGTGAAACCCCGTATCTACTAAAAATACAAAAATTAGCCGGGCATGGTGGCACACGCCTGTAATCCCAGCTACTCGGGAGGCTGAGGTGGGAGGACGGCATGAGCCTGTGAGGTTGGGGTTGTAGTGAGCTGTGATCGTGCCATTGCACTCCAGCCTGGGTGATGGAGTGAGACTTGTCTCAGAAAAAAAAAAAAAAAAAAGAAATCGCATACAGAAACACAGAAAGAAGACCATATGACAACAGAGGCAGAGACTGGAATTATGCATCTATGAACTGAGGAACACCAAGTATCGCTGGCAGCACCAGAAACTAAGAAAATACCATGGAACAGATTCTCCCCTAAAACCTTCTGAGGGAACGTGGTGGCTCTGCTGACACCTTGATTTCAGTTTGGACTTCTGGCCTCTAGAACTGTGAGAGAAGAAATTTCTGTTGTTTTAAGCCACTGGGTTTGTGACATTTTGTAATGGCAACTCTGGGAACTCAATACCACCCATATAGAGCCTGTGTTATTAAAATGATGTAAATGGATCCCCGTTTCCCCACATCCTTGCCAGCACTTGTTATGATTTGTCTTTTTTTTTTTTCTTGTAAGATGGAGTCTCACTCTGTCACCCAGGCTGGAGTGCAGTGGCATGACGTCTGCTCACTGCAACCTCCACCTCCTGGGTTTAAGCAATTCTCCTGCCTCAGCCTCCTGAGTAGCTGGGACTACAGGTGTGCACTACTGCACCCAGCTAATTTTTGTATTTTTAGTAGAGATGGGGTTTCACCATGTTGGTCAGCCTGCTTCTCCTCTTATAAAGACAGCAGTCATTGGATTTAGGACCCACCCTAATTAAGTTTGATCTCATCTTAACTTGATTACCACCTGCAAAGACCCTATTTTCATGTAAGGCCACATTTGCAGGTACCAGGGGTTAGAACTTCAACAAACCTCATTTGTCTTTTTGATAATAGCTACTCTAGGCTGGGCACAGTGTCTCACACCTGTAATCCCAGCACTTTGGGAGGCCAAGGAGGGCAGATCATTTGAGGTCAGGAATTCAAGACCAGCCTGACCAACATAGTGAAACTAAATACAAAAGTTAGCTGGGCATGGTGGCGTGTGCCTGTAATTTCAGTTACTCGGGAGGCTGAGGCAGGAGAATCCCTTGAACCCAGGAGGCAGAGGTTGCAGTGAGCTGAGATCACAACACTGCGCTCCAGCTTGGGTGACAGAGTGAGACTCCCTCTCAAAAACAAAACAAAAAACAAAAAACAAACAAACAAACAAAAAGATAATAGCTACTCTAACAGGTGTGAGGTGATAGCTAATGGTGGTTTTGATTTGCATTTCCCTGATGATGAGTGATGTTCAGCATTTTATTCATATACCTGTTGGCCACTTGTATGTCTTTTCTTTTGGGATATGTATGTTCAGATCCTTTGCACATTTTTATTTTTTATTTTGAGACAGGGTCTCGGTCTCCTTCTGTCGCCCAGGGTGGAGTGCAGTGATGCAATGTCAGCTCACTGCAACCTCCTCCTCCCGGGCTCAAGGGATCGTCACATCTTAGCCTCCCGAGTAGCTGTCTTTGCCCATTTTTAATTGGGTTGTTTTCTTGCTGTTGAGTTGTTTGAGTTCCTTATATATTTTGGATATTAGCTCCTTATCAGATGTATTGTTTGCAAACGTTTTCTCACATTCCTTAGGTTGTCTCTTTCCTCTGCTGAACGCTTCCTTTGCTGTGCACAAATTTTTTAGTTTGATACGATCCCATTTGTCCATTTTGGCTTCTGTTGCCTGTGCTTTTGAGGTCCTGTCCAAAAAATCATTCCCGAGACCAATGCCATGGAGCTTTCTCCTTATGTTTTCTTGGAGCATCTTTACCATTTCAGGTCTGACATTTAAGTCTTTTCAGAACATCTGCACTCCCACGTTCACTTCAGCATTATTCACAATAGCCAAAATATGGAAGCAAACTAAGTGTCCCACAATGGATGAATGGATAAAGAAAATGTGGTATGTATACAAATAGAATACTATACAGCCCTAAAAGAAAGAAATTCTGTAATGTGTGACAACAGGGACAGAACTGGAGGACATTATACTGAGTAAAATAAGCTGGCACAGAAAGACAATTACAGTATGATCTCACATGTGGGAGCTTAAAACTAAAAAAAATTGATCTCATAGAAAGAGCAGGAAGGTGGTTCCTGGAGGCTGCAGGGGAGGAGGAGGGATTGAGAAGGAGAAGATGTTGATCAAAGGGTATAAGTTGCAGTTAGACTGGAGGAGTAAGTTTTAGTGATCTATTGCATTGCATTGCATTGCATCGCATTTAGTGATGCATTAATACATTATTGTGTATTTATATTGCATTATTAATAAATAGTAATGTGTTGCATATTTCAAAATTGCTAAGAGATTTTTAATGCCTTCCCCACACACAAAAAACGGTGAGGTGGTGAGGCGATGGATGTGTTAATTAGCATGACTGAATCATTCTATGATGTATACATAGATTAAAACATCACACTGCACTCCATAAACATACACAATTACCATTTGTCAGCTGCAAATAAATTAATAAAAAATCATGCCTGTAATCCCAGAACTTTGGGAAGCCAGGGCAGGAGGATCACTTGAGGCCAGGAGTTTGAGACCAGCCTGGGCAACATAGCCAGACCCCATCTCAACAACAACATCAACAACAACAACAAATTAGCTGGGTGTGGTGGTGCCTGTAGTCCCAGCTACTTGGGAGGCTAAGCTGGGAGGATCGCCTGAGCCCAGGAGCTCCAGGCTGCAGAGAGCTATGATCATATCACTGCACTCCAGCCTGAGTGACAGAGCAAGAACCTGCCTTTAAAAACAAATAAAATCATCTAAATGGGGTCTGGTTTTCCTAAAAAAGCAGAGTTACAATGGCAGCTTCCATTCATAATGGATCAACTTTTTTTTGTTTTGTTTTCATATGCTCCACATTTTACTTATTTATCATTGTGCTTCTTCTTCGTCTTCTTCTTCCTCTTCTTCTTCCTCTTCCCCTTCCCCTTCCTCCTCCTCTTCTTCTTCCCCTTCCCCTTCCTCCTCTTCTTCTTCCCCTTCCCCTTCCCATTCCTCCTCCTCCTCCTCTTCTTCTTCTTCCTTCTTCCTTCTTCTTCTTTCCTCCTCTTCTTCTTCTTCTTCTTTTTTTTTTTTTTAATACAGGCCAGGTACAGTGTCTCACACCTGTAATCACAACACTCTGGGAGGCCAAGGTGGGAGGCTCATTTGAAGCCAGGGTTTTGAGACCAGCCTGGGCAACATAGCGAGACCGTGTCTCTATCAAGTATTAGCTGGGCACTGTGGCATGCGCCTGTAGCCTCAAATGATCCTCTCACCTTGGCCTTCCAAAACATTGGGATTATAGGCATGAGCCACCGCACCAGGCCTGTATTATTGCATTCTTTACAGAAATAAATAAAGGCTCACTCTATCACCCAGGCTGGAGTGCAGATCTTGGCTCACTGCAACCTCCATCTCCCAGGTTAAGTGATGCCTCTGCCTCCCAAGTAGTTGGGATTACAGGCGCCCGCCTCCATGCCCAGCCGATTTTTGTATATTTATTAGAGACAAAGTTTCGCCATGTTGGCCAGGCTGGTCTCAAACTCCTGGCCTCAAGCCTGTCTTGGCATCCCAAAGTGCTGGGATTACAGGTGTGAGCCACCGTGCCCAGCCATACTGTTATTTTTCTTTTTAAAGTTATTATTCATTTATTTTAAATTGACAGATACAGGCTGTATCTATTTATAGTGCATAACATGATATTTTGACCATATGTATACACTATGGAGTGGCTCAGTTGAGCTAGTTAACATATGCATTATTACATATGCTTATCACTTTTCTCACGGTGAGAATGCTTAAAACCTACTCTCTGAGCAATTTTCAAGTATATAATACATTGTTATTAATACAGTCGCCAGGCTGTACAAAATAGATCTCTTGAACGTATTCCTGCAGTCTAAATGAAATTTGATATCCTGTCAGGCGCGGTGGCTAACACCTGTAATCCCAGCACTTTCGGAGGCTGAGGTGGGCAGATCACTTGAGGTCAGGAGTTTGAGACCAGCCTGGCCAACATGGTGAAACCCCATCTCTACTAACAGTACAAAAATTGGCAGGGCGTGGTGGTGTGCACCTGTAGTCCCAGCTACTTGGAGGCTGAGGTGGGAGAATCGCTTGAACCTGGAAGGTGGAGGTTGCAGTGAGCCGAGATCGCACCACTGCACTCCCACCTGGGCGACAGAGTAAGACTCCATCTCAAAAAAAAAGAAAAAAAAGAAAAAAAAATTGATATCCTTTCAGCAACATGGCTCAACTTTTCATGTAAATGATTCAAGTTCCTTATTTCAGCAGTAAGTTCATCAATTAGGAATGAACCTGCTTTATAGTGCGTTTATCAACTGATTCAACAGCGCAGTAGAATCACCAATTATATAAGACTGCATGTGGGCCAGGTGTGGTGGCTCACGCCTGTAATCCCACTGCTTTGGGAGGTGGAGGTAGGAGGATTGTTTGAGGCCAGGAGTTTGAGACCAGCCTAGGCAACATATTGAGATCCCATCTCTAGTAAAAAATATAAAAAACTTAGCTGAGTGTAGCAGTGTACACCTATAGTCCCAGCTACTTGGGAGGCTGAGGTGGGAGGATCACTTGAGTCCAGGGGTTTGAGGCTGCAGTGAGCTATGCCTGCACCACTGCACTCCAGCCTGAACATCAGAGCAAGACACTGTCTCAAAAAAAAAAAAAAAAGGACTGTGCATACTGTGGTATAATGTGAACGTGAACGCAAATACCACATAGCTCCCACCTTACTTTGAAATATGCATTACTGTATTATTACTTTTTTTTGTTTTTTTTTTTGAGATGAAGTCTCTGTCACGCAGGCTGGAGTGCAGGGGCATGCTGTGGCTCACCGCAGCCTTGACCTCCTGGGCTCAGGTGATCCACCTCAGCCTCACGAGTAGCTGGGACTACTGGCGTGTGCCACAATGCCCAGCTAATATTTGATAGAGACAGGGTCTCACTATGTTGCCTAGGCTGGTCTGAAACTCCTGACCTCAAACGATCCTCCCACCTCAGCTTCCCAAAATGTTGGGATTACAGGCGTGAGCCACCACACCCAGCCTGTATTGTTGCATTCTTTACATAAATAAATAAAGCTAAATGTGATTCCTTGCCAGAATCCTGGAATTCCAGAGATCTCTTTTGGGGTGGTCTAGAAAACCACTGGCTAGATTGGGGGCTCCTTTCTTTGTCTTTTTGAGTAATCAGGCTGATGAGGTGGGTTTTGGTGGATTTGCCTGTAGCAAACGTGGCTATGAAAGAACAAGCCACTGGCCTGGGTTTTGGGTCTGTTTAGAAAGCTGCAATGTCACCTGCCTTGTTAACAGAGGCGGAGGCTGCAGTGAGCCGAGATGGCACCATTGCTCTCCAGCCTGGGTGCTAGAGCAAGACTCCATCTCAGAAAAAAAAAAAAAAATTAAAAAAATTAAAAATATATATACATATATATGTATATGCAGATTTTTTATTTTTTTGATGGAGTTTCACTCTTGATGCCCAGGCTGGAGGGCAATGGCGCCATCTCAGCTCACTGCAGCCTCCGCCTCCCGGGTTCAAGTGATTTTGTGCCTCAGCCTCCTGAGTAGCTGGGATTACAGGCTCACGCCACCACACCCAGCTAATTGTTGAATTTTTAGTACAGACACGGTTTCACCATGTTGGCCAGGCTGGTCTCCTACTCCTGACCTTAAGCGATCTACCCGCCTCAGCCTCCCAAAGTGCTGGGATTACAGGCGTGAGCCACCGCGCCCGGCCAGCAAAGTAGATTTTTAAGAATGTATGTTATTTTATTTTTTTAAGAGACAGGTTCTCACTCTGTTGCCCACGTTGCAGTGCAGTGGCACAATCATAGCTCACTGCAACCTTGAATTCCTGGGTTCAAGAAATCCTCCTGCCTTAGCTTCCTAAATAGATGGGACTATAGGTGTGTGCCATAATGCCTGGCTAAGTTTTTCAACATTTTGTTTTTCAGAGATGGAGCCTTGTTATGTTGCCCAGGCTGGTCTTGAACGGCTGATCTTAGGAGATCCTCCTGCACTGGCCTCCCAAAGCAGTGGGATTACAGGCGTGAACCACTGTACCTCGTCATAAAACAGATTTTAAACAATGGAGGTAACGTAACACGTGAGACAGACATAATTGATCAAATACTCAAGACACCTACTGAGCGCTCCAATTCTTGACATTTGCTTACAGGAAATTAAACAGATGCACACACGAGTGGAAGCAGAATGAGTTCTCCATTACAAAGAAAAGCGTGTTTTGGCTGGAAATTAAAAATGCAAATGAAAACAAGCTTTAAGGTTTCATTACAAACCCACTTAACTGGGAAAGGAAATTAAATTGGTAATATTCGATGGCCTGGGTGGGGAATCCATGAACATATGCATACTTGGCAGGTTTATAAATGGGTTCCATGTTTTTGAAACTCAGAATGGCTCTTTGAATAATGAGTTGAAAAGCTGTTAATATCTTTGATCCTATAATTATCCCCAAGGAAATACGCCCAAAGGGTGGGGGGAGTCATTGTACGTAAATGTGCACAGCAGTGTTCTTCGTAAGAGAAATTATTGGAAACAACTCAAACACCCTATAATAGAGCTATGGCTAAACAAACCATAGTGTATCCACCCTACGAGATATGTGATCGCAATGGAAATTATGCCTAAACTCAGCAATAAGGTTATAAACTAGGGGCGAGCGATAAAAGGGGAATACGAAATAGTGGATCAGAAACTATGGATCAGAAACACATGGATGTACTAACTTCCCTCCTTCCTTCACTTCTCTCCCTCCTTCTCTTCCTCCCTTCCTCTTTCTCTTGCCATCCTTTCTTCCTCTAAACTGCGGCCACACAGTTTCCCAAGCAGCCTAAATTCCTTCTCCCCTCAATCTTATTCCAGTCTTATTTCCTCTGCCTGGATGCTCTTCCTTCCATTAAAAACAAAAACCCATTAAAGAACAACAACAACAATAACAATACATTCTCACTTTAGAAGGTCAAAATCAACATCATCACAGCCAATGAATCAATAGGACAGAGGAGTGAGAAGGGAAAGAATAAATGTTCCCTCCTCCCTCGAACTCTGGCCCTTGTGGTGGCAAAGGTCTGAGCCCTGCCTCTCACACTGTTCCTTCTGCTATCACCACCACAGTGATCTCCTACCCATCCTTCAGTTCCCAGCTTAACCGTCACTTCCTCCAGGTAGCCTTCCCTGACTGCTCCCCATCCTTCTAGAGCAAGCTAAGCCCAGAGCCTCTCCCTGAAGTGCCATTACCATTACAGGTTTATTTGTGTAATTCTCTGTTTAATTTCTATTTCCTGCACTGGACTGTGAGCTCCATGTAGGTAGGGATTTGGTTTGTGTCTTTTTTTTTTTTTTTTTTTTGAGACAGGATCTTGCTCTGTTGCCCAGGCTGGAGGGCAGTGATGAGATCTCAGCTCACTGCAACCTCTGCTTCCCAGGTTCAAGTGATGCTCCCGCCTCAGCCTCCAGAGTAGCTGGAACTACAGGCTAATTTTTTTCGTATTTTTAGTAGAGCCAGGGTTTCACCATGTTGGCCAGGCTGGTCTCGAACTCCCGACATCAGGTGATCCGCTCATCTCAGCTTCCCAAAGTGTTGGGATTACAGGCGTGAGCCACTGTGCCTGGCTCAGTTTGTGTCTTTTTTTTTTTTTCTGTGCCCAGGCTGGAGTGCAGTAACACAATAATGGCTTATTGCAGCCTCCACTTCCCAGGCTCAAGTGATCCTCCCAGCTCAGCCTCGTGACTGCCTTGTCTTGTTTGCAACCAAGCACCTAATATAAGCAGGTCCCCCATGAATACTTCCCGAATGAGTCACAAACATTCACCAACTTGACTGGGAGCTTCGTCCCTGCCAGGTGCTGGTTTGCCATGCTTCATGGGGATCATTTAGTTGAATTCCCACAAAATAATGAGAAGCTAGGCACGGATGTTATTCCCATAATGATGTAATCTGCCCAGGACACACGCACAGGTGGGAAAGGGTGGAGCTGAGACCCAAATCCAGGCAGCACGGTTTGCAAGCCCTCTGCCCCCACCCCACCATGTCTCTTGGGCGATAGGTGATGAACAACTGATAGGTGGCAGAGGAAGGGACTCACCCACAGAGGCTATATCAGCCAGCTGATCCTCAGCCTCTTCGGGGTTGAGCAAATCTGTCTTGCTTTTCTTTATGGTGGTTCTCCGCAGAGCTCCAACAATGGAAACATGGCAAGAGAAAAAGACGTTACCCTTTTTGCAACACAGACCATATGGACACAGTGTGTCCTTGGATTTAACTCTCACGGCAACTGTTCTCACGGGAACTAATAGTATACCCATTTTTCAGATGTGTAAACTGAGGTTCAAGGTGGCACTATCACTTTGCTTAAAGGGGTAAAGACAAGAATCAAGTCGGGTTCAGTCCGACTCCAGGTCTGGGCCCTCAGCCACTATTTTCCTTCTGGTTTATTTATTTATTTGTTTATTTATTTTGAGACAGAATCTTGCTCTGTCACCCAGAGAGTGGTGTGATCTTGGCTTACTGCAACCTCTGCCTCCTGAGTTCAAGCGATTCTCCTCCCTCAGCCTCCTGAGTAGCTGAGACTACAGGCATGCACCACCACGCCTGGCTAATTTTTGTATTATTAGTAGAGATGGGGTTTTGCCATGTTGGCCAGGCTGGTCAAACTCTTGACCTCAAGTGATTTGCCTGCCTTGGCCTCCAAAAGTGCTAGGATTACAGGCGTGAGCCGCCCCACTCAGCCTCTATTTTTAAATTCTAAGAAACCTCACTTTCTTATGAAAACAGTCCACCCCTTGACCTGTAGCATACTCGCTAGGCAGGCTGCAATTTTGGGATTCTGCCCCCATATTCAAGCTATACACCCCAGGGGCTCCACAGCAGACAAGTTCAGGTGTAGACTTCCAATAAAAAGATTTAGGTACCCTAAATGAGTTAGATTACCTAACTCATTTAGGGGAGTTAGGTAATCTCCCCTCCCCAACTAAGATAATAAAATTCATTTTATAACCTTCTGGGACGCAGTGCCAGTTCTTTTATTTCCCTCAAATCTCTCAGATTTTTAATCAAAAGTCATCACCCTGTCTAACCAGCTTTCTTTCTTTTTTTTGAGACAGAGTCTTGCTCTGTCGCCTAGGCTGGAGTGCAGTGGTGTGATCTCGGCTCACCGCAACTTCCGTCTCCCAGGTTCAAGCAATTCTCGTAGTTTAGCCTCCTGAGTAGCTGGGATTACAGGCGTGTGCCATGACACCTAGCTAATTTTTGTATTTTTAGTAGAGATGGGGTTTCGCCATGATGGCCAGGCCGGTCTTGAACTCCTGGCCTCAAGTGATCCACCCGCCTTGGCCTCCCAAAGTGCTGGGATTACAGGCATGAGCCACCACGCCCAGCCCCTGTCTAACCAGTTTTCTAAAGTATGAGAAGATAAATCTCAAGCAAGAAGTTGCATTTTTCAGGGAGTACTATTATTTTTCTTATTGCTGTTATTATTATATTGCAGACATATTATTCTGGCCTATCTCTAAATTCTTTTTTTTTCTTTTGAAACAGGGTCTCACTCTGTCACCCAGGCTGGAGTGGAGTGGTGCCCACTGCAACCTCGACCTCTTGGGCTCAAGTGATCCTCCCACCTCAGCCTCCTGAGTAGCTGGGACCATAGGTGCGTGTGCCCCCACATCTGGCTAAGTTTATTTTTTGTAGAGACGGAACCTCATTATGTTGCCCAGGCTGGTCTTGAACTCCCAGGCTCAAGTGTTCCTCCTGTCTTGGCCTCCCAAAGTGTTGGGATTACAGATGTGAGCCACAGACAGACCGCATCCAACCCTATCTCTAAATTCTAGGAAACTTTACTTTCATGAAGCCTCAGGTTGGATACACAGTGACTCTTACAGTCTGTCCCCTGACTCCCAGCTATGCTGGGGAGGTTGGGCTTTTGGACACCTTTTTAATGGTCCCTCCTTTCATATTCAGGTTTCCAGGGGACCATGAATTGACATCTACACTCCCAGCATTTTGGGAGGCCAAGGTGTGCAGATCATTTGAGGCAAGGAGTTCAAGACCAGCCCGGCCAACATGGCGAAACCCCATCTCTATCAACAATATAAAAATTAGCCAGGCATGGTGGCTCATGCTTGTAATCTCAGCTTCTCATGAGGCTGAGGCAGAGAATTGCTTGAACCTGGGAGCCAGAGGTTGCAGTGAGGTGAGATCGTGTGACTGCACTCCAGCCTGGGTGACAGAGCGAGACTCTGTCTCAATTAAAAAAAAAAGAAAAGAAAGAAAGTCATGGTTCTGTCTCGTTAAGTTTCTAACATGGGAGACAGCAGCCGTTCACAGTAAACTGGATTATTGGTGGAATTATTACTTATTTAGCAAACAGAAACGTGCTGACCCCATGCCAGGCACTATCCCAGGTGTTCTATTTGCCATAACGAATATCATTCTGAGAAACAATCTCGTGAGCTAGGGTATTGTTTATATCATACCCATTTTGCAGATGAGAAAAACCAAGGCACAAAGCAGAAAAAACCAGGTCCATGGTTAAAACAAAAAAGTGGAGGCCAGAATAGGGAAACTCTGCATGGAAGTCCTAAAATTCCTCCAAGAGGAACGTCTACCCTCTGCAAGATCCTTAGAACCAGTCACCTGCTCTCCCCCGACTCCCCACCACAGCTTCTCCCTTCTCCCCTGGGACCCACCCCTGAGGTGGGTTTAGAGCAGTTACCATCAAAGGGATGCCTCTGCTCCCCGTCAGTTTCATCCTCGGCGAGGATCACCTCTTCTGAAGAGGAAGAGCACAGAGTTAAGCTCCTGCATTTGGAGGATGAGTTCTCCCTTGGACCAGGAAGAAGGGTCTGCCCGGCCACCCCCATTCTCTGCTGACTGATGGTGACAGCTCAACCGACCAAAAAACATGCTGCTGGGTGGTTTGTGACTTCAAGCCCCACCTCCGCAACAGTAGCAATAGCCAACATTCTCCCCACCTCGCGCAAAATAAAAACCAATGTCCACACCACAGCCTATAAGCCCCTGCTTGATCTGATCTCCATCACCTTCCTGTCTTCCTCTCCTCCAGCTGTCCCCACCTCTCACTCTGTTTCAGCTGCACTGGCTTCCTTGCTGTGTCTCAAATACGTTCCTAGCTCAGGGCCTTTGCACTTGCTGTCTCTGCCTGGAATGCCCCTTCCCTTGACATCCCCACAGCTTCCTTCTTCACGTCCTTCAGGTCTCTCTGCTCAGAGGGTACTTCCTTAGAGAAGCCTTCCCTGACCACCCTGCCTCTAACTTCCTACTCTTTTTTTTTTCTCTGACACAGAGTCTCACTCTGTTGCCCAGGCTGGAGTGCAGTGGTGCGACCTCAGCTCACTGTAACCTCTGCCTCCTGGGTTCAAGCAATTCTCCTGCCTCAGCCTCCCGAGTAGCTGGGATTACAGGCGTGCGCCACCATGCCTGGCTAATTTTTGTATTTTTAGTAGAGACAGGGTTTCACCATGTTGGCCAGGCTGGTCTCGAATGCCTGACCTCAGGAAATCTGCCCGCCTTAGCCTCCCAAAGTGCTGGGATTACAGGCGTGAGCCACCGCGCCCGGCCAACTTCCTACTCTGTTTTATCTTCCTAGTCTGTTTTATCTTCCTTCTCTGAATTTGGGAGTTCCCAACATGACATGTATTTGTTTGCTTTATCTCTCTCATTAGAATATCAGAGCTCTGAGGGCAGGGATTTGGTGTGTATTGTTTACTCCCATATCCTCAGTGCTTAGATCAGTGCCTGGCACACAGCAGGTGCTCCCTAAATGTTTGTTAAATGGCTGAACAAATAAATATGTGCCTACCGTGTATCAGGCACTTCTCTCCCCAAGTGACTCAGCTGAGATTATTTTACTAAATACTCCAATAGTACTATGACTTAGGCACTACCATCGCCTCCATGTAACAGCTGAGGAAACGGAGGTACAGGGATGTGTGGTGCATGGGTAAAAAGTGGCAGGGCCGGGATGTAAACCAGCGTCTGATTTCAGAATTCAAGTTACGTGATGTCAGATCCTGGCTTCATCTTAGACTTCTTCATATCAGACTCTGGATTCTTGTTGATAAAATTTGGGACTACCAATTCAGGTTCTCTTTCTCCTCCCATCATAACCCTCCCAGCTTAGCCTTCTCCAAACTGCATGACTCTCTTTGTACTCCGTGGCCTGGGATCTCCATCCCTGGGCCCCAGGATGAAAGGGCCTCACCTGCTTTTGAGATCCACTCCATGTACCCATTGAGCTCACGTTCAATCTGTTGTTGCCGCCTCAGCTTCAGAAAAGCCCGCCGGTTCTCCACCCGTTCCCTTTCTTTGGCAAACTCCCTGGAGAAGCATAGAAAAGCCAGAGTATGGCTGTTTTGAAAATGTTAGGAAACGTTTGTGTGTGTGTTTGTGTGTGTGTGTGTGTGTGTGTGTGTGTGTTTGTGTGTGTGTGTGTGTTTGGGGATTCAGAAGTCCCTGGAGGTCAGGAGTTTTCAACAGGAGGAGTCAGGACTTCTGGGAAAAGACTGGGATATTATAGTGATGGGTGCTTCTGCCAGCTTCACACATTTCCCGACAACTGTGCCTAGGTAAAGAAAAAGGCCAGGCACAGTGGCTCATGTCTGTAATCCCAGCACTTTGTGAGGCTGAGATGGGAGTATCATTTAAGGCCAGGAATTTGAGACCAGCCTGGACAACACAGTGGGCCCCATCTCTATGAAAAATAAAAAATGTAGCTGGGCATGGTGGCATACACTTGTTGCCTTAGCTACTCAGGAGGCTGAGGCAGGAGGATCGCTTGTGCCTAGGAGTTCTAGGTTACAGTGAGCTATGATCGCCCCCTACACTCCAGTCTGGGTAATAAAGCTAGACACCGTCTCAAAAAAAAACAATAAAAAAGAAAAAAACCGAAAGGATAAAACCATGCCATGCCAACCACCACTGGCTGCATACCTCATTCTCATTCTCTTCATACTTTTGGCTAATAATTATTTCAGCCCTCTTTTAAGTTAGACCAATAAGCCATGAATGAAAGATTTCTGCAGCAGGTTGGCTTCTCTGCCATAGGTCCCACCTCTTCCTGTTTCCCTTCTTCCTTTTCCTGTTTGGAACATGAAGTGGCCATCCGGAGGGCGTGAGGCAGCCATCTTAAGACCATGAGGTATCCACGAGATTGGAAGCCTCTGGTAAAGATGTCAGAATGGAAAGCTGGAAGAATCTGGGGTTGCTGATGGTGCCATAGAGCCACCATACAAGTGCCCAGACTTCTTATGGTAAGAAAAATGAAGCCCATTTATGATTAAGCCAAAAAAATCTTGGGGATAGAGGACAATATGGGTCAGGAAAATACACCGTTAGAGCATATGCTATGATTTTATATTTGGAAAATGGGGGAGAAGTAAACCCAAACTATTGGTTTTTAAAAAAAATGTAAAGAAAGTAAAGCCCATATGAACCCTCTCACTGGGTACCCCTAGCAGTACACAACCTCTGCACCTGTGCATGGCTTGCTAATAACAGTCTGGTAACCCAAACAAGGGAAGAAGCCTTTTCTCTGTCTAGTGAATGAAAACAAAGCTTCAATGGCCTCTACTTGGAAAGAAGTTAGCAAAGAGGAGTGAGTGGGATGGGGTGGGGAGTAGCAGAAACTTACCCTGACAGCACACCCAGCACAAGGTTCAGCATAAAAAAGGAGCCGATGATGATGAGGGGGATGAAGTACAACCAGTTCCAAGTGTTCCCTGAGGCATCGTTGCTCTGTAGGGTGTGAGGAGGGAAAGCAGGTGAGAGTTGACTGGGACTCAGATAGAACCTGACAGGTGAGGGAAGGGGAAGCTCGGTTCTCTTGTGGCTCTGTCTTAAATGTTCTTGGCTTGTGGAGTTCTGGGGCTCTGGCATCCCAGAGGGGGAAATGGAGGAACGTTTTCTGAAGAAAACATCCAAAGGGTAAAGCTCTCTCTTAATTATGTTCTCCTCACATAACATAATTGACCTGGGAATGGAGTAAGAAACACAAGAGGACTTCCCAGACCACAGTCCAGAAGGAGAAGGAAAAAGTAAACCAAACAAAACACAAAACCTATTGAAATGGATTAATTAATCCCTGGTTCCTTCTCTTCTCCCAACACAGTCATAGACTCCCCTTAGAGGAGATGCATGACCACAGAGTCTGATGGCCTGGTGAAATCACCAAGCCAGACAGATGGTCCATGAGCCCTTTCCTCAAGTGTCTCCCTGCTCCATTCCCTGCAGCCTTAATGCCAATCACAAAAAATTCTCAGAAGTTTCAGCTCAATTTTCAAGAGGAAAAAAGTCCACAAATAGAATACTCTCTGAAACAGAAAATAGAACACTATAGCAAGAAGGAAGTAAGATGAGGGGAAGAAAATCAAGGAGAGGAGGTTGGGGGGTGGAGAGAGAAAGAGAGACAGAGAGAGAGAGGGAGAGAGAGAGAGAGAGAGAGAGAGAGAGAGAGAGAGAGAGAGAGAAAAGAATGATAAAAGCCAGCACTTACAGAGTATTTATGGTGTGCTGGCACCTTCCTAAGCACATTATGTATGTTAGCTCACTTAGTCATTTAATCCTCATGATGCCTCTATGTTATAATGCCCATGTTACTATTGAGGAAACTGAGGCTTAGAAAGACAAAATCATCAGCCCAAGATCACAGAGTTATTCACTAGTGGACATGGGATTTGCACTAACCACCTGGCCCCAGAGTCCATGGGCTTAACCTCTGTGCTGGGAAGCCTTGCCTCCAGCTGTCAGGGCAGGGGTAGCCTTTGAATAGTTGATCACCCTGTGACACCTGCAGAATGCAGGGCTCTCAAGTGTGGCTTTAAAAGCCCACCTTTAAAAGCATGTATGACACTGCTGCTGCCTGGAAGAAAGGCTAAAATGAGAAAGAAGTTAAGATGAGGTCATTACTACCAGGTGTCTGTGAAGCTGTGGAGCAACTGGAACCCTCATAATCTGCCAATGGGAGGGCACCATGCTGTATTCATCTCCTGTGGCTGCTGTAACAAGGAACCACAACCTAGGTGGCTTAAACAACAAAGATTTATTGTCTTACAGTTATAGAGGCCAAAAATCCAAGCTCAAGGTGTCAGAAGGGCTGGTTCCTTCTGAGAGCTGTGAGACAGAATCTGTTTTATGCCTCTCTCCTAGCTTCTGGCGGTTTGCTGGCAATCTTTGCTGATTCTTGGCTTGTAGAGGCATCATCCTGAGCTCTGCCTTTGTTTAAACATGGCATTCTTCCTGTGAGTGTGCCTGTCTCTGTGCCAAAATCTCCCCTTTTTATATGGACACCATCGTATTAGATTAGGACCCACCCTAATGATCTCATCTTAACTGCTATGGTTGGTGCAAAAATAACGGCAGTTTTGCCAATGGCAAAACCTTTACATGTGCAATGAATCTATTTCCAAATAAGGTCACATTCTGAGGTACTGGGGGTTAGGACTTCAACATATGAATTTTGGGGTGAGACAATAAAACCCATAACACATGGTACAACTACTTGAAAAATTGGTTGAGAGTTTCTATGCTAAAATTAAGTCATGCTTAACAATGGGCATACATTCTGAAAAATGTGTCACTAGGTCATTTTGTTGTGCAAACATCATGGAGTGTACTTACACAAACCTAGATGGTATAGCCTACTACACACCTAGGCTGCATGGTCTCGCCTATTGCTCCTAGGCTACAAACCCATACAGCATGTTATTCTATGGAATACTGTAGGCAATTGTAACTCTATAGTGTATCTAAAAATATCTAAAAACAGGCCGGGTGCGGTGGCTCACGCCTGCAATCCCAGCACTTTGGGAGGCCGAGGCGGGCAGATCATGAGGTCAGGAGATCGAGGCCATCCTGGCTAACATGGTGAAACCCCGTCTCTACTAAAAATACAAAAAAAATTAGCCGGGCCTGGTGACGGGCGCCTGTAGCTACCTGGGAGGCTGAGGCAGGAGAATGGCGTGAACCCAGAAGGCGGAGCTTGCAGTGAGCGGAGATCACACCACTGCACTCCAGCCTGGGCAACAGAGCGAGACTTCGTCTCAAAAAAAAAAGAATCTAAAAACAGAAAAGCTATAGTAAAAATACTGTATGATAATCACTGTTATGTATTCGGTCCATTATGGGACCACTGTTACATATTTGATCTGTTGTTGACCAAAATGCCATTGTGCAGTGTATAACTGTATGTACCTTTGCCAACACCCAGTAATTCTTGGATAGTTACTGATCCAAGATCACTACAATTAGATAGTAATTCCGAAATAGTAATTCTGAATAATTACACAACAGAAAGCACACACAAGAACATTCATAGCAATGGTATTCATCATAGCTCCAAATTGCAAACAATCCACACTGTTATCAATAGGAGAGAGAGGATACATGCAATGAACAATGCCACAGGTCACATGAGATCTTAAAAAGTTAACGTCAAGCAAAAGAAGCCAGACTTCATTTATGCAAAATACAAAACAGGCTAAACTGGTGAATGATGCTCAAAGTCCTGGTAGGGGTACCCTTGCGGGGAGGTAGTGACTAGGAACAGGATATGAGGGGGGCTTCTGGGGCTGAGAAGTTTCTGTTTCCTCATTTGTGTGCTGGTTACATGGATGTGTTTAGTTTGTGACAATTAATCAAGCTCTTCACTTATAATCCGCGGATTTTTCTGTATGTTTATTCTACTTCAATTCTTAAAAAGTTGTTTTTTTTTGAGACGGAGTCTTACTCTGTTGCCGAGGCTGGAGTGCAGTGGCATGATCTCAGCTCACTGCAACCTCTGCCTCCCGGGTTCAAGCAATTCTCTTGCCTCAGCCTCCTGAGTAGTTGGGATTACAGGCGCCCGCCACCATGCCTGGCTAATTTTTGTATTTTTAGTAGAGATGGGGTTTCACCATGTTGGTCAGGCTGGTCTTGAACTCCTCACCTCCTGATCTGCCTGCCTTGGCCTCCCAAAGTGCTGTAATTACAGGCGTGAGCCACTGAGCCCGGCAGAAGTTTTTTTTTAATAGTCAACTTTACCTTAAAAAGAAAGAAAATGCTGATACGTGCTGCAACATGGGTGAACCTTGAGGGCATTATGCTATGTGAAATAAACCAGTCATAAAAGGGAAAATCCTGTATGATTCCATTTATAGGAGGTCCCTAGAGTCGTCAGATTTATAAAAACAGAAAGTAGCATGGTGGGTGCCAAGGGCTGGGGGAGGGGGAACAGGGAGTTCGCGTTTAGTGGGGACAGAGTTACATTTGGAAGATGGAAAAGTTTGGGAGATGGATGGTGGTGACAGTTGCACAACAATGTGAATGTATTATACTTAATTTCACGAAACTGTATCCTTAAAAATGGTTAGGATGACAACAATATATTAATGGTTTCAAATAGCTAGAAGGAGGAGCTTGAATGTTCCTAACAGAAAGAAACAATAAAGGTCTGAGAAGATGGATATGCTAATTACCCTGATCTGAGCACTACGCATTATATGCATTGAAACGTCACTATGTACCCCATGAATAAGTACAATTACTTGTCAATTAAAAAATGTTACAAAGTTAAAAAAAATATTAGGATGGTAAATTTTATGTCATGTGTGTTTTGCCATGGATTAAAAAAAAAAAAAAGCACTGAAAATAAAACTAACAAAGTCAGCTTTAATCATGGACACAGACAGGTTCTGGGGACAATGAATGTGCCAGCCACCAGCCCACATCCTTGTTTTAACGAGCTCAGAAATGCCAATGCTTTGCTTCTGGAAGGTTCTGGAAGAAAGAACCGAGTCAGCGGAACATTGCTGGACAGAAGGCAGCACTGGCTTTGTGCTCCTCTCTCCATCACTTTGGCGGCTGAGGGTTCTCGTTCCCATTTCTCAGGGCTAAATATAGCCCAGGGAACGAAACTCTGCACCGGCCGCCAGTAGGGAGACTCTGAGCCATCACGAGGAGCAGGCTCAGATGACAGGGACAGGGTGGAGGATGGGGGAGAGGGACAGGACTGAAAGGGAAAAACAGCCGAGGCCCTTCCATACCAAGGCAGCCCGTCCATCTCAGGTGCTGCCAACAAGACCCGAATCTGCCCTTGCCTGGGTCCTCGACAAGCTTGGGAACCTCTGGCCACAGGACATGCTACCCAGCACCACAACAGACACACGTGGAGGCTTGGACTGTTTGAGCTCATTTAATCCTCTCATGAACCCCAGGAGTGGGTATATAATTATCCCCATCCTCCCGGGTGAGAAAGCTGAGGCACAGAGAGGTCTATTTTTTTTTTTTTTTTTTTTGAGATGGAGTCTCACTCTGTCACCCAGGCTGGAGTGCAATGGCACTATCTTGGCTCACTGCAACCTCTACATCCTGGGTTCAAGCAATTCTCCTGCCTCACCCTCCCAAGTAGTTGGGATTACAGGTGCTTGCTACCATGCCCAGCTAATTTTTCTATTTTTAGTAGAGGCGGGGTTTGACCATGTTGGCCAGGCTGGTCTCGAACTCCCGACCTCAGGCGATCCACTCACCTCGGCCTCCCAAAGTGCTGGGATTACAGGTGTGAGCCATCACGCCTGGCCGAGAGGTCAAGTTACATGCCCACAGTTCTGTTGTGGGTTGCAGTGGGTCTCTCCAAAAAGATGCATTGAAGAAGTCCTAATCCCTGGTACCTATGAATTGGAAATAGGGTCTTTGCAGATGGAATCAAGTTAAGATCAGGTCATTAGGGTGGAACCTCATCCTAAATGACGGGTTTCCTTATAAAAAGAGGACATCTGGGCAGAGCACAGTGGCTCACATCTGCAGTCCCAGCTACTCAGGAGGCTGAGGTAGGAGGATTGCTTGAGGCCAGGAGTTTGAGGCTGTAGTGAGCTATGATCGCACCACTGCACTCCAGCCTGGGAGACAGAGCAAGACCCTGTGTCTAAAATAAAGAAACAAACAAACAAATAAGTAAATAATAAGAAAAGGAGAAACCTGGGCACAGAGACAACCTTGCACAGAGGGAGAAGGCCATGTGAAATGGAGATGAAGGCGGGATCAGGGTGATACGTCTACAAGACAAGGACCACCAAGCACTGTTGGCAAACCACCAGAAGCTAGGAGGGAGGCAAGAAGGGATTTCAGACCAAGTCTCAGGAGGCACCATGGCCCAGCTGACATCTTGATGGTCTGTGGCCCAGCTGACCTTGATGGTCTGTGGACTCCTGGCCTCCTGAACTGCGAGAGAATAAATAAATTTCTGTTGTTTTCAGCTACTCTATTTGTGGTTCTTTGTGGTTCAAGCTACAGGAAATAAATGAAGTTACTCAGTTACTGAATGGCAGAGGGGGCCTCCAACCCTCCCATCTCCTTGCTTTTATCTCCTCCCCTTTTCCCTCGCTCATTCGGTTCCAGCCACCTGGCTTCCTTGCAGTTTCTCAACCACGCCAAGCACAGTCCTACCTCGGCCCTTGCACAGGCTGTCCCTCCCTGCCTGGAATGCTCTTTCCTGAGATTGCTACATGGTTTCCCCTCACCTCCTTCAGGTTTTTTACTCAAATGCCACCTTCTGAGGGAGGCCTCCCCTGATGGCCCTTTACAATTGCACCCCTCATTTCTGGTCCCCATTGTTTCTTTTTTCCCATTTGCATTTCACCGCCTATATACTTTACTTATTTCTCTTGTTCTCTCGTCTTCCTGGCTGGAATGTCCATTCGACAAGAGGGAGGGGCTTTGTCCTTTTTGTTCCCTGCTGTATTCCTGTATTCCCAGCCCCCTAGGACAACATCTGGCACACAGTCGGTGCTCAATAAGTGGTGTCTGTTGAATGACTGATTGAGAGGTGTGTCCAAGTTCCCTGCATAGCTCAGATCGTCAACCCCAAGCCAAGCTCCCTCCTGAACTCTCATCTGCACCATCCTCTCTGGGGAGTGGGCTTCTGCTGCCTGATTTTAGAGACACTTTTTCTCTTCCAAACTCATCCAATTATTCAATTCCATACTCTGGAATCAACAATTCCCAGGGAAGAAGGTGGTGGAAGGCTGGGTGCAGTTTTGGATTAGGAGATGAGCTTTCCCTGGTTTGGGGGTGGGGGTGGGTGGATTTCGTTCAGGAGCAAAATGAAAAGTACATTTTACAAGCACAAGGACTGGAGATGCCATGGCTGTTCTGTGGTAGTTCATCAGCAAAGATGGGGTCACAGATCTCTTCTCCTGGTTCTCATCTCTTCTTTGGCAGTTCAAGTTAAGGGAGGGATATGCACAAGTCTGAATTCGGGAAGGAGAGTGGGGGAGGATGGCTTGCTCATTTGTTAAATTCATTAATATTGGGAAGGATGTGCTCTAGAGATCGCCTTGTCTTTCTTCCAAGGGCTCAAAGACTTCCACTGCCTGGAACACTGTTCCCCATTAATGCTGCCATCAAATATTTCCAGCAATATGGTGGGATGGTCCTTCCTGAGTCCCTTTGGGGTTGGCTGAGGACCACATGCTAAGTGCTGGCCAATGAGGAGTGAGTGGAAATAGCTGTCATTTTGGAGCCAGAGCATTGAACTTTCAGTGTGGGACCTTCTAGCATTCCTTTTTTCCTTCTGGAATAGCAAGTGGCAATGTTCTAGGTGATTAGCTAGGTCTCAAGTGACTGCACTGAACAGAGCCCCCTTCTTCCCCACTGCCAACCTGCACTGGACATGTAGCATGAGCAGGAAATACATCTGTTGTCAAAAGTCATGGAGGCTTTGGGGATGTTTGTTACTGCAGCATAACTTGGCTGCCCTGACCAATACATCTTTTTAATTAAATTTTTATATTTTGTAGAGAGGGGGTCTCTGTTGCCCAGGCTGGTCTCGAACTCCTGGGCTCAAGTGATCCTCCTGCTTCAGCCTCCCAAAGTGCTGGGATTTCAGGCATGAGCCACCACGCCCAGCCAGATTGATACAGTTTGATATCTCTGTAGCTTGCTCCTTCACCTCTTTCTGGTCTTTCTTTCTTTTTTTTCTTTCTTTTTTTTTTTGAGATGGGGTCTTGCTCTGTTGCCCAGGCTGGAGTGCAATGGTGTGATCTCAGCTCACTGCAACCTCCACCTCCTGGGTCCAAGTGATTCTCTGCCTCAGCCTCCAGAGTAGCTGGGATTACAGGTGCCCGCCACCACACCTAGCTAATTTTTGTATTTTTTAAAATAGAGACAAGATTTCACCTTGTTGGTCAGGCTGGTCTTGAACTCCTGACCTCAGGTGATCCACCCACTTCAGCCTCCCAAAGTGCTGGGATTACAGGCATGAGCCACTGCACCCAGCCTCCTTCTGGTCTTTCTTAAATGCCAACTTCTGATTGACTCTTTTATGGATCCCATGAGGCAGGTGAGAAAGTGTCTGTCTCTTGCATGTCTGATGGAGAACATACATTCTTCTCATCAGCACATGGACATTCTCCAAGACAGACCACATGTTAGGCCACAAAACAACTCTCAACAAATTTTAAAATACTGGAATTCTGTCAAGCATCTTCTCAGACTACCGTGGGATAAAACTAGAAATCAATACCAAGAAGAATTTCAGAAATGATGCAAATATATGGATATTACGCAACATGCTCCTGAACAACCATTGGGTCAATGCAGAAATTAAGATGGAGACTTAAAAAATTTTGGAAATGAATGAAAATAGAGACACAACACACCAACACCTGTGAGATGCAGCAGAAGCAGTGCTGAGGGAAGTTTACACTTGACCTTAGCTAAAGGGCCAAGAAGCAACTAAGAGGGAAGTTTATAGCATCAAATACCTACATCACAAAAAACAGAGGCCAGATGTGGTGGCTCACGCCTCTCATCCCAGCACTTTGGGGGGCTAAGGCAGGAGGATCGCTTGAGCTAGGGGTTTGAGACCAGCCTGGGCAACACAGTGAGACCCCATCTCTAAAAAATAAAAATAAAAAAATTAGCTGGGTGTGGTGCTGTGCACCAGTAGTCCCAGCTACTGGGGATGCTGAAGTGGGAGGTTCACTTGAGCCTAGGAGGCAGAGGTTGCAGTGAGTCAAGATCATGCTGCTGTACTCCAGCCTGGGCACCACAGTGAGACTCTGTCTCAAAAAAGCAAAAAAAAAAAAAAAAAATTACAAATTAAGAACCCAACACGTACCTCAAGGAGCCAGAAAAGCAAGAACAAACCAAACCCAAAGTTAGCAGAAGAAAAGAAAGGTCAAGTTCAAGATCACAATCAGCCAATTATTTCCATTCTCTGAACCTATGCCTGGAGCAACTCTGCCTTTAGGTCTTGGCTTGGCCAATTTCTTCTTATCACTCAACCTTAGATCCATTGTGCCCCCATCAGAGAAGCCTTCTTGGACCTCTCAATCAAAAGGACTTGCCCCTTCCTGCAGCTCAGCCAGACATCTCATTCTCTTCCCAGCACGTTCCACTGTCTGAATCATCTTGTCAACTTATGCATTTCAAGATTGTCATCTTGATCATCAGCTCCTCCAGGGTAGAGATTTTTCCTGTCTAAATCCCAGTGTCCAGATCAGCACCAGGGACATAGTAGGTGCTCACTAAGCATTAGTTGCATAGTCAATACAAATGTTCCTGGGGTTCCTGTTGGTGGATCATTTATTTTATTTATTTATTTATTTATTTATTTATTTATTTAGGGACAGAATCTCACTCTGTCGCCCAGACTGGAGTGTGATGGCACGATCTAGGCTCACTGCAACCTCTGCCTCCCAGGTTCAAGTGATTCTTGTGCCTCGGCCTCCCAAGTAGCTGGGATTACAGGCACGCACCACCACGCTCAGCTAATTTTTTTGTATTTTTTTAGTAAAGATGGGGTTTCGCCATGTTGGCCAGGCTGGTCTTGAACTCCTGGGCTCAAGCAATCCGCCCTCCTCAGCCTCCCAAAGAGTTGGGATTACAGGGGTGAGCCACCATGCCCAGCTTGGTGGATCATTTAAATAATAAACACAGGAAATGTGTTTATCCCAAATCCAAATGATTAAGCTATTTTTCTGGGAAAGGAGAGGCAGAAGGCAGAATTATGGTCGCATTAGCCAAGTCTTTTTGGGCTGATGAAATACTCCCCACATCTTCCTCGATTCCCGCCATCTCTGTGCCTGGTGGATGGAGAAACTGAAGCTGAGAGAGGCAACATGATGTGCCTGGATCACACAGGGTGCAGATGGCATGGGTGGGACTAGACCCGTCATTCTGGCCTTTACAACCAACTGATTTTTTCCCACTTCACCCCTTCTCCGTACTTGCATAGTATTTTAAGTAAATAACAATGGGCCCAAGAGAGCTTCAAGGGTGAGGGATGTTACTGATTCATCCCAGTATCGCTGGTGGTGCCTGGTGCTTAGAAAGCGCTCCATAAATACTCATCAAACAAACTAATGGCTGAGTCCCAGCAAAATCCTTCAGTGCCTTCTGTTTTATGGTTTATTTTCCTCTAATTTTTTTGAGCATGGTTCATTGAGAAAAAGTATACAGGATGTTAAAAAAACAAAAACAAAACAAAACAAAAGGAAAAAACCCCAAAACTCAGCTCAGGAGAACACCCGTTTCTCCAGTATATGGGATAAACATGGGGGTGGATTTGAGTGTGAAAAAGCTGAAGTCTGACAGTGACCGTGAGAGAGGCTGTGTGTCCCACTTTATACCCGTTATAGATCATGCCAGGCCTGCTAATTATTTTTTCAGTGCTCTTTTTCCCCTTTCACTCTCAAAACTGTCCTGGTTTGGATCATAAATTATATAGGCTGTCTGTTCACGAAGTCTTTTTTTTTTTTTTTTTTTTTTTGAGACAGAGTCTCGCTCTGTCACCTAGGCTGGAGTGCAGTGGGGTGATCTCAACTCACTGCAACCTCCATCTCCTGGGTTCAAGCGATTCTCGAGTCTCAGTCTCCCAAGTAGCTGAGAGTACACGCGTGCATGACCACGCCTGGCTAACTTTTTTGTATTTTTTAGTAGAGACGGGGTTTCGCCATGTTGGCCAGGCTGGTCTGGAACTCTTGACCTTGTGATCCACCCGCCTTGGCCTCCCAAAGTGCTGGGATTACAGGCGGGAGCCACCATGCCTGGCTGATCCATGAAGTATTTTATCATCTTCCTTCATCAGCTCCTTCCTTCATCCTCACTCACTCCCCACTGGACATCTGGGCAGCTACATGTCCTCACAAATGCCAGGAACATCCTGCCTCAGGACCTTTGCACTGGCTGTTCCATCTACCTCGGCTGCTGTTCCCTGAGATATCTCCATGGCTCCCTTCATCTCCTTCATGTCTTTCAAAAAGCCTCAAGCAATTGCTGGCCTCAAACTATCCTCTCCTGCCTCAGCCTCCCAAAGTGCTGGGATTACAAGTGTGAGCCATCACACCCAGCCAGGGACATACATTAATGATCACTAACTAAACATAGTTTTGTTGCTTTATTAATTGACATTCACCAAGGGAGAGAAGGAGAGAAATGTTTATTTATTAAGGAAAATTTTTAATTGATTATATATATATATATATATATATATATATATATATATATATATATATATATTTTTTTTTTTTTTTTTTTTTTTTTTTTTTTGAGACAGAGTCTTGCTCTGTTGTCCAGGCTGGAGTGCAGTGGCACGATCTCGGCTAACTGTAACCTCTGTCTCCTGGGTTCAAGCAATTCTTGTGCCTCAGCCTCCCAAGTAGCTGGGACTACAGGCGCCTGCCACCATGCCCAGCTAATTTTTTGTATTTTAGTAGAGACGGGGTTTCACCATGTAGCCTAGGGTGGTCTTGCACTCCTGAGCTCAGGCAATCTGCCTGCCTTGGCCTCCCAATGTGCTAGGATTACAGGCATGAGCCACCGTGCCAGGCTGATAGATGTATATATTTTTTGGATACATGTGATACTTTAATGCATTCATATGATTTGTTCCTTCAGGTCTGTTTTTTTTGTTTTTTTGTTTTTTTTTTTTGAGACAGTTCTTGCTCTGTCATCCGGGCTGGAGTGCAGTGGCATGATCGGCTCACTGCAGCCCCAACCTCCCAGGCTCAAGCAGTCCTCCCATCTCAGCCTCTCAAGTAGCTGGGCCTACAGGCATGCTCCACCATGTCCAGCTAATTTTTAAATTTTTTTTTTTGTAGAGATGGGGTCTCACTATGTGCCTAGGCTGGTCTTAAACTCTAGGGCTCAAGGGATCCTCCTGCCTCAGCCTCCCAAAGTGTTAGAATTATAGATCATAATGGCCACGGTGCCCGGCCATTCGGGGTGTATAAGAAGAACTGCAACCTCTCATCTTGACAATGCACAAACTCTCTACTGTTTTATTCTATCCCGGACCTCTCACCACCCTCTAACACTATCTCTAAGGCAGTGATCCACAAACTACAGCCCGCGGGCCAGCCACCTGTTTTTATAGGTTAACGTTTAATTGGCCCACAGCCATGCTCATTCACTTACGCGCTTTATCTGTCGTTACTTTCACGCTACAGGAGCAGATTGAGTCGTTGCGATGGAGACCATCTGGCCCACAAAGCCTAAACTATTTAATGTCTGCTGTCTGCCCTTTTTATCCCAACTGATCACTGGCTTTCCCCACCAACACGTCAACTCCTCTGTGTCCAGAAGAGTGTCTGCATACAGTAGGCATTCAATGATGGTTGTTGAATGAACCAGTGATTTATAGTCCAAAGTCTAATGCTTTGATTTTGGTCAAGACAAACATCTATGAATGAAAAAGGGCATGGGTCAAAGGTGATTCCAAACATTAGCAACCACTGGCCAGGGGACACGCATTTATTTATTTATTTATTTTTAATTATTAGGTTTTTTTTGAGACAGGGTCTGGTTCTGTCACCCAGGCTGGAGTGCAGGGGTGTAATCACAGCTCGGTGCAGCTTCAAACCCTTGGGCTCAGGCAATCCTCCTTCCTCAGCCTCCCGAGTAGCTGGGACTACAGGTACACACCACCATGCCCAGCTAATTAATTATTTTTCTTTTTTAAAGATGGGGTCTTGCTTTTTGACCAGGCTGGTTTTGAACTCCCGGTCTCAAGCAATCTTCCTGCCTCAGCTTCTCAAAGGGCTGGGATTCCAGGCGTGAGCCACCACGCCTGGCCAGGGACATGCATTTATGATCACAAATTAAACGCAGTTTTTCTGCTTTTCTAATTGACATTCACCAAAGGAGAGAAATAGAGAAGAAGAGAAACTCACAGAGAAAAGCACAAAGAAGGGTGAGGAGAAGGGAGAGAAGGAGAAGGAGGTGGAGAAAGAGAAGGAAGAGAGAGAGAGAACACAAGAATAAAAGAGACAAAGGCTGGGCATGGTGGCTCATGCCTGTAATACCAGCACTTTGGGAGGCCAAGGCAGGCAGATCACTTGAGGTCAGGAGCTCGAGACCAGCCCGGCCAACATGTTGAAACCCAGTCTCTGTTAAAAATACAAAAAATTGGCAGGCACAGTGGCTCACGCCTGTAATCCCGGCACTTTGGGAGGCCAAGGCGGGCGAATCATGAGCTCAGGAGATCGAGACCATCCTGGCCAACATGGTGAAACCCCGTCTTTACTAAAATACAAAAAATTAGCTGGGCGTGTTGGTGCATGCCTGTAGTCCCAGCTACTCAGGAGGCTGAGGCAGGGGAATCACTTGAACCTGGGAGTCAGAGGCTGCAGTGAGCCGAGATCACGCCACTGTACTCCAGCCTGGCGACAGAGCAAGACTCCATCTCAAAACAAAACAAAACCCCCCAAAATTAGCTGGGTGTGGTGGCACGCACCTGTAATCCCAGCTACTTGGGAGGTTGAGGCACAAGAATCGCTTGAACCCAGGAGATGGAGGTTGTAGTGAGCCGAGATTGCGCCACTGCACTCTAGCCTGGGTGACAGAGTGAGACGCTGTCTCAAAAAAAAAAAAAAAAAAAAAGAGAGACAAAGAGAGAGAGGGAAAAAGAAAGAGTCAGAGAGAGACGGATGAAGGGTGATGAATTGTGTCCAGAGCTGTGTGTGAACCCTGGCTTTGTCACTCTTGGCTAGGGGACCTTGGCAGGTCACGTCACCCTGTGGGCCTCCGTTTCCTCATCTGGAAGATGGGGTTAAAAATATCTTTCCTCACAGGGCTGTTTTACGGATCAAGACACAATGTAAAGCTGATGCCAGGCACACAGAAGCCCTCGGCTAAAGGCAGCCCCAAATTAACTCAAGACACCCTGGTCCTGCCAGGTCCCCAGCCCCTCCACATCCCCTCCTTGGGGGCAACCAAGAGAGGGTAGGTCCTGTACCCCATGAAGTGACCCCAATTTGCCTTGGCCCAGCTGGCAAAGAGGGGGTCAGGGACCTTCCCCTGTGAGAGTGGAGACAATTTCTGGCTTTTCTGAGCCACATGGGGCACATAGGGTGAGGGGGTCCCTGTGAAATGAGGCCACCTGTCACTAGAACAACACAGAGCCACCAGCTCTTGTCTCCAGCAAACAGTTTTGTTGCAGTACTCATGGGGTTCCCCATTCTATCCCCTTGAGCTCAGAGAAGCAGCCCTCAATCCTATTTGCTGTGGGAGGCTATAAATGGCAGAATCTGAGGATGTTGACACTG
Organism: Homo sapiens; assembly: GCF_000001405.40. Classification (NCBI taxonomy): domain Eukaryota; kingdom Metazoa; phylum Chordata; class Mammalia; order Primates; family Hominidae; genus Homo; species Homo sapiens. The sequence goes on from NC_000019.10 coordinate 13,349,694, forward strand.
AGTGAGACAGAGCTGAATTCTGACTCTCAATCGCTGTGCACAGCTCTGGGACTCAGTTTCTTCATCTGTAAAATGGGGATATTAAAGGCCCTAGCTCAGAGAGTTTTATATTTTTACCATCAAGGAATCCCAGGCTGATGCCTAGGGAAGTAGCCAAAACAGGGTGGCACAGAGGAAGTGGCTGATCACCCATCTTGATTCCACAAGGCTACCCAGAGCCTTCTCTGGCCCAGGAAGGTCCAGGGAAGAGGCCCGTCTAGTGGGCATGGGAGCCATGTGGATACCTTGGAGCTTCCAGGTCAAGAACAGAGATGGGCTATGTTGATGGAGGTTTGTTTTGTAGCAGTTAGAAGTGAGTTGGACCTCACTTTTGGCACAGAATTTCCAGTAAACCTGCATTTGTAGTCCTTGGGTATGGACAGAAACTCACGCCATCCCAAAGCTCTTAGGGGGTAGGTTCATCTTGAGGCCCAGCCAGTACCCCAATCCTCCTTCCTCTGAGAGGCCTGGCCTCCTAGAGCAGAGCCTCTCAACCTCAGTACTACTGACATTTTGGGCTGGGTAACTGGTTGTGATGGGGGCTGAGCCAGACACGGATGGTGAGAACTCCAGTTACCTGCTAAACTATCACCTCTTCTGAGGGGTTTTCTAGCCACAGTGACTGCGGAAGGCACTGGCAAGATTCTCTCAGTTTCACCTTGGGGAGGAAACACTTAGGGGTCTGTGGACAGAATTCAAGGAGTTCGTGAATTTAGATAGAAAATAATTACCCCTTTACTTCCTCTTACTTTCACTGGAAGTGGAACATTTTCTTCCATGATGATTGGAGGTGGCAAACCGCAGAATCAGTGACCCCCATTACCAACAGAAATCACATATAGTTCACAGATATCATGCAAAGTCTTTTAAGCTTAATACTCCCATGAAATCCCAAGACTTATCCAACCCATCGCTGGGACTTGTTGTTGATGTGTTATGAAGAATCACATCTCTTAAACGACATCACAACTCCTTAAAAAAAAATTCTGGGCTGGTCACAGTGGCTCATGCCTATAATCCCAGTGACTCTGGAGGCTGGGGTGGGAGGATCACTAGAGGCCAGTAGCTCGAGGACAGCGTGGGCAATGTGTGAGAACATGTCTCTACCAAAAAAATACAATTAGCTGGGCATGATGGTATGTGCTTACAGCCCTAGCTATTCAGGAGGTTGAGGTGGGAGGATCGCTTGAGACCAGGAGTTTGAGCTGCAGTGAGCTATGATTGCATCATCGCACTCCAGCTTAGAAGACAGAGCAAAACCCCAAAAAACTGGGATTAGGAGTTTTTGGGAAGAACGCTATATAGGCATAAAATCAAGGGTTACATAATATCCACATCCCTGGGGGATACTAATCTTCATCATTTGGTTAAAGTGGTATCTATCTGTTCCTCCGCTATAAAACTTCTATTTTCCCCTTTACCTACTCTATTCTTCGGAAATGAGTCACTAAATCCAGCCCACTCTCAAAGTAGGGGAGATTAGTCTCCACCTCCTGGGGCAGTGGGGAGTGAAGTTTACATACTTTAAATGGAATTCTTTTGTAAGAAAGATTTGCCTGTTTTTCATTTATCTTGTGTATTTAATAATAAAATAAAAATGATCATTTATTTACTTATGTGTTTATTTAAGAGATGGGGTCTTGCTGTTGCCCAGGCTGGAGTGCAGTGGCGGGATCATAGCTCACTGCAGCCTTGAACTGCTGGGCTCAAGCAATCCTCCTGCCTCAGCCTCCCAAGTAGCTGGAACTACAGACATGGACCACCACACCCGGCTAATTAAAAAACATTTTTTTTGAGATGTAGTTTTGCTCTTGTTGCCCAGGCTGGAGTGTAATGGCGTGATCTCAGCTCACTGCAACCTCTGTTTCCCAGGTTCATATGATTCTTCTGCCTCAGCCTCCTGCGTAGCTGGGACTACAGGCGTGTGCCACCACGCCTGGCTAATTTTTGTATTTTTAGTAGAGACGGGGTTTCACCCTGTTGGCCAGGCTGGTCTCGAATTCCTGACCTCGTGATCCACCCGCCTCGGCCTCCCAAAGTGCTGGGATTACAGGCGTGAGCCACCGCATCTGGCTAATTAAAAAAAAAAATTTTTTTAAGATGAGTCTTGCTGTGTTTCCCAGGCTGGTCTTGAACTCCTTGTCTCAAACAATCCTCCCACCTCAGCTTCCTAAGTAGCTGGGATTACAGATGTGAGCCACCAAGGCTGGCCATTTATTATTGATGTATCAATCAATCAATCAATGATTTATTTTAGTGTGACTCTCTCGACAGATTATGTAAGATAAGGACACCTAGGACACTGTTTGCCTAAGAAAGGTTCATTCTCCTCCCTTTCTCCCTGCCTCCTGGTCTAGGAATGACCCGAGACCTTCTTCTTTCTCCCCGCTAACCATTTAGCAAGACAAGTTTAATTGGCTCAAGCCAATTTGGGAGGCTGAGGTTGGTGGATCACTTGAACTTACGAGTTCGAGACCAGCCTGGCCAACATGATGAAACCCCATTTTTACTAAAAATACAAAAAATTAGCTGACCATGCTGGTGCATGCCTATAGTCCCAGCTACTTGGGAGGAAGAGGTAGGAGAATTGCTTGAACCCCAGAGGTGAGCCAAGTGAGCCAAGATCGCACCACTGCACTCCAGCCTGGGCAACAGAGTGAGACTCCATCTCAAAAAAAAAAAAAAAAAGTAAACTGTGATCATCATAGAGAAATTTGAAGATACAAAGAAGTATTGAGAATATCAAGATTCCCAAATCCCACCACCCGAAGGTCAGCTTGGTACAGTGTCCTCCAGTTTTTCTTTACTTATATTTTCATATTTGTACCTTTGAGATCATAAGGTTTACCTCCCCTTGATTCCTTTTTAAAAACTCATTTTCCCCTCTTATCATTTCTTCTTTTCTAGACAGGGTGAGCTGCCACTGTTCTCCATGCTGGGAATGCTGTTTCCAAAACATCTGCCTGGCTTCCTCCTTCTCTGCTCAAACATCACCTCCTCTTAGGAACCCTCCCTGATTGGCTGACCTAGACTAGGGAACCATGCATCACTTCTTCTCTCGTGCAGCTTTCGCTCTGTTGCCCAGGCTGGAGTGCAGTGGCATGATCACAGCTCACTGCAACCTCCACCTCCTGGGCTCAATCGATTTTCCTGCCTCAGCCTCCCAAGTAGCTGGGATTACAGGCGCCCGCCACCATGCCTGGCTAATTTTTGTATTTTTAGTAGAGATGAGGTTTCGCCATGTTGGCCAGGCTGGTCTCAAACTCCTGACCTCAGGTGATCTGCCTGCCTTGGCCTCCCAAAGTGCTGGGATTATAGGTGTGAGCCACCATGCCTGGCCTCCTTGATCCCTGTTTAAAAACTTGTTTCTCCCACTCATCATTTTTTTTGTTTTGTTTTTTGACAGGGTTTCACTCTGTTGCCCAGGCTGGAGTGCAGTGGCGTGATCACGGCTTATTGCCACCTCTGACTCCAGGGCTCAAGTGATCCTATCCTCCTGTCTCAGCCTCCTGAGTAGCTGGGACTACAGATGTACGCCACTATGCCTGGCTGATTTTTGTATTTTTGTTTTTTTTTTTTTGTAGAGATTGGGTTTCACTGTGTTGCCCAGGCTGGCCTCAAACTCTTGGGCTCAAGTGATCCACCCATCTCAGACTCCCAAATTGCTGGAATTACAGGCATGAACCACTGCGCCCAGCACCCCCACTCATCATTATATGGTGAGCCTTTCCCCTGTATCCTTAATATTCTCCCAGCAGACGATTTTTAATGATGACATAATATGCCATCATACGGAAGGACCATACGGTATTTAACTGATCTCCTATTGTCAGGCTTTCAATTGCTTCCAGTTTTGTTCTAATTTTGTAAATAACTCTGGGATGCATATCCTGATATAAACCTTCAACAGCATCGCTGATTAGTTGAGCTTAGATTTCTTCAAAAGGCATTTAAACCAGGAAGCCAAGGGAGAAAAACAAGAAACGAATACAAAATCTGGAAGGGAATCAAACACATCCTGTAGGTGAGCTGCCACTGTTCTCCATGCTGAGAATGCTGTTTCCAAAACATCTGCCTGGCTCCCTCCTTCTCTGCTCAAACATCACCTCCTCTGAGAAGCCCTCCCTGATTGCCTGACCTAGACTAAGGAACCACCCATCACTTGTTCTCTTGTGTAGCTTTCGTTCCTATTGGGCTTCCCATAGTACATACACATTTGCTTAGTGTCTCCTGCTTTCTGGGTGATTGATTATTTATCATGTTTACCATTTGCATCTGTCTCTCCTACCAGGGTGGAGATTTTAGTCTGTCTTCTTCGTTGCAGTGTCTCCAATCACCTAATCATTGCCTGGCACACAGTAGGTGCTCAATAAATGATTACTGGATAACTGAAAGGATGTTAAGAGAATAAATGTGGTGCCAGGATCTTACAAAGGGCTGCCTACCCAGGTGGGAAGCCTCTGCGGTACACCTGTGTCCATGGATTCCAAGATGCTTGGAGCGACTGTCTGGACTCTCCGTTGATCTCAACTACTAGCTTGTTCAGAGCTGGGTAAATGGAGTTGGCTGGCAAGGCCACACCCACTGGCTTCGGCTCCAGCACCAGTCATGGAGGACAAAGATTTCCAGACACTCTGCTTGCCTATGGCCAAACAGATCGAGGCTCATTCTAGGATAGACCCAGGGCAGGGCTAGCCCAAGGGAGATGGCTGGGCACGAAGGCAGAACCCAAGAGTGCTCCAACGTAGCAGCTGTGTCCTCCTCAGCAGAAACTCAAAGATGGGCACCTTAGCCCCTGCACCCTGGCATTGACAGACGCTACTCGTTGTTTTAGGGGTAGAGAGAGGGGTTATCTCACTTTGGGAAGCCCCAGACAAGAGTTCACATGCAAGTCGTTTTATTTAGGAGGAGTTATAAATGGAATTACGTCCTCCTGCTACACACACAAAAATGTTTAAGTCCTAACCCCCTGGTACCTCAGAATGTGATCTTATTTGGAAATAGGGTAATTGCAGACGTAATTAGTTAAAATTAGGTTGGACTGGAGTAGGGTAGGTTCTGATCCAATACAACTGATGTCCTTCTAAGAAGAGGAGAACACACACAGACACACGAAGGGAGGATGCTTTTCTTTTTCTTTTTTTTTTTTTTTTTTTTTTTGAGACGGAGTCTCATTCTGTCACCCAGGCTGGAGTGCAGTGGCATGATCTTGGCTCACTGCAACCTCCATCTCCCGGGTTCAAGTGATTCTCCTGCCTCAGCCTCCCAAGTGGCTGGGATTACAGGCACCCGCCCACCACGCCTGGCTAATTTTTGTATCTTTAGTAGAGATGGGGTTTCACCATGTTGGCCAGGCTGGTCTCAAACTCCTGACCTCAAGTGATCTGCCTGCCTCGGCCTCCCAAAGTGCTGGGATTACAGGCGTGAGCCACTGTGCCCGGGCTGGGAGGATGCTATTAGATGACAGAAGACTGGAATGGAGAATGAAGGCTCTAGAAGCCAAGGAATCCCAAAGATTGTGGGAAACCAGCAAAAGCCAGGAAGAAGCAAAGAAGGATCCTCCCCCGGAGGCTTTTGAGGGGCGTGTTGTCAGCTCTGCTAACATCTTGGGGTTGGACTTCTGGCTTCCAGAACTGTCAGACCATAAATTCCTGTTGTTTTAAGCTACTCAGTCTGTGGTGCTTCATTATAGCAGCCCCAGGAAATAAATCTAAAAGTTCATCCCAGGAAATACCAGACAGGGAAGGGAAGGTGGCAAGTGAAGGGTGTGTACGTGACCAGGTTAACCCTGCGGGCAACCAGAGCCTGATCCCACTGGAGAGATGCAGGGCAGAGCAAAACGCCCGACAGGGAGGGAGCTGGGGTATTTATCCACTGACTTCTCCAGGCACTGGATGGGGGCTGCTCCTAGGGGTTGTCCATGCAGGCCAGGTGATCACAGCAGCCCCAGAGAGAGGCAGAGAGTGACAGCTGATTGCAGTATAAGGCATCCCCGTCCTCAAGGAACCTTGGTCTTCTGACCCAGGGTTTCCTGACAGAAACCTTACTGACATTTGGGCCTGGATCATTCTCTATGGTGGGGCAGAGGTGGGGGATGCTGTGCATTGTAGAATGTTGAGTAGCATCCGTGGCCTTTACCCACTTGATGCCAATAGCATCCTCCTTCTTCCCATCCAGTTGTGACAACCAAAAATGTCTGCAGCCACTGCCAAGTGTCCCCTGGGGGCAGAAATCATCCCTGGGCGAGAAGCTGTGTTCTAGGTTCACATTAAGGCCAAATCATTGCATGGGCTGCTAACCAAAGGACGAGGGTGGGATGTAAATGTGTGGAAAGTGCTAGAAAGCTACTCTGAGTTAGTGGTTAATAGCAGGGCCAGCGAGGGGAATAAAGTAAGACCTCTCACACCTCACTCCACTTCCTCAGGCACTGCTGGAGCTGTTCTAATGAAAAATTCATGCACATTTCTAAAAGGAACACCATGCAGGGTGGGGAATTTGACTTACACGGAGGTCACCCCGGGCCAGGATCAGTTCTAAACACTTCATGCGAATCCACCTTACTTAGTCCTCGTGCCTTGTGAGGTGGGACTATGCTTCTCTTCGTTTTGCACATGTGGAAATAGTGGCACAGAGAGGCCAAGCACCTTGCCGAAGGCTGCACAGCAAGGAAGTGGAAGAGTCGGAAGGAACCCAGACAGGCTGACACCTGAGTCTCTGCTCTTAACCACTCAGTTTGTGTCCCCAGAGGTGGCTTAGCTCTAAGCTTAGAGGCTTCCAAGGGAAACACCCATTGGACAATGATGTTTATAACCGAGCCCTCTGGAAATTCATGCTTCCTGTCCCACCACTGGGCACGCCCCCAGCATCTTAATCTGAACCCCCAGACGCTTTCTCTGGTCATCCAACCCTGTGACATATCCCTTTTTTATGCTCACAATTTTTTTCAGCTCCCATTCCCCACTCCCATTCTCTCCCTGAGTTCCCAGCCTTCTCCATTTCCCAGTCTCTTTCCCTCTCAGGAGGGTTCATTTCCTGCTGGAACCTCCTCTCACACCAGCCTTGCAAAGTAAAAACCTAGAACCCACAAAAATTCCCCAGTGAGTTTTGGCCAATTGGGCTGACCCTTTGTCCAAGCTGTTTGCAGGTGACGGCCAAGAGAGGGCCTGAGCTCGGATCTGCTGCATGTTCCCAGAGATGCTACACTCAGACGAGGTTTTCATGCAAATTAGAACACCATGTCCCTTCCCCACATCCTTTTTTCTGTCAATAAATTATCAGGATAACAGTAGAAATCGTATGTTGTCTATGATATGAATGACATTCTTGTGCAGTGCGTGACAGGCGCAACTGTTCATGTGGCTCCTTTTGCTGCCTACTCCCAACTAAAACGGGCCTTTGTTGATCAGGATTACAAGGATGAGTTTTTGCAAATCTCCCTCCACCCACAAGTGGGGAAATTCCTTAACCCATTTATGCCGGAGGTTGCAATTTTTGTGTGTGTGAAAAATCCGACCTTAGTGATGACCTTGAGCAGCAGGATGTAAATAACTCCCACAGGATTAGCATTCCAATAATGGAACACTAGGCATAAATGGGTTGTTAAGGAACATACACTAGGACCAAGAGGAAAGTTCAGCTTCTCTATGTACAGGAGGAGGAAGCCAGGTATTGCTCCCGGGTCAGGCCAACCGCTGGCCTAAACTTCAATGGTAATTTCAGCCCTTAGGGCAGGTGAAGAGGAGACCTCCACTGGTCAACAGAGCTGTGTGTATGGAGCAGCCCCAGGGTGCTCTATGGGGTCACTACAGTTGTGGCATCCTTGTGTTTGATCCTGAATCCTTGGCTCTGCCCCACTCCAGCTGCTGACAAGTGACCTGCCTGGGGACTGCTTACCTGCATAGTAGGTGAGGGAAGGTGAACTGTGGTGAGGACAGAGTGGGGTTTAAAACTTGCACACCTAAATATCTATCAAAATTATAAATGCATTTAGGCTGGGTGCAGTGGCTCACACCTGTAATCCTAGCACTTTGGGAGGCTGAGGCAGGAGGATTGCTTGAGGCCAGGAGTCTGAGAGCAGCCTGGGAAACATAGTGAGACCCCATCTCTATAAAATTGTTCTTAAAAATTAGCTAGGTATGGTGGTGTGTGCCTGTGGTCCCAGCTACTCAGGAGGCTGGGGTGGGAGGATCACCTGAGCCCAGGAGTTTAAGGCTGCAGTGAGCTATGATTACACCACTGCGCTCCAGCCTGGACGACAGAGGGAGACCTTGTCTCCAAAAAAACAAAACAAAAATCTTCCCCAAAAATAAAATTATAAATGCATTTAGTCTTTGATCCTGCAATCCCACTTCTGGGAATGGAGACCCTCCAACCCCCTAGCTATATCTGCAAAAGTATGAAGAGGTACGTGCAACATGCTCCTGGCAGAGCAGCATCATGTTCCATGTCAGTGGACAGGAAGCCAGTCAAGCATTTCTCTTAATGGCAAACAAATAAAACTATGGGCAGCCACACAATAGAATGCTATGCAGCTGTGCAAAAGAATAAAGAAGGCCAGGCGTGGTGGCTCACGCCTGTAATCCCAGCACTTTGGGAGGCAGAGGCGGGAGGATTGCTTGAGCCCAGGAGTTCCAGACCTGCCTGGGCAACACGGAAGAACCCTGTCTCTACAAAAATTAGCTGGGCATACTAGTGTGCACCCGTGAAGAGACTGTCCATGTCCTGCAGTGGAAAGATCTCTAGAACGTGTGGTTATGAGAAAACAAAAATCACAGAATTGAACAGCATGTATAGAATGCTACTCCTTGGGATAAGAAAGAGGGGGGAGGACATAGATTCGATTATGCTTATAATTATAATTGCATAAATAAACATTGGAAGGATATTCTGAGGAACTAAAGGGGTTGCATATTGTGGGAAGAGGAAGTAGCATGCAAGTGGGGGCAGGGATACATCTTTCCAGAAACATCCCTAACATTTTTAAGATCTAGGGCAAGAGTACAAAAGCAGACCACATACTACGGGGAAATATTGAAAAGGTAACTAAATAAAACATGCTGTGTGCTTCTACTTTGCAAATATACCTTCCTTTACACTTTGGAAGGTCAGGGTGGAATTTAGAATCCGGATATCTGCACTGGGTCAAGGTGTGGGGAGAGCCAGCCCTGTCCTGTCCCTTTCTCTTCTTAGTCATGGCTCTGTCCTGCCAGAGGGGCTCCACACATATGTGTGGGCATTCCAGCTTGTACATCCAAGCTCTGGCCACATTTGTGTTAACAGCCACCCCTCGGATGTCCTTGGCCCTCAGTTGGGTTACGAACAGATCCATATGAGAATTGCACGCAAGTTCATGGAATCTGGCCATGGGCAGGGAATTCCAGGATCCTGGTAACTTAAAACATGGCCTACAAAGTGGGGCACAAGCTCTTGGTAGACACATCCCCTTGGCTCCAGGAACTTCTCATCCCACGGGGAGTGGTATGGCTGGAGAAGGACTGGGTGAGCCTCAGGGCAGGGACCCCTCGCCTACGTCCAAAGATATTACTCTATCTTTTATCTGTGTTGGTTTTTGGATCACATAACCTTTCCGTATTCAAAAATCTAAAATTATATCTAAACACTTGCACAATGAAAAATGATGTTGCATCTGGGGGCCCTCCAGACTTCTATGCCCTATAGTTAGAGTTCTGCTCATGAGCCCCTGTAATCTTCAAAAGCCTGAGCCTCAGGCCAGCTTCAGTGGGGCTGTGTTGTCCTTGGGCTGCCTTTCCCAGCTCAGGGTCCCTCCATTGCAGCCTTGGAGTCTCACTGGTCCCAGGAGGCCACCTCCCTGAGACTCTGATTGTCCACACACACTGTCCCAGCATCACTTACATTGTAGAGGAGATCAGTCCACCCTTCCATGGTTATGCACTGGAAAACAGTCAGCACTGCAAACAGGATGTTGTCGAACTGAGTGATCCCGTTGTTGGGCCCTTCCCAGTAGGGCTGACATTTGGTCCCATTGGGGCAGGTGCGGGCGGGCTCTTCTGTCCCACATGGAGCCGGAGACTCACCCTGAATGTCATCTACAAAAGGGAAGGGGAGAAAAGTCAGGGGAAGGAGCAGGGAAAACCAGCTCTGAGAAATAGGGACCAGTGACTCTATAATGCTGTTGGAACGAATAACTTTTGGGACAAACGTGATCAGTCTTCAAAGAGATCAATGTTTGGCTTTGGGGGTCTATTATTGGTTTTCTATTGATTAATTTCTTCTCTGAGCTTTACTACTTTTCTCTTTATGTTTTCCATGAGTTTTTTTTTTTTTTCTATTCTTTTCCTAAACTTTTGAGATGGATGGATTAACTGCCTTTAAGGCTATAAATTGCCTTTAAGTGTGGCTTTACCTGCATCTCAACATTTTGTCATGCATTATCATTATTGTTCAAGTAAAATATTTTCTAATTTCCATTATTATTTCTTCTTTGACCTATGGGTAATTTAGATGTATTTGTTTTTTAAAAAAACTTATTAGGTGTCTGTGTGTGTGTGTGTGTATATATATATATATATATATGAAGACAGAGGGGAGAGGAAGACAGGGAGAGAACGGGGGGAGAGAGAGAGCGAGAGAGAAGTATAAAACAATATAATGATTCACCATGTACCTATCACCAATTTAGACACTTACCTATTTACTTCTGGCAAATTTTGTTTCATCTATTCCTCTGTATCCCCTCCAAACACTTTGCCTTGCCACTAGAATTTTTTTTTTTTTTTTTTTTTGAGACGGAGTCTCATTCTGTCACCCAGGCTGGAGTGCAATGGCATGATCTCACCTCACTACAATCTCCGACTCCCAGGTTCAAGGGATTCTCCTGCCTCAGGCTCCCAAGTAGCTGGGATTATAGGTGGCCACCACCACACCTGGATAATCTTTGTATTTTTAGTGGAGATGGGGTTTCACCATGTTGGCCAGGCTGGTCTCGAACTCCTGACCTCAAGTGATCCGCCCGCCTCGGCCTCCAAAGTGCTGGGATTACAGGCGTGAGCCACTGCACCCAGCCTAGAATATTTTTAAAGCAAAGCTCAGACATCATATCATTTCATCCATAAATGAGAGGCATGTCTGTTAATCTGCAAACACTTTTAGAGTTCTCTTTTTGTTACTGATTTCCAGCTTAATTGCATTACGGTCAGAAAATATGTTTTGTATTTGTATTTTTTTCAGCTTTTTGACCTCTGTTGAGACAAACTTTATGGTCCATAATATAGTCAGTTTTAGTAAATGTGCCGTGTGCATGGTGTAGCTGGTAAGTGCAGCCTTCTTCCGACATCCATTAGGACAAATTTGTCAAGCGCATTGTGTTATTCTCCTATAAGCCTTGCTGATTTTTTTCTTCTTGGGATGTACTGGGCTCAGGGAGCTGTTCTGGGGGTGAGGGACACCAGTACACACAGTTCCTACCCTTGCCTAAGGGTAAGGAACAGGAGCTGAGCTTTCTCCCCAAATAGCAGGAGGCAGGCTGTGAAAATGCCACAAGGAGAGAGAAACGTGCCAACAGACACCCCTTTTGCTGGAAACCAAAGACAGCTTCCTGGGGAGGTGGCAGTCAGGCTGAACGCTAAAGGTCAGTCCAAATCTTAAGGTATTGATGGGGTAGGGAGGCAGGAAAGCTCACATCTGGGAGTGTCCTCATTTTACCAGCACAGCGGGTCTGAGAGGACCTTATTCTGTGAGCGATGCTTTTGAAGGTTTTCAAAGACGACCGTGGCATTGTCGGACAAGAAAACAAACAGCTGAGTGTGTGTAAACTCAAGCTTCCTACTCAACAAAAATATCTCTCAATGTATGTGCTACAGACTTCGCAGCACCAATTCTCTGCTCCCTTGACTGAGCACACAGCAGAGGGAAATAAACCAATGCTGAATGAATGAATCTTGTTGGCCTTTCAAGCTCTGGCTGAATAGAAACTCCAAGTCTAGCCTCGCCATGAACTTAAGTTGTTGGAAACGCCTTCCTCACTTATGCTGGACTTGGTACATGAACTATTATTTGATAAATACAGGTTGGAAGGCAAAAATCTTTTAAACATAAGGCTCAGGGCAGAGAACAAAATAAATCCATGGGTTCCTATAATAAATGAGAACTATCGTTTAGCATGGCACCTGTGCCTGGAATCTTCTCTGTCTCCACGCCATGTCCAAGTCTGGCTCAATTCCCACCCTCCATGTAGCCTCTTTGTGTAGCCCAGTTAACACAGCCCCAGTCCCTCCCTCCCTCCCTTCCTTCCTTCTTTCCTTCCTCTCTCTCTTTTTTTTTTTTTTTTTGAGACAGGGTCTCACTTTGTCACCCAGGCTGGAGTGCGGGCACCATCATAGCTTACTGCAGCCTTGCAGCCTCCAATTCCTGGGCTCAAGTGATCCTTCTTCCTCAGCCTCCTGAGTAGCTAGGACTATAGGCATGTACCACCACTCATGGCTAATTTTTAAATTTTTTTATTTTGAGACAAAATCTCACTCTGTTGCCCAAGCTGGAGTGCAGTAGCGTGATCTCGGCTCACTGTAACCTCTATGTCCCAGGTTCAAGTGATTCTCCTGCCTCAGCCTCTCAAGTATGTGGTACTACAGGCACACGCCACCATGCCCGGCTAATTTATTTTTTTTGTATTTTTAGTAGAGACGGGGTTTCACTATGTTGGCCAGGCTGGTCTTGAACTCCTGACCTTTTGATCCGCCTGCCTCGGCCTCCCAAAGTGCTGGGATTACAGGCGTGAGCCACTGCACCCGGCCAATTTTTAAATTTTTATTTTAGCAGAGACAGGGTCTGGCTATGTTGCCTAGGCTGGTCTCAAACTAACGGCCTCAAGGGATACTCCCACCTCAGCCTCTCAAAGTGCTGGGATTACAGGTGTGAGCCACTGCACCTGGCCCCTTTCAGGCATACAATAGCTACTGAATTTTCATATTTAGGGGGGCGTGGGTATAATCACACATTAGCCTTCACTGTTAAAAATGGCTGCAAATGAGGGGTCTTGTTTCCTCTAACTATTTTGGAAGCTCTTAGAAAGCAGGAAGCCTTCCACTTTATCTTTGCTTCCTTCTAAGCGATTGGCACGGTGCTGGGCACACAGGAACTGGGCTCCCGACACTGAGGAATGCTACTGAAAACGGGTCTATCTTTAGCAGCTTTGCAATCCCCCTCAACCCCCCAACCACCGACACGAAACACTCTGAGCGTTGCTTCTAGAAAAACAAGCGTCCAGAGTGTCTGAGGAATTCGGTTATAAATACATTTTAAAATTAACCCACTGCCTGGGTGTCTGTATATATCTGTCTCTTACTCACACGTCTTATATTTTTAATCGTGAGCTAGCTTTTCAGTCTTTCTCCTAAATCGAGGCTTCCTCCCCTCTGGTGGCACCACCCACATCTGTCCCCTCAAAACCCCACTCGGACCCAAGCCAACCCCATGGCCTCTTCTCCTTTAGCTAGTCTAGGGTAGAAAAACATAAAATAAAACTTCACAGAAACCTAGGATCCAGGAGTCCTGGTTTCTCTGCTCACGGCTGATTTTTCCAAGAGGCCCTGCCCCATATTCATTCTCTCTCTCTCTCTCTCTCTCTCTCGCATTTCCGCCTGGGTGACGAGGCCAGGAGCAGAAATAGCTCTGCCTCAATTAACACCTTCTTCATCGGGGAAAGAAATAATTAGGACATTCCATATTGAGCAAACTTCACAAGCCCAGGAGAGAAAGAGACAGGAGGAGCAAGAGAAAAAGAGGAAAAAAAAAACCAACAAACCAAAACCCACAAAAAAACCCAAACCTCCAACCATTGCAAATAAACCTTCCCCAGTGGGTTTTCCCTCCCCGTGGGGAGGAGTGGGGAGGGAGGGCTCAGGGGCTGCCTCTGCGGATCCACTTGGGGGTCACTGGGTGGAGAGGGTGGGTGGAAATCCACTCCCAGACAGAATCTTCTTCTGTGGCTGCCTTTCCCAAATAAGGGGCCTGAAACCTCTTTCTCTGCCCACCTGGGTTCCCCTTTGGGCTTCTTGATTCCTTCTATCCACTCCTTCAATTCACAGCTCCCTTGACCCAAATCATCAGAACCAGAACTGCTATTCAGTCTGTCTGCACCCAGATGGCCAGTGGTCCAAATACTGAAATACTGAAGGCATCCCTTCCTACTTGATTCCATTTCATTCTGGAGCTTTAGAGAGCAAGCAGCTAGAGTTTGGATGGCAAAGATTTAACTGAAAACGTATCCAAGGGCTATTTGGTTCCTGAGTGTGGATCGTGGTGGACACACTGCTTCCACACTGCTGGTTCAGAGCTGAGCCCTGGGAGAGTGTCTCTGCGCTGCCTGGCTTTTCCGGGGCTCACCCTACCCCCAGACCCAGCCACTGAAGGGTTAATGTGGGCATAGTCAGGGAGGGGCAGAATGCTGCTGAGTGCTAGGTTCTGATTGGTTGGTGCCAGGACTCCCAATTGGGGTATCTCTGGTACATCCTGGGGGTTGGGGGAGACCAGGAGGACTCATCCAGTACTCTCACCCAGCACTCAGGGCAGAGAACAAAATAAATCCATGGGTTCCTATAATAAATGAGAACTATCGTTTAGCATGGCACCTGTGCCTGGAATCTTCTCTGTCTCTCACCTTCCACAAGGTACCACTCACAATGCATTGAGGCAATAACCCTTTTCTGGCCCAACTCTCCCCACTTCTTGCTTGCTTTAGAAGTCAGGACTGGTCGAGGTCTGAAAGCACCCAGAATACCTGTTCCACTCAGCCAGATGTGCCAGGCATTAATTCCCACTCTAGGAGCAGTCCTCACCAATGTCAAAAAGAAGCCAGTGTATAAATACCCCAGCTCCCTTGCCCCTTGGCTGGGACGGCTCTGAGGTGTGTGTTCTTTTTTTATTTATATTTTTATTTATTTATTTATTTGAGATGGAGTCTCACTCTTTCGCCAGGCTGGAGTGCAGTGGTGTGATCTTGGCTCACTGCAACTTCTGCCTCCCGGGTTCAAGTGATTCTCCTGCCTCAGCCTCCTGAGTAATTGGGACTACAGGTGCCTGCCACCACACCCAGCTAATTTTTGTATTTTTTAGTACAGATGGGGTTTCACCATGTTGGCCAGGATGGTCTCTGACTCCTGATCTCAGGTGATCCACCCGCCTTGGCCCCCCAAAGTGCTGGGATTACAGGCGTGAGCCACCGTGACCAGCTGAGTTGTGTGTTCTTTGCTGTCTCCCAGAGGTGCCCAGGGGGATCCAGTCCCAGTTTTAAGTGGTAACCCGCTTGATAGCACACTCTTTAAAAGATCCCTTCTTTCTCTGCTCACTTCCTCATTCCCCCGATGGTGCTTCCTGGGATCATTCCCAAATAAACTCTTTCTCTGCTGGGTCACCTTCTGTGGAACCCCACCCCTTTCAACAGCTAAGATCTCAGAGGCTATTTCACTCACTGCCTCTCCTGTAGTGCTCTCTGAAGGAGACGGTCCTCCCAGCTGCCAGGAGAAAGAAGCACACCCCTGCCTAATCCTCCCAAGAGCTTGTCCCTGAAGGAGAAAACTGGAAAGATGCATCATGCTCCGTGGACCTACCTGTCCCCTCTTCAAAGCAGGTGGTATGAAATTTTCCCATATAAAATTCTAACCCTATGATTGCAAAAATAAGGATTGCAAAAAATAGGAGGAGGCCGATCTGCAGCAAAGGGATCATCGCCTTCATGATCGACTTCAGGACGACTTGTAAACCTGGGGGGACACAGAGAGAGGCCCCATAAGCCCATGAGCAAGTACCCCCAAACCCCGCCACCAAGACGCCCAGGTCTCTCCCAGACAAAGCAGGTGTGTTCCTGAGGGAACATTAAGCACCCAGGAGCCTGGGGATTGGGCAATGGTGAAGGAAGCACCACACGGAGGCTGATCCTTATCATGGGAACAACACTTCCTAGGTTTTTTTTTTCCTTTGAGACAGGGTTTTGCACTGCTGCCCAGGCTGGAGTGCAGTGGCACAATCACAGCTCACTGCAGCCTCAACCTCCTGGGCTCAGGTGATCCTCCTGCCTCAGTCCCTGCAATAGCTAGGACTACAGGCATGCACCACCATGCCTGGCTAAGTTTTAAAACTTGTTTGTAGAGATGGGGTCTTGCTATGTTGCCCAGGCTGGCCTGAAACCCCTGGTCTCCAAGGACTCAAACTCCTCAGCCTCCTAAAGTGCTAGGATTATAGGTGTGAGCCACCATACCTGGCCCCTATTATTATTATTATTTATTTTATTTATTTTTTTTGAGACAGAGTCTTGTTATATCGCCCAGGCTGGAGTGCAGTGGTGCCATCTCGGCTCACTGCAAGCTCCGCCTCCCAGGTTTACGCCATTCTCCTGCCTCAGCCTCCCGAGTAGGCCCAGCTAATTTTTCATATTTTTAGTGGAGACAGGGTTTCACCGTGTTAGCCAGGATGGTCTCGATCTCCTGACCTCGTGATCCACCCGCCTCGGTCTTCCAAAGTTCTGGGATTACAGACGTGAGTCTCCACGCCTGGCCTTATTATTTTTTAAAAAGCACTTTTAACTTTAAAGTATTTATTTATTTATTTATTTTAATTAGCCAGGCATGATGGTGCATGCCTGTAGTCCTAGCTACTCTAGGGACTGAGGCAGGAGGATCGTTAAGGCTGCAGTGAGCTATGATTGTGCCACTGCGCCCCAGCCTGAGTGGCAGAGCAAGACGCTGTCTCAAATAAATCTATATATATATTTTATAGAGACAGGGTCTCACTATGTTATCCAGGCTGGTCTCGAACTCCTGACCTCAAGCGATCTTCCAGCCTCTGCCTCCCAAAGTTCTGGGATTACAGGCATGAGCCACAGAGCCCAGCCAACTTTAAAGTACTTAATAAAGGTATTTGACATGCTGTTCCATTTGATGATCTTTTGGGCAAGAAAGGGGTGGGAGTCCATTGCTTTTGGAGCCATATTCCTGGGTGTTGGGCAACTTGCACCCAGAAGAGGGAGCCATTTTCTTAATTTTTTTTTTCTGCCAAGAGGCGGTGTCTTTTCCTCATTCATAAAAGGCCGCCATATAGGCTAGTTGCTGCTCTGGGTAGGAAAGCGGTTGGCGGTCCCAATTTCAACCCCAAGGAACCAGACTCAACATTATTTCACTGGCTTCTAGTGACAAGCCCCTGAGGTGGCCATACATGTAAAGTCACTCTCATTTTACAGAAGTGGGAAGCAAGGCTAACAGAGATGCTGTGATTCACCCAGAGAATGCATGAGAAATGGCAGAACTAGGCAGGGCGCGGCGGCGGTTCACGCCTCTAATCCCAGCACTTTGGGAAGCCGAGGCCAGCGGATTAACGAGGTCAGGAGTTCAAGACAAGTCTGGCCAACATGGTGAAACCCCATCTCTACTAAAAATACAAAAAATTATCTGGGCATGGTGGCCAGCGCCTGTAATCCCAGCTACTTGGGAGGCTGAGGAAGGAGAATTGCTTGAACTTGGGAGGCAGAGGTTGCAGTGAGCCAAGATGACGCCACTGTACTCCAGTCTGGGTGACAGAGCAAGACTCTGTCTCAAAAAAAAAAAAAAAAAAAAAAAAAGGCAGAACTAGGATTTGAACCCAGGTCCATCTGAAATGAAGCCCCATGTTTGCCCATGTGCTGATGTTGCTTTCTCTGTTCTGAGCAACCCAATTCAGAAAGATGGTGGTGAATAAGAAGGCAGGGGGCCAGGTGTGGTGGCTCACGCCTGTAATCCCAGCACTTTGGGAGGCCGAGGCGGGCAGATCACGAGGTCAGGAGATCGAGACCATCCTGGCTAATATGGTGAAACCCCGTCTCTACTAAAAATACAAAAAAATTAGCTGGGCGTGGTGGCGGGCACCTGTAGTCCTGGCTACTCGGGAGGCTGAGGCAGGAGAATGGTGTGAACCCGGGAGGTGGAGCTTGCAGTGAGCTGAGATCACGCCATTGCACTCCAGCCTGGGTGAAAGTGCGAGATTCCATCTCAAAAAGAAAGAAGGCAGGGAACAGTCCCCGAAGGGACACAGTGGAACAGAAGACACACCCAACTGGGCATCTGAAGACCTAAATCTGGGGGTATTGTCATCAATCAGGGACCCCATGCAAGCTCTTATCCTACCAAGCTCAGCCTCCAGTAGCCTCTCATCTAACAAATGGTTCATTCATGGCGGCTGAATTACTCTGGGCTTCAAATCCTTTTGGGAGAGGAAGGGGTTAATACTGAAATTCGCATCCTGCACTAAAAGTTCCACTGTTGTAAGACTCGAAGAATGTTAATAATAATAATAGCTGGCCAAGCGTGGTGGCTCACACCTGTAATCCCAGCACTTTGGGAGGCTGAGGCGGGTGGATCACTTGAACTCAGGAGTTTGAGACCAGCCTGAGCAGCGTGGTGAAACCCTGTCTCTACAAAATACAAAAAAATTAACTGGGCATGGTGCTGTGTGCCTGGAGTCCCAGCTATTTGGGAGGCTGAGATGGTAGGATTGCTTGAGTCTGGGGAGGTTGAGGCTGTACTGAGCTGTGATTGCACCACTGCACTCCAGCCTGGCGACAGAGCAAGAGCCTTAGTTAGTATTTCTCTGCCTATCATTGGCTTTTTTTTTTTTTTGAGATGGGCTTGCTCTGTCACCCAGGCTGGAATACAGTGGCATGATCACGGCTCACTGCAGCCTTGACCTCCTGGGCACAAGCGAGCCTCCTGCCTCAGCCTCCCGAGTAGGTGGGACTACAGGCACACTTCACCATACCTGGTTCCACTACCATTTTTTTCTTGAGGCTATTAACTCAGGTCTGAACGATGACAACATCCTATGTTTGTAACCACTATGGTATCTACTAGGAAAGTCTATGATCAAAATGAAGGTTCAAACATATAGCCTGAGGCTTTGCTTCTTGATTGCAGGAACTTCCCATGGCTCTTGATGGGTGGAGACCACAGTAAGAGAGGGAAGCTGTCAGGATAGCTCGAGGGGCCATGCCACTCCAAGGGCTTAAAAATGTAATGTGGGTGCTGGCCGGGCGCGGTGGCTCACGCCTGTAATCCCAGCACTTTGGGAGGCCGAGGCGGGCGGATCACGAGGTCAGGAGATCGAGACCATCCTGGCTAACACGGTGAAACCCCGTCTCTACTAAAAATACAAAAAATTAGCCGGGCGTGGTAGCGGGCGCCTGTAGTCCCAGCTACTCGGGAGGCTGAGGCAGGAGAATGGCGTGAACCCGGGAGGCGGAGCTTGCAGTGAGCCGAGATCTCGCCACTGCACTCCAGCCTGGGCGACAGAGCGAGACTCCGTCTCAAAAAAAAAAAAAAAAAAAAAAAATGTAATGTGGGTGCTAACAGATGCAGTGTGGTGCAGTGGTTAAGGTGCTGGATACTCTTGGTGTCTGGCCAAGATCCCATTTTCTTTCTGGTGTACCCGCCCTCCAGCTGCTATGGATGTTGGTTGCTAATGCCTCCCAGCTGCCTCTCTTCTTAGTAGAATTGCCCTTGGTGATCAAAAGCTATCTCACCTGGGAGCTACTGCGTCTCTACCTCCCATCCACAGTGACTGACTATAGAAGTACAAAAGGCCGGCATCCTTGCCATGCATTGGAGGACAACTCTGGTGTCACACACACTCCAGCTGAAATTGCGTCCCTGCTCTATCCATTCCCCAGCCCCACCCTGCTGATCTCCTGCTGTCTCTCCCAAGAGCCGTCCCCCAATAAAGCAGGTGCATCTGAACACCCACCTAAGTATCCGCTTCAAGGGAACCTGACCTAGTCATCCACTTACTAGTGAATTCCAAACCTCAGCTTCTCCATCTGTAAATGGGGACTGCAATAGTACCTCCCTCATACGATTAGATGAGAGAGTTCACACACAGTGAAGTACCTGGTAAGTCATAGGTGGTCATTAAACAGAGACTCTTGTTACTACTGCTATTATAATATACATATATTTTTTGAGACAGGGTCACACTTTGTTGCCCAGGCTGGTGTTGAACTCCTAGCCTCAGGCAATCGTCCTGCCTTGGCCTCCCAAAGTGCTGGGATTACAGGTGTGAGCCACTGCACCTGGCTCTTTTGACTATTAGATTTGGGATGGCCCTTAATTTAATATGATGCAGGCATCTGCTGGGATCTTGCAGAGACCTTGGATAGAAGTGTCTTCTTTCTACAAAAAGATCCTGCTGGTGATCCTCTGGGAAATCTTACTCTTTAAACCTGGGTAGCAATGAACCGGAAGAACGAAGCCAATAAAATGTAAAATGGTGATAATAAAAGAGACTACTTCACAGGCTTGTTGGGAGGATAAAGGACTTTAAAAAAATGGAAATACTTAGAATAATGTCTGGCACATAGTAAGTGCTTTTTAATTTTTTTTTTTCTTTTTTTGAGACGGAGTTTCACTCTTTCATCCAGGCTGGAGTGCAGTGGCGTGATTTCAGCTCACTGCAACCTCCGCCCCCCGGGTTCAAGTGATTCTCCTGCCTCAGCCTCCCGAGTAGCTGGGATTATAGATGCCCGCCACCACGCCCGGCTAAGTTTTGTATTTTTAGTAGAGACGGGGTTTCCCCATTTTGGCCAGGCAGGTCTCGAACTCCTGACCTCAGGTGATCCACCCATCCACCTTGGCCTCCCAAAGTGCTAGGATTATAGGCATGAGCCACTGCACCCAGCCTATAAATTGTTTGTTTTTAAACTTTTTGTTGTCTGTTTTTTTGAGACAAGGTCTCACTCTGTTGTCCAGGCTGGAGTGCAGTGGTGCTATCACAGCTCACTGCAGCCTTGACCTCCTGGGCTCAGATCCTCCTGCCTCAGCCTTTTAAGTAGCTGGGACTACAGGTGTGCACCATCATGCCTGCTAATTTTTTTTTTTTTTTGAGACAGGGTTTCGCCATGTTGCCCAGGCTGGTCTTAAAACTCCTGAGCTCGCTCTATCTGCCCGCTTCGGTCTCCCAAAGTGCTGGGATTCCAGGTGTGAGCCACTGTGCCCAGTCAACCTGGCTAATTTCTAAAAAAAAAAAAAAAATTTGTAGATATTGGCGGGGGGGTGGGGGTGGTGTTCCTCACAATGTTGCCCAGGCTGGTCTCGAACTTGTGGCCTCAAGTGATCCTCCCAAAGTGCTGGAATTACAGGCATGAGCCACCATGCCTGGCTAAATTATTATTATTAACCAAGACAAGAAGATAGAAAAAGGACAGCCCTGTTTTATTTTTGCTTTTTACATTTTTTTTTGGCTCAACCTACACTTAATCTTGACCCTGCATATGGCAGCCACCCTTAAACGGGGACTAGATGTATCTGTGGAGAATGAGAAAGCAGCAAGGAATGAGTATGAATTTTAGAGCTCATTACTGTCCACTCTAAGAATTCAGGTGAGTAATTTAACCTCCTTAAGCCTCAACCGTCTCATCTGTAAAATGGGTGTTCGCTGGGTGACTGTGAGGATGAAATAAGGTAATTCATGTAAAGTCCTTCTGTAGTGCCCTGCACGCAGCAGGCACTCATTAAATGGGAATGGTCATTGCCACCAGTGGTACGGCCCAGGCTTGGAGTCACACTTGCTCACTCCTAGTTCTGCCACTTCTCAGCCACAAAACCCTGCTCCAATGTTTCAGCCACTCTGAGCCTCAGTTTCCCCCTCCATAAAATAGAGACATCAGTCCTATCAACTTCATAGGGCTGTGAGTACTGAATGAGATCACACGTGGTGCTTAGCATGGCTCCCGATAGACAGTAGGTGCTCAATAAATGGGTGTGGCTCCTAGTTTGCTTTCAGGAGCTCATGGGGAGCTACAGTCATATTCCTAGGGGGTTCCCTATAGGGAGTCCCAAAGAAGAGACTGCCCTCACACAGGCTGGTGGCAGGATGTGGCCTCCTGAGATGCTCTGCATAGGGGAAACTGAGGGCTCCTGGGGCCCGTGAGCAAACCCCTTGTCAGGGTCGGAAACTCACGCACTTGGGATTCCAGACACCAGCTTGAGCGGCCGCAGCACTCGAACTGCCCTCAGCGTCCGTAGGTCAAACTCCGTCCCAACTGTCGCCAAGATGCTGAAAGAAAGAAGCCAGAATGGAGAACAGAGGGTGGGTTTTGGGGGTCAGACAGCAGGGCGGGGGTGCTTGGGATTCCAAGCTGTCCTGTATTGGTTGGGTGACCACAGGCAGGTGACTCGACACCACTGGCCTCAGTTTTGTCACCTGTAAAATGGTCTTAACAGTACCTGCCTCACGGGATAAAAGGTGATTTACGAAGACCCCCAACAGATGGTTCATGTTGCACAAATGTTGCAATGAGAGAAATGGAATCTTCCCCATGGCTCAAGGTTGGGGTGACATTCAGTATATTTCACAACCTACAATGACAATAGATTGTGGGGTGGCCTGGGGCCCTGGGGGAATGGCAGACCTTTCGGGGTTTGTGGCTCTTTATTTTATTTTATTTTATTTTTTTGAGACAGAGTCTCACTCTGTTGCCCAGGCTGGAGTGCGATCTCCAATGGTGTGATCTCAGCTCACTGCAACCTCTGCCTCCCGGGTTCAAGGGATTCTCCTGCCTCAGCCTCCCGAGTAGCTGGGATTACTACGCACCCGCCATCATGCCCGGGTACTTTTTTTTGTATTTTTGTAGAGACAGGGTTTCACCATGTTGGCCAGGCTGGTCTTGAACTCCTGACCTCAGGTGATCCACCCGCCTCGGCCTCCCAAAGTGCTGGGATTACAGGCGTGAGCCATGGTGCCTGGCCTGGTTTGTGGCTCTTTAACAAATGGCAGGAAAGTAGTTCAGTGTTAAGAGCCCAGCCTGCATGGGTTCAGATCCCAGATCTGCCACTTTCCAGTTGGGTAACCTTGGGCAAGGGACATCCCTGCTCTGTGCCTCAGTTTCCCCCTTTTGTATAACCTGGATAACAATAGTATCAATACCTCCAAGGGTTGTGAGGATTCAGTAAGTTGACAAAAAGTGGTCAGCACAATGCCAGGCACACAGGTTACCGGTATGCTAACCTATTCAGAAATAAATAAGAAAACAAAAAAATGGGTGTGATCCTGCTTGTGTGGACCAGCCAGCATCAGCTGGCTAGAAGGCAGCTACAGACCCCAAGCCTCTGGTCAAAAAGAGTCCCTTTTGTAAATGCAAGTTAGTAAGGATGATAGCAGTAGGTGGGATGAGGCTTCCATAGAAACCCTCCGAGCAAGACCCTGTCATGAGACCTCATTTGTAAAAGTATTGCTGTTGAAACACAGGGTCCCACCTGGCCCTGTTTCCTGAACATGTCCATTTCAGAGCTAAGTGATGTACAGTGCGTGGTCAAGGCACAATACAATAAAAGAGACTGTCATCAGAACTTCATATAATGGACAAGAAATGCTGAATACCAGAGGGTCTGTGGTTAATGGAAGGTTGGTCACAGCAAATAACTTGGGGATTTTTCAGTTTATTTTTATTTTAGACATGGGGTCTTGCTCTGATGCCCAGGCTGGAATGCAGTGGTGCAATCATAGCTCGCTACAGCATTGAACTCCTGGGCTCAAGCAATCCTCCTGCCTTAGCCTACTGAGTAGCTGGGATTACAGGTGGGAACCACCACATCTGGCTTGATTTTTCAGTTTTATCCAGGGGCTTGGGTCTTAACACTTCAGTCTGTGGCCAACTGGTATCTGTACCTCTTGCCTTAGGGCTGTCTCCAAATCTGGGGCAGGCCCAGGGAATGAACTTTAAGGGAGCAGCCCTCAACCAAAGATTGCTGGGAGTTGGTGGATCAATACCGCAGCTCCCTCACCCTTCATTCTGGATCACTTAAGAGGTGAGTTCCACGTGGGCTCCCAGTAGGACGGAGCTCAGTTGCCTACAGGACAACTCACCCTTCCTTGCCCCACCTCCCCTCTCCTTCTCCAACCCTTCTGGGGTCACCTCTCAGATGAACTACTTGCACAAGGATTGCCCTAAATTCTTGTTTCAGGATCTATTCTGGGTCATCCTAAACTAACACAAAGCAAGTTCCCAACTTTTTTTCTCAAGATTACCCCTAGAGGAGAGATGGGCATATTAGGTTGGGCTGACCTTTTCCACCATCCACAAGTGGGCGTCTGAGCGTATCCTATGTGCTGGGTAGAGTGACATATGAGACTATCCCTGCCCCATGGAGCTGATGCAGAAGAGAAGTGGTTAAGAAAAACATGCACACAATGAGTGAATCTGTTGCAGGTGTGATGCCTTCTCAGCTAGGAAGACAATGGCTTTGAGGGGCACACAGCAGGTCGTGTTAACTAGTCCAGGGCCTGGGATACCCCCTACTTCAAGTCAAGTTCCCATAGATGAGGGGGAGAAATCTGGCCAGTGGGGAAAGAACTTTCCAGGCTGAGAGTGGCCATGACAGAGAGCTTGGGACTGAAAGAGGGCTTGGCAAATTCAAGAAATGACATGGTGTCACCACTGGGATTTGGATGGTGAGGTTCAAGCAGCAAGTCATGAAGCCAGAGTAGGCAGGGGCCATGACATACAACTTTACAAAAAATGAATTTATTTATTTTTATTTTTGGAGACAGGGACTTATTCTGTCACCCAGGCTTGAGTATAGTGGTGCAACAACAGCTCACTGCAGCCTCAACCTCCTGGGCTCAAGCGATCCTCCCACCTCTGCCTCCTAAGCAGCTGGGACTACAGGTGTACAACAACATATTCAGAAAATTAAAAAATTTTTTTTGTAGAGATGGGGTCTTGCTATATTGCCCAGGCTGGTCTAGAACTCCTGGCCTCAAGTGATCCTCTCACCTCAGCCTCCCAAAGTGCTGGGATTATAGGTATGAGCTACTGCACTTGGCCCATTCAACTTTTAATTTGATTTACTTTATTTTTCTCTTCTCCTCCCAGCTTTCTGGTACTAATTTGGGTTCCTCAAATTCTGACTTAGAGATCACTATTCTCTTCTTGCACCTTGTTTTCTTCTGTGCTGGCACATAAAAGCTGTCAGGGCATGAACAGCAAAGAACAGGCAGTGGTTAAGTCCTTAGTATTTCACTTCACAAACATCAACTGAGCACTAATAACAAGCCAGGCCCTATCTCTGTGTGGGGGAGACTGAGAGTAAACCCAATAAATATAAGCAGGCTTTGTTTTGTTTTGTTCTAGAGATGGAGTCTCCCTGTGTTGCCCAGGCTGGCCTCCAACTCCTGGGCTCAAGGGATCCTCTTGCCTTGGCCTCCCAAAGTGCTGGGATTATGGACGTGAGCCACCACACCGGCCGAGGAAGACTTCATTTCATTGTGCTTTGCTTTATTGCAATTTGTAGATATTGTGTTTCTTACAAATTGAAGATTTGTGGCAACCCTGTGTCAAGGAGGTCTATCAGGGCCATTTTTTTTCCAACAGCGTGTGCTCACTTTGCGTCTCTGTGTCACACTCTGGTAATTCTTACGGTATTTCAAACTTTTACATAATTATTACATCTGTTATGGTGGTCTGTGATCAGTGATCTTTGATGTGACTATAGTCATTGTTTGGGGGTGCCACGAACCACATCCATAGAAGATGGCAAACTTGATCGATAAATATTGTGTGTGTTCTGACTGCTCTACCAACTGGCCATTTCCCCATCTCTCCCGCTTTCCTTGGGCCTTCCTATTCCCCGAGACATAACAATATTGAAATTAGGTCAGTGTATAACTGTACAATGGCCTTTAAGTGCTCAAGTGAAAAGAAGAGTTGCACGTCTCTCACTTTAAATTAAAAGCTAGAAATGATTAAACACAGTGAGGAAGGCGTGTCAAAAGCTGAGATAGGGCCAGGGATGGTGGCTCATGCCTGTAATCCGAGCATTTTGGGAGGCTGAGGTGAGAGGATGGCTTGAGCCTAGGAGTTTGAGACTAGCTTGGGCAAAATAGGGAGACCCTATCTCTACAGAAAATAAAAAAATTAGCTGGGTGTGGTGGTGCACACCTGTGGTCTCAGCTACTTAGGAGGCTGAGGTGGGAGGATCACTTGGTCCCAGGAAGTCAAGGCTGCAGTGAGCGGTGATTGCACCACTGCACTCCAGCCTGGGCAACGGAGTGAGACCCTGTCTCAAAAACAAAACAAACAAACAAACAAAAGGCCATAAGCTAGAGGTTAGCCAAGTTGTGAATGCAAAGGAAAAATTACTGAAGGAAATTAAAAGGGCTACTCTAGTAAACACATGAATGATAAGAAAGTAAGACAGGCTTCTTGCTGACATGGAGAAAGTTTTAGTGGTCTGGATAGAAGATCAAACCAGCCACAACATTCCCTTAAGCCAAAGCCTAATCCACAGCAAGCCCACAGCAAGACTGAGAGAGGTGGGGAAGTGCAGAAGAAAAATCTGAAGCTAGAAGATCTTGGTTCATGAGGTTTAAGGAAAGAAGGTGTCCCCATAATATAAAAGTGCAAGGTGAAGTGATAAGTGCTGATGGAGAAGCTGCAGTAAGTTATCCAGAAGATCTAGCTGAGATTATTAATGAAGCTGGCAACACTGAATAATAGATTTTTAATGTAGATGAAATGCCCTATTGGAAGAAGTTGCCATCTAGGACTTTCATAGCTAGAGAGGAGAAGTCAATGCCTGGCTTCAAAGCTTCAAAGGACAGGCTGACTCTCTTGTTAGGAGCTAGTGCTCCTGGTGACTTTAAGTTGAAACCAATGCTCACTTACCATTCCTAAAGTCCTAAGGTCTTAAGAATTATGCTGAATCTACTCTGCCTGTGCTCTATAAATGGAACAATGAAGACTGAATGACAGCCCGTCTGTTTATAGCATGGATAACTGATATTTTAAGCCCACTGTTGAGATCTACTCAGAAAAAAATATATATATAATATATAACACATAATATATGTTATATATAACATATGAGATATATAACACATAATATATGTTATATATAACACACTACACATATGTTATATATGATACACTACACATAATATATGTTATATATGATACACTACACATAATATATGTTACATATGATACACTACACATAATATATGTTATATATGATATATATAACACAATATGTTATATGTGACATATATAACACATAATATATGTGACATATATACACATAATATATGTTATGTGTGATATATAACACATGTTATATGTGATATATAACACATATGTTATATGTGATATATATAACACATGATATATGTTATATGTGATATATAATTTATATTACATATATGTTATATATATAATTTATATTACATATAACATGTTATATATATATATGTATTTTAGATGAAGTCGCACTCTTGTTGCCCAGGCTGGAGTGCAATGGCACGACCTCAGCTCACTGCAACCTCTGACTCCCAGGTTCAAGCGATTCTCCTGCCTCAGCCTCCAGGGTAGCTGGGATTACAGGCACCTGCTACCATGCCTGGCTAATTTTTTTGTATTTTTAGTAGAGTTGGGGTTTCACCATGTTGGCCAGGCTGGTCTTGAACTCCCGACCTCAGGTGATCCACACGCCTCGGCCTCCCAAAGTGGTGGGATTACAGGTGCGAGCCACTGTACCCAGCCAGAAAAAAGATTTCTTTCAAAATATTACTGCTGACAATGCACTGGTTATCCAGGACCTCTAATGGGCATGTACAAGAAGATGAATGTTGTTTTTATGACTTCTAACACAACATTTTTTTTTTTTTTTGAGACAGAGTCTCACTCTGTCGCTGCAGTGGTGTGATCTTGGCTCACTGCAACCTCTGTCTTCAAGAGGGTTCAAGCAATTCTCCTGCCTCAGCCTCCCAAGTGGCTGGGATTACAGTCATACGCCACCATGCCCAGCTAATTTTTGTATTTTTAGTAGTGATGGGGTTTCACCATATTGACCAGGCTGGTCTTGAACTCCTGACCTCAAGTTACCCACCTGCCTCAGCCTCCCAAAGTGCTGGGATTACAGGTGTGAGCCACCATGCCCAGCCACAACATTCATTCTGTAGCCCATGGATCAAGAAGTAATTCTCTATTTCAAGTCTTATGATTTAAGGGATACATTTCATAAGGCTATAGCTGCCATAGATAAATTCCTTTGATGCATCTGGGCAAAGGAAATTGAAAACTTTCTGAAAAGCATTCACCATTCTAGATACCATTAGGAACATTTGTGGCTGTTCCAGTGGCTCATGCCTGTAATCCCAGCACTTAGGGAGATCAAGGCAGGAGGATCACTTGAGGCCAAGAGTTCAAGACCAGTCTGGGCAACATAGTGAGACCTCAACTCAATTAAAAATAAAAAAACAATCCACAACAAACAAACAACAAAAAGAACATTTGTGATTCGTGGGAACAGGTCAAAATATCAACATTAATAGGAATTTTGAGGAAGTCAATTCCGATCCTCATGGATGACTTTGAGGAGTTCAAGACTTCACTGGAGGAAGACACTGCAGAAGTGATGGAACTAGCAAGAGAACTAGAGTTAGAAGTGGAGCCTGAAGATGTGACTGAATTGCTGCAGCCTCATGATCAAACTTCAATGCATGAGGCGTTACTTGTTATGGAAGAGCAAAGAAAGTGATTTCTTGAGATGGATTCTACTCCTGGTGAAAATTCTGTGAACACTGTTAAAATGACAACATGAGATTTAGAATATGACATAAACTTAGTTGACAAAGCAGTGGCAGGGTTTGAAAGAACTGACTCCAATTTTGAAAAAAGTTCTACTGTGGGTAAAATTGCTGTCAACAAGCATCTCATGCTAGAGAAATCTTTCGTGAAAGGAAGAGTCGATGGATGCGGAAAACTTTCTTGTCTTATTTTAAGAAAATGTCACAGGCACCCCAATCTTCAGCAACCACCCCCACGATCAGTCAGCACCCATCAACACTGAGCCAGTGACCCTTCACCAGCAAGATGAGGACTCACTGAAGGCTCAGATGATTGTTAACTTTTTTAGTAATAAAACATTTATTTATTTATTTATTTATTTATTTATTTTTTGAGACAGAGTCTCAGTCTGTCACCCAGGCTGGAGTGCAGCAGTGCAATCTCGGCTCACTGCAATCTCCCCCCCGCCTCCCAGGTTCAAGCAATTCTCGTGCCTCAGCCTCCCGAGTAGCTGGGCTTATAGGTGTGCACCACCACACCCGGCTATTTTTTTGTATTTTTCATAGAGACGGGGTTTCACCATGTTGGCTGGGCTGGTTTTGAACTCCTGACCTCAAGTGATCCACCCACCTTGGCCTCACAAACTGTTGGGATTACAGGCATGAGCCACTGTGCCCAGCCTTTTTTTTTTTTTTTTTTAATTTTTGTTGAGAGATACGGTCTCACTCTGTCCCCCAGGCTAGAGTGCAGTGGTGTGATCACAGCTCACTGCAGTCTCAATCTCTCAGGCTCAAGTGAGCCTCCCACCTCAGCCTCTCATGTAGCTGGGACCACAGGCATGCGTCACCATACCCAGCTATTTTTAAAAAGAATTTTTTTGTAGAAACGGGGTCTCACTTTGTTGCCTGGTTTCAAATCCCTGGGCTCAAGCAATCCTCCTGCCTTGGCCTCCCAAAGTGTTGGGATTACAAGCCACTGTGCTCAGCCTTGATGGATTTTAAAATTAAGGTATGTACATTTTTTTTTAGACATAATGCTATCATGCACTTAACAGACTATAGTGTAAGCATAACTTTTATGTGCACTGGGAAACCAAAAAAGGCACGACTCCCTTTATTGCAATATTCGCTTTGTTATGGCGACCTGGAACCAAACCAGCAGTGTCTCTGAGGTATACCTGTATGACAGATGTTAGGGCGATGAGTGCTTAGGAGAAAGTTACCACAGAGCAAGGGGAAAGGACGCGTCAGTGACATGGGGCTGGCGGGATGAAGGGAGTGGTGACATTTCTATCAGTAAAGGCACCTGCTCTTTACCACCTGGAAGGCAAACAGTTCAGTGTTAAAAGTGTTACAGGGCCGGGCGCGGTGGCTCACACCTGTAATCCCAACACTTTGGGAGGCCAAGGCTGGCGGATCACAAGGTCAGGAGTTCGAGACCAGCCTGGCCAATATGGTGAAAACCCGTCTCTACTAAAAATACAAAAATTAGCTGGGCGTGGTGGCGGGTGTCTGTAGTCCCAGCTACTTGGGAGGCTAAGGCAGGAGAATAGCTTGAACCCGGGTGACAGAGGATGCAGTGAGCAGAGATCGCGCCACTGCACTCCAGCCTGGTGACAGAGCAAGATGCCGTCTCAAAAAAAAAAAAAAAAAAAAAAAGTGTTTAGACCAGCACTGCCCAGGAGAAATCTATTAAGAGCTACTTATGAAATTTTATAGCCAGGTGCGGTGGCTCATGCCTGTAATCCCAGCACTTTGGGAGGCCAAGGCTGGCGGATCACAAGGTCAGGAGTTCGAGACCAGCCTGGCCAATATGGTGAAAACCCGTCTCTACTAAAAATACAAAAATTAGCTGGGCGTGGTGGCGGGTGTCTGTAGTCCCAGCTACTTGGGAGGCTAAGGCAGGAGAATAGCTTGAACCCGGGTGACAGAGGATGCAGTGAGCAGAGATCGCGCCACTGCACTCCAGCCTGGTGACAGAGCAAGATGCCGTCTCAAAAAAAAAAAAAAAAAAAAAAAGTGTTTAGACCAGCACTGCCCAGGAGAAATCTATTAAGAGCTACTTATGAAATTTTATAGCCAGGCGCGGTGGCTCATGCCTGTAATCCCAGCACTTTGGGAGGCCGACGCAGGCAGATCACTTGAGGCCAGGAGTTCGAGACCAGCCTGGCCAACATGGCGAAACTCCATCTCTACTAAAAATGCAAAAAATTAGCTGGGCGTGGCGGTGGGCATCTGTAATCCCAGCTACTCAGAGGCAGAGGCAGGCGAACTGCTTGAACCCATGAGGTGGAGGTTGCAGTGAGCCAAGATCACACCACTGCACTCCAGCCTGGGTGACAGAGCGTGACTCTGTCTCAAAAAAAAAAAAAAAAAAAAAAAAAATTAAAATTTGCTAGTAGCCACATTAAAAAAGTAAAAAGAAACAGGTAAAATTCATTTATTGGTTTGTTTGTTTGTTTGTTTATTTATTTATTTATTTATTTATTTATTTATTTATTTATTTTGAGACAGGGTCTCCCTGTTGTCTAGGCTGGAGTGCAGTGGCTCAATCTTGGCTCACTGCAACCTCCGCCTCCTGGGCTCAGGTGATCTTCCTTCCTCAGCCTCCTAAGTAGCTGGGACTACAGGTGGGAGCCACCAAGCCCAGCTAATTTTTGTATTTTTTTTGGAGAGACAGGGTTTTACCATATTGCCCAGGCTGGTCTCGAACTCCTGAGCTCAAGCAATCTGCCTGCTTTGGCCTCCCAAAGTGCTGGTATTTGAGGCATGAGCCACTATGCCCAGCCTGAAGCATTCTAAGAAGATCGTAGACCTGCTGGGCACAAAAGCTCCTGCCTGTAATCTCAGCTACTCGGGAGGCTGAGGCAGGAGGATCGCTTGAGGCCAGGAGTTCCAGACCAGCCTGAGCAACATGGCAAGACCTTGTCGCTATTAAAAAAAATAATAACAATTAAAAAAATGGGCGGGGCATTGTGGTGTGTGCCTGTAATCCCAGCTACTCGGGAGGCTGTTGGTGGGAGGACCACTTGAGTTTGGGATTTTGAGGCTGCAGTGAGCTGTGATCGTGCCACTGCATTCCAGGCTGGAAGACAGAGCGAGACCCTGTATCTTAAGAGATAAAAGATATTTTGCACATGGTTTTCCTTGGAATCTGGTCAATATTCTACACTTTCATGTGTTTCAACTGAAGTGCTCAAAGGCCACATGTGGCCAGCGGTGACTGTATCAAACAGCACAAGTGCAGAGAAATAGACATTTGAATAAAGACTGGGAGAAAGCAAGGGAAGCAAGAGAGTGAGCCATATGAATATGTCAGGGAAAACTCTAGGCAAATGGAACAGCCGGTGCAAAGGTCCAGCTGGTGCAAAGGTCCTCCTCCCGCTCTCCCCCTCACTCACTCTGTTCCAGCCACACCAATTCATCCGTGTTCTTCAAATGCACCAGGCTGGACCGTGCATTTAATAGCTAGGCCATGCCTGGTGTATTTGAGAAACAGAGATGAGTTGGTGTGGCTGAAGCAGAGCGAGCAAGGGGGAGGGTGTGAGGGGACGAAGGCAGTGAGGTGATGGATGGTGCAGGGCTTTGTGGGTTGTGGAGAGGACTTTGGCTTTTTCTCTGAGTAAGGTGTGAGCCATGGAGGGTTCTGAGGGGAGGAGGGATGTAATCTGACTTGTATTAAAATATGATCTCTCTAGGGGGCAAGGCCGGAAGCTGGGAGATTGAGGAGGAGGCAACTGCATTGACGCAGTTGAACGCTGATAAGCCTGGACCAGGGAGGTTGTGCTGGATGCAGTGATAACGCTAAGACAAACTCCACCCTGCTTTAGGGAGAGACCACACCAATGAGTGAGTGAGAGATTCAACTACAAGTCCCTCTGACCCCAGGGATAGAGGAGGCAGGGATGAAAGAGGGAATGATTACAGCCTGGGGACAGCATTATCGCAGAGCTCATGTCCGGGGAGGCAGCATAGCACAGTCAGAACATCTCAGACGGGTTAAATCCTGGCCCTGCATTTTCTCATTGTGTGACCTTTCCCATTGCCTTAACTTGTTCAAGCCTCGGAAATGCAGATAATCTCACCACCCTGTGCAATCCCAGCTGGCTCCCAAGATGCATTACCTCACAGCCTCCTCCCTGGAAGGATAAGAAGGAATTAGGAGGAGAACAGGAAGATAAGGGAGGCTTCTCTGGCTAAGAAAGCCCTATGGAGGCAGAAGGCTCCACTCAGGGTATGTGGTAGGGGAGAGGTTGGGTAAGCTGGACAGTGGAGGCTGTCAACTAGAGGCTGGGTCTTGTCCTGTGGACAGTGAGAGTCATGTAAGGTTTTGGAGCAGGAAGGGATGTGATTAGGGTTGGCGTTCAGAAGACAAGCCTGACAGCTGAAAGGACAGATTGGTGGTGATGGAGCAGAAGTTAGGAGGGAGCCGCAAGAGCAGGCTGGTGTAATGAGGGCTGGAACTAGGACAAAGGCAGTGGGAGTACAAAAGAGGCCCCGGTTTATATATAGCTGCCATTGATTGCTGTGCTCCAGGGAGCCTGCCTGGGCTCATCAAATCCTCCCTGCATCCCAGCGGTTGGCAGTTTGAGGCCCATTTTACAGAGGAGGAAACTAAAGACCAGATAAGTTAATCCCACATGGAGGTTCCTACCACTGAGTAAGAACTCGAACCCCAGACCAGCCACAGGACTCCAGAATCCCAGTTCTCTACTGTGTCATCCTTCAACTCCTGTGACTAGTTGGGCGGGGTGAGGGGCAACGGTGGTGAAGAAAGAGAAGAATGGCTCTGGTTCTGAAAGGACCACGGAGTGATGTTCATTCATTTATTCAACAAGGATTTAGTGAGCACGTACTATGTGCCAGATATTCAGAGAGTGCCTAAAGATGCTACCAAGGACAAAGCAATAGTGGGAAAAGATATAGTATGTCAGACGGTGTGAAGTGCTATGGAGAACAATATGGCAGCCCCTAGGGCTTCCAATGGAAAGACTGAGTGTGGAGCAGGAGAGAGGTATCAAGGGTGACTCCAGGGTTTTGGCCTGAGCTAACTGAAGGATGAAGTTGCTGTCAATGGAGATGGGGAAGATGGAGGAAGAAGGTTTCAAAGATCAAGAACTGGGTTGTAGACATGTTGAGTTTGAGATGCCAGTTTTCCGTCACTCCTTAGTTAAAATCTTCCAATGGCTTCCATCAGGCTTGGAGTAAAATTTAAAGTCTACCATGACCACATGACCTTGCGTGATGTGACTCCTGCTGACCACCTTGTCCCACAACACCCTGGCCACTCCGACTTCCTTTCTGTTCTGCCAGCAGGAAAAGCTCACTTTCTGCTTTATTGAGAATTACTATATTGGCTGTCTCCTCTGCCGTCCCCATTCCTTCAACTCTCATCTTTTGCCTAGCTGGCCTCTTCGAATTCTTCAGGTTGAAACTCAGATTCTGCCTTCTCAGAGAGAACATCCCTCAACTTCCTAGCTAAAGAGATCCTGCCTCTTCACTCTCTGGAATTATATTGTTTGTTTGTTTGTTTATTTATTTATTTTTAAGACAGGATCTCACTCTGTCACCCAGGCTGGCGTGCAGTGCACAGTCACAGCTCACTGCGGACTTGACCTCTCAGGCTCAAGCAATCCTTCCACCTTGTCCTCCCAAGTAGCTGGAACTACAGGCATGCATTACCCTATCCAGCTAATTTTTAATATTTTTTTTGTAGAGACAGGGTCCCAGTACGTTTCCCAAGGTGGTCTCAAACTCCTGGATTCAAGTGATCCTCTCATCTTGGTCTCTTAGTGTTTGGATGATAGGCGTGAGCCACCATGCCTGGCCGTACTGTTTATTAAGTCGTATTTATTATTCATGCTTTCTTCTAGAATGTCAGCTCCACGAGGACAGGGGCTTTTTTTGTATAGCATCTTTCATGGCCTAGTGAGTACTCAATAAATATTGTGGTGGGTGAATAAGTGAGGTGTGGCAGAGGACAGGGTTATGGAAGACCAGATAACCCAGGGTAGATGAGTGAAGTGGAAAAAGCCAAGGGTCCCCAGTGGAGAGGGAGAAGACACAGACATGGGAGGAGACTGGTGTGGAGAATGGCATACCTGACAGTCAAGTTCAAAAGCATTTTGAGGCTGGGTGCGGTGGCTCATGCCTGTAATCTCAGCACTTTGAAAGGCCGAGGCAGGTGGATCCCCTGAGGTTAGGAGTTCGAGATCAGCCTGGCCAACATGGCAAAACTCCGTCTCTACCAAAAATACAAGAAAATTAGCCAGCCGTGGTGGCGGGAGCCTGTAATCCCAGCTACTTGGGAGGCTGAGGCAGGAGAATCGCTTGAACCTGGGAGGCAGAGGTTGCAGTAAGCTGAGATCGCACCACTGCACTCCAGCCTAGGTGATGAGAGTGAAACTCCATCTCAAGAAAACCCCCCAAAAACAATAGCAACAACAAAAACACACAGAAATAAAGTATTTTGAGAAAGGAGAGGTCACTGGTCTCCAGGGCCGCACAGAGGTGAGTAAGAGTAAAGGATGAAGAATGCATTTCATACGGCATCAGGGTCACGTCAGTCTTGCGGGGGCTGATGGTTGAGGGAGAACAAGAGGAGAAGAACTGGAAATGTGAGCCTGGGTAGGAGAGGAGATTTTCAGGGTGGGAGAGAACTGAATATGGGTCAAGGGAGAGAAGTTGATGATGTATCTCTTGGCCTTTAGAGAGCTGCACCGCCCAATAAAGTAACCACTAGCCACACATGGCTATTTAAATACAGATTTAAATTCATTTAAATTAAATGAAAAATTCGCTTGTACCAGTCACGTTTTAAGTGCTCCCAAGCCACATGTGGCTGGTGCATACATACATACTTCATCAGTGCAGAAAGTTCCATTGGACTTTGATGTTCTAGCATGTCCATCCCCGTAGGGCAGATATTTTCTATTCTTTCTTTCTTTTTTTTTTTTTTTTTGAGACAGGGTCTCATTCTGTTGCCCAGGCTGGAGTGCAGTGGCACGATCTCGGCTTATTGCATCCTCCGCTTCCCAGGTTCAAGCGATTCTCCTGCCTCAGCCTCCCAAGTAGCTGGGATTACAGGCACTTGCCACCATGCCTGGCTAATTTTTACATTTTTAGTAGAGACGGGGTTTCACCATGTTGGTCAGGCTGATCTCAAACTCCTGACCTTGCGATTCACCTGCCTCGGCCTCCCAAAGTGCTGGGATTACAGGCGTGAGCCACTGCGCCCGGCCTTCTTTTCTTTTTTAGAGACAGAGTCCTAGTATGCTGCCCAGGCTGGACTCAAACTCCCAGTCTCATGAGATCCTACTGCCTTGGACTCCTGAGTAGGTGGAACTATAGGCCTAAGCCACTGTGCCTGGCTTTGCAAAATTTATTTTTATTTTTTATTTTATTTTTTAGAAATTTTCATCTGTTTTGTTCATAGCATCTCCAGCACCTAAAGCTGTGCCTGGCATACAGTAGGCACTCAATAAATGTTTACTGAATGAATAATGAAGCAAAAATGTAGAAAAGTGTGGTTGATAATTAACAGAGTATATTCTAGAAGAGGTGGAAGGCTCAGTATTTAAAGAAGAGAGTCCAGGCGTGGTGGCTTATGCCTGTAATCCCAGCACTTTGGGAGGCTGAGGCAGGAGGATTGTTTGAGCTCAGGAGTTCAAGACCAGCCTGGGCAACATAAAGAGACCCCATCTCTACAAAAAATATAAAAATTAGCCGGCCATGGTGGTACACTCCTCCAGCTGCTCGTGAGGCTAAGGTGGGCGGATCACCTGAGCCTGGCAGGTCGAGGCAGCAGTGAGCTGTGATTGTGCCACTGCATTTCTGCCTGGGCAACAGAGTGAGACCTTGTCTCTTAAAAAAAAAAAAAAAAGAAGAAGAAGAATGGAAGACACAGTTGTCCATCCAAGAGCCACCACCACTACCCGCCTTACTGGCAGAGCCCACCTCCCATCAAAGAGGCAGAAAATGCCTAATAGTCTCTTTTTCCCAAGATTCCTTGCAATAAGAGCACTTGTCACATGACCCATTCGTAGGCCTAACAGGATCTGGGTGAAAAATCTGCTGGGTGCTTCTGGAAAAGGATTTTTTCCCCGTGAGATGAGTCACATGGTAAGAGACAGCCCTTCCTCTCCCTCTTCTTTGGCCGGATGCTTTTGTGTCTGTCTACGTGGATGGCTGGGTAAGTACCTTAGAACTGAGGCAGTCATCGGCCGGGCACAGTGGCTCACGCCTGTAATCCCAGCCCTTTGGGAGGCCGAGGCAGGTGCATCACCTGAGGTCAGGAGTTTGAGACCAGCCTGACCAATATGGTGAAACCCTATCTCTACTAAAAAAAATACAAAAAATTAGCCGGATGCAGTGGCAGGCACCTGTAATCCCAGCTACTCGGGAGGCTGAGACAGGAGAATCGCTTGAACCCAGGAGGCAGAGGTTGCAGTGAGCCGAGATCATGCCACTGCACTCCAGCCTGGGCGACAGAGCGGGACTCTGTCTGAAGGAAAAAAAGAAAGAACTGACGCAGTCGTCTTGGGGCTGTGAGTGGTAAATGTTAAAAAAAGTCCTTACAGTGACGATGTTAGAGTGGAAAGATGGAAGGACTCTTTGGAGACATTGTTGAGCCAAGGAACCAACCCTGCAACCAACCTCCTGGCCTCCAGACTTCTTTTGTTTTTGAGACAAATCTCACTCTGTCGCCCAGGCTGGAGTTCAGTGGTGCAATCTGGGCTCACTGCAACTTCCACCTCCTGGGTTCAAATGTTTCTCCTGCCTCAGCCTCCCGAGTAGCTGGGACTACAGGCGTGCGCCACCACGCCTGGCTAATTTTTGTATTTTTAGTAGAGATGGGGTTCACCATGTTGGCCAGCCTGTTCTCAAACTCCTGACCTCAGGTGATCCACCCCACCCGTCTTGGCCTCCCAAAGTGCTGGGATTACAGGCATGAGCCACTGCGCCCGGCCTCCATTTTTATTTTCTTAATTGTAGCTAAGTCATATCAGAACCTGCTGATTAAAGGAGCCAATATTCACTAAATGTATTCTCTTCCAGGTTGTGTGCTTGTTACTTTACATTCTGAGAGCTCATTTTATGCTGCTTACCAGGGACTTGTTCTATTCTCCCTTTCATTGATGGGGAAATTGAGACCCATGGGGTTAAACTACTTGTCCAGCTAACATGTGGTGCCTGCGTGCTACGTCTGGTTTTACCCATTCTACCATGCTGCTCCTGGTTAACTCTGCCACCCCACTCACCTTCCCCACTGGGACCTCAGCCAAACTCATGCCTTCACTAGCCTGAGCATGGGAAGGAGGTCAATTCTCTGCTGGTTGGAAGTCAGGATGTCAATAAATATTTACAGAGGAGCAACTACCATATGCCACTCAGAAGAGAGGGGAACATGTGCAAAGGCCCTGGGGCTGGAGAGACCTCATGAAGAGAAGTGAGGTTACCAGTTGAGAAGTGGAGGCAGAGGACAGGAGTTTGAGCCCAAGAGTTTGAGGCTGCAGTGAGCTACGTCACTACAGCCAGTGCAACAGAATGACATCCTGCCTCTAAAAATTAAAACAAAATTAAAAAGATGACACAGAGGAATGTCTGCAAATCAGTGAGAATAACACAGCAACCCCAATAGGAAAACAGGCCCAAAATGTGAATAGGCAGATTAGGGGAGTGAGAAGGAGAGGAGACAGGAGAGTGAGAAGATGTTAGCATGGTTAGAAAGCAGGGGAGGGGATGGGGATGTAGTGGCCCCCTAACCTCAGGTTAGATAAAGTACCTGCCTCTTACAGACTCAGGCCAAATATTTCTAAGATGGGTACCAAGGAGCAGAACCACTTCCCATACAGTCTATATTCTTGCCACTCCTAGGTTGAGGACTGAGTGATCCTCTTCAAGTTCATTCTTAAATCACCCAGCTTTCCCCTTCTTGAAAAAACGATTTCTTCCTCTTCTTTTTTTTTTTTTTTTTTTTTTTTTTTTGAGACAAAGTCTTGCTCTGTCACCCAGGCTGGAGTGCAATGGTGTGATCTCAGCTCAATGCAACCTCTGCCTCCCGGGTTCAAGTGATTTTCCTGCCTCAGCCTCCTGAGTAGCTGGGATTACAGGCACATGCCACCATGCCTGGCTAATTTTTGTATTTTTAGTAGAGACAGGGTTTCATCATGTTGGCCAGGCTGGTCTCGAACTCCTGACCTTAAGTGATCCACCTGCCTCGCCCTCGCAAAGTGGTGGGGTTACAGGCGTGAGCCACCCCCTGGCGAGAAAACTATTTCTGAAATTCATTTTCTGAATCTTCAAATGCAGAGTCAAGTTCTTTGCTCTCCTCAGGTTACGGGATATCTTTACCTTTGGTCTGTATGACGCCTGTCTCTTGTTTATACCTTCATTCATTCATGCATTAATTCCCCTATATCTCTCTATACCCTACTTTCATTCTTCTCCCTCCCAGAGACAACTGAGAGAATGTTTAATTTGGCCTTATAGGAGTGCATTCTCGCAAAAACACGTGCGATATTTTGAGTGTGTCTATTTTTAACTGACATAAGCAGGATGAAGTTAGACACATTCTGTTGTTTCCTGTTTTCACCCAGAACCATATTTTTATTTTTTGTTTTTTAAATTTTTTGAGACAGAGTTTTGCTCTTGTCACCCAGGCTGGAGTGCAGTGGCACGATGTCGGCTCACTGCAACCTCTGCCTCCTGGGTTCAAGCGATTCTCTTGCCTCAGCCTCCCGAGTAGTTGGGATTACAGGCACCCGCCACCACGTCCAGCTAATTTTTGTATCTTTAATAGAGACAGGGTTTCACCATGTTGGCCAGGCTGGTCTCGAACTCCTGACCTCAGGTGATCCACCCGCCTTGGCCTGCCAGAGTGCTGGGATGACACGCATGAGCCACCGTGCCCGGCAACAACCATATTTCTAAAAGCCCCATCCCGTAGTATCTGTCGGATATGCGGTCTGGAGCTCTCACTCATTCTGGTGCTCCATGGGTGCCGCTGTCACATGCCGCCTCCTGGTCTCCAGGAGGGACACCAGGTGGCCTTCAGCTCCCCTTATATAGATGGTGCTGGAGTAAGCATTCTCGTACCTGCCCCTAACAGACCTGGTAAGAATGTCCCTGGGATGGATGCCTGGGGACATAAGCGCTGATGGTGCTGGACCTCACTGGACTGAGTACTACCGATATGTCTCCAGAGTGGCCTCCCTGGGCCACACCCCTTTGAGTGGTGCAAGACTTTCCTCTGTGCCCGCATCGCTGGAAACCCTTGGCTTATTCACATATTTTTTCCCCAATATTAAAGGTGTACAGAGATACTGCTTTCATTTCCATCTTTCTGGTTACAAATGACTTTGAGTACCATGTCATAGGCTGATTAGCTTTTCAGACTTCACTTCCCTGATCCGCCTGTTCACATTTTCGGCCTGTTTTCCTATTGGGGTTGCTGTGTTATTCTGGTTGACTTGCAGACATTCCCTCAGGTAGTCTTTGCATTTTTATTTTTACTTTATTATTATTTATTTATTTATTTATTTTGAGACAGAGTCTCGCTCTGTCGCCCAGGCCGGAGTGCAGTGGCGCAATCTCAGCTCACTGCAACCTCTGCTTCCCAGGTTCAAGCAATTCTCCTGCCTCAGCCTCTCGAGTAGCTGGGACTACAGGCATGCGCCACCATGCCTGGCTAATTTTTTTTTATTTTTAGTACGGACGCGGTTTTACCATGTTAGCCAGGG
Organism: Homo sapiens; assembly: GCF_000001405.40. NCBI lineage: Eukaryota > Metazoa > Chordata > Mammalia > Primates > Hominidae > Homo > Homo sapiens. The sequence goes on from NC_000019.10 coordinate 13,390,028, forward strand.
TGGTCTCGATCTCCTGACCTCACAATCTGCCCATCTCGGCTTCCCAAAGTGCTGGGATTACAGGCGGGAGCCACTATGCCCCACCTACATTTTTATTTTTTATGTTTAGAGACAGGTCTCACTCTGTCACCCAGACTGGAGTGCAGCGGTGCGCTCATAGTTCACTGCAGCCTCAAATTCCTGGGCTCAAGCAATCCTGTCTCAGCCTCCTGAGTAGCTGGGACTACAGGCATGCAACACTTTGCCTGGCTAATTCTTAAAATGTTGGTAGAGATGAGGTCTCTCTGTTTCCCAGGCTGGTCTCAAACCCCTGGCCTCCAGTGATCCTCCCACCTTGGCCTTCCAAAGCACTGGGATTACAGGTGTGAGCCACTGCACCCAGACCCTCATGTAGCCTTGATCAACACTGTCTGACAGAACTTTCTGGATGATAAATCTGTTCTCAATCTGTGCTGCCAAATATGGTAGCCACTAGTCACCTGTGGGTTTTGAGCACTTAAAATGTGGCTAGTGTGAATGAAGAACTGAGTTTTAAATTTCATTTAATTCTAAATCATCTAAATTTAAAATGACCACACAGTGCTAGGGACCTCTATAACAAACAGCAGTTAGAAGTTAACCCCTGATCAATTTTTTTTTTATGATTCTATCCACTATTTACCATGTGCTAATTCCTATTCTAAATGATTTATAAATATTAACTCATTCAAAACTCACAACAATTCCATAGGTAGATACTATTTTCTCCATTTTATTGACGAGGAAACTGAGGCTCAGAGAGGTTGATAACTCACCCAAGGATTCACAGGAAATGGGACAACCAGCATCTGGATGTAAGGTTTGGTTCCCGAACCACCTGCTATTGCATCTTTTTTTTTTGGACGGAGTCTTGCTTTGTCGCTAGACTGGAGTGCAGTGGCGTGATTTCAGCTCACTGCAACCTCCACCTCCCTGGTTCAAGCAATTCCCCTGCCTAAGCCTCCCAAGTAGCTGGGATTACAGGCACGTGACACCATTCCTGGCTAATTTTTTGTATTTTAGTAGAGATGGGGTTTCACCATGTTGACCAAGATGGTCTCGATCTCCTGACCTCGTGATTCGCCTGCCTCGGCCTCCCAAAGTGCTGGGATTACAGGCGTGAGCCACCGCACCTGGCCCCAATTGCATCTTTATTTGAACAAATATCTTAGTTTTCATGTAATCATGTCTTTTTTTGCCTTAGAGTTTGTGCTTTACAAGTTCAGTGGAGGAAGTCCTTCTCCCTTCCTGGGTTCACAGCTATTCTCCAGCATTTTTTTTCCTTTAATGTAAAGTTCTCCCCACTCACAGAAGGTCCTCCCAAGCTCCTTAACCTTCTACATGGAGAGCAATTCTTCATTTTATTTGTCTTTTAAAGTAAAGGATTGAACAAAAGGACATGTTTCTATTTCGGGTGGTTTCTGAAGCCCTCTTAAAGTACAGTGTTTTCTTAAATAAAGAGGAGTAGGAACAGAGGCAAAAACCCCATAAGGTGGTGAGGTAAGTGATTCTAGAAGAGACAGGAGCTCGAGAGGGATGAGAGCTCTGGAGAAGTCAAGAAGGGGAAATTGCCGGGTGCGGTGGCTCACATCGGTAGTCCTAGCACTTTGGGAGGCTGAGACAGGAGGATTGCTTGAGTCCAGGAGTTCAAGACCAGCCTAGGCAACAAAGTGAGACCTGTCTTTACCAAAAATGAAGAAATTAGCCATGGCCGGGCGTGCTGGCTCACACCTGTAATCCCAGCATTTTGGGAGGCTGAGGCAGGAGGACTGCTTGAGCCCAAGAGTTCAAGACCAGCCTGGGCAACATGGTGAAACCTGGTCTCTACAAGAAGTACAAAAATTAGCCAGGCATGGTGGCTTGTGCCTGTAGCCCCAGCTACTCGGGAGGCTGAGGTGGGAGAATCGCATGAGCCCGGGAGGTCAAGGCTGCAGTGAGCTGTGATCATGCTACTGCACTTGGTTGACAGGGTGAGACCATGTCTCAAAAAAAAAAAAAAAAAGAAAAAAAAGAAAATCAGCTGGGCACAACGTTGCATGTCTGTGGTCCCAGCTACTAAGGAGGCTGAGGCAGGACGATACCTTGAGCTCAGGAGGTTGAGGCTACAGTGAGCTGTGTTTGTGCCACTGCACTCGAGCCTGGTCAACAAGAGTGAAACTCTGTTCAAAAAAAAAGAAAAGAAAAGAAAAAAGAAAGAAAGAGAAGAATGGGAAACTTAGTGAAGGCCAGTGCATTCACAGTCATGAGTGTTTTGAAGGGTACTGTTGCGAGACCTTGCCAATCACCAGGGCTAGAGGAGGTGGTGAAAGAGAAAACTCTCCTTGAGAGGCTGGAATGAGAAGATAATGTGACTTGGGCAGGTGGAGGCAGGATGTCTTCCAAATAGAGGTGAGAACATAGTGTCAGTGGAGATGGGAGAGCCAATGGATGAATCCAATTGATGGAGTGAAGCTCTTGAGGAAATGAACAAGTGCATTACATTTGAATTCCCAGACATTCAGTGGGAACCTGCTACAGGAGAGGCACTCCAGGAGCAAAATAAAAACAAACTCTCATTCACAGGTGGTGGGAGTTTTAACTGGTCCAACCACTTGGGAAAACTGTTAGGCAGTTTCTTTTCCTTCCTTCCTTCCTTCCTTCCATCCCAAACACTTGGGAAAACTGTTGGGCAGTTTCCTTTCCTTCCTTCCCTTCCTTCCTTCCTTTCTTCTTTTTGAGATGGAGTTTCATGTATTCTGCCACCCAGGCTGGAGTACAGTAGTGCAATCTCTGCTCACTGCAACCTCTGCCTCCCAGGTTCAAGCAATTCTCCTGCCTCAGTTTCCTGAGTAGCTGAGATTACAGGCACACGCCACCATGCTCGGCTAATCTTTGTATTTTTTTGCGGAGACGGGGTTTTGCCATGTTGGCCAGGGGTTTTGCCACATTGGCCAGGCTGGTCTCGAACTCCTGAGCTCAAGTGATTTGCCCCCCTCAGCCTCCCAAAGTGCTGGGATTACAGGCATGAGCCACTGTGCCCGGCCAATTGTTAGGCAGTTCCTACCAAAGCTAAACCAATTCCTCCCTCTGACTCAGATGTTCCGGTCCTAGGAATATCTCCCATAGAAATATGAAGAGTGGTCACCCACAGACATATCTGAGTGTGTTCAAAGTAGCTTTCTCTGGAATAGCCCCAAAGTAGAAAGCACCAAACTGCCCACCATTAGTAGAGTAAATGAACAGGTGGTTCAGCACACACAGCGATGAGAACAAATGAACAGCAACAGCACAGATGAATCTCACACATACAACGTCAAGGGAAAGAAGTCAATGCATGCATGCTGTATGACCCCATGTGCTTAAAGTTCAAAAACAAGCAAAACTAATCTAGACTGTTTGAAGTCAGGATGGAGTTACTGGTGACCTCAGAGGCACAAGGGGGTTTCTAAACGTTGGTGCTGTTTTTTTTTCCTTCCTTCCTTTCCTTCCTTCCTTCCCTCCCTCCTTCCTTCCTCGAAGCTGCAGCTGTTCCCTCCCTCCCCCCCTTCTTCTTCTTCTTCCTCCTCCTCTTCCCTCCCTATTTTCCTTCCTTCCTTTTTTTCTTTCTTTAGCTTTCTCTTTCTTTCTCTGTCTTCCTCTTTTCTTTCTTTCTCTTTCTTTCCTTTTCTTTCTTTACCTTTCTCTCTCTCTTTCTGTCTTCCTCTTTTCTTTCCTTTTCTCTCTCTCCCCTTCCTTCCCTTCCCTCCCTCCCTCCCTCCTTCCTTCCTTCCTTCCCTCCCTCCTTCCTCTCTCTCTCTCTCTCTCTCTCTCTCTTCCCCTCCGCCCCCATTGCCCACGCTGGGGAGCGATAGCATGATCTCTGCTCACTGCAACCTCTGCCTCCCAGATTCAAGTGATTCTCCTGCCTCAGCCTCACTCGGCTATGTTCTGTTTCTTGAACTAGGCGCTGGTTACATGACTGGGCTCAGTTTTTGAAAATCACTCAAGCTCTACTTGTATGATACATGTGCTTTTCTGTATGTATGTTATATTCAATAAAAGGTTAAAAATATATTTAGGAAGTAGCTAACATTTCTTGAGTGCTTGCTGTGGGCCAAGTCTTATGCATTATTTTATTCAATCCCCATGATGACCCTACAAGTGTGGCGGTGGTGGGTCCTATCATTCCCTCTACTTTCCAGGTCAGAGAGGTGGGGTCACTGCTTCGAGTTCACACAGCTAGCACATGGCTGGGCTGGGTCTTAAGCCCATGTCCTGCTCAATTCTAACTTCTCTGCAATGCTCTCAGGTTTGGAAAAGTAAAAGGACAAGGATTTCTCAAAGTCAGAGGGTAAAAAGGAAAAAAACAAAACAAAACATGAGATGATGATCCCGCCATACAATTGCCTGCTAACTTCATCAAGAAACAGTTGGAAGATCTCGAGGACCAGGTGAAGGTTTGAAGCAGGGTTGGGGTGAATTTAATAAAGTGTTGATTAAACGTTGTCAGGGGATTCTGAAGACTCAGCTTAAGAGGATACCTGCAGGAAAGAAAGGAACTCTTCCTGCTTCTTCTCTTGAACAATTTTGGCTTTAACGACCATTTCCCCACAAGGCAACAACAAATATTTCATAGTTCTACTCTTCCAAAGCCCTGTTCACAGCATCGTCACTGTGGGAGGTGGGCGCCTATACCCACTTCACTGATAAGCAAACTGTTGGGGCTCAGAAAACAATACCCCAAAATGAAGTTCTCCGAAGCAGCCACAGAAGCAAAAGTTTTTCTCTGACCTTCTCCTGCCCTTCTATCTCTTAGTCCCATTCTCCCCTGGGGCTAGCCACAAAAACTAGAATCCCTCTTCCCTAAGGCGGGTCGTAGAAACCAGACCTCTTTTCCCCAAAGTCAGCCCTAACACCTAAAAATGTTACTCTAACTTTCCCTCCACCTTTCTTTGTAAAAACTAGTTATAAAAAAATTATCTGGCCAGCTGTGGTAGCTCATGCTGGGATTACAAATCCCGGGACTTTGGGAGGCCGACGTGGGTGGATCACTTGAGGTCAGGAGTTTAAGACCAGCCTGGCCAACATGGCAAAACACTGTCTCTACTAAAAATACAAAAATTAGCTGGGCATGGTGGCGCGCACCTCTAGTCCCAGCTACTTGGAAGGCTGAGGCAGGAGAATTGCTTGAACCCAGGAGGCAGAGGCTGCAGTGAGCTGAGTTTGCACCACAGCACTCCAGCCTGGGCAACAGAGTGAGACTCCATCTCAAAAAAAAAAAAAAAAAGAAAAGAAAAAGAAAAAGAAAAAGAAATGATCTGGCTGGGCACAGTGGCTCATGCTGGGATTACAAATCCCAGGACTTTGGGAGGCCCAGGTGGTGGATCACTTGAGGTCAGCAGTTTGAGACCAGCCTGGCCAACATGGTGAAACCCTGTCTCTACTAAAAAATACAAAAATTAGCTGGGCATGGTGGTGCTTACCTGTAGTCCCAGCTACTTGGGAGGCTGAGGCAGGAGAATCATTTGAACCCAGAAGGCAGAGGCTGCAGTGAGCCGAGATTGTGCCACTGTACTCTAGCCTGGGCAACAGAATCAGACTCTGTCTCAAAAAAAAGAAAAAAAAAAAAAAGAAATTATCTAACTTACGTTATTTGACCGTAGGTTATAAGGATCCCATTCCAGAGAGGGTCCTGCCCCATACCCAGAAGGAATGCATGCTCTGAGAGACCAAGAAGAATCAAGACAGCCCCCTTATTCCAGAGAGGGTCCTGCCCCATACCCGGAAGGAATGCATGCTGAGAGAGACCAAGGAGAACCAAGAGAGCCCCCCCTCCATTCCAGAGAGGGTCTTGTCCCATACCCGGAAGAAATGCATGCTCAGAGAGACCAAGGAGAATCAAGACAGCCCTTTTTGGGTTTCCCCACTCAGTCTATTAGCATTTACATTGTACACTTTTTGTTCAATCATATTTCTACACCGCTGTCCATACTTTGTTGAACCTAAGCTTAAAAAACGGACAATTTCCCCTGCAGCTTTGGGTCTTCATTCTGAAGGCTCTCGTGCAAACACATTAAATAAATCTGCCTGCCTTTTCTCCAATTAATATGCCTTGTGAGTTGATTTTTTTCAGTGAACCTTCAGAGGGTCAAGCCCTTGGCCACTACAAAACCAAGGTTCCGGAAGGCCAGGTGTCTTGTCAGAACACTCATTGGTTCATTTCAGAGCTGAACTTGAACTAAAGCTTTCTGACTCTACTCTTCCCCGTGAGGGAAGCCTCCATCGCAGCAAAGCAGCTCACTCAACTTTCTTGCTTCTCAACTGCTCCTTTGCCTAGAGAGTCTCCTCCCTACTGATCCACAGCTCTCTGTCTCCCTTCAAAACTGCCTCTTGTGCTGTTTTCTCTCTTCTCCATTCCATAACATGCATGGGCTCAGGTTACACCACAGCTGCGCCGGCCCCTAGAACTTTCTGGGATGATGGAAATGTTCTATTCTGATCTGTCCAATATGGTAGCCAAGAGCCACGTGTGGCTAATGAGCATTTGAAATGGGGCTCAGTGGCTAAAATTTTCATTTGGTTAAATTTTAATGAATGTACATTTATATTTAAATAGCCTCGTGTGGCTAGTGGCTATCCTGCTGTACCATGCAGCTCTGCAGTTGAATTATAGAGTGGATTACATAATCGAGGGCGTGCAGTCCGTCACATGATGGTGCAAACTAGTCATTCCCTGTGTGCCCTCTAGGTCAATGCTCCAGCGGGCTCTGTGCCCTCGAGGCGGACCCTTGAAGACTACAACTCCCAGAATGCTTTGCTCCGTTTCCGGTTTGGTTTGGCTGAGGGGAAGCGCTGGCAGAAGATGAGGGGAGGGAAAGAGATTGGAATATTGCTTCCCTGCTCCCTCCCTGGTTCTGACAGTAGTCCCTTCTGCACAGCTCTGCCTCCACTGGGTTCCAGGAAATGTAGGGCTCGCGATGGCTTCTCTCTGAGGACCTCAAACAGCCGTTATCTATTTCTCTCACCTGTTCCTATCTCTTTAAGGAGTCTCTTCATGGCATGGTCTTCTTTTGAACCATCTAGAAGTTAATTCTTTTTCCTGTTAGGACCCTGATTGGTATGAGGTGGGAGGAATGAATGGTTCATGAAAGCTGCCCACCTGAAGACCTTGAAGTCCCCCCAGTTTCTGAGGTCAAAGTCTGGAGAAGCAGGATTTGATTCTAGATTTCCCTACCTCAAGAGGGAGGGATGCTCTACTGCTTTTTTTCAAATAAGACTTCAAATTGTGGGGAGAGACATTCTTCCAGATTCTTGCTTCACCCCATTGTAAGGCAAAGGCAAATCCTGAGAGCTGGAAGCCCAAGAAACAGAGGAGGTGGGTGGAAGAACTCAGGAGTGTCCCTTAAAACTGTCCTAAGGGTGGAAGAAGATAGGAATGTCCCTTAAAATTGTCCTAAGGTAGGGCTTGCAAGGAGGTGACACAGATCAAAATGTGAAGCTTGATTCTCAGTGAGGACCCACGCAGAGACTGATGTCTGTCTCTCCTTCCTGGATGCTCAGTTAGACTCCGTTTCCCAGCTCTGCAAGTGGGCGCCGCCATGTACGCTCTGGTGACATCGATCAAAATGTGGAGCTTGATTCTCAGTGAGGACCCACGCAAAGACTCATGTCTGTCTCTCCTTCCTGGATGCTCAGTTAGACTCCATTTCCCAGCTCTGCAAGTGGGTGCCGCCATGTAAGCTCTAGCCAGTGGGAGGTAGATGGAAGTCATATGGACTACTTCTGGGTCTGTCCCAGAAACATTTCTCCTGTGCCCTTCTCATGCTCTTTTCCCTTCTGTGGCTTGATATCAAGAAGCATGGAGACTTTGGAAGCCATGGGTTGAAGATGAGGAGCTACAATATGGAACAAGCCTGGGCCCCTGACTTACTGCTTAGAGGAGAGGTGCCTGCTGTTTAAGAATACATTTTTTTTTTGGCCAGGCACGGTGGCTCACGGCTGTAATCCCAGCACTTTGGGAGGCCGAGGCAGGTGGGTCACCTGAGGTCAGGAGTTTAAGACCAGCCTGACCAACATGGTGAAACCCCACCTATACTAAAAATACAAAAAATTAGCCAGGTGTGGTGGCGGGCACCTGTAATTCCAGCTACTGGGGAGGCTGAGTCAGGAGAATGCTTGAACCCAGGAGGTGGAGGTTGCAGTGAGCCGAGACTGGGCCATTGCACTCATGCCTGGAGGATAAGAGCAAAACTCCGTCGCAAAAGAAAAAAAAAAAAAGAATACACCTTTTGAACTTTATCTGTGCAAGAACGAAATTTTTATTGTTTTGAGCCCTTATGCATGTTGGGATTCTTTGTTACAGCTGCAAGCATATCTAATACACTTAATAGGAACTTATAAACAGTAACTAATACACTTGGGCAGGTAAATTGTCAGTTTCATGAGACCATGGATTTGCCTCTTTGGTTCACTGATGGATCTCTGGTGTCTAGAACAGGGCTGAGCAGGTGGAAGGGTTCAATAAGTGTTTGTTGAATGAGCTATCAGCTTCCAATTTTTCTTTGCAGCTGACTGGAAAGCAGAGAAGTATAGTAGATGCAAGCTCTGGCTCCCAGGTGGGAAAGGGTTGGGTTTATATCCTGCCTGATTATTTACTAATTGTCTACATTGGGCAATTGCCAAGCCTCAGTTTCCTCATAGGGAGGTTGGAGAATTATATAAAAGCTCTTTCTTTTTGTGGACAGAGTGAGGATTCAACGTGATCATTCATGAGAAGTGCTGAGCACACCACCTGATGCATAGTAAGTGCTCAGGAAGTAGCGGTCATGATTATCTGGACTTTTCTCATTCTCTGGGCAAACAAAAAGCACAGAAGCTGCCCCTGCAATAGGCTCTGACAAATTTCAGGCCCCGAGGGGAGGGAGGCCAGGCTTGAGCCTGGGATTATAGCCAAAGACCAGCTCAGGAAACAATATTACATTCCCATGATCCTCCTGCGATCCCAGGAGGGCTTGAGCCTCTGTTTCTTGTCCTGACCTCAGACTAACTCTGCAGAAATGCTGCTCGGGGCTTGGACTAGCTGCTCTGGTTCAGGGAGCCCCATTGAGACCTGGAACTTAGAGGGCCTGGTGGAGTCCTCAAGACTAATGTGGGGAATGAGCCATAGTTTAATTCAGGACACCCCACTTTTTTCAAGTATTATTATTATCACCAGCCTGGAGTTATGCGTGATTGGGCAGATGCCTTAGGACTGATCAGGTTTTTCTCCTCCATTAATTAAAATGTGAATCACAGCTGAGTCACTAAAGAAAACGGTTAATGAGCAATTCTGACTTCCTCCCTCCTTCCTTGCTCAGAGAGATGAGTCAGCAGAAGTCCAGATCCAAAAATGAGAAGAAGAAGAAGAAGAAGAAGAAGAAGGAGAGAAAAGGAAAAAAAAAAAAGCCCAGAAGAGATGTAGGGCTTGGGAAAGCAGGAGCAAAATGAACCTGAACCATATTATTCTTTGTCTTAGCAGAAAAAAGTTCCCAAATCGCTATCCCAAGGCCTAACGGTCAAATCCTCTAATGAGCACGACCAGTTCTCATTTTTACAGACAGACCCACAGGCACCCAGAGATGGATCCAAGCCCCAGCAATCTCCTTTCTTGCTTTCCTCAAGCAACGACAGGCTCCTCACCATGCCAAAAACAACCACCAACCTCCACCTTTCTTTTTCTGCTTCGTTTTCCCCACAAAGCCCAGGCTCTCCTTTGAATTCAGACATCATGGTCATGTTTCATAAGATAAGGGACGAGTGAGGAGCTGGGGTGCCTCCGGTCAATAGGAAAGGGCCATGGGGAGTAACAGTAGAAGATTTCAGAAGTGGGGAGGTCCCTCAGAATCAGGGAAGCTACGTAACTCAAAACATGATTCCTGGAGCCAGGCTAAGCCTGGATCCTGGCTTCGTGTAGAGCTAATCAATCTTTCTGAGCCTCAGTTGTCTCATCTGTAAAATGGGGAGAGTAAAAATACCTACGCAGTGTTGCAAAGATGAAAAAGTCAGCACCCATCAGAAGTTAACAATTATAATATTCATTAGAAAACTATGATCCAAGAATTTCTGCCTCACCCATAGGGTCACCCCAAAGCAAGATGATCAGACAGGTTGGGGAGATGGTCCTCACTGAGCACTGGCACACACACTTGAACAGGTGTGTGTGTGTGGGTGTGCAAGCTCTCATGTGTGTGCATGCAATTTCCCCTCCCAAATCAACTGATCATGTATAACACTGCACATTCGACTTTTGACTTTTGCAGGATGAATTTTCATGATGCCTATTTATATTTTCAAATTATGAGCAGGGGCTTTCACCAATTACCCCTGTCTTGACCCCTTGTTATTCAAATGATTCTCTTTTGAAGAGCCTGCAGTGTCCCAGTCCTTGTCAATTTTTAACTAGATGAATACTGTCCAGATCCCATCTGCTAATGTCTGGGGGTGTGATTTCAGCAGCTTGCCACCATCATGCTCACTGACTTTAAGAAATCTTCTATTTTTTGCAAGGTTGGTAATTTCTAAGTCAGTTTGCCTTGGACTTGTGCTAGAGTGTAAGATAATATTTAACAATCTAGAACAGTGACTCTCAACCAGGGGTGATTTCACCTCCCAGGGGACATTTGGCAATGTGTGGAGACATTTTTGGTTCTCACAACTGGGGCGCGGGCGCTACTGGCATCAAGTAAGTTGAGGCAGTGCACAGGATAGCTCCCATTTTGGAGCTAATAATGCAGCCCCCAAAGTCATCAGTGCTGTGGCGGAGAAACTCTGACCTAGAACCCAGGGGGCCATGGCGGTCCTGAGGCAGAGTCTTGCTCTGTCATTCAAGTTGGAGTAAAGTGGCGTGATCTTTGCTCACTGCAACCTCCACCTCCCAGGTTCAAACGATTCTCCTGCCTCAGCCTCCTGAGTAGCTGGAATTACAGGCACCCACCGCCACACCCAGCTAATTTTTCTATTTTTTTAGAGACAGGGTTTTGCCATGTTGGCCAGGCTGGTCTTGAAATCCTGACCTCAGGTGATCTGCCCGCCTCAGCCTCCCAAAGTCCTGGAATTACAGACCTGAGCCACTGTTGCCTGTCCAGGACTCACTTTTACAAGTAGTCAATTCAGTCAGTTCCTTAGGGACCAAAAAATGGATTATGCCAATTTTAGGGTCCTTCTGCCTCTTTCTAAACTACAATGAATTTATACTAAGCGTGGGGCTCTGCAGCCAGATTTCCTGGATTCAAATTCCAACTCTGCCACTTCCTAGCTGTGTGACCTTGGGCAAGATATTTAACGGCTCTGGGTTTCCATGTTCTCACTAATACATGTGACCAATAAAGCACCCACTGAGTAGTTGTTTGCATTAGGTAGGCTGATATGTAAAGTACTTACGACAGTGCCTGATACATAGTTGAGGCATGAGTGGGAGGTAGACTGAATCCCTGGTGCAAACATGGTGAGCTTCCCACTAAAGATTCACAAGTGGGACTGGGAAATGGCAGCCTAATCAGAGACTACATTTCCCAGCCTCCCATGCAGCTAGCCTGGGCCACATGACTAAATTCCACCCAATAGAATGCAGGCAGAAGTGTTGTTCACCACTTCCAGGAACCCTCATAAGTACCTCCCACTCCACTTTCCCTTTTCCCCAGCTGCTGTCTCAATGTAGGCTCTTAGAACAACCTTGGAAGCCACATGTTTAAGCAGGGAGAGCCTCCAACAGCCTGGATCCCTGAGTGACTGCATGGAGTCGAGCCATATTTGAGTCACCCACCACTCCACCTCATTGCACCCCTCACCAGTTTCACTTTATTATTTTTTATTTTTAGTAGAGATGGTGTCTCACTGTGTTGCCCAGGTTGGCGTTAAACTACTGGGGTCAAGCGACCCTCCCACCACAGCCTCCCAAAGTGCTAGAATTACAGGCATAAGCCACCACATCCGGCCACCAGTTGTACTTTAGAAGTTGATTTCTCACTCATGCATACTCTTAAGCCAGAGATTTTTGGTTTTATTGGTTATTGCAGCTGGTGTTAACTAACACAGCCTCTTCTTCCAGCATTGCTTTGTCTCTCTTGATCAGCAAATATTATCATCTCTTCAACATCTGACCAGCTTCAAGACAACTACAGTCCTCTCCTTCATACCTTTCCTATGAGTTGGCAAATAAGCTGGGGAAGAAGCCCCTTCTCCCATTGGGGATGAGGAAAGGGAATAGGTTCCCTAGGCCAGGATCTTAGTAAAGATCTTTGATACAGAAACAAGAAGGGATCTGGGAGTCATGACCACTCAGCATCTCAGGCCAAAGAATGTGGGTGAGTAAAATAATGGTACAATGGACTTTAGAGACTTGGGGGGAAGAGTAGGAGGTGAGCACTGGATAACAGACAACAAATATGGTGCAGTGTATACTGCCCGGGTGATGGGTGCACCAGGTTCTCACAAATCTCCACTGAAGAACTTACTCATGCAACCAAATACCACCTGTACCCCAATAACTTATGGAAAAATAAAATTAAAAAAAAGAAAAAAGAAAATTAAGCAAATAAAAATAATCAAAATCTAAAGAAAACCCCAAAACCTAACAATTTCTGAAAAAATAGTATGTGGGTATCTGTTTATTAATAAAACATTCAATTATAATTTCAACATCAATTAATTGATCAGCATAAATAAATGGACCAAATTTCATATATATATATACATATATATACACATATATATACACACATATATATACATATATATACATATATATACATATATACACACATATATATATACATATATACACACATATATATACATATATATACACATATATATATACACACACACACACACATATATATATATATATATATATATATATATATATATATATATACTTGCAAGTGAAACTCAAACTCATATTAGTACCATCAAACAGTAGCAATATGTGCCGACATCTAGATCGTCTGCTCAAATATCACTTTCCCAATAAGGCCTACCCTGACCACCCTATTCAATGCTGTATCTTGCACCCCAGAAAGTGGCAGGGCCAGGACTTGAGCACAGCACTCCCAAATTCCCTTTACCCGACTTTACTGATTTTCCCACCTGCGAACACACCATCGTTAATGTTTAGGGTTCTCACCCTCCCCCACCTCACTACCTCATAAGAACCAGAGGGTCTCCTCATCACCTAGAATAGTCATGGGTACACAGTAGATGCTAAATAAATGTTGATCTGAGTGAAGTGTTGTTCTTTGCCTGGGACATTCTAAGAGGTTTATACATATGAACTCATTTGCATGCTCAAAGCAGTTTGACCAAGTGATGAGTTTAAAAAAATTATCTCCATTTTATAGATAAAGAAAGACAGGTTCAGAGAGAGCACTCAGGCAGAAGTGGAAGAGCCAGGATTTGAACCCAGACTGTCTGGTCCCTGGGTCTAGGAGCTCCAGACACTGCTTTGTCTAGGCCCACAACACAGAGTCAACAAACCCGGGACAAGTGTGAGGGGAACCCAAACCAGAGGTGTTCATTCAGTTTTTGTTTGAAAAATACACACCATGTTGCGTATGGGTGTGGATAGGGCCAGGCTCACAAGATTGTGCTTGGCGACCTTTATAAGGAGGGAGGACCTGGGTGCAGTGGCTCATGCCTGTAATCCCAGCATGTTGGAAGGCCGAGGTGGGGGGATTGCTTGAACCTAGGAGTTCTAGACCAGCCTGGGTAATATAAGGAGACCCCATCTCTGCAAACAAACAAACAAACAAACAAAAAAAAACTTTAAATTAGCTGGGCATGGTGGTATGCACCTGTGGTCCTAGCTACTTGAGAGGCTGAGGTGGGAGGATAGCTTGAACCTGGAGGTTGAGGTTGTAATGAGCCGTGGTCATGCCACTGCTCTCCAGCCTGGGTGACAGAGCAAGAATGCATCCCAAAAAGAAAAAAAAAGTTGGTACATATGGTACAATGGTACATATGTTCAAATCTTGGCCTCACCACTCTCCAGCTGTGTGATCTTGGGGCAGTAACGTAACCTCTCTGTGCCTCAAGTCTTATTTATAAAATGGGTTGTTGGGAGGATAAAATACATTGACATTTGTAAAGTGCTCAGAACAGGTTCATAGGCACACATATGCACATATGTGCATATATATATATACACATATACACACACACACACACAGTAATAAGGTTCATAGTTAATGCTGCTATATATGTTTCTGTTAAGGAAATAATGGTCACAGCTTCCACCCGGAGCTCAGGAGCGTGGAGCAGGCCACCTGAGAGCAGAGCCAATCCCTGCACTGTATTCAGCCTCATGCCACCTGGGGAACAGTGTGTTCCAGTCAAAAGAGCTAACAGCGACCTTCCAACAGCTCCTGCTAATTTTAAGGACAAGCCTCTCAGTGCTGGCGCTGGAGTCAATTGTTGCTTTTTCAACAACAGCACCAGGTGTGTGTTAAGAGGCGTGCCATCAGGAAGGCATCCTCTCCCGAGAAAGCTGGAAGTGGCAAGTGGCCCAGGCTGCCCTGAACAGGACAGAAAATGGTTCAGAGCAAAGCTGAGGTAGGCAGGGAGAAAAGATACCAGGGCCGTATCCTCTGTGTCCTCCCCCTGCCAGGCAGAATAATCTGGCATTGCTTAAATATGGTACAAGTCCCGTGATGTTTCCAGCCTGCAAAGCACCTACAGCTCCAAAGTGCTTTCCAGAAATGAGCTAACTAATCCCCAGGGGTGGGTCATGATGCTAAACGTGAACCATCCCTGAGGGGAAAGGTGTGGAAGAGTGTTATTCCAAGAAAACAGGCAAAACTGCAGGGCAAGGAGTGAGAGACTGTTAGTAAGAATGATGATAAAAATGATATTATTATTATTACTCATATTATTATTTGAGATGGAGTCTCACTGTGTCACCTAGGCTGGAGTGCAGTGGTGTGATCTCGGCTCACTGCAACTTCCACCTCCCGGGTTCAAGCGATTCTCCTGCCTCAGCCTCCTGAGTGGCTGGGATTACAGGCACCCCGCCACCACACCCGGCTAATTTTTGTGTTTTTAGTAGATGGGGTTTCACCATGTTGGCCAGGCTGGTCTCAAACTCCTGACCTCAAGTGATCTGCCCGCCTTGGCCTCCCAAAGTGCTGGGATTACAGGTATGAGCCAGCGCGCCCGGCCATTATTATTATTTTTGAGATAGGGTCTCACTCTGTTGCCCTGGCTGGAGTGCAGTGGTGTGATCACAGCTCACTGTAGCCTCAACTTCCTGGGCTCAAGCAATCCTCCCACCTCAGCCTCCCAAGTAGCTGGAACTACAGGTATGCACCACCATACCTGGCTAATTATTTGTATTTTTATTTTTATTTTTTGTAAAGACAGAGTCTCCCTATGTTACCCAGGCTGGCCTCGAACTCCCGTGCTCAAGCAATCAGCCTGCTTCTGCCTCCTAAAGTGCTGGGATTACAGGTGTGAGCCATTGCTCCTGGCCATATTATTGGTAGTAGTATTGCATTATTATCAACAGTCTGTAATATTTCTTGAGCGCTTACAAGGAGCCGGATACTGTTCTAAGAGCTGTATGTCAATTATTTCAATAAATCCTCCATAACTGTATGAAGTAAGAGTGTTATTATCCCCATTGAACAGATGAAACAAATGAGGCCCACAGAGGTTTGGGCATCAGCTCCAAGTCACACAGCTTGCAAGAAGGGGAGCTGGTTCAAGCCCAGGTATTCTGATAACATAGCATCTCTATCATCCTCACCATTATAATGATGTTCTGTATATTTCACAGTATTTGCTGGGGTTGGCTACTGTTGACGCCATTTTACAGATGAGAAAACTGAGTTATAGAGGGACTTGCTGACTGGCCCAGGGTCACATAGCTGAGAGGTGGCAGAGTCAGAATGCATCCATTCATGTGGTCTCAGCAGCCACATCAGCACCAATGGGACTTCGATATTGCCTGGATGGTCTTCCCTCTTTCCATATGCCAGCTTTATGGAGAACAGAGTCTGGACAGATGCAGTGGCTCACACCTGTAATCCTAGCATTTTGGGAGGCTGAGGAGGGAGGATCGCTTGAGGCCAGGAGTTTAAGACCTGCCTGGTCAACATAGTGAAACCACATCTCTATAAAAAAAGGTAATATAAAAAGGACGGGCATGGTGGCTCATGCCTGTAATACTAGCACTTTGGGAGGCTGAGGCAGACTGATCACTTGAGCCCAGGAGCTCAAGACCAGCCTGGCCAACATAGGTGAATCCCTGTCTCTACTAAAAATATAGAATTAGCCAGGTGTGGTGGCGGGTGCCTGTAATCGCAGCTACTTGGGAGTCTGAGGAACAAGAGTTGCTTGAACCTGGGAGGTGGAGGTTGCAGTGAGCCAAGATCGCGACAATGGGCTTCAGCCTGGGTGACAGAGGGAGACTCTGTCTCAAAAAAAAAATTATATATATATATATATATATATATATATATATATATATATATATATGAAGGGAATCTGATCCCTAACATTAGTGGAACAGCTTCAATTCAGGGATTGAGCAGGAGGAGAGGCTGGTGCATTCAGTGTCCACTCCCCAGCATCAGAGTGGATTCTACCCAGCTTGGTGAGAATTCTCTGTACCCAATTTGCCCTTTGATACTGCACTGGGCAGAGAGGGTGGGTGGGCATCCTCCTACTAGGGCAGGAGGAGTCCTTCACATATACCTGTATTCTGGGCCATCACCCTTCAGCCAGAGTCATCCTTCTAAATAAAAAGCTAAGCACAACCACCCCTTGTCTAAATCCTTCCATGGCTCCCTTGTGCCTTCAGGATAAAGTCCAAACTCCTCAAAACATGGGTTGGTTCCTGCTGACCTTCTGTAGGTTCTTCTCTTGCCATTTCCCTCTCCCAACACACAAGCACATTCACACACACACAAACACACACACACATGCACACATGTATGCATGTGTACACACATACCCACACACAAGCACAGCTCTGTTTACCTGTTTCCTGTATAAACCCTATGATGTGGAATCCCAGCTCTGCTACCTGGGCAAGTCACTTAACTTCTCCATGCCTCATTTTTCTCGTCAGTAAAATATTTTGCTCTCCTGTGCTTCTCTAGACTAGAAGAATGCCTGACACACAAAATGCACCAAATGGTCATTTTCTGTTTGGTTTTGTGAAAGACAAAACGCGTAGACAGTACAAAATTCAGAAAGACACAAGAAAGTAAGTTTCCTTTCCACACCTACTTCCAAATCTTTCAGGGTGCCGCTACAGAGGCAAACACAATTATTAATTTCTCATGGAATCTTCCAGATTTGCTCTTACGAGAAAATGGCGGCACCATTCAAAAACTGCTTTTGTCACCTGATAACATATCTTGGATATAGAGATTCCTATTTCCTTCTCTGTAAAATGGGGATATGAAAGAATCCACCTCACAGGCTTGTTACAAGAATTAAATGAGTTAATACTCACTTTCTAACAGCACTTGTATACAGTAGACACCCTATAAGTACTAGCTCTTATTGACACTCAGAGATCTGCTTCTTCTTTTTGTAATGACTTCATAACACGCTAAGGGATGGGTGTACCATAGTTTATCCGACAGTTCTTGTTGATGGAGACGTCCATCAATGGAGTCTTCCAATTGTTATGCTGCAACAATGCTTCTCTTTGCTGTAACAATGCTTAATAAATATGGTTCACGTCTGTAATCCTAGCACTTTGGGAGGCCAAGGCAGGCAGATTGCTTGAGCTCAGGAGTTAGAGACCAGCCTGGGTGATATGGTTTGGCTCTGTGTCCCCACCCAGATCTCATGTTGAATTGTAATCCCCAATGTTGGGGGAGGGACCTGGTAGGAGGTGATTGGATCCTGGGAGCAGATTTCCCCCTTGCTTTTCTCATGACAGTGAGTGAGTTCTCGTGAGACCTGGTTTTGTAGCACTCCCCCCCTCACTCTCTCTCTCCTGCCACCATGTGAAGATGTGCTTGTTTCCCCTTCATTTTCCGCCATGATTGCAAGTTTCCTGTGGCCTCCTCAGCCATGCCTTCCGCACAGCCTGTGGAGCCGTGAGTCAATTAAACCTCTTTTCTTTATAAACTACTCAGTCTCAGGTAGTTCTTTATAGCAATGTGAGAACAAACGAATACACTGGGCAACATGGCAAAACCCCGTCTCTACAAAAATTACAAGAATTAGCCTGGCGTGGTGGCTTGTACCTGTGGTGTCCCAGCTACTCAGGAAGCTGAGGTGGGAGGACTGCTTGAGATGGGGAGGTTGAGGCTGCAGTGAGCCACGATCTTGCCACTGCACTCTAGCCTGGGCAACAGAGTGAGACCCCGTTTCAAAAATATATATGTGGTGAAACAAAAGAACTAATGAATGAAGAAATAAATGGAGGAATACTTTGAGCAGGGTATAAGGAACCTGGGTAAGTTTCAGAGATTCCAAGATCTTCAAAGGTACCTTTCTAGGCACTAAGTCCTTTTACAAATTCCTTTCATGTGGCACTAACATTATATGTTCAATACACCAGCATGATCAGATTATACCACTGTGTGTGGGGTGCTAGGGCCATTCTTTGATGGAGAACTGGTCTACCCATTGCAATCATTCTCACAGATGCAAGCTGAGCTGGTTCACAGGTGAGCAACTGTTCTTGCCCCAAAGAATGTAGTTAATGTTCTTCCCATAAGCTCATGGCTTTTGAGAATACTGTTGGTCCCAAAGGGGAGACAGTAGTTGGTCAAAGGAATACCACCTCAGCCCAGGAAGGGGACTGTGTACTGAAGGAACAGTAAGGTGTCCTTGAGGGGTTTGAAGGGTTCCTGGTGAGGCTCGATTGTGTTGTAGGATGAAGGCTGAAGAGTGGGGTGGGAGGCAGGGACGAGGAAGGAGATGGGTCATGAGCTCTATTAAAATGTATTTTTGTAATTCCGAGTTGAAAATAGACATACCGACTTCATGCTGACTGTTTCGGCTTCGTGACATAGCCTGGCTCGTGGGGGCCTTCCCATTCAGCACGTCTCCGTGGCAACAGGCCACTTTCTCATTCACGCCATCTCCAGGGTTACCTTGCTTGGCTCATTCAGGACTGTTGCCATAGAGACAGGTCCATTGATACAATCTTGACGCTTTGGAACTTTGCTTTCCCGAATGATGGAGTATTGGCCGTGGGGTACGGATGACATTGTGATAGGGTGTGAGGCGAAGAGAGTTCTGGGAGTTGAGGTATAAAGACTTAAAATCTGGCAAGAGGAAGATGAGGTCATGGTAGGAGATATGGTAAGGCAGTAGTAGACCAATATCATTCCTGATCTTGACATGTGAAATGGTTGATCCTTTGACAATCCTGTGTGTGTGTGTGTGTGTGTTGTGTGTCTGTGTGATGTCTTTTATTAGACTCAAAGTACAAATACGCCAGGCACTTAGCCTTGTCATTGTTGATGTCTGTATCTCCAGCATCTAGCACAGCGCCTGGTACAAAGTAAATGTCTCCTCAAATAATAATAAGAAGAAGAAGAATAAGAATTTCTTTTTGAGGCAGGGTCTTATTCTATCACCCAGGCTGGAGTGCAGTGGCTCGCTCTTGGCTCACTGCAACCTCCACCTTCAGGGCTCAAATGATCCTCCCGTTTTAGCCTCCCGAATAGCTGGGACTACGTGCATGCCACTATACCTGGCTAGTTTTTGTATTTTGTGTAGAGACAGTGTTTTGCCATGTTGCTTAGGCTGATCTCGAACTCCTGATTCAAGCTCAGAAGTGAATCAGGAGTTCAAGCAATCCTCCCACCTTGGCTTCCCAAAGTGCTAGGATTACAGGCATGCACCACTGCACTCGGTCTACCCACAAATAATTATTGAATAAATTAGAACTTGTTGTTTGCAGTAAACTGTAAAAATATAAATTGTCCTTGATAAACCATAAAAATATAAAAACATTAGAAGAGAATTTCCACAAGCAACCACCACTATTATTTACTCTCTACCTCCCAGCATGTATGCCCATATAGTGCATTTTCTCCTGTTTCTATAGATAACTGTGTGTGCTGTCATCTAAAGTGAAACCTTCCACCTGTACACCAAATGCCATCCCCTCTCGTCCACCAAGAGATGTCCTCCTGACACTCTTCTTCCTCCAGCATCCTCATGTTTTTCTCCCCTAATAGGTTATTCCTATCAGCATAAAATCTGCTGTTAGGTCTCCCATCTTTTTTTTTTGAGACAGGGTCTTGCTCTGTTGTCCAGCCTGGAGTGCAGTGGTGTGATCATAGCTCACTGCAGCCTCGACCTCCCAGGCTCAAGAGATCCTCTCACCTCAGCCTCCCAAGTAGCTAGGACCACAGGCATGCACCACCATGCCCAGCTAATTAAAAAAAAATTTTTTTTGTAGAGATGGGGTCTCACTATGTTGTCCAGGCTAGTCTCAAATTCCCGAGGTCTCAGCCTCCCAAAATGCTGGGATTACAGGTGTGAGTCATTGTGCCTGGCCTTTTTTTTTTCTTTATTCTTTTTTCTTTTTTTTTTTTTTTTTAAGGGAAACAAACCTCTGAAATCCACTTCCCCCACCAGCTAACACATGCCCCATCTCTCTTCCTCTACCCTTCACAGCAGAACTCTTTAAAAGAGCTAGTAGTAATCCTTCCAGTAGCCTCTTGCCTTCACCTCTTCACCTAAGCAGCTCTGGCTCAGGTCACGAAAGATCTCCATGCCACTACATCCAATGGTTGATTCTCATTTTTCATTTGAGTCAACACATCAGCATCAGTGGACATCATTGATCATTCCCTCATACTTGAAATGGCTTAGCACTTTCCTTGCATGACAGCCAGCACCCACATTCTTCTGATTTGCTCCAATTCAGTCTTCTCTGCTGGCTCCTCCTCATCTTCCCCAACCTCTTTAATGATGGAGAGTAAGCCCTGGGCTCAGTCCTGGGTGCTCTCCTGCATCTATGCCCTTATTCAGTTCCTTAAATAGCCTCCACAGGAGGCTGACTCCTGCCTTTGGATCTCCAGCTCTGACTTACCTTTTTTGAATTTTAGACTCCAATTCCTATTAGGCTGGTGCAAAGGTTATTTCCTTTGCCATTACTTTTAATGGCAAAACCGCAATTACTTTTGCACCAACCTAATAGATGGCCAACACAATATCTCTATCCATCAGTAGGCACTTCATAGAAAGCTGAGTTCCTAATCTGCCCACCTAGTCAGTCTCCTTCCCCATTTTATTTGATGGCAAACCCATCCTTTCACTTGCCCATGTGATAGGGTTTGGCTGTGTTCCCACCCAAATCTCAACTTGAATTGTAATAATCCCCACGTGTCAAGGGCGGCGCCAGGTGGAGATAACTGAATCATGGGGGCAGTTTCCCCCATACTGTTCTTGTGGTAGTGAATAAGTCTCATGAGATCTGATGGTTTTATAAATGGCACAAGCTCTCTTGCCTGCTGCCATGTAAGACATGCCTTTACTTCTCCTTTGCCTTCTGCCATGGTTGTGAGGCCTCCCCAGCCATGTGGAACTGTGAGTGCATTAAACCTCTTTCCTTTATAAATTACCCAGTCTCAGGTATGTCTTTATTAGCAGTGTGAGAAGAGACTAATACACCATGTCAAAAAATGTGGGGTTCTCCTTGACTTCCCTCTCTCTCTTTCTCTCTCTTTCTCCTTCTCTCTCTCTCTCTCTCTCCCCATTCTCCTTTTTGAGACAGGGTCTCACTTTGTCTCCCAGGCTGAAGCACAATGGTGCAACTACAGCTCACTACAGCCTCAACTTTCTGGGCTCAAATGATCCTCCTGCTTCACTGTCCTGAGTAGCTGGGATTACAGGGACACATCACCCTGCCTGGCTAATTTAAAAATTTTTTTTTGTAGAGACAGGGGTCTCACTATGTTGCCCAGGCTGGTGTCAAACTCCTGGGCTCAAGCGGCCTTCCCCACTTGGCCTCCTAAAGTGCTGGGATTACAGGTGTGACCCACCGTGCCTGGCCTCTCTCTTTCTCTTAAAGTTCATACTCAGTTGAGTCTGCAAATCTAAAATTAAGTCAACACAGATAGTGAAACCAACCACCCCTCCCCACCTCCATGACCACAGCCCTGACTTGAGGCCTCCGTTACTGCTTGCTCAGAACATTGCAGACAACTCCCAAATGAGATCCTTGTTTCCACGCCGCCTCCAGTGTATTCTTTTTTAGATGTTTTATTTGTTTTCTTTTGCAGAAAAGAGGTCTCACTGTGTTGCCCAGGCTAGACTTGAACTCCTGGGCTCAAGCGATATCCTCCTGCCTTGGCCTCCTGAGTATCTGGGACTGCAGCCATGTGCCACTCTGCACCCAGCAATTCCTTAGCATTGACAAGCATATGGTGATAATATAAGATACAAACAACAGGAGAAACTGGGTGAAGGGTATGTGGGAACTCTTTATAATATATTTATAACCTTTCTTTTTTTTCTTTTCTTTTTTTTTTTTGAGATGGAGTCTCACTCTGTCACCCAGGCTGGAGTGCAGTGGCGCGATCTCAGCTCACTGCAACCTCCGCCTCCTGGGTTCAAGCAATTCTCCTGCCTCAGCCTCCCGAGTAGCTGAGACTACAGGCGCGTGCCACCATACCTGACTAATTTCGTATTTTCAGTAGAGACGGGGTTTCACCATGTTGCCCAGGCTGGTCTCAAACGCCCAACCTCAGGTGATCTACCTGTCTCGGCCTCCCAAAGTGCTGGGATTACAGGCGTTAGCCACTGCGCCCAGCTACAACCTTTCTAAAAGTCTAAATTACTCTAAAATAAATATTTAAAAAATAACATTTGTTTGGTAGAAAGGGTCCACTGATTTAAAAAGATTTGAAGACTACTTTGGTAGGCATTTCTGAAGTGGGACATGTTATGGTGTGACTTAAATATTAGGACAAAATGGTGTGGTTGGAAGTTCAGAAAGTGGGTTAGGACCAGGTGTGGGGGCTCACGCCTGTAATCCCAAGGCTTTGGGAGGCACAGGCAAGAGGACTGCTTGAGCCTAGAAGCTTGAGACCAGCCTGGGCAACCTAGCAAGAATCCATCTCTACAAAAAGTTTTTTGTTTTTTTTTTTTGTTTTTTTTTTAGATGGTGTCTCGCGCTCTGTCGCCCAGGCTGGAGTGCAGTGGCGTGATCTCAGCTCACTGCAAGCTCCGCCTCCCAGGTTCACACCATTCTCCTGCCTCAGCCTCCCGAGTAGCTGGGACTACAGGCGCCCGCCACCATACCTGGCTAATTTTTTGTATTTTCAGTAGAGATGGGGTTTCACTGTGTTAGCCAGGATGGTCTCAATCTCCTGACCTCGTGATCCGCCCGCCTTGGCCTCCCAAAGTGCTGGGATTACAGGTGTGAGCCACCGTGCCCGGCCTACAAAAAGTTTTAAAAATTAGCCAGTGTGGTGGCACATGCCTGTAGTCCCAGCTACTAGGGAGGCCAAGGCAAGAGGATCCCTTGAGCCCAGGAGGTCACGGCTGCAGAAAGTGATTATAGTGCCACTGCACTCTGGCCTGAGTGACAGAGCAAGGTCCTGTCTTAAAAAAAAAAAAAAAAAAAAAAAAGGCCAGGCACAGTGGCTCACACCTGTTAATCCCAACACTTTGGGAGGCTGAGGTGGGAGGATCACCTGAGGTCAGGAGTTCAAGACCAGCCCGGCCAACATAGCGAAACCCCGTCTCTACTAAAAAAAAAAAAAAAATTGCCGGGTGTGGTGCCAGGTACCTGTAATCTCAGCTACTCGGGAGGCTGAGACAGGAGAATTGCTTGAACCCAGGAGGTGGAGGTTGCAGTGAGCTAAGATCTTGCCATTGCACTTCAGTCTGGGTGACAGAGCCAGACTCTGTCAAGAAAGAAAGAAAGAAAAAGAAAGAAAGAAAGAAAGAAAGAAAGAAAGAAAGAAAGAAAGAAAGAAAAGGAAGGCAAGGGAAGGGAAAGGAAATAAAAGAAAAGAAAGGAAGGATGGAAGAGTGGAAGGTGAGATAAAAGCAGATAGAAGCCTGGGCAACATAGTGGGACCCCATCTCTACAAAAAATACAAAAATTAGCCAGGTGTGTTGGTGCCCGTCTGTAGTCCCAGCTACTCAGGAGGCTGAAGTGGGAGGATCCTTGAGCCAAGGAAAAAATTGAAACTGCAATGAACTTTGAGTCCGGGAGTTTGAGACCAGCCTGGGCAACATAGGGAGACTCCTTCTCTATAAAAATAAATAAAAATAAATTAGCCAAGCATGATGGTGCATGCCTGTGGTCCCAGCTACTCAGAAGGCTGAGGCAGGAGGATTGCTTGAGCCCAAGAAGTCGAGGCTGCAGAGTAAGCTGTGATTGCGCCACTGCACTCCAGCCTAGGCAATAGAGCGAGGCTCTGTCTCAAAAAAAAAGCAGGCAGATAGCAGCGAAGGACAATGTGCCACATTAAGGAGCTTGGATAGTATCTTGAAAGCAATAAGGGTTTAAAAACCAGGGAATGTTGGAGACACGTGGCACAAGAAAGGTGTCATCTAGATGGACAGAAGACCCTCATGATCCCATGACAGCGACTGGGAAGGGGTAATTAAAAACAAAGAAACACAAGCCAAAAGCATCATCAGGCTGAGAAGAGAAAATGTCTTAGCATGGCTGAGAACACACTCAAGAAATAGAAGCTCTGCCGGGTGTGGTGGCTCATGTCTGTAGTCCCAGCACTTTGAGAGACCAAAGTGGGCGGATCGCTTGAGCCCAGGAGTTAGAGACCAGCCTGGGCAACACGGCGAAACTCCATTTCTACCAAAAGTCCTAAAAAAAATTTGCCCGGGTGTGGTGGCGTGTGCCTGTAGTCCCAGCTATTCCAGAGGCTGAGGGGGGAGGATCGCCTGAGCCTGGGAGGTCAAGGCTACAGTGAGCTGAGATCACACCTCTGCACTCGAGCCTGGGTGAAAAAGAGAGATCCTGTCTCAAAACAAAAGCAAAACAAACAACAACAACAACAGAAGAGAAGTTCTGAGATGCCCATGTAGGACAGCTGGTTACTCATTGGGGGACTTTCCCAAAGCGATTTTGGGGAAGGTAGGAACTACTGGGATGAGGAGGGCATAGGAGATGGGCTGTATTCCCAGGGAGCTTAAAGGAGTCAGGGCAGAGGCTTCAGAGTAGGAATCAGGGCAGGATTTGGGGGATGGAAGATCCTGTCTTCCTCCGAGACAGAGAGAAGGCGGGTGTGTGTGCGGCGCGGAATAGAGGCAGGTGGTGCCGACAAGGAAACGTGCGGAAGGAAGGGAGATAGACGCAATCCCTGCATATTTTTCTCAGCCCATTCTGTGCTCTTCACAACACGCCTGCCTTTATGACCTGGGGGACAGGGTGAGAGGCTTCTGCATGTCAGAGCTAGACTGAGAGGATGTTCCTCCCTTGTCTTCAGAGCTGAGTGGGTCATAACATTTAGAACTAGATGAGGCCAGGCGTGGTGGCTCACACCTGTAATCCCAGCACTTTGGGAGGCCGAGGCGGGAGGATCACTCAAGGTTGGGAGTTTGAGACCAGCCTGGCCAACATGGCAAAACCCGGTCTCTACTGAAAACACAAAAATTACCCAGGCATGGTGGTGCACGCCTGTAGTCCCAGCTACTGGGGAGGATGAGGCAGAGAATTGCTTGAACCTGGGAGGCGGAGGTTACAGTGAGCCAAGATCATGCCACTGCACTCCAGCCTGGTCAACAGAGCGAGACTCTGTCTCAATTAAAAAAAAAAAAAAAAAAAAAAAAAAAAAAGTAGATGGGGCCTCAGAATTCACTGAGGCCAATTTCCTGATTTAACAATGAAGAGAAAACTCCAGAGGGACTGAGGGAGCTGTCCAAGGTCACCTAGCAAGTGAGGGACAGATCTGGGATCAGAAGACCAGTCTCTCACCAGCTGGCCTGTGTCTTCTACTGCACTGTGCTGGTCCCCACAGGCCTCTGAGCGGTCCTCTCTGATGAAGCTTCCTACGCTGATAAAAATATTCTCTATCCATGCTGTCCAATATGATAGCCACCACCCACAAGGGATGATTAAGCACTTGAAGTGCAGCCTGTGTGAGTGAGAAACAGAATTTTAAATTTCGCTTAATTTTTTTTGAGACAAGGTCTTGCTCTTTCACCCATGCTGGAGTGCAGTGGCACAATCACAGCTCACTGCAGCCTTGACCTCTTGGGCTCAAGCGATCCTCCTGCCTCATCCTCCCGAGTAGCTGGGACCACAGGCCTGCACCACCACGCCTGGCTAATTTATTTTTATTTTTTATAGAGATGGGGTCTTCCTATGTTGCCCAGGCTGGTCTCAAACTCCTGGGCTCAAGCAATCCTCTGGCCTCAGCTTACCAAAGTGTTGGGATTACAGGCGTGAGGCACAGCATTTAGGCTGTGTGCGGTGGCTCATGCCTGTAATCCTAGCACTTCGGGAGGCCGAGGCGGTGGATCACCTGAGATCAGGAATTCGGGACCAGCCTAGCCAACATGGTGAAACCCTGTCTCTACTAAAACTACAAAAATCGGCCGGGCGCGGTGGCTCACACCTGTAATCCCAGCACTTTGGGAGGCTGAGGCGGGTGGATCACAAGGTCAGGAGTTCGAGACAAGCCTGGCCGACATGGTAAAACCTCATCTCTACTAAAAATACAAAAAATTAGCTGGGCGTGTTGGCGGGCGCCTGTAATCCCAGCTACTCAGGAGGCTGAGGCAAGAGAATCACTTGAATCCAGGAGGCGGAGGTGGCAGTGAGCTGAGATCGCGCCACTGCACTCCAGCCCAGGCAACAGTGCTACACTCCATCTCAAAAAACAAAAACAAACAAACAAATTTAAAAAATCCAAAAATTAGCTGGGTATGGTGGTGCATGCCTGTAGCTACTTGGGAGGCTGAGGCAGGAGGATTGTTGTGTATATTTTGCCACAATCAAAACAAAACAAAACCCAAAACCAATTTAATATCCACATACGGATATTAATATCCAAATACGTGCAATTGGTGACCGAATTGCACGGTACAGCTCAAAGAATGTTTCCAAGAATGGCTTTTGATGACCACCTCAAAGCTCACAGTCTTTCCAGAGAGACCGTCACCCTCTCCCCAAGGGGGCAGCCTGATGTTCCAGGAGGTGGCAGCCACTCGTCCAGGTCAGAAAGCGACTGCCAAGAACTCACTGGACCTTGGAAGTCAGCCAGCTGCCAATCTGTCAGCTTGCATCCGGAGGGCTGGAGAAGAAGCGCTGTGTTAACTGTGCAACTCTGTGCTGCTGTGCACGCTCGGTATGTGGGTCCCGAGGGGTTTCCACTCCACTGGGCAGGAACAGGGAGGGAAGGCTGTCATGTTTCGGTTTCTGAATGTCCAGCTGCTGTGACAGCAGGAAAGAGTCGCCAAGGGCTGAGACTGGTGGGTGGGCTGGCTCCCCAGATAGAACAATCCACCCAGAGCCCATTCTGTAGGTAGTGAGGCAGCCTCCATCAAACCAGTCGTGGATTCTCTGTTTCTGTAGAGCTCTGCCTGTTTATGCCTCACTTTCTGGGGATGAACTGGCCTGGGCTTCTGCAATAATTTCAGCACAAGGAGTTAAAAGAGAACCATAGTTGCCCAGTGTGGTGGCTCATGCCTGTAATCCCAGCACTTTGGGAGACCGAGGCGGGTGGATCACAACAAGGTCAGGAGATCGAGACCAGCCTGGCCCACATGGTGAAACCCCATCTCTACTAAAAATACAAAAATTAGCTGGGCGTGGTGGTGTGTGCCTATAATCCCAGATATTTGGGAGGCTGAGGCAGGAGAATCGCTTGAACCCGGGAGGTGGAGGTTGCTGTGAGCTAAGATTGCACTACTGCACTCCAGCCTGGGTGACAGAGCAAGACTCCATCTCAAAAAAAAAAAAAAAAAAAGAGAACCATAGCATCTTCCACCAAGACACAGACCTCCATGGCCAGCCCTGTCCCCTGTCAAGAGCTCTCCCGGCCCCATGTTCTTTTCCTTCCTGGCGGTTAGCACAGTAGATGCTCAAAAAGGTATCTGTGACAATATTTGTGTTGCAAATGATGTCAAAACTGTGCAAAACCATGTTGGTTTGAATCCTGGCTCTGCCACTTACTGTTCCTCCTCAGGTGAGTTACTTAACCCCACTCTGTCTTGATTTCTCTGTGGTTTTCCCCATAGAGAGAAGACATTTGTTAATGTATGAAAAGTCCTTAGAACAATGGAATGAAGCTTCCATGAAGTCAGCTTTCTCAGGTCCACAGCAAATATTTGGGGGAGTGGAGGTGGGGGCAGAACCCTTCAGGCATTCAGTACAAGGTAGTGGTGTGTGTACGTGGGAGGCAGTCCCAGATGTCAGAACCTGAATTCAAAGCGCATTCTGGCTGTAGTGGGTTGAACAGTGAACCCTCCAGAAGTTATGTTGATGTCCTAATCCCTGGAATGCTACCTTATTTAGAAAAAATAAGGTATGCAGGTACGATTTAGTTAAGAATATGAGGGCAAGAGTTTATTCCTGGATTTTCTGAGTGGGGCCTAAATGCAGTCATATGTATCCTTATGACACAGCAGAAGAGGGAACTTTGAGAGGGAAGAGGAGAACGCCCTGTCACCACTGAGGCAGAGACTGGAGTGAAGCAACTCCAAATCCAATGGAAGGATCCTCCCCCGGATCCTTTGGAGGGACCCTGGTGACACCTCGATTTCAGACCTATGGCCTCCAAAACAGTGAGAGAATACATTTCCCTTGTTTGAAGCCGTGTGGTTTATGGTACAGTCATGTGCTACATAACGATGTTTTGATATGTTTTGATCAACAGCGGACTGCCTATACAATGGTGGTCCCATATGGTTATAACTGTATTTTTACTGTACCTTTTCTGTTTAGATATGTTTTTTATTTTTTATTTTTTTGAGATGGAGTTTTGCTCTGTCACCCAGGCTGGAGTGCAGTGGCATGATCTCAGCTCACTGCAACCTCCACCTCCCAGGTTCAAGCGATTCTCCTGCCTCAGCCTCCCGAATAGCTGGGATTACAGGTGCCTGCCACCACACCTGGCTAATTTTTGCATTTTTCAGTAAAGAAGGAGTTTCGCCATGTTGGCCAGGCTGGGCTCGAACTCCTGACCTCAGGTGATCTGGAATTACAGGCGTGAGCCACCGTGCCCGGCCTAGATATGTTTAGATACACAAATACTTACCATTGTGTTACAACTGCCTACAGTATTCAAGACAGTAACCTGCTGTGCAGGTTTGCAGCCTAGGTGCAATAGGGTATGCCCCATAACTGAGGTGTGCAGTAGTTTATACCATCTAGGTTTGTGTTAAGTTCTCTACATGATGTCCACACAATGACAAAATCGCCTATTGACTCAGTTCTTAGACTATATTTCCAAGGCTGGAAACAGTGGCTCATATCTGTAATCCCAGCACTTTGGGAGGTTAAGGTGGGAGGCTCTTTTGAGCCCAGGAGTTTGAGACCAGCCTTTGGTAACATAGGGAGACCCCACCTCTACAAGAAATTTAAAAATTAGCCAGGTGTGGTGGCATGCATCTGTGGTTCCAGCTACTCTGGAGGCTGAGGTGGGAGGATCGCTTGAACCCAGGTGGTCGAGGCTGCAGTGAGCTGTTATCAGGCCACTGCACTCCAGCCTGGGTAACAGAGTGAGACCTTGTCTCAAAAGATAAAAAGTATCCCCCAGGACAATGTCAGTTAAACAAGATCTGTAGATTTTGTTATCTAATTAGACCCAGGATAGAATGGATGTGGGACAAGTAAGAATGCTGTTAAAATGAAGAAAATCCTGGCCGGGCATGGTGGCTCATGCCTGTAATCCCAGCACTTTGGGAGGCCGAGGTGGGTGGACCACTTGAGGTCAGGAGTTCGAGACCAGCCTGGCCAACATGGTGAAACCCTGTTTCTATTAAAAATACAAAAATTAGCTGGGTATGGTGGCGGACACCTGTACTCCTAGCCACTCAGGAGACTGAGGCAGGAGAATCACTTGTATCTGGAAGGTAGAGGTTGCAGTGAGCCGAGACTACTACACTCCAGCCTGGGCGACAGAGCGGGACTCTATCTCAACATAAAAATAAAAATAAATTAAAAAATAGAGAAATGATTAAAAAAGAGACTGCTGTTGACTTTGGAATTTTTGGGCAGGGGTCAGCAAACCCCATGGGCTGGCCATCTATTTTTATAAAGTTATGTGGAATTCAGCTGCATCCATTCATTGACCTATTGCACAGAAAGGCTCGCTCTCTCTCTCAAGCAGAAGGAGGCTCACTTCATGGTCTCTTTTCTTAAGTAAAGCAGTGAATTGAGTTGAATACTATTTCCCCCAAATTCGTGTTTACCGAAACCTCAGAATGCAATCTTGTTTTGAAATAAGCTCTTTGCAGATGTAACTAATTAAGGATCTTGAGGTGAGATCATCCTGGATTTAGAGTAAGCCCTAAATTCAATGACTGGTATCCTTCTAAGAAGAGGAAAGGACATAGACACACAGAGAAAAAAGGCAAATGAAGATGGAGGCAGAGATTGAAGTGGATGCCAGACAAAGAATACCAAGGGTTGCCAGGAGCCACCAGAAGAGGCAAGGAAGAATTCTTTCCTAGAGCAGTTGTCAAGGTGGCTCTGCTGACACCTTGATTTTAGGCTTCTAGCCTCCAGAACTAAGAGAAAATAAATTTCTGTTGTTTTAAGCCGCCAAGTTCATGTTACTCTGTTATAACAGCCCTAGAAAGCCAATATAGGGAGAGAAAGATGAGGTGACATGCCTTTGCCCCTGATTTAATACTTCAGTTAATTCTGGAAAAGAACCCCTTATCAGATAGGTCCTGTTTGACAATTTGATTCAATAAATATGGTAGCAACCACTGGATGTCCACCACTCCCCCATCCCCCACCATCTTCTACAGTAATGGAATTTTAGCCAAGTCATGGAGTTCCCAACAAAACTACATTTCCCAGCATCCCTAGCAGTTTGGTATGATCACATGATTAAGTTTCCATCAGTGATATGTCAGTGGAAGTGACAGCTGCCACTTTTGGGTCTGAGACTTCAGAAATTCAAGGTCTGCCTATTCAAGACCAGTTAAGTTTTGATTGTGCAAATGGTGCTGAAGATCATTTGGTGGTAGAAAAGAAGAGGGCAACAGGAGCCTGAATCCCTGAGTGACTTTGTGGAAGTGAGCTTCCCTGCCAACCTGCATGGCTAACCTTGCAGCTATTATAGGAGAGAAATTATTTTTTTTTCTTTAAGGTTTTAATCCGGTGGCCTTTTGGGTCTCTTAGTATGGCAGCATACCTTTGCTACATAATATAATAAATATTAATTATGTACCCAGGAAGTTGTAGTCATGGGGGATAGGACAATGACTGGATGGGTAGGGCCCTGCTCTCATGGAGCTTACAATCTAAGGGAAGGAAAGCAGATAATTTAAACCTCAATTATAATACAGGGGGATAAAAAACCTGGTGGAAGAGCACTGCTATGGTCTGAATGTCTGTGTCTTTCTCAAATTCATATGTTGAAACCTAGTCACCAATGTGAAGATATTAGGAAGTGGGGCCTTTGGGAGGTGATTAGATCATGAAGACAGAGGGATTCATGCTCTCATGAAAGAGGTTTCAGAGAGCTGCCTCAACTCTTTTCACCATGGAAAGATGCAGTAGGAAGACCCCTTCTACGAAACAAGAAATGGCCCCTCATCAGACACCAAATCTGTCAGTGCCTTGATCTTCCCAGCCTCCAGAACTGTGGAAAATAAATTTCTGAGGTGTATAAGCCACCCAGTTTAAGGTATTTTATTATAGCCACCTGAGAGGATTAAAACAGGTGCTCTCTGGGCAAAGGAAGTGTCCTCATCCAGATTTGGAGGGTCAGGAGAGGGTTTTTGGAGGAAATAATGCCTATTCTGAGACTTGACAGCAAAGGGTGGAAAGAAGAAGAGTATTTCAAAAAGAAGGAAAAATAATTCCAAGGCTATCCAGTGACAGAAAGTATAGGATGCTAGGGGATCCTTAAAAAGTTCAATGGGCTGGATGTGGTGGCTAACCCCTGTAATGCCAATACTTTGGGAGGCCAAGATGGGAGGACTGCTTGAGCCCAGGAGTTTGAGACCAACCTGGGAAACATAGTGAGAACCCATCTTTACTAAAAATAAAAATATTAGCTGGGTGTAATGGCATGCACCTGTGGGCTCAGCTACTCAGGAGGCTGAGGTGGGAGGATCACTTGAGCCCAGGAGTTTGAGGCTGCAGTGAGCTGTGACTGTACCACTGCACTTCAGCCTGGGTGATGGAGTGAGACCACATCTCAAAAAAGAAAAGTTCAATGTAGCTAGAGTGGAGAGATAACACAGGTGATATGGGTCAAGGCCAGATGACGCAGGGTCTCAAAGACACTGCTAAAAGCAATGGGTCACCTTGAGAGGACTTGACAAGAAGAAAGACTTGGTGAGATTTATATTCTGTGTAGTAAAGAGTTAACTCCTTGGGGTTGGGGAGTTCAAACTCTGCATATTCCAAAGGAAGGACTGGCCCTTGGCTGGCTCCTGGAAAGAATATCTGTATATCTAGGGCTTTGGGCCATGCCTGGTAGCTTATGCTCACAATGGGATCTATGGTGACTGCCTGTTTGTGTTCAGCTGGGGCCCTGGGACACACGGTATCAGTTTGATCTTGGAGTGTGCTGGAGACCCAGCAGTTAAAGTCAGTCACATGGGTGCTCCATGTCAATGTAACTGAGCCCCAATAAAAACCCTGGACACCAAGGCTCAGGTGAGCTTCTCTGGTTGGCGGTACACTGTACATTGTCACACACCATTGCTGGGAGAATTGAGCACTGTTTGCATAACTCCACTGGGAGTGAACAGCTGGAAGCTCATGCCTGATCTCCCCTGGACATTGCCTTGTGCATCTTTTGCTTTGCAGATTTTAATCTGTATTATCTGTATTCTTCCACTGTAATAAACCATAACTGAATTTCACAGCTTTTCTGGGTCCCGTGAGCCCTTTTAGCAAACCTTCAAACCTGAGAGTGGTCTTGGAGAACCCTGACACATACTCTTACAACCTTGAAGCTACTCCAGGTCAATAAGATTCTTGTTCTAGTTGCATCTCAAGAGAAAAGCAATTCCCTCTCTGACGAACTTTCAGATGTCCTACCTGCTTGCTGGCCACAGGACTTTAGGGGATTTGGAGATGGACAAAACTGGCCTCTGTCTCCAAGCAGCTCAGAGTCTAGAGGGCAAGGCAGAAAGGAGACCAAAGACAGCAATCAGCACGTGGTGTGCTTTTATGGCAGAGTGCGTGATGGAGGGCTAGTGGGTTCATCCCTACCTTAAATTCTGGCCAGGAATGGGGACAAGTCACAGCACCCAGATCAGAGATTAAGTTGATGAAGCTTGGGGGAATGGTGCTGTGTATCTCAGGGGAGAAGGAGGTGAAGTGAAGCCAATGCTGTGTGGGCCAGGATTGAATCCCAGAGAGAATTTTCTTTTCTTTTCTTTTCTTTTTTTCTTTTTTGAGACAAGGTCTTGCTCTGTCACTCAAATGGGAGTGCAGTGGTGCAATCTTGGCTCACTACCACCTCCACCTCCCCAGGCTCAAGCAATCCTCCCACCTCAGCCTCCCAAGTAGCTGGGATACAGGCATGCACCACCACGCCTGGTTAATTTTTGTATTTTTTTTTGTAGAGATGAGGTTTTGCCACGTTGCCCAGTCTGGTCTCAAACTCTTGAGCTCAAGTGATCCACCTGCCTCAGCCTCCCAAAGTGTTGGGATTACAGGTGTGAGTCACTGCACCTGGCCAAGAGTTTTCTTCTAGAAAGTCCGCCTGAAGTTGTGCAGCATTTCCAGTAGCCAGAGCTACTCTGAGAGATAAATGAGGCTCTTTGCCAATGTTGGCTAAAATCTAAAACATCACCCAAGGCAACCTGTATCATACTCTCTGACTTCTCCCCTCCACAGCCCCCTTGCCCTGCCCTCCAGGGAGTGTCCCTTGCAAATGTCACTGTTCTTCCTTCCCTTTCATACCACCTTCATTTAACAATCAAAACAGCTGGCCAGGCGTGGTGGCTTACGTCTGTAATCTCAGCACTTTGGGAGGCCGAGGCTGGCAGATCGCCTGAGGTCAGGAGTTTGAGACCAGCCTGACCAACTTGGAGAAACCCCATCTCTACTAAAAATACAAAACAAACAAACAAACAAAACAAAACAGCTAGGAGTGGTGGCACGTGCCTGTAATCCCAGCTACTCAGGAGGCTGAAGTAGGAGAATCACCTGAACCTGGGAGGTGGAAGTTATGATGAGCCAAGATCATGCCATTGCACTCCAGCCTGGGCAACAAGAGTGAGACTCCGTCACAAACAAACAAACAAACAAACAACAACAGTCAATGCATGCCAAGAACTGTGCTGGATGTTCTATTACTTATTTATTTTATTTTTTAACTTAATTTGTATTTATTTTTATGTTTTAGAGGCAGGGTCTTGATCTGTCACCCAGGCTGGAGTGCAGTGGCATGATCATAGATCACTGTAGCCTCAAACTCCTAGGCTCAAGTGATCCTCCTGCCTCAGCCTCCTGAGTAGCTAGGACTAGAGGTATGCCTGCACCATCATGCACACTAACTTATTTTATTTTACTTTTGCAGAGATGGGGGTCTTGCTATGTTTCCCAGGCTGGTCTCTAACTCATGGCCTCAAGTGATCCCTCCACCTTAGCCTCTCAAAGTGCTGAGATGACAGGCATAAGTCATAGTTCTTGGCCATCTACTCTTTTAAATAATCCACACAACAGACATCTATTTCTTTTTTTGAGACAGAGTCTCGTCCTGTCACCCAGGCTGGAGTGCAGTGGTGCGATCTTGGCTCACTGCAACCTCTGCCTCCCGGGTTCAAGCAATTCTCCTGCCTCAGCCTCCCAAGTAGCTGGGATTACAGGCACGCACCACCACACCCAGCTAATTTTTTCTATCTTTAGTATAGATGGGGTTTTACCATGTTGGCCAGGCTGGTCTCGAACTCCTGACCTCATGATCCGCCCACCTTAGCCTCCCAAACAGCTGGGATTACAGGTGTGAGCCACTGCGCCTGGCCCAGACATCTATTTCTAATGCAGTAAGCTGGGTAATAAGACTGACTCTCTTGCTGAAAACGATGACAAATCCTGCATAAAATCTGAAGTCCATGTTGTTGAAACAAGAAAGGCCTGACAATTAGTAGTTATCAGCCCCAAATAAATAAGTGAAGTCAAGAATTTCCCAGAGGTAACCTGAGCATCTACCAGAGCATTAAAACCACTTTTGCCCCAAGGGCATCTGTCTAACCCATGGAACTGCTGCTTCAAGTTTTATGGCCTCCTAGGGAGCAGGGGTGGGGCAAAGTCCAGGGTACACACGTGTTAGAAAGTCTCAAAGGAGACACACCACTCCCCAAGTAGGATGGGGCCCCAATAGGCTATCACTTTCAGGTAAGAAACCTGAAGTTAATTTACTCCCGTCTTTCCATTCCCAGAGATTTTTGAGGAAGTTACTTTGGCACTTTGCAGAAAAGGAGAAAAACAAAAGTTTTTGAGAAATTATAACCACAAGCTGGCTTTTGCAGACACTGGTGACCTAAATTCTCAACACATTGTTGGTCTAAAAGTCTAAGATGGTCCTAGACTGGGAGTTTCCCAGACACCTGGAAAAAGTAAATGCAAATTGTCCATGGAGGGTTCGCCTTCATCGCAGGCCTCAATGAACTCCCTTCAACAGTGTCCCATGGATGCCGGGCACGGTGGCTCACACCTGTAATCCCAGCACTTTGGGGGGCCGAGGCGGGTTGATCACTTGAGGTCAGGAGTTCAAAACCAGCCTGGCCAACGTGGTGAAACCCTGCCTCTACTAAAAATACAAAAAAATTAGCTGGGTGTGGTGGCACACGCCTGTAATCCCAGCTACTCAGGAGGCTGAGGCAGGAGAATCATTTGGGCCTGGGAGGCTGAGGTTGTAGTGAACTGATATTGCACCACTGCACTCCAGCCTGGGCAACCAAGCGAGACTCTGTCTCAAAACAAAACAAAACAAAAAATAGTGTCCCATGGAAAATGAGCTTCACACAACCAAAGATAACAAGACATTCAAGAAAACAAGGCACCAGAATGAGGAATCACAGGAAACAAGAGACAGCAGAAAAAAAGCCATAACAATTTTAGATACTTAAGTTATTGGACACTGATTATAAAAATTCTTCGCATATTATGGGCTTTTTTTAGATTTAGCCTTTTCTTTTGCATATTATACTTAAAGAAATGTAAGACATGCTTGAAAATACCTATAGAACAATTCTCAAGTGGGGGCGTTTCTACCCTCCATGGGACATTTCGTTTGGCAATGTCTGAGCCATTTTTGGCTGCCACAACTGGGGAGGGGCTGCTACTGGCATTTAGTAGGGTGAGAGGCCAGGGATGCTCTAAGTATCTTAGCACAGGGTGGTAGCTCACGGCCAAGAATTACCTAGCCCAAAATGTCAATTGTGCCAAGGTTGAGAAATCCTGCTGTAGGAAAACAATACTGCAAAAGATGAAGCAGGATTAAAAAAGATCAGACAGCTTGTAGGAAGAAAACAATTCTAATACTTGGAATTAAAGACATAGTGGGCGTGGTTAATAGCAGATTAGACATAGCTAAAGAGGCAACTGGTAAGCTGGTGAGAGACAGGTACCATTATTCTCCTCATTTGACAAATAAGTAAACTGAGGCACACAGAGAGCCAGCATCTTGGTTTGCTGGGAAATAAATCACAAATTGGCATCCACCTAACTCAAGATCTGTGCTGTTATCCACTCTGCCATTCTGTTTAAACCCAAGGGAATGGTGTCCTCTCTCTGCCTGAGCCTCTGAATGTCTTCCCCATTTGCTATTTTCTTTGGCAAAATATTTTAGGGAAAATAGAATTTGTCTAAAAATGCCTGACAGAAGAAAGGCACATTGTGTTGCATTAGCATGCAGGCAACAATGCCTAGCGGGGAAAAATGGCACAGCAATTTCCGTCTCTAAAACATTTACCTTCCATTAACTAATTATGGCCCACAGTTCATAGTCAAGGGGCTTGGGGGTGTTTATC
Source organism: Homo sapiens (assembly GCF_000001405.40). Taxonomy (NCBI): domain Eukaryota; kingdom Metazoa; phylum Chordata; class Mammalia; order Primates; family Hominidae; genus Homo; species Homo sapiens. The sequence continues at coordinate 13,427,114 of NC_000019.10, forward strand.
TTTACACAGACACAGGGAAAATGGAAGAAATGCACCGATAAAAGTGGTCCCCCCCAGGGCATGCGTGGTGGCTCAGGCCTGTATTCCTAGCACTTTGGGGGGCCGAGATGGGCGGATCACCTGAGGTCAGGAGTTCGAGACCAGCCTGACCAACATGGAGAAACCCCGTCTCTACTAAAAAAAATTAAATTAGCCAGGCGTGGTGGCATATGCCTGTAATCTCAGCTACTCAGGAGGCTGAGGCAGGAGAATCACTTGAACCCAGGAGGCGGAGGTTGCAGTGAGCCGAGATCATGCCATTGCATTCCAGGCTGGGCAAGAAGAGCGAAACTCCATCTCAAAATAAATAAATAAATAAATAAATAAATAAATAAATAAATAAAGAGTTCCCCCTATGAGCTGCTAGAAGCTGGAATGCAGGGTCCAGGGCCGTCCCAAATTTGCAACCCTAGAGTCTTCAGCTGCAGGATCTTGGGCAAGTTACTTCCTCTCTCTATGCTTTGATCTCTCTCTCTCCATAAAATGTGGATCATGAAAAACAACCCTTTTAGGATTCTTTCCAAAGATCCAAGGAGATGTGTGTTAAGGGCATGGCACATAACAACTGCTCAGTGTTACTGGTGATTACTTCTATTGCAGAAGCAGGAAAACACAGTGGTAAAAACAAACAAACAAACAAACAAACAAACAAACATACACACACACTCTGGGATCACACTCCTGGGTCTGAATCCCAGCTCTACCACTCCGTAGCTGTGTGACCTTTGGACAGTTACTTAACCTCTCTGGGCATCGGTTTCCTCATAGGTAAAATGTGGATAATAACAGGTTGTTTTTTTTTGTGTGTGTGACAGAGTTTCACTCTTGGAGTGCAGTGGAGTGATCTCGACTCACTGCAACCTCCGCCTCCTGGGTTCAAGCGATTCTCCTACCTCAGCCAAGTAGCTGGGATTACAGGCACCTGCCACCATGCCTGGCTAATTTTTGTATTATTAGCAGAGACAGGGTTTCACCCTGTTGGTCAGGCTATTCTTGAACTCCTGACCTCAGGTGATCCACCTGCCTTGGCCTCACGACGTGCTGGGATTATAGGCGTGAGCCACTGCGCAGGGCAAGAGCTCTTATCTTATAGGCTCTTTAGAAGATTAAATGGGTTAATATTTGTAAAGGGCTCATAGTAAATGCTAGTTGTTATTCTCATCACAATTTACCTGGATTATTAGGCTGATGAGTGCAATGCAGTTGAACTGAAGTTTTACAAGGGCAGAAAGCAGGCCTGTCTTGTTGACCGATGTGTCATCAGGGCCTAGCACATAGTAGAACCTCAGTGAGCAATTTTGGAATGAATGAAGTATTTCCTTTTTACCTGCCAATATCCCCAAATGTAACAAAAACCATGACTACCATTTGCTGAGAATCTACCCTGGAGCAGGCCCCCTAGTGGGCATATTACACGGATCATCTCCTCGCATCCTCAAAACAACGCTGAGACAGGTGGCATCGTTCCATTTCACAGATAAGGAAACCGCAGGTCAGAGTGGCCCCGCAGCCTGTGAAGGGAAAAGCCAGAATTTTCGCCACGTCCACTGGGATTCCCAAATCCAAATGTTCAGCTACTTTCTGCCACCAGTGTTTCCTTCAACCTGCGATCCGCTCTCATGGATGTCACAGCCAATCACGTAGACCCCGAGAGCCCTCATGTTTGTATTTCTTTGCTTCTACCATATGTTCCCCCTGCTTCTTACTGAAGAATAGAAGCAGTTCAATGCCTCAGTTTCCCTACTCATAAAAGGAGGAAAACAACAGTGGTGTTCTCAGAATGGCCTTGAGGACGGCACAGGTGAATCACGCCTCAAACAGAGAGAGCCTCTGCAAATGGAATAGCCTCTCTACCACTTGCCTATGAATCCCCCCACCACCTTGACCCTCGGGCACACATCTTTAGATTTGCTGACCACCTTCTGAGCTGGGTCTCGCTCCTCTGCCCATTAGCTTTCTTTGCCCAAGCTGATTTATCTGTCATTTCTCCCCCTCCAGCCTCTATCACTGTGCGTACACACACACACACACACACACACACACACACACACACACCCCTCTTTCTCTCTCTTCTTGCAGCCTCTTCAGCCACTAAAATTAGCTCCATCTCTAGTCCACATCCCCAGCACGCCTGTCCTGGTTTCTCTGGGCTCCCAGCCACTTGCGATATTGTGTCTCAGATGCCACACGCTGCCTGCCTGATGTCACAGCCGCTTCCTAAAACAAGAGGTATTTTGAGATCTTGGAGGGGGTGGGAGCGGGGGGAAGGGAGGGATTTCACACATCTTCCTCCCGGGGTGTTTTTAAAAAACGCTGACACGAGAGATGTGTGCCCCCCTCACTGTGCCCCTCACTCCTATTTTTAGTTTCAAAGCGTCCAAAAAAAAAAAAAAAAAAAAGCTTCAGAGCCAATGAGACCTCTAAGGGCCCCAGTGGGTCAAATCTTGATTTAAAAAAAATTCCACTTCTGGGTCTATATCCAAAAGAATTGAAAGCAGGGACTCAGCTATTTGTACACACAGGTTTACAGCAGCATTATTTACAATAGCCAAAAGGTGGAAGCCAAGTGCCCATCTGGATGAACAGATAAGCAAAGTGTGGTCCATCCACACAATGGAATACGATTCGGCCTGGAAAAGAAGGAAATTCTGACTCATGCTACAATATGGATGAGACTGGAGGACATTATGCTCCACGAAACAAACCAGTCACAAAAAGACAAATACTGTATGATTCTACTCACAGGGGGGACCCAAAGTAGCCAAATTCACAGAGATAGAAACTAGAACGGCGGGTGCCAGGGGCTGGGGGAGTGGGGAGTGTGGAGTAGGGTGGGGGGAGTGGGGAGGGGGGAAGGGGGAGTCGGGGAGAGGGGAAGGGGGAGCGGGGAGTGAGAGTTTCCTGGGGGCAGAGCTTCAGTTTTGCAAGATGCAAAAGTTCTGGAGATGGATGGCGGTCCTGGTTGCACAACAATATGAATGTACTTAACGCCGCTCAACTAAACACTTAAAAAATGGTACATTTTATGTTATGCATATGTTACCACAATGAAATATATATATATATTTTTTGAGACAGAGTTTCGCTCTTGTGGCCCAGGCTGGATTGCAATGGCATGATCTCAGCTCACTGCAACCTCCACCTCCCGGGTTCAAGCGATTCTCCTGCCTCAGCCTCTCGAGTAGCTAGGACTACAGGCGTGCAATGCCACGCCCAGCTAATTTTTGTATTTTTAGTAGAGACAGGGTTTCATCATGTTGGCCAGGCTGGTCTCAAACTCCTGAACTCAGGTATCTGCCCGCCTCGGCCTCCCCAAGTGCTGGGATTACAGGCGTGAGCCACCATTAGAACAATGAGACAAGCAGGTCAGGAGGAGATAGCACATGGACAGGGGGTGAGGATGTTACCACCTAGTCATGGCAGGGGCTTGATGCCCCTGGAAGATTTTACTGGCACAATTCATATTACAAATTATTTAGTGAATACTTACTATGTGCCAGGCTGTGTTCTAGGCTCTGGGGGAATAGCAGTGAACAAAACAGACAGAAGTCCCTGCCCTCATGGAGCTGGCATTCTAGTGGGGGCAGGGGATTGGCAATAACCAATAAACAAGTAAATATAGCTTGGCAGATGCTCTTCAGGGGTGTAGAGGGAAATTAAGCCTAGAGGCGGGGAGTGGGGTGGCACAGTGCAGGTGAGGCAGTTACATGTTAGAAGGACACTTGAGCAAAGACCCAAAGGAAGTGAGGGGGGAGCCAAGCAGATATCTGGGGGAAGAGTGTTCCAGGCAGAGGGAACAGCCTGTGCAAAGGCCCTGAGGCTGGGGAGTGCTTGGTGTGTAAGGGACAGCAGGGAACTTGTGTAGCTGAAGCCGAGTGAGTGGAGAGGAGAGTGGGAATAGAGGGGGATGGGGGATCACAGGGGCAGAGTTTGTGGGTCCCTGTGAGGAGAATTTGGGCTTTTTCTCCAAGTGAGGTTGTGAGCAAAGAGGAGCCAGGTCCTGACTCAGTGGCTCACAGGTGCCCTCTGGCTGCTGTGTGGGGAACAGTCCTGGGGGTGGGGCAAGGACTGAAGTTAAGAGACCAGATTGGGGTGGAGGGGCAACTGGTTTAGTCCAGGCCAGCAAAGATGGGGGCTGGACCGGGGTGGGGCTGTGAAGGTGGTGAGAGGTGGGTGGTGGATTCTGGGTAGATTCTGAAGGTAGAGCCAATAAGATGTGCTAACAGATTGGATGCAGGGGGTGGAGAAAAAGAGGCATAGAGGCATAGAGGAAGATCTGGAGGTCTGAGGCCAGAGCACTGCAGGGGGTTAAAGCCGCCTTTACCTAAACAGAAAATAGGGCAGGAGGAGCAGGTTTGGGTGACGGTGGTCTTTTGGAGGAGCTGTAATCCCTCTAACACCTCAGAGTCAGCTGCACACCCATGTTCATGACAGCACTCTTCACAATAGCCAAGATGCAGGTACAACCCAAATGTCCATCAGTAAAGGAATGGATGAAGAAAATATGGCGTGTATATGTACACAATGAAGTACTATTCAGTCTTTAAAAAGGAGCAAATTCCATCTTTTGCGACAACGTGCATGAACCTGGAGGACATTATACTAAGATGAAACAAGCCAGACACAGAAACGCAAATAGTACACAATCTCGCTTATATGTGAGCTCTAAAAAATTTGAGGCCGGGCGTGGTGGCCCATAATCCCATCACTTTGGAAGCCCGAGGCAGGCAGATCACGAGATCAAGAGATTGACACCATCCTGGCCAACATGGTGAAACCCTGTCCCTACTAAAAATACAAAAATTAGCTGGGCGTGGTGGTGCACACCTCTAGTCCCAGCTACTCAGGAGGCTGAGGCAGGAGAATCGCTTGAACCCGGGAGGCTGAGGTTGCAGTGGGCTGAGATCATGCCACTGCACTCCAGCCTAGCAAGAGAGTGAGACTCCGTCTCAAAAAAAAAAAAAAAAAAAAAAATTTTAGGCCAGGTGCAGTGGCTCAACGCTTGTAATCTCAGCACTTTGGGAGGCCGAGGTGGGTGGATCACTGGAGGTCAGGAGTTCCAGACCAGCCTAGCCAACATGGTGAAACCCCGTCTCTACTAAAAATACAAAAATTAGCCGGGCCTGGTGGCAAGCACCTGTAACCCCAGCTACTCGGGAGGCTGAGGCTGGAGAATCGCTTGAACCCAGGAGGCGGAGGTTGCAGTGAGCCAAGATGGCACCATTGCACTCCAGACTGGGTGACAGAGCGAGACTCCATCTCAAAAATAAATAAATAAATAAATAAATAAATAAATAAAAATTAAAAATTTCAAAAAATAAAAAATTTGAACCCATGGAAGCAGAGAGAATGGTGGTTACCAGGGGCTGGTGGTGGAGGGATTGGGGAGATATTAGGCAAAGGATACAAAGTTTCAGTCAGACAGGAGGAATACGTTTTAGAGATCTTTTGCACAGCATGGTGACCACAATTAATGATAACGTATTGTAGTGTATGTTTCAACGTACTATACAACATAATGTAATATACAACATAAGGTATTGTATATTTCAAAATTGCTAAAAGAGTAGATTTTAAGCGTTCTCACCACAAAAAATAAGTATGCGATGTAGTGGATATGTTAATTGGCTTGATTTAATCATTCAAAAATGTAAACATATATCAGAACATCCCATTGTACTCCATGAATATATATAATTAATTTTTCAGTTAGAAAAAAAGTCAGGCTGGGTGCAGTGGCTCATGTCTGTAATCCTAGCACTTTGGGAGGCTGAGGCAGGAAGACTTTTTGAGGCCAGGAGTTTGAGACCAGCTTGGGCAACATAGCAAGACCCCGCCTTTATAAAAAAACTTAAAAATTAGCCAGGCATCTGGCTCATGCCTGTAATCCCAGCGCTTTGGGAGGCTGAGGTGGGCGGATCACGAAGTCAGGAGATGGAGACCATCCTGGCTAACACGGTGAAACCCCGTCTCTACTAAAAATACAAAAAATTAGCCAGGCGAGGTAGCAGGCACCTGTAATCCCAGCTACTCGAGAGGCTGAGGCAGGAGAATGGCATGAACCTGGGAGATGGGGCTTGCAGTGAGCCGAGATTGCGCCACTGCACTCCAGCCTGGGCTACAGTGCGAGACTCTGTCTCAAAAAAAAAAAAAAAAAAATTACCCAGGCATCATGGCGTGTGCCCATAGTCCTAGCTACTCAGGAGGCTGACGTGGGAGGATTGCTTGAGCCTGGGAGGTCAAGGCTGCAATAAGCCATGATCACACCACTGCACTCCAGCCTCGGCAACAAAGCAAGACGCTGTCTCAAAAAAAAAAAAAAAAAAAAAAAGTCAGCTGAAGAAGATGGACCCCCAGGGACATGGAAACTGGTTTGCACCCAGAGCCTTGGATCAGGGCCTGCATTGTGGGGAAGTGACCTTGGTCTGGCTGGTAGGCGGGGGATGCAGGTCAGATTATTGACCTGGGCTTTGGTGTCTCATCTGCTAATAAGGGATGCAAAAAGCCCCAACCTCAGAATCTCTGGGAGGCACCAATGGGAGAATTCTTGCAAAGGGCTCAGACAGCCCTTCCCTGCATAGCACCCAGCAGAACAAGAGCAAGTATAAGTATTAGCAATGGAATGGTTGCAGTGTGTCTAGCTAACCTCTCCTGGGCAACACTGCATCATCCAGTGGCCATCCCCTGGGAACTAAGTCAAGCAGCAAACGTCTGGAAACAGGGTCTTTACTTTCCAGAATCAGATAATCACAGAATCAGCAACCTCTACTCCATGTATTGAGTGTGGCAGTTAAGAGCTTCGACACTGAAGTCAAGCTTCCTCATTTAAACCCCAATTCCACCACTTCCTAGCCGTGTGGCTTGGGGCAAGTCCTCTAGCTTTTCTGAACGTCAGTTTTCTCATCTGTAAAATGGGGAGATTGAGAGTGAATGAAATAATCCCTGCAAAGCCCTAAGGGCACAGCCTGGCCACACACATGTTATATCTGTGTTCACTATTGTTGTTGTTATTATTATTTTTAGAGATAAGTTTTCGCCCTGTCACCCAGGGTGCAGTGCAGTGGCGTGATCATAGCTCACTGCAGCCTCGACCTCCTGGGTTCAAGTGATCCTCCTGTCTCGGCCTCCTGAATAGCTGGGACTACAGGCTACTGTTATTACTGATACCTTCATTTGTCCTGTGAAATAGGTACAATGAGCCCCTGAGATATTAGGTTGGTGCAAAAGTAATTGTGGTTTTTGCCATTACTTTTAATGTACTTTGGATCTGTGTCTGTCCGCAACCAAATCTTATGGCGAATTGTAATCCCCAATGTTGGAGGTGGGGCCTGGTGGAAGGTAATTGGATCATGGGGGCAGATTTCCGCCTTGGTGCTATTCTCGAGATCGTGAGTGAGTTCTTGTGAGATTGGACATTTAAAGGTGTGTAGCATCTCCCCACTCTCTCTCTTCCTCCTGTTCTGGCCATGTGAGGACACCTGCTCCAGCTTTACCTTCTGCCATGATTGTAAGTTTCCTGAGGCCTTCCCAGAAGCTGAGCAGATGCTGCCATGCTTTCTGTAGAGCCTGCAGAATCGTGAGTCAATTAAACCTCTTTTCTTTATAAATTACCCCAGTCTCAGGGTTTTTATTTATTTATTATTATTATTATTATTTTTACAAGGTCTCACTCTGTCGCCCAGGCTGGAGTGCAGTGGCATAATCATTGCTCACTGCAGCCTTGACCTCCCAGGCTTAAGCAATCCTCCCACCTCACCCTCCTGAGTAGCTGGGACCACAGGCGCGTGCCACCACACCTGGCTAATTTTTGTACTTTTAGTAGAGACAGGATTTCACTGTGTTGCCCAGGCTGGTCTGGAACTCCTGGGCTCAAGCAATCTTCCCACCTTGGCCTCCCAAAGTACTGGGATTATGGGTGTGAGCCACTGTGCCCAGCCAGGCATTTTTTTTTTTAATTTTTTAAAAATAATTTGTTTTTTGAGATGGAGTCTCACTCTGTCTCCCAGGCTGGAGTGCAGTGGCGCAATCTTGGCTCACTGCAACCTCTGCCTCCTGGGTTCAAGCAATTCTCCTGCCTCAGCCTCCTGGGTAGCTGGAATTACAGGTGCATATCACCATGCCTGGCTAATTTTTTTTTTTTTTTAGAAGAGATGGGGTCTTGCTATATTGCCCAAGCTGGTCTCACACTCCCAATCTGCCCAACTCAGCCTCCCAAAGTGCTGGGATTACAAGCATAAGCCATCACGCCCAGCCCCAGCCAAGCATCTCGTTATAGCAATGTGAGAACGGGCTAATACAGGCCCCAATTTTCAGATGGGGAAACTGAGGCTCAGAGAGACAACAGTCTTGCCAGAGGTCAGCAGAGCAGCAGAGGTGAGCAGGAAGGGTGCTCTGCCAGCCTGTCCTCATTTTCCCAGATGTACACTGGGGACAATGACGGCACCTACCAAGAAAGATGTGCCTGGAGGATTAAATGAGATAATTTACTCAAGATATTGAGAATAGCACTAGGTACAAATTGTGGATGAATGTTGGTGTTTATCATAACTCCCTCGGGTCACTCGGCTGGGCACTGGAGAAGCCCATGACTGTCTGACTGCAGGGTCCAGCTCCTTATTACAGAGCTTTGCTGCTGAACCTACAATTTAAAAACACACAAGGCTTTACTTGTTTTTGTTTTGTTTTGTTTTAAGATGGAGTCTCACTCTGTCATCCAGGCTGGAGTGCAGTGGCGCAGACTCAGCTCACTGCAACCTCCACCTCCCCAGTTCAGGTGATTCTCATGCCTCAGCCTCCCGAGTAGCTGAGATTACAGGGATGCACCACCAAACCCAGCTAATTTTTGTATTTTTAGTAGAGATGGGATTTCATGATGTTGGCTACGCTGGTCTTGAACTCCTGACCTCAAGTGATTCACCAGCCTCGGCCTCCTAAAGTGTTGGGATTACAGGTGTGAGCCACCGTGCCTGGCCTGCCTTTGCCTGTTTCTTCAGAAAGGACAAGGGAATGAAAAATCAGGGATTGTTCCCTGAGCCTTCGCTTTTTCGAAGCACTCAGCATTCCTGGTGCCCAAGGCTTCCCACATTGTCCCCTTGGCTGGTACAGCTGCTGAGGCGAGTGTGATTCTGAGGTTGGGGCTTTTTGAATTCCCTGTTTGCAAATAAGAGAGGAACCTCAGCTGCTCCTGAATCCACCCAGAGCAGGCTGGGCAGTCCCTGTTTTTCTCCTCCTGCTACAGAACAACAGGACTGGAATTAAGTATAGCTCTTCTTCCTTCTGTCCATCCCCTAGCAATGTCTGGGCAAGCCTAACAAAAGCCATGAAGCCTGTATTATCAGCTATGAATTCATTCATTAATTCACTCATTCATTCATTCACTCACTCATTCATTCACTCATTCATTCATCCACTCACTCATTCATTCACTCATTCATTCATTCACTCAATCACCCATTTATGCATTCAACAGATTTTTACTGAACCCCATTCTCAAGTTCTACACGAGGCTCTGTGGTTCTGTCTTTACCCCCCAGAGGAAGGAGACAGATGATTAACCAAATAGACAACATTAAGAGGATTCACACTGATGCCACAGATGGCCATAAAGAGGGGACCTAAACTGGTATCATAGTGGGCATGCAGTGGGGAGATCAGGGAAGGCTTCCTTCCTGGAGGAAGAGACAGTATCATATCAGTAAACATGTACTTCCTTGAGGCCTGAGAGTGCCCCTTTGGCACCTTGGCCCCTCTTCAAGGCCCCTGGACTGCCCCCACAATGCAGCAAACAATGAGTACACATGTGGCACAACAGGGGAACCTCTTTTCAGGTTAGCTGGTGTCCCTGCCACCTGGATGTTAAATACTTTATGTATCATGTCTGGGTAAGAATTAAGCAGATACAGAGGAGGGAGCATATCTCAGACACAGGCACACAGCATGTGCAAAGTCCCTGGGGTGAGTGGGCAGAAGCTGCTCGTGGAGAAGGCTGGTGTCCCTTTCCCTATTTTCTCCCTCTAAAATTTGACAGTGGACAGAAGGAAGCCTGGTTCTACAGTGGGGCAGAGCTGTGTCCAAATCCTGGCTCTAGCCACACAGAACTGTGAGAAGGTTTGAAGATGATAAGCTATGTAAAGGATCTAAGACCCAGCAGATGCTCAGTTCATGCTCTCTGAAGTTGATCTCTACGCCGGCCTCGGTTTCCATAAACCTAACACTGCAGAAGGGAAGAGAGGTGGAGGCAGCTAAGAAAAGAAAAGGGCCAGGTGTGGTGGCTCACGCCTCTAATCCCAGCATTTTGGGAGGCTGAGGAGGGTGGATCACCTGAGGTCAGGAGTTCAAGACCAGCCTGGCCAACATGGCGAAACCCTGTCTCTACTAAAAATACAAAAATTAGCCAGGTATGGTGGCGTGCTCCTGTAATCCCAGCTACTCAGGAGGCTGAGGTGGGAGAATTGCTTGAACCCAGGAGGCAGAAGTTGCAGTGAGCCAAGATCACGCCACTGCACTCCAGCCTGGGCAACAAGAGTGAAACCCCATCTCAAAAAAAAAAAAAAAAAAAAAAAGAAACAAAAAGAGTTGGGGCGGGAGGGAGAAGAGTTAAGGTCTCCACATAGACACCCAACCAGCCTGGCCTCTGCCCCCACCTGAGCCCCTGAGCCAATGGAATCAGAGCCAGGTTTCCATCCAGCTCTGATCAGGAGTGGGTAACATTTCAACAAACAAAATCCAAAGCCCCAGTGGACAGAGGGAGCCAGGTTGCGTGTCTGTGCATGTCAGCATGGCAGACAAGAAATCTCTTCCCTTGCACGCCAACCACCTGTGAGGGTTCAGAACTCAGATATCACAGTGAGATTTGATAAAAGCTGGAAGCATCTGAGGAGGCTGTGTAATCATTCCCACTTTTCTTTCCAGCTTGCTGTATGATGGGCCCTCTGCTCTCAGCAGAGTTTTTGCTGACATTTTTTCCTCCTTTTCTCTGTGCAAGTGACACAGTAATGACACGTCATCTACATTGATTGCTGAGGGTCAGGGATGGAAAGGAATCTGAAAATATGCTCTGAGGGCCCACAGAAGTCAGGGCAAAAGGCCCCAGGGAACAGGAATGGGGCCCCAGTGGCCCCAGGTAAATACCAGATGGGCTCTGTTGCCCCATTCCTTGAATCTGGACCAGCTTCATTGCTTGCTTTGGACAACAGTGGCCAACACGATGTTGTGCCATTCCTGGGACTAGCCCTTAAGAAGGCTGAACACTTCCTCTTTCTCTTAGAATCCCATTGCTGCCACGTGAACTAGCTCAGGCTAGCCTGCTGGAGGATGAAAAGCTGCCATGTGAACTAGCTCAGGCTAGCCTGCTGGAGGGTGAAAGACCATAGGGAGTGGAGCACAGTCATTCCAGCCGAGGTCATCCTGGACCAGTCTGCAGCCAGCTAACAGCCAAACAGAAGAGCCACCCAGCTGACCCGCAGCTGACCAAAGATGCATGAATGAGCTCAACTGAGACCAGATAAAGCACCCAACTGGGCCCAGCCTAAACTGCCACCCTTCAGAATCATGAGCTAAATAAATGCTTGTCATTATAAGCCACTGGGTCTTGGGGATTGTTTGTTACACAGCCGTATTATGGCAATATATAACTGATGCAAAGGAGCATACAGAAGAGGTAAATATGAGTTACACTAAGACAGAGTTTTAAAATAAAATATCCTGATTTTATTTTATTTTGATTATAGGTGCACGCCACCACACCCGACTAATTTTTATATTTTTAGCAGAGACGGGATTTCACCATGTTGGCCAGGCTGGTCTCAAACTCCTGACCTCAGGTGATCCACCTGCCTTGGCCTCCCAAAGTGCTGAGATTACAGGAGTGAGCCACCATGCCCAGCTTTCTCTTTCTTTTCTGACTATCCTGTTCCCCTGTTTCCTGGTATTGCCAAACAAACCACTTGTCCTCAAATTTTTTTTTTTTTTTTTTGAGATGGAGTCTTGCTCTGTCACCCAGGCTGGAGTGCAGTGGTGCGATCTTGGCTTATTGCAAGCTCCGCCTCCCAGGTTCACGCCATTCTCCTTCCTCAGCCTCCCGAGTAGCTGGGACTACAGGCGCCCACCACCACGCTCAGCTAATTTGTTGTATTTTTAATAAAGACGGGGTTTCACCATGTTAGCCAGGATGGTCTCGATTTCCTGACCTCGTGATTCGTTGCCCTCAAATCTTTGTCTCAGGATCAGTCTGGGTTCTGGGTTCTTCTTTTTTCTTTTTTTTTTTTTGACGGAGTCTCGTTCTGTCGCCCAGGCTGGAGTGCAGTGGTGCCATCTCAGCTCACTGCAAGCTCCGCCTCCCGGGTTCACGCCATTCTCCTGCCTCAGCCTCCCCAGTAGCTGGGACTACAGGTGACCGCCATCATGCCTGGCTAATTTTTTTTTTTTTGTTTTGTATTTTTAGTAGAGACGGGGTTTCACCACGTTAGCCAGGATGGTCTCGATCTCCTGATCTCATGATCTGCCCGCCTCGGCCTCCCAAAGTGCTGGGATTACAGGCGTGGGCCACCGTGCCTGGCCCAGTCTGGGTTCTTGATTGCAAAACCAAACACTGACCGGCTATCTTAGGCATAAAAGGGATTTTTAGGAAACTCAGATAATCAACAGGGGGCCAGAAGAGGGGATTTGGGAAATCAGCAGGAACAATGTAGCCAGCCTGACCTTCTCCTGTAGCAGGAGGCCATGAAAGAGTCCAAACCATCATGTTTGGATCACTTGGTCCATTTTCAAATTCCTGGGTAGGAAAACGTGACTGGTTGAGTTTTTTATTAGTTTGTTTTTTGAGACAGGATCTTGCCCTGTTGCCCAGGCTGGGCTGGAGTGTAGTGGCACTATCACGGCTCACTGCAGCCTTGACCTCCTGGGCTCAAGCAATCCTCCTGCCTCAGCCTCCTGAGTAGCGGGGACTACAAGCCTGTGCTACCACCCCCAGCTAATTAAAAAATTTTTAAGAGATAGGGGTCTCACTATGTTGCCCAGTCTGGTCTCAAACTCCTGGGCTTGGCTCAAGCTATCCTCCTGCCTTGGCGTCCCAAAGTGCTGGGATTACAGGCGTGAGCCACTGCGCCTGGCCCTGGTTGTTTAAATCACATGCCCTGACTACCAGGTGATGGGGTGACAATGAATCCCTTTCACCTTCAACTTATTAGTGAGGGTGGGATCCCATAGACCAGCAGTACTTTATAGAAAGGGGAGGATTCTCCCTAAATTGGAAAGGGAGGTCAGATATTGGGAACCCAACTAATAATAGCAAACGTTCCCTACAGTTAACTAACTGGTCTATGGAACTGGGCCTGGGGAAGTAGTAATAATTATTATCATCATTATAATGATAGTTATTAGTCTTACAATAGCTAATATAATTGAGCACTTATTCTGTGCCAGTTTTTGTTCTGAATGCCTTATATGTATCTCACTGACTTTTACCTTTTGAGGTAGGTGCAATTATTATTCCCATTCCACAGATGAGGAAGCTGAGGCCCAATGGACTATATCACTTTCTCTTTCTTCAGACTGTCCCTGGGCAAGTAACATCCATAAACCCAGCCCAGCATGGGTCAGACATTAACTCATTGAACCTTGAAAACAACTCCATAAGGTGGTAGTATTTTGTTGTTGTTTTGTGTTTTGTTTTGTTTGTTTGAGACAAGGTCTCGCTCTGTTGGACTGCAGTGGTGCAAGCACGGCTCACTGCAGACTTGACCTCCTGGGCTCAAGTGATTCTCCCACCTCAGCCTCCTGAGTAGCTGGAATTACAGGCACACACTATCACACCCAGATAATTTTTGCTTTGTTTTGTTTTTGTAGAGATGGAGTTTCACCATGTTGCCCAGAATGGCCTTGAACTCCCAAGTTTAAGCGATTCACCCACCTTGGCTTCCCAAAGTGTTTGGATTACAAGCATCAGCCACCATGCCCCACCAAGTCAGGGGATGCTACTACTCTCATTTTCCAGATGAAGAAATGGAAGATTCAGGGAGGTACAGTAACTTGCCCAAGGTCACACAGCTTGGAAACAGTGGAGTCAGGTTGGGAATCCACTCTAACCCCAAAGACCAGGTCTTAACCACTATGCTTCCTTACGTGTCTATGTAGACTGGCTGTCCTCATTTAGAGATGCCTGCACAAGAAGCAGCTGGGTTGCAAAGCAATGTTTAAAAAAAATTATTTTTTGAGACAGAGTCCTATTCTGTTGGCCAGGCATGGTGGCTCACAGCTGCAATCCCAGCACTTTGAGAGGCCAAGGCGAGTGGATCACCTGAGGGGAGAAGTTCGAGATCAGCCTGGCCAACATGGTGAAACCCCCTCTCTACTAAAAATGCAAAAATTAGCCAGGCATGGTGGTGTGCGCCTGTAATCCCAGCTACTTGGGAGGCTGAGGTGGGAGTGCTTGAACCTGGGAGGCGGAGGCTGCAGTGAGCCAAGATCGCGCCACTGCACTCCAGCCTGGGCAACAGAGCAAGACCCTGTCTCGAGGAAAAAAAAAAAAAAAAAAGAGTCTCGGTTTGTTGCGAGTCCAGTGGCATGATCTTGGTCTCCCGGCTTCAAGCGGCCCACCAGGCAGCCACCTCCCTGCCCTGGTGAGAGGAGAGGAGTCATTAGGCATGCAAACTGTAGAGGCAGTGGGACAGATGCCCCTTGGAGGCAGGCTGGCATTTGTCATAGCAATTCGAGAAAACAAGACCTCAGTCGGCCCCCAAACCTGCGGAGAGATGGATGGCAAGGTCTTCTCCAGCCCCACAGGGAAAATGGCCAAGAAGCTCAGTATGGAACAAGGTCACCTGGCCATCTGGCCTTTACTCAGTCCCTCTCCACCCCAGCTGGAGGCAGAGGGAGGGAAGAGAACATTTTAGCACAATACGGTGTGCTGGGAGCTGTCCAGGGTGCTGAAACCTGTAACCCGCTAAGCTTCCAACTTCCGCTCCTTGAGTTAGCGCCGAGTAGACCCCAAGGCAAAAACTAGGGTCCAATGGTTAATTTGGGAGGTAATGCAAGGAATTACAAGTGAGGAATGAGGAAGAGAGAGATTGGTAAAGGGTACACTAGTGAATGGGTTTTATGTGAACAACTAGGATTCAATTTTACTGAGGCACCTCTATGATGCTGTATAACATATTTCAGTGTTTTCCCACTGAGCAATGGGGAAGCCAGGGTATTTATACACTGACTCCCTAGCTCACTGGTTGAGGGATGCTACCGAGGTTGTTAAGCATCTGGCTCAGCAAACTCTGTGATGCCAGAGACTGCCCTCCAACAGAGATGTAGAGAGATGGGAGTGTACCAAGAGGAAGCTGCAGGTGAACTTAGACGTAAGCTAGGTAAATAAGGCATGGAGAATTTGTAGCATCTATCACATGCTCCCCCACAAGAATTTAAGTTTTTTTCCTTCAGTTCACCAACTTTCGTGTGTGATGCAAACCCTAGGAGCTAGGCACTAGTTTTACTCCCTTTTTCCAGGTGAGAAAACTGAGGTTCAGTGAGTTCAACCCACATTCTCACTGTCATAGAGGGAGGAGCTTCCTCTGACTCTGAAGTCCAGGTCTTAACCATGGCGCTAGGCCAATCTCTCATTTCTTGAAATCTCTTCTGCTCCTGTTTTCCCCCAGCCATAGTGGAACCCAAGATCAGGGAGGGGAAGGAAGGATCACCCTGACTTCCCATGTCAGAGAGCTCTATTCAAATTCTCAAGTTTATTTTCCTTGGCAAACTTGACCTTAGAGAAATAGCGTAGGATTCAAGAAAATGGGTTCTAGATCCAGATCTGCCTTAGTTCAAATCCTGGGTCCACCACTTATGAGACAGATGCTCTGGCTTGAATATTTCAAACCTTCCAAAACTCATGTTGAAATTTGTTTTATTTATTTTATATTATTATTTATTGACACGGGGTCTCACCCTGTCACCCAGCCTGGAGTGCAATAGTGTGTGTGCATTATAGCTCATGCAGCCTTGATCTTAAACTTTCCAGTCTCCATAACTGTAAGAAATAAATTGCTTTTTCTTTATAAATTACTCAGTTTCAGGTGTTCTGCTATAAGCAACAGAAAACAGACTAAGACAGTAAGCATTTAATGTCTTTGAGCCTCAGTTGCTCCATCTGTAAATGGGAATAATAATAGTATTTATTTAACCTTGAGAGTTGAAATAATTTTATTTTTATTTTTATTTTTAGAGACAGTCTTGCTCTGTCACCCAGGCTGGAGTGCAGTGGTGTGATCATAGTTCACTGCAGCCTCAAATTCCTGGGCTCAAGCAATCCTCCTGCCTCAGCCTCCTCATTAGCTGGGACTATAGGCATGTACCAACATACCTGGCCAACTGAAAAAATAAACTTTTTACAGAGACAGGATCTTGCTATGCTGCTCAGGCTGGTCTCGAACTCCTGGGCTCAAGTGATCCTCCTGACTTGGCCTCCTAAAGTGCTGAGATTATAGGTGGGTGCCTATGTATGTATATAATATATAGTATATCATATTGTAAGCACCTCATAAGTTTCAGCTTATCAATGTTGCCACTGTTGTTAATAACAGGCATTACATTCCTAAGGACACTGGGTTGAATACAGCTCTTTGCTGAACTTAACACAGGCCCAGTATTATTCTAGGTTTAGAGAAGTGTCCTAGCAGAGAGGCTGAGATCCTGATCCACCCCTTACCAGCTGTGTGACTCCCTTGTGAGCAGCTTAACCTCTCTGAGCCTCAGATTCATCTGTACAAAGGCTAGCGAGGCTCAATGTGATAATACACATAAAACTCTTAATGTAGTCCCTGGCACATAGTAAGTACTCAATAAATGATAAGAATAACGACCATGGCAGCTAACATCATTATTATCACTGTCACTGCTGGTGTTGTTAGAAGATGGAAGAAAATAGCTCCTGCTGCTAGGAAGTGATGTGGTTCCTGGTGAAACATGGTCCAGCAAATATCATGACAACCAAAAGCTTTGAACAATAAAAAGATCGATGCTCTCTCAATGGTATAACTCACTGAGAATGACAAAAAGCATTTGTGTCACAGTGGGGAATCCTTTTGGTACCAAGGATGACTGATCCATGGAGGGGAGAAACTACTGCAGAGAGACATTAAAATAAAATGCTGCTGGTATTTATAGGAACTGTTGCTGGTCTCATGAGTTAGAATGCTGGTTGTGTTTTGTTGTTGTTGTTGGAATGCTGTTTACATGTGAAGGCAACTAAGAGCAGGTGCATGGGGCAGGGGTGAAGAAAGAAAGGAGGTAAGAAGCAACTACATGTATTTATTCAATTAATCAAAAAGGAGAGAGGACATGAGAGGTGTATGGTCAAGACACTGACCCCTCTGAGACTTGGTTTCCTCAACTATATAATAAAAAGCGAGGAACTGGGATTATTCTCTGAGGATCCCTTTCTTATTCTCTGGAAAGAGGCCATAGGCTAGTCAGGGGGCAAGAGGAAGGAAGAGAGAGCTGGGCTCTAGTGGCAGAACCTGAGGGGTGATATTAAACATTTATACCACTTCCATTGCCCAAAAAGCCAGGGTTCCTGGCTCCATGACTTGAAGACACCTTCTTATTCTAGATCTCTTGCCACCATCTCTGTGTGACTTTGGACAAACCACTTGTTTGTGAGTAAAACAGAAGGGCTGGACCTGCCAGAATCCATGGAGCCTTAAAATCCAATGATGCGGCCCGGTGCGGTGGCTCACGCTTGTAATCTCAGCACTTTGGGAGACAGAGGTGGGCGGACCACCTGAGGGCAGGACTTGGAGACTAGCCTGACCAACATGGAGAAACCTCGTCTCTACTAAACATACAAAAAAATTACCCGGGCTTGGTGGTACATGCCTGTAATCCCAGCTACTCAGAAGGCTGAGGCAGGAGAATCACTTGAACCTGGGAGGCGGAGGTTGCAGTGAGCCGAGATCATGCCATTGCACTCTAGCCTGGGCAACAAGAGAAAAACTCCGTCTCAAAAAAAAAAAAAAAAATTCAATGATGCTTCAAGACCAAAAAACAACATCTTTCCCTGATGGTTCCTGTGTAGTTGTGTCTTTTCCTTGCCTCTGATCTTCAACAAAATGGCCCAAAGCCTGAGACAGTTTATAGACCCTTCTAAAAAGGAACCTTCCGTTTCATAGAGTCATAAAATGTCAGAGCTGGCAAAGACCCAGAGCTTCTCTGTCTTATATCTCATCTGATGTTCAGGGCATCTGCCATAGACTTCTGGACTATCTGACTATTTCTATCAGTGTGTTGGTCCCATCTTCTAAACAGCTTAGTAAATTTCCCAGGACACTCATTATCAGAAGTGTTACCCTTTTCCGGCTTAACAACCATTTATTTTACTGAGCATTTATTATGTGAAAGGGACAGTGCTAACCCTGTGAATAAAAAAGAAAAAAAATTGTGCTCACCCCTCTCTGGTGAGGTTCACAGTCTCTTTTCTTAACATGCACGATTTGTGTTATTTGATCTCTTCAATATTTATATATATTTGAGAATGACAGTAAAAGAACTGTCATCTCAGACATACAGCCAAGCTTCTGAAATCTTCCTCTTACACATTTTCAGTTTCATGATCAGAACACAAATACAATAAAAACATGCCTTACAAGGGTTTGACAACATTATAAAGTTAGGATTTCTCTGAGGCTCTGAGTTACAAAGAACAAACAGATGTCCGGGGTAAGATCTTTTCCACCAAACTTCACCCAAGAAGAAGGTAAACACCGTGGTGGTCCACACAAAATGAATCACGTTTTAACGCTGTGGTTTGCTTCAGGAATCTGAGAGGGCAACAGGTTAATCAGAAAGTACTCATTAGGCCGGGCACGGTGGCTCATGCCTGTAATCCCAGCACTTTGGGAGGCCGAGGTGGGCAGATCACCTGAGGTCCGGAGTTCGAGACCAGTCTGGCTGATAGTGTGAAACCCCGTCTCTACTAAAAATACAAAAATTAGCCAGGCACAGCAGTGCATGCCTGTAGTCCCAGCTACTCAGGAGGCTGAGGCAGGAGAACTGCTGGAACCCAGGAGGTGGAGGCTACAGTGAGCCAAAATCCCACCACTGCACTCTGTCCCGAAAAAAAAAAAAAAAAAAAGGAAAGAAAGTACTCATTAAAGTCATCACTGTCTCAATGTCAAATTAATATATTTGAGTCCCCTCCTCTCTGAAACATAGAATTAAGTGTCTACTGTGTTTCTCTACCATTGACATTGGCAGAAGGCTAGGTCTGCATGATGTGTGTGTGTGTGCGCGCGTGTTTTTTCTTTCTTTTTTTTTTTTTTTTTGAGACAGAGTCTCACTCTGTCATCCAGGATGGAGTGCAGTGGCACAATCTCAGCTCACTGCAACCTCTGCCTCCTGGATTCAAGTGATTCTGCTGCCTCAGCCTCCCAAATAACTGGGATTACCAGTGCACACCACACCACCATGCCAGGCTTTTTTTTTTTTTTTTTTGTATTTTTAGTACAGATGGGGTTTCACCACGTTGGCCAGGCTGGTCTGGAACTCCTGACTTCAAGCGATCTGCCCGCCTCTGCCTCCCAAAGTGCTGGGATTACAGGTATGAGCCACAGAGCCCAGCTGGGATTTTTTTTTTTTTTAAGACAAAATCTCACTTTGTTGCCCAGGCTGGCCTTAAACCCTTGGGCTCAGGGAATCCTCCCACCTCAGCTTCCAGTAGCTGGAATTCCAGGTGCTTGCCCGCTGCACCCAGCTCATGCAGAATGTTTTACTTTCCCCTCCCTGTTCCTAGCTTACAACCCAACAGGACACTAAACAGCACCTTGGAATTTGGAGTAATAAAATTTGAGCAATGTGCCTCATTTGAAGGAGATAGAACCACCAGACAAAAAGGATAACTGACTACCAGAGAAATAAGAGCAAGAAAAGCAAGTGAAAGAAATGCATGGAGAATTCAACAAGAAAGGAGAAGGGGATGTGAAAGGAACCCAATCTAGAATAGAAGGTCTTCATGATAGGATCAGGATTCCCTGAGAATCTAATAAAAACTACAGACCAGAAAAAAAAATATACATATACACAATTTTCTTCTTGCATAAAATTTCAGTGGGTTCATTCATCCCAACGATGAGCTCTCACCCTTAGGACCTATCTGTTCTAGATGAAGTATTTCTCCTCTAGAGGAATGAGTCTAGAATCTCTTCCATCAGATGACAGGAAACTAGAAGAAAGGCCACCTTGTTGTAAGCAGGGAGATACAAACACAAGTGACAAACTGACCTACTGAATGACTGCCTTCAGTTTAATGATCACTTATTGGGACCCACTAGGTGTCTGTATTAGTCAAGGTTCTTCAGAGGGACAAAACTAACAGGATAGATGTATATATGAAAGGGAGTTTATAAGGAGAATTGACTCACACAATCACAAGGTAAAGTCCCACGATAGCCCATCTGAAGGATGAAGAGCAAGGAAGCCAGTGGTGGATCCGTCAGAGTCCTCAAACCTCAAAAGTAGGGAAGCTGACAGTGCAGCCTTCAGTCTGTGGCCAAAGGCCTGAGAGCTCCTGGCTAACCATTGGTGTAAGTCCATGAGTCCAAAAGCTGAAGAACTTGGAATCTGATTTTAGAGGGCAGGAAGCATTCAGCACAGGACAAAGATGAAGGCCAGAAGACTCAGCAAGTCTACTCTTTCCAACTTCTTCTGCCTGCTTTTATTCTGGCCACACTGGCAGCTGATTAGATGGTGCCCACACAGATTGGGGGTGAGTCTGCCTCTCCTAGTTCACCGGCTCAAATGTTAATCTCCTTTGGCAACACCCTCACAGACACACCCAGGAACAAGACTTTGCATCCTTCAAGCTGATCAAGTTGATGCTCAATATTAACCATCACACTGCTCAATAATATATGAGCTTCCCTAAGTGTTCCCATAACCGTGTTATTATGAAAAAAAAAAAAAAACAGGGCTGCAAAAGCCCATCAATGATAGACTGGATAAAGAAAATGTGGTACATATACACCATGGAATACTATGCAGCCAAGAAAAAGAACAAGATCATGTCCTTTGCAGGAACACGGACGGAGCTGGAGGCCATTATCCTTAGCAAACTAATGCAGAAACAGAAAACCAAATACTGCGTGTTCTAAGTGGGGGCTAAATGATGATAACACATGGACATACAGAGGTGAACAACACGCACTGGGGCCTTTTGGAGGGTGGAGGGCGGGAGGAGGAAGATGATCAAGAAAAATAACTAATGGGTACTAGGCTTAATACGTGGGTGATGAAATAACCTGTACAACAAACCCCCAAGACACAAGTTTACCCATGTAATAGATCTGCACTTGTACCCCTAAACTTAAAATAAAAGTAAAACAAAAAAAACCACACAGGGATTTTTAAGGCTCCTTCCTGCCAGCAAGGTCAAGCCAGCCTCAGCCAGCAGAAGCCAGCCCCCAGGGAGCATGAATTGGCACAACCACTTTGCAGAGCAATTTGGCAATACCTAGTGGGGCTGAGGATGCACACAGTATACAACTCAGCAGTTCCACTCCTGGGTACGTGCCCTAGAGAAACTCACTTGGGAGAAAGCAGGGACACTTTGGGTCAAAATAGCCCAAAGCTGGAAACAATCCAAATAGATAAATACACGGCAGCATACTCCTACCACAGAATACTATGCAGTCATGAAAATGGATGCATGGAAACTATTTTTATTAATCAGATTTATCTCATGTTGAACACAAAAGTCAGGTTAGAGAAATGTGAAGTTTGAAAAACAGTACCACATATCTCTTTTTTTCTTTCTCTTTTCTTTTTTTTATTTTTTATTTTATTTTATTTTTTTGAGACAAGGTCTTACTTTGTTGCCCAGCCTGGAGTGCAGTGGTGCAATCACGGATCACTGCAGCCTCGACCTCCTGGGCTCACGTGATCCTCCCACCTCAGCCTCCTGAGTAGCTGGGACTACAGGCGTGCGTCATCATGCCTGGCTAATTTTTTGCATTTTTTTTATAGATGGGGTTTCACCATGTTGCCCAGGCTGGTCTTAAACTCCTGGACTCAAGCAGTCTTCCTGCCCTGGCCTCTCAAAGTGCTAGGCTTACAAGTGTGAGCCATCACACCTGGCCTTTATTAAAAAAACAAAAAAACAAAAAACAACAACAACAACAAAAAACATTTTTTAGGGACAGGGTCTTGCTCTGTTGCCCAAGCTGGAGTGCAGTCATAGCTCACTACAGCGTCGACCTTATGGGCTTAAGTGATCCTCCCGCCTTGGCCTCCTGAGTAGCTGGGACCACAGGAGCACACCACCATGCCCAGCTGAATATTTTATTACATTTTATTTCATTTTGTAGAGACAGGGTTTCACTACATTGGCCAGGCTGGTCTCAAACTTCTGGCCTAAAGTAATCCTTCCATCTTTGCCTCCAAAATTGCTAGGATTACAGGTGTGAGCCACCATTCCCAGCCCACATATTTCTTATCTATGCATGTAGTCAAAGTGTAAACTATTCTCACTCTGATGCTATTTAAAAAATATTTTGAAGTGTAAAAATAGGTAGCATATATTTCTTATATACTTAGGCAGCCAAAGTGTGAATACATAAATGCAAATAATAAACATAAAATTCAGGAAAGTGCCCCTGGATGGGGGAGAGAAAGGAATGGGTCTAGGGAGGGAGAAAACAGGGATTAGAAAGGTTAGAAAGGTTTTGTTTTGCTGGGCACAGTGGCTTACGCCTGTAATCCCAGCACTTTGGGAGGCCATGCCAGGTGGATCACTTGAGGTCAGGAGTTCAAGACCAGCCTGGCCAACATGGCGTAAACCCGTCTCTACTAAAAATACAAAAATTAGCTAGATGTTGTGGTACACGCCTGTAATCCAAGCTACTTGGGAGGCTGAGGCAGGAGAATCACTTGAAACTGGGAGGCAGAGGCTGCAGTGAGCTGAGATTGTACCACTGCACTCCAGCCTGGGTGACAGAGGGAGACTCTTGTCAAAAAAAAAAAAAAAAAAAAAAAGAGAAAGGTTGTGTTTTGATAGCAGGTTACTCCATTACTTCTCTATCCCCAATTCTCCCCATTCTTCTGGTCACCTTCTCTAGCCATGTGGGTCTTCTTACTGTTGATCAAACATGTCAGATACAGTCCAGCCTCAGAGCCTTTGCACTGGCTGTTCCCTTTGCCTGACACTCTGTTCCAGCTCTCCTCATGGCTCACTCACTCACCTCCCTTAGGTTTTCATTCAGATGTCACATGCCCAGTGAAGTCTTCCCTGGCTTCCAGCACCCCTCACCCCTGCCTGCCACACATCCCATCCCTCCCCTGCTTTATTTTTCCTCTGTACCCCTCACCGCCATCTGACACACTAGATTCATTCATCAATTGTGTCCATCTCCATCAGTAGACTCTCAGCTCCATGAGGACAGGGGATTTTTCTATTTTGTTTACTGCTGTGTCCCAGAGCCTAGAACAGGACCTGGCACACAGAAGTGTTCAATAAATAGTCATTGAATAAATGAATGTATACACAGGTGTTTGCTCTATTATTCTCTACTTAGTTTTGCATGGGATCTTGCTAGGTTACCCAAGCTGGTCTCAAACTAGTTAGGCTCAAGCAATCCTCTCTCTCCAGCCTCCTGAGTAATTGGGGTTACAGGCATGTGCCACTGTACCCAGCTTTATACACTTTTAATTTTTATTTTGTGGAGATGTGGTCTTGCTATGTTGCTCAGGCTCGTCTCAAACTCCTGGGCCCAAGCAATCCTCCCACCTTGGCCTCCCAATGTGCTGGGATACAGGCATGAGCCACCCTGCCCAGCTTTACATTTTTTAAACAATAAAAAAGTTAGCCACTAGGCTGTTTCTAGATGAGTTTCCTAGTAGACTAAGAGAAAAGTGCCCAGTACCATAATATGCCCTTGGAACCCACCAAGGTCCCAAGCCACCGAACTGTGAGCACAGCCAACAAAGATCCCTCTGTGAACACCCAAGCCCATGAGAGCTAGCCCAGAGTCCTTACAACAGACTGCTGACATCTGAAGGCCTCTACAGAAACAGCCCAATAGGCCACAGCTCCTTCTGTGAGAGGCAACATTGCTCTGAAACAAATCTGCATTGTGAGAGCCCGGCCAGCACAGTGTGGGTGCTGCAACCCATCACATCCGCCAAGAGAGACAGAACCTGGAGCAGCAACAAAACATGGAAAGCTATGATCCTGTAAATGATTACTATGAAAAAGGTGTCCAGTGAAGAAGGGTCTTAGAATAGAAGAGCCCAGACTTAGCTGAGAGGAGAGTAGAGAGTGGGAAGAGGAGGAACCAGCCATTGGTACCAGATACTAATGTCCCTACTGGAATCTAATAAAAGTTTTTAAGGTCCCTGACAGACTAGTAGGTCATTCTCCAAATCCATTTCCCTTTTCTTCTAAGCACAATCTGATACTTCCCAGCTTCCCTTGCAGTGATGTGTGGTCATGTGACCGAGTTCTAGCCAATAGGATATGAATGGAACAGGTATGGGTCACACCCCTTCCAAACTCATAAACCTTTCCAAGTATCACCTTCTATGCTCACTTCTCCTTCCTGGTTTGATACAGACAAGCATGGAGTTATTGGATGATGTGGGCTGACAATGAAGAGCCACAATATGGCAAGGGTCAGGGTCCGTCAGTCATTGGAGGAGATGAGCCTGTCAACTAGGAACAATTATTTTGGACTTTTTTTTTTCGAGATGGGGTCTTGCTCTGTTGCCCAGGCTGGAGCACGGTTGGATGATCATAGCTCACTGTGCCCTCCAACTCCTGAGCTCAAGCAATTCTCCCAGGCATGTACCACCATGCCTGGTTAATTTTTATTTTATTTTATGTTTTACAGATGGGGGGGTGGTCTCACTGTGTTGCCCAAGCTGGTCTTGAACTCCTGAGCTCAAGTGATCCTCCCACCTCAGCCTCCCAAAGTGCTGAGATTACAGGCATGCACCACCACACCCAGCTCAATTTTGAATTTTCTATGAGTGACAAATAAACTTCTGCCGTGTTTAAGTCATTTCCTAGCTTTGGATCTTTTGTTATACCAGCAAGTGCTACCTCATACAGGGTGCTTAGAGGAAAGCATATACACATTTCAACCACAGTTCATCATATATGGATCTGAAAACTCCTTGAAGACAGTAACTGTACCTTATTTAGCTTGCTTTTCTCCTTTGTCATAATCACAATCCCTTGCACCCAGACATTCTCAAAAAACATTCACCAAGTTGAAATAAAAGCAAGATATCCTCAAGCAAATCAAGAGACCCATGCACGTACAACACTTAAAACCTTGAGTTCTGGAATGCATAATCTTCTGTTCATCTCCCAGTTCCATCACTTACTTGCTGGGTGGCCTTAAGCAAGTTACACTCTGAGTTTCTGATTCCTCAGTGGTCAGATGGGAATATTAATATTTCCTAATTCAGTGGGTTGTTGCAAGGATTAAATTAGAGAATGGGCATAAAGCACTCTGGAAGCAGCCAACAATAATGAGCTATTATTTTAATTGTAACAGAAAGCATCTGCTGTAATATACAGCTGAGACATGGAGGTGGGGTGTTGGCAGAAAGGAGGCAGGCGCATAACAAGGGGAGGGAGAACACAAGGGCTCAGCCTTCCTGAGCCTGGCCCGGACCACACCAACCAAAAGCCTCGTAATCCTTCAGCTAGTTAAATCCAAAGCGTATAGCACGCGCCACTTACCCCGTTAGCACCACCACAAAGTCCATGACATTCCAGCCATTCCTCAAGTAGGAGCCTTTGTGGAAGGCAAACCCAAGGGCAATGATTTTAATTCCAGCCTCGAAACAAAAAATTCCAATGAAGTATGGTTCTGTGTCATCCTGGAAGGGAGAGAAGGCAAGGTCAGCGTCTTGGGCTGGGCAGATGTTGACAAGATCAGGGAACCAGCCCACCTAGAAATCAGTACCTATCACCCTCTCACTTCCCCTGACCCTCCTGCACTCACCACCCCTCACTGCCTCTTGCAGAGTTCTCTTGTCCAAAGCCTTTTGCGAGCAAAGCCAATGCCTAGAGAAGGCACCTTCCTCCTTCATTCCTTTTGGGCCAACCTCACATATCACTCAGCTAAACAGAATTATTTGTTTGCACCTGTCTTATTCAATACGACAGTCACAGGCCACATGTGGCTATTTCAATTAAAATTAATTTAAATGCAATAAAATAAAAAACACAGTTCTGCAGTCACACTGGCTACATTTCAAGTGACAATCCTATTGGACAGGGCAGATGGAGATCATTTCTGTGACTGCAGAAAGTTCTAATGGAAAGCATTGGTTTAGAGAATTTACTTGTCACATGCAGCGTTCAAGGTATTTGAGGCTAGAGCTTGTGCATTGACCTCACTCCTAAATCTGACCCCTTAGGATGGTTCTCAGCTGGCATGTAGATTGTTAAAGGTTTGGAATAGGACTTCTGTACTGGCTGATAAGTGGCCAGTATCCTCACCTCCAGTTCCTCTGCAGAACCTCCGGCTGGTTCTGGCTTCCAGCTGCTAATCTATCATATTTGAAATTAAGCTACAAGCTCTTCTCCATCAGAGCCCCAATGTGAATGTTTTCCCATCTGTTACAGCAACGTTTCTCGAGCTACAATCATTTTCACTCTGCCTGAATGATTTTTTTTTTCCACATTAGCTTGCCACTGGTACTTCTACTTGCTTACCAGTCTTTCAATGGA
The DNA here is from genome assembly GCF_000001405.40 of Homo sapiens. Classification (NCBI taxonomy): domain Eukaryota; kingdom Metazoa; phylum Chordata; class Mammalia; order Primates; family Hominidae; genus Homo; species Homo sapiens. Next base: position 13,453,872 of record NC_000019.10, read on the forward strand.
CGCTTTTTATTTAGCTTTATTTTAAGTGAAAATGCAAAGATCTAGAAATCATAGGTTTGCTAGGCTAGTTATAGTTTTTAGAAGACTGTGACATTGTGAAATGTATGTTTGGTCTTTGACACTGTTTCCTGGTGTACAGCTCCTAAAACCCTTGGGATCTCCAAAGGGATGTCTTTTTGCAGGCTAAGGATTGACTGATGGCTGGCAGCTTCTAGGTAGCTTCAGGATGGGGGTTGGTCACCGGGAAAACCAAGGCATGATTAGAGGTTTGGATTTAAATCATTGACCGTTGGTGATCAACTTGATTTTCAGCCCCTCTGCCCTCCCAGAGGTTGGGGGGTGGGGCTGAAAGTCGCAACCCTCGAATCATGCCTTGGTCTTTCTGGTGACCAGTCCCCCTCCTGAAGCTACCTAGAAGCTGCCAGCCACACCCTTCTCCTATATCTCACCCTTTGCATCTCTTCATCTGTATCCTTTGTAATATTCTTGTTTCTTTTTTTTCGCCTCCCCCCCACCAAGATGGAGTTTCACTCCTGTTGCCCAGACTGGAGTGCAATGGTGCGATCTTGGCTTACTGCAACCTCTGCCTCCCGGGTTCAAGCGATTCTCCTGCCTCAGCCTCCCAAGTAGCTGGGATTACAGGTGTGCACCACCATATCCAGCTAATTTTGTATTTTTTTAGTAGAGACGGGCTTTCACCATGTTGGTCAGGATGGTCTCGAACTCTTGACCTCAAGTGATCTACCTGCCTTGGCCTCCCAAACTGCTGGGATTACAGGCATGAGCTACAGTGTCTGGCCAAGACATAATTATTAACATTAACAATGTTCATTTGAGTATACTGCCTGAAATTATGTCAGATGCCAAAGTGGGCAGTTTGAGACCAGCCTAAGCAACCTAGTGAGATCCCCATCTCTACAAAAAAAGATAAAAATAAGAAAATTAACTGGGCATGGTGGCACCTGTAGTCCCTGCTACTCAGGAGGCTGCAGTGGGAGGATGGCTTGAGCCCAGGAGGTGGAGGCTGCAGTGAGCTATGACTGAACCACTGCACTCCAGCCTGGGTGACAGAGCGAGACTCTGGTTCAAGAAAAAATGAAAAGGAAATTTAGGCTTCCCATGATCTGGCTCTGGGCTCCAGGACTGAGAGCCTCCTCTGTGCCCTGCTCCACTCCCCCAAAAATTAATGTCCTGCTAAAGCCAAGGAGAAGACCCTGAGAAAAGACATCACTCACCAGCCGTTCAGACATCGGGGTCTTGTCATCATCAGGCAGATGCTGCTCCAGTGCGAGGACGATGCAATTCGCTATGATGGTGGCTAAAATCATATATTCAAAGGGAGTATTGGGGAATTAAGGAAAAATCTTGTTCAAAGAAAAGAAGGGTGTTGGAGGTGCACCCACCCCCACTGACCCCAGTGGAAAGATCTCAAGCCCTCTAGATCCTTCCAACTCATCAGCACAGGTGGAATTATTCGTTCTCCTGTCTGGAGTAGATCCCTGCAGATCTCAAACCCAGATCAGGTGACTTCTAAAGGGAAATGTGGATATTCACCTTCTATCTCACCCACAATATTCACTGAACACATATTCATTCAGTACCTGCTGTGTGCCAGACTCTGTTCTGGGCTAGGGACACAGTTGAGAGCAAAGCAGACAAGAGGAGAAGCTTCCTCCTGCTTCCCAGAGGAGAAGCAAATAAATGAGATGACTACATCATGTATACTATGCTATACAGTACACTGCATATACCATGTTATACAGTACATCATATATGCTATGTTATGTAGTAAGATGGTGAAGACTATAGACAGTGGAAGGGGTCAGGGCTGCAATTTCAAATATGGTGGCAGGGCCAGCATGATGGCAGGCACCTGTGGTCCCAGGTACTTGGGAGGCTGAGGCGAGAGAATTGCTTGAGCCGAGGAGGTAGAGGCTGCAGTGTACAATGACTATACCACTGCACTCCAGCCTGGGTGACAGAAGGAGGCCCTGTCTCAAAAAAAAAAAAAAAAAAAGAGATAAATTAAAAATAGATAGAGGCTGCGGTGGGTGGATCACTTGCGGTCAGGACTTTGAGACCAGCCTGGCCAACATGGTGAAACCCTGTCTCTACTAAAAATACAAAAATTAGCCAGGCGTGGTGGTACACACCTGTAGTCCCAGCTACTTGGGAGGCCGGGGCAGGAGAATCGCTTGAACCTGGGAGGTGGAGGTTGCAGTGAGCCGAGATCATGCCACTGCACTCTAGCCTGGGCAACAGAGCAAGACTCCATCTCAAAAATAAATAAAATAATAAATAAATAAGTAAATAAATAAATAAAACATTATGATCAGATTTGACACCTAATGCATGATCCACAGAAGAAAAAACAGATATGCTGGGCTTTATCAAAATTTAAACCTTTTGTGCATCAAAGGACGTTATCAAGAAAGTTAAAAGGCAAGTAACAGAATAGGAGAAGCTATTTGCAAATCATGTATCTGATAAGGGTCTAGTACTATATAAAGAACATTTACGGCCAGGTGTGGTGGCTCACGCCTGTAATCCCAGAACTTTGGGAGGCCAAGGCGGGTGGATCATGAGGTCAGGAGATCGAGACCATCCTGGCTAACACGGTGAAACCCTATCTCTACTAAAAAAATACAAAAAATTAGCCGGGCGTGGTAGCGGGCATCTGTAGTCCCAGCTACTCGGGAGGCTGAGGCAGGAGAATGGCGTGAACCTGGGAGGCGGAGCTTGCAGTGAGCCAAGATCGTGCCACTGCACTCCAGCCTGGGCGACAGAGCGAGACTCTGTCTCAAAAAAATAAAAAATAAAGAGAGAACATTTACAACACAACAACAAAAAGATAATCCAATTGAAAAATGGACAGGAGGCTGGAATAGACATTTCTCCAAAGAAGACAGTCAAATGGCCAATATGTACATGAGGGTATTAGTGATCAGGGAAGTGCAAATCAAACCCCAACGGGATACTGCTTCACATCCACTAGGATAGCTATTAAAAACAAACAAACAAACAGAAAACAAGTGTTGGTGAAGATGTGAAGAAATTGAAACCCTCATGCTGGTGGGAATATAAAATGGTGTAGCTGGCCAGATGCGGTGGCTCATGCCTGTAATCCCAGCACTTTGGGAGGCCGAGGTAGGAGGATTACTTGAGCACAGGAGTCCGAGACCAGCCTAGGCAACAAACTGAGACTCTATCTCTACAAAAAATATGAAAAATTAGCCGGGCATAGTGGCGCAGGCCTGTAGTGCCAGCTACTTGGGAGGCTGAGGAGAGAGGATTGCTTGAGCCCCAGGAGGTTGAGGCTGCAGTGAACCATGACTGCACCACTGCACTCCAGCCTGGGCAATGGGAGTGAGACCCTGTCTCAAAACAACAACAACAAAAACAACAACAACAAAAAAACACCAGTGCAACTGCCATAGAAAACCATTCCTTGGTTCCTCAAAAAGTTAATCACAGAGTTACCATGTGACACACAGTAACTCCACTCCAAGGTATAAACACAAAAGGATCGTAAGACAGGTATTCCAACGAACACTCATACACAAATATTCACAGCAGCACTATTCACAACAGCCAAAAGATGGAAACAACCTAAATTTCACCAGTGGGTGAATGGATAAACAAAATGTGGTCTACTCATAGAATGGAATAGTATTCAGCCATAAAAAGGAATGAAGTAGGCCGGGTGCAGTGGCTCACGCCTGTAATCCCAGCACTTTGGAAGGCCGAGGCAGGCAGATCACCTGAGGTTGGGAGTTCAAGACCAGCATGACCAACATGGAGAAACCCCATCTCTACTAAAAAAAGTACAAAATTAGCTGGGTGTGGTGGCGCATGCCTGTAATCCCAGCTACTCAGGAGGCTGAGGCAGGAGGATTGCTTGAACCCGGGAGGCGGAGGTTGCAGTGAGCCAAGATTGTGCCATTGCACTCCAGCCTGGGCAACAAAAGCAAAACTCCGTTTCAAAAAAAAAAAAAAAAAAGGAATGAAGTACTGATACATGATAGAACAGGAATGAACCTTGAAAACATTATGCCAAGCGAAAGAAGCAGACATAAAATACCCCATATTGTATGATTCCATGTATATGAAATATCCCGAACAGGCAAATCCAGAGACAGACAGCAGATTTGTTGTTCCTGGGGAATGGCAAGGGAAATGGGAGTGGCTGCTTAATGTTTTAGAACTAGATGAAGGTGACAGTTACACAACATTGTGAGTGTACTAAACGCCTCTCCCCTCCCCTCTCCTTTCTTTTCTTATTTATTTTTACTTTTATTTTTTTAAAGAAACACAATTTTGCTCTGTCACCCAGGCTGGAGTGCAGTGGCATGATCATAGCTCACCGCAGCCTTGAATTCCTAGGCTCAAACGATCCTCCTGCCTCAGCCTCCTGAGTAGCTGGGACTACAGGTGCACAACACCATGTGTGCCTAATTTTTTTTTTGTAAGAGACAGAGTCTTACTTTGTTGCCCAGGGTGGTCTTGAACTCCTGGGCGACCTTTCTTCCTCAGCCTCCCAAAGTGCGGGGATTACAGGCATGAGCCACTGTGCCCAGCCCTAAATGTCACTTTAAAATGGTTAATTGTGTTATATTAATTTTACCTCAATAAAAAAAAAATTACAGTGATCAGGGCAGACCTCTGAGAATCTGTTCTTCCAAGACCCGAGGCAGGGGAGGGGTCGTCCAGTAAGTATCTCTAGATGCCCCATTTGCATTCTCTCCAGTTTGCATAGGTAAACTCCTCCCTGCATCCTGGGAACTGTCATTTGGGTTTAGGAGGCCTCCCTCCCTAGTGTCCCACCAGAGGATCTGCAGGGCAGGTGGGGAGGGTCTATCTTGTTCATTTCATATTAGCTCCTAACCTGCTGATCAGCTGGTAAATGGGAATGTCCGCTGTCTCCCTGCCACACCCCTCAGAAGTGTCCCACGCCAACAGGCTCTGCATATGGATCTGGCAATCTCTGAGGAGGTGTAAGCGCTGGAGAAGCGGCTGCTTGAGTGAAAAAGCCATAGGGTGTTGGTTACTCCGGAGCAGGATTTCCCAACCTCAGCACTAGGTTTAGGGGTGGATCATTCTCCTTGGTGGGGCTGTCTGGGCACTGCAGCATGTTCAACAGTATCCCTGGCCTGTGTGTGCTAGATGCCAGTAGCAGCCCCTCCTGTCCAGTGATGACAACCTCAAGTGGTCTCTAAACATTGCTGAGTGTCCCCTGGGGGCACTGAAATCCCGCATTCTGTAGAGAGATCAATTAGTATGTCTTGGGGAACTTGACCATGCTAAACCTCTCCCCTCCTCGTAGCTCTAACCTTTGGAAAATTAATTGGTTTCAGTCTCCTCTTCTGCCCTGGAGTTAGGTTTGGCATTTTGGAAGCACCATAAAACCATCCCTTCCAGGCCGGAGGGAGAGTGGAACCTGCTTTCCAGGTGGGAAAACGGAGTCTGAAATAGAAACCCCCTCAGTAAAAGTCTCGGAAAGCCAGGAAAACCAGGCTTCCTTTTGTCACCAGCTTCAGCCTTTGCCTCCAGCTGAAAGCACACTCTGAAAAGCAAAATCCGAGACTCAGGGCAATTTGGGGAGCCAACAAAAGCCGGCCTTGCCGACGATCATCTCTGATTGGCTTTCTGCCTCTGAGCTGACAGGCATTAGGAGCCCAGAGAACAAAGCTGGGCTGTGTTGCACAAATACTCCACTCTGCCTCACCCTGCAGCCTGGAAAATAAGAGACAATATTTGTACACAGAGCAGCAACGCCAAGCCCTTCCCTGGTCTCCTCTCGCTATGATTTGAAGCTGACTTCGCTTTCTCTCCCTGCCAACTCAGCCTCCTTACACGCGCTTCTGCCATCCCACTCCTCCGGTTCCCTGGTCTCCTGCCCCTCAATGGCAGGGATGTGACTTCCTTTGGACCGGCTCTGGCACTGAAGGTTCCAGGAAGAGTCCCAGAAGTCCACCATGCAGCATGCAGCACTTTTATGGGCTGCAATATCAGGGTTTCAACTGGCCAGTGTTGCCTGGATTTCAGACCCAGGGCTCTCTGGGTATGGCAATAAAACCTTAGCACGTAGGCAAAAATAAAGAGGTTCTACTCTCCCACCTTGCTTCATTTTCTTACTTCTTATCAAACACAGATACTCACACTGCTTTTCCAACATCATCCCCCCTCCCTCTGCTCACCCGCACCCCCGCAAGTGTCCACAGACATGCCCCAGATGGACATCTGCAACAATGACCTCAGACCCTTGCTACTCAAAGTGTGGTCCCAGAACCAGCACCGGTTAGGAATGCAGCCTTAGACCTTGCATCCACCTGCTGAGTCAGAACCTGCATTTAAAAAGATCGCCAGGGGATTTGTGTGCACCGGGAAGTTTAGGAAGTGCTAAGTGCCTCTATTTCAGGGATAGGAGGAGGAGCTCAGGTAATTGCGGTTTTGAGTCATCCAGAAAGAGGTGGGGGTTCCTGTTTCTCCTCCAAGCTTTCTCCTCCACGTTCTGACCCCAGGGGGAGAACTGAACAGCCCTGGGTACCAGCCTTCTGCTCCCACTTGGGTAAAGAGCCTGAGAAGAAACCGAAGATTTTGATGAAATAAAAGCAATGTTGGAATGCGACAAAAGCAGAAAAGAAAATTTCAGCCTAATGCATGTGGAAGTATTCAAAGCCTTCCCATGGATCCCATCTCACTCAAAAGCAAAAACAAAGTCCTTCCAGCACCAGCAAGGTGCATGACCTGCTCCCATTACCTCCCTCCCCTCATCTCCTCTATTCTCTCCCTTAGTCACTCAGCTACAGCAACGCCGGCCTCCCTTTTATTCCCCAAACTCCCCAGGCACATTTGTACCCAGGGGCCTTTGTACCTGCTGTTCATTCTCCTGGAATAGTCTTTCCCCAGACATCCACATGACTCCCTCCCTCACTTCCTTTAGGCCTTTACTCAAAGGTCACATCCATCAACCCCCTTAGCCTGCTTATTTTTTTCTTTCTTTAGTCCCCGTCCCCAGTCAAGCATCTGCTATTTTTTTCCTTCTTTATCTTGTTCCCTGTCTCTCCCACGAGACTGCACACTCTATGCACGTGGGGATTTTTTGTCTACTTTGTTCACTGCTTCATCCTCTGTGCCCAGGAGAGCATTCTCTATATAGTAGATGCTCAAAAAACACCAGTGGAAGGGCCTGGTGCGGTGGCTCACACCTGTAATCCCAGCACTTTGGGAGGCCGAGGCGGGTGGATCACCAGAGGTCAGGAGTTCGAGACCAGCCTGGCCAACATGGTGAAACCCCGTCTCTACTAAAAATACAAAAATTAGCTGGGCATAGTGGCAGACGCCTGTAATCTCAGCTACTTGGGAGGCTGAGGCAGGAGAATCACCTGAACCCGGGAAGCAGAGTTTGCAGTGAGCCGAGATAACGCCACTGCACTCCAGCCTGGACAACAGAACGAGACTCCGTCTCAAAAACAAAACAAAACAAAACAAAACAAAACAAAACAAAACAAAAATCACCGGTGGAGGAAATGAAGGAAGGGGACATGGGTCCTGCTGCCTAGAAACCCCGACTTCATCTCAAGCCAAGTCTCCATGAGCATGTTAAGGACACAATGAAACCCCCTGAAATATGCAATGATGTACTTGGTGCCCAGATGAAAGAAAGATGGGCTGCTGAGTTCTTGGCATGGTAAGAGATGCCTCGCCCGAGGCAGAAGCCAAAGGTTTCACTGGGTAGTCGAGCTGGGGGGCAGGCGAGGCTTTCTCAGCCCAACCTCAAGTCATGCCTGATCCTCCCGATTTAGAAAGCCTGAGTTCTAACTCACAGCTGCGGTGAGCAATGCCTCTGTTAGCTGAGCTGAGCCTTTCTGCTCCCTGATTGGCTCGGAGAGAAAGCACCTGTGTCAGCGGGATCCAGAAAAATCAGCCATCCTAGGAGGCCAAAGCGGGGCGGGGGCTGAAAGAAGAGAAGCATCCCTGATGGGAGGAAAAGCTGGCTTCCGAAATGGCTCTCGGAAGTCAGGATAGCAGACAGCCCTGCAGGCAGGTGAGGAGACACAGAGCTCTATACACAATGAAATTGATCAGGACCTGCAGAGGCCCCAGAGAGAGGCTGTATGTGACCCTGGAAAAGACCAAGTTTGACTCTGCGTAGGGAAGAAGGAGGGCTTGCATCTGAGAACAGGACCTTGCTCTTCAGATTCAGAACATGAAGGAAAATTCTCAAAGTGGGCGTGGCTGATGGTTCCCATCCCTTAGCAAGACCTTGCAGTGTCCAAGTAATCCTTGCATCCCTCTGTGGTGCCCTTCACCCTCATCTCATTTCAAGCCTCCTGTGGTTGGTGCGGAAATCAAATCAGGTTTGTCAACTCTTTGTGACCTTGTCTCCACTATGGGGACTGCTGATGGGTGGGTTCTAAGGAAACAGATACTTGTAGCAGTTAGCCAGGTCATTGAGCTTGTGTGAAGAAGCCAAACAGACCTCATTTTCATGTAAGTTCCATGCTCATCACAATCACCAGGAAAAAGAGTAGAGGGTACCAGAACCCTAGATATATGGGTTTAAGACATATTCCTTGGTCCATTAAACACATACCCCAATTTCACTCTGCAATATGATCAACTATTATGGGGCCATTAACAAGCACAGCGACCATAATTACAGCTGCCTTGTTTCCAACTGCTTCTTTGGGCAGATACCGTGGTAAGCACTTTGTTTCAGTTAATTCCTTGCAACATTTCTACAAGGTGGGTTCTGTGGTAAGCCTCATTTTCCACACAAGAAAATCCAGGCTCAGAGAGATTAAACAAATTTTCAAGGTCACATAGGAGGTACTGGCAGAGCTGGGGCTCACACCCAGGTCTGCCCAACTCCACAGTCTATGCCTTTTTTTGTTTGTTTGTTTGAGTTAGGGTCTTGCTCTGTTGCCCAGGGTGAAATACAGTGGCACGATCACAGCTCACTGTAGCCTTGACCTCCCAGGCTCAAGCGATCCACCCACTTCAGCCTCCTGAGTAGCTGGGACTATAGGTGCATGCCAACACACCTGGCTAACTTTTAACATTTTTGTAGAGATGAGGGTCTCACCATGTTGCCTAGGCTGGTCTTGAACTCCTGGGCTCAAGCGATCCTCTCACCTTGGCCTTTCAAAGTGCTGGGATTACAGGTATGAGCCACTGTGCCCAGCCCACAGTCTATGCTTTTAAGCTGGTGGTCCCCAAAGACCACTCAGGAGCTATCCTGGTTAGAAGATAGATGGGTTTGCCTTTATTTAAAAAAAAAAAAAAATAGAATGCAGGTGCACTTGGGGCCCTAACCATATGGATTAGACCAAATGGGTTACACCTCACCCAAGTCCCAACCAATGGCCACAGTTTAGTAAAGGCCAACCATTGCATGCTAGTCCACGCCCTCATAAGCCCATCTCAAGTAGGAATTATTCATGACTATTTCAACTTCAAACAATCCAAACAGTCTCCAGTTCCCAGACATGGGCTTTAAAATCTTCAACACACAGTTCTAACCAAAATGAAGCCTGGAAAAGATCTCTCCACTCGCTGATCAGCCTAAGACTCTTAGCAGGGATGGCATGCTAACAAGGGCAACCCTAGCGCTGCCCGGGATGTTTTCAGCACCACGGCCAGCGGCAAAGAGGCACAAGTTTAATTTCACTTGCACCCAGGGATGGGAATCCCCGGGGAGAGAAAACAAAACCAGCAGCAACTATTAACACTCTCTGAGACATCTGCAAAGACCTACATTTCACATACAGGGTAGAGGCAAAAAAGATTAATCATGTCATCAGGAAAATCAAATGAAGAGAAAATTAAAAACAGTATCAAATAGGTTTGTGTGTCATTTGTTTTTCATATTATCCAACAATGTCCAACACTTTGGTTCTGAAATGAGAAGTCTACTCAGGGCTGCTAAATCATGCTTCTGCTTAGAAAACTGGCAATATCTGCACTAAAAAATAGTAGTGCAGAGGAGTTGAAAGGATTTGGGGATCAGACGTGGCCTTGACCTTGGGCAAGGCAGTTTCCTTCTCTGAGCCTCAGTTTCCTCATATATAAAAGGTAGAAAATAGCATCAACCTCATAGGTTGTGTGAGAATGGAATGAGCTGATACACACAATAATCTATTACAGGGCCCTGCATATAGTAAGTGCTCAAGGAATGTGAGTGTTTTATATTGTTTATTTTGGTTCCCATGATGACTAGAAAATTTAATGTGGGCCAAATGCAGAGGTAGATGCCTATCATCTCAGCCCTTTGGGAGGCCAAGGCAGAGGATCGCTTGAGGCCAGGAGTTTGAGGACAGCCTGGGCGACACAGCAAGATCCTGTCTCTACAAAAATACATTTAAAAATAAGAAAACTAGCCAGGCATGTTGGCACATGCCTGTAGTCCTAGCTACTCGAGAGACTGAGGCAAGAAGATTGCTTGAACCTGGGAATTTGAGGCTGCATTGAGCTATGATCATACCATGGCACTCCAGTCTGGGCAACAGAGCAAGACCCTATCTCTTAAAATAAATAAATACATACATTTTTTTAAAAAAGAAAACTTAATATGCTTATAAAAACAGGATACAATTTATCTCATTGTAATCATGCAATAAATGTTCATTACTTTATGACAATTGCTGCTAATAGTAAATAACTTTTCCAATTTTTTTTTTTTTTTTTTTTTTAGAGACCGAGTCTTGCTCTTTCGCCCAGGCCAGACTGCAGTGGTGCTATCTCGGCTCACTGCAAGCTCCGCCTCCCAGGTTCACGCCATTCTCCTGCCTCAGCCTCCCGAGTAGCTGGGATTACAGGCGCCTGCCACCGCGCCCGGCTAATTTTTAGTATTTTTAGTAGAGACGGGGTTTCACCGTGTTAGCCAGGGTGGTCTCGATCTCCTGACCTTGTGATCTGCCCACCTTGGCCTCCCAAAGTGCTGGGATTACAGGCGTGAGCCACTGCGCCCGGCCAACTTTTCCTATTTTTGCCCTTCTAGGTCTTGGTTCCTTTTCTTTTCTTTCCTTTTCTTTTGGTTTCTTTTCTTTTCTCTTCTCTTCTCTTTTCTTTTTGAGACAGAGTCTTGCTCTGCCACCCAGGCTGGAGTGCAATGGTGCAATCTCGGTTGACTGCAGCCTCCACCTCCTGGGTGCGAGCAATTCTCCTGCCTCAGCCTCCCGAGTAGCTGGGACTACAGGCGTGCAGCACCATACCTGGCTAATTTTTTGTATTTTTTAGTAGAGACATGGTTTCACCATGTTGGCCAGGCTAGTCTTGAACTCCTGACCTCAAGTGATCTGCCCACCTCAGCCTCCCAAAGTACTGGGATTACAGGCATGAGCCACCGCGTCCAGCCTTAGTTCCTTTTCTTCAAGGAGGGAGGGAAGGGACAATACCTACCGTCATCATAGCTGAACAGACCTCTCAAATCTGAAATGTTTCCAAGAACATACTGCAGTGCATGCATATGTGTGGTCCACTCACTGAATATTATACTCAAAATAAATGTTGCCAAAAAAAATCTTCATTGGACATTTCATGTAAATGGAATTAAACACGATGTTGCCTTTTGTGTCTGGCTTCTTTCACTCAGCATCAACTTTTTTGTTTTGTTTTGTTTTGTTTTTTGAGATAGGGTCTCACTCTGTTGCCTAGGCTGGAGTGCAGTGGTATGATCATGGCTCACTGCAGCCTCGGCCTCCTGGGCTCAATCGATCCTCTCGCCTCAGTCTCCTGAATAGCTGGGACTACAGGCACATGTCACCACACCTGGCTAGTTTTTTGTAAATTGTTTTGTAGAGATGGAGTTTTGCTATGTTACCCAGGGTGGTCTTGAACACCTGGGCTCAAGCGATCCGCCCACCTCAGCCTCCCAAAGTTCTGGGATTACAGGTGTAAGCCACTGTGTCCAGCCACATCATATTTTTGAGGTTCATCTATGTTGTAGCAAAGATTAGTATTTCATTCCTTTTTAAGGCAGACTAATATCTGAGGAAGGCATATCACACTTGGTTTATCTGTTCATCCATGGATGGACTTTTGGGATATCTCATCCTGTTGACTACCTAGAATAGGTAAATCCATAGAGACAGAATGCAGATGGGTGGTTGCCAGAGGCTGGAGGAAGGTGGTGGGGAGGGGAGAAGGAGAGAGACTGCTTAATGGGTACAAGGTCTCCTTTAGGGGTGGTGAAAATGTTCTGGAGCTAGACAGAGGTGGTAGTTACATAACAGTTGGAGTGCAGTAAATGCCACAGAGCCGTTCACTTTAAAATGGTTAATTTTCTGTTATGCAAATTGCACCTGATTTTTTTTAAATTCCATTTTGGTTTTGCTTTTTTTTTTTTCTTTCCCCTTGACTCTCTCCTCAGGGTTCCCATCATGGGCCTTTACTCATTGCACTTTACCCTGGGCGACACAGTGAGGCTCTGTCCTTTTTTTTTTTTTTTCCTTTTCTTTTTTTTTAAGACGGAGTCTTGCACCTAACCTGGGTCAGCACCCAGGCTGGAGTGCATGGAGTGCAGTGGCACGATCTTGGCTCACTGCAGCCTCCATTTCCTGGGTTCAAGCTATTCTCGTGCCTCAGCCTCCCTGGTAGCTGGGACTGCAGGCACCCACCACCATACCTGGCTAATTTTTGCATTTTTAGTAGAGTTGGGGTTTCACCATGTTGGCCAGACTGGTCTCGAACTCCTGACCTCAAGTGATCTGCCCACCTCAACCTCCCAAAGTGCTGGGATTACAGGCGTGAGCCACCATGCCCATCCGAGACTCTGTCTTTTAAAATACTGCTGCTGCTGCTGCTACTTTCTTCAATAATAATAATAATAATCATCATCATCATCATCTGACCACGCATCCTTGTGCACTTGTGAGAATTTTTCTGCAGAATAAATTCCGTGATGTGAAATTGCTGATTTTTTTTCCTCTGAGCCCTCAACCATTTAGAGAAGCATGATATGGACGGTTTTCAAGAGTCCTTCCCTCTCTCTTTTAAATTTCCATTATTTATTTATTTATTTATTTATTTATTTATTTATTTGTAGAGATGGGTCTCGCTATGTTGCCCAGGCTAGTCTCAAACTCCTGGGCTCAAGCTATCCTCCTGCCTCCCCACCTCCCAAAACACTGGGATTACAGGCGTGAGCCACTGCATCCAGCTACAGGGAAGTTAATGTTTTAATAAAAGCTGGAGGAGGCAAGGGAATGAGCCCTGTTTCTGTCTGGGAGAAGAGTAACCCAGGAGGGGAAGCAGCCAGTACAAAGAATGTGTGTGGGAAAAAATTTGAAAGACAAACACGAAATTGCTAGCAGAGGTTATCTCTGGGAGGTGGGATGGGGTAAGGGCTTTTCACCTTCTAAATGACACACTACACATTTTTTAAGCTTTTAAAAAACCACACAAAACAACAAGCCCATATTCTTTTCATAATTAAAACCTTTTTTTAAAAAAAGGGGGATGCCAGGCATGGTGGCTCACACCTGTAATCCCAGCTACTGGGGAGGCTGAGGCACGAGGATCACTCGAGCCCAGAAGGTCAAGGCTGCAGTGAGCTGTGATCACTTCACTGCACTCCAGCCTGGGTGACACAGTGAGACCCTATCTTTTAAAATGATAATAATAACTATCTCACCATACATCCTTGTGCACTTGTGATAATTTTCCTGCAGCATAAATTCCAAGATGTGAAGTTGCTGGATGTCAGAGGGGATGCACACTGACTTTTTCTTTTCTTTTTTTTTTTTTGTGAGACAGAGTCTCAGTCTGTCGCCCAGGCTGGGGCGCAGTGGGGTGATCTCGGCTCACTGCAGCCTCTGCCTCCTGGGTTCAAGTGATTCTCCTGTCTCATCCTCCCGAGTAGCTGGGATTACAGGCACCTGCCACCATGCCCAGCTAATTTTTTTATTTTTAGTGAGGATAGGGTTTCACCACGTTGGCCAGGCTAGTCTCGAACTCCTGACCTCAGGTGATCCACCCACCTCGGCCTCCCAAAGTGCTGAGATTACAGGCATGAGCCACCATACCCGGCCCACATTAGATATTTTCTGGATATTTACAGGGCTATATTTTACAGTTTTTAAAAAGTGAGATGAGTGAGTGTGTGTGTGTGTGTGTGTATGTACCTTCTGAAATTAAATCCATAATTTAAATGTATAAATTCCTCTGGGCCAAAAAGTTTAAACATGGAAGAATTAACATGACTCATGGAAAACACACAAATACACAAAAGTAAAATAAAGATCCCTTGATGAAAACAGAAAGAAAAAACAAAACAACAAGCCAAGTTTTAAACAAAAAGTATTAATCAATTTCAGACTCTCGGGGTCGGGAAGAGAGTGAGGAGTGAGGATGCTTCAGTGTCAGATTCCAAACAAGAACTGAAGACCTTCTCCCTGTTTATCTTTTTTTCTAGGTCAGTAAAGTTCTCTAGGGACCTCTGAGTGGTGTGAGGTCTCTGTCTCCTGATTCAATTTTCAACCACTTTCCCTTATATGTTCACTCTACCAAGGGGGAATCCTTTTCCTCTCTGGCAATAGTGACATCCCTGTTCAGTGGTCAGTAAAATCCTCCATTTCCCTGGTCTCTCTCTACACAGTCCATCTACTTCATGGTTTAAACTTAAACCTGGAGGTCAGGCGCAGTGGCTCACACCTGTAATCCCAGCACTTTGGGAGGCCAAGGTGGCCGGATCACTTCAGATCAGGAGTTTGAGACCAGCTTGGTCAACATGGTGAAACCCTGTCTCCACTAAAAATACAAAAGTTAGCTGGGCATGGTGGTGCGTGCTTGTAATCCCAGCTACTTAGGAGGCTGAGGCAGGAAAACTGTTTGAACCCAGGAGGCGGAGGCTGCAGTGAGCCAAGATCGTGCCGCTGCACTCCAACCTGGGTGACAGAGCAAGACTCTGTCTCAAAATTAAACAAACAAATAAAAAACCTTTAACCTGGAAATTCCCTGCAGACCATCAACTCTAAGACCAAGGTGGGGCCACTGGCAGCCTCAAATTAGTTCCTAAGAACAAAAGGAAAGCTCAGCTCTGGAATATGTCCACCATCATGGCCCCCAGAAAAACCAGTGAGAAGGGCCCCAAGAAAGCAAGAGAATCAAAGAAAGACCTTCCCAACTCAGATAAGGTGGAAAAGGTGCCCCCAAGAAGTCAGGTGAGGTGAGGAGGGCTCCCTCAAAAGCAGGTGTAGCCAAGAAGGCCCCCAAGAAAGTCAGCAAAGCCAAGGAAGTCTTCCTTAAACCAGCCAATGCCATGAAGGTCCCTCCCAGTGCTGCTGGGCTCAATGGGAAGTCCAAAGTCAGAGGTAGCACCAGCAGCCAAGATCCTGAGATCCACAGGAAAACAGAAGCTGGGAGCTAAGACTCCGACGGAACCTGTTAACATTTGATGACCTCCAATTTCCCTGTGGAGAGACCATTGTCCATGCTGGTCCCCTGCTTCCTTGATCACTGGAGGATGTCCCTACCTCTTCATCAATAACCAATGTCTCCTCCAAGCCACTCCAGCTATGCATGCTCAGAAGCTACACCAGCCACCTCCAAAACACCTGTTTCCAGCATCCTTGTCTTGAACCACCTCTTTTTTTTTTTTTTTTTTTTTTTTTTTTGAGACGGAGTCTCGCCCTGTCGCCCAGGCTGGAGTACAGCAGCTCCGCCTCCCGGGTTCACGCCATTCTCCTGCCTCAGGCTCCTGAGTAGCTGGGACTACAGGCGCCCGCCACCACGCCTGGCTAATTTTTTTTTTTTTTTTTGTATTTTTAGTAGAGACAGGGTTTCACCGTGTTAGCCAGGATGGTCTCGATCGCCTGACCTTGTGATCCGCCCGCCTCGGCTCCCCAAAGTGCTGCGATTACAGGTGTGGGCCACCGCGCCCGGCTGAACCACCTCCTCTTTAACCACCTCCCAGCTCACTAACTCCCTTAAATGCAAACCAACGTCCATCCCATCGAGCCCTGCAACCCACTGACCCCGCCATTTCTCAGGACCCTCTCCTGCCTTGTCAACCTTACATAGGTTGATTATATCGCACTTTCTTGCCTCCTGTTTCTCTCCTGGAAAAAATCCATCCCTGCATGAACTCAACTAGTTGCCTTCCCCATACCTGGGCAGTGGAGCATTCCTGAATGAGATCAACTATCTGGGCTGGTGACATTAAATTCATGATGCTAAACTCAAATGGGCATTTGAGAATCCCAGCATCCTATATCAGAGAAGACACCCGTGCATATTGGTATAATGGATGGGAATGACCCAATTTACAGAAATCAATATTCTTCCATCATTAAAACCTCCACCCTTGACTGAAAATTTTCCTTCAGCCACCAACCAATTTCTCTACTCCCCTTCATGAAGAGTTGCCTTCACGTGTTCCTGCCACTTCCTCACTGCACATTCTTCTCCTACCCTCCCCAGGCTGGTTTCTAGCCCCCATCACTCAACCAAAACTCTTCCAAAGAGGATCACCAAAGACCCCCAGGCTGCCAAATCCCAGGGCCATTTTTCTGTGCCCAGATTACTTGACCATGCCCTTCTTAATGTTGTTCTAGTTTTCCTCCTATCCTCCTGGTCTCTACTTCTCAATCTTCCCTTTTTGCTCCTCTTTTTCTATCCAATCTCTAAATGTTGGTCTTCCCTGGGGCTTAATCCTAGGTAATCACCCTTTATCTATCTCTATCCTCTTTCTAGAGCTTGCATGCATTTCGATGTATTTTGCCATTCTCTTGTTGCCCTTTCTCCCTAAAATATCCACTCATTGCCCTGTTTGGCATCCTGGTAGAGGCAGGGCTGACTTCTGTGACTGCATCATCCAAGCCCTGCAACGCTGCCCTCCACCACATCTTCTGCCTTCTGGGTTGGCTTGGCCAACGGGAGGCACCAGCAAGAGATCAGAGAGGAGGGGGAGTTGGGGCATTTCTCCATTTGATTTCCTCCCTGCTACAGTGTGTGGTCTTAGCAATAGCTATACCACTCTGTGTCTTCTTAGAGCATCTCATAGGAGTGTCTATATTAGTCTCCTAGGGCAGTCATGACAAATTGCCACAGATTGGGTGGCTTAAAACAACAGAAATTTATTCTCTCGTCATCCTGGAGGCAAGGTTCTGAAATTAGGGGGTTTCCCTTCAAAGGCTCTAGGGGAGGATCCTTCCTTGCCTCTTCCCGCTTTTGGTGCCTCTACATGTCTTTTGGCTTGTGGCTGCAGCACTCCATTCTCTGCTTCTATTGCCACATGACTTTCTCCCCTGTACCTTCTCATATAAAAGCACTTACCATGGAATCTCGAGTCCACTGTAATCCAGGATGACCTCATCTCAATCCCTGACTCAATGACATCTGCAAAGATCCTACTTTCAAATGAGGTCTCAGGTTCTGAAGTTCCAAATGCATCTGAATTTTTGGTGGACAGGATTCAAACCACTACAGTGTCCAAGGCCCAAACTCTTCCATTCCCTCCCTAATCCCATGTCTCTTTCTCTATTAACCTTTGTTATGAATTGTACCACCAGCTGCCTAGTAAGGAGCTCAATCAGGTAAGGTTACCCTAAGAGACCTTCCCAGTTCCTACATCTTCCTCCCCCTACAGCTGATGTATCATCAGACCCCACCAATTCTACTTCCGAAATTAGACTTTGAATCCTCCTGCTCAGCATTGCCTCTTCAGCACCACCCAAGGTCAAGCCACTGTCCCTTCCCACAGAAATATCTATAATCTCAGTAGACTCCAAAGTGGTCTATCCATTTCATTCTCCAGAGAGAAGCCAGGGCATTATGCTAAGTGAAAGAAGCCAGACACGAAAGGTCACACAGTGCCTGAATTCATTTATATGAAAGAGCCAGTATAGGTAAATCCATAGAAACAGAAAACAAATTTGTAGTTACCAGGAGTGGTGGGGGTTGGGGGGATACCGGGAGGGGAGGATGAGGAGCAACTGCCTCATGGATACAGGGTTTTCTGGAGGGGTGGTGATGAAAATATTTCAGCACTAGAAAGAGGTGGAGGTTGTACAATATTGTGAATGCGCTGAATGCCACTGAATTGCTCATTTTAAAATGGTTAACTTATGTTGCATGAATTTCACCTCAATACAAAAATTATTTTATTGAGACAGGATCTCACTCTGTTGCTCAAGCTAGAGTGCAGGGGCACAATCACGGCTTACTGGAGCCTCAACCTTTGGGGCTCCAGCAATCCTCCTACCTCAGCCTCCCGGGTAGCTGGGACTACAGGTGCACACTATCACACCCAGCTAATTTTTAATTTTTATTTTTATTTGTAGTGATGGGGTCTCCCTATGTTGCCCAGGCTGGTCTTGAACTCCTGGGCTCAAGTGATCCTCCCACCTCAGCCTCCCAAAGTGCTAGGATCACAGGTGTGAGCCACCATGCCCAGCTAAAAAATATATAGACAGGTAGATAGATATGTATATATGTATACATATATATGCTTTATATATGTAATATTATATGTTTGTATATATGTATATATATTTAAAGTAAAGCAGTTCTGTCCCATCCCACTTAAGCTTCTCTGAGGACTTCTCATTGCATGTAGAATAAAGTTCACCTCCGGAACTTGACCTAGAAGGTCTTGTGTGACCTGTCTCTGCCAACTTCTTGGGTGTCTTCCCACCTGTGAGTCCCTTTGCTCATCAGACTCTAGCTACACTGGCTCATTTTTAACATGATGAACTTGTTCCTTCCCCAGGGCCTTTGCACATGCTGTTCCCTCTGCCTGGGATTCTCTTCCTCCCTCTGTCTCATTCTGTTCACACTCTGCTCTGTGCTTAACAACCTTCAGGTCTTCACTTACGTGGTACCCCTGTACTTCTAATTATCCTCTACGCAAAGGGCCTGTAGTAGGTTACTTATTTTATTTTATTTTTCAGAGATGGGGCCTTGCTCTGTCACCCAGCCTAAAGTGCAGTGGTGCAATCATACCCATGCTTTAGCCTCTGGAGCCTCTGGCCATGACCTTATTTAGTAAAACGGCCTCTGCAAGTATAATTAAATTAGAGATCTCAAGATGAGATTGTCCTGGATTATCTGACGGGCTCAAAATCCATCGACAAAGATCCTTATAAGAGACAGAAGAGGCCAGGTGCAGTGGCTCACACCTGTAATCCCAGCACTTCGGGAGGCTGAGGAGGGAGGATCACTTGAGCCCAGAAGTTCAAGACCAGTCTGGGCAATATAGTGAGATCCCATCTCTATCAAAAATTTAAAAATTAGCTGAGTATGGTGGTGCACGCCTGTAAGTCCCAGCTGCTCAGGAGGCTGAGGTGGGAGGATTGTTTGATGCTGGGAAGCAGCAGTTGCAGTGAGCTATAATTGCACTGCTGTACTCTTGTACAGGGTGACAGAGTGAGGCCCTGACAAAAAAAAAAAAAAGAGAGAGAGAGAAGAGGAAGAGAAGACACTGACATGAAGGAGAAGGCCATGTGAAGACAGAGGCAGAGACTGCAGTGATGCAGCCACAAGCCAATCAAGCCAATGTATGCTAACAACTACCAGAAACTGGAAGAATCAAGGAAGCATTCTTCTCTAGAGCCGTCCAAGGGAGCTCAGCACTGCTGATGCCTTGATTTTGGTCTTCCAGCCTTCAGAACTGGGTGACAATATATTTATGTTGTTTTAAGCCATATAGTTCATGGCAATTTGTCCTGGCAGCCCTAGGAAACAAACACAGGACCCTGCTGGTTTTCTCCCAAACACTTACCACAATTAGTAATTATGTCTGTATTTGCCTATTCCTTATTTTATGCCTTCTTTTCCTGTTACAAGTTCCAGGAGGGCCAGGAGGAACCACATCTGTCCTGCCCACTGTCATGTCCCCACCATGTACATCCCAGTTCCAGGCACATGGCAGGCTCCCCCCCACCCCCCTGCCTCCCAAAATGTTTATTGAATGAGCAAATGGATCCACCTCTCCTTCATTTCTCTTTACATCTCAGCGGCAGTCCTTCTTGCATCTTCCACCTTCACTTCTAACTCTGAGCTGTTGCATTAGCAACTCCAGTTAAACAGATTTTCTGGAAAGCCCCGGCCTCCCAATGAAACCTCCCTCACTTGCTCCCCACTGCACTTCCCCAAATATTTGGGTCTGCCTCGCCTTTTCCATCACTGGTTCTGCCATCCATGAAGATTCTCCTTGAAGCTTTATCATTAAAAAATAAACCCACATATTCTGTGTCTCCAAAAGAAGCTTTTACTTTTGCAAACTCTATTGATTTAATCCTAGAGGCTGCTGGCAGCAGTCCCAGGAGCTTAATCAATATGACAACACCCAGCGCAGACAGAACATCAAGGAGCCTCGGCCAAGATCTCCTGCTCGGGTCTTCACTGACCCCGACTGAATCTCTTACAACCATGAAGACAGATTTACAGTAGGGGGCAGGATATTTGCAACAGCTCCAGGATCTTGCTTAGGTGAGCAAAAGGAAATGCCTCCAAGCTTGAGGCGCTTCAGAGCTATTTGTTAATTTGCGACTATGGCCGATTCCCATAAGACTCAAGGAAGATGGAAGACAACAACAGAAAAACATTGCAGGTTCTAGAACCTGATTATAAACTCCCTGGTGGGGTGAGCAGGGGAGGAACAGGCAAAGGGGAGGTGGGAAAAAGAAGATGAAGATGTCAAGAGTTAAAAATGCAAAGAGTTTGCCAGGTGTGGTGGCTTACGCCTGTAATCCCAGCACTTTGGGAGGCCAAGGCGGGCGGATCACAAGGTCAGGAGTTCGAGACCAGCCTGGCCAATATGGTGAAACCCCGTCTCTACTAAAAATACAAAAATTAGCCGGGAGTGGTGGCAGACACCTGTAGTCCCAGCTACTTGGGATGCTGAGGCAGGAGAATCACTTGAACCCAGGAGGCAGAGGTTGCAGTGAGCCAACATCACACCACTGCACTCCAGCCTGGGCAACAGAGGGAGACTCCGTCTCAAAAAAAAAAAAAATGCAATGAGTTAAAACAGACATTCCTTCACCCCTTAGCAGACACTAAGTGACCAGAGAAGGAGAAAAAAAGGTCATAGAAACAAGGAGGTTGAGAATGACTAAATCAATGCCCCAGGCTTTAGAAACCATTAATCTCCTCGAAGGAGAAGTCAAACACTTCTCACATTTTATTCAAGATTGAAAAACAGGAAAATTAGAAGCACTATAGGAAGAAATTGGAAAGCAAGAAATATTTGTTAATCAGAAGTTTACATGCATGTGACATTTCCAAACCTATTGAGCCCTTATAGGAAAATATGAATATCCATCCCTAAAACATACATCAACATAATCTTCCTGGAGACACTGTGATTAGATATCAGCCCCAAAATGCAGATAATGAGGTATACAGTCAGCCTAGTCTATGTCCTGCTGCAGTAACAAACAATCCCCAGATCTCAGTGGTTGAACACACCCCAGGTCTATTTTTCTACTCATGCTATGAAGTGGGATGGGGACTGATCTATGTCATCCTCTCTCCAGCACTTACTTTGAGAGAGGGTCCATCTTTGTGCATCCATGACAGTGGAGGCAGGAAAAAGGAAACATGGTGAATCCCATGCTCACCCTTAAGGCTTCTGTCCGGAAGGACTCACGTCACTTCCCCTCACATTTCATTGATGAAACCAAATCACACAGCCATACCTAACTTCAGGGAGGTGGGGAAAATGACACTCTACTCTGTGCCCAGAGAAAAACAAGAAATGTTAGCTGAACAAGGTAAAGGATACCCCCTCAGGAAGATCATATGACTTGCCCAAAGTAAAGCAGCTTTGAAGGTGTCAGAAGTGGGACCTGAATTCAAGACTAAATGGTCCATGTCTTTTTGCACTATCACCCTGAACTTGGCAGGAGTTGAGAATTAAATCTAGATAGCAGTGAAGAGAAACATCAATGGAGGCAGGGGGCAGAAGGAACAAGGGAAAATAATACATCAAGTAAGGGAGAAATAAAAGGAGCCAGAAAATTACAACCAGAACATAATTAAAGGAGTTTCATCTTTAGAAACCAAAACACATTGTGAAAAGTAGGGAAAAAGTGGGGGAGTTTTACACTCTTTTCAGGGAGAGGCAAACAGTAACGGGATAGTGCAGGGGTTTATATGAGGCTATATAAGGAGGCGGGGACACAACCATGAAAGAAACTTGTACACTTCTTGTTCTTCCTCTGAAGCTGCCATCTTGGCTCAGACTGAAGGTCCAACAAATGCTAGTTGGTGCAACAGCAGCTCAGGAAGCTGGGGCCAGGGCTTACCAGGACTTCCATCAGCTGCACTGTTCCTCCCTGGACATTTTCCTGCTCAGTTCTGGGAAATCTGGACAAGAGTTGGATGATGTTCCAGAACAGATGGTGCTAGCTTGGTTCTTCTGATCATTCCTCCCCTATCCCTAACCCAAGCCAGACTGGAAGTAAGAAGGGATCCTGGTTCTGCCACCCTCCCGGCCAGCAGGTGAGAATTCTACACAGCCAGGTAGGTCAGTTTAGCACTAGAGCAGGGATTCTGGAAGGACTCACCATCATTGCCAACTCATCATCACCATTTCAGTTTTGAGCACCTATGATATGCCACCTGAGTACTTTCTGTGCATGAATGCATTGAGCCCTCACCACCTGTCTGCCTAGAAATCCTACTGGTCAACTTTCAACTTATATCCAGAATTAGTAGTTTCCAGAAGCTGGGGGAAGGGAGAAACTGGAAGTAACTACTAATGGGTGCAGGGTTTCCTTTAGGGGGGATGAAATGTTCTGAGATTAAATAGAGGTGACTGTTGCATAACAGGGTGACTGTAGTAAGTGCTGTGGAATTGCACACCTCAAAGTGGTAAATTTCATTTTATCACAATAAAAAAATTCATTTTATCACAATAAAAAAACTTAAAAATTATAACCAGAATCCAGCCACTCATTATTATCTCCACAGACAACAACCTGGTTCCACCCCCACTATTACCTGCCAGGACCAACACTGTCACCTCCTTCCTAATTCCCCAGCTTCTGCCCTGCCTGCCCCCAACCTTCAAAGTCTGTTCTTTTCACAGCAGCCAGAGGAGCCTATGAATATCTGAGTCAGGTCACGTCCCTCCTCTGCTCAAAAGCCCTCCGTGGCTCCCAGCTCCCTCAGAGCAAAAGCCAAAGTCCTCCCCGCAGCCCATAAGGCCCTCCAAAACCTGTCCCGTCACCTCTCTGTCCTTATCCTTGCACCTTCCCTCTCTCTTGCTCACTGGCTTCAGCCACATCTGCCTCCTCACTGTCACACATGTCACATATACCCCTACCTCAGGGCCTTTGCACCAGCTGTTCCTTCTTTCTCTAGACATCCTCACAGCTTCCTCAAGTCTTGGCTCCAATGCCATCGCCTCGATAAAGCTCTATCTAATACAGCAACTGCCTCCCCAGCCCTTTCTCTGCTGTTCTCTTCCCATTACCCTTATAATCTTCTAAAGTACTATGCAACTTACCTACTATTTTTGTTTCTTATCATACATCTCTCCCCATGAGCATGTAAGCTCCCAGAGGGCAGGGACTTTTGTCTGCTTCCTGTGTCTTGAAGAGTGCCTTGGCCACCATGTATACTCCTTCAGTGTTTGCTAAACAAATGCACAGCCCCATGAGGCAAGGACTGTTTTGCCCATTTTATGGAGGAGGAAAACTGAGACTCATAATCAGGTATGCAGCAGCAAACTGTCTGAATTCACAGCCCAAACTCAACACAGCGATCGTTCCTTATTATTATTCACACAGCAAAGATGGACCAGGCAGTGTTCTAAGGGCTGGGGATGCAACAGAAGACAAAATAGATAAAGCTGAGCCCTCATGGAGGTGATGCTGTATCTGGTTCAGTTGTTTCCTGCCCAAACTCTCATCCACTCTCACTTTTGGCTCTGACAGTGGCCTCTGAGTAACACAGTGTGACATGCCTTCAACTATGATCTGAATGTTCTATAGAAGCCGCCTTTCCATTATGCAACTGTGGTGGCTTTTCTTTTGTTATACGACGATTATTTGTCAACCCCACTATCTTTGCACTCAACCATGGGCCCCCTGGGCTCAGAGACCTCGTGACAGTCATCTTCTCATCACCACATCTGCAAATGTGTGGGTGGATGGGGCAGCAACAGTCCACCTCCTCCAAGAAGCAGTCCCTGATTTTTCCTCCCCAGACAAATCTTCGTCTCTCTGTTCTTGGAAACTCAAAGAACTAAGCACCTCCCTCGAGCTGCTGTGCAAATGTGTGTGTTGTGTTTTATTTGGTTCTTCCGTATTTTCACTCTGGAAGTCGACAGTTCTGGCCAGAATGCCACCCGCCCCCACAAAATAAACATGTCATTGTGATAAATGTTATGAAAGAAATGGGGTGAAGTCTAATTCAGACTTGGGGTGAGTTGCTGGGTCAGGAAAAGCTCTAAGGATGTTCCTTTTAAGAGGAAACCTAAAGGTTTTATTATTGTTGTTGTTGCTGTCATTTTTACAGACAGGGTCTCACTCTATCGCCCAGCCTGGAGTGCAGGACGCGATCACTCACTGCGGTCTTGAACTCCTGGGCTCAGGCACTCTTCCCACCTCAGCCTCCTAAGTAGCTGGAACTACAGGCATGCATTGCCACGTCCAGCCAATTTTTTATTTTTTTGTAGAGACGGGTCTTGCTATGTTACCCAGGCTGGTTTTGAACTCCTGGCCTCCAGCGATCCTCCTACCTCGGCTTCCCAAAGTGCTGGGGTTACAAGCGTGAGCTACCACACCTGGCCTAAAGGATTTATAAGGGTTCACCAAGTGAAGAATTGGGCAAAGGTATAAGTATTTCACAGCAGCTTTGTTCATAATGGCCCAAACGAGAATCAACAGAAATGCCAATCAACAGGTAAATGGATAAACAAACTGTGGTTATTTCCAGATGAATGCTATTGAGCAACAGAATGACAGAAGCCACAGTGCTCACTCATCCAACACATATTTATCAACTGCTTACTGCATGCCACCTGCTGATCTAGGCTGTTCTAGTCCACATTGGTGGGTAAAACCAAAAGATCAGGTGTGGTGGCTCACAGTAATCCCAGCACTTTGGAAGGCTGAGGTGGGTGGATCACCTGAGGTCAGGAGTTTGAGATCAGCCTGGCCAACATGGTGAAACCCCATCTGTACTAAAAATACAAAAATTAGCCAGGCATGGTGGTGGGTGCCTGTAATCCCAGCTACTCAGGAGGCTGAGGCAGGAGACTCACTTGAATCCGGGAGGTGGAGGTTGCAGTGAGCCCAGATCGTGCCACCACACTCCAGCCTGGGTAACAAGAGCAAAACCTCATCTTCAACAAAACAGAACAAAAAACGAATAAAATCACCTTCCCTTGTGGAGATCATAGTGATGTAGGGTGACAGATAGCAGACAGATGAGTAAGTAAGAAGGTGAAAAGTTCCAAAGGGGAAAATAAGGCAGAAGGGCGGGAGGCAAATGCTGAGAAGGTGGCCTTTGAGTGAAGTCCTGAAGGAGAGGAGGGAGAAGCCATGAGGTCACCTGAGAGAAGAACAATGCAGACAGAGGAAACAGCCAGTGCAAAGGCCCTGAGGTAGGACTGTGCCTGGTGTGTCTGAGGAAGAGTAAAGACAATGGCAGGAGCTGGGTGAGTGAGGCCAGAGATGCTCGTGGGCTTTTCCAAGTGATCTTCTCGGGCTTTCTCCCAAGGCAGAGAAAATCAGCAATGGGAAAGGAAAATGGCAACTTCTGGAGCTTGGGAAGAAAAGAGGAAAGAGGAAAGAAAAAACGAAGAGAGGGAAGAGGAGGAGGACAGGCCTGAGCTCAGAGTCCTGCCACCTTCACTCTTCATGTCTTATCAGACAAACAAGCCTGGAGTCAGGAGAGCCCATGTCCCAGTGGCCTGCCATGCTGTCCTAAAAGACAGACCAACAGAGAGAAAGAAAGGCTGGCCTTTAAGAAAGGAAGGGCAAAGAAGAACATAAACAAAGCAACAGAAAAAGTAAAGCTAATATATAATAACATATACTATACCAGCCGTTGACAAACTCTGGCCCATGGCTTGTTTGTGTAAACAAAGTTTTATTGGCAAATGGCCATGCCCATTCATTTACGTATTGCCTGTAGCTGCCTTTGCTATAATGGCAGAGTAGAGTGGTCCCAAAGAGACAGTATTTACTAGACATTTTCTAGCTAATCCTTTGCAGAAAACATTTTCTGATCCCCGTACTATAACAATAACATACAACTATATTAGCATATTACGTATTTGTAGCATATATAGTTGACCCCTGAACAACTCAGGTTTGAATTTTATGGGTCCACTTATGTAGATTTGTTTCCAATAACAGTTACACCAAGCGTGCTTGTCTTTCTGGCCTCCCCTTCCACCTCCACCTCTGCCACCCCTGAGACAACAAGACCAACTCCTCCTCTTCTTCAGCCTACTTAATGTGAAGACAATGAGGATGAAGACCTTTATAATGATCCCTTTCCAATTAATGAATAGTAAATATATTTTCTCTTCCTTATGATTTTCTTAAAATAATACTTTCTCCTCCCTAGCTTACTTTATTGTAAGAATACAGTATATAATGCATATAACATATAAAATCTGTCTTCATCGACTGTTTATGTTACTGGTAAGGCTTCTGGTCAAGAATAGACTGTTAGTAGTTAAGCTTTGGGGGAGTCAGAAGTTATACACAGGCTGGGTGCGGGGGCTCACACCTGTAATCCTAGCACTTTGAGAGGCTGAGGCAGGAGGATCACTTGAGCCCAGGAGTTCGAGATCAACCTGAGCAACAAAAGCGAGACCTTGTCTCTAATTTTAAAATTTCTAAAAAATAGAGAAAAAAAGTTACACACACATTTTTGACTGCACAGGAGGTCATTGCCCCAACCCCTATGTTGTTCAAGAGTCAACTATATTTATCTATGAATATATAATTACATAACATAAAATGGTTTATTACTATTATAAATAACATGCTGAGTTCTTACCATGTGCTGGGCACTGGGCTAAGCTTTTCTGCCTATGCTCTTGTATTGAATCTGATCAAAAACTCATCAGATTAGGACAATATTATTATTGTTGTTATTATTCATTGAGACCGTGGACTCCGAATCTAGATAGCCTAGGCTGAAATCCCACTTTTGTTGCTTGAGGGGTGCAAGACCTCAGATAGTGAGTCTCTCTCTCTGTTTCGGTTTTCTCTTTTTGTTACACGGGATGATAACAGTACCCACCCCTCAGGGCACTGAAAGGATGAGCTAAATTGATGCAAGCGAGGTGCCTGGCATATTGACCAGAACTCTCATTACCATGGCTGTCCTTATTTTACAGATGAGGAAACTGAGGCACGGGAAGGTGAAGTCATGGGCAGCCACCACTGCCAGAAGTGGAGAGCTGGCAAAGTTGGGGAGAGGGTGATAAAAACTAGGAATCACGGCTCTCATGATAGGTGGACCTAGAAGACAGCACTGGGGAACTTGGTCCTGTCTACCTCTCACCTCATTGTCCTAGACCTGGGAGTGGGCAGAAGGCAGGGACCTGCTGGTCAGCTGCCAGAGGCAATGAGGGGTTGCTCTTCCGTTCTCCATGGAGGGGAAGAAGGCCGGTTAAGCTTGAATGGTGGAAGCTAAGACAGTGACAGCCCTATCATCACAGATCCTTGGAGGAGTTCAAAGAAGTGGGTGGGGCGGGGAGGGGACAGACCATTGTTACAGCCGCTGGGCTGACCCTGGGGGCTGGAGATGAGGATGCACGGCCAGTACAGCTGGACCAGATTGGAGTCAGGCGGGCTCACACCATTGTTAACATGCCCAGCTTCAACGTCACTTGTATACCTACTTCTGGTTGCCAAGATAGGCTACAAAGAGGTAGGAGCAGGTGAGGGGCAGGTTGCTTCCTGCCCCTGGGACCCAAGTCCACCTCCCTGGACCCAGCCTGAGGGACCGTTTCTAGGTTTCACCTCCAGGAAAGTGACTGCTTGGTTCAGGCAGCGATCACTTGCTTTCTGTTCTGACTCCATCAAGGCATCTTTCCCCACCCAGCCTCAGGTTAAGGTGAGGGGCTTGCCAGGGGCACAGACTGCCTGCAGAGACCCCCACTATCTCAGTTCTACCTCATCTCCTGGAGAAGACAGCTATCCAAGCAGAGGACCCCACACTCAAGCTTGGCATAGAATTTATCTCCCTTGGAGAACACGGAAAGATTTTCACTTAAAGGGAAAGAATTTGCAGAACAAGGAAAGAAGTAAGGGAGAAAAAAAGAAGAGAGCAGATACTGGCATGTAGAGGGAACTAAGAACCAATAACCATCACCACCACTGCTACCACCAATAATAAGAATAGCAGTAAGGAGGCCGGGTGCGGTGGCTCACGTCTGTAATCCCAGCATTTTGGGAGGCTGAGGCGGGCGGATCACGAGGTCAGGAGATCGAGACCATCCTGGCTAGCAGTGAAACCCCGTCTCTACTAAAATACAAAAAAACTAGCCGGGCGTGGTGGTGGGTGCCTGTAGTCCCAGCTACTCGGGAGGCTGAGGCAGGAGAATGGCGTGAACCCAGGAGGCAGAGCTTCCAGTGAGCCGAGATCGTGCCACTGCACTCCCGCTTGGGTGACAGAGTGAGACTCCGTCTCAAAAAAAAAAAAAGAATAGCAGCAAGGCAAACCTTCTTTTTCTTTTTTCCACCTGAGAACCTAGTTTCACTTTGTGAAAAAGACAAAGTGACGTGTCCACTAAACCTTCTTCTCCATGGACTGAATTTCTCAGTTCCCCCTGCAGTCAGATGGACCATGGGTATTGGCTGTCTTCCATTACCCCAAATCCACTCTCCTTCCTTCTTTACCCTTCTAGGACTGTCACATGGGGGGCTGACCTGTGTGGATGGGCTCACTGGGCTCCCAGCCCTCTGGCTTTGGACAATGGGGGACATTTATTCTGCCAGCTTCCTGTTAGGAAATGCTCCCTCTCTCTCTTTCTCTCCCCCCTTCTTTCTCTCAACTTGTGTGTGTGTGTGTGTGTGTGTGTGTGTGTGTGTGTGTGTGTGTGTCTTTGTGAGTCTCAGTCTCTCTCTGTCTCTGCCTCCTTCCTCTCTTCCTCCTTCTCTATTTCAGTAAGGGCCCACACCTTTGTAAGCTATCTCTTAATTTGATTCTTAAGCTATCTCTTAATTTGATTCTTGGTCTGTGTCTTCCGTTTCCTACTGGGACCCTCTCTCATACACCATGGGATGAAATTCCAGTCCACAGAATGCAGGCAGAAGTAAGGTTCACTACTTCTATATGTGGCCTCCCAAAACTTCCTGTGTGAGCCTTCATACTCTTTTCCTACAGGCCGGAAGTGAAGGACTTTCTGATCTTAGGGGATGGTGGAGCCACAGATGGAAAGAGCCGGGTCCTGAAATCACCACATGGAATGCCACTTGCTGATTATCTGATTGGATTTAGGGTGAGTGAGAAGTACATTCGTATTGCCTTAAGCTACTGCAGACTTGGGGGTTGCTTGTTACAGCAGCAAGCATATCCTAATACACCTTTAAGAAGACTGCTCTTCCCCACTTGGAGAAGTTGGCTCCACCCCAACTCCATAAAGTCATGTGACCCAAGCCTAAGCCAATCAGAGCACCCCGTTCTCCACCTCCCATTTCCCCACAGTGATTGGTTCTGGCATGAGCACACGACCTCAGCAACAGCCAATCAAAAGCAAGAAAGCATTTGCTGAAAATTCCGGGAAGATAGCTGAAAAAGAGAGAAGAATCTCTCTCTGAATATGGTCTTGGGCAGACTGGAGGGCTGGAAGTGCAGCTAAGTCATGGATAATGGAGCCAGCTGCAAAAAGTAGAGCCAAGAAACAGAAACAGAGGCCTAATGGTGTTATCTGATCCCTAGATCCAAACAAGCCTGAAGCTGGACACTCCTGAGACTCTTCAGTCTCATGAGCCAATACAATCCCCACTTCTTGTTTAAGCCCCTTTGAGTTTTCCACCTCTTCCAAGTAAAGGGAACTAAGGGATTCACATAGGTAAATATAATGAGTCCACACCATGTGTCAGGCCCACTGACCTCACAGCAAGTCAACAGGTAGATATTTTTACTTTAATTCCCATTTTATAGGCAAGGAAATGGGGACCTTTTAAATTGGCCAGGAGCACCTCAGTAGGGAAATTATTTGCAAAAGAGTATGTTTGGGGATTGGGTGTGTGAGCTTGAGTAATTGGGATTGGGCTGAAAGTCCAGAAACCAATCCTGAAACCAACATCTTTTGTATGATTTCAAGAGTGCCAATTAACTTCCCCCGTTCTATAAAAAATGGAGATAAAAACCCTTCCACTTCTCCCCCACCAATTCCATAGTGTCGGTTTGGGTAACAAAGTAAGGTAACAGTTAAAAGGTGCTCTGAAGGAAAGGCTAGCAACTCATCCTTGCTGTTGTTAATAAACAGTCATTGTTGAATTGGCTCCAGAAACCCTGGGGGCCAGGGGCTGTCCAGTGACTCTCTTGGCCAGAATTCCAAAGACCATCTGTGGCAAATACATCCTCCAGAGCACATACCCTTGGCAGGATCACAAACTGCTTTTCTCACCCAGAAAACACAACCAGAAAAGAAACAGAGATAGAGAGAGGGGAGAGAGGGGAAAAATCATGCCAGCTCAAAATTTCTTTTAATCTGATCAATGATTTCCATCTCCACAGCCACCATGCCAGCCCAAGGCACACTTCCCTGAATGAGTGAAATCATTTCCTAATTGGTCTCATGGCTTTTTATTCTTGCTGTATTCCAATACATTCTCCATGCAGCAACCAGTGGAACTATTCACAGACATAAAATCATTGTATTACTGCTTCAGTAGCCTGACAGTGCCTTTAGGATAAATATCAAACTCCTAAGCACCTTCCACAGGACCTTTGCACATGCTGTTCCCTGTGGCCAAAACATCTTTTCCACCATTCCCACCCCTACAATAGCAGAGGCCCACTAAAGACTCAGTTTATCAGCACTTCCCTGGAAGATGTTGTTTCACATGTTTCTTTTAGAGCAAGCCAGACTTGTCCCTTTTTGCAAGGCCTATAACATTTTAAATTATAAGTAGTAATAACTATTTACATGTCATCCTTGCCAGACTGTAAACTCCATGAAAGCCATGATTGCATCTGTCATATCCGTCACTGTAACTCAGTGCCTGGCACACAGTTGGCACTCAATAAATATTTGTGGCTTCAAAGGTTGAGTATAAAAACAGACCAGATGAAAGAAGGTAAAAGTTAAACAGTCAAGAGGTTGTCTTGCAGATCATTGGGGCAAGAATGGGCTTTTTAATAAATGATGCTGGGACAATTCTTATGGAATAAAAAGGAAATTGGACCCCTACCTACCACCACATATAAAAATCAATCCCAAGCTGATTAAAGACATACAGTGAACACAACTGTAAAACTTTCAGAAATAACATAAAATATATCCATGGCCTCAGGGTAGAAATGATTTTCTTAAATAAGATACAAAGCCCACAAACTATAAAGGAAAAGATTTCTAAAATCAACCACATCAAAATTAAGAACTGTTGGTGATCAAAAGACATTATAAAAAAGATCAAAAGCCAAGCCAAGAGAAAATATTGCACAACATATAATGATGAAGAATCAGTTTCCAGGCTATGTAAGGATCACCCACAAATCAATATTTTTTTTTTAAAAGTGACCTAATCAAAAATGGACAGAGCATGTAGAGGCACTTCACAAAAAAGCAAGCTTGAATAGTCAATAAATATTTTAAACTATGTTCACTCTAATTTGCAATCGGGGGATGCAAACTAAAATCACAATGAGAAATCACCATGAGAAAGGCTATAACTTAAAAACCTGACAATACCAAGTGTTGGCAAGGTTGTGAAGCATCTTGAATGCTCACCCACCACCGGCAGGAGTGTAAATTAGCACAAGCACTTTGGAAAATTGTTTGGCAGTGTTTAGTCAAGGTGAAAATGTACAAATCTTAGTATCCAACAATTTCACACAGAGCGATGTGCTCCAGAGAGACCCCTGCAAGCGAGCAGCAGAATCCATAAACAACCAACAAAGCTGCTTATGCCAGTGCCCAAAAGAGAACAAAGTCACATGCTCATCATCAATGAATAAACAAGATCATGAAGGAGCTGCAGTGACCACAATGAGGATGAAATCTCACAAAGGTAACTGCAAACCAATGAAGCAAAATACAAAACAACTCCTCTCACATGATTTTATTCATATAAAACTCAAAACCACATAATATCTGACTATATTGCTTCAGGATGCGTACTTAGGTGGTACAACCACACAAGAAAGCAAGCGAATGGTTCCCATACAATCTCCAATAGTGGTTCCTCCAGGAGGGAAGGAGTGGCTGTGATTGAGGATGAGCATGAGGGAGAATCTGATGGTGGCCCTGTGGCTCTTGACCTGGGTAAAATGGGTGTACGCTTCATGGTTTGGTCTTTAAAATGTTCATCTATGTTCCTACACTGCTCTCTAGGTTTGTTCTGTCTCTCTCTCTCTCTCTCTGTCTGTCTGTCTCTCTCTCTCTCACACACACACATACACACACACGTCAGTTAAAGACTAAAAAAGAAAGAAGACACATACACCAACCAACAGTTTATGCTGAGAAAGAGAAAAGGGGAAAATACCCAGACAGAAAATTAAAAGATAACATAGACACAGGAAATGAAAAGAGATGACGAGTTGGCAAGACGGCGAGGGTAAGGAAATGAGAACTGGAGAGACAGAAAAAAGAAAAAAATAATAAGATGGTCAAGGATAACAGGAGAAGGGGAAGATACAAGAAGCAATATTCTCTCTCTTCTTTCTGTCTCTCTTTCTCTACCTCCATATCTCTCCCTCTCCTTCATCCCTTCCATCTTTGTCTCTCTCTCTTTTCCCTCACCATTGCCTTCCTTGCACTTCCTCCATCCAGGTCCTTCTCTCCCCTTCCATCTCTGTCTCTTTCTCACCTTCCACTTTTCTTTCTCTCTCATCTCTCTCTCTCTCTCTGTGTCTCCTCTTTGTCTCCTCTGTCTCTTCCTTCTTCCCTACACACGCAGCCTCTCTTTCTTTTAACACTTATTTATCAGGTGGCTACCCTGTGCTGGACACAGTGCTAAAAAAGAGGCCCTGGCTGGGGGAAATGGGATGGCATGGCCCACCGTGGTTCCCAAGCATCAGTGGCACGGACGCCTGCCCAGGGCGCCTCATCCCAGCTCCAGCATGGACCTGTGGGCCGCCTGCCACTCTCTCCCCATCATTAATTTCACTATCAAACACTCCCAGCATCACAAGTTGTAGGTCTTATTTATTAAATATTTAACTAGGAGAAACCCAGCTGAGATGAAACCTCTCATTTGTGGCAGCCACAGGAGAGCAGAACATGGACCTGCTGCTGGGATTAAGCCAGGCTGATGAGTAGAACCAGGGTGCCCAGAGGGGGAAACAGGTGGGGGCAGCCCCCAGTGGGGAGAGGAAGACCCAGAAATGCAGGGAGCTGGGCTTTCACACAGTCTCACCTGGATGGCGAGAGGTTGTCAGCCAGGGAAGGCGAGTTCAAAAACCCCCAAAATCAGAATAGGTCAATCTATACAGACAGAAGATTAGTAGTTGCCAGGGGCTGGGGGAGCGGGGAGAGACAGGGAGTGAGCGCTCAGTGAGTACGGGGTCTCCTTTTTGGGGTCTTTGAACTACAGAGAGGTGATGGTTGCACAACACTGAGTGTATTAAATGCCACCAAACTGTACACTTTAAAATGGTTAATGGTCAATTTTATGTTATGGGAATTTTATCTCAATGTTTTAAAAATTAAAAAAAAAAAAATCCCACACCCAAACCCATTAACCATTAGCTCTAAGGCTGCTGACCTCATTTTTTAAAATTCATGCTTATTACACAGGCACTGCTTACTATCAATCCAAGGCACTCGCTCAGCATTTTGGGTTTCTTTCTTTTTTAGAAATAGGGTCTCACTCTTGTCCCCCAGGCTGGAGTGCAGTGGCACCATCATTGTTCACTGCAGCCTTGAACTCCTGGGCTCAAGGGATCCCCCCACCTCGGCCTCCCAAGCAGCTAGGACTACAGGCATGCACCACTACACCTGGGTAATGTTTAAATGTTGCCCAGGCTGGTCTCAAACTCCTGGCTTCAAGCAATCCTCCCATTTCAGCGTCCCAAAGTGCTAGGATTATAGGTGTGAGCCACTGCATCTGACCCTACTCAGCACTTTGAATCATCCCATCATTTACTTCTCACAGCCCTGGGAGGGAGGTGCCAGCAGGTCTCTAGTTTTAGAGAGAAGGGAGCTTGTGGTTCAGAGAGGGTAAGTGGCTTGCCCAAGGTCACACAGCTCCAACTTCAGTCTACCTGCTTAGCCACCTAATGGGCTTTCTGCTAACTCTGGCTGAACTTTAGAAACCCTTGGGGAGTTTTCAAACATTCCCCACTCCAGGGGAAGCCCTGGACAAATCTCTCCAGCATCTGTGGGGGTGGAGCTTGGGGCATCAGCATTTTCCTTTTTCTTTTCTTTTTTTTTTTTTTTTTTTTTTTTTTGAGACAGAGTCCCACTCTGTCACCCAGGCTGGAGTGCAGCAGTGCCATCTCAGCTTACTGCAACCTCCACCTCCCAGGTTCAAGCAGTTCTCCTGCCTCAGCCTCCCAAGTAGCTGGGACTACAGGTGTGTGCCACCACACCTGGGTAATTTTTGTAATTTTTAGTAGAGATGGAGTTTCACCATGTTGGCCAGGCTGGTCTCAAACTTCTGACCTCAGGTGATCCACCCGC
Source organism: Homo sapiens (assembly GCF_000001405.40). Lineage (NCBI taxonomy): Eukaryota > Metazoa > Chordata > Mammalia > Primates > Hominidae > Homo > Homo sapiens. Next base: position 13,488,649 of record NC_000019.10, read on the forward strand.
CTTGGCCTCTTAAAGTGCTGGGATTACACACGTGAGCCACCGTGCCCAGCCTCAGCATTTTTAAAGCTTCCAAGTGATTAGAAGGTGCAGTCAAGATCACCTGAGGAATCTCACTGAAGAGCAGATTGGGATTGAGCAGGTCTGGGGTAGGGGATGAGATTCTGCATTTCCAACAAGCTCCCAGGAGATGCTAATTCTGTTGGTTCAGGGACCCTGGCAACATGTCCAGTAGGATGCTCTAGATCTGCACTATTCAGCACAGTGGTCACTAAGCCACACAGGGTCATCGGGCACTTCAAATGTGGCCAGTGAAACTCAGGGACTGTTTTTATTGTAATTAATTTCTTTTCTTTTCTTTTTTTTTTTTTTTTTTTTTTTTTTGAGACGGAGTCTCTCTCTGTTGCCCAGGCTGGAGTGCAGTGGTGCAATCTCAGCTCACTGCAGCCTCTGCCTCCTGGGTTCAAGCAATTCTCCTGCCTCAGTCTCCCGAGTAGCTGGGACTGCGGGTGTGCACCACCATGCCCAGCTAATTTTTGTATTTTTAGTAGAGATGGGGTTTCACCATGTTGGCCAGGATGATCTCGATCTCCTGACCTCATGATCTGCCCGCCTCGGCCTCCCAAAGTGTTGGGATTACAGGTGTGAGCCACCACATGTGGCCTGTAATTAATTTCTAAAATTGCAATAGCCATGTGTGGCTACTGCCTACCTTATTTGGCAGCATAGGTCTCCCGGGCTCAAGAGATCCTCCTACCTCAGCCTCCCAAGTAGCTGGGACTACAGGCATGTGCCAACACCCTCGGCCAATTTTTGTATTTTTTTGTAGAGACGGGGTTTCACCATGTTGCCCAGCCTGCTCTCAAACTCCTGGGTTCAGCCTCTCAAAGTGCTGGGATTACAGGCACAAGCCATTGAGCCCAGCCTGGTCTGCATCTGTAAGTGATCCAAGACTATGGCCAAGGGTGAGACAAACACCTTAGGGGAGCAATGAAGAAATTAGGAACTCACTTGGGTCCTCCACCTTTCCTTTCTCAGCACTGGCCACCTGTTCAGGGGCCTTCACCTGTCCCCTTGGGTCTCCCCAACGAATCCCTGCTTCACTCCCCAGAGAGAACCATCAGAGCCTCCCCACACCAGCCCCTGACTTCTCCTACTCCTCAGATCACCCTAAATCAAGCCCACATCTCCCCTTGGGTTTCCTCCTATCTCAGTTTCTCAGTTGTATCTCCTGTCACCTCCAAATGCAGCTAAGATCACCTGGGAGATCTTTATTTTTGAGCCTTAGTACTTACCACACTCAAACTATCCTTTACCTGTTTATCTGGTCCTTGGACTCCCTCTCTCTCCCCACCCAGAATATCAGCCACACCAGGGCGGGGATTTTTGTCCGTGTGTTTATTTCTCTCTGTGTTTTGTCCATCTACGTCCCAGTGCCCATGCCAAGGAGGAAATTAAGAGCTTGCTGGTCATTAGAGAAAAGTAAATGACCAGCAATGACTACCTGCTGAGAATTTACTATGTGCCACGCATGATGTTTTACAGTCACCATCCACTTAATCCTTGCAACATTCCTGCAAGAAAATGCTACACTGCTTATCTTATAGATGACGAAACAGAGTGGTTAAGATTAGGTAGCTTCCCAAAAGCCACACCACCGATAGAAACCTAGTCCTAGCCCAGGCGTGGTAGCTCACGCCTGTAATGCCAGCACTTTGGGAGGCTGAGGCAGGAGGATCACGAGGTCAAGAGGTCGAGACCAGCTTGGCCAACATGGTGAAACTCCATCTCTACTAAAAATGCAAAAATTAGCTGGGTGTGGTGGCGCGTGCCTGTAGTCCCAGCCACTTGGGAGGCCAAGGCAGGAAAATTGCTTGAACCGGGAGGCAGAGGTTGCAGTGAGCTGAGATTGTGCCATTGCACTCCAGCCTGGGCAACAGAGCGAGACTCCATCTCAAAAAACAAAAGAAAAGAAAGGAAAAGAAAAGAAAAGAAGGAAGGAAGGAAGGAGAAAGAAGGAAAGAAAGAGAGAGAGAGAGAAAGAAAGGAAAGAAAGAAAGAAAGAAAGAAAGAAAGAAAGAAAGAAAGAGAAAAGAAAGAAAGAAAAGAAGGAAGAAGAGAGGAAGGAAGGAAAGGAAAGAAAGGAAAGAGAAAGGAAAAAGGAAGGAAGGAAAGAAAGGAAGGAAGAAGGGAGGGAGGGAAGGAGGGAAAGAGAAAGGAAAGGAAGGAAAGGAGGAAGGAAGGAAAGGAGTAAGGAAGGAAGAAGGAAGGGAGGGAGGGAGGGAAAGAGAAAGGAAAGGAAGGAAAGGAAGAAGGAAGGGAGGGAGAGAAAGACAAAGGAAAGGAAGAAGGAAGGAAGAAAGGAAGGAAGGAAGGAAAGGAAGAAACCTAGTCCTAGTTGAGCTCAGACTCTGTCCCTTAACCATCGTCCCGCGACATCTCTTGCCCACTCGCACACCAACCTCTCTGGAATGCAAATGGTTTCCCGGAGAAAACTTGAGTATTTTTCCCTCTGGGTTTTTATCCTTGCTGTGCCTTCACCTGTCTCATAAAGTTTCTCCATTTGCTAGATGTGTGACCTTGGCAAGCAGTGTTAGCTCTCTGAGTCTCAGTGTGCACATCTGCAAACTGGGGGCAAAAATAAGTGCCATGAGCTCTGGGGGCTGGGATGAAGTTCTCATAAACTGCCAGGGCAGTTCTATAAAGCTTAGGGGCTCATAAGCTCCCCACAGAGAGGAGCTACTGTTACTGTAACTATTCACCACAAAGCAGAGAGTTTCCATGTCCTCCTGGGACATGGTGCTTCCTCTTTATCAGGGATGGAGTGAAATCCTGACATGAGCAAGGGCAGGAGCCAAGAAAAGGGCCTTTCCGTCATGAATGTGGAAAATGGTCTGTTTGCTTTTCATCAGGTTTTGGGGGTTGGGGACATGGGGGATCCTGTTTGGTCAGTTAGAGGAGTTGCAGCTGGTCCTAAAGCTTGGAGAGCTTGCACTAAATCTTGTGGCTGCCATTTCGCTTTGAAATAAAGGGGCTGTCTAAGGGCCAGGTGTGGTGGTGCACACCGATAGTCCCAACTACTCAGGAGGCTAAGCTGGGAGGATTGCTTGAGCCCAGGCGGTTGAGGCTGCAGTGAGCCATGATTGCACCACTGTGCTCCAGCCTAGGGGACAGAGTGAGACCTCACCTCTAAATTTTAAAAAGGGCTTGTCAGCACCAACAGAGGTACACAGAGGCGCACACACACTATTGCACTGGGGAGGGAGGAGGCCGATACCTATAACACTAATACATCAGACTCTTATTTGGCACCCACTGTGTGTCAGGTACTGTTTTGAGTGCTGCTTTCCTCACAACCACCCCACAATGCAGGCACTAATGTTATACCACTTTTACTGATGAGGAAAGGCAGGCCCAGGGGGCTAAGTGATTTGCCTAAAATGATATGAATGGAAATAAGCAGAGTTGGTATTTGAACCTAGGCAGCCAGGCTCCACAGCCTCCCTCCCTCCACTACACTGGACTGCCTCAAGCCCCACACAGAGCCATGACATGCCTCAATTTCAACAGAAACTTGCTCAATCCCTCAAAGACATCGGTAAAGAATGTGCCTGAGAAAACAGAGGAAAGGATATCCAAACAGCCCACAGAGATCTGGAAAATGCTCTATGTCTTAAGTCACCAAAGAAATGCACAGGATACCACAACAGGATTTCACTTTCACTTATCTGATTGGTGAAGATGTAAAATCAAGGGAGGGCAAGCCTGATTGGGCCACGTCGTCAGGGAAAGGGGACCTTGGAATTTGAAAGGGCACAGACTTCCTGTTTCTTGCAACCTGGCCCAAAAGCCTGACATACAACCTTGCCATACCATTTCCAGGAATCTGTCCTAGGGAAACAGTGACAGAAGTGTGCAAAGACTTCTCTACCAGGATGCTCACTGCAGTGTGATCAGTGTTGGTGGAAAAACGGCTGGTCTCAAAACAAATATACAAAAGGAAGCCCATTTTTGTTATGAAAATCAAAAAGTTTAGGTATATCGGGGGGAAAAAAGGAGTGGTTATTCCATTTCCTTTGGAAAAAAACAAAATCCTCACCATAGTTCACAAAGCCCAGAATAAGCCAACCTTGTCACCTCCCTGCCCTCACGTCCTCCCATTCACCTAGCATACAGTAGGTGCTCAGTCAACATTTATGAATGAATGAACGCACTCCTTCCCATTCCCCTCCATCTCTAAGCTGATATGCTCCAGGGTCTCTCTCCTGTACGTTCCTAAGGGTGTGGGGATCAAGGGGATATAGAAACACAGTCCATACCAGCAGCATTCACCATGCCAGGAGACCAAAGAAAGTAAGGCACGATTTTCAAACAGGGCAACAGAAGGGGAAGGAGAGAGAAGGGGAGGCCGCCGCAGTTTTCATTCCAACATTTTCCAGCTCTGGGTGAGATTTCCTTCTATACACTCATCTATATTTACATCAACGAATCTGTCGGTAGCAAGCCTGTTGCTTCTTGTGTGGGATCTAAAGTTCACAGAAAGCTGGCTTAGACACCCAGCTAGGAAGACAAACTGTAAATTAAATTTAAGTCACCCAAAAACCCTAAATCCACCCACTCCTCTTGAAGAAACCCATGACATCGATTACATCAAGATTTCTCAACCTTGGTATTACTGACATTTGGAGCTGGATAATTCTTTACTGAGAAAGGCTGTCCTGTGCATTTTAAGATGCTGAACTGCATCCCTGGTTTCTACCAGCCAGATGCCAGTAGCATCTTGCCCCCTCCCCCTACATTCGTGACAACCAAAAACGTCTCCAGACATTGCCAAAAGTCCCCTTGGGGGAAAAATTGCTCCCAGTTCAAAAGCACTGCTTTACATGCAGCCCAGGAAAAATTCCAAACCATTTAACTGTTCTTTCTCTGTTCCTTGTCATCAACATCCTGAATATACCAGTCACCTGTTCTCAAAATTCCTTCTACAGATTCAAAGAAAGTGGTAACAGCAGAGTTTCAATTATGGGCTTGGAGTGCCATATATAGACAGGAATTTCATTCAGAAAACTATCAGAACCTTGGACAGAGATTCACACACAAAGATGTTTACTGCACTGTTATTTATAATGGCAAAACAAACAGCCAGAGATTGTTACATGAATATAATACACGTATAAAGTGGAACATTATCAGATATTAACAACAGTCTTTTCTGGGGTTGCCACCAACCCATACAGCACCACTGTATGAATTTAAACAAGACACCCCTTTCTCTGGTTGTGAAATTAAACAAGACACCCATTTCTCTGATTGTGAACTTAAACAAAACACCCCTTTCTCTGTCAAAAATTGTCATAATAGCTTCATCTTGCTAGAACAAGATACTTAAGCTTTTATCAGCTGGGGTACTGAAATAGTAGACATACAAGCTCCATGATACTTAAGATATGTGACATGCTATCTTTGTGCAGTGCACAACCTGTGCAACTATACATGGTGGCCCTTATTTTTTCAAGGATACCTAGTGGCATGGAAATGTGTTCCTAAAAGTTTACATGCATAAAAAGGTATGGGATGAAATACATTAAAATGTCTTCAGAGATTTTTTTGTGGATGAGAGAGTATACATATATTTTATATTCTTTTTTGTACATGAGATGTTCAGTAAATGAAAAGGATAGGCCTCTTGGAGGAGGTAACTTTTGGGCTGAGACCTAAATGAAGAGAAGGAGTTAGCCATGGGGAGACCTGGAGAAACAGTGATGCAGGCAGAGGAAATAGCTTATGCTGAACAGAAGGAATGTCATGTAATGCAAATGACATGGGTGTGAGTAAAATGGTCAGCAGGGCTGAGACAGAATAGACAATGAAAGGAAGGTAGACAATGAAAGAGATGAGATCAAAGACAAAACAGGGACCAGATCACATGGGGCCTTAAAGGACCTTGCTACATCAGTGTGTTAGTCCGTTTTCACACTGCTATAAAAGTAATTTATAAAGAAAAGAGGTTCAATTGACTCACAGTTCTGCATGGCTGGGGACGCCTCAGGAAACTTACAAATCATGGCAGAAGGCAAAGGGAAAGCAAGGCACGTCTTACATGGCAGCAGGAGAGGAGAGAGAGGAAAGAGGCCCACACAAGTTTAAAACCATCAGATCTCATGAGAACTCACTATCACAAGAACAGCATGGGGGAAATCACCCCCATGATCCAGTCACCTTCACCAGGTCCCTCCCATGACATGTGGGTATTACAATTTGAGATGAGATTTGGGTGGGGACACAGAGAAAAACCATATCAATCAGTAATCTGTAATCTCTGACTAGTGGGTAAGAATCTGGGGCATTTACCCAATCTGCTTGGAAGAGAAAGAGTCTACCAGTCCACCACCACATGCTATCCTATCCACCAATGGAGCAAAATCCAAGGAATTCCACTTTCAGTCCCAGTGCTGAAACAAAACCAGGTGTTTCCAGAATTTTAATAATCTTTGTTCAATAACACTGTTTACTTTCCTCACCATTACTCAATTAAATACTTATGCATGATATAGTGCAGGAACTTTGGGGGGATGTGAGGAAGGCAAATCACTGTCCCCTACCCTCAAGGAGCTTTCTAATTACATAGGTAAAACCTAAGCATATAATATTTATTTATTTATTTATTTTGAGATGGAGTCTCGTTCTGTCGCCCAAGCTGGAGTGCAGTGGCATGATCTTGGCTCACTGCAAGCTCCACCTCCCGGGTTCATGCCATTCTCCTGCCTCAGCCTCCCAGGTAGCTGGGACTACAGGTGCCCGCCACCACGCCTGGCTAATTTTTTGTATTTTTAGTAGAGATGGGGCTTCACCCTGTTAGCCAGGATGGTCTCTATCTCCTGACCTTGTGATCTGCCTGCCTCGGCCTCCCAAAGTCCTAAACATACAATCTTATTGATTTTTACAAAAGTGTGCAAAATTCACTTGATACTGGAAAAGGTACAAATAAGGTGGTAAGCGGAGAGACTTGGTCATTCCCAAGTCAAACAGAACACCAAATATCAGGGAGACCCACACATAGACAGCTACCCTACCATACACCCTTATATCCAACATCCACCCATCCACCCACCCATTCAACCATCTATCATCCACTCATCCACCCATCCAGTCATCCATATTTTTACCCCTCAATCCAGTCTAGTCATCTGCCTATTTATTCATCCAGCCATATATTCACTCATACACCAATCCATCCAGTCATCCATCCAGTCATCCATTCACCCATCCATTTGTCCACCCACCCATCGAGTCATCTACCAATCTACTTATCCACCCACCTACCCTCCAATCACCCATCCTTCCTTCCTTCCTTCATCCCATCCATCCATCCATCCACTCATCCATGCATCTGTTCAACCATCCATCCATCCATCCATCCATCCATCCATCCATCCATCCATCCACCCAGACATCCAACACTAACTGCAGAGGATGCCTCCATCCCCTCTAAACCACAAACATCCAGCTATGATCCATAACTTAAAAGACTGCGTTGTGATCAGAAACAGGCCACAAGTCAAAAATTTGCATTCTGACAACTCTTTCAAAGACAACTCAAGTCTCTAAACATTTCTGACCATTCCAATTTGTGTAAGACCCAAACACTCCATGTCCTTGTAAGGCCCTCAGAGAAGCTAACCTATATTTGGTGCTCTGAAGTATTTGATGTCTTCAAAGACGGTGCCCTTAGGGAGAAGGTAAGACTAGAGACAGTATAGTTAGAGGAAGGGGAAGCTGTGGGGAGATTGGAGAGTCTGGCAATGGGGCATAACAAATGAGAGAAAAAGATTAGAAACATGGAAGAAGGATTGCTGAGACGTGGGGAAAATCCTACTTGGGCCTAGGAATCATGGAATTCTAGTATGGACAATCAATGAGACCTTGTGATTGTGTTCTCCTTGGCTTATATATTGGAGCAACAGTGATTCAGCTGATCATTCAGAAGAATGGGTTAACAACACAGACGCCAAAAATAACAGAGATCAAGGGAGTTGAGAGACTTGGCAAGAAAGAGCAGAATATTAACACTTATGCAGCACCTACTGTGTGCCACACACTATTCTCAGCAGTGGATCAGAGAAGCCCAAATATGGCCACCCACATAAGTCCATCCATCTATCCACTCTTCCATGTATAAACACATATAGTGCTTCCTAAGTGTCAGGCACCACTCTAAACATCAGATGTATTAACTCATTTAATCCTCCCAGATAGGAGCTATTAGGATCCCCATGGAGCTATTAGAATCACCACTGGGACAGACTGGGAAACTGAAGCACAGAACACTTAAGTGACTTGCCCAAGATCACGCAGCCAGTGACTAGTAGAGCTGGGATTTGAACCCCAGCCACCTAGCTCCAGAATCCATGCTCTCAACTCAACCATGCTGCTTCTCTACAACCATATCAATTGCCAGTGTCTAAACCACAGGTTCTGACTCTCAGAATACAAGCAGGACCAAGAGCTAACCGGTTGACCCAGCCTCTTAGAGAAAATGATGAGTAAGCTGTGAAATGTCTTAGCTCCTGCCATAAATGCTGATGAATCTCAGCTGATTCTAGGTGAAGCTAGATTTCCAAGTACACAGACTAAAATTAACACCTCGAATTCATTCATTCAAAATTATTGATTCCTTACAGCAGCATTGTTCATAACAGCAAACAAACAAACAATCCCCCACCCCAAACTAGAAACATCCCAAATGCCCATCGTCCTGCTTGAACCCGGGAGGCGGAGGTTGCAGTGAGCCGAGATCGCGCCATTGCACTCCAGCCTGGGCAACAAGAATGAAACTCCATCTCAAAAAAAAAAAAAAAAAAAAAAAAAAAAAAAAAATATATATATATATATATATATATATATATATATATATATATATATATATATATATATAAATTTATGTTGTTAAAGCTGGGTACGGTGGTGCATGCCTATAGTCCCAGCTTCTCGGGAGGCTAAGGCAGGAGGATCGCTTGAGCCTAGGAGGTCGAGGCTATAGTGAGCCATGATCATGCCACTGCACTCCAGCCTGGGTGACAGAGTGAGACTCTGACTCAAAATAAATAAAATAAAATTCATTGAGTTGGCTACTTCACAGGATGATTATATATGCCATGTGCTTTCTGGGTACAGTATCTTTTAACCTTCTTACAATTCCTCGGACATAGGACTACTGTCCCCGTTTTACAGAGGAGAAGACTGAGGCTCCACAACTGTGAGCTGGAGCTGAGATTTGCAGCCAGGGTGGACTGTTCCCAAGCTCTATATGTCTCCCCTCCATCCAATATCACCTTCCCTCCTCTTTTCCTCCTTACAGCCTCCACTGCTTGTGCTGTTAATCAAACAGACACATTCCTATGCAGACGCCACAACATGCCACGAACACATTTCACTGCAGTGATGGTCAGCATAGCCCTCCCACCCACACACACCATGCCCATCATTCTCAATAAAGAAGATAATAAAGATCATGGAGATAAAAGAACGTGACAGACTCTGGAAGATCAGAATCCATGTAACACCACTGCGGGCCAAGTTTTAAGTCTGCCCCAGAGTCTCATTGAAGACAAATCCATCCACTTTTACAAAAAGGTAACATCCAGACTTCGCCCTCCTGCAAATGCTGTTCGTATGAAAATACTTTAAAAATCAGTTTAAAATTACATATATTTTTTACACATAGGCCTAAAATGAGAACAGAACTTAACAGCATGAATATTATTTACTGGCAAGTGGGTGACTAAGTTGGGTTTCCCTCATGGCTTCAGAGAGGGGACTCTTGAATCCTGTTATTTGGGGGCTGGGGGTGGGAGGCTGCTAATTTCTAACTGCAGGTGCCGCCTGAGCAACAGGCACCTTTAAGGAAGACTCACGGCTGCTCCCAGTCTGAACGGCAGATAAAGCCGTGTCTGACCGAAGCGAGATGTCAAAACTTGATCCGGACTTAACTCAGGCATTTCCCTTCATAGCTGGAATCTCTCTTGTATTAGCTGCCTTAAAGACGGCTTCTAAAAGCTGCATTCATTCCAATAAAAAGTCTTGGCTTTTCAGAGGGAATAAGTAACTGACTCTCCCCCTTTCTTGGTCAACGGCACCATCTCTTGCACCATTCTTCTCTCTCAGGTGTTAAGAACTCACCATTAGGGTGACCAGCGTCCCAGTTTGCCCAGGACTGTGAGTTTCCAGAGATGCTAAACCCAGGATAGTCCCAGGCAACCCTGGCTGAAGGGTCACCCTACTCAGATAAGAACTGAGGCCCAGTGGTTTTTGAAACCTAAGTTGCTGTGCCCACTCATGGTTCCCTCGCCAGGAATGTTCCTTGTTTTTCCTATTTTTTTAGGGAGTGAGGAGAAAGAAGACCAAAGTTTGGAAGGGGAGGGGGGTACCTAAATTCTAAACCAAAAGTTGAGCAAAGTTTTTCTGTGGAGTTTGCAGTGGACACCTGGGGTGGCCATCCTGGGCTGCACTCTCGACCGGCCCCAAAGGAAGAGACAGGGAGTGCAAAAGGGGAAGAGGGAAGCTAATTATATACTTTAAAACTCCCTCACCTTGTCACCCACAGAGAGAGGGAGGGACCAAAGGAGGAAAGAGAATTAATTTTTACCTTAGACTCAAGGGAATAGAAAAATGGGTCAAGTGGCCACGAATTTTTTTTCCCCTGAAAGCTTCCAGAGAGAACGGAGAATGCAAAATGTCCAAAGGTGGCTTTAAAGAGCGCCACGATCAGGTTAATCAATCCACACTGACCAGTCGCAGGGGGTGGTGGGGGGGGGCACTTCGCTCCCATTCCCACCCAGAAAGCCTCTTTTCTGGCCGGTTTCCAAAAAAAGAACACTGGAACCTAAATGACTCCATAGTATTACGGCTCTGGCGTTTTGGGGTTTTTCTCTGTGCTGGAGACTGTGCTGGCCATTTTTCACGCACGACCCCATTTAATCTCCTGAGAGCCCTCCAAGGGAGATGCTACTAGAAGGAATATCCTCATCATGCATGTCAAGAAATAGGCTCTGGTGCCCAAGATAACATGGCTGGTGAATAATGTGAACCTGGGCCAGTCTGACCCAGAGTCCGGAGTGTTTTCCCTCTCCTCTCTGCCCTCTTTCAGAGCAGGCACCATCCCATCCGGCCCTTTTCTCAGGAGCTGAGCTGGCATTCTCGGAAATGCGTTACTGCACGGCTCTTAGGCTCTGATCATTTCTGGATGGAGTCCACCTTCCCGGCGGTGCTTTTTATTGCTGAGAAAGTGTATATGTGTGCTTGCTACTGGGGGGGAAACAGGGAGGGGGAAGCATAAGCCCTACGCACCCAACAGATGCCTCCCACTCCAAGTCCCTGAAGAAAGACTTCATTCTCAAGGGGCCGCTGCATCCAATCTACTCAAGCACTAACATTTCAGAAACTTTCATTGGTCTGATAATCTCATGGACAGTCTCTCAACCCCCTGCAACTAAAACCCATCAAAATCCTAAAACGTTGGCACAAGGGTAGATCAGATAGATGTTATACAATTTAGTTAATGGGTGAAGACAGGTACCTTTTCTCATTTGCTCAGCAAACGTTTATAGGACGCCTGCTTTGTCCCACACACTGGGGTTGCAGTGGTGAAGAACAGGGTAAAGATCATGGGTCTCACAGCCTCAGAGCTTGACTTTTTCCTGGGGAATGGTAGAACTACCAGGGAGGGGTGGAACCCCACCCAAGAGAACCCCTTCTTTCTCTCTCTCTAGTGCAGGCACATAGCTTTGAATGACATCCTTAATCTTTCTTATTTCTCTGACCGGGATTTAACACTATTACTTCCACTCCTTTCCATAGATCCACATCCTTAATCCTAAGCCATCGAGGCCAGACGTGCTTTGGAATTCAGAACTCAGGGCTTTTAGACGCATTGCAAAGATGGGAATGTAAAATGGTACAACCACTTAGGAAAACAGTTTGAGAGCCTCTTATAAAATTAAACATACACCTACCACACAACTCAGCAATCTCACTCCTGGGTTAATTTACCCAAGAGAAATGAAATGTATGAAATGAAATGTTCCCACTAAAACCCATAAGCCAATGTTTATAGCAGCTCTATTCATAATCATTGAAACTGGAAGCATCCCAATGTCCTTCGGCTGGGAAGCAAACTCTGGTCCATCCATATCATGGAATCCTGCTCAACACCAAAAAGGAAGGCGCTACTGTCACAGGCAACAGCATGAATGAATCTCAAAGTCTGAGTAAAAGAATCCACATTCAAAAGGCTATATACTGTGAAATTACATTTATATGACCTTCGGCAAAAGGCAAAGCTGTAGGGATGGAGAACAGATCAGTGGTTGAAGGGGCTGGAGAAGTGGGGTGCTGACTCAAGAGGGGCACTGTGGGGGTATTTTAGGGTTGATGAAACTGTCCCATATCTTGATTTGGGTGGTGGCCACAACTACATCCATTTGTCAAAGCTTGCAGACCAGTATGTCAAAAGGGTGAATTTTGCTACAAATAAATTATACATCAATAAATCTATTTTTTTTTTGAGACAGAGTCTCAAAAAAAAGTACAGTGGTGCAATCTCGGCTCACTGCAACCTCTGCCTCCCAGGTTCAAATGATTCTCCTGCCAGCCTCCCGAGTAGCTGGGATTATAGACGCACAATACCACGCCTGGCTAATTTTTGTATTTTTAGTAGAGACGGGGTTTCACCATGTTGGCCAGGCTGGTCTCGAACTCCTGACCTCATGATCCACCGGCCTCAGCCTCCCAAAGTGCTGGGATTATAGGCGTGAACCACCAGACCCGGCCCCTATAAACCTGATTTTTAAGGAAAAGAAAAATGATAACAAGATGTCTCTATGATCTAACCTGGATACTCCAACCCTAGCCCATGAACTTACCACATGGGGAATCCCTAGAAGCTAGCTAGAAAAGCAGAATCCCAGACCCCACCCAAATCCTGCTGGACCAGAACCATCCTGTTAACAAGACAACTTCCATACACCTGAAAGTTTGACAGGACTACAATGCAGACCTAACAGTCAGGAGCTGAAGCAGCACCTCATCATCAAGCACATCTAACATTTCTGCTGCAAAACATACTCAAATGCACACCAAGTAGAATGAATGAAAACTGTAAATTAAGACTTCAAACTGAAGTCAGTTCAGGTTAGGTTTTACCTCTATATGAGCTCGTCTTTTGGTTTTTGGAGCTTTTTGGATTGGGGAATTGTGGATAAGAAATTGCACCCTTTTTGAAAATACTCCCATTGGAAAAGCCGTGCTAAATTTTACTTCGCAGAATTTTGCTCCTCTGGAAATACCAGCCAAGCCGGTCTAGTACAAGGATCACGTAAGTGACACCATCCTGCCCTCTACGGCAGTACCTTCTAGAACATTCTATCTCTCAGGACAGGCCAAGAGTCTGATAACCTGCTCCCATGTCTCCCAGCGCTTCTCATGCAGAAAGTTTCTCTTTAGAGAGCTTTTCTTAAAAAAAAAAAAAAAAAAAAAAATGAGAGGAGTGCCAATCAGCCAATGTCCACAGATGTCAAAGTGATGTCACCTGATGTCAATGTGACTTTAGGTGTCTTGTTAAGATTTCTGCAAACCGGATGAAAAGCTGGAATTCTACGTGTAATTCAGGCAACTGTGCGTGATAATACACTGACCTGCTTCCAGTGTTCCTCCGATGGCCTGAGTTTCTACATCATGTTCAGTGGGAGACCTGGTGGCACAGGGAGGGCTGGAAAGATGACATTCACCTTGGCACTTGGTAGAAGGAGTGAGTGGCATTAAGTGGGGAGGGAACTCTAGGAAGGCTGACAGATGCTCCTTTTTGAGCTGACAGATCTGAGCTCTTCGGCAATCATCAGAGACCCTCATGGCCCTATTTGAATCACAATTCCAGTCAATGAAAACATGAAACCAAGGTGTGTGGTCAAGACGGCTTGCTGCCTGGCATGAGAAAAACACGGCAATGTAAATTTGAACATCAAAGACTTCCATTTGGGTTTCCTCACTTAGGAAGAGGGGAAAAAATGAAATAAATGAGGATTCTTAATTGTCATTGATGGCTTCAAGTTTGACCCACTGAGGGATGAAAGAGGAAGAAATCATAGTGACAAATTGCCCCGAGTGTGGAGAAAGCAAGACTGCATCCTTCACCAGTGTACCATGCCAGAATTTACATTTGGAAGTAGCACTCTTAGGCCCTGTGAGCATACCGACAAGTTCATGGATCATTCACTCACTTCTCTTAAACAAGACAGGGAGGAACCTGCTTTCCATATCGACCTGCAACCCTTAGTCAACACCATTTCCAAATACACATCCCACAACACATGCATCAAAAAGTAGCAGGGGCGATTCCACTCCTATCTAAGAGAACTGTGGGAAAAAAATAATAGAAGACACAAGAATGTTCCCAGTGGCACAAACAGAAATGACACAAATGCCCATCAACAGTAGAATGGATAGATTGTAGTAGAGTCACATACACAGATGTGAGCAAAAGAAGCCAGTGGCAAAAGAACGTACTGTGTGACTCCATTTACATGTTTAAAAGAGGCAAAATGAACCTTAGAAGTCAGGTGAGCGGTACCCTTGTTGGGGGAGCAACTAGGAGGCGGTATGGGGAGGGGGACTTCCAGGGCACTGATCGGGACCTGGGTGCTGGATACGTGGGTGTGTTCATTTTGTAAAAATCTATGCATCTGAATATATGTACTTGCCTGTACATATATTAGACTTTATTTAAGTACCTACACACTTTTTTTTTCACTCTCAGGATATGCTGAAACATTTTTTTTTAATGGCAGAAATATTTAGATTAAAAAGTAGAATGTTCTGCCCTGGTATCGTGACTCTGACATTCCACGTGTCTTTCTCTTTACACTGGCCTGAATTCTTTTATTCACTACCTCCCTCCCCAGGTCTCTGTCCATCCCCTCTCATCTCCAACCCTCCCACCCACCCCGCCACCGCCCTCCGCTCCATCCAGGACAGAGAAAGCTCAGTCCTGGATGACCCAGCTCGATGACAGATTGTGAGGTGGGGAGTTTTCCCTTCCAGAGTAGGGCTGTATAATGTGTTTGTTACCTCGGGTCAAAGAGAACAAAAACAGTCTGCAGAGAGCATAATGCACAAACTCATCATAAGAGCAAGAAAGCCCCGGGCGAGCTGGCCAGAGAATAGATGAAGTGGCAAGCAACACTCGCAATTCACCTGCCTCCCTCTCCCACGATTCCCCCTTCCGAGGGGCCACTGCAATCCCCCTCTCCCCCAACAGCCCTCCAATCTGCAGGATTCAGGCTGGACAGAGGTAAGCTAAGGACACAGCAGAAGGGCTCCCCACCTCCTTCCTTTCCTCTTAGAAGTCTCCAAATCCAGGCTCCAGAAGGCGATCTAAAGCCATTTTCAATGAGGAAACCTGTCAGCCGAGCAAAGCCCTCTCACTCCTGGAGCTAACTGGGTGTGCACCCATGAATACCCTGTCCTCCTGCAAGGCACTCCCACTCCTCACTCTGTTGATAGGCAGAGTAATCAAGCCACCCCTGAGCACTTCAATGGGCCTGGGATGGTGAGGAATTGCTAACCTTAAGAACCAGCCTCTTTAAGAGTCTGAAACTTAGGAAGCAAAGACCTGGCACCTGCTTTGGGCACCAACGGAGATGGCATCGTAGTTAGAGGTATGCTCCCCTCAAAAGCACCTCTGCTGAACTTCTTAATTTTCCCCACCCTCAAAGTAGACCACTCACACACTCCAAAACCTCAGTGCCCTCTGTTGCAATCCCAGCACCCAGGATCCAAGCGCCAGGCTCGATTTTGAACCCCCCTGAAGTGAGTCCCTCTACCACCCGCCATGCTCCTCAAACAGCAACCCCCGGAGACCACACAGGGCCCAGCCCCGTTTAGTCTATAACTGCAAAACCACATACAAAAGGGATAGGGGACTCATCGCTGAGCCCCAGGGACCCATCCAGCCCGTTCATTTTTACACAGAGGGCAGCTGGTTGGAACTGTGCGGAGAAGCGGCACATCTGGGCATGGCACAGTGGCCAGCCAGCCTGGGCAGCAGGGTGTGTCCCCCCTCCTGGAATCTGGGTCATGCTTAGATAACTGCTAGAAAGCCCGACTAATTACCCACCCTTGCCTGCCTACATCTCGATAGATGTTAAGCCCTCCTCAAGGTTTATTTCAAGCAGGCAGGGATTTAAAGAAACACAGAAGATCTGCATTTTGATAGCATCTCCACAGAAGAAAATGTGGGCTTCACCTTTTTCCTCTGGATCTTTGATTAAAAAAAAAAAAATTTAAAAGGCATTTACCTACCTAAGATGTCCACATGGGTGCTGATTCTCCTGGTGTTCCCTCTCGGCTACTCGGGGTAGGAAAAGCTGGACATGGTGCTCTAAAATGGACCCACCACCTCATTTGCTGTTGCCCTGTCTTTCTTACTGAAAGTGTCCAGATCAGGTCTTCCCAGGCCAGGGGCCCAGATAAAGCAAGTGGGATCTCTTTCTCGACACCCCCAAAGATGATGAGGTTCCCCAATCAGCGGTTAAAGGCAATGGGACCTGCACACATGAGGGAAACATAAGCGCCCCCCAGCCCATCACTATCCTCTCCAGATAGGAACAGCGGCCCACCCTGGGGTACTCACTTCGGCCAGTGCTGGCTTCTCAGTGTGAAGGCCACATGGACTCCCTCTTGCTCTTAGCCCTGGGAGCCCCCAAGCGCCCTGCCCTAAAAGTGCGGCGGCCCCCCACCTTGGGGAAAGCAGTAGTGGAGAGGCTGTCCAGCTTCCCCTGCGTGGACTCCAGTGAGCGACGGCCAAGAAAACCCAACCAAGGCCCCCATAGTTCCCCTGCCCTGGCCAGAAGCGCCCAGGCCCGAGCCCGCTCCAAGCTCACTCCGTAGAACTCCAAACCCTCCGGACTTGGCTCGAAAGCCCCCACCAAGGCTCCTGCACGACCCCAGGCCCCAGATCTCATTCTAGAGTCGGTCCTTGGGAAGGATCCACTCTCCGCTGCCCACCCCCCAGCCCCCCACAAACCCATTCCCAAGCCTCCAGGGTAGCTCAACCCAGCTCGGGGTGGAGAGATTCTTTCACACTCCTCCCGGTGCCCCCTCTCCCAGCCCCTGGAAGACCCCCCTCCTCCCCACCTCCCATCAACCCCCGGGTCTCTCTCCCAGCCTGGAAGAGGGGAGGCGGAGGGAGGAGGGGGAGGCGCAGCTGCTGCTGGGGTTCGGGCAAAAGGATATGGCCATTCGGTGATCTTTTTGGCGTATTTTCTCACCACGTTGTCTTCGCTGAAGAGGAAGAGAGACCGGTTAACCGTGAGGCAGTTCTGTCGGACGGGGATGGGGTTGTAGAGTGCCATGGTCCGCGCTCTCTGCGCCATTGACTGCTTGTACATCCTTTGCGCCCCGGGCTGCCCGCCCTGCCGGCTGCCCCCGGCTCCTCGCCCGCCTCCGCTGCCCACGACCACCCCGGCGGCTGCCCCGGAGCCTCCTCCCCCGTAGCGGGCCGGCATCTCGTCTCCGAAGCGGGCCATTCTGCAAAGAGCAAAGGGCTCCGGGTTACGCTGCGGCGAACGATGCGGAAGACGCCGCCGCCGCCGCCGCCGCCGCTGATGCTGAGGCTGCCGGGGCTGGGAGCGCGGCGGCTGGAGCTACGACTGCGGAGACGCTCCACGGCCCAGCCCATCGGGCGGCGGCGGCTCGGCGCCTCGGGTCGGGGGCTCAGAAGGCGGCTGCCCGGGCCGAGCCGGGGATAGCAGCTCGGGACATCTTCCTGGCTGACCCCGGAGAAGGAGGGGCGGGAGGAGGGTGCGGGGGCGGGGCGCGGGGGCCCGGGGAGGAGGGGGGAGGGGAGAGAGAAGCGAGGCAAAAAATAACCGAGGAAGGAATCCAGGCAATCCCCAGTCCACCCACTCCGGAAAAAAAAAAAAAGAGACAGTTAAAAAAAAAAAATCCACCCAACGCACACCCCCTTTAAGACGCGAACGGTTTGCAAAGGACGCCCCCCCCGGGACGCAGTGGAAGCTTCAAATTCCTCCGAGGTCCGGGTCAGGCTGGCATCTTGCAAAAGGAGTGCGCTCGGCCCATTAAAAAAAAATAAAAAATAAAAAATAAAAAAATATATATATATTTAAAAATAAAGAAAGACGAAACCCAGGTCTGGGTGGGGAGGGCAAAAAAAAAAAAAAAAAAAATTAAGTGCCCTTCTGTTTTGCTGGAGTTCCTAGACCTTAAAAATGCTGAAAGATCTGTAGCTCCAAAAATAAAATAAAATAAAAACAAAGAAGATGAAAGGGAAGGGAAAGAGGAGGGAAGGGGAGTAAGACGCTCCAGAGGGTTCCTAAGGAGTCTTCACACCGCAGGGTCCAGGTTTAAAAAAAAAAAAAAAAATTTTTTTTCTTCCTGAATCACCAACGGCTGCCTCTTCTGCTCCCGGAGGAAGTGTGAGTGTGTATGTGCGCACAGCGTTTCGCTCAATGGTGCCTCATCTTGGGGTTAAATTGCAGCAGTGAAATCCTGAAAATTCCCAACAGGGGGAAAAGAGAGAGAGAGAGAGGTATGCGCCCTCCGCTTAGCCACTCAATAGCTGCCCCTGGATGCGGCAATGCCTCTCCACCCTCCAAATCCCTCCACCTCCTCCTTCTCTAGGTTTTGCTAAAATAAGACTGGTGTGGAGGGTTGCGGGTAGAAGAAGGTAAAGAGGAAAAAAAAATGGGCGCAAAGGTCTGAACCACTGGCCAGCAAACGGAAAAGGGGAGCAATTGATGAGTTTAACAGTAGAAGGACCCACCCAGAGTGTCGACACATGAGGGCCCGCGACCAATCGTGGAGGCTCGTGGAGGCGCGGGGGTACCGGGCTCAGCGGAGTTTGTGGGGGAGAGAGGGGAGCGTCGCATGGTTGGGAGGCAGGGAGGGGGGAATTGGGGTGCTTCCTCCTCCCCTGGGAGGAAAGCCTGTTTTCCACCCCGTTCCATTTCGGTTGCAGACAGCCGGACGCTCCCCAGCATCTTGCAAGGAGAAGGCAGGATGGAGGCAGGAAAAAAACTTAAAAGACAGAAAAGAGAAGGGGATTTGTGTCTAGAGGTGCGATTCGTCAGTCTCTAAACAAATTTGCTCTGTTTAGCAAAAGACCATTTTTGAAAGTGGAGAGAGTGGTTTGGGGTTACTTCTGTGAACGTTTCAAATCACAAGGACTCCTGCAAGTTGGAATTAAAGGTTTATTCTACCTTGGAGACCCCAGAGGTGACAAGTCTGAACTCCCAGGAGGAAATAATTAACCAGGTCCTAGTTGGCTGGATAGGGGTTCTGGGTGGTATAGTTTGCTTGATACTCACGTCTCTCCAGAACCACTTTGATTACTTCCCATTCTGCTTTTTGTGTGGTGAAATTCAATAAGCACAAAGAAAAATGCATAAAACATAAAGGTACGGAGTTAAGAAATTGGTCTGAAATGAACACTCATGAAATCAAGTCTAGGGCTAGAAATGGAACATCACCACCTCTGCAGAACCCCCTTTGCCAACACGCTTACACAGCCCCTTATTCCAGCAATAATCGCTACCTGACTTTATGGTATTCATATCTTGCTTTTTTAAAAAAAGTTTGACTACCTTATTATGCGTTCCTAACCAATACAATTTTACTTTGCTTCTTTTGGGCTTTTATATAAATGGAATAATCATATAGTATATATTCTACAGTTTCTTGTTTCTTCGGTTCAACATTATGTCTTTAAGATTCATCTGGCAGGGCACGGTGTCTGCGCCTGTAATCCCAGCACTTTGGGAGGCAGAGCATGAGGATTGCTTGAGGCCAGGGGTTTGAGACAAGCCTGGGCAATATAGCAAGACCCTGTCTCTCCAAAAACCTTTTTTAAAATAAAAATTAACCAGGCATGGTGATGTGAACCTAGTCCCAGCTACTTAGGAGGCTGAGATGGGAAGATCCCTTGAGTCCAGGATGTTGCAGTGAGCCAAGATCAAACCACTGCCCTCCAGCCTGGGCAACAAAGTGAGACTCTGTCAAACAAAACAAAACAAAACAAAAACAAACAAACAAAAAAAACAAGATTCATACATCCTAATCTGTTTCGAATTTTAGAAAAATTCACCTGTTTGTTGTCACACATGGCTGTGATTCATTCACTTTCACTGCTGTATAGTATTTCATCAAGAGAATATGCCACAATTTGTTTATCCATCATCTTGTTGATGGGTATCTGTTTTTTTTCCAGTTGGGGCTATTAAACATTACTGCCTCAGGTACCTTTGGTGCAGATAAGAATGCATGTCTCTAGGAATAGCCTTAGGTGTGGAATGTCTGGGTCCACAAGGTATTCATATCTTCAAGCTTATAAGATGTCATCAAACTGTCTTGCAAATTCAATGTACCAAGAAACCATTGAATTTTCATGGAGCTTGTATACGCAGAAAGGCCAAATGGAGAGGAATGGGAAAAGGATGAAAAAGGCAAATATTCTTTCAAGCCTTAGCTAGTTAAATCCTAGTTAATTCCCTTCCCCCCTCGCCACCCCACACACACATATCAATATTCGAGTTCTTTTGGAACACTCTGGAAAGATGATATGTCTTTATATAAAGTCCCCGTTCTGTGCCAATGCACCAACTATTATACATTGCCCCATAGCACTTTCAAGATTTTCTAACTTGTCACGATATGGATGAAATGATTAAACCAAGAGTGATTGGAATTGCAAGGAGATAGAATTGTGTGGGATTCAGGGAGAAGGAGGGGCTTTTAAGGCGCTCACCAAATATCAGTGATTTTTGTACTTGACATTGTTTCAGATATAAAAGGTGAACAGCAACTAATATGAAACAAGAAGCGAGCCCATGTGTTCAGATGGGAAGAACCAGTCATATGAGAGGAGCTGAGTTGAACTTATCATTTGTTCTGATGGACCTCTCTGAGAAGATTATTCAGTTTTAGAGCAGGAGCATTACCTGCATAGATCTGTGAAGACCCCAGAGTTTTTCAGGAAAGAGTGACATCTCACTGATGGAGCTCCTGCCAGGGTAAATCTCCCACTGAGTCTTCACAGCAGCCCCGTGGAACAGATGCAAACACTGAGGGTGAGGGAGACTTAAAAACTTTCCCAAGGTCACTAACGTGGATCTGAACCCATTTCTGACTCTTGTATTCTGTTGGACAGAGGGGAATTTGGTACAACCACTTTGGAAAACCGTTGGCTGGGTGCAGTGGCTCACATCTGTAATCCTAGTATTTTGGTGGGCAGAGGCAGGAGGACTGCTTGAGCCCAGGAGTTCAAGAGCAGCCTGGGCAACATAGTGAGACCCTGCCTCTACAAAAGGAAGGAAGGAAGGAAGGGAGGGAGGGAGGGAGGGAGGGAGGGGGGAGGGAAAGAAAGAGAGAAAGAAAAGAGAAGAAAGAGAGAAAGAAAAGAAAGAGAAAGAAAGAAAAGAAAAAAGAAAAGAAAAGGTCAGGAAATAAATAAATTAGTTGAGCATGGTGGTGCATGCCTATAGTCCCAGCTACTGGGGAGGCCAAAGTGGGAGGATTGTGTGAGCCCAGGAGTTTGAGGCTGCAATGAGCCAAGATCATGCACTCCAGTGTGGGAGACAGTCAAGTCTCAAAAAACAAACAACGACAACAAACACATAAAAAGAAAAACTTTTTGGTCATTTCTATTAACATGGCCATTTGAGTATCCTATGACCCAACAATGTCACTCCTGGGTATACACCCAGGAGAAATGAGGATATATGCCCTAGAATGTGCAGCACTATTCATACTTGCTAAAAGTTGGAAATTTCCAAAATACCGTAATGGATAAATACACTGTAGAACATGGAATTTTATGCAGCAATAAGAAAGGACAATATGGAGCTACACACAGGTGCATGGATGAATTTTACAAACTCCATGCTGAACCCAAGAAGACAGACACAGAACAGAACATGGTGTATAATTCCTGTTATATAAAGTTTAAAAAAAAATGGTGCACACCTGTAGTCCCAGGTATCCTGATTCCCAGCTACTCTGGAGGCCAAGACAGGAGGATGGCTTGAGCCCAGGAATTCGAGGCTTGCAGTGAGCTACATGATCTGTGCTCCAGCCCGGGCGACAGAGTGAGACCCAATCTCTTCTTTTAAAAAATTAAATAAGTAAATAATAACATTAAAAAATGAGCAACACTGATCACCTTTAGAAGTCAAAGGAGTAGTCGCTTTGAGGGTAAAGGGATACATTCTGGAAGCATCTCCATCTGGGTGACAGTGGCATGGGTGTGCTCACTTTTTAAGTTTTGTTCATTTTGTACCTTTTCACTGAGCTGCACGTGACTGATTTGTGCAGTTTTGTGTGTGCTGCCTACTTAAATAAAAAATATTTGTAGGCTGGGCATGGTGGCTCAAGACTATAATCCCAGCACTTTGGGAGGCCAAGGTGGGCAGATCACCTGAGGCCAGGAGTTCGAGACCAGCCTGGCCAACATGGTAAAACCCTGTCTCTACTTAAAATGCAAAAATTAGCCGGGCATGCTGGTGCATGCCTGTAATCCCAGCTACTCGGGAGGCTGAGGCAAGAGAATCACTTGAATCCAGGAGGCGGAGGTTGCAGTGAGCTGAGATCATGCCACTGCACTCCAACCTGGGTGACAGAGTGAGACTCTGTCTCAAAAAAAAAAAAAAAAATTCGTGATGCTCCTGAAGTACAGCCCAAGCAGCACCACTTGTCATGATGATTTGTGATTGTTCTCTTTGCACACTTTGACCATGAAGCCCCTATACAACAAAATCAGACATCTTTACTGGAGGACAAAGAACAGTCCTCCAGGATGCCCCAAACCGTGCCTAGGCAGCAGAGAAGCTGGCTGTGTACAGAACTGCCGGCAAAGTGTTGTGAACATTCAGATTCCTGAGCCATCCCACACTCTCTTTTATTTATTCAGCATGTCCCTGGGGTATAGCCAGTTTTGGCAACCACAGCTCTGGAAGGGGGCAAACTCACCATCTCTTTCTTGGCATTCTCTAGTGTTATCAAAGGAGGTGCTGTTGGCATTTTCGGTGCAACACTTGTTGCTCTTCAGGGCTGTCCTGTGCATTGCGGATTGTTTAGCCTTCTTGGCAAATGCCCACTAAATGTCAGTAGCATCCCTAGTCATGTGATAACCAGACATACCCACATACATTTGCAAACACCTCCTCTCACCTGCCATCAAGGTGACAGAAGAGTCTACACTTTCCTCTCACCAAATGGCATTTCCAAAGTTTGCCTGACTACGAAGTTTGGTGTGCTGGGGTTCTCCTCTCCTTCCTAGGAATCTTCTCAAGTCCTTCAACCCCCAATTGCTCAATACCTCTTTTCCAGAAAGAACTTAACTCATTTACTATAAAGTGTGGCAGGGCTCCATGTGCATTATCTTATAGATTCACTTTGCAGACATAACATTTCTGTAGCCAAAGGAATGAATCTCTAACACCAGAATCTTACCTATCACCTAGCAAATGGGAATGGATGGGCAAGAAGTCATTGCAGCCTCCTCAAATGACTGTAGTAGGTAGTTCCTGGACCCCCACTAATACAAATTACTAATGTTGACCAGGTAGAAAGATTTAGAATGTTATTAGCGTTGCAGACAGAAGCAGTTTAACAGCAGGCAGCCAGAAACCAGCCCCAACCATTGGTTCTAATCTTTAACACATCTGCCAGCTGGAGGTTTAATTTATCAATCAGCAGCAGCATTACTATACTGGCTTTAAGAATGTTATTCAATTGAACGGGGCTAGCATCTTTGAAATAAATGCCCCAAATAAATAACTGCAAATCGCATTCATTTGACTGCTAAAACAATTATCAGCAAATCTAGTCATGTTGAGTTGCAAAAATGGATCGGCCAAAAGACATTTGGTCTCTGCCTTCTGGTCTGGATACCCATGGGGAATGAGTATCAAGATCTTTGGGAGGTGGAGGATAAAAATGACAAAGCCAAATTTGATCATCCAGACATCTACGGGTCATGATGTAGGCACCCAAGAGTGAATTCAGAGACGGAATGTGGCTGCGACTTTGGGCATTACATTGCATAGCAGCATGTGCTCTGCAAGCTTCCAAAAACGAATGAGGCAAAGCCTAATTCTGGACACAGACCTGGTTTCAAATCCTAGCTCTCGAAATTCCTAGTAGTGTGCATTTGGAAAGGTGCTTCCCCTCTCTCAACTTCAGCTTCCTCAATAAAATGAAGACAAGACTCCTTACCCTACAGGTTGCTATAAGGATGAATTAAGATCAAGCAGAGGCCAGGTGTGATGGCTCATGACCATAATCCCAGCACTTTGGGAGGCTGAGGTGGGTGCATCACTTGAGCCTAGGAGTTCGAGACCAGCCTGGGCGACATGGTGAAACCCCATATCTACTAAAAATACAAAAATTATCCCGGCATGGTAGCACACGCCTGTAGTCCCAGCTACTCAGCTACTCAGGAGGCTGAGGTGGGAGGATCACCTGAACCTGGAAGGTTGAGGCTGCAGTGAGCTGTGATCATGTCACTGCATTCTAGCCTAGGTGATGGGGTGAGACCCTGTCTCAAAAAGAAAACAGACAAACAAACAAACAAAAATCAAGCAGATAAGCCCTCAGCATAATGACTAGCATACATATTATATAAGAATTCATGGTAAGTAGATTTTTAAAAAATCACCATAGTCGGCCGGGTGCGGTGGCTCATGCCTGTAATCCCAGCTCTTAGGGAGGCCGACGTGGGCAGATCACGAGGTCAGGAGATCGAGACCATCCTGGCTAACACAGTGAAACCCTGTCTCTACTAAAAATACAAAAAATTAGCCGGGCGAGGTGGTGGGCGCCTGTAGTCCCAGCTACTCGGGAGGCTGAGGCAGGAGAATGGCATGAACCCGGGAGATGGAGCTTGCAGCGAGCCAAGATCATGCCACTGCACTCCAGCCTGGGCGACAGAGCGAGACTCCGTCTCAAAAAAAAAAAAAAATTCACCATAGTCAATCTTCCAGACCTGAAATTTGTGAATATCACTGACTAAGATTGATTAAATATTACCTTATTTTTAACTTCTTAAATAAACATTTTATTTTGGCATAATTTTAGATTTACAGAAAGTTTGAAAACGTAGTACAAGAGAGTTATCATTATGCCCTTCACCCAGCTTCCTCTAATATTGACTTTTTTTTTTCTTTGAGACAGGCTCTCACTCTGTTGTACAGGCTGGAGTGCAGTGGCACAATCACGGCTCACTGCAGCCTCGACTTCCTGGGTTCAAGCGATCCTCCCACTGCAGCCTCCTGAGTAGCTGAGTAGCTGAGACTACAGGCATGTGCTACCATGCTCCGATAATTTTTGTATTTTTAGTAGGTATGGGGTATCACCATATTGCCCAGGCTGGTCTCTAACTTCTGGGCTCAAGCGATGCACCCACCTCGGCCTCCCAAAGTGCCGGGATTATGGTCATGAACCATCACACCTGGCCTCTGCTTGATCTTAATTCATCCCTACAGCAACCTGTAGGGTAAGAAGCCTTGTCTTCATCCCTAGTAGCTGAGACCACAGGCACAAAACACCATACCAAACTAATTTTTTTTTCTTTTTTTTTTTCTTTTTTTGAGACGGAGTCTTGCTGTCTCCCAGGCTGGAGTGCAGTGGCGCGATCTCGGCTCACTGCAGGCTCCGCCCCCCAGGGTTTATGCCATTCTCCTGCCTCAGCCTCCCGCGTAGCTGGGATTACAGGCGCCCGCCACCTCGCCGGGCTAATTTTTTTTTGTATTTTTAGTAGAGACGGGGTTTCACCGTGTTAGCCAGGATGGTCTTGATCTCCTGACCTCGTGATCCTCCCGCCTCGGCCTCCCAAAGTGCTGGGATTACAGGCGTGAGCCACCGCGCCCAGCCCCAAACTAATTTTTAATTTTTTGTAGAGACAGGGTCTCACTCTGTTGTCCAGGCTGGTCTCAAACTCCTGGGCTCAAGCAATCCTCCCACCTTGGCCTCCCAAAGTGTTGGGATTACAGGTGGGAGCCACTGTGCCCAGCCTCATTTTGTCTCCTTAGTCTCCTCTGATCTGTTTCTTCGTTTCTCACAACCTTAATAATGTCTAGGAGTACTGATCAAGTACTTTGTAGAACGTCCCTCACCTTGGGTTTGTCTGTTTTCATGATTAAACTGGAATAATGGATTTGAGAGAAGACCATTGCACAGAGGTGCAGTGCCGTTCTCTTTGCATCAGATCAGGGTGTAAGATAGTTACATGACTTACCATTAGTGATGTTAACCTCGATCCCTTGGTTAAGGTGGTGTCTGCCAAGTTTCTCCACCATCAAGCTACTGTTTTTCCCAATACCTACTCTACCTTCTGAACAGTCACTAAGGCCTACCCACATGAAGTGGAGGAAGAGGGATAAATATCCCCTTCTGGACTGGGAAGTATCTATCCGTATTCTTTAGAATTCTTTCATAAGGAGGCCGGGCACAGTAGCTCATGCCTATAATTCCAGAACTTTGGGAGGCTGAAGCAGGCAGATCACTTGAGCTGAGGAGTTCGAGACCAGCCTGAGCAACATAGTAAAATCCCATCTCTACAAAAAATAACAAAAATTAGCGGGGCATGGTGGCACTCGCCTGTAGTCCCAGCTACTCTGGAGTCTGAGATAGGAGGATTTCTTGAGCCCAGGAGTTCAAGGCTGTAGTGAGCTATGATCTTGCCACTGTACTCCAGCCTCAGTGACAGAATAAGACCGTATTTCTGAAGAAAAAAAAAAAGTTATATATGTAGGCAATTTGGCAACTACCATAAAAACATACAAGAACTATCAGGGGATAATGAAAGTTTGAGGGATAACAGATCATTTACATAGTGTCAGAGTATCTTCCCAAAGACAACTGTTAATTTTAATGGTCAAAACAGTAACCTGATAGTGGAGCACCCTGGCAGATAAGCAAGTGACGGGCAAATCACGTGCCTCCTAGAATGACATACCAAGAAGGCTGCAACATCGCTTCTAGGAACTTCTGCCAAAAATGCATGATTTGAATAATTGGTAAACAACCATGTTCAGATTAAGGGGCACTTTATACAATAAGTATTCTTTGGAAGTGTTAATGTCGTGAAGCCCAGATAAAGACAGAACAACTGGTCCAGAGTAAAGGAAATGTGACTGACCAAATTCAACAAGTGAGCCAGGACCTCCTTTTGCTACAAAGGACGCTATTGGAACAATTGGTGACATCTGAATAAGATCTGTAGATTACATAATAACAGTGTTCATATGCTAATTTCCTAATTTTGATCATTGTGCTGTGCTTATGTAAGAGAATGCCCTGTTTTGGGAAACACACTGAATTATATAGGGTTAAAGGGCCATGATATCTACAAATTACTCTCAGTGGTCAACGGTTGGGGTAAGGAGAGAAAGAGAGAGAGAGAGGATAAAGTAAAGTGTAAGTGGTAAAATGTTAACATTTGAGAAACCTGGATAAGTGATATAGGCGACTTCTTTGTACCAGTCTTACAACTTTTTGGTAAATCTGAAATTTCAACAAAATAAAAAGTTAAAATAAATGAGTGGCTACAAAAATTGCAGAGGCACAAGGTTCATTCATTCTCCTGACTGTATGGAACATCTGCCATGTGCCCAGTAATTTTGCCAGCACAGAACAAGGCAGACAGAATTTCCCGTTGTCGTGGAGTTGAATGGAGATGAGGAATAAATAGAGTAAATAATAAGGAAAATACATAGTATGTCAGATGAGGCTAAGTGCTAAGGAGAGAAACAAAGCAGGAAAGGGAATAGAGGGTGCTGCCATTGGGAATTAGAGTCAAATGCGTCTCTGAAACAGGTTTTGTTATGCAAAATAGCAGCCCCCTGCCTCCCTCCATGTTTCATATCCCCCTCCTGAAAGATACTCACTATCAACACTTTTCGCTGATTTTTTTTTCTTTTTTGAGAAGGAGTCTTGCTCTGTCACCCAGGCTGCAGCGCAGTGGCACAATCTTGGCTCACTGCAACCTCCGCCTCCCAGGTTCAAGTGATTCTCCTGCCTCAGGCTCCCAAGTAGCTAGGCTTATAGGCACCCACCACCACACCCGGCTAGTTTTTTGTATTTTTGGTGGAGACGGGGTTTTGCCATGTTGGCCAGGCTGGTCTCAAATTCCTGACCTCAAGTGATCTGCCTTCCTCAGCCTCCCAAAGTGCTGGGGTTACAGGCATGAGCCCCTGAACCTGGCCACCTTTTGGCTGATTTTAAAAATCATTATGGATATATAATAGTTGTGCCTATCTATGGGGTATATGTGACATTTTGATACAAGCATACAACGTGTAATGATCAAATTAGGGTGACTGGGATATCCACCACCTCAAGCATTTACCATTTCTTGGCTATTATTAAAAAGTCAAAAAATAACAGATGCTGATGAGCTTGTGGAGAAAAAGGAATGCTTATACACTGTTGTTGGGAGTGTAAATTAGTTCAACCATTGTGGAAGACAGTGTGGTGATTCCTCAAAGACCTAAAAACAAAAATACCATTACACTCAGCAATCCCATTACTGGGTATATACCCAAAGGAATATAAATTGTTCTATTACAAAGACACATGCACGCGTATTCATTGCAGCGCTATTCACGATAGCAAAGACATGGAATCAACCTAAATGCCCATCAACGGTAGACTGAATAAAGAAAACATGGTACATAAATATCCTGGAATACTATGCAACCATAAAAGAACAAGATCGTGTGTTTTGCAGGGACATGAATGGAGCTGGAGGCCATGATCCTTAGCAAACTAATGCGGGAACAGAAAACCAAATACCGCATGTTCTCACTTATAAGTCGGAGCTAAATGATGAGAACACATGGACACATAGAGGGGAACAACACACACTGGGGCCTAATTGGAGGGTTTAGTGTGGGAGGAGGGAGAGGATTAAAAATATAACTAATGGGTACTAGGCTTAAGACCTAGTACCCAGATTACAGGCGTAATCTGTTACACCTGTAATCACAGCACTTTGGGAGGCCAAGAAGGGCGGATCACCTGAGGTCAGGAGTTCGAGACCAGCCTGGCCAACATGGTGAAACCCCATCTCTACTAAAAACACAAAAACTAGCTGGGAGTGGTGACAGGTGCCTGAAATCCCAGCTACTCAGGAGGCCAAGGCAGGAGAATCGCTTGAACCCGGGAGGCGGAGTTTGCAGTGAGCCGACACGGTGCCACTGCACTCCAGCCTGGGCAACAGAGTGAGACTCTGCCGCGAAAACTAATAATAATAATCTGTACAACAAACTCCAGGACACAAGGTAACCTATATAACAATCTTACACATATACCCCCTGAACTTAAAAGTATTTTTTAAGAAAGGATTTACCATTTCTTTGTGATGGGAACATAAATTATTGTTACCTATAGTCACCCTATTGTGCTGCCAGGCACTAGATTTTATTCCTCCTATCTAACTCTATTTTTGTACCCATTAATCATTTCCTCTTTATTCCACCCTCCCCACTACCCTTCCCAGCTTTTGGTAACTATCACTCTACTCTCTACCTCCATGACTTCTTTTTTTTTTTTTTTTTTTTAAGCTCCCACATATGAATGACAGCATGCGATATTTGTGTTTCTGTGCCTGGTTCCCTTTAGCTGATTATTTTGCTATTTACTACCATATTATTTATATTGGGTTTTTGTTTGTTTGTTTCAGAGATGGAGGTCTCACTCTGTTACCCAGGCTGGGGTGCAGTGGTGCAATGTCAGCTCACTGCAGCCTCAAACTCCTGGGCTCAAGTAATCCTCCCACCTCATCTTCCTGAGTAGCTAGGACTACTGATGCACACCTCCACACCTGGCTAATTTTATTATTTGTTTTTGTAGAGGTAGTGTCTTGTTGTGTTGCCCAGGCTGGTCTCGAACTCCTAGTCTCAAGCAATCCTCCTGCCTCAGCCTCCCAAAGCACTGGGATTACAAGTATGAGCCACCACACCAAGCCCCACATCGTTCATTCACTTACTTCTTTCTACTTTTAAATTTTTCAGTTTTAGTCATTATTTATTTGTTCCAACACTATTATTTTATTCAACTAATATTTCTCAAACTGACCACATACTATGCGTAGCATACTATGCCAGCCACTACAGATAATATAGAGAAGCATTAACTATCAAAGAGCTTATAGTTAGGTTGGGAAAACAAGTCGTACACTTGTGAATATTTAAGTAGTATTAAGAAATAGCCAACAGCAATACCCAAGGATATTATAATGAAAGCAACAAAGAAGTATCCTGTCTGGGTGTTGTAGCACTTTATAGGTATTAGCTATAGAAAAGGAGGATTTTGCTAATTTCTCCCTCCATCCCCCTACACATGGAACTTTCCAAAACCTGCGCATTTGCCCAATATTGTTCTTTCACAAAGTGAGGAAGATTCGGTGTTTATATTATCATGTACAAGGCAAGTTACAGTTATGTCATGAACAAACTATAGCTACTTTTTCTTTACAACATATTGTTTCCCTTGGGACTTATCATTTTTTAATCTTCTTTGTTTGGTACTTATTGCAAATTTGACCCCCCAAGTCTCTTAACAGGTATTCAGTTCATTTTATCATCCAGAAGCAGTCTTTCCTGAAGACTTGTCACATGGTCTAATCAGGACTTTCCCTGGCATACAGCTTTCATCCTGGGCTCTCTCTTTATCATCATCCAGGAGATTCCCTTTGCTTCTCATTGTTGGATTTCTTAAGTCCAGTGTTCTCTGTTTCCCTCTTCTTGGTTTACTCCCTTGTTTGGGTGAAGCACATCCTCTGGTAGCTTCCTAAGAAAGGATGCATGAGAGGTTTTCCAGTTACCTATTGCTGCATAAAAACCAGCCCAAACTTAGTAGCATAAAACAGCAACATTCATTTTTATTATCACATTTTGTGATTTGGGTGGTCAACTGGGATCATCTGAGTGGTTTTCACTTGGGGTCTTTCATGCAAATACAGTCAGATGGCGAGAGGGACTAGGGTCATCTCAAAGGCTTCCTCAGTCACAGGGCTGGAACTTAGGCTGGAAAGACTCAAACAACTGAGGTTTCTCAAGCATCTATCTCCATTTCTATGTGGTATCTCCACATGGCATCTCCAGTATGGCAACTTCAGGATAGCTGAACTTCTCTTATGCCAGTTCAGGACTCCAAAGGCACATGTCTCAAGGGAGAGAGCCAGGCAGAAGCTGCATCTCCTTTTATGAGCTAACCTTGGAAGTCACAAAGCATCACTCCTTCCCTACTCTATTAGTTGAATCAGTCACAAAGGTTCACCCAGGTTCAAAGGGAGAGAATATAGATTCCAATCCTTTATGGGGAAGTGATAAAATTCTAAGCAAGTGTAAAATGGGAGCCATTGTGCAGCCATTTTTGAACAGTCTAATCTGTCTCAGGAAGTAAATATTGGAGACTTCTATGTATGAAATGCTATTGTTTTAGCTTTATACCTCATTGGTAGTTTGGCTGGGTATAGAATTCTGGTTTGGAGATCATTTTACTTCAAAAATGTGAAGTATTGCTCCAACGTATTCTCAATTCCAGTATTGCTGTTGGGAAGTTTGAAGCATTCTTACTCCTGATTTCTTGTATATGACCTCATTTTTTTTCTCTAGTAGCTTTTAGAATCTTTTTCCATTGTGTTCTAAAATTTTATTATGATGTAAGTTAGTTTAGGTCTATTTTCAGTCATTGTACTGGGCACTTAGTATGATGATTGTTACCCCCTTTTTTTAGAGACAAGGTCTTACTTTGTCACATAGGCTGGAGTGCAGTGGTGTGATCATAGCTTATTACAGCCTCGAACTCTTGGGCTCAAAACAGTCCTCCTACCGCAGGCTCCTGAGGACTATAGGAGTGTGCCACCACACCCAGCTAAGATTCTCACCCTTTTTTCATGATTCTCTTTTAAACTTATTATTTAGATGTTGGACTTTCTGGACTGATTCTCTTATCTGTTCCTTTCCTTCTATTTTGTATTTCCATTGTGTCTTAATCTTCTTTTTGAGAGATTTCTCTAATTTTATCTTTCCACCTTTTGTTCAGTTTTTTATTTATGCTTTTATATTTTTTAATTTCAAGAGGCTTTTGGTATTGCTATAATTGTTCTCTGAGTGTTCCTTTTCCATAGTATTCTGCCAACAGCCACAAGTTTAAGCTTGAAATCACATCTTCCCCCAGTCAAGCCTTAAGATGAGAACGAAGCCCCAGTTGATACCTTGATTGCAGCCTCAAGAGAGACCCTGAAACTGCTGCACCCTGGTTCCTGACTCACATAAACTGTGAAATAAATGTTGCTTAAAGCTGCCAAGGCTTTGGTAAATTGTTACACAGCAATAGATAATACATTAAGTCTCCATATTTCTTATCTTCTCTTCCTGAAATAAAATAGCCAATTTTTCTCCTTTCTGGATCTCAAAAAGATTTATTCTCTGAGACAGGCATTAGAGCTGTTCACCAAATATTTCCAGTTCTCCATATACAGGCATGTGTAAGATGTAAGCTGGCATTTCCTGGCCCCCTTGTGGTCTGCTGGGGTCATGTGACTAATTCTGACCAATGAGTTCTCAGTGGAAATGAAACATGTCACTCCCAGGTTGAAGCATTTAATAACCAATACAAATCTCTCTAATGTTGCAGTGTCCAAGGCAGTAGCCACATGTGGCTATCAAAATTAAACAACATTTAAAATCCTGTTGTTCAGTGGTACAAGCCATATTTCTAGTCCTCAAAAGCTACATGTATCTAGTAGCTACTTTATTAAACATTGGAGATAGGGAACATTTTTGGAAAGTTCTATTGAACTTTTGAAAGTGGTCCACGGCAGTGCTCTACACCACTTTTTTCTTCTGCATAGGAACTGGCAAAGCTCCAGGTGGCAAACGCTCCTTAAGACTAGCTCCAGAGTGAGGACAACATGCAACATAAGTGACTCTTTAGCTTTTTCTTTTATTGTGGAAAAATATGCATCATAGCCGGGTACAGTGGCTCATGCCTGTAATCCCAGGACTTTGGGAGGCCAAGGTGGGTAGATCACCTGAAATCAGGAGTTCGAGACCAGCCTGGCCAACATGGTGAAATCCCGTTTCTACTAAAAATACAAAAACTTAGCTGGGAGTGGTGGCGGGCACCTGTAAGCCCAGCTACTGGGGAGGCTGAGGCAGAAGAATCACTTGAACCAGGGAGGTGGAGGTTGCAGTGAGCCGAGGTTGCTCCATTGCACTCCAGCCTGGGCAATCAAAGCGAAACTCTGTCTCAAAAAATATATATGCATAATAAAAACTTGATCATTTTAACCATTTTTAAGGTGTACGTTTCAGTGGCATTAAGTACATTCACATAGATGTGTAACCGTCACCATGATTCGTGTCCAGAATTTTTTCATCTTCCCAAACTGAAACTCTGTCCCCATTAAACACTAACTTCCCATTCCCTCTCCCCCAGCCCCTGGCAACCACTCTTCTACTTTCTGTCCCTATGAATTTAACCACTCTAGGGACCCCATATAAACAGAATCATACAGTATTTGTCTTCCTGTGACTGGCTGATTTCACTTAGCATTATGTCCTCAAGGTTCATTCATGTCGTAGCATGTGTCATAATTTCATTCCTTTTTTAAGGCTGAATAATATTCCTTCATATGGATATACAACACAATGCTTATCCATTCACCTGTTGACACACACTTGTGTTGCTTCCACCTTTTGGTTATTGTGAATACCGCTGCTATGAAATGGATGTACAAAGGAACATCTGTTTGAGCCCCTGCTTTCATTTCTTTGAGGTTTACACCCAGAAGTAAAATTGCTGGATTATACATTAACTTTATATTTGAGTTTTTGAGGAATCACCATACCATTTTCTGCAGCGGCTGCAGAGTCCTTAGCTTTGAGAAGTACATATTAAAATATTTGCAGATGAAATCATACGATGTCTGAGATTTCCTTTAACAGGGTTAAACACAACCCAGGGTTATGTTAGAGCAAATTAAAGGTTTGCTTCAATTTGCAAATTAAGGTTATGTTTAAGTTTGGGCTAGAGAAATACAAGATGTGTTATGAGTTGATAATTATTGAAGATGGGTTATAGGAATTGGGTGGGATATCATTCTATTTTCTCTTCTTTCATATGTGTTTGAACTTTTCCAAAAGAAAATAAATTTACTTTTCATATAAAGTGCTTGAAGTATTCTTAATTCACATTGAGACAAGGGCCTCACACTTAATTATGGAAACAAAAGTACTCAAGCTTACTATATTCTTAGGCAATTACAAATTATATTCAGCATCTAACCCCTCTGGTAAGTCAGGAGCTTGATTAAATGCTTAGTTATATATTCATGTGTATCCTAAGAAGTTAGCAAGGGAAATTTAATCAAATGAGCTACACCTGCTTATGGAAATGCAGATCTTAGTTTTTCTTTTTTCTTTTTTTTTTTTGAGACAGAGTCTCACTCTGTCGCCCAGGCAGGAGTGCAACGGCACGGTCTCGGCTCACTGCAACCTCCACCTCCTGGGTTCAAGCAATTCTCCTGCCTCAGCCTCCTGAATAGCTGGGATTACAGGCGCCCACCACCACGCCCGGCTAGTTTCTGTGTTTTTAGTAGAAACAGGGTTTCACCATGTTGCTCAGGCTGGTCTTGAACTCCTGACCTTGTGATCCTCCCGCCTCAGCCTCCCAAAGTACTGGGATTACAGGCATGAGCCACCGCGCCCGGCTGGTTTTTCTTGAGTAAGAACCGAGCAAGGTGTCCCCAGGTTGCAAAATAACAAGTTTTACCACACCTGGAGATAAAGTTACCAACGATAGGATCAAGTGCACTATTTCACCTAGAAAGCTTGAGAAAAATTATCAGCTTCATCTGTTCATTCATTCATTTGACATATGTTGATTATGCATTTATTCTATACCAGATCCTATCCCAGGCACATCCATTAATAGAGCAAATAATTTCCTGTTCTTAGGAAACTCACTGTTTAGGGCAGAGAAATCAGACAAATAAACTCAGGCAGATTTATCATCTGTCAGGTAAAGATAGTTTTTATAAGAAAAATGGAGGCCAGGTGTGGTGGTTAACGCCTGTAATCCCAGCACTTTGGGAGGCCACGGCTGGTGGATCACTTGAGGCCAGGAGTTAGAAATCAGCCTGGCCAACATGGAGAAACTCTGTCTCCACTAAAAATACAAAAATTAGCTGGGGATGGTGGTGCATGCCTGTAATCCCAGCTACTTGGGTGGCTGAGGCATGAGAATTGCTTGAACCCAGGAGGCGGAGGTTGTAGTGAGCCAAGATCACACCATTGCACTCCAGCCTGGGTGACAGAGCAAGACCCTGTTGAAAGAAGAAAGGAAGGAAGGAAGGAGAGAGAGGGAAGGAAGGAAGGAAGGAAGGAGAGAGGGGGAAGGAAGGAAGGAAAGGGAGAGAAGGAAGGAATAAAGGAAGGAAGGAGAGAGAGGGAAGGAAGGAAGGAAAGGGAGAGAGAGAAGGAAGGAAGAAAGGAAGGGAGGGAGGGAGGGAAGAGAGAAAGAAAGAAGAAAGAAAGAAAAAGAAAAAAGAAAAAGAAAGAAAGAGAAAAGAAAAGAGAGAAAGAAAGAAAGAAAAAAAGAAAAAGAAAGAAAGAAAGAAGCAGGTAAGGGTCAGAGTGGGAGCTATTTTGCAAAAGACTGCTCTAAGAAGGTGATATTTGAGCAGAGACATGAAGGCAGGAAAAGACGTGCTGCTATCTGAAGGAAGAGCATCGCAGGCACAGGGAACAGCATAGGCAGAGGCCTAGATGGAAGATGCCTGGCATGCTTGAAGAACATTAAGGAGGCTTGTGTGGCTGGAGTGGAGAGAATAGGACATGAGGGCAGGGAGGTGATGGGGATTATGGGGCTGGCATTCCATGTTGGGCCTTTATTGTTTTAAAATGTAGGTTTTATTATTATTGTTATCTTTTTGAGACAGGTTTTTGCTCTATTGCCCAGGCTGGATGCCATGGCATGATCATGGGGGAGATTCACTGCAGCCTCAACCCCCTGGGCTCAAGCAAACCTCACACCTCAGCCTCCTGAATTGCTGGGACTACAGGCGTGTGCCACCATGCCTGGCTAATTTTTCCGGGTTTCTTTTGTAGAAATAGGGATCTTGTTATGTTGCCAGGGCTGGTCTTGAACTCCTGGTCTCAAGCAATCTTCCCACTTCAGCTTCCCAAATTGCTGGGATTACAGGCATGAGCCGCTGCACCCAGCCCAGTTTTATTATTATTCAGGTATGGCAAGGCCACTAGATCAGGGGATGACTGCCATTGAAAAGACAGTTTGTTACTCACAGGTCCAAGAAGAAGGGGCACGCCCATGCTATGCAGGGCCACACAGGGAAGCACCAGGGCTGGGCCAGGGACCGAGGGAATAAAGAAAACATGTGGGCAAGAGCCTTTATTGTGGTTTCCATGGGAAGGAATGAGCCAGGCAGGGTGAGGGCTTCGGGGCATGGGAGTTGCCCCTCGTTGTTTGGTACCTGGCTCTGAGATCATTAGAGCAGGGGAATAGTGTCCCAGCATGTGAGAGCCCAAGAAAGGAGATGGTTGGGGGTGTAGATCTGGATTGGTTGGTTTGCATGTAAAAGGCTCTTTACTATCTAGAAATTGTCTAGCTCTGGGAGGGGGCATCCTTGTAGGGTCAGCAAAGCCCCACATATCAGAGAATCAGAAATACATGGTTAAGACCGGGTACAGTGGCTCATGCCTGTAATTCCAGCACTTTGGGAGGTGGAGGGGGGTGGGTGGATCACTCAAGGTCAGGAGTTCGAGACCAGCCTGGCCAACATGGTGAAACTCTGTCTGTACAAAAAATACAAAAATTAGCCTGGTGTGATGGCGGGTGCCTGTGGTCCCAGCTACTTGGGAGGCTGAGGCAGGAGAATCTCTTGAACCTGGGAGGCAGAGCTTGCAGTGAGCTGAGATCATGCCACTGCACTCCAGCCTGGGTGAGAGTGAGACTACATCTCAAAAAACAAACAAACGAGCAAAAAGACATGGTTAATACGTTGATTTTATGAAACTTGCCTCAAAGATGTTTCCTCTTGTAAAGGCACATTGGGGCTCTTAAAATGTTTCGAGTTATAGGACCTCAAAGCTCCTGTCTGTCTTGTTCACTGCCTCAGCCTCAGCCATGAAGAGAGGTCAAAATAGAAACCCAACACCTCCAGAAGTGAAAAGGGCAAGTTGCAGAGAAGTGCAGGTGTTGAGCTATCTTTATGAAAGAAAGAGACAGAAATACATGAAAAAAAGAAAAACCATTTTGCTCATATTCTCAAGAAGAAACAAAAGATTAGCCAGAAACCAATACAAATTATTTTCCAATGGGGAGAGAGAGAGAATGAAGCTGGGGACACAGGTAGGGGGCATTTGATTCTGATGCCTCCTTAGAAGGAGAATAGCATGATTTCCCCAGAAAATGGAGACTTGGTCCTTTTATTTTCTTCTGTTTTGCCCAACGACTAAAAAAGAGCTTGTATGTATCCGGGGAAGACAACAGAGAATGTGGTAAGAGAGTTAGGCTTGGTGACAACAAGAATGGGAGCACACGCACATGTTTGCAAGGTTACACATAAATATATGCATACATCTGTGATCTCCTTCCATAGCTGTTCTGCCTTTTCCGTCACTGAAATAACAACTAAATCATCTCATGTCCCATATGGCAGCCAGACTGTCACAAAGTTAATGGACATAAAGTTCACAAGGGCTTGTGGTACAAAAAGTAAACTTTTTGAATTATAAGGAAGTAGGTACTACACTGGTGCAGCAAACACTGTCCAGCCATGCCCTGACCACTTGAGTGCATGCAGGTCTGACTTCCCCCTGCCAGCCCCCAGGGCATTTTCTCTGGCTATCAAAGTGTCCACTCAGCAGTCTGTGGTGTTAGAGAATTAATACTCCCATCCTTTAACTTATGATGGATGGGAGTTGATGGATCAATACCCCAGCTCCCTCACCACTAGCATGCAACAACGCTGAGGAATGTGCTCTCTGCTGCCTCCCAGAGGTCCCCACTGGTAATTGAGACCCAGTTGCTCATGGTGGTAACTTGCCTGATGACTCACTTATCACTGGGTCTTCCCTTTCCTACTTTTCTGCCAGTGTGTTTTGGGATCTCCTCCAGAAGCATTCAAATCTCTGCTTCTGGATCTGCTTCTTGGGAGTTGGGGGGCGGGATTCAAACTAAGACAATGGAGTTGGACAGATTCTGTTAGCTACTTCAAAATATTTAGGCAGAAGGAAGGAACTTCAGGGCATTCAGGGCAGTTTTCCTGGATCCTCCACTGAACTTCCTTCCTTTCATTTTCCTTCCTTCCTTCCTTCCTTCCATTTCTTCCTCTTGTTTCTTCCTCTCATTCTCCTTTCTTTCTCTCTCTTTCCTTCCTTCCTTCCAGCTCAAGACATGGGGCTGCTTCTGCTGGGGCAATACTTAATGGTGTTACATACAAAGGTTTTTTTTCCATATTGGGGGAAATATTTTTAGGAAGGACTTCCTTTTTTCCTTCCTTCCTTCCTCCCTTCCTTCCTTCCTTCCTTTCTCCTTCCTTCCTTCATCAAAAAAGAGTATGAAAGGTGTCTTAGTCCATTAGTGTTGCTATAAAGGAATACCTGAGGCTGGGCAATTTATAAAGAAAAGAGGTTTGTTTGGTCAACAGTCCTGCAGGCTGTACAAGAAAGTTGGTACAGGCATCTGCCTCTGGTGAGGGCCTCAGGCTGCTTCCATCATGGTAGAAGGTGAAAGGGAGCTGGCATGTACAGAGACCACATGATGACAGAGGAAGCAAGAGAGAGCAGAGAGAAGTGCCAGAGTCTTTTGAACAACCAGCTCTTGGGGGAATTAATAGAGCAAGAACTTACTCATTACTGAGAGGAAAATACCAAGCCCTTCATGAGTGATCTGCCCCCATAACCCAAACACCTCCCACTAGACCCCATCTCCAACATTGAGAATTAAATTTCAACATGAGATTTGGAGGGGTCAAATATCCAGACCAAAAGCAAAGGGTTTTGTATGACAAAACAAGCATATATCAGGTACCCCCGATATGTTTACTACCTGAGCCTTATTGTGTCACCAAAAAATACCAGAAATACTCGTCAAAGATTTAGACCCACACACACTATCCAAAACCTAGCCATAAGCCACATGTGGCCACTGAGTGCTTGAAATGTGACTCATCTGAATTGAGATCAGTAAAGCATAAAATACACACCAGATATTGAAGATTTTTGTTTCTGTTTGTTTGTTTGTTGAGACAGGTTCTCACTCTGTCGCCCAGGCTGGAGTGCAGTGGCGTGATCATGGCACACTGCAGCCTTGACCTCCTGGATTTAGGAGATCCTCCTGCCTCAGCCTCCCTCGTAGCTGGGACTACAGGTGCATACCACTATGCCCAGCTAACTTTTTGTAGAGATGGGGTTTTGTCATGTTGTCCAGGCTGGTCTGGAACTCCTGAACTCAAGCAATCTGCCTGTCTTGGCCTCCCAAAGTGCTAGGATTACAGACATGAGCCACTGTGCCCAACCTGAAGACTTAATGTTTTTAAAAGTCTGAAATATCTCAATAGTTTATATGTTCATCTCATGTGGAAGTAACATTTTCAATATATTG
Source organism: Homo sapiens (assembly GCF_000001405.40). Classification (NCBI taxonomy): domain Eukaryota; kingdom Metazoa; phylum Chordata; class Mammalia; order Primates; family Hominidae; genus Homo; species Homo sapiens. Next base: position 13,528,348 of record NC_000019.10, read on the forward strand.
GGTTAAAAATATATTATTAAAACTAGCTTCACCTGTTTCTTATTACCATTTCTAACGAGGCTACCTGAAAATTTAACATTACATATGTGATCCTTGTATTTCTTTTGTTTTCTTTTCTTTCTTGTTTTTTTTTTTTTAGAGACAGGGTCTCACTTTGTTGCCCAGGCTGGAACACAACGGCACAATCATAGCTCACTGCAGCTTTGAATTCCTGGCCTCAAGAAATCCTCCCACCTCAGCCTCCCAAAGACTTGGGATTACAGGGATGAACCACAGCACCCTGACCCCTTGTTGTATTTCTGTTGGACAGTGCTTATCGGATGACTACCAAGCCCTGCACTTCTTTTTGTTTGTTTGTTTGAGATGGAGTCTTGCTCTGTCACCCAGGCTGGAGTGCGGCAGTATGCTCTCGGCTCATTGCAACCACTGCCTCCCAGGTTCAAGCAATTCTCCTGCCTCAGCCTCCCGAGTAGCTGGGGTTACAGGCACCTGCCACCACACCTGGCTAAGTTTTGTATTTTTAGTAGAGTTGGTGTTTCACCATGTTGGCCAGGCTGGTCTTGAACTCCTGGCCTCAAGTGATCCACCCCCTACCTTGGCCTACCAAAGTGCTGGGATTACAGACATGAGCCACCGTGCTTGGCTTCTTTTTTCTTTTTTCTTTAGAGACAGGGTTTCACTGTTGCTCAGGCTGGAACACAGTGGCACGATCATAGCTCACTGCAGCCTTGAATTCCTGGCCTCAAGCAATCCTCCCGTCTCAGCCTCCCAAAGAGCTGGGATTATAGGCATGAGCCACAGCACCCTGATCCCTTGTTGTATTTCTGTTGGAGAGTGCTTGCCTGGATGGCTACCCCAGCCCTGCACTTCTGAGCTCCATGACCCCTTAGAAATGGTTTCCTCATCTAGAAACAATGCAACAGCAACAAAGAATAATAATACCATGCTAACATCCATGCTGGGTTCTACTTATGTGAGTTTGAACTATCATTTCACCTCTTTGAGCCTCAGTTTCCTCACCTGCAAAATGAGGATGAGGACAGGACACACCCCATGGGATCACGAAAGGATGGAACAATGCCCTCCCTCTATATGTGACAGGCCAAGCACAGGGTAGTGGAAAATAAACACTGACTTCATTGGCAATCCTCTTTACTGAGTGCAGTTGAAATTGCCTCTTACAATGCAAATCAAAACCACAGTGAGATACCATCTCACGCCAGCCAGAATGGCAATTATTAAAAAATCAGGAAACAATAGATGCTGGCGAGGCTGTGGAGAAATAGTAACGCTTTTACACCGTTGATGGGAGTGTAAATTAGCTCAACCATTGTGGAAGACTGTGACGATTCCTCAAGGATCTAGAACCAGAACTATCATTTGCCGCAGCAATCCCATTACTGGCTATATACCCAAAGGATTATAAATCATTTTACTATAAAGACACATGCACACATATGTTTTTTGCAGCACTATTTACAATAGCAAAGACTTGGAACCAACCCAAATGCCCATCAATGATAGACTAGATAAATAAAATGTGGCACATACACACCATGGAATACTATACAGCCATAAAAAAGAATGAGATCATGTCCTTTGCAGGGCCATGGATGAAACTGGAAGCCATCATTCTCAGCAAACTAACACAGGAATAGAAAACGAAACATCACATGTTCTCACTCATAAATGGGAGCTGAATAATGAGAACACATGGACACAGGGAAGGCAACATCACACACTGGGGCCTGTCAGGCAGTGGTGGGGAAGGGGAGGGAGAGCATTAGGACAAATACCTAGCGCATGCGGGGCTTAAAACCTAGATGATGGGTTGATGGGTGCAGCAAACCACCATGGCACAAGTACACCTATGTAACAAACCGGCACATTCTGCACATGTATCCTGGAACTTACGGTAAAATAAAAAATAATAATAATACAATTAAAAGTTAAAAAAAAAAAAAGAAATTGCTTCTCGTGTCCAGGAAAGCACCTGGTGCTCCAGAAACAGAGAAGGCAAAAACAGAAAAAGACCCACTGGAGGCCAGGCGCGGTGGCTCACGCCTGTAATCCCAACACTTTGGGAGGCCAAGGCGGGTGGATCATGAGGTCAGGAGTTTGAGACCAGCCTGGCCAACATAGTGAAACCCCATCTATACTAAAAATACAAAAATTACAGCTAGGTGTAGTGGCACGCACCTGTAGTCCCAGCTACTCAAGAGACTGAGGCAGGAGAATCATTTGAACCCAGGAGGTGAAGGTTGCGATGAGCCGAGATCTTGCCATTGCACTCCAGCCTGGATGACAGAGTGTGACTCCGTCTCAAAAAAAAAAAAAAAAAAAAAAAGACCCACTGGAGACACAATCAAATAAAGGTAATAGAAAAAGAGACCCCAGCATCACTTATTGGTGGGAGTAAAAATTTCACCTAAGAATTACATGTGGAGAAAAACATGAACGCATTTGTGTTCAGACTGTTCAAATGCATGTTGTCCCACAGAGAGCTTAATAGGTTGACTTGGCAGACCATTAAATCTCGCTTCTGTGTCTCTTGCCTTCCCTTCCTTGGCGTCGTCTGTGTCTTTTGTTGTGGAAAAAGCTTTCATCCCATGCCGACAGAAATCACTCAACTCTCACCTGAGGCACTCATTTAAGAGCATGCCTCAGAGGATTGTGTGTTCCTTGGACACGTGTCAAAATATCACATGCCTTCCATAAATATGTACAATTATTATGTATCCATAGAAAAAAGGAAATTAAGAGGAACAAATATAGAGATTAATACTATTTGCATATTAAATGATGATCTAATTATAAAACATAGGAAGTTAAATAAAAATATTAGAAACAATGAGATAATTCCATAAGGTGGCTAGTTATAAAATTAATATAAAAATTGGATCGGGCACAGTGGCTCATCCTTGTAATCCCAGCGCTTTGGGAGGCCAAGGTGGGAGAATTGCTTGAGACCAGGAGTTCAAGACCAGCCTAGTCAACATAGCAGAGATCCTGTTTCTAAAAAAAAAAAAAATTATATTACAAGGGCATAGTGGTGCACACCTGTAGTCCAGCTACGCAGGAGGCTGAGGCAGGAGGATGAGGCTGCAGTGAGCTACGATGATGACACTGCATTCCAGCCTGGCCAACAGGGCAAGACCTTGTCTCAAAAAAAAAACCAAAAAATTATTATAAAAATTAATGCTGCCCGGGCACGGTGGCTCATGCCTGTAATCCCAGCACTTTGGGAGGCCAAGGCGGGCGGATCACCTGAGGTCAGGCATTCGAGACAGGCCTGACCAATATGGCAAAACCCCGTCTCTACTAAAAATACAAAAATTAGCTGGGCATGGTGGTGCATGCCTGTAATCCCAGCTACTTGGGATGGTGAGGCAGGAGAACAGCTTGAACCCAAGAGGTGGAGGTTGCAGTGAGCCGAGATCGCACCATTGCACTCCAGCCTGGGTGACAGAGTGAGACTCTGTCTCAAAAATAATAATAATAATAATAACTATATATGATGACCACTTACTGAATAAAATGGGGAAAAAAGTCTCATTTACAAAAGCAAACCAAGATAAAGTACTGTATTGAAAATAAACTTGGCCGGGCACAGTGGCTCACACCTGTAGTCCCAGCACTTTGGGAGGCCGAGGTGGGCAGATCACCTGAGGTCAGGAGTTCAGGACCAGCCTGGCCAACATGGTGAAACCCCATCTCTACTAAAAATGCAAAAAAAATTAGCCAGTTGTGGTTGTGCGTGCCTGTAATCCTAGCTACTCTGGAGGCAGAGGCTGGAGAATTGCTTGAACCCAGGAGATGGAGGTTGCAGTGAGTCGAGATTGCGCCACTGGACTCCAGCCTGGGCCACAGGGCAAGACTCCATCTCAAAAATAATAAAATAATAATAATGCTAACTATATATGATGACCACTCAGTGAATAAAACGGGGGGAAATCTCATTTACAAAAGCAAACCAGGATAAAGTACTGTATTGAAAATAAACTTATGGAGTGGGAAGAACCCTTATGAAAAGAATTTTAAAATTCTACTGAAGAATGTGGTATAATCCTCCAATACACGAAAATAAATGCAGTTATTGAGAGGAAAACAATACTGCATAAAAATAAATTCTGTCCAAGTTACTCTACGAGTAAAAGTGTTATTTGTTCCCAAATCAAGAAAAAACCAAGTCACCTTGGGGGACCAGAATCAGGGGAAAGAGATTTAACTGGGCTTAAAGATGTGTTACAAGGCGGCACGGCATATGTTGGAGTTGTATGACCTTGGGCAAGCTGCTCAACCTCTCTGGCCTCAGCGTGCTCCTTAGTAAAACAGGGAAAGTGCAGTGTTCTTGTGATTGGTGATTGTGTGGATTAAAGTCATGTTAGATAGGCTCACAGCCTGGGTGGCGGTGTTGGTAATTTTCACTGCCTCCAACTTACAGTCACGTATTATCACCAAAGTGACTCCCCTCCTCCCACATGAGTCTGAGAGGGCTCCTGGTATATCAAAACCATGTGAAAAGCAATCGTGTCCTTTGGACATTTTAGTGCATTAGCTCCCACTGAATGTAACAATTGTGGCCAGTGTGGTGGCTCTCATCTGTAAACTCAGAGATCTGAGAGGCCAAGGCAGGAGGATTGCTTGTGCCTAGGAGTTCAAAACCAGCCTGGGCAACATAGCAAGACCCCACCCAAAAAAATAGCCAGGCATGGTGGCACATGCCTGTGGCCTCATACTTTGGAGGCTAAGGTGGGAGGATTGCTTGAGCCCAGGAGGTTGAGGTTGCAGTGAGTTATGATCGTACCACTGTACTTCAGCCTGGGTGACAGAGCAAGACTCCATCTCAAACAAACAAACAAACAAACAGTGAGTCTGAAAGTTTTCTTTAAATTTCCTTGTTTTTATTTTTTTAAGAGATAGGGTCTCACTTTGTCACCCAGGCTGGAGTGCAGTGGTACGATCATAGCTCACTGCAGCCTTGAATTCCTGGGTTCAAGCCTCAGCTTCCCAAAGCACTAGGACTAAAGTGTGAACCACTGCATCCAGCCATAAATCAAATTTCTTTCATTTGTTTTAAAAATTTTTGCAAAAGTAAAGTAATTTTTATTTTAAAATATTTTAGGCTGGGCACCGTGGCTCATGCCCATAATCCCAGCACTTTGGGAGGCTGAGGTGGGCAGATCACCTGAGTCAGGAATTCGAGACTAGCCTGGCCAACATAGTAAAACCCCGTCTCTACTAAAAATACAAAAATTAGCAGGCGTGGTGGCGCACACCTATAATCCCAGCTACTCGGGAGACTGAGGCATGAGAATCACTTGAACTCAAGAGGTGGAGGTTGCAGTGAGCCGAGATCGCGCCACTCCAGCCTGGGCGACAGAGTGAGACAGTCTCAAAAAAAGAAAAAGCACAATATTTTAAAGCCACTCTCCCATGACTTCTCCAATACAAATACTGGGTATTTTATTGTATTTCTGTCTGGTTCTCCCCCTCTAGGTTTTTATTTTTCATACACATGTAATTATAATTTAAAGATTTTATATACAATAGTTTTCCATCATCTGAGTAGTCACTATACGGCTCATTATCCAAGTATTTACACCATTATGTGTTTAGGGAAGCAAAAGTCATCCTAACATAAAAATTGTCACTAATGAACTGACAACTTGACAATTATCCCCCTCAACCATCCATTTCGGAGTAATACAAATATTGCTTTGGAAGCCATCAGATCAGTGTGTTTGTCACTGTTTATCTCTGATTGTTGATGGTTGCTTGAAACTCAATGACACAATTCAAAACTATGTGAAACAACTGCAGAGTGAACATTGAAAATCTTTGCAAGGGGCAGCAGGATTTCATGAAGTCAATGAAAGTGATGTTGGAGAGCTACTTGCAATGCAGAGAATAACATTGTTAAGTGAGGAACTTGCAGTGAGACTGGTTAACAACAGAAAAGGAGATGACAGGTGGATGATAGTGATGAACACTTTGAAATAAAATGAATGGGCTGGGAGCGGTGGCTTATGCCTGTAATCCTAGCACTTTGGGAGGCTGAGGCGGGCAGATCACCTGAGGTCAGAAGTTCAAGACCAGCCTGGCCAACATGGCGAAACCCCGTCTCTACTAACAATGCAAGAAAAGTAGCCAGGCATGGTGGCAGGTGCCTGTAATCCCAGCTACTCGGGAGGCTGAGGCAGGAGAATCGCTGGAACCTGGGAGGCAGAGGTTGCAGTGAGCTGAGATCACGCTACTGCACTCCAGCCTGGGCGGGGGAGCGAGACTCTGTCTCAAATAAATAAATAAATAAATAAATGGAATGAATGGATGATCAAATGGTTTAAAAAGCCCTCTGAGGCACCTTGTTTTGGCCCACAAAATGATTCCCAACAAAGTTCAAGATTACATAACTGCCTTTAGGTTTTTGAGGAATCACCACACTGTCTTCCACAATAGTTGAACTAATTTACATTCCCACCAAAAGTGTAAAAGCATTCCTTTTTCTCCCATTACCGGGTACATGCCCAAAGGAATATAAATTATTCTATTGTAAAGACACATGCATGTGTATGTTTATTGCAGCAATATTCACAATTGCAAAGACATGGAACCAACCTAAATGCCCATCAATGACAGACTGGATAAAGAAAATGTGGTACATATATACCATGGAATACTATGCAACCATAGAAAGGAACAAGATCATGTCCTTTGCAGGGATGTGGATGGAGCTGGAAGCCATTATCCTCAGCAAACTAACACAGGAACAGAAAACCAAATACCGCATGTTCTCACTTAAAAGCGGGAGCTGAATGATGAGAACACATGGACACATAGAGGGGAACAACACACACTGGGGCCTTTTTGAAGGTGGGGGGTGGGAGGGAGAGCATCAGGAAGAAGAGCTAATGGATGCTGGGCTTAATATCTAGGTGATGGTATGATCTGTGCAGCAAACCACCATGGCACATGTTTACCTATGTAACAAACCTGCACATGTACCCTGGAACTTAAAAGTTGGGGAAAAAAATTACACCACTGAAGTCAAAGATGAAATGAAAGGGGTTCTGTTGTTCTACCATATAATTTTGTTGGGAAATAAGGCACGCTTGAATACAGTCATCCCTAAGTATCCATGAGGGATTGGTTCTAGGAACCCCCAACGGATAACAAAATCTACAGATGCTCAAGTCCCTGATAGAAGATGGCACCGTGTTTGCATATAGCCTGTGCACATCCTCCAGCACACTTTAATTAATTAATTATTCATTTATTTTTTGAGACAGGGTCTCACTCTGTCGCCCAGGCTGGAGTGCAGTGGCACCATCTCGGCTCACTGCAGCCTCGACCTCCCAGGCTCAAGTGATCCTCCCACCTCAGCCTCCCCAGTAGCTGGGACTAAAGGTGTACACTACCATGCTCAGCTAATTAAAAAAAAATATATATATACACATATATATATTTTGTAGAAATATATATATACACATATATATATTTTGTAGAAATATATATATACACATATATATATTTTGTAGAAATATATATATACACATATATATATTTTGTAGAAATATATATATACACATATATATATTTTGTAGAAATATATATATACACATATATATATTTTGTAGAAATATATATATACACATATATATATTTTGTAGAAATATATATATACACATATATATATTTTGTAGAAATATATATATACACATATATATATTTTGTAGAAATATATATATACACATATATATATTTTGTAGAAATATATATATACACATATATATATTTTGTAGAAATATATATATACACATATATATATTTTGTAGAAATATATATATACACATATATATATTTTGTAGAAATATATATATACACATATATATTTTGTAGAAATATATATATACACATATATTTATATATTTTTTGTAGAGATAATCTTACTATGTTGCCCAGGCAAGTCTTAAACTCCTGGCCTCAAGCAATCCTCCTGTCTCAGCCTCCCAAAGTGCTAGGATTAAAGGCATGAGCCACTGCGCCTAGCCCAGTATGCTTTAAGTCATCTCTAGATTAATTATAATACCCAAGATCATGTAAATGCTATGTAAACAGTTGTTGTATTGCTTAGGGAATAATGACAAGAAAAAAGTCTGTACATGTTCAGTACAGGCACAACCATCGCAGGCCTAATTACATTTTACATCTGCAACTTGTTGAACCCATGGTTGGTTGAACCTGTGGATTCAGTGTATAGGGCTGACTGTATCAACTTTTGATTCTTTGTTAATTCTAAGAAGCTGATCATGTTTGGAATTACTATTTAAACTTTGTTGAACACAATTTAAAAAATTAACTGAGGCTTAGAAAGTGTGGCTTCATTTTACAGGACAAAGTCCCAATTGCCTCTCTCTCCTCACCCCCACACCCGGTGCTCCCTGTGAAATTTGGATTCCTGTATTCAGTGGATTCAGTTTAAGCAGCTTTTTCCAGTACTTAGTACTCTGAAATGAATAGGTTTCCTCTAGCACTTTCTTACTTAAAATCATATTATAACCACCATTATCTTTGATGGCTACATTCATTTAATTTATTTACTTATTCCTTTTTTAATGAACTTTTAATAATGTTTCTGATGAGATGCTTTTAAAAGCAATAAGGAAATAAGTAATGATATGTCTTTGTGCGTTTAGCTGTGAGGATTTTATCCCACGTGTGGAATTACTGGATTAGATGCGAAATTGCAACATTTGTATGGCTCTTGATACATATTTCTCAGTGTCTTTCCAAACTGGCTGTAGAAATGTACCCTGCCATCAGAAACATTTGGAGAGATATTTCTACTCCTCACAGATTACGTATATTTGTTAAACACCACTGTGGGCCAGGCGCTGTTCTAGGCACCTGGGATACAGCCCAGAATGAGATGACCTCCAATAGTTGCCCTCATGGAACAGACAGTCAAATTCAGAAAAATAGACAACAAACAAATAATTGTTCAATATGTTAGACATGATGTATTATAGAAATGTAGGGTGGTGATACAAGAGCTAAGAAGAAATTATTTAGGCAGATAGGGTATGAGCGTCCTCAATAAGGTTTTCCTTTTCATGAAAAGCAGCCCCCAAATTATTTCTTTTCTAACAAAGAGCAGCCTGTAAAATTGAGCTGCAGACATAGACAAGCAGGCTGGAAACTTGCCAGGTGAATGCCGGCAGCTGTGCCAATAGGAAAAGGCTACCTGGGACTAGGCATGTTCAAAATGGCGGCCTCATCTTCCCTTCTCTTTGTCAGCCACGTGTACAGTAAGGAGCAGATAACATGGCACCAGCGAGGCAAAGATCCCATTTGCATAAGATTAGGGCGAGCCATCCAGCTTCCCCATGTGCTATGTAAACATCACACCTGGTCCAACCAATCCTTGGGCCCTATGCAAATCAGACACCGCCCCCTCAAGCCTGTCTATAAACTGGTGCACTCTGCCATGGGTGGGAAGTCCCATTCGGAAGCCCCTCTCACACAAGAGAGAGAGTTATTCTCCTTTCTCTTTCTTTTGCCTATTAAACCTCTACTCCTAAACCCACTTCTTGTGTCCGTGTCCTCGATTTCCTTGGTGTGAGAGGACGAACTTCGCAGATTTACCCCAGACAACAACACCGCTTCAGCGGGATCCAGAGAGGATGATCAGGGAAGCTTCCTTGGTAAGATAAAATTCAAGCAGACACTTGAAGGCGGCGAGGAAGGATACCATCAAAAATCCGTGGGAAGAGCATTCTAGCACGAGGGAACAGCTATGCGAAGGCTCTGGGGCAGGAATGTGCTTTGTGTGCACCGAGAAGTAGATGGGTGCAGATCATGCAGGGTCTTGTGGACCACAGGGGGGACTTTGGCTCCTATCGTGAGTGAGGGAGGAGCTGTGGAAGATTCTGAGCAGAGGAGGGGCGTTACCTGGCTCAGGTGTTCACAGGTGCCCTCTGGCCACGAGAGCAGATGGGAAAGAAAGCAGAAGCTGGGAGGGGGAGGAAGAGGAAACCACACTGGGTTAGGTGGGGGGCCGTGACCAGGTGGGTACCACGGTGAGTTAATTCTGGTTATGTTGAGATGGTAAAGCAGACAGGTGTGGCTTATGGATTGGAAGTGGAGGATGCCTGGAGGAGAGGAGTCAAGAATGTCTCAGGGATTTTGACATGAGCAGTCTGAGGACACAGCTCTGCTATCAGCTGAGGGGAAGAAAACTGGGGCGGGGAAGTGGGAGGGTGGGGGTAGTGTTGGGGGAAGATAACAATTCACTCACCACTTCCCCCTTGAATTATAGAATCACCCCACAGCAGTATTCATAAAGAATGAAAATGCAAACATCTATTAATAATTATTCGCAAATGCTGCATATTAGCCAGTTTAGATAAACCCTGCTCTCTGGGAATTTTGCCAGAAAAAAATCCCCAAATAAGCTTCTACAGCTCTCAAAGCCAATAAAATGCCATCAGGGAGTAGACGGAGAATGGCAAAGTCCCTTCCTCATGTGAGAATCTGTTTAATCTAACATTACCATGCCTTCATCTACCCTTCTGTAAGACCCAGGATTGTCTGAACACAAAGATAAACATAACAGAGCTATAGAAAGACGTGAAGTGAGAAAACAAAATAATCGTGGGGGATAGGATGTTTGGCAAGACTAGATGAGGACTTCTCAAGCTAGGAGATGATTACACCTAACTAGCTCCACTAACTAGCTGCCGTAGTGGAACTACGGGCAGTTCCACTCTTCTTTCTCTCTTTGCTGCCTAACCCTCACCAATGCTGGATGGATTAGAATCTGTGTCTCTGCTTCCATTGTTGTTTGCGGCCACCTTGATCATACAAACTGCCCTGCTGTAGTCTATTGTTTATTTACTCATGCAACAAACAATTATTAAGCTTCTACTATGTTGCAGGCACTGCACTGGATGCTTGAGATAGAGTGTTTCGGAGACCACCTGTTACCCACCCACCCATTATCCCCTCATAACTTCCCTAGCTTTCAGAACCCAGCAATAAAACAGAACTACATTTCCTGGGCACTTTTGCAGAGAGATGTGGCCACATGAACAGTTCTGGCCAATCAACCATAAGGATGCTGATCTCAACTGACCTTTGTCCTTTGACCTTCTTCCTCCTTTCTGTCTGAAGCACTGATGTGATGGCTGGAGCAGCAGCAGCCATCCTGAGACTGACCATGAGGAAAAGACCAAGCTGACCTTGGTCTTGGCTGAACATCCTTGGGCCACTGCAGCATTTTTATTTTATATGCAACCAAATAAAATTTTCGACTGATGCACATGTATGTTCTGAAAAAGTTGTCTTTTTATTAGCCTGTTTCTCCACATAAGACTTCTTGAGGCTGGGTGCAGTGGCTCACACCTGGAATCTCAGCACTTTGGGAGGCCAAGGCAGGAGGAACACTTGAGGCCAGGAATTTGAGACCAGCTGGGCAACACAGCGAGACCCTGCCTCTACTAAAAACACAAAAATTAGCTGGGTTTGGTGGCACACACCTGTAGTCCCAGCTTCTCAGGAGGCTGAGGTGGGAGGATCAATTGAGCCCAGGAGGTTGAAGCTGCAGTGAGCTATGATCATGTCACGACACTTTATCCTGGGCAACAGCACGAGACCCTGTCTCAAGGGATAAACAAATAATAAAAGTAACAGTAAAAAGGAAGACTTCATGAGTGCAGAAACCAATTTTATTTAGCTTCATAAGCCCTCAAGAAATGTCAGATGAATTCATGAATGAGTAAGGTAGCATGACTTTTATAATTTAAAACGCAGCAGGCCCAGGAAGGGCATCTTCTTCCCCTATTCGCTCTCTGCTTGGGTGCCACATCTCTGGCAGTGGCTGATCCCTTCCGTGATGACAGCTACTGCCAGCAGCTCCTCCCTCATCGTTCCAGCTGCCACTGGCTCCAATGTTGCAATTTCTTCAATCCAAGGATTGTAGGGGCTTCCTGCTATTGCTAGCCTCTGGGTGCCCAACATCCCACATGGGTTAACTCTGTCCACACCTCTGTAAGGAAGTCCTTCCTTTTCTTTTCTTTCTTTCTTTCTTTTTATATATATATTTATTTATTTATTTTGAGACAGGTTCTCTCTCTGTTGCCCAGGCTGGAGTGCATTGACATGATCACAGCACACTACATCCTTAACCTTCCAGACTCAGGTGATCCTCCTGCCTCAGCCCCGCCGAGTAGCTGGGACTACAGGCATATGCCACCACGCCTGGCTAATTTTTGATTTTTTTGTAGAGATGGGGTCTCACTATGTTGCCCAGGCTGGTCTCAAACTCCTGGGCTCAAGTGATCCACCCACCTCAGCCTCCCAAAGTGCTGGGATCACAAGCATGAGCCACCACACCCAGCAAAGCTCCTCCTTAATGCCTCTTCCTTTGAAATATCTGGGGGCTGGAGAGTGAACTCTGTTTCCTCTGTAGACTCTGAGAGACACTCCCCACCAGGTGGTAAGTTCAAGGGCACAGAACACATATCCGCTTTACTCACTAGTACCCCGGACCCAGCACAGGTTCTGCCATGGAGAAGTTGCTCAATGAATATTTATAGAATAACTAACTTCACTTCCCATTAAATAAACCAGAATAAAAATAATAAGGTGATGCCATTTTTGTCTATTAAATTAACAAAAAATATATATATATTTTTGAGACAGGGTCTTGCTCTATTGCCCAGGGTGGAGTGTAGTGGTGCACTCACGGCTAACTGCAGCCTCAACTTCCCAGGCTCAAGCAATCGTCCCATCTCAGCCTCCATAGAAGCTGGGACTACAGGTGCGTGCCACCACGTCTGGCTAATTTTTGTATTTTTAGTAGATATGGAGTTTCCCCACATTGGTCTTCAACTCCTGGGCTCAGGCAATTTTCCCACCTTGGCCTCCCAAAGTGTGAGATCACAGGCATGAGCCACTGTGCCTGGCCCAAAAAATGTTTTTAAAACAATAAAACCCAATGCTGGTCTGTGTGCATTGAAATGAATAGACTTCAGCGTTGCTGTTAAATGTGTAAATTGATACAACCCTTTGGAAAAACCATATATATAAGAAACCATTAAAATAGTACTCATTTTTGACTCAGTAAAACTACTCCTGGAAATCTAATACAAAGAAATGAATCCCAGTGAAGGGAAAATGTATGTAAAGATTTGATTGTAGCATTATGTATAATGTCAAAATATACCCAACAGTAGGTTATAAGGAAAAGACCCTTCTATAGGCATTAAAATGACAGTATGGGATGGAGGGAGGGAGGGAAGAAGGAAAGAAGGGAGGGAGGGAGAGAGAAAGGGAAGGAGGAAGGGAGAGAGGGAAGAAAAAGAAGAAAGAAAGAAAAGGAAGGAAGAGAAGGAAAGAAAGAAAAAGTAAGGGAGGAGGGAGGGAGAAAAGGAGGGGAGAAAGGGAAGGAAAAGAAAGAGAAAAAAGAAAGAAAAGGAAGGAAGGAAAGAGAGAGGTGAAAGGAGGGAAGGATGGGAGGAAGGAAGGAAAAAATGAACAAAGGAAGGAAAGAAGGAACGGGGCAGGAAAAAGTGAATGGGGGTGCAGTAGTTTCAATTTTACATAGCTGAGGTCGAGAAGGTGACTGTGAGCAGAGACCTGAAGGAGGTGAGGCAGAAATTAGTCACAAGAATAAGAAAAAAAATGTAAGAAAGAGATGTTAACAGTTAGGTATTAACAACTGTGTGTGGACTCATTAATAAATATCTTTGAGCCCCTGATCCATGCTAAGGATGCATTAGAGGCAAAACTGGACATAGTCTTTATCTTTTTTTTTTTTTTGAGACAGCGTCTTGCTCTGTTGCCCAGGCTGGAGTGCAGTGGCACTATCTCAGCTCACTGCAACCTCCGCCTCCTGGGTTCAAGTGATCCTCATGCCTCAGCCTCCAAAGTAGCTGGGACTACAGCTGTGTACCATCATGCCCGGCTAATTTTTGTATTTTTTGTAGAGACAGGGTTTCACCATGTTAGCCAGGCTGGTCTCAAACTCCTGACCTCAGATGATCCACCTGCCTCAGCCTCCCAAAGTTCTGGGATTACAGGCATGCACCACCATGCCTGGCTAATTTTTGTAGAGATGGGGGTCTCACTATGTTGCCCAGGTGGGTCTCGAACTCCTGAGCTCAAGCGATCTGCCGGCCTCGGCATCCCAAAGTGCTGGGATTACAGGCATGAGCCACCGTGAGCGGCCAGTCCTTATCTTTATACTAACTAAATGAGAAAATCAATAAGAGCGAATTAGAATGTTGATGTGGGTAATGAAAGAAAGGCATATGATGCTAGAAAAATATATACTCAGAGGTATTGGGGAGAGAGACAGATGCATGAATAGAGGTAAAGGGATACAGAGAAAGAAAAAGAAACAAAGAGATGGAGAGAGAGGGAAAGAGAGAATGTGGGGAGGAGGGGACAGAAACAAGGAGAGACAGAGACAGAGAGAGATGTCAATGAGGTGAATTATATTTGGGACTCTCTGAATTCTCTTTTCCACAGCTGAATAATAACAGTAATAGCCCAGTAATTAGTATACAACTGCTCAACCTCTCTCTCTTGCCTGGAGCTGGCAAGAAAAATAACCAATCGTACTGAAGAAAGGACCAAGGACTTAGGGAGAAATTGAAAGAAAAAGCAGCCTAGAAATCATGCATTGGAGAAAAACAGAATCTGAAGGTTGTGGCAAAGCGAAGAGACCCTGAGATTAGGAGGGAAAGTGGATATGCTTTTTCTTAAAAAAAGATATTTCTAAAGGAGTTTCTGATGTTAAATGGGATCTCGGCAGAATGAAATAACAAGGCTTTTAACTCTAAAGCCCTATCCATCTTCCCAGGGAATGTTCCTGACCCTTCAGCACCAAAAGCAAACCCTTCGTACCTGTGCTTTTCCCTCCAGTTTTGGTACATTGTGGACATAGGTGTTCGTTTATCCAACCACCCTCTCTGGTCCCATTTGTAGCAGAGATAATGCTATGGATCTGGCAAATCCCATTTTCTTTTCCTTCCTGGGATACGTACAGCAAAGGGACATATTCCAGCTCTCACTGAAGTTCGTTGGGCCCTGGGACTACATTCTGGCTAATGGCATTTAGGTAAAAGTGATGTGAACCACTTCTAAGCCTAACCCATACAAAATGTCCAGCATAATTCTCTGTGTACAAATTCAGAAGCAATTAGGGGAAAGCAGAGGCCCTTCCTAGACAATGGCAAAGCCACAAGATGGGAGGACCCTGAATCCCTGCGTCACTGCCTGGAGAAGAGTCTCCCAGGAAGTACAACCATTATGGAGAAGTTTGGAGGTTCCTCAAAAAACTAAAAATAGAGCCACCATATGATCCAGCAATCCTGCCGCTGGGTATATACCCAAAAGAAAGAAAATAGTATATCGAAGAGATATCTGCACTCCCATGTTTATTGCAGCACTATTCACAATAGCCAAAATTTGGAAACAACTCAAGTGTCCATCAACAGATGAATGGATAAAGAAAATATGGTACATATACACAGTGGAGTACTGCTCAGCCATAAAAAAGAATGAGATCCTGTCATTTGCAACAACATGGATGGAACCGGAAGTCATTATGTTAAGGAAAATAAGCCAGGGACAGAAAGACAAACTTCGCATGTTCTCACTTATTTGTGGGAGTTAAAAATTAAAACAATTGCACTCATGGAGATAGAGAGTAGAATGATGGTTACCAGAAGCTAAGAAGGGGAGTGGATGGGGGTGGAGGAGGAATGTTTAATAAGTACAAAAAAATAGAAAAGAATGAATAAGATGTAGTATTTGATAGTACAACAGGGTGACTATAGTCAATGATAATTTATTTGTATATTTAAAAATAACTAAAAGAGCATAATTGGATTGTAACACAAAGGATAAATGCTTGAGGTGAAAGATACCTCATTTTTCCATATGTAATTATTACACATTGCATGCCTGTATCAAAATATCCCATATATCATATATATATACACATATATATATAATGTATACACACATATATAATATATATATACACACATATATATAATATATATATATACATATATATAATATATATATATAATATATATATATATACTATGTACCTACAAAAAATTTTTTAAAAAGAGAAAAGCCTACTGGGAGAAAACATCTATCTCGGATAGTTGAGTGAACAAGAAGGACACTTTCACCATGTTCAACCTCTGAGAATTCAGGGTTTATTTGTTATAGCAGCTAATATCCCTTATCCTATCTAATACACCATCCATCTTGGACAGTAGAGTGAGCAAGAAGGAAACGCTCACTGTGTTCAGCCACTGAGAGTTCAGGGCTTAGCTGTCACAGCAGCTAAATCCCTTATCCTGTATAATACACCCTTTCCATAACAGTGTGTGTAGATTTTGAGAAGAGTTTACATTCCCTCCAATTCTGCTTCTAAACCTTTATTTTCCTGCCTTTGAGAAAGAATTCATACTCCTTCAAGGCTCAGACCATCCATCCAGCATCTTCACCACCTCCCATCTCTGCCATTGTCCTCTCCAAGCTGTTTCTTGCCTCTGTCTCTTTGCCCTTGCACTCATCTCCACCTGGAATGCCAAAGGGGCACTGCAGACAATGTGTGTTTCAACCAAAATGGACAGAGATGCTGTTTGCTGCTGCAGGACAGATTAAAAACTCTTTGGAAGCCTCATACCCATGACTTTGGCCTTGGAGATACTGCTGTCCAGCCACTAGGCAAACCAAGCACACAAGCTGTTAACCCAGTTACTAAGGCAGAGAGCTGGGAGTTACTTTTGACTCCTCCCTCTCCCTCATCCCACTATTCTATCAGTCACCAAGATGTATTGATTCTACATCCAGATACCTCTCAAATCCATCCACTTTCATCACCATTGCTTCCATCAAATTCCAGGCCACCATCATCTCTTAGGATAAATTCCAATTCTGTTAATGTGGCCCAGAGGTCCTGTGTGATCTGGCCCCTGCCCCAACCCCAGCCTCTTCCCTCTCAGACTCTATATTCTAACTGACTTGGACTCCTTTCAATTCTTTAAATGCACCATATTCTTTTCCTGCCTTTGGACCTTTGAGATACTGCTCCCACAGCCAAAACACTCCTCTTCTTCTTTCCCAGCTAAACTTCTACTCATTCTCTAGGTTTCAGCTTAAATGCTCCTTTATCCAAGAAGCCTTCTTTGAGTTTGTTAAATGGCATTCGACTCTGTGATTATAAACCATGTCCTGCATTTAGAGCACTGCATTTACCTGCTAGACTGGTAAGCTGACCAGCAGCGCCAACATCTGCATTGTTCATTATTGTGATTTCAGGGTCAAGCATGGGGCATGACATATAGTAGGTGCTTACTAAAATATTGTTGAATAAATTTTAAAAATGGATGGATGGACAGATGATTTGATGGATGGATAGATGATTTGATGGATGGATGGATGGATGAGTGAATGGATGATTTAATGGATGAATGATTGGGATAGATGATTTGATGAATGGATGGATGGGTAAATGAGTGAATGGATGAATGAATGGATGGATAAATGAGTGAATGATTGATGGAAGGATGAATGGAAGAACGGATGGCTGAATAAATTTCTTCAAGATGCTGAGTGTGAATCTGTGACTCCAAAAGAAACCAAAGATAACTATCATCTGGACAACCCTAAAACCAGAAGTTCCATGAGACTACATTCTTGCTCATCTTTGCTTTTGTGGACCTTGAATTCTCTTTGGGAGTGAGTAGATAATGGCAAGGAAGCAAAGACAATAGAAAACATACAAATAAACCAGGTGGCACCAGAAGATGACACACACCACATGCTCTAAAGGGGTGGCATTTGATCCAAGACCCCAGGCACTTAAAATTAAAATTAAACAAGTGAGAATGCCAATTCCATGCCAAAAATCAAGCCAAATGATCCTCGGAATGTGTTGACTGGCAATGATAGCTGGGATTTAAAAATAGACTTATCAACCTATTATGCATGTCCTGCCTTTGCTTCAGTAATCACTTTCCCCAGGTCCCAAGGAAATACAAAATGGCCCTTAAACAGATGACAAGGGGACCATTTTCACTCATAATAAGAGAAGACCAATTAAAATTGTATTGAGATGCCATTTTTCACCTACCTTATGGGCAAAAGCATGATAACACACGCTGCTGGCAGGGCCGAGGGGCACCAGACAATCACCTGTATCGCTGATGGGAGTGGAAACTGGTACAATCTCCATGGAGGATCATTTGGCAAAATTCACCAAGATTACCCATATCTTTACCCTTTGACCCAGCAATCCAGTTTCTCCAAATTTATCCCATTGTCTATGATACCCTGATATGTTTTTATCTATTTTTTTTAATTCATTTTTGAGGCAGCCTTGCTTTGTTGCCCAGGCTGGAGTGCAGTGGCACGATCATGGCTCACTGCAGCCTTGAACCCCTGGGCTCAAGGTGATCTGCCCACCTTAGCCTCCCGAGGAGCTAGGACTACAGGTGCCTGCCAGCTAATTTAAAAAGAATTTTTTTTAGAGACGGAGTCTTGCTATTACTCAGCCTCCCGAGTAGCTGGGATTACGGGCATGAGCCACCACACCCAGCAACTGACATGTTTTAAAAAGTGACATATGTGTGGCCCATACCTGTGATTTCAGCACTTTGGGAGGCTGAGGTGGGAGGATTTCTTGAGACCCAGAGTTTGAGACCAGCTTGGGCAACATAGCAAGACCCCATCTCTACAAAAAACAAATTTTGCATTGGTAGTCCCAGCTACTTGGGAGGCTGAGGCAGGAGGATCACCTGAGCCCAGGAGGCCAAGGTTTTAGTAAGCTATGATTGCATCACCACACTCCTGCCTAAGTGACAGAGTGAGATCCTGTCTCAAAAGGAAAGGAAAGGAAAGGAAATGAAAGGAAAGGAAAGGAAAGGAAAGGAAAGGAAAGGAAAGGAAAGGAAAGGAAAGGAAAGGAAAGGAGGGCATATGTACAAAGTTACTCATTATTAGACTGTATGTAATGGCAGGATATTGCAAACAACCCATGAATCTATCAATAGAGGCTGGTTTAATAAATTATGGACCACTACATAAAAATAATAATCATAGCCTAGACACATCACTTACTTCATTCATGCCTAGCATGATTCTAAATGTGTTATATGTAATAATTCATAATAACCATAGCAGGTGCACTCTAACCACTTTTCTATGTTATAGGTGAAGACACTGAAGCACAGAGAGGATCAGTGACTTGCCCAAGATCACACAGCCTGGAAGCAGCAAATCAGGTCAGTGAGGGGAGCTGGTCCCTTGAGGGGCTGGAAGCAGGCACAATGATGTAGCTATAAAAGGAAGAAGCCCAAGAGAGCTGTTTGGGCCAGGCGTGGTGACTCATACCTGTAATCTCAGCACTTTGGGAGGCCAAGGCAGGCAAATTGCTTGGGGTCAGAAGTTCGAGACCAGCCTGACCAACATGGCGAAACCTTGTCTCTACCAAAAGTACAAAAATTAGCTGAGGAGGGTGGGTGGTGTGTGCCTGTAGTCCCAGCTACTCGGGAGGCTGAGGCAGGAGGATCGCTTGAACTCAGGAGGTGGAGGTTACAGTGAGCCGAGATGGCAACACTGCATTCCACCCTGGGCGACAGAGGGAGACTCTGTCTCCAAAAAAGAAAAAAAAAAAAAAAAGCTGTTTGATGCACAAGGATGATAAATGACAGTGGGTCGGGCCATAGGATGCTGTAGGGTCACCTTCTGCTCACACACAGGTTCCCAGGAAGATAATGGTGGGTGGGATGGAAGAGGGAGCCTCAGTTTCTCTGTCTTCCTCAGCTGTCTCTGCACTCTCGACCACACAGTTGTAATATTGCCTCTCTGAAAATAAGGAAGCTTCTGCCAAACTAATCTGGAAAGATCTCCAAGAACATATTGTTAGGTGAAAAAAAGCAAGATGCTGAACTGCATGTAGAGTATACGCTCCCTTATGTAAGAAGAGAGGGGAAAGTAAAATAAATATTTTACATTTGCGCACATTTCATGTGTTTGCATGAACTAACTCTGGGAAGACATACAAGAAAGCAATAAATGTTTCAGGGGAAGGAGATGAAAGTGGGGAGGGGGATGGGGCAGATTGGGGAATGGTAGGAGATGTAAAAGGATTAACTACTGAAACATTAGCATTTAATTTTGAAATTGCCAGAGAAGCTTACGGGTACTTGAGAAAAGCATCATTCGTCTTTTTTTTTTTTTCTCACTCTTGTCGCCTTGGCTGGAGTGCAGTGGCATGATCTCGGCTCACTGCAACCTTTGTCTCCCAGGTTCAAGCGATTCTTCTCCTGCCTCAGCCTCCCAAGTAGCTGGAACTACAGGCGCGTGCCACCATGCCCAGCTAATTTTTGTATTTTTAGTAGAGATGAGGTTTCACCATGTTGGCCAGGCTGGTCTCGAACTCCTGACCTCAAATGATCCACCTGCCTCGGCCTCCCAAAGTGCTGGGATTACAGGTGTGAGCCACCACACCCAGCCGCTCATCTAATTATTGACAGGGCACGTGCCTTGCAGTTTTCTTGAGTCCCCACCACTCCCTATTGTCTGCCTGATGTTGAATTCTCATCTCATCTAAAGCTGAGTTACTCTCAGCTCCAGCTCCTTATTGCTACCCCTGAATGTGGGTCCAAAGTGGCTAGCTTCTCTTATTTTTCAAGAGAAGTGGAAAACCATATTTTTATAAGAAACCTTCCAGATTTTAAATGTTGGCAAGGATTAAATTTTTAGAAAATGAGAATTTCTGTGGCCTATATACAACCTCTGATCCAGATGAATCCAGAATCTGTGTGTCCTCAGGAAATCCCCCGGAGGTTGTTTTGCTTGACTGAGTGGCAGAGTTTGTAGCACTCTAAGGACCTGTAGGGCAACTGTTCTACATACTGTTTGAAAACAGAGAAGTCAAGAGCCAATAAAAAAGGCTGGGGAGGGGACTCCATGTATGGTTGCTCAAGGCGTGCACTGCACAAGTGCTCCTGGCCACATGAGAGAGAGGAGAGCTGAAATACAACTCACTGATGGAGTGCTTCATGATGGATGGATCAAGCTGGTGACATCTGAACCCTTGTCAAATTCAACATCACTAAATGAGAGGCAGCCAGACGTGATGTGCCACCCAATGAAGCAAGATGTACCAGTCATCATCAAAGAATTATCCTTGCAAACACAACCAAGCATAAAACAGAAACATTGAAACTGAATCTGATTCATCCTCTAGATCAGGGATCACCAAACTATGGCCCCCTAGTCAAATCTAGCCTACTGCCTGATCTTGTAAATAAGGTTTCACTGGGACACAGCCACACTCATTTATTTAAGTATTGTCTGTGCCTTGCTTTCACACTGCAAAGGCAGAGTTGAAACCATATGAACTGCAATACCTAGAAGACGCATTATCCAGATTTTTACAGAAAAGTTCACCAACCCCAGGTCTAGATCTAGCCCCCCGTTCACAGGAAATACAGGGGAGAGAGGAGCACACTAAATCAACACCATGAGGCACGCAATCAGCAGAATCCAAAGTGTGGAACAGCCTCCAGGACAAATGATCCAGTTTCTTCCACAAATAAATGGCAAGCAAACAAAAGAAGGAGGCAAAACTGTTCAAGATTCCAAGAGTCTTATAAGATACATCAGCCAATCAGGGAAATGGGGATAACGACTGGCTGTTCAGTGAGTCTTAAGGAAATAACAGCCATTTTGGGTAGATGTGAAAATGACATAGTGCTAAATGCAATATAATATTTGGGGTTGGATCACGGAACAGCAAAAACGGCATTAATGAAAAAAAGGGTAAAATCTGAATAGAGTCTGTGATTTAGTGAATGGTGACAAATCACAGTAATGTAAGATGGTAACAACAGGAGGGGCTAGATGAGGTGTATGTAGAAACACTCTATTATCTTGGCAATTTTTCTATAAATCTAAAATTATTCCCAAATGTAAAGTTTGTTTTAAGACAATGGTCTTGTGATTGCAGTTTTGTTTTGTCTTTGTTGTTTGAAACAGGATCTTGCTCTGTCGCCAGGCTGGAGTGCAGTGGCACGATCATAGCTTACTGCAGCCTCCAACTCCTGGCCTCAAGCAATCATCTTGCTTCAGCTTCCTGAGTAGCTAGGATACAGGTGCACACCACCACTCCTGGTAAATTAAAAATAACAATAATTGTAGTGATGAGATCTTTCTATGTTGCCTAGGCTGGTCTCAAACTCCTGGCCTCAAGTGATCCACCCACCTCAGCCTCCAAAAGCACCAAGATTACAGGATAATCCACTGCACCTGGCTAGACTGTACTTTCTAATACACAGTGTCTCTTAGAGTCTATTAGATTAGACTCCAATCATCTGTAACATTAACAGATACAATGATGCAATGACTAGACTTTGCTTTAAAATAATACAGCAAAGTGCAGATAATAGGTGAGAGCATAAAGAAACTAGATTTGCCAAATATTGATATTTATTGAAGTCAGGAAATAGATTCCTGAAGATCGTCTTTATGTTTCTCTCCATTTTGGGGTGAGTTTGAAAATGTTCATAATAAAAAGTGGTTTTGAAAATTGTTTTAAATTAAGCCTACATGCATTTAAACATGTTCCCTAGGATGGGCTGTGGCTGCCTGGAAGAAAGGCAACTTTATCTTATCAGAAGGCACTTTCCACCAACCAGGCAATGTGTCCTGGCTTGTAGATTCCCTCTGCATGTCCATCAGGGTGCCGGGTGCTGGCATCCCTCTTTGTGGAATGATGGGATGACGGGGGTGTCTCACCCCTGGAGCTCCTATGTTTACCCCCAACCTAACTCAACCAACTCCATGTGACATTGTAGAATCTGCCTCAAGTCCTGTTGCATCCTCAAGTCCTGTTGCATGGCTGGCTGTGACCACAAAGGGACCCAACTTTCAAACACACTTTAATTTGGGTAATAAACAGCCCACAAAAAAATTACTGGAGACATCTGCAAAGAATTCTTATCTTTCACAAAAGTCATGGGAAACTACCCTTTTCAACCATTCCACTGGGTATAAACAGGAAAACAGGTAGCTTCGACTGCAGTGGCAGCTATCTTAAGATTTTGGCTCCTTGAGAGGTGAAAATAGTGCTGGATCAACCCCATCCTGAAGCCCACACCACCACTGGACTTACAGTCATGAAAACCAGTACCTTCCCTTGCTGTTCAATCTGCTTGAGTTTGCTGTGACTTGCAGCCCAACACCCTTTCCTGGTGGGACCACATAAAACTGTATCAGTTCATGCAAATCTGTACAGATTTGCCAAGTGAGCCCAACAATGCATTTGAGATGGTCAAACCAGGAGTCCCAGTTTAGGTCCTGCTGGGAGCCCTAATCCAAATAATACAGGTTTTAAAAAGCATTAATAACCAGGTCTAAACAGATTCAAAGCCCTTTTCACAACCCCTATTCAATTAAGCAGCCAGCCACTTGTCAAATACTTCTGCAACCCATTCCCTCCTCTCTGCCCCTGTGACCACTCAATTCTGGCCTCCATCATCATTTGCTTGGACTGTAGCAGTATCTTCCCTCCTGGTTCTCCTCCTCTAGTATCATTTTTCTCCAACCGTCCCTTACACTGGCCCCAGATGGCCTTTTCTAACTTACACATCTGATCGAGGAGATGGTAAAACTTTTTTTTTTTTTTTTTGAGACAGAGTCTTGCTCAGTCCCCCAGGCTGCAGTGCAGTGGCACGATCTCGGCTCACTGCAAGCTCTGCCTCCCAGTTTCACACCATTCTCCTGCCTCAGCCTCCTGAGTAGCTGGGACTACAGGCGCCCACCACCACGCCGGCTAATTTTTTTTTTGTATTTTTAGTAGAGACGGGGTTTCACCATATTAGCCAGGATGGTCTCGATCTCCTGACCTCGTGATCCACCCGCCTCGGCCTCCCAAAGTGCTGGGATTACAGGCATGAGCCACCGCGCCCGGCCCTAACTTTTTTTTTTTTTTTTTTTTTTTTTTTAAAGAGACGGGGTCTTTCTTTTTTGCCCAGGCTGGAGTGCAGTGGCATAATCATAGCTCACTATAGCCTCCAACTCCTGGTCTCAAGTGATCCTCCTGTCACAGCCTCCTGAGTAGTTAGGATTACAGGTGAGTGTCATCCCAGGCACCTAATTTTTATTTTTTTAGTTTGTTTTGTAGAGACGAGGTCTCACTATGTTGCCCAGGCTGGTCTCGAATTCCTGGCCTCAAGTGATTCTCCTGCCTTTGGCTTCCCAAAGTGCTGGGATCACAGACGTGAGCCACCACGCTGGCAAAACTCTTTAATAACTCTCTCTTTCTAATTGTGGCAAAATTCACACAACATAAACTTTACCATCTTAACCATTTTTAAGTGCACAGGTTAGTAGATTAAGTGGTCATGTGGTTGTACAAGCATCAGCATCATCAATCTGCAAAACTTTCTCATCTTCCCAAACTGCAACTCTGTCACCATTAAACTATAACTCCCCATTCCCTCTTCCCTACCTGCTGGCACCCACCATTCTACTTTCTGTCTCTATGAATTTGACTACTCTAGGGACCTTATATAAGTGGAATCATATAGTATTTGTCCTTTTGGGTCAGGTTTATTTCACTGAGCACAATGTCCTCTGGGTTCATCCATGTTATGGCACATATCAGAGTTCCCTCACTGAGAATCTCATTGTTTAGGAATTTTTATGGAAGCTTCATTTTGTAGGCATGATTCATTAAATCACTGACCACTGGTGATTAAAGAGATGAAAGAGCTCAATCTCCAGCTTCTCTCCACTCCCTGGGGGCTGAAGGGTGGGATTGAAAATCCCAACCCTGGCCGGGCACAGTGGCTCACGCCTGTAATCCCAGCACTTTGGGAGGCCAAGGCGGGTGTATCACTTGAGGTCAGGGGTTCGAGACCAGCCTGATCAACATGGCGAAACCCCGTCTCTACTAAAAATACAAAATTAGCCGAGCATGATGGAACATGACTGTAATCTCAGCTACTTGGAAGGCTGAGGGAGGAGAATTGCTTGAACCTGGGAGGTGGAAGTTGCAGTGAGCCGAGATTGTGCCGTTGCACTCCAGTCTGGGCAACAAGAGCGAAACTCTGCCTCAAAAAAAAAAAAAAAAAAAAAAAAGAAAAGAAAATCTCAACCTTTTAATCATATCTTGGTTTTTCTGGTGACCAGGCCCCATCCTGAAACCATCTAGGCACCCCGAACCAATCATTAGCGTACCCAAGAGACTCTTATCATTCAGGAGATTCTAAGGGTCTTAGAAGCTTTTGTATTAGGAACCCTAGACTAAGACTGAACATAACAAAAGATGCTCCTATCATCTTTATTACTCAGGAAATTACAAGAGTTTTAAGAGCGCTGTACCAGGAATCAGGGATGAAGATCAAATATGTATTTCTTATTATATCATAATAACAGCAGAGGACACTATTTAACCTACTGAAGTAATACAAGCAGTAAAGTAGGTGTGGAAAAACTGAAATGGTGTCTGGAATCAACAAAGTGTGGGACACAACCAGACAAGAAATCATTTGACCCCTAACTCTGTCACCCACTCTGTGTCCTGCAAGAGCTGGCTTCACCTTGAGCATGTCACAGGAACTGGGGACAGAGACCAAGTATTTTTTATTATACCACAGGTTGATGACCTCATTCCAGCCCCTGAATAGGCCATTTCTGAAACCGGACATTACGTCAGCCCCTGGATACAGCCATTCCTGAAACCTGACAGTAGTTCACCCCCTGGATACAACCATTCCTGAAACCTGACATTATTTCAGCACCTGGATACAGCCATTCCTGAAACCTGACAATAGTTCACCCCCTGGATACAACCATTCCTGAAAGCTGACCTTATTTCAGCCCCTGGTTACAGCCATTCCTGAAAACTAACATTATTTCAGCCCCAGGATACAACCATTCCTGAAAGCTGAAATAAGGTCAGCTACCTTATTTCAGCCTCTAGATACAGCCATTCCTGGAGCCTACATTTAAATGACTTGAGTCAATAAATCCCCCTTACCCCAGTTTTTAATCTAAGTCTGTTTGCATTGTGTCTCTTGCAATTTAAAGAATTCTGATAGATACCCCTGGGCTATCCCGTCCATCTGGAATGGCCTCCCCAGCCCACCACATTCATTAGCCTGACACACTCTGGCTCACCTCCCACCTTGACCCAATGCTTCCTCCTCTGGGAAGGCTTCCGTGATTCCATAGAGCAAACCTAAGGGTGCCTATTTCACTCCGAACATTCCTCCCTGCAGCATTCATCTGGCACCGTGACGATTGTTGATTTCTGTGTTGGCTGCCCTAGATTGTTCGTTCCTGAGGGGTGAGCACTGTGGTCTCTTCGTGTTTGTGTTCCCAGCCCTGACCCCAGCAGCATCCAGTAAATAGCTGTTGTGTTGAATGAACCAGTAAGTGAATGATTAAATAGTAAAAAGTGTTGCCTTCCTCTGACAATGGATTTATTTTTAAAAAGGGTAAGAAAAACAAAAGGCTGTACCACTGATGGTGGCTGCAGGGCTCATGCATGCATTCTCTCCTCTGATTAAATAGCAGGCAAGGTGTGTGGGAAGGGAACAGAGGGACCTCAGAGACAGGCAGATAAACGAGTGGGTGGCTCTTGCCAGCAGTAAGCCTTTCTTTCATCTGCTGTATGGCCAACCCCTGCCCCCAGTGCCCACTTGCCAGGCTAATCTCCTCTGGATCCCCAGAAACAATAAGAAATAATTTGTCTGAGGGGGGAATCGGATGGGAAAGGGGGAGGAAGATATGTCCATTCCATTCCAGCTGGCTCCAGCTCTCCCCCACTGCTCCCTGAGCTAGCCGAATGCATCTTCTAATTTAGTTCATTCTTCTCTTCCTAGCCATTGGTAATAGACCCACACAGAACACTTGGAATTTAACCATCCTTCCTCCCCATAAGAGAAAGGGAGAGTGAGAAGATATGCAAAAGAGACATAGAAAGGGGAAAGAAAAGAAGGGAAAAGATAAAAGAAGAATGATCACAGTAATGGCTAAGAAATATCATTCTTACTATGCGCCAGGCACTTAGCTGACAACCTAACATGTATTAACTCAATTCATTCTCCTTGAAACTGTATGGGATAGGTTCCAGTGTTATCCTTATTTTACAAATGAGAAAGAGGAGCAAAAATAAAGTAGAGGACAAGGTAGGGATTTTTGTTTTTTCAGAGACAGGGTCTTGCTCTGTTGCTCTGACAGGCGTGCAGTGGCACGATCATAGCTTGCTGCAGTCTCCATCTCCTGGCAAGTGATCCTTCTGCTTCAACCTCCCCAGGCATGCACCATCATGCCAGTCTGAGTTTTGTTTGTTTGTTTGTTTGGTAGAGATAGGATCTGCCTTTGTTGCCCAGGCCGGTCTCGAACTCCTGGCTTCAAGAAATCATCCCACCTCAGCATCCCAAAGTGCTGGGATCATAGGTATGAGCCACTGAGCCCAGGCAACAAGGCAGGAATTTTTTAAAATCTTTCTAAATGAAGGCACTGGTGGATCCCCAGCTCTGGAACACAAAACAGAGTAGGTGCTCACTGAACAATACTGAATGAAGGTTTGAAAGAAATCCTAGCCCATACTGTAAAGACATCATCATCAACATCATCACCCATTACTAAGTGGAAAAGAACATGTTATAAAGCAACAGATAGGTAGGAGATGAATTTTGCTTATCTTTATACATGGATGGGAAAAATTCTGCAGGACCATTCACCAATAGTGGGGATCATCTTGCAGGAGAAATCAGAGATCAACTCAAACACGTCAAAAACATTGATTTAGGCCTGGCTTGGTGGCTCACACCTGCAATACCAGCACTTTGGGAAGCTGATGTTTTTATTCACACTTAAAACTAGGAAAATGTCAATTGTCCATGGCCAAGAATTGTGCGGTGGGGTGGGGAGGCAGGAGAGATCCATTTATTGGAAGTTTAAAAATAAGAATAAGTTAGACATCAGAATAATGGGGTATAGACTCAGAAGGGGTGCCAAGGCACCTTGCTGGGGGGTCAGGGTTGTTCTCCATCCAGATGTGGGTGATGTTCACTAGTTGTATACATCTGTAAAAATTTGTGGTGCTCTGAACTTAAAGTATATGCATTTTTATACATCTTGTCAAATGTATCTTGACATCCCAATTTTTAAAAACTTTTAAAATGCAAAATATTTTTGAATTATCGACGAGCACAATGGCTTGGCTGGTAGAAGGCTGCTGCTGGAGACTGTAAAAGGCTAACGCCCCAGGTTGTACCGTGGGCCCATGTTGTACCGTGGGCCCAGGTTGCTTGTCGCCCCTGAGGAGGAAGGAGTTAGCTCATCCGTGCCAGCTCCCTTCCCATGACAACAGGAGAGTGCAGCACTTAGAGACACTGGTCTCAGCACTTTTTAATCTGAGAGCTTTGGAAAAGCCTCCGAGTCGGGGGAGGAAGAGGAGAGCTCTCAGAAGAACTGGCTGGCAAGATGCTGGGGTGGTGGAAAAAAAAGATGCTTCCAAGGCAAAAAAAAAAAAGGATTAAGAACCAGCTCTGATGGGATCTGAATACACTGCCTTGGAGGCTGGAGAGATTTCCACCCATTTCTGCCTCCTCTAGAGAAAAGGCAAAAAAAAAAAACCCTCCAGAAATGCAACATTTAAGCTTCACTAACAAACCCCGCCCCACCACCACCACCACCAAAATGAAAATAGAGCTCACTTAAAAAAATTATTTTTTGGCTGGGGGCGGTGGCTCACGCCTGTAATCCTAGCACTTTGGGAGGCCGAGGTGGGCGGATCGCTTGAGGCCAGGAGTTTGAGACCAGGTTGGGCAACAATGTGAGACCCCGTCTCTACTAAAAATACAAAAATTAGCCAGGTGTGGTGGCACATGCCTGTAATCCCCACTCCTCGGGCATGCTGAGGCAGGAGAATCACTTGAACCTGGGAGGAAGAGATTGCAGTGAGCCAAGATCCTACCACTGTACTCCAGCCTGGGTGACAGAGAGAGACTGTCTCAAAACAAACAAACAAACAAAATAAAAACAAAAAAAATTAACCCTCTAAAGAATATTTATCCAGAAAGCATTCCCAAGAAAACTAGGTACAAATACTAGATCAGCCTCACAAAGAAAACACACATATATTTTTGTGTTCCATGACTGTCTAGTTGGCTGGCTTGGGTGCGGGCAGGTATCCCAGGGTCCAGATACTACACCTATAGAACTGTCATCTAACCAGAAACACAAAAATAGAGGCAGATTTCTCTGTTCTTCAGCGCTCAAGTGCTACACCACTAAGATTTCAAGACTAGGAACTGGCTTTGCTCCTGGAAATGAACAGAAAAGGAACTTTTAGGCTAACCCAGGGAGAAAGACAGTTATGATTGTGAGCGTGAAGTTATCCGCAAGTGAATTATGCACTTTATGAGTAAAGGTTGTAAGTTTTTGTCCTTGATCAGTCACCTTTGCCACTCCTGGATGTAGAAGAGAAAGGTGGTGTCTACCAGCGTCCTGGGCATGGGATGGACTACATTTCCCAGATGCCCTTGCAATTCTGTGTGGTCATGTGACCAGGGAAATGGGAGAGGTTGCAGGTGCCTGTTTCAGATCTGGATTAGGTAGATAGTTACCACAAAGGAAAATATTTGTGTATCTAAACATATCTAACCATAGAAAAAATATAGTAAAGACATGATATAAAAGATAAGAAATGGTACATCTATATAGGACATTCATCAGAAATGGAGCTTACAGGACTACAGGCTAATTCAGTGAAGAGTGAGTGAGTGTGAAGGTATAGGACATTACCATACACTACTATAGAATTTACAAACACCCCGGTCGCCCCATCTGGGAAGTGAGGAGCGCCTCTGTCCGGCTGCTGTGCAACCTTCCAAGTGTGAAGTGATAGCCTTGTGTGTGATCTTTTCTGTCTTCCCCCAAGTTTGCATTTTTGACATTAAAGTTTACTTTTTAATTAAAAATGAAAAAAAAAAAAGAATTTACAAACACTCCACACTTAGGCCACGCTACATTTACAAAAAACAACTCTTTCTTTCTTCAATAATAAATTACCCTAGTTTACTATAACTATTTTTACTTTATTAACTTTTTAATTTAAAAAATTTTTTTGTTTGTTTTTTGTTTGTGGAGTGTTGCTCTTGTCACCTAGGCTGGAGTGCAATGGCACAATCTTAGCTCACTGCAACTTCCACCTCCCGGGTTCAAGTGATTCTCCTGCCTCAGCCTCCTGAGTAGCTGGGATTACAGGCATGTGCCACCACGCCCAGCTAATTTTTATATTTTTAGTAGAAACAGGGTTTCACCATGTTGGCCAGGCTGATCTTGAACTCCTGATCTCAGGTCCACCCACCTCAGCCTCCCAAAGTTCTGGGATTACAGGCGTGAGCAATTGCACTAGCCTTAAAAACTTTTTGTAATAACACTTTAGTAATCGAAGATTACTAAATCTAGATGCTGGTGCTTTTTGTAATAACACTGGAATAACACTGATAAACTTTAGTAATAACACTTAGCATAAAACACATTGTACATCTGTAAAAAATATTTTCTTTCTTTATATCCTTATTCTATATGCTTTTTTCTATATTTAATTAAAAAATAGTTTTATTTCTAAAACATTTTTGTTAAAGTTTAATACACAAACACACATTAGCCTAGTACTATACAGGGTCAGGATCATTAAGACGTCACTAGAAAATATAAACGTTTTAGCTCCGTTAGATTTTTTTTTTTTTTTTAATGAGACAGAGTCTCACTCTGTTGCCCAGGCTGGAGTGCAGTGGCACGATCTCGGCTCACTACAACCTCTGCCTCCTGGGTTCAAGCGATTCTGCTTCAGCCTTCTGAGTAGCTGGGATTACAGGCACACACCACCATACCTGGCTAATTTTTTTTTTGTATTTTTAGTAGAGACGGGGTTTCACCATGTTGGCCAGGCTGGTCTTGAACTCCTGACCTCAAGTGATCACCCGCCTCAGCCTACCAAAGTGCTGGGATTACAAGCATGAGCCACCGTGCCCAGCCTTCCATGATAATCTTACGGGGCCACTTTCACACATGTGGTCTGTCATTGACCAAGACATCATTATGAGGCACATGACTGCATTTATTTATGAAATGACCCGAGAAAACACCAGTAGGGCAGAAAGGAAGTGAGACAAGGAATCGAAGGCAGCCAGTGAGTGGTGTGTTGTTGAACCAGGTACCACTGTGGGCACCTGGGACTGAATAACACTGGTGAGTTCTGGGAAGCAGAGTGGAACATAGACCTTGGAGGCATCCACCCAAGTGGGAGGGAGCTGGAGTATTTAAACACCAACCCTCAGTAGTCATTGTTGGGCCTGCTCCCCAGCACTTCAGGCTTGCCTTGGTTGCACACATAGAGAACTTTGGCTGCCAGGACATAAAGATGCAGTTGCTGTCAGCCGAGAATTGGGCTGGAAGGTATAGATATGGGAAGTGCCAGAAGGATGGCACGCGGAATATCTATAGTATCAGCAATGGCAGAACCACACAACAGAAAGAACCTGGGCTCCTGAATGACTGCCTGGAGCAGAGCCACTGTCATCAACCTAGACCGTAGCAACTTGAACTGTAACAATTGAGAGGAAAATACTCCCACCCTCTTTAAGGCATTGAAATATTAATAGTATTGGGGTTCTTTGTTAACAGCAGCCTAGCCTTATCCTAACAGATATATCAGCCTTTTTTTCTACTGAGCCTGAGAGCTGCAATTTCAGAGAGAAGAGCACCCAACATTGAGGATTTGCAGTTTTGATGCATCATTTCACTGAGTGTTCCTGAGAAGCCTCTGCCAACTCATTTGGTAGCCCACCAATAATAACCCCTCAGTAAATTTTGAGGGAGGGAGTACACCCAAAAATGCTGGAAGTTAACACCCCTGGAAACAATTAATGTCCTCAACCCATGAGTAATGAGAATTGTTGGATAAATACCCCAGCTCCCTCACCTCTAAAGTAGGATGCCTGAGGTCTATGCTATCCTCCTCCAGTGCTTCCTGATGGGGCTGAGCCCCAATTGCCCACAGTGATGACTTAATAACATACCATTCACTAGCTACCTTCCCTTCCCTTCCCTCTTTCACTTCCCCTCTCGCCTATGGGTATTTCCTGGAGTAACCTCCCAAATGACTATTCGCACTTGAATTCTTTTCTCAGAGTCTGCCTCAGGAGACCCCAAACGAAGCCTGGGGATAAATTATTATCACCTTTAATGCACAGACCAGGACACATAGAAAGACCACAGTCATCCCAGGTTATGCAGCAAGGAGGTAACATAGCTGAGACCCAAATTCCCATCTTGACTCCAGGATTCAACCTCTTAACTCCATTGCTGTCCAGCAAGCTGGACTTCTCCACAAGGGAATCCTCCCCCGTCAAGCACATTTATGGGTAAAGCCACCCTCATCATCTCTTTCCCACAGGCTTGTGACTGTCCAGGCTTTAAATATAAATTTGGCAAACATTTATTAAGCACCCACAGTATACCAAGTACTAACACCACATTGATTCATTGACCCTGCTCTCAAATAGCTGAAGGTCAAACTAGGGAGCAAATATTTGAAGGGAGAAACACCAAACCAACTGGGAGGTTGTAATCATGGCTGCTGCTCACTGCTCAGGCTGTTACAATGGTGAAATATACCACATAAGTTCATAGATAGCCACTGTCCTGAGTTATGATGGTTAATTTTGTATGTGAATGTGACTGGGCTATGGGATGCCCAGATATTTGCTTAAACATGATTTCTGGGTGTGTCTGTGAGGGTGGGTATTAGCCCGTTTTCATGTTGCTGATAAAGACATACCAGAGACCGGGTAATTTATAAAGAAAAAGAGGTTTAATGGACTCACAGTTCCACATGGCTGGGGAGGCCTCACAATCATGGTAGAAGGCAAAAGGCACATCTTACTTGACAGCAGACAAGAGAGAAGAACCAAGTGAGAGGGATTTCCCCTTATAAAACCATCAGATCTCATGAGACTTATTCACTACCATGAGAACAGTATGGGGCAACCACCCCCATGATTCAGTTATCTCCCACCGGGTTCCTCCCACAGCACATGGAAATTATGGGAGTTACAATTTCAAGATGAGATTTGGGTGGGGACACAGCCAAATCATATCAGGGTGATTCTGAAAGAGATTAGCGTTTGCAGTGGGGGACTCAGTAAAGCAGATGGCCCTCCGCAGTGTAGCTGGGCATTGTCCCATCTGTTGAGGGGCTGAATAGAACAAAAAAGTGGAGGAAGGTTGAATTAACTCTGCTGGACTGCGGAGCTGGGACATCAATTTTCTCCTGCCCTTGGTGCTCCTGGTTCTCAGGCCTTCAGACCTGGACTGGAATCAGCCCTCTGGTTCTCAAGCCTTCAAAATACACCACCAGCTTTCTTGGGTCTCCAGCTTGCAGATGGCAAATCAGGGGACTTCTTAGTTTCTATAATTACATGAACCAATACCTTATAGTACACCCTCTCCTACATGTATACACATGTAAGGCCAACAGGATAAATATAGACATAGACGTGGATATACACGTGGGTATGAATAGACATAGATGAAGATGGACATAGGCATAGATGGAGATGGAGTTAGAGATATAGGCTTCATCCTATTGTTTCTGCTTCTCTGGAGAACTTTGATTAATATATGAGTACCCCTGAGGGCCCCCCACCTGCTCTCTGGGTCCTTCCTCCAAGCCACCCTAGACCTCCTTTTGACCCATCAAATAAAGGGATAGGGCCAGGCATGGTGGCTCACACCTGCAATCCCAGCACTTTGGGAGGCAGAGGCAGGCAGATCACCTGAGGTCAGGAGTTCAAGACCAGCCTGGCCAACATGGCGAAACCCCGTCTCTACTAAAAATACAAAAATTAGCACAGCATGGTGGCTCATGCCTGTAATCCCAGCTAGTAGGGAGGTTGAGGCAGGAGAATCACTTGAACCTGGGAGGTGGGGGTTGCAGTGAGCTGAGAATTCTGGAATTCTAGAATTCAGTTCTGGAATATAGAATTCCTAGACCAAGGTTTCAACACGCCACTTCACTCCAGCCCGGGTGACAGAGCAAGACTCCATCTCAAAAAATAATAATAATAAAATAAAAATAAATAAAGGGATAGTTCGGGCACTCAGGAAAACCCTGGGCTCCCAGTCCCTAGCTATGGGTCATGTGCACACTGATGGGCTGATGCCTGTGCCAGATCTGATTATCATAGAGATGCATCCTCAGTGGGGAGGACAAGGAAGGCGTCATCCGCTTTACCTGAGCTGGTCAGGTAAGGCCCAGACTAGGTTGTTTTTTTATTAATCCAGAAAACAGCAACCTATGGTGGGTATAAAGTTCTTTGGTGGGGGTGATAAAAATGTTACGAAATTAGATGGTGTTGTTGATTATACAATCTAGAACGTGCTAAAAACCACTGAATTGTACACTTTAAAGGGGTGAATTTTAAGGTATGTGAGTTATAGCCCAATAAAGCTGTTTATTTATTTATTTATTTATTTTTGAGGCAAGATCTCACTCTGTTGCCCAGGCTGGGATGCAGGGGCACAATCACAGCACTCTGTAGCCTGGAACTCCTGGGCTCAAGCCATCCTCCTGCCTCAGCTCCCTGAGTAGCTGGGACTACAGGTGCACCACCATACCTGGATAATTTTCTTTTTTTTTTTTTTTTTGGTAGAAACAAGGTCTTGCTATGTTGCCCAGGCTGGTCTCGAACTCCTGGCTTCAAGAGATCCTCCTGCCTCAGCTTCTCAAAGCGCTAGAATTACAGGCGTGAGCCACTGTGCCTCGCCAAAGCTCTTGTTTTATTTAAAGGAAAGAAAACAACAGCCTAAACCCCATTTCCTGACACCCCCGTGCATCGAGATTGGGGCCAGAGTGAGGAGAATGAGCACTGGCTTTGAGCACAAAATTAAACACTTACACGCTGGGCTATTTGAGTTTGCTACGGCTGCCGTGACAAGGCACCACACTGAGTGGATTCAGCAAAAAAACAGACTGTCTCTCAGTTCTGGAATCTAGAATTCATAGATCAAGGTGTCAACGGGGCTATCCTCCCTCTGAAGGTGCGGAGGAAGGATTTGTTCCAGGTCTCTCTCCTGGCTTCAGGTCGTCTCTCAGCATATGGCAGCACAACTCCAATCTTTTTATTTTATTTATTTATTTATTTGAGACGTAGTCTGACTCTGTCGCCAGGCTGGAGTGCAGTGGTGCGATCTTGGCTGACTGCAACCTCTACTTCCTGGGTTCAAGCGATTCTCCTGCCTCAGCCTCCCGAGTAGCTGGGATTACAGGCGTGCACCACCACGCCCAGCTAATTTTTGTATTTTTAGTAGAGATAGGGTTTCACTATGTTGGCAAGGATGGTCTCCATCTCTTTTTTTTTTTTTTTTTTTTGAGACGGAGTCTCACTCTGTCACCCAGGCTGGAGTGCAGTGGCGCCATCTCTGCTCACTGCAAGCTCTGCCTCCCGGGTTCACGCCATTCTCCAGCCTCAGCCTCCCGAGTAGCTGGGATTACAGGCGTGCGCCACCATGCCCAGCTAATTTTTGTATTTTTAGTAGAGATTGGGTTTCACTATGTTGGCGAGGATGGTCTCCATCTCTTGACCTCGTGTTCCGCCCCCCTTGGCCTCCCAAAGTGCTGGGATTACAGGCATGAGCCACCGCACTCGGCCCCACAACTCCAGTCTTTACACAACATTCTCCCAAGTGCACATGGCTGTGTCCAGTTTTCCCCTTTCTATATGGACGACCCACTCACATTGGATTAGGGGCCCACCTCATCTTAACTAATTATGTCTCCAACTATGTCTGCAATTTCCAAAAAAGTTCACATTCTAGGGTACTCAAGATGCTATAGTCTTAATGTTGTGTCTCTCCAAAATTTGTATGTTTTTTTGTTGTCATTTCTGGTTTTTTTGTTTGTTTTTGTTTTGAGATGAAGTCTTGCTCTGTTGTCCAGGCTGGAGTGCAGTGGTGCAATCTCAGCTCACTGCAACCTCTGCTTCCTGTGTTCAAGTAATTCTCCCACCTCAGCCTCCTGAGTAGTTGGGATTATAGGCACCCGCCACCACGCCCAGCTGATTTTTGTATTTTTAGTAGAGACAAGGTTTCACCATGTTGGCCAGGCTGGTCTTGAACTCCTGGCCTTGAGTGATCCGCCTGCCTCAGCCTCCCAAAGTGCTGGGATTACAGACGTGAGCCACTGCCCCAGCCCACTATTTGCATGTTGATACTTAGTCCACAGTGCAATAGTATTAAGAGGGAGGACTTTGAGAGGTGATTAGGTCATGAGTACTGCACCTTCACGAATGGGAATAGTGCCTTTATAAAAGAGGCTCAAGGGTGGTTCATGCCTGTAATCTCAGCACATTGCAAAGCCAAGACAAAAGGATTGCTCGAGCCCAGGAGTTTGAGACCAGTCTGAGCAACACAGGAAGATCCCGTCTCTACCAAAAAATTTTTAAAATTAGCCAAGTGTGGTGGTGTGCCTTTGTGGTCTCAGCTATTCAGGAGGCTGAGGCGGGAGGATTGCTTGAGCCTGGGAGGTCGAGGCTGCAGTGAGCCATGATTGCACCACTACACTCCAGCCTGGGCAGCCTATCTCAAAAAACAAAACAAAACAACAACAACAAAAAAAAAAAGAGAGAGAGATTCCAAGGAGTCTGCTTGCCACGTCCACTATTTGAAGACACAATGTGCTGTCTATGAGGAAGGGCCCTCACCAGACACCAAATCTACTGGTGCCTTGATCTTGGACTTCCCAGCCTCCAGAACTGTAAGCCATAAATTTCCTTTGTTTATAAATTACACAGTCTAAGACATTTTGTTATAGCAGCCCAAACAGATTAAGGCGGGGCGTTAGGACCTTAACATATGAGCGTGAGGGGTAGGAGAGGGAAACATTTCAACTCATCACACATGCCAAGCCATATTGCATCCTGAGGCCAAAGGAAAAATCTGAAATACTGATCTTGCTTTTATTGAGAAAGTTGATATTTTTGCTCATCATGGATTTTTGCATTGATTTTTATTTCTGAAATTATTGTACTAAAATGTTATTTACCTTGATCTCTGAATTTGTTGGTACTCTTAGAGTTTGTGCCTAACGTAAGCACCTCCCCTACCTCACCCCAGTCCTGGCCCAGTCTGGCTTGCTTCATGATTTTCAAAGTCCGCAACAAGTGGCTTCCCCACCACATGTGCAAATTCTCCCTCCACCCTTGGATGGGATTTGTTTAGGCCCAGAAAGTTTAAAGGAGCTGTGGTGTTTTGTTTTGTTTTGTTTTGTTTTGTTTTGTTTTGTTTTAATCTGCCTCTGCCTAGGTCACTGGCTTCATTTCCTCCTTCATTGAGGCTGTTCTTCCTGCCTTCTTTGAAGACTTTTGCTTTTTTCCCCAGCTTTGTTGAGATATAATTGACAAATAAAAAATGGTGTACATTTGCTATAGTTTGGATGTTTGTGTCCCCAAACCTCATGTTAAAAATTTTATTATTATCATTATTAGTTTACAGACAGGGTTTTGCTCTGTTCCCCAGGCTAGAGTGCAGTTGTGCAGTCATAGCTCACTAAAGTCTCAAACTCCTGGTTATAAGTGATGCTCCTGCTTCAGCCTGCTGAATAGCTGGGACTACCGACATGCACTACCATACCTGGCTAGTTGTTTGTTTTTGTGTGTGTGTGTTTTGTTTGTTTTTGTATAAACAAGGTCTCACTCTGTTGCCCAGGCTGGTCTTGAATTCCTGGCCCCAAGTGATCCCACCTCACTTTCAAAAGTGTGGGGATTACAGGCATGAGCCACCGCACCTGGCCTCATGTTGAAATTTTATCCCCAATATTGGAGGTGGGGCCTGATGGGAGGTGTTTTGGTCATGGGAGCAGAGTGGATCCCTCGTGAATGGCTTGGTGGCTTTCTCATAGTAACGAGTGAGTGACTTCTCACTCTATTAGCTCCAGCAAGAGCTGATTACTAAAAGGAGCCCTGGCCGAGTGCGGTGGCTCACACCTGTAATCCCAGCACTTTGGGAGGCCAAGGTAGGTAGATCACCTGAGGTCAGGAGTTAGAGACCAGACTGACCAATAAGGTGAAATCCTGTCTCTACTAAAAATACAAAAATTAGCCGGGCATGGTGGTGGGTGCCTGTTATCCCAGCTACTAGAGAGACTGAGGCAGGAGAATCACTTGAACCGGGGAGGTGGAGGTTGCAGCGAGCTGAGATCGCACCACTGCACTCCAGCCTGGGAGACAGAACGAGACTCTGTCTCAGGAAAAAAAAAAAAAAAAAGAGCCCCGCACATCTCCCTGCCCTCTCTTGCTTCCTCTCTCACCATGGATCTCCACACACTGGGTCCCCCTTTCCCTTCCACTATGAGTAGAAGCAGCCTGAGGTTCTCATCAGAAGCAGATGCTGGTGCCATGCTTCTGGTACAGCTTGCAGAACTATGACCAATAAGCCTGTTTTCCATTTGTGTACCCAAGGAGTACCTGAAGCTGGGTACTCTTTTATAGCAACACAAATGGACTAAGATAATATTTCAGGTGTACAACATGATCTTTGATAATGTGTGTACATCGAAAAATGATTACCACTATCAAGCGAATTAATACATCCATCACCTCATCTGGTTACCATTTAGTCTGTGTGTGGTGAGAACATTTAAGATATATCCTTTTAGCAAATTTCAAGTAGACAGGCTGGGTGTGGCAGCTCACGTCTGTAATCCCAGCACTTTGGGAGGCTGAGGCAGGTGGATTACTTGAGGCCAGGAGTTTGAAACCAGTCTGGCCAACATGGTGAAACTCCGTTTCTACTAAAAATACAAAAAAAAAAAAAGAGCCGGGCATGGTGGTGGGCACCTGTAATCCCAGCTACTCAGGAGGCTGAGGCAGGAGAATTGTTTGAACACAGGAGGCGGAGGTTGCAGTGAGCCAAGATCATACCACGGCACTCCAGCCTAGGTGACACAGCAAGACTCCATCTCAAAACAAAACAAAACAAAACAAATCAAGTAGACAATACAGTATTCTTAACTATAGTCATCATGCTGTACATTAACTCCCCAGAACTTACTCATCTTGCCTAACTCAAAGCTTGCACTGCTTGACTGACATTTCTGCATTTCTTCCCTGCCCCCAGTCCCGGGTAACCATCATTCTACTCTCTGCCTCTGTGAGTTTGACTTTTTTAGATTCCGCATGTAAGTGAGATCCTGCAGTATTTGTCTATGTGTAGTTTATTTCACTTAACATAATGTCCTTCAGGTTCATTCATGTTGCTGCAAATTACAGGATTTCCTTCCTTTTTTTTTTTTTTTTTTTTTTTTTTTTTAGTAGGATCTCGCCCTGTCACCCAGGCTGGAGTGCAGTGGCGCAATCATAGCTCACTATATGAACTCCTGGGCTCAAGCACTCAGGCGATCCTTCTGCCTCTAACTCCTGAGTAGCTGGAATTATAGGCGGGAGCCATCATTCCCGACTATTCTGTGATTCTATTTGAATAATTCAGGCTAGGCGCAATGGTATACGCCTGTAATACTATCACTTTGGGTGGCCGAGGCAGGAGGATCACTTGAGGCCAGGAGTTTGAGACCTTCCTGGGCAACATAGTGAGACCCTGTCTCTACAAAAAAATTTTAAAATAGCCAGGCATCGTGGTGTGCATCTGTAGTCCCAGCTACCTGGAAGGCTGAGGCTGGAGGATCACTTGAGCAGAAGTTTGAAGTAAGCTATGATCACACCACTGCACTCCAGCCTAGATGACAGAGTGGGACCCTGTCTCTAAATGATAATAATAATAATGGCCCGGGTGCGGTGGCTCACACCTGTAATCCCAGCACTTTGGGAAGCTGAGACAGGTGGATCACCTGAGGCCAGGAGTTAGAGACCAGTCTGGTCAATATGATGAATCCCTGTCTCTATTAAAAATACAAAAATTAGCTGGGTGTAGTGACGAATGCCTGTAATCCCAGCTACTCAGGAGGCTGAGGCATAAGAATCACTTGAGCCCAGGAAGCTAAGGTTGCAGTGAGCCAAGATCGTGCCACTGCACTCCAGCCTGGGCAACAGAATAAGACTCTGCCTCAAAAAAATAAAAATAAATAATAATAAAAGAAAAGAGGCCGGGCGCGGTGGCTCACACCTGTAATCCCAGCACTTTGGGAGGCCAAGGCGGGCGGATCATGAAGTCAGGAGATCGAGACCATCCTGGCTAACATGGTGAAACCCTGTCTGTACTAAAAATACAAAAAATTAGCTGGGTGTGGTGGCAGGCAACTGTAGTCCCAGCTACTCGGGAGGCTGAGGCAGGAGAATGGCGTGAACCTGGAAAGTGGAGCTTGCAGTGAGCTGAGATTGCACCACTGCACTCCAGCCTGGGTGACAGAGCGAGACTCTGCCTCAAAAAAAAAAAAGAAAAGAAAAGAATGATTCAGTCCTGCCTGGATCATTCTGCTCACCTTCCATGGGCTTCCTGTCCCATGTAGATGGCCACCATCTTGCTAAGAACTAGGGAAGGTAGAGTGAGAGCTGGAGAAGAGGGAATCGATCCAGTATTAGAAGAACCATCCAATGAGGTTATTTTGGAAAGAGCTATTTTAACCTGCTACCCACTTTGATACACATGGAAAATATCTCAAACTACAGGGAAGATCTGAACGTGACAGATCTCATAATCAGTGAGAGGGATAAATAGGAAGTACTTTCATAGCACTCACTATATACCTGACACATCACATTTATTAGCTAACCTTATGAGATTGATATGATTGCGATCCCTTTTTCTTTTTCTTTTTTTCTTTTTTTTTTTTGAGATGGAGTCTCGCTCTATTGCCCAGGCTGGAGTACGGTGATGTGATCTTGGCTCACTGCAACCTCTGCCTCCCGGGTTCAAGTGATTCTTCTGCCTCAACCTCCCAAGTAGCTGGGAGTACAGGTGCACACCACCACACCCAGCTAATTTTTGTATTTTTAGTAGAGACGGGGTTTCACCATATTGGCCAGGCTGGTCTTGAACTCCTGACCTTGTGATCCGCCCGCCTCAGCCTCCCAAACTGCTGGGATTACAGGTATCAGCCACTGCACCCGGCTGATTGCTCTCCCATTTTACAGGTGAGGAAACTGAGGCCCAGAGAGGTGAAGTGACTCTTCCAAGACCACACAGCTAGTGAGTGTGGCAGAGCCAGGATTTGA
Organism: Homo sapiens; assembly: GCF_000001405.40. NCBI lineage: Eukaryota > Metazoa > Chordata > Mammalia > Primates > Hominidae > Homo > Homo sapiens. Next base: position 13,569,636 of record NC_000019.10, read on the forward strand.
ACCCAGGCCATTTGACCCTCTCTCCCTTCTTTGACCTGCTCTGCTATAGCTGCCTCTATTACTAGTATTGCTATAATAATATTATTTATTATTCTAATAATCATAATAATATTAACCACCATGGATATTGAACACAAATCATTATTTGATTGTAGCACCTATCCAGCCCTGCATGATCTGGAGAGACTTTATTTACTGTGCATCAGACACTGGTCTGATTTCCATCTGGGGTGATGAAACTGTTTTGGAACTAGAGGTGATGGTTGCACAACATCATAAATATACTAAATGCCACTGAATTGTTTGCTTTAATATGGTTAACTGCATGTTATGTGAATTTTACATCTTTTTAAAAATTCTAAATCAATAGCCAGGCATGGGGGTGAGGGCCTATAAATCCCAGCTACTTGGGAGGCTGAGGTGGAAGGATCACTTGAGCCCAGAGTTTTGAGGCTGCAGTGAGCTATGATTGCACCACTGCACTGCAGCCTGGGCGACACAGAGAGACTCCGTCTCTACAAAAAAAAAATTTTTTTTTTTGAGACAGAGTCTTGCTCTGTCGCCCAGGCTGGAGTGCAGTGGCACGATCTCGACTCACTGCAAGCTCCGCCTCCCAGGTTCATGCCATTCTCCTGCCTCAGCCTCCAGAGTAGCTGGGACTACAGGCTCCCGCCACCACGCCTGGCTAATTTTTTTGTATTTTTATTAGTGACGGGGTTTCACCACGTTAGCCAGGATGGTCTCAATCTCCTGACCTCGTAATCTGCCCGCCTCAGCACCCCCAAAGTGCTGGGATTACAGGTGTGAGCCACCACGCCCGGCCAAAAAAAATTTTTAAATTAGCTAGACATGGTGGTATACACCTGAATTCCCAGCTACTTGGAAGGCTGAGGCAGGAGGATTCCTTGAGCCCAGGAGTTCAAGGCTGCCGTGAGCTATGATGGCACCACTGCACTCCAACCTGGGTGTCAAAGCAAGACCATCTCTAAAAAAAAAAAAAAAAAAAATTGAAATCAAATCATGTTACTCCCCTGCTTCAAACCTCCTATGGCTCCCCATTGCACTTAGAAAAAACAAGCACACATATATTCATTGCAGCAGTATTCATGATAGCAAAGATATGGAATCAACCCAAATGTTCATCAATAACAGACTGGAAAAAGAAAATGTGGTACATACACACCATAGAATACCATGCAGCCATAAAAACGAATGAGATCATGTCCTTTGCAGGGACATGGATGGAGCTGGAAGCCATTATCATTATCCTCAGCAAACTAAAACAGGAACAGAAGATCAAACACCACATATTCTCACTTATAAGTGGGAGCTGAACAATGAGAACACATGGACACAGAGAGGGGAAGAGCACACGCTGGAGCCTGTCATCGGTGGGAGGAGGAGAGAGAGCATCAGGATAAATAGCTAATGCATGCTGGGCTTAGTACCTAGGTGATGGGTTGATAGGCACAGCCAACCACCGTGGCACACGTTTACCTATGTAGCAAACCTGCATGTCCTGCACTTGTATCCCAGAACTTAAAATAAAATTAAATTTAAAAGAAAAAGAAAAAATGACCCAGCCTCTCCATGCTGGTCTACAGGAGTCTACATAATCTGACTCCTACCAACAGCATCTTCTACTTCTCTCCCCCAACTCATCCCATTCCATCCTCACCAGCCTCTCTTCTGCTCCTAAAACATATCAGGGTCATCGCTGCCTCAGGACCTTTGCACTTTCTGTTCCCTCAGCCCGCAACACCTATCCTTGCATCCTCAGTGGCTGCCTCCTTCTCCCCATTCAGGCATCACTGCCATCTCTTGAGAGACCTTCTCTACCCAACTGCTCACCCCTCCTTAGCCCATCTCATAATGACCCCTGAAAACATCTCTCTTCAAAATAATCTGAAATGATGTGCTTACTTTTGGGCTTAATCATTTATTATCTGTCTTTCCTGTGAAAATGTAAATTCCGGCCAGGTGTGTTGGCTCACACCTGTAATCCCAGCACTTTGGGAGGCTGATGTGGGCAGATTGCTTGAACTCAGAAGTTCGAGACCAGTCCGGGCAACATGGCGAAACCCCATCTCTACTAAAAATACAAAAATTAGCCAGGTGCGATGGCACGTGCCTGTAGTCCTAGCTATTTGGAAGGGTGAGGCAGGAGGATGGCTTGAGGCTGGGAGGTCAAGGCTGCAGTGAGCTGTGATTGCACCACTGCACTCCAGCCTGGGTGACAGAGCGAGACCCTGTCTCAAAAGAAAAAGAAAAAGAAAAAAAAAAGCAAATGTAAATTCCACATTGATATTATCCACCACCAGACTCCAGGCCTTAGCATGTTGTAGGAATTCAACAAATGCATCAACTCTACCTCATTAGCACCTTCAGTTTCTCTTGGTTCAATGGCCAGTGGCTCCCGGGAGTAAAGGCATGGGATTCCAAAAAGAAATGTAAACATGTTAATATTATAGGTCCTGTATTATCCAGCCATTTCTACATCCCGATGAGAAGCTACTGGTCCCCAGCCAGATCCCTCTGACCCAGCTGGGGGTCTGTCCCAGGCTACTGTGAGTTGGGCTGTTTTTTTGATTTTGGGGTTTTGTTTTGTTTTTGTTTTTAAGAGATAGGATCTTGCTCTGTTGCCCAGGCTGGAGTGCAGTGGCGCAAACACGGCCCACTCTGCCTTGACCTCCTGGACTCAAGTGATCCTCCTGCCTCAGCCTCCCGATTAGCTGGGATTACAGGTGCATGCCACCACACCCGGCTAATGTTTTTTTATTTAATTTTTTGAAGAAATCTGGGTCTTGCTATGTTGCCCAGGCTGGTCTCAAATTCCTGGCGTCAAGTGATCCTCCCACCTCGGCCTCCGAAAGTGCTGGGATTATAGGCATGAGCCACGATGCCCAGTTGAGTTCTTAGTGGCTCCCAGACATCCCCTTAGCTGATGGGCGTTACGTCACCATGAGATGCCTGGGTTAGACCCATGACCCCTCTTCCGGGAGGCGGCCACTGCCTGTAGCTGGCTGAGCCTGGGGTTTAAGAGCCCAGACCCAGACGGGTACGGTGGCTCACACCTGTAATCCCAGCAGTTTGGGAGGCCGAGGCGGGCGGATCACGAAGTCAAGAGATCAAGACCACCCTGGCCAGCATGGTGAAACCCCGTCTCTACTAAAAATACAAAAATTGGCTGGGCGTGGTGGCGCATGCCTGTAGTTCCAGCTATTCCAGCTACTCTGGAGGCTGAGGCAGGAGAAACATTTGAACCTGGGAGGCAGAGGTTGCAGTCAGCCAAAATCACTCCATTGCATTCCAGCCTGGGCGACAGAGAGAGACTCTGTCTCAAAAAAAAAAAAAAAAAAAAAAAAAAGAGCCCAGACCCCTTGCTCATATACCCTGGTGGGTAGATCACCCTGAGGTGAATCAATGAGCTCCTCACCATCCGGAACCTCCCCCAGGATCAGGTGGAGGCTGAACTTGGGCTGAACCGCATCCTTGATCAGCTTCTTCCTCTGCCCTGTGCTGCTTTTCTCATTCTCCTTAGACCACCGATTCTCAAACTGGAAACACTCCCAGAGGTCCTGACTTAATTGGTAAGGCACGAGGCCCAGCCACACGGATTTTTAAAAATCTCCCCAGGCAATTATAAAGTGCAGCCAACTTAGAGAAGCACTGCCTCAGAGGTCTCTCCTGAGAACACCCCCTTTGTAAGCTCCTTACCCAAGAATCGCCAGCGTGGGCTCCTCTTCCAGGAAATCTGACCTAACGCACTTGCTGTCCACTGAAAGCGCCTACTAGCAGCTAGGACCCAATGCCGGGGGTGCAGGAATTCCTCTTCCAGGCCCAGAGCCCAGCCCACAGCCAGGGTGGCCTTCTGGTCATGCAGATGGAGCAGCAAGAACGGGGGTGGGCAAAAGGGGGCGATGAGAGAAAGCATGTGTGAGAGAGAAAGGCGGGGGCAGGAGGGAGAGAGAGACAGGGGGACAGACAGAGACCCAAAGAGAGAGACAGAGAGAGACACAAAGACAGAGAGACCCAAAGCCATATGGAGAGATACAGAGAGAGAATGGCTGGGTGCAGTGGCTCATGTAATCCCTGCATTTTGGGAGGCCGAGGCGGGCAGATCACTTGAGGTCAGGAGTTCGAGACCAGCCTGGCCAACATGACGAAACCCCGTCTCTACTAAAAATTCAAAAATTATCCAGGCGTGGTGGCGCATGCCTATAATCCCAGCTACTCGGGAGGCTGAGGCAGGAGAATTGCTTGAACCCGGGAGGCAGAGGTTGCAGTGAGCAGAGATCATGCCACTGCACTCCAGCCTGGCTGACAAAGCAAGACCCTGTCTCAAAAAAAAAAAAAAAAAAAAAAAGAAAGAAAGAAAGAAAAAGAAAAGAAAAAAGAAAGATACAGAGAGAGACCCAAAGAGAGACAGACAGAGAGACCCAGAGACAGAGAGAGACAGAGAAAATAAGAGAAAGAGACAGAGAGATCCAGAGACAGAGAAAGAGCAACACACACACACACACACAGACACACACACACACACACACACACACTGGTGCAGGGAGGCTGTTGGAGGAAGAGAGAACAAAAGAGAGAGAGGGTGATGCAAAGACAGAGATAGAGATCCAAAGGGAGAGAGAGAAAGGGGCAGAAATAAAAAGACAGAGACCCAAAGAAAGAGAAAGAAAGAAAGAAAGAAAGAGACCCAAAGAGAAAGACAGAGAGACCGAGGGAAAACAGAATTCAGATAGAGAGAAACAGAGACAGATGAGAGAGGAATAGGAAGCCCCTTCTCTCTCTCTCTCTCTCTCTCTTTCTCTGTCTCTCTCTCAGATGGAGTCTCACTCTGTCACCCAGGCTGGAGTGCGTGACTTGATCTGTAGTTCCAGCTACTTGGAAGGATCAGTCTTGGCTCACTGCAACCTCTACCTCCCAGGTTCAAGTGATTCTCGTGCCTCAGCCTCCTGAGTAGCTGGGATTACAGGTGCCCACCACCACGCCTGGCTAATTTTTTGTATTTTAGTAGAGACAGGGTTTCACCAAATCGCCCAGGCCGGTCTCGAACTCCTGACCTCAAACGAGCCTCCCGCCTTGGCCTCCCAAAGTGCTGGGATTACAGGCATGAACCACCGCTCCCAGCCCTGGGCAGCCCCTTCTATTCAGTCCTTCGCCCTCGGTTGGCATGGCATCTCTGCTCCTCGCCCCACTTGGAATACCCAGAGACCACTGGCCGGGGAGAAGGAGAAGAGCATCCAGGAAGGCTCTTGGCCACCTTATCTGACACTGCCAAGGTAGCTCCTCCCCAGGGCTCCTTGAGCCGCTCACCAGCTTCAGTTTGTTAAATTTAGCTCAGATTCCTTTGCTCTGAGTAAATTGCGTCTTTGCAAAGGAGCAGAAGAGGACTAAACCTGTTTACAGTGTTTGAAACCCACTCACTAAAATATTTTGCAACGATCACAATAATGACTCTGATTTCCATGCCGGCCGCCTCTCAGGAGCTGGGGTTGGTGCAGGGACCAAGGGTGCCGCCTGGCGTGGCATGTGAACAACTGCACGCTGAGCTCAGGCAAACCTGGGTTCAATCCCAGCTCTCCAACTGACCTGCCGGGGGGCCTTTACACGTGGCTTTTAATGCATCCCATAAATGGTATATCAGTGATTCCCCATCTCACCGGCTTTCTGTAAAAAGATTAAGTGAAATGCTGGAGGCTGAGCCACTACAACTGGCAAAATTTAAGAGGACAATAGGTTGGTGGTTACAGGGCACAAGATCCAGAGTCAAGCTGCCTGGGTTCAAATGCCACTTGTACCCCATATGACCTAGGACAAGTTACCTAGTCCCTCCGTGCCTGAGTTTCCTCGTCTGCTAAATGGGGATAATGCTAATGGCTAACTCATAGGCTTCTTGCTCCATTCTTGATTGTTTTCCTACTTATCTTTTGGTTTCAGCTCATGAGTCCCTTAGAAAGCTATTGCTAGGCTGGCGACGGTGGCTCCCGCCTGTGATCCCAGCACTTTGGGAGGCCAAGGTGGGCAGATCACTTGAGGTCATGAGTTCGAGACCAGGCCTGGCCAACATGGTGAGACCCTCCCCCCCATCTCTACCAAAAACACAAAAATTAGCTGGGTATGGTGGCGCACACCTATAATCCCAGCTACTCGAGAGACTGAGGCAGGAGAATCGCTTGAACCCGGGAGGTGGAGGCTGCAGTGAGCTGAATTTGCACCACTGCTCTCCAGCCTGGGCAACAGAATGAGACTCTGTCTCAAGAAAGAAAAGGGAAGGGAAGGGGAGGGGAGGGGAGGGGAGGGGAGGAGAAAGAAAGCTGTTGCTAATCCATCAGTTATACCTCTCTTAAAGCATTTACCTCATTGGGACAGTCTATGGCAATGATTTTGAATTCATTGAGGGCACTGACTATAATGTATTCATCCATATATGCCTGATGGATAACACAGGAGCTGATCCACATCAACCCCTCTGACTTCATTTCCCATCACTCCCACCTCACTCACCTTGTCCCAACCAACACCAGCTGTCTTGCTGATACTCAAAACACACCAGGCACATTCCTGCCTCAGGGCCTTTGCACTTGCTGTTCTCTCTGCTTGGAACTTCCTTTCCCAAGAACTTTGCATGGCTGGCTCATCCTCTTCATTAAGCACTCAATTCAAATATCAGTTCACCAGATGAACCACCCCTAACCACCTTTTCTTAGGTTCTCCTGTTTCAGTCACGTTTTACCCCATCGCAGTGTTATTGTCAATCTCACTGCCTCAAATTATTGTATTATCTATTTACTAGTATATTATCTGTTTTCCCTTATAAAATTTAAACTCCATGAGTGTAAAGTCCTTGTCTGATTTGTTCTCTGCCTCCAAAGTGTTCAGTGATAAGTTGGTGAGGTGATGGGTATGTTAATTAGCTTGATTGAATCTTTCCATAATGTACACATAGGTTGAAATATCACATTGTAGCCCATGAATATATACAATTGTTGTTTGTCAATTAAAGTCATTTTTAAAGCTGCTTGATGAATCTCTGTTGAATGATTAATGAATGAACCTCATCCACTTCCATCCCTTCTATAACTATGTCTATGTAGCACTTACTGTGTGCCAAGCACTGTTCTAAGTAATTTGCATGTATTAATTAATTTGATGCTAACAATCTCTCTGAGAGGTAGGTGATGCAATTATCATCCCCATTTCATAGTTGAAAAAAACTGAGGCACAAGATGTTGGTCCAGTAACTGGTATACAAGCCAATGAAATCTGGATTTGGTATCAGAAGTGGGGTGCCGTTAAATGCACTAAGATTACAAAGCTGGTAAGACGTTGGGCCAGGATTTGAAGCCAGGCACTGTGGCTCCTGAGCCTACAGGCTTAGTCACTCTGTTCAATTTCTCACAGTTCCCCAAACACTATTTCTACCCACTTTTAGTCTCTTCTGCTCTGTTCCCCAATTTCTTATAGCCTCCTAGGCAACTCCACTTTGACTCTCCCCAAACTAGAAATCTCAGATTTCCCTTTGAACTCACCTGTTCTTTCACTTCCTAGATGAAGTGGTACTTAACTTGTTTATAATTCAGGGAGCCTGTAAATTTGGTTGGGAAAATTCGCATATTCATTACAGCCTCTAGCTGTAATTATGCATGGAGGCAACAAATTGCAGCAATATTAGCAGTGTTCATGACACCTGTGACTTTGTCATCAACAGAAACCACATCTCAGCTGGGGGCAGTAGCTCACGCCTGTAATCCCAGCATTTTGGAAGGCCAAGGCAGGTGGATCACTTGAGCTCAGGAGTTTGAGACTGGCCTGGGGAACGTGGTGAAACCCCCATCTCTACAAAAAAATACAAAAATTAGCTGGGCATGGTGGTGCACACCTGTAGACCCACCTACTCAGGGGGCTGAGGTTGGAGGATCACTTGCACCTGGGAGGTAGAGGCTGCCATGAGCTGTGATCTCACCACTGCACCTGGGAGGTAGAGGCTGCCGTGAGCTGTGATCTCATCACTGCACTCCAGCCTGGGCAACAGAGTGACTCTCTCTCAAAACAAACAACCAACCAAAAAACAGAAACCACATTTTTATTATGTCACATTGTAATTATTGCAGATATCTTGAAACTCACTTACTCTCATGACTACCTTGAAGTTGTTAGGTCTGTTACTAGCTCTTGTTATTTATGCATTATGAAAGAAACACATTAGTGATGTATGACAAATCTGTTCTTTCAAATATTTTTATAACTAATGTTCAATGTAATTGATTTCCTCTGCATTTGATATTATGCACTTAAAAAGCACAATTCTGAGAAGAGATCCCTTGGCTTTTGTCAAACTGAAGAGAGCTCCACGGCTCAGAAAATGTTAAGAATCTTCACGCCAGCCAATTAGCAAGTGAATCCTATTGATTCTCCTTCTAAAGTGTTTCTTAGATCCTCTCCCCACCTTTATTCCCAACACTGCTGTCCTAGTTCAGCTATCTCCTGACTCACTGGCATTGCCCCCCTCCACACCTCCCTCTTGCTCATCTTCCCCTCCCAGTTTTAAAAATCTATGACAAAATTAATAACTAGTATTTACACTGAGTTTTAGGGTTTACAGCAGATGTTACAAACTCAGAGCTCACAAATTACTTCCTTGATCTATCCACATCTTAAGATAAAAATATGTTCAGAACAAGTCAGGAGATTACATATAAAAGTGAAATTTTTGCTTTTTCTCAAAAACTCAGACGATTTACCCGAGCTGAGCCTACATTCCTGCATGACAGCAATCAGCTTCTATTGAATAATGGTTATATCCTTCAGATGAGCCTGGAGCTATCTAGTTTGCCAAAGACCTCACCACTCTCTAATGTCTCCCTGACATGGAAGCTGCCCCAGTCACCATTACCCACTTGGCCCCTGTAGACAATTGAGTTTAGCAACCCTGGATTTCAAAGTACCTTATTTGATCCTTATAAAAGCCCTGCAGAGTGTGTATGGTACAGATTCTTATCCTGTTTTACAGATGATGCAACTGAAAACTCATGAAAGTTAAATAAAACACAGGGTCACGTAAGAGTAGAAAGAGCTGGCATTTTTCTCTCCAGACTCTGTACTTCCCACTGACCTGGACTCTTTTCAGAAATTACTTTGTAAAACACCATTATGATGTGTTGAAGTGCATGGTCTCCCATCAAAAGACCTCCGATGCTACTCAGGAGGCTGAGGTGGGAGGATCTCTTGAGTCTAGGAGTTCAAGACCAGCCTTGGCAACATAGTGAGACCCCGTCGCTCAAAAAATAAAATAAAATAATTAGCCAGGCATAGTGGTGTGCACCTGTAGTCCCAGCTACTTGGGAGGCTGAGGTGGGAGGATTACTTGAGCCCAGGAGTTCCAAGCTGCAATGAGCCATACACGATTGCACCACTGCACTCCAGCCAATGGTGGACAGACCTCCAATAGCCTGGTCAATGAAAATGGGATAAATCCCAAGCTTCCCAAGGTGATATCTGAGCTCCTTCAAACCTGGCAGCCTCCCTTGCAGCTTCTGCTTTCAAGTTTGACACGCCCCTTCTTTAAAGTCAGACTTTTGAATGTTCAATTATGCAAAGCCACCATGCTATAAGGAAGCTCAAGCTAGCCACATGGAGAGAAAGAATATACTGAAAAAGCTCATGTTTGGTGCAAACATGTGAGTGAAACCTCATGGACTGTCCAGCCCTGCCAGCCATCAACATAACGCAGCTAAATGAGAGACTGCATTATGTTGAGATTACAGCAGAACCACACTCCTGAGTTTGCAAACCCACCTTCTTATCTATTTGAGATACTCACGTGCTCAGACACAAAAACTAAAGATAAAGACGTGAGTAAGTAGATCAAACACACTGCAGGGAAGGTTAAAATATGTAGCTACCAGTAGGAGGCACTATCCCCAGAGCACTGATTGTCAGGAGGCATGGGAGGACCCAGGAAGGGACTTGGGTGGGTGGGGGAGCTCACTAGGGGCCTCCAGGCAACAGCTATTTACTAACTGGTGTGGAAATATTTTAATATTTTAACAATCAGCTGTGCCAATGTGTCTCAGCTGAATATCTGCCCTGAATACACAGAAAGGAGATTATTGAAGCCAAAAGAATAAGAATCCAAGCCGTGAATCATACTGCAATCATTCCGCCTTGGCTTAGAAATGGATTAGACACCATCATGTTTTTTCATTCCCCAGTGGATTTTAAATTTCCAAGTTGGTATAAACCTGGGGGCCTCTGCTGAGTGTATCATAAGTAAAGTGGAACGTGATGACTCGCACACTGGCTAGAATCGCCTGGGAACTTTATTTTTATTTTATTTGTATAGCAGCAGAGTCTTGCTCTGTTGCCCAGGCTGAAGGGCAGTGGCATGATCATAATTCACTGCAGTCTTGACCTCCTGGGCTCAAGCAATCCTCTTGCCTCAACCTCCCGAGTAGCTGGGACTACAGGTGCATGCCACCATGCCTGGCTAAATTTTAAACAAAATTTTTCGTAGAGATGGGATCTTGCTATATTGCCCAGGCTGGTCTCAAACTCCTGGCCTAAAGCCAGGAGCCAGGCCTCCCAAAAGCACTGGGATTGCAGGCATGAGCTACCATGCCCAGCCTACCAGGTAACTTGAAAAGTGCTAATGCCAGGACCCTACATCCAGAGTTGGATTTAATGGAGTAGGGCCTGGACATCATGATTTTTAAAACAGCCCAGATGATTGTGCAGCCAAGGTTGGGAACCACTGATGTAAAGCCATGCTTCTTAAAATGCGGTCCACAAACCAGCAGCAGCAGCATCACCTAGGAGCTTGGAGAAATGCAGAGTCTCAGGCTCTGCTGGGACCTACTGAATCAGCAACCCCAAGGTGAACCCAGAAATATCTGTGTTTTCACAAGCCCGAAGGGGGGGGCTGATGTGTGCTCAAGGACCAGAGAGCTGGCAGAATGAAAGATCCACTACCTGTTTCTCTTGCAAGACCGCCATGCCACATGGACGCAAGGTCAATGAAAACCCTCCAAAACTCCACTGTGCCATGAACATGCTGGGGTCTCCAAGTCCAGCACACAGGCTAATCTGGGGCTGGAGACTTTGTTTTTTGTTTTTGTTTTGAGATGGGGATCTCACTCTGTCACGCAGGCTGGAGTGCAGTGCTATGATCACAGCTCACTGCAGCCTTGAACTCACAGGCTCAAGCGATCCTCCCACCTTCCCACCTTAGCCTCCCGAGTAGCTAGGACCACAGGCACGCACCACCACGCCTGGCTAATTTTTTTTTTCTTTTTTTCTGTACAGATGGGGGTCTCACTATGTTGCCCAGGCTGGTCTCAAACTCCTGGCCTCAAGCAGTCCTCCCACCTCGGCCTCCCAAAGTGCTGAGATTACAGGCATGAGCCACTGTGCCTGGCCATGGGCTGGAGATTTTGGACACAGATCTCAGGAGACTGAACCAGACTCTGGAAAATTGGCTGTGCTTGTGGGAGCCAACCAAGGGAACATTTAAGGTACGCCTGAGAGGTCCCACCAAAGGGGGAAAGAAAATGGGTGAAAATGAGTCCTACCCTCTGCAATTGAGAAGCCCAAGGAGCTCTCCAACGGGCTGCACCTGCTCCTGCTTTAGGGAGCCTCTTTTTTTTTTTTTTCTCGCTCTGTTGCCCAGGCTGGGGTGCAATGGCACGATCTCGGCTCACTGCAATCTCCACCTCCTAGGTTCAAGCAATTCTCCTGCCTCAGCCTCCCGAGTAGCTGGGATCACAGGTGCCCGCCACCACGCCCGGCCAATTTTTTGTATTTTTAGTAGAGAAAGGGTTTCACTGTGTTAGCCAGGATGGTCTCAATCTCCTGACCATGTGATCCTGCCACCTTGGCCTCCCAAAGTGTTGGGATTACAGGCGTGAGCCACCGTGCCCCGCCAAGCGAACCTTTTTAAATGGGGACATCCTCATTCTAAGGCAAGCACTGAAGAGTTCCAGAATGTTCCCGCAGGCCCACCCGCAGGACCAATGCACGGACTCCGTGCCACTTTGTGATGGATTGTAGTCATGCGTGTCTACTGAAAAGCCTTACATATTGTGCCTTGGGTGCTGCCCTGTGTTCCGAAGCTTGCTTCTAGGGCCTGTGCACTCAGCCGTGAACATTTAAATGGCAGCTTTGAGACAAGGCCTCAGCTGTTCTCTGGTCCAGACATAAGAAGCCAGAGCTTTGAAAATGGACCCAGTTCGGCCAGGTGCAGTGGCTCACACCTGTAATCTCAGCACTTTGGGATGCCGAGGCAGGCAGATCACCTGAAGTCAGGAGTTTGAGACCAGCCTGGCCAACATGGTGAAACCGCACCTCTACTAAAAAATAAAAATTAAAAAATTAGCCAGGTGTGGTGGGCAGGTGCCTGTAATCCCAGCTACTCAGGAGGCTGAGGCATGGGAATCACTTGAACCCAGAGGTTGCAGTGAGCCGAGAAGTGCACCACTACACTTCAGCCTGGGGGATACAGTGAGAATCTGTCTCAAAAAAAAAAGAAACAAAGAAACAAAGAAAATGGACCCAGTTAAACTTGTATGAATTTGAGAAAGTTTTTTTTAACCATTCTGGGCCCTAGTTTCCTAATTTAAAAAAGGGAAGAGGTGAGCCAGACACTGTGGCTCATTCCTATAATCCCAGCTACTTAGGAGGCTGAGGCAGGAGGATTGCTAAAGGCCAGGAGTTTGAGGCCAGCCTGGACAACATAGAAAGACCCCTGTCTCCACAAAAAAAAATTTAATTAGCTAGTGTGGTGGTGTCCACCTGTAGTCTCAGCTACTCAGAAGGCTGAGGCAGGAGGATCACCCGAGCCCAGGAGTTCAAGGCTGCAGTGAGCTATGATTGCACCACTGCACTCCAGCCTGGGCAACAGAGCGAGACCCTGTCTCTTTATTTATTTGGTTTTTTTTTTTTTTGAGACAGAGTCTCGCTCTGTTGCCCAGGCTGGAGTGCAGTGGTGCAGTCTTGACTCACTGCAACCTCTGCCTCCTGGGTTCAAGGGATTCTCCTGCTGTAGCCTCCCGAGTAGCTGGGATTACAGGTGTGCACCACCATGCCCAGCTAATTTTTTTGTTGTTTTTAGTAGAGATGGGGTTTCACCATGTTGGCTGGTCTGGTCTCAAACTCCTGACCTCAAGTTATCCACCTGCCTCGGCCTCCCAAAGTGCTGGGATTACAGGTGTGAGCCACCACGCCCGGCCCCCTATCTATTTAAAGAAAAAAAGAGAAGAAGAAGGAATTTGCACATATATCCTATATATTTGCACAAATAAAAAAATAAAAATTAAATTAAAAGGAGGGAGGAGTAATTAAAGATATGATTTTCCAAGATTGTCCTAAAAATAAAAAAGAGAGTATGAGTGCCTATGGCACTGATTGGCATGTGGACAGGATAACGTGCTTCATAAATGTTAATAAGAAAAATAAATAGGCCTTCCTATTTGAGACTTAAGGGCGTTTGATATCACCATCTCTCCAGAAAGGACCATCTGAAACATCCTCTCTTAGTTCCCATTAACCTCTCACTGTGATTTATAGCAGAAGTTAGCAGTCAACGTCCTGCAGGCCAGATACAGCCCACTATCTGGTTCTTTACAGAAGTCTGCAAATCCTAGATTTAGAGGTCAGATTTTCATCTCTCAGCCACAAACACATTCCAACCTCATATCTTGCTTTCACCCAGCCTTTACTAACCACCTGCTATATGCTAGGCTCTGGTGAAACATAACCAATAAGATAAAGTCCATGCCCTTTTGGAGGTCACACCTCGGAGTATGGGTGGGAATTTGTTCATTTCACTTAATTTAACAGGCCTAACCAGGTGCAGTGGCTCATGCCTGTAATCTCAGCACTTTGGGGGGCCAAAGGTAGGCAGATTGCTTGAGGTCAGGAGTTTGAGACCAACCTGGCCAATATGGTGAAACCCTGTCTCTACTAAAAATACAAAAATTAGCCAGACATAGTGGTGGATGCCTGTAATCCTAGCTACTCTGGAGGCTGAGGCAGGAGAATGGCTTGAACCCAGGAGTGGAGGCTGCAGTGAGCCAGGATCGCATCGCTGCACTCCAGCCTGGGCAATAGAGTGAGACTCCTTTCAAAATAATAATAATAATTATTATTATTATTATTATTTAACTGGCCATTCCTGCTTATAATGTGAGATGCACTGTCCTAAGCATTTTTCAAATGCTTAATTCTTGTAATGACCCTATGAAGTGACTGCTATTTTTTTCCTGCATTTTGCAGGCAAGGAAACAGAGGCTCAGAGAGGTGAAGTCACTTGTCCAAGGTCACACAGCAAATAGTTAGAACCAGGGTGTGAATCCAGCCAGACTAGCTCCAGAGCCAATAAGCTCCACAGTCTCCTTATTCAGAAGCCCTTGACCTAGCATACAGATGGAGGCACTACACATAAATATTGACCAGGCGGTGCCCAGACCACAGAAGGAAAAAAAAAGAAAGTGACTTATCCTTCAAGACACTGTTATTTGAACCTGGCCTTGTCAGTGCTCTCTCCCAGACTTTCTGCACTAGGAACTGTTGTTATCTTCCTTCAGTGCTCAGAGAGGCTGTGGCAGTTGCCCAGGGTCGCCCAGCTCTAACAGGATGAGCTGGGATTTTCAAGGTGGCTCCTTTTGTCCCCAGATCTGTCTTTTGCAACATATGTGGGGCCCTCCAGAGGAATTTCACCAGGCAAGAATGGCCTTCTTGGATGGCAAAGGAATACATTTGATTTGCAACGTGGCATTTCAGAGAGATAGTGGGATTGGGGTTTTGTTATTGTAGCTCTTTGTTTTTTGCTTTTTGGTGTTTTTTGAGGAGTCTCGCTCTGTCACCCAGGCTGGAGTGCAGTGGTGTGACCTTGGCTCACTGCAACCTCTGCCTTCTGGGTTCAAGCAATTCTCCTACCTCAGCCTCTCGAGTAGCTGGGACTACAGATGTGTGCCACCACCACGCCTGGCTAATTTTTGTTGTTTGTTTTCTGTTTTTTTGTTTGCGTGTTTGTTTTTTGTTTGTTTGTTTTTGTTTTTTTGTATTTTTTAGTAGAGACAAGTTTTCACCAAATTGGCCAGGCTGGTCTCAAACTCCTGACCTCAGATGATCTGCCCTCCTCGGCCTCCCAAAATGCTGGGGATAATGGGATTGTTTTTTAAGTTCATTGTCACCATTAGATTTTGACCCAGCACTCATCTCTATGTGGACTTGGCCTTCATTTCTTCAATTGTGATCTGAGCATTACAAGACCTGCCCTCCCAAATGTCGTTTTCATGGTTGCAAGAGACAGAGGAGGTGAAAGGACTGTGAGAATTTGGAAATATCAGAAGGTGAGGTCTTATTTTATTTTAATCCCAGTTCGGTCTCTTTCAAGCTGGTTCTAGTGGCCAGGACTTAGAGAATGGGTTGTATGTGCCATGCTGGCCTTCAGGATTGTATAGATTTCATCCTAAGTTTGTTTGAGACTTCACACAACCAAGTTTGACAGACATCACGTGCTTTCTACCTGCAAAGCTCTGTGCAGAGCACTCCCATAGCTTCAAGGGTCAAATAAGAAAAGGGACTTGCCTTTGTAGAGTTTAGGACTTGAAGGGCAGGGAAAAGGTTAATGATCACAATTTCATTCATTCTCCCTTTCATTCATTCAGTCGTCCTTTCATTCATTCGTTCATTCGACTCTATGCCAGGCATTTCCAAGTTCAAGACCTTGAAAAGGCAGGAGTTAAGAACATGGGCTCTGGATTCTGACAGACCTGGGTTCCAAAGCTGGTTCTAACTTATTGGCTTCATTATTTAACCCCTCTGTGCCTCGGTTGCCTCCTCTGTAAAATGGGTACTGGGGTTAGTAACCCATGAGCTCATACCCAAAGCCCCTTGGCCTAGGGCTGGGCCCATGGCGGGTGTGGAATAAATGGGAACTGGTCTCTGTGTAGCTCATAGACATTGTACAGCTGCTGTTTGCATGTCTGCCTCCTCCTCCAGGCAGGCCCCCTTGAGTACAGTGCATAAATGTGGAACCAGAAGATCCCCTGGGCAGAGAATGGAAAAGAAAATAGGGTTCACTTGCTCTAAGAGGCTTTCAGGTCTCAAAGCCAGAGCCACGAAGAGGTGATCCACATAGATGTTCAAGTTCACAGGGGTCCATCAGTTATTCACTCAACAAACATTGGTATCTATTATACTCTAGGCACTTTTCTAAGCACTAGAGACACGGTAGCAGAAAAGACAGACCAGAAACAAACAGACAAACCTGCCCTTGTGGAACTGACAATCCAATTTAGAAAGAAACACGTAATTTTATATAATGAGCAGAATGGCTCTGCAAAATGAACAGTCGCCCCAGGAGAGGGGCTCTACAGGAGAAGGTGACATTTGTGCTGAGACCACAGTGTGTGAAGGAGCCAGCCATGGGAAGAACATTCCAGGCAGGAGGAACAGCAAGTGCAAAGGCCTTGAAAATGCAGGGGACAGAAGGAAAGCCACCGGGACTCAACCAAAGTGAGGGCAATAATGATGGAATCATGGGCAGAGAGTCATGGGCAGAGCCCTGCACCAAGGTTCAAGCAGTTAAGGGAGCCTGGAGTGTGGACAGACGCCATCAAAAGAACCCTGAAGGCCGGGCGCGGTGGCTCACGCCTGTAATCCCAGCACTTTGAGAGGCCAAGGCAGGTGGACCATTTGAGGTCAGGAGTTCGAGACCAGCCTGGCCAACATGGTGAAACCTCGTCTCTACCAAAAATATAAAAATTAACCAGGCGTGATGACGTGTGCCTGTGATCCCAGCTACCTGGGAGGCCGAGGCAGGAGAATCACTTGAACCTGGGAGGCAGAGGTTGCAGTGAGCCAAGATCGCCCCACTGCACTCCAGCTTAGGTGACTGAGTGAGACTCTATCTCAACAACAACAACAACAAAAATAACCCTGAGGTGTTGAAAAGATAGAATTTTGGAGTGACGGTGACAGAATAAAAGACAAGGATCAGTTTGGGCACAGTGGCTCGTGCCTGTAATTCCAGGGACTCTAAAAGCTGAAGGAGAGGCATCACTTGAGCTTAGGAGTTTGAGATCAGCCTGGGCAACATAGCAAGATTCAATCTCTACAAAAAATAAAGTAAAATATAATAGCCAGGTGTGGTGCCACATGTCTGTAATCTTAGTTACTTGGGAGACTGAGTTGGGAGGACTGCTTGAACCTGAGAGTTTAAGAGTACAGTGAGCTATGATTGTACCACTGCACTCCTGCGTGGGTGACAGAGTGAGACCCTGTCAAAGAAGAAGAGGAAGAGAAAGAGGTAGAAGAAGAGGAGGAAGTGGAAGAGGAGGAAAGACAGGGATCAGCGGTAGGCAAGCAGAAGTATGCAGACCCCACAAGAAGAAAAGAGGGCCAGGCGTGGTGGCTCAGGTCTGTAATCCCAGCACTTTGGGAGGCTGAGGCAGGCGGATCACCTGAGGTCGGGAGTTCAAGACCAGCCTGACCAACATGGAGAAACCCCGTCTCTACTAAAAATACAAAATTAGCCAGGCGTGGTGGTGCATGCCTGTAATCCCATCTACTCAGGAGCTTGAGGCAGGAGAATTGCTTGAACCTGGGAGACAGAGGTTGTGGTGAGCCAAGATCACAACATTGCCCTATAGCCTGGGCAACAAGAGCAAAACTCTGTCTCAAAAAAAGAAGAAGAAAACGAAGACAGGAGGCCGGACGCAGTGGCTCACACTTGTAACCCCAGCACTTTGGGAGGCCGAGGTGGGTGGATCACCTGAGGTCAGGAGTTTGAGACCAGCCTGGCCAACATGGTGAAATCCAGTCTCTACTAAAAATACAAAAATTAGCTGGGCGTGGTGGTGTGCACCTGTAATCCCAGCTACTCGGGAGGCTGAGGCAGGAGAATCGCTTGAACCTGGGAAGCGGAGGTTGCAGTGAGCTGAGATCGCGCCACCGTACTCCAGCCTGGGTGACAGAGTGAGACTCTGTATCAAAAATAAATAAATAAATAAATAAATAAATAAATAAATAAATAAGGCATAGTTGTTCCCAGGATTGGAAACCCAAGGTACAGATAAATTCTAGATGGAAAAGTCACATTGAACAGAGAGGATAATTTGGCAGTGGGGGTGGTGGGGGATATTTGTTCATAAGCTGCTTGGGTTTCAAGGACCAGCATGGAGAATCTGATAGACCAAAAGAGATAGGGGAGCCCCATCTCTGGGGGGCCCTACCCAGACCTTCCATGGCTGCCAAAGCTGCTAATTCAAAGAACAAAAGAAGGGTCTCTCTGCACCAAAAGTCAGCCAGCTGCACTGAAAAAGAAGCTCCCTGGGACCAGACCTATTTTTTTTAAATATCAACTAGGCTAGAATTGGCCAGCCTGCCTCCCTTAAGAAAAGAAAGAAAGAGGCCGGGCGCAGTGGCTCACGCCTATAATCCCAGCACTTCGGGAGGCCGAGGCAGGTGGATGATTTGAGGTCATGAGTTTGAGACAAGCCTGGCCAACATGCTAAAGCCTCATCTCTACTAAAAATACAAAAATTAGCCAGGCATGGCAGCTAATCACAGTGGGTCCCTGTAATCCTAGCTACTTGGGAGGCTGAGGTGAGAATCACTTGAACCTGGGAGGCGGAGGTTGCAGTGAGCTGAGATCATGCCACTGCACTCCAGCCTGGACAACAGAGCAAGACTCCTGCTCAAAAAAATAAGTAAATAAAAAGAAGAAGAAGAGAAAGAGAGCTCTGATTTCTAAGTAGGTTCTTTTTTAAAGGTTAGGTTGCAGTTTAATTGTGATGTCTAAACAAAACAACCTGCTTTTCTTTCTTTTTTTTTTTTTTTTTCCAAGACAGGGTCTCACTCTGTCACCCAGGCTGGAGTGCAGTGGTGTGATCATCACTCACTGCAGCCTTGAACTCCTGGGCTCAAGCAATCCTCCCATCTCACCCTCCCGAGTAGCTGGGACTACAGTTGGGCACCACTACACCTGGCTAATTTTTTTTTTTTTTTTAATTACGTGAGCATTTTTCGTAGAGACGAGGTCTCCCTATGTTGCACAGGCTGACCTTGAATTCCGGGGCTCAATCGATCCTCCCACCTCAGCCTCCCAAAGTGCTGGGATTACAGGCGTGAGCCACCGTGCCCAGCCTCTTTTTTTTTTTTTTAACTGTGTAAACTGAGGCCTCAAAATGCTTAATGGCATACCCGCTACAGAAACAGAAAACTATTACCAAGTACTTACTATGTGGCTGCACTGTTCTAAATGCTTTCTATGTAATAATGCAGTGAACTTAATCTTTGTAAGAGCCCCAGAGATGGGTGCTATTGTTTTCCCCATTTGACAGAGAGGGAAACTGAGGCACCGAAAGGGAAAGGAACCCTCCTCCCCAGAATCAGTCAGCAAGTGGCAGAGTTGGGATTTGAACCCTGGCCGGGGCACTCAACCACACCCCAGATTGAAGCCAGGTAAGCCCCACACTTGACCTCAGGACCTGCTTGTAACCCATCAGACCTCAGGGAGCCCTGCAAAGCCCCGAGTCCGCCCCTGCCGCCCCAGTTGGTCTTTACCAAGCCCTTTGTGCATGAAAAAGCAATAGCCATATATGTAATGATTAGTTATCACATGATGGGAATTCAATTATTGATTTGGGGCTGACTTCCATTTCTCGGAACAGGCAGAAAGGAAGCGGCAGGGAGGTGGGTACTCCGGAGAGCGAGCTGAGCGCTCTGCTGCCCGGCGCCTGCCAGGCTGGGGAGCCATGGCGCCACCTGGTGGCCAGTCTTAGCAGCGGCGGGCGACAGTGGGTGAACGCAGGGGAGACCCGCGCAGGCTGCTTTTTGAGCACAGTGTGTGTCAGGCGCTGTTCCAGCTCAGGGGTCCAAAAACCTCTTCGATAAAGGACCTCAGATGAAATGCTTCCGGCTCTGAGGGCTAGACAGTCTCTGTCCCAGAGACAGCTCTGCCGTTGTAACACAAAAGGAGCCACAGACAACATCAGCACAAATAGAAAAGGCTGTGTTCCAATAAAACTTTATGGACACCAAATTTTGAACGGCATACAACTTTCACCTATCAAGAATTATCCTTCTTTTTATTATACGACAACAAAAATTAATGAACGGGTCGGGCGTGGTAGCTCACGCCTGTAATCCCAGCATTTTGGGAGGCCAAGGTAGGTGGATAACCTGAGGTCAGGAGTTCGAGACCAACCTGGCCAACATGGTAAATGAAACCCCGTCTCTACTAAAAAATACAAAAATTAGCTGGGCGTGGTGGCGCGCACCTGTAGTCCCAGCTACTCCGGAGGCTGAGGCAGGAGAATCGCTTGAACCCGGGAGGCTGAGGTTGCAGTGAGCCGAGATCTCGCCCCTGCACACCAGCCTGGGTGACACCAGACCGGCCCACGTGGAGCTCACAGAGCAAATATGGCAGCAACAAGGGAGAAAGCCGATGCGTAACACATATGAGCTGGTCGTGAGTGCTAGTGGGGAAAATTAAGCGGGGCAGGGAACCAACATAAGTAGGGGTTGCATTTTATTTTTTTTCAATTCTATTTATTTATTTAGAGATAGGATCTCTCTCTGTTGCCCAGGCTGGAGTGCAGTGGTGCAATCATAGCTCATTGCAACCTTCAACTCCCAGGCTCAAGCAGTCCTCCCACCTCAGCCTCCTGAGTAGCTGGGACTACAGGTACGCATCACCATGCCCAGCTAATTTTTGTAAAGATGGAATCTTGCCATGCTGTCCAGGATGGTCTCAAACTCCTGGGCTCACAGGATCCTCCTGCCTTGGCCTCCTGAGTAGCTAGGACTACAGGTCCCAGTACAGTCAACGAGGGAGGAAGCCCCATATGTAACACATAGGATCTGGTTATGAGTGCTAGTGGGGAAAATTAAGCGGGGCAGGGAATAAGCACGAGTAGGGCTGCATTTTATTTTATTTTTATCTTATTTATTTATTTATTTATTTATGAGACAGGGTCTCACTCTGTTGCCCAGGCTGGAGTGCGGTGGCACGATCATGGCTCACTGCAGCCTTGACCTCCCAGGATCAAAGGATCCTCCCACCTCAGCCTCCCAAGTAGCTGGGACCACAGGCGCACACCACCATGCCTGGCTAATATTTTTTTGTTTTTTGTGGAGATGCCTCACTATGTTGCCCAGGCTGGTCTCAAACTCTTGGCCTCAAGTGATCCTCCCGCCTTGGCCTCCCAAAGTGCTAGGATTATAGGCATGAGACACTGCACCCAGCCGGGGCTGCATTTTAAATAGGGTGATGATGAAAAGTTTGATGAGGAGGAAACCTTTAATCAAAGGCTGGAAGGAGGCAAGGAAGAAGCCGTGTGGGTGCCGAGGAGAAGAGCATTCCTAGCAGAAGGAACAGCCAGTGCAAAGGCCCTGAGGCTGGACCACCCTGGTGCATTGGAGGAACAGTGATAAGGTTAGTATGGCTGCAGCACAGTGCACGAGGGAGAGAGAGGAGGGAGGTGAGGGCAGGGAGGTGACAGGGGCAGGGCCTTATGGGTCTTGGTGAGGACTTTGGCTTTTGCTATGAGTCAGGTGGGAGCCATGGAGGGTTCTGAGCAGAGGAGGGATATAATCTGACTTGTGTTAAAATATGATCTCTCTGGGGGGCTGAGCATGGTTGCTAACACCTATGATCTCAATGCTTTGGGAGGCCGAGGCAGGAGGATCACTTGAGGCCAGGAGTTTGAGACCAGCCTGGGCAACATAGCAAGACCCTGCCTCTACAAAAAAATTTAAAAATTTTCCAGGAGTGGTGACACGCACCTACGGTCCTGGCTGCTCAGGTGACCGAGGTGGGAGGATCACTTGAGCCCAGGAGGTCAAGGCTGCAATCAGCCATCATTGCACCACTGCACTCCAGCCTGGGTGACAGAGTGAGACCCTGTCTCTAAAAATAAAATAAAAGTCTCACTTTGTGTGTCTCATTCTCTCAGCTCAGGCCTCGGGGACCAGGACAATTCAGGCCACCCATCCGATCCCTAGCTGGGAAAGTCACCCAGTCCTAGCTGGTGACCTGCAGTTTGGCTGAGCCTGGGTCCCCATATCCTATAAGTGGTCAGTTCTGGCCTGGAATTCAAGGTCACACCATCTCTCTCTTGGCTTGGCTCTCAAATGCCTCAGTAACCTGGAATTCACCTCTCCGGGTCTGTTCACCCATCTGCATAAGGGACAAAATAATAAGGGTACTACCGGTCATAACAAGTAATCATGGCCGGGCGTGGTGGCTCACTCCCATAATCCCAGCACTTTGGGAGGCTGAGGTGGGTGGATCACCTGAGGTCAGGAGTTCGAGACCAGCCTAGCCAACAGGGTGAAACCCCGTCTCTACTAAAAATACAAAAAAAAATTAGCTAGGCGTGGTGGTGCATGACTGTCATCCCAGCTATTTGGGAGGCTGAGGCAGGAGAATTGCTTGAACCTGGGAGGTCGAGGTTGCACTGAGCCGAGATCGCGCCACTGCACTCCAGCCTGGATGACAGAGTGAGACTCTGTCTCAAAAAAAAAAAAAAAAAAAAGTAATCATAATAAGATACTAAGTAACCACAATAACAATAGCAACAAGAGCTGCCCTAGCTGTTTCAGGAGATCGTTGCGTGCATTTGATAAGATGTGCTGCAACGAAACACTTTGGAAAACAATAACCTGCACCACAATCTATTTATAACAATGGTGATGAGGACTAATCGAGTCAATGCATGTAAAGGTCTTGGAGCCGTGCCCCACAGATAGTAAGTGCTCCATCAACACTGGGTTTTTGTTTGGTTTTTGAGACAGAGTCTCACTTTGTCGCCCACGCTGGAGTACAGTGGTGTGATCTCGGCCCACGGCAACCTCCCCTCCTGGGTTCAGGCGATTCTCCTGCCTCACCCTCCGGAGTAGCTGGGACTACAGGCACGCACCACCACACCCGGCTGATTTTTTTGTATTTTTAGTAGAGACGGGGTTTCACCATGTTGGCCAGGCTAGTCTCTAACTCTTGACCTCAAGCGATCCACCTGCCTTGGCCTCCCAAAGTGCTTGGATTACAGGCGTGAACCGCCATGCCCAGTCAATACTGGTTATTGCCGGGCACAGTGGCTCATGCCTATAATCCCAGATAGTCCAGAGGCTGAAGTGGAAGGATCGCTTGAGCCCGGGAGTTTGAGATCAGCCTGGGCAACATAGTGAGACCCCCATCTCAAAAAAAAAAAAAAAAAAAAAACACCTGGTTGGGCTGGGCGCCTGTGGAATTACGCGCCTGTAATCCCAGCACTTTGGGAGGCCAAGGCGGGTGGATCACGAGGTCAGGAGATCGAGACCATCCTGGCTAACACAGTGAAACCCCGTCTCTACTAAAAATACCAAAAAAATTAGCCGGGCATGGTGGTGGGCGCCTGTAGTCCCAGCTACTAGGGAGGCTGAAGCAAGAGAATGGCGTGAACCTGGGAGGCAGAGCTTGCAGCGAGCCGAGATCGCGCCACTACACTCCAGCCTAGGTGACAGAGCGAGACTCCGTCTCAAAACAAAAACAAAAACAAACAAACAAAAAACATGGTTATTATTATTATTATGGCCTAAGAAGTATTATTAATGATACTCATGGTAGTTCCCTTAACTCTCCTCTCTCTGCTCCCCATTCACACTAATGTTCTCTCTATTCTCTGATGAAGATGACGGTTCAGCAGCTCGCTGCTTACACCCAGGCAGCGTCAGCCTCACCTGGCAGCCTGTTAGAAAGAAATGCAAAATCCCAAGTCTTAGCCTAGACCTGTTGAAACAGAATCTGCATTTAACAAGACCCCATAGGCCAGGCGCGGTGGCTCACACCTGTAATCCCAAGATTTTGGGAGGCTGAGGCAGGAGGATTGCTTGAGCCCAGGAGGTTGAGGCTGCAGTGAGCCATGATCGAGCCATTGCACTCCAGCCTGAGTGACAGAACGTGACTCTGTCTCAAAAATAAAAATAAGAAAAGTATTGAGTTTTATTAGTCCTTAACTGATGGTTGACCCAAATCCACTTGACTGGCTGGCACTGGCTCTCATTCACTGTCAGTCAATGCTTTTACTCAAGAGATATTTTATGAGCACCTACTGGGTGCTGGCCTCAGTCTCTGGGGATACAGCTGTGAACAGGACAGACAAGCAACCTGATTGGGGATACTCCAGTGGGCAAGACAGACCACTAGAAATGAGATAAATAACAATTCCAGTGAATGGCAATGTATTGCAGTCTGCTTAGACCTGCATGAGTGATTGATGGACTGGGATGTTGGCTGATAAAGTGGACACGTGGCTTTAAAAGATTCCTGCCTAGAAAGCAAATATTGAGACCGGACGCAGTGGCTCACACCTGTAATCCCAACACATTGGGAGGCCAAGGTGGGCGGATCACTTGAGGCCAGGAGTTCAAGACCAGCCTAGCCAACATGGTGAAACCCCGTCTCTGCTAAAAATACAAAATTAGCTGGGCGTGGTGGCAGGTGCCTGTAATCTCAGCTACTTGGGAGGCTGAGGCAGAAGGATCACTTGAACCCGGGAGGCAGAGGTTGCAGTAAGCTGAGATCACGCCACTGTACTCCAGTCTGGGTGACAAAGCAAGACTCTGTCTCAAAAAAAAAAAAAAAAAAAAGAGAGAGAGAGAGAAAGAGGATTGAAGAAGATAGTAACAGAAGCAGAAATGAGCAAAGAGACCAAAGTCTGTCAGTCATGAGAAGTAATCACGGTGGTGATCTAATTCAATCGCTATCAGAAGGTGGCCAGAAAACATTCAGAATTCTCATGAAGACAATCGGTGAGGTGAAATCACGTAAGCCTCACTGTGGCATGTACCGTGCCTGGGTGGGGTTCCTACTGGTGGACAAAACCACCACAGTTATAAAAATAAAGCTTCCAAACAGCAATGAAGAATGGAAGATGCTTAGGAGATGCAGTAGCTTACATGTATAATCCCAGTGATTTGGGAGGCTGAGACAGGAGGATCACTTGAGGCCAGGAGTTTGAGACCAGCCTGGGCAACATAGTGAGAACTTGTCTCTACAAAAATAAAAAATTAGCCAGGTGTGGTGGTACACTCCTGTAGTCCTAGCTACTGGGGAGGCTAAGAAGGGAGGATCACATGAGCCCAGGGGTTCAAGGCTTCGCTGAGCTATGATTGCCCCCACTGGACTCCAGCCTGGGTAACAGAGGAAGATCCTGTCTCTAAATAATAATAACAATAACAATAATAATAATAGGAGACATTCTACAGGATGATTTATCTGGTTTATTCTCAGAGTCAATAGGGTAGAAAATAGGGGATCAGAAAGAGACTGCTGTAGACTAAGTAAGACATAGAAGACATGACTACCAGAAAATTAAATATAGAATTATCATATGATCCAGCAACCCTGCTTCTAGGAATATATCTCCAAGAATGGAAAGCAGGGTCTCCAAGAGTTATTTGTACACCTATGTTCATAGTAGCATTATTCTCAATAGCCCGAAAATAGAAGCAACCCAAGTGTTCATGGATGGATGGATGGATGGATGGATGGATGGATGGATGGATGGATGGATGGGTGGGTGGATGGATGGGTGAGTTGGTGGATGGATGGATGGGTGGGTGGATGGATGGATGGATGGGTGGGTGGATGGATGGGTGGACGGGTGGATGGATGGATGGATGGATGGATGGATGGATGGATGGATGGGTGAGTAGGTGGATGGATATGTGGGTGGATGGCTGGATGGATGGATGGGTGGATGGGTGGATGGATGGGTGGATGGGTGGATGGATGGGTGAGTGGGTGGATGGATATGTGGGTGGGTGGATGGATATGTGGGTGGGTGGATGGATGGGTGGATGGATGGATGGATGGATGGACGGATGGATGGATGGATGGATAGATGGATAGATGGGTGGATGGATGGATGGATGGATGGATGGATGGATGGATGGATGGATAGATGGACGGACAAAATGTGGTCTATTCATACAATGGAATATTATTCAGCTTTAAAAACTAAGAAAATTCTGACACATGCTACAACATGGATAAACCTGGAGGACATTATGCTTAGTGAAATAAGCTAGACACAAGAGGACAAATGCTGTATGTTTCTACTTATATGAGGTCCCCAGAGTCATCAGATTCATGAGACAGAAAGTGGAATGATGGGTGCCAGGGGCTGGGGAGTGAGTGTTTCATGGAGACAGAGTTTCAGTTTGGAGTGATGAAAAAGTTCTGGAGATCAGCCGGGCATGGTGGCTCATGCCTGTAATCTTGGCACTTTGGGAGCTGAGCGGGGCTGACCACTTGAGGTCAGGAGTTCGATACCAGCCTGTCCAACATGGCCAAATCCCATCTCTACTAAAAATACAAAAATTAGCTGGGCGTGGTAGCAGGCGCCTATAATCCCAGCTACTCGGGAGGCTGAGGCAGGAGAATCCCTTGAATCCGTGAGATGGAGGTTGCAGTGAGCCAAGATCATGCCACTGCACTCCAGCCTGGAAGACAGAGCGAGACTCTGTCTCAAAACAAACAAAACGTTCTGGAGATGGATGGTGGTGACGGTTGCACAACAATGCGAATCTACTTAATGCCACTGAACTGTATGCTTAAAAATGGTTAAAATGGTCAATTTTACGTTGTGTGTATTTTACCACAATAAAAAGAGAGAGAAACGATGAAATGCAACACACAAGCCTTCTTGATTCAAAAAACTCAACTGTAAAAAGATGAGCAAGGAAATCTGAATGTGGACCAGAAATTAGATATAAAAATCATGATTAATATTGTCAGTGTGATGTGATTAAGATGTGTCTGTGTGCTTTAGAGATGTAGTCTGAAGTTTGCAAAAATCACATAAGGTCAGGGATTTACTTTTAAACATCTCAGAAAGAGGATATGGATTTATGATGTGAGTCTGGCACAATCCTGATAATTATTAAATTTTAATGGATACGAAAGTCTCACTGACCTCTTTTTCCTACTTTTAGTGTATTGGAACATCTTCAGAATAAAAAGCTCTCACAGAGCACGGTATTCAAAAAGCGAAGGCAAACTTCTAAAACATAAGGGTAGAAGCGTGTTGTACTATTAAATCAAACTATTAAGCCATTTGGAAATATATATATCTTGTTGATGTCTCATCCTTTTCACGTTTTTATTTTTATGTGTATTTTACAGTGCATATAACACATTTAGCAAAATATTTTTATAAATTATATATAACTAAAAATGCATGGGCCGTGGCTACGCATTTCAGCTATGAGTGTGCTCAAAAATTGTTTTGCTGGCTGGGGTAGGAGTTCAGAAGTTTGGAGATCATGGCTATAAGGACGCTTTGGGCCAGGCATGGTGACTCATGCCTGTAATCCCAGCAATTTGGGAGGCCAAGGCAAGAGGGTCGCTTGAGCCCACGAGTTCGAGACCAACCTGAGCAACATAGCAAGATCCCATCTTTACCAAAAAAAATTGTTTTTAATTAGCTGGGCATGGTGTCATGCACCTGTAGTCCCAGCTACTTGCAAGGCTGAGGTGGGAGGATCGTTTGAACCCAGGAGGCAGAGGTTGCAGTGAGCCGTGATAGGGCCACTGCACTCCAGCCTGGGTGACAGAGCAAGACCCTGCCTCCAAAATTAATTAATTAATTAAAATTTGTAAAAATGAAAATAAATTAAAGAAACTTTTATGGGTTCTAGAAACCAAGGCAGACGTTAAAGGGAATAGGTGCTTTTCCTGGTTATTTATGGAATGATGGATGGGTGGATGGACAGATTGGTATATAAGATGATAGGTGGGTGGATGGACGGAAGAATGAATGGAAGAATGGATGGAAGAATGGATGGATGAATGGGTGAATGGAAGAATGGGTGAGTGGGTGGGTGGGTTGGGTGGATGGATAGATGTGTGGACAGGTGGGTGAATGGGAAGTTGGTTGGATGGCTGGAAAATGGATGGATGGGAGAAAGAACAGGGAGGTGGATGAATGGATTGATGGGTAGAAAGATGGATGGGTGATGGACGGATGGATGGATGGATGCATGCACAATTAGAAGTTTAAATGGGTGGGTGGTGGGTGGGTGAGTGGACAGATGAGTGGATGGAGGGGAGGTTAAGAGGAACCCAGTTTTGTGGCAGGTGGTGGGGAAGTCACAACATGCCTTCCTAAATGATGCTCAAACACGCCAGTAGATGTCAGACTAACCTCAGGAAACCACCTCGGGGCCAAGCTTGCACCACCCTGGCCCCATCCTGAAGTTCTTTGATTCAAAATGAGCAAAGGCTCATTTTAATAAAACAGTTTGCATTGCACCCTGTATTTACACACTCCCTCACCAGCACCCTCCCAACTCAAATGGCATTTATAACCCCACTTCCTCTCCTGCAAATGGAAAAATGGGGCCAGGGTGGGTGTCTGGTGAAGGGTGCTTCCCACAGGGTCAGGTCGGGAGCATCAAGAGGGTAAGAGAGTAAATTTTGGGGTCCCCTAAATTGATTAGTATCCATATCAGCCTCAGCTCCAATCAAAATAATATTTATATTCTCATCCCACACTCCTGATGTCTGCTCAGGAATCCACCCTAGGCCTGTGCCTTTGCCAAAAAAAAAAAAAAACTTTTGAGGAAAAGGAAAGTAAAGGGGAAGGGGAAAGGGAAAGAGAAAAGAAGAGAGGGAAGGGAAGGGAAGGGACCCTGTCTCAAAAGGAAAGAAAGAAAAGAGAAAGAAATAAAAAGAAAGAAAGAAAGAGAGAGGAAGGAAGGAAGGAAAAAAGAAAAGAAGGAAGGAAGGAAAAAAGAAAAGGAAGGAAGGAGAGACCCTGTCAAAAAGGAAGGAAGGAAGGAAAGGAAGGAAGGAAGAAAGGAAAGAAGGAAAAAAGGAAGGAAGGAGGAGAGAGAGAAGAGAGACACTGTCTTAAAAGGAAATGAAAGAAAAGAGGGAAAGGAGAGAGGGAGGGAAAGAAAGAGGAAGGAAGGAAGGGAGGGAGGGAGGGAGGGAAGGAAGGAAGGGAGGGAGGGAGGGAGGGAGGGAAGGAGGGAGGAAGGAAAGAAAAAACCCAGTAGCTCCCCCACTGTGTGGAAAAGGATGCGTAGGGGCCGGCCTGAGACTGAACCTTCACACAAACCACCTTCAACCCTCGAACAGCCAAGACCCCAGCTCAGGAAAGCCATTCATCCAACATTGCCCAGCAGCAACTACATGACAGAGCCAGTTCCACCCCCAGTGTCTCCCACCAGAAGACCCACTTTTGGGGTCACTGACAAAGAGAAAGGGGGACCCAGAACCAGACTCAACTGAAGCCACCACGTACTCCCAGCCCTATCTAGGTCCCTCTCTGCCTTCACACACTTCTGTCTTCAGCCCTGAAACCCGCAGATTTCAACTCAACACTGGAAGTAGAAATGGGATTCCCACGTTTTTCCCCAGAAAGCAGCATTTCTCAGCCATCTCAACAGAAATATTTGCTGGCTGAGCGCAGTGGCTCACGCCTGTAATTCTAGCACTTTGGGAGGCCAAGGCGGGTGGATCATTTGAGGTCAGGAGTTTGAGACCAGCCTGACCAATATGATGAAACCCCGTCTCTACTAAAAATACAAAAATTAGCCAGGCATAGTGGCGTGTGCCTGTGGTCCCAGCTACTTGGGAGGCTGAGGCAGAAGAATCTCTTGAACCCAGGAGGCGGACTTTGCAGTGAGCCGAGATTGGGCCACTGCACTCCAGCCTGGGTGACAGAGCAAGATTCAGTCTCAAAAAAAAAAAACAAAAAAAAAAACCAGAAAGAAAGAAAGAAAGATTTGCCAACCCATCAGAGTGGACACTCACAATCCTGGGAGCCTGGTCCTGGCTGCCCCATCCATGGTTAATCTCTGTTGCCTCAGCCTGGGGCAGCTCAGGGATTCACAGAGCCGGATGGGGGTGTCCGGGGGGCATAAGGCAACCAGTATTGATCAGTTAGCAGGGAAGGATTTTGAGATTTCAGAAGCCAGCACAGCCTTATCAATATGTTCCAGCTGCATGAATTTGCTCCCCGAAAAAGCTCGCCAAAAACATCCTAACCCCCAAGGGATCCCCGGTACAGCCGCACCGCCCCCCGATCACCACCACCCAGGCATACTCACTCCCATTCTTTCCTCCTGGCCTGGGGGGTGCTGTGGATTTTGTGGGCCTGGTGGGCCAAGATGACATCTCGGTGATCCACCACGCCGCCCCGCCGCCTCAGAGGGGGGCCCTCGAAGCAGATGCTGAGCCGGGGAGGCCGAGTGTCCTGCAGGGCGCTGGGCGTGCCCCGAGCTGCGGTTGTGCAGGGCGTCATAGTAACTGGGGCGCGAGAGCATGGAGTCGGGGACCCAGGAAGACTTCAACATCCACGGGCCTCGCTCAGAAATCCCAGGGTCTTCTCCCTCCAGCACAGTGAGGGGGAAACTAGAAGAAGAAAGAGGAGACAGAGAGGGCCAGTGTGAGGGAGAGGCAGACAGAGCTCACAGAGGGCAAGGAGAAGGGAACTCAGAAGACAAGGAGAGGCCGCCCCACCCTCCTTCGCAGAAAGTCAAAATACACCCCAGCCCAGGCTGGCCGGGATTTAGTAGTTCCTTGGCAACTCAGGGCCCAGAAAGCCAGTTCTTAGGAGCTGCCCGGCAACATATGTGCCCCATGGAGCAAAACACTATGAGGCTGTGCCGCGGGCACTCGCTCCACCTCCCAGGTGCCGGCCACAGAGGGCGGGATGCTGGATTTCTCAGCATCTCTATGTCTCCTTCTGCAAAATGAGCCACCATGGGCCTGGGGGTTGGCTCTCCCTCAGTCCCTTGGTCCTGTGAGCTCTGGAAAGCTGAAAGGGTGAGTTCAAGAGGCAGTTTTAAACGCACGTGGAAGGCTGGGTGCAGTGGCTCCCCCAGGTAATCCTAGCACTTTGGGAGGCAGAGGTAGCCAGATCACCTGAGGTGAGGGGTTCGAGACCAGCCTGGCCAACATGGTGAAGCCCTGTCTCTACTAAAAATACAAAAATTTAGCCGAGCATGATGGCCCATGCCTGTAATCCACATGCCTGTAATCCCAGCTGCTCAGGAGGCTGAGGCAGGAGAATCGCTTGAACCCAGGAGGCAGAGGTTGCAGTGAGCCGAGGTCCCACCACTGCACTCCAGCCTGGGTGACAGTGAGACTCTGTCTCCAAAAAATAAATAAATAAATAAATAAATCCACATGTGAGTGGCCACCTGTCCAGCCACACTGCTTCTCACCAGGTTCTCTGTTTTTTTAACTTCATTTTTATTTTTTTTTAGAGATGGGGTCTTGCTATATTGCCCAGGCTGGTCTGGAACTGCTGGGCTCTAGCAATCCTCCTGCCTCAGCCTCCCTCTTGAGTAGCTGGAATGACAGGTGCACGCCACCACACCAGGTTACGGCTCTTTGGTTTGTTTGTTTGTTTGTTTGTTTGAGATGGAGTCTTACTCTGTTGCCCAGGCTGGAGTTGTGGTGTGATCTTGGCTCACTGCAACCTCCACCTCCCGGGTTCAAGCAATGCTCCTGAGTAGCTGGGACTACAGGCGTGCGCCACCACGCCCAGCTAACTTTTGAATTTTTAGTAGAGACGGGGTTTCACCATGTTTCATGTTTCACCATGTTGGCCAAGCTGGTCTTGAACTCCTGATCTCAAGTGACCGGCCCGCCTCTGCCTCCCAAAGTGCTGGGATTACAGGCATGAGCCACCGTGCCTGGCCAACAGCTGGTTTTTGGAAAGAGAAAAGAGACAGGGTTTCCTCCACTCACACATTTATCAGGTGGACACTCAACACACCAAAGGACCTTGAAGCCCCAAGATTTTTATCTCCAATCACTTAATCATTCAACAAACTCTGAGCGACCACCCAATTTGTGCCTGGCCCTGTGCTAGGTCCTGGGGACGCAGCCATGAATAAGACTGGCAAATGTCCCCACCCTCATGGAGAAGGCATTCTAGGAGGGAGACAGACAAGGAACAAAATAAGTGGGTACATTATATAGAGATTAGGAGTTGAAAAGTGCTGGGAAGGGCCAAAGGACCAGGTGTGGTGGCTCATGCCTGTAATCCTAGCACTTTGGCGGTCAGATTGCCTGAGCCTAGGAGTTTGAGGCCAGCCTGGGCAACATAGTGAGACCCCATCTCTACTAAAAATACAAAAATTAGCCAGGCATGGTGGTGCATGCCTGTAGTTCTAACTACTTGGGAGGCTGAGGTGGGAGGATCACTTGAGACTGGGAGGCAGAGGTTGCAGTGAGCCAAGATTGTGCCACTGCACTCTAGCCTGGGTGACAAAGCCAGACCATGTCTCAAAAAAAAAAAGTTTTTAAATTGACAAATAAAAATTGTATATATATATATAGGCCAGGCGTGGTGGCTCACGCCTGTAATCCCAGCACTTTGGGAGGCCGGGGCGGGCGGATCACAAGGTCAGGAGATTGAGACTATCTGGCTAACACGGTGAAACCCTGTCTCTACTAAAAATACAAAAAAATAGCTGGGCGTGGTGGCGGGCGCCTGTAGTCCCAGCTACTCGGGAGGCTGAGGCAGGAGAATGGCATGAACCTGGGAGGCAGAGTTTGCAGTGAGCCGAGATCACACCACTGCACTCCAGCCTGGGAGACAGAGGGAGACTCCATCTCAAAAAAAAAAAAAAAAGATTGTATATATATATATGCACACACACATGCACATACATACACACATACACACACACACATATATATATATTTTTTTTGAGACAAAGTTTCACTCTTGTTGCCCAGGCTGGAGTGCAGTGGCATGATCTCAGCTCACTGCACCCTCTGCCTCTTAGTTTCAAGCAACTCTCCCGCCTCAGCCTCCCATATACCTGGGATTACAAAATTGTACATATTTATGATGTCTAACATGATGTTCTCGAACACGTATGCATTGTGGAATGGCAACCTTGAGCTAATTAACATGCATTACCTCACACACTTACTGAGGTCTTTTTGTGGCTAATCTCTTCTTATAAGAACACGAGTAATATTGAATTAGGGCTACTCATCTGACCTCCTTTTACCTTAATTACCTTTGTAAAGGTCCTGTCTCCATATACAGCCCCATTCTGAGATACTGGAGTTTAGACTTCAACATATGAATTTGGGAAGACACCATTCAGTCCTTAACAAAGAAGGGTAAGGTGTGTAGGCTGGCTGCCTACACCAGCTCATGCCTGTAATCCCAGCACTTGGGAGGCCAAGGCAGGAGGATCACTTGAGGCCAGGAATTCAAGACCAGCCTGGGCAACATAACAAGACCCTGCCTCTACAAATAATGTTTTAAAAATCAGCCAGGCATGGTGGCACGTGCCTGTAGTCCCAGCTACTCAGGAGGCTGAGGCAGGAGGATTGTCTGAGCCTGAGATGTTGAGGTTGCAGTGAGCCGTGATTGTCCCACTGAACTCCTGCCTGAGCAATGGAGTGAGACCCTGTGTGAAAGAAGAAGAAGAAGAAGAAGAAGAAGAAGAAGAAGAAGAAGAAGAAGAAGAAGAAGAAGAAGAAGAAGAAGAGGAGGAGGAGGAGGAGGAGGAAGAAGAGGGAGAAGAAGAAGAGTTGGGTAGACTGGTGACTTTATTTTATTTATTTATTTATTTATTTATTTATTTATTTATTTATTTATTTTTGAGACGGAGTCTCACTCTGTCATCCAGGCTGGAGTGCAGTGGTGTGATCTTGGCTCACTGCAAGCTCCACCTCCCGGGTTCACGCCATTCTCCTGCCTCAGCCTCCCAAGTAGCTGGGACTACAGGCGCCCGCCACTACGCCCGGCTAATTTTTTTGTATTTTTAATAGAGAAGGGGTTTCACTGAGTTAGCCAGGATGGTCTCGATCTCCTGACCTCGTGATCCGCCCGCCTCGGCCTCCCAAAGTGCTGGGATTACAGGCGTGAGCCACCGCACCCGGCCCGACTGGTGACTTCATTAAATAGGGGTGCAGAGACAGCCTCACTGAGGAGGTGACATCTGAGAGAGGCCTGAGGGAGGTGAGGAGCCACATGGGTATCTGAGAGAAGAGCTTTCCAGGCAGAAGGAACAGCACATGCAAGGGTCTTGAGGCAGGACTGTGTGTCTCAAGGAACAAAGAAGAGGCCCGTGTGGCTGTGGGTGACGTGGTCCGTGGCTTTTGGAATCTACACCTCACCCAAAAGCATATTTCCAGTCCCAGACTGATTTTTCCCACCTGAGTCAGCCCCTACAACTAGCCTCTCAGTGTCTGTCCAAGAAAAGCGTATCTGCTGGGAGGCTGGCATGAATGAAATAGAATTAGGCCATGCACAGTGGCTCATGTCTGTAATCACAACAGTTTGGGAGGCCGAGGGAGGAGGATTGCTTCAGCCCGGAAGTTTGAGACCAGCCTGAGCAACATAGCAAGACCCTGTCTCTAAAAACAAAAACAACAAAAATAAACTTTGTTTAAAGAAATTAGCCAGGTGGCATGTACCTGTAGTCCTAGACACTCGAAAGGCATAGATGGGAGGAAACCTTGAGCCCAGGAGTTCGAGGCTGCGGTGAATTATTATTGCACCACTGCATTCCAGCCTGGGCTACAGATAGCCTACCTTGTTAGAAAGAAAGAGAAGGAAGGAACGAAGGAAGGAAGGAAGGAAGGAAGGAAAGAGAGGAAAGAAGAAAGAAAGAGAGAGAGAGAGAAAGAAAGAGAGAAGGGAGAGAAAGAAGAGAGGATGGAAAGAAAAGAGAGAGAAAGAGAGGAGAGAAAGAAAACAGAGAAAGAAAGAGAGAAAGAGAAAGACAAAGAGGCCGGGCGCAGTGGCTCATGCCTGTAATCCCAGAACTTTGGGAGGCCGAGGCAGGAGGATCACCTGAGGTCAGGAGTTCAAGACCAGCCTGGCCAAAATGGTGAAACCCCGTCTCTACTAAAAATACAAAAATTAGCCGGGCATGGTGGCGGGCACTTGTAATCCCAGCTACTCGGGAGGCTGAGGCACGAGAATCACTTGAACCCAGGAGGCAGAGGTTGCAGTGAGCCGAGATCGTGCCATTGCACTCCAGTTTGGGTGACAGAGTGAGACTCCATCAAGAAAGAAAGAGAGAGAGAGAGAGAGTGAGAGAGAAGGAAAGAAAGAAAAAAGAAAGAAAGAGAGAAAGAAAGGAAGGAAGGAAGGAAGAGAAGGGAAGGAGGAAGGGGAAGGGGAAGGGAAGGGAGACCCTGTCTCAAAAGGAGAGAGAAAGAAAGAAAGCAAGAAAGAAAGACCCCGTCAAAAAGGAAGGAAGGAAGGAGAAAGAAGAGAGAGAAAGAGAAGAAAGAAAGAAGAGAAAGAAATGAGAGAGAAAAAAAAGAGAACGGAGAGAAAGAAGAGAAAGAAAGACAGGAGAATGAAAAAAACAGAGAGAAAGAGAAAGAAAAGAAAGGAGTGAGAAGGAGAAAAAGAAAAGGAAAAGAGAGAAAGAAAAGAGAAGAGGAAGAAGAGAGAGAAAAAGAAAAGAGAGGAGAGAGGAAGAGAAAGAAAGAGAAAAAGAGAGAAGAAAGAAAGAAGAGAGACAAAGAAAGAAGAGAAAAAGAAAGAAGAGAGAAAGAAAAGAGAAAAAGGAAGAAAGGAGAAAGAAAAGAAAGAAAGGAGAAAGAAAAGAGAGGAGCGAGAAAGAGAAAGAAAGGAGAGAGAAAAAGGAAAAAGAAAGAAAACAAATTAAGAAGCTCAACCCTATACAGAAACATTTCACAAGTCACTTCAACACCCACAGGTATAAGTAGGTGGTGCACAGAATGAGGCTGCCCCCAGATTGCAAAGAACCAATTGAAGGAAGGAAGGAGGGAAGAATTATCTCCATTCCATTTCCTCTCACCCTGCTTTAAGCATGCAAAGAAATGAGAACTCTCCCAGCCTCTCCTAAGCAGATCAACTCACTATCAGCTTAGCAAATGCAGTTACCTTCCGGTTTCTTTCGAAATCCTATAACTAATGGAGTTTAATAGATCTATCCTTCATGACGCTTTTAAGCTTCAATTTACTCCAGTGAAACCTCACTCTTAATTGCCCACGATTGTGCATTTATAGTCTTTTGTGTTTTGCCAAATACTTTCCCATTGTGCTGAAAAAGAAATCTGCTTTCCTTTTATAACCACTTCTGCACGGATGCCATTCTTCTTCCCATTTCACAGAAATAAAACTGAAAACAAGAGGTAGATTCAAGTGTGTTCCAGCTACAAGGTTTTATTTCACCCCTCCCCAAAAATATTCTTCCTGCACATATATTTTTTTTTCTTTTTCTTTTTCTTTTTTTTTTAAGAGGCAGGGTCTTGCTCTGTCGCCCAGATTGGAGCACAGTGGCACCATCATAACTCACAGCACCCTTGAAGTCCTGGGCTCAAGTGATCCTCCGAAGTAGCTGGGACCACAGGCCCGTGCCACCACAGCAGGCTAATTTTTAAAATTTTTAAATTTTTCTTAGAGATAGGATCTCCCTATGTGGCCCAGGCTGGTCTCAAACTCCTTGCCTCAAGTGATCCTCCTGTCTCAGTCTCTCAAAGCTCCGGGATGATAAGTGTAAGCCACCGCGCCCGGCCACAACGATATTAAAGAAAGAAAAAATCGGCTGGGTGCAGTGGCTCACGCCTGTTATCCAGCACTTTGGGAGGCCGAGGCAGGTGGGTCACTTGAGGTCAGCGGTTTGAGACCAATCTGACCAACCTGGTGAAACCCTATCTCTACTAAAAATACAAAAATTAGCCGGGTGTGGTGGTACACATCCGTAGTCCCAGCTACGTGGGAGGCTGAGTCAGGAGAATCGCTTGAACCTGGGAGGCGAGGTTGCAGTGGGTGGAGATTGTGCCACTGCACTTCAGCCTGGGTGACAAAAAAAAAGAGAAAGAATCCAGTTTACAGGTTGGGTGAGCTGTGTAGTACCTACACATTAACTAAAATCCCAGAAACCAGACACAGTGCAAGAACTTTGACGGCAAAAATTCTGAACAAGCCAGGCTCTGTGGCTCTCACTTGTGGTCCCAGCTACTAAGGAGGCTGAGACGGGAGGATCAGCCCAGGAGGTCGAGGTTGTAGTGAGCAATGATCACGCTACTGTACTCCAGCCTGGGTGACAGAGTAAGGCTCTATCTCTGAAGATTAATTAATTAATTAAGTTCTGAAAGCAGAAGGAGTGTTTCTACCTGGGAAAGTAGGAAGCAGATCAGGAAGTCAAAACCTAAAGCTAATATCCCAGGTGACATCTTTGGAGACGTGCACCTGCTTATCCCACAGCCTGACATGGGATGCTCAATTTCCCTCTCTGGTGCTATAGCACATAGCTCCCATCCTCCCCCATCCCATTACAGGCTTCCAAATTCACCCTGATACCCAAGCCAGAAATTGAGTTGTCAATCCTGGCTTCTCGCTTCCCTTAACTCCAGGCATCAAATCCATCCGCAGGTACCATCTACTCACCTCCAAAATATATCCTGAGGGCTGGACGTGGGGGCTCATGCCTATAATCTCAACACTTTGGGAGGCTAAGGCAGGAGCACCTTTTAAGCCCAGGAGCTCAACTGAACAACATAGCGAACAACACAGTGAGACCCTGTCTGCAAAAAAGAATTTTTTTAAATCAGCCAAACGTGGTGGCATGCAATGGCAACAGTAATCCCAGCTACTCAGAAGGCTGAGGCAGGAGGATCACCTGAGCTCAGGAAGTTGAGACTGCAGTGAGCTGTGATCATGCCACTGCACTCCAGCCTGGATAACAAAGTGAAACCCTATCTCAAAAATAAAAATAAGCCAGGCATGGTGGCTCATGCCTGTAATCCCAACACTTTGGGAGGCCAAGGCGGGAGGATCACTTGAGGTCAGGAGTTTGAGACCACCCTGGACAACATGATGAAACCCCGTCTCTAATAAAAATACAAAAATTAGCCAGGTGTGATGGTGGGCACCATAATTTCAGCTACTCAGGAGGCTGAGGCAGGAGAATCACTTTCACCTGGGAGGAGGAGGTTGCAGTGAGCCAAGATTGTATCATGGCACCCCAGCCTGGGTGACAGAGTGAGACTCTGTCTCAAAAAAATAAAAATAAAAACAAGGCTGGTGCGGTGGCTCACGCCTGTAATCCCAGCACTTTGGGAGGCCGAGGCGGGCAGATCACCTGAGGTCAGGAGTTCAAAACCAGCCTGACCAACATGGAGAAACCCCATCTGCACTAAAAATACAAAATTAGCTGGGCATGGTGGCACATGCCTGTAATCCCAGCTACTTGGAAGGCTGAGGCAGGAGAATCGCTTGAACCCAGGAGGCGCAGGTTTTGGTGAGCCGAGATCACGCCATTGCCCTCCAGCCTGGGCAACAAGAGAAAAACTCCATCTCAATAAATAAATAAATACATACATACATACATACATACATACATACATACATACATACATACAAAATATATCCTGAATCCAACCACTTCCTGCACTGCATGGCTGCCACCCTCAATCATTTGGACTGGGGCTGCCTTCTTCCCTACTCCCACTCCCAATCCATTCCCTCCTCTGCAGTCAGTGCAGTCTTTCTAAAATGTCAATCAGGCCAGGTACAGTGGCTCACATCTGTAATCCTAGCACTTTGGTAGGCCCAGGTGGGCAGATCACCTGAGGTCAGGGGTTCAAGACCAGCCTGGCCAACATGGCAGAACCCTGTCTCTACTAAAAACACAAAAATTAGCCGGGCTTGGTGGCACTTGCCTGTAATCCCAGCGAGAGGCTGAGGCAGAATTGCTTGAACCCAGGAGGCAGAGGTTGCAGTGAGCTGAGATCACGCCACTACACTCCAGCCTGAGCAACAGAGTGAGACTCCATCTCAAAAAATAATAATAATAAAAAATAAAAATAAAAAATGTCAATCAGCACATTTGCTTTTGCTGGAATAAAAGCCGCATCCTCCCAGGCTGCCTCATCCCTGTGACTTTGTCCCCTCCCCTTCTCCCTGTTGCACTTTTAGCCCCAGAATCACTGGCCTTGTCCCTGTTTCTGGGCTGTGTCAAGCTCATTCCACCTTCGCACCTGCTGTTCCCTCTTCCTGGAATGCTTTTCCCCTAGTCTCGGACAAGCCAGCTTCCTGTCGTCATGCAAGGCTGTGATCAGATGCCAACTTGCAGAACCATCCACCCAAAGCACCACCCCCAGCAGGCGTTCTCATCACGCTCGCCTGTGAGGTCTTCCTTAAGGTGTTTGTTGCTCCCTGAGACCAGTACGTACATGCGGGCTTCTATAACATCCACCTCCCTGATAGGATCTCAGCTGAATTTGAACAAGGATCTTGGCCTGTCTCATTTGCCATTGAGTCTCCAATACCTTCACTATTTCTTGCCTGAATGAATGAATAAATGAATGAATGAATATTCTTAGGAATGAGTCTA
This sequence comes from Homo sapiens, assembly GCF_000001405.40. Classification (NCBI taxonomy): domain Eukaryota; kingdom Metazoa; phylum Chordata; class Mammalia; order Primates; family Hominidae; genus Homo; species Homo sapiens. The sequence continues at coordinate 13,609,002 of NC_000019.10, forward strand.
CCCAGGAAAATGTCATTAAGCCCCTTCCAAACCACCACCAGGGGTCTGTGACTTTTCAATTTTATGTATTTATTTTTTAATATTATTATTATTATTATGATTTTGAGACAGAGTCTCACTCTGTCGTCCAGGCTGCAGTGCAGTGGTGTGATCTCGGCTCACTGCAACCTCTGCCTCCTGGATTCAAGTGATTCTCCTACCTCTGCCTCCTGAGTAGCTGGGATTACAGGTGCCCACCACCATGCCCAGCTAATTTTTGTACTTTTAGTACAGACGGGGTTTCGCCATGTTGGCCAGACTGGTCTCGATCTCCTGACCTCAGGTGATCCTCCCACCTCAGCTTCCCAAAGTGCTGGGATTACAGGCATGAGCCACCGTGCCCTGCTGTTTTATTATTATTTTTGAGATGGGGTCTCACTCTGTTACCCAGGCTGGAGTACAGAGGCATGATCCTACCTCAGTGCAGCCTCGAACTCCTGGGCTCAATCGATCATCCCACCTCAGCCTCTCGAGTAGCTGGGACCACAGGTGCACACCACTATGCCCAGCTAATTATTTTATTTTATTTTTTGAGAGACAGGGTCTCGCTATGTTGCCCAGGCTGATCTCTAATTCTTGGCCTCAAATGGTCCTCCCGCCTCAGCCTCCCAAAGTGCTGGGATTACAGGTGTGAGCCACTGTGCCCAGCCTGGGATGTTTTTCTAAGCAGGGAAGGGATAAAGTATGCGGGAAATAAGGCATATTCTGGAGGAAGGTCTAACCTCTTCACACAACAATGAACCGTGGGGTCCCAGGAAAATTGCCTAAGCCTCTGAGTCTCTGCTTTCTCCTCCACAACGTGGGGATCATGGCAAGTACTTCAGAAAGCCGTTGTCATGAAGGGTTATCAGGCTCCTCCATGAGAAGTCAATGCAACGAACACAGCGCTGGGCCACAGAAAGTGCTAGGTCCACACCTAGTCTAGTGTTAACCTGGGGCAGGTGGGCAGAGTGGGGCATCTGCAGGAAAGGGGGACAGCCACTCCAGCTACATCACCAAGGACGCTTTGCAGAGCACTCGTGAGCAGTTCCAACGGAGCCCCAGCTGTCCTGTGTGTACACACGAGAAACAAACACATTTCCAGCCAGGGGTCGCTCCCTCCCCAGCCAGGTGCCTGCGCCTGGCACCTGCGGGGGCCCCATGACCAAATGTGCTGTCCTCTCTCTCTCTCTCTCTCTGTTTGCCCAACCTCAGCACGGAGGAAGTGGCAAAGTACGTGGGCTTGGCTTCACTGAGAATCAGCAGGGTTCCACCAACAGACAGCACCAAAGAGAAGACAATAGAAAAAGTAAACAGAAGAAAATAAACAACACGAAGCCTGAGGCCACAGAAAGCCTCATTGTTAATGGAATAACAATCACAGCACCTGCCTGATACGCCAGGTATCGGTGGTCCCCACCACTTTCCCACACCTGAAACAGGAGCTGAGCCCTCCGCTGCCAAGCCTGGACTGGCCTGAATTGCCATGGCAACCGGATGGCACCTGGAGATGCTCCTGATTCACACAGCCTGGTCCAGGAGCTCTAGGGGAAGAGACAGAGAGGGAGGGACCACAGGGAAGTCTGGGGGTGCTTTCTGTGACCCTCCTACATGGACAGAAACATTTACATGTTTCTGTGACAGACACCAGGCTTCGCCACCCACAAATGAAAGAAGTGGTCACAACTGGTAAAAATGAGTAAAAGATACACCACATATATATATATATATTTTTTTTTTTTTTTTTTTTTTTTGAGACAGAGTCTCACTCTGTTGCCCAGGCTGGAGTGCAGTGACTCACTGCAACCTCCGCCCATCCAGGTTTAAGCAATTCTCTGCCTCAGCCTCCGGAGTAGCTGGGATTACAGGCACATGCCACCATGCCCGGCTAATTTTTTTGTATTTTTAGTGGAGACGGGGTTTCACCATCTTGGCCAGGCTGGTCTTGAACTCCTGACCTCATGATCCACCCACCTCGGCCTCCCAAAGTGCCGGGATTACAGGCGTGAGCCACCGTGCCCGGCCCCTTAATTTTTAAAAGTAGAGGAAAAACATTCTCTGAAACTTTGCGGGTTCATCATACACATTGGAAAAGCATGTGATGCTGGAGCCAGGCATCATGGTGTGTGCCTGTAGTCCTAGCTACTCGGGAGGCTGAGGCCAGAGGACCACTTGAGCCCAGGAGGTCAAGGCTGCAGTGAGCTATGATTGCACCACTGCGCTTTTGCTGGGGTGACAGAGTGAGACCCTGACTCTTAAAAAAAAGAAAAAAAAGGAAGAGGAAAGATGCTCCTTGGAAGGAGATGGGAGCTCAGGAAGCCCCAATATGTCCTTTGTCTAAAGAATTCAATATAGAGCCAGGGAGGGGCTGGACTGTAATCTTACAAGCTCTTCTTTTATTCTCTGGTGTGGGAAAATGTCTTTTTCCACCCATCTTGGAGGAAAATTTAAAAACTAAAAATGAGAGGCCAAGGTGGGAGAATCACTTGAGCCGGGGAAGTTGAGGCTGCAGTGAGCTGTGATCTCACCTCTGCACTCCAGCCTGGGTGACAGAGCAAGGCCCTGTCTCTTAAAATAAAGTACAAGAGATGGACTTGAAACACTGTTGCTGGCTGTGAGATGAAGGAGGCCACGAGCCAGGGAATGCAGGCCACCCCTGGAAGCTGAGAATGACCCCCTGCTGACAGCAAGCAAGGAAACAGGACTCCAGTCCTACACAGCATGAAACTGGATTCTGCCAACAACTTAAATGAACAAGAAAACAGATTCTTCCCTAGAGCCTCTGGAAGGAAGCACAGCCAAGCAACACTTTGATTTCAGCCCAGCCAGGCCTGTTGGCTTTCTGACCTATAGAAACTGTGAGATAATAAGTGAGTGGTTTGTTTTGTTTTGTTTTGTTTTGTTTTGTTTTGTTTTGTTTTGTTTGAGATGGAATCTCACTCTGTCGTCCAGGCTGGAGTGCAGTGGTGCAATCTCAGCTCACTACAACCTCCACTTCCTGAGTTCAAGCAATTCTCATGCCTTAGCCTCCAGAGTAGCTGGAAGTACAGGCACCTGCCACCATGCCCTGTTAATTTTTGTATTTTTAGTAGACACGGGGTTTCACCACGCTGGCCAGGCCAGTCTTGAACTCCTGACGTCAGGTGATCCGCCCACCTTGGCCTCCCAAAGTGCTGGGATTACAGGTGTGAGCCACCACCCCCGGCCCACTGAGTGTGGTTAAGGCATTTATTTGGTGGTAATTTGGTATGGCAGCAATAGAAAAATTAATAGGCAGTTACATACATGTAGAATAATTTTTTACAAACATGGAATTTGTGAGATTATATATGTGTATATACATACATACATATATATTAAAAGTCTACAACTTTTTTATACTTAGTAATATGTCTTAGATAACATTCCACATCAGTTCCTATAGGAATGTTTCTTACAAATATTCCACATCAGTTCCTGTAGTTTATTTTTATGTTGTTTTGAGATGGGGTCTTGCTACGTCACCCAGGCTGGGGTACAGTGGCACGATCATAGCTCACTGCAGCCTCAACCTCCTAGGGCTCAAGCAATCCTCCTGCCTCAGCCTCCCAAGTAGCTGAGATTACAGGCACACACCACCATACCCAGCTTTCGATAGTATTTTTCAATGACTCCATCAAATTTATCTGGTCTGGACCTCTGGGTCTTTCTGATTTCTTGCTATTCCCCAGAATGTTGCAGCCAACGTCCTGCATTGTAGATCTTCAGGTTCTGCTACAAATATCTCTGCAGAATAAATCCCCAGAGGTGGAATTGCTCTGTCAAAGAGTGTAAGACTGGGCGAGGTGGCTCACACCTGTAATCCCAGCACTTCGTGGGGTTTGCCTTCGAGTGGAATATACGCAGGTGTGGAGTCCTGGTTGAGAGCACAGAAGTGTTCCTTTAAAAGCAGCTTAAACACTTTGGGAGGCCGAGGCAGGCAGATCACTTGGGACCAGGATTTCAAGACCAGCCTGGCCAACATGGTGAAACTCTGTCTCTACTAAAAATACAAAATACAAAAATTAGCCAGGTGTGGTGGCGGGCACCTATAATCCCAGCTACCCGAGAGGCCGAAGCACAAGAATCGCTTGAGCCTGGGAGGCAGAGTTTACAGTGAGTCGAGATTGTGCCCCTGCATTGCAGCCTGGGCAACAGAATAAGACTGTCTTAAAAAAATTTTTTTAATAAATATATTTTTAAAAAGCAGCTTAAAAACAACATCTATGTTTGAAATCACATCTCCTCCCCTCCTCTCTCTTGTTCTCTCTCTCTCTCGCTCTCTCTCTGGCCTTGATCCTCTTTCTTTCACTTGTCATTTGATCCTGTCTTTCTCTGTGTGCTAAGAGCTCCATCAATAAAACACCTTAATCCAGCCCTGGACAAAACTAGGGTTGCTAAGACCCAGGGGCATGATCTTCCCTCCCAAGTTCTAGGCTAGAGAGTGTGAAATTCAGCAGACCGTGGATTCTAACAGCTACTAAGGAGGCGCTGGGATGAAGATCATCTAAATGTCATTTGTAATCGACCTTCAGATGCATTTGTCACCTTCCGGATGATGTTTTATTTGGCTGATAGTAAAAGCGGTTTCCAGGCCCTGAACAAACACTCTCCATGGTAGGCAGCCAGGTGTGGAGCAACTGCTAAGGATCTTCCTAGAATTGAAAACTCAGAACCAGGGAACAACCCAAATGTGCGTCGATGGCAGGATGGATAAACAAAGAGATGTGGCACGGTGGCTCACGTCTGCAATCCCAGCACGTTGGGAGACCGAGGTGGGTGGATCACCTGAGGTCAGGCGTTCGAGACCAGCCTAGCCAACATGGTGAAACTCCATCTCTACTAAAAATACAAAAATTAGCTGGGCATGGTTGTGCATGCCTGTAACCCCAGCTACTCGGGAGGCTGAGGCAGGAGAATGACTTGAACCTGGGAGGCGGAGGTTGCAGTGAGCCAAGATCGCACCATTGCTCTCCAGCCTGGGGGACAAGAGCGAGACTTCATCTCAAAAAAAAAAAAAAAAAAAAAAAAAAAAAAAAAAAAAAAAGATGTGGGTGGTGCACACGCACAATGAGAAGTTATTCAGGCTTAGAGAGGGAGGAAATTCTGGCCGGGCGTGGTGGTTCATGCCTGTGATCCCAGCATGTTGGGAGACCAAGGCGGACAGATCACTTGAGGTCAGGAGTTCGAGACCAGCCTGGCCAACGTGGTGAAACCCCGTCTCTACTAAAAATACAAAAATTAGTCAGGCGTGGTGGCGCGTAGCCTGTAATCTCAGCTACTCAGGAGGCTGAGCCAGGAGAATTGCTTGAACCCAGCAGGCAGAGGTTGCAGTGAGCTGAGATCATGCCATTGCATGCCAGCCTGGGTGACGGAGTGAGACTCTGTCTCAAAAAAAAAAATTAATAAATGAATACAGGTATCAATACGTGGATATAGGCACCAATAAGTGGGTATAAGCACCAATAAGTGAATAGAGGCATGAATCAATAGATGTAGGCATGGCCAGGCGTGGTAGCTTATACCTGTAATCCCAGCACTTTAGGAGGCTGAGGGAGGCAGATTGCCTGAGCTCAGGAGTTTGAGACCAGCTCAGGCAATATGGTGGAACCCCATCTCTACTAAAAATGCAAACAAAAAAAGTTAGCCAAGCATGGTGGCACACACCTGTAGTGCCAGCTACTTGGGAGACTGAGGCAGGAGAATCACTTGAACCCAGGAGGTGGAGGCTGCAGTGAGCAGGGATCAAACCACTGCACACAGCGAGACTGTGTCTCAAAAACAAAAAAAGATGTAGACCCCAATAAGTAGATATAGACACCAATAAGTGGATATAGGCACCAATAAATGGACATAGGCACCAATAAGTAGATATAAACACCAATAAGTAGGCATAAGCATCAATAAGTAGCTACAGACACCAATAAGTGGATATAGGCATCAGTAAATAGATACAGGCATCAATAAGTAGATATAGGCACATTAAGTGAATATAGGCACCAACGAGTGGTTATAGACATCAATAAGTAGCTGCAGACACCAATAAGAGGATATAAACATCAATAAATGGATATAGGCACCAATACATGGATATAGGAACCAATAAGTAGACATAGGTACCAATAAGTAGATATAGGCCTCAATAAATAAACATAGGCACCAGTAACTAGATATAGGCATGAATAAGTGGATACAGGCCTCAATAAGTAGGCATAAGCGTCAATAAGTAGGCATAAGTGTCAATAAGTAGCCACAGGCACCTATAAGTAGATATAGGCATCAATAAGTGGATATAGGCATCAATAAGTAGATATAGGCAACAATAAGTGGATATAGGCATCAATAAGTGGATATAGGCATCAATAAGTGAATATAGACATCAATAAGTAGATATAGGCATCAATAAGTGGATATAGGCACCAATAAGTAGATATAGCCCTCAATAAATAGACATAGGCACCAGTAACTAGATATAGGCAGGAATAAGTGGATATAGGGCTCAATAAGTAGGCATAAGCATCAATAAGTAGCCGCAGGTGCCAATAAGTAGATATAGGCATCAATAAGTAGATGTAGGCATCAGTAACTGAATATAGGCACCAATAGGTGGGTATAGGTATCAATAAGTAGCTACAGGCCCAATAAGAGGATATAGACATCAATAAATGGATATAGGCACCAATAAGTGGATATAGGCATCAACAGGTAGATATAGGCATCAATAAATGGATATAGGCACCAACAAGTAGAGATAGCATCAATAGTTAGATATGGGCATATACAAGGGTGTTTATGCTCCTTCTGGCCACAACCAGAAGCTTCCCCATCTCGGGCAGGGTGGACCCCCTCCCCCCTATCTTTGCATAGACAAGCAACCAGCAAGATGAAAGAAAAAGTAAAGCTGGGGCCAAGAAGAGCTCTCATCACTTGGGGCAAAACTCCAGAACTGCCCCACATACGTGAGAACAAAGCTAAATAAAACGCCAGGCCAGATGGCCAAGGTTGAACGCAAGCTGAGACCAGCAAGCCAGCATAGCCCCAAGTGTGGCTGCAAGTGTTCATCCCCTGGTGAGAATAAACCATGTCACAGCTGGTCTCGTGTTCCACCCACTTTTTTCTTCACCAGCTGGACGGTGTGATCATGGTGCGGTGAGATAAACACGCACCCTCCCACAGAGATGAACAGATCACCCGGGATTGCTGGATGGTTGGGCAGCCCCAGGACACTGAGTGAGGCTGCAGGACGGGGGAAGGAGGGGAGGAGACCCCCAGGGGTACAGGCTGTTGGGCTGAATCTCAGGCTAAATTCTTCCTCCCAACTTCACTTCGTGGCTCTGTTATCCTCCCCATCACTCATGCATCCATTCATCATTCATTCATTCATCCAGCAATATTTATTGAGCACCTACTGTATTCCAGGCACTGTTCTCAACACTGAGGACTAAGACATGAATAACACAGACAAAAGTCCCTCCTGGAGCTGGCGTTCTAATAAAGGAGATGAACAAGAAACAGGAAAAGCTCCTGAAATAGACAGAATGTCAGATAGAGAAAAGAAAACGGTAGAGGAGGAGGGGGAAGGGGAAGCTGACTGTCATTTAGGTAAAGTGGCCAGAATGGCCTCACTGAGAAAGAAATATTTGAGTAAAGACCTGAAGGGAGATGAGGATGAGGGAGGATGCATGAGGGTGTCTGTGGGAAGAGCATTCCAAGGCAGAGGAAAAGGCCCTTGCAAAGGCGCTATGGCTGGCCGTGTGGCTGATGTGTTCAAGGAACGGCACAGAGGCCAGTGTGGCTGGAGCAGAGTGAGTGAGGGGGCCAGAAGGTGAGGGCAGGGAGGTAACGGGGCCAGGAGGTAAGGGCAGGGAGATAAGGGGAACAGATGGTACAGGGTCTTGTGGGCCATAGGGAGAACTTTGGCTTTTGCTCTGCATGAGGTGGGAGCTATGAAAGGATCTAAGGAGATGAGGGATGTGGCCTGACTCAGGTATTCATGGGAGCCCTCTGGAGGTCACATTTGCAAGAAACCCCAAATGCAGTGGAATCAATCACCCCAGACATTGTGGGGTTCCTTCCTTCTCTCTTTCCTTCACTTCCACATTCTACTCATCATCAGAGCTGATGACTCCGCCTTGTCCTTCCCCTCCCACTTGCCGTAGGCCACATTCATTCCTCTCTGAATCTCGTCTCCTCCAAGTCATCATAAACAATCAGTTCATCCATTAGCCAGTCCCCTAAAGACTCCCCACAGCCAGCTGAATAAAGTGTGAGTCCTGGCCAGGCGCGGTGGCTCATGCCTGTAATCCCAGCACTTTGGGAGGCCAAGGCAGGTGGATCATTTGAGGTCAAGAGTTCGAGACCAGCCTGACCAACATGGTGAAACCCCATCTCTACTAAAAATACAAAATTAGCTGGGTGTGGTGGCAGACACCTGTAATCCCAGCTACTTGGGAGGCTGAGGCAGGAGAATCACTTGAACCCGGGAGGCGGAGGTTGCAGTGAGCTGAGATTGCACTACTGCACTCCAGCCTGGGCAACAAGAGTGAAACTCCATCTCAAAAAACAAAAACAAACAAACAAAAAAAGCCAACAACAACAACAAAAAAAAGCAATCAGTTCATCCATTAGCCAATCCCGTAGAGACTCTTTCCACAACCAGCTGAATAAAGTGTGAGTCCTTTCGCCAGCCCCATATATGTGCCACGATGTAGCCCCAGAATTCCTTCCATCCTCACTTCTCACTACATGAAGCTGATGCTCTGAGACAATCCTGACCACACCTCTGACTTTCACCACCCTGAATACCTTTCCCTCTCCTCATCCCCAAGGTCCAGCTCAAAATACATTTCTGCTTCACAAGCCTCTTCTAGAAAATCCTACCAGTGCCCACACCTCCTGTCTGCCCATGGCTCCCTGCCCCTAGCACCTGCCGCTCCCGACCTGGGGCTCCTCTGGCCGCAGGAGTGAAGCCCATCTGCAGGGGACAGGTCACAGGTGCTACCCCTGGAATATTCCTCAACCAATGGCTGCTGCCAGGAGTTGGTAGAGAAATATCCCCATCTTTGCAACCAGACTGCTTGGGCTTGGATTCAGGATCAGCTGCCTCCTGCTATGTGACCTTGGGTAAATCGCTCCACCTCTCTGGGCCAGTTTCCTCATCTGTAAAATGGGGATAATAAAAACACATCCTTCACAGTGTCATTGTGAGGATGAAATAACTTAATTCTATGCAGCATGCCCAGGACAGTGTCCCACACATGGTAAGCCCCAATATGAGTGTTTGCTACTGTTATTACTGTGTTTACAATGATAGTTTCATTCTCTGTTGAATCCTCAAAGCCTAGCACAGTGCCTGGCCAACAGGAAGAACTCAATAAATAATTGCTGAAAGGCAGATTGCCAGGTGCGGTGGCTCACCTCTGTAATCCCAGCAATTTGGGAGGCTGAAGCCAGAGGATTGCTTGAGGCCAGGAGTTTAAGACCAGCCTGGGCGACATAGGGAGACCCCCTATCTCAACAACAACAACAAAATAATAAATTAGCCAGGTGCAGTGGTACACACCTGTAGTCCCAGCTACGAGGGAGACCGAAGTAGAAGGTTCACTTGAGCCCTGGAGGTTGAGGCTGCAGTGAGCTATGATCAAGCCATTGCATTCCAGCCTGGGTGACAGAGCCAGACAAAGAAAGACAGAGACAGAGAGAGAGAGAGAGAGAGAGAGAGAAGGAAGGAGGGAAGAAGAAAGAAAGATGGAAGAAAGAGAGAGAAGGAGGAGGGAAGGATGAAAGAAAGAAATAAAAAGAAAGGAAAGAAGGAAGGAAGGAAGGAAAGGAGGGAGGGAGGAAGGAGAAGGGAGGGAGGGAAGGAAGGGAGGGAGGGAGGGAGGGACGGAAGGAAGGAAGGAAGGAAGGAAGGAAGGAAGGAAAGAAGGAAGGAAGGAAGGTAGGAAGGTAGGAAGGAAAGGAGGGAGGGAGGAAGGAGAAGGGAGGGAGGAAGGAGAAGGGAGGGAGGGAGGGAAGGGAGGGAGGGAAGGAAGGGAGGGAGGGAGGGACGGAAGAAAGGAAGGAAGGAAGGAAGGAAGGAAGGAAGGAAGGGAAGGAAGGGAAGGAAGGGAAGGAAGGAAGGAAGAAGGTGGATCAATTATTCCTCTTGTCCAAGCAAGGCAAAACCAGTGGCATCAGGTCAATACTGAAACTGAACCAAATACCTGGACACTTAGCACCATGTGTCATCCCCTGTCCACCTTCTCTCTCTCTCTCTCTCTCTCTCTCTCTGTCTCTCTCACAAACTTGCTTGACTTCATCAGCATTGGAGAACTAAAAGGAAACAGTACAGAGTACCAGGAAAAAAATAAAACTCCTCCCACAGGGACTGTATTTCTCTAATGTTTCTCCCACAAACTAAACCATGCATCTGTTCTCTTAAGTCATTCTTGGGCAGGAGTGGGTGGGTAATGTTGCTTTTATTCTATCTCCTTGAATTTTTTTCCTGATTAGGTATTCTTGACTCCTCAATATTGAGCAACTGGTAGGTGTTTCACCATGTCCCTCATTTATCCTGCCTCTTTGGCCAGACAGTGTCTGTGTGTGTCATCAACATATTAACATGTTAAAGCAATAATTCATTATGGAGGTCATTTTCTGGCTTTTTTTTTTTTTAGATACAGGGTCTTGCTCTGTTGCCCAGGCTGGGGTGCAGTGACACAATCAGAACTCCCTGCAACCTCTAACTCCTGGGCTCAAGCGATCCTCCCACCTCAGCCTCCCGAGAGCTGGGACCACAGACATTGGCCACCATGCCTGGCTAATTTTAAAATTTTTTATAGAAACGAGATCTTGCTCTGTTGCCCAGGCTAGTTTTAAACTCCCAAACTCAAGCAATCCTCCCACCTTGGCCTCCCAAAGCTCTGGGATTACAGGCGTGAGCCACCGTGCCCAGCCCTCAGTGGTCATTTTGAATTCTGATATGCTTTGTTTGTTCAACAAATATTTATTAACTACCAACTGTGTACCACTGTGATCCAATTATCATTCATCTTGGGATCTTAAGACTCTAGAGAAATCACCTAAAAACTGCCTCCCGGCCAGGCACCATAACTCACGCCTATAATCCCAATACTTTGGGAGGCCAAGGCAGGCGGATCACCTGAGGTCAGGAGTCCGAGACCAGCCTGGCCAACATGATGAAACCCTGTCTCTACCAAAAATATAAAAAATGAGCTGGGTGTGGTGGCATGCACCTGTACTCAGCTACTCAGGAGGCTGAGGCAGGAGAATCACTTGAATTCAGGAGGTGGAGGTTGCAGTGAGCCGAGTTCACGCCACTGTACTCCAGCCTGGGCAACAGAGCGAGACTCCGTCTCAAAAACAAAACAAAACCTGCCTCCCCTTGGGGGGTCAAAAGAAAATGTAGTGTTGGTTTTGCTGGAGAGAAAAATAACTGTACACCAAAAGTTGTAGTCCCTTTGGGGAAAAAAAGTGAGTAGCCCTTGAGTTGAGTCCTGAAAAAAGATGTTTGAAGATGGTGTCTGCCTACCATCTTCAAGATTTTGGTGTTGGTAGCTAAGAATTAATGTATGAGTTAGTAGGGTCCATACTAACTAGTAGGGTTCTGTTACTCATGTCTGACCAGGACGATTTCATGGAGGGTAAGACAAGTGGTACAGGAAGAAGAAAGAAATGTGAACTAAAAAAGAAATCAGAGACCGGGCATGGTGGCTCACGCCTGTAATCCCAGTACTTTGGGAGGCTGAGGCGGGTGGATTGCTTGAGCCCAGGAGTTCAAGACCAGCCTGGGCAACACGGCAAAACCTCATCTCTACAAAAATACATAAAAAATTAGCTGAGTGTGGTGGCGCACGCCTGTGGTACCAGCTACTCGAGAGGCTGATGTGGGAGGATCACCTGAGCCCTGGAGGTTGAGGTTATAGTGAGCCGAGATCGGGCTACTGCACTCCAGCCTGGGCGTTGAGTGAGACCCTGTCTCAATCAATCAGTCAATCAATCAAATAGTTAAAATGGTATGCTCTATGTGTTTTTTTACCATAATTTAAAAAGAAATTGGCTGGGTGTGTTAGCTCACACCTGTAATCCAAGCACTTTGGGAGGCCGAGGTGGGTGGATCACCCGAGGTCAGGAGTTCAAGACCAGCCTGGCCAAGATGGTGAAACCCCGTCTCTGCTAAAAATACAAAAATTAGCCAGGCATGGTGGCGGGTGCCTGTAATCCCAGCTACTTGGAAAGTTGAGGCAGAAGAATGGCTTGAACCTAGGAGACGGAGGTTGCAGTAAGTCAAGATTGCACCACTGCACTCCGGCCTAGGTGACAGAATAAGACTCTGTCTCAAAAATAAATAAATAAAAAATAAAAATAAATCAAACACATGCTCTGGAGAGTAATTTGAAAGTAGCCAACATTTAGTGAGCACGTACTAGGTGCCTGCCACTGGGTATCACCTGTGGCTGGGCTTCTCAGCAATGCTAAGACACAGACGCCATCGTCATCCTTGCAGTCAGCAGGGGGCACTGAGGCACAGAGGGCTGAGTGGCTCCCCTGGGTCACACGCCAATGAGTATGTGGCCTCCAGGGCTTCTCAGATGCTGACTGGCTCATGACTCACCCAGCCTCAAGTTCAAATGCAGATTCTAACTCAGCAGGGCTGAGTGGAGCCTGGGACTGGCCAAGACCTGCACTTTGAGGGGAGGATTTCTTCCCCGGAGGCTAAGTCAGTCCTCCCTCGTCCACTGGACAAACTTGGCCTATAAGGGGGTGGAAAATGCTTACCCAGAGCGTTCGTCTGTCTGTCACTGTGGAGACAGCTAGGGTTGAAGGATCCTGGAATAGAAGCTCCCTCATTTGCCCTGGGCCCAGAGGGCCCTCTGGTCCTATGCCCTAACATTTTAAATAATAATAATAATAAATGAAACCCTCTGCCAGAGCTTTTGATGTCCACGAGTTTTACAGGTCATTTGCTCAGTAATTTCACTCAGTGTCAAATCCACCCTCTCCCTCCTGACCCCTGTAATGATCTTCTGTTTTCTTTTTGGGGAGGCTGCATTGAATTGAACCCATCTTATGTGGAGGGAAAGTGGCATTTGCACCGAGTGACTTTTTTTTTTTTTTTTGAGACGGAGTCTCGCTCTGTCGCCCCAGCTGGAGTGTGATGGCATGATCTCGGCTCACTGCCACCTCCGCCTCCCGGGTTCAAGCAATTCTCCTGCCTCAGTCTCCTGAGTAACTGGGACTACATGCGCCTGCCACCACGCCCGGCAAATGTTTTGCATTTTTAGTAGAGATGGGGTTTCACCATGTTAGCCAGGATGGTCTCGGTCTCCTGACCTCAAGTGATCCGTCCACCTCGGCCTCCCAAACTGCTGGGATTACAGGCATGAGTCACTGCGCCCGGCCACCGAGTGACATCTTGATACATCTCCTGAGATCTCTGTGTCTTGGAGGAAAATGGAGTATCCACACAGGGATAAACTCAGCCTCTTAGACTTCTGTAGTTGGGGAGACTTCCTGCAGCCTGGTATTGGGGTGTTGAGGATGGACTAGGGGTCACATGGGTAAGGGGAGGTCTGTGTCAGCTGTAAGCACCTGAGATCCCTGCAAGCAACTGAAGGCTATCCCTGAAAGAGCAGGTGCAGGACACGGCAAGGCTGCCCTAGAGTCACTGTCTCTGAACAGGACAGGAGCCCTGAGCCAGGGATACCTAGAGAATATTCCTCCACAGCACCTAGGGCTTTGAGGAGAAGGAGGAGAGAGAGAAGCTTCCCTCTTGTTGGTTCAGCCTCTGGGAAGGTGCTCTGACCTCCTGTTGACATTCTAAATTGGCTCCTTCTCCTGGGTCAGTCTCTCAGGAGCCTCTAAGGAAGGAGCCTGGAGCAATCAACATGATCCCCATGCCCTGCCGTCCCCAGCAGCGTCTGTTGTACGAAGCTGTTAGCTTCAAAGGAAGGAGAGGGGAGAAGAGGAATTCTGCTGCCAGTTTTTCCCACTTATTGAGAAACAAAAGCCACCCAGACAACTCGGTTCAAAATTAAAGAAAAAAGGCGGAAGGGGCAAGGGGGGAATGGCTTAGAGGGGGTGTCCAGCTCTTTCTCTGCTTTTCCTTCAAGTGGGGCAAGAGAGGGAAGAATATTAAATATTAAAAGGAAGAAGTGGTTTCCTAAGACGATGTAATTATTCCCAACAGCCTAAACTCCATCTGCCATTTATCTCTCTTTTCCCAACACATTCACGCCGCGTCGATCACAGCAAACAAGGCCCAGGCACACAGGCGTCGGGAACTTTTGTTCGGGGTCCCCAAAGCCATGGGCAATTGGGGGGTGGGGAGCGGTGAGGGGATATTTCATAATTCTAAATGTTGTCACTTGTTCAAAGCAGCACGAGACTTAAAATGTGGACTTGAATGAGGGGGGGTGGGGAAGATATAAAAAAGTAGAATTTGACTTAGGTCAGAAATTCTCATTCTTGGGAAAACGTCACATGTTCAGGGCAGATGGCAAAGACATCGGTTGCTGGGAGGGGGGTTGCCAAGGGCAATTGAATGAAAATGGATTTTTAAGAAAGAAACAGGAATACGCTGGAAATGAAGAGTCTGCCCCCCTTCTTCCCAGCAAGAGAAACTGTTCAGAAAAGGGAAGAGGTTCTTAAGGCAGAAGCAAGTGAAATCTGGAAATAAGCTGCCCGCCCGCAAAGAAAAACTCTTCATAGAGGGAGCAGGGGAAGATCTTTGTATTTCTACCTTTGCAGATGGAGGTAATTTGCAGCAAGGAAAGAAAGATTAAACTCCCTGCAGGACTTTGCCTCCAGCGTCCCCCGCTCTCAGAAGCCCCACTCACCTGTATCGCATCAGCGCTGGGGCTCAGGCGACGCGGCTAGTGGTCAGCACTGCGAGTCCTCCAGGGGTCCCGAGGGTCCCATCTCGTCAGCACCCAGGGGTCCGAGCTATCTGAAGTCCATGCATCCATGGCCCACCCAGTGGAAAGAAGAAGGGTGGCCCAGAGACAGGAGGGAGAAAAGTGGGTGCCAAGAAGAGCAGTTTTCTGAGCAGAGGGCTCCCCACAAAAGCAGACACTGAACGGGGTTGCTGTATCAGCTGCCAAGGGAAAAAAAAAAAGAGGAGGAGGAGGTTTCCCTGATGCTGGGAGGAGGGAAAGGAGGACCGATCGTTCTCAGCTGCTGATCATCTTTAGCTAAGTGCTACACGGGGACCCAGCCTGGGGAGATCAATCCAGGCAAGGCAGAAGCTGAGAACAAGCCAGGCCACTGCTCCTCAGGGGGAAAAATAATTCACGATTTCTTGCTCTCTTCTCTATGCCCCTTAACACCGCACTGGGACCTCCCAGCACAGGGCAAAACTGTTGTCTCAAAAAGGAGACTTTTTCCCCCCGTTCGGGCTTCCCTTAAAGAGCAGAGGAACGGTGGTAAGAAGAGTATTCTCTCTCTTCCACTGGTTCCTGTCGGGGGTCCGGGGAGGGGGCGTGTAGAATAGGCATCAGGCAGCAGGGATATGGAATCGTGTTATAATTTAACCATCTCCACTCCGCCACATTGCAACCTAAATTATTTATGCTCTTAGAAAAATGATAATTAGAGGACAGCTGCTAGCCTCCTCTCTGAGTCTGTCGTGTTCATTCTGGAAACAGCTTCCCAGTACCCTGATCTCCTCCCTTAGGCAGAGGGGTTGTATTATTAAAGAAGAAAGGCAGGAAAAGGAAAGTTGAGTCCTTTCATGCAAAACACCAATCCATTACAACTTGGTAAGTTTGTTTGCAATCTGTGTAGACTTATGCTCTCAAAACTAGGGTAATCCCATGTCTCTTTTCAAAGGGGCCTCCTGTTAAAGATAGGGGTTTTGTTTTTCCTATAAGAAGCATCAAGAGGCCGGTGCGGTGGCTCATGCCCGTAATCCCAACACTTTGGGAGGCCAAGGCGGGTGGATCACCTGAGGTCAGGAGTTTGAGACCAGCTTGGCCAACATGGCAAAACCCTGTCTCTACTAAAAATACAAAAATTAGCCAGGTGCCTGTAATCCCAGCTACTCAGGAGGCTGAGGCAGGAGAATCGCTTGAACCTGGGAGGCGGAGGCTGCAGTTAGCTGAGATTGTGCCATTGCACTCCAACCTGGGCAACAAGAGAGAAACTCTGTCTCATTTAAAAAAAAAAAAAAAAAAAGAAGAAGCAGCAGCAGCATCAAGGGCACAGAGAATCTCCGTATTTTTCCCAAGGCTGAGCCAAAATGGGGAGAATCTACCTCATTAAGAACAAAGCAGCATTTAGACAGGTGGGGAAAATCGAACCTGACTGGGTGTCAGGGGATTTTAAAGAATTCATGTGAGTTTTGTAAGGACTGTTGGTGGTATTTGGTTATGGTGTTCTTTAAAAGTGTTTGTCTGTTAGAGATGCATATGGAAGTATTTATGGATAAGGTGATATGATACCTGGATTTGCTTTTTTAAAAACTCCAGGAAACAGCACCACATAAATAAAATATGGCATAGCTATGCAATGGAATATTATTCAGCCATGAAACGGAATGAAGCACTGATCCGTGCTGCAACGTGGATGAACCCCAAAAACATGATGTTGAGTGAAAGAAGGCAGACACAAAAGACCACATGGTGTAGGATTCCATTTATGCAAATTGTCCAGAGTAGGCAGATCCATAGAGATGGAAATCAGGTGAGTGATTGGCAGGGGCAGGTGGAGAGGGAATGTGGAGTGATTGCTGTCAGGGATGGGGTTTCCTTTCGGGGTCATGAAAATGTTCTGGAACTAGATAAAGGTGATGGTTTTCACAACATCGTGAATGTGCTATGGAATTGCATTTTATTTTATTATTTATTTATTTACTTATTTATTTATTTTTGAGACAGAGTCTTGCTCTGTCGCCCAGGCTGGAGTGCAGTGGGGCAATCTTAGCTCAATGCAACCTCCGCCTCCTGGGTTCAAGCAATTCTCCTGCCTCAGCCTCCCGAGTAGCTGGGATTACAGGCGCCCTCCCCCATGCCCGGCTAATTTTTGTATTTTTAGTAGAGACGAGGTTTCACCATGTTGGCCAGGCTGGTCTCAAGCTCCTGACCTCAAGTAATTGCCTGCCTCGGCCTCCCAAAATACTGGGATTACAAGAGTGAGCCACCGCACCTGGCCAGAATAGCATTTTAAAATAGTTAAGTTTATGTTATGTGAATTTCACCTCTACTTAAAAAAAAAATCCCACCAGAAAAGAAGGGAAAAGATACACCCGAAGAGCAGAAAACTGCTAATTGGCCACGCACGAGGGTGGCTCATGCCTGTAATCCCAGCACTTTGGGAGGCTGAGGCAAGAGAATCGCTTGAGCCCAGGAGTTAGAGACTAGCCTTGGCAACATGGCAAAAACCTGTCTCTACAAAAAAATACAAAAATGCGTGCCTGAGTTCCCAGCTACCTGAGAGGTTGAGGTGGGAGAATCACCTGAGCCTGGGAAGTTGAGGCTGCGGTGAGCTATGATCATGCCATTGCACTCCAGCCTGGGCGACAGAGCAAGACCTTGTGGAAGGGAAGGGAAAGGAAGGGGAAAGGGAAGGGGGAAGGGAAAGGGGAAGGGGAAGGGAAGGGGGAAAGAATGGGAAGGGAAGGGAGGGGAGAGGAGGGGAGGGAAGGGGGGAGGGGAGGGGAGGGAAGGGAAGGGAACAAGAAAATAATATTTGCTTCTAAAACTGTTATGGTTTGGCTGTTTGTCCCCGGTAAAATTCATGTTGAAATTGAATCCCCAATATGGCAGTACTGGGAGGTGGGAAGCGGGGAGGGAGGGGAGGGGAGGGGAAGGGAGGGAATTGCTAATTGGAGAAGCTGGGTGATAGGGCCTTGGGGATTTGCTGTATTTTTTTCATTGTATTCTCTCTACTTCTCTACTTTGTGTATATTTGAAATTTTGTTTCTGTTTTTGAGACAAGATCTCATTCTGATGCCCAGGATGGAGTGCAGTGGTACAATCATGGCTCACTGCAGCCCAAACCTCCTGGGCTCAAGCAATCCTCCCGCCTCAGCCTTCTGAGTGGCTGGTACTATAGGCTCACGACACCATGTCCAGCTAATTTTTTTGATTTTTTGTAGAGATGGGGTCTCGCTATATTGCCCAGGCTAGTAATTTTCTATATTTGTTTTGTTTCCTTTTCTTTTCTTTTTTGTTTTTATTTTATTTTATTTTATTGAAATTTTCTATTTTAAAGAGACGTCTGGGAAGTGTGGATTAAGAAGAATGCAGCCCATGTCAGTGGGTTTAGACCAACAGACAATTTTGGCTGGACACAGTGGCTCACGGCTGTAATCCCAGCACTTTGAGAGGCCGAGGTGGGTGGATCACCTGAGGTCAGGAGTTTGAGACCAGCCTGACCAACATGGTGAAACCCGGTCTCTACTAAATACAAAAAACTAGCCGGGCATGGTGGTGCATGCCTGTAATCCCAGCTACTTGGGAAGCTGAAGCAAGAGAATCACTTGAACCCAGGAAGCAGAGGTTGCAGTGAGCCAAGATTGCACCACTGCGCTCCAGCCTGGGCAAGAAGAGCGAAACTCCATCTCAAAAAAAAAAAAAAAAAAAAAAAAACCAGATTGGGGGATTTCTATGTGGGTGAGTCCAGCCCGTAGTTCAGCAGCTGGGGAGCCACTAGGATGGGAAGCAACTCAAAGCAAAGCTGGTGGGATTTTCCCCAGGCCAGGAGGCCTCCAGGTCCGTCACCTACACTGGAGTGTAGAGAAGAAGCCAGCCCTGGGGTCCCTCGGCCTGGAGAACAAAAGGACTCAATCCACCCTGCCAGCCTGGGACCCTGCCCAAGCTTCATCTCCACATCAGTAAAACCAGGCTAATCCTTCATACCTGGTGGGGATTTTGTGAGCATTAAATGAGATCGTGTTAAAAAGGAACAACAAGAAAATAATATTTGCTTCTAAAACTGTTATGGTTTGGCTGTTTGTCCCTGCTAAAATTCATGTTGAAATTGAATCCCCAGTATGGCAGTACTGGGAGGTGGGACCTTTACAAGGTGACTGGGTCATGACAGCCCTCATGAATGGACTGATTCATTTATGGATTAATGAATTAATGGGCTAATGGATTAAGGGGTTGTTATGGAAGTGGGACTGGTGGCCTTATGAAAAGAGAAAGATGAGCCGGGGGCAGTGACTCATGCTTGTAATCCCAGCACTTTTGAAAGCCAAGGCAGGAGGATTGCTTGAGGACAGAAGTTTGAGACCAGCCTGGGCAACATAGTGAGACCCCTGTCTCTATTTTTAAAAGGAGAGGAGAGGGGAGGGGAGAAGAGGGGAGGGGAGAGGAGGAGAGGGAAGGGGAAAAGGAAGAGAGACCTGAAGCTTGAGACCAGCCTGGGCAACATAGTGAGACCCCTGTGTCTATTTTAAAAAGAAAGAGAGGAAAGGAGAGGAGAGGAGAGGAGAAGAGGAAGAGAAACCTGAGCTTGCACACTCAGCTCCTCACCATGCCATCCCCTGCACCGACTTGGGACTCTGCAGAATCCCCACCAACAAGGAGCTCCTCCTCAGATTTGGCCTCTTGACCTTGAACTTCTCAGCCTCCGTAACTGGAAGAAATTAACTCCTTTTCTTTATAAATTACCCAGTTTCAGGTATACTTTTTTTTTAAATGAGACAGAGTCTTGCTCTGTCACCCAAGCTGGAGTGCAGTGGCGCGATCATGGCTCACTGCAGCCTCAACATCTCTGGCTCAAGTGATCCTCCCACTTCAGCCTCCCGAGTAGCCGGGACTACAGGCGTGCGCCACTCTGCCCAGCTGATTTTTTAAATGTTTTATAGAGATAGGGTTTTGCCGTGTTGCCCAGGCTGGTCTCAAACTCCTAGGCTCAAGCAGTCCTCCCACCTTGGCCTCCCAAAGTGCTGGGATTACAGGAGTCAACCACCATGCCCAGCCCAGTTTCAGGTATTCTGTTATAAGCAACAGAAAGAGGGCTAAGACAAAAACCATCTCTGAAAGACACATGAAAATCAATCATAGGGGTCCGCTTTTCTCTGCTTATTTTTTTATATTTAGGGAATTTTAAACCATGTGAGTACGATATGGATTATATGAGTTAATGCATATGTTAAATAGCTTGATTTAGCCATTGTATAATGTATGTATATATATCAAAACATCCATAAGTATATATACAATTTTTACTTGTTGATTTAAAAATTTATTTAATTAAAACGTGAGATCATGCATGTCAAGAGACATCATACTTTTTTTCTTTTTTTTTTTTTTGGTAAAAGGCCAGATAATAAAAATCCTAGGCTTGGCCAGGTCCGTTGGCTCATGCGTGTAATCCCAGCACTTTCGGAGGCCAAGGCAGGTGGATTCCCTGAGGTCAGGAGTTTGAGACCAGCCTGGCCAACATGGTGAAACCCTGTCTTTACTAAAACTACAAAAAATTAGCCAGGCATGGTGGTGCGCGCCTGGAATCCCAGCTATTCTGGAGGCTGAGACAGGAGAATCGGTTGAACCTGGGAGGCGGAGGTTGCAGTGAGCCGAGATCACGCTGCTATACTCCAGCCTGGGTGACAGGGTGAGACTCTGTCTCAAAAAAAAAAAAAAAAAAAAAAGGAGAAATTTGTTCCTAGTATAACATAAGACGTGGTTATTAAAGTGCCTCGTGAACTCAAAAATGCTATGTCACATAAGCTGTCATTATTATGCAGGGAGTCATAAGTCTATGCAATTAGCATTGAATTTTCCTGTTTTTAAATCACATGACTTGTATGAGTCACTTCGTGATCAACATAAATAGTCATCCTGGTTTCCTTAGAAGTCCTTTGAAAATGTCAAAAAGTTCTACTTTTCCTCTTACGCAAATGAGACCATCCTGAGTCAACCATCTTTTAAACTCTTGTGTTTTTTGCCAGAGTTGGTGACCATGAATAGATTGAATGATTGGCCCTGATGAGTCACTCTCTCCTGTGTGCCTATCTTTGCGATGGTCTCATCATGGGTGGTGGGTACTTCTCCATGGCTTGGCCTTAGGCTTGGCCACGTGACTTGCTTCAGTCAATGGTAGGTGGGCAGAAATGGCAAGGAGTGAGTTCCAAACCAGGATTCAGAAGCCACATGTGTTTCTGCCTGCCCTCTTGCACCTCTGCTCCCACCACGGAAACAACTGTCCCAGGAGGAAGAGGAGGGACACGTGGAGCAGAGGAGTCACCCAGCTGAGCCCCAGCCAGATCAGCCAAACCCAGCTGGTACACATGTGCATGGGGAATAAATGACTATTGCTTTAAGCCACTAAGTTTTGGGGTCATGTATGATGCAGCTGTGATGGTTAATTTGGGGTCAGCTTGACTGGGTTAAGAGATACCCAGATAGCTAGTTACACCTTATTTCTGGATGTGTCTGTGTTTTTAGAAGAGATTCGTGTTTGAATCTGTAGACTGAGTAAAGAAGATTCAGCCTCCTCGATGCAGTGAGTATCTTCCAATCCACTGAGGGCAAGGATAGAACAAAAAAGCAGAAGAAGGGGAGATATCTCCATTTCGTGCCTCAGCCTCCTGAGTAGCTGGAATTACAGGCTAGGGCCACCATGCCCGGCTCGTTATTTTTTGTATTTTTAGTAGAGGCGGGGTTTTACCATGTTCGTTCATGCCTATAATCCCAGCACTTGGGAGGTCAGGAGCTAGAGACCAGCCTGGCCAACACGGTGAAACCCCATCTCTAATAAAAGCACAAAAAATTAGCCAAGTGCGGTGGCACACGCCTGTAATCCAGCTACTTGGGAGGCTGAGGCTGGAGAATTGCTTGAACCCGGGAGGCAGAGGTTGCAGTGAGCTGAGATTGCCCCACTGCACTCCAGCCTAGGTGACAGAGGGAGACCCTGTCTAAAAAAAAAAAAAAAAAAAAAAAAAAAAAAAGGAACTTCTGTCCAGTAGCCAAAGTCTGGGCACCTTCTCTATGATTCCAATTGGTTTTTCAACTCTGCCTTCAAAAAAAAAAAAAAAAAAAAAAAAAAAAAAAAAGGCCAGGCACAGTGGCTCATGCCTGTAATCCCAGCACTTTGGGAGGCCAAGGTGGGTGGATCACGAGGTCAGGAGATGGAGACCATCCTGGGTAACATGGTGAAACCCCGTCTCTACTAAAAATACAAAAAATTAGCCGGGTGTGGTGGCACACACCTGTAATCCAGCTACTCGGAAGGCCGAGGTAGGAGAATCACTTGAACCCAGGAGGCAGAGGTTTTAGTGAGCCGAGTTTGCGCCACTGCACTCCAGGTGGGCTACAGAGCGAGACTCTGTCTCAAAAAAAAAAAAAAAAAAAAAAAAAAGCCAGGCGCGGTGGCTTACGCCTGTAATCCCAGCACTTTGGGAGGCTGAGGCGGGCGGATCACGAGATCGGGAGATTGAGACCATCCTGGCTAACACAGTGAAACCCCGTCTCTACTAAAAACTACAAAAAATTAGCCGGGTGTGGTGGTGGGCACCTGTAGTCCCAGCTACTTGGGAGGCTGAGGCAGGAGAATGGTGTGAGCCCGGAAGGCGGAGCTTGCAGTGAGCCAAGATCATGCCACTGCACTCTAGCCTGGGCAACAGAGCAAGACTCCATCTCAAAAAAAAGAAAGAAAAGAAAAGAAAGAAAAGATGCTGGAAGCAAAACCATTTAGAAAGCAATGTCATGTGTTGATCCAGTTAGAAAACTGGGAGGGCCTTGGTCAGCCAGTCCAGGAACGAGGCAGAGAATACTACCTCACTTACCTCCAAGGGCCCATGCAAAAAACAGAGGGCACATTCAAACTGGGTAATCTGAGAAGCATTTAATAAAATATATTTACAGCAAAGGCTGGATCGGTTGGATAATGCAACAGCAACTACAGGAAGCTGTTACCACCCACACCTGAAGGGGTGAAGAAGAGAAGGTTCTAGGCTCCACAGACACAGGGAGAATTGTGCAGAAAAGGCAGCCTGAAAGAGGGACGCACACAACCCATAGCAACCTGAAACAGAGGAAGCCAAGGAAATAAATTTAAATTCCCTTAACTGGCCGGGCGCGGTGGCTCATGCCTATAATCCCAACACTTTGGGAGATCGAGGTGTGTGGATCTCTTTAGGTCAGGAGCTTGAGACCAGCCTGGCCACCATGGTGAAACTCTGTCTCTACAAAAAATACAAAAATTATCCGGGTGTGGTGTCAGGTGCCTGTAATCCCAGCTACTCGGGAAGCTGAGGCAGGGAGAATCACTTGAACCCAGGAGGTGGAGGTTGCGGTGAGCTGAGATCACGCCACTGCACTCCAGTCTGGTTGACAAAGTGAGACGACTACGTCTCAAATAAATAAATAAATAAATAAATAATAAATAAATAAGATAAATTCCCTCAACCTCACCCTTCTCCCACTTTTTTTTTTTTTTCTGCTCTGTCACCCAGGCTGGAGTGCAGTGACAGGATCATAGCTCACTGCAGCCTCGACCTCCTGGGCTCAAGTAATCCTCCTGCCTCAGCCTCCCAAGTAACTGGCACTACAAGTATGTGCCACCATACTCAGCTAATTCTTCCTTCCTTCCTCCCTCCCTCCCTTCCCTCTCTCTCTCCTTCCTTCCTTTTTTTTTTTTTCTCTTTCTTTTCTTTTTCTTTCTTTGGAGAGATGGAGTCTCCCTATGCTGCCCAGGCTGGTCACAAATTCCCGGCCTCAAGCAATGCTCCCCGCTCAGCCTCCCAAAGTGCTGGGATTACAGGCATGAGCCATCGCACCTTCTCTCACTTTTCATCTGTGAGTAACTCCCATTGGCTGAGCCAACCAAAAGCCAGTGGGCAACAGAGCCCAATGATGTTGTCTTTTGGGGTCAGCCTCAGGAACAGAAGAGGGTAGAAGGTGAGGAAGAGTAGAGCTGGAAGGAAAAATGGACTTTACCCACTTTCTCTTAACCAGTTCTCAGCTGACAAAGCATCTTCAGCACTTTCTGCATCCCTGCAATTCAGGTCATCTTTCTCAGCAGCCTGCTTGGCTGATCTGATTCCTTTTTCCTTCTCTGGCTACCAAAGGAAACAGATACAAAAGGGAAAATTGATTTTCCAGGGAAGCCTCCAGTAAGCCTCAAGGACAATCCCATTTATGCATTTATGTTCCTCGTGACATCTGGTTTTGAGCCAGTCCCGCTGTGGGTGGAGTGCTGTTACTATACTGTTTATGTTCTGATCGTATTTCTCTTGGCCCAGAGAGCAGGCAGCTGGCCAAACATATAATGCCCTCCATGGGGGCAGAGGTCTCTCTCTGAGCCCAACAGCTGAGCCCCGCACACAGAGCGCTACTGGGAAATTTGACACCATCTACCATCAGCAGAATGAATGCCTTTGCCATTGGCCCAGGCAAGAAAATCGTTGCTTGCATATCCTGGGCAAAGTCTAGTTATGCATTAACAGTGACAGAAGGACAATTAGGATGCAGGAAACCAAGAAATAATATGTGAGATAAAGTGTACACTCTCCTTGCCTGTGTGAGCCAATTGTTTAAACTGCAAGAAGACACACAGGCTCTGAAATCGAATCCTTCTGTGCTCAGACCCCAACTTTATCACTTCCTGGTGCCATGGTCTCTCTTCCTTTCCTTCCTTCCTTCCTTCTTTCCTTCCTTCCTTCCTCTCTGTCTCTCTCTCTCTTTTCCTTCCTTCCTTCCTCTGTCTCTCTCTTTTCCTTCCTTCTTTTCTTCCTTCCTCTGTCTCTCTTTTCCTTCTTTCTTTCCTTCTTTCCTTCCTTCCTTCCTCTCTTTCTCTCTTTTCCTTCCTTCCTTCCTCTGTCTCTCTCTCTTTTCCTTCCTCCATTCCTTCTTTCCTTCCTTCCTTCCTCTCTCTTTTTCCTTCCTTCTTCTGTCTCTTTTCCTTCCTTCTTTCCTTCCTTCCTCTCTCTCTTTTCCTTCCTTCCTTCCTCTGTCTCTCTCTCTTCTCCTTCCTTCCTTCTTCTGTCTCTCTCTTTTCCTTCCTTCCTTCCTTCGCGCGCGCGCGTGTGTGTGTGTGTGTGTGTCCACTGCCTATGTTCAAAATTCTCCTCCTTCTATGAGGATACCAGTCATATTGGATTAGGGATTGCCAGGGTTTGAATGCATGTGTGCACCCAAATTGAAATGTTGGACCCTAAGACCCATGCAATAGTGTTAAGCAGTGGGGCCTTTAGAGGTGATTAAGTCCGGAGGACTCTGCCCCTCTGAATGGGATTAGTACCTTAAAAAAGGGCCTGAGGGAACTAGCTAGGGCCTTTGGCCCATCTGTTCTTTTTTTTTTTTTTTTTTTTTTTTTTTTTTTTTTTTTTTGAGACGGAGTCTCCCTCTGTTGCCAGGCTAGAGTGCTGTGGCGTGATCTTGGCTCACGGCAACCTCCAACTCTCTGGTTCAAGGGATTCTCCTGTCTCCACCTCCCGAGTAGCTGGGATTACAGGCATGCGCCACCATGCTTGGCTAATTTTTGTATTTTTAGTAGAGATGGGGTGTCACTATGTTGGTCAGGATCGTCTCGATATCCTGACCTCGTGATCCGCCCGCCTCGGCCTCCCAAAGTGCTGGGATTACAGGCGTGAGCCACCATGCCCGGCTGCCCATCTGTTCTTTAAAAAAAAAAAACAAAACAAAACTTTTTTTGAGACAGGGTATTGCTATGTTGTCCGGGCTGGTCTTGAACTCCTGGGCTCAAGTGATCCTCCTGCCTCTGCCTCCCAAAGTGCTGGCATTAAAGGCACGAGCCACCATGCCTGGCTGCCCTTTTGTTCTTCTGCCACGTAAAAACACAACAACAAGATACCATCTCGAAGGCGGAGGACAAGCCCTCACCAGACACTGAATCTGCTGGTGCCTTGATCTTGGACTTCCCAGCCTCTAGGACCATAAGCAATAAATATCTGTTGTTTACAAATTACCCATTCTCTGGTATTTTGTTATAGCAGCAGGAACGAACTAAGACTAGGCCCACCCCAGTGACCTCATCTTAATGAATTATGTCTCTAATGACCCAAGTTCCAAATAAAGTCACATTCTAGGGTACTAGAAGTTAGGACTTCAACTTATGAACTTTTTTTTAAGACACGAGGCCTGGCTCTGTCACCCAGGCTGGAGTGCAGTGGCGCAGTCATAGCTCACTGCAGCCTCAAACTCCTGAACTCAAGCAGTCCTCCCACCTCAGCCTCCCGAGTAGCTGGGATTACAGGTGTGTGCTACCATGCCCAGCTCAACTTATGAGCTTTCAAAGACATAATTCAACCCATAATGGTAACTTAATCTGAGTCTCAGTCTCCCTGTAAAACAGGCTAAGAACCTTGAATGGACAAATAATCTTGATGAAATGATTATGAAAAAGGGAGGCATTTAAAACAGTTTCTGGCACAGAGTGGGTCCTGAAAAAACCGTCCGGCTAGGAAAAGATGTGCTAAAGACTTCCAGGGGGAGTCCAGGGGTGTAGGAAACACGGAGAAAAGCCTGCAGATAAATCAGTGAGTGACACTAGGTATCATGTAACACTGTCGTCAATTTTGCTAAGATATAAATTACAAGCCAGGCACAGTAACTCATGCCAGTAATCCCAGCACTTTGGGAGGCCAAGGCAGGCGAATCACCTGAGGTCAGGAGTTCAAGACCAGCCTGGCCAACACGGCAAAACCCCATTTCTACCAAAAATACAAAAATTAGCCAGGAGTAGTGGTGCTATCCTGTAATCCCAGCTACTCAGGAGGCTGAGGCAGGAGAATCACTTGAACCCAGGAGGCAGAGGTTGCAGTGAGCTGAGATCACATGACCGCACTCCAGCCTGGGCAACACAGCAAGACTCCATCTCAAAAAAAAAAAAAAAGATATAAATTAGTACAATAAAATGTACCTGAGCTGGCTGCAGTGGCTTACATCTGTAATCCCAAGGACTCAGGAGGCTGAGGCAGGAGGACTGCTTAAGCCCAGAAGTTGAAGACTGCAGGAAGCTGCAATCCTGCCACTGCACTCCAGCCTGGGTGACAGAGTAAGACCCTGTCTCTTAAAAAATGTTTGAGCACGGTGGCTCATGCCTGTAATCCCAGAACTTTGGGAAGCTGAGGCAGGTGGATTACTTGAAGTCAGGAGATCGAGACCAGCCTGGCCAACATGGTGAAACCCTGTCTCTACTAAAAATACAAAAATTAGCCGGCCATGGTGGTGTGCACCTGTAATCCCAGCTATTTGGGAGGCTGAGGCACGAGAATCACTTGAACCCGGGAGGCGGAGAGTGCAGTGAGCTGAGATTGTGCCACTGCACTCCAGCCTGGGTGATAGAGGGAGGCTCTGTCTCAAAAAAAAAAAAGTGCACCCATCTTCAGTGTACAGTTTGCAGGTTTTGACTAATGTGTACAACACATAACCGCCAAAGATTTAGAACATTTCCATCACTCCCAAAATGCCCCCATGCCCCTTTGTGGCCAATGCCTCCATTCCCGTCCCCCAGGCGACCACTGATCTGTCTGTCACTTTAGATTCAACTTGCCTATTCTATAATTGTATAGAAACAGAATCACACCAGGGGCAGTGGTCCATGCCTGTAATCTCAGCACTTTGGGAGGCCCAGGCAGTAGGATTGCTTGAGCTCAGGGGTTCAAGTCCAGCCTGAACAACATAGTGAGACATTGTCTCTACCAAAAATCCAAAAAAATTAGCTGCGGGTGGTGGTATGCACCTGTAGTCCCAGCTACTCGAGATGCTGAGGAGAGAGGATAACTTGAGCACAGGAGATTAAGGCTGCAGTGAGTTATGATCGCACCACTGCACTCTAGCCTGGGTGACAGAGAAAGACCCTCTCTCCAAAGAAAAAGAAAAGAAATGGGCCGAGCATGGTGGCTCACACCTGTCATCCCAGCACTTTGGGAGGCCAAGGCGGGTGGATCACAAGTTCAGGAGTTCAAGACCAGCCTGGCCAACATGGGGAAACCCCGTCTCTACTAAAAATACAAAAATTAGCCAGGCATGGTGGCGGGCGCCTGTAGTCCCAGCTTCTCGGGAGACTGAGGCAGGAGAATCACTTGAACCTGGGAGGCGGAGGTTGCAGTGAGCCAAGATCATGCCGCTGCACTCTAGCCTGGGTGACAGAGCGAGACCTTGTCTCAAAAAAAAAAAAAAAAGAAAGAAAATAAAAAAAAAAAAAAAGAAAAAGAAATGGAATCATACAATCATACAGTCTGTCCTCTTTTGTGATTGGCTCCTTTCACTCCACACTTGTGAGATGCATCCTTCTGATCTTTTCATCAGAATCTGTTCCTTTCTATTATACTCCAGTGTATGGGTGGACCACTGTTTGTCCTCTCTCTTGTGAATGGGCATATGGTTTGTTTCTAGTATTTGGCTAACATGAATAAAGCTGCTATGAACATCCATGTATAAAAGTCTTTGTCGGGGCCAGGCTCAGTGGCTCACGCCTATAATCCCAGCACTTTGGGAGGCCAAGGTGGGAAGATCACCTGAGGTCAGGAGTTCAAGACCAGCCAGGCCAACATGGTGAAACCCCGTCTCTACAAAAAATACAAAAATGAGCCAGGCATGGTGATGCATGCCTGTAATCTCAGCTACTCAGGAGGCTGAGGTGGGAGAATCAGTTGAACCTGGGAGGTGGAGGTTGCAGTGTGCTGAAATTGCACCACTGCACTCCAGCCTGGGCAACAGAGCGAGGCTCTGTCTCAAAAAACAAACAAACAAAAATGTCTTTGTGGGGATCCTGGGTAAATACCAGAGAGCGGAATTGTTGAGTCACCTGGTGAGTGTCCATTTAACCCCATAAGAAGCTACCAGACTGTCATCCACCAACAGTGTGTGCATCACTCTACATCCTGGCCAGCACTTGGTATCACCCGTCTTTTTGATTATAACTATTCTAGTGGATGTGTGGTGACATCTGCCTGGGGTTTTAATTTGCATTTCCCTAATGTCTAATGATGTCGTATGCATGCTCATGCATGAGTAAGCTTTAAAGACACGAAGGGAAAGCCCGGGGGTCAGAGAAGACATTGCTGAGAGTCAGGAGGTGGGAATGCAAGATGGCACTGCAGAGGTTTTTAGGGTGTGGGAGTGAGGGGGTGGATGGAAGGGCATACTGGGCATACCACAGGGTGGGAGATGAGGCCTTAGGTCTTTGCAAGATGGTGAGTAGGAATTGAGGCTCCCTGTATAAAGTAGGGATCCTGGTAGGACCACACCTAGGGACAGGGTACCAGGAAGACTCTCCACCAGCCCAAGGTGAGCACAGGGGAGCTCATCTTTTTTGCTTTTTTTTTTTTTTTTTTTTTGAGACAGGGTCTTGCTCTGTCACCAGGCTGGAGTGCAGTGGTGCAATCTGGGCTCACTGCAACCTCTGACTCCCGGGTTCAAGTGATTCTCCTGCCTCAGCCTCCCGAGTAACTGGGACTACAGGCATGTGCCACCACGCCTGGCTCATTTTTTTGTATTTTAGTAGAGATGGGGTTTCACCATGTTGGCCAGGATGGTCTCAAACTCCAGACTTCGTAATCCACCTGCCTCAGTCTCCCAAAGTGCTGGGATTACAGGCGTGCACCACTGCGCCCGGCCATCTCTTTTCTGAACATTGAAAACACATACATATAGGTAATAACCAGTGTGCTCTAGGATGTGGGAAACAGACATTAATTTACACTGTTGGGCCGGGTGCAGTGGCTCATGCCTATAATCCCAACACTTTGAGAGGCCAAGGCAGGCAGATCACTTGAGCCCAGCAGTTCAAGACCAGCCTGGGCAACATGGCAAAACCCCATTTCGGCCTGGTGTGGTGGCTCACTCCTGTAATCCCAGCATTTTGGGAGGTCGAGGCAGGTGGATCACTTGAGGTCAGGAGTCCGAGACCAGCCTGAGCAACATGGTGAAACCCTGCCTCTGCTAAAAATACAAAAATTAGCCGGGAAGCTAAGGCAGGAGA
Source organism: Homo sapiens (assembly GCF_000001405.40). Classification (NCBI taxonomy): domain Eukaryota; kingdom Metazoa; phylum Chordata; class Mammalia; order Primates; family Hominidae; genus Homo; species Homo sapiens. Next base: position 13,638,936 of record NC_000019.10, read on the forward strand.
ATCGCTTGAACCTGAGAGGCAGATGTTGCAGTGAGCCAAGATCGTGCCACTGCACTCCAGCCTGAGCGACAGAGTGAGACTCTGTCTCAAAAAAAAAAAAAAAAAAAAAATCTCTGCCAAAAATACAAAAATTAGCCAAGTGTGGTGGGACGTGCCTGTAGTCACAGCTACTTGAGAGGCTGAGTTAGGTGGGAGGATCATTTGAGCCTGGAAGGTTGAGGCTGCAGTGACCTATGATTGCACCACTGCACTCCAGCCTGGGTGATGGAGCAAGACCCTGCCTAAAAAAAACCCCAAAATTTACTCTGTTTACTCTCAGCTCACTGCAGCTCAGACCTCTCCAGGCTTAGGTGATCCTCTCACCTCAGCTTCCTGAGTAGCTGAGACCACAGGCGCGCACCACCACACCCGACTAATTTTTGTATTTTTTTGTAGAGACATGGATCCTGCTATGTTGCCCAGGCTGTTCTCAAATTCCTGGGCTAAAGTGATCTACCCGACTCAGTCTCCCAAAGTGCTGGCATTACAGGCATGAGCCACCATGCCTGGCCTCTTGCTTACGTCTACTTTGGACTTGCTCTCAGATTCTTTTGTGTGGCGAAGTGTAAAACCTGGACTGGCTCAGCAGCAACAATTGGATTTTAGACGAGTAGACACTCCAAAAGATGTTCACTACAATAACCATTATCTCAGCACTTCATTTCTAACCTTAACTCTAACCTAGAGAGACAATTGCACAAATGTTCAGAACAGCCTGTATCAGTTACCTAATGCCATGGTAATGCTGCGTAACAAATGGATGTGAAAACGTCAGTGACATGCAACATTAAGTTTATTGCTCATATATCTGGGGCACCCTCACTAATGGGGTGGAAAGGAGGTGATCAAAACATCCAGCCAGAACATCTGCTTCTCTTCCTCCTCCTTCCCTTTCCCTTCTTCCTTTATCAACTCTAGCATTTACTGAACAATTCTTATGTTCTGGACACTGCTCAAAAAGCTTCACAGGTAATAAGTAAGTTCATTTTCACCAGGAGATAAGTGTCACTAACATATCCACTTTGCAAATGAGAAAACTGAGTCAGAAAGAAGTTAAATAACTGGCCTGAAAGCCCATAGCTAGTGAGGGGTAGACTCAAAGAGTCCTTGCTTCTAAACCCTAAGTCCAGAGGGCAACAACCTTTTTATATAAAGGACCAGAAAATAAATATTTTAGGCTTCATGGGCCATGTGGATTTGGCCCATGGGCCATAGTTTGCTGACCCTTGCCTTAATCCAACAGCCTAAGAACCTTCAAAGTAAAGCTGACCAGAGCTTTACCTTTCCACGAGATTTCCAACAAACCCCTAAATCCAGTAAATTAGAAGAAGGGTGTAATTCACCATGAATGAATTAGGCTGATTGCTGCATAATTCATGATTATCAAAATGATGTTTTAATGTCAGTCATCTTCTTAAGATATTTTTTAAGACTTCTAGGCACTGTCCTATTGCAGGAGAAAAATGTTTTTATACCTTTTTTTTTTTTTTTTTGAGACAGTGTCTCCCTCTGTCACCCAGGCTGGAGTGCAGTGGCACAATCACAGTTCACTGCAGCCTCAACCTCCCAAGCTCATGCAATCCTCCCTCCTCAGCCTCCCTAGTAGCTGGGACTACAGGAGTGTGCCACTGTGCCTGGCTAATTTTTTATTTATTTTTTGTAGAGATGGGGTCTCACTACTTTGCTCAGGCAGGTCTTGTACGCCTGGGCTAAAGTGATACCCCTGCCTTGGCCTCCCAAAGTGCTGGGATTAGAGGCATGAGCCACCACACCTGGCCACAGGAAAAAATTCTGCTTCAGTGGAAAATTAGACACTGTCTAGAGCAGGGATTGGCAAACCACAGCCCAGAAACCAAATCCAACCACTCCTATTTGTTTATATTTTTTACAGCTGTTTTCATGCTTCAATGGAAGTGGAGTAGTTGCCATGTAGACCATATGTCTAGCAAAGCCTAAGATATTTACTACCTGGCCCTTTACAGAAAAAGCCTGGCAACCCATAGGGTAAAGAACACTCTTCTGAGTTATCTGATTCTAGCCTTTCCTTTCCTTTGACCTATTTTACTATTCTGCAAGTTCTTGATAATTGATAGCAATGCAAAATAATCCTTTTTTTGTAGACAAGAAAAAGCTGTAATGTCCACCAGAAGTTCAACCTACTTCCCTCCACCACTACGGAAGAGTTCAATTTGCACAGTCATTTCAGTGTTTCTGATCCATAACTGTGTCTTTTATTTGAATGCGCCTTTGAATGAGTTGTAACATTGGTTCCGTCATTCATGAGGAAGATAAAATCTTTAACACACATTCACTTCACATATGTATGAAAGTCATGATTTTTCTTCTTTCTTTAATTATTCTTGAACATTATTTATGGTTTCATAAGAGTTTAGAGAGCTGCTCTCCAATGGACATTAAAAAATATCTGCATCATTCTACTAGATCTTGTAATAGTAGCCCTGAGCTATAAATTTTGTACCAGAAACTTGAGAAAAAGTTTGCCTGACTTAATGGCATTTTGGGAGGCTGAAAAATCAACTTTTGAGTATTAAACTGGAAATCCAAAACCAGATGTGGTGACTCACACCTGTAATCCCAGTGTTTTGGGAGGCCAAGGCAGGAGGATCTCTTGAGGCCAGGAATTCAAGACCAGCCTGAGCAACATAGCAAGACCCCATCTCTACAAAAACAAATTAAAAATTAGTCAGTCATGGTGGTGTACGCCTGTAGTCCTAGCTACTTGGGAGGATCTCTTGAGCCCAGTAATTCGAGGCTGCAGTGAGTGATGAGCGTGCCTCTTCACTCTAGCCTGGGTGACAGGGTCACTCCCTCTCTCTAAAAAATAAAATAAACTGGAAATCCAAGTAACTAGATAATGAGGAGATAAAACATAAAACACTCTTAGAAGTTATGAGTATGTGATATGGCTTGAATGTGTCCCCACATTTTATGTATTTGAAACTTACTCCCCAAATTTATATGTTAATTCAAAACAGGGCTTTGGGAAGGTATTTAGGATCAGATAAGGTCATCAGGGTTAAACGTTCATGATGGGACTGGTGGCTTTATAAAAAAAGGAAGAGAGACCTGAGTTTACATGCACGCTCTTGCCCCCTCACTACAGGATGCCCTCTGCCATGTTATGACACAGCAAGAAGGCCCTCACCAGATGTCAGTTCTTCAGTCTTGGCCTTCCCAGCCTCCAGAACTGTAAGAAAAACATTTTTTTCTTTTTTTTCTTTCTTTTTTTTTTCTTTTTGGCAGCGTCTTGCTCTGTTGCCCAGGCTGGAGTGCAACAGCACGATCTCAACTCACTGCAGCTTCCACTTCCTGAGTTTAAGTGATGCTCACATCTCAGCCTCCCAAGTAGCTGGACTTAACAAGCATGTGCCAACATGTCCAGCTATTTTTTTTTTTTTTGTATTTTTAGTAGAGACAGGTTTTTGCCGTGTTGGCCAGGCTGGTCTCAAACTCCTGGCCTCAAGCGATTCACCTGCCTCAGCCTCCCAAAGTGCTGGGATTACAGGCATGAGCCACTACGCCCGACATTTATTTTCTTTATAAACTACCCAGTTTGTGATATTTTCTTATAGTAATGCAAAGTAGACTAAGTATATAAGTGATCGTTGATGCCAAAAGGATGGTTGAGATCCCCCAGGGAGTGTGGGGGGAAATATGAGAAGAGGAAAAGGCAGACAAATGGGGAGGGACAGGGTAGAGGAGCAGCTGAGGACAGCTAAAGTTAGACTGGACAGAGCAGCATTGTGGGCTGCAACAGCATGGGCCAAAGGAGCACCAAGGCAGATGCATCAACACCATCAAGTTGTGCATAAAGGTCAAGGAAGGGCTGAAAAGTGGCCATTGGCTTGAGCAAATAACAGGTCATTAGTGGCCTTGGCAAGAACAATTTGATAGGAATGGTGGATTGAAAGGCAAACAACAGTGGGTTTGGAGTGAATGGAGAGAAGGAAGTGGAATTACAGTTGGCTGAATAAATGAAGAATAATGCCTGATTGCTGCAGGGTTGTTATGACAACCAAATAAGATAATGATGGTGAATACTCTTTATGGAATTTTTTATTGAGGTATCATTTATATACAGTAAAATCCACCCTTTATTAGTATACAGTTCTATAGGTTTGGACAAACATACACAGTCTTGTAGCCTCTACAAAAATCAAGAAATAGTACAGTTCCCTCACCCATAGACAGTTCTCTTTTGATCCTTTGTAATTAATCCCTTCCTGAAGCCTTAGCCCATAGCAATCATTGATCTATTTTCTGTCCCTACAGCCTTGCCTTCTCTAGAAAGTCACATAAATCAAAGTGTACACTACATAGACACTTGAGTCTGGCTTCTTTCACTCAGAATAATGCACTTGATATTCACCTATCGGTATTTTATTTTTTTAATTGCTGAGTAATATTCCATTGTATGTGAATATTCCATCACTTTTTTTTCATAAAAGTGAAATGCTGTATAAAATTGTAAGGACTTATTATTCTTGGAAAATATATATACATGCAGGCAGGAAAGTCTGCCTTAGTTTGGGCTCCCTCAGAAGCTGACCTTGAGACATGATTCAAGTGAAAGTTGTTTATTTTAGAGTCAGTTCCAGGAGACTCAGTATGGGAAGATAAAGTGACACAGGGAAGGAAAACAACAAGCATCAAGCAAGTTACCACTGTGGGCAACTGACGCTCAATCTACTGGTGACCTCTAGGAGACAACATAGAATACAGATCTCAGAATTGCCCAGCAGAGGAGTGAGGGAGCTGGGATATTTATCCTCCACCTTCCTACCAGTCACTGATTGACAGCCACTCATGGAGGACATTAAATCTCTAGCATTTCTGGCCCAACTGTGTAGATCATAATGTGTACCCCAAAGACCAGAGACAGTCCTCAAACAAATGAATGCAGGTGCTGGCCACTGGAAATTAGGCCAGAGTGTGCTGACCAAGGATGAGGTAGGGGAAGGCCAGGTGCCGACCATTCCTCCTATAGAGTGGATACATAATCAGATCATAAACGATCTCCCCTTAATTTTCATCTCTTTCTTAAGCTGTAAACATCAAGTATTTTTATAGCTCTTCAAGATGCACTGCATGGAGACCTTCTAAATCATCTCTATGTCCTCTAATTGGGCTTGTCACTCACAGCTAATATTGCTATATTTATAGTTAATCTCTCCATATAGCGTCTTATGACTTATTTTTGGATTTGTGAGTCAGGCGTGCATACTCCAATATGCATGCTCATGCTGCTGTTTATCTATCTCTACGGGAAAACAGGATGTTGTGTTCCTTTTTTCCCTGCCTCACCGTACCCACTCCTGACCCTTGTCTGACAGCCTTTGGCTTATATTAATTTTCATAAATACCTTCTGCTTACTTCATAGTTTTCCAAATATTCGAAAATACTTTATTTCACTTAATCTGCAGGATAACACTAGGAGGCAAGCAGAGACCTCTTGCCTCTAATGCATTTTACACATGAGAAAACTGAGGCTCATGTCAATTAAAAATTAATTTAAGCTATTTCATTTAAGTTAAAAATTAGTTTCCACTGCATCATATGGGATGCTTCTAGTTGTGAATAACTAAAATCCCAAACTGAATTAAACATTAAAGAAAATTATCAGCTCACATGAAGAATATAATAAATAAAAAGTAGGATGTGCTTTCAAAAGAGGTTTGATGTGTTGGCTCACAAGATGACTGCCAGGAGGACCTTCTGCAACTTCACGCCCCTTGTTCACAACCGGAGATGGATATACACTACCTCCATCCTGAGATTCACTCTGATTGGCCCAGTCCATATCACATGACCACCTCTGAGCCAATGAAGGTAGATGGGGTATGCTGATTGGCCTAAACTGGTCACATGGTCTACCCGGAAGCTAAGGCAAAACTCACTTCCCTAGAAATAGATGGAGTCCCAAGTGAAAAACAGCAAGAAAGGGAAAATATTGGAAGACATTCATGGAAAGTGGGTTAATTAGGAATGTTGTCATCTGTAGGTTACCAATAACCTGAGTAAGAGTGGCTTAAATAAATAGGACTTCAGTTTTCTCACAAAGCGAAAAGTATGGAGGTAGATGATAGCCATTTTTTAAAAAGCCATTCTCAGGCACGGGCAGTGGCTTGTCTGTAATCCCAGCACTTTGGGAGGCCAAGGCGGGTGGATCACTTGAGATCAGGAGTTCGAGGCCAGCCTGGCCAACATGGTGAAACCCTGTCTCCACCAAAAATACACAAATTAGCCAGGCATGGTGGCGGGTGCCTGTAATCCCAGCTACTCAGGAGGCTGAGGCAGGAGAATCACTTGAACCCGGGAGGCAGAGGTTGCAGTGAGCCAAGATCATGCCACTGCACTCCAGCCTGGGCGACAGAGCCAGACTGTCTCAAAAAAATAAATAAATGAATTAAAAAGCCATTCTTCTCTCCTTCTTTCACCCACCATCCTCACTATATTGCTTTTCCTCCTTAAATTTAATCACTTCATAGTCTCAAAGGTGGCTGCTACAGCTGGAAAGGAGGAGTAAGTTCTAGTGTTCTATACCACTGTAGGATGACTATAGCTAACAATTATGTATAGTTTCCAATAGCTAGAAGGAGGATAGTGACCGTCCCAACACAAAGAAATGATAAATATTTGAAATGATTAATATACTGATTATCCCTGATCTAATCACTATACATCGTATGTATCATGTACAATTATTTGTCAATTAAAAATAAAATTTTAAAAAAAAATTTATTTTATGTTTATTTTTATTTTTTGAGACACAGTCTCACTCTGTCACCCAGGCTGGAGTGCAGTGGTGCGATCTCGGCTCACTGCAACCTCCGCCTCCCGGGTTCACGTGATCCTCCTGCCTCAGACTCCTGAGTAGATGGGATTACAGGTGCACACCACCACACCCAGCTAATTTTTTGTATTTTTAGTAGAGACAGGGTTTCACCATGTTGGCCAGACTGGTCTCGAGCTCCTGACCTCAGGTGATCTGCCCGCCTCGGCCTCCCAAAGTGCTGGGATTACAGGCGGGCTGCCTGGCCAATTTTGTATTATTTATTTACTTTTTTTTTTTTTTTTTGTATGAGACAGGGTCTCACTCCGTCACCTAGGCTGGAGTGAAGTGGCATGATCTCAGCTCACTGCAGCCTCGACCTCCTCAGCTCAGGTGATTCTCTCACCTCAGGCTCCTGAGTAGCTGACTAAAAGTGCCCACCACCAGGTCTGGCTAATTTTTGTAATTTTTTGTAGAGATGGGGGTTTCGCCATGTTGACCAAGCTGGTACCGAACTCCTGGGCTCAAGCAATCCGCCTGCCTTGGCATCCCAAAGTGCTGGGATTACGGGCCTGTGCCACTGCATCGGCCTGCTCTTGCCTTTTAACAAGGAATAAATCTGCATCTTCAAGAGCCCTCCAGCAGACTTCTTTATCATGGGTCAAGTTCTCCCAATGTAGAGTCTAGTCTAAAATAAGCATCCTGATGCAAAGGGTTTATTGAGAAGGTTTGTTCCAGAAGAAACCATGAAGGGAATAAAGGAAGCAGAACAAGGAAAGGGAAGAAGACAAGACACGGAGAGGAAGTTCCAGCCTAACCCCTCCCCCATAGAGAGCTCCACAGCTTAAATTCCATCTTGGAGACTGTCCCATGGTGTCTCTCAATCAGAGAAGCAGAACCACTGTGAGTGATCTAGAACGGGGAATTTATTATGGGATTTGACCTTGTGCAATAGTGAGTTAGTGGAGCAGACTGTGGCCCTTGGTCTGGTACTGGGTCTGCAATCACTCTAGGTCAGCCAGCCCATCCGTCAGGAGGGAACACTAGCTGTGCACAAGAGCAGGGAGGAGCAGAACCCACGAGGGACTTGCGTCTGTCTCGCACCACCTGCAACCTCAATGTCGTGAGTGACCTGCAGGTGAAGCTGTCATCCTTCACCTTGGAGCTGCGTGTTCACTTGGCCTAGTTCTCAGGGAAGATGAAAGAGATCTGGCAAGAGCTGGAGAAGAGCCAACAGCTCTGCAGCAATGTGTGTGTGTGCTGCCGCCATGCCTGACACCTCCAGGAAGATTAAAAACTAGGGTCATTGCTTTACATCCATCTTCCAAATCTTGTGCAGGTTATTCTTCTAGCCAACTCTAACCCAGAACTTTACAGGGAAGAGAGAAGGGAGAAATGTTCTTCCAGCTTAGCTGAATTGACGTTATCCAAAGCCAAATGTCCCACCTGGAGAAAAAAGGAGTTAGCTCCTGGCTATAGGTGCCCCCAGAGAAGACGCAAATACACAGGCATTCCCCAGTCTCTGTGCAGGCAAGGAGGTCCCCGTGTCCAAAGGCAACCCTGTGATGGCCACAGAGGCTGGACGTCAGCAGCAAAACACGCAGAACTGGTAAAGGGATCAGAGGGGATCTGGGCAGGGCATGACAATGGCCGCTACATTTACTCTACATCTCAATGGCCAGAGTCAATGTCACATCCCTGCCCTGACTCATACAGGTCAAGGTTCCAGTCTACCCCAGAGGGTAACCAACCCACATCCACCACATCCACCATTAGCATGAGAGCCAAGGCAAAGACAACGTCATGTAATCCCCTTCCAGTGTCCTTTCCACTGTTTTCAGTATTGACTGTTTTCAGAACATAATTAATCAAGATTAGATGTCTAGAAAACCTTGTTTAAAATGTGTTGGCCGGGCACAGTGGCTCATGCCTGTAATCCCAGCACTTTGGGAGGCCGAGACGGGCAGATCACCTGAGGTTGGGAGTTCGAGACCAGCCTGGCCAACGTGGTGAAACCCCGTCTCTACTAAAAACACAAAAATTAGCCAGGTGTGGTGTTGCTCACCTGTAATCTCAGCTACTCAGGAGGCTGAGGTGGGAGAATTGCTTGAACCTGGGAGGCGGAGGTTGCAGTGAGCCAAGATGGCACCATTGCACTCCAGCTTGGGCAACAAGAGTGAAATTCCGTCTCAAAAAAAAAAAATGTCCAGTAAACCTTGTTTAAAATGTGTTGGCCGAGCACAGTGGCTTATGCCTGTAATCCCAACACTTTGAGAGGCCAAGGGGGGCAGATCACCTGAGGTCAGGAGTTTGAGACCAGCCTGGCCAACATGGCAAAACCGTGTCTCCACTAAAAATACAAAAGTTAGCCAGGTATGGTGTTGTCTGCCTGTAATCCCAGCTACTCGGAAGGCTAAGGTGGGAGGATCTTTTGAACACAGGAGGCAGAGTTTGCAGTGAGCTGAGATCATGCCACTGCACTGCAGCCTGGGCAACAGAGTGAGACTCCATCTCAAAAAGAAAAAAAAAAAAAAAAAGGCGTGGTTTCCTCCCATCTTCCCAAATGAATATCTGAAGTATTTATCTCTAAATCAACTGTTCTTCAAAGTGTATTCTGTGAACCCTTAAACCTAAGACCCTTTTGAGAATCCATGAGATCCAGTGGTGTACTGAGACCTATTTCTATCAGCTAGAAGAAACCAATTGTTAAAATGTTCAGGCACTGGTGCGAGCCAGTTGATAGCTTGAAATTGGCCATGGAAGAAGTATTTACACCATGGAAATTGGCATGCAGAGCTTTTTTCCCTCCCCTTTCCATGAGAAAATAGTTAAACATTTACCAGCACACCTCCGTTTGTAGTAATATTAAGACCTGATTTTCCTTTTTCTCTGTGTTGTCATTTGCACTGTTGGTACCAAAGGAATGGTGGGGAAAACTGCTGGTGCCTTAGCAGGAATCAATGCAGTATTACAATATTGTACTAGTAATTGTTTTTTTCATACCATGCACTCACAGTGAGGAAGGAAGGGAAGAAGGAATGAAGGAAGGAGGGAAGGAAGGAAGGAAGGGAGGGAGGGAGGGAGGGAGGGAAGGAGGGAAGGAAGGAAGGGAGGGAGGGAGGGAGGGGGGAGGGAAGGAGGGAAGGAAGGGAGGGAGGGAAGGAGGGGGAGAGAGGGAAGGAGGGGGAGGGGGGAAGGAAGGAGGGAGGGACAACTTCACTTAAAGTTGCAGTGGTCCACACCTGTAGTCTCAGCTACTCGAGGTGAGAGGATCCCTTGAACCCAGGGGTTCAAGGCTGCAGCACACCATGATTGTGCTTGTGAAGAGCCACTGCACTCCAGCATGGGCAACATGGCCAGACCCCCTCTTAAAAAGTTTTCAATTAGGCTGGGTGCGGTGGCTCATGCCTGTAATCCCAGCACTTCAGGAGGCCAAGGCGGGAGGATCACTTGAGGTCAGGAGTTCGAGACCAGCCTGACCAACATGGTGAAACCCCATCTCTACTAAAAATACAAAAATTAGCTGGGCATGGTGGCAGGCGCCTGTAATCCCAGCTACTCAGGAGGCTGAGACAGGAGAATCGCTTGAACCTGGGAGGCAGAAGTTGCAGTGAGCTGAGATCGTGCCACTGCACTCCAGCCTGGATGACAGAGCAAGACTCCATCTCAAACAAACAAACAAAGTACAAGGTAAACCAATGGATTTTAATGAAACAGAACTGATTAAAATGGATTCAGATTTCTCGGAGCAACTGATCTTTAAGAAACTTCCAGTTTTTGAGTTTTGGTGTAGTATCAAAGAGTAATTCCTGAATTTTCTGAAATATTGAAATAATTTCCTCCCTTCATCAACTACATGTATGTAGATTTTCTTGAGTCTTCAACCAAAACAATGTATCACAACAGAGTGTGTGTAGCAGCTGTGAGAATAAAGCAGTCTTCTATTAAACCAGACAGTAAAGAAATTTGTAAATATGTAAAGCAACGCCACTCTTCTCACTAAATTTTTTTTTAAATATAATAAAATATATTCATTGTGTTAGGCTGGGCGCGGTGGCTCACGCCTGTAATCCCACTACTTTGGGAGGCTAAGGCAGGTGGATCACCTGAGATCAGGAGTTCGAGACCAGCCTGGCCAACATGGTGAAACCCCGTCTCTACTAAAATACAAAAAATTAGCCAAGCATGGTGGCACACACCTGTGGTCCCAGCTACTCGGGAGGAAATTCAAGGCTGGAGTGCAGTGGCACGATTTCAGCTCACTGCAACCTCCATCTTCCCGGCTCAAGCAATTCTCCTGCCTCAGCCTCCCGAGTAGCTGGAATTACAGGTGTGTGCCACCATGCCCAGCTGATTTTTGTAGTTTTAGTAGAGACCTGGTTTTACCATGTTGGCCAGGCTGGTCTCAAACTCCTGACCTCAGATGATCCGCCTGCCTCGGCCTCCCAAAGTGCCGGGATTAGCTTGGCTTTTTCTCTTCAAAGACCTAACAAGAACAAAGCCATATTTTGACTTGTCTGTGTATGCTACCTAGGATCATTCATACCTCAAATCCCCCTCAAACACAATACAAATTAATGAGTTGGGGCTGGGCATGGTGGCTCACACCTGTAATCCTAGCACTTTGGGAGGCCAAGGTGGGCGGATCACTTGAGATCAGAAGTTCGAAACCAGCCTGGCCAATATGGTGAAACCCTGTCTCTACCAAAAATATGTTTTAAAAAATTAGCTGGGCATAGTAGCATGAGCCTGTAATCCCAGCTACTCTGAGGCTGAGGCAGGATAATCGCTTGAACCCAGGAGGCAGAGGTTGCAGTGAGCCAAGATTGCGCCACTGCACTCCAGCCTAGGCAGCAAGAGCAAAACTCCGTCTCAAAAAATAATAATGATAATAATGAGCTGAATATAAACCACAGAGTGGCTTTGTCAGCAAGGCAAGTTGTTAAGAACTATTCAGCTGTTACTTGCATAATTGATTATTAAAAGCAACTGAACCTATGAGAGGTGCTATCTTAGCCAGAACAGCTGGCTTGGTCTCTACTCTTTCAAAAATACTTACCACTGGGGAAGCTGGACCCTGTCATCTCACTGTAGGATGTACTGCTTGAAATTCTTGCTGGGTCAAAATAATAGCTTTGCTGTGTAAACTGGACCCATGCAAGTTTCCTGTTGGCTAACACCATAAGCCATGACCTTCAGCCAACGGTTGCTAATGTCGGGAAGTTAAAACACAGTCCAATGAGTTCAAGAGATCTTTGTGTAGACCCAAAATTTCATTCATATAAACTCATGAGCTCTTCTTCTAGGAGGAACAGAAAGGATACTAAATGAATTTAGCCTCCAAAGATCTGGTTTCCAGTTCCAAGTATCATCAACTAGCAGCAGGACAGAATCATGTAATTTCATCAAAAAAAGGGGTCCCTATGGTTCCCTGAAACTGTAGAATTCATTGAATGTACGATTCTAGGACCTGTGACCCATATGTATTCGTTTGCTGGGGCCTCCATCACCAAATACCATAGATTGGGTGGCTTACACAACAAGAATTTATTTTCACACAGGGTTGGAGGCTGGAAGTTCAAAATCAACGTACCAGCTAGATTGGTTCCTTCTCAGACCTCTCTCCTTGAATTGCATAAATAATTTGTTTTGTTTTGGTAAGTTTTAAAACTTGACTTTTTTCCCTTCAAGGGCCTAGAAAACACATAGACATATTGTGACTTGTGTGTATGTGTGCTAGCTAGAATCATTCATACTCCAAATCTCTCTCACATTACAGATTAATGGGTTGGATGCAAATGGTATGTATTGACCAACAGCCCCAGCTGAGGTCCAGTTGACAGTCAGCATCAACTACCAGACATGGGAATGAGCAACCTTCAGATGATTTCAGCCTCCAGTTGTTGAGTCGCCTCAACCTTGAATATTCCCAGTAGAGACCCAGGCACTATGCAGCAAAATCAAGGCATCTTTTTCTGCATCCATTCTGAATTCCTGACCCATAGAATCTGATAGCACATAAACTGGTTTCTATTTTATGCCCCTAACTTGGGGCATGGTTGGGTTTTGTGGTTTGGGGTTGGGGTTGGTTTTTGCTTTGTTTTGTTTCGTTTGAGATAGGGTATTGCTCTGTCAACCAGGCTGGAGTGCAGCGGCGTGATCATAGCTCACTGCAGCCTCAAACTCCTGGCGCAAGCAATCCTCCCACCTCAGCCTCCTGAGTAGCTGAGACCACAGGTGCACACCACCATGCCTGCCCCCAAAAATGTTCTCATATCATTGCCCTTCCCTGTATCCCCACCTTTGGCTGTGTAACTTTGCAATACTCTTATTATGAGCAAAACATATGGTCTCACCTCTTGACTTTGGATTTCGTTATACGACTTGCTTTGGACAATAATTTTAAAAACCACAAAACTGACAGTGTGTCATTTTTGAGCCTAGGTATATTAGTCAGAGAAATAGAACCAGTAGTATAGTAAAGATACACGAGACAGAGACAGGGAGAGAGCCAGAGGGAAAGATAGATTTATCAGGAGGTATTGGCTCACGTGATTATGGAGGCTGAGAAGTCATACAATCTGCCATCTCCAAGCTGGAGATCCAGAAAAGTCAGTGGTGTCATTCAGTTTGACTCCCAAAGGCCTGAGAACCAGTGTAGCCAATGATATAAATCCTCGTCTAGGGACCAGAGAAGATAAGATGATATGTCCCAGCTCAAGCAATAAAGCAGTAAAAGAGGCAAAATTCTCCTTCCTCCATCTTTTGTTCTACTCAGGCCCTCAACAGATTGGATGATATCCACCCAACTGGGGATGATGGCAGCCTGCTTTACTGAGTACAGTGATTCAAACGCTAATGATACAGGAGCTAAAAAGAAATTATTTAGGCAGACAGTGAGGGTAAGAGAGTCCTCAGCAGAATTACCCTTTTAACAAAAAGCAGCCCCCAAATAATTTCTTTTCTAACAAAGAGCAGCCTGAAACTTTGAGCTGCAAACATAGATAAGCAAGCTGGAAGCTTGCACAGGTGAATGCCAGCAGCTGTGCCAATAGAAAAGGGCTACCTGGCATGTTCAACATGGAGGCTCCATCTTCCCTTTTCTTTGTCACCACATGTGCAGTAGAAAAGCAGGCAACATGGTGCTGGCCAGGTAGAGAACCCATCTGCATAATAAAACATTAGGGTGGTGAGGCCAGCTTCTTTGTGCACTATGCAAACGGCACCCGTAGTCCAATCCGGGTCTTCACATGCTATGCAAATGGCATACCTGGTCTGACCAATCCTTCATGCCCTATGTAAATCAGACATCACTTCCTCAAGCTCATCTATTAAACATCCTGTACTTTGCCACAAACAGGAAGCCCTGCTTAGGAGCCCCTCTCTCTCTGCAGGAGAGAGATTTTTCTCTTTCTTTCGCCTATTAAACCTCTACTCTTAACCTCACTCCTTGTGTGTCCACATCCTTGATTTCCTTGGTGTGAAGCAGTGAACCTTGGGTATTACCCCAGGCGAATAATGCCACTTCACTAATACTCTCAATCAGGCCAGGCATAGTGGCCCATGCCTGTAATCTCAACACTTTGGGAGGCTGGGGCATGAGGATCACTTGAACCAAGGAGTTTGAGACCAGACTGGGCAACATAGCAAGACCCCATCTCTACAAAAAATAAATACAAATTAGCCAGGCATGGTAGCACACACCTGTGGTCCCAGCTATTTGGGAGCCTGAGGTGGGAGGATCATTTGAACCCAGAAGGTCAAGGCTATAGTGAGCTATGATTATACCATTGCACTCCAGCCTGGGCAACAGAGTGAGACCCTGTCTCAAAAGAAAACAAAGGCTAATGGTATTTTTTTTTTAATTGAGACAGAATTTCTCTCTTATTGCCCAGGCTGGAGTGCAATGGCACGATCTCGGCTCACTGCAACCTCTGCCTCCTGGGTTCAAGCAATTCTCCCACCTCAGCCTCCCGAGTAGCTGGGATTACAGGCATGCACAACCACGCCCATCTAATTTTGTATTTTTAGTAGAGAAGGGGTTTCTCCATGTTGGTCAGGCTGGTCTTGAATTCCCGACCTCAGGTGATCCACCCGCCTCGGCCTCCCAAAGTGCTGGTATTATAGGTGTGAGCCACCACACCCGGCAGGCTAATGCTATTAATCAGAAGCATTGTCACAGACACACTCAGAAAAAATGTTTAATCTGGGCACCCCTTTGCCCAGTCGAGTTGACATAAAATTAACCATCACACTGGGACTCAAGAAGCCTTGAATGTCGCCACTTGCCCCTGCCATCATCACGAGGAGGACATGCCCAGACTAGCCCATTGGTCCTAGGAGGAGAATGAGACACATGTGGAACAAAACTCAGCTGAGATCAGACAACACACAGAAGTAAGTGAAAATAGATGATTGTTGTTTTAAGCCCCTGAGTTTTGGGATGGTTTGTTACACAGCATTTTTGTGGCAATAACTAACTGATACAGCAAGTAAGGCAGTGAGCAAGTAAGGACTCACAAACAATGCCCCAAAATGAGGGCCCCAGAGCAAAAGTTTTTCTCTGATCTTCTCCTGACCACCTGTCTCTCAGTCCCATGCTCCCCTGAGGCTAGCCATAGAAACTAGAATCCCTCTTCCCCAAGGTGGGTCATAGAACCACAACCCCTTTTTTCCCAAAGCCAGCCATAAGACCTAAAAATATGACTCTTTTTCTCTGCCTTTTTGTGTAAAAACTGGCCATAAAGAAATTATCTGACCCACCCTGTTTGACTGTAGGTCATAAGACCTCCATTCCAGAGAGGGTCTTAGCCCATAGCCAGGATGCTGGGCAGTTGAGCCCCAATATTGGGGCTTAGCCTGGGAGGGTTCTTGGCTTCAGCCTGGAAAGGATACAAGGATGAGCCAGAGGTGTTAGTCACTTTTACTGAAGCAGCAGTGCACAGCAGCTGTGGAGGTATTGCTCCTTGTGGAACGGGGCCGCCCCATAGGCAGTGTACCCAAAGCAGCAGCTCAGAGGCAGTGCTGCAGGCATATTTATAACCCACTTTTAATTATGTGTAAATTAAGGGGTGGATTATACAAAAATGTCTAGAAAAGTGATGGTAACTTCCAGGTCATCAGATCATTGCTAAGGAAAGGGATGGTAACTTCTAGGTGTTACCATGGCAATGGTAAGTTGACATGGCTCACTAGTGGGCATGTCTTGTGGAGAGGTGCTTTTGCCTCTTCCCTGTTTTAGCTAGTCTTCAATCTGGTCCAGTGTCCAAGTCCCACCTCCAGAGTTGAGTCCTGCCTTCTACCTTACCCAGAAGGAAATAATGCTTCACAGAAAAGCCAAGAAGAATCTAGATAGACAGACCTTGCCAGATTTCTCCACTCGGTCTATTACCATTAGATCAGACCCTGTATTTCCAATCATGTTTCTGCACAGCTGTCCATACTCTGTGGAACCTAAGCATAAAAACAGTTTCCACTGGGCGCAGTGGCTCATGCTTGTAATCCCAGCACTTTGGGAGGCCGAGATGGGTGGATCACAAGGTCAGGAGATCAAGAACATCCTGGCTAACACAGTGAAACCCCATCTCTACTAAAAATACAAAAAAATAGCCGGGCATGGTGGCGGGCACCTGTAGTCCCAGCTACTCGGGAGGCTGAGGCAGGAGAATGGTGTGAACCCGGGAGGTGGAGCTTGCAGTGAGCTGAGATTGCACCACTGCACTCCAGCCTGGGCGACAGAGCGAGACTCTGTCTCAAAAAAAAAGAAAAAAAGTTTCCGTTGTATCTCTGGGTCTTCATTCTGAAGGCATCCGTGTCATGTAAAACTATGATCAAAGAAATGTGTATGCCTTTTCTCCAATTAATCTGCCTTCAGTGACTTGATTTTTCAGTGAAACTTCAAAGGGTGACAGGGAAATTTCTCCTTGGCCCCTGCAGCAGGCATGCATTGCTTCTGAACACATTCCAGTGGTGATAATCGTGGACTCACATCTTGTAACCATAATAGGCCCACTGCCTCATGCACACAGCAAGTGAATATGCCAAGACACTGGGTTGCAGCACAGAAAGACGTTTAACTGTAGGGCAGCTGAATGAGGAGTTGGGAGGGTACCTCAAATCCATCTCCCCAAGGAGTTTGGGGCTAGGGTTTTTTGTTTTTTTTTTTTTGCTTTTTGTTTTTTGGTTTTTTTTTTTTTTTTGAGATGGAGTCTTGCTCTGTCGCCCAGGCTGGAGTGCAGTGGCATGATCTCGGCTCACTACATCCTCCACCTCCCCGGTTCAAGTGATTTACTGCCTCAGCCTCCCGAGTAGCTGGGATTACAGGTGTGCCATCATGCCTGGCTAATTTTCGTATTTTTAGTAGAGACTGGGCTTCACCATGTTGGTCAGGCTGGTCTTGAACTCCTGACCTCAGGTGATCCACCCACCTCAGCCTCCCAAAGTGCTGGGATTACGGGCGTGAGCCACCGTGCCCGGCCGGGGCTAGGGTTTTTAAGGGTGTTGGAGGGGCTGAAGTGTGGAAATCATTCGCTGGTTGAAGAATGCAGGATGAAGTCATGTGACTGGAAGATGAAGACACTGACGTCTTCTGCTGATCCTATTCCTCTGTGGGGGTCTTCAAACGGGTTGGCATCAGCTGTTTTGCTGGAAATCAGGGTCTGATTGTTTAAGGAATCCTAAAACAAAAGCCTTATGTTTCTAACGTCAGAAATTCTATTTAAAGGAACAATGGAAGCCAGGCGTGGTGGCTCACACCTGTAATCCTAGCACTTTGGGAGGCTGAGGCGGGTGGATCACTTGAGGTCAGTTCAAGACTAGCCTGGCCAACATGGTGAAACCCCGTCACTACTAAAAATACAAAAATTAGTCAGGTGTGGTGGCGGGTGCCTCTAATCCCAGCTACTCAGGAGGCTGAGGCAGGAGAATCACTTGAACCCGGGAGGCAGAGGTTGCAGTGAGCTGAGATCGTGCCATTGCACTCCAGCCTGGGCAACATGAGTGAAACTCCATCTCAAAAAAAAATAAAAAAATAAAAAATAAAATAAAAATAATTAAATGTATGGGACATACGTGCAATTTTGTTACATGCATAGATTACATAGCAGTGCAGTCAGAGCTTTTAGGGTAACCATCACCTCAATAACATACTTTGCACCCATTGATTTTTCATAACCCACCACCCTCCCACCCCTTCTGAGTCTCCCTTGCCCATCATTCCACTCTCTAAGTCCATATGTTGGCATGATTTAGCTCCTGCTTATGAGTGAGAACATGTGGTATTTGTGTTTCTATGTCTAACTTGTTTCACTTAACATAATGGCCTCTGGTTCCATCTATGTAGCTGCAAAAGACATGATTCCATTATTTTTTTATCATCGAATAGTATTCTATGGTGTATATGTACCACATTTTCACTATCCAATTATCCATGGATGGACCTCTAGGTTGATTCTTCATCTTTGCTATTGTGGATAGTACTTCAGTAAACATACAGGTGCAGGTACCCTTTTAATATAATGATTTATTTTCCTTTGGGTAGATATTCAGTAGTGAGATTGCTGGATCAAATTGTAGTTCTATTTTTAGTTCTTTGAGAAACCTCCATACTCTTTTCCATATGGATCTATCTAGATGCGCCTTTAATTTTATTATTTATTTAAAAGGAACTGTCAATCTGAAATAAGCAACAGAGAGATCAACTCTCTTTAAGAAAGAATTTTTTTTTTCTGAGATGGAGTCTTGCTCTGTTGCCCAGGCTAGAGTTCAGTGGCACGATCTCAGCTCACTACAACCTCTGCCTCCCAGGTTCAAGTGACTCTCCTGCCTTAGTCTCCCAAGTAGCTGGGACTACAGGCGTGTGCCACCATGTCCGGCTAATTTTTGTATTTTTAGTAGAGACGGGGTTTCACCATGTTGGCCAGGATGGTCTCGAACTCCTGACATCGTGATCTACCCGTCTCAGTCTCCCAAAGTGCTGGGATTATAGGCGTGAGCCACCGTTACCAGACAACAAAGAATTTATTCAGGAATAGCAGGGGATTACAATCTGAGATCCGCATGCTATGGCCCACCGTAGGAGCATCCAAAGAGGTTAGGGCAGGGGAAACTTTCGAAAGAAAAAAAAGAGCCAGGCGTGGTAGCTCAGGCCTTCAATCGCAATGACTAGGGAGGCTAAGGTGGGAGGATCACTTAAGCCCAGGAGGTCGAGGCTGCAGAGAGCTATAATCATGCCATGTACTCCAGCCAAGGTGACAGAAACCCTGTCTCTTTAAAAAAAATAAAATTTAAGTCTGGGCACGGTGGCTCACACCTGTAATCCTAGCACTTTGGGAGGCCGGGTGGGTGGATGAATAGGTCAGGAGTTTGAGACCAGCCTGGCCAACATGGTGAAACCCCGTCTCTACTAAAAATACAAAAATTAGTTGGGCGTAGTAGCGCGAGCCTGTAATCCCAGCTATGCAGGAGGCTGAGGCAGGAGAATTGCTTGAACCAGGGAGACAGAGGTTGCAGTGAGCCGAGATCGTGCCATTGCACTCCCGCCTGGGTGACAGAGCAAGATTCTGTCTCAGAAAAAAAAAATTAAAAAAATAAAAAATAATAATAAATTTAATTTAATTTAATTTAATTTTTTAAAAAAAGAAAAATAGGAAAGGCCCAAATGAACTGTTTTGAAACAAAGACCATTGGTTGCAGGAGCTTGTTGCGGGAGTTTATTAGTTCATTGGTGGACACGGAAACACTTGTCACTCAGGCAGCTGTCCTTGCACAAGTAGCTTATCTGGGCCGGGCGCAGTGGCTCACGCCTGTAATCCCAGCACTTTGGGAAGTCGAGGCGGGTGGGTCACGAGGTCAGGAGTTCAAGACCAGCCTAGCCAATATGGTGAAACCCCGTCTCTACTAAAAATACAAAAATTAGCCAGGCGTGGTGGCGGGCACCTGTAGTCCCTGTTACTCGGGAGATTGAGGCAGGAGAATCGCTTGAACCCAGGAGGCAGAGGTTGCAGTGAGCTGAAATTGTACCTCTGCCCTCCAGCCTGGGTGACAGAGTGAGACTCCATCTCAAAAATAAATAAATAAATTAATTAATTTATTTATTTATTTATTTATTTATTTATTTATAAAAGCAAGTAGCTTATCTGGAATATCACAGCTCTGAAAAATTCTTTGGATGTCCTTAGCATGGGCATACATGCTCCAGGGCTGCCTCTTCATGGCCTCCTGGGTCCATTGTGTTAGGATTTGATGTAAGTGACTCCATTTTGATGCTAATAACTTCTGCAAAACCACCCTCAGCCAATGGTTCTGCAACTTGCACATTTTCACATAGTAATATATAGTGGAGATCTTTCCAAAATATTACACTCTACCCAGGTCTATGTCTTTCTTCTTAATAACTGCATTAGTATTGTAATACTAACACTGTGTCTTAATTTGTTCAAATCAATCCCCAAATGAGGGACACTTTCCAGTTTTGGGCTATTTCAAATAAGGCTACAGAAAATATCTTCAACCCGGCCGGGTGTGGTGGCTCACGCCTATAATCCCAGCACTTTGGGAGGCCGGGGCAGATGGATCACCTGAGGTCGGGAGTTCGAGACCAGCCTCACCAACATAATGAAAACTCGTCTCTACTAAAAAGACAAAAATTAGCCAGGCATGTTGGCACACGCCGGTAATCCCAGCTACTCAGGAGGCTGAGGCAGGAAGACCGCTTGAACCCAGGAGGTGGAGGTTGCAGTGAGCCAAGATCGTGCCAATGCACTCCAGCATGGGTGACAGAGCAACACTCCGTCTCAAAAAAAAAAAAAAAAAAAAAAGATAATATCTTCAACCCTATATCTTGGCAAACTCTCTCTGGAGAGTAAATACCTAGCAATAAGATTTCCAGGCCAAAGCCTATTAGTAGCTATCTCCAATTTTTCTCCAGGAAGATTGCATTAATTTATACTACCATGAATAATGTAGGAGCGCATACATTTCTATATATGCTCAGGGAAGTAAGTCACAAAAAGACAAATGTTATATTATTCCATGAGGCCTTAGAGTAGTGAAATTCATAGAGACAGAAAGTGGGATGGTGGTTGCCAGGGGCTGGGAATAAGGGAGGGATGCATCAGGAGTGTTTAATGGGGACAGAATTTCAGTTTCGCAAAAATAAATGAGTTGTTTCAGTTTGTTGTTTGTTTGTTTCTTTTTTTTTCTTTTTGAGATGGAGTCTCGCTCTGTCGCCAAGCTGGAGTGCAGTGGCGCGATCTCAGCTCACTGCAACCTCCACCTCCCGAGTTCGAGCAATTCTCCTGCCTCAGCCTCCTGAGTAGCTGGGACTACAGGCGCCCCACCACCATGCCCAGCTGATTTTTGTATTTTTAGTAGAGATGGGGTTTCACCATACTGGCCAGGCTGGTCTCGAACTCCTGACCTCAGATGATCCGCTCGCCTCAGCCTCCCAAAGTGCTGGGATTACAGGCGTGAGCTACCACGCCCGGTGAGTCGTTTCAGTTTTACAAGAAGAAAAGAGCTCTGGAGACAGATGGTGTTGATGATTGCACAACAATGAGAATGTACTTAATGCCACTGAACTGTCCACTTTAAAATGGAGAGGGTAGTAAATTTTATTTATGTGTATTTTTACTATGGGTTTTTTTTTTTTTTTTTTTTTTTCTAAATGGGTAGGCCGGGCATGGTGGCTTGCACCTGTAGTCTCAGGCTACTCAGGAGGATGAGGCCAGGAGTTGAAGACCAGCCTGGGCAACACAGTGAGACACTATCTTTATAAATACATTTAAAAACAAAAATTAGCCAGGCATGGTGGCTTGTGTCTGTAGTCTCAGCTACTTGGGAAGCTGTGGCGGGAGGATCCCTTGAGACCAGGGGTTTGAGGCTGCAGTGAGCTGTGGTCGCACCACTGCATCTAGCCTGGATGAAAGAGCAAGACCCTGTCTCTAAAAAATTATTAAACAAAATAAAAAACTTTTTTTAATTGGGCAAAAAAGGCCAGGCGCCTGTAATCCCAGCACTTTGGGAGGCCGAGGCAGGTGGATCACCTAAGGTCAAGAGTTGGAGACCAGCATGGCCAACAGGGTGAAACCCCATTTCTACAAAAATACAAAAATTAGCCAGCATGGTGGCGGGTGCCTGTAATCTCAGTTACTCCAGGAGGCTGAGGCGGGAGAATCGCTTGAACCCGGGAGACAGAGGTTGCAGTGAGCCAAGATCGCGCCACTGCACTCCAGCCTGGGCGACAGAGCAAGACTCCATTTCAAAAAATAATAATAATAAAATAAATAAATAGGGCAAAAAAAAATCAAGCATCTCTAACAACTACCTCTGTAGAGCTCTTTGCTGTAAACACATTGCTTTCTTAATGCTTCTTGGGTAATTTCAGCATTGGGTTAGCCATTTGGAAAGTTATTAATAGGCTCCATCCTAACTCTTATCAGGACAATCATCTCCTAATTCTAGGGCCTAGTTGTCTTTTCTGCCTGGAGAGCTCCCACAGCACCCACAAGGCATCACTAAGATTCACAGGGTTAGGTATCTTTCCAGCAGCAGATCACCACAGAATTTTGGCATCACACATATTAAGAAATTAAAGAGCAAAAGTGCCTAGTTTAGAAACCAGTGATCCGCACAGAAATGCATGGTTCCTCTAAAAGGCCCTTAATTCAGCCAGGCACAGTGGCTCACACCTGTAATCCCAGCACTTTGGGAGGCCGAGGTGGGTGGATCACCTGAGGTCAGGAGTTTGAGACCAGCCTGGCCAACATAGTGAAACCCCGTCTCTATTAAAAATACAAAAATTAGCCGGGCGTGGTGGTACGTGCCTGTTATCCTAGCTACTCAGGAGGGTGAGGCAGGAGGATCGCTTGAACCTGGGAAGCAGAGGTTGCAGTGAGCCGAGATGGCGCCACTGTACTCCAGCCTGGACAAAAGAGTGAGACTGTGTCTCAAAAAACAAAAACCATAAAAGGCCCACAATTCAAACATCTGGTGTCCATTTAGGAAGCCAGTTGGTCATAGCTGGGAAGGTTTTCTCCCATTCGATCGTAGGGTCTCTCCAAGTGCACATTCCCCACAAGGACATAGCCATAAAGAATACATGAGCAAAGTAAAAGAGAATCCTGGGAAAATCTTTCGTTTTTAACAATACTTATTTCATTATGGAAGTAACATACTCATCAGTTAAAAACTTGAAGATGGGCAGGGCTTGGTGGCTCATGCCTGTAATCCCAGCACTTTGGGAGGCCGAGGCAGGTGGAACACATGAGGTCAGGAGTTCGAGACCAGCCTGGCCAACAGTGAAACCCCATCTCTACTAAAAATACAAAAATTAGCCAGGTATGGTGGCACACACCTGTAGTCCCAGCTACTCGGGAGGCTGAGGCGGGAGAATCGCTTGAACCTGGGGGGCAGAGGTTGCAGTGAGCTGAGATGAGGCCATTGCCCTCCAATGTGGGCAACAGAGCGAGACTCCATCTCAAAAAAAAGAACAACTTGAAGACGTAGACAAATAAAATCACCCATTGTGATAAATAGATAGTTTGGGGGGGTTTTGGTTTTGTTGTTATTGTTGTTTCAGAGACAGTGTCTCACTCTGTCACCCAGGCTGGAGTGCAATGGTGCAATCTTGGCTCACTGCAACCCCCACCTCCCGGGCTCAAGCAATTGTCCCACCTCAGCCCCCCAAGTAGCTGGGATTACAGGTGCACACCATCATGCCTGGCTAATTTTTATATTTTTAGTAGACATGGGGTTTTGCCACACTGCCCAGGCTGGTCTTGAACTCAAGACCGCTCAAGCCATCTTCTTGACTCCGCTTCCCAAAATGCTGGAATTACAGGCATGAGTGAGCCACTGCGTCCGGCCTAGATAGTGTTTTTCAATTGTGCAGCATCCATATTTCCTTTTTTTCCTGAAAGCAATGGCCTGATTCTCCCTTGGAAAACCACCCACCCCCTTGACTTTACCTTCCTCCTTCCGTGTGGCTGGACAAGACTGATTGCATCTCTAGCTCCTGGGGTAGGCTTTCCCCTTGGAAGAGTCCCATCCCCTGTCCTCTGAGATTGGTTGAAGGGTAAACGACCCACACTGAGCCAATCAGATAGTGCCAGGATTTTGAATGAAGCTGGCAGGAAAGAGATGAGCTTTTTCCATCGGTGTGGATAAACTTGAAAAAACTAAGCCTGGAATGATCGGGGTCTATGATGCCACCATGAGGGGAGAGCCTGCCTGAGAATGAAATCTGAGTGGAGAAATACAGACAGTGTCCTGACAATGTCCTTCAGTCATCTGAATCCAACTATGCTCGAAGCTAAATCTATCCCTGAACTTTTCAGCAATGGGAGCCCATTGATTCCACTGTTGTTATTTTTGTTGAAGGCAATATGATTTCTATTTCTGATCTGGGCAACCAACCCATCCATCTTCCAAACCCAACCAAGGCATTTTTCTCTGAAGTCTTTTTTTTTTTTTTTCCTTTGCACTGGTATTTGAACTTTTTATGTATTTGAGACCACAGTATTTCTGTATCTATGTATAGCTATAGATTATATTAGTTGGTCTTTGCAACAACAATTCTACATAATGGACTAATCTCAAAACTTCTTTTTCTTCTTTACAGGTCTGGGAGTCAGCAGGTTTTGTAGCAGGTTCAGATTTGCCATCAGCACTACCATGCCCTGTGATCAAAGTCAATGGAAAAAGAACCCAATTCAGGCAGGACTACCAATGTATTCGGTTGGTGGAAAATTAATTGTGGTTTTTGCCATTGAAAGTAACAGCCCAGACTCTTCAGGAGTGAAGGTTTGGGTCACCCTGTTACCGGAAAGGGGTCCCTATCCAGACCCCAAGAGAGGGCTCTTGGATCTCACACAAGAGAATTCAGGGTGAGTCCACAGAGCCAAGTGAAAGCAAGTTTATTAAGAAAGTGAAGGAATAGGCTGGGCAAGGTGGCTCACAACTGTAATCTCAGCACTCTGGGAGTCCAAGGTGGGTGGATCACCTGAGGTCAGGAGTTTGAGACCAGCCTGACCAACATGGAGAAACCCCATCTCTACTAAAAATACAAAAATTAGAGACAGGAGTTTCACTATGTTGCCCAGGCTGGTCTTGAACTCCTGGCCTCAAGCAATCCTCCCACCTTGGCCTCCAAAGCCACCATGCCCAGCCTCTGAGGAGCTTTATAATCACACACACACAGAGATGCTCCATCCTGCATGGGGCTGCCCTGATTCCTGTTAAAACCACTAGCCTACAGATACAGTGTTTCTTTTTTTATTTTATTTATTTATTTATTTTTTTAGATGGAGTCTTACTCTGTCACCCAGGCTGGAGTGCAGTGGCACTATCTCAGCTCACTGCAACCTCTAACTCCCAGGGTTCAAGCCATTCTCATGCCTCAGCCTCCTGAGTAGCTGGGACTACAGGCGTGCGCCACCACACCCGGCAAATTTTTGTATTTTTAGTAGAGATGGGATTTCGCCATGTTGGCCAGTCTGGTCTCGAACTGCTGACCTCAAGTGATCCGCCTGCCTCGGCCTCCCAAAGTGCTGGGATTACAGGCATGAGCCACAGCGCCCGGCCCAGATACAGTGTTTCTAACAGTGTGTCTCATCACCCTTAGATATGCTGGGTGGTGGGAAGGCAGAGAAGGAAGGACAAAAGCCACTGCTTATTTCAATTACCTACCTTTCACCACATTGGTGAGGGGGGGATTCTTGCCCTAGTGTTATGCAGATGGCCAAACACATGCCTGACATGGGACAGATGAGACTGACAGCCATTTATTAGTTATTTACACTCACTGCCTGGAGAAAGGAGACACTGTTGAAACTGCCTTTGCAAAATTATGACTGAGACAGTCAAAGAAATCTAACTGAATCGACTCCATCTTGCTTCTAACCTCCAAGCTGTCCTTGTTCATTCCTTGGCGTAGGCTGGACTAACTTTGGGAGAAACTCAGTTTATAGTTTATAGTTTAAAACAAAGATGACAGACTGGGCACGGTGGCTCACGCCTGTAATCCCAGCACTTTGGGAGGCCGAGGCAGGCAGATTACCTGAGGTCAGGAGTTCGAGACCAGCCTGGCCAACATGGCGAAACCCCGTCTCTACTAAAAATTAAAAAAAAAAGAAAATTAGCTGGGCGTGGTGGCGGGTGCATGTAGTCCCAGCTACTCAGGAGGCTGAGGCAGAACAATTGCTTGAACCCGGGAGGTGGAGGTTGCAGTGAGCTGAGATTGCGCCACTGCACTCCAGCCTGGCAACAGAGCAAGACTCTGTCTCAAAAAAATAAATAAAATAAAATAAACTCTGCTCCCTCACTGCACTCCAGCCTGGGTAACAGAGGGAGACTCCATCTCTGAAAAAAGAGAAAAAAACAAAAAACTCTGCTTTTTGAATATTTGGGGAGACTGATTTTAGTCATAATAAAACTCTGGTCTCCCGCACGGCCAGCTCTGTGTGAATTACTCTTTCTCTATTGCAATTCCCCTGTCTTGATAAATCAGACAGCAGGGAACTGAAACCCTCTGCTCAGAGATAAACAGGAACTGTACCTGGTCCATTTAATAAAGAGAGCTGCTTGGCTTTGGGGTAGGGGTGGTAACTTCTCCATCAGGGCAGAGTAGGGAGGGGACTTTGGGATCAGTCATTTGAAGCCCTCCTGGTTTCACCAGCTGTCAAGGCAGCACATAACATTGAGCCTTAATTTTAGGCTTTGCACCACGTCGCTTCTGGGCATTATTTTTTAGCAAGTGTTATGGGGTGACAGAAAGGAAAGATAAAATATTCTCCCAGAGGGACGTTATTCATAATCGCTGTGAGTTGTACAGAAATCAGTATACGGTGTCTTTTTTTTTTTTTTTTTCTTGTCCAAGGAAACTAAACTCCAAACGAAGTGAAATAAAGTTGGAGAGAACTTTAACCTCGCTGCCATGGAAACCACATTTCTCACTCATGGGGCAAAGAGGGTTTATGTGAGGATCTCCTGAGTCGATAAGGTATCTGGACATTGGCAATTCCAGATATTTGATTAACAAGCAGGAAATCGTAAGGATTTCCTAAGATTGACTAGCCGAGGAAGGGAAGCTTGGGATAAAAGAAGTGCTTCTTTCAGGAGAGGCATTTCCTACCCCTTCATTCTAAACCAGGGCTCCTGGCCGGGCCCAGTGGCTCACGCCTGTAATCCCAGCACTCTGGGAGGCCGAGACAGGTGGACCACCTGAGGTCAGGAGTTCAAGACCAGCCTGGCCAACATGGCAAAACCCCATCTCTACTAAAAATACAAAAAATTAGCCAGGCATGGTGGTGGGTGCCTGTGATTTCAGCTACTTGGGAGGCTGAGGCCGGAGAATCACTTGAACCCAGGAAGCAGAGGTTGCAGCGTGCCGAGATCGCGCCATTGCACTCCAGCCTGGGTGACAGAGCGAGACTCCATCTCAAAAAACGAAGAAACAAACAAACAAAAAAAGATTCTCATAAGGATCACGCATCCTAGATCCCTCGCATGTGCAGTTCACAATAGGATTCGTGCTCCTGTGAGAATCTAATGCTGCCACTGATCTGACAGGAGGCGGGGCTCAGGCGGTGATGCGAGCAATGGGGAGCAGCCGTAAATACAGATGAAGCTTCGCTCATTCGGCTGCCCCTCACCTCCTGCTGTGTGGCCCGGTTTCTAACAGGCCACTGTTACCGGTCCATGGCCTGGGGATTGGGAACCCCTGGTGTACGGGTGGCAGTGACCACCTCTCAGCCACAGGGTGACCCCACGGAATTTGTGCTGTTTTCCTCTAAACACAACAATTAGAACTCCCCAGGGGAAACGTTCTTGGGTAATGCCCTGAACCCCAGTAAGGGCCTTGGCCTCCAGGTCCCCCGCCTCACACTTCCCCCATCTTCTGGTTGATCTTGCACATCCCAAATGGCTCCCCTCTTCCTATTGCCCTGCAAGGCACTCTGTCCTCCTCTCTCTGGGATTTGTGAGTAATAAAACTGTTTCTGTTATCTGTTATTTCATGTGTTTTGTTGAGTTACCTTTTTTTTTTTTTTTTTTTTTTTTTTTTGAGACTGAGTCTCACTCCATCACCCAGGCTGGAGTGCAGTGGTGCGATCTCAGCTCACTGCAACCTCCGCCTCCTGGGTTCAAGCGATTCTCGTGCCTCAGCCTCCCGAGTAGCTGGGATTACAGGTGCACACCACGACACCTGGGGGGCAAGATCATTCGAGAAGCTTTACATCTTGTAGGACTGGCCCTGACTCCAGGAGGGTTTCCTTCTGCCAGTTTAGTTATGCAGCAGGAGGTGCTTGGCGTATCTCCCCAGTGCAGTCTTCCCTATGTCATCTGAGCCCCAAAGCAATGTGCCCTGGGCCTTTAGTCTCTCAAAGTCTTAGGAAAGTAGCTTTCTCTTCATCTCTATGTAGTCTCCAAACCAGTTCAAATATGCTGCTGGGTTACTCAGGAGGCTGAGGCAGGAGAATCGCTTGAACCCAGGAGGCAGAGGTTGCAGTGAGCCGAGATGGCACCATTGCACTCCAGCCTGGGCGATGGAGCGAGACTCCGTCTCAAAAAAAAAAAAAAAATGCTGCTGGGACAAGCATCCAAACCAACCCTCCCTTTTCTCCATAGCCTACAAGATACATGTACAAAATAACATCTCCCTCCACCTTCAAACGAAACCCAAAAGCCCTCGTGGGAAGACGCACAGCACGCGGGATTCTCACCACCAGATGCCTAGCATCTGAGATCAATGAATGCTAAGGACAGGAATCACACTCATGTCAGGAGGCACCAACAAGTCTTGATGCAGCCTTTAGTAAAACCTGGGGACGAGAACTTTCATTTTGTGAGTTTCCTTTTTCATGTGGATTGCATTGTCTCTACTGCCTTCTTTGCTTTCTCTCTACATCCTTGTGAAGCGAAGTTCCTTTGGAAAAATTCCAGCTGGCCGGGCATGGTGGTTCATGCCTGTAATCCCAGAACTTTGGGAGACCAAGGCGGGTGGATCATTTGAGGTCAGGAGTTTGAGACCACCCTGGCCAACATGGTGACACCTGTCTCAATAAAAATACAAAATTTAGCAGGCGTGGAATCCCAGCTACTCGGGAGGGTGAGATATGAGGATCGCTTGAATCTGGGAGGCTGAGGCTGCCATGAGCCAGATCACGCCACTGCACTGCAGCCTGGGAAACAGAGGGAGACACTGTTCAAGGCCTATCTTTTATTATTATTATTATTTTTGAGATGGAGTCTTGCTCTGTCACCCAGGCTGGAGTGCAGTGGCAACCTCTGCCTCCCGGGTTCAAGCCATCCTCCCACCTCAGTCTCACAAGTAGCTAGGACTATATGTGACACCACCACGCCCCACTAATTTTTTTTTTATTTGTACCGACAAGGTCTCACTATGTTACCCAGGCTGGTATCAAACTCCTGGACTCAAATGATCCAGCCTGCGTTGGCCTCCCTAAGTACTGGGATTGCAGGCATGAGCCAGCACACCCTCCCTTGCTTTAGTTCTTAAAAGAGACTCTCGCACATTGGCTTCAGGCTCAGCTGGATCCAGGTCCTTGAACAGGTTCAGGAATCTGGAACCTGTCTCTTTCATTTATATATTTATTTGAGACAGGGTCTCACACTGTCGCCCGGGCTGGAGTGCAGTGGCACGATCATGGCTCACTGCAACCTCAGTCTCCTGGGCTCAAGTGATCCTCCTACTTCAGCCTCCCAAGTAGCTAAGACCACAGGTGTGTGCCACCATGCCTGGCTTAATTTTTTATTCACTTATTTATTTATTTATTTATTTGTTCTGAGACAGAGTCTCGCTCTGTTGTTGCCCAGGCTGGAATGCAGTGGCACGATCTTGGCTCACTGCAGCCTCCACCTCCCAGGTTCAAGCGATTGTCCTGACTCAGGCTCCCAAGTAGCTGGGACTACAGGCATGTGCCACCATGCCCAGCTAAATTTTTTGTATTTTTAGTAGAGGCGGCATTTCGCCGTGTTGATTAGGCTGGTCTCGAACTCCTGAACTCCAATGATCCACCCACCTCAGTCTCCCAAAGTGCTGAGATTACAAGCATGAGCCACTGTGCCTGGCCAATTTTTTTTATTTTTTGTAGAGACACAGTCTCACTATGTTGCCCAGGCTGGTCTCGAACTCCTGGCCTCAGGAGATCCTGCCACCGCTTCCCAAAGTGCTGGGATTACAGGCATAAAACACTCCGCCCAGTCCCTGGTCTCCTTTGTGTCGGCTTCATCAACTGTCAGTTCCGTTCTCCAGGGTTAGCAATTCTAACAGAAGTCCCGGGATGATGTCTCATTGGCTCATCTTGAGATATGTGGTTATGACTGAACTACAAGCAGAGGGATGAGATTGGCCACTCTGGGTCATGTGCCCCATTTTCTTTCTTTTTTTTTTTTTTTTTGAGACGAAGTCTTCCTCTGTCGCCCAGGCTGGTGTACAATGACGTGATCTCGGCTCACTGCAACCTCCACCTCCTGGGTTCCAGAGATTCTCCTGCCTCAGCCTCCTGAGTAGCTGGGATTACAGGTACATGCCACCATGCCCCGCTAGTTTTTTGTTTTTTGGTTTTTTTTTTTTGAGACAGAGTCTCACTCTGTCGCCCAGGTTGAAGTACAGTGGTGCAACCTTCACCTCCCCGGTTCAAGCGATTCTCCCACCTCAGCCTTCTAAGTAGCTTGGACTACAGGCACCCACCACCACACCTAGCTAATTTTTGTATTTTTAGTAGAGACAGGGTTTCACCATGTTGGCCAGGATGGTCTCGATCTATTGACATCATGATCCGCCTGCCTCAGCCTGAAGTGCTAGGATTACAGGCTTGAGCCACCACACCCAGCCCACGCCCAGCTAATTTTTGTATTTTTAGCAGAGACAGGGTTTCACCACATTGCCCAGGTTGGTCTCGAACTCCCGACCTCAGGTGCTCTGCCCACCTCAGCCTCCCAAAGTGCTGGGATTACAGGCGTGAGCCACCACGCCTGGCCCTACATGCCCCATTCTAAAGCTGGCCCCTTTCCAAGCACATGGATGCAAATGGGATAATGGCTCCCCCAGGGAAAATCAGAAGAAAGAGGCATGGATGCTGCACCCGCAAATGCAGCTGATACCCAGTCCACCTACACTAAGCAAGTTATTAAGGCTTACTAAAACATAGTGTTCGTACATTCAGAATAGAAAGTTACTGTAATTTATTGAGCACTCTATTTTGGTATTCCACCTAGAAGCCTGGCAGACACACAATACCTCCCAGCATTGCACACAAGTGTACACTGATAGTATAAATTTCCATAATTTCCTGGAGGAACATTTTGTCTTTGTGTTATCTTGAATTGGCCACGGTTTTCAACCGCTGTTCTTTTTGCTTAGCTAATGATAAATCACTGTTTAGCTTGTTATTAGCAATTTAATTTGTTGTGGGTTGTTTGGCAAATTCTACAGTGTTTAATAATACTCATTTGCATCAGCAGTATTTTTGGCCTATAATTGTTCAATAAATAGACTTTAAGTCATGTATGCATTGAGCAAAAATAGAAATCATCTGTACTCTTATTGCTTAAGCAGATGTACCCACAATTCCCCAACTTTTAGAAAGCTTTTAGGATGACATTCCATTTTTATCACCTACTTGTTTTTCTGCTGGAAAGTGGGAATGGGGGTGAAGCCTTAATTCCCTCCTAATTGGGCTGGGGGAAAAAATTTAGAGCTGATAACTTAAGAGAACTTTGCATATACTGGTTTTAGTACCTTGGAAAGTTTATGTGGTAGAGTGGCAGAGTATATGTTTTAAAAACTGGTCTTAGGCCGGGCGTGGTGGCTCATGCCCGGCACTTTGGGAGGCTGAGGCAGGTGGATTACGAGGTCAGGAGTTCGAGACCAGCCTGGCCAACATGGTGAAACCCCGTTTCTACTAAAAATATAAAAATTAGTCGGATATGGTGGTGTGTACCTGCAATCCCAGCTATGCAGGAGGCTGAGGCAGGAGAATTGCTTGAACCCAGGAGGCGGAGGTTGCAGTGAGCCGAGATCGTGCCATTGTACTTCAGCCTGGGCGACAAGAGCAACACTTCGTCTCAAAAAAAAAAAAAATGGTCTTAAATTGTGGACGGTCTTGAAAACTTGATCTAGGACAAAGGTTGGCAAATTTCTTCTAAAGTGGATCAGATAATAAATCTTTTTGGTTTTGCAGGCTCTAGTGTCTCTGTCACAATAACTCAACCCTGATGCTGCAGTACAAAAATAGCCAGAGGCAATACATACGCAAATGGGCATGGCAGTATTCCAAAAACTCTTTAATAACAAAAACAGGCAGCCAACCAAATTTGGCCCGTGGGCCATAATTTGTCAAACCCTGGTCAAGGAGTTTGGACTTCTTTCCATTGGATCATTAAAGATGTTGCAGGTGTGAATTTCAGTTCCCAATTTAGAGACTTAAGAGATGTAATCTTATTTTTGTTTTTTGTGCATTTTTTTTTGTTTGTTTGTTTTGAGAGCCTCGCACTGTCGCCCAGGCTGGAGTGCAATGGCGTGATCTCGGCTCACTGCAACCTCTGCCTCCCGGGTTCAAGCAATTCTCCTGCCTCAGCCTCCTGAGCAGCTGGGATTACAGGTGCCCACCACCTTGCCCAGCTAATTTTTTGTATTTTTAGTAGAGACGAGGTTTCACCATGTTGGCCGGGCTAGTCTCAAACTCCTGATCTCGTGATCCGCCCACCTCGGCCTCCCAAAGCACTGGGAGTACAGGCATGAGCCACCTCACCCGGCCACCTTATTTTTCTAGAACTGAAAGTGATCACTAGTTCAAGTCCTCATTCTTCAAGAGTGGTGAAAAGTTCATCTCAGGTCAACTCGGAGTGCTTCTACCCTTTTCCTTGGTACCTTGGTGCTGCATCTTATTTCCCTAGGGCTTGGATGGTACCTAGATGTGGGAGACAGAAGGGTGAGATAAATTGCCAAGTCATTGCCTCCTTACAATGGCCTCATGGAGGGTTCCTCAGAATTGTGATGCTTGATTATTGGCTGCCATGAGTTGAACTGAGTCCCCCAAAAAGATATGTTTAAGTCTTAACCCCTAGTACCTCAGAATATGATCTGATTAAGGTTGTTACAGATGGAATTAGTTAAGATGAGGTTATATCGCAGTACGGCAGGCCCTTAATCCAATATAACTAATGTCCTTTTAAGAAAAAGAGGCTGGGCGCGGTGGCTCACGCCTGTAATCCCAGCACTTTGGGAGGCCGAGGAGGATGGATCACCTGAGGTCAGGAGTTCAAGACCAGCCTGGCCAACATGGTGAAACCCCGTCTCTACTAAAAATAAAAACATTAGCCGGGCTCGGTGGCATGCACCTGTAGTCCCAGCTACTAGGGGCTGAGGCAGGAGAATCGCTTGAACTGGGGAGGTGGAGGTTGCAATAAGCGGAGATCACGCCACTACACTCCAGCCTGGGTGATAGCACAAGACTCTGTCTCAGAAAAAAGAAAAAGAGACGAGACATAGAGACACAAGGGAGGAACACCATGTAACAAGGCAGAGATCCATGTGCTGCAGCTGAAAGCCAAGGAATGCCAAGGTGAACTGGAGGCAAACCACCAGAAGCCAGGAAGTGGCAAAGAAGATATCTCCCCTACAGGTTTTAGGGAACGTAGCCCTACAACACCTTGATGTCAGACTTCTAGCCTCCAGAAGTGTGCGGTGGTATATTTTGTTGTTTTAAGCACCCAGTTTGTGCTACTTAGTTACAGCAGTCCTTGGAAATTAACACATCGCCCAATGGTATTCACTCCTAGATCCACTCTTGTTCTCACCACTTCAGATCTCCTAGATGTCTGAGCCACATCCTTCGTCCTAAGTCCATTTTCTTCTTTCAAAGTAATAGAATGGTGGCCAGGAACATGGCTGCCTAGGTTGACATTTCCCAGCCTCCTTTGCAGTCAGATGGAGTCACATGACTGAGTTCTCACCAATGGGGTGTGAGAGGAAGTGACATGTTCCACTTCCTGGTTTGAGTCTTATGACATCATAAGCACTTCCTTTTTTTTTTTTTTTTTTTTTTTTTTGAGACAGAATTTTGCTCTGTCGCCCAGGCTGGAGTGCAATCGTGTGATCTCAGCTGACTGCAACCTCTGCCTCCCAGGTTCAAAGGACTCTACTGCCTCAGCCTCCCTAGTAGCTGGGATTACAGGCATGTGCCACCACGCCCAGCTAATTCTGTATTTTTAGTAGAGATGAGTTTTCTCCCTGTTGGTCAGGCTGGTCTCGAACTCCTGACCTCAGGTGATCCACCCACTTTGGCCTCCCAAAGTGCTGAGATTACAGGCATGAGCCACCGTGCCCAGGCAGCACTTTCTTCATAGTCTCTTCCTCCTTCCCATTGGCTGGAATTAAGACTTAGTGGGGATCCAGCATTGACCAGGCAGACAAAGCAATGCTGCACAACAGGAGATTGTAAACATGGCTGCACATTAGAATCTCCTGGGAACTTTTTAAGAAAAAAGAAAAGAAAAAAGATAAAAACCATGTCCAGGCCCTATCCCAGACAAAATAAATCAAAATCTCTGAAGGTGGGGCCCAGGTATCAGTGTTTTTTTACAGCTTCCAGAGTGATTCCAAAATGTAGCTACATTGAAGACAATTGCCTTAGAGAAGGGTAAACTGAGAACAGGAGATTGGAAACCTGAGTGACTTCCAGGAGCTGACTTGCTAACACGGACCATTTATACCAGGTTACCAGGTGAGGGACTCTGACTTCCCCAGAAAACAGACCACTCACTTTTATAACATTAACTTCCAAAACAAAAGCAACTTTGATAAACTCAAAAACTGCATATTAGTTTATCTACAACTGAGATGGGGAAGATTTCTTTTTTTTTTTTTTTTGAAACAGAGTCTCGCTCTGTGGTACAGGCTAGAGTGCAGTGGCACAATCTCAGCTCACTGCAACCTGCACCTCTCGGATTCAAGTGATTCTCCTGTCTCAGCCTCCCAAGTAGCTGGGATTACAGGCACACACTGCCACGCCTGGTTAATTTTTGCATTTTTAGTAGAGACAGGGTTTCACCATGTTGACCAGGGTGGTCTCGAACTCCTGACCTCAGGTAATCCGCCTGCCTTGGCCTCTCAAAGTGCTGAGATGGGGAAGATTTCTGATGGAGCAGGGTTTTATTTCATGGACTTGGAAGAATTTTTTTGTTTTTTTGAGACAGTTTCGCTCTTGTTGCCCAGGCTGGAGTACAGTGGCGCGATCTCGGATTACTGCAACCTCCGCCTTCCGGGTTCAAGTGATTCTCCTGCCTCAGCCTCCTGAGTGGCTGAGATTACAAGCATTGGCCACCACGCCCGCCTAATTTTTTGTATTTTTAGTAGAAACGGGGTTTCATCAGGTTGGCCAGGCTGGTCTCCAGCTGCTGACCTTAGGTGATTCACCTGCCTTGGCCTCCCAAAGTGCTGGGATTACAGGCGTGAGCCACCACGCCCAGCTGGAAGAACTCTTAATCCCACCCCTGACCATTCCATTCCTCTTATAGTTCATGAGATCTCTGCTCCTCTGTCCTATCTACTTCCACTGCATTTTCAAACAAGTCGTTCAATTTTCAATCTTTCTTTATTTGTTTTTGTTTTGTTTTGAGTGAGAGTCTCGCTCTGTCACCCAGGCTGGAGTGCAGTGGCGTGACCTTGGCTCACTACAACCTCCACCTCCCGGGTTCAAATGATTCTCCTGCCTCAGCCTCCCGAGCAGCTGGGACTACAGGCGCCCACCACCACGCCCGGCTATTTTTTTGTATTTGTAGTAGAGATGGGGTTTCACTATGTTGGCCAGGCTGGTCTCGAACTCCTGACCTCGTGATTTGTCCACCTCGGCCTCCTAAAGTGCTGGGATTACAGGCATGAGCCACCCCGCCCAGCCTCAATTTTCATTATTTCAAATAACATTTATTGAGTGCTTACTGTGTACCAGGTATTGTACTGAGCATTTTCCTTGTAATAGTGGATTTAATCCTCACATACTGCAGTGCAGTAGGCATTGTCATTACTACATTCTACAGATAAGAAACTGTGGTTCAGAGGTACAATTTACCAAGTTCTATCTAGGTCACGGTCTATGCTTTTTAATTAAGTATACTGTCCTATATTCCTTCTGAATGTTATTAACAAATTTTGTTAATAAAATGTCACTTTTTTTCCTTAGAGTCAAGGTTTTGATCTGTCACCCAGGCTGGAGTGCAGTGGTGTGATCATAGCTCACTGCCATCTTGAACTCCCAGGCTCAAGTGGTCCTCCCACCTCGGCCTCCCAAGTAGCTGAGGTTACAGGCATGCATCACCATGCCAAGCTAATTTTTAAATTTTTTGTAGAGATGGGGTCTCACTGTCTTGCCCAGGCTGGTCTTAAACTCCTGGGCTCAAGCGATCCTCCAGCCTCAGCCTCCCAAAATGCTGGGATTACTGGCATGAACCACCGCACCCAGCCAAAATGTCACATTTTATATGCCCAATATGCTTTCAGAAATGTTAGGTGCAGTACACATTAAGTATGGAAGTCAATGAATTTAAGACTTTAAAAGACTGTATAGATAGTTTTTAATTTGGCTCCTTTTTTTTCTTTTTGAGACAGAGTCTTGCTCTGTCACCCAGGCTGGAGTACAGTGGCATGATCTCAACTCTACAACCTCTGCCTCCTGGGTTCAAGCAATTCTCTAGCCTCAGTCTCCCAAGTAGCTGGGATTACAGGCATGTGCCACCACGCCTGGCTAATTTTTAGTACAGACGGGGTTTTACTATGTTGGCCAGGCTGGTCTCGAACTCCTGACCTCGTGATCTGCCCACCTTGGCCTCCCAAAGTGCTGCAGTTACAGGAGTGAGCTACTGCACCTGGCCAATTTGGCTCCTTTCTTAAAGGTGAGAAAACTGAGACTGCATTCACCTATTTGTCATTCATTCAACAAATGCTTACTGGATATTGACAAGGGCTCACTGTTATTGAGAGCTAACTATATGTCAGGCACTGTTCTGGACCGTTTTCAGATACTTACTCTTGAAACCCTCAAACACCCTTGTGATGTAGCCAACTAATGGGTAACATCTCTAGTTACCCTATTTCATGAATGAGGAATCCAAGATACAAAAAAGTAAAGTCCACACTAATAGTGGGTGGTGGAGAAAGAATTCAAACACAGGAATCTGATACCACAGGCACAATGCTACATTAGCTCATAACTTAAAAGTCACCAAACACATGAGAAGCTGCTTTGAAAGACAGAAGAAATAATCAAAAGGAGAAGTAAATCCCCTTCCAGTGTCTGCAGATACTGGGATTGTCAGATACAGAAGAGTAGTCATGAGAGAAATGACTGGAGAAATGAAAGACGGCTGGACGTGGTGGCTCAGGCCTGTAATCCCAGCAGGTGCGTCACCTGAGGTCAAGAGTTCGAGACCAGCCTGGCCAACATGATGAAATCCTGTCTCTACTAAGATTGCAAAAATTACCCGGGTGTGGTGGTGCATGCCTGTAATCCCAGCTACTCGAGAAGCTGAGGCAGGAGAATTGCTTGAACCCAGGAGGCAGAGGTTGCAGTGAGCCAAGATCACACCACTGCACTTCAGCCTGGGCAACAGAGCGAGACTCTGTCCAAAGAAAGGAAGGAAGGAAGGGAGGGAGGGAGGGGGGGAGAGAGACAGGAAGGAAGGAAGGAAGGGAGGGAGGGAAGGAAGGAAGGAAGGAAGGGAGAGAGAGAAAGAAAGGAAGGAAAGAGGCAGTCATAAAGGTGATCAAAGAACAAGAAACTTTGGGGAACAAATAGATGCTTTCCAATATAACATAAAAATGAAAAATATAATCGCTGAAATAAAAACTCAACTGACAAAAATCAGCTTAAACACAACCCAAGAGTAAATGAGTGAACTCAAAGATGTAGCTGAAGAAATAACCTTGAATGTAACACAAAGAGACAAGAGATATAAAATATGAAACAGGCTGGGCGCAGTGGTCTGTAATCTCAGCACTTTGGGAGGCTGAGGCAGGAGGATTGCTTGAGCCCAGGAGTTTGAGACTAGCCTGGGCAACAAAGTAACAAAGTAAGATCTCATTTCTACAAAAACTAAAAAAAAAAAAAAAGGTCGGGCATGGTTGCATGCACCTATGGTCTCAGCTACACAGGAGGCTGAGGCAGGAGGATTGCTTGAGCCCAGGAGGTCAAGGCTGCGGTGGACCATGATGATCACACCACTGCACTCCAGCCTGAGTGACAGCATGAGACCCTGTCTCAAAAAAACAATAAGTAAATGAGAATAAAAAATAAAATAAAATATGAAACAGTAAGAGAGATGAAGGGTAGGAGTATTAAATTTGGCTAGGTGAGGTGACTCACACCTGTAATCCCAGCTCTCTGGGAGGCAGGCCAAGGTGGGTGGATCACATGAGGCCAGGAGTTAGAGACCAGCCTGGCCAACATGGCGAAACCCCTGTCTCTACTAAAACTACAAAAATTAGCTGGGCATGGTGGCACACGCCCATAATCTCAGCTACTGGAGAGGCTGAAGCAGGAGAATCACTTGAACCCGGAAGGCAGAGGTTGCAGTGAGCCGAGAGCATGCCACTGCACTCCAGCCTGGGTAACAGAGCGACTCTGTCTTGAGAAAAAAAAAAAATTAAATTCTAGATGCACTTAATCAAACATCCCGAAGAATCAAATAGAGAAAATGGAGGCGAGGCAAGATTTAAAGAGATAAGACCTGCAAATTTTCTAAAATTGATGACAAACCGAAGTCCACAGACTAAAGACGCACAGAGTGAAGATCCAACCAGGATAAATAAAAAGAAATATATGCCTAGGCCCATCTTGGTGAAACAAAACACCAAAGATAGACAGAAGATCTTAACAGCAGCCAGGAAGAAAGTAGACATCATCTACAAAGGCCTGGCCATTTCAACCCAGGTGACTTTCCATCAGTAATAGTGGAAGACGGAAGGCATTGGAATGATACCTTGACATAATTGGAGCAAATGCCATTCTCCATTCAAGACCCTTGACAGCTTTGGTGCCGTGAGGGTTGAGGAAGGTCACCAGTGAGGACCACTGGGCCCTGGCATCCGAAAAAGCAGGTCACTCATGGAAAGCACTAGAAGCAGAGACGGTAGCAAGGAGACTGCCATTGGGACTTTATTTTTTATTTTTATTTATTTATTTTTTGAGACAGGATCTCACTGCGTCCCCCAGGCTGGAGTGCAGTGGCAACAATCTTGGCTCACCGCAATCTCCGCCTCCCAGGTTCAAGCGATTCTCCTGCCTCCCCAGTAGCTGGGATTACAGGTGCCCGCCACCATGCCAGGGTTCTGTTTTGTTTTGTTTTTTGAGACGCAGTCTTGCTTTGTCACCCAGGCTGTACTATAATGGCACTAATGGCACAATCTCAGCTCACTGCAACCTCCTCCTCCCAGGTTCAACTGATTCTCCCCCCTCAGCCTCCCAAGTAGCTGGGATTACAGGCACCTGCGATCATGCCCAGCTAATTTTTGTATTTCTATTAGAGACGGGGTTTCACTATGTTGGCCAGGCTGGTCTCAAACTCCTGACCTCAGGTGATCCACCCGTCTCGGCCTCCCAAAATGCTGGGATTACAGGCGTGAGCCACTGTACCCAGCCTTGCCATTGGGACTTTAACAGCAGCAAATCTGTTATGAGCAAAGTTTTTCCTGGACACAAATGAAACATCCCCCCGCCCGCCACACCGCAGAATCCTGCAACATAGTGTGGGAAGCTTGTAGCGAGGAGATGTTGAGGTCCTCCATGTGGAAAATAATGAGGTATTGAAATTCAGGCATTAATGTTAATGGGGCCCCATTTGTATGCAGTCTAATTGGGACTGGACTTTTTTGCTTTTAGGGTCGACTAACTGACCAATAAATTCTAAATTTTGTTTACAAACTTTGGCTCAGGTTAAGCTCTGAATCCATTTGTCTCAGATACACTCTATTGCCCAGATAGTAAGTGAATGTATTAGCATATAAATGAGATTTTGAAACAAAGACATCAAGATATTGAAGAAGCTGCATGCGGTGGTGCATTCCTGTAGTTCCAGCTACTCAGAATGCTGAGGTGGGAAGATCACTTGAGCCCAAGAAGTGGACGCTGCAGTGGGCTGTGACTGCACCACTGCACTTCAGCCTGGGCGACAGAGCCAGACCCTGTCTCAAAAAAAAAAAAACTGAACAAAGAGATTCAAGAAAACAATGGCTCAAATAAGAAACAAGTTTAACTCTCTCTCACCTAAGAATCCAGAAGGAGGCAGATGGTCTGACACAAGCAGGGGGCTCCACTGCACAAAGTCACCCAGAAACCCAGCTCTTTCCATCTCGCTGATCCATTATATCCAGGATATGTTTTCTTCCATATGCCACCCTGGCTCACGACAGTGTCCTTATTGGAGTCATCATGAAAGTAGTAAAGAGAAAAAGTAGAGAGCAAGCATTTCATTTTATGGAAGCAACACAGAAGTTACATTGTTTTTCCACTCATATTCTATTGCTGGGACCTTGTTCACATGGCCTTATATAGCTGCAAGAGAAGCTGGGAAATGTAGTCTCTAACTGGGCAACCATGTGCCCTGCTGATACTCAAGGGAGTTCTATTCCCAAAAGTAGGAAGAGGAGAGGGGTTTCTGGGACAGATGACAATGTCTGCCATGAGGGGACAGGAGATGAAAAAGAGGATGCCACAGTTAACTCACAATTATTTTTAAGAAATAGTAATAATAGCTACCACTTATGTACAATGTACCAGGCACTATTCTAAGCATTTGTATCAACTCCTTTAATCCTCAGCTCTCTGAGGTAGTTACTATTATTAATCCCATTTTGTAAACGAGAAAAAGACATAAATAATGTGACACATGTCTAATAAGTGGTATAACTAGAGCGTTAAAACTCTTTAGTCAAAGCCTTAAGAAAATTCATTTTCAAACAGTGACTTTGGTCAATGCAGTAGCTCGCACCTGTAATCCCAGCTGCTCAGGAGGCTGAGGTGGGAGGATCACTTGAGGTCAGGAATTTAAAACCATCCTGGGCAACATAGCTAGACCCCATCTCTAAAAATAATCTTAAAAATTAGCTGGGCATGGGGGCTTGCACCTGTTAGTCCTAGCTACTCAGTAGGCTGAGGCAGGAGGATTACTTTAGTGCAGGAGTTTGATGCTGCAATGAGTTATGATCATGTCACTGCACTCCAGCCTGGGCAATGGACCAAGACCTCATCTCTTAAAAAAAAAAAAGTGATTTTGCATTCACCTATAAAGTAATTATTTGAGGGAATGCAAAGAACGTTTTTAGGACTATGAAAAAGAAAGCTAGCAAAGCAACTGATTTCTAGTTTAGTGCAAGGAAGGCAAACCATTTACTGAATAGAGAAAAAAATATTCTCTCTAGTTTATCTCTAAAAGTAAATGCTTTGAGAACATAATCTATTTGCCCTTGGGATGAAGTCAGAGCAATTTCAATCTCAGGATCCAATCTTTCTGCCAAATATGGTCTCTGTTACTAACCCTCTTGACTAGAAATCTTTGGGAGCCAAAGAATATTCCTTTCCTTTCCCTAATATACAGATGCTGAGAGCAAACGTCTGTCTCCTGGGAATCCTGGCAGGAAAAAATCTAAGATTTTTTTTTTTTTTTTTTTTTTGCCACCAAGCTACTTTGGGAATTAAGATCATTAAAGACTAATAGCAGCTGCTACGTACTTAGCAAATGGAGCTAATCAGACTTCCACAAGTGGGGAAGTATCTAAATACACCACTGCTGCTAAATCCCAGTCTTGACTGTGGTGATATCCATTCCCCTCCTGACCAGGTAATTAGAAAGAACTGGATAATCACTTTAGCAAAATAGCAGATGCAGTGATATATCACACCTGTCCACAAGCTGTGTGGCAGGATAAAAGGTGAAAAGTGCCTCTGAGCTGAGAAATATCACAGTAAAAATGATGCATCATAGAAGCTGAAATTCACAGAGCCAGCCCCTGTAAGAAGTACCTGACACAGGAGCAGTGGAGACTCACAGAGTGGGTATGTTGCAGACCCACCAGGTTTGTATGCCTGCTGTGCAGTAACATACCAATCAACCAAGACAGCAGGGTTTGCAGCAGAGAAAGAGTTTAGTGCTCACAGGGCATCTGAGTGAGGAGAAAAGAGGAACCCCCAAATCTGTCTCCCCAAGGAGTTCTGAGCTGGGGTTTTAAGAGGATCATGGAGGGCAAGGACTGGAAAATTGAGTCTGATTGGTTGGGGTAAGGAGGATGAAATCATCAAGATATGGAAACTGCATTCTTTGGTAAGTCAGCTCTTTGTGGGGTCCTTCAGACCAGCTGACATCAGTAGTTTCACCGGCCGGGCACGGTGGCTCACACCTGTAATCCCAGTACTTTGAGAGGCCAAGGCAGGCGGATCACCTGAG
This sequence comes from Homo sapiens, assembly GCF_000001405.40. Lineage (NCBI taxonomy): Eukaryota > Metazoa > Chordata > Mammalia > Primates > Hominidae > Homo > Homo sapiens. The sequence goes on from NC_000019.10 coordinate 13,681,223, forward strand.
GTCGGGAGTTCGAGACCAGCCTGACCAACATGGAGAAACCCCATCTCTACTAAAAATACAAAATTAGCTAGGTGTGGTGGTGCATACCTGTAGTTCCAGCTACTCAGGAGGCTGAGGCAGGAGAATCGCTTGAACCCAGGAGGCGGAGGTTGCAGTGAGCCGAGATCACGCCATTGCACTCCAGGCAGGGCAACAAGAACAAAACTCCATCTCAAAAAAAAAAAAAAGAGGTAGTAGTTTCACTGATATTCAGGGTCTGAAAGAACATCTCAAATGGAAAACTTAATGCCTCACAATGCTTAGGATGACATCTATAGAGCAGTTAAGGGAAACTATAATCTTGTAACAGGGTCTACCTGATTCTGATGCAATAGGAAGCAAACAGCTATAAGGAAGCAGGCCAGAGAGCAAGCTGACTTAATGATTAATGCTGAATGTGCTGCAAGCTTGGCTTATTTTCACTTCTCCCCCTCCCTTTCTCCCTGATTAATTTCATAAAGTTTATAGGACGATTTCAGGCACAGGGATGCCTGATTGGAAACTACGTCTCCCAGCCTCTCTTGGGGCTGGGTGTAGCCAGATGAGTAAGGTCTTGCTGATGCAGGGCAGGTTCTTGGCTTTGCTCAAGAAGGAATTCAAGAGTGAGCCGGTGGTTGGAGAAAGCAGCTTTACTGAGGTAGCAGCAGTGTTACAGCTCTGTGACTACTCCTGCTCCCCACAGGCATTGCACCAAGAGTAGTAGTGATCTGCGGTCATATTTATACCCAATTTTTTTTTTTTTTGAGATGGAGTCTCACTCTGTCGCCCAGGCTGGAGTGCAGTGGTGAGATCTTGGCTCACTGCAAGCTCCATCTCCCAGGTTCATGCCATTCTCCTGCCTCAATCTCCCGAGTAGCTGGGACTACAGGCGCCTGCAACCACGCCCGGCTAATTTTTTGTATTTTTAGTAGAGACGGGGTTTCACCGTGTTAGCCAGGACGGTCTCGATCTTCTGACCTCATGATTCACCCGCATCAGCCTCCCAAAGTGTTGGGATTACAGGCGTGAGCCACCGCGCCTGACCTATACCCACTTTCAATACATGTTAGTTAAAAGCCAGATTATTCAGAAATAGCTAGAAAATGGGCGGTAACTTTGGGTGTTGCCATGGCAAGGGGTGGTAGTTTGGGGCGTTGCTATGGCAATGGTAAACTCTCATGGTGCTGGTGGGGGTGTCTTATGGTGATGGGCAACGAAGAGGTGCTTTTGGTGCCTTTAATCTGGGCCAGAGATGAGTCCTGCCTGCCTCCTTTCTTATTGCCAGTGGAATGTGAGCCAAAGTGATGAGTTGCTTGCCCAAGTACTGGAACATAGATGTGCCTGAGACCCAGTGTCAACCTATTAAATGAGGACAATACCCTAAGTAATGACCTAGCAGCAAGATGAGAGGAAGCAGGATCCCAAATGACTGTGTGTAAAACAGCTCTTCCCTGCCAACCTGGACTGCTCATGGCCAAATATTGTGTGAAAGAGGGGTAATCATCTGTCCTCCACAAGCCACTGTGTCTGGGAGTCCTTTTGGGGTTTTTTTGTTTGTTTGCTTGTTTTGTTTTGTTTTGAGACAGAGTCTCGCTCTGTTTCCTAGGCTGGAGTGCAGCGGCATGATCTCAGCTCACTGCAACCTCTGCCTCCCAGGCTCAAGCGATTCTCCTGCCTCAGCCTCCCGAGTAGCTGAGATTACAGGCCTGCGCCACCACGCCCAGCTAATTTTTGTATTTTTAGTAGAGACAAGGTTTCACCATGTTGGCCAGGCTGGTCTCGAACTCCTGACCTCAGGTGATCCACCCTCCTCAGCCTCCCAAAGTACTGGGATTCCAGGCGTGAGCCACCGCGCCCAGGTTTGTTATAGCTTCTTAACCTTTGCCCTAACACAGTAGACTAGTTCATTTAATCTTCACAACAACCCAGGGAACTGGTTACTATTATTATTCCCATTTCACAAATAAGGGAACTGAGACTCAGAGAAAGTTAAATATTTCACCCACCATCCCAAAATCAACAAATGATGCAAACAGAAGTGGAAGCCAAGTTTCAAGCCCATGGAGAAGGTTCTGATTCAGTAGGTCCTAGACAGAGGCTGAAATTCTGCATTTCTAGAAAGCTCCCAGCTGAGGCTGGGAGGTCCATGGATTATAATTTGAGGAGCAAGGATTTAAACCACTCCCCTCCCTTGTCTCCCCTAAGAGTTAGAAACTGACTGTCCAAGCCTGAGCAGTGTAGTGAGACCTCATCTCAACAAATTTTTTTTAATTAGCTGGGCATGATGGTGCACTCCTGTAATCTCAGCTACTTAGGAGGCTGAGGTGGGAGGATCACTTGAGCCCAGGAGGTCAAGGCTGCAGTGAGCCATGATTGTAACACTGCACTCCAGCCTAGCTAACAGAGTGAGACCCTACCTCAAAACAAAAAATAAAAAAAAGAAAGAAACTGGCTGGGCGCGGTAGCTCACGCCTGTAATCCCAGCACTTTGGGAGGCCGAGGCGGGTGGATCACCTGAGGTCAGGAGTTTGAGACCAGCCTGGCCAACATGGCAAAACCCATCTCTACTAAAAATACAAAAAGTATCTGGGCGTGGTCGTGCACACCTGTAGTCCCAGCTACTCGGGAGGCTGAGGCAGGAGTACTGCTTGAACCTGGGAGGCGGCAGTTGCTGTAAGCCAAGATCATTCCATTGCACTCCAGCCTGGGTGACAGAGTGAGACTCCGTCTCAGAAAAAAAAGAAACTGTCCAGATTCCCAAGTTCTAGTCTCAGGTATCTAAATGACAACCAATAATAGCTTCCTAAAAATGTTTTGCCCTTTCTGTACTGTTCCCTTCTCCTGGAAATTAGTTGAATTCATATATTCAGTTTTCTTAATAGGCAAATTCTCTTTCAAGCTTTGAATTTCTCCTAGGCAGGTGTCACGCTTCCAAGGAGCAGTTACCATGAAATTGTGAAATATGATGCCACTTTCTGGAGATCTTGTGACAGCTGTCTCACCCTCTATCTTTTCTTACTCTGGCTCTGTAACCCAAAATAACATTCAATGAGGCTTCTTGGGAAAGGTGACATGTCATTCTGTGCTGTTTCAACAGGAAACATTGACTACAATAAGAAACACCCTCAGCCTGGAGAGATATTATAATCAACAGCAAAAAACCATTTCAGCACCCAAAACACTTGGGAAATGTATCCTTGTTGCAAACCCAACTTCAGCCTGAAAAATCATCGCATTCTAAAAGTAAACCAAAGGCTGGTTCCGGTGGCTCATACCTGTAATCCCAGCACTTTGGGAGGCCAAGGCAGGAAGATCACTTGAGGCCAGGAGTTTGAGACAACCCTAGGCAACACAGGAAGATCCCATCTCTGAAGAAAAAAAAAAAGAAAGAAAGAAAAATTAAGGCTGGGCGCGGTTGCCCATGCCTGTAATCTCAGCACTTGGGAGGCCGAGGCAGGCAGATCACTTGAGGCCAGGAATTCGAGACCAGCCTGGCCAACATGGGGAAACCCTGTCTCTACTAAAAATACAAAATTAGCCGGCATGGTGGTGTGCACCTGTAGCTTCAGCTACTCTGGAGGCTGAGGAAGAATCACTTGAGCCTGAGAAGTGGAGGTTGCAATGAGCTGAGATTGTGCCACTGCACTCCAGCCTGGGTGACAGAGTGAGACTGCCTCAAAAAAAAAAAAAATTAAAACAATTAGCATGGTGGCATGTGCCTGTAGTCCTAACTATTCAAGACAAGAGGATTGCTGGAGCCCAGGAGTTCAAAGTTACAGTGGGCTACGATCAAGCCACTGCACTCCAGCCTGGGCTGCAGAACAAGACCCTGTCTCAAAAAAAAAAAAAAAAAAAAAAGGAAGGAGCCAGGGGAGCTTATTGGTGACTCTGAGATGTCCAAGGATAAATCTGGCTTCAAACATGGCTAGATCCAGGGCTGCCAAAGATAATATTAGGACTCACGCTCTCTCTCCATCTGTCAGTTCTGCCACCCACAGGATCTCCCCCTCTCCCGTAACCACCATGAGAGCTATGGTGGATAGGATCGCATTTTTTATTTATTTATTTATGAGACAGAGTCTCGCTCTGTCCCCCAGGCTGGAGTGCAGTGGTGCTATCTCGGCTCACTGCAACCTCCGCCTCCCGGATTTAAGCGATTCTCCTGCCTCAGCCTCCCGAGTAGCTGGGATTACAGGCACCCACCATCAATCCTGGCTAATTTTTGTATTTTTAGTAGAGACGGGGTTTCACCATGTTGGCCAGTCTGGTCTCGAACTCCTGACCTCAGGTGATCCACCCGCCTTGGCCTCCCAAAGTGCTGGGATTACAGGTGTGAGCCACCACGCCTGGCCAGATTGCATTTTCAGAAATGCAGTACCTCTGCACTCTGCATGTGACTGTGCCCTCCCACCGTGGGTAGAGTATATTTCCCCACCACACTGATACTGGGGTTGGTCATGTGACTTCCTCTGGCATATGGGATGTCAGCAGATGTGAACAACAGATGTAAATGTGCCCGCAGGGCTTAGCTGAGCTCTTTCACTCAAGTATTCTGCCAGGAGAAGAGCATGCCCCAGGGAATTGCTTACCCTTATCCTGAGAATTATCAAATGTGGAGCAGAGTAAACCCAACCTTGGATTTGGCACCGACAGAACCCAACCAATCCAACAGCCTGAAGCAGAGTCATTTATCCAAGTCTTGAATGGAGGATCAGCTAAGCCAAACTGGACCTTTAGAACCCTGAGCATAAGAATAAAGGCTTATTGTGAGGAAGCAAGTCTGAGTTTTGGGTGGTTTGTTACATGGCATTATTATAGTAACAGCTGTAATCCCAGCATTTTGGGAGGCCAAGGCAGGAAGATTACTCGAGGCCAGGAGTTTGAGACAACCCTAGGCAACACAGGAAGACTCCATCTCTGCAAAAATAAAAATAAAAAAAAATTAAGCCCGGGCGGCCCATGCCTGTAATCCCAGCACTTGGGAGGCTGAGGCAGGGCGGGTCACTTGAGGCCAGGAATTCCAGACCAGCCTGGCCAACACGGGGAAACCCTGTCTCTACTAAAAATACAAAAATTAGCCGGCATGGTGGTGTGCACCTGCAGTCTCAGCTACTCCAGAGGCTGAGGCAGAAGAATTGAGATTGTGCCACTGCACTCCAGCCTGGGAGACAGAGAGAGACTGTCTCAAAAAAAAAAAAAAATTAAAACAATTAGCCTGGCATGGTGGCATGTGCCTGTAGTCCTAACTGAGTCATTATCCACACACCACTCAACATTCACTCGCAAGAGCGTCATTCATCACTTGCACCCAGAACCAACACCAGCAAAAGAAATAAAATCTCATACAAAAATGCACCTAAAGGGCCGGGCACGGTGGCTCATGTCTGTAATCCCAGCACTTTGGGAGGCTGAGGCAGACGGATCGCCTGAGGTTGGGAGTTCGAAACCAGCCTGACCAACATGGAGAAACCCTGTCTCTACTGAAAATACAAAATTAGCCGGGTGCAGTGGCACATGCCTGTAATCCCAGCTACTTGCGAGGCTGAGGCAGGAGAATTGCTTGAACCCAGGAGGCAGAGGTTGTGGTGAGCCGAGATAGTGCCATTGCACTCCAGCCTGGGCAACAAGAGTGAAACTCCGTCTCAAAAAAAAAAAAAAAAAAAGAAAAATAAGAAAAGAAAATGCACCTAAAAGCCGGGTGTGGTGGCACATGCCTGTAGTCCCAGCTACTCAGGAGGCTGAGGCAGGAGGATTGCTTGAGCCCAGGAGGTTGAGGCTGCAGTGAGCCACGTTCATGCCACTGCACTCCAGCCTGGGGAACAGAATGAGACCCTGTCTCAAAAAAAAATTATTATCCTACTATTGATAGATATTTGAGTTTCAAGTTTTGGCTAAAAAGCCTGCTGTAAACATTCTTCTACATGTGTTTTGGTGCATATAACCACCTATTTCTATTGACATATACCTAGCTGTAGAATTGCTAGATTATATGATAAATGTATATTCAGCTTTAGTGGAACCTTCCAGTTTTCCAAAGTGGCTGTACTCCTATCAGTAATGTATGAGCATCCCTTCCCGTCACTCCACATCTTCACTCAAACTTAGTATTTGTTGTCAGTCCATTTATTTATTTATTTATTTTGAGACAGAGTTTCACTCTTGTCACCCAGGCTGGAGTACAGTGGTGCGATCTCAGCTCACTGCAACCTCCATCTCCTTGGTTCAAGCAATTCTCATGCCTCAGCCTCCCCAGTAGCTGGGATTACAGGTGCGCATCACCACGGCTGGCTAATTTTTGTATTTTTAGTAGAGACGAGGTTTCACCATGTTGGCCAGGCGGGTCTCGAACTCCTGACCTCAGGTGATCCTCCCATCTCGGCCTCCCAAAGTGCTGGGATTACAAGCGTGAGCCACCAGGCCTGGCCTGGTCAGTCCTTTTAATATTAGCCATTCTGATGGAGTTATAGTTAATTTGTATTTCTCTACTCTGCAAGGGTGTTAAGTACCTTATTGTATATTGGTCACTTTTTCTTCTTTGCTTTTTTTTTGAGATGGACCCTTGCTTTGTCATCCAGGCTGGAGTGCAGTGGTGCAATCTCAGCTCACTGAAACTTCCATCTCCCAGGTTCACGCGATTCTTGTGCCTCAGCCTCCCAAGTAGCTGGGATTACAGGCGTGCGCCACCACACCCAGCTAAATTTTGTATTTTTCATAGAGACAGAGTTTTGCCATGTTGGCCACACTGGTCTCGAATTCCTGACCTCAAGTGATCTGCCTGCCTTGACCTCCCAAAGTGCTGGGATTACAGGCATGAGCCACCGTGCCCAGCCTCACTTTTTCATCTTTGTTTTGTGAAGTGCCTGTTTAAGTCTTCACCCACTTTCTTATTCACTCACCTGGCTTATTGATTTGTGAGGGTTCTTTATATATTCCGAATATGAGTCCTTTGAGACAAGACATAATGCAAATGTCTTCTCCCAGTTTGTGGCTTGACTTTTCACTCTCTTCACGGGATCTCTGATGAATAAAAGTTCTTAATTTTAATAAAGTCTAATTAATCAGTATTTTACTTTATGATTAGTGCTTTTTGGGATCTGATTCGGCTTATCCAAGCCAAATAATATGTCTTCTCCTTGAAATTCACAAAAGCGCACCCAAATGTTAGGTGTTTTTATTAGCAAAATTTCAAAAATGTTGATTTATTACTTTTTACTCAAAAAAAGCGAAGACATTTTTCTGTTATTATTTCTTTGTAATAAAAGACTATATAAGAGTCTACAATTCTTATTGTCTGTTTGTTTGTTTGTTTTTGAGACAGAGTTTTGCTCTATTACCCAGGCTGCAGTGCAGTGGCATTATCTCAGCTCACTGCAACCCCCGCCTCCTGGGTTCAAGCGATTCTCCTGCCTCAGCCTCCTGAGTAGCTGGGATTACAGGTACATGCCACCACATCTGGCTAATTTTTTTATATTTTTAGTAGAGACAGGGTTTCACCATGTTGGCCAGGCTGGTCTCAAACTCCTGACCTCAGGTGATGCACCCACCTCAGCCTCACAAAGTGCTGGGATTACAGGTGTGAGCCACCATGCCCCGCCTGTTTGTTTTTTTTGAAATGATCTCACTCTGTCACCAAGGCTGGAGGGGAGTGGTGCCATCATAGCTCACTGCAGCCTCAACCTCCCAGGCTCAAGCAATCTTCCCAACTCAGCCACCTGAGCAGCTGGGACTACAGGCAGACACTACTATGCCTAGCTAATTTTTTTTTATTTTTTGTACATACAGGGTCTCACTATGTTGCCTAGGCTGAACTTCTGGGCTCATGCAATTCTCCCACCTCAGCCTCCCAAAGTGTTAGAATTACAGGCCTGAGCCACCGCACCCAGCCTACAACTCTTATAGCAATGTTGCCTTCAAAGGCAGTTTGGGCCACGTGCCATTTTTGCCTCTGTCCCTGCCTTCTTAACCTACACCCTGTAGAAGGTGCAACTCCACTGTAAGAACAACTGCAGCTCCTCAAATATCCCATGTGCTGCCTACATTTCCCAGTATCCCTTGCGCTTTGATTAGCATCATGTGATTAGTTTTGGCCAATGGGCTGTGAGCATAAATGATGCATGCCATTTCCAGACTGAGGCAGTGAAAAACTGGCATTCCTCCTCTCTCCCTCTTCCCCCTGCCCAATAACCTTGGAAACCATATGTTCTAGATGGGAGAAGAGGGCTGGCCAACCTATCTCAGACTGTGTATGAGTGAGAAATAAGCCTTTGTTTTATTAAGCCACTAGATTTCAGGACTTAACTATTGCAGCAGCTGGCATTCCTTAGTCTAACTAATACCCAAGGAGAATCAGAACAGCCATTAATAGGAACTACCAAAACTCTGCAAGTTGAATGCATGTCCTGACAGTTCCTTTGTCCTCAGCTCAGTACTGAGGTTATCTTTGGCAAAGTTCTCCATCACTGATTTTCTTAGGTCAGATTCTCCCAAAAGCAGTCCCTGAGACAAGGATCTGGGTGCAAATAATTTATTAAGAAGTGTTCCCTTCTCAGCAAACTATCGCAAGGACAGAAAACCAAACACCGCCTGTTCTCACTCATAGGTGGGAATTGAACAATGAGAACACTTGGACACAGGAAGGGGAACATCACACACCAAGACCTGTCATGGGGTAGGGGGAGGGGGGAGGGATAGCATTAGGAGATATACCTAACGTAAATGATGAGTTAATGGGTGCAGCACACCAACATGGCACATGTATACATATGTAACAAACCTGCACGTTGTGCACATGTACCTTAGAACTTAAAGTATAATAATAAAAATAAAAAATAAAAAAAAAAGAAGTGTTCCTAGCTGGGCGCGGTGGCTTACACCTGTAATCCTAGCACTTTGGGAGGCTAAGGCGGGTGGATCACCTGAGGTCAGGAGTTCAAGACCAGCCTGGCCAACACGGCGAAACCTCGTATCTACTAAAAATACAAAAATTAGCCGGGTGTGGTGGTGGGTGCCTGTAATCCCAGCTACTTGGGAGGCTGAGGCAGGAGAATCACTTGAACCCATAAGGCGGAGGTTGCAGTGAGCCAAGATCACACCACTGCACTCCAGCCTGAGCGACAGAGTGAGATGTGGTCTCAAAAAACAAAAAAAAAGAAAAAAGAAGTATTCCCAGGGTAATCAATAAGGGGATGGTGGGGAAAGCAGGACAGGGAAAACAAAGAAGCAAAACAAACATTCAATACCAAGTGAAGTTTCACACCCAGACTGTTCCAGCCAGGGACCCCTGGAGCGCAAACTATACCCCAAAGCTGGTCCCACCTAGAGACAAAGGAGAAGGGCTTTGGACCCTGTATTCATCAGCTTGGGCTGCTACAACAAAATGCCACAGACTTAGTGACTTAAGAGAAATTTATCCTCTCACAGTTTTGGAGGCTGAGAAGTTCAAGTTCAAGGTGCCAGCAAAGTCAATGTCTGCAGAGGGCTCTCCCCTTGGGCTATAGACAACTACCTTCTCATGTGTCCCCACATGGCCTTTCTCTCATGCATGAAGAGAGAGACAGAAACAGAAGTAACTCTCTGGTGTCTCTCTCTCTCTATTTTTGTTTGTTTGTTTGTTGTTTGTCTGTTTTGAGACAGAGTCTCACTCTGTCGCCCAGGCTGGAGTGCAATGGCGCAATCTCGGCTCACTGCAACCTCTGCCTCCCAAGTTCAAGTGATTCTCCTGCCTCCGCCTCCCAAGTAGCTGGGATTACAAGCATGCATCACCGCGCCTGGCTAATTTTTGTATTTTTAGTGGAGATGGGGTTTCACCATCTTGGCCAGGCTGGTCTCAAACTCCCGACCTCAAATGATCCACCCTCCTCGGCCCCTCAAAGTGCTGGGATTACAGTCATGAGCCACTGTACCCGGCCTCTCTCTCTCTTTTTAAGAGACAGGGTCTTGCCCTATTGCCCAAGCTGGAGTGCAGTGGTAGAATCATAGCTCACTGCAGCCTTTAATTCCTGGGCTCAAAGAATTCTCCCACCTCAGCGTCTCCAGTAGCTATGATTACAGATGTACACTACCACACCTGGCTAATTATTTTTTCATGTATTTTTGTAGAGATGGTCTCACTATGTTGCCTAGGCTGGTCTCAAACTCCTGGGCTCAAGCAATCCTTCCACCTCAGCCTCCCAAAGCACTGGGATTACATATGCCAGCCACCGCACCTTGGTCTGCTGCCTCTTTTTATAAGGATGCTAATCCTATTGGATCAGGGCCCCACCCTGAATACTTCATTTAACTTAATTGCCTCCTAAAAGTCTTATCTCTGAATACAGTCACATTGTGGGGCACAGGGATTTGGAGGGCACACAAACATTTAGTCCATAACTGACCCCTAAACCTATTGATGATTGGCTGCCAGGGAAGGTTGAGCAAGGTAGGCTCCAAGGCACTCTGGCCCTCCATATGGGCAGGGCAGCTCCAGGGCCCAAGAACAACCTCTGAAGGTCACAGGTGTGAGCAGGTAGCATGTAAGCATTAAGAAACCAGGGGATGGATGCACTGAGGTGGGGTGAGGTCCGGGTGTGGCTGCCCACACTGCCTGCTACTCTGATGCTGTATCAGCAAGAAACAGCTTATACATTTCTGTTGTAATGGGGGAAGCAAACTTTAATCATACATCTGCAGATTTCTCTCACTCTACGCCAGCCTGCAGATGTCTTCTGCTAGAGTTAAAAATTTCCACGGAATTATCTCCAATCTCCTCTCACAGCCTGGTAATTTGGCCAAAAGAAATCCCAGATGTTTCAAAGAATCCCTAATAGTGACTGTAGGGCTTTGATTTCTCCTCATCCAGTTGGTCCCAGGGCACTGCCAAGCCCTGGTTGGTGTCCTTGTCAAATTGCTCCGAGAGTGAGCAAAAAAACGGAGAAACTTGTGCCCAAAACCCAATCAAGCATTTGTCTTAAAAGCACACTCGCCTTGAAAGCCAGCCAACTTCTGTGAAATAGAAAAGAATCCATTTTCTGCTTCTATTTCTTGGCCCTTGAACAGGCAGTGACTCAAGACTCAAGTCAGTGGTTGGTGCAGCTGCAATGAGACATCCGTCAGTGAGCTGGCATCTCTGACAATGGCGTGTGCCCACAGAGAGGCTGTGACTCAGGAGGGCAGGTGGCACTCCATGATCCCCCAAAGCAGCCAAGCCAGGTGGGGTGCCAAGCATCCCAGGTGCTCCTGAGCTGGAAGACCGACAGTTTTCTACCAGTTGAAGTCGTGTTTGGCAAAGAAACCGTTCAGCCCTTTAACAGATATTGACAGCCTGCTAGTTTCCAAAATGGGGTCAAAAGATGGAGATTCTCCTTTGATGGTGTCAGCGGGTGCATAATGGATGTGTGGATGTTCTTTGTGCTCAGAAACGTCTGCCGTTCCATCCAGTTGCATGCTGAAGGGAGGTGGGGAGCTGCCAACTCCTCCACGACCCATTTCAAAGTATTAAAAGAATTGTTAGCAATTCCAGGTTGCTGGTGAAAACATCTCCTTGGTTTTCTTTCCCCCACTTCAAATCACAAACCAACCCAACCATTTCTAGAATACACAGCTCTACTGGGGTCCTATTCCATGTGCTATAGGAGACTGCAAAACAAAGTCTTTTTTCTTTTTTTTTTTTTTTTTTTTTGAGACAGGTTCTCACTCCGTCCCCTACGCAGGAGTGCAATGGTGCAAACATAGCTCACTGCAGCCTCAACCTCCTGGGCTCAAGTAATCCTCATACCTCAGTCTCCTGAGTAAGACAAAATTTTACTGGGGCAATTTCAACTCTTCGTAAGGTTTTACCTTTTGAACTTGTGCTTTCCTTTTTTTTTTAAGATGGAGTTTCACTCTTGTGTCGCCCAGGCTGGAGTGCAGTGGCACAATCTCGCCTCACTGAAACCTCCGCCTCCCTGCTTCAAGTGATTCTCCTGCCTCAGCCTCCTGAGTAGCTGGGATTACAGGCGGCTGCCACCATGCCAGGCTAATTTTCGTATTTTTAGTAGAGATGGGGTTCCACCATGTTGGCCAGGCTGGTCTCCAACTCCTGACCTCAGACGATCCATCCGCCTCAACCTCCCAAAGTGCTGGGATACAGGCATGAGCCACCATGCCCAGCCTTAAGCCACCGTGCCCAGCCTGCTGTCTTTATTATTATTATTTAGAGACAAGGTCCCACTCTGTTGCTCAGGCTACAGTGCAGTGGCACAATCATAGCTCATCGTAACCTCAAACTGCTGGGCTCAAGTGATCCTCCCACCTCAGCCTCCAGAGGAGCTGGGACTACAAGCACACACTACCTCACTGGGCTCATTTATTTTTTATTTTTTAGAGATAGGGTCTTGCTTGTTGCCCAGGCTGGTCTTGGACTCCTGACCTCAAGCAATCCCCCTGCCTTGGCCTCTAAAAGTGCTGGGATTACAGGCATGAGCCACTGCACCCGGCTTAAGTTATACTTTCTACACACACACACACACACACACACACACACAAATAATCATGTTCGAGTTGCATAGACTTAAGAAGCTCAATCTACTTACCTACTTTGAGAATGTCTTAATTTGAATTCCCCCAGGAGCCAAGCCTGCGACAAGGATTTGAGGATAAGTAGACTATTTAGGAAATAGCCCCTAGGAAGCATCGGTAGAGAATAAGCAAGAAAGAGGGGAAGAGAAGGCAGCTAGCAAAGGATACATCCTTAGTGAGTTACTGCTGTGGGCAATAAGGGCTTAATCCCCTGGGAAATGGGAGGTGGAAATCCACCTGACAGTTATCCCACTGGAGGGGCAAGGGAGCTGGAGGATGGATCCGTGACCTCTGTCAGTCATTAGCAGGAAGACGGCACCTGGGGGACTTAGATTCCCCAGCACTTCTGGCTGTCACAGTGAAGACAAAACAGACCCTGGCTGCAAGAGAAAGCCCCCAGGGAAAGAAAGGCAGGTGCTCAGAGCAGGTCTTGGGAGCCGGAAATGAAGCTAATGTTTGCTAAAGTGATGAGGGTGAGGGAATAGGTGTGACCTTGAGTTGCTGGGGATGAAAATCTTGCTACATGAGCAGTACTAGGCTTTTGTGACCCAACAATAGAGAAATAGAAACCAAAAGACTCCATGGATCAGGTAGAGTTAACTTACAGAGAAAAAAAGCCTTTTTTTTTTTTTGAGACAGAGTTTCGCTCTTGTTGCCCAGGCTGGAGTGCAGTGGTGGGATCTCAGCTCACTGCAACCTCCGCCTCCCGGGTTCAAGCGATTCTCCTGCCTCAGCCTCCTAAGTAGCTGGGATTACAGGTGCCTGCCACCACGCCCGGTAATTTTTTGTATTTTTAGTAGAGATGGGGTTTCACCATGTTGGCCAGGCTGGTCTCAAACTCCTGACCTCAGGTCATCCACCCGCCTCGGCCTCCCAAAGTGCTGGGATTACAGGCTTAAGCCACCGTGCCTGGCCTAAAAAAGCCTGTTTAAAAATGTTTTAGGCTGGGCACGGTGGCTCAGGCCTGTAATCCCAGCATTTTGGGAGGCTGAGGTGGGTGGATCACCTGAGGTCAGGAGTTTAAGACCAGCCTGGCCAACATGGTGAAACCCAGTTTCTACTAAAAATACAAAAATTAGCCAGGTGTGGTGGTGCGTGCCTATAGTCCCAGCTACTCAGGAGGCTGAGTCAGGAGAATTGCTTGAACCTGGGAGGGCGGAGGTTGCAGTGAACCGAGATCGCACCATTGCACTCCAGCCTGGGCGACAAGAGTGAAACTCTGTCTCAAAACAAAAATAAAAATAAAAATAAAAATAAAAACCCTCCCATAGATGCTCCATACGCTCTAATTCTGTGTCTCCATCCACTGAAAGCAAAATTCCAAGGCTTTGGCTATGGTGGAGCCTCAAGATGGAAAGACCTTGGATTTCTGAAATCATGGGCCGATGATCATGAAAATGCACCTCTGGGATCTGCAAGAAGTGTGATTGAACAAGCACCCCAGCTGCTGGGCTCTGAAGTCCAGCACGTCATAGGAACTGAGGCCATGTTTCCCAAGGGCTGCTCCTCACCCGGGCCTGAGCAGAGCAGGGACACTGTGGCAAGCCAGGTCCTGAGAGACTCAGAAATCTTCTGGGACAAGCAACTTTGGCTCAATGGCCTGGCCAAAGTCTCTCAGAAATGTCCTGCAGTCTAAGATGCTTCCACCCCACCACAACTTCACATGAGCAAAATCTTCCTTCTATTGTCTCTTTTTTGTCAATTTCTGGTAAATAACTTCTATTGTCTTAAAACACACTGGAGTTAAGGGATTTAGGCGTTACAGCAGCAGTGGTTGCCTTAATTCATTAATACAGGAGGAAATTGAGGGGCCATTGCCCAAAAGGTTAAGTTCAAAACCACAACTCCAGGACTGCAATTCAGGGATCAGGAAGCTGATGCTGGCCGGCGCCTGTAATCCCAGCACTTTGGGAGGCCAAGGCAGGCAGATCACTTGAGGTCAAGGAGTTTGAGACCAGTCTGGTCAACATGGTGAAGTCCCGTCTCTACTAAAAATACAAATAACTAGCTGGGCGTGGTGGTGCATGCCTGTAATCCCATCTACTCAGGAGGCTGAGGCAGAGGTTGCAGTGAACTGAGATTGTGCCACTGCACTCCAGCCTGGGAGACAGAGCGAGACTCTGTCTCAAAAAAAAAAAAAAAAAAAAAAGAAAAAAGAAAGGCAGACAGGAAAAGGAAGCCAATAAAAGGTGTGATAATGAGCACTGTATTAGTTAGCTATTGCTGCATAACAAATTACCTCAAAACTTCAGTGACATTAAATAACACGTATCTATTATCTAATAGTTTCTGAGGGTCAGGAATCTGGGAACATCTTAGGTGGGTCCTCAGCTCTTGGGCCTGTCATAGGCTGCAATGTAAATACAAAAAAGAAATCATGAAAGTGACAAGCCCTCCTTCCCCTTGGGTAGATGACATTGGCTATATTTCTGGCTATACCACACCTTCCCATTAGCATTCAGACTTCCCTTTTTGGGGGGAATTGTCCAGCTGAAAGTTGTCTTAACACAAGGACTGTTCCCAACACTAGCCTCCCAGGGCAAGCCTGTGACACACACTTGGTCAACCCAAAGCTCATTGCTTTGGCTCCTAGGTGAGTGTCCCAGTGTCATTTGAGAATGTTTGTAGAACAGTGGCAGAGATGGCATGTAGTCAGAGCTGTTTGCCATGAGACCTTGGCTCTGAACTCTCTAGCTGGGATCCAAGGAGGAAGGTTTATCTAATACAGACATGCCAAGGATGAACCTCCTATGAACTTTTTATCCAGCGTGAATGCGCATGGAAGTTTGGCATAACACACAAGTGACCAGGAGAAGGGATGTGCTGAACTCTGCTAAAGGCTTTTCTCCCACAATATCAAGGAAGGAAACTGAACAGAGCTGGCTTTCAGGCCTAGAGACCTCCACCCTACCTGGCTCCTATCTTGGAGGAATACTGTCCCCAAGTGACGGGGAGAATTCCAAGGAACCTCTAGGTGCTAACATTGACACCTAAATTCATGGGTCTGCAGACTTCTACCATGGAATGCAATTGTCTTCACTTAGGTTCTCCCAGAAGTAGACAATGACCCAAGGACTCAATGGGCAAGTAGTTTGTTTAAGGGAGACGCCAGGAGATACCAGTAGGGGAATAGGGGTGTGACACAGAGAAGAGAGGGCAGTCCATAAAGGTGCATGATGAGCAAGTTACCTCTGTGGGCAACAGGGGTTCAGTCATGCTGGAAAATGCTGGGGACTGAGTGGAACACACACCTTAGAGTCATCCCACTTGAGGGGAGAGGGAGCTGGGGTATTTATCCACCAGCTCCCATTGGTCACTGATTAGGGGGGCTTATTAGGGAATGAAGAATGTGGCTGTTAATTCTCAGATACTTCCACTCTGCTATTCAGTCTTTGGCAGCTTTAAAGAAAGCCCTCAGGGGCCAAGCACAGTGACTCACACCTGTAATCCCAGCACTTTGAGAGACTGAGGCAGGAGGATCGCTTGAGCCCAGCAGTTTGAGACTAGTCTGGGCAACATAGCAAGACCCCATCTCTACTAAAAATGAAAAAAAAATTAGCCAGGCATAGCCCAGGCGTGGTGGCTCATGCCTATAATCCTAGCACTTTGGGAGGCCGAGGTAGGCAGATCACCTGAGGTCAGGAGTTCAAGACCAGCCTGACCACCATGGTGAAACGCCATTTCTACTAAACATACAAAAATTAGCTGGGCGTAGTGGCGTGCGCCTATAATCCCAGCTACTTGGGAGGCTGAGGCAGAAGAATCGCTTGAGCCCAGGAGGCAGAGATTGCAGTGAGCTGAGATCATGCCATTGCACTTCAGCCTGGGCAACAGAGCAAGACTCCATCTCAAAAAAAAAAAAAAATAGCCAGGCGTGGTAGCACACACCTGCAGTCTCAGCTACTCAGGAGGCTGAGGCGGATGGATAGCTTAAGCCTAGGAGCTCAAGGTTGCAGTGAGCTATGACTGTGCCACTGCACTTCGGCCTGGGTGACAGAGCAAGACCCTGTCCCAAAAAAAAGAAGAAAAGAAAGCAAGCAAGCTGTTGGGGGCCGAGTAGAGTGGCTCATACCTATAATCCCAGCACTTTGAGAGGCTGAGGTGGGAGGATCGCTTGAGCCCAGGAGGTCGAGGCTGCGATGAGCTATGATCACACCACTGTACGGAGCCTGGATGACAGAGCAAGACCCTGTCTCAAAAAAAAAAAAAAATCCCTTGGGCAAGAAGATACAAATACTGGTAGCTGGTAGTATCTTCCCAGGGTTAGGGCAATTCAACATTAGTATCAGCTACAACAATTTATAACCTTCATGGTATTCACTAGACCCCCAGAGCTCCCAGAATTTATGCCCTTCCTCCAAGCCTGTTTTTGCAGCTTCTTGTCTATTCTGTGAACATCTGCACTTGTTTCCATAAAACCCATTCCTTAAATTGAAGATCCACAGAACTCACTCCTGTTGCAAACAAAAACCTTGACTGATATACCCTGCCATCTGAAATTTGCAGTGAAATAATCTGTAAATAACTGGGCATTAACAAGGCTTTTCCAGAAGACAATTTTCAAGGTAACCATAAAGAATGTATTTATTTATTTATTATTTTATTTATTGAGACAGAGTCTTGATCTGTCACCCAGGCTGGAGTGCAGTGGTGCAATCTCAGCTCACTGTAACCTCCGCCTCCCGGGTTCAAGCGATTCTCCTACCTCAACCTCCTGAGTAGCTGGGACTACAGGCGTGCGCCACTATACCTAGTTAATTGCAGTTGGAGATCGCGCCATTGCACTCCAGGCTGAGCAACAAGAGCAAAACTCCATCTCAAAAAATAAAATAAAACATATGATTTTTGAGGGCGAGGAGCAGTGGCTCACACCTGTAATCGCAGCACTTTGGGAGGCTGAGGCACGCGTATAGCTTGAGCTCAGGAGTTCAAGATCAGCCTGGGCAACATGGCAAAACCTTGTCTCTACCAAAAAAATACAAAAAATTAGCCAGGCATTGGTGGCGCAGCACCTGTGGTCTCAGCTACTCGGGAGGCTGAGGTGGGAGGATCGCCTGAGCCCAGGAGGTGGAGGATTCAGTGAGCAAAGATCACACCACTGCACTCTGGCCTGGGTGACAGAGTGAGACTCTGCCTCAAAATAAAAATAAAAATAAAAATAAAAAATACGTTTTATTATTATTCATGTATGGTGAGGCCAACAGATCAGGATATGACTGCCATTAGAAAACACAAAAGTTTGTTATTCACTCTTCCCGAGAGGACGGGGCACTCCATGCCATACAGGGACACATGAGAAAGCACCAGGGTTGGTCAGGAGGCAGAGGTAGTGGGGAAAACATAGGCAAAGGTCTTTATTGTGATTTCCAAAGAAAGAAGCAGGCAAGGGCCGGGCATGGTGGCTCCCGCCTGTAATCCCAGCATTTTGTGAGGCCGAGGCAGGCGGATCATGAGGTCAGGAGTTCGAGATCAGCCTGGCTAACATGGTGAAACCCCATGTCTACTAAAAATACAAAAATTAGCTGGGCATGGTGGCGGGCGCATGTAGTCCCAGCTACTCAGGAGGCTGAGGCAGGAGAATTGCTTGAGCCCAGGAGGCAGAGGTTGCAGTGAGCCAAGATCGAGCCACTGCACTCCAGCCTGGGCGACAGAGGGACACTCCATCTCAATAAAATAAAATTAAAATAAAGTATACAGACGGAGGCCACGCACCATGGCTCATGCCTGCAATCCCAGCACTTTGGGAGGCCGAAGTGGGTGGATCACCTGAGGTCAGGAGTTCAAGACCAGCCTAGCCAACATGGTGAAACCCTGTATCTACTAAAAATACAAAAAAAATTAGCTGGACATGGTGGTGGGTGCCTGTAATCCCAGCTACTCAGGAGGCTGAGGCAGGAGAATCACTTGAACCCGGGAGGCAGAGGTTGCAGTGAGCCGAGATCGCACCATTGCACTCCAGCCTGGGCGACAAGAGCAAAACTCCATCTCAAAAAAAAAAAAAAAGTATATAGACGAATATGCATAATTTATATGCAAATACTATGCTGTTTTATGTCAGGGACTTGAGCATCCACAGATTTTGGTATCTGCAGGGGTCCTGAAACTAATCCTCCTTGGACACTAAGGGACAATTGTATTCCTTGAGTTATCCAATAACTACTGCTCAGCAGTTGGTAATAAAAGTTCAGAGGCTGCATAGAATCTTCGTGGCTTCTCTGATTTGACTCTGCAACACTGTTTCCTTTCATCTCCAGCAGAGCATGCCAGCTGCCCGGCAGGCATTCAAAATCCAGAATTGAAGGAAAGCATATCGTGTGATCATCTACTTCTTGGATTTGAGTCTTTCCCAGGTGTGGCCATTTCTGGATGGTGGAAGGAGATGTTCCTCCCTGGAGGTGACCCTCAGTCACATTTATCCCTCATCCTTTCCTGTATCCTAAAAATAGCCAGGATGCTGGGAGCTGTTAAGGCTGCACTGAGGTATTTTTAGCCTTAGGATCCTGGAGTTGGGGCCCAGCTGGGCTGAGCTGCAATGAAGGGGTGTCGGGGGGCAGGTGGCACCTCAGAGAGCCTTTGGAGTGGCCCAGTAATGTCTCAGTTCTGATTTCTGACTTAATCAATGGTGAAAATTGAGTTATGGGGGAAGAAGCAGAGGAAGGAGTGAAATGCAAAAATTCATTCATTCATTCAGTCAGTCAGTCAGTCAGTCAGTCAGTGTCAGGCTCTGTTCTCAGCCCTGAGACTACAAGAACGACCAAAACAAAAATCTGTGCCCTGGAAATGAACAGGCAGAGTTCAGAATATCTACTTGTATCAGAAAACAAGGAAAACGCCTTTAAAGACTAAAGGAGTGTTTTTGTCAGATGAACATGGGAACGAACTGAAAGAGGCTCTCCCTAGTCAAAATGGGGACCATAACATTCTCTTCTGTTAGTCAAAAGCCTGTGTCATAAAAACCTTGCTTACAGATGTTCAACGTAATTTCTTACAGCTCCAATCAGGGCAATTAAATAAGCAGACCGTCTAGGGGTTTCACATAACAAGAATAAATAGCTAAATGCCAGGGATGTTTGAAAAGCAAAATATGGTTCATTATTTCCCCTGGGAGAGTCGCACTGAGCCACGGATTAATCAAAATACGGAGCATAGCGCACTGAAAAGTATTCCATTACCAGGAAGCGTAATTTCTGACTTATTCTATTTTAGAATAGTAACAACTGCTAATTTCTGGGTCCTTTCTAGGTGCTAGGCATTATTTCATGGGCCCCAAGACCGTTGTCTAACTTGATTCTAGCCACAACTCAGCAAGGAGTATCCAGACCCTTTTTGTTTTTTGTTTTGTTTTGTTTTTTGAGATGGAATTTCACTCTTGTCGCCCAGGCTGGACTGCATTGGCTCATCTCGGCTCATTGCAACCTCTGCCTCCTGGGTTCAAGCAATTCTCCTGCCTCAGCCTCCCAAGCAGCTGGGATTACAAGATTACAAGCATGTGCCACCACGCCTGGCTAATTTTTTGTATTTTCAGCAGAGATGGGGTTTCACCACGTGGGCCAGGCTGGTCTCGAACTCCTGGCCTCAAGTGATCTGCCCGCCTCAGCCTCCCAAAGTGCTGGGATTACAGGCATGAGCCGCCGTGCCCGGCCAGAATATCCAGACCCTTTAAGCACATTTTAGCAAAGAAGAAAGAGGAGGAGGAAAAGAATAGAAGGAGCGGGAGGGAAAAGAATAGAAGGAGGAGGAGAGAAAAAGAGGGAAGAGGAAGTATTTTAGTAATAGTCATTTTTTTCCCTTTCAGCATGTGAATACATGTATCAGTTAGAATTCAATTCTGCTGCATAGAAGAGAAAAATAATAGTGGCTTAAACAGGGCAGAGGTATATTTTTCTGCCATGTAGGTGTACCACAGTAGTTCAGTTCATGGCTGGCAAGGCAGCTCCACAATTATCAAGGACCTTAAGGCCTTCTAACTTTCTGCTCTGTCATCCTTGGCTTCCATCCTCAAGGTTGCCTCATGACCACAAAATGGCTGCGAGAGCACCAGCCATCATATCCATGTCCCAGACAATATTAAGAGGAAAGCGGCTAGGGCTAAAGGGTACACTTCTCAACTGAGCCATCATCATTAAAGAGTTTATTAAAAGCCTCATTCAGATATTCTAGGTATCCAGGATCCTGGAATTCCCTACTTAATTGAATCCATGCCCACATTCAGGACTTGCATGGGCCTTTTCCACAGGTCTATTATCAAAGTGGAATGCTGGCCCGACACAGTGGCTCATGCTTGTAATCCCAGCACTTTGGGAGGCTGAGGCAGAAAGAGTGTTTGAGGCCATGAGTTCAAACCCAGCCTGGGCAGCACAGCGAGACCCTGTTGCTACAAAAAATAAAAATAAAAAAAAAATACTAGGTGTGGTAATTAATGTAGTCCCAGCTACTCAGGAGGACTGCGTGAGTCCAGAAGTTCAAGGCTGTAATGAGCTATGATCAGACCACTGCACTCCAGCCTGGCCAACAGAATGAAACCCTGTCTCGAAATGAGGTTTTTTACCTGGGAGGCAGAGGTTGCAGTGAGCCGAGATTGCACCACTGCACTCCACCCAGACAACAGAGCAAGACTCCGTCTCAAAAAATAAAATAAAATAAAAGGAAAAGAAAAAAGAAATTTCAGGCAGACGAGGTCGCGGCGCCGGAGGCCCCAGAAGGGTCGAAGGCGCCGCGGGCTGGGGTCGGTGGCTTAGGGAGCCCGTCCGGCCATGGTGGCCGTGGCTGGTGGTTGGCGCGGCTGCGCTGCGGCCCGGGGCAGTGCGGAGCCGGGACAGTCGCGGCGCTGACGCCCGCGGGCCCCAGCTGCAGATATGAAGCGGAGCCGCTGCCGCGACCGACCGCAGCCGCCACCGCCCGACCGCCGGGAGGATGGATTTCAGCGGGCAGCGGAGCTGTCTCAGTCTTTGCCGCCGCGCCGGCGAGCGCCGCCCGGGAGGCAGCGGCTGGAGGAGCGGACGGGCCCCGCGGGGCCTGAGGGCAAGGAGCAGCCGCCTGCCTTGGCCTCCCAAAGTGCCGAGATTGCAGCCTCTGCCCGGCTGCCACCCCGTCTGGGAAGTGAGGAGTGTCTCTGCCTGGCCGCCCATCGTCTGGGATGTGAGGAGCCCCTCTGCCTGGCTGCCCAGTCTGGAAAGTGAGGAGCGTCTCCTCCCGGCCGCCATCCCATCTAGGAAGTGAGGAGCGCCTCTTCCCAGCCGCGATCACATCTAGGAAGTGAGGAGCGTCTCTGCCCGGCCGCCCATCGTCTGAGATGTGGGGAGCGCCTCTGCCCCGCCGCCCCATCTGGGATGTGAGGAGCGCCTCTGCCCGGCCGAGACCCCGTCTGGGAGGTGAGGAGCGTCTCTGCCCGGCCGCCCCGTCTGAGAAGTGAGGAGACCCTCTGCCTGGCAACCACCCCGTCTGAGAAGTGAGGAGCCCCTCCGCCCGGCAGCTGCCCCGTCTGAGAAGTGAGGAGCCTCTCCGCCCGGCAGCCACCCCATCTGGGAAGTGAGGAGCGTCTCCGCCCGGCAGCCACCCCGTCCGGGAGGGAGGTGGGGGGGGGTCAGCCCCCCGCCCGGCCAGCCGCCCCATCCGGGAGGGAGGTGGGGGGTCAGCCCCCCCACCCGGCCAGCCGTGCCATCCGGGAGGGAGGTGGGGGGGTCAGCCCCCCGCCTGGCCAGCCGTGCCGTCCGGGAGGGAGGTGGGGGGGTCAGCCCCCCGCCCGGCCAGCCGCCCCGTCCGGGAGGTGAGGGGCGCCTCTGCCCGGCCGCCCCTACTGGGAAGTGAGGAGCCCCTCAGCCCGGCCAGCCACCCCGTCCGGGAGGGAGATGGGGGGGTCAGCCCCCCCACCCGGCCAGCCGCCCCGTCCGGGAGGGAGGTAGGGGGGTCAGCCCCCCACCTGGCCAGCCGCCCCGTCCGGGAGGGAGGTGGGGGGGTCAGCCCCCCGCCCGGCCAGCCGCCCTGTCCGGGAGGGAGGTGGGGGGGGGTCAGCCCTCCGCCCGGCCAGCCGCCCCGTCTGGGAGGTGAGGGGTGCCTCTGCCCGGCCGCCCCTACTGGGAAGTGAGGAGCCCCTCTGCCTGGCCAGCCGCCCCGTCCGGGAGGGAGGTGGGGGGGTCGGCCCCCCTGCCCGGCCAGCCGCCCCGTCCGGGAGGTGAGGGGCGCCTCTGCCCGGCCGCCCCTACTGGGAAGTGAGGAGCCCCTCTGCCCGGCCACCGCCCGGTCTGGGAGGTGTGCCCAACAGCTCATTGAGAACGGGCCAGGATGACAATGGCGGCTTTGCGGAATAGAAAGGCGGGAAAGGTGGGGAAAAGATTGAGAAATCGGATGGTTGCCGTGTCTGTGTAGAAAGAAATAGACATGGGAGACTTTTCATTTTGTTCTGCACTAAGAAAAATTCCTCTGCCTTGGGATCCTGTTGATCTGTGACCTTACCCCCAACCCTGTGCTCTCTGAAACATGTGCTGTGTCCACTCAGGGTTAAATGGATTAAGGGCGGTGCAAGATGTGCTTTGTTAAACAGATGCTTGAAGGCAGCATGCTCGTTAAGAGTCATCACCAATCCCTAATCTCAAGTAATCAGGGACACAAACACTGCGGAAGGCCGCAGGGTCCTCTGCCTAGGAAAACCAGAGACCTTTGTTCACTTGTTTATCTGCTGACCTTCCCTCCACTATTGTCCCATGACCCTGCCAAATCCCCCTCTGTGAGAAACACCCAAGAATTATCAATAAAAAAATAAATTTAAAAAAAAAAAAAAAAACAAAAACAAAAACAAACAAAAAAAAAAGCCTCATTCAATAACTTCTGCTTACAGCTCATTGGGCCACTGCTATCTGCATTAAATTAGGAAATGTAGTCTTTTAGCTGAGCACATTGTTACCCCCAATAAATATGAAGGTAGGGGTTCTGTTAAAAAGAAGAATAGAGCCAGGCACGGTGGCTCACACCTGTAATCCCAACACTTTGGGAGGCTGAGGCAGGACAATTGCTTAAGCCCAGGAGTTTTAGACCAGCCTGGGCAACATAGTAAGACCCCTTCTCTACAAAAAATAAAAACCAGCAGGGCATAGTGGTGCATACCTGTGATCCCAGCTACTCGGGAGGCTCAGGTGGGAGGATCACTGGAGCTGGGGAGATGAAAGCTGCAGTGAGCCAAGATCACGCCACTGTGCTCCAGCCTGGGTAACAGAGTGAGGCCCTGTCTCAAAAAGGAAGGAAGAAAGGAAGGAAGGAAGGAGGGAAGAAAGGGAGGGAGGGAGGGAGGGAGGGAGGGAAAGAAGAATGAAGATGAATACTGAGACTGCAATTAGCAGTCTCTGCCACAATAACCATGCTGCATTTTCCATCTGGTTTTTACTAATTGCACAGGAATTCTAGCCATGCCCCCTTGCCCTTACCTCTTCACAGTCTGCAAACCAGACTGCTTCCCAAGTGCCAAAACTGGGGTCTTTTGTTTGCTGTTGAGACCTGCTTTGCCACCTGTAGGCCACAGAATGAATGCCCCTGAGAGCAGCTCTCAACTAGTAACTGACAAAAGTTGGTGGATAAATGCCCCAGCTCTCTCACCTTCCAATGAGGGACTTCAGCCTACACCACACGGAACAGAAGAACTGCCCAGCTGAGCTCAGCCAACCATAGAGTCATGAGAAATCATCATCATTGTTCTCAGTCTCTGAGTTCTAGGACAGTTTGTTACTCAGCAATAGGTAACTGAAATGGGTGGAATGGGATAGAAATAAATCTTTGTTGCTTTAACGCCCCTAAAATTTAGCCTATCCTGACTGACTCACCCTCATTGTATTCACCCTCTGCTGAAAGCCAGGGGTTTAAATCTCTGAGCAGGACATCACCCTCAAACAAATGTGGTTTACTTGGTCTTGTGGAAGACACAGGATTTGCCAGCTATGTACGGTCAAGATCAATAGCAAGTCTAAATGGCTTTATGTAAAGGGAAACATGTTCTGTGGCTGGGTTTGGTGGCTCAAGCCTGTAATATCAACACTTTGGGAGGCCAAGGCAGGAGGATCGCTTGAACCCAGAAGTTCCAGACCAGCCTGAGTAACATGGTAAAACCCCGTCTGTACAAAAAAAAAAAAAAAAAAAAATTATTAGCCAGGGGTGTTGGTGCCCATCTGTAATCCCAATTCCTCAGGAGGCTGAGGCGGGAGGATTGCTTAAGCCCAGGAATTCAAGACTGCAGTGAGCCAGGATCGTGCCACTACATTCCAACCTAGGTGACAGAGTGAGACACTGCTCAAAGGAAAAAAAGAAAAGAAAAAGTGTTCTGCCCTTTTATTATGCTGGTGATATCCAAACATAATTATCTTGCCATATTCAAGGTCCTAAAAGGCAAGTCTCTCTCTACTTTCCAGTAGAAATAATAAGCCATGTGTTGGTGCTCACCTATATGTTCCCCTACATTTCCCAGAATCCCTTGCAGATGAGACAGACCCATATGACTCATTCTAGCCAATGGATTATCGCCACTGGGATGAGGCAGTTAAGAGCTGATACATTCCTCTGTCCTTCTCTTTCCTCCCTGAGGTGATTTTGGAAGCCTTGTGAGAGATGGTGCTGTTGCAAAATGGAGGAAGACTGGATCTCTGCATCACCGCTTGGAGGCGAGCCCCTGCTAACTAGCTTACAGGAATAAGAAACAAACTTGTGCTGTATAAAGCTACCGAAGTTTCTGATTTGTTTGTTATTGGTACTGAATATAGCCTTATGCTGTCTAGCAAGCATCATTTCTGGAAAAAGGATGAATTCTCAGGGAATCTTGCAAACATTACATGTCATTATCCCCAGCTACAATTTGCATAATTCATTTTCTGAGGGGAACTCACAGAACTTAGCAAAGAACTACCAAAGATAGGTAGGCAGCACTTTGCTGATCCCATTTGTTTGAGAAGAAAAACAATTTTGAGACAGAGTCTCACTCTTTTGCCCAGGCTGGAGTGCGATGGTGCAATCACAGCTCACTGCAGCCCCAATCTCCTGGGCTCAAGCAATCCTCCTGCTTCAGCCTCCTGAGTAGCTGGGACTACAGGCACACACCACCACACCCAGCTAATTTTTCTGTATTTTTGTAGAGACAGGGTTTCACCATGTTGCCCAGGCTGGTCTTGAACTCCTGGGCTCAAGTGATCCACTCACCTCAGCATCCCAAAATGCTGAGATTACAGGAGTGAGCCACCTTGCCTTGTGGAAAATTTATTTATTATGTGATGAATATCAAGCTTCTTTGTAAAGAGGATATAGCTAAGAGCCTCTCCTAGCAGTGATGTACATAAGTCACTCCGCCCATGTAAGACGCAGTTTCCCCATTTGGAAGGCTGGATGGAAAGGTCTCTGCAATCTATCCCCTCATCAAAAAAAATTTTTGGCCAAGCAAGGTGGCTCATGACTATAATCCCAGCACTTTGGGAGGCCAAGGCGAGAGGATCGCTTGGGGCCAGGAGTTAAAGACCAGCCTGAGTAACATAGTGAGACACCCATCTCTACAAAAAAGAATGTTTTCATTAGCCCAGTGTGGCAGCGCATGCCTGTAGTCCCAGCTACTCAGGAGTCTGAGGAAGGAAGATCCCTTGAGTGCAGGAGTTCAAGGCTGCAGTGAGCTATGATCACACCACTGCGCTCTAGCATGGGCAACAGAGTGAGACCCTCTCTTTAAAAAAAAAAAAAAAAAAAAAAAGAGCCAGGCACAGTGGCTCACGCCTGTAATCCCAGCACTTTGGGAGGCTGAGGCAGGCGGATCACCTGAGGTCAGGAGTTTGAGACCAGCCTGGCCAACATGGTGAAACCCCATCTCTACTAAAAATACAAAAATTAGCCCGGCATGGTGGCAGACACCTGTAATCCCAGCTACTTGGGAGGCTGAGGCAGGAGAATCACTTGAACCCAAGAGGCTGAGGTTGCAGTGAGCCGAGATCACGCCACTGCACTCCAGCCTGGGCGACAGAGCGAGACTCTGTCTCAAAAATAAATAAATAAATAATTCTTTTTAAAAAACACGCTAATTCTAGTTTCAGTCTGGATGATAATTTGGGGAAGAGAAGCAGAGAGGAAAATTTGGAATTAATTCCCTCCATGTGGCAACCCCTGAAGATCACAAAAAAGTTACAGTGAGAATGGGAGCAAGGATTCTAAAACTTCCCCACTCCTGGGGAACCTGCTGTCCTAAATTTAAACTTGGAAGAGATTTTGGCAACACCCTCCTGCCTCTTTCTGCCAACAAACTCACTGAAATTAACAAATGGCCTGTTTGCTTATGTTTGGTCTGTCCTTAGCGCAGAAACGGTTCTCTGCGCCCACAACTGATTATATCCAAATTTACTTCCAGTTTTTCCTCTCCTCTCCCCTGTTGGGTTGTGTCCTCAGTTTGAAAGGTCACATTCATCAAATTAGAACATGAAAGGTTGGCACACAGACATTTCGTGTGAATGCCTAAATGCCTGGAGCAGGATAAGAAGTTAAAAGAAAAAAAAAAACTTTTGCAAAAGAAAAATAATTATCATAACAGCTCAGGCACAGTCCTAGAGGTTTACATATATTAAATTTAGCAACATTGGACTTTTTTAACAGCCTGATTTTCTCTGCCGTGCATGATTTCCTTTGCCCAAACAAACCATTGCAACAAATTTGTAATGCATAGAAATGCAGCTATCGGCCGGGCACAGTGGCTCACCCCTGTATTCCCAGCACTTTGGGAGGCCGAGGCGGGCAGATCACCTGAGGTCAGGAGTTCAAGACCAGCCTGGCCAGCACAGCAAAACCCCATCTCTACTAAAAAAACAAAAAATTAGCCGGGCATGGTGGCAGACGCCTGTAATCCCAGCTACTCGGGAGGCTGAGGCAGGAGAATTGCTTGAACCGGGGAGGCGGAGGTTGCAGTGAGCGGAGATCTCGCCATTGCGCTCCAGCCTGGGTGACAAGAGCAAAAATCTATCTCATAATAATAATAATAATAATAAATTTTTAAAAAATAAAATAAAATAAAAATGCAGCTATCATCCTAAAATGTAAAATGTGAGAAGTGGTGATCGAAAATAACAAAAACAAGCCAGATGCAGTGGCTCATACCTGTAATCCTGGCACTTTGGGAGGCCGAGGTGAGAGGATCACTTGAGCTCAGGAGTTCAAGACCACCCTGGGCAGAATAGGGAGGCCTCATCTCTACAAAAAATTTAAAAATTAGCCGGGCATGATGGTGCACACCTGTGGTCCCAGCTACTTGGGAGACTGAGGTGGGAGGATCATTTGAGCCCCGGGGGGTCGAGGCTGCAGTGAGCCATGATTGTACCACTGCACTGCTGCCCAGGCAACAGAGCAAGACCCCCGCCTTTAAAAGTAAATAAATAAAAGACTTGTTTTGGAATATCAAACTTTTAGAACTTTTGGAGGATGTGACTTTGAAATATCTCAGTTTGACTTTGGGGTAGGTTTTCATTTCTTTCTTCCTTTCTGTGATATCCTATTTGGGTTCAAATTCCATTCCTCAGCCTCTAGAATTCTCTCCATCCACAGATCTTACAATCTGCATGCCCCAGTCTTCTGGATTTTGACATCAACTTCATGGAACGCACCAGTCTCCCCACCACCACCTTATCTGTGGTTTCACTTTTTGTAGCTTCAGCTACCTGCGGTTAACTGTAGTCTGAAAATATGTGAATACCGTACAATAAGATATTTTGAGAGAGACCACATTCACATAACTGTAATTATTTGCTACAATTGTTCTATTGTATTTTCAGTCATTGCTGTAATTTTCTTTTTTTTTTTTTTTTTTTTGAGACGGGGTCTCGCTCTGTCTCCCAGGCTGGAGTGCAGTGGCGCGATCTCGGCTCACTGCAAGCTCCGCCTCCCGGATTCACGCCATTCTCCTGCCTCAGCCTCCCGTGTAGCTGGGACTACAGGCGCCCGCCACCACACCCGGCTCATTTTTTTGTATTTTTTAAGTAGAGACGGGGTTTCATGGTGTTAGCCAGGATGGTCTCGATCTCCTGACTTCGTGATCCACCCGCCTCGGCCTCCCAAAGTGCTGGAATTAGAGGCGTGAGCCAGTGCACCTGGCCTGTTAATTTTCTTACAGTGCCTAATTTATAAGTTAAACTTTATCCTAGGCATGTATGCATAGGAAAGCACACAGTATATATAGGGTCTGGTACTATCTGTGGTTTCAGGCACCCACTAGGACTCTCGGAATAAATATATTGTCCCTCAGATAATGGGGAGCCGCTATAGTCCTAATACCAGGGCTTTGCTGAGGGGCTCTGTAGGTTTGGGTTTTTTGGGGTTTTTTTGTTTTTGTTTTTTTTGAGACAGAGCCTTACTCTGTCACCCAGGCTGGAGTGCAGTGGTGTGATCTCGGCTCACTGCAACCTCTGCCTTCCAGGTTCAAGCAATTCACCCACCTCAGTCTCCCAAGTAGCTGGGATTACAGGCACGTGCAACCGTGCCCAGCTAATTTTTTAATTTTTCGTAGAGTCAGAGTTTCACCATGTCGGCCAGGCTGGTCTCAAACTCCTAACTTCAAGTGATCCACCCACCTCAGCCTCCCAAAGTGCTGGGATTGCAAGCATGAGCCACCGCGACTGGTCGCCTTCAAACTCTTTAAAAGCATCAAGGTCATAGAAGATGAGGAAAGGCAGGGGAATGATCCCACGCTGAAAGAAGCTGAAGGGACCTCACAACTAAATACAACCCATGACTCTGAATTGGACCTTTATGCCCTAAAGGACAATATTGGGGCTATTGGCAAATTATGAACAAGGTCTGGGCATTAGATGGTTGTATTAGAGCAAATTTCTTCTCCTCGTTTTGACAATTGTTTAATGGTTTTGCAAAAGAATGCTCTTGGGTTTAGGAAACAAACTCTGAAGTATTGAGGGACAAACTGAAGTATTGAGGGACAAACTCGGAAGTATTGAGGGACAAAACTCTGAAGTATTGAGGGATAACAGGCATTGTGTCTTCTGCCACTAACTTTCTTCTTTTTTCTTTTTTTCTTCCTTTTTTTTTTTTTTTTTGAGATGGAGTCTCACTCTGTCACTCAGGCTGGAGTGCAGTGGCCTGATCTCAGCTTAATGCAATCTCCACCTCCTGGGTTCAAGCCATTCTCCTGCCTCAGCCTCCCGAGTAGCTGGGATTACAGGCGCACCCCACCACACCTGGCTAATTTTTGTATTTTTGGTAGAGACAGGGTTTTGCCATGTTGGCCAGGCTGGTCTCAAACTCCTGACCTCAGGTGATCCACCCGCCTCAGCCTCCCAAAGTGCTGGGATTACAGGAGTGAGCCACCACACCCGGCCTCAACGTTCAATTTCTTGAAATTGATTATTTTGTAATCATGTCAGAGAATGTTCTCATTCTTTTTTGTTTTTGAGACAGAGTTTCGTTCTGTCGCCCAGGCTAGAGTGCAATGGTGCAATCTCAGCTCACTGCAACCTCCGCCTCCCAGGTTCAAACAATTCTCCTACCTCAGCCTCCCAAGTAGCTGAGATTACAGGTACCCACCACCACGGTTGGCTAATTTTTGTATTTTTAGTAGAGATGTGGTTTCACCATGTTGGCCAGGCTGGTCTCAAACTCTTGACCCCAGGTGATCTACCTGCCTCAGCCTCCCAAAGTGCTGGGATTACAGGCGTGAGCCACCGTGCCCAGCCAGAGAATGTTCTGATTCTTAAGAGATGCACACTAAAGTATTTGAGAGTGAAGGATCAGTATATCTGCAACTAACTCTCAAAATATCTAATAATGTATGTGTATGTATATACATACATATCTGTGTGTATATCTGTAGAAAGAGACAGGCAGAAACAGATGAACCTACGTAGGAAACGTTACCGACTAAGGAGTGTAGGTGAAGGGTTTGTAGGTGTTCATTGTACTGTAATTTTTCTACAGGTTTGAACATCTTCAAAACAAAATATTGAAAAAATAAGTCACGGCCGGGCATGGTGGCTCATGCCTGTAATCCCATCACTTTGGGAGGCCGAGGCGGGTGGATCACCTGAGGTCAGGAGTTTGAGACCAGCCCGGCCAACGTGGCAAAACCCCGTCTCTACTAAAAATACAAAAATTAGCTGGGCCTGGTGGCAGGCGCCTGTAATCCCAGCTACTCGGGAGGCTGAGGCAGGAGAATTGCTTGAACCCGGGAGGCGGAGGTTGTGGTGATCCGAGATCGCACCACTGCACTCCAGACTAGGTGACAGAGCAAGACGCTGTCTGAAAAAAAAAAAAAAAAGGGCTGGGCACGGTGGCTTACACATGTAATCCCAGCACTTTGGGAGGCCGAGGTGGGTGGATCACCTGAGGTCAGGAGTTCAAGACCAGCCTGACCAACCTAGTGAAACCCCGTCTCTACAAAGTACAAAAAATTAGCCAGGCGTGGTGGCCCATGCCTGTAATCCCAGCTACTTGGAGGCTGAGGCAGGAGAATTGGTTGAACCGTGGAGGCAGAGGTTGCAGTGAGCCAAGATCGCACCAGTGTACTCCAGCCTGGGCGACAGAGCGAGACCCTGTCTCAAAAAAAAGAAAAGAAAAGAAGCCACCTAGTCTATCGCCTGTGTTTTGATTATTTCAAGCACGGACTCTGAGTATCAAAACATCCTCCTCCTGAGAGCCTAATGAAGGAAACAGAGGAAGATTTGAGAGTCTCAGGAACAACTTGGTTGCCACTTAGACGTTAACCCCAGATGCTCCCCATTTCCAACGATACCTGCAAGCGTGTTTTCAACAACATCGTGGAGTCCAGATTAAAGAGCTGTTTTCCTCCTCAAAAAGTAGAGACTCCTTCAAGATTTGCATGAGCCATTTAGGAGCCAGGGAACCTTGGGATAGATGTGAATCTTGGAATGTGGGTTGTTAGAATATTTTAAAGCTGGTGAGAAAAAAATTGAAGTAAAACAAGGATGTCCAGGCAGAGGCATCTGCAAGACAAATTAGCACCATCACCACCACCCCGCCCCCCTCCCCAACCCAGTCAACAAACAGGACAAGTAACACTTCTCTGCCCTCGTGGGAACAGATTGAGTGGAAGGAGTTGATGGGTGGGGAGGTGACGTTGCCAAAATCCCGAAATAGAGCTGTTCAAAACACCCTTTCACAGCATGTCAGACAAATGCCGGAGTGATTAAATGTTGAGTGGAGACTTTGAGAAGCTGAAAGAGGAGGGCAGAAACTAGGCATGAAAACATACTCCTTTCATCTCCTTCCAAATCTGGGTCAGCACTCAACTGCGGCATCAGGACACTTTCTCAGCATCTGAGAAGCAACATCACCTAATCCAAGTCTGTCAGGGCGCCAAAATACTCTGGCTTCCGGTGATTAGCTGATTTGTGCAGTATGCATTCATGGAGTGCTTATGTTCCAAGCTCTGGAAAACACAGTAGCTTCTCCCAGTTCCTGCCATCGGGAGCTTGTAGTCCAGCAAGGGAAATGGGGAAGTAGTGATAATATGCTTGGTTGAATTTTTTTTTTTTTTTGAGACAGGGTCTTGCTGTGTTGCCCAGGCTGGAGTGCAGTGGTGCAATCACGGCTCACAGCAGCCTCAAACTCCTGGGCTCAAGAGATCCTCCCACCTCAGCCTCCCGAGTAGCTGGGGTTACAGGCACTGCTTGAATTATTGTTCCAGTTTTTTCAATCCTCTGTAGATCCACACTCTGTGTGCCGTGGGACTTTGCTGTTATTCTCACCAAAAGCAGAACCCTTGCCTCTTGACTTTGGGCTGTTTGGGCTGTGGGACCAGCTTTGCTCAACAGGTAACCAGTTCCAAGCATCCCTCAAGAAGCCTCCCATGTCTCCACTTGGCTTATCTCTGTCATCATCATGAGGGAAGCTTCCTCCCAAGAATGATTATTCCTTTGGCCGAGGCCTCAGAATGAATACATGCCAGCCAGGCACAGTGGCTCACGCCTGTAATCCCAGCACTTTTGGAGGCCAAGGTGGGCGGATCGCCTGAGGTCAGGAGTGTCAGACCAGCCTGGCCAACATGGAGAAACCCCATCTCTACAAAAAAAAAAAAAAAAAAAAAGTCGGGCGTGGTGGCAGGTGCCTGTAATCCCAGCTACTCAGGAGGCTGAGGCGGGAGAACCACTTGAATCCAGGAGGCAGAGGTTGCAGTCAGCCGAGATCACACCACCGCACTCCAGCCTGGGCAGCAGAGTGAGACTATGTCTGAAAAAAAAAAAAAGAATGAATACATGCAGAATTGATCTAAACCCAACCTGCAGAGAGAGGCCAAAGCATGCATCAAAGCTGTCCAGCTGGTCCCCACCCACATCAGCCAAGTCCTCAGACATGTGGGCAAAAATAAATGATTGCTACTTTTGGAATAGCCATCACAATAGCCCATATGCTGGGCTGTCAAGCAAGTCTCAACAAATTTTGTAGAACTGAGATCCTACAAAGTATGAGCACAGTGGAATTAAACTAGAAGTCAACAACAAAAAAGATAACTAGAAATTTACAATTGTTTGGAAATTTAACCACACATCCCTAAATAACTCCTAAGTCAGAGAAAAAAAAAATCACAGTGGAAATAAGAAAATATTTTGAACTGAATGCTAATGAACATACCTGAAAAAATGCTGTGGGATGCAGCTAAAGCAGTGCTGAGAGGAAAAGGCATAGCTTTGAATGCCTGTATGAAAAACGAAAAAAAGCTTAAGGTATTGTTATTTCAAGATACTGAGTTTTGGGGTCTCTTTTCTTGTGCAGCAATAGCTGACTGCTATGATAAGTAGCATTTATACTGCATTCATTATGTGGCAGACCCAAGTAAACAGAACCACACAGGTTATGTGAATGGCCAGTAAGGAGTAAAGTCAGAATTCAAATCCAGATTGGCTCTGGCATTAGGCTCTCAGCACTGTGCTATACTTCTCCTAGAGGAGAAACCTAACAATCACGACATTGTGATAAATGCTATTAATTCATAGAAGTGGGTGGACCTAACTCGGAGGATTGGAAAACACTTCCAGAAAGAAGTGATGCTTGACCTGACAGTTAAGAGAAAGTGAAGGCTGTTGAAAAGGTTATGCAGAGGCCCATGGGCATGAACGACATAGCCCATAGTTCAGTGTGGCTGGCCCATACAGTGAGCATGACTTGTGTCAAAAAATGAGAATGAAGATGTAGTCCAGATCTGATTCAAGCCTGTCTAAAGAGGGAGATGATCTGATTAGATTTGCACCTCAGGAAGATCCATCTGTAGTATGTGGAGGATTGGAAGAGAGATATGATGCAAAAATTCCAGTTAAGAGGCCATGAAAGGGCCGGGCACTGTGGCTCACACCTATAATACTAGCACTTTCGAGGGTTGAGGCAGGCAGACCACTTGAGGTCAGGAGTTTGAGACAAGCCTGGCCAACATGGTGAAACCCCAACTCTACTAAAAATACAGAAAAAACTAGCCGGGCGTGGTGGCGGGTGCCTGTAATCCCAGCACTTTGGGAGGCCAAGGCGGGTGGATCACGAGGTCAGGAGATTGAGACCATCCTGGCTAACACGGTGAAACCCCGTCGCTACTAAAAATACAAAAAAAAATAGCCGGGCATGATGGCGGGCGCCTGTAGTCCCAGCTACTCGGAAGGGTGAGGCAGGAGAATGGTGTGAACCCGGGAGGCAGAGCTTGCAGTGAGCTGAGATCACGCCAGTGCACTCCAGCCTGGGCAACAGAGCGAGACTCCGTCTCAAAAAAAAAAAAATACAAAAATTATCTGGGTGTGGTGGTGCACACTTGTAGTCCCAGCTACTTGGGAGGCTGAGGCAGGAGAATTGCTTGAACCTGAGAGGCAGAGGTTGCAGTGAGGTGAGATCGTGCCACTGCACTCCAGCCTGGGCAACAAAGTGAGACCTTGTCTCAAAAAAAAAAAAAAAAAAAAAAAGAGGCCATGAAAGCATTGATAAAGACTCTCTTTTTCTTTCTTTCTTTTTTTTTGGGAAACAAGGTCTCACTCTGTCACCCAGGCTAGAGTGCAGCAGTGATCACAGCGCTCACTGTAACCTCGACCACCAGAGCTGAAGCGATCCTCTTGGCTCAGCCTCTTGAGTAGCTGGGACCACAGGCATGCACTACTATGCCCGCCTAATTTTTTTATTTTTATTTTTATTTTTGGTAGAGATGGGGGTCTCTCTATTTTTCCCAGGCTGGTCTTGAACTCCTAGGGCTCAAGCAAGCTTCACACTAGCCTCCCCAAGTGCTAGGACTGCAGGCATGAGCCACCCATGACTCCTCTTTTCAACTAGGCATCATTCTTGGATCCTGTCCTTAGCCTGCTTCTGTCAGTCTTGGCAAAGAATCCTGCTAAATTATACCCCAATCCTTAATATTTTATCACCCTGGCCAGCCTTCAGCAAGAATCCTTAAGTTAGCATCTTAATCCATTTGGGCTACTCTAACAAAATAACATAGATTGAGTGGCTTAAAAGCAACAGAAATTCATTTCCCACAATTCTAGTGGCTGGGAAGTCCAAGAGCAAGGCACCAGCGCATTCAGTGCCTGCTGAGAATCTGCTTCTTGGTTCATAGATGACCATTTTTTCATTGTGCCCCCACATGGTGGAAGGGTTGAGGGACCTCTCTGGGATCTGTTTGATAGAGGCATTAATCCCATTCCTGAGGGCTCCAGTCCCATAACTTTATCACCTCCCAAAGGCCCTGCCTCCAACACCATCACATTGAGGATTAGGTTTCAATACATGAATTTGGGCCTGGCACAGTAGCTCACGCCTGTAATCTCAGCATTTTGGGAGGCCACGGCAGGTGGATCACCTGAGGTCAAGAGTCCAAGACCAGCCTGGCCAACATGGCAAAAACCTGTCTCTACTAAAACTACAAAAATTAGCTAGGCGTGGTGACATGGGCCTGTAATTCCAGCTACTTGGGAGGCTGAGGCAGGAGAATCACTTGAACCCGGAAAGCGGAAGTTGCAGTAAGCTGAGAATCATGCCACTGCACTCCAGCCTGGGCAACAGGGCGAGACTCCATAAAATTAAAAAAAAAAAAACCAAAAACATGAATTTGAAGGAGACACAAACATTGTCTACAACAATGGTTTGGCAAGAATCCCCCTATCTGCCGAGTGCAGTGGCTCATGCCTGTAATCCCAACACTTTAGGAGGGAAAAGCAGGAAGATTGCTGGAGGCCAGGAGTTCAAGAGCAGCCTGGGCAACATAGTAAGACCCTGTCTCTATTAAAAATAAAAAAGAATCCCCCTATGCTTGATGTTTCCTCTTAGTCATTTTTCACCCACTAAACCCTTCACTCTGCTCATCGGCTGTAAATGCCAATCTGTCTTTGCTGTTTTGGAAACTGAGCTCATTTCTCTGCTGAAGTCTCTTTTCCCCTATTACAATAGTACCGAATAAAACTGTCTTTACCACTTTTAACCGGTGTCCAGCTCTGTCTCTTCGACAGCATCCAGATGAGTCACAAAGACCTGAACTAAAGCATTAGCAGTTAGGATCCATCAAGCATTTCTTTAGGATTTATTGTTTTAAGTCCTCAGATTTTGTCTAAGGCAATGGGAATGTAGCAAGCAGTAAACACAACAGGCAAAAATCCCTGCCCTGGGCCGGGTGAGGTGGCTAACGCCTGTAGAAGTGGCAGAAGTTCCATGCACCCAGACTGCCTCCCACCTCAAGTATCAGCCACAGCAACTCATTTTTCTGCCTCGGAGCTTTTTTGCAGCTATTGAAGGCTGTCTGCGTGCAGATGCTGCCAGAAGTTAGGAAGAGATAAAGCCCCGAGGAGGTAACGCTCAACCAGTGCAGAGTCAATAAATGAATGTGTCACTCCCCACCCTCATCCGCTTGGGGGACTATTCTGACTTTTTTTCTGCACCATTTACTTGCAGGAGTAGCTCAATAATGCACTCTTCATTGGCTTTTCCTCCTAACCTGTCTGCCTCTTCCAATATCCCTGTTACTGCTTCCTGAAACCATTTTCCAAATAAACTATCAGAAAAGCAAAATGAAGACGCAATCGAAGAGAACACTTGGGGCTGGGCGCAGTGGCTCACGCCTGTAATCCCAGCACTTTGGGAGGCCGAGGCAGGCAGATCACAAGGTCAGGAGTTCAAGACCAGCCTGGCCAACATGGTGAAATCCCATCTCTACTAAAAATACAAAAATTAGCCAGGCATGGTGGTGCACGCTTGTAATCCTAGCTACTCAGGAGGCTGAGGCAGGAGAATTGCTTGAACCCAGGAGGCGGAGGTTGCAGTGAGCCAAGATCACACCACTGCACTCCAGCCTGGGGGACAGGGCGAAACTCCATCTCAGAAAAAGGAAAAAAAAAAAAAGAGAACACTTGGAAAGACCAGGAGTGGACATGATGTCAAATAAAAGCAGACAGCCCAAGAATAACAGAGTGAAACAGAGGCGGAGGAAAAAAAGAATTGAGACTTAGGGGAAAGCCATTTCCCATCGTTAACTACTTTCAGGGCAAAAGGAGAAGTAATTGGAGAAGTGATTGGTTTAGTGATTTTTCTAAAAATAGTTTCTGTGTTAATTAAAATTTACAGAGAAAGCAAATCAATGTGTTCCCCTTTATCTCTGCCTAATTTCTGTCCTCCCAACTCATGAGTGGGGCTATTGAAGACATTAAAGAGAACAAAGTTGCTAAGGACATGAAAACCCATGGGAAAACATCCTTACATGAGTGAATGCCTAGAGAGCCAGCCAGTCCCACCTGTATCCATTCTAAGGCAAAGACTAAACATACAATTTATCCTCTAAAAAAATCCAGGTGGGATCAGGTGTGGTGGCTCACGCCTGTAATCCCAACACTTTGGGAGACCAAGGTGGGGAGGATTACTTGAGGCCAGGAGTTCAAGGCCAGCCTGGGCAGCATAGCAAGACCTCATCTCTACAAAAAATAAAAATAATTAGCCGGACATGGTGGTACACACCTGAAGTCCCGGCTGTTCGGGAGGCTGAGGCAGAAGAATTGCTTGAACCCGGGAGGTGGAGGTTGCAGTGAGCCGAGATTGTGCCACTGCACTTCCAGCCTGGGCAACAGAGCAAAACTCTGTCTCAAAAATAAATAAATAAAAGGCTCCTCTTGAGGCAACGCCTAAAACCTAGATGTAATGACGGAGCTCTTGTGCCCTCCCGTGGGCATCATGCCTCAGATCGGGAGAGCAGCTCTAAGCGCTCTCTGGGGAGAAGCTTGTCAGACACAAGCATGCATCTGTCAATGGAATTCCAGGCACCGAGGCCAACATTAGCATGCAAGCGAAATGCTGAAGGATGTTATGCTAAATGCAAAAGCCAGGCACAGAAAGACCAATTCCACATGCTCTCACTCCTCTATGAGATCTAAAAAAGTTGAACTCAAAGATGCAGAGAGAAGAATGATGATTACCAGGGGCTGAATGGGGAGTGGTGGGAAGTGGAGAGATTTTTGTCTAAGAGTGTAAGTTGCAGTTAGACAGGAGGAATACTTTTTTTCTTTCTGCAAGTTATGGTGTACATGAGAAATGTTTTACATGTATATAATGCATAGTGATTAAATCAGGGTATTTAGGGTATCCATCACCTAAGTCTCTCACTGTCATGCAGGCTGGAGTGCAGTGGTGCGATCTGGGCTCACTGCAACCTCCGCCTCCCAGGTTCAAGCAATTCTAATGCCTCAGCCTCCCAAGTAGCTGGGACTACAAGCACGTGCCACCACACCTGGCTAATTTTTGTATTTTTACTCGTGACAGGTATTTTTAGTAGCGACAGGGTTTCACCATGTTGGCCGGGCTGGTTTCCAACTCCTGACCTCAAGTGATCCGCCCCTCCGGCCTCCCAAAGTGCTGGGGTTACAGGCGTGAGCCACCGTGTCTGGCTGAGAAGGAATACTTTTTTTATTTGTGCAAATTATGGTGTACTGAGACATTTTTTATGTGTATATAATGCATAGTGATTAAATCAGGGTATTTAGGGTATCCAGGGTATCTGTCACCTAAGTACAATACATTTTTTTAAGTATAGTCATTCTACTCTGCTATCAAACATGGAATATGGCCGGGCACCGTGGATCGTGCCTGTAACCATAGCAGGCAAGGATTACTTTGCCTTTCACCTTTGGGAAGCCAAAGCATAAAAATTACTTGAGTCCAGGAGTTCGAGACCAGCCTAGACAACACAGCCGACAACCTTTTTTATTTTTTTGAGACGGAGTCTCACTCTGTCGCCCAGGCTGGAGTGCGGTGGCACTATCTCAGCTCACTGCAGCCTCCGCCTCCCAAGTTCAAGCAATTCCCCAGCCTCAGCCTCCTGAGTAGTTGAGATTACAGGCATGTACCACCACACCCAGCTAATTTTTGTATTTTTGGTACAGATAGGGTTTCACCATGTTGGCCAGGCTGGTCTCGAACTCCTGACCTCAGGTGATCCACCCGCCTCGGCCTCCCAAAGTGCTAGGATTACAGACGTGAGCCACCACGCCCAGCCTTCTTTTTTCCCTCTTCTATCAAATGAAACTACCTTAAGTGCAAGGGCAAGTGATTCCATCCTGGTAGCCTTACCATCTGGTCTAATGCCTGACACAAAATAAATGACCATCCATGAACAAATCGATGAGCGATTCAATTAATTGTTTACCCAGCTCAGGCCTAAATGGGAAGAGGAGGAAAGCAAAGTAGAATAATATGAGGGCACAGCAAAGGATGCCCCTACAAAACCATGCGTAGAACACCTCCCCAGAAACCCCCATACTATAGGGGTTCTGGCTATGGCCTTCAACACAAGTTTACCAACAACAGGTTTCCTTTGGGGATAATGAAAATATTCTGAAACTAAATAGAGGTGGTTAGCCGCCTGTGATCTCAGCTACTTGGGAGGCCAAGGCGGGAGGATCACTGGAGCCCAAGAATTTGAGATCAGCCTAGGCACCATAGTGAGAACTTGTCTCATTTTGTGTGTGTGTGTGTGGTTTTTTGTTTTTAAATGTTGTGGCGGTTGCATAACATTGCAAATGTACTGCCACTGAACTGTTCTTTTTAAACTTTTTCTTTTTTTTTGAGATGGAGTTTTGCTCTTCTTGCCCAGTCCTGCCTCAGCCTCCCAAGTAGCTGGGATTACAGGCACCCGCCACTACGCCCAGCTAATTTTTTGTATTTTTAGTAGAGACAGGGTTTCACCATATTGGCCAGGCTGGTCTCGAACTCCTGACCTCAGGTGATCCGCCCACCTCAGCCTCCCACAGTGCTGAGATTACAGGCGTGAGCCACCGCGCCCAACCTAAAACTTAATTTTATGTTTTGTGAATTTCAGTTCAACTTTGTTTGTTTATTGAGACAGAGTCTCTCTCTGTCACCCAGGCTGGAGTGCAGTAGCATGATCTCGGCTCACAACAGCCTCAAACTCCTGGGCCCAAGCCATCCTCCCACCTCAGCCTCCCGAGCAGCCAGGATTACAGGCACGCACCTCCACTCCCAGCTAATATTTTGTATTTTTTTGTAGAGACGAGGTCTCACTGTGTTTTCCAGGCTGGTATCGAACTCCTAGTCTCAGGTGATCCTACCGCCTTGGCCTCCCAAAGTGTTGAAATTACAGAAAACAGCCACCCTGCCTGGCTCAATTTAAAAAAGAAAAAAACTGATATACAAATTTGAAAAGTTTTGCTAAAAAGGAAAAACAAAGGCTCCCTCTGGCTGCAGTGTGGAGAATAGACTGCCCCATGAGGCGAAGTGGATTGTGATGGTCATGAGGAAGCTGGAGGGTGTACCTCAGTTCTCGAACTTCAGTTATTATACTTTCCTTAGTTCTATGACTTATGAAATATTTCTCAGCCGGGCGTGGTGGCTCAAGCCTGTAATCCCAGCACTTTGGGAGGCCGAGGCAGGTGGATCATGAGGTCAGGAGTTCGAGACTATCCTGGCCAACATGGTGAAACCCCATCTCTACTAAAAATACAAAAATTAGCTGGGCATGGTGGCACACACCTATAGTCCCAGCTACTCGGGAGGCTGAGGCAGGGGAATCGCTTGAACCTGGGAGGGGGAGGTTGCAGTGAGCCGAGATCACGCCACTGCACCCCAGCCTGGCAACAGAGCTAGACTCTGTCTCAAAAAAAAAAAAAAAAGAAATATTTCTCTCCTTTTTTTGAGAAAAGATCTCACTCTGCCACCCAGGCTGGAGTGCAGTGGTGCAATCATAGTTCACTGCAGCCTCTACCTCCCAGGCTCAAGTGATCCTCCTGCCTCAGCCTCCCAAGTTGCTGGGACCACAGTTGTGTGCCCTCACGCCTGGCTAATTTTTTTTTTTTTTTCAGAGACAGGGTTTCGCTATGTTGCCCAGGCTGGTCTCATACGCCTGGGCTCGAGCGATCCTCCCCCCTTGGCCTCCCAAAGTGTTGAGATTACAGGCATGAGCCACCCTGCCCTGTCCTATTTATGAAATATTTCTTGAGGGACATAGAATATTTGGTCTCAGTGCCAGCAGGCCTGCTGAATTTCCCGAGTCTTGGGAAATGCCAAGAAATAAAGGTACTATCACCAGGCAAGCTGGAGTGGTGAGCGACTTGATAGTCTCAGAATGATATCGCCAGCTGTTGGAAATCTTGTAGAACTGGCTAACACCCACTGAACAGTTGCTACGTACCAAGCACTGCATTAATGCACTTAATCCTGACAATAGCCCTGTGGGCTGATGGGCCAGGGTTTTGTTTTTGTTCTTGTTGTTGTTTTGAGATGGAGTCTCGCTCTCTCACCCAGGCTGGAGTGCAACGGTGTGATCTCAGCTCACTGCAGCCTCCACCTCCCAGGTTCAAGCAATTCTCCTTCTTCAGTCTCTGGAGTAGCTGGGATTACAGGCATGCACTACCACCCCCGGCTAATTTTTGTATTTTTAGTAGAAATGGGGTTTCACCATGTTGACCAGGCTGGTCTCGAACTCCTGACCTCAGGTGATCCGCCCGCCTTGGCCTCCCAAAGTGCTGGGATGACAGGCGTGAGCCACCGTGCCCGGCCTAATGGGCTGTTTTATCACCGCCTCACTGTAGCAGTCCCTCTGGTGCCGCAAGTCCCCTCTCTGCATCTGCAGGAGACAGTTCCCTGTGAGACCTGACTTACTTGTCCCACCTCAAGCCTGGACCACACATCTTTTGGCTTTCTTCAGCCTTCTCCAACCCCTCAAGGCAGCCCAAAAGTTTGGGGCTAAAGACCCCAGGGTGAGCTGGACATGGTAGCCCATGACTGTAATCCCAGCATTTTAGGAGGCTGAGGTGGGAGGATCACTTGAGCCCAGGGGTTCAAGACCAGCCTGGGTAACATAGGGAGACCTTGTCTCTACTAAAAATAAAAATTTTTAAAAAGTCAGGCGTGGTAGCATGCACCTGTAGTCCCAGCTACTCAGGGGCCGAGGTGGAAGATCAAGGCTGGAGTGAGCTATGATCACACCACTGCATTTCACCCTGTACAACAGAGTGAGACCCTGTCTCTAAAAAAGAAAAAAGACTTCAGGCTGTAATTGATCACAGTGAACATCAGCACATCGTATCACATGTCCCCTAATAGGCTATACTCAAAAGGACGCATCATTTCTGTGGAATTCCTGCCAGAAATGCATAACCTCATAGGCAGAGTAGTCAAATTCACAGTGACAAAAAGGTGCTTTCCAGGGACTGCGAGGAAGCAGGGAATAGGAAATTATTGCTCAATGGGTACAGAGTTTCAGCTTGGAAAGATGCAAACATCCTGGAGAAGGATAGCGGTGCTGGTTACACAACAATGTGATGTACTTAGTATCACTGAACTGTTCACTTACAAATTGTTAAGATGGGCTGGAGGCGATGGTTCATGCCTGTAATCCCAGTGCTCTAGGAGGCCAAGACTTTTTGAGGACAGGAGTTTGAGACCGCCATGGGCAACCCCATCTCCCAATAGCGAGACCCCATCTCCAAAAAAAATTAAGATGGTACATTTTATATTGTGTATATTTTGCCACAGTTAGAAAGAGAAAGAATTGTTTGGCCAGGTGTGGTGGCTCATACCTGTAATCCCAGCACTTTGGGAGGCCAAGGCAGGCAGATCACCTGAGGTCAAGAGATCGAGACCATCCTGGCTAACACGGTGAAACCCCGTCTCTACTAAAGATACAAAAAATTAGTCGGGTGTGGTGCCGTGTGCCTGTTGTCCCAGCTACTCGGGAGGCTGAGGCAGGAGAATCGCTTGAACCCAGGAGGCAGAGGTTGCAGTGAGCCGAGATCATGCCACTGCACTCCAGCCTGGGCAACAGAGCGAGACTCTGCCTCAAGAAAAAAAAAAAAATAGCCAGGCATGGTGGCATATGCCTGTAATCCCAGCTACTACGGAGGCTGAGGCATGAGAATTCCTTGAACCCAGAAGGCGGAGGTTGCAGTGAGCCAAGACCTAAGACAATCCCATGTAACAAATGAGGAGATGAGGCCCTGTATTAGTCCATTCTCACATTGCTATAAAGAAATACTTAAGACTAGGTAATTTATAAAGAAAAAAGGTTTCACTGGCTCTTTTACCTGCGGTACAGCCATGGTTCCATAGCCCGTACAGGGAGCATGATGCTGGCATCTGCTCGGCTTCTAGGAAGGCCTCAGGAAACTTAGAATCATGGCAGAAGGGGAAGGGGAAGCAGGTACGTCTTACATGGACAGAGAAGAAGAGAGAATGAGGCAGGAGGTGCTACACACTTCCAAACAGCCAGATCTCATGATAACCCACACACTATGTAGCACTGGAAGGATGGTACTAAACCATGAGACTGCCACCCCCATGATCTGATCACCTCCCACCAGGACCCACCTCCAACACTGGGGACTACACTCTGACATAAGATTTGGAGGGGACACAGATCCAAACTATATCAGGACCAGAGAAGTTAAGGAGCTCTCCCAAGGTCCCACAGCCAAGAAATAGCAGAGGTAAGGCTCCAACCAGACAACCCAGTGTCACACTCTACCCTCTCGATCACTACACTCTGCCACCTCTAAGAGTTAAGCAATTTCCCATTTAAAATTTCACTAATTTAGACCCAGATTTATGTCCCCATAATTCCCTATTGTAAACCCAAACAACATTCTTCCACCAACTTATTTGAATAACGTGTGTAGGACAGAAAGAAGTGACAGCTTGAAACTACTCTAATTTTACTTACGAATAATTGAGGTTGATTCATGCTGCTTTCTAAAAAACTGGTAATCCTCTTGGTGTTCCAGGATGCCAAATTTGTCACGTACGTCTCTTACAACTTCTACTATTCTCTCTCGAAAGCAGTACTCAAAAGCAGACAGTCACAAAGATAGGGTACTCAACAAGGGGTGTTCCAAGACAGGAGAAAGTTAACTTTCCCAAAACAGATGGAAAGAGCCGA
Organism: Homo sapiens; assembly: GCF_000001405.40. Lineage (NCBI taxonomy): Eukaryota > Metazoa > Chordata > Mammalia > Primates > Hominidae > Homo > Homo sapiens. The sequence continues at coordinate 13,725,135 of NC_000019.10, forward strand.
AAAGGAAGAAGGAAAATGAAGGAGGAGCTTCCGGGAGAAAGACACATTAGTGTTCAATGTCACAAAGTCTATTAGTAGAGTATAAAAAAAAATAATGGGCCAGGCGCAGTGGCTCACTACTGCAATCCCAGCAATTTGGGAGGCCGAGGCGGGTGGATCACCTGAGGTCAGGAGTTCGAGACCAGCCTGACCGACATGGAGGAACCCTGTCTCTACTAAAAATACAAAAATTAGCTGGGCGTGGTGGTGGGCTCCTGTAATCCCAGCTACTCGGGAGGCTGAGGCAGGAGAATCGCTTGAACCTGGGAGGCGGAGGTTGCAGTGAGCCAAGATCGCGCCATTGCACTCCAGCCTGGGCAACAAGAGCAAAACTCCGTCTCAAAAAAAATAATGATAATAATAAAGCTGGCTGGGCACGGTGTCTCACACCTGTAATCTCAGCACTTTGGGAGACCTAGGCAGGAGGATTGCGTGAAACCAGTTCAAGACAAGCCTGGGCAATATGGCAAGACGCCTGTCTCTACGAAAAAAAATTTTTCTTTTAACTACCCAGGCATGCTGGTGCGTGCCTGTGGTCCCAGCTATTTGGGAAGCTGAGGCAGGAGGATCGCTTGAGCCCAGGAGGTTGAGGCCGCAGTGATCCATGATCGTGCCACTGCACTCCAGTCCGGGTAACTGAGGAGTAAGACCCTGTCTCAAAAAAAAAAGAAAAAACTAACCTAAACTAAACTAAAGAGACCCTAAAAGGGAGCAGTTTAGAGAACATCCAAGCTTGAATCTTTCTCAGGTAACTACCTTGAGGTAAGTGATACTAAAGGGCATGAAAGCGTCTCTTTTATTTCTTTTTCTTTGAGACAGAGTCTTACTCTGTTGCCCACGCTGGAGTGCAGTGGCACAATCTCGCCTCATTGCAACCTCTGCCTCCCGGGTTCAAGTGATTCTACTGCCTCAGCCTCCCGAGTAGCTGGGATTACAGGTGCCCGCCACCATGCCCAGCTAATTTTTGTATTTTTAGTAAAGATGGGGTTTCAACATGTTGGCCAGGCTGGTCTCGAACTCCTGACCTCAGGTGATCCACCCGCCTTGGCCTCCCACACTGCTGAGATTACAGGCATGAGCCACCGTGCCCGGCCAAGAGCGTCTTTGTGTTGGGTCACTTGGGATGTAGCTTCTTGCTATTTCTTGTTCTACCAAGGTTTTCATTGCCGAGGGCTGCCATAACAGTGTCACCAACTGGGTGGCTTAACACAACAGAAATGTATTCTTTTACAGTTCTGGTAGCTAGAAGTCAGAAATCAAGGTGTCAGCAGGGCCACACTCCCTCTGCAGGCTCTTTCTTGCCTCTTCTAGCTTCTGGTAGCCCCTGGCGTTCCTTGGCTTATGGTTGCATCACTCTAATCTCTGCTTCCATCTTCACATGGCCATCTTCCCTTTATCTCTCTCTGTCATCTCCTCTTACTGTAAAGTGGCCACTAGTCAGGCTAGGCATGGTGGATGGCACCTGTAACCCCAGAGCTTTGGGAGGCCAAGGCGGGAGGATCGCTTGAGGCCAGGAGTTCACGACCAGCCTGAGCAACATAAAAAATACCCCGTCTCTACCAAAAATAAAAAATTAGCCAGGTATAGTGGTGTGCATCTGTAGTCCCAGCTTTTTGGGAGGCTGAGGCAGGAGGATTACTAGAGCCCAGGAATTAGCGACTTCAGTAAGCCATGATCATGCCACTGCACTCCAACCTGGGCAACACAGGGAAACCCTGTCGCTTTAAAAATAATAATAATAGGGCCGGGCGCGGTGGCTCACGCCTGTAATCCCAGCACTTTGGGAGGCCGAGGCGGGCGGATCACGAGGTCAGGAGATCGAGACCATCCCGGCTAAAACGGTGAAACCCCGTCTCTACTAAAAATACAAAAAAATTAGCCGGGCGTAGTGGCGGGCGCCTGTAGTCCCAGCTACTTGGGAGGCTGAGGCAGGAGAATGGCGTGAACCCGGGAGGCGGAGCTTGCAGTGAGCCGAGATCCCGCCACTGCACTCCAGCCTGGGTGACAGAGCGAGACTCCGTCTCAAAAAAAAAAAAAAAAAAAAAAAAAAAAAATAATAATAATAATAATAATAGTAAGGCCAGGTGCGGTGGCTCACGCCTGTAATCCCAGCACTTTGGGAGGATGAGGCAAGCAGATCACGAGGTCAGGAGTTCGAGACCAGTCTGGCCAACATAGTGAAACCCCGTCTCTATTAAAAATTACAAAAAAATTAGCCGGGCGTGGTGGTGGGCACCTGTAACCCCAGCTACTCAGGAGGCTGAGGCAGGAAAATTGTGTGAACCCGGGAGGCAGAGGTTGCAGTGAGCCGAGATCGCGCCATTGCACTCCAGCCTGGGTGACAGTGCGAGACTCTGTCTCCAAACAAACAAATAATAACAATAATAATAATAATAATAATAATAATAATAATAATAATAAATAAAAGACACTAGTCCAATATTTCCAAAAACAAACAAACAAAAACACTAAGCTGTGGCTGGACGAGGCAGCTCATGCCTGTAATCCCAGCACTTTGGGAGGCCAAGGCAAGAGGATCACTTGAGGAGTTCAAGACCAGCCTGGCCAACATGGCGAAACCCTGTCTCTACTGAAAATACAAAAATTAGCCAGACGTGGTGGCAAGTGCCTGTAATCCCAGCTACTCGGAAGGCTGAGGCAGGGGAACCGCTTGAACCCAGGAAGCGGAGGTTGCAGTGAGCCGAGATCGCACCATTGCACTCCAGCCTGGGTGACAGGACGAGACTCCATCTCAAAAAAAAAAACTAAGCTGTTATATAACAGAGACCCAAGAATGTAGCAGTTTCAAGAATATCCAAGAATGAAGTCATTTTGGACTGGGGCCCACCTTAATGACATCATTTAACTTGGTAATATCTGCAAATAGATTTCCAAATCAGGTCTCATTCACAGACACTGAGGGATAAGACTTTGACATATCTTTGAGGGGACACAAGGTAACTCCTAACAGCCATCACCTCGAGCACTGTCCCCGTTGCAGGGTTGATGCTGGGATGGAGGAATGTCCCTGTTTCTACTCCATGGAGGAGAAAGAGCACAGAGTAGCCCACACTTGGTGTTAGAAGGCCCGTACCCAGAAATGCCATGCCTCATCACTGTTCATTTTTCACTGGACGGACGGTGCCCTCCATGGCTACACCTGGCTACAATGAAGGCTGGGACAAGTAACCCTTAACTGGGCCACCATGCAAGGTGAAACAGCACCACTGCTATGCAAGCAAAAGAAAGCAAACTTTGGTCTGGGCACGGTGGCTCACGCCTATAATCCCAGCACTTTGGGAGGTCGAGGAGGGCGGTTCACGAGGTCAGTAGTTCGAACCCAGCCTGATCAACATGGAGAAACCCCATATCTACTAAAAATACAAAGGGCGTGGTGGCATGCATCTGTAATCCCAGCTACTCGGGAGGCTAAGGCAGGAGAATCACTTGAACCCAGGAGGCAGAGGTTGCAGTGAGCTGAGATCGCTCCATTGCCATTGCACTCCAGCCTGGGCAACAAGAGTGAAACTCCGTCTGAAAAAAAAGAAAAAAGAAAGAAAGCAAATTGTACGATGCCAGCTTCCCCTAATCTGAGCGTCTTACATAACCATGCCACATTTGTCAAAACTATGATATTAACATTGGTACAATACTATTAAGTAGACTTCATTCAATATCACTGTCTTTTTTGGCCAGGCCCGGTGGCTCACGCCTGTAATCCCAACACTTTGGGAGGCCGAGGCAGGCAGATCACTTGAGGTCAGTTCAAGACCAGCCTGGCCAACACGGTGAAACCCCATCTCTATTAAAAATACAAAAATTAGCTGGGCATGGTGGCACAAGCCTTTAATCCCAGCTACTCTGGAGGCTGAGGCAGGGGAATCGCTTGAACCCAGGAGGTGGAGGTTGCAGTGAGCCAAGATCATGCCATTGCACTCCAGTCTGGGTGACAGAGCACGACTCTATCTTGGGAAAAAAATAATAATAAATTTTTTTTAAATAAAATTAAGGGCAGGGAGTGGTGGCTCACGCCTGTAATCCCAACACTTTGGGAGGCCAAGGCAGGTGGACCATGAGGTCAGGAGTTCGAGACCAGCCTGGCCAATATGGTGAAACCTCGTCTCTGCTAAAAATACAAAAATTAGCCGGGCATGGTGGCATGCACCTGTAGTCCCAGCTACTCAGGAGGCTGAGGCAGAAGAATCGCTTGAACCCGGAAGGCGGAGGTTGCAGTCAGCTGAGATCGTGCCACTGCACTCCAGCCTGGGCGACAGAGCGAGACTCCATCTCAAAAAGAAAAATAAATAAATAATAATAACAATAATAATAAAATAAATTAAATTAAGTCTCTTGCTCACAAGAGGATAAATGATAGGCATGGTTTCAACATGCTTTTCTAATAGCAATGAGATGGGACATTTCAACTCTTTAGACACTTTTCCCCTTGGCTGTATATTTTTGTGCCACTTCCTGGAATTAAGAGCATATTGTGGGCCAGGCTTAGTGGCGCACGCCTGTAATCCCAGCTACTCGGGAGGCTGAGGTACAAGAATCACTTGAACCTGGGAAGAGGAGGTTGCAGCGAGCCGAGATCACACCACTGCACTCCACAGCCTGGGAGACAAAGTGAGATCAGTCTCAAAACAAACAAACAAACAAACAAACAAACAAACAAAAAAACGTTAAAATGAAGGCTATAGTTTAGATTCATCCCCCCCACCCAAGGCCAACCACCCATAACCACACAAAGTTTGTCATCTTGATTCCCCTGAAATGCTAGCTCTAATCATAAATGAAACATGAAAATGTAAGTTTTACATCCTTGTCAGCATGATTCAGTGAAATTAAACCAATCGGCTGTAGACAAATGAGCTTAAACGGGTCTATTTGCCTTAAAAAGAAGTTAATGTAAAACAGCCAATCACAAAAAAGCTCAAAATACTTCCTCCTTTATGCCTTATAAACTTGCCCTAACTGCTGTAAGAGAACTTCTTACCACTTGATTTGACATCTCCTGAATCAAGACTTGCTGTATGACAAAGAACTTTTAATTTTTTTCTAACTGTATCTGATTTTATATATGTATGTATGTATGTGTGTGTGTGTGTGTGTGTGTGTGTGTGTGTATATATTTGTTTTGTTTTGTTTTGTTTTAGACAGTCTTGGCCTATCATTGAGCTGGAGTGCAGTGGCATGATCTCGGCTCACTGCAACCTCTGCCTCCTGGGTTCAAGTGATTCTCAAGCCTCAGCCTCCCGAGTATCTGGGATTACAGGTGCCCACTACCATGCTGGGCTAATTTTTGTATTTTTGGTAGAGATGGGCGTTCACTATGTTTGCCAGGCTGGTCTCAAACTCCTGACCTCAGGTGATCCACCCGCCTCGGCCTCCCAGAGAGCTGGGATTACAGGCGTGAGCCACCGCGCCAGGCCTGATTATATTTTTGACACTAAAAGTATCGTATGCAGGAAGACAGCTGGCACACACGGAAACTTCATGCAAATAGAATGAAGTATGCTCTCTAAAAGACAAATTAGAAGAAGGTGCCCTATCCTCCAACTTGGAGAACACAGCCTAGGCCGGACTTCAGCCCCATTCTCATGCCCTCGGCCAGGCACACTTGTTCAGGGCACAACCTGCACAATCGTACACAGTGGCCCTGACTATGTCTGTATGCAACTACAAAAACAATAGGCCGGACGCGGTGGTTCACGCCTGTAATCCCAGCACTTTGGGAAGCCGAGGTGGGCAGATCACAAGATCAGGAGTCCCAGAACAGCCTGGCCAATATGGTGAAACCCCGTCTCTACTAAAAGTACAAAAATTAGCCGGGCATGGTGGCGGGCCCTTGAAGTCCCAGCTACTCGGGAGGCTGAAGCAGGAGAATTGCTTGAACCCGGGAGGCAGAGGTTGCAGTGAGCCGAGATCGCACCACTGCACTCCAGCCTAGGCGACAGAGCAAGATTCAGTCTCAAAAAAAAAAGTGAAGAGAAAAGAGGATCCGGTATCCAAATGTGTTTTATATAAAATGAATCGTTTTCAGTGCACTGAGGAAGTTTTCTATTTAAAGAAATCCTGCTGTGAACTCTTTTGTGAAGAATGCTTTCCTAATGGAATTAGTCACCACTGAGTCATTTCTGCAAACTTCAGGTTTGCGGTTTTGCCTAAGCAAGATCTGGCCGGAGAAGTGAGATAAATTATAGATGTCGCTAATAAATTACAGATTACTCAAAGGCAAAAGAGGAAAGAAAAAAAAAAATTGACTCGTGTATATGAACCGAATTGAGTCAGGGGTCTCCACCGGCGCTTAATCATGGCCGAGATCCTCCTGCTTCTGCCTGTCCTTTGGTAGACACACGCTACAAGTCAGCTTCTGTCCATCGAGGAAGGGAACGAACTAACAACAAAGAACAATTAAGAGAAGGTTGGCCCCGTGAAAACAAGGGACCATTGAAGAGCGAGTAAAGGCTTGGCCACGTTCTGGCCCCGCCCCACCCCGGTCGCCCTGACAACAGCGCCGGCGTCTGGGCTGAGCTTCGGACTCGCAGCCAGCCTCCCACAGGCCACCGCGCGCGCTCACTTGCGCATGCGCCTCGGAGCTGGCTTCAACCAGCGAAGGCTGAACCCGCTTCCAGGGTCCTCGCCGAGCTGGGAGTTAGGATCCGAGGGGGCCAAGAGGGATAAGAAAACTTCTCTGGGTGCCCACGTGGTACTGAGCGCCCTTGGGAGGGCTCTGGAGAAGACCATCGCCTTCCAGGGTAGCTCCCTCCCTCAAAGGTTTGAGATCATGGTCCAGTTCTCGGGTCTCCCAGCCTCAGTTTCCCCATTTGTAGGAAAGGCGTTCACAGCCTCTATCTCAGAGGAGGCTTTGAGGATTCAGAGAGCTCAGAAGAGGGTAGGCTTTGTGGTGAGCGCTGGGTAGGACTTCGGGGTGGGAGTGGTGGGCTGAAGAGTCCCCGACAACAGCCCGAGGAAGTATTATTATTGTTCTTATTTTACAGGGAAGGAAACTGAGGTCCAGAAAAGTTATGACTCGCCCCAAGGGGATTGCCTGGCAGGACGTGAAGGGGAAGAGGCCCACCCTGGAGTAACCCTCACTGGAGAATCCAGAGGTGAGATGAGCCTTGTACCTATCTCAGCAGAGGGAGTAGGATAATATTTAAATATTAAGGGTGGGGAGAAGGAATGAAGGCAAGAAATAAAATGCCCAAAATGCCCCAAACGCCATCCGGACCATAAAAGTGATGGCGATAGTGTTGGACTTAGGAGCTCAAAGATGCTAACCTTGACAGGCCTGGTGGCCCAAGTCTGTAGTCTCAGCTACTTGGAAGGCTGAGGCAGGAGGATCGCTTTAGCCCAGGAGTGCCAATCCCTCCTGGGCAACATAGTGAGATCCTTGTTTCCTTAAAAAAAAAAAAAAAGTGCATACTTTCTTTCTTTTTTTTTTTTTTTTTGCGACAGAGTCTCACTCTGTTGCCCAGGCTGGAGTACAGTGGCACGATCTCGGCTCACTGCAACCTCTGCCTTCCCGGTCCAAGCAGCTCTCCTGCCTTAGCCTCCCAGTAGCTGGGACTACAGGCATGCACCACCACACTCAGCTAATTTCTGTATTTTTAGTAGAGACCGGGTTTCACCGTGTTGGCCAGACTGGTCTCAAACTCCTGACCTCAAGTGATCCACCTGCCTCTTCCTCCCAAAGTGCTGGGATTACAGGCATGAGCAACTGCACCCGGCATAAAAAATGCATACCTTTTGAAATTTTTTTTTTTTTTTTGAGACGGGGTCTTGCTCTGTCACCCAGGCTGGAGTGCAGTGGCGCGATCTCGGCTCACTGCAAGCTCTGCCTCCCAGGTTCACGCCATTCTCCTGCCTCAGCCTCCCGAGTAGCTGGGACTACAGGTGCCCGCCACCTCACCCGGCTAATTTTTTGTATATTTAGTAGAGACGGGGTTTCATGGTGTTAGCCAGGATAGTCTCGATCTCCTGACCTCGTGATCCACCTGTCTCGGCCTCCCAAAGTGCTGGGATTACAGGCATGAGCCACCACGCCCGGCCTTGCTGGAAAATTCTTAAGCCCACCTGGCATCTCCATCTTAGTCAAACGGCCCACCAACTTCCTGTTCAAACTGAGCTATTTTGATTTCTGAGTTTGTTAACCTTGGCACTACTGGCATTCGGGGCCGGATCATTCTTTGTAGTGCAAAGGCTGTCCTGTGCACTGTGAGAAGTTGAGCAGCATATCCAGCCTCTGCTCATTAGACGCCATAGCCAGGCACGGTGGCTGACGCCTGTAATCCCAGCACTTTGGGAGGCCGAGGTGGGTAGATCACCTGAGGTCAGGAGTTCAAGACCAGTCTGACCAACATGGAGAAACCCTGTCTCTACTAAAAATACAAAATTAGCTGGGCGTGGTGGCACATGCCTCTAATCCCAGCTACTCGGGAGGCTGAAGCAGGAGAATCGCATGAACCCAGAAGGTGGAGGTTGTAGTGAGCCGAGATCATGCCATTGCACTCCAACCTGGGCAACGAGAGTGAAACTCCATCTCAAAAAAACAAAAAACGAACATTAGACGCCATGAACACTCCCTCCCAACCCAATTTGTCACAACCAAAAATGTCTGCAGACATTGCCCCTGAAGGGGTGAAGATGGCTCCTATTGAGAAACACTGGCCATGAGCCAAGAATTAAAAGAGAGAAATCTGTTAGTTTTCACTAAATAGATTTGAATTCTTTATTTTATTTTATTGTTTTTGTTTCATTTTATTTTGAGAGGCAGGATCTCACTCTGTCCCCCAGGCTGGAGTACAGTGGTGCAATCATGACTCACTGTAGCCTCCAACTCCTGAGCTCAAGGGATCCTCCCACTTCAGCCTCCCTAGTAGCTGGGACTATAGGCATGCACCACCCTGCTTGGCTAATTTTTGTATCTTTTGTAGAGACAGGGTCTCACTATGTTGCCCAGGCTAGTCTCAAACTCTTGGCCTCAAGAGACCCTCTCACCTCAGTTTCCCAAATTGTTGAGATTACAGGCGTGAGCCAGCACGCCTGGTCTTGAATTCTTTAACCATTGTCCTCTACCAGAAAGTATACACTATATTAATTCTCTCACTGTAGAGATTGTTTTTTTTTTTTTGAGATGGAGTCTCGTTCTGTCACCCAGACTGGAGTGCAATGGCACGATCTTCACTCACTGCAACCTCTGCCACCGGGTTCAAGTGATTCTCCTGCCTCACCCTCCCAAGTAGCTGGGATTACAGGGACACACCACCACGTCTGGCTATTTTTGTATTTTTAGTAGAGACAGAGTTTCACCATGTTGGCCAGGCTGGTCTTGAACTCCTGGCCTCAAGTGATCCGCCCGCCTCGGCCTCCCGAAGTGCTGGGATTACAGGCGTGAGCCACCGCGCCCGGCCCTTTTTTTGTTTGTTTTAAGACAGGTTCTCACTCTACCACCCAGCCTGGAGTGCAGTGCTGCAAACATAGCTCACTGCAGCCTCAACCTCCTGGGCTCAAAGGGTCCTCTCACCTCAGCCTCCCAGGTAGCTGGGATTACAGGTGTGCTCCACCATGCACAGCTAATTGGTTTTTGGTTTTAGTTTTGGTTCTGTTTTGTAGAAGTGAGGCCTCACTTTGTTGCCCAGGCTGGTCTCAAACTCCCTGGGGCTCAAGTGATCCTCCCACCTCAGCCTCCCAAAGTGCTGGGATGGGCACAAGCTTCTGCACCTGGCTAAGATTCTTAAAATAGCCAGATTTTCTGGAAACTGGTTGACCCAGTTGGATTATATGAAACACAATGGATGATTGTAATCAACAGTTCAACTGAGTGGAACTAGCCCTGGCCAAGGATCAGGAGATCTTAGCAGGGCACAGCGGCTCATGCCTGTAATCCAGCACTTTGGGAAGCCTAGGCGGGTGGATCACCTGAGGTCAGGAGTTCAAGACCAGCCTGGCCAACATGGTGAAACCCCATCTCTACTAAAAATACAAAAAATTAGTCGGGCATGGTGGTGGGCACCTGTAGTCTCAGCTGCTCCCAGCTGAGGCAGGAGAATCGCTTGAACCTGGGAGGCAGAGGTTGCAGTGAGCCGAGATTGCGCCACCGCACTCCAGCCTGGAAGACAGAGCGAGACTCTGTCTCAAGAAATCAGGAGACTTGAGTCTGTTGCCAGTTCTACCATTACAAGCTCTGTGACATTATCACTTAACTTTTCCCTGGACTTGTTTTCCCCTCTGTCAAATGAGGATGTTGAGGTGATTTCTAAGGACTTACAAACACCCAGATTCTGACAGGATGCTCCCTCCCCGTCCCCCACCAGAAGTTATTGAAGCCGCCCAGCCACCCCAGTGTCTGTGTTTTTTTTTTTTTTCTCCAGCCCCCAGCCCAGTCCCCTAAACACATCTTTTGGAGTCAGCTCTTCCAAGCTGTTGTTACCACTCAGACAAACTCATTATTATTCCTGATGCTAATGGGTAAATTACGGTGGTGGTTAACACAGCAGTGGCAGGGGCTCCTTTGTGGGAAATTATGGTGTTTAAGCACAAGACACCCTGGGGTTTGCCTGAGGAAAAATAAAATTTAAAACTGGCCTCTTGCGGCCGGGTGCGGTGGCTCACGCCTGTAATCCCAGCACTTTGGGAAGCCAAGGCGGGCGGATCACGAGGTCAGGAGATCGAGGCCATCCTGGCTAACACGGTGAAACCCCATCTCTACTAAAAATACAGAAAATTAGCCGGGCGTGGTGGGGGGCACCTGTAGTCCCAGCTACTCGGGAGGCTGAGGCAGGAGAATGGCATGAACCTGGGAGGCAGAGCTTGCAGTGAGCCGAGATCGCGCCACTACACTCCAGCCTGGGTGACAGAGGGAGACTCCGTCTCAAAAAAAAAAAAAATGGCCTCTTGCTCCACGATGTGGTGTGTATTTTAGGAGTATCCCAAGTCTGGAATATAGGAATATCCAAGTAAATTATAGGATATACCAATATCATTAGTTCTTCTGACCTGGCTAATATGTATACAAAGAGCCATAGCTCCTCCCTTTAATTAATTCTCTAGAGCATCCACCTGCTTTTCTTTCTTTCTTTTTTTTTTTTTTTTTTTTTTGTGACGGAGTTTGACTCTGTCGCTCAGGCTGGAGTGCAGTGGCACAATCTCGGCTCACTGCAGCCTCCATCTCCTGGGTTCAAGTGATTCTCCTGCCTCAACCTCCCAAGTAGCTGGGATTACAGGCACCTGCCACTAAGCCCGGCTAATTTTTGTATTTTTTAGTAGAGACAGTTTTTCTCCATGTTGGCCAGGCTGGTCTTGAACTCTGGACCTCAAATGATCCACCTGCCTCGGCCTCCCAAAGTGCTGGGATTATAGGCATAAGCCACCGTGCCCAGCCTAATTTTATTTTGTACTTACCCAAATACTCTAAGTACTTACCCAAAGACTCCCTCATTCATTTATTGATTCATTCATTCAGTGTATTTACTGAGTGCTACTACGTAGCTCTAAATGTTGGAGATGCAGTGATAAACAAAATAGGCAGTCTTTGCCGTTTTGTTTTCCATTTTTTTAAGAGACAGGGTCTCGGCCAGGTGCGGTAGCTCACGCCTGTCGTCCCAGCACTTTGGGAAGCCGAGGCAGGTGGATCACCTGAGGTCAGGAGTTCGAGACCAGCCTGGCCAACATGGCGAAATCCCGTGTCTACTAAAAATACAAAAATTAGCCAGGTGGTGGGAAGCTGTGATCCTAGCTACTCGGGAGGCTGAGGCAGGAGAATGGCTTGAACCCAGGAGGCGGAGGTTGCGGTGAGCTGAGATCGTGCCACTGTGCTCCAGCCTGAGCAACACAGCAAGACTCATTCTCAAAAAAAAAAAAAAAAGAAAAAAGAGGGTCTCGCTCTGTCACCCATGCTGGAGTGCAGTGGCACAGTCATAGCTCACTGCAGCCTCAAACTCCAGGGCTCAAGTGATCTTCCTGCCTCAGTCTCCACGCTATCTGTGACTATAAGCACATGACAACACCCAGCCTAGTTTTTAAACTTTTTTTGTAGAGCATCTCACTATGTTTCACAGGCTGGTCTTGAACCCCTGGGCTCAAGGGATCCTCCCACTGCAGCCTCCCAAAAATGCTGGGATTACAGGCATGATCCACTGTGCCTGGCCACTTCTTTGCTCTCTTCAGCTTTTGTTCTAGTGTCTTCAGTTTGGATGATACTGGTCAGACCATTTTCTAGGAGCAGGATCCCAATTCTTCAAGTTCCTGCTCTTCCTGGGTAGTTCATAGAATCTTCTGGCCCTTTGTCCTAATCCAACAACTGCAGAGTACATAGAAAAGCAGGTAGGGCTGGGCGCGGTGGCTCACACCTGTAATCCCAGCACCTTGGGAGGCCGAGGCAGGTGGATCACGAGGTCAGGAGTTCAAGACCAGCCTGACCAACATGGCAAAATCCCGTCTCTACTAAAAATACAAAAATTAGCCAGGCATGGCGGCGAGCGCCTGTAATCCCAGCTACTCAGGAGGCTGAGGCAGGGGAATCGCTGGAACCTGGGAGGTGGAGGTTGCAGTGAGCTGAGATCATGCCACTGCACTCCAGCCTGAGCGACAGAGCAAGACTCCATCTCAAAAAATAAATAAATAAATTTAAGTTAGCCAGATGTAGCTGGTTAGTCTCCTATTGGACAGTTCTAGACCATACTCCATGCCCTTGGGAAATAATATAAATGAGACAGTTTTCCAAAGGTAAATAAGCTTCAGGAATGCCAACAAAGTGCTGCTAGCTCTTTGTATGGATGAATCTATCAGAATGATCACTCTTCTGGCCTTCCCTGCTTCGAAACAGGCCATCTGCCCCTTGGTGTTGAGTATCCCAGTAGCCATTGGGTTCTAGACCAAGCTGGACACAGTGATTCTTGTGATTCAAATGTTTCTCCTCAACTGAAAAAGCTCAGGGTGTCTTTTGGACTGTCCCTCAAAACCTAGCTTTCCACTAATTAGTGAAGCATGACTTTTCCATGCCATGTCTGTTCTGGGAAGTTTCCTCTTCATCGTGGCCTTGGGCCCCAGGGAAATTTCAGTGGATGAGCAGAAGAAGTGGAAAAGGGGATGAAAAGTCAGGTGGAATGACATCATCCATCATTATGGCATCATCACAGCTCTTACATCATTGTCATCATAGATTGTCACTGTTATGGATTGATTTTCTTCTGATTCTTGGTATCCATTTCTTCACATGTGTTTAAAACTCTTTTGACTGACTGCTTACCTAACAGAAGTTTCTTGTGTTGAGTTCCTTTGCCAGATAAAAACAAAATAAGGCTGGGTACAGTGGCTCACACCTGTAATCCTAGCACTTTAGAAGGCCAAGGCGGGCGGATCACTTGAGATCAGGAGTTCAAAACCAGCCTGGCCAACACGGTGAAACCCCGTCTCTATTAAAAATACAAAAAAGCCGGGCGTGGTGGCTCACGCCTGTAATCCCAGCACTTTGGGAGGCCGAGGCGGGCAGATCACGAGGTCAGGAGATCGAGACTATCCTGGCTAACACGGTGAAACCCCGTCTCTACTAAAAATACAAAAATTAGCCGGGCATGGTGGTGGGTGCCTATAGTCCCAGCTACTCGGGAGGCTGAGGCAGGAGAATGGTGTGAACCCGGGAGGCGGAGCTTGCAGTGAGCCGAGATCGAGCCACTACTGCACTCCAGCCTGGATGACAGAGCAAGACTCTGTCTCAAAAAAAAAAAAAAAAAAAAAATTAGCTGTGCATGGTGGTGGGCACCTGTAATCCCAGCTACTTGGGAGGCTGAGACAGGAGAATTGGTTGAACCCGGGAGACAGAGGTGGCAGTGAGCCGAGATTGCACCACTGCACTCCAGCCTAGGTGACAGAGCAAGACTCCATCTCTAAATAAATAAATAAACAAACAAACAAATGGATTTATGGTTATTTATATAAATCAGTTGCACTCAAATACATATAGCCCTCCATTGTCTTTAACCTTTTTAAGAGACAGGGTCTCTCTGTCACCCATACTGAAGTACCATGGTGCGATCACAGCTCACTGCAGCCTCAAACACCTGGGCTCAAGCAATCCTCCTGCCTCAGCCTCCCGAGTAGCTGGGACTACAGGTACATGCCACCACACCCAGCTGACATATTTTCATTTTAACTTTTTTATAGAGACAGGGTCTCCTTGTGTTGCCTAAGTTCATTGTCTTACTAGTGCATTCTTTAATATGTTTTGATATTTGACCTCTAAGAGAGCTGTATACATTCACATTAGCTGGAAACTCTAATTCTTTATTCCTTCAACTCTACTCTATGGATTTGGAAGCTCTAGCTATGGCAAACACTCCCTCGGTTTGTTAAAATGTGTGGTTGTGGTTGGAACCCACCTCCCTGATACTGGCACCACTGGCCTTATTCCTGCCTTTGTGGGCCACAGAGATCCAACCCCTCTTCCCACATACCAGGCCTCCAGCTCCTTCTCCTCTCTAGGAACCCAAAGTTTGAGTCTAGTCCTGGCTTCTTTATCCTTCCAGTCACCAATTAGAGCTCAGAAAGCAGGTCAAATAAGTTAGAATTTTTTTTTTAAGTTCTGGGATACATGTGCAGAACGTGCAGGTTTGTTACACAGCTATATATGTGCTGTGGTGGTTTGCTGCACCTATCAATCCATCATCTAGGTTTTAAGCCCCACATGCATTACGTATTTGTCCTAATGCTCTTCCTCCCCTTGGCCCCCATTCCCTGACAGGCCCCAGTGTGTGATGTTCCCCTCCCTGTGTCCACGCGTTCTCATTGTTCAACTCCCACTTATGAGTGAGAACATGCGGTGTTTGGTTTCTGTATGTTTACTGCATTACTATTTACAATAGCAAAGACTTGGAACCAACCCAAATGCCCACCAATGCTATCACTGGATTAAGAAAATGTGGCACATATATACCATGGACTACCATGCAGCCATAAAAAATTGAGTTCATGTCCTTTGCAGGGACATGCATGAAACTGGAAGCCATCACTCTCAGCAAACTAACATAAGTTAGAAATTTTAATTTATTTTTGTTTGAGACAGAATCTTGCTCTGTCACCCAGGCCGAGTACAGTGATGAGATCATGGCTCACTGCAGCCTCCACCTTCTAAGCTCAAGCAATCTTTCCACCTCAGCCTCTTGAGTAGCTTGGACTACAGGCACGTGCCACTATGCCTGGCTAATTTTTTGTTTTTTGTAGAGACAGGGGTCTCACCATGTTGCCGAGGCTGGTCTTGACCTCCTGGCCTCAAGTGATCCTCCCGCTTTTGCCTCTCAAAGCACTGGGGTTACAGGCATGAACCACCATGCCCAGCCAGTTAGACGTTTTTTGTTTTTTTGTTTGTTTGTTTGTTTTTTATGTGATGGAGTCTCGCTCTGTCACCCAGGCTAGAGTGTAGTGGCGCAATCTTGGCTCACTGCAACCTCTGCCTCCGAGTTCAAGCAATTCTCCTGCCTCAGCCTCCCGAATAGCTGGGATTACATGCGTGCGCCACCACGCCCGGCTAATCTTTGTATTTTTAGTGGAGATGGGGTTTCACCATATTGGTCAGGCTGGTCTTGAACTCCTGACCTCGCGATCTGCCTCCCTTGGGCTCCCAAAGTGCTGGGATTACAGGCGTGAGCCACCGTGCCCGGCCTTAGACATTTTTATATTTGGTTTGTGGCTGTGATCAAAGCCATTTGGGATGTCTGCCCAGCCCTACCCTCTTCATATGAGCACATCCAACCCTCAATTGCAGCCCTGCGCATAGGGTTCAGCTAAGCCACACCCAGATTCCTGACCCAAAGAAACAGTGAGATAATAAATGTTTTAGGCCTCTATACTTTGGGGTAATTTGTTACGCAACCAGAGATAAGTAATATATTGTCAAAACCAGGTAGGCTTTAATTAGTCTTTCCAGATGTCTGTTTCTTTCTTTGTGCTGGCTGGAGGCCTTTGGCTTTTATAGATTTCTTTTTTTTTTTTTTTTTTTTGAGACGGAGTTTCGCTCTTGTTGCCCAAGCTGCAGTGCAATGGCGTGATCTCAGCTCACTGCAACCTCTGCCTCCTGGGTTCAAGTGATTCTCCTGCCTCAGCCTCCTGAGTAGCTGGGATTACAGGTGCACGCCACCATGCCTGGCTAATTTTTGTATTTTTAGTAGAGATGGGGTTTCACCGTGTTGGTCAGGCTGATCTCAAACCCCTGACCTCATGATCGGCCCACCTCAGCCTCCCGAAGTGCTGGGATTACAGGTGTGAGCCACCATGCCTGGCCAGAAATTTTTTTTTAAGAGATGGGGTCTTTCTTTGATGCCCAGGCTGGAGTGGTGGGAGGATGACTTGAGCACAGGAGCCCAAGAGTAGCCTGGGCAACACAGGAAGACCTCGTTTCTACAAATTAAAAAAAAAAAAAAAAATTAGCTAGGCATGGTGCCTGTGGTCCCAACTACTCAAAAAGCTGAGGTGTGAGGACGGCTTGAACCTGGGAGTTCAAGGCTGCAGTGATTGCACCACTGCACTTCAGCCTGGGTGACAGTGGAGACCCTGTCTCAAACCAAACCAAACAAAACAAAACAAAACAAAAGAAGCTATTGGAGGGCCTTATAAGCTGCCTCAGAACCAAGGACTTCCTAACTTTCTCTTGTTTCTCCCCATCTCCCAAGCACAGGGAGGGGCTCTCTTTGGAAGTTCCCTTATTTGACTGATGAAAACTTCTTCCAAAAGAAATGCAGTTGTCTTAAGATGACTCCTCCCTAAGAATCTCATCAAATATCCAGGAAATATTAACCACTGGCAAAGAGAAAAGACTAAAAATTGGCATCATGTCCAAACAGACTTCATCTACTCCTCTCTGTGCAGCTTGGAGAGATTACATGGGAGACTTTATCTACATAATAAGACGGCCTTTGTTCACAATGAAGTTCTGCCCTCACCTTTCTGTCGCCTCCCCAAGAGCTCAGAGGAACTTTGTCCCAGGCCACTGTCTGTTCATTGGGCTTCATCAGTTCCCCTGAACATCATTCATTTCCCCTCAAAACTGCCTACATTCCCCATTTCTCTCTCCCCTAGGAAGACAGTATTTAACTCACAACCATCTGGTCCTTCTTTGAGTCCCACTTTTTTTTTTTTTTTTTTTTTTTTTTTTGAGACGGAGTCTCACTGTCGCCAGCGCTGGAGTGCAGTGGCGCAATCTCGGCTCACTGCAACCTCCGCCTCCCGGGTTCAAGCGATTCTCCTGCCTCAGCCTCCCAAGTAGCTGGCATTACAAGTCTCACATTTTATATGGCTCCCATGCTTACGCATAAATGTCTGTGCCCTTTCTTTTGTTAATCTGTCTATTGTCAGCTCATTTCAGTGAAACTTCAGAACGTGAAAGGGAAGTTTTCCCTTTGCCCTATGCCTTCCTTTCCCTGTATCAATTCCTTTGGCCCCACCAGAACTGGCCTGCATTTGGTATCTTTATAGAACAGCCTCTTTGTATCCCAGGCTGATGTTCAGGCTCCATCACTTGCCCTGTGCATTAAGTAGTAACAGTGAGACTCTACAAGCCAAGGCTTCTCATTCTCCCCTCTCTAGGAAGTCCTGCTCCCAAGATGACATTCTGTGCCTTTTCAGTCACTAACTCTTGGTTCAGGTACAAGACAAGGGCTCAAGCAAAATCCAGATGGACTGAGTGAGATTATTGGGGTGAAATGCAGTTCCCTCTCATTCCTGGGGATCAGCGAGCATGCCTCCCTACAGCACACCCCCCACCTGACTCATTCTGCCTCATCCAGGTCAGAGGTCCCTCCTTACAGGAGTTCTTACAGAAACCAACTGAGGTCTGCTTACCCAGCACAGTAAAACCAGATACCCACACTAAGGTCTTTGCAGTGATAGAAAGAAAGGTGTTTATTGCAGGGCACCATGCAAGGAGAATCAGGGCAGCTCATGCTTAAGACCTGAAATCACCAATGGCTTGCAGGTGGGGGTTTTTTAAGGCAGGTGTAAATTTCAGTAAACCAGAAGCTACAAGCAAAATCATAAATCAATGCATGGAGATTACACATTGGTTTCCACTTAAAAAGGCAGGATATCTTAAAGTGGGGGCTTACAGGTCGTAGATAGATTTAAACATCTAGGCAGGGCACGGTGGCTCACGCCTGTAATCCTAATACTTTGGGAGGCCAAGATGGGAGGATTACCTGAGGTCAGGAGTTCGAGACCAGCCTCGCCAACATGACGAAGCCCTGTCTCTACTAAAAATACAAACATTAGCCGGATGTGGTGGCACATGCCTGTGATCCTTGCTACTCGGGAGGCTGAGGCAGGAGAATCGCTTGAACCTGGGAAGTTGAGGTTGCAGTGAGCCGAGATCATGCCACTGTACTCCAGCCTGGGCGACAGCAAGACTCAGTCTCAGGAAAAAAAAAAGAAAAAGAAAAAAATAGAAAGCCTGGGCGCAGTGGCTCACGCCTGTAATCCCAACACTTTGGGAGGCCAAGATGGGAGGATTACCTGAGGTCAGGAGTTCGAGACCAGCCTGGCCAACATGACGAAGCCCTGTCTCTACTAAAAATACAAAAATTAGCCGGATGCGGTGGCACATGCCTGTGATCCTCGCTACTCGGGAGGCTGAGGCAGGAGAATCGCTTGAACCTGGGAGGTTGAGGTTGCAGTGAGCCGAGACCACGCCACTGCACTCCAGCCTGGGCAAGACTCAGTCTCAGGAAAAAAAAGAAAAAGAAAAAAATAGGCTGGGCGCAGTGGCTCACGCCTGTAATCCCAACACTTTGGGAGGCCGAGGCGGGTGGATCACGAAGTCAGGAGTTCAAGCCAGCCTGGCCAGCATAGTGAAACCTCGTCTCTACTATAGATACAAAAATTAGCTGGGCATGGTGGCAGGTGCCTGTAATCCCAGCTACTTGGGAAGCTGAGGCAGGAGAATCACTTGAACCCGAGAGGTGAAGGTTGCAGTGAGCCGAGATCACGCCACAGGACTCCAGCTTGGGCAACAGAGACTTAGTCTCAAAAAAAAAAAGAAAAGAAAAAGATTTAAACATCTTCTGATTTGCAATGGATTAAGGAAGAGAAGCTTTGTTTAAAAATTTTGAGTCAGTAGAAACATGTCAACTGGTTAGGGGAAGTAACTTTCTCCAAGCCCCTCAGGAGGAAACTTGGAACAAAAGGGACATAAAGTTTAGTCTTCACTTCCCCCTTATCTGGGGTTTCCAAGACTCTGAAAGACAATTCAGGGACATATGTTAAGATGTTATCTTTAATTTCTATAGGGAAACCAAACATCTCTGGGACTCTAACTTCCTTAGCTTTTGTTTTGGATCATTATGTCTTTTTTGTTTAACAAGTTACTTATTTACTTCTCAAGGCTAGCTAGGGGCCTGGAATTTCCCTTGAAGGAACTCAGAAATTTCCTTTGTTTCCATGCTTGGGGTCTCGTAAAAAAGGGGATCCCTGCTCTGTCTCAGGGTCTTACTGACCCTCACTCCAGCCCATTCTCAAACACCCTACCCTCTTTAAAAATTTCTCTGGGGTTAGGCCGGGCGCAGTGGCTCACGCCTGTAATCCCAGCACTTTGGGAGGCCGAGACGGGCGGATCACGAGGTCAGGAGATGGAGACCATCTTGGCTAACATGGTGAAACCCCGTTTCTACTAAAAATACAAAAAATTAGCCGGGTGTTGTGGCGGGCGCCTGTAGTCCCAGTTACTCGGGAGGCTGAGGCAGGAGAATGGCGTGAACCCGGGAGGCGGAGCCTGCAGTGAGCCGAGATCATGCCACTGCACTCCAGCCCAGGCAACAGAGCGAGACTCCGTCTCAAAAAAAAAAAAAAAGATTTTTCTGGGGTCTCATGGTCTTTTAAGTCAAATGCATACAACCCAAAACAGTATAGCTCAGAGGACAAGGGAACAAGGTTTAGCATGAGCAGTTGTAGGTCAGCTCCTCCACCCCTCACTAACTGTGCGACTTAACCTCTCTGGGCCTGTCTCACCATCTGTAAAACAGAAATGATGAAAAGTATCTACCTTCTAGGGGCATTCTATGAGATTATGCATGTGTGAGTGAGCACCAAGCATTGCTCAGTGGTGCCTAGTGGGTAGTGAGCACTCAGTATGCAGCACCATGACTATGTAAGAATTCATTTGTTAGTAGAGCCCGGCTTTAGAACAGAGATGGAACCTGGCACCGAATAATAAAGCATGGGGAGGCCGGGCGCAGTGGCTCATGCCTGTAATCCCAGCACTTTGGGAGGCCGAGGTGGGCAGATCACCTGAGGTCAGGAATTCAACACCAGCCTGGCCAACGTGGAGAAACCCCGTCTCTACTAAAAATACTAGCTGGGTGTGGTGGCGCATGCCTGTAATCCCAGGGCTGAGGCAGGAGAATCGCTTGATCCCGGAAGGAAGGTGGAGGTTGCGGTGAGCCAAGATTGTGCCTTTGCTCTCCAGCCTGAGCAACAAGAGCAAAACTCCATAGATAGATAGATAGATAGATAGATAGATAGATAGATAGATAGATATAGATATATAGATATCTATAGATCTATAGATATCTATATATATATATATAGATATATATATATATCAGGAGGAATAGTAGTAATATTGTCATCACTTCTCACCCTGTCTTTGATAAATTGCCAGTTGAAGTGTCTGCTTCATCACTGAGAAAAGAGTGTGTTCTTTCCTCTCTGAATCCCCAGGACCAGACATATAGCAGGTGTCCAATGAACAGCTCAGCTGTTGAATGAACAAATAGATTCTGTTAGGCCCTACAAGGCATAAAAGTAAATTCAGTCTGGGCACAGTGGCTCATGCCTGTAATCCCAGCACTTTGGGAGGCCAAGGCGGGCAGATCATCTGAGGTCAGGAGTTTGAGACCAGCCTGGCCAACATGGTGAAACCCCATCTCTACTAAAAATACAAATATTAGCCAGGCATGGTGGCGGGCACCTGTAGTCCCAGCTACCTGGGAGGCTGAAGCAGGAGACTCACTTGAACCTGGGAGGCAGAGGGTGTAGTGAGCTGAGACCACACCACTGCACTCCAGCCTGAGTGACAGTGAGACTCCGACTCAAAAAAAAAAAAGTAAATTCAAAAGCCATTCACCTGTGCAGAAGGCAGGGCCAGGCTAATCTGAAGGCTCTAAGAGAAGTATCCACCCACTTCTTCTGTAAAAGGCCAGATGGTAAATATTTTAGATTCTTTGGGCTCTCTCTTCCTCTGTGGCAACCACTGAATTCAACCCTGTTGCAGACATAGACAATAGATAAATGAATGGGCCCGGCTGTTTGTAGGTAGGTGAAAAATGGCTTCCCTTCACCTTTATAGGTTCTTTGGCTGGGCTACGAATTAAATTGACATGTAAACAGACAGGGCAAAAGCCATATTTAATTATGTACCTATGCAGGGGAGTCCCACAAAATACAAGACTCCAAAAAGGATCAGAGAGGCTGGGCCCAGTGGCTCATGCCTGTAATCCAGGCACTTTGGAAGGCCAAGGCAGGCAGATCACCTGAGGTTGGGACTTCCAGACCAGTCTGGCCAACATGGTGAAACCCCATCTCTACTAAAAATACAAAAAATAGCCGGGCGTGGTGGAAGGTGCCTGTAATCCCAGCTACTCGGGAGGCTGAGGCAAGAGAATCACTTGAACCTGGGAGGTGGAGAGCGCAGTGAGCTGAGATCACGCCATTGAACTCCAGCCTGGACCACAGAGCAAGACTCCCTCTCAAAAAAAAAAAAGTATCAAAGAAAAGAATAGGGGTTTGGGGCTTCTGGGAGGATGGTGGTAACACAAGTTATGGGAGGGTAAGGGGAGAAATTGTATGATGGAGAAAGTCTGTCTTGTTAAGCAAATAAAAAAGTCTTGCAGGTAATAAAAGTTGTCTCAGAGCAGCCCTCAGAAGGATACATGATTGGGAATGGTTTCACTCTTCCCTAGTTAATAAGATCGTAGGAAAGCATTCCTCTTTCTGTCTTTAGGCAGATAAGAGAAATTCAGAGAAAACCTCTCCTTCCCTGCATTTGCTGTTCCCCCAAGTGCCCTTATTTTGAAGCAATCAGCAGACAAAAGCGCATATCCCTGTGTTCCAATGAAATTTTATTTACGTACGCTGAAATTTGAATGTTTTATTTTCATAAGTCGTAAAATAGTTTTTCCCCCACCTAACTATTTAAAAATGCAAAAACAGAGCAGTGGTTCACGCCTGTAATCCCAGCACTTTGGGAGGCAGGAGGATTGCTTGGGCCCTGGAGTTCGAGACTAGCCGGGGCAACATAGTAAGACCTTGCCTGTGCAAATAATTTTTCTTGAGACGGAGTCTTGCTGTTGTTGCCCAGGCTGGAGTGCAGTGGCGCGATCTCGGCTCTTTGCAACCTCTGCCTCCCGGGTTCAAGCAATTCTTTTGCCTCAGCCTCCCAAGTAGCTGGGACTACAGGGGCCCGCCACCACACCCTCGCTGACCGGCTGCAGCGCGCAGGACAGCACGCCTGGGAGGGCGGTGCCAGGAGGCGGGCCTCGGATTGGGCCTCACGTAGTGGGCTGGACAGAGGATGGAGCCTCTTGGCGTAAGCGCGGTTGGGCGGGGCATTCCTGGATTGGCCCACTCCGGCGTCGCAGAACGCTTGGCGTATCGTCCTTCAGCCAATCAGCGTGGAGCTGCTGCCTCGCCCCGCCTCACGCCGGCGTCCTGGGGGCGCGGAGAGGGCGCCCAGGTTCACCGCGCTCTCAGCGCGCACTTCCGGGCACGGTCAGGGCGTGACGTCGGGAGGAGGGCAGGTAAGTGCCGGCGGGCGGAGGAGCGGGGAGGGCCGGGGGTCCGGCAGCCGCCTCACCCTGGCCTCGGAGCTGCCCGGCGCGCCCTTCCGCGTCGGGGGACGCGGAGCTGAGGACCCGATTTAGATGCCCGGAGCCGGCCCAGGTCCCAGCCAGGACCAAAGTCCCTGAGGCCCCAGCTGAGACCTCTGACCCAAGTGCCCGGGACCCGGTCCCATCCTAGCCCGGATCCATATTATGCCTGAAGGGTCCTGGGTTTTTGCATCGGGAAAATGGGACCAATAAGTCCCTATCTCACCAGATTTTATAAAAATGATTCTTGTAAAACCGTGAGCAGCAGAAATGACTAAACTGCCAAACGTTTAACTCGGCGTCAGGCGCTGCCCTGAATGCCTTAACCAGCCATTTTTACACATAAGGAAAATGAGGCTTAGAGAGAGAAAACAATTTGCCCCAAGTCAAGCAGATAGGAAGCAGCAGGGTGGAGCTCCGAGCCCAAGCCGTAAGCCCAGGACAAACAGGGTCGGTAATTACTTTTGCACCAAGGACCGGAGATATCTACACGCCCACCCGATAGCCCCGTCTGCCATTTACTGGGGTAACAAAACCATCTTAAGACACACACACACCCTCGAGCTCCTGTAAACGGAGTATTTGCTCTTTGCAGGCTCTTCCCGTGGGTTAGTTGATTCACAGCATCCCCAGAAAGTCAGTCTTGTCGTCGTCATTCGCCCTTTACCGGTGACGAAATACAAGCCCAGGGAAGCGCAGTCACTGACCAAGGTCACCCAGCTGATGAGGAGTGGAGCTGGGATTCAAGCCCAGGGAGCCGTGTCCCCTAACGCCTCAAGGGGCACTTAGCTATTTTGTTGGCAAAAGTATTTTTAGGTTGGAAGGGACCTTGGAATAATCCAATCTAAAGGACACACTTTATAGTTGGAGGATACAAGACTAAGGTGAGGGTAGAACAGTTTATATCCGGGACTTTGCACCACTGCCTCACCACCTCACTACACCACTCCCACTCCATCAGAAGCTCTTCCATCAGCTTCTTTCTTTCTTTTTGTTGGAGACAGAATCTCACTCTTGTCACCTTGGATGGAGTGCAGTGGCGTGATCTCGGTTCACTGCAACCTCCGCCTCCCAGATTCAAGCGATTCTCCTGCCTCAGCCTCTCCAGTAGCTGGGATTACAGGCGTACGCCACCAGGCCTGGCCAATTTTTGTATTTTTAGTAGAGACAGGGTTTCACCATGTTGGCCAGGCCGGTCTTGAACTCCTGACCTCAAGTGATCCACCTGCCTCAGCCTCCCAAAGTGCTGGGATTACAGGCGTGAGCCACCGAGTCCGGCCCCCAAGAATGGTTTTAAATTTTCTAGTAGTTGGGGAAAAATCAAAAGAATAATACTTTGTGACATGACGATTATGTGAAATTCAAATTTCTGTGTCCATCAATAAAATTTATATTGGCATGCAGCTACGCCCGTTCATTTATATATTGTTTGGGACTGATTTCTAGCTATGAAAGCAGAGTTGAGTTGTTGGGGCAGAGATAATCTGGCCTAAAAAGCTAGAAATACTTATTTTCTGGCCCTTGACAGAGAAACTTTGCCAATCTCTGTTCTAGAATACCCTTCACTGCTTCACAGAGTCTCTCTTTAGTGTAAACTAGAACTTCTTTCTTTTTTTTTTTTTTTTTTGAGATGGAGTCTCGCTCTATCGCCCAGGCTGGAGTGTGGTGGCGCAATCTTTGCTCACTGCAAGCTCCGCCTCCCGGGTTCACGCCATTCTCCTGCCTCAGCCTCCCGAGTAGCTGGGACTACAGGCACCCGCCACCACGCCCAGCTAATTTTTTGTATTTTTTAGTAGAGACGGGGTTTCACTGTGTTTGCCAGGATGGTCTCGATCTCCTGACCTCATGATCCACCCGCCTCGGCCTCCCAAAGTGCTGGGATTACAGGCGTGAAGAACTTCCTTCTATATGACCTAAAAGCCTCCCTTCCAAACATGAGAGGGGGTCTCACCACCCCTAGTTTGAGGAGCCCCTGCATTTCCCACCTGTGTCACCTGCACTGACTGTGACCCTTATGGAGCCTCATTCAGTTATCTCAGTTGTTTACCCAGTTGACATTTATCTGGGCCTGGCACTGTCCTAGGTGTTAGGGATATGGCACAGTGTGACCTGCCGGGGGAGACATAAACCGACACAGGGTGATATGATCAGAATTCCAGGAAACAAGTGACTATGGATTGGATGGTTAGATGAGTTCATTGGTTTTTTTTGTTTGTTTGTTTGAGACGGAGTCTCACTTTGTAGCCTAGGCTGGGGTGCAGTGGCGCCATCTTGGCTTACTGCAACCTCCGCCTCCCGGTTTGAGCCATTCTCCTGCCTCAGTTTCCCGAGTAGCTGGGATTACAGGCATGCACCATCACACTCGGCTAATTTTTGTATTTTTAGTAGAGATGGGGTTTCACCATGTTGGCCAGGCTGGTCTTGAACTCCTGACCTCAGGGGATCCACCTGCTTCAGCCTCCCAAACTGCTGGGATTACAGGTGTGAGCCACCGCACCTGGCCGGATGAGGTCTTTGATGGATATGATATGTAGGTCAAGACCTGTGACAGGGGGCTGGGTGCAGTGGCTTGTGCCTGTGATCCCAGCACTTTGGGAGGCCCTAGGTGTGTGGATCACCTCAGGCCAGGAGTTCCAGACTGGCCTGGTCAACACAGTGAAACCCTGTCTCTACTAAAAATACAAAAAAATTAGCCAGGCTTGGTGGCGGGTACCTGTAATCCCAGCTACTCAGGAGACTGAGGCATGACATCACTTAAACCCAGGAGGCAGAGATAGTGAGCCAAGATCATGCCACCCCACTCCAGCCTGGGTGATAGAGTGAGACTCCGTCTCAAAAAAAAAAAAAAAAAAAAAAAGCCTGTAACAAAGAGCTTGCAAACCTGAGGAACAGCAGGTGCAGGCCAGCTGCACTTGGCCTTTGAAGACAGCCAGGAAGCCAGTGTGGCTGGAACAGAGTGAACGAGAGATAGAGGGGTAAGAGTTAGGCTTGGAGAGGCAGGCAGGGGCCCCACAGGCCGTGGGAAGGGGTTTGACTTGATTCTAAAAACCATATGAATCATGGGAGGGGTTTAAGCAGGAGAGTGACACGTTTGTTCATATTAAAAGATCCCAGCTGGGCATGGTGGCTCACACCTGTAATGCCAGCACTTTGGGAGGTTGGGGCGGGTGGATCATGAGGTAAAGAGATCAAGACCATCCTGGGCAACATGGTGAAACCCTGTCTCTATTAAAAATACAAAATTAGCTGGGTGTGGTGGCGCACGCTTGTAGTCCCAGCTACTCGGGAGACTGAGGCAGGAGAATCACTTGAACCCAGGAGGTGGAGGTTGCAGTGAGCAGAGATCGCGCCACTGCACTCCAGCCTGGTGACAGAGCGAGACTCCATCTCAAAAAACAAAAAGATCCCCTGGGCAGCTGTGGGGTGAGCAAGTGTCAAGGGCAGAGTCGGGAGAGAGAAGACCGTGCTGGCCCACGTGAGTGATGATGGGTGCTGGACCCGGTGGGGGCCACAGAGGGATGAAAGTGTCAGATGTGATGCGTATATTGGCTGTAGAGTGGACGGGACTCTCTCTTTCTAAACAGACACGCCGCTTTTTGGATGCCTCCTATGCCTGGCGGGAGTCTTGTCTGAGCTGGCACCACCACACGGCCCACGACATCTTCGCAGGGAAGCCTGTGGACCCTCTGCCAGGCTCCACAAGAGGTCAGGACAGTGCAGTGTGTTCACAAGGCCAGTTTCTGATCGTCCGCCCCGAGGCTGAGGACCAGTAGGCAGCTCCCAAGATGGTGAGTAGACAGCCTCGTGTGCCCTGGGTTTCTCTCCCAGTCTTTGTAGGACCCTGGAAGCAGCCCCTCCTCCCCTCCCAGAGCTCTAAGATGATGATTTCAATCTCCGGGTCATCATCTTTTGGTGCAGTGGGTCTGAAATGTGGCTTTGCGCTAACATCACCCATGGGCACTTTTTAAATGTTTTTTTGTTTCATTTTCTTTTGTTTTTGAGACAGTCTCACTTTGTTGCCTAGGCTGGAGTGCAGTGGCACGCTCTCGGCTCACTGCAACCTCCGCCTTCTGGGTTCAAGCAAGCACGTCCCACTAATTTTTGTATTTTTAGTAGAGACGGGGTTTTGCCATGTTGGTCAGGCTGGTCTGAAACTCCTGACCTCAAGTGATCCACTACACTCAACCTAAATTTCCCCTTCCCCCTTTCCCCTCCCCCTCCCCTACCCCTTCCTTTCTCTTTCTTTCTTTCATTTTTTTTTAACAAGGTGAAATTCATATAACATAAAATTAACCATTGCAAGGCCAGGCACAGTGGCTCACGCCTGTAATACCAGCAGTTTGGGAGGCCAAGGCAGGCAAATCATTTAAGATTAGGAGTTTGAGACCAGCCTGGCCAACATGGCGAAACCCTGTCTCTACTAAAAATACAAAAATTAGGCTGGGCGCGGTGGCTCACGCCTGTAATCCCAGCACTTTGCGAGGTTGAGCTGGGTGGATCACCTGAGGTCAGGAGTTTGAGACTACCCTGGCCAACGTGGTGAAACCCCGTCTCTACTAAAAATACAAAAATTAGCCAGGCGTGTTGGCGGGAGCCTGTAGTCCCAGCCACTCTGGAGGGTGAGGCAGGAGAATCGCTTGAACCCGGGAGGTGGAGGTTGCAGTGGGCTGAGAACATGCCACCACACTCCAGCCTGGGCAACGAAAGCGAAACTCCATCTCAAAAAAAAAAATACAAAAATTAGTTGGATGTGGTAGCACATTCCTGTAGTCCCTGCTACTCAGGAGGCTAAGGCACGAGGATTGCTTGAACTCAGGAGGCAGAGGTTGCAGTGAGCCAAGATTGCACCACTGCACCCAAGCCTGCGTGACAGAGCAAGACTCTGTCTCAAAAAAAAAAAAGAAGAAAACAAGAGCGACTCTTCAGCCAGGCTCAGTGTTCTTTCTTGAGACCTGTGTTCAACGGTACTACATGTGTATCTGCCCAGTGGCAATGTTAAATACTTCTTACCGTCAATCACAGTCTCCAAAAGAGTGTGAAAGCCACCATAGGAGCATCTGAACCTCATGGAATTTTCCAAAGCAATGACAATGGGTTTTTTGCCCAAGTAGCCCTTCCCCAATCAGACACTGAGCCCAGCACTGTCCTCTAAAATGTCCCCAAGTCCCCCTTATCCAGGTCCTGCCCCCTGAGGCTGCACAAGTAGGTTTCCTGGAGGGAGCCTGTGTATTAGTCCAGTCTCACGCTGCTCATAAAGACATACCCAAGGGCTGGGCGCGGTGGCTCACGCCTGTAATCCCAGCACTTTGGGAGGTCGAGGTAGGTGGGTCACAAGGTCAGGAGTTCAAGACCAGCCTGGCCAATATGGTGAAACTTTGTCTGTACTAAAAATACAAAAAAATTAGCTGGGCGTAGTGGCACATGCCTGTAATCCCAGCTACTCGGGAGGCTGAGGCAGGAGAATTGCTTGAATCCGGGAGGCGGAGGTTGCAGTGAGATGAGATCGCACCATTGCACTCCAGCCTGGGCAACAAGAGTGAAACTCTGTCTCAAAAAAAAAAAAAAAAAAAAAAAAGACATACTCAAGCCTGGGTAATTTATAAAGGAAAGAGGTTTAATTGACTCACAGTTCAGCATGGCTGGGGAGGCCTCAGGAAACTTAACAATCATGGCAGAAGGGGAAGCAAACACATCCTTCTTCACGTGGCAGCAGCAAGAATGAGCAAGAGGAAAAGCTCCTTGTAAAACCATGAGGTCTCTCGAGAACTCATTCGCTGTCATGAGAACAGCATGATTCGCCCCCATGATTCGATTCAGTTACCTCCCACCAGGTCCCTCCCATGACACGTGGGGATTATGGGAACTACAATTCAAGATGAGATTTCGCCTGTAATCCCAGCACTTTGGGAGGCTGAGGTGGGTGCATCACTTGATGTCAGGAGTTCAAGACCAGCCTGGCCAACATGGTGAAACCCCATCTCTACTAAAAATACAAAAAATTAGCTGGGCGTGGTGGTGCATGCCTGTAATCCTAGCTACTCAGGAGGCTGAGGCAGGAGAATCGCCTGAACTCGGGAAACGGAGGTTACAGTGAGTCAAGATCGCACCACTGCACTCCAGCATGGGTGACAGAGCAAGACTCCATCTCTAAAAATTAATAGTAAAATAAAAAATCAGAAAAAATTTTTTTGAATGAGATTTGGGTAGGGACACAGCCAAACCATATCAGCCTCTCTCTGAGTCATGTCTCTGTTCTGCTTTGCAGGGTGAAAGGAAAGGGGTCAACAAGTACTATCCTCCAGACTTCAACCCTGAGAAGGTAAGCAGGCTCTCCGCTCCAGGTCCACAGTAGCAAAAAGACCCACGTCATCCCCTCTTGGGGTTAGAGCCACTGCTGCGGAAGGATGGGTGGCCCCCAAGGTCTTTTTGTCTTCTGCATGTCACCTGAGTCTCGAGGCTGTCTTCACTTTTGGGTGATAACTGTGGCTCTCCTCAGGGACCTGTAACTCCATGTCCACACTATACTAGAGTATAGTGTGTTTACAGCAGGGGCCCAGGATAAGGCAGAGCGCACAGATGAAGGGTCAGATCCCATGGCTTCCCCAGCTCCAGCACCTGTGGCGTCCTGGTTGTCCCCTCTGCCTGGAATCTCTTCCTCCATTTCACCATACTCTCACTTCCTTAAGTGCTTTTCTCACAGAGGTCCTCCCTGACCACTGTCTCGTTCTCTGTTGCATTGCTGAGCACTTTATATAATCTCATAGCCCTTATAACTCCCTCACTTATTCATTTATTTGCGTCTTGTCCATCTCCCCCGCTAGAACATTCTCTCCCTGAAGGCAGAGATGTTCATCTATCTTATTGTGGCTGTGTCCCCACACAGTAGGTGCTCAGTAAGGGCCCAAGTGTCCCAGCTGCCTCGTCCTGAGTATAGGATTTAGCCTCTCTATGCCAAAGTTTCTCCATACGTCAGAAGGGGGAAATAAAATGAGCTGACCTCACAGAATCATTGAGGGATAAATCCTAGCTACTCAGGAGGCTGAGGTGGGAGGATTGCTTGAGCCCAGGAGGTGGAGACTGCAGTGAGTCATAATCATACCACTGCACCCCAGCCTGGGCTACAGAGCCAGACCCTGCCTCAAAAAAAAAAAAAAAAAAAGCCGGCGCCATGGCTCACGCCTCTAATCCCAGCACTTTGGGAGGCCAAGGCAGGTGGATCACCAGGTCGAGAGTTTAAGACCATCCTGGCCAACATGGTGAAACTTGATCTCTACTAAAAATACAAAAATTAGCTGGGCGTAGTGGCCCACACCTGTAGTCCCAGCTACTTGGGAGACTGAGACAGGAGAATCGCTTGAACCCGGAAGGCGGAGGTTGCAGTGAGCCGAGATCACGCCACTGCACTCCAGCCTAGTGACAGAGCGAGACTCTGTCTCAAAAAAAAAAAAAAAAAAATAAGGTGATGCACATGAAGTCCCCAGCGAATGTTTGCCAGTCTTGTCACCTCACCTCATCTTCCCCATAAAACCTGGAAGTAATAATGACCATTATACGTAGTTGACAGACAAGGGAAACAGAGGCTCGGGAAGGCAAAACGTGAGGTCACTCGCCCAGGGTCCCCTGGCTCTTTCAGCTCATAAATGGGAACAGGGCTGGGCGCAGTAGCTCACACCCGGAATCCCAGCACTTTGGGAGGCCGAGGCAAGTGGATCACCTGAGGTCAGGAGTTGGAGACCAGCCTGGGTGACATGGTGAAACCCCGTCTTTACTACAAATACAAAAAAAATAGCCGGGCGTGGTGGCAGGCGCCTGTAATCCCAGCTACTTAGGAGCCTGAGGCAGGAGAATCACTTGAACCCGGGAGGCAGAGGTTGCAGTGAGCCAAGGTCATGCCATTGCACTCCAGCCTGGGCAACAAGAGCAAAACTCCATCTCAAAAAATAAATAAATAAATAAGAGAGGGACTATTCAAACTCACGTTCCTGGTTCCAAGCCTACATGTTCCAGTAAGACCTGGATGCCCCCTATTGCTATGAACACCCGTCCTGCAGGACATAAGAATCAAGGCCTCTCCCACCTGTGAGACACTTGTCCCAAAGCAGTGGGGGTGGCAGAAAATTGTGAGCTCCTCCAGCTCAGCAGCACTAATCCGCTCCTCATCCTCTCCACACAGCATGGCTCTCTCAACCGATACCACAACAGCCACCCGCTTCGGGAGCGGGCTCGGAAGCTGTCACAGGGCATCCTCATCATCCGGTAAGGCCCAGCATCACCTGAGGACCCCACCGTCCTGCCCCATTCCTTCAGTCTCAAGGAGAGTTCAGTGCCCTCATTGGCCCAGTGCTGCAGGGTCTTCATTCCATAAAGCAGAAAGTCACCGTATCAGTCAGTTATTGCCGTGTGACAAAACAATAAGCATTTATTATTGCTCACATGTCTGCAGCTCAGCAAAATATCTCTGCTGGGCTTGGAAGAGCTTGGCTGGGCTGGGCTAGGCTGGCCTGATCTGGGCTGGGCTCCCATGTGTTTCAGAGTTGGCTGGCTGGGGACTGGCTGGTTTAGCAGGGACTTGACCTGTACAGCTGGGCTCTGCTCCGTGTTGTATCTCAACCTGTAGCAGGCCAGCCTGGACTTGATCACATAGGACTCTCAAAAAAGACAGTGATCGTAGTTGGGCACAGTGGGTCACGCCTGTAAACCCAGCACTTTGGGAGGGTGAGGCAGGTGGATCACTTGAGACCAAGAGTTCGAGAGCAGCCTGGCCAACACAGTGAAACCCTGTCTCTACTGAAAATAGAAAAAATTAGGCTGGGTGCGGTGGCTCACACCTGTAATCCCAGCTCCTCGGGAGGCTGAGGCAGGAGAATCACTTGAACTAGGGAGCTGGAGGTTGCAGTGAGCCAAGACCATGCCACTGTACTGCAGCCTGGCAACAGAGCGAGACTCCATCTCAAAAAAAAAAAAAAAATTCGCCGGAATTGGTGGCGCACACCTATAATCCCAGCTACTTGGGAGGCTGAGGCATAAGAATTGCTTGAACCCAGGAGGCAGAGGTTGCAGTGAGCCAGGATCGCACCACTGCACTCTAGCATGGGGAACAGAGCAAGACTCTGTCTCAAAAAAAAAAAGTCGCAGCAGCACCCAAAGGCGGCTGTCCCTGGACCTGGTCAGTCTGCTTTCTAGCAGGCAGGAAGTTCCTGCTCAGTTACAATGGTTGTGATTCTTTTTCTTCCATATATCCATTTCCTGTGTAATGTGAGTGCAGCAACTCCCGTTAACAGGGCAGTCTAATACCCCACCCCTCAAATCACAACCGCGGCCAGAGTCGCAGGTGTGGAGACCCAGGGAGTGTCCAAGTGGACAAGTGCAAGTAAGATGCTGTCTGTCTTTGCAGATTCGAAATGCCATATAACATCTGGTGCGATGGCTGCAAGAACCACATCGGCATGGGTGAGCCTCTGCCCACCCTCCATTCAGTCCTGCAAACATCAGACCCCCTAACTGCTGGATGCCGCCGGGGTGGGGGTGGGAGGGTCCTGATCAGGAATGAGGGAGGAGACGGGCACCCGAGTGACTGGCTGGCCATGGAAGCCCCTTTGCAGAGGGATTAGGAAGCCAGGCTCTGGCTTCCAATCCCGTCTCTAACTCCTCCTAGTTGGGGAACCCTCAGCAAGTGACAGTGAGCCTCTTTGTACCTCATTTTACCCATCTGCAAAATTCAGATGGCAATGAAATTACCACCCCCGCCTGACCCCCTTCCAGGTGTTCGTTACAATGCAGAAAAGAAGAAGGTGGGCAATTACTACACAACCCCGATCTACAGGTAAGGGCGGCTTGGTGGCATCTTGGGAACAGGTGGGGTGGCCACAGGGCGAGGGGGCTACAAAGAGCCTGAGTTGCGGGGGGAACCCATTCCCTGCAGGACTCCTGGAAATCGCCCTGGTTGGTGAATCAGGGCACACCCCACCCCCGCAACCCTCCATGGCTCCCACCTTCCTCAGTAAAAGCCCAAGTCCTCCCCCTGGCTCACAAGGCACCACACACTCTGCCTGTCCTTTCTTCACCCTAACCTCCTCCTGCTGTCCCCCTCCCTGGCCTCCTCGTTGTCCCTCACACACCCCAGGGACACACCCACCTCTGTGCTTCCACCTG
Organism: Homo sapiens; assembly: GCF_000001405.40. Classification (NCBI taxonomy): domain Eukaryota; kingdom Metazoa; phylum Chordata; class Mammalia; order Primates; family Hominidae; genus Homo; species Homo sapiens. The sequence goes on from NC_000019.10 coordinate 13,758,176, forward strand.
GAATGCTCTTCCCCAGGTAGCTCCAAGGCTCCTCCCTCACCCGGGGTTTCTGCTCAAACAGCACCCCTCAGAGACACCTTTTCTAAAGTGAGACTTGACACTGGTTGCTTGTGCCCTTGCTATCAAGGTGGGCCCTGCTGGGACGTCAGCCTTTCCATGAGCAAGTTGGCTTTTCCACTACTCAGCAATTTCCCCAGCAGCTGGCACTGAGCCTGCCACAGAGCAGCCTGTCTTGGGCGGGTTTGTTGAATAAATGAACTAGTGGACAAATGAATGAACAAATGAATGAACAGAATGAACAAATGATAAGTGAATTAACAAATGGATGGATGAGCAAATGAATGTATGAATTACTTTAACAAATGAATCAGTGAACCAACAAACAAATGCACTAATGAATGAACAAATGAATTAACGAATAAATGAACCAAAAAAATGGATGAGGGAATGAATGAATGAACAAACAGCTGAATGAACAAATGAATAAGCCAACTGCAGCCCCACTGACAGAAGGTCCGTTCTGGGTGCCCGGATGTGCCCCTTTTTGCCCGTGGCTCTACACGGCACACAGTGGGTGCTCAGTGAATTTTTGTCAAATGACACCATTGGGTGGAAGGAAGCAGGCAGAGGCGACAGGGCTGTCCTGGTGCACAGCCACAGCCTCCTGACTCCTGCCCACCGCTCCCTCCCAGGTTCCGGATGAAATGCCACCTCTGTGTCAACTACATCGAGATGCAGACGGACCCCGCCAACTGCGACTACGTGATCGTGAGTGGCGCCCAGCGCAAGGAGGAGCGCTGGGACATGGCGGACAATGAGCAGGTGCTGACCACAGGTGAGCGCCACCCACTTACCTGCCTGGGGGCCCTGGCCCTGAGTCTGCGCTGGGGCCCCCAAAGCCCAGCCGAGCTCTGATCGTTGCAGAGCATGAGAAGAAGCAGAAGCTGGAGACGGACGCCATGTTCCGGCTGGAGCATGGCGAGGCCGACCGCAGCACACTCAAGAAGGCGCTGCCCACACTGAGCCACATCCAGGAGGCCCAGAGCGCCTGGAAGGACGACTTCGCCCTCAACAGCATGCTGCGGAGAAGGTTCCGGGTGAGGGGGGCTCCAGCCCGGGGTCAGAGAGGATGCATGGTGGACCAAGGCCCGGGTCCAGCCCTCCCCCCACCACATCCTAGCTTTGAGCAGGCCACTGTACCCTCTGAGCCTCAGTTTCCCCATCTGCTACATGGTGACCATGCCCTGTCTTAATCCATTCTGGCTACTATAATAAAAAATACCATAGACAGAAACAGTAGAAATTTGGCTGGGCACAGTGACTCACGCCTGTAATCCAGCACATTGGGAGGATCGCTTGAGGCCAGGAGTTCAAGATCAGCCTGGGCAACATAGTGAGACACCACCCCCCCCCTCCCCCAGCATCTCTAAATAAATAAATAATAGAAATTAATTTTTTTTTTGTTTTGAGACAGTAGTCATCTCGCTCTGTCATCCAGGCTAGAGTGCAGTGGCGCAATCTTGGCTCACTGCACCTCTGCCTCCTGGGTTCAAGCAATCCTCCTGCCTCAGCCTCCAGAGTAGCAGGAATTATAGGTACCCACCACCACCACGCCTGGCTAATTTTTTTTTTTTTTTTTGAGACTGAGTTTCACTCTTATTGCCCAGGCTGGAGTGCAATGGCATGATCTTGGGTCACCGCAACTTCTGCCTCCCGGGTTCAAGTGATTCTCCTGCCTCAGCCTCCTGAGTAGCTGGGATTATAGGCATGCACCATCACGCACAGCTAGTATTCTTAGTAGAGACGGGGTTTCTCCATGTTGGTCAGGCAGGTCTCAAACTCCCATCCTCAGGTTATCTGCCTGCCTCGGCCTCCTAAAGTGCTGGGATCACAGGCGTGAGCCACCGCACCTGGCCAATTTGTGTATTTTTAGTAGAGGCGGGGTTTCACCATGTTGGCCAGGCTGGTCTCGAACTCCCAACCTCAAGTGATCCACCGTGGCCTACCCAAAGTGCTGGGATTACAGGCGTGAGCCACCGAGACCAGCCAAAATAAACAATAGAATTTTATTTCTCATGGTTCTGGAGTCTGCGAAGTCCAGGATCAAGGCGCTGGCAGATCCAGTGTCTGGTGAGGGCCCATTTCTCATAGGCGGTGGCTTCTAGCTGTGTCCTCATGTGGCAGAAGGGACAAACAAGTTCCCTTGAGCCTCCTTTTATAAGTCCAATAATCTCATTGGTGAGGACGTAGCCCTTCTGACTTAATTACTTCCCCAAATGCCTCACATCTTTTAACACTGTCAACGTTGAGGATTAAGCTTCAACATATCAATTTGGGGGACACAGACATTGAGACCATAGCTCACCCCTACCTCACCATGCCATGGGAGATACCTACCTGGTTGCCTCCTTTTATTTATTTATTTTTTTTCTTTTTGTGACTGGGTCTCACTCTGTTGCCCAGGCTGGAGTACAGCGGCAAATCATGTCTCACTGCAGCCTCGATGTCCCAGGTTCAAGCAATCCTCCCCACTAAGCCTCCCAAGTAGCTGGGACCCACAGGCATGAGCCATCACACCTGGCTAATGTTGGGTTTTTTGTGTTTTGTTTTTGCTTAGACTGAGTCTCGCTCGTCGCCCATGCTGCAGTGCAGTGGCATGATCCCGGCTCACTGAAGCCTCCACCCCAGGTTCAAGCAATTCTCCTGCCTCAGCCTCCCAAGTAGCTGGGATTCCAGGTTCCCACCACTGTGCATGGCTAATTTTTGTATTTTTAGTAGAGACTGGGTATCACCATGTTGGCCAGGCTGGTCTCGAAATCCTGGCCTCATGTGATCCACCCACCTCAACCTCCCAAAGTGCTAGGATTACAGGCGTGAGCCACTGCATCTGACCTGGCCACCACATTTTAAATGGAACCTCTTGGCTGGGCGCGGTGGCTCACATCTGTAATCCCAGCACTTTGGGAGGCTGAGGCAGGCGGATCACGAGGTCAGGAGATCGAGACCATCCTGGCTAACATGGTGAAACCCCGTCTCTACTAAAAATGCAAAAAAAAATTAGCCAGGTGTGGTGGCGGGTGCCTGTAGTCCCAGCTACTTGGGAGGCTGAGGCAAGAGAATGGCGTGAACCTGGGAGGTGGAGTTTGCAGTGAGCTGAGATCGTGCCACTGCACTCCAGCCTGGCCGACAGAGCAAGACTCTTGTCTCAAAAAAATATAGAATTAAACTAAATTAAAAAATAAATGGAACCGCCCAGCCCATCCCCTACCCACCTGTCCTGCATTTTTTTTCTCCTTATCACTGTCTCACCACTAGAGGCCAGCTCCACCAGGGCAAGGGTTTTTCCCTGCCTGCCACTGTATGCCGAGTGTCCAGAACAAAGCCTAGCACAAGGTGGGTATCCCAGAAATATTTGTGGGATGAGGCCGTGCGTGGTGGCTCACACCTGTAATCCCAGTGCTTTGGGAGGCTCAGGTGGGAGGATTGTTTGAGGCCATGAGTTGGAGACCAGCCTGGGCAACATAGTGAGACCCCATCTCTACAAAAAAAAATTTTTTTTTTTTTTTGAAACAGTCTCCCCCCTTTCGCCCTGGCTGGAGTGCAGTGACAACGATCTCAGCCCACCGCAACCTCCACCTCCCCGGTTGAAGTGATTTTCATGCCTCAGCCTCCCAAGTAGCTAGGACCATAGGCGCATGCCACCATGCCTGGCTAATTTTTATATTTTTAATAGAGACAGGATTTTGCCTTGATGGCCAAGCTGGTCTCAAACTACTGGCCTCAAGGGATCCACCCGCCTCAGCCTCCCAAAGTGCTGGGATTACAGACATGAACTACCAGGCCCAGTCTCTACAAAAATAAATGTTTTAATTAGCTGGGCGTGGTGGTGCACATCTGTAGTACTGGATACTTGGGAGGCTGACATGAGAGAATCGCTTGAGCCCAGGAGTTCGAGGCTGCAGTGAGCTATGATTGTGCCACTGCACTCCAGTCTGGGCGACAGAATGAAACTGTCTCAAAAAGAGTAAATGAGACCCCGAGAGTTGGAGCAGTGCCCCCTAGTACACAGAAGAGACAGGGCTTTGACACCCCCTATCTCTGGTGTTCTTGGCCCTCAACACAGGAAAAGAAAAAAGCCATCCAGGAGGAGGAGGAGAGAGACCAGGCCTTGCAGGCCAAGGCGAGCCTGACCATCCCGCTGGTGCCCGAGACGGAAGATGACCGCAAGCTGGCGGCTCTGCTGAAGTTCCACACCCTGGACTGTGCGTAGGAGGCCAGGGGGAAAAGGGGACAGGGAGGCTCAGAGTTGCCTGGAGATGGGGGGTCCTCAGCCATGAGTGGACTCTGGTCTACCAGAGGGCAGTTCTGGACCCCCTCCCCTGCCGCCCCTGAAATGTCCTCTCCTCTCCTCTAGCCTACGAGGACAAGCAGAAACTCAAGCGGACCGAGATCATCAGCCGCTCCTGGTTCCCCTCTGCCCCCGGATCCGCCTCCAGCAGCAAGGTCAGCGGCGTCCTGAAGAAGCTGGCACAGAGCCGCAGAACCGCGCTTGCCACCTCCCCCATCACCGTCGGGGACCTGGGCATCGTGCGGCGGAGGTCTCGGGACGTCCCGGAGAGCCCCCAGCATGCGGCCGACACCCCCAAGTCTGGGGAACCGCGGGTACCAGAGGAGGCTGCCCAGGACCGGCCCATGTCCCCCGGAGACTGTCCTCCGGAAACAACTGAGACCCCCAAGTGCAGCAGCCCGAGGGGGCAGGAAGGGAGCCGTCAGGACAAGCCCCTGTCGCCAGCAGGCTCCTCCCAGGAGGCAGCTGACACCCCCGACACGCGGCACCCCTGCAGTCTCGGCTCCTCCCTCGTGGCGGACTACTCCGACTCGGAGAGTGAGTGAGCGATCCCCATCCTGGAGACTGGACCCGCTCTAGAGGCCCGGACACACCCAGGAGGCCCCTCACAGACTGCAGACCCCCGGCTCGCCCACCAGCCCTGGGAGAGCTCAGATGCCGCATCCTCCCCAGACCGCGCCTTCCTGCAACCGTGGAGTTATTTATTTGGTCCTGGTGAGGGTGTTTGTGCCTTGTGAGACTCCGTACATTAAAGACCTGTCTCTTCTTCCCTGTCTTGGGTTGTTAGATGGACCCTGGGGCTGCCCCCCCACCCCCCCACCTTGACCAAGCTTGGTAGGCCTCTCATCAGCAAATGCTGGTATAGGGTCATAGCTGTGACCACAGACATGGTCCCCTTCCAGAGTAACAAGAGTCTCAAGGTGGTGGTCCCGGTTGGCCAGGAATCAGGACAGACTTCCTGGAGGAGGAGGCATGGGCCAAGTGTGAAGGGTGAAAAGGGGGCCAGGAACCACACACACAAGGCCAGGGACAAGGCACACGGGGTACCCAGGATGTGTGCCAGATGCAGCAGGGGCTGGAGCACACAGGTGTGAGCTTTTTATTATACCCAGCCCAGGGGTGGCCCATGGAAAAGCCCCCCGTGCATGTTACTTTTGGGGTTTTTTTGTTTTGTTTTTGAGACCGAGTCTTGCTCTGTCACCCAGGCTGGAGTGCAGTGGCGCGATCTCGGCTCACTGCAACCTCTGCCTCCTGGGTTCAAGTGATTCTTCTGCCTCAGCCTCCCGAGCAGCTGGGACTACGGGTGTGCGCCACCACGCCCAGCTAATTTTTTGTATTTTTAGTAGAGACTGGGTTTCACCATGTTGGCCAGGCTGGTCTCGAACTCCTGACCTCAAGTGATCTGCCCGACTCGGCCTCCCAAAATGCTGGGATTCCAGGCGTGAGCCACAGCGCCTGTCCTGCATGTTACTTTTGAATGAAACCGAGCAGAAAATGGCCCAGAAACAGCCTTGCATCCATCAAGGGGCACACGACCCCCCACTACCTCCCCCTCAACCTTGGAAGATCATTTAACAAATTCTTTGGTTTGAACACTTGATGTTACCTTGCCACTGGGGATACATCCCTAACTCTAGACAGCAGGTTGTTAAACACGGGGCCTGGTATCCACTAGGCGTCCCATAAATGCTGCCACTTTTGTGGTTCCGAGGAGGCGGCTCACTCCGTTCGGGCTTGGCAGGAGTCGTGGAGTGGGTTCGGCCACGTGGAATCCGCGTCCTGGGAACCCGTGGAATCCGCGTCCTGGGAACCCGTGGAATCCGCCTCCTGGGAACCCGTGGAATCCGCCTCCTGGGAACCCGTGGAATCCGCCTCCTGGGAACCCGTGGAATCCGCCTCCTGGGAACCCGTGGAATCCGCCTCCTGGGAACCCGTGGAATCGGGTTGGATGCGCATGTGCGTGTCTCTTTTTCCGGGGGAGGCTCCGCCCACGGCCCCGCCCCGCTCCCAAGTGCGCGCGGACCCCTAGCTCCCTCTGAGTTGCGCTGGGCTTGGCTGCTGCACCATGACCCTGGAGGCGATCCGCTACTCGCGGGGCTCCCTGCAGATCCTAGACCAGCTGCTGCTGCCCAAGCAGAGCCGCTACGAGGCGGTGGGCTCGGTGCACCAGGCCTGGGAGGCCATCCGCGCCATGAAGGTGCAGCGGGGCGGCGGGGCGGCGGGGCGGCGGGGCGGCGGGGCGGCGGGGCGGCGGGGCGGCGGGGCGGCGGGGCGGCGGGGCGGCCGGGTTGGAGGTGGGAGTGCGCCCGCGCCTGCAGCTTCCGACGCCCAAATCCCTGCCCCGCAGGTGCGGGGCGCCCCGGCCATAGCCCTGGTGGGCTGTCTCAGCCTCGCCGTGGAGCTGCAGGCGGGCGCCGGGGGACCGGGACTCGCCGCGCTCGTGGCCTTCGTGCGCGACAAGCTGAGCTTCCTCGTCACCGCCCGGCCCACCGCTGTCAACATGGCCCGCGCCGCCCGCGACCTGGCTGATGTTGCAGCCCGGGAGGCCGAACGGGAGGGCGCTACGGAAGAGGCGGTCCGGGAGAGGTACGGGGATCTGGTACCAGGCACGGCGCTGAGCAGGAATTATATTGACTCTTTTTAAGTACAGTGACCCACTATACAGATGGGGAAACTGAGGCACGGCGACCTTAAGTCCCTTGTCCAGGGCCCCACAGATGGGGAGACTGAGGCACGGCGACCTTAAGTCCCTTGTCCAGGGCCCCACAGATGGGGCCCAGAGTCTAGCCTGGGCAGCCTGGCCCTGAAACCTAACTCCTTAATCGTGCCTCCCCTGAATACACGCAGCCCCTTATCCGCCCTTGGAGGCCCTTTTTAGTATCTCCGTGTTCTCTTGGTTTCTGCTTTTGAGGAACTTTTTTTCCTGTCCTGGTCCCCTTCCTGCCATCTTTTTCCCCCCACTTCCTTTCTGCTCCAGCCCTCCCTGCAATGTCACTTTACCCCACCAAGCTCGAGCCTGCCTTACAGCCTTTGCACGTGCCATTGGTGCGGGCCAGGTATCCATAGCGCCCTCCTCCACCATTCTATATGATCCAGCTCACCCGCTGCTCTCTGTTGCCTGATTCTGCCGGCTTTTCCTTCATTTTATTATCTCTTCATCAGCTGGCTCACTCACCCCAGTGTCAACTCCACAGGAGCAGAGATTTTTGTCTTGTTTACTGCTGGGTCATACCGGAACTGCTTGGTAAACATGTCTTTGCATGAATGAACGGAGTGACACTTCGGTGGCCCTGGCCGAAGGGTCCAGGCCCCACAGCAATGAGAGGCTTTGAGCAGGAGGGCTCCAGGACAGCAGCGTTAGGCAGAGAGGAGGCGTTGGCCTGGGCCCCGGGTCCTGGTGGCTGGTGCTGAAAACTCCTTGTCACCCCAGAGTGATCTGCTGCACCGAGGACATGCTGGAGAAAGACCTCAGAGACAACCGAAGCATTGGGGACCTAGGAGCCCGCCACCTCCTGGAGCGGGTGGCCCCCAGCGGTGGCAAGGTGACTGTGCTGACCCACTGTAACACTGGTGCTCTGGCCACCGCTGGCTATGGTACAGCCCTAGGTGAGAGGGCCTCCTCAGGGGGTAGGGGAGGGCCTTCTAGGAACTTTTTTAGATACAAGAGAAAGAATCCCAAACCCAAACCACTTTATCCACAAAAAAAATGGGAAGGTACTAGTTCTAGTACGGAAACACTTATACAGTTGGCTTCAGGTATGGCAAGATCAAGGGGCTCAACCAGTAGCATCAGGACCTATCTATCTCTGTGCTTCAGCTCTGCCCTCCTTCATCTTCAGGTTCCATGGGCTGGCAGGCGGCTGTTAGGGTCCAAATCATGAGGAAAAGAGCCTCCTATACTAGAAAAGTCTCCTTGTATCTCAGGGGGTCCACTAGGGCACCTGCCCATCCCAGAGCAGTCATTCGATGGGCCCCGCCTGAGCCATATGCCTAGAGCCAGGGCAGGACGTGGACTCCAGGAGGAACTGGGGAGAAGGGAGTGAGCAGAGAAAGATTAGGTAGCTGTGACCAGGAGACAGGGGGAGTGGGCTGTAGGGGGCCAAGGCAGCAGATTCCACTTGACCCTAAATTCACCAGGAAATTTCCCTACCTGCCTGAGTCCCACCTTCATCCCTGGGAACTGAGGCCTTAATGGAAAGACCTCTGCCTTTGATTCATTCACTCACCCAGCATTTAGTAAGCACCTGCTGTGGCTCAGACACCGCCATTTGCTGGGGACGCAGCAGTGAACAAAACAGACAAAATCTCTGCTCTCAGGGGTCCCAGGGAAGCAGAAGGAACAGTCAACAGGCAAAATAAGTACAGTCATCCTTCAATATCTGTGGGGGACTGGTTCCAGGACCTCCCACAGATACCAAAATCCATGGATGCTCAAGTCTCTGATATAAAAATGCCATCATATTTGCATGACCTATGCACATCCACATATATATATATATATATATATATATATATTTTTTTTTTTTTTTTTTTTTTTTTTTTTGAGACAGAGTCTTGCTCTGTCGCCCAGGCTGGTGCAGTGGCATGATCTCAGCTTACTACAACCTCTGCTTCCCGGGTTCAAGAGATTCTCATGCCTCAGCCTCCTGAGTGTCTGGGATTATAGGCGTGAGCCACTACGCCCAGCTAATTTTTATATTTTTAGTAGGGACGGGGTTTCACGACATTGGCCAGGCTGGTCTCGAACTTCTGACCTTAGGCGGTCCGCCAGCCTCGGCCTCCCAAAGTGCTGGGATTACAGACGTAAGCCACAGTGCCCAGCCCACCCCTATATTTTAAATCGTGTCTAGATTGCATATCATAGCTAGTCCCATGTAAATACTATGTAAATTGTTGTTACTGGCTAGGTGTAGTGGCGGTGCAGGCCTGTAATCAGGAGGCTGGGGTGGGAGGATTGCTTGAACTCAGAAGTTCTAGACCAGCCTTTGCAACACAGCAAGACCCTGTCTCTATTTTTAAGCCTGTAATGCCAGCACTTCGGGAGGCCAAGGTGGGCGGATCGCTTGAGCTCAGGGGTTCAAAACCAGCCTGGGCTTCATGGCAAAACCCCATCTCTACAAAAAATACTAAAATTAGCTGGGTGTAGTGGTATGCACCTGTGGTCCCACCTATTCGGGAGGGGACTGAGATGGGAGGATTGCTTTTTATTTATTTATTTATTTTGGAGACAGAGTCTTGCTCTGTCACCCAGGCTGGAGTGCCATGGCACGACCTTGGCTCCTTGCAACCTCTGCCTCCTGGGTTCCAGCGATTCTTTTCAAGTATTTTCTTTCTTTCCTTTTTTTTTTTTTTTTTTTTTTTTTGAGACAGAGTCTTGCACTGTTGCCCAGGCTGGAGTGCAGTGGCGCAGTCTCGGCTCACTGCAAGCTCCGCCTCCCAGGTTCACGCCATTCTCCTGCCTCCGCCTCTCGAGTAGCTGGGACTACAGGTGCCCGCCACCACGCCCGGCTAATTTTTTGAACTTTTAGTAGAGATGGGGTTTCACCGTGTTAGCCAGGATGGTCTCGATCTCCTGACCTCGTGATCCATCTGCCTAGGCCTCCCAAAGTGCTGGGATTACAGGCGTGAGCCACCACGCCCAGCCCAAATATTTTCAATCCACATGGTTGAGTCCATGGATGGAGAACCCATAGAAAAGGGGGGCTGCCTGTACACATGAGGTGTTAGAAGGTGATAAATGCTAAGGACAGAGAGCAGGAAACTGAAAGTGTGGGGATTGCTATGCAAAACTGATATATCAGGGAAGGCTTCACCGAGAAGGTGTCCTTTAAACAGACGTGAAACGGAGCTATGCGAGCATTGGGAAGAGCATACCAGGCAGAGGGAACTGCCACTGCGAGGGCCCCTGGGCGGGACTGTGCTCGGTAAGCCTTTGGCAATCCACGCCCAGACTAGGAGCCTGCACCCCTAACCAATGGACCACCCTGTCTGTTTGCCCCTCCCCGGGGCCTTCTCCTGGTGGGTGGGGCCCCCGCAGGTGTGATTCGCTCACTGCACAGCCTGGGCCGCCTGGAGCATGCCTTCTGCACAGAGACCCGGCCCTACAACCAGGGAGCCCGGCTGACGGCCTTTGAGCTGGTCTATGAGCAGATCCCCGCCACCCTTATCACCGACAGCATGGTGGCTGCTGCCATGGCCCATAGGGGCGTGTCAGGTAAGCAGACGGTAAGCCCTGGGGGCGGGGCTCTGGAGCATGGGGCCAGGTAATGACCCCCAACTTCTCATACGCCCCCTCCCCAGCTGTGGTCGTGGGAGCTGACCGCGTGGTTGCCAACGGCGACACAGCCAACAAGGTGGGCACCTACCAGCTGGCCATTGTCGCCAAGCACCATGGCATTCCCTTCTACGTGGCTGCCCCCAGCTCTTCATGTGACCTCCGTCTGGAGACCGGCAAGGAGATCATTATTGAAGAGCGACCGGGCCAGGAGCTGACCGATGTTAATGGGGTCCGGATTGCAGCACCTGGTAAGCTGCCCCCTCAGAAAGGGGACACCCCAGCTCCTGGGCACTTCATGGAGGCAGGTGATATGCAGGTCCTTGTCATCCTTCTGGAACATACACAGCTCCTACAAGCCACTTTTTCTTTTTTCTTTTTTTTGAGATGGAGTCTTGCTCTGTCCCTCAGGCTAGAGTGCAGTGGCACGATCTGGGCTCCCTGCAACCTCCACCTCCCGGGCTCAAGCAGTTCTCCTGCCTCAGCCCCCCAAGTAGCTGGGACTATAGGTGGGTGCCACCACGCCTGGCTAATTTTTGTATTTTTAGTAGAGATGAGGTTTCAACATGTGGACCAGGCTATTTATTAACTACTGACCTCAAGCAATCAGCCTGCCTCTGCCTCCCAAAGCGCTAGGATTACAGGTGTGAGCCACAGCACGCCTGGCCCAAGCCACTTCTTCTAACAGGTGCATCCTGGAGGTCAGATCCAATGTTGGAATTTACAACTAACCGGTTATATGAATGATCTTGAGTAACTGTCTTGCTATTCTCCACTTAGGTTTTCTTAAGAGGAAATAAGAATATCTGGCTGGCCACGTGTTTGTAAAGAAAAACCAAGACGGCCAGGCGAGGTGGCTCACACCTGTAATCCCAGCACTTTGGGAGGCCGAGGCGGGCAGATCACAAGGTCAGGAGTTCGAGACCAGCCTGGTCAACATAGTGAAACCCCGTCTCTACTAAAAATACAAAAATTAGCCGGACATGGTGGCACCCGCCTGTAGTCCCAACTACTCAGGAGGCTGAGGGAGGAGAATCACTTGAACCTGAGAGGCGGAGGTTGTGGTGAGCTGAGATTACACCATTGCACTCCAGCCTGGGCAACAGAGTGAGATTCTGTCTCAAAAAAAAAAAAGAAAAGAAAAAGCAAGATATTTCTACACTTATTTTTATTTGTTTATTTTCATAGAGATAGGGTCTCGCTATGTTCCCCAGGCTGGTCTCAAACTCCTGGCCTCAAGCGATCCTCCTGCCTCAGCCTCCCAAAGCACTGAGATTACAGGTGTGAGCTCCCATGCCTAGCTGCAAGACTTTTCTTAGCTGCCTATACTTCCTGGCTGTGCAACCGTTAGCAAGTTCCCTAAATTCTCTAATTCCCTAAGATCCTCACTGGTCCTATCTGTAAAATGGGCTATGGCTAGAACCTGCTGCATAAACCCAAGGGCGGTCAGTGAATTAACCCACAGGACATTTAGATCAATGACTGGCCCTTTAAATAGTTCATGCACTCAGATGCCGTGGCTCACGCCTATAATCCCAACACTTTGGGAGGCGGAGGTGGGCGGATCACTTGAGGTCAGGCGTTCCAGACCAGCCTAGCCAACAGAGCGAAACCACGTCTCTACTAAAAAAATATAAAAATTAGCCAGGCGTGGTGGCACATGCCTGTAGTCCCATCTACTTGGGAAGCTGAGGCATGAGAATTGCTTGAACCTAGGACGCAGAGGTTGCAGTAAGTTGAGACTGCACCACTGCACTCCAGTCTGGGTGACAGAGCGAAACTCCATCTCAAAAATAAAAAAAAAGGCCGAGCGCTGTGGCTCACGCCTGTAATCCCAGCACTTTGGGAAGCCGAGGCGGGCGGATCACCTGAGGTCGGGAGTTCAAGACCAGCCTGACCAACATGGAGAAACCCTGCCTCTACTAAAAATACAAAATTAGCCGGGCGTGGTGGCACATGCCTGTAACCCCAGCTACTCAGGAGGCTGAGGCAGGAGAATTGCTTGAACCCGGGAGGCGGAGGTTGCAATGAGCCAAGATAGCGCCACAGCACTCCAGCCTGGGCAACAAGAGTGAAACTCCATCTCAAAGAAAAAAAAGAAAAAACAGTTCATGAAATATTAGCATGAACCAATATTAGCATTATGGGGCCAGGTAAAATGGCTCACACCTGAAATCCCAGTATTTTGGGAGGCTGAGGTGGGAGGATCACTTGAGCTCAGGAGTTCAAGACCAGCCTGGGCAACATTGCCAGACCACAATCTCTAAAAAAATTGTTTTGCCAGGTGTGGTGGTTCATGATTGTAACCCCAGCACTTTGGGAGGCTGAGGCGGGCGGATCACCTGAGGTCAGGGGTTCGAGACCAGCCTGGCCAATGTGGTGAAACCCCGTCTCTACTAAAAATACAAAAAAAAAAAACGTTAGCTGGGCGAGGTGGCAGGCGCCTGTAATCCCAACTACTTGGGAGGCTGAGGCAGGAGAATCGCTTGAACCTGGGAGGCACAGGTTGCAGTGAGTTGAGATCATGTCACTGCACTCCAGCCTAGGTGACAAGAGCAAAACTCCATCTCAAAAAAACAAAAAAACAGCTAGACATGATGGTGCACATCTGTGGTCCCAGCTGCTCAGGAGGCTGCAGCAGGAGAATCGTTTGAATCCAAGAGGCAGAGGTTACACTGAGCCAAGATCGCACCACTGTACTACAGCCTGGGTGACACAACGAGACTCTGTGTCAAAAATAATAATAATAATTAAAAATAAAACTAAAAAAATAAGTGGGATGGGCCAGGTGCGGTGGCTCACGCCTGTAATCCCAGCACTTTGGGAGGCCGAGGCGGGCAGATCACCTGAGGTCGGGAGTTTGAGACCAGCCTGACCAACATGGAAAAACCTCGTCTCTACTAAAAATACTGGCTGGGCATGGTGGTGCATGCCTGTAATCCCAGCTACTCGGGAGGCTGAGGCAGGAGAATTGCTTGAAACCTGGGAGGTGGAGGTTGCAGTGAACCAAGATCGTGCCATTGCACTCCAGCCTGGGCAACAAGAGCAAAACTACATCTCACAAAAAATAAAAAAATAAGTGGCATAGATGTGTATAGGACTTTGAATTTTTCTTGGGGACTGACATTCTAGGGGCAGTGGCGAGTCTAAACTTACTATTGAGTACAATGTCCATGCCTGCATGTACTTTTGGGGTGAGAATCCTCAGGTTCTCAAGGACTCCCCAACTCCAAGAACCACTGTGGTAGAAACAGATGACTACAACCTGAGAACTTTCACAGAAGCAAATTCTTGCCTCCTTGCCTCCCCTCTCTCCCCTGCAGGGATTGGAGTTTGGAATCCTGCCTTCGATGTCACCCCCCACGACCTCATCACTGGTGGCATCATCACAGAACTGGGGGTCTTTGCCCCTGAGGAGCTCCGGACAGCCCTAACCACCACCATCTCTTCCAGGGATGGAACCCTAGATGGACCCCAGATGTAACCAACTCAGCTCTCCCTAGCCTGCCTCTCTAGGTTTTTCAATACATTTCTTGAATGGCTACCCAAAAGCTGACCGTCCAGCCCCTGACCACACTTGTTCCTAGTGCAGGGAGCTCAGACAGGGCCTTCCATCTAGAGCCCAGCACCTAGAGCCAGGCTGCCCAGATTCAAATCCTGACTCCGCCACTTTTCCCACTGTATGATCTTGGGCAAGTCACTTCACCTCTCTGTGCCTTGGTTTCCTCATTTATAAAATGTGGATAACAGGCCGGGCGCAGTGGCTCACACCTGTAATCCCAGCACTTTGGGAGGCCGAGGCAGGTGGATCACAAGATCAGGAGATTGAGACCATCCTGGCTAACATGGTGAAACCCCATCTCTACTAAAAATACAAAAAATTAGCCGGGTGTGGTGGTGGGCACCTGCAGTCCCAGCTACTTGGGAGGCTGAGGCAGGAGAATGGCGTGAAACTGGGAGGCAGAGCTTGCAGTGAGCCGAGATAGCGCCACTGCACTCCAGCCTGGGCAACAGAGCGAGACTCCGTCTCAAAAATAAATATAATTAATTAATTATTTAATTAAAAAAATAAAAAATAAATGTGGATAATACTAGTACCTCCCTCTTAAGGTCAGGGCTGGAGCTAGGGTGACATCTCCAGGGCAGAATTTTAAGAGGACACCAAAAAAGCTCAGCAACCAAGATAAAAAATATTTTAAAGCAATATTTTGTTTTGGGTTTTTTTTTTTTGAGATCAAGTATCACTCGTTACCCAGGCTGGAATGTAGAGGCGAGATCTCAGCTCACTGAAACCTGTGCCTCCCCGGTTCAAGCGATTCTCCTGCCACAGCCTCCTGAGTAGCTGGGATTACAGGCATGCGCCACCATGCCCAGCTAATTTTTCTATTTTTAGTAGAGACATGATTTCACCATGTTGGCCAGGCTGGTCTCGAACTCCTGACTCAAATGATCCCCCTGCCTCAGCCTCCCAAAGTGCTGGGACTACAGGCATGAGCCACTGTGCCTGACCTTACAGCAGTATTTTTTAAAAATCAAAATTAATGCAAAAATCCATGATGAGGCCAGGCTTGGTGGCTCATGCCTGTAATTCCAGCACTTTGGGAGGATCCCTTGAGCCCAGGTGTTTGAGACCAGTTTGGGTAACATAGGAAGAGCTTGTCTCTACAAACAAAAATTTAAAAACAATGAGCTGGGCATGGAACTCACACCTCTAGCCCCAGCTACTCAGGCTGAAGTGGGAGGATGGCTTGAGCCCAGGAGTTCAAGGATGCAGTGTGCTTTGATTGCACTACTGCACTTCACCCTAAGCAACAGAGTGAGACCCCATCTCTTTAAAAAAAAAAAAAAATCCATGATGAACAAAACAAGTATTTGTTTGAGACGGGGTCTCGCTCTGTCGCCCAGGCTGGAGTACAGTGGTGCCATCTCAGCTCACTGCAACCTCCGCCTTCTGGGTTCAAGCGACTCTCCTGCCTCAGCCTCCCGAGTAGCTGGGATTACAGGAGCCTGGCACTATGCCTGGCTAATTTTTGTATTTTTATTGGAGACACCATGTTAGTCGTGGCTGGTCTCCAACTCCTGACCTCGGGTGATCCGCGCCCCGCGGCCTCCGAAAGTGCTGGGATTACAAGCGTGAGCCACCGTGCCCGGCCTAAATAAAATTTTGAAGAGGCTAGAACCCCGCACTTGTGCCTTGAGCTTACTGACCTCAACACCCTGGTTCCACTAAAACTTTATTTACAAAATTATGCTGCCGGTCTGCAGGATGTAGTTTAACAATTTGATTATTTTGGATATTAAAATATTTTTTAAGTCTTGAAAATATTGTTTACTATTACCAAAGTTTTTGAACCTTCTTAAATTCTGTACCAGAGGTGAGTGCCACACCCTAACCTAGTCTGAGTTTTTATGTGTAAAGATCATAAAACGTTGTAAGTTTTCTAAAACACATAAGCTCTCAATAAACGTTAGCTTATCATTGTCACCGTTTTGTTCGTAATGTTTGAAAACTCCAACTGTGATCCACTACACTACCCTTGTGGGATGCTGTCTCTTTAACTCTGTGCCACGTTGTATCCCGTGAGTTCTTGCGTTTTTCCGCCCCGCTGTATCCCATGGTTCCCTGTGCCTTCCGGCTACGACTGCTCACAGTCCCGCCTCTTCCGCTGCGTGCCGGACCATGGCGCAGGGGCAGCGCAAGTTTCAGGCGCACAAACCCGCAAAGAGTAAGACGGCAGCGGCAGCCTCTGAAAAGAATCGGGGCCCAAGAAAAGGCGGTAAGGAGCGGCCCGGGGACTTGGGGGCGAGGTGGACCCCCGGCTTCCCGGCCTCACGTGAGCACATCTTTCCCCAGGTCGTGTTATCGCTCCCAAGAAGGCGCGCGTCGTGCAGCAGCAAAAGCTCAAGAAGGTGTGCGGGGGCGAGAGATGGAGCCCGGAGGGCGGCGAGTAGCGAGGGGTGGAACCCGGAGGACGGCGAGGGGGGATGGGTGGAGCCCGGGGATCAGTGAGGGGAGAGGGTGGATCCTGGGGACGAGCTAGGAGCGAGGGGATAGAGCCAGGGGCCGCGTTAGGAGCGAAGGATGGAGCCCGGGGCGCAGAGAGGGGTAAGAGGTGGAAGCTGGCGAGGGATAGGGGCTGGGGGACGTGCTAGGGACGAGAGATGAAATCTGGAGGCCGGCGAGGGAAGGAGCACAGGGATCGGCAAAGGGCAAGGGATGAGGCCTGGAGGACTCCCAGCTCTGTGGGCCTCCCTTTTCTTCCTTGTGCAAGGGGTGCAGGAACACCACTTACCACTTCAAAAGGGCCTCGTAGAAGCAAGACCTGCGGCCCAAAAAGGGTTCCAATAACGTCAGCCTCTTGCTGTTACTGTTTTCTTTAATTGAACTCAGGAAGACAGCGAGGTGACATGGGAAGGGAATTGAAAGCCCAGCTTTGTAAACCTAGAACAGCAGAGGGCTCAAAGAAGTGTGAGGGTGCGTTGGTTATCGTCATTTTTTTTTGAGTCAGGGTCTCACTGTTGCCCAGGCTGGAGTGCAGTGGCCCCATTATAGCTCACTGCAGCCTCAGCCTCCTGGACTTAGGCAATCTTTCCGTCTCAGCCTCTCGAGTAGGTAGAATTGCAGGTGCTCGCCAATACGCGGCTAATTTTATTTTTTTTGTATTTTTGGTAGAGACAGGTTTCACTATGCTGCTCGGGCTGGTCTTGAACTCCTGGCCTCAAGGCATCCTCCCGCCTCTGCCTCCCAAAATGCTGGGATTACAGGCGTGAGCCACCCTATGGTTGTTTTTAAGTGCAACATTTATATGTAGATGGGTAAGGTTGAGCTTGTAAAGAAGTTGGAAGGAGATTTAAAACTGGTTTTGGTGGGAGTCAAACCTGGGTTTGAATTGTACTCCACAGTAAACAGCCCTGTGATCTTGAGCAAATTGTTTCGTCACCCCAGAGTGTCGGTTTTCTCAGAACTGGGTACCCACTGGCCCGCTTACCTCCGTGGAGTGGGGAATCTCATGGTCACCTTGCACTCAGCATGTCCAAAACCAAATTCCTGATCCTCCCTTCCCATTCTGCCCTCCTCCCCCTGTGATCACTTCCTTCCAGATGCCATAGGTCATCCTTGAATCCCTCCTTTCTCTCACATCCCGGTCTCATCCCATTTGTTTTGTTTTGTTTTTTTGAGATGGAGTCTCGCTCTGTCGCCCAGGCTGGAGTGCAGTTGAGTGATCTTGGCTTAGGTGCAACCTCTGCCTCCTGGGTTCAAGCGATTTTCCTCCCTCAGCCTCCCGAGTAACTGGGATTACAGGCCTGCACCACCACACCGGGCTAATTTTTTTTTTTTTTTTTTTTTTTTTTTGTAATTTTAGTAGAGATGGGGTTTCACTATGTTGGCCAGGCTGGTCTCGAACTCCTGACCTCATGATCTACCCGCCTCGGCCTCCCAAAGTGCTGGGATTACAGGCATGAGCCACTGTGCTCGCCCCTATTTTGCCCTTAGAATCAATCCAGAATCCACCCGCCTCCCATCTTCTTGGCCCCTACCTGGTCCCACCCACATCATTTCCCACCGGGACCAGTGCAGCCACCTTCTCCCTTGTCTCCTGGATCCCACCTGGTCCTCTCACAGAAGCCAGAGGGTGCCCATGAGCACCTGAGTCGGTTCCCTCCCTCCTTGGCTCAGAATCCTCCATGGCTTCCACCTCACCCAGGAAAAAGGTCCAGTCCTCACTCAGCCACAAGGCCCTGTAGAATCTGCCCTCGTCTCCTTCCACCCTCTCCTCTGCTAACTCCCTCTAGCCTTACTGGCCCCTGACCCCTCCTTCCCGGAGCCCTTCCTGGGCTCCTTGTCCCACCTGAGAACTTTTGCACTGGCTGTTTCCTCTGCCTGGATTCCTCTCCCAATAATACACACTGCTCCCTTCTTCCAACTCTCTTCAAAGAGGCCTGCCTTGATGGTGACCTGTACCCATCCCTCCTCACTCCTGTTTCCTCTTTGCCATAGCAGCGCTTACCATCCTTTAACAGTGTAACATATTACGCTACTGATGCTTATATTGTCCC
Organism: Homo sapiens; assembly: GCF_000001405.40. Lineage (NCBI taxonomy): Eukaryota > Metazoa > Chordata > Mammalia > Primates > Hominidae > Homo > Homo sapiens. Next base: position 13,776,856 of record NC_000019.10, read on the forward strand.
GGTACATGCACTGAATTCCAGCTCCATGACCCCTGCATCCAGGCACCTGGTTAGCTGTCCCGATGCTGGTGATCGTGGTCATTGGAACTGTTTTTGTTTTTTGTTTTTGTTTTGAGATAGAGTTTCGTTCTTGTTGCCCAGGCTGGAGTGCAGTGGTGCGGTCTGGGCTCACTGCAACCTCTGCCTCCTGGGTTCAAGCAATTCTCCTGCCTCAGCCTCTCGAGTAGCTGGGATTACAGGCGCCCGCCACCACACCTGGCTACTTTTTGTGTTTTTAGTAGAGATTGGGTTTCACCATGTTGGCCAGCCTGGTCTAGAGCTCCTGACCTCAGGTGATATGCCTGCCTTGGCCTCCCAAGGTGCTGGGATTACAGCCACTGCACCCAGCCGGAACTTTTTTTTTTTTCTTTGAGACGGTCTCACGCTGTCCCCCAGGCTGCAGTGTAGTGGAACGATCATAGCTCACTGCAGCCTGGACCTCCTGGGCTCGACCACCCAAACAGCTGAGACGAGAGGCACGCACCAGCACACCGTGCTAATTCTTTCTTTTAGTACAGATGCAGTCTCGCTGTGTTGCCCAGGCTGGTCTCGAGTTCCTGGGCTCAAGTGATCTTCCTGCCTCAGCCTCGCAAAGTGCTGGGATCACAGGCTTGAGCCACCACACCCAGTCCGTCGGAACTCAGAATGGCAGGGCAGAGGCAGTCTGGGAAAGGCGACTGAGCCACCAGTTTGGGGTTCACACTGCTGGTTTTGCCCCACGCTTGTGCCTTACTTGCCAGCTCCCTTGCCCACTCTTCAGATCCTCAGCTTGCCGTCTGCAAAGCAGAGATGACCTGGGGCAGAGGAGGCTGCCCTTCTAGAGGCTGGGACCAGAGGCTGTGGGCACGCCGGATCCCATGCAGTTTAGGGACCTGGGCAACCAGTGCCTCCTGGCTGCAGCAGACTGTTTCCCCATCCATAAAATGGGCATGAGCAGAGGTTTAGAAGCCAAGGTGCAGAAGTGAGGATTTTTGTGTGTGTGGAGGCCCCGGAGAGTGCAGGACTTAAACCCCAGCCACCAGACCCACAGTCAGGTGCGGTTCGAGGGGATAGTTGCTGATCTAGCCCCCTGCGAGCTCTAGCCAGGAAGAGGGTGACTGGTCAGGCCCTCTCTCAGCCCCAGGTCACAATCTGACTGCCCCGTGCTTCTCCCTCAGAACCTAGAAGTCGGAATCCGGAAGAAGATCGAACATGACGTGGTGATGAAAGCCAGCAGCAGCCTGCCCAAGAAGCTGGCACTGCTGAAGGCCCCAGCCAAGAAGAAAGGGGCAGCTGCCGCCACCTCCTCCAAGACACCTTCCTGAGGACGCTGGCCCCAGTGCAGGCCAACATCCCACCCCCTACCTCCATATGGGACCTTGCAAGTCATCCCACAGGCTGCACTGTCAGGAAGAGGACCCTGTCCCCCAGCACTGGGCTTCACCTAGAACTTCAGTGGGGGCCAAGGGTGCTGAGAACCCAGCAATGACCAGGAAGATACAGTCACTAACTTCATCTGTCCCCGTGCCCCTTCCCAGGTCCTGCCTCCACAGGTTTAACCCAGAACAATAAACCTGGCTTTGTCATCCCTCTTGCAGTCCTGTGTTCGGGTGAGCAGGCCAGGTGAGCCCACAAGTCTCCATGAGTGACGTGGCCTGGCGTGCTCCACCCCACCCCACCGCCTTTAGCAACCATGTGCCCAGGGGACAGCTGGGCTTCTACACCTCTGGCCCTGAGCCTGAGAGCCGGGAAAGAGTCTTTTCTCCATTTAACCCCGGGTGACTCACTCCCTGGCCAGTCCTCACCCCTGGGGACACAACCAGAGTCAAGCTGGACATCAGTAGGTCAGATGCCACCTCACAGGACCAAGGTGCCGATTAAACCGGAATACATTCAGAAACCACGTGGTACTACCTGGTTAAAGAGTGCCAACTGTAAGGTAGTCAGGACAGCCAGTGGTAGCACTACCTATGAGCCAGGCCGCACTGTCGCCCAGGCTGGAGTGCAGTGGCACAATCATAGCTCACTTCAGCCTCCATCTTCCAGGCTCAAGCAATCCTCCCACCTCAGCCTCCCAAGTAGTTGGAACTACAGGCATGCACTGCCATGCCCAGCTGATTTATTGCTTTTTGTAGATGTGGGGTCTTGCTAAGTTGCCCAGGCTGGTCTCAACTTCATGGCCTCCAGCAGTCGTCCTGCCTTGGCCTCCCAGAGTGCTAGGATTACAGGTGTGATCCACCATGCCCCACAAGTTCTAATGCGTTATACATGTCATCTAGCAGGATGCCCTGTTCAGGTCCTGCATAATGTTCCAGAGTGGAATTGATCCCGTAGTTGGCAGAGTCCTGATCCGTGCTCTCAGCTGACCCTCTGGCTACCTGTCACTGTCAAGACCAGAATTCACTTCTGCCCATCCTGGAGTTCCTCCACCTCCAAATTGTTTGAGTCTGTTGTGCCACACAGTACCTATGGAATATTCTGGGATCTCTGGCCTGATAACCTTCCTTTTCTCCCTTCACTGGATCCAGGTCAAGGTCACAGCACAGGGAAAAGTTGGGCTGTAGTCTGGGTGATACTGAACTGCTGTCTTTGGGGAGTGGTACCTGTGCATACAGTCAGCTTCTACCCTGAGACGGGGTGGGGTGACTGGTTCCCTAGTGGCTTATCCACTCCTGGCCACCTCACCTACCAAGGAGACAGAGGTGCTGGGTCACCAGCAGCTACCCCCAAACCCCATCTCAAGTGTGTTTTCTGGGTTCCACACAGTGACAGTCAAGATTTTGCCTTTTTTTTTTTTTTTTCAGACAGAGTCTTGCTCTGGAGTGCAGTGGCATGATCGTGGCTCACTGTTACCTCTGTGTCCCAGGCTCAAGCGATCCTGACACCTCAGCCTCCCAAGTAGCTGGGATTATAGGCATGTGCCACCACACCCAGATAATTTTTGTATTTTTAGTAGACACGGGGTTTCACCATGTTGACCAGGCTGGTCTCAAACTCCTGACCTCAAGTGATCCACCCACCTCAGCCTCCCAAAATGCTGGGATTACAGGCTATAAAGAGGGGAAAAACAGTTCAGTGGTTCTTCAGTAAGTTCATTGTGGAGCTACCGTATGACCCAGCAATTCCGCTCCTAGGTATATTCCCAGAAGAATGGAAGACATGTTCACTTGTAGATTTGCATATCCATGTAAATAGCAGCACTGCTCACAATAGCGAAAAGGTGGACACAGGCCAGGCGCAGTGGCTCATGCCTGTAATCCCAGCACTTTGAGAGGCTGAGGCAGGCCGATCACGAGGTCGAGTTCAAGACCTGCCTGACCAACAGGGTGAAACCCCGTCTCTATTAAAAACACAAAAATTAGGCCAGGTGTGGTGGCTTACACCTGTCATCCCAGCACTTTGGGAGGCCGAAGCGGGTGGATCATGAGGTCAGGAGATTGAGACCATCCTGGCTAACATGGTGAAACCCTGTCTCTACTAAAAATACAAAAAATTAGCCAGGTGTGGTGGCTGGCGCCTGTACTCCCAGCTACCTGGGAGGCTGAGGCAGGAGAATGGCGTGAACCTGGGAGGCGGAGCTTGCAGTGAGCCGAGATCGCGGCACTGCACTCCAGCCTGGGCAACACAGCAAGACTCCGTCTCAAAAAAAAACAAAAATTAGCCGGGCGTGGTGGTACACGCCTGTAATATCAGCTACTCAGGAGGCTGACACAGGAGAATCGCTTGAACCCGGGAGACCGAGGTTGCAGTGAGCGGAAATCGTGCCATTGCACTCGAGCCTGGGCGACAGAGTGAGACTCCGTCTCAAAAAAAAAAAGAAAAAATGGACACAGCCCACACATCCATCTACGGATGAAGGGATAAACTGAGGTCTATCCTTCAATAGAATATTCACCCTTGGGGAGGAAGGCCAAGTGCAGTGGCTCATGCCTGTCATCCCAACTACTTAGGAGGCTGAGGCAGGAGGATCACTTGAGCCTGGGAGTTGAAGGCAGCAGTGAGCTATGATCTCACCACTGCACTCCAGCCTGGGTGACAAAGCCAGATCCCGACTCTTAAAAAGGAATGAAGCACTGATCCAGGAAACTACAAGAATGAGCCTGAAAATAAACTAAGTGAACAAAGCGAGACACAAAAGGCTACATCTTGAATCGTCCCACTTACATGAAATGTCCCAAACAGGCAAATCCATGGGGGGAGAAAGCAGATGAGTGATTGCCAGGGGCTGAGGGAGCGGGAATGGGGTTTCTTTTCAAGGGGTATGAAAATGTCCTGGAGTCAGAAGTGATTGTACAACATTGTGATTATACTGAACTGTGCACTTTAAAATGGTGCATTAGGCCGGGCGTGGTGGCTCATAACTGTAATCCCAGAACTTTGGGGGGCCAAGGCCGGTGGATCACTTGAGGCCAGGAGTTCGAGACCAGCATGGCCAATATGGCAAAACCCCAACTCTACTAAAAATACAAAAATTAGCCGGGTATGGTGGTGAGTGCCTGTAATCCCAGCCACTTGGGAGGCTGAGGCAGGAGAATCACTTGAACCTGGGAGGCGGAGGTTGCAGTGAGCCAAGATGGTGCCATTGCATGTCAGCCTGGGTGACAGAGTGAGACATGGTCTCAAAAAATAATTAAAATAAAATGGTGAATTTTAGCACCACCACCCCTCCCCGCCCAAACATGCAGAGAGAAATTTCATTAAAAAGTCCTAACTTAGCATCTTGAAAAATCAGGAATCAGGGCAGTGGAAGCCGCACGCATGAGATGGAAAGACTGAGTAGTCTGGCGTTTCCCAAGCTGCCAGGAAGGCCCCGCCCTCATTGTTTCTGGAGGGGGAGGGAGGGGCTGGAGGATGAATGAGGCCCAGATCTCAGACTGAGGGATAAGGGTAGCTCTTTCCTTTCTGGGCTTCCCTTTCACAGCCAATCCCCGGCCTCTGTTCAGGGCTGGGGATTGGCTGTTCCAGCTTCCAGGGCACACATCCTTGAGCCCCATCTAGGGAACCTGGTTTCTCTGGCTGTCTGCCCACCTCAGGCAGTAATTGACTTCTGCCCTTGGTTTTGTTTTATTTTTTTTTTTATTTTTTATTTTTTTGAGATGGAGTCTCCCTCTGTCACCCAGGCTGGAGTGCAGTGGCGTGATCTCGGCTCACTACAACCTCCGCCTCCCGGGTTCAAGTGATTATCCTGCCTCAGCATCCCGAGTAACTGGGACTATAGGCACACACCACCACACTCGGGTAATTTTTTTTTAGTAGAGATGGGGTTTCACCATGTTGGCCAGGCTGGTCTCGAACTCCTGACCTCTGGTGATCTGCCCACCTCGGCCTCCCAAAGTGCTGGGATTACAGATGTGAGACACTGGGCATGAGCTGTTTTTTTTTTTGTTTTGTTTTTTGTTTTTTTGTTTTGGGAGATGGGGTCTCACTATGTTGTCCAGGCTGGTCTCAAACACTTCTACCTCAAGCGATCTTCCTGCCTTGGCCTCCCAAAGTGCTGGGATTACAGGCATGAGCCACCCAGCTGACTTAAGGCCTTTCAGGTAGGGCCACTTGGCTCATTCAGTATTTTTTTTTTTCAGAGCAGGAATGAAAGTTTATTAAAAAGCCTTAAAACAATAAGGAAAGGAAAGAAGGAAAGTATAACTTAGAAGAGGGCCAGACGGGTAACTTGAGAAACCAAGTTCTCCTTGTTCAGTACTTATTGTGATTACTTTTATATTTTTTTAGAGACAGCGTCTTGCTGTGTCGCGACTGCAGTGGTGAGATCATAAGTCACTGCAAACTCAAACTCCTACACTCAAGTGATCCTCCCACCTCAGCCTCCCTAGTAGTTGGAACCACAGGCATGCACCACCACGCCCAGCTAATTTTTTTATTTTCCGTAGAGACAGGGTCTCCCTATGTTGCCCCGACTGATTTTGGCCTCAAGCCATCGTCCCACTTCAGCCTCCCAAACTGCTGGGATTGTAGACATGAGCCACCACACCCAGCTATTGTGACTACTTCATGCCAACCTCTCTTCTAGGCAGAACTAAGAACTAACATTCAGGCTGGCCGTGATGGTTCACGCCTCTAATCCCAGCACTTTGGGTGGCTGAGGCAGGTGGATCACTTGAGGTCAGGACTTCAAGACCAGCCTGGCCAACATGGTGAAACCCTGTCTCTACTAAAAATACAAAAATTGGCCGGCATCGTGGCACACACCTATAATCCCAGCTACTCAGGAGGCTGAGGCAGGAGAATCGCTTGAACCCAGGAGGCAGAGGTTGCAGTGAGCTGAGATCATGCTACTGCACTCCACCTGGGCGGCAGAGCAAGACTCTGTCTCAAAAACACAAAACAAAACAAACCTGACATTCCAGTGACAACAGAAAAAAGAGACAACACCAAGTTTGTATCCCCTTCCCATCCAGGCCACAGTCCTCCCTGCCTTTGTGCCCACAGTTCCTTCCCCCGAGACATCACCTCAGAGAAGCCTTCTTTGTCCCCTGCCCCCAGAAGTGGCCTGTTTGATTGTCTTCTTAGCCAGGGTCACTTTCTGTTACTTTCCTCTGTTTCTACTTTGCTTCTCAAGGACCCCGACTCTGTTCGGGGCTGTGTCTCAAGCAACTAGAACAGCTCACAATAGGCACTCGATGAGCAGGTGTTTATTGAAGGAACGGTTCCTTCTAAAACCTTTTGTTTCAGTGAATGAGTTATGATTATTCAATGGTTCATTCAGCCCCTTAGCTATAAACAATACACCCTTCCTAAACAATACACCCTCTCCGGAGTACCTGATTCATATCATTGTCTTTGAACTATTTTACAACTCTGTAAGTTGTGAAAATTGATAGCAATACAAAATAGTTCTTATCTACAGACATGCAAATGTCATATCCTGTCCAGCCTAGAGGTTCAGTTGACAACGCTTATTCCCCTGTGGAAAACCGAATTTGCCTACATTCACACCTTTGCTTCAACAGCTTGATTTCTAAAGTGTCTTTTTCAAGGTCAGGCACCCTGGCTCACACCTGCAGTCCCAGCACTTTGTGTGTGTCTGTGTGTGGTTTTTGTTAATGATGATGATGTTTTTTAGATCGTCTCCCTCTGTCACCCAGGCTGGAGTGCAATGGCATGATCTCAGCTCAGGGCAACCTCCGCCTCCTGGGTTCAAGAGATTTTCCTGCCCCAGCCTCCCGAGTAGCTAGGACTACAGGCGCGCGCCACCACACCCGCCTAATTTTTGTATTTTTAGTAGAGATGGGGATTCACCATGTTGCCCAGACTGGTCTCGAACTCCTGACCTCAAGTGATCCGCCTACCTTGGCTTCCCAAAGTGTGGGATTACAGGTGTGAGCCACTGCGCCCAGCCTAATCCCAGCACTTTGGGAGGCGGAGGTGGGCAGATTGCTCGAGGCCAGGAGTTCAAGACCAGCCTGGGCAACATAGCAAGACCCTATCTCTGCAAAACATTTTTAAAAATTAGCTGGGTGTGGTGGGGCATGCCTGGAGTCCCAGCTACTCCAGAGACTGAACTGGGAGGGTCACTTGAGCACGGGAGGTTGGGGCTGCAATGAGCCCAAATCGCACCACTGCACTCCAGCTTGGGCGATGCAGCAAGGCCCCATCTCAAAAACAAAAGTGTCTTTTTCAGACTCTCTTGAACATAACATCTGCCTGTTTCCCACATCAGTGAAATTAAGAGAAAAACAAGGCTAGGTGTGGTGGCTCACATCTGTAATCCCAGCACTTTGGGAGGCCAAGGCAGGCAGATCACCTGAGGTTAGGAGTTCGAGACCAACCTGGCCAACATGGTGAAACCCCGTCTCTACTAAAAATAAATAGATTAGCCGGGCGTGGTGGCAGGCACCTATAGTCCCAGCTACTCATGAGGCTGAGGCAGAAGAATCGCTTGAACCCGGGAAACGAAAGTTGCAGTAAGCCAAGATCGTGCCATTGCACTCCAGCCTGGGCAACAGAGCAAGCTCTGTCTCAAAAAAAAAAAGAAAGAAAAAAAGAAGAGACAAAAAAACACAAAAAAGAAACAAAAAAAATTTCTGACCTGGCGAACAGGAAGAAAAAAACATTTTAGCACCCATTCATCTTTATATGTTAAGGGAGTGGTGATTTTGCCACCTTCAAAAAATTAGCTTCCGGTCTTTCTATCTGGAATCAGAAAGGCAAGGGCCAGGACGGGGTGGGCTCTGGGCCAGGACGGGGTGGGCTCTGGGTGCCATCTGGCACCGGAGTTGGACACCAGGAGGCGCCTCTAACCGGGGTTAAATCCACCCGCAGGCTGGTGGCGTCTCGACCAGCCCAGGAATCCTGCATTCTGGCTCCCTTTGTGCCTCTGACGCCAGCCCCTTCGAGGAGCACCCCAGGGGCAAGGAAGGGCTTTCAGGCACTGCAGGTATGGGGTCTGGAATGTGCACTCACCCATTCCCCCTTCACCTCTCCCCTCAGGGCTCCCCAAACAGCCTCATTTTCCCCTTCACTTTCCTGGGTGACTTTCCCCTCCTGCACTCCCCCAAGCCCTGATTAGTGCTGGAGCCAGGAGCCCCAGACTCCGGAAGAACCCACACCTTGAGTTCTTTGCCAGGTTCTGCCACTTTTTGACTGTGTGACCGTCAAGTCCCTTCACCTTTCTGAGTCTCAGCCTGGGGCCGTGGCTCATGCCTGTAATCTCAGCACTTTGGGAGGCTGAGGCCAGCAGATCACTTGAGGTCAGGAGTTCAACACCAGCCTGGCCAACATGAAGAAACCTCGTCTCTACCAAAAGTACAAAAATTAGCCGGGTGTGGTGGTGCGCGCCTGTAATCCCAGCTACTCGGGAGGCTGAGGCAGGAGAATCGCTTGAACCCGGGAGGCGGAGGTTGTAGTGAGCCGAGATCACGTCACTGCACCCCACCCCAGCCTGGGCGACTGAGTGAGACTCTGTCTCAAAAAACAAAACAAAACAAAACAAAACAAAACGGGAGGCTGAGACAGGAGAATCACTTGAACCTGGGAGGTGAAGGTTGTAGTGAGCTGAGATCATGTCACTGCACCCCACCCCAGCCTGGGCAACTGAGACTCTGTCTCAAAAAAAAAAAAAATTAAAACCTTTCTGAGCCTCAGTTTCTCTGTCTGTTACATTGGGATCCCCACTCCCCCTCAGTGTGAGTTCAGGAGCCTAAGAATAAGGGACATACCAATTTTTTTTTTTTTTTTTTTTTTTGAGATGGAGTCTCGCTCTGTCGCCCAGACTGGAGTGCAGTGGTGCGATCTCGACTCACTGCAAGCTCCGCCTCCCGGTTCACACCATTCTCCTGCCTCAGCCTCCGGAGTGGCTGGGACTGCAGGCACCCGCCACCATGCCCGGCTAATTTTTTGTGTTTTTTAGTAGAGACGGGGTTTCACCGTGTTAGCCAGGACGGTCTCAACTCCTGACCTCATGATCCGCCCGCCTCGGCCTCCCAAAGTGCTGGGATTACGGGCGTGAGCCACCGCGCCTGGCGGGACATACCAATGTGACTAGGAGCTGCGCTTGTGTGCTGGGGGCAGAGCAGTGGGAACCCAAGTCCTGCCATCCCCCGTCCTCTCTGTCCCTCCCTAGCTCCCCTCTCCCAGGGACAGAGGCGTCATTAAATGTGGCTTTTCCTGACAGTTATTGGCCGGGCGCTGTGGCTCACGCCTATAATCCCAGCACTTTGGGAGGCCGAGGCAGGTGGATCACCTGAGGTCAGGAATTCAAGACCAGCCTGGCCAATATGGCGAAACCCCATCTCTACTAAAAATACAAAAATTAGCCAGGCGTGGTGGCGGGCGCCTGTAGTCCCAGCTACTCGGGGGGCTGAGGCAGGAGAATCGCTTGAACCTGGGAGGCAAAGGTTGTAGTGAGCCGAGATCACGTCACTGCACCCCACCCCAGCCTGGGCGACTGAGTGAGACTCTGTCTCAAAAAAAAAAAAAAATTAAAGCCTTTCTGAGCCTCAGTTTCTCTGTCTGTTACATTGGGATCCCCACTCCCTCTCAGTGTGAATTCAGGAGCCTAAGGATAAGGGACATACCAATTTCTTTCTTTTTTTTTTTTTTTGAGACGGAGTCTTGCTCTGTCACCCAGGCTGGAGTGCAGTGGCGCGATCTCGACTCACTGCAAGCTCCGCCTCCCGGGTTCACACCATTCTTCTGCCTCAGCCTCCCGAGTAGCTGGGACCACAGGCGCCCGCCACCATGCCCAGCTAATTTTGTCTTTTTTAGTAGAGACGGGGTTTCACCATGTTAGCCAGGATGGTCTCGATCTCCTGACCTCGTGATCCGCCCGCCTTGGCTGGCGGCGGGGATTACAGTGCTGGCGGCGGGGATTACAGTGCTGGGATTACAGGCGTGTAATCCCATTACAGGGAGGCTGAGGCAGGAGAATCCAGCTTGAACCCAGGAGGTTCAAGCTGCTTGAACTCCTGCTTGAACCCAGGAGGCAGAGGTTGCAGTGAGTCAAGATCCGCCACTGCACTCCAGCCTGGGCAACAGAGCAAGCGAGACTCCGTCTCAAAAAAAAAATACTTTGGGAGGCTGAGGCGAGCGGATCACCTGAGGTTAGGAGTTTGAGACCTGCCTGACCAACATGGAGAAACCCTGCCTCTACTAAAAATACAAAATAAGCCTGGCGTGGTGGCACATGCCTGTAATCCCAGCCACTCAGGAGGCTGAGGCAGGAGAATCACTTGAACCCAGGAGGTGGAGGTTTCGGTGAGCCAACATCGCGCCATTGCACTCCAGCCTGGCCTGGGCAACAAGAGCGAAACTCCGTCTCAAAAAAAAACAACAACAAAAAAAAAAAACAAAAAAACACAGTTATTCTTGCCTAAGCCTTTCTCTCCTGCCTCCACCTTCCCCCGCCTCGACCTGGCACGACCACTTCTCCTGGCAGGGCCCTGACACTTTGCCCATGAACTTCTGTTTCAAAAAGAAAGAAAAGAAATGCAAGAAGGAAATCTTGCCAGCTGCGCATGCCGGAGGGGCTGCGTCGTCGCGACCAGGAAGCAAGCGAAGCCTACCCAGCTGGTTTCCTGCCTGAGTCAACGGTGGCTGGGGGTGCTGCAGGGGGCTGGCAGAAGGGAGGGACCCTCAGAAAGCTAGGGTGGAGATATCCACGAGCTGGGGGTCCTTGTCTCCACCTTCATCTGAGCCCCCAGGGTAGCCCCATCTTCCACGGGTTGAGAGCACACGTGGTTTGGGGTCAGGAGCTGTACATGCCTAGACAGTGAGCTCACGCTGGGCGCGGGCAGGATCAATCTGGCTTCCATTTCCCCAAAGCCCAAGCTTGCTGGCTTTACTGAGAAGGAAGGACGCAGGTGGTTGGAACTACCCCCATCAAACTCCTTTTTTTCCTCTTTTTTTTTTTTTTTTTTTTTTTTGAGACAAGAGTCTTGCTATATTGTCCAGGCTGGTCTTGAACTCCGAGGCATAAGCGATCCTACCTCCTCTGCCTTTCAAGTAGATGGGACTGGCTGGGCACAGCCCCTCACACCTGTAATCCCAGCACTTTGGGAAGCCAAGGTGGAAGGATCGATCGCTTGAGCCCAGGAGCTCAAGATCAGCCTGGCCAACATAGTGAGACCCCATCTCTTTTAAAAAAATTGTTTTAAAAAATTAGCCAGGCATAGTGCTACACGCCTGCAGTCTCAGCTACTCACGAGGCTGAGGCAGGTGGACCACTTGAGCCCGGGAGGTTGAAGCTGCAGCAAGTCGTGATCACGCCATTGCACTTCAACCCACGCAACAGAGCAAGACCCTGTCTCAAAACAGGGTTAGCTGTTTGAAGGCAGGGCGTAGTGGCTCCCACCTGTAATCCCAGCACTTTGGGAGGCGGAGGAGCGTGGATGACCTGATGTCAGGAGTTCGAGACCAGCCTGGCCAACATGGTGAAACCCCATCTCTACTAAAAATACAAAAATTAGCCGGGTTTGCCCTGTGATCCCAGCTACTCAGGAGGCTGAGGCAGGAGAATAGCTTGAACCCGGGAGGCGGAGGCTGTAGTGAGCTGAGATCGCTCCACTGCACTCCAGCCTGAGCAACAGAGCAAGACTCTCTCTCTGTCTGTCTCTCTCTCTATATATATATGTTAGTATCTATTGTTAGAGAATTAAATAAGACATTCTCACCCTCTGATACCCCATTCTGTGTTCCTCCTAAAGTCTACCCACTGGCCTAGAGTGACTTCTCTGATTCAGCATTACAGGACGTACATTGGAGCCCTTTCAAAGCTAGACTTAGCCGACATAGCCACGTATCAGATGCTGAAGAGGGCTGCTGGGAAAAGCCAGCCCTGAGGTCCTGTTTGCAAGGGGAGCACCAGAAAGACATGCTTTTCATTTTTGTTCTGTCTTGGTTTGTTTTTTCTTGAGACGAGGTCTGGCTCTGTCGCCCAGACTGGAGTGCAGTGGCGCAATCATGGCTCACTGCAGCCTCAACCTTCTAGGCTCAAGCAATCCTCCCACCACAGCTTCCTGAGTAGCTGGGACTACAGATGCGCACCACCACACCCGGTTAATTAAAAAAAAAAAAAATTTAGGCCAGGCACAGTGGCTCACACCTGTAATCCCAGCACTTTGGGAGGCCGAGGCAGGCAGATAACCTGAGGTCAGGAGTTTGAGACCAGCCTGGCCAACATGGTGAAACCCCGTCTCTAGTAAAAATACAAAAATTTTCTGGGTATAGTGGCGCTCGTCTATAGTCCCAGTTACTCGGGAGGCTGAAACAGGAGAATTGCTTGACCCTAGGATGTGGAGCTTGCAGTGACCTGAGACTCGCCACCGCACTCCAGCCTGGGCAACAGAGCAAGACTCCATTTCAAAATAAATAAATAAACTAATAAATAAATAGGCCAGGTGCAGTGGCTCACGCCTGTAATCCCAGCACTTTGGGAGGCCGAGGTGGGTGGATCACAACGTCAGGAGTTCGAGACCAGCCTGGCTAACACGGTGAAACACCGTCTCTATTAAAAATACAAAAAAATTAGCCCGGTGTGGTGGCACATGCCTGTAAACCCAGCTACTCGGGAGGCTGAGGCAGGAGAATCACTTAAACCCGGGAGGCAGAGGTTACAGTGAGCCAAGATCGCACCACTGCACTCCAGCCTGGGCTACACAGCAAGACTCCATCTCAAAAATTAAAAAATAAATAAATAAATAAACATCAAATAAATTTTTAGAAATGGGGGAGGGGGGTCTCGCTATATTGCCCAGCCTGGTCTTGAACTCCTGGACTCAAGCAATCCTCCCACTTCAGCTTCCCCAAGTGCTGGGATTACAGGTGTGAGCCACTGCACCCGGCCATCCTTTGCTTGAACTCCTCCCTGTGTCTCCTCTGACCCCAGTTACTCACTCCCCATAAGTCTAAATCCTATGCAAGGAGATACCCCAGTAAGTCTAGGGCTCCAAAGCAGCCCCCAGTTGACTTCCACTAGTCCAGCTCCTACTGCTGGGTGACCTCAAGCAAGTGGCTCAGCCTCTCCAAGCCTCAGTTTCCTCCTCTAAGAAATGGAAGTGACAGTCCCCACTTTGCAACACTGTTTGACGGCTTATACTTCAGCGTTTATCTCCATAGCTACGGGCATTGCATGAGCACTCAACACATTATTATTATTGCTATTTCTGTTGCTATCACTGTGGCAGGCTGTGGTTTCTCAAGACGGGCACTGTCTAACAGAAATACAACTCAAGCCGGATGTGGTGGCTCACGCCTGTAATCCCAGCAATCTGGGAGGCCGAGGCGGAAGGATTGCTTGAACTCAGGAATTCAAGACCATGGGCAACACAACAAGACTTCCTCTCTATCAAAATTCAAAAAAATTGGCCAGGCATGCTGGCTCACACCTGTAATCCTCACACTTTGGGAAGCAGAAGCAGGCAAATCACCTGAGGTCGGGAGTTCCAGACCAGCCTGACCAACATGGAGAAACCCCGTCTCTACTAAAAATACAAAAATTAGAAGGGCATGGTGGCGGGTGCCTGTAATCCCAGCTACTTGGGAGGCGAGGCAGGAGAATCGCTTGAACCCGGGAGGTGGAGGCTGCGGTGAGCCGAGATCACGCCATTGCACTCCAGCCTGGGCAACAAAAGCGAAACTCCGTCTCAAAAAAAAAAAAAAATTAACCAGGGATGGTGGCTCACGCCTGTAATCCCAGGACTTTGGGAGGCCAAGGCAGGTGGATCACTTGAAGTCAGGAGTTCGAGACCAGCCTGGCCAACATGGTAAAACCCCATCTCTATTAAAAATGCAAAAATTGGCCGGGTGTGGTGACGCACACCTATAGTCCCAGCTACTTGGGAGGCTGAGGCAGGAGACTTGCTTGAACCCAAGGTTCAAGTGAGGTTGCAGTGAGCCGAGATCGCGCCACTGCACTCCAGCCTGGTGACAGAGCGAGACTCCGGCTCAAAAAAAAAAAAAACAAAAAACAAAAAAGGAAAAAAAGAAAGAAATACAACTTGAGACACATATATACTTTTATTTATTTATTTATTTACTTATTTATTTTTGAGATAGCATCTCACTGTGTTGCCTAGCCCAGTCACAAACTCCTGGACTCAAGTGCTGCTCTCCGCTCAGCCTCCCAAAGTGCTGTGTTTACAGGGACCAACCACTGTGCCCTGCCACATATGTTATTTTATTTTATTTTACTTTATTTATTTATTTTATATATATATATATATATTTTTTTTGAGATGGAGTCTCACTCTTTCACCCAGGCTGGAGTGCAGTGGTGCGATGTTGGCTCACTGCAACCTCTGCCTCCCAGGTTCAAGCGATTCTCCTCCCTCAGCCTCCCACGTAGCTGGGATTACAGGCACGCACCACCATGCCTGGCTAATTTTTTGTATTTTTAGTAGAGACAGGTTTCACCATGTTGGCCAAGCTGGTCTTTTTTTTTTTTTTTCTTTTTTTGAGACGGAGTCTCGTTCTGTCGCCCAGGCTGGAGTGCAACACTGTGATCTCAGCTTACTTCAACCTCCACCTCCCGGGTTCACGCCATTCTCCTGCCTCAGCCTCCCAAGTAGCTGGGATTACAGGCACCCGCCACCAGGCCCAGCTAATTTTTTGTATTTTTAGTAGAGACGGGGTTTCACTATGTTGGCCAGGCTGGTCTCAAACTCCTGACCTTGCGATCCGCCCTCCTCGGCCTCCCAAAGTGCTGGGATTACAGGAGTGAGCCACCGCGCCCCGCCTAAGCTGGTCTTAAACTCCTGACCTCAGATGATCTGCCCGCCTCGGCCTTCCAAAGTGCTGGGATTACAGCCCTGAGCCACTGTACCCAGCCTACATACGTAATTTAAATGTCCTGAAACCATGTAAAAGAAAATATATGAAATCAATTTTAATAATGTATTTTATTAAACCAAGTTTATCTAAAATATAATTTCAACATGTTAACAACACTAAACATTTGCTTTCTTTTGTTCTGTCTTTTTTTTTTTTTTTTTGAGACAGAGTCTCACTTTGTTGCCCAGGCTGGAGTGCCGTGGTGCAATCTTGGCTCACTGCAAACTCCGCCTCCTGGGTTCAAGTGATTCTCCTGCCTCAGCCTCGCAAGCAGCTGGGATTACAGGCGCCCGCCACCACGCCCAGCTGATTTTTGTTTTGTTTTGTTTTGTTTTGTTTTTTGAGGCGGAGTCTTGCTCTATTGCCCAGGCTGGAGTGCAGTGGCGCGATCTCAGCTCACTGCAAGCTCCACCTCCCGGGTTCACGCCATTCTCCTGCCTCAGCCTCCGGAGTAGCTGGGACTACAGGTGCCCGCCCCCACGCCAGGCTAATTTTTTTGTATTTTTAATAAAGACGGGGTTTCACCGTGTTAACCAGGATGGTCTGCATCTCCTGACCTCATGATCCGCCCGCCTCGGCCTCCCGAAGTGCTGGGATTACAGGCGTGAGCCACTGTGCCCGGCCCTAATTTTTGTATTTTTAGTAGAGACGGGGTTTCACCATGTTGGCCAGGCTGGTCTTGAACTCCAGACCTCAGGTGATCCGCCTGTCTCAGTCTTCGAAAGTGCTGGGATTACAGGTGTGAGACACCTTGCCCGGCCTCGTTTTCTGTTTTTTTGTTTGTTTGTTTGTTTTCCTGAGACGGTCACACTGTCACTCCGGCTGGAGCACAGTGATACAATCATATCTCACTGTAGCCTGAACCTCTTGGGCTCGAGAGATCCTCCTGTCACAGCCTCCAGAGTAGCTGGGACTACTGGCTTGTGCCACCACGCCCAGCTGATTTTCTTATTTTTTAATAGAGATGGGTTTTCGCCATGTTGCCCATGCTGGTCTCAAACTCCTGGGCTCAAGTGATCTTCCCACCTCACCATCCCAAAGTGCTGGGATTCCAGGCGTGAACCACCGCGCCTGGCCAAAACATTCTTTTTTTTTTTTTTTTGGAGTCTCACTCTGTCCCCCAGGCTGGAGTGCAGTGGCGCAATCTTGGCTCACTGCAACCTCTGCCTCCTGGGTTCCCACCATTCTCCTGCCCTAGCCTCCCTAGTAGCTGGGACTATAGGCGCCTGCCACCATGCCCGGCTAATTTTTTGTATTTTTAGTAGAGAAGGGGTTTCACTGTGTTAGCCAGGATGGAAAACATTCTTAATGAAATATTTTAGGCCGGGCGTGGTGGCTCACGCCTGGAATCCCAGCACTTTGGGAGGCCAAGGCAGGCAGATCATAAGGTCAGGAGTTTGAGACCAGCCTGCCAATATGGTGAAACCCCGTCTCTACTAAAAATGCAAAAGTTAGTCAGGCGTGGCGGTGGGTGCCTGTAGCCCCAGCTACTTGGGAGGCTGAGGCAGAATAATCACGTGAACCTGGGAGGCAGAGGTTGCAGTGAGCTGAGATCACTCCATCTCAAAAAAAAAAAAAGAAATATTTTTCCTTGTTCCCTTCCTGCTATGTCTCCAAAATCCACTCTGTATTTTACCTTTCCAGCACAACCTAATTTCAGCCAGTCCCATTTCAAGGGCTCAGAGACCACTTGTGGCCATTGGTGACCATACTGGACAGTGCAGGTCTGCAGGGGAGTTTAACTAATTGAGGGGGTGGCAGGGAGAGTGGGTGAAGACTGGCCAGAGGGTGCAGCTGTGAGACTCGAAGTTTCTCCAAGAAAAAGCTAGGGCTTCCATATGGATGAGTGGATAATCACTGTTTTTTTTTTTTTTCTGCTGTGCCTATCATTTAACTGAATGGAGGCAAAGCATGTGTTGGTTGGTACATTCAACAAGTTCTAGGTTAAGCGCCTACCTTCCAGGTGCTGCCGGTACAGTAAAGCACAGATGGGACAAACTCCTGCCTCCTGAGGCTCACAGTGGAGAGGGAGAGATTGAAATTAAGCAACTACCAAAGGTGGATCACTTGAGGTCAGGAGTTCAAGACCAGCCTGGCCAACATGGCAAAACTCCGTCTCTACCAAAAATACAAAAATTAGCCGGGCGTGGTGGTGGGCGCCTATAATTTCAGCTATTCGGGAGGCTGAGGCAGGAGAATCACTTGACCCCGGGAGGCGCAGGTTGCAGTGAGCCGAGATCGCACCACTGCACCCCAGCCTGGACGACAAGAGTGAAACTCCGTAAAAAAAAAAAAAAAAAAAAAAAAAAAAACCGCCGAAACAGATAAATAAATGGTAATGGTGAGAAGTATGAGGAAGGAAAAATGCAGGGTCCTCTGAGGACATTGGCAAGGAGCCGGGACGGGAACGGGTGATGGAAGCCATGGCCAGCTTCCAGGCCAGAGACGGTGGCCTACACAAGCTGAGTCAGAAAAAATGCTCAGAGGTGCTGGGGTTTGATTAAGTGTTAGGGTGAACCTCATGGAATTGCCATTTTAACAGGCCAAAAATGGTAAAAAAAAATTAGCAATTTCATATGACCCAAGATAGTATCTAGGGCATGGAAAGGAGGGGCGGGGTACTATACTAGTTTTGAGGCTCAAGGGATGACCTATGAACCCCCTAACCGAGCTTTGTTTCTGGAGAGGGGGTCCGCGGCCCGCATGAGCTCCCTCAGTGAGCCTGCGACCCCTCCGCCCCCACAAGAACCAAAACTTGACCCGGTGCCCAGAGAGGTTGAGTGAGTTTCTCGGGTCGCACAGCTGGGAGGGACGAGGGGCTGAGCCACTGCCAAGGGATCCCGCTGCTCTGTCTCGCTCACCGGCCGGGCTATGTTGATTGTCCCCTCGCGGCGCCCGGAAGCGACCCTCAGTAAACAAAGCCGTGTGTGGGCGCAGCCCCAGAAGCCTGGGGCGCGCAGTCCAGCCCAAGAGAGGCGGGGGAGGAATGTTGTGAATGAACCCCGGGCCCGCCCCGAAACTCCGCATAAGGCCTGGGCCGCGGGGGTCCTCCCACTCTGATTGGCCTCTGGCGCCCCGTGATTGACAGCGCCCCTCGCTGTGCGCTCTGGTTGGGTAAACAAGAAAAGACTGGCATCGCAGTCATCGAGTGAGCAGCGAGGCTTGGACACGGGTCTGGCGGCGCAGCCAATGGCGGGGGAGGGCCGAGGAGGCCGAGGGGGGGCCAATAGGGACAGGCGGTGGGGGCGGGACGACGGCGGAGCTAAAGCGGCGGCTGAAGCAGCTTCATTGTTGTGAAGAGTCTTAAAGGGGCCGCATCACCCTGCCGGCCCGGCGCGGGTCGGGGGTGGGTGCGGTAGGGGTCCCGGGGCGGCCGAGCGCAGAGGACGGACGGGAAGGAGGGCAGGGGGCGCGGGAGCCGGCGAAGCGGAGCGGGCATCGGACCGAGCCCCCCAAAGAGGCCCCGCCCCGGCCCTGGCCCCGGCCGGGCCGGATGGAACCCCCCGCGGCCAAGCGGAGCCGGGGCTGCCCCGCGGGACCCGAGGAGCGCGATGCCGGGGCCGGGGCCGCGCGTGGCCGGGGCCGGCCCGAGGCGCTGCTGGACCTCAGCGCCAAGCGGGTAGCCGAGAGCTGGGCCTTCGAGCAGGTGACCGCGGGGGAAGGGGGCGGGGGCAGGGACGCACCCCCAGCACCTTCCCCACCTGTCTTCTCCTCCCCCACAATCCCCAGACTCCAGAGCTAACCCAATCAGAGACACCCCCTGAGATTCCACCCCCAGGACCCTTAACCCTGCCTGGAAACACCCCCTCATCCTCCTGTTTCTGTCCTTCAAACCCAGTAACCCACCCCCATCCCTTCTCTGCCATCTCTGCCCCTCAGCGCCCCAGATCCCAAATCAGGACACTTCCTTCTTCTCCTACCAACCCCAGATCTCTGAGATCTGGCCCCCATGGCCCGCCTACAACCCTGGGCACCCCTCTTTTCCCGCCTTATCCCCCAACGGTACCCCTCTTTTCCCACCTTATCCCCCAACGGTACCCCTCTTTTCCCACCTTATCCCCCAACGGTACCCCTCTTTTCCTACCGCATCTTTATTCGCCAATCAGGGCACCCCATTCAGTCTTCAATCCTCTCTTCGGCCCCCCGCTTGGGGACACCCTGTCTCCCTCCATCGTAGCCTCTAGAGACTCACACTACCCCATTCCTGCTCTCCAGATCCCTACCGTACACCCCAAGTAAATAACTCCCCCATCTCTCCAGATTCCAGCTCAAGACACCCCTTTTTTCCCCATTCATTCCTGCCCTCGAGCCTCCAGATTCCACCTGTTCCTTGGGGACCCCTCTCTACTCCTCCAGATTCCTCTTTCGGGGCTGCCCGTCTTCTCCTGGCTTGCCGCAGGGATTACTGAAATGCCAGGGTCCCTCCTCCTCCCCACCTCATCCCCCTGACCTATCCTATCTCTTCCCATAGGAAAACAGCAGGGGCGGAGCCTGGGTGGTGGTCCCTGGACAGGTGCACCTAGAAGCTCTCTTCTGTGGCTTCTGGTGGCACTGACAGGATGTCCCAGAGCTGGGGCCCTTTAAGTCCCCTTTTTCAGCTTCAGTGTGGGCCCCCAAGGAACTGGAGACATGGCCCAGACTTGAACAGGAAGCACACACGGGCTCTATCCTCTGTCCAGCTTCAGGGGGCGTTCTTTCCTGCCCGGCCTCTCTGGAGTTAGGAAGTCGGCCTGGACGGATGGGTTTGGGCCAAGTGTGGATGGGCAGGCTCTGATTCATGGACTGGAAAATCCCTCCTTAGTCATTTGCCAACTGTCCCTGAGGCCTGGGCTGGTCATTGCCTCTCCCACTTCCCCTAGAAACCCAGGTGGAGTAGGGGCTAAGGAGGGCCCCTTCATTGCATGTGAGACACACAGAACAATCTGAAAACCATCTCCGAGCCTCCCACAAACCTGCCCTGGCCAAGCCGAGCCCTCAGAGTTCTTGACCCACAGAAGCTCATGGAATCCCCTGCAACCCTTTGGCAGTTGTTCTTGTTCCCACTTTGAGGAAACTGGGGCACAGAGAAGTTGAGAAACTTGCCCAAGGTCACCCAGCCAGGGAATAGCAAGTCCAGATTGGAAGGCAGGCTCAGCCAGCTCACTGTATTGCCCAGAGCCCACAGCGGTGGCCAGGACACCCCCTCCCCTCCTGGGGCCCCTTCCCAGGGATGGGGCATGGAAGGGAAACTGAGGAACGACAGAGTCTGTCTTAGGAGTTGAAACAACTCACAGCTCTGGGACCCTGAACAAGTGAATTCATCCCACTAAGTCTCAGATTCTCCCAGCTATAAAACAGGTTCATGATTTAGTATCAATGTGCCATCAAGGGTGTTCAATCTTTTAGCTTCCCTAGGCCACACTGGAAGAAGAACTGTCTTGGGCCACATATAAAATGCACTAACACTAACAATAGCTGATGAGCTTAAAAAGAAAAGAAAAGAAAATCTTTGTATTTATTTATTTATTTATTTATCTGAAACGAGTCTCAGTCTGTTGCCAAGGCTGGAGTGCAGTGGCACGATCTCGGCTCACTGTAGCCTCCACCTCCTGGGTTCAAGCAATTCTCCCGCCTCAGCCTCCTGAGTAGCTGGGACTACAGGTGTGAGCCGCCATACCCAGCTAATTTTTGTATATTTAGTAGAGATGGGGTTTCACCATGTTGGCCAGGCTGGTTTCAAACTCCTGACCTCAAGTGATCCTCCCACCTTGGCCTCCCTCCCAAAGTGTTGGAATTACAGGCATGAGCCACCGCACCCGGACGTATCTTATAATGTTTTAAGAAAGCTTACGAATTTGTGTTGGCCTGCATTCAAAGCTCTCCTGGGCCAGGGCCGTGGGGCGTGGGTTGGACAAGCTCACACTAGGTGGCTGTGAGAATTTGGAAATTACATACATAAAGTGTTCAGCATAGTGTGTGCATTCTTTTCTTTTCTTTTCTTTTTTCTTTTCTTTTGAGGCAGAGCCTTGCTCAGTAGCCCAGTGAAACAATGATTGCGCAATGACACAATCATAACTCACTGCAGCCTCAAACTCCTGGGCTCAAGCAATCCTCCTGCCTCAGCCTCTTGAGTAGCTGGGATTCCAGACGCCCACCACCACACCTGGCTAATTTTTAATTCTGTGTGTGTGTGTGTAGACATGGGGTCTCACTATGTTGCTCACGCTGGTCTGGAACGCCTGAGCTCAGGCAATGCTGCCGCCTCAGCCTCCCAAAGTGCTGAGATTACAGGTGTCCAGCCAAGATGGGCACCTTAATCATTATTATCACTTTTTTCTAACTTCTTCCTGCTCCACCAAAGCCTGGTGGGTGGGAAGATCTCACAACAGAATCCCAAGACCCTGCAGCTAGGAGGATCCAGGAGGGAAACCGCAAGAAAGTTCTAGAATGCTAACTATGGGCCAGGTGTTATTGTAAGTTCTTTAAGCTCTTTACATCCATACTGCATATTTAGTCTCCACAATCCTCAAGAGGTTGGTGCCGTGGACCTCCCCACTTTACACCTGAGAATACTGAGGCCAAGTGACTTGCCTGGGGTCACAGTGCTCCTAAATAGTAAAGCTAGGATTCAAGCCTCGGTTTCTCTGTTTTTTTATTTTTATTTATTTATTTGAGACGGAGTCTCGCTCCGTGGCCCAGACTGGAGTGCAATGGCGCAATCTCGGCTCACTGCAACCTCCGCCTCCCGGGTTCAAGTGGTTCTCGCGCCTCAGCCTCCCAAGTAGCTGAGATTATAGGTGCATGCCACCACACCTGGCTAATTTTTGTATTTTTAGTAGAGACGGGGTTTCGCCATGTTGGCCAGGCTGCTCTCGAACTCCTGGACTCAAGTGCACCAACTGCCTTGGCCTCCCAAAATGCTAGAATTGCAGGCATGAGCCACTGCCCTGACCTATTTTTTTTGAGATGGGATCTTGCTCTGTTGCCCAGGCTGGAGTGCCGCTGGTGCAATCATGGCTCACTGCAGCCTCAAACTCATGGCCTCAAGTGACCCTCCTGCCCCACCCTCCCAGGTAGCTGGGATTCCAGATGCATGCCACCATGCCTGGCTAATTTTTTTTATTTTTTTATTTTTTTATCTTTTTTTTTTTTTTTTCGAGATGCAGTCTTGCTCTGTCACCCAGGCTGGAGTGCAGTGGCATGATCTCAGCTCACTGCAGCCTCTGCCTTCCAGGTTCCAGCGATTTTCCTGCCTCAGCCTCCCGAGCAGCTGGGACTACAGGTGCTCACCACCACACCCGGCTAATTTTTTTTATCTTTAGTAGAGATGGGGTTTCATCATGTTGGCCAGGCTGGTCTTGAACTCCTGACCTCAGGTGATCTGCCTGCCTCGGCCTCCCAAAAATCCTGGGATTACAGGCGTGAGCCATCGTGCCCGGCCAGTTTTTTTGTAAAGATGGGAGCCTCTCTATGTTGCCCAGGCTGGTCTCGAACTCTTGGCCTCAAGCGATCCTCCCTCCTAAGCTTCCCAAAGCGCTGGGATTACATCAACCCCAGGCTCCTAACCCACTGGCCCTTCCTACAGGTGGAGGAGCGGTTCTCCCGGGTGCCTGAGCCCGTCCAGAAGCGCATCGTGTTTTGGTCGTTTCCACGCAGTGAACGGGAAATATGTATGTACTCGTCGCTGGGTTACCCGCCCCCAGAGGGCGAGCACGATGCCCGGGTGCCCTTTACCCGCGGGCTGCACCTGCTCCAGAGCGGGGCCGTGGACCGCGTGTTGCAAGTGGGTGAGTCTTTGTCCCCCACTCCTGCTGGGGAGGCCAGGAGGTCCATACCAGGCCTGGAAATGGGGGAGTTGGAGGGAGGCCTGGGGCCAGGGGATGGGAGGTTACAGACCTCAGGCTTCGAGGCCCAGATAGGATTGTACAAGATTTTTTTTTTTTTTTTTTTTGAGACGGAGTCTCGCTCTTTGGCCCAGGCCGGAGTGCAGTGGCGCGATCTCGGCTCACTGCAAGCTCCGCCTCCTGGGTTCACGCCATTCTGCCTCAGCCTCCCGAGTAGCTGGGATTACAGGCGCCCGCCACCGCGCCCAGCTAATTTTTTGTATTTCTTTTTTTTTTTTTTTTTTTTTTTTTTTTTTTTTTTTTTTGAGACGGAGTCTCGCTTTTTCGCCCAGGCCGGAGTGCAGTGGCGCGATCTCGGCTCACTGCAAGCTCCGCCTCCCGGGTTCACGCCATTCTCCTGCCTCAGCCTCCCAAGTAGCCGGGACTACAGGCGCCCGCCACCAAGCCCGGCTAATTTTTTGTATTTTTAGTAGAGACGGGGTTTCACCATGTTAGCCAGGATGGTCTCGATCTCCTGACCTCGTGATCCACCCGCCTCGGCCTCCCAAAGTGCTGGGATTACAGGCGTGAGCCACCGCTCCCGGCCCCATTTTTTGTATTTTGTATTTTTAGTAGAGATGGGGTTTTACTGTGTTAGCCGGGATGGTCTCGATCTCCTGACCTCGTGATCCCCCCACCTCGGCCTCCCAAAGTGCTGGGATTACAGGCATGAGCCACCACACCCAGCCTGTACACGATGTTTTGAGCAAAAGCTCAAGGATCACCCTAGAACCCAGGCAGCAGGGTTTAGACAAGGGGTTGGGGGAGAGGATGGTGAACCAGAAACAGGGGAGGAGAGATCCCAGAACTTACACATCAGAGCCCATGTAAAGGAGGGGTGAGGCCAGATGTGGTGGTTCACACCTGTGATCTCAACACTTTGGGAGGCCAAGGCAGGAAGATCACTTGAGGCCAAGAGTTCAAGACCAGCCTGGGCAACACAATGAGACCTTGTCTTCACAAAAAAATCAAAAAATGAGCTGGGCATGGTGGCGGGTGCCTGTGGTCCCAGGTACATGGGAGGCCAAGGCAGGAGGATCGCTTTTGCCCGAGAGGTCGAGCCTGCAGTAAGCTATGATTGCACCACCGTACTCCAGCCTGGGTTACAGAGCGAGATGCTATCTCAAAGAGAAAAAAGAAAAAAAAAAAGGAAGAGAGGTGAGGGCCACTCTAGGGACAAGGGTAGAGGTTGAGACATGGTGGTGAAGGTGCCAGACCTCAGGCTTCAGGTCCAGATGGGGTTGGGTTCGGGATTATGAGCTGAAGGTGGAAAGTGCTCCTAGAGCCCTAGACCTCAGGCTGCTGAGCTGGGGAATGGGGAATGAAGTAGTGAGACGGAGAGAAGAGCAGGTCCCAGCTGAGGATCAGAGAAGCAGCTGTCAGCCAGCAGTGAGAGGAGGCTCCAGACCTCGGGCTGAGGGACCCAGTGATGCTTTGGGCCAGGGGTTTAGAGCCAGAGGTAAGAATGATCCTAGACCTCAGGCAGTGGGGCCCACGTGGGAGTTGGACACAAAGATTTAGAGCCACAGGTGAGAGTCTTAGACCTCAGGCAGAGAGGCTGGGATTTCAAAGGCTTAGAGCTATTGTTGAGCAATGGTCTTAGACCTAAGGCAACAGGGCTGAGGTGGGAATGTAGAGTAGAAGTTTAGAATTCTTTTTTTTTTTTTTTTCCGAGATGGAGTCTTGCTCTGTTGCCCAGGCTGGAGTGCAGTGGCACGATCTCAGCTCACTGCAACCTCCACCTCCCAGGTTCAAGGAATACCCCTGCCTCGGCCTCCCTAGTAGCTGGGACTACAGGCACCCGCTATCATGCCTGGCTAATTTTTGTATTTTTGTAGAGACAGGGTTTCACCATGTTGGCCAGGCTGGTCTTGAACTCCTGACCTCGTGATCCACCCGCCTCAGCCTCCCAAAGTGCTGGGATTACAGGTGTGAGCCACCATGCCCAGCTTAGAATTTTTTTTTTTTTTTTTTTTGAGATGGAGTCTCACTCTGTTGCCCAGGCTGGAGTGCAGTGGCACAATCTCGGCTTACTGCAACCTCCACTTCCTGGGTTCACACCATTCTCCTGCCTCAGCCTCCCAAGTAGCTGGGACTACAGGCACCTGCCACCACACCCAGCTAATTTTTTCTATTTTTTAGTAGAGACGGCGTTTCACCGTGTTAGCCAGGATAGTCTCGATCTCCTGACCTAGTGATCCGCCCGCCTCAGCCTCCTACAGTGCTGGGATTACAGGCATGAGCCACCACGCCTGGCCAAATTTTTTTTTTTAAGAGATAGAGTCTCGGCCGGGCACAGTGGCTCACACCTGTAATCCCAGCACTTTGGGGGCTGAGGCGGGTGGATCACCTAAGGTCAGGAGTTCAGCCTGGCCAACATGGTGAAACCCCGTCTCTACTAAAGATACAAAAATTAGCCAGGTGTGGTGGCACATGCCTGTAATCCCAGCTACTTGAGAGGCTGAGGCAGGAGAATCAGTTGAACCCGGGAGGCAGAGGTTGCAGTGAGCCAAGATCATGTCATTGCTCTCCAGCCTGGGCAAGAGAGAGAGACTCTGT
This sequence comes from Homo sapiens, assembly GCF_000001405.40. Classification (NCBI taxonomy): domain Eukaryota; kingdom Metazoa; phylum Chordata; class Mammalia; order Primates; family Hominidae; genus Homo; species Homo sapiens. The sequence goes on from NC_000019.10 coordinate 13,802,577, forward strand.
CTCAAAAGAAAAAAAAAAGGGAGATAGGGTCTCACTCTGTTGCCCAGGCTGGAGTGCAGTGGCGCGATAATAGCTCACTGCAGCCACAAACATCTGAGCTCAAGTGATCCTCCCACCTCAGCCTCCCAAGTAGTTGGTACCACAGGCGCAGGCCACCACACTTGACTAGTTTTTAAGTTTTTTGTAGAGACCTGGTCTCACTCTGTTGCCCAGGCTGGTCTCGAACTCCTGGGCTCAAGAGATCCTCCTGCCACAGCCTCCCAAAGCACTGGGATTACAGGCGTGACCCACCATGCCTGGCCAAGTATCAGGTTAAGATCAGCTGTGAAGGGTGGGCTCAGACCTCAAGCTAAGAAAACAAAAGGGCTGCAGAGACTGGGAGAGATGTAATGAGAATAGTGGAAAGGCCTTGGATCTCAGGCAGCCAGACTCAGAAAGGGACCAGTAGAGGCTGAGCCAGAAAACAAAAGTGAGGCCTGGGACTCCAGACCTCTGGCTGCAGCAGGCCATTTCTCCCAGCTAGAGGTCGGGGCTGGGCTGATATGATGCCCCGTCGGCTCTATCTGCTTTGGAGCCCCTTTGCTGGGACATGGCCCCGCTGACCACGGGCTCCTTGCCACCTCCAGCTGGTATGAGGAAGCCATCTCCCTGCATGACCCAGGCTGGGCCTGAGCTGCCGAACCAGTCAGATGAGCCTGGCACCTGGGCTGCCCAGGGAGGGGCAGGGGGAGTGAAGGGGACACCTGGCCCCTGGCTTACTTCATCAGCCCCTCGCCCCAAGCGCCACGGGTCTTTGGCATTTTCTCAGGAAATTGAGGGGCTCCTGAAGCCCTGGCCATATTCATTGTAACCCAAGGAATCAGAAAACCACCTTCAATGTCATGGTATGATACTATTCATAATTAAAATAAGAGCAAGTGTTGGGCTGGGCTCGGTGGCTCGCGCCTATAATCCCAGCACTTTGGGAGGCCGAGGCGGGTGGATCACTAGGTCAGGAGTTCAAGACTACACTAGGTCAGGAGTTCAAGACTAGCCTGGCCAATATGGTGAAACCTGATCTCTACTAAAAATACAAAAGATTAGCCGGGCATGGTGGTGCACGCCTGTAATCCCAGCTACACAGGAAGCTGAGGTAGGAGAATCGCTTGAACCCAGGAGGCGGAGGTTGCAGTGAGTCAAGATAGCGCCACTGCACTCCAGCCTGGGTGACAGAGCAAGACTCTGTCTCAGAAAAAAAAAAAAAAAAAAGCAAGTGTTTACTTAGGACTTAACTTCATACCAACAGCGTTCTAAGCCTTTTTTTGAGACAGAGTCTCATTCTGTTACCCAGGCTGGAGTGCAATGGTGCGATCTCAGCTCACTGCAACCTCTGCCTCCCGGGTTCAAGCCATTCTCCTGCCTCAGCCTCCTGAGTAGCTGGGATTACAGGCGCCCGCCACCATGCCCGGCTAATTTTTTTATATTTTTAGTAGAGACAGGGTTTCACCATGTTGGCCATGCTGGTCTTGAACTCCGGACCTCAGGTGATCTACCAGCCTCGGCCTCCCAAAGTGCTGGGATTACAGGCATGAGCCACTGCGCCGGGCTGTCTCTTCTAAAAATACAAAAATTAGGCTGGGCACCGTGGCCCACGCCTGTAATCCCTGCACTTTGGGAGGCTGAGGCAGGCGGATCACCTGAGGCCAGGAGTTCAAAATCAGCCTGACCAACATGGAGAAACCCCATCTCTACTAAAAATACAAAATTAGCCGGGCATGGTGGCGCATGCCTGTAATCCCAGCTACTCGGGAAGCTGAGGCAGGAGAATCACTTGAACCTGGGAGGTGGAGGTTGCGGTGAGCCGAGATCACACCATTGCACTCCTGCCTGGGCAACAGAGCAAAGCTCTGTCCCAAATAAATAAATAAATAAATAAATAAAATTAGCCGGGCATGGTGGTGTGTGCCTGTAATCCCAGTTACTTGGGAGGCTGAAGCAGGAGAATCGCTTGAACCTGGGAGGCGGAGGTTGCAGTGAGCCCAGGTCGCAGCACTACACTCCAGCCTGGGCCACAGAGCGAGATTTTGTTTCAAAAAAAAAAAAAATGCAAAGTGAGTGAGGTGACTTGTGCTAGTGAAGTGACTCGGCTGGGCTTTGCAACCGGGTCTTGCTGTGTACCACAAACACCGCCTGTCTCTGGGATGACACGGATGCGACAGTTTGGCTTTGATCCTAGGATTCCACCTGAGCGGAAACATCCGCGAGCCAGGGAGTCCTGGAGAGCCCGAGCGCCTCTACCATGTCTCCATCAGCTTTGATCGCTGCAAGATCACGTCCGTGAGCTGCGGCTGTGACAACCGCGACCTCTTCTACTGTGCCCACGTGGTGGCCCTGTCCCTGTACCGCATTCGGCACGCCCACCAGGTGGAGCTGCGGCTGCCCATCTCCGAGACGCTCTCCCAGATGAACCGGGACCAGCTGCAGAAGTTCGTGCAGTACCTCATCAGCGCCCATCACACTGAGGTGCTGCCCACTGCTCAGCGCTTGGCTGATGAGATCCTCCTGCTGGGCTCCGAGATCAACTTGGTGAATGGTAAGGGCACCCCGGGGGTCCGGTGGGGAGAGGATGCCCAAGCGCACAGCCACGCCACTTGCTGTGTGCCCAGTGCTGGTCACTTACTGACAGAAAGTTGTGGGGGCGGGGGGCGGAAAACGCGCCATGGCCTGCATCATCTGAGGTCACCCACCTGGTGAGTGGCAGATCCCAGATATCTGGACACAGGACAGATGAGTAGTTGCAAATCAGCCTACGGGCAGAGGGCGAGGGCAGGAGGGGAGATCCTGCGTTAGAGGGCAAGTGGGAGGTCTGGCCCCAGGGCTGGGTATGTCAATAGATGGAGCATCCTGGGTATGGGAGGAGAAGAGGGGGCGTGAAGGGAATGTGGGACGTTTGTGGGTGTCAGAGGTGTTATGGGTGAGGGGATACACCAGGAGGCGTGGTGAGGGCTGGGAGGGTTTGGGGGGCTCCGAGGGGCTTGGGTTGCCTAGCTAGGATGGGGAAGGTGAGTAGTAGGTGGAGGCATGGATGGATGATGGAGGGAGGTGCTGGGTGGGTACAGAAAGTGTTCGTGATTGGCTGGGCGCAGGGGCTCACACCTGTAATCCCAGCACTTTGGGAGGCCGAGGTGGGCGGATCAGTTGAGGTCAGGAGTTCAAGACCAGCCTGGACAACATGGCAAAACCCCATCTCTACCAAAATATAAAAATTAGCCGGGCGTGGTGGTGGGTGCCTGTAGTCCCAGCCACTCAGGAAGCTGAGGTGGGAGAATGGGTTGAACCCGGGAGGCAGAGGTTGCAGTGAGCTGACATCGCGCCATTGCACTCCAGCCTGGGAGACAAAGTGAGACCCTGACTCCAAAAAAAAAAAAAGCGTTCATGATCAGTCACTGAGGGCAACTGATGGTGTGGAAAAACGAATGGGTGGGTGGGGGATATTTTTTTTTTTGAGATGGAGTCTTCCTCTGTCACCCAAGCTGGAGTGCAGTGGTGCAATCTCAGCTCACTGCAACCTCTGCCTCCTGGGTTCAAGCAATTCTCCTGTCTCAGCCTCCTGAGTAGCTGGGATTACAGATGCACACCATCATGCCCGGCTAATTTTTGTATTTTTGTAGAGACAGGGGTTTCCCCATGTTGGCCAGGCTGGTCTTGAACTTCTGACCTCAGGTGATCCACCTGCCTCAGCCTCCCAAAGTCCTGGGATTACAGGTGTGAGCCACCACACCCAGCCTGGACGGGATATTAACAATGCCGTTAGGTGAATGGGAATTGGAAGCTGAGTGTGGTGGCTCATACCTATAATCCCAGCATTTGGGAGGCTGAGGAAGGAGGATCACTCGAGACCAGCAGTTCAAGACCGGCCTGGGCAAAATAGGGAGACCTCCTCTCTACAAAAAATAAACAAAAGTAGTTGGGCATGATGGCACACACACGCCTGTAGATACTTGGGAAGCTGAGATGGGAGGATCATGAGCGTGGGAGGTAAAGGCTGCAGTCAGCTATGATCGTGCTACTACACTCCAACCTGATGACAGACTGAGACCCTGACTCAAAAAACAAAAAAAAAAAAAGAAGGGAAGGACAGAACTGGTGGTGATTGGAGGTGAGGATGAGTGGTTGGGTGGGGAGGGCTTTGACTAGTGGAGTTAAGGTAGACTGACAGTGGTGGACAGATGAAGTTAGTGAAAGAATGAAAGATCCAATGGGTACATGCATTGGGAGTGAGTTGATGGGTGAATGGAAGGAAGGTTCACATATGTGGATCAACATCGTGGGTGGGCAGAGTGGGTGGGCGCTTTGTGTAGGGTGGATGGATGGACGAATGGGGTAGTGGGTGTTTTGAGAGGTACATATGAATGGATGGTTTGATAATGAATGGGTGGTTTAATGGAAGCATAGAGAGTTAGGATTAGTTATTGGGTGATAACTAATAGTTATCACCTAGATAACTAGGGTTAGTTATTGGATGATAGTTACTGGGTGGGGTGGATAGTGTACTTGTGTGGGTCAATGGACAAATGGGCGGGTGGGTATTTTGAGTGGTTAGTTCACGTGGATTGGAAAGATAAAAGGGGTGAGTGGGCAGATAGATCAATAAGATGAGTATATAGATGGGTGGATGGGTGGGAATTATGGGTAGGGTGGATGATGGACCCATGATGGGGTAGGTGGTTGTTTAAAGGGTATGGACATGTGGATGAAGTGAAATGGGGGATATGGCCAGGTAGATAGAGGCTGGCATGACTTGGGTGGGGGTGGATAAGTGGGTTGTGTTTCAGGTGAGACAGATGAGTAAACAGATGGGTCGGTGGTGTTTTGAGTGGGATGGGTAAATGGATGAGTGGATGGGTAGATGGATAGATGTGTAGTGTTTCAGGAGAGATAGATGAATGGATTGGATGGGTAAGTAAATGGATGAATGAACAAATGGATGAATGAGCTCCTGGTGTTTTGGGCAAGATGGATGGATGGATGGATGGATGGATGGATGGATGGATGGATGGATGAATATTACTACAGGGGAGATAGATGGATTGGATGGATGACTCAGTGGATAAATGAGCAAATGGATGAGCTGGTGGCGTTTTGGACAAGATGGATGGATGCATGGATGGATGGACAGATGGATGCATGGATGGATGCATGGATGGATGGATGGATGGATGGATGGATGGATGGATGGGTGTATGGGTGTATGGGTGTGTTGTGTTTCAGGTAAGATAGATGAATGGATTGGATGGGTGATGTATTACTCTGTTCTCACACTGCTATAAAGACATACCTGAAACAGGTTAATTTAAAGGAAACAGGTTTAATCGGCTCATAGTTCTGCAAGCTACACAGGCTTCTGCATTTGGGGAGGCCTCAGGAAACTTACAATCATGGCGGAAGGTGAAGGAGAAGCAAACACATCTTCACATGGCTGTCAGGAGAGAGAGAGCGAAGGGGGAGACACTACACACTTTCAAACAACCAGATCTCATGAGAACTCTATCATGAGACAACACTAAGGGAATGGTGCTACACCATTAGAAACCATCCCCATGATCCAGTCACCTCCCTCCATGCCCCACTTCCAACTCTGGGGATCATAATTCAACATGAGATTTGGGTGGAGACACAGAGCCAAACCATATCAGATGACTAAGTGGATGAATGAGAAAATGGATGCATGAGCTAGTCATGTTTAGGACAAGATAGATGGATTGATGGAGGGATGGATGGATGGATAAACATGAATAGATGGTCGGGTGGGATGGACAAGCAGATGGGTGGGTGGGGTTTAGGTGGGATGGATGGAACTTTAGACTGGGTTGGGTGACTTGGAAGAATGGATGGATGGGTCGGGCACAGTAGCTTATGCCTGTAATCCCAGCACTTTGGGAGGCCAAGGCGGGTGGATCACCTGAGGTCAGGAGTTTGAGACCAGCCTGACCAACATGGTGAAATCCCGCCTGTACTAAAAATACAAAAAAAATTGGCAAAGTGTAGTGGGGCGTGCCTGTAATCCCAGCTACTTGGGAGGCTAAGGCAGGAGAATCACTTGAACCCGGGAGGCAGAGGTTGTAGTGAGCGAAGATCGTGCTACAGCACTCCAGCCTGGGCAAGAAGAGCCAAACTCCGTCTCCAAAAAAAAAAAAAAAAAAAAAGGACAGCTCTCCTCAACCCAACCCAACCCCAACTCCAGCCCCAGCCTCAGCTTCCTTTCCCTCCCTCCCGGCAGGTGCCCCAGACCCCACCGCCGGCGCAGGAATCGAGGACGCCAACTGCTGGCACCTGGACGAGGAGCAGATCCAGGAGCAGGTGAAGCAGCTACTGTCCAATGGCGGCTACTACGGGGCCAGCCAGCAGCTGCGCTCCATGTTCAGCAAGGTGCCGTGCGGGCCGGCGGGGCGCGGGGTGCAGAAGGCCCCGGCGGACGCCCCAGCCCTTCCTCACCACCCTGTCCCCGGCACAGGTGCGGGAGATGCTGCGAATGCGGGACTCCAACGGGGCGCGCATGCTGATTCTCATGACCGAGCAGTTCCTGCAGGACACGCGCCTGGCCCTGTGGCGGCAGCAGGGCGCGGGCATGACGGACAAGTGCCGGCAGCTCTGGGATGAGCTGGGTGAGGCCCAAACCCCGGTGCGTGGTGGACACCGGGACTTCGGCTCCCATGGGGGCTGGCCCACTCCAAGATTAGGGTCTGTTCCCTGAATCCGCCCTCCATTCGTTTGGCAAACATTTATGAGCGCCTCTAAAGTGCCAGGCATGGTACTGGGCACTGGTGGTCCGGCAGAGAACAAGAGAGTCAAAATCCTGTTCACGTGGATCTGACAGGAGGCACAGGCAATCAAATGTCATTGGCCCAGGGGTTGATACACACGTACACACGTTTTCTTTGTTTTGAGACAGGGTATCACTCTGTTGCCCAGGCTGGCGTGCAGTGGCACAATCTCGGCTGACTGCAACCTCTGCCTCCCGGACTCAAGTGATCCTACACCTCAGCCTCCCAAGTAGCTGGGTCTACAGGTGCACACTACCACATCCAGCTAATTTTTAATTTTTTGAAGAGACAGAGTCTCACTATCTTGCCAAGTCTGGTCTTGAACTCCTGGACTCAAGCAGTCCTCTCACCCAGCCTCCCAAAGTACTGAGATGACATGCATGAGCCACCACACCCAGCCTACATGTTTTGTTTCTTTTTTTCTTTTTTTAGAGACAGGATCTCACTGTGCGCCCAGGCTGAAGTACAGTGGCACAGTCACGGCTCACTGTAACTTCAAACTCTTGGGCTCAAGTGATCCTCTGGCCTTGGCCTCTCAAAGTGCTGGGATGACAGGCATGAGCCACTGTACCAAGCTGACATATTTTTGTTTGTTTGTTTTCTTTTCTTTTCTTTTTTTTTTTTTGAGAAGGAGTCTCGCTCTGTCATCCAGGCTGGAGTGCTGGAGTGCAGTGGTACTATCTTGGCTCACTGCAAGCTCCGCCCTCCGGGTTCACACCATTCTCCTGCCTCAGCCTCCCTAGTAGCTGGGACTACAGGCACCCGCCACTAAGTCCGGCTAATTTTTTGTATTTTTTTTATTAGAGACGGGGTTTCACTGTGTTAGGCAGGGTTGTCTTGATCTCCTGACCTTGTGATCTACCCGCCTCAGCCTCCCAGAGTGCTGGGATTACAGGTGTGAGCCACGGCACCTGGCCTGTTTTCTTTTTTTGACACGGACTCTCACCCTGTCTCCCAGGCTGGAGTGCAGTGGCACGATCTCGGCTCACTGCAACCTCCACCTCCTGGGTTCAAATGATTCTCCTGCCTTAGCCTTCTCAGTAGCTGGGATTATAGGTGCGTGCCACCATGCCTAGCTAATTATTGTATTTTTAGTAGAGACGGAGTTTCACCATGTTGATCAGGCTGGTCTCGAACTCCTGTCTTCGTGATCCACCCGCCTCAGCCTCCCAAAGTGCTGGGATTACAGGCGTGAGCCACCACACCCAGCCAACATATGTTTTCTTTTTTCTTTTTTCTTTTTTTTTTGAGACGGAGTCTTGCTCTGTCACCCAAGCTGGAGTGCAGTGGCACAATCTCAGCTCACTGCAAGCTCTGCCTCCTGGGTTCATGCCATTCTCCTGCCTCAGCCTCCCGAGTAGCTGGGACTACAGAGGCCCACCACCACGCCCGGCTAATTTTTTTGTATTTTTAGTAGCAACGGGGTTTCACTGGGTTAACCAGGATGGTCTCGATCCCCTGACCTCATGATCCGCCCGCCTCGGCTTCCCAAAGGGTTGGGATTACAGGCGTGAGCCACCACGCCCAGCCTTTTTTTTTTTTTTTTTTTTTTGAGATGGAGTCTTGCTTTGTCACCCAGGCTGTAGTGCAGTGGCACGATCTCGGCTCACTGCAAGCTCCGCCCCCCAGGTTCACGCTGTTCTCCTGCCTCAGCCTCCCGAGTAGCTGGGATCACAGGCGCCTGCCACCACGCCCGGCTAATTTTTTGTATTTTTAGTAGAGATGGGGTTTCACCGTGTTAGCCAGGATGGTCTCGATCTCCTGACCTCGTGATCCGCCTGCCTAGGCCTCCCAAAGTGCTGGGATTACAGGCATGAGCCACCGCACCGGCCAACATGTGTTTTCTGTAAGAGACACAGAGTTAATGTTATTCAGCCCTGCAGGCCATCTGGTCTCTGTCATGAAGACCTCACTCTGTCTATTATAGTAAAAAAGGCAGACACAGACATATATACCAAACGGGCATGGTAGCATTTCAATAAAACTTTATTTAAGAGCTGGGAGGCCAGGTGCAGTGGCTCACACCTGTAATCCCAGCACTTTGCGGGGCTGAGGTAGGGGGATCACTTGGGCCCCGGAGGTTGAGGCTGCAGTGAGCCATGATCACACCACTGCACTCCAGCCCGGGCAACAGAGCAAGACCCTGTCTCAACAACAACAAAAAAAGGCGCTTGGCACAGTGGCAGGAGCCTGTACTCCCTACTACTTGGAAGGCTGAGTGAGGCAGGAGGATTGCTTGAGCCCAGGAGTTCGAGTGCAGCTTAGACGACATGATGAGACCCTGTCTCTAAATTTTTTAAAAACCGGCTTTATTTATAGATACTTACTAATTTATTTGAATTTTATATTATTCCCACAAGTTGCAAAATATTCTTTTGGTTGTATTTCCCTGACCATTTAAAACTGGAAAAATAGGCCGGGTGCAGTGGCTCACACCTTAATTCCAGCAGTTTGGGAGGCCGAGGTGGGCAGATCACTTGAGGTCAGGAGATCGAGACCAGCTTGGCCAACATGGTGAAACCCCGCCTTTACTAAAAATGCAAAAATTAGCCAGGCATTGTGGCGGACGCCTGTAATCCCAGCTACTTGGGAGGCTGAGGCAGGAGAATCGCTTGAACCCAGGAGGTGGAGGTTACAGTGAGCTGAGATTGCGCCACTGCACTCCAGCCTGGGTGACAGAGTGAGACTCTGTCTCAAAAAATAAATAAATAAAAACAAGTACAAATAAAAAGGGAAAAATAAATCTTAGCGTGCAGGCTAATCAAAAATAAAGGGTGGTTCAGTTTTCACCATGGGCAGTGGTTTGCTAGTTCGCAGACCCCTGCATGAGATGGTGATAAATGCTACCCAAAAAACCCCAAAACACCTTGAGAGGAGTCTGGAGGCCTGGTTTTTTTGTTTGTTTGTTTTTGTTTTTGTTTTGTTTTGTTTTGAGATCGAGTCTCACTCTGTTGCCCAGGCTGGAGTACAGTGGTGTGATCTCGGCTCACTGCAACCTCTGCCTCCTGGGTTGAAGCGATTCTTGTGCCTCAGCCTCCCAAGTAGCTAGGACTACAGAGGCCCGGGATGTAATCCCAACTTTTTTTTTTTTTTTTTTGAGATGGAGTTTTGCTCTTTTTACCCAGGCTGGAGTGCAGTGGTGTGATCTCAGCTCCCTGCAACCTCCACCTCCCGGGTTCGAGCCATTCTCCTGCCTCAGCCTCCTGAATAGCTGGGATTACAGGCACCCACAATCATGCCTGGCTTTTTTTTTTTTTTTTTGGTATTTTCAGTAGAGACAGGGCTTCACCCTGTTGGCCAGGCTGTTCTTAAACTCCTGACCTCAGGTGATCCGCCTGCCTCAGCCTTCCAGAGTGCTGGGATTACAGGCGTGAGTCATCACGCCTGACCCTCTAATCCCAACTTCTAACTTACCAGCGGTGTGACCCTGTGCAAGCCGTGTTATGTCTCTGTGCCTCAGTTTGCTTGTCTGTAAGGTGCAAAGGCTGCGAGTTGCAACTTCCGAGGGTCGAGGTGAGGGGTTAGCAGATCATCAGGTGGCACACAGTGGGCACTGCGGAAGTGTGTGTTGCTGCCACTGTTGGCAGGAATATTGAGCCTGCCCCGTGCCTCCTCAGGGGCCCTGTGGGTTTGCGTCGTCCTGAGCCCCCACTGCAAACCAGAGGAAAGGGCAGGCTGGCTCCAGCTACTCAGCAGGTGGGACAAGCTCGACGTCTGCCCACTGGAAGAGGGCAACTACTCCTTCGACGGCCCCAGCCTGCAGCCCACCATGGCCCCCGCCCCAGGTAGGAGAGAGGGGTCTTTACCATGCCCCCCAAAAACCATCACCACTAACTGTGGCCCCACTTACCATCATGGTCCTCTTCCCAGGAGAGAGAGGGAGTGGGGCAGAGCAAAGCAGACCCCAGTCCTTGGCTGTTCTTCCAGGACTAATCCCAACTTGTCTAGCCAGGAAAGAGCGAGTGCCAAGGGCAGGAGCAATGGCAGCCCAAGTGGGCAAGTGAAGTAAAATGCTTAAAACACCTGCAGTCCTGGGCTGGTCTGGCTTGGCCTTCTGCTAGCTATGGGACCAAAGAGAGGATGAGAGAGGAAAAAAGGAGGAATCAAACAGAAGGGGAAAGTGAGATATTGAGGAGAGAGAAACAAGTGAAGAGAGGCAGAGATGGATGGAGAGAGGGAGAGGCAGACAGAGGAGCAGATAGGAAGGAAGACAGAGAGAGATTGAGGAGAGAGGGAAAAAAAAATTTATAGCAAGTACAGGCCAGGCATGGTGTCTCACGCCTGTAATCCCAGCACTTTGGGAAGCTGAGGGGGGCAGATTGCTTGAGGCCAGGAGTTCAAGACCAGCCAGAGTAACATGGTGAGACCTTGTCTCTACAAAAAATACAAAAATTAGCTGGGTGTTGTGACGCACACCTGGAATCCCGGATACTCAGGGGGCTGAGATGGGAGAATCGCTTGAGCCTGGGAGGCGGAGGTTGCAGTGAGCCAAGATCGCACCACTGCACTCTAGCCTGGACGACAGAGTGAGACCCTGTCTCAAAAAAAAAAAAAAAGAAAGAAAGAAAGAAAAGAAAAATAGCAAGTAGGAAGAGGAAGACAGACAGCCAGTTAGTTGCTCAACCTCAGTTTCCTATCAATGTGATGGGCCTGTACTAGCTCCTAACACATACACGCATCCTTTTTTTTTTTTTTTTGAGACAGTCTCACTCTGATGCCCAGGCTGGAGTGCAGTGACGCAACCTTGGCTCACTGCAACCTCTGCCTCCTGGGTTCAAGCGATTCTCATTCCTCAGCCTCCCAAGTAGCTGGGATTACAGGTGTGCACCACCACGCCAGGGTTAATTTTAGTAGAGATGGGGTGTCGCCATGTTGGCCAGGCTGGTCTCGAACTCCTGGCCTCATGTGATCCTCCCACCTTGGCCTCCCAAAGTGCTGGGATTACAAGTGTAAGCCACCATGCCCAGCCTACACATGCATCTTTGAAGGGTGGCTTCAAGGACTGGGCAGATGATGTATGCCCATAGCTTTGCCCAGGCCTAAACCCCAGTTAGTACTTGGTGGGAAAAGCTGGACACGGCTCAACTGCTATAGGGACCCCCCCTCACTGAGCCATGTTGGGTGCCTCTCTGCAGGCTCGGAGGAAGAGGAAGAGGTGGCAGCCACAAGTCCCCGCCACACGGTATTTGGCCGCGCCTTGCTGGCTGGAGAGCTACACTGGAATGACGCCTACCTGCAGAGGATCCTGGCCAGTGACTCCTACGGGCCCAGCCTCACAGGCAGCGTGGGTGGGGACAAACCGACTTTCGACCCCCAGGGCCGCCCACTGTGGCTGGGAGAACCTTTCCCCACTGCCTGTGCCCGTGTGGACACCCTGCGTGCCCACGGATACCCCCGCCAGGCCCTGCGGCTGGCAAGTGCCATCATCAACACACTCCGGCTGCAGCAGCGGCATCAGCTAGAGAGCTACAAGCAGCAGAAAAAAGGTCAGCCTCAGCCGGGCACGGGGGCTCGCACCTGTGATCCCAGCACATTGGGAGTCCGAGGTGGGAGGATTGCTTGAGGCCAGGAGTTCAACATCAGCCTGGGCAACATAGTGAGACAATGTCTCTACAAAAATTAAAAAAAAAAAATTAGCTGGATGTGGTGGCTCACACCTGTAGTCCCAGCTACTCTGTAGGCTGAGGCAGGAGGATCACTTGAGCCCAGGAGTTCAAGGCTGCAGTGAGCTATAATTATGCCACTGCACTCTAGCCTGGGTGACAGAGCAAGACCTCATCTCTTTTTTTTTTTGAGACAGAGTTTCGCTCTTGTTGCCCAGGTTGGAGTGCAATGGAGCAATCTCGGCTCACCGCAACCTCCACCTCCCAGGTTCAAGGGATTCTCCTGCCTCAGCCTCCCAAGTAGCTGGGATTACAGGCATGCGCCACCATGCCCGGCTAATTTTTTTGTATTTTTAGTAGAGATGGGGTTTCTCCATTGGTGAGACTGGTCTCGAACTCCCAACCTCAGGTGATCTGCCTGCCTTGGCCTCCCAAAGTGCTGGGATTACAGGCTTGAGCCACCGTGCCTGGAAATTTTTTTTTTTTTTTTTTTTTTTTTTTTTTTTGAGATGGAGTCTCGGTCTTTCGCCCAGTCTGGAGTGCAGTGGCGCAATCTCAGCTTACTGCAACCTCTGCCTCCCAGGTTCAAGCAATTCTCCGGCCTCAGCCTCCTGAGTAGCTTGGGACTACAGGCACCCACCACCACACCCAGTTAATTTTTGTGTTTTTAGTAGAGATGGGGTTTCACTATGTTGGCCAGGCTCTTCTCGAACTCCTGACCTTTTGATCCACCCACCTCAGCCTCCCAAAGTGCTGGGATTACAGGTGTAAGCCACCGTGCCTGGCCTACTGAAAATATTTTTAAAATTAGCCAGGCGTGGTGGCGCACACCTGTATTTCCAGCTACTAGGGAGGCTGCGGCATGAGAATTGCTTTAATCTGGGAGGCAGAGGTTGGTTGCAGTGAGCCAAGATTACACCACTGCACTCTAGACTGGGTGACAGAGCGAGACTCCGTCTCAAAAAATTAAAAAAAAAAAAAGAGAGAGAGAGGAGAGCGAGGAGAGAGAGAAGAGGAAAGAAAGAGGTGGGGAGGGAGGGACAGAGAGAGATGGGGGGAGAGAGAGGGGAAGGAAGGAAGGGAGGGAGGGAAGGAGGCTGTATGAGCCCCAAAAACCACATTGTGTACTAGATATGGGGGTGGGGGACAGGAGGGAGGCCACCAGTTGAGAGAGCTAGTCGATGGGGTTGATGGATCAGCTATCAGGAAATTGAACGAAGAAAAGTGTGTCGTGGAGGAAACATGGGGGCCCTGGGACCCGAGCAGAGCTCTGACCAGGCTTGGCAGCATCAGTGAAAGGCCCCTAGATTTTAAAAATTAGCCAGGTGGCTAATTAGCTGAGTATTTAAGGATGTGCATGGCCAGGCACAGTGGCTCACACCTGTAATCCCAACACTTTGGGAGGTGGAGGCAGGTGGAGTGCCTGAGGTCAGGAGTTCAAAACCAGCCTGGCCAACATAGTGAAACCCCATCTCTACTAAAAATCCAAAACAAATTAGCCAGGTGTGGTGGCACGTACCTGTATTCCCAGCTACTCAGGACACTGAGGCAGGAGAATCCCTTGAACCGGGAGGTACCTGGAGGTTGTGGTGAGCTGAGATCACGCCATTGCACTCTAGTCTGGGCAACAAGAGCAAAACTCCATCTCAGAAAAAATTTAAAAAAAGAAAAAGGATGTGCAGGAGTTACCCAGGAGAAGGGGATGGAGGAAGTGCTCAGAATAGAAGGAACACCATGAGCAGCAGCCAGGAGGGAAGAGAGTACGTGGCTTGGAGGACGAGGCTGGAGGATTGGCCTCCAGATGAGGCAGGTCACCAGTATATGGAAAAACTTCATACTGGTCCTTGGGGGCCCTAAAGGCTGTTGGGGCTTTATCTTCAGAGAGGTGGAGAGGGAATAAGGGCAATGAGGAGGGGAATGACACTTCGGGTGTTTTAGAAAGCGTCCAGTGGCCAGGCATGGTGGCCCATGCCTGTAATCCCTTTGGGAGGCCGAAGCAGGAGGATCGCTTGAGCTCCAGAGGCTGCAGTGAGCTATGATTGGGCCACTGCACTCCAGCCTGGGCAATAAGCGAGACCCCACCTCAAAAAAAAAAGTTGAAGGTGACCATTGGGTGAGCAGGTGGTGGGCATTATGGGGCTAGGCTGGCTGGCAGGTCAAGAAGAGGAATATCCCTCCCTCCTAGAGACTTGGGCAGGTGTGTGGGCATTGAGCCCCCTCTTTCCACCTGCAGAGCTGCTCCAGAAGGGCTCCACCTGCATCACCAACACCGAAGGATGGGTGGGGCACCCCCTGGACCCCATTGGCTGCCTCTGCAGGGCGCTCCTGGAGGCCTGTCGTCTGGAGGAGGAGACACTTACCCTTTACCCAGGTACTCACATGGGGTACTCTTGGAGGAGGTGGGACAACCCCGCCTCGTTGGCCACGCCCCCTGGCCCAGTACCCCTATAAGGTAACTCCCAGACTCTGACCCTTGGCCACGCCCCTACCCTTGGCTACCTCCTCTGGCCAGTGCCCAGAGCCAATAGGCTTAGCTTCTCCTGAAAGTGAGGCCACCATAGGCCTAGCTGCTGCTAGAAGGTGGGGCTCCCGCGCTCCCCCAACCCCGTGAGTGCTGGGAGCTTCTGGGCTCCCTCTAAAGCCTACCCTGCGCCCAGGTCTCCATGCTTGAGGCCAAGGGCTACAGGGACCTTAGGGAAGGGGATCCGTCTCCAGCAGCCCTGGCCCTGTCTCCCCCAGACTCAGGCCCCGAGAAGCGGAAGGTGGCCTACCAGCACGTGCCTGTGCCCGGGAGCCCTGGGGAGTCCTACTTGGTGCTGGCGCTGGAGGTGGCACTGCTGGGGCTGGGGCAGCAGCGGGCCCTGCCGGAGGGGCTGTACGCCCAGGACAAGGTGGTGCGCAACGAGGAGCAGCTGCTGGCCCTGCTGGAGGAGGTGGAGTTGGATGAGCGGTTGGTGCAGGTGCTGCGCAAGCAGGCGGGGCTGCTGCTGGAAGGTGAGGCCGCGCCCCTAGGCCTGGCTGTTGCTGAAGGGTAGGGTCCAGCCCCTGGTCCTGTAGCGGCCCGGTTGCTGCCAGATGGGAGGCCCCGCCCCAGCCCCGCCCCTAGCCCCGCCTCCTGGTGATACTGTCCCCTCATACCTTGGCAGTTTCTAAAAGGAGAGAGCCAGCTCTTTTTCCCGCCACCTAGTGCGTGCTGCCAGCCAGCAACTGCTGCGTGTGCTGAGGCGCCGCCCCCTTCCCTCCCGGGAGCCAGTGAGCCAAGTGGTTGATGTTAAAGCGAGGGCGTCCCACCTTCATCCGCAACTTAGACACCGCCCCTGTCCCGGCCTGCTCCTCATTGGCCCCGCCAATGGCCAGGCCCTATTGACCTGTGTGTTGTGAGACTCCGTCCCCTAGCGCTACAGGGAGCCGTTTATCCCTGCCCCTTCAAGGCCCCCTACGCTATCGGACTTGCTGGTCTTGGCCGCTGGTCCCGTTCCCCAAGGCAGGTGCAGCCCCACCTCCACCCTCTGGCCCCACCTTGTATCTGAGTCCTGCTCCTCACCTGCGAGTGTGCCTGGAGTCTCTTCTTTTCCTTTTCCTTTTTTCCTTTTTTATTTTGCGACAGTCTTCACTCTGTCACCCAGGCTGGAGTGCAGTGGCGCGATCTCGGCTCACTGCAATCTCTGCCTCCCGGGTTCAAGTGATTCTTCTGCCTCAGCCTCCCGAGTAGCTGGGATTACAGGCGTGCGCCACCACACCCGGCTGATTTTTGTATTTTTAGTAGAGATGGGGTTTCCCCATGTTGGCCAGGCTGGTCTCAAACTCCTGACCTCAAGTGATCTGCCCGCCTCGGCCTCCCAAAGTGCTGGGATTACAGGCATGAGCCGTGGTCCCCTGCCTCCTCTTTTTTTTTTTTTGAGACGGAGTCTCGCTCTGTCTCCCAGGTTGGAGTGCAGTGGCGCAATCTCGGCTCACTGCACCCTCCGATCCCGGGTTCACGCCATTCTCCTGCCTCAGCCTCCCGAGTAGCTGGGACTACTTGCGCCTGCCACCACACCTGGCTAATTTTTTTTGTATTTTTAGTAGAGACGGGGTTTCACCGTGTTAGCCAGGATGGTCTCGAACTCCTAACCTCGTGATCCGCCAGCCTCGGCCTCCCAAAGTGCTGGGATTACAGGCGTGAGCCACCGCGCCAGGCCTCCTCTTTTATTTGGATTACCCAGAGATTGCCTCAGTCTCAGACCTGAACCCCTACCCCAGAGACCCATCTAGCCACAGCCACTCTACCCAGGGGCCAGCCCACCCTCTACTTAAAGCCTGGGGTCTAGTGAGACCTGGGGAAGGGCAGAGGCGAGCCCACACTTGGGGACTGAGCTCAGGCTGTTCCTGCAGGGGGTCCCTTCAGTGGCTTTGGGGAGGTGCTGTTCCGGGAGAGCGTGCCCATGCACACCTGTGCCCGCTACCTGTTCACCGCACTGCTGCCTCATGACCCGGACCTGGCCTATCGCCTCGCGCTGCGAGCTATGAGGTGAGGATAGGTGGCCAAGGCAGTGGCAGGGGGAGCTGGGGGGAAGAGGGGCGGGCATGGGGGGTAGCTCAGAGCCCCACCCATCCAGCCTGAACTCACAGCCTAGTTAATTCAGTCTCTCTCACCCTGGCATTTGATGATGCCATGTGCTTTTCATTATTATTATTTATTTATTTATTTATTTATTTATTTATTTTGAGCTGGAGTCCTCTGTGACCCAGGCTGGAGTGCAGTGGCGCGATCTCAGCTCACTGCAACCTCCACCTCCTGGGTTCAAGCAATTTCCTGCCTCAGCCTCCCGAGTGGCTAGGATTACAGGCATGCACCACCATGCCCAGCTAATTTTTGTTTTTTGTTTTTTTTTTTTTTGAGACGGAGTCTTGCTCTGTCACCCAGGCTGGAGTGCAGTGGCGCGATCTCGGCCCACTCCCAGGGCCGATCTCAGCTCCGCCTTCCAGGTTCACACCATTCTCCTGCCTCAGCCTCCTGAGTAGCTGGGACCACAGGCGCCCGCCACCACGCCCGGCTAATTTTTTGTATTTTTAGTAGAGACGGGGTTTCACCGTGTTAGTAATTTTTGTATTTTTAATAGAGACAGGATTTCGCCATGTTGCCCATGTTGTCTCGAACTCCTGACCTCATGATCCACCCGCCTTGGCCTCCCAAAGTGCTAGGATTACAGGCATAAGCCACCTCGCACAGCCGTGCTTTTTATTATTAAGTATAAATGTGTGTTTTTTGTTTTGTGTTTTTTTTGTTTTGAGACAGGGTCTGGCTCTGTCACCCAGGCCAGAGTAAAGTGGTGCCATCTCTGCTCAGTGCAACCTCTGCCTCCCAGGCTCAAGCGATCCTCCCATCTCAGCCTCCTGAGTATCCAGGACTCCAGGCGTGCACCACCGCACTGGGCTAATTTTTGTATTTTTTGTAGAGACGGGGTTTCACCATGTTGCTCAGGCTGGTCTCGAATTTCTGAGCTCAAGTGATCCGCCCACCTTGGCTTTCCAAAGCTCTGGGATTACAGGCGTGAGCCACTGCACCTGGCTAAATGTGTAATATTATTTTGAGTTTGAGAATATTCACATGATACATGAAAAGATACACAAAGCTGAAATCTTTTCTAGGCAGTTTTATCTCAGCCTATCCAGATCTCTCCGGATGCAAGCAGGGTTATCACTTTTGTGTCTATCCTGCAAGAATTGAGGTTTCTGCAAACCCATAATCTGGAAATTGAACGTTGATCCTCCTTTTATACCAGTGGTACATCCTGTATCTATTCTTTGCACCTTTTTCTCACTGAGCTTTGCATCTTACAGGATTTGTCTTATCACACAGTACGTGAATCACTGCGTAGCCTTCCACTCTAAGGACACGTCATAAAAGAACCACTTGGAAGCTGATAGACATTTACGCAATTTCCAAAAAAAAAAAAAAAAGGCAATGAATAACCTGGTTTTCATTTATCACGTACACCAGCAGATTCACAGAAGGAGAATATTTGAAAGCCAACTTGGCCGGGCATGGTGGCTCATGCCTGTAATCCCAGCACTTTGGGAGGCCAAGGCGGACGGATCACCTGAGGTCATGAGTTTGAGACCAGCCTGGCCAACATAGTGAAAACCTATCTCTACTAAAAATACAAAAATTAGCTGGGTGTGGAGGTGCATACCTGTAATCCCAGCTACTCCGGAGGCTGAGACAGGAGAATGACTTAAACCCGGGAGGTGGAGGTTGCAATGAGCCCAGATCGCACCACTGCACTCCAGCCTGGGAGACAGAGCGAGACTCTGTCTCCAAAAAAAAAAAAAAGGCCAACTCAATAGTAAACCATGCCCAAAAAGGTGCAACCTATTCCACACCTTCTGAAACCATCCTTCAGAGGTACCTATAAACAACTTGGGATCCAGCCTGGTACACATCTATGGTCCTAGCTACTTGGGAGGCTGAGGAGGGAGGATTGCTTGAGCCCAGGAATTCAAGGCTGTAGTGATCTATGATCCCACCTATGAATTGCCACTGCACGCCAGCCTGGGCAACAGAGCAAGACCCCATCTCTCTCTTTTTTTTGTCCTTTTAGAGACAGTCTCGCTCCATTGCCCAGGCTGGATATGCAATGGCAGGATCATAGCTCTTCACAGCCTCATATACATGGGCTCAAAGGATCCTCCCACCTAAGCCTCCCACCAAGTAACTGGGACTACAGGTACTTGTCACCATGCCTGGCTAGTTTTAAATTTTTTTTTTTTTGAGAGGGAGTCTCACTTTCTCGCCCAGGCTGGAGTGCAGTGGCACAATCTCAGCTCACTGCAAGCTCCGCTCACTGCAAGCTCCAAACCTCCCGGGTTCAAGTGATTCTCCTGCCTCAGCCTCCCAAGTAGCTGGGACTACAGTCACCCACCACCACGCCTGGTTAATTTTTTGTATTTTTAGTAGAGACAGGTTTTCACCATGTCAGCCGGGATGGTCTCAATCTCCTGACCTCGTGATCCACCCACCTCAGCCTCCCAAAGTGCTGGGATTACAGGCATGAGCCACCACACCCGGCCTAGTTTAAAAATTTTTTTTGTAATGATGGGATCTCATTACATTGCCCAGGTTGGTCTCAAATTCCTGGCCTCAAGCGACCCTCTCGCCTTGGCCCATCTCTTTAAAACACACAAACACACACACACATACACACACACACACACACACACACACACACACACACACACACAGTTTGGAGTGTTTTTCCAGAATATTTAGAAAGAACAGCCTGTAAGAGCCAAGATTTAGACAACAGACTTTTCTATGCAAGAATTTTTTTTCTCAGCAAAATACAGCCCATGGGGCCTAATTTGGCCAACCACCTGTTTTCGTACAGCCCATGAGATAAGAATGGTTTTTACATTTATAAACGGTTGAAAAAAATCAAAAGAATATTTTGTAACACATGAAAAATATATGAAATTCAAATTTCAGTGTCCAGAAATGGTTTTATTGGCACACAGCCATGTCCATTCATCTGTGAATTGTCTGTGGCTTTTCTGGCAGAACAATGACAGAATTAAGTCATTGAAATACAGATCAGTGGCCAGGCATGGTGGCTCATGTCTGTAATCCCAGCACTTTGGGAGGCCAAGACGGGCGGATCACTTGAGGACAGGAGTTCAAGACTAGCCTGGCCAACATGATGCAACCCCATGTCTACTAAAAATACAAAAATTAGGGCCAGGAGCCATGGTTCACGCCTATAATCCCAGTACTTTGGGAGGCCGAGGAGGGCGGATCACCTAAGGTCAGGAGTTTGAGACCGGCCTGACCAACATGGAGAAAACCCGTCTCTACTAAAAATACAAAATTAGCCAGGTGTGGTAGTACACGCCTGTAATCCCAGCTACTCGGGAGGCTGAGGCAAGAGAATCGTTTGAACCCAGGAGGCAGAGGTTGCAGTGAGCCGAGATTGCGCCATTGCACGCCAGCCTGGGCAAAAAGAGTGAAACTCCGTCTCAAAAAAAAAAAAAAGAAAGAAAAAAGCCAGGTATGGTGGCACGTGCCTGTAGTCCCAGCTACTCAGGAGGCTGAAGTGGGAGGATTACTTGAGCCGAGAAGTTTGAGGCTTCAGTGAGCTATGATTGTCCCACAGGACTCCAGCCTGGGTGACAACAGAGTGAGACCCTGTCTCTAAAATAAGTAAATGTATCAATTTATAAACAACACTGCAGTGAACATCTTGCACACACATCTTCCATCATCTTGGGCTCTCAGGGCTCTGCTGGCTGAAGTGGGGAGGCTGGGCCAGGAGGCTTCTCTGTCTCCTAGAGAGAATGGGGACAGCAGCCCCTCCTCACCATGGCTCACTTCTCCCCTTACCCAGGCTGCCCATACTGGAGACAGCATTTCCTGCTGGAGAACCTCATCCCAGCCCGCTGGACTCCATCATGAGCAACCGCTTCCCCCGCTGGTTCATCCTTGGCCACCTGGAGACCCGCCAGTGTGAACTGGCTTCCACCATGTTGACGGCCGCCAAGGGTGAGGCTGGCAGCTGTCCCGATTCCTTTGTCTTCCTCCTCTGTCATCTCCTTCTTCCTTCCCTCTTAACTTTCCTGCCTCCTCTTATCCTTTCACAAACTTCCCCCTGCATTCTTTGAGCACCTCCTATATGTACCGGACACTGTCTCAGGTGCTGGGGATGTAGCAGGTGACAAAACTGTCCCAGATCCCCTGCCCTGTGGAATGACATTCTAGTGGGGAGAAGAGAGTGATGCAGTAAATGAGACGGTAACAGGTGCCATGGAGTGGAATAAAACAGTTGAACATTTAAGCAGAGACCTGAAGATGAGGTGGAGCCTTGCAGGTACCTGGTGTCTTAGCTCAGGCTGCTGTAACAAAACACCAGAGACTGCGTGACTTCAACAACAAAAATTTATTTTCTCACATTTCTGTAGGCTAGAAGTCTAAGATCACTATGTCAGTATGGCTAGCTCCTGGTGAGGGCTCTCTTCTCAGCTTACAGACGGCCACCTTCTTGCTTTGTTGAGAGTTGGGGGGAGTGAAGTGGGGAGTAGAGAGGAAAGTGAGAGAGAGGAGGCTGGGAGAGAGAGAGAGGGAGAAAGGAGAGATAGTAGGGGGGGATAGAGAGAGAGGGAGAGAGAGGAGTCAGGTGCCAGAGAGGAGAGAGAGAAGAAAGAGAAGAGGGAGAGAGGAGAGACAGAGAGGAGAAGTTAAATTTCTCCAGTGTATCTTCTTCTAAGGTCACTAACCCTCTCATGAGTACCTGAACTTCATGACCTCATCTAAACCTAATTATTGGCTGGGCACGGTAGCTCATGCCTGTAATCCCAGCACTTTGGGAGGCTGAGGCGGGCAAATCACTTGAGGCCAGGAGTTCGGGACCAGCAAATCACTTGAGGCCAGAAGTTCTTCAAGACCAGCCTGGCCAATATGGTGAAACCCCATCTCTACTAAAAATGCAAAAATTAGCCAGGCACAGTGGTGCACGCCTGTAATCCCAGCGATTTGGGAGGCCGAGGCCGGGGGATCACCTGAGGTCAGGAGTTCGAGACCAGCCTGGCCAACATGGTGAAACTCTGTGTCTACTAAAAATATGAAAATTAGCTGGGCGTGGTGACCGGCACCTGTAATCCCAGCTACTTGGGAGGCTGAGGCAGGAGAATCACTTGAACCCGGGAGGCAAAGGTTGCAGTGAGCCGAGACTGCACCGTTGCACTCCAGCCTGGACAACAAGAACAAAACTCCATCTCAAAATAATAATAATAATAATAATAATAATAATAATAATAATAATAAAAGCTAACATTTGAGCAGCTCCTTGCCATGTTAAGGCCTTGCCAAGTATGGGCCCACCACCACCCTGTGAGGTGGGTTCCATTGCCTGAGTGTTACCCATTTTACAGATGGGGCAGCCAGGGCACAGAGAGGTGAAGTGACTTGCTCAGGGTCACACAGCTAGTGGGTGGCAGGACCAGGATTTGAACCCTGGCATTCTGGGTGTGCAACCAATGCCCTTGAGATGAGGGAGAGGTCCATAGGATCCCTAGGTGGCTTTTCTTTTCTTTTTTTTTTTTTTGAGATGGATATTACTCTATCATCTAGGCTGGAGTGCAGTGGTGCCATCTCAGCTGACTGCAACCTCTGCCTCCCGGGTTCAAGCGATTCTCGTGCCTCATCCTCCCAAGTAGCTGGGATTACAGGCACCCGCCACCATGCCCAGCTAATTTTTGTAGATGGGGTTTCGCCATGTTGGCCAGGCTGGTCTCAAACTCTTGACCTCGTGATCCACCCACCTCAGCCTCCCAAAGTGCTGGGATTACAGGTGTGAGCCACTGCGCCCGGCCCCTAGGTGGCTTTCTGTAACAGGAAAGGGCCAGAGAGGAGATAATTGGCAAGGGCTAGGGGCACTGAGGTCTGAATCTTCACAGAACCATGGCCCAGTACACATCCCTCCACACTCACACATGTGCCCCTGGGTGGAAGGATCTGTGTGAACAGGTCGGGTGGTGGTCAGAGGCTGGTGCTGAGGTGTATCCGATGGTGTCCTCTGTCCCGCCCTTCACCCAGGAGACCCCAAGTGGCTGCACACGGTACTGGGCTCCATCCAGCAGAACATCCACTCTCCGGCCCTGCTCTTTAAGCTGGCGCAGGACGCCTGCAAGACAGCCACCCCGGTCAGCGCCCCACCAGACACCACGCTGCTGGGCATCGCACTGGAGCTGGGGCTGCAGGTGAGGGCTGCCAGGTGGATGCGGGAGGGCGATGGTGGCTCGGGGCCAGGACTGACTGTGAGCTGCGCCTCCCGGGGCATGGGCTGAGTGTGAGCCACTTCGCTGGGGGCCCGGCATTTGCGTGAGCTATTCCTCTGTGGCTGGGGACTGAGCGAGAACCACTCTTGGGGCGGGGACTGTGAGTGAGACACACCTCTGGGGGCGTGGCCTGAGTGTGGGCCACTTCCTTGGGGGCGTGGCATGAGTGAGCCACTCCCCTGGGAATGGGGACTGGATGAATCGTGTCTCTGGGGATGGGGTCTTCACTTGGGCCACACCTCTGCAGGTGGGGCCTGAGTGTGAACCTCACCTTTAGGGGCGGGGCCACAGAAGGCCAAGGTCTGTAAGTCATGGGAGTGTGGGAATGGGGTTCCCAGTAGGGATGAAGCCTATGAATTATTAATAGAATCCGTCTATGGAGGAGACTGAGGTCTAGGGGAGAGTTGTCACTGGAGCGGAGAGGCAGGGCCTGCAAGCCAGCAGATGGATCGCAAGCGGAGCCTGGGGGTGGGGCCTGGGAGTGATGTGCTATTGGTTAAGGATCATGGGTGGGTGAGTTTGAAGCTGAGGGTGAGGCAGAGCCTAGCAATAAAGAGCTTCCTTGGGGGCAGGGCCTGAAGAGGATTGCCGCCTAAGGAGAGGGATTCACCACTGAAGGGCTGGCCTGGCGGAAGGTCTTGAAGATGAGATGCCAACTCTAGGGGTGGGGTCTGTGGTTGAAAGCCCTGTATGAGCCCGGGTGTGGTGGCTCACATCTGTAATCCCACACTTTGGGAGGCCGAGGGGGGCAGATCACGAGGCCAGGAGTTCGAGACCAGCCTGGCCAACATGATGAAACTCCGTCTCTACTAAAAATACAAAAATTAGCCAAGCGTGGTGGCACGCGCCTGTAATCCCAGCTACTCGGGAGGTTGAGGCAAGAGAATCGCTTGAACCCAGGAGGGAGAGGTTGCAGTGAGCCGAAATCACACCACTGCATTCCAGCCTGAAGGACGGAGCAAGACTCCGTCTTGGGGAAGAAAAAAAAAAGTCCTGTATGCAGGGCCTGCAACTGAGTGTCTGGGTCATCCCCAGGGGCTGAACAAAGGGTGGTCCTGCAAGGCCAAATCTTGGGTGCAGCTTGCTGGAAAGGTGTCATTGGTAGGGTGTGAGTGCCATGGGACCTGGAGGAGGGTGGGGTCTGCAGGATAGACAGGTAAGGGGCGGGGCCTCAAAGGGTGGCAGAAGTTCACTAAGAAGATAAGGAATAGGGCCGGGCACAGTGCCTCACACCTGTAATTCCAGCATTTTGGGAGGCCAAGGTGGGAGGATTGCTTGGGGCCAGGAGTTTGAGATTGGCCTGGACAACATAGTGAGACCCCCATCTCTACAAAAAACTTTAAAAATTAGCCAGGTGTGATGGTGCACCCCTGTAGTCCCAGCTCCTCAGGAGGCTGAGGCGAGAGGATCGCTTGAGGCCAGGAGTTTGAGGCTGCAGCAGTGAGCTATGATCGCGCCACTGTACTCCAGGTAACAGAGCAAGAAGACCCCAACTCTAAAAGAAAAAAATAGAAAAGAAAAAAGAAGTTGGGGCCAGGCCCTGTGGTTCACACCTGTAATCCCAGCACTTTGGGAGGCCGATGCGGATCGCTTGAGGCCAGGAGTTCAAGACCAGCCTGGCCAACACAGCAAAAACCCGTCTCTCCCAAAAATCAGCCATGCATGGTGGTGGACGCGTGTAGTCCCAGCTGCTCGGGAGGCTGAGGCAGGAGAATCACATGAACCCAGGAGGTGTAGGTTACAGTGAGCCAAGAGACCACAACTGCACTTCAGCCCCGGCGACAGAGTGAGACCCTCAAAAAAAAAAAAAAAAAAAGAAAAGAAAAAAAAAGAAACTGGGGACCTTCCCAGCTAGAACAAACAAGGGCCAGCAGGGTGCAGAATCAGCCCTGGACAGCCTCCTGATTGGAGCCGTTGTAGTGTGGGGAGCAAGACAAGGAGCTTTCAGAGGCTACTCAAGAGGTAGGAGCTTACAGAAGGCAGGGTCTGCAGGACAGGACCTGTGGATGGGGCCTCAGGGGAGAGGCAAACACGTGAGCTGCTGATTGGTGGTGGGACCTAGTGAAGGTGGGGCTTATACAGCAGGTACTTAGAGGCAAGAGAGAGGAGCCAACAGGAAGCATGGAGGTTTCAGGAGCGAAGGGACAGGTTGGTTTGTTCCGGCATAGGATCTATGAGGTGGGATCTGGGGTAGGATCTGTGAGGACTCACTTCAGAAGAACAGCAACAACAGCAGTGATATTAAGAGCTGACATTACCTGAGAGCATTTTCAAGCAATAAGCACCTTGCAGAAAGCTTCACCTACGCAATTTTGTTTACTTCTCACAACAATCAGGCTGGGTGCAGTGGCTCACGCCTATAATCCCAGCACTTTGAGAGGCTGAGGCGGGCGGATCACTTGAGGTCAGGAGTTCGAGACCAGCCTGGCCAACATAGTGAAACCCCATCTCTACTAAAAATACAAAAATTAGCTGAGCATGGTGGCGGGCACCTGTAATCCCAGCTACTTGGGAGCCTGAGGCAGGAGAATGCTTGAACTCGGGAGGCGGAGGTTGTAGTGAGCCAAGATCGCACCACTGCATGCCATTCTGGGTGACAGAGCAAGATTCCATCTCAAAAAAAAACAAAACAAAACAACAACAAAAAAGAAAAAACAACAATCCTATGAGACAGATACTATTTTATCTCCATTTTCTAGGTAATTGAGGCCCAGAAAGTTGAGATCACTTACCCGGGTTCATTGGATCAGCTTTAACCTCCAAGTGTTTCTGGGGTCCTCCATCTCCCAACGCCCCTCCATAGGCCAGCCCAAGACTCAGGCTAACCCCCTTCTCCCCACCCCTACCTTGCAGGTGATGCGGATGACTCTGAACGTAATGACCTGGCGGCGGAGGGAGATGGTGCGCTGGCTGGTCAGCTGTGCCACAGAGATTGGTGAGAGCCCCTAAGGGGACCTGCCACCCACTTCGCTGTTCTGGTTCTGCAGAGCGCACTGAGAGAACCAGGCAGACAAGAAAGAGAGAAGTGGCGGGGTGCGGTGGCTCACACCTGTAATCCCAGCACTTTGGGAGGCCAAAGCGGGAGGATCACTTGAGCCCAGGAGTTCAAGAGCAGCCTGGGTAACATAGTGAGACCCCATCTCTACAAAAAATTAAAAATTAGCTGGGCGTGGTGGCAAGTGCCTGTAGTTCCAGCTGCTTGGGAGGCTGAAGCAGGAGGATAGATTGCTTGAGCCCAGGAGGTCAACGCTACAGTTAGCCATGATCATACCACTGCACTCCAGCCTGGGCAACAGAGGAAAACCTCCTCTGGGAAAAAAAAAAGAGAGAGAGAGAGAGAGAAGCAAGCCAGGCATGGTGGCACACACCTGTAGTCCTATCCGGAGGGCTGAGGTGGGAAAATCACTTGAGCCCAGGAGATTGAGGTTGCAGTGAGCTGTGATTGTGCCACTGCACTCCAGCCTGAGTGGCAGGGTGAGACCCTGTCTCTAAAAAATTGTTTAACAAAAAGAAAGAGGGCCAGGCGCAGTGGCTCACACCTGTAATCCTAGCACTTTGGGAGGCCAAGGCATGTGGATCACTTGAGGTCAGGAGTTCGAGACCAGCCTGGCCAACATGGCAAAACCCCATCTCTACTAAAAATACAAAAATTAGCCAGATGTGGTGGCAGGTGCCTGTAATTCCAGCTACTCGGGAGGCTGAGGCAGGAGAATTGCTGGAACCTGGGAGACAGAGGTTGCAGTGAGCCGAGAACTCACTACCGCACTCCAGCCTGGGTGACAGAGCAAGACTCCATCTCAAAATGGGCAGATCACAAGGTCAGGAGATTGAGACCATCCTGGCTAATACGGTGAAACCCCGTCTCTACTAAAAATACAAAAAAACTAGCTGGGCGTGGTGGTGGGCCCCTGTAGTCCCAGCTACTCAGGAGGCTGAGGCAGGAGAATGGCGTGAACCCAGGAGGCGGAGCTTGCAGTGAGCCGAGATGGTGCCACTGCCCTCCAGCCTGGGCAACAGAGCGAGACTCCATCTCAAAAAAAAAAAAGGAAAGAGAAGTAGAGACTCTTCAGAGACTCTTCTCCGATTCCAGCCTGTGCTCAGGGCTTGGCCGGGAGGGAATGGCTGGCCAGCATGGAGCTGGACAAAGGCCTAGAGGCTGGCCAGGCTAATGTGGCTGCAGGGGGTTGAGGGGGTTGCAGAAAGAGGCTCCAAAGCTTAGCCTTCTACACACGTGATTCCCACCTAGTCCAGGTGCGCCCTGATGATTTGGAAAGGAAGTTTCTGTTCAGCATGGTGTGGAGGTGGAAGTGGAGGTGGCAGTGTCATGGTTAACCCACGCATACATGTACGTGTGTCTGCCCCCGCTCCTGACGGATTTCCCTCCCTCACCTCCCACCAGGCCCGCAAGCCCTGATGAATATCATGCAGAACTGGTATTCCTTATTCACACCAGTGGAGGCGGCTACCATCGTGGCAGTGACGGGCACCACACACGCCACTCTGCTGCGACTGCAGCTGGACACATCGCGGAGGGAGGAGCTCTGGGCCTGCGCCCGCACCCTGGCCTTGCAGTGCGCGATGAAGGACCCTCAGAACTGCGCCTTGCCTGCCCTGACCCTGTGCGAGAAGAACCACTCGGCCTTCGAGGCGGCCTACCAGATCGTGCTGGACGCGGCGGCCGGCGGCCTGGGCCACGCCCACCTCTTCACTGTGGCCCGCTATATGGAGCACCGCGGGCTGCCGCTCCGGGCCTACAAGCTGGCGACGCTGGCCCTGGCGCAGCTCAGCATCGCCTTCAACCAGGACAGCCACCCTGCCGTCAACGACGTGCTTTGGGCCTGCTCTCTCAGCCACTCCCTGGGCCGGCACGAGCTCTCTGCCATCGTCCCCCTCATCATTCGCAGCATCCACTGTGCCCCAATGCTGTCCGATATTCTGCGCCGCTGGACTCTCTCGGCGCCCGGTCTGGGCCCCTTAGGGGCACGCCGGGCCGCCAAGCCACTGGGTGCCGACCGGGCGCCGCTCTGCCAGCTCCTGGACGCGGCAGTCACCGCCTACATCACCACCAGCCACTCGCGCCTCACGCACATCAGCCCGCGGCACTATGGGGATTTCATCGAATTCCTGGGCAAGGCCCGGGAGACCTTCCTGCTGGCGCCCGACGGGCACCTCCAGTTCTCACAGTTCTTGGAGAACCTCAAACAGACCTACAAGGGCAAGAAGAAACTCATGCTTTTGGTGCGGGAGCGTTTTGGTTGAGGGACAGTGGGGTGCGTGGGAGTGGGGATCCCCCTCGCCCCTGCGTCCCCCACCCTTGCTCTCCAATTAGGCCCACGTGGCATTTCAGTATTATTAAGTCAGGGAAGGAGCCCGGCTGGAGATGGGGGCAGGGGGAGCAGCATCCTGCCACGTGTGTGCCTGGGAGTCTGTGAGCAAGTGTGCAAGACTCCAGAAGCAGAAGCCATACTGCCACCCAGAAGCCTGGAAGGGGTGTGTGCTTGGGCTGCTGGTATGACCCCACTTTGGGCACCCCAAAAGCAATAGGCAAACTCCCCTTACCCAGACTGGCTTGGGCTCCAGGAGGGAGGCTGGGAGGCAGGACTTTCCAGAAATCGACCCTCTAAGTCAATGTAGCACATTTTCCCCCAACCCCACCCTGGGTGGCCAAGGGTCCTCCCCCACCCCCTACTGCTCAGGGCCCCCCATTATGCCACCTCCAAAGTGGCTGCCCAGCCAGGACCATTGGCTCACCCCCACTGAAGGAATTGAAGAGGCCTCAGGCCTCAGCCTCATACCTCACCCCCTTATCCTATCCGGCCAGGACCCCCATTTCCTTGGGCACTAGGGTCCCAGGGTGGGCTCAGGGTTGGGGAAGTCCTCGCTGCCCTCTCTTCTCACCTGCTAGTCACTGGACGTACAACTCAGGAACTGAGCGAGGCTCACACTGCCCCTTCCAACCTGGGGTTGGGGGACACAGACGCGAGAGAGCCGGAGACCCCCACCCCCGATCTGGAAAGGAAAGAGACCTGTATCTTGGTGTTTTTCTGGCTTTTTCACCCTTTCGCCTCCTGTCTTTCTGCTTCGCCCCTTCATCTTACTCTGTTTCCATTTTTCCCGGCACTTACCTGCCTTTCTCTCTGCACCTAAGTCCCTGCCGCCCTCTCTCTTTGGCCATCCTTCCTTTCCCCCACCTTGACCCAGGGAGGAGAAGGGAGAACATCACCCCCCCAAGTCACCCCCACATCTTTTCCCTTCTTGTATATTAAGGACAAAATACCACATCATTTTGTAACTTTTTTTCTATTTATTGAACGGTGTATTACATGTCCTTTTCCTTTTTTTTTTTCAAAGATTGAACAGAAATTTTTCTTTTTAATTTTATTTTGAGACTGGGGTGCATCTCCAGAGCCACTCACACCCTCAACCTCGTTTCCTCCGCAAAAAAAAAAAAAAAAAAAAAAAATGTCTGGCCTTATTTCTGGGTGCAGCGCCAAGCGAGGGGTGGGATGGGAGCGACTGCTGGCTTCATTCCATGGTAATTATGTAAATATTTCCCTTTTTTTTTTTTTGGTCTTTCTCTGTTGCCCAGGCTGGAGTGCAGTAGCGCGATCTGGGCTCACTCCAACCTCCACCTCCCGGGTTCAAGCGATTCTCCTGGCTCAGCCTCCCAAGTAGCTGGGATTACAGGCATGCGCCACCACACCGGGCTAATTTTTGTATTTTTTAGTAGAGACGGGGTTTCACCATGTTGGCCAGGCTGGTCTCGAACACCTGACCTCAGGTGGTCTGCCCGCCTCAGCCTCCCAAAGTGCTGGGATTACAGGCGTGAGCCACCGCACCCGGCCTTATGTAAATATTTCAAAACAGAGATGGACAGCTCACCATGAGGGAACACAGGGCTGAATGCGTTACCGCTGTCATTTAATCGTCACCACAGCCCTATGAGTTGGTAGGATTATCTTTTCCATTTTACAGATGAGAAAACTGAGGTTGCAAAGTGGAAAGAAAGGGCACCCAGCGGCCGGGCGCGGTGGCTCACGTCTGTAATCCCAGCACTTTGGGAGGCCGAGGCGGGCGGATCACGAGGTCAGGAGATTGAGACCATCCTGACTAACACGGTAAAACCCCGTCTCTACTAAAGATATAACAAAAAATTAGCCAGGCGTGGTGACGGGCGCCTGTAGTCCCAGCTACTAGGGAGGCTGAGGCAGGAGAATGGCGTGAACCCTGGAGGTGGAGCTTGCAGTGAGCCGAGATCGCCCCACTGCACTCCAGCCTGGGCGACAGAGCGAGACTCCGTGGGTGGGGGGCAGGGGGGAAGGGCACCTAGCTAGGACGTTTGATTTAGGACCTGGTTGGGGCCACTGACCCCTGCCCACCCCTGACTGCAGGGTCCTTGAGCCCCTAGGAAGGGCCAAGATGGGGGTGGGGGGCGCCCTGGCTCCAGACACCAATGTTGGGGGTCCTTGTCTCCAAATTGCTGAGCATGGGAGGCTGTGGCAGGTGTTGGTGCAGCTGGATGGGGAAGACACCCCGATCAAAAGCGGGAACCCCGGGTTTAGACTCGACCTCGGTGGGCGGGGCTCTGGCCAAGAGAAGAAAAACGGAGTGGGGGTGGTCTGTGCGTGGACACTCGCCAGGGGACGTGGCCAGGGCGTGTCTGGGATCTTGCGCCACTGAAGAGGCTCCCAGTCGTCAAATAGAGTGAGGGATGGGATCCAAAGGACGGCGAGAAAGCCCGTGGTTGTCTAAACGTCCCTGGCTCCCCGAGAAGCAGTTTCCTCGGGGCCTTCCTGCCTTTTGGATGAATGGAGATGCTGTGTCTGGGTCACTGCCAGAGCCGGGGCAGGAGAGGACAGAGGCTTCCCGGAGCGGCAGGGCCCGTCGCTAGAGGGCGGGGCCCGCAGTCGGGGGCGGGACTTTGGCGGCGCTGTGCATGGGGATTGGCTTTTCGCACCGCCCCTCCGCTCGAGTGGGCCAATCGGAGACGGCCCCACCTCCTGCCCCGCCGCGCGTATTCCAGCAGGTATGTGCGGGCGGACCCGGGACTGCCCCGCGCGCTCCGTGGCGCCGCCTCGAGGTCTGGGACGGTGGAGGTGGGTGGAGAGCCCGGAGTGCACCCCTTGTGGTCCCTGCCGCCTTCGGACCTGGGGGACCCTTTACTGTGCCCCTCAGGTGTCACCCACGAATGTTCCCATGTTCCTGGGGCGTCACGCAGGTCCCAGCCACATCCAAATGTCCCCCCTTAAGAACTGGGGTTTCCTTCATGTCACATCCCTCAAACCCAAGTTCCCCTCCAGCATTCTCAGATACCAGGCACCCCAAATCTTCCCCTGAGGCCTGAGTAATCCCGTAGGTCCAAGTTGCCCCCAAATGTCACTAGCTCAAGACCCTCAGATCCTGGTTATCGCCACATGTCACCCCTCAGGCTCAGCGTTTCCCTCAGGGTCACCCCACCACCACCACTTCAGATCAGCTTCCATCCTCCCTTGATCAGCGATGTGAAAATCTTTCCACTCTAGGGTTTCCCTCATGGTCACCCCACGATCCAGGACACCCCCAAGGTCACCTTTCCAAGCACAGGATACCCTGCTGCACAGAGCAGGTGGGGCAGGGATGGGCAGGCAGGAGCCCGGAGTGCCAGGATGGTAAATTCAGGCCAATCAAAAGCTGAAACTCCAGCGATGGGAGGCAGGAGTGAATCACAGACCAGACCTTCAGGAATGAAGTCAGGGCAACTTTTATTTACTTGAACAACAGACATGACACACAGCACGATCTCTCCTCTCCATCCCATCCCAAGCTTCTGTCCACGACTACCCAGGGTGGGGAAAAAGGCAATGGCCCAGCCCCGATGACCTGGGGGACTTCAGTGTGCCTCCTCAGTCCCACCCAGAAAAAAGCCTCCTCCCATCTGATTTCAAGATAGTGGAGAAAAGCCAGGCACGGTGGCTCACACCTGAGCCACCTGTAATTCCGGCGCATTGGGAGACTAAGGTGGGAGGATGGCTTGTGGCCAGGAGTTCGAGAACAGCCTGGGCAACATAGTGAGACCTGCCCCCCCATCTCTACAAAAATTAAAATTAAAAAAATTAGCCAGGTGTGGTGGCGCATACCTGTAGTCCCAGCTCTACTGGGGAGGCTAAGGCAGGAGGATCACTTGTGCCCAGGAATTCAAGGTTGCAATGAGCCATGATCACACCAGCCTGGCCAAGATGGTGAAACCCCGTCTCTACTAAAAATACAAAGATTAGCCGGGCATGGTGGTGGGTGCCTGTAAGCCCAGCTACTCAGGAGGCTGAGGCAGGAGAATCGCTTGAACCCAGGAGGCAGAGGTTGCAGTGAGCCAAGATCACACCACTGCACTTCAGCCTGGGCAACAGAGTGAGACTCCGTCTCAAAAACAAACAATAAAAGGCCAGGCACGGTGGCTCACAGCTGTAATCCCAGCACTTTGGGAGGCTAAGACGAGCAGATTGCTTGAGGTCAGGAGTTCAAGACCAGTCTGGGTAACATGGCGAAACCCCGTCTCTACAAAACATAAAAAAAAATTGGCCGGGCGCAGTGGCTCATGCCTGTAATCCCAACACTTTGGGTGGCTGAGGCGGGCAGATCACCTGAGGTCAAGAGTTCGAGACCAGCCTGGCCAACATGGCGAAACTCGGTCTCTACTAAAAATACAAAAATTAGCCAGGTGCGGTGGTGTGCACCTGTAATCCCAGCTACTTGGGAGGCTGAGGCAGGAGAATCGTGTGAACTGGGGAGGTGGAGGTTGCAGTGAGCCGAGATCGAGCCATTGCACTCCAGCCCGGGTGACAGTGCGAGACTCCATCTCAAAAAAAAAAAAACAAAAAAAAAAAAACAGAGTCCTAACTCTTCCCTGCCCTGAGAACCCCCTCAAGGCAGGGAGGATCAGCTATTCCCAGCGCCTCAGGACTAAGCACACCTGCTTGTGTCCCTTCTGGGTCCACAAGGAACTTGTTCCATGCCCCACATGTGGGGCGGGTGTCACTGCTCCTCCCGGCAAGTTAGAAAGCTGCAGGGCCCAGCAAGAAGGGGCCAGGTCAGGTCAACCCAGCCTGATACCGGAAGCCAGGAGTTGGCATTTAACGGTCTGGAGGCCCAAGGCAGCTTCCTCTTGGGTAACTGGCTGCTAGGAAGGTGCGGGCCGGGCCAGTGCCCCTGCCAGGCTTGGGAGAGGAGGGGCCAAGCCTCCAGGCCCGGAAAGGACACAGCTGGCTTCCCTTTTAATGGAAGGGCCACCCACTCACCCACCTATCTATGCTGGCACCACAGCCCAGCCTGAGCTGTGGCCATGCAGGGGTCCCCAGTTGCAGAGTTGGGGATCAGGGCCTGCAGCACACATTTGGGCCCAGCCAACCCCACCCACCACATCCCTCCTCCAGACACAGGTCTGATTCTGAGTCCTCATCTCTGCTCCAAGCATCAGCCCACCCAGGGAAGGCAGGGGCTGCAGGCTCCAAGGGGGCTTGACCCCTGTTCCTGCTGAACTGAGCCAGTGTACACAAACCAACTGTGTTTCAGCTCAGTAGGCACGGGAGGCAGAGCCCAGGGAGGCCAGGCAGCAGGATGGCAGGCAGACAGGCGGCAGCAGGGGACAGGCGGCAAGGCCAGAGGAGGTGAGGGCCTGGGGGGCGGAACTTAGCCACTGTGAACACGACTTGGTGTGGACCCTGCTCACAAGCAGCTAAGCCCTGCTCCTCAGGCCAGGCACAGGCTTCGGGGCCTCTCTGCCACCCCGTCCCCGGGCAGCATCCTCGGTGGCAGAGCTCAGGGTCGGTTGGAAATCCCTGGCAATGTGATTTGTGACAGGAAGCAAATCCCATCCCCAGGAACCCCAGCCGGCCGTGGCACAGGGGTGAGGGGGGCACCGGGCGGGGCCAGAGGCTGGCACCTGGAGGGGAGAAAGAGAGAGAGAGCAAAGGAGGTAATGAGATTTGGGGACACCTCCCCTCCAGGTCCCCAGATGCTTCCTTTGATCACAGGGAAGCTCTTTTCTCATATGCAGGAGCCACCACACGGGGAGCTGGAGCCTAGCTGTGCCCTCCGTTCCAGCCCCAGGACTGGAGAGGCAGAGATACCTAGAGGGCCCATGCGGGACAAGGAGGCTACAGCAACTTGCATGGCCAAGCTCCCCCCTCATTGAGCCCTGGGCAGGCCAAATGGGGCCATGGGGAGAGGAAGCCAAGGGGGGCCAGGCAGGCGGGTGAGGAAGTGATCTCACCCCAGCTGGCGCCACTTCCTAGAAGCCTGGAGGGCAGGAGGAAACCACCAGGGCCTCCCCCCCCGTGGCCCGGTCTCCTCAGTGGCCAGGGCTTAGCCCACACCCACCAGGGCGGATGCCGGCAGCAAGGCACCCCCCTCTCTTTCTAGACACGCACCCCCCGCCCCCCAGAGCACAGGATCCAAGCTCCAAGATACAGGCCTCTCCACCCAAACAGCCCAAGGTTCAAATCCTTGCTCCACAGTTTCCCAAAGACTCTCCAAAGCTTCAGTTTCCCCATCTGTAAAATGGAGCCAAGAGCCTCTTTTGCATAGCCCAGTGAGATGTCACCGAGTATGTATGTCACTCAGTAAGTGCCCAGCACCAGGGCAAGATACAGGATTTTCAGGACCCGGTGCAAAATGAACACGTGGTCCTCTAGTTCGAAAACTAAGAATTTCAGGCCAAGCATGGCGGCTCACGCCTGTAATCCCAGCACTTTGGGAGGCCGAGGCAGGAGAGTCACCTGAGGCCAGGAGTTCAAGACCAGCCTGCGCAATACGACAATACCCCATCTCTACAAAAAAAAAAAATATTTTTTCTTTTTTGAGACAGGGTCTCACTCTGTCGCCACGGCTAGAGTGCAGGGGTGCAATCACAGCTCACTGCAGCCTCAGCCTCCCAGGTTCAAGTGATCCTCCCACCTTAGCCTCCGGGGTAGCTGGGACTACAGCTATGCACCACCATGCCCGGCTAATTTTTTCTTTTTCTTTTCTTTTTTTTTTTTTTTGAGACAGAGTCTCGCCCTGTCGCCCAGGCTGGAGTGCAATGGCGTGATCTCGGTTCACTGCAACCTCCACCTCCAGAGTTCAAGCAATTCTCCTGCTTCAGCCTCCCGAGTAGCTGGGATTACAGGTGCCCGCCACCACGCCCAGTTAAGTTTTGTATTTTTAGTAGAGACGGGGTTTCACCATGTTGGCCAGGCTGGTCTCGACCTCCTGACCTCAGGTGATCCGCCCACCTCGGCTTTCCAAAGTGCTGGGATTACAGGCGTGAGCCACCACACCTGGCCCTAATTTTTGTAGAGATGGGGTTTTGCCATGTTGCCCAGACTGGTCTCCAACTCCTGGGCTCAAGCAATCCGCCTGCCTCAGCCTCCCAAAGTGCTGGGCTTACAGGCCTGAGCCACAGTGTCTGGCCCACAAAAAATTCACTAAAAAATCAGCCAGGAGTGGTGGTACACATCTGTAGCCCCAGCTACTCAGGCGGCTGAGGTGGGAGGACTGCTTGAGCCCAGGAGTTTGAGGCTGCCGTGATCTATGACCATGCCACTGAACTCCAGCCTAAGTGACAGAGCAAGACCCTATCTCTAAAATAAACAAAAACAAGTTTAAAAAAAGAAAATAATTTCAGGCTGAGCGCGGTGGCTCATCCCTATAATCCCGGCACTTCGGGAGGCCAAGACAGGAAGATCGCTTGGGGCCAGGAGTTCGAGACCAGCCTGGGCAATACAAGACAAAAAAATTAATAATAATAAAAAAAAATTCATGACCCCAGCAGTGCAACATTAAACTAACCTCCAGGTCCCTCCAAGCAGGGCTGCCGTGAGACTGCCCGTTTCACAAATGCATGAAGCCAGCCCTAAGTCTTTAGTGAGTGGAGCTTCTTTTGATAAGAGCCCAACACCTGGCTAGCAGACTCCAGTTTTGGAGCCCAAGTCTGCCCAGATTTGAAAGCCCCAGCTCTGCAGCTTCTGAGCTGGGTGACTCTGGGCAAGTCACTCAACCTCTCTGGGCCTCAGCTTCCCCATCTGCAAAACAGGGATAATAAGTATGGACTTCATAAGTCATGGTGAGGACCCCATGAGTGATAAACATGATCACGACAGAGCTGCTGCTGTCTTTGCCAAGGCAAAGGATAACGGAAACGTGGGTGTCTCACACCAGGACCCCAGTGTCCGCCCGATGTGGTGGCGCTCACCACTTCGAGACAGGCGGCGAGTGATGTCCTGTTTTGTCCCCTCCCTATACACACATACACACATACCAGCCACTCTTTCCCATCAGGCCCCAGCCCAGCCCTGTCCCCTTAGGGTCTGGAGGCGCCAACTGGGAGCAGGCGAGGCCCCGCAGGGCGGCCAGCCTCCCTGGGCCGCCTCCGGAAGTGAGACAGCACATTCGTGTCCCAGGGACGAGAACGGGAAGGGCGGCCATTTGGCCAGGCTCGTTTCCTGTGGGGTTTCCCCTGCACAGAGCCCAGGGCCGGGGCCAAGGCCACTCCCCATCCCCGCAGGCACAAAAGGTCTGGGTCTTGAGTGGAAGGGGTGCTGCCATGCAGGTGCCCAGGAGACAGGGTCCCCTTTACCAATCATGGTGCACTTCTCAGGCTCTTGGGAGATGGTGTCCAGGGGGAAACCAAGCTCCTAGCAGCTGGAGGCATGAGGGAGAGGGCGGGCCCCTGGGCTGGGGAGCAAAGCAGGCCCCAGGCTGCATCAGGACACCCCGGCCAGCCAATGCATGTGGGTATGCCTGAATACCCCCTCCAGACAGCGTGTGCGTGGACCAGACACACAAGGGTATGTATGTGTACCGCTACCCCCCCAACCCCATGCTCCAAGAATGAATCAGGGGCAGCTTCCGCCGGGGGCGCCACCACCACCTCCGCCCCCAAGCCTGGTCCCCAAATACTTTCCACCCTCACAGAGCAGCTGGGATCGGAAAATACCAAGGGCTGCAGGCCCCGCCCTGCCCGCCGCGCCACCCGCCCTCCCAGCCTGTCACTAACGCTTTGCCTAATGGGCCCAGACTCTCAGCAGAAGCTCCGTGGGCTGGGCCTCGAGCCAGCCGCCAACCTGGGCTGCCCGGCCAAGCGCCGCCTGACCAGGAGCCCCCCGCCCCTCTGCCCCAATCCCAGTGCAGCGACAATAACAACCGCCCCGATGGGCAGCCCTCAGAGGGTGGCACTGGGTAGGGAAAGTCAGGGCACTGACAAGTGGGTGGGCCCCGCTGCCCACCCAGGGCTGGGGTGGGGGGAGGCTCAGGAAGGGGTGAGTAAGTGAGGGCTGAATCACTTGTTATAAATAGGGGAACCATGAAAGTGACATCCCAGCCCCCATTGCGTCCCGCCAGTCCACACTCTAACCCCCACTTAGACTTTAATCTTTCCCAGACCAATCACAGAATTCCCAGGGGCCCCCTCACCTTCATGTTGGGAACCCTTAGTAGAGTGGTACACCCCGTCATCAGGTCCACCCCTGCCTTCTCCCCACATAGGTACATTTTGCAGTGAGGGCCTGGCTGTGGGGGTCCCCTGGCCTTGAATGCAGTCACTGGTGTCTGCGCCCTATCCACCTCCCTCAACGCACCGATTCCCAGGCCCAAGGCTCAGGGCCTCTAGGCTCTCCAAGGCATTCTCAGGGTGTGGGCCACCACAGTCCTGGAGGGTGACCCCAGAACCTAGGCCAGGCGGGAGGCCAGGGGGCTTGGCATCTTCGAAGTCAGTTCCCCAGGCACCGAGGCCCCACATCCTAGACCACCCAGCCCTGCTCTGCCCAGGGCCACAGCTCAGTGACCACACCCAGGGTGGCGCCAGCTCCAGCACCCTGGGGCAAGGCGTCGCTGGAGCGTGACTCAGCCGTGCCCAGCATGGCGGCGCCCTTCTCTGCCCAGGGATTCTCACCCACACCCACTGCCCTCCGCTCAACATCCTTCCCAGGCGACCGGCCCTAAAGGACACACCTTCCCCAGACACACCTCCGTGTCCACCCAGGACACCAGGAGGGAAGAAGGCGGCCAGGGGCAAAGTGTACACTTCTCTCCGTCCCATTTCCAAATGCTTCCCATTTATAGATAGAATAATTAAGGCTCAGAGATTCAGACTGGGGCTTAAGGTCATGGAATAAGTCTTAAAAAAAAAAAAAAAAAAAAGCCAGGCCTGACTGTGGCCTAAAACACATCCAACGTGGAAAACAGAGGTTACAGGAAGGAGTTTTCTCAAGATCGCCCAAGGTTCCTGGCGCCGTTATTCATGGAGGACAGAATCCCCCACCCAGCTTTCCAAGGTGAAGGGCAAACTCCAAAAAATGCTTTAAGAGGTATCAAAGCACCACCTAGATCGGGCGAGCGGGTCACCCCAGTGTACCCACCGGGCTAATTACCCTGGGATTGCAGATAGATGGGGGCCTGCCCCGCAGCTGCGGTCTGCATGGAACATCTGGCGTCCACTTGCATTGTTAGAGGGTGGGCACGACACGGGGGTCCCTCCTAAAGCATCCGCCTCTGCTGTCTTTCTCCAGCGAGCAAGGGTCGGCGGAGGCTCAGTGGCCAGGCCAGCACAGACAGGCCCGACCCTCTGGACACGCCCTGTCACGCATGTGCTCCGCGTGCCAGCCCCAGGCCAGGCCGGCACCTATTTTAGGGCCCCCTCTAGATCCACAGGCAAGGCCTGCCTGTTGGGGTCTTGAAGGAGCTCCCAGAGGACGTGCTGCAAGGGCAGAGGGCCATGGGTGCCTCACGGGATCAGAGAACAAAGCTAGCACCAGCCCCAGGGCCTGTGCCTTCCCAGGACATCGGCATGTGAACACATGTACCCAGGCTGGCCCGGGCAGGGCATGTGGGCGAGCGGACAGGGTGTGTCCAACATCACCTCGCCTCTAAGCCTGGGCACCTGTTGGGTACAGCCCTCCAGCTGGGGCAGGACTGCCAGAGGACACCCCTTATGCCAGGGGTCCCCCAGCCCCCAGCCTCACCCTCATAGACCAGGAGTCAGAGGCTGCCAGCTGGGGAAGGTTGGGAAGGGGGCAGGTGACAAGGAGCCAGCTGCACAGCCAAAACATTCAAGAAGCCACTGGGTCTGGGGCCTGGCTGGGCTGGGCTGGGCTGGGCTGGGCAGGAAGGTCAGTTAGGGCTAAGGGCTTTAGGGGCAGCCAAATCTAGTGCTAAAATCAGAAAACAGTCTGGGGCTAAGACAGAGGGGTCGGGGTTCAGTCTGGGCCCTTTTAACCTCCTCCTTCAGCCAAAAGGCACGGGGACCCCAAGCTGCACAGGGCTGGTCCCCAACCTGGCTTTCCTTCCTATGCAACCTTGAATGAGCGCTTTTCTCCGAAGGGAAAGGAGACATCCCCCCAGCTCCCACCAGCCCCTGCCCAACAAGAGACCTTCCCCCTACCCAGCGGGCGACACGTCAAGAACTTGGACCGGTATCCACCCCCGCCCCCACCCAAAGAACTCTGAGAGACCCCCCCAACCCATTCCTCCCGTCCAAAGGCCAGGTCGGGGGGCTAGGAGTGGGGTAGGCATATGCATATCCAAGCCCCTCAACCCAAGCCCCATGTCCGAGCCGGACACAAGCCCTCCCACCCTGACAACTCTCTGCCCACCTTGACCTGCCCAAGTCGCGCGGGGACCCGCCCTCCCCACCGCATTCCCATGCGTCCCCTGGGGGGTCGGGGTGGAGGGGCCACTGGGAAGGGAACAGAGGCCGGGCCGCCCTTCCCCCGCTCCGTAGGGGGCGCCCCGGGACTCCGCGGCCGCCGTCGCCACCGTCAGACGCACTGTCCCCGATCCCCGACCCACCCCGGGCGGCGGGGCGCTCAAGGCGCGCGGGGCGGCGCCCTCGCCTTCTCGCAACGCTCTTGGGGACCCGCCGGGCGCAGCCCCACTCCGCCCACGAGCCAGGCGCGGAAAAGTTGCCGGCGCCGCTGCCGCCGAGGCGCCGATCGCTCCCGGCCTCCCTCCTGGGTCCCTCCTGACTTCCACTTACCCGCGGGGGGAGGGGAGCCGGGCGCGCACTCCGGGCTCCGGCCGCCGCCCCGGGCCGGGCCGGCCGAGGCTCAGGCGGGCGGGCTGCGGGCCCGAGACCGGCCGGGGGCGGCCGCCGGCCGCGCTCCACCCCACTCACTGGCCGGCCAGCCGCGGGGCCGAATCGCTTTTAAAACCTTCCCGTCTCCTCCCCCCCTCCCCGGGCCGGGCAGGGGGCGGGCGCGGGGCGGGGCAGGCGTCGCCGTCATGTGCCCCCGAGCCGGCCCGCCCCCAGTTTCTCTGTCCTGTCCCCCAACTCTGTCCCGTCCCCCAACTCAAGGCCAACTTTCTCCCTCCTTGTCCCGAAATCAGCCTGGGCCCCATACCCAGCCCAACTTCCCCCTCTGGACCCTGAACTTGAGTCCCAGTCCCGAGTTTTAAGCCCAAGGCTCTGTCTGCGGGGGTAGGGTGGGAGCAAAGGGTCTAACCCCCTATCCCACCTCTGGAACCCCTGTTGGTCTAAGGCCTGCGCCTGCCCAGGGAGAGGCAACCCAGGAGGCCGTGAGCCCCTGGGAATAGAGATTGGTGAGGGGCGGTTTGGCGGGTGGGCTCGGTCCCAGACCCAGGGCACACTGGGCACTGCAGACCCCTCCCGGGGAGGGGGGCCTGGGTCTGGGTATTGCCCTGGGATGCCACCAAACAGGAACCCCCACTTGCTCCAGTTCCACAGCGCCTTCTCCAGCCTTAGGAAGTTCCTCCTCTTATCCTACCTAACCCTCTCCTGCTGCCATAGAAAAGACTTTCTGGTCCCAGGCCATGCAGCCCCTGGGTCTGGGTCCCCTCCCCCTAGGCTTCCCGGCACCCTCCCCCACCCGCTGGGACCTCTGGGAAACTCCCCGGGCTCCCGGAGTAGCTCTGGGAGCAAGGCCCTCCCTGGATCCCTCCCTCTTTCCCGGTGTGCCTGTCTTTCCCGCTCCATCCTCCAGCCTCCACCGGGAGGAACGCGGCTGCATTGTTCCTCAGGAGGAGGCCCTGCCTCGGGGCCTGGCCCAGTGCCCAGGTGGGTGGCCAGGAACAAAACTCTGAGATCGAGGGGCGGGGTGCCCTCTGCAACCATGCCAGTCTCCTTGGGCATGTCCCGCTGCCATCTGCCCTCTCCAGGACTCGACAAAGGCCGATGGACCCCTATCCACCACCCACGACCACCATCGTGTCACAGTGGGGGTCTGGAACCCGCAGGACCCTTCCCAGACCTGGGTGGGCATTGCTTTGGGGGATGATGTTTTCCACTCAGCCCCCAATATTTTTGAAGTGTCATCCTTGGGGCTAGGGATCCAATTCTTCATCCACGTCCTGGGTGGTAAGATAGCAGCCTCCCCTTTTGAGTAACTCTGGGGGTGGGGGCGCGGGGGTACCCAGCAGCAGGCCAGGCCCTCCAAGGGACTGGAGGGACTAGTTGGATGCTTCTGTGTCACCTTGCACCCCAGAATTCCTCCAGGGTCCCCCATTTCATCAGCTCAGCTGGCTCTCACCTTGCTACCTGGTGGAACTGGGGAGAGGGAGTTAGGAGCCACACCCAGCTACCATCCCGTGGGGCCCAGCCCTGGGGACTCCAGGGCCTTTTCTTCCCTGTGGGGCCCAAGGGGCAGGCTGGCCCAGGATGCAGGATCTGACAGGTTGGGGCAGGAGGGGGCAGAGCCGCCTAGTGGGGCCCCAGGGGAAGATTTGGGGTGGCACAGAATTCCCCAACTCAGGGTGGGGCGCAGAAGGTGGGAGCAACTTACCACATGGCCTTCTGAGCAGCTACACACAAGAATGGCATTTCCAGGGCGGGCCTGGGGTGGGGGTGGGGGTCTCCCTGTAAGGGACACACGCACACAGACAAACTTGTCATTGCAAAAGTAGAAAGTGACCAAATTACAATGACAAACAAAACTCGGATCTCTACCGCATCCCCATCCATATTGCCCCTCCAGAATTCCCTTCACCCCATAATAAGGCCTTCCATCCAGACATTGCCTGTCCCGTCATCAGTCCAATTCACATTCAGGGAGAACACCTCCTCCATGCTGGCCTCTGGGGATACCTCTTCCCCCAGATTTTTTTTTTATCTAATTTTCGCTGTTCTGTTGCCTGTGGCTTGGACCACACCCCGGCTCACTAGTATCCCTCAGCCCAGGCTTGGAGGGTCCTCCCAGAACCCCCACCTCTCCCTCTGGGTCCCTTGACATTTACTTCCACAGGCCCCGGTCCTGAGCCTGCCGGTTTACCCAGGGGACAGCAGGTGAGGGAGTGATGAAGGGACAGGGCGAAGGTGAGACCAGGTCAAGTGGTCAAATGGCATGGCACACACACACACACACACACACACACACACACACACCACACACCCTTTTGTTCATTCTACAAACATTGAGTGCCTGCTGTATGTATGTCAGGCTCTGTTCCGGGCATTTGGGGACACAGAAGAGAACAAAACAGAAAAAAAAATCCCTGTACTTTTGGGACCAGCATCTATGGGAGAAACAAACATGATAAGCAGATAGATAGGTATAAAGATATATAATGTGGCCAGGAGCGGTGGCTCATGCCTGTCTTCCCAGCACTTTGGGAGGCTGAGGCAGCCTGATCACTTGAGGTCGGGAGTTCGAGACAAGCCTGGCCAACATGGTGAAACCCCGTCTCTACTAAAAATACAACAATTAGCCGGGCATGGTGGCGCACGCCTGTACCCAGCTACTCGGGAGGCTGAGGCAGGAGAATCATTTGAACCAGGAGGCGGAGGTTGTAGTGAGCCAAGATTGCTCCACTGGACTCCAGCCTGAGCGACACAGGGAAACCCTGTCTCAAAAAAAAATTATATATCTATATATATTTTTAAAAATTACATATCTATATATTTAAAAATTATATATCTATATATATTTTAAAATTATGTGTCTATATGTTTAAAAATTATATATATATTGTTTTAAATTATATTATATATATATATATATATATATATAAAATGTGTTGGGTGGAAAGTCTATGGGTAATCTAGAAAAAGGCAAGAGAGATGAGAGATGAAATGAGTGGAGGTTAGGTCAGGAAAGTCCTCCCTGAGGAGGAGGTGACTTTGAACAAAGACTTTTAGGCACTGAGGGAAAAGCCAGGAAGACATCGAGAGGAAGAGAGTTCCAGGTAGAGAACGGCCAGTGCACAGGCTTTGCGGTAGGACGGTGCCTGGAACATTGGAAAACCAGCAAAGCAGACCGGTTTCATGGAGGCAGAGAGAGGAGTGGAATGGAAGAAGAACAAAGATTTGTTTTGTTTTGTTTTGTTTGAGAAGGAGTCTCACTCTGTCGCCCAGGCTGGAGTGCATTGTCACAATCTTGGCTCACTGAAACCTCTGCCTCCCCAGTTCAAGCGATTCTCCTGCCTCAGCCTCCCAAGTAGCTGGGATTACAGGCGTGCACCACCATGCTCGGCTAATTTTTCTATTTTTAGTAGAGACAGGGTTTCACCATATTGGCCAGGCTGATCTTGAACTCCTGACTTCAAGTGATCCGCCCGCCTCAGCCTCCCAAAGTGCTGGGATGACAGGTGTGAGCCACAGCGCCAGGCCCTACACCCCAGCTTTCTAGCTGGATGTCTTTGGGATGGCTTTGGGGCCAGGCGATTACACTTCCTAAGCCTCAGTTTTGTCGGCTGAAAAATGGGGCTGAAAATGCGCAATTTGCAGTTGTTACCAGGCTTTGAGGTGAGACGTGTGATGTGCTGATCGCAGGTAGAAAGAGGGTAAGTGATACACCAGGTACACCTGGATCAAGGGACCCTGACAGGCCCAGCCGGCCCACAGGTCACCCCAGCTCACATGCAGGGCTGCCTGCTGGGCCCCATGGCAACGCCACACACAGAGACATCAAACAGGCCCTGCCGAGGAAGTCCCACGTCACTGCGGTTAGAGTGGCTCCTCCCAGCCCAGCCCCCGGCTGGCGGCAGTGACCCCCATGCCAGTCAGGGCCCCTGCCTCCTGTTGCCCTGGCGACCAGCTGTGTTATGGACTGAGCCGGGATCCCACCACATCCCTGCCCCCTCACCAGGGCACCAGCCACTCCCCACATCCGGAGAAGGACATTACACGGTGGCCCCAGCTCACCGTGACAAACTCAATTGCCTGGTGTCTGGAGCACCAGGAAAGACTTTGTCTACCTACATAATGGTTCAGAAGGGCAGAGAGGTCCCAGGGATCTGTGGGGACTCCCAGCCAGGTGCCTGAAATCCCCGGGGAAGGGTCCCAGTATTGCTCAAGGGCACTGGTGGGGCAGGTCAGACAGGAATAGACCCCAGGCCTGGCCCAGCCCCCACCTCAGGAATGACTCACCACCCACCCAGCTCCCGATGACATCAAGGCCTGGCCTGCCACCCTGACCTGGCCCCAGGCCA
Organism: Homo sapiens; assembly: GCF_000001405.40. Classification (NCBI taxonomy): domain Eukaryota; kingdom Metazoa; phylum Chordata; class Mammalia; order Primates; family Hominidae; genus Homo; species Homo sapiens. The sequence goes on from NC_000019.10 coordinate 13,847,182, forward strand.
GAACTGGGGGGGCGCACCCAAGAAGTGTCACATCTGGCTGTCCCTGCCTGGCTGGGATCTGGTACGCAGAGGGTTAAGGAGAGCCCTTCTGGGGGTCTCCCCCCCATCCCATCCCCCCCACTTTCCCGGGGATTTCGGGCCCCAGCCCCTCTGACGTCACTGGGGGTTGCTATGGCAACTGGCCGAAGTTCCCAAATAAAATTACCGCGGGCGGGTTAAGTTTCCTAGGAGGCAGCCGACGGGTAAACAATGGCGGTGGCAGGCGGGGCCGGCGAGAGGCCGTCTCCCCCTCTTACCCCCGACTCTGCTGGGACCTGGGGGTCCCTGGGGCGAGGGGCAGGGTCCCCCTCCCTGCCCAGGATCTGAGAGCCCTCGAGCCAGCGAGGGGATTGGCGCCCAGATGAGGGACAGCGAGGCCACGACCCACATGAGCGGGGGATGGGGACGAGGGGTCTTTGGAGGGGAGGCTGGGGCGGCGGGGAACAAAGAGGGGACCGGAGGCCTGGGGATCCACCCTCCACACACCCTCCCCCCTAACCCCGCTCCCGGCCGGCCGCCAGTCCAGCTGTGGCTGTTCCCAGCTCCCTGGCTCCCCACATCTGGCGGGCCGCGCGCTCACTTCCTGTCGCCCCGGCTGCCTGGAGGGAGGTAAAAATAACCCGCCCCCTCCCCCTGCCGGCGGCGCAGACGGCGGATCCTCCCAGCCTGGAGGAGGGCGAGGCCGAGCCTCAGCCGGGAGAGGAGGCCCCCTGAGGCCGCCTCCCGTCCCTCCCAGTGCCTCGCTGTCCTGGCAGGAGGGGGGCAAGTAGGGGTGCCACAGAGCCTAGGCTGCGCTGGGGGACTGGGGAAGCGCATCCCATGAGAAAGGCCCTTAGCTGGGTCACCAGGAACCCAGGGAACCATAGTGTCCAACCACCCCCACCAATCCCGTGGGGGAGGGGGTTCAAGTTCTGAGAGTTGAGGGACTGCAGCCAACATGCCTGGGTTCCAATCGAGGGTCACCCACTTCCTAACCTAACAGTATAAACAAGTTACCAAAAAAAAAAAAAAGCCCCCCCCCCGCACACACACGACAAGAGCAAAACTGCTCCAGGCCTCAGTTTACCTAGCTGTAAAATGGGCATGATAGCAGTACTCACTTCAAAGTGCATTTGTTGGGTTAGGAGTGTCAACTCACTCTATAATCCCAAAACTTTGGGAGGCTGTGGCAGGAGGATCGCTTGAACTTAGGAGTTTGAGACCAGCCTAGGCAACATAGTGAGACCCCCATCTCTACGAAAAAGTGAATAAGTAAAATGAAAACACATAAAAAAGAAAAATAAAGTGCATTTATTCCCTGAGTGTTAGCTATGATCGTTTCCCCCTCCCCAGGGGCCCCTGAGACCCACCCCCCTCCACCAAGTACAGTTCCCAGATGAGACACAGGACACCCAGTGAAACTTAATTTTTCAGATACACAGCGGATCTCTTTTTTTAGTATAAGTATGTCCCATGCAATTTTGGGGACATCGCTATACTAAAAAAAAAGTTTTATACTAAAAAAAAATTACTTGTTCTGTATCTGAAATTCAAATTTAACTGATGTCCTGTATTTTTTATTTGTTAAATCTGCCAACTGTATCCTTAAGTCACCATCATCTCTGGCCTAAATATATTCCAACAGCCACCTCCCTGGTCCTCTCCGACTTTCCTTATGCCTTCTAGCCATTCTCCAGAGACAGCCCGTTAAATCCAATCACGTGTCCCCTCTACCTTCCACTTGGAAAAGTTCCTGGTGTCCCAACCTCTCCCGCAGGAAGGTCCTGCCTGTTATTCGCCAACTCCCGAGCATCCTTCAGTTCCCAGGGTATCACCTCCTCCGAGAAGCCCTCCTCACCTTCTTGGCTTTAGACTGTCCAGGATCCCTGTAACTCAGCCATCTCCCCAACTCAACCATTTGAGTGATTGACTTGGTCATGTGAGCCAAATGGACATTTCTTACAGGACTCAAAGCTGGTCACTTCCCAGGCAGCTGGTCCATCTCCGTGTCTGAGATGCTAGTATCTACTCTTCTCCCCGCCCCATAGGATCTGGGGCTCCGGAAGGCCCCTCAGGCAGCTCCCTTAAGGGTCCTGTGGGCGGCTCAGTGGTGACTATTGGGGTGCCAGGGAGCCCGGAGTTCAGGCCATCTGAAGCTGGTGCTGGGAAACTCTCTCCCTGCACTCAGATGGCATGGGAAGTCTAGGGGGGTGCTGGTGCAACCTCTGTAGTGCACAGCCTTCAGTATCATGTGTCGACAGCCCCCAAGGAGCCCACCAGGCGCCATCCCCCACTTGCATAACCTACCCACACTTCAATGTAGCCTTGGCACCTATCCCCACAACGCCTGAAGACTCCCACAGATATGGCCCTGCCAAGGCCAGGCATGCACCCTCCTGAGACAGGTTTGGGAGCCCGGATGCCAGCTTGGCTGTGCATCCTCTGGCAAAGGACATTGACCCTCTGTTGACTCAGTTTCCCCATCTGTAAAATGAGAATGTCAATGAAACGTCAGAGGGCCATGGTGAACACTATTTTTAATTTTTATTATTATTATTTTTTGAGACGGAGTTTCACTCTTGTCACCCAGGCTGGAGTGCAGTGGCACGATCTTGGCCCACTGCAACCTCTGCCTCCCGGGTTCAAGCGATTCTCCTGCCTCGGTCTCCCAAGTAGCTGGGATTAGAGGTGCTGGCCATCACGCTCGGCTAATTTTTGTATTTTTAGTACAGACGGGGTTTCACCATTTTGCCCAGGCTGGTCTTGAACTCCTGACATCAAGTGATCCACGGGCTTCGGCTTCCTAAAGTGCTGGGATTATAGGCGTGAGCCGCCGCGCCCGACTTCATGGTGAACATTACATGAGTTAATACACATAGGCCCACACATGCATAGAACAGGCTTAGAACATAGAACGTGCTCATTAAGTGTTAGCTAGTTTGGGAGGTCGGCAGGGGTGGGGAGGATGCAAAAAAGCCCTCATCACAGCGCTCCTGACAGCTCCCGCCAGGCCAGCTCCCCAAATCCCTTAGGAAAATGGCCTCGACCTCTCAGCTGCAACTCTGGCCCAGCCGCCATCTCCTGACCTGACCGCCCACTTCTGGGGAGCCCCGGTGGGTCTGGATTGGAGAGAGCCACCCTCAGCCCTCCCCACCTTCATTGGACCACAGCTGTCTCCTTCACCATCACCTCCGTGCCCACCAGGATTACAGGCCTGATCTGAACCCCTAATCTAGGGAAGACTACGGAGTCCCAAAATCCCTCTTAGCGCGCACCCCGGCCTGAGGCTCGAACCCAGGTCCGCGCTGGAGGGCGGTGGCGGTTGCCGAGCAACGCGCTGTTTGTTGGCGCGGGGGGCGGGGCCGGGGCCGGCGCGCGGTGACTCACCGCGGCGTGATGCGGACGGGCGCGGCGCCCAGCAGCCTGGCCGGCGGCCCGATCTCGGCTGGCCTCGGCGTCCGGAGGGGCCCGGCGGCGGGGGCGCCTTAGCCCCCAAGTGGGCGCCGGAGGCCCGTGGGGAAGCGGCGGAGCAGGTCCCGGGCTCTCGGACTCGGTTCGAATCCCAGCCCTGCCTCTTACTCTTGACTCTTGATCTGTGACTTCAAGGCTCCTTGCCTCAGTTTACCCGTCAGTAAAAGAAGCGACACTGGAGGGTGCAGTAACCCACCACTGGCATTTAAAGCAGCTGAGATGATCACGCAGTGACACTGCGGGGCAGCAAGTTTGGGACACCCAGATTCTGCACGTGAATCTCCTGTGTTAAACTCTGCAACCTCACGGAGAATCAATTTCCGCATCTGTTACAGGGCAGTAGCAAGAACAAACACCCTGCCTCTCGGGTGGTTTGAGAATCCCGTGAATTCATAGTGAGACAATGCGTGGCACATTTCAGTACCATGTCTGCTGCCCCACGGAGGGACGGGATGTAGGAGGTTTTCTCTGTGGTCCGAGCTCAGGAGGGCAAGGAGGTGAGGGCAAGACTGGAACCCCTAGAAGTGGGTGGCAAGTCACAGGTCCAGGGCAGGGTGGCATGACCATGGCTGCAGAGGCCCCTATCCCGAAGCTGGCTCACAGCACCTGCTGCGGGCAGGCAGAAGGGGGGCCTGGGGGTGAGTCACCGCCCAGCAATGAGGCTTGAGTCACACAGGGCGGGGTCCCCCGTTAGCCCCCCCAGCTGCTCCCACAAAGGCCCTTTGAGAAGAGTTCCCCACCCCCTACTCCCACCCCCTAGGCCCTCTCTAGGGGTGGGCTGTGGGGCCGAGGCCCTGCTGGGCTGCCCCCAGGAGCCCGGCCTGGGTCTGGGAGGCGCCAGCCAGTTTCAGCCATGTCTGTGAAAAGTCACCATAGGAAGCTGGGTGTCCCCCGGGGAGGGGGCTTCCAGGCTGCCTGAGTCACTGGAATGGTGGAGGGTCACACGCGCAGGGCCCACGCACACAGCGGGCAAATTGAGTCAGACTGTCTGGTGGGGCGGGCAGGCCAGGACGCTTCGAGTCAGGCTGAGAAGGAAACCTGGGAAGAGACATGGTTCTTCCAAGCCTGTGGCCTCTGGCAGAGAAAGAGGGTGCTTGAGGGCACATATGGTGGGTTTCACCACACCTCCTGCCTAGGCCTCCCCTCCTTGCCTGCCCCGAAACAGTCTCCCCCACCTTTCTATCCTTCTTAAACTTGGAGTGAGAAGGACAGCAAGCTGGATGGGATTCCAGGGAGGCACTCTACTAGCGGAAGAATTGAGATTTTTTTTTTTAATTTTATTATTTATTTATTTATATTTATTTACTTTTTTTTTTGAGACTGAGTCTCACCCTGTCACCCAGGCTGGAGTGCAGTAGCACAATCTCGGCTCACTGCAACCTCTGCCTCCCAGGTTCAAGCGATTCTCCTGCTTCAGCCTCCCAAGTAGCTGGGACTACGAGCACACGCCACCATGCCCAACTAATTTTTGTAGTTTTAGTAGAGATGGGGTTTCACCATGTTGGCCAGGGCAGTCTCGAACTCCTGACCTCAGGTGATCCGCCTGCCTTGGCCTCCCAAAGTGCTGGGATTAAAGGCGTGAGCTACTGCGCCTGGCCAATTTGTATTTATTTATGTATTGAGACAGGGTCTCATTGTGTCGCCCAGGCTGGAGTGCAGTGGCACAATCACGTCTTACTGCAGCCTCGACCTCCTGAACTCAGCTGAGCCTCCCACCTCAGCCTCCCAAGTAGCTGGGACCACAGGTGAGAGCGACCACACCCAGCTAATTTTTGTATTTTTTTTTTTTTTTTTGTAGAGACAGGGTTATGCTGTGTTGCCCAGGCGGGTCTGGAATTCCTGACTCGAATTCCTGCCCTCAAGAGTTCCGCCCACCTTAGCCTCCTAAAGTGCTGGGATTACAGGCATGAGCCCCTGGGCCCTGACCTGTTTGTTTATTTTTTAGAGATAGGGGTGTCTCCATGTTGCCCTGGCTGGCCTCAAACTCCTGGGTTTAAGGGATCCTCCCGAGTAGCTGGGAATACAGGCAAATATGTCCACACCCAGCTTTAAGATAAAAAAAAATTATTATTATTTAATATTTATTTATTTATTGAGATGGAGTCTCTGTCACCCAGGCTGGAGTGCAGTGGCGCGATCTCGGCTCACTGCAGCCTCCACCTCCCAGGTTAAAGCGATTCTCCTGCCTCAGCCTCTGAAGTAGCTGAGACTACAGGCGTGTGCCACCATGCCTGGCTAATTTTTTGTATTTTTTAAGTAGAGACGGGGTTTCGCCATGTTAGCTAGGATGGTCTCGATCTCCTGACCTGGTGATCCACCTGCCTCGGCCTCCCAAAGTGCTGGGATTACAGGCGTGAGCCACCACGCCCAGCCCAGGATCAAAATTTTTTAAGACAAGGTCTCACCACTGCCATCTCAAGCTCCGGGGCTCAAAGGATCCTTCTACCTCAACCTCCAGAGTAGCTGGAACTACAGGTGAGCACCACCACACCTGGCTAATTTATTTATCTTGTGGGGGTCGGGGCGTGAGGGTCTTGCTGTGTTGCCTAGACTGGTCTCCAACTCCTGGCCTTAAGTGAGCCTCCTGCCTCAGCCTCCCAAGTAGCTAGGACTACAGGCATGTGCAAGCACACCCAGCTTATTTATACACATTTATTTTATTTTATTTTATTTTATTTTTTTTTAGAGACAGGGTCTTACTATGTTTCCCAGGCTGGTCTTGAATTCCTGGTCTCAACCAATCCTCCTCCTGCATTGGTCTCCCAAAGTGCTGGTATTACAGGCATGAGCCACCTCGGCTGACCACTTTGCTTTTTCTATTTGTTGACTGAGATGGCTATAAAGGGACTAACAGACTGGTAGCCTATACAGACAGCATGGATAAGCTGGGTAAAGGGATGATTCACATCCCAGGACTGTGGGAGATTTCATCACACTACTCAGAACGGCCTGGAATGTGAAGGTATGACTTGTTTTATTTCTGGAATTTTCTTTCTTTTTTTTTTTTCTGAGACCGAGTCTCGCTCTGTCACCCAGGCTGGAGTGCAGTGGTGTGATCTCTGCTCATTGCAACCTCTGCCTACCGTGTTCAGGCCATTCACCTGCCTCAGCCTCCCGAGTAGCTGGGATTACAGGCGCGTGCCACCACGCCCGGTTAATTTTTGTATTTTTAGTAGAGGCGGGGTTTCACCATGTTGGCCAGGCTGGTCTCGAACTCCTGACGTCAGGTGATCCGCCTGCCTCGGCCCCCCAAAATGCTGGGATTAAAGGCGTGAGCCACCTCGCCCAGCCTCTGGAATTTTCCATTTAATATTTTTGGACCAAAGTTGACCAAGGATAACTGAAACCGAGGAAATCGAAACTGCAGATAAGGGGGACGACTGTATACAGTCAAATGTGTTTAGAATATTCATAGACTTATGCAACCATCACCACAATAAATTTTAGAACATTCCTTTTTTTTTGGAGACAGAGTCTCACTCTGTCACCCAGGCAGGAGTGCAGTGGTGTGATCTCGGCTCACTGCAACCTCCGCCTCCCAGGTTCAAGCGATTCTCCTGCCTCAGCCTCCCAAGTAGCTGGGATTACAGGCGAGCACCACCACGCCCAGCTAATTTTTGTATTTTTAGTAGAGACAGGGTTTCACCATGTTGGCCAGACTGGTCTCGAACTCCTGACCTAGTAATCTGCCCGCCTTGGCCTCCGGAAGTGCTGGGATTACAGGCGTGAGCCACTGTGCCTGGTCCACACCAGCTAATTTTTTGTATTTTAGTAGAGATGAGGTTTCACCGTGTTGCCCAGCCTAGTCTCCAACTCCTGAGCTCAGGCAATCCGCCTGCATCAGCCTTCCAAAATTCTGGGATTAGAGGCAGGAGCCACTACGCCCGGCCTTTTTTTTCGCTGAGGCAGGATCTTACTGTGTAGCCCAGAGTGGAGTGCAGTGGCGGCATCCTGGCTCATTGCAACCACTGCCTCCCGGGCTCAAGCAATCCTCCCACCTCAGCCTTTGGAATAGCTGAGACTGCAGGCGCCCGCCACCACGCCCAGCTAATTTTTTTTTTTTTTTTTTTTTTTTTTTTGAGACGGAGTCTACCTCTGTCGCCCAGGCTGCAGTGCAGTGGCGCCATCTCTGCTCACTGCAAGCTCCGCCTCCCGGGTTCACGCCATTCTCCTGCCTCAGCCTTCCGAGTAGCTGGGACTACAGGCGCCCGTTACCACGCCTGGCTAATTTTTTGTATTTTTAGTGGAGACGGGGTTTCACCGTGTTAGCCAGGATGGTCTCAATCTCCTGACCTCGTGATCCGCAAGATTACAGGCGTGAGCCACCGCGCCTGGCCATTTTTTTTTTTTTTTTTTTTTAAAGACAGGGCGTTGCTATGTTGCTCAGGCTGTTCTCAAACACCTGGGCTCAAGCAGTCCTCCCACATCGGCCTTCCAAAGTGCTGGGATTACAGCATGAGTGACCACGCCCTGCCCAACTTTAGAACATTTCCATCACCCGCAAAAGAAATCTCAAGCCCATTAGAAATCATTTTCTGGCCGGGTGTGGTGGCTCACGCCTGTAACCCCAGCACTTTGGGAGGCCAAGGCAGGTGGATCACCTGAGGTCAGGAGTTCGAGACCAGCCTGGCCAACACGGTGAAACCCCGTCTCTACTAACAATACAAAAATTAGTCAGGTATGGTGGCACATGCCTGTAGTCCCAGCTATTCGGGAGGCTGAGTTGGGAGAATCACTTGAACCCGGGAGGCAGAGGTTGCAGTGAGCCGAGATCATGCCACTGCACTCCATCCTGGGTGACAGAGCGAGACTCTGTCTCAAAAAAAGAAAGGAAAGAAAGGAAGGAAAGGAAAGAAAAGGAAAAGAGAAGAGAAAAGAAATCACTTTCTATTTCACCCCCCAACATTCTCAGCCTCTGGCAACCCTGGTCTACTTTTTGTCTCTGAGTATAAATGCTGTCAACAGAGTTCATCCATGTTATAACAAGTGTAACAAGCGTGAGTACCTTATTCCTTTTTATTGCCAAATAATATGTGATACGGGCTGGGTGTGGTGGCCCATGCCTGTAATCCCAGTACTTTGGGAGGCTGAGGTGGGAGGATCACTTCACCTCAGGAGCTTGAGACCAGCCTGGGCAATGTAGTGAAACCCTATCCCTACAAAAATTACAAAAATTAGCTGGGCATGGTGGTCCTCGCCTGTAGTCCCAGCTACTCAGGACACTGGGGCAAGAGGATCACTTGAGCCCAGGAGGTCGAGGCTGCAATGGGCTAGGATTCTTTTACTGTACTCCAGCCTGGGCAACAGAGTGAGACTTTGTTTCTAAAATGACGAGACCTCGTTTCTAAAATAAAAATGAGGCTGGGCGGGGTGGCTCATGCCTGTGATCCCAACACTTTAGGAGGCTGAGGCAGGTGGATGACTTGAGCTCAGTAGTTCAAGACCAGCCGGGCCAACATGGTGAAACCTGTCTCTACTAAAAATACAAAAATTAGCCAGGCATGGTGGCGGGCACCTTTAATACCAGCTACTTGGGAGGCTGAGGCAGGAGAATCGCTTGAACGTGGGAGGCCCAGGTTGCAGTGAGCCGAGATTGCACCATTGCACTCCAGCCTGGGCAACAGAGCAAGACTTCGTCTCAAAAAAAAAAAAAAAAAAAAAAAAAGCTGGGCGTGGTGGCACGTGCCTGTAATCCCAGCTACTCCGGAGGCTGAGGCAGGAGAATCTCTTGAACCCGGGAGGCAGAGGTTGCAGTGAGCCGAGATCACGCCACTGCACTCCAGCCTGGGCGACACAGTGAGACTCTGTCTCAAAAATAAATAAATAAATAAATAAATATAAAATAAAAATGAAAATAAAATAGACCAAAGCTATGTCCCAGGAACAAAGTATTTGAGAAGCAGATGCTGTCTCACAAAGAAGACTGAGACAGAGAAGGGATGTCAGGAGGATCTAGTGTCCCAAGGCCAAGGAGGAACCAGGCAAAGGTGACAGATACTACACGGAGCTCAAGGACAGCTACAGCTGAGAACTTGGCCTGACTCTGAAGTCTGATATCAGTAGTGTGATCAGGCAGCCGCCTGATAAGTAAATGGGAGGGAAGGCAATAAAGGCAGTGTCTAAAGAAATATATTGTGAGCCACAAATGCAAGCCACATATGTAATGAAAACTTTTTTAGTAGCCACATTTTTTTAAAAAAGTAGCAGGTGAAATTAATTTTATTTTATTCACATTTATTTATTTATTTTTGAGACACAGTATCACTCTGTCACGCAGAATGGAGTGCAGTGGTAGGATCTCGGCTCACTGTAACCTCTGCCTCCCAGGTTCAAGTGATTCTCCTGCCTCAGCTTCCCAAGTAGTTGGGATTACAGGTGCGTGCCACCACACCCAGCCAATTTTATATTTTTAGTAGAGACGGGGTTTTGCCATGTTGGCCAGGCTGGTTTTGAACTCCTGACCACAAGTGATCCACCTGCCTCAGCCTCCCAAAGTGCTGGGATTGCGGGCATAAACTAGTGAGCCTGCCAAAATTAATTTTTTTTTTTTGAGACGGAGTCTTGCTCTGTTGCCCAGGCTGGAGCGCAGTGGCACGATCTTGGCTCACTGCAACCTCTGCCTCCCGGGTTTAAGTGATTCTCCTGCCTCAGCCTCCCAAGCAGTCAGGATTACAGGTGTATGTCACCATGCCCAGCCAATTTTATATTTTTAGTAGAGACGGGGTTTCGCCATGTTGGCCAGGCTGGTTTTGAACTCCTGACCTCAAGTGATCTGCCTGCCTCAGCCTCCTAAAGTGCTGGGATTACAGGCATGAGCCAGTGAGCCTGCCAGAATTATTTTTTTTTTTAATTTGAGACGGAGTCTTGTCCTGTTGCCCAGGCTGGAGTGCAGTGGCATGGTCTCAGCTCATTGCAACCTCCACTTCCTGGGTTCAAGTGATTTTCCTGCCTCAGCCTCCAAGTAGCTGGGATTGCAGGTGCCTGCCACCACACCTGGCTAATTTTTGTATTTTTAGTAGAGACGGAGTTTCACCATGTTGGCCAGGCTGGTCTTGAACTCCTGACCTCAGGTGATCCACCCGCCTCGGCCTCCCAAAGTGCTGGGATTACAGGTGTGAGTTACTACACTTGGCTACAAAATTAATTTTAATAAGATTTTATTTAACTGAGTATATCCAAAATAGTATCCTTTTAACATATAATCAAGGTAAATATTATGAATGAGATATTTCAGTTTTTTGGTACTGTCTTCAAAAATCTGATGTGGATTTTATACTTATAACATCTCAATTCAAACTGTTAGGTTGGTGCAAAGTAATTGTGGTTCTTGCCATCATTACTTTCTTTCTTTCTTTTCTTTTTTTTTTTTTTTGAGACGGAGTCTCACCCTGTCCCCCAGGCTGGAGTGCAGTGGTGCGATCTCAGCTAATGCAAGCTCCGCCTCCCAGGTTCACGCCATTCTCCTGCCTCAGCCTCCCGAGTAGCTGGGACTACAGGCACCCGCCACTACACCTGGCTATTTTTTTTGTATTTTTAGTAGAGACGGGGTTTCACCGTGTTAGGATGGTCTCGATCTCCTGACCTTGTGATCCACCCGCCTCAGCCTCCCAAAGTGCTGGGATTACAGGCATAAGCCACCGCGCCTGCTTTTTTTTTTTTTTTTTTTTTTTTTGAGGAAGAGTCTTGCTCTGTTGCCAGGCTGGAGTGCAGTGGCACAGTCTCGGTTCACTGCAACCTCTGCCTCCCGGGTTCAAGCGATTCTCCTGCCTCAGCCTCCCGAGTAGCTGGGATTACAGGCATGCACCACCACACCTGGCTAATTTTTGTGTTTTTAGTAGAGACGGGGTTGCACCATGATGGCCAGGCTGGTCTCAAACTCCTGACCTCAGGTATCCACCCTCCTCGGCCTCCCAAAGTGCTGGGATTACAGGCGTGAGCCACTGCACCCGGCTGCCATTACTTCGAAGAATAGCTGTATTTCAGGTGCTCAGTAGCCACGTGACCAGTAGTAACGTCATTGGAAAATGCAGTCCAGACAGGCCCGAGTCCTGCCCTTGTGTGACTCATGTCACTCACCTATCCCTAATCCCAGCTCTGTTGGATCCTATCTTTATTGAAAAAAACAATTTTTTTTTTCTAGACAGGGTGGAATGCAGTGGTGTGATCATGGCTCACTGCAGCCTCCACCTCTGGAGCTCAACCAGTCCTCTCACTTCTGCCTCTGAATAGCTGGGACCACAAGCGTACACCACCACGCCCAGCTAATTTTTAAAATTTTTGTAGAGGCCGGGTGCGGTGGCTCATACCTATAATCCCAGCACTTCGGGAGGCCAAGGCGAGCGGATCACTTGAGGTCAAGAGTTTGAGACCAGCCTAGCCAACATGGCAAAACCCCATTTCTACTAAAAATACAAAAATTAGCTGAGCATGGTGGCGGGCGCCTGTAATCCCAGCTACTCTGGAGGCTGAGGCACGAGAATCGCTTAAACCTGGGAGAGATGATTGCAATAAGCCGAGATCATGCCACTGCACTCCAGCCTGGGCAACAGAGTGAGACTCCGTCTCAAAAAACAAAACAAAATAAAATAAAATAATAAAACCCTTGATTGGGCATGGTGGCTCATGCTTGTAATCCCAAGACTTTGGGAGGCTGAGGAGGGTGGATCATTTGAGCCCAGTAGTTTGAGACCAGCCTGAGCAACATAGTGAGACACTGTCACTACAAAAAAATTTAAAAATTAGCCAGGTGTGGTGGTGTGTGCCAGTAGTCCCAGCTAGTTGGGAGGCTGGGGCAGGAGAATTGCCGAAACCCAGGTTGAGGCCTCAATGGGCTAGGAGTGTGCTACTGAACTCCAGCCTGGGCAACACAGCAAGATCCCGTTTCTAAAAAACAAATCAAACAAACAAAAATCCCTAAGCCTTCTCATCATACTTAAATCCAAACTCCTTACTGATCAAGGACCTATAAGACGTCACCTCCTCAAAAGCCTTCCCAGATTGCACTTTCATCTTCCAGGCTGGGCCTTGACTCTCAGCACTGAAAACTCTTCATTGTAATTGGCTAGCTACATGACTAGCCCCCTGCCAGATGGTGGCAGGCAAGCTCCTAGTCTGTTTTGTCCCTCCCCCACTTCCCATCATCTCACCCCACATGCATGCCAGGAACATAGTGATTATTAATGCATTAATTCACTAGATATTGACTAAGGGCCTTTTTTAAGTTCTCCAGCAGTGATGAAGACAAACGTTGTAGGCTGGGCACGGTGGCTCATACCTGTCATCCCAGCACTTTGGGAGACTGAGGCAGGAGGATCGCTTGAGCCCAGGAGTTCGAGACTGCCCTGGGCAACAAAGTGAGACCCACCCCCATCTCTCCAAAAAAAAAAAAAAAAAAAAAAAAGACAACAGCTATTGTGCTGGCAGAGCTGACAATCAAGTACAGGAGACAGACAAGAAACAAGATGTGTAGTAAAACATGTAGTGTGTTGAAAGGTGACAGGGCCAGGCGCGGTGGCTCACGCCTGTAATCCCAGCACTTTGGGAGGCCGAGGCAGGCGGATCACGAGGTCAAGAGTTTGAGACCAGCCTGGCCAACATAGTGAAACCCCGTCTCTACTAAAAATACAAAAAATTAGCCGGGCATGGTGGTGGCACCTGTAATCCCAGCGACTTGGGAGGCTGAGGCAGGAGAATGGCTTGAACCCGGGAGCGGAGGTTGCAGTGAGCCGAGATCGCGCCATTGCACTTCAGCCTGGGCGACAGCGAGACTCCATCTCAAAAAAAAAAAAAAAAAAAAAAAAAGGTGACAGGGTTGTGAGAAATAAATAGAGGAGAAAGCAAGGTGGGTGCAATTTTGAAATAGGGGAGTCGGCCGGGCTCCATCTGTAATTCCAGCACTTTGGGAGGCTGAGGTGGGCGGATTGCCTGAGCTCAGGAGTTTGAGACCAGCCTGGGTAACATGGTGAAACCCTGTCTCTACTAAAAATACAAAAAAAATTAGCTGGGTGTCGTGGTGGTTGCCTGTAATCCCAGCTGAGGAGGTCTGGAATGGGGTGAATGAGGGAGGGAGTGGAGAGGGTGAGGCAGAGAGGAGACAGGAGACTGTGCAAAGCCTTCTGGGTCCTGGGGAGGACTTTGGCTTTTGCTCTGAATAAGGTGGGAGCCATTGAGGGTTCTGAGCAGAGGAGGGACTGGACCTGACTTGGGTGCTCACAGGCGCCCCGCCCCGGCTGCTGTGGTGGGGAGGGGATTAGGGGGATGGGGACAGACTGTCGGGGGCTGCAAGGTGTGCAGAGAGGTGGCAACTGGAGCAATTCTGGGGAGAGATGATGGAAGCCGGACCAGGGTGGGCCTTGGAGAAGTCAGGATTCTGGATGCATTAGAAGGGACAGTAACTAGCCTGGGAGCAGTGGCTCATGCCTGTAATCCCAGCACTTTAAGAGGCCAAGACGGGTGGATTGCTTGAGTCTAGGAGTTCGAGACCAGCCTGGGCAACATAGCAAGACCTATCTCTACTAAAAATACAAAAAAATCAGCCAGGCGTGGTGGCAGGTGCCTGTTGCCCCAACTATTTGGGAGGCTGAAAGAAATGGGAGGATGGCTTGAATCCGGGAGGCGGAGGATACAGTGAGCAGAGATCGTGCCACTGTACTCCAGCCTGGGCGATAGAGCCAGACCCTGTTTCAGAAGAAAAAAAAAAAAAGGACAGTAAGCAAAATTGTTAATGGGTTGCATCTGTTAATAAAAGTTTTTGTCTGAGCAGCTGGGAGGATGGAGCTGCCATTTCCGGAGACCGGGAAGATGGCGGGAGACCGTTTGCAGTTGAGGAAATGAGCTCTGAGCCCAGGGCTTCGTTCTGGCCCTGAAGTGTCCCTGCCCAGACTCTGGTGGGGTGCGGAGGAAAGCACCCACATGGCCTAGGCTTTGCCTCCTCGGGGCTTTCTCTCGGTCGATGCCTGAGTGTGCAAACTACACCCACATCTGAGTATACAGGGGCACCTCCGAAGACCCCCACGGCCTGACACATCCACCCAGTGTCCAATGGCCACAGCCTTGGGGGACTTCGGGGGCTGGAGTTCCGGGCTGATGGAGTTGAGAAGGGCTGCCTGGCTCTTACACCCACCTTGGGTCCCCACGGAGACCCCCAAGGGGACAGGAGGTGAAATCTCCCAGGGAGAGGTTCAGGAAGAGCTGCTGCTGTGTCGCAGCCCTGGGCTCCCCCTATGAGTCAGCACTGGCAGGGGCCCCAGGAACTGGGGACCGGGGGTGTGTAGGGGGGAGGGCAGTTCCCACGCCCTAAGGCGTCTGGGGCGCTGGGGCTTCCCCCACCGCTCCTCCCATCCTGTGCTGGGCTCTGGGGATCTTCAGAGGAGTCTGGGGGGTGAGAAGCCCAGGGCGGATTGGCCACTGGGCCAGGATCCAGGAATCCTCTCTCCTGGTCTGACCCAGTTCAGGAATGCAGAGGCCGCCCGCCCCGGCAAATGCGTTGCAGCAAGAAGGAGAGTTAGACGTAGAGAAACACCGAGTGAGTTGGACATTTGTGTGGACGGCACTTCTAGGGGGCTTTATTTAAGAAGGGGCCCTTCCTTCTGGGGACTCTGCATTTGAGCAGTGGAGGCTCCAGCCTGGGGTGTCCAGGCAGAGTCCTCAGCTACCGTGGAGTGGGAGGTGGCGGGGAGGAGGGGGAGGAGACTGCGCTGAGAGCTGAGATCAGTCCCGCCGGCCTCCACAGCTGGGAGGGCGCTGGACTCTGCTGCCCCCTGCTGGTGGCTGCAGGAAATTCAGCGAGCAGGACAGCTGGCCGGTCCTGGAGAAGAGACGGGGGGAAAGGCCTCGCACAGAAAGAATTCCAGCTCTGCCTTTTTTTTTTCTTTTTTCTTTTTTTTTGAGACGGAGTCTCGCTCTGTGGCCCAGGCTGGAGTGCAGTGGCACAATCTCGGCTCACTGCAACCTCCGCCTCCCGGGTTCAAGTGATTCTCATGCTTTAGCTTCCTGAGTAGCTGGGATTATAGGCGCGTGCCACCACGCCCGGCTAATTTTTGTGTTTTTAGTAGAGAAGAGATTTCACCATGTTGGTCAGGCTGGTCTCGAACTCCTGACCTCGTGATCCGCCCGCCTCGGCCTCCCAAAATGCTGTGATTACAGGTGTGAGCCACCACGCCTGGCCCCAGCCCTGCCTCTTACAGGCGGTACCACCTTGGGCAAGGGCAGGCCCCATCTGGGCCTCGGTTGCCCATCTGTGGAAAGGGCAGTATTCACTTCATTGGCCTGCTGGGAAGAATCTGAGATGATGATAGGCATTCCTGGGACCAGGAAGAAGGTTCGAAGATACAGCTGGGGAGAACTCTACCCTGGGCCCACCCTTCTAAAGAGAATAGTCCCTGCCTCAAGGGTTGCTCTGGTCTGGATGGGAGACGAGGCTCATACACGTCTATGAGTGGATGAATGAGTGAATGAATAAATGTGAATGTTGCATATTCCAAAGCAAGTCCCTCCCCAACCCCTTCCGCCTCTTTTTCTAAGAGAGGAACTCTTTCCCCAATACGCTCTTTTTTTTAGAGATGAAGTCTCTGTCTGTTGCACAGGCTGGAGTACAGTGGCACCATCATAGCTCATTGTAGCCTTGAACTCCTGGGCTCAACGGATCCTTTTGCTTCAGCCTCCCAAGTAGCTGGGACTATAGGCGCTCACCACCACACCCAGCTAATTTTTTTTTTAATTTTATTTTTGTAGAGACAGTGTCTCGCTGTGTTGCCCAGACTGGTCTTGAACTCCTGGCCTCAAGCGATTCTCCTGCCTCGGCCTCCCAAAGTGCTGGGATTACAGGCTTGAGCCACTGTGCCCGGCCCCCCTTGCCTCTTTTCTGTAAGAAGGGCTGGCCGGCAGGGGGGCGGGCGGCACAGGAGGGCCATCAACAGAGCTGACTGGCCCCCCCCAACCCCATGGAGGTATGATTACTAGATTGCAATGAACTCCCATTCTCTCCCCTGCACGTGTCTCTCCATCCCCACTCTGGGAGAAGACTTCCTTTGGGAGAGGTTAGGTGTAGACTACAGCTGGCCCCTCTAACCTTTGGTGGGGTTGGGGGTCGGGGGAGTGGTCCTGGAGACATCCACTCTCCTGGACCTGGAACCAGACTTTCTGGGCTGAGACCTGAAGGCAGCTGGACGATGTGGGAGGGTGAACCTGTCAAGGAGAAACTGAGGCAGGACTGTGGTGGAGGAGGCTGAAAGGAAGTGAGGGGTGCGCGATCAGGTGGGGAAGGGCCATGGCCCCATAAGGGTTAAGGTCTGGGCTTGGAAGGGGGCCAGTCAAAGGTTTCTCCATCCCCCTCTCAGACTGGGGTGGGGGATAAATAAACAGAATGAGAAATCTGTCAGCTCAGCCCGGGCCAATGGGAGGCTGCCTGGCGCCATGGTTTGCCCTGATGTGACCTTCCTCTACCAGCCGCGGTGGCCACTGCGGGCAGGGGCAGTGTGTGGAGCCTCAGCCAGGGTACGATCATTCCAGCCTTGTGCATGCTCTTATACCTGGGCAGGGGGAGGGGGGATGTCTGGGGAGGAGTACCGTCTGTGCAAGGATCTTTGGGAGATCCGGGGAGCCCCATCCTTTGTACAGCTTGCATGTGGTCTGTGCACCTGGCCTGTATATATGCTTGTGCCTCATGGTCCCAGGTACACATCCCCACGTGCCCCTGAATTGCGTGTGTCCATGTGGACCCCTGTGGCTCTGGGACCTGCTGGGGGTCTTGTGCATGTGGCTGTTGGCTGTGTTTCTCTGCCTCTGCGACTGGTCCATTTGACCCGAGTGGCTGTGCATATATGTGTGTGTCTGTGAACTTTGTGGATCTGTGTCTCCATGGGTGTGTTCTGGTTCTATGTCTATATCCATGTATTAGGTTATTTTGTGTGTGTCACGGTGCTCCTGTGGCTGTGTACCTGGGGTACTGTGTGTGTATGTTGGGGGGTATATCTCAGGTCTGTGGATACCCCAGTGCGTCTGTGATCTCCTGCGTGTCCGTGTGTCTTGTGTGAGCTGTGCGTGCCCGGGGTTCAGCCGCGTTTCTGCATATTTCGGTTCTAAGGACCTTCCCTCCTGTCCTGAATGTGGTGTGTCTGTGTACCTTGCATGTGTCTGGTGCCCCCGGGTGTCCCTCTGTGTGTAGCTGGGTTTTATGACCACCCTCGTGCGGCCCGGCACGCCCGCACGTCCCGCCACCCCCTCCCTTGGGTGTGTGTCTCGCAGCCCCCTGCACACCGTTCCCTATGTCTGTGGCCCGCGTGCCTTTGTGCGCGTGTGCTCCCCCCGGCGCCTTTGAGGTCTGCGTGCGTCTGGGTCCCTGCGTGTGCCCGCCCGCGCCCCCGTGTCCCTGATTCCCCCGCGCGGGCCCCGGGAGCTGCGTTTTGGAGACCCACGGGCATCCCCCGAGTGCGTCCCGGTGCGCCTGGCAGGAGGCCTCGGGACGCGCACGGCCGCGGCTGGACCCACCGCCCGGCGCGGCGCGGGGAGGAGGGAGGGGGCGGCGGCAGCGGGGAGCGCGGGCACGTCACCGAGACAGACAGGCGGGCGGGCGGCGGCGGCCACGGGTTCGAGCCGGCGCCGGAGCCCCGCGGCCCCCTCCCCCCCCCCGCCCACGGCCTAGGGAGCCCCCGCCCTGCCCCGGAGCCGCCGAAATGCAATTTCCCGTGCAGGCGCCTCGGGCCCGGGGGGCTTTTCCGGGCGGGTTTTGGAAAGAAGAGGGGGAAATGCGGCGGCGGCCCCAATCGAGGTGAGCGCGGGCGCCGGGCGGGCCGGGGGCACGGGCGGGGCGGGGGCCGCCCGCGGGCAGGGGGCGCGGCGGGGCGGGGCGGGACGCGGCCGCAGCCCCCTCGCGCACCTGCTCGCAGCCCCGGGGCGGGCGCCCCGGCCTCTGCGGCCCGGCCCTCCATTGTTGTTGGGGCTTGGAAGGGGGGCGGGGAGGCCCCGGCGGCATCTCTGCGTCTCGCCTTTCCGGAGAGGGGGCGCCGGGAGGGTCGGACTCTGCAAAGGGGACAGACCCCCGAGTCCCGGAGCCGGGGCCGCCAGGGGGAGGGCAAGCGGAGATGCCCTCGCGGGGCGGGGACGCGCGATGGGGGGCGTGGGGACAGCGGCGCCCCGACCGCCCGACACCTGACCGCGCGCGGGGAGGCCACGGGCCGGGGCGGCGGCGAGCTTTGTTCTTGGGGGCGCGGGGCGGGTGGGGCGCTCGGAAATCGAATGCCAGAAGAGAGTACGGCCCGGCGCGCGCGCGTTCGTGAAGGCTGCTCCGGCCAAGTTCATGGGCGCTCGGGCCTGCGGAGACCGATCCTGGCGGGGGCCCCGCTCAGGCCTGGCCGCGGGCTGGGGGTGCTGCAGCCGCGCCACCTCCGGAAGCCCTGGCGCCCTGCGCGGGCCGCCCCTCCGGCCTGTCATTACCGGCAGCAGCTGCAGGGTATTTACTGGGGCCAAGGTTTGCGAACAGGAACCCGCCCTCCAAAACTGGCCATAAAAAGGGAAAATGGCCCCGAATCCCACTGCCGGGGAGCCCTTTTAAAGCTACAGGGCGCCTTTCACGGCGACCTGCCCTGGAGGGCAGGCTGGGGGTGGGGGGGTGGAAAAGACACCTCATTGGCTGATAGGGACTGAGACGTCCCCCCCACGGTCCCACACTTCGGTTCCCCTCCCCCCATCTCTTTCCCTACCCATTCCACACCCCTGGACTGCTCACAGATGCATTAAGCCAGCCACGATTAGATATTCCCAAGGCCCTGATGGAGACCCCCAAAATTACACGCTATACACAGACATACAGCACCCCGATTAATACGCAGTCGAAAGTGATGCTGACACACACATACAGTCCCCACAATAACACTGCCACGTGTGTAGACACGTCACCCACAAGGGCTCGGACATCCAGGGATAGTGCCCATTGAAAGGCTGTCACACAGAAATGGAGCCACCAACGAAGGCAGCTACAACATAGACACAGCCTTTCGCATAACACTGACACACAGAAGTGGGTGTTCACCCACAGCATGTCACTCAGGGTAGCAATGACAAACGCAGATCCCTAAAGCCCATCAGTCAGGCACACACAGACTCCGACTCCATCGTTCACAATACCTGGGACACACACAGACATCCATGTGTCCTCCCAACCAAGTTCACACCTGCACACTCACAGTCACCCACAGTCACCCCCACCACACACACACACATACACACACACACAGACGGTACAAGGCCTGCAGAAACACATCTGACAGCAGGTCACACATAATCTTTTTTATTTTTATTTACTTATTTATTTTGAGATGGAGTCTCTCTTGGCTGCCCAGGTTGGAATGCCGTGGCACGATCTCCCGGATTCAAGCAATTCTCTTGCCTCAGCCTCCTGAGTAGCTGGGATTACAGGCGCGTGCCACCACACCAGGCTAATTTTTGTATTTTTAGTAGAGATGGGGTTTCACCATGTTGGCCAGGCTGGTCTTGAACTCCTGACCTCAGGGGATCCGCTGGCTTCAGCCTCCCAAAGTGCTGGGATTACAGGTGTGAACCGCCGCACCCGGCCACAGTTTCCTTTTTATTTTTTTGAGACAGGGTCTCACTCTGCTGCCTAGGCTGGAGTGCAGTGGCACGATCTAGGCTCACTGCAATCTAGGCTCACTGCAATCTAGGCCCATCTCCTGGGCTCAAGCAATCCTCCCACCTCAGCTTCCCGAGTAGCTGGGAGAACAGGTGCGCACCACCACACCTGGGTAATTTTTGTATTTTTTGTAGAGATGGAGTTTTGCCGGTTGCCCAGGCTCGTCTCAAACTCGTTGAGCTCTAGCTATCCACCCACCTCGGCTTCCCAGAGCGCCGAGCCACCATGCCTGGCCCAAATTTTTGTTTGTTTGTTTTGTTTTTTGAGACAGGGTCTGGCTCTGTCACCCAGACTGGAGTTCAGTGGCACGATCATAGCTCACAGCAGCCTCAAACTCTCAGACTCAAATGATCCTCCCACATTAGCCTCCCGAGTAGCAGGTCTCAGTAATCTTGATATACACACACATACAGACCACCCCCGCCCAAGAACACAACTGCACACATGGACACACAGTTGTTCACAGTAAAATGGATCCTCTTAGCCACCCACAAAGACACTGTCACCCACAAAGATATATGAGCACGAACCCAGTGGCCATATGCCCATCGTCACCTACCCTGAGACTTGTTTAGGCACTCAGACACCTGCACATCTACAATAATACTGACATACACACAGACACAGTAACACATGCATACACACTGGCATGCATAGACTCACGGGGAAATGACACACAGGCAGGCAGAAATCCTGTCATCTGGATGCCCACAAACCCAATAATATTTTTTTTTTTTTGGAGACAGAGTCTTGCTCTGTCACCCAGGCTGGAGTGCTCTGTCACCCAGGCTGGAGTGCAGTGACACAATCTCAGCTCACTGCAATCTCCAACTCCCAGGTTCAAGCGATTCTCCTGCCTCAGCCTCTCGAGTAGCTGGGATTACAGGCGCCCGCTACCATGCCTGGCTAATTTTTGTATTTTTAATAGAGACAGAGTTTCACAATGTTGTCCAGGCTAGTCTTGAACTCCTGATCTCAGGTGATCCACCCACCTCGGTCTCCCAAAGTGCCGAGATTACAGGTGTGAGCCAGTGCGTCCGGCCCCAATACTCATTTATTGAGCATCTGTTATGTACCCAGCACTGTTCTAGCACTGGGGATGCAGCTGTGAACAAGAGGGAAATCTGAACGAGCACAGTGGTTCACGCCTGTAATCTCAGCACTTTGGGAGGCCGAGGTGGCAGGATCACTTGAGATGAGGAGTTTAAAAAACATATTAGCTGGGCGTGGTGGTGTGCGCCTATAGTCTCAGGTACTAGGGAGGCTGAGGCGGGAGGATCGCTTTGAGCCCAGGAGTTTGAGATTGCAGTGAGCTATGATGGCACCACTGCACTCTAGCCTGGGTGACAGCGAGACCTAGTCTCTTTTAAAAAAAAAAAAAAGAATGAAATCCCTGTCTTCCCACACCTGACATTTTAGTGGGGAATGGGATGGGGGGGACACCATGACTGGATGATACAGACTCCAGTCACTCATAGTGACACCAGCAGACACCAGACACCCACGCACACTGGCTCACATGTCGACCTGGAATTACACACAATTAGCCTGATATACACCCACAGCAATGCTGACATCCACACACAAACAGAAGCCCACAGGAACTTACACACACACGCACACACACAGCTGGTGGAGAGACAGCCACCTGCTATAGCACACTCCCACCTGGACTTACAGACACCCACAGAACCCCCCAAAATACCTCAGCAAAGTAGCTTGGACCTGAAGCCCCTATTTATAGACCCATAGAAACATCCTACAAGAGTTCTTGAGACGGAGCCCACCCTGACCCCAAACCCAGGGTCACCCAGCACCATAAGCCTCAGTAGAAGTGTCTGAATTTCCCTTATTAAAAAATTTTTTTAATTTGTTTTTTGTAGAGATGAGGTCTCACTGCGTTGCCCAGGCTGATCTTGAACTCCTGGGCTCAAGTGATCCTCCTGCCTCGGCCTCCCAAAGCGTTGGGACTACGGGCATGAGCCACCGTGCCCGGCCTGAATTCTCCTTCAGCTTGGCCCCTCCATAGCCCCCAATCCCATTCCTGGAGAAGCCAGAACCTTCTCGCCTTCCCCAGCCCTGGCCTCACATCTGGCAGGCCTGGGAAGGAAGCTGGGCTCCTAGCCCACCCACCGCCCACGGGCTGGGTGGGACAGAGGAGCCCCTTGTCTGAGGACCCCTGGCATGAAAGACTCCCGCAGCTGGAAAGGAAGTGGGGGAGGTGGCCTGCGGAGGGTGGGGTGGGAACCTCAGAGCCCACGCAGGTATCACTGAAACGAGACACCCCTGCTTGCCAGTCTAGACAGCCTGGGCCATCACCGTGACCCCACGGAGACCCCCACAGGGCTCTTGGTGTCGCTGGAACCCCCATAATGGGCTCTTTGTCTGCCAGGTCCTGACGACCTCCCCCACCCCGTGTCCCCCTTCCAGGCCCAAGTACACACACACACACACGCACGCACACACACACACACACGCACACACATACAGTTACATACAACACACAGACACACAGGAGCATATATATAGGTACTCATGCGTGAACATACAGAGACACCCCCAACCCCCATGCACCAAGGCTCAGGGTTGAGATCGAGAGGAGACAGCTTGCCACCTCCCACCCTGAGGGACTTCACAGTCAAGACTTCAAGAATCACGGGCAGGACACACGGGCCGCCAGACACCCCTGGGAGCTTGGAGACCTGGCCTTCTAGCCATGCCCACCTTGTTCTTCAACTATTTTTTTTTTTTTGAGACAGGGTCTCACTCCTGTAGCCTGGGCTGGAGTGCAGTGGCGTGACTGCGTCTCACTCACTGCAGCCTCGACTTCCCTGGCTTCCGTCAGCCTCGACTTCCCTGGCTTGCGTGATCCTCCCACCTCAGCCTCCCAAATAGCTGGGACTACAGGCGCACACCACCACACCCGGCTAAGTTTTTCTATTTTTAGTTGAGCCAGGGTTTCACCATGTTGCTCAGGCTGGTCTTGAACTCCTGTGCTCAGTCAGTCTTCCTGCTTTGGCCTCCCAAAGCAGTGGGATGACGGGCATGAGCCACCCGGCGCCCAGCCTTGTTCTTCAGCTTGACGGTAGAGCTGCCTCCATCCATCCATCCATCCATCACTTGCTCACCTGCCTCTGCTAGGACTTCTCACCTCCGACTCTGATCCCCCGACTTGTGCCAGCTGCCCTGCACCTTCCTGGTGCTATGTGTGGGGGGGTGGGGGCAAGGCCCTGGGATAGCGTGGCTTTTTTTTTTTTTTTTTTTTTTTTTGAGACGGAGTCTCACTCTGTCACTCAGGCTGGAGTGCAGTGGCTCAATCTCGGCTCACTGCAATCTCTGCCTCCCAGGTTCAAGCAATTCTCGTGCCTCAGCCTCCCAAGTAGCTGGGACTACAGGTGTGCGCCACCATGCCTGGCTACTTTTTTTTTGTTTGTTTGTATTTTTAGTAGAGATGGGGTTTCACCATGTTGGTTAGGCTGGTCTCGAACTCCTGACCTCAACTGATCTGCCCGCCTCGGCCTCCCAAAGTGCTGGGATTACAGGAATGAGCCACCGTGCCCGGCTCATAACGTGGCTTTTAGAGGGCCGTCCCCCACACCCCACTTATCCCCAGCTCCCCTGCCCAGAAAGACCCTCCCAGCTGCACTGGGGTCAGGTGAGGGGTCCCAGGAACTAAGGATAAAGAAGAAGCAAAATGAAGGCCCTGAAAGACACCCCTACCCCCCATGCACTGAGGCTCAGGGTCACAAGCAGGAGGAGACAGCTTGTCACCTCCCACTCTGAGGGACTTCAAAGTCAAACCAGCAGACAGCTGCAACCAGACAAGCAGGGCAGGGCTGCAGACTCCCTCAGGGGACAGGAGGGGACAGGTATCACGGTCACCAGTCACAGACAGGAGATGGAGATGGGGGGTAAACAGCTAGACACATACAGGCAGATCCAGACAGTTTGAGGCAGGTGCACGGGCTGGGCAGGAGACCCAGATGGAGAACAGATGTGTGAGGGGCATAGTCCGACCCAGACAGACGACCCTGGGATGACCAAGAGACAGGTGGACCCAGATGGACACTGAGGGCCAGAAGCCTGCACGGACCACAGGCAAAGAAGAGAGATAGTCAGACCCAGGATTGGGGCTGCCGGCCTCCTGTCGCCCCAGCCCCAGCTTCCTGGCCTTCAAGACCAGACCCCTCTTCCACTGTGGTCTTGTGTCTTGTCTTAGGGAGAAACCTTACAGGGAACAACCTCCTTGGCAGTTCAAGGCCAAAGCCCTCAGAGGGAGGAGTGGGAGGCAGAAAGGACACACAGGAGGTGTCTGGGGAACCCCCTCCAACATAGCCAGAATGTCTCCTGCCTGATGACCCCCCGCCCCCAACATTAAAGCTGTTCACAGTCATCAAGAAGAAAGATTCCTGTGGGACGAGGTGGCTCATGCCTGTAATCCCAGAACTTTGGGAGGCCCAGGAGTTCGCGACCAGCCTGGGCAACATAGTGAGATCTCATCTCTACAAAACTTTTTTTTATTTGTTTGTTTTTGTTTTAAGTTAGCCAGGCCAGGCACCTGTGATCCCAGCTACTTGGGAAGCTAAGGTGGGAGGATTGGTTGGGGCTGGGAGGTCGAGGCTGCAGTGAGCTGTGATTGCGCCACTGCACTCCAGCCTGGGCAACAGAGCGAGACCCCGTCTCAAAACAAAACAAAACAAAACAACAACAGCAACAAAAAAGAGAATAAAGATTTTTCTTTTTTAAAGAAACGGGGTTTTAAAGAACCACTGCTGGGTGCCGTGGTTCATGCCTGTAATCCCAGCACTTTGGGAGGCCCAGGAGTTGGAGACCAACCTGGCCAACATAGTGAAACCCTGTCTCTACTCAAAATACAAAAATTAGCTGGCCATAGTGGCAGGTGCCTGTAGTCCCAGCTACTCAGGAGGCTGAGGCAGGAGAACTGCTTGAACCCAGGAGGTGGAAATTGCAGTGGGCAGAGATCGCGCCACTGCACTCCAGCCTGGGTGACAGAGCAAGACTCCATCTCAAAAAAAAAAAAAAAAAGAGAGAGAGAGAGAGATGGGGGTCTCACTGTGTTTTCCAGGCTAGTCTCAACTTCTGGGCTCCAGCCATCCTCCTGCCTCCCAACTAGCTGGGACTACAGACAAGAACCAAGCTTTTGAGGAATCTTGAGAGTTCTGGACTAACAGAGCCACTTACCTTCCCAGTCCACAAAATGGGTATATCCTGCTCACAGCGTGATGAATGTAGCGTTATCATCAGTAATGTAATTATTAACACCTGTGCTCCCAACTCACTCTCCTTCCCAAGTCCTAGGCGTTCTCCTCCTTAGAATGATGATCCACAAGGCAGGGGACCGGCCACCTCCCTCGGAAGGGCCTGGACACCTGGGGTGGAGGTGGCGGATAAAGAGAAGCCGATCAGGCCCCCCCACTCCACAGCCTGAATGGGAGGATCTGCTGGACGTGGCGGATGAGCTGCGAGAGAGGGCGCCCCACTCCAGCTCCAGACAGAGGGGTGGGAACGTGACCCCGACCCGGGGCGGGTGAGAGGGCGGGCTCTGGGGAAAGGGCTCTAGAAGGTGCCGGGAGGCGGGAGGGGGGCTTCGGGAGGGCGAGTTAGCCGGGATCGGGCTTGAGGGGCCCTACGAAATTCGGTTTGGGGGCGTGCCCGGTCGGGGCGGACCTTAGTGGGGGGTTGGGCTTCGTGGGGGCAGGACGCAGTCCCGGGGCGTCTATAGAGCAGGCTTTTGTGGAGGGCTCTAAGGGGGCGGGCCCTAAGGGAGCTGGGCTCTTTGAGGACTGGCTTAGGGGTTTGGCGGTGGGCTCCGTGGGAGTCTATATGGGCGGGTTTTAGAGGGAGTGTGTTCTGGGGAACAGGTCAAAAGCGACGGGGCTCTAAGGGGCAGGGCCTGGGCTGGGGCCTTGGCTGGTGGCTCCAGACTGTGGGTGGGGCTCTCGGGGGCGGGGCTCTCGGGGGCGCGTCCTCGGGGGCTCGGCCGGGTTCCGTTGCCACCACCGTGAGGGGTGTGGTGGGGGGGTGGTTCACGCAGCTCGGCACACTTGGGGGTCCCTCATCTACCTTGGGGTTATGCCAGGCGGTTATTTTGGGCCTCAGTATTCCCCTCGGTGAAATGCCAGGGGCCAGGAAATTACTTATTTTTTTGCGACGACGGGGTCTCGTCCTGTGACCCAGGCTGGAATACAGTGGCGCGATCACGGCTCACTGCAGCCTCGAGCCTCGAACTCTTGGGGTCCAAGCGATCCTCCCATCTCAGCCTCCTAAGTAGCTAAGACTACAGGCTCACTACACCACACCCAGCTAATTTTTTTGTAGGGACAGGTATCTCGCTATGTTGCTCAGGTTGGTCTCCATCTCCTGGGCTCAAAAGATCCTCCCGCCTCAGCCTCCCAAAATACTGAATTACAGGCCTGAGCCGCAGCACCCGGCCATGCCGGGTGCACCTTCCTAGGCCGTCCGCAGACCCAGGTCAGGGGCGAAGGCGCGCTCGCCCATCCCTGGTCGTCACTGCTTGGCTTGCGGGGGGTGGGAGATAGGGGTGCGTACCTGTAGGCCTGGGGGCACCCGGGGCGGGGGGGTGGTCGCCGAACTCTGTGCGATCACTGGAGGAAGGGACTGGGGGTCATTTGAGGGATGAGGAAATGGAGAGGGGGCGCCGCAGCCGGTTTTGAGGCCCAAGGGGCAGCCCCCACGTGGCTGCGCGGACTCCCTCCGGAAGTGCCCGAGTTCAGATGCTGTGTGACCGCGCACGCGGGGCGAGCGGCGCCCTCTCTGAACCTCCTGCCTCTCCCCTGTCTAGTGGGGCCCCAGTGCACTTGTAAAGTGGAGAGACCTGACGACCCCCCACCCCCAAGCGCTCCACTCACGCTGTTGTGATTCCTAAACCATCGTGCCCGGAACTCAGTGAAGCTCCCAGAACGTATTACATTGTATTAAAATGGCTTGTTTATCTCCACGTTGCATCAATGCCCTCGGGGCCAGGATCCTCCGTTGCCAGACTTCCCGGGAACACTTGGAATGCCTCCTCCACCTCGGACTAGCAGTGGCCTTTGGCCTCAGTCTCCCCAGTTGACAAAGGGGGGTAATCTGCACCTCCAGGATCACTTTGTGAATTACTTAAGGAGCGGGCTTGAGGCCAGCACTCCCCTGCACTGCTACATCTCCATCCCCATAGCAAAGGCTACATTTTATTTACTAGCATTTATATTTGCCTTGTGTTTTTCCCAGATCTAGGTGCAAACAGCACCTGAAAAGCGTTTGTTTATTTCATGAGAGAAAAGGGGTTCCTTACTCTCTCCTCCTCTCCCTCTTCATGCTCTCTGGTTCCCTGCCACCTACCCCACCCCCGACTCCAGGTCCCGGAAAATTTGCCAAGGGTTTGGGGGAACATTCAACCTGTCGGTGAGTTTGGGCAGCTCAGGCAAACCATCGACCGTTGAGTGGACCCTGAGGCCTGGAATTGCCATCCTCCTGCCGGTGACTCTGACCTTCCAGATCTAGGGGGGCCTGGGGAGCCCCCAATCCAGCCTGGGCACGTCCCCTCCCCTAGGCCACAGCCGAGGTCACAATCAACATTCATTGTTGTCGGTGGGTTGTGAGGACTGAGGCCAGACCCACCGGGGGATGAATGTCACTGTGGCTGGGCCAGACACGGCTTAAGGGGAATGGGGACTGGGGACAGGACCCCCCACCGCCACAGTCACTCAGCCTGTTTTTTGCCCTGACCCCAACCACTCCTCTTTGGAGAGGAGAGCTGGTGTCTGGAATCTGGATGGGCTCTGGCTGGATTTGGGACTAAATATTAGAGGGTTGGGGGTAAACAGGCTGGGGCAGGGCAGCTAAAATCCCCTTTTTTTTTTTTTTTTAAGACAGAGTCTCACTCTGTTGCCTAGGCTGGAGTGCAGTGGCCCAATCTCAGCTCACTGCAACCTCTGCCTCCAGGGTTTGAGTGATTCTCTGGCCTCAGCCTCCCAAGTAGCTGGGATTACAGGCATCTGCCACCACAGTGGGCTAATTTTTGTATTTTTAGTAGAGACGAGATTTCACTGTGTTGGCCAGGCTGGTCTCAAACTCCTGACCTCAAGTAATCCTCCCCCCTCGGCCTCCCAAAGTGCTGGGATTACAGGCATGAGCCACTTTGCCTGGCCTAAAACCCCTTTCTGAAATGTGGGTGGTAAGTTCTGCTCCGTGGAGTGCTCCATAGTTTTGTTTTTTAAATTAGAGACAGGATCTCGCTCTTGTCACCCAGGCTGGAGTGCAATGGTGTGACCTTAGCTCACTGCAGCCTCTAATAACTGGAGTCAAGCGTTGATCCTCCCGCCTCAGCCTCCCCAGTAGCCGGAACCACGGGCACGCACCACCACACCTAGCTTATTTCGAAAAAGTGTTTTTGTAGGAACAGGGTCTCAAAACGTTGCCCAGGCTGGTCTCCAACTCCTAGGTTCAAGCAATCCTCCTCGGCCTCTCAAAATGAGCCACAGTGCCTGGCCAATAAAAGTTTCTTAAATGAATGGATGGGTGGATGAGCTGTGTAAGCGGCACAGCGTCTCTCCTCTGTGTCCAAGTCCTGAGCACACCCTCCCCTCCTGGGACTGAGCTGAGATCTCATCTCGGGGAGGACACTGAAGACCTGTAGGTACTAGGGGTCCCCTCCTAACAGCCCAACTTGCTATCCCCCACCTCCCAACTCCAGAGGGTTCTTTCTCACCCCTCTGCAGCCCCCGCCAGGAAAGGGCTCCCTCCCCAGCACCTAGCCTCAGGGGGCCCCAGTAACTAGAAGAAGGAGGCAGATGTGGTGCTTTTTGTTGTTGTTGTTTTGAGACAGAGTCTTACTCTGTTTCCCAGGCTGGAGTGCAGTGGCTTGATCTTGGCTCACCGCAACCTCTGCCTCCTGGGTTCAAGCAATTCTTCTGCCTCAGCCTCCTGAGTAGCTGGGATCACAGGCACCCGCCACCATGCCCAGCTAATTTTGTGTGTGTGTGTGTGTGTGTGTGTATTTTTAGTAGAGACAGGGTTTCACCATGTTAGCCAGGCTGGTCTCGAACTCTTGACCTCAGGTGATCCGCCTGTCTTGGCCTCCCAAACTGTTGGGATGACAGGCATGAGCCACCACTCCCTGGCCTGGTGCATGTCTTTATAAATAACTGGATGGGCAGGTGGCTTCACACCTCAGTTTGCTCATCCATTCAATGGGGGTTCCACTAAGACAACCGATGTGAAAACTCTTGGAGGGAGACCAGAGCTGGGGGCCGGGGGGCATGATCCTTCCCCCCTACCCCCGCAACCAGCCCATGAGCCTGGGACTACCACACTCCTTTCAGAGACAGCTGGAGCATCAGCAACCTCCCGCCTGGACACACACACACACAAAGAACCCAGGGGCACCTGGCCACTCCCCCGCCCAGGGGAAGGAAGAAAAAGTTATAAAGAAGTTACTAAGTTAACTTCTTTAAGTTACTGGTAACTGCTAGTCTTTGGGGGTGGGGTTTCCAACCCATTCTCCCCATCCTCCAGTGGGGCTGGAGGGCTAAGGACTCCTACAAGGAGGGGAGGCAGGGTAGCCCCCCAATTCCCTGGAGGTGTGTACGGGGGGCTGTGGTGCACCTCGCAGGATGCCCCCCCACACACCCTGTGTCCTGTAGTCCCCCGGCACAGCCAGAGGCCATACAGCCCTTTAGGAGGAGTATTAGTGGGGCACCAGGCCCCCCTGTGACAATAAGGAACCTCCCACAGCCTGCTCCTCCCTCTTCACACCCCCTTGGAGGTAAAAGGAGGGTCGGCCAGCACAGACTCCCAGGCTCCAGAGAGGGGAAGGAAGGGGCAGCAGAGAGGGGTCAGAAGGAGGGAGCTTAAGCCAGGCAGGGTTACTTGTCTCTGTGACTCCTTCCGCCTGGCACATGCTGCCCAGCTATGGGGACCTTTGACCTGTGGACAGATTACCTGGGTTTGGCACACCTGGTTAGGGCTCTGAGTGGGAAAGAGGGTCCTGAAACCAGGCTGAGCCCCCAGCCAGAGCCAGAGCCAATGCTGGAGCCGGTGTCAGCCCTGGAGCCGATGCCAGCGCCGGAGTCGGTGCCAGTGCCGGGACCCAAGGATCAGAAGCGCAGCCTGGAGTCCTCGCCAGCTCCCGAACGCCTGTGCTCTTTCTGCAAACACAACGGCGAGTCCCGGGCCATCTACCAGTCCCACGTGCTGAAGGACGAGGCTGGCAGGGTGCTGTGTCCCATCCTGCGGGACTACGTGTGTCCCCAGTGCGGCGCCACACGTGAGCGCGCCCACACCCGACGCTTCTGCCCACTTACTGGCCAGGGCTACACCTCCGTCTACAGCCACACCACCCGAAACTCGGCAGGCAAGAAGCTGGTCCGGCCTGACAAGGCGAAGACACAGGACACAGGCCACCGCCGAGGAGGAGGAGGAGGAGCAGGTGCCTGCACAGGTGGCTGGGGGGGACCTGTCCGAGGGTAGTGGCTGAGCCCCCCTGTGAAGTAAGATTAGCCCCAGTACCCACCTCCAAGGGTTAGGGGAAGACCTTAGAGAGAGCTTAGAACAGCAGTTGATTTTATTTACGTATTTATTTATTTATCTTGAGACAGGTCTCTTTCTGTTGCTCAGGCTGGAGTGCAGTGGCGCCATCTCGGCTCACTGCAACCTCCACCTCCTGGATTCAAGCGATTCTCCTGCCCCAGCTTCCTGGGTAGCTGGGATTATAGGCGCGCGCCACCACACCCGGCTAATTGCCACCATGCCCGGCTAAATTTTGTATTTTTAGTAGAGATGGGGTTTCACCATGTTGGCCAGGCTGGTCTCAAAACTCCTGATCTCGTGATCCGCCCACCTCGGCCTCCCAAACTGCTGAGATTACAGGCGTGAGCACCGCACCGAGCCAGTTTGTTTATGTATTTATTTATTTATCTTGAGACAGAGTCTCTTTCTGTCACCCAGGCTGGAGTGCAGTGGCATGATCTTGGCTCACTGCAACCTCTGCCTTCCGGGTTCAAGCGATTCTTCTGCCTCAGCCTCCTGAGAAGCTGAGATTACAGGCGCCTGCCACCATGGCCAGCTAATTTTTGTATTTTTAGTAGAGATGGGGTTTCACCATGTTGGCCAGGCTGGTCTCGAACTCCCAACCTCGTGATCCACCCTCCTCAGCCTCCCAAAGTGCTGGGATTACAGGCATCAGCCACCACATCTGGCCCGCAGGGTTATTATAGATGCAGAAAGAAGACTTTTATTTTATTTATTTATCAATTTATTTTTCTTCCTTTTTTTTTTTAATTTTTTTTTTTGAGATAGAGTCTCGCTCTATCCACCCAGGCTGGATGGAGTTCAGTGGTGCGATCTTGGCTCACTGCAACCTCTGCCTCCTGGGTTCAAGCGATTCTCCTGCCTCAGCCTCCCGAGTAGCTGGAATTACAGGCGTGCACCACCATTCCTGGTGTGTTTTTTTTTTCCTCCCATAGAAACAGGGTCTTACTATGTTTCCCAGGCCGGTCTCAAACACGGCTTAGGTGATCCTCCTGCCTAGGCATCCCAAAATGCTAGGATTATAGGCGTGAGCCACCACGCCTGGCCCCAGTGAGGTTTTCTTTCTTTCTTTCTTTTATTTGATTATTTTTCTGAGATGGAGTCTTGCTCTGTCACCCAGGCTAGAGTGCAGTGGCGCGATCTTGGCTCACTGCAACCTGTCTCCCGGGTTCAAGCGATTCTCTTACCTCAGCCTCCCGAGTAGCTGGGATTACAGGCACCCACCACCACGCACGGCTAATTTTTGTATTTTTAGTACAGACGGGATTTCACCATCTTGGCCAGGCTGAGTCTTGAACTCCTGACCTCGAGATCCACCCGCCTTAGCCTCCCGAAGTGCTGATATTACAGGCTTGAGCCACCATGCCTGGCCCCCAGTGAGGTTTTAAAAGAGAAACTCGTTCTAGCAACTTAAATTGCCTTTGAGGAAGTCAGCTAACAGAGGAGGGGCCAGTCTAACTAGGTGTGTTTGGGCACTGCCTCCCCCAGCAGACTGTGAGCTCCTGGAGGATAGTGACTGGGAGAGGACGACCCCTCCCAACTACTCTCAGGCAGCTTTGCAGTGAACATTTCTTAAAGTCATGAAAGGGTCAGGTGTGATGGCTTACACCTGTAATCCCAATACTTTGGGAGGCCAAGGCAGGAGGATCGCTTGAGCCCAAGAGTTTGAGACCAGCCAGGGCAACATGGTGAAACCCAGTGTCTACAAAAAATTAGCTGGGCATGGTAGTGTGTGCCTGTAGTCCCAGCTACTTGGGAGGCTGACGAGGGAGGATCGCTTGGGTCCAGGGGACAGAGGCTGCAGTGAGCTGAGATGGTGCCACTGCACTGCAGCCTGGGCAACACAGCAAGACCTCGTCTTAAAAAAAAAAAAAAGCACTGGTCATGGTGGCTCATGCCTGTAATCCCAGTACTTGGGGAAGCTGAGGCAGGTGGATCACCTGAGGTCAGGAATTCAAGACCAGCCTGGCCAACATGGTGAAACCCCGTCTCTACTGAAAATACAAAAAATTAACTGGGCATGGTGGCATGCGCCTGTAATCCCTGCTACTCGGGGGGCTGAGACAGGAGAATCGCTAGAACCCGGGAGGTGGAGGTCGCAGTGAGCTGAGGTCACGTCACTGCACTCCAGCCTGGGCGACAGAGTGAGACTCCGTCTCACAAAAAAAAGAAAGCATGAAAGACTGCCTCCAGGAGAAGATAGTGTTTCCTGTGAGGTTTGATGCTGTCTCACTGGGAGACGCTGGAGGCCAAAAGGACATAGGGAAGATGGTGTCCTGCGGCCAGCCTTTCTGATGAACAACTTTTGGGAGTAACAGATCCGGGGACCCCAGAGCACGGCGGCCACGAGAGGGCACCACAGTCGCAGAATCGGAACTCCTGTGCTTTGTCTCGGGCTCTGGGTCCCAGCGGGGCCGCCCGGCGGAGCCAGAGACGTCACGGGGTCGCTGTCTCCGGAGCAGCCCCTGGGTGGCGCCAGAGGTCCAGCAGGCCCGGAGGCCGAGTCCGTGGGCAACTTGGGGAGCGTTGAGTCATCGCCTGTGATTAAGCATTTCTCTCCCTCCCCCTCCACTAGGTTTCAGAGGTGCCGGGAAGTCTGAGCCTTCGCCCTCCTGCTCTCCCTCCATGTCCACCTAGGAGGCTGCCTACACCTGGGCAAGGGCACCCGGGCTCGGCTGGATTTCCAGGAAGACCCACCCTATGACGACTGCCCCCACTCCCAGACCCTCCCCCCAGCCTGGGATTGAGCCCTGGGGATGACCCGGGGTTGGCAAGGGAAGAGCTGAAATCGCCCTGTCCTTGGGGACCCCACCCTTTGTGCCATCTGCCGTTTCCCTAGTGCTGGGCATCCAGTCAGCCCTCAATAAATGCTTATGAATGGATCAACAACAGACAAGCCCTGGTCTTGGGACAAGGTGTAGTGTGAACCTTGCTGGGAGTCCTGTACCTAGATCTCCCCTTCTCCTTCTTTGAGTTTCGGCACCCTGGGGTGCTGGGGTGAGCTGCTTTGTGCAGAGAAACACAAGTGGGTGCCTTGGGGTAGCTGGGGGGGTTCATGGCACCTCAAAGCCAGATCGACATCATGAGACCCTTTCTGTGGACATTTGGTCTTTCAGCCACCCCCTGCACTGACATGCAAGATGGGTGGACTCCTCCCATCCCACCCCCAGCTCCGTACTGGAGGTGGGGGCTTCATTTGAGGAAGAAATTGACACACAACTAGACAGAGCCCCCCCCCCCGACATCCTCATCACTAAGGAAGGTGAATGTTTATGTCACCATGGATGCCCCAGTGACAAGCCAGGCAGTTTAGAGCAAGGGAGGGACATTTAGGGGGCAGGGAATGGGACCATGTCCTGGGTGGGCTTGGGCAGGAGCAGAAGGATGGGGCTGTTCTGGCAGGGCGGGGGGGAAATGCATGTGGGGGAATCCCCACACCCCTGCCTGCCTCCTCCACCTCCAGATCTTGTCCTGTTGGGGCAACAGGTGGCAGTGCTCAGGAAGCCAGTGCGCCCACTGTGCAGTCCACATTCCTACCCCGCCCCCGTCCCACAAACCAGCCCTGAGGCCTGTGGTCTGGCAGCGGGGAGCAGGAATCGAGCTCTTTGCTGTCCCCTCTGCCCTTGGCTTTCCGACTTAAAAGACTTAAATTGGAACCGGAGGCCCTGGGGATGGGGGTGGGCTCTTGCAGACAGCTGGGTCGTGGAGGGGGAAGTGGGGAGGAGGAGAAAGAAAACAGAAGGATCCCAGCGGCTCCCAGGGTCTGGGAATGGAGTTACAGTTTCCTAGGGCAGAGCCGCTGGGGCTGGAGACCCGGGGAACTGGGCTTACACCAGGGCATGTCCTGGTGGACAGGGGGCTCACCTGGGTGTGAACCCACCCTGCTCTTTCCTCCCCTCCTGCATCAGGTCTCCAGGGTGTAAGGCTGCAGGGTGGGAGGAGGACCCCGCCTGAGCCATGGGAGCTGGGGTGCAGGAGTCACAGAGTGCTTCATGATGTCGAAGGTCCAGTCAGCCTTTCAGTGACAGATTTCACAGAGGCATTGTTTTCTGTAAACTGGGGATGACAGCAGCCCCTGTGGTTGCTAACAGGACTGTCATCTGGCTCGAGAGGCTTGCGTGGGATGAGAAATGCCACGACTTCAGCCATGTTTGCATCCATAACCTCCTGGGATGGCCTCCTTCCTGTCTGGGGCCCACAGGCAGCTTGTCCTGGAGGATGGGCCAAGCCACCGGAGCGCAGGACTCACCCTGCAGCTGGATGATCGCCCAGGGCGTCTCTTAGGCTTCGACCCGCGTGTATGCTCAAGAGCCTGCACACAGATGTGGGCACACAGTCACCCACCCCTGGAGATTCGCCCCCCCCTTGCTTTCCCAGGGAAGCTGAGGCATAAAACTCGTAGAGGGCGAGGAGGAGGAAGTGGGTAGAGAGGTTTGTGGGCGGAAGGTGAAGGAACTGAAGCCTCAGCCCCAAACAGCAGGTCACGGGGCCTCTACAGAATCATTTATTATGGGTCTTCCCAGAAGAAATAAAATGGAAATGGGGAGAAAGAAAACAAAGGGAGCTCTCTTCTCCTCCAGGAAAGAAACAAATTCTGAACCATCCATACTTGGCTCAGGACCCTAAAATTTGCAAATCCGGACAGGATGGGCCCTGCTCAGAGGTGGCCAGCTTCCTGGAGCCCAGGCCCGCTTGAAGTCACTGGGGCTGTGGGAGACACAGTTTCCCTCCCTGAAGCCAAGGGTGGCAAATGACCTTGACCCTGGCCAGGTGAGGCCAGGACCTCACGGCCTCCTTTGTGTTGTCCATGGAAGACCAACTTCCGGGCAACTGAAGGGAGGTTTGTAGGGTCCACTAGGACCCCCTGGAGCATCTTGGAGGAGGTCTGCGGACATGGGGGCTGGGTGGCAAAGGAAACACAGACCTCAAAGTGGCCTACAACTCCCTCCAGGGTGGGTCCCCTCGAGGGATATTCCCAGGCCCCTTGGAAGGGTAAGGCAGGGGGGCTTTGCCTCCCAGCTTTGTCTTCCGGTAGTTAAGGCGCTTGAAAGCTTCCAGGTCCCGGTGGGTGCCCATGATCAGCCGGCTGTGGGGGAAACACAGGCATGCGTGTGGGGCTCAGTGGTCACCAGGTGACAGAGGGGGCCGCGCCTCACAGCCACATGGTCACCAATGACTCAGGTGCACACACACGGCTCACACACGTGCACATAACCAGAAAGGGCCTGTTGTAGCACAGGCTGGGCCTGTTGCAGCCTTTCTTCAGAGCCTGTGTTCTGCAAAGGACGGGGGAGGGGGGCCACGGTGAGGACCCAGCAGCAGTGAGGTGCCTGACCCTCGCTGCCCACCTAGGGGCTTCACACTTCAGTCCCTCCCTGCTCCTCTGAGTCCCCACTGGCCTCCCGCAGACCCTGTGCCGTGAGTCCAAGCCCACCCCGTACTTCAGGTTGGAGAGCTCAACGATGAGGCCACGCACGACGTTGGTGGCATCCTCCATCCTGGAGGCCTCAGAGGCCTGGATCCCCACGAAGGTCCTGGCCAGCAGGGAAGGAAATTGAGAGTGGCCCGACCTCACTGGACTACCAGAGCTCTCCAGTGGGAGGGGCTTCCGCAGGGCCTCGCGCCATCTTTTCCAGGTGTCCAGCCTGTCCTCCTCTGTTCACGACAGAACCCTGATGGCCAACCCAGCTGGCTCCACTGCCCAGCAGGCCCAGAACCCAACCGCTTCTCCCCTACCTGCCCTGCCCTCTCAGGACGCTGCTGCCACCGCCTCCCTATCTCCTGCCCCTGTGGCTTGTCCCCCACAGGCACTGGGGGCTGTGAACTTGGAAACCTAGCTCAGAGGCAAGCCCTCTCCTCCCGCAGCTGTGCACCACCTGCCTGCCCCGTGCCCTCCCCTCATCCCCCGCTTCTCCCCTCCCCTCGGCTCTAGCCACACTAGACTCCTGGCCATTCCTTGAGCACCTCTCAGGATTCTGGAATGTTCTTTCCCAAATGTCTCCTCCTGGTGGTGGCTTCCCTGATTCCTCCTTACATTTTAACCCCTTCTCCGCTGCCTTTTTTTCCCCAACACTCTGCCATCTGACTATCTAATCTGCTGTCTCTCATGTCCCCACACCCCGAATCCCCCAGTAGCATTCAACTCTGTGTTTTGTCCCACACTGCCTCCCCAGCACCCAGGGCAGTGCTAGAAAGGCCAGCCCAGATGGCATTCATATCCTTGGAAGGTTTGGGAGGTCAAGGTGGGAGGATGGCTTGAACCCAGGAATTCAAGACCAGCCTCGGCAATGTAGTGAGACCCCCATCTCTACAAATAATACAAAATTAGCCAGGCATAGTGGTGCGCGCCTGTAGTCCCAGCTACTCAGGAGGATGAAGTGGGAGGATCAGTTGAGCCTGGGAGATGGAGGCTACAGTAAGCTATGATCCTGTACACCAGCCTGGGCAACAGAGCAAGACTCTATCTAAAAAATATCCCGCCAGGCACGATGGCTCATGCCTGTAATCCCACCACTTTGTGAGGCTGAGGCAGGTGGATTACTTGAATCCAGGAGTTTGAGACCAGCCTGGGCAACACGGCAAAATCCCATCTCTAAAAAAAAATATACAAAATTAGCCGGGTGTGGTGGCGGGTACCTGTAATCCCAGCTACTTAGGGGGCTGAAGTGGGAGAATCATGCGAGCCTGGGAGATCGAGGCTGCAGTGAGCTGAGGTTGCACCACTGCACTCCAGCCTGGGTGATGGGAGTAAGACTGTGTCTCAAAAAAAAAAAAAAAATCACGGAAGAGCCAAGGAGCCACAGAACACCTCCCCCACCCCACAGAACAGGTGCCACTCTCAGACACAGGCAGTACAGGTGGCCAGGCGGGTAAGTGGGGGCCACCCGCCCTAAACCCGCCCATGCCCCAGGCTTCGCAGCACCTCCGGGGCTGTCACTATGGAAACTGCTGTCCTGCTGCTCCTGCCTTGGTCACCCTGAGGTGTCTGGCAGCCCCTGGGTCTTAGCCTCTTGTGTGTGTCATTCAGCCTCAAGCCACCAAACCAGACCCGGGGCCCTCTGGGAGCTTCCAGACATCCAGGACGGTGGGGAGGGGAGCTGCATTGGCCCTGGGACGCTGTCGGAGATTCAGATGTGAACCCTCCCGGCTCTTCACTCAAACCACAGCGGGCCGCTCTGATGAACTGCCTCTGGTCCACGTGCAGGTTGTGTGTGTGGCTAAGGGAGGTGGCCAGTGGCACAGCAGGTACAAGTCACAGGGAGTGACGGCAGGAGGCAGGGACAGAGCCGCCCTCTGCTAGGGGAGGAGAAGGAGGAGGAGGGTGTGGGGGCCACACACAGCCAAGGGCTGAGTCCCAAACCCTCCTCCACCCCTGCCAGACAGAAACAGAAACTTGGCCATAAATAATTGATAAGCTGCCGCCTCTGCAGAGAGGCAGGTTCAAGTGCCAGGTAACAGAGAGGGCAGCCACCCAGCGCTGGCTTCGAGGAGGGCTGTGGGAGGGCACGGGAGGAGGGGACAGGCTGCGGAGACCCCGGGCATGGTGCGGGGGAGAGGGTGCCCTCCTCACACACAGCAGGCTGGAGGACGGCTCACTGGTGGCCTGTGGGAGGGAGGAGGTGGTTCGCCTAGGGCAAGAGCCAAGTGGGGAGGGGAGGAGGTGAGGGCAGGTTAGACTCACTCGGGTGCCCGCCTGGTGCCAGAGCTAGGAACAGCTCCAAGATGGTCTCAGCCAACAGTTCTGAGCCCTGTCTGGGTCCCCTCCCCTTCCCAGGGACTCAGGAGGAAGCTTTGGCCCCTCTTCCCAGAGAGAAAGAGCCCACAGAGCCGGAGGCACTGTCCCAGGGCTCCTGGGGAGCTTCTGGGTGGGGAGATGCTGGGTTGGGTGTCGATCACTGGTCACTGTCGCCCATTCTCTGCTTTCGGGGAGCAGGGGAATGTATACAGTTTGAAAGACAGGGCTCAGCTCCCCTGCTGGACTGAGGAAGTCGAGGCCCAGGGAGGGAGAACTGGGGTCTGTCTCCTCCATCTGTCACCCTCCTTGGTAAAATTTGTGAGGGTCCTGGAGCCACTTCTCACCCACGCCACACCTACCTCGGCTGGGCCTTGGCCACTGCAACAGGGTCTCCATTGGCATGTGAGCTGGGGCCCGGCCAGCAAGGGCCCGGCTTGTTCCCCGAAGGAAAGAGCTGGAAAGAGAGCACAAGGTGTGAGTGGTCGAGGCCTGGGTCGGGCAAGCTCTGCACAGGGGAACCAGAAGTCACGCTGATGCTTTTGGCTTCACCGCGGCCACAGCAGGTCACATCGGGGCTGGCTGGGACTCCTGCAGAGGAAGAGCGGTAACGGGGAGGAAATCCACGATGGGTAGACCCGAGGCTACCAGCCTGGGCTGCGCCCGTCCTTTCCCCTTGGAAAGAGAAAGGCCACAGCCAACCCTGGTGTCCGCTCCTAGGCCCGGGCCTCCCACAGGCTGATCTGGGCAGTGGGGGCACCACTGTGCCATGATCTCTGGCCCTGACACCACTGCAGTCTCCTGCATGCCCCTCACTGTCTTTACGGGTACAGAGAAAACACAAAGCGGGGGCAACTGCGGTGAAGTGGAGTCGTCTACCTTGGCTGAATGTGCCACAGACATCCTGTTAGGAAAGGAGTTTGCAAATATAACACGAGGGGAAAACTCCCAGTGAATACAGGGGAAAGCCTGGTAACTCCACGGCGCTTAAGCTTCTAAGCGTCAATGGTGGTTTAATTTCCATGGAAAATGTTAAGCTCCGTTACAGTGGTGACCTATGATGTCCCTCAGAAAAGAGGCAATGAGCCAGGCTGGGGACACCTGTAATCCCAGCACTTTGGAAGGCTGAGGTGGGAGGATTGTTTGAGGCCAAGAGTTCCAGACCAGCCTGGGCAACACGGCGAGACCCTGTCTGTACAAAAAAAAAAAAAAAAAATTAGCTGGGCATGGTGGCACGCACCTGTGGTCCTAGCTACTTGGGAGGCTGAGGCAGGAGGATCAACTGCTTGAGCCCGGGAGGTTGAGGCTGCAGTGAGCTGTGATTGTGCCACTGCACTCCAGCCTGGGCGACAGAGCAAGGCCCTGTCTCTAAAATTTAAATTAAATGACTCCATATGCAGATTGCAGAAGCTCCATCAGTCCAAGAGTGAGTGCAAAGGATCTATGAGAAAGTAACACCAAACCCTCCCATGACGAGACCTTGGTTTGAGGTTTGAAAGCTCTGTCTCTGCTGTGTCACCTCTGAGTCCCCTCCTCTAGCACAGTGTGTGGCCACAGTGAGGTCAGGAGGAGGTGCTGAGACGGCCCGCTCGATCCATCTTTGCTGTTCCCCGTGCCCCTGCCCATGTTGGGAGACACGGGCCTCGGCCTTCCTGCCGGGAGCCACCCGGAACCTTCCCACGGGAATGTGTTCCTTGCCTGGGTCGCCTCAACTTGCTGGGGAACGCCTCGTGTCAAAGCCAAACACGCCCAGGCCCTGGCAGTGCTGTCAGGGCGGTGCCTCCTCCCCTGGCTGGGGAAAGGCTGCTAATGCTGGTCGGGTTTGACCAGCCTGGCTGTCTGTCTGGATCCCCCCAAGTCTGGATTTCAGGGTCTTTTTCCAAGCTTGCAGTTTGGCAGCCCGTTTAGGAGGGCTAGGGGCTTCACCTGCTGGATGCCACCTAGGCACACCTGGCCCCAAACACCTTAACCATTTCCCAGCCTTCTCTCCAAGCCACCACTCACGAGACCACAGACTGGAGGCAATGGAGGCGGCTCTTCTCTCAAGCGAGGGATTTGCATTTTGCAAGGCATGAAGCTCTCATAAAATTTCAGCTGTGCCCAGCACCAGAACTCCTGCCTTTCCCACATGCTCGTGTTCAGCCTCTACCACTGAACCACACTGTGACTCACTTTTTTTTTTTTTTTGAGACAGGGAGTTCAGCACCCAGGCTGGAGTGCAGTGGTGTAATCTCGGCTCACTGCAACCTCAAACTCCTGGGCTCAAGTGATTCTCCTGCCTCAGCCTCCCAAGTAGCTGGGACTGCAGCCATGCATCCCCATGCCTGGCTAATTTTTTCTTTTCTTGAGAGAGTCTTGCTCTCTTGCCCAGGCTGGAGTGCAGTGGCGCGATCTTGGCTCACTGCAACCTCAGTCTCCCAGGTTCAAGTGATTCTTCTGCCTCAGCCTCCGGAGTAGCTGGGATTAGAGGCACACGCCACCATGCCCAGCTAATTTTTGTATTTTGGTAGAGATGGGGCTTCACCATGTTGGCCAGGCTGGTCCTGCTCTCCTGCCTCGGTCTCCCAAAGTCCTGAGATTACAGGTGGGAGCCACTGTGCCTGGCCATGAATTTTTTTTTTTTTTTTTAACATCTCAACACAGGGACAGCCAAAGAAACAGAGGCTGACATTTGAAAAGCAAATTGGACTCTGCGTTCCAGGACGCGGCGGCTGGGGCATGACCTGGGTGCCAGCCTGGCCTCCTCCCCTCCCACCTGCCTCACCTCTAGCAGGCGCACGAACTCCTCCAGAGTCTTCACTGCCACACCCAGTGTGTGGACAGAGAACTGCCTACCTCCCTGGGCGTGACTGTGATGCCCTCAGCCCAGGCTCAGGTGTGCCAACGGCTAGGGAGGTCGCTCTTTCCCTGGGGGGCAGGGCTGAAGCAAGGCTGCCATCTGCCCAGACAGGAGAATGAACGCCAACGGCTGGCACCGGCTCTGGAGCCAGAGGAGGCCACATCCGGGCAGCCGGTGGGGCGGGCAGATCCCTGAAGGAGGCAAAGCCCTTACACGTTCTGGCAGAAAAACAAAATGACTTATGTATGTTTGGAAAAGAATCATATCAGGACCCCCAGAGGACCCTAAGGAGATGGGCAAAGGCTCTTTTGCAGCTTGGGAGTGAAGCCCCCTCCCCAGGCCCAGGTATAAAGCCATCCCCAGGCCCAGCTTCTCTCCATCTGTGTCTACCCGCCTCAATACATCCCCTGGGACCCCACGGCCAGGGTCAGGCACTGAAGCAGAAGCTGCCAGGGGCTGGCACTCCTGGGGACTCCAGTTCAATGTGGGGGGCCCGGCTGAGAAAGCAGCTGTGTGTCACCATCCCTAGATATGTCGACAACCACCAAAAGGCAGGTCTACACTTTCTGGAAAACCACCGACTCCACACCCAGTAGAGCTGCAACTCGGACTCCTATAGTCGTTGGCTGTGTAAATGGTAAGCCCTGAGCCCCAGCTCCCCCTCTGCCACTGCACCGAGTGAGGAGGGGGCTTGTGGAGGTTGGGTGCCTGCCCTGGGCAGGTATGTCTGTCACTCAGGGCAGCTCTCACCTGCTCAGGTGGGGCTTCGAAGTCAGAGGCGTCCAGGGCATCCTGTATCTGGCTGTCCAGCAGGAAGTCGAGTTCCACAGCTAAAGAGTCTGCCCAGGTGCCCTGGTCTGCAGAATGAGGCAGGTGGTCTCGCTGCCCTGCCAGCTCTGAGGTGGTGTCTGGAATGCCCTGCTGAGCCCCGGGCTCCTGGAGAGGGTCGTCTGCTATTTCTCTGTGTTCCAGCACAACAGAGGCTTGCGGGGACACACGGAACCCCTCGAGGTCTCGTTCGAGGTTCTGGCCACCTAACTCGGCTTCCTCTTGAGCAGGACCTGGCTCCTGCTTCTGATTGACACATGGACCTGTGTCCGGGGATGCATGACCGGAATCTCCAGCACCCATCATGGACTCTCCGCTCCCAGGTGCCAGAGCCAGGGAGGCTGTAGGGCCCACTAGGACATCGCCGGGGGGCTTGCCATCCTGCCCTGCCTCCCCACTTTCTCCTGTGGTTTCCCCAGTGAGCGAGGTGCAGCCTGGCAAGGCCCTCCTGTGGCCTCCATCAGCGGCCTTCCTCCTGGGAGAGGCAGGTGATATGGCACTGGCCTGCCCATCGGGCCCAGCCACCTCCAGAGCCCTCTCTTCCAGCTCAGTGGGGTCTGTGCTCAGGTCTGCGATGACAACCATCCCGAGGGAGGAGCATCCCAGGCTGCTATGAGTCCCTTCCCCTTCCCTACCCATCCTGCTGGGGGTCTGCTGGGGGTCAGGGGAGCCCTGGGCCACAGACCCGGGTTCCAGGCACCAAGAGGCAGGGCCCAGTCCTGGAGCAGGGCCTGAGGTAGGAGCTGATGCTGGGGTACAGGGGACACCGTCTCCCTCCTCCTGGGGCCCTCCAGGCAGGCCAGCCCCTGCTGTCCTTTGGGCCCCTCCCTCCTGGGGGGCTCCTCTGTCTGGCTTCTCCCCTTCAGAATCAATGCTTGGTAGGTGTTCCTTTTGGCCACCGTCACCTGGAACCCTGTCTGTCTCAGGCTTGCTGTCATCGGCCCCTTGTTCTGACAGGTGGTCTTGGCTGGCCCTCTGTGAGGCGGACAACCCCGTCCCCCTGTCTGGAGGGTCATCAGGCTGAGAATCCCCACTGCCGGGCACCGCCTGCACAGGGCTCTGGCTGCTCTGCTCAGGGCGGGCACTGTCTGCCTGCGTTGGGTCCCCCAGCTCCGTGGCCTCCTGGAGGGGGACCCCCAGGGTCTCCACTAGCAGCTGGCATCCTGGACTCTGGGCGCTGGACTCTGCGATTGTTTCCTGTGGACAGAAAAAGACTCAGCCCCGGGGCCTTTGATAACCAAGTTCTCCGAAGAGTTTTCTATTAGGTTGGTGTAAAAGTAATTGCGGGTTTTGTCATTACTTTTAATGGCAAAAATTGGCCAGGCGTGATGGCTCATGCCTGTAATCCCAGCACTTTGGGAGGCCGAGGTGGGCGGATCACTTGAGGTCAGGAGTTCAAGATCAGCCTGGCCAAAATGGTGAAACCCCATCTCTACTCAACAAATACAAAAATTAGCCAGGCATGGTGGCAGTTGACTGTAGTCCCAACTACTCAGGAGGCTGAGGCAGGAGAATTGTTTGAACCCGGGAGGCGGAGGTTGCAGTGAGCCGAGATAGGACTGCACTCCAGCCTGGACGACAGAGTAAGACTCTGTCTCATACACACAAAAAAATTAGTGGCAAAAACTGCACTTACTTTTGCACCAATCTAATAGTTGTCACCACCCTGTTCAAAGACTCAGATATTGGCACCGGCCATCATGCATGGAAATAGGCATCAGTACCAGGGCCGGCGACTGGAGGGGGATCTGGAAGCACAGAAACCTCTCCTTCCACCAAGCTCTTCTCTCCACCAGCACCAGGTACTCAATCAGATCAGGGATATGAAAATCAAGGTGGCATTCAGACCACACCAATGTCAATTTCCTGTTTATTATTATTATTATTATTATTATTATTATTAGACAGAGTTTCACTCTTGTTGCCCAGGCTGGAGTGCAATGGTGCGATCTTGGCTCACTGCAACCCCCACCTCCCGGGTTCACGCAATTCTCCTGCCTCAGCCTCCCGAGTAGCTGGGATTACAGGCTCGCGCCACCATGCCCGGCTAATTTTGTATACTTAGTAGAGACAGAGTTTCTCCATGTTGACCAGGCTG
Organism: Homo sapiens; assembly: GCF_000001405.40. NCBI lineage: Eukaryota > Metazoa > Chordata > Mammalia > Primates > Hominidae > Homo > Homo sapiens. Next base: position 13,891,364 of record NC_000019.10, read on the forward strand.
GTCTCAAACTACAGACCTCAGGTGATCTGCCCATCTCGGCCTCCCAAAGTGCTGGGATTAAAGGCATGAGCCACTGCGCCCAGCGGCTATTATTATTTTTATTATTTATTTTTCATAATTTTGAGACAGGGTCTCACTCTTTCGTCCAGGCTGGAGTGCAGTGGTGTGATCACGGCTCACTGTAGTTTTGACCTTCCTAGATTCAGACGACCCTCCCACCTCAGCCTCCTAAGTAGCTGGGACTACAGGTACACACCACAACTGGCTAAATTTTGTGGTTTTTTTGGTAGAGATGGCGTTGTGCCATGTTGCCCAGGCTGGTCTTGAATGCCTGGGCTCAAGTGATCCTCCTGCCTCGGCCTCCCAAAGTGCTGGGATTACAGGTGGGAGCCACTGCACCTGGCCAAGTTTTAAAACAATTATTGTAGCCTGGACGCAGTGGCTCATGCCTGTAATCCCAGCACTTTGAGAGGCCGAGGCAGGCGGATCATTTGAAGTTGGGAGTTCGAGACCAGCCTGGCCAACAGGGTGAAACCCCTATTCTAATAAAAATACAAAAATAAGCCAGGTGTGGTGGTGTGCACCTGTAGTCCCAGCTACTGGGGAGGCTGAGGCAGGAAAATCACTTGAACCCAGGAGGTGGAGGCTGCAGTGAGCCGAGATCACACCACTGCACTCCAACCTGGGCGATAAGCAAGACTCCATCTCAAAAAAAAAAAAAAATTATTGTAGAGACAGAGTCTTGCCATGTTGCCCAGGCTGGTCAAGGGAAGTCTCCCAAAGTGTTGGGATCATAGGCATGAGCCACTGCACCTGGCCAATTGCCTAGTTTTGGTGATGGACTATAGTTATGCATGGTGTTACCACTCGGTGAAGCTAAAACAGAGAACACCGGAAATTCACTCTGTACCATTTTGTGTTTTTTTAAAAATTGTGCTAAGGCCGTGCGCAGTGGCTCATGCCTGTAATCCCAGCACTTTGGGTGGCTGAGGCGGGCAGATCACCTGAGGTCAGGAGTTCAAGACCAGGCTGGCCAACATGGTAAAACCCCGTCTCTACTAAAAATACAAAAATTAGCTGGGCGCGGTGGGCAGGCGTCTGTTATCCCAGCTACTTGGGAGGCTGAGGCGGGAGAATTGCTTGAACCCAGTGGGGCAGAGGTTGCAGTGTGCCAAGATGGCACCATCGCACTCCAGCCTGGGTGACAAGAGTGAAACTCTGTCTCAAAAAAAAGAAAAAAAATAAAATAAAGAATTGTTGCATAGTCAACACACATCCATAGCGCAATGTACTGAAAACGGTGGGTGGAGAGGTGCAGGCCTCACCATTGCCAAAGAACTCCAGGGTTAAATGGGGCTGCCGAGGCTGGGCCAGGAGGCTGCACCTGCGCTGGGCTCAGCCTGGCTGATTTTAGAGCCTTACCAGGCTAAAGGCCCCACTCCCACGGTCCTCATCCTTCATCTCTTCTTTTCTTGTCACTGTCTTCCTGGATTTTGCAAACTGGGGAACAAACCTCCCGAATGAGTTCTGTAAACCGGATACAAGAACAAAGCAGCAATAAAGATAAGAGAGGAATGAGGTCTTAGGAAAAAAGCAACCCCAAACCTGCTCCTTTCTTGTAGCCTTGAGAGAACTCCACCCTTGCCCTCTGGGCACATTCCCTCCAGCCCCTGTAGACCATGAGTGAGCAATTGGTGACAAAGAAGGGAGACACAGAGCCGGAACTTTAAGGGAGGCAGTGGTGCTTCTATATCCACGAGGCCACAGGACGAGCTCACCTGGGAAGGAGGAAGGGGAGCTGGCTCCTTTTCTGGTTGACGGAGGAGCCGGCAGGGAGATCCTGTTTCCTCATCAGGGGAGCTATGTAGGAAAAGATAAAACTGAAGGAGATCTGCCCGGGTGCGGTGGCTCACACCTGTAATTGCAGCACTTTGGGCGGCTGAGGCGGGCAGATCACCGAGGCCAGGAGTTCGAGACCAACCTGGGGAACATGGTGAAACCGTATCTCTACTAAAAATACAAAAATTAGCTGGATGTGGTGGCGCACGCCTGTAATCCCAGCTACTTGGGAGGCTGAGGCAGAATGGCTTGAACTCAGGAGATGGTGTTTGCAGTGAGCCAAGATTGTGCTACTGCATTCCAGCCTAGGTGAGAGAACAAGGTTCTGTGTCAAAAACAAACAAACGAGGGGGATCTGAAATCCTCCTAGGTTGTCACTCACCTATCGAGACAAACGCAAAACAAAATCCAACAGGAAACCAGTGCTAAGAGTCTCCTAGGCTGGGCGTGGTGGCTCATCCCTTTAATCCCAGCACTGTGGGAAGCTGAGGTGGGTGGATGCCCAGGAGTTTGAGACCAGCCTGAGCAACATAGTGAGACCCCTTTTCTACAAAAAATTTAAAAATTAGCTGGACGTGGTGATGTGTGCCTGTGGCCCCAGCTACTTGAGAGGCTGAAATGTCACGATCATCTGAGCCAGGGGAGTTCAGGCTGCAATGAGCTATGATCACGCCACTGCACTCCAGCCTGGGTGACAGAGCAAGACCCTATCTCAAAAAAAAAAAAATGTCTGCTAGATGGAAGGCCCTGGAAAACCTGCTTTGAAAGAGTGGGATGGGGATGGAGAAGCAGTGACCTGAGAACATTTAACTGTCAAGGAGGGTGCAGAGTCCCACCTGGAGAATACACTGCCTTAACAGGTGACTTTGTTACATTTATAATCCCAGGAATTGCCTTCTGAACTGGGAATAGGGATATTCTCATTTGGACGGACACTCCAGCCCTGACACGGCACATTCTAGGGAAAGGAAATTGTGGATGCAAGAAACATAGTGTCTTTAAAAACTAGTGAAACTTAGGGTTATATTTAAATAAATAAGGGCCAGGCGTGGTGGCTCACGCCTGTAATCCCAGCACTTTGGGAGGCCGAGGCGGGCGGATCACCTTAAGTCAGGAGTTCGAGACCAGCCTGGCCAACATGGTGAAACCCCGTCTCTACTAAAAATACAAAAATTAGTTGGGTGTGGTGGCGGGCGCCTTTCATCCCAGCTACTCAGGAGGCTGAGGCAGGAGAATCGCTTGAACCCGGGAGGTGGAGGTTGCAGTGAGCCGAGATTGTGCCACTGCACTCCAGCCTGGGTGACAGAGAAAGACCCTGTCTCAAATAAATAAATAAATAAATAAGGATATGTATATCGTTTTGTTTTGGCTAATTATTTTATTTCTTGTAGATATGGGGTCATCCTTGTTATGTTACACAGGCTCCTCTTGAACTCCTGGGCTCAAGCGATCCTCTTGCCTCAGCCTCCCAGTGTGCTGGGATTATAGGCATGAGCCACTGCACTCAGCCCTGATTGCTTTTCTTTTTTTATTGGTCGTTAGCTCACATAACAACAATTCCTTTGTTCCCTTCTTGATTAAGGAAGAGGAGGAATGTGGAAGAAGGATGGGTTTGACCAGCAGACAGAATATGAGTTCTGTAACCCTGAAAAATGCAATGTTATCTTTGCCCACAGTTAAAACTTTTTTTTCTTTTTTTAGATGGAGTCTCGCTGTTGCCCAGGCTGGAGCGTAGTGGCATGATCTCAGCTTACTGCAACCTCTGCCTCCTGGGTTCAGTCGATTCTCCTGCCTTAGCCTCCTGAGTATCTGGGATTACAGGTGCGCCACCACACCCAGCTAATTTTTGTATTTTTAGTAGAGACGGGGTTTTGCAGTGTTGGCCAGTCTTGTCTCAAACTCGTGACCTCAAGTGATCTTCCCCCCTCGGCCTCCCAAAGTGTTGGGATTACAGGCATTAGCCACCATGCCCGGCTAAAACATCAACCCTTCTTACCAGCGAGGAAAGCTAGGAGAAGCGAGATCCGAGGGCCCTGAGCTCTGGGAGGGAGTGGGTCACAGCACTAGATAGGTTGTGGGTCTCTTTCCCAAAGCATTGCTGTCTGCTGAGCTGCTGTGCTATGTGGACTGTCAGTGGGGAGACCTGCCGGAATGTTCAGAGCCACCTACCTGGAGACGGCCTTTCCTGGTTCCTCCCCGTGCTGCTGTGTAGAGGGAACAGGTCCCAATTTGCCCTCTGGCTCCTCAGGGTGATGTAAACAGCCCAACATGGAACTCTGGGGGTCCCCATAGAAGTCTCCTAGCCTTGGGTTCTTTAGGGGTTTTGGAGGACAGAGTCCCTCTCCTGTTTTAGAGACAGAGGAAGATGAAGGGGTGGGGGATACAGCCACTGCTCATGGCTGACAACTCAGGTCTCCCCCACTACAACCAGGCTGCACGCGAGAAGGGGCCGAATCCATTTCACTCTCTGCGGGGTCCCAAGTGCCTGTAAGAGCATCTTGTACACTGTTGGTGCTCAATAAATAAATTATCCATGACTGGATAAATGCACACCACCAAGGGCAGACAAGACTAAATTATGTACCATTCTAATGTGCTGAGACATCTGCAAAATAGCCATCCTGGGAAAACTGGGACTCACAGCCACCGGGTGCTGAAGAGGTGATGCTTTGGCCACGTCCTGGCCCCTTGCATTTCTGCACTAACTTCCCCATCACTGAAAGCAATTGCGATGTGTCTTCTTCTGGCATTTAAGAGGCTAAAGATGCTTATTGACATCTTTGTATATATAGCGCAGTGGCTCACGCCTATAATCCCAGCACTTTGGGAGGCCGAGGCGGGTGGATCACCTAAGGTCAGGAGTTCAAGACCAGCCTGGCCAACATGGCAAAACCCCGTCTCTACTGAAAATACAAAAATTAGCCGGGCATGGTGGCACCCACCTATAGTCCCAGCTACTTGGGAGGCTGAGGCAGGAGAATCGCTTGAACCTGGTAGGCGGAAGTTGCAGTGAGCTGAGATTGCGCTACTGCACTCCAGCCTGGTTGACAGAGCGAGACTCTGTCTCAAAAAAAAATTAATATATATTATATATCATATATAAAATACATACATATTCATATTTAATATATACATACATATAAAATATATAATTATAATGTATTTACATATTGCATATTTATAATTATAAAATATATTATTTAAATTATATATTTATGATATATTAATATATTATAAACATTATATCCTTGTATTATATTATATATTTATATATGATATATATTTATTAAATATATACTATATATATTATATATCCCATTATATTGCCAGGTTGTTCCATGTGATCTAAAGCCAGGCCACGCCACCTCAGGATTCAGCCTCAGCCAAATATGTAAATATATATATTTATACATATGTATTTATACATACATATGTATTTATACATACGTATTTACATATATGTATTTATGTATTATATATACTATATATATATTTTTTCTTTTTTTAAGACAGGGTCTGGCTTTGTCTCCCAGGCTAGAGTGAGGTGGTGCAACTGTGGATCACTGCAGTCTTGACCTCATAGGCTCAAGCCATCCTCCCACCTCAGGCCACTCAAGTAGCTGGGACAAAAGGTGTGTGCCACCATGCCTGGCTAAGTTTTCTTTTGCTTTTGTTTTGTTGAGACAGGGTCTCATATGTTGCCCAGGCTGGTCGTGAACTCTGGCGCTCAAGTGATCCTCTTGTCTCGGCCTCCCAAAGTGCTGGAATTACAGGCATGAACCACTTTGCCTCGCCAGAATCTATCTTTTGAATTAAGAAAACTCCCTTACATCGAAACTTTTTTTTTTTTTTTTTGAGACAGAGTCTCGCTCTGTCACCAGGCTGGAGTGCAATGGCACGATCTCTGCTCACCGCAACCTCTGCCTCCCGGGTTCAAGTGATTCTCCTGCCTCAGCCTCCTGAGTAGCTGAGACCACAGGCACGCACCACCACACCCAGCTAATTTTTGTATTTTTAGTAGAGACAGGGTTTCACCATGTTGGCCAGGATGGTCTCGATCTCTTGACCTCATGATCCGCCCGCCTCGGCCTCCCAAAGTGCTGGGATTACAGACATGAGCCACCGTGCCCAGCCACATCAAAACTTTCAATAGTGGCTGGCTTGTAAGACTTCCCCAAGCCTGGCCCCAACCTAATCATGCATTCAGTGAACAAATGATAAGGGTTGACTCTAGTGAGTTCCACACCAGATGCTGTCCTAAGAACTTGTGTGTGTTAAGATAAAAGCTCAAGGCAGGGTGCTGCTGTTATGCCTGCCTTACAGAAGTACCTTGAGCAATTCAATATTATCTTTGTCCATGATTAAAATATTGGCCTTTGCCACCAGCAAGGAAAGATGCCAGCCTGTAATCCCAGGACTTTGGGAGGCCGAGGCAGGTGGATTGCTTAAGCTCAGCAGTTCAAGACCAGCCTGGGCAACATGGCGAAACCCTGTCTAAAAAGTACGAAAATTAGCCAAACATGGTGGTGCATGCCTGCAGTCCCACATACTTGGGAGGCTGAAGGGGGAGGATGACTTGAGCCCAGAGGAAGAGATTGCAATGAGTCCAGACTGTGCCACTGCACTCCAGCCTGGGCAACAGAACTAGAGCCTGTCTCAAAAAAACATTTAAATTAAACATTTAAATTAAAATAAATAAATAAAAGGGCAATATGGCAAAACCCCATCTCTACTAAAAATGCAAAAGTTAGCTGGGCATGGTGGTGGGCACCTGTAATCCCAGCTACTTGGGAGGCTGAGGCAGGAGAATCGCTTGAATCCGGGGGGCTGAGGTTGCAATGAGCCAAGATGGCGCCACTGCACTCCAGCCTGGGCAAGGGAGTGAGATTCCATCTCAAAAAAATAAATAATTAAATTAAATTAAAAGGAAAGGAAAGATGCGAGAATTGACACCCAAGGGCCCCAAGTTCCCAGAGAGGTGAAAACGTTAAGGCACACAGAGGCCCAGGAACCAAGGCTGGCACCCCGTCCAACTCCAGAACCAGCACACTTAAGAATACTTGAGCATTTACTGAATGCCTACTATGTAGTAGATTTCTGCCAAGGCAGGCAGAACAAAAAGACAAACCAACAGCCAGGTGTGGTGGTGCACACCTGCAGTCCCAGCTACTCAGGAGGCTGAGGGGGTAGGATCACTTGAGTCCAGGATCTCACTTGGGTAACACAGTGAGATCCCACCTCTATAAAACATTTAAAAATTAGCTGAGGGTGGTGGCATGCACCTGTAGTCTCAGCTACTCAGGAGGCTGAGGCAGGAGGATTGCTTGAGCCCTGGAGGTTGAAGCTGCAGCAAGCCGTGATTGTGCCACTGCACTCTGGCCTCAGCAACAGAGCTAGATCCTATCTCTAAAAAAAACACTAAAGAATAACACTATCCAGGACCAGGCGCAGTGGTTCATGCCTGTAATCCCAGCACTTTGGGAGGCTGAGGCGGGCGGATCCCCTGAGGTCGGGAGTTTAAGACCAGCCTGACCAACATGGAGAAACCCTGTCTCTACTAAAAATACAAAATTAGCCGGGCATGGTGGCTCATGCCTGTAATCTCAGCTACTCAGGAGGCTGAGGCAGGAGAATCGCTTGAACCCGGGAGGCGGAGGTTGCAGTGAGCCGATATCGCGTCATTGCACTCCAGCCTGGGCAACAAGAGTGAAACTCCATCTCAAAAAAAAAAAAAAAAAAAAAAGAATAACACTATCCAAACCCCAGATGGACTCTTTCCAACCTCAGCTCTACATTACACACTTACACATCGTGAAGTAAACCTACTGAATGAGTCTCTCTTTCCTCGACGCCAATTGCTAGGGTCTGCATCAGTCCCCATTCAGCTGTTTGCCCTCCACTAAACCACAGCAATCTTCCTGTAATTGCTTCTAATTCTTCTTCTTCTTCTTTTTTTTTTTTTTTGAGATGGACTCTCGCTCTGTTGCCCAGGCTAGAGTACAGTGGCATGATCTCAGCTCACTGTAACCTCTGCCTCCTGGGTTCAAGCAATTCTCCTGCCTCAGCCTCCTGATTGGCTGCGACTACAGGTGCAAGCCACCATGCCTGGTTAATTTTTTTGTATTTTCAGTAGAGACGGGTTTTCACCACGTTGGCCACACTGGTTTTGAACTCCTGATCTCAAGTGATCTGTCTGCCTTGGCCTCCCAAAGTGCTGGGAATGCAGGTGTGAGCCATGGCGCACGGTAAGTTGCTTGTAATTCTGTCAGTTACAGTTCGGGAGTGCCCGTTTAGAACTTTATCCCACTGCTGTGTATTTGCTTAGCTCTCGCTGAGAGAAGCATTTTCCTTTGTCCTCTGACTACAGCTGGAGGATCTCCAGGGCAGGAACTGAGTGCAATGCACCCTTTGATCTCCCCTTCGCCCTGCCCTGCCCCATCAGGTGCCCACCTCAAAGGATGTACCACCACAAGTAAAGCTCCGATGGACATTGCTTATAGAAACACATTCCTAACCGTCCGGGTGCAGTGGCTCATGCCTGTAATCTCACCACGTTGAGAGGGTGAGGTGGGCAGATTGCTTGAGGTCAGGAGTTCAAGACCAGCCTGGCCAACATGGTGAAACCCTGTCTCTACTACAAATACAAAAAATTAGCCAGGTGTGGTGGTGGGCACCTGTAGTCCCAGCTAATCAGGAGGCTGAGGCAGGAGAATCACTTGAACCCAGGCGGCGGAGGTTGCAGTAAGCCAAGACTGCACCACTGCACTCCAGCCTGGGTGACAGAGCAAGACTCTGTCTCAAAAGAAACACGACCTTGTGGTCTGCCAGAAAAGACAAAATATAGCTGCTTTGTTTATTTGGTTTCTTGAGATTCTCAAACACTTGCTCACTTGGCTGACTGAATGGCCATTTGTACCAAATAAAAAGCAAAAAAATATCAATGGCATTGAAGAGTCTTCTCTTTCCTTCCTGTGATCTGTCCACATGGGACTAATTTAAGAAAAAATAAGGCAGAACCTTGTGTTCGACACCAAAGACTAAAGACATTGGGAGGGAAAAGGCCTCTTTCACCACCTGCCAGAATTTTCTTCCTCTCTCTCCACCCTTCCAGCACACACAGAAAGGGTTGTCCAGGGCCAGCCCAGAGGTCCACTGAGCTGGGGAGTCTACCGCCAACAGAGGCCCCAAGTGACCTGCTGTGGGTGGACCTGGCTGTCCCCAGCTTCCCCCTCCAAGGTCAGAGAAATTCTGATGCCTCCAAGCAGCCTGTTGCTCATCTCTGCACAAAACATGTTCAATCTGCTGATCATTTCCTCTCCTGTCCCATATCTTGGGGGAAAAAACATGCACACCATTCCCTAAATTCATCAGCCACTAAATTAAAAAGTCATTTCAAAATTTTGAAGAAATTTAACTTACTTTAGAAAATGATAGGCAAATGGAACTCTACTACATCATATTGGGAGTTTGTCTTTCTGACTTGGTTTGTTCCTTTTTTTTTTTAGACAGAGTCTCACTCTGTCGCCCAGGCTGGAGTGCAGTGGTGCAATCTCAGCTCTCCTGGGCTCAAGCGAGTCTCGTGTCTCAGCCTCCCAAGTAGCTGGGATTACAGACACATGCCACCATGCCCGGCTAATTTTTGTGTTTTTAGTACAGATGGGGTTTCACCATGTTGACCAGGTTGGTCTCGAACCCTGACCTCAAATGATCCATCCACCTGCCTCGGCCTCCCAAAGTGCTCAGATTACAGGCATGAGCCATCGTGCCCAACAATCTTTCTTTTTTTCTAAGAGACAGGGTTTTGTTCTGTGGCCCAGGCTGGAGTGCAGGCGCAATCATAGCTCACTGCAGCCTGGAACTCCTCAGCTCAAGCCATCCTCCTGCCTCAATCTCCCAAGTAGCCAGGACTACAGGTAGGCACCACCACACTGGTTAATTAAAATTTTTTTTTTTTTTTAGAGACTGGGTAACATTATGTTGCTCAGGCTGGTCATGAACTCCTGGTCTCAGGCAATCCTTTCACCTCGGCCTCCCAAGTAGCCTGGAGTACAGGTGCGTACCACCAAGCCTGGCTATTTTGGGGTGTTTTTCTTTTCAAATGATGAAATTGTATAGGTATGTTGACAAGTAAACATGGTCATGATCTACCACAAAGTGAAAAATGGAGGTTGCAGATCAGTAAGTGTGATGATTCGATTTTCCAATAAAAACATTTTATCTGGGCCAGGCACGGTGGCTCATGCCTGTAATCTTTGGGAGGCTGAGGCAGGCGGATAACTTGAAGTCAGGAGTTAGAGAGCAGCCTAGCCAACATGGTGAAACCCCGTCTCTACTAAAAATGCAAAAATTTGCCAGGCATGGTGGCAGGTACCTGTAATCCCAGCTACTCAGGAGGCTGAGGCATGAGCATCACTTGAACCCAGGAGGCAGAGGTTACAGTGAACCAAAATCGTGCCACTGCACTCCAGCCTGGGTGACAGAGTGAGACTGTCTCCAAAAAAAAAAAAAAGAAAAAAGCTCAACACTGTATCTGTATATATACAGAAAAAGTCTGACCAGGCATGGTGGCTCATGCCTGTAATTCTGAGCACATTGGGAGGCCAAGGCAGGTGGACTGCTGGAGCCCAGAAGTTCAAGACCAGCCTGGGCAACATAGTGAGGCCTCGTCTCTTCCAAAAAATACAAAAATTAGCCAGTCATGGTGGCACACACCTGTAGTCCCAGCTATTCCGGAGGCTGAGGTGGGAAGATCACCTGAGCCTGGGGAGGTCGAGGCTGCAGCGAGCTATGATTGTGCCACTGCTCTCCAGCCTGGGCGACAAAGCAAGACTCTGTCTCGAAAAAAAGAAAAAAAAAAAAGCTGGGTATGGTGGCTCACTCCAGTAATCCCAGCACTTTGGCTGAGGCGGGCAGATCATGTGAGGCCAGGAGTTCAAGATCAGCCTGGGCAACATGGTGAAACCCCATCTCTACTACAAATACAAAAATTATCTGAGCGTGGTGGCAGACACCTGTAATCCCAGCTACTCAGGAGGCTGATGCAAGAGAATCGCTTGAAACCAGGAGGCGGAGGCTGCAGTGAGTCAAGATCGTGCCACTGCACTCCAGTCTGGGCAACAGAGTGAGACATCATCTTAAAAAAAAGTCTGAGCTGGGCGCGCTGGCTCATGCCTGTAATCCCAGCACTTTGGGAGGCCGAGATGGGCGGATCACCTGAGGTTGGGAGTTCGAGACCAGCCTGACCAACATGGAGAAACCCCATCTCTACTAAAAATACAAAAAAATTAGCTGGGCATGGTGGCATATGCCTGTAATCTCAGTTACTTGGGAGGCTGAGGCAGGAGAATTGCTTGAATCTAGGAGGCAGAGGTTGCGGTGAGCCGAGATCGCGCCAGCCTGGGCAACAAGATCAAGACTCTGTCTCAAAAACAAAAACAAAAAAGTCTGGGCTGGGCGCGGTGGCCTACTCCTGTATCCCCAGCACTTTGGGACACCAAGACGGGCAGATCACCTGAGGTTGGGAGTTCAAGACCAGCCTGACCAAACCCTGACTCTACTAAAAAAATACAAAAATTAGCTCAGCATGGTGGTGGGTGCCTGTAATCCCAGCTACTTGGGAGGCTGAGGCAGGAGAATCGCCTGAACTTGGGAGGTGGAGGTTGCAGTAAGCCGAGATCGCGCCACTGCACTCCAGCCTGGGCAACAAGAGCGAAACTCCGTCTCAAAAAAAAAAAAAAAAGTCTAGAAGCAGTGTACCGAGGTTAGAGTCCTGTCCTGTTTTTCATGCTGTTCTACAGTTGATCACTGTCCTATGGCTATGCTAGATGTCAACATTAGGGAAAGCTTGGAGAAGGGTAGCTAGAACTCTCTGAATTATTTTTGCAACTTTTCTTTAAGTCCCAGATTACTTCAAAATAAAAGTTTTCTTAAAAGTCTGGAAGAAGAATTGTTAACAGCAGTGTACATTTGTGTACTACCTTAGGTCAGTTCTGGGTGCTTTACAGATACTAATCCACATGTGAGCTCTAAGGGCAGGATTCTTCACCTTGGAGGACATTTGGGGCTGGATCATTCTCTGTGGCTGGGGGGCATCCTATGCATGGTAGGATATTTGAGCAGCATCCCTGGCCTCCACCCACTAGATGTCAGTATAATTTCCCCAGTTATGAAAACCAAAAAAAGTCTCTAGGCCGGGCACGGTGGCTCCCACCTGTAATCCCAGCACTTTGGGAGGCTGAGGCAGGCAGATCACCTGAGGTCAGGAGTTTGAGACCAGCCTGGCCAACATTGTGAAACCCTATCCCTACTAAAAATACAAAAATTAGGCGGGCGTGGTGGTGCACATCTGTAGTCCCAGCTACTTAGGAGGCTGAGGCTGCAGAATCGCTTGAACCCAGGAGGTGGAGGCTGCAGTGAGCCAAGATCTTGCTACTGCACTCCAGCCTGGACGACAGAGTCAGACTTGGTCTCCAAAAAAAAAAAAAATAAAGTCTCCAAACATTGCCAGCTGTCTCTGGAGGTCAAAATCCCTTCCTCTCACCTAGTTGAGAAACACTGCTCTAAAGGAAAGGGTAGTGGCTTTTATTATCCCCAATTTACAAAAGGGGAAACTGTGGCACAGAGGAAATCATCCACCACCACACACTGAGCAGAACTGGGATGAACCCAGGTTTTGGGCCCCAGAGTAAAACACTCAGCCACATACCGAGTGGCCTTGTAGTACATCAAGCATTATTCCAGGGGTCATCTCTGGGACTGGTTCCGCAGGGAGGCTGTCCCGCTGCCCTGAAGCCCGGGGAGGCCTCCTCTAAGCTGTGGGACCCCACCAGAGGCTTGCAGAAGCTCCAGAAAACTTTCACTTTTACTTTTCCTGTATGCCCTCTCCGTTATTTCTATTTTTCTTTCTTTCTTTTTTTTTTTGAGACAGGGCCTCAATCTATCAGTCAGGATGGAGTGCAGTGGTACGATCTGGATTCACTGCAACCTCCACCTCCCAGTTCAAGCAATCTTCCTGCCTCAACCTCCTGAGTAGCTGGGACTACAGGTGCCTGCCACCACGCCCAGCTAATTTCCTTACTTTACATTGTAGAGACAGGATCTCGCTATGTTGCCCAGGCTGGTCTTGAACTCCTGGACTCAAGCGATCCGCCCACCTCGGCCTCCCAAAGTGCTAGGATTACAGGCGTGAGCCACCACACCGGCCTTCTATTTTTCTTACCAGCATGAATTAAATCCTTTTTGTCTTTTTCTTTTTTTTGAGACAGAGTCTTGCTCTGTTGCCCAGGCTAGAGTGCAGTGGCACCATCTTGGCTCACTGCAACATCGGACTCCCAGGTTCAAACGATTCTCCTGCCTCAGTCTCCCGAGTAGGTGGGACTACAGGCATGTGCCACAACACCTGGCTAATTTTTGTATTTTTAGTAGAGACGGGGTTTCACCATGTTGGTCAGGCTGGTCTTGAACTCCTGACCTTGTGATCTGCCCGCCTCGGCCTCCCAAAGTGCTGAGATTACAGGTGTGAGCCACCGCACCCGGCCAATCCTTGCTTCCTTTTAAGGAGGTTAAGGCAGTCGTGTTAGCCAGATCTGCAATAAACAAGCCCACATTCTTCCCACAAGCAGAAGCAGAAATCAACAAGTGTCCATTTGAATGAACGTACCTGAGGTCCGCAGCTTCTTCCTCTTAGTCATTTTATCTTCCCCTTGAGAAATCTGAAAACAAGCAAAATCTCTCATCATTATAAGCAGTCTCTGTCTCTGTTTATATCCAGTGGCTTTGGCTGAGAGCAGAGGTTACCCCTACCTCCACCTCAGCCCATTTGGCTGCCCCAGGGGTCAGATGGCTCCCACTGGGACACAGGATGGGACACAGAGTCACAGCCACTTTGGGCCATGGCCAGGTAGGAATTCAAACCTCCTCCAAACTGAAGATCTTATGCCCAGGACCTGAAAGACAAATGGGCCCTGGGGGGTCCTTATAGATAGCCCCGGGGACCCAGACTCTGGTCCCTAGGATGAAACAGCCTGTGTGAAGCCCCTCCCTCCAGACTGGGGTATCTGGGGGCCCTTCCAAGGACACTTGAGGACTCTCCAGGGGCCTCTGGAGACCAGCCTGGCCAATATGGTGAAACCCCCTCTCTATTAAAAACACAAAAATTAGCCTGGGCATCGTGACGCACACCTGTAATCCCAGCTACTTGGGAGGCTGAGACAGTAGAATTCCTTGAACCCATGAGGCAGAGGTTGCAGTGAGCCGAGATCGCTCTACTGCACTCCAGCCTGGGCGACAGAGCGAGACTCCGTCTCAAAAAAAAAAAAAAAAATTAGTCAGGTGCGGTGGCACACACCCGTAATCCCAGCTACTCAGGAGGCTGTGGTACAAGGCCAGGAGGCAGAGGTTGCAATGAGCCAAGATCGTGCCACTTTAAAGGGGACAGCTGGGTCCTTGGAGGGGAAAGAGCTGCCATAGGCCGGTTTCTCCCAGCCTTGGGGGCGAGGCAAACCAGAACGGACCTGGGCCACAGAAGTCGTTGAGGACCCTCTGTCCTTATCAGAAACGAGCTCTGCCTGGATCAGTTGGGAATAAGTCGCTTGAATTATCCGCGTTACTCTTTTTGGAAAAAATAAATGGCCAAATTGGCCCTCACAGAACGCTGGAGGCCTCGAGTCCGGAGGTGAAAGATGGAAAGGCCTGAGGGTGGGCGCTGTAGACCCCGCTCCCGGTGACAAGCCCCACACTGACACTACGCCGACCACCGAGAAGTGAGGACTCCACAGGCCGAGAGCCCACGTGAAGCCGGAGCCCGTCGGTGACTGACAGACGCTCTGAACCCCACAGATGTCGCCGCCCCTCACACCTGCGCGCGCTCTGCCTCTTTCCCGCGCCCCGCGAGGTCCCGCCCCGCGCATGAGCGACGCAAACACCGCCCTCGCAGCCCGCGACAGTCAGCACCGCCCCAGCCAGGCGCCTGCGCGCCCACGCACTACCTGCCGGGAGTTGTAGTTTCGGCTCGGCAGACCCGGCGAGCCCAGTGGCCGCGCTCCGGTGCGGCGGCGCCCGAGGCCCGAGGCGGAAGTGGGACGGCCAAGCAGGGAAGCGAGGGCTCGGGATCGACGGCCGCGGGGCGCCGACGAGGAGTGCAGGACTCAGGAAGGGCGAGTGCGCGGCGACAGAGCCCGGGGAAGGAGGCAGGGCAAGGCCGGGCTTGGGGGCAGGTGGTCCGGGCATCCAGCCTTGAAGATGCACAAGAGGAAAGGACCCCCGGGACCCCCGGGCAGAGGCGCCGCGGCCGCCCGCCAGGTGAGTTTGCGCCCCACGGCCCGACCTGGGGATCCCTCCCCACCCCCGTCACTCGCTCAGGGAAGGGCCCCACCCCCCAGGGAAGCCCGATCTCCGCCCCACAGGTAAGCCCCGGTCCCCGCCTCCCCCCAGGTGAGGCTCCAACACCACCCAAGTGTGGCCTACTGGCCTTGGCTCCCCAGCTCCTGGGGCCCTGCCCCGGGTTCGGGGCCACCTGTTGCCACAGCTGCTCCAGTCGAGGAGGGGCAGTCCTCGGACTTGACACATCAAACCCTTGCATCAGTCGGGCCATGTCAGACTCTTTTTATTCCATTGTACAGATGAGGACTTTGAGACTCAGAGACGTGAAGACATCTGCCCAAGGTCATAGGGATTAACAGCTTGGCCAGGGCTAAGCACAAATCCAGGGCTGCAGCCATAAGCTTATGGCACTGTGGCTGGACCCCTTCTCACTCTCCCGACTTCTTTGCCCCAGGCACCAGATAGTTTGATTTTTCTCAGTTTTGATGGAAGGAGCCCAGGACATAGCTTGGTGTTCAGATATTAGAGTCTGGCTGACCTGAAGTTCCCTCCTGGCCTCTGTACATCGGACACTTGACTTTACAGCTCTGAGCCTCAGCTTTCTCATCTGTAAAATGGAGATCTCTATAATCCCAGCACTTCAGGAGATGGAGGCGGAGGCAGAGGTGGGAGAGTCATTTGAGGCCAGAGTTTGAGACCAGCCTGGGCAAAAGCAAGACCCCCGTCTCGACAAAAAAAGACTAACTGGGCATGGTGGCATGTGCCTGTAGTACTACTACTTGGGAGGCTAAGAAGGGAGGATTGCTTGAGCCCAGGAGTTCAAGACCGCAGTGAGCTATGATTGCGCTACTTCTGCTCCAGCCTGGGTGACAGAACAAGACTCTTTCTCTAAAATAAAGATAAAAAATTAAAAATGGAAGTCCGGGGTGGTGTCTCACACCTGTAATCCCAGCACTTTGGGAGGCCATGGCGAAACCCCATCTCTACTAAAAATACAAAAATTAGCTGGGCATGGTGGCGGGCACCTGTAATCCCAGCTACTCGGGAGGCTGAGGTGGGAGAATCGCTTGAACCGAGAGGCGGAGGTTGCAGTGAGCTGAGATCGCGCCACTGCATTCCAGACTGGGTGACAGAGCAAGGCTCCTTCTCAAAATAAATAAATAAATTCCTTCTGAAAATAAATAAATAAATAAAAAATTAAAAATGGAGACCTCCAAGAGACCCTACATTACAGGACAGTTGTAGAGAGTCATTGAGATAGTTTATGGAAAGTGCTAGAACATAGCACTCAATAAATGTTACTATTATCATTATTACTAGTTGGTGGAACCATACATAATTGCCAATATTTGGCCATTTTTTACCTACAGGAAAGGCAATTTCATATGGTTAAACACGATGTTATCACATCATGATTGGTCATTAGCCAAGATAGGAAGACGGGTCTGCATGGCAAACCTGCATTGTGGTTAGGGGTTCTTTTTTTGTTTGTTTGTTTTTGAGACAGAGTCTTGCTCTCTCGCCCCAGGCTGGAGTGCAGTGGCGCAATCTCGGCCCACTGCAACCTCCGCTTCCCGGGTTCAAGCGATTCTCCTGCCTCAGCCTCCCGAGTAGCTGGGATTACAGGCATGCGCCACCATGCCTGGTTAATTTTGTATTTTTTAGTAGAGACGGGGTTTCTCCCTGTTGGTCAGGCTGGTCTGTCTCGAACTCCCCATCTCAGGTGACCCGCCTGCCTCGGCCTCCCAAAGTGCTGGGGTTACAGGCGTGAGCCACCGTGCCCGGCCTAATTTTTGTATTTTTAGTAGTGATGGGATTTCACCATGTTGGCCAGGCTAGTCTCGAACTGCTGACCTCAGGTGATCCCCCCACCTTGGTCTCCCAAAGTGCTGGGATTACAAGCGTGAGCCACTGCACCTGGCCCTGTCGTCAGGGCTTCTAATTGCTCTTCTTTTTTTTTTGGAGACAGAGTCTTGCTCTGTTGCCCAGGCTGGAGTTTGGTGGCGCAATCTCAGCTCACTGCAACCTCCACCTCCCAGGTTCAAGCAATTCTCCTGCCTCAGCCTCCCGAGTAGCTGGGATTGCAGACACCGCCAGCACTCCCAGCTAATTTTTGTATTTTTAGTAGAGACGGGGTTTCACCATGTTGGCTAGGCTGGTCTCGAACTCCTGGATTACAGGCGTGAGCCACCGCATGCAGCCATCATGCTCTTGAAGCCCAACCTTCCCACACAGCCCCTCTGCTGAGGATGCTGGAAAGAAAAGCCCAAGTGTACAGAGTAGCTTTGCTTTGGGCAAAGTGTGGAGCCTGCTTCCTTCCCTCCTTCCCTCCCTCCCTCGCTTCCTTCTTTTTTTCCTTCCTTCCCTCCTTCCTCCCTCCCTCTCTCCCTCCCCGGCTCCATCTCTCTTTCTTTCTTTCCTTTCAACAGGGCTTTACTCTGTTGCCCAGGCGGAGTGCCGTAGCACAGTCATGGCTCACTGCAGCCTTGATCTCCCCAGGCTCAAGTGATCCTCCTGCCTCAGCCTCCCGAGTAGCTGGGACCACAGGCACACAGCACAACTCCCAGCTAATTTTAAAAAGTTTTTTTTCCTGTAATCCCAGCACTTTGGGAGGCCGAGGCGGGCAGATCATGAGGTCAGGAGATCGAGACCATCCTGGCTAACAAGGTGAAACCCCGTCTCTGCTAAAAATACAAAAAAAAAATTAGCCGGGCGTGGTGGCGGGCGCCTGTAGTCCCAGCTACTCGGGATGTTGAGGCAGGAGAATGGCATGAACCCCGGAGGCGGAGGTTGCAGTGAGCTGAGACTGCACCACTGCACTCCAGCCTGGGTGACAGAGCGAGACTCTGTGTCAAAAAAAAACAAAAAACAAAAAACTTTTTTTTTTTTTGTAGAGTTGGGGGTCTCACTGTATTGCCCAGGCTGGTCTGGAACTCCCAGACACAAGCCATCCTCTTGCCTTGGCCTCCCAAAGTGCTGGGATGACAGGCGTGAGCCACTGCGCCCAGCCAGGGGCCTGCTTTTCCCACTGAACTTGGCCCAGCAGCACATCATAAGTGTGGATTCAGATCAGAGAGCTGGGTCTCTTGCCCTTTGCCCCAGGTTGAACTGTGCCAGAGGGCCTGGCCTATCTTGGAACACCTGTTCTGGGCTTGTTCCAGCCTCCTGGCACTCCCCAGGGAAATGGCTTTCCCTGGGAGACCTTGTTTCCTTCCTCCCAAGGGGACTCTCTGGCCATCATGGCTGCCTCTAGCCATGTGGTGAACCAAAGGTCTGACTGAACCCTTGCTGTTCCCCTAGCTGGGCCTGCTGGTTGACCTCTCCCCAGATGGCCTGATGATCCCTGAGGACGGGGCTAACGATGAAGAACTGGAGGCTGAGTTCTTGGCTTTGGTCGGGGGCCAGCCCCCAGCCCTGGAGAAGCTCAAAGGCAAAGGTGAGATGGTTAACACACCCTCAGAACATTTTCTGATCTCCTGCAAGTGGTTCGGGCGCAGAACTGGGGGCACTGGGTAGGTAGGGGAAAGAAGACAGAGAAGACCCCTGTTCTCCTGGAGCCAATGATCTGGGTAAGAGAGTCAAGATCGACTCTGAGGCCGGGCACGGTGGCTCACGCCTGTAATCCCAGCACTTTGGGAGGCCGAGGCAGGCAGATCATGAGGTCAGGAGATTGAGACCATCCCGGCTAACACGGTGAAACTCTGTCTCTACTAAAAATACAAAAAAAAAAAAAAAATTAGCCGGGCGTGGTGGCGGGCGCCTGTAGTCCCAGCTACTCAGGAGGCTGAGGCAGAAGAATGGCGTGAACCAGGGAGGCGGAGCTTGCAGTGAGCCGAGATCGCACCACTGCGCTACAGCCTGGGCGACAGAGCAAGACTCCGTCTCAAAAAAAAAAAAAAAAAAAAAAAGATCAAGTCTGGACCGAGACTGAGAGTTGGAATCCGAGCTCTGCCACTTACTGGTTATGTGACTTGATGAGTCACATCATGTGCTTTGGCCTCAGTTTCACCATCTGTAAAACTGGAATAATAACCATGTTATAGGAGTTAATCTGGAGTCCATAAGTATTTCACCCAGGGCCCCCTCACACACAATAAGCTCATGTCAGCCAGGCACATTGGCTCATGCATGTAATCCCAGCACTCTGGGAGGCCAAGGTGGACAGATCACTTGGGGCCAGGAGTTCGAGACCAGCCTGGCCAACATGGTGAAACCCTGTCTTTACTAAAAATACAAAAATTAGCCAAGCTTGGTGGCGAACACCTGTAATCCCAGCTACTTGGGAGGCTGAGGCATGAGAATCGCTTGAATCCAGGAGGCAGCAGTTGCAGTGGGCAGAGATTGCGCCACTGCACTCCAGCCTGGGTGACAGAGCAAGATCCTGTTTCCAAAAAACAAAAAAGAGAGAAGCTTCATTCAGGCATGAACTACTGTGCTGTTGGCTGTGAATTCAAAGTTAATGAATGAACGATATCTATTCAGGAAGGTGTCTTCAAACAGAAACACACATAGAGCAAGGTTGTGTATTGATCAGTTGATTAAAATTTTGTGACCAGAGCTGGGTGTGGTGGTGCATGCCTGTAATCCCAGCTACTCGGGAGGCTGAGGCAGGAAGATCACTTGAGGCCAAGAGTTTGAGGCTGCAGTGAGCTCTGATTGGGCCACTGCACTCCAGCCTGGGTGACAGAGCAAGATCCTGTCTCCAAAAAAGGTTATGACTGGAGATTCACAGGAACCTAAGCTTAAATTTCCCCTAGGAGCAACAGTCTTATAGTCATTAATTTAGTCTTCAAAGCAGCTTTATAGAATGTAACATAACTAATAACAAGATATTGGCAATATGCTATTCTAAGAGCTTCATTGACCTTCTCTGCTCCAACCTACCTATGAAGGAGGAACTGTTGTCATCCCCGTGTCACAGAGGGAGAAACTGAGGCTCAGAGAGGTGACATCACTTGCCGAAGTTCTCACAGAGAGAAAGTTGCAGAGCTGGGGTTTTTTTTGTTGTTGTTGTGTGTGTGTGTTTTTTTTTTTTTTTTTGGAGACAAACCCTTGCTCTGTTGCCCAGGCTGCAGTGCAGTGGCGCAATCTCAGCTCACTGCGACCTCTGCCTCCTGGGCTTAAGTGATTCTCCTGCCTCAGCCTCTTTAGCAGCGGGGATTACACGCCACCATGCCCAGCTAATTTTTTTTTTTTTTTTTTTTTTTTTTTGAGACGGAGTCTCGCTCTGTCGCCCAGGCTGGAGTACAGTGGCGCGATCTTGGCTCACCGCAAGCTCCGCCTCCTAGGTTCACGCCATTCCCCTGCCTCAGGCTCCCGAGTAGCTGGGACCACAGGCGCCCGCCAGCATGCCTGGCTAATTTTTTGTATTTGTAGTAGAGACGGGGTTTCACCGTGTTAGCCAGGATGGTCTCGATCTCCTGACCTTGTGATCCACCCGCCTCGGCCTCCCAAAGTGCTGGGGTTACAGGCGTGAGCCACTGCGCCCAGCCTAATTTTTGTATTTTTAGTAGAGACAGGGTTTCACCATGTTGGCCAGGCTGGTCTTGAACGCCTGACTTCAAGTGATCCTTCTGCCTCGGCCTCCCAAAGTGCTGGGATTATAGGCGTGAGTCACTGTGCCCGGTCTGCAGAGCTGGGTTTTGAATTCAGGTAGCCAGGCCCCAGACCTGAGGCTGAATAAGGAAGAGATGAAATGGGGAAGTCAGCGAGAAGTGGGATCACCTAGCGTGTCCAGGATGGGAAATGGGGGCTCTTGGTGTACGACCCTGGTCCACCTGGGGCATCCCCCTACCGCCAGGTCCCTTGCCGATGGAGGCCATTGAGAAGATGGCCAGCCTGTGCATGAGAGACCCGGATGAGGATGAGGAGGAGGGGACGGATGAGGACGACTTGGAGGCTGATGATGACCTGCTGGTGAGCACTGAGGGCGGGGTGGGGGCTCTGATCCGGTTGCCCCCATCCAGCAGGCCCTTATATCCTGCCCTGGCTGTGTGTCCCTGCAGGCGGAGCTAAATGAGGTCCTTGGAGAGGAGCAGAAGGCTTCAGAGACCCCACCTCCTGTGGCCCAGGTACAGTTTGGATGACTCCACTCCCTTGAACCACAACCCAACGGACAGCCCGGGGTTCAAGACCTAGCCTTTTTTATGAGATGGAGTCTTGCTGTGTCACCCAGGCTGGAGTGCAGTGGTGCCATCTCAGCTCACTACAACCTCTGCCTCCCAGGTTCAAGGGATCCTCCCACCTCAGCCTCCCCAGTAGCTGGGATTACAGGTGTGTGCCACCACGCCTGGCTAATTTTTGTATTTTTTGGTAGAGATGGTGTTTCTCTGTGTTGGCCAGGCTGGTCCTGACCTCAAGTGATCCACCTGCCTTGGCCTCCCAAAGTGTTGGGATTACAGGCGTGAGCCACCGCGCCTGGCCCACCCTTATCCTTCACAGCCATGTGACCCATATCAGGTGGGTGACATGATGCTTCTGAAACCCCATTCCCTCCACTGGGAAATGGGGACCATGATTTCTGCCTCACTGGGGCAGGGGAGGCTGGTCCAGGGATGACATGGGGCCGACTGTTACTGCAGAAGGGGCTAACAGGGGCATCCCAAGTGGGGTCACCACCCACACTGTGCCCCTGCCCTCCCACAGCCGAAGCCTGAGGCCCCTCATCCGGGGCTGGAGACCACCTTGCAGGAGAGGCTGGCGCTCTATCAGACAGCAATTGAAAGCGCCAGACAAGCTGGAGACAGCGCCAAGATGCGGCGCTACGATCGGGGGCTTAAAGTAAGTGGGCAGAGGGCAGGGTACAGGGACCCCCCGCCAACCCCGATGCCCTGCACCAAGCTCTTGGCTTCTCCCAAACCAATACTCACGCCTTATCTTAGACACTGGAAAACCTGCTCGCCTCCATCCGTAAGGGCAATGCCATTGACGAAGCGGACATCCCGCCGCCAGTGGCCATAGGAAAAGGCCCGGCGTCCACGCCTACCTACAGCCCTGCACCCACCCAGCCGGCCCCTAGAATCGCGTCAGCCCCAGAGCCCAGGGTCACCCTGGAGGGACCTTCTGCCACCGCCCCAGCCTCATCTCCAGGCTTGGCTAAGCCCCAGATGCCCCCAGGTAGGTGATGGGCAGGGCCGGGCTGATATGGGATCCGAGTGGGCCATCTGGCAGGATGCTGCTCTAGGGGGGTGCCGGCTGTGCACTGATTGTGAGATATTTTCAACACCCTGAGTCCTGGGGTCTTCAAGCCCCTGGAGTTCATGAATACCTCCCAAGCAGGACATGGATACCCAGAGAGTTTTTTTTGTTGTTATTATGATATTATGATAAAATATAGATCACATTTGCCATTAAAAATTATTTTAGTTCTTTTTTTTGAGATGGAGTTTCGTTCTTGTTGCCCAGGCTGGAGCGCAGTGGCACGATCTCAGCTCATTACAACCTCCACCTCCCAAGTTCAAGCGATTCTCCTGCCTCAGCCTCCCAAGTAGCTGGGATTACAGGCATATGCCACACTTGGCTAATTTTGTATTTTGAGTAGAGATGGGGTTTCACCTTGTTGGCCAGGCTGGTCTTGAATTCCTGACCTCAGGTGATCCACCCACTTCGGCCTCCCAATTTGCTGGGATTACAGGCATGAGCCACTGTGCCCGGCTTTTTTTAATTCTTTGAGACAGGGTCTTACTCCATCACCCAGGCTGGAGTGCAGTGATGTGATCATAGCTCAGTGTAGCCTCAACCTCCTGGGCTCAAGGGATCTTCCCTCACCTTCACCAGTAGCTGGGACTACAGGCATGCACCACACACTTGGCTAATTTTTTTTTTTTTTTTGAGTCGGAGTCTCGCTCTGTCACCCAGGCTGGAGTGCAGTGGTGCGATCTCGGCTCACTGCAACCTTTGCCTCCTGGGTTCAAGCAATTCTCCTGCCTCAGCCTCCTGAGTAGCTGGCATTACAGGTGCATGCCACCACACCTGGCTAATTTTTTGTATTTTTAGTAGAGACGGGGTTTCACTGTGTTAGCCAGGATGGTCTCGATCTCCTGACCTTGTGATCTGCCTGCCTCGGCCTCCCAAAGTGTTAGGATTACAAGCATGAGCCACCACGCCAGGCCTCATCGCCTTTTTTTTTTTTTTGAAACAGAGTCTCACTCTATTGCCCAGGCTGGAGTGCAGTAGCATGATCCTAGTTCACTGCAACCTGCCTCCCAGGCTCAAGCAATCCTCCCGCCTCAGCCTCCTGAGTAGCTGGGATTACAGGCATATGCCACCGTGCCCCATGCCCAGCTAATTTTTGTACTTTTTGTAGAGGTGCCATGTTGCCCAAGCTAGAACATATCTTCTAAGAGGTTTTTCTTCCTAACCTCCCCCTAGGAAAGGAAGGCCTCCCTCCCTCTCTTTGTGATATGAACACGGGGCTTTGCCCCAGGTCCAAACACTTCCCTGGCAGGAAGCAAAGAGACAACTCAAAATACTGGCATGGGTTTGAGAAAGCAAACACTGGGTCACTAAATCCTTCTGCAACCAAGCTAGTTTCCAAGCCATTGTTTTTGACAAAGTTCAAGGATTACTGGAATTGTCACCTGAAATTGTCAACTGAAACGACCAAAAATTTTTCACAATGGAAGTTTGGCATAAAACTTGTCAGGAGTTCAAAGAATACAAAGACATCACAGTAACAAAATTCTGTGTCTTCCAATCTATTTGTTAATGTGAAGTAGGTTTCTCAATACTTTAATTTTTTTGAGACGGAGTCTCGCTCTTGTTTCCAGGCTGGAGTGCGATGGCGTGATCTCGGCTCACTGCAACCTCCGCCTCCCAGGTTCAAGTGATTCACCTGCCTCAGCTTCTCGAGTAGCTGGGATTACAAGCGCCCACCACCAAGCCCGGCTAATTTTTGTATTTTTAGTAGAGACGGGGTTTCACCATGTTGCTGCCCAGGCTGGTCTCGAACTCCTGACCTCAGGTGATCCGCCTGCTCCGCCTCCCAAAGTGCGGGGATTACAGGCGTGAGCCACCACCCCTGGCCTCAACACTTTAAAAAAGAAAAAAAGTGCAGATGTAGTGGCTCATGCCTGTAATCCCAGCACTCTGGGAGGCCAGGAGTTCAAGAGCAGTCTAGGCAACATAGCAAGAACCCATCTCTACATAAAAATTAAGAAATTAGCCGGGTGTGGTAGTGCATGCCTTTAGTCCCAGCTCCTCGAGAAGCTGAGGTGGGAGGTTCGCTTGAGTCCAGGAGTTCAAGGCTGCAGTGAGCCGTGATCGTGCCACTCCAAGTCTGGGCAACAGAGCAAGATCTTATCTCTAAAAAAAGAAAAAACAGAAGAGGATTGAATGGGAGAAACGAGTTGATTGTTAGGGATTGGACCCAGCTCCAATTATGTCAGCAAGAGGTACATTTCTGGTAGAATTTTGCTCTTGGTGTACCAAAACTATCAAATAGCTCAGCAGGGGCTGGGCGTGGTGGTTCACACCTGTAATCCCAGCACTTTGGGACACCAAAGCGGGCGGATCACTTGAGGCCAGGAGTTCAAGACCAGCCCTGGCCAACATGGTGAGACCTCATCTCTACTAAAAATACAAAAATTAGCTGGGCGTGGTGGTGCATGCTGGTAGTCCCAGCCACTCGGGTGGATGAGGCAAGAGAATCACTTGAACCCAGAAGGCAGGGGTTGCAGTGAGCCACGATCACACCACTGCACTCCAGTCTGGGCGACAGAGCAAGACTCTGTCTCAACAAACAAACCAACCCAAAAAGCTCAGCTGGGTGTGGTGGCTCACACCTATAATTCCAGCACTCTGGGAGGCCAAGGTGGGAGGATCGCTTGAACCCCGGAGTTCGAGATCTGTCTGGGCAACATAGGGAAACTGCGTCTCTATAAAAAATTAAAAATTAGCCAGCCATGGTGGTGCATGCCTGTAGTCCCAGCTACTTGGGAGGCTGAGGTGGGAGAATCACTTGAGCCTGGAAGGTTGAGGCTGAAGTGAGCTGTGATTGCACCACTGCACTCCAGCCTGGGTGACAGAATGAGACCCTGTCTCCAAAAAAATAAAATAAAATAAGCTTGATGTATTTACGTTTTGCTCAATTACATGCTAGTAATAATTATAACAATAATTCAACCCGGAAAAACATTGTTTTTAACAATGAAAGATTTATAATCACAGGAAATAAAACCAATACAATGTCAAAGGTGTGTCACTTCTACCTCCAAACATATTTTCAGGGAAGTAAGCCTAAGTTTAAAGCAATGGGTCCAGTTGTTAGTCTGAAAAAAAGATACTGCGTGCCATTTTCTGGGTGTTTCCAGATTTTGCAGACACTGGGTGGTGTCTTTATTGTACTGTGTTATTTTATACTAAGAATTGCACTTATAGCTTTAAACATTGAGGTACTTCCCCAGAAAACATACTGAGCATATTATTTGAAACTGTAACTAACACACTGTTTAAAAAGCACTGAATACTGGGTTTCCTAACTTTGCAAACACACTGCATAAATATATTTTGGTTGTATAAATATACAATAGGGTAGGCAAAAAAGGCTTTCAAACACACAGCTATATCATGTTAGCATAAATTTCTGTGGGGGACGTGGATGGAAATAAGAGAAGACTCAAAATTCCCAACTGCTTAAAGTGAGTCCCAGGATATATTTAAAAAGTGAGTTGGGCATGGTGGCACATGCCTGTAATCTCTGCACTTTGGGAAGCTGAGGTGGGAGGATCACTTGAGCCCAGGAGTTTGAGACTAGCCTGGACAACATAGTAAGACCCCATCTCTACAAAAAAAAATAAAAAACCAGCCGGGCATGCAGGTGCATGCTCTGTAGCCCCAGCTACTCAGGAAGCTGAGATGGGAGGATCGCCTAAGCCCGGTGTCTGAGGCTATAGTGAGCAGCAGAGCAAGACTCTATCTCTTTAAAAAAAAATACATTAAATATGGCCAGGCACGGTAACTCACACCTGTAATCCTACTTTGGGAGGCCAAGGTGAGCAGATCACTTGAGGTCAGGAGTTTGAGACCAGCCTGGCCAACATGGTGAAACCCCGTCTCTACTAAGAATACAAAAATTAGCCAGAAATTGGGAGGCGGAGGTTGCAGTGAGCCAAGATTGTGCCACTGCACTCCAGTCTGGGCAACAGAGCAAGACCCAGTCTCAA
Source organism: Homo sapiens (assembly GCF_000001405.40). NCBI lineage: Eukaryota > Metazoa > Chordata > Mammalia > Primates > Hominidae > Homo > Homo sapiens. The sequence continues at coordinate 13,917,685 of NC_000019.10, forward strand.
AAAATACATTAAAGCCAGGCGCGGTGGTTCACACCTATAATCCCAGCACTTTGGGAGTCCAAGGTGGGCGGATCACCTGAGGTCAGGACTTTGAGACCAGCCTGGCCAACACGGCGAAACCCTGTCTCTACTAAAAACATAAAAATTAGCCGGGCATGTGCCTGTAATCCCAGCTACTCAGGAGGCTGAGGCAGGAGAATCACTTGAACCCAGGAGGCGGAAGTTGCAGTGAGCTGAGATTGCGCCACTGTACCCCAGCATGGGCAACAGAGTGAGGCTCTGTCTGAAAAAGAAAAAAAAAATTAAATAAATAAATAACAAATGGTTTACACGGTGAACTTGGCCCAGGCCCTGGAGGCTTCCTGTATGTTGTTCTCCCTTCCAGGTCCCTGCAGCCCTGGCCCTCTGGCCCAGTTGCAGAGCCGCCAGCGCGACTACAAGCTGGCTGCCCTCCACGCCAAGCAGCAGGGAGATACCACTGCTGCCGCTAGACACTTCCGCGTGGCTAAGGTGCGTCCAGCCTGACGGACAGGACTGGAGGGATGGGGCAGGATGCTTCCCACGTGGCCTGGTGGCAAAGCACCCAAATTTGCATCCTAGCTTGGTCACTCCCTAGCAATAGTTTGCTGTAAGTCTTGGAGCCTCAGTTTACCCCCTCTGTGAAATGGGCACGTGTGTTGGAAGAGGATTAAGCAAGATGGCACAAATGGAAGGGAGGGAGCTAGAAGTCCTCGGTGGCATGGAAGGGCCCGGAGGCTCCCCACAGGGTCCAAGCCCCCAACTGCACCTCTTCTTCTAATCTCCTCTTCCTTCTCCCAGAGCTTTGATGCTGTCTTGGAGGCCCTGAGCCGGGGTGAGCCCGTGGACCTCTCCTGCCTGCCCCCTCCACCCGGTGAGAACCCTGCCATGCCCACTCTCTGGGATGGTTTCAGGCATACACTAAGTTCTCCTTGATGCTGCCACCCCTGTTGGTCAGGCCCAGAGACCACCCTCAGGCCAGACCAGCTTGTCGGGGGTGCAGCTAACAAGCCCCTCATTGGCCTGGACCTCTCTGTCCCCAGACCAGCTGCCCCCAGACCCACCGTCACCACCGTCGCAGCCTCCGACCCCCGCTACGGCGCCCTCCACAACAGGTAGGTTCTGGGACCCTCTGGGGTTGGGGGCAGGCTGGAGCCAGACTGTCTACCCATCCGTTGACTCTTAACCTTGTCCCCCTGTCCGGCCCAGAGGTGCCCCCACCCCCGAGGACCCTGCTGGAGGCGCTGGAGCAGCGGATGGAGCGGTACCAGGTGGCCGCAGCCCAGGCCAAGAGCAAGGGGGACCAGCGGAAAGCTCGAATGCACGAGCGCATCGTCAAGGTGCCCTGGGGGTTCCGGGGGAGGTGGGGCGAGTGGGCAGCCCGGGAGCCCTCCCACAGGCAGCCCTAACACCTGTGGCCCTCGCAGCAATACCAAGATGCCATCCGAGCCCACAAGGCTGGCCGAGCCGTGGATGTCGCTGAATTGCCCGTGCCCCCAGGTAGGCCTTGCCCCTGTAGGCCTCGCCCCAGTAGGCCCCGCCCCCGTAGGCCCCGCCCCCAGAGGCCCCGCCGCTGGCAGGCTGTGCCCCAAGCTCCTGTTCCTCCAGCCTCTGAGCCTTGGCAGATGCTATTACTCCCCATAGCACAGGCTCAGGGAGCTGAATACAACATATTCAAGGGTTTTGTAAACTTGTTAATCAGTGGGAGCTTGACATTGGACATGATGTGTCTGCACTGTAGAAATTGGCAAACCGGCTGGACGAGGTGGTCATGTCTGTAATCCCAGCACTTTGGGAGGCTGAGGTGGGAAAATCACTTGAGGCCAGGAGTTCAAGACCAGCTTGGGCAACGTGGCAAGACCCCGTGGCTACAAGAAATTTAAAAATTAGCCTGGTGTGGTGGTGCACACCTGCAGTCCCACTCTAGATCATGCCACTGTACTCCAGCCTGGGCAACAGAGCGAGATCCTGTCTCAAAAAAAAAAAAATTAATTAATTAAAAAAAGTAAAGGCCCAAGACTCTATAGGTGGGAGAGGAATCTGCATCTCCACCATAATGGTGTGAGTTGGTCTCCATCCTGACACACAATAACCAGGCCTCGACTGGCCACCCAGGCTTCCCCCCAATCCAGGGCCTGGAGGCCACCAAGCCCACCCAGCAGAGTCTGGTGGGTGTCCTGGAGACTGCCATGAAGCTGGCCAACCAGGATGAAGGCCCAGAGGATGAAGAGGATGAGGTGCCTAAGAAGGTTTGAGGGTTGGGGCCGGGCGCAGTGGCTCACACCTGTAGTCCCAGCACTTTGGGAATCCAAGATGGGAGGATCGCTTGAGGCCAGGAGTTTGAGACCATCCTGGGCCACACAGTGAGACCCCCGTCTCTACAAAAAAATTTTTTAAAATTAGCCAGGCATGGTGGGACTCACCTGTAGTCCCTGCTACTTGGGAGACTGAGGTGGGAGGATCACCTGAACTAAGGAGTTCAAGGCTGCAGTGAGCCATGGTCATGCCACTGTACGCCAGTCTGGGTGACAGAGCAAGACCTCATCTCCAAGACAATTAAAAAAAAAAAAAAGTGTTTGGTGAGAATTGCTTGAACCGGGAGGCAGAGGTTGCAGTGAGCCAAGATCGTGCTACTGCACTCCAGCCTGGACGATACAGTGATACTCTGTCTCAAAAAAGAAAAAAAAAAAAAAAAAGGTGTTTGGGGCCAGGGGCTTTGAGTGAGGCAGGGGAGTAGCAAAGTCCTGGGAGCCCACTAAATGACCACTGTTGTCACCATCAGACCCTGATCCTTGGGGACTGGACTCATCACAGGCGCTACGAAATCTCTAACATCCTCTCTCTTCCTCTACAGCAGAACAGCCCTGTGGCCCCCACAGCCCAGCCCAAAGCCCCACCCTCAAGAACTCCCCAGTCGGGATCAGCCCCAACAGCCAAAGCGCCCCCCAAAGCCACATCCACCAGAGGTAAGTTCCCCCTCCCCGCCCCAGCTGCCTGTTGCCTGGCTGTGGCCTGGGCAGCACCCATAGCAGCTCCTATGCCCACAGCCCAGCAGCAGCTGGCCTTCCTAGAGGGCCGCAAGAAGCAGCTCCTGCAGGCCGCACTGCGAGCCAAGCAGAAAAACGACGTGGAGGGTGCCAAGATGCACCTGCGCCAAGCCAAGGGACTGGAGCCTATGCTGGAGGCCTCGCGCAATGGGCTGCCTGTGGACATCACCAAGGTGAACCTTCTGGGCTTGTGGGAACTGCCCAGGCACCCACTTGTCAGGCTCCTGCCCCTTAGCAGCCACGTGAACTAGAAGTGTATTAGTCAAGGTCCAGCTGCTGTAACAAATAGGTCCTCCCAAGACAATGGCTGAAAGGAGACAGACATTTATTATGTTTCTTGCATGTACCACCCAGGGCAGTCTGGGCTCTGCAAATGGGAGGTCCTCCAGGGCCTGAGTTTCTTCCACCTTATTGCTTTGCTGCACCTGAGGGGGTTGTCCTTGTCCACATGATCCAAGTGGATCCTGTCAGAAGGACTAGAGAAAGAGGCAGAGCTAGTAGTCCCTTTTAAAGGAAGTGACATCACTATTGCTTGTCTCCCATTGGCCAGAACTAAGTAACATGGCCACATTTAGCCACAGAGGAGGCTGGGACATGTAGTCTCTTGTTGGTGCACTGTGTGACCAGCCTGAGCTCCATTACTAGGGAAGGGGAGGGGATCAGATCTGGGGAGACACTTAGATTCTGCCACTTAGGACAGGACCATTCCTTTTTCTCTGAGCATCATTTTTCTCAGAGAAGTGGGGATGGCCACCCCTGCCTCAAAGAAAGACAGCCAGGATTCCTCATGTGATAGAATAGTACTCATAATAGGAAACATTTGAGGAGCTTGAACTGGGCGCCCAGCAAAGGCCACCCAGTTTAAGGAAGTGACATCACTTTTGCTTGCCTCCCATTGGCCCAAACAGTCACATGGCTACATTTAGCCTCAGAGGAGCCTGGGACATGTAGTCTTTGCTGGACACTGGAGACATGGCCTTGAGCAAAAAAGGCAAAAATCCACACTCTCTCTGGACATGGTGGGTCACACCTGTAATTCCAGCTACTTGGGAGGCTGAGGTGGGAGGATTCCTTGAGGCCAGGAGCTCGAAACTAGCCTGGGAAACACAGTGAGACTCACTGTCATGGAGTGGATGTTCTAATTGAGAGACCACAAGAAACACACAAATAAATACAGCACCTTATCACGGCCCATGAAGACTGCACCATCTGCCCCATCAGCTCCCTTGCCTGGTCTCTTTCTTGTTTTTGTTTTGTTTTGTTTTGTTTTGAGACGGAGTCTCGCCCTGTCATCCAGGCTGGAATGCAGTGGCACGACCTCAGCTCACTGCAACCTCTACCTCCCAGGCTCAAGCGATTCTCCTGCCTTAGCCTCCCGAGTAGCTGGAACTACAGGCACACGCCACCATGCCCGGCTAATTTTTATATTTTTAGTAGAGATGGGGTTTCACTATGTTGGCCAGGCTGGGCTTGAACTCCTGACCTCAGGCAATCCACCTGCCTCGACCTCCCAAAGTGCTGGGATTACAGGCATGAGCCACTGTGCCCGGCCTGCCCCTTCTCTTTCACCCACCCCCTCGCTCACTCTTCCCCTTGCTGTCTGGTAGCCTCAAACACCAGGCACTCTGCAACCTCAGGGCCTTTGCACATGCAGTTCCCACTGCCTGAATGCTTTTCCCACAGACACCTGTGTGGTTCACTTTCTCCCATCATTAGGTCTCTGCTCAGACATCACATCTCCAGGAGGCCTACCCTGAGCTGTCTAAAATCCCTCCCTGTCACCCAGATCCCTCTGCTCCTCCTCCCAGCTCTGCCTCTCCCTGTGGCATGTATCACCTTCTACTCTCTCATATGATTTACTTATTTCTTCTGATTATTGCCCATCTCCCCCAAGAGAATGTCAGCCCCACGAGGGCAGGGATTTTGTTCTCTCTTCTTCATCCTTGTGTCCCCAGCCCCAAAGCAGAGCCTAGCGCACAGTAGGGGCTCCATACATGATTTCTCAAACTCTTGAGCTCAAGCAATCCACCCGCCTTAGCCTCCCAAAGTTCTGGGATTATAGACATGAGCCACTGCACCCGGCACCATACATGATTTCTGGGGTGACTGAAGGATGCCCTTGTTAAATGGGACAATGGAAGGATCAAGAAGAAAGAACAGAGGCCGGGCATGGTCTTTCATGCCTGTAATCCTAGCAATTAAGGAGGCCAAGGCCAGCGGATCACTTGAGGTCAGGAGTTCGAGACCAGTCTGGCCAACATGGTGAAACCCTGTCTCTACTAAAAATACAAAAATTAGCCAGGTGTGGTGGCAGGCGCCTGTAATTCCAGCTACTCAGGAGGCTGAGGCAGGAGAATCACTTGAACCCGGGAGGTGGAAGTTGCAGTGAGCTGAGATCCCGCCATTGCACTCCAGCCTGGGCAACAGAGCGAGACTCCATCTCAAAAAAAAAAAAAGACCAGAGAAGGGTGACAGAGCCGTGGTCAGGGAATGCCCCTCGTCAAGGAAGAATGACATTTCTGCAGAGCCCTAGGTGGGCCTGCTTGTCCTCCTTACCCCCGCCACCAGCCTCGTCCTCCCCAGGTGCCGCCTGCCCCTGTCAACAAGGACGACTTTGCCCTGGTCCAGCGGCCTGGCCCGGGTCTGTCTCAGGAGGCCGCCCGGCGCTATGGTGAACTCACCAAGCTCATACGGCAGCAGCACGAGGTGAGGGGGAGGCCCCCAGCCCATCCCCCAGGAGCGTGACCCTCCTTCCCCTCTCTTCCCTTCCCTCGACTCACTGCCTTCTGTTTCCCCAGATGTGCCTGAACCACTCAAACCAATTCACCCAGCTGGGCAACATCACTGAAACCACCAAGTAAGTGCCCTGACCTGTGCCAGACACTTGCACCCCCAGCCACCCATCCCCAGGGCCAGGGACATGAGCAGGGCCCTCCCACCGGCAGGTTTGAAAAGTTGGCGGAGGACTGTAAGCGGAGCATGGACATTCTGAAGCAAGCCTTCGTCCGGGGTCTCCCCACGCCCACCGCCCGCTTTGAGCAAAGGACCTTCAGCGTCATCAAGTAAGGCTCCTGATCTACGCCCCACCACGTGGCCCCAGTGGCCCTTTGGTGGCGGTGGGGCGGGTTGTGCTCCCCAGAAGCTGGCACAAGATTTACATCTGGAAGAAATTTTGGATAGGTGGAAGAGCACAGAGCATGCAAAGGCTCTGGGGCAGGCATGAGATACAAGTGAAGGATGGTGAGGGTGCAGTCACAGTGACGCATTTGGGAAAGATCTAGAGAGTGCAAAGGTGTATCTTGTCCCAGGGCCTGGGTGAGTCCACGGGGGACCAGAGATGAGTCACGGCTTTGGTGGGTGTTAGTCTTGGTACTATCAAGTCTTCCCATGCCCAGAGGAGCGGGGATTGTTTTCTCCACTTTATTTTTATTTTTATTTTGAGACAGAGTCTCACTCTGTTGCCCAGGCTGGAGTGCAGGGGTGTGATCTCTGCTCACTGCAAGCTCCACCTCCTGGATTCATGCCATTCTCCTGCCTCAGCCTCCCGAGAAGCTGGGACTACAGCCGCCCACCACCACGCCTGGCTAATTTTTTGTATTTTTAGTAGAGACGGGATTTCACCGTGTTAGCCAGGATGGTCTCGATCTCTTGACCTCGTGATCCGCCCACCTCGGCCTCCCAAAGTGCTGGGATTACAGGCGTGAGCCACCACTCCCGGCCTTTTTTAAAATTTTTTTTCTGAGACAGTCTCACTTTGTCACCCAGGCGGGAGTACAGTGGCGCAATCTCAGCTCACTTCAACCTCTGCCTCCCAGGTTCAAGCAATTCTCCTGCCTCAGCCTCCCAAATAGCTGGGACTACAGGTGCCCACCACCATGCCCAGCTAATTTTTGTATTTTTAGTAGAGACGGGGTTTCATTCAGTTGGCCAGGCTGGTCTCCTTAAATGATCCGCCTGCCTTGGCCTCCCAAAATTCTGGGGTTACAGGAGTGAGCCACTGCGTCCGGCCCATTTTCTCCACTTTCTAAATGAGGTTAGGTGCAGCCACTAGCCCTCCGGTGGTTCCCAGCTGCCCTTGGGATAACCCCCACCCCTTACCCTGGCTCCCCCATCTCCACACAGCCTGGCTCCTTGTCACCTCTTCTCTGCCTCCTGTCCCCGCTTCACTCAGCTTTGGCCACAAGGGACTCTTTTTGGTCCCTCCTACAAACAAAGTGTGTTCCTACCCCAAGCCTCTGCATCAGCTATTTCTTCCGCCTTCACCCTCTTCCTCAGGTCTCCATGTGGCAGCTCCCTCTTGACATCTAGAGTCACCTATGATGTCACCTTCCCTCTAAGAGGCCCTCCCTATCTATCCGAGCAGTCTCTTCTGAGCACACTCCACTCTCCCCTCTCTGCTGAGTTTTTTATTGTTTTTCTATTTATGTACTTATGCTCATCTGTCCACTCAGCTAGATTGAGCACAGGGTATGGGTATTTACTTCTAGATCCCCAGCAGCTAGGGTACTGACTGGCACATAGTAGGTGCTCAAGAAATATTGTGAAATGAGGCCAGGCGTGCTGGCTCACGCCTGTAATCCCAGCACTTTGGGAGGCTGAGGTGGGTGGATCACGAGGTCAGGAGATCGAGACCATTCTGGCTAACATGGTGAAATCCCGTCTCTACTAAAAATACACAAAATTATCCGGGCGTGGTGGTAGGCGCCCATAGTCCCACCTTCTTAGGAGGCTGAGGCAGGAGAATGGCATGAACCTGGGAGGCAGAGCTTGCAGTGAGCAGAGATCGCACTGCACTCCAGCCTGGGCGACAGAGTGAGACTGTCTCAAAAAAAAAAGAAATATTGTGAAATGAATAGAAGGTCCCCCAGCAACTAGGACACTAGCTGGTGCTTTAATAGGACTCAAAAAATATTAAGTGAGGCCAGGCTGGGAGGCCAAGGCAGGCGGATCATTTGAGGTCGGGAGTTCGAGACCAGCCTGGCCAACATGGTGAAACCCCATCTCTACTAAAAATATAAAAATTATCCAGCAGTGGTGGCGGGCAGCTGTAATCCCAGCTACTCAGGAGGCTGAGGCAGAAGAATCTCTTGAATCTGGGAGGTGGAGGTTGCAGTGGGCTGAGGTCGTACCATTGTACTCCAGCCTGGGCGACAGAGCAAGACTCTGTCTAAAAAAAAAAAAAAAATATATATATATATATATATATATATACACGTATATATATGTGTATATATATATACATATATGTGTGTATATATATATATACGTATATATATGTGTATATATATATATATACACGTATATATATGTATATATACACACACACACACACACACACATATATATTAAGTGAAAAGAAGGTCCCCCAGCAGCTGGGGTACTGGCTGGCACATAGTAGGTGCTCAAGAAACATTGGGAAATGAAGGAAAGATCTCCCAGCAGCTAGGGCACTGGCTGATGCTTAGTAGGACTCAACAACTGTTAAGTGAAGGGAATATCACCCAGCAGCTAGGGTACCTAGCACACAGTAGATACCAAATAAATATACACAGACTGAAGAAAAGACTCGAAAGTGATCCATTGCCAACCTGAACAGAGAACTCTAGTCTGTCTGATTCTAAAATGAGCCCAGGAGCTGAGACACCCCCGAAGGCCAGGGTGGGGTTTGTTCCCTGCCCCCACTGGGGGAAGAGAAGGCAGGCGGGCAGTGGGACTGAGGTGCCTCTGTTTCCCTGCCCACCTGCCTGCCCACCTGCCCACCCGGAAGGATCTTCCCTGACCTCAGCAGCAACGACATGCTCCTCTTCATCGTGAAGGGCATCAACTTGCCCACACCCCCAGGTGAGGGGGCTGTAGGCAAGGGTCAGGGTCATGGGGACCCCCTCTCTGCCCAGCTCTGACCGTTGTTTGCCCACAGGACTGTCCCCTGGCGATCTGGATGTCTTTGTTCGGTTTGACTTCCCCTATCCCAACGTGGTACGTGGGGAGCTGAGGAGGGGAGGGCTGCAGCCTCAGTGGGCCAAAGCCAGGTCCCAGGCCCCCTAGATTTCCTGCCTCCTCTCTGGTCATAGGAAGAAGCTCAGAAAGACAAGACCAGTGTGATCAAGAACACAGACTCCCCTGGTGAGCCTCGGCTGGAAGCACCCTACCCCTACTCCCTTGCAGCAGAAGGGACATAAGACAATGGCCTGACCCCACCCAACTTCCTCTCCCTCCTTCCTCCTGCAGAGTTCAAGGAGCAGTTCAAACTCTGCATCAACCGCAGCCACCGTGGCTTCCGAAGGGCCATCCAGACCAAGGGCATCAAGTTCGAAGTGGTTCACAAGGGGTGAGCTAGAGAGAGCCATGGCCGCTGGGTGGGCTCCAGGGGAGGGGAGCTCCTCTGAACCAACCATCCTGTCCCCACTATACACACATGCACACAGGGGGCTGTTCAAGACTGACCGGGTGCTGGGGACAGCCCAGCTGAAGCTGGATGCACTGGAGATAGCATGTGAGGTCCGGGAGATCCTTGAGGTGAGAGGTGGACATTCATCCGCGTGCTCCGGTATGGCCATGCTACTCGTTAACATTATTAAAACACTTCCTGCCTTGAGCCCTCTATGAGCCTGTCTGTTGACCCAGCCCCTCCCCTCAGAGCCTCAGACCTCCCTACTGCCCAGCCCTAAATACTTGCAGTACCCCACTCCATTATGATCAACTGGTATCTCAGCCATACCATGGGCTCATATTTTAGAAACCACTCTTGGCCAGGCATGGTGGCTCATGCCTGTAATCCCAGCACTTTGGGAGGCTGAGGCGGGCAGATCACGAGGTCAGGAGATCGAGACCATCCTGGCTAACATGGTGAAACCCTGTTTCTACTAAAATACAAAAAAATTAGCCAGGCATGGTGGCGGGCGCCTGTAGTCCCAGCTACTCGGGAGGCTGAGGCAGGAGAATGGCGTAAGTAAACCCAGGAGGCGGAGCTTGCAGTGAGCCCAGATTGCACCACTGCACTCCAGCCTGGACAACAGAGCGAGACTCTATCTCAGAAAAAAAAAAAACCAAAAAAAAAAACCAGTCTTGTTCTCCCTTGTCCTGGCCCTGGGCCTCTAGTCACTTCCTGCTTCCCACCAACAGTTTCTCCTTACCCCCACCCAGGTCCTGGATGGTCGCCGGCCCACAGGGGGGCGACTGGAGGTAATGGTCCGGATTCGGGAGCCACTGACAGCCCAGCAGTTGGAGACGACGACAGAGAGGTGGCTGGTCATTGACCCTGTGCCGGCAGCTGTGCCCACAGTGAGACCCCCCACCCCCACCCATCAGCAACCCCAGGGAGGGAAGCTTGGTTCAGGGGCCCAGGACTCACAGGACTGGTTCTCTCCTCTGAAGCAGGTTGCTGGGCCCAAAGGGAAGGCCCCTCCTGTGCCTGCCCCTGCAAGGGAGTCAGGGAACAGGTAGGTATCTGGGCCAGGGCATGCTGGAGAAAACACCCAATTCCCCTCTCAGCCCCACCTGGACAGTTTCCCACCAGGCACAAATTGGACCACGTCCCTCTCCTGCTGCAAAACCTTTCTTGGCACCCCTTTTCCCAGAGGATCCAGTTTAAACTCCTTGGTTTGGTCTTTAAAACCTTTTGTGATCTGACCATTGTCAACATATCCAGGCTTCTCTCTCCCTACTCCCTCCTGTGGTTCATGTCCATGAATAGTTTTCACTGGCCTCTGGACTTCTGTGGGTTCCAGTGCCCTGAACACCCCTACCTAGGGTAGGGGTGTTCCTTGTTCCTCTGCCCACCTCTGATTCCTTCTTTGGATCCCAACTTGGCTGTTACCTCCTCCAGGAAGCCCTCCCTGACCACTAGGCATCATAGTTTCCTGGGTGTGCAGCCATCATCCCCGCTAGGTTTTGGGATCAGTAACACCGGGTGGTTCTCGGCTGTCTCCCACCATACCCCCAGTGCCCAGTGTGTCTTTTTTTTTTTTTTTTTTTTTTGAGACAGAGTCTAGCTCTGTCGCCCAGGCTAGAGTGCAATGGCGCGATCTCAGCTCACAGCAACCTCCGCCTCTGGGGTTCAAGCGATTCTCCTGCCTCAGCCTCCTGAGTAGCTGGGATTACAGGCATGCGCCACCACACCCAGCTAATTTTTCTATTTTTAGTAGAGATGGGGTTTCTCCATGTTGGTCAGGCTGGTCTCGAACTCCCGACCTCAGGTGATCTGCCTGCCTCGGCCTCCCAAAGTGCTGGGATTACAGGCATGAGCTACCATGCTCGGCTTTTTTTTTTTTTTGAGACAGAATCTTGCTCTGTCACCCAGGTTGGAGTGCAGTGGTGTGATCTCGGCTCATTGCAACCTCCAGCTCCCAGGTTCAAGCAATTCTTCTGCCTCAGCCTCCCAAGTAGCTGGGACTACAGGAGCACACCACCATGCCCAGCTAATTTTTTTTCTATTTTTAGTAGAGACGGGGTTTCACCATATTGGCCAGGCTGGTCTCGAACTCCTGACCTCATGATCCACTCACCTCCGCCTCCCAAAGTGCAGGGATTACAGGCGTGAGCCACTGTGCCCAGCCCAGTGTGTCTTTTGAATTAACAGGGTTGGGCTGGGGGAATCTCTGCAGTCCCTTATCCTTCCTCCACCCCTTAGATCAGCCCGGCCCCTGCATAGCCTCAGTGTGCTGGCGTTTGACCAAGAGCGTCTGGAGCGGAAGGTGGGTATCCATCCTGCCGGGCTACATGGGGCAGGACTGGGGAGTCTGCAGGCCCAGGCAGGATCCTCACAGGACCCTCTGTATCCTCTAGATCCTGGCCCTCAGGCAGGCGCGGCGGCCGGTGCCCCCAGAAGTGGCCCAGCAGTACCAGGACATCATGCAACGCAGCCAGTGGCAGAGGGCACAGCTGGAGCAGGGGGGTGTGGGCATCCGACGGGGTAGGGGTTTGGAGATGGGCATCTGGTGGGGGAGGAGCTCCAGGATAGGCATGGGGGGGGAGGTGCTCAGGGATGCATATCTGGTGGGGGAGGGGCTCGGGGATGGGCATCTGGAGAGGGAGGGGCTCGGGGATGGGCACCTGGAGGGGGAGGGGCTCGGGGATGGGCACCTGGAGGGGGAGGGGCTCGGGGATGGGCATCTGGAGAGGGAGGGGCTCGGGGATGGGCACCTGGAGGGGGAGGGGCTCGGGGATGGGCACCTGGAGGGGGAGGGGCTCGGGGATGGGCACCTGGAGGGGGAGGGGCTCGGGGATGGGCACCTGGCGGGGGACGGGCTTGGGGATGGGCACAGTCCAGGAGGGTTGTGGGCAGTGAGGCCCCACCCTAAGCCTCCATTCCCCCGCCATCCATTCTCAGAATACGCAGCCCAGCTGGAGCGGCAGCTGCAGTTCTACACGGAGGCTGCCCGGCGCCTGGGCAACGATGGCAGCAGGGTGAGCTGGTCGCGGGCCGGGTGGGCACTGGGCAGCGGGCAGGGTGGGGCCTGCAGGGACTACCTGCTGAATGCCCATCCCCCACAGGATGCTGCAAAGGAGGCGCTCTATAGGCGGAATCTGGTAGAGAGTGAGGTAAGCAGCTTAGGAGATGGGGTGGTTGGGGGATCACTGTGGTCGTAGCCCACCTCCATGACCCCAGTGGCCTCCTCTCCCCCAGCTGCAGCGGCTCCGCAGGTGAGGAGCCCATGGGGCGGGCAGCCCCCAGAAAGCGGGCAGCAGGCCCCGATACCGGGAAGAGCCGACACAGCCACGAACCAGACAAGCAGACAATCAGCGGACAATCGGTTCTGGACTCACCCCTCATCCGGGCCCCCAGCCCCGCCAGAGCCTCCGTGGCTGCGGGTGTTGGGAACCATGCCTGCCAGCCAGTATGTGCCCCTCACCCAGGCCTGGCTGGGCCCTGGAGAGTCCTGTTTGCACAGCCCAGGGGTGTCCGGCCTCTGGCCCGCCCCGGAGCAGGGAGGGTGGCTGGGGCCAAGCCCCGAGGGCCCCTGCAAGCACTTTACTTCCTGTTCCTCCCCAGCCTTAACCCCAAAGCCCTCCTGCACCCCAAAGAAGCCACTGAGGCTGGCCGAGCCACACTGTCTCCCCAGGGGCGTCGACCTGGCCCAGCTGGGTCCCCAGGGCCAGCACATGGAATAAAATAGCCAGGGCCACACTCAGCCCAGCTCTGTCCTGTCTGTTTCTTGCTCAGACCCTCGGTGGCCAGGCTAGGTCTTCCCACCCACCCCCCGGTTCCCCTGGAAGTGGATGGGGAGGCGCCTGTTAGGGAAGCAGTTTTGGGGAGGGACAGTGTGCTTGTGAAAGGTGCTTTTTTTTTTTTTTTTTAGAGACCGGGTTTCCCTCTGTCACCCAGGCTGCAGCGCAGTGGCACAATCAGCTCATTGCAGCCTCCGACTCCTGGGCTCACATGATCCTCCTGCCTCAGCCTCCTAACGGATTACAGAAGGGCACCACCACACACCCAGCTTGAAGGATGCATTTCATTCCCATGCTTGCTGTGGGGGGGGATACATGTGAGGGTCCCTATATCTGTCACCCAGTGTTTTTTCAGTGGGTGGCCTTGGGCGTCCCTGCAATCACACGTGGCTAGGTCGCACAGGGTGCTGTTTGGTGACCCCAGTGTGTGCCTCAAGACCTCAAAATTCAGTCCTGACCCACTTAGCATCCCAGAGCCTCAGTTTCCCCAGCTGGACTGGTTGTGGGGAGGAGTCCGTGGACAGAGCCCCCAAAGGGTGCCTGGTCCGTGCTGAGTGCTGGAAGGGTTTGGCTTTATTGTTGCTGCCTCCATCTGTGTTGGGAGTTTGGGGTAGGGTGTGTCCCGCCAGGCCGGCGTGGTCTGTGAGCCTGGAGTATGCCAGCTGTGTGCCTCTGTGTCTCGGCCAGTGGCAGGCAGAGCAGGCCCAGCCCTGGAGGCCCAGGAGAGCCAGACCAAGGGCCCCTGGTGGGCGTTGTCTCCTCAGTCCACGGCCCAGCGGAGTCCCAGGAGTCTGAGCTGCTCTGCTGGGCCTCTCTAGGATCAGGGGCCCCCTGCCCGTGGCCCACGTGGGGTGGTGGGAGGCAGCCGGATCAGGACCTGCTCCGGATTCCCTGCCGTGTCCACCACACGCAGGTTTGGGAGCCCCAGGAAGGCCTCAGCCGCGATGCTCGTCATGTGAAGCCTGTTGGCCCTGCACAGAGAGGCGGTCATGACCCTCCCAGGCCCTCCCCTGCCCACCTCCACCCCTCCGGTCACCCTCGGGGCACCTGAGGAAGAGGGCACGCAGGCGGGGTGTGCTGAGGAAGGCCTCGGGGCCCACGTGGCCGATGCGGTTGCCCTCGAGGTGCAGCTCCTCTAGGGCCTCAGGCAGGTCCGGGGGCACAAAGGACAGCTCATTGTGGCTGAGGTCCAGCATCTGGGCAGGGGGTTATAGATGGCATCGTGGCAGCCCCAGGCCTGGGCCACTCAGCTCAGCCAGCCCCCAACCTCTCTGAGAGTCCCCTGCCCCCTTCATACCAGCCTGGCCCTTCTGCCCCCCACCCCCCATGATTGCCAAATTCCTCCCTTCTGCAGAGGTAAACTAAGGCCCTTCCCAGGAAGGCACAGACAGACAGGTCCCCACTTGATTAAATGAGTCAGTCATTGAATCGCACCATACCTCTTTCATCACTTTTTTTTTCAAGAGACAGGGTCTTGCTCTGTTGCCCAGTCTAGAGGGCAGTGGCCCGATCACGGCTCATTGCAGCCTCAAACTTCTGGGCTCAAGCGATCCTCCTGCCTCAGCCTCCTGAATAGCTGGGACTACAGGCATGTGCCACCACGCTTGGCTATGTTTTTTTGGTAGAGATAGGGTCTTGCTGTGTTGCCAGGCTGGTCTCAAACCCATAGCCTAAAGCGATTCTCCTGCCTTGGCTCCCCAAAGTGCTGGGATTACAGGCATGAGCCACCTCACCCAGCCTCCTCATCACCTTCTAACCCACTCTTATCATTTTCTTGTTCTGATTGCTTTACCAGCTAACTAGAATGTTTGGGACGTGGCAGGGCAGGCAGGGGGATGGAGGGGCCCTGGGGACAGTGTGGCTAACCAGCCTGTGCCTGACCTGGAGGGCTTGGAGCTCATGCCAGGTGCCTGGCCCGATGTCGCCGACCCGGAGCCGGTTGTGCGCCAGGCTGAGCTCCCGCAGTTGGTCCAGGCCGGCCAGAGGCTCGGGCTCGAGCATCCGCAGCTGGTTGCGTTGCAGCTGCAGGGTGCGCAGGCCAGTGGGCAGGCCCATGGGCAGCCGGGTTAGCTGATTCCCTGCCAGGTCGAGGCTGCGCAGGGCACGCAACCGGCGGAAGGCCCGGTGGTGCACACGGGCGCTGGCCAGGCGGTTATAGGCCAGGTTAAGCTCCGTCAGGCCCGGTGTGGCGACCAGGTCACGGGCACCCAGCGCGGCCACGTGGTTGTGGGGCAGCACCAGGGCACGCAGGCGGCGGGGCAGGGCTGGAGGCACGCGGTCCAGCCCATTGCCATAGAGGTGCAGCGTGTGCAGGCCCCGCAGCGGCCGCAGAGCCCCGGCGGGCAGCCCTGAGCTCCCCAGCTGGTTGTGCTGCAGCAACAAATAGCGCAGACCACGCGCCCCGTGCAGCCGAGCCGCCTCCACCTGCCGGATGCGGTTGCGGCCCAGGTGCAGGATAGCCAGGGTCCGGGGCAGGCCGGCGGGCACTGTGGTCAGCTGGTTGTGGGAGAGATCCAGGTATTCAAGGCTATGCAGCTTGCTGGAAGGAGAGAGGGTCGGTGTTAGGTGGGGCACTTGGAGTGGGGTGCCTGACAGATTTTGGCGGGGAGGCTGGGGAGTGGTCCTGAGACAGATTTAAGCTGGAGATTTTGACTTGGGAGTGATGCGTGGAGAGAGCTGGGTGGGAGGTAAACTTGGGGTGCCCAGGGCAGATTCCAGCCTGAGAGTTAGCTATGGGGGTGACCAGGGTAGAGCCGAGATGGAAAGGCATGTGAGACTTACGATGTCAGTGCAGGGCTGTGGGGAACAGGGACACCTACCCAGTGCTCTGCCGAGCCCAGTGAGCAGCAGGCACTCAGTAAATGAGGCCGTGGCTTAGGAGCCAGTCAGGGAAGGGGGACTGAAGGTTGGGACCCCCGACTGTAAATTCTCAGCCCCTGCTGCCCCCCAACCAGCCTGTACCTGAAGGTGGTGGCATCCAGGCCACTGTCTGTCAGCTGGTTGTGCTGGAGGTAGAGCTCACGGAGTTGAGTCTGGCGGCTCAGGGCTCCTCGGGGCACCTTGGAGATGAGATTGTTCTGGAGAAGGAAGAAGAGAATGAGACTTGAGTCTGGGATGAGGGCAGCGGGAAGCCACAGACGGCTCTTGAGTAAGGGAGTGACGAGGAGCTTGCCTTGAGCTCAAAGCGATTTCCAATAAAGTGATTCAAAGAAGGATAACTCTGACCACTGGCATTCTGAGGGGCAATTGAGAAGAATGGAAAGCTAGGAACTGGAGGGGTCCCCCTGGAAAGAGGTGAAGAGAGTCTGGCCCGGGGTGGGACCTACAGCAGGGCTACCTGCAGGTGGAGCCGCTCGAGTGAGGGCGGCAGGCTGGGCGGCAGGTAGCTGAGCTGGTTGTTGGAGAGGCTGAGGGTGGCGATGGCCTCGGAGCCGCGGAAGGCGTCGGGGGGCAGGCCAGCGTTGCTCAGCTGGTTGTTGTGGAGGTACACGGACCTGAGGAGAGCCAGGCTCCGGCCACCAGCCTGCCCCTCGCCTCCTACCACCCCACTCCCGCACCACACCCTGCTCAGGGTCGCCTTCAGTGTGTGTGTGTGTGTGTGTGTGTGTGTGCGCGCGCATGTGTGGAGTCTGTGTGGGAATGTAATTGTGTATGTGTGCATGTGACTGTGCGTAGGTGTGCAGGTGAGTGTGCATGTGTGTTGTATGAATAGACGTGTGTGCATGTGTGAGCAGTGTGCATGTGTAAGTGTAATGAGTGCATATGTGGAGTGTGTGTGCACGTGTGTATGTGATTGTAAGAGTGTGTGGGCGTGCATGTGTGTATGTATATGCAAGTGTGTGCTATGTGCCTGTGCATAAGTGTGCATGGGTGAGTGTGTGCATGTGATTGTAAGTGTGGGTGTGCATGTGTGCATGCCTGTGCATAAGTGTGCATGTGATTGTGTGTGTGCAGCCGAGTGTG
Organism: Homo sapiens; assembly: GCF_000001405.40. Classification (NCBI taxonomy): domain Eukaryota; kingdom Metazoa; phylum Chordata; class Mammalia; order Primates; family Hominidae; genus Homo; species Homo sapiens. The sequence continues at coordinate 13,934,880 of NC_000019.10, forward strand.
CAACTGTGTGTATGCATGTATGTCCATGTGTGCATGTGATCATGTGCAAAAGTGTGAGCATTGTGTACATATGTGCATGTGTGTGCTTGTGTGTGCATGTGATTGCGTGTGCATGCATGAGTGTGTGCCTGTGTGCATGTGGTTGGAAGTGTGTGCAGGTGTGTATGTGAGTCTGTGTGTGTGCTTGTGTGTGCATGTGATTGTGTGTGCATGAGCATGTGTTCATGTGGTTGTGTGTGCAGGTGTGTATGTGAGTCTGTGTAAGTGTGTGTGTGTGTGTGTCCCTGCACATACTGTCTCCACCTCAGTCTGGAGTTCTGACACAGCATACAGGGCCCTGTCTCCCCGCTCACTCTCCTCCCAGGGTAGAACTATGCCCTCTTCCCACTCCCCAAGGCTAGGGATCTGTCCCTGGTTAAGCCCTCCAGGGCAAGGCATTTTGTTTCTGTTTTTGTTTTTAATTTTGAGACAGAGTCTCACTCTGTCGCCCAGGCTTGAGTGCGGTGGCACGATTTCGTCTCACTGCAAACTCCACCTCCTGGGTTCAAGCCAGTCTCCTGCCTCAGCCTCCTGAGTGGCGGGGATTACAGGCGCACACCACCACCCCCAGCTAATTTTTGTATTTTAAGTAGAGACAGGGTTTCATCATGTTGGCCAGGCTGGTCTCGAACTCCTGACCCCAGATGATCCTCCCACCTTGGCCTCCCAAAGTGCTAGGATTACAGGAGTGAGCCACTGCACCCGGCCGAGGGCAAGGTCTTAACTCCCTCATTGCTCCTAGAACCGGGGCATGACACAGATGTATCTGAGGCCTGGGGGCCTGGGCTGGGCCAGGGTCTACCTGAGTGCCGGCTTCTCCCCAAAGGTGAGGGGGAAGATCTCCATCACTTGGTTGGCAGCCAGATCCGCGACACGGAGGGACCGGGGCAGAAACTGAGGGGCCACTGAGAGCTGTGGGGACACAGCCCACAGCCGGACTGGTCCTGGTGCGCCTTGGCCCCACCACTTCCCCAGCAGAGCTGTCCCCTCCACACCCTGGGCTGAGTGACTGAAGCTGCACCCTCACTGGGCTCGGCCTGCGGGTGGGGCTGGGGGCTCACCTTGTTGTGAGCCACGCAGAGGTGCTGCAGCTGGGTGAGGGACTCGAAGGCCTCGTCAGGCAGGCCTGGGAGAGTAGGGGGGCAGTGAAGGGACCCCAGGCCTGTCTTGGGTGGAGGGGGAGTCTGGGCTCCCAGCTGCCCCAGGACTCTCGGCCGGGGAACTGGCAGAGGCTCCCCAGGCCCTCAGATCCCCTCCTCCCCATCCCTACTCAAAAGCCACAGCCCCCAACCCCCACCCCAGCTCCTGAGTTTCCATCCTGCTCAGCAAAGGGCAGTTCTGGGAACTGCCACAGAGCTGCCCGCAGATGGGGCGGGGGAGGGGGATGGCAGCTGAGACCTCGGTCAGTCCTACAGCCCCAGAGAGGCCGCCTCCCTCTGCCCCCTCACCTTCGGAGGAGATGAGGTTGTTGTGGAGGTTGAGGGTTCGCAGGCCACTGAGGCGGGACAGCTCATTGTAGGGGAGTTCCTGGAGCTGGTTGTTCTGCAGGGTGAGAGTTGGGGTGTTCACACCCGTGACCCCGTGACCAAGTGACCCCAAGCACTGATTCTCAACTTCCCATCAGCCCAAACCAGCCCCATACCATCATCACCCCCACAGTTAATCCCAAACACCCCATCACTCTGACCCAGTCTTATAACTGCCAAGATGTCAAACCCCAAACCCCCACAATCGACCCCAAATGTGCCATCACCCCCACAATCGACCCCAATTCCCCCAACACCCCCACAATCAACCCAAATGTGCCATCACCCCCACAACCGACCCCAAATGCACCATCACCCCCACAATCGACCCCAAATTCCTCAACACCCCCACAATCAACCCCAAATGTGCCATCACCCCCACAATCACCCCCAAATGCACCATCACCCCCACAATCGACCCCAAATGCCCCAACACCCCCACAATCGACCCCAAATGCGCCATCACCCCCGCAATCAACCCCACATGCCACAACACCCCCACAATCGACCCCAAATGCGCCATCACCCCCGCAATCAACCCCACATGCCACAACACCCCCACAATCGACCCCAAATGCGCCATCACCCCCGCAATCAACCCCACATGCCACAACACCCCCACAATCGACCCCAAATGCGCCATCACCCCCGCAATCAACCCCACATGCCACAACACCCCCGCAATCGACCCCAAATGTGCCATCACCCCCGCAATCAACCCCACATGCCCCAACACCCCCGCAATCGACCCCAAATGTGCCATCACCCCCGCAATCAACCCCACATGCCCCAACACCCCCGCAATCGACCCCAAATGTGCCATCACCCCCGCAATCAACCCCACATGCCCCAACACCCCCGCAATCGACCCCAAATGCGCCATCACCCCCGCAATCGACCCCAAATGCGCCATCACCCCCACAATCGACCACAATGCGACATCACCCCCACAATTGACCCCAAATGCGCCATCACCCCCACAATCGACCCCAAATGTGCCATCACCCCCACCATCAACCCCACACGCCACAACATCCCCATAACCCCAAACTCCCCATCACACTAACTCCAAACAACACTATAACCGCCAAGATGTTGACCCTAACACCACTAATCCTCAGTCCCCGACAACTTCCAGCATGTCCACGCTCACCCCTCTCATCTTGGGCATGCAGAGCCAATCTGCCAAGGCAAAGCTCCATCACAGCCTGCTCTGCACCGCCCTCCTGCAAGTGTGTTCCTATACCCCACCACGCTCCTCAGCTCTGGGGCACCCCTCCAGCTCCCCTCACCACTGGGTCTCAGCCCTGCATGCCCCCACTCCCCTCCGTGGGCCCCACCTGCAGGGAGAGGTGCTGAGCGGCTCTGGTGATGTTGTCCGGGAACACTCGAAGGTCCAAGCCATCACAGTCCACAGTGTCGACTCGGGGGCAGGAGCAGCGCAGGGGACAGGCCCGGGGCAGGGGCTGCAAGCTCTCCCCCAGGTGGGGGAAGGCAGCGTCTTCCAAGCCGGCGACGGGCGGGGGCCCCGGCAACAGCAGGAGCAGCAGCAGGCTCGGCCACTGCGGGGGAGGGAGGGTCAGCGTGTCTCCAGGCTGGGCGCAGGGTCGCCATGGTGACTGGAGCATCCCCTCCTCGGGGAGGGTCTTGGTGGGGAGGCAGTGGCCAGTTGGCAGAGCAGGGGTGGGGGGGCAGGCAGGCCCCACCCTCAGACCCTCCCGTGCCCCACCTTACCATGGCCAGCCCTGACTCTGCCATCTCGCCCAAGCTGCTGACCAGGACTTCCTAATGGAAACCAGGCGGTCACCTCCTGGAGCCTCTGCTGTGGCCACCACCGCCCCCCATCTCCAGACCCATGCCACCCCCCACAACAGCCTGTTCTCCCGGGGCTTTGGGGGAGCTGGCCCACCCCCTTCCCCGCCCTGGGGAGGACGGGCAGGCGGCCGGATGGGGTGGTGAGGACAGGCCAGCCCGTCCCCTTGGTCCCCCCCAACAACCACCCCATCTCTGCTTTCGTAACCTCAGCCAGCCTGGGCCGGGCCACAAGAACAAGGAATGTTTGGGGAAAAGCTGAGATTCGTCCTGTCTGGTATTTGGGACGACCGCAGGAGTAGGGGTGGGGATGGAGGGATGGGGGGAGCTTCGGGGCACAGGAGAGTTCCGAGAAGCAGGGGCGGGCAGCAGCGAGGGATTAGGGAGGCCTGAGCTTAGCCTGGCAGCCCAGATGCCAGCCTGGGAGCTCCTGACCAGGTCTGCTGCCCGGCACCCACCTCCCCTCTGCTGGCTGGTCTTGCTCCAGACACCCGCCCCCTCCTCCCCCCGCAAATGGCCACAGCCGCCTGGAAGGAAATTACATATATCCAGGCATCAGCCTGGTGGTTAAGAGTGTGAGCTTGGTGCCAGCCTGCCTGGGTTTGAACCTGGGCTGTGCCACCTCTCAGGGCCTTGGTTTCCCTTTCTGGGGTAATGGTTGGCTCACCACCCCACACTCCCCCACAGTGTTGTAAGGATTATACGAAGTGTGCATTCAGAACAGTGCCTGGCATATCCCAGGGCTTTGGCACCCGTGGATGGGGGTGACAAGCTGGTCTCCACATGAGGTCAATTCTCCCAGACCCACAACTTACCAACAGGGCGGCTTCAGACAGGTCCTTCTCCTGCCCAGACCTCAGCTTTCCCACACATAAAATGGGATTGACAGGCTGGGTGCTGGGGTTTATACCTGTAATCCCAGTGCTTTGGGAAGCTGAGACAGGAGGATCTCTCTTTTGTTTTTTGAGACAGAGTCTCACTCTGTCACTCTGTCGCCTAGGCTGGAGGGCAGTGGCGTGATCTCGGCTCACTGCAACCTCCACCTCCGGGGTTCAAGTGATTCTCCCGCCTCAGCCTCCCAAGTAGCTGGGATTACAGGCGCCTCCCACCATGCCCAGCTAATTTTTGTATTTTTAGTACAGACAGGGTTTCGCCAAGTTGGCCAGGCTGGTCTCGAACTCCTGACCTCAGGTGATTTGCCCACCTTGGCCTCCCAAAGTGCTCGGATTACAGGCATGAGCCACCACATCTGGCTAGAAGGATCTCTTGAGGCCAGGAATTTGAGACCAGACTGGGCAATATAGTGAGACCCTGTCTCTAAAAATAAATTTAAAAAAAAATTAGCCTGGGCTGGGCTCCATGGCTCACACCTGTAATCCCAGCACTTTGGGAGGCTTAGGCAGGCGGATCACCTGAGGTCAGGAGTTCCAGAGCATCGAGCCCAACATGGTGAAATCCTGTCTACTAAAAATACAAAAATTAGCTGGGCATGATGGCACGTGCCTGTAATCCCAGCTACTCCAGAGGCTGAGGCACGAGAATCGCTTGAACCTGGGAAGTGGAGATCACATCACTGCACTCCAGCCTGGGCAACAGAGCAAAACTCTGTTTCAATAATAATAATAATAATAATAACTAACCTGGTATGGTGGTGCACACCCACAGTCCCAGGTACTCAGGAGGCCAAGGCAGGAGGAACACTTGAGCCTCTGGGCTCAAGTTTGAGGTTACAATGAGCTATGTGCCACTGCACGCCACTCTGGGCAACAGAATAAAACCCTGTTATTAAATAAAGAAAAAAAAAGTGGGGGGATGACAAACCCCCCCCCTCAAAGAGCTGTCTTGAAGCAGAACGAGGCAGTGGGTAGAACATTTTAAGAATGGTGGCTGGGTGTGGTGGCTCATGCCTGTAATCCCAACACTTTTGGAGGCTGAGGCAGGAGGATGGCTCTAAGCCCAGGAGTTTGAGACCAGCCTGGTCAATAATGGTGAGACCCCCGTCTCTAAAAAAATTTTTTAAAAACTTTGTGGGGGGCCAGGCGCGGTGGCTCACACCTGTAATCCCAGCACTTTGGGAGGCCGAGGCAGGTGGATCACAAGGTCAAGAGATCGAGACCATCCTGGCTAACACTGTGAAACCCCATCTCTACTAAAAATACAAAAAATTAGCTGGGTGTGGTGGTGCGCGCCTGTAGTCCCAGCTACTCAGGAGCCTGAGGCAGGAGAATCACTAGAACCAGGGAGGCGGAGGTTGCAGTGAGCCGAGATCACGCCACTGTACTCCAGCCTGGGTGACAGAGCAAGACTCCGTCTCAAAAAAAAAAAAAAAAAAAAACTTAGCGGGGGCCAGGCGCGGTAGCTCACACCTGTAATCCCAGCACTTTGGGAGGCCGAGGTGGGCAGATCAGCTGAGGTCAGGAGTTCGAGACCAGCCTGGCCAACATGGCGAAACCCTGTCTCTACTAAAAAATACAAAAATTAGCTGGGTGTGGTGGCATGTGCCTGTAATCCCAGCTACTTGGGAGGCTGAGGCAGGAAAATGGCTTGAACTTGGGAGGCAGAGGTTGCAGTGAGCAGAGATTGTGCTACTGCACTCCAGTCTGGGCTATGGTGCGAGACTCTGTCTCAAACAAAACAAAACTTAGCGGGGCATGGTGGTGTTGCCTGTAGTCCCAGCTACCAGGGAGGCTGAAGTGGGAGGATCACATGAACCCAGGAGGTTGAAGCTGCAGTGAGCCGTGTTCATGCTACTGTACACCAGCCTGGATGACAGAGTGAGACCCTGTCTCAAAAATGAATGAATAAATAAAAATAAAAGTATAGTGTCGGCCAAGGACGGTGGCTCACACCTGTAATCCCAGCACTTTGGGAGGCCAAGGCAGGTGGATCACCTGAGGTCAGGAGTTTGAAACCAACCTGGCCAACATGGTGAAACCCAGTCTCTACTAAAAATACAAAAATTTCCTGGGCACGGTGGTGCATGCCTGTAATCCCAGCTACTCAGGAGGCTAATGCAGGAGAATTGCTTGAACCTGAGAGCTGGAGGCTGCAGTGAGCCGAGATCACACCACTGCACTCCAGGCTGGGTAACAGTGAGACTCCGTCTCAAAAAAAAAAAAAAAAAAAAAGTATAGCGTCTGCTCAGCTTGGGAGTGGCCAAGGCCAGGAGTTGGAGTCTCCCAGAAGCAGAGCTTGAGACAAGGATTGAGTGCATTTATTCCAGAGAAGGCAGGCAGTGATACAGGGGAGGGAGGAAGTGATCAAGAAACAGTGGCTGGGCGCAGTGGCCCACGCCTGTAATTCCAGCACTTTGGGAGGCTGAGGTGGGCAGATCACCTAAGGTCAGGAGTTCGAGACCATCCTGGCCAACAAGGTGAAACCCCGTCTCTACTAAAAATACAAAAAAATTAGCCAGGCATGGTGGCAGGCACCTATAATCCCAGCTACTTGGGAGGCTGAGGCAGGAGAATTTCTTGAACCTGGGAGGTGGAGGTTGCAGTGAGCCGAGATTGCATCACTGCACTCCAGCCTGGGCGACAGTGCAAGACTCCATCTCAAAGAAAAAAAAGTTAAGAAACATGGGCCAAGAGAGGTGGTTATCTGTTCATGTTTCCTAGGGCTGTGTGACCTCCTGAGGGTCTCTCTTCATGGGGTGAGACAGGAGACGGGTCTTAGTTTAGGCCAGAAGAGAACAACAGCTCCTATCTCAAGTACTCCCCATGGGATGGATGGCCATTAGCTTGGACATTGGGTGGAAGTTCCTCAGTCTCTTCAGCAGTGTAATGGGGCTAACCCTAGGGAGACAGGACTACTGTAGCAGTCCTAGCCCCCAGGGAAGCAGCAATAAGAACCAAGATGTTTGAGTTCCGGGCAAGCCTCTTTCCATTGCAAAGGAAGGAGAACCCAAACTGAACTAGCTAATACAAACAAGGGCATTTACTGGCTCATGAACAGAAAACCTGTATCCTTCAGGCACAGCTGGATCCAGGGGCTCCAGTGATCTCTTCTAGATGAATTCTCTCTTGAACTCTGAACTCTACTTGCAGGCTTCTGTATGTGGTGCTAAGACATTCCCAGAACCAATAAGCATTCTTCCCTGGCTTTAGTAGAAAGCCTCAGACTTAAATCTCATTGGCCTAAATTTGGTCACATGTCCATCCAGAGCCAATCCCTGGGGCCAGAGGGATGGAATGTGCTGATTGGCTAGGAACCTAACCATTGTTCCTGTAAATAACCCACTGGCCTTATCTTCCTGCAACAAACTCCCCTTCTGCCACACTGTCCTGTCCAGTCCTGCCTGGTCCTGCCCAGTTCTGCATTACCCAGCAGGGGCCTCTGCAGGGATAACAATGGAGTATGGTCCATCAATGTGGCCCCAGTGTCCAGCATGGAGCCTGGTATAATCAGTATTTAGTAAATATTTACAGAATGCACATAGGATTGGCTGTGCGCCCCTGTGGCTCACACCTGTAATCCCAGCACTTTGGGAGGCAGAGACGGGCAGATCATGTGAGGTTGGGAGTTTGAGACCAGCCTGGCCAACATGGTGAAACCCCATGTCTACTAAAAAATACAAAAAAAAACAACAAAAAAAATTAGCTGTGTATGGTGGTGCACACCTGTAATCCCAGCTACTCAGGAGGCTGAGGCAGGAGAATCGCTTGAGCTCAGGAGGCACAGGTTGCAGTGAGCCGCGATCACACCACTGCACTCCAGCCTGGGTGACAGAGCAAGACTCTCTCTAAAAAAAGACAGAAAGGGCCAGGCACGGTGTCTCATGCTGTAATCCCAGCACTTTGGGAGGCTGAGGCAGGCGGATCACCTGAGGTCGGGAGTTTGAGACCAGCCTGACAAACATGGATAAACCCCGTCTCTACTAAAAATACAAAATTAGCCAGGCATGGTGGCACATGCCTGTAATCCCAGCTACTCAGGAGGCTGAGGCAGAAGAATCACTTGAACCTGGGAGGCAGAAGTTGTGGTGAGCTGAGATCGCGCCATTGCACTCCAGCCTGGGCAACGAGAGTGAAACTCCAAAAAAAAAAAGAAGAAAAAAGAAAGAAAGAAAAGGAATGCATTCACAGTTCTGGAGGCTGGAAGTGGTTCCAGGCAACTTGGTGTTTCCTGGCTTGTGGCTGCATCACCCTAATCTCTGCCTCAGTTTCCACGTGGCCTTCTTCACTGAGCCTGTTTCTCCTCTCCTGTCTTTATTTATTTATTTTTGAGATGGAGTCTCGCTCTGTTGCTCAGGCTGGAGTGCAGTGGTGTGATCTTGATTCACTGCAAGCTCTGCCTCCTGGGTTCAGGCCATTCTCCTGCCTCAGCCTCCCAATTAGCTGGGACTAAAGGTGCATGCCACCACGCCCGGCTAATTTTTTTGTGTTTTTAGTAGAGACGGTGTTTCATCATGTTAGCCAGGATGGTTTCGATCTCCTGACCTCATGATCCACCTGCCTCAGCCTCCCAAAGTGCTGGGATTACAGGCGTGAGCCACCGCGCCCAGCCTCTCCTCTCCTGTCTTTTATAAAGACACTGGTCTTTGGATTCAGGGTCCACTCAGTTAATCTGGGATAATCTCATCTCAAGATCCTTAACTGAATTACATCGCAAAGACCTGTTTTCCAAATCAGGTCACATTCACGGCATCGGGGAGACAGGACATCTACCTATCTATTTGAGGGACACCATTCAAACCACGACATGGATTTACCTGGGTAGAGATAATCTTGTGGGAAAAAAAATTGCAGAATGATGCTAACAATGTAGATCATTTCCATATATTAAAACATACATATTGGCTAGCTCTGGGGGGAGACCTGAATGCTTGTGGCTGGGGGCAAAGAGAGGCTTGCCACTGGATATCCTTGTACATCTGTTTTTGTTTTGTTTTATTTATTAAATTAATTAATTAATTAATTTTTTTGACAGAGTCTCGCTCTGTCACCCAGGCTGGAGTGCAGTGGCGCAATCTCGGCGGCTCACTGCAAGCTCCGCCTCCCGGGTTCACACCTTCTCCTGCCTCAGCCTCCCGGGTAGCTGGGACTACAGGCACCCGCCACCATGCCTGGCTAAATTTTTTTGTATTTTTAGTAGAGACAGGGTTTCACCGTGTTAGCCAGGATGGTCTTGATCTCCTGACCTCATGATCTGCCTGCCTTGGCCTCCCAAAGTGCTGGGATTACAGGCGTGAGCCACCACACCTGGCCCTATTTGTTTATTTTGAGACAAAGTCTCTCTGTTGCCCAGGCTGGAGTGCAGTGGCGGGATCTTTGCTTACTGCAGCCTCCGATCCCTGGGTTCAAGCGATTCTCGTGTCTCAGCCTCCCGAGTAGCTGGGACTACAGGTGCAGGCCATGATGCCTGGCTAATTTTTGTATTTTTAATAGAGACAGGTTTTGCCAAGTTGGCCAGGCTGGTTTCAAACTCCTGACCTCAATGATCCGCCCGCCTTGGCCTTCCAAAGTACTGGATTACAGATGTGAGCCACTACTCCTGGCCTGTTTGGGGTTTTTTTTTTGTTTGTTTTGGGGTTTTTTTGAGAGGGAGTCTCACTCTGTCACCCAGGCTGGAGTCCAGTGGCACGATCTCGGCTCACTGCGACCTCTGCCTCCTGGGTTCAAGCAATTCTTCTGTCTCAGTCTTCCCAGTAGCTAAGACTACAGGTGTACACCACCATGCTTGGCTAATTTTTGTATTTTTATTACAGACAGGATTTTACCATATTGGTCAGGCTGGTCTTGAACTCCTGATCTCAGGTGATCCACCCACCTTGGCCTCCCAAAGGGCTGAGGTTACAGGCATGAGCCACCACACTCGGCCTGTTTTATTTTGTTTTTTAAGAGACAGGAGCTCGCTATGTTTCCCAGTCTGAACTCCAACTCCCAGGCTCAAGCAATACTCCTGAATAGTTGGGGCCATGGGCATGCACCACTGTGCCCTGTACATCTGTTGAATTAAATAGCAAAAAAGTTGAGCAGGGTGCAGTGGCTCACACCTGTAATCCTAGCTACTCAGGAGCCTGAGGCAGGAGGAACACTTGAGGACAAGAGTTCAAAACCAGCCTGGGCAACATAGTGAGACCCTCATCTCTAAAAAAAAAAAAAATTCAGAAAATTAGGTTGGGCAAGGTGGCTCACGGTTGTAATCCCAGCACTTTGGGAGGTGGAGGTGGAAGGATTGCATGAGCCCGGGAGTTCAAGACCAGCCTGAGAAACAAAGTGAGACCCTGTCTCTACAATTTTTTTTTTTGAAATGGAGTCTCACTCTGCTGCCCAGGCTGGAGTGCAGTGGCATGATCTCGGCTCACTGCAACCTCTATCCCCCGAGTTCAAGTGATTCTCCTGCCTCAGCCTCCTGAGTAGTTGGAATTACAGGTGCCTGCCACTGCGCCCAGCTAATTTTTGTATTTTTAGTAGAGACACGGTTTCACCATCTTGGCCAAGCTGGTCTTGAACTCCTCACCTTGTGATCCACCCACCTCAGCCTCCCAAAGTGTTGGGATTACAGGCGTAAGCCACTGCACCTGGTGTTGTAGAGGCAGGAGAATCGCTTGAACCTGGGAGGCAGAGGTTGCAGTAAGCCGAGATCACACCATTGCACTCCAGCCTGGGCGACAGAGCGAGACTCCATTAAAAAAAAAAAAACAAACTTTTTAATTAGCTGGGCACAGTGGTGCATGCGTGTAGTTCCAGCTCCTTGGGAGGCTGAAGTGGGAAGACTGCTTGAGCCTGGGTGGAGTGCCACTGCACTCCAACTTGGGCAACAGAGCAAGACCCTGTTTCTAAAAAAGAAAAGAAAGGAAATGGTGGATACACACTGCTAACTTCAAGGGAGGATGAGAAACACCATCTTTCTACTGGGAAGCCACATGTTCAGATAAAAATGGAGTTTCTTGGCTGGGTACAGTGGCTCATGCCTGTAATCCTAGCACTTTGGGAGGCCGAGGTGGGCGGATCACGAGGTAAGGAGTTTGAGACCAGCCTGGCCAACATGATGAAACCCGTCTCTACTAAAAATACAAAAATTAGCCAGACGTGGTGGTGGGTACCCGTAATCCCAGCTTACTTGGGAGGCTGAGGCAGGAGAATTGCTTGAACCTGGGAGGCAGAGGTTGCAGTGAGCCAAGATCGAGCCATTACACTCCAGCCTGGGTGACAGAGCAAAACTCTGTCTTGGAAAAAAAAAAAAATTGAGTTTCTATCACTACTGCATAAAAGTGGGATGACCTGTAAAAAGGAAGCAATGAGGAGTTAGGACCACAAGGAAAATTGAGCCCAAGGCTTTCTGTGTTCAAAGCCACTGGTCTCCAAAGTTGGGTGTGGGAAATGAATCATAATTTCTAGTTCTATTTACCTGCCCCATCCTGTTTTATGGCCCTTTTCCAGGTATGATTTAATTCACAGGCTAGAAAGAGTGGTCTAAATGCACCTGTATAGTTGGGTTATTTGTAAACAAATACATATACGTATTAAGGGAGAGTCCAAGTGACGAACGATCAGAAATATGGGAAATCTTGGCTAGGTGCAGTGGCTCACGCCTGTAATTCCAGCACTTTGGGAGGCCGAGGTGGGCGGATCACGAGGTCAGGAGATCAAGACCATCCTGGCTAACATGGTGAAACCCCTTCTCTACTAAAAACACAAAAATTAGCTGGCCGTGGTGGTACGCACTTGTAGTCCCAGCTACTCGGGAGGCTGAGGTGGGAGAATTGCGTGAGGCTGGGAGGTCGAGGCTACAGTGAGCTATGATCACACCACTGCACTCCAGCCTGTCTCAAAAAAAAAAAAACACAAAAAAACAAAAAAAAAACACCATAAAAACACCTTTATAATAATTGTTGTAGGCGGAGGTTTCAGTGAGCCAAGATTGCACCACTGCACTCTAGCCTGGGTGAAAGAGCAAGACTCCATCTCAGAAAAAAAAAAAAAAAAAAAAAAAAAAAAGGCTGGCCATGGTGGCTCATGCCTGTAATCCCAGCACTTTAGGAGGCCAAGGCAGGTGGATCACCTGAGGCCAGGAGCTCAAGACCAGCCTGGTCAACATGGCGAAACCCCGTCTCTACTGAAAATACAAAAATTAGCTGGGCCTGGTGGTGCATGCCTGTAATGCCAGCTATTTGGGAGGCTGACGCAGGAGAATCACTTGAACCCGGGAGACGGAGGTTGCAGTGAGCTGAGATCGCACCATTGCACTCCAGCCTGGGTGACAAGAGCAAAACTCCACCTCAAAAAAAAAAAGAAAAAAAAAAGAATTGAGGTAAATTGCAGGACATCATGTTGGTGTCCACCAAGAATTGGGGAATTACTTGATTTGGGAGAAGCTGCCCCATCATCTGGTGTCAGAAGCGAAGGATTGAGAGTGATGTGATATAGAAGGAAAAACAGTCTGTTTGTCCCATGTACGTATTCAACTGACTTGGGCCAAACTGACTTCTCCCTAGTCTTCCTCATATCAAAAAATGGCACTAACATTTTGCTAAATATTCCACTCAGATGCTAAAGTCATCATTAACTTCTCTCTCCTTGCCCCTATCCCAATATCTTGTCCTTGAAAATGACCCCATCGGCTCTGACTATGGCCACTTTTCTCCATTTTCTTTCTTTATTTTTATTATTATTTCTGAGACAGCGTCTCATTCTGTTGCCCAGGCTGAAGTGCAGTGGTGCGATCATGGCTCACTTGCAGCCTTGAACTCCTGGGCTCAAGCGATCCTCTCACCTCAGCCTCCCAAGTAGCTGGGAGTACAGGCTCAGGCCCTCATGCTAATTTCTAAAATTTTTATAGAGATGGGATCTCACTATGTTGCCCAGGTTGGTCTCCGGGGATCAAGGGAGACTTTAAGCAATCCTCCCACTCAAGCCATCTCCTGCCTTGGTCTTCCAAAGCACTGAGATTACAGGCGTGAGCCACCACGGCCAATATTCTCCATTTTCTTTTCTTTTCTTTTCTTTTTTTTTTTTTGAGACGGAGTCTTGATCAGTCGCCCAGGTTGGAGTGCAGTGGCGCAATCTCGGCTCACTGCAAGCTCTCTGCCTCCCAGGTTCATGCCATTCTCCTGCCTCAGCCTCCTGAGTAGCTGGGACTACAGGCGCCCGCCACCACGCCCGGCTAATTTTTTTTTTTTTTTTTGTATTTTTAGTAGAGACGGGGTTTCACCATGTTTAGCCAGGATGGTCTCGATCTCCTGACCTCCTGATCCACCTGCCTCAGCCTCCCAAAGTACTGGGATTACAGGTGTGAGCCACCATGCCCGGCCGTATTCTCCATTTTCAATGCTAGTAGATTAATCTAAGTCAGCATCACCTACCCTCCTGGCTCCCCCAAGACTATTCCTGCCCCCATCCTCATCCCCCAAGACCATTCTGCACATAGCAGTCATAATAACATCCTCCTGGCCGGGTGTGGTGGCTCACGCCTGTAATCCCAGCGCTTTGGGAAGCCAAGGTGGGAGGATCACGAGGTCAGGAGATCAAGACCATCCTGACCGTCCTGGCTAACATGGTGAAACCCTGCCTCTACAAAAAAAAAAAAAAAAAAAAAAAGCCAGGCATGGTGGCAGGCGCCTGTAGTCCCAGCTACTTGGGAGGCTGAGGCAGGAGAATCACTTGAACCTGGGAGGAGGTTGCAGTGAGCCAAGATGGTGCCACAGTCCTCCAGCCTGGGTGACAGAGTGAGACTCTGTCTCAGAAAAAAAAAAAAAAATCCTCCCCCATGCTCTTTTAAAAACTTAGAGTTTATTTATGTGTTTATTTATTGACACAGAGTCACGCTCTGTGTCACTGAAACCTCTGCCTCCCGGGTTCAAGCGATTCTCATGCCTCAGCCTCCTGAGTAGCTGGGATCATAGGAGCCCACCATCAAGCCCAGCTAATTTTTGTATTTTTAGTAGAGACAGCATTTCACCATGTTGACCAGGCTTGTCTTGAACCCCTGTCCTCAAGTGATCCGCCCGCCTTGGCCTCCCCAAGTGTTGGGATTACAGATGTGAGCCACCGTGCCTGGCCCCTTTGAATTTTGAAACAACATTATTTTATTTTTGTTATTTGTAATTTTATTATTATTATTATTAAAGACAGGGTCTTGCTCTGTCACCCAGGCTGGAATGTAGTGACGCCATCACAGCTCACTGTAATTTCAAACTCCTGGGCACAAGGGATCCTCCCGACTCAGCCTCCCACGTACATAGGACTACAGACGTGCTACCACACACCAGACTAATGAAAAAAAAATGTTTTTTCATTGTAGAGACGAGGTCTTAACAGTTGCCGAGGCTGGTCAAATTCTTCTCAAGCCATCTTCCTGTCTCAGCCTCCCAAAATGCTGGGATTACAGGTGTGAGCCACTGTGCCCAGCCTGAAATTAGACATTTTCAGATCTGCAAAGAAGGTACAGAGAGTTCTTTTATTCCCTTCACTCAATTTCCTCTAATGTTTTTTGGGTTTTGGGTTTTGGGTTTTGTTTTGAGACAGGATCTCACTCTGTCGCCCAGGCTGGAGCGCAGTGGCTCAATCTCCGCTCACTGTAGCCTCCAGGGCTCGGGTGATCCTCCCACCTCAGCCTCTTACGTAGCTGGGACTGTAGGTTCACGCCACCACACTCCGCTAAATTATTTATTTATTTTTTTTTTGAGAGTCTTGCTCTGTCACCCAGGCTGCAGTGCAGTGGCGTGATCTCGACTCACTGAAACCTCCACCTCCCAGGTTCAAGTGATTCTCCTGCCTCAGCCTCCCGAGAAGCTGGACTACAGGCGTGTGCCACCTGAGATTACAGGCCCGGCTAATTTTCTGTATTTTTAGTAGAGACGGGGTTTCACTGTGTTAGCCAGGATGGTCTCAGTCTCATGACCTTGTGATCTGCCCACCTCAGCCTCCCAAAGTGCTGGGATTACAGTCGTGATCCACCATGCCTGGCCTTGTTTTGTTTTTTATTTGAGACAAGGTCTCGCTCTGTCTCCCAGGCTGGAGTGCAGTGGCACCATCATAGCTCCCTGCAGCCTTGACCTCCTGGGCTCAAGTAATCTTTCTGCCTCAGCCTCCCGAGTGGCTGAAACTATAGGCGTGTGCCAGTAGAGTCAGTGAATTTCTTTGATGTTTTGTAGAGATGAGGGTTTCGCCATGTTGCCCAGGCTGGTCTTGATCTCGTGGGTTCAAGTGATCCTCCCTCCTCTGCTTCCCAAAGTGCTGGGCTTACAGGCATGAGCCACCGCACCTGGCCTGGTCATGTATTTTGAGAACCTTCTTCAATCTGGGATAAATGTCTGATGTTGTCTAATGGTTAGATTGAGGTTCTAGGTTTGGGGATAATATCAGACAGTTACAAATGTCCTCCCTATCACATAGCTGGGGTCCGTGATGTCAGTATGACTTATCACTGGTGATGTTGATTTTGATCACTTGGTTAAGGCAGTAGCTGCCAGGTGTCCCCACTGTCTTGGAGACAGCTTTGCTCTCCATGGACGTAGGGTATGCAAGAAGCAGGGGAACCTTTGGCTAAAGATACATTGTGATGGCCGGGCGCAGTGGCTCACGCCTGTAATCTCAGCACTTTGGGAGGGTGAGGTGGGTGGATCACTTGAGGTCAGGAGTTTGAGACCAGCCTAGCCAACATAGTGAAACCCTGTCTCTACTAAAAATACAAAGATTAGCCGGGCATGGTGGCACATGCCTGTAATCCCAGCTACTTGGGAGGCTGAGGCAGGAGAATCGTTTGCTTGAACCCGGGAGGTGAAGGGTGCAGTGAGTTGAGATTGTGCCATTGCACTCCAGCCTGGGCAACAAGAGCAAAACTCCATCTCAAAAAAAAAAAAAAAAAAAAAGATATGTTGTGATATTGTGTTGTGATATATTTTTAAAAAACCATATTTTGGTCTTAGGTTTTCTAGTACATAACTCCTAAAACCCTTGAAATCAGCTGGGCACAGTGGTTTATGCCTGTAATCCCAGCACTTTGGGAGGCCAAGACGGGATGATCCCTTGAGGTCAGGAGTTTTCGAGCAGCCTGGGCAACATAGTGAGACCCCATCTCTACAAAAAAAATTTTTTTAATGAAGACAATAAAAAAAAACTATCTTCTAGATTGTTCAGAGGATTAAATGGGCTGGCCAGGGGTGGGGGCTCACACCTGTCCTCCCAACACTTTGGGAAGCAGAGGTGGGAGGATCACTTGAGCCCAGGTGTTGGAGACCAGCCTGGACAACTTGGTGAAACTCCGTCCCTACAAAAAATACAAAAAATTAGGCCGGGCGCGGTGGCTTATGCCCGTAATTCCAGCACTTTGGGAGGCCTAGGCGGGCGGATCACCTGAGGTCAGGAGTTCGCAACCAGCCTGGCCAACATAGTGAAACCTCGTCTCTACTAAAAATACAAAAAATTAGGCAGGCGTGGTGGCGCACGCCTGTAGTCCTAGCTACATGAGAGGCTGAGGTGAGAGGATCATCTGAGCCCGGGGTCGAGGCTGCAGTGAACCGTGATCACGCCACTGCACTCCAGCCTGGGTGACAAAGTGAGACTCTGTCTAAAAAAATAAAATAAATGAGGTAATGTATACGAATATGATGCACGGAGCGGACCTTCAACAATTATTTTTATTGCTATGATCTGCATAATTGGCACAACAGGGCCCTGCCACATCGAACTGTTTAAGCTCAGAACCGTGTCTGTCACATGTGGAGCGATCCATGATTGATGCTATCATTATCACCACCATCATCCCACCAACCCGCCCATCGGAAACAAGCTTTCATCGAATCCCATCGTTTTTTCCTTTTTTGTAAATCTCTTTCCTCGGCCTGGCTCTGCCGCCCAAGTATGCTCGTCAGGCCTTTGCCCACCTGGACCGGGCGCGGGCAGCCCGGGGCTGAGGATTCTCGAGCCTTGGTGGACCACAGGCTCCCGTCGCCCCGCCCAAGGGCCTGGACCGCCTGTGGTCTCCATGGAAACCCGCCAGCCACAGGGGGCGTGACGCCGTTGAGACAGACAGAGATATTCACCTATCAGATCAAAGTTATCTGGGCAGGGCGAACAAACGGGACCTCCGAGTGGTACGTCCTTAAGGCGGGGCGGGAATACGGCAACGGGCCGCGGGGGCTGTTACTGTCGCTACCAATCAAGAGTCGAGATGGCTTTGATGGACAGGCATAGCGCGAGTGCGGGCTTTCGCCCAACCGGCGGGCCGCTGTCCCGAAAAAGGACCAATGAGGAGGCGGCAGGGGTGGGGCGAAGGGGCCGGTTGCTCCGGAAGTGGAGGGAGGGGGTGAAAATGGCGCCCAGCTCGAAATCGGAGCGGAACAGCGGGGCTGGGAGCGGCGGCGGCGGCCCCGGGGGAGCCGGAGGGAAGCGGGCAGCAGGGCGGCGGCGGGAGCACGTCCTCAAGCAGCTGGAGCGGGTCAAGGTGAGGCCTGGAGCCGGAGTGGGGAGCGCGCCGGAGGGTGGGGAGTAGGGACGAGGGAGGCGGAGGGAGGAGGGCGTTCGCGGGGTGAGGGGTTGGGGGCGGGGCCCCAGGGGAGGGGGCTCGGATGCAGGGCCTGGGCGGGGCCCGGGGGAGATGGCTTGGATGGAGGGGGCTCAGTTGGGGGCCTGGATGCAGGTGGTTGTGTCGGGTGACCGGCAAAGGGGCTGGGATGGAGGGGGTTGGGGGCGGGGCCCCAGGGAGGGGGCTCGGAGGGAGGCGACCCCAGAGGCCGCAGGGAGAATCAGGAGGAAGGGGGCGATCCAGGCTTTTCAAAGCTCTGCTCCCATGGTTGCTCCATAATGGAACCTTCCCGCCCCCTTTGCAGAGCCCCTGCCGCTGGCTTTGGGCTTCCTCCGCCTGATGTTCCTCTCCCTGCCCAAGCCCCGACCACACATGAGCTGGGAGTTCCAGTACCTGGGTGGGCCTCCCCATTGAAAGTGTGGGAGCTCCCTGGATAGGGCTGAGTCTTCCCCCGCAGAGTGAGAGTTACCGAAGCAGGCTCTGTCTCCTCCATCAGACTGGAAACTCCCAGAGCTGGGGGATGATGTCTCTCTCCCCCATCAGTTTGGGAGCTCTGGAGGGCAGAAATGTGGATCTCTTGCAGGTGGGCAGTAACTGGGGCAAGGCTGTGTCTCTGTGGACAGGGACTGCGCCTTCTCCGTGAGGCTGGTAGCTTTGTAAGGGCAGTGCTGTGTCTCCCCCTTTTGACTGGGAGCTCCCTGGGCTGGGACAGTCTCCGCCCTTAGCCTGGGAGCTCCCTGGGCTTGGCTGTGGTTCCGCCCTTAGCTTGGAAGCTCCTTGGGCAGGGACTGTGTCTCCCCTGTCGGCCTGGGCCTGGCTGGCCAGGCTGTTTCCTCCGTCAGACTGAGACCTCCATGTGGACAGGGCTGTCTCCCATCAGACAGGGAGCTTCCCAGACAGGACTCTTCCCATCAGATTGGAATGTCTTGAAGGCAGAGTTGGGTAGCAAGACTGAGGCTGTTCGGATATCCCTGTGCCTGGCTTCTGCCTGTCAGTCCCCGCAGATCCTTCCGCGGTGAAGTTTTGGGGATGAGGGATT
The DNA here is from genome assembly GCF_000001405.40 of Homo sapiens. NCBI lineage: Eukaryota > Metazoa > Chordata > Mammalia > Primates > Hominidae > Homo > Homo sapiens. Next base: position 13,953,765 of record NC_000019.10, read on the forward strand.
CCCTTGGATTCCGTTGGAAGGCGGTAGTTAATTGGGAAGGGGGCGTTGGGTCATTGGTTAGGCTCACCCTTCTATCTGCCTCGACTGGCCCCCAGCAGAGGCCAGAGCTGCCCCGGGGAGGAGGAGCCCCCTTGTTTGAAGGCTGGTGGGTTGGGAACAGATGGGTGCAGGTCAGGACTCTGTCCCAGCCTCCTTAGTAGGATAAATACCCACAGCTTAGGGACAGCCTTCAGGGAGGGAAGCAGGTGGCCCAGCGTGGGACAGGGTGATTGGGGAACTTTCTTGGGGGCGGTGACGCTGGGCTCAGTCAAGAGGGACCTGAGGCTGAAGAGGTATGGAACTGGGAAGGTGGCCTGGGTCCCTGGTGGAGATGAAGGCTCAAGCGCGGTCCATCTGGCTTTACTGTCCCCATCTGCCTCAGTTGTTCCCACCTTCCAGAGCTTGGCCTTCTTTTGACCATTATGGTGGGCTGGGCCGGTCTGGACCCGGTGAGAGCCGCTCTGCCTCTCTGCCGTGGGTGAGGGGGCTGGGGGCTGCAGATGGTGCCTGAAGTGCCCTGGCCACCCCTTCCCCAGATCAGCGGACAGCTCTCCCCTCGCCTCTTCCGGAAGCTGCCTCCCCGGGTGTGCGTGTCCCTCAAGAACATTGTGGATGAGGACTTCCTCTATGCAGGGTGAGGCTGGGCCCAGGCAAAGGGGGCAGGTGGGCGGGAGTGGTGGGCTCGCCCTGACCTGGCCGCTGTGCCCCCTCCACCCCCACAGACATATCTTCCTGGGCTTTTCCAAATGCGGCCGCTACGTCCTCTCCTACACCAGCAGCAGTGGGGATGACGACTTCTCCTTCTACATCTACCATCTGTACTGGTGGGAGTTCAACGTTCACAGCAAGCTCAAGCTGGTAGGGAGGCTTCAACACCAGGCTGGCCCTTCAGATGGTGTGGTTCAGCAGGTCACAGCAACCTCTGAGCCTCAGGTTCCTTGGGTGTAAAATGATCATCATGTACTCCTGGGGTCATCATCAAGATTCCATGTGTTAGATCCAACCATATGAAATTACCAGGGCCTGGCATGGTAGCTCACACCTGTAATCCCAGCACTTTGGGAGGCCAAGGCGGGAGGATCACTTGGTCCGAGTAGTTCAAGACCAGGCTGGGCAACATGGCAAAACCCTGTCTCTACTAAAAATAAAAAAAAATTAGCTGGGCATATTGGCGTGTGCCTGTAGTCAGCTCCTCTGGAGGCTGAGGCAGGAGGATCACCTGAGCCCAAGAGTTTGAGGCTGCAGTGAGCCATGATCACACCATTGCACTCCAGCCTGGGCAACAGAGTGAGACCCTGTCTCTAAAACAAAACAAAACAAAACAAAACAAATGAAGGCTGGCCACAGTGGCTCACGCCTGTAATCCCAGCACTTTGGGAGCCCGAGGTGGGTGGATCACCTGAGGTCAGGAGTTCAAGACCAGCCTGGCCAACATGGTGAAACCCCATCTCTACTAAAAATACAAAATTAGCCGGGCATGGTGGCACATGTCTGTAATCCCAGCTATTCCGGAGGCTGAGGCAGGAGAATCGCTTAGAACCTGCGAGGTGGAGGTTGCAGTGAGCCGAGATCGAACCACTGCACTCCAGTCTACAGAGCAAGACTCTGTCTCAAAAAAGAAAAAGAAATTACCATTTTTATGGTTCAAAATGGGTAAATAGCAGCAATTCCATTTGGTTCAACACACCCTATGAAGCTGTAGAACATGTTGGCTCAGGCCAGTTAGCTTTATTAGGACCAGGCCACCCTGGCTTTAGCCTTGACCCTTGACTCCTGGAACCCCCCCAGGAGGTGTGCTGTTACCTCAGCATACATGTGAACTCAGAGAGCTGAACGGGCTTCAGGGTAGGCTGGGCTTGGAACCAGTGCCTGGCGCAGTCTCCCCCGGGACATTGTTCCCATCGGCTGCATCCCACCCTGGCCTGGTCTCCCCGACTGGTGAAAGGAGCCTCCACGGCTGTCCTCAGGCAAGGTGGAGGGGTGTGGCGGGTGCTGTTGGGGTGCTCCTACCCGCTCAGCCCCAGCCCTGATGAGGGACTGCATCGTACAGCTTCGGGGGACCTCCGCAGTTTCCCTGACCCGGTGCTGCCCCTGAACGTGCCTCACAGGTCCGGCAGGTTCGGCTATTCCAGGACGAGGAGATCTACAGCGACCTGTACCTGACCGTATGCGAGTGGCCCAGCGACGCCTCCAAGGTCATCGTCTTCGGCTTCAAGTGAGACCAGGCGCCTGGGGGAGCCTTGGCTGGTTGGGGCAGGGGGTGTGCAGTGGGGGCCCCCCAGGCGCCGACCAGGCAGCTGAGGGTATGCTGGCCCCCAGCACCCGCTCGGCCAACGGGATGCTCATGAACATGATGATGATGAGTGACGAGAACCACCGTGACATCTACGTCAGCACCGTGGCCGTGCCACCGCCAGGCCGCTGTGCTGCTTGCCAGGATGCCAGCCGAGCCCACCCAGGTGAGGGGGCCGAGGGGGCGAGGGCCTCTTCCCCCCTCCCCCCCTTGCTCCGGGCCGAGAGTGAGCTGCTGTGGCGTGTGTTGCTACAGGAGACCCGAATGCACAGTGCCTACGGCATGGCTTCATGCTGCACACCAAGTACCAGGTGGTCTACCCCTTCCCCACCTTCCAGCCCGCCTTCCAGCTCAAGAAGGACCAGGTGGTGCTGCTCAACACCAGCTACTCCCTGGTGGCCTGCGCCGTCTCCGTCCACTCGGCAGGTAGGCCCTGCGGTCTCGTGGCCACCCGGCAACGCGTGAAGCGGGTCCTCTCCCTACCCCACCACACAGACAAGGGGCCCCAGGCGTAGAGAGGTGGGAGCTACTTCCCCAAGTCACACAGCCTGGTTGTGGGAATGCTGCGGTCCAAATGTGGCCACGCCCACCACAGCCCTGCCCACGGGATCTTTCCAGTGGCTGAGATGTCCCACCATGGCTGCCTCCAGCAGCCACTTGGAATGTGGCTCATGTGACTGAGGAACTGAGCTTGTGATACTTTTTTTTCCACTGGAGTCCAGTGGTGCGATCTTGGCTCACTGCAACCTCCCAGGCTCAAGCAATTCTCCTGCCTCAGCCTCCCGAGAAGCTGGGACTACAGGCCTGTGCCATCATACCCAGCTAATTTTTGTGTTTTTAGTAGAGATGGGATTTCACCATGTTGATCAGGTTGGTCTCAAACTCCTGACCTCAAGTGATCCACTCACCTTGGCCTCCCAAAGTGTTGGGATGACAGGCGTGAGCCACCGCGTCTGGCCTGTGATGGATTTAATTGTAGTTGTTTTAAGCTGAAATAGCTACAGTTGGCTAGCTGGACGGGGTAGCGCCCCTTTCTCTTAAGAAGAGAAACGCTAATGTGACATTTCAGGGTGTGGTTAGTGGGCAGGCACTTGGCATTATATGTTTGATATCGGAAAGATGCCAGTGAGAATCACAAGATGTCCCTTGACAGTGACAAATGTCAGGAGGCTGGATCATGCCACCGGCTGGCAGCAACAGGAGGGAGGGGGCCCCGGGGGCCATTTGGCAACAGAATTGTGACTATGACTGACCCAGCTGCCCTGTGCCCGGGTCTCTCCCTCTGGCAGAGTCTCACTGGGTCCGTATGTCCAAGACTGCTGAGGGGGAGTTGGGGGCCACCTGAAGAACCCTCCCTGGGGATTGGGGAGCGACTTAGGAGGTGGCGAGGGGTTGGGGGCATCTGTGGAACACCAATGAAGGCCCCTGTGTGTGCATCCATGGAGCATGTGTCAGATGCGTGCACATGTGGGTGAAACACAAGGAATCTATAACTGGAACCACTTAATATAAATTAAAAAGACGATTTAGGCCAGGCACAGTGGCTCATGCCTGTAATCCCAGCACTTTGGGAGGCTGAGGCAGGCGGATCACATGAGATCAGGGAGTTCAAGACCAGTGTGGCCAACACGGTGAAACCCCATCTCTAGTAAAAATATAAGAATTAGCTGGGCATGGTGGCACATGCTTATAATTCCAGCTACTCAGGAGACTGAGGGAGGCGGAGGTTGCAGTGAGCCGAGATTGTGCCAATGTACTCCAGCCTGGGAGACAGCAAGACTCCATCTCCAAAAAAAAAAGACGTTTTAATTTTGCAAGAACTCAGATGCAAAGACGTCCATTAAATCCTCATGGAAATGGTTGTCCCTGGGGCGGTCGGGGAATGGGCAGGATTAAATGTATATAACGCAGCCCACAAATAAGCCAGGGGCCAGGGCACTCTGTCCCCAGACATATCTGGGGCTTTCTGTCCTCACCCCCAATCTATACCAGGAAGGGTGAGGCGCTGTCTCTTGCTGAGGCTTGACCACTTGGTTTTTGGCCATGAACCCCCCAGCTTGCGAGGGTTGACGCCGCTCTGCCCTTTTGGCTGTGGGTCCTGTTAGGAACGACCACAGCGGACTATCAGCTCTGTACCAGCCCAGGGAAAGGGCGTGGTCATCAGTGGGAGCTGCCGACACAGAGGGGTGCTTTCTTCCTTGGCCATTGTCACCTTCTGTTCCCCGCCCTGTTGTGGGAGGGCTGTCACGGTGGTGGAGGGGAGCCCGTACTCGATTTTTCTCAGATGTGACCTTGGGCATGTTTATCCCTGAGCTGCATTCTGGGGGATGTGGCCCCTCTCTAGGGGTTGCTTGTAGGGGGCTTGGAGGAAACCTGGGTTGGGGCCCAGCCACAGGGTTGCTTAGTGAATATGTTGGGGTTCTCCATGTGTTCCCCACATTCCTTGGGGGAGTCGTCTCTAGGCAGGCAGAGACAGAGGCCCTGATTCGATGAAGTGTGCCCGCAGTGGTCTGGCTTGTGTCAGGAAGGACCGAGGGCTTTGCCTTAGGTCTTCCATATCAGAGAAACGCCAGTGAAAATCACAAGATGTCCCTCGACAGAGTGGCAGATGTTAGGAGGCTGGATGCTACTGTAGTGAACACTCTACGCTGTAGAGTGTTGTCTCCCTCAGGGCAGGGTTCTGTCTGTCTGGTTCACTCCTGTGTCCTCAGTGTGGGGCGCTCAGTAGACAGCTTAAGAAAGGGGTTTGAATGAACGTCTGCACGCATGAATGCGTGGTGTGCATGCGCAGAAAGGTCTTTCCCCTTTTGGGTGTTTCAAACTGATCTCAGCATAGCCAAGTCTCCTAGAAGTGTCTCCTTAAGGTGGGTTTCTGAAAACCCCTGGGGACACTGAGCGAGGCTGGGAGCACCCCAGACTGACACTTCTCCACCCCCATCTCTTCTTAGGTGACAGGAGTTTCTGCCAAATCCTGTATGACCACAGCACCTGCCCCCTGGCGCCTGCCAGCCCCCCTGAGCCCCAGAGCCCAGAGCTGCCCCCTGCCCTCCCCAGCTTCTGCCCTGAGGCGGCCCCAGCCCGTTCTTCTGGGTCTCCTGAGCCCTCGCCCGCCATTGCCAAAGCCAAGGAGTTTGTGGCTGACATCTTCCGCCGGGCCAAAGAGGCCAAGGGCGGGGTCCCTGAGGAAGCCCGGCCTGCCCTGTGCCCAGGACCCTCTGGCAGCCGCTGCCGTGCGCACTCTGAGCCCCTAGCCCTGTGTGGAGAGACGGCACCCCGGGACAGCCCCCCTGCCTCGGAGGCACCTGCCTCCGAGCCTGGCTATGTCAACTACACCAAGCTGTACTATGTGCTGGAGTCCGGAGAGGGGACGGAGCCGGAGGATGGTGAGCGGGGGGCAGGCATGTGACAGGGCCTGGGATGGAGAGGCCAGCCCAGACGGGGCCCCTGGCCTCCCTCCACCCCACCCCCACTTCCTGCCTCCCCAGAGTTGGAGGACGACAAGATCTCCCTGCCCTTCGTGGTGACTGATCTTCGTGGCCGCAACCTGCGGCCCATGCGGGAGCGGACTGCTGTCCAGGTGGGTGTGGGCAGTGGGCGGGCCAAGGACAGTCCCGGGGAGCTGCCGGGGGGCAGTTGGCACCGTCCCCTGCGCCTACCCACTCACCCGCAGGGCCAGTACCTGACAGTGGAGCAGCTCACACTAGACTTCGAATATGTTATCAATGAGGTCATCCGCCACGACGCTACCTGGGGCCATCAGTTCTGTTCTTTCAGCGACTATGACATCGTCATTCTGGAGGTGGGCCCAGGGCGGGCAGGGTGGGCCCAGGGCCTCCTGTACTCTGGGGTCGCCCTCAACAGTTGGCATCATCCACCCCCACCCCCAGGTCTGCCCAGAAACCAACCAGGTCCTCATCAACATTGGCCTGCTGCTCCTGGCCTTCCCGTCCCCCACTGAGGAGGGCCAGCTCCGGTGAGCGCGGGGATCCTGCCCTCTCTGTCCACTAGGGGGGCCACTGGCAGACACTTCACGGTGGGGGTGTGGGGACGTGAGAAGGCTCTCCCTGTGCCACAACCTGGCTGGGCCCCTCCATAGCTGTTCCAAAGACAAAAGGCCCTCAGGGTAGCCTGGGGCCTGGTTCAGGAGCCCGGCTGTCCCAGCGTTTGTCCTATGTCCCTCTCCACTGTAGACCAAAGACCTATCACACCAGCCTCAAGGTGGCATGGGACCTCAACACAGGGATCTTCGAGACAGTCAGTGTAGGCGACCTGACTGAGGTCAAAGGGCAGACCAGGTGAGGCAGGGCTGGGGGGCAGGGTCAGGGCGCGGCCAAGGCGACGAGAGCCACTCACCCCCTGGCCCCGCAGCGGCAGTGTCTGGAGCTCCTACCGCAAGAGCTGCGTGGACATGGTCATGAAGTGGCTGGTGCCGGAGAGCAGCGGCCGCTACGTCAACAGGATGACCAATGAGGCGCTGCACAAAGGTGGGGCTCGGTGACCCCGTGATGGTCAGGGTCACCAGGAACACTTGTCCTCACCCAGGAGCTGATTCCTGAGCGCTGATGAAATGGGTGGGAAGGCTGGTGAGGAGAGGGCAGCCCAGGCCAGGCCCAGCTCAGCAGCCCTGAAAGTGTGGGGCCTGGGAGCCTCCCACCAGTCATGGCCTGGCTGGTCACTCATTCACGCTACATTTATTGGGTAGCTGCAGGCTAGAGGTGGAGGGCAACTCAGCAGGGTCCCTGCCTTCTGGAACCTTCTGGGCCAGAAGCAAGTCAGGTGGAGGGTGTGGCCGCAGGGCCAGGCAGGCAGGGGCTCTATGCTTTGTCTCCACCTGTCCCTGTAGGGTGCTCCCTGAAGGTTCTGGCGGACAGCGAGCGATATACGTGGATCGTGCTGTGAGGGCCAGGCCGCCCCGGACACTGACTCCAACTACCTCCGTGGCCTGGGACCGGCCCCCTTCCTGGGGTGGCCTCTTCCTGGCCGGCTGGCCCACCGACTGATGACCGGCACTAGTGTTAGCCTGCGGAACGGGGCTGGGCAGGGCAGCCTCTGTTGGCCTGAGGGTCTGGACGCTTTTTATTTATGCCTATTTAAGTTGGGAAGGGGCAGAGAGAGGGCGCCCCCTGCCCCACCAGCCTGAGTGCCCCGCCTTCACCCCGAGCTGGGCATGGGCCTGGCCCCTCGTGCATTTGCCCTTTTCTCGGCTACAGCTGTGGACGTTGCCCTCGGGGAGGTCGAATGGACCCCATTCCCCCTGCCCTGCCCGCCCCCAGCCTCCCCACCCAGGCCGGCAACCTGGCCATCCCCATTCCGTTCTTCTTCATGTAATAAATGTTTTAATTTCTGAACCTCATTGAGGTCCTGTCACTGCAGCTTGGGGCCCAGCTGGAGCCCCCGCCCCAAGGCCCCCACCAAGGCCCGGCGAGTCAGCAGTAGGCAAATATCACAGCGGAATTTATTGTTTTAAGAAAGACTACAAAAAGGTAGAAAACAGCTCGGCACACTAGACTACCACACGTGTGGACACTTTCACCACCGGGAGAGGGAGCCCCGTGGGCACGGGGACTGGGCAGGGCCGCCCCAAAAGCTATAGCACGCGGAGCACACAAAATAGTGATTTTTATACAATAGGTCAGATTTCCATTTTTTTTTCCTTTTTCTTGCCATAAACATCTATCTCACAGGCTGAAAACACTGAGAAAACTGGAACAGATAAGGCCATGATGGTTGGAAAAAAACCCAACAAGTTACCAACTCCGCTCGGGCGGCGCTCACGAATCGCACAATAGTCATGGGGTGGGGGTCGCACGGCACGGAGGAGAAGCGTGGTCTCCGGGAAGATAGGGGCACAGAAAAGGTTCCATTACAAACCAGCGGCGGAGGGCGGGGGCGCGGGGGCTGGGGTCTGTGGGCACTCCCCGGCTCCGCGGCTCGCTGCTCTTTGGAAGCTGGAGGCCGTGCCCCCTGCCGCCCTCCTCACAGCCGGGCCGGGCAGTGCCCCCTTCTTGAGCTTGGGGGCAAGGGAGGGCCCAGCGCTGGAGAAGATGCGACACCCACGGCTTTAATTGCACTTAATACCAAGAAGGGGAAGCAGTGGGGTTGCTGGGGGTAGGGTGTCCCGGGGCTGCTGCTGACAGTGGGGAGTCCCCAGGTGACGCCCACCTGCGCCGGCCCGGGGCTCAGGGCTGGGCCCAGGACAGGCTGTGCAAAGCCAGCGAGCTGAATAAGTTAACAGTTTCGCACGGGAGGGGGCCTGCCTGCCTGCCCCCTGGGGTGGTGGGAGGACGGGGCTGGGGAGAAGACGCTGGGGCCTGGGAGGGGGGCGGCCAAGGGGCCGAGCTGGATGCCCCGCGGGGCACCTGGGCACGCGGCGGGTTCCTTAAGGCACGTCTTTTGTGTCAGAGTTTGCAGCTGCGGCTCCGCCCAGCCCACTGATTGTGCCGGCCCCATAAGGGAGGAGGGCCCCGGTCTTCCCTGTCTCGGAGTCCCCCTCCCTGCCCTGGCTGAGGCTGGAGCAGTGACCACGAAGCCACAGAAGCTTTGAGGGACCCTGGCGTGGAGGGGTGGCGGGGGCGGGTGGGGCGGGGAGGCCAAGGGCTTAGCTGGAGGGCAGCGCCTGCACGAAGAGGCCGCGCGCGTCAGTCCGCGCCAGCTTGGCCGGCGGCTCCAGGGTCTCCGGGCCCAGCGCGGGTGACTCGCCGCCAGCCGCCAGTGAGATGTCCTGCGGCAGCTCGTCCTCGCTCTCCTCCTCCTCTTCTTCCTCCTCGTCTGGAACACAGGGACCAAGTCCGGCTCGGGGCGGGGTGGCAACGCCCCCGGGCTCCTCCTCCTCCCGAGCCCCTCCGTTGTCCGCCACCCCCGGGACCCGCGCCCTGGGTGGGAACACGCCTCGCCTACCTTTGTCGGGGTCCAGGGGGTTCAGGGAGGTGGCCAGATTGGCGAACTGGAGGAAGAAGAGAAGAAAATGGGTGAGGGTCCCGCCGCCTGGCGCCCCGCCCGCGCCCCCAGTGGCCCGCCTCGCGCACCTCGCCCATGACGGCGATGGGGGTCTCGCCCTTGGCCTGGGCTACGCGGTGCTCGATCAGGTAGTACATGTACTCGTCGTAGAGCAGCCGGATGAGGTGGAAGGAACCGAAGCTGGCGGCGCTGCGCAGGGTCAGGTCCCGGATCACCATGGAGCTGGGGATGGAGACGGAGAGGAGACCGTCAGGCCCCGTCCGGCCCGACCCCCTCTCCCCCTCCCCGCTGCGATGCGCCCGGGCCTCGCGCCAGCCCAGTGACTCAGGCTGGATCCCGCACAGCCTTCCCGGCACATGAGCCCAGGGCCCCAGCCTGCCCGCCCAGCCTGCAGGCTCGGGTCGTCGTAGAAGAGCACCTGAGACCCCCAGGGACGCGGGGCCTTCCCTGGTGCCGCCCGGACCCGATCCCGCCGCGCGCGCACCTGTAGAAGGACCACTTGAGGAGGAAGAGCTTGGCGGCCTTGGGGAAGCCGGCGCTGCCCTGGTAGGGCTTGAGCACCTGGCTCACCACGCCGTCCAGCCAGGCCGCCCACTGCTCCAGCGAGTTCTGCTGCTGCAGCGTCACCTTGAAGTCCTGCTCCAGCCGCTGCACCACGCGGTCCTCGCAGCGGCACACCCACGAGGCCTGCTCCTGGGGCACAGAGGGTGGGCGGGCGCCCGGGGCTCAGCCGCCGTCACCCCCGCCTGGCCCGCCCCGTTAGGCTGCCCCTCATTCGCCCGCCCCGCCCCGCCCCGCGCTCACCTGCACGTTGGCGAAGTCCACGCGGTTGAGGTCGCTCAGCATCTGGTTGATCTGTGCGGTGTTCTGCAGCACAGCGCGCGCCGCCTGCGCCAGGTGGTTGAGCGACGTGTAGCGCCGCAGTGTCTGCGCGAAGGCGCCAGCCGCGGCCACCTGCGTGCAGGGATTGAGGGGCTTGCTGCTTCCAAGGAACCCCAGCCCGCCAGCCCTGGCCCCACCCCGCTGCAACCTCCCTAAGCCTGTTTCCTTTTTCCTAAAAAAGGAGGGATGTGCCTCGCTACTTTTGTTGGGACACAGAAGGATCGGGACCTTCAAACTTTGGGTGTCCACTCACAAGCGCCCCCCAAAATTCAATTTATTGTGTTCTGACCAGGGCACAATATTCTTTGAAATTTATTTATATTTTTTAAAATAACTATTGAGACAGGGTCTCGCCATGTTGCCCAGACTGGTCTCGAACTTCTGGCTTCAAGTGATCCTCCTGCCTTTGCCTCCCAAAATGTTGGGAGTGAGCCACCGTGCCAGGAAAGGCCTTTTTTTTTTTTTTAAAAACGAAAGAACACAATAGATAATATGGAGGGCACTGCACAGAAAGGGCAAACACTGCTTTGATAAACACGTTTCATTTTCTTTTTCTGTTTTTTGTTTGACACTGAATCTCTCTCTATCCAGGCTAGAGTGCAGTGGCGCGATCTCAGCTCACTGCATCCTCCGCCTCGTGGGTTCAAGCGATTCTCGTGCCTCAGCCTCCTGGGTAGCTGGGATCATAGGTGCACACCACCACGCCGGGCTAATTTTTGTATTTTTAGTAGAGACAAGGTTTCACCATGTTGGCCAGGCTGGTCTTGAACTCCTGACCTCAAGTGATCCGCCCGCCTCGCCTCCCAAAGTGCTGGGATTACAGGCATGAGCCACTACGCCCGGCCTCATTTTCTTTCGTACCCTGGAATCTCAGCTCTGGGAGAGGACAGGGGTTTTGTCCATCTTGTTCATTGCTGTGTACTGAGAAGGAGGTTGTGTGAATACATGAATACATGAGTCTCGCTGTTTCTTCTGAAGGGTTTGCTCCTGGATCTGGCATCTACTGTCTCCAAAGGCCCCAGTCCCTGCCCTGTGCCCAGCGGTGGTTTTTTTGTTTGTTTGTTTTTCCCAACCACATCCCATCAAATTCCTCACATCTAAGTAGTCAGCGAATGTGCATCTTTTGATGAAAAAGGCAAGTATTATGTTTCCTTATAGATGTTGTTGCCTTTCTTAAAAAGTTTTATCTGTTTCTGCACACCTGAAGCACTTTCTAGCAAGGCTGTCTAAAGGGAACTACTGTACATTTGCAGTTGGTTTTTATTTTTGAAAGATGCTGTGTTGAGTACAGTAACACCACAAAGGGGGTTGCATTTCAGAAGTGGGTGCCTGAGGACACTGGTTTATAAAGACAATGCCCAGGGTGCTCCCCGAGGCGGAGAAGGTCTCCCCTTCCTCCACAGGCATCATCCCTGGAACAGGCGTGGGGACAAATTTTACCGCCCCTGGGGAGCAGAGGAGACGGAGGCCTAAGCCCCAGAGATAGGAGAAAGGGACCCCCTCACACTCTCACCTTCACCCGCAGCATCTCCTCGGGGATGTTGACCATGGCGTGGGTGAGCCAGCTCTCCAGGCTCTTGGCAAAGTTCCGGATCGCTTGGGTCAAGGCACCTGTGGGCGGTGGCGGGGGTCGGTCAGGGCAGGGCGGGTGTATGTGGGGCAGGGGATGCCGAGCAGGCCGAGCACTCACTGGGGATGGGCCGCAGCACGTCGGGAATGAGGATTTCCACCAGGCCCTGGTACAGCACGTTGTCACAGTGCTTGGTCCATTGGAGCACGGGCTCGAACTTGGAGAGGAGCACCAGGATGGCTTTGGGCAGTCGCTTCTCGGCCTCGTCATGTCTGCGGGCACCCACCCCACCCCGGGTCACTGGGGTACTCTATGGTCCTGCCCCCATCGTCAGAAGGGAACAGGTAGCCCCTGTCCCTGACCCAGGGTCACTGGGGTACTCTGTGGTTCTACCCCCAGCATCAGAAGGCACAGGTACCCCCTTACCCCCACTCCAGGGTCAGTGGGGCACTCTGTGTCTTGCCTCCAGTGCCAGAAGGCACAGGTATACCTTGTCCCCAACCCAGGGTCACTGGGGGCACTCTGTGGCCCTGCCCCCAGCGTCAGAAGGGCACAGGTACCCCCGTCCCCAGGTAAGTACCCCCTGCCTCCCAAAGATCCCCAGGGTCTGGTTGGCACAGGCCCGAGGGGTGGGACGGGATCCTATGCCCTACCCTCCATACAGGGGTCAAACAGATTCCAGAACCTGCCACTCCAGGGAGAAGATGGTGCCCTGCCCCATGCCTGGGCTTAGTCAGGCACTCCACCCCCGACTGTTGAGTGTCGGGTGGCTATACACACTCCACACAGCCAAGGATATGTGTACCCCACAAACTGCAGGGGACAAGCAGGTGCCCCAACCCTGGCCATCAAAATCACCTGCGGGTCATGCCCTCCTCCCCCCTCTCCCTCCCACAGTCGCCGGGCAGTACTCACACAGCCAGCGGTGGCGCCTCACTGGGCTGGCTGAGGTTGTACCTCCAGAAGGTCTTCCACAGCGTCTCCACCAGGGTGAACTGCAGGTTCACCATGACGTCGACAATGGCCTGTGGCAGAGGCGGATGCTCAGGGAGGCTGGGGGGCAGCATGGCCCTCCCATGCCCGTGGCTGCGTCCCCGTCCACTTGCCTGCCCACCTGGCCACCCTACCTCACAGTGTTCCCGGTACAGGACCTGGAAGGCTTTGATGTCCCCGGGCCCGACGCCCTCAGGCAGCACCTTGCCCTGGAGGTCGAGCTCTGTGAAGTCAGGGAGGCTCCGAGAGGCATCTAGGGGGCCGGGGGGAACCGTGAGGCCCTTCATCCCCCTTGCCTGCCCACCCTGGGGTCCTACTGACCTGTCCGTTTCCCATCAGACTGGGGTCCCCCATGTGCCGGTGAGACAACGCTAGGTGGGGTGAGCGCCTGGCCCGGGCCCAGGACGGGCCCAGGAGTGAGGGCCCACACTCCTCTGGCAGAGAGGACAGGAGGGTCTTGTGCCAGCCCTGCCTGTCTGCTGAGTAACAGCACTGCACCAACCCTCAGGACGTGGGCCTCTGAGTCCCGGCTGCAACACAGCACCCACCTGGCCGGGGAATGGGTAGGCACCCAGGGCACAGTCAGGACCACAGGACACTGCCCTGAGCCTAAGCACCCCAGGTTGGGGCTAGCCATGGACAGTCGCCCTAGGGATGCCCCTCGACTCTGCTAGAAGTATTGTTCCCCACCCTCCAAATGGGATGTCCCGGCCTCCAGGGCAGGTGGGGAAATGAGCTCCCACGTGCTCAGGATCAAGGATGTGTGGCTGGACTGTGGGTTCCAAGGGTTGCTTGTTTACTTAGCATCCTTTGGCCCTGTTTTCATGGATTGTTGTTTACTTTGTCTTTTTTTTTTTTTAAGAGATGGGGTCTTGCTATGTTGCCCAGGCTGGTCTCCAACTCCTGGACTCAAGCAATTCCTCCCACCTCGGCCTCCCAACGTGCTGGGATTACACACGTGAGCCACTGCACCCGGCCTTTTTTATTTTCCTGAGACAGAGTCTCACTCACTGTGTCGCCCAGGCTGCAGTGCAATGGCATGATCTTGACTCACTGCAACCTCCGCCTCCTGAGTTCAAGCAATTCTCCTGCCTCAGCCTCCTGAGTAGCTGGGATTACAGGCACCCGCCACCACACCCGGCTAATTTTGGTATTTTTAGTAGAGATGGGGATTCACCATGTTGACTAGGCTGGTCTCGAACTCTTGACCTCAAGCGATTCCTCCAGCCTCGGCCTCCCAAAGTGCTGGGATTACAGACATGAACCACTGCACCAGGCCTTACTTTTAGAAACACTGGGTACACACCTGCCTTCTTGGCGAGTGAGTGGTCCTAGCCCTGTGGACACCATGGCTGTGGGATGGCTGGATGGGAAAGCGAGTGGGCCTCACAGGACTCATGAGAGAAGAGGACCTGCCGTCATATCTCCAAAAAGTAACCATGTCCAACTGGGTGGGATTTGAAATCTCATGTATGCCGGGCATGGTGGCTCATGCCTGTAATCCCAGAACTTTGGGAGGCCAAGGTGGGAGGATCACTTCAGGTCAGGAGTTCGAGACCAGCCTAGCCAAGATGGTGAAACCCCATCTCTCCTAAAGTTACTAAAATTAGCCAGGCATAGTGGCACGTGCCTGTAGTTCCAGCTACTCAGGAGGCTGAGGCAGGAGAATCACTTGAACCCAGGAGGCGGAGGTTGCAGTGAGCTAGGATGGTGCCACTGCACTCCAGCCTGGACGACAGAGAATCTATCTCAAAAAAATAAACAAATAAATACAAAAATAAAGAAAATCTCAAGTAGCATAAAGGGGATTCACTGGGAAGCTCAGAACCCCCGAGAAATGCTTTGCATTGAAAGAAATGAGAATCTACCTTGAAGAAGGATTCTAGGGACAGAACTGTCACTGTGGACGGAGACTGTGATGTCTCCCCCACCCCCTGCTGGTTCTCGGGCATCTCTCACCAAGCCCTCCCCAGCTCAGAGGCTGCCTGCCGCCATCCAGCTTTGGGAACCGTCTGCACGGGGCAGGGAGGCGGTGGTTGGGGAAGCACGGGCCAGGGAGCTCTCACCCAAAAATTGCTGGTACTGCTGCACCTGGGCGCTGATGTCCGACAGCCCCGTGCTCGGCTGCTGCCCCACCGCCACGCCGTTGGTCATGCCTTCCATCTTCTGGATGGGCTTGAGCCTGGAGTAGAATGGGCAGGTGGGCCGGCTGCTGGGGGCCGGCCTGTGTGCCCTTCCCCGCCTGCCCTGCCCTGGGTCCGGCCCTGCCTTCCTACCTCTGCTTCTGCGAGAAGGGCTGGCCCCGCATGGCCATGTGCTGCTGGTCCTCCATCAGCCGCAGCAGGGGTGAGCTGGCCTTGATGCGCAGGCCATAGTAGTGGTACTTGGAGTTGCCCCTGGGAGGGAGGTGGAGGGGAAGGGCTGGGCTGGGGGTCTGCCGGCTGGCCGGCCATGGAGCACCTCACAGCACACCCGTCTCCTCTCTGTTAGGAGAATGGATAGAGAGACGCCTGCCCTGCAGAGACGGGGGTGCTGCACTGAGGAGGCACAGGGGCTGTGGGTGTCAGGAGAGATCCAGCGGTTTGCCCAAGATTATGCATAAATGAATGGCTGAATGGATGAATGGCTGAACGAGGTGACGCTGAAGCTGGGAATGGGAACCGAGACGTGAGCGGAGGTGAGCCATGGGGGTTGCAAAGGAGAGGAAGAGAGGGGCGGGTTCTTGGGATGCCTTCTTGTTCCTTCCCGCATGAATTTACTGACTCACAGACCCTGATGAAGCACTGACTAGGTACAACCCCGCGTCATCGAGGTACGAGCACTGCAGACGGACCAGAACAACTGAAATAAGTCATGTAAAAGGCACGTGTGGGCCGGGCACGGTGGGGTCATGCCTATAATCCTAGCACTTTGGGAGGCCAAGGCAGGTGGATCACTTGAGGACAGGAGTTCAAGACCAGCCTGGCCAACATAGCAAAGCCCTGTCTCTACTAAAATTATTTTTTAAAAATTAGCTGGGCGTGGTGGCACATGCTTGTAGTCCCAAGCTACTCAAGAGGCTGAGGCATGAGAATGGCTTGAACCCGTGAGGCAGAGGTTGCAGTGAGCCGAGATTGAGTCACTGCACTCCAGCCTGGGCCACAGAGTGAGACTCTTGTCTCCAAAAAAAAAAAAAAGTCACGTGTGAGCGTGCTGAATGCTAAAGAGAAAAATAAAGCAGGGTTGGGGGGTGTCGGGCAGGGGAGAGGGGGAGGCTGCAGTTTTAGTTGAGGCAGTCAGGGGACGTGCAAGTAAGGAGGGGTGAGAAGCACATGAGGTGGAAGGCACCGCCAGTGCAAAGGCCTAGAGTGGGAGTGAGCGGGGCTGTCGAGGAGCCTCGCAGAGGCCGGCGGGACTGGGCTGGACTGGACTGCCTGAGATGACTCGGAGTGGGGGTGGGCCTTGGCATGCCCACCAATTCCCCAGGGACTGCTGGGAGTAGACGGATGGCCCTACCTGGTGCCCAGACGGCGGGTTCGCAGGCCCATGAAGACGGAGCGGATGAGCTTGCCGAAGGAGGCGGCGTTGACGGGCTCCAGCTTCTGCTCCTGGCAGTGCAGTAAGTAGTGGCAGTAGAGGGTGCTCCGTGGCAGACTCACGCCCTCAGCCGTCTCATAGTTGTCCAGGAGCCACTGGACCTGGGGTGGGAGGGAGATGGGAGAGCACCAGTCAGAGGCGCTTCCGTCATCTCTGAGTGCTGGGGCTGAGTGCCCCACATCGACTTCCAGCTGGGATCCTGACAGCCACGCCCACATAAGTTAGCACATCCTACTGCCATCCTCTCCAAGAACTATGTCCCACAGAACTCTAGAACTGCACTGTCCAATACAGTTGCCATGTATAGCTAAATACATTAAAGGCCGGGCACGGCTCACCCCTTTAGTTCCAGCACTTTGGGAGGCTAAGGTAGGAGGATCACTTGAGCCCAGGCTGGGCAACATAGGGAGACCCTGTCTCTACCAACGAATTTTTAAAAAAATTAGCTAGTGTCGTGGTGCACACCTGCAGTCCCAGCTATTTGGGAGGCTGAGGCAAGAGGATCCCTTCAGCTCAGAAGTTCAAGGCTGCAGTAGGCTATGGTCAAGCCACTATACTCCAGCCTGGATACAGTGAGACCTTGTCTCAAAAAAAAAAAAAAAAAAAAAAAAAAAAAAAAAAAATTAGCAGGACGTGGTGGCTCATGCCTGTAATCCCAGCACTTTGGGAGGCCAAGGCAGGTGGGTGGATCATGAGATCAGGAGACTGAGACCAGCCTGGTCAATATTGTGAAACCCCGTCTCTACTAAAAATACAAAAATTAGCTGGGAGTGGCGGTGTGCGCCTGTAGTCCCAGCTGCTTGGGAGGCTGAGACAGGAGAATCATTTGAACTTGGGAGGCAGAGGTTGCAGGGAGGCAGAGGCTGCAGTGAGCCAAGATCGCACCACTGCACTCCAACCTGTGCGACAGAGCAAGATTCCTTCTAAAAAAAAAAAATTATATGAATTTATGCAGAATGAAAAAAATCAAATTTTCAAGCCAGGAGTGGTGGCTCACACCTGTAATCCCAACACTTTGGGAGGCCGAGGCGGGCGGATCACCTGAAGTCAGAAGTTAGAGACCAGCCTGGCCAACATGGTGAAACCCTGTCTCTACTAAAAATACAAAAATTAGCCAGGTGTGGTGGTGGGCACCTGTCATCCCAGCTACTCGAGAGGCTGAGGCACAAAAATTGCTTGAACCTGGGAGGTGGGAAGGTTACAGTGAACTGAGATTGCGCCACTGCACTCCAGTCTGGGTGACAAGAGCAAAACTCCATCTCCAAAAAAGAAAAAAAAAGACTAGAATAGACTAGAAGCCAGGCTACATCAGGACCATGAGGGACCACCAGGACCACCAGCGCTGACCCACCCCACAATCACACAAATGTCGAAGGGCCCGGTTGGGGTTGGAATCCAGGGCTGCCCCAGGGACTTCACACAACCACTTCTAGGCACAGGGAGGTTCCAGCACCCGCCTTCCTGATGGTGGAAGAACCCTGTTCAGGAAGCTCCCCATGGCAGTGCTGGCTTCTCTCTGCCCTCATTATCTATTCTCTATAATCAATTTTAATCAGAATAGATGGCTGGGAGGATCGCCTGAGGCCAGGATTTTGAGACCAGCCTAGGCAACAGAGTGAGATCCTGTCTCTACAAAAAAAATTTTTTAAAATCCGCCAGGCGTGGTGGCTCACGTCTGTAATCCCAGCACTTTGGGAGGCCGAGGAGGGTGGATCACGAGGTCAGGAAATCGAGACCATCCTGGCCAACATGGTGAAACCCCGTCTCTACTAAAAATACAAAAATTAGCTGAGCGTGGTGGCACGCCTATAGTCCCAGCTACTCGGGAGACTGGGGCAGGAGAATCACTTGAACCCGGGAGGCGGAGGTCGCAGTGAGCCGAGATCATGCCACTGCACTTCAGCCTGGCGACAGAGCAAGACTCCGTCTTAAACAAACAAAAAAATTAGCCGGACATGGTGCGGCATGCCTGTAGTCCCAGCTACTTGCAAGGGTAAACTGGGAGGATCACTTGAGCCTGGGAGTTTGAGGCTGCAGTGAGCTATGATTACAGCACTGTGCTTCAGCCTGGACGACAGAACAAAACCCTGTCTCAAAAAAAAAAAAAAAAAAAAGTAGACAACATTTTTTTTTTTTTTTTGAGACAGAATCTTGCTGTGTCTCCCAGGCTTGAGTGCGGTGGCGCAGTCTCCGCTCACTGCAACCACCTCCCAGGTTCAAGCAAGTCTCATGCCTCACCCTCCTGAGTAGCTGGGATTACAGGTGCATACCACCATGCCCGGCTAATTTTTGTATTTTTAGTAGAGATGGAGTTTCACCATGTTGGTCGGGCTGGTCTTGAACTCCTGACTTCAGGTGATCCACCCACTTCAGTCTCCCAAAGTCCTGGGATTACAGGTGTGAGCCACAGCGCCCAGCCAACAATAGACAACACTTCTGTAGTATTGTGTTAAGAATTTCATGCATATCAGCTGAGGCCCAGAGAGGCTGAGTAATTTATCTGAGGCCACACAGCATTCAATCCCAGGACATCTGCATATGTTCTCTTCATTGGGGGCCACACAGGCTCCTGCTAGCGGTGGTTGGTAACCACCGTCATGGACTGGGCTTCTAGTGCCCACCACCCACCACTGCCTGCCTCCTCTGGGGCCCGCGTTGGGGCACTTACCGTGGCTGGCGAGGCACGGGTGGTGTGAGAGTAAGACTGGCTGGCACTGCCCAGCATGTAGCCGCCTTGGATCACGTAGGTGCCTGCTCCGCTGCCGCCGCCTCCGGTGCTGCCACTGCCACCCCCGCCACCGCCTCCCCCGCCGCCGCCGCCACCACCACTGCCACCACCTCCGCTGCTGTTGCTGGCCCCAGCCCCAGTGCTGGTGGAGCTGGCGACGACCTGGCTGCCGGACACGTACATGGGCATGGAGCCACTGCTGGCCACCGCCTGGGAGGTGGCGGGGGTGCTGACCTGGGTGGCCGTGCCTGCGGCCTCGTAGTAGCTGGTGCTTGCCGTCTGCGTGTACAGCGGCGTCTCGGGATAGGAGTAGGTGCTGGAACGGCTGGGAAAGAGGCAAAGCCAAGGGAGAGTCAGGGGGATGAGAACTGGGGGGCCGAGGGGCATGACTGTGCAGGAAGGGGGGTCCTAGGAGGGGACTGGGGAAGCAGCAGCTCCCCTGCAGCAAGGAGCAGATCCTAGCATTCATCTACAACGGACTGGGTACCATCCTGAGTGCTTGATGGGCAGTATTTCATATAATCATCAGCTGGGCATGGTGGCTCCTGCCTGTAATTCCAGCACTTTGGGAAGCAGAGGCAGGAGGATCGTTGAAGGCCAGGAGTTCAAGACTAGCCTGGGCCACATAGTGAAAACCCATCTCTACAAAAAATATGAAGATTAGCCAGGCATGCTGGTGCACACCTGCAATCCCAGCTACTTGGGAGGCTGAGGCAGGAAGATCCCTTGAGTCCAGGAGTTCAAGGTTGTAGTGAGCTATAACCATACTACCACTGCAGCAAAGCCTAGGTGACAGTGAGACTCTGGCTTTTTATTTTTGTTATTTTATTTATTTATTTACTTATTGAGACAGAGTCTTGCTCTGTCACCCAGGCTAGAGTGCAGTGTCGCAATCTTGGCTCACTGCAACCTCCGCCTCCTGGGTTCAAGCTATCCTCCTGCCTCAGCCTCCCAAGGAGCTGGGAATACAGGGCTCACCACCACACCAGGTTAATTTTTGTATTTTTTTAGTACAGTTGGTGTTCCACCATGTTGGCCAGGCTGGTCTCGAACTTCTGACCTCAAGTGATCCACCCGCCTCAGTCTCCCACAGTCCTGGGATTACAGGCATGAGCCACCACACCTGGCCGACCCTGTCTTTTTAATTAAAAAAAAAAAAAAATACCGAAGGGTTAGGGAACTTGGAATGCTACACACTTCATTAAAAAAATAAAATTGGCAAGTACTTCGAGTGCCTACTGTGTGCTAGGCACTGTTTCACACACTTTGGACACAGCAATGGACAAGAATGAAAAGCCCCGGCCCCCGGAACCGTCTAGTTGGGGAGACAGGCAAGAAGCCACGTGCAAAGGTAAATGAGAGATCATAACAGAAGGTGATCAGGCAGTGAGTGAAGCAGGAAGGGGGTGGGGCTAGAGAAGGCGATGCTGTGATTGGAAGGGACTAGAGAAGGCGACGCTGTGATTGGAGAAGACCATCAGGAATGCAGATATGTTTCCCCTGAGCCAAGCTACCTATCCCAGGCTGGGGAAGCCTCTCTCCTTCAGATATCGCGTGACGGGATGGGCACCGGTGACACAGGCTTGAGGCTGCAAATCGTCACAAGTATACAAGTATAAAAACCACCAGGGGTTCAACCTCAAGGGGCTGTTAAACAAAAGATGATGGAATCCTATGCAGGGGTGAAAGAGAAGGAGGCAAGGCTTGTCGTCCCCCGAAAGAACAAGCTCCAGAACCTAACACCGGGCAGATAAGAGGCAGAGAAGAGTGGGGACCGTGTGACCGAACAATAGGGAAGAATGCGTTGCATGTGGCATGCGTGTCTGTCATCTGTGGGCATGGAGGGCTCCGTCGAGGGGGACAGGCAGGGGGCACCTCTCACCATCTCGCTAAACATCGTTGGACATAGTTTTGATCTTTGAACTCTTTCAATGTACTAGTGATTAAAAACATAGCATTAGGCCAGGTGCAGTGTAATCACACCTGTAATCCCAGCACTTTGGGAGGACGAGGCGGGTGGATCACTTGAGGTCAGGAGTTCGAGACCAGCCTGGCCAACATAGTGAAACCGTCTCTACTAAAAATACAAAAATTAGCCAGGCATGGTGGCAGGCGCCTGTAGTCCCAGCTACTCAGGAGGCTGGGGCAGGAGGATCACTTGAACCTGGGAGGTGGAGGCTGTAGTGAGCTGAGATCATGCCACTGCACTCCAGCCTGGGTGACAGAGTGAAACTCCACCTCAAAAAAAAAAAAAAAAAGGGAGGGGGGCAGGGGCAGGCACGGTGGCTCACACCTGTAACCCCAGCACTCTGGGAGGCCAAGGCGGGTGGATCACCTGAGGTCAGGAGTTCAAGACCAGCCTGGCCAACATGATGAAACCCTCTCTCTACTGAAAATACAAAAAGTTAGCCGGGTGTGGTGGTGGGCGCCTGTAATCCCAACTACTCGGGAGACTGAGGCAGGAGAATCGCAGGAGAACCACCCTGAAGGTGGAGGTTGCAGTGAGCCAAGATTGCACCATTGCACTCCAGCTGTGCAACAAGAGGGAAACTCTATCTCAAAAAAAAAAAAAAAAATTAAACATCCAGAAAGACAGTGTGGTCAGTCAAGAGGTGGCCTGGCTCAGACTCTGAAGGTGGCAGGGGAGGGAGCCGCACAGGCCCGAGTGGTTGTGGGTGAACAAAGAGAGGGAGTTGAGGGGGACAGTGGAAGGAGATATGGAAGCATGGTCTTTGTCACACATCAGGTCCAGCTCTCGATCTCTCTGTCCTGCCCTATGTCTACCACACAAAGTGACACCAAGAGCACATGACCTGAGCAAGAGCCCCTACTTCTCCAAGGCGGGGGCCACAGCCTGCTCACTCCTGCACACCCAGCATGCAATGTGTGCTGCAAAAAGGTTGCTTTGGTAGATGGTTGCTGAATGACTGAATAAATGAATGTGTGCAGCTCTGGATGCCCCCCAGAACAGGACCAGGGATGGAGGCCCAGGGGCTGTGGCTTTGGCCAGGGTGGGGATAGGGCTGGCAAAGGGTCGGGAACTCGCAGTAATTCACTCAGAGGGAGAGACAGAAGGGGTGGGCAGCTGACAGCAGGAGTGGCCCCCAACAACTTCTCGTAGCAGAAAAACCCGATAGCAACGATGAACTAGGTGCAATCACACACACTATGATCACTGAGAGAGGAATTCAGACAGAAGCAAAGGAGAGACAGGAGAGACGCTACCAGGGATGGCAGCAGGAACCCTTGGACACCGTGTTCCTCTTTGCAATGCCCTGTCTGGCCCCTGCCAGCTTGGCTCAACCACACAGTGAAAAGATTAGCAGCACTGGAAAGAAACAAATGGAACTGTGAGGTAGCCGGACGCCGGGGACCAAGCCTCACGATTTAGATGCCTGGACCAGGCCCACTGGGGTCGGTCAGAGCATCATGACCCTAGGACTAAGTCGATCCATGAGCTAACCAATCCCAGCATTGTCCCCAGAAGAACAAGTGGCAGGGATGAAAAAAGAAATCATGCAAATGCAAAGAAAACCAAGTGAAACCTCTGGAAACTAAACCAACAGTAACTCTAGTACTGCAGCAATTTCTGTGGAGATGGGAGAGGGAAGGTGGCATGGAGGACCCCCGGCGAGGAGCCCGAGCCGGGACTGAAGCGGGGCCAGGACGTGGCCCCTGCCTGACACGGCCCATACACAGGAATGGTAGTGCTGTACCCAGGGAGGGGAAGAAGCCCCCTATGCATCACTGGGTGGGGACTGATGACATCGTGGCTGCTGCATCTGCACAGGGGTTATTACACAGCAGCTAAGAGGGTGACCAGGACCCACGAGGACACATGGTAGAAGAGCCAGGAAAGAAATAAGGTATGGATGGAATGTCCTGCGTCTATTTCTGACCACAGAAAGCGGGTAGAGGCTGGGCACTGTGGCTCATGCCTGTAATCCCAGCACTTTCGGAGGCCAAGACGGGAGGATCATTTAAGTCCAAGAGTTCGAGGAGATGAGCCTGGGCAACGTGGCAAAACCCCATCTCTACAAAAATACAAAAATTAGCTGAGCATGGTGGTGCACACCTGTAGTCCCAGCTACTAGGGAGGCTGAGGTAAGAGGATTGCTTGAGCCCGTGAGCT
Organism: Homo sapiens; assembly: GCF_000001405.40. Classification (NCBI taxonomy): domain Eukaryota; kingdom Metazoa; phylum Chordata; class Mammalia; order Primates; family Hominidae; genus Homo; species Homo sapiens. Next base: position 13,976,935 of record NC_000019.10, read on the forward strand.
GCAGTGAGCCCTGATCGCGCCACTGCTCTCTGGCCTGGGCGACAGAGTGAGACCCTGTCTCAAAAAAAACAGAAAAAAAAAGTCCAGTGCGGTGGCTCATGCCTGTAATCCCAGCACTTTGGGAGGCTGAGACGGGTGGATCACGAGGTCAGGAATTGAAGACCAGCCTGACCAACATGGTGATACCCCATCTCTACTAACAACACAAAAATTAGCTGGGTGTGGTGGTGTGTGCCTGTAATCCCAGCTACCCGGGAGGCTGAGACACGAGAATCACTTGAACACAGGAGGCAGAGGTTGCAGTGAGCCGAGATCACACCACTGCACTCCAGCCTGGCGATAGAGCAAGACTCCATCTCAAAAAAAAAAACAAAAAAAAAGAAAAAAATGGATAGAGGGCTAGAGTTTCTGTTCTTAGAGTATCTCTGGAAAGAAACAAAGAAACAGGTCACAGCATCCTCTCTGGGACAGGGTTGAGAGTCAAATGATTTTTTTTTTTTGAGATGGAGTGTCACTCTATTGCCCAGGCTAGAGTACAGTGGCACGATCTCAGCTCACTGCAACCTCCGCCTCCTGGGTTCAATCAATTCTTCTGCCTCAGCCTCCCGAGTAGCTGGAATTACAGGTGCCTGCCACCACTCCTGGCTAACTTTTGTATTTTTAGTAGAGACAGGGTTTCACCATGTTGGCCAGGCTAGTCTTGAACTCCTGACCTCAAGTGATCTGCCCGCTTAGGCCTCCCAAAGTGCTGGGATTACAGGCGTGAGCCACCGTGCCTGGCCTTTTTTTTTTTTTTTTGGTTAAAAACCAGGCTCATTTGACTCCCAAGCCCTAAGCTATGCCGGGGTGCCTTTCCCAACCTTCAAGGGTCCCTCTGCTTCGCCACTTTTCGTGGCTGTGGCTGCCCCTGGGGAGTGCCCACCTGTGTGTCTGTCACCTGAGGCCTTGAAGGCCGGATGGCCTGCTGGGGGCTGGGACTGGGGACTGGTGTCCTGGGAGACTGGGGAGGCTCCAGTGCAGACCTGACTCCCTCACCCACCCCTCTCCCTTCACTTACATGGCACTGGCCGTGTAGCTGGCATCGCCGCCCTCCACATACTGCACCTGGCTGGAGTACACGTGTGGGACGGGCACCTGCTGGAGCTGCTGCACCTGGGGCAGAGGAAGGGCACGTGGAGGGTCAGGGGTGGGCCAGCTCCTACGGTTCTCCCTCTAAAGGGCTGGTGCCCACCCAGGCTATCCCTGACGCCCAGCTCCCGGACCCAAGGGTGGCTTCTGGACTCTCAACAAAACACCCTGGAGGAGGCCAGGGCTGGGAATCAGGAAGAGCTGTGTCAGGAGAAGCCAGGACTCTCGGCTTCGGCTGGGGCCAGCAAGGGTGGGGCCTGACGGACAGTGGAGGGGACCCGAGACAGGGTCCTGTAGTGGGCGTGAAGGTTGGACCCCAGGCACAGGGGCAAGGCTATCGCTGGAGCCATGGAGCTACAGAAAGGGCCTCAGGGGTGGGGCCTGGAAACCGGGCACAGGATGTGAGGGGCGGAGCCTGGGGCCCCGGTTGGTGGGACAGAACCTGGAATCACTGACAGGGCCTTAGGGGCGGGGCCTGAGTCCCCCACCTCCATCCCCCACCCTTGTCTGCAGGGGCGGAGCTGGGACCTGGACGGGGCTTGGGTGGGGAGTCAGAGGCGGGTCCCTAGACCGACCCGTCGGGCGGAGGTGGGGTCTACAGGGCTTGCGGGGCCTGGTGGGCGGCCCAGACTGGGCGCCCCCGCCCCCGCCCGCCCGCTGCCCCCCGCCCGTGCGTCCGCCACCTACTTTGAGGGCCGTGGCGGCCGTGCCGAACACTAGCACCTGGGGGATTCTCTGGATCCTGACCCTCTGGTCGGGGCTGGCTCGGGCCGGGAGCCGGGACAGTGGCTCGAAGACCACTTTCTGCTGCGGCAGGAGCAGGTGTGGGGGCAGCACGCCCACCAGCTCCACCCACTGCTCGGCGCCCGGCTCGTAATGGGGCGGCGGCGGCTCGGGGCTGCCTAGCTGCGGGGCCTCGCCGCTGCACGCGGGCGGCCGGGGCGGCGGCTCCGGCGGCGGCGTGGGCCGGGGATCTCGCTGCTCTGCCTTCCTAGCGGGAAACTGACTGCCTGAGCTCTGGAGGACAAACAGAGACACTGGGGGGTCAACGGGGGCGGCCGCGGGCGGGGCTCCAGGCCTCCACCCACCGGGTTGCTGAGCGCGCACGCAGCCACCCGAGGGAAGATCCCCGCCGCCCGGGGTCTCGGAGAGGGGTTAGAACTGACCCAGGGCCACGCAAGAAAGAAGAGGGGTTTGAATCCAGATCTCTCTTAGCAAAACCTGGACCCTGAGCTGCCAGGGGGCCGGGAAAGGGGAAGGATGTAGGGCAGTGTCTGCAGCTCACAGAGGCATTTCCCTCCCTGCGGCCTCAGGGGCCTGCACTCCCCAGCCCCAGCCCGGGACCAGCCCCTTTGCCCGTGGGGTAGGAGGGGGAGACACACACCTCTTGAGCCACGTGGACTGGCTGGAGGCCCTGCACGGTCAGCGGCTGCACCGGGCCGGGTTTGGGCGCTTGTGGAGTGGCCTGGACCACAGATCTCTGGGAGGGGAAAGGCAACAATAAGATGACCATGGCAACGATGGCCGTCAACCTACCCAGCCCCTGCACAGGTGAGCTTCTGTAAAGCTCACAGCAGACCCATAAGCAAGAGGCCACCATTCTCCAGCCAAGCAAGGAGGGTGCTGGATCCATTACTGATAAAGTGAGGCTCCCAGGAAGCAGCAGGGCTGAGTTGAACCTGGGACTAACTTCGGGGTCTCTGCTCTCCGCCCCCTCTCCCTACGGGCCCCTGAAGCTGTGCCAAGAACCCGCAGGCAAGGCCTTGGGTTATCTTTCGTCCCCACACCCCCCAATGTCAACTGTGTGCCCTGTTCTGTGCTGTGGCGGGCATGCGGGGATTATCCTAGGGGCGCAGAGCCAGGGACGGAGGCTGGCGGAGGAGGGTGCTGAGTGGAGGAGCTGGGGCCTGGACCTAGGTCTGGAGGTTCGGGGGGGCTCTAGTGCCAGGCGGGGGAGTATCTGTGAAACCTCTGGGACAGGGTTTCTGTTTACACTTGGGGAAGGGTCTATGGATTTCATCTGTTTTTTCAAGGGGCTTGGAACCCCCTCAACTTCAGTGGTAACAACCAGATGGTGCGCAGCCCCAGCATCTTAACCTGCGCCGGCTCAGGGCTCTGCCTCCTGCAGAGGCTGGGTGTGGATTTGGGGGCTGGGTCCCCTCCCTGAAATCCTCCCCAGAAGGAGCCAGGATGTGGCCTCGGGGCTTCCTTCAGGCAAATGGGCCCAAAGAGGCTCAGGTGGCTTCTCCAAGCGGTTCCCATGGCCCACTACGCCCCAGTCTCCTTCCAGGAGGTTCAAATTTCGTCCTCCCCGCGGCTCCCCCATCCTCTAGCCCCAGGATGCTGAGTCTGGAGACAGGCAGAGATGCTTATCAAAGGCCAGGGTGGCAGGCTGGGGCTGGACCCACATGGGCTGGGCTCTAATAGGCCAGAGGCACAGCCGTGGGGGGCTGCAGAGGCTGCCTGGCCGGTACCCCTGGACCGAGCCACTGCCCGCCTTGGCCTGGCACCTCTTGGGTGACGGGGACACTCTGCTGGACGCCGTGGACCTGCAGCTGCTGTGGCACTGTGCCCGTGGGGGCCCCGGCTGTCTTGCTGGAAGAGCTGTTGGCCTGCACCGGCGACTGCTGTAAGGGAAGGAGACACAGGAGTGCCGCTGGGGTGGGCTTGCATCCTCTCTGAGGTGGGCTCACACACACACCCTTCTCAGGAGAGCTGTCTGGGGAGGGCGGCAGTCTGTGGGGACCTATCCCAACCACCGAGGCTGGTAACTGACCGCGTCCCACGCATCCAAATGCCTACTCCCTGCAACAGTCCCAGTCAACTCCCAGCAATGATGGGGGTTTAACCCTCCCCAGCAAGGTTGGCTGATGGTGGGTGGTGCCGCCAGCACCCCTGAAGCTCTCCTGGGGCTGACCCTCAAAGGTTATAGCAATGACGACAGCAGCCTCTGGTGTGATATTGGGCCGACTCCCACCAGACACTGCACTGAGCGCTTTAAATGTACTCACTGGAATCTCATGGCACCCCCACTTCCCAATGGAGGGGCAGAGGGGAAGGGACAAGCCCTGGGTCACATGGCTGCAGGCGATGAGGCACAGGGCTGAGCCCAGGCAGGCTGGCCATAGAGCCCCATGTCTGCTCTGAGCCCTACTGTGCCTCAGGCTGTAATTCCCACAGCAAGCTGAGGGGTGGTTGATACCATCAGTTGTTTGACACAGAGAAAACTCAGGGCTCAGAAGGCTCAAAGGGGCCGGGCATGGTGGCTCACGCCTGTAATCCCAGCACTTTGGAAGGCTGAGGTGGGCAGATCACCTGAGGTCAGGAGTTCAAGACCAGCCTGGCCAACATGGTGAAACCCCATCTCTACTAAAAATACAAAAATTAGCAGGGCGTGGTGGCGCATGTCTCTAATCCCAGCTACTCGGGAGGCTGAGACAGGAGAATCGCTTGAACCCAGGAGTCGGAGGTTGCAGTGAGCTGAGATCGCACCACTTCACTCCAGCCTGGGGGACAGAGCGAGATTCTGTCTCAAAAACAAAACAAAACAAGGCTCAGAGGCCTGCCTAGAGTCCCACGAGAGGAAGTGGCTGGGCCAGCCATCTGACCCCGAGCTCCTGATGCAGACAGCATCCACAGCCTGTCTTCAACACCCTCATTGGTGTTGTGGGTCCCCAGAATCTACCCTGTGGTCCAAGGCTTCCTGGAAGAGACTGTCCCACCCTCCGGGGGGAAGAGGAACCCACTTTGTTTCTCGGAATGCAGTTCCCTGAGCTGGAGCTGCCAGGACCATCTCAACCCAGGAAATCACCTCCTTCTCCCAGAGCAGAGCTCCACGGCCGCTTAGCTCAGAGCTGGCAGGGCCAGGAATTGGGCAGCTAAGCCACCCTACCTGGGGTCAACAAGGGCGTTGCACTGGGAGTGAAGAGGGAAGCAGGACTTTGGAGGAGCAAGTGGGCTTGGGGGGCGGGGCAGGGAGCCCCAAATATACTATGGGGATACATTGCTGACCTCGGGAGACAGCAGGGGGGAGGGCGGCCAACAGGACCACCACTTACCTCTGGGGGCGAGTGCACCTGCTGGGTACCATGGACCGTCAGGGAGACCTGGCCACCTTTGCTGCCTGGGGCTGCGCTCTGCACCACCAGACGCTGCGTGGGAAGAGCCTGGGGCCAGGGAGGGAGAGGGAGGGCAGATCACTGATGACAGCCCGTGCAGTTGCACCGAGCATCTGCGCAGTGCCAGGTGACATTCTAAGTGCTTCACGCCTGTTAGCTCACAGAATCGCCCTGACAGCCCTGATGAAGCTCGGCTACTGCCCCCACTTCACAGAGGGTGACACCAAGGCTCAGGACGGCAAAGGCACTTATCTGAGGTCCTAAAGCCAGGAAGCGGCAGAGCCGGAGTTGTTGTCAGGCCATGTGGAATGTGCTGTCATCCTTAAAACCCAATAGTCCTAGGCTGGGTGTGGTGGCTCACACCTGTAATCCCAGCACTTTGGGAGACTGAGGCGGGCAGATCACCTGAGGTCAGGAGTTCGAGACCAGCCTGGCCGACATGGTGAAATCTTGTTTCTACTAATAATACAAAAATTAGCCAGGTGTGGTGGTGCACACCTGTAGTCTCAGCTACTCAGGAGGCTGAGGCAGGAGAATCACTTGACCCTGGGAGGCGGAGGTTGCAGTGAGCCGAGATCGAGCCATTGTAAAACCCAACAGTACTTTGTCCAGATCTGCGCTGATCAGTCGGAAACGGGTGTGCGCGGCACCTCATGCGCAGCCTTCTGGGGGACAGACCACCCTGTGCTGGCTGTGGACTCCTGACTCTAAACCTGGCCTTGGGTTCTCTGCTTCGGGACACTGGGTTGGACCCGCAAACCACCTTCCCAACTATACATCTTGTTCTCTCTGCTGAGATGGCTCCTGCAGCTCCTCTGTCCCTGATGGCCCCTGCCGGATAGTCTCACCCTGGGGAGGTGACTGCCCAGAGCCAGGAGGTAGGGCAGCCCCTGGATGGGGACTCTTCCCTCCATCCTGGTGAGGACAGATCCAGGCTTGCCACAGGGGGTTGGTCCTCCACCCTGAGGGAGCCTTCCAGGGTGGTGGCCAGGTGCAGCAGCATTACCTGCTGGGGCACTTGGATGTTGGTCAGCTGGAGGGGCGACACGTGGCCTGGCTTGGCCTGCACGCTCGTCTGGACCAGCAGCCGCTGTGGAGACAAGGCAGGAGGAGCTGAGCTGCCACTTCCCCCAGGGAGGCCTGGCGTGGTTGGGTGGCGGGCGGCTGCTGTGCACATCTTGATAAGAACAGGTGAGCAGATGGCTCCAGCAGGAAGCGGGGAGGGGAGGTGAGGCCCCCGAGGACGCAGCCTGCACTGCCCCCCTCCCGGGCCCTCCCCCACCCCCTGGGAGGGCCACATCCTACCTGCTGGGTGCCCTGCACCTGCTGAACCACCTGAGTAGGAACGCCGGTCTGGCTGGCGGTGGAGCCGGGGCTGGCCTCCGACACTGTCTCGCTGGCCCGCATGGCACCTTCTGTGGGGAGGGGCCACCAGGTCAGTTCTTCCTGCTTTCCCTGCCCCCAGCCTAAGCCTGAGCCCCCCTGGAGGGGAAGATGCAGCCTGAAGCCAACCCCCAGCAAGGTCAGGCCCCTCCAAGAGTCCTGCTTCCCCCTGGCCAGCCCTGACTGCACCCATCAGGGGCCCACGTGGCAGAGCGGGCTGAGGCTTGCAGGACCCAGGATCCTTAATACCTGGCAGCAGCCCTCATCAGCTTTCCTCATCCTGAAGTCAGACCAGATAGGGTGACTGAAGAGCTATGATGCTCAAAACCCAGAAGGCTGGACCCTTCCCAGCAGACGGGACTTGTGGACAGGCAGGGAACTGACTGTCCACTCCAGGGTCCTGGCAGCGCTGGAAGGATCGAGGTGCTGGGGCCACCTTCTCTGGGGTGACCCTGGCTTCCCGGGAGTGGAAGCTGCTCGGAGGAGTGGTCCCTGGAAGGTCTTGCTAGCCTGTGGCCAAGTCCTCCCTCCCTGCCCCTCTGTCCTCAGTGGGGTGGGGACCACAAGGGGCTTGGAGTGGGGGAGGCAGGTACTCACGCTGACAGGCAGCTGAGAAGAGACAATCATAGAACATGGTGCTCATCCCCTCCCCCACCCCACCCGCCCCCCACCCCGTCCGCCTGTCCGTCCAGGGGGGCCTGCCTGGCCCTCTTTGCTCCTTGCCTGCCTCTATAGAACAGCAGGGTGTGCAGGTGGCTTTATACCCACGACCTTGGGGCGCTAATCCCCCCGGTGGATGCAGAGAGCCTGCCTGCCCTCTTGGAAAAACACTCCCCTCCCCAGCAAAGCGGGGCCTTCGCGGGGCTGGGGCAGCGCTGCGGGGTGAGGAGGGAGGTTGGTACCCGGAGATGCTATCAGGCAGGCACAGGTCAAATTTCATGCACATCTTGCTGAGTGATTAGCAGGGGTGCTGGGGGTAGAGGCGAGTGTTCCCAAGAGGCGCTGGCTAGAAGACCCTCACCCCAGCTGGGACACCATCCATCCCATCCCCTCCATGTGACCTGGCATACCCCCAGCAGCTCCAGAGGCCGAGGTGGGGCTGGGGGTGGACATGTACCTGCCCTTCCTCCACCATCAAGGAGCCAAGGTCCCAGGCCCACCTTTCTTGGGGATTTAGAGGGGTTTATCCGACCCCCGGCAGGACTGAAGGGCCACGGGCAAGGAGTTATCACTGCAGACACTAGTGTTGCTTCTGGCACACTAGGTGTTATGTTAGACTCTGGACAGCCAGAGATAGAGCTTTTTTGTTTTTTTGAGACAGGGTTTCGCTCTGTCACCCAGGCTGGAGTGCAGTAGCACGATCTTGGCTCACTGCAACCTCTGTCCCCTGGGGTTCAAGCAATTATCCTGCCTCAGCCTCCCAAGTAGCTGGGACTACACGCATGCACCACCATGTCCGGCTAATTTTTGTATTTTTAATAGGGACTGGGGTCTTGCTATATTGCCCAGGCTGGTCTCGAACTCTTGGACTCAAGCAATCCACCTGCTTCCATCTCCCGAAGTGCCGGAATTACCGGCGTGAGCCACTGTGCCTGGCTGACAGTAAGAGCTTTCCGGGATTTTTTTTTTTTTTTGAGACAGGGTCTCACAGTTGCCCAGGCTGGAGTGCAGTGGCGCAATCTCTGCTCACTGAAATCTCCGCCTCCCGGTTCAAGTGATTCTCCTGCCTCAACCCACTGAGTAGCTAGGACTGCAGGCACCCGCCACCACGCCCAGCTAATTTTTGTGGTTTTAGTAGAGACGGGGTTTTGCCATGTTGGCCAGGCTGCTCTTGAACTCCTGGCTTCAAGTGATCCGCCCGCCTCGGTCTCTCAAAGTGCTGGGATTACAGGCATGAGCCACTGCACCTGGCTGACAGTAAGAGCTTTTATTACCCATTTTCAGACAAGGCAACAGAGACCAGAAGCAAGGAAGTGATCTGTCCAAGGTCAAATGCACCATCCACCGTGCAGGCCATGACGCAGGTTCCCCTCTGGGCCCACACGAACCTCATACCACATATGGAACCGGAGTCACTGGTTCTGCCTGGGCTGCGCCCCAAGGGCAGTGATGTGTGAACTTGGGTATATGGGCACAGGAAGGAAAGTAAGCTGGGGGTCTACGGGGACCCCTCAAAGTCTGAAGTATCCAGACTGGGTCTCGGCTGTCCAGGCAGGGCACAGGAGGGAGAGGGGCCTGGACAGGGCAGGAGGGCTATTCAGGGCAGATGCAAAGGCCAAGTCAAGGGCAGAGCGCAGGAGTGTGTGTTGGGGGCGGGGGTTGCCAGATGTGGGAGGTGTTGGGGGAGGCCTCCGCGTAGCCGCATGTGGGCTGTGGGGCATTTGGTCAATCCCATGCCTGCCTGACCAGCTACCTGTGCAGCCAATTCCACAGGCCCTAATCCCTGTGTTTTGCTGGAATCTTCCCTGGCATCTGCTTTAGGCTTCCCAGCCCTGAGCCATAAGGGAGGAGGCCCTTGCTGAGAGGGCCCCTCCTGGGAGAAACCCGAGACAGCCCCGAGTCATGTGACCGGCACTGCACACCTGGGTCCGTGGGGTCCAAGGACTCAGGCCCAGCCTAAGGGATGGTGTCTCACCCAGGAAGCTCAAGGTGGGCAGGGAGTGGGGGGCTGGCCCCCCACCCTCTCCAGGGCTCAGGGGCTGGTCGCTGAGCAGGACCTACAGCAGGAGGAGGCCTGGGGACCTGCTGAGACCAGGTGGCTGTCTCCAGGAAGCAGCCTTGCCCGTCTCCTGCCTCTGGGGTAGCCCTCAAGGCTGGGACCCCGCCTGCCAGCCCAGGAGGGCGCCAGGGGATGCGCCACGAGGCTAACAGGTGAGCCTGAGTGACTCATGCGGATGAGGGCTTCCTGTGCAGCCATCCCTGTCTGCCTGCGGCCGGGGCAGGGCCCCTCCACCACTGGGTCTGGCCCTCGCTGTGTTTCAGGGAGGAGAAGCCAGGAGGGGAAGTGGGGGGTGGCACTGAGTCTGCGAGCGAGCGTCTGCATCTATCTGCCGGAGATCGCCACTCTGGGCATGCGCAGGAGGCCAGGGAGGCCCCCACTGTCTCAGGAAACGGCGGCCGATTTCCTGTCTCTGAATCTGACACATTAACATCTCTGAGCAGTGGAATGACTCTGACAAGTGGGCACCCATCCTCCCCGGGCCCCGCACTTCCCCATCTAGACCTACTCAAACCTTAAATGAGCTACTTGGGGGAGCCCAGGGGAGGCCCTAGAGGCTGGACTCCTGGCATCCACCCTGGGGGCCTGGCCCCCTTCCCCATAGACAGATGGGGCCACCTGACCCTCTGCCTCCTGCCCCTGGGCTCCCTGGGATGATGTCAGTCAGGGGCTCCTGGAGGGGCCCCTGCTGCCCCCAGTGTCCTCTATCCCTTGTCTGCTCCAACCTCAGTTTCCCCATCTGTGCTTGGGAATGCTGACAAACACACTCCACTTCTCTGTCTGGACACAAGTCTTCTTGGCCCCCCTAGAACTCCAAGTGAGAGAGAAGCAGGGAAGAAGGGCCGGACTCGGCCCCTCCTTCGGGGCGGCCCCTGTTCCCTGCAGGCCGGCTCGGTTTCACCTTCCCAGGAGTGGCTGCCAGAGCCCACAGCACTCTCCTTCCGCCTTGGGTTCTGGGAGAGTCTGATGGCCTCTGAGGACAGGGATTTATGGATCTAGTATTGTTCCTGACCAGGGAAACTTGATCTTCCTTCCTACCACCTCCAAAGTCACCTTTAGGCAGGGCAGGCAGGGACCGGGGCTGGGTGAGCTGTGTCTGGTTTGGTGTCGGCTGGTGTCCAGCCCCAGGCTCCAAGTCTGGGTCCAGGCCCCTCCCTTCCTCTTCCCTGCCACCTCCCTGGGTCCCTGGTCAGCTCCGATTGCTCCTGGCTTGGGAGAAGTCCTAGGTGCCTTGTGGCAGCCTTCACTGGTGTCAGTTACTCCTGCTTCCCCGGCGCTCACGTGGCCCCGGCCACCCTTAGATGAGGAAGGACGCTAACCTGGCAGAGGGTCAGGGAGGAAGGCTGGGGAGTTACTGCAAGGGGTGGGGGAGGGGACAGCTGGCAGGGCACAAGCCAACCTCCTCTTCCTCAGAACAAATCCAGGAAGCATTGCCCAGTGACCCTTCTGGGGACAGGCTGGCACCTGCCAGAATGTGGAGTGGCAGGGAAATGAAATTCCCTGGGACCACTGTGAAAGGCGACTAAGCTACCGCCTGACCAAAGTGAGCCCCAGAGAGTTCTGTGGACAGCAGGGTTGCTACAGCCTGCCCTCATGGGTACAGAGTACCCTCCTGGGAACACTACCAAGATGGGGGAGACAGAGGCCACCTCCCCATGCCTAACAGCTACTTAGAGTCCGGCCTAGCTCTGTCTGACCCAAAGACCATGCCTTGCTCTTGACTTGCTCTTGACTTCTTGCTCTTTTTTTTTTTTTTTTTTTTGAGACAGAGTCTTGCTCTGTTACTCAGGCTGGAGCGCAATGACATGATCTCGACTCACTGCAACCTCCACCTCCCAGGTTCGAGCGATTCTCCTGCCCCAGCCTCCCCAGTAGCTGGTGCTACAGGCACACGCCAACACGCCGGGCTAATTTTTGTATTTTTATTAGAGACGGGGTTTCATCATGTTGGCCAGGCTGGTCTTGAACTCCTGACCTCAGGTGATCCGCCTGCCTCAGCCTCCCAAAGTGCGGGGACTTGGTCTTGACTTTGAAGCACCAGGGCCCCCCTGAGGGAGTGCGGGAAGAGCTGGAGAAGCCAAGGTCAAGAGTGGAAGGACTTGGGGAGTGGTGGAGCCTGGAGCTGTGTGCCCACTCCAGACCCTGGCTCTAGGGAGCCTGGACCCTGAAGCAGGTAAGACCCACACCCAGGGCGTGGATCAGGACCCATCAGACACTCTGGGCGCCAAGCAGAGCCATCCACTGGTGACATGCGAGGCCTCCTGCAAACAGTCAGCCATGCAGGAGCTGATGGGACATGATGGCTGTGCTAGGTGCTCCTCTAGGCTGTTCTGGGTCAGGCTGGTGCTCCTCAGTCATTCCACAGAGACTGAGCACTGACAGAGCCCTGCCTGCAGGTGGGCACCCCCACCATCCCATTATTGTAACTTCAAGTAGTGTTAAGTGTTAAGAAGACCAGCGGGGCGCAGTGGCTCACACCTATAATCCCAGCACTTTGGGAGGCCGAGGCAGGCAGATTACTTGAGGTAAGAAGTTTGAGACCAGCCTGGCCAACATGGCAAAACGCCATCTCTACCAAAAAATACAAAAATTACCCTGGTGTGGTGGTGCGCCCCTGTAATCCCAGCTACTCGGGAGGCTGAGGCAGGAGAATCGCTTGAACCCAGGAGGCAGAGGTTGCAGTGAACTGAGATCGCACCACTGCATCCGGCCTGGGTGACACAGCGAGACTTTGTCTCAAAAACAAACAAACAAGAAGACAGAGAGTGAGCAATGGGGGTAGGGGCAGGGAGGTGTGGAGTCAGAAAGGTAGTGTCTGAGCAGCGACCTAAGGGAGACAAGAGGCAAGCTCCCAGAGGGTCTGGGGCAGGGAGTGCTCCTGGCAGAGGGTACCGAGAGTGCAAAGGTCAGGAGGCAGGACTGAGCCTGGCGGGTTTGTGGAGCTGTAGGAAGGCAAGAGGGGCTGGACCAGGTATGTGAGGGGATGGGTGGAAGTGGGCGAGGCTGGGAGGCTGGCAGGCCAGAGTTGAAGGGGCTTGACATTTGCTAGTAGGGGCACAGGGTGTGTGGAGCATTTTTGCATTTTGTTTTTGTTTTTTTGTTTTTGAGACGGAGTTTCACTCTTGTTGCCCAGGCTGGAGTGCAATGGTGCAGTCTTGGCTCACTGCAACCTCCACCTCCTGGGTTCAAGCGATTCTCCTGCCTCAGCCTCCCAAGTAGCTGGGATTACGGCGCCCACCACCACACCCAGCTTAGAGAGAGAGAGAGAGAGACAGACAGACAGACAGACAGACAGACAGAGAGAAAGAGAGTGTGTGTCTGTGTGTGTAGCTTTTAAAGTCCTTTTTTGTCAGGTATCGGGGGAGGGGAAGGAGCCTGCTCTCCCAGAGCTGAGAAAGCCTAGGCTGGGGTTTCTCAAAGAGTGCCCATGGAACCACCTGGCTTGGAGCCATCAGGGTTGAGCTAGGATGTGACGGGACCTAATGGACAGTTGTGAACCTGCTCCCTCTGGCTGCTGGGAGGGGTCAGACTGTGAGGGCGGAGGCTCGACCAGGATTGGGGTCATAGAAGTGGAAGAGGCGGGGGGGGTTCTGGAAGAGTTTAGGAGGTGGAGCCGAGAGGTCTTACTCAAGGAGGAGTAGGACAGAAACAAGACTGACCGTGGGCCTGGGAGGATGAGAAAGCCTTGAAGGAGAGATTTGAAGAGGGAAAAATGCAGAATTCAATGTGGCTGCACTGGCCTGCATCAAATTCAACACCAAGTGGATGAGTCAGGAGGGGCTGGATGTGGGGTCCTGCGGTTCAGGGTTGCAGCCCAGGCTGGAGACCTCAGTGTGGGTAATGAGAGCTGGGACACAGGATGAGGCCATCGTTAAGGGAGAACTACAGGAGCTAAGAGAGGTTCCCAGGTCTGAGTCTGGGGCTCCCCGTCCTTTGCTGACAAGGTCAGGGAGATGGGGAGAAGCAGCAGAGAGGACCACGGAGGGGCTGCGGGCGGTGGGCGGAGACCAGGGCAGTGTGGGCTCCTGGAGGCCTCACAAGAGGGGATCTTTGGGAAAAAGGGGGCCAGCTGCAGGGGGTCCAGCAGCTGGAGGTTCCTGGAGAAAATGGGGGCTTGGCTGGGCGCGGTGGCTCACACTTGTAATTCCAGCACTTTGGGAGGCTGAAGTGGGAGAATTGTTTGAGGCCAGGAGTTCAAGACCAGCCTGGGCAACATAGTGAGACTCTGTCTCTACAAAAAAATTAAAAGATTAGGCCGGGCGCGGTGGCTCACGCCTGTAATCCCAGCACTTTTGGAGGCCGAGGCGGGTGGATCACGAGGTCAGGAGATCAAGACCATCCTGGCTAACACAGTGAAACCCCGTCTCTACTAAAAATACAAAAAATTAGCCAGGCATGGTGGCGGGCACCTATAGTCCCAGCTACTTGGGAGGCTGAGGCAGGAGAATGGTGTGAACCCCGGAGGCAGAGCTTGCAGTGAGCCGAGATCCTGCCACTGCACTCCAGCCTGGGTGTCAGAGCGAGACTTTGTCTCAAAGAAAAAAAAAAAAATTACCTGGGTGTGGTGGCACATGCCTATAGTCCCAGCTACTTGGGAGGCTGTGAGAGTATCACTGAGCCCAGGAGTTGGAGGTTACAGTGAGCCATGATTGCACCATTGCACTCCAGCCTGGGCGACAGAGCAAGACCCTGTCTCAAAAAATAAATACATAAAAAATAAACAAAATGGGTGCTGTTCCACCTTGATGGGTGGATGGGAAGATCTGCAAGAGGGGGATTAAGTGATGCAGAAGGAACTAGAAGGAGCAATGGCAGGAGCGTGTTCTGGATATGGGTGGTGCTGCTTAATCCAAGAAGGCAAAGGTGGTGGGTGCAGATGCACCCCAGGAGCTGGGCAGGAGAAGGGGTCCCTGTGGCTGCCTGATGGTACTCTGTCCCCAGTAAGGTTGCCTGCAGGGTCAGGGACCAGGATCATAGTATAAGACAAAGGTGATGGAGGTGAAGGTGGGGCAGAGGGAGAATGGGTTTCTTGGAGCATGAAGTTCACTGTTAAGGAAATGCTGCAGGATTTCTGAGGGGTGCTGAGAACCCACCAGAGGTTTGTGGCCTGAAGACCCTGCCCATGACTGCAGCCCGACCTCAACCAGGGCAGGGCTGTGTCTACACAGGCGGGGGGGCACTAAGTGTGGCGCTCATGCGGACACCTCCACTCCGTCCATATAGTAAAGAGTCACTGCCCTGAGTCCCTGCATGTTCCCGCCCCAAACCTCTGCCAGAGACCCTGGACCTCCCACGCAGACACTGCCAGAAGCCTCTGGGACACTGCCCAGGGCTCCAGCCCCATCTGCTTTGTTCCACAACGGGGCCAATTGCTACACTTTTCATTACTTTTTTTTTGAGATGGATTCTCGCTCCGTTACCCAGGCTGGAGCGCAGTGGCACGATCTCAGCTCACTGCAACCTCTGCCTCCGGGTTCAAGTGATTTTTCCTGCCTCAGCTTCCTGAGTAGCTGGCATTACAGGTTCGCGCCACCACGCCCAGCTAATTTTTATATTTTTAGTATAGATGGGGTCTCACCATGTTGGCCAGGCTGGTCTCGAACTCCTGACCTCAAGTGATCCACCTGCCTCGGCCTCCCAAAGTGCTGGGGTTATAGGTGTGAGCCACCACACCCGGCCAATTGCTACATGTTTTGATGACTCTTTATGACCTGATGGTCCCCAATCCCATCTTGACCCACCCCTTCCACAGCCCCTCAGGATGCCCTGATGATCTCACCCCTTCCATTCCCACTCTGAGAAGGACCAGGGCCAGCTTTGATCCGGGCTCCCACTGAGGCCTCCGTCCACCACAGAGCACATTAAAAACACACTAGCTGTGCACAGTGGCAGGCGCCTGTAGTCCCAGCTACCTACAAGGCTGAGGCAGGAGAATCACTTGAGCCCAGGAGTTCGAGGTCAGTCTGGACAGCATAGCAAGACCCCATCTCTAAACCAAAAAAACACACGAATCTAGCCTAATGCCCAGGCTGTGCTGCCATTCCCACCAGAGCACTGAGTCAGTCGAGACAGAGACCCAGCCCTCAGGCAGACCCTAAACCAGTCAAAACATCGTCACTATGTTTACTGTGGGAAATGCTCAGAGGGCAACAGGTCTGTCCAAGATGGCCTGCTCTCAACACAGGTCCTGCGTGCCTTAGCTTATGTCATGAGAAAGAAAAGCAAAAATAAAGAAAAGGGCCAGTCCCTGGATCCTGCCCAAAACAACAGGGCGGCTGCTCTAGGAAGGGGAGGTGACATGTCCAGGCCCTCACCCCCAGCTGACCTCCCTGAAGTGCCCACTCAAGGCCATCCTGGCTATGAGACCCTCGCATGCGTCCCCTGAGAGAGAGGAGCTATGATGATCCCATCACAAATGAGGAAACCAGAGCAGGGAGGCCAAAAGACTGGTGTGTAGCCAGGCCAGGCCTCTGTCTCCCACAGGTGCATGCAAACTTTGATGCCACTGCCCAAACCCTTCTTCCAGTGACATCTTATTTGCAAAGAGAGGTCAGAACAGCTCTAAGAGGCTGAGCATGGTGACTCATGCCTGTATTCCCAGCACTTTGGGAGGCTATGGCAGGAGGATCGCTTGAGTCCAGGAGTTTGAGACCAGCCTAGGCAATATGGCGAGACCTCATCTCTACAAAAAATACAAAAAAACAAAAAAATTAGCTGGGCACAGCTGCACACCTGTGGTCTCAGCAACTCAGGAGACCGAGGTGGGAGGATCATTTGAGGCCGGGAGGATCATTTGAGGCCAGGAGTTTGAGACCTGCCTGAGCAACATGGGAAGATCCCATAGCTACAAAAAATTTTAAAAATTAGCCAGGCATGGTGGTGGGCACCTGTGGTCTCAGCTACTTGGGAGGCTGAGGTGGAAGGATTGCTTGAGCCTGGAGGGTTGAGGCTGCTGTGAGCTGTGATTGTGCCACTGCACTCCAGCCTGGGCAACAGAATGAGACTCTGTCTCAAAAAATAAAATAAAACCAAAAAAAGAAGCTCTAAGAGCTGCTCTGGTGGGAAGGAGTTTGGGGGGACAGAGGCCTCCTTGCATGGCTTAAGCACCCCTGCCCTAGTGATACCCCAAGTCCCATCCAGAAACCTTGGGGGGCATGGCAGCCCTGTGCCTTCACACCCAGGGTCTAGGCTATCTGAACAACTCTGAGAGGAGTTTTCAGGACACACGAGCGCGGCACTTACCAGAGACAGTGACCACGATGTACTGCTGGGGTGCAGGCGAAGGGGTGGGTGCACCGGTTGGCTGCGAGGGTGCGGGTACAGCCGGGAGCTCCGTCACGTACTGCTTCTGGCCACCCGGTGGCTGTGCCTGGGGCTGGGGGCTCTGCAGCTCGGTGACATATTGGGGCTGAGGGGTGGCAGCAGCGGTGGGTGGCTGCGGGGGCTGGGGTGCCGCTGGGGGTGGTGGCGGTGGCGGCTGGGGCTGGGCTTGTGGCGGGGCCTGTGGCGGCTGGGATGGTGGCGGGGCTGCCTGTAGCTCAGTATACGCCTGTGTTGCCATGCCAACGGTGGGGAAAATGATAATAAATAAGGCTTTTTTTTTTTTTTAATTCCTTGGGAAGAAAGACGGGGATGGGGGAGAGAAAAACAAAACAAAACAAAAGAAGGAAAAACAGGAATTAATCCACAGGCAGAGAAAGCAGGGACAGCTCTGGGTTCCCTGGAGATGTGCTTGGGTTCATCACTAACTTAATTAAATCCCCAGGCTGGTGGCCAGAAATATCCAACCCGTCACTGCAGGGGGACCAGCTGTAGACCAGGGCTGGAGCCCCACTCCGCACCCCCACTCACCCCAAGCCAGGACTCCTGCCTTCCCAGTCCCTGGTACCCAGAGACCCCCACATCCACATAGGATCGCATTTCCCCACACTGCGGGGGAACTTGGGCCTGTGTGGTTGCTCTGTGCCCTCACCCAGAGAAAAATGGTACGGTTCTCACTGGGTCACTCTCAACTACCAGGGGCTGCCCCCTCCCTTGCCTCCATCTCCTTAGCTGAGGACCCCAAGTGGGCACTTCCTGAGGGCTCTTGTAGGCCAGGCACAGGGCTGGGCACTTTCCCTATGTTAGTTCATCTTTTTAAAATGTCTATTAGGCCGGGCACAGTGGCTCATGCCTGCAATTCCAGCACTTTGGGAGGCCGAGGTGAGCGGATCACTTGAGGTCAGGAGTTCGAGACCAGCCTGGCCAACATGGTGAAACCCCGTCTCTACTAAAAATACAAAATTTGCTGGGCGTGGTGGTGCATGCCTGTAGTCCCAGCTACTCAGGAGGCTGAGGCAGGAGAATCACTTGAACCTGGGAGGCGGAGGTGGCAGTAAGCCAAGATTGCACCACTGTACTCCAGCCTGGGAGACCCAAGACTCTGTCTAAATATATATGTGTGTGTGTGTGTGTGTGTGTGTGTGTGTGTGTGTGTATTTTTTTACTTATATATTGAAATCTACATGTACATATATATACATATATAGTATATATATACACACACATATACACTGTATACATATATGTACACATGTATATATATTGTATATGTATATTGAAATATACATACATATATATATATATATATATATATATATATATATATATATATATAATCATTTTTTTCAGAGATGGGAGTCTCATTATCATGCCCAGTCTGGTCTTGAACTCCTGGGCTCAAGCAATCCTCCTGCCTTAGCCTCCCAAAAAGTGCTGGGATTCTAGGTGTGAGCCACCACGCCCGGCCTATTTCATTTTAAACTTTCCAACAACCATGTCTGGGTTTGGGTTCTGTCTGCTAGATAGGGAGCTGAGGCTCAGAGAGGTTAAGGTGCTTGCCCCAGGCCACACAGCGGGGAAGTGGTGGCAGGGCTGCATTTGAACTCTGGGTGTTCTATGCTCCTGACTCGTCAGTTTATTGCCGGAAAGCAGAGTCATGGGGAAAGCTGCCTCCCAGGGACCCGTGCCAGTTCCCTACGTGCCTGCCATCTGGACTTGGGATTCTCGGCTGAGTAGCATTCCCAGTGGGAAGGTGTTTTGAGTCCAAAAAGCCCCTGTGAGCTGCATGGGGCCACAGGGGCTTTTTGGGCCCTCTGTCTGGGAGCAGTTATGGGTCTTGACACCAGATGTAAGCTCATCAGTGGGACAGTGCCCTTCTGTGGCCAGGGGTGACAGGGCTGGGAGCAGGCCCAGGCTGCACTGAGAACCTGGCAGCTGCGGCTGACTTCAGAACAGGGCCGGCCTTGGCCAAGCGCAGTGGCTCACGCCTGTAATCCCAACACTTTGGGAGACCAGGGTGGCTGGATCACCTGAAGTCAGGCACTCAAGACCAGCCTGGTCAACATGGCGAAACCCAGTCTCTACTAAAAGTACAAAAATCAGCTGGGCATGGTGGCACATGCCTGTAATCCCAGCTACTTAGGAGGATGAGGCAGGAGAATCACTTGAACCTGGGAGGCGGAGGTTGCAATGAGCCGAGATCTTGTCACTGCATTCCAGCTTGGGCAACAAAGTGACACTCTGTCTCCAAAAAAAAAAAAAAAAAAAAAAAAAAATTAAACGGGAGTGGTGGCGCGCACCTGTAATCCCAGCTACTCAGGAGGCTGAGGTGGGAGAATTGCTTGAACCCAGGAGGCAGAGGTTGCAGAGAGCTGTGAGCCGAGATTGTTCCACTGCACTCCAGCCTCAGTGACACAGCAACACCCTGTCTCAGAGCAAAACAAAACAAAAGGAAAGAACAGGGCAGGCCTGGCTGTTAAAGGGTGTGTTCCTCTCCCAGGTGCTGGGCTGGGCATGGCCTCCCTCCGGCTCAGCCCCACTGTAGCAGGGGATCGGCAGATGGTTTGGGGACCCTTGTACTCATAAGCCCTATCCCCAGGTCCAAAGCATTTGAGGGACAGTGGGACAGAGGCACGAGTGGTTAAGAGGAAAGGCTCCAGATCCGTGCTTTTGTGGCTCCTGCCTGGCCCCAGAAGGCATTTGGGTCTGAGAGCCCTGCCTGCAGCTGGCCATGACTCCGGGCAGTACTGCCTCCTGGCTAGCAACTGGACCAGAGCCTCTTCTGCACTAACACTCAGCACCCATGTGCCACGATGTGCCCAGATGGCCCTCCAGCCGCAGGGTGACCCTCAAAGGAAGGAGGAGGTAAAAAACAACTGCTGTTGGTTGACCAGGAGCCCCCAGACCCCTCCACTGAGGTCACCTCCTCCTGGCAGTCGTATGAGGGAGGCATCATCATGCCCATTTTACAGATGAGCTGAGCGAGGCTGAGGGGTAGGCTGCTGAAAGCCTCGAGCAACTGGTGAGGGGGGATTGAACCCAGGTCTCTCTGACCCCCAGATACATTCTGTCAGTCCCCAACCCTACTTAGGATGCCAGGCACAGGGCTCATTTGCTTTTTTTTTTTTTTTTTTTTTTGAGATGGAGTATCACTCTGTCATCCAGGCTGGAGTGCAGTGGCACGATCTTGGCTCACTGCAACCTCTGCCCCCACGGGTTCAAGTGATTCTCCTGCCTCAGCCTCCCGAGTAGCTGCGACTACAGGAGCCTACTACCACATCCAGCTAATTTTCGTGTTTTTAGTGGAGACAGGGTTTCACCATGTTGGTTGGGCAGGTCTTGAACTCCTGACCTCAAGTAATCCGCCCACCTCGGCCTCCCAAAGTGCTAGGATTACAGGCGTGAGCCACCGCGCCCAACCTTCATTTGCTTCTTAAAGTAAGTACACGGCATCTTGCCGGTCTTCCAACAGGGAGACCCAAGCGTCACCTGCAAAGGTTACGCCCCCTGCCCAAGGCCGCAGTTAAGGGCAGCAGAACTGGCAAGGGGGAAGCCGGCCCAAGCAGCCCAGGGGAGGCTGGTTCCCATCCTTCACGCCTCCCTGTGCCTCCCTCCCCCGGGATCCAGGTTCTGCTCTTGGATGCCAAACTCAAGAGGTGTCCGAGTTAGCAGGGGGGCAAGGTAGGTAAGAAACGAGCCCTGGACGGGGATGGATGCACCACGATTTGAATTTGGCTATCTCCTAACTGTGTGACTTTTGAGGAGAGCCCCTACGGCTCCATCTGTGAAATGGGAGGACGGCTGGCCCTACCAGGCGGGGCTGCTGAGGGTTCAAGCTGATCCTGTGGGCAGTGTGTGGCCAGGCACCTGGCATGCTGTAAGCACGCAGGAAATGGCTCTGGCTCCTTCACTGCCCAGGGCCCTTTAACGCAGTTCCAGGAAAGATGAAAATACCTTCTGGCCCTGCCTGCTGCCTTCCAGCCTCCAGAGCTTTGTGCTGCTGAGGATGAAGGAAACAGGAGCTTACACTTGCCTCTTGGATGTGCCCTCTGGGCTTGCGGCAGGCTTGGGAGGGACTCCAGGACCCTCCTGGCTGGCAGGAACAGAGCTGACAGGGCCCTGGGGCCACCCTCCCTGCCAGGTGAGGTCATTCTGGTAGGAGTGGAGGCAGGCAGGATGAGAAGCCGTTTGGGGCCTTCCCACCTAGCAGGTGGCCAGCCTTAGTGCTCCGAGGCCCAGGGACTCGGGCAGCAGAGAAACTTGCCCACCGTGAGAGGGAAAAGGCTGCTGCCTGCCTTGAACAAGGCGAAGACCATCCTCCTCCAGCCCCTGCCCTCCCCAAACTCCTTTCTGCCAGCATTAGAGGGGTGGAGGTTCCTCACACCATCGGGTCCAAATCTGGCCCAGCTCGGGTACTCAAGTCACTGTAGCCGACGACCCTTCATCTGTCTGGTGTCAGACCCTCACCCACATGAACCCTGGCGCTATGTCTTAACTCATTAACATATTACCAACCTTCTTCTGGGCCTCAGTTGCCTGTCACCTGGGGATAACGAGAACACCCAATTCATCAAATTGCTGCAAAGATCCAATGAGATCAGGCCGGGCACGGTGGCTCACACCTATAATTCCAGCACTTTGTGAGGCCTAGGCAGGTGGATCAGCTGAGGTCAGGAGTTCGAGACCAGTCTGGCCAACATGGCGAAACCCCGTCTCTATAAAAATACAAAAATTGGCCAGGTATGGTGGCGTGTGCCTGTAGCCCCACCTATTCGGGAGGCTGAGGCAGAAGAATCACTTGAACCCAGGAGGCAGAGGGTGCAGTGAGCAGAGATCACACCACTGCAATCCAGCCTGGGTGACTGGGTGACAGAGCAAGACTCTGTCTCAAGAAAAAAAAAAAATCCAATGAGATCAGCTCAGCACCCAATAAACACTGATAAGTGGCAGGTGTTATTATTCATTCAACAAATATCCAAGCCAGGTTGGGACAGAGGAGGAAGGAGACAGGATCTTCAAGCTCTTGGGAGGGGACACCAAGAGGAAATCCAACCTAAGCTTTCGTCAGCAACATCATGCAGATTCCTGAGCTCTACTGCCCAGTGAGTCTGAAATGGCCCCAGAGTCTGTTTTAGCTGGTCCCTTAGATGATTCTGAGGCAGACAGTCCTGACAGCACTCTGAGAAATGCTGGCCTTGGCTTTCTCAGCCCTAAGAGACCTGGCCCCTTGTGGCCCCTCCCACAAAGAAAGGGCTTTAAAAGCTCCTCACTTACTGGCTCTTTCTCCTCCTAGGGATACAAAGCCCATGGGCCTCATCCCTTCCACTCAGGGGCAAGAAGAGGAGGCAATGATTAATTTCTAAAAGGCTGAGCTCAAAAGGAGGAGGTGGGAGATCGAGGAACAACTAAACCAACTTCTCTATTGGAGGCCTTCTCAGCACTGTGATTGTCAATCTTTTTCCTACAATTATTTGACCAAAGAGCCCTTTTCTACCTTTTAAGGAGACTACATTAAGCAATTATACAGGTTTGTTCCCTAGAGAGAAATAAATCACATATACATACATAGCATGAGGTATTGCCCATATATTTGAGCGTGAGAACCCTTTCTTTATGGAGCCTGGCACACAAAACAAGGGAATTACTTAACAAACTGTTCCTTGGCAATGAATCTGCCAAGAAAAGCACTAGTGGCTGCACCTACCTTCAAAGCCAGCAGCTGCTTATGGAGACTGTTTAAATCTATTACTTTAAATGAGGGCTCGGCAAAGTTCTGTAAGGGCCAAGCAGTAAACGTTATTAGTTTTGTGGCTAGTCTCTGCAGCAGCTGTTCAACTCTGCCACTGTAATGTGAAAGTGGCCATGCACAATAGGTAAACAAATGAGCAGGCTGTGTGCGAATAAAACTTTATTTCTAGACACTGAGATTTGAACTTCATGTAATTTTCACATATCATGAAATATAATTCCGGTGTTGATATTTCCAATAATTTAAAAATGTAAAAATCATTCTTAGCTCACCAGCCAAAAACAGGCAGCAGGCCATAGTTTGTTGAACCCTGTGTTTTTTTTTTGTTTTTTTTTGTTTTTGAGGCAAAGTTTCTCTTTCGTTGCCCAGGCTGGAGTGCAATGGCACAGTCTCTGCTCACTGCAACCTCTGCCTCCCGGGTTCAAGTGATTCTCCTGTCTCAGCCTCCTGAGGAGCTGGGATTACAGGTGCCCACCACCATGCCTGGCTAGCTTTTGTATTTTTAGTACAGATGGGGTTTCACCATGTTAGCCAGGCTGGTCTCGAACTCCTGACCTCAGGTGATCCTCCCACCTTGGCCTCCCAAAGTGCTGGGATTACAGGCATGAGCCACCGCGACTGGCCTGACCCCTGTTTTGGATGCCAGATTCTCTAATCAAATGGTTTACATCCTCAGCAAGGCCCTCCCAAAGATATAGAAAGAAAACTCACTCTCTTCATCTATAGAATGGCTTCAATAATGAACTTGCAGAAGAATGGCAAAATTAAATGGGATGATGTGTGTTTCTCTCATCCTCTATATCCAATTCATTTAGAAGATTTGTCAATTACTCCTCCAAAATATATCCTAGAGGCCGGGCGTGGTGGCTTATGCCTGTGATCCCAGCACTTTGGAAGGCTGAGGCGGGCGGATCATTTGAGGTCAGGAGTTTGAAGCCAGTCTAGCCAACATGGCGAAACCCCGTCTCTACTAAAAATACAAAAATTAGCTGGGTGTGGTGGTGTGTGGCTGTAATCCCAGCTACTCAGGAGGCTTAGGCAGGAGGATCGCTTGAGTCTGGCGGGGCAGAGGTTGCAGTGAGCTGAGATTGTGCCACTGCATGCATACAAACACACACATACACATACACATACACACACACACACTCGCACACATCTCCTAATGACTGGGCGCAGTGCTCACATCTATAATCCCACCACTTTGGGAGTCCAAGATTGGAGGATCACTTGAGCCCAGGAGTTCAAGACCAGCCTAAGCAACAAAGTGACGCCTTATCTCTATAAAAAAGTGAAAAAATCAGCTAGGCATAGTACCCGACACCTGAAGTCCCAGCTGCTCGGGAGGCTGGGGTGGGAGAATCACTTGAGCCCAGGAGTTCCAGGCTTCAGTGAGCTATGATCACACCGCCACACTCCAGT
Organism: Homo sapiens; assembly: GCF_000001405.40. Taxonomy (NCBI): domain Eukaryota; kingdom Metazoa; phylum Chordata; class Mammalia; order Primates; family Hominidae; genus Homo; species Homo sapiens. The sequence goes on from NC_000019.10 coordinate 14,000,771, forward strand.
CTGGGCAACAGAACAAGACCCTGTCTCTTTAAAATATATCCTGGACAGGCATGGCGGCTCACGCCTGTAATCTCAGCACTTTGAGAGCCCAGGGCAGGAAGATTGCTTGAGGCCAGAAGTTTGAGACCAGTCTTAGCAGCATAGCCGAGACTCCATCTCGACAAAAAAATTTTAAAAATTAGGTGGGCGTGATGGCGTGTGCCTGTAATCCCAGCTACTCGGGAGGCTGAGGTAGAATTGCTTGAACCCAGGAGGCAGAGGTTGCAGTGAGCCTCTCTGCAAAAACAAAAAAAACAAAAAACAAAACAAAACAAAAAAATGCTGCAGATCCATTCCTGCCTCTCATGGCCTCGGCCCCACCTCTTCCTCCCACCTGGCATGCTGTCCCCACCGCCACCTTCACGGCTGGCTTCTCCTCCTTATTCAGGTCTCAGCTCGTACACACTTCCTTGGGTCTGAAGGTACCCTCAAGCACATACTACTATTTTATTTGCTTCCTGACACTGTGTTTCCCTGTTGAGTTTATTTTCTTTCTTTTTCGTTTCTTAGAGACAAGGTCTCACTCTGTTGCCCAGGCTGGAGCACAGTGGCACAATCACAGCTCACTGTAACCTTGAATTCCTGGGCTCAAGTGATCCTCCGGCCTCAGCCTCCACAGTATATGGGAACGCAGGCCTGTGCCACGACACCTGGCTAATTTTTAAATCTTTTTAAGAGATGGGGTCTCGCTATGTTGCCCAGGCTGGTCTCAAACTCCTGGGCTTAAGTGATCCTCATGTCTCAGCCTCCCGAAGTGCTGGGATTACAAGCATAAGCCACTGAGTCTGGCTGGATTTATTTTCTTCCTCCTAGTTCCTCTTCCCTCCCTGACTGGAAAGGTAAGGGCCCCACAGGCAGAGACCTGGTGGGCCTGGTCTCTGTCTCAGCTCCTAGAAAACTGACAGGCAAGGCCGGGAGCAGTGGCTCACGCCTGTAATCCCAATATTTTGGGAGGCTGAGGCGGGCAGATCGCCTGAAGTCAGAATTTCAAGTCTAGCCTGGCCAACATGGTGAAACCCTGTCTCTACTAAAAATACAGAAATTAGGCTGCTGCGGTGGCTCACACCTATAGTTCCAGCACTTTGGGAGGCCAAAGCGTGTGGATCACCTGAGGTCAGGAGTTCGACACCAGCCTGGCCAACATGGTGAAACCCTGTCTCTACTAAAAATACAAAAATTAGCCGGGCATGGTGGTGGGTGCCTGTAATCCCAGCTACTCGGGAGGCTGAGGCAGGAGAATCTCTTGAACCTGGGAGGTGGAGGTTGCGGTGAGCCAAGATTGCGCCATTGCATTCCAGCCTGGGCAACAAGAGAGACACTCCGTCTCAAATAAACCAAACCGAAACAAAACAAAAATGAGCCGGTCATGGTGGCGGGCATCTGTATTCCCAGGTACTCGGATGGCTGAGGCAAGAGAACTGCTTGAACCCAGGAGGTGGATGTTGCAGTGAGCCAAGATCGTGCCACTGCACTCCAGCCTGGATGACAGAGTGAGACTCTGTCTCAAAAAAAAAAAAAAAAAAAAATTAGCCAGGCATGGTGGCAGGCATCTGTAATCCCAGCTACTCGGGAGGCTGAAGCAGGAGAATTGCTTGAACTGGGGAGGTGGAGGTTGCGGTGAGCTGAGATCACGCCACTGCACTCCATCCTGGGCGACAGAGTAGGACTCTGTCTCAACAAAAAAAAGAAAGAAAGAAAGAAAAAAGAAAAGAAAACTGACAGGCAAATAGTGGGGGTTTTGACTCTTACTGTCCAGGCAGCATAAATGATGCACCAGAACACACTGCTAGTGAGCATCAAAGGCAGGTTCCAGTCTATCAACTGCTGAGACCGTGTGAGAAAGTTACTTCCTGCCACAAGCCTGCTTGTGCTACAGAGCCAGGCAATGCCTTCTGGTCCAGAACAGGCCTGGGAAGCAGGTGGGAGAAAGTCTTTCTCGCCTAGGAAGACCACGTCCTGTACAGCTGCTATTGAAGGCAGCATCTCTGCGGGCGGGGCAGCCTGGCCATCCCCTTCCCTGAGATGCTCAGGTACATGACAGAGGAGAAGGGTGAGGACCTCGGCTCCAGAGACGCCATTCCAAGCTCCCCACCGTTCCCACAATGTCCACATCCCCGCTCACCCAGCTGCCTCCTGGAAGGCTTGGGACTGTGTCTGGGCCTGAGCCCAAGTAGCATTTTGTGTGTGTGTTTTGAGACAGTCTTGCTCTGTCACCCAGGCTCAAGTGCAGTGGCACGATCTTGGCTCACTGCAACTTCCATCTCCACGGTTCAAGGGATTCTCCTGCCTCAGCCTCCTAAATAGCTGGGACTACTACAGTCATGTGCTACCATGCCCGGCTACTTTTTGTATTTTTAGTAGAGATAGGGTTTCACCGTGTTGGCCAGGCTGGTCTCCAACTCTTTACCTCAAGTGATCCACCCACCTTGGCCTCTCAAAGTGCTGGGGGAGTGAGCACCCAAATTGAGCCACTGTGCCCGGCCAGGATTTTTCTTTCTAGTGACTCTCCTAAAGCCAGAGAACAGCCATTCAGCAGCCAGGGGAGTGACTTTCCCACTACAAACTGGATCCCTGGTATCCAGCTTCCTGGATCCCTGTCATCGACCCACACAGCCCAGCAAGCGAGAAGCAAGTCAACCTTTAAAGCCACGAGGGCTCTCACTGGATTCAAAATGATAAAAATAAAAGCCAACGGTGTATTTCCGAGGGTTGAACAGGAAGCGACAATCACCGTAACAGCAGAGGCTAACATAACTACATTAGCAATTACTTTGTATTTAGTTAGTTTCAGCAATTCCTATGTATTTGATATTCAACAGGTATTATTTTCTGGGATCCATAGCACAGAAACATGAGATTGAAAGGACTACCAAGGATTACTGCCCCTAGATGAAAGGAAGGGAAACTGAGGCCCAGAAAACTTAAGTAACTCACCTAAGAGCACACAGCTAGAAAAGCTGACTGTTTCAAGTCAGCTTCAAATCACCCTAGTGTTCTCTTCCTAGTCAAATGACTCCTCAGGCCCTTCATCTGTAAATGTAACTGGTGACTGAGGCAGTCAACATGACCAGATAATTGGTAACATCACTTTCTGCTCAGTTAGCTTTTTTTTTTTTGAGACAAGTCTCACTCTGTTGCCCAGGCTGGAGTGCAGTGGCCTGTGATCTCAGCTCACTGCAACCTCCGCCTCCCAGGCTCAAGCAATTCTTGTGTCTCAGCCTCCCGAGTAGCTGGGATTACAGGCATGTGCCACCACGCCTGGCTAATTTTTTTAGAAACAGGGTTTCACCATGTTGGCCGGGCTAGTCTCAAACTCCTGACCTCAGGTGATCCGCCCACCTCAGCCTCCCAAAGTGCTGGGATTACAGGTGTGAGCCACCACGCCCAGCCTGCTCAGTTAGCTTTTTTAAGAAGGGCTAGCCGGGCGCGGTGGCTCACGCCTGTAATCCCAGCATTTTGGGAGGCCGAGGCAGGTAAATCTCGAGGTCAAGAGATCAAGACCATCCTGACCAACATGGTGAAACCCCGTCTCTACTAAAAATACGAAAATCAGCCGGGCATGATGGCGAGCGCCTGTAGTCCCAGCGACTCAGGAGACTGAGGCAGGAGAATCACTTGTACCCGGGAGGCGGAGGCTGCAGTGAGCCAAAATCAAGCCACTGCACTCCAGCCTGGCCACAGAGTGAGACTCCGTCTCCAAAAAAAAAAGTGCTGATGATCCGTCTAGCAACTTGGCATTTCTAGCTTTTTTGTTTGTTTTACTGAAAATTAATCTCCACCTGTCCTAACTTTCAAAGAGTCCCTGCCTCCTCTAAAAAGGGCCAGGCCTAGAAAAAGTACCTGGAGAAGTTAGGACCCGCCAACCCCCACCAGACCAATCTCAAACTCTTGGGAAAAAGCCTGAAATGATCCTTTTCCTTGGAATGTATTGACTGATTTAAAAGGAAATGGCTGCAGTTTGCACACCGACACTAAGCTCAAAAGCAAGACGGAGAATAAGCCAACTAGACTTGGCCTGGCTGGCTACTTAAAAAAAAAATTCCTCCCCGAGCTGGCAGGATATTGTCACCCTAAAAAGCAGTGGCAAAGATTCTCCTCTCACAAACATGGATAGCTTCCCCTTCCCTCTGACCGCTCCTGCCCACGTGGCCCTAGAGGCTGGGACCTTGTCAGTGACATGTGACTCGGTTGACACTCGTTTGACACAAAAACATGTGTCTGGCCAAGAGAAGCGGGTTTAAAAAATCTAAGAAACTTCCTCAGGCTTCATTTGCTCCCCCATTCCCAGTAGGGGAGACCTCGATGGGCAGGACCCAGAAACGTTCCATCTCCAGGAACAAACCCCCGCAACCTCAAACCAGGAAACATCAGGTCTCAAACAGCAGCCCAGAGAAAAGCACTCAGGTTTCTGTTCCTCTAAAGCATTCCCTCATGGTCACTCCTCCCTACCATGGACTTTGATTTCTGCAAACCAGATCCTCCACGCTAAAGCCAAATCGACTCCTAGCTCCTCCATGAAACTTTGCTTCCTCTTTGCTTCCTCCCAGAGAGAAGGTGGCAGGTTTAGGAGTGGGCTGCAGTGTTGAAATCAGGACTAGCTGACAGTTATTTTATCAAACCACATTCAGAAACGGTAGATACGAGGAAAAGGTTCAAAGATAAGCCGTAAGTAAAATTCCTGGAAGGAATGAGGAGTCCCGGTACTGCAGGAAAAGGGCGATGTCAATGATTCTCCCCATTTTACAGGATGGAAAACTGAGGCCTCAGATGGACAGGCACTTGTCCAAGTTCTGAGTCCTGGGACAACTGCAAAGCTCTTAAGGAAGAAGGGAGTCGCTTAAGGATCTGGAAGGCGGACCGGGTGGTGGCTGCCCACCCTGGTTCCCGAGGTGGAGGTTGGGGAGACCCAGCCGGCCCCGCCCATACCTTCCCTCCTGGTCCCGCCCACCCACCTTGGCCCCGCCTCGTACCTCCCTCGCTCCCATTGGCCCAGCCTCCCCAGGCCCGCCCCTTCGCGCTCCCGACATATAAAAGCCCCCCGCCCCGGCCTGCCGACCTCCACTCGCCGCGGGCCTGCGAGCGCCCGCCCCTCGCGGGGGCCGGGCCGCGGGGACGGGGGCGGGTGGTGTCGTTCCAGCCGGGCCCCGGCCCCCTCCCCCACGGTCCAGACAGTCGCCGCCGCCATTTTGACCGCCCGCCCCTTCCCCCCGGACTGTGATTACAGAGACACCTACTGCCCCGGCCCCGCCGCCCACCCCGGCCCGGCCAGCCACCCCGGGGCCGCCCTGGTTACCTCCGCTTCTCCCCACTTCTGTCTGCGGAAACGCTTTTCGGAGGTCTCGGAGTCGATGTTGGGAAGGGGACGGGACGTGCTGGGGTCCCCGGGCCGGGCCTGGGGGGTGGGGGTGGGGGTCGGCCGGGCGGTTGTTGTTGTTGACTCGCGTTGCCGGGTTGCTTGGTCGCCACGACTACCGTGGCTATGGCGCCTCCGTTTCCCTCACCGGGGCAACTGTTGCTACCCACCCTAGTTACGTCACGCGCGGGGGCGGGGCCCGGGGTGATTGGCGGCGGCCGGAGAAGTGATTGGACGGCGCCAGGCCTTGCAGCTAAACTATTAGTTCCGATGCACGCTTTTCAACACCCTCTGGACTTCCCGGCGATCTGATTTATCAGTATGAATGTCCATCAAAAGAAACTGAACCCTCAAAGGCAGCCGGGCCCGTCACTCCGGCAGGGAAGCAGCTGGTTAAGAATAAAGGGGTAGGACTCGTGAGGACGGGATTGGTTTGCCGATGTAAAACCGGCCTCCTGGTTCGACTAAAGGGACGTCAATCTACCAAAGGTTTGCCGCGCTCTCTGGCTGGAGGCCGTGCGCATGCTCGGCACGCAAGGCCGATTGGGAGTTGTAGTCCGCTCTTGCGTACACTTTACATGTCTTACCAAATTAAAAAGGCGAGAAAGGAAGACTCCGCTCCAGACTTCTCTCTCGCTCGGTGGGCCAGTTTCTGGCTTCTTGCGCTGACGTCAGGGGAGGAATGCAGTGACGCAGCGCAGCCCCTCTGTGACGACAGCGGCGAAGGCCGGACTCGGGATTCGATGACGTCACTGGGCGCGCGTCCCCCTTCCCCACTGCCCATGGCCCCGTCGGGGTTGGGTGGAAGCGGGAGGCCGCGGCGGGGTTCGATCCCAGCTCCCACCCGCTGGGGTGACATCCTCCTCCGCCCAAGCCGGCCAGACAGCGCGGCCGCCGCGCCTTCTCCCGCCTCCCGGTCCCCTCCAGCCGGAAAAGGTCACCGCTGCCGGGGTGACCGCGGCTATCTCTGCCCCGCAGGCGGTGCGGCCGCCTTGGGAAAGGTCTCTGCAAGGCGGGGGACTTCATTCGCGGCTTCAACCGCGGTAGATAAGCAAAGGTCAGCCCCGACCCAGCCCAGGGAGCTTGGTCCGCCCAGGAGAGCTCACCACAACCCCCGCCACACACACACACCTCCCACACATACGCTCCTCTGTGCCTCAGTTTCCTCAAGGGACTGTCTGGGTGCTGCAGGACGAGAAGAGACAGAAACAGGGCCCGGACTAGGGTGAACATCTTGGGAGCAAAAACTCAGTCATCAAGATAAATAATCTTCTAATTCAATATTTGTTAAATATCCAAATTAATGGGAAAAAATAAATCTATGATGAACAAAACATCACAATTTTAAATAAAGACAGGATCCGCCAACACAGGGATTAAGGTGAGATGCGTTATGCAAGCTCAGGGTCAGATCTTGTGTTTAAAATAAATTTATTATTATTATTTTTTGAGACGGAGTCTCACTCTGTCGCTGAGGCTGGAGTGCAGTGGCGCAATCTCGGCTCACTGCAAGCTCCGCCTCCCAGGTTCACGCCATTCTCCTGCCTCAGCCTCCCGAGTAGCTGGGACTACAGGTGCTCGCCACCACGCCCGGCTAATTTTTTGTATATTTAGTAGAGACGGGGTTTCACCGTGTTAGCCAGGATGGTCTCGATCTCCTGACCTCGTGATCCGCCCGCCTCGGCCTCCCAAAGTGCTGGGGTTACAGGCGTGAGCCACCACGCCCGGCCTACTTTTTATGTTTTAAATGTCAATTATCTTATGACTGAGCTCTTTGGCCTTCTCTTAAATTTTGCATTCTCATCCCAGGTAGGCCCTAGAACAGCAAGGGGAAAAGAAAACAGGCTCAGACAGCCCTGAAGTCTAATGCCAGCCCTGCTGTGTGGCATTCAGAAAGTGACTCCACCTAAGTTTGTTTCCTAATTCAACCAACATTATATTTCCTCGGTGCAAGGCCCTGGGCTATACAAGTGAAGAAAGGTGACTTCATTTATGGTGGCTCACACCTGTAATCCCAGCACTTTGGGAGGCCAAGCAAGGAAGATTGCTTGAGCCAAGGAGTTCAAGACCAGCCTTGGCAACAAAGCAAGACACCCGTCTCTACAAAAATTAGCTGGGCATGGTAGTGTATGCCTGTAATCCCAGCTACTCCGGAGGCTGAGGTAGGAGGATTGCTTGAACCCGGGAGGGGGAGGTTGCAGTGAACCAAGATTCTGCCACTGCACTCCAGCCTGGGCGACAGAGCGAGACTTTGTCTCAAAAAAAAAAAAGCAATTAGCTAGGCGTGGTGGCATGTGCCTGTGGTCCCAGCTACTCTGGAGGCTGAGGCTGGCAGGATTGGTTCAGCTCCGGAGGTAGAGGCTGCAGTAAGCAATGATTGTGTGGTCCAGCCTGAGTCTCAGAAAAAAAAGAAAAAAAGGAAAAAAAAGAAAGCAAACAACTCCCTTTGCATTCTAGGATGGGATACACAATAAACAGATAAATTGTAAGATAGGCTCCTTAGAGTCCTGAGAGCAACATAAGAGAGTGGGGTAGGAGAATGAGAGGATGCTGTAGCCAGTGTTATCTGAGGGGGGATGTCCCACAGAATGAGCCTGAGTGGTGAGAGACGAAGCAAGCCTCATAAATCCAGGTGGAGGGGCCGGTCATGATGGCTCATGCCTGTAATCCCAGCACTTTGGGAGGCCAAGTTCAGGAGTTCCAGAACAGTCTGGCCAACACGGCGAAATCCTGTCTCTACTAAAAATACTAAAATAGGTCGGTGTGGTGGCACGTGCCTGTAGTCCCAGCTACTGGGGAGGCTGAGGTGGGAGAATCACTTGAACCTGGGAGGCAGAGGTTGCAGTGAGCCAAGATCGCGCCACTGTACTCCAGCCTGGGCAACACAGTGAGACTCCGTCTCAAAAAAAAAAAAAAAAAACGGGGGGAGAGAACTGCCTTCAAAGCTGGGAACAGGAACTTCTGCTAAAGCCAGGAGAGATAAGGTTGTAGAGGTAATAATAGCCACATAATTCCCAGCGAACCCAGCAAAGTGGGACGCTCCCCGCTCTTGACAGGTGGGCAATGGATGCCCAGAGAGAGGAAGTAGGTGCCCTCTCTGCCAGAGGCGTGTGAACCAGAGCAACTCCATCTTGAACAGGAACTGGGTAAAATGAGGCTGAGACCTGCTAGGCTTCATTCCTAAATGGTTAAGGCATTCTTAGTCACAGGATAAGACAGGAGGTCAGCGCAAAATACAGTTCATAAAGACCTTGCTGGCTGGGTGCAGTGGCTCATGCCTATAATCCGAACAGTTTGGGAGGCGGAAGTGGGCGGATCACTTGAGGTCAGGAGTTCGAGACCAGTATGGAAAACATGGCAAAACCCGATTTCTAATAAAAATACGAAAATTAGATGGGCGTGGTGGTGGGCACCTGTAATCTCAACTACTTGGAGGCTGAGGCAGGAGAATCGCTCGAACCCGAGAGGCAGAGGTTGCAGTGAGCCGAGATCACCCCACTGCACTCCAGCCTGGGTGACAGAGTGAGACTCCATCTCAAATAAATAAATAAATAAATAAATAAATAAATAAATAAATAAATAAAAATAAAGACCTCGCCGGGCGTGGTGGCTCACGCCTGTAATCCCGTCACTTTGGGAGGCTAAGGTGGGCAGATCACGAGGTCAGGATTTTGAGACCAGCCTGGCCAACATGGTGAAACCCCATCTGTACTAAAAATGCAAAAATTAGCCGGGTGTGGTGGCGTGCGCCTGTAATCCCAGCTACTAGGGAGGCTGAGGCAGAATTACTTGAACCCGGGAGGTGGAGAGTGCAGTGTGCCAGGATCGCGCCACTGCACTCCAGCCTGGGTGACATTGTGAGACTCTGTTTCAAAAAAGATAAAAATTTTAAAAATAATTTAGAAAAATACATAAATAAAGACCTTGCTGATAAAACAGGTTGCAGTAAAGAAGCTGGCTCAAACCCACCAAAACCAAGATGGCCATGAGAGTAACGTCTGGTCCTCACTGCTACACTCCCACCAGCACCATTACAGTTTACAAATGCCATGGCAACGCCAGGAAGTTACTTTATATGGACTAAAAACAAGAGGCATGGAATAATCCACCCCTTGTTTAGCATATCATCAAGAAATAAGGCTGAGTGTGGTGGCTCATGCCTGTAATCCCAGCACTTTGGGAGGCCGAAGCTGGCAGATCGCTTGAGGTCGGGAGTTCAAGAACAGCCTGGCCAGCATGGCGAAACCCCGTCTCTACTTAAAATACAAAAATTAGCCGGGCGTGTGGCGCATGCCTGTGATCCCAGCTACTCAGGAGGCTGAGGCAAGAGAATTGCTTGATCCCGGGTGGCAGAGGTTGCAGTGAGCCAAGATCACACCACTGCACTCCAGCCTGGGCAACATGGAGACTCCATCTCAAAAAAAATAAAAAAAAATACAGCCCTCGAGGCTGCTCTATGGAGTAACCATTCTTTTATTCCTTACAAATTTGCTTCCACTTTACGGACTCACCTGGAATTCTTTTTTTTTTTTTTTTTTTTGAGACGGAGTCTCTCTCTGTCACCTAGGCTGGAGTTCAGTGGCACGATCTTGACTGATTGCAACCTCCGCCTCCCAGGCTCAAGCGATTCTTTTGCCTCAGCCTCCCGAGTAGCTGGGACTACAGGCGAGCGCCACCACGCCTGGCTAATTTTTGTATTTTTAGTAGAGATGGGGTTACACCATATTGGCCAAGCTGGTCTCTAACTCCTGACCTCGTGATCTGCCCGCCTCGGCCTCCCAAAGTGCTGGGATTACAGGCGTGAGCCACCGCACCAGGCCCTGAATTCTTTCTTGCGTGATATCCAGGAACCCTGTCTTGGACTCTGGATCGGACCCCCCTTTCCTGTAACATCTCCACCCCAAGATCACGAAGCTGGAGGAACCAGAGCCCATCTCTTTTCATGGGACTTTCCAGTGCCCTGGGTGTGACCCTGGATGGGAGAAGAGGAGAAGCAGCAGCTCCAGTCTGCCTGGAATTGCCGGTTGAGTCCCAGCCCTGACAGTACCTGCAAGAATTAATGAGACTTCCAGGCAGGCAGTGCCCAAGAATGAATCCCAGCTGGCAATACAAGTCACATCAGGGTCCCAGGACCAGCCATGGGGACTTCATTGTGGGGAGGGAAACTAGAAGCCCTATTTCCACCTCCTACCCATTTCTCCAATGCCCAGAAGTAGCTGGACCAAGCCCAGAGACCATGTCGTCCATCAAAAATATTCAGCTGGGCGTGGTGGCTCACACCTGTAATCCCAGCAGTTTGGGAGGCCTAGACTGGCGGATCACCTGAGGTCAGCAGTTTGAGACCAGCCTGGCCAACATGGTGAAACCCCGTCTCTACTAAAAATACAAAGTTAGCTGGGCATGGTGGTGTGTGCCCATAATCCCACGTACTTGGGAGGCTGAGGCAGGAGAATGGCTGGAACCTGGAAGGTGGAGGTTGCAGTGAGTCGAGATCGCGCCACTGCACGCCAGCTTGGGCGACAGAGAGAGACTCTGTCTCAAAAAAAATTCATTATAAGACTTTGTGGCTGGAAATGCAAGGTGGAGGCTGAAATGTTCTATATTTTTATCTGGTGGAGGTTGTACAGCATATAGTCAGCCCTCCCTGTATCCACAGGTTACACATTCATTGGAAGATTCAACTAACTGCAAATCAAACATTCAAATAGGCCGTGCTCTGGTACTGGTATAAAAATAGGCACATAGGCCGGGCGTGGTGGCTGAAGCCTGTAATCCCAGCACTTTGGGAGGCCAAGGCAGGTGGATCACTTGAGGTCAGGAGTTCAAGACCAGTCTGGCCAACATGGTGCAACCCCGTCTCTACTAAAAATACAAAAATCAGGTGGGCGCAGTGGTGGGCACATGTAATCTCAGCTATTAGGGAGGCTGAGGCAGGAGAATCGCTTGAACCCGGGAGGCAGAGGTTGCAGTGAGCCAAGATCGCGCCACTGTACTCCAGCCTGGGCGACAGAGTAAGACCCTGTCTAAAAAAAAAAAAAAAAAAAAAAAAGCACATAGACCATAAACCCAAATACTTAACAGCCAACTGGTCTTCAGCAAAGCAAACAAAAACATAAAAGGGGGGAAAGGACACCCTTTTCAATAGTAACGCCAGGATAATTGGCTAGCCACATGTAGGAGAATGAAACTGGATCCTCATCTCTCACCTTATACAAAAATCAACTCAAGATGGGTGAAGGACTTAAATCTAAGACTGGAAACTATAAAAATTCTGGAAGATAACATTGGAAAAACCCTTCTAGACATTGGCTTAGGCAAGGATTTCATGACCAAGAGCCCAAAGGCAAATGCAATAAAAACAAAGATAAATTTCTGGGACTTAATTAGACTAAAGAGCTAAGTAACAGTCAGTAGAGTAAACAGACAACCTACAGAGTGGGAAAAAATCTTCACAATGTAAACATCTGACAAAGGACTAATACCCAGAATTTAAAATGAATTTCAACAAATCAACAAGAAGAAAACAAATAATCCCATCAAAAAGTGGGCTTAGGACATGAATAGACATGTCTCAAAAGAAGGTATACGAATGACCAGCAAACATATGAAAAAATGCTCAACGTCACTAATGATCAGGGAGATGCAAATCAAAACCACATTGTGATACCACCTTAAACTCCTGCAAGAATGGCCATAATCAAAAAATCAAAAAAAACAGTAGATGTTGGCATGGATGCAGTGATCAGGGAACCCTCCTACACAGCTGGTGGGAATGTAAACTAGTACAACCACTATGGAAAACAGTGTGGGGAGTACTCAAGGAACTAAAAGTAGAACTACCATCTGATCCAGCAATCCCACTACTGCGTATCTACCCAGAGGAAAAGAAGTCATTCTACAAAAAAGATACTTGCACATACATGTTTATAGCAGCAAAATTTGTCATTGCAAAAACGTGGACCCAATCCAAATGCCCATCAATCAGCGAGTGGATAAAGAAACTGTGGATATATATTCAATGGAATACTACTCAGCCATAAAAAGGAATGAATTAATGGCATTCGCAGCAACCTGGATGGACTTGGAGGCTATTATTCTAAGTGAAGTAACTCAGGAATGGAAAACCAAACATCGTATGTTCTCACTCATAAGTGGGAGCTAAACTATGAGGATGCAAAGGCATAAGAATGACACAATAGGCTTTGGGGATTCAGTGGGGGAAGGGTGGGAAGGGGCTGAGGGATAAAAGACTACAAATAGGGTGCAGTGTATACTGCTCAGGTGATGGGTGCACCAAAATCTCACAAATCACCACTAAAAACATGCTCATGTAACCAGGCACCACCTGTTCCCCAATAACCTATGGAAGAAAAAAAAAGTTTTTTAAAAAAAGAGGCCGGACGTGGTGGCTCACGCCTGTAATCCCAGCACTTTGGGAGGCTGAGGTGGGCGGATCACGAGGTCAGGAGATCGAGACCATCCTGGCTAACACGGTGAAACCCCGTCTCTACTAAAAATACAAAAAATTAGCCGGGCATGGTGGCAGGCGTCTGTAGTCCCAGCTACTCGGGAGGCTGAGGCAGGAGAATGGCGTGAAACCAGGAGGCAGAGCTTGCAGTGAGCCAAGTTCGTGCCACTGCACTCCAGCCTGGGTGACAGAGCGAGACTCCATCTCAAAAAAAAAAGAAAAACTCAAACAGTCCATGCTTGGTGGCTCATGCTTGTAATCCCAGCACTTTGGGAGACCAAGGTGGGAGGATTACTTGAACTCAGAAGTTCAAGACCAGCCTGGGCAACATAGCAAAACTCCATCTCTACAAAGAAAAAAAAGTAATGGAAAAAAGTTCAAATAAATAATAACAGGCCAGGCATGCTGGCTTACGCCTGTAATTCCAGCACTTTGGGAGGCCCAGGTGGGAGGATCACCTAGGTTGGGAGTTCAAGACCAGCTGGCCAACATGGCAAAACCCTGTCTCTACTAAAAATACAGCAATTATCTGGGCATGGTAGCTTATGCCTATAATCACTTTGGGAGGCTGAGGTGGGTGGATCACCAGAGGTCAGGGGTTCAAGACCAGCCTGGGCAACATGGTGAAACCCCGTCTCTACTAAAAATACAAAAATTAGCCAGGTGTGATGGCACACCCTTGTAATCCCAGCTACTTGAGAGGCTGAGGCAGGAGAATAGCTTGAACCCAGGAGGCAGAGGCTGCAGTGAGCGGAGATCACACCACTGGACTACCGCCTGGGCAACTGGGCAACAGAGTGAGAGTCTGTCTCAAAAAAAAAAAAAAAAAAAAAAAAAGGCCAGGCATTTTTACTTACTTACTTACTTACACCTGTAATGCCAGCACTGTGGGAGGCCAAGGTGAGTGGATCACTTGAGGTCAGGAGTTCGAGACCAGCCTGACCAACATGGTGAAACCCCGTCTCTACTAATATTACAAAAATCAGCCAGGCATGGTGTTGTGCGCCTGTAATCCCAGCTATTCGGGAGGCTGAGGCAGGAGAATCACTTGCACCTGGGAGGCGGAGGCTGCAGTAAGCCAAGATCGCGCCACTGCACCCCAGCCTGGGTGACAAGAGCAAAACTCTGTCTCAAAACAAAGAAAAAAGAGAAGGAAAGAATTAGAAAATCACCATGTTGCAAAAGCCAGCAAAATCATTGATGCAGACAGCGATCATCTATAGGTGCTAAAAAAAGTAGATGAGGCCGGGTGCGGTGGCTCATGCCTGTAATCCCAGCACTTTGGGAGGCCGAGGCGGGCAGATCACCTAAGATCAGGAGTTCGAGACCAGCCTGGCTAACATGGTGAAACCCCATCTCTACTAAAAATACAAAAATTAGCCGGGCGAGGTGGCGGGCACTTGTAATCTCAGCTACTCGGTAGGCTGAGGCATGAGAATGACTTGAACCCGGGAGGCAGAGGTTGCAGTGAGCCGAGATTGCATCACTGCACTCTAGCCTGAACAACAGAGCCAGACTCCATCCAAAAAAAAAAAAAAAAAAAAAATTTGGCCGGGGGTGGTGGCTCATGCCTGTAATCCCAGCACTTTGGGAGGCTGAGGTGAGCAGATCACCTGAGGTCAGGAGTTGGAGACTAGCCTGACCACCATGCCGAAACCCCGTCTCTACTAAAAATACAAAATAAATAAATAAATAAATAAGCTGGGCGTGGTGGCAGTTGCCTGTAATCCCAGCTACTCGAGAGGCTGAGGCAAGAGAATTGCTTAAACCTGGGAGTTGGAGGTTGCAGTGAGCGAGACCATGCCATTGCACTCCAGCCTGGTCAACAGAGCGGGACTCTGTCTCAAAAAAAAAAAAAATTAAAAAAAGAAGGAAAAAGATCAATAATCCAAAAGTATACTAGGCAAGGGAGGTTACCAGAGAGTACAGAGGAAACTAATGGTCCTTAAACACATGGGACTTTGCCCTGCCTTGCTTGTGGTCAGGAAAATGCAAATTTTCTCTACTCTGAGATACTATTTTTCACATGTCATGTTGGCAAGAAACCAAAGTTCGATAACACTCTCTGTTGGTAAGGCTGTAAGGCAGCAGAACTTTTACCCATTGCTAGAGAGAGTGTGAATCGCTCTAACACCTGAGGGGGAATATTTGTCAATATGCGTAAAAATTACAAATGCACACAGTCTTTGAGCCAGAAATCCCGCTTCGGAAAATTTATCCACAGAGACACTTGCATATGTGTAAAATGACGTTCTGTATGGCGATGTCAGCCTAAGAACAAACGAGTGGAAAAAATGTCCATCTCTGAGAGTGAAATTAACCATAAAGCATTCACACAGCAGCATGCTATGCAGCTGTGAAAAAATAAAAATAAAAAATAACAAGAATGTGGCCAGGCACAGTGGCTCACGCCTGTAATCCCAGCACTCTGGGAGGCCAAGGCGGGCCTATCACTTGAGGTCAGGAGTTTGAGACCAGCCTGGCCAACATGGTGAAATCCCATCTCTACTAAAAAATAAAAAAATTAGCTGGGCATGGTGGCATGCACCTGTAGTCCCAGCTACTTGGGAGGCTGAGGCATGAGAATTCCTTTTTTTTTTTTTTTTTTGAGACGGAGTCTCACTCTGTCACCCAGGCTGGAGTGCAGTGGCGCGATCTCGGCTCACGGCAAGCTCCACCTGCCAGGTTCATGCCATTCTCCTGCCTCAGCCTCCCGAGTAGCTGGGACTACAGGCACCTGCCACCACGCCCAGCTAATTTTTTGTATTTTTAGTAGAGATGGGGTTTCACCGTGTTAGCCAGGATGGTCTCGATCTCCTGACCTCGTGATCTGCCCGCCTCGGCCTCCCAAAGTGCTGGGGTTACAGGCGTGAGCCACTGAGCCCGGCTGAGAATTCCTTGAACCTGGGAGACAGAGGTTGCAATGAGCCGAGTTGGCGCCACTGCACTCCAGCCTGGGCAAGAGCAAGACTCCGTCTCAATAAAAATTAAAATAAAATAAAATAAAGTTTTGTTAAGAGATCTCCAACACTTGTTAAGTCACGTGGGAGAAGCAACATTCAGAAGAATGTGTAGAACATGCTACCTTTTAATGAAATTCTGGGCCAAGCATGCTGGCTCATGCCTATAATCCCAGCACTTTGGGAGGCCGAGGTGGGAGGATCACTTGAGCCCAGAAGTTCGAGACCAGCCTGGGCAACATAATAAGACCTCGTTTCTAGTGAGACTGGACAGGATCTTGCTCTGTCACCCAGGCTGGAGTGCAGTGGCACAATCATAGCTCACTGCAGCCGCCAACTCCTGGGCTCAAGTGATCCTCCCACCTCAGCCTCCCAAGTAGATGGGACTACAAGCACACGCCACCACCCTGGGCCAAATTTTAAAAATTCTTTTGGAGAAATGAAGTCTCAGCCAGGTGTGGTGGCTCATGCCTATAATCCCAGCACTTTGGGAGGCTAAGGTGGGTGGATAGAAAGGTCAGGAGTTTGAGACCAGCCTGGCCAACATGGTGAAACCCCATCTCTACTAAAAATACAAAAATTTGCTGGGCCTAGTGGTGCCCACCTGTAATCCCAGCTACTTGGGAGGCTGGGGCAGGAGGATCTCTTGAACCCGAGAGGCGAGGGTTGCAGTGAGCCGAGATCATACCAGTGCACTCCAGTCTAGGTGACAGAGCAAGACTCCATCTCGGAAAAAAATTTTTAAAAGTCCGGGTGCGGTGGCTCAGGCCTGTAATCCTAGCACTTTGGGAGGCCGAGGTGAGTGGATAGCCTGAGGTCAGGAGTTCAAGACCAGCCTGGCCAACATGGTGAAATGCCATCTCCACTAGAAATACAAAAATTAGGCCAGGCACGGTGGATCACGCCTGTAATCCCAGCATTCTGGGAGGCCGAGGCGGGTGGATAACGAGGTCAGGAGATCGAGACCATCCCAGCCAACATGGTGAAACCCCGTCTCTACTAAAATACAAAAAATTAGCCAGGTGCGGTGGCATGTGCCTGTAATCCCAGCTACTCGGGAGGCTGAGGCAGGGGAATCCCTTGAACCTGGGAGGCGGAGGTTGCAGTGAGCTGAGGTCGCACCACTGCATTCCAGCCTGGCGACAGAGCGAGACTCTGTTTCAAAAAAAAAAAAAAAAAAAAAAAATTACCTGGGTGTAGTGGCGGGTGCCTGTAATCCCAGCTACTCAGGAGGCTGAGGAAGGAGAATCACTTTAACCCAGGAGGTGGAGGTTGCAGTGAGCCGAGATGGCGCCACTGCACTCCAGACTGTGCAATGGGAGGGAAACTCCACCTCAAGAAAAAAAAAAAAATTCACAGGGGTAGAAAGTAGTATGGTGGTTGCCAGGGGTAGAAGGAGGAAGGACGGAGAGAGTGTTTAATGGGGACAGAGTTTTGGTTGGGGAAGACAAAATGTTCTGGAGATGGATGATTGCACAATAATGTAAATATGGGTAATGCCACTGAATCGTACACTTAAAAATAGTTAAAACAGCCGGACACAGTGCTCACGCCTGTAATCCCAGCACTTTGGGAGCCCGAGGTGGGGAGATCCCCTGAGGTCAGGATTCAAGACCAGCCTGGCCAACATGGTGAAACCCCGTCTCTACTAAAAATACAAAACACATTAGCTGGATGTAGTGGCGCACGCCTGTAATTCCAGCTACTCGGGAGGCTGAGACAGGAGAATCGCTGGAACCTGGGAGGTGGAGACTGCAGCGAGTCAAGATGGCGGCATTGCACTCCAGCCTGCGCAACAAGAGCAAAACTCCATGCCAAAAGAAAAAAAAAATGTTAAAACGGTAAATTTTACATGTATTTTGCCACATTAACAAAAAATGTTTAGGCCAGGTGCAGCAGCTCATGCCTGGGCAAAATATTGAGGCCCTGTCTCTAAAAAAAAAAAGAAAAAAAAAAACAAGAAAAAGAAAAATATTGGCCAAGCATAGTAGTGAGCTGAGGTGGGAAGATGGCTTGATCCCAGGGGTTTGAGACTGCAGTGAGCTATGATCGTGCCACTGCACTCCAGTCTGAGTGACAGAGCCAGAGCCAGACAAAGCCAAAGAGGGAAAAAAATGGGTTTAACATACTGGCGGGGCACAATGGCTCACACCTATAATCCCAGCACTTTGGGAGGATGAGGCAGGCAGGTTGCTTGAACTCAGGAGTTTAAGACCAGCCTGGGCAACATGGTGAAACCCTGTTTCTGCAAAAAAAAAAAAAAAAAAAATTTAGCTGGGCGTGGTGACATGTGCCTGTGGTCTCAGCTACTCTGGGAGGCTGAGGCAGGAGGATCACTTGAGCCCAGGAGGTCAAGGCTACAGTGAGCTGGGATGGTGCTACTGCACTTCAGCCTGGGTGATAGAGTAAGACCCTGTCTCAAAAAATAAATAAATAAATAAATAAATAAAGCAAGCCTAGGAGTTTGAGACCTGCCTGGGGCACATACTGAGACCCTGTCTCTACAAAAAATTTAAAAATGAGCTGAGAGTGGTATGCATCTGTGGTCCCAGCTACTCAGGCGGCTAAGGTGGGAGGATAACTTGAGCCCGGGAGATCGAGGCTGCAGTGAGCCGTGATATTGCTGCTGACTCTAGCCTGGGCAACGGAGTGAGACCCTGTCTCATAAAGAAAAAAAAAACCTGTATTCATATTTGTTTTCATGTGTACAAAGTAATTCTGGAAAGATACTCAGGAAATTAAGAGCTGTGGTTATTCATGAGAGAAAGGGGAGGAACTGAAACTTGGAAGGCAGATGCTGCTTCATAAACCTTATATGCTTTGCTTTTTGAAGCATGTAAATGTATTAACTATTCGAAGATAAATTAAATAGTTTGGAGAAGCTGAGGGCAGTGATACAGACCTCTAATCCCAGCTATTTGGGAGGCTGAGGTGGGACGATCACTTTAGGAAAGGGAACTAAGACCAGCCTGGCAACACAGCGAGACTCCAGTCTCTTAAAAAAAAAAAAAAAAAAAAAAAAAATATATATATATATATATATATATATATATATATATATATATATATATATATATTTATTGTATTGCTGGGCACAGTGGCTCATGTCTGTAACCTCAGCACTTTGGGAGGCTGAGGCAGGTGGATCACTTGAGGCCAAGAGTTTGAGACTACCCTGGCCAACATGGTGAAACACCATCTCTAATAAAAATACAAAAATTAGCCGGGAGTGGTGGCGGGTGCCTGTAGTTTCAGCTACTCGGGAGGCTGAGACAGGAGAATCACTTGAACCCAGGAGGTGGACATTGCAGTGCACTGAGATGGTGCCACTGCACTCCAGCCTGGATGACAGAGCAAGACTCCATCTCAATATATATATAATATATATTTATATATAATATGTTAATATATTGTATACATACATATATGTATACAACATATTAATTTATATTAAGGTAATATATTATATTAATTAATTATATTATACTAATTAAATTATATTAATATAAGATGTATTAATTTACATATATTTCTGTATACAATATATTAATATATTATAAAAATGTTACATTATGTCCTAGGCTATATTTATATGTGCTATATTTATATTATATAAATAATATATCATAAAAATATGTTACATTATGCTATGTATTTATTTTATATAGCATAATGTAACATATAATATATAATGTATATATTACATATTATATATTATATATTTTTTGTATACTTTTTTAACATGTCCCCAGAGATAGGAAATATAAATCTATATTATACATTATATAACATATTTATATTACATATTATATATTATATATCATAATACATTATAATATATTAATTATAATATAATATATTAATATATTATAACATATTCTATAAATAAAATATTTATATATTATATAAATATGTTATATAATATGTTATATATAAATGCTATGATATATTGTATAACATAAATATAAAATTATATCTCATATAATAGATTATACATGATATATAATATACATTATATATCATATACATTATATATCATACATGATATATAATAATTATATTTAATATATAATGTATATTTTTATAATAATTACATATAACACATATATTTATATATTTTATATATATATATATATATACAGTCTGTATCTTCAACTGTTTTGTTTTTTTAAAAGGACACTCATAATTGGATTTAGGGCCCACCCAGATAATCCAGGATGAGCTTATCTTAATATAATATAATATATAATTTTATATTATATATTATATATTGTATTATAATATAATAAATATATAAATATTTTATTATATATTTTATAATATATATTATATATATTATATATATAAAATAAATATATATATTATACATAAATATAAATATATATAATATATTATATAACCTATTTATATTATATATATAAATATATAAATATATCATATATATTTATGTAGAATATATTTATATATTATAATATACTATATTATTATAATTATAATATATTTATATATAAATATATAAATGTATTTCTATATAATATATAAGTATATTATATAATAGAATATAGTATAATATATAACATCTATAATATATAAGTATACTTATATAATATATATTATACAATATATAAGTATATTATATATGTTTATATAATATATAAACATATTATATAATATGTTTATATATGATATATGCATATTATGTTTATTATGATATATGCATATTATATAATATGTTTATTATATGATATATAAATATATTTATATGTTATAGATGTTATGTATATTATAGATATATTATAATTTATAAATGTATATCATAATAATTTTATAAACTTATAAATATATATTATATATATAAAGTTTGGAAATCAGGGCTTTATTTAGAATTGGCAAAATTGGCTTGCATTTTTATAGTGAACAAAATCATCATGACACCCATATTCCTAGCAGGTGACATTTCCCGTTCTGACTATATTCATTTCACTGTAGCTGCTGTAACCAGTGTCCACAAACCAGGTGGCTTACACCAATGAACATTTATTCCCTTCCTGTTCTGGTTGTCAGGAGTCTGAAATGCAGGCGTCGCAGGGCCGCGCCCCCTCTGAGGCCTCTAGGGGAGGGTCCCTCCTTGCCTCTTCCAGCTTCTGGAGGCTCCAGGCCTTCCTTGGCTTCCTCAATGGCATTAAGCCAATTTCTGCCTCTGTCTTCATATGAACTTTCCTCTTTTGTCTGTGTCTTCAACTCTTTTGTTTTTTAAAAGGACACTCATAATTGGATTTAGGGCCCACGAAGATAATCCAGGTTGAGCTCATCTTAAGGTTCTTTTTAATTTTTTTTTAATGGAGTCTCACTGTGTTGCTCAGACTGGAGTGCAGTGGCATGCGATCTGGGTTCAATGCAACCTCCGACTCCCGGGTTCAAGCGATTCTCCTGGATCAGCCTCCTGAGTAGCTCATATTACAGGTGCCCGTCACCACACCCAGCTAATTTTTGTATTTTCAGTAGAGACCGGGTTTCACCATGTTGGCCAGGCTGGTCTGGAACTCCTGACCTCAGGTGATCTGCCTGCCTCAGCTTCCTGAAGTCCTGGGATTACAGGCATGAGCCACCCCCCAAGGCCATCTAAAGATTCTTAATTACATTTGCAAAAGCTCTTTTTCTTTTTCTTTCTTTCTTTTTTTTTTTTGAGACAGGGTCTCACTCTGTTGCCGAGGCTGGAGTGCAGTGACACCATCCCAGCTCACTACAGTCTCAAATTCCTGGGCTCAAGCGATCCTCCCACCTCAGCCTCCTGTGTAGGGGACTACAGGAACACACCACCATACCCAGCTAATTTTTGTATTTGTAGAGACGGGAGTGTCACTGTATTGTCCAAGCTGGTGTGGAACTCCTGGCCTCTAGCAATCCTCCTGCCTTGGTCTTCCAAGTAGCTGAGACCACAGGCATGCATGCCTGGCTAATATTTTCTATTTTTTAAAGGCCAGATCTTGACATTTTGCCCAGGCTGGTCTTAAACTCTTACGCTCAAGTGTTCCTCCGGCCTCAGCTTCCTAAGTAGCTGGAAATACAGGCACACATCACCTCACCTGGCTAAGGTTTTGTTTTGTTTTGTTTTAAGATAGGATCTCTGTCACCCAAGCTGGGTGACACAATCATGGCTCACTGCAGCCGTGACCTTCTGGGCTCAAGCAATCCTCCTGCCTCAGCCTCCTGAGTAGCTGAGATTACAGGCACCTGCCACCGTGCCTGACTAATTTTTTTATTTTTTAGTAGAGACAGGGTTTCACTGTGTTGGCCAGGCTGGTCTCAAACTCCTGACCCCAGGTGATCCGTCCTCCTTGGCCTCCCAGTGTGCTGGGATTACAGGTGTGAGCCACCGCACTTGGTTTCAAATACTTTTTTCTAGTAAGATCACATTTATAGATCCCAGGGTTTAGGATGTGGACATAGATTTCTGCAGATCACCATTTACACACCACACCGACGAGTGCTGTGCAGAATGCTTAGGACTCTATAGAATTTCACCAAAGTCCCCAAGAGGCTCATGAAGCAGGTATACTTATCATCTCCATCTTCACAATGAACTCAGAGAGGTATAGGGTCTTGCCCAAGGATACACAGGAACAGAGATTTGAACCTAGCTATGTTGGGCCCAAAACTCTGATTCTATGTGAGACACAAAAGACGCTTCTGGGCTGGGTGCAGTGACTCACGCCAGCACTTTGGGAGGCTGAGGTGGGCAGATCACTTGAGATCAAGAGTTTGAGGCTAGCCTGGCCAACATGGCAAAACCCCGTCTCTACTAAAAATACAAAAATTAACCAGACATGGTGGCGCACACCTGCAGTCCTAGCTACTTGGGAGGCTGAGGCACATGAATAGCTTGAACCCTGGAGACAGAGGCTGCGATGAGCCGAGATCACTCCATTGCACTCCAGTCTGAGCGACAGAGTGAGACCCTGTGTCAAAAAAAAAAAAAAAAGAAAAGAAAAAGAAAAAAGAGGCTTCTGGTTTGAGGCCCATCAGTTAAGTCAGGCAGGCAGGCAGCAGATATTTCCTGAATGCTTGTTCTTCCCCAGGCCAGGCACTGGGGGCGCAGGAGAAAAGGGCAGGAGGGTACCTCCCTACAGGAAGTTCCTGGAGAAGAGGCCGAGGGGAAGAGAGTATTATTCACCAGCCCTTTAGAAACAGAGCAATCAGAGGTGACCTCTGCCTCCGGAAGGTTGCCCTTGGCCTGTGACATCCACAGCAGGCAACTGGGGCCAGGAGTTTGTGACAGAGAAAAGGACAAAGAGATGAAGTTCTAATCCAAAGGGAACGTGTCCAGTAGAAATAACATTTAAACAGCACTTACTTCATGCAGGAGATTGTTGTAAAAATTTGACTCACTCATTAAATCTTTCCCATTTTGCAAGTGAGGAAACCAAGGCACAGAGAGTTTAAGTGACTTGGCCAAGGTCACACAGCAGGAAAGAGGCAGAGGTGGAATTTGAAGCCAAGCTTGCCCCCCTTACCAGAGCCCTTGTTTTTGCTGTGTTTTAAAGTCGAGGTGAAATTGACATTAACATAGCTGTGCCTGGTGGCTCATGCCTGTAGTCCTAGCACTTTGGGAGGCCAAAGGGGGAGGATCACTTGAGCTCAGGAGTTCCAGATCAGCCTGGGCAACATAGTTAGGCCTCATCTCTTTAAAAAAGAAAGACTGGCCGCAGTGGTTTACATTTGTAAACCACCTGTTTCCCACCTGGCTAATTTTTGTATTTTTGTTAGAGACTGGGTTTTACACTACGGTGGACAGGCTGGTCTCAAACTCCTGAACTCAAGTGATCTGCCCGCCTTGGCCTCCCAAAGTGCTGGGATTACAGACGTGAGCCACCGTACCTGGCCTGGTTAGTTTTATTTTATATGGATGTTATCTCTCTCTTTTTTTTTTTTTTTTTGAGACAGAGTTTCGCTCTTGTTGCCCAGGCTGGAGTGCAATGGCGTGATCTCCGCTCACTGCATCCTCCGACTCCCAGGTTCAAGAGATTCTCCTGCCTCAGCCTCCTGAGTAGCTGGGATTACAGGCATCTGCCACCATGCCCAGCAAATTTTTGTATTTTTAGTAGAGACGGGTTTCACCGTGTTGGCCAGGCTGGTCTCAAACTCTTGACCTCAAGTGATCCGTCCTCCTCAGCCTCCCAAAGTGCTGGGATTACAGGCATGAGCCACCATGCCCGGCCTCAATTTTTTTTTTTTTTAGACAAGGTTTGGCTCCGTTGTACAGGCTGGAGTGCAGTGATGCAATCTCAGCTCATGGCAGCCTTGAACGCTTAGGCAAAAGTGATCTTCCCACCTCAGCCTCCTGAGTAGCTGGGATCACAGATGTGTGCCACCACACCTGGCTAATTTTTACATTATTTGTAGAGGTGGGGTTTCACCTGTTGCCCAGGCTGGTCTGGAACTCTTGGGTTCAAGCAATCCTCCTGCCTTGGCTGCCCAAAGTTCCGGAATTACAGGCGTGAGCCATCATTCCCAGCCTCTCAATATATATATTTTTATTTTATTATGATGATGATGATTATTTTTTGTGACAAAGTCTCACTCTGTCGCCCACGCTGATGCACAGTGGCTCAATCTCGGCTCACTGCAGACTCTGCCTCCTGGGTTCAAGTGAGTCTCCTGCCTCAGACTCCTGAGTAACTGGGATTACAGGCATGTGCCACCATGCCCAGCTAATTTTTGTACTATTAGTAGAGATGGGGTTTGACCATGTCGGCCAGGCTGGTCTCGAACTCCTGACCTCAAGTGACTCGCCCGCCTCAGCTGCCCAAAGTTCTAGGATTACAGGCATGAGCCACTGTGCCTGGCCACTGCCACTAATTTTACATTATGGTGAGTTGTATGATTATTTCAATATACAACTACAGTATAATAATAATAGAAATAAAGTGCACAATAAATGTGATGCGCTTGGCCAGGCGCGGTGGCTCATGCCTGTAGTCCCAGCACTTTGGGAGGCCGAGGTGGACGGATCATGAGGTCAAGAGATCGGGACCAACCTGGACAACATGGTGAAACCTCGTCTCTACTAAAAATACAAAAATTAGCTGGGCGTGGTGGCATATGCCTGTAGTCCCAGCTACTCGGAAGCTGAGGCAGGAGAATCGCTTGAACCTGGGAGGCAGAAGTTGCAGTGAGCCAAGATTGCGCCATTGCACTCCAGCCTGGTGACACAGCAAGACTCCATCTCAAAAAAAAAAAAAAAAAAAAAAAAAGTGATACGCTTGAATCATCCCGAAACCATCCACTTGACACTCCATCCATGGAAAAATTGTCTTCCACGAAACCGGTTTCTGGCGTCAAAAACGTTAGGATCTGCTGCCTCAGGACACCCTTCTGTGTCTCCGTTTCCTCATTTGTAATATGAGAATTATCTTAGTCCTGAATTCATAACCCCATGCTCTTAAAAGTGTGGTTTCCGCCGGGCGCAGTGTCTCACGCCTGTAATCCCAGCACTTTGGGAGGTCGAGGCGGGCGGATCACGAGGTCAGGAGATCGAGACCATCCTGGCTAACACAGTGAAACCCCGTCTCTACTAAAAATACAAAAAATTAGCCGGGCGTGGTGGCGGGCGCCTGTAGTCCCAGCTACTCGGGAGGCTGAGGCAGGAGAATGGCGTGAACCTGGGAAGTGGGGAGCTTGCAGTGAGCCGAGATCATGCCACTGCACTCCAGCCTGGGCGACAGTGCGAGACTCCATCTCAAAAAAAAAAAAAAAAGAAAGAAAGAAACTGTGGTTTCTGGGCTGGGCGTGGTGCTCCAGGCTGGAGTGCAATGACACAATCTTGGCTCACTGCAACCTCTGCCTCCTGGGTTCAAGCGATTCTCCTGC
Organism: Homo sapiens; assembly: GCF_000001405.40. Classification (NCBI taxonomy): domain Eukaryota; kingdom Metazoa; phylum Chordata; class Mammalia; order Primates; family Hominidae; genus Homo; species Homo sapiens. The sequence goes on from NC_000019.10 coordinate 14,026,461, forward strand.
CTCAGCCTTCTCAGTAGCTGGGATTACAGGCACCCGCCACCATGCCCGGCTAATTTTTATATTTTTAATAGAGACAGGGTTTCATCATGTTGGCCAGGCTGGTCTCAAACTCCTGACCTCAGGTGATCCACCCGCCTCGACCTCCCAAAGTGCTGGGATTACAGGTGTGAACCACTGTGTCCAGCCAATCCCAGCACTTCGAGAGTCTGACGCATTTGGGTCCCTTGAGTCCAAGAGTTTGAGACCAGCCCGGGCAACATTGTGAGGTCTCATCTCTACAAAAAATACAAAAATTAGCTGAGCATGGTGGTACACACCTGTAGTCCCAGCTACTTAGGAGGCTGAGGTGGGAGGATCATTTGAACCCGGGAATTCAAGGCTGCAGTGAGCTATGTTGCCACCACTACAATCCAGCCTGGGCAACATAGCCAGACCCTGTCTCTGAAAAAAAGAAAAAAAAAAAAGTCTGGTTTCTGAACCAGCAGGATCAATGTCACCTGGGAACTGGTTGGAAATGCAGATTCTTAGATATGTTCCATACCTGTTGAGTCAGGAGCTCTGCAGGTAGGACACAAAGATATGTGTTTTGTTTGTTTGTTTTTGAGACAGAGTCTCACTCTGTTGCCCAGGCTGAAGTGCAGTGGCGCCATCTCAGCTCACTGCAACCTCCACCTCCCAGGTTCAAGCAATTCTCCTGCCTCAGCCTCCCAAGGAGCTGGGGCTACAGACATGAGCCACCACACCCGGCTAATTTTTTGTATTTTTAGTAGAGGCGGGGTTTCACCATGTTGGCCAGGCTGGTCTCGAACTCCGGACCTCAGGTAATCCTCCTGCCATGGCCTCCCAAAGTGCTGGGATTACAGGCGTGAGCCACCGCGCCTGGCCTGATTTCTGTTTTAACAAGCCTACCCAAAGATTCTGAAGCTCACTCACATTTGAGAACCATTACCCTGGGTTGTTGGGAGAATCAAATACATTACAGAGATATAAAATGCTTTGAGCAGCTGAGGGCTGTGGCTCATATCTGTAATCCCAGCACTTTGGGAGGCTGAGACAGGCGGATCACCTGAGGCCAGGAGTTCGAGACCAGCCTGGCCAACGTGGTAAAACCCCGTCTCTACTGAAAATACAAAAATTAGCCAGGTGTGGTGGTGGGCGCCTGTAATCCCAACTACTTGGGAGGCTGAGGCGGGAGAATTTCTTGAATCTGGGAGGCGGAGGTTGCAGTGAGCCAAGATTGTGCCATTGGGACTGTACCTCTAGCCTGGGTGACAGAGCGAGACTCCATCTAAACAAACAAACAAACAAATAAACAATAAAATGCTTACAGTAGTGTGCCTGGCCTCGTAGCACATACTGCACTGGGCGTTCACTGCTATTATGATCTTCGAAGAGGTCCAGGACCCTAACGTTGTGGGGATCTGGTTGTGTCACCTTACCCCGCCTTTTGGGATTATGCGTTTCTGGTCTCTGCAGGTTGGAGACCTTCTCGCCTCTCTGTCAATGATGTTGACAATAAGCTGGGCCACATCACCCTGTCCCTAGCGAAAGGTTATCACTTCGCTGGGGACATGAGAAAGGTCGGGTTGGGGGGGCCGTGCCTGTCTCCCCTCTGCTGGAGAAGATAAGGGAGGCACTCAGCTTTCTTCAGGCAGAGTGTGGGGGAGCCACGATGTATAAATGGGGGGCCAAGAGGCAGCAGAGACACTGGCCCACTCTCACGTTCAAAGCATCTCCGTCCAGCATGGCCAGGTACATGCTGCTGCTGCTCCTGGCGGTATGGGTGCTGACCGGGGAGCTGTGGCCGGGAGCTGAGGCCCGGGCAGCGCCTTACGGGGTCAGGCTTTGCGGCCGAGAATTCATCCGAGCAGTCATCTTCACCTGCGGGGGCTCCCGGTGGAGACGATCAGACATCCTGGCCCACGAGGCTATGGGTGAGGCTGGGGAGAGAGTGGATGTAGAAGGGGAACAGGTGGCTGGATGGGTCCCAGGAGCTAAGGACAGAGATAAGAGGAGGTTGCTGGAGGAGGAGGGTCCCTGTCCTGCCACATTCAGCCAGGGACACCTGCCCAGCCTTGAAACAAGGGCTCAGGAGTTAGCAGAGCTGCAGAGCTGGGATGGGGTGTTGCAAGCCATCCATGGGGGCTGGAAGTCTGAGGACAGGTGGGGGCGGGGAGCGTGCCATTTGCAAAGACAACACCGAAGTGTTTTCCAACCCTTTCCAGCAGGTAATGTGAAGGGTGTGGTATACACATAGCTGGGTTTGTCACCTAATGCATGACCTCTCCCCAGCAAGTTGGTTTTTCTTCCGTCTCTGAGTGTCTTTTTTTTGGAGATGTGGTCTCACTCCATTGCCCAGGCTTGAATGCAGTGGCCCAATCACTGCTCATTGCAGCCTCGACCTCCCAGGCTCAAGTGATTCTCCTGCCTCCGCCTCCAGAGTAGTTGAGACCACAGGCACCTGACACCATGCCTGGCTAGTTTTAAATTTTTTTTTTGTAGAAACAGGGGTCTCACTATGTTGCCTAGGCTGGTCTCGAACTCCTGGGCTCAAGTGATCCTCCCACCTCGGCCTCCCTAAGTGCTGAGATTAGAGTCTCTGAGTGTCTTTATCTTCAAATGGGAGACACAGTTCCTGAATCTTGCAGGATTAAGTGGTATGATTAAATCAAAACAGATTAGGGCAGAGTCTCAGCAGGGCAGCGGCACAATCTGGGATCCATCAGGAGAGTCAGAGGGAACAGAAGACCTAGCTTCATGAGGGGCAGGGACCTGGCAAATAGATATTCATGATGGTGAGAAGGAGGATAGGTATGAGCGTGGACATAGAAGACACACCACTTGGATTCAGATAGTAGCTCTACAATGTAATAGTTGTGTGTTCATGTGCTACTATTTTTTTTTTTTTTGAGACAGAATCTCATTCTGTTGCCCAGGCTGGAGTGCAGTGGTGCAATCTTGGCTCACTGTAACCTCCATCACCTGGGTTCAAGCGATTCTCGTGCCTCCAGCCTCCCAAGTAGCTGGGATTACAGATGTGTGCCACCATACCTCGCTAATCTTTTTATTTTTAGTAGAGACAGTTTCACCATGTTGGCCAGGCTGGTCTCCAACTCCTGACCTCAGGTGATCCTCCCACCTCAGCCTCCCAAAGTGCTGGGATTACAGGCATGAGCCACCGCGCCCAGCCATGCAAATTCTTTACTGAGTCCTGCCTCAGTGGTCTCCTCTGGAAAATACGGGTGATAACTGCACCCACCTCAACTGGTTATCACTGAGAAGAATAAAGAAGTTAACCTGCTAAAGCACTTAAAACGTTGTTTGACACAAAGTAAGTGATCAATAAATTATTATTATTATTATTATTATTATTATTATTATTTTTGAGACAGGGTCTTGCTCTGTTGCCCAGACTGGAGTGCAGTGGTGTGATCACAGCTCACTGCAGCTTCAACCTCTTGGGCTCAAGCAATTCTCCTGCCTCAGCCTCCTGAGTAGCTGGGACTACAGGCTTGTGCCAACATGTCTAACTTTTTATTATTTGTAGAGACAGGGTAGTGCTGTGTTGTCCAGGCTGTTCTTGAACTCCTGGTTCTGGTGATCCTCCAGCATGTGCCCCTGGAAGTGCTGGGATTACAGGTGTGAGACACCGTGCCCGGACTCAATAGTCATTTTTGAGTGCTCATCATGTTCCAGACATTGTTCTAAGTTTTTTTTTTTAATGAATATTAACTCCTTATAAAACTTGAGAAGGTTGGAGTAATTATTTTTTTCCACTTTGCAGAAAAGAACATTGAGGCTCCAAGAAGTAAATTTACTTGCTCACGATTAGAGAAGCTGGATTCATGCTCAGTCAGCCCAGCTCCCAAATGTACCAGGTCCTCAATTAATAAAGAGTAAGGAGAAATAAATGACAGGGCTGGGTGCGGTGGCTCACGCCTGTAATCCCAGCACTTTGGGTGGCTGAGGTGGGCACATCACTTGAGGTCAGGAGTTTGCGACCAGCCTGAACAACATGGTGAACCCCATCTCTATAACAATACAAAAATCAGCCAGGCCTGCTGGCAGACACCTGTAATCCCACCTACTCTGGCAGAGCCAGAATTTGAACCCAGGACTGGGTGGAATAAAAACTCTGAACTATGTCTATGACTGTTGTCACAAGATCAGAGCTAGACTGGCCAGGAGCCATGACTGTGGGTGCAGCAGCAGCTGAGCCCTGATCACTAACTCTGTTCATCTTTTGCAGGAGATACCTTCCCGGATGCAGATGCTGATGAAGACAGTCTGGCAGGCGAGCTGGATGAGGCCATGGGGTCCAGCGAGTGGCTGGCCCTGACCAAGTCACCCCAGGCCTTTTACAGGGGGCGACCCAGCTGGCAAGGAACCCCTGGGGTTCTTCGGGGCAGCCGAGATGTCCTGGCTGGCCTTTCCAGCAGCTGCTGCAAGTGGGGGTGTAGCAAAAGTGAAATCAGTAGCCTTTGCTAGTTTGAGGGCTGGGCAGCCGTGGGCACCAGGACCAATGCCCCAGTCCTGCCATCCACTCAACTAGTGTCTGGCTGGGCACCTGTCTTTCGAGCCTCACACATTCATTCATTCATCTACAAGTCACAGAGGCACTGTGGGCTCAGGCACAGTCTCCCGACACCACCTATCCAACCCTGCCCTTTGACCAGCCTATCATGACCCTGGCCCCTAAGGAAGCTGTGCCCCTGCCTGGTCAAGTGGGGACCCCCCCATCCTGACCCCTGACCTCTCCCCAGCCCTAACCATGCGTTTGCCTGGCCTACACACTCCACTGCCACAACTGGGTCCCTACTCTACCTAGGCTGGCCACACAGAGACCCCTGCCCCCTTCCCAGTCCAAACTGTGGCCATTGTCCCCTGACCAGCTAAAATCAAGCCTCTGTCTCAGTCCAGCCTTTGCACGCACGCTTCCTTTGCCCTGCTTTCCATCCCCTCTCCCTCCAACTCCCCTGCCAGAGTTCCAAGGCTGTGGACCCCAGAGAAGGTGGCAGGTGGCCCCCCTAGGAGAGCTCTGGGCACATTCGAATCTTCCCAAACTCCAATAATAAAAATTCGAAGACTTTGGCAGAGAGTGTGTGTGTGTGTGTATGGTTGTTGGGCGTAGGACAGGTTTCGGGGATGCGCGGTACGCGGTACCACCCCTCGGAGGCCCCCACCCCCAGACGCCCAGGCCGCCTCCCCACTCCCCCTCAAGCAGCCCCAGCCGGGGACTTTCCGTCGCGGGGAAGGGGCGGGGACCCTGAGCGAAAGGTGCGGAGGCGGCCTGCCGGGGTGGTTCGGCTTCCCGTTGCCGCCTCGGGCGCTGTACCCAGAGCTCGAAGAGGAGCAGCGCGGCCGCGCGGACCCGGCAAGGCTGGGCCGGACTCGGGGCTCCCGAGGGACGCCATGCGGGGAGGCAGGGGCGCCCCTTTCTGGCTGTGGCCGCTGCCCAAGCTGGCGCTGCTGCCTCTGTTGTGGGTGCTTTTCCAGCGGACGCGTCCCCAGGGTGAGTGCTGGAGGGAGCTCGTGTCCCGGGCGCTGCCGCTGCGCTCCCCGCGAAGGCGCCAGTGCTCCAGGATAAGCCACGCGTATGCAGAGCGAACGGTAGAGGTGCAGGCGCCACTCGGCTCCTCCCGGGGCAGGGACCCGGCGACACTGGGGAATGGGCGGCAGCGAGGTCGAACCGGAGCCCCGGGGCGGGGTGGGGGAGCTCTCTGGGTGGTTAACAGGATGTGGCGAGCACAGGGAAAGGGGGGGTTTGCACGGAGCCCGGGCAGGGGTGCCTAGCGCCTCCCTTCCTGCTGCTCATTTCCCTAAGCCCCCCCACCTTGCAATTGTCAGAAGTCCAAGTTCTGGGGTGTGCAGGCGGAAGGGGGGGATTCGACCCCCTTTCCTGAGACCCTCTGACTCCCTCTCCAGGCAGCGCCGGGCCACTGCAGTGCTACGGAGTTGGACCCTTGGGCGACTTGAACTGCTCGTGGGAGCCTCTTGGGGACCTGGGAGCCCCCTCCGAGTTACACCTCCAGAGCCAAAAGTAGTGAGTACAGGGAGGTGACGTGGGGAAACAGGCTTTGGAGGTGGCCGCTCAGGCCCCAGGCTGCTTTGGTTGAAAGGTTCCAGGAGTCAAGCCTGGCCAACATGGTGAAACCCTGTCTATACTAAAAATACAAAAAAAAAAAAAAAAAAAAAATTACCCAGGGGTGGTGGCGCGCGCCTGTAGTCCCTGATACTCAGGAGGCTGAGACAGGAGAATCGCTTGAACCCGGGAGGCGGAGGTTGCAGTAAGCCCAGATCTCGCCACTGCACTCCAGCCTGGGGGACAGAGGGAGACTCTGTCTCAAAAAAAAAAAAAAAAAAAAAGAAAAGAAAAGAAAAGAAAGTCCCAGGAGTCTGCCCCCCTCCCCCAATACTCCTCCACTCCTTCAATTCTAGCTTCCCTCGTTTCTTTGCTGTGTCACCCTGGGCAAGTCACTTTCCCTCTTTGAGTCTCCTTTTCATTTCTCTATTAAATAGCAATCATAGGGCCAGGAGAGGTGGTTTGCACCTGTCATCCCAGCATTTTGGGAGGCCGAGGCGGGAGGATCGCTTGAGCCCAGGAGGAGTTCAGAGTTTTAGAGAGCCCGTCACTTTTTTTTTTTTTTTTTTTTGAAACGGAGTTTCACTCTTGTTGCCCAGGCTGGAATGCAATGGTGTGGTCTCGGCTCACTGCAACCTCCACCTCCTGGGTTCAAGCGATTCTCCTGCCTCAGCCTCCAGAGTAGCTGGGATTACAGGCATGTGCCACCATGCCTGGCTAATTTTTGTATTTTTAGTAGAGGGGGGAGGTTTCACCATGTTGGCCAGGCTGGTCTTGAACTCCTGACCTCAGGTGATCCACCCGCCTCAGCCTCCCAAAGTTCTGGGATTACAGGTGTGAGCCACCGTGCCTGGCCGAGAGCCCGTCTCTTAAAAATATAAAATATAATATAAATAAAGGGAAATAGGCCAGGCGCAGTGGTTCACACCTATAATCCCAGCACTTTGAGAGGCCGAGGTGGGCAGATTACTTGAGGTCAGGAGTTCAAGACCAGCTGTAGTAATTCCAGCTACTCGGGAGGCTGAGGTGGGAGGATCACTTGAACCCAGGAGGCAGAGGTTGCGGTGAGCTAAGATCGTGCCATTGCACTCCAGCCTGGGTGACAGAGTGAGACTCTGTCTCAAAAAAATTTTAAAAAATAAAAGCTGGCGTGGTGGCTCACGCCTATAATCTCAGCACTTTGGGAGGCCGAGGCGGGCAGATCACGAGGTCAGGAGTTCGAGACCAGCCTGACCAACATGGTGAAACCCTGTCTCCACTAAAAATACAAAGATTAGCCGATGTGGTGGTGCATGCCTGTAATCCCAGTTACTCAGGAGGCTGAGGCAGGAGAATTGCTTGAACCCAGGAAGTGGAGGTTGCAGTGAGCTGAGATCGCACCACTGCACTCCAGCCTGGCCGACAGAGCGAGACTCCATCTCAAAAACACTAAAAATAAAAAATAAAAAAGGGAAATAATAACAGAACCTGCCTCCGAAGGTTAAGTCTGAGGATTCAAAGAGTTAGGTGCTTGGCAAGGAGAAAGTTGCTTCATAATGTGAACCTGGTTTTTATTGCTGTGTGACATTAGGCAAGTCACTTAACCTCTCTGAGCATGTTAAAAGATTATTCAGTGTGGTGCTGGGGATGCTGCAGTGAAAGAGGTAGACAGAAAGCCCTGCCCACAGTCCAAGGACTCCATGTGTTTCTTCATGATGAATCATACCTGGAAACTCATAATTTCAAATTGGGCTAAGTGAGGGAAGAGGAAAAGAGTCAATGAAAGATAAGAATGGGAGACAGAGGTCCTGGATTTTTTTTTCTTTTTAATATTAATGGTTAAAATACACACAACAGGCCCTACACGGTGGCTCACGCCTGTAATCCCAGCACTTTGGGAGGCCGAGACAGGCAGATCACCTGAGGTCAGGAGTTGCAGACCAGCCTGGCCAACATGGTGAAACTCCGTCTCTACTAAAAATACAAAAATTAGCCAGGCGTGGTGGCACATGCCTGTAGCCCCAGCTATTTGGGAGTCTGAGGCAGGAGAATCGCTGGAACTCGGGAGGCAGAGGTTGGAGTGAGCCAAGATCGCGCCACTGTACTCCAGCCTGGGTGACAGAGCAAGACTCTGTCTAAAAAAAAAAAAAGGCCGGGCGCGGTGGCTCAAGCCTGTAATCCTAGCACTTTGGGAGGCCGAGGCGGTGGATCATGAGGTCAGGAGATCGAGACCATCCTGGCTAACACGGTGAAACCCCGTCTCTACTAAAAATACAAAAAAATTAGCTGGGCGTGGTGGCTGGCGCCTGTAGTCCCAGCTACTCAGGAGGCTGAGGCAGGAGAGTGGCGTGAACCCAGGAGGCAGAGCTTGCAATGAGCCGAGATCGCGCCACTGCACTCCAGCCTGGGCAACAGAGCGAGACTCCGTCTCAAAAAAAAAAAAAATTCATACAACATAAAACTTAACGATATTTTTAAAAATTTGTTTTGGGAACAGGGTCTTACTCCTGTTGCCCAGGCTGGAGTGCAGTGGGGCAGTCAGTTCACTGCAGCGACTTCTCAGGCTCAGGTGATCCTCCCACCTCAGCCTCCCAAGTAGCTGGGACTACAGGCATGCAACACCATGCCCAGCTAATTTTTTAAATATATATTTTTAGTAGACACAGGGTTTTACCATGTTGCCCAGACTGCTTTCGAACTACTGGCCTCAAGAGATCCACCTCCTTTGTCCTCCCAAAGTGCTGGGACTACAGGCGTGAGTCACTGTGCCTGGCCAAAATCTACGATCTTAACCATTTTTAAGTGTCCAGTTCAGTGGCATTAAGTACATTCCCATGGTGCTATCCCGGTTACCATTCACCTCCAGAAGGGGGCCTAGTTTTTTTTTATTTGAGATGGAGTTTCGCTCTTGTTGCCCAGGCTGGAGTGCAATGGCGCGATCTCGGCTCACTGCAACCTCCGCCTCCCGGGTTCCAGCAATTCTCCTGCCTCAGCCTCCAGAGTAGTTGGGATTACAGGCACACGCCACCACGCATGGCTAATTTTGTATTTTTAGTAGAGATGGGGTTTCTCCATGTTGGTCTGGCTGGTCTCGAACTCCCGACCTCAGGTGATCCACCCACCTGGGCCTCCCAAAGTGCTGGGATTACAGGCAGAAGCCACTGAGCCTGGCGGGGGGCCTAGTTTTAATTGGTACAGGGAGGGGGAGTCAGAGAAGCCACATCTTTTCTATTTTTATTTTAGTTTTATTGATTTATGTATTGATTTTATTTATTTTGAGAAGAGGTCTTGCTCTGTCACCCAGGCTAGAGTGCAGCGGTGCGATCATAGCTCACTGCAACCTCAAACTCCTGGGCTCCAGCCATTTTCCCTCCTCGGCCTTCCCAGTAGTTGGAATTACAGGAATGTGTCACCATGACCAGCTAATTTTTAAAAATTTTTTGTAGTGGTAGCTCACGTCTGTAATCCCAGCACTTTGGGAGGCCGAGGCAGAAGGATGGCTTGAGCCCAGGGGTTGGAGACCAGCCTGGGCAACGTAGTGAGACCCGTCTCTATTAAAAAAAAAAAAAAGAAAGAAGAAGAAGAAGAAGAAGAGGAAGAGGAGGGAAAAAAGTAAGAATAATTTTAAAAGTAAATAAATAAATAATTTTTTTGGTAGAGACAGAGTCTTGCTCTGTTGCCTAGGGTAGTCTCAAACTCCTGAGCTCAAGCGATCCTCCCATCTTGCCCTCCCAAAATAATGGAATTACAGGTGCTACTATGCCCAGCCTGAGATTTTGTACTCTTTGGCCATCATCTTCTCCCCCTAGCCTCTGTAGTCACCAGTTTACTCTGCCTCTAGGAGGAGTTCAGATGTTTTAGATTCCACGTATCAATGAAAACATGTGGTGTTTGTCTTTCCGTGTCTTATTTCACGTAACATAATGTTCGCCATTTCCATCCACATTGTTACAAATGACAGGATTTCCTTTTTTTTTTTTTTTTTGAGACAGAATCTGGCTCTGTCACCCAGGCTGGAGTGCAGTGGCGCGATCTCAGCTCACTGCAACCTCTGCCTCCCCGGTCCAAGCGATTCTCGTGCCTCAGCCTCCCGAGTAGCTGAGATTATAGGTGCGCATCTCCACATCTGGCTAATTTTTGTATTTTTAGTAGAGCCGAGTTTCACCATGTCAGCCAGGCTGATCTCAAACTCTTGATCTCAAGTAATCCACCCACCTCGGCCTCCCAAAGTGCTGGGATTACAGGCGTGAGCCACCACGCACAGTGTATTTTCTTCTTTTTTAAGGTTGAATAGTATTCCATCGTGTATGTATACCACATTTTTTTTTTTTTGAGACAAAGTCTCGCTCTGTCGCTCAGGCTGGAGTGCAATGGCGTGATCTCAGCTCACTGCAACCTCTGCCTCCAGGGTTCAAGCGATTCTCCTGCTTTAGCCTCCTGAGTAGCTGGGATGACAGGCATGCGCCATCACACCTGGCTAATTTTTGTATTTTTAATAGAGACGGGGTTTCGCCATGTTTGTCAGGCTGGTCTCGAACTCCTGACCCGAACTCTGCCTGCCTTGGCCTCCCAAAGTGCTGGGATTACAGGCATGAGCCACCGTGCCCGGCCCCACATATTCTTGATCCATACATCTGGTGATGGACACATTCCATATATTGGCTGTTGTGAATAGTGCTGCATTGGGAAGACACGTCCGTTGGACAAACTGATTTCATTTCCTTATTTATATATTTATTTTTACTTTTTTTTTTTTTGAGACAGAGTCTCACTCTGTTGCCCAGGCTGGAGGGCAATGGAGCAATCTCAGCTCAATGCAACCTCCATCTTTCGGGTTCAAGTGATTCTCCTGCCTCCCAAGTAGCTGGGACTACAAGCGTCTGCCAGGACACACGGCTAATTTTTGTATTTTTAGTAGAGATGGGGTTTCACGATGTTGTCCAGGCTGGTCTCCAACTCCTGGCTTCAAGTGATCCGCCTGCCTCGGCCTCCCAAAGTGCTGGGATTACAGGCGTGAGCCACCACGCCTGGCCCCTTCTTACTATTTGTTAAACACACCAGGCACAGTTTGGCCTCCAGGTCTTTGCACCCTGTGTTTCCTCTTCCTGGAATGCTGTTCTTCTAGCTACTGCATGGTTCTGTCCTCATCTCCTTCAGGCCTTTATTCAAATGTCTCCTCAGGCTGGGCGTGATGTCCCTGCACCTGTAATCCCAACACTGGGAGGCCAAGGGGGATGGTGCGGGGGATTGCTTGAGGCCAGGAGTTCGAGACCAGTCTGGCCAACAGAGTGAGACCCTCTCGCTCTCTCTCTCTTTTTTTTTTTTTTTGAAATGGAGTCTTGCTCTGTTGCCAGGCTGGAGTGCAGTGGTGCGATCTCGGCTCACTGCAACCTCCAACTCCCTGGTTCAAGCGATTCTCCTGCCTCAGCCTTCCGAGTAGCTGGGATTACAGGCACGTGCCACCACGTCCAGCTAATTTTTGTATTTTTAGTAGAGACGGGGGTTTCACCGTGTTGGCCAGGATGGTCTCGATCTCTTGACTTCGTGATCCACCTGCCTCGGGCTCCCAAAGTGCTAGGATTACAGGCGTGAGCCACTGCACCTGGCCTGTCTCTCTCTTTCTATATATGGTGCTTTTGTTGCTGTTTTTGAGACAGGGTCTTATCCTGTCACCCAGGCTGGAGTGCAGTGGCATGACTGCAACTCAACCTCCTGGGCTCAATCGATCCTCCCACCCCAGCCTCTCAAGTAGTTGGAACCACAAGTGCGCGCCACTACCCCTGGCTAATTTTTAAAACATTTTTTGTAGACATGGGGGTCTCAGTATGTGACTGCTTGAGGCCAAGAGTTAGAGGAGACCAGCCTGGGCAACATAGCAAGACCCCATTTCTACAAAAAATTTAAAAATTAGCTGAACATTGTGATGCACACCTGTTATCCCAGCTACTCTGGAGGCTGAGGCAGGAGGATTGCTTGAGCCTAGGAGTTCAAGGTTGCAGTGATCTATGATCGCACTGCTCCAGTTACAGAGTGAGGTCGTGTCTCTAAAAAAAAAAAAAAAAAAAAAGAGAGAGAGGAAAGGGCCGGGCGCAGTGGCTCACGCCTGTAATTCCAGTACTTTGGGAGGCCGAGACAGGCGGATCACCTGAGGTCGGGAGTTCGAGACCAGCCTGACCAACATGGAGAAACCCTGTCTCTACTAAAAGTACAAAACTAGCCGGGAGTGGTGGCGCATGCCTGTAATTCCAGCCACTAGGGAGGCTGAGGCAGGAGAATCGCTTGAACCTGGGAGGCAGAGGTTGCGGTGAGCCAAGATCGCACCATTGCACTCCAAGCTGGGCAACAAGAACAAAAATCTGTCTCAAAAGAAAAAAAAAAGAGAGAGAGAAAGCAAGGAAGGAAGGGAGGGAGGGAGGAAAGAAGGGAGAGGGAGAGGAAGGGAAGGAAAGAAAGAAAAAGAGAGAGAGAAAAGAGCAGTTATGACCAGGTATGGTGGCTCATGCCTGTAATCTTAGCAATTTGGGAGGCCGAGGTGTGTGCATCACTTGAGGTCAGGAGTTCGAGACCAGCCTAGCCAACATGGTGAAACCCCATCGCTACTAAAAACACAAAAAAATTGGCCAGGTGTGGTGGCACACGCCTATAATTCTAGCTACTTGGGAGGATGAGGTGGGAGGATCACTTGAACCCAGGAGGCAGAGGTTGCAGTAAGCCAAGATCACGACATTATACTCCAACCTAGGTGACTGTCTTAAAAAAAAAAAAGAAAAAGAGCAGTTACTTTTATTACCCTCATTTTGTAGATGAGGAAACTGATGCACAGAGAAGTTAAGTCACTTACTCAAGGTCACACAGCTCTGAAGCAGCAGAGGTGGGATTTGAACCCAAGCAGAGCAGGCTGCAGCCACTCTGTTGGCACAAGGGTGGTTATCAGTGGCCCTGGCTCTAGCCGAGTGTGCATCTCATCCCCGCCTCTCTCCTCACAGCCGTTCCAACAAAACCCAGACTGTGGCAGTGGCAGCCGGACGGAGCTGGGTGGCCATTCCTCGGGAACAGCTCACCATGTCTGACAAACTCCTTGTCTGGGGCACTAAGGCAGGCCAGCCTCTCTGGCCCCCCGTCTTCGTGAACCTAGAAACCCAAAGTAACGTGGCAGGAGGGTGGGCGCTCTATGCGGGGTGGGTGCTCTTGGAGGGCGTGGCTCACTACACCCTAGTTTCCCCTTCCCCAGTGAAGCCAAACGCCCCCCGGCTGGGCCCTGACGTGGACTTTTCCGAGGATGACCCCCTGGAGGCCACTGTCCATTGGGCCCCACCTACATGGCCATCTCATAAAGTTCTGATCTGCCAGTTCCACTACCGAAGATGTCAGGAGGCGGCCTGGACCCTGGTGAGTGCTGGGGTCCTTTTCTCCCCACCCTATTCCGGGCGGGGACTGAGGCAACATCTCCTAATCTGAGACCCAGCCCAGGACTCATTCTGTGCCTGCCCCTGAGCCTGTATGCCTCCCACTCAAAATGCCTGCATGTGCCTCTTGTTCAGCTACAAATTCTCCTCCCATGGCTGGGCACGGTGGTTCACGCCTGTAATCCCAGCACTTTGGGAGGCTGAGGGGGATGGATCACTTGAGGTCAAGAGTTCGAGACCAGCCTGGCCAACATGGTGAAATCCCATCTCCACTAAAAATACAAAAATTACCTAGGCATGGTGGTGGGCGCCTGTAATCCCAGCTACTGAAAGCTGAAGCAGGGGAATCACTGGAACCCGAGAGGCAGAGGTTGCAGTGAGCTGAGATTGGGCCACTGTGCTCCAGCCTGAGCTACAGAGTGAGACTCAGTCTCAAAAAAAAAAAATTTTTTTTCTCCTGCCAAAATAATCTATCACCCGGTCACAGTGGCTCATTTCTAAAATCCCAGCACCTTGGGAGGCTGAGGCAGGAAGATTGTTTGAGGTCAAGAGTTTGAGACCAGCCTGGGCAGGATAGCAAGACTCGTCTCTAAGAAGTTAAAAAATAATCTGACCAGGTGCGGTGGCTCACACCTGTAATCCCAGCACTGTGGGAGGCCAAGGAGAGTGGATCACCTGAGGTCAGGAGTTCGGGACCAGCCTGGCCAACATGGTGAAACCCCATCTCTACTAAAAATACAAAAAAGTAGCTGGGCGTGCTGGTGGGTGCCTGTAGTCCCAGCTAATTGAGAGGCTAAGGCAGGAGAGAATCACTTGAACCCAGGAGGTGGAGGTTGCAGTGAGCTGAGATCGTGCCACTGCACTCCACACTCCAGCCTGGCAACAGAGCAAGACTCCGTCTCAAAAAAAAAAAGAAGAAGAAGAGTTCAGAATTGTGATTATTCATGCAATTCAGAGCAACACTGAGATGCAGAATTTTTTTTTTTTTTTTTGAGATGGCGTTTTGCTCTTAATTGCCCAGGCTGGAGTGCAATGGCATGATCTCGGCTCACTGTAACCTCCACCATCTAGGTTCAAGCGATTCTCCTGCCTCAGCCTCCCGAGTAGCTGGGATTACAGGCATGTGCCATCATGCCCGGCTCATTTTGTATTTTCAGTAGAGACGGGGTTTCTCCATGTTGGTCAGGCTGGTCTTGAACTCCTGACCTCAGGTGATCCACCCACCTGGGCCTCCCAAAGTGCTGGGATTACAGGCATGAGCCACTGCACCCGGCCCCCTTTTTTTTTTGAGACGGAGTCTCACTGTGTTGCCCAGGCTGGAGTGCAGTGGTGCCATCTCAACTCACTGCAACCTCCACCTCTCAGGTTCAAGTGATTCCCCCACCTCAGCCCCTCAAGTAGGTGGGATTACAGGCATGTGCCACCATGCCCAGCTAAGTTTTTGTATTTTTTTTAATAGAGATGGGGTTTCGCTATTTGGCCAGGCTGGTCTCGAACTCCTGACCTCAGGTGATCCACCCACCTCCACCTCCTAAAGTGTTGGGATTACAGGCGTGAGCCACCTCACCCGGCTGAGATGCAGACTTTGGAATCTGACTACCTCAGTGCTCAGCTCCAGCACACCAGCTCTGTGACCTTGGGCTAGTCACTTTCCCTCTCTGGGCCTCAGTTCCCTCGTCTGTAAAACGAGATAATAATAGAAGTTACCACTTCCTGCTATACCTAGCACATAGAGTGACCACCTTTTCTCTGTCTGCTCGGGACTGTGGCAATTTTTTTGACAGGCCCATGTTCTGGAAACCCCCTTGGTCCTGGGCAAATACAAATGGTTGCTCACTCTGCTGATAGATAAGTTCAAGTACCAGCTAGGCGCAGTAGCTCTAATCCCAGCACTTTGGGAGGCCGAGGTGGGCAGATCACCTAAGGTCAGGAGTTCAAGACCAGCCTGGCCAAGATGGTGAAACCCCGTCTCTACTAAAAATACAAAAATTGGCTGGGCTTGGTGGCTCACACCTGTAATCCCAGCACTGTGGGAGGCCGAGGCGGGCGGATCACGAGGTCAGGAGATCGAGACCATCTTGGCCAACATGGTGAAACTCTGTCTCTACTAAAATACAAAAAATTAGCTGGGCATGGTGGCGCGTGCCTGTAATCCCAGCTACTTGGGAGGCTGAGGCAGGGGAATCGCTTGAACCCAGGAGGCAGAGGTTGAAGTGAGCTGAGATCGTGCCACTGCACTCCAGCCTGGCGACAGAGCAAGACTCTGCCTCAAAAAAAAAAAAAAAAAAATTAACCAGGTGTGGTGGTGGGTGCCTGTAATCCCAGCTACTCAGGAGGCTGAGGCAGGAGAATTGCTTGAACCCAGGAGGGAGAGGTTGCAGTGAGCCAAGATCACACCACTGCACTCTAGCCTGGGCCACAACGAGACTGTCTCAAAACGAAAAACAAAGGAAAAAAAAAAAGATAAGTTCAAATACCCTTGACTCAGGCCCTGGGCCCATCACGCTCGCCTGTCTCTCCCCCAGCTGGAACCGGAGCTGAAGACCATACCCCTGACCCCTGTTGAGATCCAAGATTTGGAGCTAGCCACTGGCTACAAAGTGTATGGCCGCTGCCGGATGGAGAAAGAAGAGGATTTGTGGGGCGAGTGGAGCCCCATTTTGTCCTTCCAGACACCGCCTTCTGGTGAGGATATCTGGGCTTGCCCTCAATCCACGCCCCTCCCACCCCCAGAAGTCTGTCCAATCATGTCCCACTCATTTGTTCCCCGTTTCCTCATCCTTGCCAGCTCCAAAAGATGTGTGGGTATCAGGGAACCTCTGTGGGACGCCTGGAGGAGAGGAACCTTTGCTTCTATGGAAGGTGAGCTTCAGGCACCAGTTACATTTCTCTGCACGTGTTAGGAAACCCCTAAATAACAATGACATAAGGCCGGATGCAGTGGCTCACGCTTGTAATCCCAACACTGCTGTGGGAGGCCGAGGAGGGTGGATCACTTGAGGTCAGCAGTTGGAGACCAGCCTGGCCAACATGGTGAAACCCCATCTCTACTAAAAATACAAAACTTCACGGGGAGTGGTCGTGGGCGCCTGTAATCCCAGCTACTCTGGAGGCTGAGGCAGAAGAATCACTTGAACCCAGGAGGTGAAGGTTGCAGTGAGCCGAGATCACACCACTGCACTCCAGCCTGGGCAACAAGAGTGAAACTCCGTCTCCAAAACAAAAAACAAACAAAACCCAATGACATAAACAAGACAGAGTTTACCATGCTGCCCCCTTGAGGTTGCTTCGAAGATTCAAGGATGGGTTGCTAAAGTGGTCAGCACAGGGTGGGGCATGGAGCAAGTCTCCACCAATGTCAGCTGCTTCCGAGAGGTCTGAGCCATAAGGATGGGTGCAGATATTCCGGGCAGGGGCAGCAGATGCAAAAACCTGACAGCGAGACTGGAGCTCAGCTCCAGAAAATATAACACAGTGTGCTAAGAGTTTATTTATTCATTTATTTATTTTGAGATGGAGTCTCGCTCTGTTGCCCAGGCTGGAGTGCAGCAGCGTCATCTCATCTCAGCTCACTGCAACCTCCACCTCCCAGGTTCAAGCCATTCTCTGCCTCAGCCTCCCAAGTAGCTGGGATTACAGGTGCCCCCCCACCACGCCCGGCTAATTTTTGTATTTTTAGTAGAGATGGGGGTTTCACCATCTTGGCCAGGGGGGCCTTGAACTCCTGACCTCATGATCCAGCCACCTCGGCCTCCCAAAGTGCTGGAATTACAGGCGGGAGCCACCGCGCCTGGCCTGTGCTAAGAGTTTAAATGCTAGTATCAAAAGGGTATTAATAGGCTGGGCATGGTGGCTCATGCCTGTAATCCCAGCACTTTGAGAGGCTCAGGTGGGCAGATCACTTGAGGTCAGGAGTTCGAGACCAGCCTGGCCAACATGGTGAAACCCCATCTCTACTAAAAATACAAAAATTAGCTGGGCCTGGTGGCAGGCACCTGTAATCCCAGCTACTTAGGAGGCTGAGACAGGAGAATCGCTTGAACCTGGGAGGTGGAGGTTGCAGTGAGCTGAGCTCGAGCCACTGCACTCCAGTCTGGGCAACAAGAGCAAGACTCTGTCTCACAAAAAAAAAAAAAAAAAAGGTATTATAAAATGGCTGACAAGGTGCAATTATCCTCACTGATTCAAATCTGTGAAGCACCTGCTATGTGCCAGGTGGCATTGCTTGACCCTTGCTCTCAGTAAATAAGCAAAGGAACACGATGACAGGTGTGGTTTTCCACCTTCTTAGACCACACAATCCAGTATCTTTTATTTATTTATGTATTTGAGATGGAGTGTCACTCTTGTTGCCCAGGCTGGAGTGCAATGGGGCGATCTTGGCTCACCGCAACCTCCGCCTCCTGGGTTCAAGCGATTCTCCTGCCTCAGCCTCCTGAGTAGCTGTGATTATAGGCGCCCGCCACCACACCCGGCTAATTTTTGTATTTTTAGTAGAGACGAGGTTTCACCATGTTGGCCAGGCTGGTCTCGAACTCCTGAAATCAGGTGATCTGCCCACTCGGCCTCCCAAAGTGCTGGGATTACAGGTGTGAGCCACCGTGCCTGGCCGATATTTTAAAAAATTAAATCAGCAAACTAGAGTTCAAGGACCAACTGCCTGTTTTCAGAAATACAGTTTGATTGGAACCAAGACCAGGGTTAGGGAGGTGAGCAGGGTAGGGTCACACAGGTGCAGGATCAAATCCTGTTTTTACTTTAAAATCTTGATATTTTGGACCGAGTGGGTGGCTCATACCTGTAATCCCAGCACTTTGAGAGTCTGAGGCAGGAGGACCACTTGAGGCCAGGAGTTCGAGACCAGCCTGGGCAACATAGCAAGCTACCCATCTATACAGAGAATAAAACATTACCAGGGGCCGGGCACAGTGGCTCAGCCTGTAATCCCAACACTTTGGGAGGCCGAGGCGGGTGGATCATAAGGTCAGGAGTTCAAGACCAGCCTGGCCAAGATGGTGAAACCCCCATCTCTACTAAAAATACACAAATTAGCCGGGCGTGGTGGCAGGCACCTGTAATCCCAGCTACTTAGGAGGCTGAGGCAGGAGAATCTCCTGAACCCGGGGAGGTTGCAGTGAGCTCAGATTGCGCCACTGCACTCCAGCCTGGGTGACAGAATGAGACTCTGTCTCCAAAAAAAAAAAAAAAAATTAGCGGGGTGTGGTGGCATGCGTCTATAGTCCCAGCTACTGGGGAGGCTGAGGTGGGAGGATCACTTCAGCCTAGGATGTTGAGGCTGCAGTGAGCTATGATTGCACCACCGCACTTCAGCCTGTACAATAGTGAGAACTTATGTCAAAAAGAAAAAAAAAAAAAAGATGGCTGGGCGTGGTGGCTCACGCCTGTAATCCCAGCACTTTGGGAGGCCGAGACGGGCGGATTTTTTTTTTAAGAGACAAGGTCAGGAGATCAAGACCATCCTGGCTAACATGTGAAACCCCGTCTCTACTAAAAATACAAAAAATTAGCCGGACGTGGTGGCAGGCGCCTGTAGTCCCAGGTACTGGGGAGGCTGAGGCAGGCGAATGGCGTGAACCCGGGAGGCAGAGCTTGCAGTGAGCCGAGATGGCGCCACTGCACTCCAGCCTGGGCGACAGAGCGAGACTCTGTCTCAAAAAAAAAAAAAAAGTTGATATTTTGTTTGTCATGGGTTTTTAGGCATTAATTTTCATTTATTACAATACTGCATTAAAATATTATTTATCTCACTTATTGGGTTTTTGGTATCCCCCACTCCCTTTTAAATTTTGCACCTGGCCAGGTTTGCTGACTCACGCCTGTAATCCTAGCACTTTGGGAGGCTGAGGCAGGCAGATCACTTGAGGTCAGGAGTTTGAGACCAGCCTGGCCAACATGGTGAAACCCCGTCTCTACTAAAAATACAAAAATTAGCCGGGCGTGATGGCAGGCGCCTGTAATCCCAGCTACTCAGGAGGCTGAGGCAGGAACATCGCTTGAACCCGGGAGGTGAAGGTTGCAGTGAGCCGAGATCACGCCACTTCACTCCAGTCTGGGTAACAGAATGAAGACTCCGTCTCAAAAAACAAACAAACAAACAAACAAAAAATGCTTCACTGACCGGTGGTTTATCAGGTGACCTCAGGGAGACACATATATGTGCGTGATTAATGGGAGACATTAACCCCTTTTTCCCTTCATCTCTCAGGCCCCAGGGCCCTGTGTGCAGGTGAGCTACAAAGTCTGGTTCTGGGTTGGAGGTCGTGAGCTGAGTCCAGAAGGAATTACCTGCTGCTGCTCCCTAATTCCCAGTGGGGCGGAGTGGGCCAGGGTGTCCGCTGTCAACGCCACAAGCTGGGAGCCTCTCACCAACCTCTCTTTGGTCTGCTTGGGTAAGAGACTGTGACCTTCCTCAGCTCGGTGCCCTGGAGGGGTGGGAAGTGACTTCCTGAGTGGGCAGCTGAGACTTCTCTCCACCCTCCAGATTCAGCCTCTGCCCCCCGTAGCGTGGCAGTCAGCAGCATCGCTGGGAGCACGGAGCTACTGGTGACCTGGCAACCGGGGCCTGGGGAACCACTGGAGCATGTAGTGGACTGGGCTCGAGATGGGGACCCCCTGGAGAAACTCAACTGGGTCCGGCTTCCCCCTGGGAACCTCAGTGCTCTGTTACCAGGTGAGGCCCTGGGACACCTGGGTCTCCATCCCCGCTGTTAGAGCAGACGGATGGGTGGACTTGTAAGAGGGAGTGCTATGATTAAAGTAGCGTGATGGCCGGGCTTGGTGGCTCATGCCTGTAATCTCAGCACTTTGGGAGGCCGAAAGGGGCGGATCACCTGAGGTCAGGAGTTGGACACCAGCCTGGCCAACATAGTGAAACCCCGTCTCTACTAAAAATACAAAAATTAGTGGGGCGTGGTGGCACATGCCTGTAGTCCCAGCTACTCGGGAGGCTGAGGCAGGAGAATCGCTTGAACCTGGGAGGTGGAGGTTGCAGTGAGCCGAGATTGCGCCACTGCACTCTAGCCTGGGTGACAGAGTGAGACTCAGTCTCAAAAAATAAATAAATAAATAAATAAATAGCGTGAATTCACACAAGACTTTTTTTTTTGCTTTTTGGAGGCAAGATCCCACTCTGTGGCCCAGGCTAGAGTGCAATGGTGCCATCTCAGCTCACTGCAACTTCCATCTCCTGGGTTCAAGTGATTCTCGTGACTCAGCTTCCCGAGTAGCTGGGACTATGGGAGCGTACCACCACAATCGGTTAATTTTTTTTTTTTTTTTTTAAGTAGAGACGGGGTTTCACCATGTTGGTTTGGCTGGTCTCCAACTCCTGACCTCAAGTGATCTGCCTGCCTTGGCCTCCCAAAGTGCTGGGATTACAGGCATGAGCCACTATGCCCAGCCTAACTTTTCTTTTTTTTTTTTTTGAGATGGAGGCTGGCTCTGTCACCCAGGCTGGAGTGCAATGGTGTGATCTCAGCTCACTGCAGCCTTCACCTCCCGGGTTCAAGCGATTCTCGTGCCTCAGCCTCTGGGGAGTGACTGGGATCACAGGCCCCCACCGCCATGCCCAGCTAATTTTTTTATTTTTAGTAGAGACGGGGTTTCACCATGTTGGCTAGGCTGGTGTCAAACTCCTGACCTCAAGAGATCCACCCGCATTGGCCTCCCAAAATGATGGGATGACAGGGGTGAGCCACCATGCCTGGCCCTTTTTTTTTTTTTTTTTTTGGAGTCTTGCTCTGTCGCCCAGGCTGGAGTGCAGTGGTGCGATATCGGCTCACTGCAAGCTCCACCTCCTGGGTTCACGCCATTCTCCTGCCTCAGCCTCCCGAGCAACTGGGAGTACAGGCGCCCGCCACCACGCCCGGCTAATTTTTTTTTTTTTTTGTATTTTTAGTAGGAACGGAGTTTCACCATATTAGCCAGGATGGTCTCGATCTCTTGACCTCGTGATCTGCCCTCCTCAGCCTCCCAAAGTGCTGGGATTTCAGGCATGAGCCACCGCACCCGGCATTTTTTTTTTTTTAAGAGATGAGTCTCACTCTGTCAGCCAGGCTGGAGTGCAGTGGCGTGATCTCAGCTCACTGCAGCGTCGACCTCCATGGCTCAAGCAATCCTCCCACCTCAGCGCCCTGAGGAGCTGGTATTACAGGCATGCGCCACCAAGCCCAGCCAGTTTTTGTATTTTTTGTAGAGGTGGGGTTTCTCCATGTTGCCCAGGCTGTTCTTGAACTCCTGAGCTCAGGCAATCCACCTGCCTTGGCCTCCCAAAGTGCTGGGATGACAGGCATGAGCCACGGTACCTGGCAAGAAATCTTTATAAATAAATAAATAAATAAATAAATTAATTAATTAATGAACTTGGAAGAACTGTGAAGATGTTGGGTAAGAAATTTAGGACACAGTCCCAAGACCCACAAGGATATATGAACCAAAGAAGCGAAGGCCCAATTATGGAAAATTCCCAGTTGGGGAAGGCTATGTGGATGTGATAGGGTTTAGGGGAGAGAGTGCAGCACCCTCAGCTACCATGGTAGGTGCTGTCAGTTGCCTGCTCATATCTGTTTGACCACCTCAGAGGTTTTAGGCCTCTCTCCCAGCTGCCCACACTTGTTTCCTGGCCTAAGGGCTTTTTCTGGTCACTGAGGCATTTTGCCTGCCTGAGAAGCAAGATGGAAATATTGAGAAGAGCCCTCAGGAACAGCCCTCAGCATGACTAATGAGGCTTGGTGGATAAATACCCCAGCTCCGTCCCCCTGAGCTGGGCTGACTCTGCGATGCCTGCTCTCTGCTGGCCCCTAGAGGTCCCCCATGGGACTGCGTCTCAGTTGTCCACAGTGAGAACCTGTTCCTTCCCCATTTCACTCCCCTACTGCCCTATTGGGGTTTTCTGGGATTACCTCCTAGATAAATGACTTACAGTCAGATCCTTATCTCAGGGTGTCCTTCTGGGGACCCCAGTGAAGACACCTAGGAAATGAGCATGGGAAGGAGAGCCAACTCTAACTGGTCTTTATTTCTTTGTCACTCAGGGAATTTCACTGTCGGGGTCCCCTATCGAATCACTGTGACCGCAGTCTCTGCTTCAGGCTTGGCCTCTGCATCCTCCGTCTGGGGGTTCAGGGAGGAATTAGGTAAGAGTGGGGCTGGAGGATGGGGGGGCTTCTGTAACCCAGGCCGACCTTGACCTACTGCCTTCCTCCCCAGCACCCCTAGTGGGGCCAACGCTTTGGCGACTCCAAGATGCCCCTCCAGGGACCCCCGCCATAGCGTGGGGAGAGGTCCCAAGGCACCAGCTTCGAGGCCACCTCACCCACTACACCTTGTGTGCACAGAGTGGAACCAGCCCCTCCGTCTGCATGAATGGTGAGCTTCCCTGCCTGCTGACCTGTCCTCCCAGCCCCCACAAGACCCACCCATCAGTCAGCCCCACCCCTTGTCCCC
Source organism: Homo sapiens (assembly GCF_000001405.40). Taxonomy (NCBI): domain Eukaryota; kingdom Metazoa; phylum Chordata; class Mammalia; order Primates; family Hominidae; genus Homo; species Homo sapiens. The sequence goes on from NC_000019.10 coordinate 14,049,393, forward strand.
ACGTGGGCCTCTTTGGCCCAGGGACCATACATGGTGTCCTCAATTCCCTCTTGGCTATCAATGTAACGAGCTTTCATTCGGCCATTAAAAATGAGGATGCCAATCTATATTTATTGACATTGAAAGATGCTTGTCATATTTTATTAGTGAAAAAGATAAAAGGATGTTAAAATTCCGTGGTATGGTTCCATTTTTTTTTTTTTTTTTTGAGACAGAGTCTCGCTTTGTCACCAGGCTGGAGTGCAATGGCACGATCTCAGCTCACTGCAACCTCCGCCTCCCAGGTTCAAGCAATTCTCCTGCCTCAGCCTCCTGAGTAGCTGGGATTACAGGCGCATGCCACCATGCCCGGCTAATTTTTGTATTTTTAGTAGAGACAGTTTCACCATGTTGGTCAGACTGATCTCGAACTCCTGACCTCGTGATCCACCCACCTCAGCCTCCCAAAGTGCGGGGATTATAGGTGTGAGCCACTGCGCCCGGCCTATATATAATTTTAAAAATATATATAGAAGGCCCGGCATGGTGGGTCACGCCTGTAATCCCAGCACTTTGGGAGGCCAAGGCAGGCAGATCACTTGAGGTCAGGAGTTCGAGACCAGCCTGGCCAACATGGTGAAACCTCATCTCTACTAAAAATACAAAAATTAGCCAGGCATGGTGGCACAGCCTGTAGTCCAGCTACTCAGAAGGTGGCTGAGGCACTAGAATTGCTTGAATCCGGGAGGTGGAGGTTGCAGTGAGCCAAGATCATGCAAAGACAAACTAAATAATATCTAAGCAGTGTATGAGATGGTGATAAGTGCTGAGTAGAGAATGAAGCAAGGGGCTGGGCAAGGTGGCTCACACCTATAATCCCAGCACTTTTGGAGGCCGAGGTGGGCAGATCACCTGAGGTCAGGAGTTTGAGACCAGTCTGACCAATATGGTGAAACCCAGTCTCTACTAAAAATATAAAAATTAGCCAGATGTGGTGGCGGGCACCTGTAGTCCCAGCTACTCAGGAGGCTAAGACAGCAGAATTGCTTGAACCCAGGAGGCAGAGGTTGCAGTGAGCTGAGATCACATGACTGCACTCCATCCTGGGCAACAGAGTGTTACAGAGCGAGACTTCATGTCAAAAAAAAAAAAAAAAAAAGAGAATCAAACAAGGAAGGTGGGTGGTGAAGGGGGTGCAATTTCAAATAGAGCGGGGTCAAGGAAAGCCTCACGGAAGAGGTGACCTTTGAGCAAAGACCTAAAAGAGATGAGGAGGGAGCCATGTGGATACCTGGGAGAGAGTGTTGCAGACAGCAGGAAGAGCACATGCAAAGGCCCTGTGGTAGGCTTGACCACCTCCCCAACTTCTTTGGTTGTGTTCTCCAGTGAGTGGCAACACACAGAGTGTCACCCTGCCTGACCTTCCTTGGGGTCCCTGTGAGCTGTGGGTGACAGCATCTACCATCGCTGGACAGGGCCCTCCTGGTCCCATCCTCCGGCTTCATCTACCAGGTAGGGGGGTTGGGATGGGATTGCCACAGGGAGGGGATGTACTCCACAGTGGGGAGAGGTAGCATCTGGAGTCATTACTTGGAAGCTAGGTGCAGTGGCTCACCCCTGTAATCCTAACACTCTGGGAGGCTGAGGCAGGTGGATCACTTGAGCCCAGGAGCTCGAGACCAGCCTGGGCAACATAGTGAGACCCCCTTCTCTACAAAAAATAAAACAATTAGCTGGATGTGGTAGCATGCGCCTGCGGTCCCAGCTCCTGGAGAAGCTGAGGCTCGAGGATCGCTTGAGCCCAGGAGTTGGAGGCTGCAGTACACGGATTACACCACTGCGCTCCAGCCTGGGCAACAAAGCAAGACCCTGTCTTTAAAAAATTAAGAATTGCCAGGCACAGTGGCTCACGCCTGTAATCTCAGCACTTTGGGAGGCCGAGGCGGGTGGATCAGTTGAGGTCAGGAGTTCGAGACCAGCCTGGCCAATGTGGTGAAACCCCATCTCTACTAAAAATACAAAAATTAGCTGGGCGTGGTGGCGTGCGGCTGTAATCCCAGCTACTTGGGAGGCTGAGAGAGAATTGCTTGAACCCAGGAGGCGGAGGTTGCAGTGAGCTGAGGTCGCACCACTGCACTCCAGCCTGGGTGACAGGGCAAGACTCTGTCTCAAAAATAAAAATAAAAAATAAAATAAAATAAAAAATTAAGAATGATCTCTTCCCTACCCTACCAGATAACACCCTGAGGTGGAAAGTTCTGCCGGGCATCCTATTCTTGTGGGGCTTGTTCCTGTTGGGGTGTGGCCTGAGCCTGGCCACCTCTGGAAGGTGAGGCTGTCGGATACATGCATCTCTACCCACGTGGGGAAGGCAGCTGGGCATTTTGCTGAGCTTCCAGGGGGCTTGAAGGGAGGCCTCAGGGCGCAGTCACATTCATGAACCCTGCACCCTGGGCTGGGGCATCTGGCCATCTGGATCTGCTGCCCTGACTACTCCTGTCTTGCCAGGTGCTACCACCTAAGGCACAAAGTGCTGCCCCGCTGGGTCTGGGAGAAAGTTCCTGATCCTGCCAACAGCAGTTCAGGCCAGCCCCACATGGAGGTGAGTCAAAGGGCCGGCTAGTCGGAGCCCTCTGGGGGACTGGGGAGTCCTGGGGCAGTGGGGAGGGGGTGAGGTGTGGGTCGGGGAGGCTGGGGCAGGATTACAGGCTCATCTCTTCCCAGCAAGTACCTGAGGCCCAGCCCCTTGGGGACTTGCCCATCCTGGAAGTGGAGGAGATGGAGCCCCCGCCGGTTATGGAGTCCTCCCAGCCCGCCCAGGCCACCGCCCCGCTTGACTCTGGGTATGAGAAGCACTTCCTGCCCACACCTGAGGAGCTGGGCCTTCTGGGGCCCCCCAGGCCACAGGTTCTGGCCTGAACCACACGTCTGGCTGGGGGCTGCCAGCCAGGCTAGAGGGATGCTCATGCAGGTTGCACCCCAGTCCTGGATTAGCCCTCTTGATGGATGAAGACACTGAGGACTCAGAGAGGCTGAGTCACTTACCTGAGGACACCCAGCCAGGCAGAGCTGGGATTGAAGGACCCCTATAGAGAAGGGCTTGGCCCCCATGGGGAAGACACGGATGGAAGGTGGAGCAAAGGAAAATACATGAAATTGAGAGTGGCAGCTGCCTGCCAAAATCTGTTCCGCTGTAACAGAACTGAATTTGGACCCCAGCACAGTGGCTCACGCCTGTAATCCCAGCACTTTGGCAGGCCAAGGTGGAAGGATCACTTAGAGCTAGGAGTTTGAGACCAGCCTGGGCAATATAGCAAGACCCCTCACTACAAAAATAAAACATCAAAAACAAAAACAATTAGCTGGGCATGATGGCACACACCTGTAGTCCGAGCCACTTGGGAGGCTGAGGTGGGAGGATCGGTTGAGCCCAGGAGTTCGAAGCTGCAGGGACCTCTGATTGCACCACTGCACTCCAGGCTGGGTAACAGAATGAGACCTTATCTCAAAAATAAACAAACTAATAAAAAGCAAAAAAAAAAAAAAAAGAAAAGAAAAAACACTGCATTTGGGCACCATCTCAGCTCCCTTGCATCCAGGTGCAGCATGGACTGAGTTCTTGACAACAGAATGTGGTCAGAAGTGACATATGCCAACACGGGGTCTGGGTGGGGGCTCCCCCACATCCTTTCCTTGCCTATGAGCTGGAACATAACACATGCCTATGATCCAGCTTTGGTCATACCCAAGGGGAAGGTGGAGCAAGAAATGAAAAGGAACCTGAATCCCTGAATGACTGCATGGATAGAACCACTAAGAAAAATAAACTTTTATATTTTTATAGCTACTGTAGCTTTGAGGTCTTTTTGTTACAGCAGCTCAATCTATACTCTCACTGATTCATAATCTTTGACTGTAGCAGGGTTAAGCCTCAAATTTCCCACCAGGAGATGACGCTGTGATTCTGTGCTGACTACACACACATTCAAGCCGTCTTGAGTGCTTTCACATTTTATTTTCAAGTATAAAGGCTTCATCGCAGAAGGAGGCCAGGGTTACAGGCAGTGGGCAAGGGGTCTGGAAGCCCAGGTTTAGGTGGACGTGCAGGCTAGCTGGCTCCCAGGTGCCATGGCCAGTCCTGTGGTCCCTGTCTGTGCCTGGGACCCTCTTCTGGGTGCCAAGAGGCCGAGGTAGCTGTGAGAGGAGCTGGACATGGGGTGGAGGGGCATGGGTTCACATGACCGCACAACACTGGCACGTCTTTTGCTTAGGGCCACTTGCCTCTTCACCCTCGGTGGGGGCAGATGGCTCAGGCTGCCGGGCAGGCGCGTAGGTGGGCACAGGGTGGGCACTGGGGTTGGCGCTGGGCCCCTCCCCCTGAAGCAGTGGCTGGCATTCGGCGGGCTGCTCTGGGGCTGGGGTCTCTGCCAGAAGAGGTGTGGCATCCCCCAAGGGGCCTTGGCCCTCAGCAGCGGTTTGGGGCTTCACTCCTTCCTCCTCCAGGGCTCCTACTGGCTTCTCCTGGGGCTGGGGTCCTTCCTTCTCTGGCCTTGTCTCCGTGTTAGCCTCAAGGGGAGGCCCTGCCTCATTCATCTCCTCTGCCTGGGATTCACTTCCTTCCCTAGACCCTTGTTCTAGATTCAGATCTCCCTCCGTCCCTTGGGTCTTCTCTGTCTCCAATGATTCCTCACCTCCCCTTTTCTCTGCCTCCAGTGTCTCCTCCCCTCCCTTTCTCTCTGCCTCCAGTGGTTCTTTGGTTGCCTCTGGCTCTTCCTCACCTCCTTTCTTCTCTACTCCCAATGGTTCTTCTACCTCCTCCTCCTCTGCCCCTCGCTTTTCCTCATCTCCTTCCTTCTCTGCCCTCAAATGTCCCTCAACTTTTCTCTCTATGCCCAGTGGTTCCTCACCTCCTTCCCTCTCTGTTCCCAGCTTTTCTGCACTTCCTCTGCTCTCCAGCTCCAACTTCTTCTCTCCTCCTTTCCTCTCTACCACTGGTGACATCTCCGCTTCATCCCTCCCTGTCCCTGGCTTTTCCTCACTTCCTATTCCCATGGATTCTTCCGCTTTTCTCTTCTCTGCCTCCCAGGTCTCCTCGCCTCCTCCCGTCTTGGCCCCCTCGGCCCCCAGCGGGCTTTCATCTCCTCTCTCCCTCCCTGCCACCTCGGGCCCTTCCAACCCCTCCACCAGCAGCTCCTCCCACTCTTCACTGAGGGTCACTCTCTCCACCCAAATGAAGGATCCCTCCTCTCCTCCAGAGCCTCCCTGCCCATCACCCTCAGGGCTGCCCTGGGGCACATCTTCCCCTTCTATGGAAGCTGCTGCCTCTAATCTCTCCTGGAGCCTAGGCGAGCTAGTCTGCACGACCTCAGGGACCCTGCCTATCTCCCCCATGGCCTCTGCATCACTGCCACCCACCCCCTCCCAGACCACCTCCACGATGCCCCTGTCCTCCTTCACCCAGGCCGGGAGCTCCAGGCTACCAGCTCCCTTCCTGTCTCCGATGGCTTCCAGCACCACTTCCTCCACCTTAGCCTCCAGCTCGGGGCCCGTGGCCCCTGTGGCACAGTCCTCTGTGGCCCTCAGCCCTTCCCACACCACACTCACCACGCCCCCTCCTTTGGCCTCACCCACCCGCCCTTCGGATGGCACTGCCCTCTGACTTAGCCCCTGCTCTGGAGTGGGGATGGGGCTGGGGCATGGGCCATTGGCTTCTGAGGAGTCTCCTGCTGCCCCGGGGACCTGCCTCGGGCCTGGCAGAAACCCCAAGACATCCTCCCTGGGCTCAGAGGGGGACTCTGGAGGCGTGCCCACTAGTCCAGCCGGCAGGGAGGCTCTCTTGTTCAGATCAGTCTGGCCTGGGGGAGTCAGAGGTGGAGGGGAGAGGACAAAAGGGAAGACAGGGTTAAGATGGAACAAAAGGACTGCCATCCACACTCCCCTTGAGTCACCCTCTCACACCCAGGCTCTGGGGTGACCTGACCCCCAGACCTAGGGGCTCCCACACTTACCTACAGAACCTGCCTCGACAATGGACTGGGAGAGAGGACGGTGACCCTGCAGAGATGGCGGAGACAAGGTCAGGCTGGCCCTCATCCCCACCTCCAGCCTCCCTGCATGCTAGGCTCCCACCCCACCACCCCTAAATACCCTCAGTGGCTCTCTATTACCTTCAGGATCAAACTCCACATTGTACCTCTGCCTTCCTCATCTATCTTATTGCCCTATGTTCCAGGGCCTTGCACACAGTAGGTGCTTAAACAATACTGCATTCCCATAGCCAATCTGTATTAGGGGCCTACTTTGTCAGTTACTGGTTACCATGCACAAGGGACACTTAAGCCTTTTGTTTTTGGCACTTACATTCCAATCAACATAAATACAAATTAATTTTTTTTTTGAGATGGAGTCTTGCTGTGTCGCCCAGGCTGGAGTGCAGTGGCGTAATCTCGGCTCACTGCAACGTTCGCCTCCTGGTTTCAAACGATTTCCCTGTCTCAGCCTCCCTAGTAGCTGGGACTACAGGCACCTGCCAGCATGCCCAGCTAATTTTTGTTTGAGACAGAGTCTCACTCTGTTGCCCAGGCTGGAGTGCAGTGGTGTGATCTCAGCTCACTGCAACCTCTGTCTCCAGGGTTCAAGTGATTCTCCTACCTCAACCTCCCCAGTAGCTGGGACTACAGGGACACACCACCATACCGAGCTAATTTTTGTGTTTTTAGTAGAGATGGGGTTTCACCATGTTGGCCAGGCTGGTCTCCAATTCCTAACCTTAAGTGATCCGCCCACCTCGGCCTCCCAAAGTTCTGGGATTACAGGCGTGAGCCACCATGCCTGGCCTATACTGTTGTTATTCCCATTTTAGAGATGGGAAAACTAAGGCTTGGAAAAGGAAATTGACTTGCCAAGACCACAGAGCAAAGTAAAAGCGGGAAGCGGATCTGAATGCAGACCTAGTGGCCAGGCTGCCCTTGGAGAAAGCTGCATTCCTGATTCCATGTCCTGCCTTGAGGCCTGCTGGCCATGCCCTCCCATCCCACTCCCCTGATTCCCCCCTCACCTGTCTGCGCCAGCTGGGCCTGCCTGAGGGCTTGTGCTGGGCACCTGTGGAAGCACTTTGCAACAGTTGCAGCTGGGACTGGAGTCTGAAGAAGAGAGAGGGCTGCTAGGAGCTGGGCCCCCAGGCTCCTTGGGCTCCTAGACTCAAGCGACCACCTCCTTGGAATGTGCCCAGGGTCTCGATCTCACCCAGCTGGGGCAGGGTTCGGGCAGAGCTAGAAGGTCTCCACTCACGTGAACAAACTGTCTTCCAGGTTCCGGATTCGGGCCTGAGCCTGGCCCTCGGGTGACTGGGGGTCCTTCGAGGTGGGGTCTTCGGATGGCTCTGGCACTGCAGCTGCCCCATCCATTAGCCAACGTTCCCGGAGAGACTTCCTCTGGGCAGGGGAAGGGAGTTGGGGCTGGGCATACAGACTACCCCGGTCCATGTAAAGTCCCCTCCCGACCTCTGCAGGCTGGGCAGGTATCTTATCACCACCTCACAACCAGTTGCGACATACATCAGGCTGGGATACATGGCCACAGTGCCCCCCAACGCTGCAAGTGGGCAGACATCCCTTGTTCCAAACCCTTCCAAAATGAAACGGGCACTTCCAAAGTGAAATCAATGTCCCTCCCTACTGGCCCCTCCCTACCCCAAAGCTAGACTTCGGCTCCTCTCCATCTCCCCCAAATTGGGACAAACAGCATCACTGTCCCAGACTTTTCCCCAAATGGAACAAATGTCCCCATGACCACCCCACTTCGTCCCTCCCAGGCTGGGAAAGACATACCCCGCCCCGGCCAAGCTGGAACCAACGCCCCCAACTGCCCGCTCCCCCCCAAAAATTGGACAGAGGCTCCTATCGTCCCCCAAACCGACTTGCACAGACACCCCCCACTCCATTCCCCAGGCTAGGCAGGCGCCCCCGCCCGCCCCCAACCTTGAGACGCTCCACGCGGAGTTTCTCCTCCTCCACCTCCCGGCGCGCGGCGCGGATCTCCTCCTGCAGCCGCCGCTTCTCCTGCGCACAGAGGACCCGGAGCTGCCCGCCGGCCGGGCGCGGCCTCCACCACCTCCTCTTCCCTCCCTTTCCCCTCCCTCCTCCGCGGGGCTCACCGGAGCTCCCGGGGCTCCCGAGGCAGCGAGCCCGGCGGGGGTGGCCCAGCGCGGGTCTGCACCCAGGGCGGGGAGGGGGCTGCGGAGGCGCTGACTCAGCGGCGGGCGGAGTGGGGGGGGCGGGGCGGGGGCGGGGCCGGCCGCGCCCGGGATGCTGCGGAGGCCTCGCCCGCGCCCAATGGGGGTCTGTGGATGGGGGGTGTAGGGGGTGGGGCCTTGGGACAGCTATCGGGGGAGGGGCAGAGCTGGGGAGCTCCGAGATACGAGGTTAAGAGAAATGGGGATCAAAGGGAGGGTGCGGCCGTACGCGGTGGCTCACGCCTGTAATCCCAGGACTTTGGGAGACCGAGGCGGACAGATCGCTTGAGGTCAGGAGTTCTAGCCTACCCTGGCCAACATGGTGAAAACCCGGCTCTACTAAAAATACAAAAATTAGCTGGGCGTGGTAGCAGGCGCCTGTAATCCCAGCTACCGGGGAGGCTGAGGCGGGAGAATCTCTTGAACTCGGGAGGCGCAGGTTGCAGTGAGCGGAGATCGCGCCACTGCACTCCAGCCTGGGCGACAGAGCGAGACTCCGTCTCAAAAAAAGAAAAAAGGAGGGGAGGGTGCTAGTGAGATGGGGGTCCGAAATGGGGATGCAGCCATGGGAGCCCAGAGTAATGGAGTGTAGACATGGAATCTAGAGAGATGGGGTGCAGAGGTGGGGGTGCAGAGAGATGGGGTACAGAAGTGGGGTACAGTGAGATGGGGTACAGAAGTGGGGTGCAGATAGGTGGGGTATAGAAGTTGAGTGCGAAGAGATAGGGTACAGAAGTGGGGTATAGAGAGATGGGGTGCAGGGAGATGGGGTTCCATAGATGGGGAATAAAAAGGAGGGTGCTAGTGAGATGGGGATCCAAAATGGGGGTGCAGCCATGGGGGTCCGGAGAGATGGGGTGCAGAGATGGGGATCAAAAGGAGGATGCTAGTGAGTAGTGAGATGGGAGTGCAGCCACGGGGTCCAGAGATACTGAGGTGTAGAGGTGGGGATCAGGGAGATGGGATACAGAGATAGGGGTCAGAAATATGGGGTACAGAGGTGGAGGTATGGATAGATGGGGTATGTAAGTGCGTGCGGAAAGTTGGGGTTCAGGGAGATGGAGGAGGGAAGGATGCAGGACAGAGATAGGATCAGAGTGGTAGAGACCCAGAGATGGGGGAGTCCAGAGAGACGAGGAAGTCAGGGATGAAAGTTCCCAAGGAAGGACTGTCAGGATGGGGGCTCCGAGGTAGGGAGATTTGAGAGATAGCGGTCTGATAAAAGGCGGTCCGAGAGATGCGGCTCAGGCATGGGGTTTTTGGGAGGCTGGGGTTCAGGAATGAGGCATAGCCGATGCAGGCTCTGGAAGTGTGGGGGCCACAGCTCCCCATTCTGAGGGTGGTAGTGACCAGACAGGAACTGGGGGGCAGAGGGGGCTGGAGAATTGGTGTGGGGAGCCCTGGGCGGGGCTGGAGCTGAGGGCGCTCTCCGCAGAGATGACGGAGAGACGAGAAGGGAGCATGGTGGAAAGTTTGGGGGTGCCCAGGGCGCGGGGAGGGCGTCACTTACAGCGATGACTTCTAGCCGCTGCCGGTAGAGGGAGCTCTCCGCCATGGGCCTGTTGGGAGAGGGCAGGGGCTTCGAGGGGCTCCCATCTTGAACGCCCCCCTCTTGGCCAAGATCCCTGAGCAGTATGGAAATTGCCCCGAGCCCAGCACTTTGCCTCTGTTTCCCCTTTGCACCTGGGAAGAGTCTGGGCGGGGGGCGAGGGTCTTGGGAGGGGAACTGAGCAGTGACCACGACTGGTGAGGCTAAAGCCCTCCCTAAATCTGGCTTTGTCTCTCTCAGCCTCAGTTTCCTCATCTGTAAGATGGGCAGGAATAGCTTGACCACCCTGTCCTTGCCACCCCCGATCTCAGAGGACGCTTGCAAGGAGCTATTCATGCAGGGAAAAGCTTAGGGTACAGTGCTACAAAAATAGTCCCATTGTTTATGAATAATCATAATTTATATAATTCCATGATGAATAATATGTATGATTAATTATAATAACCATCTCCAGTCCAACCTGCAGAAACTCTCAAATGCCACCAGGCCCCTAACAGGCTGTGTGCCTCTTTCTCTTCCCAGTCCCACACCCTCTCTGGACCTCAGCTCCTACCCAGAATTTCTCAAGCGCTGGGGGGGCAAGCGAGTCTGTGGCCCTCCCACTGTTGCCATGGTAACCCCAGAGCTGCCTCCTCCACCTGCTAACCCCCCTCCCTGGGGACAAGGATCACTGGGTCACTCTGCCTAGGACTGGACTCTGAGCTGGGAGGAGGGGGACTTGCCATTTAAGGTTTAACTCGAGATTCCCCTGTCATTGTCTTCCTCAAAACATCTCTACTTCTCAGCCTCCAGAGTGGCCTCTGGACCCACTTAGGCTCCCGTGGAAGCTGGAGGGTGACTGTCATACTGCAGGATGATTAGGGACAGTCAGTGTCACACCAACCTTATCAACACAGACATGCATTGGGCACCCCTGACTATGTTGCTATGTTGACCACGTGTCACAGGCCAGTATCTAGAAAGCGATGTCTCTCTGCCTGTCATCTCCACCGGCATGGACGGGCGCTGATCAAACCCTCAAACATTTATTAATTTGAACAGTCACCCTACTGGGTAAGCCTCATTGCCTGAACTCCAGCTAGGACCTTCCAGATCTTCTGTGGCCACAACGTGAAGGCTATTAGCACTTATAGTGCTATATATATGATATATATATACTATATATAGCATATAGTGTTCTAAGTGCCCCACGGGGTTTCCGCTAGGTTCCCACAGCCACCTCTGCCTCCCCCTCCCTGCCTCTATCATGACACAGTGGAGTCAACTCTTTGCTGAGTTGACATTCCAGCTAAGAACAAAATCAGCCAACCATTAGCTAGCCCGTAACACGTGCCAGGTGCAATGTAATTCACTGAATCCTCCCAACGACTCTAGGAGGTAAGCTATATGAATGTGTCCATTTTATGGATGGGAAAACTGAGGTTCTGAGAAGTGGCAGCAGTGTCCAAGGTCATGGAGCCAAGATCAGAACTTGAAGCTATCAGATCCAAAATACTGAGAACACAGCTGGCGAGGGGGGTGGGGGTGCAGGTCTAGGAATCCCCATCAAGGTAGCTAAGAGAGCAGCCTGGAGACCCTGAATGCTGTTTGGGGCAAGGAATTGAAGTCATGCTCTTTCTTTTTTTGAGTCGGAGTCTCGCTCTGTCACCCAGGCTGGAGTGCAATGGCTCAATCTCAGCTCACTGCAACCCCCGCTTCCTGGGTTCAAGTGATTCTCCTGCCTCAGCCTCCTGAGTAGCTGAGATTACAGGCGTGCACCACCAAGCCCGGCTAATTTTTGTATTTTTAGTACAGATGGGGTTTCACCATACTGGCCAGGCTGGTCTCGAACTCCTGACCTCAGGTGATCTGCCCGCCTCGGCCTCCCAAAGTGCTGGGATTACAGGCGTGAGCCACCGTGCCCGGCCACGAAGTCATGCTTTGCAAGATATCCCAAAGGAAGCCCAGATTCTGTGCTTATAGGTTTGCCCCTGGGGGAGGGCTGAAGTCCCGTGGTCTCCTGTACCACCCCCAAGATGTAATCTCCCTGCCTCTTCCTTGCTGGGGGGGATCGGGTTCCCATTGCTAAGCAACCAGGTTTGTAGTTGGTGAATAATGCAATGGAGGACCTAGAAGGGTGAGGAACCGAATTGGGGTCCCTAGTGTGGGGGGAAGCCCCTTTTCCAAAACTCTTTCCAAACCTCTGAAGCCCCCTCTACCCTTTTAACCTTAAAAAACTCTCACCCCTCAGCTATGAAAAGACTTCACACACCCCATTCCATCTTGCTTATCTCTAACTAACTCTGGAAGAACAACGTAGGCGGCCTGGGCTTCTGGCCACCCGCAAGAGTTGGTGGCCATTTCATGAAGGAGGTCATCCTTGCAATGTTGCCATTGTCTTTCTCAGGCTGGGAGCTTTTAACTTCTGTTGGATCTCAAGCCTTTTCTCCCACCTTGGACACTGACTTTAGGGGCAAAACGTGGAACCCAGTGACCCTGACCTTCCCCACTCCCTGCACCACAGCAGTAGCCCCACCCCCTGGCTGGACTTTGGGTTCTCAGCCCTGGCAGCGGAAAATCCCCGAAGAGGAAGGGGCAGGGGGAGCCTATATCTCTCTCCCACCCCTTGACTCTTTAAGGAAGGGTGACACTGATGAGCCTATGGGGTTGGCTAGCCAACCCCTCCACTCCCCGGGTCCCCTTAGGAGAGACCACTGGAGCTCTCGGCTCCCAGACAAGGCCAGCATCCCCCATGAGCCCCTCCCAAGGCCCTGCCCACCAGCCCCCCTGACCCCCCAGACACTTACATGGGTGTGGCCAGAGACCACACCTGGCTCTGCAGGGCCATCTCTGCCCAGAAGTTCACTTTCTGGTCTCCGAGTTCTGGACCCACCACCCGCTTGCCTGAAGGTGCCCCGGAGGCTGTGACTTGGCTGCCTGGAGTGGGGGGGGGCTGCGGGCGGGCACCGGGAGAGCAGGTCCAGCGGGTTTGGGCCAGGGAGGCGGTAGGCACACCAGAGAGGGGGGCTGGGGGCTGGAGGGCAGTTCTGGGGAGGTACTATCAGCTGTCCTGATAAATTATTCACCAGCCTCTGGCCTCTTTGTTGCACTCAGCTGCCTCCCGGAAAACACTTTCACACACGCGTGGTCAAGCGTGGGGGTGAGAGTACTGAGTCGGTGACTCCCCCTGCCACCAGAGAATGGCATTTCTACTTGGCACCCCAATCATCTTGAGTCTGACTGCCTGCCAAGACTCACCCACAGGAGAGCACCATTGCATAGCACACAGGCTGGAGACTGTTTTATTTTTTTAGAGATGGGGGTCTCACTCTGTTGCCCAGGCTAAAATGTAGTAGTGCGATCATAGCTCACTGCAGTTTCAGACTCCGGGGCGCAAACAATCCTCCCTCCTCGGCTTCTCAAAGTGCTGGGATTACAGGCATGAGCCACCACATCTGGCAGATAACATTTTTTAAAATTATTTTTTAAGAACAGGCACAGTGGTGCATATGTGTAATCCTAGCACTTTGGGAGGCCCAGGTGGGTGGATCACCTGAGGGCGGAGTTCGAGACTGGTCTGACCAACATGGTGAAACCCCGTCTCTGCTAAATACAAAAAAAAACTTAGCCGGGCATGGTGGTGCATGCCTGTAACCTCCGCTACTTGGGAGGCTGAGGCAGAAGAATCACTTGAACCCAGGTGGCAGAGGTTGCAGTTAGCCAAGATCGCACCATTGCACTCCAGCCTGGGCAACAAGAGCAAAACTCTGTCTAAAAAAAAAAAAATTACTTTTTGAGCCAGGCACGGTGGCTCACGCCTGTAATCCCAGCACTTTGGGAGGCCGAGGTGGGCGGATCACGAGGTCAGGAGTTTGAGACCAGCCTGGCCAACATGGAGAAAGCCTGCCTCTGCTAAAGATACACATTAGCCAGGTGTGGTGGCACACCTGTAGTCCTAGCTACTCGGGAGGTTGAGGCAGGAGAATTGCTTGTACCCAGGAGGCGGAGATTGCAGGGAGCTGAGATCATGCCACTGCACTCCAGCCTGGGTGACGGAGCAAGACTCCGTCTGAAAAAAAAAAATTACTTTTTGATCGTGGTAAAATACACATAACAAAATTTACCATTAGTGGCATTTAGTATGTTCACAATATTATGCAATCCTCACCACTGGTTCAGAATATTTTCATCAACCCAAAAGGAAGTGATCACTACTCATTCCCCTGCCTCCCGTGCCTGGCAACCACCAATCTGTGTCCATCTCTATGGATTTGCCTATTCTGGACTTTTTGTTTTTCTTTTTTGTTTGTTTGTTTTTTTAGATGGAGCCTCACTCTATCGCCCAGGCTAGAGTGCGATGGGCACAATCTTGGCTCACTGCAACCTCCACCTGCTGGGTTCAAGCAATTTTCCTGCCTCAGCCTCCCAAGTAGCTGGGATTACAGGCACCCGCCATCACGCCCAGCTAATTTTTGTATTCTTGTAGAGACAGGGTTTCACCATGTTGGCCAGGCTGGTCTTGAACTTCTGACCTCAGGTGATCCATCCTCCTTGGCCTCCCAAACTGCTGGGATTACAGGCGTCAGCCACTGTGCCCGGACTATTCTGGATAGTTCTATAAAAATGGACTCACAGGCCGGGCGCAGTGGCTCATGCCTGTAATCCCAGCATTTTGGGAGGCTGAGGTGGGCGGATTACCTGAGGTCAGGAGTTCAAGACCAGCCTGACCAACATGGAGAAACCCTATCTCTACTAAAAATACAAAATTAGCCAGGCATGGTGGTGCATACCTGTAATCTCAGCTACTTGGGAGGCTGAGGCAGGAGAATCACTTGAACCCGGGAGGCGGAGGTTGCGATGAGCCGAGATCACGCCATTGCACTCCAGCCTGGGCAACAAGAGCGAAACTCGGTCTCAACAAACAAACAAACAAAAGACTCACACACTATGTGGTCTTTTGTGTTTGGCTTCTTTCACTCAGCATCACGTTTTAAAATTTCATCCATGTAGCGTGTATTTATCGTTCCTTAATTCTTTTTTTTTTTTTTTTGAGACGGAGTCTCGCTCTGTTGCCCAGGCTGGAGTGCAGTGGTGCAATCTAGGCTCACTGCAAGCTCCGCCTCCCGGGTTCACACCATTCTCCTGCCTCAGCCTCCCAAGTAGCTGGGACTACAGGCGCCCGCCAACACACCTGGCTAATTTTTGTATTTTTAGTAGAGACGGGGTTTCACTGTGTTAGCCAGGATGGTCTCAATCTCCTGACCTCGTGATCCACCCGCCTCGGCCTCCCAAAGTGCTGGGATTACAGGCATGAGCCACCGTGCCCAGCCCCCTTAATTCCTTTTTTATGGCTGAATAATATTTCATCATATGAGTATACTATATTTTGCTGATCCATTTATCCATTGATAGACATTTGAGTTATTTCCACCTTTTGGAGGAAATAAAATATTCTATTTATTATTTATTTATTTATTTGAGACAGTCTCACTGTGTCACCCAGGCTGGACTGGAGTGCAGTGGTGCGATCTTGGCTCACTGCAACCTCTGCCCCCCAGGTTCAAGTGATTCTCCTGCCTCAGACTCCTGAGTAGCTGGGATTACAGGCATGCGCCACCATGCCTGGCTATTTTTTGTGTTTTTAGTAGAGGCGGGTTTCACCATATTGGCCAAGCTGGTCTTGAACTCCTGACCTCAAGTGATCCACCCCCCAAAGTGCTGGGATTACAGATGTGAGCCACCACATCCAGCCTATTTAATTGTTTGTAGATTGATTTTATAACTGTTAAATATTTAGATGTTGGAGCCAGGCATGGTGGCTCATGCCTGTAATTCCAACTACTCGGGAGGCGGAGGCAGGAGGATTGCTTAAGCCCAGGAGGTTGAGGCTGCAGTGAGTTGTAATCACGCCACTGCACTCCAGCCTAGGTGACAGAGCAAGACCCTATCTCAAATAATAATAATAATAAGGCATTATTCTAGGCATGGGGGCATTGGGTATAGAGATGAACTAGACAAACAGAAAATGCTATTATGCAGCTCACTTTCTCGTATGGGGAGAGAGACAGATAATACACAAATAGAAAGAAATATAAAAGCAATTGGTGCCGGGTCTGGTGGCTCATGCCTGTAAACCCAGCACTTTGGAAGCCCGAGCAGGCAAATCACCTTAGGTCAGGAGTTCGAGACCAGCCTAGCCAACATGGCGAAACCCCCGACTCTACTAAAAATACAAAAAATTAGCCGGCCATGCACCTGTAATCCCAGCTACTCAGGAGGCTGAGACAGGAGAATTGCTTGAACCTGAGAGGCAGAGGTTGCAGTGAGCCGAGATGGTGCTACTGCACTCCAGCCTGGGCAACAGAGCAAGACTCCTTCTCAAAAAAAAAAAATAATAAAAAGAAGGCTGGGGCCAGGCACGGTGGCTCACGCCTGTAATCCCAGCACTTTGGGAGGCCGAGGCAGGCAGATCATGAGGTCAGGAGATCGAGACCATCCTGGCTAACATGGTGAAACCCTGTCTCTACTAAAAAATACAAAAAAAAAAAGAAATTATCCAGGCATGGTGGCGGGCACCTGTAGTCCCAGCTACATGGGAGGCTGAGGCAGGAGAATGGCATGAACCCGGGAGGCAGAGCTTGCAGTGAGCCGAGATCATGCCACTGCACTCTAGCCTGGGTGACAAAGCGAGACTCCCTCTCAAAAAAAGAAGAAGAAGAAGAAGGCTGGGCGCGGTGGCTCATGCCTGTAATCCCAGCACATCGGGAGGCCGAGGTGGGTGGATCATGAGGTCAGGAGTTCAAGACCAGCCTGGCCAACGTGGTGAAACCCCGTCTCCACTAAAAATAGAAAAATAAGCCAGCCGCGGTGGTGCCACCAGTAATTCCAGCTACTCGGGAGGCTGTGGCAGAAGAATTGCTTGAATCCTGGAGGCAGAGATTGCAGTGAGCCAAGATCGCGCCACTGAACTCCAGCCTGGTTGGCAGAGTGAGACTTTTTGTCAAAAAAAAAAAAAAAAAAAAAAAAAGAATAAAATAAAAATGAAAGCAATTGGTGGCAACTGCAATTGGGGGTGAGTTATTGAGAATACCTGAAATGGGGCTAAAGAAGGAGTGCTCTTGTAGGCTGGGTTATCAGAGACCACTTCCCTGAAGAAGTGACATTTGAGGTGAGACCTGAATAGAGGAACCAGCCATGTGACTGTCATTTCAAGCAGAGAAAACAGCAGTGCAAAGACCCTGAGGTGGGAATGCAGTTGGGGGAGGGGTTAAGGGAAGTACGAAGCTGAAATGAAGTGACACAAGGTGACAGTGTGAGAAGATATGACCTGAGAAGTGGGCAGGGCCTGCTGGGGCAAGGTAGAGAATTCGTATTTTTATTCTAAATTTGGTGGGAGCCTTTGTTTTATTTGTATTATTATTATTGTTTTAGAGATGGTGTCTTACTATGTTGTCCAGGCTGTTCTTGAACTCCTAGGCTCAAGCCATCCTCCCGCCTGAGCCTCCAGGGTAGCTAGGATTATGAGCAAGCCACTGTGCGTGGCTTGATGGGAACCTTTGAGAGGGAGGAGGTGGCTGGAAGGAACAAGGATGGAGAGAAGTGGATGAATCCAAAATCTGTTTGGAGGTGGAGTCAAGAGAGTTTGCTGATGAATTGGAGGGTGGCTAAAGAAAGAAATTAAGGCTGACTCCTGGGGTACTTTTTGGCACGAAAAACTGAATGGGTGAAATTGACACACATGGTGAGGAGGAGTAGGGTTGGAAGAACCAAGAATGTGGTTTTGGAAGTGTTCAGTCTGAAATGTCTATTAGACCGGAGACTGCTAGATATGAGTCCAAAGCCTAGCGGAGCAGTTAGAGTTAGAGATATAAATTTGGGAGACATCAGCATAAAGATTATATATATATAATATATTAATATATTATATATATTAATATATTATATATAAATATATTATATATAATGTATTATATATTATATATAATAATATATTTATTTATATATTATAATAATGTCTATAAATATATTATATATAATATATTAATAATATATAATAATAAATACATAATATAATAATAAATATAAATATATTATTAATTTATTAATAATTTATTGTTGATATATTATTAATAAATTAATAAATATAAAAAATAATAATATAATACATATATTATATATAATATATTAATGTATTATATATTATATATTAATGTATTATATATTATATATTATATATATAAATATATATATAATATTTATATTTCTATATTAATATATTATATAATTATATAATATTATATATTATAGATATTTTATAATATATTATATATATATTAGAAGTGGAGTCTCACCACTTGCCACGTTGCCCAGGTTGGTCTCAAACTCCTTGCCTCAAGTGATCCTCCTGCCACAGCCTCCCAAAGCACTGGGATTACAGGCGTGAGCCACTGCACCCAGCGTAGATTTTTTTTTTTGAGACTGAGTCTCACTCTGTCACCCAGGCTGGAGTTCAGTGGCACGATCTCGGCTCACTGCAACCTCTGCCTCACAAGTTCAAGGGATTCTCCTGCCTCAGCCTCCTGAGTAGCAGGCCCACACCATCACGCCCACCTAAATTTTTTTGTATTTTTAGTAGAGACGGGGTTCCACCACGTTGGCCAGGCTGGTCTCGAACTCCTGACCTCAAGTGATCCACCACCTCCGCCTCCCAAAGTGCTGGGATTACAGGCTTGAGCCACTGTGCCCAGCCCAGCCTAGATGTTTAAAACATGAGATTGAAATTTGTCAGAGCCTGAGTCCCAATAGGAAAGATTGTGCACTTGAGGCTGGGGGCAGTGGCTCACGTCTGTAATCCTAGCACTTTGGGAGGCTGAGGCGAGTGGATCATGAGGTTAGGAGTTCAAGACCAGCCTGGCCAAGATGGTGAAACCCTGTCTCTACTAAAAATACAAAATTAGCTGGGCGTGGTGGTGGGTGCCTGTAATCCCAGCTACTCGGGAGGCTGAGGCAGAGAATTGCTTGAACCCAGGAGGTGGAGGTTGCAGTGACCCAAGATTGTGCCACTGCCCTCCAGCCTGGGCAACAGAACAAGACTCCTTCTCAAAAAAAAAAAAAAAAAAAAAAAAAAAGTCTGGGCACGGTGGCTCATGCCTGTAATCCCAGCACTCTGGGAGGCTGAGGCAGGCGGATCACCTGAGGTAACAAGTTCAAGACCGGCCTGGCCATGGTAAAACCCCGTCTCTACTAAAAATACAAAAAATTAGGTGGGCGTGCTGGCACATGCCTGTAATCCCAGGTACTTGGGAGGCTGAGGCAGGAGAATCGCTCGAACCCCAAGAGGCAAAGGTTGCAGTGAACCGAGAACGCACCATTGCACTCCAGCCTGGGCAACAAAAGCGAAACTCCGTCTCAAAAAAAAAAAAAAAGATTGTGCACTTGAACACGGTGGTTGATGAGAACTTAATAGAACCCAGTTTATAAAGCTGGAGGGGAAACCATCAAGGCACAGTATAGACGCCCTGGGTTAGCAACGCCTGGCAGCTGTGACCACCTCTTTGCCCTGGAGAGAGCTGTGTAGAGCTACTGCCTGTAGCAGAGGGATGTCACCAATGGGGCTTGGAGGTAGGGGACACGGGATAAACTTTTTCTTTTTTTTTTGAGACAGAGTCTCACTCTGTCGCCCAGGCTGGAGTGCAATGGTGCGATCTCGGCTCACTACAACCTCCATCTCCCAGGTTCAAGCAATTCTCCTGCCTCAGTCTCCCAAGTAGCTGGGATTACAGGTGCCCGCCACCACACCTGGCTAATTTTTAGTATTCTTAGTAGAAATGGGTTTTCGCCATATTGGCCAGGCTAGTCTCGAACTCCTGACCTCAGGTGATCCACCTGCCTCGGCCTCTCAAAGCACTGGGATTACAGGCATGAGCCACTGTGCGTGGCCAATTTTTTTTTTTTTTTTTTTTTTGAGACAGAGTCTTACTCTGTTGCTCAGGCTAGAGTGCAGTGGTGTGATCACAGCTCACTGCAGCCTTGATCTCCCTGGGCTCAGGTGATCCTCCCACCTCAGCCTCCTGAGTAGCTGGGACTGTAGGCACACACCACCAACATGCTGCTAATTTTTGCATTTTTTGTAGAGATGGGGTCTCACTACGTTACCCAGGCTGGTCTTGAACTCCTGGGGCTCAAGCCATCTGCCCGCCTCAGCCTCCCAAAGTGTTGGGATTACAGGTGTGAACCACTGTGCCCAGCTAAACATCTTTTTTTAGTGTTATTTTATTTATTTATTTATTTAGAGACAGGGTCTTTCTCTGTCACCCAGGCTGGAGTGTATTGGCATTATTATAGCTTACTGCGGCCTCAAACTCCTAGGCTCAAATGATCCTCCCACCTCAGGCTCCCAAGTGCCTGGGCCTACAGACACAAACCACCATACCCAGCTAATTTTAAAAAATGTCTTCTTTCCTTCATTCCTTCCCTCCTTCCTTCCTTCTTTCCCTCCCTCCCTCCCTCCCTTTCTTTCTCTCTTTCCTTCTTTCTTTCTTTCTTCCTTTCTGCAGAGACAGGGTCTCCCTATATTACCCAGGCTGGTTTCAAGCAATCCTCCTGCCTCGGCCTCCCAAAGTGTTAAAATTACAGGTGTGAGCCACCGTGCCTGGCTGGGATAAACACCTTGGCTTCACTCTCCTCTCTTTCATCAGGTGACCCCAAGGAAGCCAGAGGGGAAGGAAGGTGAAACAGAAGTCTGAGAAGGGGTGCTTGTGAAGTAGAAGGAAATCAGGAGGGGGTGGTGTACCCAAAGACCAAGGAGCTAATGAAGAGGAGGACAGGGAATGAAGTCAGTGATTGAATCTGCCAAACGGACATCATAGGTGCTCTTGTCAGAAAAAGCTCCCAGAAGCCGGGCGCGGTGGCTCATACCTGTAATCCTGGCACTTTGGGAGGCTGAGGCGGGCAGATCATGAGGTCAGGAGTTCGAGACCAGCCTGGCCAACATGGTGAAACCCCGTCTCTACTAAAACTACAAAAAAATTAGCTGGGCGTGGTGGCACACGCCTATAATCCCAGCTACTCCAGAGGCTGAAGCAGGAGAATCGCTTGAACTCAGGAGGCGGAGGTTGCAGTGAGCCAAGATCACACCACTGCACTCCAGCCTGGGCAACAGAGTGAGACTTCGTCTCAAAAAAGAAAAAGAGCCCTTTCATCAATCTTCCCGCGTCCGCCGATTCCTCCTCCTTGGTCGCCGCGTCCTTGGCTGGCGTCAGAAAAATGGCTACAAACTTCCTAGCACATGAGAAGATCTGGTTTGACAAGTTCAAATATGACGACGCAGAAAGGAGATTCTATCAGCAGATGAACAGGCCTGTGGCAGGTGCCTCCCGCCAGGAGAACGGCGCCAGCGTGATCCTCCATGACATTGTGAGAGCCAGAGAGAACATCCAGAAATCCCTGGCTGGAAGCTCAGGCCCCGGGGCCTCCAGTGGCCCCAGCGGAGACCACAGCGAGCTCGTTGTCCGGATCGCCAGTCTGGAAGTGGAGAACCAGAGCCTGCGTGGCGTGGTACAGGAGCTGCAGCAGGCCATCTCCAAGCTGGAGGCCCAGCTGAACGTGCTGGAGAAGAGCTCGCCTGGCCACCGGGCCACGGCCCCGCAGACCCAGCACGTGTCTCCTATGCGCCAAGTGGAGTCCCCGGCCAAGAAGCCAGCCTCACCAGCAGAGGATGACGAGGATGATGACATCGACCTGTTTGGCAGCGACAATGAGGAGGAGGACAAGGAGGCGGCACAGCTGCGGGAGGAGCGGCTACGGCAGTACGCGGAGAAGGCCAAGAAGCCTGCATTAGTGGCCAAGTCCTCCATCCTGCTGGATGTCAAGCCTTGGGACGATGAGACGGACATGGCCCAGCTGGAGGCCTGTGTGCGCTCTATCGAGCTGGACGGGCTGGTCTGGGGGACCTCCAAGCTGATGCCCGTGGGCTACGGTATCCGGAAGCTACAGATTCAGTGTGTGGTGGAGGACGACAAGGTGGGGACTTACTTGCTGGAGGAGGAGATCACTAAATTTGAGGAGCACGTGCAGAGTGTCGATATCGCAGCTTTCAACAAGATCTGAAGCCTGAGTGTGTGTATGTGTGCGCGTGCGTAAGGCCCTGCCACGATTAAAGACTGAGACCGGCAAAAAAAAAAAAAAAAAAAAAAAAGAAAAAAAAAAGAAAGAAAGAAAAGAAAAAGAAAAAGAAAAAAATGTTCCCGTGAAAGGGGGCCAAGAACCCAGCCCAGTTGGCATGGCTGGAGGAAGGACCAGGAGATGATGCAGTGGGGAAGGTGCTATAGAGAAAACTTTTTCCCAGAAGTATACAGCTTATTTATTTATTTATTTATTTATTTATTTTGAGACAGAGTTTTGCTCTTGCTGCCTAGGCTAGAGTGCAGTGGCGCGATCTTGGCTCACTGTAACCTCCACCTCCCAGGTTCAAGTGATTCTCCCACCTCAGCTTCCCGAGTAGCTGGGATTACAGGCGCCCACCACCAGGCCTGGCTAATTTTTTTTTTGTATTTTTAGTAGAGACGGGGTTTGGCCATGCTGGCCAGGCTGGTTTCGAACTGCTGACCTCAGGTGATCCTCCCGCCTCGGCCTCTCAAAGTGCTGGCATCACGGGCATGAGCCTCCATGCCCGGCCGGTAACTGTATTTTTCCTTCTGGGCACCCCAGAATGGTGGGGTTGGGGGCAGGTTCTGGGAAGAGTCTGCTTCCATTAGGGGGAAAGTGGAAAACGTCCCTAGGGGAGGGTGGCCCGCGCAAGGGCATCGATCCTGCCCTTGAACCGCATGATCCGGCCCCAGCTGCTCTTTCCCCCTACCCTGGACGCCTCCTGTTTCCTGTCTGGGCCTCCCCAGGCGCCCGGGCCCAAGGTGACCGCCTTTCAACTGCAACCGCTAAGCTGCGCCCACGGCGCACTGTGTCCGTCTCTCCCTCCTCCCTCAATCCGGGAGTGCCCTTGGCAGCGGACACCTCCCGGATTTTTCCGGGAGGAGAGGGGAAGCCGCTTCTCGGCTTGGCGTGGGGGCAGTGGTGCGCGGCTGGGAACCTCGCTGAGCCCAAGCATTGGTAGGGAGACCCCAGCGGCCAGTAAGGCGGCTCCTGGCGCCCCCTCGGGCCGGAGCTGTGCGCTGCAAGGCTGGATCGGAGGGAGGGCCCAGGGGCCTGAGGAGTCGCTGCCTGCCGGCTGGCACGACCAAGCGGGACTGCCCGGGTCCCGAAAATACGGCTTCGGGGGACACCTCACCAAGCGGCTAGTGGTTCAGAACCCCAGTCCGACGCGCTGCTGGGCCCAGTCTCCGGGACGATGACGGGGACATGGCTCTGAAAAAGTGCCAGGGTGCGCTCAGTAGAACCCAGCACCCAGAATGGCCCCCCAGAGAGCGGGGCCGGGTCTAGGGAAGCCCTCTTCCAAGAAGTCCCGTGCCCTGAGGTGACTGGGCGCGCTAGTTGATGAAACTGAGTGCCCCACCGAGGCGCCCCTGTCCCGAGGGCGGGGCCAGGGCGGGGCGGGAGTCCTCCTGGCAGGTGCCGGGGGCGGTGCCCGGCCCTGCCCCCGGGGGCCGTTCCTGGAGGCCAGAGGCGGGTCAGAGAAGCCGCCGGTGCGGGCGACGCCTTGGAACCCACGGCCGCCACTGCCGCCACAGGTGCCTCACAGTGCCCTCTGTCCTCGCTCTGGGAATCAAAACCCCGGTTGGGAACTGAGGCTTCCGAACTGCTTCCAACCCTGGACACGAAGGCCCCCACCGGCCGGAGAACGAAACCCTGGGGTCGTCTGAAGAGGAGGGCCAGGAGTCCCCAGGGCCAGACAGCGAAGCCCCAGAGCTGCTGCGGAGCTGAACACCGAGGTCCCCAAGCCCTCCGCAAAGGACGTGGAGATCCTGGAGCAAGAGAGCGAAGTCCTCGAGCCATCAGTCGAGCAGGACGCAGAGAGCCCCGGGCTGTCCACAGCTGCGGGCTTTGAGAGTCCTGAGCCAGGCAGAGACGACCCTGGGCCGTCCGAAGCGCAAAGGGCGGAGGTCCAGGGGCAGCATCCCCCTCCAGGCCCTAAGACCTCCTCCTCCAGGTCAGGCTCGGAAGCCCCCCACCTGCGTTTTCCGCCGTGCCCCGAGGCTCCCCAGCGTCCCCCGGAGGAGCGGTTCATGGAGACGCCCATCGAGCGCGAAATCCGCCGCAGCTGCGAACGCGAGGAGAGCCTGCGCCGGAGCCGGGGCCTGAGCCCGGGCCGCGCAGGCCGTGAACTCGTCGAGCTGCGCGTGCGGCCGGTGCTCAACCTGCCGGGTCCTGGCCCCGCGCTCCCGCGCGCCCTGGAGCGGGCGCGGGCGGGCGCGCAGATGCAGCGGGACATCGAGCGGGAGGCCCACCGGCAGGCGGCGCTGGCGCGCCCCGCGGTCCCCGAGCCGCGCGCCCGGTCGCCGCCGCAGCCGCTGGGCGAACTCAAGCGCTTCTTCGAGGCCGCGGCGGGGAGCGGCTCCTCGGCGGGGGCGGGGGACGGCGCGGGCCCGCAGAGGCTGCCAGAGCCTGGGGGACGGCCGCGCTCGGCCGTGCAGGGCGGGTGCCGGGTGCTGGGCAGCGCCCCGCCGCCTTTCACTCCGTCACTGCTGGAGCAGGAGGTGCGCGCCGTGCGCGAGCGCGAGCAGGAACTGCAGCGCCAGCGGCGCAGCGTCTATGGCACCGCGGAGTTCAAGGAGCCTACGCCGAGCCTCACCGGTAAGCCGCGGGCGTAGCAACGCCGGGACCCCCAGGGTTCCAGCCGCCCCCACCGATTGCCCAACTTCAGTGGCCCCTCCTGTGGCCCTCCGATTCTCGGGGTCTCTCCCTCCAAGCTCCCAGACCCCCTCTCAATTTTGTCTCTTGCCTACCCCTTCTGGAGCTCCATTACTCGCTGTGATCCACCCCTCCACCGGGAGTGATGGACTCTCTGATCCACACCACCCAGGCTGCGCGGGGGTGGGGGCATTCCAGATGTCTTCCTTTTTGTCGGGTTCCAGGGAACCCTGACTGGGTTCTGGCACTCCTGGGTCCTCCCTCTGAATTTTCGGGCTCCTGCTTCTCCATTCTGGGTTCACCTCCCTCCTCCCTCGGGTTCCTGGGTGCCTGGAGTTGAATGGAGGCTTTCATGGGGAGGCGGAGGGTGAACGCCTGTGTGTGTTTAAGGGGTGCGGCCGGCCTTTCATCCTGGCTGCCGCCAGCTGGTGAGCTGAGCGCCCCTTCCCCCGCAGCGAGCAGGGGCGACGGAAAGTTGGTGGTGATCTGGCCCCCCCGCAGAAAGGTCTCGGAGAACGGCCTGGAGCAGGTGGGAGCCCCCTTACCCGTGTGCCTCTAGCGCTTGTCGGTCCCCCCACCCCTCCGGTGCCAGGACGCTTGGTGGGGAAAAGTGCATCCTCCCTGGAGGGCCACTCTGGTCAGAACTCAGTCTGGGACGCATCCCCGGGGTGAAGAGGAGACGGTGGTCTTGAGGCCCAAACCGCCACCCCGAGCCTGGATGCAGTGCGCAGGTCCCTGAGGCCGGCCTTCCTTCTGGTCCTCTGTCCCCAGGAGGAGCGCAAACCTTGAGGTTTGAAAAGGCTGGGACCCCCGGCCGGAAGTAACGTACGCGTCAGAGGAACAGGGCGGGGGGCGTCTAGCATTAGGCCTGGAGAAGGGTCGGCTCTCTGCATTGGGGAAGATGAAATCGACTTGCCTTTGTGAAATTGACCAGCCCCCTCTATAAAACTTACAGTCCCCCATTGGGAAACTGACCACCACCCACAACTCCGCCAGTGAAACTGCCCAGCCCTTCTCTGCCTAATTGCAAACTGAACTACCCTCTCCCTTGACTGTTAAGAGGGCCGGAGTTACCGCCTCGATTGCCCCACTCCCCCCACCCCCAATAAAGCCTCTTCTTTCAGGGCACTGCAGCCTGTTTTTTTCTGGGTCCTCTTCGTCTGGGGTGGGGCGGGAGCACGGCGGGCCGAGGGAGGCCCGAGAAAACCCCAAGAGGTGCGGGCCGGAATGCGGGAATGCGCCCTTACCGCCCTGCTCTGGGGCTGCCCGCCTCCCCCGGCACGGCCAGACACGGCCTGGCCCAGGTCCTACCGCCCCCTGGCGGCCCGGGCGCAAAATGTGGCGCGCTTACCGAGTTCACACCCTCTCGTTTCCAGGCTTCCTCGTCAACATTTATTGGTGCCAACGATGTGCCCTGCGCTGGGCACTGGCTAGACAGTGGTGATAAGAGGCTGTTCCTACCCTGGGAACGTAAACAATAGCTACTAAAAAAAAGAGGTGGTGAGGGTTCAGGCTTCTCAACATTATTAGTTCCTAATGATCACCGTTCTTCTTGACCTCATGGGTCCTCACTATGAGACGTGCTCATTCGTGGTGTTGGGTCAAGAGTTTCTGCTTTCCAAAAGCATCCGTGGCCGGGCGCGGTGGCTCACGCCTGTAATCCCAGCACTTTGGGAGGCCGACGTGGGTGGATCAGTTGAGGCCAGGAATTGGAGACGAGCCTGGCCAACACGGTGAAACCCCGTCTCTACTAAAAATACAAAATATTAGCCGGGCGTGGTGGTGCATGTCTGTAATCCAGCTACTCAGGAGGCTGAGGCATGAGAATCACTTGAACCCAGGAGGCGGAGGTTGCAGTGAGCCAAGAACGGGCCACTGCACTCCAGCCTGGGTGACACAGTGAGACTCTGCCTCAAAAAAATAAAAAAGGCAACTGAAACCTGGCTTTTAAGAGAGAAATCTGCATTTTTATGATTGTGACTATTTAGGAAAAACTTTTTTTTTTTTTTGAGACAGTTTTGCTCTGTCACCCAGGCTGGAGTGCAGTGGTGCGATCTCAGCTCACTACAACCTTTGCCTCCTGGGCTCAAGCAATTCTCCTGCCTAAGCCTCCCGAGTAGCTGGAATTACAGGTGCACATCACCACACCGGCTAATTTATTGTATTTTTAGTAGAGATGGGTTTTCACCATGTTGTCCAGGCTGGTCTTGAACTCCTGGCCTCAAGTGATCTGCCGGCCTCAGCCTCCCAGTTTTTTCTAGGCGCCCTGCCTAGAAAAAACTTTTAAAGTTGTGCGGGAGGAGAGGAAGGAAGGAAGTTGGCAAGCAACAACTGTTTGCAATAGGGCCTGTGGCTGTCAATTTGCAAGCTCTGGTTAATTTCTCTCCCCTGGATGGGGGTTCAAGAGGGTGGGTGAACACCCTAAATTGTCTCTAAAACTGTATCTGCACAGTTAACATTCTGGGACTATTTTTACAGTGTCTTAGAAGTGCACTGAGGGCCTGGCGCGGTGGCTCACGCCTGTAATCCCAGCACTTTGGGAGGCCAAAGCAGGTGGATCACGAGGTCAGGAGATCAAGACCATCCTGGCTAATATGGTGAAACCCCATCTCTACTAAAAATACAAAAAAAAAAAAAAAAATTAGCCGGGCGTGGTGGTGGGTGCCTGTAGTCCCAGCTACTCAGGAGGCTGAGGCAGGAGAATGGCGTGAACCCGGGAGGTGGAGGTTGCAATGACCCGAGATTGCACCACTGCACTCTAGCCTGGGTGACAGAACAAGACTCCATATTAAAAAAAAAAAAAAGAAGTGCACTGAGGACCAGACATGGTGACTCATGCCTGTAATTCTAGCACTTTGGGAGGCCAAGGCAGGAGGATTGCTTGATCCCAGGAGTTCAAGACCAGCTTGGGCAACATAGCGAGACACTGCCCCACCCCATCTCTACAAAAAATTAACCGGGTGTGGTGGCATGTGCCTGTGGTCCCAGCTACTCTGGAAGCTTAGCAGGAGATCGCCTGAGCCTGGGAGGTTGAGGCTACAGTGAGCTATGATTGAACCACTGCACTCCAGCCTGGGTGAGAGTGAGATCTGTAACCTAAGAAAAAAAAAAAATTCACTAAGACCAGAAAAGGGGAGACCCAGGAAGTTTAAATTTAAAAATGTTTTCAATTTTGGAGACAAGTCTTGTTCTGTCACGCAGGCTGCAGTGCAGTGGCATGATCACAGCTTACTGTAACCTTGATCTCCTGGGCTCAAGTGATCCTCCTGCCTCAGCCTCCTGAGTAGCTGGGACTACAGGTGTGAACCACCACACCCAACCCAGGAACATTTTAGAATCGCTGTTTCAACTCTTGGCTCTTGAGATCGTGTCACTGCACTCCAGCCTGGGTGACAGAGCGAAACTCTGTCTTAAACAAAAACAAATTCTTGGCTCTGTCCAACTCTGTCTCTTGTATAGGGGCATCAAATGTCTAGTGAAATCCATATGCATAAAATACAGAGAGGTCATGCTGATACAAGGCTGCACCCAAGAGCAGCTCAGCCCATGAAGGGCTCATCAGCTGACCCCATCCTCAGCCCAGTGACCCCATCCTCAGCATACTTCACTGTGACTGTGGGAGCTATGTAGAGAAAGGCGGAGAGAGCCTGGGAAGGTGGAAAATGGAAACACCTAGAGGCTGGTCTTAATTTCCAGCAGGGGAGCCAAGAACTAAGTATGTCATGAGTGGACAGGGGCCGGGCATGGTGGCTCATGCCTGTAATCCCAGCACTTTGGGAGGCCAAGGTGGGTGGATCACCTGAGGTCAGGAGTTTGAGACCAGCCTGGCCAACATGGTGAAAACCCATCTCCACTAAAAATACAAAAATTAGGCCTGGTGCAGTGGCTCATGCCTGTAATCCCAGCACTTTGGGAGGCTAAGGCGAGTGGATCACCTGAGGTCAGGAGTTCGAGATCAGCCTGGCCAACATGGAGAAACCCCATCTCTACTAAAAATCAAGAAATTAGCCAGGCATGGTGGCGCATGCCTGTAGTCCAAGCTACTCAAGAGACTGAGGCAGGAGAATCACTTGAACCCAGGAGGCAGAGGTTGCAGTGAGCCCTGAGATTGCACCACTGTACTCCAGCCTGGGTGACAGAGCGAGACTCCATCTCCAAAAAAAAAAGAGTGGACAGGACTACTTAAGTATAGATGAGGGATTCTCTAACTTTTCTGAATATTAAACTCAACTGAGGCCCCCATATGTCAAGTAAATCAGAATGGGGGAAGGGCTTGACATCAGTATTTTTTGAAGCTCCCAGGTGATTACAATATACAGCTGAGTCTGAGAACCATGAAGTAAATATAAACCAGCAGTTCTCAATGTAGTGGCACCAGGACCAGCAGTATCCGCAATGCTTGGGGAATTGCTAGACATGCGCCTTCCAGGGGCCAGGTGTGGTGGCTCATGCCTATAATCACAGCACTTTGGGAGGCTGAGGTGGGATAATTGCTTGAGTCTGGGAGTTCAAGACCAGTGTGGGCAATATAGCAAGACAAAGTCTCTACCAAAAAAAAAAAAGAGAGAGAGAAAAAAAAGCACTTTCTTGGGTCTCATCCCAGACTTAATGATCAAACTCTCCATGTGATTCTGATGCACACTAGGAAGTTTGAGAATCAAGGGTGTAGAAAGCTGCTCAGCAACAGGACCCAGGAAACAAAGCTTGTTTCCTTCCCCTTCCAGTACTGTACTGTCACCACCCACCCGAAACCCTGTCTTAAGAGACAGTGGATTTGACTTAAAGGAGACCGTCTAGAGCTGCTTGTGGCTAGTCTGAATTGAGATATGTTGTAAATGTGAAATGCTAGATTTCTTTTCCTTTTTTTTTTTTTTTTTTTTTTTGAGATGGAGTCTTGCTCTTGTTGCCCAGGCTGGAGTGCAATGGCACGATCTCGGCTCACTGCAACCTCCATCTCCTGGGCTCAAGCGGTTCTCCTGCCTCAGCCTCCAGAGTAGCTGAGATTACCAGCACCTGCCACCATGCCCGGCTAATTTTTGTAGTTTTAGTAGAGATGGGGTTTCGCCATGTTGGCCAGGCTGGTCTCAAACTCCTGACCTCATGATCTGCCTGCCTCGGCCTCCCAAAGTGCTGGGATTACAGGTGTGAGCCACTGCATCTGGCTTTTTTTTTTTTTTTTCAGATGGAGTCTCGCTCTGTTGCGCAGGCTGGAGTGTAGTGGTGCGATCTCGGCTCACTGCAACCTCCATCTCCCAGATTTAAGCGAGTCTCCTGGCTCAGCCTCTTGAATAGCTGGGATCACAGGCGCCCACCACCACACCCACCTTTTTTTTTTTTGTTTTTTTTTTTTGCATTTTTAGTAGAGACAGGATTTTGCCATGTTGGCCAGGCTGGTCTCGAACTCGTGACCTCAAGTGACCCACCTGTCTCGGCCTCCCAAAGTGCTGGGATTATGGGCATGAGCCACCATGTCCGGCCAAGATTTCTAAGACAGTACAAAAAAGGAAAATACCTCAATAATTTTTTTACATGGATTATACATTGAAATAATATTTTGGGTATAACAGGTTAAATAAAATATCACGAAAATGAATCTAACCTCTTAATTTTTTATTTTTTATTTTTTTTTGAGACGGAGTCTCGCTGTGTCACCCAGGCTGGAATGCAGTGGTGCGATCTCGGCTCACTGCAAGATCCACCTCCCGGGTTCACGCCATTCTCCTGCCTCAGCCTCCCGAATGGCTGGGACTACAGGCGCCTGCCACCACGCCCGGCTAATTTTTTGTATTTTTAGTAGAGACGGGGTTTCACCGTGTTAGCCAGGATGGTCTCAATCTCCTGACCTCGTGATCCGCCTGCCTCAGCTTCCCAAAGTGCTGGGATTATAGGCATGAGCCACGGCGCCTGGCCCTAACCTCTTAATTTTTTTATGTGGTTACTAGAAAATTTGAAACTACATACGTGATTTGCGTTTGCAGCTCACTTGATATTTCCATTGGACCCCACGAGTCTAAAGAATCTTAAAGGCCGGGCAGGGTGGCTCATGCCTGTAATCCCAGCACTTTGGGAGGCCGAAGCGGGAGGATAGCTTAAGCCAGGAGTTCGAGACCAGCCTGGTCAACATAGGAAGAACCCCCCCCTTCTCTACAATAATAATAATAATATAATAATAATAATAAAATAGGGGCATCGTCGCTGCCTGTACTCCCAGCTGCTTAGGAGGCCGAAGTGGGAGGATCACTTGAACCCAGGAGTTAGAGTTTGCAGAAGTTGGAGGTTCCAGGATTGCGCCATTGCACTCCAGCCTGGGTGACAGAGCAAGACCCTTCCCTCCCCCCGAAAAACATCTTAGAGCCACAGGAAAACTCACAGGGACTCCCTCAAAGCGGTATCAGGGAGCATCAGGATTTCCTTGATGTCATTCAGACCACAGCTGTGGACTAAAAAACATCCTTGATGCAGTCAGAAATTGTCACCAGAAATACCCATGGAAGAGCAATAGTGGCCGGGCGCGGTGGCTCACGCCTGTAATCCCAGCACTTTGGGAGGCAGAGGCGAGCGGATCACCTGAGGTCAGGAGTTGGAGACCAGCCTGGCCAACATGGCGAAACCCCGTCTCTACTAGAAATACAAAAACTAGCTGGGCCTGGTGGCATCAGCCTGTAATCCCAGCTACTCGTGGGGCTGAGGCAAGAAAATCACTTGAGCCTGGGAAGCGGAGGTTGCAGTGAGCCGAGATCATGCCATTGTACTCCAGCCTGGGCGACAAGAGCGAAACTAGTGTTGGCATTCAATATTGATTCATTTCACCTCTAACGTCCTTTTTTATCATCTGGAAATGGAGGCTAATACTATGTGCCAGGGACTGGAAGGTAGGTGCTTTGCTCAAAATCATAAATAAGGGCAGGGCTCTGGGTGTCTCCTCTATGAAAATGCTGCCGGGGGCGGGGGGAGGGGAGGGGAGGGGAGGAGAACCAAAAGGGTCCCTCTTGGATTAAAGGGGTATAACCCGCAGCTGAGTGACACCTGGCTCAGGAGGACACCCTTCCTCCTTGCAACGGGCCACAAGTACCGGGTTGCGATCACAAGTACCCGGTTCAGGTCCAAGGTCCGCCACTTGCTCGCAGGAGCTTTGAGCAGGTGAGTTCATTTCTCTCAGCCAGGGTCTCCTCTCCAGTCCGAGATTAGAGAGAGGCTGAGAGATCCTAAGCTTGGATACCGTAGGGCTCTCCCACCTTGTCCGCACCCCGGATACCCCAAGAAAGACGACGACCTGTCCGGCCCCCAAGTCCCAAAAGCTGGAAGAGAAAAAAAAAGTCTAACTCGGGCCCTTAGGAAACTGATCGAGGGCACTTTCCTGGGGCGCGTCGGGAAAAGTAGTCTTCTACGCTAAAATAAATAACTTCCGGGTCAAAATATGGGAGTGGGCGTAGCCTTAAGTCTCTTCCTCCAGTGGACGTTGAATTTCCCCGGTACCCTAAACTTGCAGTTTTCTGGGTTCCGGTGTTGACGGGCACCACTTCCCTTTTTGCTTCATGTGCGCCTATGCGCATGCGCCAAACTCTCGTCCGCCTATTGGCGAATTCCAGGCTTCTTTCAAAAGACTACATTTCCCAGAAGGCCACGCGAGTGGGTGGGGCAATCCCCCGGGGGAGGGGCGCGGCATTCGCAGCGGACGCTGAGCCTGTGACCTCTTTCTTTCTTTTATTTAACACAAAACTGACGTGTCCGCATTCAGGGCCCCACGGCCAAGCCGGACTCGGTGCAGACAGGTCAGCTCGGCCTGGCCCTTTGGAAGGCGAGGCCGGGCTGCACTGCGAGAACGAGTGAGCCCCTCCCCTGCCCCCTATTCTGGAGTTTGGAACTGTCAAGTTCCAGCTCCTACCCTCTTCCCCAGGTTCAAGACCCCTGCGCTGCCCACCCCGCAGGCCCGGCTGCGCTCGGAGGCCGGGCCTGGCCTGCCTGGCCCGTGAGGATCTGCACCAGCAGGTCGGTGGCCAGCGTGGGCGTGGGCTCCTCGAAGCCGATGGTCAGCAGCTGCTGGTAGTCCCCAAGCGGCTGCGGGCACAAAATCCTGGGGTGGGGGGGCCAGGGATAGACAGGCCTGGACTTGAGTGCCCCCTGCCCCTCGGGAGTCCCTCCCTTTGAGTGAGAGGCTCAGGTGAAAGAGGCTTTGTTTCAGCTGCGGGTGGGAAAAACCCCCGGGGGAAACTTGTTTCCTTGTTGATCAGAGACTTAGTAATGGCTCCTAGAGGCTGAATAACTGGTCCTGACCTGTCCATTCGCTCTGCTAGCTGTGTGTCCTTGGGCAGGTAACAACTTCTCTGAGCACCCTGTTTTCTTTGTTAAATGGGGCCAATAGCATAGATCTCCATGGGTTGTTACTGGGGTCTGCATGAAGTGCTTTTCAGGGCACAATAAAATGCTATCACTACTAAGGGAAGCAAAGTGTTTGGGAAGGTGGATTGTCTTTGGTGGGGTTCTGCCTCCCCCTCCAGCTCCCAGGCCCACGTTGCTATTGCCCTAGCTCCTACCATGAATAAAGGTCATCCTCGGCTGGTCCTAGGGGCACCCATCGGCCGATGGACCACAGCTTCTGGATCTGTGGGCACGAATTGGCTGGACTCTGGCCTGTGTCTTCCCAAGTATCTCGATAGCACAGAAAGTAGCTAGGAGGGGAGGGAGCTGTAATTAGAAGTGATCAGCTTCCTAGCTACTTCTGTTGAGGGCTTTAATTTTGGAGTTGAGGTGGGAACTCATCAGAAGTTGCCCTGAAGTTCTCAGGTAGGAATGTGACTCCAAGGCCTTTTCTCCCTGCCAGCCTACTTTTAAGATGAGAACTTTTATTTTGGTGGGAGGGTGGGTTTTAAGAAAATAGAGGTAGCCTTTCAAAAGCCTTTAGTTTCCTGGTTCACTTTTTTTTTTTTTTAAGAGACAGATTATTGCTTCCACTCAGGGTGGAGTGCAGTGGCACAATCACAGCTCACCGTAGCCTTGATTCCTGGGCTCAAGTGCTCCTCCTGCCTAAGCCTCCCAAGTAGCTGGGACTACAGGTGCCAGCCATCACGCCTGGCGAATTTCTTTGTTGTTGAGACAGGGTCTTGCCATCTTGCCCAGGCTGATCTCAAACTCTTGAGCTCAAGTGATCCTCCTGCCTCGGCCTCCCAAAGTGTTGGGATTACAGGCGTGAGCCACTGCCTCGGGCCCTGGCTCACTTTTCACTTTGCTGGTGACGGTTTGGAGGGTCATATTGGCATTCATCATAGAAAGGGGAGGACTTTGATTTGGGTAAGAGGACTTACTAATCCACAAGGGAATCTTGTCCCCGACCAGGGGCCTCTGGGGTGGCTTCCAGGTGCCAGCGCATCTTCTTATAGAGGTAGCGGGGGAAGCGGCTGGCAGTGTAGGCGGTTGGGGCACAGTATCTGAAGATGGAGACCTCATGGGACAGGCTGATGGAGAACCTCCCGCAAAAGAAACAGGAGATGCTGGCGAGACATGAGAGAATGGAGGGGTGAGGCTGGGCCTTGGACTCCTTCATCCCCCCATCTGAGTCTCCTACCATTTTACCTAAGGGGGTTCATCTCCTCCAGGTCCACGAACCCAAAGGAAGCGTACATGAGGACCAGCTGTTCCAGGCGCAGGGTCAGCTGTTGGGAGATCTCTAACAGCTGCATACAAGAGGGGGGTACAGTGAGATCAGCTGGCCTGCGAGGAGTGGGCCTCCCCCTCCACCATCCCCACAGGCTCAGAGCTGCGAGAAGAAAGGGGCGTGGGGTCTAAGAAACCTCCACACACCCCCTTTCGGACCAGCTCCTGCAGGGGTCCATAGATGGGGGGTATGCTTCTCGCGGCTGCCTCCAGGTACAGGAAGTAGGGCTCACACATCTGTAAGAAGGTGGGCATGGCCTTGGCCAGCTGCTCCTTCTGTACTTGGTCTCTGCTGAAGGAAGAAGGGGGCCTTTGCCTGGAATCCCTCACAACCCCTCCCCACCCCGCAGTTTTCCCCATTCTACTCAATCCCAACCTGTATCCCTGGCTTTGACCCATTAGAAAAGCCCCCAGTTTCAGGTCTTTTCTGAACATCTTTCTGGTTTACCTGCATCAAACCCATTTGGAACACTTGTTAAAGTGCTGACACCTGAGTCTCACAACACTTAGGACCCAGAGCTTCCTGCAGGGTCTGGGCGCAGTGGCTCACGCCTGCAATCCTAGAGTTTTGGGAGGCTGAGGCTGGAGGATTGCTTGAGGCCAGGAGTTCCAGACAAGCCTAGGCAACATAGCAAGAACCCATCTCTACACAAAAATAATTAGCTGGGCATGGTGGCACCTGTAGTCCCAGTTACCCAGGAGGTGGAGGTGGGAAGATTGCTTGAGACCAGGAGTTCGAGGGTGCAGTGAGCTATGACTGCCCCACTGCACTCCAGCTTGGGTGACAGAGCGAGACCCTGTCTCATTAAAAAAAAAAAAACAGCCTCATGAGAATCCCTCGAACCTGGGAGGCGGAGGTTGCAGTGAGCTGAGTTCGCCCCACTGCACTCCAGCCTAGGTGACAGAGCAAGACTCCATTTCAAAAAAACACATAACAACAAAACAAAACAAAAAAACCCAGCCTCGGGTAGGCGCGGTGGCTCACGTCTGTAATTCCAGCACTTTGGGAGGCCAAGGCGGGTGGATCATGAGGTCAGGAGCTCAAGACCAGTCTGGCCAAGATGGTGAAACTCTGTCTCTACTAAGAAAAGAAAAAAATTAGCCGGGCAACACATGTTGGTGGGCGCCTGTAATCCCAGCTACTCGGGAGGCTGAGGCAGAGAATTGCTTCAATCCGGGAGGCGGAGGTTGCAGTGAGCTGAGATTGCACCACTGCACTCCAGCCTGGGCGACAGAGTGAGACTCCATCTCAAAAACAAACACGCAAACAAAACCCAACCCAGCCTCCTAGGAAATTCCAATGGACACTGAAATTGAGAGTCACAGGGAAACCTGGTCTGGGAATCACATTATCCTTTGGAGTCTCAAACTGATGTCCTGCAGGCCAAGTTTGGCTCAGGTGGGTCTTGTTTAGCCAGCACAGGGCTCAAAATGTAAGACAGCACTTAAAAACTGGGAGAAAAAGTCCTAGAGACTTGACAACCCCAGGCCCACACTGCCACGACAGTAATAGCAGCCATCCCCTACCCGCAATTCTACAGTCTTCCTCATTCTCTTAAACTGGATTCTAATATGCTAGCTTCTTCCACTGTCTCCCTCTGGCTCCTAGCGCTTGTAATTTTGCGACCCTGGTGTGTGTCACCCATCCTGTCGCCTCCCCTCCAAGTCTCCTTACCCATGGGGACCTGGGACCCTGTCCAGCATCACCTGTAGAGCAAGTAGCTCTGGAAATCATCTGCCTTCTTCAGTAGGTAGCGCAGCTGTTGGGTGATGGGGCTGAACAAAGTGTCCAGGGATAGGCGGGGAGGTGCTGGCCCAGGCCGGGGGACCAGAGGTTTGGGGGAAGACGTGGAGGCCCGGGCCTCAGCCAGCCGCCCCTCGGCATCTTCAGGATCCGGCTCAGATGGGTTCCCAGGCCTGCCAGGGGGCGTCGACCTGGAGGGGTCTCCGCAGGGCGGCGTCCCAGGTTCCAAGGCGTCTGGAGGCGGTGTTTCTCCAGGGTCCAGGGGGAGCGACCCCTCGAACCACTGCTCTGTAGCCATGGTAGGGCCGGGGGGCGGGAACCTGAGCTCTTTAAGCTTCCGCTGCTGCTCAGGTTGGCCGCGGGTTCGACCCCGCCCCGGGAGCCTCCGACTGGCCCCTGCCTTGACCTCTCCACCGGAGCCGCGCCGCCGCGCCGGGGGCCGTTCGCCTCTTTTGAATTTCAACACGCGGGAGGGGCGCGCCTCTCCAGTCCGCGCGCCTGCGGCCCCCTACCCCTGCACACGCGCCGCACGCGCTCCAGGAACCTGGCGGTGGGGAGGGACCCGCCTAGGGAGGTGGCCTCTGGCCGTGTCCTGGGGGTGTGGCTAGGGCCGGGACCTTTATCTCTCGAGGTGGATTCCTAGAGTGGAGGGGTCTCTAAACGTGTCTCCAACCCCTCAACCCGGCACAGGTATATGGAATGAGGCCGCCCAGGCCCCAGCCCCTCACTCCCAGAACGCTTTTTGTTGTTAAAACATTTTTTTAATTTAAAATTTTTAGAGATGGGGGCCCATGTTGCCCAGGTTGGTCTCAAACTCCTGGACTCAAGCGATCCTCCCGTGTCGGTCTCCTAAAGTGCCCAGCCTCTTTTTTTCTTTAAAAACAAAAAACAACTCTAATGAGTTGAGAAACTGCCTTAGAACTTAGTAGGGACTACTTAGAACTTAGTAGGGACTTTGGATGTAGTAACTCTGGCGACTACTACTAACAATAATTTTTAAAAATCTTCAGGCTGGACTTGGTGGCTCATGTCTGTAATCCTGACACTTTAGGAGGCTGAAGCGGGAGGACTGCTTGAGGCCAGGAGTTCAAGACCAGCCTAAGCCACATAGCAAGACCCTGTCTATACAAAAACCAAAATATTAGTTGGGTGTTGTCTGAGGCATGAGAATCACTTGTACCCAAAAGTTCGAGGCTGTCACCACAGTTATGATTGCACCAGTACACTCTAGCCTGAGTGACAGAGCAAGACTCTGTCTTGAAACAAAATCTTCACTTGGAAATCTTCTATCTCATGGTCTCATCTGATGGCCCAGAAGGAATTTTCTGTTGTTTTAATGAAGAGGACCATGAGGTCTGGAGACACTACTATGGTCCAAGAACAGATCCCTGCCCCAATATTTGTAGTGGATTCTTTGCAGTAGACAAAGGCTGACAGGTTTATAGTTTTTAATGTACATTATGTCAAATACGCTAATTATATTTAAAGACTCTGAGTGAAGAACTCAGACAGGTGTCAGATGCCACCCTGTGTGACCCGGGGCAGACAGCATCTCTGTGCCGGGCCAGCTGCCTCTTCTGTAAGGTGGGATTTTATGAGTTTTTTGTCTTATGGGGACTTGGGAGGACAGTTGAGGAAATGCTTATAAACCCAAGGACTTAACTGCTAGCCATTCAACAATATTTGAGGCCAGGCATGGTGGCTCACGCTTGTAATCCCAGGCAGAATTGCTTGGCTGGGAGTTCGAGGCCAACCTGGCCAACAAAGTGCATACCCTCATCTCCACACACACACAAAGATTTTTTTTTGAGACAGAGTCTCACTTTGTCACCCAGGCTGGAGTGCAGTGGCACGATCTTGGCTCACTGCACCCTCCGCCTCCCAGGTGTAAGCAATCCTCTGCCTCAGCCTCCTGAATAGCTAGGATTACAGGCACCCACCACCACGCCCAGCTAATTTTTTTTTATATTTTTAGTAGAGACAGGGTTTCATCATCTTGGCCAGGCTGATCTTGAACTCCTGACCTCATGATCCACCCACCTCGGCCTCCCAAAGTGCTGGGATTACAGGCATGAGCCACTGTGCCCGGACAAAAATTTTTAAAAGTTAGCCCGGCATGGCAGAGTGCACCTGTAGTCCCAGCTACTCAGGAGGCTGAGGTGGGAGGATCACTTCAGCCCAGGAGTTTGAGGCTACAATGAGCTATGATAGCACCACTGCACTCCAGCCTGGGTGAAAGAATGAAACCTGTCTAAACGAAAAACAAAAATTGAGCACCTGCTGTGTGCCTAGCTCTGTTCTGGACACGGACACGGTGAGATTACAGAAGAAAAAAAAGCAAATATTCCCACCTTCCTGGAGCAATTATTGTTATACATGGCTGTGAGGCAGCTATAATTCATTGTTTCTGTTTTTCTCCCTCCCCAAACAATTCTGTCCTAACCTGAGGCTCTCTTAGGAGGCTCTTTAGTGCCCTCTCCCCACCCCATTCATAAAATGGACTCCGTGGCTTTTTTTTCCCTTTTTCTTTTTTTAAAATTTTATTTAAAAAACCTTCGGTGCAATATTAAAAAGCAATACAGCCAGCTGGAGCGACAATCAACAGAAAGAAAAGAGGGAGGAGAGAAAAGGCCCGAGGAACCCCAACCCAGCTAGTCCCCTAGGGGCTGGAGGCCAGGGGCAGACTGAGAAGGGGGGCATGGGTGGTAGGGGAGGGAGGAAAGACCACCCACCAAAATAAACAGGCAGATCCA
This sequence comes from Homo sapiens, assembly GCF_000001405.40. Classification (NCBI taxonomy): domain Eukaryota; kingdom Metazoa; phylum Chordata; class Mammalia; order Primates; family Hominidae; genus Homo; species Homo sapiens. The sequence continues at coordinate 14,088,083 of NC_000019.10, forward strand.
AACATTTATACAGGAAACATCTGGCTGAACGGAAGAGGATCTTGGGGAGATGAGAAGCCCCCCACATTTCATTTTTTTTTTCCTAAAATGTCCTGGACTGGGTGGGGAGGGTCAGCCACCTGGGGTTTAAGGAGCAATCCCCTCCCCACACCGACGTGCTGAGGAGCAGATGTGTGTGAGACAGACACAAGGGGCAAAGATAAGGACAAGAGGGTGCCCTCTCCTTGGAATCTGTTATGAGGGCTGAGGGTGTCCCCGTCCAGCTCCTGGACTCTGGGGGATCTTGGGTGAGATGGGGGCCGGAATGGGCTGGGGCAGGGGTGAGGCTGGGCGCTCAGCCTAAGAAGCCATCGGGGTCATCATCCTCAAAGTGGCCTTGCTGAAGCACCTTGATGTGGTGCTCGTAGATTTTCAGGGCTGGCCCGAGGCGGATGGACAGGCCGGTGAGCACATCTGTGCGCTGCATGAGCAGCAAAGATTTGCCATCAATTTCCTGGGTGGGACAGGAACAGAGAGAGCCGGGATCAGGGCACATCCCAGGGAGGCCCTCTGTGTCTGTCAGTGTGTAGTCCTGGGCTGGAAACTCACCTGCTCTTGGAAAGCTGTCGCCTGCTCCGGGAATCCAGCCTCAGTAAAATATTCGACGACATCCATCACGGTCCACTCGACGGGATCAGATGGCTTCTCTTTGCGCCCGGGACTGCATCAAAACAAACAGACACCAGTGAACACGGATGTCTCTCTGGCTGTACCACACACCTGAGCAGCACCCCCATGTCTCCAATACCCCAACTTACGGACAGCCAAAGGGGGTCCCGTCGGCCCCAGGTAGGGCTGGTTTGCCTGGGGGCAAAGGCACGGGGGACGGGGAGTCTGGCCCGGTGGCAACAGAAGCTGGGAAGGAAAAAAACACCTGTCTTTGGCTTTGTCTTCGGGCTGAGTTCCTCTCCACCTAGCACTCTTCCCCACCCAGAGGGATCCTTACCTGTTCCCCCTTCCTTGTTCATGGCTGCCATGGAGAACACCTGGCGGGTGCCGCTGCCCGGGGCTGGCCCCCGCCCTTCATCCTGGCCCTGGTGCGGTCCGCAGGGGGTCCACTCCTTGACCCTCTCCTTGGCACTCTGAGGTCCCCGCTCGCCGTTAAGCTGGTGGTGCTGGGCACCTGCAGGACGGTCACTCTCGGGCACTTCAGAGCCCTCTGACACATCATCTTCTTCATCTTCATCTTCATCATCATCTTCTTCCTCTTCTTTCTCAAGTACTCGCTCTTCTCCACCTCTCTGGAGCCGAGGAGAGAAGCATGCAAAATTAGTAGCTGTTCTAATCCCAGACCCTGACTGTGGCGTCCGGGCGGTGGGGAGGAGGAACCGATTCCACCTTTAAGAACAATACGGACTAACTTTTACGCATTCACTCCGTGCCAGGCTCTGTGTTAACTAAAGCCCTCGACAACCAAATCTTACTAAACTCGCTCAACAACCCCAAGGGGTCGCTACTGTTATTAAACCGCGTTTACAGCGGAGGAAACTGAGGCTCCGGGAGATTCAATCACTTGCCAAGGTCACCACGCACCGAGCCCGCAGGAAACGCGCGCAAAGCCCCAGCCACCCGCCACCCAGTTCCTCCCGGGACTCGCGCCCCCGCCACCAACTTCGCCCGCACCTGCCCACCGCGCGGCGCCCCCGCTCCCCGGCGCGCTCACCTTGCTGCGAGACGGGCGGGCGCTGGCGGCCGGCGGCGCCCGTCCGGGCCTGTCCCCGCGGGGCAGCGCAAGCGCTCCGAGACGGGTGCGCTCCAGACGGCCTCGAGCCGCCGCCTCCTCCTCCAGCAGCCCCTGCACGCGGCCGCGGGTTAGGCGACCGCCGGCGCCGCCGCTGCCCCCGAGGTAGCGCACGACTTCCCGCAGGCTCACGGGCCGCGCCGCGCCGCCGGCCCGCACCGCGCCCCCCTCCGGCGGCGGCTGTGGCTGCGGCGGCGGCGGCTGCTGCTGCTGTGGCGGCGCCGGCGGGGCCGGCGGGGTGGCTCCGCGCCGGGGCGGCTGGACGCGCGCCGCGTTGCGGTACGAGATGCTCCCCTTGTAGCTGACCCGGAGCACGGCGCGCTGCTGGATCAGTTTCTCGAGCTCGGCGCGCGTGCGCTCCGGCTCCGGGCCGTGCCGCCGCCGCACCATCCGGCAGATGCGCTCCAGGTCCGGCCGCGCCTTGCGCGAGCGCAGCGAGTCGATGGTGTCCAGGATCCACTCTTGGTAGTGCGGGGAAGCGGCGGACGACGAGGCGGCGGCCGCCGTGGTGGCGGCCGCCGCCGTCTCCGGCGGGGGTAGGGCCGGGGGCCCCGCCATGCCTCCCGCCCGGCCCGGCTGCACCGTGCGCGCTGCCTCCCTCCCAGCGCGGCGCCCCCCTCCCCGGCTCCCCTCCCTCCGCCGCTGCCCGCCTCCTCCGCCTCCCCCCCCGGGGGGCGCAGCGCCTCGGCGGAGCGGCGGCGGCGCTGCTGTTTCTTTGCAAAAAAAAAAAAAAAAAAAAGAGAGAGAGAGGGAGAGAGAGAGAGAGGAAAAAACAGTGAGAGAGAAAGAAAAGAGAGAAAAAAATATGCACACACTCACTCACTCGCACGCACGCACACACAGACCCGCTTCTGCTGGGCGCGCGCGGGGCCGGGGATGCGAGGGGGAGGAGGGGAGCGCGGCGCGGCCGGCCCCTCCCCGCCGCCGCCGCCGCCGCACGCGCGCCCTGCGCCCGGGACACTCCGGCCCCCCTTCCTTCCCTCCCTCCCTCCTCCCCGCCGCCCGCCTTCCTCCCTCCCACCCCCACGCGCCCGCTTTTAAGGTGGAGCCCGGGCCCCCCGCCCGCCCCCTTTACCCTGCGCTCTCGCTCACTCCGGCTCGCTCCGGCCCCCCCTTACAACTCCCGCGCGCTTTTTAAGGAGGCGCCGCGGAGTTGGCCCGGGGCGGGGGCGGGGGAAAGCGGCGGGCGGGGGAGGGGGAGGGGAGTGCCGGGGGGAGTGGAGAGGGGGCGGGCAGGGCGGGCGGGCGGCGCTCGGCCGCCCTCCAGCCATTGGGCGCGGGACCCAGACGTCCCCGGCGCCCAGCCCCCCTCTCCACGCCTCTCCAGCGCGCTCCGCTCTCGGGACCGCACTTACCGGGAACTCGCCGCCCGCGGGCCGGGGCTGCCGCGCTCGCAGGGTGCTGCGGGGACCCTCCTGCTGCCGCCGCCCCCGCGTCCCTCAGGCGCGCCTGGCCCGGCGCTGAGGATGCGGGAAGGGGGGCGCGCACCCTCTCCCCCTTCTACTCCCCCTGCCAGGGCCGCCCCCGCCGCCGCTCGGCCTCCTGGCGCGCCAGCCCCAGCGCCTCCCTAGAGCGCCCTCTCGGTCCCGGGCTGGACGCCGAGGGGGCGCGCCGCAGATTTGGGGACCCCGAATCTGGGGTCAAAGGGCAGTTTGACGCTCGTTTCTCCTGCGGGGCCGAAGGAGTGCCGGAATTTCAGCTAAACCCTGGTTACAAGGACTTCAAGCCAGGACCTGATCGGCCTGCACGCTGGGGTCCGAAATTCCCTTTCCAACCCCCTGGGGGTGTGTGGGTGGGTGATCGAAGTCGAGAACACCAGCGACACTTTTTTTTTAAACAAAACTTTATTGGTAATAGTTTTCAAATATGTTTACAACAGCACACTGTTCAAGAGGAAGTCTCGTCCTTCGCAGCACACAGGTTGAATCGCCCCCGCACCCACCCGGGGCCCCACCCCAGGCCTGAGAACTCCTCCTGGGATGGGGAGAAGTTATGAGAGGGGGAAATACGGGGATGAATGGGGTGGCTCCCCAGCGGCTCCCCACTTTTCTATTACGAGAGAAAAAAGCACAAATGAGAAAGTGGGGGAGAGGTGATGGACAGCTGACAGCTAAGCTGGAGGAGGGGCGCCCAGGATGGGGGAGGCGGAAGCTGGTGGGTGAGTAAAACAGGCAGCCCCTCCCCAGCAGCTCTAGCCTTGAACCCCGGGCCGTGGCTTGGGGGGACTTGGCCTCTTCTGTTCCCTTTTGCAGGGATGCCCTCCCCACTCAGCTGAGGGAAGGCTGGACGTTAAAATCTAGCGGAGAATAAAATTAAGGAGTTGGGGGGAAACGCTGCTGGGAGGAAAGACTTGGGCTTGGGGCTCCCCCTCTGTCTTTTTGGGGGATGACTCCTCTTTGGCAGGGAGAGGGGCAGCTGCTTTGTCTGGCTTTCAAAGCCCAAGGGTGAAGACAGGTCTGTTGGGGAAAAAGAGAGCGGAGGCTTCCTAAAGGGGCCTAGACCCTCGCAGGATTGGCAGAGAGGATTCCCCGGGGAGGGGCCCAGGGGAGATTAGCAGCGGGGAGGTTCAAACCCCAGCGCCTCCCTTTCCAAAGTCAGTCTGCTTCTCTTTAAAATGGATTTGAGGAATGGGGGGACATGGGAGGGGTGGGAGTAGAGGAAGGAGGGAGGGAGGCACTGGTGGAACTTAAATAAGATTTTAAATTGTTGTTTTTTTAAAAAAATTCTAGCAAGCAACCCACTGAACATGTCACTAAAAATCTCTCCTTCCCAGGCAGGATTACTCCGAAAGGAAGGTTGGCGCTTCGTTCATTTGCCCTTAGCAAGTGGGGCCTGTGGTTGGGTGGGATGGGGGTGTGGGTGGGGGCTGGAGTTAAGCGTGAGCCCCTCTTTCCATACCCTGTCCCTGGATACACCAGCAAGACCTGGTCTGACTGGAGTTGAGAAACTCGTTTAAAACAGGCAGAAGTGGGCTGGGAGGGCTGAGGGGCTGGGGGGCTGTGGGGAAAGAGGAAGGGAAAAGTGGGAGAGGGGGCAGGAGGGTGAAGGGGATGAGGGGGAGCAGCTGGTGTTTCTGTCCCTCTGATTATCTGGGCTTCCTGCTCCCCCTAACCCTGGAGGGTGGGGTGGGGGTGAAATTAGATGCAAGGAACTCTGGGGCCCTCTGGCTGTTCAATCCAACCCTCCCACCCCCCCGACCAAAAAAAAGAAAAAAGAAAAAAGAAAACCCATGGGGGCACAGGCATGCCCCTAAAACTCAGAAAACTCCTTGCCACACTTCTCATTGATGGAGACCCGGATTTCTTCTTCCTCATAGTCGTCAAAGTTACTCGTATCCCCAGGGCCTTTAAACTTTGGTATGAAGGGAGCTTCCACCTGGAGAGGGATCAAGAATCACCCAGACCTCAGCATTCAACATAATCATTATTACAACAATAAATGCGAATGGCCTAACATTCAAGAGATATTTACTCTGACTCAGGCCTGTGCTTACCATTAGGTTATGGATTCCTCTTAACAGCCCGAAACTCTTAATGTAGCAACTCATCAAAGGGGAAATTACTTCCCAGAGAGAGGCATCTGTTGCACAAGGTCATGGAATGGCCAAATGACCCCAGAATCCCATTTCTAGACCCCACTGCTCTAAGCTCTCTACTCTAGGTTGCTCCTGAACCTGTGTTCTCTTCTCTATTTCTCTATTGGCTGTCCTCCCTGACTCTTGGCCTGCTCCCAAACCCTCAGCAGGCTTAAGGAGGGGAGGCCCACCTTCCTCTGGTAGATGGCAATCCAGTCAGTTGTGGCAAACCACTTGTGGTTCTTGATATCGTTGACCCCATTCTTGAGGTTCCCAAAGCGCTTGGTGAGATCTACCTGCAGGAGGTTCCGCAGCAGGTCCTTCAAGTCAGAGCTGAAGTGGGAAGGGAAGCGCACCTGGAGGAAGGGGTACAAGGACAGGGTGGGAAGCTGGTCTGGAACTTGGGAAGCCCATGATGCTTCTTTCTCCATCCAACGGTCCTACTGGGTGTGGGCCTCCAAAGCAGAGTGCCTGCCAGCATCTTGTAAAACAGCTCCTTGAGCCTACCCTACAGTTTCCAATTTAGGAAGTCTGATACTGTGGCCTGAGAATCTGCATTTCTTTAAAAACTTTAAAAATTCAAGAGTTAGTTATTTTAAGAAGTTTTTGTAGAGACAGGGTCTCACTACGTTGCCCAGGCTGGTCTTGAACTTCTAGGCTCAAGCGATCCTCCTGCTTTGGCCTCCCAAAGTGCTAGGATTATAGGCGTGAGCCACCACACCCAGCAAGAATCTGCATTTCTTTTTTTGAAAAAAAAAAAAAAAAAAAAAAAAAAATAGCCTCACTCTGTAGCCCAGGCTGGAGTGCAGTGGTGCGATCTGGGCTCACTGCAACCTCCGCCTCCTGGGTTCAAGGAATTCTCCTGTCTCAGCCTCCTGAGTAGCTGGGATTACAGGCTCACGCCAAGACACCTGGCTAATTTTTGTATTTTTAGTAGAGACGGGGTTTCACCATATTGGTCAGGCTGGTCTTGAACTCTTGACCTTAGGTGATCCACCTGCCTTGGCCTCCCAAAGTGTTGGGATTACAGGTGTGAGCCACCGTGCCTGGCCCAAGAATCTGCATTTCTAACAAATTCCCCAGCAATGGTGCTGCTGGAAAGGGGTCCCTTTTAAGAACCATTGCTCTAAGGCAAGTGCTATGATGATTTCCATTTCAGAGAAGGGGAAACTGAGGCTTGGGTTAAACAGCTCTTCCTAGGTCACATTGAGGTGTGTGATGGGGCAATTCCATCTCAGGTCTACTGGACTCTAGAACTTGCATTCTCAGCTGCTGCTGCTGCTGCTTAAGGCATCTCTGCTGGGGTCTGGAGACTTCTGAAATATTCTTGCTTATGACAAACTTTTTCTCTCCTCTCTTTCTGCATAGCTAAGGCTCTTCCGTTCTTTAAAGCCCAGCTCAACTCTTCTTGAAAGTTTTCCCCAAACCCTCTGAGCCCACGCCTTGTATGCAAGTCATCACTGGAGTTATAGTTGCAAGAAACGACTTCTTGTTCCTGCTGTGCCTCTTACACGCTGTGTGACCTTGGCCATGGCCCTTAACCTCTCTGGGCCTGCGCATGCCTCTCAGATGTGGGGCAGATATGCCAGGGCTGCACGAGGGAGATAATACCACTGACGGTGCGGGGGAACTAGAAAATGCTACAAAGAAGGGAGTCATGTGCATCTTCTCCTGTGGGATCTTCTGTGTTTTTTTCTTTCTTTTTTTTCCCACTCTGGGACATTTTTTTTTCTTTTTTTCTTTTTTTTTTTTGAGATGGAGTCTTGCTCTGTTGCCCAGGCTGGAGTGCAGTGGCACAATCTCAGCTCACTGCAACCTCTGCCTCCCGGTTTCAAGTGATTCTCCTGCCTCAGACTCCTGAGTAGCTGGGATTACAGGTGTGTGCCACCATATCCGGCTAATTTTTGTATTTTTAGTAGAGACGGGGTTTCACCATGTTGGTCAGGCTGGTCTTAAACTCCTGACCTCGTGATCCGCCCGCCTCGGCCTCCCAAAGTGCTGGGATTACAGGCGTGAGCCACCACACCCGGCCAACTCTGGGCCATTTTCTTGGCAGTTTCTTTTGGTCCGGTGGCAGATGCCTCATCTTTCCCTTTTTTTGAGACAGAGTCTTGCTCTGTCACCCAGGCTGAAGTGCAGTGGCGCAATCTCGGCTCACTACAACCTCTGTCTCCCGGGTTCAAGCAGTTCTCTGCCTCAGCCTCCCGAGTAGCTGGGATTACAGGCACCCGCCACCACGCCCAGCTAATTTTTGTATTTTTAGTAGAGACAGGGTTTCACCATGTTAGCCAGGCTGGTCTTGAACTCCTGACCTCGTGATCCACCTGCCTTGGCCTCCCAAAATGCTGGGATTATAGGTGTGAGCCACCGCGCCTGGCCTTCATCTTTCTCTTTTAGTGATGCTATGTGTCCAGCTGGGGCACCCCACTTGCCTGAATTTTTTTAAAAGACAGGGTCTGGCTCTGTGACCCAGGCTAGACTGCAGTGATGCAATCACAGCTCACAGCTCACTTCTGGGCTCAAGCGATCCTCCTGCCTCACCCTCCCGATGAGCTGGGAACACAGGGGTGCACCATCACGCCCAGCTAATTTTTAGTTTTTTTTTTTTTTTTTTTTTTTTGAGACAGAGTCCTGCCCTGTTGCCCAGGCTGGAGTACAATGGTGTGATCTTGGCTCACTGCAACCTCCGCCTCCTGGGTTCAAGTGATTCTCCTGCCTCAGCCTCCCAAGTAGCTGGGATTACAGGCGCCCACCACTATACCCAGCTAATTTTTTTTGTGTGTGTTTTTAGTAGAGACGGAGTTTCACCATGTTAGTCAGGCTGGTCTCGAACTCCCGACCTCAGGTGATCTGCCCGCCTTGGCTTCCCACAGTGCTGGGATTACAGGTGTAAGCCACCGCGCCCGGCCAGTTTGTTTTTTTTTTTTTTTTTTTAGAGATGGGGTCTGGCTATGTTGCCCAGGCTGGTCTGGAACTCCTGGCCTCAAGCCTCCACTTCCCAAGGTGCTGGCATTACAGGTGTGAGCCATTGTACCCAGCCCCAAAGTTTCAAAGCCAGTCGGTGGCAGAGCTGGGACTGGGGCCCAGGCTGAGCCTGAGGGTGCTCCCACCACAGTGTCATGACTCCGGGCCAACCAAAAGCTCCTGTGTAGGAGATGCTGGACCAAGTCGGGGGATGGTCGGGTCTTCCCAGCAAGGTGGTTGAGCTGAGGGCAGAGGTGGGGTCCCCAACCTCTCTCCGGCCATCAGTGCCTACAATGATTGCCTACGGTGATTACCTACTCACCAAAGTGTGATCTTGGCCAAGACACATCCCTTTTCCCAGCCTGTTTCCTCACCTCTCCTACAGAGGGTGCCACTATCTCAGGGTGTGACTGATGGGGATTCTGGGGCCTGGTGGATGGTGGGCACTTTGCACCTGTCATAGATGTGAGCTGAGATGGCTTCACCACCCCTCATCTGAACCCTCAGAGTTAGGCAAGTCTGGGTTTGGGAGAGGAAGCATGGGCTATAAATGCTAAGTGAGGGCAATCCTGGGTGAGGCTATGGACAGCACCTGGGAACAGGAACCAAATACATTCGTTTTTCTGCCTTGGAATTTGCGAAAACTCACACTAACTGGGATGAGGAGCGAAAAGGAGGGTCGTCTGGCAGGGCGGTTTGTGTTCTGTGGCCAAGATGTTCCCGTGAGGCTCGGGATTTTGGAAGCCCATGGGATTCTGGAACCGCGGGGTTGGGGCTGGACAGCAAGGGGGCTTGAGGTGTTGGCCTCAGTGTGGCCGGCGCGTCCAGCTTCACCACCTGGCCTGACTTAAGGAACTTCTAGATTATTCTGACAACAAGCAGGGCTCCCCAGGGAATAGGATGGGTGAGCAGGGAACGGTCTGTTTCTTCCAGGGCTGTGTCCCCACATCCGGACCTCACCTTCCCAGAGACGATCTTCTCATAGATCTGGATGGGCTGGTCTGCGAAGAAGGGCGGGTAGCCAGCGGCCATTTCATAGATAAGAACCCCCAGGGCCCACCAGTCCACGGCCTTGTTGTAGCCCTGGAGCAAGATGGGGGGGCACAGGGTGAGGAGGAGGCGAGAGCAGGAGAGCAGAGCCGGCCTCAGGGGAAGGGGAGGGCTGGGGAGGCTCCTACTTTGCTCAGGATAATCTCAGGGGCCAGGTACTCAGGGGTGCCGCACAAGGTCCAAGTGCGGCCCTTCACGCGCTTGGCGAAACCGAAGTCTGTCACCTGTGGGCACAAGAACAGGCAGTTGGCAGGGAGGAAGGGTCCAGGCCACGGCTTCCCCAGGGCTGCCCCTCGCCCGGCCTGGTGGGCACCTGAATGTAGCCCTGCTGGTCAATGAGCAGATTCTCCGGCTTCAGGTCCCTGTAGATGAGATCCAGCGAGTGCAGATACTCAAAGGTCAGGACGATCTGGGCCGCGTAGAAACGGGCATGGGGCTCACTGATGGGGACAAATGGGGAGGTGAACGTCAGTGGTCATGCCCCAAAATGGTCCAGCAGGTGGCCCTGCAGAGCCTACCCCAGAGGAAGACACCTCCAGTCCAGCCGTCAGAAACGCAAGGCACCTGATTCTTAGATAGCCCGACATGGGAAACAGCCTGTGGGTCCATCCACAGGAAAATGGAATCACAGACTGAGCTATAGTCATACAATGGAATTCCACTCACCACCACCACCGCCAACAGGACAGCCCATGCATCCACTCAACAATGTGGCTGCATTTCAAACTGATTATGTTAAGCAAAAGAAGACACAAAAGAACATGAATGATTCCATTTATATCATGTCCACGCCCAGACAAAACAAAGGCACGGTGTTTGAAGTCAGAAAGGACAACTGCCTTTGGTGGGGAGGTGACGTGTCAAGAGAGGGATTCGGCCCGGTGCGGTGGCTCACCCCTGTAATCCCAGCATTTTGGGGGGTCGAGGTGGGAAGATCGCTTGAGCCCAGGAGTTCGAGACCAGCCTGGGCAATATAGGCAAGACCTCACCTCTGTATGTATGTAGATATGTGTGTGTGTGTGTATATATATATATATATTTTTTTTTGATTAATTTATTTTTTTTAAGACAGTCTCGCTCTCTTGCCCAGGCTGGAGTGCAATGGCATAATCTCGGCTCACTGCAACCTTTGCCTCCTGGAAACAAGTGATTCTCTTGCCTCAGCCTCCTGAGTAGCTGGGATTACAGGTGTGCACCACCACGCCCGGCTAATTTTTATATTTTTAGTAGAGACGGGGTTTCACCATGTTGGTCAGGCTGGTCTCGAACTCCTGACCTTGTGATTCGCCCGCCTCGGCCTCCCAAAGTGCTGGGATTACAGGCGTGAGCCATGGCACCCGGCCTCCACCTCTGTATGTTATTGGAAAAAAAAAAAAAAAAAAAAGGGATTCAAGGGAATTTTCTTAGGTGATAGAAAAGTTCCATATACTGTTTTGGGTGGAGGTTAGGTAGCTATATACAACTGTCAAAACTTGTAGCATGGAACATTGAAGAACTGTGCATTTTGTTGTATGTAAAGTGAATCTATAGTTATCTATCTAAAATACAACTACAAGGCCAGCGCGGTGGCCCATGCCTGTAATCCCAGCATCTTGAGAGGCCAAGGCGGGGGGGGCGGATCACCTGAGGTCAGGAGTTCGAGACCAGCCTGGCCAACATGGTGAAACCCCATCTCTACTAAAAATACAAAAATTAGCCAGGCAAGGGGGCATGCACCTGTAGTCCCAGCTACTTGGGAGGCTGAGACAAGAGAATCACTTGAACCCGGGAGGCAGAGTTTGCATGGAGCCGAGATCGTGCCACTGCACTCCAGCCTGGGTGACAAGAGTGAAACTCTGTCTCAAAAAATAAAATCAAATAAAACTACGTATGTAAACTTATAAGTTAATAAGACAAATTTATAAGTTAAAAATTTTTTTTTTCTTTCAGCAGGGTCTGACTGGGTTACAACCCAGTCTGGACTGCAGCAGCGTGATCACGGCTTATGCAGTCTTTTTTTTTTTTTGCATATGTTGAACCAGCCTTGCATCCTAGGGATGAAGGTGGGCTCATGCAGTCTTGACCTCCCAGACTCAGGTGATCTTCCCACCTCAGCCTCCCCAGGAGCTGGGACTACAGGAATGTGCCACCACACCTGACTTTTTTTTTTTTTTTTTGTATTTTTTTGTAGAGATGGGGTCTTGCTATGTAAGGCTGGTCTCAAATTCCTGGGCTCTAGCAATCTGCCCACCTTGGCCTCCCCAAGTGGGATTATAGGGCATGAGCCACAGTACCCAGCCTGTATCTTAAACTTACAAATTTCTGTATATAGATTTATTTTATGTATAAAAATATATATTAAAATCTACACATATAAAACTGTCCACCTATATAAAATAAAATAATAGTATAATTTTTATTTTATTTTTTTGAGACGGAGTCTCGCTCTGTCACCCAGGCTGGAAGTGCAGTGGCGCGATCTCGGCTCACTGCAAACTCCGCCTCCCGGGTTCACGCCATTCTGCCTCAGCCTCCCGAGTAGCTGGGACTATAGGCGCCCGCCATCACACCCGGCTAATTTTTTTGTATTTTTTTAGTAGAGACGGGGTTTCACCATGTTAACCAGGATGGTCTTGATCTCCTGACCTCGTGATCCGCCCGCCTCGGCCTCCCAAAGTTCTAGGATTACAGGCACGAGCCACTGCGCCCAGCCAATTTTTTTTTTTTAAAAGAGACAAAACCTCACTATGCAGCCCAGGCTGGTCTCAAATTCTTGAGCTCAAATGATCTTCTCACCTCAGCCTCAGGACTAGTGGGACTACAGATGCATGCCACCTTTTGGGGCTCAAAAAATGCACAAAATCAACAACTTCAATTTTTTTTTTTGAGACGGCATGTCACTCTCTCACCCAGGCTGGAGTACAGTGGTGTGATCTTGGCTCACTGCAACCTCTGTCTCCTGGGTTCAAGTGATTCTCCTGCCTCAGCCTCCCAAGTAGCTGGGATTACAGGTGCCCACCACCATGCCCAGCTCAGTTTTGTATTTTTAGTGGAGACAGGGTTTTGCCATGTTGGCCAGGCTGGTCTCAAACTCCTGACCTCAGGTGATCTGCCCACCTTGGCCTCCCAAAGTGCTGGGATTACTGGTGAGAACCACCGTGCCTGGCAGCAACTTCAGTTTGGACACCTAAGTTGCCCTGTTTGCTCTGTTTTGTTTTGTGGTGGTTGAAATATCACATATTCCTCAGCAGAGGGGAAACAGAAACCCACAGGGTCTGGGAGACCACCTGCATGTTGAAGTATGCTGGACTCCTCTGCATTCCCAGGGGGCTTGGTCGTGCACTGCCACCTGTGGACACCCTGACAGCCTGATGTGATGGGGGGTGGCCCGCTTACCTGAACCTTCCGATCCGCCGTAGGTGTGAGAACATCTCCCCGCCGGGCACGTACTCCATGACCATGTATAAGTTTGAGTTGTCCTGTGGGAAGCAGTGGCTGGTCAAGGGCCCACCCCTGAGACTTGGACCCGATCTGAAGGCCTTGGGGGCCTCCCCGGCTGGTGTTCAAACATTAAATGACAACAGCGATCCTGGCTCCCTGTAGGAATCATGTTCTACAGGGGCGACCCTTATCCTGCTGTTAATGGGTGAAAGTGAGGGCTGGCTCAGAGGTATGTCAGGACCTGGTTAGCCTGCCTTGGCTGGAGAGAGAACTCTGTAGTACCTTGCTCTGGGAGCTTGAGTAAGGCTCTGAGGCCACAGTTTTGTCATCTGTAAAATGGGATCATGATAGGCTGCAGAATTAGTGGGGCCCAGAATAAAAAAGATGGCCCCTGGTTAAAAAATTATTACAGAGGGTCGGGTGTGGTGGCTCATGCCTGTATAATCCCAGTACTTTGGGAGGCCAAGGTGGGTGGATCACTTGAGCCTAGGAGTTTGAGACCAGCCTGGGCAACATAGTGAGACCCCGTCTCTGCAAAAATACAAAAATTAGCTGGGCATCATGGCGTGCACCTGTAGTCTCATACTCAGGAGACTGAGGTGGGAGGATTGCTTGAGCCTGGGAGGCAAAGGTTGTGAGCTGTAATTGCGCCACTGCACTCCAGCCTGGGCAACAGGGTAAGACCTTATCTTAAACAAAACAAAACAAAATGGCCGGGCACGGCTCACACCTGCAATCCCAGCACTTTGGGAGGTCGAGGCAGGCAGATCACCTGAGGTCAGGAGTTCAAGACCAGCCTGACCAACATGGGGAAACCCTGTCTCTACTAAAAAATACAAAATTAGCCAGATGTGATGGCACATGCCTGTAATCCCAGCTACTCGGGAGGCTGAGGCAGAAGAATTGCTTGAACCCAGGAGTCAGAGGTTGTGGTGAGCTGAGATCGCATCATTGCACTCCAGCCTGGGCAACAACAGCCAAACTCTGTCTCAATAAAAAAAATAAAAATTAGGCTTGGCACAGTGGCTCATGCCTGTAATCCCAGCACTTTGGGAGGCCAAGGCAGGCAGATCACTTGAGGTCAGGAGTTCAAGACCAGCCTGAGCAACATGGCAAAATCCTGTCTCTACTAAAAATACAAACATAAGCTGGGCATGGTGGTGGGCACCTGTAATCCCCGCTACTCAGGAGGCTGAGGCAGGAGAATTGCTTGAACCCAGGAGGCAGAGGTTGTAGTGAGCCAAGATTGCGCCACTGCTCTCCAGCCTGAGCAACAGAGTGAGACTCTGTCTCAACAAAAAAAAATTATTACGGATCTCAAGACAGCAGCAGCAGCAAAGCGTTAAACCAGGTGTGGGGTCCCTCGGAGAACAGGCCCTTGTGCTTCTCTGGGTCAAACGTCCATGAAGCTGGCCCTGAGTGGCCTTTCCTGTTTCTCATGACCACAGCTTTGGATGGCACCCAAAACGGCTCCCAAAGGGCGCTCAAGACGTGCCTGGAACTGTCATGACAACCCCACCAGGCTGGAACTGGTATGATCCCCATTTTACCATGAGAAAGCTGAGGCTTGGGGAGATAAGTCTCTTGCCCGGGGCCACACATCAAGAAGTACTGAACTGGGAAATGAACCCCGGCTGCCTGGGGCAGAGTTTGTGCTCCTGGGTCAGGCTCTTACCATAAACCAGGTGCTGCTTTTGAGGGATGTTACTGAGGTTGGGTGACTCACCAAGGGTATCGAACTACAAACTGGCTGGACCAGGAACTGAACTTGGGTCTACCAGAGTCCCAGCCTGACTCCTGTCCCCTGATCTCCCTCCTCCAGGGATCTTGTTCTTCCACAAAAGAGAGCAGCCACTGATTGTCCTCAGCTCCGACCCCAGCCCTGGGGGCCAGAAGGCTGGGACCCAATGCAGTGACCCCCCGCCCTTGGCCACTGGGACCCCACCTTGAAGGAGAACTCGAGTTTGACGAGGAACGGAAAGTTGACAGCTTGCAGGATGCGCTTTTCATTCAGGGTGTGTTCGATCTGTTTCAGTTTCACCACCTGGGAAGGGAAGGAGGGGAGGGCAGAAAGGAGGGGGAGGTGAGAGGGGCCTCATTTCCCCTAATGCCTGGAACTAGGGATGCCGGAGCCAGGCCGGTTCCTTCAGCCAGAATCATTTGTGTGCCTGTGGCCTGTCGGGCCCTTAGCTGATGCTGAGGACACAGCATCAGGGAGGCTAGGGGCTGCTTGTCCTTGCACGGCACTAAGTCCAGGGCAAAGAATACATGGGTTACCCCCACAGAGGTCAGAGCCGTGGTGGAGGGTATCTTGGGGTTGTGGAGAAGCAGCCCCCAAGAAGCCCATGTAAAGTACCTGGCGTGGTCTGGGGAAGGGGGAATCAGACAGCGCTTTCTGGAGGAAGGGGCAGCTGAACTGAAATTGAAAAGACAGGCAGGAGAAGCCCAAGAGGTGGGGGGTTTAGGACCTGCCTTACCCTTGTCTAGAACACTCCACACAGCAACCTGAACCTCAGGCTAACAGCTCCTCAGCCATCAGCTGTCCCCTAATAGCAGATGCCATGAGCAGGCACCTGGCACCCAGTCTCTCACTGAATCAGGATAGAAGCCCTAGAGGCCCATGCTGGGAGTACGCCAGTTTGGAAGACCAGACACAGAGGGGAGGTGACTTGTCCAAGGTCACACAGCTGGCTGATGTCAGGCTGGTGTGTAACATGTGGCCAGCCTGGTCCCTCAGTCAGCTGTCAACTGCTTTGCTCACATAGCTGTGTCCTCAGAGTCTATACCTGCCCTACCCAGTTCAGTCCCCATTAGCCACAGGGGGATGCTGGGCCCTTGAAATATGGCTGGTCGGATGGGGAGCCAAATTCAAAAATTTTAAGTATCTAAAATATAAATTAAAAAACTGACACCAGCTGGGCATGGTGGCTCACGCCCGTAATCCCAGCACTTTGGGAGGCCCAGGCAGGTAAATCGCTTGAGCCCAGGAGTTTGAGACTAGCCTGGGCAATGTAGCGAGACCCCATCTCTACAAACAACAACAAGGACAACAAAAGCAATTAGCTGGGCATGGCACGACTATGGTCCCAGCAGCTCCAGAGGCTGAGGTGGGAGGATCATTTGAGCCCAACTGCACTTCAGCCTGGGCAACAGAGCAAGACCCTGTCTCAAAAACAAAACAACCAGGCCGGGTACGGTGGCTCACGCCTGTAATCCCAGCACTTTGAGAGGCCGAGGCAGGTGGATCACGAGGTCAGGAGATCGAGACCATCCTGGCTAACATGGTGAAACCCCGTCTCTACTAAAAACACAAAAAATTAGCCGGGTGTGGTGGCGGGCGCCTGTAGTCCCTGCTACTCGGGAGGCTGAGGCAGGAGAATGGCATGAACCCGGGAGGTGGAGCTGGCAGTGAGCTGAGATCACACCACTGCAGTCCAGCCTGGGTGGCAGAGCGAGACTCCGTCTCAAAAAAAAAAAAAAAAAAACAACAACCAGCCAGGCCAAAATGGTGAAACCCTGTCTCTACTAAAAATATTTAAAAACTGGCCAGGTGTGGTGGCTCACGCCTGTAATCCCAGCACTTTGGGAGGCCGAGGCCGGTGGATTACAAGGTCAGGAGATGGAGACCATCCTGGCTAACACGGTGAAACCCCATCTCTACTAAAAATACAAAAAATTAGCCAGGCGTGGTGGTGGGCGCCTGTAGTCCCAGCTACTCAGGAGGCTGAGGCAGAAGAATGGCGTGAACCCGGGAGGCAGAGGTTGCAGTGAGCCAAGATCGTGCCACTGCACTCCAGCCTGAGCGACAGAGCGAGACTCCATCTCAAAAAAAAAAAAAAAAAAAATTAAAAAATTAGCTGGGCGTGGTAGCCGGCGCCTGTAATTCCAGCTACTCAGGAGGCTGGAGCACAAGAATCGCTTGAAACCCGGAGGCAGAGGTTGTAGTGAGCTGAGATCATGCCATTGCACTCCAGCCTGGGCAACAAGAGCGAAACTCCATCTCAAAAACAAAACAAAACAAAACAAAACAAAAATTAAACTCTTGATGCAGGTACTGGTGACTTTCAGGCATGGTTGGAACAACTTGGGCATGTGAATCTGCTTTTTCAACTTCCCTGCTTTTTCTTATCTTTCCAGGAAAAATTTACCATCAGAGTTGAGAACTGTTGTAAGCATACAATAGACACTGGATTTTAAAGATACTTCAGTACAGAAAAAAAGGAAATATTTCCGAAGTCATGGAGGACTGGGAAAAAAACAAAAGGAATGTAAAATGTTTCATTAATGATATTTTCACATTGATAATATATGGAAAGGGTAATACTGTAGATATACTGGCTTAATTAAAACATATCATTAGGCCAGGTGTGGTGGCTCACATCTGTAATCCCAGCACTTTGGAAGGCTGAGGCGGGCGGATTACCTGAGGTCAGGAGTTCGAGACCAACCTGACCAACATGGTGAAACCCCAAGTCTACTAAAAATACAAAAGTTAGCTGGGCGTGGTGGTGGCACCCATAATCCCAGCTACTTGGGAAGCTGAGGCAGGAGAATCACTTGAACCTGGGAGGTGGAGGTTGCAGTGAGCTGAGATCACGCCACTGCAGTCCAGCCTGGGCGACAAGAGTGAGACTCTGTCTCAAAAAAAAAAAAACATAAAAAAAAGCCCCAAACATGTCATTAAAATGAATTTCATGAATGACACCTGTTTCTTTCATTTTCTCTTTTAATTACAAACTTTGGGTGTTTTTTTAGAGATGGGGTCTGGCTGTGTTGTCGAGGCTGGAGTTGAACTCCTGGGTTCAAGTGATCCTCCCACCTCAGCCTGTCTAGTAGCTGGGACTACAGGCGTGCGCCACCGTGCTTGGCTGTTTTTACTGTTTATGATGGAGCAAACAGAAAATTTAAAATTGCTTCTGTGGCTCAGGTTACATTTCTGCTAGTTACATTGCTGCTTTATAGCAGTGCCTGGTATAAAGTCCGATCACAAAAATATTTACGGGAAGAAAGTGCACATAAACACCACTTCCCCCAAGAGTGCTCTTGTTCTCCTCCTGTTGGGCTGGTGTCTGACCCTGTGTCACAGTGCCTGGCTTTGAATCCATGGCCGGCCTGGAGAGGGAGCTTTGGGAAGGCGGCACAGGGCCCTTCTGACCCCTGGGGCTGGCACATTATGGGGGCTCGGGGAATAGTGGGTGAGCCTGGCATGGTGGCTCATGCCTGTAATCCCTGTGCTTTGGGAGGCTGAAGTAGGAGATCACTTGAGGCCAGGAGTTCAAGACCAGCCTGGGCAACACAGCAAGACCCCCTGTCTAAAACAAAAAACAAACAAACAACAAAAAAAAATTAGCCAGGCATGGTAGTGTGCGCTTGTAGTCCCAGCTACTCAGGAGGATCTCTTGAGCTCAGGAGTTTGAGGCTACAGTGAGCTATGATCACGTCACTGCACTTTCCTGCTTGGGCAACAGAGCAGGATCCTGTCCCCCACAAAAAAACCAAGCGGCCAGGCGCGGTGGCTCACGCCTGTAATCCCAGCACTTTGGGAGGCTGAGGCAGGTGTATCACCTGAGGTCAGGAATTCGAAACCATCCTGGCCAACATGGCGAAAACCCATCTCTACTAAAAATACAAAAATTAGCTGGGTGTGGTGGCAGGCGCCTGTAATCCCAGCTACTCGGGAGGCTGAGGCAGGAGAATCGCTTGAACTAGGGAGGTGGAGGTTGCAGTGAGCCGAGATCACGCCACTGTACTCCAGCCTGAGCGACAGAGCGAGACTCTGAATCAAAAAAAAGCAAGTGAGTGAACGGGTGGATAGGGCACTCTAAGGAGTGGGCACAGTCCAGGCAAAGGCCTGACAGGCAGGCCCTGAGCGAGGACAGGCCACCTCACCTTCTGTTTGTCGAGGATCTTCATGGCATAGTGGTTCCCGGTCTCCTTGTGTTTCACCAGCATCACCCGCCCGAAGGAGCCCGTGCCGAGGGTCTTGATTCGTTCAAACTGATCCAAGTGGGCTGTGTTCTGTGGGCAGAGGGGTCGGTAGGCTCAGGGCACGCCCTCCCCGCGGCCTGCTTGGCTAAGGTCTGGGGCATCCCCTCTGCCACCGGCAGAGGGGGCCCCGGGGAGCACGTGGGGTCAGCGGGGTGAGGACAGGGGGCGGAAAATCAAGATGGCAGAGGGCACATTCCTTAAGGCGGGTGGCAGGGGCCAGATCCGGCCCTGGCCTGGGGCCTGGAAGCTGCTGGCAGCTGTGCTGGGGGCAGGGGCGGGCCGTTGGGAGGGGTGGTGGGATGGGGGTGCCTGGCATTGGGCAGTCAGGTGTCTCCACACAGGAGCCCCCATGGGCACCTAGGGAGCAAATGGGGAGGGTCTGAAGCCTTCTATGGGGTTTCTGAAATTCTAGCTGTGTTGCTGGGACACAGCCAGGGGCTGGGGGTTAGCAGCTCACCCCTCCCTGGGCTCTGCACCCGGCAGCCTTACCTGAGCGGGACTTTCCCATTTTTTAAGAAAATCTTCTTTGGCTTTGGCTAAGAATTCTTTCACTGAAAGGGAGAGAGGGGAGAGTTATACAGAGACGCCCGTCTCACCGGGGTGGGTTCAGGTGATTTCTGGGGAGATACTTGGTGGAAAGTGGGGTGCAGTTCCAACCCAGAGCCTGACCTTTTTCTGGTGCCTCTGGGGCCTTGGCTGGGCCGTGGCCTGGGCCTCCCTTGCTACAGAGAGGTGGGATCCAGCTGCCACTCCATCCAAAGTGGGGTACAGAGAGTCTCAGGGGTCACTCGCAGGGGAACGGAGGGAGGTGCCCAGGCAGACCAGCCCACCCCCACTCGCCCCAGTTCTGACCGACATTCCATGGCCAGGGCCGACGCCAGCCGAGGTATTTATAGCCTTGGGATTTGGCTGTTCCTCTGGCCCCTTCTCTGGGGAGGCCGGGCCTGGGATGGAGGCCTCGGGGGCTCGGGTAGCAGGTGCCCTTGGGGGGCTCAGCTGTCACCTTGGCCCCCAGCTGGCCCTGTTCCTCTCCGTGGCAATCGCAAGGGCATTGCTCCAGAGCTGGTTCAAGGGAAGTCTCGCCCGATGCCCACTCCTCGGCCCCATGGTATCCCAAGGTGAACATCACCGCCTGGCTAATGTTGAAACTTCCCCGGCAGACCCTGTGCCGGCTGCTGTCTACACTGTCTCATCTGACTCACTCGGCAACCTGCCTTGTATCCATTGTCTCCACTTAACAACCCAGGAAACAGGCTTGAAAACAGTCATTCTCGTCTCTGCTGAGACACAGCCCAGCAAAGTGGCTAAGGGCCAGGACTTGGGGTCAAGATCCAGTTCAGAGCCCAGCCTGGTCTCTGATGAACTCTGTGACTTTGGGTAACTGATCTCACCTCTCTAGGCCTCAGTTTTCCTCATCTGTAAAGTGGGGTGGTTTTGAGGAATGAATGAGTTCATCTTGACAAAGGGAGTTGAACAGTGGCCCCGTGTGATGATAGTGCCAGATAAATGTCAGCTATTATTATTTTTTATTTATCTATCTATTGACTGATTGATTGATTGATTGATTGAGACGGAGTCTCCCTCTGTCGCCCAGGCTGGAATGCAGTGGCGCAATCTCCGCTCACTGCAAGCTCCGCCTCCCGTGCTCACGCCATTCTCCTGCCTCAGCCTCCTGAGTAGCTGGGACTACAGACGCCTGCCACCACGCCCAGAGAATTTTTTGTATTTTTTTTAGTGGAGACGGGGTTTCACCGTGTTAGCCAGGATGGTCTCGATCTCCTGACCTCGTGATCCACCCGCCTCGGCCTCCCAAAGTGCTGGGATTACAGGCGTGAGCCACCATGCCCGGCCAATTTATTTTTTTTAATTATTATTATTTTTTTTTTTGAGATGGAGTCCCACTTTGTTGCCCAGGCTGGAGTGCAGTGGCACAATCTCAGCTCACTGCAACCTCCGCCTCCCAGGTTCAGATGATTCTCCTGCCTCAGCCTCCTGAGTAGCTGGGATTACAGACACCTGCCACCACGCCCAGCTAATTTTGGTATGTTTAGTAGAGACAGGGTTTTGCCATGTTGGCTAGGCTGGTCTCGAACTCCTGACCTCAGGTGATCTGCCCACCTTGGCCTCCCAAAGTGCTGGGATTACAGGCATGAGCCACCGTGCCCAGCCTATTATTTTCTAAATTGAGGTATAAAATATGGGGAGAGAGGCTGGGTGAGGTGGCTGACGTCTGTAATCCCAGCACTCTGGGAGGCCAAGGTGGGTGGATCACAAGGTCAGGAGTTCGAGACCAGCCTGGCCAACATGGCGAAACCCCATCTCTACTAAAAATAAAAAAATGAGGCCAGGCACGGTGGGTCACACCTATAATCCCAGCACTTTGGGAGGCCAAGGCGGGTAGATCACTTGAGGTCAGGAGTTCAAGACCAGCGTGGTCAACATGGTAAAACCCCGTTTCTACTAAAAGTACAAAAAAATCAGCCGGGCATGGTGGCAGGAGAATCGCTTCGACCCGGGAGGCAGAAGTTGCAGTGAGCTGAGATCATGCCATTGCACTCCAGCCTAGGCGACGGGGCGAGACTCTGTCTCCAAAACAAAACAAAAAAATTAGCCAGGCGTGGTGGTGATGTGTGCCTGTAATCCTAGCTACCTGGGAGGCTGAGGCAGGAGAATTGCTTGAATCCGGGAGACTGAGGTTGCAGTGAGCCGAGATTGCACCACTGCACTCCAGCCTGGGTGACAGAGCAAGACTCGTCTAAGAAAAAAAAAAGAAAAAAGAAAAGAAAATATGGGGAGCGATCGGGCATGGTGGCTCACGTCTATAATCCCAGCACTTTGGGAGGCCGAGGCAGGCAGATCACTTGAGGTCAGGAGTTTGAAACCAGCCTGGCCAACATGGTGAAACCCCGTCTCTACTAAAAATACAAAAATTAGCTGGGCACGGTGGCGCATGCCTGTAATCCCAGCTATTTGGGAGGCTGGGGCAGGAAAATCTCTTGAACTTGGGAGGCAGAGGTTACAGTGAGCTGAGATCATGCCACTGCACTCCAGCCTAGGCGACAGAGTGAGACTCTGTCTCAAAAAAAAAAAAAAAAAAAAAAAAAAAAATATATATATATATATATATATATATATATATATACACACACACACACACACACATAGGGAGAGCCGGGAACGGTGGCTCATGCCTGTAATCCCAGTGCTTTAGAAGGCCGAGGTTGGAGGATCGCTTGAGGCCTGGAATTAGAGACCAGCCTTGGCAACATAGCAAGACCCAATCTCTACAAAAAATAAAACAATTAAAAAATTAGCTGAGCATAGTGGCCCATGCCCGCAGTTTCAGCTAAGCAGGAGGCTGAGGCAGGAAGATTGCTTAAAGCCCAGGAGATTGAGGTTGCAGTGAGCTATGATCACACCACTACACTCCAGCCTGAGCAAGAGTGAGACTCTTTCTCAAAAAAATAATAATACTCTGGGAGGCCGAGTTGGGGGGATTGCTTGAATACAGGAATTCGAGACCAGCCTGGACAACATCAAAACCCTCTACAAAAAATAAAAACATTAGCCAGGTGTGGTGGTATGCACCTGTAGTCCCAGCTACTCAGGAGGCAGAGGTGGGAGGATTGTTCAAGCCCGGGACATAGAGCCTGCAGTGAGCCGTGACTGAGCCATTACACTGCAGGCTGGGTGACAGAGTGAGGCCCTGTCTCAAAAAAAAAAGTAATAATAAAAAAACCCCAAAAACAAATATAGGAGATACACTGAGTGCTCAAATCTTAAATGCGCAGCCTGACAGATTCTTGCATTATGGACTTGTCCTTTTAACCACCACCTAGGGCTACAAGGGACCAGCCCCTTGCTGAGTATTTTCTATGCTTCGTTCTCACCCTGTGGGGTGGGAGCTGCTGTTATTCCCACTGTACAGAGGAGAAGACTGATCAGGTCTGAGGTCACTTGCCTGCCCCCACATCCCATGAGATTAACTACTTCACTGCCAACTCAGCCATTGGTTTCAGTGCTGAGTCCAGTGCACCAGGGTGGCCAATGTGGACAGAGCTGCCTTCAACCCCCTGATGTTCCTGGGTTTGCTGCCACCGAGGGGCCCTGTACACTTGCCCTTTGGCATTGCTGGTTATCTGCCTGCCAGTAATCCCACATGGCCTTGTGGGGAGCCACCCCCACTACCTGTCTCCAGAGCTTTCCCTCAGCATTCAGAGAGAAGAGCCCTCATGGAGCTAGAAAGTGGTAGATGGTGGCTGGGTGCAGTGGCTCACGCCTGTAATCCCAGCACTTTGGGAGGCTGAGACAGGCAGATCACCTGAGGTTGGGAGTTTGAGACCAGCCTGACCAACATGGAGAAACCCTGTCTCTACTAAAAATACAAAATTAGCTGGGCGTGGTGGCACATGCCTGTAATCCCAGCTACTCAGGAGGCTGAGGCAGGAGAATTGCTTGAACCCGGGAGGCAGAGGTTGCAGTGGGCTCAGATCGCGCCATTGCACTCCAGCCTGGACAACAAGAGTGAAACTCTGTCTCAAAAAAAAAAAAAAGAAAGTGGTAGATGGCAGATGGAGAGAGACCGTGGCCAAGAAGGCCCCACAATAAATGACCAGGCGGAGAGGGGATAGGCAATGAATGGCCAGGAGTCCTAGATGGGTGCCTGGCTGGGCCACCAACTAGCCCAGGGGCCTGAGCCTGGGGGTCACACCAAATCCAACACTTTCACTAGCAGAACCTTTGTTTGAGTGTTTTATTTTGTTTTGAGATGGGGTCTTGCTATGTTGCCCAGGCTGGTCTCCAACTTCTGGCCTCAATGGATTCCCCCACCTTAGTCTCCCAAAGTGCTGGGATTACGGGCATGAGCCACTGTGCCTGGCTTCAGTCATAGAACCTTTGTGACAGAAAACATCTTCCTTGGAAACCTCCAAATAATCCACACAGAATTCAGCAGTGGGTGGGGAGGGTGGAGGGTGCCCTCTTGGGATTCTACCTTCACCCACACAAGAAGGCAGAGAGGTGCCAGGCTTGAAGGGAATCCAAAAGGTCTGGTCCGTTTTCCCTTTGCTCTTAGCAAAAAGGAAAGAATTGCTGAATCCTGCACCTCCCCGACTCGCTGAGCTCCCAGCCCCTGGCTGTCCGCTGGTGCCCCACAGAGTCGCTCCACAGGGTGCCTTGCTGTTAGCATGGCCCTTCTCTGGCCTCTCAAAGGACCAGAGCGCCCAGGCTCTGTCCCCTCTGGTGCCACTAGCCCTGTTAGCTTGTCAGATTTGGGGATGGGGCATGGGGGAGGCCAGTGCCAGGAGGAGCAGGCAGAGAGAGGGATGATGGGGGGGAGGGGCAGGTAACCTCAATCAAGAGGCCCCACACTCACCTCTGCTTCCTGTCTCTTCCAGGAAAGGGTAGAATAAAGGGTGGGTGGGATGGGGTGATCTGGCGGCCTTCTGCCCCCTGGCCAGGGAGGCTCAGGGTGCTGGCTGTGGCTTAGGCCCCCGGAAGGTGCGGTGCAGGTAGCCCAGGAAACGTACAGCCAGGTGGGCCCAGAGGAGCAGCTGCAGCCACAGCTGGAAGGTGGTCTCCAAGTCCCCACCCTGGCTGCTGCCTGATCCCAGATCCATCCCCAGCCCCCTTGGGCTCTCCCTGGAATCTTCCTTTTGCTGAGAAACCAGGAAAACGCAGAGCCTCTAAGTCAGCTTCCTTGGGATGGCCTCAGGGGACCAGGGAGGAGGAGCTGGTTGCCACAGAAGCTTTTAAAGGTACCTGCTCCAAGCTAGCCAAGGTTTGCAGAGGGCTCCCTTGGCAGGAGGCAATGGGAAGATTCTCCCGAGGGTGTCCCTCTGGCTGGCCTGCGTGCCCCAGGGCGGGGCGATAAAACTAACTTCCCTTTCCACGGACTTCACTGCTCCCAGGACGCCAGGCCCTGCCTTCCTCAGTGGGCACTGGACTGTGCAGAGGACAGCGCCTGATGTGCCCAGAGCAGTGCCCACTGGGCAGAGGGGAAAGAGTTAAGGTTCAGGATCAGGCAACAGCCAGAGACTCCTTAGGGGCTAAAGAGGCCCCAGAGCTCCCTTAATTCGCTGAAAGAACAGCTGGAGAGAAAGGCTTGGGGCGGGGGGCGACAAGAGCCACCCTGCCTCCTCCCCTGAACTCCCTTTCAATGTGGAACCCCCAAATCCTGCTATCCTGAGAGAGAAAATGGGTATATCTGACTCTTTTGTTTTGCTCCTATGCGGGGGTGGAGAGGGGAAAGGCATCCCGGGATGTCCTTGGCCTCTCTCAAACCTTGCCCTGTGCTTGGCTCTACTCTCGGCCATGAAAGTCCAAACCGGAAACGAGCGGCTAAACCCAGGGGTGGGGGAGGGGGAGGCAGCCTTGACCATCTTCCTCCTTCTTTCCAGATCCCAAAAGAAGCAGAGGGTCAGTGGCAGCCTCTTTGAGTGTGCCCGGCATCCAGGACCCCTGCTAGCAACAGGAAGTGGCAGAGGATGGTAACCCAGCCAGCTGCTGGCCTGTACAGCCTGCCGCCCTGCCCACATCTCCCACACGGGGGGTGCCAGCTCTCACTCTGGTCCAGATTCCATTTGGGTTCATAGGGAAAACTCCTTGACACCCCTTGAAAAGCCAGGACCACAGCAGAAAGCAGAAATCTAGAAACTCGCCCTGGGAATGGGGAATTGCAACAGCAGAATATCAATTTGGGCAAGGGGCTTGGGGTCTCTCTCGGAAGGAGCCCAGCCACAGAACCCCCTTCCTCCGGACAACAATCTCAGACCTTCTGCCCTTTTGAAATCTGGCTGTCCTGGGAATTCTGGGGCAGGAATGCCCAGCCTGGGCTGGGCCCCCTACTCGAGGCTGGCTGATTCCTCCAGTGGAGCCTGGATTCCCTGCTCTGGGCTTACCTAAATGACACAACTCTGAGCTGGACCCCAACACTGGCTGGAACGACCCCCATTCTGAGCTGGACCCCAACACTGGGATGGCTCATCCTACAGTCTGAGCTGAACCCCAACACTGGGATGGACCACTCCACCACCCCTCTCTGAGCTGGCCCCCTGCCGGGTGGACCATCCTCCCTTGTCTGAACTGGGCCACCGATCCCCTCTCTCTTCCCCAGGCCGCACAGCCCGGGGCTGTACAGGAGGCGTTTCCAGGGCCAGCCAGGGGTTCACATCCTTCTTCTCTTCGCCTGTGCCCCAGACCCCGCTGCAGCCCCTCCCTGACTTAAGGGGCAGAGTGTGCCTAGGAAGTTGCTATAGTAACAGGACTCAGCCTCACCATCGCTGGAGTTGGAAGCCATCACTCAGTCCTGTTCTCAGGGCACCGGCACTACGGTGGCTGGGAAGGCTCATGAGACCTGCCGTGTCTGTTCGGCTGTCTGTCCCCAGAACCCTGCCTGCAGGGGGAGCTAGGGAGCCGTGGGGTGGGAGCAGGAAGAGAAACCCAACCCAGAGGCCACTGGGTGTGGAGGAGGGACAGATAGGGCCCTCCGAGTTTCTGTAGACGCGGTTGCGCTAAGGGGAGAGCTGCCTTGATAAGACCTCTTGGGCACCCATACAACTGCCAAGGCACAGAAGGTGTTTGGCCGTCTTAGGCATCCATAGGATGTTACACGGCACTAGTTCTTCCCATCTAGGGTCTTCTTGGGGGGTGCTTTTCTCTCTTTGCCAGGATCTGCTTGTGTCCTGGGGATCGGGGGCTCCCTTTTACTAGCTCTGCCCCTTCCCCTGTGGGCCAGCTCCCAGGGGTATCTTCAGCCAGTGCCAGCCACGACCTGAGCCCCACTTGGCTGTCTGACCTGGGCGCCTGCCCCCTGGGGCCGCTGCTCCCTCTCCATTCTTCCAACTTGGCCAGAGCCTGGGCCTTAGTCTTTTTTCTTGGCCCTCTCAGC
Organism: Homo sapiens; assembly: GCF_000001405.40. Taxonomy (NCBI): domain Eukaryota; kingdom Metazoa; phylum Chordata; class Mammalia; order Primates; family Hominidae; genus Homo; species Homo sapiens. Next base: position 14,114,747 of record NC_000019.10, read on the forward strand.
TCTCCCAATGGCTTTGCCATCTTTGGGTGTAGATTCCCCCAACTCCACTCCAGGGTTCATTCTGGATCCCTGGCCTCTTGGGAGGAGGCGGACTCTGTCCTGCCCTGGCACAGAGATGGTACCACAGGGGACTGCAGGATGCTTAACTGGTGCCTCCCAAGGCCTGGGCATTTTCCTGACCCCAGTCGGGCCGGCGTCTGGCAGATGAAATCCAGGTGCCCCCTGCAGGCTGGCCTGGCTACTGCCCCTGCCCCTGCCCCACCCTTCTAAGAGGGCAAATTTTGTCTAACTCCATCCTCTCAGAATCAGAGCGCCTCAAAGCAAAGAGGGACTTCCTTCCTCATCTTATTTCCTTCTCTGGGAGCCTCTGGGAGGAAGTACAGCTTCGGGCGTTTCTCAACGTGTGACATAGTCCCATTGGCAGAACATGACATGATTTTCGGGATGTTTCATTTATCTAGTTACACTGTATTTAATGCGTATCAGAGAAAATATAACTGGCATGGCAATCCCATGATTTCATTTATATTATTGTTTAGAATGAGCTCCAAGTTTACATCTGAACACAAGTGAGTAAAACTTTTATTATTTTAAATTAAGAAAATATGATAGAGTAAAAATCTGGGAGGCTGCTGAAAAATGTCAAAGTCGGGGAATTCTGGGGTCCAAGAAGTTTGCTGGTAGATGGATCTGGATGTGAATCCTGCCTCTGTGACATCATCTATGTCATGGATGTCATTTCTACCAGAGGGCTCCTTTGGAAAATTTGGATAACAGCCCGTTATGAAAGTCACCAGAGTAGGTATCTCTATCCGCCTGGCCATTTAGCCTGTGGCACAGCCTAGATGCCCAATAAATAGTAGCTCTATTTTACCATGATCATTCATTCCTGGGTGTCTGACCTGTGCTCTGAGAGAATCAGTGGTTCCTTCCAGAGCCTCTGATCTTTTTCTTGGGATCCTTTTTCTTGTGTGGCTTTCCACCCCCCACCACATGTGTCTGATAGCCTTGAAGGTTTTCCAGGACTGTCATCTCCCCAACTTTCAACTGAGCTACCGCAATATATAGCTGCCTGCCTCTACCTTCCACCTCCCAGCTGGCCTCACCTGCTGGGGGCCTGACTCCTCCCCCCCCGGCCAAGTCCCCTCCAAGCTCATGCCCAGACCTTTTTTGGACACTACCCACCTGCTCCTCTGTCATCAGGCACTCAGCTACAGGCATTTCCCTCCCCAGCCCCCACCCATTGGTGACATGTCAGGCCTCTTCATGATCGCTCTGTGACTCTGAGTTCTGCTATTTGAATCCGTATGGGAATAAAGTTCCCTGGCTTTCATACCTTTCTGGGAGGGGGCATTCAGGAAACTCAGATGCTGGGGTTTGAGACCAAAAACTGGCCTTCCTTTTCGACCAATAGTTCCGACTATTTCTGGGTAAGTGGACAGGGGATCCCAGCTGCCTTCCAGCTTTCAGACTGGAGTGACAACAATTTAAGAGCTGTAAAAATTGGGAATGGGGTTCAAGACCATTTCTGATGGTATTTCCAGATAGAGAATCTCTTTCTCTGGCTGGCTGGAAAAGACCAACCTAATGTGTGGGCAAGTGGGTGAAACAGGTCTCTCTCTGGCTGAGCCCTGGGAATGATCAGAATCACTAGACGTCAAAGCAAATCACTAGACGTCACCCATTACTCTCTTTGACTGCCTCCTCCTCCCCAGTGCTCTTTCTGACCATCTCAGTTAGAACCGAATGAACCTCGCTAAACCCAGACACTTTTCATCCCAAGCCAGGAGTGGTGGAAGAAGCCCCAGGGACTGGGTGAATGACGGAGCCTCAGTTGTGAAACGACCATTTATTGAGGGGCCCTCCATGGAGCCTAGAGCTCACTGCAAGACAGGAAATGAGAGGGGGCTCTGCCACCACCCCCTTACCCCAACGCAGGAAAGAGGATGCAATGAATCCCAACAAGACCAGCTCAAACTTGGCTTTGGAAGCACTGAAGCAATTCTCTACGTTCATAAACAGTCTGCTACCCCAGCCAGGGACAGACGCTTGCTTGGAGGACGGAGCACAAGCAGAGCAGCAGAATGACAGAGTGACAGGATGAGAGAGGCAGAGGGACCCAGAAAGATCCTGTCCCCCATGCCAAGTGACACAGAAGAAAAAAATAATGCTGGAGGTGGCTCTGGGAAATGTTCAGGGGGCAGGATGGGTTTGGAAGGGGGGGCTGTGCTAAGGTGAAGAGGGAAAGGGCAGGAGAAAGATGGCGGGGGCTGGAGGGGGGAGGGGTGTGGTCAGCAAGTGGCCAAGGTCCCTGCGCGGTGGAGGCAGACAGACCTCATCGCATTCCCAAACTGGTAGAAACCTGGGTCGGGGTCAGGCAGAGGATCCCATAGGTGAGAGAGGTGAGTGAGGAAGTGGGGGGATTAGAATCTGGGAAGAGGGGCCAGGAAAGGAGGGGGTAGGCTGGTGACAGGGGCCCATGTGGGGCCCCAGCGGTCATACGTGCCATGGTTGGCAGTGACAGCTGGGGGGGAGCACGGTCTTTGCAGCATGGGGCGGCCCTAGGGGAAGGGGACCCCTACAGGGGGTACTCTGCGGGCCCGCGGGCCCCAGCCTTGGACAGGCCGGGGCAAGGGGCGCTGGGGGGTAGGCAGAGAGGATGAGGGGCCCCGTAGGGGGAGGGGCCAGGCGATGATGGACAAGGCCAGGGCTGGCAGCGCAGGGCCAAGATCGGGGTCACAGCCCGGGCACTCACCGCTCTCCTGCTCGCTGCCCTTCTTGGCGGCGGCGGCGTTGCCCATCGCGGCGGCGGCGGCCGGGGCCGGTCCCGGAGCTGCGGCGCGGCGGGTGCTGGCTGCGGCCGGCGGCCCCGGAGCGCGCTGGGCGGCGGCGGCGGCGGCCCTCGGGCTGGCTGCGCTAGCTGCGGCGCCGCGACCCCCGCCCAGCCCCTGCTTCCCGCGTCTCTCCGCGCCCGCCCGCCCGGGAACCTCAGCCCAAGATCTCTGCCGCTGTCTGTGACGCCCCCGCAGCCCGCCGCTCATTGGCCTAGGCCGCCCTGACTGACGGCTCAGCGCCGCCTCCCATTGGCCCTCCCGCGACCTTCCCGCGCCACTATAGGCTCTCAGCCTCGGGACACGCACCGCGGACTCTCGGCCATTCACTCGCTCGCGAGGCCGCAGCTGGGCGGGCAGACGCGTCCGATTGGCCGAGACGCTGGACTGGGCCCGGGGTCCGCCCTGCGAGGCCGCCGATTGGCGGAGGTGCCGGGTCCGCCAAGCCCCCCAGCAGAACGCTCAGTGTCAATCCGGGGGTGAGAGGGCGGGGCGGAGACGCAGTCTGCGGGCCCGGGCCGGCGGGGCGGGGCGGCGGAGGCTGGCTGGCGGCCGCGCAGCGCTCCGAGGCTCAGGAGGCGGCCCCGGCGGGCGCCCGGCCGGCCCCGCGCGCGCCGCAGTCCCCCGCCCCCGCTCAGTGCGGCAGCGGCTGTCGGCCAGCCGGAGTTGGCGCCGCGGCCTGCCCGGCGCAGCCGCTGTCCACCTGCCAGCGGGGGAGGGGCGCGGCCGGCGCGCGGGTCAGAGGTCGCCCGGCCGCCGCCGGCGTCATTCATAAGGCCTGGCGCTGGGCGGCCGAGGCCAGGCCTGCTTGGGGGCCAGGCCGCGGGGCCTCCTGGGTTTTCCCAGCCGCACTCAGGAGGATGCCGGGCCCGGCGCAAGGGGTGGCTGGGAAGGGGCGCTCAGTGTCCACCCCTTTGCTGGGCCCTAGCCCTGGGCTCCTGCCAGTAGTAAGAGCTGGCACCCACTTAACGCTCCTTCGCACCACACTCCCATCGCGTAGGTGCTACCATCATCACTCCCATTGCACAGATGAGGAATCTGGGGTACAGCCAGGCAGATTCCCTGCTCCTGTTCCCCGTCTGTATTTCCTGTCTGGGCAATGCGAAGGGAACCTGCCCCTTCCTTCAGGATCCTCTTTCAGTACACACTTAGCAGAGGACAGTCGGGGTTTCCCAACTGCGACACTACTGACGGTGAGGCTGGATCATTTTCTGCTGGGGGGTGTCTTGTGCACCACTGGGTGTTGAGCAACATCCCCCGCCTCTACCCACTGGATGCCAGTAGCCCCTCCTCTATCTTCCTGCTGGCTGTGGCAACCGCTGTCTCCTGACATTGGTGAATGTGCTCTTGCGGGGCCGAACTGCTCCTGATTGAGAAGCACTTAAGAGAGGGTCAGGGGAGGGGAGAAGCCAGGTCACCCCGACTCGGAAGGGCTAGCTGGGCTTAACTACAAGCCGATCTGCTGCTTCGACTTGAATAGCCTCCACCTTCTCCAGCTGCTGTCTGCCCCCATGTTCCCAGATCAACCACAGTTCCAGGGAGGGAGAGTCAGAGCCTTTCTGTGAACTATGGGGAAATGGCTGACCACTCCGCCTCTGGATGGATAGATACATGGTAAGGTTTAGTAAAATTTAATAAAAGCATTGCTGTTTGTGTGTTGGGATCACGATGTTAATTTCCTGTGGGTCAAGGGCAAAGTCTGAAAAATCACTCATTATAATCTATCTGCAGGACAGCTGGTTTAAGTTTTGACAAAGAAAAACCCCTCCTGGAACCTCAGTCTGGAATACAACTGTAGAACCAATTAAGACTGGAGTAGGAAGCTGGAAAGAAGACGTGGGACAGCCAACCCACTGGACAGGGCAAGAGGCCACTTCTGGGGGAGAGTGGACAAAGTTGCTTCAGTCCACCAGAGACAAAAGCACAAACAATCATTCTAAATGAAGTGCTTTTAATTTTCAGACCAAACATTTTTAATATAAAAACATTTTGATAATATACAAACAGCAATCACAACAGCATCCACATGGCAGCAAGGGGACCAGGGCACAGAGAGGGGGAGCGGGCTGGGGAGGGACAGTTTTCAGGGTCCCAGTTGCTTCCCTGGCTTGAAATCACCCTGGTCCTAGCAGAGGACAGGTTAAGGCTGCCAGAGGCAGAGGGTCCCTGACCCTGGCCCGGAGACAGACTGCCCAGGCAGGCCCTCTGATACCATCTTCCAACCATGGCAGCCTCCAGGAAAAGCCAGATCCATTTAGGAGATAACAGGAAGGTGGCTGTGATTGACAGGAAAGGCAACATGGTTCCTCAGCATCCTGCTGATCACACCTCTGGGAGGGGCTGCTGGATTGAAGAGGACCTAAGAATCTTCCTGGGAGCAGGACAGAAATGGGATCTAAGTCTACCTACTAACTAACATTCCCGCCTGTGACACCAGAAAGCTGGAGTGGGTCTGCTCAGATGTACAGGAAGAGAAAGGAATGACAAAGCCTTTGGCTCAGCAGGACTGGAGCCTTGACAGGCACTGACCAAGAAAGCCTCTAGGTGGGCCAGGGAGGTCTGTGGGAAAGCTTTGGATCAATGGTACTCAAGGGTGCACAGTGGCACAGTGGCCTTAGTTAGAATTTATGAAGACGAAAAGAACACAAGTCAGAATTTAGAACTGAAGTACCTGCTTCTTATAGGCCTGTAGAGGAAAAGCGAGATCATCCTTCTGGCCAGGACTAGGGGAGACCCAAGGCCTGTTCTTTCCTAGGGGCTGAGTTTGACAGACCTGGATTGCAGCTGATGGCCCCCAAAGTCCTCTAGATGGGCCCTGCAGGACTCGCTGGGAGGCCTGGTTGCCCCTCCCGGCGTGCTGGGACACTCTGGGTTCCTGCAGTTAGATGCAGTCCATGGAGTTCTCAGGGAGGAGGCCAGGGATGCAGCCAGGGAGCCCCAAGCCCTTGATAGGAGTGCAGTTGAGTGGGAGGCCGCAGCCCAGGGAGGGGTCCTGGGTCTCTATGGCCTCCAGCCTGTCCATGTTGTTGTCCCAGTTGATATGGAAGCGGGTCACCCGGGGGTTCGAGGCCAAGATGTTCCGCTGGAGCTGGGGCAGGAAGAGGAACGTCAACCCTTGTAGGTACGCCCTCTCCTTGGTCCCATAGAGCCAGGACACCCCCAATCACCCATCTCAAGCCCAGCAAGAGCAACCTACATATGGAACTCCAGAAAACACCTGTGGCCAGGACCTTATTTATTTATTTATTTATTTATTTTTTGAGACGGAGTTTTGCTTTTGTTGCCCAGGCTGGAGTGCAATGCTGTGATCTCGTCTCACTGCAACCTCTGCCTTCCGGGTTCAAGCGATTCTCTTGCCTCAGCCTCCTGTGTAGCTGGGACTACAGGTGCAAGGCACCATACCTGGCTCATTTTCGTATTTTTAGTAGAGACGGGCTTTCACCATGTTGGCCAGGCTGGTCTCAAACTCCTGACCTCAGGTGATCCTACAGCCTCGGCCTCCCAAAGTGCTGGGATTACAACGCGTGAGCCACTGTGCCTGGCCCAGGACTTTTTTTTTTTAAGGGACAGTCTCACTCTGTTGGTCAGGCTGGAATGCAGTGGCACGATCTGAGCTCACTGCAGCCTCAAACTCCTGGGCTCAAGCGATCCTCCCACCTCAGCCTCCAGAGTAGAGCACACCACCCATGTCTGGCTCATTTTTTTTTTTTTTTTTTTTTGCGGGGGTTAGGGACAGGGTCTCACTATGTTGCCCAGGCTGGCCTAATCTTAATTCTCTAAGACATGCCTTTGAGAGACAAAGGTCTTTTTCTCCTCTTCTAACACAGTACTGTAAGAACTGAATATTACTTGAAAACCTTAAGAAGTGACCTTGACTCTCAATTTGAATGGCTGAACTCCCCCCAAGTATAAAGAACGGCCTTGTGGGAAGCAGGAAGTGGAAACAGGCCCCACCTGGGAGAAATCTGGCTTCATGGGCGGGTTCTCACGCAGCTCAGGGTTGAGGTACTCGTTGTTGACGTAGTAGCCCACTCGGATGAACTCCTGTCCATGGTAGGTGCAGGTGATGAGGACCACAGTCACACCCACGGCATCAGTCTCTGGGATGAGGGATGGGTTGGGGGCGTCGGCCTAGGGGAGACACATCCTAGGCCTTAGCAGTGCCACAGCCATGCCTCGATGTCATTAGTACAAAGATTCCCAAGCATCATGTATTTACTGAGCAAAAAGTATGCTCTCTGCCCTCAGTTTTCTTTTTTTTACTTCTGCCTCTCGGGTTCAAACAATTCTGCCTCAGCATCCCAGGCAGCTGGGACTACAGGCACACACCACCACACCCGGCTAACTTTTTTTTTTTTTTGGTATTTTTTTTTAATGGAGTTTTGCTCTGTTGCCCAGGCTGAAGTGCAATGGTGCGATCTCGGCTCACTGCAACCTCCGCCTCACGGGTTCAAGCGATTCTCCTGCCTCAGCCTCCCGAGTAGCTGGGATTACAGGTGCCCACCACCATGCCCGGCTAATTTTTGTATTTTTAGTAGAGATGGGGTTTCGCCATGTTGGCCAGGCTGGTCTCGAACTCCTGACCTCAGGTGATCCACCCGTCTTGGACTCCTAAAGTGTTGGGATTACAGGTGTGAGCCACTGCGCCCAGCCTTTTTTTTGTATTTTTAGTACAGACGGGATTTCACCATGTTGGCCAGGCTGGTCTTAAACTCCTGACTTCAGGTGATCTGCCCACCTCGGCCTCCCAAAGTGTTGGGATTACAGGTGTGAGCCATTGCGCCTGGACTTTTTTTTTTTTTACACAGGGTCTGGCCTCCCTCTGTTACCCAGGCTGGAGTGCAATGGCGCCATCATGGCTCACTGCATCCTTGAACTCCTGGGCTCAAGCAATCCTCCTGCTTCAGCCTCCCAAATAGCTGGGACAACGGTGTGTGCCAACATGTCTAGCCAATTATTTTTTGTAGAGACAGGGTTTCTCCATGTTGCCCAGGCTGGTCTCAAACTCCTGGGCTCAAGCGATCCTCTCACCTCAGCCTCCCAAAGGGCTGGGATTACAGGTGTGAGTCACTGTGCCCAGCCAGGAGTTGTCAACTGATGGAAACACAGAATCAATCCCACAAATGACTACAAAACGTTGACTGTGGCAGGGAGAGGTGCGTGGTACTCTGGAGGAGTGTGGTGAGCCGGGGGACAGTGGCATGAAGCTGAACAGGTGAGGCAGGTGGTATCAGGCCACCCGGGGGCCAGCTAAGGGATTGGGAAAGGGCAAGAGAGTAAGCAGGAGGTTAAGTGCCACATCACTCTTGTGATCTGAAAAGAAGCCTCTGGCAAAGTGTGGAGCCGTGACAGGAGACTGTAGTGGAGCAGAAGGCTTACACCAGTCATCCTGGAGAGGCAGTGGACTTGGCTTAGACCAGGCAGTAAAGAACAGATTCAGGGTGTACTACTGCAAACAAGACCAGCCACGTAATTGGTGCAAAATAAAACCAATGCAAAATGAAAACACCACGCCCCTCCAGAAAAGCTATTAGGTTTCAGACGGTGACAGCAGAGTATCGCACCAAGTGTGGGGTCCTGTGCAGCTGCCTGGGTTGCACACCCAGGAGGCCAGTCCTGACTGTTGAGTAGATAGGGCCTGTCAGTGGATTTAGTAGTGGTGGCTGAAGGGGTTAGATAGGATGTGGTAGCTTGGATTAGGGCGGTAACAGCAGTGATGGAGGTAAGGGAGTGTATCCGAGCAGAGGATCCTGAAAAATCACCTGGAGAACTCAGAATCTCCATTTGTTTTTTCTTTCTTCTTTTTTTTTTTTTTTTTTTTTGAGATGGAGTCTCACTGTCACCCAGGCTGGAGTGCAGTGGCGTGATCTCGGCTCACTGCAAGCTCCGCCTCCCAGGTTCACGCCATTCTCCTGCCTCAGCCTCCTGAGTAGCTGAGACTACAGGTGCCCGCCACCAGGCCTGGCTAATTTCTTGTATTTTTTAGTAGAGATGGGGCTTCACCATGTTAGCCAAGATGGTCTCAATCTCCTGACCTTGTGATCCGCCCACCTTGGCCTTCCAAAGTGCTGGGATTACAGGCGTGAGCCACTGCACCGGCCTTCTTTTTTTAAAGAGATAGCTTTTCCCTCTGTCATCCAGACTGGAGTGCAGTGGTGCAATCACAGATCACTGTAAACTCCTGGAACTCCTGGGCTCAAGCGAGCCTATTTTTTTTTTTTTTTTTTTTTAGAGACAGGGTCTCACTCTGTTGCCCAGGCTCGAGTGCAGTGGCGCAATCTCAGCTCACTGTAACTTCCGCCCCCTGGATTCAAATAATTCTCGTGCCTCAGCCTCCCGAGTAGCTAGGATAACAAATGTGCACCACCACATCCAGCTAATTTTTGTATTTTTTAGTAGAGACAGGGTTTCACCATGTTGGCCAGGCTAGTCTTTAACTCCTGACCCCAAGTGATCTGCCTGCCCCAGCCTCCCAAAGTGTTGAGATTACAGGTGTGAGCCATGGCACCTGGCCTCAAGTGAGTCTTCTGCTTCAGCCTCCCTAGTAGCTGGCACTACAGGCCTGCATCACTATGCCTGGTTAATGTTTTTTTTGTAGAGACAGGTCTCGCTGTCACCCAGAATGCAGTGCAGAGGTGCAATCATAGCTCGCTGTAGCCTCAAACTCTCAGGCTCAAGCAAGCCTCCTGCTTCAGCCTCCCAAGTAGCTGGGACGACAGGTGCAAGCCACCACACCCGGCTAATTTTTCTATTTTTTGTAGAGATGGGGGTCTCGCTATGTGGCCCAGGCTAGTCTGGAACTCCTGGCCTTAAGCAGTCCTCCCGCCTCTGCCTCCCAAAGTGCTGGAAGCCACCACACCCGGCCAGAATCTACATTTGACAACCCAGGTGGGGTGCTGCATGAGAGCCATTTAGGAGTTACAGTCCATCCTCATTATTCATGGGTTCCATATGTGCAAGTTCACCTACCTGCTAAGTTTATTTGTAACCCCAAGATGAACACCTGCTTGCTTTCACAGTCACTTGCAGACATGCACAGAGCAGGGAAAAACTGGAGTTACCTACCATGCCTGTTCCCACCTAGAGTTACCTACCACGCCTGTTCCCACCTGAGGTCAAACAAGGCAACACTCTGTCTTCTGGTCTCAGCTCTCACTGTGAATGAGCGTCCTTTCCTCAGCCTACTTAGTGCTTTTTTCCATGTTTTGTGCTTTTTGTTGGTGAGTTTGCTGTCTATGATGGCACCCAACGGTAGTGCTGAAGTGCAGTGTAGGATACAAGAAAGGCTTTATGGAAAATATGCGTATTAGAGAAGTTTCATTCAGGAGAGTTATAGTGCTGTTGGCTGTGAATTCAACATAAATGAACCACTGTATATATTAAATAAGGTATCTTTCCTTTTTTTCTGAGACAGAGTATCGCTGTATCACCCAGGCTAGAGTGCACTGGTGCGATCTCAGCTCACTGCAATCTCCATCTCCCAGGTTCAAGCGATTCTCCCGCCGCAGCCTCCCGAGTAGCTGGGATTACAGGCATGCGCCACCACACCTGGCTGATTTTTGTATTTTTAGTAGAGACGGGGTTTCATCACATTGGCCAGGCTGGTCTTGAACTCCTGACCTCAGGCGATCCACCCACCTCAGCCTCCCAAAGTGCTGGGATTACAGGTTTGAGCCATCATAGCCGTCCTGGTGTCTTTTCAACATAAACACACATACAAGTTTACGTATTAACCAGCTGACGAAAATGTGACTTCCAAGAATCTAACCCTGTATTTCCCCTGGGGCAATGGTTCAGTATTCACTAATTCAGTGTTCGCGGCAACTTTATAGAACGTAACTCTTGTAAATAATGGGAATTGCCTGTAAATCAGTGGCAGCTTTGACACAGAGGTGGGGGAAGGGAGGGCCTGACGGCCTCTGAGAGGTCAGATAGTTCCTGACAGTAGAACTAGGATTTGAACCTGAACTTTTAAATTGTTTTAATTGATTGATTGAGACTGGGTCTTACTGTTGCCCAGGCTGGAGTGCAGTGGTGTGGTCTTGGCTCATTGTAGCTTCCATCTCCCAGGCTCAAGTGATCCTCCCATTTCAGCCTCCCAAGTATCTGAGACTACAGGCGCACACCACCATGCTCTGCTGATTTTTACATTTTTTGTAGAGATGCGGTCTCACTATATTGCCCCAGCTGGTCTCAAACTCCTGGCCTCAAGCAATCCTCCCACCTCGGCCTCCCAAAGTGCTGGGATTACAGGTGTGAGCAACTGTGCCCGGCCTCTATGTTTTTAATACTTGTTTTTTTCTTTTTTAGAGACAGGGTCTCACTGTGTTGCCTAGGCTGGAGTGCAGTGGCTCACTGCAGCCTCAGACTCCCGGGCTCAAGCAATCCTCTCACCTCAGTCCCTGGAGTAGCTGGGTCTATAGGCGTGAGCCCGTGCCCAGCTGAACTTGAACTTTTGATTCCTGAAGCACTCTGTGGGATTTCAGGTAAAAGAGGATGTTTCTAGGAATCAAGGGCTAAGGCCTAAGGCCTCATCTTTCTTACCTGAAAGACAAACATGTGTCTCCCTGCTGGCACAGGGCCCACCAGCACCGAGTCTAGGATCTGATCAAATTCCTCACTCTCAGCCGAGCCAACATAAATGATCTTCCACTCCAGGTCTGCAAAGATATAGGAGGGTTAACTAATTGAAATAGCTCAACAGCAAGAAGGCAGGGATAGGCTCTTGTATTTTTTTTTTTTTTTGAGATGGAGTCTCGTTCTGTCACACAGGTTAGAATACAGTGATGCGATCTCAGCTCACTGCAACTTCCGCCTCCCAGGTTCCAGTGATTCTCATACCTCAGCCTCCCGAGTGGCTGGGATTATAGGTGCCCGCTGCCACGCCTAGCTAATTTTTTTTTTCTTTTTTGAGATGGAGTTTCACTCTTGTCACCCAGGTTGGAGTACAATGGTGTGATCTTGGCTCACTGCAATCTCTGCCTCCCAGGTTCAAGCGATTCTCCTGTCTCAGCCTACTGAGTAGCTGGAATTACAGGCACCTGCCATCATGGCTGGCTAATTTTTTTATTTTTAGTAGAGACAGGGTTTCACCATGTTGATCAGGCTGGTTTAGAACTCCTGACCTCAGGTGATCCACCCGCCTTGGCCTCCCAAAGTGCTGGGATGACAGGTGTGAGCCACTGTACCTGGCCTGTTTTTGTATTTTTAGTAGAGATGGGGTTTCACCATGTTGGCCAAGCTGGTATCCAACTCCTGACTTCAAGTGATCTGCCCGCCTCAGCCTTCCAAACTGGTGGGATTACAGGTGTGAGCCACTGCGCCCGGCCACATCTTCTATTTTATTTTTATTTACTTATTTTTTGAGACAGTCTCCCTCTGTTGCCTAGGCTGGTGTGCAGCGGGATGTTCATGGCTCACTGTAGCCTCAACCTCCTGGGCTCAAGCGATCCTCCTGCCTCGGACTCCCACCATGTTGGGATCACAGGTGTGGGCTGCTGTGCCCAGCCTTGTGGTAATTTTAGACAGATCCTTAATATGTTAAAAGACTATTATTCCATCTGTCAGACACTTAGTGCCAGGCACTGCAGTCTTGAATGCTGAGGTGGGCACAAAGCTCTACCTCCATTAGGGAATTCTGTCTTGTAAGCCTAGCTATGACAGGTGACCTTGACTATACCTCTGGGGAAACCTGGGCCTCTCAAGGCCTGAGCGTGAACTGTATGGCAGAGGCTGAATTAAGAGCCACGTGACACAGACGTGCTGAGAAGGGAACGGCAGGGAGTTGGGTCATTTCAGGGCCCTGCCCACTGGGTGCTGGGATAGGAAGCAGCATCCTCTTTCACACACAGGGACCGGTGCCACTCAACGAAGTGGATCCCTCGACAACTGGGGCAGGGTGGCAGATTCCAATCCGGCAGGAGAGCCAGCCTGCAGGAGGGGGAAGGTGAGGTTGCTCAGGGAGCCAGCCACCCTGGTCTTCCAGATCTGGCACCAAGTCATGCCTACTTAGAGACATTTGGGCAACTCAGTCAACAAATGTGGCATCCCGGGGTGATCCTCCAAACACTTTTTTTTTTTGACAGTTTCACTCTTGTTGTCCAGGCTAGAGTGCAATGGTGAGATCTCGGCTCACTGCAACCTCTGCCTCCCGGGTTCAAGTGATTCTCCTGCCTCAGCCTCCTGAGTAGCTGGGATTATAGGCGCCCGCCACCACAGCCGGCTAATGTTTTGTATTTTTAGTAGAGATGGGGTTTCACCATGTTGGCCAGGTTGGTCTCGAACTCCTGACCTCAGGTCATCCATCCGCCTCCGCCTCCCAAAGTGCTGGGATTACAGGTGTGAGCCACCGTGCCCAGCCTCAAACCCTAACTCTTGCACCCCATCCAGCAGGAGGGCCCCCTCCCCTGAATATGCTCCATTGAGATGAAAGGAAAGTGCTTATGGAACCTCTGGCTGTCAATCACAGGAAATTCCGGTCAACATGGCCTCTTGCAGGAGGTCCAAGTGTATCAGGGGCAAGGTCATGCTGGTACAGGGAGGCTTGGCAAGAGGCTTGAAACTTATTTTTGGCTCTTTAGAAATTACACAACCCTTCAGCTCTAGCAGCTGGGGGAAGTTTCACAAGCTGTGATTTTCACAGGAAGCAAACTCTCTCAGAAGCTGCCCTGTTCCTTGGTCCAGTGTCCCACAAGAGCATCCAACTTTGGAAGCATGCTGCTGCCAGGTCATGACTACAGAGGCTTGTCACCTGAGCCCCATGCCCTTCTTTGATGCACTGGCTGCCTGTCCCTTTGTGGTTTCACTCAGGAACCCTATAGCAGGTCTGTAGGATACGGGTGACCATTGAACTCACAGGTGTTTGGTCGAACTAGCCTCTTACTATTTGCAGGGAGGAAGTTGACTTTTTTCACTGGAGATGGGGTCTCGGTCCGTCACCCAGGCTGCAGTGCAGTGGCATAATCATAGCTCACTACAGCCACAAATTCCTGCGCTCAAGTGATTCTCTTGCCTTAGCCTCCCAAGTAGCTGGGACCACAGGCTTGTGCCACACGCCCAGGGAATTTTTAAATTGTTTTTAGAGATGAGGTCTTGCTTGGTTGCCCAGCCTGGTCTCAAGCAATCCTCCCGCCTTGGCCTCCCAAAGTGCTGGAATTTGTCTGAGCCATCATGTCCAGCCTGTTGATTTATTTTTGTTACAAGTAGTGACACAACTGGAATCAAGTTTTGGGGGAAGACAGAAAAGCCAGCCAGCCCTGCTCTCTCCTTTCTAAAGCAGTTGTATCATTTTGGTGTATATCCTTGAGCCCTTTCCTCTCATAGCCGGTAGAATCCTGTACGGGTGCATTTAATTCATGTCCTGGGAAGGTAGACAAAAAAGACTAAAGTGTACCCACGAGCACCTGATGTTGTCCAGCTGAGGTCAATACTAATCGGCAAAACCTAAACAAAGAGCATGTGGAAACTCACCGAAATAAATGGGCCCCTGCAACATAGGCAGACTCGACTCTATTAAAAATCAACAAAATTAATTGGGTGTGGTGGCGCGTGCCGGTGGTCCCAGCTATGCGGGAGGCTAAGGTTGGAGGATCGCTTGAGCCTAGGAGTTCAGGGCTGCAGTGAGCCATGATCGAGCCACTGCATTCCAGCCTGGACGACAGAGACCCTATCTCAAAGGAAAAAAAAGAAAAAGAAAAAATGTACTGTGTTGACTGTCAGGCACAGGGGCTGAAATGGCTCTTTCAACCAGGGCTGGAAAGAAACTGGAGAATTAACTAACGGCTGTAGAGAAATACTGACTCAAGAGTTACAGAAGCTGGTTGGGCACGGCAGCTCACACCTGTAATCCTAGCACTTTGGGAGGCCGAGGCAGGCAGATTGCCTGAGCTCACGAGTTCGAGACCAACCTGGGCAACATGGTGAAACCCCATCTCTACTAAAAATATAAAAATTTAGCTGGGCATGATGGTGTGCACCTGTAATTCCAGCTACTCAGGAGTCTGAGGCATAAGAACTGCTTGAACCTGGGAGGCAGCAGAGATTGCAGTGAGCCGAGATTTTGCCACTGCACTCCAGCCTGGGCAACAGAGCCAGCCTCCGTCAAAAAAAAAAAAAAAAAAAAAAAAAAAAAAAAGAAGAAAGAAGGAAAGAAAGGAAGAAAAAAAGAGTTATAGGTATAGGGCCAGGTGAGGTGGATCATTGGATCATGGCTGTAATCCTAGCACTTTGGGAGGCTGAGGCGGGTGGATTGCTTGAGCTCAGAAGTTCGAGATCAGCCTGGGCAACATGGTGATACAAAAAATACAAAAAATTAGCCAGGCGTGGTGGCATGCCCCTGTAGTCTCAGCTACTCGGGAGGCTGAGGTTGCAGTGAACTGAGATCGTGCCTCTGCACTCCAGCCTGGGTGACAGAGTGAGACTCCATCTCTACTAAAAATATAAAAAATTAGCTGGGCGTGGTGGTGTGCACCTGTAATTCTAATTTATTTTATTTTATTTTGACATGGAGTCTCACTCTGTTGCCCAGACTAGAGTGCAGTGGCACGATCTCGGCTCACTGCAAGCTCCGCCTCCCGGGTTCATGCCATTCTTGTGCCTCAGCCTCCTAATCAGCTGGGACTACAGGCACCCCCCACCACGCCCGGCTAATTTTTTTTTCTATTTTTAGTAGAGACGGGGTTTCACTGTGTTAGCCAAGATGGTCTCGATCTCCTGACCTTGTGATCCGCCTGCCTTGGCCTCCCAAAGTGCTGGGATTACAGGCATGAGCCACTATGCCCAGTCGAGAATCATCTTAAATTTGCTGAAGTGCCCAGGCATGGTGATGTGCACCTGTGGTTCCAGCTACTTAGGAAGCTGAGGTGGGAGGACTGCTTAAGCCCAGGAGTTCAAGTCCAGTCTGGGCAACATAGTGACACCCTATCTCTTTAAAAAAAAAAAAAAAAATCTGGCTGCAGTGTTATAAGTAGAGACATACGTGTATGATTTCATCTCTAAATATAATCTTTCTTTAGAATTATACATGGGACACAAATCACCAATACAGCAGGAACTCATAGCTATGAGTACAGGACACAGCTGTACACATGACGTGTGTACCTAACCTTCTGAGCAATGTCAAGGCAACTCAACTGTGTCCCATGTTATCTCTCTGCGCTAACTTCACAAGCTAGTCCCTGTGCAAGACATACCTCCACTGTGTGTTTGTGTGTATATATATATATATATATATATAAATGATAAGACTAAAGACATGTACACAATTAGTATAGCTGAACTAGCTAAAAAGTCTGCTTCCTGCTTTTTTGTTGTTGTTTTTTTGAGACAGTCTTGCTCTGTCGCCCAGGCTGGAGTGCAATGGCGCAATCTGGGCTCACTGCAATTTCCATCTCCCGGGTTCAAGCGCTTCTCCTGCCTCAGCCTCCCAAATAGCTGGGACTACAGGCACCTGCCACCAAGCCTGGCTAACTTTTGTATTTTTAGTAGAGACAGGGTTTCACCACATTGGCCAGGCTGGTCTCAAACTCCTGACCTCAGATGATCCACCTGCCTTGGTCTCCCAAAATGCTGGGATTACAGGGGTAAGCCACTGTGCCTGGCCATTTTTTTTTTCTTTTTTTTTTTTTGAAACAGAGTCTCGCTCTGTCACCCAGGTTGGAGTGCAGTGGCACAATCTCAGCTCACTGCAACCTCTGCCTCCCGGGTTCTAGCGATTCTTCTGCCTCAGCCTCCTGAGTAGCTGGGATTATAGCTGCGTGCCACCATGCCTGGCTAATTTTTGTATTTAGTAGAGCCGGGGTTTCACCACGTCGGTTAGGCTGGTCTCGAACTCCTGACCTTGTGATCCATCCGCCTCGGCCTCCCAAAGTGCTGGGATTACAGGTGTGAGCCACCACACCTGGCTTTTTCTTTTTTTTTTTTTTTGAGATGGAGTCTTGCTTTGTTGCCCAGGTTGGGGTGCAGTGGTGCAATCTCGGCTCGCTGCAAGCTCTGCCTCCTGGGTTCACGCCATTCTCCTGCCTCAGCCTCCCGAGTAGCTGGGACTACAGGCGCCCGCCACCACACCCGGCTAATTTTTTGTATTTTTAGTAGAGACGGGGTTTCACCATGTTGGCCAGGCTGGTCTCGAACTTCTGACCTCAGGTAATCTGCCCGCCTTGGTCTCCCAAAGTGCTGGGATTACAGGCGTGAGCCACCATGCCAGGCCTCCTTTGTTTGTTTGCTTTTTGCCTTTGTTCATAATCAAAGATGAGCTCTGCTGCCATAACAACTTCGTTATTTCTGGGTCAGAACATCTGGCTTCTATGACTTATTCAACCAGTGTCTGTTGAATTTCTCAGCTAAATGTGGAAGAATCTATTTCCAGATGTGGAAGATAAAAGTGCAAAGGGGGCTTGGGGCCCCTGAGAAATAGGGGTCACCCAACTGGGGCTTAGGGGTTAGGGTGGTTTTTTTTTTTTTTTTTTTTGAGATGGGGGTCTTGCTCTCTCACCCAGGTTGGAGTGCAGTGGTGCAATCATGGCTCACTGCAGCCCTGACCTCCTGGGCTCATGCAATCCTCCCACTTCAGCCTCCTGAGTAGCTGGGACCACAGACACGTGCCACCAAGTCCCGTTAATTTTTTGATGTTTCTGTAGAGACAAGGTTTTGCTATGTTACCCAGGCTGGCCCAAATTCCTGGGCTCAAGAGATCCTCCTTCCTTAGCCTCCCAAAGTGCTGGAATTACAGGCATGAGCCACCTCACACAGCTGGGTTGGGGGTTTTGTCAGATTTTCAGTTGACGCTGCTGAGAGTGAGGCAGATTCTCCCTTTTTCATGGAGAGGAGTCCAGAAGGAGGCAGAAAGCAAGCTGGCAGATCAGTCACAGAGAGCCCTAGGACTGGAAGAGCCAGGATTTCTCACTTGAGTTACTCAAAGGAAAAGCTTTATCATCCAGGTACAATTAACAATAGCATTCTCTGGCCAGGCGCTTAGGATTCAAAGTGTAATCCCAGCACTTTGGGAGGCTGAAGTGGGCATATCACTTGCGATCAGGTTTGAGACCAGCCTGGCCAACATGGTGAAACCTCGTCTCTACTAAAGACACAAAAATTAGCCGGGCATGGTGGCTCAAGCTTGTAATCCCAACTACTTGGGATACTGAGGCCGGAGAATCGCTTGAACTCGAGAGGTGGAGATTGCAGTGAGCTGAGATTGCACCACTGCACTGTAGCCTGGGTGACATAGTGAGATTCCATTTCTAATAATAATCATCATCATCATCATAATCATACGACGGGCACGGTGGCTCACGCCTGTAATCCCAGGCCGAGGCGGGCGGATCACAAGGTCAGGAAATCGAGACCATCCTGGGTAACACAGTGAAACCCCGTCTCTACTAAAAATCCAAAAAGTTAGCTGGGCATGGTTTCGGGCGCCTGTAGTCCCAGCTACTTGGGAGATTGAGGCAGGAGAATGGCGTGAACCCGGGAGGCGGAGCTTGCAATGAGCCATGATCACGCCACTGCACTCCAGCCTGGGTGACACAGCGAGACTCCATCTCAAAAATAAATAAATAAATAAATAAATAAATAAATAATAATAATAGCACTTCCCTTCACTGCATTTTGAGTGTCCTGATTAGGCAATAAATTCTGTGGTCATTCCTATCTATGCTCCACCCCTGAAACAGGGAATCCTTCCTTTCTTTCCCTGGATTGGAGCAAAGATAAAGAATTTAGATTCAAAACTTCAGTGCCAATACTTCTACAAACTGGCTGTGTGACTCTGGTGAAGTCACTCCATTTCTATTAAAAAATGATCAGCAGAGGCTGGACGCAGTGGCTCACGCCTGTAATCCCAGCACTTTGGGAGGCTGAGGCGGGCGGATCACCTGAGGTCAGGAGTTCAAGACCAGCCTGGCCAAGATGGTGAAACCCCGTCTCTACTAAAAATACAAAAATTAGCCAGGCGTCATAGCAGGCACCTGTAATCCCAGCTGCTCGGGAGGCTGAGGCAGGAGAATCGCTTGAATCTGGGAGGTGGAGGTTGCAGTGAGCCAAGATCGCGCCATTGCACTCCAGCCTGGGGGACAAGAGCAAGACTTCATCTCCAAAAAAACAAAAAAAGGACCAGCAGGTTGAATTTAGCCCTTCCGGCTCTAATTCTATAAATAAGTTAGTAAAGTCACAGGGCAGGGGCTTCCTAGGAGTAGAAGTACCAGATAATGACCGCACAACCATTTTTTTTTTTTTTTTTTTTTTTTGAGACGGAGTCTCGCTCTGTCGCCCAGGCTGGAGTGCAGTGGCGCGATCTCGGCTCACTGCAAGCTCCGCCTCCCGGGTTCACGCCATTCTCCTGCCTCAGCCTCCCGCGTAGCTGGGACTACAGGCGCCCGCCACCACGCCCGGCTAATTTTTTGTGTTTTTTAGTAGAGACGGGGTTTCACCGTGTTAGCCAGGATGGTCTCGATCTCCTGACCTCGTGATCCGCCCGCCTCGGCCTCCCAAAGTGCTGGGATTACAGGCGTGAGCCACCGCGCTCGGCCACAACCATTTTTAAATGCAAGGAACACAAACAGGCTGATTGAAACCTGATCTCCTGCCGTCGGGGAGCTGGGAATCCCTCAACCTATTACTTCCTTCCATCTCCTCCTGGCTTTTAAATTAAATCTTATTCCACAGCGTCATTCTACACTTTATTTATTTATTTACCCGCTGCCTTGTTCCAGAAAGGATTTAACTCGGCATATTCTATAGTTAGCCACAAGTAGACTCCTTAATTTAAAAAGGAGCGAGAGAGACCGGGGAGAGACAGACCCACTGGCCTACCCAAAGCACATCCACATCTCACTCTATCAGCTCCAAGCTAGTCCAGGCGACCAGCTTTGAGGGCAAAACACCTACCTGCCCCCGAGAGGCACTAGTTAGCATATCCTGGCTTCACAGGCCCCCAGATCACCACCTCCTCGGCTGCTGCCTTTTCTCTTTCAACCACCAAGTAGAAAAATGGCCTAATGGAGTACTTCTTCCTGAAAGCAGGACTTGCCTGTTAGTGGTGCCAAGGCTCCCTAGGTGACCTTAGATTTTGGATTTGTACAGGCCTTGACTTGAAAGGTCTTTTGCGTTTTGTGGCTCCTGTCTTCTCATCTGTGAGATGAGAGCCATGCCCACCTTTAAGTCACACAGATTAATAAGTACATCTACGGAAGCACCTTGGAAAAGATGTACAGGAGGCTGTGACCTCCAAGCTCCAGCCGACTGTTTGAAGCTGGAGCCCGTCACAGCTCAGCCCAATCCACCCACCCCCCAGACTAGGTCAGACCATCAAAAGCAACGGGAGCTTGGCACTGATTATCCAGCTATATTAAAAAAAAAAAAGAAGAAGACGGGGCACGGTGGCTCACGCCTGTAATCCCAGCACTTTGGGAGGCCAAGGCGGGTGGATCACTTGAGGTCAGGAGTTCGAGACCAACCTGGCTAACATGGTGAAACGCTGCCTCCACTAAAAATACTAAAATTAGCTGGGCGTGGTGACAGGCGCCTGTAGTCCCAGCTACTCGGGAGGCTGAGGCAGAAGAATCGCTTGAACTCGGGAGGTGGAGGTTGCAGTGAGCCGAGATCGTGCCATTGCACTCCAGCCTGGGCAACAGAGTGAGACTGTCTCAAAAAAAAAAAAAAAAAAAAGAAGAGGAAGAAGAAGAAAGAAAAAGTGACAGAAAAATTGCTGCAGTAACTCAGCTGGAAACGGGTGGGCAAACCTGGAGAACTAGCTAATGCCTGCCTGGCTATGCCACCCCTCGGATCTCAGTGTGTTTATCCAAGCCCACAGAGAAAGGTGGGGAAGGGGAGCTGGGGAGACAAAGTTCCCCTCAAAGACGGTAGCATCCTTTCCCAGGGAGAGCTCAAGCATAGGGGGGTTGGGCCCCAACGAAGGAGAGAAACCAGGTTCCAGGGTATGTGCATTGGGGCAGAAAAGCGGCAGCAACTGGTGGGCGTGGGGTTATTGAAATATTGGCAGGTTGGGGAGGGGACTGGTGGGACACAAATGGGAAGATGGGGTTGAGAGAGGTCCTGAAAAGGGGTTGAGGGGTTTTCACAGGAAAAAAAGGTTACTGGAGGGGAGGGTCTTCACGGCAAGGAGAGAGGAGCTTGGGTGAGAGGTCTCCATAGGGAAAATAGGAGATGGCTGGGATTTCCCCCGGGGAAAATGGGAAGGGGCTGGATATTGGGGGTCTCCAGAGGGAAAATGGGAGGTGTGAGTATCTCACTACAGGAAAGAGGGAATAAGTGGGCAAAAATGGGTGGGTGGTTGAAGCGGGGGTCTTGCCACAGGGAAACCACGGTGGCTGAAGATCTCCGTGGGTTAAGAAATGGAGGCCGAGAAGGTCTCCCCATGAAAACGGGTACCTAGGAAGAGCTCCAGAGAAAAAAGATGGATGAGGTTCCCCACGCGGGAAATGGGGCTTGGAGGGGGTTAATCTCTATGGGGAGGTCGGGGCGGGCAGTGGGGGAAGAGGCCACTGGGAGGTCCGAGTTAGCTGGCGGGGGGTCTCCACCCGGGAGGTCAAGGCGGGCAGTGGGGGAGGAGGTCACGGGGAGGTCCGTGTTGGCTGGTGGCGGGGGGTCTCCACCGGGAGATCCGGTTGACTGGCGGGCTGGGGGAGATCGGGGTTGGCGGAAGGGGGACGAGGGGTTTCATGGGGGAGATCAAGTTGGCCATGGGAGCGGTTCTCTGAGGGGAGGCCGGGGTCGGCCCGGGGGTGGGGGTCCCCGCACAGGCCCAGCCTCACCGTCCGCCAGGGCTTCACTGCACTCGAAGCTGATCTCGAACCGGAAGGGGCTGTGGAAAGGGCTCGGGTTCTCCAGGACCGCCACGTTCAGCACCGACACCTTGGCCATCGCCTCGCCTCGCCGCGCCGCAGCAGGGGCAGGGGCTGTGGCTGTGGCGGAGGCCGCGCCTGGGTCCGGTGGGGTCAGTGGGGTAGGGCTGACCAGGTCCACTCCCGCCTCTTCTCTCCGAGAACTGAAGTGCGCACCTAGTCCGCGCGCCGCCTTCAAATAGCCGGCCTCCGCCCTCTGGCCAATCACCGCCAACGCTCCCTGGCGGCGCGCGCACCCCCTCAGCCAGTCCTGGAGCGCCGATCGGCGCGCGCCCAGACTCCTCGGACCAATCAGCGGAGCTCCCTCTCCGCAGCGTGTGAGGAGGGCGAAACTATCTCCAAGCTTCTTAGCGTGTCCGCTGGAAACCAATCCCCAGCGTCTCCGACTTGGATGTCAACGGCGGGAATGGACGGAGTCACAGCGCCGGCCTCCTTCTGGCCAATCCTGAGGGTTCCCGCACCGGCGTGGCCCGCCCCTCGCCTCGCTTTTCCGGGAGATGCATCCCGCAGCGCGCAGCGCCGCCACCCGCCGAGCGGTGGCGCGCGGCGCTCGCTAAAGAAGGCGGGAAGGGCGGTGCTCGCACCCGAAGTGATTGGCAGGAGGGAGTGGGGCGGAGATAAAGAGGGTTTTCTGAGAGTTTATTGGCTGGATTGGTAATGGTGGCGGGAGCAGAAGGAGGCTCAGCTGGGGATTCGCTGGAGAGAAGCGGAAGTCGAGCGCCACCGCGGTGTTGGCGAGTGTGAAGAGAGAGGAGGAGCGTTTGCGGCCTCAGCGTCTGTCAACAGGTGAGCGTTTCCTGGAGCTTTTCTGAGTGGCTCCTGACCCTTGAGGTCCAGCGGCGCGGGAGTCCGTTGTGAACGTTGCGAACGTTCGGAGTGGCGGTCACGAGGCGCGCTCAGACCTCGGGAATCCGGCCGGGTTCGGATCCCGCTTTCGCCCCCGAGGGGTTCGGATCCCGCTCTCGCCCCCGAGGGGTTCGGATCCCGCTCTCGCCCCCGAGGGGTTCGGATCCCGCTCTCGCCCCCGAGGGGTTTGGATCCCTCTCTCGCCCCCTTGAGGGCTCTTGGGAGGTTTCAAGCGGACGGTACTGAAAATGGGAGTTCCAGTTCGGGGGCAGACCAGTGTTCAGAGTCCGGGCTCTGCTACTCAGCGCCCGAGGCAGCGCCTCCCCATTCAACGGGGGCCGTGGCAATTCCCTGACATGATTCATGACCACATAATACATCCGGAAACTTCTCTCCACCGCCTCCCGTCTGGGCCGTCGCCCCCGGCCTGGGAGACTCCAGGTCTCAGAGTCTCTGCCCCCACGGGCGATCAGTGCTGCCCAGTGGAAAAATAATGCCAGCCGCGCACCAAAATTAGGTGTAAAATTAACATTTTTTGGAAGCCACTTTTTTTTTTTTGAGATGGAATCTCGCGCTGTCACTCAGGCTGGAGTGCAATGGCGCGATCTCGGCTCACTGCAACCTCTACCTCCCGGGTTCAAGCGATTCTCCTGCCTCAGCCTCCTGAGTAGCTGGGATTACAGGTGCCCACCACCACAACCAGCTAATTTTTTTTCTGTATTTTCAGTAGAGACGGGGTTTCACCATGTTGGCCAGGCTGGTCTCGAACTCCTGACCTCAAGTGATCCGCCCGCCTCGGCCTTCCAGAGTGCTGGGATTACAGGCGTGAGCCACTGTGCCCGGCCATATCTTTTTTTATTATTATTTGTAATTTTAGAGGCTGGTCATGGAGGATTTCTTGAGGCCAGGAGTTCAAGATCAGCCTGGGCAACATAACAAGACCTCATATCTACAAAAAATAAAAGAATAAGCCAGGTGTGGTAGTGCATACCTGTAGTGTCTGCTACTCCTGAAGCTGAGGCAGGAGGATCTCTTGAGCCCAGAATGCTCCAGCCACTGCACTCCAGCCTGAGTGTCAGAGTGAGACCCTGTCTCTAAAAATTAAAATTAAATTTTAAAAAAGAAAGTTCAGTTTAGCTGTCTTGATAGCCGCAGTTGAGTGCTCCTGAGCCCGTGTGACAAGTGGCTCCTGTATTACTGGACAGCGAAGGTCAGAAACACATTTGACCAGGTCACTTCTCCGGATGAGAGCATTGTCTTTGAAACTCTATGCTTTGTCTCCTGTTAACCACCCAGCTCCAACTTCAAACCAGGCTAAGTAACCCTCTTTTTGTTAAAATTCTGACAAGCCACTCCCAGTGCAAAGCCTCTGCCCAGAACCTCTTCTCCTAGGCTCTTGGCATGGCTTATGCCTTCTTGTCATTCAAGTCTCTGTTCAAATGTCCTCTCCCCAGAGAGGCCTTTCTAAGGGTGCTCTGGACAGTGTTCAAACTCACAGGCCGTACGCCTGAACAGCACTGAGCCAAGGCACTAGTATTTCTTACCCAGTCACCTCTGTGGGCTCACTAGGACTCACTCACTGTGCTAGTATGTTTTCCTTTTCCTTTTCTTTTTAAACAATCCAGTTCCTGTGGGATTTTTTTTTTTTAATAGAGGTCTGTTGCCCAGGCTGGAGTGCAAGTGGCATAATCGTGGCTCACTATAACCTGGAACTCTTGGGCTCAAGTGATCCTCCCACCTCAGCCTCCCGAGTGGCTGGGATCACCAGTGCGTGCCACCATGCCTAATTTGTTTTATTTTATTTTATTTTTTTTTTGAGAGGGAGTCTTGCTCTGTCACTCAGGCTGGAATGCAGTGGCGCAATCTCAGCTCACTGCAACCTCCTGCTTCCAGCTTCAAGCGATTCTCCCACCTCAGCCTCCCGAGTAGCTGGGACTACAGGCACACGCTACCTTACCCAGCTAATTTTTGTATTTTTAGTAAAGATGGGGTTTCACTATGTTGGCCAGGCTGGTCTCAAACTCCTGACCTCAGGTGATCCACTCACCTCGGCCGCCCAAAGTGCTGAGATTACAGGCATGAGCCACCGTGCCCTGCCTCTTATACTTTTTAAATTTTTTGTAGAGACAGGGTCTCGCTGTTGCCCAGGCTGGTCTTGAAACTCCTGGCCTCAAGCAGTCCACCTATCTTGTCCTTAAGTGCTGGGATTACAGCGCCTAGCCCATTTTTGGTATCTACATCTCACATTAAGTTAAGAAAAATTCTTTTTAGCTGTTAAAAAATCGAAAGCTTTGTTTTTATTCTTTTGAAATTATTTGGCTTCAAGGAAACTCACATTTATGATTCGCTTGATTTCTTGGCAATCATTGCATACTTAGGGATATTTGTGATTTGAGAAAATCTAATTTCCAAATGTAATTCGATTGCTTATGAATACTAAATTTAATGATTAATGCAGTTGTCATGATGTCACATTTCTAGATGCTTAATTAAACATTTATTCATTCCAACTTTGTAGTTTTCTCTTTGCATTGTGGAACTTTTTTCCCTTTATCCCTGTCCCTGACCTTTTCGTAGCCCCTGAGAAGCTCATGATCCACCAGCATTATTTCCGTGGCGCTAATGAAGAATGTGGCCCTGTCTATGATGCATTCTCCTTACAGCTGGCTGAATGATCTTCACTTGTAAACCAGATCATGTCATTACTCTGCTTAAAACCTTCAGAGGCTTATCCTACTTAGAATGAAACCTAAGATCTTTCCTATGGCTTAGGCGGCCCTGCGTGGTGGCCTCAGCTGACCTCTCAGGCCTCATCTACCATTCTTCCTCTTGTCACCGCTCTCAAGCCCAGCTGGCTTTATTTCCCTTCTTTCAACACACCCAGCTTATTTCTGCCGCAGGGCTTTGCACTTGCCGTTCCCTCTGCCTGGAATGTGCTTCCTCCAGATAATTGCATGGCTGTCTCTTTCTCTTCGCTTGTGGTTCAGCTCAAATGTCCTCTGAAAGAAGACTTCCCAGAGTACCCTATTTAAAGTAGCACTTTCTTGGCCGGGCGCGGTGGCTCATGCCTGTAATCCCAGCACTTTGGGAGGCCAAGGCAGGCGGATCACGAGGTCAGGAGATCGAGACCATCCTGGCTAACATGGTGAAACCGCATCTCTACTAAAAATACAAAAAATTAGCCGGGCGTGGTGGCGGGCGCCTGTAGTCCCAGCTACTTGGGAGGCTGAGGCAGGTGAATCGCTTGAATCTGAGAGGTGAGGGTTGCAGTGAGCTGAGATCGTGCCTCTGCAATCCAGCCTGGGTGACAGAGCAAGACTCCGTGTCAAAAAAAATAAATAAATAAATAAAGTAGCTTTTTCTTAATCACATCACTCAGTTTTATGATCTTAGTAACGCATATCAGAATTTGTACTTATTTTCGGGTGGGCATGGTGGCTCACACCTATAATCCCAGCACTTTAGGAGGCCAAGGCGGGCCGGTCACTTGAGGTCAGGAGTTCGAGACCAGCCTGGCCAACATGGCAAGACCCCGTTTCTACTAAAAAAAAAAAATACAAAATAAATAAATAAATAAATAAATAAATTAGCTGGGCGTGGTGGCACGTGCCTGTAGTCCCAGCTGCTCAGGAGGCAGAAGAATTGCTTGAACCGGGGAGGCAGAGGCTGCAATGAGCCGAGATCACGCCACTGCACTCAAGCCTGGGCAACTGAGAGAGATTCCATCTTAAAAAGAAAAAAAGAATTTCTACTTATTTTGGTTTTAAATTGTGCTTATTATCTCATCATCCCTCAGTAGATTGAAAGCTGGTTGTGAGAAGAGATCTCGCCTAGCTCACACCTCTCAATGTTGTACTTCCAGAGCTTAGCAGAGGACGTGGCTCATAGAAAGTCCTCAATCAATTTTTCAAAAAGAATAAATCTGGCTGGGCGCAGTGAGTCACACACTCTGGGAGGCCGAGGTGGGCGGATTACCAGGTCAGGAGATCGAGACCATCATGGCAAACATGATTAAAACCTGTCTCTACTAAAATACAAAAAATTAGCCAGCCGTGGTGGTGCGTACCTGTAGTCCTAGCTACTTGGGAGGCTGAGGCAGGGGAATTGCTTGAACCTGGGAGGTGGAGGTTGCAGTGAGCCTAGATTGCACCACTGCACTCCAGTCTGGTGACAGAGGAAGACTCCGTCTCAAAAAAAAAAAGAATAAATCTATGTAAAGGGTGGGTTTAGCATAGTACCTGGAATGTGAAAAGTACTCAATAAACATGAACCAGCCAGGTGCAGTGGCTCACGCCTGTAATCCCAGCACTTTGGGAGGCTGAGGCGGGTAGATTGCTTGACCTCAGGAGTTCGAGACCAGCCTGGGCAAAACCCTGTCTCTACAAAACATAAAAAAATTAGCCGGGTGTGGTGGCATGTGCCTGTGGTCCCAGCTACTCAGGAGGCTGAGGTGAGAGGATTGCTTGAGCCCTGGGGGCAGAGGTTGCAGTGAACCAAGATCTCACCACTGCACTCCAGCTTAGCTAGGCAACAGAGTGAGACCCTGTCTAAAAACAAACAAAAGACTGAACTGTTAGTAGCATATAGTAATAAGCAGATACGTCTTCATTCTTGTTTAATACTTCAGGTGCACACATGCTCGAGAAAGTATAAGAAGTGCTATAGCAAAATACTGTTACCCAGCTTAACAGCTAAAACATTAGAGATGCAACTGAAGGGCCCTATACCCCTACATCAAACCCATTCCTCTTCCTTTTTCCTCACATGTAACCACAACCCTGAATTTGGTGTTTACAGTCTTCTGTGCATATCGGCGTGTATCTTTAAACAATATATAGTATTGTTTGTCATGTTCTATACTTTTATATAAATGGTGTCTGCGCAATTTAGAGTTAACCTAGCAGGCCTGAGACTGCTATCCTTAGAAAGACCTGTTTGCAAGATTGGCCCTTGGCTGATATCTAGGAACTTGGATTTCAGGAGGGTTCCTGCCGTTCCCCAAATGATGAGTGCCTAAACTGTTTCCACCAACAATGTGGTTCATGTTGAACACCTGCTCTCCTTCTGGAGTCTGGCATTTTGGTACACGACCACCCCCAAGTACAACTCTGGTCACTGAGTAATGAGCTTCCCTGGTAGACCGCCTATCCGTCGTGCTGTCATACTTGGCGGTAGGAATTGATGGAGTCCTGTGTGACTCCACTAGGAGAGGACTCTTAGAAGCTTGTCCTGGTTTCCTCTGGACTTCAGCTCCTGCATCTTTTCCCTTTGCTGATTGTGCCTTGTGTCTCTTCACTATCATAAATCACAGCCATGCCTACGCTTCCAAGCAAAATCCTGTGACTCCTCTTAGTGAGTCATTGAACCTCAGGGTGGTCTTGGGGACCTCTGATAGCAGGATCATACTGGGTGTATCCTGACAGAGCTGGCACTAAGGTGGCACTGGGTCCTGCCTTCTGAAACTTGCTTTTTTTAATCCAGTGTAATGCTTTTGAGATTTATCTATGTGGAAACGTGTATAGCTCTAATTCACTTATTTTCACTGCTATACAGCTGTGCTGATAAGGTAACCACTAGCCACATGTGGCTATTTAGATTAAAATTAGACGAAACAAATAATCTACTTCCCCAGACACACTAGTCACATTTCACATGTTCAGCAGGAGCCTGTGGCTAGTGGCCACCATGGTGTATAGAGAACATAGAGAGGAAACATTTCCATGAGAACAGAGAGTTTTGTTGGACAGTGTTTATCAATTCACTTGGTTGAAATTTAGGGTGTTTTCAGTTTTCTACCATTACAAACAGTGCTGCAGTATGCGTTGGTATCTATGTCTCCTTGAACACATGTAGGAGTTACTCTGGGAGATAAACCTAGGAGTTGAAGTGCTGGACGGGGGGTTGCGGAAGTATTCATCTTTTCAAGATACTGCTAATCTGCTCTTCGGAATCATGGTACTGGTTCTCACTCCCCTCGTTAGTGTTCCTGTTGCTCAGTGTCCTTATCTTTTATTTTTATTTTTATTTTTGAGACAGAGTTTCGCTCTTGTTGCCCAAGCTAGAGTTCAATGGCACGATCTCGGCCTCCCGGGTTCAAGCGCCGCCTCCCGGGTTCAAGCGATTCTCTTGTCTCAGCCTTCTGAGTAGCTGGGATTACAGGTGTGCACCACCACGCCTGGCTAATTTTTGTATTTTTAGTATAGATGGGGTTTCACCATGTTAGCCAGGCTGGTATCGAACTCCTGACCTTAGGTGATCTGCCCGCCTCAGCTTCCCAAAGTGCTGGGATTACATGTATGAGCCACCGCACCCAGACATCTTTTAATTTTTATAATGTTTTGATGTTCAGCATTTTTAAAAATTATTATTATTATTATTATTATTTGAGACAAAGTCTTGCTTTGTCGCCCAGGGTGAAGTGCAATGGTGTGAACTTGGCTCACTGCAACCTCCGCCTCCCGGGTTCAAGCAATTCTCCTGCCTCAGCCTCCCGAATAGCTTTTTGGACCAGTCTCTCATGCCTGTAGTCCCAGCACTTTGGGAGGCCGAGGCGGGCGGGTCACCTGAGGTCAGGAGTTTGACACCAACCTGGCCAACATGGCTAAACCCTATCTCTTCTAAAAATACAAAAAGTTGCCGGGGTTGGCGGCGGGTGCCTGTAATTCCAGCTATTCAGGAGGCTGAGGCAGGAGAATCTCTTGAACCCGGGAGGCTGAGGTTGCAGTGAGCTGAGATTGCACCACTGCACTCCAGTCTGGGCAACAGAGTGAGACTCTGTCTCAAAAATAAACAAACAAAACATATATTCTGAGAATTAAATGAGACAAAATGTAGGAAAGAGCTTTGAAATGATACATTTCAGCATAAATGTACCGTCCCTAGGCACATGCAGATGAATGGGTGCCACTAACAACTACCTGAGGGTCAGAGGTTGTCAGGCACAGCAGGTTTATTTTTATTTTTGAGACAGAGTCTCACTCTGTCGCCAGGCTGGAGTGCAGTGGCGTGACCTCGGCTCACTGCAACCTCTGCCTCCCAGTCCCGAGTACCTGGGACTACAGGCGCCCACCACCACAACTGGCTAATTTTTTTTTCTTTTTTTTTTTTTAGTAGAGACGGGGTTTTGCCATGTTGGCCAGGCTGGTTTTGAATTCCTGACCTCAGGTGATCCGCCCGCCTTGGCCTCCAAAGTGTTGGGATTACAGGCGTGAGCCACCGCGTCCAGTCAGGCACAGTGGGTTTAGGTTGTGTGTAGTGAAGGGGAGAGTAAAAGACACAGAAGGACTGGTCATATTTGGCTCTCATTGTATGCGGGATTCGATTTCAAATCAGAGCATGAGGTCAAATCACATATAGTTAAAATTATCTACTCTTTTTTTTTTTTTTTTTTTTTTGAGACGTGGTGTTGCTCTGTCACCCAGGCTGGAGTGGAGTGTGATCTTGGTTCACTGCAACCTCTGCCTTTTGGGGTTCAAGCAATTCTCCTGCCTCAGCCTCTTGAATAACTGGGATTACAGGCGTGCACCACCACGTTCAGCTAATTTTTGTAGTTTTAGTAGAGTTTTGCCATGTTGGCCAGGCTGGTCTCGAACTCCTGGCCTCAAGCGATCTGCCCACCTCGGCCTCCCAAAGTGTTGGGAATACAGGCATGAGCCACTGTGCCTGGCTACAATTATCTACTCTTAAAAGTCCCCATGCTTGCCCACAGTGCATCTCTCAGAAAGTCTAGTAGATTCATTTCATCCTCCAGTGTGAGAACAGATTACCTCTTCTTCAGCTGGGCACCAGAGGAAATACTGATCTTAGGTTTTTGGAGCCACGCTGAATTAAAACCTTAGCATCACACGGTGAAACTGAACCCGCTGAGGGAATGGTAGATTCACAGTTTCTATCATTCTTTTTTTTCTTTTTAATATATTTCTTTATCCTTATTGAAGAGCTTCCATCGCCCTTCACTCTCATCTTGTGCTCACTTTGGGTCTTGTGCTGAATTCAGCTCCCATTCTTTAACAGAAATTTACATATCGCCTGTGTGCCAGATGCTATGCTAGGCTCAGATCAAGAACCCTTGCATTTTCAGATCTTACATTCTAGCCAAGAGGCAGATAATAAACAGATAAGCAAAACGTAATTGCTAGCCAGTAGTACTATGAAGACAGAGCAAGGCACAGACTAGGAAGTTCTGGAGTGGCTTGGGAAGGCCTTCTGGGAAATAGGATTTCATTTTCATAAACTCTGCAGGAGAGGAAGTCAACTCTGTGGATATGGGGATGGGGGAGGGGGCCCAAGCCAGCAGCGAGAACAGCCGGTGCAAAAGCCCTGAGGCAGGCAAGAGGGTGCCTGCATGTTTGAGTCCAGCGAGTGGACGGAAGGTAGGGAGGACGCCAGGGGGTGAGGTTGGAGGGCCTGTAGGCCATTGTGTTGACCTTTACCTGTGCTTTGGGTGAGATAGGAGAGCATTGGAGAGTTTTGAGCTGAGGAGGGACAAAATCTGTTTACCAAGATCACTCTGGTTTCTGTGTTGAGAAAAACCTGAAGAGGGACAAACGAGCTATAATATTTAGGGGACTGTTGTAGTGGCTCTGGTGAAAGATGGGTGAGAACTAATTAATTCTGGATATTTAGAAGTTAGAGCCACCATTGCATTTACTGTCAAATTAGATGTGGGGTATCAAACAAGATGAGTTCAAGAGAAGCTCCAAGGTCTTTAGCTTGAATCAAGGTATGGATGGACTCACTTTTAGTTGAGGTGAGGAAGCCTCAAAGCCTCACGTGGGAAGAACTACAGTGGTGGCAGTGGTAGAGATGGGGGTGGGAGAGGCCAGGGTCTCAGTTTAGGACAGGTTAGTTTGAGATCCTACCAGATACCAGGCAGAGAGATGGGGTAGGTAGGTGAATATATGTAAATCTGGAGCTCAGGTAGGAGTTCAGGCTGGAGAGCTACGTTTGGGGGTGATCAGTGTATAGGTAGCGTTTCTTTCTCTCTCTCTCTCTCTTTCTCTTTCTTTCCTTTTCTTTCTTTTCTTTTTCTTCTTTCCTTCCTTTCTCTTTCTTTCTCCGTTTCTCTTTTCCTTTCTCTTCTCTTTCTTTTCTTTCTTCTGATGGAGTCTCAGTCGCCCAGGCTGGAGTGCAGTGGTGCGATCTCAGCTCACTGCAACCTCCGCCTCCTGGGTTCCAGCGATTCTCCTGCCTCAGCCTCCTGAGCAGCTGGGACTACAGGCGCTCGCCACCACACCCAGCTAATTTTTGTGTTTTTAGTAGAGACGGGATTTCACCTTGTTGGCCAGGCTGGTCTCGAACTCCTGACCTCGTGATCTGCCTGCCTCGGCCTCCCAAAGTGTTGGGATTACAGGCATGAGCCACTGCACCCACCCGGAGGCATTTCAAACCATGAGATGGGGTGAAACCTTCCAGGGAGTGAGAGAAAAGGTCTAAGGACTGAGCCCCTGGGTTCCCCATCATTAGGAGGTCAGATGAGAAGGAGCCAGCCATGAAGACTGGGAAGGAGTGGCTGTTGTGGGGAGGTGGGTGGTGTCCTAGACACAGGTATCTTTTTAAGGCAGAGGGGCCCGGAAAAGGATCCTTGTAGTTTGAGTAGTTATGCCTCTCTCTGAGCATGGGCAGTTCGTTGGTGAACTGACAACGTGAAATACACATGATGCAATTCCACCGTGTGTCAAGTTTGAAAGCACTCCCTGCCAGTAGCGTGTGGGAGTGTAGGAATGGCAATTGTAATGAGACATCACAGTGTAAAATTCCTGAGCTCTGCTCTAGTACAGCCTGGGGACAGACGTCTGGGCCAAGAAGGGCTTCTGTGAGACAGCATGGAACAGTGGCCTGGTCAGAGAGACTTGGGCATGCATCTGAGGGCTGTAAGCCTCAGTTTCCCCATCTGTAAAATGGAACTCTAATCGCTGTCTCCATCTGGGAGGATTTTGTGAGGATTCAGAGAAACTGCACATGAAATGCTCCACCAGGCCCAGGAACTTACCAAGGTCTCATAAACGTGAATGATTCTATAACTGTCAAGCCTCTGCCAGGGGTTCTGAATGCTCGAGTGCAGACCAGAGCCCATGGGGACGCCCCTGTGCAGATCTGCTCAACCATTTCTTTCTTTCTTTTTTGAGACAGAATTTCACTCTATAGCCCAGGCTGGAGTGCAGTGGTACGATCTTGGCTTACTGCAACCTCTGCCTCCCAGCCGGGTTCAAGCAATTCTCCTGCCTTAGCCTCCCAAGTAGCTGGGACCACAGGTGCTTGCCACCACGCCCAGCTAATTTTGTCTTTTTAGTAGAGATGGGGTTTCACCATGTTGACTAGGCTAGTCTCAAACTCCTGGCCTCAAGTGATCCACCCACCTCGGCCTCCCAAAATGCTGGGATTACAGGCCTGAGCCACCGCGCCCAGCTATTCACCCATTTCTTACTCCCCCACTCAAGAAGTCACACCACTCTTGTCATTCCAAGAAATCTTAATTTCTTTATTGTTTGACTTTTTGACTCAACAATTTTTTTAAAACTTTTTGTTTTTTTCTGAAACGTTCTTGTTGTTATGAGCCTTTTGTTTTGTTCTCGTTAAATGCACTCGACCCAAAATTGGTTTGGCATATCGAAAAGGAGACCAAGGAGGGAGGGGCTGGGGCGTGGGAGGTGGGGAGGAGGCCCGAATGGACAGAAAGTTGAGGATAAGAGAAGAGGAACATAGAGACAGCCAGAAAGACATGGGGAAAGAGTGTTGGAGACAGAGAAAGGGGAAGGCAAGGGAAAGCCAAAAGAAACCAAAATCCAGAGAAAAAGAATTAACAAGATTTAGGAGCAAACGAGTTCAGGAGCCTAAGGAAGGGAGTAGGAGAGGAAACCAAGACCCTTCTCTGTACCGTCCCAGCTGGGGTGGGGGCGTCAAGGCACCAGGTCTGGTTAGGTTGGGGGGACACCTGGGCTCTGGGGGCGGCTTTGCACTGGACTGCAGTGATGTCCAGCCCCAGCAGGGGGCCCTGCCACACAGCTCTGAGGCCTGGAAGCCACCCGGCGATGCCGGCTGGAACAGGACCCGATACACCCTCTCTCCCTTTGATTGTCCGAGTCTGGAGAGATACAAGGAAGGCTGGGCAGGGAGGAAGTTGGCCTCTCTGTGTGCCTCAGCCCCCTGGAACTCTCCTGGCCCTCCTCCTGGTGTCGGGGGCAGCCACAGGCTGGGCTGCTTCCCGGGACAGGCCAGCTCCTCGCCTGCTCATGCCTCCTGCCCGCTCTTCACAGACCTCTGACCACCCCTCCACACAACAGAGCTCCCAGCCTAGTGCAGTCCGGGAAGGGCCATGGAACTGTCCCTTGCCCTCCTCAGAGTCGTCTGGCAAGACTGTCCCTGGCCTCACTTCTCCTCCCCATCTAGACTTCACCCATGGTCTTCTGGTGTAATGGGTTAGGCCTTTCTACCAGAAAAAGCCAGAGTTGGAACCCAACCCCACCTCTTCCCCACACCTGTTCCCTTACACGGGACAAACCACCATCTTTGGTCTGACCCCTTCTCCCCTAATTGATGGGGACAAGCCAGCCCCAGCTCCCCGGGAGAAGGGAGGGGCTTTCTAGCAGCAAAAAGGGTCCCTCCAGCCACCTACCTGTCCCCTTCCCCCCAGTTCCTTCCTAGAGCCCCTCCCCCTTAACCCAACAAAGTTCATGGCAGCAGCAGGCTGAGACCCGAAGATGTTTGAAAACTCATGGCACTTGTGAGAAAAGGAGGGGCAGAGAGATGGGGAGAGGTCAGAGCAGAGGTGGAGGGGCCACCTCTGGGGAAACGGCAATGCAGGGGCTGGGCTAGGGTGGCCTGGGGCTATGCTGCCCCTAGAGTTGAGGGAAGGGGGCTGGGGAGGCTGGCCTGACAGGCTGGAGAGGAGGGGGCCGGGACAGGTGCTCAGGACACATCCCGAGCCTGGAGCTTCCGGGGTCTGGGATTTGGGGTCAAGCCGCCCAGAACATGGGTGTCCCGACCCCAGCCCTGGCACCTGGCTTCGTCTTCCCTGCGGGAAGGTGGAGGATAGGGAAGGTGATCTCTCACCTTTGCCCCTCCCCATCCCCCAGACCGCCTTGCCGTTCCCAGCACCCTCCTCAGCCATACCCATGCCCTCCACAACCCCAGTGCCTCCCCATTTTCCTTCTGCCATCAACCTCTCTAGGTGGGAAATCAGCCCCATCTTCCCCGGCGAGAGTCCCCAGAGCAATATACAAGAAGCAGGAACTCAAAGGGACAGCGCAGCCATCTTGACAAAGCATCTTTGGGTGTGAAGAGGTCTCCCCCGGGCCGGTGGGGAGGGAAGGGGGAGACAGGCCTCTGGTCCTGGGGCAGGCAGTGAGAGGTACACGCCCCAGAAGGGCTGATGATGCCGGGCAGGCGGAGCAGGAAAGGAGGGTGCCAGGAAGGAAATGGGTTCTTTGTTTCGCTGTTGCATCTAGATTTTGTTTTCTGTCTCTGGATTGTAAAAAGCTGCTCTGGCGGCCCGCCCGCCCCGGCGGGGACTGGGGATGCACGTACACGGAGAAGTCCTGGCTGCCAGGCCAGCAGCGCTGCTCTGCTCCGGAGAAAGCCCGGGCTGGCCCGGGCCGCAGGCTCCCGGTGGCTTCAAGTGATGAGATTTTTTTTCTTTTCTTTTTTTTTTTTTTTGTCTTTTTTTTTTCTTTTCCATTTCGTTGAAATATTTACAGCAATGGGGAAGGAGGAGGAGAGAGGAAGGAGTAAGAGGGCCCCCTAGGGAAAGATCCAAGCCCAGGACCCACTCCCCAGGGAGATCCAGACCCAAAATCTGCTCCCCAGATAGCCGAGCCCACAGGACTGGGAACTGCCCAAATATGGCCACCCCTGTGGGCTGGGGGCCCTGCGGGGAGTTGTGCTTCATCAGGAGTCGCCCCAAGGGAGGGGGTCATTGGGTGCACTGGGAGGCAGAGGGGGCAGGTTTGCTTGCGGGGCAGGGACCAAGAGCAAGGGGAAAGGAGCTTCAGAGAAAGTTCAACCTTTAAACCACCAGCCACCACCGCCCAGTCCCCCTGCCCTGCGGCCTTTTCCCAGTCTCCAGGGAGCAGGGAATTACAGCGCAGGAGGAACCTGTCCATCTGTCCTGCCTCACTGCTCCCTCTGGGTGCAGCCGGCAGCATTTCTGGCTGCGGAGAGGAGCAGCTAACAGGTTCCATCCAGTGGGGGCCTTTGGCAACCTCAGAAGCTGCCCCTCCCTGCCCAGGAAACTAAAGCCCTCATTTCCCTTCACAGGGTAGAAGGGTGGGAGAGGGGAGAGTCTGGAAGTGGGCTGCACCCTTCCAAGTTCTCCCTCCTCACTCCCCTGGGGTCCTCTGGGCTCCTCCTCACTACACTTCCCCCAAATAGAGCTGGTGCGTGTGGCTGGTGGGAAACCCTGTCTGTGAACCCTGGCACCTCAGGCCCCCAGGTTAGAGTCCCCTGAGGGGACTGTAGGGCCCATGGCTGAGGGGCACCTGGAGAGAGTGGCCCACCAGCCACTGCCTCCATCTGTCTCCCTCTCCCACCAGAGCCCTGCCCAGGGTTCCCTCCCTGGCCTGGGCCACCAGCCCCTGGTCCATGAGGTGCCCTCAGAGACTGGTGACCAGCTGCATCTGCCCGTCCCCATCGGGCCCTGGCCCCTCAAGGCCTGGGGCTGCCAGGTAGCCCTCGTGGCTAGGACGCCGCACCTGGTAGTAGCCCTGCAGGGGATTCCGGGCCACCAGGGCTGGCGGGCGCGAGGTGTAGTAGATTTCGGGGGGGCCGGGGGGTGCGGGAGGGGGTGGGGGCAGGGCCTCACTGGGCCCCTCAGGGCTGCTGTCCGGGTAGGAGGGTGAGTCCCGCAGGTTGGCCCCGCTGGCATAGAGGGAGTCCCGGCCAGGAGGGGAGGAGAGGGGCCGGCTGGTGGCGCCGTCCTCGGCCGTGCAGCTCTCCGACTCGTCCAGATCGCTCTGGTACAGCACCGACTGGGCCCGGGGCAGCAGCAGAGGCTCCTCCAGGGCCTTATAGAGAAGTTCAATCTCGGCCCGGTCAGCACCCCCGGGCCCGCCCGCCTCTTCCTCGCCCCCGCCCCCTGGCACAGGTGGCACAGGGGGCTCAGGCGGTGGAGGGCCCTTGGCCGCGCTGCTGCTCCCCCGCAGGTTGTTGTGCACCAGCTCTGAGATGATCATCTTCTCAAAGGCCGCCGCATCGGCTAGGTTCCGGCCTCGGGGCGGCTCAGGGCCCCCATCCCCGGGAGGGAAATCCCCACTTCGCAAGGAGTAACTGTTATTGAAGTTGCCGTTCAGGGGCAGGGTGTCCATGCCACAGGCTTCCCGGCCTCCCAAGGGGTGCTCTGCAGGGCAGAAAGGGGCTGGTCAGGTTGAAGAGGGGCCCTGGATGCACTAGGGGACAGTGAGGGGGTGCGGTCCATGTGGAGAAGTGGGCTTGATTCCTGCTGGTTTTCCGTAGGCTTCCCCCTGCCCCCTGGATCTCTGATCTCACATTCCCTTTCTCCCTCACTGGCACTAGACACACCAGCCCAGCAGCGTATTGATGAAAGGTGGGGGACAAGGACCAGTTCCCCCAGGATCTCATCCCCAGCTGGAGGTTCAGAATCTCAGCAGTGTGAGGAGGCCTGGGCAACAGGATCGCTTTCCTGTGCTCAGACCCTCAGCACTTAACAGCCCAAACTCAATGAACACCATCCATTATCCTCCATTCGGCTGCCAGAGGCTGTGTGTCGGGGGGTGGGGAAATGTGGGCATGGGGAGGCATCCCGAGTTCTCCTCCTTAAGTGAGGCCGTCTGAGAAGGCCACTGTCTGTCCCTCTCCCAGCCTCAGAAACATCCCCAGGGAAGAGTCACACTTACTGGGTTCCCGGTAGCTCCCTGCAGGTGGCAGCCAGAAGAGAGAAGAGAAAAGGCAAGGATGAGCTCGAAATGCAAGTCCAGGCTCCAGTTCTGGGGCACAGAACATCCCATGCAGAGGTCCCTTGGGACACAAACCCTCCATTTCCCAACCTGGGATGTTTCCCCCGTGCTCTCACCTGGGGAGTTGAAGACAGGGGGCGAGGAGGGATTGAAGCCCACTGACTCGGCGATGAGGGTGTTGTAGGGACTGGTGCCCCCACGGGGCTGCAGCACGGGGTTGGTCAGCAGGTGGTTCCCCATGGTACCTGGCCAAAGGATCAGAGGTCACAAGGCAGCCGGGAGCCTCCAGAGACTGAAGCCAGAGGCAGAAGGATGCCTTCTCACCTCGGTTCAGGGTGGGGGTGCTGTTGATGTCACCCGCCATGAAGGAGGACTCCGTCTGTTTCCTCACAGTGTCATTCCACATCCTCCGAATTCGGCTCTGGGAACACAACCCAAATGTGAGGGGATCCTTGGGCCACCCACCCTCTGGCGTCTTTCTGAGACTGCTCACCTGATCATCACGATCAGAAACCTAGGCCAAGCCACTCCCCACCTCTCAGGCTCCAGGTTCCAACACTCAGCCCCAGGGAGTCCTGTCTGGCCCGATACCTGGGTCCCTGTGTAGTAGCGGGTGTTGCTTCGCATGGCTGAGGTCTTGAGGGATCCGTGAGTGCCCCCGGGTGGGGAGCGGATGCAGCAGTAGGAGTGACGCAGGCACTTGCTGTACTCCTTGTGCACCTGGGAGGTGGAGGACAGTCAGCTGGCTGGGACACTGGCCTCCTCTGTGATCCAGTCTCCCACAGGGCTGGTCACAAGACAGGCAGCCTTGGGAGGCCGGAGACCGAGCTTCCAATGACTGTGTTCCCCTGTTCAGCGACTTGCAGGCCACGGAAGCCTTGATGTCCCCTGTCCCCCAACAGCCAGCCGATCAGGTTTCACTCTCTTCTTACTCAGGCCCATCCTCTTCTCCACCTCCTCTGACAGTTTTTCATTCATTCATAAAATCAACAGAGCATTATTGAGCATCCGCTATGTGCCAGGCACAATTTAGGCCTCAGGGAAGGTATGGAACACAACAGACACAAATCCCTACCTCTGAGAGCTTATATTTCAGTAGACAGAGACAGAACATAGATGAAAATATAAATATGCAAGCTGTTGGATGCTGTTAGGTGCTGCGGAGAAAACTATGGCCAGAAAGGGGGTTAGGCAGTGCTGACTTGGGAGCAGGTTGTGATTTTTTTTTTTTTTTTTTTTTTGAGATGGAATCTTGCACTGTCACTCGGGCTGGAGTGCAATGGTGCAATCTTGGCTCACTGCAACCTCCACCTCCCTGGTTCACACGATTCTCCTGCCACAGCCTCCTGAGTAGCTGGGATTACAGGCGCACACCACCACACCTGGCTAATTTTTTTTTTTTTTTTTGTATTTTTAGTAGAGACGGGGTTTCACCATGTTGGCCAGACTGGTTGTGATTTTAAATAGATCAGAGGAGGCCAGGCATGGTGGCTCACACCTGTAATCCCAGCACTTTGGAAGGCAGAGGTGGGTGGATCACCTGAGGTCAGGAGTTCGAGACCAGCCTGGGCAACATGGTGAAACCCCACCTCTACTAAAAATACAAAAATTAGCTGGTCGTGGCAGTGGGCGTCTGTAATCCCAGCTAGTTGGCAGGAGAATTGCTTGAAGCTGGGGGGGTGGAGGTTGCAGTGAGCCGAGATCGCGCCATTGCACTCTAGCCTGGGGACAGAACGAGACTCTGTCTCAAAAATAATAATGATAATAAAAAAAAAACCTAAAAAAATAAATAGATCAGAGGAGGCCTCATTTAAGCCAAGGTAAGAACGGGGGCTGCACCCTGAGGGTCCACATCTAGGTGTCTGAGAGCAGAGGTTGGAGGGAGGGGAGCCGAGGGGCCCAGATCAGACCATAGGGGCCTGGGGTCCCCTGAAAGGACA
This sequence comes from Homo sapiens, assembly GCF_000001405.40. Lineage (NCBI taxonomy): Eukaryota > Metazoa > Chordata > Mammalia > Primates > Hominidae > Homo > Homo sapiens. Next base: position 14,154,133 of record NC_000019.10, read on the forward strand.
TTGCTGCCACTGCGTGTGAGGTGGGGGCTGTGAAAACACTGCCTTTGACCGTGTGTCCAAGGAGGGGCCAGGACAATGTTGGACAGAGCAGGGACACAGGCCACCTCCTCCCTTGCAACCAGGATTCTCATGATCACTGCCTCTGCCATCCCCTGCCTTAAGCCTTACCTGCCTCACCACTCCCCAAGTCCAACAGCAGTCTCCATGGCCTGCACTGCTGCCAGGACTGACTCTACAAATGCCTCAGCTCCGTCTCCCCAGCTTCAGTCCTGAGGGTGCTGCCAGTATCCCCATTCCCTGCCCATGTTCCCCAGCTACTGTTGTCCCCTTTGGTTTTTTTAAATAGAGACGGGGTCTCTGTTGCCCAGGCTGGTCTTGAATTTCTGGGCTTAAGCAATCCTCCTGCCTCAGCCTCCCAAAGTGCTGGGATTACAGGCATGAGCCACTGCACCCAGCCCTTTGTATGTGTGGTTTTTTTGTTTGTTTGTTTTGGAGACAGAGTTTTGCTCTGTTGCCCAGACTGGAGTGCAGTGGCGCAATCTTGGCTCACTGCAACCTCTGCCTTTGGGGTTCAAGCAATTCTCCTGCCTCAGCCCCTCAGCCTCCCAAGTAGCTGGGACTACAGGCGCCCACCACCACACCAGGCTAATTTTTATATTTTTTAAGTAGAGACGGGGTTTCACCATGTTGGCCAGGCTGGTCTGGAACTCCTGACCTCAGGTGATCCGCCCGCCTCAGCCTCCTAAAGTGCTGGGATTACAGGCGTGAGCCACCGTGTCCGGACTGTATGTTTTTTTAAGATTCAGATTTTAACACATTTATTTTAAAAAGATCCTTTCTATCACCACAAAATTCACAATTCTTTCCAGAACTATGAATGTAGGCAGTGCTCCCTCAGGGTGGCTCCCAAAGTCCTCCCTCTCCCAGGCCTGACTCGTGGCCCTCATGGTGGTGAGGGTTCCCCATTACCAAATCTGTTCTGCTCTCACTCCTCTAAGTTGCTGTATCTTGTTTTCCAGAACCCTCTTCACCCGTGGTTAAACCCTCCCTAACCCTGAGCTCGTGCTCCCCTCCCGGTGGACGCAGACCTGACCACAGAAGCCCTGCAGCACTCACTGGGGGCTTGAGGGAGCCCCTGAGTCCCCTCCACCCTCGCCGCCTTCTCCTGGGTACCCAGGAAACGTCTCCAAGGGAGGCTGTGACCCAGGACCCCGCCTCGACCTCACCTTCTTCTGTAAGGCGCAGTGAAAGACGAAGATGAAGACCCCCTGGAAGGCGTTGAAGGTGGTGAAGAGATAGGCCATGACCACCGACTCCTTGTTGATGAAGAGGAGGCCGAAAGCCCAGGTGAGGCCCAGCAGGAACAGCAGCGCGATGGCCCCCAGCGCCCAGGATCTGGGAGTGGGGCGACAGGGGAGTCAAAGTACCCGCCGGAGGGGACGGCCTCAGCCCAGGCCTCCCCTGCAGCCTACAACGGGGGCCCTTGGGTGGGCCTGGGCACTGTCTGCAAAGCCCTGAGCGGGCCGAGTGGGCCTTGGGGGCAGTGGCCTGCCCAGGACACCTCCACCGGAGCCTGGGCCTGAGGGAAAGGTACTGGGTCAGGGGTCGGGGTATTGTGAACATCAGTTATTCCTCTGCCAACTTCATTGTTTCTGCTAAATTTCCAGACCACTTAGGCTATATTTGCTGCCTATTTCTCTTTAAGTTGCCCTTAAACAGACTCACCTTTTGAATTTAGCCTCAGCCTACATACCGATGCCCCTAAAACCACAGGTTGGACGTGCTAATGATACGCTATCTAAGACCCATTAAGTAGGTACATAGTGAACACAATAGAACACCCCTGTTGGTACTTAAAATTGCAATGTGTGTCACCAGAGGTGACAGCACTACCTTTTAGGACACCCTGGAAGAGGTGGGCCCAGCGTGGGGCGGGGGTGGGTGATGGGGCAGGGGGCAGGCAGGGGCGAGGCTCACTTAATGTTGTCCAGGCGGCTGGAGTCGGGCTTGAGCACAGATGAGCTTCGGATCATCTTGTGCAGGGTCACCATGAGGAACACCAGGTTGACCTGGGGGCGGGACAAGGGGCAGGCTGGGCTGAGAGTGGCCCTGCCTCCCTCAGTGAGCACTGAGGCTAGGGCCCAGCCTGGCGAAATCTCAGCTGTGGCCCTCGCCTCTGCTGGGAGAACCCCGTACCTGCCCCTGAGGTGCCCGCTGTGCAGCGGTGAGCTGATTGGCATGACCGGCAATTTAATGCCACTCCTGGCTGCTGGGAGGACAAGGCCCATGGCCTGACACACACTAGGGGCTCAAATCACAGCCCCCCAGGCGAGCAGCCCTCAGCACTGGAGCTCCATGGACCCAGCACACTTTCATCCTCTCAGCCGGTGGCTCAGTTCCGATGTGTGGAGAGAGAGAGAGTGTGTGTGTGTGTGGGGGGGGTGGGGGGCGGGGGCAGGGGCTGGGGTCAAGGCCAGCCTGGATGAAGGAAGATGTGGTGCTAGGGGTGTCACCTCCCAACTCACCACGATAACGAAGGAGACTGGCCCGATGAAACTCCAGATGAAGTAATTGTCCACTCGGAGCCAGCAGCTGTAAAGGAAACAGGGCCGGGGTATAGAGAGAAGCCGAGGAGCCATTCCCAGCGACTCATGAAGGCCTAGGACTCTGCAGGCTGCAGCCTCTGGGATCAGGAGGAGGAAGGGACTACCGCCCTGAGGGTCCTGGTCCAAGGGGTGCCGCCCAGCAGGGAACCAGGTGGGAGGGTGCAGGGCTGGGAGGTGGAAACTCACGCCTTCTCGGTGCCGTAGCTGCGGTAGTCAATGGCAGCCGCGATGCCCACCACCAGGGCCGGGAAGCAGTAGCCACCCAGGTAGTAGTACTTGGTGCGGGAATACTCGCTCTCAAACACCTCCACTAGTAGCAGGTAGAGGTGCACGCCCTCCAGGCACAGCCAGGAGAAGGCAGCCAGGAAGAAATAGTGCAGCAGGCCGGCGAAGATGGGGCAGGCAATCTGCGGGGAGCACTGAGGGTGAGGGGCTGCTGCCTGGACAGGTGTCCCCCTTCTTCTCCCGGCCCCCAGGCGCTGGCCGTCACCTGCCCTAGAGTCCCAGCCCACCTCATACTGAGTCTTGTCGATCCCGACCAGGAAGAGCAGCTCAGCCAGGAAGAGGTTGATGCACAGGTTCTTGTGGATGGTGTTGCGGTCGGTCTGCAGCCCCCGCAGGAAGCAGAAGGTGGAGATGCAGATGGCCAAGCAGACCAGGGAGATCACAATGCCCACCCAGGTGATGACCGACAGCAGCAGCTCGTTGATGCGGCCCTGGTACTGGGGACAGGAACAGGGGGCACGCTCAGGGCCTTTGGTTTTGCACGCTGGGCTCAGCCAGGTGCCAGCCACAGACAGGGCCCTGGGCAAGGCCATGGGCCGTGAGGACCTCTGGTGCCGCCAACCTGGCAGCCCTCACCCCTCTGCACGCAGCAATGCGCTCACTTCCTCATGCTCTGGAAGGCTTGTGGAGAGATGACCAACGTAACACCAACTTGCTTCTCCAGAGTGCCTTGGGAGACGGTGGGATCATGGCCATAGAGGACCAGACGCATGGCCTCATGCCCCAGGCAAGACCAGGGGCCCCCCACACCCATGGGGCTAGCCTCCCCTGGTACTGCCCGTGATCTCTCTAGGATGCCATGCAAAGCCAGGCCAGCAATCGGGCCTGCCTGGAGGAGCAGAGCACCAGCCAGCTTACGATCTCACGGTGAGCCATGAGCACAGCGAAGTTGGTGAGGTGGCTGCAGGCACACGTGGTATGGGTCTTGTTGGACTCCACCAGGCGGCAGCCTTGGGTCGACCAGTAGCCCAGCATGGAACGCTCCGAGTAGTTCCAGAAGGAGCAGTTAGCATTGAAGTGGTTCTTGTCCTGTTGTGTGGTGGCACCAGGGTGTCATAACTAGAGTCAGAACCGGGGAGTCCCATTCCGACCCCCCACACCTGGCAACAGGGATGGTACCAAGTATCAAAGAAGTGCCTGGGGTCTGGGGCTCCAGTTGACATTCTGAGAGCTCTGGGGACAAATGGCCCAAGCTCTAAAGTGGAAGAACCCATAACTTGTTCTGGAGGTGAGCACATGGAGGGGCAGGTACACAGCCTGGGAACACAGAGGGTACAGGGACCCCCATGGAGGGAGGGGGACGGCTCAGCTCACCTCCAGGTGGGCCACGGTGAAGATGACAGGGTCCATGAGGAAGACGCGGCTGGACTCCTTGTTGATGGATGCTGCGATGACCTGTGAGTTCACCACTAGAGAGGCGCCCCCAGGGCCACCCGGGCCTGCTTCGCCGGCCAGCTTCACTGTGGCATTCTCCGTGGACAGGAAGAGGCCCAGGTTGTTGTAGAGGATGAAGACAACTTTGACCACCCCTGGTGAGAACAGGCACGTTTGGATGTGTCAGCATCCTCAGCTGGCGCACCTCCATCCAGGCCCCTGGCTTCCCAGCTCAGCCAGCTCCTCAGCCCTTGGCCACGCTGGCCACTGGGACCTCTGAAGCCAGTCCATAGCCCAGGCAGGTGGGGGTCAGGGAGCCCTGTCCACAAGACCACTGCTCAGCTGAAGGCAGTTCTAAACAGCAGGGCAGTGTGCCAGGACACACAAGCTGGGCCTCCGACCCACCCATTCTCACTGTGTGACCTTGGGCAAGCCCCTGACCTCTCTGAGCCTTCATCTCAATGGCCCCATCCTCTCTGAGCTGTGAGGCCCAGGAGCCAGCTTTGCAACTGTAAGGCTCACCCTTAGGGCTCTGCAGCACTTCAGGGCCCATGAATCCCCTCAAATTTTACACTAGCATGAGAAAAGGTCAGCACCGCTGCCCTCTACAAATGGCACAGAGACGCTGGCACAGAGCTGGGGGGTGGGGGTGGGGCTGCTTCCCCACCCGAGGCCCCGCCGGGGACACTGACCATTGCGGCTGTTCTGCTTGATGGTTTTGGCAGACAGCTGGATGGAGTTCTTTCTCGGGTACTCCTCCTGGGGGAACACCAGCTCCTGCACCTGGCCCTCTGTGTTCAGGACTGTGACCTCCAGGACTGTGGGGACAGGGGAAGGCAAGGCATACACAGTTGGGGTCTGTTCCCAGTCCAGGGGCTCAGGCTGCAGAACGAGACTCTGGCAAGATGCCCAAGGGTCGGATAGCCCCCCTGTGGCCTCCAGGCCAGAACCCCGTGGTTTAAGGTTCGTATCTGAGTTTGCCCTGGGTGACTGTGGCACTCACCCACGTTCTCCTTGGCAGCCAGGAAGCGGGCAGGCTCCCTGACATTGTCGGCCAGCAGGAAGGCGCCCTCCTCCAGGACGTCGAGGAGCATGGTGGCCGTGTGCACCTGCTCCGTGGCATTCATGTCCTTCCAGGACTCCAGAGCTTCTGGCCGGAGCAGATTGTCCACTGTCTCCACCACGGCCTGCACAGGCAGAGGGCATGGTGCTGTGAGCCCCCCAACACCCTCTAATTCCTGGGGGTGGGCTCTGCATGCCCTCTTCTCAACCTCCACCCCTAATCCCCCCATCAGCTGGAGCCCACGGTCCTTACACTGGGACCCCCTGGGTCTCACCTTGATATAATCCTTACAAGTTCTCTCTCGCTTGTGCATCTAGAAAGAGATGGAGGTGATGTCAGGCCAGGCCTCTGGGTGCCGGTTCCCTCACCCTAATACTGTCACATCTGGATAGCTCTCTCGTCTGCGGTTACCACTGACCCAGGGCTGGGCTATCAGCAAGACATTCCTCAGGGATCCCCAACCCCCAGGACCATCCGGGGCAGCACAGGAGTGAGACCCGGCAGTCCTTGGCGGAGAGGGGGGGGTCCTTCCTCTCTGAGGAAAGGAGTGGAGGTGGCAGCCTGGCTGGGAGGTACCAGGTCAGGTACTTCCCAAGCCCCTGGGGGCAGGCGCCCTCCCCATACCAGGTCAGCGCCACCGCCAGGCCCCACCTTGTTGTAGTTCTTGCCGGCTGACTCGCGCTCGATGGGCCGCAGGGCCTGCAGCTGGGCATCCAGGATGTCCAGCAGCTGCTCCATCAGCTTCACAGAGGAGGAGACGTCCCCCGCGTAGATGGAGCCCCGGGTGTGTCGGGCCAGCTCGCTGGCGATGTTGGCCGCGTTCTCCCCACTCTTGATCTGCATGAGGTGGGGGCGGGAAGGGGGAATCCCAGGACTGTCAGGGACCATCCTGCCCTCCCCGGCTTCCCTGGCCTGTGCAGCCTCTCCTATCTCTCTCTCCACTTCCCCATCGCCATCTGCCCCTTCCCACCCCATCTGTCCCTGCTCCCTTTGTAGGCCAGGGAGGTGACCCCACAGTCCTGCCTTCCAGACCTGCCAGCCCATGTCTCCCCAGCTGCTCCACGACCCCCGCTGGGCCCTGGGCCCTGGGCCCGAGCACATGTGCCTGCCTGCGAGGGGTGGTGGCTGGTACCTTCTGGGCCACCTGGTTGACCCAGGGGGAGGTGCAGTTGCTGAGGTCAGGGCCCCGGGGGTTCCAGAGCCCCAAGGCTGGTAGACACTGGAAGGAGGCAATTCCTGCAGGGACAGACAGACAGGAACAGACAAGGGAGCCAAAGGGAAGAAGAGAAGGATGGGACAGAGAGGGGGAAAGGAGATGACAGAGAGTGGGGGACGAGCGGGCGAAGAGGGAGGTGAGGGAAACACGGAGAAACAGACATGAAGCGGGCTGGACAGTCGAAAGAGGCGCCACTCACTTCCCCTGAGCTCTCCCTCCTGCCCCCTTCTGTCTTTGCCTCCAGAGTTAGAACCTTCCAGCAAGGCCCATCTTGAACGCCCCCTCTCCACGAAGCACCTGCCAACCCTCCCCTCAGATCTCCAGGACACACGGCCCTGCCCTTTTTGCACTTCAGCTGGCCATCCATGTGAAGCTGACTGTGCCTGGGGCTGTGGCAGGTCAGCCTGAGGCCGGGAGCCAGGTCACCTCCTGCGGACTCCCTGCAGGTTCTGCAGGTGGGGCCAGGGGCACTGAGTGGCTCCTGTGCCCTGAGAGCTCTGCTGGTCACTGGGGATGACCCCTGCCCTCAGAAAACCTCTGCTCCGCAGTAGAGACCCCCACCCACACATGCATCTGTGCTAAGCTGCTGGGGGCATGGCCCCCATCCCTCCCCTGGCTGCAGCCTCTGTACTCACCTCGAGTCCCCTTGGGGCAGGGCCTCTCCACCAGCATGCCCTGCTGGGTGGCCGGCCACTGGACCCGCCGTACCTCTCGGGGCTCGCAGAAGAGCTCAGGGGACACGTGTAGATTCGGGGCTGGGGGCCGCCGGGTGCTGGGGACTGGGGCTGTGGCTGGAGGCAGATCAGGTCCCAGCTGGTTGATGGCACCCACTGGGTGCGTGGTGAGGGGTGCCCGGCGGAGCGGGGTGGTGGCTGCGGGCGAGGCTGTGCTGGTGAGGGGCGTGGGCCTGGCTGTGGTGGTCGTGCTGAGGGGTGGGGAAGTGGCTGGGCCTGGAGAGGGGATACGAGACAGGGTCATCCCCATGCTCAGGGCCATGCCACAGTGTGCTTGGGCAGGGGGTCCCAGGCCATCTTAGCATCTTCCTCATCTACTGAAGTGGAAACACGTGCCGGGCCCCACTGGGTCTATGAGTTGATCTCCCCTGGCCGCTCTGTGCCCACCAAAGTCCCTTATGCCCATGGGCCCATATAAAGTAGCAAAGAGTGGTAAAAATCCACGATGTGTACCATAAGGTCTGAGAGAACGGTCAGGGGAGAGGCAGGGACAGAGGTGTCTGGGGGACAGGAATCCTCCCAGGTTGAGCCCGAGGGCAGGAGCCCTCCCCAATCCAGGTCAGCCCCGCCACCAGGTGGGGGCTGAATACCACCGCCCCCCATCCTCGTTCTAGCTGACTTTGGCTTATGTAACCTGGCTATGCTCCTTCCTTCTGGGGGCCTCAACTCCCCCTTTTGCAAACAAGATGGGGTTAGATCGGGCTCCCTGGAGCCCTGGGGTGGCACAGAGCTAGCAGGGCAGCTAGGCGGGGCAAAAGAAGACTGCAGAGTTGCCCTCAGCCCGGTCAGCATCAGCAGCTCAGCTCTTTTGTGGATACTGGACTTCCACCCAGGATTTTGGTGGATCCAAGGGTTCCTGGAGTAAAGGTGCCCAGGCCCCTGGGAGAGGCACTGCAGTTCAGTGGTTGGGAGGCTGGGTTCAAATCCTCAAATAACTTAATCCCCTACCCACACAGAGCCTCAGTGTCATCTGTAAAACAGGGCAGTAAGGATCCCTGTGTCATAGACCGTGAGGAGACGAGTTAATGACTGTGAAGTGCTTAGAACAGCGTCTGTCACATGCTGTGAATTTCCTTTACCTCCCGATCCCCAAGAGCTCACAGGATGGGGCTCCCCACTCTGGGACCCAGGGGTGGGTGGGGGTGGAGGGGACAAAGGCAAGCAGGCTCCATGCCTGGAAGTGAGTCGTCCTCACCAGCACTGGGGTCGGGCGGCCCGAACTCCAGGCTGTAGCGCACCACGAAATAGTTGTTCCAGACGTACAGCTGGTTGTCGCGAGGGTTGTAGTCAACGGAGGAGATGAACTGGTAGGGGTTGGGGAAGGTGAGGCTGACAGGCTCCTCGCGGTTGGCATTGGTGTTGAAGGCATAGTCCACGCGGTTGCCAGCCGCCTCGCTGTCATCATCCACGTACACGGAACGCAGGACGTACAGGACCCCACACACCATGAAGGCGTTGGATGCCGAGCGCTTGTCGTAACCCGTCTCCCACGTGCCCTCAAAGCGCAGTGTGTAGGGGTTCAGCTGGCTCACCACCAGCCGCCCGTTGTTGCCCTCAGTGGCGTAGATGACCCACAGCCCGTTCTCGTCCACCGCCAGGTCAATGTCGGTCTTTCCGCCCCAGCGGTAGGGCGAGGTGTCATGGTAGTTGGCGGTATTGATGACCGTCTCCCCGCTCTTGATGCGCGTCCGTAGGTCATACTTGACGATGTTGCGCGTGCGCTCCTTGTTGTAGAAGACGGCACCATCGTAGACCACAAAGCCTGTGCCATCCACGCGGTTGGGCAGGCGGTAGGTGGTGGTGTGGCGGGCGGCCACGTAGTCCTCCCACGAGGCATACTCAGTCAGTGTGTCCGTGCGGTAGGGGATCCAGGGCATCACGTAGATGCGGTCACCCGCCTGCAGCGGGTCCTTGCACCATGCGCCAGACTGGTGCTCTGACTCGTGTGTCGAGGTGGGCTCCAGCACCTTCTGCAGGGTCCCTGGGCACACGAAGACTGGGCAGAGTGGGCGGGAGGGGAGGAGGTAGGAGAGAAGGGGCAGAGGCGAGAGGGAGGAGAGAGAGAGAGAGAGAGAGAGAGAGAGAGAGGGGGGAGAGAGGCAAGTTGGTCACGCTGCTGGTGGGGAGCCAGGTTGTCCCCTCCTGCTGCTGCAGTCACGGTTGCTTGGTATGGCTGGTGATGGGAAGGGGGTTTCCGGGCTGGGACCCGACCCCCTCCCCACGCCCTGCCCAGCTGCCCCTCTCCCTGGAAATGTGAACCCTGAAGGCCATTAAGAGCGGGGTTAGTGAGGGGAAGTGGTGCCCCTCTTCCCTTCCCTGGCTGCTAGAGACCCCACAGGCTGGGGAGGAGTTTGGCAAGAGCCCTCCCAGAGGTGGTCCTGTGTGATTTAAGTGGGGGCAGAATCTCCCCGCTACAGTCACTCCTGACTTTGACGGTCCAGGGACTCAGCACCCGGCCCCTTCTCCCTCTTCTCTGCCACTTAGGGAAGAGCTAGGGTCCAGGATCCCATCCTTCACCAACCACACCCGGACAGTGTTTTTTTTTTTAACTCCTCTTTCTTCCTCCTGCAAAAATTGCAAGGTAGAGTGGTGTTTCCATACCCACTGTGGGTGTCAGGAGTGTCTCCCTATTCCAGGATAGGGGTTTCAACTCTCTCCCCAGGTTCCTGATGCAGCCTGCTCCCCACCCCCCACCCAGTACCCACGAAGTCAGTAGCCGAGGAAGGGATTCCCAGAGGCAGCTCCCAGGCTAGGACGGGGAATGAAAGAGTCTGGCCCCTCCTGGAGGGCGCCCAGCCCTGCCCCCAGCCGGCAGGGTCTCTCATGGGGTCTGGCTCAGCAGCAGACAGTGGCACTGTGCACAGGGGTGGGGGTGGGGACATGGAGAGGGACAGGGCTCCCGGGAGAGTTGGGGAGGGAGAGGAGAGCTGTGCAGAGGGAAGAGAGACAAGGGCGTATGGGGCTTGGCGAGGTCCTGGCTCCGTGGGAGGCTGCGCTGCAAACCACCTGGGAAGAAAGGGTTAGTGCTGGCGGAGGAGAGAGGGGTGAGCAGAGAATTCACTCCAAGGCCCAGGCCCGACTGAGGGTCCCTCAGGGGGGCAGTCCCAGGTCCAGCTCGGAGGGGGCAGGGGAGGGAACCAGGCGCTAGGATAAAGACCCAGCCCGCCCCAGCCAGGCCCCCCACCTCCCCTGGCCCGGACCCCGATTTACCTGCGACCATCCCCGGCTCGGGAAGAGGGACCAAGGCAGCGCTGATGTCAGAAAGGTGGGGGGCCCCGCCCCACCCCCCCAATCCCTGAAAAGGAGGAAAACCTCAACTGCATCTCGTTGGCCACTGCTGGCCGGCCCACCCTTGCCCAGTCACGTCCCAGCACCACCTACTCCTAACCTCCCCTTGACTGATCCGGGGGTCAGTGTGGCCAGACACCCCACCTCCTCCCAGAGTGCGCCCCTCCATCCAGGATGGCCGGGCCTCCCTCACCTCCTGGCTGGCAGAACCCACACATAGGCCAGGGCGAGGGCACAGGGCGAGGGTGGAGGGTTTGCAGTGAATTCTCTGCTCTTGCTTGGCATGTCACCAAAGCAGCTGGCCCCGAGGGGATCGGGGGGCTGGGACCTGGCACCGGCTTGGGGGGCAGCCCCAGTGGCAAGAGGGGCTTGGGCTAGTCCTCATTCCCCACCTCCAGCAGGCTTGGGAGGGAGGGGGACAGGCAGCACTCCCTTCACAGCATGGGAACAATGTGGCTCAGGGGCCCCCTGGCACAAAGCAGCCAGGATGTAGTTTTTGTAGAGGGAGAGGAGCCTGGGACATAGAGCTGGGCAGGAGCCAAAACGACCCTGGCTTGGGCCCTGGGGACTGGCCATCCCCCTGTCCCTGATGCCCTGAGGGGTCGGCCTGCCCACTCTGTCCAGCACACTGGCCTCTGCCCAAGCCGGTCCCCACCCCCACCAGGTGTGTGGCATCTGAGGGGACGTGTTTGTGTGAAGGGGACGGTGGGAGGCCTCAGAGCCTAACCTGCTCAGAGGGTGTCAGGGGGGAAAAATGTGGTTAGAGGTCAACCCAGGGGAAGGGGGAGAAGATGAGGAAGGGTCTGTCTGGGGCCTTGGACAGCAAGGACCCTTCACCAGCACCAAACTCCCAATCCCTCCTCTTCCCTCCCTTGCCCCGTCACCCCACCCGCCCTGCCCTGGCCCTCGAAGAGAAAATCTCCAGTGGTGCCGCATCCAAACCAGTGGGCCTGCAAGAAGAGTGGCTGGTGCTGGGAGGGAGAGAGACTCCAGGAGAAAGAGAGGAGACTGGAGGGGTGTGGTGAGGGGGCGGACCTGGGGCCAGCAGCCCAGGCCTCTCTGAGATGGGGGAGAGGGGAAGACGGGGAGGGGAGCAGCTCAGAGGGACCCTGCCCCACCTCCTTCGGAAGGGATGCTCCACAGACCACTGTAATTTCAAGGCAAAAGGGATCCCTAAAGGCCATGTCCTCCAGCCCTGCCTGCTGCTGCCGGCCTCAGATGGGTAAATTTCCCAAAACTTTCTGGAGAGGAAATGGTCATCCCTAACATCTCACCCTAGAAGCCCCTCAGCAGCAGCACCTCCGCTCCCCCCAATAACAGCCAGTAATGGCCAGCCCCATCCACTAGGGAGTTCTCTGCTAGAAATTACGGAGTCTGTGGAAGTCCCCAGACTGTGCCCCCGCCGCCCGCCGCCCATCTCCCTGGTCCTCTAACCACAACAGCCCAGAAGAAACCCTGACTGCAGCTTTGCAAGTGTGAAAGAAACAGAGAACACGCTCCCCCACCCTTCGCTCCCCCAACCACGAGGCCCGCCCCCGCCCCCTCGCCCTCATTTTTTCATTTTTTGGCAGGCTGCCCCCTCCCAGGGCTGGGGACAGCTGACACCCCTCCCCAGGGCTGGGCCCCCAGCTGGTCAGAGATGGGGATCAGGTTGGGGGTGGGGAGGACTGGTGCTCCATGCTCCAAAACAGCTCTGGGCCTTGGAAACATCAAACCAGAAGGAACTTAAGCCACCAGGAGCCCGAGACATAGGAGAATCTGCTCCCCAAAAGGAAAACAATGGTGTCCCCTCCAGCCCGCCTCCCATGAACCAGAAACATGTTATAAAAGGTACAGGGGAAGGAGGAAGAGAGAGGGGAGAGACAGAGAGAGAGAGAGAGAGAAAGAGAGAGAGAGAGAGAGACAGCTCACCCGGTGCCCCAGTGGGGGAGCCGGGGAAGGGAGTCCCTCCCTCCCCACCCGCCCTGGATGCTTATACACTTCTCCTGAAGGAGGCAAAAGAAGTATGAGAAAAGGCCAGGTCCCCCGAAAGGGCCAGGGACCAGGAAGGAGGGACAGAGAGAGACAGAAACAGCGAGAGAGAGAAAATCCTGCCCAAGCTCAGAGAGGAGCTTCCGTGGGTATCTGGAGGGTGGAGATGCCCGTGGCCGCACCAGGGCTGGTCCCACTGGGAGGACAACCCAGGGTGGGGGATACCGACCGGACCAAGTGTGGGTTGGGGAGAGAAGAAGGGGCCGGGGGAGGGCAGGTCACATAAGTATGGTACAGGTAGAACAAAGTGTGAGTTAGGGGTTAGCATTGGTAACAGTGCGTTTACCTTTCTGCTCCACTTCTACTTTAAGCATCGGAAGAGAGAGAGAAAACAAATTGAAAAAAAAAATGTGCAAGAAAAAAAGAGAAAAAAAAAGAGATTAAATTGCTTTCGTTTCTTTTCTGGCAACACGCCCCCTTTTCCTTTCCTTCCTCGCTCCTGCTTCCCCAACCCCTTCCGTAGCATCAGCTCGGGCCCCCGCCCCCAGGTCCCTTCCTCTGGGGGTGGTCAGGTGGGGTGAGAGGGTGCTGGGGAGACAGTCAGAGGGACGAGGGGGACACACACAGGAGGGAGAAGACACAGAAAGACACAGGGGTGGTAGGGGGGTACAGGCAGGCAGACAGAGCCCTCAGGTGGGAGGGGGCACCCTTGGTGCAAGGCGGGGGCAGGGAGTAGGGAGCCCCAGCTGGGAGGTGGGCTCCGGTCAGAGGGGGCACCAGGGAGTGGTGGGGTGGATAAGCCACTCGGCTCCCTTCCCACCCTGCCTGCTGCCCTCCTGCTAGAACCAGGGGCCCCAGGGGAAGGATTTCAGTGTCTCCCAGGGCCTGGGCCCACCCTCAGCCAAGAAACAGGCTGAACTCCTTCCCCTTTATGCTGGCCTCACCCAGGTCCAGCTGACTTCCCCCAAGCCCTCACAACCCAGAAGAAGCAAACACAGAGAGAAGGTGGCAGAGCCAGACACAGAACGACAGGCAGACGGGCAGTTGCACCCGGGCCCCAGAGAGAGCCAGGGTTGGGGAGACGGAGGCAGAGAGGTGGCGGGGGTGGGGGACACAGACTGGGTGGGACAGCAAGTGGGGGCACAGACACGCTCCCAGGCTCCCCAGGGGCAAGTCTGAGGCTCGGCTTCTCTGCTCAACCCACCCAGGGCCCGGGGGCCCAGGAGCTGGGAGCTCCGCCCTGCCCGCTGCCCTGCGGACGGGCGGCACCTAGGGGAGGAAGGGGCGCGGTTAGACTGTGCTCAGCTGCAAAGCAAATCCAGCATTAGTCGGGCTTGTCCACTGTGTGGGAGGGTTCCCACACATCACGTGCCCCCTGCCACCCACCCCTGACCCACCCTCACCAGCACTGGGGTCACCCCCAGCCTCTGAAGCCCTGGGCCAGGTGGCTGCCCAGGCCGCTCCCCCTCTGCATCCCTGGCCCCTCAGGAACTTCTGACTGGAGGGACTGGCTCTCCTGGCCCCTCTCTGAAGGTTCCAGCAGGGAGCTCCGCAGGGGCAGCCTCTGCCTCCCTTCCCAGCGCCTCACCCAGGGCCTGGCACTCAGGAGATGCTCAGTGAACATTTTGGGGACAAGTGAGTGCCTGGCCTCCCTGTCCTCTAGCTACCTCCTGTCCCCGCTTTAACTCCAGCCTCCTTCCTCTGGAGCATCAGGAGTTAGCTCTGCCCCCAACATCCACCCCGTATGTGTGCACACATGTCTGCGCGTGTGTGTGTGTGCGTGTGTCTCCTGTCTCCCCAAGGGCTCAGGCTATCTCTCTTCCATCAGACAGGCAGCCACTCATCCTCTGAACTGTCCTGCCCTCTGTCCCTGGAGCCTGCCTGGTCTCTGTCGGTTGTAGCCCCTGGACCACGCTCAGGGCCTCGGCTCCAGGAGGTTTCTCAGCTCCTCTCCTCCCCTAGCTTCTTTCCTGCGGCTTGACCTGAGCCTCTCGTCTACTTGCTTTGGCTTCCACCTGGACCGAGGAATTTTTCCTGCCCTTTATCTCACCTGCCTCGGGAGAAGTTGGGTCATTATCCGTTGTTATTTTAATTTTGATTACCACAGCAATAATCGTAATTGACAAGAGGCATTACAAGGAGCTGCAACAAAAGCAACGACTACCAAGTGTCCAGCACTCACGAGGGGCCAGCAACTATGCTACGCACCTCACTGGCCGTCTTTTGAGAACCCTGTCTACAGATGGGAAAACTGAGGCACACTGAAGTGAGGCCACATGGCTGGCGAAAGCAGGCACCATTTCCTTTGCATCTACAGCTCGGGTGCACACAAGCTTGACATGCGTTGTCGCTACTCCTTGTGGCTTCCCAGGGAAGGCTTTTGACCCCTCTCCACCCCATCACAGATGAATAAACAGGCTCAGCTGGCTTAAAGGGCATTGGTAATATTACTGAGCACATCCTGAACCAGGCATGGGTCTGGGCGCTGGGGCGGCGGGTGAAGACGAAGCCTCTGCCCTTGGGAAGTTTACACTCGGCACTCAAAACCCTGCCACCAGGAGCGACTTTGTGGCCGGCCCTGGGCCAAGCGCTTCTCACATGTCATCTCATGGACTCACACCTCCTTCCGTAGTGGCCCAGAGAAATTAAATCATTTGCTCAAGGTTTCAGAGCCAGAAAACTCAAGAGCCCAGTCGAGCCTTGAACCTACACCCATCTGACTGCCCCCCTGTGCTGAGCTCGCTGCCTCCCACCCCCCTTCCCCGCTGTCCCAGCCGCGGGAGTCAGCCGTGTCCCCAGTGCTGTGGGGAGGCTTCAAGGAGCAGATGGGCATCCCCCTCGGTGGTGGCTGAAGGCCTCAAGCGCTGAAAGGAAAGGACGAAGAGTAAAAGAAGAAAATTACGGAAGCACAGAAGGGATCCTGTTTCCCCAGCATCGAGTCACCTGTGAGGAGAAATCAAAGGCTGGCAGGGAAGGTTGGGGTGGGAGGGGAGAGGAGGGAGAGTTACAGGGCCTCTTAGTCCCCAAACCCGGCCCGCCACACTCAGACACCCTGATGGCCCTGCCTTCTCCCCACTCTTCCCGGAGGCCCTACCACCAGGTTGACTACATGGAACCCATTGTGGGAGGAGAAGGGAAGGGATAATGGGAAGGAGGGAGGGAGGAGAGAGGGCAGGAAAAAGGTGATGTCAAGGGTGGGGTGCTGAGGAGGAGAGACCTTGTCTTTGTCTGATCCCTTTGGCCAGGTGCAAGATGGCCAGGCTCCTGGCTCCCCAAATCACTTTCTTCAGGCTGCCTGGAGGCCACCCTCAGTCCAACATGGCGGCATTTCCTTTGCAGACAGGAAGTGCCACATGGTAATGGGGAGACCAGTGAGGAGCTATGAATCTGTTGAAAATGCCCCCCAGCCCTTCACCCTGAATCTGCCACCAGGCCTCAGAGGATGGTATCCCACTCTATGGGTGTAGAGTCCAGCTTCCATGATTGGGAAGAAGTGTGTGGGGAGTGAGGGTGCTGAGAGAACGGTGTTGAGAGGGGCAGTGGGGTAAGTGAGAGGGAAGAGAAGGTAGATGAGAAGGGTCAGAAAAGGTCAGAAGAGTCAGAAAAGGAAGGGATGTGAGAAGGCGAGGGAGGCAGATGGGGGAGAAAAGCATAGAGGCCAAGGGAGAAGAGAGAGACGTAAGTGTGCCAGGCAGAGCACGGGACCATGGCCTGGCAGTGTGGAAATGAGTATAGGGTGCATGAAGAAGCAGGGTGAGTGGGCTGGGGTAAGGAGAGCTGGAGAAGGTGTCCCCACAGGAGGGGACAGAGTCTGTGAGGCGGGGGAGCAGGCACTGAGTGTGGACACTGGTGTCTGGGATTAGAGAATGTGTGTTGGAGAGAGCAGGCCCGGCTGTCCCCACTGTGCCCAGGCCCCATGCATGTGTGCACATGTGTGATGGGTCAAGGTGTCTCCTCCTCACTCACTCATGCGAGAAGGGCCCGCATCCGCACAAGGAACAAGATGACTCACTGTAGGGGACACAGTCGTACTGCACCTCCAGGTACTTGTAGGTCCCAGGACAGGGGTCAGGAAAGGCATCCGAGCCGGCGACCACCACGCACTGGGTGCGGTTGTTACACCTTCAGAGGAGAAACAGGGCATTGGGAAAGAAACACATAGACGGGGTGGCGGGGGTGGGGGTGCATGCTCCAGGGTCATGGTGTCATAGACACCCCCAAATTGGGAAGGGGCAGTGGAGCTGGAAACCAAGTGATATAGTTTGGATCTGTGTCCATACCCAAATCTCATGTTGAATTGTGATCTCCAGTGTTGGAGGTGGGGCCTGGTGGGAGGTGATTGGATCATGGGGGCAGTTTCTAATGAATGGTTTATCACCATCCCCTCCGTGCTGTTGAGATCTGGTTGTTTAAAAGTGTGTAGCACCTCCCCTGTTCTCTTTTCCTCCTACTCCAGCCATGTACGGCGTGCCTGCTTCCCCTTCACCTTCTGCTGTGATTGTAAGTTTCCTGAGGCCTCCCCAGAAGCAGAAGCTACTATGCTTCCTGTACAGCCTGCAGAACTATGAGCCAATTAAATGTCTTTTCTTTATAAACTACCCAATCTCAGGTATTTCTTTATACCAGTATAAGAACGAACTAACACACCAAGCCCAGAGGACTTGTGTGGGCACTTTTTGTTTCCTGCCTGCTCTCTCTTTCCCACCAGGGTTCTTCTATTTTCAGCCCCAGCACAGCATCATCCTCAGGGCTAAGAAGGAGGAGTCACCCGCTAAACAGTGCTTTCCTGGCCACCCCTCATCTCTTTCATTGTGAGTGTAGCTGACACTATTATATCCTTGGCATTTTTCTTTAAATGGACTTTAAAGCCCCTGCGCTGTTCACTGGAGAGTAATACATGTGAAGCCATGCACGTGAGGTGGTGTCTCTGCAAACTTACGATCAATGAAATGTTCAGTGTCCAGCTGTGTCCACTTCACACCATCTCGTGGACACATCCCACCCTTTGGGCAGTGCTGCTGTGCAGACTTATAGCCAGGGCAGCCAGGAGAGAGCATCCCCAGGGGAAAGCCATTCTCGGTTCCCAAGAGGCAACTCCTCCAAGTCACTGTCAACTTCCCAGGGGGCTGGCTAGCATGTAAGGGGGAACCTATTTAACAAAAAGGTGTGTCTCATCTGCTGTCTGTCCCCACTGTCAGGGTCTCTGTCCCTTGCAGCAGGCTGGGGCTAGGCCAGGCAGGACACGGGCATGCAGGACATAGTTTGAGAGGCTTCCCGACAGGTATGGGGCAGAAGAGGCCCTGTGTCTCCCCTTCAATCCTGCTCTTAACCAAGGGTACTAAACACAGGCAGACACTTGAGAAGGGACTAAGGATCTAGCAGGGAGAGAGAAAAATGGGGGGCAGGATGGGGTGTGGGAAGATCTGTCTGTATCCATCCACCTCATCCTCTTCTTTAAAAATAGAACACTGGCTGGGCGTGGTGGCTCACGCCTGTAATCCCAGCACTTTGGGAGGCCAAGGCGGGTGGATCACCTGATGTCAGAAGTTTGAAACCAGCCTGACCAACATAGTGAAACCCTGTCTCTACTAAAAATACAAAAACTAGCCAGGCGTGGTGGTGCATGTCTGTAATCCCAGCTACACAGGAGGCTAAGGCAGAAGAATCACTTGAACCCAGGAGGCGGAGGTTGCAGTGAGCCAAGACTGAGCCACTGCACTCCAGCCTGGGTGACAGAGTAAGACTCCGTCTCAAACAAAACAAAAGAAAACAAAAAATAGAACACTGGGGCAGGGTGCAGTGGCTCACACCTGTAATCCCAGAACTTTGGGAGGCCGTGGTGGATGGATCACTTGAAGCCAGGAGCTTGAGAGCAGCCTGGCCAACATGGTAAAACCCCATCTCTACTAAATAAACAAAAATTAGCCAGGCGTGGTGGGGCGCACCGGTAATCCCAGCTACTCGGGAGGCTGAGGCCCAAGAATCGCTAGAACCCAGGAGGCAGAGGTTGCAGTGAGCCGAGATCGCACCGCTGTACTCCAGAAGTAGACAATTCATACATTTTAAGTTGTGTGCTGTTGTGAGTAGCCTGATGAAATCTCATGCTGTATGGGGCGTGTCCATGCTGTATTTGCTCCCTGTCTGTTAGTCACTAGTGGTCATCTCAGTTATCCATCAACTGTCACGGTTTCACAGTGCTTATGTTCAAGTAGCCCTTAGTTTATGTAACAATATTTTACTACTAAAAATTATTATTGTTGTTGTTAGTCTCTCACTGTGCCTAACGTATTTTATTATTATTATGTTTTGAGACAGGGTCCCGCTCTGTCACCGAGGCTGGAGTGCAGTGGTACAATCTTGGCTCACTGCAGCCTCGGCCTCCCAGGCTCAAGTGATCCTCCAGCCTCTGCCTCCCAAGGAGCTGGGACTACAGGTATGTGCCACCATGCCCTGCTAATTTTTTGTATTTTTAGTAGAGATGGGGTTTTGCCGTGTTGCCTAGGCTGGTCTCAAACTCCTGGGTTCAAACAATCTACCCGTCTCGACCTCCCAAAGTGCTGGGATTACAATCATGAGCCATCACACCCAGCCTATTTTATTTTATTATTTTTTAGACAGGGTCTTACTCTATTGCCCAGGACGGAGAGCAGCGGTGTGATCATGGCTCATTGTAGTCTCGACTTCCCGAAGTGCTGGGATTACAGGCATGAGCCACCGCATCTAGCTGTGCCTAATTTGTAAATTAAACTTTATTATAATTAGAGCTGTATAGGAGAAAACATGGTATATACAAGGTTCAGTAGCTCTCTGCAGTTTAGGCATCCACTGGGGTTCTTGGAGCGTTTCCCCAGTGGGTAAGTGGGGATTACTGTACCCAAAAGAATTTAAAACAAGTGTTTAAGCAAATCGTTGTACACGCACGTTCACAGCTGCATTATTCACAATCACCACAAACGTGGAGGCAGCCCAAACATCCACCAACAAATGAACAGCTAGGCTGGGCGCAGTGGCTCATGGCTATAATCCCAGCACTTTGGGAGGCCAAGACTGGCAGATCAATTGAGGTCAGAAGTTTGAGACCAGCCTGGCCAACATGGTGAAACGTCGTCTTTACTAAAAATACAAAAATTAGCCGGGCGTGGTGGTGCATGCTTGTAGTCCCAGCCACTTGCGAGGCTGAAGCAGGAGGACTGTTTGAACCGGAAAGCGGAGGTTGCAGTGAGCCGAGATCATGCCACTGCACTCCAGCCTGGGGGAGAGCAAGACTCCGTCTCAAAAAAAAAAAAAAAAAAAAAAAAAGAGTCTCCAGGCTTGGTTGTGGAGCAGTGGGGGTTGGGGACTCAGCGGAGAGGAAGCAGGACTAAGGCCCCCTACAAGTCCTTCTGGATGTGACTCCAGAGGCCTCATCACACTCCCTCAGCCCCGGTAACTATTCTGCACAGCATTCCCCACGGACATGGGAACTGGGCCAGATGCTGTACTAGGTGCTAGAGAGATAATGGAGAAGAATGCAGTCCCCCAAAGCTGGTGTTGAATGAAGTCAGCAGGGAGAATTTGGAGAGGTGGGAGGAAGGGGGCTCCCAGGGAGGGGGCCCACAGCCTAAGCAAAGGCTAGAGCCTGGACTGGGAATGCCTATGCAGGGCACCCTCGGCAGGGGTGTCAGGGGACAGGAAGCGGGGAAGAGAGGCAAGATTGCTGGAGGGGAATGGCAGTTTGAGAGAGAGGCAGAGAGGAGGAGATGATGAGGTGCCTCCAGCCCAGCCCAGCCCAGCTATCTCAGCCACCTGAACACTGTCATCCCCTGCCCAAACCTCTCCTGCTCTCCTGGGGCTCTCAGTGACCCGCTCCTCCCCTGGTAACACACATTTTTTTTTTTTTTTTTTGAGACAGAGTCTCACTCTGTCACCTAGGCTGGAGTGCAGTGGTGTTATCTTGGTTCACTGCAACCTCTGCCTCCAAGGTTCAAGCGATTCTCCTGCCTCAGCCTCCCAAGTATCTGGGACTACAGGCTCACACCACCGTATCAGGCTAATTTTTGTATTTTTGGTAGAGACAGGGTTTCACCATGTTGGCCAGGTTGGTCTCGAACTCCTGACCTCAAGTGATCCACCCGCCATGGCCTCCCAAAGTGCTGGGATTACAGGCGTGAAACACTGCACCTGGTCTGTTTTTTTTTTTTTTTTTTTTTAGAGACAGGGTCTTGCTCAGTCACCCAGGCTGGAGTGCAGTGGTGGGATCATAGCTCATTGAAGCCTCAAACTCCCGGGCCCAAGTGATCCTCCTGCATCGGTCATCTGAGTAGCTGGGACCACAGGCACACACCATGACTGGCTAATTTATTTTTTAGTTTCTAGTAGAGACAGGGTCTTGCTATGTTGCCCAGTCTGGTCTCGAACTCCTGACCTAAAGCGATCCCCCTGCCTCAGCCTCCCAAAGTTCTGTGATTACAGGCGTGAGCCACCGCGTCCAGCCTGGGTGTAATTTGAAGGAAAGGCTGATCAGCTCTACATGGACTGACTGTGGGTGTGAGAGAGGCTTGTGCAGATTTGCACACGTGGTGCCTCAGCCTGGGGCAACCCCTCCACGCTCACACAATCACAAACAACTCAAAGAAATACAAATACACTCTCAGTCAACCACACACAAACCCTCATCCACATACACACATCTGCCCACAGACACAGTTAAATACACAAAGACACAGCCACACCCACCCACCCCCACACACGTGCACCCATCCACCTCACCACTCACAGATATGAAAACACACACCTCAGTCAGCCACACCCGCTCACACACATGCTCACACCCACACCCGCTCACGTACACTTAAACACACCCAAATACACTCATATAACCACATATTCACCCACAAACACCCACATTCACACACACATCCACCCACCCAGATACACACTCCAATACACACTCATACAGACACACTCAGACACACTCAAAGACATGTTTAGTCACACACATCTGCACACACCTACACCTGTTCACATACACTTAGACACACAGACACACTTAGTCACAATCACACACATTTAGTCACACACTCAAAAATGCACACATACTCACACTCAAATACACACACAGGCCAGGCGCAGTGGCTCACGCCTGTAATCCCAGCACTTAAGGGGGCCAAGGCAGGCAGGTGAATCACCTGAGGTCAGGAGTTCAAGACCAACCTGGCCAACATGGTAAAACCCTGTCTGTACAAAAATACAAAAATAAGCTGGGCATGATGGTGCGTACCTGTAATCCCAGCTACTCGGGAGGCTGAGGCGGGAGAATTGCTTGAACCCTGGAGGTGGAGGTTGCAATGAGCTGAGATCACACCACTGCACTGCAGCCTGGGCGACAGAGCAAGATTCTGTCTCAAAAATAAACAAAACAGGCCGGGCGCAGTGGCTTACACCTGTAGTCCCAGCACTTTGGGAGGCCAAGTGGGCGGATCATGAGGTCAAGAGATCGAGACCATCCTGGCCAAGATGGTGACACCCCGTCTCTATTAAAAATACAAAAAAATTAGCTTGGCGTGGTGGTGCGCGCCTGTAGTCCTAGCTACTCGGGAGGCTGAGGCAGGAGAATCGCTTGAACCCAGGAAGCGGAGGTGGCAGTGAGCCAAGATCGCACCACTGCACTCCAGCCTGGGTGACAGACTGAGACTCTGTCTCAAAAATTAAATAACTAAATAAAATAAAACAAATACACCGTCATACTCATAGATGCATGCAATCACACAGACACACTCCAAGTTACAGTCTTGCATGCTCAAGCATTCACCCCACACACAATCACTCACACAGGCCTGTGCTTCTATCATCTGTGCTCAGGTGTCTCCTCCTTGGAGTAGCCTGATGAGCTCTCAAATCTGGGATGGGTGGGTGCGGTGGCTCATGCCTGTCATCCCAGCGCTTTGAGAGGCCGAGGCAGGAGGATTGCTTGAGGCCAGGAGTTTAAGACCAGCCTGGGCAACATAGCAAGACCCTGCCTCTACAAAAAATAAAATAAAATTAGCCAGGCATGGTGGCAGGCGCCTGTAGTCCCAGCTACTCAGGAGGCTGAGGCAGGGGGATTGCTTGAACCTGAGAGGTCACAGCTGCAGTGAGCTGTGATTGTGCCACTGTGCTCCAGCCTAGGCAACAGTGAGACCCTATCTTCAAAAAAAAAAAAAGAGTCTGGGATGAAGGGAAAAGTCCTCCCATGACACCTTCGCTCTGTCCTGCTGTTCTTTATATTTTACAAGCTCCAAACTGCCCTGGCTAAGGCTGGGTGTGATGGCTCATCTCATGCCTGTAATGCCAGCACTTTGGGAGGTCGAGGTGGGCAGATCACCTGAGGTCAGGAGTTCGAGACCTGCCTGGCCAATTACAAAACCCTGTCTCTACTAAAAATACAAAAAAATTAGTCAGGCGTGGTGGCGTGCGCCTATAATCCCCAGCTACTTGGGAGGCTGAGGCAGAAGAATCGCCTAAACCCAGGAGGTGGAGGTTGCAGTGAGCTGAGATGCCACCACGCTCCAGCCTGGTAACAGAGTAAGACTCCATCTCAAAAACAAACAAACAAACTGCCCTGGCTAATCTTGGGATGGAAGTTATGGAAGCAAGAGGCTGGTGGGGGGAGGGACTTCCCAGTGTATGTATGGGTATAGGCCTCTGTCGGGGGCACAGGCTGGCTGTGGGGAGATGTACTGGGTCTTATTCTCGTCTGCATGGGGCCCAGCACCTATTAAGTGCTCAGTAAACATGTGTTGAATGCATAAAAAAAAGATGTAAGGTGAACGGGTGTGCTGGCAGGTGTGCAGTGCTTTTAGGCGGGCACTTCATCCAGGAACTGCCACGAGAGCCCACTCACCTCTGTGACATGATCTTGAAGGCGTCCGGCAGGTAGCACTGCACATTCTCCATCTGGAAAGGGTCAGCATCGCAAATCTTGTCGTCCGTGCGCCCGTAGTTGGCATTCTCCACCATGATGACGTCGCTGCCGGGGCACCGCAGCTCGATGGGGTAGCCTTCACACGCCAGCTCCCGGCGCATCAGCCCGAACGGGAGCCCGGCCCGGCTCAGGCCTGCAGGGAGGGTTGGGGATGGTGTCACTCCTGGGCCTGGGCCAGGAAGGGAAGACCCTACCCACTGCCAAGAAAACACCACCTCTGGCTCGGCTGTGTCCTGGAAGCCAGCTGAGGCAGCCTCAGTTGATTCAGCTGTAGAATGGGCCTCTCAGTGTGCCCACTTGTGTAGTGAGGACATTAACCTGGCCCAGAGAGTGCCTGGACTCTCAGCTCCTAGGAAGTGACGTCTGAGCCTTTGGAATGCTCTGCTTGATAAGAGTGACTGTTTTCCTGGGGTCCTCGGGCTACACCAGATATGCTGTTATGGATTGAACTGTGTTCCCCTGAAAATTCATATGCTGAAGTCCTAACCCCCAGGACCTGAAAATGTGACATTATTTGGAGATAAGGTCTTTATAGAGATAAATTCAAATGAGGCTATTAGGGTAGGCCCCAATCCAATATGACTGTGGTCCTTATAAAAACGGGCAATTTTGGCCAGGCACAGAGGCACACACTTGTAACCCCAGCATTTTGGGAGACAGAGGTGGGCAAATCGCCTGAACCCAGGAGTTTGAGACCAGCCTGAGCAATATAGTGAAACCCTGTCTCTACCAAAAATACACAAATTAGCCAGACGTGGTGGCACACACCTGTAGTCCCAGCTACTGGGGAGGCTGAGGTGGGAGGATCACCTCAGCCCAGGAGGTTGAGGCTCCAGTAAGCCATGATTGTGCCATTGCACTCTAGCCTGGGCAACAGAGCGAGACCCTATCTCAATAAAAAAAGAGGGGGTGGGGCGTTGTTGTTAAGATAGGATCTTCCTCTGTCACCCAGGCTGGAGTGCAGTGGTGCGATCATGGCTCACTGCAAGTCTCAACCTCCTGGGCTCAGGTGATCCTGCCTCAACCTCCCAAGTAGCTGGAACTACAGATTCACGCCACCATGTCCGGCTAATTTTTTACATTGTTTCATAGAAATGGGTCCCTTTTCTATGTTGCCCAAGCTAGTCTGGTCTCAAGCAATCCTCCTGCCTTGGCCTCTCAAAGTGCTAGGATTATGGGCCTGAGTCCTCGCACCTGGCTAAAAGGAGAAATTTGGGCACAGAAGTGTACAGGGGGAAGACAATGTGAAGACACAGGAGCAGGCGGCCATCTATCTATAAGCCAAGGAGAGGCCAGGCGCGGTGGCTCACACCTGTAATCCCCGCACTTTGGGAGGCTGAGGCGGGTGGATCACCTGAGGTCAGGAGTTTGAGACCAGCCTGGCCAACGTGGTGAAACCCCATCTCTACTAAAAATACAAAAATCAGCTGGACGTGGTGGCATGTGCCTGTAATCCCAGCGACTTGAGAGGCTGAGGCAGGAGAATCACTTGAGCTGGGGAGGCAGAGATTGCAGTGAGCCCAGATCGTGCCACTGCACTCCAGCCTGGGTGACAGAGTGACATTCCATCTCAAAAATAAATAAAAAATAAAAAAAAA
Organism: Homo sapiens; assembly: GCF_000001405.40. Lineage (NCBI taxonomy): Eukaryota > Metazoa > Chordata > Mammalia > Primates > Hominidae > Homo > Homo sapiens. The sequence goes on from NC_000019.10 coordinate 14,179,210, forward strand.
ATAGGTCAGGCACGGTGGCTCACGCCTATAATCCCAGCACTTTGAGAGGCCAGGGTGGGCAGATCATGAGGTGAGGTGATTGAGACCATCCTGGCTAAAACGGTGAAACCCCATCTCTACCAAAAATACAAAAAATTAGCTGGGCATGGTGGCGGGCACCTGTAGTCCCAGCTACTTGGGAGGCTGAGGAAGGAGAATGGCCTGAACCCAGGAGGCAGGGCTTGCAGTGAGCTGAGATTGCACCACTGCACTACAGCCTGGGCGACAGAGCGAGACTCCATCAAACAAACAAACAAATAAATGCCAAGGAGAGAGGCCTCAGAAGGAACCAACCCTGGCTGATACCTTGACCTCAGACTTCTGGCCTCTGCAACTGTGAGACAATCAATGTCTGTTGCTTAAGACACATGGTCTAGGCCGGGCTCGGTGGCTCACACCTGTAATCCCAGGACTTTGGGAGGTCGAGGTGGGCGAATCACCTGAGGTCAGGAGTTTGAGACCAGCCTGGCCAACATGGTGAAACCCCCATCTCTACTTAAAAAACTACAAAAATTAGCCGGGTGTGGTGGCAGGCACCTGTAATCCCAGCTACTTGGGAGGCGAGGCAGGACAATTGCTTGAACCCAGGAGGCGGAGGTTGCAGTGATGGCATGCAGAGATCATGCCACTGTACTCCAGCCTGGGCGACAAACAAAGACACATGGTCTCTGGTACTTTGTTAGGGCGGCCCTAGTTAATGAATATGCTAACAGGACTTGGGGCAGGAGCTTTGGGTCACATAGTCTCAGCTGACTTCTAGAGATGCTAGAGATTCAGCTCAGCCCTGTAGGTGGTCTATCAGGGCTACAGAGTACAGAACTGAGCTCCAATACAAACCCTGGATAACAAGGCTTGGGGGAGCCTCTATGGTTGGCAGTACACCATGTGTGTTGTCACACATTGTTGCCGGGAGAGTTAACACTGTCCAGGACTCCACTGAAGGGAGTAACTGGAAACTCCATGCATGGAACTTTCTTGGACTCTGCCCTATGCACCTCTTCCCTTGCCTGACTTCTATTTGTTTTGAGACAGAGTCTCGCTCTGTCACCCAGGCTGGAGTGGAATGGCGCGATCTCAGCTCACTGCAACCTCTGCCTCCCAGGTTCAAGCGATTCTCCTGCCTCAGCCTCCCAAGTAGCTGGGATTACAGGCGCCTGCCACCACACCCCACTAATTTTTGTATTTTTAGTAGAGACGGGGTTTTGCCATGTTGGCCAGGCTGGTCTCAAACTCCTGACCTCAGGTGATCCGCCCGCCTGAGCCTCCCAAAGTGCTGGGATTACAGGCATGAGCCACCACGCCTGGCCTGTTTGTTTTTTCAGACAGGGTCTCACCCTGTCACCAAGGTTAGAGCACAGTGGTGTGATCATAGCTCACTGCAGCCTCAAACTCCTGGGCTCAGGGGATCCTCCTGCCTCAGCCTCCCGAGTAGCTGGGACTACAGGCACATACCACCATGCCTGGCTAATTTTTTTTTATTTTTTGTAGTGATGGGGGTACTTGCTATGTTGCCCAGGCTGGTCTCAAACTCTTGAGCTCAAGCAATCCTCCCACCTTGGCTTCCCAAAGTGTTGGGATTACAGGAGTGAGCCAGTGCACCTGGCCCTGATTTTAATCTGTATCCTTTTGATGTAATAAACTGTGAGCAAATTAGCCGGGCGTGGTGGCAGGCACCTATAGTCCCAGCTACTCAGGAGGCTGAGGCAGGAGAATGGTGTGAACCTGGGAGGTAGAGCTTGCAGTGAGCCGAGATCACACCACTGCACTCCAGCCTGGGCGACAGAGCGAGACTCCATCTCGAAAAAATAAATAAATAAAAAATAAATAAACTGTGAGCATAACATCTAGTTAGTTCCAAGTCCTTCTAGTGAATGATCATACCTGAGTGTTCTCTGGGGGACCCCCAAACTTGTCATTGGTGTCAGAAGTGAGGCTTGGCTTGGGGACTTCCCTAACTTCACCCCACCCCATGCGAGGAGCAGAGAAAACATGGGAATGAACTCATGTTTCTAGAAGAAACCATAGAGACTGGCTTTGCCGCTGACAGGGCAGATGTGAAGTCTGGTTCAGAATGCAGATTCGGGCCCCATACTCGGCCTGCTGGATCAAAATCCCAGGGGTGAGGCCAGGAGCCTGCAGGGCTATGTGCCAACCAGGTGATGGTGATGCATGCTCAAGTTCGAACAGTGGCTGGGCGCGGTGGTTCACGCCTGTAATCCCAGCACTTTGGAAGGCCGAGGTGGGTGGATCACCAGAGGTCAGGAATTCGAGACTAGCCTGGCCAACATGGTGAAACCCTGTCTCTACTAAAAATACAAAAAATTAGCCGGGCATGGTGGCAGGCGGCTGTAATCCCAGCTACTCGGGAGGCTGAGGCAGGAGAATCGCTTGAACCCGGGAGGCAGAGGTTGCAGTGAGCCGAGATCACACCACTGCACTCCAGCCTGGGCGACAAGAGCAAAACTCCATCTCAAAATAAAAACATTTAAAAAGTTTGAACAGCCACCGTTCTTCTTTCCCCAAGCCTCAGTTTCCCAATCTGTAAAATGAGCACCTACAGCCCCGGGTCATCCTGCAGGGATCCTGTGCCTTAGAAAATGCTCTTGAAGGAAAGCACTGAGCATGGCACCCTGCACACGGAGGGTGCCTGATCAGTATCATCTGGTGAACCTCCAAGGATTTCACTGTGACAAGGAAGGGACATGTTCTGAGCAGGCTGAGCTCCCTGGGGGGATTGCGTTGCCCCATGTTGGTCATCACCTTGTACCACACGGGGATGGAGAACTAGAATGTAGGAGCCAGACAGATGGCTGGGGTTGGAATTCCAGCCCGGCCACTCCCTGGCTGCAGCCTCATCCAAGTCACTGACCGCCTCTGTGCCTCTGTCCCTCCCCTGAGGGGCAGAGAGGACAATTCCCATCTCACAGGACTGTTGTGATGGCTCCAGGGTGTTAATGTGTGCAGAGCGCAGTGAGATGATATGAATGCTAATTATTGTTATTATGAATATTATTAAGGCGGTTTGTCTGCACAACAGAGGGTGCCTGGCAGGGTCCATGCTGGCCGGGGCAGCACCTTCTGTGACGCTGGTTCCAGCCAGGCCCTGCGGGGTGCTGGAGGGCAGCAGGGATTCAGCCAGGGACCCAGATGCCCCAATGTGGGGACCGTCGCTTGTAGGTGAAGGAAGTGACCACCTGCTGTACGAGGTTTCGGGAGGGCACTCGTGCGGGACGGTGACAGAGCTGAGCCTTTCCAGAGATCTGGGTGGGTACCCCAGGGGTATGGCAGGGAGGCCCTTGGGGTTTTTTGGGGTGAGTTGAGTCCCAGCGGGGGGAACATTTCACATGTGTTCCTCCAGCACCATCTGCCTCCTCATCTAATTTTAGCCTTCCCGGGCTTGGGAGGGAGGGCCGGGGGTGGAAGGCTGGCTCAGATGGGTCTGGGGGTGGAGGCAGCCCTCCCGGCCCAGCTGGGGCTATGGGGCAGGACCTGGATGGGCAGAGAACGTAGCAGCAGAGGAGTGAGGTTGCTGGCCAGCGGGGCAGTGCCAAGGCCCTGGGGCCCAGCTGAACCGTGTCCCTTCAACCTTTGGAGCTTTCCAGAGGGCAGGGCCAGAGGGAGCAGAGTCACCCGCCAATGCCCTTCATACAGGGATGTCGGGGTGGGCAGGGGGCACATCCCAGAGTGAGGGGCCGGGCCTACTGGCCTCTTCTCTTGGCCTCTCACCTTATCCCGCCCTTGCCCCCGGCCTGGGCTGGTCACGGGGCCAGTAATCGAGTAATCGGTGAGGGTGGGCGGGCAGGCTTGGGGCACTAATAGTGGCGTGTGCAGGATCCTAGGGCCGGCATAGGGCCGAGCCGGGTAATTAGTTGTTTTTAAATAAACGTCAGCGGGCATGCTTTAATTAAGCCTTCTTCCCAGTGAGAGCCTCGAAGATGTAATCACAGAGAGAGAGAGAGAGAGAGAGAGCGAGAGAGAGACAGAGAGAGGAGCATCGGCTCACCAAGAAGGCCTGTCCTGGTCCCAGGGGCCACAGCGGGATGGCCCCTACCAACCTGGCCCAGCCGACTTGTTGGAGGTAAGAGGATGGTCCAGGGGCCTCTTGGTGGCACTGGGGTGTGTGTTACCCCTGAGTCTTCCACTGGCCTGCTCCAGCTGAGGTCTGGGGCGGGGCAGGGGGCTGTAATTCTTTACTGAGTGATCAGGAGGGTTTTCAACATTTTATCTGCCCCCCCCAGAAGGGTTTGGGAGCCGCGGCCCCTCCCCGGCCCCAGCAGCACCTACCTTGGGTGGCCGAGGTGACCAGGACGGCGGTGACACACAGATTCCAGAGCACTGCGGCTAGGCGGGCCATGGTGGCAGCCGGGTGCGTGTCCGGAGCTCTCAGTGGCCTGTGCGGGGGGCTTTGCCCCACATCACCTGGCAGGCACCACGGCCTGGACCACCAGCCTGGGGGAGGACAGGGAGACTGAGGTGGGGATAGGGCCTCCAGGCCGCTCCCCTCTCCTCCTGCTGGTGGCTGAGTAGCTCTGAGAGGCTGAGGTCCAGCACGTCCCTCGAGCCAGCCCTATCTGTAGGGCCCCCTCCGGGGTCTGCAGCTCACACCACACCCCCCACCCTTACACCCAGCAGCCAGACCCAGCTATCTGGGCACCTCTGGGCAAAGAGACTGCCAACTCTTCCCCACTGGAACCTCCTGGGACAGCTCACGGGGAGATCCCAGGCAGGCCTTGGACCCTCTGGAAGCCTCTTCCCCATGCCCCTGTCCTGACCCTGCCCACTCATCTCCCCTACTCGCATCCTCACCATGAGCAAGGAGGTAATGAGTGTCCTCCCAAGTGAGGGACTCATTGCAACCCAACTTGCAGCCTCCCCGTCTTGGGCAGAAATCCAAGCCCCCGCCCCCAGCCCCCTGCTTCCTGTCTCTCAAGCTCTGGTGGCTAATTAGAATCCAGCTGGCGCCACAGATCGGGAACCAGGGACGCCCGAGTCCCCTCTTTCCTCTCTGGGGGACCTTCAGGGTAAGCTGGAGACAGGCAGGCGGGGTGGGAGGCGGACACTGCCTCCCCCTCTGGGGGGGCCAGGGGAGATGGGGGAGGGGTGAGAATTGTGTGCTGTCCCCTGCCATCCTCCCCACCTGCTCTGTCCCCAGGCACAGCGGCTCAGTTTTTTTTTTCATTATTATTATTTTTTTAAATTTTAGAAACCAGGTCTCACTCTGTTGCCCAGGCTGGAGTGCAATGATATAATCACAGCTCACTGCAGCCTCAACCTCCCAGACTCAAGGAATCCTCCCACCTCAGCCTCCCAAGTAGCTGAAATCACAGGCTTGCACCACTACCACCAGCTAATTTTTATTTTATTTATTTATTTATTTATTTATTTATTTATTTATTTATTTTTTTTTCTGAGACGGAGTCGTGCTCTGTCCCCCAGGCTGGAGTGCAGTGGCACAGACTCAGCTCACTGCAAGCTCCGCCTCCTGGGTTCACGCCATTCTCCTGCCTCAGCCTCCCGAGTAGCTGGGACTACAGGCACCCACCAACACGCCCGGCTAATTTTTTGTATTTTTAGTCGAGATGGGGTTTCACCGTGTTAGCCAGGATGGTCTCTATCTCCTGACCTCGTGATCCGCCCGTCTCGGCCTCCCAAAGTGCTGGGATTACAGGCGTGAGCCACAGCGCCCAGCACCACCAGCTAATTTTTAAATTTGCTGCAGAGAGGAGGTCTTGCTATGTTGCCCAGACTGATCTCAAACTCCTGGGCTTAAGGGATCTTCCTGCCTGGGCCCCCCAAAACTTTGGGATTACAGGAGTGAGCCACTGTGCCCAGTCCAGGACTCGGTTCTAACTGGTTTCTTCCTGCCTTATGGCTGCTCCTTCTCACCTCTCTCCCCGCCTCAGTCTCCCCAAATCCTCTCAGGCTTGCACGCTCAAATGTCTGTCCTCAGCTCTTTGCTTTATCTACACCCTGGTTCTCCAGGTGTGGTCCCAGCACACTGGCATCAGCCTTGCCAGGAACTTGGTAGAAACACACATTCTCTCTCTCTCTTTCTTTTTTTAAGAGACAGGGTCTTGCTCTGTTGCCCAGGCTGGAGTACAGTGGCACAATGACGGCTCACTGCAACCTCCAGATCCTGGGTTCAAGTGATGCTCCTACTTCAGCCTTTCGAGTAGCTGGGACCACAGGCTCTCGCCACCACGCCCAGCTAATTTTAAAATGTCTTATAGAGACAGGATCTTGCTATGTTGCCCAAGCTGGTCTTGAACTCCTGGCCTCAAATGATCCTCCCACCTCAGTCTCCCAAAGTGCTGGGATTACAGGCGTGAGCCACTGTGCTGGCCAGAAACACACATTCTCTGAGGCAGGCCCTGAAGCGTGGGAACCCCTGCTCTGTCATATCCAGCTGTCATCCCAGCCTGTCCCATCTCAGGCTGTCCTGGGCTCTCAGTACCATCATTGAGCCAGCACTTTCAAATCTCTTATGTCCAGCCTGGAATCTCTCATCAGAGCCCCCACTACCATTTCCCTGCTGAAAACCAAAACCCTTGTAATTGGCCCAGTTAGCTCCCTGACCCCATTTCTGCTCCAGCCACTCCTGCTATTCCTGGACCACAGCAGGCCTTGCCCCAGGGCCTTTGCACCTGTTGCTTCCTCCACCTGTAGCTTCTGCCAACCCACTGTCCACATGGCTGGCTCCTTCAGGCCTCTGCTCAGATAGAACTATTCACCTGGTGTATAGAATGTCCTCTTCATGGGGCAGGGATCATTGAACTGTTTTGCTCATGGTGGCCGTATCCCCAACTTTTATTTACTTTTATTTTTTTAGAGATAGGGTCTTGCTCTGTCACTCAGGCTGGAGTGCAGTGGTGAAATCATGGCTCACTGCAGCCTCCACCTCCCAGGCTCAAGTGATCCTCCCGCCTCGGCCTCCCTAGTAGCTGAGACCACAGGTATGCACCATCACATCCAGCTAATTTATTTTATTTTGCAAAGATGAGGTCTTGCTATGTTGCCCAGGCTGAACATGAACTTCTGGCCTCAAGAGATCCTCCTGCCTCAACATCCCAAAGTGCTGGGATTACTGCGTGAGGCCATCACCACTGTTGTCTTCATATCCTCAACTTTTAGAATAGGCCTGGCACGTGGCAATGAATTAATTATTTGTTGAATGAATCTCAGATCCCAAAGCTGAGACTCTGCCTTGATTCCTCACCTTCCCTGTCATCCCCCTCACGGAAGCCATCAGCAACTCCTGTGGGCTCTGCCTCTGAAGTACCTCGCGACCTGCCCACTTCTGGCTCTAAGCACAGCACCCAGGCCCATGCACCATCCTATGTCACCTGTATGTTGTCCTGGCCTCCTTGCCCGCCTCCCAATCCGCCCTTCACTCAGAGCTAAGGGACCACATGATGATGTTGATCCGAACATTAACTGACCCCCTGGTCTCTGCTGGGGTCTCAGTTCCTCACTAGAGCCCAGAGGCTGTGGGTGAACTGGTGCCACCAAGCTCTCCAAGCCCCATTCTGTCCTCCCTCCTGTTCCTGAAACATTCAACATTCCAGTTCCAGTCCCCAAGCAGGATCCCTGCATGTCGGCTGCGGCTGCTCATTGTTCAGGGCTCAGCCGCAAGGTCACCCCAGCAGAGTGACCTACCCTGACCCCCTGCAAACAAAACAGTCCTCGCCTGCTGCCCTCACCCGCCATCCTTTTCCCTGTTTTTAATTCACAGCTCTCAAGTGAGCACCTGAAATTACCTTTTTATCAACACGAGCTTCTTGAGAGAGGCCCTTACAAATCAGCACACGGCTGGGCACGGTGGCCCGTGCCTGTAATCCCAGCACTTTGGGAAGCCGAGGCGGGTGGATCACCAGAGGTGGGAGTTCGAGACCAGCCTGGCCAACATGGTGAAACCCCATCTCTACTAAAAATACCAAAAAATTAGCCGGGCGTGGTGGCGGGTGCCTGTAATCCCAGCTACTCGGGAGGCTGAGGCACGAGAACTGGTTGAACCTGAGAGGTAGAGGTTGCAGTGAGCTGAGATTGTGCCATTGCACTCCAGCCTGGGCAACAGAGCCAGACTGTCTCAAAAATAAATAAATAAAACAAATCGGCACAGGCCCTCAATAAATAAAGATCCCCACAGGGCAGGACACCTGGTCCAGACCCCAGTCTCCTCACGTGGGAAATGGGAAGATAATATCTGCAAGACAGCCCTGAACACCCCCTCTCCAGCCCTGTAGCTCTCTGCCCGCTTCCCCTCTCATGCCCACTCCCGATACCAGCTCCCTCTCCACTGCCCCAGCTTCTTCAGTAAATCCCCCCCAGCTACCTCCAGCCCCCAACCGCGTCTCCCCCCACATCCCTGACTAGACACGGCCAGTGTCACTTTCAGATGATTTTACAGCGTGTTACCCCGCCGCCGCCACCAGCCCCTATCCGCATCTCCCCCACATCTGTGACTAGACATGGCCGGTGTCACTTTCAAATCATTTTCCAGCATGTTACCTTGGGAATGGGGAGTGGCTTCCTTATTTCAACTTCCTCATTTCTCCCCCAACTGCCCAGCCACAGAAAGGTTCAGGGGAGGCAGTGTCCCCAAGCTGAGGATACTCCCCTCCCAGGGTCTCCAAGCGCTTTCTTTCCCACTGCAACAGGCATCCGAGCAGAGGAACTGGTTAGAGGGAGTAAAAATGGCTGGCTTGGTACGGTGACTCGTGCCTGTGATCCCAGTGCTTTGGGAGGCTAAGGTGGGTGGATCACTTGAGCCCAGGAGTTTGCAAGGCTGCAGTAAGCTATGATCCTGCCACTGCACTCCAGTCTGGGCAACAGAGCAAGACCCTCTCTTAATAAAAATAAATAAATAAATAAATGGCAGGGAAGCCACTCGATGCCAAATTGTGTGGGCAGCGAATCCACATGGGTCTAGATCCCAATTTTGCCTTATACATGCCCTGTGTGACCTTGAGCTGGTCTCCTCACCTCCCTGGCCCTGGTTCCCTCTGCGCTGCTATTCTGCAGGGTTCTGGTAAGGAGAGCAGTACACGTACACGCTGGGCCAATACAGGCCCCATCAGAGGGTGCTGTGCACAGCCTGGTGCCAGTCAGGGCACAAAGACACCCACGGAAGAGGCAGTCCCTCTCTTCCTCCCAGGCTGCACCCTAGAATGCTAAGACTCCAGAGTGGACCCCCCAGAGCCATGTATACTTCCACCGGGAACTCCAAGGCACCTTCAGCCCAACCAGACCAAAATAAGCCCCTACATCAGTGCACGGTGCCACCATCCTCCCAGGCCCTCCAGCCAGAACCCCAGGAGCTGAAACCCTTGACTCCTCTCTCACCCCTAAATCCAGTTCAAGAGTAAGTCTTTGGGCTGTGTATACTTCCAGAACACCCCAGTGTTGGTCCACACATCTGTCTTCAGCATCTGCCCCTCTAGTCCTGGGCCCTGGCCACTCCCCAAGTGCCCTCTGGCTCCTTTGCCTCCGACGTCCAGGCTCTCCTGGCAGCCAGAGGCACCACCTCCTTTTTTTTCTTTTTTTGAGACGGAGTCTCACTTTGTCACCGGGGCTGGAGTGCAGTGGCACAATCTTGGCTCACTGCAACTTCCACCTCCCGGGTTCAAGTGATTCTCCTGCCTCAGCCTCCTGAGTAGCTGGGATTATAGGCGCCCACCACCACGAGCAGACACGGGGTTTCACCATGTTGGCCAGGCTAGTCTGGAACTCCTGACCTCAAGTGATCCACCCGCCTCGGCCTCCCAACGTGTTGGGATTACAGGCATGAGCCATCGTGCCCAGCCTCCAAAACTTTTTTATCACCCCACATAGAAACTCCGTACCCACTAAACAATAATGCCCACTCCCCTTGTCGCCCAGCCCTGGTAACTTATAATCTACTTTCTGTCTCCATGGATTTACCTATTCTAGACATTTCATACAAATGGAGTCACAGGCTATGTGGCCTTTTTTTTTTTTTTTTTCCCAGTTAGATGGGGGTCTCACTCTGTTGCCCAGGCTGGAGTGCCGTGGCCCAATCTCGGCTCACTGTAACCTCCACCTCCCAGGCTCAAGTGATTCTCCCATCTCAGCCTCCTGAGTAGCTGGGACTATAGTCACATGACTCCTCTAAATGAACTCCTGGCTAACTTTTGTATTTTTTGTAGAGGCAGGATTTCGTCATGTTGCCTAGGCTGGCCTCAAACTCCTGGACTCAAGTGATCTGCCCATCTTGGCCTCGTAAAGTGCTGGGATTACGGCTGTGAGCCACCATTCCTGGCCTTATTTTGTGTCCAGCTTCTCTCACTCAGCGCCACGTTTCCAAGGCTCACCTACGTTCTAGCCTGGATCCGAGCTTCATTCCGTTTTATGGCTGCGTAGTATTCCACTGCATGGGTGGAGCACGTTTTCTTTATCCAGTCATCGGTAATGGACATGCGGGCTGTTGCACAGAAGGATCCTTTTTATTTTCTCCCTAGCTTTGCTGAGGCATCATTGACAAATAGAAATTACATCTATTTAAGGTTACATGATATTTTGATATCCATTATGTGTTGTGAAGTGATTACCACAACCAAGCTAACAACACATCCAACACCTCACCTAGACACCTTTCTGGTGTGTGTGGTGAGAACACTTGAGTCTAATTCCTCAGCAAGTTTCAAGAAAACAGTATGCTATAATAATTATTATTATTTTGAGACGGAGTCTCGCTCTGTCACCCATGCTGGAGTGCAGTGGCGCAATCTTGGCTCACTGCAACTTCTCCCTCCCAGTTCAAGCAATTCTCGTGCCTCAGCCTCCTAAGTGGCCGGGGCTACGGGTGGGCACCACCGTGCCTGGTTAATTTTTGTATTTTTAGTAGAGATGGAGTCTCATGTTGCCCAGGCTGGTCTCAAACTCTTGAGCTCAAGCAATCTGCCTGCCTCGGCCTCCCAAAGTGCTGCGATTATAGGTATGAGCCGCCACACCTGGCCTGCTATTATTAATTATAGTCACCATGCTGTACCTTAGGTCTCTGGAACTTTTTTCTTTTAGAGATGAGGTCTTGCTCTGTTGCCCAGGCTGGAGTGCAGTGGCACCATCAAAGCTCACTGTAGCCTCGAACTCCTGGGCTCAAGAGATCCTCCCACCTCAGCCTTCCGTGTAGCTGGAATTACAGGTGTGTGCCACCATGCTTGGCTGATTTTAAATTTTTTTGTGGAGACAGGGTCTTGCTATGTTGTTCAGGCTGGCCTTGCACTCCTGGCGTCAAGCGATGCTCCCGCCTTGGCCTCCCAAAGTGCTGGGATTACAGGCACAAGCCATTCTGCCTGGTTAAAACGTGTTTATCTGAAAGCTGAAAGCTTGTACCCTTTGACCTACATCCCCCGCCTTCCCCTGTGCCCTCACCACCATAACCACTGCTCTACTCTGCTTCTACGAGTTCAATTCTTTTTTAGATTCCACAGATAAGTGAGGTCATGCACTATTTGTCTTTCTGTGTCTGGCTTATTTCACTTAGCATAATGTCCTCCAGGTTCATCCATTCCAGAGGGGTGTTTTAAAAGACAATCTTGGCCGGGCGCAGTGGCTCACGCCTGTAATCCCAGCACTTTGGGAGGCCGAGGAGGGCAGATCACCTGAGGTCAGGAGTTCAAGACCAGCCTGGCCAACATGGTGAAACCCCATCTCTATTAAAAATACAAAAATTAGCCAGGTGTGATGGCGGGGACCTGTAATCTCAGCTACTCGGGAGGCTGAGGTAGGAGAATTGCTTGAACCTGGGAGGCAGAGGTTGCGGTGAGCCAAGATCACGCCACCGACTCTAGCCTGGCCGACAGAGCAAGACTCCGTCTCAAAACAAAAACAAAAACAAAAGACAATGTTGAGTGGTGGGTCTTCTGCTTTAACCCCTCCAACACCTCTGACTCCCGCCTTGTCTCCCTCCAGCCATGCGGGTTCCCACCCTCCAGCCTCAGCCTGTCCCCATCTGTGTCCCTCAGACTCAGAGGTGTCCTCCCCAGAGACGCAGACATGGGCCTCTGCCACCCTGTATTACAGTGCCCTGCAGTCACCGCCTGCCTGTGCATCCCTTGCCATGCTGTGACCTCTTGTGTCTCTGTTTTCTTCTTGGTAAAACGGGGATACCTCAGAGGGCAGCTGTGCAACAGGACAAATTCACACACGAGACACTCGGGATGCTCCTGGCACACAGACAGGGTGAAGCATCCCTTGTCCCCATTGTCACCTTCTCTATTAGCTCGGGCTGCCATAACAAAGTGCCATAGACTGCGCGGCTTACACAGCAGAAATTTACTTCCTCCTAGTTCTGGAGGCCAGAAGGCCAAGATCAAGGTGCCAGCGAATTCAGTTTCTGTGGAAATTCTCTTCCGCCTTCTCACTATATCCTCACAGGGCCTCTTCTCTAGACATGCATAAAGGGAGACAGATCCCTGCTGTCTCTCTCTTTTTTTTTTTTTTTCTGAGACAAGGTCTGGCTCTCTTGCTCAGGCTGGAGTGCAGTGGCACAATCCCGGCTCATTGCAGTCTCAACCTCCCAGGCTCATGGGATCCTCCCGCCTCAGCCTCCTGAGTAGCTGGGGCTACAGGTGCGTGCTCCTGTGCCCAGCTACTTTTTCGATTTTTTTTGTAGAGATGGGGTCTCGCTATGTCGCCCAGGCTGGTCTTGAGCTCCTGGCCTCAAGCGATCTTCCTGCCTTGGCCTCCCAAAGTGCTGGGATTACAGGCATGAGCCACAAGCGCCGGCCTCTCTCTTCTTATTGGGATACCAGTCCTCTGAGAGTAGGGGGCCCCACCCTTAAGATCTCATTTAACCTTAACTACCTCCCTCAAGGGCCTACCTCCAAATACACTCACGCTGGGAGTCAGGGCTTCAACCTCTGCATTTGGGAGGGAGGTGGGAAGATACAATTTAGTCCATAACCTCATCCATCCCATCCCTGCTCCATACTTTTACTTGACCACTCCTAGAGTTCCTTTATTTTATTTTATTTATTTATTTATTTTTTGAGACGGAGTTTCACTCTGTCGCTCAGGCTGGAGTGCAGTGGCGCGATCTCGGCTCACTGCAACCTCCACCTCCCAGGTTCAAGCAATTCTCCTGCCTCAGCCTCCTGAGTAGCTAGGATTACAGTCACACGCCACCACGCCTGCCTAATTTTTGTATTTTTAGTAGAGATGACGTTTTGCCATGTTGGTCAGGCTGGTCTTGAACTCCCAACCTCAGGTGATCCACCTGCCTTGGTCTCCCAAAGTGTTGGGATTACAGGCGTGAGCCACTGCTCCCGGCCTTTTCTTTGTTTTGTTTTGAGACGGAGTCTTGCTCTGTCGCCCAGGCTGGAATGCATTGGCGTGATCTTGGCTCACTGCAACCTCCGCCTCAAGTGATTCAAGAACCTCGAGTGATTCTCCTGCCTCAGCCTCCTGAGTAGCTGAGATTACAGTCACAGGCCACCACACCTGGCTAATTTTCGTATTTTTAGTAGAGACGGGGTTTCGCCATATTGGTCAGGCTGCTCTCGAACTCCCAACCTCAGATGATCCACGCGCCTCGGCCTCCCAAAGTGCTGAGATTACAGGCGTGAGCCACCGTGCCCAGCCTTCTAGATTTTCTTTCTACTCCCAGAAGAATGGAAACTCCTGAGGCTGGAACTTGGTTTCCCCGACTCCTGTCTCCTGGTTCCCTGAACACACAGTGGGTCCCCAAGCAAAAACTTACTGAAGACAGGGGAGTGACTAAGGACGGCAGTGAGGATAGCTGGAGATGGGGCGTCTGCCCTGTGACCTGGGGGACCACGCCTGACCCCCACAGGCAGGGTGCCATTGCCTTAGGGGTACAGACAGAGTTCCCCAGGAGCACGACGCCCTCTCCCCAGAGTGGCTCCCCTAGGAAGCTCCAGACACCCCCAGGAACCAGCCTCAGCTTGGCAGGTGGTGGGTGTCCCCCGGGAGACCCAGGCCTGACCATCCCTGAGGCCTCTGGAGGGGGAGGATTGAAATATGGCCCCCCGCCCCCACCGCCAAAAAAAAAAAAAAAAAAAAAACTCAGGCTGGGCACAGTGCACAGTGGCTCACACCTACAACCCCAGTACTTTGGGAGGCCAAGGTGGGAGGATCACTTGAGCCCTGGAGTTTGAGACCAGCCTGAGCAACATAGTGAGACCCCATCTCCACAAAAAACACAAAAATTAGCCGAGCACGGTGGCACGTGCCTATAGTCCCAGCTACTGGGAAGGCTGAAGGGGGAGGGTTGCTTGAGCCCAGGAGGTTGAGGCTGCAGTGAGCTCTGATTGCACCATTGCATTCTAGCCTGGGCAAGAGAGTGGGACCCCATGTCAAAAATACAAAAGATATGTTGAAGTCCCAACTCCTGATAACTCAAATGTGACTGTGTTGGGAACATCTGGAGTCCTTACAGAGATAATCAAGTTAAAATGAGGTCATTAGTGTGGGTCCTAATCCAACAACTGACGCCCTTATACAAAGGAGAAACCTGGACACAGACATGCACAGAAGACCATGTGACCATGAAGGCAGAGATCAGAGTGATGCTTCTAGAAGCCAGGGAAGATTGCCAGTTAATGACCAAAAGAAGCCAGGAGACAGGCCTGCAACGGATTCTGCCTGAAGGCTCCCAGAAGGAACCAACCCTGACAACACCTTGATCTTGGACTTCCAACCTCCAGAGCTGGGAGGCGACACAATTCTGTTGTTGGCTGCAGTGGCTCACGCCTGTAATCCCAGCACTTTGGGAGGCCAAGGCGGGAGAATTGCTTGAGCCCAGGAGTTTGAGACCAGCCTGGGCAACACAGTGAGACCCCAGCTCTACAAACAAATATAAAAAAGTAGCTGGGCATGATGGGATGCACCTGTAGTCCCAGCTGCTCGGGAGGCTGAGGCTGCAGTGACCTGTGATCGCACCAGTACACTTCAGCCTGGGCAATAGAGCAAGACCTCATCTCTGAAACATAAACAAAAAAACCAATAAAGTCTCTGTTGCTAAAGCTGTCCCGTCTGTGGTAATTTGTTGTGGGAGCCTAGGAAATTCATATAGGGAGTCAGGACACAAAGAGAGTGAGGAGGGAGGCAGAGATGGGGGCAAGGGCCTGAGCCACAGAACTTTAAAGAAACCATTTACAGGAAACAGCAAACGACAGGGTGAGCATCTAGCTGGGCTCTCCAGCAAGGAACCACCTGAGATGCCTGGGACAGTGACGGACAGCTCCAAGTGCCAGCCCGAGCAGCTTCCACGTGTAACTCATGTAATCCTAATAACCATTTAGGAAGGAGAGATGCTTGTACCCACAGTTTACAGAGGAGGAAAGTGAGGTCCTGTCATTGAAGAGATATACCCAGGGACACTCAACTGGTAAGGGGGCTTGAACCCAGGGAGGGCTGGCTCCCCAGGTTGGGCTTGGTGAGCTGTGGGGGGATCCTGGGGGGCCAGAAGAGCCCCCACCCCCGGGCCCACACTGTATTTGAGTGTCTATGCAACCTCAGAGCTGGTCACGCCTGGACGTTCTACACCTGGGAAGCCAGGTGAGCCCACACCTGTGTCCGTCCCCACCTTGCACCTCAGTAGTCTCTGGTCACCTTATTTGTCTTTCTTTTTTCTTTCCTTCTTTCTTCTCTTTTTTTTTTTTTTCCTTTGAGACAGCAGGATCTTGCTGTGTCGCCCAGGCTGGAGTGCAATGGTGCACTCTCAGCTCACTGCAGCCTCATCCTCCCAGGCTCAAGTGATCCTCCCAGCTCAGCCTCCCGAGTAGCTGGGACTACAGGCACACAAAACCATGCCCGGCTAATTTTTGTGTTTTTTGTAGAGATGAGGTTTCACCATGTTGCCCAGGCTGGTCTTGAATTCCTGGGCTCAAGCGATCCTCCCGCCTCAGCCTCCCAAAGTGCTGGGATTACAGGTGTACCCAGGAATCCATTGCACCCAGCCATAGGCGACCCTATCTCACCCATGGGAAACGGGGCTGCACACCTGCCTGTATGTTCGCATCTAAGCCCTGCGTCTGTCTCAAGTCAAGGGTCGGTGCGGCAGGGTGGGCCACTGAGGCCCAGACTCTGTCCTCGGGTGCCCTGTGATGGGGATGGGGAGAGCAACAGGAGGAGAAGCGGCTGCTGGGGGAGAGGGGGCGCCTCTAGCCTGCCC
Source organism: Homo sapiens (assembly GCF_000001405.40). NCBI lineage: Eukaryota > Metazoa > Chordata > Mammalia > Primates > Hominidae > Homo > Homo sapiens. Next base: position 14,195,405 of record NC_000019.10, read on the forward strand.
TAGCCTGCAGTTGCCATGGCAACCCTCTGCGTGCTCGAGTGGGTGGGAGTCTGAGTGCCTTGGGTGGGGGGTGGGGGAACCAAGGTGGGGATCTGGGATCTGGGCCCCCTTCATGGTCTCCTCCCTTCCTGGCAGCAGCCGGCCCCTCCACACACAGCCCTCTGGCTGCATCTCCTGCCTCCTGCCCACTCCCCAAACCCAGCCGCCCATGAGCCCGCCTCCTTCAGGAAGCCCTCAGGCATCCGGCAGGTCCATAAGGAAGCCGCAGGCCCTGGGGTGACTATGAAGGATCAGCTGAGAGTTGAAGCCCCTGAATTTCAATCTGCTGTGTAGCTTCAGAGCAAGCACTTGGCCTCTCTGAACCTATTTCCCCATTGCTGCTCAGGGACTAACAGACCTACCTCGCAGAGACAGAGCACGTGCCCAGAGAGGGCCCAGGTACATGATCCTCGGGCAGGGCAGGGTTCTCACAGCATCTCCAGTCCCTGCCCCATCCTCCAGCTCAGTGGATGGCAGCCCAGTCCCTCCAGGGGCTCAGGAACCGGACAGTCATCCTGGATCCCTCTCCCCTCACATCACATCCAGCCCCGTCAGGTCCTGTGGCTACTCCTTCAGAGTCCACTCACCTCTCGCCACTCCTCAGCTTCTCTGGTCCAGCCCCATCATCTCCTGGCTGGACCCCACTTCCCCACCTCACTGTCTACACCTCGTCTCCCTATCTATCTGCCACCCCTGTCCCATCCAATCTCTACCTCGAGGCGAGAACAATCTTTGCAAAATGAAACTGTCTACAGTATGTTTCCCCCAGGGCCACCAGAGGGCGCGTGTGAGCATCTAAGTCAGCCGCTTCCCTCCTCTGCTCAGAACCCTCCGTGGCTCCCACCTCACTCGACCAAAAGCCAAAGTCTGTATCATACAAAGGCTCTGCACTGGGCCGGATGTGGCGGCGCACACCTGTAATCCCAGCACTTCAGGAGGCTGAAGAGGGCTGATTGCTTGGGCTCAGAAGTTCCAGACCAGCCTGGGGAACATAGTGAAACCTTGTCTCTGCCAAAAATACAAAAAGTTAGCCAGGCATAGTGGCACACGCCTGTGATCCCAGCTCCTCGGGAGGCTTAGGTGGGAGGATCTCTTGAGCCCGGGTGGTGGAGGTTGCAGTGAGCTGAGATTATGCCACTGCACTCTAGCTTGGGCAACAGAGCAAGACCCCATCTCAAAAACAAAAAACAAACAAGCCCTGTACAATGTGAAACACCAGGCACTGTTCTGCCTTAGGGCCTCTTCACGGGCTGTTTCTCTCTTCCCCAGATCCCCTCACAGCTCCTCCTGCATCTTCCTTTTGGTCTTTCCTCAAACATCACTAGTTCAGCAAGGTCCTGCTGGCCCCCACACTCCTACACCATGTCCTGACTTGATTTCTCCATACCTATCACCAGCACGCCATGCATTTTATTTGCTTATGAACTCTCTGCTACTAGATGCTGGCTCTGCAGGGTGGGGTTTGCATACTACACTCAGCACAGCGCCTGGCACAAGCAGGAAGCTGAAATATAATTGTTCAACGAAGAACCTTTTAAAGGTCACCCTGGAGCTGGGCACAGTGGCTCATGCCTGTAATCCTAGCACTTTGGGAGACCAATGCAGAATTGCTTGTGTCCAGGAGTTTGAGACCAGCCTGGGCAACACAGTGAGATCCTGTCTCTACAAAAATTTAAAAATTAGCCAGGCATGGTGGCACACACCTGTGGTCCTGGCTACTCGGGAGGCTGAGGCAGCAGGGTCATTCAAGCCCAAAAAGTCAAGGCTGCAGTGAGCTATGATCATGCCACTGCACTCCAGCCTGGGTGACAAAACAAGACTCCGTCTCTAAATAAAATAAAATAAAGGTCACCCCGGCCACCAAGCAGCACTGGACTGCAGAGGGGTAGGGGTCGTTCAAAAAATTCCCTGCCCCCGCCCCCAACACCTTCTCCCTCATCTCCCCATCTATCTGCCACCCCGTCCCATCCAGTCTCTACCCTGAGGTCAGAACGATCTTTGCAAAATGGAAATCCAATTACACCCCTCCCTGCCTACAACCCTCCATGGCTCCCTATTGCCTGTGATGCTCTAACATGGCATCTCAGGCCCTGCTGTCCTGCCACCTTCCCATCACTTCTACTCAGCGTCTGTCTCTCTCTCACACACAGTTCCTTATTCTGCTCTCCCTCCAAAGGGCTCTGCCCAGAGGACAGCATTCGTATCTCTCATATCCACTCTCACAGCACACAGGGTCTCTGTGTTTTGCTCCCCTAACTGGACTTGGGCTCAGCTGTTAAATGTCTGTCTTCCCCACCATCGAGGGACTCTGACGGGAAAGTACCATTGTGGGTTGGGCTGGCTCTTGTTGCATACCCAACCCTGGGCAAGGAGTGGATGCTTATTCATTTGTTTAATGAATGAAGATGAAATAGACCCAAAAAGCAGATCATCTATTCAGTGGATGTTTACCGAGTTCCCAACTGGTCACAAGTGCAATGGAGGAAGGTGTGCTTGACAGGGGGTATACATGTAGGTGCAACTGTAGACAGGGTGGCCAGGAAATGCCTCCCCTAAAAAGTGACATTTCGGCAGAGGTCTTGAGGAGGTGAGCCATCTAGGTACCTGTGCAAAGAGCATTCTGGGCAGAGGAAACAGCACGTGCAAAGGTCCTGGGGTAGGAATGTGCTGAGATGTGGCTGGGGCCCTGCAAGCAAGGGGAAGAGTGGAAGGAGGTGAGGGCGGCTGGGGAGGGGGGTCACAGAGGCCATACAGGGCCTTGTGGACCTCAGGGAGGACTTTGGCTTTCTAGAGAGGTGGGAGCCATCGGGAATCCTGAACAGAGGGATGGGATCTGGCTCGGGTGTTCACAGGTGTCCTCTGGCCGCAGAGGTGGAGATCAGACTGTGTGTGGGGAGGGTTGCTGGGAGTGGAGGGTACTCTCTACCCCACCTGTCCCTTGCCTTTTGTCCACAGGGCTGTCAAAGCCAGAAACCTGAAGCTTCCACCAAGCACTGGCTGCTTCTGGCCCCCACCTTGCTGGTTGCCTCCTGGCCTCCCTTCTGGCCTCCTGGCCTCCCTTCCTGCCAACTATGGCTCTCTCCCACGTAGCAGCTAGAGGGAGCTCATGCTAAACATTCTCACCCTGCCATCTGGATCCTGACGCAAACCCCCTACCTCTACCCCCACCCCTGCCACAGGCCCTGGCAGCCCCACAGTCACAAGTCCAGCCAGCAGCCTCCAGCTTCTCTCCACATGCAGTTGTGAAACATTTCTCCTTCCTCCCCTTTGAGCCACCATCTTCTGTCTGACCTCAGGGCAGCCCCTCTCTCTCACAGATGCTCCTTCCCCTCCACCATACCCCTCCTCCCCCTCCAGGTTGCAGCTGGGAAGCCCCCTCCTCCGGGAAGCCTTCCCTGACTTGCAACTCTGTTGCGCTCACCATCATGGCACGTCCACACCACAGTGGCCTGTGGTCTGTTTCCACTCCAAAGTGTTCACTGTCCAGCCCCAACCTTTGCACTCTGAGCTCAGCAGAGCAGAGCTGAAAAGAGTTCTAGAAGCTAGGGCCCGAGCAGAGGGCACAGAGGCGGGATCCCCCTGCCTCATCAGATGCTGGCAGGTAAGGGGCAGGGTAAGACCAGGAGACAGGGGCATGGTGCCTAGCAGGGCAGGAGAGAAGAGGCCTCCGGCATAGCGCCCTTAAGTTGCAGGTTCAAATCCAGGCTGTGCGCCGTCATGTCAGCACGACAGGACACCCACGTCACTCCTCTCAATTCTGTCTCTCCACGGGGGAGCTGGGGAACGAGAGCCTCCCAGGGTGGCTGTGGGGGTTAGAAATAATTTTCGGCAATTCCACACATCTTTTTTGGAGCATCTTCTATGTGCCAGACACTGAGGGGCTGGGTACAAAAAAGTCGATTCTATAGCGTACCAGTGTTGTGAAAGAAGATAAAGCCAGGAAAAGTGGCTATGAGTGTGTGTGGGTTTGGGAGTGTGTGTGTTTTTTTTTTTAATCGTATTTTTAGAGACAGGGTCTTACTCTGTTGCCCAGGTTGGAGTGCAGTGGTGGGATCATAGCTCACCACAGCCTCTGAGCTCAAGGGATCCTCCTGCCTCAGCCTCCCAAGTAGCTGGGACCACAGGGCGTGTGCCACCGTGCCCAGCTAATTTTTAATTTTTTTGTAGAAATGGGGGCCTCGTTATGTTTCCCAGGCTGGTCTCAAACTCAAGCGATCCTCCCGCCTCATCCTCCCAAAGTGCTGGGATTACAGGCACGAGCTACTGTGCCCGGCTGTTGCAATTTTATTTTATTTTATTTATTTATTTGAGACAGAGTCTTGCTCTGTCATCCAGGCTGGAGTGCAATGGCGTGATCTTGGCTCACTGCAACCTCTGCCTCCCAGGTTCAAGCGATTCTCCTGACTCAGACTCCTGATTAGCTGGGACTACAGGCACTCACCACCACACCCAGCTAATTTTTGTATTTTTAGTAGAGACAGGGTTTCACCATGTTGGTCAGGCTGGTCTCGATCTCCTGATCTCAGGTGATCCACCCACCTCGGCCTTCCAAAGTGCTGGGATTACAGGCATGAGCCACTGTGCCCGGCTGTTGCAATTTTCAACAGGATGATCAGGAAAGGCCATCTCCCCTGGAGAAGATGACATTTCAGCAAACCCCTGTGAATTTGAGAGAGGAGCACGCAGGTGTTCAGTTCAGGAGAGTTAGAAGAGCATCCTGGGCAGGGTCACAGCCCGTGCAAAGGCCCTGGGGCTGGACCGTGCCTATATGTTTGAATAACGGTGGCAGCTGCATCGAGGAAGCGGGTTGTGAGCTGGTGAGGAGAGTGGGAGGAGGTGAGAGCAGGGAGGTGCCGGGAACAGACTGTGCAGGACTCGCCTTGTACTTTAAACACACAACTGCTCCCCAAATGGGGCCGCCCCTCTGCCCAGCCTTCACTCCCAGAAGCCACTAGGGGGCGTTCTGGGGCAGGGTCGGCCAACCATGGTCAGGCCCCCGCCTGCCTTTGTACAGCTGGTGAGCTAAGAATGGTGTTTACATTTTTAAAGGACTGAAGAGAAGAAGAGAAAAGAGAACAGGCCACAGAACCCGTCTGCGGCCCGCAAAGCTTGCAGGATTTACCATCGGGCTTTCTACAGAAAAGTCAGCCAACCTCTACTCTATTTTATTTACGTATATATTTTTTTGAGACAGGGTCTTGCTCTGTTGCCCAGGCTGGAATGCAGTGGCGCGATCACAGCTCACTGCAGCCTTGACCTCCCAGCTCAAGTGATCCTCCTGCCTCAGCCTCCCGGGTAGCTGGGACGACAGGCGTGCGGCACCATGCCCAACTAATTTTTAAATTTTGTATTCTGTAAAGAAGGGGGTCTCGCTTTGTCGCCCAGGCTGGTCTTGAACTCCTGGACTCAAGTGATCCTCCTGCCTCAGCCTCCCAAAGTGCTGGGATTACAGGCGTGGGCCACTTTTTCCCACTGGCAACCTCTACTCTACAGCCATCACTGCCAACCCAGGACAATTCTGCCCCTGATCCCAGTATGTTTAGCAATGTCTGGAGACTTTCTGAGGTGTTACGACTGTGGGGCTGGAGGTGTCACTGACATCCATCGGGAAGAGGCTAGGGTGGCCTCTGAGCATCCTATAGTACAGAGGACAGCCTCCCACAGAGAATGATGCAGTGCCGAAGTCAGGAGTAATGGAAATCGTCTAGGAAATCCTGTCTGGGAAAGCCAGCCCCGGACCCCTCACCTCCTCAAGGGATAAGAAGGAGAATCCATCTGGCTTCCTGACCTGATCATTTGTGACCTGCAGGGTATTTTTAGCCTCTGAGGGAGGGGCACTGGCTATTCTGAGTTTTTTTGTTTTTTTTTTTTGGCGGGGTGGGGGGGGGCAAGGTTATTTTTGGCCTGGGCATCTATTTATTGAATTTTTATCTCCCCCCAAATTTTGGAACAGGAGACAGTGAAGGCAGGGGCATTTTTTTTTTTTTTTAAGAGTCAGGATCCTGCTTCGTCGCCCAGGCTGGAGTGCACTTGTGCAATCATAGCTCACTGCAGCCTCAAACCTCTGGGCTCAAGCCATCCTCCCACCTCAGCCTCCTGAGCAGCTGAGACTACAGGTACATATTCACGATGCCCAACTATTAAAAAAAAAATTTTAGAAACGAGTCTTGCTATGTTGCCCAGGCTGATCTCAAATTCTTGTCCTCAAGCAATCCTCCCACCTCGGCTTCCCAACATTCTGGGTTTACAGGTGTGAGTCACCACACCTGGGTCAGGTAAGACTTCTTGAACGCACACTGTGGGCCAGTGATGACTGTTGACACCTGGGATTCCCAAAGCAAAGCAAATCACAACATCCTCGCGCGCTTGGATCCTCCTCACAGACACAGACAGTAAACAAACAAGCGCAGAACATCAGGAAATTACAGACTATGTGAAAAGCCGTCCGCTGTACTGAACATCAGGAGGGGTGTGGGAAGCTGAGACTTTGCAGAAGGTGCCTGGGAGTAAACGTTACTGGGGAGGTGATATTTCAAGAGGGTGGGGGAGAAAAAGCCTCGAAAATATCTGGGGAAGGGTCCTCCGTGGCAGAACAGCCAGTGCAAACGCCCCGGGGTAGGATCACACTTAGCACACTGGACGAGCAACGAGGAGGGAGGAGATGGCCCAGAAAGACCATGAAGGGCCAGACCCCAGGACAGTCCAAGCCTGTGGGCTACTGCAGTCAGAGTTTGGGGCTACCCTCGAAAAGAAGACACACATGCCTTCTCCCCAACTCACATGACAGGAGAGTTTTGCTTTTTTGTTTTGGGTTTTTTTTTTTTATTGAGAATGAGTCTCGCTCTGTCGCCCACGCTGGAGTGCAGTGGCACAATCTCGGCTCGCTGCAACCTCCGCCTCCTGGATTCAAGCAATCCTCCCGCCTCAGCCTCCCTGGTAGCTGGGACTACAGGTGCACACCACCACGCCTGGCTAATTTCTGTACTTGTAGTAGAGATGGGGTTTCACCATGTTGGCCAGGCTGGTCTCGAGCCCCTGACCTCAGGTGATCCACCCGCCTCAGCCTCCCAAAGTGCTGGGATTACAGGTATGAGCCACCACGCCCAGCTGATAGGAGAGCTTTGATGGAAACCCCATATGTGTTGCTAGAGTGTGAGCTCCATGAGGACAGGACATGGCCACCACCCCCCATGGCGCCCCCTGCATGGTGCTGGGTGGGGAGGCAAGTGTGTGCAGATTGCATGACAAGGTGCACCCAGCCTTGCTCCAAGAAGTCCTGAGCACACAACTGCAGGTGCACAAAAGATGCAGACAGCCCCATGTGTGCACACAGACAGCTACTCCTTCTTGCAGCCCTGCCTCCCCCAGCATGACCACCCCCTCTGCAAAACACAAACACCAGCACAGGAGGGACCTTTATGAACACCGGATGAGTCTGATGGTCACGTGGCCACATGCACCCTTGGCTAGATCACCATCCAGGCCACACAGGCAGAGGACACCTATGCACAGGTGCAGACAGACAGACAGACATCTGGATTCTGGGGACACCGGGACCCCCTCCATGTTTCTACTTGGCCTCCCACCTCACTCCAGGACCCGTCTCTCCCCTTCCATCAGGGTGCCCAATAGCAACCACTTTGCCCCAAACCCAGCCTGGGAGGAGCTGTCTGTCTTGCCACGGCACCTTCAGGGTCACTGGGGTCAGGGTTTCAGACCCAGGGAACCCCCGCCTCAGGAGCCCCTCCCCCTGCCTCCCCACAGAGGGGCTGGAGGAGGGGAAGTGTCTGGCATCTGGAAATCAGATCCGTGAGAGGAACCCACACAGAAACGAGAGCCTTGTGTGTCCTTGGCCACATGTCTCGCCAGGGAGAAAGGAGGGGGTGGAGGGCAAAGACGATGCTCTGGCGGGGATGGCAGTGCTCCCACTCCTCCCGTTCCTCTTGAGGGGCACCCACTGCCACCCTCCCCACCGAGATGCCTGCGCTGGGGCTGAAGCAACACATGCTCTGCCACCAGCCTGGCAGGGTAGGGAGGACGCAGACGCCCCGAGATGCAAGCGTCACACAGCCTCACATGCAGGTGGAGAGGCCACCCGCCAGGAGCCCAAACTGCTGGATGCAAACACACTCCCGTGCAGCTGAGGCGCCTGTAGGCTCCTCCCCAACGTGCCCACAGGGTCCTCCAAGGCCCCCCAGGAGAAAGGGCTCCCCTGGGCAGGCTGGGAATAGAAGCTGGGCTTCGAGTCCCCCCCTTCCACCCCCTCCCTGCAGGCTCCACAGCCCAGGTGTGCTGGTCCCCAGCTCCCCATCCTCCCCAAGCCTGGGCGCCAGCTACACCCCCAAGAGCAGGAATCAGCGTGGGTGATCACGGGGTACGCAAGCGCCCAGAAGTGGGGATTGAGATGGGCGCCCCTTGGAGAGAAAGAGGGCCTGCAGGGGTGTCCCAGAGCAGATGCCACACACACATGGGGTGGACCGAGCGGGGCCATGAGGGAGGTCACCAAGCTGGGTAGGAAGATGGTGGCAAGACCAGCAGGAGGGCCGGGACCCACATGTGAGCGCACACGTATGTCGCACACGTATGTGGCTCCGTGCACGGGTGCGATCGCTGCCAGCCATGGAATTAGTTCCCTTTTCCGAATTCCAGATGATTTTTCATCTCTGTAATTAATGGGCAAGTCAGTTCTGAACGGCATGGCAGACAAATTGCTAGTTAGGAAAATCACGGATAATTTTCTCGATATGATAATGAAGGTTGTAATCCTTCTCTTATTCTCCCTGTTTTCATCCTACTTTTAAGTAATAAATTTGGCATTAGTGGGAGGGGAGCAGGGAGGAAGGAGAAGTCACCTGCCCCCCAAAGCTGGGGCCTGACAGGGACCCACGCAGAGTCCCCTGCCGGGGGCAGACAGGAGAAGAGAATGAGGGGTGTGGACCCTCCGTGGGGTTGATCAATTCAGGGGGCCAGGCCCTGGAGAGCAGGTGGAGGGCACGGAGCTTTCAGGCTGTGAGCCAGGGTGAAGGAGTGGGGTCTGGGGTCAGGTTAGACTCATGCCAGCCCTTGGGGTGTTGGAGAGAGAAGCAGAAACCAATGGTCTGTCCCCAAACAGCATGGAGGTCAACGGCCCGGAATAGACATTCACCCTCAGGTGTGCCCCACTGGATCCGACCTCCTCTAAGCAGTGACTCCCTACCAGGATAAGGGAGCCGGGCAAGCAGAGAGGGGAAGAGAGAAAGACAGAGAGAGATAGAGAAAGACAGAGAGAGTGAGAGAGAGAGAGAGAGAGAGAGAGAGACAGACAGAGAGAGAGAGAGCGCGCGAGCCAGCCATCTTGGCAGCCATTTTGAACCCCTCCCCCTCCTGCCCCCAGGCACACATGTTGGGAAGTGGGATGTGGGAAGACAGACCCCAGCTCTGAGTCCGGTGGAAGCCAGGCGGAAGGGGGGGCCCTGCCTGGAACTGGGATACAGAAACACCCACGCAGCTGGCATGGCTGGGGGTGGATGGGGGTTGGAACAGGAAGAAAGGGTCCAGGCAGGTACAGTGAGGTGTTGGCCAGGGATGGGGCAGTGTGAGGACCCGGACTGGAAGTGTAGAGACAGGGGTGTGTGTAGCCAGCGGCTGTCTTCAGATGGGGGCCAGGGGTGCACTGGAGAGATACCTGGGAGGGCATTTTCTGGACACGGCTGGAGCAAACACAGCATCCCCCCACCCCACCACTTCAGGCCTGGACTCGGGTCCCAGGACCGTCAGATGGGAGGATGACAACCAAACCCTCGCAGCTCAATCCAATGCGCACCTGGGGTGGGGGTGGGGAGCTGTCCTCAAAGCACGAATAATCCGAGTGGATCAAACCTGCCGGCCTCCCGTGCTTTAACCCGGCACCACGGAGAGAAGGTGCTGCCCGGCTGCACCCCCTCCTCCTGACAGCGGCGCCCCCCGGACTGCGGCCGGCTGGACACCCAGACGGACCCCTCCCCATCCCCCGCGCCACTGCCTCCCAGAGAAAAACAACCCCCTCGCCCAGCATCCTGTGGTGCCAGCCCCCGACACGGCTCCTCTGGGGCGCGGGGCCGGCGCGCGGCGCGCACACGCACCCCCTCCGCTCACACCCAGACACCTACACAAACAGGGCGCCAAGCACCCGCGCGCACACGCACCGGGGACACGCAGGCACCGCCGCGCCGCTTCCCCACAAAGGCTGGCGCGCGCGCGGGCACACGCAGCCACGCGCGGGCACACTCGCGGTCCCCTCCCCCCGCCAGGCACCCTGCGGTAGCCCGTCCGCACCCCCGCGCCCCGGGCGCTCCGTGGGGGCCGCCCCTCCCAGGCCCCTCGCCAGTGGGGGTGAGGTGCGGGCTGCCCCCGACGCCCCTCCCGCTCAGGTGCGGTGCCCCGCGCGGCTCCCGTGTCCCCTCCCCCCTCGCGGCCAGGACAGGCCCCGGCCTCCCATCCTTCCCGCCTCCCCTCTTCCACGCGCCCCGCACACCTGGCCCAGGTGCGGCTTCGCCCCTCGCCCTGGGCCCGCAGACACTCACCTGTCCAGCGCCTCTCTGGGGTCGGCCCAGCGTGTCTCTCCTGCGGCTCGGCGAACCCGGGCCCCCCGCCCGGCACATCTCCCGGAGCCGGGGCTGGGGGGAAGCGGGTAGGAGGTGGCGGGACGAGGGCGGCCTCCGTGTCCCTTCCTTCCCCTGGCCCAGCACCGCCGCCGACCAAAAATTAGGAAAAAAAAAAAAAAAGAAAAGAAAAGAAAAAAAAGAGGCGGATTACACGGATCCAAAGGCGGCCCCCTCGCGGCGGCGGAGGCTCGGGACTGGGGGCGATCGGGTCTGCGCCCCTCCCGGGGAGGGAGGCGGTGGGGCGGGGGCGGCGTCAGAGCGCCGGGGGCTGGGGCGAGGCGGAGCGCCCCGAGGCGGCGCCGGCAGCGGCCCGCATCTCCCCCGCAGCTCCGCGGCCCCGACGGAGGCGGCACGTGTGCGCCCAGGCGACTTCCCAGCCCCCTCCGACGCCGGCGGTGGACGAGGGGTTAACGGGGCAGCCGGGGCGCCCCTGCAGGCCCCCGCCGCCCGGCGGCGCCGCTCCGGGGCCCGCGCGGCCCCATCAGCCGGGGCCTCCTCGGCAGACGGCGGGGCGGGGGCACCGCAGCGCCGACAGCTCCCGCGCCGACGGCTCGGGCTCCCCGCAGTGGCCGCGGGGAGCTCGGGTTGGGGGCGGGCGGCGCGGAGCTGGCGGAGGGGGGCGGCGCGGCTGGAGGCGGGTGCCGCGGCGTCGCGCCCCCGGTGCGGCCGGAGGGGGGGCGCCGGGCCGGGCCCGTGGGCACCGCAGGACGCGCGGACCGAGCCGGCGCCGGGCACCAGCAATGACAAGCCGCCTGCTCGCCCCGCTCCCCGGCGCACCCGCTCCGGGAGGGGGGCGGTGGGCGCGCGCAAAACCCGGCCCGGAGTCGCCGCCCGGGACTGGCCGCCGCAACCCGCTTGAGCGCCCCAGGAGCCGGCCCGAAAACCCGGGCTGGACTTTCCTTCCTTTCGCCTCCTCTCGCCTCCTCCCTGGAAAAGCAGGGAGAGGGAAAGCGACGTGCTGGAGCCCCGCGTTGGAGCGGGGAGTGGGGGAAGGGAGACAGGCGTAAGGAAGACCCGGAGCGGATTTTCCAGTGAAGTATAAGGAAAGGCGCCGAGCCCGGGGAAGGAGGGCGCAAATGGGGAGATCTGGAAGGGTTGTGCAAAACCCGAGTTGGATTAGATAAAGATGGGAGGAACGGTGTTGGAGCGGGGGGTTGGGGGGTAGATGCGACATGGCCAAATGCACCCGGGGCACGCAAATTTCGGGCCGGATTCTTTCTCGGGAGACGGAGTAATGCGTCAGGCCTAACGCAGTGGAAACAAGCAAGACCCGGCCCGGAACTCCCGGGACCTGGGTTCGCATGGTGGGGGGTTCTGGAAGGGGGATGCTTAGTGGCTGAGGCGACTTGGGCTGCCCTCATCTTCCTGGCAGCGACGTGCAAGGGGGACGGGCAAAAGGAGGACTGGACTCGGGTACGAAGGGATTTGGCGCGCTGGCTGCACCGGAGCGGACAGGTAAAAGCGGTTTCTGGATCCAGGGGCGCTGCGAAGGGAATGCGATGAGGCCGCTACCCTGGGAGACCAGACCTACAATAAAAGGCGAGGGAGGCACGCAAAGCCAGGACTGGAGCGCGGGACGGGATGAGACCCTCAGCAGAAGATCCTGGGCCACCGGGACAGGGGCTTGGAGCTGACCGGGCAGCAGGGGCGGAGGGAAGCGTTAGGGGGAGGTTTGTACCTGTAAACGCCTCAAAGTCTTGCTTTTGGGGAGGGGGTGCGAGGGGAAAAATTGAATTTTATGTTCTCTAAAAGAGTAAAAACCCGGCATGGATTTTCAACACCTAACAACTCCATTGCAGCTGGTGGACTCTAAGAAGTAGGGCAAGAAGCAGGCTTGGGTTCCCAGGCATCAGACCAAGTGAGGCGAGGGGCAGGTTTCGGGTTGAGGCTGCAGAGGGAGCCCCCGCACCCCCTCTCTGGGGTGGGGAAGGCTGTTGGACCCGGCTTGGCTCTCTGGAGAGCGAAAGTTATGACTGCCAAGACCTATAGCTGGGGCTATAAAACTGGGCCCCAAGCCAAAAATAGGCACTTCGGCAGAACAGGCAACTTTGTGCAGGGTGGGGGCTGGAGGGAAATGGAAGTGGGAAGAATCCTGGAGTGGAGGGAACAGGGGGGAGGGGGGGAGTCCCTGAAGCGGGGCTGCTGGCTCCATTTTATGAAAGATGGGAAGACTGATGGCTGGGGAGGGCTTGGAATCCTCAGGGAAGGGAATCCATTCAAGTGAGGCCCAAATGTTAAAGCAGACAGCTCAGAGTTCAAAGTTGGGCTGCATCTTAGCAGCAGGGCAGACAAACCCTGATCTGAGTTTTAGAGGAGGGGGACGGGCTGAGGATGGGGATGGGGGAAACCCCCATTCCCTATATGTCCAGGGAAGAGAGTGCATTGCTAACCATGCGCTTTGCAGAATGAATGAGGAAAGGGAAAAGGGTTCCTGAGTAGGAGTGGTAAATCCACAAAACTTGAGGCATATCTGGATGGGAAAAATGAGTATCTAAGAAAGCCTGAATTGAATATCTGCACGGGAATTAACTTGGCCTCTAAGAATCCCTTCCTAGAAGCACGTCCCTGTGGCTAAACTGGAGGAAGTGCAGGGACACCAGACTTCCAGGCTGCCCGGGTGACCACGCACCACTGCTGTGGCAGCCTGTCACCCTCCACCGCCTTCTACGGACAGCTGTCTCTTCACGACGGGGAAGGGATTCTTGAAAGCCAGAACCTAGGCAAATCTGGCCCCAGAGAACTTCAAAATGGAGGGATGGGTCACTTTCGTTCCTCCTTCATGCCCAGGATTTCATGGCTGCAAAGCTGTCCAGCCTTGAATCTGGGTGGCCAGGTTGGACACCGGGATCTGGGGGACCAAATATAAAGTAGGATTTGGTGAGTGCAAAACGGATCCCATCCATCTGTGGTTGACTGCAGATCCACTGGGTATGGAGGAGGGCATCCCATCTCTCTACGCCTCAATTTCCCAGTTTGAGATATTGACAGCACCAAGTAAGACCCATGAAGGCTTTGAGATGGAGGGCACTCCAGGCAGCCAGCTTTCTATAAACCCAGCAGTACCGAAAAGGGAACAGAACTTGACGCTCAGGAAAAGCTGGTCACCTCCTTGTTCTCCTGCTCCAGGCCTTTGTCCCCACCCCACCCTCCAGCCCTGAGCAGCCCACCCACTTCCCCCTACAGAGCTAGCCTAGGAGGTGGTTCTAACTTGCACTCTCCAGAGGCTACGAGAAGGAGTGGCCTTTACTTACATGAGGGAAAGCAACGACATTCTTTAAGGCACCCTCAGCTCAGTTTGGAAAACCCCAGCCGGAACCCCCCTCACCCCCGCCCCTCGCCCCTTTCTAGACCCTCTAAACCCCACTGGTCCCAGCTGGGATCGGCTCTCCAGCCTCCATCTGATCCATGTCTCCTGGACTTGTGAGCGGCGTGCTCAGGAGGCAAAGAGTGCGGAGGGGCTGGGGGGCGCGTAAAGAGCCCTGGCGCCCCTCAGGCCTTCGGCTGCGCAGCCGCAGTGGAGGCCGCGCCAGCAACCGGGCTCCGGGAACCAAGGCGTCCGCGCGCGCACGCAGACTCGCCCGCGCGCCGCGTGCCCCGCGCTGCCCAGGTCGGTACCCGCGCTTCGGACACCCTGCTCCCAGGGCGCTCCTCGCTTCCAGCCTCCCACTTTGCGCCTTGGGCTCCCCATGAGCCCCGCTCCTGAGACACCCCACGCTCTGTGTATTCCGTCCCACGGGACCTCCACGCCCACGGTGCCACGCGCCTCGAGTACCCCATGTTCTATGAACCCTGCACCTGGACGCCCCATCTTCTGCGCACCCTGTGCTAGAGAACCCGCACGCCCAGGGTGCCCTATGCCTAGGGCACCCTGTGCTCTCCTGCGTATCTGGGACTCCACATTTTGTACGCCTAGCACCTCCAGCATCCCAGCGTCAGACACAGCTGGGCTCGCCTGTGCCTTGTCTGTCCCCTCTCTGTGCCTTCCATGTATTGCGCCCACTGCCTCGGTTGGGCCCCCAGCCTCACAGTCCTGAAGGCTCTGCTTCACCCCAGTGCTCAGCTTCCCTTTGCCTCAGGCCCAGCGCCCTCGTTCCCGGGTGCCCTGCCTCAGGCTCCTGGACAGGTCAGGGCAACGCCAGACAGCCACTGTCCACCAGGCGCCCCCAGCCCCTGTTTTCCTAGAGCCCATTCGGTATAGGATGCACAACCCTGCTGTTCATTTCACTGCTCGGTGCACGTATTCATTCCTTCCATTTACGCCTCAAACACACAGCACGCACCTTATATGCTCTTACCTGTCAGGTGCAGTGTGATGCATTGAGAATGCGCCTCCAGTGCACAGGGAACAAGGCAGGGAGCCTTCTCTGGGCGCTCCCTTCATCATGGAGAAGATGGACTCAGAATGTGTGATGGAATGAGCCCTGGAAAGTCAGCAGGTGCCAGGGAGTGGAGGATGGACCTATCCAAGCCTTGAGGTGTGGGTGAAGTTTTGTGTGTCCCTGGCCTTTCCAGAGGCTCCCTGTACCCCCATCTTAGGCAACTTCTTTTATTTATTTATTTATATTTGTATTTATTTATTTATATTTGTATTTATTTATTTATTTTGAGGAGTCTCGCTCTGTTGCCCAGGATGGAGTGCAGTGGCACGATCTCTGCTCACTGCAACCTCCCTCTCCCGGGTTCAAGTGATTTCCGGCTAATTTTTGTATTTTTAGTAGGGACAGGGTTTCACCATGTTGGCTAGGCTGGTCTCGAACTCCTGACCTCAAGTGATCCGCCCACCTCGGCCTCCCAAAATGTTAGGATTACAGGCGTGAGCCACCGCGCTGCCCTCTTTATTTATTTTTAGAGACAGGGTCTCTCTCTGTCACCCAGGTTGGAGTGCAGTGATGAAATCATACCTCACTGCAGCTCACTGCACGAGCCACCACACCCAGCTAATTTTTGTTTTTTTTTTTTTCATAGCTTGCTATGTTGCCCAGACTGGTCTCAAACTCCCGGGCTCAAATGATCCTCCTTCCTAAGTCTCCCAGAGGGCTGGGATTACAGGTGTGAGCCATGGTGGCCGGCCAACCTTGGGCGATTTCTGAGCTCCATTCAGTTCCACCCCCACTGCCAAGCCAAGTGGAGGGCAAGATAAAGAGGTCCCAGAATTGGGCTAGGAGGATAGGTTGGGGGCAGGGAGTAATTCCAACTGTGTTCTTTTTTTTTTTTTTTTTGAGATGGAGTCCCACTCTGTCATCCAGGCTGGAGTGCAGTAGCATGATCTCGACTCACTGCAACTTCTGCCTCCCAGATTCAATTGATTCTCCTACCTCAGCCTCCCAAGTAGCTGGGATTACAGGCATGCGCCTCCATGCCAGGCTAATTTTTGATTTTTTTTTTTTTTTTTCAGTAGAAACGGTTTCACCATGTTGGCCAGGCTGGTCTTGAACTCCTGACCTCAAATGATCTGCCCACCTCAGCCTCCCAAAGTGCTGGGATTACAGAAATGAGCCACTGCACCCGGCCAGGTTTTTTTGTTGTTTGTTTTTTGTTTTGTTTTGTTTTGTTTTTTTGAGACGCAGTTGCCCAGGCTGGAGTGCAATGGTGTGATCTCAGCTTACCACAACCTCCACCTCCGGGGTTCAAGCCATTATCCTGCCTCAGCCTCCGGAGTAGCTGGGATTACAGGCACACACCACCACGCCTGGCTAATTTTGTATTTTTAGTAGAGACGGGGTTTCTCCGTGTTGGTCAGGCTGGTCTTGAACTCCCATCCTCAGGTGATCTGCCCACCTCAGTCTCCCAAAGTGCTGGGATTACAGGCGTGAGCCACCGCGCCCATCCTCAGGGGGTATATTTTGAAGGTGGAGCAGATGGATTGGAAGTGGGATACGAGGGAAAGAGGTAAGTCAAAATGTGTGAGCTGAGTGAGCCCCTGGAAGGATGGAGAGGATGGAGAGGAGGCAGTTTTGTAGGTTAGATCCAAGCCTTTGGTTTGATATGTCCAAGTGGAGGCATGAAGTTGGTGCCCGGGGAGAGGTTCAGGCTGGCCGAGAAATGGCTCAAATGAACACGAATGCTCTCATTTATACTTTATGGTAACTCTGTGGGTGGGGGACTTTCTCCCCATCTTATAGAAGGGGCAACGAAGGCTCCAGAACATGCCCAAGTAGTTAAAAAATGTAGTTATAGGCCGGGCGCAGTGGCTCACGTCTGTAATCCCATTACTTTGGGAGGCTGAGGTGGGCAGATCACCTGAGGTTGGGAGTTCGAGACCAGCCTGACAAACATGGAGAAACCCGGTCTGTACTAAAAATACAAAATTAGCCAGGCATGGTGGCACATGCCTGTAATCCCAGCTACTTGGGAGGCTGAGGCAGGAGAATCGCTTGAATCCGGGAGCTGGAGGTTGTGGTGAGCCGAGATCGCACCACTGCAATCCAGCCTGGAGACAGAGCAAGACTCAGTCTAAAAAAAAAAAAAAAAAAGAAAAAGTTAGGTTCTGAGCCGGGTCCCAGATTTGGGCTGGGAGGATAGGGTGGGGGCAGGGAATAATTCCAACCGTGGTCTTTTTCTTTTCTCACTCTGTTGTCCAGGCTGGAGTGTAGTGACTCAATCTCAGCTCACTGCAACCTCTGTTTCCTATGTTCAAGCAAGTCTCCTGCCTCAGCCTCCTGAGTAGCTGGGACGACAGGCATACACCACCATGCCTGGCTAATTTTGTATTTTTGTAGAGACAGGGTTTCACAATGTTGCCCAGGCTGTTCTCAAACTCCCAGGCTCAAGCGATCCTCCCGCCTCGGTCTCCCAAAATGCTAGCATTACAGGTGTGAGCCACTGCGCCTAGCTAGGCAGGACTATTTGAAAGGCACCAGGGCTAGGCTAGCATGGTGGGAGGCCAGGAGAGGGTCTAGATTATATTCCCAGTGATACTAGGAACCCCAAGAGGGCTTTCAGAAGTGGGTGGCATGATCTTATTTGGATGTTTAAAAGATTATAGGGCTGGGCTTGGTGGTGTGATCCTGTATCCTAGCTGAGGCAGGAGGATTCACGCACACAGGCTTGAGCCTAGGACTTCTGGGAGGTGGTGTGTGCCATGACCATCGGCGTCAATGTGGTGACCCCCCAAGAGCAGGGGACCACCAGGTTGCCTAAGGAAGAGTCAACTGGCCCAGGTTGGAAACAGAGCAGGTCAAAACTCCTGTGTTGATCAGTAGTGGAATCACGTCTGTGAATAGCCACTGCACTCCAGCCTGGGCAACAGGGTGAGAAAAGAAAAAGACCACAGTTGGAATTATTCCCCGCCCCCAACCTATCCTCTCTAAAACCTCCCAACCCTGTCTCTAAAACAAAACGTTAAAGTAAAAATAAATAAAATAGGCCAGGCACGGTGGCTCATGCCTGTAATCCCAGCACTTTGGGAGGCCGAGGCTGGTGGATCATGAGGTCAGGAGATCGAAACCATCCTGGCTAACACAGTGAAACCCCATCTCTACTAAAAATACAAAAAATTACCTGGGCGTGGTGGCGGGCACCTGTAGTCCCAGCTACTCGGGAGGCTGAGGCAGGAGAATAGTGTGAACGGGGGAGGCGGAGCTTTCAGTGAGCCAAGATCATGTCACTGCACTCCAACCTGGGCAACAGAGCGAGACTCTGTCTCAAAAAAACAAATCAATCAATAAAAATAAATAAATAAATAAAAGATTATATGAGTGCTCCCTCAATAACACAGAATTACTATATGAGGCAGGAAATGGGGAGTGACTGCTAACAGGTGTGAGTTTTCTTTAGGGGATGATGAAAAACGTCTTGGAACTAGACATGATGAATGTACTATGACATGACACGACATCGTCCACCTTAAAATGGTTGGTGGTTAATTTTTTGTTGTGGGAATTTCAGCTCAATTAAAAATGCTGGCCGACGGGCGCGGTGGCTCACGCCTGTAATCCCAGTACTTTGGGAGGCCGAGGTAGGTGGATCACGAGGTCAGGAGTTCAAGACCAGCTTGGCCAAGATGGTGAAACACCGTCTCCACTAAAACTATAAAAATTAGCCGGGCGTAGTGGCGGGCGCCTGCAATCCCAGCTACTCAGGAGGCTGAGGCAGGAGAATCGCTTGAACCCAGGAGGCAGAGGTTGCAGTGAGCCGAGATTGTGCCACTGCACTCCAACCTGGGCAACAGAGTGAGACTCTGCCTCAAAAAAAAAAAAAATGCTAGGGGCTGGGGCACGGTGTCTTACCCCTGTAATCCCAGCACTTTGGGAGGTAGAGGCTGGCAAATCACTTGAGGCCAGGAGTTTGAGACCAGCCTGGCCAACATGGAGAACCCCATCTCTACTAAAAATACAAAAAAAGTTGGGCGTGGTGGCACATGCCCGTAGTCCCAGCTACTCCAGAGGCTGAGGCAGGAGAATCACTTGAACCCAGGGGCAGAGTTTGCAGTGAGCTGAGATCGCACCACTGCAGTCCAGCCTGGGCAATAGAGTGAGATGCCAAAAAAAAAAAAAAAGGAAGGAAGGAAGATAAGAAGGGAGGAAGGAAGGAAGGAAAGAAAATGCTAGGAATGCTGGTGTGCTCTTGTAATCCCAGCTACCTGGGAGGCTGAAGTGGGAGGATCACTTGAGCCTGGGAGTTAGAGACTGCAGTGAGCTGTGACTGCAACACTGCACTCCAGCCTGGGTGACCGAGCGATACCCCTATCTCTTAAAATATATATATATATATAATTTATTGATTATTATTATATATTGTATATATTATATAATATTATATATTATAATATTATATATAATATTATCAAAAAATATTGATATAATATTATCAATAAATATCAATAAAATAATAATAATCAATATATATAATTGATTATATATATTATATATATTATATATATTATATATAATTGATATATATAATATATAATATATTATATATTATATAATATAATATATTATATATTATATAATATTATATATTATACATTATATAATATTATATATTATACATTATACATTATATATTATACATTATATAATATTATATATTATATATTATACATTATATAATATATATTATATTATATATTGTATAATATATATTATATTATATATTGTATAATATTATATATTATATTATACATTATACATTATATATTATACATTATATAATATTATATATTATATTATATATTGCATAATATTATATATCATATATTATATATATAATATATAATATTATATATTATATATTATATATATAATATTATATATTATATATATAATATATAATATTATATATTATATATATAATATTATATATTATATATATAATATTATATATTATATATTATATATTATATATTATAATATATATTATATATTATATATTATATATTATAATATATAATATTATATATTATATAATAATATATAATATTATATTTTATAATATATAATATTATATATTATAATATTATATATTATATATTATAATATTATATATTATAATATAATATATAATATATAATATATAATATATAATATATATTATATAATACATAATATAATATTATATATAATATATAATATTATATTATATAATATTATATATAATATATAATATATAATATATAATATTATATATTATAATATATAATATATAATATAATATATTATAATATATAATATATAATATAATATATTATAATATATAATATATAATATAATATATTATACAATATATAATATATAATATAATATATTATACAATATATAATATATAATATAATATATTATACAATATATAGTATAATATAATATATAATATAATATATTATACTATATATAGTATAATATATTATATAATATAATATATTATACTATATATAGTATAATATAATATATAATATAATATATTATACTATATATAGTATAATATAATATATAATATAATATACAATATATAGTATAATATAATATATATTATATAATGTATAATATATACTGTATAATATATAATATATAATGTATAATATATAATGTATAATATATATTATATAATGTATAATATATAATATATTGTATAATATATAATATATATTATATTATATATATCAATTATATATAATATATATAATATATATAATATATACAATCAATTATATATATATTGATTATTATTATTTTTTAATTATACAGGTCAGCCGGGCGCAGTGACTCATGCCTGTAATCCCAGCACTTTGGGAGGTCAAGGCGGGAGGATCGTTTGAGCCCAGGAGTTCGAGACCAGCCTGGGCAGCATAGCAAGACCTGGTCTCTAAATAAATAAATAAATAAATAAATAAATTATATAGTCAATTTGAGAGGGAGCCAGGAGATTCGCGAGGTGATCACCACTGTCATCCAGGTGACAGGCAGGTGATGGAGGCCCAGAACAGGATGCTGGGGGGAAACGTTAGGTTTTGGGCATGTCTTAGGGGCAGAGTCAACAGGACCCCTTACTTTGCACCCTCCTTGAACTCTGCTCATGTTACTTCCTGACCACTCTATTGAAAATGCAAAACACAGGACGGGGCGCGCTGGCTCACGCCTGTAATCCCAGCACTTTGGGAGGCCGAGGCGGGTAGATCACGAGGTCAGGAGCTCGAGACCATCCTGGCTAACACGGTGAAACCCCGTCTCTACTAAAAATACAAAAAATTAGCCAGGCGTGGTGGTGTGTGCCTGTAGTCCCAGCTACTAGGGAGGCTGAGGCAGGAGAATGGCGTGAACCCGGGAGGCGGAGCTTGCAGTGAGCAGAGATCACGCCACTGCACTCCAGCCTGAGCGACAGAGCGAGACTCCGTCTCAAAAAAAAAAAAAAAAAAAAGAAAAGAAAAGAAAATACAAAACACAAAAATTAGCTGGGTGTGGTGGCGCATGCCTGTAATCCCGGCTACTTAGGAGGCTGAGGCACAAGAGTCGCTTGAACCCGGGAGGTGGAGGTTGCAGTGAGCCGAGATCACACCTCTGCACTCCAGCCTGGGCGACAGAGCAAGACTCTGTCTCAAAAAAAAGAAAACTGCAAACACCCCCACCCTCCTCACTCCCTTGATCTCCTCTCCCCTTTATCTCTCTCCAGTCCCAGAGATGTGGGGGGGGGGGGGGTCTCGCTATGTTGTCCAGGCTGGTCTCGAACTCCTGGTCCCCACAGCATATCCTGACCTAGTTTCGTTTTCATTCATTTATCTGTCTCCCTCACTAGAATACCAACTCCCCAGTCCAGAGATGTTTGTTTCTTGTTCACTGCTGTCTACCCGGAGCCTAGGACCGATCCTGGAACATAGTAGGCGCTCAGGAGAAAGCGGGGGAGTGGAGGAAAGCGAGAATCCCGGAAGCCGCCGGGTTCCAGCCTGAGCAGCAGGCGGGCGTTTAAGTGGAGGCGGATTCCTAGTTAGGCACCAGCTGAAAGGGGAGCCCGGCTGGGCTGCGCTTCCTTCCCCGGCCGCTAGGGGCCGCTTCCCCGCTGCTCTGCGGCCGCCAGGTGAGGGGGCCCCGCCCCTTCTCCCCAGGTGCTCAGGGAGTTGGGGTGTGAGGGGACAAAGTGGGGGTGAAGGGAGAGAGCTGAGCGTGTTTGAGATGGGGGCTGCTTAAAGGAAGGGAAAAATGCGTAGGGAGGTTGGGAGGTGTGAGAAGGTGAGGAGACAGCCCGGTGTTAGGGAGAGAGGAGCGGAGAGTTGAGGGAGGTGCGGGAAGATGGGTGATCAACTGGGGAGTCCGGGAAAGTCTGGCAGGCGGAAGGCCTTGCCCTGGTGGCTCCACTGGAGGAAATTTAGACCATGCATGGAAAAGACCGGGACGATTGAGGGGTGGGATTGGCCTGTGGGGTTGAGGATCCCAGGGAAGAAGCCCTAAGCTTTGCTGGACTTGGACTTGGCCAGTGTGTTCTGGGGAGGAAGAGGGATTTCTCAGACCCAGATCCCTCAGACCAGCAACGGGGAGGGACTTCTCCTTTGAGGAGTGAGATGTGCCTGGCAAGCTCACCAGCTAGCTTTTGCAGAACGTGTGGCCAGTAAGTGGCTTATTCAACCTGGCACTGACTCTGCCTCTCTCTCCTTCAAGCCTCAGGGCCAGGATTCATTGTGTAATGAATTGAGTGGTGGGAAAACAGCAATGAATGAGACAGATCCAGTCCCGGCACTGGCCAGTCCTGGCACAAAGAAGGCTGCCCAGCCCTGGGGAAGTGACAGGTAAACTGAGGCAGGGACCTGCTGGCTTTAAATAGCAGTCCCCCTCATGGTGATCTGGGCAGAGAGGACCACTCATATGGAGGCTCTGAGGCTGTTACCAAGAAAAAAGCCGGCAGGATCCAAGCTGCAATAGTGTGATAGGGAGTGTTGGGGTCTGCGGCAACCCAGAAATGCCTGCCAGGTCTAAAGGGATCCTGTGTTTGGGATTAAGGTGGATGTGGGGGCTTGCAGGCTCTGTGGAATGGAGATAGGTTGGGAAGGGGGTTGGGAATAGGAGTGAGGGGTTATAGGTGGGTCCCAGAGAGGTAGAGGTGATGGCCACGGGAAGGTAGAAGGTGACTCCTAACCTTGCATGAGCTCATTTCAGGGGACACAAAGCCAAATGCTGACCAGGGAATGAAAATGCAGAAATTGGGCAGGTGTGAGGCGGTGGTGAAGGACAGGGTAGCTGAAGTTGCACCACCCCCCCTTTTCCTTAGGCACCCGCTTGCTACCACTCAGCTCCAGCTGTGCGCTACCACGTGGGAACTCAGGCTCAATGTTGCCAAAATAGCTTCTTCAAGAGAAGCCAGAAATCACGGTTGTTGCGCAAAATTCCCTGAGCTTTAAATATCCCATGGGGATCTACTAAAGTTAAATTGCTGCCACCCAGCAATTCCATTCCTGGGTTGATTCCCAGTGGGAACAGGAGCTTAGGGTCACCTAAAGACATATCCATGGATGTGCCTAGCAGCTTCATTCATGATCACCAAACACCAGACACCCCTTAAGTTGACCATCGACTGGCAAGTGGAAAAGAAATGGGAGGACATTCTTATAATGGAATATAACGCAGCAATGAAAAAGAATATACTACTGACGCATTCACAGCATGGATGAATCCCAGAGACATAATGTTCAGTAGGAGAAGCAAGATAACAAAGAGAATACCCCGAGTGATTTCATTCTGTGTTGTTCAAGGCCAGGCAGAAGTAACCTATGAAAAGAGTTGGGGAAGCCCAGGGTTTCCTTACTTCGGCCTCATTGACATTTGTGGCTAAATGATCCTGCGTGATGGGGGCTGTCCTGTGCACTGTAGGACGTTGAGCAGAATCCCTGGCCTCCAACCATTACGTACCAGCAGCACCCCCCAGTTGCGACAAATTTCTGTTGTTAGGGGCATAATCACCATCAGATGGGAGCCACTGGTCCGGGTGTAGTGGCTCACACCTGTAATCCCAGCACTTTGGGAGGCCGAGGCGGGTGGATCACTTGAGGCCAGGAGTTCAAGCCCAGCCTGGCCAACATGGTGAAACCCTGTCTCTACTAAAAATACAAAAAAATTAGCCAGACATGGTGGCGTGTGCTTATAGTCCCAGCTACGTGGGAGGCTGAGGCAGGAGAATTGCTTGAACCCAGGAGGCAGAGGTTGCAGTGAGCAAAGAAAGATAGCACCACTGCACTCCAGCCTGGGTAACAGAGCAAGACTACGTCTCAAAAAAAAAAAAAAAAAAAAAAAAAGCCACTGGCTTGGTGATGTTTTGAGGCAGCCCACTTCCTGGAAAGTAGCCCAGGGAGCCTCCTGGGAGACTGGACTGTTCTTGATCTTGAACTAGGTGACAGTGATAAGGGTGAAATGTATTTCAAAAATCCACGGACCTGTGCTCCTAAGATTTATGTGTTTCACAATAAAGACATTAACTCTACAACATGGATGACCCTTGAAAACATTTGGAAAAGGGAAAGAAGCCGGACACAGAGGGTCACATAGTGTATGACTTCCTTTATATGAAATGCCCAAAACAGGTAAACACATAGGGACAGAAACAGATTGGTGGTTGCCAGGGGATGGGGGATGGGGAATGGAGATTGACTGCTAGTGGGGATAGGGCTTCTTTTGGGGGTGATGGAAATGTTCTGTAATTAGAGGTGATAGTTGCACAACTCTTTGAGTATACAAAAGTCCAGTGAATTGTACATTTTAAAATGTACAATTGGGGCCAGGCACAGTGACTCATGCCTGTAATCCCAGCACTTTGGGAGGCCGAGGCGGGCAGATCACTTGAGGTCAGGAGTTCAAGACCATTCTGGCCAATATGGTGAAACCCTATCTCTACTAAATATACAAAAATTAGCCAGGCATGGTGGTGCACGCCTCTAGTCCCAGCTACTCAGGAGGCTGAGGCAAGAGAATCACTTGAACCCAGGAGGCAGAGGTTGCAATGAGCAAAGATCGCACCACTGCACTCCAGCCTGGGTGTCACAGCAAGACTCTGTCTCAAAAAACAAAAACAAAAAAATGTACAATTAATCTTGGCTGGGCACAGTGGCTCATGCCTGTAATCCTAACACTTTGAGAAGCAGAGGTGGGAGGATTGCTTGAGCCCAGGAGTTTGAGACCAGCCTGGGCAACATAGCAAGACCCCACCTCTACAAAATTTTTTTTTTTTTTTGAGACAGAGTCTTGCTCTGTTGCCCAGGCTGGAGTGCAGTGGTGCGATCTTGGCTCGTTGCAACCTCTGCCTCCCAGGTTCAAGCGATTCTCCTGCCTCAGCCTCCCAAGTAGCTGGGATTACAGGCGCGTGCCACTACACCTGGCTGATTTTTGTATTTTTAGTAGAGACAGGGTTTCACCATGTTGGCCAGGCTGGTCTCGAACTCCTGACCTCAGGTTATCCACCCACCTCAGTCTCCCAAAGTGCTGGGATTACAGGCGTGAGCCACAGTGCCCGGCGAAAATTTTTTTTAATTAGCTGGGCAACATGGAGCCTGCCTGTAATCCCAGCTACTTGGAAGGCTGAGGTGGGAGGATCGCTTGACCCCAGGAGTTTGAGGTTGCAGTGAGCTATGATTGCACCACTGCACTCCAGCCCGGGGAAACAGAGAGAGATTCTGTTTCTAAAAATAATATAAAATAAAATGGCGAGTGTTACGTTAGGTGAATTTTATTCCAAAAAGGAATTTAAAATTTTTTTTTAATTTTTTTTAAAAAAGGAATTTTTTAAAAACAAGGAGTTAACCACACAGGCCAAACAACACATCTGGGGCCAGTTTGGCCCCAGGGCTGCCGTCATTTGGGAATGGAGGGAAAGGAAGGGGACGGGGTGGGGGGGTGGGAGGGTAATGCACCATCCAGGAGTTGTGGGCGTTCTTGGTGAAGGGTGGGGGATGACGCAACTTGGAGGCAAAAGAAAGTATGTCTCGGCTCAGGGGAGCGCTCCCTCTTAACCCAACCTGTCAGCCCTGGAAAGAAATCAGCTACGGGTCGGAGGCCAGCCAGCGAACTGTCAAGGAAGTGCAGAGTTCTGACGAGTTAGAGAAATGACAACCGCTCAGCCCCGCCCGGCCTGACACCCTGGCGGTGGCATGATGAAGTGGTGCTTGCCGGGTGGGCGGAGGATGCTCTCTGCGAGCTTGCGGGAAAGTGGGGGTGCTCACCCGAGTTCTTCTGCAGTGTGAAGAGAGGTGGGTTCGGCCTCCCTGGTAACAAAGGGCGGACGGGGTGGCATTTGCCCCTACCCATCCCTCCTGGAGGGAGAGCCATTCCCGTGGGTGCAAGGAAGAGAGAAGACAGCGGGCTTCTGGGGGCACGGCTGGGGGTGCAGGGTCTGAGTCTCCGTTGGCTTCAAAAAACTGAATGATGGCCGGGCGCAGTGGCTAACACCTGTAATCCTAGCACTTTGGGAGGCTGAAGCAGGCAGATCACCGGACCTCAGGAGTTTGAGACCAGCCTAGCCAAAATAGTGAAACCCTGTCTCTACTAAAAATACAAAAATTAGCTGGGTGTGGCTGCAGGTGCCTGTAATCCCAACTACTCGGGATGCTGAGGCAGGAGAATTGCTTGAACCCTGGAGGCAGAGGTTGCAATGACCCAAGATTGCACCACTGCACTCCAGCCTGGGCAACAGAGCAGGACTCCACTCAAAAAATAATAAAATAAAATAAAAAACTGAATGAGTGAAGAGAGACAAAGAAAATTAAGGAGGCCAGGCACGGTGGCTCATGCCTGTAATCCCAGCACTTTAGGAGGCTGAGGCGGGCAGATCACTGGAGGTCAGGAGTTTGAGACCAGCCTGGCCAACATGGTGAAACTCTGCTCTACCAAAAAGTACAAAAATTAGCCAGGTGTGATGGCGGGCCCTGTAATCCCAGCTACTCGGGAGGCTGAGGCAGGAGAATGGTGTGAACCCGGGAGGCGGAGCTTGCAGTGAGCCGAGATCGCGCCACTGCATTCTAGCCTGGACGACAGAACAAGACTCCGTCTCAAAAAAAAAAAAAAAAAAAAAAAGAAGAAAGTTAAGGCCTCCCGAGTAGCTGGGACCACAGGCGCACACCACAACACCCAGCTAACTTTCATATTTTTTGTAGAGATAGGGTTTCGCTATGTTGCCCAATGTGGTCTTGAACTCCCGGCTCAAGTGATCCTCCTGCCTCAGCCTCACAAAGTGCTGGGATTATAGGCGTGAGCCACTGCACCTGGCCTGCATATAACTTTGGACTTCCCAAAAACTTAACCACTGATAGCCTATGGTTGATCAAAAGCCTTACCAATGACATAAACAATCCATGAACTCGTATTCTGTATGTTCTATATATTACATACAGTATTCTTAGAATAAAGTAAGCTAGAAAAAAGAAATGGTATGAAAATCATGAGAAAGAGAAAATGTATTTACCGTTCATGAAGTGGAAGTGGATTACCATAACCGTCTTCATCCACGAGTCTTCCGATGGAATAGGCTGAGGAGGAAGAGGAAGAAGAGGGGTTGTCTCAGGGGTGGCAGAGGCGGAACAACATCCACTTACAAGGGGACTCAGGCAGTTATGGCTCAAGCCCGTGTTGTTCAAAGGTCAACTGTAATAGAATTTTTTCTTTTTCTTTTTTTTTTTTGAGGCAGAGTCTCGCTCTGTCACCCCGGCTGGAGTGTAGTGACGAGATCTCGGCTCGCTGCAACCTCGGTCTCCCGGGTTCAAGCGATTCTCCTGTCTCAACCTCCCAAGTAGCTGGGATTATAGGCGCCCGCCACCACACCCGGCTAATTTTTGTATTTTTAGTAGAGACGGGGTTTTGCCACGTTGGCCAGGCTGGTCTGGAACTCCTGACCTCAGGTGATCTGCCCACCTCGGCCTCCCAAAGTGCAGGGATTACATGTGTGAGCCACTGCACCCAGCCAGTAGAAATGTATTGCTTACAGTTCTGGAGGCCAGGAAGTCCAAGATCAAGGCACTAGCAGATTTGGTGTCTGGTGAGAGCCCACTCCACCCCCCAGGTTCAAGCGATTTTCCTGCCTCAGCCTCCTGAGTAGCTGGGATTACAGGTGTGCGCCACCATGCCTGGCTAACTTTTGTATTTTTAGTAGAGATGGGGTTTTGCCCTGTTGGCCAGGCTGTTCTTGAACTCCTGACCTTAGGTGATCCACCCACCTCAGCCTCACAAAGTGCTGGGATTATAGGTGTGAGCCACCGCACCTGGCCAAGCGAGTTATTTTTATTTTATTTATTTGTTTATTTGAGACAAGATCTGGTTCTATTACCCAGGCTGGAGTGCAGTGGTGCGATCTCGGCTCACCGCAACCTCCATTTCCCGGGCTCAAGCCATCCCCCCACCTCAGCCTCCCAGGGAGCAGCTGGGACTACAGGTGCGCACCACTACACCCAACTGATTTTTTTTTTTTTTCAGACGGAGTCTCACTCTGTCACCAGGCTGGAGTGCAGTGGCGTGATCTCGGCTCACTGCAACCTCCGCCTCCCAGGTTCAAGTGATTCTCCTGCCTCAGCCTCCCGAGTAGCTGGGATTACAGGTGTCTGCCACCATGCCTGGCTAATTTTCTCTATTTTTAATAGAGACGGGGTTTTACCATGTTGGCCAAGATGGTCTTGATCTCCTGACCTCATGATCCACCCGCTTCGACCTCCCAAAGTGCAGAGATTACAGGTGTGAGCGACCGCACCCGGCCAATTTTTGTATTTTTTGTAGAGATGGGGTTTGTCATGTTGTCCAGGCTGGTATCGAACTAGTGAGCTCAAGTGATCCGTCTGCCTCAGCCTCCCAAATTGCTGGGATTACAGGCGTGTGCCACTGTGCCTGGCCTATTTATTTATTTATTTATTTATCCAATGTTTGTTTTAAGTTCAAGGGGGCACATGTCCAAGTTTCTTATTTGGGTAAATTGTGTTTTGCAGGAGTTTGGTATACAGATAATCTTGTCACCCAGGTAATCACCATAACACCCAACAGGTAGTTTTTCAATCCTGACCCTCCTTTTACCTTCCACCCTCAAATAGACACCAGTGTCTGTTGTTCCCATCTTTTTTTTTTTTTTTTTTGAGATGGAGTCTTGCTCCGTTGCCCAGGGTAGAGTGCACTGGCATAATTTCGGCTGACTGCAACCTCTGCCTTCCGGGTTCAAGAGATTCTCTTGCCTCACCCTCCCTAGTAGCTGAGATTATAGGTGTGTGCCAGCACGCCTGGCTAGTTTTTGTATTTTTAGTGGAAATGGGGTTTCACCATGTTGGCCAGGCTGGTCTCGAACTCCTGACCTCAAGTGATCCACCTGCCTCAGCCTCCCAAAGTGCTGGGATTACAGGCGTGAGCCGCTGTGCCTGGCCTGTTGTTCTCACCTTTGTGTCCATGTGTACTCAGTGTTTAACTACCACTTATAAGTGAAAACGTGTGGTATTTGGTTTTCTGTTCCTGCATTAGTTGACTTAGGAGAATGGCCTCCAGCTCCATCCATATTGCTGCAAAGGATATAATCTCATTCTTTTTTTTTTTTTTTTTTTTTTTGAGACAATCTCATTCTGTCACCCAGGCTGAAGTGCAGTGTCGTGACCTCGGCTCACTGCAACCTCCGCCTCCCAGGTTCAAGCAATTCTCCTGCCTCAGCCCCTCAAGTAGCTGGGACTACAGGCACCTGCCACCATACCCTGCTAATTTTTGTATTTTTTTGTAGAGACGGGGTTTTGCCATGTTAACCAGGCTGGTCTCGAACTCCTGGCCTCAAGTGATCCACCCACCTTGGCCTCCGAAAATGCTGGGATTACAGCCATGAGCCACCATGCCCGGCCTCATTCTTTTTTAATGGCTGCATAGTATTCCATGGTGCATATGTACCACATTTTCTTTATCCAATCCTCCATTGACGGGCACCTAGGCTGATTCCAAGTCTTTGCTATTGTGAATAGTGCTGCAATGAACATACATGTGCATGTGTTTTTATAGTAGAACAATTTATATTCCTTTGAGTATATACCCAGTAATGGGATTGCTGGGTCAAATAAAATAGAAGAATTTTAAATTGTTTGAGAAATCTCCAAACTGTCACACTCAATTATAAGGGCAATAATCTCACCCATGAGAATGGGGCCCTCCTGGCCTAATCACTTCCCAAGAACCCCAACTCTTCCAACATATGGATTTGGAAGGGACACAGACATTCAAACCATAGCAGTGACCTTATTTGGACAAAGCGTTTTTGCAGATGTAATTAAGTTAAGGATTTTGCAATGAGATCATCCTGGATTAGGGTGGCCCAAAATCCAATGATAAATGACCTTAGAAGAGAAGGGGGTTAGACACAGAGAAGAAGGCCAAGTGAAGACAGGCAGGGCTTTCAGCAGTACAGACACAAGCAAGGAACCATCAGAGGCTGGAAGAAAAAAGGACGAATCCTCACCTAGTGCCTTCGGAGGGATTGCAGCCCTGCACCACCCTGATTGCAACCTCTGGCCTCCGGAATGGTGAAATAATAAATTCTTGTTGTTTCCAGCCACCTAGTTTATGGTAATGTATTTCAGCAGCCCCAGGAAATGAACACAGGCCCTGATATCCAATTCCACAAGCACTTGATGAAGCGTCAGGAAGGGCCCGTGGTACAGTGGAGGGGGAGGGAAACTCGAAAATGGGGAGTGTTGAGAAACGGATGGACAGTGAGGTGGAGGACCAGAGAGGCTTTTTTTTCTTTTCTTCTTTTTTTTTTTTTTAGACAGGACCTCTCTTCGTCACCCAGGCTAGAATGCAGTGGCGCAGTCGACCTCCTGGGTTCAAGCGATCCTCCTGCCTCAGCCTCCCGAGTAGCTGGGACTACAGGCACATGCTATCATGCATGGCTAATTATTTATTTATTTTTTGTAGAGATGGGGTGTCACTGTGTTGCCCAGGCTAGTCTTGAGCTCCTGGCTTCAAGCCATCCTCCTGTCTTGGCCTCCCAAAGTGCTGAGATTACAGGCTTGAGCCACCATGCCCAGACTGGGGAACCTCTTTATAGCAGAGGTGATGACCCAGAACTGAGCTGGAGCATGCCACAAACCTACAGGGACAGCCAGTAGGTAATATAAATACGCCAAGCAGCCAAGATAAAAAGACTGACTGCACCAGCAACGGAACAGCTTCAGTGTCAGGGAGACAGTAAGGGGGGGTGGGACTATGGCAAATAATGATAAGAATGAGTAACATTTATCAGCACTTGCTAAGCCCGTTCCTTATATAGCATGAACTCATTTAATTCAGTTGTGTTTTTTTTTTTTTTTTGAGACAAGTCTTGCTGTGTCACCCAGGTTGGAGTGCAGTGGCACAATCTCGGTTCACTGCAACCTCCGTCTCCCAGGTTCAAGCAATTCTCCTGCCTCAGCTTCCCGAGTAGCTGGGATTACAAGCACGTGCCACCACACCTGGCTAATTTTTGCATTTTTAGTAGAGACAAGGTTTTGCCATGTTGGCCAGGCTGGTCTCGAACTCCTGACCTCAGGTGATCTGCCCATCTAGGCCTCCCAAAGTGCTGGGATTACAGGCATGAGCCACCACGCCCAGACAAGATTTCATCTTTAGAGGAAGTCAGGCATCCAGATTTTTATGCAAAAATCACCTGAGGTCTGGCACTGGTGGCTCAGGCCTGTAATCCCAGCACTTTGGGAGGCTGAGGGGGGCGAATCACTTGAGTTCAAGAGCTCAAGGCCGCCTGACCAACATGGTGAAACCCTGCCTCTACTAAAAATAGAAAAAAACTAGCTGGGCCTGGTGGCCTTTGCCTGTAATCCCAGCTACTTGGGAGGCTGAGGCAGGAGAATCGCTTGAACCTAGGAGGCAGAGGTTGCAGTGAGCAGAGATCACACCACTGCACTACAGCCTGGGCGACACAGCGAGACGCCATCTCAAAAACAAAAACAACAACAACAACAATGAAAAAGCAGCCTGTATTTAAAAGCTAGCAAGTCATGGGCCGGGCGCGGTGGCTCACGCCTGTAATCCCAGCACTTTGGGAGGCCGAGGTGGGCAGATCACAAGGTCAGAAGATCGAGACCATCCTGGCTAACACGGTGAAACCCCGTCTCTACTAAAAATACAAAAAATTAGCCGGGCGTGGTGGGGGGCGCCTGTAGTCCCAGCTACTCGGGAGGCTGAGGCAGGAGAATGGCGTGAACCCGCAAGGCAGAGCTTGCAGTGAGCCAAGATCGCGCCACTGCACTCCAGCCTGGGTGACAGAGTGGGACTCCATCTCAAAAATAAATAAATAAATAAATAAATAAATAAATAAATAAATAAATAAATAAAAGCTAGCAAGTCATTACAAAATGTTTTTAAAGCCTGCATGGACCAAGCCAATTACATCTGTGGGCTGGATTCAGCTCTGGGGCGGACACAGAGGGAGGGGCGGGGCATTTAGTGAAGGCGATGCAAAGCATCATGGGTGAGTTGGGGACCACATGGGCCAGGGGGTTTGACTAGGTGGTGCCTAGGCGGGTGCCAGCATGTTTGTCGGGGCTGGCGCGGTGGAGGGGGCGTGGTTTAAACTGAACAGGTGTTTTGGGTCTAGGTTGGAAAGGACCTTTGGAGCCACGATAACATTTTTCAATTTTGAAGAAGTCAGTGATAGCTTTTAAACAGCTGAATGACTCAGTCATGCCTGTCTGTCCCCATCCCCCAATCCCAACACCCAGAAAGCTGTGAATCAGGCTTTCTTTGGGGGTGGAGGGACAGTAGATCCATCCATGAAGGAAACAAACTAAACAGCCCCCGTCTTCCAGCGCGCTCACAGCCGCCGGGGAGAGGGGGAAGGTGTCCTTAGTAAGGTTAGGATAGGATGGCAGCCGTGATGGTGGGACCGTGGCAGAGGGTTAGTGGTTGTCTGCAGATATGGGAGCCACTGCTATGTGTTCAATGCACTAAGGATGCAACGACGAACAGGACAGACATGGCCCTGCCTTCAAGGAAAAAGACTGTGAAGGAGGAAGGAAATAAGGAGAGACGGTAATTCCAGGGGGTGATGAGAAAATGTAAAAATTAAAATAGCAGGATGGGGGATGGGGCTCAGATCGGCAGCCTACAGGCCCAGGAGACAGAGCGGGTGGGCAGGAGGATGGAGGATGGGGAGCGGGGGTCCTCAGTGGCTCACAAGCCACCGCTTGCTCCCTGGGACCCAGCAGCCTGGCTGGGCCTCTGTCTCCCCAGAATCACCCTATCACACCAAGAACAAACCCACGGCTGACATAGATTCCTGACTCCGAGCCCAAGCAAGGGGGAGAAAGGGGAGGAAAAAAACACCCATCTGTTCTTCCTCTGATGGAATGTGATTTTTCACCCAGTGCTTAAACCTCGAGCTTCTCCTCCCATTTCCTCTCGGCAGCCGCAGCGAAGCGATATAAATCGCTGTAAATGGGTTTTCCCGGCCGGTTGCCGTGTTGTTTTAATAATGGTTCATTTTCTGCCTGGGGGGAAAAATAGTTGGTAAAGAAATTGAGGAGGGGGGGTTCATTTTGTGTGTGTGTGTGTGATTGTGCGTGTGTGTGTGTGTGTGTGTGTGTCCTGTTGCCTTAGAGAAGATTCCCGAATATTCCACTGGGACACCAAGTGACCCGTCCAGTTGGGGAATTGGGGAATTGCTGGTCAGAGAACCAGTGCATCCCACTTGCCTGGACAAAAGGGATTCCTTTTTTTTTTTTTTTTTTTTTTTTTTTTTGAGACTGAGTCTTGCTCTATTGCCCAGGCTGGAGTGCAGTGGTGCAATCCCGGCTCACTGCAATCTCCACCTCCCTGGTTCAAGCGATTCTTCTGCCTCAACCTCCTGAGTAGCTGGGATTACAGGCGCCCGCCAGCATGCCTGGCTAAGTTTTGTATTTTAAGTAGAGACAGAGTTTCGCCATATTGGCCGGGCTGATCTTGAACTCCTGACCTCAAGTGATCTACTCACCTTGGCCTCCCAAAGTGCTGGGATTACAGGCGTGAGCCGCCGTGCCTGGCCGAAAGGGATTCATTTGCAAACCTCCTGGGCACATATATTAAGCACTAACTGTGTGCTATGCCTGACTAGGTGCGTGGGATATGTAAATGAATAAATCTCCCAGGCCCTGACCTCTCTGGGGGCTCACATTCTAGAAGCAGAGAGAGCAACATTAAGACATCACTCTGCCAAACTAGGTAATTACAATTGTGGAAACTGCTCTGAGGAGACTGTTGAGTGCCACGGGAATGGAAAACGGATCTTGGCAGGGCTGGGCTGAGCATGGTGGCTCACAGCTACAATCCCAGCACTTTGGGAGGCTGAGGCAGGAGGATCGCTTGAGGCCAGGAGTTTGGGACCAGCCTGGACAACATAGCAAGACCACCAACTCTAAAAAAAAATTTAAAAATTAGCTGGGCGTGGTGGCACATGCCTTCTAGTCCCAGCTACTTGGGAGGCTGAGGCAAGAGGATCACTTGGACCTAAGAATTTGAGGCTGCAGTGAGCTATGATCATGCCATTGTACTCCAGCCTGGGCCACAGAAAAAGATCCCATCTCAAAAAGAAAAGAAGGCTGGGCATGGTGGTTCATGCCTGTAATCCCAGAACTTTGGGTGGCCGAAGTGGGTGGATCACTTGAGGCCAGGAGTTCGAGACCAAACTGGCCAACATGGTGAAACCCCGTCTCTACTAAAAATACAAAAATTAGCCAGGGGTGGTGGCTCATGCCTGTAATCCCACCTACTCAGGAGGAGGCAGGAGAATTCCTTGAACCTGGGAGGCGGGGGTTGGAGTGAGCCGAGATTGTGCCACTGCATTTCAGCCTGAGGGACAGAGTGAGACTCTGTCAGAAGAGAAAGGAAGGAAAGGGAAGGGGAGGGGAGGGGAGGGGAGGGAAGAAGAGATCTTGGCATAACCCAAACCCCCTTCAGAAGGGTCACCCTGGCTGCTACTTTAAGGATAGGCAGACAGAGGGAGTTGTGGGAGGGAAGGCCAGTCAGGTGGAGAGACTTCCTGGGCAAACTTCTGGAGGTTGAAAGAGTGTGATGTGGGCTCTGACCTGGGAGAACAGTCATGGAGCCAAGGATAGTGGGGGCGGGGGATGCTGGGGTCCTGGGGAATGGCGTGGGGAGTGGCCAGAGACTTGAGGACTTTTGTCTTGTTCCTGAGCAGAGTCTTCCATTCCTCCGGCATTGAGACTTTTTTTTTTCTTTTTTTTTTTTTTTTTTGAGACAGGGTCTCACTCTGTTGCCCAGGCTGGAGTGCAGTGGCGTGATCTCGGCTTACTGCAGCCTCCGCCTCCAGGGTTCAAGTGATTCTCCCGCCTCAACCTCCCTAGTAGATAGGATTACAGGCATGCACCACCATGCCAGTTAATTTTTGTATTTTTAGTAGAGACAGGGTTTCACTATGGGTGAACTTGCTGGTCTCAAACTCCTGGCCTCAGGTGATCTGCCTGCCTTGGCCTCCCAAAGTGCTGGGATTACAGGCATGAGCCACCACACCCAGCCAGGCTCTTTTTATAGACAAAGATGTTAGCGTTCTCGCCCTCTCATCTCACAGGGCATGAGGTCTCTCTCCAGCCTCTTGTGTGAAGGCACAGGTCCCATTCACGAGGTCTCCACCCTCCTCATCTCCCATAGGCCCCAATTCTTAACACCACGACCTGGGGGGTTAAGATTTCAACATATATTGGCCAGGCATGGTGGTGCACACCTGTAATCCCAGCACTTTAGGAGGCCAAAGTGAGCAGATTGCTTTGAGCTCAGGAGTTTAAGACCAGCCTGGGCAACATACCAAAAACCCCATCCCTACTAAAAATGCAAAAATCAGCCAGGTATGGTGGTGGGCGCCTGTAATCCCAGCTACTCCGGAGGCTGAAGCTGGAGAATCACTGGAACTCAGGAGGTGGAGTTTGCAGTGAGCCGAGATTGCGCCACTGCACTCCAGCCTGAGCAACAGGGTGATGAGACTCCATCTCAAAAAAAAAAAAAAAAAAAGATAAAAAAGATTTCAACATATAAATTTGGGGGGACACAAACATTCACACCAAAGCACTTGGCTTGCCAAGTCATCTCCCCACCCCAGCCCCATCCGTTTACTCCCTACAGTTGGTTGAATGACAGTCCTCCAAAAATGTACATTCATATCCTAACCCCCAGAGCCTGTACGTGTGATCTTATTTGGACAAAGGGTCTTTGAAGTTGTATTTATGTGAAGAATCCTGACATGAGATCATCCTGAATTAGAATGGGCTCTAAATCTATTAATAAGTGTCCTGGCCGGGTGCGGTGGCTCACGCCTGTAATCCCAGCACTTTGGGAGGCTGAGGCAGGTGGATCACCGAAGGTCAGGAGTTTAAGACCAGCCTGACCAACGTGGTGAAACCCCGTCTCTACTAAAAATACAAAAATTAGCCAGGTGTGGTGGCGGGCGTCCGTAGTCCCAACTACCTGAAAGACTGAGGTGGGAAGATCAGATCACTTGAGTTGGGGAGGCAGAGGCTGCAGTGAGCCAAGATCATGCCACTGCATTCCAGCATGGGTCACAGAGCCAGAGGGAAAAAAAAAAGAAAGAAAGAAAAAATGTCATCAGAAAAGAATGGAGAGGCCACCGTGACTCACACCTGTAATCCCAGAGCCTTGGGAGGCTGAGTTGGGAGGATCACTTGAGCCCAGGAGTTTGAGATCAGCCTGAGCAACATAGTGAGACCCCTGTCTTTAGAAAAAAGTTTTTAAAAATTAGTGGGGCTTGGTGGTGTGTGCCTGTAGTCCCAGCTACTCAGGAGGCTGAGGTGGGAGGATCCCTTGAGCCTAGGAGGTCGAGGCTGCAGTGAGCCATGATTGTACCGCTTCAGTCTAGGCTGGGTGACAGAGCGAGATTCCGTCTCAAAAAAATTTAAAAAAAAAGGAAACGAAAAAGAAAAAAAGGGAACCAGACACAGAGACACAGGGAAAAAGTCCATGTGACAATGGTGGCAGAAACTGGAGTGATGCAGCCACAAGCCAAGGAATGCTGGGAGCCACCAGAGGCTTGAAGAGGCAGAAAGGATCCTCCCCTAGAGCCTCCAGAGGGCCACCTTGACTTGGGGCTAATGATACTGATTTGGGACTTAAGGGATCCAGAACTGTAAGAAAATAAATGTGTTTTTTTTGTTTTTGTTTTGAAATTATATTTTATTGATATATAATAGTCGTATTGTTTTGTTTTCTGCTGTCCTGAAGCCACCTAGTTTGTGGGCATTGGTTACAACAGTCACAGGAAATATTATAGTTGGCCCTCCATAGCCACGGGTTCCTTATCCAGGATTCAACAAACTGTGAATGGAAAACATTAGGGAAAAAAACCCTAATCCTAGCACTTTGGGAGGGTGAGGCAGGCAGATCACTTGAGGTCAGGAGTTTGAGACCAGCCTGGCCAACATGGTGAAACCCTGTCTCTACTAAAGATAGAAAAAAATTAGCTGGGCGTGGTGGCAGACACCTGTAGTCCCAGCTACTTAGGAGGCTGAGGCAGGAGAGTCGCTTGAACCTGGGAGGTGGAGGTTGCAGTGAGCCAAGATCATGCCATTGCACTCCAGCCTGGGCAACAGAGTGAGATCCTGTCTAAAAAAAACAAAAAGAAAAACAAAAAACAACAACAAAAACCCTGGCTAGCCATGCTGGCTCATGTCTATAGTCCCAAGAATTTGGGAGGCTGAGGTGGGCGGGTTGTTGGAGCCCAGGAGTTGGAGAGCAGCCTGGGCAAAGTAGCAAGACCCCCATCTCTACAAAAAACATTAACAAAATAAGTCCAGTGGGTGGCGCACACCTGTGGTCCCAGCTACTCGAGAGGCCAAGGCAGGAGAATTGCTTCAGCCTGGGAGGTTGAGGTTGCACTGAGTGATGATTGCACCACTGCAATCCAGCCTGGGTGATAAAGCAAGACTCTATCCAAACAAACAAACAAACAAACAAACAAAACAAACCATATTTTATCTATTTATCATTTTTATTATTTTAAATTATTATTATTATTTATTTATTTAGTTTTGAGACAGAGTCTCACTCTGTCGCCCAGGCTGGAGTGCAGTGGTGCGATCTTGGCTCACTGCAAGCTCCGCCTCCCAGGTTCACGCCATTCTCCTGCCTCAGCCTCCTGAGTAGCTGGGACTACAGGCACCCGCCACCACGCCTGGCTAATTTTTTGTATTATTATTATTATTTTCTTTTTTTTTTTAGATGGAGTCTCGCTCTGTCACCCAGGCTGGAGTGCAATGGCACAATCTCAGCTCACTGCAACCTCCACCTCCCGGATTCAAGTGATTCTCCTGCCTCAGCCTCCCGAGTAGCTGGGACTACAGGCATGTGCCACCATGCCCGGCTATTTATTTATTTATTTATTTATTTGTATTTTTAGTAGAGACGGGGTTTCACCATGTTAGCCAGAATGGTCTTGATCTCCTGACCTCTTGATCTCCTGACCTCGTGATCCGCTGCCTCGGCCTCCCAATGTGTTGGGATTACAGGCGTGAGCCACCGTGCCCGGCCTATGTTTAATTATTTTATTATTTTAACAATTATCTTTATGGTTAAAAATATCACAACAGTAAAAAAAAATACATTCTCTGCAGCCCGGATTCAGAAAATGATAAAAATTAAAAAATAAAAATGAGGGAGGCGGATCACTTGTGGCCAGGAGTTCAAGACTAGCTTGGCCAACATGGTGAAACCCCGTCTCTACTAAAAATACAAAAAAATTAGCCAGTCATGGTGGCACGTGCCTGTAATCTTCGCTACTCGGGAGGCTGAGGCCTGAGAATCACTTGAAGCCGGGAGGTGGAGGTTGCAGTGAGCCAAGATCGCGCCACTGCACTCTAGCCACACATATGTATACATATACATATATGTGTATATATACATACATGTATACAGCATATATACACATGTATGTATATATACAGCAGGATGTGCATAGGTGATATGCAAATACTATGCTGTTTTATAAAAGAAACTTGAGCATCTGTGGATTTTGGTATCCAGGGAGGTCCTGGAACCAATCCTACAGGATGCAAAGAGAGGACTAGAATACATTCCCTTTCCTAGCAAAACATCCCAAGAGTTATCACTGGGTCCGGCTGCTCTTCTCTCGTCCTCTCTCTGATCCTCTCCTTTCAGTATTTTGTTCCCACTCGGCCACTAGAAGGGCTCCATCCTGCCCAACCTGATGGTCGTTTCTCAGCCTCTAGGACTGTGCACTCCCAGCTTCCCCTCCCACCTCCAAGGCCACCACTTCTTAGTCTCTTCTGTGATTCCTCTTCATCTCCCAATCTTAGCCTTGAAGAGAAAGCCAAGAGCCAAGATCGGATCATTGCTCACCAGCCTGGGCGACAGAGCGAGACTCTGTCTCAAGAAAAAAATGATTAAAATAAAATAAAATAGGCTGGGCACAGTGGCTCACGCATGTAATCCCAGAACTTTGGAAGGTCCAGGCGGGCAGATCACGAGGTCAGGAGTTCGAGACCAGCCTGGCCAAGATGGTGAAACCCCGTCTCTACTAAAAATACAAAAAATTTGCCAGGTGTGGTGGCGGGCACCTGTAGTCCCAGCTACTCGGGAGGCTGAGGCAGGAGAATGGCGTGAACCCGGAAGGCAAAGCTTGCAGTGAGGCAAGATTGCACCACTGCCCTCCTGCCTGGGCAACAGAGCGAGACTCTGTCTAAAAAGAAAAAAAAAAGAAAACAATTAATAAATAAAAATAAAATAAATGCTGGGCTGAGCGTGGTGGCTCACTGTAATCCCAGCAGTTTGGGAGGCCGAGGTTAGGAGTTTGAGACCAGCCTGGCCAACATGGTGAAACCCCATCTCTACTAAAAACACAAAAGGTAGTCGGGCATAGTGGCAGGCACCTGTAATCCCAGCTACTCAGGAGGCTGAGGCAGGAGAATCACTTGAAACCGGAAGGTGGAGGTTGCAGTGAGCTGAGATCTCGCCACTGCACTCCAGCCTGGGCAACAAGAGTGAAACTCCATCTCAAAAATAAATAAATAAATAAATAAATAAATAAATAAATAAATAAATAAATGCCACTTACACCCGACAGCTCCCAGTGGCGTCCCCCACCTCTCACCTCTCTGCTGACCTTCACCTGCCCCCCAGATGTCTCTGCTGGAAACCCAGTGGGCACACCCAAGTATCACACCGGAAGCAGACTCTTCATCACACTCCAGACCTGTTTCCTCCTCTGTCCTCCCCGCTCCTCTGTCCTCCCTGCTCCTCTGTCCTCCCCGCTCCTCTGTCCTCCCCTCCTCTGTCCTCCCCGCCCCTCTGTCCTCCCCCCTCCTCTGTCCTCCCCCCTCCTCTGTCCTCCGCCTCCTCTGTCCTCCCCCCTCCTCTGTCCTCCCCCCTCCTGTGTCCTCCCCAAATCAGTTAATGACACATCATCGTCCTCTATTGGTGCAGGAGCTGGAATAGTGTCTTCCTCCCCTGACAAAATTCATGTTTACCTGGAGCCTCAGAATGTGACCATATTTGGAAATAGCATCTTTGCAGATGTCATTAGTTAAGTTAAAATAAGATCTTACTAGCCCAGCACTGTGGCTTGAGCCTGTATTCCCAGCTATGCAAGACGCTGAGGTGGGAGGATCACTTGAGGCCAGGGGTTTGACACCAGCCTGGGCAACATAATGAAACCTTGTCTCTACAAAAATAAAAATTTTTTTTTTTTTTGAGACTGAGTCTCGCTCTGTCACCCAGGCTGGAGTCCAGTGGCACGATCTCGGCTCACTGCAAGCTCCATCTTCCAGGTTCACGCCATTCTCCTGCCTCAGCCTCCTAAGTAGCTGGGACTACAGGCGCCCGCCACCACGCCTGGCTAATGTTTTTTTTTGTTGTTGTTGTTTTTGTATTTTTAGTAGAGATGGGGTTTCACCATGTTAACCAGGACGGTCTCAATCTCCTGACCTCGTGATCCGCCCGCCTTGACCTCCCAAAGTGCTGGGATTACAGGTGTGAGCCACCACACCTGGGCTTTTTGTTTTGTTTTGTTTTTTGAGACAGAGTCTCACTCTGCAGCCCGGGCTAGAGTGCAGTGGCACGATCTCTCCTCATTGCAACCTCCGCCTCTTGGGTTCAAGTGATTCTCTTGCCTCAGCCTCCCAAGTACATGGGATTATAGGCATGCACCACCACGCCCAGCTAATTTTGTATTTTTAGTAGAGATGAAGTTTCACCATGTTGGCCAAGCTGGTCTCTAACTCCTCAGCTCAAATGATCCACTCTCCTCAGCCTCCCAAAATGCTGGGATTACAGTTGTGAGCCACCACACCCAGCCAAAAATTTTAAAAAATTAGCCAGGCATGTGGCACACACTTGTAGTCCCAGCTACTTAGGAGGCCAAGATGGGAGGATTGCTTGAGCCCAAAAATTGGAGGCTGCAGTGAGCCATGATTGTGCCACTGCACTCCAGCCTGAGTGACAGAGTAAGACCCTGTCTCTTAAAAAAAAAAAAAAAAAGATGAAGTCTTACTGGACTAGAATGAGCCCTAAATCCAATGACAAGTGTCCATCTAAGAAGAGGAGAGGACACAGAGACACACAGAGACCATGGAAGCCTCTCCATGGAATGACTGGAATGATGCAGCTTTGAGTTGAGGAACACCAAGGATTACAAGGAGCTACCAAAATCTAGGAGAGAGACAAGGAAGGATTCTTCCCTAGAACCTTCAAAGGGAGCCCAGCCCTGCCAACACCTTGACTTTGGACTTTGAGCCTGCAGAACTGTAAGAGAATAACAAACTTATGTTGCTTCAAACCACCAAGTTTGTGGTAATTTATTGCAGCAGCACTAGAAAACTAATACAGTTGGGTGCTTCAGAAGTGTACCTGAGACACTCTGATTTGAGTAAAAGTGGTTTATCTGTAAGGTGATTGCAGGGAGTGCTGGCAGGGGATGGAGGAGATGAGATGCAGAAGGGAGGGCAGCCAGTACATCATGTGGAAATGAGCAGGTTATTCTGCGATATCTAGGTCTTAACTCATCTTGGACAAACCCTGAGAGTTATCTTATGCAAAGGGTGAGGGAGCTGGGGTATTTATCCTCCAACTCCCAGCCATTGTTAGTTGAGGTATGCTAGCAGGGAAAATGAATTCTCCAGAACTTCTGGCTGCCTGCATGCACCAGAGCAAAGCTGTCAGGCAAAGAGTCACAGGTACAGGTGGTATGAAGCCACTGGATTGACGTGCATGGTGTAGGGACAGCCTCTAAGATGGCCCTCAATGTTCCAACCCTTGCATTAATGCCCTACCCTTGAGTGTGGTTAGACTCTATGACTTGCTTCCTGCCCATAGAATGTGGCAAAATCGATGCAATGTCACTTCTAAAATTAGGTCACAAAAAAGACCACGCCTTTCATCTTGGGTGCACTCCCTTTTTTTTTTTTTTTTGGAGATGGAGTCTTGCTCTGTCGTCCAGGCTGGAGTGCAATGGTGCAATCTCTGCTCACTGCAACCTCCACCTCCCGGTTCAAGTGATTCTCCTGCCTCAGCCTCCCAAGTAGCTGGGATTACAGGCATGGGCCATTATGCCCAGCTAATTTTTTATTTTTACTAGAGATGGGGTTTCACCATGTTGGTCAGGCTGGTTTTGGACTCCAGACCTCACCCACCCACCTCAGCCTCCCAAAGTGCTGGGATTACAGGCGTGAACCATTGTGCCCAGCTGGATGCACTCCCTTTCTTGCCCTCTCTTCTGCTCACTCTGAGGGAAGCCAACTGCCAGGCTGTGAGCTGCCCATCGGAGAGGGTCACAAGGCCAGGAACCAGAAGAGGCCTCTGACCAACAGCCAGTGGGCAACTGATCCTGCCAACAACTCATGAGCTTGAAAGTGGATCCTCCCCAGTCGAGCTTTCAGATGAGATCATGGCCTCAGTCACCAACTATTTCTTTTTAATTGAGATGCATCCATGCCCATTTGCTTTTTGTTGTTGTTAGTTAATTAATTAATTAAAAAATAGAGATAGGGTCTCACTCTGCTGTCCAGGCTGGAGTGCAGTGGTGCGATCAATAGCTCCCTGCAGTATTGAACTCCTGGGCTCAAGGGATCCTTCTACCTCAGTTTCCCAAGTAGCTGGGACTATAGGTGCATGCCACCACACCTGGCTAATTTTTTGTTTAGTTTAGTTTAGTTTTGTTTTGAGATGGAGTCTCACTCTGTCACCTAGGCTGGAGTGCAGTGGTGCAATCTCGGCTCACTACAACCTCCGCCTCCTGAGTTCAAGTGATTCTCCTATTCAGCCTCCTGAGTAGCTGAAACTACAGGCCCATGCCACCATGCCCGGCTAGATTTTGTATTTTTAATAGAGATGGGGTTTCACCATGTTGGCCAGGCTGGTCTCAAACTTCTGGCCTCAAGTGATCCACCTACTTCAGCCTCCCAAAGTGCTGGGATTATAGAGGTGAGTCACTGCACTGGCCTAAAATTTATTTAATTGACAAATTAAAATTGTACGTATTTATGGTGTATGACATGATGTTTTGAAGTACATATACATTTCAGAATGGCTAAATGGAGTGAATTAACATATATATTACCTCACATGCCTATTTTTGTGTGTGACAAGAACACTTAAAATCTCTCTCAGTGATTTTCAAGTATACGATACATTGTTATTAGCTATAGTCACCATACTGTAGAAGACATCTCTTGACTGTATTCCTGTCTAACTGAAAGTGTATAGCCTTTGACTAACATCTCCCCAGTCCCTCCACTCTAGCCCCTGGTAACCACCATTCACTCTCTGTTCTTTTTCTTTCTTTTTTGGAAACAGGGA
Organism: Homo sapiens; assembly: GCF_000001405.40. Lineage (NCBI taxonomy): Eukaryota > Metazoa > Chordata > Mammalia > Primates > Hominidae > Homo > Homo sapiens. Next base: position 14,239,284 of record NC_000019.10, read on the forward strand.
CTCACTTTGTCATCCAGGCTGGAGTGCAGTGGCATGATCATGGCTCACTGCAGCCTCAACCTACTGGGGTCAGGTGTTCCTCCCACCTCAGCCTCCCAAGTAGCTGGGACTACAGGCACACACCACCATGCCCATCTAATTTTAGTATTTTTTGTAGAGATCAGGTTTCACCATGTTGCCCAGGCCTGTCTACAACTATTGAGCTCAAGCGATCCACCTCCCTTGGCCCCCCAAAGTGCTAGGATTATAGGGATGAACCACCACGTGCAATCTCGGCTCATTGCAACTTCTGCCTCCCAGGTTCAAGCGATTATCCTGCCTCAGCCTCCTGAGTAGCTGGGATTACAGGTGCGCACCACCATGCCCGGCTCATTTTTGTATTTTTAGTAGAGACGGGGTTTAACCATGTTGGTCAGGCTGGTCCTGAACTCCTGACCTCATGATCCGGCCGCCTTGGCCTCCCAAAGTGCTGAGATTACAGGCGTGAGCGACTGCACCCGGATAGTAACCCATCTGTACCCCATCACTGTAGACTCCCCTCTTTCTGTCATCCCTCACATCCAATCCATTAGCCAGCCCTGTCCACTCCAACTCCAAAACCCACCCTGAGCCCATAGAGCCTTCCTCACCTGCACTGCCACCAGCCTGGGACAAGTCATTCTTGTCTGTCATCTGAATTGTAGCAAAGATCTCTCCTCCCTATCAAGCTCTATCCAGGTGGATCTGCTCAGCCAAGGTAGGCTTTTTAATTCTTTATTTTAGAGACAGCGTGTCATTTTGTTGCCCAGAAGGGAGTGAAGTGGTGCAATCATAGCTTACTGCAGCCTCAACCTCCTGGGCTTAAATGAGTCTCCTGCCTTAGCCTCCACAGCAGCTGGAACTACAGGTGCGTGCCACTGTGCTCAGCTAATTTTTTTTTTTTTTGAAATGGAGTCTCACTCACTCTGTCGCCCAGGCAGTGTGTCGCCCAGGCAGTGAGTACAGTGGTGTGATCTTGCCTCACTGTTACCTCCATCTCCCGGGTTCAAGTGATTCTCCTGCTTAGCCTCCCAAGTAGCTGGGATTACAGGTATGCACCACCCCACATGGCTAATTTTTGTATTTTTAGTAGAGATGGGGTTTTGCCACGTTGGCCAGGCTGGTCTCGAACTCCTGGCCTCAAGTGATCTGCCTGCCTCAGCTTCCCAAAGTGTTGGGATTACAGGTGTCAGCAACTGTGCCTGGCCTAATTTTAAATTTTTTGTAAAGATGTGGTCTCGAACCCCTAGCCTCAAGCGATCCTCCCACCTCCACCTCCTAAAGTGCTGGGATTACAGGCGTGAGCCACTGCATCCGGCCTCCTGCACTTCTTCCTTAAGCACATGCTCACCCAGTGCTTCCATTCATGCATGGGACCAGCACTCATTAAGCACTTACTGTATGTACCTGACCTCTGAGTATCCAACAGGCATTTTTCTCATTTAATCCTTGAAATGACCCTACTGTCATTGTACCTATATTATAGCCAGAGAAACAGAGGCACAGACCAGCAAAACCACTTACCTAAGGTGACTCAGTCAATGCCAGGCAGGGCTGGGATTTGTAGGTTTTTTTTGTTGTTTGAGACGGAGTCTTGCCCTGTCACCCAGGCTGGAGTGCAGTGGTGCTATCTCAGCTCACTGCAACCTCCACCTCCCGGGTTCAAGCGATTCTCGTGCCCCAGCCTCTCAAGTAGCTGGGATTACAGGTGTGCACCACCATGCCTGGCTGATTTTTTGTTTGTTTGTTTTCTTTTGTTTTGAGTCAGAGTTTCACTCTTGTTGCCCAGGCTGGAGTGCAGTGGCGCGATCTCGGCTCACTGCAACCTCCGCCTCCCAGGTTCCTGTGATTCTCCTGCCTCAGCCTCCCGAGTAGCTGGGATTACAGGCATGCGCCAACATGCCCAGCTAATTTTTTATATTTTTAGTAGAGACAGGGTTTCTCCATGTTGGTCAGCCTGGTCTCGAACTCCCAACCTCAGGAGATCTGCCCGCCTTGGCTCCCAAAATGCTGAGATTACAGGCATGAACCACCACGCCTGGCTTTTTTTCTTTTTTTTTTTTTTTGAGATGGAGTTTTGCTCTGTCACCAGGCTGGAGTGCAGTGGCGCGATCTTGGCCCACTGCAACCTCCGCCTCCTGGGTTCAAGCAATTCTCCTGCCTCAGCTTCCCAAGTAGCTGGGACTATAGGCGCATGCCACCACACCCGACTAATTTTTTGTATTTTAGTAGAGACGGGGGTTTCACCATGTTGGCCAGGATGGTCTCAATCTCGTGACCTTGTGATCTGCCCACCTCGGCCTCCCAAATGATTTTTGTATTTTTAGTAGAAACGGGGTTTCACCATGTTGGCCAGGCTGGTCTTGAACTCCTGACCCCAAGTGACTTGCCCGCTTCAGTCTCCTAAAGTCCTGGGATTACAGGCATGAGCTACTGCTGACCCCAGGGCTGGGATTTGAACCCACGCAGTTTCTATACCAGCCCTGGGGTCTTCATTGACATTCAGCTTATGCATCCAATGTGTTAATTCTCTCACTTCCAAACAGATGGGCGTTTCCAAGTGCCCAGAGACCCTGGCAGGTTTACATCTCTTGGCTTTATCCAGAAGGTGGTTTGGTCTTCAAGGCCGGGCACGGTGGCGCACACCTGTAATCCTAGCACTTTGGGAGGCCAGGCAGGCGGATCACCAGAGGTCAGGAGTTTCAGACCAGCCTGACCACCATGGAGAAACCCTGTTTCTACTAAAAATACAAAATTAGCCGGGCGTGGTGGCACATGCCTGTAATCCCAGCTACTCAGGAGGCTGAGGCAGGAGAATCGCTTGAACCCAGGAGGCAGAGGTTGTGGTGAATCAAGATCGCGCCATTGTACTCCGGCCTGGGAAACAAGAGCAAAACTCCGTCTCAAAAAAAAAAAAAGAAAAGAAGAGAACAGAAGGTGGTTTGGTCTTTCTCAGCTGCGCTGATGAACAGGCCCATTTCTTGTCCTCAGAGATAGGGTCTAGCGTAGCAGGGGAGTCAAGGCAGGTATCACTCAACTGAAATCCACAGGAACTACTCAACCCTGTGTAAGAGCACCTGGGATGTGTTAACTCTGCCTGGGAGAGATTTGGAAAGGCAGGAAGGACTCTTTTTGTTCGTCTTTGTTGGTTTTTGTTTTTTTTTTTTTGGATTGTTGTTTGTTTTGAGACAGAGTCTTGCTCTGTCGTACAGGCTGGAGTGCAGTGGTGAGATGTTGGTTCACTGCAACCTCTGCCTTTCCGGCAATTCTCCTGCCTCAGCCTCCTGAGTATATGAGATTACAAGTGCCTGTCACCATGCCTGGCTAATTTTTGTATTTTTAGTAGAGACGGGGTTTCACCATGTTGGCCAGGCTGGTCTTGAACTCCTGACCTCAAGTGATCCGCCTGCCTTGGCCCCCCAAAGTGCTAAGATTATAGGCGTAAGCCACCACAGCTGGCCCATCTTTGTATTCTGAGCCAGCTAAACACACAAAGGCCAGACTGGGGCAGGGCATGGTGGCTCATGCCTGTAATCCCACCATTTCAGCAGGCCAAAGTGGGAGGATTGCTTGAGGATTGCTTCAAGACCAGCTTGGGCAACATAGCGAGACCCAATCTCTTAAAAAATAACAAAAAATTAGCTGGATGTGGTGGCACACACCTGTAGTCTCAGCTACTCCAGAGGCTGAGGCAGGAGGATTCCTTGAGCCTGGGAGATTGTTAGCCTGGGTGACGGAATGAGGCCTTGTCTCTTAAAAAAAAAAAAAAAAAAAGGCCGGGCGCAGTGGCTCATGCCTGTAATCCCAGCACTTTGGGAGGCCAAGGTGGGTGGATCACCAGGTCAGGAGATCGAGACCATCCTGGCCAACATGGTGAAACCCCGTCTCTACTACAAATAAAAAATTAGCTGGGTGTGGTGTTGTGTGCCTGTAATCCCAGCTACTCGGGAGGCTGAGGCAGGAGAATCGCTTGAACCAGGTAGTCGGAGGTTGCAGTGAGCCGAGATCGCGCCACTGCACTTCAGCCTGGTGACAGAGCGAGACATCATCTAAAAAAAAAAAAAAAAAAATGCCAAAGTGGGTAAATGACTTGCCGCAGGTCACACAGCCTGGAAGTCCGAAGGAGCCTTTGCAAGAAATCTTGCTGCTTTCAACCCTCCTTGTTAGTCTCCCAGGCTGCTGTAAGGAAGTGCTACCCATTGGGTGGCTTAAAGCAACAGAGATTTATTCTCTTCCACACCTGGAGGCCAGAAGCCTGGAATCAAGGTGTTGACAGGACCATGTTCCCTCTGAAACTTGCAAGGGAGACTCCTTCCTTGCCCCTGCCTGGCCAGCGGGCATTGGTGGTGGCCAGCAATGCTGGGTGCTCCTTGGCTTGTAGATGATGCATCTCTCCAATCTCTGCATCATCCAGTCTCTGCCTCCTCCATCACATGGACTCTCCCTCGTGTACTTGTGTCTATTCTCTTCTTACCAAGACACTGGTCGTATTGGCTGGGCGCAGTGGCTCACGCCCGTAATCCCAGCACTTTGGGAGGCTGAGGCGGGCGGATCACTTGAGGTCAGGAGTTCGAGACCTGAGGCAAGTTGCAATTTTTAGCCCCATTTTATAGATGAAGCCACTGAGTCTTGGATAATAACATGCTCATTCTTCCTGGAACCACCCAGAAGACTTCTGCTGGAGTCTTATTGGCCGGAAGAGTGTCACACAGCCATCTCTAGAAGGAAGGGAGTTGGGAGGCTGAGGTAGGCGGATCACTTGAGGTCAGGAGTTTGAGATCAGCCTGGCCAACATGACGAAACCCCGTCTCTACTAAAAATACAAAAAATTAGCCGGGCATGGTGGTGGGTGCCTGTAATCCCAGCTACTCGGGAGGCTGAGGTAGGAGAGTAGCTTGAACCTGGGAGGCGGAGGTTGCAGTGAGCTGAGATTGCACCACTGTCCTCCAGCCTGGGTAACAGAGTGAGACTCTGTCCCCAAAAATAAATAAATAAATAAATAAATAAATAAAATAGAAGCAAGCGGGACTTGAAGGCTGGAATAATGGCAAGGGGAGCTGGAAGAGGGGCTGGAAGACAAAAAAAATACATAAACACATAAATAAATAAAATAGAAGCAAGGGGGGCTGGAGGGCAAGGATTAGGCAGGGCACACTGACACTTAAGGAGCCCTGTGTTAGCAAAGGAAAGAGATAGGTGTGAATTTGACAAACTGTGTCTCCCACAATTCTCCCTGCCTCTGAATCTGGATGAAGTATATTGAGTGCCCGCTAAGGACTAAGCACTATGCTACAGACTCACGGCAAATTATTCCTTTTTTTTTTTTGAGATGAAGTTTTGCTCTTGTTGCCCAGGATGGAGTGCAATGGCACGATCTCGGTTCACTACAACCTCTGCCTCCCAGGTTCAAGCAATTCTCCTGTCTCAGCCTCATGAGTAGCTGGGATTACAGGTGCACACCACCATGCCCGGCTAATTTTTGTATTTTTAGTAGAGGTGGAGTTTCACCATGTTGACCAGACTGGTCTTGAACTCTTGACCTCAGGAGATCTGCCCACCTCGGCCTCCCAAAGTGTTGGGATTACAGGCGTGAGCCACTGCACCCAGCCTTCAAGGCAAATTCTTTTTTTTTTCCCCCTGAGATGGAGTTTCACTCTGTCATCCAGGCTGGAGTCCAGTGGTGTGATCTCAGCTCACTGCAACCTCTGCCTCCTGGGTTCAAGCGATTTTCCTGCCTTAGCCTCCCGAGTAGCTGGGATTACAGGTACACGCCACCACGCCCAGCTAAGTTTTTGTATTTTTAGTAGAGACAGGGTTTCACCATGTTGGCCAGGCGGTCTCAAACTCCTGACCTCAGTGATCTGCCCACCTTGGCCTCCCAAAGTGTTGGGATTACAGGCATGAGCCACTACGCCCGGCCAAGACCTCAACTCTTAAATAAATAAATAAATAAAGCCAATACCATCCCTGCAGAGTTAGCTTTCAGGAGGGCTTATATTCTAGTTGCTGAGGGATGGGGTGGCTCAGAAATAATATTGGTTATGGGAATAACTTGTACTGTGGTCCAGGCACTGCTTTGAGGACTTCTCATTCACTAAGTCAATTATTCATTACCCGCTATATAAGGTGGGTTTTTTGTTTTTGTGGATTCTTTTTTTTTTTTTTTTTTTTGAGATGGAGTCTCGCTCTGTTGCCCAGGCTGGAGTGCAGTGGCGCGATCTCGGCTCACTGCAAGCTCCGCCTCCTGGGTTCATGCCATTCTCCTGCCTCAGCCTCCCGAGTAGCTGGGACTACAGGCGCCCGCCACCATGCCCGGCTAATTTTTTGTATTTTTAGTAGAGATGGGGTTTCCCCTTGTTAGCCAGGATGGTCTCGATCTCCTGACCTCGTGATCCGCCTGCCTCAGCCTCCCAAAGTGCTGGGATTACAGGCGTGAGCCACCACACCCCGCCTTGCAGATTTTTTTTTAGAGACTACAGGTGTAAGCCATTGTGCCTGGCTTTTTTTTTTTTTTTTTTTTTTTTTTTTGGTAGAGACAGGGTCTTGCTATGTTGCCCAGGCTGGTCTCAAACTCTTGGCCTAAAGGGACCCTCCTACCTTGGGCTCCTGAGTGGCTGGGATTACAGACTCCGGACACTGCACCCGGCTCCAGGTGGGTTTTATTACCATCCTCATTTTATAAATGAGGAAAGGGGCTCGGAGAAGTTAAGTAACATGCCCAATGTCACACAGCTAATAACTGTGAAGCCGGGATTTGAACCCAGGTTCTTGGATTCGAGAGCATAAGACCCTGAGTTCAGGTAAGTAATACAATGTCAGCTGGCTGTAAGACAGATGATGGTAAATAACAGGGACCACTAGGCCTGGCAAGGTGGCTCACACTTGTAATCCCAGCACTTTGGGAGGCAGAGGTAGGCGGATCACCTGAGGTCAGGAGTTTGAGACTAGCCTGGCCAACATGGTGAAACCCTGTCTGTATTAAAAATACAAAAATTAGCCAGGTGTGGTGGCATGTGCCTGTGGTCCCAGCTACTTGTGAGGCTGAGGTGGGAGAATCGCTTGAACCCAAGAGGCGGAGGTTGCAGTGAGATCACACCACTGTGCTCTAGCCTGGGTGACAGAGCGAGACTCCATCTCAAAAAAAAAAAAGGCCAGGGGCGGTGGCTCACGCCTGTAATCCCAGCACTTTGGGAGGCCGAGGCGGGCGGATCACGAGGTTAGGAGATCGAGACCATCCTGGCTAACACAGTGAAACCCAGTCAATACTAAAAATACAAAAAATTAGCCGGGCATGGTGGCGGGCGCCTGTAGTCTCAGCTACTCGGGAGGTCGAGGCAGGAGAATGCCGTGAACCCGGGAGGCGGAGCTTGCAGTGAGCCGAGATCAGGCCACCGCACTTCAGCCTGGGCGACAGAGCAAGACTCCGTCTCAAAAAAAAAAGGCCGGCGCGGTGGCTCATGCCTGTAATCCCAGCGCTTTGGAAGACCGAGGCAGGTGGATCACCTGAGGTCAGGAGTTCTAGACCAGCCTGGCCAACATGGTGAAATCCGGTATCTACTAAAAATACAAAAATTAGCTGGGCATGGTGGCATGCGCCGGTAATCCCAGCTACTCAGGAAGCTGCTTGAACCCAGGAGGTGGAGGTTGCAGTGAGCCGAGATTGCACCACTGCACTCCAACCTGGGCTACAGAGCAAGACTCCGCCTCAAAAGAAAAAATACAAATACAAATAAAATAAAGAGAACAGCCAGTGGGAAGTCCCAGAAATGGGCACACACTGGGTGTGTCTGGGGTGCAGTGAGGGGCCCCCTGTGGCTGAGGCGAAAGTCTAGGGATTATTGCACCCACTTTGCACGTGTGACCTTCCACAATTCTTCACACAGCGACTCCTTCACAACAGTCTCATGACATAGGTTTTTATAATTCTCCTCTCTTGACGGGCGGGGAAACTGAGGCTCAGGGTGGCTAATTGAGCCACAGCCAGAAAGCAATGGAGCTCCAATCTGAATCCAGGCAGCCTGCCCCCACTGCCGAACTCCAAGGGAAACACAGTAGGGAGCCAATGCCAGCAGGCTGGGAGGGCTGCCTGGAGGAGGTGGATGTCACCAGGACCTGCGGGAGGACCCTGAGGAGCAGGGAGGGAGGGAGCTGCCGCTGACCAAGGCACAAAAACATGTTCCTGGGGCAGTTCTTGGAAGGCAGATTTCCAGGTGCCTGCCCCCAATGTGGCCCTGCCTCCCGCTCCCCCTGGCCCCCTCTTCCTAGAGGGAAGGCGGCAAGAGGCGCTTCATTAGCGCCTCTGAGGCCCCAGCAGCCCCGGGGGGATGAAAAGGGCCTAGGAGGGGAGCCGTCCTAATTTTGGCACACCTGGCAGGGGGCCCAGGGCCACTGAAAGGGATTCAGCTGGGGCCGGCTGGGCAGGCCCCGTCATTGTTCCGGCTAGATCCGCGGTCAGGGCTTCAAATGCAAAATCGGGCTGGGGATGGGGTGGGGGCGCCGGTGGCCTCTGCTCTTCCTTTAATAGACCAAAGGACTCTGGCGGCTTAGCTCTTTTTCCTAATTTAAAGGTATTTTCAGGCGTTTGGGAGCTCCCCTACGGCGAAGCAGGAAGGCTGGGAAGTGGGGGGCCTTGAAACTCTCTTCGTGGTTGCCCGCGGAGGATGGAGGAAAAGGCGGGGAGGAGGGGGGCTGAGGTTGGTCTGGGGTCACTGGTGGGGCGCTGGGCAGGTGGAGACCCGTGTTGAGTTCTCGGCTGTCCTCTGCCCCAGTTTCCCTCTCTGGAACCTCTGTCTGGTTTCTGGAACCGTCCCCAGCAGGTAGGACGGATGCAGGTGTGCCCAAACGGCAGTTTCTTCCTAAGGAGCTCTTTCGGGTCAACTCCGGAGGCCTTGACTAGGGAGGCAGATGGAGGAGGCTTGATCCCTCTCAGCATGGCAGCCGTGGTGCCAAGGCAGGAAGGAGGGTAGGGAGGCAAGCCAATGGGGTGCAGCGGCCTCCATGCCAGAAAATGGGGGCTCCCTGGATCATCTCCTCGGCGGGAGGGTGCACGGGGACCAGGAGAGAGAACCAAAGGACCCCGCTGGAGGGGGGCTTGGAGCCTAGAGACAGTTGAGGGGGTACTGTCTTCCCCTCTCTCCTGGCCACGCTGCCCGGTCGGCCTTTTTCTCCCCTTTCCCTCCCCTTTTGCCCCCACCCCCGCCTGCCCCCCTCCAGGCCCCAGCGCCCCCCACTCCCAACCCCCCGGCCTGCTCTCCTGCCTCCCCCGTGCCACCTCCTTGGGCTGCGTTTCTCTTCCCTCCTCCGAGTTCCAGGCCATCCCCTCTCCCCCTCCCCAGCCCGCCCTCCTCCTTCTGACTGGCTCCCGCCTCCCTAACGCTCTCTCAGCCTCCCAGCCCCCTCCTCCCTCCCTCTCTCTCTCCCTCTCTCCCTTTCCTTCCTTCATCCCAGCCTCTCTTCCCACCTTCCCCAGCAGGAGAGAGGGGGCCGCGCTCCCCCCAGCCCCTCCCCCTCTCTCCCTGGGGCCGCCGCCATCTTGCAGGATGCTGGGGAGGGAGCCGCGTGCAGGCCATGGAAACAATGCATCTTTTATGAAGCGATCCCCGCTCCTCGCCTGGAAACCTTGCATTAATGCGGCATTGATTTCCCTCGTAATAGAGGGGGCTCTCCCGCGCCCCCAACCCGAGGGGCGCAAGAAGGGAGGGGGCCAGTTTCGGGGGCGAGGAGGGAAAAGTGGAGGGTGATGGAGTCATCGCTCCGGGCTCCCAGCTCTGCAGCCGGCGCCCTCCCCGCGCCCCGCCTGGAGACCCCCACCCCACCCCGCAGGTGGAGGTTCCCAGAGTGGGGGAGGGGTTCCGGCGCGAGGCCCTCTAGTAACTTCTGGGCTGAGACCCAGCCACAGAGTCCCGGCCGATGGGATCCCCACCCCCCTATTCTCAGCCCTGGCATTGGCCAGAAAGGGCGCAGGAGACCCTCGGCTGCCCCTGGGGCCCGCTGTCTGCGGCCAGGTCCTCTGGGACACGTGTCCCCCCCTCCCCCCAGAACCCTCCGAGGTTCCCCAGCTCCTCCAAGCCCTGTTTCCTTCCCCTCTTCCATCTTGCCGCCTCACTCCCATCCTTACAGCTCCTGCCTTCCTCGTCCTCTCCTGGCTCCCCCCTTCCCCTTCCCTGCTGCCTGCCCCCTCCCTCCACACCCCCTTCCCTGCGTGCTAATGGCCCGGTGGCAGGCGGCTCCGTGGCTGTTTCCGGGGGAGGCGGGTTTGCAGCCAGGGGAGATGTTGGAGCGGTTTGAGGAAGAAGAATTATACATACATAAATCTGGGATAATGACGGTGTTGCTAATGGGGCGGGCGGCGGCAGCTCCCGGCAGTGCCCCCCCACAAACACACACCCCATCACACACACTCAGGGACCAGCCTGGCTTCCTGACGCGTTTGAGGGTCCGTGGGCCCCGATCATCTCCTTGACTGGCCCTGAAACATCCCTGCTGCAGATACGGGGTCCATGCTCATTTGTGACATCAATGAAACATCCCCCTCCAGCCCCCCAATTCAATTTGCGGCTTGCCACTTTGCTTGCCCTGTGGCCTAGGGGTGAGTAGTTACCCCAGCAGGACAGGTGTGTTCACTTGGGTCTTATTACCCCACCACCAGCCTGGACCCCCCACTCCTCTAGGTTTTCTGAGGTCACACCACCCACCACATGACATCTTTTGCATAACTGAAGGAAGGTCAGACGGATTTTCTTACCCTTTCTCCATTTCATAGCTGTGTGACCTTAGGCAAATTACTTAACCTCTCTGAGATTCAGTTCTCTCTACTTGTAATTTGGGAATAATTATGTTCAAAGAACCTGAGGCTGAGGTGGGAGGATCACTTGAGGCAAGGAGTTGGAGACCAGCCTGGGCAACATAGCGAAACCCCTGTCTCAAATTAAAAAAAAAATTTTTTTGAAAAAATTAGTCAAGGGCCAGGCACAGTGGCTCACACCTGTAATCCCAGCACTTTGGGAGGCCAAGGCAGGTGGATCACTTGAGGTCAGGAGTTCAAGACCAGCCTGGCCAACATGGCGAAACCCTGTCTCTACTAAAAAAAAAAAAAGTACAAAAATTAGCCGGTGTGGTGGTGCATGCCTGTCATCCCAGCTACTCGGGAGGCTGAGGCACGAGAATCCCTTGAACCGGGAGGCGGAGGTTGCAGTGAGCGGAGGTCGCACCACTGCACTCCAGCCTGGGCAACAGAGCAAGACCCTGTCCCTAAAAAAAAAAAAAAAAGAGAACGTGAATTCACCCACTTCTTTCCACTTTTGTGCTTCCCAACTCCTTCATCACTTGCCTGGATTTACTGAGGTTGCCTTGGCCACAGGCTCCTGGCTTCTGCCCTGGCCTCCATCCGTCCTTACCACAGCCCAGAGGTATCTTTGAAAAGACAAGGAAGTTCACGTTTTCCTTCTATTGAGAACGCTGCAATGCACCGCCATGGCTCTTAGATTAAGACCGAAATCCCTCACTCAACCTCCTTGGGATTCCTCTCTCCATCGCTAAGTCCACTCCAGCTACACTGAGCCTTTGCACTGGTTGTTCCCACTTCCTGCAACACCCTTCCCCCTAGATCTCACATGGCCAACCAGCTCTGCCTTCTTCTTCACGCCTCAGCTCCATGTCACCACCCCTAGTCAATCTCCATTAACTCTCTGATATCGCTTACTTATTTGTTTTCATGACCATTCCCTCCTGGAATAACATCTCTCTCTCTCTCTCTCTTTTCCTTCCTTCCTTTTTCCCTCCCTCCTTCCTTCCTTTCTTGCTTCCTTCCTTTTTTGTTTTTTTTGACAGAGTCTCGCTCTGAACACCCAGGCTGGAGTGCAAAGGCACGATCTTGGCTCATTGCAACCTCTGCGATTCTCCTGCCTCAGCCTCCCCAGTAGGTGGGATTACAGGCATGGCTGTACACTCAGCTAAATTTTGTGATTTTAGTAGAGACAGGGTTTCACCATGTTGGCCAGGGTGGTCTTGAACTCCTGACCTCAGGTGATCCGCCCGCCTCAGCCTCTCAAAGTGCTGGGATTACAGGCATGAGCCACTGAGCCAAGCTGTTTCTTTCTTTTTTGAGATGGTGTCTCACTCTATCACCCAGGCTGGGGTGCAGCAGCGTGATCTCGGCTCACTGTAACCTCCACCGTGTTCAAGTGATTCTCCTGCCTCAGCCTCCCAAGTAGCTGGGACAATAGGCAGGTGCCACCATTCCCGGCTAATCTTTGTATTTTTAATAGAGACAGGTTTTCACCATGTTGGCCAGGCTGGTCTTGAACTCCTGACCTCAAGTGATCTGTTTGTCTCGGCCTCAAGTGATCTGTTCATCTCGGCCTCCCAAAGTGCTGGGATTACAGGTGTGAGCCACCGCACCTGGCCAAAATTTATAAACCTTGACTCTTATTCTCGGTGTGTCCCACAATACCTGGCACCTACTAGATTTTCAAATATGTGTTGACTGAGTGAATTAAATAAATAACGTTGTGACTATGTAAGGATATAAGTGATGTAAAGTTCTTGGCAGGTCACCAGCATTCAATAAACCAAGATGCTGGGCACAGTGGCTCACGCCTGTAACCCCAGCATGTTGGGAGGCCAAGGCAGGAGGATAGTTTGAACCAGGGGTTCAAGAGCAGCCTGGACAACAAAGCGAGACCCTGTCTCTACAAAAATTACAAAAAAATTAGCTGGGTGTGATAGTGTATACCTGTGGTCCCAGCTATTCGAGAGGCTGAGGTGGGAGGATCACTTGAGCCTGGGCGGTTGAGGCTGCAGTGAGCCAGGTTCCTGCGATCCAGCCTGAGTTACTGAGTGAGACCCTGTCCACATCCCCACAAGAGGTAAACTTATGTTCATCAAAAGACATGTACAAGGATGTTCATAGCTGCTTTATCTACAATAACCATTCACTGCAAACAACTCAAATATCTATCAGCAGTAAGATAAATACATTGTGATACATCTCCACAATGGATTATTATACAACCAAGAAAAAGAACAGGAAAGCAGACATGACAATAGATTCTCACAGATACAATGTTGCGTAAAAGCAAGACGACAAACCATGTATTTCCACTTACACAAAGTTCAGGGGTAGGCAAAACTAATCTATGATGAAAATGTCAAATTGGAGGATACTGACTGAGAAAGAGCATTTGGGAATTTCCTGGAGGGACAATTATGTTCTTCTGGTCTGCATGGTGGATACACAGGTATACACGTGTAGAAATTCACCACGCTGAAATTTATGATTTGTGCACTTTACCATATTCATTAAAAAAAAAAAAAAAAAAAGGAAGCCAGTCATGATGGCTTGTGCCTGTAATCCAAGCTACTCAGGAGGCTGAGATGAGAGGATCGCTTGAGGCCAGGAGCTCGAGACCAGCTGGGTAATGTAGTGAGACCCTGTCTTCATTTAAAAAAAAAAAAAAAAAAAAGATTAGGCTGGGTGCAGTGGCTGTAATCCCAGCACTTTGGGAGGCCAAGGTGAGCAGATCACTTGAGGTCATGAGTTCGAGACTTGCCTTGCCAACATGGTGAAGCCCTGTCTCTACTAAAAATATAAAAATTAGCCAGGTTAGGCCAGGGATAGTGGCTTACGCCTGTAATCCCAGCATTTTGGAGGCCGAGGTGGGCGGATTATAAGGTCAGGAGTTTGAGACCAGCCAATATGGTGAAACTCCGTCTCTACTAAAAATACAAAAATTAGTCAGGTGTGGTGGTAGGCGCCTGCCTGTAGTCCCAGCTACTCGGGAGGCTGAGGCAGAAGAATTGCTTGAACCCGGGAAGCAGAGATTGCCGTAAGCTGAGATCGCGCCATTGCACTCCAGCCTGGGCGACAGAGGAAGACTCCGTCTCAAAAAGAAAAAAAAGTTAGCCAGGCATTGTGGAGGTTACCTGTAATCGCAGCTCCTCAGGAGGCTGAGGCAGGAGAATCACTTGAACCTGGGAGGTGGAGGTTGCAGTGAGCCAAGGTCACACCACTCCACTACAGCCTGGGTGACAGAGCGAGACTCCATCTCAAAATAATAATCATAATAATAATGAAAAGAAATGATGCTGGATGCAGTGGCTCATGCCTATAATCCCAACACTTTGGGAGGCCAAAGCAAGAGGATCACTTGAAGCCAGGAGTTTGAGACCAGCCTGGGCAATGTAGCAGGACCCTATCTCTACAAAAACATATATATTTTAAAAATTAGCCAGGTGTGGTGGTGCATGTCTGTAGTCCCAGCTACTCGCATGGCTGAGGCAGGAGGATCACCTCAGTCCAGTAATTTGAGGCTGCAGTAAGGTGTGATCACACCACTGGACTCCAGCCTGGGCAATAGAGCAAGACCCTATCTCAAAATAAAAGAATAAAATATACAATAAAAATAAAACAGAGCAAAGAGAATGTCCCCTAGAGCCATGTGTGATCCATACGCTTTGTGAATCCTGACACCTCCTCTCCTTCGAGGTTGTACAACTGTCTTCCAAAGTTGGAAAAAAAAAATGTTTAAAGCTGCCCAGATTCAGGAGGGAGGTCCAAGGGGTACCAGTGCCCTCCCCCATTTCCCAAGGACGACAAGGGTTGCCAGCCTCCCTTGGCCTTGGGGTGTGCGCAGCTCGGCGTGAGGGCCAGTGGTTGATCTTGAAGTTTCTTTCCTACTCCCTCATCCCTTTCCTGCCCAAGCTGTGGTCCCAGCTGACTCCCCTATCAGCGACTGCGAGTGAGTTCGGTTGTTATGGCAACGGGGCTGCGGAGATCCCCGGGAACCTGCTGGTCCGCCTCATTGCCTCACCGTATGGGGAGCTGCTTTTCCCCCTTAAAAATGAAACGGGAGTGGGATGGGGGAGGAACCCCCTTCTTCTGCTCTGGAATGAAATGCCTCCCTCACCTGCTTTGTCCCAAACCCCCGGTTTGGAGAGGAGGGTCTGGATGGGACCCAGACTGTGGATAAGGATGGAGGGAGGAGAACTCCTGCTCCCTGGGTTTTAGCAGCCTTCCCAGGTCCCACCGAACACGAGGAACACGGTCTTTCTCCAGCTCCAACTTTTCTCATCTGTCCATTCATTTTTTCCACAGGAGGCATGAGGAGGTGAGAGATGGAAAGAATGCTGCCTGTCATTTGGAGTCAGAAGGAAAAGAAGGTTGAGGGTCTGGCAGCTTTGCTCTAGTGGTTTTTTCCTGTTTCACCTTTTACAAAATCGAGATAATTGTTTCTACTTGGTAGCGATATTGTGAGGTGTAAAATGGATTAACACATGCAAAATGCTTAAAGCAACTTCTGGCATATGGCATATGGTGATCTCTCAACCAATCGATTGTTATTTTATTATTATTTTTTTGAGACGGAGTTTTGCTCTTGTTACCCAGGCTGGAGTGCAATGGTGTGATCTCGGCTCACTGCAACCTCTGTTTCCCGGATTCAAGCGATTTTCCTCCTTCTCCAGGTGTCCACCACCACGCCCAGCTAATTTTTTGTTGTTTTTTGTTTTGTTTTGTTTTGTTTGTTTGAGACAGAGTCTCGCTCTGTTGCCCAGGTTGGAGTGCAGTGGCGCGATCTCGGCTCACTGCAAGCTCTGTCTCCCAGGTTCATGCCATTCTCCTGGCTCAGCCTCCCCAGTAGCTGGGACTACAGGCGCCCGCCATCACGCCTGGCTAATTTTTGTATTTTTAGTAGAGATGGGGTTTCACCGTGTTAGCCAGGATGGTCTCCATCTCCTGACCTCGTGATCCGCCCACCTCGGCCTCCCAAAGTGCTGGGATTACAGGCGTGAGCCACCACGCCTGGACAATTTTTTGTATTTTTAGTAGAGACGGGGTTTCACCATGTCAGCCAGGCTGGTCTCAAACTCCTGACCTCAGGTGATCCACCCGCCTCAGCCTCCCAAAGTGCTGGAATTACAGGCGTGAACCACCGTGCCCAGCAGGGAGACCCTGTTTCTACAAGAAAAAATTTACTGTGATCCCAGCACTTTGGAAGGCCAAGGTGGGAGGATCACTTGAGCCTAGGAGTTCAAGTCCAGCCTGGGCAACATACATAGGGAGAACCCATCTCTTAAAAAAAGAAAAGAAGAAGAAAGAAGAAAGAAGAAGAAGAAGAAGAAGAAGAAGAAAGAAAAAGAAATAATTACATGTAACCCTACCAGCAGTTTTGTGGGATTGCTATGATCATACCCATTTCACAGATTAGGTAACTGAGGTTTTAGTGCCCTGGAGATGAAGGCATTCTCTAGTCTCCCAGAAGCCCTGGACTCTTGAACAACCCCAAATGCTAAACTCAGCAGTAAAATGGCTGGTGGCTCCTACCTGAGGGTTCACAGAGGGGCTGCCTGTGCTTGTCTCCCAGCCCTTTCTTCCTGTGTATTAAGAGGGTTGCAGCTACTTCAGGGCCAGCGTCTCCACAAGTCATCATGACGGCTTCCTGATCATGGCTCTCTCTCTCTCTTTTTTTTTTTTAAGACGAAGTCTCGCTCTGTCGCCCAGGCTGGAGTGCAGTGGCATGATCTCGGCTCACTGCAAGCTCCGCCTCCTGGGTTCACGCCATTCTCCTGCCTCAGCCTCCTGAGTAGCCAGGATTATAGGCCTGCGCCACTGTGGCCAGCTAGTTTTTTTGTATTTTTAGTAAAGATGGGGTTTCACTGTGTTGGTCAGGGTGGTCTCGAACTCCTGACCTCAAATGATCCACCTGCCTTGGCCTCCCAAAGTGTTGGGATTACAGGTGTGAGCCACTGCGCCTGGCCTGGAGATCTGTTTGTCATATTGGTGAACACTTTTAAACAACCAGATCTTGTGAGAACTCACTCACTATCACAAGCACAGCAAGGGAGGCCTCTGACCCCATGATCCAATCACCTCCCACCAGGCCCTTCCTCCAACACCAGGGATTACAATTCAACATAAGATTTGGGTGGGGGGGATACAAATCCAAACCATATCACAGGACCTGTGTTCCCACCTCCTAAACCTGGGTGGGACTTGTGACTGCTCCAACCAATGGAGTATGAAGGAATTGAGTCAATGAGGTTTTGAAGGTTGAGTCATAGAAGATGGCTTTCACCTGGCCTGTCTTTCTCCCTCTCTCTCTCTCTCTTTCTTCCCTCCCTCCCTCCCTCCCTCACTCCCTTCCT
The DNA here is from genome assembly GCF_000001405.40 of Homo sapiens. Classification (NCBI taxonomy): domain Eukaryota; kingdom Metazoa; phylum Chordata; class Mammalia; order Primates; family Hominidae; genus Homo; species Homo sapiens. The sequence continues at coordinate 14,256,444 of NC_000019.10, forward strand.
TCCTTCTTCCCTCCCTTCCTCACTTCCTCTCTCTCTCCCTCCCTCCCTCTCTCTTTCTCCCTTCCCTCGCCTCCCCTCGCCTCCCCTCCCCTCCTCTTCCTTTCTTCCTTTCTTCCCTGCTTGCTTGCTTGCTTGCTCGCTCTGCTGCCCAGGCTGGAGTGCGGTGGTGCCATCATAGCTCACTGCAGCCTCAAACTCCTGGGCACAAGTGATCCTCCCCAGCCTCCCCAGTGCCTGAGACTACAGGCACATGGTGCCTCATCTGCCTGATTTTTAAATTTTTTGTAGAAATGGGGTCTTGTGGCAGACGTGGTGGCTCACGCTTGTAATCCCAGCACTTTGGGAGGCTGAGGCAGGTGGATCACCTGAGGTCAGGAGTTTGAGACCAGCCTGGCTAACATGGTGAAACCCTGTCTCTACTAAAAATACAAAAATTAGTTGGCAGGGGTGGTGGGCGCCTGTAATCCCAGCTACTTGGGAGGCTGAAGCAGGAGAATCGCTTGAACCCGGGAGGCGGAGGTTGCAGTGAGTTGAGATTGTGCCACTGCACTCCTGCCTGGGCAACAAGAGTGAAACTCCGTCTCAAAAAAAAAATTTTTTTTTTTTGTAGAGATGGGCGTCTCCTTATGTTGCCCAGACTGGTCTTGAACTTTGAGCTTCAAATCCTGCCTCAGCCTCTAGAGTAGCTGGAATTGTAGGCAAGAGCCACTCTGTCTGGTGGTTTTTAACAGTTTTTTTTTTTTTTTTTTTTAAGAGACAGGGTCTCACCAGGCGCAGTGGCTCACGCCTGTAATCCCAGCACTTTGGGAGGCCAAGGCAGGTGGATCACCTGAGATCAGGAGTTCGAGACCAGCCTGACCAATATGGTGAAACCCTGTCTCTACTAAAAATACAAAAATTAGCTGGGCGTTGTGGCATGCACCTGTAGTCCCAGCTACTCTGGAGGCTGAGACAGGAGAATCGCTTGAACCTGGGAGGCAGAGGTTGTGGTGAGCCAAGATTGCACCACTGCGCTCTAGCCTGGGCAACAGCAAGACTCCATCTCAAAAAAAAAAAAAAAAAGAGAGACAGGGTCTCAATTTATTGCGCAGGCTGGAGTGCAGTGGTGCAATCATAGCTGCAGTCATAGCTCACTACAGCCTCAAACTCCTGGGCTCAAGGATCCTCCCAGCTCTTCTAAAATATTAGCCGGAGGGTGGGTAGCATGTACCAACTCTTGGGCTTAGTAATCCTCCTGCCTCAGACTTCCAAATCGCTGGGATTACAGGTGTGAACCACTGCACCTGGCCCTCTTGTTTCTAAGGATATCAGTCATTGGATTTAGGGCCTACCCTAAAATCCAAGATGTTCTGATAGTGAGATCTTTAACTTAATTCCATCTGCAAAGACCCTATTTCCAAATAAGGCCACATTCACAGATACCAAAGGTTACACATTTCTTCTTTCTTCTTCTTTCCTCCTCCTCCTCCCCTTCCCTTCCTTTTTTTTTTTTTTTTTTTTTTGAGACGGAGTCTCGCTCTGTCGCCCAGGCTGGAGTGCAGTGGCACAATCTTGGTTCACTGCAAGCTCTGCCTCCCGGGTTCACGCCATTCTCCTGCCTCAGCCTCCACAATAGCTGGGAATACAGGCGCCCGCCACCATGCCTGGCTAATTTTTTGTATTTTTTAGTAGAGATGAGGTTTCATCATGTTAGCCAGGATGGTCTCGATCTCCTGACCTCGTGATCCGCCTGCCTCGGCCTCCCAAAGTGCTGGGATTACAGGCGTGAGCCACCGCGCCCGGCCCCCTTTCTTCTTCTTTCTTCTTTTTTCCTTCCCCTTTCCCTTCTCCTCCTCCCCCGCCTCCCTCCCCTTCCCTTTCATCTTCTTTCTTCCTTCCCCTTCTTCTTCTCCTCCCCCTCCCCTTCCCTTTGTTCTTCTTCTTTCTTCTTTCTTCCTTTCCCTTCCCCCTGCTCCTCCTCCTGCTCTTCTTCTCTTTTCTTCTTTCTTTTCAGGCTCTTACCCTGTTGCCTAGGCTAGAGTGCAGTGGCACAATCATGTCTCACTGCAGCCTTGACCTCCCGGGCTCAGGTGATCCTCCTGCCTCAGCCTCCCAAGTAGCTGGGACTACAGGCATGTATCACCACACCTGGCTAATTTTTAAAATTTTTTTGTAGAGATGGGGTATTGCTATATTGCCCAGGCTGGTCTTGAACTCCTGGACTCAAAGGATCCTCCTGCCTCAGGCTCCCAAAGTGCTGGGATTACAGGCGTGAGCCACCGGGCCCGGCCCATACATATCTGCTTTGGGGCCACAATTCAACCTGCTACAATCACAATAGATGTTGTGATTTTTCCACCTCTTTCTCTTTTTTTGGACTTGTTTTTCATAGTCTGGGGCATAATTCATTTAAACCATTTTCTTTGATTGATGAACCGTACATTGTTGCCAACTCTTTGTTCTTTCCTAGTTTTTTGTCTGCACTGTATTGTACTGGAGAACAAATATTTCTCCAAGAAGTGTTCCCACTGGTGGAAGGACAGGCTGGTTTTTGGTTTTTGGGTGTTTTTTGAGACGGAGTTTCACTCTTGTCACCCAGGCTGGAGTGCAATGGCATGAGCTCAGCCCACTGCAACCTCTGCCTCTCGGGTTTAAATGATTCTCCTGCCTCAGCCTCCCGAGTAGCTGGGATTATAGGCGCCTGCCGCCATACCCGGCTAATTTTTGTATTTTTGGTAGAGACGGAGTTTCATCATGTTGGCCAGGCTGGTCTCAAACTCCTGACCTCAGGTGATCCGCCGGCCTTGGCTTCCCAGAGTGCTGGAATTACGGGTGTGAGCCATCTCATCCGGCTGATGGGCTGGTTTGGTTTTTTGTTGTTGTTGTTGTTGTTGTTGTTGAGACAGAGTCTTGCTCTGTCACCAGGCTGGAGTGCAGTGGCGTGATCTTAGCTAACTGCAACCTCCGCCTCCTGGGTTCAAGTGATTCTCCTGCCTCAGCCTCCCAAGTAGCTGGAACTACAGGTGTGCGCCACCACACCCAGCTAATTTTTGTATTTTTTAAGTAGAGACGGGTTTCACCATGTTGGCCAGGATGGTCTCAATTTCTTGACCTCAGGATCTGCCCACCTTGGCCTCCCAAAGTGCTGAGATTATGGGTGTGAGCCACCGCGCCCGGCCGATGGGCTGTTTTTGTGTTCTGGGTTGGGTAGGATAAGATAGTTCCCACTTGGCTTTCTAGATCCACTTTTCACGCGCCTCTACTTGGCTCTGGTTCTTTGGACAGATCTGGGGTTCCCTGGTCCTCTGCCTTCCATCTGGGGTCAGACAACTGAGAGGAGATGGATGGCAGGACGGGAGTGAATTCAGCTTCAAGCCTGTCCTGAGAACAGGTCACTCACCTGACCCAGAGCCATGGTTTCTGGGGATGGCAACATCTGCCCAGTGTCCCAGGGTGCTAGGGTTGTGATTGAAGCCTTTTAAAATTTTTATGTATTTAGTTAGTTATTGTTTGTTTGTTAGTTTGTTATTGACACAGAGTCTCACCCTGTCACCCAGGCTGGAGTGCAGCAGCAAAATCATGGCTCACTGCAGCCTCAACCTCCTGGGCTCAGGCGATCCTCCCACCTCAGCCTCCCGAGTAGCTGGGAGTACAGGTGCAGGTCACCACACCCAGCTAATTTTTTAATTTGTTTCTAGAGACGGGGTATTGCCACATCCAGGCTGGTCTTGAACTCCTGGACTCAAGGAGTGATCCGCCCGCCTCGGCCTCCCAGAGTGCTGAGATTATAGGAGTGAGCCACTGTGCCGGCCTTTGAAGCTTTTCCTGCAAATTCTCTTATCTTTATGACAGACCTCAGTCACCCACTGTGATTGCAGGATGCTTCCCATGGGGATCGTAACCAAAAAGCATTCTTCTCCAGGAGCTTTTCCTGATAGCAAATGCGTTAGATTTTGGGAACATCTAAAAATAACTTTTTCTTCTTTTTTGTTATTATAGGCAGGAAATACGCTATGTGTAAACCAGAAGACTATAAAGATCTCCACATTTCCAGCCCTGAGGAAACCACTGCTGATCTTTAGGTGTCTATCCTTTTTGTCTTTTTTTTTTTTTTGAGATGGTGTCTTGCTCTGTTGCCCAGGCTGGAGTGTAGTGGCGTGATCTCCGCTCACCGCAACCTCCGCCCCCCAGGTTCAAGTGATTCTCCTGCCTCAGCCTCCCGAGTAGCTGGGATTACAGGCGCCTGCCACCATGCCTGGATACTTTTTCCATTTTTAGTAGAGACGGGGTTTCACCATGTTGGCCAGGCTGGTCTCGAACGCCTGACCTCAGGTGATCCACCCGCCTCGGGCTCCCAAAGTGCTGGGATTACATGTGCCACCATGCCCACCCTTCTTTTTTTGTTTTTTGTTTTTTTGTTGTTGTTCTTGTTGTTTCTAAGACGGAGTCTCCCTGTCTGTCACCCAGGCTGGAGTGCAGTGGCGTGATCTTGGCTCACCACAACTTCTGCCTCCCGGATTCAAGCAATTCTCCTACCTCCGCCTCCCAAGTAGCTGGGACTACAGGCGACTGCCACCACAGCTAATTTTTGTATTTTTAATAGAGATGGAGTTTCACCATATTGGTCAGGATGGTCTCGATCTCCTGACCTCGTGGTCTGCCCGCCTCAGCCTCCCAAAGTGCTAAGATTACAGGCGTGAGCCACCGCGCCTGGCCATTTTTTTTGTTTGTTTTTTGTTTTTTTTGAGACAGAGTCTCCCACTGTCGCCCAGGCCGGAGTGCAATGGTGCCATCGCGGTTCATTGCAAGCTCCGCCTCCTGGGTTGACACCATTTTCCTGCCTCAGTCTCCCTAGTAGCTGGGACTACAGGCACCCGCCACCACGCCTGGCTAATTTTTTTTGTACTTTTAGTAGAGATGGGGTTTCACCATGTTAGCCAGGATGGTCTCTGTCTCCTGACCTCGTGATCCGCCTGCCTCGGCCTCCCAAAGTGCTGGGATTACAGGCGTGAGCCACCGCGCCTGGCCCCCCCCTTCTTTTTTTTTTTGAGATGGGGTCTTGCTCTGTTGCCCAGGCTGGGATGCAGTGGTGTGATCTCGGCTCACTGCAGCCTCCATCTTCCGGGTTCAAGGGATTCTCCTGCCTCAGCCTCCTGAGTAGCTGAGATTACAAGGGCGTGCCACCACACCTGGCTATTTTTTGCATTTTTTGTAGAGACGGGTTTCACTATGCTGGCCAGACTGGTCTTGAACTCCTGACCTCAGGTGATCTGCCTGCCTCAGCCTCCCAAAGTGCTGGGATTACAAGCCTGAGCTGCTGCAGCCAGCCTCCCTCTTGTCTTTCTCAGGACAGGGCTCTGGGATCAGACAGAGCCGGGCCTGAATGCCTGCCTGACCACGATATGCTCTGTGAGCTTGGGCAAGTGTCTCAACCTCTCTGAGCTTCAGTTTCCTCATTTATAAATGGTGTAAGCATAGTGCCAACTTTGTCAGATTGCTGGGTGTAAATGCCCTGAGGTTGATAAATGTCGGTTCCTACTATGTCACCAGGCTGGAGTGCAGTGGTGTTATAGCTAACTGCAGCCCCAAACTCTTGGGCTCAGACGATCCTCCCCGTCAGCCTCCCTAGTAGTAGTATGCCATGACTGTCTAATTTTTTTTTTTTTTTGAGATGGCGTCTCGCTCTGTCACCCAGGCTGGAGTGCACTGGCGCAATCTCAGCTCACTGCAAGCTCCGCCTCCTAGGTTCACGCCATTCTCCTGCCTCAGCCTCCCAAGTAGCTGGGACTACAGGCGCCCGCCACTACGCCCGGCTAATTTTTTTGTATTTTTTAGTAGAGACAGGGTTTCACCGTGTTAGCCAGGATGGTCTCAATCTCCTGACCTTGTGATCTGCCTGCCTCGGCCTCCCAAAGTGCTGGGATTACAGGCATGAGCCACCGCGTCCAGCCATGCCTGGCTAATTTTTTAAAAGGTTTGTTTTAGAGACGGGGTCTCGCTTTGTTGCCCAGGCTGGTCTCGAACTCCTGGTATCAAGTGATCCTCCTCCTCAGCCCCTCAAGTATCTGGGATTACAGGCACAAGCCACCACCCCGGCTACAGGAATGTTATATAACAGATGTTCAAATTCTTCTTCAGGCTTTCTATAGATAACAGGATTTCAGCCCCTCTTCTATGTGACCCAGGCCAAGTTTTGGTCTTGTTCCACAGTCCTAGAACCTGCCGTGTTTTTTTGTTTTGTTTTTTTTTTTTTGAGACGGAGTCTCGTTCTGTCGCCCAGGCTGGAGCGCAGTGGCACGATCTCGGCTCACTGCAAGCTCCGCCCCCCGAGTTCACACAGTTCTCCTGCCTCAGCCTCCGAGTAGCTGGGACTACAGGCACCCGCCACTATGCCTGGCTAATTTTTTTGTATTTTTAATAGAGACGGGGTTTCATACCTGCCATTGGTTTTTAAGATCTTATGTCTGGGCCAGGAATGGTGACTCACACATGTAATCCCAGCACTTTGGGAGGCCAAGGTGGGTGGATCACTGGAGGTCAAGAGTTTGAGACCAGCCTCGCCAACATGGTGAAACCTCATCTCTACTTAAAATACAAAAAGTAGCTGGGCAAGGTGGTGCACGCCTGTAATCCCAGCTACTTGGCAAACTGGGGCATGAGAATCACTTGAACCCGGGAGTTGGAGGTTGCAGTAAGCTGAGATCATGCCACTGCACTCCAGCCTGGGCAAGAGAGGGAGACCCTGTTGAAAAAAAAAATTTAAGGCCGGGTGCGGTGGCTCACGCCTGTAATCCCAGCACTCTGGGAGCCTGAGGCAGGTGGATCACCTGAGGTCAGGAGTTCAAGACCAGCCTGGCCAACATAATGAAACCCGTCTCTACTAAAAGTACAAAAATTAGCTAGGCATGGTGGCGCGTGCCTGTAATCCCAGCTACTTAGGAGGCTGAGGCAGGAGAATTGCTTGAACCCAGGAGGCGGAGGTTGCAGTGAGCCGATATTGAGCCATTGCACTCCAGCCTGGGCAACAAGATCGAGACTCCGTCTCAAAAAATAAATAAATAAATAATAAATGTAAGTGAGACCAGGTAGACTGGTGCATGCCTATAATCCCAGCACTTTGGGAGACTGAGGTGGGAAGATGGCTTGAGCCCAGGAGTCCAAGGCTGCAGTGAGCTATGACCGTGCCACTGCACTCCAGCCTGGGCCACAGAATGATAGACACCTTATCTCTTACAGAAAAAAAAAAAAAATCAAGTGAATGTTTCATTGAGTGCTTACTAAGTTCCATGCACAAAGGCTAAACACCTTGACAGACACTATTTTCTATAACAGTCACAAGAACCCATTTGAAAGAAAGGAGGGCTGGGCGCGGTGGCTCACGCCTATAATCCCAACACTTTGGAAGGCTGAGGCAGGCGGATCACTTGAGGTCAGGAGTTCCAGACCAGCCTGGCCAACAAGGTGAAACCCGGTCTCTACCAAAAATACAAAAATTAGCTGGGGGTGGTGGCTGGCGCCTGTAATCCCAGCTACTCGGAAAGCTGAGGCAGGAGAATCGCTTGAACCTGGGAGGTGGAGGTTGCTGTGAGCGGAGATCGTGCCACTGCACTCTAGCCTGGGCAACAGAGCAAGACTCTGTCTCAAAAAAGAAAAAAAAAGAGAAAGAAAGAAAGGAAGGAGGATCAAGGCACTGCAAGTAAGTGGAGGAGGAGGCAAGATTTCACTCCATCCTTTGCCGTGAGTACTGTCGGTATATCCCCCTAAGTTGTGCCTTGTCTCCATTTGACATCACCAAGCTTGTTATTATTGTGTCTAAACCACAAGCAAATTGGCTATAAGTGAGGGCCACAACCATCAGTTCAACTTGACCAGAATATAGTAACCACCCACCACATGCTAGACCTTATACTTGTCAAGGAAAAACAGCTCAGATCTCCCACCTTCCTGGAGCTTATAAGACTTCGGGGTCACCTCCTTTAGCTTATGCATAGACTTTTATTTTATTATTATTTATTTTCGAGACAGGGTCTCGCTCTGTTACCCAGGCTGGAATACAGTGGTGTGATCTTGGCTCACTGCAGCCTCAACCTCCTGGGCTCAAGTGATTCTCCTGCCTCAGCCTCCCAAGTAGCTGGGACCACAGGCATGCGCCACCACACCTGGCTACTTTTTGTATTTTTAGTAGAGATGGGGTTTCACCATGTTGCCCAGGCTGGTCTCAAATTCCTGACCTCAAGGGATCTGCCCTCCTTGGCCTCCCAAAGTGCTGGGATTACTTTCCAGGTGTGAGCCACCGCGCCCGGCCTGCGCAGACCTTTAAATATGCGCTTCAGTTCTTAGAGAGTTTTAACTGCACTGGATGCTAAGTTGAGTTTCAGATAAAGGTGTCAGAACAATGGCTGGGGGACAATAAGGTGCTGTTACTGGTGATGCCTTGTCTCGGGAGGGAGCAATTTTGGGAGTGGGAAGGGGACAAAAGAAACTGTAGTCCCTAGGGATAAGGGCTGAAGCCCTGGTCCCCAAATGCTTGCATTTGGATCCCAGATTCATTATTTACTTGTGGTGTGACCTTGGACAAGGCCTCTCATTGTCCCGTGCCTCAGTTTCTCCATCTGTAAAGTAGACCTGGTCTTAGTAACCTGCTGCCTAGAACTGTGGTGCGAACTGAGGGAGCTATGCAAAGCTTTAGACAGTGACTGGTTGGCGGCAAGCAATCAATCAATGAAGCCTCCATCACAGTGATCCCTTGGGCTCCCCAGGGAGTAGCAGTTTGGAGGACCCAGATTCTGAACCCACAGAGTTGGTGTGGAAGAGGAAGAGGGAGCCTGGTGAGCCCCCCACTTACACCCCCAGAAGCCTTGGAGCCAAAGCAGCCGGACCCCAGCCCCAGCTTCAGAGGAGCTGCCTTGGGGGTGGGGCTGCCCCGGGGCTGGCCCAGCCCCAGCAAGCTTGTTAATTACTTCTCAGGGTCACGGTCTTAAGGAGCCCCTCCGAGGGGATCTTTGCCCAGCCCTCTGTTTATTGATCGCATCTAATCTCTCCGCAGGCGGGCGGGCCTCTAAATCCTGCTTAACTCTCGGTTCCTGCCCTTTCCGGGCAGGGAGGCCCCCGGGCTGGGTTTAGCTCGCAGCGAATGAGGGCTGGAAAACTGGAGCGCATTGGGAGACCTCTAGGGCCCCCCTAAAACAGAGAAGGGATGGTGGGTTCCCCCCCCACCCACAAGCATCTCGGGACTCCCAACACCTACCCACCTGTGGGCGAGGACACCGCTCGTTTTTGCCCCTCCCAATCCCCGATCTTGGAATCCACTTCTTGTGGCTCCAGAATCCAGGTAGACGGCCCCCACTTCCCCCTCGGCCAGCCCTGGCCTCCCTTGGTCCCCATCAGGGGAAGGAGGATTTGGGAGCTGGGGAGCCGCCCTGACTTGCTGTTCTCCTTTCCTTAAAGAAACCAGCGCCGCTGGAGGGAGTGGAGCCCCTGGCCCCCGGCCTGGCTCGGCTCTTTGCCGAGGTGATTAGGATGCGTCCTCCGAGGGCGCACGGCTTTAACCCGAGTTGCCAGCGCTTTTCGGGCCCCGGGCGATGTCGGTTGTTCAGGGGGCTCTCTGGGTGCCTGGCTGGCCTCCGTTCCCACCTTTGAAGTGAGCTCTGGTTGGATGGTGGGAGGAGCGGGGGCGAGGCGGGGTGTTCTGCTGGGCCGGGTCTGGGAGGAATTCGCGGGAAATGCGGGGGCTTAATGGGGGAAACAGAGGCAGTATCAAATAGACGGCCTGCTGACATTTTTAAAAATGTTTTTACAATTTTTGTTTGTTTATTTTTTTTGAAACCAGGCCTTGCTCTGTTGCCCAGGCTGGAGTGCGGTGGCGTGATCATAGCTCACTGCAGCCTTGAAGTCCTAGGCTCAGGTGAGCCTCCCACCTTGGCCTCCTGAGTAGCTGGGACTACAGGTGCATGCCACCACGCTATGCTAAATTTTGTTTTCTTTCTCGGTAGAGAAGGGGTCTCACTATGTTGCCCAGGCTGTGGCAGGCTGAGCATGAGTGGCTCATACCTGTAATCTCAGCACTTTTGGGAGGCTGAGGCAGGATTGCTTGAGTCCAGGAGTTTGAGACCAGCCTGGGCAACATAGTGAGACCCTGTCTCTACAAAAAAAAAAAAAAAAAAAAAGGCAGGTATGGTGGCACACCCCTAGTCCCAGCTACTCGGGGAGCTGAGGTAGTAGGATCACTTGAGCCCAGGAGTTTTGAGTCTGCAGTGAGCTATGATCGTGCCACTGCACTCCAGCCCGGGCAACAGAGTGAGACCCTTTCTCAAAATAATAATAATAACAATAAAATATAAAATAAAATAAGAAACAAAAACTTGGAAGACAGAGCAGCCTAGGTTCGAATCCTGCCTCCACCACCCAGCACTGGGAGATCCTGAGTGAGTGACTTTGCTTCTTGGAGCTCTCTCCTCGCCTCTGACTTCTCAGCTGCTCTGGGTCAGGAACTGAATGACTAAAAGGGCCTGGTTCAGAATGAGTGCTCCTCCTGGCCAAGAGAGGAGGAGGAAGGACAGGGGTGGGTGGGACAGCTGTAGGGATCCGGGCTGGTGGGTTGGGGAGGTTGCCGGCTCCTACCTTTTAGAGCTCCCAGGCTGTAGACCAAAACTGACATGAATACCTGCTCTTGCCCAGCGGATGTGGATGCCCAGGGGGTCTCTGGGTGGGGAAGAAGTGGGTGTCTATTGGCCCAGTGGTAAAAGGTCTAAGTAAAGGATCTGGGTCTTCAGTTTATATTTCCCTAGGAATGTGTGATGGAGCGCTATGACCAGACATGAGTGTGGTCAGAGATCAGAACCAGGCACCAGTGTGCCCTGACCTGTGCCTCAGTGGTTGCACATTCCTGGTGCACACCTGGTGTATACCTGGCACACAGCACATACCTGGTGCACACCTGGCATATACGTGGCACATGCCTGCCACATTCCTGGTGCACACCGGGAGTATACCTGGCACACACCTGCCACATTCCTGGTGCACACCTAGCGTATACCTAGCACACACCTGCCACATTCCTGGTGCACACCTGGAGTATACCTGGCACACGCCTGCCACATTCCTGATGTACACCTGGTGTACACCTGGCACACGCCTGCCACATTCCTGGTGCACAGCTGGTGTACACCTGGCACACACCTGCCACATTCCTGGTGCACACCTGGTCTATGCCTGGCACACACTTGGTGTACACATGGCATATATCTTTCAGGCTTTCAGCCACTGATCCATCTTGGTCTTGCTCACCCAGTGTCAGAGAGGCATCAGGTACCTGAGTGAGATCACCTTTCTTGATGAAACACAAAATTGGGAACCACATAAAGAGCACTCACTATATACCAGGTGCTGTCTTAAGTGAGTTAACTTTCATTAACTCATTTTATTTTCACAAGATGCTGTTAGTTGGACGCCATTCGTTCTGTTGGCCAGATATTTCCTGCTCTTGCCTTTCCTGTGAGCAAGATAGTATAATTGAGTACCCCCACTTCTCTTTTTCTTTTCTTTCTTTTTTTTTTTTTTGAAACAGGGTCTCACTCTGTCACCCAGGCTGAAGTGCAGTGGCACAATCATGATCATGGTTCACTTCAGTGCAGCCTCTATCACCCAGGCTCAGGTGATCCTCCCACCTCAGCCTCCTAAGTAGCTGGGACTACAGGCGTGTTCCATCATGCCCGGCTAATTTTTTGTAGCGATAGGGTCTCATTATGTTGCCCACGCTGGTCTTGAACTCCTGAGCTCAAGCCTTCTACTTTCCTCAGCCTCCCAAAGTGGTAGGATTACAGGCATGAGCCACTGCAAACAGCCACCCCCATTTTTCTAAGATATGGTTTATTTTTTCTCTCTCTCTCCTCTTTTGTCATTCCCTGGTTCCCCACTTCCTACTCAGCCCTTTAGAAATACAAATATAGGCCGGGCGTGGTAGCTCACTCCTGTAATCCTAGCATTTTGGGAGGCCGAGGTGGGAAAATTACCTGAGGTCGGGAGTTCACGACCAGCCTGGCCAACATGGTGAAACCCCGTCTCACAGTGGCACGCGCCTGTAATTCCAGCCATTCGGGAGGCTGAGGCAGGAGAATCGCTTGAACCCGGGAGGCGGAGGTTGCAGTGAGCCGACATCACGTCACCGCACTCTAGCCTGGGCTACAGAGCGAGGTTTTGTCTCAAAAAAAGAAACAAACAAACGAACAAACAAAAACGAACAAAAAACCCCAAATATAACCTTTTACTCCTTCCTCCCCCAACGCCCCCTTGATTCACCAGACACTCCCTACAGGGCAAGTTCATTAAACTCCTCAAGAGTTGACAGTTGATTTAGAGACCAAAGCATGCCTGCTGCAGAACTCTCACCCATCAGGAGGTTGCCTCAAGAGGTAACAGCCAAATCTACGAAACTCCCTCCATCGGGAGACTACCTCGAAAAACTCCCACCTGGGGAGATTTTGGCCTAGTCCTGTCCACAAAGGTGCCAGCAGCCCCTAGCTCAACCGCCCAGTAGATAAGGCACCAGAGCTAACATGCGCCCCCCACCCTACTTTTTCCCCTGCCTTTTAAAGTGCTGGCTTTCTGCTCCAAAACGGAAGCAGTATGTTTGAAGGTGGGACGCCTGTGCTTCTTCCCCTAAGCTAGTTTTGGAATAAATCACTTTCTTTAGACCAGACCTAGCTCTCGTTAATTGGACTTCGCAAGCTGGCAAGTGACTAACCCACATTTTGGTTACAGTAGCTGCACTTCATGCCCACCTTGTGTTGGATGAGGTCATGTGACTAGCTCTAACCAATGAGCTGTGAGTGAAATTGACAGGCATTATTCCCAAACTACAGCATTTAATTGCCTGTGTGAGATCCCCCAAAGCTCTTACTTCCTTCCAGCGTGACAGCAAGCAATGTTTCATAATGTTCCAGAATGTGGCTGTTCCATCGGAGACTATGATGAGCAGAACCTCCTTGCAACGACCCAAAATGGACATGAAGCCTGGGTGAGGAATAAACGTTGTAGTTTTAAGGTTCTTGGGCTAGTTTGTTTCTGCAGCATGACCTAGCCTATCCTAACCATTACAAATTACACACCCCTTTTTACAGGTGAAGAAACTGAGGCATAGACAGGTTAATCACTGTTCTTGGTCACCCAGCTAGTAAGTGACAAAGTGATAGAGTCAAGGTTAGAATCCGGACAGTCTGACTCTAAAGTCTCTGCTTGCTTGCTTTCTTTTTCTTTCTTTCCTTCTTTCTTTCTTTCTCTTTCTTTCCTTTTCTTTCTTTTTCTTTTTTTCTCTTTCTCTGTTTCTCTCTCTCTCTCTTTTTCTCTCTCTCTCTCTCTTTCTCTCTTTCTTCCTTTCTTGGCGGAGTTTCACTCTTGTTGCCCAGGCTGGAGTGTAATGGCGCGATCTCAGCTCACCGCAACCTTTGCCTCCCAGGTTCAAGCGATTCTCCTGCCTCAGCCTCCCCAGTAGCTGGGATTACAGGCATGTGCCACCACGCCCAGCTCATTTTGTATTTTTAGTAGAGATGGGATTTCTCCATGTTGGTCAGGCTGGTCTCAAACTCCCGAACTCAGGTGATCCTCCCACCTCGGCCTCCCAAAGTGCTGGGATTACAGGCATGAGCCACCATGCCTGGCTTTTTTTTTTTTTTTTTTTTTTTTTTTGAGACGGAGTCTCACTCTGTCGGCCAGGCTGGAGTGCAGTGGCACGATCTTGGCTCACTGCGACCTCCGCCTCTCAGGTTCAAGCAATTCTCCAGCCTCAGACTCCTGAGTAGCTGGGACTACAGGTGCACGAAGCTACGCCTGGCTTTTTTTTTTTTTTTTTTTTTTTTTTTTGTATTTTAGTAGAGACGGGGTTTCACCGTGTTACCCAGGCTGGTCACGAACTCTTGAGCTCAGGTAATCTGCCCGCCTCGGCCTCCCAAAGTGCTGGGATTACAGGCGTTAGCCACCGTGCCCGGCCCCGGCTTTTTTTTTTTTTTTTTTTTTTTTTGAGGAGTCTCACTCTGTCACCCAGGCTGGAGTGCAGTGGCACGATCTTGGCTCACTGGAGCCTCTGCCTCTCGGGTTCAAATGATTCTCTTGCCTCAGCCTCCCAAGTAGCTGGGATTACAGGCGGAGATCATGCCCGGCTAATTTTTGTATTTTTAGTAGATGGGGTTTCACCATGTTGGCCAGGCTGGTCTCAAACTCCTGATCTCAGGTGATCTACATACCTCAGCCTCACAAAGTGCTGGGATTACAGGCATGAGCCACTACACCCAACCTCTTTTTCTATTTTTAGAGACAGAGTCTTGCTCTATCACTCAGGCTGGAGTGCAGTGGTATTATCACAGCTCACTGCAGCCTCAAACCTTTTTTTTTATTTTTAGAGACAGAGTCTTGCTCTATCACTGAGGCTGGAGTGCAGTGGTGTGATCATGGCTCACTGCGGCCTCAGACTTCCGGGTTCAAGCAATTCCTCTCACCTCACCCTCTGAAGTAGCTAGGACTACAGGCATGCACCACCACCCCTGGCTTTCTTTTTTTTTTTTTTTTTTTGTAGAAACTAAGTCTCACTATGTTGCCCAGGCTGGTCTCAAACTCCTGGCCTCAAGCGATCCTCCAGCCTCAGCCTCCCAAAGTGTTAGGATTACAGGCATGAGCCACCAGGCCTGGTCTGCTGTTGTTTCTAAACTGTTATCTTCGGTGGCGGGGGGGGTCCCTAAACATATGGAAAATTCACAAACTGCAACAGATTCTGGATGAGGTTGGCCTTTGCTGTCCTGTTGCCTCTGATAATTTTTTTTTTTTTTTGAGATGGTTTCTCGCCCTGTGGCCCAGGCTGGAGTGCAGTGGCGTGATCTCAGCTCACTGCAACCTCCATCCACCTCCTGGGTTCCAGCAATTCTCCTGCCTCAGGCTCCTGAGTAGCTGGGACTATAGGCATGAGCCACCACGCCTGGCTAATTTTTGTATTTTTAGTAGAGATGGGGTTTCTTTTTTCTTTTCTTTTTTTCTTTTTTTGTGAGACGGAGTCTCGCTCTGTCACCCAGGCTGGAGTGCAGTGGCACGATCTTGGCTCACTGCAAGCTCCAACTCCCAGGTTCACGCCATTCTCCTGCCTCAGCCTCCTAAGTAGCTGGGACTACAGGCGTCCGCTACCACGCCCAGCTAATTTTTTTTTTCTATTTTTAGTAGAGACGGGGTTTCACCGTGTTAGCCAGGATGGTCTCGACCTCGTGATCCGCCTGCCTCAGGCTCCCAAAGTGCTGGGATTACAGGTGTGAGCCACCATGCCCGGCCAAGACAGGGCTTCACCATGTTAGCCAGGCTGGTCTCGAATTCCTGACCTCAGTTGATCCACCTGCCTCAGCCTCCCAAAGTGCTGGGATTACAGGCATGAGCCATCTCGCCCTGCCACCCCTGATCATTTTTGGCTTCTTGTTTCTTTCCCTCTTGAGCACTGGCTCTCTTGGTTGGTTTCTCTCTAGCATCTCCCCTGGGGGAGATCTAGGAGGCTGGACAAGAGGATTGAGTAACATCCTCCTCCCTCTAACACCCACCTGGACCCTTTAGTTCCTTCAGCCTTACACCTCCAATCCCCTCTGATCTCCTTGCCAATCCCCTGCTCTGCCTACACTCTGATCACATGAGCCCTAACACTTCCTCCTAAGGGCTGGAGAACAATTGTTTGCTACAGGGAGAAAAATCCTCAAGCCAGAGAGCTGAGCCATTAGACTCCTGGGTCCTGAGGAGAGCCCGGAGCTGAGGTTTCAGAAATGTCTTCTCACCTCTTCATCCCTTGGGCTGCCTCCTGTCACTTCCCGGGGTCTCTGAGTCCCCTCTGCACTCAGAAGCTCCCAGGGAGGACCAGCCAGACAGGGCTCAGGACACTTACAGGCAAACCTCCACTCCTCCCGCCCTGACCAGTTAACGCGACACTTATTCTACATTAAATACCAATTGGACCAATTTTCTGCTGTAATTAAAACCTCTGCAGACGTGTTCCCTGCTCAGCAGTGATGAGTTTATTAACCTCCAGCTCTGAAGGAATGTGGGGGCAGGGGAGAGGGAAGGAAAGAAGAGAGTTTTCCAGATTAGGAGATTGGACCCAGGGAGAGGGTGGGTTTGGAGCTGTGCTGTCTCCTAGCTGGGCTCTGAGCAAGAGACAGATGGGGGTGTGTGCGAAAGCATTAACATCTGTGTGTTTGCTGCCTCTGCAGTGGGGACTTGCAAATATCTACCCCCACCACCCTGACCTGCTACAGAACCAGGACTGCCCTCCCATAATCAAGTGTGTTTTATAGCCCTACTTCCCAAATTATTGGCAGGCAGCATGTCCTGAATCTGGAAATACAGCCTCTTTCAGTTCAACAATCTGGCCTTGTATGGGATCGTTTGTTACGTAGCATAACTTAGGTTATCTGACTATTACATATTGTATCTCCACTTCATAGCTGGTGAAACAGGCACATGCCACCATGCCCAGATAATTTTCTCCTCTGGGCAGGAGACAGATGGAGGCGTGTCCAAAAGCATTGACAACTATTGTGTTTGCCGCTTCTGTGGTGGTGACTTGGAAGTATCTGAACCCCCATCACCCTGACCTCAGTTTCACAACAGAGGCCCAGTTTGCATACAAACCTAGGTGAGGTCATGAAGGGTTCATAGCTTGCAGCCATAGAGGCTGGAAATCAATGCCTAGTACATCCCTGGCAGCTCAAGGAGTCAGCTCATTTCTGTTCATTAGAGATCACAGAATCATCACGTTCTCTCTCTCTTTTTTTTTGAGATGGAGCCTCGCTTTGTCACCTAGGCTAGAGTGCAGTGGCGCAATCTCGGTTCACTGCAACCTCCGCCTCCAGGATTCAAGCGATTCTCCTGCCTCAGCCTCCCGAGTAGCTGGGACTACAGGAATGTGCCACTACGCCCCGCTAATTTGTTTGTATTTCAGTAGAGACGGGGTTTGACCATTTTGGCCAGGCTAGTCTCAAACTCCTGACCTCAGGTGATATGCCCACCTCGGCCTCCCAAAATGCTAGGATTACAGGTGTGAGCCGCCATGCTTGGCTATTCTTTTTTTTTCTGAGATGAGATTTCACTGTCCTCCAGGCTGGAATGCAGTGGGGCAATCATAGCTCACTGCAGCCTCAAACTCTTGGGCTCAAGCCATCCTCGGCCTCCAGAGTAGCCGGGACCACAGGTGCACACCACCATGCCTGGCTAATATTTTTTTTTTTTTACTGCTTGTAGAGATGGGGGTCTCACTATGTTGCCCAGGCTGGTCTCAAAACTCCTGGGCTCAAGCAATCCTCCTGCCTCAGCCTCTCAAAGTGCTGGGATTACAGGCGTGAGCCGCAGCGCCCCGTCCTGCTCATTTCCTTTTATTACCAACAATTCTCCATTCTTTATTTTTAATATCCCCTTCATTCACCAGGGCTCAACTTTGTCATCCAACTTTTATTGCTTTGTGGGGAGGAACGCAACCAAAGAGACACTGGGAGGCAATGACCTCATGGAACAAGGAAGCTGTGTTGGACATCTGGAATGGAGTTGGATTTCCACCATGGCCCAAAACACTTCCAATTCCTCCTTCTAGCATGTTTCGAACCCTGTGGCCAACACTGCCATTTGTCACCTTTTTGAATGTGTTGGATTATCTGTTAGCCTATCTACATCTTGTTTTCCTGTGTATTTCAGGGGCTGGAATTCTGGCAACTACTCCTTGTCTAAGATTCTGTTGCCAGGAGGGTTACAGGGTGGATTCTATAAATGAGGAGCATCAGATCGTCGTGGTGGCTCACACCTGTAATCCCAGTACTTTGGGAGGCCAAGGCAGGCGGATCGCTTGAGCTCAGGAGTTCGAGACCAGCCTGGGCAACACGGTGAAAGCCCATCTCTACTAAAAATACAAAAAATTAGCAGGGTGTGGTGGCACATGCCTGTAATCCCAGCTACTTTGGAGGCTGAGGCGGGAGGATCACTTGAGCCTGGGAGGCAGAGGTTGCAAGTGAGCTGAGATCACACCATTGCACTCCAGCCTGGGTGACAAGAGTGACACTCCGTCTCAAAAAAAAAAAAAAAAAAAAAAGAGAGCGAGAACATGTGGCCTGCAAAGACAGAAATATTTAGATTCTGATCCTTGATGGAAAAAGTTTTCCATCCTCTGCTCTTGACTTCATTTGGTCATTCCCACAATGAATAAGTTAGTTCTAGGATCTTGGAGCAAACATGTCTGTATTAGTCTGTTTTCACACCGCTATAAAGAACTATGTGAGAGTGAGTAATTTATGAAGAAAAAAGGTTTAATTGACTCACAGTTCCGCATGGCTGATGGGGCCTCAGGAAACTTACAATCATGACAAAAAGTGAAGGGAAAGCAAGGCACATCGTACATGGAGGCAGGGGAGAGAGAGAGAGAGAGAGAGAGAGAGAGAGAGGAGAGAGAGAGAGAGAGAGAGAGAGAGAGAGAGAGAGAGAGAGAGAGAGAGAGAGAGAGAGGAAGTGCCAGACGCTTATCAAACAACCAGATCTGGTGAGAACTCATTGTCACGAGAATAGCAAGGGGGAAATGCTCCCGTGATCCAATCTCCTCCCACCAGGTCCCTCCCCTCGACACGTGGGGATTACAATTCTAGATGCGATTTGGGTGGAGACACAGTCAAACATGTCAGTGTTCTTTCTCTAAGGCTCCATTTTGTCCTCTGTAAAATGGGGTGAGAGGCCCCTACTTAACTGCACGAGCTTGCTCTGCAATTAAAATTGCATGTCATGGGCCAAGGGACTTTGAAAGTGGGACAGCTCCTGCAGGTGCTTTTGGCTGGAGTCACAGGATCCAAAACCCCCCAGTAATCCCCACATCTTTCCTTTCTTTTCTCTCTCTTTTCTTTTTTCTCTTTCTCTTTCTTTCTTTTCTTTCTCTCTTTCTTTTTCTCTTTCTTCCCCCTCTCTCCTTCCCTTCCCTTCCCTCCCTCCCTCCCTTCCTTTTCCTTTTTTCTGAGAAAGAGTCTCGCTCTTATCACCCAGGCTGGAGTGCAGTTTCGTGATCTTGGCTCACTGCAACGTCTGCCTCCTGGATTCAAGCTGTTCTCCTGCCTCAGCCTCCTGAGTAGCTGGGATTACAAGCGCCCACCACCACGCTCAGCTAATTTTTGTACTCTTAGTAGAGATAGGGTTTTGACATGTTGACCAGGCTGGTCTCGAACTCCTAACCTCAGGTGATCCGCCCACCTTGGCCTCCCAAAGTGCTGGGAATACAGGTGTAAGCTACTGCGCCCAGCCCTTTTCTTTCTTTCTTTTTTTTTTTTTTTTGAGACAGAGTCTCACTGTGTTGCCCAGGCTGGAGTGCAGTAGTGTGTTCTCAGCTCACTGCAACCTTCACCTCCCGGGTTCAAGCTATTCTCCTGCCTCAGCCTCCTGAGTAGCTGGGATAACAGGTGCCTGCCACCAAGCCCGGTTAATTTTTGTACTTTTAGTAGAGACAGGGTTTCACCATGTTAGCCAGGCTGGTCTGAAACTCCTTACTGTCAGGACTCTGAGCCCAAGCTAAGCCATCATAACCCCTGTGACCTGCACGTATACATCCAGACGGCCTGAAGCAACTGAAGAACCACAAAAAAAGTGAAATAGTCAATTCCTGCCTTAACTGGCTAATGGTGGATGACATTCCACCATTGTGATTTGTTCCTGCCCCACCCTAACTGATCAATTGACTTTGTGACATTCCTTCTCCTGGACAATGAGTCTCAGGAGCTCCCCACCGAGCACCTTGTGACCCCCGCCCCTGCCCACAAGAGAAAACCCCGTTTAACTGTAATTTTCCACTACCTACCCAAATCCTATAAAACTGCCCCACCCCTTTGCTGACTCCTTTTTTGGACTCAGTCCGCCTGCACCCAGGTGATTAAAAAGCTTTATTGCTTACAGAAAGCCTGTTTGGTGGTCTCGTCATATGGACGCATGTAATACTGACCTCAGGTGATCTGGCTGCCTCAACCTCCCAAAGTGCTGGGATTACAGGTGTGAGCCACTGTGTCTGGCCCTTTTCTTTCTTTTTAGTGGAAATGGGGTCTTGCCATGTTGGTCAGGCTGGTCTCGAACTCCTGGCCTCAAGCAATCCTCCCTCCTCAGCCTCCCAAAGTGCTGGGATTATAAGCATGAGCCACTGCACCCAGCTACCTTTCTCAGTTCTGCCTTAATGTCTCACGTGGCTGTTTTCCTTTTCTCTTGTGTATTCTTTCCTCCCCCTCTGTCTTCTTGCTTTTTTTTTTTTTTTTTTTTTGAGAGAGAGTCTCATTCTGTCACTCAGACTGGAGTGCAGTGGTGTGATCTTGGCTCATTGCAACCTCTGCCTCCCATGTTCAAACGATTCTCCCACCTCAGCCTCCCAAGTAGTTGGGACTACA
Organism: Homo sapiens; assembly: GCF_000001405.40. Lineage (NCBI taxonomy): Eukaryota > Metazoa > Chordata > Mammalia > Primates > Hominidae > Homo > Homo sapiens. The sequence continues at coordinate 14,276,831 of NC_000019.10, forward strand.
GGCGCACGCAATCATACCCAGCTAATTTTTGTATTTTTAGTAGAGACAGGGTTTCACCATGTTGGTCAGGCTGGTCTTGAACTCCTGACCTCAAGTGATCCGCCCACCTCAGCCTCCCAAAGTGCTGGGATTACAGGCGTGAGCCACCGCTCCCAGCCTCTACTTGCTTTTTCCTTCTCACACCTCTCTCTTCTCTTCTGGTTCCCTCTCCCAGCCTTCTCTCTGCACCTCCTCCCCTGCCACTTGCTCTCTTCAAACTCGGGGATGTGAGAAAGTTCCCGCAGAAATTGCAATCTCCTCTCCTCTCATGTGGCTCCGAGATAAGACAGTAAAAATCCGATTTTCAGCAATTTGCTTCATTTGTGAGCTCTCCGGAGTCTCCCTTTCTCCCCCTGACATAAGCTTAGCAAAATTGCCTGGGTGGAGTGGATATTTTTAACCACTTAGTAGTCAGAGCGGGTTCAGAAAGTTTTGCAAGAAACCGGGCCAGGCCCTGTGCCTGGGGTTGCTGGCGGGTTTGGGGCTGGAGGGAAGCACGTGGGGTGGCCTCAAAGGGTTTAGTGGAGGGGCATTTAAGAAGAGGATGTCCGCCGGCCATGGTGGCTCAAGCCTGTAATCCCAGTGAGAGGTGACAGTGTGCTGGCAGCCCTCGCAGCCCTCGCTCGCTCTCGGCGCCTCCTGGGCCTCAGGCGCCCACTCTAGCCGCGCTTGAGGGGCCCTTCAGCCTGCGGCTGCAATGTGGGAACCCCTCTCTGGGTTGGCTGAGGCCGGAGCCAGCTCCCTCAGCTTGTGGGGAGGTGCGGACTGGTGGAAACCAGGGCTGCCCGCTGCACTTGCAGGCCAGCGTGAGTTCCAGGTGGGTGTGGGCTCCGTGGCCCCGCACTCGGAGCAGCAGGCTGGCGCTGCCGGCCCTGGGCAGTGAGGGGCTTGGCACCCGGGCCAGCAGCTGCGGAGGGTTCGCCGGGTCCCGGCGCTGTGCTCGAATTCTCGCTGGGCCTCAGCTACCTCCCCGCCGGGCAGGGCTCGGGATCTGCAGCCTGCCATGCTTGAGCCTTCCCCCAACGCCATGGCCTCTTGTGCGGCCTGAGCCTCCCCTACCAGCGCCGCCCCCTGCTCCGCGGCGCCGGGTCCCACCGACCACCCAAGAGCTGAGAAGTGCGGGCGCACAGCGCGGGACTGGCAGGCAGCTCCACCTGCTGCCCTGGTGCGGGATCCACTATGTGAAGCCAGCTGGACTCCTGAGTCCAGTGGGACTTGGAGAACCTTTATGTCTAGCTAAGGGATTGTAAATATACCAATCAGCACTCTGTCTAGCTCAAGGCTTGTAAATGCACCAATTAGCACTCTGTGTCTAGCTCAAGATTTGTAAATACACCAATCAGCACTCTGTGTCTAGCTCAAGGTTTGCACTCTGTATCTAGCTAATATGGTGGGGACTTGGAGAACCTTTAGTGTCTAGCTAAGGGATTGTAAATACACCAATCAGCACTCTCTGTCTAGCTCAAGGTTTGTAAATGCACCAATCAGTGCTCTGTGTCTGGCTAATCTAGTGGGGACTTGGAGAACTTTTGTGCCTAGCTCAGGGATTGTAAACGCACTAATTGGCACCCTGTCAAAATGGACCAATCAGCTCTCTGTAAAACGGACCAATCAGCAGGATGTGGGTGGGGCCAGATAAGGGAATAAAAGCAGGCTGCCCGAGCTAGCAGTGCCAACCTGCTCCCATTCCCGTCCATGGTGTGGAAGTTTTGTTCTTTTGCTCTTTGCAATAAATCTTACTGCTGCACACTCTTTGGGTCTGCATTGCGTTTATGAGCTGTGACACTCACCGCGAAGGTCTACAGCTTCACTCCTGAGGCCAGTGAGACCAGGAACCCACCGGGAGGAATGAACAACTACAGACGTGCTGCCTTAAGAGCTGCAACACTCGCCGTGAAGGTCTGCAGCTTCACTGCCGAAGCCAGCGGGACCACCAGCCCGCCAGAAAGAAGAAATTCCAAACACATCCGAACATCAGAAGGAACAAACTCCCGACACACCACCTTTAAGAACTGTAATACTGCAAGGGTCTGCGGCTTCGTTCTTGAAGTCAGTGAGACCAAGAACCCACTGATTCTGGACACACCAGTACTTTGGGAGGCCAAGGCGGGTGGATCATGTGAGGTCCTGTTCAAGACTAGCCTGGCCAACAGGATGAAACACCGTCTCTACTAAAAATACAGAAAATTAGCCAGGCATGGTAGCACATGCCTTGTCTATAGTCCCAGCCGCTCAGGAGACTGAGGCAGGAGAATTGCTTGAACCCGGGAGGTGGAGGTTGCAGTGAGCTGAGATCGCGCCACTGCACTCCAGCCTGGGTGATGGAGTGAGACTCTGTCTCAAAAAAAAAGAAAAAAAATGGATGTGACTGAAGAAAGAAAAGAGGTTCCCTTTGGAAGAAGCAGATCTGCTCTTGAGGGGGTGAAGCTGCAGGGGAACGCCCAGGCTTTTTCCCTCCCACCAGTACCTCCTTTTGGCTGAATCCAACCCCAAAGCAGAGGGCAATGGAGCCCAGTGGTGTGGGCCTAGAGGTCAGCTCTCAGGACATAGAACAGGATGGTTGGCCGGACGCAGTGGCTCATGCCTGTAATCTCAGCACTGTGGGAGGCAGAGATAGGAGAATTGCTTGAACCTGGGAGGCGGAGGTTGCAGTGAGCTGAGATCACTCCACTGCACTCCAGCCTGGGAGACAGAGCAAGACTCTGTCTCAAAAAAAAGAAAAAAAAAAAACACCAAAAAACAGGATTGGACTGCAGATTGATGGAACCTGGGGTAGGTAACAGGAATAGAGAATGACCTGCATAGAAGCCACATGTCCTAACTTCCTAATACACCTTAGGGATACCCCTGAGAAGCCAGTCTGGAGACCAAAGGCATCTCCTTCCCAAAACCAAAATGGGGGGTGGGAATAATGAACATTTAGTGAGCACCTACCATGTACCAGGCATATGCTAAGTGCTTTATGTGTACGACGTCATTGAATCCCCACAGAAGTCAATGAAGGAAGCCTTTTTCTTTGTTGGCTGCTGGGACAAAAATCAAAATCACAGTGGCTCAAGGAATTAATATAGAATCAGGGTCTCGCTCTCTTGCCCAGGCTAGCGTGTAGGGGCACAATCATGGCTCACTACAGTTTTGACCTCCCTAGGCTCAAGCGATCCTCCCACCTCAGCCTCCCAAGCAGGTGGAACTATAGGCATGTGCCACCACGCCTGGCAAATTCTAAAGTTTTTTGTAGAGGTGGGGTCTTGTTGTGTTGTCCAGGCTGGTCTCCTTGGCCTCCCAAAGTGCTGGGATTGCAGGTGTGAGCCAACATGCCTGGTCCAATTTAGATTTTGTTTTTTAAGATGGAGTCTTGCTCTGTTGCCCAGGCTGGAATGTAGTGGCACCATCTCGGCTCACTGCAACCTCTATCTCCTGGGTTCAAGCAATTATCCCTGCCTCAGCCTCCCAAGTAGCTGGGATTACAGGCGCCCGCCACCATGCCCAGCTAATTTTTGTATTTTTAGTAGAGATGGAGTTTCGCCACATTGGCCAGGCTGGTCTCGAACTCCTGATCTCAGATGATCCACCCACCTCAGCCTCTCAAAGTGCTGGGATTACAGGCATGAGCCACTGCCCCCGGCCCCAGTTTAGATTTTAAAGAAATTACTAAGGCTGCTAAACCTTATGTTGCTCTCAGCCCCAAGGGCACTGAGAGTTGGGTTTTCCCGATCCCAGGCTTCCTGGGTATAGCTCAGACCACCCTTAAATTTTCCACCCATGCTCCCTCATCCATTCTTTCTTCCCTTCTACAAATTTTCCTCTTCTCTGTTGGCCAGGAACATTTACGCAATAATGTCACACCAGTGACTACCAGAGTTGAATGCCGATAGAGTAACGGGATGCTAAGATGGACATTTCAACCAGGGAGACACAACGACTAGCAACAGAAGCCAGACCACAGTGAAGATCTCTTTTCTTTTCTTTCTTTCTTCTCTTTCTTTCTCTCTTTCTCTTTCTCTCTCCCCCTCCCTCCCTTTCTCTCTTTCTTTCCTTTCTTTCTTTTCTTTTCTATTTTTTTTTTTTTTGAGACGGAGTCTCGCTCTGTTGCCCAGGCTGGAGTGCAGTGGCGCGATCTCGGCTCACTGCAAGCTTGGCTCACTGCAAGCTCCGCCTTCCGGGTTCACGCCATTCTCCTGCCTCAGCCTCCTGAGGAACTGGGACTACTGGCGCCTGCCACCACGCCCGGCTAATTTTTTTGTATTTTTAGTAGAGACGGGGTTTCACCGTGTTAGCCAGGATGGTCTCGATCTCCTGACCTCGTGATCCGCTCGCCTCGGCCTCCCAAAGTGCTGGGATTACAGGCGTGAGCCACTGCACCCAGCCCTTCCTTCCTTCCTTCCTTCCTTCCTTCCTTCCTTTCCTTCATTCCTTTCCTTCATTCCTTCCTTCTTTCCTTCCTTCCTTTCTCTTTCTTTCTCCTTCCCTCCCTCTCTCCTTCCTTCCTTTTCTTTCTCTTTTTTTTTTTTTTGAGACAGAGTCTTGCTCTGTCACTAGGTAATCTTGGCTTACTGCAACCTCTGCCTCCCAGGTTCACGCCATTCTCCTGCCTCAGACTCCTGAGTAGCTGGGACTACAGGTGCACACCACCACACCCAGCTAATTTTTGTATTATTAGTAGAGACGAGGTGTCACCATGTTGGCCAGGCTGGTCTCAAACTCCTGACCTTATGATCCGCCTGCCTTGGCCTCCCAAATTGCTGGGATTACAGGCGTGAGCCACCATGCCCAGCCTTTTTCTTTTTTTTTTGACAGAGTCTTGCTCTGTTGCCCAGGCTGGAGTGCAATGGCACAATCTTGGCTCACTGCAACTTCCCCCTCCTGGATTCAAGCGATTCTCCTGCTTCAGGCTCTCAAGTAGCTGGGATTACAGGTACGTGCCACCACGCCTGGCTAATTTCATATTTTTAGTAGAGTTGGGATTTCACCATGTTGGTCAGGCTGGTCACAAACTCCTGACCTCAAGTGATCCACCCGCCTTGGCCTCCCAAAGTGCTGGGATTACAGGTGTGAGCTACCACATCTGATCCCTAATTTTTAATTGACAAGTAATTGCATATGTTTATGGAGTATGATGTGATGTTTCAATACTGTATATATTATAAAGCAGATCGCGCTAATGAACATATCCATCACCTTACATACTTATTTCTTTGTAGCGAGAACAGTTTGTTTTTTTAGAGACAGGGTGTGTAAAATATTGCCCAGGCTGGTTTTGAACACCTGGGCTAAAGTGATCCTCCCATCTCAGCCTCCCAAAATGCTGGGATTACACATGTGAGCTACCGCACCAGACCCTATAGTGAGACCATTTAAAATCCACTCATTTCACAAGTTTGAAAATACATTATGGGGTGGGGCACAGTCACTCACGCCTGTAATCCCAGCACTTTGGGAGGCCGAGGCAGGTGGATCACGAGGTCACGAGTTCAAGACCAGCCTGGCCAAGATGGTGAAACCCTGTCTCTACTAAAAATATAAAAATTAGCCAGGCGTAGTGGCGGGCGCCTGTAGTCCCAGCTCCTCAGGAGGCTGAGGCAGAGAATTGCTTGAACCCGGGAGGTGGAGGTTGCAGTGAGCCGAGATTGTGCCACTGCACTCCAGCCTGGGTAACAGAACGAGACTCTGTCTCAAAAAAAAAAAAAAAAAGAAAAAGAAAAAATATACATTATGATTAGCTATAGCCACCTTGCTGTGCAATAGATCACCAGGACTTACTCTTCCTAATGGAAACTTTGTATCCTTTGGGCAACATGTTTTCCGCGACCCCAGACTCTGGTAAGGACTGTTCTACTCTCTACTTCGGTGAATGTGACTTTTTTTTTTTTAGATTCTGCATACAAGTGAGATCATGAACTATTTGTCTTTCTGCGCCAGGCTTAGTTTACTTCGCATAATGTCCTCCAGATTCATGCACGTTGTTGCAAATGACAAGATTTCCTTCTTTTATCAGGCTGAACAGTACTCCATTGTGTATATGCACCACATTTTCTTTATCCATTCATTCATTGATGGACACTTAGGTTGCTTCCATATCTTGTTATTGTGAATAGTGCTGCAAAGAACTTGGGAGTGCAGATAGCTCTTCCGAATACTGATTTCCTTTGCACATTACTCGGAAGATAAATTTTTTTGAGACAGAGTCTCACTCTGTCGCCCAGGCTGGGGTGCAATGGCCCGATCTCGGCTCACTGCAAGCTCTGTCTCCCGGGTTCACGCCATTCTCCTGCCTCAGCCTCTGGAGTAGCTGGGACTACAGGCGCTCGCCACCACGCCCAGCTAATTTTTTTTTTTTTTTTTGTATTTTTAGTAGAAACGGGGTTTTACCATGTTAGCCAGGATGGTCTCAATCTCCTGACCTCGTGATCCACCCGCCTCGGCCTCCCAGAGTGCTGGGATTACAGGTGTGAGCCACTGCACTCGGCCTAATTTTTGTATTTTTAGTAGAGACAGGGTTTCACTATATTGGTCAGGCTGGTCTCGAACTCCTGACCTCGTGATCCGCCCGCCTCGGCCTCCCAAAGTGCTGGGATTACAGGTGTGAGCCACTGCACCCAGCTGTTTTGTTTTTTGTTTTTTGTTTTTTTTTCAGACAGGGTCTCAGTCTGCTGCCCAGGCTGGAGTGCAGTGGCACAATCTCAGCTCACTGCAACTTCTACATCCTGGGTTCAAGTGATTCTCCCACCTCAGCCTCCGAGTAGCTGGGACTACAGGTGGACACCACCACGCCCGGCTAATTTTTGTATTTTTTATATTTTTTTAGTAGGGACAAGGTTTCACTGGCGAGGCTGGTCTTGAACTCCTGACCTGAAGTGATCCACCTGCCTTGGCCTGAGACAGGAGAATCGCTGGAACTTGGGAGGCAGAAGTTGCAGTGAGCCAAGATTGCCCCACTACACTCCAGCCTAGGTGACAGAGTGAGACCTTGTCTCAAAAAAAAAAAGTGAAAGTGAAAGATTTCATTCTGAACACCACTAGGTCCTGAAAGGCAAGGTTGGCTGACAGCAGACCCAGTGCAATGAGAACCATCTGACCCCTGGATTTGTTTCCTTCCTGTGGCCGCTATAACAGTACCACAAACTGAGTCACTTAAAACAACAGAAACCTATTTTCTCACAGTTCTGCAGGCCAGAAGTCTGAAATCAAAACATCTGCAGGGCCACGCTCCCCACAGAGGCTCTAGGGAGGAATCCCTCCTGGCCCCTTCCAGCTTGTGAGGGCTCCAGGCATTCCTCGGTGGCGACCACAGCATTCCAACCTCTGCTTCCGTCTTCACGGGTCCTTCTCTACTGTGTCTCCTCTCTGTGTCTCTCCTAAGGAGAGTCGTCTGTGGATTTAGGACTACCATGTTTTCCAGGATGATCTCATCTTCAGAATTCTAATATCTGCAATGACCCTTTCAAAACCCCTCCTACAGAGTTGACAAGGATTGCATGCCAGATTCCAGACAGAAATACAGTTACAATGAACCATGAATCAGGCTGCACTAGGGTCCCCTTCCTTGCTGCTAAAGGTCAGGTAGTACTTTTACACCCCATTGTTTCACCAGGCGCAGTGGATCGCGCCTGTAATCCCAGCACTTTGGGAGGCCAAGGCGGGTGGATCACCTGAGGTTGGGAGTTCGAGACCAGCCTGACCAACATGGAGAAACCCTATCTCTACCAAAGATACAAAAATTAGCCAGGCATGGTGGTGCATGCCTGTAAACCCAGCTACTGGGGAGGCTGAGGCAGGAGAATTGCTTGATCCCGGGAGGCAGAGGTTCCAGTGAGCTGAGATCGTGCCACTGCGCTCCAGCCTGGGCATCAAGAGCGAAACTCTGTCTCAAAACAAAACAAAACACAAATACATCCCATTGTTTCTACAGACAGGATCTCTGACATTAGGAGCATATGGCTTTTTTTTTTTTTTTTTTTTGAGATGGAGTCTTGCTCTGTCACCCAGGCTGGAGTGCACTGACGTGATCTCAGCTCACTGTAACCGCTGCCTTCCGGGTTCCAGCGATTCTCCTGCCTCAGCCTCCAGAGTAGCCGGGATTACAGGCGTGCACCACCACACCTGGCTAATTTTTGCATGTTTAGTAAAGAAGGGGTTTTACCATGTTGGCCAGGCTGGTCTTGAACTCCTGACCTCAAGTGATCCACCGCCTCGGCCTCCAAGTGCTGGGATTACAGGCGTGAGCCACTGCGCCCAGTCAGGATCATATGGCTTTTGCTTAAGGATCGCTTCAGATGTTTTTGCAGATCCTGAATTCCAGCAACCAGTCTGAAGAAGACCCCCCATATAGGAATGGGATCAGCATGAGAATACAGCTTCTTCACCCACCCCTTGTCCCTCAACTCCTGCCCAATCCTCTGTCCCAAGACTTCATCTTGCACTCTTTGACCAATCAAAGGATCTCCACACTTGGGCCCACTCCATACCCCTTAAAAACCCCAGCCCCAAATTCCTAGGGGAGATGAATTTTTTTTTTATTTTATTTCATTTTTATTTATTAATTTTAGTTTGTTTGTTTTCTGAGAGAATCTCACTCTGTCACCCAGGCTGGAGTGCAGAGGTGCGATCTTGGCTCACTACAACCTTCATCTCCCAGGTTCAACTGATTCTCCCACCTCAGCCTCCCAAGTAGCTGGGACTACAGGCACGCACCACCACACCCGGCTAATTTTTGTATTTTTAGTAGAGACAGGGTTTTGCCATGTTGGCCAGGCTGGTCTCAAACTCCTGGCCTCAAGTGCTCTGCCCACCTCAGCCTCCCAAAGTGCTGGGATTATAGGTGTGAGCCACCACACCCACCCAGGAGATGGATTTTAGATTTGCTCCCATCTCGTCGATCTGTGGCCCTATGATTAAACCTCCTTCTCTGCTGCAAACTGGTATCTCAGCATGTTGACTTGCCCAGTGCCTCAAACAATGGGCCTATGACAGTTACAGTTTATCCACCTAAGATCACATTCAGGCCAGGCGCAGTGGCTCGTGCCTGTAATCCCAGCACTTTGGGAGTCCGAGGTGGGAGGATTGCTCAAGGCCAGGACCTTGAGACCAGCCCGGGAAACATAGCAAGAATCTCTCTCTGCAAAAAAATACAAAAATTAGCCAGGCACGGTGTTGCGTGCCTGTGGTCCCAGCTACTTGGAAGGCTGAGGTGGGAAGATCACTTGAGCCTGGGAAGTCGAGGCTGCAGTGAGCCAAAATCATGCCATTGCTCTCTGGCCACCCTGAGTGACAGAGCAAGACCATGTCTTTAAAAAAAAAATAAGTTGGCCAGGCGTGGTGGCTCATGCCTGTAATCCCAGCACTTTGGGAGGCCGAGGCAGGCAGATCATCTGAGATCAGGAGTTTGAGACCAGCCTGGCCAACATGGGGAAAGCCCGTCTCTCCTAAAAATACAAAAATTAGGCGGACGTGGTGGCAGGCGCCTGTAATCCCAGCTACTCAGGAGGCTGAGGCAGGAGAATCGCTTGAACCCGGGAGGCGGAAGTTGCAGCGAGCCTTGATTGCGCCACTGCACTCCAGTTGGGAGACAAGAGCAAGACTTCATCTCAAAAAAAAAAAAATAATAATAATATAAAAACATCACATTCACAGGTTGCAGGGGCCAGAGTGTGGACACATCCTTTTGGGGGGCCACCATTTGACACACTATATTCCCTCCTGGAGCTGCAGCCCTGGCCGTGAAAGGAAAGGAGAGGAAAGCAAGAAGGAAGGGGCCCTAGCACCACCCAGACCCCCAGAACATGACGCTGGTGGGGATGGAGGAGAGGTAGAAGGAAATAGGATTGAAGTCTAAATCAAGGCCCCAGCTTGGGTCTGGACATTCCTTGTTTTGAATTGAAGCCAAGCTGCCCTGTGACTAAGGCGACTCCAGGAACATCTGTTATCTGAGATGAACAGAGAACAAAGTCATAAGGCTAAGATTTTATCAAGGGGATTGCGGGGCAGGGGGGACACATTTCCCTGTGAAAAGCATGTTATAGAGATCATGACAGATCAGCCCTTGACCGGAATTCACACAATGCTGGTTCATTTCATCACAGGGACCACCTGACCCCCAGGATTGTTCTAGAAGGTCTTTTTCTCTACCATCTCCACACCAATCCCTCTCCACCTGCCGCTCCCACCTTCCACTGGGTCCCCATCCTCCTCTGGGCTGGGGCCCTGCCTGCCTGCCATCCATTCACTCAACAAACACTTATTATTATTATTTTTTGAGACACAGTCTCGCTCTGTCGCCCATGCTGGAGTGCAGTGGCACGATCACTGCTCACTGCAGCCTCTGCCTCCCAGGTTTAAGCAATTCTCATTTCTCAGCCTCTCGAATAGTTGGGATTACAGGCATGCATCACCACACCTGGATAATTTTTGTATTTTTAGTAAAGACGGGGTTTTGCCATGTTGGCCAGGCTGGTCTTGAACTCCTGGGCTCAAATCTGTCCGCTTGGCCTCTCAAAGTGCTGGTAGTTACAGGTGTGAGCCACTGCGCCCAGCCCTAACACTTATTGAGCACCTGCTGTATGCCAAGGGCCAGGGAAGGGGGCGGCATACAGAGCCAGGAGGGAACAGTGTGGAGGAACTTCCCTTTTGGAGCTGACTTTCCAGTGGGAGACCTGGGCGATGACAAGATGAACAAGGAATGAATATTCTGTGTTGTAGCCAAAAGCAGCCAGTGCAATGGAGAAAATACAGCAGCCTCAGGCCTGTAATCCCAGCACTTTGGTAGGCCGAGGCGGGCGGATCACTTGAGGCTAGGAGTTCAAAACCAGCCTGGTCAGCATGGCAAAACCCTGTCTCTACTAAAAATACAAAAATTAGCCAGGTGTCATGGAGCATGCCTGTAATCCCAGCTACTCGGTAGGCTGAGGCAGGAGAATCACTTGCACTCGGAGGTGGAGGTTGCAGTGAGCTGAGAGCACGCCATTGCACTCCAGCCTGAGCAACAGCGCGAGACCCCGTCTCAAAAAAAAAAAAAAAAAAAAAGCAATAAGAGTCTGTGGATGTTGTAAATTGGGTGTGTGTGCATCAGAGAAGGCTTCCCTGGGGAGGGGCACAAGTGAAGGGAGACCTGGAGGAGGTGAGGGAGGAGCCATGTGGATATCTGGGGAGGATGACTCAGGCAGAGGGAACAGCCTGTGCAAAGGCCCTGAGGCAGGATGTCTTTGGTGAGTTTGGAGAACAGTAAGGAGGCCCATCTGCTTGGAGAAAGCTGGGTTTTCTGGCCTCCGTGAGGACTGGAGTTTTGCTCTGAGTGAGGCAGTTGGTAAGGAGAATAATGCCCTCCTTCCCAAGGTATCTACTTCCTCATCCTAAACTTTCAAGATCTCATGGCCTGGGGAGGATAGGAGAAAGGGGCTGGTAACTGCTCCAGCGGGTTGATAAACATGGGTACTTCAGGGAGGCTTCCTGGAGGAGTGTCAAGCATATGACTGGCTTGAATTGCGGGAGAGGCAGGCTGAGCAGGGAGCAGGTGCCCAGGGAGAGGCAGAAGACAGGTCAGACACTTAAAAGTGTCTAAAGGAGAAAGACTCCTTTGGACACAGCCAGGCCCTGAGAAGCAGGGTTAGTGAATTGCTACCTCATGCAACAAAAGGGACTTTGCTGATTAGGTAATTAAGGATCTTCAGACAGGGAAATGACCTTGGATCATCTAATCACACAAGTCCTTAAAATGCAAGGGGGCGGCAGAGGGGAGTTGAAGGCTGTCATATGAGAAGGACTTGACTCGTCATTGCTGGCTTTGAAAATGGAGGGAGGGCCCACGAGCCAAGGAATGCAGGCAACTTCTAGAAACGGGGAATGGACAACCAGCAAGAAAACAGGGCCTCAGTTCTACAACCCCAGGGAACTGAATCTTGCACCCCTAAATGAGCAAAAAATAGATCATCCCCTAAAACCTCCAAGAAAGGACTGCAGCCTGCTGACATCTTGGTCTTAGGCAGGTGAGACCCTGAACCACATCTCTGACCTCTAGAGCTGTAGGATAATTTGCGTCGTTAAATAAATGCTAGCTAGTGACGGCAACCATGGGAAATTAACACAAGGTGGGAGCTTTCCCGGTTCTGAGCGGGAGGAGGGGGCGTGGCCTGATCAGGTGTTCGCTCGCGCCCTCTGGAGGCTGCGGAGGGAACAGGCTTCAGGGCCAGGCTGGAGACCTGAGCAAGGGTAGAGGGAACTGCACAGTCCAGGTGAGGGATGCTGGGCTGGACCAGGTGAGGGATGCTGGGCTGGACCAAGTGAGGGCCGGGGAGGTGGGGAAGAAATGAAGTCCGAGGTTTGAACGTGGATGGAAAGAGAAAAAAAGAGAGGACTCCAGCGGGGCACGGTGGCTCACGCCTGTAATCCCAGCACTTTGGGAGGCCAAGGTGGGAGAATCACTTGAGGTCAGGAGTTCGAGACCAGCCTGGCCAACACAGTGAAACACCGTCTGTACCAAAAATACAAAAAATAGCCAGGTGTGGTGCTGCACGCCTGTAGTCCCAGCTACTCAGGAGGCTGAGACAGCAGACTTGCTCGAACCCGGGAGGCGGAGGTTGCAGTGAGCCTAGACTATGCCATTGCACTCCAGCCTGGAAGACAGAGTAAGACTCCATCTAAAAAAAAAAAAAAAAGAGAGAGAGGACTCGAGTCAAGGATGACCAGAAGCCTCTGAGCTGGGAACTTGGAGTCTCCTGTTCCCTCCACCCCAACTCCACTAGTCCCTACCTCCCCTTGGCCTCACCTGCCAGCAGTTGTCCCAGGCGGAGGCCACATGCTTCCCTCTCCTCTGAGGCCTTGCCCCTGCCTGTGACCTCTCACTTGTCATATCTGCTGTCTCTGTTCTCAAGACAGGAAGTCAGATGGGAGTTGAAGACGGCTGGGACCTGTGAGTCCCCAGGCCCCCAGAGGGATTCCGGATTTGAGAGTCGGCCTCCTCCCTCCCATCCAAGCCCAGCCCTGCCAAATCAGCTCCCAGCTCACTCCCTGGTCTGCACCTCTTTCTCTGTCTCTTTCTCTCTCTGGAATTTTCATTCTCTTTTTGGTAACCGAATTATCCCATCTCCACCTCTCACTGGGGGCCGCCCGCAGAGGCGTGGGCGAGGAGGGGCCCGGGTCGCAGCGCGAGATATTAAACCATCAATCACCCGCCAACGCCGACTCCCCCGCACCAGGACCCTCCATTGGCTCCACCTGGAAGCAGACCAGCTCCAGTGCAGGCCTGGAGGCCTGGGGACCCCATCAAAATGGGAGGCCTTGGAAGAATCTCACAGGCCCTGCATCTACCTGGGCAGGTGCCTGGGTGCAGATCGGCCTGGCTCAATGCACAGACAAGGTGTCCTGGGTTCAAATCCACAAGCTACTTCTTATCCACACGTGGGAGCCACTGCATTGTTCTGTGTCTTGGTTTCACCACCTGTAAAATGGTGATAACAGCCGGGCATGGTGGCTCATGCCTGTAATCCCAGCACTTTGGGAGGCTGCGGCAGGCAGATCACCTGAGGTCAGGACTTCGAGACCAGCCTGGCCAACATGGCAAATATATAAAAATCTCTACTAAAAATATAAAAATTAGCCAGGTGTGGTGGTGTGCCCCTGTAATCCCAGCTACTTGGGAGGCTGAAGCAGTAGAATCACTTGAACCCAGGAGTCAGAGGTTGCAGTGAGCCGAGATTGCACTACTGCACTCCAGCCTGGGGGACAGAGCGAGACTCCGTATTTAAAAAAAAAAAATGGTGGTAACATTTTCTACATCATTGGGGTTCACTGTCAGGATTAAACCAGTTAAGGCAGATGGCAATATCTGGCTGATAGTAAGTCCTGTCTAGGATTTGCTGCTAGAATGATTTTCCTTCAAGATTGGGGGGGGGTCATTCACTTGTGAAAGAAATCCAAGATTCTGGCTTTTGAGGGGACTTAATGGGGTTCATACTTGTGTCACCTCACAGCTGCTGCCTTGTATAGGTTGGAATTGGATTTTTTTTTTTTTTGAGATGGAGTCTCGCTCTGTCACCCAGGCTAGAGTGCAGTGCACAATCTTGGCTCACTGCAACCTCCGCCTCCCAGGTTCAAGGAATTCTCCTGCCTCAGCCTCCCGAGTAGCTGGGACTACAGGCACGTGCCACCATGCCCAGCTAATTTTTTTTTTATTTTTAGTAGAGACGGGGTTTCACCATCTTGGCCAGGCTGGTCTTGAACTCCTGACCTTGTGATCCACCTGCCTCGGCCTCCCAAAGTGCTGAGATTACAGGCGTGAGCCACCGCGCCCGGCCAGAATTGGATTTTTTTGTTTTTTGTTTTTGAGACAAAGTCTTGCTCTGTCACCCAGGGTGAAGTGCCGTGTGGTATGATCATGGCTCACTGCAGCCTCAACCTTCTGGATTTAAGCGATCCTTCCACCTCAGCCTCTTGAGTAGTTAGGATTACAGACATGAGCCGCCCCACCCAGGTCTAGGGGAAAAAAAATTAAAGGCTCTTTCAGAACCTTAACTAGGGCCAAGCAACGCATATTTCAAGGCACTCAATTCACAAAACAAGGTCTCAGTGCTTTGCACAGGCTGTTCCCCCTGCCTAAAATGCTGTTCCCTCAGCCAGCCACGTGACTCCTCCTTGCCTGCTTCTGGGTTTGCGGCAATGTCCCCTCCTCAGTGAGGTGACTTTGCAAAAATTGCACCCAGGGCCCCTGCCCGCCCCCACCCCTCCCAGCTGTATTTCCCTCCATAGCATGCATCCCATTTTGCATACCGTATGCAGTGCTTGTGGGGTTTGTCTGTTCATCCCACTGGAGTGTTAAACCCAGGGCAAGGTTCATTCATTCACTGCCCAGCACGGCACCTGGCATGAAATAAACACCCAGTAAATACTTGTTGAGTGAATGCATGAACAAATTCCATTCAGCTGCTCCCAGAGGACCCCACAGGCTGCAGCCAGCTCAAAGCTGCTCTGGCTGGGCCGGTCAGCAATCTTGGGTTTCCTGGAGGTGGGTGGAGGGGGTATCACTGGATGTGTTCAGAGATGCAGCTGGTTCACTATCAACTTTGTGTGGACTTTTCCCTTTTTCTTTGAGGCTGGATCTCACTCTGTCACACAGGCTGGTGTGCAGTGGCGTGATCACAGCTCACTGCAGCCTCCACTCCAGCGATCCTCCCACCTCAGCCTCCTGAGTAGCTGGGACCACAGTTGTGCGCCACCATGCCTGGGTAATTTTTGTATTTTTCATAGAGACAGGGATTCACCATGTTGCCCAAGCTGGTCTTGAACTGAGCTCAAGCAATCTGCCTGCCTGGGCCTCTCAAAGCATTGGGATTACAGGCGTGAGCCACAACGCCCAGCCAGGTGTTTATTTTCTCATTATTTATTTATTGTAGAGATGGGGGCCTCCCTATGCTGCTTAGGCTGGTCTTCAGGTCCTGGGTGATCCTTCTGTCTTGGCCTCCCAAAGTGCTGGGATTACAGGCATGAGCCATGGCGCCCGGCCTTGTGTAGATCTTTAAAAGGTACCCCTTCCATGCTGGGTGCCGTGGCTCATGCCTGTAATCCCAATACTTTGAAAGGCTGAGGTGGGCAGCTCACCTGAGGTCAGGAGTTCGAGACCAGCCTGGCCAACATGGTGAAACCTCGTCTCTATTAAAAATACAAAAATTAGCTGGGCGTGGTGGCGGGCACCTGTAATCTCAGCTACTCGGGAGGCTGAGGCAGGAGAATTGCTGGAACCTGGGAGGCAGAGGTTGCAGTGAGCCAAGATCGCACCATTGCACTCCAGCCCAGGCAATAACAGTGAGACTCCATCTCAAAAAATAAAATAAAATAAAATAAAATAAAATAAAATAAAATAAAATAAAATAAAATAAAATAAAATAAATAAAAGGTACCTCTTCCTCTGGGCAGATGCAATGTGTGGTGAGGGGAACAGACGACGTCAGCTTCTGCTCTAGCTTCTGTCTGGTATGCTTGTGCAGTGTGCAACTTGCACAACTGTTCTTGGCAGTACTGCTCCTGTCCCCCATCTCTTGAGTAGCTCAGAAGGTGAGGGGCGCTGTGAAGACCAAGTAACCAGAGGCTGGACCTCTACACCCAGGTGTTTAGAGGGCCAAACCCCAACCTCTGTGCCCAGCTCATTGCTGGTGAAAAATCTGCCAAGGAACTGGACTGTTCTGGGTGACACCCCAAAGACTCCCCTCCTGGTATCCCCAGCAGTGTCTCCCTTGCTCCTCCAGACTAGGGGTGCCCTCGCCTTCCCCAGCCCCCTCTGCACGTTTCCACCCAGCCAGGAGTCCCACACTTGCCTGCTTCTCCCAACCTTCTCTCTCTCTCTCTCCAGCACAGTGGCTATTTTTATTTTTCCTTCTTATTAAATTTCCAACTTCTGCAAACACCATGGCCCCTGCCTCGCCGCGCCCCCCCCCCTTCCCTTAGGGCGGATTTGATTCACTTGCGTTTTATTAACAGATTAAAAAAAAAAAACCTGCAGCTGCCACCACAATGTGACTTTCTCCGCTTTCCTGGAGGTTTAGGGAACCGAGGAGAACTGGGCTACAGGATCTCTCTCTGGGTTTAAATTCGCCCTCCTCCCCACTCCCAGGGACCTTTCCATCATAGCCTGAGCGGCGAGGTCGGGAAGGGGCTGCGGAATGAGGTTGGATGTCGTTCTGGGTTTAGGGGGGAATGGGATGGGTGTCAGGCCTGATGCGGTTCCCCCAGCCAGGGCCTCGTCCCAAGGCGGAACTGGAAATTAAAAAAAAAAAAAAAAAAAAAAGGCAATCCGTTGGGAAGCCCCGCCCCCGCCCCCGCCTCCCCCCCCCACAGACCCTGGGTGCTAAACTCTTCGGGTGGGAGGGGCAGCCTCGGGGGTGTGGGCTTAGAGTTGGCGCCTCCCACACAGAGCTGGGGTCGCCCCTACCCTCTCTCCCTTAGGATGGCTGGCAGGGGGCCTTGGGAAGGTTTGCCGCCTGCCCAAGCCCGGCTCGCTCAGTTTTCTTTCCTCCTTAGGACATTCTGATTCCGGTGCTGACTCCCAGACCTGAGAGCAAATTGCTCCTTCATGCCCCGGGGTGTTTTCCTCCCCCCAAGTCTTTTTTTTTGTCAGTCGCCCTGGCAACCAGGAACCCAGCTGCACTTTACTTCCCTGGGATACAGAATGGGGGTAGGGGGTGATGGGGAAACTAACTGGGTCGTTTAGGCCAGGACCTTCCTACCCTCCTCTTTGCCCCCTCTTAGTCCTCCACCCCTCCCCACACCACCTGGTCCAGCCTTGATTGACAAGAGGGCAGGTTGCCCCTGTCAGGGTTACCCATCTGGGTGGTTGGGCCACAGCTTCCTTCTGGGTCACTCTGTTCTGGGAAGGTCCTTCATTTGGCCCGAGGGCTAAGGTTCCAGCTGTCAGTGAAATCCCTTTCCCCTTCCTTTCCTCCACTCTTTAGTCCCTCAATCAGGGTGGGCTGGTACGGTTGGGCAGGTTGGACACTGCACAAGGGGACACTGAGTGTGTTCAAACTAAGCTCCCGATTTCCATTGCTCCCTTACTCCATAGCACACTACAGACTAACCTCTCCTCTGCCTTACTGACACCAACTCTCTGCTATCAGGAGAGCCAATGATTTCAATAAAATACTTCAGTCCTGGTCACACCCCAATGCAGAGCTGAAGAAAGGAAGTCCAGTCGGGAATTTGGGGTCTTGAACAACCCAAGCCACAGCTCCTGTGGGAGCTTAGAGAGAGAGCAAACCTGGGCAGAAAGAACTTCTACAGAGGGCCGGGCGCGGTGGCTCATGCCTGTAATCCAGCACTTTGGGAGGCAGAGACGGGCGGATCACGAGGTCAGGAGATCGAGACCATCCTGGCTAACACAGTGAAACCCCGTCTCTACTAAAAATACAAAAACTTAGCCGGGCGTGGTGGTGGGCGCCTGTAGTTCCAGGTGTTCGGGAGACGGAGGCAGGAGAATGGCGTGAACCCGGGAGGAGGAGCTTGCAGTGAGCTGAGATCGCGCCACTGCACTCCAGCCTGGGTGACAGAGCGAGACTCCATCTCAAAAAAAAAGAACTTCTACAGGGGCCAAAGCTAGGGTCGAGGACCATAGAATGCCCTGGGGTACCCAGGGAGGGGCAGGGAATGATTATCAAAAGCCCCAAAGAAATCATGGGGCTGGTCAAGTTTGCTTCACGGACCCAATTCTACAGCCCACCATCTATACTCTTTGCCTAGGTAGCTCCTCCCACTGGGAGGTGGAGCCTATTTCCACACCCCTTGAATCTGGGTTGGTCTCGTGATCTCCTTTGGCCAATCAATGGATTGCAGCAGAAGTGAAGTCACTTCCCAATCTAGGCCTGAAGAAGTGGTGCATGTTTCTGCTCGATGTCTGGAAACCCTGCCCCTGTCAGGTGACCAAGCCCTAGCTAGCCTGCTGGAGGATGAGGGAAGAATCCTGTTGTCCTAGACCAGCCTACAGCCAGCCGGGCCCCAAATATACGAAAAGACCCAGCCTGAATAAATACAGTGTGCCTCTTGGACCCATAGACGTTGGTGGGTGAGCCCAGCCAGGGGCGGAAAAACTGCTCTGTAGCCTGCGAAGCCAAAATTAATGCTGATTGTCCTAAACTGCTGGATTTGAGCGTTGTTAGGCAGCTTTTTTTTTTTTTTTTTGACTCAGTCTCACTTTGTGGCCCAGGCTGGAATGTAGTGGTGCAATCTTGGCTCACTGCAACCTCTGCCTCCCGGATTCAAGCGATTCTCCTGCCTCGGCCTCCCGAGTAGCTGGGATTACAGACACCCGCCACCACGACTAATTTTTGTATTTTTAGTAGAGATGAGGTTTTGCCATGTTGGCCAGGTTGGTCTCAAACTCGTGGCCTCAAGTGATCCAGCTGCCTGGCCTCTCAAAGTGCTGGGATTACAGGCATGAGGCACTGTGCCTGGCCTTGTGTTAGACAGCTTAACTGGCAACAGGTAACTGACAAGGAGCCTGGCAGGCACAGGTGTGCATTGGTCAGCACGTCCCCTTGCCCACGAAGGAGCTAGACTCAAATCCCGAGGTCCCCAAAATTGATTGTCAACTCTTTAACTTCCTGAGGAATCCTTCCCCATTTTTCCTTTATTTGTTTCTTTTTTGTTTGTTTTTTGGCATGGCCTTCCAGTGAAATTCCCCATTTTTCCTTTTTCTTTCTTTTCTTTTTTTTTTTTTTTTGGACGGAGTCTCGCTTTGTTGCCCAGGCTGGATTGCAGTGGCGCGATCTCGGCTCACTGCAGCCTCTGCCTCCCAGGCTCAAGCGTTTCTCCTGCCTCAGCCTCCCGAATAGCTGGGATTACATGTACCACCATGCCCCACTAATTTTTGTATGTTTAATAGAGACGGTGTTCCACCGTGTTGGCCAGGCTGGTCTCTAACTCCTGACCTCAGGTGATCTGCCCGCCTTGGCCTCCCAAAGTGCTGGGATTACAAGCGTGAGCCACCGTGCCCAGCCCCCCATGTTTTCTTTCCTTGGTATCTCTCTGATTGCACCTCCTCTCCTCTCTCTTTCACTTCCGTCCAGCCACATCAGCCTCCTAGCTGATCTCCTCTATGCTAGTTCCCACCCCAGAGTCTTGGCACCCGCTGTTCCTCCTGTCTGGAACCTTCTTCCCCCAGATCTCTATGTGTATCCTCCGCTTTTACTCCTTCAGGTCTCTGTTCATGTGCGTGATCCTCTGAGGTGCCCGCCTTAACTTAGATAGATACACGTCTCCTTCCAGGCCCTCACCAATCTACTACTGCTCCCAATGGGAGCCACATCATGTCCAGCCTAGGACGCTAAAGTTGACCCAGGGCTCAGATGGGAGCAGAACAGCCCTCCCCTAAAACATTCCTTTTTTTTTTTCTTTTTTCTTTTTTCTTTTTCTTTTTTTTTTTGAGACAGAGTCTTGTTCTGTCACCCAGGCTGGAGTGCAGTGGCGCGATCTTGACTCGCTGCAACCCCTGCCTCCCAGGTTCCAGCAATTCTCCTGCCTCGGCCTCTCGAGTAGTTGGAATTACAGGCACCTGCCACCACAGCAGGCTAATTTTTGTATTTTTAGTAGAGATGGGGTTTCACCATGTTGGCCAGGCTAGTCTCGAACTCTTGACCTCGGGTGATCCGCCTGCCTGAGCCTCCCAAAGTGCTGGAATTACAGGTGTGAGCCACTGTGCCCGGCCACACAAAACCATTCCTCATCCACCTTTCCCCTAATGATTTTACTATCCATGGCTAATCATGTCCTAGATCCATGATTTCTTTCTTTCTTTCCTTTTTTTTTTTTTTTTTAAGAGACGGGGTTGGGGGGGGTCTCATTATGTTTCCCAGGCTGATCTCGAACTGCTGGCCTGAAGCGATCCTCCCACCTTGCCCTCCCAAAGTTCTGGGATTACAGGCGTGAGCCACGGTGCCCGGCCTAGAGCCATGATTTCATTACAAGTTGCAAAATACTGCATTCCCAGTTTATCATGGCATTTTCCCATTTATACATCTGTCGTCTCCAACAATCTGGAAAGCCCTCAACAGCAGAGTCAGAGCCACAGGGTACCAAGGAAACATTTGCTGAAAGAATTTGAATTCAGGAGATGGAGCCTATTGGGGGAAAAAACCCAAACAAACAGGTATTTGTTGTTTAGGGCAAAGAAACATGGCACCATTTCTCCTGCTTCTAGGATCAAAGGCTGTTCCACTCCAATCTCCGCTGGATGCCAAGCCTGGCCAAAAGTCCCAGGACATGGCCTGGCCCCCTACCCGTCAACGCTTTCCCTCTTGTGACACCCCATGGAGTCACCCTATGGACTCAGGACCAATGGGGTTTTGGGGAGAAGACAGATCGTCTGTCTACAGGTATCAACATTGCTTTCCTTCTCAAAAATTTTTTTATTTTAAACCTCCCCACAATTCAAATGTTTCTCTTATTATCTTCTGCCGAGGGAAAAAAATTAATAACATGGCACAATATAAAATACTAAATTAAAGGCATTTTGGAACCAGCAATTATTTCATAAGCTTCTCTTTTATTGCCACGCTAATGTGCCTAATTGCTATCTTAATGAGGACATTAATTTCTGGCTAATGTGATGTTATTATAGAAATTGCAGTCAATCTCTTAAAAGGAGGAAAGTGCCAGAAAGCCGTCCCACGAGGCAGAGGCTTTGGTCACCCCGGGGCTGAGGGGCAAAGGGGAGGGGAGGAGACGGTGCTGGAACCCGGGCCAAGACTGGGGGAAGGATGCGGCTGCTGGGAGCCAGAGAGGGGGAAGGCAGGGGACTTGTGCTGGGACTAAAACCTCCCAGGGAGGCCCTGATCTGAAAGCCAGCTGTTGCCGTGCCCGGGGATCTAGGAGATGAAACTGAATAGGGGAAAGTGTTACAGCAATAATAAAACCTGACATCAGTGGCAGGCACGGTTGAGGCATTTTCTATGCTAATCCTTGCAATAGCTCTATAAAATAGATAGTGTCATTTCCCCCATTTTATAGACGGGGGAACAGAGAGGTTGAGTAATTTACCCAAGGTCACACAGCTATTACATGATAGAGATGGGATTTGAACCCAGCCCGTCTGGCTTAACTGCTGAGCTATGCTGCCTTTCAGCCAGCACCCTGAAACCATCGATAATAATTTCAAACATTTATTGAGGGCTTACTATGCACCGGCTGTGAGTCAAGCCTTTTGCACACAGCATCTCTGGGTGGGCTCCATCTTGGAGAAAGAGGTGCAGCTACAGCCACATCTGAGCACTCCTTAATATACAGGGAGGACGAGGCAAGGCTCAAAGCTCGGGGGCTGGTGTTGCACCTCCCTCCCCACACAGGAACAGGAAATCCATTGTAGGTAGAGAGACTTCAGGGCCCAGAGAGGAGAAGGTTATTCCCTCTGAGTTGCACCTTATCACAGGTTACTGTGGTGGTCAGGGTAGGTTTTGAAGGCAAATGGTCTGGGTTAGAATTCTAGCTTTTCCCATTTGGCGAGTGGCCGACCCTCTCTGCACCTCAATTTCCTCATTTAAAGATTGGGGCTATGGGAGGCCGAGGTGGGCAGATCATTTGAGGTCAGGAATTCGAAATCAACCTGGCCAACGTGGTGAAACCCTGTCTCTACTAAAAATACAAAAAAGAAAATGAGCCAATCATGGTGGCCTGTGCCTGTTATCCCAGTTACTCAGGAGGCAGAGGCAGGAGAATCACTTGAACCCAGGAGGCGAAGGTTGCAGTGAGCTGGGATCGTGCCACTGCACTCCAGCCTGGGCAACAGAGTGAGACTCCATCTAAATAAATAAATAAGACTGGGGCTAACAATGGAACCTACCTCCAAGGGCTGTTATAAGAATTGAGCAACTGGTTGGGCGTGGTGGCTCGCACCTATAATCCCAGCACTTTGGGAGGCTGAGATGGGAGGATTGCTTGAGCCCAGGAGTTTGAGACTGGCCTGGGCAATATAGCAAGACTCCATCTCTACAGAAAAAAATATTAAAAATTAGCCGGGCATGGTAGCATGCACCTGCAGTCCCAGCTACTTGGGAGGCTGAGATGGGAGGATCGCCTAAGTCCAGAAGTTTGAGACCAGCCTGGGCAACATAGCAAGACCCCATCTCTACATAAACGTATAACAAGCTGAGCATGGTGGCGCCCCCATGTCTGTAGTCCCAGCTACTCCAGAGGCTAAGGCGAGAGGATCTGCACTGCAGCCTGGGGGACAGAGCAAGACTCCGTCCCTAAAAAATCCAAAAACAAAATAAAAGACAAACTGTGTATTAGAACAAGGACACGCCAGCTGCTGTAACGAGCAACCTGTAGATCCCAGTGGCTTAATGCACTAAAGGCTACTTTCTCACTCACATCACGCTGCCGCACCTGGGAACCAGACGCCGGCTATATTGTGGCTTCACCTTCTTCCAGTGACTCAGAGGCCCCACAAGACCCTCTTTGTCCAGCCAGCAGATGCAAAGGAAGAATTAGAAGGTGCAGGTGGGAGGTGTTAAAAGCCTGAATGTAGCACACCTCACTTCCATTCGCATCCCACAGAAGCAGATAATGATAAAGGTTAGGAAATAGGTTTGGAGTCTGGGAAACATGGGGAGACCCCATATTTACAAAGAAGAAAACTTTTTTAAAATTATATGGTTAATGGTGGCGCAAGCCTGTTGTCCCAGCTACTCAGGAGGCCAAGGTAGGAGTGAGGTAGGAGGCTGGAAGGGACTCTGGAGGTGAAGTTCAGACACTGGACCAAATTGATGGCCAGATGCGGTGGTTCACACTTGTAATCCCAGCACTTTGGGAGGCCAAGGTGGGTGGATCACCTGAGGTCAGGAGTTCGAGACCAGCCTGGCCAACATGGTGAAACCCCGTCTCTACTAATAATACAAAGATTAGCCGGGTGTGGTGGCAGGCGCCTCTAATCCCAGCTACTCGAGAGGCTGAGGCAGGAGAATCGCTTGAACCTGGGAAGCAGAGGTTGCAGTGAGCCGAGATCATGCCACTGTACTCCAGCCTGGGAGACAAGAGTAAAACTCCGTCTCCAAAAACAAACAAAGAACTAGCTAAAGCAGGTGTGTGTAGGTGTGTGTGTGTGTGTGTGTGTGTGTGTGTGTAGCACCTCCCCATAAGACACGCCCACCAGTGTGCCATGTCGGTTTACGATTACCATGGCAACACCTGGAATTCCCCGCCCCTTTCCATGGCAACTACCCAACCACCTGGAAGTTACCACTCTCATCCTAGAAATTTCTACATAAACTGCCCCTTAATTTGCATATAATTAAAAATGGATATAAATATGAGTGAATACAGCAGCACCTCTGAGCTGCTACTCTGGGCACACTGCCTTTTGGGTAGCCCTGATTCTTCACTAAATTTTCTGTTTAACACCACCAGCTCTCCCTTGAATTCCTTTTTGGGTGAATCTAAGAACCCTCCAGGGCTAAGCCCTAATTTTTTTTTTTTTCTTCAGACTGAATCTCGCTCTGTAGCTCAGGCTGCTGGAGTGTAGTGGTTCGATCTCAGCTCACTGCAACCTCTGCCTCCTGGGTTCAAGCAATTCTCCTGCCTCAGCCTCCCCGAGTAGCTGGGATTACAGGCACATGCCATCAAGCCCAGATAATTTTTGTATTTTTAGTAGAGATGGGATATTGCCATGTTGGCCAGGCTGGTCTTGAACTCCTGACCTCAGGTGATCCACCCACCATGGCCTCCTGAGGTGCTGGGATTTCAGGCATTAGCCGCTGCACCTGGCTTTTTTTTTTTTTTTTTTTTGAGAAGGGGTCTTCGACACCCAGGCTGGAATGCAGAGGTGCAGTCTCGACTCTCTGCAGCCTCGACCTCTGGGTGTCAGATGATCCTCCCATTTCAACCTCCCAAGTAGCCAGGAGTACAGGTCTGTGCCACTACACCCGCCTAATTTTTGTAATTTTTGTAGAGATGGGATCTTGCTATGTTGCCCAGGCTGGTATCGAACTCCTGGGTCCAAATGATCCACCCGCCTCGCATCCCAAGGTGCTGGGACTACAGGCATGAGTCACCCACCCAGCCTAAGCCCCAATTTTGGGGGCCTGCTTATTCCTGCATCAGGAGGAGCACTGGAGGCCAGGAGTTTGAGACCCCAACCTGGGAAACATATTGAGACCTTATCTCTACAAAAAAAGAAAAAGAAAAAAATTAGCTGGGTGTGGTGGCACACACCTGTGTCCCAGCTACTCAGGAGGCTGAGGTGGGAGGATCACTTGAGCCCAGGAGGTCAAAGCTGCAGTGAGCCATGATCATGCCACTGCACTCCAGCTTGGGTGACAGAGTGAGACCCCCACCTCTAAAAATAAAAATAGAGCAAATAGGTCTGGGCTGGAGGCAGCCCAAGGGTCCCCTGGTTTCATCACTTTCCGTCCATCTTCCCAAACGCATCACCTTGGCAAGCACACAGCAGGCAGGCCAGACAGATGCGCCCGGTAAAAATACAAGAAGCTAACTGGGCACGGTGGCTCACACCTATAATCCCAGCACTTTGGGAGGCTGAGGTGGGTGGATCATGAGGTCAGGAGTTCGAGACTAGCCTGGCCAACATGGTGAAACCCCATCTTTACTAAAAATACAAAAACACAAAAATTAGCTGGGCGTGGTGGTGTGTGCCTCTAATCCCAGCTACTCGGGAGGCTGACACAGGAGAACTGGTTGAACCCAGGAGGCGGAGGTTGTAGTGAGCCGAGATCGCACCACTGCACTCCCAGCCTGGGCGACAGAGTGAGACCCCATGTCTACAAAAAATAATTCTAAAAATTAGTCGTGTGTGGTGTCGTGCAACTGTAGTCCCAACTACTCAGGGGGCTGAGGTGGGAGGATCACTTGAACCCAGGAGTTTGAGGCTGCAGTGAGCTGTGATCACACCAGTGCACTCCTGCCTGGGCAACAGAGAGAGATCTCATCTCTAAAAAAAGAAAAAAGGAGCCAGGCACGGTGGCTCACAGCTGAAGTCCCAGCACTTTGGGTGGCCGAGCTGGGTGGATCACCTGAGGTCAGGAGTTCGAGACCAGCCTGGCTACATGGTGAAACTCCGTCTCTACTAAAAATACAAAAAAAAAGTAGCCAGGTGTGGTGGCACATGCCTGTAGTCCCAGCTACTCAGGAGGCTGAGGCAGGAGAATGGCATGAACCCGGGAGGTGGAGGTTGCAGTGAGCTGAGATCAAGCCACTGCACTCCAGCCTGGGCGACAGAGCAAGACTCTGTCAAGAAAAAGAAAGGGAAAGGAAAGGAAGGGAAAGGAAGGGGAGGGGAGAGGACAGGAGGGGATGGGAGTGGAGGGGAGGGGAGGGGAGGGGGAGAGAAAGAAAAGAAAGAAAGAAAGGAAAGGGAAGGAAGAAAAGAGAGAGACAGAAGGAAAGCAAAAGAAAGAGAAAGAATAGTAATAAAAGGGACCAGGTGTCTGAAGGCTGAGTTGCAGGGTGCCCCATTGCTGAAGAACTGCTTCCAGAATGCAGCTGTGTAAGTCTGCCAGTGTGGCCAGTGTGGCTGGGTGCAAGCTCTTCAGGGTCCCAGGCTACACACAAGCGATTTTACTTTATTTCTAAAATGGACTAACTCGGTTTGAAACTTAACCCAACTCACTCACAAAAGGAATGTTCTCTCATGGCCATGAATGCAAAACCACCACGAGTGGCCACAAACAAGTATAAAATAGACAAAATGAGGCTTGGTGCAGTAGCCCATGCCTATAATCCCAGCACTCGGGGAGGCTGAGGGTGGAGGATCGCTTGAGCTCAGGAGTTCAAGCCCAGCCAGGGCAACATAGCAAAACCCCATCTCTACAAAAATTAGCCGGGCATGGTGGCATGTACCTGTAGTCCCAGCTACTTGAGAGGCTGAGGTGGGAGGATCACCTGAGCCTAAGAGACAGAGGTTGCAGTGAGCTGAGATTGTGCCACCACACTCCAGCCTGGGTGACAGAGCCGAGACTTTGTCTCAAAAAAAAAAGAAATGAAAAATAAAAATAATGAAAGTGCAAAGAGTATCATGACATTCTCCCTATACTTTGTCAAGACTGTAAGGCTGGGACCAGCTCTTTTGGCTAAAAAAAAAAAAAAAAAAAAAAAAAATTGGATTGGGAAGCATCGGAGGGGCGTGAAAATCATGCTAGCTAGCACCTCTCTAAGAATTGCTTTTTTTTTTTTTTTTTTTGAGACAGAGTCTCACTCTGTCACCCAGGCTGGAGTGAAATAGTGCAATCTCCTTGCAACCTTCACTTTCTAGATTCAAGCAATTCTCCTGCCTCAGCCTCGTAAGTAGCTGAGATTACAGGCATGTGCCACCACGCCTCACTAATTCTTGTATTTTTAGTAGAGGGGGTTTCACCATGTTGGCGAAACTGGTCTTAAACCCCTGACCTCAGGTGATCCCCCTGCCTCGGCGTCTCAAAGTGCTGGGATTACAGGTGTGAGCCACCAGGCCCAGCCTGAGACTTGCTTTTTTTGAGGGATTAGAGGGATTGATAGTTCAGTAAAGGAAGTCACTTTCTCACTAGTGATTCTGTGGTACTGAACCCAGGGCCTGGTACCCAGGGGGCAAGTGGGCGAGTGGATGTTCCGGGTCACCCAGCCAGCCAGGGGAGGAGCTGATTCTAGATCTTCCCTTATCTCTCTGCTGTTTAAACCCTTTTTGCTCCTTCCAATGGGAAACAGGGAAGGGGGAGGCTGTGGGATTGGAACAGAAAGCGTCCTGGACTCCAGAGGCCCTGAGCAGCCATTCCCCTCCCTGGGCCTCAGTTTTCTCATCTATAAAATGGGTAGCTGCAGACTAGAGAGACAATTTGTAAAGTTCTGCTGTGTTAGTCAGGGTTCTCCAGAGAAACAGAATCCACAGGCGTGAGAGAAACACACAAAGAGAGAGACAGAGAGAGACTTATTTGTTTTTTAGAGGCAGTGTCTCTTTTTCTTTTTTTCCTTTTTTTTTTTTTTTGAGACGGAATTTCGCTGTGTCACCCAGGCTGGAGCGCAATGGCGCGATCTGGGCTCACTGCAACCTCTGCCTCGTGGGTTCAAGCAATTCTCCTGCTTCAGCCTCCCAAGTAGCTGGGATTAAAGGCACACGCTACCATGCCCAACTAATTTTTGTATTTTTAGTAGAGACAGGGTTTCACCATGTTGGCCAGGCTGGTCTCGAACTCCTGATCTCAGGTGATCTGCCTGCCTCGGCCTCCTAAAGTGGTGGCTCATGCCTGGCCTTCATTTTCTTTCTAATTTTTTTTTTAAATTTTAATTAGACAGGATCTCCCTCTGTCACCCATGCTGGAGTGCAGTGGTGCAATCACAGCGCACTGCAACCTCCACCTCCTGGCCTCAAGCAATCAATCCTCCCACCTCATCCTCCCAAAGTGTTGGGATTACAGACATGAGCCACCGCACCTGGTGGATTTCTTTTCTTAGAAAAGCAATACATGCTCATGATAAAACGCAAGGAATTCAAACCCTATCGGAGGGGGAGCATATTGAATGGAGTCTCTCTCTCAGCTCCTCCCTTCCCCCTAATATAGCTCTGCTAAGAGCTGCCCGGTGTATCCGCCCTGGCATTTTCTATTTGCACACCAGAGTCGATACGAATATCCTCCTTTTACTTTCACAAATAGGGATCGTTGCAGGCACACAGTTCCATGATAGCTTTTTCCAGTTAATTATATACTGTGGACACCTTCCCCAAATCAGCACATCCAGACCTGCCTCATTCTGCTTAATGACTGCAGAGTATTGGAAGATGTGCCTTAAGAGAGAGGGAGAGAGAAAATAAAAAATGATATGTTTGGAATGTTCCACCTGGTAGTCCCAGATCTGGGTTAATGGAATGGGAGATCACACTCCAGTTCCTCCCCATCTCTTCTGGCTTGTTTTCTGTTTGTTTGTTTTGTTGTTGTTGTTGTTTTTTGAGGTGGAGTTTAGCTCTTGTCGCCCAGGCTGGAGTGCAGTGGCGTGATACCGGCTCACTGCAACCTCTGCCTCCTGGATTCCAGCGATTCTCCTGCCTCAGCCGCCCGAGTAGCTGGGCCTGTAGGTGCACCACCACACCCAGCTAATTTTTGTATTTTTAGTAGAGATGGGGTTTCACCACATTGGCCAGATTGGTCTTGAACTCTTGACCTTAGGTAATCTGCCTGCCTCGGCTTCCCAAAGTGCTGACAGGCGTGAGCCACTGCGCCCGACCTCTTCTGGCTTTTCTATGTCTTGGGAACCAACACAGTTGTAGTCTCTGGCCAGCTCGATTTGAGTGGGACAGACAGGCTTGTGTCTGGGTCAGGGTGGAGGTGCCAAGCTCCTGTTCCAGCCATCAGCAGTCTGTGGAGAAAAAAAAAAAAAGCCAAACTGAACCCCAGAGCCAAGTGCATTTCTTGGGACATAGTTTATTGGGACTGGGACCTGCTGTGAGGCTGTGCAGACCTCATTGTCGAGGGCAGCTGCCCTGAGAGAACAGGCTAGGAAGATGCAGCAGGGCAAATCTATTTCCATCCTGAGTGGTCACGTGCTTCAGCGGGTCAGCCCTGGTTGGTCCAAATCCATCTAATGCTCCATTCCCTCCCTCGTAATTGACTTAGGGATGGCCCACCACCTGTTTTTGTAAATAAAGTTTTATTGGCACACAATTGTGCTCATCTGTTTGCATGTCGTTTGGGGCAGCTTTCACTCAAGGACAGAACCAAATACAGATGGTCCCAACTTAACGATGGTTTAACTGACAATGTTTCAACTTTACAATGGTGTGAAAGTGATACACATTTGGTAGAAACCCTACTTCGGGGACCCATACATTGTGTTTTTCACGTTCAGTATAGTATTCAAAGAATTATGTGAGATATTCAACACTTTATTTTAAAATAGGCTTTGTGTTTGATGATTTTGCCCAACCGTGGGCTAATGTTAAGTGTTCTGAGCATGTTTAAGGTAAGTTAGGCTAAGCTGTGATGTTCACTAGGTTAGGTGTATTCCATGTATTTTCAACTTGTGACTCTTTCCTTTCTCCTTTTTCCTTTCCTTTACCTTTTCCCTTCCTTCCTCTCTCCTCCCCTTCCCTCCCCTTCTCTTTTCTTCCTTTTGAAACAGAATTTTGCTCCGTCACCCAAGGCTAGAGTGCAGTAGTTCCATCACAGCTCACTGCAGACTTGAACTCCCAGCTAAAGCGATCCTTCTACCTCAGCCTCCCAAGTAGCTGGGTCTACAGGCATGTGTCACCATACCTGGCTAATTTTTAATTTTTTTGGTAGAGATGGGGTCTCACTATGTTGCCCAGGCTGATAAACTCCAGGGCACAAGTGATCCTCCCACTTCAGCGATGTTTTCAGTTTACAGTGGGTTTATTGGAACATAGTTCCATTGTAAGTCAAGGAAAATCGGTAGTTGCAACAGAGAATGTCTGGCTTGCAAAGCTGAAAGTACTTACTATCTGGTCCTTTACAGAAAGATGTTGCTGAGCCCTGGGCTAGTGTATACTAACAGCATGTGCTACCTACACCTCTCTGCCTGGGGGCTTTCTCCTGGCCCACATGTGGGACAGGTCAGAAGTGCCCAGGGCACAGCCCTCAGTGTAGGATGGGTGGTAACTGTCAAATACCTCAGCTTTGTCCGGGTGGTGCGGTGGCTTACGCCTGTAAACCCCCCACTTTGGGAGGCCGAGGTGGGTGGATTACTTGAGGTCAGGAGTTCAAGACCAGCCTGGCCAACATGGCGAAACCCTGTCTCTACTAAAAATACAAAAATTAGCAGGGCGTGGTGGTGGGCACCCGTAATCCCAGCTACTCGGGAGCCTGAGGCAGGAGAATGGCTTGAACCCGGGAGGCAGAGGTTGCAGTGAGCTGACATCACACCACTGCACTCCAGCCTGGGCAACAGAGTGAGACTCCGTCTCAAACAAAACAAAACAAAACAAAACAAAACAAAACCCCAGCTCCCTCTCCACTTGGGTGGGATGTCTCCAAGGTGCATGTGTCACACAGTTTTCACAGCAAGCCCCAGTGGGATTGGGACCCAGCGGCTCTCAGCAGTAACTACTTATTTATACCTTGCATGGGCTGTTCTCATGTTCCTGTCTCATTTTTCTTCTCCCCTATCAGTGATTCCTGGAATCACTCAGTCTTAGTCTGGTAGGGCTAACAAAATATCACAAAACAACACTAAATTTCATGCAGTTCTGGAAACTGGGAAGTCCAAGATCACGGTGTCAGCCAATTCAGTTCTTGGTGAGGGCTCACTTCCTTGCTTGTGTACAGCCGCCTTCTCAATGCATCCTCCTGTGGCCTTTCCTCAGAGTGCACACGGGGAAAAAGAGTGGGCTCTGTGTTGTCTCTTCTTCTAAGGACACCAATCCTATTGAACAAGGGCCCCACCCTTATGACCTCGATTAACCTTAATTACCTCTATCTAATTACCTAAAGGCTCCATCTCTAAATACAGCCACACTAGGGGTTAGGACTTTAACATGTGAATTTGGAGGGGCATGCACAGTTCAGTTCCATCCCAGATAAACTGCTTGCACTCAAATTCTTACTCCTGGATCGACTTCTGGGAGGCCTCAAATCAAGACACCACATGACAGATTTCAGGTTAGGGAGAACTGAAGGCAAGTACCAGGAAGGACTTCCTTCCTTCTAGAAGGCCTCTTCTTCCTCTGGAATCTGCTATTTCTGCATGTGATGGCTGGAGTCTTGGAAGCTGTCTTGGGACCATGAGGAGGGAATACCCTTAGGACAAAGCTGAGATGCTGGGGAAGGTGGACTGGACAGACAGAAAGAACCTGGTTGATGGTATCATGAGGCCACTGAATTAACCGCTAGAGCTTCCCTAACCCTGAATTTATTGTTCTGTGAAATGGTGACTATTATTATTGTTTATGTTAGCTTGTGTAGGGATTTTCATCTTCCTTTCTGATAGAGGTGAGGCCTGAAGTGGGAGGGTGGATGATTAATCCAATGGAGTAAAGACAGGTGCTCCTTTTTTTTCAAAGAGAAGAGATTCGCTCATACAACTGAAAAATGTACACCTTTCTGGTTAGGGGAGATTACAGCTGGGGTTGCAGCAGACAGAACATTTTTGTTGTTGTTAGCACATAAGAGAATCCTTACCTGCCACAACTAATTAAGAAGAGAAGAGGCTGAGCATGGTGGCTCATTCCTGTAATCCCAGCACTTTCGGAGGCTGAGGCAGGAGGATCACTGGAGCCCAGGAGTTTGAGACTAGCCTGAGCAATATAGCAAGATTCTGTTTCTATCAAAAGATCTTTTTTTAATTAGCTGGGCAATGTGGAGAGCAACTGTAGTCTTAGATACTCAGGAGGCTGGGACCAGAGGATCCCTTGAACCCAAAAGTTCGAGGCTACAGTGAGCTATGACTGATGTCACTGCCCCTCCAGCCTGGACAACAGAGCAAGACCCTGTCTCTGAAATTTGTTTTTTTGAGACAGAGTCTCGGCTCACTGCAAATTTTGCCTCCTAGGTTCAAGCGATTCTCAGCCTCCCGAGTAGCTGAGATTGCAGGTATGTGCCACCACACCTGGCTAATTTTTGTATTTTTAGTGGAGACAGAGTTTCAGCAGGTTGCCCAGGCTGGTCTCAAATTATTAGCCTGAAGTGATCCACCTGCTGTGGCCTCCCGAAGTGATGGGATTACAGGTGTAAGCCACCGCGCCCAGCCTGAAAAAAAAAATTTTTTTTTAAAGAGAAGAGATTTGCTCACACAACTGAAAAATGTAAAGAAGCAGTATATCTTCAGGTGTGGCTGGATCCAGATGCTGAGATCATGTCACCAGGAGTCTGTTTTTGTCCATCTCTTCATAGATTTGTTTAATCTAGTTGCTGCCTCAGCAGCCATTTTTAGGCCTGACCTAAGTTGTTTGAAGCACAGTTGTATCCCATCACTTTTGGCTTAGTTAAAACTTCCCCTTCCTGGCCGGGCGCCATGGCTCATGCCTGAATCCCAGCACTTTAGGAGGCCGAGACGGGCGGATCACGAGGTCAGGAGATCAAGACCATCCTGGCTAACACAGTGAAATCCTGTTTCTACTAAAAATACAAAAAAAAATTAGCCAGGCGTGGTGGTGGGCGCTTATAGTCCCAGCTACACAGGAGGCTGAGGCAGGAGAATCACTTGAACCTGGGAGACGGAGGTTGCAGCGAGCCGAGATTGCGCCACTGCACTCCAGCCTGAGAGACAGAGCGAGATTCTGTCTCAAAAAAAACAAAAACCAAAAAAACCAAAAAAACAACTTCCTCTTCCTGGTGGGGTGCAATGGCTCATGCTTGAACCCAGGAGATGGAAGTTGCAGTGAGCTGAGATGGCACCACTGCACTTCAGCCTGGATTACAGTGTGAGACTCTGTCTCAAAAACAAACAAACAAAAACAAACACAAATAAACAAAACCAACCAACCAAATGGCAACAACAAAAACTTCCCCTTCTTGGCTGGGTGCAGTGGCTCACGCCTGTAATCCCAGCACTTTGGGAGGCCGAGGCGGGCGGATCACCTGAGGTCAGGAGTTTGAGACCAGTCTGGCCAACATGGTGAAACCCTGTCTCTACTAAAAAATACAAAAAAATTAGCCAGGCATGGTGGCGGGTGCCTGTAATCCCAGCTACTTGGGAGGCTGAGGCAGGAGAATCACTTGAACCTGGGAGGTGTAAGTTGCAGTGATCCAAGATGGTGCCATTGCAGTCCAGCCTGGACAACAAGAGCGAAACTCCATCTAAAAACAAAAAACAAAAAAAACCCAAAAAAAACCCCACCAACTTTCCCTTTCTGTGTGGTTGTTTGTGATGTAGTTCACTTGTTCCTCATCCTACTAACCCAAAACATAACACATCCCACAACTGCCAACCACAGTGAAACCTAATGGCCAACACTAGAGCTATATAAATAAGTTCCCTTTTCTTTAAACTAGTTTTATTTAAACAAGTCCATCCGCAACCCCCATGGGACAATATGTTGCCCAGGCTTGTCTCACGATTCTCCCATCCCAGCCTCCCAAAGTGTTGGAATTACAGGCATGAGCCACAGTGCCAGGCCGCTGTTTGTATTCATTACGTTTTTTTATTTTCTGAATTTTATGATGCTTTGACATTTGGAGGCTTACTGATCCTGGAGAGACTGCTCCTCCCAGGGCTAGCTAATTCCTAGAGATAGCAAACAACACAGCTGTGAGCGTATGTTTAATATACAAACCAAGCAGTCCAGAGCCCAACCCCCAACTATCTCCTTTATCAAACTCTGACACACCAAGACAATATTCCTCCTGCCTAAATCACCCCAGAGTCAGGTATGGACAACTAGAGATCACCCCATAACTCAGAGACTGCCAAAATTATTTGAACCATCAAACCTTCTTTTTTTTTTTTTTGAGATGGAGTTTCGCTCTTGTTGTCCAGGCTGGAGTGCAATGGCGCGATCTCGGCTCACCGCAACCTCCGCCTCCTGAGTTCAAGTGATTCTCCTGCCTCAGCCTCCCAAGTAGCTGGGATTACAGGTGCCTGCCACCACGCCCGGCTAATTTTTTGTATTTTTAGTAGAGACGGGGTTTCATCATATTGGCTAGGCTGGTCTGGAACTCCTGACCTCAGGTGATCCACCTTCCTTGGCCTCCCAAAGTGCTGGGATTACAGGCGTGAGCCACCGCGTCCGGCCGAATCTTCATTTTTATTTATATTTTTTTGAGACAGAGTCTTGTTCTGTTGCCCAGGCTGGAGTAGAGTGGTGTGACCTCAACTCACTTCAACTCCACCTCCTAGGTTCAAGTGGTTCTCCTGCCTCAGCCTCCCAAGTAGTTGGGATTACAGGCACACACCACTATGCCTGGCTAATTTTTGTATTTTTAGTAGAGACGAGGTTTCACCATGTTGGTCAGGCTGGTCTCAAACTCCTGACCTCAAGCGATCCATCCGCCTCGGCCTCCCAAAGTGCTGGGATTACAGGTGTGAGCCACCGGGCCCCGCCATATTTAAATTTTTTTTGAGGCTGGGTGTGGTGGCTCACACCTGTAATCCTAGCACTTTTGGAAGCCGAGGGAGGAGGATCCCTTGAGCCCAGGAGTTTGAGACCAGCCTGGGCAACATAGCAAGACCCCATTTCTACAAAAAATAAAAATAATTAGCTGGGTGTGGTGTGTGGTGGCGTGTACCTGTGGTCCCAGCTACTCAGGAGGCTGAGGCAGGAGGATCACTTGAGCCCAGGAGGTTGAGGCTACAGTGAGCTATGATTGCACCACTGCACTCCAGCTATGCTTGCCTCACTGCACTCCAGCCTGGGTGACAGAACAAGATTCTGTCTCTAAAATTAAACAAACAAAAAAAAGTGAATAGGATCATCTTGGCTGTAGAGGGGAGGAGAGAATTTAGAGAGGCTGGAGCGGGGGACAGGAGTGTGATATGATTAGAAATAGGAGTTGGAGCCAGGCGCGGTGGCTCACGCCTGTAATCCTAGCACTTTGGGATGCCGAGGCGGGCGGATCACGAGGTCAGGAGATGGAGACCATCCCGGCTAACACGGTGAGACTCCGTCTCTACTAAAAATACAAAAAATTAGCCGGGTGTGGTGGTGGGCGCCTGTAGTCCCAGCTACATGGGAGGCTGAGGCAGGAGAATCACTTGAACCTGGGAGACGGAGGCTGCAGTGAGCTGAGATTGCGCCACTGCACTCCAGCCTGAGAGACAGAGCGAGAGTCTGTCTCAAAAAAAAAAAAAAAAGAAAAAAGAATGTCTCCCCAAGGAGCCTGGCGTGTTGGTGCGCTCCTATAATCCCAGCTACTTGGGAAGATCTCTTGAGCCCAGGAGTTCGAGACCAGCCTGGGCAACAGAGCAAGACCCCAACTGAAGAAAGAAAGAAAGTCCCCCAGAGACCAGAGCTTCCTGGGGATTGGGAGGCCGTGTAATGGGCTATATTATGGGGCCCATTGGTGGCTCACTTCTCCGTCTAGCCCAGAAATTGTCACCCGGGATGATTCTGTCTCCCATGGGGACCATCTAGAGACGTACTTAGTGGTCACAACTGGAGGCGGGGATTGTTACTGGCATCTCGGGGTGGAGGCCGGGGATCCTACGATAGCTCCCAAAACAGACAGTGAATGGTCTGGTTCCAAATTTCCCTAGTGCCTAGGCTCTGCCTCGGACAGGAGCCGCAGCCGGGGTGGGGGCAGGGGTGCCAGGACATCAGAAACATCTTATTTATTTATTTGTTTACTTTTTATTTGTTTGTTTACTTTTTATTTATTTATTTATTTATTTATTGGAGACAGAGTCTTGCTCTGTCGTCCAGGCTGGAGTGCAGTGGCACGATCTTGGCTCACTGCAAGCTCTGCCTCCTGGGTTCAAGCCATTCTCCTGCCTCAGCCTCCCGAGTAGCTGGGACTGCAGGCGCCCACCACTATGCCTGGCTAATTTTTTTTTTTTGTATTTTTAGTAGAGACGGGGTTTCACTGTGTTAGCCAGGATGGTCTCGATCTCCTGACCTTGTGATCCGCCCATCTTGGCCTCCCAAAGTGCTGGGATTACAGGCGTGAGCCACCGCGCCCAGCTACTTATTTTTTTGAGACGGAGTCTCACTCTGTCACCCAGGCTGGAGTGCAGTGGTACGATCTCGGCTCACTGCAACCTCCTCCTCCCAGTTCAAGCCATTCTCCTTCCTCAGCCTCCCGAGTAGCTGGGATTACAGGCGCACACCACCGCACCCAGCTAATTTTTGTATTTTTAGTAGAGATGGGGTTTCAGCATGTTGGCCAGGCTGGTCTCGAACTCCCAGCCTCAGGTGATCTGCCCACCTTGGCCTCCCAAAGTGCTGGGATTACAGGCGTGAGCCACCGCACCCTGCCAGAAACATTTTAAAGCTCCCCAGGGTGACTTTCAGGTGCAGCCAGGCTTGGGAACCGCCAGTGCAGAGGGTCAGAGGGTTCTCCCGTCCGGTCCCCTGCTGCACCACCCGGAACCTCTCTCTCGGTTCCCCCTCTACTGGGTGTCTGTGGACAGAGAGGGTGGGAAGATCTGCTGGTGGAAACAGCCTCAGCCTCTGAGCCCCCTAGCCCCAGGCCCAGGTTCTCCTGCGGATCCCTGGCCTGGTGACCTGGCTTGCGCTGGGGGATCCCAGTGACCTCCTTCGGGCCCGCAGAGGTCTCCTGAGGCTGCTCAGGACTTCCTCTCCCTCAGCCTCTTTGCCCTGGCTAGGGAGAGAGACAGGAATGGGGCCAACAAAGGGAATAAGAATTCTGGAGGGGGCCGGGCATGGTGGCTCACGCCTGTAATCCCAGCGCTTTGGGGAGCTAGGGCAGGTAGATCACCTGAGGTCAGGAGTTCGAGACCAGTCTGGCCAACATGGTGAAACCCCGTCTCTACTAAAAATACAAAAATTAGCCAGGCATGGTGGCAGGTACCTGTAATCCCAGCTGCTCAGGAGGCTGAGGCAAGAGAATCGCTTGAACCCACGAGGTGGAGGTTGCAGTGAGCCGAGATGGCGCCGCTGCCTGAGTGACAGAGCAAGACTCTGCCTCAAAAAAAAAAAAAAAAAAAAAAGGGAATTTGGGAGGGGAGAGAAGTAACCCTGGTGTGAAGTGTGAAAGGAGAGAACTTAGGGCAGGAGGAGCAGGGTGGAAGAGAACGGCGGCCAGGCCTGGAGCACACGTGCATTCTCAGCAAACAGGGGCCCTGTCCCCAGGACATACACTCACACTCAACACTCACACTTATGCTCTGTCACACTCACACAGTCACACGCATGCTCATACATGGTCTCACACACTCATCCTCACACAGCCCCACAGCCTTGCACACTCCCACCCACCCTCACACAGCCCCACAGCCTCGCACACTCCCACCCACCCTCACACAGCCCCACAGCCTCGCACACTCCCACCCACCCTCACACAGCCCCACAGCCTTGCACACTCACACGCATCCTCACAGCCCCCCAGCCTCACACACTCCCACCCACCCTCACACAGCCCCACAGCCTCACACACATCCATCTTCACAAGTCTCATACCCTTCACATCACACACATTGTTGCACAAATGCAGACTCACACATTCACACAGGAACACACAACCACATGCTCACACCTATAGGCACTCACACTCACAGTCTCACAGTCTCACACATTCTCACACACATGCGTACACACACACATTCTGCAAACACCCGTGGCCTCCTCTGCCTTCGCCCCCTCCCAAAGCTGCCTGAAGACTCTCCAGATGTCACCTACTGCTGCTGCTGTGGCCTGAGCAGGAGGGGAGTGCAGAAGGGGAGGCTGGGTGGGAGGGGAGCAGGGGCCCGAAGATGCCCCAAATCCCTCTGCTTCATGACTAGCCCCATTTAGAGAGAGGATCACCCTTTGAAAACCAGAACCCCTCAACGCCAGCACCCCCTGGGTCTCCGGGATGAGGAGGACCAGGAAAACCCTCCCAGACAAAGGAATGGCTCCAAGCCTGGAGTGATGAGGGTGCCTGAGATTCTTTGCTTTTTGTTCATTCATTGATTCATCTTGCATGTTATTATTATTTTGAGACAGAGTCTCACTCTGTCACCTAGGCTGCAATGCAGTGACACCATCTCGGCTCACTGCAACCTCTGCCTCCCGAGTTCAAGCGATTCCCCTGCCTCAGCCTCCCTGGTAGCCGGGACCACAGGTGTGCGCCACCACACCCAGCTAATTTTTGTATTTTTAGTAGAAACGGGGTTTCACCATATTGGTCAGGCTGTTCTCCCACTCCTGACCTCAGGTAATCTGCCTGCTTCAGCCTCCCAAAGTGCTGGGATTACACGCATGAGCCACTGTGTCAGGCCTGATTTTTTTTTTTTTTTTTTTGATGGAGTCTAGCTCTGTTGCCAGGCTGGAGTGCAGTGGCACAATCTCAGCTCACTGCAACCTCCACTTCCCAGATTCAAGCAATTCTGCCTCAGCCTCCCGAGTAGCTAGGATTACAGGCACGCACTGCCATGCCAAGCGAATTTTTGTATTTTTAGTAGAGACGGGGTTTCACCATGTTGGCCTGGATGGTCTCGATCTCCTGACCTAGGATCTGCCCGACTCGGCATCCCAAAGTGCAGGGATTACAGGCGTAAGCCACCGTAATTTTTGTATTTTTAGTAGAGACGGGGTTTCGCCATGATGGCCAGGCTGGTCTCGAACTCCTGACCTCCAGTGATCCACCCGCCTCAGCCTCTCAAAGTGCTGGGATTACAGGCGTGAACCACTGCAACCGGCTCATCTTGTATATTAGATCCAGCGGTTTCTGTGTGTCCCACTCTGTCCACGCCACTGGGGGCACCACAGCACCCAAGACAGAAATCCCCACCTACATGGGGCTGATGTCCAGTGGAGAGTCAGACATAAACAAAAGTATGGATGTGCATGTGTGACAGAGAGAAGCCTCAACAAGGGATATAAAGGGGGAAAAAAAGAGCTGAGCCCAGTGGCTCATGACTGCAATCTCAACACTTTGGGAAGCCGAGGCAGGAGGATTCGCTGGAGCCCAGGAGTTCAAGACAAATCTGGGCAACATAGCAAGACCCCATCTCTACACAAAATTTAAAAAATTAAATTGGGCCGGGCGCAGTGACTCACACCTGTAATCCCAACACTTTGGTAGGCTGAGGTGGGCGGATCATTTGTGGGTCAGGAGTTTGAGACCAGCCTGGCCAACATGGTAAAATGCTGTTTTTACTAAAAATACAGAAATTAGCTGGGCGTGGTGGTGCACACCTGTAATCCCAGCTACTCAAGAGGCTGAGGCAGGAGAGTTGCTTGAACCCAGCTGGGCGTGATGGCTCACACCTGTAATCCCAGCACTTCAGGAGGCCGAGGTGGGCGGATTACCTGAGATCAGGAGTTCGAGCACAGCCTGACCAACATGGTGAAACCCCGTCTCTACCAAAAATACAAAATTAGTCGGGCATGGAGGCGCATGCCTGTAATTCCAGCTACTTGGGAGGCTGAGGCAGGAGAATTGCTTGAACCCGGGAGGCTGAGGTTGCAGTGAGCCGAGTTCGCACCACTGCACTCCAGCCTGGGCAATATGAGCAAAACTCTGTCTCAGAAAAAAAAAAAAGAATTGCTTGAACTCAGGAGATAGAGGTTGCAGTGAGCCAAGATTGCACCACTGCACTCCAACTGGGTGACAGAGTGAGACTCCATCTCTGAAAACAAAATAAAATAAAAATAACAAAGAAAACCAGCTGGGCATGTTGGCATAACCGTAGTCCCACCTACTTGGGAGGCTAAAGCGGGAGGATTGTTTAAACTCAGGAGTTGCAGGCTACAATGAACTAAGATCGCGCCACTGCACTCCAGCCTGGGTGACAGAGAGAAACTCTGTCCCAAAATAAATTAAATTAAATTTGCCAGGCGCAGTGGCTCACGCCTGTAATCCCAGCACTTTGGGAGGCTGAGGTGAGCAGATTGCCTGAGGTCAGGTGTTAGAGACCAGCCTGGCCAACATGGTGAAAACTCGTCTCTACTAAAAGTACAAAAATTAGCCAGGCATGGTGGCGGGCACCTGTAATCGCACCTACTCAGGAGGCTGAGGCAGGAGAATTGGCTTGAACCTGGGAGGCAGAGGTTGCAGTGAGCCAAGATCGAGCCACTGCACTCCAGCCTGGGTGACAAGAGCAAGACTCTGTCTCAAAAAAAAAAAAAAATTAAATTAAATTAAAACCCAAAAACAGTGGAGTCTGGGCCTCTCAGGCTGGGTGCACCCCAGGGGACTTCCTCTCTGATAGTCTCCTTGCCCTCTACACCTAACCTGGCCTCTACACCTGGGACCCCTGTTCCCTGAGGCCCCACCCATAACCACATCCACGTCTGGTGGGATCCAGCACCTAAGTCCGCTCTAGTGGACGGCACTCCTTCCCCGAGTCCCCACTGGCGAGGACCATGAGCAATTCAATCCCATTCTCCACCCAGAGACTTTGCTGGAAAAGAGCTAATTATATCTCTGCCCCGGAGCCCATCTGGTGGGGTCTGGGTGGTGACGGGCGAGTGTGTTCCGCGTCCACGGCCGGCGGCACGCGCACAAACACAGCTTCCCATATATTTTTAATTCCACAGCCATACTTTGATTAGAGAGCCGATGTGTTGTGTACGACCTCAGGGACCTCATTATTTTTCTAACTCAAATAAATACGGCGTTCAGAATTCGGGGAGGGTTGGAGGGGGTGTGGAGTAAAAGACGCAGAAAACTCCATCTATAAAAAGAATTCAGGCCTTAATGAGCTTTTAAAACTTGCCAACCTCTCTCCCACCCCCTGACACCAATCTATAAACAGGAGCCATGCCTGCTGGCTTTGATGGTGGGAGTCTAGGTGGGTGAGGATTGGCTGGGGTGGGTGTTGCGGGGCAAAGCCACAGCAGGGGAGAGGCCCCCCTGCAAAGGTAGCTGGGTGTCTGTAAGATTTGGGGAAGGGGGATGGCAGGCACAGTGGCTCATGCCTATAATCCCAGCACTTTGGGAGGCTGAGGCAGGAGGATCGCTTGAGGCCAGAAGTTGGAGATCAGCCTGAGAAAGATAGCAAGACCCTATCTCTACAAAAAAATTTAAAAATTAGCCTGGCGTGGTAGCGTGTGCCTGTAGTCCCAGCTACTCTGGAGGCTGAGGTAGGAGGATGGCTTGAACCCTGGAGTTTGAGGCTGTAGTGAGCTTAGATTGTGCCTCTGCACTCCAGCCTGGGTGATACAGCAAGACCCTGTCTCTGGGGAAAAAAAAAAAAAAAAAAAAAATATATATATATATATATATATATATATATATACACACACACACACACACACACACACCATACATATATATAAAAACATAAATATATACATATATACATATATAGACATATACATATATAGACATATACATATATACACATATACATATATACATATACATATACACACATATACATATATACATATATATGTGTATACATACACATATATACACACACATATATATACATATATATATATATATACACATATATATATATACACACACACATATATATATATATATATTTGGGCAAGTGTGTTCCCAGCCACAGGGAGAATGGAAGTGGTCTCTATCCAAGTTCAGCAGGAATCGTCAATATTCATGGGCCCAGGCTAACTGGGGTGTTGATCTGAGAAAGATTTAGAATTTCCTGATCTCCTAGACCCATTTGGGCTGTGGTATGAGGATG
Source organism: Homo sapiens (assembly GCF_000001405.40). Lineage (NCBI taxonomy): Eukaryota > Metazoa > Chordata > Mammalia > Primates > Hominidae > Homo > Homo sapiens. Next base: position 14,318,531 of record NC_000019.10, read on the forward strand.
AGTTCTGCTTCATTATTATTATTTTTGAGACAGAGTTTCGCTCTTATTGCCCAGGCTGGAGTGCAGTGGCACAATCTCCACTCACCACAACCTCCACCTCCCGGGTTCAAGCAATTCTCCTGCCTCAGTCTCCCAAGTAGCTGGGATTACAGGCGCGTGCCACCACACCTGGCTAATTTTTGTATTTTTAGTGGAGTCAGGGTTTCACCATGTTGGCCAGGCTGGTCTTGAACCCCTGACCTCAGGTGATCTGCCCGCCTCGGCCTCCCAAAGTGCTGGGATTACAGGCGTGAGCCACTGCACCCGGCCTCTGCCTCATTCTTGTATGTCTGGAAATTCTTCCCCAGAGGCTCCCCTGGGAGTTGCTGAGATGAGCAGATGGGGAAACTGAGGCAGAGCAAAGCAGGCTGGACCACAGGATATGTATTGGGTGCCCTCCCCACCCACTTGGAGTCAGCTAGACCCCACCTTCCTTCGCAGTGGATAAGCCCTGGCTGGGGTTGGGGGTTCCCCGTTGAGCAGGCACCAGCCGAAGGAGGCCCCCCAGTGGCCGTGGTGTTACGGTGAGGTGGACGGAGAGCAGGCAGTGACCACGGGGCTCCCGAAAGGACAGGGTGACCTTCGAGTCACTACCCATGTGCATCGTTCCAACAGCAGCAAAGACACTCCCGGAGCAGGCAGCAAAGCCAATTTCAGGTGAAAGATGAGTTAAGTGGGCAGAAATGAGCTCCGGGCTGAGAAATTTCTGCATGACAAAAATTCCAGGGAGCAGGACAGACCTTAGGAGCAGCTGAGCAAGAGCCTCTGGAAGGACTCAGGGGGATAGGAGGGGAGGGAAGGGATGAAAAACAAGATCGGGACATGCAATAATGTGGTGAATGGGGGCAGGAAGGGGGCAGGAAGATACTGGGGTCTGCACAATGCGGGGAGAGGGGTTTTCCCTGCCCCTCAATCTGAAATGGCAGCCCCTGTCTCTTGCTTTTCCCCCTACCCTCTCCCTGCTGTTGTTTTCTATTTATTTATTTATTTATTTTTGAGACAGAGTTTCACTCTTCTTCCCCAGGCTGAAGTGCAATGGCGCAATCTTGGCTCACCTCAACCTTTGCCTCCTGGGTTCAAGCGATTCTCCTGCCTCAGCCCCCAGAGTAGCTGGGATTACAGGCACACGCCACCACACCCGGCTAATTTTGTATTTTTAGTAGAGTCAGGGTTTCTCCATGTTGGTAAGTCTGGTCTTGAACTCCCGACCTCAGGTGATCTGCCAGTCTCGGCCTCCCAAAATGCTGGGATTACAGGTGTGAGCCACCGTGCCTGGCTGTTTTCTTTATTTCTTTGATTTTAGAGACAGGATCTCACTCTGCTGCCCAGGCTGGAGTGCAGTGGTGCAATCATAGTTCACTGCAGCCTCCAACTCCTGGTCTCAATCCATCCTCCTGCCTCAGCCTCCCAAGTAGCTGGGACTACAAGTGTGCACCACCACGCTCAGCTAATCTTTTAATTTTTGTAGAGATGGGGTCTCCCTATGTTGCCCAGGCTGGTCTCAAACTCCTGGGCTCAAGCGATCCTCCTGCCTCGGCCTCCCAAAGTGCTGGGATTACGGGTGTCAGCCACTGTGCCCAGCTTCTGCTATAGTTTTCTGTTTGAGATTTCTTCATCACCCTCTGTCATGATGTTTGTCATCCGCCTCTCTCATCAGACTGGCCACCTACCTTGCCCCACCTGAAGGCAGAGAGTTTCGTCTGTCTTCCTGAAAGGTAGGCAGAAAGATGTCAGCTGGGAGGGGCCTTCTAGATGGGTGTAAACAGTGGTGTGCTTGTGAACCTGTTGTGGGGAGAGAAGAGGATTTGTAGTGTTTGCCAATTCCAGCGGTGTAAATTCTGCCACCTTGGCTGACTTCAAGCTGTGAATGTAAGATTTCCTTGACAGGGTGGGGGAAGTTTGAGGGGGCAAGGGGATTGTGAGGTGGTGTCCAGATGGGTGTAATCAATGATGAGCCGGTAAGCCAGCTGCAGAGAGGAGACCCAATTTGTAGTGTTTGCCAATTTCCATGGTGTAAATTCTTCCCCCTTGGCTGAATTCAAGCTATGAGTGTGATGCCACTGAATCCCAACTTAGGAAGAGATTGCATAATGAAATGACTCTTGTGAGCCACTTTGACCCAGCTCAAGTATACCGTGGGGTGGAATCTCCTGGCCTGGAGTTGACCCTTTCTCCAGTTTGGGATTAGGAGGAAGGGAAGACAAGTAAGAGGGTGAAGCCAGTCTCCCTGTCTTCCTTCCATCCTGGGGCCATTCTACTCCCTGGGACCTCTGCTGGGGATGCTCTTCCATCAGATACTGATAACTGAGCTGTCCCCACCCATTCTGCATAGACCCCATCCAGGGCCCCTGCTGGGAAACCAAGAGTTTGTCCAAGTGGCGACATGGGGACCCCTACCCACTGCTATCTTTGCTGCCTCTTTTTTTTTGAGACAGAGTTTTGCTCTTGTTGCCAAAGCTGCAGTGCAGTGATGCGATCTCGGCTCACTGCAACCTCCGCCTCCCAGGTTCAAGTGATTCTCCTGCCTCAGCCTCCCGAGTAGCTGGGATTACAGGCGCGCGCCACCACACCTGGCTAATTTTTGCATTTTTAGTACGAATGGGGTTTCACCATGTTGGCCAGGCTGGTCTCGAACTCCTGATCTCAGGTGATCCGCCTGTCTTGGCCTCCCAAAGTGCTGGGATTACAGGTGTGAGCCACCATGCTCAGTTGCCTTTTTTTTTTTTCCTTTTTCTTTTTTTTTTTTAGGGACGGGGTCTTGCTGTCACCCAGGTTGGAGTGTAGTAGTGTGATCATAGCACACTCCAGCCTCACACTCCTGGACTCAAGGGATCCTCCCGCCTTAGACTCTGGAGTAACTGAGACTACTGGCACGCTCCACCATAGCCGGCTAAGTTTTTTAGTTTTTGTAGAGAAAGGGTCTTGCATTGTTACCCAGGCTGGTCTCAACCTCCTGGCACAAACGATCCTCCCACCTCACCCTCTCAAGTAGCTGAGACTACAGGCATACACTACCACACCCGGCTTTTATGGATTTTTAAAACTGATTCATAATAGAGGTACATATTTTCAGGGTACGTGATATTTTGATACATTCATATCATGTGTAGAGATCAAATCAGGGTAATTGCAGTATCCATCATCTTAAAGGTTTATCTTTTCTTTATGCTAGGAATGCTCAAAATAGCTCTCCTACCTTTTTTTTTTTTTTTTTTTTCGAGACAGAGCTTTGCTCTTGCTGCCCAGTCTGGAGTGCAATGGTGCGATCTCAGCTCACTGCAACCTCCACCTCCCGGGTTCCAGCCATTCTCCTGCCTCAGCCTCCCGAGTAGTTGGGATTACAGGCAAGCATCACCACGCCTGGCTAATTTTTGTATTTTTAGTAGAGACAGGGTTTCACCATGTTGGCCAGGCTGGTCTCGAACTCCTGACCTCAGGTGATCCGACTGCCTTTGCCTCCCAAAGCGCTGGGATTACAGGCATGAGCCACCATGTCTGGCCTCTCCTAGCTATTTTGAAATGTATAATGGATTACTGTTTACTGTAGTCACCCTACTGATCTATCAAACACTAAGTCTTGTGTGCTCAAGAGCAGTGTGAGCACCCAGCTCAGCTGTCTGAGCTTGGCCCTGTCACTTTCCCTCCTGGAGCCTCAGTTTTCCCTTCTGTGAAATGGGTATATATTAGTGCCTGCCTCTAATACAGTGTTGTGAGGCTTCAGGAAGGGAGTATTTGGTTCCTGTACCTCTAGAGCAGGGGTTTCTTTCCTCTCTTTTCCTTTCTCTCTTTTGCTCTCTCTTTTTTTTTTTTAAACAGAGTCTCGCTCTGTCACCCAGGCTGGAGTGCAGTGGCATGATCTCAGCTCACTGCAACCTCTGCGTCCCGGGTTCAAGTGGTTCTCCTACCTCAGCCTCCCGAGTAGCTGGGATTACAGGCATGTACCACCACACCTGGTTAATTTTTGTATTTTTAGCAGAGACGGGATTTCACCATGTTAGCCAGGCTGATCTTGAACTCCTGACCTCAGGTGATCCACTCGTCTTGGCATCCCAAAGGGCTGTGATTACAGTTGTGAGCCACCAAACCTGACCCTTCCTCTCTCCTTCCTTCCTTCCTTTCCTCTCCTCCTTCCCTCCTTCCTTTATTTCTCTCTTTTTTTTCTTTCTCTTTCTTTCTTTCTTTCTTTCTTTCTCTCTTTCTTTCTTTCTTTTTTCTTTCCTTCTTTCTTTCTATTTTTCTTTCTTTCTCTCTGTCTCTCTCTCCTTTCTTTCTTTCTTCTTTCGGTCTTGCTCTATCACCCAGGCTGGAGTGCAATGGTGCAATCAGAGCTCACTGCAGCCCCAAACTCCTGGGCTCATGCTATCTTCCCACTTCAGCCTCTGGAGTAGCTAGGACTACAGATGCACGCCACCAGGCCTGGCTAATTTTTTTTTTTTTTTTTTTTTTTAGAGACAGAGTCTTGCTATGTTGCCCAGGCTGGAGTTTCTTGACCTGAGCACTGCTGACATTTGGGGCTGGGCCATTCTTTGTTGGGGGGTCCTGTCCTGTGCATTGGTGGATGTTTAGCAGGATCCCAAGTCGCAACAACCCTAAATGTCTCCAGACTGCAGGGACGCAGGCAACCACACAGGGAGGAAGCGGAGAGTCAATGCTCCCCACCTCTCTCCTCTGCCTTCTAACCTTCTTTTGAGGCTTTCTATTGGCTGAACCTAACTGAAGCCAGAGGACAAGGGAGCTATTAATGGGTTCTTTGTTTGTTTGTTTGCTTTTGAGACAGAGTCTCACTCTGTCTCCCAAGCTGGAGTGCAATGGCATCATCTCGGCTCACCGCAACCTCCGCCTCCTGGGTTCAAGCCATTCTTCTGCCTCAGCCTCCAGAGTAGCTGGGATTACAGGCATGGGCCACCACTCCTGGCTAATTTTCAGGTTTTGTTGTTGTTGTTGTTTGTTTGTTTGAGACAGAGTTTTACTCTGTCACCTAGGTTGGAGTGAAGTGGTGCGATCTCAGCTCACTGCAACCTCTGCCCCCAGGGTTCAAGTCATTCTCCTGCCTCAGCCTCCCGAGTAACTAGGATTACAGGCATGTGCCACCACGCCCGGCTAATTTTTGTATTTTTAGTAGAGCTGGGATTTCTCCATGTTGGCCAGGCTGGTCTCAAACTCCTGACCTCAAGTGATCCACCTGCCTCAGCCTCTCAAAGTGCTGGGATTACAGGCGTGAGGCACTGTGCCTGGCAATGGGTTCTTACATATCAGCCTCCTAGGCATGGAACAGGGCGGAAGAAGATGAAGAGTGGCCCATATCCCAAAGATACACCGCTCAGTTTTCCTTATTCCCCTCTGCATGCAAAGACTTCAGACTTCCATCACTGTCTGAAGGCTGTCCCGATCAGCTCCTGCCCCACTGCCCCTCTGTCACTCACGGGTGTCTCCCCCGTGAATCTCTTGTACTTTCTTTTTTTTTTTTTTTTTTTTGAGACGGAGTCTTGCTGTGTCGCCCAGGCTGGAGTGCAGCGGCGCGATCTTGGCTCACTGCAAGCTCCACCTCCTGGGTTCACGCCATTCTCCTGCCTCAGCCTCCCGAGTAGCTGGGACTACAGGCGTCCGCCACCACGCCCGGCTAATTTTTTTGTATTTTTAGTAGAGATGGGGTTTCACCGTGTTAGCCAGGATGGTCTCGATCTCCTGACCTCGTGATCTGCCCGCCTCAGCCTCCCAAAGTGCTGGGATTACAGGCGTGAGCCACGGTGCCTGGCCGAATCTCTTGTACTTTCAACTCCATCTCAGCATCAGCTTCTCAGAGGACCTGAACTGATGCAAGGGGCACGTCTTCGTCAGCTTGGACTGTGTATTAGTCAAGGCTCGCCAGAGAAACAGAACCAATAGGATATATATAGATACAGAGAAGGAGATCTATTATGAGAGATTGACTCATGTACTTATGGAGGCTGAGAAGTCCTACAATCTGCCATCTGCAAGCTGGAGACTCAGGAAAGCTGGTGGTGTGATTCCAGCCCAAACTCAAAGGCCTGCACACCAGGAGAGCAGATGGGGTAAGTCCCGGGTCCGAGACCAAAGGCCTGAGAACCAGGATTGCCAGTATCTGAGGACAGAAGAAAACGGATGTCCCAGCTGGAGCAGAGAGAATGAATTTAACCTTCCTCTGCCTTTTGGTTCTAGCCATGTCCTCAATGGATTGGATGATGCCCACCTACATTAGGGAGGGTGGATCTTCTTTCCTCAGTCTACTAATTCAAACACTAATCTCTTCCAGAAAGCCTCACAGACACAGGCAGAAATCATGTTTCACCAGGTCTCTGGGTACCCCTTAGTTAAGTTGATAACGCAGAATAAACATCACAGGCTGCCATAAGAAAATACGATAAATTGGCTGGGCGCAGTAGCTCACACCTGTAATCCTAGCACTTTGGGAGGCCGAGGCAGGTGGATCACCTGAGGTCAGGAGTTCGAGACCAGCATGGCCAACATGGTGAAACCCCGTCTCTGCTAAAAATACAAAAATTAGCCGGGCATGGTGTTGGGCACCTGTAATCCCAGCTACCTGGGAGGCTGAGGCAGGAGAATTGCTTGAACCCAGGACGTGGAGGTTGTAGTGAGCCGAGATCATGCCACTGCACTCCAGTCTGGGCAAGAGAGCAAGACTTTGTCTCAAAAATGACAACAACAAAGAAAATACCATAGACTGAGTGGCTTAAACAACAGAAATTTCCTTCTCACATTTATAGAGGCTGGAAGTCCAACAGCAAGGTGTCAGCAGAGTTGGTTCCTGGTGAGGACTCTCTTCTTGGCTTGCAGATGGCCGCCTTCTTGCTGTGTCCTCACATGGCCTTTCCTCTGTGTGCTTGAAGAGAGAGAGAGATCTCTGGCATCTCTTCCTTTCCTTATAAGGACACCAGTTTTATTGGATTAAGGCCTCACCCTGATGACCCCATGTAACTTTCATTACCTCTTTAAAGGCCCTATGTCCAAATATAGTCACATTGGGGGTTAGGACCTCACCATTTTAATTTGGAGGGGCACAATTCAGTCCATAATGGGACAAATGAAAAACATTCAGCACACAGCCAGCCTGCAAGCTCCCCAGTTACATATAGACTCACAGACCTTTCATGAATAGTGGCTGGATCCCCTCATTACTTTGTAGTTCAACGACAGGAGGACTGGAGTGGGGGTCTGCTGGGCTGCATGCAGTGGCTAGTATATGTATGGATGGGGTGTTTGGGATGGATGTCAGAAGCCCCCCAAAGGTGTAATTGATGCAGGACAGTGTTCCAGAGCTGAAGATCATCCCCCACCCCCATGACATGGGTTCCCAGCCCCCCTGCCCATCAAGGTTGTCCAGAGGCAGCTGCATAAGGAACAAGAAAGCCCCAGCGGGTGGTGCACCAGCCCAGTTCTCCACCTCTCCAAGTCCAAGCTGAGCAGACATGGGTGACTGCTTTCTGGTTCTATATTTGGTCAGGAGGAGGATTTCCTGTCCTTGAAAAAATTCCTGAGATCCTGGGAAGATGTGAAAGCCATGGCAATTTGAGGGGGGCAGGGAGGGGAAGGAATTGTATGCAGACAGTTCAGCTCAAATGAGAGGAGGACAACTAGGACCCCAAGTTGCAAAGTCTGGCTGCAAAACCAGAAGCTTGTGATGGAGCCCCACACCCCAGGGAGACAGGAGAGCATGGTAGGTGTATATTTAAATTAAATCCAGCAGTCCAGGCACGGTGACTCACACCTATAATCTGGGCACTTTGGGAGGCAAGGCGGGCAGATCACTTGAGTTCAGGAGTTCAAGACCAGCCTGGCCAACAAAAGGAAACCCCATCTCTAATAAAAATAGAAAAATTAGCCAGATGTGGTGGTGCACACCTGTAATCCCAGCTACTTGGAAGACTGAGGCAGGAGAATCACTTGAACCCGGGAGGCAGAGTCTGCAGTGAGCCGAGATCGCACCACTGCACTCCAGCCAGAGTGAGACTCCATGTTAAAAAAAAAAAACTGCTGAGCAAGGTGGCTCAAACCTGTAATCCCAGCACTTTGGGAGGCAGAAGCGGGCAGATCACTTGAGGTCAGGAGTTCGAGACCAGCCTGGGCAACATGGTGAAACCCCCGTCTCCAAAATTAGCTGAGCATGGCAGTGCGCTTCTGTAGTCCCAGCTACTCAGGAGGCTGGGGCAGGAGAATTGATTGAACCCAGAAGGTGGAGGTTGCAGTGAGCCGAGATCACGCCACTGCACTCCAGCCTGGGCATCACAACGAGACCCCGTCTCAAAAAAAAAACAAAATCCAGTAAACAGTTCAGACATGGTGGCTCATGCCTGTAGTCTCAACACTTTGGGAGGCCAAGGCAGTAGGGTTGCTTGAGGCCAGGAGTTCAAGACCAGCCTGGGTAACATAGTGAGAACTCGTCTCTACAAAAAATTTAAAAATCGCTGGGCGCGGTGGCTCACGCCTGTAATCCCAGCACTTTGGGAGGCTGAGGCAGGCAGATCACGAGGTCAGGATATCGAGACCATCCTGGCTAACACAGTGAAACCCTGTCTGTACTAAAAATACAAAAAAATTAGCTGGGCGTGGTGACAGGTGCCTATAGTCCCAGCTTGTCAGGAGGCTGAGGCAGAAGAATGGTGTGAACCCGAGAGGCGGAGCTTGCAGGGAGCCGAGATTGCGTCACTGGCCACTGCACTCCAGCCTGGGCAACAGAGCAAGACTCTGTCTAAAGAAAAAAAAAATGTAAAAATTTAGCCAGGTGTGTTGGCAGATGTCTGTTGCCCCAGCTGATTATGTGAGTTTGAGACTGGAGGATGGCTTGAACCCAGGAGGTTGAGGCTGCAGTGAACTATGATCACACCATTGTACTGCAGCATGGGCGACAAAATGAGACCCTGTCTCAATCAATCAATCAATCAATCAATAAAATAGAAATTGCCCTTTAAGCTAGGCACAGTGGCTCACATCTGTAATCTCAGCACTTTGGGAGGCCAAGGTGGGAGGACTGCTCGAGCTCAGGAGATCAAGGCTGCAGTGAGCTATGATTGTGTCACTGCAGTCCAGCTTGGGCAGCAGAGCAAGACCCCAACTCAAAAAATAAAAATTAAAATTAATTCATTAAATTCAGTAAACAAAACAGACAAAGTCCCTTGTCCTCACAGAGACAACATTCCAGTGGGGGAAGGCGACAATGAGTTAGTTAAATAAAATAAGTGGTAGGTTCAACAAGGAAAATAAAGTAAAGAAAAAAATAGGCTGGGCCCAGTGGCTCATGCTTGTAATCCCAGCACTTTGGGAGGCCGAGGCGGGCAGATCACAAGGTCAAGAGATTGAGACCATCCTGGTCAACATGGTGAAACTCTGTCTCTACTAAAAATACAAAAAAAATTAGCCAGGCGTGGTGGCATGCACCTGTAGTCCTAGCTACCTGGGAGGCTGAGGCAGGAGAATTGCTTGAACCTGGGAGGCAGAGGCTACAGTGAGCTGAGATTGCACCATTGCACTCCAGCCTGGGCAACAGAGTAAGACTCCATCTCAAAAAAGGAAAAAAAAAAAAAAAAAAAAAGCAAGGGAGACAAACAGGAAGTGCTGAGGATCGGGGTTGCAATTTTAATTGGGTGTCCAGGGAAGGCCTCACTGGGAAGGTGACTCCTTTTTTTTTTTTTTTTTTTTTTTTTGAGACAGTCTCGCTCTGTTGCCCAGGCTGGAATGCAGTGGCCCAATCTCAGCTCACTGCAGCCTCTGCCTCCTGTGTTCAAGCGATTCTCCTGCATCAGCCTCCTGAGTAGCTGGGACTACAGGCACGCGCCTCCATGCCTGGATAATCTTTTGTATTTTTAGTAGAGACAGGGTTTCACCACGTTGGCCAGGCTGGTCTTGAACTCCTGACCTCGAGCGATCTGCCTGCCTCGGCCACCCAAAGTGCTGGGATTACGGGCATGAGTCACTGCGCCTGGCCTGAAGGTGACTCTTGAGCAAAGAGTTGAAGGAGGTGAGGGAGTTGTATTAGTCAGTTATGGCTGCCTAACAAATTGCCCCACCCCCAAAATCTCAGCAACATGGATTATCTCACAGTGTCTGTGGGTCAGAAATCTGGATGTGGCTTAGGGCCACTCACAAGTCTGTAGTCAAGGCATCTGCTGGGCTATAGCCTTCCCAAGGTTCAACTGGGAAGGACCCACTTCCAAGCTCACACATGTGGCTGTTGTCAGAATTCAGTTCCCCACTGGCTGTTGGCTGAAGGCTAGTCTCAGTTCCTTGACACGTGGGTCTCTCCAAAGAGCATCTGAGAACATGGGCACTGACTTCATCAGAGCAAGCCAGCCAGTGGGCAAGACAGAGTGCTGACAAGAAGGAGGGAATTCAGCAGGACAGACATCATGGTTTTGTTTTGTTTTGTTTGAGATGGAGTCTCACTCTGTTGCCCAGGCTGGAGTGCAGTGGCGCGATCTCAGCCCACTGCATCCTCTGCCTTCTGGGTTCAAGCGATTCTCATGCCTGAGCCTCCCCAGTAGGTGGGACTACAGGCACCAACACACCCGGCTAATTTTTGTGTTTTTAGTACAGACGGGGTTTCACCATGTTGGCCAGGCTGGTCTCGAACTCCTGACCTCAAGCGATCTGCCTGCCTCAGCCTCCCAAAGTGCTGGCATTACAGGCATGAGCCACCATGCCCGGCCCAGACATCACGGTCTTTTATAACCTAATCTTAGAAGTGACATCCATCATTTTTGCCATGTTCTTTGGTTAGAAAGGAGCCCCTCGGCTGGGCGCGATGGCTCATGCCTGTAATCCCAGCCCTTTGGGAGACCGAGATGGGTGGATCACCTGAGGTCAGGAGTTGGAGACCAGCCTGGCCAACCTAGTGAAACTTCATTTCTACTAAAAATACAAATATTAGCTGAGCGTGGTGGCTCAAGCCTGTAGTCTCAGCTACTCGGGAGGCTGAGGCAGGAGAATCACTTGAACCCGGGAGGCTGAGGTTGCAGTGAGCTGAGATCACGCCGCTGCACTCCAGCCTGGGTGACAGAGTGAGACTCTGTCTCAAAAAAAGAAAAAAAAGAAATGAGTTGCTAGATCCAGCCCACACTCAAGGGGAGGGGATTAGACAAAGGCCTGAAGGCCAGGAGGCAGGGACCCTTGGAGGCTGTCTTAGATACTGCCTCCCACAGCAACCATCAGGGGGAACAGCATTCCAGGCAGAAGGAACGGCAAGTGCAAAAGCCTTGAAGCAGGAACAAGCGAAGCCATGTGGTCAGGACAAGAGGGAGTGCAGTGTGGCTGGAGCAGGAATTTGGGGGCGGGAGAGTTAGAACATGAAGACAGAGAGGCCAGCAGTGGTCCTGGGGACCCTATGAGAAGTAACTTTCTGAATTTTTTCTAAGAACCATGAGAAACCACAGTGCAATTTCAAGCCAACACATGATGTCATCTGATTTAAGATTCCTACGATACCTACTGAAGTAATATGGTATCTGGTATTTGATTTAAGAAATCTCTTTTTTTTTTTGAGATGGGGTATCGCTCTGTCACCCAGGCTGGAGTACAGTGGCACGATCTTGGCTCACTACAACCTCCGCCTCCCAGGTACAAGCATTTCTCCCACGTCAGCCTCCAAGTAGCTGGGATGACAGGGGTGCACCACCACACCCAGCTAATTTTTGCATTTTTAATAGAGACGGGGTTTCACCATGTTGGCCAGGCTGGTCTCGAACTCCTGACGTCAGGTCATCCACCTGTCTCGGCCTGCCAAAGTGCTGGGATTACAGGTGTGAGCCGCCACACCCCACTGAAAGCTCATTATTCTAAAAGTTGGGTGAGCAGGGCACAGTGGCTCACGCTTGTAATCTCAGCACCGAGGTGGGAGGATGGCTTGAGGCCAGGAGTTGGAGACCAGCTTGGGAAACATAGTGAGACCCCATCTTTACAAAAATAAAAAATTAACACACCTGTAATCCCAGCTGAGGCGGGTGGATCACGTGAGGTCAGGAGTTCGAGACCAGCCTGGCCAATGTGGTAAAACCCCGTATCTACTAAAAATACAAAAATTAGCCCAGCATGGTGGCACACTCCTGTCATCCCAGCTACTCAGGAGGCTGAGGCAGGAGACTCATGTAAACCTGAGAGGTGGAGGTTGTAATGAACCGAGATCACCACCACTGCACTCCAGCCTGGGCGACAAAGAGACTCCATCTCAAAAAAAAAAAAAAAAAAAAAAAAGGCCAGGTGCGGTGGCTCATGCCTGTAATCCCAGCACTTTGGGAGACCGAGGCGGGCAGATCACGAGGTCAAAAGAGCAAGACCATCCTGGCCAAGATGGTGAAACCCTGTCTCTACTAAAAATACAAAAAATTAGCCGGGCGTGGTGGCGCATGTCTGTAATCCCAGCTACTCGGGAGGCTGAGGCAGAATAGCTTGCTCATCTGCTGCTGGTTTGCATGTGAAATGGCACAACCACTTTGGAAAACAATTTTTATTTTTATTTATTTATTTTTAAGACGGAATCTTGCTCTGTTGCCCAGGCTGGAGTGCAGTAGCACAATATCCGCTCACTGCCACCTCCGCTTCCCAGGTTCAAGCGATTCTCTTGCCTCAGCCTCTGGAGTAGCTGGGACTACAGGCACGAACCACCACGCCCAGCTAATTTTTTGTATTTTTAGCAGAGACGGGGTTTCACCATGTTAGCCAAGATGGTCTAGATCTCCTGACCTCATGATCTGCCTGCCTCAGCCTCCCAAAGTGCTGGGATTACAGGCGTGAGCCACCGCGCCTAGCCGGGAAACAGTTTTTAAAATAAAGTTACATTGGGAGGCCAAGGCAGGCAGATTGCCTGAGGTCAGGAGTTCGAGACCAATCTGGCCAACATGGTGAAACCTCGTCTCTACTAAATATACAAAAGAAATTAGCCGGGTGTGGTGGTGGGCACCTGTAATTCCAGCTACTCATGAGGCTGAGGCAGGGGAATCGCTTGAACCAGGGAAGTGGGGGTTGCAGTGAGCCAAGATCATGCCACTGCAGGCCAGCCTGGGTGACAGAGTGAGACTCCATCTCAAAAAATATATAAAATAATTAATTTTAAAAAATAAAGTTAGACTTACCATTCATCCCAGCAATTCCATTGCTATACATTTACCCAAGAGAAAAGAAAGAATATATCCATATAAAGACTTGTTGGCAAATGTTCATAGCAGATTTGTTCAATTATTGCTGAAAAACTGGAAACAATCAAAATATCTACAGACAGGAGAATATAAATTAAGGCCCATCCATAGGATGTAGTAATTCTTAGCAACAAAAAGGAACAAACTACTGATTCACACAATGTTGATAAATCTCAGAATGCATGATGCTGAGTGGAAGAGAGACCACACTGTGTGATTTTATTTATCTGAAATTTTGCAAAAGGCTCAACTAATCTAAGGTGATAGAAATCAGAATAGTAGCCAGGTGCAGTGACTCACGCCTATAATCCCAGCACTTTGGGAGGCCGAGGTGGGCAGATCACTTGAGGCCAGGACTTTAAGACCAGCTTGGCCAACATGTCAAAACCCCATCTTTACAAAAAATACAAAAATCAGCGGGGTGTGGTGGCGTGTGCCTGTAATTTCAGCTACTTTGGAGACTGAGACATGAGAATCGCTTGACCCTGGGAAGTGGAGGGTGCAGTGAGCTGAGATCGTGCCACTGCACTCCAGCCTGGGCAACAGAGTGAAACTGTCACACACACAAAAAGAATTCAGGATAGTGGGCCCCACCCTATGGCTCACACCTGTAATCTCAGCACTTTGGGAGGCTGAGACAGGAGGATCGCTTGAGGCCAGGAATTCAACATCAGCCTGGATAACAGCAAGACCCTGTCTGTCTCTACAAAAAATACAAAAATTAGCTGGGCTTGGTGGTGAGGGCCTGTAGTTCCAGCTACTCAGAGGCTGAGACAGGAGAATTGCTTGAGCCTAGGAGGTAGAGGCTTCGGTGAGCTATGGTTGCACCACTGCACTCCAGCCTGGGCAACAGAGCAAGACCCTGTTTCTAAAAAGAAAAGAAAAGAGGCCGGGCACGGTGGCTCACGCCTGTAATCCCAGCACTTTGGGAGGCCGAGGCAGGCGGATCACGAGGTCAGGAGATCGAGACCATCCTGGCTAACATGATGAAACCCCGTCTCTACTAAATAATACAAAAAACAATTAGCCGGACGTGGTGGCCGGCGCCTGTAGTCCCAGCTTGTCGGGAGGCTGAGGCAGAAGAATGGCGTGAACCTGGGAGGCAGAGCTTGCAGTGAGCCGAGATCGCACCACTACACTCCAGCCTGGCTGACAGAGCGAGACTCTGTCTCAAAAAACAAAAAACAAAAAAAAAAAGAAAAGAAAAGAAAAATCAGGCCGGGCCTGGTGGCTCACACCTGTAATCCCAGTGCTTTGGGAGGCCGAGGCGGGCGGATCATCTAAGGTTGGGAGTTTGAGACCAGCCTGACCAGCATGGTGAAACCCCATCTGTACTAAAAATACAAAAATTAGCTGGGCATGGTGGTGCATGCCTGTAATCCCAACTACTCAGGAGGCTGAGGCAGGAGAATCGCTAGAACCCGGGAGGCAGAGGTTGCGGTGAGCCCAGATCGTGCCATTGCACTCCAGCCTGGGCAACAAGAGCAAAACTCCATCTCAAAAAAAAAAAAAAAAAAAAAAAAAAATCAGTGGAGTGGCTGTGGGTGGGGAATGGATGAAGGGACATTGATTTCTGGGCCGTCTGAATGGAAGTGTTCCTTACTTTGATGGGGTGGGGACACGGGGTCGTGCATGCAAATAATATGTGCAGGCTTGGGACTTCACCGCATGTAAATTAACTCTCAATAAAGTTCCAGGAAAAGTAATTCCAATTCCAGCAACCGGATTTTGGGCTCAGTTCGGAGGCTAGCCTGCAAGCCTTGCTGGTGGGTGGCCTGTAGGGGTGACAGGAAACCCCCCGGGCCTCCGCTCTTTAGGGGAGGGGGAGCCTCGCCCTTGCCCCCCTCCGGGACGAGCGGGCAGATCTAAAAGCTTCCCTACCGCCGCCCAGGCGGTCGATAGCAGACTCCCAGGCTCCGTTTCTGCCTGCCCGGCAGCCCGGGCCCTTCCCGCCAGCCCAGCCCCTGGGAGGGGACCCGAGCCGGGCGGAGCCTCCTCCGGAGCCGCACGCCGGGCTCGGCTCACCCTCCCCGGATGCCGCTCCTCCTCCATCCCCAGAAGTTTCAGCCACTGAGATTCCCCTTGTCCCGGAGGCTGGAGGGGAAGACCCAGGCGGCTGCGCTTTGGAGGCTGGACCATCGTGGGGCTTGTCTGTGCCCACTTTTCCCCCATTCAAGAGTTACCACTGCCAGGCGCAGTTGCTCAGGCCTGCAAACCCAGCACTTTGGGATGGCAAGACAGGAGGATCGCTTGAGCCCAGGAGCTTGAGAACAGCCTGGACAACATGGTAAGACCGCATCACTATATTAAAAAAAAAAAAAAAAAAAAAAAAAAAAAAAAAAGGCTGGGCGCGGTGGCTCACGCCTGTAATCCCAGCACTTTGGGAGGCCAAGACCGGCAGATCACAAGGTCAGGAGATTGAGACCATCCTGGCTAACACGGTGAAAACCCGTCTCTACTAAAAATACAAAAAATTAGCCAGGCGTGGTGGCGGGCGCCTGTAGTCCCAGCTACTCAGGAGGCTGAGGCAGGAGAATGGCGTCAACCCAGGAGGCGGAGCTTGCAGTGAGCCGAGATCGCGCCACTGCACTCCAACCTGGGCGACAGAGCAAGACTCCGTCTCAAAAAAAAAAAAAAAAAAAAAAAAAGAGGCTAGGTGCGGTGACTCACGCCTGTAACCCCAGGAGTTTGTGACCAGCCCGGCCAACATGGTGAAACCCCGTCTCTACTAAACACACACACACACACACACACACACACACACACACTCTTAGCCGGGTGTGGTGGCGGGCGCCTGTAATCCCAGCCACTCGGGAGGCTGAGGCAGGAGAATTGCTTGAACCTGGGAGGCGGAGCTTGCAGTGAGCCAAGATCGTGCCATTGCACTCCAGCCTGGGCTACAAAAGCGAAACTCCGTCTCAAAAAAAAAAAAAAAAAAAAAAAATTCAAGCCTAGTGGATTGGAAATACCACTTTCCCTGTCTTCCTTCATCCTTTCCTTAGTCACTATCTAGACACCCTTTTTACTGGGAGTCTGGGTTACAGGGTTACATTAACCAGAACCTTAAAGAGAAAAATACTGTAATTGCAAAAACGACCAGCCTTTTAAAATGGAACAAAAGAGACTAGAAAATATCAGAACCCACTGCACAGTAGAAATATGACTATGACTTCCTGAAACTTTTGTTTTAGTTCCAAACCTGGGTAGAAGGCCTACGTTGCAATGTAAAAAATTAATTCTTTGATTTGTGATCAAAGTGCTTGAAAGATGTGGTTATATATGATGTTTGAAATTGGTTTTCTTTTTTTTTTAATTAATATATCACAGAGGTCACGCTGTGTCAATGAATATAAGTTTTAGCACTTGAATTTTCTTTTCTTTTTTTTGAGACTGAGCCACCTTATCACCCAGGCTGGAGTGCAGTGGCGAGATCTCGGCTCACTGCAACTTTCACCTCCTGGGTTCAAGCGATTCTCCTGCCTCACCTCCCAAGTAGCTGGGATTACAGGCACCCACCAACACATCCAGCTAATTTTTGTATTATTAGTAGAGACAGGGTTTCACCAAGTTGGCCAGGCTGGTCTCGAACTCGTGACCTCAAGTGATCCGCCCACCTCAGCCTCCCAAAGTGCTGAGATTACAGGTGTCAGCCACCACACCCAGCTTTTAATTTCCTTTTCTTTGTTGAGACAGGTTCTCATTCTGTCACCCAGGTTGGAGTGCAGTGGTGCGATATGCGCTCACTGCAGCCTCCACCTCCTTGGGCTCAAGCAATCCTCCCCCCTCAGCCTCCCAAGTAGCTGGAAGTACAGACATGTGCCACCATGCCTGGCTAATTTTTTAGTTTTTGTAGAGTTGGGATCTGGCTATGTTGCCCAGGCTAGTCTTGAACTCCTGGGCTCAGGCGATCCTCCCACCTGGGCCTCCCAAAGTGCTGGGATTACAGGCATGAGCCACCATGCCCAGCCCACTTTCATTTTCTACTATGCATGTAGCCAATCCCCAGAGCCCAGGTACCTCCATTGTTTCCAGCCTCTTTTAAAGCTTTTCTTAATGATGGTAACAGCAAGCATCCTCTATGTGCCTGGCAGAAGGCTAAGCATTTCACACACTTTGCCTCATGGAGTCCTCATGAGAGGCCCATTTTACTGATGAGAAAATCTGGGAACCGTAACAATAAACCATATGACTTAGGTCACACAGCTTGAAGGTGGTGAAGCCAGAATTCGAACCCTGGCTGTCTGATTCCAGAGCTCTTAACCACCCTGTGTTAGTTATTCTTTTCTTTTCTTTTCTTTTTTTGAGACGAAGTCTTGCTCTTGTCCCCCAGGCTGGAGTGCAATGGTACAATATCGGCTCACTGCAACCTCTGCCTCCCAGGTTCAAGCAATTCTCCTGCCTCAGCCTCCCGAGTAGCTGGGATTACAGGCGCCTGCCACCACGCCCGGCTGATTTTTGTATTTTTAGTAGAGACGGCGTTTCACCATGTTGGCCAACCTGGTCTCGAACTCCTGACCTCAGGTGATCTGCCCGCCTCAGCCTCCCAAAGTGCTGGGATTACAGGCGTGAGCCACCGTGCCCAGCCTATTCTTTATAGTTCTCCACCTATTTGACTGATTATATCCCTGACATAAATTCCTAGAGGTGGATTTGCTGGGTCAGAGAATCCACATGCTTAAAGGTTTAATACTAATATCTAGAACACCATCCCAAGAAAGTTGTATCGTGGCCGGGTGCGGTGGCTGACATCTGTAATCCTAGCACTTTGGGTGGCCGAGGAGGGAGGATCACTTGAGATCAGGAGTTTGAGACCAGCCTGGGCAAGTCGTGAGACCCCATGTTACAAAAAGTTTTTAAAAAATTAGCTGGGTGTGGTGACCTGTACCTGTAGTCAGCTATTTGGCAGGCTGAGGTGGGAGGATTCCTTAAGCCTAGGAGGTTGAGGCTGCAGTGAGCCGTGATTGTGCCACTGCACTCCAGCATGGGTGACATAGTGAGACCCTGTCTCAAAAAATTAAAAAAAAAAAAGTTGTGTCAATTTAAACTCCCATGACCGTGCTCAAGTGTGCATTCCCAAAACTTCACACACACTCATAAGCTTGACAAGGAAAAGTGATTCTTCAGCTGAACGGTCAGATTGAGCATCTTTACAGAGGTTTGTTAAGCTCTCACTCCTTTGTGAACCCCCTATTCAAGCCCTGTGCCAATTTCACATTTGGGATGTTTGTCTTTTTTTTCTTATTGATTCATATGTGCTTTTTGTATATTAAGGCTCTTAATGATTTGTCTGCCATATACGTGGCAAACAATCTAATCTCCCTTGATCTTTTCTTTTCCTTTTTTTTCTTGAGATAGAGCCTCACTCCGTTGCCCAGGCTGGAATGCAGTGGCACCATAATAGCTCACCGCAATCACTGCAGCATCAACCTCCTGGGCTCAAGCCATCCTCCTGCCTCAGCCTCCTGAGTAGCTGGGACCACAGGTGTGTGCCACCATGCCCAGATAAATTTTTAAAAATTATTTTTGTAGGGATGGGGTCTCACTATGTTGCCCAGGCTGGCTATCTCCTCTGATCTGGGACTCCAGCTAGATCTCCTTTTATTGCCCAACTGGCCTCAATGAACATTTCTCTTCTGTCTAGGCCTCATTGCAGGTTGCATTTTATTGGCGGTTCCTCCAGAAACAAAAGCAGAGACTTTGAGATCTTATGAACCTCAGTCTTACCCAGAACACTTGAAGAACCCTTCAGCTTTCCATGGCAAGAAAGCTCAGGCCCTGGGGCCAGAAGCCACGGCTTTGTGTCTGGGTTCTGTAGTTTACTGCTATGGCTCCAGTTTCTGATTCCTCCAAGTTAAGATGGGTTGGTAAATTCTGCCACGCAGAATGCGCTTCTAGCCACGCCCACTGTGTATCAAACCATGCCCACTGTACATAAACCACGCCCTCTCATCTAGCTACGCCCACCAATCGTCTAGCCACGCCCACCTTCGAGTGGAGAGGTGTGATTAGAGCATTAAAGAGAGAGGCGTGATTAGAGCATTAAAAAGAAGTGAAGAACCGAAATAGTGAGGATCCTGGGCCAGGGGGAGGAGGAGGGAGAAGATCCCCTGGCCTCGATGGCTGGCAATTCCTTCATGCCCCTAGCACCCACCTGGTTAAAGAAAGGATAGCTGGGCGCAATGACTCACTCCTGTAATCCCAGCACTTTGGGAGGCCGAGGCAGGCAAATCTTGAACTTGAGGCCAGGAGTTCAAGACCAGCCTGATCAACATGGCAAAACCCCATCTCTACTAAAAATACAAAAATCAGCCGGTGTGGTCGTGTATGCCTGTAATCCCAGCTACTCAAGAGGCTGAGGCACGAGAATCGCTTGAACTCAGCAGGCGAAGGTTGCAGTGAGCCGAGATCACACCACTTCACTCCAGCCTGGGCAACAAAGCAAGACTGTCTCAAAAAAAAAAAAAAAAAAAGAAAAGAAAAGAAAAGAAAAAAGAAAAAGAAAATAAAAAAAAGAAAGAAGGAGGCACCTGGCTACTGTATTCCACCTTTCTCCTCACCCACTCTTTTTTTTTTTTTTTTTTTTGAGACGGAGTCCTTCTCTGTCATCCAGGCTGGAGTACAGTGGCACCATCTCGGCTCACTGCAACCTCCGCCTCCTGAGTTCAAGCTATTCTCCTGCCTCAGCCTCCCAAGTAGCTGGGACTACAAACACGCACCACTACCTCCGGCTAATTTTTGTATTTTTAGTAGAGATGGGGTTTTGCCATGTTTTTCAGGCTAGTCTTGAACTCCTGACCTCAAGTGGTCCGCCCGCCTCAGCCTCCCAAAGTGCTGGGATTACAGGTGTGAGCCACCACGCCCGGCCCTCACCCGCTCTTTAAAATATCCCTACCAGGGTCAATGGTTTATCTGTGCCTCAGTGTTCCCATCTGTAAAATGAGGATAATTTTAAGGATTACCTGAGTTAGCATCTGTGAAGGGGTTAGAATGGTACCTGGCACATAGTAGGCACTCAATAAATGGCATCACTGATATGGTTCCACGGATGGTTGTATTATTAATAGGAATAAAGTGTGGGATGGAAAAACGTTGCTCTGGGCACCTGGAACCAGCCCCAGGGGCACGTGGGGCTCTACACAGGCTCTTTACCCCATGCCAGCGGGAGGACACTTTGGGGGGAAACTGAGGCACTGACAATCCCCTGCCTTCCCAGCCCTGAGTCCTTCTCACCCATGCCCAGAGCCTCAGAGGCCAGCAAGGTGCCCCAAGGGAAAGCGACACTTCTGAACTGCGCTGCCTGGCACAATTACCGTTTTCATCCTCATTAAACTACATTTTCATTCTAATTAGAGTTTCACCGCCTCCCAGAGAGAAGGGCCGATTACTTTTCAGCATCATTAACACTGGCTCCCTCCCCACTTTCCTCCTCCCCTGCCCAGGCTCCCACTACACCAGGGCATTCTCTCTCTCTCTCTCCTTCACCCCATGGACCAGAGAGAAGCAACAGAACATTTATTGTCGCCTACTGGGTGCCAAGTTGGATGCTAGGAACCTTCCCCCACAGCCTCTTCGCCTTATCTTGGGCTGGTCTAATTTTCTTTTTGTCCCCAACACTTACCCCTTTTTGTTTTTGTTTTGTTTTGTTTTGTTTTGTTTTGTTGAGACAGGGTCTTACTCTGTCGCCCAGGCTGGGGTGCAGGTGCGTGATCTCGGCTCACTGCAACCTCCGCCTCCCGGATTCAATCGATTCTCCCACCTCAGCCTCCTGAGTAGCTGGGATTACAGGTGCACACCACCACCTGGCTAATTTTTGTATTTTTTTTTAGTAGAGAGGGAGTTTCACCAGGTTGGCCAGGCTGGTCTCAAACTCCTGATCCCAAGTGATCCGCCTGTCTTGGCCTCCCAAATTGCTGGGATTACAGGTGTGAGCCACTGCGCCCGGCCCCTTTTGAACATGCTCTATGCTTTATTTGTTCTTTTTATCCTCTGTCTCCCCCTCCCCAGAATGTCAACACCCACTCATGTCCCCCACGCACTCCTGGGCACGCTGACCCCACAGCTTCTAAGAACCAGCTCCCGAGAAGTGGCTCTGGCTGCTGAGTGGGTGGAAAGTATGGAGAACAAACACTCTCCTGGAGCAGACCTTGAGCAATGGCTGATGGGAGTTGGTGGATAAATATCCCAGCTCCCTCGCCCCTAGGTGGGCACCCTCTGAAGAGTGTGCTCTATTTGATTTCAGCATTCTCCAGCATAATTGAGTTGCCCACAGTGGAAACTGGCTCATAAACACCCTTCATTGGCTACCTGCCCTTCCCTTCCTCACTCTCCTTCTCCCCTACCCATGCTTACTGAGATCATCTCTCAGATCAACCATATCCTAGATCTCCCAGCCCCTTTGGAGTTCAGGCAAACCAGAGAGGGACTCAATACCCAAGGAACAGGTTAAGAAAGCCTCTGCAAAGCCAGGCACGGTGGCTCATGCCCGTAATCCAGTGCTTTGTGAGGCAGAGGCAGGAGGATCATTTGAGGCCAGGAGTTCAAGACCAGCCTGGCCAACATGGTGAAACCTCATCTCTACTAAAAATACAAAAATTAGCTGGGCATGGTGGCTCATGCCTGTAGTCCCAACTAGTTGGGAAGCTGAGGCAGGAGAATCAATTGAACCCAGGAAGCAGAGGCTGCAGTGAGCCGAGATCATGTCACTGCACTCCAGTCTGGGCAACAAAGCGAGACTCCATGTCAAAAAAAAAGAAAAAAAAAAAAAGACCAGCCTGGGCATCATAGTGAGATCCCATCTCTAAAAAAAAGAATTGGCCGGGTGTGGTGGCTCACGCCTGTAATCCCAGCACTTTGGGAGGCCGAGGTGGGTGGATCACAGGAGATTGAGACCATCCTGGCTAACATGGTAAAACCCCGTCTCTATTAAAAATACAAAACAAAATTAGCAGGGTGTGGTGGCGGGCGCCTGTAGTCTCAGCTACTCGGGAGGCCGAGGCAGGAGAATGGCACAAACCTGGGAGGCGGAGCTTGCAGCGAGCCGAGATTGTGCCACTGCACTCCAGCCTGGGCGACAGAGCGAGGCTTCGTCTCAACAACAACAACAAAAGAATTAGCTGAGCATGGTAGTGCATGCCTATAGGCCCAGCTATTTGGGAGGCTGAGATGGGAGGATCACTTGAGCCCAGGAGTTTGAGGCTGCAGTGAGCTATGATCGCACCACTGCACTCCAACCTGAGTGACAGAGAGAGACCCCATCTTTTAAAAAATAAAATAAAACAAAATAAAGAAAGCCTCCGCACCTCTCTCACTCTGGACAAAACCACTATTATGACCAGAATGCAGCATCACTGGGCAGCTATGACCTATATTTGAAATACATTCTTAGAAAGGTTCCATTTGGAAGGGAGTGCAACGTGCACAGCACTTTTGGGGAGCAACTTGGCAGAGTGCATTAAAACATGAAGTGCAGGCCGAGTGCAATGGCTCATGTCTGTAATCCCAGCACTTTGGGAGGCTGAGGCAGGTGGATCACTTGAGGTCAGGAGTTTGAAGCCAGCCTGGCCAACATGGCAAAACCCTGTCTCTACTAAAAATACAAAAATTAGCCGGGCTTGGTGGTATGCGCTTGTAGTCCCAGCTACTCAGGAGGCTGAGACAGGAGAATCGCTTGAACCCGGGAGGCAGAGGTTGCAGTGAGCCAGGATCGCACCACTGCACTCCAGCCTGGGCGACAGTGTGAGACTCCGTCCCAAAAATTAAAAAAAAAAGTGAAGTGCAGCCAGGTACAGTAGTTCACGCATGTAATCCCAGCACTTTGGGAGGCCAAAGTGGGAGGATCGCTTGAGCCCAGGGGTTCAAGACCAGCCTGGGCAACATAGCAAAACCCCGTCTCTGCAAAACAATATACAAAATTAGCCAAGCATGGTGGTGCTCACCTGTAGTCTTAGCTACTTGGGAGACTGAGGTGGGAGGATCCCCTGAGCCCTGGATATTGAGGCTGCAGTGAGCTATGATTGCACCACTGCACTCCAGCCTGGACAACAGAGCAAGACCCTGTCTAAAAAAAAAAAAAAATTAAATAAATAAATAAAGACACCAGCCATATTGGATTTAGAGCCCACCCTAATCCAATGTGACCTCACATTAACTTAACTGATTATATCTGCAAAGACCCTGTTTCCAAATAATTCATTCAGGAGAACCCAGGGTTACGACTTCATTTTTTTTTTTTTTTGAGACACTCTCGCTCTGTCGCCCAGGCTGGAGTGCAGTGACGTGATCTCCACTCACTGCAACCTCTGCCTCCTGCATGCCACCATGCCCAGCTAATTTTTGTATTTTTGGTAGAGACAGAGTTTCACCATGTTGCCTAGGCTGGTCTCAAACTCTTGACCTCAAGCAATCCACCCACCTCAGCCTCCCAAAATGCTGGGATTACAGGCATGAGCCACTACACTCAGCCTTCTGTT
Source organism: Homo sapiens (assembly GCF_000001405.40). Classification (NCBI taxonomy): domain Eukaryota; kingdom Metazoa; phylum Chordata; class Mammalia; order Primates; family Hominidae; genus Homo; species Homo sapiens. Next base: position 14,342,202 of record NC_000019.10, read on the forward strand.
TTTTGTTGTTTGTTTGTTTGTTTGTTTTTAATAGAGATAGGGTCTTGCTGTGTTTTTAATAGAGATAGGGTTGCCCAGACCAACCTCAAACTCCTGGCCTCAAGCAATCCTCCTGCCTTAGCCTCTCAAAATTCAAATTATAGCCTGGGAACAGGCATGAGCCACCGCACCTGAATCAACATATCTTTTTTTTTTTTTCCGAGACACGGTCTCGCTCTGTCACCCGGGCTGGAGTGAAATGGTGCGATCTCGGCTCACTGTAACTTCTGCCTCCCGGGTTCAAGCGATTCTCCTGCCTCAGCCTCCTGAGTAGCTGGGCCTACAGGCAAGTGCCACCACGCCCGGGTAATTTTTGTATTTTTAGTAGAGACGGGGTTTTGCCATGTTGGCCAGGCTGGTCTCCAACTCCTGACCTCTGGTGATCTGCCGGCCTTGGCCTCCCAAAGTGCTGGGATTACAGGTATGAGCCACCGTGCCCGGTCGATAGCCCCATTTTACAGACAGAAAACTGATACCCAGGTACATGGATTCCCTGTGAGCAGATCACACCGCTGGTAAGAGGCAGAGCTGGTCTCAGTGGCTGCTGAGCCCTTACGTGTATATGACATGAAACGCACATGGTCATTTATGTATTCCAACAACCTTGCAAGGCAGAAAATACCTTCATGTTATAGATGAGGAAACGGAGGCAAGGAGCGAGTAAGCAACTTGCCTGAGGTCAGGTGGGTGCCAGAGCAGGGACTTGAGCCTCGGTAGCTGACCATGGGACCCTCTGGGGGACCACGGGCTCCATCTCCTGGGCGTTGGAGTGAGGGTCTCTTTCAGCACAAATGTTCCATAGCCATAGGGAGAAACAGGGACTGCAGCCTAGTCCCCCAGGACTGGGCCAGGGAGAAGCCCTGACTGGTTAAGACCTTCCAGGTAGGCTGGGCGTGGTGGCTCACACCTGTAATCCCAGCACTTTGAGAGGCCAAGGCAGGCAGATCACGAGGTCAGGAGTTCGAGACCGGCCTGGGCAACATGGCGAGACTGCATCTCAAAAAAACGACAAAAGACGTTTCAGGTGGCGCTACCCATAGGCCCTGCTCTTGGTCCAGGCAGCAACTGCCACGCTCTGGGGACCCCAGTCAGCTTCTAGGTATTTCAGAGCCTGAGGATCTACCAGAGCCGCTCTCACCGCACAGGGGGTTTTTAATGAATGCTAATTAATATCTGTGTTCACAGAGCCAGCCAGGCCCCTGGGCCTGGAGCATCCACAGGAGGAAAGTACAAGAACCCTGGCACCCTGCCAAGCAGCAGGGATTCTTCAGACACCCAAGGGCTGGTTTGCTGGGAAGGACTCATGTGACCAGAAGGGGAAACTGAGGCACTGCTGAGCACCAACAGTCCTGGAGAGCTTTAAGAATGGTTGCCATCTGAGGCCAGGCATGGTGGTTTATGCCTGTAATCCCAGCACTTTGGGAGGCCAAGGCAGGCAAATCACTTGAGGTCAGGAGTTCGAGGCTGTCAGGCCTCTGAGCCCAAGCTAAGCCATCATATCCCCTGTGACCTGCATATACATCCAGATGGCCTGAAGCAACTGAAGATCCACAAAAGAAGTGAAAATAGCCAGTTCCTCCTTAACTGATGACATCCCACCATCGTGATTTGTTCCTGCCCAACCCTAACTGTTCAACTGACTTTGTGACAATATACCCTCCCCGCCCTTGCAATAATGTACTTTGTGATATTCCCCCGCCCTTATGAATGTACTTTGTAGGATACACCCTCCCCACCCTTGAGAAGGTAGATTGTAATATTCTCCCCACCCAACTTGAGAATGTACTTTGTATGATCCACCCCCTGCCTGCAAAAAAATTGCTCCTGGCTGGGCGCGGTGGCTCATGCCTGTAATCCCAGCACTTTGCGAGGCCGAGGTGGGTGGACCACGAGGTCAGGAGATCGAGACCATCCTGGCTAACATGGTGAAACCCTGTCTCTACTAAAAATACAAAAAATTAACCAGGCATGGTGGTGGGCGCCTGTAGTCCCAGCTACTTGGGAGGCTGAGCCAGGAGAATGGCGTGAACCTGGGAGATGGAGCTTGCAGTGAGCCAAGATTGCGCCACTGCACTCCAGCCTGGGCGACAGAGCGAGACTCAGTCTCAGAAAAAAAAAAATTGCACCTAACTCCACCACCTATCCCAAACCTATAAGAACTAATGATAATCCCATCACCCTTTGCTGACTCTCTTTTCGGACTCAGCCCTGCCTGCACCCAAAAAAAAGCTTTATTGCTCACGCAAAGCCTGTTTGGTGGACCCTTTTCACACGGATGCACGTGACAGAGACCAGCCTGGTCATCATGGTGAAACCCTGTGTCTACCAAAAATACAAAGATTAGCCAGGCATGGTGGTGCACACCTCTAATCCCAGCTACTTGGGAGGCTGAGGCAGGAGAATCTCTTGAACCCATGAGACGGGAGGCAGAGGTTGCAGTGAGCTGAGATTGTGCCACTGCACTCCAGCCTGGGCAACAGAGTGATACCCTGCCCTGTCCCCTTCCCACCACAAACACACAAGAATGGTTGCCATTTGAAAGGAACAAAGAAATGGGTATTGGAGACCCCAGAGCCATCAGCTTCCACAAGAGCTCTGGACCTCACCCCAGCCTCAGCTTCCTCATCAGTAAATGGGAACATGAATTCCTTTCCTTATATGTAGTAGGCATAAGAACTCATTAAGCATTTATGCATGTGAAATGCTTTGCAGATAATCAGTTTCCAATAGGTGTTAACTCCCTTTCCCTGACTGTGCCTCAGTTTTCCTCTTGGGCATACAAGAAGCTGGCAGGGCTTTGAGGCTACCCTCTGGGAGAGCTTTGGGCATGGTGCCTTGACTCAGACCTCGGAGCAAGTACGAAAAATCACTTCCGATCGGCCTCATTAATAACACAGTTGCTAATGTGGCAGTAAGACAGTTCCCTGGCCCCTGATTAAAAACAGAAGTTTCCCCCACATTCGTGGAGATGGAGCAGAAGGGAAAACAAAGACAAGCACACTTGTGCCAGATAAATACAGACGCAAACACATGCATGGCAGATAAACACACACTGGCACACCAAATATACACACAGCCGGCTGCAGACATCCGGGTGGGCTCGCACAGCCCGAAGAGACCAAAAGCCCGGGTGGGCTCGCACAAAAAGGAACAGAAACCGCTGCAGAGATGTCCCGCTGGACCCTGGCCACATCTGGGACCTGATCACTTCAGTGTACTTGAACAGGAGACAGAGTGTGGGAAATTGACATCCCTGGGAGTAGCCCTGAGCCAGAAATGGAATGAGTTGGTGGATAAATACCCCAGCTCCCTCCCCAGCATATGCCTAATCCACAGTCTCCCAGAGACCCCTGGAGGGATCAGGCCCCAGTTTTCCGTAGTGACAACCTGTTTGATATCCCTTGTCATCTCTCTTCTCCCCTCCCCAGGTTTCCTGTGTTCATTTCCCAAATAAACCACTTGCCCTCCAACCCTCTATCAGGGTCTGTTTCTGACCTGTATGTGTACCTCCCAGAAGTATACACAGCAATGGGTCTCAATGAGGGTAACTCTGTCACCCAGGAGACATTTGGCAATGTCTGAAGGTATTTCTGGCTGTAAAATTGGGGCAGGGGGCCAGACACAGTGACTTACACTTGTAACCCCAGCACTTTGGGAGACCAAAGTGGGCGGATCACTTGAGGTGAGGAGTTCAAGACCAGCGTGGCCAATATGGGGAAAACTCCATCTCTACTAAAAATACAAAAATTAGCCAGGTGTGGTGGTTAGTGCCTGTAATCCCAGCTACTCGAGAGGCTGAGGTGGGGGAATCACTTGAACCTGGGAGGCAGAGGTTGCAGTGAGCCAAGATCATTCCACCTCACTCCAGCCTGGGCGACAGAGTGAGACTCCATCTCAAAAAAAAAAAAAAAAAAAAAAAATGGGGGCAGGGGTACTCCTGGCATTTAGTGGGTCCAGTTCAGGGACGCTCAATGTCCTACAAGGGACTGGGCAAGGTGGCTAAGGCCTGTGATCCCAGCACTTCGGGAAGTCAAGGCACGAGGATCACTTGAGGCCATGAGTCCAAGGCCAGCCTGGGCAACATAGCAAGACCTCATCTCCCCTGCAAAAAAAAAAAAATCCTACAAGGCACAGAACAGTTCCCCAGAGCAAAAAATGATGTGGCCCCAAATGTCAAGAGTGCTGACATTGAGAAACCCTGGTCTACGGGAAGCCACTGGGCCCCACGTGGAAACAGCTCAGTGCACGCACATTATTCAAATGCAGACACAGTGGGTGCACCGGCAGCATTAGACCACACATACCCACTGTGCACCAAGTCCTTGAACTAAGGAAACAGCAGGATCATCCACACCTGGTGTGTTTTCCTACCAAGATGTATAAACCAGCAGAGGAGACCCCCAATTCCACCCAGATGTGGGGCCCTGCCCAGACCAGCTTTTTGTGCAACTCACAGACACCCTGGAAAGTGGTTCAATGACCATTAAAACCATTTTAGAGACGAGGCAACTGAGGCCCAGACAGGGTAAGTGTTTTGTTGTTGTGTTTTTGTTTTTGTTTTTTGAGATGGAGTCTTGCTCTGTTGCCCAGGCTGGAGTGCAGTGGCACCATCTCAGCTCACTGCAACCTCTGCCTCCTGGGTTCAAACGATTCTCATGCCTCAGTCTCCCAAGTAGCTACAGGCGCGTGCCACCACACCCAGCTAATTTTTGTATTTTTAGTAGAGACAGGGTCACTCCATGTTGACCAGGCTGGTCTCGAACTCCTGATCTTAAGTGATCCTCCCACCTTGTCCTCCCAAAGTGCTGGGATTATTGGCATGAGCCACTGTGCCCAGCCCAGACAGGAGAAGTTTATGACCCAGCTAGAAACCCAGAGACCCCTTAGGCATGTGTAGACATGCTTTTGAAGGCAAAGAGGGTAGGATGAAAGGAGACCCTCCCCACCATCATCTCGGAATTGAGATAAGGAGGGACAGGAAGGGCTTTAGCTTCCCAGAGGGAATCCTGTATCACTTTGGGTAACTAGAAAATCTATTGAAAAATGTTTTTAGGCTGGGCGAGGTAGTGCTCACCTGAAATCTCAGCACTGAGGGAGCCTGAAGCAGGAGGATGTCTTGAGCCCAAGAGTTGGAGACCAACCCGGGCAACATGGCAAGACTTCTCGTCTCTGCAATAAATAAAATACAATTTTTGTTGTTGTTGTTGTTTGTTTGTTCTTTTGAGACGAAGTTTCGCTCTTTTTGCCCAGGCTGGAGTGCAATGGCGTGACCTCAGCTCACTGCAACCTCTGCCTCCCGGGTTCAAAGGAGTCTCCTGCCTCAGCCTCCCGAGTAACCGGGATTACAGGCGCATGCCACCACGCCCAGCTAGTTTTGTATTTTTAGTAGAGACGGGGTTTCGCCATGTTGGCCAGGCTGGTCTTGAAATCCTGACCTCCAGTAATTCACCCGCCTCAGCCTCCCAAAGTGCTGGGATTATAGGCGTGAGCCATGACGCCCAGCCAAATACAATGTTTTTTAAACATACATTGTTTTTTAAACATTGGCTGACTCTTGGCCAAGCATCACGCCTGTAATCCCAGCACTTTAGGAAGCTGAGGCGGGCAGATCACTTGAGGTCAGGAGTTTCACACCAGCCTGGTCAACGTGGTGAAACCCTGTCTCTACTAAAAATACAAAAAATTAGCTGGGCGTGGTGGCGCGTGCCTGTAATCCCAGCTACTCGGGAGTCTGAGGCAGGAGATGGCTTGAACCCAGGAGGCAGAGGTTGCACTGAGCCAAGATCCTGCCACTGCACTCCAGCCTGAGTGACAGAGCAAAACCGTGTCTCAAACAAACAAACAAACAAAATGGGCTGACTCTGGACTCACACAGGCCTGGTGTCTCCAATCCCAGCCTTGCCATTTTCTGGCTCTATGAACCTGGGTGAGCCGCATCGCCTCCCTGAGCCTCAGTTTCCCCATCTGTAAAACGGGGATTCACCCATTCACCATTCCACAAATGTGCACCCAAGACCCACTGACACCAAGCGCTGCGCCCAGCTCTAACCTATATAAAGTTAAGGAAGAACACGAACATGGTAAGTGCGTCTCCCCCTCCCCCAGGCATGGAGCTGCTGAACTAGTTTTGGGAATGGAATCAGAGCACGCGTGGACAGATGGAGGGAGCCCTCAGCTGCCCGGACTCTGCAGCCCACCACCCCCACTCTTCTCAGATCCCCCTCGTTTGACCAAAAAGCCCCTCTACCACGAGGTAGGACCCCAAGCAGGATCCCAGGGACTGGCGTCCAAATCCGGGCCAGGAACTGACCCCAGCAGCCAGACCCGGGACGGGGCTAAAGCTCGGGTTTTTCCACCTCCGCTTCCCGCCACTGCAGCGCGGGGAGCGAGCGCCACCTGTGGGCCTCCAAGGGGAGGTGCGTGCGACTCCCGGGGAGGTGGACGGTCGCCCCCGTTTCTCCCCAACCCGGGGGACCTCGGGCCCTCCAGGAGTTTCGGAAACAGCTCTCATCTCTTAAATTCTCCTCCACAACCCACTTTTCCCGGCTGCCATTTCCCAGCTAGAACTCGTCGTCCATGCATTCATGCAACATTTATTGAGCACCTACTGTGTGTATTGAGCAAACCTAGATCATTGCTCTAGGTTTAGAGTACACAGAAGACAGAATGGGGCTGGCTCAGGCCTGTAACCCCAGCCACTCAGGAGGCTGAGGTGGGAGGATCACTTGAGCCCAGAAGATGGAGGCTGCTGTGAGTCATGATGGCACCATTGCACTCCAGTCTGAGAAACACAGCGATACCCTGTCTCTAAAAGTAAAAAGAGGCCAGGTACAGTGGCTCGGCCAGGCACGGTGGCTCACGCCTGTAATTCCAGCACTTTGGGAGGCCAAGGCGTGCGGATCACGAGGTCAGCAGTTCGATACCAGCCTGACCGACATGGTGAAACCCCCTCTCTACTAAAAATACAAAAATTAGCCAGGCGTGGTGGCGGGCGCCTGTAATCCCAGCTACTCAGGAGGCTGAGGCAGGAGAATTACTTGAACCCAGGAGACGGAGGTTGCAGTGAGCAGAGATCGTGTCACTGCACTCCAGCCTGGGCGACAGAGCAAGACTCCATCTCAAAAAAAAGAAAAAAAATGGAAACAAAACAGATAAACCTCCATGCCCTTCTGGAGCTTACAGTCCAAGGGAAGAGAGAAGAGAGGAGGAAGAGGACAACAGGCTGCAAGATCATTGCTGATGGCAGTAAGTGCAGTAAGTGTTCTGAAGGAGAAAGTATATACAGGGATGTCACTGAAGCACCTGCTGTGGGTAGAGTGGGTGGAGTGGGCTCTGAGGAAGTGACGCTTATCCTGAGGCCTGAGAAGAATAAAGCCCCAGCCATGCCGAGTCTGGAGCCAGGATTTCCAGTAGAAGGCGCAGCCAGCGCAAAGGCCCTGTGGCAGAAAGGAGCTCGGGTGTTGAACAGTGGGAAAGGAGGTCACAGTAGCCAGAGCCGAGAGATGAAGAAACAGGTGGGCTGCGATGTCAAGGCCTATTTTGGAGACAAATCTGATCTCTCACTCCCCCTGAGGAGTCACCTCCTAAAAGCCCGAGGGGAGAAGAAGGCTCACACTGAGCTAAAAGCCCTCCAACACCACCAGCTGCACCCTTCTCGTCGCCCACCCACAGATATGGTGTCGCCCACAGAAAGAAGCCCTGGCCCATGCACTGTCCCCCTACCCACCCCACCACTCTCCCAGGACTTTGCCTCTGACCATATTGACCCCAATTATGCAGTTAAGGTGCACGTGGTCGGCTCTGCTTGCAAAGTCCCCTTCTTACCCCCTGCCCATCTCCCTGGGAGACACAGGGAACCATGCAATGTGCCTTCCAAGACCAATGCTTGGCCAGGCGCGGTGGCTCATGCCTGTAATCCCAGCACTTTGGGAGGCCGAGGTGGGCGGATTGCCTGAGGTCAGGAGTTTGAGACTAGCCTGGCCAATATGGTGAAACCCCGTCTCTACTAAAAATACAAAAATTAACCGGGCGTTGTGGCAGGCACCTGTAATTCCAGCTACTCGGGAGGCTGAGGCAGGAGAATCACTTGAACTTGGGGGGCAGAGGTTGCAGTGAGCTGAGATTGTGCCACTGCACTCCAGCCTGGGTGAAAGAGTGAGACTCCGCCTCAAAAAAAAAAAAAAAAAGTTGCCAGCCCCACACACGGACCTCAGCCCGGCCTGCCCCCTTTGCCTTCATACTCCCGAGAGCAGTCTCCCCATGTGGCCTGACAACCCCAAAAGGGACTATGCAGGGAGGAGATCTGGTTTCATGAACATTGCTCTTGGGATCCCTGCCTGGGGGTGGCCACGAGAGAGGCTGTGGGTCTTGCGCAGCCACAGAAGGGGAGCAGAGCCCTGTCCCCGACTCCCCGCCAGTGCAGAAGGGGTACACCCTCTCTCCACAGCCTGGCCTCAGTTCTGGGGACTGCCTGGCTATTGGGGAGAGGGCAGAGCCTCTTGGAGCTTGTAATTAAGGCTTCAGAGGCACCGACTTAATTACTACCTTGTGAAGGGTTAATTACCCCTAATTGTTCAGGAATCAGGCAATTTTTGTGCCTTCAGAGAATCAAAATATTTTCCCTTCCAGAAGTGCCTCCTCCCTTTTGCTTTTTCTAATTTCCCTGCAAGGAGGGGCACGATGGGCTGGGTGGGGTCCGGAGGATCGGAAACCACCAGTCTCCCCTCAGAGAACACACTTGCCGGGCCTGCCGCAAGCAAGAGCGGGATTCAGAGGAGAGAGGTTCCCAGCCAGCTCAAGGCAGGAAGACTTCCTGGAAGAGGTGGCCATGGGTTGGTCTTAAGGACCCCAAGTCAACCTCCCAGGTAAGCCAAGGGCTCCTAGAATTCTGTGCCACCTAGAGGGTAGCAGGGCCTGGGGAAGCTGGAGCTGATGGTTTCAGGCATGGGAATGCTGCCTGGAGTCTCAGTTTCCTCACTTGTTAAATGGGGCCAGGGCTGCGATGAGCCAGGCAGAGTGAGCAGGGAATAAAGGCTGCCCTCGGAGATGAAATCCTGGTGGGCACCGAGAAGACATCACTCATCTGCAGCTCATCTAGCTTGTTGCTCCTCTGCCTGGGTTTGTAGTAATGTAAGAATTAGGGCCCACCCACTTCCCAGCCCTCATCTCCCTGCCTTCCTCCTAACCCCCTTGATGGGCTTTGAACACACCGCACTGGTTCCCAACTCAGAACTTTTGTCCCTGGTGTTCCCCCTGCCTGGCTTACTTTCCCCCCTGATGGTGCTGTGTCTGAGAAGCTTTTGTCCTGAAATGTCACCTCCTCCAGGGAGCCTTCCCTGACCACCCTCTCTCCCCTGAACCACTCCTTCCTGGGAATTCTCCAGCTTATCACACTTCTTCTTTTTTTTTTTTTTTTTTTTCAGGTGGAGTCTCGCTCTGTCGCCCAGGCTGGAGTGCAGTGGCGTGATCTCTGCTCACTGCAAGCCCCTCCTCCCAGGTTCACACCATTCTCCTGCCTCAGCCTCCTGAGTAGCTGGGACTACAGGCACCCGCCACCACACCCGGCTAATTTTTTGTATTTTTAGTAGAGACGGGGTTTCACCGTATTAGCCAGGATGGTCTCCATCTCCTGACCTCGTGATCCGCCTGCCTCGGCCTCCCAAAGTGCTGGGATTACAGGCGTGAGCCACTGCGCCCGGCCTTCTATCTCTCTTTTGCTCTCTCTCTCTCTCTTTTTTTTTTTTTTTTGAGATGGAGTCTCACTCTGTCACCCAGGCTGGAGTGCAGTGGCATGATCTGGGCTCACTGCAACCTGTGCCTCCTGGGTTCAAATGATTCTCAGGCCTCAGCCTCCCGAGTAGCTGGGATTACAGGCGCACACCACCACACCTGGCTAATTTTTTAATATTTTTAGTGGAGATGGGGTTTCACCATGTTGGCCAGGCTGGTCTCGAACTCTTGACCTCAAGTGATCTGCCCACCTCGGCCTCCCAAAGTGCTGGGATTACAGGCATGAGCCGCTGTGCCCGGCCCTTGCTCTCTGTTTTTACAGAGACAGGGTCTCACTCTGTTGCCCGGGCTGGAGTGCAGTGGTATGCTCATAGCTCACTACAGCCTTGAACTCCTGGCCTCAAGCGATCCTCCAAAGTAGCTGGGACTATAAGCACGCACCACCACATCTAGATAATTTAAAAATAGTTTTTTGCAGCGATGGGGTCTTGTTATGTTACCCAGACTGGTCTCAAACTTACGGCCTCAAGAGATCCTTCTGCCTCTGCCTCCCAAAGTGCTGGGATTACAGGCATGAGCCACTGCCCCTGGCCACACTTTTACCTCTCTTATGTAAATTGCCTTGTTTAGATCCTGGCTGGGTGACTCAGGGCCCAGTATCCTCATCTGTGAAATGGGGGTGATGACAACAGCCTCCTCAGAGTTCCAGACCTGACTGTGGTGGCCGTGGGGGTCCGGTGGGTTGAGACCTTCTTCTATGGCCAAGGAGTGGACTTGGGGGAGCAGGGCAAGTGAGCCAGGAGCAGGGGCCAGAGGGCCGGAGCAGGGCAAGTGAGCAAGGCTCAAGTGATGGGTCAGTCAGAAGGGGTTAGAGGACTGACATGGTGTCTCACGCCTGTAATCCCAGCACTTTGGGAGGCTAAGGCGGGCAGATCACTTGACATCAGGAGTTCGAGACCAGCCCGGGCAACATGGTGAAAGCCCGTATCTACTAAAAATATGAAAATTAGAGGCCGGGCGCGGTGGCTCATGCCTGTAATCCTAGCACTGCGGGAGGCCGAGGTGGGTGGATCAGGAGGTCAGGAGTTTGAGACCATCCCAGCCAATGTGGTGAAACTCTGTCTCTACTAAAAATACAAAAATTAGCTGGGCATGGTGGCATGCGCCTGTAGTCCCAGCTACTCAGGAGGCTGAGGCAGGAGAATCGCTTGAACCCGGGAGGCAGAGGTTGCAGTGAGCCTAGATTATGCCACTGGACTCCAGCCTGGACTCCACTGGCAGCCTCACAGAGGGAGACTCCATCTCAAAAAAAAAAAAAAAAGAAAGAAAGAAAGAAAAAAAGAAATTAGCTGGGCATGGTGGCGGGCACCTATAGTCCCAGCTACTCAGGAGGCTGAGACACAAGAATCACATGAACCCAGGAGGTGGAGATTGCAGTGAGCAAAGATCGCACCACTGCACTCCAGCCTGGGTGACAGAGCGAGACTCTGTTTCAAAAAAAAAAAAAAAAAAAAAGGGCGTGGTTAGAGAGGAGGCAGACTTGGGAACAATGGGTATACTGTTATGACCTCATTTTATAGATGGGGAAAGTGAGGCCCCAGAAAGGTGAAGTCACTTAGCGAGGGCACGCAGCCCTCTAGTGGGGGAGCCATAATTCATTCCCATACTGGGCAGAGTCCCCCACACAGAGTGGGGGAGGGGATGGCAGGGGAAGGCGGAGGAGGGAATGATGGGTGGAGAGCTGTTTGGCAGAAAGGTGAAATACGGTTTTGATTCAGCTGTGTTGGAGGACATAGTGACTCTGCCAAGATATAGTAGAGATTAAATTAGGCGCGCTGGCTTACGCCTGCAATGTCAGCATTTTTGGAGGCTAAGGTGGGCCGATCACTTGAGGTCAGGAGTTTGAGACCAGCCTGGCCAACATGGCTAAACTCCGTCCCTACTAAAAATACAAAAATTAGCCAGGCATGGTGGCAGGTGCCTGTAATCCCAGCTACTCGGGAGGCTCAGGCAGGAGAATTGCTTGAACTGGGAGGCAGAGGTTGCAGTGGGCCAAGATCATGCCACTGCACTCCAGCCTGGACCAGAGTTGGTCCTGAAAAAAAAAAAAAAAAAAGAGAGAGAAAGGAGGAAGGAGGGAGGGAGAGAAGAAAGAAGAGAGTGAGCAAGGGAGGGAGGGAGAGGTGGTTGATTGGGGAAGACTATTCTAGTTGCAAGTAAAAAATCCAAACCCAAACTGGCTTAAAGAAAAAATAATGATAATTTATTGGTTTGTGTCATTGAAAAGTTTAAGATATGTTGGCTTCAGGGACAGCTGGATTCACGGGCTCAAACAAAGTAATCTGGCTGGGTGTGGTGGCTCATGCCTGTAATCCCAGCAGTTTGGGAGGCCAAGGCAGGAGGCTTGCTTGAGCCCAGGAGTTTGAGACCAGCCCGGGCAACATAGTGAAACCTCATCTCTATAAAAAAAAATTAAAAAATAAGGAGGGAGGATCACTCGAGCCTGGGAATTGAGGCTGCAGTGGAACCATGATCGTGCCACTGCACTCACACCTGGGTGACAAAGTGAAGCCCTGCTTCAAAAGAAGAAAATAATAATTCCTGGGCTCCCTCTGATTGGACAGTTTGGGGTCACATGTCATTTAGGAACCAATCACAGTGGCTAGAAAGGATAGAATGAGTCCATGAGCCACTCCTGTTGATGAGGGTGGGGATGGCCCTACAGACCTCAGTAGACAAAGAGTGTAGGCAAAAGTGACAATTTATTCAAGAAACATTTATTTATTTATTTATTTTGATTTATTTATTTTTTTGAGACACAGTCTCGCTCTGTTGCCCAGGCTGGAGTGCACTAGCGCAATCTCAGCTCACTGCAACCTCCGCCTCCTGGGTTCACACAATTCTCCTGCCTCAGCCTCCCTAGTAGCTGGGATTACAGGCACGCGCCACCACACCCAGCTAATTTTTGTATTTTTAGTAGAGACAGGGTTTCACCGTGTTGGCCAGGCTGGTCTCGAACTCCTGACCTCAGGTGATGTGCCCGTCTTGGCCTCCCAAAAGTGCTGGGATTACAGCCCTGAGCCACTGCACCTGGCTGAGAAACATTAATTGAGCACCTGTGGTGTCCCTGGCCCTGTTTTAGGTGCTGAGGATACAGCAGTGAACAAGACAGAAAAACCCCTGCCCCCATGGGACTGACACTCTATGTAAATTCATGAATTAAAATATTAGAAGGTGATGTGCTATAGAGAAAAATAAAATAGAGGGGAAAGGTTAGAAAGGACTGGGGGAAGGAAGCTAAAATTTCAAATATGGGGGTCGTCAGGGAAGTACTCACTGAGGAGGTGACCTCTGAGCAAGTATGTTAGGCAGACAAAAGAGTGAGAGGGGCCAGGCGCAGTGGCTCATGCCTGTAATCCCAGCACTTTGGGAGGCCAAGGCAGGCAGATCAGTTGAGGTCAGGAGTTCGAGACCAGCCTGGCCAACATGGTGAAACCCCGTCTCTACTAAAAATACAAAAATTAGCCGGGCGTGGTGATGCCCACTTGTAGTCCCAGCTTTTCGGGAGGCTGAGGCAGGAGAATGGCTTGAACCCAGGAGGCAGAGGCTGTGGTGAGCTGAGGTTGCGCCACTGCACTCCAGCCTGGGCAACAGAGCAAGACTCTGTCTCAAAAACACAAAATAATAAAAAAATAAAAAAATATCTGGGGGAAAGGTGTTCCAGGCAGAGGGAACAGCGCATGCAAAGGCTGTGAGGCTGGACTGGGCCTGGCATATTTATTTGGGGAACAGTGAGGAAGCTGGGGTGGCTGGAGCCAAGTGAATGAGGGGAAGAGAGCTGGAGGTGACAGGGCAAATCACACAGCCAAGCCTTGTGGGCCTTGGGGAAGACTGGATTTTACTGGGTGAGGTGGGAGCCATAGAGGCTTCTTGGAGAGAGGAAGAGCTTGGTCTGAACGGATTCAGGTGCTCACAGGAAGAACAGACGGCCAGACCAACATAACAGCTGTCACAGATACAGGAAGAGATTTTATATCTCCCTGCGGTTGGTTTTGTTGCCTTTTCACACGACTCATGGGGCGAGGCACCAGTGGGGTGAGGAGCTGGGAGGACAGGCCACCCCAGAGTTCCCCTTCCCAGGAGTCAGGGAGCCCCCACCCCACCATGTCCCAGGACACACTCGGGCAGGGCTGCCAGGAGTGTTTGTGTTTCACCCTCTCTAGATGGGTGGAAATGAGGTGTGGCTGGGGAGGTGGTGGGGTGGCCAGGAGGGAAGCTGGGTCCCGGAGAGGCAGGACCCGTGAAGGCATCGGGGAAGGGGGTGCCCCCTCTGAGAAGGCACAGGGGTCTTGCTGTCTCCTTTCTCTATTTGAGTATCAAAGGCCTGCTCAAGCCCGAAGCTAAAGGGAAGGTCAAGGATGTTGGGGGTGTCAGGCTGTGGGTGGCTGGGTTTGGTCACAGCTGCAATTGTACTGCCGATAAGGACCCTCGAGGCTGAATGTCAGCCCGGCCAGGGTTGGGCAACATCCTGTTGGGGAAGTCTCTTCTAGTTATGGTTTTCGCTTCTCCAGCCCTGCCCTGACCCTAATGGGAGAATTACAGGCAGGGGAGCACACACTGAACGCGCACGTTACCAGAAACAGAAATAACTCCCTTTAAATTTTCCCAAGAATAGGATATACACGTGTAAAAAAATAATAATAATAATTTAAAACTTAGACCCAGCTGGGCATGGTGGCTCATGCCTGTAAACCCAGCACTTTGGGAGGCTGAGGTGGGTGGATCACCTGAGGTCAGAAGTTCGAGACCAGCCTGGCCAACATGGTGAAACACCATCTCTACTAAAAATACAAAAATTAGCCAGGCTTGGTGGCACATGCCTGTAATCCCAGCTACTTGGGAGGCTGAGGCAGGAGAATCACTTGAACCTGGGAGGCAGAGGTTGCAGTGAGCCAAGACTGAGCCACTGCACTTCACTGTGCGTGATGGGAGCAGAGACTCCATCTCAAAAAAGAAAAAAAAATTAGCCGGGCGTGGTGGCAGGTGCCTGTAATCCCAGCTACTTGAGAGGCTGAGGGAGAATCACTTGAAACCGGGAGGCAGAGGTTGCAGTGAGCAGAGGTCACGTGCCATTGCACTCCAGCCTGGGCAACAAGAGCGAGACTCCGTCTCAAAAAAAAAAAAAAAAAAAAGAACTTAGACCCTACCTCATAATCACACACAAAAAGTAACTAAATGACTAAATGAGACTAGGCGCAGTAGCTCATGCCTGTAATCCCAGCACTTTGGGAGACTCAGGTGGAGGGATCATCTGAGGTCAGGAGTTTGAGACCAGCCTGGCCAACATGGCAAAACCCCGTCTGTACTAAAAATATTTAAAAAGTAGCCAGGCGTGGTGGCTCATGCCTGTGATCCCAGCTACTCTGGAGGCTGAGGCCTGAGAATCACCTGAACTGGGGAGGCGGAGGTTGCAATGAGCCGAGATTGCACCACTGCACTCCAGTCTGGGCGACAGAGCAAGACTCCGTCTCAGGAGACAAAAAAAGAAAAAGAAATCTTTGAGACCATGGATTAGGCAAAGGTTTCTTACCTATGTCACCAAAACCACAATCCGTAAAAGAAAAAAATAATGAGCGAATTGAACTTCATCACAATGAAAACTTTTGCTCTTCAAAAGACATAAAGAAAATAAAAAGACAAGCCGCCAACTAGGAGGAAATATTTTCAAATCATTTTTCTGAAAGAATGTGTATCCAGAATATATAAAGAACTCTTAAAATAAAAACTCTTTATATAAGAATATATACGGAACTCAACAATAAGAAGGAAAAAAAATCCCAGTTTAAAAATGGGCAAAAGATTTGAACAGATGCTTCGCCAAAGAGGACATTTCGATGGTAAATATGCATATGAAAAGATGCGCAACAGCATTAGTTGTTACAGAAATGCAAATTAAAACCACAAGGAGATACCACTTCATACATCTATTAGAAGAGCTAAGATTTATTTTTTATTTTTGAGATGGAGTCTCACTCTGTCACCCAGGCTGGAGTGCAGTGGTGCAATCATAGCTCACTGCAGCCTCGACTTCCTGGGTCAAGCGATCCTCCCACTTTAGCCTCCCAAGTCACCAGGACTACAAGTGGACACCGCCACGCCTGGCTAAGTTGTGTTTTGGGGTTTCTTTTTTTTGAGACAGGGTCTATTTCTGTCGCACAGGCTGGAGTGCAATGGTGCCATCATAGCTCACTGCAGCCTTGAACTCCTGGGCTCAAGCGATCCTTCCACCTCAGCCTCCCAAGTAGCTGGGAACCACAGGCATGCACCACTCTGCCTGATTAATTTTTTGTTTGTTTGAGACATTCTCGTTCTGTTGCCCAGCTGGAATTCAGTGGCACGATCTCAGCTCACTGTAACCTCCGCCTCCTGGGTTCAAGTGATCCTCCTGCCTCAGCCTACAGAGTAGCTGGGATTACAGGCATGTACCACCACACCCAGCTATTTTTTTTTTTTTTTTTTTTGTATTTTTAATAGAGACTAGGTTTTGCCATGTTGGTCAGGCTGGTTGTGAACTCCTGGCCTTAAGTGATGCGCCCATCTCAGCCTCCCAAGATGCTGAGAATTTTTTTGTATTTTTTATAGAGACGGAGTTTTGCCACGTTGCCTAAGCTGGTCTCAAACTTCTGAGCTCAAGTGATCCTCCTCCCTCAGCCTTCCAAAGTGTTGGGATTACAGGCATGAGCCACTGTGCCTGGCCTCAGGTGAACTCTTTTTTTTTTTTTTTTTTTGAGACGGAGTTTTGCTCTTGTTGCCCAGGCTGGAGTGGAGTGCAGTGGCATGATCTCTGCTCACGGCAACCTCCGCCTCCCGGGTTCAAGCGATTCTCCTGCCTCAGCCTCCTGAGTAGCTGGGACTACAGGCGTGCACCACCACGCCTGGCTAATTTTGTACTTTTAGTAGAGACAGGGTTTCTCCACGTTGGTCAGGCTGGTCTTGAACTCCCGACCTCAGGTTATCCGCCCGCCTTGGCCTCCCAGAGCATTGGGATTACAGGCATGAGCCACCGCACCTGGCCCCAAGTAAACTCTTTAAATCATCTTTTATGCTTCAGCTTCTTCCTTTTTTTTTTTTTTTTTTTTTTTTTTTTGAGACAGAGTCTCACTCTGTCGCCCAGGCTGGAGTGTGGAGTGCAGTGGTGCGATCTCGGCTCACTGCAACCTCCGCCTCCCGGGTTCACACCATTCTCCTGCCTCAGCCTCCTGAGTAGCTGGGACTACAGGCGCCCACCACCACGCCCAGCTCATTTTTTGTATTTTTAGTAGAGACGGGGTTTCACATGTTAGCCAGGATGGTCTCGATCTCCTGACCTCGTGATCCGCCCGCCTCGGCCTCCCAAAGTGCTGGGATTACAGGGTTGAGCCACCGCACCCAGCCCAGCCTCTTTTATGTTGACAAATTCAAGTGTCCATCAACAGATGAATGGACAAACAACTGTGGTCCTCCCATGCAAGGAAACACTGGTTAGCAATAGAAAGCAACAAACTGTTGATAAACACAGCAACATGGATAAACCTCAAAAATATGCCGAGTGGAAGAAGCCAGACCCACAATATTACATATTGTACAATTCCATTTATATGAAATTTCTAGAAAAGGCAGAGCTCTAGAGACAGAAAGCAGATTAGTGATTACCTGGAGCTGAGGCTGGGAGTGCGGATGGATTGCTAATGTGGGGATTTGGGGGGAAATCAAAGTGTTCTCAAATGCTGTATTGTAGTAATACTTGCACAGCTAGGTGAGTTTACTAAAAGTCATCTAACTGTAGGTTTGTAATGGGCGAATTATAGGCTATATAAGTTATTCCTCAATAAGGCTATAAAAATGTTGCCCTAGGCCAGGCGTGGTGGCTCATGCCTGTAATCCCAGCACTTTGGGAGGCCGAGGTGGGCGGATCACAAGGTCAGGAGATCAAGACCATCCTGGCTAACACGGCGAAACCCCGTCTCTACTAAAAATACAAAAAATTAGCTGGGCGTGGTGGCGGTCGTCTGTAGTCCCAGGTACTTGGGAGGCTGAGGCAGGAGAATGACAGGAACCCTGGAGGCAGAGCTTGCAGTGAGCTGAGATCACGCCACTGCACTCCAGCCTGGGTGACAGAGCAAGACCCCATCTCAAAAAAAAAAAAAAATGTTGCCCTAAAAATTCGGCTATGGGCTTGTCACCATCCGATCTATTGACTCAACAAGTCCCTACAGTCCCCAACCCTTTTCTGAGCTCTGGAGGCACAGCAGGAAATAAAATAGACAAATATCCTGGGGCTGACATTCTCAGGGGGAGACAGAGAGGGAGCAAGATCAAGAACTAAAATCTAGCAGGGTGGGCCGGGCGCGGTGCTCACACCTGTAATCCCAGCACT
This sequence comes from Homo sapiens, assembly GCF_000001405.40. Classification (NCBI taxonomy): domain Eukaryota; kingdom Metazoa; phylum Chordata; class Mammalia; order Primates; family Hominidae; genus Homo; species Homo sapiens. The sequence continues at coordinate 14,360,386 of NC_000019.10, forward strand.
TTGGGAGGCTGAGGCAGGCAGATCACTTGAGCTCAGTTCATAACCAGCCTGGCCAACATGGGGAAACCCCATCTCTACTAAAAAAAAAACAAAAATTAGCTGAGCGTGGTGGCGCATGCCTGTAATCCCAGCTACTCGGGAGGCTGAGGCAGGAGAATTGCTTGAACCCGGGAGGCAGAGGTTGCAGTGAGCCAAGATTGTGCCACTGCACTTGTCTGGGTGATAGAGTGAGACTCCATCTCAAAATAAAAAAAAAAAAAAAAAGAAAGAAAAAAAGTCCAGCAGGGTGGTCAGGCACGGTGACTCAGGCCTATAATCTCAGCACTTTGGGAAGCTGAGGCAGGAAGATCGCTTGAGACCAGGAGTTTGTGACCAGTCTGGGCAACATAGCAAGACCCCTATCTCTACAAAAAATAAAATAAACAAAATTAGTCAAGTGTGGTGGTGCACACTTGTAGTCCCAGCTACTCAGGAGGCTGAGGCAGAAGGATCACTTGAACCCAGGAGGTTGAGGCTGCAGTGAGCTGAGATTGCACCACTGCACTCCAGCCTGGGTAACAGAGTGAAACCCTGTCTCAAAATGTTCAGCACTGTCCTGGTCTGTAGATAGAAACCAAAACAAACAAATAAATTTATGTATTCATTTAATTAAATAAACCAAATTAGCCTGGCATGGTAGTGCAGACCTGTAGTCCCAGCTACTCAGGAGGGTGAGGCAGGAGGATTGCTTGAGCCCAGGAGCTGGAGGCTGCAGTGAGCTATGATCGCACCACTGCACCCCAGCCTGAGCGACAGAGCAAGACCCTGTTTCAAAATAAAAAGAAAAAAGAGAAATAAAGAACTAATATATACATCTCTTTAAAAGCAAACGAACAAAAGACTTGGGCCAAGCATGGTGGCTCACACCTGTAATCCCAGGACTTTGGGAGGCCAAGGCGTGCAGATCATCTGAGGTCAGGAGTTTGAGACCAGCCTGGCCAACGTGGTGAAACCTTGTCTCCACTAAAAATACAAAAATTACAACCGGGCGCGGTGGCTCACGCCTGTAATCCCAGCACTTTGGGAGGCCGAGGCAGGCGGATCACGAGGTCAGGAGATCGAGACCATCCTGGCTAACACGATGAAACCCTGTCTCTACTAAAAATACAAAAAATGAGCTGGGCGTGGTGGCGGGTGCCTGTAGTCCCAGCTACTAGGGAGGCTGAGGCAGGAGAGTGGCGTGAACCTGGGAGGCGAAGCTTGCAGTGAGCCGAGATCGCACCACTGCACTCTGGCCTGGGCAACAGAGCAAGACTCTGTCTCAAAAAAAAAAAAAAATACAAAAATTACCTGAGTGTGGTGGTGCGTGCCTGTAATCCCAGCTACTCAGGAGGCTGAGGCAGGAGAATCACTTGAACCCGAGAGGCGGAGGCTGCAGCCAGCTGAGATTGTGCCACTGCACTCCAGCCTGGGTGACAGAATGAGACTCTGTCTCAAAAAAAAAAAAAAAAAGACCTGAAGGGGGCGAGAGAAAGCCATGTGGGGATCTGGAGGAGGAGGTGGTGCTGCAAGTGAGAGTGAGCTGCCGTGCAAAGCCCCTAAGGTAGGAGCATGCCCAAAACGGCGAGGAAGCTGGCCTGGCTGAAGGGAATGAGCAAAGGGGAGAGAAGGAGGAGGTGAGGGCAGATAAGTGCTGAGCAGATCCTGCAGGGCCCTGTGGGCCACAAGAAGGAATTTGGCTTTTGCACTGAGTGAGGTGGGAGCCCTGGAGGGTCCTTGAGCAGAGGAGGGACGTGCCCTGACAGAAAAGCATGGAGCGGGCGAGCAAGGGCAGGAGCCAGGAGACCAGGGCAGAGGAGTCTGCACTGGGCCAAGGGGGAGTTGATGGGGCCGGACCAGGTAGGGGCTGTGGAGGAGGTGAAAAGTGAGTAGATGCTGGATAGATTTTGAAAATAGAGCTCTCGGGATTTGCTGATACAATAGAGAGAGAGAGAAAGGGACAGGGGCAGAGATAGAGGCCAGGCATGGTGGCTCATGCCTGTAATCCCAGTACTTTGTGGGGCAGAGGCAGGAGGGTCACTGAAGCCTAGGAGTTCAAGACCAGCCTGGGCAACAAAGTGAGACCGGGGAAGGAGAAGGAAGGAAGGAAGGAAGGGAGGGAGGGAGGGAGGGAGGGAGGGAGGGAGGGAGGGAGGGGAGGAAGGAGAAAGAAAGGGAGGAGAGATAGAGATAGAGGAAAGAAAGAAAGAAGGAAGGAGAAGAAAGAGGGAAGGAAGGAAGGAAGGAAGGAAGAAATGGAGGGAGGGAGGGAAGGAAGGAAGGAGAAAGAAAGGGAGGAGAGACAGAGATAGATGAAAGAAAGAAGGAAGGAGAAGAAAGAAAGAGAGGGAAGGAAGGAAGGAAGGAAGGAAGGAGAGACAGAGAACGAAGAAAGAGAAGAAAGAAGGAAACAGAAAGAGAGAACAAAATAAAACAGAGACAGAGACATGGAGGACTCCAAGTATTTTGCCCCAAGAATCTGGGCCAAAAGAAAGGAAACAAGGTGGCCGGGCGCGGTGGCTCCCGCCTGTAATCCCAGCACTTTGGGAGGCCGAGGCGGGCGGATCACGAGGTCAGGAGATTGAGACCATCCTGGCTAACACGGTGAAACCCCGTCTCTACTAAAAATACAAAAAATTAGCCGGGCGTGGTGGGGGGCGCCTGTAGCCCCAGCTACTCGGGAGGCTGAGGCAGGAGAATGGCGTGAACCTGGGAGGCAGAGCTTGCAGTGAGCCGAGATCGCGCCACTGCACTCCAGCCTGGGTGACAGAGCAAGACTCCGTCTCAAAAAAAAAAGAAAAAAGAAAAAAAAGGAAGGAACAAGGCTCAGAGAGGTCCAAGGAGTTGCCCTGGCGGTCCGGGGCCACAGTGGCCTTCATCCCCAGCTGAGATGTGTCCCCAGTCTAAGGCCACTCAGAGCCAGGCACCTTCTCCGGCTGCCTCCCAATCCCCGCCCCCCGCTTCCGTCCCAGCACCCTCACCCCGCCCCCGGGCCCCTTTGTCCTCCTCTTCGTCTTATTTCCAGAATTTCTCCTCCCTAGGGAATCCAGTCCATGTGCTTTTGATTCCTTTGTCCTGAACTCATGCGGCATGAGCACCCCTGAAGCCTTATGTGGAAAAATTTGGAGGCTGGGGGTGGGGAGGGGGTCACATTCCTCCCGGGGGTACAGAGCTACGTCGGCATCTCCAGGGCCCCCCAGCAGCAAGCAGGCATCCTCCCAGGCCAGGCCAGACCGGACGCTGCCCAACACAGGCTTTCTTTGGGGCTTGGCCGGCGCCCGACTACAGCCCCGGCTCCAGCTGCCCTGCCTGTCCCCCGCCCCCACGCCTCCCGTCCCAACCTCCCACACGTTTCCTCCTAGAAGCCCAGACCCGTGGGACTTGGCCTCCCCCGCGCCTTCCCTCTCTACTCAGCTCTGCAGCTCCTGTAGGCCTCCTCCCCGGGTGATCACAGAAGGACCAGCTCACCTTAGCGGGACAGGCAGGGCATGGGCGTGGCCAGAGCCTCGGGCAGGCATCCCAGGCTCCCTGGTGTCTCTCTCATCCGCTGGCCTCTGTGCCCTCTTCTCTTCCCCACCCCCGCTCGTGGCCCCTCCTGCCTCTCCATCGCAAAGTCCCCAGAGGAGTCTCCTTAATCACTTGCTTTTGACTGAATCCTGACCACCTGGACCCTGATCTAGCTACTGAGGAGATAAAGTAACCAACACTTAAAAGCTAACCTTCAGGCATTCTGGGAGGCTGAGACTGACGGATCACTTGAGGTCAGGAGTTCAAGACCAGCCTGGCCAACAAGATGAAACCTCGTCTCTACTAAAAATACAAAAAAATTAGCTGGCGTAGTGGCGGATGCCTGTAATCCCAGCTACTGCGGAGGCTGAGGCAGGAGAATCGCTTGAACTTGGGAGGTGGAGATTGCAGTGAGCTGAGATCGTGCCACTGCACTCCAGCCTGGGCAACAAAGCAAGACTCCGTCTCAAAAAATAAAAATTAGCTGGGTGTGGGGCCGGGCTTGGTGGCTCAAGCCTGTAATCCCAGCACTTTGGGAGGCCGAGGCAGGCGGATCACCTGAGGTCAGAAGTTCAAGACCAGCCTGGCCAACATGGTGAAACCCCGTCTCTACTAAAAATACAAAAAAAAATTAGCCAGGCGTGGTGGCGCATGCCTGTAATTCCAGCTACTCGGGAGGCTGAGGCAGGAGAATCAGTTGAACCTGGGAGGCAGACGTTGCAGTGAGCCGAGATCATGCCACTGCACTCCAGCCTGGGTGACAGAGCGACACCCTGTCTTAAAAGAAAAAAAATAGCTGGCTGTGGTGGCATGTGACTGTAGTCCCAGCCACAAGGGAGGCTGAGGTGGGAGGATTGCTTGAGCCCGGGAGTTCAAGGCTGCAGTAAGCTATGACTGCACTGCTGCACTCCACCCTGGCTGAGACCTTGACTCAGCAACAATGAAAAAGTGACAGGGCCAGGACTTGACCCCTGACCATTTTGTTCTACAGCCTTTCATGGGAAAGACAGATGAGTTTTCGACCTTCCAGAGCCTTTGATCCAGAGGAGAGAGGCAGGAAATAGCAAATGGATAAGAATATGCCATTCGGTGACTAGGGCAATGGAGATTGCAAAAGATGGTGGCTGGGAAATGGGGCTTGTGTCGGGGGTCCCTGAGACCACCCTCAGGGTCAATAATTTGCTGAGATTGATAGATCCCAGAAAAGTGGTGTTACTCCCAGTTATGGTTTATTACAGTGAAAGTTACAGATGAAAATCAGCAAAGAGGCCAGGCTTGGTGGCTCATGCCTGTAACCCCAGCACTTTGGGAGGCCCAGACAGGCAGATCATTTGAGGTCATGAGTTCAAGACCAGCCTGACCAACATGGTGAAACCCCATCTCTACTAAAAATACAAAAATTAGCCAGGTGTGGCAGGGGGCTCCTGTAATCCCAGCTACTTGGGAGGCTGAGACAGGAGGATCACCTGGACCTGGGAGGCAGAGGTTGTAGCGAGCCGAGATCCTGCCATTGCACTCCAGTCTAAGCAACAAGAGCAAAACTCCATCTCGAAAAAAAAAAAAAAACTAGGAATACTAGAGGAGAGGAGGTGAGGCAGACAGGCTCCAAGACTCCTCCATGATTCCCACCTCCTGATGTCTGCACTCTGTGTGATCCCTCGAGTGTGAGCTGGACCCAATAACTTGCTTCTAACAATAGACTAGGACAATGTATGCCAGGAGCAGTGGCTCACGCCCATAATCTCAGCACTTTGGGAGGCTGAGACAGAGGGATCACTTGAGCCCAGGAGTTCAAGACCAGTCTGGGCAACATAGCAAGACCCCATCTCTATAAAAATTCAAGCATTAGCTGGGTGTGGTGGTGCACACCTGTAGTCCCAGCTACTCGGGAGGCTGAGGTGGGAGGATTGCTTGTGCTCAGGAGGTCAATGCTGCAGTGAGCTATGATTGTGCCACTGCACTCCAGCCTGGGTGACAGAGTGAGACCTTGTCTCTCTCATATATGTGTATATATATATACATATATTTTTTTTTTGAGATGGAGTCTCATTCTGTTGCCCAGGCTGGAGTGCAGTGCAGTGGTATGATCTCTACTCACTCCAACCTCCGCCTCCTGGGTTCAAGCGATTCTCGTGCGTCAGCCTTCCAAGTAGCTGGAATTACAGGTGTGCAGTATCACGACCTGCTAATTTTTTGTACTTTTAGCAGAGATGGGGTTTCACCATGTTGGCCAGGCTGGTCTCGAACTCCTGGTCTCAAGCAATCCACCTGCATCGGCTTCCCAAAGTGTTGGGATTACAGGTGTGAGCCACCGCGCCTGACCTATGTGTATATATATACATATCTATAGATAGATAGATAGATAGATAGATAGATAGATAGATAGATAGATTTAATGTTACCATTTTATTCATCATGGTTTTGCATTAATCTTGACTTTTACAAAATATCACAATAAAATAATATTTATGAGTTCAGGACAAAGTTCTTGAGTTCTTTGACACCCCCTGAAATTTTGTTCCCAAGTCAAGCATCCACCTTGCCTCTCATTCCAGCCCTACAGCTTAATGATATGAGACCATCGTCATGCACAAGACAGGACTGGATGAGTGACATCTACAGATTCTGCTGCCACACTGGACTCAAGGCAGGTTCAGTTCTGCTGCAGTAACAAGCCAGGGAAAAAAATGAGCCAGGCATGGTGGCACACACCTGTAGTCCCAGCTACTTTAAGCCCCAAATCTCAGGAGCTTAAAACATCAGAGGTTTCACTTTTCACTCAGCCAGCATCTGGCATGTTGCCCGTTGCCAAGGCAGAAGAAAAAGAACATATAGCATGCTCTGCAGCAGCTCTTAAAGCCTCTGCCCAGAAGTGACACAAGTCAAACCTGCTCACATGCCATTGGTCAGAGCAAGTCACGTGGCCACACAAGTGGGTGGAGCAATGCCTTCCTACCTTGTACCTGGAGGGAGAAAGAGCTGGAATATTGGTGAATCGCTCAGTGATCATAGCAGTGTCCCTGGGTGAGGTCCAGAGGGCAGCTGTATGTCTGGAGGTAGACAGGGAGGTCCAGGTGGAGACATGTAAGAGGCTTTGGGATATAATTGGTATTGACTTCTTGGAGGGCCTGATCACCCCCTACTATGGAGGACACATGGGGGTCACCTGCCAGGACCCACAGGATGGGAATCCTGCCCCAGTCTCCTCTGAGACTGGATTTTTTTTTTTTTTTGATTTTTTTTTTGAGACAGGATCTCGCCGAAGTACAGTGGTGCAACCATATAGTTCGCTGCAGCCTCAACCTCTTGGGCTCAAGCAATCCTCCTGCCTCAGCCTCCCGAGTAGCTGGGACCAGAGTCATGTGCCATCAGGCCTGGGTAATTTTTAAACTTTTTTTGTAGAGATGGGGGTGCGGGTCTCGCTATGTTGCCCTAGCTGGTCTTGAACTCCTGGCCTTAAGCGATCCTCCTGCCTCGTCCTGCCAAAGCGAGCCACCGTGCCTGTCCTTCAGCCTGGATAAAATTTGTGGTGAAATACACATGACATGAAATGTTCTATCTTAACCATTTTAAGTGTACAGTTCAGTTACATTAAGAAAATTGTCAGGCCGGGCGTGGGGGCTCATGCCTGTAATCCCAGCACTTTGGGAGGCTGAGATGGACAGATCACTTGAAGTCAGAAGTTCAAGACCAGCCTGACCAATATGGTGAAACCCCGTCTGTCCTAAAAATACAAAAATTGGCCAGGCACGGTGGTGTGAACCTGTAGTCCCAGCTACTGGGAGGCTGAGACAAGAGAATCACTTGAACCCAGGAGACAGAGGTTGCAGAGAGCCAAGATTGAGCCACTGTACTCCGGCCTGGGCAACAGAGTGAGACTCAGTCTCAAAAAGAAAAGAAAATTCTCAGTTGGGCACAGTGGCTCACACGTGTAATCCCAGCACTTTGGGAGGCTGAGGTGGGCAGATCATCTGAGATCAGGAGTTTGAGACCAGCCTGGCCAACATGGTGACACCCTGGCTGTACTAAAAATACAAAAATTAGCCAGGAATGGTTGTGCACACCTGTAATCCCAGCTACTTGGGAGGCTGAGGCACGAGAATCACTTGAACCCAGGAGGCAGAGGTTGCAGTGAGCCCAGATTGTGCCACTGCACTGCGGCCTGGGCAACAGAGTAAGACCCCGTCTCAAAACAAAACAAAACAAAAACCAGAAAAAATAAATTCTCATAGTTGCCACTGACACCATCATTCATCTCCAGAACTTTTTCATCTTGCAAAACTAAAACTGTATCCACAAAACAACTCCCCGTTCCTCCTCCCTCCAGTTCCTGGAAACCACAATTCTACTTTCTGTTTCTATGAATTTGACAAGTTTAGTTACTTCCTGTAAATGTGATCATACGGTATTTGTTCTTTTGTGGCAGGTTTATTTCACTTAGCATAATGCCCTCAGGGTGCATTCATGTTATATGTACGAGAATTTCCTTCCTCTTTAAGGCTGAGTAATATTCCACTGTATAGATAGACCACATTTTGTTTATCCATTCATCTATCCATGGAGACTGGTTGCTTTCAACTTTTGGCTATTTTAGCTAATGCTGCCGTGAACATAGGTGTACAGATGTCTCTTTGAACTTTGCTTTCAATTCGGGTGTCTATGCAGAAGTAGAATTGATGGATCATATGACAATTCTATGTTTAATTTTTTTTTTTTTTTTGAGATGGAGTCTTGCTCTGTCACCCAGGCTGGAGTGCAGTGGCGCGATCTCCGCTCACTGCAACCTCCACCTCCCGGGTTCAAGCGATTCTCCTGCCTCAGCCTCTCGAGTAGCTGGGATTAGAGGCAGCTGCCACCACACCCGGCTAATCTTTGTATTGTTGTCCAGGCTGGTCTCAAACTCCTGACCTCAAATGGTCCACCCACCTCGGCCTCTCAAAGTGCTGGGATTACAGGCATGAGCCACCATGCCTGGCCTCTATGTTTAATTTTTTTAGGACTCTCCATACTGTTTTCCACAGTGGCTGCACCATTTTACATTGTCACCAGCAGCCCACAATGGTTTCAATTTATGGGGTTTTGTTTTGTTTTGCTTTTTTTTTTTTTTTTTTTTGGACAGGGTCTCACTCTGTTGCCCAGGCTGGAGTGCAATGGTGCAATCATAGCTCACTGCAGCCTTGACCTCCTGGGATCAAGCGATCCTCTTGCCTCGGCCTCCCAAGTAGTTGGGACTACAGGTGCATGCCACCATGCTCAGCTAATTTTTAAATATTTTTAGAAATGAAGTCTTCCTTTGTTGCCCAGGCTGGTCTTGAACTCCTGGCCCAACTGATCCTCTCTCCTTGGCCTCCCAAAGCATTGGGATAACAGTTGTGAGCTACCACTTCTAACCTATTTTCTGTTTTTTTGATAGTAGCCATCCTAATGGGTGTTAGGTAGTATCTCACTGTGGTTTTTATTTGTTTATTCATTTATTTATAGAGATGGAGTCTTGCTATGTTGCCCAGGCTGGTCTCAAACTCCTGGCCTCAAGTGATCCTCCCACCTCGGCCTCCCAAAGTGCTGGAATTACAGGCGTGAGCCACCGCACCTGGCCTGTGGTTTTGATTTGCATTTCCCTAATGATTGGTGACTTTGAGTATCTTTTCATAGGCCTATTGGACATTTGTCTGGCCTGGAATTTTAACAACTCTGTTTCAAAGGAAGCACAGAGTGTGGGTGTCAATCTCCTTGCCAATGTCAGGGCCGCCTGACCTCGTGGATAGCAGGCAGCCCAGAGCTGGCTCCTCGGGCCGGACAGAAGCTGGGCATGAGAGGCTGTCGTGGGAGTGACAATTCCACTAGGGGAATGCCAGATTGCCACTGAACTTTGTCACTAAGACCCACACCAAAGGCCCCAGAAAGCCCCAGTGACACTTTTGCCCCTAGATAGGAGGGTACCGACAGGAAATGCTGTCAGAAAAATGCCTCCTTGTACACTCAAAAATGGCTTTTGCCGTCTGCCCAGAGGGGCCCCTCTCCCCCTGACTCACCGTAGCAGCGCGTGGAGGACAATTTTGGCTGTGACAACGTCACGCCCGCTGCGGGGAGTTGATCTGCAAGCCACAAACGTCATTCATTCCTCTCCACCTCCAGGATTTGGAACATCTCCCCGGACCACAGATTTTTCCTTCAATCAACTTGCTTTTCCTTTAAAAAAAAAAAAAAAACTTAAATGAATTTATTTGGGAAGGAACTTTTATGCCACCACCACAAAAGGAAACAAAAGGAAACCAGGGCCATTTCCATAAGTAGAAAGCAACAGCAAAAGGACCTATATTTGTAGGGGTGGGGGTGAAATTAAACTTGCTTCCTGCTGTCGCCTGGTTGAAGCCTCAAGAGCCGGGACTAGGGTAGGGAGAGGGAGGTGCCCAGGCGTAGAATATAATGAGTCGCTCACTCGCAGGACCCTGGGATCCACAGCCTCACCCTCCAGTGAAGCTCTGGATCAAAGAGACTGCTCTTTTTGTTTAAAAAAAAAAATTGAAAGGAGACAAAAAGGGAAAGAAATAGGCCAGGCGCAGTGGCTCACGCCTGTAATCCCAACAGTTTGGGAGGCAGAGGCGGGAGGATCGCTAGAGCTCAGGAGTCCAAGACCAGCCTGGGCAACATAATGAGACCCCTGTCTCATTATAAAAAAGTAAAGAAAAAAAATGGGGAAGGAAATTAAAAACCGAAAGCGACGACTGAAGTGTTTAGAGGTGTCAGAGATATAGCTGTGAAAAACTCAGACTTCTTTTTTTTTTTTTTTTTTTTTTTGAGACAGAGTTTCGCTCTGTCGCCCAAGCTGGAGAGCAGTGGCGTCATCTCGGCTCACTGCAACCTCTCTGCCTCCCAGGTTCAAGCAATTCTCCTGCCTCAGCCTCCTGAGTAGCTGGGATTACAGGCATGCGCCACCATGCCCGGCTAATTTTTGCACTTTTAGTAGAGGCAGGATTTCACCATGTTGGCCAGACTGGTCTCAAACGCCTGACCTCAAGTAATCCACCTACCTCAGCCTTCCAAAGTGCTAGGATTACAAGCATAAGCCACCATGCCTGGTCTATTTTATTTATGTATTTATTTTATTTTATTTTTTTGAGACAGAGTCTCACTCTGTCACCCTGGCTGCAGTGCAGTGGTGCGATTTCGGCTCACTGCCACCTCTGCCTCCTAGGCTCAAGTGATCCTCCCACCTCTGCCTCCCAAGTTGCTGAGACTACAGGTGCACACTACCATGCCCAGCTAATTTGTGGAGTTTTTGTAGAGATGAGGTCTCGATATGTAGCCCAGGCTGCTCTTGAACTGCTGGACTCAAGCAATCTTCCTGCCTCGGTCTCCCAAAGTGCTGGGAATACAGGCATGAGCCACTGCACCCGGCCTGTTTTTTTTTTTTGTTTTTGTTTTTTTTTTTTATGGAGGTGAGATTGACATGACATAAAATAGACCCTTTTAAAGTGCATGGTTCAGCGCCATTTAGTACATTCACTACGTTGAGCAACCATCACCTCTATCTAGTTCCAGAATGTTTTCAACACCGCAAAAGGAAACCCCGTCCTCATTACCACTCATTCCTCATTCCTCCTCCCCAGCCCCTGGCAACCACCAATCTGTTTTCTGGCTATGAATTTGCCTATTCTGGACATTTCATATAAATGGAATCGTGCACTATGTGACCTTCTGTGTCTGGCTTCTCTCACTCAGTATCATGTTTTCAAGGTTCATCCACCCTGTAGCATGGATCAGAGCCTCGTTCCTTTTTATGGTTGAATTAAAAATCGCTTTTTATGGTAATTGTGAACCGTGCTGCTATGAACATGGGTGTATAAGTATCTGTTTGAGGTCAGGCACAGTGGCTCATGCCTGGAATCCCAGCGCTTTGGGAGGCTGAGGTGGGCAGATCATTTGAGGTCAGGAGTTTGAGACCAGCCTGACCAACACGGTGCAACCCTCTCTCTACTAAAATACAAAAATTAGCCGGGCATGGTGGTGGGTGCCTGTAATCTCAGCTACTCGGGAGGCTGAGGCAGGAGAATCACTTGAACCCAGGAGGTGGAGGTTGCAATGAGCTGAGATCGCGCCACTGCACTCCAGCCTGGACAAGAGTGAGACTCCATCTCAAAAAATAAAATAAACATAAGTATCCATTTGAGTGTCTGCCTTCAGTTTTCTCAGGTGTATACTCAGGAGCAGAATGGCTGGATCACAGGGTCACTCTACACGTAACTTTTTGAGGAGCCGCAAACTGTTTTCTATGCCTGGAAAGAAGTGAAAGGGAGACCTCCATCCAAGGGACAGAGCCCTGGGGATGGGTTGATTCTCACCAATGCTTTCCCATCGCTTCTTTCTGGGACTGGCTGGGACCGTCAGTGCCATCTGTGGCCCTATTTCTCGGGAACCCACAAGCCCACAACAGAAGAGGCCCAGAGGCATGCGGAGGGGTTGACCCGGGTGGGCACCCAGCCTGAATAAGCCCCCTTCCTCCCCTGGCCTTCCCCACCCATCGAAAGTCAAGGGAAGGATTCTGAGACCCCCGTCCTCACAGTGCCCCCCAGAAGCCTGACCCCATCCTTATCGGGACATCAGCACCACCCCGCTCAGAAGACTTTGCAAAATGGGGAAGACACTGAGAGCTGCAAGAAAGTGACAAAAATGCCACCAAGTGTCACACAGCGTTCCCAGCTCAGGGCTTCTTGTTGGCTGCCACCAGTTCCCCACCCCCACAGCCACCCCTGAGCTGTTCCCCTCCCCCACCCTACTCTCCTTTGCTTCCTCTAAACGCTTCTCCTTAAAACCTTTAAACATTTTAAAATTCTTTTTTAAATATTTGTATAGAGCCTCAGGTTTATAGAATAAATGAAACAATGCAATTCTTGGGACCATCGGTCTATCCATGATCAGCTTTATTTTACTTACTTATTTACTGAGACAGAGTCTCACTCTGTGGCCCAGGCTGGAGTGCAGTGGTGAGATCATAGCTCACTGCAACCTCAAACTCCCAGGCTCAAGAGATTCTCCCACCTCAGCCCCCTGAGCAGCTGGGATTACAGGCACGTGCCACCACTCCTGGCTAATTTTTGCATTTTTTGTAGAGACTGGGTTTTACCATGTTGCCCAGGCTGGTCTAGAATTCCTGGGCTCAAGGGATCCTCCCGCCTCAGCCTCCCAAAGCGCTGAGATCACAGGCATGAGCCACTCTCCCTGGCGCATTTTATCTTCCTTGATACAAACTCTTTTCAGAATTCTCTGTTTTTGCTTTGGTCTCTGATAAAATCACGTCTGAATATAACCGCAAAACACCACATGCCTGCGTTACATGGCGTTATGTTAAACAGCCATCATTTTGGCTGGGTGCAGTGATCCATGCCCATCTCTACTAAAAATACAAAAAAATTAGCCGGGCGTGGTGGTGCGCGCCTGTAATCCCAGCCACTTGGGAGGCTGAGGCAGGAGAATGGCTTGAACCGGGGGGCGGAGGTTGCAGTGAGCCGAGATTGTGCCACTGCACTCCACACTCCAGTCTGTCGACAGAGCAAGAGACTCTGTCTCAAAAACACACACACACACACACACAAAACAGCCATCATTTTAGGAAACGTTTATACCTGGAAACTTCTGTGTGTATTATTCACAATTTGCGGGAATAAAGAATTTTACTTTGCAAGAAAATATGTAAATTAAAAAATAAAAGGGAAGGAAGGCATACCCATGAGCCTCCCTCTTCACCAAGAACTGAGATATGACCTTGTTCCCATGCTCCCATGTTTATCTTGCTGATTACCACCACTCCGAATATTCTTTGCCCCTTATTCCTTTGCTCAGTTACTTAATTTTTTTTTTTTTTTTGAGACAGAGTCTTGCTCTGTCACCCAGGCTGGAGTGCAGTGGCGTGATCACAGCTCACTGCTGCCTCGAATTCCTGGCCTCAAGCCATCCTCCCACTTCAGCCTCCTGAGTAGCTGGGACTACAGGTGCGAGTCACCACACCTGGCAAATTTTTTATTTGTATTTTTGGAGAGATGGGGGTCTCACTATGTTGCCCAGGATGGTCTCGAACTCCTGGGCTCAAGCGATCCTCCCACCTTGGCCTCCCCAAGTAGCTGGGATTATAGGCATGAGCCACTGCGCCTGGCCCAGCCTTGTTTATTTTTATTTATTTATTTATTTTATTATTATTGTTTTTTTTTGACACGGAGTCTTGCTCTGTCACCCAGGCTGGAGTGCGGTGGCGCTATCTCAGCTCACTGCAACCTCCGCCTCCTGGGTTCAAGTGATTTTCTGACCTCAGGCTCCTGAGTAGCTGGGATTACAGGTGCCTGCCACCACACCTGGCTAACTTTCATACTTTTAGTAGAGATGGGGTTTCACCGTGTTGGCCAGGCTGGTCTTGAACTCTTGACCTCAGGTGATCCGCCCGCCTCAGTCTCCCAAAGTGCTGGGAGGTTACAGGGGTGAGCCACTGAGCCCGGCCGCCTTGTTTATTTTTCAAAGTCTTCTTGCATATGTTTGTATCCTGAAACCAAATCTCGTTTTATGATCTTTGTGTCTGAGCTTTTTCGCAAGGTGGCTTTTTCCTATGGGGCTTTGGAGACTTTTTCAAGATTCTACTGTGGAATCTGTCACGCTGCAATTTAAGATTTTTTTCTCCTGACTTCACTAAGTTTTTAAATTGAAGAAAGAGGTGTGGCTAGGCATGGTGGCATGCACCTGTAACCCCAGCATTTTGGGAGGCTGAGGTGGGCGGATCACTTGAGGGTCAGGAGATCGAGACCAGCCTAGCCAACATGGTGAAACTCCATCTCTACTAAAAATACAAAAATTAGCCAGGCGTGGTGGCGTGTGCCTGTAATCCCAGCTTCTAGGGAGGTTGAGGCAGGAGAATTGCTTGAACTCAGGAGGCGGAGGTTGCAGTGAGCCGAGATCTCGCCACTGCACTCTAGTTCGGGCAACAGAGCAAGACTCTGTCCCCTGCCCCCCCTCAAAAAATTGCACACCCCTGGAGTTATTTTTTCACAGCTGTATAATATTCCAAGTGCTTTATAAAGTTACCGCTGAGGAAGTGCTAGGGTTTTATTAATGACTTAATGACCATCATGTTCATAGATTGCTTTGAAGGATTAATGATGCCCTTTTAAGCATTTCACCCTTTTCTTCCTCCTTACTGCCCCAAATCTTGGTGATCTCTGGGAGGGGCCAAGACTGGGGACACTTTTGGGCCCAGCTGCCCATGAGGACCCCACTTCTGCTTCGGCCACTTCTGCTCAGCTATCCTCGAGGTTGCTTATATACCATCTATTTATAACCCCGCCCCCCCACCCCACGTCACCCGCCCCCTGCCAGGGCAACCAGTGAACTCAGTGTCCATGGGGAAGGGGAAGTGGGTTACTAGGTGCTAGAGTTTGTTTGGGGTTTGGGGGTGCCTCTGCTGCTTCCTGAAGGGCTTCATTTCCTAGAAGCTGAGAACACTGAGCTGACAGATCAACCCCCCTTCCTTCCCACAGTGGGTCATGGGGCCAAGGAGGAAGAAGAGGAACCAGGTGCTGGCACCCCAGGTCGCAAACACATGCACTCCCCCTCAGCCCCGGAGCACGGGGCCTCGTTGCCTTGTCCCTCTGAGCCATCGCGGCCTCTCGCTTCTGCCCTCTTTATGTTTGGGCTCCTCCTGGACTTCCCTTCAGCACCAGAGACCCCTGCAGCCCAGACCCCAGGAGACTAAGAGGCCTGGGTGGTCTCTGGGATGGGCGGGGAGGCACACATGTGCAGGACTGGCTCTTCCCCACTCTGCTCCAGGGCCGAGGCCCCAAATAGCTGGACTTCTATATTTAGAAGCTGGCTCAGCAGCACCAGGGAACTATAAATACAGCCCAGATCAGTGCAGCCTCCAAAATCCCCAGGCCAGGCTGGGATGAGTAGGGAGCAAGGAGTTAGGGAGATGTCAGTGGGGCCAGATGGGGTCTGCAGTGAGGGCCCCCTGGGCCAGGTGCACACTGACAGGCCAGGCTCCCGGAAACCCAGGTGTTCAGCCTGCTGGAGGAGACAAACAGACCATAGTGGGACCTGCCCCCGGTGGGGGATCAGGGTTGGCCAGCGGGCTTCCCACCCTCTTTCCCGTTCTCTGGGGCTTCCTGGCACAGGGACAGCTGTCTGGTCTCACAATAGCTGCGCCGCCCTCCTGGAGCCAGCTGCGGGGCTCATCCGTGTGGGGGCTGCCCGGCCCCTTCCTCTGCCATTGTCTCCCAGCCAGGGGGCATCCTGTTATGCCCCCCTCCACCCGGAGACCCCATCTGACCCCCCGCCTCAGCCCAGGCTTGTGCGGGTGCTGGGCAAGGGCTGGCGGCATAAGAAGCCGGGGAGTGGGGCGTTGGGGTCTCCTGGTGTCCCTCCCTGTTGCAGAGGGCAGCAAAGAGACAGTTCACCCCGCTCTGGGATCATCCTAACCGCGGCTCCTGTTGTTTATTGAGCGTCCATGCCCACCTACACTTCTGCAATGCGTTCCCTCCAGTCTGGTCCTCACGGGCACCTGGAGAAGTTCTGACCATTTCACAGATCGGGAAACTGAGGCCCGGAAAGGCCACATCACCTGCCTGAGACCACACAGCCCAAAAGGGAGCTCTGGGCGTGGTGGCTTATGCCTGTAATCCCAGTACTTTTGGAGGCTGAGGAGGGTGGATCACCTGAGGTCAGGAGTTCGAGACCAGCCTGGCCAACATGGGGAAACCCCGTCTCTATCAAAAATACAAAAAAATTAGCCTGGTGCGGTGGCAGGCGCCTGTAATCCCAGCTTACTCAGGAGGCTGAGGCAGGAGAATCGCTTGAACCCGGGAGGCGGAGGTTGCAGTGAACCAAGATCGCGCCACTGCACTCCAGCCTGGGCAACAAGAGCGAAACTCCATCTAAAAAAAAAAAAAAAAAAGTAAAAAAAGTTAGCCAGGCATGGCGGCACGTGCCTGTATTCCCAGCTACTTGGGAGGCTGAGGCGGGAGGGTGGCATGAGTCCAGGAGGTGCAGTCTGCCTCAAGCCATAATTGTGCCACTGAGTTCCAGCCTGGGCAACAGAGACCCTGTCTCTAAAATAATAATAATAAATTAGGCTGGGCGTGGTGGCTCACGCCTGTAATCCCAACAGTTTGGGAGGCCGAGGCAGTCGGATCACCTGAGGTCGGGAGTTCGAGACCAGTCTGACTAACATGGAGAAATCCCATCTCTACTAAAAATACAAAAAAAAAAAAAAAAAAAAGAATTAGCCGGGTGCGGTGTCAGATGCCTGTAATCCCAGCTTACTCGGGAGGCTGAGGCAGGAGAATCACTTGAACCCAGGAGGTGGAGGGTGCAGTGAGTCGAGATCGCACCATTGGACTCCAGCCTGGGCAATAAGAGTGAAACTCCGTCTCAAAAAAAATTATACTAATATATTATAATTATATTATAATAATTATTATATTATATAATATAATTATTATTATTATATTATATAATATAATTATTATAATTATATTATAATAATTATTATATTATATAATATAATTATTACTATATTATATAATATATTATAATGTTACATATTATATATTATAATTATTATACGATTATAATAATTATTAGATTATATAATTATACGATTATAATTCTTAGATTATATAATTATTATTATATGACTATAATTCTTAGATTATATAATAATTATATTATATAATAATTATTATACTATAATTATATTATATAATAATTATTATACATAATAATTCTATTATATAATTATTATCATACTATAATAATTATATAATATAATTATTTTATACTATAATAATTATATTATATAATTATTATTATACTATAATAATTATATTATATAATTATTATTATACTATAATAATTATTATTGTTGGTTGGATAATCTTGGGTTGCTTCTTTTTTTTTTTTTCTTTTTTTTGAGATGGAGTCTTGCTCTGTTGCCCGGGCTGGAGTGCAGTGGCGCGACCTCACGATCTCACGATCTCAGCTCACAGCAATCTACGTCTCCTGGGCTCAAGCAATTCTCCTGCCTCAGCTGCCCAAGCAGCTGGGATTACAGGCAATCTTGGGTTACTTCTGAGCTGAGCAACCTGGGGCCAGTGGCTCAAAACGCCCAGGTGCCAGTTTCCCTTTTGACAAATGAGGACCATGTTCCCGCCCCTCATCATTGCAGAACAAAAGTCATGAGGTTGTCCAGAAGCTGCAAAATAGGTCAGCAGGACTGAGACTTCAGGACAAAGAGAAAGTGGAGAAACATAGGCAGACGCCCCGGCAGGGACCAGATCAGCGAGGCTGAAGGAGGCTTCCTTTAGCTGGGCGGCAGCGGAGTGGAGTGGCAGGAGTACTACTAATTTGCATGGTTTACCATATAGGGCCCCACTCAGCACAGGCTCTGTGCTGGTGCTCTGCAGAGAAAAAGACAAAAGTCACTCAGGGGGCTGACAGCCTAATGCGGCTCGAGGGCAGATTGTTGCAAGGGAAGAAGGGAGATGGTGAGAAGTATTGGAGAGACTCAAGAAAGCCGCCAGGAATGGTGACTCACGCCTGTAATCCCAACGCTTTGGGAGGCTGAGGCGCGTGGATCATTTGAGGTCAGGAGTTCGAGACCAGCCTGGCCAACATGATGAAACTTCATCTCTACTAAAAATACAAAAAACTATCCAGGTATGGTGGTGCATGCCTGTAACCCCAGCTGCTTGGGAGGCTGAGGCAGGAGAATCGCTTGAATCTGGAAGGCGGAGGCTGCAGTGAGCCGAGATCGTGCCACTGCACTCCAGCCTGGGCTACGGAGAGACTCTGTCTCAAAAAATAATAATAATGAAAATAAATAAATAAAAATTAAAAAATGAGGACCTGGTTGTGCTCACCTGGAATCCCAGCTACTCGGGAGGCTGAGGTGGGAGGATCGCTGGAGCCCAGCAGTTTGAGGCTGGAATGAGCTATGATCGTGCCATTGCACTCCAGCCTGGGCAACAGCAGACTCTATCTCTAACATAAAGTAAAATAAAATAAAATAAAATAAAAAAGTGTCGATGATCACTATGAAGGGGTGTAGGGACAATCCCTGGCATCAGGAAGCGCCTCCTGCCTCCCTGAGATTCTGCAGACACCAGCTGTCTGACGTGCCCATCTGATCTGCAGAGAAGGGACGTTGAGCCCTGGGGTTCTAGCTGGAGTTTCTGACTTTCTGAGAAAAAAAGGGCAAAATCCCTCCAGAGCTGGTCTGGCCCTCTCTCCTTCCAGCTTCTGCTGGTGTTCATTCCCCTCCCCCACAGCCCAGGCCACCCCCACAGGAGCCCAGGACAGGAAGGGGTAAATTCTAGGACTGGGGATGTTTGATTATTCCCAGGACAATAGTTCTGTGACTTCAGTGATTAGTGACTTTTTTTCCCCATCGCTGCAATCTCCCCCTTTGAACAATTGAACTATATTTTGCTTAGCATTCATCACTTCTGCATCTTGAATTTATTCATGTAACAAGGAGACTTGATTTCGGCATCCTCACTGAAAAACCCTCCTCATTGCCCCAAATAGTAGGGAAACCTAAAAATAAATGTGAATATAAGGAACTCAAAACCAAGTCCTTGAATTCTGGCTGGACACAGACGCCTGCTAAGCCTCAGGGTCACGGAGGCGCTAAAGACATGTTAGTGCCCAGTAGAGACTTTCCCCTGGGCTCATTGTAGGGACTCTGGGGCTGGGCTGCCCGCCTATGGATCTTCTCAGCTGGGTAGGTCACTTGTGCCTCAGTTTCCTCCTCTGTCAAATGGGAATGACAACATCATTGCAGATGTTTTGAGGAGTAAATGAGTTAAAATAGATTAAAAAAAAAACAAACTTATGACCAGGCCTGGTGCAGACTAAGTGCTCTATAAATAATAGCATTTTCTTGGCAGCATAGCGAGAGCTTGTCTTAAAAAAAAAAAAAAAAAAACTTAAGAAAAAACTAGCCAGGCGTGATGGTGCACAGCTGCAGTCCCAGCTCCTCAGGAGGCTGAGGCAGGAGGATCCTTTGAGCCCTGGAGTTTGAGGCTGCAGTGAGCTGTGATGGTGCCACTGCACTCCAGCCTGGGTGACAGAGTAAGATCTCTTAAAAATATATATAGCGTTTGTTTGTTTGTTTTTAGACAGTTTCACTCTTGTTGCCCAGGCTTGAGTGCAAGGGCACAATCTCAGCTCACCACAACCTCCGCCTCCTGGGTTCTATCAGTCCTCCTGCCTCAGCCTCCCAAGTAGCTGGGATTACAGGCATGTGCCGCCACACCCGGCTAATTTTGTATTTTTAGTAGAGACAGGGTTTCTCCATGTTGGTCAGGCTGAGTCTCGAACTCCCGACCTCAGGTGATCCACCCACCTCAGACTCCCAAAGTGCTGGGATTACAGGTGTGAGCCACCGCACCCAGCCAAAAAATAGCGTTTTAAAAAATTATGAGGTAGCTCAAGAGACAAGCTAATCATGTGATTTATCCAGAAAGGAAAGAACCCTCCTATCACATGATTCTCTGTTGATTAACGAAGAGGCCTCTGAAATATAAGTTTCCCACAGGGGGAAACTGGCTTAGAAAGATCAGAAAGATCCAGGAGGTCTGCTCTGTGCGGTGAAGCTTCTCTTCTTGGCACCTGCCTGGCATCGGAAGAGGGCCCCTTCTCCCTCCCTGGGCTTTTATGTGGACACTGTAATGCCTCAGTTTTCTTTCTTTCTTTTTGTTTTTGACACAGGATCTCACTCTATCACCCAAGCTGGAGTGCAGTGGCACCATCATAGCTCACTGCAGCCTCAAACTCCCCAGCTCGGGTGATTCTCCCCGCCTCAGCCTCCTGAGTAGTAGTAGCTGGGACTACAGATGTCTGCCACCAGCCTGGATTATTTATTTATTTATTTTGTAGAAACAAGAGTTTCGCCATGTTGCCCAGGCTGGTGTCAAACTCCTGAGCTCAAGCGATCCTCCTGCCTCGGCCTCCCAGAGTGCTGAGATCACAGGTGCGAGCCTCTGCACCCGACCTGTTTCCTCATCTGGAAAATGGCAGGGAAACGTTCTGCCAGCTGGGACGCAGGCTCTGCCAACTCTGGCATGCCAAAGCTCTGGGCACAGGGCGAGTCCCACCAGCGTGGGCGTCCAGAGCTATTTCTGACAAGACCCCTTTGCGCCTGCCCAGGGAAGAGCCAAGTGGCCCCAGGCAAGACCGCCCCGCCCGGCTGCCACACCTTCCCCTCAGAGCAGCCAGCCCCAACACAGAGGCCAAAGGGTTCGTCAGAGCCACATGGTGGAAACTCTAGCAGAGGGTTTTTGAAAGCAGGTTGCACTTCATTCTTACTGAGTGCACGTGTGTGTGTGTGTGTGTGTGTGTGTGTGTGTGTGTGTGTATGCAGCGCCCCTGGGTCTGTGTTTTTATTGCACTTTCCTGCTGGCTTCCAGCTGCACCGCCAGTTCCGGGGAGGGCCCTGGGCCAGCGGCTGTCCGCCCCCCCTCCTTCATAAAGTCCTGGCCTCGGGACAGCCTGCACAGCTGCCTAGCCTGTGGAGACGGGACAGCCCTGTCCCACTCACTCTTTCCCCTGCCGCTCCTGCCGGCAGCTCCAACCATGGGAGGCCGCGTCTTTCTCGGTAAGTACTTTGGGGCCCCGCTGGGAGGGGCGAGGAAGCTCCAGCGGGACCCCTTGGCTGCGTCTGAGAAACGGGAGGCGCCGCTGGTGTCTGTGGGGCCTGCGATAGAGGAAGCCACATGGTCAAGCAGGCACTCACGGGCACACGGCGAGAGGGGCTGGTGGTGCTTGGGCACCCCCACACCCCGGCAGGAACTCCAGGGTGCTCTTGGAGCCTGCTACCCTGCCTGGAGGGATCCTCAAGCTTTCTACTGGAGCCAGTCTGGCATCTGCTCCCTAAGAGGGGAAACTGAGGCACGGGGGAAGGAAAGGGGCAAAAAGTGAGTGCTGGGACCCTGAGAGCCGCTGTGCTTAATATAACGCATAGAAGGACATGGGCGGGGGTGGGGAAGCTAGAAGCCAGGACTTCTCCACTGCAAGGTACCCCCAATTTGTCCCTCGCAGTCTCAGCAGCAGGGGCAGCCCCCAGAGACCCCAGTTCTTGCTCCCCGCAGACCTGGCTGGGGCTCAGCTGCGGATCGAAGGGACTTTGCCTGGTTCTGGGTTTGAATTTGATTTTTGTTGTGACTTCCTGGGACTCCCTTTCCCGCCCCACCCAAGGTGACTGTAACGGTTATCAGGGTAGCTCGTTGCCTAAGCAACGGGGCAACAAAGAGAGTGAAGAAATGACATTTGGGGCAAAAACCAGAACTTCCTGGACCACAGGGACACAGCTTCCCTGGGCCAGCCCCAAGTGGCAGGTGTCAGCTCAGCACCCCGCCTTGGCTTGAGAGTGAGAGACAAGAGCCCACCTTGGGTTTCTTGGGGGCACACTTGTTGGGGGCAGTTGCCAAGACCTGGCTTCCCAAGGGTTCCACGCCCTGGCTGTCTGTGTCACCAGGGCCAAGTCAGAGAGCCTCTGCGCCTCACTTTTCTCATCTATAAAATGGAGCACAACCCGTCTCCGTCTTAGATTGTTTTAAGGGATGAGTGAGTTAGGACACAAACTATTCCTGGTTCACAGTAAGAATTAGGTAAACAGCATTTTAAAAGTGTTGGCTGGGCACAGTGGCTCACACCTGCAATCCCAGCACTTTGAGAGGCCGAGGCAGGTGGATCTCTTGAGCCCAGGGACTGGAGACTAGCCTGGGCAACACATCGAGACGTTGTCTCTACCAAAAACAAATTTTTTTTTTTTTTTTTGAGACAAAGTCTCGCTCTTGTCGCTCAGGCTGGAGTGCAATGGTGCAATCTCGGCTCACTGCAACCTCCGCCTCCTGGGTTCAAGCGATTCTCCTGCCTCGCCCCCATCCACCCCGAGTAGCTGGGATTATAGGTGCCTGCCACCATGCCCGGCTAGTTTTTTGTTTTAGTTTTTGTGTTTGTATTTTTAGTAGAGACGGGGTTTCACCATGATGGCCAGGCTGGTCTCAAACTCCTGACCTCAGGTGATTCACCCGCCTCCGCCTCCCAAAGTGCTGGGATTACAGGCATGAGCCACCGCGCCCAGCCAAAAAAAATTTTTTTTAATTAGTCGGGCTTGGTGGTGTGCGCCTGTAGTCCTAGTGGCTCAGGAGGCTGAGGTGGGAGGATCCCTTGAGCCCAGGAGGTTGAAGCTGCAGTGAGCTGTGTTTGCACCACTGCACTCCAGCCTGGGTGACAGAGCAAGATCCTATCTCAAAAAATAAATTAATAATAAGGCCGGGTGCAGTGGCTCACACCTGTAATCCCAGCACTTTGGTAGGCCCAGGCCAGCAGATCACCAGAGGTCAGGAGTTCGAGACCAGCCTGGCCAACATGGTGAAACTCTGTCTTTACTAAAAATACAAAAATTACCTGGGTGTGGTGGCGGGCGCCTGTAATCCCAGCTACTCGGGAGCCTGAGGTAGGAGAGTCTCTTGAACCTGGGAGGTGGAGGTTGCAGTGAGCTGAGATCACGCCACTGCACTCCAGCCTGGGTGACAGTGAGACCCTGTCTCAAAATAAATGAATAAATAATAAATTATGATGATTATTAAATTCTGGTAAGACACTAGTGGGTCTGGGGAATTGTCTCGGGGTCCTTAGGAGGAAGCCTAAAGAAGGGGTGACTGCCCCACCACCCCCCACCCCAGGATCTCAATGCAGGAAACTGACTACTTAGGGCTCAGCCCAGAGAATGCAAACCAGAAGGAACTCAAACCAGAACAGCAGCTTCTCTCCCGGCTTCTGTTTGGGCAACTTCCAAGGCCCCAGATGGAGGCAGCTGGGCCCTGTAGCCTCACGGTGGGAGTAGAGAACCCAGCTCAGCCCATGCAGAGGGGATGGGGCACAAAGGAACCCTGCCCAGGGCCCTGAGGACCTCAATCCCTCAATTCCTCCTTCCCCAACCTCTTCTGTTTATTGGATTCCTCCTGATCCTTTTCTGGGCTCCAAGCCTCAGTTTCTCTATCTGTAGAATGGGCATCAACACAGCCCCTGCCTCCTAGAGTGGTTCTGAGCTTTAAAGGAGTTACCTGGGGCTTTGGGAGTTAGAGATGAATCTGCCTAGATCCTGTCCTGCCAGGGGAGGTCATTTTGTGGTCTGTTCTGCAAAGAGGAACTGGGTTCTGGCCGAGGGAGGAACTAGCCAAGCCTTGTGGCCAGAGAGGAGGAAGAGGGGAATCCTGACAGAAGTGGGGAGTACGGGCTTGGGCTGGGGGGTTTCGGCCTTGGTTTAACCCAGCTGGAAGGAGTGTGGAGGTGGGAGTGGGGATCTCTGCCTTCCACCCACCTAAGGGGTACTAAATTTGAACACAGTGGCTGAGTGGTCCGGGGACCTCCAATCTGCACCCCAAACACCCGCCCTCTGAAGCTGTGCTCATAACAGACCCCAAAATTCCCCTGGAAGCCCCTCCAGGGTTGAATTGGGGCAAATGAGTGGTGAGTCATTCCTTCCCTTAGGCCCAGGAAGTGACTCATGCCCAGCCGTTGTCCTGGTCCCCATCCCTCTGCCCGACACCCCCCTTCAGGTCTCCCTGGATTATTGGGGTCCCCAGTATTCCCAGATCGGCAGGGACTGGACGTCCCCTCCCAGCCCGCCCCAGGCCCCACCTGCCGCTCATATCCCAACGCCCTCCGTTCCCCTGCCCTTCCCCTCTGTTTCCATCCACCCTCCTTTCTCATGGTTTTCTTTCTTCCTCACTGTTTATCTCTCTGTCTCTCTGTTCTCTCTGTCCCATCTCCTCCTGTTTCCCCTTCTGCTCTTTATGGGCCCCTTGTTTCTCTCTCCACCTCTCTCTATCACCATGTAATTTCTGTCTCTCTGTCTGTCTCTATCTCTCCGTGTCTCTGTCTCCTCTGTCTTATATTTCTCTAGCTGTCTTCTTTCTCCTCTCTGTCTCCCTCTCTCTCTCCAGCTTGTCTCCTTTCTCCTCTCTGTCTCCGTCTCTGTCCCTCTATCTCTCTGTCTCTCTCTCTCTTTGTTCTTTTCTTTTCTTTCTTTTTTTTTTTTTTGAGACTCTTGCTCTTTTTTTTTTTTTTTTTTTTTTGAGAGTCTTGCTCTGTTGCCCAGGCTGGCGTGCAGTGGCGGGATCTCAGCTCACTGCAACCTCTGCCTTCTGTGTTCAAGCGATTCTCCTGCCTCCACCTCCCAAATAGCTGGGATTACAGGCGTGTGCCACCATGCCCGGCTAATTTTTTGTATTTTTAGTAGAGATGGGGTTTCACTATGTTGGCCAGGCTGGTCTCACACTCCTGGCCTCAGGTGATCCATCTGCCTCGGCCTCCCAAAGTGCTGGGATTACAGGCGTGAACCACCAAGCACAGCCCCCCACCTTCTGTCTCTCTGTCTCTTTGTGTCTCTGTCTCTCTTTCTGTGTCTCTCTTTCTTTCTGACTCTTTCTCTCTCTCTGTCTGTCTCTCTCTCTCTCTAATCTCTATTTTCTCTCCACCCCTGCTTCTTTGTCTCTATCTCTCTGGTGAACAGCAAGGAGATCCCTAGGTCCCCATCTCTGAATCCCCTGGTGACCTGAGGAGGGTCCCCCAGAACATGCCTTGGGAGGGGGAACCCCCTGAGTGCTGGGAACCGCCACTCCACGTGCACCCCAACAGGCGGCTACAGCGTCTTCCTGTGGGAGGGGGGCCCGGGGGTGAAATATCACCACTGGGTTCCAGGACAGACCGCCAGGGCCAGTGGCAGTTGTGGGTGTGGTGTGTGTGCACCTGTGTCCCTGAGGAAGCGTGGAGGTCCAGGGCATCTCAGAGCCTGGGTGATCCAACACCGTCATTTTTTTTTTTTTTTTTCTGAGACGGAGTCTTGCTCTGTCACTCAGGCTGGAGTGCAGTGGCGTGATCTTGGCTTGCTGCAACTCTGCCTCCTTAGTTCAAGCGATTCTCAAGCCTCAGTCTCCCAAGTAGCTGGGATAACAGGCACCCACCACCACGCCCAGCTAATTTTTTGTATTTTCAGTAGAGAGGGGGTTTCACCATATTAGGCAGGCTGGTCTCGAACTCCCGATCTCAAGTGATCCACCCGCCTCGGCCTCCCAAAGTGCTGGGATTACAGGCATGAGCCACTGTGCCTGACCACGCCTTCATTTTTACCTAAAGAAATGAAGATGGCAGGCAGGGCCTGGCGGCTTGTGCCAGCACTTTGGGAGGCCAAGGCAGGTGGATCACGAGGTCAGGAGATCGAAACCATCCTGGCTAACATGGTGAAACCCCTTCTCTACTAAAAATATAAAAAGTTAGCCAGGCGTGGTGGTGGGCGCCAGTAGTTCCAGCTACTCTGGAGGCTGAGGCAGGAGAATGGCGTGAACCCGGGAGGTGGAGCTTGCAGTGAGCAGAGATCACACCACTGCACTTCATCCTGGGCAACAGAGCAAGACTCCATCTCAAAAAAAAAAAAAAAAAAAAAAAAAAGAGAGGCCGGGCGCGGTGGCTCACGCCTGTAATTCCAGCACTTTGGGAGGCTGAGGCGGGCGGATCATGAGGTCAGGAGATCAAGACTACCATCCTGGCTAACATGGTGAAACCTTGTCTCTACTAAAAATACAAAAAAATAAGCTGGGCGTGGTGGCGGGAGCCTGTGGTCCCAGCTACTCGAGAGGCTGAGACAGGAGAATGGTGTGAACCCGGGAGGCGGAGCTTGCAGTGAGCCAAGTTTGCACCACTGCACTCCAGCCTGGGCGACAGAGCAAGACTCCGTCTCAAAAAAAAAAAAAAAAAAAAAGAGAAATGAAGATGGCAGGCTGGGCACGGTGGCTCACGCCTGTAATCCCAGCACTTTTGGAGGCCAAGGCGGGAGGATCACTTGAGGCCGGGAGTTCAAGACCAGCCTGGCCAACATGGTGAAACCCCGTCTCTACAAAAATACAAAAAAATCAGCCGGGCTTGGTGGCGGGTGCCTGTAATCCCAGATACTCTGGAGACTGAGGCAGAGGAATTGCTTGAACCCGGGAGGTGGAGGTTGCAGTGAGCCAGGATCGTGCCATCGCACTCCAGCCTGGGCGACAGAGAGAGACTCTGTCTCAGAAAAAAAATAAAATAAATAAATAAATAAAAGAAGAAGAAATGAAGATGGCAGTAAATGCTCAGGCACACCGGACAGCAGTCATGTGGTTTACTCCCACACACACTACACTGGGGAGTGGGCGCCATCATCCCTATTCTACAGAGGGAAACTGAGGCAGAGAGGCCCACTGTCTGGGATTTGAACTGGGGATGCCTGGCTCCTGTCTGTTTTCTTAGCCACTCCCCACACACCCCAGGTCAGAAGAGCAGCAGCTGGAGCTGAGACCCCCACCAGGCTCATGGCCCTTCCCTACTCAGTTCCTGAAACTCCACCCTCAAGCCGAGCTCGGGAGGCTGAGGCGGGGAGGATCGCTTGAGGCCAGGAGTTCAAGATCAGCCTGGGCAACAGAGCAAGACTCTGTCTGTAAAATAATTTTTTGAATTAT
The DNA here is from genome assembly GCF_000001405.40 of Homo sapiens. Classification (NCBI taxonomy): domain Eukaryota; kingdom Metazoa; phylum Chordata; class Mammalia; order Primates; family Hominidae; genus Homo; species Homo sapiens. Next base: position 14,387,442 of record NC_000019.10, read on the forward strand.
TTTTAGGCCGGCCACAGTGGCTCATGCCTGTAATCCCAGCACTTTGGGAGGCCGAGGTGGGTGGATCACGAGGTCAGGAGATCGAGACCATACTGGCTAACACAGTGAAACCCCATCTCTACTAAAAATACAAAAAATTAGCCGGGTGTGGTGGTGGACGCCTGTAGTCCCAGCTACTCGGGAGGCTGAGGCAGGAGAATGGCATGAACCCAGGAAGCGGAGCTTGCAGTGAGCTGAGATCATGCCACTGCACTCCAGCCTGGGTGACAGAGTGAGACTCCGTTTCAAAAAAAAAAATTATTTTTAATTTTTTGGCCTGGCATGATAAATTATTTTATTTTAAAAATTTTGAGTCAGGAAATGTGGCTCACGCCTGTAATCCCAGCACTTTGGGAGGCCAAGACAGGCAGATCACCTGAGGTCAGGAGTTCGAGACCAGCCTGGCCAATATGGTGAAACCCTGTCTCTAGTAAAAATACAAAAAATTAGCCGGGTGTGGTGGCAGACTCCTGTAATCCCAGCTACTCAGGAGGCTGAAGCAGGAGAATCACTTGAACCCAGGAGGTAGAGATTGCAGTGAGCCAAGATCACAGCATTGCACTTCAGCCTGGGCGACAGAGCAAGACTCTGTCTCAAAAAGAAAAAAAAATTTAGTGCACACCTGTGGTCCCAGCTACTTGGGAGGCTGAGGCAGGAGGATCTCTTGAGCCTAGGAATTGGAGGCTGCAGTGAGATATGATTGCACCACTGCACTCCAGCCTGGGTGACCAAGCAGGAGCCTGTGTCAAAAAAAAAACAAAAACAAAAAAACCCGCCCCTATGGGAACAGGGTGACAGACTCTTTGGCTTTGAGCATCTGAGTGGGACATGACATCTGCTCACTCTGAACGACCGTCAGGATCTGAGCCTGAGAGGGGTCAGCATCCTCCTCCCACAAAGTGCATCACCCTTACGCCTCCTTTCCCACCCTGGGATCCCCTCTGACCCCCTTTCCTTTCTCTGTTGCAGCATTCTGTGTCTGGCTGACTCTGCCGGGAGCTGAAACCCAGGACTCCAGGGGTGAGTCTGCTGGGAAGCAGAAAGCACAGTCCACAGCCAGAGCCTGGGGAGGGTCCTGGACCCCCGCCCAGCCCCCTTCAGCCCAGGGAAAGAGAGGGCTCGCGCACGAGAAACTCAGCGCCCTGCCCCATCTCCCCCAGTGCCCCCTTTTTGTGTATTCCCTTACCCCTCACCTTCTGACCGTGCTCCCTGCTCTTGCAGGCTGTGCCCGGTGGTGCCCTCAGAACTCCTCGTGTGTCAATGCCACCGCCTGTCGCTGCAATCCAGGGTTCAGCTCTTTTTCTGAGATCATCACCACCCCGACGGAGACTTGTGACGGTACAGAGGCTTGAGGGCAGCGCAGGGGACATCCGCGATTATGAGGCATTGCCCAGCCAGTGGGGGACAGAGGTTGTTGTGAGGGGCCACAGCCTTACCTTCCAGACTATCATCATGGCCAGAGAAAAGAAAAAGAGGGCAGGCGTGGTGGCTCACGCCTGTAATCCCAGCACTTTGGGAGGCTGAGGCGGGCAGATCGTTTGAGGCCAGGAGTACTCAGAAGACTGAGGGGAGAGGATTATTTGAGCCCAAGAGTTTGAGGCTGCAGTGAGCTATGATTGCACCACTGCACTCTAGCCTGGGCAACAGAATGAGATCGTGTCTCAGGGAGAGGGAGAGGAAGGGGAAGAGGGAGAGGGGGAGAGGAAGGGGAAGAGGGAGAGGGGTAGGGGGAGGGAGAAGGGGAGGGGAAGGGGGAAAGGGAGGGGGATGGGGAGGGAGAGGGGGAGGGGAAGGGGGAAGGGGAGGGGAAGGGGAGGGGAAGGGGGAAGGGGAGGGGGATGGGGGAGGGAGGGGGGAAGGGGAGGGGAAGGGGAGGGGGATGAGGAGGGAGACGGGGAAGGGGAGGGGGAGGCAGAGGGAGAGGAAAGGAGGCAGGAAGGAAGGAAGGGAGGAAGGGAGGGAGAGAGATAGGCCCGGCATGGTGGGTCATGCCTGTAATCCCAGCACTTCAGGAGGCCGAGGTGGACAGATCACTTGAGGTTGGGAATTCGAGACTAGCCTGGCCAACATGGTGAAACCTCCTCTCTATACTAAAAACACAAAAAATTAGCCGGGGGTGGTGGTGGTCACCTGTAATCCCAGCTACTCGGGAGGCTGAGGCAGGAGAATCGCTTAAACCTGGGAGGTGAATGTTGCAGTGAGCCGAGATTGCGCCACTGCACTCTGGCCTGGGCGACCAGAGCAAGACTTTGTCTCAAAAAAAAAAAAGAGAGAGACAGAGAAGGAGAGAAAGAGAAAGAAAAGTAGGCCCGGCATGGTGGCTTACGCCTGTAATCCCAGCAGTTTGGGAGGCCAAGGCGGGCGGATCACCTGAGGTTGGGAGTTCGAGACCAGCCTGACCAACATGGAGAAACCTCATCTCTACTAAAAATACAAAATTAACCGGGTGTGGTGGCCCATGAGCACATGCTTGTAATCCCAGCTACTCCGGGGGCTGAGGCAGGAGAATCGCTTGAACCCGGGAGGCGGAAGTTGCAGTGAGCCAAGACCGTGCCATTGCACTCCAGCCTGGGCAACAAGAGTGAAACTCTGTCTCAAAAAAAAAGAGAAGAAAAGAACAAGAGAGAGAGGGAGGGAGGGAGGGAAAGAAGAGGGAGGGAGGGAAGGAGGGAGGAAGGAAGGAAGGAAGGAAATAAGGGAAGAATATGAAGGGGGAGAAGTAAGAAGTGAATAGGCATGGCTTCCTGGAGAGAGAGAAGCTGGGTGCTCAGGAATCTGGAGTCTGTGCCTCAGTTTACCCTTAAGACTGGGGAGGGGGTACATTCTGGCTATGAGGTTTTTTTTTCCTTTTTTTTTTTTTTGAGACAGAGTCTCACTCTGTCACCCAGGCTGGAGTGCAGTGACCCGATCTCGGCTCACTGCAACCTCCACCTCCTAGGTTCAAGCGATCCTCCTGACTCAGCCTCCTAAGTAGCTGTGATTACAGGCATGCACCACCATGCCCAGATAATTTTTGTATTTTTAGTAGAGACGGGGTTTTGCCATCTTGGCCAGGCTGGTCTCGAACTCCTGACCTCAGGGGATCCACCTGCCTCAGCCTCCCAAAATGCTGGGATTACAGGCGTGAGCCACTGCACCCGGCCGCCATGGGGTTTAAATTTCTACAAAGAGACTGGGGATGGGGATGTGGAGCTTCCTGTCCATCCCTCACCTCAGCACTGTTCACTGTGTCCAAATCTAAGATGCCAGCCAGAGAACTAAGATCAAGTGTGGTCTTCAGGAATGGCTTGCTCCAGCTGCAGCATAGCCTGTGCAGTGCAACTTAAGATTTTTTCCAAAAGATACTAAGCAGCAGGCCCCATGTTGGGGAGTCAGGATGGGGGTCTCTGCCCTGACAGAACTCACATCTTTGGGAGGTGACTCCCTGTCCTGTTGTGTTCCAGACATCAACGAGTGTGCAACACCGTCGAAAGTGTCATGCGGAAAATTCTCGGACTGCTGGAACACAGAGGGGAGCTACGACTGCGTGTGCAGCCCGGGATATGAGCCTGTTTCTGGGGCAAAAACATTCAAGAATGAGAGCGAGAACACCTGTCAAGGTAAGAACCACCCCACGTCCTCTGACTTTCCATCCATGAGGTTTGGGGTCACCAGAGCCATTCTGGCAGCATCCAGAGAGCAGGGCCTTGGTTGTAGGGTCAGTGCCTGGCGTCTGAGATGGGACAGGTGCACATGTACCTACCCCACCACCCCAGAGAGGCAGAGTGATGTGAGGATTAAGGGCTGACTCTGGGACCAGCTGCCTGGGCCAAATCCTGATAACCAAGTGTATGACGTTGGCCAGGATACTTATTCAGAAACCGCTGTCCACATGTGAGATGTGATAACGTTATCATGCTTGTAATTCCAGTGCTTTGGGAGGCTGAGGCGGGAGGATCTCTTGAGGCCAGGAGTTCAAGACCAGCCCATAGCAACATAGCAAGACCCCACCCCTATAAAAGGGGAGGCGAAGGCAGGTAGATTGTTTGAGCCCAGGGGTTCGAGACCAGCATGAGCAAGCGGGTGAAACCCCATCTCTACAAAAAATACCAAAAAAAAAAAAATTAATTAGCCAGGCATAGAGGCCTGCGCCTGTAGTCCCAGCTACTCAGGAGGCTGAGGTGGGATGATTGCTTCAGGCTGGGAGGTCAAGGCTGCAGTGAGCCATGATCAAGCCCCTGCACTCCAGCCTGAGTGACAGAGCAAGATCCTGTCTCTAAAAAAGAAAAAATCAAACCAAAGCTTTCTTGGAGGCAGGATTTTAAAAAATTAAAAACATTAAATGAAAAAAGAACTGGCCGGGCGCAGTGGCTCACACCTGTAATCCCAACACTTTGGGAGGCCGAGGTGGGTGGATCACAACGTCAGGAGTTTGAGACCAGCCTGACCAACATGATGAAACCCCCGTCTCTACTAAAAATACAAAAATTAGCCAGACATGGTGGCACGCGCCTGTAATCCCAGCTACCAGCTACTCCAGAGGCTGAGGCAGGAGAATCGCTTGAACTCAGGAGGCAGAGGTTGCAGTGAGCCAAGATCGCGCCACTGCACTCCAGCCTGGGTGACAGAGTGAGACTCTGTCTGAAAAAAAAAAAAAAAAAAAGATAGGTTGGGTGCCATGGCTCATGCCTGTAATCCCAACACTTTGGGAGGCCAAGGTGGGAGGATCACTTCACTTGAGTCTGGGAGTTCAAGACCAGCCTGGGTAACATTTCAAGACCCCATCTCTACAAAAACAAAAATATAGACAAGGGGAAGAAAGAGTCCTTATCTTTTATTTGTTTTGTTTGTTTGTTTTTGAGACAGAGTCTCACTCTGTCACCCAGGCTGGAGGGCAGTAGTGTGATCTCGGCTCACTGCAACCTCCGCCTCCTGGGTTCAAGTGATTCTCATGCCTCAGCCTCCCAAGTAGCTGGGATTACAGGCGTGAGCCACCATGCCCAGGCTGAGTCCTTATCTTTTAAAGATAAAAACAAAAGTAGCTTTGACTTTTGTTAAATATAGACCTTGGACAGGTTACTTTCACCTTGTTAAAAGGTTAAAGTTACTTTCACCTTGCTAAAAGGGGAGTAATGGCATTTACCTACAAAAGTATTTAACAGGCTGGGCACAGTGGCTCACACTTGTAATGCTAGTACTCTGGGAGGCCGAGGCAGGTGGATCATCTGAGGTCAGGAGTTCAAGACCAGCCTGGCCAACATGGCGAAACCCTGTGTCTACTAAAAATACAAAAATTAGCTGGGTGTGGTGGTGCATGCCTGTAATCCCAGCTACTCAAGAGGCTAAAGCACGAGAATCGCTTGAACCTGAAAGGCAGAGGTTGCAGTGATCCGAGATGACAGCACTGCACTCCAGCTTAGGTGACAGAGCGAGACTCCATTTCAAAAAAAAAAAAAAAATGGCTAGGCGCGATGGCTCATGCCTGTAATCCCAGCACTTTGGGAGGCCGAGGCGGGTGGATCACGAGGTCAGGAGATCAAGACCATCCTGGCTAACACAGTGAAACCCCGTCTCTACTAAAAACACAAGAAATTAGCCAGGCATGGTGGCCGGCATCTGTAGTCCCAGCTACTCTGGAGGCTGAGTCAGGAGAATGGCGTGAACCCGGGAGGCGGAGGTTGCAGTGAGCCGATATTGCGCCACTACACTCCAGCCTGGGCAACAGAGCGAGACTCCATCTAAAAAAAAAAAAAAAAATCACTTAAAAGCTCCTGGCTTGCAGAATGCACTCTATCAGCAATGGCTAATGGGGATTTTATTGTAATTCTGATCTGATGCGCCCCCAGGATGGGTATCCGTAGGGTGCGAGATCAGAGAGCAGCTGCAAGGCTCTACCCCTGCGCAGAGGCCACAGCCTTTGCTATGGTCTTGCTTGAGGCCACAGCTCAGGCCGGGAGAAACTGGGACTCCAGGCTTTGCCTATTTTCCAGGGAAGCTGGTTGGGCAGGGGAGGGGCTTCCAGGATTCACAGGGGCAGATGGGAGCCAGCAGTGGGCAGCTGGGAGCTGCGACTCATTCAAAGAGAGGGAGTTAGTGCAGGGTACCGAGATCAGGAAGAGGAGTGGTGCAGAGGTGGGAGGTGATGAGACTCAAGACTACAGAGAGAAGAAAGGGCCGGCAGCCCAGATCCCAGCCCCACCCCTCCTGCCCTGCATTCAGGCAGAGCACAGAGGGATAAAGAGGGAGGTGGGTTGGGGGACAAGGCAGAGATGCATATACCTGGGACGTACACCTGCGTGGAGCCCAGAAGGAGGCTTCTGTCCGCCACACTGCTAGTCCCCAGGGCCCCCTTGCAAGTGGACATCATGTTACCCCACATGCATGTGACTTGGCCAGAGGAGACAGAGTCTTCATGTGAACTGGAAAAAGATCCCCCTCTCCCGGTGGATACATTTGACAAACAAAAAGTGGGCTGGTTTTCAGCCCCTGCTCATCTCATTGGCCCAATACCTGTGCAGTGAGCAACCTGCACAGCTGTACTTGGTGATCATGGTTTCCTCCCAGGGTGCTCTGGCTAGGGGTGCCGCCCACCCACTGCTATGAACCCCCTGCATGGGATGGTGGTTGTGGTTATGAAGGAGGTGTGTTGCTGTGTTAGAAACAGGCCTGGGCTGAGAGAAGGGGACTCAGTCAGGCAGCTGGGCAGAGACATGGACAGCAGGGCTGAGGTGATAAGAGGGACCTCCACGGACATCAAAGCAGGTGATGGAGCCAACAGCCTGCTGGTTTGGAGCAGGACCTATGACCAGAGGTGAGACGCTCAGAGGGGCCTGGGCCCCTCCCTTTAACCCAAGGCACTCCAGGCTTCGCTATTGCACCTGAGGACACGTGCACCCAGTGTCACAGCCCATGGGGCCTGTGACATCCAGGCCAGAGACCTCGGGCGGCTCCCTCCACTCCTCACCCCCCTGTCTCCAGGCATCTCAGGGCCATCCTAAACCCCTGATCACCCGTCTTTGTCCCAACCCTGAGACTCGGGACACTCCACAGGAGGCCACTTTGGAAGCTCGGAACATCCCCCTGCCCATCTGGCATCTTATTTGCATAAAACAAAAGGGGGCTGGCACTCAGGATATTTCATGGGCTCATGACATGGCGTGTGGTGGCGCATTCCAGTACAGTATCCATCCTCTCCGCCATCGCCGGGGACTGCCAGGATGAGACTTGCTGCCACCGGGGCTCCCATGAGCTCAGCCACACCTGGAACCCCTCTGACACCCACACCTACCATAATGAACCCCAAAACCCTGTCCAGAAACTCAGGAGGAGGGAATCTCAAGGACAGGACAACTGTCTCCAGCCAGCAGCCTTGCTTGGAGAAGATGCCTCCCGACCACCTTTCTGGCCGTTTAGCCCTCATCCATTTCCCCATCCAAGGCTCCACCCTAACCCACCCTGGTAATTCCTGGGCCTGAACGCACCGTCAATGACCAAAGCTTGGGAGGATGCTGTGGCCAGGTGTGGGCAGCGTGATGTGGACCCCACAAATGGATTCAGAGGGCTGGGTGCCGTGACTCATGCCTGGAATCCCAGCACTTTGGGAGGCCAAGGTGGAAGGATCACTTGAGGTCGGGAATTCGAGAGCAGCCTGACCAACATGGTGCAACCCTGTCTGTACTAAAAATACAAAAATTAGCCGGGCGCAGTGGCACGCACCTGTAATCCCAGCTACTCAGGAGGCTGAGGCAGGGGAATCGCTTGAACCCGGGAGGCAGAGGTCGCAGTGAGCTGAGATCACATCATTGCACTCCAGCCTGGGCAACAGAGAGAGACGCTGTCTCCAAAAAAAAAAAAAAAAAACAAAAACGCACTCAGAGGGTTGGATGAAGGAGGCGGCTCCAGCCTGGACTAGCCGGCAAGAGACAGCATCACTGGGGACCATCGTCCCAGGCCCGATCCTCTCCTGTAGTCAGTCCTGGTCTGGACCACTCAAGGACAGAGATGGAAGCTTGAACCCCATTCAGCAGGGCCCACAGGTCTCTGTCCCTGGTGGAATGACAAGGGATGAGAGGACAGATACATCTGCCACCCCTCACCCATCGGCACCTGTGCCCTCTCTAGCCACAGGCCCCCGCTCACGGCCAGTTCTGCTTAGATATGGATTCTCACCAAATCCTGCTATTTCCATATCCATAGATCCTTTCCTGGGGATCAGAAAAAAGCATCTTTGTAGACTCGGGGCTGCCTGGCTGGACATCAGCCCCCACTGTTCACCCCAGCCTGGTGCCCACTGTCCGGGCAGCCCTAGCCTGTCCCACATCATCCCGCACTCTCCCCACCCCTGCTATTGCCCTGCATCGCGGGGGCACTGGCTTAGGGAGGGGTCTTGGTCCATGCCCATGAAGCTGGGCTCTCAGAGCTAGTGTGGATGGGAGAGCAGCATCCTGCTAGGGCCACCAGGATGCTGAGAATTTGGCCAGCGAGCGGCCGTTCTGTGGGAGTCAGGCCGAGGGCCACCGTTGGGAACCAAGACGTGTCCTGCCCAGGCGCACGGCATGTCCCCTGCATTTGGTTCTCAGGAAGGCCCCACCCTGGCCTTTGCCCGGAATCCTTAGGCTGGGACACAGATGGCTGGGACACCCCAGCTTGGAGCTGCCCAGGAAGGCAGAGGAGAAGGGGAGGACTTGGCTGCTTCCAGCCACATCTGGACAACAGAAGGACTGAGCCACCACCCTCACCATAGGATGCCTCTGTGTGGATTGGAAAAGGGAGGAGACAGTGGTGCCTTCCAGATGCTTCCGTGCCAGGAAACATGGCGGACCCTCAGCCCTGAAAGCTGCTCACAGCTACGGGCATCCTTCACCCTCTCCTTCCTCTTGCAGATGTGGACGAATGTCAGCAGAACCCAAGGCTCTGTAAAAGCTACGGCACCTGCGTCAACACCCTTGGCAGCTATACCTGCCAGTGCCTGCCTGGCTTCAAGTTCATACCTGAGGATCCGAAGGTCTGCACAGGTAGAGGCCCCAGGAAGACGCCGTGAGGCTGGACGGGAGCTGGGGATGGAGCTGAGGCACGTCCTCCAAAGCAGCCGAGGAGGAGGGGGAAGATCCGCAGGTTCCCACAAGGTCAAGGACCTGCTAAGCCCCTGCCTAAGGATTCACCTCCCAGGAAGGTCCTGCCACACGGCAGGGAGGCGGCAGGGCCTTCAGGGCTGGAGTGCCCTTGTGGGCCCCCAGACCTCACCCCTTCCTCATCTGTCACGTGCGAGTGGAAGAAGGTGTCACTTCCAGTTCTAAGAAGGGGAATCTCCACTATGACCAGGGAGGGAGCAGATGAGAGTTTTTAGTTTTTAGTCATGGAAATCTAGCTCCCATGACTCAGTTTCCCTTTTGGTTTCACCTCCTATAAACTGGGGACCATGGTCCCTGCTGTGCCCATCTGGTAGGAAGACCATCATAAGATGCTTTGAAGGTGAAGTTGAAGGTCACCAAGTGGCGGCATGTGCAATAATGGTCTTCAGTCTGAGGCAATGAAAAGATAGGGGAGTGGGTGCAGTGAGTGGAGGGCAGGCCCAGGCTGGTCAGGGACAGGGTTTGACCCTCTGGCTTTGTCCTCAGATGTGAATGAATGCACCTCCGGACAAAACCCGTGCCACAGCTCCACCCACTGCCTCAACAACGTGGGCAGCTATCAGTGCCGCTGCCGCCCGGGCTGGCAACCGATTCCGGGGTCCCCCAATGGCCCAAACAATACCGTCTGTGAAGGTCGAGAGCTCAGATCCCACGTTTCTAGCGACCCACAAACATCTGATCACATGTTCAACGGCGCCCACACAAACCAAGCAGAATGAGCGCTGGAGGCACCTGGCTGTGCCAGGCGTTCGTTCATTCTTCTGAGGCTAGATGAGAAAAGAGCAAGGGTCCTCCGGAAGGAGCTGGGGTACTGAGGGGGAAGGCTCAGGGGGACCCCAGGCAACAGCTGATGACTCACTGGGAGGAAGGCGTTTCACCATATTCATAACCTGCTCATCTGCACGGGGCCCACCTGCTGTGCCCAGGCCTCTCCACGCTTCCATAACCCAGCGTCCACCACTCCAAGGGGGGCACTAATGCCGGGAGGAATGAGCTGGGGGCACAGACAGGAGACAGGACCCTCTCCAGGCTGGGACAGGACCTGACCCCCTTCTTCCTGTCCTCAGATGTGGACGAGTGCAGCTCCGGGCAGCATCAGTGTGACAGCTCCACCGTCTGCTTCAACACCGTGGGTTCATACAGCTGCCGCTGCCGCCCAGGCTGGAAGCCCAGACACGGAATCCCGAATAACCAAAAGGACACTGTCTGTGAAGGTATGACCTGGCCCTAGAAGCTCCCCACCCCCAGCACACACACTGACAAGCGGCCTAATGAGCCGCTTGTCTTGTTCCCTACAGATATGACTTTCTCCACCTGGACCCCGCCCCCTGGAGTCCACAGCCAGGTGAGTGGCCCCCACAGGGACGAGGCGGCGGGAACTCCATCCACACAGCACTGCATCCGTCTCCTTGTTCTAAACTTCCCACCCGCCGTCCAGGCTCTCTGACCCCCACATCTCCTCTCTCTGCAGACGCTTTCCCGATTCTTCGACAAAGTCCAGGACCTGGGCAGAGACTCCAAGACAAGCTCAGCCGAGGTCACCATCCAGGTAAGGGCAGGATGCTGGGGGACCCCAGGACAGTGTAGAATCAGCTAGCGGAGGCTTCCATGTGGCCAGAGAGAGTGCCCAACCCAAGCAGGGGCCTCTAGTCAGAGACACACATGCGCATAACATACACACACCACATACAGTATGTGCACAAACATACACACCCGGACACGTGAAGACACACGCATGCACACACACACACCAGGTATAATGGCAACAGAGTGCAGCACTTAAGAACCTGGAGTTGAGGCCGGGCACGGTGGCTCACGCCTGTAATCCCAGCACTTTGGAAGGCCGAGGTGGGCAGATCACGCGGTCAGGAGATCGAGACCATTCTGGCTAACATGGTGAAACCCCCGTCTCTACTAACAATACAAAAAAAAAAATTAGCTGGGTGTGGTGGCGGGTGCCTGTAGTCCCAGCTACTCAGCAGGCTGAGGCAGGACAATGACGTGAACCTGGGAGGTGGAGCTTGCAGTGAGCCGAGGTCGTGCAGCTGCACTGCAGCCTGGGCGACAGAGCCAGACTCTGTCTCAAAAAAAAAAAAAAAAAAAAAAAGAGCCTGGAGTTGGGCCACAGAAGTTCAAATCCCCCCATTGCCACTTCTTGCTCTGTGATCTAAGGCAAGTGACTTGCCCTCTCTGGGCCTCGGTTTTCTCATCTGTTTTGGGGGTTGTGGTGTGTTTTTTTTTGTTTGTTTGCGTTTTTTTTTTTTATTTGGAAACAAGGTCTGGCTCTGTTGCCCATTCTGGAGGGCTGTGACATGATCATGGCTCGCTGCAGCCTCAATCTCCCAGGCTCAAGTGACCCTCCCACCTGAGCCTCCCAAGTAGCTGGGACCAAAGGCATATACCACCATGCCTGGCTTATTTATTTATTTAATATATTTATAGATGGGGGTCTTGCTATGTTGCCCAGGCTGGTCTTGAACTCCTGGGCTTAAGTGATCCTCCTGCCTCGGCCTCCCAACATGCTGGGATCACAGGCGTGAGCCACTGTGTCTGGCCAGTTTCCTCATGGGCAACACAGGCATGAAAGTAATGCCTCCTTCATATAGTCAGTGTGAAGGGTAAATCAACTAATAGAAGTAAGACTCAGAACAGTGCCTGACACATGATAAGCCTTATATAAAAGCTTTCCTGGCCAAGCACGGTGGCTCACGCCTGTAATCCCAGCACTTTGGGAGGCTGAGGCAGGTGGATCACCAGAGATCAAGAGTTTGAGACCAGCCTGGCCAACATGGCGAAACCCCATCTCTACTAAAAATACAAAAAATTAGCCGGGCGTAGTGGCGGGCGCCTGTAGTCCCAGCTACTTGGGAGGCTGAGGCAGGAGAATGGCGTGAACCCGGGAAGCGGAGCTTGCAGTGAGCCGAGATCCCGCCACTGCACTCCAGCCTGGGCGACAGAGCGAGACTCCGTCTCAAAAAAAAAAAAAAAAAAAAAAAAAAAAAAATTAGCTGGCGTGGTGGTGCACGCCTGTAATCTCAGCTACTCAGGAGGCTGAGGCAGGAGATTCACTTGAACCCGGAGGCAGAGGTTGCAGTGAGCCAAGATTGCACCACTGTACTCCAGCCAGGGCAACAAGAGTAAGATTTTGTCTTAAAAAAAAAAAAAACAGTTTTCCCATATGTTTTTAGCACAGTAGAAAAATGATGTGAGCCACTTAACATCATTTTAACTTTTCCAGTAGCTAGATTATTTAGTTAGTTAGTTTTAGAGATACGGTCTTGTTTTGTCACCCAGGCTGGAGTGCAGTGGCACAATCACAGCTCACTCCATTCTCAACCTCCTGGGCTCAAGCAATCCTCCCTCCTCAGCCTCCCAAGTATTAAGAGCTGAGACTACAGGTGTGAGCCACTGTGCCTAATTTTTTCATTTTTTTTTTTTCTTTTTTGTGAGACGGAGTCTCGCTCTGTCGCCCAGGCCGGAGTGCAGTGGCACGATCTCGGCTCACTGCAAGCTCCGCCTCCCGGGTTCATGCCATTCTCCTGCCTCAGCCTCCCAAGTAGCTGGGACTACAGGCGCCCACCACCACGCCCAGCTAATTTTTTGCATTTTTTAGTAGAGATGGGATTTCACCATGTTAGCCAGGATGGTCTCGATCTCCTGACCTCGTGATCCACCCACCTTGGCCTCCCAAAGTGCTGGGATTACAGGTGTGAGCCACCGCGCCCAGCCATTTTTTCATTTTTTGCAGAGATGGGGGCCTTGCTATGTTGCCCAAGCTGGTCTTGAATCCTGGGTTCAAGTGATCCTCCCACCTCAGCCTCCAAACGCACTGGAAGTACAGGCGTGCACCACCGTGCCTGTTGTCTAATAACTACACTTTATAAAGTAAAAATAAAGTTAAATTAAAGTTAAGATTGCAGGCCGGGCATGGTGGCTCAAGTCTGTAATCCCAGCACTTTGGGAGGCTGAGGCAGGCAGATCGCCTGAGGTCAGGAGTTCAAGACCAGCCTGGCCAACATGGTGAAAACCCGTCTCTAAAATAACAAAAAAAATTAGCCGGGCATGGTGGCGGGCACCTGTAGTCCTAGCTACTAGGGAGGCTGAGGCGGGAGAATCACTTGAACCCAGAAGTCGGAGGTTGCAGTGAGCCAAGATCGCGCCACTGCACTCCAGCCTGGGAGACAGAGTGAGACTTAGTCTCAGATAAATAAATAAATAAAGTTAAGATTGCATTTAACCTAATAGATCCAACGTATTAACCACTTTAACATGGAATGATTTTTTGCTTTTTTTGTTTTGATCTGAGATCGTGCCATTGCACTCCAGCCTGGGTGACAAGAGTGAAACTCCATCTCAAAACAAAACAAAAAAAAAATTACAAAAATTAGCCGGGTGTGGTGGCACGCTTCTGTAGTCCCAGCTACTCAGAAAGCTGAGGTGGGAGGATCGCTTGAGTCTGGGAGGTGGAGGTTGCAGTGAGCTGATTATGCCACTGCACTCAAGCCTGGGCAACAGACTGAGACCCTGTCTCAAAAAAAGAAAGAAAAAAGAACAGGAAATCAAAACAGAGCCTGGCAGGCAGCCCGTGCCCAACCAGTGTTAAGCGCTGTGATTCATACGTGCATGCAGGCAAATACTCAATCCGTCGCTTGTTTTCTGGTTACTGCATCATCTCAGTGATTCCCTTGTGCCTGTGGGTCTCCAGTGTGTCCCCTGGTAGGGGGTGACATCCAGGTCCTTCAGGCAACCCCTGTGGTCTGATGCTCCAGCGATTCTGTCACCCGCCACCCCCTAGAATGTCATCAAATTGGTGGATGAACTGATGGAAGCTCCTGGAGACGTAGAGGCCCTGGCGCCACCTGTCCGGCACCTCATAGCCACCCAGCTGCTCTCAAACCTTGAAGATATCATGAGGATCCTGGCCAAGAGCCTGCCTAAAGGCCCCTTCACCTACATTTCCCCTTCGAACACAGGTGAGGCCTTGGCCTGGCCTGCCCTGCCCCAACCCTGGGCCCCACCTGGTACCTGGGGTCCCTAATCACAACTGCCCCTCTCCCCTCAGAGCTGACCCTGATGATCCAGGAGCGGGGGGACAAGAACGTCACTATGGGTCAGAGCAGCGCACGCATGAAGCTGAATTGGGCTGTGGCAGCTGGAGCCGAGGATCCAGGTAGCAGCGGTGGTCTGGAGGGGGAGCCCGTGGGAGAGAGATGGAGGTGCTGGGATGGGGCCAGGGTGAGGTTCAGAATAGAACAACTGACTGGGCGCGGTGGCTCACGCCTGCAATCCCAGCATTTTGGGAGGCCCAGGTGGGTAGATCGCTTGAGCTCAGAAGTTCAAGACCAGCCTGGGCAACATGGTGAAACCCGGTCTCTACAAAAAATACAAAAATTAGCCAGGTGTGGTGGCACGTGCCTGTAGTCCCAGTTACTCAGGAGGCTGAAGCGAGAGGATCAATTGAGCCCGGGAGGTCAAGGCTGCTGTGAGCTATGATCACGCCAAAGCACTCCAGCCTGGACGACATAGTGAGACCCTGTCTTAAAAAAAAAAAAAAGTCCAGGCACAGTGGCTCATGCCTGTAGTCCTAGCACCCTAGCACTTTGGCAGGCTGAGGTAGATGGATCACCCGAGGTCAGGAGTTCAAAACTAGCCTGGCCAAGATGGTGAAACCCCATCTCTACTAAAAATACAAAAATTAGCTGGGAGTGGTGGCAGGTGCCTATAATCCCAGCTACTTGGGAGGCTGAGACAGAAGAATTGCTTGAACCTGGGGAGTGGAGGTTGCAGTGAGCTGAGATCACGCCACTGCACTCCAGCCTGGGCGAAAGAGCGAAACTCCGTCTCAAAAAAAAAAAAACAAGGAACAACTAGAAACTGACTCATCGGGAGGGGCTCCTGGCGTCATCGTGGTGGACTGGCTGAGCCTGAGCTGGGTCATCTTGGGAGGGAGGATAGAGCATGGGAGGAGGACAACGGGAGTAGGCAGCGAGTGTGTCTGTTCCCCAGGCCCCGCCGTGGCGGGCATCCTCTCCATCCAGAACATGACGACATTGCTGGCCAATGCCTCCTTGAACCTGCATTCCAAGAAGCAAGCCGAACTGGAGGAGATATATGAAAGCAGCATCCGTGGTGTCCAACTCAGACGCCTCTCTGCCGTCAACTCCATCTTTCTGAGCCACAACAACACCAAGGAACTCAACTCCCCCATCCTTTTCGCCTTCTCCCACCTTGAGTCCTCCGATGGGGAGGCGGGAAGAGACCCTCCTGCCAAGGTCTCTGCTCACTCTGCTCACTTCCTCAAAGATAACCCAGGGCCTTCGCACATGCTGGGCCTCTCTCTGGGATGCTCTTTCCCGACGTGACTCAGTCTTTTATGTTTCTGGCCTTCTGATTTGGGCCTTCCCCAACCTCATTACTTATTTATTTCCTTACTTTATTTATTTAATTTAATTAATTAATTTATTTATTTTAAGACAGAGTCTCACTCTGTCGTCCAGGCTGGAGTGCAGTGGCACGTTCTCGGCTCACTGCAATCTCTGCCTCCCAGGTTCAAGTGATTCTCCTGCCTCAGCCTCCCAAGTAGATGGGATTACAGGCATGCGCCACCACACCTCGCTGATTTTGTATTTTTAGTAGAGACGGGGTTTCTCCATGTTGGTCAGGTTGGTCTCAAACTCCCGACCTCAGGTGATCTGCCCGCCTTGGCCTCTCAAAGTACTGCGATTACAGGCGTGAGCCACCACTCCCAGACTTTCTTTTCTTATTTATTTATATTTTTAGACAGGAGGGTCTCACTCTGTGGCCCAGGCTGGAGTGCAGTGGCGCGATTATAGCTCACTGCAACCTCGAACTCCTGAACTCAACCATTCCTCCAGCCTCAGAGTTTTGAGTAGCTGAGGCTACAGGCATGCACCACCACTCCCAGCTAATTTTTTTATTTTTGATAGAGACGGGGACCTCACTATTTTTCCCAGGATGGTCTAGAATTCCTGGGCTCCAGTGATCCTCCCACCTCAGCCTCCTGAGTAGCTGGGACTATAAGCGTGCACTACTATGCCCAGTTAATTAAAAACAAAAAAATTAATGGAGATGGAGGTCTCGCTATGTTGCCACAGCTGGTCTCAAACTCCTGGCCTCAAGCGATCCTCCCACCTTGGCCTCCCAAAGTCCTGGAATTACTTACAGGCAAGAGCCATCATCATCCCTGGCCACCTTCTAATGCACTATCTACATTACTTATTCGTTAGGTTTATGTCATAATCTGCCTCTCCCACTTTTTTTTTTTTTTTTTTTTTTTTTTTTTGAGATGGAGTTTCACTCTTGTCATCCAGGCTGGAGTGCAGTGGCTCATTCTCGGCTCAGTGCAACCTCCACCTCCCAGGTTCAAGCGATTCTCCTGCCCAGGACTCCCAAGTAGCTGGGATTTACAGGTGCTTGCCACCAGGCCCAGCTAATTTTTGTATTTTTTAGTGGAGACGGGGTTTCGCCATGTTGGCCAGGCTGGTCTCAAACTCCTGACCTCAGGTGATCCGCCTGCCTCAGCCTCCCAAAGTGCTGGGATTACAGGCATGAGCCACTATGCCTGGCCACCTCTCCCACTCTTATGTCAACCTCACAAGGGTAGGTACTTGTGTGTGCCCTGTTCACTGCTGTGTCTCCAAACCTGTTACATTCAGTAGGCGCTCGGTCAATACTCATCTAGTAAAAAGCAGCCCTCTTAGACTCAGCCCAAGCCCAGGACCTAAGAGTGAGCTCCAGGCCAACCTTTCTGACCACCCCCATCTGCCCACAGGACGTGATGCCTGGGCCACGGCAGGAGCTGCTCTGTGCCTTCTGGAAGAGTGACAGCGACAGGGGAGGGCACTGGGCCACCGAGGGCTGCCAGGTGCTGGGCAGCAAGAACGGCAGCACCACCTGCCAATGCAGCCACCTGAGCAGCTTTGCGATCCTTATGGCTCATTATGACGTGGAGGTAAGTAGCTGGAGGCATCCTCAAGTGCCCACAGGTAATGAGGTCCAGCTGCAACCAGACAGGCAGCTAGTTCTCCATGGAGCCCTACTGGTTGCTCAGATATATCTGCATGGTTGCACAGCCCAGGTGTCCCCACGTCACACCCTTCGCAGCCTCTTCCTTTGGCCTCTTCTCTACAACCCAGCAACTATACACTGGGTGCAGCCACTAGCTCCGCTCCTCTGCCTGTCCATCCCGTACCAGTTGTGAGATGTCAACTAAAAGCTCCCCATGGAGAGCATTCCAAGGGGGCACCACTTGCCCGTTTTTTTTTTTTTTTGAGACGGAGTCTCTGTCGCCCAGGTTGGAGTATGGTGGCACAATCTCAGCTAGTGAGGTTCAAGGGATTCTCCTGCCTTAGCCTCCCGAGTAGCCGAGATTACAGGCGTGCACCACCATGCCTGAGTAATTTTTGGTATTTTTAGTAGAGACAGGGTTTCACCATGTTGCCCAGGCTAGTCTCAAACTCCTGACCTCAGGTGATCCACCCACCTCGGCCTCCCGAAGTGCTGGGCTTACAGGTGTCAGCCACCGCACCCGGCCTCTTTTTTTTTTTCTTTTGGACAGAGTCTTGCTCTATCGCTTAGGCTGGAGTGCAGTAGTGTGATCTTGGCTCACTGCAACCCCCGCCTCCGGATTCAAGCGATTCTCCTGCCTCAGCCTCCCAAGTAGCTGGGATTACAGGTGCATGCCACCATGCACCGCTAATTTTTGTATTTTTAGTAGAGGCGGGGTTTCACTATGTTGGGCAGGCTGGTCTCGAACTCCTGACCTCAGGTGATCTGCCCCCCCTCAGCCTCTCAAAGTGCTAGGATTAGAGGCATGAGCCACCACACCCAGCCTGGAGCACCACTTTCTGTACGTGACTTCAGTAGGATCCATCGTTAAGCTGGGCCTTGTCGAAAACTGCAATTAACCAGGCAGAGAAGGGGGGCGCCTGTGGTCCAGGCCAAAGGCCCAGCAAGCACAAAAATGTGAAATCCCTAGACTCCCCTTCCAGCTGGTAAGTGTGGCCAGATCTAGGAGGGACAAGGGAGGAGGTCAGAGAGGTGGGCCCGTCAAAGTGTGGGGGGGAAAAGGGACCACAAAGAGGGCAGGAAGGCCTCATGCCCTGAAGGAACCCTGAGCACCCGGTGCCACTCCTAGGACTGGAAGCTGACCCTGATCACCAGGGTGGGACTGGCGCTGTCACTCTTCTGCCTGCTGCTGTGCATCCTCACTTTCCTGCTGGTGCGGCCCATCCAGGGCTCGCGCACCACCATACACCTGCACCTCTGCATCTGCCTCTTCGTGGGCTCCACCATCTTCCTGGCCGGCATCGAGAACGAAGGCGGCCAGGTGAGGTCCCGCCCCGCTCCCTCCTGAGCTCTGGGGTCAGGGAGGCCTGGGAGGGGTTAGCCCCGCCCACTCCCGGGGCTCAGTCGGGTAGGCGGGCCCTGGAGGCATGAGGCCCCGCCCCTGTCCGGGATCTGGCCCCGCCCACCGGGGGGTCGGGTTGTCTCTTTAAAGGGCGCTGGCTTTGGAGCTGCCTGGCCACACCCCGAGTGCCCGCTCGCTTCTGAGCGTTGTTGGGGGTGGGCCCTGGGGGGAAACCTGGCCCCCGCTCCAGACCCGCCCACCCTCCGGCTGTGGTCCCGCCCACTCTCGGGACCTGGCAGGCGACTGGCTCTGGCGCCGCATGCCCCTCCCCGCGCTGACGTCGCTCCGCCCCTCCGTCCCCGCCCCGCAGGTGGGGCTGCGCTGCCGCCTGGTGGCCGGGCTGCTGCACTACTGTTTCCTGGCCGCCTTCTGCTGGATGAGCCTCGAAGGCCTGGAGCTCTACTTTCTTGTGGTGCGCGTGTTCCAAGGCCAGGGCCTGAGTACGCGCTGGCTCTGCCTGATCGGCTATGGCGTGCCCCTGCTCATCGTGGGCGTCTCGGCTGCCATCTACAGCAAGGGCTACGGCCGCCCCAGATAGTGAGTGCAGCGAGATGGGGCAGGAGGAAGGCGGGGTGCTGGGCCTGGGGCTCACAGGCAGTGCCACACACAATGTCCGGCCGCCCTCCGTTCCGCTCCTGGCTTCCTGGGGCACTGATGGGACCCCTCCCTTCCCTCCTAGCTGCTGGTTGGACTTTGAGCAGGGCTTCCTCTGGAGCTTCTTGGGACCTGTGACCTTCATCATTTTGGTAAGTACCCACTCTCCCTCCACCGAAGCCCGAGCGCCACAGGCCCAGGCCCGGCTGGACCATCGCTCTCGCCCTCTAACCCACAATCTGCTCCCTGCCCAGTGCAATGCTGTCATTTTCGTGACTACCGTCTGGAAGCTCACTCAGAAGTTTTCTGAAATCAATCCAGACATGAAGAAATTAAAGAAGGCGAGGTGAGAGGAGAGGCTGGAAGGACTTGGAGGCGGGGCCGGGGTGAGGGGCATGAAGCTGGAGGTGAGGTGGGGGCCCACGCTGCAACCCCGCTCCTCGCAGGGCGCTGACCATCACGGCCATCGCGCAGCTCTTCCTGTTGGGCTGCACCTGGGTCTTTGGCCTGTTCATCTTCGACGATCGGAGCTTGGTGCTGACCTATGTGTTTACCATCCTCAACTGCCTGCAGGGCGCCTTCCTCTACCTGCTGCACTGCCTGCTCAACAAGAAGGTGGGGGCCTGGGCACAGTGGCGCACGCCTGTCATCCTCCCACCTATTTGGGAGGCTGAGGTGGGAGGATTGCTTGAGCCCAGAAGTTGGAGACCAGCCTGGGCAACATAACCAGATGCTGTCTTTACAAAAAAATTCAAAGATAGCCAGGGTGAGGCGCCTGTAATCCCAACAGTTTGGGAGGCCGAGGTGGGCAGATCACCTGAGGTCAGTAATTCAAGACCAGCCTGGCCAACATGGTGAAACCCTGTCTCTACTAAAAATACAAAAATTAGCCAGGCATGGTGGCACACGCCTGTAGTCCCAGCTACTTGGGAGGCTGAGGCAGGAGAATCATTTGAACCAGGAGTGCAGTGGGCCAAGATGGCACCATTGCACTCCAGCCTGGGTGACAGTGAGACTTGTCTCCAAAAAAAAAAAAAAAAGCCGGGTGTGCTGAATACCCATCTCAGCTTCTCAGGAGGCTGGGGCAAGAGGATCACTTGGGCCCAGGAGTTCAAGGTTGCAGTAAGCTATGATGGTGCCACTACACTCCAGCCTGGGTGACAGGGGGACCCGATCTCAAAAAAAAGACAAACACAAAAACACCAAGAAGGTGGGGCTGAGGGCAGAGCATGGGGAGGAGCGTGCATGGTCCCAGGGCCTGCTCCTGCCCTGACTTGGTGTCTGGGCCGGCAGGTTCGGGAAGAATACCGGAAGTGGGCCTGCCTAGTTGCTGGGGGGAGCAAGTACTCAGAATTCACCTCCACCACGTCTGGCACTGGCCACAATCAGACCCGGGTAAGGGGCTGCGCCTGGGGCGGGTGTGGGCAGGAAGGCACCAGGGCTAGCGGGGCTCAGGCCTCTGGGCTCTCCTCTCCAGGCCCTCAGGGCATCAGAGTCCGGCATATGAAGGCGCATGGTTCTGGACGGCCCAGCAGCTCCTGTGGCCACAGCAGCTTTGTACACGAAGACCATCCATCCTCCCTTCGTCCACCACTCTACTCCCTCCACCCTCCCTCCCTGATCCCGTGTGCCACCAGGAGGGAGTGGCAGCTATAGTCTGGCACCAAAGTCCAGGACACCCAGTGGGGTGGAGTCGGAGCCACTGGTCCTGCTGCTGGCTGCCTCTCTGCTCCACCTTGTGACCCAGGGTGGGGACAGGGGCTGGCCCAGGGCTGCAATGCAGCATGTTGCCCTGGCACCTGTGGCCAGTACTCGGGACAGACTAAGGGCGCTTGTCCCATCCTGGACTTTTCCTCTCATGTCTTTGCTGCAGAACTGAAGAGACTAGGCGCTGGGGCTCAGCTTCCCTCTTAAGCTAAGACTGATGTCAGAGGCCCCATGGCGAGGCCCCTTGGGGCCACTGCCTGAGGCTCACGGTACAGAGGCCTGCCCTGCCTGGCCGGGCAGGAGGTTCTCACTGTTGTGAAGGTTGTAGACGTTGTGTAATGTGTTTTTATCTGTTAAAATTTTTCAGTGTTGACACTTAAAATTAAACACATGCATACAGAAGATGGCCTTGCCTGCTGGTGGTGATTCAGAGGCCGGGCCCAGGGTGTCCGTGAAAGGCCAAGATGACCAAGAAATAGATGGGGTGGGAGCCAGGCTTCCATAATAACAAGTTTATTCTCATACAATCTCTAGCTTCTCAACAGTGGCGCCTGGAAAGGGGAGGTGAAGCTGCATGCGGGCGGCTCCGGGTGGGCGGCTCTGGCACGTGGTGGTTACCGGCTCTGCTCGACTGTAAGACATGAGATGCAGTGAACTGAAGGGCCGGGGGAGGAACCCTCTGCCCCAGACCCCTGGCCCTGCCCAAGGCACTTACTGTATGTGGAGATGTCGATTTCCTCTGGAAGTTCTGCCACATTAACTTCAAACCGGTCCTGGACGTCATTGAGGATTTTGGCATCATTCTCGTCAGACACAAAAGTGATGGCTAGGCCTTTGGTGCCAAAGCGACCCGCCCGGGCCACCTGCAGGCAGACAGGATCAGGGTCAGGCCACAGATACTACCTCAGGACTTGAGGAAAAGCAGGGCTGGGGCCCCACCCCACCGCCAGGGGAAAGCAACATGCCCGTGAGGCTGCTCACCCGGTGCAGGTAGGTGTCCGAGTCCTCAGGCATGTCGTAGTTAAAGACGATGTTGACTCGCTCGATGTCCATCCCCCGGCCAAACAGATTGGTGGCCACCAGGATCCGCCGCTGGAAATCCTTGAACTGCTGATAGCGTGACAGGCTGGGGTGCAGGAGAAACAAGTGGAGGCCGTCAGACACTGGGCTCCTGGTGGTGCTCCCTGCAGCCTTGGCGGGCGGCTCGCACTCACCGCTCCTCCTGGGCCATGCCCCGGTGGATGGCGATGGCCGGGAAGTTCTGCTCCACGAGGAGCTGGGCCAGGGCCATGCAGCGCTGCACTGACTTGACGAAGATTATCACCTGAGGGAAGGAGTGGCAGTCAGGGCCACACAGTCCCTGTGGCCCAGTGACCTCCCGAAGGTCCTGAGCCCCAGGACAGGCTGATGGAAGTATCACCTGGTTAAACTCCAGCACATCCAAGAGATCAAAGAGCTTGCGGTTCTTCTCACTGTCTTTGAGTTTGACGTAGTACTGCTGCAGGCCGTGCAGCGTGAGCTTGGTCTCGTCGTCCACAAACACCTCCATGGGCTGTGTGGGAAGGGAGGTGGGAGGGGCGGGCAGGGATCACCTCTGGGCATCTCGCCTGCCCAGAACCTTCCAGTGGGCGACTCCTTTGTGCGACACTTCCCAGAGGACCTGCTGCACCAGACCTCAGTAAACATCGCTCAAAAGCTGGATGTAAGCTCTGGCCCGACTCAGGTGTGGACCAAGCTTGACTCCCAGTTTGACAAGACCGAGGGGAGGAAAGGAGGCTCCGCCGGCTCCCAGCATCCCAGCATCCTCCGTGCCATGTGGGCCGTGCGGGTGTCCTGGGGCCCCAGGCTCCAGGCCCCTGGGGAAGGCCAAAGCTGCCACTCTCGCCCTACTCACATCCTGCATGAACTTCCTGCACACAGGCCGGATGTCCTTGCTCAGGGTGGCGCTGAACATCATGCACTGCTTCTCGTGTGGTGTCAGGCGGAAGATCTCCTGCACATCCCGCCGCATGTCTAGGTGGGGAGGGCAAGACATGGGTGGGCATGAGCGTCTGCCATGCAGGACCCCCACCCCAGACCAGACCCAGACCCCTCCCAACCTGTGCCAGGGAGCCAGTGGCACCGTGACGAGGGCAGAGTGAGCCGCGGGAGTGGCCAGTCCTGGTGCCTGAGGGGCTGGGGGGTGGCCAGCGAGCGCAGGCGCGGGAGGAGCTGCAATCCACTTACACGCTGGCGCGGAGCAGCCGTGCCCGTGCGCCTCGAGCCACGCTTCAGGGAGGGGAGCCTGAGGCAGAGACAGCCGCTGGGGTGAGAGCTGCAGCTGCCTCCCAGGACACAAGCCCATCTCCCACCGGCCCTGTCGGGGCTCACTGAGGGCAGGCGGGGCCTGGAACCAACCCAACAGGTGGCAGAAGCCTCATACTCCCAGAGGTATGTGTGCATGCCTTTACGTCCAGGAGGGACGGGGGCTTGCTTGGGCCCCGTGGTCCCATTCGGCTCGGGCTCAGAAACAGCACATCCCTCTGCCAGCAGCAGAGCTTTCCCCAAGATCACCACAGGAGCCCCGCCTGCCGGCCGCCCATGTAACCCACTCAAGAGCCTTCCGCCTGCTATGGGGCCCGCCTAGTCACTGACTCTCAGCTGGGGCTGCAAGGGCAGAGGACTCACCCAGCTGCTCCAGCATCTTGTCACACTCGTCCAGCACAAAGTGCTTCACATTCTTTAGGCTGAAGCTCCTATTCCGCACGAGCGCCAGGATGCGGCCCGGGGTCCCCACCACGACATGGGGACAGTTCTTCTTCAACACTTCTTCATCCTTCTTGATGGAGAGACCACCGAAGAACACAGACACCTATGGGGATGAGGAGGAAACCGCTCCATGCTGATACACGGCCCAAGGCCCCAACCTGCACGGCCCAGCACCTGCGAACAGGAGGCCTCAGGGGACCAAGGCAGGCCTGAGAGCCTCCCGGGGCTCCACTCAAAGGCAGCCCCAGGCTGGGACCTGCGCAGGCCCCTGGGAGCCATGCATAATTCATCAGGCTTTTAAGGAGCAAAAACCACCGCAAACCTCAAAGGCAGCTGCCCCTGCCAAGCTTGGTAAATGCTGGCTGGGCCAGAGCCGAGGCTAACAAAGCTGCAGAAACCAAGTGGCGCCTGGTCCAGTCTGGCCCGAGGGACTCACCTTGACGCTGGGCATGTACTTGGAAAAGCGCTCATATTCCTTGCTGATCTGGAAGGCCAGCTCCCTCGTGTGGCACATGACCAGGACCGTCACCTGGGAAGTGGCATAAGAAGAGGGCCTTACCTTAGGCAGTGTCCTAAACCCCTTCCCCACCAGAGTCCACCCAACCCAGTCCCCCTGACACTGCACCCAACATCACAGGCCATTTGAAGGCCCGGTCCAAATGCCTCCCACTTCTCACGGCCCTTCCCCACCCCTCACTCCCTATACCCTCCCACAGCTATTGAAACCTGTCTCCCAACACCAGGACCCACAATAAGAAACAGAAAATGGAACAGAAAATGGCCCGCATAATGTAATGGTTAGACCTGGCCTGCCTGGGTGACATGGGACCTGGCTCTCTAAGGATTTCCTGAATCTCGGCACTCGGGCGGCCCCGGTCTTCCCACCCGTGCCATCAGACACTGGACCACACCACAGCCCTCCACAGCACCTTCATCCTTCAGGATGTGCTCTGAGATAACGAGGGCACGGGCGCCAATATGAAGCCCAAAGATGTGCACCTGGCCTGACTCGGGAGCAAGACACCAGAATTCACTGAAGTGTCTCCCCAGGACAGTGGCACACAAGACAATGGGAGAAGACAGCCAGGGCCTAACAGCAAGGACAGTGGTGACAGCTATATTCGGGGCAACCCAACCTTCACAGATGGACACTCTCTAGGTAAGTGGCACGGCAAAACAGCAACGATGCCTCTGGGGCAAGGGGCAAACTGTGGGCACTTTCCAGTTATTTTGGCTTATTGGCAATTTCTAATTTTTGTTATAACTAATTATTTTTTGAGATGGAGTCTACCTCTGCCACCCAGGCTGGAGTGCAGTGGTGTGATCATAGCACACTGCAGCCTCGACTTCCTGGGCTCAAGCAATCCTCCAGCCTCAGCTTCCCAAAGCACTGGGCTAACAGGTGTGAGCCACCCCATCCAGCCTACTCTACTTCCGCCGCCACAGGCAGGGTGGGGCCAGGAAGGGAGGAGCCCACCCACCTGTCCGTTGACAGGCTCAATCTGCTGTAGGGTGGCCAGCACGAAGACCGCTGTCTTGCCCATCCCGGACTTGGCCTGGCACAGGACGTCCATGCCCAGGATGGCCTGGGGAATGCACTCATGCTGGACTGCAGGAGAAGCAGAGCGTGAGGGACGAGAACCTGGATGCACCCCCGTGCAGGATCCTCACCAGTTGACCGGGGGCCCACAGTGAGGGCAATCAGAAGAGGCCGAGTCCGGACAAGGCCACAGACACCTGCAGGGCTGGGGTATCCGCCTGGTCAAAGCAGAACGCCCCACTGCCGAGGGCAGCCACAGGCCCCGCTGGGCACAACTGATCCGCGGGACAGACGGGCCCCTCCCTCACCCACGGCAAACTGGAGGCGGCACCGCTCTGGGCGGGCAGGGCTGGTCTTGTCTTGGTGAGGACCTGGGCAAGAGGATAACACCCAGAAGGCGTACCCTCAGAAGGATGCTCAAAGCCACAGTCCACGATGGCCCGCAGGAGCTCCGGCTTCAGCAGAAAGTCCCGGAAGCCAGAGCTGTGGATGGAAACGTAGGATCCCTTGATGTCTTTCTTAGGGGGAGCTGGTGTGCTCTCTTGAGGAGCCTGGGGCTCTTCCTCTTCATCGTAATCCAAAAGATCGTTTTCCACATCCTGTTCTGCCATGATGCTGAGAAGAGAGAGAGGCAGGGTCCCGCGAGTGGGCACAGAAGGATGATGAAGCTTCATTCAAATGGCATTCTCTGCCGCCTCCTTCCATGAGTGAGCCCATCAGCTCTACCTGGGCTGCACCTCGCAGCTTCGCCCTGTCTCCACCTCCCCACCCCCAAGCTACCCCATCTCTCCCCCATGCCCCTCTGGCCACACCCACAGACAGAACACCCTCCACCTCCAAGGGCTTCCCATGGCTCACAGAGTTAAAATCCCAACTCTCACCACAGGCCAGGCAATCCCCTTGGTTTGACCCCTGCTCACCTCATCCCACACCACCCCCAGCCTTGTTCAGCTGCTCAGACCCCTGGAGCCCCTGCCCCAAGCCTTTGAACCTGGCTGTCACCGCCAGGAATGCTCTGCCCCCAGGTCTCTGCACAAATGCCTCCTTCTCCACACGCAAGCCTCAGCTCCAGTGAACCTCCTCAGACTACTCAGCCCAGAGAAGCCCCCTCCCTATCACTCCCCAAGGAACCCACTGGGCTTTCATGGGGCAGGAGCCCAAAGATCCCAGGGGTGGGGCTGCCAGGATGCTGGTGGGAACTGAGTTTGCGAGAGAGCAAGCAGTATCTGTCCAGCCCCAGCTTCTCCCACTCTCTGTGGTCTGCACAGGGGAATAATTAAGTGCTCTCATGAAAGGCCTCCTATTGGGCCTGGGCCAATAAAAATAAAGCTGAGAAGATGGAAAATGGAATTAATACAAAGTCTGCCTACCTCTTTGCTTTATTAATCTAATGCATACCAAGTGCCTGCTGGGTGCAAGGGACCCAAACATGAGGACAATTGTCTTTCGTCCTCCTCCCCTACCCCAGACTCCAGTGGGGGGTGGAGCAGAGGGTGACAGCTGCTACAATTCTTCCTGAGGCTGGATGCTGAGGATCCTAGGCCACTTTTGGCCTCGCTGTCACTCATTCCCGGCTCAGAAACAGCAATTCCATTGTCTCAATGGCTGTTTTCTCTCTCTCAACCTCCCTGTCCATGAGGCAGTGAATCCCACCAAGGCCCTCTGGCCAGTTCTCACCTATGCTACCATGCTGGCCCCAAGCTGCTATCACCTGTTTTATTATTATTATTATTATTATTATTATTATTATTATTATTATTATTGAGATGAAGTCTTGCTGTCACCCAGGCTGCAGTGCAGTGGCGCAACCTCGGCTCACTGCAACCTCCACCTCCAGGGTTCAAGATTCTCCTGCCTCAGCCTCCTGAGTATCTGGGATTACAGGTGCTTGCCACCATGCCCAGCTAATTTTTGTAGTTTTCGTAGAGACAGGGTTTCACCATGTTGGTCAGGCTGGTCTCAAACTCCTGACCTCATGATCTACCCACCTCAGCCTCCTAAAGTGCTGGGATTACAGGTGTGAGCCACCGCGCCTGGCCTTATTATTATTTTTAACTAGAACAGCTTTACAGGCTGCGCGCGGTGGCTCACGCCTGTAATCCCAGCACTTTTGAGAGACCAAGGCGGGTGGGTCACCTGAAGTCAGGAGTTCGAGACCAGCCTGACCAACATGGTGAAACCCCAACTCTACTAAAAATACAAAAATTTAGCCAGGCATGGTGGCAGGCGCCTATAATCCCAGCTACTCGGGAAGCTGAGGCAGAAAAATTGCTTAAACCTGGGAGGCGGAGGTTGTGATGGGCTGAAATCACGCTTCACTCCAGCCTAAAAAAAAAAAAAAAAAAAAAGAAAAGCTTCACAGAGATATTTACATGCTATACAACTCACCACTTAAGGCAGATAATTCAGTGGTTTTTAGTGTAGTCACAGACATGTGCAACCACTACCACATGTGCAATTTTAGAATACTTCATCACCTTGAAATAAAAGCTCCTGTACCCTTTACGTATCCATACCCTAAACACCCCACCCCAGCCCCGGGCAACCACTAATCTGCTTTCTGTTTCTATGGATTTGCCTGTTGTTGTGGACATTTCACATAAATGAAATCTTATAATTTGTGACATTTTGTGTCTGGCTTCTTTCACTCAGCACAGTGTGCTCTACCACATCATCAGTACTCCCTTCCTTTTTTTTCCCCCCTCTTTGAGACAAGGTCTTGCTCTGTTGCCCAGGCTGGAGTGCAGTGGCCCAATCAAAGCTCACTTCAACCTCTGCCTCCCGGGCTCAATCAAGCGATCTTCCCACCTCAGCCTCCCTAGTAGCAGGAGCTACATGCGCCCGCCACCACTAATTTTTGTATTTGTAACAGAGATGGGGTTTCACCATGTTGCCCAAGCTGATCTCCAACTTGTGGGCTCAGGCGATCCGCCCACCTCAGCCTTCCAAAGTGCTGGGATTACAGGTGTGAGCCACCACACCTGGCCTCATTTCTTTCCATGGTCACCTAATGTTCCATCTCACCAACATACTACATTTTGCTTAACCACTGTCAGCTGGACATGTAGGTGCCATCATCTCTTGCCTGAATTAAGCCAATATCCTCCTCCCTGGTTTCCCTGTTGCCATCCCCCAGCCCCTCCCCAGAGCAGCCAGAAAGACCCTATCAAACTAAGTCACGGCCAGGCGCGGTGGCTCACACCTGTAATCCCAGCACTTTGGGAGGCCTAGGCGGGCGGACCACCTGAGGTCAGGAGTCCAGGACCAGCCTGACCAACATGGTGAAACCCCATCTCTACTAAAAATACCAAAAATGTGCCGGGTGTGGTGGCGGGTACCTGTAATCCCAGCTACTTGGAGGCAGGAGAATCACTTGAACCTAGGAGGCAGAGGTTGCAGAGAGCCGAGATCACACCATGGCCCTCCAGCCTGGGCGACAGAGCAAGACCAAGACTCTGTCTCAAAAAAAAAAACAAACCTAAGAGTACATCACTATTCTGCTCAAAACTTTTAATGGGTTCCTACTGTGCTTAGAAAAAAACTCGAGTCCTCACAAAGCCAGCCTACCGGGCCCCTCCTAACCCGACTCCTCTATACTCATACCTCATCTCCCCCATTGCCCCTCACTCGCCAGCCTTGCTGCCGTGTCTCAAACACACCTCAGCACCTTTGCACTTGCTGTTCCTGCTGCCTGGAAGGGTCACAAATCCCCCACTTCTTTTGGGCCTCCTTTGCTCCAGAAAGGCATTTCCTCACAGCCCCAACTAAAACAGCACCGCTTCCAGTCAGCCCTGCCCTGTGAGAACAGCTAATAAGCACTCCATAGCAATGGCTGAATAAATGGAACTAGAATAAAGGCGTTCAGGCAGAGTTGAACATGTCTCTTTATCTGACCCTTCAAACAGGCAATCTGAAGGGGTCACTTCCCAGGCAGCAGGGAAAACAGGAGCCAAGAAAGGTCAGTCCGAAAAGCACCAGAGCCTTTTGGGGTATGCAGAGTAGGACTAGCTGGCTGGCGTCAGGGCAGAAGACAAAGCTGGAAGAGCTGGTCAGCCACACAGGGCATGTGTTTGTTTGTTTGTTTTTTTGTTTTTTGAGACAGGGTCTCGCTCTGTCACCCAGGCTGGAGTGCAGTGGTGCAATCATAGCTCACTGGAGCCTCGACCTCCCAGGCCCAGTGAGTCCACCACCTCAGCTTCCTGTGTAGCTGGGACTACAGGTGCATGCCACCACGCCTGGCTAATTTTTGTTTTAGTAGAGACAGTGTTTCACCACGTTTCCCAGGCTGGTCGTGAACTCCTGGACTCAAGCAAACCTCCTGCCTCTGCCTCCCAAAGTGCTGGGATTACAGGAATGAGCCACCCACCACGCCCAGCCTGGGCCTGTGTACTTGTTAAGCAATAGGGAACTGCTAATTAGATTGGAGCTGAGCCACTCAATCAGGATCTGCCCAAGAGTACTGTAACTTACTCCTCCGATGAAGGGGTAGGTTAAGACCAGTAGCAGGGAAAACCAGTCACCAAATAAAAGAGAAGTAACCAGGGTAGGGGCGTGAGGTAAGGAAAGAAAGGGTGGGACATGCCAAAAGACAGGAACATCCCCTGACCAATCCATGGGTAGAGAAAAGCCACAGTCTATTCTGGGCTCCAAATCTAGGTGGCCAAGAGATGGTGTATTTTAAGGAAATAAAGCAAAGTTGTTTTGTTGGTGGGGAAATAAATTTGGGGCAGGCCCGGCATGGTGCCTCACTTCTGTAATCCCAGCACTTTGAGAAGCCAGCGTGGGAGGATGGCTTGAGCCCAGGAGTTCGAGACCAACCTGGACAATAAGTCGAGACCGCGTCTATACAAAAACAATTTTTAAAAAAGTAGCCGGGTGGGTGGGGGGAGGGGGGAGGGACAGCATTAGGAGATATACCTAATGCAAATGACGAGTTAACGGGTCCAGCACACCAACATGGCACATGTATACATATGTAACAAACCTGCACGTTGTGCACATGTACCCTAAAACTTAAAAAAACTTAAAAAACACATAGCCCAAGGGGCACCTTCTATGTAGCAAAGGCTAAAAAATAAATAAGTAGAAATTAAAAAAAGAAAAAAATTAGCCCGGTGTGGTGGCATGGGCCTGTAGTCCCAGCTACTTGGGAGGCTGTGCCGGGAGGATCGCTTGAGCCAGGAGGTCGAGGCTGCCAGTGATGGCGCCATGGCATTCCAGCCTGGGTGACAGAGGGAGACCCTTTCTCAAGAAAAATAAATTTAAAAAAAGAAATTGGGGCCCAGCGTGGTGGCTCATGCCTGTAATCCCAGCACTTTGGGAGGCGAAGCGGGCGGATCACTTGAAGTCGGGAATTAGAGACAAGCCTGGGCAACATGGTGAAACCCCGTCTCTACTACAAATACAAAAATTAGCCGGATGTGCTTGCTTGAACCCGGAAGACGGAGGCTGCAGTGAGCCGAGATAGTGTCACTGCACTCCAGCCTGGGCGACAGAGCAAGGCTCTGTCTCAAAAAAAAAAAAAAAAAAAAAAAAAGAGAGAGAGAGATAAATAAATTGGGGTGAACCGAATCTGCTAAGATAAAATTTTCGAGAAACCGGGCTGGACAGGATCTAAAGCTCAAAACTGATTAGATCAGGAAAGGATCCGGCGGGGTTTTCCCCGCCCAAAGTGGGTGGCCATGACCGCTAAGGCGCCAGGAGCGCATGAACTTGAAAGGTGACAGCGGGGAACTCACAACCCAGACACGCCACGTGTACCCAGTTACCCTCAAGTGTCCCCAGGCAGGCTTTCCACCCCGGAGTTTATTCCCACCTGGGGACTCCTATTTCCAAAAGAAAATCTTTTTTTCATTCTGTTTTTTTTGAGGCAGAATCTCGCTCTGTCACCCAGGCTGGAGTGCAGTGTCGCGATCTCGGCTCACTGTAACCTCCACCTCCCGGGTTCAAGCGATTCTCGTGCCTCAGCCTCCCGAGTAGCTGGGACCACAGGCGCTCGCCACCACGCTCGGCTGATTTTTTTTTGTATTTTGAGTAGAGACGAGGTTTCACCATGTTGGCCAGGCTGGTCTCGAACTCCTGACCTCAAGTGATCCGCCCTCCTTGGTCTCTCCCAAAGTACTGAGATTACAAGAGCCACCGCGCCCGGCCTTCCAAAATAAAGTCTTATTTGCTCTAAATCTCAGAATCCCGAATCCCGTAAAAAGTAGACCAAGAAGAAGGTAGACTGGGAAAGGGATCAAGTCCCTCGGACCCAAAGAAACCCCTGACAACTGAAAGCTCCAACTTCTCCCACCCAGGCCCCAGACCCCGGCGTCACCCCCTCGTCCCTCTCCAAATGGCCCCAGGCCGCCGCGGGGTCTATTCGGACGAACTGACAGACTCCAAGTGGGGCTCGGAGCGCCGTAGGCCATGACAGCCCCTCCGAGAAGCGGGCCCCGAGCCCCGAGCACCGCGCGCCAACGGCTGGCCCACCCCTAGCGCATGCGCCCCGGTGCCCAACGGCCAACACACAGCGCTCTGACACACCAACCGCCCCGCCCCCACCGTCTCGCGACCCTTTCTCCCCCTCCCCTTAGATCCCAACGTCTCCCCTCGTCCTCTCGCTCTCAGTTCAGACGTCCCCACACCGCGGCCCCGCGCCCGGGATCCGCTGCTCACCTGGCTCCCCGTTCTTCTCCGCGCGCTGCTAAGAGACACTTCCAACTTCGGTTTTCCGCCGGGCGCTCAGACACGAGTTGCTGCGCTTCCTGCCTCTTGCGTCGGGCTGCTGCTCTGCTGACTGGGCCGCTGCCTTTTCATTCAAGAGAGGCCGAAGCGGTGATTGGGTCCTGTGGAAGGGACCGGGAGATTATTGGCGGAGACGGGAAGAAAGAGGGCGTGCCTTACGCCTCGCGTTTATTGGTCAATCTAAAAGTAGGCGCGCCCCAGTGAGCCGACAGACTGGCTCCGACAGCGCGCGGTCTCGTGATCTGGGTGTGGTGCTCGGTGGGAGCCGCCATGTTTAGTACTGATAACTGAAGACCGGATGATTGCGTTTTGGCGTGTGCCCCACCTTTTCGAAGAGTGGCGTCTGCGCTGGGCGCTGAAACCAGAACTGTCCCAGTTGCTATCAATCTGCGGCCTGGGGGTCCTCCACAGTGTAGGCTCTGAAAAGAATAGGGAGCTTGGAATGACTCAAATGGACAGAACATTTTGCAGTATTTGGATTTCTATCGCTCCACGATAGTTTTGTCTCCTTGATTTTCACGTTAGTAGAAGCATGCAATAGGTTGTCTTTTGTGTCTGACTTTTGCTCAACAAAGCTGTTTTTTTGAGACGGAGTCTGGCTCTGTCACCTAGGCTGGAGTGCAGTGGCGCGATCTCTGCTCACCACAACCTCCGCCTCTCGGGTTCAAGCGATTCTCCTGCCTCAGCCTCCTGAGTAGCTGGGACTGCTGGCGCCCGCCACCACACCTGGCTAATTTTCATATTTTTAGTAGAGAGGGGTTTCGCCATGTTGGCCAGGCTGGTCTCGAACTCCTGGCCTCATGTGATCTGCCCATCTCCGCCTCCCAAAGTGCTGGGATTACATGAGCCACCCTGCCTGGCCGCAGCAAAGTGTTTTTGAGAGTTGTCCATGTTGTGGGGATATCAACAGCTCGTTATTTTTTACTGCTGAGTGGTATTTCATTGTGTGGCTATACTATAATGTAGCCAATATAGTTTCACTCACCTGTTCTTGGCCAATTGATTGTTTCCGGTCTTTGGCCACTGTTAATAGAGCTTGTACTGTAAGAGTATTTTGGGGAAGATAAATTTTCATTTCTTTTAAATACTTAGGAGTGGCATGGTGGCATGGTCACTAAGCTTTATTAGATCCTGGCAGATTTATTTTCCTATCATCCTTCCTCCCTCTTTCCCTCCACTTTCTTCTTTCTTTCTTCAGGGTGTCACTCTTGTTACCTATCATGCCCAGCTAATTTTTAAAAATTTGGTAAAGGTGGGGTTTTGCAGGCCGAGCGTGGTGGCTGACACCTGTAATCCCAGCACTTTGGGAGGCCGAGGTGGGTGGATTACCTGAGGTCAGGAGTTTGAGACCATCCTGGCCAACATGGTGAAACTCCGTCTCTACTAAAAATAGAAAAATTAGCCGGGCGTGTTGGCG
This sequence comes from Homo sapiens, assembly GCF_000001405.40. Taxonomy (NCBI): domain Eukaryota; kingdom Metazoa; phylum Chordata; class Mammalia; order Primates; family Hominidae; genus Homo; species Homo sapiens. The sequence goes on from NC_000019.10 coordinate 14,420,756, forward strand.
GGCGCCTGTAATCCCAGCTACTCGGGAAGCTGAGGCAGGAGAATGGCGTGAACCCGGGAGGCGGAGCTTGCAGTGAGCCGAGATCGCGCCACTGCACTCCAGCCTCGGCAACAGAGCGAGACTCCGTCTCAAAAAAAAAAAAAGAAAAGAAAAGAAAAAGAAAATGCCAAGTAAAGAAAGGATCAGCGGGCACCAGGGCTCCTGCCTATAATCCCAGCACTTTGGGAGACCAAGGAGGGCGGTTCACTTGAGGTCAGGAGTTTGAGACCAGCCTGACAACATGGAGAAACCCCGTCTGTACTAAAAATGCAAAATTAGCCGGGCGTGGTGGCGCATGCCTGTAATCCCAGCTACTCGGGAGGGTGAGGCAGGAGAATCGCTTGAACCTGGGAGGTGGAGGTTGCAGTGAGCCGAGTTCGCACCATTGCACTCCAGACTGGGCAACAAGAGTGATCACCTAAGGCCAGGAGTTCAAGACCAGCCTAGGCAACATAGTGAGACCTCATCTCTACAAAAAATAAAATAAAATAAAATAAAAATTAGCCAAGCATGGTGGTTGATACCTGTACTCCCAGCTACTCGGGAGGCTGAGGCAGGAGGACTGTTCGAGCCCAGGAGTTTGAGGCTTCAGTGAGCTATGATTGCACCACTGCACTCCAGCCTGGGTGAAAGAGTGAGACCCAGTCTCTAAAATAAATGAATAACACATTGTAATTAAAGTCAAAGTCACGGCCGGGTGTGGTGGCTCACACCTGTAATGCCAGCACTTTGGGAGGCTGAGGCGGGCAGATCACCTGAGGTTGGGAGTTCGAGACCAGCCTGACCAACATGGAGAACCCTCGTCTCTACTAAAAACACAAAATTAGCCAGCCGTGGTGGCATATGCCTGTAATCCCAGCTATTCGGGAGGCTGAGGCAGGAGAATCGCTTGAACCTGGGAGGCGGAGGTTGCGTTGAGCCAAGATCGCACTATTGTACTCCAGCCTGGGCAACAAGAGCGAAACTCTGTCTCAAAAAAAAAAAAAAAAAAAAGTTGAAGTCACCTGTGCTTCACTCCAACTCCTTTCCTCCCAGTACAGAAACAATGCCCTAAAGAAAAACAGTCGTACTGAACAGTTACTGCACCCACCTTTACAAGAATTACAGTCATGGGGTCACATAATGACACGGACATGTTGAGGAATGTCTCCATAGGCAATCTTGTCATTGTATGAACATCATGGAGTTTGATACAGTTTGGATGTTTGTCCCCTCCAAATCTCATGTTGAAATGTGATCCTTCTTGAGCCCAGGAGGTTGGGGCTGCAGTGAGCCATGTTTGTGCCACTGCACTCCAGCCTGGGAGACAGAGTGAGACTGTCTCAAAAAAAAAAAAAAAAAAAAAAAAGAGGAAAGAGGCCAGGTGCGGTGGCTCACGTCTGTAATCCCAGCACTTTGGGAGCTGAGGTGGGCAGATCACGAGGTCAGGAGATCGAGACCATCCTGGCTAACACGGTGAAACCCCGTCTCTACTAAAAATACAAAAAATTAGCTGGGCGTGGTGGCGGACACCTGTAGTCTCAGCTACTTGAGAGGCTGAGGCAGGAGAATGGCGTGAACCTGGGAGGTGGAGCTGGCAGTGAGCTGAGATAGCGCCACTGCAGTCTGGCCTGGGTGAAAGAGTGAGACTCCGTCTCAAAAAAAAAAGAGAAAAAAGAAAAAGAATAAAACAAAAATAAAGAAGAAAGAGGAAGGAAGGAAGGAAGGGGAAACGAAGGAAGGAAGCCAGGCAGGCAGACAGGTGATCCGCAGTGTTGGATGTGGGACCTAGTGGGAGGTCTTTTTGGTCACAAGGGTAGATCCCTCATGAATGGCTTAGTGACATTTCCATGGTAAAGTGAGTTCTCCTTCTATTCATGAGATTGCTGATCGTTTAAAAGAGCACGGCACTGCTATCCTCTCTCGGTCTGGCTTCCTTCCTGTCTCACCATGGAATGCCTGCTCCCCTTCCCCTTCAACTATGATTGGAAACTTTCCGAGGCCCTCCCAGAAACAAATGCTAGTGTCATGCTTCTGGTACAGTCTGCAGAACTGTGAGCCAAATAAACCTCTTTATAAATTACCCAGACTCAGGTATTCCTCTATAGCAATGCAAACTGACCTAGACAAGGGAACTTAGATAAACCTAGATGGGTCTGGGCATGGTGGTTCATTCCCAGCACTTTGGGAGGCCAAGGCGGGTGGATCACGAGGTCAGGAGTTCGAGAGCAGCCTGGCCAACATGGTGAAACACTGTCTGTACTAAAAATACAAAAATTAGCCGGGCATGGTGGTGCGCACCTGTAATACCAGCTACTCAGGAGGCTGAGGCAGGAGAATCACTTGAACCCAGGAGGCGGAGGTTGCAATGAGCCGAGATCCTGCCATTGCACTCCAGCCTGGGCAACAGAGTGAGACTCCATCTCAAAAAAAAAACCTAGATGGTATGGCTACTACACGTGTAGGCTATGTGGTATAGCCCAGCAGTCCCCAACCTTTTTGGCACCAGGGACCTGAATGATGGAAGACAATTTTTCCATGGACGTAAGGAGGGTGGATGGTTCTGGGATGAAATTGTTCCACCTCAGATCATCAGGCATTAGTTAGATTCTCATAAGGAATGGGCAACCTCGATCCCTCACATGCACAGTTCACAATAGGGTTGAGCTGCTATGAGAATCTAATGCTGTTGCTGATCTGAGAGGAGGCAGAGCTCAGGCTGTAGGTAATGCTCACCCATCACTCACCTCCTGCTGTGTGGCCTGGTCCCTGACAGGCCACAAGGCCAGGGAGGGGTGGGGGTGGGGACCCCTGCTATATAAAGCCTACTGCTCCTAGGCTACCAACCCGGACAGTGTGTAACTGTCTGAATACTGTAGGCAATTGCAACACAATGCTAAGTATTTGTTTTGTTGTTTTTACCTTCATCTTCTTTGTGATGTTACAATGGTAGGTATTTGGATATCTATACATATCAAAACATAGAAAAGGTACTGGGTGTAGTGGCTCACACATGTAATCCCAGAACTTTGGAAGGCTGAGGCAGGAAGTTCAAGACTAGCTTGGGCAATGTGGTGAGACCTCTTCTCTACCAAAGGAAAAAAAAAAAGCTAAAAAGCTACTTCATATAAATTTCCTTTCATTTCCCTTTTTATTTTTCCCATTTACTTTTTTTTTTTTTTTTTTTTTTTTTGAGACGGAGTTTCACTCTTGTTCCCCAGGCTGGAGTGCAGTGGCACGATCTCGGCTAACTGCAACCACCACCTCTCGGGTTTAAGCGATTCTTCTGCCTCAGCCTTCCGAGTAGCTGGGATTACAGGCACCTGCCACCATGCCCGACTAATTTTTATTTTTTTTCAAACAGGGTCTGGGCCAGGCACAGTGGCTCACGCCTGTAATCCCAGCACTTTGGGAACCGAGGCGGGTGAATCACCTGAGGTCAAGAGTTCAAGACCAGCCTGGCTAAAATGGAGAAAACTCGTCTCTACTAAAACTACAAAAATTATCTGGGCATGGTGGCAGGCACCTGTAATCCCAGCTACTCAGTTGTCTGAGGCAGAATAATCTTGTGAACCTGGGAGGTGGAGGCTGCAGTGAGCTGAGATCACACCACTGCACTCCAGCCTGGGCGACAGAGCGAGACTCCGTTTCAAAAAATAAAATTACATGATATAAATAAAAAGAAAAAAATAAACAGTCTGGCTTTCACTCGGGCCATAGTGCCAGGTGAGATCTCAGCTCACTGTAACCTCCACCTCCTTGGCCCACTAATTTTTGTATTTCTTAGAAGAAATGAGGTTTTGCCATGTTGTCCAGGCTGCTCTGGAACTCCTGAGCTCAAGCAATCTTCCCGCCTCTGCCTCCCCAAAGTGCTAGGATTATAGGCATGAGCCACCCCGCCCAGCCTCCTTTACTTTATACATTTTTTCACTTTATATATATATGTGTGTGTGTGTGTGTGTGTGTGTTTGATACAAATGGTATCAGACTGCATCATTTTGTTCCTTTCTTTCTCTTTAGTATCATTAAAAAATAACTAGAAGCTGGGCCCAGTGGCTCCTGCCTGTAATCCCAGCACTTTGGGAAGCTGAGGTGGGTGGATCACTTGAGGTCAGGAGCTCAAGACCAGCCTGGCCAACATGGTGAAACCCCATCTCTACTAAAAACACAAAAAATTAGCCAGGCGCGGTGGCACACGCCTGTAATCCCAGCTACTCAGGAGGCTGAGACAGGAGAATTGCTTAAACCTGGGAGGCAGAGGTTGCAGTGAGCCGAGATCGTGCCATTACACTTCAAACTGGGTGACAGAGCAAGATTTTGTCTCAATAATAATAATAATAATAACTAAAGATGATGCTCTCCCTATGCTGCCCAGGCTGGTCTAGAACTCCTGTCCTCTGCAATCCTCCCACCTCTGCCTCCCAAAGTACTGGGACTACAGGCCTGAGGCACTACGCTTAGTCCTTTTTTTTTTTTTTTTGAGAGAGTCTTGCTCTGTCGCCCAGACTGGAGTGCAGTGGCATGATTTCGGCTCACTGCAACCTCTGCCTCCCAGGTTCAAGCGATTCTCCTGCCTCAGCCTCCCGAGTAGCTGGGACTACAGGCGCCCACCACCACGCCTGACTAATTTTTATATTTTTGGTAGAGACAGGGTTTCACCATATTGGCCAGGCTGCTCTCCAACTCCTGACATTGTGATCCTCCCGTCTCGGCCTTCCAAAGTGCTTGGATTACAGGCATAAGCCACCGCGCCTGGCCTTTTTTTGTATTTTTAGTAGAGACGGGGTTTCACTGTGTTAGCCAGGACGGTCTCAATCTCCTGGCCTCGTGATCCACCCACCTCGGCCTTCCAAAGTGCTGGGATTACAGGCGTGAGCCACCGTGCCCAGCCTACCTTGCAGTTTTCTAGCTTGTCTTTCCCAAGTTTACTCCAGTACCTGCCCTTCAGGGAAGCCTACACTGACTGCTTCCTCTGAAGTGCGACAGCTACCCCCTCCAGCCTTTGCAGTCTGGGATACCTTTCGCCTGATACCTCATACTGTGCCCACTCATTCCTTTCACAAAGACGGACGTAGCACAGGCTCTGTGCAATTTCAGGGAGGAGTAACATGCAAAATAATCAAACAGGGCCAAGGGCCAGAAATGACGTCGGTGTGGTCTAGGAAGATTGCTCAGAAGATGTTACATTTAAACAGATAACTAAATGAGCAAAAGGGGCCAGCCCTGGAAAGATGTGATAGAAAAGCATTCCAGAACAGATAACAGCCAGTGCAAGGGCCATGTGGTTGGAAGTAAGGTGAGACTATTTGTTTTTGTTTGTTTTTTTTTTGACGGTGGGAGGTGGTTTGTTTTTTTGTTTCTTTGGTCTCACTCTGTTGCCCAGGCTGGAATGCAGTAGCATGATTTTTGTTTTTTATTTGAAACGGAGTCTTGCTCTATCACCCAGGCCAGAGTGCATGGCACTGTCTCGGCTCACTGCAACCTCTGCCTCCTGGGTTCAAACAGTTCTCTGCCTCAGCCACCCAAGTAGCTGGGATTACAGGTGCCCACCACAACACCCAGATAATTTTTGTATTTTTAGTAGAGATGGGGTTTCACCATCTTGGCCAGGCTGGTCTTGAACTCCTGACCTCGTGATCCACCTGCCTTGGCCTCTCAAAGTACTGGGATTACAGGCGTCAGCCACCGCGCCTGGCCTTTTTTTTTTTTTTTTTTTTTTTTTTGAGGTGGAGTCTCACTCTATTGCCCAGGCTGGAGTGCAATGGCATGATCTTGGCTCACTGCAATCTCTGCCTCCCAGGTTTGAGTTATTCTCCTGCCTCAGCCTCCCAAGTAGCTGGGATTACAGGCAAGCACCACCACGCCCAACTAATGTTTGTATTTTCCATAGAGATGGAGTCTCACTATGTGGGTCAGGCTGGTCTCGAACTCCTGACCTCATGACCCGCCCACCTCAGCCTCCCAAAGTGTTGGGATTACAGGCATGAGCCAATCGCTGGCCTTTTTTTTTTTTTTTTTTTTTTTCTGAGAGAGTCTTGTTCTATTACCCAGGCTGGAGTGCTATGGCATGATCTCAGCTCACTACAACCTCCGCCTCCCTGGTTCAAGCGAGTCTCCTGCCTCAGCCTGCTGAGTAGCTGGGATTCCAGGTGCCGGCCACCACGCCCAGCTAATTTTTTTTATTTTTTTAGATGGAGTTTCACTCTTGTTGCCCAGGCTGGAGTGCACTGGTGCAATCTCGACTCACTGCAACCTCCGTCTCCCAGGTTCAAGCAATTCTTCTGCCTTGGCCTCCCAAGTAGCTGGGATTACAGGCACCCACCACCACATCCAGCTAATTTTTTGTATTTAATAAAGACAGGTTTCACCATGTTGGTCAGGCTGGTCTTCAACTCCTCACCTCAGGTGATCCACCTGCCTCTGCCTCCCAGAGTGCTGGGATTACAGGCACGCACAGCCCAGTGGCACAATCTTGGCTCACTGCAACCTCCACCTCCTGGGTTCAAGCGATTCTCAAGCCTCCACCTCCCAAGTAGCTGGGATTATAGGCATCTGCCACCACAGCTGGCTAATTTTTTTTTGTATTTTCAGTAGAGATGGGGTTTCACCATGTTGGACAAGCTGGTCTCGAACTCCTGACCTAAGGTGATCAACCTGACACAGCCTCACAAAGTCCTGGGATTCCAGGCATGATCCACTGTGCCTGGCCAAGGTGAGACTATTTGAAGAACATAGTGAAGGCTAATGTTGCTGGATGGGGGTGAGGAGAGTGAGGTGTTTGGACAGGTGGGCAGAGAAGTCTGACAAGACCACCTTGTAGACCAAGTGAGGAGTATGAAGTTTTTCCTAAGTCTGCTGGGAAACCAGGCACAGGCACGTTTTCTAGCAGGGAGAAGCAGGGATGGTGATGGTGTGATTTAGGATTTCCAAGGCCCCAGAGTGAATTAGAGAGGGGTGAGAACAGCTGCAAGGATGTGCCGGTGCAGTTATCATATTTTGTTGAGATTGTACAATTAGTCCTTTGTCTCTCCCCCTGACACTTTTTTTTTTTTTTTTTTTTTTTTTGTCTTGCTCTGTCTCCCAGGCTGGAGTGCAGTAGCATGATCTTGGCTCACTGCAACCTCTGCCTCCTGGGTTCAAGCGATCTCCTACCTCAGCTTCCCTAGTAGTTGGGATTACAGGCGTGTACCACCACACCCGGCTAATTTTTGTATTTTTCGTAGAGGCGGAGTTTTGCCATGTTGGCCAGGATGGTCTCAAACTCCTGACCTCAGGTGATCCACCTGTCTCGGCTTCCCAAAGTGCTGGGATTACAGGCATGAGCCACTGTGTCCAGCAACCACCACCCCGCTCCTTTTTTATTTTTATTGTTTTTGAGACGGAGTCTTGCTTTGTTGCCCAGTCTGGAGTACGGTGGTGCGATCTCGGCTCATTGCAACCTCTGCCTCCCAGGTTCAAGCAATTCTGGTGCCTCAGCCTCCTGAGTAGCTGGGACTACAGGCATGCGCCACCATGCCTGGCTATGTCTCCCCGCCCCCTTTCTTGGTTTGTTTGTTTGTTTTTTGAGACGGAGTCTTGCTCTTGTTGCCCAGGCTGGAGTGCAATGGTGCAATCTTGGCTTGCTGCAACCTCCACCTCCCGGATTCAAGCGATTCTCCTGCCTTAGCCTCCTGAGTAGCTGGGACTACAGGCACTCACCACCACACCCAGCTAATTTTTTTTGTATTTTTAGTACAGATGGGGTTTCACCATGTTGGCCAGGCTGGTCTCAAACTCCTGATCTCAGGTGATCCACCCACCTCGGCCTCCCAAAGTGCTGGGATTACAGGCTTGAGCCACCACACCTGGCCACGTCTCCCCTTTTAGCAAACAAAGTGTGGCTGGACGTGGTGGCTCATAACTGTAATCCCAGCAGTTTGGGAGGCCGAGGCGGGAGGATCACTTGAGGCCAGGAGTTCAAGACCATCCTGGGCAACACAGTGAGACTTCATCTCTGCAAAAAAAAAAAAAAAAAAAAAAAAAAAAGAATTAGCTGGGCATGGTAGTGCATGCCTGCAGTCCCAGCTACTCAAGGGGCTGAGGTGGGAGGATGACTTGAACCTGGGAGGTTGAGGCTGCGCTGCAGTGAGCTGTGATCTCACCCACTGCACTCTAGCCTGGGTGACAGAATGAGACTTTGTCTCCAAAAAAAAAAAAAAGGCCTGAACTGCAACTTTATCTCCAGTGCCACCAAATTCCCCAGTGGGTCTCTGTAAATATTCACTGAGTAAATGAATGCCTGAAGGGTGGAGCGAGAATTTGGCTGGTTTCCCCAGCTCCATCTGGGGAGGCAGCCTGGGACCTCACAGGTTGGGGAGGGAGGGCCCATCCCTGTGCAAGGTGGTTCCAGACAACCCAATCCTTCGGCCCCCATGAAACCTCACTCTGCCTTGTCCTCCTCATCTGTAGAATGGGTGGGCTGGAGAATTAGAGGGAGCTACTTCGTTTCTCAGGGAAAGGGCCATAGACATCCTGGCTTGATGATTGGGGTAAGGGACTTCTCAGCTTACTCACCTGCAAAACTGGAGCAAAAGAACTAGTTTGGGCCAAGCTTGATGGCTCATGCCTGTAATCCCAGCATTTCAGGAGGCCAATGCAGAAGAATTGCTTGAGCCCAGGAGTTCAAGACCAGATTGGGCAATATTACGAGATCCAGTATCTACACACACACAAAAAAATTTTTTGAAAAAACTAGCCAGACATGGTGGTGCACACCTGTGGTCCCAGCTACCTGGGAGGCTGAGGCAGGAGGATCGTTTAAACCTGCAAGGTGGAAGCTGCAGTGAGCTGCGATGGCGCCACTGCACCCCAGCCTGAGTGACAGAGTGAGACCCTGTCTCTAAATAAATAAATATCAGGCTGGGCGCGGTGGCTCACACCTGTAATCCCAGCACTCTGGGAGGCCAAGGTGGGCAGATCACCTGAGGTCAGGAGTTCGAGACCAGCCTGCCCAATGTAGAGAAACCCCATGTCTGCTAAAAATACAAAATTAGCCGGGTGTGGTGGTACATGCCTGTAATTCCAGCTACTCAGGAGGCTAAGGCTGGGAATTGCTTGAATCAGGGAGGCAGAGGTTGCGTTCAGTTGAGATCGTGCCATCACACTTCAGCCTGGGCAACGAGAGCGAAATTCTGTCTAAACAAACAAACAAACAAATAAATAAATAAATATGAAAGAACTAGCTTGCAGAGTTTTTTTTTGTTTTTTTTTTTTTTTTTTTTTTGAGAGGGAGTCTCGCTCTGTCCCCCAGGCTGGAGTCTCGCTCTGTCCCCCAGGCTGGAGTGCAGTGGCGTGATCTCAGCTCACTGCAACCTCTGCCTCCCAGGTTTACGCCATTCTCCTGCCTCAGCCTCCCGAGTAGCTGGGACTACAGGCGCCCGCCACCACGCCCGGCTAATTTTTTGTATTTTTAGTAGAGATGGGGTTTCATCGTGTTAGACAGGATGGTCTCGATCTCCTGACCTCGTGATCTGCTCGTCTGGGCCTCCCAAAGTGCTGGGGTGACAGGCGTGAGCCACCATGCCTGGCCATGAGTTCTTTTCTTTTCTCTTTTCTTTTTCTCCCTTCCCCTCCCTCCCTTCCTTCCTCTCTCTCTCTCTCTCTCTCTCTCTCTCTCTTTCTTTCTTTCTGACAGTCTTGCTCTATCACCCAGGGGGGTGTGCAGGGGTGCGATCTTGGCTCACTGCAACCTCCGCCTCCCAGGTTCAAACCATTCTCCTGCCTCAGTCTCTCAAGTAGCTGAATATACAGATGCCCGCCAGCACACCTGGCTAATTTTTTAATTTTTAGTAGAGATGGGGTTTCACCATGTTGGCCAGGCTGGTCTCGAATTCCTGGCCTCAAGTGATTCACCCCCCTTGACCTCCTAAATTGCTGGGATTACAGGTGGGAGCCACTGCGCCCAGCCACAGAGTTCTTTCTTTTATTCAATCAACAAGCATTTGAGAAACAGTTAGAAGGCTCATGTGGCTGGAAGGAGTGAGCAAGGGGGAGAGATGGGAGGAAGTAAGAACTGATGGTGCAGAGCTTCGTGGGCTGTGGGGAGGACCTGAGTTTTTTCCCTGAGTGAGCTGGGAGCCATGGAGGGTTCTAGACAGAGGAGGGGCATACCCCATCTCATGTGTTCACTGCTCCCTTGGGCTGTTGTGGGAACAGACTGTGGGGGCGAGGGCAAAACCAGGAGACCAGGAGAGAGGTGACTACTGGTTAAGGTGAGTGATGGTAGGGACTGGATGCGACAAAGTGGAAAGGTGAAATGTGGGTGAATTCTGGGCTTGTGTGTGTGTTGTTGTTGTTTTCTTTCTCTTTTTTTTTTTTTTTTTGAGAGGGAGTCTCGCTCTGTCGCCCAGGCTGGAGTGCAGTGGCGCGATCTCGGCACACTGCAAGCTCCGCCTCCTGGGTTCATGCCATTCTCCTGCCTCAGCCTCCCTAGTAGCTGGGACTACAGGCGCCCGCCGCTTTCACCATGTTAGCCAGGATGGTCTCAATCTCCTGACCTCGTGATCCGCCTGCCTCTGCTTCCCAAAGTGCTGGGATTACAGGCGTGAGCCACCACACCTGGCCCCCTCTTTTTTCTTTTTTTAGATGGAATCTTGCTCTGTCGCTCAGGCTGGAGTGCAATGGCACGATCTCGGCTCACTGCAATCTCCGCCTCTTGGGTTCAAGCTATTCTCCTGCCTCAGCCACCCGAGTAGCTGGGATTACAGGCATGCGCCACCACGTTCAGCTAATTTTATATTTTTTAGCAGAGATGGGTTTCACCATATTGGCTAGGCTGGTCTCGAACTCCTGACCTCCAGTGATCCATCCACCACCCACCTTGGCTTCCTAAAGGGCTGGGATTACAGGGGTGAGCCACTGCACCCAGCCGTTTTTTTTTTTCTTTCTTTTTTTAGACAGGGTCTCGCTCTGTCACCCAGGCTGGAGTGCAGGGGCATCATGATTTCTCCCCACAGTGATGCATTCTCGGCCTCTTGAGCTCAAGCGATCCTCCCGCCTCAGCCTCCTGGTAGCTGGGACTACAGGCGTGCGCCACCATGCCCGGCTGGATGGGTTCTGGATCAGCATAATTCTCCTCCTTCTCTCTTTCTGTTGTTAGTATCTCCCAAAGAGTTGCTCAGAGGAAAAAATAAGAGAGAAAACATCGCGCCCTGGTTTCTGGGACGACTGAAACCACGCAGAGCCACGGGTAACCAAGGTACCCGCAGCCCACGGCGCTTCCTCGGGTCCCAAAGGGCGCCAATGTGCAGGCACCGCCGCCAGGGAGCGCTCCCTGCCGGAGCCCCGGAGACCAAGGTTTGGCTCCCTCGCCTGGTTTCCGAAGGAGTGAGGGTCCGACGGCGGCCACGAACAAAGCTGCACGCTCTGCAGACCCCGGAGATCCCCTAGAAATTCCGCAGAGGCCTCCACTCTCCGCTTGGGCACGAGTCTGCATTTATGGAGCGCCATCTGCATGCAGCAGCCCCGAAAAAGAAGGCGATGCCCATTTTATAGCGGGGAAAACTGAGACTCAGAGGCCACAGGGGTCCCCAGGATGAACAGCAAGTTGGGATTCAAACCTCTTTTAATAACAATAACGATAATAGAGGCTGGGCGCGGTGGCTCAGGCCTGTGTAATCTCAGCACTTTAGGAGACCGAGGCGGGCGGATCACCTGAGATCAGGAGTTCGAGGCCAGCCTGGCCAATATGATGAAACCCCGTCTCTACTAAAAATACAAAAATTAGCCGGGTATGGTGGTGGGCACCTGTAATCCCAGCTACTCAGGAGGCTGAGGCAGAAGAATCACTTGAATCCGGGAGGCGGAGGTTGCAGTGAGCCGAGATCGCGCCACTGCACTCCAGCATGGGCAACAGAGCGAAACTCCGTCCAAAAATAGCAAAACAACAAACAAACAATTACGATAACATTAAAAGTGACAGCAGCTAACACTTATGGAGCGTCTAGTGTGTTCTCAGCTCTTGGCCTGCACTGTCTTATTGAATTTTACCAACACCGAGGAGGTGAGCGCATCATTCCCATTTCACAGATGAGGTGCCTGGAAGGGTTTGTCTCCCTCAAGGCGTAAAGCGCTAGGATTTGAATGCAGATCCGCCCAGAGCTTGTCTCCAGGTAACGGGGAAACTTCCATGCCCTTGAATAGGGGACCACAGATGCAGGCGTCCCGAGCTTGCAAATGCACCGGGGTAGGGTGGGGTGGGGGGTTATTCTGTTTGTTTTTTTCAGGGGTCCCGGGAGGCCCAAAGGCCTCCGCCGCTCTCGGCTTGAACGCGTGGAACCGTTCTCCTCGGGTTCCCGCGCGCTCCAATGGGGGACCCCTCGGCAGCGTGCGGTCGTCTCGGGACCCGGAAAGAGGAAAGGTGGGGAGCCGATGGGGATGCTCCGGGCTCGGGAGACCGAGGGGGCGGACGGGCGGGACCCCGCAGCCCCGGGGGCCTCTGGGAACCCGTCCCCCCTCGGCCCCGCCCCCTCCCCGGGCGCCGACCTCCGGGGTCACGTGACCAGGCCCGGCGGCCGCTGGGGCCGGAGGGCGCGGCGCGGGGACGCGGCGGCCTGGCCAGGCGAGGCGGGAGCCGAGCAGGCCGGAGCGGGCCGCGCGCCGGGGAGGGTCGCGCCGCGCCCGCCCCCTCCCCGCCACGCCCGGGGCGCACGCGCGCTCCTCTGGCCGCCCCTCCCTCCGCGCGGGGACCCCTGGCGGGCGGCAGGAGGACATGGCCAGCGACGCCGTGCAGGTAGGCGCACCTGCGTCTGGAGTCCCGGGGCGACCGGACGGCGCCGGCGGACCCCGCCCGCGCGCTGCCGGGGGAGCCCCCCCAGCCCCCGGAACGGGACTCGGGTGACGATGGCAAGGGCGGGGGCCTCCGGAGCGCCCGGCGCCCCCTCCCTGGGCCGGGACTGTGGAGCCAGCGAGGCCCCCTTCTCGGCAGGTGGCGATGTGGACTGGGCTGGTTTGGGGGCGATCCCGGAGGCAACCCCTGCTACACCCTCAAACTCGGCCTCTCCTGGAGAACTAGAAGGGGCGCGGCGGAGGCTCTACTTCGGGTGTCTGTGGCTGGCTGGGCGTCCCAGTGCCTCTCGTCCGCCCCCAAACTCATCCCCCTCCCCAGGGTTGGGTACCCGGCAGGTGCCGCTCCACCTGGGGCACGTGCCTGGCGCAGTGCCCTGGGAGGGGAGGAGGCTGCTGGGCCCGGCCCGTGCCCTTCCCCCGCATAACAAAGCTCCAGCCACCCCCGCCTCTAGACAGCTTTATGATGTTCCAGACGCCACCCAGATTGGCACCTGTTGGCGGAAGTACCCGAGTCACTGCATTAGGTCGGGGGAATGGGGACCCCCACTCCCACCCTTGGGCTGTCAGGTGGAACCTTCTCCTGGGTGGGGAGTGTCTCAGTCAACAGGCCAGGGATGCTCCCATATATAGAATCCTACTTTTTTGCATGGTGGCTGGGCATGGCTGGGTCACCCCCACCCTGCTAACACACACACGTGACTGGCACCAGCCTCCCGCCCAGCCAGATTCCCCTTGTGCCACCTGGTGGGGATCACTGACCTGGACTCATCTTCCCCGTCTGTGACAAGCACGGCCAGGGTGACTGCCAACCTTCTTTGGTTCAAGTGACCCAAATCTGAGAAATGTCTGTGCCTCAGTGTCCCCATTAGCACCTCACCATCCAGTTCATTGTCCTGTGGTTGTTGTGTAACTGGGTTCTCGTCTCCTTCTGCACCTGCCCCCGGCCCCTTTGTGTCTCCCCGGTAACCCCCGGTCCCTCCCGCCTTCCCAGTCCTGCTGATGGCCTGCCGGCCTTGCCGAGGAGCTGGGCGTATCTGGTGTTGCCGATCACACAAGGTCAGACCTCAAGGCCGGGATGGGCCGGGGTCCCTGCCTCTACCCCCGGCCCAGGGAGGGCTGTGTAGGAATCCCCGGGTGCATGCATGCGCTTGGCGCATCCCACACATGACCCAGACAGGCTGTGATTCCTGCAACGAGGCTGGACCCACGCCCTGGTCCCCCCTTCCCATCTCCTCCCCAGTCTCTTCCCCGCTCCTGGTCATCCCTCTCTCATGGTTGCTTGGGCCTGCTGCCCTGTCCCTCTGTCTGTCCCAACGTGTGCCTGTCTGTTCTGTGTCCTGCAAACGGATGTCCTGTCCAGATTCCGGAAACGCCCAAGGCATTGAAATCTCCGGATGTGGGAGTCTAGGTCCCTGGCTGCTCTGGCAAGATGGGGATTATGGGAGGCAGGTCCTCTGGGTCTGAGGTCTCCGCTCCATGGTGGGCAGCGGAGGAGCAGGGGTTCTCCATAGGACAGGCCAGGCCAGGGCCCTGAGTCCTGGGTTTGCCTTGCTGGCCCTCAGGTGACCCCTGTGCCTTGGGTAGAAGTGAGTCACTCAGGGGAGGAGAACCCAGGAGCCCAGCCTCCCTCCCTCTGTGCATTACAGACCTCAGCTGCTGGAGGTGGGGCTGAGGGAGGCCACCTCTCCTCTCTGCCTGGACTTCCCCAGTTGAGCTGGCCCCGCTCTTGGCTGTGTCCTCCCTCTGCCTGCTGGGGATGGGGTGGGGCCTTCTGAGCGAGGGTGGTATTTGGTGAGCCTGGGCTTAAATTCCAGCGCTGACACTTCCTCGCTGTGTGTCCTGGGCCCAGTGCCTTCGCCTCTCTGAGCCTCGGTTCTGACCTAGGAAAAATGGGACTAAGAGGGTGTTCATGGGAGAGAGAGAGACCGAGACCTTGCCAGCACTTGGCAGGCAGGGCTGCTGTGAAGTCGTTACTGGTAAGCGTCCTGGTCAGCAGCTCAGGGTGTGAATCTGTGTCCTTATTGATTGATTTACTGATTTATATTTATTTATTTTAGAGGAGAGAGTCTTGCTCTGTCACCCAGGCTGGAGTACAGTGGTGCGATCCTATGTCACCGCAGCCTCGATTTCCAATTTCCGGGGCTCAAGTGATCTTCCTGCCTCAGCCTCCCAAGTAGCTGGGACAAAAGGCACAGACCAACATGCCTGGCTAATTTCCTTTTACTTTTGTAGAGACAGGGTCTCGCTCTGTTACCCAGGCTGGAATGCAGTGACGAGATTCTTGTTCACTGCAGCCTCAAACACCTGATCTACAGGACTACAGGCATGCACCACCACACCTGGCTAATTTTTTTTTCTTTATTTTTTTAAATTGAGACTGGGGTCTCACTCTGTCACCCAGGCTGGAGTGCAGCGGCATGATCTCTGCCTCCTAGACTCAAGCCGTTCTCCCACCCCAGCCTCCTGAGTAGCTGGGACTACAGGTGCACACCACCACGCCTGGCTAATTTTTGTATTTTTAGTAGAGTCAGGGTTTCGCCATGTTGCCCAGGCTGGTCTTGAAATCTTGAGCTCAAAGTAACCTGCCCGCCTAGGCCTCCCAAAGTGCTGGGATTACAGGTGTGAGCCACTGCCCCCAGCCTTTCTTTTTTTCTTTTCCTTTTTTTTTTGTGATGGAGTCTCGCTCTGTCGCCTAGGCTAGAGTGCAGTGGCTTGATCTCGGCTTACTGCAAATTCTGCCTCCTGGGTTCACGCCATTCTCCTGCCTCAGCCTCCCAAGTAGCTGGGACTACAAACGCCCGCCACCATGCCCGGCTGATTTTTTTGTGTTTTTAGTAGAGACAGGGTTTCACCTTGTTAGCCAGGATGGTCTAGATCTCCTGACCTCGTGATCTGCCTGCCTCGGCCTCCCAAAGTGGTGGGATTATAGGCATGAGCCACCGCGCCTGGCCTCTTTTTTTCTTTTTTGAGACAAAGCCTGGCTCTGTTGGCCAGGCTGGAGTGTGATGGTGTGATCTCGGCTCACTGGAACCTCTGCCTCCTGGGCTCAAGCCAGCTTCCCACCTCAGGCTCCCAAGTAGTTGAGACTGCAGGCACATGCCATCACACCTGGCTAATTCTTACATTTTTTGTAGAGATGGGGTCTCACCGTTATTGCCCAGGCTGGTCTCGAACTCCTGAGCTCAAGCAGTCCTCCGGCCTTGGCCTCCTAAAGTGCTAGGATCACAGGCAGAGAGAGCCACCACACCTGGCCAATACTTTTTTATTTTTTGTAGAGATTTTTGTAGGTCTTGCTGTGTTGCCCAGACTTATCTCCAATTCCTGACCTCAAGCACTGCTCCTGCCTCAGCCTCCCAAAGCGCTGGGATTACAGACGTGAACCACCACACCTGGCCAAATCTATGACCCTTAACCGTAGGCTTCTCAGCCTTAGCACTACTGACATTCAGGGCTGGGTCATTCTTTGCAGTAGAGGCTGTCCTGTGCACTGCAGGGCGTTGAGTGGCATCCCTGGCCTCACCCTGATAGAAGTCACCTCCTTACCCACAGTCAGGACAACCAAAAATGTCTCCGGATGTTGCCGCATGTCCCCGGGTATGGGGAGAAAATCTCCCCTCAATGGAAAACTGTTACTGGCCAGGCACAGTGCCTCACACTTGTAATCCCAGAACTTTGGGAGGCCGAGGCTGGCTGATTGCTTGAAGTCAGGAGTTTGAGACCAGCCTGGCCAACATGTGAAACCCCGTCTCTACTAAAAATACAAAACATTAGCTAGGCGCAGTGGCACGTGCCTGTAGTCCCAACTACTCAGGAGGCTGAGGCAGGGGAATTGCTTGAACCCGGAAGGTGGAGATTGCAGTGAGCCGAGATTGCACCACTGCACTCCAGCCTAGGCGAAAGAGCAAGACTCTGTCTCAAACCAACGAACAAAACATACTACTGTGACTTCCTTGAGCCTCAGTTTCCTCACCTGTGAAGTGGGGAGTTCTTGGCAGCTGCTCAAGATTTGTAGTGAGGGTTGGGAAGATGGTGGGAGTGATACACTTGGTCTGTGGCATTCCTCCCTGGGGGCAGCTGCGCTTGAGATCAGTCACGAGCCAAGGATAACATTCCTTGTCTGTGAAATGGATGCTCCCAGCTGAAGGAGATAACCCCAGGGGGCCATTTCCTAGCCAGCATTTGGAATCTGGGTGCTCTTGTTTTAAATCAAGGCCCTGGCCACGGGGCAGTGACTCACACCTGTAATCCCAGCACTTTTGGAGGCCGAGGCAGGAGGATTACTTGAGGCCAAGAGTTCGAGATCAGCCTGGGCAACATAGTGAGACCCCATGTCTATGAAAAATACAAAAATTAGCCAGGTGTGGTGGCGTATGCCTGTAGTCCCAGCTGCTCGGGAGGCTGAGCTGGGAGGACTGTTTGAGCCCAGGAGGTAGACACTGCAGGGAGCCATGATCACACCACTGCACTCCAGCCTGGGCAACAGAGTAAGACCCTGTCTCAAAAAAAAGAAAAAAAGTTACATGAGATATTCAACTTTACTGTAAAATAGCTTTGTGTTAGACGTTTTTGCCCAACTATAGGCTTGGGTAAGTGTTCTGAGCACATTTAAGGTAGGCCAGGGTGAGCTATGATGTTTGGTAGGTAAGATATATTAAATGCATTTTTGACTTATGATATTTGCAACTTATGATGAGCTTATCAGGAAGTAATGCCATCATAAGTTGTTCTTGAATGTTACTGTGTGCTTAGCAAGTGGTTTTGTAGGCTGCTGATTTGGGGCATTCTTTTTTTTTTTTTTTTTTTTTGAGATAGAGTCTCACTCTGTCGCCCAGGCTGGAGTGCAGTGGTGTGATCTCGACTCACTGCAATCTCCACCTCCTGGGTTCAAGCGATTCTCATGCTTAGCCTCCCAAGCAGCTGGGATTACAAGCACGTGCCACCATGCCTGGCTAATTTTCATATTTTTAGTAGAGACGGGGTTTCATCATGTTGGCCAGGCTGGTCTTGAACTCCTGACCTCACGTGATCTGCCTCGCTCATCCTCCCAAAGTGCTGGGATTACAGATGTGAGCCACCACGCCCGGCGTGATTTTGGAAATTGGAAATTCTTTTTTTTTTTGAGACGGAGTTTCGCTCTGGCGTGCAATGGCACGATCTTGGCTCACCTCGACCTCTGCCTCCTGGGTTCAAGTGATTCTGCTTCAGCCTCCCAAGTAGCTGGGATTATAGGCATGCACCACCAAACCCGACTAATTTTGTATTTTTTTTTTTTTTTCAGTAGAGACGGGGTTTCTCCATGTTGGTCAGGCTGGTCTCGACCTCCCGACCTCAGGTGATCCACCCACCTCGGCCTCCCAAAATGCTGGGATTATAGGCGTGAGGCACCGTGCCCGGCCTGGTTTTGGAAATTCTTATCCCAGTCCCCCAGTGCTGTCCCCTAATTGTGTTGGCCTGAGGGAGGTGCCACTGGGCTGGCTGGGACCCCGGGCCTCTCAGCTATGGTCAATAACAGTTGGCGACTGGACTGAGAGGAAGCAGGAAGTTGGGAGGGCCCGTCTGCAGGAAAGGGGCCTCACCTCTGAAGAAGTGGCTGTTCTGACCCTGAAGGGGAAGCCGGGGACAAGGGGTGGCTGGGAGAGTCTGGAGGGACATATGCAGGTAGTCGCAGGGCTGGAGGTCTGTGGGAGCATGGATGTGCTGCAGGGGCCTCGGGGAGCGTGCATATGTGTGTGAGCATGTGCACACGCATGAGCATGTGGGCCATGCCCTCTCGGGCAGGTGGGAGTGTGTCTTGTATGGGTTCTAGAGGGAAGCTCATAAGCACTTGTATGTGTTTGCAAATAAGTGCATATGTGGTAGGCATGGGAATGGGTACACTGTGAGCCCATTTTCCAGGCACACACCTGCAGGTGTAGAAGTGTGCACCTGTGTGTGGATCTTTGTTTCATCCACACACACAGGCATGGGAGTGTGCACACATGTGAGCCTGTGTTGCAGGCACACACCTGCAGCCATAACTGTGCAAACACAGGCCAGGCGCGGTAGCTCACGTCCAGTAATCCCAGCACTTTGGGAGGCTGAGGGGGGCGGATCACCTGAGGTCAGGAGTTCGAGACCAGCCTGGCCAACATGGTGAAACCCTGTCTCTACTAAAAATACAAAAATTAGCTGGGCGTGGCGGCACATGCCTGTAATCCCAGCTACTTGGGAGGCTGAGGCAAGAGAATTGCTTGAACCTGGGAGGCGGAGGTTGCAGTGAGCCAAGATCACACCAGTGCACTCCAGCCTGGGCAACACAAAGGGAGACTCTGTCTCAAAAAAAAAAAAAAAAAAAAAAAAAGGAAAGAAAAAGAAAGCGTGCAAACATTTGTGAGCCTGTGTTCTGTGCATATCCACATATGTATTTGAAAGTTAGTGCACACTCAAGTCAGCCCTCGGAGCCTGCGTCCCCTCATGGATACACCATGAGTGTGTGAATGTACAAACTGCCTGCACCTTGGACATTCTCTAGGGACAGGGAGCAAGGACTGTCCCTGGGTTTCATCTAGAGGAACAGGAGGTCCCTTAGATGCCCTGGAGTTGGCCCCGCGCGAGGGGTGCTGGGAGTTGACAGGAAAGAGGAAGTGGCAGCCGAGAGGCCCTGGTGGGGCTGAGGTTCAGGAAGAGGGCGGGGCCCTCAGCCCGGACCCAGGATGGCGGAGGCCAATAACCCCTCGGAGCAGGAGCTGGAGGTGGGGTCCAGGGTCCCTGTGGGGGCAGGCAGAAGGGGGCCCCAAGTGGCACAGGCCAGTAGTCCTTCCCCGGGTACTTCTCAGTTTGGGAACAAGGAGAGGAGATGGGGCACTGGCCTCAGAGTTCTCTCTCTGGAGGATGAGAGTATCCAGTGCCCTTCGGGGCTCCCAGATTGGGGAGAGACAGAAGGAAGGAGACCGGGCTCTGTTCTTTAGGGTCCCAGTTGTTGAACATAGGAGAAGAGCAGATGAGGGTCTTCAAGACCCCATAGTTTGGGGGTACAGCAGAGAGAAGACTTGGCCTGCCCTTGGGATACCCTAGTTTTGGGGGTGTAGCCAAGGAAAGATGAGGCCTGCCCTCGGGATGCCATAGTTTCAGGGTACAAGTGAGGGAAGATGGGGCCTGTCCTCAGGACCCTGTAGTTTTAGGGGTACAGCAGAGAGAAGACAGGGCCTGCCCTTGGGCCCTCTTAGTTTCGGGGAGCAGCAGAGAAAAGAAGGAATCTTCCCTTGGGACCCTCTAGTTTGGGGGAGGCAGCAGAAGGGAGACAGATCTTATTCTTGAGACCCCCTTAATGTGGGGGACGCTGTGGTGGTGGGGGTGACAAGGCCCTGCTCTTGAGACCTCCCAGTTTGGGGAGGTCAGGAAGCAGTGGCAAGGCCTCGTCACCTTCCAGTTTTGGGAGTCAGAGGAGGTAGAGCAGGCCCTGTCTTGGGAGCCCCAGTCCAGGGCAGAGGCTGGGCCAGGCTGGCTGCATGTGGTCTGCACCTGGAGTTCTCCTAGCTCCACTGACCCTGTTCTGTCCTCCGCAGAGTGAGCCTCGCAGCTGGTCCCTGCTAGAGCAGCTGGGCCTGGCCGGGGCAGACCTGGCGGCCCCCGGGGTACAGCAGCAGCTGGAGCTGGAGCGGGAGCGGCTGCGGCGGGAAATCCGCAAGGAGCTGAAGCTGAAGGAGGGTGCTGAGAACCTGCGGCGGGCCACCACTGACCTGGGCCGCAGCCTGGGCCCCGTAGAGCTGCTGCTGCGGGGCTCCTCGCGCCGCCTCGACCTGCTGCACCAGCAGCTGCAGGAGCTGCACGCCCACGTGGTGCTTCCCGACCCGGCGGCCACCCACGGTGAGCTGGGATGCCTCTGGGGATGCGGGACTCCAGGGATTCCACTGCTCACTGGCTCACCCATGGTCTCCAGAGCCAGGTTAACCCATCTCCACGGACCCCCAGGGAGATGCATGCCATGACCCCCGTAGCCACCAACACCCAGAGAGGTGCATACAGCCACACCAGCACCCGGTAACACTCAAGACCGTGCATGCTGTCACATGAATACCTCTAGACACAGCCACGCCAACACCCAGGCAACATTCAAGGATGTGCATGCAGTCACACAAACACCTAAAAAAACAGCCACACCAACACCCAGGCAACACCCAAGGGTGCACATACTGTCACACGAATACCTCCAGACACAGCCACGCCAACACCCCAGGCAACACTCAAGGATGTGCACACTGTCACACGAATACCCAGAAACTCCCACAGTTACATGGATGATAACCAAAGACTGTTTATTTTTGTTTTTGTTTGGAGACAGGATCTTGCCTTGTCACCCAGGCTGGAGTACAGTGGTGTGATCAAAGCTCACTATAGCCTCAATTTCCTGGGCTCAAACAATCCTCCCACCTCAGCCTTCCAAGTAGCTGGGACTAAAGGCATACACCACCATGCCTGGCTAATTTAATTTTTTTTTTTTTTTTTTTTTTTGTAGAGAAAGGGTCTTGGTATGCCGCCAGGGCTTGGCTAGAACTCCTGGCTTCAAGTGATCCTCCTGCTTTGGCCTCCCAAATGCTGGGAATACAGGCGTGAGCCATTGCACCCAGCCTGTTTTTTAATTTAAAACATTTTTATTGGTTTTAACATTTTTTTTCTTTTTGAGATGGAGTCTTGCTCCATCACCCAGGCTGGAGAGCAGTGGTGCAATCTCAGCTCACTGCAACCTCCACCTCCCAGGTTCAAGTGATTCTCCTGCCTCAGCCTCCTGAGTAGCTGGGACTATAGGCTTGCACCACCACGCCCGGCTAATGTTTGTATTTTTAGTAGAGATGGGATTTCACCATGTTGGCCAGGCTGGTCTCAAACTCCTGACCTCAACTGATCCACCCACCTCAGGTGATGTGCCTCCCAGAATGCTGGGATTACAGGTGTGAGCCACCTCACTCAGCAGCTTGAATTTTTTTTGGTGGGGAAGGACAGAGTTTTGCTCTTGTCACCCAGGCTGAAGTGCAATAGCACGATCTCGGCTCACTGCAACCTCCACCTCCCAGGTTCAAGTGATTTTCCTGCTCCAGCCTCCCAAGTAGCTGGGATTATAGGCATGAGCCACCACGCCTGGCTAATTTTTGCATTTTTAGTAGAGACGGGATTTTGCCATGTTGGCCAGGGTGGTATTTAACTCCTGACTTCAAGCAATCCGCCTGCCTCGGCCTCCCAAAGTGCTGGGATTATAGGTGTGAGCCACTGCGCCCGGCCTCAGTCATTTCTGCACCCAGGGTCCCCTCAAGCATCACACCACTCTCCAGAGACTCATGCAGACACATGCATCCGGATGTGCCAACACCCGGAGACTCAGTCATACCAACCTGGAGATCTGAACTCACAGTTGTAGCAACAGTCAGAGATGTACGCAGAGCATCTCCCAACACCCACAATCTCAGACAGTCATTCTAACACATGGCGTCTCACAGAGTTACACTAACACCTAGGGAAACACACACTCAGCCATGCCAACACCCTGCAGCTCACAGATGGCACCACTCCCACACCCATAGGCTCACACAAGCCATGTACGTAGTTACTCATGGGCCTCTCAAATGCAGTGGACCCAGCACCAAGGACACACTAACACACCTGGGTGCTCGCCTGCACTCATTCATCCTGGGTTCTGCCCCAGCCCCGAGGGGTTTCCCTGGGAGGGTGGGTGGGTAGACTGCTGGGCCCTGGTGTCCCCCTGCCTGCCTGTCTGCTGGCCCCCAGCTCCCCCTCCTCCATGCCCCAGGGGCAATGCCCAGGCTGGGCTGAGGATGAAGCCTCCCAGGCAGGCCGAGGTGAGGATGCGTGGTGACTCTCTCCCACCTGTCGCCTCCAGATGGCCCCCAGTCCCCTGGTGCGGGTGGCCCCACCTGCTCGGCCACCAACCTGAGCCGCGTGGCGGGCCTGGAGAAGCAGTTGGCCATTGAGCTGAAGGTGAAGCAGGGGGCGGAGAACATGATCCAGACCTACAGCAATGGCAGCACCAAGGTGAGGCAGCACGTGCACACACACTGTGTACACACACCACACCTGTGTGCGTACAGTCCACCCACATGTGCACACCTACCTGCATGTGTACACATGTGTCCCTGTGTGCACACGCCCACTCAAATGTGCACCCACACCTGCGCATGCACACCCCACACGTGCACACCCATCCGCATGTGTACACACCTGTCCACGTGTACACACACCCACTCAAGTGTGCACCCACACCTGTATGTGCACACACTCACTGGCATGTACTCCCACATCTGTACATGCACACACCTACCTGCGTGCATACACGCTCACCCACATGTGTACACACCCCTGCAAATGTGTACACACATATGCATACACCCACCACACGTGCACACACCTGCATGTGTACACACCCTTGAACGTGCACACACAGCTGCACGTGCATGCATACTTGCACACACCCACATGTGTGTATACCAGCATGTGTACATACACCCCCCATGTGCACACACACCTGCACATGCACACACACCTGCCTGTGCACCTGCACCTGCATACACATTTGCAATGCACATGCACATGTACACACCCACACGTACACACCCACCCGTGTATCTGCACACACACCGCACATGTATGCACATGCCTGTGAGCAGATCACAGGCTGGGGGCATAGGGTGCAGCCTACAGCTGCCCCCATGGGAGGCTGGGAGCCTTTGGATTGGGGACATACTGGCTGATGGGTGTAACTTGGTGTCAGGACTAAGGCACAGGCAGCTCATGGGGGCATATGGGAAGCATGACTATGGGTGATGTCAGACAGACGTGGCAAATTGTCTCCCCTCCTCCCACAGTCCCCTGCAGAGCCTCAGGCCCATCCACAGTCAGGGCAACATGCCGCCTCTCACTGCTGACGGTGTGTCCTGTTACAAGCACACACAGTCATGTCATACCTTGACACACACACACCATCATAACATCTAGACACACACACACACATGCTGTCATAACATCTAGAGACACACAGTGGTAACAACATCTAGCAACACATGGAGAATCCCACCACAGCCACATCTGGACACACACACACACTCTTACATTCATACCCAGAGACTGGTGCACAGACACACACACATCCCCCGTCCTGCCAATCAGTCCCAGGAACACACAGGTCTCTATCAACACCCAGAAATTCTGACACCACAAGCACAGGCCAACCTACAGCTAGAGGATTAATGTCCAGACCCACAGGCTGGTGTGCGCATGTCCTTCCACGTGAATGTCACATGGGAGGACAGACTGCATGGATTTTTTTAATGACACTATTTTATTTATTTTTTGAGACAGAGTCTCACTCTGTCGCCCAGGATGGAGTGCAGTGGCGTGATCTCGGCTCACTACAACCTCCGCCTCCTGGGTTCAAGCGATTCTCGTGCCTCAGCATCCCAAGTACCTGGGATTACAGGCGCATGCCACCACGTCCCGCTAATTTTTGTATTTTTAGTAGAGATGGAGTTTCACCATATTGGCCAGGCGAGTCTCGAACTCCTGACCTCAGGTGATCTGCCCACCTTGGCCTCCCAAAGTGCTGGGATTACAGATGTGAGCCACCTTGCCTGGCCTAACATTATTTTATTTATTTAATTTATTTTTATTTTTATTGAGACAGGGGTCTGTGTTGCCCAGGCTGGACTCGAACTCCTGGGCTCAAGCATTCCTCCTGCCTTGGCCTCCCAAAGTGCTGGGATTACGGATGTGAGCCACTGCGCCCCATTTATCAATTGGTGGACATTTGGTTGTTTCCACCTTTTTAGCGATTGTGAGTAGTTTTGCTATGAACACCTGTGTACAAGTATTTGAACACCATTCTATGAAAATTTAAAACCTAGATCAATTGTATATCTTTTACATGTATCTGAGCGTTATACAAAAAAAGAATAAGAGTTTCTCACCCCCTAAGAATTTCTGCCCCCCGCCCTGGGGGTAATACTGACCCAGTGAAAATGAATAGAGTAGGCCAGGCGCGGATCCCAGCACTTTGGGAGGCTGAGGCAGGCGGATCACTTGAAGTCAGGAGTTCAAGACCAGCATGGCCAACATGGTGAAACCCGAGCTCTACTAAAAAAATACAAAAATTAGCCGGGCGTGGTGGCACATGCCTGTAATCCCAGCTACTCGGGAGGCTGAGGCAGGAGAATCGCTTGAACCTGGGAGGCAGAGGTTGCAGTGAGCTGAGATCACACCACTGCACTCCAGCCTGGGTGACAGAGCGAGATTATGTCTCAAAAAAAAAAAAAAAAAAGCTGGGCATGGTGGTGGGCGCCTGTAATCCCAGCTACTCAGGAGGCTGAGGACTCCATGGACTACATCATGCCACTGTATCCAGGAATGCATGGAAGTACATTTATTTACTTATTTATTTATTTTGAGACAGGGTCTTGCTCTGTTTCCCAGGCTGGAGGGCAGTGATGCAATCTCAGTTCAATGCAGCCTCCAACTCCTGGGCTTGAGTGATCTTCCCACCTCAGCCCCCTGAGTAGCTAGGACCACAGGTGCACACCACCACGCCCAGCTAATTTTTGCATTTTTTTGTGGAGACAAGGTCTTGCCATGTTGCCCAGGCTGGTCTTTAACTCCTGAGCTCAGCAGTCCACCCGCCTCAGCCTCCCAAAGTGCGGGGATTACAGGCATGAGCCACCGTGCCTGGCCTGCAAATGCATGTTGTTACATCCACATGTGAACACTCTGCCACAGTCACCTAGGACCTGCATGGTGTGGCTAGACCCCAACCACCTAGCCTTCCTCTCTCAGACTGTCTCTGCCTCCAGGACCGGAAGCTGCTGCTGACAGCCCAGCAGATGTTGCAGGACAGTAAGACCAAGATTGACATCATCCGCATGCAACTCCGCCGGGCGCTGCAGGCCGGCCAGCTGGAGAACCAGGCAGCCCCGGATGACACCCAAGGTGAGTCCCTTGCTTCCAGGCAGCTTAGCCTGCATCTCGCCTTGCAGGGCTCAGCCTCCAGCTCCATAATGAGTCCCTTTCTGGGGCAGGGAGGTGGGTCCTGTGACCCACTGTGAGACTTCAACACATTCCTGACCCTCTCTGGGCCAGAGCTTCCCATTTTGTCCCATGCAAAGTTTGGATTACATCAGGGGTTGGTAAATTACCACCTTCAGACCAAATCTATCCATTGTCTTTTTTTTGTCAATAAAGTTTTATTGGTACCCAGCCACGCCCATTCATTTACTATGTTTTTGACTGCCTGACTATTCTGAATAATGACCCTGGCACTTGGTCACAGAGAGTCAGACACTCACAGTCACACTGTGTCCACATGTGTCACTCACCTGGACACCAATAACACAGACACAGTTCCAAGGAAGTTGATAGTCACAGGTATGTTGCCTTATAAACACAGTCTCGGCTGGGTGCAGTGGCTGACGCCTGTAATCCCAGCACTTTGGAAACCGAGGCGGGCGGATCATTCGAGGTCAGGATTTCGAGATCAGCCTGGCCAACATGATGAAACCCTGTCTCTACTAAAAATGCAAAAATCAGCTGGGCGTGGTGGCACGCAGCTGTAGTCCCAGCTACTCAGGAGGCTGAGGCAGGAGAATCACTTGAATCCGGGAGGCGGAGGTTGCAGTAACCCAAGGTCGCCCCACTGCACTCCAGCCTGGGCAACAGAGTGAGACTCTGTCTCAAAAAAACACACACAAAAAAACACACAGTCTCACTGTCACCCCTAGACCTGCTGCCACATGGCGCTTTATCAGTCACTGGGACTTTTAGGAATAAAGTCATCCAGTCACCCATCCTTGCGACAACACCCAGAGACAAAGGAATGTGTGATCCTACCATCACACATAGTCACTGTGAAGTCCATGTGGATATCCACAGTACAGGCACACAATCACGTGCACCGTCGCACTGACACACACTGCAGGGACACACTTTTTTTTTTTGTTTTTTTTTTTAGATGGAGTCTCGCTCTGTTGCCCAGGCTGGAATGCAGTGGCACAATCTCTGCTCACTGCAACCTCTGCCTCCCGGGTTCACGCCATTCTCCTGCCTCAGCCTCCTGAGTAGCTGGGACTATAGGCGCCCACCACCACACCCGGCTAAATTTTGTATTTTTTTTTGAGACGGAGTCCTGCTCTGTCGCCCAGGCTGGAGTGCAGTGGTGTGATCTCGGCTCACTGAAAGCTCCGCCTCCTGGGTTCATGCCATTCTCCTGCCTCAGCCTCCCAAGTAGCTGGGACTACGGGCACCTGCCACCACGCCTGGCTAATTTTTTTGTATTTTTAGTAGAGACGGGGTTTCACCATGTTAGCCAGGATGGTCTCGATCTCCTGATCTCATGATCCGCCTGCCTTGGCCTCCTGAAGCGCTGGGATTACAGACTTGAGCCACCACGCCCTACCAATTTTTTGTATTTTTAGTAGAGACGGGGTTTCACCATGTTAGCCAGGATGGTCTCGATCTCCTGACCTCGTGATCCGCCTGCCTTGGCCTCCCAAAGTGCTGGGATTACAGGCATGAGCCACCGTGCCTGGCTGACACACTTTTTTTGTTTAGACAGGGTCTTGCTCTGTTGCCCAGGCTGGAATGCAATGGCGCGATCATAACTCACTGCAGGCTTGACCTTCTGGGCTCAAGCAATCCTGCTGAGTAGCTGGGACCATAGGCGTGTGCCACCACACCCAGCTTATTAAAAGAAATTTTTTTTTTGTAGAGACTAGGTCTTGCCCAGGCTGGTCTCAAACTCCTGACCTCAAGTGATCCTCCTGCCTTACCCTCCCAAAGTGTTGAGATTATAGGCGTGAGCCACTATGCCTGGCCTGTGCCCCTTTTCTTGACCCTGTGCTTGGGCATAAATGCATTTGTGTCTGTGACTGTGTTTCTCTGCCCCTATAATGGTGTCCCTGTGCCCAAGATGACAGGGCCGTGTCTGTGTAACAGAGTCTGACTCATGACAGTGTCTCTATGTGGCAGGGTGACTACATCTTTGTGACAGAGTATGTGTTCCTCTGGTGATAGTGTGCCTACGCTGGTGACAAAGTGGTAATGCCATGTGTCCCTGTGGGCGACAGTGTGACAGTGTCAGTGCGACAGTGCCTGCCTTACTCTCCTTGGGCCGCCATAACAAAGTCCCATAGGCTGAGTGGCTTAAACAACAGACATTTATGTTTTTCACAGTTCCAGAGACTGGCAGTCCCAGATCAGGGTACCAGCATGGTCGGTTCCTGGTGAGGGCGCTCTTCCTGGCTTACAGATGGCTTCCTTCTTACTGCTCCCTCACAGGGAGAAAGAGCCTTAGTGTCTCTTCCTCTTCTTATTTTTCATTATTAGTTTTTTGAGACAGGGTCTTGGTCTGTCACCCAGGCTGGAGTGCAGTGGCGTGATCACAGCTCACTGCAGCCTCGACTTTCTGGGCTCAAGTGATCCTCCTCGTTCAGCCTTCTAATAGCTGGGACTACAGGCACACGCCACCATGCCTCGCTAATTTATTTTTTATTTTTAGTAGAGACAAGGTCTCTCTATGGTGCCCAGGCTGGTCTCAAACTCCTGGCCTCAGGTGATCCTCCTGCCTCAGCCTCCTAAAGTGCTGGGATTACAGGCGTGGACCACTGCACCCAGCTTCTTCCTCCTCCAATAAGCGCGCTAATCGCATCATGATGGCCCTCCCTCCATGACCTCCTCTAACCCTAATTACCTCCCAAAGGCACTTGGAGAAGTCCAAGTGCCATCCCACTGGGGATTAGGGGTTCAACATAGGAATTTGGTAGGAGACAAACATTGAGTCTCTTAACAGTGTCTTTGTGACTGACACCGTCTGTGTAAATGTAGTATGCTGTGGTTGTCCAGATGTCCATGAGTGTCACCATGCCTGGTTGACTGTGTAACCTGGTGACTGTTCATTGGGGAATGAGGTGTGTCAACACGGGTATGACAGTATTATTATTTTTTTTTAATGACTTAGAGTCTCACTCTGTCACCCAGGCTGGAGAGCAATGGCGCAATCTTGGCTTACTGCAACCACCGCCTCCGGGGTTCAAGTGATTCTCCTGCCTCAGCCTCCTCAGTAGCTGGGATTACAGGCATGCGTCACTGTGCCCAGCTAATTTTTGTATTTTTAGTAGAGAGGGTTTCACCATGTTGGTCAGGCTGGTCTCAAACTCCTGACCTCAGGTAATCCACCCGCCTTGGCCTCCGAAAGTGCTGAGATTACAGGCCTGAGCCGCCATGCTTGGCCTATGATTTAGATGTTCCTGTCTGTTTGGGTGACAGCCCCTGGGTGACAGTGTCTGAATCTAGATAATGTGGCTGTCCCTGGGGGCCACAATGTGCCTGCGTCTGTCC
The DNA here is from genome assembly GCF_000001405.40 of Homo sapiens. Lineage (NCBI taxonomy): Eukaryota > Metazoa > Chordata > Mammalia > Primates > Hominidae > Homo > Homo sapiens. The sequence goes on from NC_000019.10 coordinate 14,449,964, forward strand.
CTGTGCAAATCACTGGAGGTGAAGAGGGACCGTGACAATGTGTGTGTCGGTAAGCGTGGGGTGACAGTGTGCCTGTGTGTCATTGCTCAGACTGTCCCCTGTAACAGGGTAACTTTTTCCCTAGGACTGGCCCTGTGAGTGATGGTGTTTGGATAAAAGAGTCTGGGTGGAAGTGTGGCTGCCTGCAGGTGACAGTGCGACAGTGTCACTGTGCCTGCCCCTTGGATGAAGCGTGATGCATCTTCATGATGGTTTGTCTGTGGCCCGTGCCTGTTCCTGCGAATGGCTGTGTCTGCGACTAGGTTGGTGGGGCGCTGCAGGCTAGCCTCACTGCCCTGTATTCCACGCTCACAGGGAGTCCTGACCTGGGGGCTGTGGAGCTGCGCATCGAAGAGCTGCGGCACCACTTCCGAGTGGAGCACGCGGTGGCCGAGGGTGCCAAGAACGTACTGCGCCTGCTCAGCGCTGCCAAGGCCCCGGACCGCAAGGCAGTCAGCGAGGTGAGGGGCGGAGCTTTCATTAGAGGCGGGGCTTCAGCAAGGGGCGGTGCTTCAGCAAGCGGCGGGGAGTTCACCAGGAACACCCACGGTGAGGGGTGGAGCCTCAAAGGGGGTGGGACCTTCATAAGGGGTGGGGCCTCAGCCAGGGTAGACTACTGTGAGGGGCAGGGCATCAGGCAGGAACAGTGCAACTGTGAGGGGCGGGGCCTCAGCGAGGGGGCATGGTTTCAGGCAGGAATGGCCCTCGGTGAGGGGAGGGGCCTCTCCAAGGGGCGGGGCCTGGTTTTCCCAGAGGTGGGACCAAGTTGGTTTGAGGTTTAGCCCTCTAGGGAGGAGCTCAGTGTGAGACTCAGCCTGGGGGTGGGGCCTAGGCCTGCACTTGGGAAGGGGCAAGCCTGGTCCCGCCCCCAGCCCCCACACTTCCCACCACAGGCCCAGGAGAAATTAACAGAATCCAACCAGAAGCTGGGGCTGCTGCGGGAGGCTCTGGAGCGGAGACTTGGGGAGCTGCCCGCCGACCACCCCAAGGGGCGGCTGCTGCGAGAAGAGCTCGCTGCGGCCTCCTCCGCTGCCTTCAGCACCCGCCTGGCCGGGCCCTTTCCCGCCACGCACTACAGCACCCTGTGCAAGCCCGCGCCGCTCACAGGTGGGTCTGAGACCCTACCCCACCCCTGCAGCCCTGGGCCTCCGACTCCTCTCATTTCCCCATTCCTGTGACCCCCGACTTCAATCTCCGCTCTCCCCAACCCTGGACTCCCATTCCACCACTGTCTCCTCCCCTCCTTTGCCCTCTGATTCTGGGCTCTTGCCCACCCCCCCCACACCTCAGTTTCTCCATCTCTCTTCACCTGGCCCAGTATTTTTCTCCCAGCCCTTGTTCCCCAGCCCCACCTCGGCCTCACAACGCTCAGCCATGAGCCTCCTACCCGCCTGCTGCAGACCAGCCAGCCCCACCTTCCACAGACCCCTCAGCCATCTACCCCTCCAGACCAGCCCCACCGTAGACCCCTAGCCCATCTTAGACCTCAGATTGTCCACCGAGTCCTCCCCTAGAACCCCTAGTCCTACCCTGTTCCTGCTTGCCTGGGCCTACGGCCTGTACCCTGAGCCTACGGCCTGTACCCTGAGCCTCTCTTCTGCCCCTAAACTCCCGCATCTGAGCCCCTCCTGGAAGGACTGCTTCTCTCATATTCTCCTATCCCAGCACGGACATCCCGGCCTCATGCCCCATGCTCCATTCTGGTTGTCCCTCACTGGCTCCCACTTGTACCATGGCTGCGTCTGGATGTGTCCCCTCCCCGCTGTGGTCCCCTCCGCTCAGCCTGCCCCAGAAGTGGCCCCCTGCTGAGCTTTCCCCTCCTGCAGGGACCCTGGAGGTACGAGTGGTGGGCTGCAGAGACCTCCCAGAGACCATCCCGTGGAACCCTACCCCCTCAATGGGGGGACCTGGGACCCCAGACAGCCGCCCCCCCTTCCTGAGCCGCCCAGCCCGGGGCCTTTACAGCCGAAGCGGAAGCCTCAGTGGCCGGAGCAGCCTCAAAGCAGAAGCCGAGAACACCAGTGAGTGGGCATCGTGGGCCCTGAGAAACGAGGTGGCATTGGGGACCTGGAATGCCCCATATTTGTAAACCTTTAAAAAATAAGCCAGGGGTCGGGTGTGGTGGCTCACACATGTAATCCCAGCACTTTGGGAAGCCAAGGTGGACGGATCACTTGAGGTCAGGAATTTGAGACCAGCCTGGCCAACATGGTGAAACACTGTCTCTACTTAAAAATACAACTTAGCTGGGCATGGTGGTGCACACCTGTAATCCCAGCTGTTTGGGAGGCTTAGGCAGGAGAATTACTTGAACCCGGGAGGTGGAAATTGCAGTGAGCCATGATCACGCCATTGCCCTCCAGCCTGGGTGACAGAGTGAGACTTTGCCTCAAAAGAGAACGAAAACAACAACAAAAACAAAAAAACAGGCCAGGTGCAGCAGCTCATGCCTGTAATCCCAGCACTTTGGGAGGCTGAGACAGGAGGATCACTTGAGGCCAGGAGTTTGAGACCAGCCTGGGCAACATAGCAAGACCCTGTCTCTACAAAAAATAAAATGTAAAAATTAGCCAGATGTGGTGGCCCACACCTGTAGTCCTAGCTGTTCTAGAGGTGGGAGGATCACTTGAGCCCAGTGAGCTATCATTGAGCCATTTCACTCTAGCCTAGATGACAGAGAGACCCTGTCTCTAAATTAAAAAAAAAGAAAAAAAACTTCAAGTTTATTTAGATTAAAAAAAAGGCTGGGCGTGGTGGCTCACGCCTGTAATCCCAGCACTTGGGGAGGCCGAGGCGGGTGGATCACGAGGTCAGGAGTTCAAGACCAGCCTGGCCAGCATGGTGAAACCCCATCTCTACAAAAAATACAAAAAAATTAGCCAGGCGTGGCGGCGCGTGCCTGTAATCCCAGCTACTCGGGAGGCTGAGGCAGAGAATTGCTTGAACCCAGGAGGCGGAGGTTGCAGTGAGCCGCGATTGTGCCACCGTACTCCAGCCTGTGCAACAGAGCAAGACTCCATCTCAAAATAATAATAATAATAATAAATAAATAAAACAAATTTAAAAAGAAAGGAAAACCAAACAAGAAACCAATATATCATATTCATTAGGATGACTAATACTATTTTAAAAACCCAACAAAACAAACAGAAAATAAGTGTTGGTGAGGATGTGGAGAGAAATCAGAACCTTTGTGCACTGTTGGTGGGAATGTAAAATGGTGCAGCCCTATGGAAAATATATTGGCATGGCCGGGTGCAGTGGCTCACACCTGTAATCCCAGCACTTTGGGAGGCTGAGGGGGCCAGATCACCTGAGGTCAGGAGTTCGAGACCAGCCTGGCTATCATGGCAAAACCCCGTCTCTACTAAAAATACAAAAATTAGCTGGGCATGGTGGTGTGTGTCTGTAATCCCAGCTACTCAGAAGGCTGAGGCAGGAGAATCGCTTGAACCCAGGAGGCAGAAGTTGCAGTGAGCTTAGATCGAGCCACTGCACTCCAGCCTGGGCAACAGAGCGAGACTCTGTCTGAAAGAAAGAGAGAGAGAGGGAGGGAGGGAGGGAGGAAGGAATATTGGCAGTTCCTGAAACAAGTAAAAACAGAGTAAGCAGTCCAGGCGCAATGGCTCACACCTGTAATTCCACCACTTTGGGAGGTCAAGGTAGGTGGATCACCTGAGGTCAGAAGTTCAAGACCAGCCTGGCCATCATGGTGAAACCCCATTTCTACTAAAAATACAAAAGTTAACCGGGCTTGGTGGTGGTGCACGCCTGTAGTCCCAGCTACTCTGGAGGCTGAGGCAGGAGAATTGCTTGAATCCGGGAGGCAGAGGTTGGAGTGAGCAGAGATCATGCTACTGCACTCCAGCCTGGGTGACAGAATGAGACTCCATCTCAAAACAAACAAACAAACAAAAAAACAAGAGTAACCATATGATCCAAAGCTACTTCTGGGCATATCCCCAAAAGAATTAAAAACAGGGCCTCGGACATTCCATAATGCATACATATTTCAAAACAACATGTTGTGCATGATAAATATATATAATTTTTATTTGTCAGTTTTAAAAATAGTGATAGAAAAATATTTAAAAAAAAAAAAAAGGGTCTCAGAGATATGTATACCTGTGTTCATAGCAGCATTATGAAAGCCAAAAATGGAAGCAACCCAGATCCACCAATAGATGAATGGGTAAACAAAACGTGGGCCAGCCATGCAATGGAACATTGCTCAGATTTAAAAAGGAAAGAAATCCTGCCAGGCGCAGTGGCTCATGCCTGTAATCCCAGCACTTTGGGAGGCCGAGGCAGGTGGATCACTTGAGGTCAGGGGTTCGAGACCAGCCTGGCCAACATGGTGAAACCCCATCTCTATTAAAAATACAAAAATTAGCCGGGTGTGGTGGCACATGCCTGTAATCCCAGCTACTCAGGAGGCTGAGGTAGGAAAACCGCTTGAGCCCAGGAGGCAGGCGTTGCAGTCAGCCAAGATCATGCCACCGCACTCCTGCCTGGGTGACAGAGTGAAACACTGTCTCAAAAAAAAAAAAAAAAAAAAGGAAAGGAATCCTGTCTTATCCTGCAACACGGATGAATCTTGAGGACATTAGTCTAAGTGAAATAAGCCAGTCCCCAAAAGACAAATATTGTATGATTCCAGTTATATGAGGTTCCTAGAGTAGTTAGATTCATAGAGACAGAAAGTAGAATGATGGATGCCAGGGAGTAGAGGGAGGGGGAATGGGGAGTTTATTATTTAATGTGGACAGAGTTTCAGTTTTGTAAGGTGAAAGTTCTGGAGATGGATGGTGGTAATGGTTGCACAGCAATGTGAATGTACTTAATGCCACTGAACTGGATGGACACTTTAAAGTGATTATGATGGTAAATTTTATGTTACATGTATTTTACCATAATTTTTTTTTTCTTGAGACAGATTCTCCTCTGCTGCCCAGGCTGGAGTGCAGTGGCACCGTCTCAGCTCACTGCAACCTCTGCCTCCTCGGTTTGAGCGATTCTCTTGCCTCAGCCAACCCAAATAGCTGGTGGGATTACAGGCGTGCGCCACCACACCCGGCTAATTTTTGTATTTTTATGGAGATGGGGTTTCACCATGTTGGCCATAATTTTTTTAAAAGAAAATTTGATTCGTAATCTCATGGCAAAAAAGGAAAAAGAAAGAAAATTAATACGTATGTACAAAAAAAAAAGGGAGTGTGGAGAAGAGTAACAGGAGAGCAGACACCCATATTACCACCACCTGCGTTAGGAAATAGAATATGGCAGCCAGGTGCCACGGCTCATGCCTGGAATCCCAGCATTTTGGTATTTGTAGGAGGATCACTTGAACCCAGGAGTTCAAGACCAGCCTGGGCAACATAGCAAGACCTTGTCTTTACAAATAATTTAAAAATTGGGGCATATGGCCAGGTGTGGTGGCTCACGCCTGTAATCCCAGCACTTTGGGAGGCCGAAGCGGGTGGATCACAAGGTCAGGAGATCGAGACCATCCTGGCTAACACAGTGAAACCCCAACTCTACTAAAAATACAAACAATTAGCCAGGCGTGGTGGTGGGCGCCTGTAGTCCCAGCTACTCGGGAGGCTGAGGCAGGAGAGTGGCATGAACCTGGGAGGCAGAGCTTGCAGTGAGCCGAGATCGCGCCACTGCACTCCAGCCTGGGTGACAGAGCAAGACTCTGTCTCAAAAAAAAAAAAAATTGGGGGTACATGTCATCAGGCCCTCCTGAATCTGTGTCACAGAAAAAAAAACTAAAGGGAAAAAAAGAGAAGACAAGCCAACCAAAAATTAACCAGGCGTGGGCATGGTGGCTTGTGCCTGCGGTCCCAGCTACTTGGGAGGCTGAAGTGGGAGGATTGCTTGAGCGCAGGAGGTCAAGGCTACAGTGAGCTGTGATTGCACCACTGCATTCCAGCCTGGGCAACTGAGCGAGACCCCATCTTAAAAAAAAAAAAAAAGGAAAAGAAATAGAATATTTCCAGCTCTCCAGAAGCCCCCTCTTGTCTCCTCCACAATTCCATCTCCTTCCTCTGCCATAGAGGTGGCTACTCTCCCGACTTTTATCATTTCCTTGCTATAATTTGTAGTTGTAGAACCCCATGTTTGCATCCCCAAAAACTTTTGTTTAATTTTGCCTGGTATTAGAACTTTATATTGACAGGCTCATACAGACTATTCTATCACATGGCTTCTTTCATTCAACATTGTTTAGGGGCTAGGCATAGTGGCTCATGCCTGTAATCCCAGCACTTTGAGAGGCCGAGGTGGAGGGATTGCTTGAGCCAAGGAATTTGAACCCAGCCTGGGCAACATGGTGAAACCCCACCCTACAAAAAAATGCAAAAAACAAAACCAAACTAAAAAAAGCATTGTTTTGGTAGACTCATCCATTTTGTTGTGACAAGCTATAGTTAATTCATATTTATTCCTGTTTAGTAATCCATTATGTTAGACTGAGCCATATCGAATTGCCTCTTTCTGAAAGCAAAAAAATAGTTAAATATCAGCAATTTCGTACTTCAGCTACTAAGATGGTATAGCAGTTTTAAAATATTAATTCTCCTGTTAATGGACTGTGGGATGCCTCTATTTTGGACTGTTACATACACTTTATATAAATGCATCTCCTGATGTATACCCACATGCATTTGGCTAGGGTAAATCCTCAGGAGTGCCTGGGCGCGGTGGCTCACGCCTGTAATCCCAGCACTTTGAGAAGCCAAGACCAGTGATCACTTGAGGTCAGGAGTTCAAGACCATCCTGGCCAACGTGGCAAAACCCCATCTCTACTAAAAACACAAAAATTAGCTGGGCATGGTGGTGTGCGCCTGTAGTCTGAGCTACTTTGGAAGCTGAGGCACGAGAATTGTTTGAACCCAGAAGGTGGAAGTTGCAGTGAGCCGAGATTGTGCCACTGCACTCCATCCTGGGTGACAGAGAGAGACTCTGGCTCAAAAAATAAATGAATAAATAAATCCTTAGGAGTATGTGGCTGGGACTTCCATGTAGAATAAAATTGAATTTGGATCCCTGCCTCACATCACACCATGTAAAAAAATCAACTGGATTAAAGGCTTCAATGTCAAATGCAAAACTTTACAGTGGGAGAAAAGTTATGGAGGGGAGGATTCATTTTAAAAAGATAGCAGACAGCTAGGCCTGGTGGCTCATGCCTGTAATCCCAGATACTTGGGAGGCTGAGGCAGGAGAATATCACTTGAGGCCAGGAGTTTGAGACCAGCCTGGGCAACATAACAAGACTCATCTCTACTGAAAAAAAAAAAAAAAAAGAAAAAGATAATAGACATGCCCCTTTCTGCCAGGATTTTCTTTCTTTTTCTTTTTTTTTTTTCTTTTTTTTTTTTTTTGAGATGGAGCTTCACTCTTGTTGCCCAGGCTGGAGTGCAGTGGCGTGATCTCGGCTCACTGCAACCTCTGCCTCCTGGGTTCAAGGGATTCTCCTGCCTCAGCCTCCCGAGTAACTGGGATTACAGGCATGTGCAACCACGCCTGGGTAATTTTTTATTTTTAGTAGACATGGGGTTTCACCATGTTGGTCAGGCTGGTCTCAAACTTCTGACCTCAGGTGATCCACCTGCCTCAGCCTCCGAAAGTGTTGAGATTACAGGCATGAGCCACTGTGCCTGGCCGTTTTTATTTTCTCTTCTCTTCTCTTCTCTCTTTTCGACCGAGTCTTGCTGTGTCACGCAGGCTGGAGCGCAGTAGCACGATCTTGGCTCACTACAACCTCTGCCTCCTGGGTTCAAGTGATTCTCCTTCCTCAGCCTCCCGAGTAGCTGGCATTACAGGCGCGTGCCACCACGCCCAGCTAATTTTTTGTATTTTTAGTAGAGACGGGGTTTCGCTATGATGGCCAGGCTGGTCTTGAACTCCTGGCCTCAAGTGATCGCCTGCCTCAACCTCCTAAAGTGCCGGGATTACAGGCATGAGCAACCTTGTCTGGCTACTGCCAGCATTTTCTGACTGGGCCCTCTCTCCCATTTCAGGTGAAGTCAGCACTGTGCTTAAGCTGGATAACACAGTGGTGGGGCAGACGTCTTGGAAGCCATGTGGCCCCAATGCCTGGGACCAGAGCTTCACTCTGGAGCTGGAAAGGGTGAGCTGCGTTGGAGGACAGCAGGGCCTAGAGGAGGAGGGGTTCCATGCCTCTGGCACCCTGAGTGATGGCCCTCTTCCTCTCCCTCCAGGCACGGGAACTGGAGTTGGCTGTGTTCTGGCGGGACCAGCGGGGCCTGTGTGCCCTCAAATTCCTGAAGTTGGAGGATTTCTTGGACAATGAGAGGCATGAGGTGCAGCTGGACATGGAACCCCAGGGCTGCCTGGTGGCTGAGGTATAGCCCACACCTGACCCTGAGAAAATGCTTCTTCTCCCTCACTGCCCCATTCCCAGTTTCCTAGAAGGGGAAAATATGTTTTAGGTCTGGCTCTTCCAGAAGGGGAAGATAAGTTTTAAGTCAGGCTTTTCTAGAAGAGGAAAATAGATTTTAGATCCAGCTCTTCTAGAAACGGAAGATATGTTTTAACTCTGCCTTTTCTAGAAGGAGAAGATACGTTTTAGGTCAGGCTCTTCCAGAAGGGGAAGAGACGTTTTAGGTCTGCTTTTTTCTAGAAGGGAAAGATATGTTTTAGATCAGGCTCTTCTAGAAAGGGAAGATAGGCTTTTGATCTGCCTGTTCTAGGCTGGGCGTGGTGGCTCATGCCTGTAATCCCAGCACTTCGGAAGGCTGAGGCAGGAGGATCACCTGAGGTCAGGGAGACCAGCCTGGGCAACATGGTAAAACCGCGTCTCAACTAAAAGTACAAAATTAGCTGGGCGTCGTGGCACATGCCTTTAGTCCCAGCTACTTGGGAGGCTGAGACAGGAGAATCGCTTGAACCCAGGAGGCGGAGGCTGCAGTGAGCTGAGATCCCACCACTGCACTCCAGCCTGGGCGACAGAGTGAGACTCTGTCGCCCAGGAGTCTCACAAAAAAAAAAAAGATCTGCTTGTTCTAGAAGGGGAAGATACATTTTAGATCAGGCTCTTTTAGAAGCATAAGATATGTTTTAGATATGGTTTCTCTTAATACAGAAAGATAGTTTTAGATCAGGCTCTTTCAGAAGTGGCAGGTATGTTTTAGACCCGTGTATTCTAGAAGGGGAAGATACATTTTAGATCTGTCTCTGAACCTTGATAGAAAAGTACACCTTGGCCAGGTGTGGTGGCTCACGCCTGTAATCCCAGCACTTTGGGAGGCTGAGGCAGGTGGATCACTTGAGGCCAGGAGTTCCAGACTAGCCTGGCCAACATGGTGAAACCCCATCTCTATTAAAAATACAAAAATTAGCTGGGCATGATAGTGGGTACCTGTAATCCCAGCTACTTGGGAGGCTGAGGCAGGAGAATTGCTTGAACCCAGGAGACAGAGGTTGCAGTGAGCTGAGATCACGCCATTGCACTCCAGCCTGGGCAACAGAGTGAGACTCTTGTCTCAAAAAAAAAAAAAAAAGAAGAAGAAGAAGAAGAAAAGCACTTCTAATTAGCCACATCAGTGATAGGACCTTAGCTGGGATTGGTTTTGTTCTGAGGCAAGATACTTAAAAAAAAAAAAAAAGAAGAAGAAGAAGCTGATTTCCAAATTTAGAAATGTTTAAAGAAAAAAGGAAATAAATTATAAAATTTCTTCCAACCAGGAAAGAGATACAAAACCTGGCAACATATCGTGGTGATTGCTACCAGAGCCACAGTCAAGAGAAAGTGATTCCTTCCACAGCTGTGTGAGGGTGAAGGTCTGAATTGAGGTGGCCTACCCTTGGCACTGTTGACATCTGGGGCCACATCATCCTCTGTGGTGGGGCTGTCCTGCATACTAGAGGATGTAGCACCTCTCCCCACTGCTTACAGGATGTCAGTAGCACCACCTCCCCCTGAGTTTTGACAGCCCAGAGGTCTCCAGACACTGTCAAGTGCTCCCTGGCCGGGAACCCCTGGTCTAAATGACATTTCTAGCTGAGTTCTCATAGTATAAGCCAGGCTCTGTAGCGAGTACTTTGGCGACGTGAACTCATTAATTCTCACAACCAACCAACAAAAGAGGGACTGTTATTACTCAAATTTGACAGAGGAGGAAACTGGGGCACAGAGAAGGGGCACTTGACCCCTCATTTAGCCAAATTATCCTAAAAAACTCTTTTAATCTTCCGCTAACCTATATGTGTACCCCATTTTACATATATATATGATAGATTACCTATATATGTATACACACACATATTATCTATTATTTACCCACCTACGTGTCCATCCATCCATTTTGTCTGTCTATGCATTCATCCATCCATCTTTTTTTTTTTTTTTTTTTTTTGAGATGGAGTCTCGCTGTCTCCCAGGCTGGAGTGCAGTGGTGCGATCTTGGCTCACTGCAACCTCTGCTTCCCGGGTTCATGCCATTCTCCTGCCTCAGCCTCCCGAGTAGCTGGGACTACAGGCACCCGCTACCACGCCCGGATAATTTTTTGTATTTTTAGTAGAGACGGGGTTTCACCCACCGTGTTAGCCAGGATGGTCTCCATCTCCTGACCTCGTGATCTGCCCGCCTTGGCCTCCCAAAGTGCTGGGATTACCGGCGTGAGCCACCGCGCCCGGCCCAGCCATCTTATCAATGCATCCTCTATCCATTGATAGATACACCTATATTATCTGTCTTATCTATGTATCCATCTATATTAGGTATCTATATCATCTATTTATCTAATCCATCTATCCATTTATCTATCTCTATCTATATATTATCTATCAACCAATCTATTTTTCCATGCATCCGTCTCTATTATCTGTCAGTCATCTTATCCATCAATCTTATGTATGCATCATCCATCCATCTATCCATCCCTGTATATTTCTCTGTATATATATCTACCCATTCCTCTCTCTATCTCTATCTATCCCTCTCTATATCTATCTGTGCCTCTGTTTTTCTCTATATAGCTATATCTATCTATCCATCCATCTATATTATCTATCAACTAATCTATCTTTCCGTCTACCCATCTGTCTATATTATCTATCCATCTATATTATCTATCTATCATCTTATCCATCCATCCATTTATCTTATCTATGCTCATCCCTCCATCCATCCATCTCTGTATATTCCTCTATCTCTATTTATATCCACCCATTCCTGTCTCTGTCTCTATCTATCCCTCTCTGTATCTATCTGTGTCTCTCTCTCTTTTTCTCTCGATAGCTGTATCTATCTATCCATCCATCTATCCATGCATCCTTCTCTTTCTATGAATCCCTTTCTCTATCAGTCCCTCTCTCTTTCTCTATCTGTAACTACCCTTCCGTCCATGCCCCTCTCTATCTACCTGCGTCTATATCTGTCTCTTTCTGTGTCTATTTATCCATCTCTCTATATCCATATCCCTAAGCAGAGGTTCTCCCCTGGTCTGACCATCAAGCACCAGTGAAAGAAAGGGGCGGGGCCAGGCACAGTGGCTCACACCTGTAATCCCAGCACTTTGGGAGGCTGAGGCGGGCAGATCACTAAGTCAGGAGTTCGAGACTAGCCTGGTCAACATGGTGAAACCCCGTCTCTACTGAAAATAGAAAAATTAGCCGGGTGTGGTAGCAGGCGCCTGTAATCCCAGCTACGCGGGAGGCTGAGGCAGGAGAATCAGTTGAACCTGGGAGATGAAGGTTGCAGTGAGCCGAGATCGCATCATTGCACTCCAGCCTGGGCAACAACAGCGAAACTCTGTCTCAAAAAAAAAAAAAAGAAAGAAAGAAAGGGGCGTGGAGAAGAGCTGACTCCAGATGGCAGAGGTTTAAAATTGTTCTCCCATTCAGAACACAGCCCAAACCAAATGGAAAGTGATGGTGGGTGGCCTGGGGGACACATTCTAAAGCGTTTCTCCTTGCCTTCAAGGTCTCTCTGTGGCATTCTATTTTGTTTTTATGCCTATACAGAAGCATTCTTCCATAGAACTTTTCTGCAGCTCTGGCCGGGCGCTGTGGCTCACGCCTGTAATCCCAATACTTCGGGAGGCTGAGGCGGATGGATCATTTGAGGTCAGGAGTTTGAGACCAGCCTGGCCAACATGGTGAAACCCTGTCTTTACTAAAAATACAAAAATTCGGCTGGGTGCGGTGGCTCACGCCTGTCATCCCAGCACTTTGGGAGGGTAGGCAGGCAGATCACCTGAGGTCAGGAGTTCAAGACCAGCCTGGCCAACGTGGAAAAACCTAGTCTCTACTAAAAATACAAAAATCAGCCAGGTGTGGTGGCGCACGCCTGTAATCCCAGTTACTTGGGAGGCTGAGGCAGGAGAATCACTTGAACCTGGGAGGCGGAGGTTGTAGTGAGCCAAGATCGCACCACTGTACTCCAGCCTGGGCAACAGAGTGAGACTGTGTCTCAAAAAAAAAAAAAAAGAAATTAGCCGGGCTTGGTGGTGGGTGCCTGTAATCCCAGCTGCTCGGGAGACTGAGGCAGGAGAATCTCTAGAGCCTGGGAGGTGGAGGTTGTGGTGAGCCCAGATTGCGCCACTGCACTCCAGCCTGGGCAACAGAGTCTCAAAGAAAAAAGGAACTTTCTGCAGCTCTGTTGTCGATGCACCCACAGTAGCTGAGTTCTGTTGTAGATGGAAATGTTCTCTATCTGAAGTGTGACCAGTGTGACCAGGGAACCAAAGTTTTAATTTCGCTGACATTTTCACTAATTTAAATCGCCACATGTGACAACCATACCAGACACTGCAGTTCTGTGACTTCAGCACCTTCTAGAAGTTGTATTGGAGTTGGGAGAATTCAACTTGACAGGTGGCTTCCATAGATGGGTGGGCACCAGCATTGCCTGGGGGCTTGTTGAAATACTGAGTGCTTTAGGGCCGGGCACGGTGGCTCGCGCCTGTAATCCCAGCACTTTGGGAGGCCAAAGTGGGCAGATCGCTTGAGCCCAGGAGTTCAGGACCAGCCTGGCCAACATGGTGAAACTCCGTCTCTACAAAAATACAACAATTTGCCAGGCATGGGGGTGCGTGCCTGTAGTCCCAGCTACTCAGGAGGCTGAGGTGGGAGGATCTCTTGAGCCCGGGAGGTGGAGGCTGCAGTGAGCCGAGATCGGACTACTCATATGTGCATATATATATGTGTGTATATATATATATGTGTGTGTGTATATATATATATATATAGAGAGAGAGAGAGAGCATGCGCGCGCTTCCTCCACTCCATGTTTCTGGCTCAGTAGGTCAAACCTGCGTTTCTAGAAAGTTCCCAGGTGTTGCTGCTACTGCAGGTCTGGGGTCTGGGAGCACATGTGGGGAATGGGGTGTGGGATGGCGTGGCGTCCGTTTGCAGTCGCTGTCTGTCAGTCTTGTTGGGTCAGATGCTCTCCCCACCTCTAGAAAGGGACCCGGTTGTTTGCTTCTTGCTTTTCCAAGACGTCCCTTCAGGAGGGGAGCCATGGGTTGCACCGATGACCTCTTCATTGTCACCTGGTACTCGGGTTGAATCTGATGCCACGTGACCAGAACCCCACTTGGGCGCGCACACCTGTGCTCCCAGGGGCTTCCTTACCAAGCTGTCTGCCTGCAGGTGGGCAGAGGGTCCTCACATTTTGGTCCCTTCCCCCAGGTCACCTTCCGCAACCCTGTCATTGAGAGGATTCCTCGGCTCCGACGGCAGAAGAAAATTTTCTCCAAGCAGCAAGGTGAGAGGGTGCTCCAGGCTTCCTGGGGGAGAGGCCAGGGGTCCTGGGAGTGTCATGGAGGGTGACGCCTGCCCCGTCCCCCCAGGGAAGGCGTTCCAGCGTGCTAGGCAGATGAACATCGATGTCGCCACGTGGGTGCGGCTGCTCCGGAGGCTCATCCCCAATGCCACGGGCACAGGCACCTTTAGCCCTGGGGCTTCTCCAGGATCCGAGGCCCGGACCACGGGGTAAGGAAGGAGGGCCCCATGGTCCCGGCTGCCCCTTGAAGCCTGCGAGGGTCCTGGGTCCCAGACACACCCTCCTCTCGTCTGCTGCAGTGACATATCGGTGGAGAAGCTGAACCTCGGCACTGACTCGGACAGCTCACCTCAGAAGAGCTCGCGGGATCCTCCTTCCAGCCCATCGAGCCTGGTGAGGGTCCCCCCTTCTATCCCCGTAGGCCTGGCCTGGGCAGCGTCAGGGGTCCTGCTCCAGGCTCAGAGACCACTAGGAACTTCCCTGGAGCCACGCAGCATGTCTGTGGCAGAACCAGGGCCCAGATCTCTATGCTGGTTAAAACGTGTGCCCAGATCCCCATCCTGGTTAAAAAACTGCTCATGCCTATAATCTCAGCACTTCTGGGAGGCTGACATGGGAGGATTGCTGGAGCCCAGGAGTTTGAGACCAGCCTGGGCAACACAGTGAGCCACTGTGAGCCATGATCCTGCCACTGCACTCCAGCCTGGGCAACATAGCGAAATACTATCTCAAAAAACAAAACAGGCTGGGCACAGTGGCTCACACCTGGAATCCCAGCACTTTGGGAGGCTGAGGCGGGTGGATCACTTGAGGCCAGGAGTTCAAGACCAGCCTGGCCAACACAATGAAACCCCGTCTCTAATAAAAATACAAGAATTAGCCGGGTACGGTGGTGGGCACCTGTAATCCCAGCTACCCGGGCAACTGGGGCAGGAGGATCAGTTGAACCTGAGAGGCGGAGGTTGCAGTAAGCCAAGATCATACCAATTGCGCTCCAGCCTGGGCGACAGAGCGACTCCATCTCAAAAAATAAAAATAAATAAAACTGTGAGCTCAGCGGCTGGACCCCCTGGGTTCCCACCCCTGCCGTGCCACCTCTTGGCTCTGCGCTTCACCTCTGTGCCTCAGTGTACCACTTTGCAAAACGAGCATATTTAAAACTCATGTCAATGATAGAATGATCGAGAGAGTGCTGTTCTCTAGGCAGAGGTTACCGCAAGCTGGGAGCCACAAGGGGACCTGCCGGGTGATGGAAATGTTCCTTATCTTGATCTCGGTCAGAGGTCAGCACGCGTTTTCCAGAAAGGGCCAGAGAGTCAATATTTTTGGCTTTGTGGGCTAGACAGTCCCTGTCTGCTTTGTAGTTTGAAAGCAGCCACAGACGATATATGTACACTGTAAGCGTGTCTCTATTCCAGTAAAACCTTATTGGTAGTACACGCGGAAGTTTGAACATTGTAGAACTTTCATGGGCAATGAAATATTATTCCTTTTTTTGTTTTTTTTTATTCCCCCAACGATTTAAAAATGTAAAAATCAGTTTACCTGTGGTCCCAGCTACTTGGGAGGCCGAGGCAGGAGGATGACTTGAGCCCAGGAGTTGGAGTCTGGCCTGAACAACATGGCAAAACTCCATCTCTTTTTTTTTTTTTTTTGAGATGGAGTCTCACTCTGTTGCCCAGGCTGGAGTGCAGTGGCGTGATCTAGGCTCACTGCAACCTCTGCCTCCCAGGTTCAAGGGATTCTCCTGCCTCAACCACCCGAGTAGCTGGGACTACAGGTGTGTGCCCACCACACCCAGCTAATTTTTGTATTTTTAATAGAGACGGGGTTTCACCTCGTTGGCCAGGCTGGTCTTGAACTCCTGACCTCAGATGATCTGCCCACCTCAGCCTCCCAAAGTGCTGGGATTATAGGTGTGAGTCACCATGCCCGGCCACTGCATCTCTTAAAAAAAAAAAAAATAGTGAAAGCCATTCTTAGCTCTTACAAACTATAAAAACAGGCTGGCCCACCAGCCAGCATTTGCCAACTCCTAGGCTGGCTGATGGTTTCCTGGGTGGATGCATATGTAACCTGTTCCTCTTGCCCACCTCACTGAATGCATTTTATTTATTTATTTATTTTGAGACAGAGTCTCACTCTGTCGCCCAGAATGGGCGTTGGAATGCAGTGGCGTGATCTCAGCTCACTCCAATCTCCGCCTCTCAGGTTCAAAGATGCCCATGCCTCAGCCTCCCTAATAGCTGGGACTACAGGCATGTGCCATCATGCCCAACTAATTTTTGGTTTTAGTAGAGATGGGGTTTCACCATGTTGGCCAGGCTGGTCTTGAACTCCTGACCTCAAGTGTTCTCCCCTCTGCAGCCTCCCAAATTGCTGAGATACAGGTATGAGCTACTGCACCCAGCCTGAATGCATTTTATCTTTTATCTTTTTTTTTTGAAACGGGGTCTCGCTCTGCCATCCAGGGTGGAGTGCAGTGGCGCAGTCATGGCTCGCTGCAGCCTCGACCTCCTGAGCTCAGGTGATCCTCTCACTTCAGCCTCCCAAGTAACTGGGACTACAGGCGTGCACCACCACACCTGGCTAATTTTTTATAGATCTAATTTTTTAGAAAGTAGAAGTAATGGGTTGGGCATGGTGGCTCACGCCTGTAATCCCAGCACTTTGGAGTCAAGAGATCAAGACTATCCTGGCTAACATGGTGAAATCCCATCTCTACTAAAAATACAAAAATTAGCCGGGCGTGGTGGCGCACGCCTGTAATCCCAGCTACTTGGGAGGCTGAGGCAGGAGAATTGCTGGAATCTGGGAGGCGGAGGTTGCAGTGAGCTGAGATCACACCACTGTACCCCAGCCTGGGCGACAGAGTGAGACTCAGTCTCAAAAATAAAAAAAATAATAATAAAAAATGGACATTGTCAAGCCAGGCATGATGGCTTGCACTTGTAGTCCCAGCTACTCAGGAAGCTGAACGAAGAAGATCGCTTGAGGCCAGAAGTTTGAGACCAGCCTGAGGAACAGAACAAGACCCCATCTCTACAAAAATTAGGCCGGGCGCGGTGGCTGACGCCTGTAATCCCAGCACTTTGGGAGGCTGAGGCAGGTGGATCACCTCAGGTCGGGAGTTGAAGACCACCCTGACCAACATGGAGAAACCCCATCTCTACTAAAAATATAAAAAATTAGCCGGGCGTAGTGGTGCATGCCTGTAATCCCAGCTGTTTGGGAGGCTGAGGTAGGAGAATCACTTGAATCCGGGAGGCGGAGGTTGCAGTGAGCGAAGATCACACCATTGTACTCCAGCCTGGGCAACAAGAGTGAAACTCCATCTCAAAAAAAAAAAAAATGAGCTGGACGTGGTGGTGCATGCCTTTAGTCCCAGCTACTCAGGAGGCGGAGGTAGAGTTGGAGGCTGCACTGAGCTATGACTGCGCCCCTGCACTCCATCCTGGAAGACAGAGCAAGACCCTGTCTCTAAAAAAAAAAATTCAGGTTGGGCATGGTGGCTCACGCCTGTAATCCTGGCACTTTGGGAGGCCGAGGCGGGTGGATCACCTGAGATCAGGAGTTCCAGACCAGCCTGGCCAACATGGTGAAACCCCGTCTCTACTAAAAATACAAAAATTAGCCAGCCATGGTGGTGCAGGCGTGTGGCTGGAGGAGAGTGAGTGAGGGGCTGCGTGGGAGGAGAGGTGAGGACAGAGAGGTCGGGGGCAGATCTTGCAGGGCCTCGGAGGCTGCTGTGGTTATGAGGGCATCTCTGACTCCCCTTACTCTGGCCTCCTCTCTCCGCCACAGAGCTCCCCCATCCAGGAATCCACTGCTCCCGAGCTGCCTTCGGAGACCCAGGAGACCCCAGGCCCCGCCCTGTGCAGGTGACACCACTCCCTGGCCCCCTGTCCACCACCCCTGCCCGCTGTCCTTGTTCTCACCAGTGGCCTCTCTCCACAGCCCTCTGAGGAAGTCACCTCTGACCCTCGAAGATTTCAAGTTCCTGGCGGTGCTGGGCCGGGGTCATTTTGGGAAGGTGAGGTGGAGGGCAGGGAATTGGGAGACCCCCCAGGTCCCTGGCTGGCCGCTAAAACCACCCCTGCCCACTGTGGTTCCAGGTGCTCCTCTCCGAATTCCGGCCCAGTGGGGAGCTGTTCGCCATCAAGGCTCTGAAGAAAGGGGACATTGTGGCCCGAGACGAGGTGGAGAGGTGGGGACCTGCCGTGGTCCTCTGGGGACCTCTTTCTTCTCTTTTGGGAAATGACAGAGCAGTTCTCTCCTTGGAGCTACAGGGAGAGTGACTCATAGTAGTCACTAACGCCAGGCACAGTGGCTCTTACCTGTAATCCCAGCACTCTGGGAGGCCGAGGCAGGTGGATCACTTGGGCTCAGAATTTCAAGACCAGGCTGGGCAACATGGTGACACCCCCATCTTTACAAAAAATACAAAATAATTAGCTGGGTGTGGTGGCACATGCTTGTAGCCCCAGCTACTCATGAGGCTGAGATAGGAGGATCGCCTGAGCCCAGTAGGTCAAGGTTGCAGTGAGCTGAGATCGCGCCACTGCACTCCAGCCTGGGCAACACAGTGAGACCCTGTCTCAAAACAAAAAGTCACTAATACCTACTAGCCTAATACCAAGATAATAATAGCTCTTAGGAAAGTTATTCATTTGTTCCTCCATGTAGCCCTATAAGATAAATACTGATGGCACAGAGAGGTTCAGCAATTTACCCAAGGTCACACAGCCAGTAAGCAGCAGGTCCAGGATTCAAAGCTAGAGACTCAGGCTCTGAAGCCTGTGCCCTTTGTGGTGCCACCATACTGCCTCTGCTTTAGGGTCAGGTTCCTGGGTTCAAATCTCAATTCTGCAGCATGGGCTTGGAGATCCTGGGGAGGTCACTTCTCCCTTCAGAACCTCAGCTTCTTGGCTGGGCATGGTGGCTCACGCCTGTAATCCCAGCACTTTGGGAGGCTGAGGTGGGCAGATCATCTGAGGTCAGGACATCGAGACCAGTGTGGCCAACATGGTGAAACCCCGTCTCTACTAAAAATACAAAAATCAGCCAGGCATGGTGGCGGGTGCCTGTAGTCCCACCTACTTGGGAGGCTGAGGCAGGAGTATCGCTTGAACCCAGGAGGCGGAGGTTGCAGTGAGCCAAGATCGCACCACTGCACTCCAGCCTGACTCTGTCTCAAAAAAAAAAAAAAAAAAAAAAAAGAACCCCTCTTGTTGTGGAGAAGCAGAATGCTATTGCCTTCCACACATGGTTGTCAGGTGCTCTCTACACAGTGCCTAACCCCTCTAAACATTCGGTACAGGCACTGAGATTGTGCCTGGTCTTCCCAGCATCCTTTTGATAATCAGGAACCCAACTGAGAAAGACTGAAACAAGTAAAGAAATTTATTGGTCTGGATCTGAAAAGTCCAGGAGTGTGCTACCTTCAGGCATGGCTGTATCCAGGTGCTGAGATGACGTTTCTCAGTTCTGCTTCCCTCTGTATGGGCTTTGGTTGCCATCTGGGAGTCTGGAGTAAGTGGCGGCCATGGTCTCTGACTTCTATCCCCCACCCCTCCCCAGCCTGATGTGTGAGAAGCGGATATTGGCGGCAGTGACCAGTGCGGGACACCCCTTCCTGGTGAACCTCTTCGGCTGTTTCCAGACACCGGAGCACGTGTGCTTCGTGATGGAGTACTCGGCCGGTGGGGACCTGATGCTGCACATCCACAGCGACGTGTTCTCTGAGCCCCGTGCCATGTGAGCCTGGACCCCAGCCCGGGCCCCTGCCTCCCCTACAGCATCTGACACTTAGTCCCCCCGAGAGGCTGGCAGCCTGCTTCTCACCCCTCCACCCTCAGGCCTTGCTTCCCTCAGCCTCCCAGAGCTTTGGGGAGACTGGGGGGCTTTTGAGGATGTGGAAGCCAGGCTTATGTGACCCTCCCTCCTTGCAGGGTGGCCCCACCCCTCTCAGCAGCCTCTCTCTCTCTGCAGCTTTTATTCCGCCTGCGTGGTGCTGGGCCTACAGTTTCTTCACGAACACAAGATCGTCTACAGGTGTGTGCGTGTGTGCATGCATGTGCACACTGCCCGTTGTGGGGACAGGACCCAGACCCCCGCTCATCCCTCTTTCCACCCCTCCAACCCCCAACAGGGACCTGAAGTTGGACAATTTGCTCCTGGACACCGAGGGCTACGTCAAGATCGCAGACTTTGGCCTCTGCAAGGAGGGTGAGGGGCTGGCCTCTGGATTAGACAAAGGAGGGGGAAGGAATGGGGTCCCTAACCCTATTCGGGGTGCCCCCCACCCTGACCCTGGGACAGGGCTGGCTGTGTGGACAACCCCACATTGGGCTGAGTGACTCCTCTGGCCCCCATAACCTCACATGGCCTTGCTGTCCCCAGGGATGGGCTATGGGGACCGGACCAGCACATTCTGTGGGACCCCGGAGTTCCTGGCCCCTGAGGTGCTGACGGACACGTCGTACACGCGAGCTGTGGACTGGTGGGGACTGGGTGTGCTGCTCTACGAGATGCTGGTTGGCGAGGTGAGACCCCGCCCCTGTGTGTCTCGGATCTCATTGGAACCTGCGCGTGCCCAGGGTGGGATCCAAGTCTGCCTCCACCATGTGTTGTGTGATTGAGGGCTGCTGGCTCTGCTTCCCTGGCCTCAGTTTCCACATCTATAAAATGGGGCATTTCCCTGCCCAAGTAAGCCAGCACCCAAGAGCTGCAGCAGAGTGTGGGGCTCAGGCCGGGCTGGGTTTGGAGCAGCCAGAGGAGGGGCCTCGTTCACCCCGGGCCTCCCTCTCCCCAGTCCCCATTCCCAGGGGATGATGAGGAGGAGGTCTTCGACAGCATCGTCAACGACGAGGTTCGCTACCCCCGCTTCCTGTCGGCCGAAGCCATCGGCATCATGAGAAGGGTGAGGACCCCCGACGTGGGGCGGGCCTGGGGAGGGGCAGTGGGGCCCAGGAGGGGACAGATCCTGACACAGTGCTCCTTCCTCCAAGCTGCTTCGGAGGAACCCAGAGCGGAGGCTGGGATCTAGCGAGAGAGATGCAGAAGATGTGAAGAAACAGCCCTTCTTCAGGGTGAGATTCCCCACAAGGACCTCAGTGACCCCGGCCCTCCCCCAGGGCCGATTCATCACCCCACAGCAGACGGCCCCCATGCCTAGCCGCTTTGCCTCAAGGGCCTCGTTGCGCCTCAAGGGCCTCGTTGCACCTCCAGGGCAACATCGTCACCTCCTTTGACACCCCCATTTCCCTCCTCCACTTTTGTTCCCCCCAAGGACCCTCCTAATCCCACATCTCCACTTTTCCCTTTTTTTTTTTTTTTTAGCCAGGGTCTCGCTCTGTCGCCCAGGCTGGAGTGCAGTGGCTCAATCTCGGCTCACTGCAACCTCCGCCTCCCAGGTTCATGCAGTTCTCCTGCCTCAGCCTCCCGAGTACCTGGGATTACAGGCGTGCACCACTCCACCACACCAGGCTAATTTTTGTATTTTTAGTAGAGACGGGGTTTCGCCATGTTGGCCAGGCTGGTCCTGAACTCCTGGCCTCAAGTGATCCTCCCGCCTCGGCCTCCCGAAGTGCTGGGATTACAGGCCTGAGCCACCACGCCGGGCCTCCACTTTTCCTAATCCGGCTTCTCCACCAGGCTCTCGCAGGTGATCCCTCCTGAGCCCCAGTCCCCCCACCCCACTTGTCCTCTGTATGCTCACTCCTCTCCGTGGTCCCCGAGCCCCAGGACTGGTCCCCACTGCAGCACGCCCCCTCCTCAGCCTCCAGGCTGACCCTCCCCTCCGCTTCCCTCCCCTGCAGACTCTGGGCTGGGAAGCCCTGTTGGCCCGGCGCCTGCCACCGCCCTTTGTGCCCACGCTGTCCGGCCGCACCGACGTCAGCAACTTCGACGAGGAGTTCACCGGGGAGGCCCCCACACTGAGCCCGCCCCGCGACGCGCGGCCCCTCACAGCCGCGGAGCAGGCAGCCTTCCTGGACTTCGACTTCGTGGCCGGGGGCTGCTAGCCCCCTCCCCTGCCCCTGCCCCTGCCCCTGCCCGAGAGCTCTTAGTTTTTAAAAAGGCCTTTGGGATTTGCCGGATCCTTGCATCCTCCGTGTCTTCTTGTGTGCAGTCATTGGGGGTGGGGGCGTGCTTGGAGGTGTGGACGTTTGCGGGGCAGGTGGCTGGGTGGTCGTGGGAGTCTCGACTGATGGGGGTGTCATCTGAAGAGGATCAAGGGGCGGCGTGGACTCGGGGCTGTTCTTATGGTGGGGAGCGTGGGTGAGCCGAGATGGGAGGGGGCGTCGGGATTGTGTTGGGGGGCGCCCAGGGGCGTGGGGCAAAATGGTTTGGGGATAGGGTTTTGGGGCTGTATTGGAAGAGCTCAAAGCCGCAGTGAGCAGAATGGTTTCGGAAGTCCGTTAGGGCAGCGGCAAGGTCAGGAAACGCCCCACACACCCTCTGTCTCTGCTCCCAGCGGAGCCCCAGCCCCGGCCGCCCGCACGGTGCGCTTGCTCCTGCGGCTCTGGCGCCCACGGGCCCGGCACCCTCGAACCTCCTAGAACCGCGCCCCCGTGTCTCCGCGCCCTCTTCTGGTAGGCCCCGGAACTGCATCCACCCTGGAGGCGCACGCGGCGTCCCTGCAGCCCCCCGCGCGGCCCCAGTGGATGCCGAAGCCCCGACGGGACACACGGTCCTGCCTGGGCTCGCAGAATGGCTTTTTATTCCCAAAGGCTCTGCGCCGCGCACCTGGGCCCAGCCCAGGGTGGGCTGGCTTAGTCGTTGGGCCTCTGGTTGTGCTTAGAAGTGGCTGAGGCCGCTGTGCCGGGAGCTGCGCAGCGAGCTGGCCTCCCAGGCGCTCGGTGTTAGGCCCAGCCCCGCGGGGCCGCCCTTGGCTCCGGCCCTCGGGGGCAAGAGGCGAAGCAGTTGGCGCAGCACGGCCTGGCGCAGTAGGATGTACACCCAAGGGTCCAGGATCTGGTTCCAGGAGGCAAGGCGCACGGCCAGGAACAGTGGCCGCTGCAGGGAGGTAGAGCTCCAGCCGCCGACGGCCAGCGCCACCAACACCTGCGGGGGAAGCCGGTGTGAGCTATAGAGCAGGCGCGGGCGCAGGGGGGCGCAGGGATGGTGGGGGCGTGGCTGGAAGGTAAAAGCCTGGGAGGAGGGGCGAGCCGTCGCAGGGAGGGTAAATGGGGATCCAGATGAGAAACGGATGCGGAAAAAAAAGGGGGGCAAAGAAACAAACACCTTCAGTGGGTGGGGGTCCGGCCGTAGAGGAGTCTCAGGTGTCCCGGAAAGAGGAAAAGCAAGGGGGTTGGGTGAAAGGACTAGGGAATGAAGCGCGGCGACTTATAACGGTGGGGCAGGAGAGGAGGCTTGTGTGGGTCGGGGTGCGCTACAAAGACCCCAAAAAGGAAGAGGAGAGGGGGGCTAGGAGGAAGGATGGGAGGTCAGATGGAGAAGGCGATGCTGGCTTTCGGGGCAGGTGGGGCCTCTAGGGGCCGGGGCCTTGGTTGAGTCCAGGATGGAGGCCCCAGGTGTCCTGGGACGACAAAGGGCGGGAGGGTGCCGAGAGGGAGCGGGAAGGAGCGTGGCTCGAGGGGCCGGTGCGCCCCTCACCAGCATTGGGCTCCAGCAGATGCACGACACCACCATGATACCGACAAGCTGGCCCACCATCTCCACGTCGTGGGCGCGAGCTCTGCGTGCCGAGCCGCTGCTCCGAGAGCCGCCAAAGAAGGTGGAGGCCGAAGCGATGGACGAGGCGGACGAGGCGGAGGCCGAGCGGGGTCCGTGCGCCCCCCAGCGACGCCGGCTGTCGGGGCCTGAGGCCGGGGGAGGCCGTCGGGAGCGGCGTCGCCAGCGGGCGCGTAGCAGGGCCAGGCCGCTGAGCGTGTTGCACACCAGCGCGGCGAGGAGCGCGACCAGGCCGAGGCTGGCGAAGAGGCCAGCAAGCAGTGCCTGGCGCCAGCCGCCCGGGGGACCCAGGCCGATGAAGCACCACGTGCCCGGGTACTGCAGCTCATAGCGGCCCACGCGCGCCAGCGGCAGCAGCGCCACGGCCAAGGCCACCGCGGCCACCGCGGCCAGCGCCAGGCGCGCGCGGGCGACCGAGACCCGCGCGGCGTGGAGCAGCGGCCGCGTGACGCCCACGCAGCGCTCCACGGCCATGCCACAGCCCAGCAGCAGCGGGCACAGGCCGAAGAAGACCATGCAGCCGCCCAGGAAGTGGCAGGCCCCGCCGGCCGGAGCGCGCCCCGCAGTGTACAGACGCAGCACCAGCGCGCCCGGGATCACGTGGCCCGCCAGGTCGGTGGCCAGCAGGCTGGCCACGAACAGCAGGAAGGTGGCGGCCGAGCGGCGGCGTCGCAGGCGGCCCGCGGCCTGCGCCAGCAGCGCCAGCGCCAGCAGGTTGGACACGGCGCCCAGCGTCATGGAGAAGATGGGCAGCGCGGGCGAAGCGCCCGACGGCGGCACGGCCGACGTGTTGGGGACCCAGGGCGCCGCGCATGTGGTCGCCTCGCCCGCCAGGCTCAGGTTGAGGGGCCCGCAAGGGCTCATGTCAGGCGCCAGGGGTGCTGGATAGAGGAGAGGAGGGCAGAGTGAGGCTGGCTGGGCCCGGGCGGGGACCAGCCCACGGTGCCATCTCAGAACATCAGGGCCTGTTTGACTCCATGGCGTTCTCAGGCGGCCCCTCTGCCCATGGCAGTTGCCATGGGCAACTCCAAATGACCTGGCCACTCCATTTGGAAACCCTTCTCCCTCTCTTTTGCCTCTCACCACCCCATCTCCTGCTCCAGGGCCTCCCTCTAACCCCACTGGCCCTTTCTCTGCCCTTCATGGTTTCCTGCAAGATTCCCCCCAGCCCCGCCCTCAGGCATCTCTGCCAGTGCCTCCGACCCCCACCTTCCATTTTTACACCCAGCAAATTCCTGGGGCCTGTGGCTCCATCTGATAGCTCTCACCCATTTCTGCCACTGTGGCCCTACCTGACTTTCCCCATGTCAGCTTTACTCCAGTCCCATCCTCGATGCCCCAGCCCCATCTCTACCACCACGGGCACATCTCTCCCCACGGCCATGTCCCTGTCCCCCATGGACCCATCTCTGACCCCACATGGCACAGCCACATCTGTGCCATGGACCCATCTCTGCCCCTGCCCCATGGACCTGCCTCTGCTCCACTGCGGTCTCTCGCCAGGCCCTACCCCGATCACCTCTGCCTCACCCTGGGTGCCCACGGTTCCACTCCATATCCCTGCCCCAGAGGCCTGGAGGCGGCCCCACGACCATCCACTCTTTGATATCCTGGTGGTGAGGGCTGAAAGGGCGGAACTGCCCACCAGGCCAGATGGGAAGGGAGGATGGACAGACGGTAAGACAGGGACGCACAGATCAGGGAGAAGAGCCCGGGGACACAGGACGGACAGCAGGTGGCCATGGCCCCACCCCTTCATGCCCTCCTCCTCCCCAATCAGGGACCCTCATGTGCAACCCCCTTACCCGGCACTGCCTGGGATGTGGGGTCCCCATCACCGGCCGCTCAGCCCTGCCGCCCACTGCGCCCTGGCTCTCCGGCAAGCCGCTTCCTCCCTCCCTCTTCCTGGGGCGGCTCCTCAGCTCCTCCCGCCGCCCTTGCTGGCCTCCAGGGGCCGCTCCACCCCGCGCACGCCCGCTGGGGGCCTGGAGTGGCAGAGACCCCCCTCTCTGCTCCTGGCAATGGGCGGGGGCCACTCTGGGCCCCAGCGGCTCCCTCCACGAGGAGTGAGGCTCCCTGGAGTTGGTCTGGCCCCATGTGACCCCCTCCTCCCAGCAGGGCGGGAGCAGCCCCCTTCCCCCCCAGGATCGGGCCTCTTGCCTCATTAATAAAGCGGATAAAATCTAAACACTGGAAAATGTGAGCGTCGTCTGGGGCGGGCTGGGGCAGCTGCAGGGGGTGCCACTGCCCCCCTCCCTGGGGCTTTGGAGCTAGAGAGGCTAACTCCAATTCTGTGGGGCCAGCAATGCCCCCCCTGCCCTGCCAAAGCCTTCGTGGATGTCGGGGTGGGTGCTGGTGGGCAGGGCCTCGGGTAGACCAGCTTGGGTCAGGCCCAGCCTGGCCAGGGGATCCGCCTATTTATACAGGGGCTTAAGCCCCGGCTAGGGCCACAGCGAGTCATATCCTGGGAGGAGGCTGAAAGGGGGCAGGGGAACCAGGAGGCCTGGCGACCTGGGGACTCTCCCCAGTGACTGGCTCCTTTAAGATGGGCTGAGTGACACCTGTGACACACGTCCTAAGACACAAAGACTCGCCTCCTGCCCTGAGAAGTAGGGTCACACTGGCACAGCCTCACACCCTAAGACATACAATCCTGTCACTTACCACTCAGTTTCATCCTGTCCCCATCTCAGCACAGCCAGGTTGCTGCCGCCACATCCCTGAACTCAGGGTCTTACCCCCAGCGCCGGGACGCACCCAGAGTTACTGCCTCAATTCCAGCCCCTCCCAACACCCCAAAATGCAGCCCTCTGAGATGATCACCCGAACCACCCTCCTTAGTGCTGGGAAATAGGGTCTCACTTGGCACCCCGAGAGATACACACACGCACACACACTCCTTATTGCCAAAACTGCCCCTGACCACACTCTGTTTGACTTTCAATGACCCCTCAACAATCCCAGACAGGCCCCACCAGCACACTCCGTACACCCAAGGCACAAGAAGTGACACCCCCCGCCGCTGGACACCAGAGACCTAGCTGGCCACCCCCACCCTCACCCAGAAACAGCAACGCCCTGAGACACACACACCTGCACCCCTAGAGACCCCTAGACCTAGCCAGCACCCCCACCCAGGAAACAGCAACACCCCGAGACATACCCTGACACCCCTGAACACCCCAAGGCCTAGCCAAGCACCCCTCCTTGCCCCAGAAACAGCACCCTAAGACACACACCCCCACACCCCGGGACACCCCAAGACACAGTCACTCCGTTGCACTCCCCACCACCAGACACTGCCAGTTACACCTGCAATTGCCCTGGAACACAGAGCCGGTTATCACATCCCTTACCCACGACACAGCCCTCCCTCATTGCGTCACGAGCCATCAACACTCTTGATAGACTCACAGTGCTACCCAACACCCGAGACACACATAGCCACACCCCTTCACCACCGCAAGCGGCTCCCAGCACAGACACCTGAGGAGCCCACAGGTGCCCGGGGATGCCCTGAGTCACCAGGACTGCGGCTCCCCGACTCCACCCGGGTCTGTCCACCAACACCCAGCCCCCAGGGTCTTCCCCTTTTCCCCCTTCCCCTCTTCCTGGTGGCCCAGTGCCCGCCCGCCTTTTGGAACGAGGATTGCAAGCTGGCCTCGGACTTCCCCACAGCCTCTCGGCTCACCCCCAAGCATTCCTGTGGGGCCTTCTGGCCCAGCGCCCCTTGCTTCAATCCCTTCCCTTCCCTCCAGGTCTGGCCAGGGTCCCACCCCGCCTTTCCCTGATCACCCTCAATCCTCGAAGATGAGTGGGTTGTCAAAACAAGTATGCTGGGTTTATGTCTAGGACAAAGCAGGGTGCCCCATGGACGCCTGCGTGTCCAGCATTGGGCCGGGTGGGGTGGGGGCTGCCTCACGCCTGCCCCCAACCTCCCGGTGTAGGGGTGGGGCTCTGGCAGGCCTGAGGTTCCATCTTTCTATTTCCAAGCCAGGTTTCAATGCCCTGGTGCTCCCCACGGTCCGGGGGTTGTCACCAGCTGCAGACAGCAGCCTTGTGAAGCTCCAGGGGGTAGGAGGCCTTGTGGGAGAGGGGGCAGGATTTGAACCCTCAGTAGTCCAGGAAGCTCTGGCCCTGCCTGGAAGCCTGGTGGCCTGCAGCCAGAAGGAACAGTGGGAGGGGGCAGGTGGCTTGGTGCCAGCTCCTAATTCAATTTGGAGCCTGCGGAAGATGGATTTCAGCTGCTGAATTCTTTCTCAGCCCCAATCTTCCCCCTCTCCCACCCCGAAGCCACACAGGTCCAACAGCAGATAGATTCTTTATGTTCAAGACAGCAAATTCAGATACAAAAACCCACCGCCATCGTCCCTCCCTCCCTCCTGCTCTGGGCCAGGGATGGGCCTGGAAGGAGAGATGGGAGGTGGGGAGGAGGTTGCGGGGTTCACAGCAGACTCGTGTCAAATGCGGAGGTAACAGGCTCCACAGGGAGGGGGCTCCTCTCAGGAGGGGTGAGGGCATTATTGCATTTGCTGGGGGGAAGGACAACCCTCTCCCCTGTATTCCCTGCGTCAGGAAACTAGGAAGGTCATGACCCCCAAACAGAACCCAAGGCCCCAGGGAGACAGAGGGACCAGTTTGGCAGCTGATGGTGGAAAGTGGTGGAGGCGGGGGTGGCCGCCCAATTTGGCTGATCCCTCCCCTCCCTGTGCCTGACCCAGCTGAGGTAGGTGGGGAACAGGGCACAGGGGGGCCGGGGACCCCGGCCAGACTGGGAACCAGGGAGGGGATGGTACCGATTGGAGCGGGGCAGGGGGCCTGGCCCCACCTCCCCTCACCATCGTCCTTGGGCTGCTGAGCTAGGCTCAGGCTGGAGGCTCGGGTCCTGACGTCAGTGTCCCTGCTGGGGGCCCCCACCAGGTTGCGCCCGGGTCATCATCGCAGGGTCCGGGGGCAGTCCTAGTAGCGGCCGACCTTGGCGTCCCCAATGGCGCCCCAGACGTCAAAGACGAACTCGTCAGGGAAGGCAAAGTCACCCAGCCGTTCGTCCAGGGCCTCGGCCAGCTCATCCGGGTTCCTTTTGTCCTTTCCCAGCTCCACCATGGTGGCCGCTATTGGGGGAGGGGTCAGAACGGAGGCACAAATGACACCAGGGACCAAGGGGCTCAGGGTGGATTCGGCCCCCAGCAGACCTAGATGCCCCCTCCCCCAGGCAGCCCTCACTCACCCAGCTCCGTGTCCCTGATACCCATGTAACTCTCCAGCAGGTCATCCACCTTCTCAATGGCCTTCTCTTCAAAGGCAGAGGGCTGGGGGCCAGGGAGGGGTGACAGCGACATCATAACAATGTGAATATACATAGTAATTGGACGGACTGCCATTGTCACCACTTTACATATATTCGTATTTAGACCTCAGGACAACCCTGAGAAGGTGGTATCGGTGTTCAGCTCATCCCCATTTTACTGATGGGCAAACTGCGGCCCATGTGCCCAAGGAAGGTCCCTGGGAGCTGGGAAGTGGCAGAAGTGGACTAGAATCCAGGCTGTCTGCCCAGAGTCCCCTCAGCTAACAGGTAATGCTGCCGGTTATGAAAAGGAAGGGAGGGCTGGGCGCGGTGGCTCATGCCTATAATCCCAGCACTTTGGGAGGCCAAGGAGGCTGGATCACCTGATGTCAGGAGTTCGAGACCAACTCCTGGCCTGGCCAACATGGTGAAACCCCATCTCTACTAAAAATACAAAAATCAGCTGGGCATGGTGGTGGGCACCTGTAATCCCAGCTACTTGGGAGGCTGAGGCAGGAGTATCGCTTGAACCTGGGAGGCAGAGGTTGCAGTGAGCCGAGATTGCACCACTGCACTCCAGCCTGGGTGACAAGAGTGAGACTCTGTCTCAAAAAAAAAAAAAAGAAAGGGAAGGGATGCCGGAGATAGGGTCCGGCTGGAGCACTCACCAGATCCTCCACCGTGGCGGGGCCCCGGGATCGGAGCCGCAGGGTCCCTCGGCCAGTGCCCAGTTGTGGGCCAGAGCCAGGGCGGCCACCCGCTGAACGCTGGCTGATCATGTCTGTGGGAGGCAGGAGAGGAGTGAGTGTGGGGGAAGCTTGGTTTTAGCACGTTCTGGGCAGGAACTTGTCCTTCCTGGCTTTCACCACCACCCCAAACTTCTCCAGGCTTCTGCAAGTTTCTGGGGGCTGGGGCCGGGGTGATCCCAGGAGGGCAGGAATCCTGACTCAGGCCTGGCATGGATGTGGGGCAGAGCAGGGGGAACAGCTGGGGGCCAGGAATAGGAAATGCTGGAGGGGAGACTGGAGGGGCCACTTCTGCTCCCAGGGGCTGGGGGACAGGAAGCAGGTGTACCCCAGCCTGAGTCTCCAGCTGCCTGAGTCCGTCTCCTCTTGGCCAAGGGGGTATGGCTGCTGGGCCACAGACCAGCCCTACCTGCCCAGGGAAGTGATTTAGTCCCCCACCCCCACCTCAGGGGCCTGGGGCCCATTCCTGAGAGTTAGTGAAGCCAGATGGAAAAGTGGGGGGGCTGGCACTGAGCAGTCAAGCCTGGCCTGTTGGGGATAGGGGGCTGGCCAGGGCTGAGGGCGCTTGGCTGGGCTAATGGCCCCTGGAAGCTAGGTGTGAGGGCAACTTCCTCCTCGCCCCCGCCCTTCTCCCAGGCTGGGCCAAGGGCCAGCACCCCGTCTGGGGTCGGGAGGAGCTGCAACCCCTTCCCTTTCTGCAACCCCTTCCCTTTCGGCAGGCCAGGCTTGGGCGCCACCTGCTGGCCGCTCCCGGCACCACCGCCTGCGCCCATGCGAGCAGCGCCACTGGGGAGGTCCAGGGGGCGGCTCCTCACCGAAGGCCTTGCGAGGCTCCGTGAGCTTCAGCGTGAAGGTACGGCCTCGGGGCAGCTCCTTGAGCAGCCGGGCCACCTCGTAGTGCCGGCAGCCCAGCAGGCTCTGCCCGTTAATGGCCTCGATCATGTCGCCCACGCTGATGAGGTGGATGTGGTCGATCACGCTGCCCTCCTTGATGCGCTGCGGGGGCGGGGAGTCATCAGCCCTTGGGGCTCTGCCCTGGTTTCCGGGGTCCCATGGCCCACCCTCACTCCCAGGCCTCCGGGGTGCCCCGTCTCCCCAGGCACCTTGATGAAGGCGTAGCCAGCCCCGTTGTCCGTGATGGTGAGCCCGAGTGCATCCTCCGACTTGAACACCTCCACCTCCTTGCGCTGCCCCTTCACGTGGGCGAAGATGAAGTCCTCCAGCCCGATCTGGCCCCCCAGGAGCTTGTCCATGTCCACTTTGTGGGTGTTCAGGGTGCAGAACATCACCTGCAGGGGTGGGAGACGCTGAAACCTCTTCCCCCTCCCTCCCCCTTTTCTAATCACCACTGGAGGGCGAAGGGAGAGAGCTGGGAGAGGACTAGGGGGATTCCATCCCAGTAACTCATCACCCACTGAGCCTGAGCCAGGGCCACAGCAGGGCCCACATTAGCGTGTCAGCTCTGCTAGGACTAGGATTTAGTTTTCCTTTCTCTTTTTGAGACAGGGTCTTGCTCTGTCACCCAGGCTGGAGTGCAGTGGTGCCATCATAGTCACTGCAGCCACAACCTCCCAGATTCCGGCAATCCTCCCACCTCAGCCTCCCAAGTAGCTGGAACTACAGGTGCTCGCCACCATGCCTGGCTAATTTTTGTATTTTTTGTGGAGATATGGGGTCTCACTATGTTGCACAGGCTGGTCTCCAACTCCTGGGCTCAAGTGATCCTCCTGTCTCAGTCTCCCGAGTAGCTGGGACCACAGACACGTGCCACCACACCCACATAGTTAAAATAATTTTTTTTAGAGATGGGAGCCTCATTATGTTGCCCAGGCTGGCCTGGAACTCCTGAGCTCCAGTGATCCCCCCATCTCAACCTCCCAAGTAGCTGGGACTATAGGTGTGCACCACTGTACCCAGCTAGGATTTCGGTCCTAGCAAAAATTCATTGCTGTGCCAGGTGCGGTGGCTCACGCCTGTAATCCCAGCACTTTGGGAGGCCGAGGTGGGCAGAACACGAGGTCAGGAGATCGAGACCAACCTGGCCAACATGGTGAAATCCTGTCTCTACTAAAAATACAAAAATTAGCTGGGTCTGGTGGCGGGCGCCTGTAATCCCAGCTACTCGGGAGGCTGAGGCAGGAAAATGGTTTGAACCCAGGAGGTGGAGGTTGCAGAGAGCCAAGATCGTGCCACTGCACTCCAGCCTGGTGACAGAGCAAGACTCCATCTCAAAAAAAAAAAAAAAAAAAAAAAAAAAATTCATTGCTGCTTTCAGGGAACGGAGCCTGGCACACAGTGAGTGCTCAGGAAATGCTTGTGGAGGACACAGAAACTCATCCCACTTAGGGAGACCCCTGCGTCTACTTCTTGCTCAAACCCACTATTGCCCTCCTTGACCCCCTCCCATCTATCCCCACAGTGCTTGGCACCAGGCAAGCCTGCCTCCCACAGCGTTGAGTTTCTCCAAGGCATCACGGAGAAGTGCATCTCGTATCTGGCCTCTAGCCTCCACCATCTCATGGGGCACTGGCCTCCCAATGCCTGACAGGAACTCAGCATCCAGCCCTGGCCATCAGCTCCCACAGTCTGTAGAGGTGCAGGCCTCTCAGTGTCTGATGGGAACTCAGCATTTAACTGTGGCCATCAGCTCCCCACAATCTACTGGGGTGCAGGCCTCCCAACGCCTGATGGGAACTCAGCGTCCAGCCCTGGTCGTCAGTTTTGCACAATCGACTGGGATGCAGGCCTCTCAATCCATCCATCCAATCAATCCATCCAGCCCTGGCCTCCCACAGTCCATTGGAGCTCAGGTCTCTCAGTGCCTGTTGGGAACTCAGCATCCACCCCTAGTCTTGCACAATCTACTGGGGGTACACCCCTCCTAATGCCTGATGGGATGTCAGCATGCAGCCCTGGCCATCAGCTCCCACAATCCACTGGGGCACAGGTCTCCCAGTGCCTGATGGGAACTCAGCATCCAGCCCTGGCCTCCAGTTCCCCACAATTCACAGGGGCACAAGCCTCCCAGTGCCTCATGGGGACTCAGCATCCAGCCCAGGCCATTGGCCCCCACCACTGAGTGGGGCCCAGGCTCAGCATCTGCAGCTTCAGCATCTGAGCCCCAGCTCATGAACAGGATGCAGGCCCAGACCTCTGGTCCACCATCAGGGACCCTGGTGCCCGGCTCCCCAGTGGATACCTCGGCAGTTGGCAGGCGGAAGGCCTCGGCGATCTTGCCATACAGCTCCTTGACGTTGGTGAAGCCCTCGATGCGGCCAGTGGGACTGCCATGGGCCAGCTGGGTGTGGAACACGAGGCGGGGCCGCAGGGCTGGGGGAGGGGGGGGCAAGCCCATTTGGGGGCCCCCCGACCCACCTCCGCCCAGAGGCCCTGGCTCCCCCACGCCCAGCCCTCCACGGCCTGGCTCAGCCTCCTCATTTTCCACTAGAGGGGGCGCCTTTTTCCGCCGCCCCAGTCCCAGCGGCATGAGCAGCGAGAAGTGGGGTCACCAGAAGATCTGCAGGACAGGAAGTGGGGCTCAGGGCCTGGGCAGAGGCCTTGGGTGCCCCTCCCACACTACTCGAACCATACAGGCCCAAGGAAATACTCAGAGAACAAATTGGCCTCGGTTGAAATCCTCATCTCTTGTATAGTGACAGGACACTTATATAAAAGTAATAATAGGGCTGGGTGCGGTGGCTCACGCCTGTAATCCCACCACTACGGAAGGCTGAGGTGGGCGGATCACTTGAGGTCAAAACTTTGAAACCAGCTTGGCCAACATGGTGAAACCCCACCTCTACTAAAAATATAAAAATTAGCCGGGTGTGGTGGTGTGCACCTGTAATCCCAGCTACTTGGGAGGCTGAGGCACAAGAATAGCTTGAACTGGAGAGGTGGAGGTTGCGGTGACCCAAGATCGCACCACTGCACTCTAGCCTGGGTGACAGACTAAGGCTCCGTCTATAAATAAAATAAAATAAAATAAAAAGCTCACACCTGTAATCCCAGCACTGTGGGAGGCTGAGACGGGAGGATCACTTGAGGTCAGGAGTTCGAGATGCCTGACCAACATGTCGAAATCCCATCCCTACCAAAAACACAAAAAAATTAGCCAGGCATGGTGGCGCATGTCTGTAATCTCAGTGATTCAAGAGGGTGAGGCATAAGAATTGCTTGAACCCAGGAGGCAGAGGTTGCAGTGAGCCAAGATCACACCACTGCACTCCACCCTGGGCAAAAGAGCAAGACTCTGTCTCAATAATAATAATAATAATAATAATAATAATAATAATAATAATAATAATAATACCAGCTAGGATTATTGCTTTGTGACCTTCCTTGTGTGTTTCATTTGTTGTTGTGACAGGGTCTTGCTCTGTCACTTAGACTGGAGTGCAGTGGTATAATTAAAGCTCACTGCAGCCTTGATCTCCCAGGCTCAAGGGATCCTCACACCTCAGTCTCTCAAATAGCTGGGCCCATAGGCACATGCCATGAAGCTCAGCTAACCTTTATTTTATTTTTTTGAGATGGAGTCTCACTCTGTCCCCTAGGCTGGATTGCAACGGTGTGATCTTGACTCACTGCAACCTCTGCCTCTCAGGTTCAAGTGATTCTTGAAGAAGAGACCCTGACTCTTTTTTTTTTTTTTTTTTTGAGACTGAGTCTCACTCCGTTGCCCAGGCTGGAGTGCAGTGGTGCAATCTCAGCTCACTCACTGCAATCTCTTGCCTCCCGGGTACAAGCGATTCTCTTGTCTCAGCCTCCCAAGAAGCTGGGATTACATGTCTGTGCCACCACACCGGGGTAATTTCTACATTTTTGGTAGAGATGGGGTTTCACCAAGTTGGCCAGGCTGGTCTTGAACTCCTGACCTCAAGTGATCCGCCCACCTCAGCCTCCCAAAGCGCTGGGATTAAAAGCGTGAACCACTGTGCCTAATGCTCAGCTGACGTTTTAAAACTTTTTGCAGGCCGGGTGCGGTGGCTCATGCCTGTAATCCCAGCACTTTGGGAGGCTGAGGCGGGTGGATCACGAGGTCAGGAATTCAAGACCAGCCTGGCCAACATAGTGAAACCCTGTCTCTACCAAAAAAACACAAAAATTAGCCGGGTGTGGTGGCATGTGCCTGTAGTCTTAGCTACTCAGGAGGCTGAGGCAGGAGAATTGCCTGAAACCTGGGAGGCGGAGGTTGCAGTGAGCTGAGACCGTGCCATTGCCTGGGTGACAGAATGACACTCCATCTCAAAAACAGAAAACAAAAAACAAAAAACAAAAAACACTTTTTGCAGAGATGAGGGGTCTCAATATGTTGCCCAGAGTGATCTCAAACTCCTAGACTCAAGCAATCCTCCTGCCTCGGCCTCTCAAAAGTGCTGGGAGTACAGGAATGAGCCATAGTGCCCGCCTGTAATCCCAGCACTTTGGGAGGCTGAGGTGGGCAGATCACCTGAGGTCACGAGTTGGAGATCAGCCTGGCCAACATGGTGAGACCCCGTCTCTACTAAAAATACAAAAATTAGCTGGCCGTGGTGGCGGGCGTCTGTAATCCCAGCTACTCGAGAGGTTGAGACGAGAGAATCGCTTGAACCTGGGAGGCAGAGATTGCAGTGAGCTGAGATTGCACCACTGCACTCCAGCCTGGGCAACAGAGCAAGACTCAGTCTCAAAAAAAAATAATAAAAATAAATAAATAAAAGAGTCAGGGTCTCTTATTGCTCTGTCCCCAGGCTGGAGTGCAGTGGGGTGATCACGATAATGGCTCACTGCAGCTTTAACCTCCTGGGCTCAAGCCATCCTCCATTCTCAGCCTCCCAAGTGGCTAGAACTACAGGCATGTACCATCACACCCGACTATTTTTTTTTTAAATTTTATTGTAGGCCTGGTGCGATGGCTCACATCTGTAATCCCAGCACTTTGGGAGGCTGTGAGCAGAACACTTGAGGTCAGGAGTTCGAGACCAGCCTGGCCAACATGGTGAAACCACATCTCTACTAAAAGTACAAAACTTAGCTGGGCATGGTGGCAGACGCCTGTAGTACCAGCTACTGGGTAGGCTGAGGCAGGAGAATTGCTTGAACCCAGGAGACGAAGGTTGGCAGTGAGCAGAGATCGTGCCAATGCACTCACTCCAGCCTGGGTGACAGAGATAGACTCCGTCTCAAAAAATAAATAAATAAATAAATAAACAAATATATATATATATATATAGAGAGAGAGAGAGAGAGAGAGAGAGAGAGAGAGAGAGACAGAGAGAGGGAGAGAGAGAGAAAGGAGTTCTTTTTTTTCTTTTTTTGAGACAGAGTCTCACTATGTCACCCAGGCTGGAGTACAGTGGCGCGATCTCGGCTCACTGCAAGCTCCACCTCCAGGGTTCACGCCATTCTCCTGTCTCAGGCTCCGGAGTAGCTGGGACTACAAGTGCCCGCCACCATGCCCAGCTAATTTTTTGTATTTTTAGTAGAGACGAGGTTTCACCACGTTAGCAAGGATGGTCTCGATCTCCTGACTTCATGATCCGCCTGCCTCGGCCTCCCAAAGTGCTGGGATTACAGGCGTGAGCCACTGCGCCTGGCAAGGAGGTGATCTTTCTCTGTTGCCCAGGCTGGTCTGGAACTCCTGGCTTCAAGGAGCTTTTGGCCTCCCAAAGCTCTGGCATGACAGGTATGGGCCACCGTGCCCGGCCTGTGACCTTCCTTAACCCTCACACCACACTGTAACACAGGGATCACGTTATGCTACAATTATGCCCATTGAACAGATGAGAAAATGGAGGCTGAAAGCGACTACGCTTCTATTTTCCTCTCAGCCACAGTCACTAACACTGTGTGCAAAAAATTTCTGACTCTCCCCCTTTGGACCAAACAGGTGGATGGCACTTCCTGGCCTCCTTGTGACTGGGCAGATAAATGATTATTTCTGGCAAATAGGTTGTGAGAGGAAGTGGCACATGACATTTCTGGGCTGAGGCATTTAAGTGCTGGAGCCTCCAGAGATCTATCTTTCCCAGGCAGGGTGATGAGCCACATTTGATATGGTGGCGACTCTATGAGGCCGGGCCCTGAATGACTACGGTGAATGGTGCCCCCTGCTGAGCCGCAATGGAAGTGTAGCAGGAAGAAAAAGCAAATCTTTGCTGAATTCAGCCACTAAGACTTTTGGGGTTGTTTTCTACACCACATACATTTTTTTTCTGTTTCTTTCTTGCTTTCTTTCTTTCTTTTTTTTTTTTTTTTTGAGACAGAGTCTTGCTCTGTCACCCAAGCAGCAGTGCAGTGGTGCGATCTCAGCTCACTGCAACCTCCGCCTCCTGGGTTCAAGCGATTCACCTGCCTCAACCTCCCAAGTAGCTGTGACTACAGAAGACTCCTGACCTCAAGTGATCCACCCGCCTCAGCCTCTTGAAGTGCTGGGATTACAGGCATGAGCCACCGCGCCCGGCCCGCTTCTTTATTTCTCTCTTTCTCCATTCTCCCCTCCCTTCAAACAATTTTTTTTTTCTTTTTAGTACTTACTGTATTCTGTGCACCATTTTAGATACTGTCTTCAATAAAAAAAGCAAGATCCCTGACTAGGGCCACCATGTTCAGTTACACAAGTTGTGTACTGTGCAAAATTACTAGACCAAGGTGGCAAGTAGGACTGAAATTCGGTCTGTGCACTGCCTGCCAAGCTATATTTCTTGGTGTGGTGTCTGCCAGGAGGAAGAGATGCCTTTCTTTTTTTCTTTTTTTTCTTTCTTTCTTTTTTTTTTTTTGAGACAGAGTCTGTTCTGTGTTGCCCAGGCTGGAGTGCAGTGGTGCAATCTTGGCTCACTGCAAGCTCCGCCTCCCAGGTTCCAGCAATTCTCCTGCCTCAGCCTCCCAGGTAGCTGGGACTACAGGTGCACGCCACCATGCCCGGCTAATTTTTTTTGTGTTTTTAGTAGAGACGGAGTTTCACTACGTTGGCCAGGCTGGTCTCGAACTCCTGACCTCGTGATTCGCTCGCCTCAGCCTCCCAAAGTGCTGGGATTACAGGCATGAGTCACTGCACCCGGCCGAAGAGATGTCTTTCTAATTCACTCACAGATGCTATATAGGCTAGCTGGGGCTCTGCACATGACCTCCAGAAGTGGACAGTCCGGAAGAGGAAATGCACAGGGAGCAGGGAAATGTGTAAATGTCTAATATAAATTTTTTCCTTTATTTTCCTTTTTTTTTTTGACAGAGTCTTGCTGTGTTGCCAAGGCTGAGGTGCAGTGGTGCAATCAGAGCTCACTGCACCCTTGCCCTCCTGGGCTCAAGTGATCCTCCCGCCCCAGCCTCTTGAGTAGCTGGGACCACAGGTGCTTGCCACCATGCCCTGCTAATTTTTTTATTTTTATTTTTTAGAGACAGGGTCTTGCTATGTTGTCCCGGCTGGTCTCAAACTCCTGGGCTCAAGTAATCCTCCTGCCATGGACTCCTAACGAGCTGGGATTATAGGCATGAGCCACTGTGCCCAGCCTCATATAATTTTTAATAGTGATATGGAGACAAAGCAAGACAAGTTCTATAGACAAGATCAGTGAGGGCGTCTCTGAGCACGTGAAGCTGAACTTGAGACCTGAACCACAGGAGGAAGCATTCATGCAATGATTTGGGGCAAGAACGTCCCAAGTAGAGAGAACAGCCAGTAGAAAGGCCCTGAGCTGGGGCTGGGCATGGTGGCTCAAGCCTGTAATCCCAGCACTTTGGGAGGTTGAGGTTGACGGATCACATGAGGTCAGCAGTTTGAGACCAGCCTGGCCTACATGGCAAAACCCCATCTCTACTAAAAATACAATACACAGGTGGGCGTGGTGGTGCACACCTGTGATCCCAGCTACTCGGGAAGCTGAGGTGGGAGAATCACTTGAATGCAGGAGGCGGAGGTTGCAGTGAGCCGAGATCACACCACTGCACTCCAGCCTGGGTGACAAACCGAGACTCCATCTCAAAAAAACAAAGAAAAGCCCTAGCCAGGCGCGGTGGCTCATGCCTGTAATCCCAGCACTTTGGAAGGCCAAGGCAGGCGGATCATGAGGTCAGGAGTTTGAGGCCAGCCTGACCAACATGGTGAAACCCCGTCTCTACTAAAAATACAAAAATTAGCCAGGTATGGTGGTGCATGCAAACCTCATCTCTACTAAAAACACAAAAATTAGCTGGGCGTAGTGGTGCATGCTTGTAATCCCAGCTACTCCTGAGGCTGAGGTTGCAGTGAGCTGAGATCACGCCATTGCACTCCAGCCTGGGCGACAGAGCGAGACTCGGTCTAAACAAAAAAAAAAAAAAGAAAGAAAAGCCAAGCCCTGAACTGGGCATGCAATTGGCATGTTTGAGGAACAGTGAGGAGGCCTGGGGGGTTGGAACAGTGAGTGAAGGGGGGATAGTGAGAACATGAGGGCAGGGAGGTAACAGGTTGCTATGTTTTCCTGATTTTTTTTTTTTAATGGGGTCTCACTCTGTCGTCCAGGCTGCAGTGGAGTGATGTGATCACAGCTCACTACAGCCTCAAATTCCTGGGCTCAAGCAATCCTCCTGTCTCAACCTCCTGAATAGCTGAGACTACAGGTGTTCACAGCCATGCCCAGCTAATTTTTATTTTTTGTAGAGACGGGTCTCACTACGTTGCCCAGATTGGTCCTGAACTCCTGGGCTCAAGCAATCCTCCCGCCTTGGCCTTCCAAAGTGCTGGGATTATAGGCATGAGCTACCACACCCAGCCTGCTATGGTTTGGATAAGGTTTGCCCCATTGAAACTCATGCTCGAACAATCGATTGGCTAACGAGGTCGATGACGCCAGGCACAAGATGCTGGGCCTACCGCGGTAGCGTGAGGGAAGCCGTGCGTTCTGTTCCAAGGCATCTGTGAGCCCATGGAGTATACACCATGAGCAAAGCTCACCCTCCTGAGTTGAAAAAATTTACGGACAAGAAGTTTTCATTGAAATTAAATGGTGGCAGACATGTCCAAGGAATATTGCGGGGATTTGATCCCTTTATGAACCTTGTGATAGATGAATGTGTGGAGATGGCGACTAGTGGACAACAGAAAAATATTGGAATGGTGGAAATACGAGGAAATAGTATCATCATGTTAGAAGCCTTGGAATGAGTATAAATAATGGCTGTTCAGCAGAGAAACCCATGTCCTCTCTCCATAGGGCCTGTTTTACTATGATGTAAAAATTAGGTCATGTACATTTTCATATTAGACTTTTTGTTAAATAAACTTTTGTAATAGTCAAAAATGTTTTTTCAGATGTTCTGAATATACAATATTAGCTCTCATTCCAATTTTTTCTAACATGAATTTTCCTGGTTGACATTGATTTCAAAGGGTTTTATGTATTAAAGTGACAGAATCTTATTAAATGTGAAACATGGCAAGGAGAAAAAAAAAAAAAAAGAAACTCATGCTAAAATTTGATCCCCAAAGTGGTGGTGCGGTGTTGGGAGGTGGGGCCTAGTGGGAGGTGTCTGTGTTATGGGGCCAGATCTCTCCTGAATGGCTTGAAGTAGCTCTGGAAGCAATGAGTGCTTGCTCTCAAGAGCCCGGATTAGTTCTCCAGAACTTACAGTAGTTGGCCAGGTGCAGTGGCTCACACCTGTAATCCCTGCACTTTGGGAGGCCGAGGCGGGCGGATCACGAGGTCAGCAGTTCAAGACCAGCCTGGCCAACATGGTGAAACCCCGTCTCTACTAAAATTACAAAAAATTAGGCCAGGCACGGTGGTGGGCACCTGTAATCCCAGCTACTGGGGAGGCTGAGGCAGGAGAATTGCTTGAACCTGGGAGGTGGAGGTTGCGGTGAATCAAGACCGTGCCATTGCACTCCAGCCTGGGCAACAGAGAGAGACTCAGTCTCAAAAAGAAAAAAAAGAAAATACATTAGTTAGGCCAGGAACGGTGGTTCACGCCTGTAATCCCAGCACTTTGGGAGGCAGAGGCAGGCGGATCACCTGAGGTCGAGAGTTCGAGACTGGCCTGACCAACATGGAGAAACCCCATCTCTACTAAAAATACAAAATTAGCTGGGTGTAGTGGCACATGCCTGTAATCCCAGCTACTAGGGAGGCTGAGGCAGGAGAATCGCTTGAACCTGGGAGGCAGAGGTTGAGGTGAGCTGAGACAGTGCCATTGCACTCCAGCCTGGGCAATAAGAGCGAAATTCTGTCTCAAAAAGAAAAAAAAGGCCAGGTGTGGTGGCTCACGCCTGTAATCCCAGCACTTTGGGAGTCCAAGGCGGGTGGATCACGAGGTCAGGAGATCGAGACCATCCTGGCTAACACAGTGAAACCCCGTCTCTACTAAAAATACAAAAAAAATTAGCTGGGCGTGGTGGCACACACCTGTAGTCCCAGCTACTCGGGAGGCTGAGGCAGGAGAATGGCGTGAACTCGGGAGGCGGAGCTTGCAGTGAGCCGAGATCATGCCACTGCACTCTAGCCTGGGTGACAGAGCGAGACTCCATCTCAAAAAAAAAAAAAAAGAAAGAAAGAAAGAAAGAAAATACATTAGTTAGGCCGGGTGCAGGGACGGTGGCTCCCGCCTGTAATCCCAACACTTTGGGAGGCCGAGGCGGGTGGATCACCTGAGGTCAGGAGTTTGAGACCAGCCTGGCCAACATGGTGTGAGCCAAAGAAGGCTGGTGTGAGCCACTGCGCTCAGCCTATATTTTCTTATGTAAAAGGGACTTCCTGGTGCCTCCTATCCAATGGTCTCTTCCAGGGGGCCATGCTGGATTCAGCTTGGCCGCATCCAATCTTTTTTTTTTTTGAGATGAACTCTCACTCTGTCACCCAGGCTGGAGTGCAATGGCGCGATCTCGGCTCACTGCAACCTCCACCTCCCAGGTTCAAGCGATTCTCCTGCCTCAGCCTCCTGAGTAGCTGGGATTACAGGTGCGTGCCACCACACCTGGCTAATTTTTGTATTTTTAGTAGAGATGGGGTTTCTCCATGTTGACCAGGCTGGTCTGGAACTCCTGACCTCAGGTGATTCGCCCACCTTGGCCTCCCAGAGTGCTGGGATTAGAGGTGTGAGCCACTGCACCCAGCCTGCACCTAGTCTCATGTATCCATTTGTTCATGCATCCATTCGTCTGTCCCCTAACACACCCTCTCATCTCACCTGGTCCATCTCCATGATCACTTACCTAAACTAGTGTGGTTGCCTCCTGTGGGTTTCCCAGCTTCCACCCTCACCCCCTACGACTTCTTGTCCAGACAGCAGCCAGAATGGTCCTGTAAAACATAAGTCATGTCGCATTTGTCTCTGCTCTGACCCCTCCCCGGGCTCTGACCTCGCTGGAAAGAAAAATCAGTGTCGGCCGGGTGTGGTGGCTCTCGCCTGTAATCCTAACACTCCGGGAGGCCGAGGTGGGCATGAGCCACCACGCCCAGCCATATATTTTCAAAATTAGCCAGGCGTGGTGGCGGGCGCCTGCAGTCCCAGCTACTCGGAAGGCTGAGGCAGGAGAATGGCATGAACCCGGGAGGTGGAGTTTGCAGTGAGCCAAGATCGTGCCACTGCACTCCAGCCTGGGTGACAGAGTGAGGCTCCATCTCAAAAAAAAGAAAAAAGAAAAGACCCCTCATCATCCCTCCAATTCCGCCAGCTCTACGCACTGGGAGGCAGGAAACTAAAAACATGAATCTGGAACCTGGCTTCATCTCTTAATAGCTGTGTGACTTTGGGCAAGGGTCTTAACCTCTCTGAGCTCCAAGGAAATCATGCATGTGCTTGGAACAGTCCTGGCACACAATAAGGGTTGCATAAATATTGGTGACAATTACTGCTACTGCCATCTTTTGTTTTTTTTTTTGAGACGGAGTCTCGCTCTGTTGCCCAGGCTGGAGTGCAGTGGCACGATCTCAGCTCACTGCAAGCTCTGCTTCCCGGGTTCACGCCATTCTCCTGCCTCAGCCTCCCGAGTAGCTGGGACTACAGGTGCCCGCCACCATGCCCAGCTAATTGTTTGTATTTTTAGTAGAGACGCTGTTTCATCATGTTAGCCAGGATGGTCTCGATCCCCTGACCTCGTGATCCACCTGCCTCGGCCTCCCAAAGTGCTGGGATTATAGGCGTGAGCCACTGCACCCGGCCTTGCTACTGCCATCTGTACCAAGATTCAAGCTTCCTCCTTTTCCCAAGATCCCTACATCCTGACCACCAATTCCCAGCCTCCTTACTCTCTCTCTCTGCCCACCCCACTGCCCTGGTTCATGCCAGCTTCCGTGTCCCCACCCGTGAGGAGGCATTAACAGCAGTGAGGAAAGTGAGTGAGTAATGAATCTGCCTGCCACGGCCATAAGAGGCTTCGTGGCCTGGGTTCAAATCCCACCCCTGCCACTTACCAGCTGTGTGGCTGGGGGGCAAGTCACTTCACATCACAGGGCCTCAGTTTCTTCATCTGAAAAATGGGTGGAATTCCTGTCACTCTCAAGGTGGTTGTGGAAATCCAAAGAGATTACCCACGTATCCCATCTACACTCTGCCTCAGACTCCATTTAAGGACGCTGTTGTCATTACTATGGGTGTCTCCTCCTCTGCCCTGCCCTGCCCAGGAATATCCCAACCCTCTCTGCCTGCCAATACCTACTCCAGGCCCACTCCTCCATGAAGCCTCCCAGGCTTGCCCCAGCATGCTGGAACTGCCCCTGTGGTACAGATGGCTCAGGCCCATGAACTTAATTGCATGCTGCCCTGGCAGAACTCTTGTCTTCCAGCTTCAGGCTGTCATTTAACTTCATGTCTCTATTTTAAAACGTAAACCAGATGGCATCACTGCCCTGCCTGAAACTTTACAACAGTTTCCCACCTTCTGGAAGAAAAACTGCAATCTCCTTACTGTGACCCACAAACCCCTGCAGAATCGCTGCTCTGGGTTCATCTTCTGCTCCAACCATGTGATTCCAAACTTGGTCCAGCCTAAAGACCTTGGCCTTGCCCATCTCTCTCTCTTTTTTTTTTTTCGAGATGGAGTCTTGCTCTGTCACCCAGGTTGGAGTGCAGTGGCGCCATCTCAGCTCACTGCAACCTCCACCTCCTGGGTTCAAACGATTCTTCTGCCCTAGCCTCCTGAGTAGCTGGGATTACAGGCACGCACCACCACATCCGGCTAATTTTTGTATTTTTATTTTGTATTTGTTTATTTTTATTTATTTATTTATTTTTGAGACGGAGTTTCATTCTTGTTGCCCAGGTTGGAGTGCAATGGCGCGATCTTGGCTCACCGCAACCTCTGCCTACCGGGTTCAAGCGATTCTCTCCTGCCTCAGCCTCCCATGTAGCTGTGATTACAGGCATGTGCCACCACGCCCAGCTTATTTTATATTTTTAGTAGAGACAGGGTTTCTCCATGTTGGTCAGGCTGGTCTTGAACTCCTGACCTCAGGTGATCTGCCTGCCTCGGCCTCCCAAAGTGCTGGGATTACAGGCATAAGCCACCACGCCTGGCCTATTTTTATTTTTTTTTGAGATGGAGTCTCGCTCTGTAGCCCAGGCTGGAGTGCAGTGGCACGATCTCAGCTCACTGCAACCTCCGCCTCCCGGGTTCAAGCGATTCTCCTGCCTCAGCCTCCTGAGTAGCTGGGCTTACAGGCGTGCGCCACCACACCCAGCTAATTTTCATATTTTTAGGAGAGAGGGGGTTTCACCATGTTGATCAGGCTGGTCTCAAACTCCTGACCTCTTGACCCACCTGTCTCAGCCTCCCAAAGTGCTGGGATTACAGGGGTGAGCCATGCCCCTAGCCAATTTTTGTATTTTTAGTAGAGACAGGGTTTCCCCATGTTGGCCAGGCTGGTCTCAAACTCCTGACCTCAAGCAACCCACCCGCCTCGGCCTCCCAAAGTGCTGGGATTACAGGCGTGAGCCACCGCGCCCGGGCCCCCTTGCCTGATCTTTGCTGGGCTGGCACCCCTTGCCCACAACTACTCTCTACAGTACCACCCGCTCATATTTTATTCATAGCAGTTAGTGCCATCTGAAATTATCTTCTTTATTTACTTGCTAACTTGTTTGTTGGCTGCTTCCTTCCTTTCAGAGTGCCAACTCCTCAAAAGTAGGGATTTTGTTTTGTTCACTGTTGCATTTTCTGTGCCAAGAACAGTGCCTAGCACATGCACGTAGCAGGTGCTCACTAAATATTTGTAGACTGAGTGAATGAATGTGTCTCAGGT
Source organism: Homo sapiens (assembly GCF_000001405.40). Taxonomy (NCBI): domain Eukaryota; kingdom Metazoa; phylum Chordata; class Mammalia; order Primates; family Hominidae; genus Homo; species Homo sapiens. Next base: position 14,494,684 of record NC_000019.10, read on the forward strand.
CCTCGTTCTGATTGCTCTCTGTGCTCCCCATCCTTGAAACAGCCCCCTAAACATGCCTGCTGTGCGGTTGCCAACTGTCCTAGGCTCCCCACTTTCCCTGGCTCCCCTCACACCTGAACACAGAGATGAAGAGCCACTTCAGCCCGGATATTGAGTGTTTGGGCTGGAATTTCAGCATCCTCACCCCCTCATCCTGGGAAGGGCCTGAAACTTAGCAACCCCACGGCCACACAGAAGCAGTGTGGCCAGCAGGAGGAGGGGAAGGGGGTTCCTGGGAGCACACAGAAGCTAGGGGAAGGGGGAAACCACGCCCAGGCTCCCCGTTCCAGCACAGTGTTGCTTTGGAGAGAAGGAGGGAAAGAGGCCTCTGATTCACTCTTGAAAAACCGGCTCCTGGGTGTTTCCGGGGAGAACGCCTACTTCCCAGCCTCGGCCCAGGTTGCCAGGGGGGAACCCAGTGGGCCCAGACCCCAGCATCCTGGCCCCCTGCAGACGCCACTCTCTTCTCTGGACCCAGGTAGTTAGACCTGCCCTCTCCAGCTCTGGGGAGAAGGGAAAGGAGGGCAGCTTCCTGTTTGAGTGGCTGGTAAAGCAAAAGACCAGCAGGTGTGGCCCTGATGATGAGTACGGGGTAGGGGGTGGGAGGGGTAGGGGGCCGGAGCTACTCAGCAACAACTGAGCCGTGGAGTTATTGGTATCCAGTCTAGTGGGTGTGACTCCAGTTCTGGACCCTGGGGCATGAGTTCCAGTCCCAGATGTGCCAGTTACTAGCTGTGTGACCTTGGGCAAGTCACTCCACCTCTCTGGGTAGGCTGCCTCACCTTTTTTACAAGAAGGCACAGCACCTCCCATGAGGTGTTTAGAGTCAATTATCCTCATGGTAAATGCCTGACACGGAAGCTCTCCAATAAATGCTAGCTGAGGTGGAGTTTTTCATGACGATTATTATTCAGACCGTGGTCCTCACTGCGTCCCCCCCAAGGCCCTGGAGGGTTCAGACGCGGTTAGCTCAGGGGAAGTGCCCAGGAAAGGGTCAGAAACACTGACCCCGCGCCTGTCCACGCTGGGATGGGGACAGTCCAGCCGGGGGACGGGGGGAGGGGCAAGCCCAGAAACCCCAGCCCAGCGTTGGGAGGCGTTTGTCCCCTGCCCGCCAGCAGGAAGGGAGCTGCCCCCACCACCCCCCACCCCCGCTTCCCCTGGGAAGGGGCCTCCGGCATCCCCGCGCGCAGCCTAGACCTCCAGTCGCGTCCACGGCGCCGGCCCCACCCTGCAGGATCGGCCGGATCCTCGCAGGCCCGCGACCCCCGAGGCCCCCGGAGCAGACACATCCTTCTCGCAGAGGCCACTCACCTGCTCCGCCGCCGCCGCCGCCGCCGCCGCCGCCGCCGCTGCCTCCGCCTCCCCGTGCGCACCCGGCTCGGCCCTCCGCAAACTCCAGACCGGGCCTCTCCCGCAGCGGCGCCTGGGGGGCGGGGCCGACGCCCGCGGCCGGCCAATCAGCGGCTGCCTCTCGGTGCTCGCAGCCAATCCGCGTCTTCCGCTTCGGGTGGACCCGACGGAAACATTCCAGAGGGATCCCTCCGCCTCGCCCGGCTCTTCCCGACTCCTCCCCTCGCCGCGAAGCAGTGGACCGTTCCGCCCCGCCTAAGCCGCGGCTGGCTGTACCACCGGAGGGCTGAGGAGGGGGGGGAGCTGCAGCTGGGCCCCGGCCAATCGCGAGGGAGGAAGGAGACAAGCGGCCAATGGGAAGGAAGCTGGGGCCCCTGAACCACGTGCTGTCGGCTGAGTGTCAGTCTCGGGTGCCCTGGGTGGTGAGGGGCGGGGGAGTCAGGTGACCTAGGCCAGGTTTCGGGGAAAGGATTCGAACTTCCGACGTCCAGGAAAGCGGACAGTTTAGGAGACCTGGGTGGGGGTCAATGGCAGTCCCCAACCCAGTTCCCTGCCCGGCCTCCTCTGCCCCAGCCTGGCCATCCTCGGAGCGGATAAAAAGATGCATTCAATCTCTGGGGGCGGGCGGGGGATCGAGATGAATAGGGAGGGTCCCGAGTTTCCCTGCTTCCTGGGCTGTACAATGGACAAAGGCATTCATTCATTCATTCGTTCACTCACTCATCAAATATTTAATGTGCCAGACTGCTCCGTGCCAGACTCTGTCCTACCTCTGAAGACGCGTCAGTGAATAAGCTGAATGTGCTCCTGGTAGAGGTAACAGAGCGTGCAAAAGCCGGACAGAGAGATACAGCACGCTTTAGGATACTGCAATATCGTGGGAGCTAGTAAATCAGTGTGGAAAGGCAAGATGCAATGAAAGACAAGGGTGAGATAGTTTATCTGCTTGTTGGTTTGTTTATGTGCTAGGTCACAGAAGGTACCCAGCCAGCCTTTCATAGATCTGTCTCCTCCATCTGACTGTGAGGGTGGAGGCTGAGTCTCTCTTGTCAACCCCTCACTCCCACCTCAGGCTGCCACACGGCAGGTTCTCAGCAAACCTGTGTGGACAAATAGACCATGTAGTTTATAAGGAAGGGGGATTTATCAGGTGGACACAGATCCAAGAAACAAGAGTCACAAATGCACCTGGACCAGGCCAGGACGCTCAGTTCCCGGGACAAGTGAGATTTCCTTGTTCTAGTTCAAACCCAGCCACTTGGACAGCAACTGGGGCTGAATGCTGTGTGTTCTGGGAACTGTAGTTCCTGGAAGCCTCTAAGTGCTGAGACCCTGCTCAAGCTCCATAGAAAGACTGGTTCTTTGCAGTTCCCAGGGTGAGATGTTGTGCATATCAGTCCCACCAGGACCTGCAGAGGGGCAAACTAAAATGGGAGATGGAACCTTGAGCTTTGCTGCTGAGGATTGCCTAGCCAGCCCCACCCAGCTGGCAAACACCGAGATTGCTGTGGCAGGCCAGGCAACAGGCACAGCTATTGTCCGTCCCTTCCTGTTCTGCTGACCTCTGCCATCCCACTGAGCAATCAGTTGCCTGGGCTGGCCAGTACCCTCTGTGGGACTGTGCTGCCTGCCCTGCTTGAGCCTGGCATCTAAGCTGCCCCCTGCACACTTGGAGAGGACGGGATGCTGAGCCCAGGGGACAGCATGACTGAGGCTGCAGAGTCCTGAGCCAGACTCCAACTGGCTCCTGTTTCCTGATGAGGAAGTGCCCGGAGAAGGGGTGATGGGATTGTGGGATTGCTCAAGACACAGAGCAGCACTGGGCACCTCCTTTCTGAATTTTTTTTTTTTTTTTTTTGAGACAGTGTCTAGCTCCGTTGGCCAGGCTGGAATGCAGTGGCAGGATCTCAGCTCACTGCAACCTCCACCTCCTAGGCTCAAGTAATCCTCCCATCTTAGCCTACCGAGTAGCTGGGACCACAGGCATGTACCACCACACCTGGCTAATTTTTGTTGTTGTTGTTGTTTGTTTGTTTGTTTTTTTGAGACGGAGCCTCACTCTGTCACCCAGGCTGCAGTGCAGTGGTGCAATCTCAGCTTACTGCAACCTCCGCTTCTCAGGTTCGAGCAATTCTCACGCCTCAGTCTCCTGAGTAGCTGGGATTACAGCGTGCGCCATCATGCTCGGCTAAATTTTTTGTATTTTTAAAAGAGACGGGGTTTCGCCATGTTGGCCAGGCTGGTCTCGAACTCCTGGCCTCAAGTGATCCACCTGCCTCGTCCTCCTGAAATGCTGGGATTACAGGCATGAGCCACTGCACGCAGTCTATTCCTTTGTTTGTCTGTTTGTTTGTTTTGAGACAGAGTTCCACTCTTGTTGCCCAGGCTGGAGTGCAATGGCGCAATCTCGGCTCACTGCAACCTCCACCTCCCAGGTTCAAGCGATTCTCCTGCCTCAACCTCCTGATTAGCTGGGATTACAGGCACCCGCCACCACATCTGGCTAGTTTTGTATTTTTAGTAGAGACAGGGTTTCATCCTGTTGGCCAGGCCGGTCTCGAACTCCTGGCCTCAAGTGATCCAACTGCCTCATCCTCTCAAAATGCTGGGATTACAGGCATGAGTCACTGTGCCAGGCCCATTTGTTTGTTTTTTGATAGAGACAGGGTCTCACCATGTTGCACAGAGCTGGTCTTGAACTCCTGGGCTCAAGCCATCCTCCCTCTTTGGCCTCCCAAAAGTGCTGGGATTACAGGTGTGAGCCACCATGCCCAGCCCTCCTTCCCGATTTTATAGCTCAAGAGGAATGCCTAAAAGCTGAGGCTGGGAAGTCCAATGGTGAGCAGCTTAGATGTGAGCGCTACCTCTGTTCCTTTAAAAGAAAAAAGAGGCCGGGTGCAATGGCTCACGCCTGTAATCCCAACACATTGGGAGGGTGAGGCGGGCGGATCACAAGGTCAGGAGTTCGAGACCAGCCTGGCCAACATGGTGAAACCTCGTCTCTACTAAAAATACAAAAATTAGCTGGGTGTGATGGTGGGCGCCTGTAGTCCCAGCTACTCAGGAGGCTGAGGCAGGAGAATGGTGTGAACCCGGGAGGCGGAGCTGGCAGTGAGCCGAGATTGCGCCACTGCCCTCCAGCCTGGGCAACAGAACGAGACTCCGTCTCAAAAAAAAAAAAAAAAAAAGAAAAAGAAAAAACAGAAAAAAGAAAAAAATTCCATCCTTGAATGCCAGCTAACACATGCAGAAGGGAAGGTTGTGTGCGTTAGAACATCATTGTTTTGCTGAGTGCAGTGGCTGCAGCCTCTAATCCCAGTGACTTGGAGGCTGAGGCTGAAAGGATCCCTTGAGGGCAGGAGTTCGAGACTAGCCGAGGCAACATAGCAAGACCTCCATCTCTACAAAAATGGGTGTGGTGCTGTGTGCCTGTAGTCCCAGCTACTCGGGAGGCTGAGGCAGGAGGATCACTTGAGCCCAGGAGTCGAGGCTACAGTGAGCTATGAGCTACAGCTTCCTATGTGCCAGGCATCATTCCAAGAACTTCCTATTTATTAAACCATGTAACTCTCCTGATGACCTAGGTGCAGTTTTACACATTGTATATTTGTCCTCCCACTCTGTCAGGGGAAAATTTGCTTCACCCATGATATCCTTCATTGGAGGGAAATTCTTAATTTTGATATAATAGAACTCACTGTGAAGTTATATTAAGAATGCTTGGCTGGGCACACTAGCTCATGCCTGTAATCCCAGCACTTTGGGAGGCTGAGGCAGGTGGATTGCTTGACACCAGGAGTTCAAGACCAGCCTGGGTAACATAATGAGACCCTGTCTCTACAAAAAATAATAAAAATTAGCCAGAAAAGGAGGCACTGGACTATAGTCCCAGCTACTCAGGAGGCTGAGGTGGGAGGATCACTTGAGCCCAGGAGTTCAAGCCTACAGTAAGCTATGATCACACCACTGCATTCTAGCCTGGGTGACTGAGCAAGACCCTATCTCCCAAAACAAAACAAAAGAAGGCCTTTTCATCCCTATATGGCAAACTTATACTTCCACATTTTCTTTATTTTTTTTTTGAAACAGAGTCTCACTCTGTCACCCATGCTGGAGTGCAGTGATGTGATCTCAACTCACTGCAACCTCCACCTCGCAGGCTCAAGCGATTCTCACGCCTCAGCCTCCCGAGTAGCTGGGATTAGAGGCATGTGTCACCATGCCTAGCTAATTTTTTGTATTTTTTAGTGAAGACCGGGTTTCACCATGTTGTCCAGACTGGTTTTGAACTCCTGGCCTCAAGTAATCCGCACGCTTTGGCCTCCCAGAGTGCTGGGATTGCAGGCATGAGTGAGCCACCGCACCTGACTCTTCCACAGTTTCCTTTTTTTTTTTTTTTTTTGAGACGGAGTCTCGCTCTGTCTCCCAGGCTGGAGTGCAGTGGCACGATCTTGGCTCACTGCAAGCTCTGCCTCCCAGGTTCATGCCATTCTCCTGCCTCAGCCTCCCGAGTAGCTGGGACTAGAGGCGCCCGCCACCATGTATGGCTAATTTTTTGTATTTTTAGTAGAGACGGGGCTTCACCGTGTTAGCCAGGATGGTCTTGATCTCCTGACCTCGTGATCTGCCCACTTTGGCCTCCCAAAGTGCTGGGATTACAGGCGTGAGTCACTGCGCCTGGCCCCATTTTCATTTCTTCATTCTACGTTTTTTGGTTTTGTTATTTTATTTATTTATTTATTTATTTATTTTGAGACAGAATCTTGCTCTGTCGCCCAGGCTGGAGTGCAGTGGCGTGATCACGGCTCACGGCAACCTCTGCCTCCTGAGCTCAAGCAATTCTCCTGCCCCAGCCTCCCGAGTAGCTGGGATTACAGGCTATGCCACCACGCCTGGCTAATATTTTTGTATTTTTAGTACAGACAGGGTTTCACCATATTGGCCAGGCTGGTTTCGAACTCCTGACCTCATGATCTGCCCACCTTGGCCTCCCAAAGTGCTGGGATTATAGGCATGAGCCACTGTGCCCGGCCCATTCTATGGTGTTACTTTTCCTGAGTCTTTATTCCATCCGTAGTCCACCTGAGGTTGTGGGGTAGAATGGTCTTCTTTTTCTCCATAACCTGTGCTGTTCAGCAGCTCTGTGACCTTGTGTGAAGCCCATCCTCTTCTGTGCCTCGGTCTCCTCATTTGTAAAATGGAGATAATAATAATACACACCAGCCGGGCGTGGTGGCTCACACCTGTAATTCTACCACTTTGGGAGGCCGAGACAGGTGGATCACTTGAGGCCAGGAGTTCAAGACCAGCCTGACCAACATGGAGAAACCCTGTCTCCACTAAAAATGCCAAAAATCAGCCGGGTATGGTGGTGTGCACCTGTAATCCCAGCTACTCAGGAGGCGCAAGAATCGCTTGAACCTGGGAGGTGGAGGTTGCAGTGAACCGAGATTACTCCACTGCACTACAGCCTGGGTGACAAAGTGAGACCTCATCTCAAAAAAAAAGGCCGAGTGTGGCGGCTCATGCCTGCAATCCCAGTACTTTGGGAGGCCAAGGTGAGTGGATCACCTGAGGTCAGGACTTTGGGACCGGCCTGGCCAACATGGCAAAACTCTGTCTCTAGTAAAAATACAGGCCAGGCGTGGTGGCTCACACCTATAATCCCAGCACTTTGGGAGGCCGAGGCGGGTGGATCACGAGGTCAGGAGATCGAGACCATCCTGGCCAACATGGTGAAACCCTGTCTCTACCAAACATAAAAAAATTAGCCGGGTGTGGTAGCAGGCGCCTGTAGTCCCAGCTTAGGAGTCTGAGACAGGAGAATGGCGTGAACCCGGGAGGTGGAGCTTGCAGTGAGGCGAGAGCCTGCCACTGCACTCCAGCCTAGGTGACAGAGCAAGACTCCGTCTAAAAATATATATATAATATATATATATATAAATTCGCTGGGCATGGTGGCGTGCACCTGTAATGCCAGCTATTCTGGAAGCTGAGGCAGGAGAGTCACTTGATTCTCGGGAGGCAGAGGTCGCAGTTAGCTTGATTCCGGAGGCGGAGGTTGCAGTGAGCTGAGAACATCCCACTGCACTCCAGCCTGGGAGACAGAGCGGGACTCCGTCTCCAAAAAAAACAAAATAAAATAAATAATAGTACACACCTCCTTAGGTGGTTATCAGCATGTTAGGATTAAATGGGCTATTCCATGTCAAATGCCCCGATGGTGCCAGGCAGATAGTAAGCACTTACTGCATACCAGCTGCCATTACTAAAATGTGCTGAGGGCACAATCATAGATAGACGCAATATGTCATAATGGACACACCATAGAAATAGAAACCTGTATTGGATCCTCGCTGTGTGTCAGGCTCTGTGCTGGTCGCTTTTCATGTCTAATTTCACTGGATCATGTTGAGCTCCTGGGGATGGGACTGATAGCACCCCCACTCTACAGAGGAGGAGACTGAGGCTCAGAGAGGGGAGACATGAGCTGAAAGATGCACAGTAACTCATCGATGTGGAATCTTAGCTCCAACCCCAGGACATGAGACGTCCCTCAAGGGAGTGAGTTCTACTTTCTTCAACTTTGGGGACAGGGCGGACTGAGATGTGGGGGACAGGAGGGACAGCACCAAGGGACATAGCCCCAGCCAGGTGATCCTGGAGGCAGGGCTGAGTCCTGTGGCCTCAGGTTACAGCCCCAGCACTGTCACCTGCCTTTTTGGTTTGTTTGTTTGTTTTTAATTGAGACAGAAGTCTTGCTCTGTCTCCCAGGCTGGAATGCAGTGGCGCAATCTTGGCTCACTGCAACCTCTGCCTCCCGGAGGTTCAAGCAATTCTCCCGCCTCAGGCTCCTGAGTAGATGGGATTACAGGCACCCAAAACCATGCCTGACTAATTTTTGTATTTTTAGTAAAGACAGGGTTTTGCCATGTGGGTCTTGAACCCCTGACCTCAGGTGATCCACCTGCCTCAGTCTCCCAAAGTGCTGGGATTACAGGCGTGAACCACTGCGCCCGGCCTGACACCTGCCTTTGACTGCTGGGTTTTAGGAAGTGACACCCAGCAGCTCTGCAGGTCACACTGTTTTCTAGAGGGGTCTTTGCAGAAGCAAAGAGAAACAAATGGCAACAGTGGTGATGATAAACACCACACCAGCCCTTCTCCCTGAACTCCTGAGGTATTTCTCTGTCTTGCTTTCTCTATAAGGACATCTCAGGGCATCTCAAACTGAACCCATCTGGAATTGAGGTCTTGATTGACACCCCAAATGTGCCATTTACCCTGTCTTCCCCTGCATGGTGATAGCAATTCTTTCAGTTGATCAGGCCCCAAACCTTGGAATAAGACTTAAATACTACCTACCTTCCTTCCTCTCTCTCCTTCCTTTTTTTCTCTCTTTCTCTCCTTCCTTCCTTCCTTCGTTCCTTCCTTCCTTCTCTTCTCTTCTCCTTTCCTTTTTTTCTTACTTCCTTTCCTTCTTCCTTCCCCTCCCTCCCTCCCTTCCTCCCTTTCCCTCTTCCTTCCTTTCTTTTCCCTCTCCTCTCCTCTTCTTTTCTTTCTTGACAGAGTCTTGCTTTGTTACTCAGGCTGGAATACACTGGCAAAATCATGACTCCCTGCAACCTCAACATCCTGGGCTCAAGCAATCCTCCTACCTCAGCCCCTCAAGTACCTGGGACCACAGGTACGGGCCACTACACTCAGCTAATTTTTAATTTTTTGTAGAGATGGGATTTTACCATGTTGCCAAGGCTGGTTTCAAACTACTGAGCTCAAATGATCCTCCTGCCTTGGCCTCCCAAAGTGCTGGGATTACAGGCATAAGCCACTGCCCCAGCCGACTCCTACCTTTCTCTCATAGTCCAGCTCTGTCAGCAGCACGTCCTATCAGCACTACTTTCTTTTCTGTTCTTTTCCTTTTTTTAAATCCCAATGGGCAAGCAATGACAGTGAAACTCACAGACACATCAGATATTTTTAAAAAGCTTTTCTTATAGGCACAATATTTTCTTTTCTTCTCTCTCTTTTTTTTTTTTTGAGACAGGGTCACGCTCTGTCATCCGGGCTGAAGTGCAGTGGTGCCATCATAGCTCACCGTAGCCTTGACCTCCTAGGCTCGAGTGGGTGTCCTACCACACCCAGCTAATTTTGGTATTTTTCATAGAGATGGGGTTTTGCCATGTTGCCCAGGCTGATTTTGAAGTCCTGGGCTCAACCTCCTGCTTCAGCCTCCTCCCAAGTAGCTGAGATTACAGGAGGGAGCCACCTATCTCATCTCTGGCCCAAGATATACATACATACATACATACATACATACATACATACATACATACATATATTTAAAGACAAAGTCTGGCTATGTCGCTCAGGCTGGAGTGGAGTGCAGTGGCACGATCTCAGCTCACCGCAAACTTGGCCTCCCAGTTTCAAATGATTCTCAGCCTCAGCCTCCCAAGTAGCTGGGATTACGGGTGCATACCACCAGGCCCCGCTGATTTTTTTTTCTTTTTTTTTTTTTGCAGTTGCAAGATTTAATAGAGAGAAAACAAAGCTCCCATTCAAAGGGAGGGGACCCAAAGGGGGTAGCCATTGCTGGCTTGAATGCCTGGATTTATATCCCGATCATTGTCCCTCCCGCTGTGCTCTCAGGTGATAGATGATTGGCTATTTCTTTACCTCCTGTTTTTGCCTAATTAGCATTTTAGTGAGCTCTCTGATTGGTTGGGTGATTTTTGTATTTTTAGTAGAGATGATGTTTTATCGTATTGGCCAGGCTGGTCTTAAACGCCTCACCTCAAGTGATCCGCCCTCCTCAGCCCCCCAAAGTGCTGCAATTATAGGTGTGAGCCACCGTGCCCGGCCCCAAGATGTATTCTTGGGTGGGTGTGGTGGTGCGTGCCTGTGGTCCCAGCTACTTGGGAGGCTGAGGTAAGAGGATGACTTGAGTCCAGGAGGTCGAGGCTGCAGTGAGCTATGATCGCACCATTTCACTCCAGGCTGGGCAATAGAATGAGACCCTGTCTCTAATAAACAAAACAAAACAAAGCCAAAAAAAAAAAAAAATCAGCCAGGTGCGGTGGCTCATGCCTGTAATCCCAGCACTTTGGGAGGCCAAGGTGGGTGGATCGCCTGAGGTCAGGAGATTGAGACCAGCATGGCCAACATAGTGAAACCCCACCTCTCTTAAAAATACAAAAATTAGCTGGGCGTGGTGGGACATGCCTGTACTCCCAGATACTCGGGAGACTGAGGCAGGAGAATCACGTGAACCCCCGAGACCGAGGTTGCAGCAAGCCGATATTGCGCCGCTGCACTCCAGCCTGGGCGACAGAGCGAGACTCTGTCTCAAGACAAAAAAAAAAAAAAAAAAAAAAAAATCCTGGGCTACTTTCGCCCCACCTGCTCCGACCTCTCCCGGTCCAGCCAGCCCCATCACCTCCTGCCTGGTGGTGCGGTGAATGGCTTCGGTCCTGGTCCACCCGCTCTGCCCTTACCCCTACGGTCAGTTCTCCGCACAGAGGCCAGGGGGCGCCCGTGAGCACCCAAATCAGGTCACCTCCTTTCTCTACGGAGGACCTCCCCCCAGGAGGCCATGAGCCCCCAAAGAACCTGCCCCTGTGAGCCAAAGTGTTTTTTATTTTCAGGTGTCACGCCTGGCTACATTGATGTCCAGCATAATATTCCTGGGGAACGTTGGGGCCCCATGAAGGCAAACAACCCAGGTCCCAGCTCTGTCTTCCTGGTAAAAGCAAATCAGGCCTTGTCCCTCCTAACTCTCAATTTCTCTTCCAACTCAGGAATGCAGGGCCTGGCCTGTCTCATTCCTAGACACGCCCTGCCCTGCTCTCTCCTGTTCTCTCGATTCCAGTCACACCAGGCCTGTGTGTGTGTGTGTGTGTGTGTGTGGATGGCCCTGTGGGGGAGTGGTTCCCAGATCTCCAGCCTAGGGGCCTCTTCCCCGGGCCTTGGCTCCAGGAGCCCCTCCCTGCGCCCTAACAAGCTCCTGTCCCTTGGCCTGTGTGTCCAGGGCCTGCCAGGCGTCTTCCCCTCCACGCTGCGGGCTATGGGAAGTGGCTCGGTCAGTTTAATGAGTTGAATGATGCCCCACCCTAAAATATATGTCCACATTCCAGAACTGTGAATGTGACTTGACTTGGAGTAAGTGTCTTCAAAGATGTAATTCAGTGGAGGATCTCGAGATGAGATCATCCTGGATTAGGGTGGCTGGCCCCGAAATCCAATGATGGGTGTCCTTATAAGAGATGGAAAAGGAGAAGACACAAAGACACACAGAGGGGAGGGCCACGGGACGGCAGCGGCAGAGATTGGAGCGATGCAGCTACAAGCCCAAGGAGGCTAAGGATTGCTGAAACCACCAGAAGCCAGGAGAAAGCCGTCCTCACTTGTTAATGCCAGGTACAGGGGCTCATGCTTGTAATCCCAGCACTTTGGGAAGCCAACGCAGGAGAATTGCTTGAGCCCAGGAGTTTGAGGCCAGCTTGGGCAACACAGTGAGACCCTGTCTCTACAAAAAATTTAAAAATTACGCTGGCATGATGGTGCATGCCTGTGGTCTCAGCTACTTGGGAGGCTGAGATAGGAGGATCGCTTGAGCCCAAGAGATCGAGGCTACAGTAAGCCCTGATTGTGCCATTGCACTCCAGCCTGGGCAACAGAGTGAGATCCTGTCTCAAAACAAACAAGCAAGCTGGGTGCAGTGGCTCATGCCTGTCATCCCAGCACTTTGGGAGGCCGAGGCGGGCAGATCACCTGAGGTCAGGAGTTCGACACCAGCCTGGCTAATATGGTGAAACCCTATCCCTACTAAAAATACAAAATATTAGCTGGGCGTGGTGATGTGTGCCTGTAATCCCAGCTACTTGGGAGGCTGAAGCAGGAGAATCACTTGAACCTGGCAGGCGGGTGCTGCAGTGAGCTGAGATCGCGCCACTGCACTCCAGCCTGGGCGACAGAGTGAGACTCTGTCTCAACACCACCACCACCAACAACAAATTACTTGTCGTTTGAAGCCACCCAGTTTGTTGTGGCAGCCCTAGGAAACGGAAACCCACAGGTGTGTTTCCTAGGAGACTGTGAGTTTCACGAGCTCCATCCTCCCTCCCCTATGCCAGATGGCCAAGTTTTCTGCTTGGCGCATCTCCTGAGCCTAGCACTGAGGTGTCCCTCAGGAACTGTGCCCATAGACTAGTCTACAGATTGTGAAGTAGAAACAGGTCCCCCATGCCAGGCGCGGTGGCTCACGCCTGTAATCCCAGCACTTTGGGAGGCCGAGGTAAGGCAGATCACCTGAGGTCGGGAGTTCGAGACCAGCCTGGCCAACATGGTGAAACCACGTTGCTACTAAAATTACAAAAATTAGCTGGGCGTGATGGTGGGTGCCGGTAGTCGCAGCTACTCAAGAGGCTGAGGCATGAGAATTGCTTGAATCTGGGAGGTAGGTGTTGCAGTGAGCTGAGATCATGCCACTGCACCCCAGCCTGGATGACAGAGCAAGTATCGGTCTCAAAAAAAAAAAAAAAAACAAAAAGAAAAGAAAAAGAAAAAAAGAAACAGGTCCCTCAGGAAAGAGGGGCTCTCCCGGACTGAATATCTGCTTCTCCCTGGTGGGAAAGCTGAAGGAATTGGGGTATGGGGGTGGGGTCCCTGGCAAGGGTGGTGGGGACTACTAGCTGACCCGAGGGCTGGGTTATCCTTCCTCTGCACATACCATGACATGAACTATCGTAGGAAAAATGTTGCAGGTCCTCTTGTCTGAATTACTTTGTCACTTAATTACTCACTTAACAAACACTCAAAGGGTCAGTTCCGGGGCAAGCATCACTCTGGCAACTGGTGATACAGATTATTAGGATGTAGTTGGTGACCTCAAGGGAACTCACAGTTGCCACAAAGCGGGGGACATTTTTTAGTATTCTCCTGCCGTTGTCTCTCCTGCCCCACTGACAAAGAGGGAAGGTGTCTCAACTAATAATCAGGGAGTTTGAGAAATCAGCCTCTGCTTCCCCTTGGGCAAGTGTGATGTCAACAGACTATGAAAGTACTTTCAGCCAGGAGGGGTGGCTCACGCCTGTAATCCTAGCACTTTGTGAGGCTGAGGCGGGTGGATTGCCTGAGCTCAAGAGTTCGAGACCAGCCTGGGTAACATGGTGAAACCCTGTCTCTACTAAAATATAAAAAATTAGCTGGGCGTGGCAGCATGCACCTGTAATCCCAGCTACCCAGGAGGCTGAGGCAGGAGAATCGCTTGAACCTCGGGGGCAGAGGTTGCAGTGAGCCAAGATTGCGCCACTGCACTCCATCCTAGGTGACAGAGTGAGACTCCTTCTCAAAAAAAAAAAAAAAAAGAAAGAAAGTGCTCTCAGGTCTGTGGGAGAGAAGATGAGTGCATGCTCTTTAAGGCCTAGTTTTTTTGTTTTTTTTTTTTGAGACAGTGTCTTACTCTGTCGCCCAGGCTGGAGTGCAGTGGCGAGATTTCGACCTCAGGTGATCCACCCAGCTGAGCCTTCCAAAGTTCTAGGATTACAGGCGCAAGCCACCGTACCCAGCCAAGGCCTAGATTTTAATAGAGAATATAGATAGATGCTTCTTGTTTGTGTTGTGCCATTTTTAGGTGTTTTTTTTTTCTTTCTTTCTTTCTTTCTTTTTTTTTGACAGAGTGTTGCTCTGTCACCGAGGCTGGAGTGCAGTGGCACAATCTTGGCTCAGTGCAACCTCCACCTTCTAGGTCCAAGCGATTCTCCTGCTTCACCCTCCAGAGTAATTGGGATTACAGGCACCTGCCACCACGCCTGGCTAATTTTTGTATTTTTAGTAGAGACAGGGTTTCAACATGTTGTCCAGGCTGGTCTCGAACTGCTGACCTCAGGTGATCCACCCACCTCGGCCTCCCAAAGTGCTGGGATTACAGGCGTGAGCCACTGCGCCTGGCCCATTTTTAGTATTTAGTGGAAGTTTGGTGCATTGAGATTTCCTTTATTCTTTCCTTTTTTTTTTTTTTTGAGACAGAGTTTCACTCTGTCACCAAGGCTGGAGTGCAGTGGGGCAATCTCAGCTCACTGCAACCTCTGTCTCCTGGGTTCAAGCAATTCTCCTGCCTCAGCCACTGGAGTAGCTGGGGTTACAGGTGCCTGCCACCATGCCCAGCGAATTTTTGTAATTTTAGTAGAGACGGGGTTTCACTGTGCTGGCCAGGCTGGTCTGAAACTCCTGACCTCAGGTGAGCCATCCGCCTTGGCCTCCCAAAGTGCTGGGATTACAGGCATGAGCCACTGTGCCCGGCCCAGCTTGACTTTTAGATATAATGTTTCAGTTTTTAGTAGAGATGGGGTTTCACCACATTGGCCAGGCTGGTCTCGAACTCCTGACCTCAAATGATCCACCCATGGTGGTCTCCCATAGTGCTGGGATTACAGGCATGACCTGCTCCGCCTGGCCTGGGGCAGGTTTTCTGCCAAGTGCTTTAGATATATTTGCTAATGTTATTCACACTTGCTCTATTCCTGGCCTGGATAAAGCGCTTCTCAGGGATTAGCTGTCTGAGTTCTAGCTCCAGAAGAGTGAGAAAGGAGGGGCTGCGATGTTTGATTAGTCCTGTTATACATGGGAAGAAACTGAGGCTCTGAAAGGTTTTGTCATTTGTTTGAGGAAATGTGGTGAGCAGAACTTGGACTTGGCACCCCCCTACCCCAGAAGCTGGGTTCTTCATCGCTATGTTCTTTTGTTTCCTAAATGCACTAACTCACCCAGATGTCACAGCATCTCTATGAGAGCTGCACTTCTGTTTCCCGTTTCTTCTGTTTTTTTTTTTCGAGACAGAGTCTTGCTCTGTCACCCAGGCTGGTGTGCAGTGGTGGGATCTGGGCTTACTGCAGCCTCTACCTCCCAGTTTCAAGCGATTCTCCTGCCTCAGCCTCCTGAGTAGCTGGGATTACAGGCACCTGCCACCACGCCCAGCTTTGTATTTTTAGTAGAGACAGAGTTTCACCACGTTGGCCAGGCTGGTCTTGAACTCTTGACCTCAAGTGATCCATCCGCCTCGGCCTCCCAAAGAGCTGGGATTACAAGCATGAGCCACCACACCTGGCTAATGCTCAGCTAACGTTTTAGGAGGGTGGATCACCTGAGGTCAGGAGTTCGAGACCAGCCTGACCAACACGGTGAAACCCCATCTCTACTAAAAATACAAAAATTAGCTGGGTGTGGTGGCGGGTGCCTGTAATCCCAACTACTCGGAAGGCTGAGGCAGGATAATTGTTTGAACTTGGGAGGCGGAGGTTGCAGTGAGCTGAGATTGCATCATTGTACTCCAGCCTGGGTGACAGGGCAAGACTCCGTGTCAAAAAAAAAAAAAAAAAAAAGAAAGAAAAGAAAAGAAAAGAAAAGAAAAAAAACAAAAGCAAGCAATCAAACTGGGACTCAAATCCGGAAGCAAGAACGATGTGAGAGGAGTCAGGGGTCGCCAAACACTAATTTAGATCTTCACACCCAGCTGGGTGGACCTGCCAGAATAAAGGTGGGGAATAGCACAGGAATGAGGAAGCTCTTTATGTTCACAGCATCTTGTGTGAGAAAAAAAAAAAAAAAAAGCGGAGTGTACAGTATGTACTCCTTGTGTAAAAAAAGAAAAATGTATTCCCCGCAGCATCTCAGGAAAGGCGCAGGAGAGACGGGGAACATTCGTATCCAGTTCGGGGGTGTGGAATCGGATGGTAGGGTGGGAGGGAGGACTTTCACTCTCTGTATCCTTTCCAGTGTTGTATTGTGATTACACAGTCAAAAAATAAAACTGAAAATTTAGAAATTGTGTTTATGCTTATGTAAGCACAGACTCATCTCTTGGAGGAAGCACAAAAATGGTTTTTTTAAAAAAGGAAAAAAAGGCCGGGTGCAGTGACTCACGCCTGTCATCCCAGCACTTTGGGAGGCTGAGGTGGGCGGATCACTTGAGGTCAGGAGTTTGAGACTAGCCTGGGCCAACATGATGAAATCCTGTCTCCACTAAAAATACAAAAATTAGCCGGGCGTGGTGGTACGCGCCTGTAATCCCAGCTACTAGGGAAGCTGAGCCAGGAGGGTCGTTTGAGCCTGGGAGGCAGAGGTTGCAGTGAGCCGAGATTGCACCACTGCACTCCAGCCTTGGCGACAGACCGAGACTCTGTCTCAAAAATGAGAAAAGGAAAAAAAAAAAAAAAAATCTGTGATGCCAATGCCAGTGTCTATAGTGGTGCAGTAGGATGGGGAACTTCAGGGCCAGGGGAAGGATGGGAGGACTCGGCTTTTCACCATAGGCCAAATGGACCTATTGAGTGCTGTTCTATGATTATAAAAAAAAAACACTGCTGGTATTGTAATGCAGGTGGGTCAAAGAATGAGTCAGTTGCACACGTCCTGTCATGGAAGGAGCTCTGAGACCTGATCAGAGATGCAGCATGGAAAAGTGAAATAAATCCATTAAAGAAAGCCCAAGGCTGAGCCTATAATCCCAGAGCTTTGGGAGGCCAAGGTGGGAGAATCGCTTGGGGCCAGAGCAACATATCAAGATATCAAGATATCGGCCAGCGCAGGTTCACGCCTGTCATCCCAGCACTTTGGGAGGCCGAGGCAGGTGGATCACTTGAGGTCAGGAGTTCAAGACCAGCCTGGCCAACATGGTGAAACCCAGTCTCTACTAAAAATAAAAAATTAACCAGGCATGGTAGCACACGCCTGTAATCCCAGTTACTCGGGAGGCTGAGGCAGGAGAATCGCTTGAACCCAGGAGGCAGAGGTTGCAGTGAGCCGAGATTGCGCCACTGCACTCCAGCATGGGCAAAAGAGCAAGATTCCGTCTCAGGAAAAAAAATTAAAAAAAAAAAAAAAAAAAAAGGAAGGTAGAAGTGGCTCACGCCTGTAATCCCAGCACTTTGGGAGGCCAAAGCAGGCACATCACGAGGTCAAGAGATCAAGACCATCCCGACCAACATGATGAAACCCCATCTCTAGTAAAAATACAAAAATTAGCTGGGCGTGATGTCATGTGCCTGTAGTCCCAGCTACTCAGGAGGCTGAGACAGGAGAATCACTTGAACCCGGGAAGTGGAGGTTGTAGTGAGCCAAGATTGCACCACTGCACTCCAGCCTAGGCAACAGAGCAAGACTCCATCCCCCTCCCCGCAAAAAAGTTAACATATCAACAAATCATCTCTACAAAAATTAGACAAATTGGCTGGTTGTGGTGTGGAGTGCCTGTGGTCCTAGCTACTCAAGAGGTTGAGAGGCGGGAGGATTGCTTGAGCCCAGGAGTTTGAGGCTGCAGTGAGCTATGATCCTACCACTGCACTCCAGCCTGGACAACAGAGTGAAATCCTGTCTTCAAAAAAAGAAATTAAAAAAAAAATCCTGAGTGCGGTGGCTCACACCTGTAATCCCAGCACTTTGTGAGGCCGAGGGGGCGCCGATCACTTGAGGTCAGGAGTTTGAGGCCAGCCTGGCCAACATGGTGAAACCCCATCTCTATACTAAGAATACAAAAATTAGCCTGGCGTGGTGGCGCACGCCTGTAATCTCAGCTACTTGGAAGGCTGAGAATTGCTTGAACCTGGAAGGTGGAGATCGCAGTGAGCCGAGATTGCACCACCGCGCTCCAGCTTGGATAGAGCGAGACTCTGTCTGAAAAAAAAAAAAAAAAAAAACAAGCCCAAGACTTTGGGAAAAGTTTGCATGTGGGTGCACCAGATATCCGGCCAAGATAGACAAGCCAAGTAGTGGCCTTTGAGCAAAAAAATGCATGTGTGAAAGGTCTTTGGGCCCTTTTACCACCAAGATTTTCCCCTCAAAATCCCACCGTCCCACTCCTCACACTGCTACCTGGTAGGTTGCTTGGCCGTGTTTTTTGTGAAGTTCCCAGAATTGTATATACCTCAAGGCTTCGTGCACCTTTATGTTTGTGACACTTCAGTATGAAGTTCACAGGGACTTGGTGTATAATGGAGACTTGGGGGTGGGGATGGCAGCCCTGGGATTTGTGTCACCAATGAGGTCAGGTCAGTTCCGCAATAAATGTGACCTTGGCGTGTGGGATACTTTGGTAAACATCTCTTAGCTCTTGATATTCCAGGGTCACCTCCTGATTGGGCTGGCGTCTCCTGGCTTAATGTGGCTGCTCTTCAAAGTCACCCCTGCAATGTCTTTAGGGAAAAGCCCTCTAGACTTGACTTGTCCAACAGTTGCCACTGGCCACATACATGTGTGGCTGCTAAGCAACTGAAGTGTGGCAGGACTGAGGAACTGATTCTAATTTTATTGAATTTGTAAGATGTTTAAGTAAACGGTATATAGAACGTTCTAGTCATTGCAGAAAGTTCTCCTGGACTGGCAGGGCTGCCCCTAGCCTGTTTTCAGCGCTTCAACTGTTTCAGTGGGAAGGGAAAGCAACTCTTAGCTTGACACTTTTTTGTGAGACACAGCCTCGCTCTGTCACCCAGGCTGGAGTGCAGTGGTGGGATCTTTGCTCACTGCAACCTCTGCCTCCCATGTTCAAGTGATTCTCCTGCCTCAGCCTCCTGAGTAAATGGGACTACAGGTACGTGCACCACGCCTGGCTTTTTGTTTTAATAGAGACGGGGTTTCACCATGTTGGCCAGGCTGGTCTGAAACTCCTGACCTCAGGTGATCTGCCCGCCTTGGCCTCCCAAAGTGCTGGGATTACAGGTGTGAGCCACTGCGTCTGGCCCAGTTTGACTTTTGGATACTGTGTTTTAGTTTTTTTTTCTTGATACAGGGTCTCACTTTGTCACCCAGGTTGGAGTGCAGTGGCACAAACACAGCTTGCTACTGCCTCCACCTCTTGGGCTCAATTGATCCTCCTGCCTCAGTCCCATAAATAGCTGGCCCTACAGGTGTACGCTGCATTCTCCGGCTGAATTTTTAAATTTTGTAGAGATGGGGTTTCACAATGTTGTCTAGGCTGGTCTCAAACTCCTGAGCTCAAGGGATCTACCCACCTTGGCCTCCCAAAGTACTGGGATTACATGCCTGAGCCACTGCTCCTGGTCTATATACAGTGTTTCCACTTTAGAACATTTTGTAACAAAGCAGCAATACATTGTTTTAAGCCTGAGCAATTACTTTATAATAAAACCAGTTATTTTAAAGAAAGTTACAAAGTAAAAGCAGCTTTAGTAGCCTGCAAATAAAGCCAAGGCAGGAAATGGGTCCTCTCTACAGTGGGGCTAGTCCTGGGCAGGACCTTGAGCTCCGGTTTGGCCAGCCTTCAGGACGCCCAGCCCGTTCTAGCAGGGAAGGAGTGATAAGGAATTAAGAGGCCAGACCCTGGGTTGGCCCCTTGGCCCCAGAGCCAAGGTCTGCTGAAAAAGCCAGGGACCCTGAAGAAAGGCAGAATTAGGAGCCAGACCCTGCCTCTCCCCACCGCTACTTTGACTCCAACCTTCATCAAAAAATGATCCCCAAGGCCACTGTGCTTGGGTCTCTGGTTTTTTGGACCCCGAGTCTGGGTAGAAGTTCTCCAACCCACTTATGGCTGAGGAAGGGAGACTTACGTTTCCCTTGCAGGGCACTTGCCTCCTGCCCATCCCACCCTCTCACCTTGATTGAATTTGGAAGGATGCCCAGCTCCCCACTCCACCCCCAAAACCAGCAGAACCCTCAAACAGAGTCACAGGACCGCTCCCCTGAGGTTTAGCATCAGTCTTTAATGCTGTCGCACTTCATTGACTAGTCACACACTTTGGTCTCATGTTGGCAGTGGCAACTTACAATGAGTCTAAAGGTCTGAGCACTGGACTGGCCTCCAGGGAACAGACATTTGTTCCAACTCCCCTTCCCTCCCCAAGATTTCTTCAGAATTCCATTATGGCCCTATACAGAGAGCACTGGCTGCCGGGGACAGGTTTTGAGTGTACACCAACTATACATGGAATTATAAAAACATATTTACAGACGTTCCACAGTGCTCCTGTAATCAGAAGCAAAGACCCTTTTATCAAAAGGGATTGTATCTAGGGCTGTGCAAAATTCAAAAGGATCAGATCCCTTTGAAAGAGTCCATAGTCCATGAAACAAAAAATTACCTGGGCCACTGGTAAGCCCCACGTGTGCCAAGATTGCCTTACAGAAATGTAAAGAGTGTGACCCACAAAGTGAGGACATTCAGCTTCACTGGAGCCAGAGGTCAGGAAGGCCCCTTGCTGAGGCCAGGCTCCCAGACCATCAAGGGAGAGGTGGCTGCACTTGCTGGAGTCACTCACTGGAGGCTGGCTCCCTTGGTCCTGCTGGAACGAGAGGTATTGCTTGTGGACGCCAACCAGGCAGTTCTGCAGGAATAGTTTAGGTTCTCAATTTGAGATGGCCAAAGAGAAGACAGAATTCTCCAGGAGAAGAGCAAGACATGGGAGACAAATACAGAATAAAGCACAAACTGATCACACAACAGAAAAGGAGGAGTGTACAGGGTCTGGGAATCAAGACTGCAGGTTGACATTATCTACCAGCCAGAAGCAAAAAGACACAGAGGGATCAAGTCCATCTGCTGGTCTGCCTCTCACCCCTGGCCAGGGACTGGAGGTGGATGTGGGCCCATCCCGGGAGGGCTGCCAGACCCAGTGGGGCAGACTGGAATGCCTTTTCCTGCTGTTCCCACCACCTGATGCCCTATAGCTCGAAAAACCACTGAAGTCTAGTGTGCGACTTTGAAAGATTGTAATATATGCTCTGGAAAACATTCAGCAGTACGAAAGCCCTCCCTGGGCCCTCCCACCCTCTCATGGTCCACAACTGGTAGAAAGGTCCAGAAATCCTTGAGCTCTGGAAAGGTCCCTGGTCAGTCCTTGGGGAGCTCAGATAGCTATATTGGAAGAACCTGCTCAAGTACGGTTCTTGATGTCTGGGGAATCCTTTCGGGGAAGATCACTTCAAACTCAATAATGAGGTCCCCACGTTTCTCGGGTGTTTTGGGGAGGGGGAGGCCTTCTCCAGGAACTTTTCGCCGCATGCCAGGCCTGATAACATCTTTGAATACGACGGGTATCGTCCTGCCGTCCAGAGTGGGGACGTTCACTGTGCAGCCACACAGAGCCTTGAAAAGCAAAAGGACAGCATTAGATGGAAGCTGGCTCAAGAGGCTCAGCTCTTGCCCAGAGGCCGTCTGCCATAGATAAGACCCATCAGGCCTCTGCAGCTAAGACCTGGCCCCCAAATCTACACGTCCCCACCACGAAAGCTCCACAACAGCGCCCTGGTCAGTCCTGTTCACTGTTGTGCCCCAAGCCTGGCACGCACCACACACCCCAACACATTGGTTCAGCAAATACTAAACTGCTTCAAAAAGCAGCCATCGCCCTCTACAGACACCGCCCCACCTGGCACCTTACCTCCCGGAGGCTGATCCTGGCAGGATAAATGACATCAGAGCCATCTCTCTTAAAGATATTGTGGGGCTTGTCCTTTAAAACAAAGACGATATCAGCTGGAATGTTGTTGGAGGTCTGGTCTCCTTCCTTGGGGAAAGTGATTTTGGTTCCTTCTTTCCACCCCTTCTTCACTTCGATGGTCAATATTTTGTCTTCGTTTCGAATGCTCTTTCCGTCGGGGTTTAGCCGCTTGTGGGAGATTTTCATCTTCTTGGTACAGCCGCTGTAGATCTCTTCAAGGGAGACTCGAAGGTCGTGGGTGACTGGGGGATCTTGCTTCTTTCGGGCGGGCTCTTGGGCAGAGCGGGAGCGGCCAAAGTTCACGTTGGTGAAGCCACCCATGCCCATAGGGAAGCCAGAGAATGGGTCATCAATGTCCATGCCTTCCTCCCCGTTCCGCTGCCCAAAAAAGGTGTCAAAGGGATTTCTGCCACCGAAGAACTCAGCAAACATGGCATGAGGGTCTCCATGGAATGTGTAGCTGAAAGAGGTACCATTGGCACCACCGCCGCTACCGCCACTGGGGCCACTCCCCTTTAGGCCTGAAAAGCAGATTTAGAAGCAGTCAGATGGCTGAACAGCAGACTCTCTCTCGAGCTTCCCTTACAGGGGGAAACAGCTTGGAAGCCATGGGGGAGGAACTTTTTTGTCTGTCAGGGGAGAGCAAGGAAGAACCCCAAGTTTCTACCTCTCACTGCCAACAGCAGAGACGCCCCCCTACCAACAGTATTTCCGCGTAGCCTGACAGTGGAAAAGGACTCATGCGGTTAGGTGTTCACCTCCAGGTGCCACCTAGGCCCTGCCACTCCTGGACTGACCCATCCTCCTGGCAACATCACCAAGAGATGGCTAAAGACACATGGTCCAGGGTCGGCTTTCGGTAAGTGTTTACTCTCAACGTTTTAGGGCTAATGGTGCGTAGGAAGAGAAGAAAAAAAAAAACAAAAATAAATAGGGAGTTTTTAAATCCTCACACATTAGCATTCACTGCCACCATCCTTGCACAAAAAGTCAGCTCCAGATCAAGCCCAGAAGCCAGCCTGAATCATCAACGGGCACAGGAACAAAAAGCCCTGCTCTCCTTACCCTCCGAGGCGGCCCCGCTCTCCGGACCTGGGCGGCCGCTGCCTCCTGCGTGCCCTGCCGGGGCCAGGTCATCACTTCCCGGGAATTATCCCAACCCAGCCCCCAAGCCCACGAACGGGGTCGGCTCCTGCATTCACAACCCCTCGCCCCGCAGCTGAGCCGGAGGCGCCGCCCCGCGGACCCCGGCGGCCGAGCCCAGGTGAGCCCGGGTCCGCAGCGGGCTCCGCCGCGCCGTCCCCGTCGTCACCCCCGGCTCCCCCACCCCCATGCACCGCACCCCGGGGCTGCTCGGGGCCGCGGGAGGAGGCGCCCGGGGAGGGGCAGCCCCAGACATGCTAGAAGCTTCTGGCCGAGCGGCTGGGCCAAGGCTCCTCCTCCCACCGCGCGGCCGCCAATCCGAGGGCGGAGGCCCGCGAGGCCGGAGGGCGGGGCAGCTCGGCCCCACGGCCCGGGGCGTCCTTCCCGGGGGGCCGCCGAGAGGGGCCAGCGTGCCTCAGTTTCCCTGTCTGTCAAAAGGCGGGGCCGCGCCCCTGGCCGCGAGCACACACCTTCCTCCCCGTAGCGGTCGAAGATCTCGCGCTTGCGCGGGTCGCTGAGCACGTCGTAGGCCTCAGCGATCTCCTTGAACTTCTCCTCGGCGCCGGGCTCCTTGTTCTTGTCCGGGTGGTAGCGCAGCGCCTGGCGGCGGTAGGCCCGCTTGATCTCCTCGTCCGACGCGCCGCGGGCCAGGCCCAACGTCTGGTAGTAGTCTTTACCCATGACCCCCTCCTGCGGCCCGCCGACCCGCTGTCGCCGTCCCCCGGCTCCGCCGCCGACCAGTCCCGGACTCTATATACCCGTCCGGCGGAAGCTTCCAGAGCCCGCCAGCCCCCTCCAGAACCTTCCGCCCCGCCCGCCCCCGCGGCGCCGGCCAATCGCCGCCGCCCTTTCAGCGACACGCGACATCCGGGGCGGGGCCTCGCCGTCAACGGCCGCCCGCGCGGGGCCACGCCCCCTCCCGCTCCGCCCTCGGCAACACCTCCCCGCGGCGCGCGCGCACAGGTCGGAGGAGGCCCCGCCCACCTTTCGGGACGAGCCAATCGCGACCTTCTTTCCCTCTCTACGCGGCCCCAGCTACCCTGCGTCCCGCCCTCCGCCTGGGTCAGTAGGTCGGGACCCACAGCGAACTTGCTGTTCCAGGAAGGGGTGGGGCCTGGGACTACCCAGTCCTTTCCCCGGGAGGCGATGAACCTGCTCGCCCTTGTCTCGTGGGGCCTGCGGTGGGCTCCCGCCCGGTGACGCCGGACGAACTACCTAACCTGTGTCTGCCTAACCCAGGGGCCCCCTTCTATCTACAACATGGCAATAAGAGAACCTATCAGGCCGGGCGCGGAGCCTCATGCCTGTAATCCCATCACTTCCTGAGGCCAAGACAGGAGGATCTCTTGAGCCTAGGAGTTGGAGACCAGCCTAGGCAACATAAGGAGACTCCGTTTCTATTTAAGATTAACAAACAGGCCGGGCGCGGTGGCTCACGCCTGTAATCCCAGCATTTTGGGAGGCCGAGGCGGGCGGATCACTTGAGGTCAGGAGTTCGAGACCAGCCTGGCCAACATGGTGAAACCCCATCTCTGCTAAAAATATAAAAATTACCCGGGCGTTGGTGGCACGAACCTGTAATCCCAGCTACTCAGGAGATTGAGGCCTGAGAATAGCTTGAATCGGGGAGGCGGAGGTTGCAGTGAGCCGAGATCCGGCCGTTGCACTCCAGCCTCGGCAACAGAGCGAGACTCCGTCTCATAAATAAATAAAATAAGTAAAATAAAGTAAAATGAACAAAAAACCCACCAGCGCTATTCTCCCAACCGTGGGGAGAAGGATTTTGGGACGGAAGACTGCCTCTGTTCTCACCTCCTAAAGCAAGGTGAGGATCTGGACGGAAGCGCATCTCCCAAGGTCCTCCCAGTCCCGCCTTCTTCCCTTTACTGCCCTCTCAAGATCACTTGCCGCTAAATTTGAAATTTATCTTGTCTCTTGGCTTTCAATGTGTCTTCCCTCCCAGTCTGACATCGCCACCTGGGCAGGGGCCAGGTCCTGTCTGCACTGGGTCCCCAGTGCCTGGAACGCAGTGAGAACCTCATAAATATTCCCCGTTCTTACACACGTGCTTCTTTTTCTTCCCCAACTACCTTTATAATTTGGGGGGACATAGGTGTGTCACACACCTTTCAAGGCCTCTGTTTCCTCAATTGTAGGCAACACGATCGCGTTTGGCTCTGAAAGTCTGGGGTGCCTCTGTCAAGGACAGAGCTGATGGGAAAAGGAGGCTCAGAAAGGGGTTCCACCTGGGAAGGGCCCAGGGAAGTGGGGGAGGTTCCTGGAAGAACTGCCTGGGAGGTCAGAGCCATGTAACACTGGCTCTGGAACCAGACAGCTGGGCTTCATTCCCAGCTCCAGCATTTCCCGGCTGGGTAACCTTGGGTTAGTTACTAGGCCTTTGCTGGCCTTAGCTTCCTCATCTGCACAATGAGGAATGAGGATAGCAGTTGTGCCCACATCATGAGGGCTTTGAAGTTTATATGAGTCAACATTTGCAAAGTGCTCAGAGCAGGCATGGCACAAAGGAAGCATTGTCAAAGGGGTGACTAACCATTTTCTTAGTGGTGGGCTCTTCAGCCATCACCTCATTCCTGGCAGCTAAAAGATTCCAGTGACAGCTGCCCCTGGGCAGACAGGGACTCCTGAAGAAGAAGACCATCCTCCTGCCTCCTGAGGCGGGAGGATCTCTTGAGCCCAGGAATTTGAGGCTGCAGGCAGCTATGATTGTGCCACTGCACTCCAGCCTGGGTGACAGTGAGACCCTCAGCCTCCCCATAAAAAAGTTACATAAATAACTATCAGGAGCATCATGGCGGATAGTTACATAAATAACTATCAGGAGCATCCAGCAGGCAGATCTGGTTCTCTTGGCCCACTCAATGATCTCTGAGGTAACTGCATCAGCAAGAACTCTGGACTAGAACTGGACAACCCGGGAGGATGGGGCTGAAATTCCCTAGACATCGAGAACCATACTTGAGCAGGGGTCCTGAAGCAATTATGGGGAGAGAGAACTTGATATTTTTTAAAAAGTTACTAGGCTGGGCACAGTGGCTCACGCCTGTCATCCCAGCATTCTGGGAAGGTGAGGTGGGAGGATCTTTTGAGGCCAGGAGTTCCAGCCTGGGCAACATAGTGAGACCCCATCTATACAAAAAATTAAAAATAAAAAAAATTAGCCGGGTGCAATGATGTGAGCCTGTAGTCCCAGCTACTCAGTGGACCAAGGTAGGAGGATAGCTTGAGCCCAGGAATTTGAGGCTGCAGTCAGCTATGATTGTGCCACTGCTCTCCAGCCTGGATGACAGTGAGATCCTGAACCTCCCCATAAAAAAATTATATAAATAACTATCAGGAGCATTATGGGGAAAAACTCAGAGCTTGTGACTTTATAAACTAGTATTTTATAATATAAATTTAATTTAGAATTACAAGTGCAGCAGCCTCCAAAGGCTTTAACATGGCTCTGGGTGGGCCTTTCTGGTTGTTCTAAAGTTTCTTGCCATAGGCCAGGCACGGTGACTCAACGCCTATAATCCCAGCACTTTGGGAGGCTGAGGCAGGTGGATCACCTGAGGTCAGGAGTTCGAGACCAGTCTGGCCAACGTGGTGAAACCCCGTCTCTACTAAAAATACAAAAATTAGTCGGGTGCGGTGGCAGGTGCCTGTAATCCCAGCTACGCTGGAGGCTGAGGCATGAGACTCGCTTCAACCCGAGAGGCAGAGGTTGCAGTGAGCCAAGATCGTGCCACTGTGCTCCAGACTGGGTGACAGAGTGAGAGTTTCAAAATAATAATAATAATAATAATAATAATAATAATAAAAGTTTCTTGACACACTGGAGGGGAACATTTTGCTAAAAACACTGCGGAAGGGATGTCTTTGTGCTTGGGGTCAGTGTTAGAGCTGGGAACTCTCCCCTCCTTGAGTAAGCCTGGGTCATGTTCAGGAAGTTTTGTTTGTTTGTTTTGAGATGGAGTTTCACTCTTGTAGCCCAGGCTGGAGTGCAGTGGCACGATCTCAGCTCACTGCAACCTCCGCCTCCTGGGTTCAAGTGATTCTCCTGCCTTAGCCTCCCAAGTAGCTAGGACTACAGGTGCTTGCGACCATGCCTGGCTAATTTTTGTAGTTTTAGTAGAGATGGGGTTTCACCATGTTGGCCAGGCTGGTCTTGAACTCCTGACCTCAGGTGATCAACACGCCTTGATCTCCCAAGGTGCTGGGATTACAGGCGTGAGCCACCACGCCCAGCCAGTTCGGGAAGTTTTAATTTTTTTTTTTTTAATCAGTTCTAGGAGCCAGGAAATTAAACAAACAAACAAACCCAGTAACTCTCTCCTAATGGACATGGTACTGTGACCTGAACACTCACTGAGAACTTCAGAATATTACTGAAAAAATGGCCTCTGCGTCAACTTCAGCAGATATTGGGCTCTTAACTTGGAAAAGCTGTTATAGTTGTTTGTTGTGTCAGCGTGGCTAAGCTCTAGAACCTAGTTATTCAACTAAACACTAATCTAGGTGTTGCTGTGAAGTTATTATGTTGATGCGGTTAGGTTAGCACGTCTACAGTTGCTTGACTTTAAAAACAGGACATGACCCTCAAGGATGTGAGGATGTAAGCGGGCCTCATCCAATCAGTCTAGAGACTTTAAAAAGCCAACACTGAGGCCGGGTGTGGTGGGTCACGCCTGTAATCCCAGCACTTTGGGAGGCTGAGGCAGGAGAATTACTTGAACCCAGGAGGCAGAGGTTGCAGTGAGCCAAGATCAGGCCGCTGCACTCCAGCCTGGTGACAGAGCAAGACTCTGTCTCGAAGAAAAAAAAAAAAAAAAAAAAGCCAACACTGAAAGCAAACACTGAGGTTTCCCGGCAGAAAAAGCATCAGCTCCTGCCTAAGTTTCCAGCCTGCTAGCCCACCCAGCAGATTTTGGTGTTGTCTAGCCAGCCCCCACAAGCATGTAAGCCAATTCCTTGAAATAAATCTCTGCACACAAACACAGACACACACACAGACACACACACACACACACACACACACACACACACACACACACACACACTCCTACTGGCTCTGGCTCTGTGTCTTTGGTAAAATCCTGACTGATACAGGAACTATGCAAGTGAGTCTGAGGACAGTTGCTTTAGTTCAAATCCTGGACCAACTGTTTCCTTATTTCCTACGTGTGTGATCTTCCACAGCCTGCTTGATCTCTGGGAGCATTAGGTCTGTCCTCCATAAATTGGAGATAAGAGTAGATTAGGCCGGGTGCGGTGGCTCATGCCTGTAATCCCAGCACTTTGGGAAGCTGAGGCGGGTGGATCACTTGAGGTCAGGAGTTTGAGACCAGCCTGTCCAACGTGGTGTCTCTACTAAAAACACAAAAATTAGCTGGGCATGGTGGCATGTGCCCATACTCCCAGCTACTCGGGAGGCTGAGGCAGGAGAATCGCTTGAACCTGGGAGGTGGAGGTTGCAGTGAGCCAAGATCACGCCACTGTACTCCAGCCTGGGCAACAGAGCCAGACTCTGTCTCGAAAAGAAAAGAAAAGAAAAGAGTAGATTTTACGCTGCTGGTGTTGCTATGTGGATGAAATTGAGAGGAAATGAACAGGAAGTGAACAGGAAATGAACATTATAATAACATTTTTATTTTTATTTTTGAGATGGAGTCTCACTCTGTCACCCAGGCTGGAGTGCAGTGGTGTGATCTCAGCTCACTGCAACTTCCGCCTCCTGGGTTCAAGCGATTCTCTGCCTCAGCCTCCTGAGTAGCTGGGATTATAGGTGCCTACCACCACACCTGGCTAATTTTTGTATTTTTAGTAGAGACTGGGTTTCACCATGTTGGCCAGGCTAATCTCGAACTCCTGATCTCATGATCCACCCACCTTGGCCTCCCAAAGTGCTGGGATTACAAGGGTTGAACCCTACACCCGGCCTTGTTTTTGTTTTTTTTTTTTTTTGAGATGGGGTCTCACACTGTCACCCATGCTGGAGCACAGTGGCACAATCTTGGCTCACTGCAACCTCCACCTCCCAGGTTCAAATGATCCTCCTGCCCCAGCCTCCTGAGTAGTTGGGATCACAGGTGCCTGCCACCATGCCCGGCTAATTTTTTGTATTATGGTTTTGGTAGAGATGGGGTTTTGCCATGTTGCTCAGGTTGGTCTCGAACACCTGAGCTCAGGTGATCCGCCGGCCTTGGCCTCCCCAAGTGTTGGGATTACAGGCATAAGCCACCATGTCTGGCCTATAATAACATCTAACACTGACATGGCCAAGCCTGTTCCAAGTACTCGATGAATATTAACTCATATACTTGTCACAACAGCCCTATGAGGTTGGGCTATCATTACACCCATTTTACAGGTGGGGAGATGGAGATTCTGAGAGGTCATGTGACTTCCCCAGGGTCACCCAGAGAGTAAAATGCTGAAGTGTTTAGCATACTGAGTGCTTACAGTAGACACTCAGCTTGTGTATAATGTGACTCAGATGATCATAAAGCCTTAATTTTAAGAAAATTGCATTACTCCTGTCTTCAGCTCTTCACCTGTTGAAAAAAAGACCTTCAGGCCAGGTGCGGTGGCTCACATCTGTAATCCCAGCACTTTTGGAGGCCAAGGCAGGAGGATCACTTGAGCCCAGGAGTTCCAGATCAGCCTGGCCCACATAGTGAGACCCCATATCTGCAAAGAATGACAAAGAAATAAGCTGGGCATGGTGGCACGTGCCAGCTACTTGGGAGGCTGAGGTGGGAGGATCACTTGAGCTCAGGAATTCCAAGCTGCAGTGAGCTATGAGTGTGCCACTGCACACTAGCCTGAGAGACAGTGAGACCCTGTCTCAAAAATAAATAAAAATCCAAATAAATTTGGAAAAGATCTTCAAGGCTGGGTGCGGTGGCTCATGCCTGTAATCTCAGCACTTTGGGAGGCTGAGGCAGGTGGATCCCTTGAAGTCAGGAGTTCGAGACCAGCCTGGCCAACATGGTGAAACCCCATCTCTATTAAAAATGCAAAAATTAGTCAGGCATGGTGGCGTGCACCTGTAATCCCAGCTATTTGGGAGGCTGAGGCAGGAGAATCACTTGAACCTAGGAGGTGGAGGTTGCAATGAGCCGAGATGGTGCCACTGCACTCCAGCCTGGACAACAGAGCGAGACTCGTTCTCAAAAAAAAAAGACCTTCAAAAAGCGCTATAGCCATATGAGCCAACAATCCCACTCCCAGTGGGATACCCATGTGAAATGAAAACCTTTGTTCATATATAAAAATTCATGGCTGGGTGCGGTGGCTCATGCCTGTAATCCCAGCACTTTGGGAGGCCGAGGCGGGAGGATCACAAGGTCAAGAGATGGAGACCATCCTGACCAACATGGTGAAATTCCGTCTGTACTAAAAACACAAAAATTAGCTGGGCATGGTGGTGCACACCTGTAACCCAGCTATTCGGGAGGCTGATGCAGGAGAATCGCTTGAACCCAGAAGGTGGAGGTTGCAGTGAGCCGAGATTGCGCCACTGCACTCCAGCCTGGGTGACAGAGCGAGACTCCATCTCAAAAATAAAAATAAAAAAGATACTATTATAATGTTCATTTCCTGGCTCCTCTCAATTTCATCAACATAGCAACACCAGCAGGGTAAAATCTACTTTTTTTGTTTTTTTTTTTGAGATGGAGTCTCATGAGCGAATGTTTGCTGAGGCTTTATTAGTTATTACCAACAGCAGTTAAACCCTAACTGTCCTTCAATGGATGAATGGATAAACAAATGGGATCCATCCACACAATGGAATACTATTCAGCTATAAAAAGGAATGAGCTACGGATACAAAAAAACAACATTACAGATGAACCTCATATGCATTATGTGGGTGAAAGAAGCCAGGCTCAAAAGGCTGCATGATTCCATTTCACTCAACCTTCTGGAAAAGGCAAAAGTATCAGGACAGAAAGCAGATGAATGCTTGCCAGGGGCTGGGACCTGCAACAAATGGAGTAGTTTGGAGAATTTTTTGGGTTGGTGTAAATGCTCTGTATCTTGATTGTAGTGGTGGTTGCATGACCGTATGTGTTCAGAGCTGTACACTAAAATGGGTGAATTTTACTACATGTCAATTACACTTCAATGAAAAAAAAAAAAAGAAGGAGAAAAACCAAACAACCCAGGCAAGACAGGATAGGGCTTGGGAAACCTCTCTCTGGGATTCCTGACACAGCAGAAACTTGCTAACGAGCCCTGGCTTGTCTAGTCCCAGCTTCACCTCCCCTCACACACCCAGCGAGCCAGCTCATTCATACACAACCCAAACCAGCCAAGCCAGGTTCTGGAAAAAGTCAAGATCCGACCTGATCTGCCCATGGGAAATACAAAAGGAGCTTGTGAGACACGACATTACCAAACACATCACATCTCTGGCATTCAAATGGTCTCGGGTTCCCCCCAAACCTGAGGTCCAGAAAAGCTCATCCTTGGAAGCTGCCGCAGCTTAGGCCGTCTCTTGCAGTTTCTCCCTTGGAAATTACTTTAATAAAGGAGCTAGTTACCATCAGCTCAACAACGACCCAACAGATCTACCAGTCACCATTGTGAATCAGCCACTGCTGGGACTGTGAAGGGACCAGCAGGATCTAGCTGTCCCTACAGACAGGCACTGTCAGGGGGCCACAGTACAGTGTCCTCAGTGGCTTGAACAAAGTGGCCAGTCTTCATTCCAAGGGTGGGTTTCATTTCTGCTGACAGCCTGGTTACCGGAAGCCAGATGGGCAAACAAGGGGTTCCTCAAGCCTGCAACACCCCTCAAAAACAAAGAGGAATTCTACTTTGGAGGCTGGATCTTGCCTTTCTGCCAGCTTCTTATGGGTGAGGAGGGGGTGGAAATTATTTGTATGTTCCGGTTGACACGCAGCATAGTAGGTGCATGAGGATGATTTGGTGCCTGTTGAGTAAGTGTGGGGCTCAGAAAAGCAGTCTCAAAAGGGAATTTCCAAAACGTTCTGAGTTTATGGGAATATGTATGGAATCTCTTCAAAATGACACCTACTTGTACACCATCATGCCCTATCTAACTGCAACCCAGAGATGGAAGACTCACCTCTTCAGATCACATTAAATAAGTTGAAAATTTGCATAACTGGTGAAGGAGCAACACATGGATGGGTCTTAGGGTTTCAACCCTATCCCCATGGCCCCTCACAATCAAGTACCTCAGGTAACTCAATCTGATAGGATTTTAACTGTGGTCTCAGGCCGAGTGGGATGGCTCATGCCTGTAATCCCAGCGCTTTGGGAGGCCGAGGAGGGAGGATCACTTGAGGCCAGGAGTTCCAGAGCAGCCTGGGCAACATAATGAGATCCCATCTCTACTAAAAAATTAACTTGTGGCCTGGAAGCAAATACTCTCCCCCAGCACCCAAGAAGGGCAGGGAGTGAGGCCTGTCATGACACAGAAGGCCTCAAAACTCAAACTGCCACCAGAAAAATATCTCTGCTTTTTTTTTTTTTTTTTTTTTTTTTTTTTTTTTGAGACGGAGTTTCATTCTTGTCACCCAGGCTGGAGTGCAGTGGTGTGATCTCTGCTCACTGCAACCTCTGCCTCCTGGGTTCAACTGATTCTTCTGCCTCAGCTACTTGAGTAGCTGTGATTACAGGTGCCCACCACCACACCCAGATAATTTTTGTACTTTTAGTAGAGATGGTTTCGCCATGTTGGCCAAGCTGGTCTCAAACTCCTGACCTCAGGTGATCCTCCTGCCTCGGCCTCCCAAAGTGCTGGGATTACAGGCCTGAGCCACTGCGTCCGGCCAGATCCTTGCTTTTGAAAGCACACATACAGAACACCTTCAGGTTTTCATCTGTTTTTCCCAGATAGCACCAGTGAAAAAGATAATGAGTTTCCAGAAGACCACATAGCGTTGGCTTCCTGTACTCGCAGTCAGGGATCCCCAAAGGCTACAGCTTCAGAAGTTTCCAGAGCCAAATCTGGATGACTGAGTTCCAAGCACTGACTCACCCTTGCCTCCGCCTGCTCCCCTGTGAATCAGTGATCTACCTTTAAGGACTTCTCATCGTGTCTCTCATGACAGGCCTGTGAATTCCAGATGGTTCAACAGCTCATGAAAGCTCAGGGGCAGGATCTGGAAACAAGAGTAAGGAGAGGAGGTGAAGAAGTGTGCCAGGTACTGCCTGTTCCTTTGTCTGTCAAAAGTCTTTTCTTTTTTTTTCTTTTTTTTTTGAGACAGAATCTCACTCTGTCGCCCAGGCTGGAGTGCAGTGGTGCGATCTTGGCTCACTGCAACCTCCACCTCCCGGGTTCAAGCGATTCTCAGCCTCCCTAGTAGCTGGGATTACAGGTGCCCACCATTACACCTGGCTAATTTTTGTATTTTTAGTAGAGACAGGGTTTCACCACGTTGTCCAGGCTGGTCTTGAATTCCTGACCTCATGTGATCTGCCTGTCTTGGCCTCCCGAAGTGCTGGGATTACAGGTGTGAGCCACCGTGCCTGGCCAGAAATTTATGTGTTTTTCATTTACAGCACATCTCAATTTGGACCAGTCCCATTTCTTTTTCTTTTTTCTTTTTTTTTTTTTGAGACGGTCTGTTGCTCAGGCTGGAGTGTAGTGGCGAGATCTTGGCTCACTGCAACCTCCGCCTCCCGGGTTCAAGCAATTCTTCTGCCTCAGCCTCCTGATTAGCTGGGACTACAGGTGTGTACCACCACGCCCGGCTAATTTTTGTATTTTTAGTAGCGATGAGGTTTCACCATATCTGCCAGGCTGGTCTCGAACTCCTCACCTCGTGATCTGCCCCCCTCGGCCTCCCAAGGTGCTAGGATTACAGGTGTGAGCCATCGTTCCCGGCCTGGACCAGCCCCATTTCAAGGGCTCAGTGGCCCCATTGGAGCCACTAGACACGATTCTGGACGTCAGGCAGAGACCAATGTAGTTCCCCTGTCCATAGGGCGGAGCAAAGTGTGGAGGGGGGCCGGGCGGGGTGGCTCAGGCCTGTAATCCTAGCACTTTGGGAGGCTGAGGCGGGAGGATCACCTGAGGTCAGGAGTTCAAGACCAGCCTGGCCAACCATGGGGAAACCCCGTCTCTACTAAAAAAAATACAAAAATTAGTCGGGCGTGGTGGCGGGTGCCTGTAATCTCATCTACTTGGGAGGCTGAGGCATGAGAATCGCTTGAACCCGGGAGGCGGAGGTTGCGTGAGCCGTCATTGCGCCACTGCACTCCAGCTGGGGGACAGAACGAGATTGTTTCAAAAACAAAACAAAACAGAAAAACAAAGTGGGGCGGGGCTTTCATTAAAAACGGCAGTGAAGCCACCCCAGAATGGGGCTGGGGCTCAAGGTTCTTGCAGGTTGGGGGTTCCCAAATGGGGAGCTTTTCGCGACTCCGTTTCGCCTTTCCTTCCCTCCCACTCAAGAGTCTCCTCCCATAGTGACCTCCTCGCCAACCAGACTCCGCAGCCCGCGACCCCAGCCCCTAGCCCTCTCCTGCTGTTCCCGGTGTACCCCGGGGGCCGCCCACCTCAGAATTTACCCCTTCGGCGCCGCCTGTCATGTGGATGCTGCCTTGCCTGTCACTCAACTTCTTACCCCGCCCCCGCGTCTGGCCTAACCGTCGCTTACCTTGGTTTCCACAGCGACGCCATCAGGGGGCGTGGCAAAGGGACGCGCGGGGCAGAGACCTCCTTTGGATTGGTGGATGGTCAAGCCCCTTCTCTTTAGCCCCTCCTACAGGCGTTCCGCCCCCTTCGATTGGTCTCGCAAGTTGATTGGTCAATCCCCTGGTGCTAGTCCTAGTCTTGGTTCGGACCGGCCCCAAGGAGCAGGGGCGAACGTGGGCGCCTCGTGCCCTGATTGGCCGACGGGGCGCGCGCGGCCTGGAGGGGCGGGGCGGACGCAGAGCCGCGTTTAGTCTATCGCTGCGGTTGCGAGCGCTGTAGGGAGCCTGTGCTGTGCCGCGCAGTTAGGCAGCAGCAGCCGCGGAGCAGTAGCCGCCGTGGGAGGGAGCCATGAAGCATTACGAGGTAAGAAGCGAGAAACAGGGGCCGTGTGGCCACTGCTGACCCATTCTTTTTCCTTCTTTGCGGGACCACGGGACCCCACTTTCTGGTCCTGTGCCCCGAAGGAAGAGCCAGACGGCGCAGGCGCAGTGGGCAAGCGTTGCGCCCCGGGCCACTCGTAAATTCCAATGCGCATGTGCGCAGGAAGTATTTATAAATCTGCAACCCAGGCTGTTTTGGGGGTACTTTTTCTTGGGGGTCTCTGCAGGGGCTGGGACGCTTGCAGGTTCCTTGCAGCTCCCCCAGCGGGCTGAGTTGCAGACTTTGTCATGGGAGCCACGAAGGTGCGGGACCCTTGCTCCCAATCCGAGGGAGTCTTGCACAAATCTTGCGCCACGCCGCCGTCACCAGCGTAGGAAGGGGCTTTGCTATCAGTATTCTTGTGTACGACCTTTGGACCCCTTCCCTCGCCCGGGACGTTCCCGGGAGACTTAGGCGGTGAGGGAGGTGCAGCTCCACGGCTGGCTTTCGCAGAGCAGCGAAGCTGATCTTGCTTTCTGGTTATCAAAGAGGTCATCTACGTCAACCCTTGGGTGTCACCAAGGAGAAATCTTATACCCACCCACAGCCACTCTTGAAGCCCAAGTCTTCTGACTCCTAACTTGGGTCTCTTTTTCCCTTAAAACGAAGTCTTCTGATGTGCTTATCGCCCTAGGTGATAATATAATATTAATAATTCAACCAATTATCCCTGAATTATTGCTGACTTTTAAGTAACTATCATCAAATAATAAAATTTGTTATTAAAATTCAAAATAACAATTTAGCAAGTGCTTACTCTTGTGCTGGTGAGATTCTGTTACCTTGTATAAGAACTATTATTATTCCTGTTTGTAAGGATGAATAAAGTCTCAGAGATATAAAGTGACTTGTTCAAAGGCCCCTAGTTAGTAAATGCAAAACAGATAGGGGAACTCAGGACGCCAAGGTCTTAGTTCCTAGCCACTATGCCATGCTGGTCCTCAAATGAAAAATAGCAGGTCGAGCGATTTCTTGTTTCTCACTTCCCCTCCAATTTAAAAAATTCTGGCAAAATACACATAAAATTTACCATCTTGACTATTTTTAAGTGTGCAGTTCAGTGGCATTAAGAACATTCACATTGTTGTGCAACCATCACCACCACCCATCTCCAGAACTCTTTGCATCTTGGAAAACAGAAGCTGTAGACGTTAAATACTAACTCCCCATTCCTCTCCACCTCCACCTCTGGCAGCCACCATTCTACTCAGCCACCATTCCGTCTTAATGAATTGACTACTCTAGGTACCTTGGATACGTAGAAGGATTTTTTTTTTCTTTTGGAGACAGAGTTTCGGTCTTATTGCCCGGGCTGGAGTGCAATGGCGCGATCTCGGCCTACTGCAAACTCCGCCTCCTGGGTTTAAGCGATTCTCCTGCCTCAGCCTCCTGAATAGCTGGGATTACAGGTGACCGCCACCATGCCCGGCTAATTTTTTGTATTTTTAGTAGAGATGGGGGTTTCACCATGTTGACCAGGCTGGCCTCAAACTCTTGACCTCAAGTGATTTGCCCTCCTCGGCCTCCCAAAGTACTGGGATTACAGGTGTGAGCTAGTGCGCCCGGCTGTTTGTTTTTATTGACAAGTTGAATATTACTACCTCTGCCTCCTGCCCCCTTTATTGCTACTATTTTTGGAAATTTACCCACAATCCTTTGAAGCCTTTTTTTGAGACGGAGTTTCGCTCTTGTTGAGTACGCTGGAGTGCAATGGCGTGATCTTGGCTCACCGCAACCTCCACCTCCCGGGTTCAAGTGATTCTCCTGCCCCAGCCTCCTGAGTAGCCGGAATTACAGTCATGAGCCACCATGCCCGGCTAATTTTGTATTTTTAGTAGAGACAGGGTTTCTCCATGTTGGTCAGGCTGGTCTCGAACTCCCGACCTCAGGTGATCCACCCACCTTGGCCTCCCAGAGTGCTGGGATTACAGGCATGAGCCACGGTGCCTAGCCCCTTAGAAGCCTTTAACCCACAAATCCTGTAATTTTTGACATGGTATCAAGAATGAGGAGGTTTGTATTCAATAATCTCTGTCATTTAAGTTTTCATTCTAGAATGAAGTTCTGATGTGGATTCCCCTCTCAAACTCTATATCTAAACCTGTAGTCCCACTACTGTAGTCTCAGCTACTCGGGAGGCTGAAGCAGGAGGATGGCTTGAGCCCAGGAGGTTGAGGCTGCAGTGAGCCCAAAAATCAGGCCACTGCACTCCAGCCTGGGCAACAGAGACCCTGTTTGAAGAAAAAAAAAAAAAAAAAAAAAAGCTACCATGTCCAGCTTGAAACATGCAGTTTGGAACATCCATATGGCATTTTGCAAATGTAGTTGGTTTAGTTTTGCTAGTTAACAGTCAGATAAAGTAGGCCTCTGAGCACCCTGGGGGTGCGTGCTTTTGTTCCAGGAAGCTGGGCACAGCCTGAGGCCCAAGACTTGGACTGGAGAATATGCTCCACCGTACTTAATCCTTTTCTCTCCCAGAAAGAAGGGGGAGCTTTGGCCAGGCATGGTGGCTCACGCCTGTAATCCCAGCACTTTGGTAGGCTGAGGTGGCCGGATCGCTTGAGGTGAGGAGTTCAAGACCAGCCTGGCTAACATGGAGAAACCTTGTCTCTACTAAAAATACAAAAGTGAGCCGAGTGTTGTGGCACACGCCTGTAATCTCAGCTACTTGGAGGCAGAGGTTGCAGTGAGCTGAGATCATGCCACTGTACTCCAGCCTGGATGACAGAGCGAGAGTCTGTCTCAAAAAAAAAAAAAAAAAAAAAAAGGGAAGCTTCAAACTCACTGTTCAAAGTGACCTTGAAGGAAAAAATAAATTGTTATTTTGCTGTGTTGTTTGTTATTCTCTGCCAACCTTTGCCAAGTACCCATAGAGGCGATAGCTACAGGGCTTCTGGGTGGGAGAAGCAGTTGTTTCCCGGCCCAGCGGATTGCATAGCAAGCAGATTAGTTTAACTGCATGTGTGTATTGTAGGTCAGTAAAAATAGAAAGGATGCTTTCACTCACACTTAACAAGCAATTTGAGAAAAGGTTTGTCTACATCAAAGAATATATTTCTGGCCGGGCGAGGTGGCTCATGCCTGTAATCCCAGCACTTTGGGAGGCTGAGACGGGTGAATCACTTGAAGTCAGGAGTTCGAGACCAGCCTGGTCAACATGGTGAAACCTCGTCTCTACTAAAAACAAAAAAATTAGCTGGGTATGGTGGCACGTGCTTGTAGTCCCAGCTACTGGCTTCGAGGCTGAGGAATGAGAATCACTTGAAGCTGGGAGGCGGAGTTGCCATGAGCTGAGATCACGCCACTGTACTCCAGCCTGGGTGACAGAGCGAGACTCTGTTTTAAAAAAAATAAATAAAGGATATATTTCAGCTGGGCACAGTGGCTCATGCCTGTAATCCCAGCACTTTGGGACACCAAGGTGGGCAAATCATGTGAGGTCAGGAGTTTGAGACCAGCCTGGCCAACATGATGAAACTCCGTCTCTACAAAAAATAAAAAATTAGCTGGGTGTGGTGGCGCACGCCTGAAATCCCAGGTACTTGGGAGGCTGAGGCAGGAGAATCACTTCAACCTGGGAGGTGGAGGTTGCAGTGAGCTGAGATCGCACCACTGCACTCCAGCCTGGGTGACAAGAACGAGACTCTGTCTCAAAAAAAAAAAGAAAAAAATCTATTTCTGCTTGGGACTAAATCCATCTTCCCACCCTCAAGCAGTCTGTTGTCCACTGAAAGGTTGGCCCCTGGAGAGACCTTGGAGATTATGAAGTGCAGTTTACAACTGATAGAGGTAATGCCCAGAGGGGTGCAGGACGTGCTGACTGTCACGCAACAAATTAATGTCTGGTTGAGGACTGTTATCATGGCAGTTGGGATCCCAGCAGTAGTGGAGATCGGTGGCTGTTTCCATAGTAGCCTCATATCACTGCCAAATCTCATCTGATCTGAGAGGAAAAGTTTTCCACTCTGTGGCCTAATTGAGGTGAAGCCTCTCTCTAGAACGGGTCACCTCCAGGCCTTGGCTGAAGCCGTCTTCTTAGAATACCAGAGCAGGCCTTAGCATTGTCTTGGGGTCAGAGCTAGGTCGGTAAGCGAACTGCTTATCCTAGGATACAGTATTTTTTTAATGTATTTTTTTATTTTATTGCTGTTTTTGCCACTGCAGATGAGACTCAAAGCAATGAGCCCAGCAGCAACTGGAAAAACAGCTACTACATCTTGTAATTGAGCCTGTTAATTCCTGAGAAAATCAGTCTGTCTTCAGCCTCCAGCAGTCCAGGTCACTGCCCATTTCCCGCAGCTGAATACCCAGAAGCGAGCCTCTTGGGGTCCCCCATAACCCACATTTAGGGTGTTTTCTTTCTTTTTTTTTTTTTACACAGAGTCTCGCACTCTCGCCCAGGCTGGAGTGCAGTGGCTCCATCTTGGCTCACTGTAAGCTCCGCCTCCCGGGTTCACGCCATTCTCCTGCCTCAGCCTCCCGAGTAGCTGGAACTACAGGTGCCTGCCACCATGCCTGGCTAATTTTTTGTATTTTTAGTAGAGATGAGGTTTCACCGTGTTAGCCAGGATGGTCTCGATCTCCTGACCTTATGATCCGCCCGCCTCGGCCTCCCAGGGTGCTGGGATTACAGGAGTGAGCCACCATGCCTGGCCTTTTTTTTTTTTTTTTTTTTTTTTTTTTTTGTGACAGAGTCTCGCTCTGTCACCCAGGCTGGAGTGCAGTGATGTGATCTCACCTCACTGCAACCTCCACCTCCCCGGTTCAAGCGATTTTCCTGCCTCAGCCTCCCAAGTAGCTGTTATTACAGGTGGGTGCCACCATGCCCGGCTAATTTCTGTAGTTTTAGTAGAGATGGGGTTTCACCATGTTAGTCCAGGCTGGTCTCGAACTCCTGGGCTCAAGCGATCCTCCTGCCTTGGCATCCCAAAGTGCTGGGATTATAGGTGTGAGCCACCGCACCTTGCCCAGGGGTGAGTCTTATTAGCACCTGATCAGATGGGAACTACTGTTCTACTTTACAGATAATGCAACTGAAGCTCAGAGAGGTAAACTAAGCTGGTCAAGGTCACAGAGCCTGGAAGCCAGGGAGCTGAACCTGGGTTTGTCAGACTCCAGTTTTGTCCACACTGATGGCTTCTCTGCTGATGCTGCCCTAGGACAGCTGGTGGCTCTCCTGCTGTGTTCTGAGGACAGAGCATCCCTGAAGGGAGGGCGAGGTGCTGCGGGTCAGTGTGGACTGCTGGGAGAGGGTCTTTCTCTGCCCTAAAATCGGATGGGCTGCCCCTTGCAGTAAGGGCAGGATTGAGAGTGATGAGCCTTGCCTGGGTGCAGTGGTTCATGCCTGTAATCCCAGCACGTTGGGAGGCTGAGGCAGGAGGATCACCTGAGGTCAGGAGTTCAAGACTAGCCTGGCCAACATGGCGAAACCCCCTCTCCACTAAAAATATAAAAATTGGCCGGGTGCAGTGGCTCATGCCTGTAATCCCAGCACTTTGGGAGGCCGAGGTGGGTGAATCACGAGGCCAGGAGATCGAGACCATCCTGGCTAACACAGTGAAACCCCGTCTCTACTAAAAAATAGAAAAAGTTAGCTGAGTGTGGTGGTGGGTACCTGTAGTCCCAGCTACTTGGGAGGCTGAGGCAGGAGAATGGCTTGACCCGGGAGGCGGAGCTTGCAGTGAGCCGAGATCGCGCCACTGCACTCCAGCCTGGGCGACAGAGCGAGACTCCGTCTCAAAAAAAAAAAAAAAAAAAAAAAAAAAAAAAAAAAAAATATATATATATATATATATATATATATATATATATATATATATATGTATGTATATATAAATTAGCCAGGCATCATGGTGCACTCCTGTAATCCCAGGTACTCGAGAGACTGAGGCAGGAGAATTCGTTTGAACCTGGGAGGTGGAGGTCGCGGACGAGCTGAGATCGCACCACTGCATTCCGGTCCTGGGCAACAGAGTGAGACTCTGTCTCAAAAAAAAAAAAAAAAAAAAAGGGAAAGTGGTGAGCCTTGAGCTGTGGTGAGCTATAAAGACCTTTCCTATGTTAGCCTGACTCAGGCCAAGATCCTGAGGGGGTTGGAGGGGATCTTAGGCTTTTCAGATTTTCCTGCAGGCTTCTTGCTTTGAGCAGATGGTGACTCACTGGGCAGATTCTCCTGGTGGAGTCCCTTCTGTCCTGGCTGTAGCTTTGTACTTAGGCCATTTCTTTGCTGTA
This sequence comes from Homo sapiens, assembly GCF_000001405.40. Classification (NCBI taxonomy): domain Eukaryota; kingdom Metazoa; phylum Chordata; class Mammalia; order Primates; family Hominidae; genus Homo; species Homo sapiens. The sequence continues at coordinate 14,536,000 of NC_000019.10, forward strand.
GGCACTCAGAATCTCAGAGCCCCAGGCTTGAGATAATTTTTCTGGTTTAACTTCTGTAAAGTTACAGATGAGGGACCTGAGACCCAGAGAACAAGGCCTTTTCCAGGGCTGCAGGCCAGTTCCCCTTTGGGTTGGGCAGTATTGATTGATACTCTTCCTGGGAAGGTGGCAATGCTTACGGGCTTTGGATCAGTGCTAGGCTCATATGCTTAACTGCCACTGACAAGGTTTGGAGCCCACGGGCAAGGTCTTTAGTTTCTCGAGCTAGTTTTTTTTTTTTTTTTTCGTGAGACAGAGTCCCCCTCTGTTGCCCAGGCTGGAGTGCAGTGGTGCCATCTAGGCTCACTGCAACCTCTGCCTCCTGGGTTCAAGCGATTCTCCTGCCTCAGCCTCCTGAGTAGCTGGGATTACAGGCGCCCACCACCACGCCCGGCTAATTTTTGTATTTTTAGTAGAGATGGGGTTTCACCATATTGGCCAGGCTGGTCTTGAACTCCTGACCTTAAGTGATTCTCCCACCTTGGCCTCCCAGAGTGTTGGGATTACAGGCGTGAGCCACAGCGGCTGGCCTTGAACTAGCTTTTTAATCCATAAAATGACACCTGGGTGTGCGAGACCCGGCTGACATTGGCTGATGGTGTGCATCTTCCCAACTCTGTGTTCAGGGATATCAGGCTGACATCTCTAAGTCACAGGTAGGGTATTTACATCACGGAAAGTGGCAAATGCTACAGCTGAGGCCCCTTCCTCTCTCCTGCCCAATGTTCATATTGACTGGGATAATTGTCCCTGCCTCCCAGGGTTATCGTTTCAAGGGTTTCTTGGTCTGGTGAGCATCGTATGAGCAGATACATACCTGGAAAGCCTCAGCTTGGTGCAGCACCTTGCAGCAGCTAACATTTGACAAGTAGTACGGCCCTACTCACCTCTGGACCTCTGGACACGGGGCAGATGTGGGGAGGAGGGGCCGAGGAGGGGGCGGGGCCGAGGAGGAGGAGGTGGGGCTTGAGGACGGGGAGGGGTGTCGAGGAGGGGGAGGCGGGTCCCAAGGAGTAGGAGGCAGAGTTTAGCAGGAAAAGGCATGTCCTGAGGAGGAGGAGGGGGCAGGGCTGAGGTGGAGGAGGTGGTTCCTGAGGATGAGGAGGTAGGGCTGAGAAAGAAGAGGCGGGGCCGGGGGGGAAGGGGAGGCCGAGGGGGAGGAGGTGGGGCTCAGGAGGAGGAGGCGGGGCAAGAAGGAAGCGGCGGGCCTGGATGGGGGAGGCGGGACCAGGGAGGGGGAGGCGGGACCAGGGAGGGGGAGGCGGGACCGAGTAACAAGAAGGTGGGACGGGATGAGTGGTGGGCTTTGGTGTGTGCCAGGTGGAGTAGCTGTTTCAGCCGCACCCAGGTGGATTTAGAGGCTCCACCAGCTGGGCCCAGCAAAGCCTTCTGGACTAACTGGTTCCTGAGAACAGAGGAGGGTTGACAGCCTTGAGTGAGGGCGGTGCTTGGAAAGGCCTTGCGACTCTGATAAGGTGGTTGGGTTTGGTCGGGAATCCTGCACTTTCATTGACAAGCCTGGCTGCGTGAGAAAGGCCAGAGACCTTGAGCTAGTTGGTCAAGTTCAGGCTGGGTCTTAACACCTTCTTGCTGATACTGATAGTGGCAGCTGAGAATGTTTTAATACCTGGGACATTTCCTGCGGCAGCCAGAATATAGTAATCTTCCTAGTAAATTACGGTGAATATAGTGCTTAATTATCAGTGTTTTTTTTTTTTTTTTTTTGAGACGAAGTCTCGCTCTTGTCCCCTAGGCTGGGGTGCAATGGCGTGATCTCGGCTCGCTGCACCTCCGCCTCCCGGGTTCAGGCGATTCTCCTGCCTTAGTCTCCCGAGTAGCTGGGATTACAGGTGCCCACCACCACACTTGGCTAGTTTTTGTATTTTTAGTAGAGATGGGGTTTCACCATGTTGGCCAGGCTGGTCTGAAACTCTTGACCTCAGGTGATCCGCCCAACTTGGCCTCCCAAAGTGTTGGGATTACAGGCGTGAGCCACTGCGCCGGCAGTGTGAGTGCTTCTTATCTAGTAACATATCTAAATCGTGTACTAAACATAAGACGTAGATGCTGTTCTTATCTCTACTTGACTGATGGAGAAACTGAGGCACAGAAAGTGAAGCGACTTGTCCACAGCTAGTGGCTAGCAGAGCTGGGATTCTTCTAGAACCAGAGTGGGCTTTGCTGTGGGTCGTGCACTGGGGAAAGAATCAAGTGTGTGGTGGTGGTGAAGGACTTGGAGGCCACCCACTCTGTCCTTGGGACAGTGACTTAACCTAAGCTTCAGTTTTGTCACCCTGTGAGGCCAGGATAACGACACCTGGGGGCCTGTGGGGGAGTGTGAAGTGCTCAGCATGCTTCGCGGCCCACAGGCAGGGTAAAAATCCTTAAGCGGAGAGGGACCCACGTTAGGCAGGTAAGGACAGATCAGCATCCCCAGGGCTGCCTGAGATGCTTTTGGCACCTGACCTCTTTGGAAGGCCTCAAAACTCTTTTTTTTCTTTTTTTTTTTTTTTGAGATAGAGTCTTCCTCTGTCACCAGGCTGGAGTGCAGTGGCGTAATCTTGGCTCACTGCAACCTCTGCCTCCTGGGTTCAAGTGATTGTCCTGCCTCAGCCTCCCGAGTAGCTGGGATTACAGGCACGTGCCACCATGCCTGGCTAATTTTTGTATTTTTAGTAGAGACGGGGTTTCAGCATCTTGGCCAGGCTGGTCTTGAACTCCTGACCTCGTGATCCACCCGCCTCAGCCTCCCAAAGTGCTGGGATTATAGGCATGAGCCACCACGCCTGGCTGAGAAAAGCTTCAAAACTTAATGAAGAAGGTCCACCAGGCGCCAGGAGACAGACTGATGTCAAATCATATGCCCAGAAGGTGGAGGAAGAAGCCCAGATGCCAGTGCCTCAGTTTTGATATAATGTCACACACCATGCAAGTCACATTTTTTTTTTTTTTTGAGACAGAGTCTCGCTCCGTCACCCAGGCTGGAGTTCAGTGGCTCCATCTCGGCTCACTGCAATCTCCGCCTCCCGGGTTCATGCGATTCTCCTGCCTCAGCCTCCTGAGTAGCTGGGACTACAGGCGCCCACCACCACGCCCGGCTAATTTTTTTTTTTTTTTTTTTTTTTTTTTGTATTTTTAGTAGAGACGAAGTTTTACCGTGTTAGCCAGGATGGTCTCGATCTCCTGACTTCGTGATCCACCTGCCTCGGCCTCCCAAAGTACTGGGATTACAGGCGTGAGCCACCACACCTGGCTGCAAGTCACATTTTGAGATGATCAGCTCTTTCCTTCTTCATGGGAAGACCCTTGGGGAAGTCACACCACACTCAGAGCCCACTTTTTAACCTGTTGTGACAAAGAATCATCCCAGGAAGTGGAGGCTAGAAGACAGTCTGGCCACCAGGTGCCTGTCACAGCTGCCTCACCTAGGAGCACACTGCTTCTGTTCCTGCTCCCTCCTAGCTGACTGTTCCCCACCGAGCCACAGGCAGAAGGCCTTTTTGCCTGTAAGTGGGAGGATCTTAGTGTGCCATGGCTCAGAACCTTCCCTCAGAGGCTTGTCATCTGTCCCCTGCTTTCCTCAGTTGTTACTATGCTACTGTCTTTCACAGATACCCAAAACCACGTTCCTGCCCTAAGCACATGCTATTCCCTCGGCCCTGGATGCCCTTCCCTCTGCTTTCCTCATGCCTGGCCCTTCGTGTTACCGAGCGCTCAGCTTCCATGTCCCCCAGAGAGACCTTCCTTGGCCATCCAATCTAAAGTCCAACCCCTTGCCTGTCACCCTGGCACCCCACTCATCTCCTTCGCAGCCCATCTGGGCTTGGGTTGTGTTTTCTTTCTTTTTTTTTTTTTTTCTGAGACGGAGTCCTGCCCTGTTGCCCAGGCTGGAGTGCAGTGGTGGGATTTTGGCTCACTGCAACCTCCACCTCCCGGGTTCAAGTGATTCTCCTGCCTCAGCCTCCTGAGTAGCTGGGATTACAGGTACCCGCCACCATGCCTGGCTAATTTTTGAATTTATTTAATTTTTTTTTTTTTTGAGACGGAGTCTCGCTCTGTCGCCCAGGCTGGAGTGCAGTGGCATGATCTCGGCTCACTGCAAGCTCCACCTCCCAGGTTCACGCCATTCTCCTGCCTCAGCCTCCCGAGTAGCTGGGAGTACAGGCACCCACCACCACGCCTGGCTAATTTATTTTTTATTTTTTATTTTTACTAGAGACAGGGTTTCACTGTGTCAGCCAGGATGGTCTCGATCTCCTGACCTCGTGATCCACCCTCCTCAGCCTCCCAAAGTGTTGGGATTACAGGCGTGAGCCACTGTGCCTGGCTAATTTTTGTATTTTTATTTATTTATTAAAAAATGTGTGTTTTTGAGGCAGAGTCGTGCTCTGTCACCTAGACTGGAGTGCAGTGGTGCGATCTTGGCTCTCTGCAACCTCTGCGTCTGGGATTCAAGCATTCTCCTGCCTCAGCCTCCCGAGTAGCTGGGATTACTGGTGCCCACCACCACACCCCACTAATTTTTGTATTTTTAGTACAGACAGGGTTTCATTGTGTTGGCCAGGCTGGTCTTGAACTCCTGACCACAAGTGATCCACCTGCCTGGGCCTCCCAAAGTGCTGGGATTACAGGCATGAGCCACCGTGCCTGGCCATAATTTTTGTATTTTTAGTAGAGGCAAGGTTTCACCATGTTGGCCAGGATGGCCTCGAACTCTTGATCTTAAGTGATCTGCCGGCCTCGGCCTCCCAAGTAGCTGGGACTGCAGGTGTGTATCACTATGTCTGGCTGCTTTTTTTTGTTTGTTTGTTTGTTTGAGTTGGAGTTTTGCTCTTGCCCAGGCTGGAGTGCAGTAGAGTGATCTCGATTCACTGCAACTTCCGCTTTCCGGTTTCAAGCCATTCTTTTGCCTCAGGCTCCGGAGTAACTGGGACTACAGGCCACACGCTGCTAATTTTGGTATTTTTAGTAGAGACAGGGTTTCACCATGTGGGCCAGGCTGATCTCGAACTCCTGAGCTCAAGTGATCTGCCCAACTTGGCCTCCCGAAGTGCTGGGATTACAGGTGTGAGCCACTGTTCCCGGCCAGTGCCTGGCTAATTTTTAAAGGATTTTTCTTGGTAGAGACGCAGTCTCACCGTGTTGCCCAGGCTGGTCTTGAACTCCTTGGTTCAAGTGATCTCCTGCCTCAGCCTCCCAAAGCTCTGGGATTCTAGGTGTATGCCACCGTGCCTGGCTGGCAACTGGCTTCTTCTGGCCTCTTGGCCACAAGCCCTGGGTCCATCCTGCCCGTGGCTGTCCTGTTCCCCATCATCTCAACCCTCCTGGCACAGCGGCCCTTCTGAGATGGAAGCTGCCGAGACAACACTGGGCACTCACCGCACAGGTTGTGGGCAGGTCCTGCTGGTCCAGGCCTTTTCCCGTCATAGGACCCTGCCTCTGTTTTCCAGTCCATCACTTATTCATTAGTTCATTTGTTCCAACATGTTTTTTCCCTCTTATCAATGCTAAGAATCGTGGGATGAACGAACCACATTCTCTGTCCTCAAGATCTTTTCATTTAAGCCAAGGCCTGAAGGTCGAGGTCTTTGGGGCCAGGGAGGAGAATGGTGTTCTAGGCAGAGGGAACCGAGTGGTGTGTGCAGAGGCATGGAGCCCAGAGTTTGCATATGTCCCACGTTGAGGGATGAGGCTGACAGGGCAGGGCTTTGTAGCCACCCAGAGAGACCTGTGGACTTCTTTTCATTTTTTTTTTTTTTTTGAGATGGAGTTTCACTCTTGTCACCAAGGCTGGAGTGCAATGGCACAATCTTGGGTCACTGCAACCTTCGCCTCCTGGGTTCAAGCGATTCTCCTGCCTCAGCCTCCCGATTGGCTGGGATTACCAGCTAACGTGCCACCACGCCTGGCGTATTTTTTGTATGTGTAGTAGACCGGGTTTCACATGTTGGCCAGGCTGGTTTCGAACTCCTGACCTCAAGTGATCCGCCCACCTCGGCCTTCCAGAATGCTGGGATTACAGGCGTGAGCCACTGCCCTGCCTCATTTTGATGGCAATGAAAGTCCCTTTTCTGTTTTATTCAATTACCTATGAATTATTGTTTTTAGTAGAGATGGGGTCTTGCTATATTGCCCAGGCTGGTCTCCAACTCTTGGGCTCAAGTGATCCTCCTGCCTTGACCTCCCAAAGTGCAGGGATTACAGGTGTGAGACACCATGCCCGACCACATTCTACTGATTTTACCTAAAAGATTCCCTATTGGAGGGCAGTTCATTTTTAAGTCCTCAGGGGGCCCTCATGCCATAGTGTTTTTTTTTTTTTTTTTTTTTTTTTTTTTCTGAGATGGAGTTTCGCTTTTGTGGCCCAGTCTGGAGTGCAGTGGTGCAATCTCGGCTCACTGCAACCTCCGCCTCCCGGGTTCAATCAATTCTCCTGCCTCAGCCTCCTGAGTAGCTGGGATTACAGGCATCCACCACCACTCCCGGCTAATTTTTTTATTTTTAGTAGAAATGTTGTTTTACTATATTGGCTAGGGTGGTCTCGAACTCCTGACCTCAGGTGATCTACACGCTTTGGCCTCCCAAAGTGTTGGGATTAGAGGCATTGAGGCACTGCACCTGCCCACCATGGTGTTTGTAATAAAAATGCACAGAGCATTTGTTCCTTATTCTGAGAAGTGTACCGTGGATTGCGTGTGGGGCTTACTGGGAGCAGAGCGACTCACCCCAGTTACATGGTTAGCTGCATGTGGGTCATGAGTGTTTCCCAGCCCTGCAAGGTGTAAAGGCCCTCTCTGTGGCCCTGTAGCTGTGTCACAGTGACAGGCTGGCATGGCCCTGCCTCTGTCCCTGCTCGAATCAGGCTCTTACGTAAGCAGAGCCCACCAGCCATTCACAGACTGCCTGAGAGAATGCAGGGCTTTATGCAGTCTCCTGGGTCCTTCCAAATTCTTTTTTTTTTTTTTTTCCATTTGAAAGTGAACAGGGATCACTGGCCAGAGCGTGGGATCTGGGCTTGTCCTCAGGGTGGGGTGCCAAGTTGGGGGTGGGGGTGGGAAGTTAACACAAGCCCTGGGGCTTCAGGAAACATCTGGAAACAGGCTGAAGTCACGGAGCTGAGCCTCCAGGCTCCTTGTGGGGAGAAGCTGTTTCCCCAGACACCTCAAGTGTCTAACTCAGGAGGTGGGCAGATGGGTGGAGCTGCTGAATGAATGTTTCTCAGGAGCTGGGTGGGGTTGGAGGATTGCAGAGGGTGGGGTGGGGGTGTGTGTGTGTGCAGATACTGGAATTCCTGAGGAGACATGTATAGTTGGAAACAGTGTATTGCCTGTATACTACTTGTTTCAGAGAATATATATATATATATATATATATATATATATTTTTTTTTTTTTTTTTTTTTTTTTTTTTTTTTTTTTGAGACGGAGTCTCGCTCTGTCGCCCAGGCTGGAGTGCAGTGGCGCGATCTAGGCTCACTGCAAGCTCCGTCTCCCGGGTTCACGCCATTCTCCTGCCTCAGCCTCCCGAGTAGCTGGGACTACAGGCGCCCGCTACCACGCCCGGCTAATTTTTTGTATTTTTAGTAGAGACGGGGTTTCACCGTGTTAGCCAGGATGGTCTCGATCTCCTGACCTCGTGATCCTCCCGCCTCGGCCTCCCAAAGTGCTGGGATTACAGGCGTGAGCCACCGCGCCCGGCTATATATATATTTTTAAATTGAGACAGAGTCTCCCTTTGTTGCCCAGGCTGGAGTGCAGTGGTATGATCGCAGCTCATTGCAACCTCTGCCTCCCAGGTTCAAGCAATTCTGCCTCTGCCTCCTGAGTAGCTGGGATTACAGGCATGCACCACCCCACACCTGGCTTATTTTTGTATTTTTAGTAGAGACAGGGTTTCACCATGTTGGCCAGGCAGGTCTCGAACTCCTGACCTCAAATGATCCTCCCGCCTCAGCCTCCCAAAGTGCTAGGATTACAGGTGTGAGCCAACGTGCCGGGCCTGGAGAATAGTTTAACAAAATCTCCCAGCCAGGGGTGGGGGATCCACAGAGGACAGAGCTGGAGAATCCCTATCCAAATACTGGTGTGGGGATGGTTTCTGGAGAGGCTGGCTGTGTGGTCTTGGTCTGAATGTGACAAAATACCTCCGAGAAGCCTCTGCCCCTGACTCACCCAGGCCACACTCATCACCTTGTCACCTCATGTTTGAGTTCTCCACACAGCACTTGGCACCTTCTGATAAGGCATGTTTGTGTAAGCCCCTGGCTCTCCCCTGTAACCCCTGGCCCTGGGGAGGGTCTCTGGATACTTGTGGAACGAGTATGTGTATGTTTGATAGAGGCCACTGTCTTACGGAGCACACAGGACAGGCTCAGCCGTTCAGCCGCATAATTGATGCCTGCCCTCAAAAGTCACTGCAACTGATCAGGACGAGGATGCTTGCATGATCTCGGGGTGTGCGGCCATTCTATGGGACTGGCAGGTCTGGCTTTGAGTGCGGGTCCTGAGCTTATAGCATATCCTTGGTGATAGTAGCAGAGGGTTCTGCTCTTCCATGAACCGGGCTCATCTTTTGCTGCTGCGGTGTTTGGCCATTCCTTTTTTTTTTTTTTTTGAGACAGGGTCTCACTCTGTCGCCCATGCTGGAGTGCAGTGGCACGATCACGGCTCCCTGCAACTCCAACTCCTGGGTTCAAGGGATTCTTGTGCCCCGGCCTCCCAAGTAGCTGAGACCACAGGTGCATGCCATCACGCCCGGCTAATTTGAAAATTTTCTGTAGAGATGGGGTCTTGCTGTGTTGCCTAAGCTGGTCTTGAACTCATGGGCTCCAGTGATCCTCCTGCCTCTGTTTCCCAAAGTGCTGGGATTACAGACAAGAGCCACCATGCCCAGCACGTGGCTTGTTTTGAACCATTGACACATCAGAATCTAGGAACTGCGGTGTCCTTTTCACTCCTTCCCTTCTCTGTTCCCTCCCTGGTCCAAGCACCTGAGTCTCTGCCCTGAGTTGTTTCTAAGCCTCTCACCACTGTCTCTGAAGCCACATTTGCTCCCTTACTGTTCCTCTGTCCCCAGCAGAGAGATGATTCTTCAAGAAACCAAAGCAGCCTGTGGCATTCCAGCGATTCCTCATTGCTCAAGGGTAAAACCTAAAGCACTTGTCTTGGCTCTGCTCCAGCCTGCTGCTTAGCTGCTCCCCCTAAAATTTACTCTGTTCCAGCCTCCGGGTGTCACCCGCTTCCCCAAAGCTCTGTGCTACCCCAGGGCCTTTGCATTCCCCGCCAGGGAGCCTCATGCTGGCCCTCAGCTGAAATCCCATTTCCTCAGCAGGGTCCTCCCGGGCACACCCACTGTGGCCCTCTGGGCCCTCTGCACCGCTGTCTCCTCTCCACAGCTCCTGGTACATCGTGACCCCGTATTATGTAATAGGTGCTTTGTTCATGTCCCCTTGAGCACCAGCAAGCCTAGGGGGTGGGGGGGATAGCCTCTCTCAGTCGTGCGCACTGTCATATCCCGGCCCTTGGATCGCTGCCCGCACGCTCTTGTTACACCCGCCTGACTGCCATTCATCACTGAGCCCAGCAGCTGGCACAGGCAGGCCCGACGCAGCAAGGGGCACAGTCCGTGTTGGTTGCGTGCATGGCGAGTGCAAACTGCACAGTTAGCAGAAAAGGTTTTTGGGAGTGACAGACACCCCTGCACACGGTTGAGCCCTTTGTAGGTCTCCGTGTGACAAGTACATCCCTGCTGTGCTTGGGAAAGGGCTGCGGCTTGGGAAAGGGCTGTGTGGGTTCCCTGGCTTCTTCCTGCTGTCCCCGAGGAGCATCGGAAATGGGTCACAACGCAGCAGGTAACCGCAGCCTCCCTCAGGCAGAGCTGAGTGGCTCAGTATTCCATCCAAGGCCTGATCAGAGCTCCTCTGGGCCACATAGAGCCCCCAGGACATGGCTGGACTAGGAGTTGGGACCCTGATCTCCCTTCCTGGCTGGGTCACGCCCGCCATGCCACTGACTCTTGGGGGACCTGCCTGGAAGGTGAGGAAGTGATCCATGCTAGCTCGTCCCTGGGGACCAAGTCCTTCTGCACCTGGGGTGGTCACAAATCTGCTTTCAGAAAAATCATGGGGGCGGCGCTGGGGGCTACTCAGCTGGGAAATCATTACAGACATTTCCGATCATAGATCACACTGAAAGTTTTTGGGCATCTAACTCAGAAGGAATTCTAGATTTGGGATTTTTTTTTTTGCTCTGAGAAAACTCCACCCTAGGCCAGGTGTAGTGGCTCACACCTGTAATTTCAGCACTTTGGAAGGCTGAGGTGGGCGGATCACTTGAGGTCAGGAGTTCAAGACCAGCCTGGTCAACATGCTGAAACCCCTCTTCTACTAAAAATACAAAAATTAACCAGGTGCAGTGGCACGTGTCTGTAATCCTGGCTACTTGCGAGGCTGAGGCAGGAGAATTGCTTGAACCCGGGAGGCAGAGGTTGTAGTGAGCAACCTCCTGCAGAAATTTTCTTTTTATTTATTTATTACAGAAACAGGGCTCTCACTATCTTGGCCTGGCTGCATGCACTACCGTGTCTAGCCTGGATTTTTCTTTCTATGCTTAGAACCTTTGGTCACTGAAATATTTCTTAAACATTATTTTTTCTTTTCTTTTTTTAAGACGGAGTCTTGCTCTGTTGCCCTGGCTGGAGTGCCGTGTCGCGATCTTGGCTTGCTGCAACCTCCACCTCTGAGGGCGGGTTCAAGCCATTCTCCCACCTTAGCCTCCCAGGTAGCTGGGACTACAGGTGCACACCACTACGCCCAGCTAACTTTAGTATTTTTAGTAGAAACAGGGTTTCACTATGTTGGCCAGGCTGGTCTCAAACTCCTGACCTCAAGTGATCTGATCTGCCCGCCTTGGCCTCCCAAAGTGCTGGGATTACAGGCATGAGCCACTGCACCCAGCCTAAAAATTAAATTTCAATTTGATCAACATGATAGGGTAATCAGTGCTAACCTTCAGTCATAAACATGTATTATAATAAGATCCTATGAAGGAGGGAAACAGAAACCAACGTCAAAGCAAAAAGAGAGCCAATGTTAAAGAGCTTATTCATAGCCTCTTATTTTTTTTTAAAGGGATAATGGTAGGTTTCAAATTACTGAAGCATTTAGACTCTAGATAGATTTAACAGAGTCCTGTAAATGTTTATGTAAAATTTTTAATACCGACAGTAGGCCAGAAATGACATCTTTTGCAACTCTTAAAGCTTGGGTAAAAATATTAGTTACAGGCGTGAGCCACCGTACCTGGCCTATTTTATTTTATTTTATTTTATTTTATGTTTTTTGAGACAGAGTCTCAGTCTGTTGCCCAGGCTGGAGTGCAGTGGCATGAACTCTGCTCACTGCAACCTCTGCCTCCCAAGTTCAAGTGATTCTCGTGCCTCAGTCTCCAGAGTAGCTGGGACTACAGGCATGTGCCACCACACCTGGCTAATTTTTTGTATTTTCAGTCGAGATGAGTTTTCACCATGTTAGCTAGGATGGTCTCAAACTCCTGACCTCAGGTAATCCACCTGCCTTGGCCTCCCAAAGTTCTGGGATTACAGGTGTGAGCCACTGTACCTAATATTTTTTTTTTTTTTTGAGTCAGGGTCTCATTCTGTCACCCAGGTTGGAGTGCAATGGTGCTATTATAGTTCACTGCAGCTTGGGCCTCCTGGGCTTAAGTGATACTCTTGCCTTAGCTTCCTGATTATGCTAGGACTACAGGTGCATACCACCTACAGCCGGCTACTTTTGTTTTTTTTTGGTAGAAATGGGGTCTTGCGATGTTGCCCAGGTTGGTCTTGGGTCTTGGGTCTTGGACTCTGGGCCTCGAGGGATCCTCCTGCCTTGGCCTCCCAACCATGTGTGTGTTTAATGGGCATTTCTTTTTTTTTTTTTTTTTTGAGACGGAGTCTCGCTCTGTCACCCAGGCTGGAGTGCAGTGGTGTGATCTCAGTTCACTGCCACCTCTGCCTCCTGGGTCAAGCGATTCTTCTGCCTCAGCCTCCCAAGTAGCTGGGACTACAGGCGCCCACCACCATGCCCAGCTAATTTTTTGTATTTTTTGTAGAGATGGGGTTTCACCGTGTTAGCCAGGATCGTGTCGATCTCCTGACTTCATGATCCGCCCCCTCGGCCTCCCAAAGTGCTGGGATTACAGGTGTGAGCCACTGTGCCTGGGCCTAATGGGCATTTCAAACTTTACATGTCCAAAATGGAGCTTCTGATTTTTCCTCTTGAACCTGCATTTCCCCACCCCCTTGGTGGCAGTTCCGGCCTGTTTGTTACCCAGGCCCTAAGCTGTTTGACTCTGCTCTTTCTCTCATGCCTCATGTCCAAATGTCAGCACATCCCTTAGCTCAGCATTCTAGAATTTAACCACTTCTCATCAGCCTCACTGCCGTTACCAGGCCTAAGCCAGGGGTTGGCAAACTTAATCCAGCTAGCAAAGATCTTAGGCTTTGCCTAAGGGTCTCTGCAGCACTGCTCATCTCTGTCGTCTCTTTTTTTTCTTTTAGAGACGGAGTTTTGCACTGTCGCCCAGGCTGGAGTGCGGTGGTGCGATCTCGACTCACTGCAACCTCCGCTTCCCAGGTTCAAGCAATTCTCCTGTCTCAGCCTCCCAAGTAGCTGGGATTACAGGCACGCATCACCACGTCTGGCTAATTTTTGTATTTTGGTAGAGACGGGTTCACCATGTTGGCCAGGCTGGTCTCAAACTCCTGATTTCAAGTGATCTGCTCACTTTGGCCTCCCAAAGTGCTGTGATTACAGGCGGGAGCCACCGCATCCAACCATCTCAGACATCTCAGCAGCAGTGATACCACTGTGGCAGCCACAGATGACATCCAGTGAGCATGGCGTGTTCAATACAACTCTATTTATGGACACCAAAATTTGAATTTAATTTTCACATATCATGAAATAGGTTTCTTTGATTTTTTTTTTCCATCCGCTTAAAAAGGTAAAAACGTCATGTATTTTTTAAAAGATAAAACAAAAGTTAAAGCCATTTTTAGTCGGTTCAAAAGCCGGCAGTAGACCAGAGTTGCCCTATCGGCTGTAGTTTGCTGACCCATTTGTCTAAGCCATCATTACCTTCACAGAATTATTTCCACAACCTTTAATTGGACTTTTTTTTTTTTTTTTTTTTGAGATGGAGTCTCACTCTGTCGCCAGGCTGGGGTGCAGTGGTGCGATCTCAGCTCACTGCAACCTCTGCCTCCCGGGTTCAAGCAGTTCTCCTGCCTCAGCCTCCCAAGGAGCTGGGACTACAGGCATGCGCCACCATGCCCAGCTAACTTTTGTATTTGTCATAGAGATGGGGTTTCACCATATTGGCCAGGCTAGTCTTGAACTCCTAGTCTTGAAGACCTTGTGATCTGCCCTCCTTGGCCCCCTAACCCGGCTAAGTTTTTAAAAGTTTTTGTAGAGATAAGGGTCTTACTATGTTGCCCAGCCTGGCCTCAAACTCTTGGGCTCAAGTGATCCTCCTGCCCTGGCCTCCCAAAGTGCTGGGATTACAGGCATGAGCCAGCGTACCTGACCTGCACTCAGCTTTTGGCCTCTTTATAAAATACTGTAGGCCAGGCGCAGTGGCTCACGCCTGTAATCCCAGCACTTAGGGAGGCTTAGGCGGGCAGATCACGAGGTCAGGAGTTTGAGACGAGCCTGACCAACATGGTGAAACCCCATCTCTACTAAAAATACAAAAATTAGCTGGGCATGGTGGCATGCACCCGTAATCCCAGCTACTCAGGAGGCTGAGGCAGGAGAATCACTGGAACTCGGCATGCGGAGGTTGCAGTGAGCCGAGATTGTGCCACTGCGCTCCAGCCTGGGCAACACAGTGAGACTCTGTCTCAAAAAAAAAAATAAAAAAAATAAACTATACACCTGCCCCCTTCAACTGCCACTCCCTGTCCCCTTTCCTTTCTTTCTTCTTTCCATGTCGCACGTCACCTTTGAACATATTACATATAGCGATTTATTTCATTGTCACTCTTTCTTTGCCAAGATGTGAGTTCCATGCGAGCAGGGATTTTTGTCTCTCCTTCTATAGCTGAACCCCACAGTCCTTAACAGGGCCTGGCATGTGTCAGTGAACAAACGAGCCTCAGTTTCCTTACCTGCAAAAGAGGATGAATACATTGTAAAGGAGATGATTCGTGTTGAGGATGAGCCTCCGTGCCTGGCTGGTTGTGAGTGGGCGGGTGGTGTTAGCTGCCGCCGCGTGTATAAAGCCTGCCACGTAGATCCCAGTCTAGGCTCTTTGGCAAGCTGAGCTCATGGGGGTGGACTAACCTGTCTGCTGGACTCGGGCAGTCGGGGGTTGGCCCGGATGAGCTCCTCCTGCTCCTCCAGTCAGTTTGTATCTGCAGGGCTCAGCCTCTGGCCCCCTTCCAGCTTCCTGGTCCGACAGCGCCTTCCTGCCCTGAGTTGGAGAGAGACCCAGGTGTCGTCCCCAACTGCCACCCAGCTGTGGGTGCAGGGATGCAGTTCTGGACCATCCCCTGGGGGTCTGGGACCTGGGGAGTTGAGTGTTTGGCCTTTACACTGGAGCTCCTTGAGGGCTGGCCCCAGCGGCCAGGAGTGTCAGTTTTTTGGTTTGTTTGTTTTTTAGATGGAGTCTTGCTCTGTTGCACATGCAGCAGTATAGTGGCGTGATCTCAGCTCACTGCAACCTTCACCTCCTGGGTTCATGCGATTCTCCTGTCTCAGCCTCCCCCGTAGCTGGGACTACAGGCCCGTACCACTATGCCCAGCTAATTTTTGTAGAGACAGGGTTTCACCATGTTAGCCAGGCTGGTGTCGAACTCCTGACCTCAGATGATCTGCCCACCTTGGCCTCCCAGAGTACTGGGATTACAGGCATGAACTACCACACCCGGCCGCTCCTTTTACTTATGAGGACACTCCTTTCTCTTATTAAGTCCACCTTAAATTCAGGATAATGTCATCTTAAGATCCTTAATTATATCTGCAAAGACACTATTTTTTTTTCTTTTTTTGATATGGAGTCTTGCTTTGTCACCCAGGCTGGAGTGCAGTGGTGCGATCTCGGCTCACTGCAACCTCCACCTCCCAGGTTCATAACGATTCTCCTGCCTCAGGCTCCTGAGTAGCTGGGATTACAGGCACCCACCACCACACCCAGCTAATTTTTTTGTATTTTTAGTAGAGATAGGGTTTCATCATGTTGGCCAGGCTACTCTCGAACTCCTGACCTCAGGTGATCCACCCACCTCGGCCTCCCAGAGTACTGGGATTACAGGCGTGAGCCACTGCACCTGGCCAATTATTATATTTTGTGTAGAGAAGGAGTTTTGACATGTTGCACAGGCTGCAGGAATTCCCTAATTCCTAAGCAGTCCCTGTGTTAGATGGTCTTGCAGGCACACCCATTTACTAGTTGGAGAAGCAGACAGGCAAGGCAGGTCTGACACCGCCCCCTGTGGCAGTGCCTCTCAGTCAGCATTGAGGACGCGCCCCTGCTTTTCTAGGCCCATTGGCTGTCTTAGCTAGTGACAGGAAAACATGCAGGAGGCATTGCCACAGCTGTAAACCCTGCCTGGGCCCCGCTGTGGTATGAGTTGCTGATAGACCTTTTGCTCTGGTACAGCCTGGCTGTGTGAGGCTGTGGGGCAGAGGCCAGCGGGCTGGGTCCTCAGGCCAGGCAGAGAGGCTCAGTTCTTGGTGTCTGCTGGAGGATCGCATCCAGGGTGGTGGGTTTTTTGTTTTTTTGTTTTTGTTTTTCTTTTGTTTGGTTTTACCCTTATTTCTTTATTTCTTCCTTTCTTCCTCTTTTTCTTTCCTTTCTCTCTCTCTCTCTCCCCCTCCCTCCCTCCCTCTCTCTCTCCCTCCCTCCCTCTCTCTCTCTCTCTCTCTCTCTCTTTCTCTCTTTTTTTTTTTTTGAGATGGAGTCTCGCTCTGTCGCCCAGGCTGGAGTGCAGTCAGTGGTGCAGTCATAACTCAGCCTTGACCTCCTGGGCTCAAGCAGTCCATCTACCTTGGCCTCCCAAAGTGCTGAGATTACAGGCATGAGCCACCGCGCCTGGCCTTTTTCTTTTCTTTCTTTCTTTCTTTCTTTTTTCTTTTTTTTTTTTTTTGAGATAGCGTGTCTTCTGTCCCCCAGGCTGGAGTGCAGTGGTGCAATGATAGGTCACTGCAGCCTTGACCTCCCGGGCTCAAGCAATCCTCCCAGTCTGGCCTCCCAAACTGCTGGGATTATAGGCGTGAGCCACCGTGCCCGGCCTGCCTTTTCCTTTCTCTGTTGCACATAGCCCTGCTCTCTAGGATGGAGGCATTATTTTATTGTAGGAGCTTTGGGCCTGAGCAAGCTGGGTGGACACTCACATGGGCACTTCCAGGCTACTTACCTTGGGCGAGGGCTTCCTCGTTCCCAAGCCCCAGTTTTCCAAGCCACGTAACAGGCATCACAGTCTTTTTCTTTTCTTTTCTTTTCTTTTTTTTTGAGAGGAGTCTCGTTCTGTCGCCCAGGCTGGAGTGCAGTGGCGCAATCTCTGGCTCACTGCAAGCTCCGCCTCCCGGGTTCACGCCATTCTCCTGCCTCAGCCTCCCGAGTAGCTGGGACTACAGGCACCCGCCACCATGCCCGGCTAACTTTTTTTGTACTTTTAGTAGAGACGGGGTTTCACTGTGTTAGCCAGGATGGTCTTGATCTCCTGACCTCGTGATCCACCCGCCTCGGCCTCCCAAAGTGCTGGGATTACAGGTGTGAGCCACTGCGCCCGGCCCAGTCTTTTTCTTATAGGGCCTGGGTGAGGCCTGGGTGGCAGTCTCAGCATAGTCCTAGGTACAGGGTGAGCATCTGATAGATGTCACGTCTGAATGAAACGGGCGAGATCAGCGTCGCTCTGGGTGGGCCAGTGCTCCTCGGAGGCCCTGAGGGCACAACCGCAGGGATGGGTGTAGGCTGTGGGTACCACTGAGAATGGGGGGCAGGCCCAGGGCTGAGACCCAGGTTCTCCAACTTCCCACTGTGTTTGTCTTGTGCCATATTCATCCTCTATGAATGGCTGTGGCTGCTCGCCCAAGCCAGGAGCTCGTGCGTCCGATGACCATCTTCCAAGGCTGGATTGCTACCTGCTCGCTCGGGGCTCTGCTGGATGGGAACAGCAGCTCCAGCTTCTCCGGGTCCCGGGCTACCGCTGCCTCTGCACCTGGCCCTGGCCTCGGATCCGAGAGCCCAGAGACATTGGCATTGAGACCCTGGCACCTCTCGTCTTGCCAGCACAGGTAGAAGACAGGAGCAGAGCGGTCCAGGGACCTGGGAGTGGGAGGTCAGCCACTCTCAGCCCTTCCTCCCCACCCTGGGTGACATTCTGCTTCCACTGTGGCGCCTCGGGGAGGCTGGTGCAGCCGCCCCCGGGTGCCACTGAGAAACGAGGTCATACACTGAGGCCACTGGGGAAGGTGGTATTTCTGGCCGAGCAGGTGTGGCCTGTGCAGGGTTCCTGGCAGCTGAGCCCTAGGTCTTCTCAGCCATCCTGGCATTAGCAGGTTGACTTGATATTTCTGGAAGTGGGAAGGAAAGGGAGCCGAGAGGGCTGAGCCGCTGAGCCGGAGTCCAGATGAATGTGCCGGAGTCTCTGCATTTGTGATGGGGGCGAGGTGATGGGGGCGAGGTGGCCGGCGTGGCTCTGGGCATGATCGGGCCAGGCCTCCGACCTCTATGCTGGGCATTGGCTGGACAGGGAGCTCAGGCGATGAGTGCAGCAGCGCTTGTGCCCGGCGCGGGGATGGTGAGTGCCTGGCTGGCCAGCTGCAGGACCTGTCAGGCCCTTTGTGTCTTTACCTGGGGCCCTGGTTGCACTGACCAGGGCTCGCACCCCCAGCCAGGCCTCTTGTGCCCCAGACTCGGGAGATGCTTCCTACCAGGAAGTGCAGTCCCCTGCGGGGTCCGAGAGAGCCTGCCGGAGCTTTGAGCTCAACAGGTGGGCTGTGCGGCACCACATCAGCTCTGCAAGGGGGCCCTGGAGGCCCATGTGTGGTGGGGTATGGCCTGGCTTTCAACATGCACGCGTGGTCTTCTGGGCTCTGGGATTTACTGCTTAGATCTTGGCCTCTTCATCTGTGAAACGGAGCTAATGGCTCCTGCTCCCTCCGGCTGCTGCAGGAGAGATGTCTGGGAAGCTGTGGCAGTTCCAGCCCCGGGCAGGGAACGTGAAATAACTGTTGGTCGCTGTTCTCACTCATCACCATTAGGCAGGTCACGTCCTAGGACACACAGAAGTTTCAGGTTCATAAGCCATGGGAGATGAGGCCGGCCCAGAATCCAAGCTTCCCGCTCTGGCCCGGGTCTGCCCCTCTTCTGGGGCTGAGAGGGCAGGCAGGTGCCTTGCTGGGTCCTGTGGTGTGGACTCTGCCGCCAGCAAGGCCATTGAACCTGCTTGTTTACAGCCGGGAGAGGACTGGGAAGCACCAGTCTTGGCTTGTTTGTGAAGCTGGGGAAGCCGAAGCTCCAGAGGCCTTCTGTGCATGGCTGTGTGTGCCAGGCCTTCAGGCTGCGCCTCCAGGGGATGAGCAGGAATTGCAGGCTCAGCTCTTCCAGCCTTGGCTCAGGTGGTGCCTGCTCCTCCCTCCTTCCCTGTACCTCTCATCCCCACACCCACTCCACTCTCAGGCCACACCCACTCTTCACCTCCACATCTGTCCAGAATTTCACTGCTTGTCTCTGCCTTGTGCTTTTTTTTTTTGAGATGGAGTTTCACTCTGTCACCAGGTTGGAGTGCAGTGGCCTGACCTCTGCTCACTGCAACCTCCGCCTCCTGGGTTCAATCGATTCTCTTGCCTCAGCCTCCTGAGTAGCTGGGACTACAGGCGTGTGCCACCATGCCCAGCTAATTTTTGTATTTTTAGTAGAGATGGGGTTTCACCATGTTAGCCTGGCTGGTCTTGATCTCTTGACCTTGTGATCTGCCCACGTCCGCCTCCCAGAGTGCTGGGATTACAGGCGTGAGCCACTGCGCCTGGCCTTGTTTTTTTTTTTTTGAGACAGGGTCTTGCTTTGTCCCCCAGGCAGGGGTGCCGTAGTGTAATCAATCATGGCTCACTGCAGCCTGGAACTCCTAGGCTTAAGCGATCCTTCTGTCACAGCCCCTGAGGAGTAGGTAGGACCATAGGTGCGAGTCACCACACCCAGCTAATTTTTTATTTTTGTTTTTTGAGATGGAGTCTTGCTCTGTGGCCCAGGCTGGAGTGCAGTGGTGTGATCTCGGCTCACTGCAACCTCTGCCTCCTGGGTTCAAGCGATTCTCCTGCCTCAGCCTCCTGAGTAGCTGGGATTACAGGTGCCCACTGCCATGCCCAGCAAATTTTTTTGTATTTTTATTTATTCTTTTTTTTTTTTTTTTTTTTTTTTTTAGACAGAGCCTCACTCTATTGCCCAGGCTGGAGTGCAGTGGTGCAATCTTGGCTCACCACAACCTCCATCTCCTGGGTTTAAGTGATTCTTGTGCCTCAGCCTCCCAAGTGGCTGGGATTACAGGTGTGTGCCACCACACTTGGCTAATTTTTGTGTTTTTACACGGGGTTTTACCATGTTGGCCAGGCTGGTCTCGAACTCCTGACCTCAGGTGATCTGCCCACCTCAGCCTCCCAAAGTGCTTGGATTACAGGTGTGAGTCACCATGCGTGGACACAGCTAATTTTTATAAATACTTTTTGTGGAGGCAGAGCCTTGCTATTTTGCCCAAGCTGGTCTTGAACTCCTGGGCTTAAGTGATCATCCTGTCTCAGCCTCCTAAAGTGCTGGGATTCCAGGCGTGAGCCACTGCGCCCAGCCCACTTTTCACCTCTCTATAGCTCCCTCTTTGCTCCCAGCTTCTGCCCTCACTCCTCCAGTCTGTTCCACCCAGCAGTGGCAAGCAGGTAAAGCTGGGGAAGCCAAGTCTTGAACCTGAGCCAAGTCTCATCCCTCCTCTGCTCAAGAACCCTCTATGGCTGCCACTTCACTCAGAGTAAAAGCTAACGTCCTCCCCGTGGCCCACAAAGCCGTGGCACAGACCGCCACATCACCTTTCTGCCCTCACCTCCTCCCACTCTCTCCCTGACTCACTCTGCTCAGGCCACACAGGACTCCTTCCTGCTCAGCCACGCTAGGTATGGTCCAGCCTCAGGGCCTTGGCACTTACTGTTCCCTCTGCCTGGACTGCACTGGTTCCCCCACTGTCTACTGGCCTTTGTTCACACGCCACTTTCTCAGAAAGGGCTTCTCTGACCACTCTCAAATGGCCATCCTCTTGGAGGTTGCAGTGAGCCGAGATCGCGCCACTGCATTCCAGCCTGGGCGACAGCGAGACTCTCTCAAAAAAAAAACAAAAACAAAAAAAACCACATTGTGACCTCCCCCACAACCTTCTAGTTTTGTTCACAACTCTTGGTGACAAAACATGCTATGGCTATCTGCCCCCACCCCCTGCTTGCCCAGCACGCACAGGCTAGAATTCAGGTCCCATGAACCCCAGAGGCTGGCTTGGTTTTTTTCACTGCCATATCCCAGGAACTGGAACAGTGCCTGGGGTATGGGAAGGAGGGAGTCAGGAATGAATGAATGGATAAATGAATGCAGGCTCCCTGAGCTCTCTTGGCTGGTGGCAGGGCCAGGGTTAAGGTCCCATTCTGCACCAGAGCTGTCTCCGTCCCTGACATCGGCTTTGGGACTGTTCCTGAGCCGGCTGCTGCGGGTGCCCTTCCAGCAGGCGGGAGTAAGTCTGTGCGGCCACAAGGGGGCAGTGGGGAGCGTCGCAGCCTCCGCCGCTTGCAGCCAGTCATCCCGGTGGTGACGGGTCAGCTCGGCCTCTGCACCGAAAGTATCTCGCTATTGTTAGGGTTTGGGTTCACTGTGACCAGCTGGGCGAGGCATCAGTGCACCAGCTCTCTGGCCCTGGCTTCCTGTGGATGGGCCCCTTCAAGAGCATGGTCAGCGTCCCAGGAGAAGGGGCCTGTGGATCCTGCCAGGGTTTGGCCCCCTTGTGCACCTGGCATGGCTGTTCTGCTAGTGTTGGTCTAATCTTATTTATTTATTTATTTATTTATTTATTTATTTATTTATTTTGAGACAGGGTCTTGCTGTGTCGCCCAGGCTGGAGTGCAATGGCATAAACTCAGCTCACTGCAACCTCCACCGTCCTGAGTTCAAGCAATTCTCCTGACTCAACCTCCTGAGTAGCTGGGATTACAGGCACACACCACCATGCCTGGCTAATTTTTGTATTTTTATTAGAGACGGGGTTTCACCATGTTGGGCAGGCTGGTCTCGAACTCCTGGCCTCAGGTGATCTGCCTGCTTCGGCCTCCCAAAGTGCTGGGATTACAGGTGTGAGCCATAGTGCCCCGCCTAATCATATTTATTCTTTTTTTAAATTTTGAGATGGAGTCTTGCTCTGTCTCCCAGGCTGGAGTGCAGTGGTGCGATATCAGCTCACTGCAACCTCCTCCTCCTGGGTTCAAGCAATTCTCCTGCCACAGCCTCCTGAGTAGCTGGGATTACAGGCATGCACCACCACGCCTGGCTAATTTTTGTATCTTTGGTAGAGACGGGGTTTCGCCATGTTGTCCAGGCTGGTCTTGAACTCCTGACCTCAGGTAACCCGCCCACCTTGGCCTCCCAAAGTGCTAGGATTACAGGCATGAGCCACCGTGCCCGGTCATCATATTTATTCTTTTTTTTTGAGATGGAGTCTTGCTCTGTCGCCCAGGCTGGAGTGCAGTGGCGCGATCTCGGTTCACTGCAAGCTCTGCCTCCCGGGTTCGCGCCATTCTCCTGCCTCAGCCTCCCGAGTAGCTGGGACTACAGGCACCCACCACCGCACCCGGCTAATTTTTTGTATTTTTAGTAGAGATGGGGTTTCACCGTGTTAGCCAGGATGGTCTCGATCTCCTGACCTCGTGATTCGCCCGCCTCGGCCTCCCAAAGTGCTGGCATTACAGGCGTGAGCCACCACGCCCGGCCTATATTTATCCTTAATAAGATTTATCCTAAACTGGGGATGATTACGGTAACCCTGTCAGATGGCAGCTGGGGACAGCCCACTTTGCCATGAGTAGATGGAAGTTCAGAGAGGTTGGGTAACTTGCCCAGGGCCACACAGCCAGGAAATGGGCAGGTCTGCTTCTCTGGGTTGTTCACCCACCAGGCGGGCGGGTTCCCAGGAGCTGTGACAAGTGCTTAGACAACGAGAGCCCCCCTTTTCACTCCTCCTGCCCCCATTAGTAATATCTTCATGACCACAAAGACAGTGAAGACGGGCTCTGTTGCTTGCGGCACTCCCCTCTGGGCTTGGGAGGCACAAACCTCGCCCCTGCTCCCTCTTGCAGGGTGCGCTTCACGCCGCACCGTGTGTCCTGGCTCTTGGCTCTGCCCTGACCTCGTGCTGCGACGAGTTGCTGTTGGCTGGGCCCCGGGAATCTTGGGCCTCCTGGTGAGAATTCCTCTCAGGCTAGTGGAACTGTCATCACAGAGCCACAGGCCGGCAGAGCCACCAGCCTGTGCCCCAGGCCAGAGTGCCTGCCTGTCTGCCCGTTCCTGCCCTCTCCCTGCCCGTCGTGCCTGAGGCTATGTGGTCTCACCCCTTGCCCGTGGCCAGTGCTGGGACCTCGCTGACACCAGTAGCCCCCCTCCCACAGGTATCCCTTCATCCACCCAGAGCATCTCAGCCCCTCCCAGCCCCTCCGAGTGGCTCCGTGGGCTTCCTCAGAAGGTCCTGTCTGTCCTCCCTGCCTCACCGCTTCTCCTGGAGATGGGGCCAGAGCCTGCCACCTCCCCGTCTGTGCTCAGGATCCCCTGCCTGGGGCTCTGTTCAGCAGCTGCCTGTACCCTCTGCAGCCCTGGGCTTCCCCTGGGAGCCCCTGCCCCCTGTTGGCCTCAGGCCTGGGCAGGCGTGTGTGTGTGTGGCAGGCACAGAGCAGAGATTGGGGTGGCAGTGGGGTGTGGGGCGCGGAGCCCTCGATGAGGTCTCACATTAGGCCCTCCCTCTGAGGGGTGGGGAACCTCTCCTGCTCCTCCCACCCGACTGTTTTTATTTTGATGGGTATGTGGGGCCTGTTTGTTACCCCTCACCCCTTTAAACAATAATTTATTGAGGTGAAATTCATGTAACATGAAACTAACCATTTAAAAGTGAACAGTGGCATTGAGTGCACGTGCATCATTGTGCAGCCTCCACCTCTGTCTCGTCCCAGAACATTTTCCTCACTCTGAAAGGAGACCGGGTACCCAGCAGCAGCCACTCCCCATTCCCCCCGCCCAGCCCCTGGCCCCTCCAATTTGCTTTTCTGTCTGTCTGCTCTGGGTATTTTGCATAGATATGGGACCTTTGTGTCTGGCTTGTTTCCTAGCGTAACTTATTTCTTTTACCCCACCTGGAATATCTTATTTAACTTTCTTACTTAGAAATAATTATAGGCCGGGCCAGGTGGCTCACGCCTATAATCCTAGCACTTTGGGAGGCCGAGGTGGTGGATTGCCTGAGCTCAGGAGTTCGAGACCAGCCTGGGCAACATGGTGAAACCCCATCTCTCCTAAAATACAAAAAATTAGCTGGATGTGGTGGTGTGTGCCTGTAATCCCAGCTACTCTGGAGGCTGAGGCAGGAGAATCGTTTGAACCTGGGGGGCGGAGGTTGCAGTGAGTCAAGATCGCACTGCTGCACTCCAACCTGGGCGACAGAGTGAGACTCTGTCTCAAAAAAAAAAAAAAATTATAGAGACACAGGGAATTGCAAGAATAGTATGGAGAGGTCTCCTGCTCCCCCCAGAGCCTTTCAGTCCTCTCTCTAGGAGGAGATGGCCGACGAGCTGGGGATTTGGGGCAGGAAATGGGAGACGGACGGCCGTCCCACTGAGGACTCATCCTGCCCAGGTGGCCCTAGCCTTGGGCATTTCTTGTCTGTAGGGGCCCCTAGGTGCTGCCTTGCAGCCCGGGCTTACCTCCTTGCAGGTTTGGGCGTCTCCTCTCCTTGGGCCTCAGGCTGGCCTGGGCACCACTGCTGCAGCTGTGAGCGTGGCCCCTCTCTCGCTACCCCCTCCTGCCGCAGCCCGGCGTCCTCTCCCAGCAGCTAGCCGGGACCCCGATGGCCGTACTCTCCCTCTTGGGCCCTGGTTTGGTGCCCAGGTTGGGGGGAGCAGGGTACGATTTCACCCCTCCCACTAGCAGCTGGCTGGACAGGGAGAGGGGCTGGTTGTATTTTAAGCTGTTGAGTGGTTCAGCAGGAACTCGGAGGCCTTCTCTCCCTGTGGACGCTAGGCTGCCTTCCTACAGGCCACACGGGCTTGGAAGCATGTGGGCACTGCCTGCCTGGGGCCCAGGAACTATTAATATACCTGCAGCCACAGGGCAGGCCCCGTGCCCGCCCAGGGCCCTGCTGTGCTAACCCTTTCCCGTGGATCCCGCCCCGTGTCCTCTGTCCCTATCCTACATATCCCCTTGGTGGGGCCCAACGTCCTGCGTGGTGTGACCGAGCTCTTTTTTTCTGGCCCCTCCATGTGCCAGCTCTTTGGCCTTGTTATCGCTGTGGCTTGGAGGAGTTCAGTAACCTTCCCCTAGAGGCCACAAGGCCAGGCAGTGCCTGGAGTTGACAGCAGGGACTCAGGAGGCCCCGTGGGCCAGGATTTCCTGGCTGCTGGGCCCATTCCCACCCTCCTGTCCAGGAAGTGGGGGCGAGTGTGTCATGGCTGGGGAAATAGGCCCCCATGCTGTGGTGACTGCCAGGCCAGCAGGGGAGTGGGGATCTGAACCAAACCCACGGGCAACAATGCCTCCTATCCCATGGGGTGCCTCCCATCTGTCAGGGGTCACCTAGTGTACCCCATGCATTGTCTCAGGGGACCGTCACAGTCCTGGGAGGTAGTCTGCTTCCTACCTGCCCCCTTCTGAGGCCTAGAGAGAGGTGACATGCCTGGGGTCCCCCAGGGACTACAAGGCAGGGCTGGTTACGGTTCCCGAGTGCAGGCCACCAAGCCCCCTTGTCTCCCGCTGTCGTTGGGAATGTGCAGGAGGGGTACCCAGCTTCTCTGGCTTGACCGTGGTGCCCTCATCTTCAGGATGGGCCCTAGCTGCCGTGGCCCGGTCTCCCTGGGCTCTGGGTGGGTGGGCCTGCCCTGGGATGGCCCCAGCCCAGAGGTTTGTTTCTGAGCATTGTGTCCTGCTCCTTTTCCTCAGGCAGCCTCTGGGGGCCCCCGCTGGGTTTCTGTGGGTAGGAAGGGTCCCCCAAGAATTGCTGGCTGGTGGCTGACTTGGGATCAGGCCTGCCTGCTTGCCACGACCCCTGTATAATAGGATTGCACTGACCCCTGCATAGGGTGGGTCAGATCCCCGGGGGCTGCCTCCCTCCAGCCCTGCCCCTCTGCACCCCCATCGTTCATCACTGGCCTGGGGGCTCAGGGAGGGCTGGGCCAGACTCCTACCTCAGGGGCTGGCACAGGCCTGGCTCTTGGACGCAGGAAGCGCCGGGCTTTAGTGGGGCGCAGGTCCTGGGTGAGGGTGCAGTGTTTGGGCTGACTCAGTGGAAAGCCTGCCCCACAGGTGGCTATAAGGTGAGAAGTGGGTGGGGAGGAAGGTTGGGGAGACCTCATCAGCCCAAGCTGGAGGCGGTTGCCTAAAACTTCCACACACCCCGATCCTTTCCACACTTCGAGAGAGGCTCTCTGCACCCATAACTCCAGAATCTGTCACCTCCCTGGTAACACAAATGCACAAGGAAAATAATCCAAAGTGTCTCTTACAGCTCAGAAGGGGAAATGGATGATCTGTCTCGCGGATTCTCAAAATAGCTGGGATTTCTCCAAGCCCAGTGAACTCCCTAGGCCTGAGCTGCGGGCTGGGGCCTGCACGGCCCGCTGGCCTCTCACTCTCCTCTAGCCACTGGCTCTGTGCAGGGCGGGGGCTGGGAGGTGTTGTCATGCCTGCCCCTGGGGCTTTCCCTGTGCTGGTGCCGTTGAGGGTTTTGAGGTGACCACTCAAAAGCTGCTTTCAGGGCAGCCTGGCTCCCCGGGGAGACTCCCAAGCCCCCCTCAGAGAAGGTCTGTGGCATGGCTCCTGGGGGGCGCAGTCTGGGGTGGTTTTATATTTAGCTGGGCTGTGGCTGTGGTTGCCACTCGGGTTACATCTGGCACAGAAGTCGGCAGTGCCAGGGCCGGCACGGGCTCCTTTCCAGCACCGCGGCAGAATTTGATCGCGCTTGCCCGGCCCAGGGCTGCTTCCCGTGGGGAGGTCGGTGGTGGGGGCTGACGGCCGGCAGCTGGGGCTGCTGGCCACCGTGGGCAGAGCCGAGTGGCAGGGCTGGTGGCAGGCGGCATGGACTTGAACTTGAGCTTGTTGGCCCGGGAGGCCACCCCAGGCCTCCTCCCTGGCCTCAATGGGCTCCCCAGGCCCACACCCCCAAAGGTGGCCAAGAAACCTAAAAAGGCTGTTCTCTTCTTCGAGGTGGAGATTCTGGACGCAAAGACAAGGGAGAAGCTGTGTTTCTTGGACAAGGTAGGACTGGGGCGTGGGCTGCACTGGGCCAAGGGCACTGGGCCCGGGACCCCAATCCTTATAGCCCAGGAGCTGTCCAGTGGGGCCCTTTGTGCCCCACCCCCTGCCCTATGGAGGGGTATGCCCTCACTTGGGGTAGGGTGGATAGCCATGTCCCCTGGGTGTGGCGGGGAAATGGAGGCACAGGAGTCTCAGTGGACCCTGCGGGGATTTTGGTCCTGGGAGGGCGGTGGAGGAGTGAGCCTTGCCCCTGCTGAGGCCGGGCCTGGGGGAAGGGGCTTGCGCTGTCCCTGGGGAGGACAGAGGGCCTTTGCTCCTGGGAGAGTCATGGGTGAGAAGTGGAGAGGAGGGGCAGAGAAGCAGGCTTGCCTTCCCATGCTTAATCCGCCACTAGCCGGGCTGGGGGCCTGCTGGCTGAGGGTAAAAGTGGAGCCCCAGACCCCTGCTGTCACTGCACTGGCAGGGCCCTCGGTGGTCCTTCCCTGACTGCAGGCAGAGGCCTGGACCCCAGCCCTTCCCCCTTCCCATAGCTACAGCCCAACCCCCAGCCTGCCATCCCCTTTAGTACCTCCCCATCCTGAGTCTGGGCTCCCCGCAGAGCTGACGTCCCTGCGCCTGTGCTTCCCCCAGGTGGAGCCCCACGCCACCATTGCGGAGATCAAGAACCTCTTCACTAAGACCCGTGAGTTCTAGTCCCGGCCACACTGCCCCTGCAACCCCTTTGACCAGGGACCTTAGGGTGGGAGGGATCCCATCCTGCACCCCTCTCCCAGGGGCCTGCAGAGATGCCCCAGTGTGGCCCAGGCTTCTGGGGCGTGACTGGGGCAGGCGCCTCCACGTGGCACTCCGCAGGAACGCCCTTGCTAGGCTCTGGGAAGGACAAGATCCTGCTTCTGCCCGCGCTCTTCTGGCTTGTGTCCTGAAACCGCACAAGCCTGAGGGTTTGCCCCCAGGTGGGAGGAGCTGTGGAGTCCTGGGGTCCTTGCACCCTGGGAACCCTGAGAAGCTGGCACAGTGGCTGGGCAGCGGACCGGCTGAGCCCTGCCAGGCTGTGGGCTGTAACTGCCCTGTTCTCCCCGCAGATCCGCAGTGGTACCCCGCCCGCCAGTCCCTCCGCCTGGACCCCAGTGAGTACAGCTGTCCACTCGGCCCGCCCCCTGGGCTCCTGGGTGGCAGTGGGAGAAGGCCCGGGTAGCCCCTGAGCCCTGGCCCGCCTCTCTGCAGAGGGCAAGTCCCTGAAGGATGAGGATGTTCTGCAGAAGCTGCCCGTGGGCACCACGGCCACACTGTACTTCCGGGACCTGGGGGCCCAGATCAGCTGGGTGACGGTGAGTCCTGACCCTACCCACGGCCTCTTTTCCCGTCAGCCACGTTGGGTGACTCATCTTGCCCCCCTCTACTCTCAGGTCTTCCTAACAGAGTACGCGGGGCCCCTTTTCATCTACCTGCTCTTCTACTTCCGAGTGCCCTTCATCTATGGCCACAAATATGACTTTACGTCCAGTCGGCATACAGTGGTGCAGTAAGTGGGGCAGGTGGGAGGAGGGTAGGGGAAGGCAGAAGACCTGCCGGACCAGCCCCAGCTGAGCCTGCTCCCCCCGACCAGCCTCGCCTGCATCTGTCACTCATTCCACTACATCAAGCGCCTGCTGGAGACGCTCTTCGTGCACCGCTTCTCCCATGGCACTATGCCTTTGCGCAACATCTTCAAGGTGAGAGCCCGTCCCCGCCTCACCCCTAAGCCCCGCCTTTCTGCCCCACCCCGCCCCGCCCCCACCGAGCCCCACCCCAAGGCCCTTCCTGTCTGCCACTACGCCCCAGCAGAGCCCTACCCCTAGGCCCCGCCTAACCTCCCCAGCCCCGCCCTCGCAGAGCCTCTAGACCCCGCCCGTCCTCCCCAGCCCCGCCCCCGTCGGGCCCCTAGGCCTGCCTATCCACCCTAGTCCCACCCCTAGGCACCGCCTATCCCCCCAGCCCCGCCCCTGCAGAGCCCCGCCCCAGTTTCACCCCTAGGCCCCTCCTGTCCACCACGCCCTCACAGAGCCCTGCCCTAGCCTCACCCCTTGGCCCCGCCTATCCTCCCCAGCCCCGCCCCAAGGCCCCTCCTGTCCTTTCCCACCATGCTCCCAGGCCCCTCGGGATGAGACATGGGCAGCATCTGCCTTGTCCGGTGCTGGCCCAAGTCCCATCCCTGCCCTGCTCCCTTTCAGAACTGCACCTACTACTGGGGCTTCGCCGCGTGGATGGCCTATTACATCAATCACCCTCTCTACACTCCCCCTAGTAAGTGGCCTCAGACCATCCTTCCCTCCCCCACGGTCCCCACCCAGCGGGTCCTCCCCTCATGGGCTCCCCTCCCTGCTTCCTCTTCAGCCTACGGAGCTCAGCAGGTGAAACTGGCGCTCGCCATCTTTGTGGTAAGGAGGCTGGGTGTGGGGACGGGGTCGGGGGAGTCTGGGCGGCCCTAGGCTGATCCTGCTTCTCTGACAGATCTGCCAGCTCGGCAACTTCTCCATCCACATGGCCCTGCGGGACCTGCGGCCCGCTGGTGAGTGCCTGCTGGGGGCAGGGGGACAGCTGGGCTGGGTGAGGGGGTCTGACTTTCTCCTTCTGTCCTGCCTGCCAGGGTCCAAGACGCGGAAGATCCCATACCCCACCAAGAACCCCTTCACGTGGCTCTTCCTGCTGGTGTCCTGCCCCAACTACACCTACGAGGTGAGGGGCTGCCTTACCCCTCTCTGCCCTGGGACTTGGGGTCCCATGTGGAGGGACCAGCCCCTAGGATGGGGCGCCTGGCTGGGCAGCTGCTTTTGCCGCCTGCACTGCGAGCATTGGGAGGTGGAGACCGCGGCCTCTCTGCTGTGGTGGCGGGGAGGCGTGTGCCGCTGGGCTTCCGCCGTATACAGCCCCGCCTCCGCTGGAATTGGGTTCCCATCCCTGACTCAGAAAGCAGGGGCGGCGGGAGGTGGCTGGCTGAGTCCAGGACAGCCACATACACGGGTTGCGAGGCTGCCCACGCTCACTCTCCGCCCCTGCCCACAGGTGGGGTCCTGGATCGGTTTCGCCATCATGACGCAGTGTCTCCCAGGTGAGCCTGCCGCCCTCCCTCGGCGGGGCCCTGCCCCTCCGGGCCGGCAGCCCCTCCCTGACGCCCGTTCTTTCCTGCAGTGGCCCTGTTCTCCCTGGTGGGCTTCACCCAGATGACCATCTGGGCCAAGGGCAAGCACCGCAGCTACCTGAAGGAGTTCCGGGACTACCCGCCCCTGCGCATGCCCATCATCCCCTTCCTGCTCTGAGCGCTCACCCCTGCTGAGGCTCAGCCCCTCAACCCGGTGGCATTCTGGGGGAGGAGTGGGGCCCACAGCTCTCCAGCACCCGGAATAAAGCCCGCCTGCCCCAGTCGGACTCGGGCTCTGTGTGTTTCTTTCCGGGGTTGGGGACCACCACACTGCCCTTCACTCTCTCCCCACTCTCGCGTCGGAGCAGTAAGAGGGGACTCTGGTTGAGGGGCCTGAAGGCTTTTATTTGACTGGTCCATAGGGTGGGGGGTGCACCCCCTACAGGGCCACCTTGGGGTCCACTTCCCCGGGTCCCTGGCCTTTGGCCAACTCTGCCGCCTTCTTCTCCCGCCGCTTCTTCCGCTGGAGCAGCCTCCGCTCCCGCTCAAACTCCTTCATGCGCATCACATAGCTGGGGGAAAAGCACGAGAGGGGCTGTCAGGGTCCCTGGCCAGGACACGCCCCCCAAGCCCTGGGAAGCGGAGGGGCCGTCCCAGAGCACTGTGGGGGAGGCCTCTGAAGAAGACATGTCCGAGTGCCTGTGGCTTGGGTCTGGGGTCTGCCCACGCAGGTGGCAGGGCTTCCCACTGGAACCTGGGCTTGGCCACTCCCCTAGGTGGCTTCAGCCACCTGCCCTGTCCCCATCAAACAGGCCCCTAGAGAGCCCTCTCTGGGACTAAGGTGGGGCCCGGCTAGAAACCTCAGTGGCAGTTCAGGTCCCTGGCCTCTGGAGCCACATCCTGCCAGGGGCCAGGCCTGGGTGGGGTGCAGGCTGTGGGTGTTGGCGGGGGTGGGAGGGGGGCTTGGGCGGGCTGGGCATGTGGGGGGCTTGGGTGGGCCAGGGGTGTGGAAGGCTGGGGGTATGGGGTGTTGCGGGCCGGGGTGTTGGGGGCTGGTGTGGGGGTGCTCACTCGCGGTGCTCGCAGTAGTCCCAGTCGTGCCGCTCCTGCTTGCAGGCCAGGAAGTTGGGGAAGCTGTCACGCTTGCACTTGAGCAGCCGGATGAGGTGGTGGGCGCAGTAGTCCCGCAGCTGGAGCCTCAGCTGCGCGTCCATCATCTCCTGCTGTGTGGCCACCATCTCTGCAGGGAGTGGGCGGGGCTCAACCAGGCTGGAGGCTCCCCACCCCAATTCCGGGGATCCCCAGGGGACCGAGGCACACGGCTTCAGGAAGGCACGGCTTGGGGTGTCCCCCATTCACATCCAGATGGCAGTGGATGGCAGATGCCTTTGACGGATGCACTGTCCTGAAGGGGCCTCCTTTTCTAATTTGCACAAAGGCAACTCCAGACACCAAGGGCCAGACAGGAGAAGGTGGCTCCCCATCACCCTGAGGCACCTCAACATCCCGTGCCGGATCCTTGCCTCCCCTCCCACAGGGATGCCCGTCCCCAGCTCTCTACAGCCCCGCTCTCCAGAGTCCGAGTTCAGAATCCACCTTCTCCCAGAGTAACCCTCAGCCCCTCCACCTGCACCTGGGGCTCCAGGCAGCACTCCCAGCCTTTCTTGTCTGCAACCCACCCAAGGCCCAGCTCTGCACTGGCCGGCGGCGTGGCCTCTCTCTCAGCCTCAGAACTGACCATCCGGTCATGGAAGTTACCCGAGCATCCACTGAGCTAACAGTACCTGTAAGGTACTTAGGCGTGGGCTCAGAAGACAGCTGGACTAGTATCTGGGTCCCGGTGCCCCACTCACCTAGCAAACCTGACTCCGGACAAATCAACCTTCAGGAGGGGGCCGATGGGAGCATGAGGAATCCTGGACACTCACCCCGGAGCCTGTGCCTGGCGATCCTGCACTCGTTCCCCACCGCCTCCCTCAGACCCAGCCTCCCTAGCCCTCCTGACGTCCACCACATCTTTCTCGGTCCCAGCTCCTTCCCATCTGCGCAAGTGAGACGAGATATATTCACATCTCAATGGCAGTCGTCCCCTGCTGGCTTCTCTCCCCTTTGCTTCCCAGCTGCGATTCTCTCATCCCACTGAGGCCCAGGTCCTCCTCTCCTGCCCCTTGTCCCATTCCCTGGCTTCTGCCCTACCCCCTCACTGCCCAGACACGGGCTCTCACAGGGCCACCCAACAGCCCAGGACCCCAGCCTCCCGCTTCCTTCTTTCCTGTGGCTCCTCCCACATCCCTCCTCCCCAGGTTTCCTCCCATCTCTATGGCTGCCTTACCTTACGCTTTGTTCTGGGAGCCTTTTTCTTTTCTTTTGAGATGGAGTCTCACTCTGTCACCCAGGCTGGAGGGCAGTGGCAAGATCTCAGCTCACTGCAACCCCTGTCTCCCAGGTTCAAGCAATTCTCCTGCCTCAGCTTCCTGAGTAGCTGGAACTACAGGCGCCTGCCACCATGCCCGACTAATTTTTGTATTTTTAGTAGAGATGGGGTTTCGCCATGTTAGTCAGGCTGGTCTTGAACTCCTGACCTCAGGTGATCCACCCACCTTGGCCTCCCAAAGTGCTGGGATTACAGGTGTGAGCCACTGTGCCCGGCCTGAGAGCCTTTTTCTCTGCTGCCGCCCCGTATGTAGATGAGCCCGATGTGGTCCCTCCACCCCACACCTCGCTTGAGCCCCAGGCCTGGGTATCACCTGCAGCCCCTGGCTGTTCCCTATCTGCACTTGGAGCTCCAGGTGGCAATCCTAGACTCCTCCCTCTTTTGTCTTGAACTTATAATCAGCTAGCAGCAAGGACTTTAGACTGCCTACTGTGTGCTTAGTGGTGGGGATACAGCAGGCAACACAACACACAAGTGTCCCTGCCCTCAGAGGGAGACACAGAACAGACAGAAGACAGAGCACCACAGCGTGTCTGGCAGTGCTTAAGTATTAGGGAGACCAGCCTGGGGAGCACAGAAAGATCCCATGTCCAGAAAAAAATAAAATTATCTTTGCACGGTAGTGCACACGGAGTATCCAGAGCTACTCGGGAGGATCGCTTGAACCCAGGAGTTTGAGGCTGCAGTGGGTGATAACCACCCCACTGCACTCCAGCCTAAGCAACAGAGCGAGAGCCCATCTCTACAAACAAATAAATAAATATGGGCCAGGCGCGGTGGCTCACGCCTGTAAACCCAGCACTTTGGGAGGCCGAGGCAGGTGGATCACTTGAGGTCAGAAGTTCGAGATCAGCCTGGCCAACATGGTAAAACCCTGTCTCTACTAAAAATACAAAAATGAGTCAGGTGTGGTGGCACGCACCTGTAATCCCAGCTACTCGGGAGGCTGAGGCGGGAGAATCGCTTGAACCGGGAAGGCAGATGTTGCAGTGAGCAAAGTGACTGGCTGAAAGGGGGTGGAAAGGAGGAAAGAGAGGGCAGGGGACAGTGATCTAGGAGGGAGGGAGAGAGTGAAGGATCCGGGAGGTAAGAGAAAGGCCAGGCACCATAAAGAGTCCACTGGAGTACCAATCGGGAGACCGGTCAGCAGGGACTGCAGGAATGCGCCACCACACCCAGCTAATTAAAAAATAAAAATAAAAAATTGTAGAGACAGGGCCTTGCTATGTTGCCCAGGCTGTTCTTGAACTTCTGGCCTTGAGCAATCCTCCTGCCTTTGCCTCCCAAACCGTTGGGATTACAGGCATGAGCCATTTTGCCTGGCTTAGAGCTGTTTTTTTCTTATCTCCCCGCCCCCCATTATGTTCAGTTGCACGGGGATAGGCACCAAGGAAGGGAAAGAGGTGAGTTTATCCAGAGTAAGCAAGAGAGAAGGGCAGCAGGTTGCTAGCGTTTGCAAAGCTGATCTTGGGGAAAGCAAGGTATGTGAGGCAGTGGGAGGAAGGTGGACGGACCAATGAACTGCAGGTTCAGCTGGGGCGGAAGGACTACCCGGAGTGTGGACACTGGAGTGATTATACCATCTCCCAACTTTCTCTCAAATCCAGGCTGCTTAGAGGTCTCTGTCTCAAGCTTGTCGCCCACTCAGTAGACAGTGTGACCTTTTGACCAACCAAAACTGATTGTGTCCCTCCTCTGCTTAGAAGCTTGGCTCTGCCACCTCTCTTTGGTCAACCCCTACTCATGCCCCTTCACATCTTTGTTTTGTTTTGTTTTGTTTTTTCAGACAGTCTCGCTCTGTCACCCAGGCTGGAGTGTGGTGGCCTGACCTTGGTTCACTGCAACCTCTGCCTCCTGGGTTCCAGCCAATTCTCCTGCCTCAGCCTCCCAGACAGCTGGGATTACAGGCATGCGCCACCACACCTGGCTAATTTTTGTATTTTTAGTAGAGTAGAGACGGGGTTTCACCATGTTGGCCAGGCTGGTCTCAAACTCCTGACCTCAGGTGATCCACCGGCCTTGGCCTCCCAAAGTGCTGGGATTACAGGCATAAGCCACCGTGCCCGGCTTAATTTTTGTATTTTGTTTTTGAGATGGAGTCTTGCTCTGTCGCCCAGGCTGGAGTGCAGTGGTGTGATCTCGGCTCACTATAACCTCTGCCTCCTGGGTTCAAGCGATTCTCCTGCCTCAGCCTCCTGAGTAGCTGGGACTACAGGTGTGCACCACCACGCCCCTGGCTAATTTTTGTATTTTTAGTAGAGACAGGGTTTCACCACATTGGCCAGGATGGTCTCAATCCCCTGACCTCGTGATCTGCCCGCCTCGGCCTCCCAAAGTGCTGGGATTATGGGTGTGAGACACCATGCCCGGCCTCAATTTTTATATTTTTAGTAGAGATGGTGTTTCACCATGTTGGCCAGGCTGGTCTCAAACTCCTGACCCCAGGTGATCTGCCCGCCTTAGCCTCCCAAAGTGCTGGGATTACAGGCATGAGCCACCACGACCGGCCACCCTTCACGTCTTTGTTTCCAGCCACTGCCTCTTGGAAGCCTGCTTTGACACCCCCAGCTCTGCCTGATTCCACAATCTTTCCCACTGTGCTGAGTTCTCTGGAGACAGTGCCTGCATCCCTCCAGTTCCCTGCTGTATCCGCGGTGCCTAATGTGGGACGTGGCCCAGAGCTGGTGCTCGGTATGCCTGTGATATTACTACATTAAAAGCAAAAACAAACACACGAACCAAAAAACCATCCTGGGCGTAGTGGCTCACATCTTCAATCCCAGCACTTTGGGAGGCTGGGCAGAAGGATCGTTTGAGCCCAGGAGTTTGAGACCAGCCTGGGCAACACAGCAAGACCCCCAACTCTACAAAAAATAAAAAATCAGTCTGGCATCCTGGGGCGCTCCTGTAGTCCCAGCTACTCGGGAGGCTGAGGCGGGAGGATCATTTGAGCCCAGGAGGTCGAGGATGCAATGAGCTGTGATTGTGCCACTACACTCAGCCTGGGCAACAGAGCAAGATCCCGTCTCAAAGCAAAACAAAGCACTTTGCAGGACAGTATTTGCAGCTCGAATCTTCCTTATTTCCTTGTGCATACCCCACAATTGCAGTGACATCAGGAAGGGGGTACAATGAACGTGTCCCTGCCCTCCCATGACTCCCCACGTCCCCCAAGACTTGGCCCGAGGCCGGGCGTGGTGACTGACTTCTGCGATCCCAGCACTTGGGGAGGCCGAGGCGGGCGGATCACTTGAGGTCAGGAGTTCAAGAGCAGCCTGGCCAACAAGGAGAAACCCCGTCTCTACTAACAATACAAAAAAGTAGCTGGGCATGGTGGTACACATCTGTAATCACAGCTACTCGCGAGGCTGAGGCAGGAGAATCGCTTGAACCCGGGAGGTGGAGGCTGCCAGTGAATCGAGACCAAGCCACTGCACTCCAGCCTGAAAGAAAAAGCGAGACTCCGTCTCAAAAGAAAAAAAAAAAAGACTCGACCCAGCTCTGCGCGTCGCATTCCTGCCCGAACCCCCACTTGTCGCCTCACTTTTGCTCCCTGGCTTTTGCTCAAGCCGTGCCCTTGGGCTGGAACGCCTCCACACTGAGGTGGGGTCATGCACGTCCTGTGGACTCCTAGTCTAGACCCAAACCCAGATACAACACCTGAGGTTAGAGCCCAGCCCTGGGGTGCCAGCCCTGGGGTGCCAGGTGTTCAGGCACCCGCGCCCCACGCCCTCTGGCTGCGCCTGCGCACTGGGCCTCACCGCGCTCCTTGCGTTCGGGGAAGCCGTAGTCTGGCGGGAAGGTTGGCATCTGCAGGGGGTCGGGCTCCACCGAGGCATCGCCCAGGTAGCGCCGGACCAGGTGGGCCCCCATGGCTGCAGTCGCTGCAGATCCCTGCAGCAGCCGAGGGTCACCTAGCTCCTACCCGGAACCACTGACCCCTCAGTCAGACACAGCTTCCGGGTCATTTAGGCAGCTGCGGAGATCATAGAGATGAAGGACTCCAGAGGATCGCTCCGGTCCGCCTGGCGTCACCTCGCGGACAGGCGGAGGCGGGACAGGTGCTGTGTCTCTTCGCAGGATATGGTTGGACCCGAGAGGGGACTTCCCTGAGCCTGGAAATCCATCTGGGCGGGGCAGAAGGGGACGGTGTGGGACTGAGGCCTCCCTCGACCCTATCTGGGGCTCTTCTGGTAGCCCGAGGCTAAAGCACATATTAAAATTATTTTTCATATCATTTTCCAAAAAGTTTTTTCTTTGAAAACATTCAAATTTCTCTTAAAAAAGGCACGATATCTATTATATCGTTAATGTATGTAATTTTGCATAAAGTCACTTTAAGAATTTTTTGTTTTTGGAGACACAGTACCTGTCGCCCAGACTGGAGTGTATTGGCGCGATCTCGGCTCACTGCAGCCTCCACCTCCTGGGCTCAAATTCTCTTGCCTCAGCCTCCTGAGTAGCTGGGATTACAGGCGCCCGCCACCACCCCCAGCTAATTTTTGTATTTTTAGTAGAGACGGGGTTTCGCCAGTTGGCCAGGCTGGTCTCGAACCCCTGACCTCAAGTGATTCCCCCGCCTCAGCCTCCCAAATTGCTGGGATTACGGGCATGAGCCACAGTGCCTGTCCAAGAAAGATTTTGATAAATTTAATTTAAATAAAAGTTATTCATAAATACAGTTATTATTATATTATTATTTTTTGAGATAGGGTCTCATTCTGTCGCCCAGGCTGGAGCACAGTGGCACAATCATAGCTCACTGCAACCTTGAACTCTTGGGCTCCAGGGATCCTCCCGCCTCAGCCTCTCAAAGTGTTGGGATTATGGGCGTAAGCCACTGTGCCTGGTCAAAAACAATTATTTAAAGCTGAAATTTCAAATAAATTATATATATATATGCAATCTTTATACAATTTTAAAATATATTAATATCTAATATTAATATCTAATATATATTTTTCCCCAGTCTGACAAAGCATGTATTAGGCATCTACTGTATGGTATGCTGGGTCCAGTGGTCAGACAGAAAGGCAGACGTGGTTCCTGTCTTTCAAGCTTACAGTCTAATGGAACAGAAAAACAGTCTAATGGAAAAAAAAAAATATGGGCCAGGGCAGTGGCTCACACCTGTAATCTCAGAGCTTTGGGAAGCTGAGATGGGAGGATCGCCTGAACTCAGGAGTTTGAGACCAGCCTGGGCAATATAGGGAGACTCTATCTCTACAAAAAAAAAAAAAAAAAAAAAAGCTGGGTGTGGTGGTGCACGCTTGTAGTCCCAGCTACTCGGGAGGCTGAGGCAGGAGGATAACTTGAGCCCAGGAGTTCCAGGCTGCAGTGAGCCGTGATCCCATCACTGCACTCCAGCCTAGGCAACAGAGTGAGACCCTGTCTATAAAAATTCCCAGGTGATGTGATGTTGCTGGTCTAGTGACCAGCTTTGGGAGAATTACTCAACTAGATCTTTATGTGTTGACATGGGGAAGTGGCTGCTGATATATTAAGTGAAAAAAGCAAGCTATTGAGAATAGACAACTGGCAATAGAGACTTTTCTTTTTCTTTCTTTTTTTTTTTTTTTTTTGAGACAGAGTTTCACTCTTGTTGCCCAGGCTGGAGTGCAGTGGTGTGATCTCGGCTCACCGCAACCTCCGCCTTCTGGTTTCAAGCGATTCTCCTGCCTTAGCCTCCTAAGTAGCTGGGATTACAGGTGGGTGCCATCACGGCCAGCTAATTTTTTTTTTTTTTTTTTTGAGACGGAGTCTTGCTCCGTTGCCCAGGCTGGAGTGCAGTGGCGCAATCTCGGCTCACTGCAAGCTCCGCCTCCCGGGTTCACGCCATTCTCCTGCCTCAGCCTGCCGAGTAGCTGGGACTACAAGCGCCCGCCACCACGCCCGGCTACTTTTTTTGTATTTTTAGTAGAGACGGGGTTTCACCGTGTTAGCCAGGATAGTCTTGATCTCCTGACCTTGTGATCCGCCCGCCTTGGCCTCCCAAATAATTTTTTTGTATTTTTAGTAGAGACGGAGTTTCATCATGTTGGCTAGGCTGGTCTTGAACTCCTGACCTCAGGTGATCCACCCGCTTCGGCCTCCCAAAGTGCAGGGATTACAGGCTTGAACCACTGCGTCCAGCTGAGACCTTCTTTCCAGGGCTACCTGTGTGACCTGTCCCTATCTCCAGGCCACCACATTAATCTGTGATTCTTGTGCCCTTCTAGACTCAAGGGGGCAGCATTCACATTGTGATCTCTATGAATGGTGCTTCTGGAGTTGTGCCGTGCACAGCCTGCACAGCTGCATCCAGTAACCCTGACGTGTTCTGGGCGTGTCTCCTTAATCTTCCTTTCTCTGTGCTTCAGCTGCTCACCCAGAGGTCAGAGCTCAAAGGGAGTCCAGAGAGGCAAATTACAGTACTAGCTCACTTTCCCTGTGTGACCCCCAGAAGTGACTTCATTTCTCGCAGACTGAGTTTACTCATCTGTAAGATGAGGTTTGTAATACCTATCTCATAATGTTCCCAGCCAGCGAGGGCTCCCCTCCTCCTGATGGATTCCACCCCTTTCCTGGCTTTATTTTTTTATTTTTTCAAGACAGGGTCTTGCTCTATTACCCAGGCTGGAGTGCAGTGTCATGATCTCGGCTCACTGCAGCCTCTGCCTCCTGGGCTCAGGCGACCCTCCTGCCTCAGCCTCCCGAGTAGCTGGGATTCCACGTGCGTGCCACTACGCCCAGCTAATATTTGTATTTTTGTAGAGATGAGGTTTTGCCATGTTGCCCAGGCTGATCTCAACCTCTTGGGCTCAAGCAAACCACCTGCCTTGGCCTCCCAAAGTGCTGGGATTACAGGCGTGAGCCATCATGCTGGACCTTTATTTTCCTCCTTCGCACTTAGCACCATTTAAACTGCGATCCATTTGCCTTATTTATTTTGTTTATTATTGGTCTCTTCTCTCAACTCAGCTCTGTGAAGCAGGGAATTTTGTCTGTCTTGTTCACTGCCATATTACTGCACCTAGAACAGAACTGGCGTGCAGTAGATGCTTAGAAAATATTTGTTGAATAGACTGGGTGCGGTGGCTAACGACTGTAATTACACGGCTTTGGGAGGCGGAGGCAGAAGGATCACTTGAGAACAGGACTTTGAGACCAGCCTGGGCAATATAGGGAGACCCCTGTCTCTACAAAAAAATAAAAAAATTAGCCGGGCTGGTGGCATGCACCTGTAGTCCCAGCTACTTGGGAGGCTGAAGTGGGAGGATCGCTTGAGCCCAGGAGGTTGAGGCTGCAGTGAGCAATGATCATGCCACTGCACTCCAGCCTGGTCAACAGAGCAAGACCCTGTCTCTGAAAATAAATACAGAACAATACAATAAAATAAATAATTTGTTGAATAAACACAGGAATAAATAAATAGAGAAGGTGGAAGAATCAGATGGTTGCATCAAAAGTGCTTAGTGCCTGGCATCCAGTAGGTGCTCAATACATGCTCACTATTGTTTCTTTCATCCAGGTCACAGTCTGGCGCTAGAAAGCCAAACAAAGGAGGCTACTGTGACCAGTCATTTCACCAGAGGCTGAAGGGATTCAAGCCAGGGATGACTGGGGTTGGGCGTGGAGGCATGTGGCCCATTCCATTCTAAACTTCCAGGACTCAAATGGTTCAGCCTGGCCTAGCCTTACCGAGCACTGGGGACCTGGGGGGAATGATACTGAAAGGGCCATTGTCTGGGGTGATAACTGAGATTCGTTGTCTTACAGCGGAGGAAATCAAGGACGTGGACACACAAGGAGTGAGGTTAAGAGAGGAAGTTTATATTTATTTATTTATTTTTTTGAGATGGAGTCTTGCTCTGTCACCCAGGCCGGAGTGCAGTGGCACAATCTCGGTTCACTGCAACCTTCACCTCCTGGGTTCAAGTAATTCCTGTCTCAGCCTCCCAGGTAGCTGGGATTACAGGTGTGAGTCACCCTCCTGGCCTATTTACTTATTTTTTGAGATGGAGTCTTGCTCTGTTGCCCAGGCTGGAGTGTAATGGCAGGATCTCAGATCACTGCAACCTCTGCCTCCTGGGTTCAAGTGATTCTCGTGCCTCAGCCTCTGAGTAGCTGAGATTACAGGTGTGTGCCACCACACCTGGCTAATTTTTTGTATTTTTAGTAGAGATGAGGTTTCACCACGCTGGCCAGGACCTCCTGACCTCAAATGACCCACCCGCCTCGGCCTTCCAAAGTGCTGGGATTACAGGCGTGAGCTACTGCGCCTGGCCAAGAGTGAAAGTTTAACAGGTGAAAGAATACCTGTCTCTGCTGCAGAGAGAGGGGTCCTGAACAGGTTGCTGGTTTTGAGGTGAAATGCAGGGCGTTTTATAGATGCTTGGTGAGCAGGCAGTGTCTGATTTACATAGGGCTTGAAAGATTGGTTGGGCCAGGTGTGCTATTTGCATAGGGCGCAAAAACTGTTTAGGACTAGGTGTGCCATTTGCATAGGGCGCGAATTTCTGGAAGTCCCCCCACCTTAATCTTTCATTATGTAGGTAGGTTCTCTGCCTGGCCTGCACCATCATGCCCGTTTATTTTTTATCTATTTATTTATTTTTTACTGTACACGTGATAATAAAAGGGAAGATGGAGACTCCATGTTGAACATGCCTGGCCCTCAGGTAGCCCTTTTCTATTGGCACAGCTGCTGGCATTTTCTCATGCAAGCTTCCAGCTTGCTTATCTATGTTTGCAGCTCAATTTCTCAGGATGCTCGTTGTTAAAAATAAATAATTTCTTGGGCTGTTTTTTTTGTGTGTTTGTTTGTTTTCTTTGAGCTGGAGTTTTGCTCTTGTTGCCCAGGCTGGAGTGCAATGGCGCAATCTTGGCTTGCTGCAGCCTCCGCCTCCCGGGTTCAAGTGATTTTCCTGCCTCAGCCTCCTGAGTACCTGGGATTATAGGCACCCGCTACCATGCCTGGCTAATTTTTTGTATTTTTGTGTGTGTATATATATATATATATATATATATATATATATATATATATATGTATTTTTTTTTTTTAGTAGAGACGGGGTTTCGCTATGTTGGTCAAGCTGGTCTCGAACTTCTGACCTCAGGTGATCCGCCTGCCTCCGCCTCCCAAAGTGTTGGGATTACAGGCGTGAGCCACTGAGCCCAGCCTGGGCTGCTTTTTGTTAAAAGGGAAGCTCTGACAAGGACTCTCTTACCCTCACTAGCTGCCTAAATAATGTCTTTCTATCTCCTGTATCAATATTTGGGTGAGGGTGATTTTAGGCAGCATGTGGGGGCCTCCATCACCCATCATCTGTATCCTTCCTGTTTTTTTCTTTATCAACCACCCACCAAGGAGACCTTCCTGTGTCCCTTGCCCACCGCTCCCAGGGGACCTGTTTTTTTTTTTTTTTTCTTTGAGACGGAGTCTTGCTCTGTCACCCAGGCTGGAGTGCAGTGGTGAGATCTCGGCTCACTGCAATCTCGGCCTCCAGGGTTCAAGCAATTCTCCTGCCTCAGCCCCCTGAGTAGCTGGGATTACAGGCGCCCGCCACCACTCCTGGCTAATTTTTGTATTTTTAGTAGAGATGGGATTTCACCATGTTGGCCAGGCTGATCTCGAACTCCTGACCTCAGGTGATCTTCCCGCCTCGGCCTCCCAAAGTGGTGGGATTACAGGCATGAGCCACCGCACCTGGCCAGGACCCGGTTTATTGGCCACAGTTCCCCGCCTCTCCCCTTTCTTCCTTCCCTTGCTCTCCTGTCCTGCCCCATCTGGTCTGCTCCAGAAGGGGCTGCATTCGCACTCTGTGAGCAGAGCAGCCTCAGAGGGCCCACGTGGGACCTGAGGTGGGGAAGGAAATTCTGAGTGGTGTCTGCACCTTGCCACAGTCTGCTGGTTGGGAGACCAGATGCTCTGGGGGATTCAGTTTCAGGGAAGGAGGAAAAACAAGGTCAGTGAGGCCTCAGCAGAAGACTCCCAGGGCAAGCCCCGCTTCTGCTTATGGGGCAGACAGAACACTTGTCTTTAATCCAGGCAGGAGTGCTACTGACACCCAGCGTTTGATGCTGTGTGCATTGAGAGTGGCTGGCTGGTATTGGAGGGATGAGAGAGCCTGGAGGGGCGGGGCTTTAGGGGTGGCCTTAGACAGGGCTTGGCAGGCAGGAGGTCACTCACTCATTCAACAAACATTCATTGAGCACCTACCGTGTGGCAGGCAGTGAACAAGACAGACACAAATCCCTGCCCTCATGGAGTTGAGCTGCTAATAGGTGGAAGACAGGCAGAGAACAAGATTAGGAAGTGAGGTATGTGCAATGTGAGATATGATAAGACTGTGACAATGGTTAAGGGGAAAAATGGCAGACAGAGTGGATGAGAAGGGATGGTCTGGAATTTTATTTTTATTTTATTTTTTTGAGACAGGGTCTCACTTTGTTGCCCACGCCAGAGTGCAGTGGCACAATCACAGCTCATTGCAGCCTTGAATTCCTGGGCTCAAGGGATCCTCCTACCTCAGCCTCCTGAGTAGCTAGGACTATAGGTGTGTACCAACATGCCTGGTTAATTTTTTCATTAATATCACAGTGCGTAAACCCTGTGATATGATAAATATCAGAGGGATATTTCATTAATTTTGTAGAGGCAGGGTCTCCCTACCTTACCCAGGCTGGTTGTTCATCATATTGGTCAGGCTGTTCTTGAACTCCCGACCTCAGGTAATCCACCTGCCTCAGCCTCCCAAAGTGCTGGGATTCCAGGCGTGTGTCACCATGCCCAGCCTGATCCTCCTCTTTATTGCAATCCCCCATGTACATGTGATTCCTTTCTCCTTCTTTCTTTTTCTTCTTTTTCTGTTTCTACTTTATTTTTATTTTTATTTTTTTGAGATGGAGTTTCTTTCTGTCACCCAGGCTGGAGTGCAGTGGTGCGATCTTGGCTCACTGCAACCTTTGCCTTGCAGGTTCAAGCGATTGTCCTGCCTCAGCCTCCGTGGTAGCTGGGATTACAGGTGCACACCACCACGCCCAGCTCATTTTCGTATTTTTAGTAGGGACAGGGCTTCACCGTATTGGCCAGGCCGGCCTCAAACTCCTGACCTCAGGTGATCCCCTGGCTTCGGCCTCCCAAAGTGCTGGGATTACAGGCATGAGCCACTGTGCCTGGCCATCTACTTCTTTTTCTTTTCTTGTTTTTAGAGATGGGGTCTCACTATGTTGCCCAGGCTGGAGTGCAGTGGCTATTCACAGGCGTGACCATAATGCACTGCAGCCTCAAACTCCTGGGCTCCAGGACTCCTCCCATCTCAGCCTCCTGAGTAGCTGGGACTATAGGCTCACACCACTGCACCTGTGTTTTTCTTCTTTTTCTATTTGTGACTATCTAACATAACTTCTAATGTAGTTGAGTTATTTATTTTATTCACTCTCTTTCTCCCTGTTGCTGCTCCCATGGGTAAAATTTTTTGTTGTTGTTCACCAGTGTATTTCGGTTCTTATGTGTTAGAGCCTAACAC
Source organism: Homo sapiens (assembly GCF_000001405.40). Taxonomy (NCBI): domain Eukaryota; kingdom Metazoa; phylum Chordata; class Mammalia; order Primates; family Hominidae; genus Homo; species Homo sapiens. The sequence continues at coordinate 14,579,638 of NC_000019.10, forward strand.
AGAGTAGGTGGTCAGTACTTATCTGTTGAATCAATGAATGAACAAATGAATCCCTGTTTGACATATCAGGAGACTAATGCTCAGAGATGTTGTTCTGCACCCCCAAGGTGACACAGCAAGAATGGGCCTGAGCTGGAAGCAGCCTGGGCTCATAGCCTTGTTATTTCAGTGAATGGGGCTGGATTCCAACATCTGTTCCTGAATACCTACTGTGTGCCAGGTCCCGAGGGATGGTATTGGCCAGGTAGCTATCACCCCTATACCATGAGACCACCCAGCCTTTATTGTAAGAAGGTCCCCTTACCTCTAAGAGTGCTTTTTTTTTTTTTTTTTTTTTTTGAGACAGAGTTTTGCTCTGTTGCCCAGGCTTGAGCACAGTGGTATGATCACAGCTCACTGCATCCTCAATCTCCTGGGCTCAAGCGATCCTCCCACCTCAGCCTCCCAAGTAGCTGGATCTACAGGCATGCACCACCATGCCCAGCTAATTAAAAAAAATTTTTTTTTTGAGAGAAGTCTCGTTCTTGTCCCCCAGGCTTGAGTGTGATGGCTCGATCTCGGCTCACTGCAACCTCTGCCTCCTGGGTTCAAATGATTCTCCTGCCTCTGCCTCCCAAGTAGCTGGGATTAAGGCGCCTGCCACCACGCCCGGCTAATTTTTGTATTTTTTAGTAGAGACAGGGTTTCACCATGTTTGCCAGGCTGATCTCGAACTCCTGACCTCAGGTGATCCGCCCACCTCAGCCTCCCAAAGTGCTGGGATTACAGGCGTGAGCCACCGTGCCCAGCCTAAAAAATTTTGTTTTTCTGTATAGTTGGGGTCTCACTTTGTTGTCCAGGATGGTCTCAAGCTCCTGGCCTCAAGAGATCCTCCTGCCTTGGCCTGCCAAAGTGCTGGGATTATAGGCATGAGGCACCATGCTCAGCCTAAAAAGTGCTCTTGATGGGCAGATATACCGTCAGTCTTTTTGACCTATTGACCTGTCCCTCCCCCTGTTACTATTCCCCTTCTCCTATCCTCCTATGTCTGTTTGCAGCTGCTCCCCACCCCCATCCATCTGGAGCCTGATTAGCTTGTGTGTGCTTAGCAGATGTTGGCTGAACAGACGGGCTCTTTCTTCCTTCTCAGACAGGTCTCCATTTTCCCATCTCTAGAATGGGTACAGTCACATTTGCCCTCCTACAGGTTGGAATGGGTACAGTCACGTTTGCCCTCCTACAGGCTGGGAAGGCTCTATGACATCAGGCCATGTAAGAGGGGAAAGCCCAGCCCCTAGAGTCAGCTTTGAATGGAAAGGGAGGTTAATCTGCTGCTGCCCTCCTACCTCAATTAAGACCGGGGCTACCCCATTGCCCACGTGCGGTGCGGGGGAAGGTTTTTCCATTTGTTAGAGGCTCTCACTTGCTTATACTGAGCCTGTCAGGTAAGAAATACATTCTATTTTGTTTGAGACACTCTTGTTCTGAGTCTCAGTTATGGAAACCCAACCTAATGTTCCCCATGGGCCTGATGAATGTTCCTTGTTGTTGAAGCCAATCTGAGTTGCATTTCCTCTTACTTTTAGTAAAAACCTCTACAAAGGGAAATTGGGGTCTTGCCCCTTGGGGTACATATTAGTTTCCTATAGTGACTCTAACAAATTACTCATAAATTGAGTGACTCGGAACCACAGAAATAATAATTATTATTATTGTTACTATTTTGAGATAGAGTCCTGCTCTTTTGCCCAGGCTGGAATGCAGTGGCGAGATCTTGGCTCACTGCAGCCTCCGCCTCCCGGGTTCAAGCGATTCTTCTGCCGCAGCCACCCGAGTAGCTGGCATTACAGGTGCCCGCTATCATGTCCAGCTATTCTTTTTTTTTTTGTAACTTTAGTAGAGATGGGATTTCATCATGTTGGCCAGGCTGGTCTCGAATGCCTGACCTCAAGTGATCCACCTGTCTGAGCCTCCCGAAGTGTTGGGATTACAGGCGTGAGCCACCGCGCCTGGCCAGAAATGGATTATATGGATTATTTTATTTTATTTTTTTGAGATGGAGTTTCACTCTTGTTGCCCAGGCAGGAGTGCAATGATGTGATCTCGGCTCACTGCAACCTCTACCTCCCGAGTTCAAACGATTCTCCTGCCTCAGCCTCCTGAGTAGCTGGGATTACAGGTGCGCGCCACCATATCTGGCTAATTTTGTATTTTTAGTAGAGATGGGATTTCACCATGTTGGCCAAGCTGGTCTTAAACTCCTGACCTCACGTGATCCACCCACCTCGGCCTCCCAAAGTGTTGGGATTACAGGTGTGAGCCACTGCACCCGGCCAGATTATTTTATAGTTCTGGAGTCAGGAGACCAACATCAGTCTCACTGCTGAAACCCAGGTGTTCATGGGCTGGGCCATGCTTCTTTAAGAGGCTGCAGCGTGAGAATCCATTTTCTTGCTGTTTCCAGCCTCTGCAGTTGCATTCTTTAGCATATGGCTCCTTCTTGCATCTTCAAAGCCAGCATAACTTTAGTGACCACATTGCCTTTTTTTTGTGTCAAATCTCCTTCTGTTTCCCTTCTACGAGGACCCTTGTAATGCCATTTTTTTTTTTTTTTGAGACGGAGTCTCGCTCTGTCACCCAGGCTGGAGTGCAGTGGTGCGATCTCGGCTCACTGCAAGCTCCACCTCCTGGGTTCACGCCATTCTCCTCCCTCAGCCTCCCGAGTAGCTGGGACCACAGGCACCCGCCACCACACCCAGCTAATTTTTTGTATTTTTAGTGGAGACGGAGTTTCACTGTGTAAGCCAGGATGGTCTCGATCTCCTGACCTCGTGATCTGCCTGTCTCGGCCTCCCAAAGTGCTGGGATTACAGGCGTGAGCCACGATGCCTGGCCTGTAAAGCCATTTAAGGCCCACCTAGGTAATCCAGGATAAACCATCCATCTCAAGACCCTTAATTAATTAATTAATATTTAATGTTTTTTAAAAAATTAATTTATTTATTTATTGAGACAGAGTCTCACTCTGTCACTCAGGCTGGAGTGCAGTGGCGTGATCTCGGCTAACTGCAACCTCCATCTCCCAGGTTCAAGCGATTCTCCTGCCTCAGCCTCCTGAGTAGCTGGGATTACAGGCGCCTGCCACTGCGCCTGGCTAATTTTTGTATTTTTAGTAGAGACTGGGTTTCACCATGTTGGCCAACCTGGTCTCGAACTCCTGGCCTTAAGTGATCCATCCACCTCAGCCTCTAAAAGTGCTGGGATTCCAGGCGAGAGCCACCACACCAGGCCAGTTGTCATTATTCCTTCTGTGCGTGAATCCAAACTGGGGAGAAAGGCTCTGTGTGTATGTGTGTGTGTGTGTGTGTGTGTGTTTGTGTGAGCACGTGTGAGGTCTGAGGGCTTCCTGTCAAAATGAATTTGCATGTATTTGACTTTGAAAGGAAAAGGGAACTGAGAGAGCCCCCAGACGCCTGAGTCGGAGAGACAGGGGGCAGAGGTTGCCAAGCCCTGGCTGCCACTTGTCAGGTTCCCTGTGCTAGACATGCATAATCTGTATTCCATCACTGGGTACCCGGACCCACCAGGTAAGGCCCCGGCCAGGCTGGGGCTGGGGCCTAGGTGTGGTCAGGACCCAGGGTACAGAATCCCCACCATGGGGCAGCTGAGGCAGAGACCAGGGCTTGAGGGATGGAGGGAGGAGGGAATGGCTGGGCTCTGACTTGCCTTTCCCCTGGAAGGGACCATGGAGGAGGAGGAGGAGGATGATGACTATGAGAACTCAACACCTCCCTACAAGGACCTTCCTCCCAAGCCAGGTAAGAGGACTTTTTGGAGTGTGACCTGGGGGAATACAGGGAATGGGGTCTCCAGTGGGCATTGGTTGGGCATTGTAGACACATAGTCAGTCTCCTCTGTATCCAGCCCATGCCGGGCACTGTGGAACCCACACCCTGCCCAGGACGACCTGTCAGTCTGATGGCGGAGGTGGGTTTGGGCACAGTCTTGGTGAGCAGGGTGAGAGAGGAGGGGTCAGGAGATTGGCAAAATCCTTGGGGGACTGAGGGCTCAAATAGAGGAAGGGACTTTGGGGTGGGGCTTGAGGGATGAGTAGACATATCTTAAGAAGAGAAGTCCAGGAGAGAACAGTTAGGTGCAAAGTCTCTGAGTTACAAAAGCTGGTGCTTGAGAAACTGGGAGTGGACTGTGGGCTCCCAGTCTCCTCACCTTTCTACCCAAAGCCCAGGTTTTATTTAGACTTGGATCTCAAACCCAAGGCATAGCACAGGGTTCAACAAGAGACTGATAAGTGGTTGTTAAAGTGGAGGTTTGGGCCAGCTGCAGTGGTGTGCGTCTGTAGTCTTGATACTTTGGGAGGTCAAGGTGGGAGGATCGCTTGAGGACAGGAATTTGAGACCAGCCAGGGCAACATAGCAAGACCCTATCTCTGCCAAAAAAAAAAAAAAATAGAGGTTTGGGCCGTGTGTGGTGGCACATGTCTGTAGTCCCAGCTACTTGGGAGGCTGAGTCAGTAGGATCACTTGAGCCCAGGAGTTCTGGGCGATTGTGAACTAGGCGATCGGGCGTCTGCACTAAGTTTGGCATCAATATGGTGATGTTTTGGGAGCAGGGGACCACCAGGTTGCCTAAGGTGTCTGAGGAGGGGTTTCCAGGTTGGAAACGGAGCAGTTCGACACCCCCAAGCTGATCAGTAGTGCGACTGCTCCTGTGAGTAGCCGCTGCACTCCAGCTTGGGCAGCATAGCGCGACTCCACTTCTAAAAAAATAGAGAAAATGAAACCGGAGGTTTTTGAGGTATTCCTGAGTTTACTGCCACCAGGGACCCTGAGGCCATGAGAGATCCCGGAGGCCCAAAACAGAAAATCCCTGAGATATGCTGATGGCCTGGTCCTGGTGACCTTAGACAGGAGCCATTCTGTGAGGGCTGAGGCTGTATATCCCCCATCTCTGAGTCCAAAGTGGGGCCACCTGGGAGGTCCAGAAATATGGTGGGACTTGCCTGAGGTAGGAGGTGACCTGTGCTGTGTTGTTTCACTGCCCCATTTCCAATTTATGGTCCTAATGTGACCCTCAAGCCCTGGGTCTACATATATGACCAACCAATCCCATTCCCTTCTTCAGGGCCACGTCTGCTCCAAAAGCACAGTCCTGTCCCCACATCCACATGCAGCCCAGCATCCACTCTCCAATCCAACTTCATCACCCTCTCTACTATAGCCCAGCCTCGACTCCTTCCCCATTCCCAAACCTGGCAAGGACTCTGTTCTTCATCCTAACCACATCATGACCTTACCCACATCCATCCCTGTCCCCAACCCATTTTCCATCCCATCCCACCCCATCCCAACACCAATTCTAATCCAAACCCCACCTCATCTTCATCCCCATCCTGAAACGCAACTGTTTTTGTTTTTTAAAATCCCCTCCATCCCCTTCCATCCCTTCTCCTTTCAATCAAACCCTCAAAGAGACACACAGAGAAGAGAACTGTGAATTGTCTGCTCATTAGTTTTTATGAGAGGAAACCAGAGAATTTAAAAAAAATATTTTTGAGACAGGGTCTTGCTTGTCACCCAGGCTGCCCTGAAGTGGTGCAATCATAGCTCACTGCAGCCTTGAGCTCCTGGGTCCAAGCAATCCTCCTACTACACCCTCCCGAGTAGCTGGGGTTACAGGCATGAGTCACTGTCTGTAAAGCCTCATGTGAAGCTCAGGGTCTACATATATGACTCATATGACTCTCAGGGCCTGTAAGTTCTGCAGAGATGACTGTGGTAGTCAGCCTTCAAGATGGGTTCCCTGTGACCCTTACGTTCTCATATTCGTGCCCTTGTGTAGTCTCTTCCCACAATGACTCAGAGCTGGTCCATGTGATAAATAGAATACTGTATAGTGGAGACCATCCTTTGTGACTTGTGAGGCTAGATCATAGGAGCATGGTGGCTTCTATCTTTGCCTCTGCCATGTTGTGAAGATGCCCAGTCATCCCTTTGGAGAGGCTCACATGGCAAGGAACTGAGGCCTCCCACCAACAGCCATGTGAGTGCATCATCTTGGAAGCAGATCCTCTAGCCCCAGTCAAGCCTGCAGATGACTTGCAGTCCCAGGCAACATCTTGACTACAATCACGCAAGAGATCTCAAGCTAGAACTACCCAGCTAAGCTGCTCTCAGATTCCTGAACCACAGAAACTGTGAGATAATAAATGCTTATGGTTGTTTTAAGTCACTGCGTTTTGGGGTAATTGGTTGTGCAGCCATAGATAACTGACCCAGTGCCCTGGTACTTCACCATGGAATGTGGGGGAATACTTAACACCTATCCCCTTAACATCTTGTTACAAATGTTACCACTTCCAGGAGGTACTTCCTGATGACCTCTCTACATTAGCTTTTATCCTATCCCATTGCTCTGTTTTATTAGGTTTAGAGCAGTAATACTTAGTCTATATAAAAACATATTTTAATGTTTCTTAATTTCTTTACTTTTTTTTTTTTTTTTTCTTGAGACGGAGTTTCACTCTTGCTGCCCAGGCCGGAGTGCAATGGTGCAATCTTGGCTGACAGCAACCTCTGCCTCCCGGGTTCAAGTGATTCTCCTGACTCAGCCTCCCTGGCAGCGGGATTACAGGCATGTGCCACTGTGCCCGGCTAATTTTGTATTTTTAGAAAAGATGGGGTTTCTCCATGTTGGTCAGGCTGGTCTCGAACTCCCGACCTCAGGTGATCTGCCTGCCTTGGCCTCCCAAAGTGCTGAGATTACAGGCACGAGCCACCACGCCCAGCCTCTTTTCTACTTTTTTAAGAGTGGGGTCTCCCTCTGTTGCCCAGGCTGGAGTGTAGTAGTGCAATCATGGCTCACTGCTGTGTCAACCTCCTGAGCTCAAGCAATCCTCCCACCTCAGCCTCCTGATAGCTGGGACTACTGGTGTGCACCACCATGCCTGGATGGTTTTTTCTAAATTTTTTTTACAGAGATAGGGTCTTGCTATGTTGCCCAGGCTGGTCTTGAACTCCTGGCCTCAAGCGATCCTCCTGCCTTGGCCTCCCAAAGTGCTGGGATTATAGGCATGAGCCATTGCGCCCAGCCTATTTCTATGTCTCTTTACTGGTTTATTGTGTCTCTGGTCTAGATTGAAGGAAGAAGTTTATCCATCTCTTCCACCCAGAACTTGGTGCTCTGTAGGGGAGCTCAACTGGGAGCGGGGAGGTGGGTGGCTGTTGTCATTGTTTCTTCTTTTTCTTTCTTTCTTTCTTTTTTTTTTTTTTTGAGACAGAATCTCACTCTGTCACTCAGGCTGGAGTGCAGTGGCATGATCTCAGCTCACTGCAACCTCCACCTCCTGAGTTCAAGTGATTCACCTGCCTCAGCCTCACAAGTAGCTGGGATTACAGGCAGGCACCACCACGCCCGGCTAGTTTTTGTATTTTTGGTAGAGACGGGGTTTCACCACGTTGGTTGCCCAGGCTGATCTCGAACTCCCAAACTCAGGCGACCTGCCAGCCTCAGCCTCCCAAAGTGCTGGGATTACAGACGTGAGCCACCACCCCCGGCCCATTGTTTCTTCTATGTGTGAGTCCAAACTCCAGAGAAAGATGTGTGTGTGTGTGTGTGTGTGTGTGTGTTTGTGTTTGTGTGAGGTCTGGGGGCTTCCCCCCAAGATGGATTTGCCTGTACTTGACTTTGAAAGGAAAGGGAAACAGACAGATGCCTTAGACATCTGAGTAGGAGAGACAAGACCTGGCTACCCCTTGTCATGTTCCTGGTGTTAGCGGTAGCCATGCACAACCTGTATTCTATCTCTGGGTGTCCAGACCCACCAGGTAAGGCCCTGGCCAGGCTGGGGCTGGGGCCCAGGTGTGGTCAAGATCCAGGGTACAGAATCCCCATCATGGGGCAGCTGAGGCAGAGACCAGGGCTTGAGGGATGGAGGGAGGAGGGAATGGCTGGGCTCTGACTTGCCTTTCCCCTGGAAGGGACCATGGAGGAGGAGGAGGAGGATGATGACTATGAGAACTCAACACCTCCCTACAAGGACCTTCCTCCCAAGCCAGGTAAGAGGACTTTTTGGAGTGTGACCTGGGGGAATACAGGGAACGGGGTCTCCAGTGGGCATTGGTTGGGCATTGTAGACACACAGTCAGTCTCCTCTCTACACAGCCCATGCCGGGCACTGTGGAACCCACACCCTGCCCAGGAGGACCTGTCAGTCTGATGGCAGAGGCAGGATTGGGCACAGTCTTGGTGAGCAGGGTGAGAGAGGAGGGGTCAGGAGATTGGCAAAATCCTTGGGGGACTGAGGGCTCAAATAGAGGAAGGGACTTTGGGGTGAGACTTGAGGGATGAGTAGACATTTCTTAAGAAGAGAAGTCCAGGAGAGAACTGTTAGGTGCAAAGTCCCTGAGTTACAAAAGCTGGTGCTTGAGAAACTGGGAGTGGACTGTGGGCTCCCAATCTCCTCACCTTTCTACCCAAAGCCCAGGTTTTATTTAGACTTGGATCACAAACCCAAGGCATGGTACAGGGTCCAACAGGAGACTGATAAGTGGTTGTTAAAGTGGAGGTTTGGGCCAGCTGCAGTGGTGTGCATCTGTAGTCTTGATACTTTGGGAGGCCGAGGTGGGAGGATCGCTTGAGGACAGGAGTTTGAGACCAGCCGGGGCAACATAGCAAGACCCCATCTCTGCCAAAAAAAAAAAAAAAACAAGTAGAGGTTTGGACCGTTTGTGGTGGCACATGTCTGTAGTCCCAGCTACTTGGGAGGCTGAGTCAGGAGGATCGCTTGAGCCCAGGAGTTCTGGGCTATTGTGAAGTATGTGATTGGGCATCTGCACTAAGTTTGGCATCAATATGGTGATGTTTTGGGAGCAGGGACCACCAGGTTGCCTAAGGTGTCTGAGGAGGGGTTTCCAGGTTGGAAACAGAGCCACTCGACACCCCCGAGCTGATCAGTAGTGCGACTGCTCCTGTGAGTAGCCGCTGCACTCCAGCTTGGGCAGCATAGCGCGACCCCACTTCTAAAAAAATAGAGAAAATGAAACCGGAGGTTTTTGAGGTATTCCTGAGTTTACTGCCACCAGGGACCCTGAGGCCATGAGAGATCCTGGGGGCCCAAAACAGAAAATCCCTGAGATATGCTGATGGCCTGGTCCTGGTGACCTTAGACAGGGGCCATTCTATGAGGGCTGAGGCTGTATATCCCCCATCTCTGAGTCCAGAGTGGGGCCACCTGGGAGGTCCAGAAATATGGTGGGACTTGCCTGAGGTAGGAGGTGACCTGTGCTGTGTTGTTTCACTGCCCCATTTCCAATTTATGGTCCTAATGTGACCCTCAAGCCCTGGGTCTACATATATGACCAACCAATCCCATTCCCTTCTTCAGGGCCACGTCTGCTCCAAAAGCACAGTCCTGTCCCCACATCCACATGCAGCCCAGCATCCACTCTCCAATCCAACTTCATCACCCTCTCTACTATAGCCCAGCCTCGACTCCTTCCCCCTTCCCAAACCTGGCAAGGACTCTGTTCTTCATCCTAACCACATCATGACCTTACCCACATCCATCCCTGTCCCCAACCCATTTTCCATCCCATCCCACCCCATCCCAACACCAATTCTAATCCAAACCTCACCTCATCTTCATCCCCATCCTGAAACGCAACTGTTTTTGTTTTTTAAAATCCCCTCCATCCCCTTCCATCCCTTCCCCTTTCAATCAAACCCTCAAAGAGACACACAGAGAAGAGAACTGTGAATTGTCTGCTCATTAGTTTTTATGAGAGGAAACCAGAGAATTTAAAAAAAATATTTTTGAGACAGGGTCTTGCTTGTCACCCAGGCTGCCCTGAAGTGGTGCAATCATAGCTCACTGCAGCCTTGAGCTCTTGGGTCCAAGCAATCCTCCTACTACACCCTCCCGAGTAGCTGGGGTTACAGGCATGAGTCACTGTCTGTAAAGCCTCACATGTGAAGCTCAGGGTCTACATATATGACTCATATGACTCTCAGGGCCTGTAAGTTCTGCAGAGATGACTGTGGTAGTCAGCCTTCAAGATGGGTTCCCTGTGACCTTTACGTTCTCATATTCGTGCCCTTGTGTAGTCTCTTCCCACAACGACTCAGAGCTGGTCCATGTGATAAATAGAATACTGTATAGTGGAGACCATCCTTTGTGACTTGTGAGGCTAGATCATAGGAGCATGGTGGCTTCTATCTTTGCCTCTGCCATGTTGTGAAGATGCCCAGTCATCCCTTTGGAGAGGCTCACATGGCAAGGAACTGAGGCCTCCCACCAACAGCCATGTGAGTGCATCATCTTGGAAGCAGATCCTCTAGCCCCAGTCAAGCCTGCAGATGACTTGCAGTCCCAGGCAACATCTTGACTACAATCACGCAAGAGATCTCAAGCTAGAACTACCCAGCTAAGCTGCTCTCAGATTCCTGAACCACAGAAACTGTGAGATAATAAATGCTTATGGTTGTTTTAAGTCACTGCGTTTTGGGGTAATTGGTTGTGCAGCCATAGATAACTGACCCAGTGCCCTGGTACTTCACCATGGAATGTGGGGGAATACTTAACACCTATCCCCTTAACATCTTGTTACAAATGTTACCACTTCCAGGAGGCACTTCCTGATGACCTCGCTACATTAGCTTTTATCCTATCCCTATTGCTCTGTTTTATTAGGTTTAGAGCAGTAATACTTAGTCTATATAAAAACATATTTTAATGTTTCTTAATTTCTTTACTTTTTTTTTTTTTTTTCTTGAGACGGAGTTTCACTCTTGCTGCCCAGGCCGGAGTGCAATGGTGCAATCTTGGCTGACAGCAACCTCTGCCTCCCGGGTTCAAGTGATTCTCCTGACTCAGTCTCCCTGGCAGCGGGATTACAGGCATGTGCCACCGTGCCCGGCTAATTTTGTATTTTTAGAAAAGATGGGGTTCCTCCATGTTGCTCAGGCTGGTCTCGAACTCCCGACCTCAGGTGATCTGCCTGCCTCAGCCTCCCAAAGTGCTGAGATTACAGGCGTGAGCCACCATGCCCAGCCTCTTTTCTTTTTTCTTTAAGAGTGGGGTCTCCTTCTGTTGCCCAGGCTGGAGTGTGGTAGTGCAATCATGGCTCACTGCTGTGTCAACCTCCTGAGCTCAAGCAATCCTCCCACCTCAGTCTCCCGATAGCTGGGACTACAGGTGTGCACCACCATGCCTGGATGGTTTTTTCTAATTTTTTTTTTTTTTTTACAGAGATAGGGTCTTGCTATGTTGCCCAGGCTGGTCTTGAACTCCTGGCCTCAAGCGATCCTCCTGCCTTGGCCTCCCAAAGTGCTGGGATTATAGGCATGAGCCACTGCGCCCAGCCTATTTCTGCGTCTCTTTACTGGTTTATTGTCTCTCTGGTCTAGATTGCAGGAAGAAGTTTATCCATCTCTTCCACCCAGGACTTGGTGCTCTGTAGGGGAGCTCAACTGGGAGAGGGGAGGGGTGTGGCTGTTGTCATAGTTTCTTCTTTTTCCTTTTCTTCTTTTTTTTTTTTTGAGACAGAGTTTTGCTCTGTCGCCCAGGCTGGAGTGCAGTGGCGCGATCTCGGCTCACTGCAAGCTCCGCCTCCCAGGTTCACGCCATTCTCCTGCCTCAGCCTCCTGAGTAGCTGGGACCACAGGCGCCCGCCACCACGCCTGGCTAATTTTTTGTATTTTTAGTAGAGACAGGGTTTCACCATGTTAGCCAGGATAGTCTCGATCTCCTGACCTTGTGATCTGACTGCCTCAGTCTCCCAAAGTGCTGGGATTACAGGCGTGAGCCACCGCGCCTGGCCCTTTTTTTTGAGACAGAATCTCACTGTGTTGCCCAGGCTGGAGTGCAGTGGCGCTATCTCGGCTCACTGCAATGGGGGCTATTGTCATTGTTTCTCCTTCCTCTTTTTTTTTTTTTTTGAGACAGAATCTCACTCTGTCACTCAGGTTGGAGTGCAGTGGTGCGATCTCAGCTCACTGCAACCTCCACCTCCTGAGTTCAAGTGATTCACCTGCCTCAGCCTCACAAGTAGCTGGGATTACAGGCTTGCACCATCATGCCTGGCTAGTTTTTGTATTTTTGTTAGAGACGGGGTTTCGCCATGTTGGTTGCCCAGGCTGATCTCGAACTCCCAAACTCAGGCAACCTGCCAGCCTCAGCCTCCCAAAGTGCTGGGATTACAGATGTGAGCCACCACTCCCGGCCCATTGTTTCTTCCGTGTGTGAATCCAAACTCCGGAGAAAAATGTGTGTGTGTGTGTGTGTGTGTGTGTGTGTGTGTGTTTGTGTGAGGTCCAGGGGCTTCCCCCCAAGATGGATTTGCCTGTACTTGACTTTGAAAGGAAAGGGAAACAGACAGATGCCTTAGACATCTGAGTAGGAGGGACAAGACCTGGCTACCACTTGTCATGTTCCTGGTGTTAGCTGTAGCCATGCACAACATGTATACTATCGCTGGGTGTCCAGACCCACCAGGTAAGGCCCTGGCCAGGCTGGGGCTGGGGCCCAGGTGTGGTCAAGATCCAGGGTACAGAATCCCCATCATGGGGCAGCTGAGGCAGAGACCAGGGCTTGAGGGATGGAGGGAGGAGGGAATGGCTGGGCTCTGACTTGCCTTTCCCCTGGAAGGGACCATGGAGGAGGAGGAGGAGGATGATGACTATGAGAACTCAACACCTCCCTACAAGGACCTTCCTCCCAAGCCAGGTAAGAGGACTTTTTGGAGTGTGACCTGGGGGAATACAGGGAACAGGGTTTCCAGGAGGCATTGGCTGGGCATTGTAGACACACAGTCAGTCTCCTCTGTATCCAGCCCATGCCAGGCACTGTGCAACACACACCCTGCCCAGGAGGACCTGTCAGTCTGATGGCAGAGGCGGGTTTGGACACAGCCTTGGTGAGCAGGGTTGAGAGAGGAAGGGTCAGGAGATTGGCAAAATCCTTGGGGGACTGAGAGCTCAATTAGAGGAAGGGACTTTGGAGTGGGACTTGAGGGATGAGTAGACATTTCTTTCTTTTTTTCTTTTTTTTTGAGATGGAATTTCACTCTGTCACCCAGGCTGGAGTTCAGTGGCACAATCTCCGCTCACTGCAACCTCGCCTCCTGGGTTCAAGCAATTCTTTTGCCTCAGCCTCCCGATTAGCTGGGATTGCAGGCGCCTGCTACCATGCCTGGTTAACTTTTGTATTTTTAGTAGAGACCAGGGTTTCACCATATTGGCCAGGATGGTCTCAAACTCCTGGCCTCAAGTGATCCGCCTGCCTTGGCATCCCAAAGTGCTGGGATTACAGGTGTGAGCCACCACGCCTGGCCGAGCAGACATTTCTTAAGTAGAGAAGCACAGGAGAGAATTGTTGGCTGCAAAGTCCCCGAGTCATAAAAGCTGGTGCTTGAGAAACTGGGAGTGGCCTGTGGGCTCCTCAATCTCCTCTCATTACCACTCAAAGCCCAGGGCTTTATTTAATCTTGAATCTCAATAAACCCAAGGCATAGCCCAGGGTTCAACAAGAATCTGATCAGAGGATATAAAAGTGGAGGTTTGGGCTGGTTGCAGTGGTGTGTGTCTGTAGTCCCACTGCTTTGGGAGGCCAAGATGGGAGGATCACTTAGCCATGAGTTCACTGGAGGCCAGGAGTTCGAGACCAGCTTGGGCAATATATAGCAAGACGCCCATCTCTACCAAAAAAAAAAAAAAAAAAAAAGGGAAGTTTGGGCCAGGCGTGGTGGCTCATGCTTGTAATTCTAGCACTTTGGGAAGCCAAGGTGGGAGCATCACTGGAGCCCCAGAAAAGAGACCATCCTGGGTAACACAGTGAAACCCCCAGCTATATGAAAACATTTTTTTTTTCAAATTAAAAAAATTAGCCAGTTGTGGGATGTGTGCCTGTTGTCCCAGCTTCTCAGGAGGCCGAGGTGGTAGGATTGCTAGAACCCGGGAGTTCAAGGGTGCAGTGAGCTATGATGGCACCACTGCACTCCAGTCTGGATGACAGAGCAAGGCACTGTCTTTAAAAAAATAGAACACGGGCTGGGTGCGGTGGCTCACGCCTGTAATCCCAGCACTTTGGGAGGCTGAGGCGGGTGGATCACGAGGTCAGGAGATTGAGACCATCCTAGCTAACACGGTGAAACCCCGTCTCTATTAAAAAAATACAAAAAATTAGCTGGGTGTGGTGGTGGGCACCTGTAGTCCCAGCTACTTGGGAGACTGAGGCAGGAGAATGGCGTGAACCTGGGAGGCGGAGGTTGCAGTGAGCCAAGATCGCGCCACTGAACTCCAGCCTGGGAGACAGAGAGAGACTCTGTCTCATAAAACAAACAAACAAACAAACAAACAAACAAAAACATGGCCGGGCACGGTGGCTCAGCCCTGTAATCCCAGCACTTTGGGAGGCCAAGGCGGGTGGATCACTTGAGGTCAGGAGTTCGAGACCAGCCTGGCCAACATGGTGGAATCCTGTCTCTACTAAAAATATAAAAGTTAGCTGGGCGTGGTAGCATACGCCTGTAATCCCAGCTGAGGGGGCTGAGGCAGAATTGCTTGAACCCAGGGGGCGGAGGTTTCAGTGAGATGAGATCACGCCACTGCACTCCAGTCTGAGCAACAGAGCAAGACTCTGTCTCAAAAAATATAAAATAAAATAAAAAATAAAATAAAATAGGGAGATACCCAGGCAATCTAGGTTCGTTGGTCACCCTACTTAATCCCATCTCCATCCCTAATCCCAATTGCATTCTTACGTCCAACCCCGTCTGTAACCTAATCTCCAATCCTCCACTGCAATCCTAACCCTGTTTCCATCACTTCCTCTTGGCGCATTCCCATCCTCAGCCCAGCCCTCACCCTGAGCTTCTCTTCTCCAGGTTCAAGTGCTCCACCAAGACCTCCAAGGGCAGGTGAGTTGGGGCTGGGGGTGTAGGAGACCCAGAGCTGGCTTTGCCCTGCTCTGGCCCTGACCAACCATTCCTCCCTCCTCAGCAAAGGAAACAGAGAAACCCCCACTTCCTTGCAAGCCCCGGAACATGACAGGTGAGAGCTGACAGTTGGAGTCTTCCTGCTCACCTGGCTGAAGCCCTTCTTGAAATGACTTTCTCATCTCTTCTAGGCCTGGACCTCGCCGCTGTCACCTGTCCACCTCCTCAACTGGGTGAGCAGTGGGAAGACCCTTTAAGATGCCTAAGAGGGGATACCTGGATGTTTCCTTTCAATCCCCCAATTTTTATTTATTTATTTTTTTTGAGACAGAGTCTCACTGTCATCCAGGCTGGAGTGCAGTGGTGCGATACTGGCTCACTGCAACCTCTGCCTCCTGGGTTCAAGTGATTCTCCTGCTTCAGCCTCCTGAGTAGCTGGGACTACAGGCACGAACCACCACACCTGGCTAAGTTTTGTATTTTTAATAGAGATGGGGTTTTGCCATGTTGGCCAGGCTGGTCTCAAACTCCTGACCTCAGGTGATCCACCCGCCTCAGCCTCCGACAGTGCTGGAATTACAGGCGTGAGCCACTGCCCACAGCCAGCCCCCTAAATTCTGACCAGAGAACAAAACAGAGGTTGTTGATCTTGGAAGACAGAGTCTTTGGCATCTTCTGAATAAACCTCTCTCCCCCTTTCTCCCAGCTGTGAATCTTGAGCCTTCTCCATTGCAGCCATCCCTGGCCGGTAAGTGTCCTCCCATTTCCCCTCTGACAGTGGCTAGTGTATCTGATTGAGACCTATGGCTCTACAGTGAGACCCTGAGTCAGAGGAACTTCTCCTTTAAGAAGCTGCTCCTTCAGGACCTGCTGCACTGTTCTGAGTTAGTCTAGTGAGCGCTGCTCTAAGTGAGAAAGCCATTCCTTGACATCAGAGTTTGCAAACGTGTATTCTTTTTTGTCCTTCTGAGGACCAGAGTTATGTGGTTGTTTTGTTTTTGATAATGATGATGTACTTATGGTTCTGTTGGTGATTGTGATGGAAGGATGAGGAAGGAGATGATGGAAAGGAAGAGGATGGTTGGTGGTAGTAACGATGGTAGAGGTAGTGATGGCGTTGTTGTGTGCTGATGGTGATGGTGGAGATACTGATGATGGTGGTGATGGTGGAGATAGTGATGGTGTTGTTGGTATTGATGATGGTAATGATGGTGGAAACAGTGATATGGTGGTAATGCAGGGCGGAGGTAGTGATGGTATTGTTGGTGATGGTGGTGGTGGTGATGATGAAGGTAGTGATGGTGTTAGTGAGATGGTGATGATGATAGTGGTGGTAGTGATGGTGTTGGTGGTGATGGTGTTGGTGATGATAGTAGAGGCAGTGATGGTATTGTTGACAATGACAATGTTGTTGGTAGAGATGATGGTGGTGATGGTGGAGGTAGTGATGGTGTTGGTGATGACCATGTTTAAAAAGAAAAAGAAGCTTCTCCTCTCTGAGTCTAGGCCAGATCTCCAGAAACTCAGGTATCTGCTTGCATAAGATATGGGAAATGTTCTCTGCTCTAGAAGCCGGGGTCCACAAGCTTCCTTGACCTAGGAGCAACTTGGTCAGGGGTTTCTGGAGAGTAGAAGATGATGCATCATAGATATTAAGAACAAAGCTGTGTCCAAGTCATGCCTAACCTCACCAAGCCTCAGTTTACTCACTTGCAAAATGGGAATAATGCTTATAACCTACATCATAAGGATGAGACTCCAATAAGATAGGAAGGATGTAGGTTGGGTACAGTGGCTTACGCCTGTAATCCCAGCACTTTGGGAGGCTGAAGCAGGGAGGATCTCTTGATGCCAGGAGTTCAAGACCATCCTGGACAACATGGCGAGACCCCCATCTCTGCAAAAAAATAAAATAAATTAGCTGGGCCTAGTGGCACACATCTATAGACCCAGCTACTTGAAAGGGTGAGGTGGGAGGATTGCTTGAGCCCAGGCATTAGAGGTTGCAGTGAGCTATAACTGTGCCACTGCCCTCCAGCCTGGATGACAGAGTGAAACCTTGTTTCAAGAAGGAAAGAAGGAAAAAGAGAAGGATGCAACATGATGCTTAGCGCACCGTAAATGCATCAAAAAGACCCTGAGCCTCCCCAGGGTTCACTCTCCCTAACCCTCTCTTGCTGACTTCATCTGCTGAAACAGTCATGACTACAGACTTCTGCCCCCTGCTCTTGGACAAAGACTTAAGAGTCTCTTCCTTACTCTCTGAAGCCCCAGTATCAGTCTCTCTGTTCCCATCCCCACTCCCCAGCAACTCCAGTCCCCTGGCTCAATCAGAGGTCTGGAGGTCCTGGCTGCTGCCAGAAGAGGTGGATGGTGTACCTGTGTCTGCTGGTGGTGACTTCCCTGTTCCTGGGCTGCCTTGGTCTCACTGTGACCCTGATTAAGTGTGAGTAGGGCCAGGAAGGGACATGGGGAGAGATTGGGGAGGGTGCACAGGAGGACCTGGGCTCAATTTGGACTCTTCTTCATAGACCAGGAGTTGATGGAAGAACTGAGAATGTTAAGCTTTCAGCAGATGACGTGGCGAACAAATAGTGAGTGCTTTCAGTCATTCCTTCATGCCACTCCTATTGAGCCCTAACCCAATCCTCAGATCCAACTCCAAGATCCAACCTCATCCCCATCTTTGCTGGGCACTGTGCTAGGTACCAGGGGGTTAAAATGGTAAACATGTCAGACACAGTCTTTGTCTGACTGTGTGAAGTGTGCATGTGTATATGTGTCCAGACCTCCACCATCCAATATGGTGGCCACAAGCCATATGTGGCTGTTGAACACTTGAAATGTGGCCAGTCCAAACTGAGATGAGCACTAAGTATGAAATACACACTGGTCCAGGTGCAGTGGCACATGCCTGTAATCCCAGCACTTTTGGAGGCTGAGGCAGGATTGCTTGAGGCCAGAAGTTCGAGACCCGACTGGGCAACACAGCAAGGCTCCATCTCTAAAAAAAATTAGCCGGGTGTGGTGGTGTGTGGTGTGTGCTTGTCATCCCAACTACTCAAGAGGCCGAAGTGGGAGGATCTCCTGAATCAGGGAGTTTGAGGTTGATCATGAGCCATGATCACACTCAAGAGATCCTCCTGCCTCAGCCTCTTGAGTAGCTGGGACATAGGCGCATGCCATCACACCCGGCTGGTTAAAAAATTTTTTTTTTGTATAGAAGAGGTCTCACTATGTTGACTAAGCTCGTTTCAAACTCCTGGCCTCAGGTATTCCTCCTGCCGCAGCCTCCTGAAGTGTTTCGTGCCTGGCCTAAAACCTGTGTTTCTGTTTTGTCCAACTGAAGGGCCAGCTACTGAGCTAGCGAGTGTTGAAAAAGGGAAGAGTTCGTGGGGGAGTAGTGATAATACACACGTTAATTATAGAAGAATCTTTTGACCTGGGTTGGCCTTCATCATGACTGCCAAAGTCTGAATATTTCTCCATTCCACACTGCCTCACCCTATGCTTCATAACAAGCAAGCTCAAAACCCATCAATGGCTTCTCATTGTCCAGAGTCCAAGGTGAAACCTTTAGCTTGGCATTCAAGGATCCACATATTAGGCTGGGCACAGTGGCTCATGTCTGTAATCCTAGCACTTTGGGTGGCCAAGGTGGGAGGATCCCTTGAGGCCAGGAGTTCAAGACCAGCCTGGGCACAGCAAGACTTTCTTTCGTTTGTTTGTTCTTTCTTTCTCTCTCTCTCTCTCTCTCTCACTATCTCTTTCTTTCTTTCTTTCTTTTTCTTTTTCCTTCCTTTCTTCCTTCCTTCCTTCCCTTCCCTTCTCCTTCCTTCCTTCCTTCCTTTCTTCTCTCCCTCTTTCTCCTTCCTTCCTTCTTTCCTTCCTTCTTACTTTCTTTCTCTCTTGCTTTCTTTCTTTTGACAGAATTTTGCTCTTGTTGCCCAGGCCGGAGTACAGTGGCGCGATCTCAGCTCACTGCAACCTCCCCCTCCCAGGTTCAAGTGATTGTCCTGCCTCAGCCTCCTGAATAGCTCAGATTACAGGCATCTGCCACCACTCCCGGCTAATTTTTTGTATTTTTAGTAGAGATGGGGTTTCACCCTGTTGGCCAGGCTGGTCTCGAACTCCTGACCTCAGGTGACCCATCTGCGTCAGCCTCCCAAAGTTCTGGGATTATGGGCATGAGCCACTGCGCCCGGCCTAGCAAGACCTTGTTTCTACAACAAATTTTAAAAAAATAGCCAGTCATGATGTCATGTACCTGTAGTCCCAGCTACTCAGGAGGCTGAGGTGGGAGGATCACTTGAGCCCAGGAGGTTGAAGCTGCAGTGAACCACGATTGCACTCCAGCCTGTGGGACAGAGCAGGACTGTGTCTAAAAAAAATAAAATAAAGGATCCAGGCATCTGAGCTCATTCTGCTTTGATCTCAAGCTTTTCTGAGTTTTCCCTCCACTCTTATAGGCTTTGCCGCCTCACCACAACATACTTGCCTCTGTATCTTTGCTTTTTTTTTTTTTTTTTTTTTTTTTTGAGATGAAGTCTCACTCTCTTGCCCAGGCTGGAGCACAGTGGTGTGATCTTGGCTCACTGCAACCTCTGCCTTCCGGGTTCAAGTGATTCTCCTGCCTCAGCCTCCTGAGTAGCTGGGATTACAGGCATGTACCACCACGCCCAACTAATTTTTGTATTTTTAGTAGAGACAGGGTTTTACCATGTTGGCCAGGCTGGTCTTGAACTCTTGACCTCAGATGATCCGCCCACCTCGGCCTCCCAAAGTGCTGGGATTACAGGTGTGAGCCACCATGGGCAGCCTGCATCTTTGCTTTTAAGATAGTCCCTGCCTAATGTGCCTCTTCCTCACCTCACAGTTATCGAATCACTTTCTTCCTTTAAAACCCACTTCTTTCAGGGTGCCCACCACCCCTACTTTTCCCCACATCCCCGGGATTGATCCCTCCTCTGAGCCATTCTCGGATTCTGAGCACTGTACATGTGGTTTTTGAGCGCAAGCGTGACCCACTGGAATGTGGACACAGTGGGGAACACAACCCTTGCTTCTCTCTCTGATGTGTCTGCAGTCCGTGGTGGATGGGTAGGATGGGTTCTCAGTCTGTAGCCCTCAAGCCCATCCCTTCTGACAGTGACTGGCATGGCAGGGCTAGCTGGCCTGAAGCATGACATTGCCCGTGTAAGAGCTGACACCAACCAGTCCCTGGTGGAACTTTGGGGCTTATTAGGTAAGTGAGACTTGGGGAATTGCCCAGGGATGGGGGGCATGGCAGAGCTGGCACATTACATCACTCCATTGAAGTCATTCTCAGTGCAGTCTATGTGAATGGTGCCCCTCCCCCTCACCGGAGTTGAGCAGTGTACAGCCTGCACAACTGTACATGGCATACTATGTACATGGCTCAGGTTCTGGGGCCATCCTGACAGCATTCTGTCTGGTTCCCAGACTGCCGCCGAATTACCTGTCCTGAAGGCTGGCTGCCCTTTGAGGGCAAGTGTTACTACTTCTCCCCAAGCACCAAGTCATGGGATGAGGCCCGGATGTTCTGCCAGGAGAATTACTCTCACTTGGTCATCATCAATAGCTTTGCTGAGCACGTGAGTTCTTCCCACTGAACCTTTGAGAACCTTCAGGGACAGCCTGCTTCTCTTCCAGGATGCACACATCCCTCCCTTCCCTGGATGGCAAGAAATTAGAATTACTTTTCAGTTACTAAAACTTTAACAGCAAGCTCTTCCTAAGGTAGTATCATGCAGAGGTTAAGAAGACATGCTTTGTTTTTGAGTTCAAATTCTGGTTGTGTTGATTTAACCTCTGTACATTTCAAGTATCGGTTTTATCTCTAACATGAAAATACAATAATTAATATCTGTTAGGTAGCACTTTTTATGTTTCAGGTTGCATTCCAAATACTTTACATCTTACAGTCATTAACACATGCAATCCTCACGACAACCTATACATTAGTATGCCAGTCGGAAGAGTTTATTTCTTTTCTTTTCTTTTTTTTTTTTGAGATGGAGTCTCGCTCTTTCACCCAGGCTGGAGTGCAGTGGCTGGATCTTGGCTCACTGTAAGCTCCGCCTCCCGGGTTCACGCCATTCTCCTGCCTCAGCCTCCTGAGTAGCTGGGACTACAGGTGCCCACCACCACGCCCGGCTAATTTTGTTTTTGTATTTTTAGTAGAGACAGGGTTTCACTGTGTTAGCCAGGATGGATGGTCTTGATCTCCTGACCTCGTGATCTGCCCGCCTCGGCCTCCCAAAGTGCTGGGATTACAGGCGTGAGCCACCACGCTCGGCCTTCTTTTTTTTTTTTTTTTTTTTTTTTTTTTTGAGATGGAGTCTCACTCTGTCACCCAGGCTGGAGTGCAGTGGTGCAATCTTGGCTCACTGCAACCTCTGCCTCCCGGGTTCAAGCAATTCTAGTGCCTCAGTCTCCCGAGTAGCTGGGATTGCAGGCATGTGCCACCACGCCTGGCTAACTTTTGTATTATTAGTAGAGATGAGGTTTCTCCATGTTGGCCAGGCTGTTCTCGAACTCCTGACTTCAGGTGATCCTCCCACCTCTGCCTCCCAAAGTGCGGGGATTATAGGTGTGAGCCACCACGCTGGGCTAGGAGGGGTTACTTTATGCTGCGGTAACAGACAGTCTCCATAGTCCAATGGTGAAAGTAGACGAGGGAAATCATACATTGACTGTCAGAGTTTCCATTTACTTTTGCTCACAAAAGTCACATGTACACGCCTATCTTTTAAGGTGGTAGGGAAATAAGTCTCACCTCCGTGCAACCAGAAGGAGGATTGGAATATGGGTAAATAGCTTTAATGATTTGCTACTACAATTTAGGTAGTATTACTATTTGTACACAATATGTATCATCTGTACTTCACAGGTGAGGAAGTCAAGGTTCCAGTACATGTAAGCAACTTGCCTGGAGTCACTTACAGCTAGTGGGATTTAAGCCTAGGTAGCCGGCTTTCAAGTCCATGGTCTTGACCATAGACATAGGACTATAGTATGGTTTATGTTTCCTTTTTTCTGTTTTTCAGGGACAAGGTCTCACTCTGTCACTCAAGCTGGAGTGCAGTGGTATAATCATAGCTCGTTGCAGCCTCAAAGTCCTAGGCTCAAGCAATTCTTTCGCCTCACCCTCCTGAGTAGCTAGGACAACCAGGCACTTGCCACTGTACCCAGCAAATTATTATTATTATTATTACTTTTTGAGATGGAGTCTCGCTCTGTCACCCAGGCTGGAGTGCAGTGGCGCGATCTCGGCTCACTGCAAGCTCTGACTCCCGGGTTCACGCCATTTTCCCACTTCAGCCTCCCGAGTAGCTGGGACTACAGGCGCCCGCCACCACACCCAGCTAATTTTTTGTATTTTTAGTAGAGACGGGGTTTCACTGTGTTAGCCAGGATGGTCTCGATCTCCTGACCTGGTGATCTGCCTGCCTCGGCCTCCCAAAGTGCTGGGATTACAGGCATGAGCCACCGCGCCTGGCCCAGCAAATTATTTTTACTTTTGTAGAGACAGGGTCTTGCTATGTTGCCTAGGCTCTATGTTTTCTATTCATTTTATTTTTAATTTATTTATGTCATTATATTTAAAATGTTTTTTTTTTCCCAGACAGTATATAGTTGGGTTTGGATTTTTAAAATCTGATCTGATAATCTCTGGCTTTTAATTGGTGTTTTCATTTACTTATTTATGTATTTTTGGAGACAGGGTCTCACTTTGTCACCCAGGCTGGAGTGCAGTGGCGCAGCCTCAGCTCATGGCAGCCTTGGCCTCCTGGGCTCAAGTGATTATCCCACCTCAGCTCCCCACCAAGTAGCTGGGACAACAGGTGTGTGCCACCATGCCTGGATAATTTTTAACATTTTTTGTAGAGATGAGGTTTTGCTATGTTGCCCAGGCTGGTCTGGAACTCCTGACCTCAAGTGATCTGCCGCCTTCACCTCCCAAAGTGCTGGGATTACAGGCATGAGCCACTGTACCCAGCCTAATTGGTATTTTTAGACCGTTTACATTTAATATAATTACTGATTGGGTTGGATTTAGGTCTATCATCTTATTATTTTCCTGTATGTCGTGTCCCTTCTGTTTTTTATCCCTCTGTTTCATAGCATTATTTGTATGAGTAGTTAAACAGTTTTTTTTTTTTGAGATGGAGTCTTGCTGTGTTGCCCAGGCTGGAGTGCAGCAGCATGATCTTGGCTCACTGCAACCTCTGCCTCCCGAGTTCAAGTGATTCTCCCGCCTCAACCTCCCGAGTAGCTGGGATTACAGGCGCCCACCACCATGCCTGGCTAATTTTGTACTTTTGGTAGAGATGGGGTTTCTCCATGTTGGCCAGATTGGTCTCGAACTCCTGACCTCAGGTGATCCACCTGCCTTGGCCTCCCAAAGTACTGGGATTACAGGCATAAGCCACCGTGGCTGGCCAAAACAGGGCTTTTGAAGGAGTTAAATTAGGTAATGTAAATGAGGCAGGTGCAAATCATATTCCCTAACTCAGTTTCACAAGAAATACAACTACATTTCCTTTAAATTACTCATTTTAGTTTCTCTCTTGAGTTCTCATTCTGCTAGAATGGTGTACATTTACTCTCAGTCAATTGGGTTCTCCCATTTTACTTCTAAATGGGGACAGCTTTTGTGGGGTCAAGGTGGAAGGGAGCACACATCGGGTCTTTGCTGTCTTTACTCCAAACTGGTATCTACTGGGACATCTACAGACTGAATGATCCTGGGAAGGTTACTTAACCCCTCTGTGCCTCAGTTTTCTCATCTACAAAATGGGCATAATGATAATACTTGCTTCAGTGAGTCATGATAAGGATCCAATGAGACAATCTGTGCAAAGTAGTATAGCTCACTTTTTTTTTGAGATGGGATCTTGCTCTGTTGCCCAGGCTGGAGTGCAGTGGCATGATCTTGGCTCACTGCAGCCTCCATCTCCCAGGTTCAGGCAATCCTCCTGATTTAGCCTCCCAAGTAACTGGGACTATAGTCACGTGCCACCACTCCCAGCTAAGTTTTGTATTTTTTTTTTTAGTAGAGTTAGGGTATCATCATGTTGGCCAGGCTGCTCTCTAGCTAATGATCTCAAGTGATCTGCTCCCCTTGACCTCCCGAAGTGCCGGGATTACAGGAGTGAGCCACCGTGCCCTAACCCATAGCTCACTTCTTAATTCATTAATTCAACCAACATTTCCTGAGCACCTACTATGTGCTGGAGACTATTCTACATATTGGGGATCCAGTGATGACCAAGACATATGAGTTCCCTCTTCTTAAACTGCTCTGATTTTGGTGCCTAGAAATAGCAAGGACTCTCTAAATGTTAAAGAGTCTTCTGGTTTTCTGGGGCTCAGACTTTGGGCCATCTAGGCTGCCCCTGAGGCATCCCACTCTTCCATCAGCAAAGCCTTTTGGGCCTGGAGGTCTTTTCCTGCTGTTCTTGGGCACAAGAGATCTTTCTGCTCCTCCTATCCCATTCTGGGGTCTAAGACACTGTGAGGCCTTCTAAGCCTCCATCTAGTCTGATGGGACAGGAAGACCTTTCCGCTCTCTGATTTTCTGACACCTCCCTGGGGCTTTACCCAGGAAATAGTCCCCAGGTCCCTTCTGCTTTTTAGAGTCTCCAAACCCATCTGGGGTTTTTACCATCACCTGAAAAGCTCACCGGAAATGAGATACCAGATTCTTCTCTCTGGGGCCTGCCATGTCTACACATTTATTATTTCCTTCCCATGGTGACTTTACCTCCCCACATTTTTTTTTCCATCAAAGCAGAAATTTTATTACCCACATTCTTTGACCACAATGCTATAACGACAGAAATATTTTCTTTTACAAAAATTTCAATCACCTTAAGAATGTTTAAAGTCGGCCGGCTGCAGTGGCTCGACTGTAATCCCAGCACTTTGCGAGGCCGAGGTGGGCAGATCACCTGAGGTCAGGAGTTTGAGACCAGCCTGGCCAACATGGTGAAACCCTGTTTCTACTAAAAATACAAAAATGAGCTGGGCATGGTGGCGCGTGGCTGTAATCCCAGCTACTCAGGAGGCTGAGGCAGGAAAATCGCTTGAACCTGCGAGGCGGAGGGTGCAGTGAGCTGGGATCACACCACTGCATTCCAGTCTGGGAGACAAAGCAAGACTCTGACTCAAAAAAAAAATTTTTTTTTTAAAGTCACCAGATAACTTTGGATTAAAGAAGAAATCAAAACTGCAAATAAATAAAAGCAAACATCAATTGGCATTGCCTATAGTAGAACACATGAAATAGATTATAGTAAAAAATTCTTAAAACACAAAGAATTCCAGGATGTGGAAAGCTGGGGCGAGTGTTACTCACACCCAAACAGCAACAATAGCCAGAATAACTACAAAATCATAACTTTTTCTAAACTCATTAGCTAACTGAGATCACCTGGCAGTCAAAAAGTCTAAAATGGGCTGGGCATGGTGGCTCACGCCTGTAATCCCAGCACTTTGACCTCCCCACATTTTTTTTTTTGAGACGGGATTTCGCTTTTTGTTGCCCAGGCTGGAGTGCACTGTCGCGATCTCAGCTCACTGCAACCTCCACCTCCTGGTTTCAAGCAATTCTCCTCTCTCAGCCTCCCGAGTAGCTGGGAATACAGGCATGACACCACGCCTGGCTAATTTTTGTATTTTTAGTAGAGATGGGGTTTTGCCACGTTGGCCAAGCTGGTCTCGAACTCCTGACCTCAGGTGATCCACCTGTGTTGGCCTCCCAAAGTGCTGGGATTACAGGCATGAGCCACCGCGCCCGGCCACCTCCCCACATTTTAAGGAATCTTGGTTTGGTGGTAAGTTGGGTGAGTTAGATGTGATTTGCATATAGTAAAATGCACAGATCTTTGATGTATGTTCAGTGAACTTTGACAAATGCGTACACCTGTGTAACTGTCAAACTAACCAATATTTATAATCTTTCCACCACCCTAGAAAGTTTTTTCATATCCTTTTTCTAGTTAATCCCTCCCTGCCCCCTACTTGCAACCACCAGTCTAATTTCTTTCACCATCAATTTGTTTGGAGAGGAGTTGCTTCTAACTATATTTTCTTCCCTATCTTTTATCTCTGTCATAAGTCCTTTCTTTTCTTCCAAAGACCTGGGATTTTGACTTTTTTCCGGGACAGAGGCTTGCTCTGCTGCCCAGGCTGGAGTGCAGTGGTGCATTCATAGCTCACTGCAGCCTTGAACTCCTGGGCTTAAGGGATCCTCCCACCTCAGCCTCCTGAGTAGCTGGGACTATAGACACGCACCACCACGTCTGGCTAATTTTTAAAAATTTTTGTAGATATGGGGTCTCAGTATGTTGCCCAGACTAATCTCGAACTCCTAGTCTCAAGCGATCCTCCCTCCTTGGCTAAAGTGGTGGGATTACAGATATGAGGCAGCGTGTCAAAAGCCTGGGCTTTTGAAATACCAAAGCTAGGAAACCTACTTTTCATCTTCCTTCCTTCTTTTCCTGGAACAATGAATTCTTATGTTGTTTGGATGCAGATTAAGGCTACCGAGTAGCACAAAAGTGCAAGAGAAACCAAAAAAAATCAGTTACTATTGCTAAAAATGTCACTTAAATGTTATAATGCTACCTACTAAGACGTCCACAGTATGAGGCTCTGCACAGTGGCTCATGCCTGTAATCCTAGATCTTTGGGAGACTTACAGTGACCTTTGGGACATGCAGTGAGCCATGATCACACCACTGCACTCCAGTCTGGTTGACAGAGTGAGACCCTGTCTCAAAAAAAAAAAAAAAAAAATTAGGCTGGATGTGGTAGCTCATGCCTGTAATTCCAGCACTTTGGGAGGCTGAGGCAGGTGAATCAACTGAGGTCAGAAGTTTGAGATCAGGCTGGTCAACATGGCGAAAGCCCGTTTCTACTAAAAAATACAAAAATTAGCCGGGCGTGGTGGCGGGTAGCTATAATCCCAGCTACTCGGGAGGTTGAGGCGGGAGAATCGCTTGAACCCAGGAGGTGGAAGCTGCAGTGAGCTGAGATCGCACCACAGCACTCCAGCCTGGGTGACAGAGCGAGACTCCCTCTCAAAAAAAAAAAAAAAAAAGTTAATCCTCACAACACTACCAGGAGGTAGCTACTGTGAACCCATTTTACAGGTGAGGAAACTGAGGCACGGAGCAGTTCGCAGATTGCATGAGAAAAAGTAGCACGATTATTCCCACCACACATGCTACAGTGGGAGGAAGACATTGATCCTGTTCTGCATACCATGGGGACGGGGACGGGTTGTGGGAGGTGACGTTCCCAAGCCCTAAATATGTAGGACAGGGCACAGGGCAGGTCCTCACCCTGAGGGTCATGTAGAGGAATGGCTGGCTGAATGGAATTTTTATTTGCAGAATTTTGTGGCCAAGGCCCATGGCTCTCCACGGGTGTACTGGCTGGGGCTGAATGACAGGGCCCAGGAAGGGGACTGGAGGTGGCTGGATGGGTCTCCTGTGACATTAAGGCAAGTGCTTGGGTTTCCTGGGGTCTCTCTGCTTCCTCTGTGGGCCCTGACCATGGGGAGGGGAGAAGGTGATGGAGTACATGGTTGAAGGAGTCAGGAGCTGTTTCTTTTTTTTTTTTTGAGACAGAGTCTTGCTCTGTCGCCCAGGCTGGAGTGCAGTGGCGCAATCTCAGCTCACTGCAAGCTCCGCCTCCCAGGTTCAAGGTATTCTCTGCCTCAGCCTCCCGAGTGGCTGGGACTACAGGTGCCCATCACCATGCCCGGCTAATTTTTTGTATTTTTAGTAGAGACGGGGTTTCACCGTGTTAGCCAGGATGGTCTTGATCTCCTGACCTCGTGATCTGCCCGCCTTGGCCTCCCAAAGTGCTGGGATTACAGGCGTGAGCCACCGCGCCCGGCCAGGAGCTGGTTTTTACTGGTACAGCTCTACTTGTTTTATTTTATTTTATTATTTATTTATTTATTTATTTATTTATTTATTTATTTATTCTTTGAGACGGAGTCTCGCTGTCGCTCAGGCTGGAGTGCAATGGTGCGATCTCAGCTCACTGTAATCTCTGTCTCCCAGGTAGAGGTTGATTCTTCCACCTTAGTCTCCCAAGTAGCTGGGATTACAGACACCCGCCGTCGTGCCTGGCTAATTTTTGTAATTTTGTAGAGATGGGGTTTCACCATGTTGGCCAGGCTGGTCTTGAACTCCTGACCTCAGGTGATCTGCCCACCTTGGCCTCCCAAAGTGTTGGGATTACAGGGGTGAGCCACTGCGCCCAACCTTATTTTAGTTTTTTGAGACAGTCTCGCCCTGTCACCCAGGCTGGAGTGCAGTGGTGCAATCTCGGCTCACTGCAGCCTCAACCTCCCAGGCTCTGGTAATCCTCCTGCCTCAGCCTCCCGAGTACCTGGGACCACAGTCACACACCACCATGCCTGGCTAATTTTTTGTATTTTTAGTAGAGATGGGGTTTTAGTGTGTTGCCCAGGCTGGTTTTGAACTTCTGAGCTCAAGCGATCCACCCGCCTTAGCCTCCCAAAGTGCTGGGATGACAGGCTTGAGCCACCACACCTGGCCTCTACTAATTTTAAACACAGAAAAATTCCTGTCCTGTTTGGTAAATTGCCATTGCCTTAAATCTCCTGAGAATCCTTCTGCTGCCCCTTGGACTTCCACATCACCTAACAACTAAAGGATTTGTCATTGGCAAAGAAGGGGCCTAGAGACCCTGATTGCAGGGTGTGTGGCACAGGTAGCATTGCTCATTATTTTGGTACACCACCCCCAGTCATTCCCATTTCCCTGTGTGCTTGGCATCCTTGCAGTCCAAGCTGATAGGGTGTCTAGCATCCCAGGCTTGGCCAGACAGGGACAGCACCAGGGTGATTTTTTGGTGACAGGCTGTCTGGACCCTGAACCTTCAATATTTCCTCCATTGCAACATCTCAGTCTTTTCGTAAAACTGCTGAAATATATCAAGCTCTCCAGGCTAATGGTTGGGAGAAAAAAGGGAGGGTGGAAGGATGAGGAAGAATTTTTTTTTTTTTTTTTTTTTTTGAGACAGAGTCTCACTCTGTTGCCCAGGCTGAAGTGCAGTGGTGCAGTCTTGACCCAATGCAACCTCTGCCTCCCAGGCTCAAGTGATTCTCCCACCTCAGACTATTGAGTAGCTGGGATTACAGGTGCGCACCACCATGCCTGGCTAATTTTTTTTTTTTTTTTTGAGACGGAGTCTCACTCTGTGGCCCGAGCTGTAGTGCAGTGGCACAATCTTGGCTCACTGCAACTTCTGCCTCCTGGATTCAAGCGATTCTCCTGCCTTAGTCTCCCAAGTAGCTGGGATTACAGGCGCCCGCCACCATGCTTGGTTAATTTTTGTAGTTTTAGTAGAGACGGGGTTTCAACATGTTGGCCAGGCTGGTCTCGAAATCCTGACCTCAGGTGATCTACCCGTCTTGGCCTCCCAAAGTGCTGGGATTACAGGTGTGTGCCACCGCACCTGGCGGAACATTGGCTGCTAAAGGCTCACAGGAATGCTTTTTCCGCAAAGCTATTCTCAGCTGAATGGGAGCCTGCTCACCTAAGACACTACCCAACTCCACTGGGGTCAGCTCACAACCGGTGACAGCCTAAGAGAAGCCTGGACCCCTTGTGACAAGTTGGGATGACTCTGGTGCTGTTGACATCCCAGTGGTCTCTGTTGGGGTCAGGCTGAGGCTAGAGTCATCTGAGTCCATGCTCCTGCTCAATTCCTTCCCCTTCTCCATCTAGCTTCCCTCACCTCTCTCCTAAGAACATCCTTTAATAAATCCTACACACTCGAGTCCCTGAATCAGGCCCTGCTTTAAGCAAGAGCCCACATGATCTAAACAATTCCTAGAAGGTTGGGTTGGGAGGTTGTAAAAGAAAGAGTCCTTGGAAGACAAGACAGAAACTGACCAGATTCAGAAATTGATTAAGGGGCCAGGCACGGTGGCTCGTGCCTGTAATCCTAGCACTTTGGGAGGCTGAGGCGGGCGGATCACTTGAGGTCAGGAGTTCAAGACCAGCCTGGCCAACATGGTGAAACCCCGTCTCTACTAAAAATATAAAAACTAGCCGGGTGTGGTGGTGGACACCTGTAATCCCAGCTACTTGGGAGGCTGAGGCAGGAGAATTGCTTGAACCCAGGAGACAGAGGTTGCAGTGAGCCGAGATCACGCCACTGCACTCCAGCCTCAGCGACAGAGTGAGACTCTGTCTCCAAAACAAAACAAAACAAAACAAAAAACCCCCCAAAACCAGAAATTGATTAAGGGCCAGGCACGGTGGCTCACTGTGCCCGGCTTACAGGTGTAAGGCTCCACACACGGCCTAATATGGGTTTTGCCAAATGCGTAGTGCCAGGTATTCATCATTACAGTATTATACAGAAGAGTTTCACCACCCTAAAGATCCCTGTCCCTCTGCCCACTTTTTCCTCCATCCAGCTTCTGGGAGCCAGAGGAACCCAATAACATCCACGATGAGGACTGTGCTACCATGAACAAAGGTGGCACCTGGAATGATCTCTCTTGCTACAAAACTACGTATTGGATTTGTGAGCGGAAATGTTCCTGTTGAAGCCCAGGGCCGAGGCTGGGGGTCCATATCTGAGTGTCTCTTTGAGATGAGAATCTCCTGCCCTTTCGTGGACGGCCTTGCCTCTTCGTGAGTGGACACACAGATGTGCCTCAAACAGGATTGGCACCCTGGATGCAGCAAGTTCCCAGGGGTGCAAGTCAGGCTGTTTCTAGAGTGAGGACTTGGGCTTGCCCTAGTAGATGGTGAGCTGGGAGGATGCTCAGAGCTTGGTGGTGGGAGGTCTCCCACTTCTGGGGTTGAAAGGATCTTCACTAAGTTCCTGATCATGACTCTTGGGAAGTGATACTAGCCCTGAGGACCCTGGGGCTGGTGTTGAACCTGGGATGAAATATCCTGGCGCCTGTGAACCACAAAGAGCTGGGACTGGGCTCCTTTTCCTGCAGCCTCAAACTTCTGGGCTCAGGTGATCCTCCCATCTCAGCCTCCTGAGTAGCTGGGACTACACATGCGCACCACCATGCCTGGCCAATTTTTTGTAGCATTTAAAGAGAGGGAGTCTCACTATGTTGCCCAGGCCAGTCTCAAACTCCTTGCCTCAATGGATCCTCCTACTTGGGCTTCCCAAATTGTGAGGATTACAGGTGTGAGCCACTGTGCCTGGCTCAAAATTATTATTATTATTTTTATAGAGATGAGGTCTCACTCTGTTGCCGAGGCTGGTCTCAAACTCCTGGGGTCAAGCAATCCTTCCGTGATGGCCTCCCAAAGTGCTGGGATTACAGGCATGTGTCACCGTACCTGGCCGATATTTTTATTTTTATTTTTACTTTCCCCATCTTTTCCTTTTTTTTTTTTTTCCAAACAAAAGCTTTGAAAGTGGTGACAGAAAAATTTCCCTTTGAGCTAGACCTCTAGATCTGCCTCGCACAGAAATACATTAAGTGGGCTGGTCTCATGTAGTCCCCACATCATTGCAAATTACAAACCTAAAAATACAGAACATCAGCGGAGAAGACAGGAGAGCTTCTATATTCACCCCATGTCGTCCTCTCCAGACACTGCTTCCTTCCTGGTCTCAAACAGCACAAATAACCCAGAAACCATCAAAATTATTTTTGACCAGCAACTTTCTCAATGTCTTGGGTGAGGTTTGCACAAGCTAAGTGGCAGAATCAGACTTTTGCCAGAAGACTTGGCCCGTGGAACTTCTATCCTTTTTTTTTTTTTTTTTTTTTTTTGAGATAGGGTTTCATTCTACTACCCAGGCTGGAGTGCAGTGGCACAATCATAGCTTACTGCACCCTCTGCCTCCTGGGCTCGAGTGATCCTCCTGCCTCAGCCTCCCAAGTAGCTGGGACTACAGGCGTTCACCCTCACACCTGGCTGGCCCATGGAACTTCTAGAAAGGCATACCAGCTGAAAAGCAAGACCCCTACATAGTGTGGCCAGGCAGGCCATAACCTGGTCATATCCACACAGGACAACGATGGACCTATCTGCCAGCACGTGCCCTTGAGCTATCTGTGGGTTGTAACGTCTTTGATGATATAATTCACTTTACTTGCCAGGCACAGTGGCTCACGCCTGTAATCCCAGCACTCTGGGAGACTGAGGTGGGCTGATCACCTGGGGTCAGGATTTCGAGACCAGCCTGGCCAACATGGTAAAATCCTATCTCTACTAAAAATACAAAAAAATTAGCTGGGCGTGGTGGCATGTGCCTGTAATCCCAGCTACTCAGGAGACTAAGGCACGAGAATTGCTTGAACCCAGGAGGCGGAGGTTGCAGTGAGCCGAGATTGTGCCACTGCACTCCAGCCTGGGTGACAGAGCAAGACTCCATCTCAAATAAATAAATAAAAATAAAAATTCACTTTACTTCTGTGTGGACTTTCCTGGGCTATTAGCTCTTGCAATGTTAGTGCTTCTCAAAATGCCACTATGTTGGGTGTTCCTTGTCTACTGTGTGTTAGTTTGCTGGGGCTGCCATAACAAAGGACTGGGTGGCTTCAGCAACAGAATGCATTTTCTCACAGTTCCGGAGGCTGGATGTCCAAGATCAAGGTGTTGGCAGGGTTAATTTCTTCTGAGGCCTCCTGTCTTGGCTTGTAGATGATCCTCTTCTCCCTGTGTCTTCACCTGGTTCTCCTTCTGTGTGTCTGGGTCCTAATCTCCTCCTCCTCTTCTTTTGTTTTTGAGACAGGGTCTCGCTCTGTCACTCAGGCTGGAGTGCAGTGGTGTGATCTCAGCTCACTGCAACTTCCACCTCCCAGGCTTAAGCATCCTCCCGCCTCAGCCTCCTGAGTAGCTGGGATTACAGGTGTGCACCACCGTGCCTGGTTAATTCTTGTATTTTTTGTAGCAACGGGGTTTCACCATGTTGCCCAGACTGGTTTTGAACTCCTAGGCTCAAGCAATCTGCCCACCTTGGTCCCCCAAAGTGCTGGGATTACAGGCATGAGCCACTGTGCTGGGCCTACAACGACCACTTTAAAGATCCTGTCTCCAAATACAGCCATATTAGGAGGTCCTGGGAATTAGAATTTAAACATATGCATTTGGGAGGGGTGGCACAATTTGGCCCATAACATTCACAAACTGCCAGAGTGACCCCCACCCGACCCTCCTGCCCTGGCCATGTGACAACCAAAAAATACCAATTAGAGGGCTGGTACTACTCCCAGCTAGGCATAACTCAACATAGTATTCCCTTTGGACAATCCCTGAATTGCATCCAAGGGTGGGTAGACATTCTCCAAACCAATCAATTTATTTTTTTTTTTTTTGTGACAGAGTCTTGCTCTGTTGCCCAGGCTGGAGTGCAGCGGCGTGATCTCGGCTCACTGCAACCTCTGCTTTCCAGGTTTAACTGGTTCTTCTGCCTCAGCCTCCTGAATAGCTGGGATTTCAGGCACGTGCCACCATGCCTGGCTAATTTTTGTATTTTTAGTAGAGACAGGGCTTTGCCATGTTGGCCAGGCTGGTCTCGAACTCCTGACCTCAAGTGATCCGCCCACCTCAGCCCCCTAAAGTGCTAAGATTACAGGCGTGAGCCACCATGCCTGGCCTTATTTTATTTTTTGAGACAAGGTCTCACTCTGTCGCCCAGGCTGGAGTGCAGTGTTGTAATCATAGCTCACTGAAGCCTCAAACACCTGAGCTCAAGAAATCCTCCGTCCTCAGACTCCTGTATAACTAGAACTACAGGTGTGCCCCCACCACACCCAGCTAATTTTAATTTTTTTTTTTTTTTGTATAGACAGGGGTCTTGCTTTGTTGCCCAGACTGGGCTTAAACTCCTGGTCTCAAACAATCCTCCTGCTTCAGCCTCCTAAAATACAAGGATTGCGATCAATTTATTGATCAATAAGCTCCCTTAATCAATAGCAGAATCTTTCCTGTTTTGTCTGAGAACAGGTGCTTATAGCAAGGAGACTGTGAGGAGAGCAGGTGGTGGGAGAGGTCGGAGCTGATTTCACTTCCTGTTTCTTTGATTTGTTTTAAATCTACTTGTTCTTTTATTTCGTTATTAAAAAAATTTTTTTTGAGATGGAGTGTCACTCTGTCACCCAGGCTGGAGTACAGTGGCATGATCTCGGCTCACTGCAACCTCCTCCTCCTGGGTACAAGCGATTCTTGTGCCTCAGCCTCCTGAGTAGCTGGGATTACAGGTGTGCGCCACCACATCCGGCTAATTTTTGTATTATTAGTAGAGACGGCATTTCGCCACTTTGGCCAGGCTGGTCTCGAACTCCTGACCTCAAGTGATCCACCCGCCTTGGCCTCTCAAAGTGCTGGGATTACAGGTGTGAGCCACTGCACCCAGCCTCGTTATTTATTTTTAAGAGATGGGTTCTCAGGACGTGGCCCAGGCTGGAGTGCAGTGGCATTTCACAGGCACGACCCCACTACTGAGTTTTGGTTCTGTCTGTCCTCTCTTCTCACCTCTGCCCACCTCTGCAGCTGCCCTGATGCATCACTACCAAAGCCAGCTCCTGTACTGTCCGCAGCCTGCTGAGTGGGTGGGTGTCGTGTTGTAAACCCTCCACCCAGGGGACTGTTATGTCAAGCAACTTTATCTGGGGTCAGGGGAAGTTCCCACATTTCAGAAGAGGGAAGTTGTTTTCTGATATGCGTATTGAGAAATGGGGAAGCAGGGGTCTGTGGTCACGTCTCTAGGAGGCCCCTGGTGGAACTGGTCCCAACCTATCTCCCTTCCACATCTCTCATGATTATCTAATTGCAGAGAGGTAAATATGAAAGAGGTCACTTTTTACCACTTTAGGTCCAGGGGAGCAACAGTTGGATAAAAATAATAACCATGGTTTATCAAACATATATTGTGTGGTAAATAAATGCAGTGGCTCTCATTGAATCTTCACCATGACTTTGTGAGGTTGGAATATTTACCAACGCCCGCCAATCTTTTTTTTTTTTTGGGCAGAGTCTCACTCTGTCTCCCAGGCTGGAGTGCAGTGGTGTGATCTCGGCTCACTGCAACCTTTGCCTCCTGGGTTCAAGCCATTCTTCTGCCTCTGCCTCCCAAGTAGTTGGGATTACAGGTACACCGTAATGCCCAGTGAATTTTTTCGTATTTTTACTAGAGATGGGGTTTTGCCATGTTGGCCAGGCTGGTCTCAAACCCCTGGCTTCAAGTGATCTGCCTGCCTTAGCCTCCCAACGTGCTGCGTGCTGGGATTATAGGTGTGAGCCACTGTGCCCGGCCCCCATTTTTTTTTTTTTTTAAAGACAGGGTCTCACTCTGTCACCCAGGCTGAAGTGCAGTGGTGCAATCACAGCTCATTGTGGCCTCAACCTCCTGGGCTCAAGTGATCCTCCCACCTCAGCCTCCCAAGTAGCTGTGGCTATAGGTGTGTGCCACTACACCTGGCTAACCAACCCCATTTTATACCTGGGCAAACTGAGGCCCAGAGGTGGGGTCTCACGGCTTGTCCATTGTCATTTAGTGGGTAAATGGCAGAACTGGGATTCAGATTCCATCTGTGCCTCCCACTGTTTGTTGATCTCTTTCTACAGCTGCCTTCTTTTTTTTTTTTTTTTTTTTTTTGAGATGGAGTCTCACTCTGTTGCCCAGGCTGGAGTGCAGTGGTGTGATCTTGGCTCACTGCAACTTCCATCTCCCACCCCAGCTCCCTCGTTCCTCGGGAGAGGTGACTCTGAGATGCATGTTCCACATTATCTCCTGAAAGTCCCCACTAGGGTAAAGCTCCACCTGCCTAGAGAGATAGCCTGCTCAACTAACACATTTTTGGTTAATTTTTAAAATTAAAAAAAATTTTTTTTAGAGAGACAGCATCTCTGGCCAGGTGTGGTGGCTCACGCCTGTAATCCCAGCACTTTGGGAGGCCGAGGCAGGTGGATCGCTTGAGGCCATGAGTTCGAGACCAGCCTGGGCAACATGTTGAAACCCCATCTCTACTAAAAAATACAAAAATTAGCCGGGCGTGGTGGTGCGTGCCTGTAATCCCAGCTACTCAGGAGGCTGAGGCAGGAGATTTGCTTGAACCCGGGAGGCGAAAGTTACAGTGAGCTGAGATTATGCCACTGCACTCCAGCCTGGGCAACAGAGAGACTCTGCTAAAAAAAAAAAAAAATTAGAGAGACAGGTTCTCGCTGTGTTGCCCAACCTAGAGTGCAGTGGTGCAATCATAGCTCACTGCAACATTGAACTCCTGGGTTCAAGCAATCCTCCCGCCTTCGCCTCCAGAGTATCTGAGACTACAGGTGTGTGCCACTGCTCCCAGCAATAACACATCTTTTAACACATCTTGTTCTTTCTCTGCCTTACTTTTTTTTTTTTTTTTAACAGAGTCTTGCTCTGTCGCCCACTGTAACCTCCGCCTCCCAGGTTCAAGTGATTCTTCTGCCTCAGCCTCCCGAGTAGCTGGGACTACAGGCCTATGCCACCACACCCGGCTAATTTTTGTATTTTTAGTAGAGACGGGGTGTCACCATATTGGCCAGGCTGGTCTTGAACTCCTGACCTCTGCCCTTGTGATCTCCTCGTGATCTCCACGTGAACTCCTCGTGATCTGCCCATCTCGGCCTTCCAAAGTGCTAGGATTACAGGTGTGAGCCACCGTGCCCAGCCCTGCCTCATTTCTTCACACCCCGTTGGTGTTTCCTGGGATCATCTCCAAAATAATCTACCTGCATGCATTAAACTCCTTATCTCAGAGTTTGCTTTTGGGAGAACTCAAATGATGATGCTATGGGATGAGTGTCATCATCAAAGATGAGTTTGTGAAATGGTTCTGGTTTGCCTGGGACTGAGGGACTCCTGGATTGTGGGACTTTTGGTACTAAACCTGGGAAAGTCCCGGGTAAACCAGAATGAATTGACTATCCTTATAGGAGGATAGTGTGGCATCAGGGAAGCCAAGAGAAGAGAATGCTTCAAGAAGAAAAAAAATGATCAACAGAGTCAAATGTTGACCCAGCGGTCAAGTTTGGTAAGACTGAGAAACAACCAGTGGACTTTGCACCGAGGAAGCATTTGGGACATTGGTTCATCCTTTGGTGTGTTGCAAGCAGAAGTTAGATTGCAGTGGTTGAACAGTGAGGAGGTTGGAGCAAGTGAAGACAACACAGTGGAAACAAGCTTTTTTCTAGAATTTTTTTTTTTTTTTTTTTGAGATGGAATTTCGCTCTTGTTGCCCAGTCTGGAGTGCAGTGGCGCAATCTCGGCTCACCGCAACCTCCATCTCCCGGGTTCAAGTGATTCTCCTGCCTCAGCCTCCTGAGTAGCTGGGGATTACAGACATGCGCCACCACGCCTGGCTAATTTCGTATTTTTAGTAGAGAGGGTGTTTCTCCATGTTGGTCAGGCTGGTCTCGAACTCCTGACCTCAGGTGAACCACCCGCCTTGGCCTCCCAAAGTGCTGGGATTATAGGTGTGAGCCACCACACCCCACCTTTTTTTCTAGAATTTTGGCTGTGAAGAGGAGGAGAGATAGAGTGGCTATTGCAGAGGGAAAGCAGATTAAGGGGAGACTTTTTGGATAGAAGGGGCCTGAACATGTGTCCTCTCTTTTCCTTCCTTCTTTTCTTTTCTCTTTTCTTTTCTTTTTTCTTTCTTCCTTCCTTCCTTTCTTTTTCGTTCTTTCTCTTTCTCTCTCTCTTCCTCTCTCTCTTCCCCTTGCTTCCCTCCCTCCCTCCCTCCCTTTCTTTCTTTCTTTCTTTCTTTCTTTCTTTCTTCCTTTCTTTCTTTCTTTCTTTCTTTTCTTTCTCTCTTTCTTGATGGAGTCTTACTCTGTCACCCAAACTAGAGTGCAATGGCATGATATTGACTCACTGCAACCTCTGCCTCCTGGGTTCAAGTGATTCTCCTGCCTCAGCCTCCCAAGTAGCTGGGATTACAGGCCCCTGCCACCACGCCTGGCTAATATTTGCATTTTTAGTAGAGATGGGGTTTCACCACATTGGATAGGCTGGTCTCGAACTCCTGACCTCAGGTGATCCACCTGCCTCGGCCTCCCAAAATGCTAGGATTACAGGCGTGAGCCACTGCACCCGGCCATGTCCTCTCTTTTCTTCCAAAATTCCTATTATTCTCATATTAAACACCCCAGTCTTCCTTTTATTCTTCCAAGATTTTAATCTTTTGGCCTTTTTTCCTCAGTGCTTTGAGCTATTTCTCCTGTGTGGTCTTCTAAGCCTCAAATTTGGCTTTTGAGAGTGATGACTTAAAAAAAAAATCACCCAGCATCAATAGCAGACAGGTGCTAAAGAAAAATAAAAATCATCCAGTAAAATATCTTCTTAAATGTATTCCTTTTTTATTAAGTTCCATAGAACTAGAACTTTTGGGCATGCACTTGAATCTTCTTACATTCTTTAATTTTTTTATTTTTTGCAAAATAAACTTTTATTTGGAGGGACAGCATAATTTAGAGTCCAGGCTCTTTTACACTTTAAACATTTATTTATTTATTTGTTTTATATAGACAAAAATATATATATTTATCATGTACAACAGGATGTTTTGAAATATATCTACATCGTGGAATGACTAAGTCAAGCTAATTAATATACGATTACCTCATATAACTTTTTTTTCTTTTTTTTGTGGTGAGAACACTTAAAATCTCTCATCAGGCGCGATGGCTTGTGTCTGTAATCCCAGCACTTTGGGAGGCCCCGGCAGGTGGATCGCTGCTTGAGGTCAGGAGTTTGAGATCAGCCTGGCCAACATGGTGAAACCTTGTCTCCACTAAAAATACAAAATTAGCTGGGCATGGTGGCATGTGCTTGTAGTCCCAGCTATCGGGAGGCTAAGGCAGGAGAATTGCTTGAACCCAGGAGGTAGAGGTTGCAGTGAGCCTAGATCTCACCACTGCACTCCAGCCTGGGTGACAGAGTGAGACTCAGTCTCAGAAGAAAATAAGTTAGCCTGGGCCGGGCACGGTGGCTCATGCCTGTAATCCCAGCACTCTGGGAGGCCAAGTCAGGTGGATCACCTGAGGCTGGGAGTTCGAGACCAGCCTGACCAACATGGAGAAACCCTGTCTCTACTAAAAATACAAAATTAGCCGGACATGGTGGTCCATACCTGTAACGCCAGCTACTTGGGAGGCTGAGGCAGAAGAATCGCTTGAACCCGGGAGGCAGAGGTTGCACTCACGCCGTTGCACTCCAGCCTGGGCAACAAGAGCGAAACTCCATCTCAAAAAAAAAAAAAAAAAAAAAAAAATTAGCCTGTATCTAGCAAGGAAGTAAAGCCAGTAGGAAGCTGATGGTTTGAGGGAATGAGTGAGTTTAAAGAGCAAGTTTATGGCCAGGTGCAGTGGCTCATGCCTGTAATCCCAGCACTTTGGGAAGCTGAGGCTGGAGAACCAGTTGAGCTCTGGAGTTTGAGGCTGCAGTGAGCTACGATCATGCCACTACACTCCAGCCTGGGTGACAGAGTGAAACTCTGTCTTAAAAAAAGAGCAAGTTTAGGATGAGTGGGACTAAGAACTTGAGGAAAAGGACCTCTTCATTTACAAAAAGTCAAGGAAATATTTGCAGTGGTCATGCTTTGGGTTTCCAGGGACAAGCATTGACTGAATACACCATAGTGAAGAGAAATGCAATTTACCACACATTTGTTGAGAGCCTATTGTGGAGAACAAACAGCTTGGGAAGTAAAGGTTGATTACTTCCTCTCCAAGGATGATATGTTTAATGAATTCCCTTTTCCTTAGCTTCATTCTTCATAATGCCAAAGAGATCCATGGATATGATTTTCCATATGGAGTTGAATATTCTAGTTTTAATATTTTCTCTTCACTTGTCCTGGAAAAACATCCCCCTATAAAAGAGGTTTAGATTAAAGGTGGATGTAAGGGTAAAATAAAGTAAACAGACAAAATCAACAACATGGAAAAACAGCAGGAGTGATTTAAACCCAGTTTGAACCAGCAGGCAAGGATGGCATGATCTCCTAGCATTTAAAAATCCTAGGGCAGATGTGGTCTTCTTTGGCTTAGAGTGGGAAGACTTATCAAAAATTCAGCAGGAAGAATTCTTCTTTTTGATAAATTTTCAGACATATTACACTCTGGAATTTCAGCCCCCTGGATGTTTTTTTGTCTATGAAGAAAGGTTAGAGTCTTGTTGGCTTTGTTTCTCTTTGAATGCCTGTTATCTAACATAGTGCCTGACACACTGTAGTACTCAACAAATGTTCTCTTTGCACCCCACAACTTACAGCTTGGTTTAGCAGCCCCAAGCTCCACAGAGGAACCAACATCTCCTGAAGAAGCCTATGAGGTTAGTGCTTCCTAGCCTAGTTATAAGAGTTGTGGGCAAGAAGTTCAAAGTTACATCTTCCTTCCTGGTATTTATGGTTCATTCATAGAATTTCCCATCTAGATGCAATTTACAAGTCAAGCTTGACTTTTTCCATAGGCAACATTGCCTGGCGACCTATCTGATCTTCCAACTTTATCACGTTTCTTGGGAACAGAGTTAGAAAGTTAACCCAAGGTCAAACTTGTCCATAGAGAAAGAGTTTCATTAGCTTTTTACTCAAACTCTGTGCCTAAAAAATAAAAGCATGGAGATTTTTCTGTAGAGATGGGGTCTTATTTTGTTGCCCAGGCAGGTCTCAAACTCCTGACCTCAAGCGATCCTCCTACCTTGTTCTCCCAAAGTGCTGGGATTACTGGCATGAGCCACCATGCCCGGCCAAAGCTAATGTATTTCTTAAAGAGAGATTCATATATACATGTATATATGAATATATATGTATATTCATGTATATATGAATATATATGTATATTCATGTATATATGAATATATGAATATATTATGAGTACATATGAATATATATGAATATATGAATATATTATGACTATATATGAATATATATATTTTATATATATATTATATATATATATATATATATTTTTTTTTTTTTTTTTTTTTTTTTTTTTGAGACAGGGTTTTGCTCTGTCACCCAGGCTGGAGTGCAGTGGCCTGATCTTGGCTTGATCTTGGCTCATTGCAACCTCTGCCTCCCGGGCTTAAGCAATGCTCCTGCCTCAGCCTCCCAAATAGCTGAAACTACAGGCTACAGGCATGCACCACTACACCTGGTTAATTCTTTGATGTTTCTGCAGAGACAGGGTCTCACTATACTGCCCAGGTTATATTTGATATTTTCCCCTTCCAAAGATACACTCATATTATTCAATTTCCACAATGTTAAACGATTTTCCTTATTTCATTGTGGAGAACCAATAACTGGAATGCTGGCAGCTTTGGGAATTATTTTGGATTATCTGGGAAACCTTTCATAGGTCACAGTCAACAGTTGGCACTTTTACTCTTGTTGAGAATAATTAAGCCTAATATTAATCAAATTTTTTTTTTGAGACAGAGTTTCATTCTTGTCGCCCAGGCTGGAGTGCAATGGCATGATCTCGGCTCACCGTAATCTTTGCCTCCCAGGTTCAAGCGATTCTCTTGCCTCAGTCTCCTGAGTAGCTGGGATTACAGGCACCTGCCACCATGCCCAGTGGCTCACACCTGTAATCTCAGCACTTTGAGAAGCTGAGGCGGGCGGATCACTTGAGATCAGGAGTTCGAGACCAGCCTGGCCAACATGGTGAAACACCATCTCTACTAAAAATACAAAAAAATTAGCCGGGTGTGGTGGCGGGCGCATGTAATCCCAGCTACTGGGGAGGCTGAGGCAGGAGAATCGCTTGAACCCAGGAGGCAGAGGTTGCAGTGAGCCGAGATTGCACCACTGTATTCTAGCCTGGGTGATAGAGTGAGACTCTGTCTCAGAAAAAAAAAAAAGTGAAAAGAAAAGAAGAGA
The DNA here is from genome assembly GCF_000001405.40 of Homo sapiens. NCBI lineage: Eukaryota > Metazoa > Chordata > Mammalia > Primates > Hominidae > Homo > Homo sapiens. The sequence continues at coordinate 14,621,488 of NC_000019.10, forward strand.
CAGGTTCTCACTATGTTGCCCAGGCTGGTCTAAAACTCCTGGACTTGAGTAAAACCATGGCAATATTGCCCTAAAGCTACCTAACTGTGACTATGGAAATTGCTACTTTGCATTCAGTGTTGTGGGATTTGCACGGGCAGTACTCATTTTCCCTCATACTTCGGATTGACCACAGTTGTTACGGCACTCTTATAAATAGGATTTTCACCCGTGTCCCATTTGGCATTCATTTTCTCCTTTTCAAATTTAGCAAACTCCCTTCTGTCATGAATTATCATTAAAAGCTTCCATATCAGCAGTAATGCAAGGCCAATAAGAACAATTCCAGCAACCACACCAGCTACAATTGGAATGATGTCTGGACCAGTGGGACACTCTGGATTCTCCACAACATGAACCATGACCTCGTTGTTCCCATTCACTGAATACGTAAAATAGAACCAACAGTCGTCAACATCCTTCTCCTTACAATGGGACACAGGATCAGGTTGGACCGGCTGGGGTAATTTGTCCCGACTTTCTACCTTGGTAATGTTAAAATAGGAACATTCCTGTGTGCATGTGTCTTTCTTTTCTCCTTTATTGAAGGCTCTGCACTGAACACATTCTTTATGCTCAGCACAGACACCAAGGCAGGTCTGACACATCTCACACGTTTGCCCTTGAAACTTCGGATCTGTACACTTACAGACACCACACTCGCAGATGCCCCGGCCATTGCAGATCTGTCCGTTGCTGGCTTCACAAGTACTAGTATAATTTTTAAAATGTTTTATTATTTTGAAAATAATGTTGTAATTCATGCCAGGGACTGACAAAAGACTTGAGACAGGATGGTTATTCTTGTCAGCTAAGGTCACATTGTGCCTTTTTGACCTTTTCTTCCTGGACTATTGAAATCAAGCTTATTGGATTAAGTGATATTTCTATAGCGATTGAAAGGGCAATAGTTAAAGTAATGAGCATGATGAGAGTTTCTGTTAATCATGTATTAAAACTGATTTTTAGCTTTACAAATATGTCAGTTTGCAGTTATGCAGAATCCAAAGTAAATGTCCTGCTAGCTAGTTAAGGATTGTTTTAAATCTGTTATTTTGCTATTTGCCTGTTAGACATGACTGATGACATATCTGAAAGACAAGTATGTTGAGAGTTGCTGGTGTAAAATACGTTTGAAATAGTTGATCTACAAAGGCCATGGGAAAAATTCAGAGAGTTAGGAAGGAAAAACCAATAGCTTTAAAACCTGTGTGCCATTTTAAGAGTTACTTAATGTTTGGTAACTTTTATGCCTTCACTTTACAAATTCAAGCCTTAGATAAAAGAACCGAGCAATTTTTTGCTAAAAAGTCCTTGATTTAGCACTATTTACATACAGGCCATACTTTACAAAGTATTTGCTGAATGGGGACCTTTTGAGTTGAATTTATTTTATTATTTTTATTTTGTTTAATGTCTGGTGCTTTCTGTCACCTCTTCTAATCTTTTAATGTATTTGTTTGCAATTTTGGGGTAAGACTTTTTTTATGAGTACTTTTTCTTTGAAGTTTTAGCGGTCAATTTGCCTTTTTAATGAACATGTGAAGTTATACTGTGGCTATGCAACAGCTCTCACCTACGCGAGTCTTACTTTGAGTTAGTGCCATAACAGACCACTGTATGTTTACTTCTCACCATTTGAGTTGCCCATCTTGTTTCACACTAGTCACATTCTTGTTTTAAGTGCCTTTAGTTTTAACAGTTCACTTTTTACAGTGCTATTTACTGAAGTTATTTATTAAATATGCCTAAAATACTTAAAAAAAAAAAAATAAAAAAAAAAAAAAATAAAACTCCTGGACTTAAGTGATCCTTCCACCTTGGCCTCCCAAAGTGTTGGGATTACAGGTGTGAGCCACCATGCCCAGCCTCTTTTTAGATGTCTATTCTGTCATTTATTCAAAAAGCCAAATATGGAACGAAATGTCACATAGTGCAGAAAGCTCATTCTGTGTTGCACTGAGCCTGAGTTAGTGCAATGGAAGAACAGAATACCAGCAACCAGATTCCAGAAGTATCATCTTTCTAACAGGGCTATGTCCTCCCCCAGAAAGGTCCCATGATTCCCTGCACCCATCCTCTGCAATTATGCAGAGCAGCTGGGGCAGAATCCCTCCCCTGGAGCCTGTTCCATGGCGTACCGTCACTCTGTGGGCCCACATCCACATCTTTATGGACAGTGGGCATTTGGGGGAAGATGATCACTCTGCTATGCCTACACTTGTAAATTTCCCCCAGTGAGAGTCTGTGTTAGATTGCATTGGTTCTGATGATATGTTTCACCCATACATCTTCACACAGCAAGAATACATATGAAAACCAGCTTAAGTGCTGTTAGTGAGCAGAGAGGAGTCACTGAGGAACAATATAACAAGAATGAGGAACTCAAACCAGGTTATCGGGAAAAGGACTCTTCCTCATACCCTCCAGGAAAGCAAGTTTGTACTAAGACTAGCTCCTCAAAGCTACCCTACGTTTCCCAGGCTGGTGTCAAACTCCTGGGCTCAAGCGATCCTCCCATCTTAGCCTCCCGAGTAGCTAGGACTACAACGCCACCACACCTGGCTTCCTTTTTTTTTTTTTTTGAGACAGGGTTTCGCTCTTGTTGCCCAGGCTGGAGTGCAATGGCACGAGCTCGGCTCACTGCAACCTCTGCTGCCCGGATTCAAGCGATTCTTCTGCTTCAGCCTCCCGAGTAGCTGGGATTACAGGCATGTGCCACCATGCCCAGCTAATTTTGTATTTTTAGTAGAGATGGGGTTTCTCCATGTTGGTCAGGCTGGTCTCGAACTCCCAACCTCAGGTGATCTGCCCACCTCGGCCTCCCAAAGTGTTGGGATTATAGGCGTGAGCCACTGTGCCAGGCCTGTGGCTTCCTTTTTATTATTATTATTTTACATTGTGGAAATTGAATAACATGAGCATATCTTTGAAAAAGGAAAATATAGGCCGGGTGTGGTGGCTCATACCTGTAATTTCAGCACTTTGGGAGGCTGAGGTGGTAGGACTGCTCGAGCTGGGAGATCAAGACCAGCCTGGGCAACATAGGGAGACTCCATCTCTCTCTCTATAAAAAAAATTAGTAGGGCATGGTGGTGCACACTTGTGGTCTCAGCTACTCAGGAAGCTGAGATGGGAGGATTGCTTGAGCCCAGGAGGTCGAAACCGCAGTAAGCTATGATCACGCCACTGCACTCCAGCCTGGGTGACAGAGCAAGACCCTGTCTCTTAAAAAAAAAAAAAAAGGAAAATATAAATTAAAAACTAGAGGAAGCTCAGCAAACGAACTCAGGAGCAGAACACCAAACACCGCATGTTCTCACTTGTAAGTGGGAGCTGAACAATGAGAGCTCATGGACACAGGGAGGGGAACAACACTCACTGGGGCCTGTTAGGGGACGTTGGAGGGGGGAGAGCATTAGGGAAAAGAGCCGATGTGTGCTGTTTTTGTTTGTTTGTTTGTTTGTTTTTTAGACAGAGTCTCGCTCTGTCACCCAGGCTGGAGTGCAATGGTGCGATCTTGGCTCACTGCAACCTCCGCCTCTCAGGTTCAAGTGATTTTCCTGTCTCAGCCTCCCCAGTAGCTGGGACTACAGGTGCATACCACCACACCCGGCTAATTTTTGTATTTTTAGTAGAGATGGGGTTTCACCATGTTGGTCAGGCTGGTCTTGAACTCCTGACCTCAGGTGATGCACCCACCTTGGCCTCCCAAAATGCTGGGATTACAGGCATGAGCCACCATGCCCAGCTAATGCTGGGCTTAATACCTAGGTAATGGGTTGATAGGTGCAGCAAACCACCATGGCACACGTTTACCTATGTAACAAACCTGCACATGTAACCTCAGAACTTAAAAAACAAAAACAAAAACAAACAAACAAAAAAATCCCAAACTAGAGGAAGTTTGCAGTGTCAAGAGAGGAGTATGTAAAACATTAGAACAATTCAGATGTTTCACTTACCTCACTGGGTTTTGAGTCAGGACCCATCTTGCTGGAAAGTGTGTATGTCTCAGACTCAGATTTTGATTTTACGATCTCTCTAAACCACTTTTGATATTGTTTCTGGACCTGGAACATCAAAGGAAATACCTGGATGGGTTTTGCTAACATTGGTGAACAGCAGAAAGGTCGGTGAGTCAGGAAGAGGATAGAGATGTATTATTATTTATTTATTTTCACAAAACATGGTCTATTCGTACAATGGAATATTACTCAGTCTTATAAAGGAAGGAGATTCTGACACATATGCTACCACACGGATGAACCTTGAGGACATCAGGCTAAGCGAAATAAGCTGGTCATGAAAAGGCACATACTGTATGATTCTACTTATATGAGGTACCTAAAGTAGTCAAATCCATATAGACCTAAAGTAGAAGAGCGGTTTCCAGGGCCTGGGGGGAAGGAGAGTGGCGAGGTAGTGTTTAATGTGGATGGAGTTTCAGTTTGGGAAGATGAATAAAGTTCCGGAGATGGATGTTGGTGATGGTTGCACCACATTGCGAATGTGATGCTACTAATGGTACACTTAAAAATGGTTAAAAAGGTAAATTTTATATTATATATGTTTTACCACAGTAAACATTTTCATTACAGGGTATATAATTGTTGTAGAAAATTTATGGCCAGGTGTGGTGGCTCACACCTGTAATCCCACCACTTTGAGAGGCCGAGGCGGGTGGATCACGAGGTCAGGAGATTGAGACCATTCTGGCTAACACGGTGAAACCCTGTCTCTACTAAAAATACAAAATAATTAGATGGGAGTGGTGGCTCATGACTGTAATCCCAGCTACTCCAGAGGCTGAGGTAGGAGAATTGCTTGAACCTGGGAGGCAGAGGTTGCAGTGAGCTGAGATCACGGCACTGCACTCCAGCCTGGGAGACAGAGCAACACTTCATCTCAAAAAAACAAAAGAAAAGAAAAGAAAAAATAGAAAATGTATAAGATATGCATATGCAAAAGGAAGAAAATAGAAGTTGCATATAATTCCTCAATCTAGTGAAAATCACCAATAATATTTTGGTAGTACCCTTCAATGTGTCTTGGTTTTGGGCACCTCAGAAGCAGACCCTGCAACAAGGGTGGAAGTGTAAGGAGTTTATTTGAGGGGTGATCCCAAGAAGCACCAGTAGGGCAATGAGGAAGCAGGACAGGGAAGAGAAGGCAGCTGGTAAAGAATGCATAATTAAGGTTATTTCCACTGTGGGAATCTGGGGCTCAGCCCCATTCAGGAGCTCTGGGGTAGAGCATGGAACTACCTTAGAGTCAACTTGCCTGAAGGAGGAGGGAGCTGGGGTATTTATCCACCAGCTCCCATCAGTCATGGGTTGATGGCCGGTCTCAAGGGCCATTACTCTTTGGCATCACCAGTTTGCCCTATGCATGGGCCAGGCGTGTCCTGTGGGCAGTACGAAGCCTTCAGGCACAGTCATGGGTGTTTGCAACAAGCAACTCCAGGCATGTAGAGACAGAAGCCAAAGGGATATGAGAGGGCCGTGGACAGCATCTGCCACACCGTGATATCCTAACCTTGGCACTGTTGACATCTTGGGTTGGATCATGTTTTGCTGGAGAGGGCTGTCCTGTGTGCATTGTTTAGGATATTTAGCGGTATCCCTGACCTCCACCAACTAGATGCCAGTAGAAACCCCCACCCCAGTAATGACAAGCATTTCCCCAGACATTGCTAACTGTCCCGTGGTGGGAACACAATTGCTCCTGGTAAGAACCATTCTGATATGCCATAAACACCCATACCTACATATAAATAAATACATAACAATAACACAAACAATGAGTGCTTATACTCGTTATATAAACAAAATGAAACCCTCTGGGGTAGTTTCTTTTGTTTTTTTTTGAGACGGAGTCTCGCTCTGTTGCTCAGGCTGGAATGCAATGGTGTGATCTCAGCTCACTGCAACCTCTGCCTGCCAGGTTAAAGTGATTCTCTAGCCTCAGCCTCCCTAGTAGCTGGGATTACAGGCAGGTGCCACCACTCTCGGCTAATGTTTGTATTGTTTAGTAGAGACGGGCTTTCACCATGTTGGCCAGGCTGGTCTTGAACTCCTGACCTCAGATGATCTGCCTGCCTCGGCCTCCCAAAGTGCTGGGATTACAGGCACGAGCCACCACGCTTGGCTGGGTTCCATTGTGGAGACAGCGTGCAGTCCAGATTATCCCTGAGCACCCCTTAGTAAGGGATCTTCTTGGAGGACACAGACTACTGTTCAGTTGCAGACAAATAAAGTGTTTTGAATTTAGTAGCCATATGAAATAAAACTATATATATCTTTAAAAACTGGATGCTAGGCCAGGCACGATGGCTCACGCCTGTAATCCCAGCACTTTGGGAGGCTGAGGCAGGCAGATCACCTGAGGTCGGGAGTTCGAGACCAGCCTGACCAACATGGAGAAACCCTGTCTCTATTAAAAACACAAAATTAGCTGGGTGTGGAGGTGTGCACCTGTAATCCCAGCTACTCAGGAGGCTGAGGCAGGATAATCACTTGAACCCGGGAGGCAGATGTCGTGGTGGGCTGAGGTCGTGCCATTGCACTCCAGCCTGGGCAACAAGAGCCAAACTCTGTCTCAAACAAAAAACAAAAAACAAAACAACAAAAAAACGAATAACAAAAACTGGATGCTATGATATGCCTCACAAACTGAGATAAACTAAGGGAAGAGTACATATAAGTGTTTTGCGTATGCTCATGTGAAACCCCATCTCTACTAAAAATACAAAAAAAAAAAAAAATTAGCCAGGCATGGTGGCATGCGCCTGTAGTCCCAGGTACTCGGGAGGTGGAGGCCGAAGAATCGCTTGAACCTGGGAGGCAGTTGCAGTGAGCCGAGATTGAGCTACTGTACTCCAGCCTGGGTGACAGAGCAAGAATCTGTCTCAAAAAATAAATAAATAAATAAATAAATAATGATGATGATGACGATGAAACACACACTCTGCTAGTGGTGCCTGTGAACCAAGTGGAGATGAGTTCTGCCTCCTGCCTCAGCCTCCTGAAGTACTGGAATTATGGGCATGAGTCACTGTGCCTGGCCCCAGTTTCTCTTTAACGAGGCAGTTAACCTGCAGTACAGTGAAGTTCAAGACCTCATCATGCCCACTGCTGTTCCATGGTTTGAGATGTGAGTTGCAAAAACTGCAATAGCAGACTGGGATGGATCTATGAGTTTGCCCCTGCAGACAGCCAGTGTTACAAGGAAGGCTGTGTGATCCTGGAATGTGACCTAGTTTGGGACAGTGACAGCTTTAAGGGGCAGATATCATCTGATATGTCTTGAAGAAAAAGAGATAAATCAGTCCAGCATGGTGGCTTACACCTGTAATCCCGGCACTATATAATTGGTATTGACTGGAAGCTTCTTCTTTTTCTCTTTTTTTTTTGAGACGGAGTCTTGCTCTGTTGCCCAGGCTGGAGTGCAGTGGTGCGATCTCGGCTCACTGCAGCCTCTGCCTCCTGGGTTCAAGTGATTATCCTGCCTAGCCTCCCGAGCAGCTGGGATTACAGGCGCCTCCATCATACCCGGGTAATTGTTTTGTAGTTTTTAGTAGAGATGGGGTTTCGCCATGTTCGTCAGGCTGGTCTCAAACTCCTGAGCACAAGTGATCCCCCTGTGCTGGCCTCCCAAAGTGCTGGGATTACAGGCGTGAGCCACTGCACCCTGCCGATTGGAAACTTTTTCTGAAATAGGGCAGAACTGCTTGGGTGTTTTTTTCCATGTAACTTAAGGTAGTAATGTAAATAAAATAGTAGTTGGAAAAAAAATAATTCATGTGAAGTGGTGTGTTAGCTGCATTGTTGATCTCCACGATTCACTCCTTTGTAGTTGTATTACACTCTGTCTTAGTCTCTTGGTGGGTTGAGTGTTCTTTTCTCATTGACTTTGGGCTTGGGTGTGTGACTTTCTTTGGCTAATGGGATATTAGTAGAGGAAGAATCACAGGCTTGAGTGACCTTGCCCAGTAGGGTCTGCCTCTTTGTGATTTCAGCATTGTTAGGAGAAGAATATTTGCTGGGGAGTTGCTCCCCCTTCTGCTTAAGCCTCAGGATGAGTCACAAGGAGCAGGCCTAAATCTGATCTGCATCCTGGAGCAAAGGCAAGCTGAGCTCAGCTAAGATCAGGTGAACCCCAATAGACCTGTAGACCCCAGAATAAGAAAAGCAAATATTTGTGTTTAAACCAATGAGATTTTTTGAGGTTGTTTGTTACACAGCATTAGCTGACTATTACGAGTGGGAAAACTGAGAAAAAGGCATGATTTTTTTTTGACATAGCAATTATTTATATTCTGAAATGTGTTAATAAATGATGTATCTTAACAACTAGTAGCATTTTTAAAGTAGAGAAAATAGAGAGAGTGTTTACAGGTGGATTATAATCTCATGTGGAACATTTAGAGAATGTCAACTTAAATCCCCATTGAACTCCATTTCCAAAATTTTCTTAAGTTTAAATAACAAAGAAAGGGGTCAGTGTTTACCTGCTGGCTGAGGAGGCAGTAGACCAAGAAGATGAAGAAGCCTTGGAGGCTGTTGATGATGGTGAAGAGGTAGGCCATGACCTGGGCAGCTGGACCCACCTGTAGCAAGCCCAGACACCATGTGCAGCCCAGGATGAAGAGCTGAGCTGTTGCTTTGAAAGCCAGCATCCTGGGAGGAGGAAGTCAGAGATTAGGATGTCAAAAAACTAATAATGAGCATGAACACCCCTCTAGTTAGCTGTTAATAGTAAGAACTCTGGAGCTAGACTACCTGAGTTTAAATGGAAGCCAGCACTGGCTACCTGTGTGATCTTGTGAAAGCTGCTTTACCTTCTTGCAACTCAGCTCCCTCATCTTATTTTATTTTATTTTATTTTATTTTATTTTTGAGATGGAGTCTTGCTCTGTTGCCCAGGCTGGAGCACAATGACATGATCTCGACTCACTGCAACCTCCACCTCCAGGGTTCAAGTGATTCTCCTGCCTCAGCCTCCCCAGTAGCTGGGACTAACTACAGGCATGCACCATCATGCCCTGCTAATTTTTGTTATTTTTAGTGGAGATGGGGTTTCGCCATGTTGACCAGGCTGGTCTTGAACTCCTGACCTCAAGAGATCCACCCATCTTGGCCTCCCAAAGTATTGGGATTAAAGGCGTGAACCACTGCACCCAGCCTCAGTTCCCTTATCTTAATAATTGTCCTATTTCGTGGGGTTGCTATAAAGATTACATGAGACTTTAATGGGAAAGTATTTAGGACAATGTATGGGACAAAGTTAGTACCAGACATGCATAAGGCATTTGAAAACCTGGGTGCTTTCTCTCTCACTCTTATCATTTATAGACAGGGGTCATATAATTTTTTTTGTTGAGACGGAGTCTCGCTCTGTGGCCCAGGCTGGAGTGCAGTGGTGTGATCTCAGCTCATGGGTTCAAGCGATTCTCCAGCCTCAGCCTCCCGAGTAGCTGGGATTACAGGCACGTCACCACACCCAGCTAATCTTTGTATTTTTAGTAGAGAAGGGGTTTCACCATGTTGGCCAGGCTGGTCTCGAACGACTGACCTCAAATAATCCACCTGCCTCGGCCTCCCAAAGTGTTGGGATTACAGGTGTGAGCCACCCCACCCGGCCGGGGTCATATAATTTGTTATTCAAACAGGAAGGCTTTTGTGATCAAAAGGAGGTGTACTGTTCCTAACAGAAAGAAATGATAAATGTTTGAGGTGATGAGTACCTTAAATACCCTGATTTGATCATTGCACATTTTATGCATGAATCAAAATATCACAAATACTTTGTAAATGTATATAAATATTATATATCAATAAGAATAAAAATAATAATAAAAAATGAAAGGGATACTATTAATAATTACATTGTGTCGACAGACATAAACTGAGACTGTTCCAGGTAAGCTGAGATATGAGGCCATCCTATTTATAGTATTTATGGCATATATACACACACAATATATATATGTACATATATATTTTATATACACTATCACAACATATAATCACAATATATAGTGATAGTGTATATAAAAATATACATTGTGTTATATATGTATAGAATATATTATATGTGTATGTATATGTGTGTACATACACATATAATATCTATATTACATGCATATATACATTATATATATCCCTAATTATTAAGGATATTACATCAGTGAGGAAAGCTAATTGAGGAACAGTTTGTATAGTGTGATCCTATTGTGTGTGTGTCGGTCTGTTCTACTTAAAAGTGCACAGAGAAAGCTCTGGGAAAATGTCATATTTTATCTCACACATCATACAGGCTGTTAATTCTGGCTTCCTGGGAAGTGGAAGTAGCAGGAAGAGGGACAGCCATTTTCATTTTTTACTGTATATATTTCAAAAGACTATAAAAAAATGTAACAAAGTTGTCTTATTTTTATGATTAAAATGAAAACAACAAATTACATGCTCAAATTAAAATGGATGCTGCAACATAAAAATACTCATACCTCAAGATATTTTGAAATATTATACAAGATATCTTTTAATCTAGATTCTTATTGAACCTATCACACACGATTGGAGATAAACATTTAAATTGGTATATGTACAGAGAGTTTAATTTGTAATTTAAGCATGTGATTTAATATAGCTAGATTGATCTCTATTGGCTGGGGTGGACATAGCTTTGTGACATTACCAGATTCATTTTTAGGGTTTCTATATAATTTAAGCTTCTTAGTAACTGTTGGATTAGCAAATTTGAGTTGGTTGCTTTTGATAAAAAATATACTCCTGTGTGTATCTTGTGTAGTGTGGCAGAAACGAATGTTTTTCTCCCTTTTCATCTTCCTTTTAGTGTTAGATCTCTTCCCCTTTGAGTTTTAAAACAAGGCACATGGTCAAGGTAGAGACTACATTTCCCAGCCTCCCTTGCAGCTGGGTGTTATCATGTGACAAAGATCAGCCAATGGGATATGAGCAAATGTGGCAACTGCAACTCCTATATTACCTCCTTCCCATGGATGGGATATTGACAAGGGCAACATCCTTCTAGAGGATGGTGGAGCAACAAAGTAGAAAGCACCTGAGACCCTGGAACACTGTGTGGAGCAGAGCTTCTTTATTAGCCCTGAACTGGTCACTTCTGGGTTGCAACATGAGACTGAAATAAACTTCTATTTTATTCTTTTTTTTTTTTGAGATTTTTTCTTTATCACAGCAGCTTAGCTTGTATTCTAGCTAACTCAGGTTCTCATTAACTGTGATGGTGGAAGATTACAGTGGTCTTGCTAGTCCTGGGAGCATGGCTGTTGAATGTACGTGTGTATGGATATGTAGGAAGGACTGGCAGAAGGAAAGGGAATAGGAAGTACCATTTGTCACATCCTACCTTGTGTTCTGGATGGTTGACACTTCACTATTGAGGGAGGAAAGTTTTCTTTTCAAAATCCAAAAGACCAAGATAAACAATACTAAATTCGCCTGCAGGACCAACACAAACAAGGCAGAGTGCAAGTTAAAGTAATGTATGGTGTCCACTTTAAATTGCACACAGGAGTCCTACCCTCTTGTACATGGGACTGAATTGGTAGCAGGTGGAAAATCAAACCACCCAACAGTGGAAATGCAAGCCCCTTGTACCATCTTGTACCCAGCACTTCTCTTGGTTCTTCCTAGTTTGGGAACATCGAAGGCACATACTCACAGAGAAAATGGCACAGACTGGGCCAAGGAAACTCCACATGAATCCCTGGTCCAGGTGGAGCCAGCATCTAGGAACAGTGGGAAAAGAGATACAAAGAGAGATCAGAGAAAGTGCGTGAGATCAACATAAAGTGTCTCTTTTCCTACCAGAGAATTGTTTCCAGTTTCTCTTGAAAGTCAGCTGATGACAGGCCAGGCACGGTGGCTCACGCCTGTAATCCCAGCACTTTGGGAGGCCGAGATGGGCGGCTCACGAAGTCAGGAGCTTGAGACCATCCTGGCTAACGTGGTGAAACCCCATCTCTACTAAAAATATAAAAATTAGCTGGGCGTGGTGGCGGGCACCTGTAGTTCCAGCTATTCGGGAGGCTGAGGCAGGAGAATGGCGTGAACTCGGTAAGCGGAGCTTGCAGTGAGCCAAGATCGCGCCACCGCACTCCAGCCTGGGCGACAGACTGAGACTCCGTCTCAAAAAAAATAAAATAAAATAAAATAAAATAAAATAAAATAAAATAAAAAGAAAGTCAGCTGATGACAATAGCTTTTTTTTTTTTTTTTTTGAGACAGGGTCTTGCTCTGTTGCCCAGGTTGGAGTGCAGTGGTGCGATCTCAGCTCACTGCAACCTCTGCCTCCTGGATTCAAGTGATTCTCCTGCCTCAGTCTCCTGAATAGCTGGGATTACAGATGTGCACCACCACACCCGGCTAATTTTTGCATTTTTAGTAGAGATGGGGTTTTGCCATGTTGGCCAGGCTGGTTTTGAACTCCAGACCTCAAGTGATTTGCTCCCCTTGGCCTCCCAAAGTGCTGGGATTACAGGCGTGAGCCACCACGCCCGGCCAACAATCAGCTTTGATTACACATTTTGATTGCAACTTTGATCCACACATCATGTGACAGCCACTTTCACTTTATATATTTCAATATATATATGAAATTTTATGAAAATTTTATGAAAATTTTAACAAACTTGTCTTATTTTTATGATTAAAATGAAAACAACAAATTACGTGCTCAAATTAAAATGGATGCTGCAACATAAAAAATACTCATAGCTCAAGGTATTTTGAAGTAGTAGTATACAAAATATATTTTCATTTAGAGCCTTATTGAACCTATTACACACAATTGGAGATACATATTTAAATTGGTATGTGTACAGAGAGTTTAATTTGTAATTTAAGTATGTGATTTAATATAGTTAGATTGATCTCTGTTGGCTGGGGTGGACACAGCTTTGTGACATTACCAGATTTTTGGGGTTTTTATAGAATTTAAGCTTTTTAGTAACTGTGGTGTGATTTAGGATAATAGGCACCAAACAGCTAGGAGGAACAGCGTCCTGTTAAGCATTTTAGGAGCACAGTCCTGTTGAATTTTCACACCAGCACTGTGAGGTTGGAACAATGGGGACAACTATTATTCTCATCTCGCTAATGAGGGGACTGAGACTGGAGAGCTCAAATTACAGGAAGAATAAAGTTGGGACCTAACTCTTGTGATCCGAGAGATTGAAATAGACACTTCTATATCCACTAACATGGATCCTAAGGTTAAGGAAACCAAGTTACCCATGGGTCGGGGGTTCAGGGCCTGGCTGGTGAAGCAACTGTCTAAATTCCTCGGCTACAAGAAAACCCACGCTTGCTAAACTCCATAACAATACGAGCCATCAGTTCCCTCCTACCTCTGATATACGATCCAGACCACTATAACTCTGACTGGAAAGGGAACCAGTCAAAGCAATTATGGATCTTAAGCCAGTTTCAGTTAGTTTATAGAGGCTGTGCACAAACTGTCTTTGTGTCCTTTGGTTCAACTTTTGGTGTAGAGCCACATTCCTCGTCATTGTTTATTTTATTTTATTTATATATTTTTTAGAGTTGGATCTTGCTCTGTCACTCAGGCTGTGGTGCAGTTGCTCTATCACAACTTACTGCAACCTTGAACTCCTGTGCTCAGGCGATCCTCCCGCCCCAGCCTCCTGAGTAGCTGGGACTACAGGCATGCACCACCGTGTCCAGCTAATTAAAACAATTTTTTTTTTTTGGTAGAGATGGGGTTTTGCTATGTTGCCCAGCCTGGTCTTGAAGTTCTGGGCTCAAGCAATCCTTCCTCCTTGCCTTCCCAAAGTGCTGGGGTTACAGGCGTGAACCACCATGCCTGGTCTTCCATTTTTTTTTTTTTTTTTGAGACAGAGTTTCGCTCTTGTTGCCCAGGCTGGAGAGTGCAATGGCGTGATCTCAGCTCACTGCAACCTCCACCTCCCGGGTTCAAGTGATTCTCCTGCCTCAGCCTCCCAAATAGCTGAGATTACAGGCGCGCACCACCACGCCCGGCTAATTTTTTGTCTTTTTAGTAGAGACGGGGTTTCACTGTGTTGGCCAGGCTGGTCTTGAACTCCTGACCTCAGGTCATCCACCCGCCTCAGCCTCCCAAAGTGCTGGGATTACAGGCTTGAGTCACTGCGCCCAGCTTTTCCATCTTATTTTAATGCTAAAATCCTGCCCCAAAGTGAACATGGGATATATGTTATATATATGTTTATCCATTGTGCATACACTCTGCTCTCATCTTAAATAGGTACAGCTTTTCCAAACCTCCTGAATGTGTATGACTCTGTTGTGTAATACAGATCTAGTGAGGCATAAAACCTAACTTGTCCTTCCCCTTTTCAAAGAGGGAGCACCTTTGGTTCATCCTGGAGACTTTCTTTTTTTGGTTTGCAAACCAGTATTGCCAATAAAGCTCTCCTTTCTCTCTCTTTCTCTTTCTTTCTTCCTTCCTTCCTTCCTTCCTTCCTTCCTTCCTTCCTTCCTTCCTTCCTTTCCTTTCCTTTCCTTTCCCTTTCTTTCTTTCTTTCTTTCTTTCTTTCTTTCTTTCTTTCTTTCTTTCTTTCTTTCTTTCTTTCTTTCTTCCTTTCCTCCTTTCCTTTCCTTTCCTTCCTCTTTCTTTCTTTCTTTCTTTCTTTTCTTTTCTTTTTTCTTTCCTTTTTCTTTTTTTTTTCAGAGTCTCACTCTGTCGTTTAGGTTGGGGTGCGTTGGTACAATCACAGCTCACTGCAACTTCCACCTCCCGGGTTCAAGCGATTCTCCTGCTTCAGCTTCCTAAGTAGGTGTGTGCCACCACGTCTGGCTAATTTTTGTATTTTTAGTAGAGATGGGTTTTCACATGTGGGCCAGGCTGGTCCCGCACTCCTGGCCTCAAACGATTCTCCCGCCTTGGCCTCCCAAAGCGCTGGGATTACAGGCATGAGTCACCGTGCCCGACCTTAAAGCTCTTCTTTCTATTATTTATTCATCTTGATGGTCTTTTGAACAACACCCCAAACCCTCTCCTTCTGAAGCCATCCCTATAAACTTTATAAAAATAATCAGAGAAGACAAAACGGGGAGAAATGAAAACAAGCCAAACTTGCAGCACATCCAGGATTCACTGCCAGGTCAGCTTGCTCTCTGACCTGCTTCCTACTAGCTGTTTGGTGCCTGTTATCCTAGAATCACACAGATCCTAGATAACAGTTTCCCTTTACTGCTCTATAGGTAACAACTTAAATATTATAAAACATGAAGTTTCAGCCAGGTGTGGTGGCTCACACCTGTAATCTCAGCACTTTGGGAGGCCGAGGTGCATGGATCACCTGAGGTCAGGAGTTCAAGACCAGCCTGGTCAACATGGTGAAACCCCATCTCTACTAAAAGTACAAAAATTAGCTGGGCGTGGTTGTGGGCACCTGTAATCTCAGTTACTTGGGAGGCTGAGGCAGGAGAATCGCTTGAACCCGGGAGGTGGAGGTTGCAGTGAGCCAAGACCGTGCCATTGGACTCCAGCCTGGGCAACAAGAGCGAAACTCTGTCTCAATAAAACAAAAAAACAAAACAAAAAAAATTAAGTTTCCCCTTGAGATATTCTTTCAGGTCCTGTGTACCAGTGAAACTACTGGCTTCAGCTGCTCTGAAGGACCACAGAAGGAGCTGAGTCACCAAAGAAGGCAGTTTCCGTCTCCTGATGATTTTGTCTGCTGTACCCTGACCCACATTTTCCAGCCTCCACACCCTCCATGATCCCTTTAAAAGTCCCAGTCCCGAACTCCTTGAGGAGATTGATTTGAGAGTCTTCTCTCATCTTCTCGCTTGGCGCCCTGAGATTTTTAAGCTCTTTTTTTTTTTTTTTTTTGAGACAAGGTCTTGATCTGTCACCCAGGCTGGAATGTAGTGGCCTGAGCATAGCTCACTGCAGCCTTGAACTCCTGGGCTCAAGCAATCCTTCCATCTCAGCTTCTTGAGTAGCTGGGACTACAGGTGTGAACCACCATGCTTGGCTATTTTTTTTTTTTTTAATCTTTAGTAGACACAAGGTCTTGCTATGTTGCCCAGGCTGGTCTTGAAGTTGTGAACTCAAGTGATCCTCCTGTCTGGGCTTCCCAAAGTGCTGGGATTACAGGTGTGAGCCACTGTGCTCAGCTAATTTTTTGTAGAGATGAGGGCCTTGCTATATTGCCCAGGCTGGTCTTGAACTCCTGGCCTCAAGTGATCCTCCCACGTTGGCCTCCCAAATTGTTGGTATTACAGGTGTGAGCCACCACACCTGGCCTCATTAAGCTCTTTCTCTGCTGCAAACCCTGCTGTCTTGGTGGATTGGTACGTTACTGTGCAGTGGGCATATGAACCTGTTGGTTGTATAAGACTTCCAGAACCTTGCAAACTCTTACCACCATCTCACCCTGCTTTGTTGGGAAAGAGGTTAGAGCTGTTATAAAGGAGAACGTAGAGTGCATTGGTTACGTATATTCCCACCATCATCATGAATGCTGCCCTCAAAAGCTTTCTTAGGAAACTGTCCATGACACAAGGTGGGATTCAAGCTCACCGATCAGCAGTTCCATAAAGGTGAGGCCAGGAGGCTGCAGAAATGGCCACAGTCACAGCGGGAACGCCATAGCCGACTGGGAACATGATCCACTTCATGAGTCTATTGATGCTTGAGTAGTTGACCACTGTCAGGTTCCGTGCAGTGAGGAAGAGGTGCACACCCTCCAGCAGCATCCAGGTGAAGGCGGCCAGGTAGAGATAGTGCAAAGCACCGGCGATGATGGAGCACAGCACCTGGGGGAGGAGAAAGGGATGCCTGAAGGGGTTGTCAGGGTGGAGTATGGCCCTAGGACCTCTCCTTGACATTGGCTTTGGGTTCAGAGCACCTGACATCAGACCAAGGGCACTAAAAGTAAAGGGGAACTGGATGCAGTGGCTCATGTCTGTAATTTCAGCACTTTGGGAGGCTGAGGTGGGAGGATTGCTTGAGCCCAGGAGTTTGAGACCAGCCTGGGCAACTTAGTGAGACCCCATCTCAATTATATTTAAAAAAATAGATAGTTGATAGTCAAGGATAGCTTTGGCCACCTGGGCACCAATCCCTTCAACCTGCCCTTGGGACTGAAAGGGTAGCAGAATGTGCCACCTCCACCTATGCCACTTTGCAACAGATCACCAGAATTTACCCCTCCTTTTAAACTAAGACTTTGTATACTTTGAGCTATGTCTCCTTTCCTCATCCACTTCCCCCCTCAACCTCTGAGAACCTCCATTCTACTCTCTACTCCTACTGTATTGCGTGGTGACTATAGTTAATATATTATGAATTTTGAAGTTGCTAAAAGAGTGGATTTTGTTCTATTTTATTTCTTTGTGACAGGATCTCACTCTGTCACCCAGGCTGGAGTGCAGTGGCACAATCATAGCTCACTGCAGCCTTGAACTCTCAGGCTCAAGTGATCCTCCCACCTCAGCCTCCCTAGTAGCTGGGACTACAAGTGTGTGCCACCATATCCACTAATTTTTGCAGAGACGGGGTCTCACTGTGTTGCCCAGGCCAGTCTCCAACTCCTGGGCTGAAGTGATCCTCCCGCCTTGGCCTCCTAAAGTGCTGGTATTACAAGCATGAACCGCCACCCCAGTCCTAAAAGAGTGAATTTTAAATGTTTTCACCACAAAGAAATGATAAGTATGGAAGTGATAGATATGTTTATTATCCTGGTTTGGTCATTTCATAATGTGTATGTCTATGGAAACTTCACATTGTACCCCATAATTTTATACATTTATTATTTTTCAATTAAAAATAAAATTTAGAAAAAAGTTTCACTTTAGCATAAGAGATTATTATTATGATTATGATTCTTTTTTTTTTGAGACATGGTCTTGCTCTGTCACCCAGGCTGGAGTACAGTGGTTGCAATCATAGCTCACTGCAGCCTCGAACTCCTGGGTTCAAGCAATCTTCCTGCCTCAGCCTCCCAAGCAGCTGGGACTACAGACGTGCACCACTGTGTCCAGCTAATTTTGTTATTTTTTTTGTTTTTTTTGTAGAGACAAGGTCTCACTATATTGCCCAGGATGGCCTCAAACGCCTGGCCTCAAGTGATCTTTCCACCATTGCCTCCCAGTGTGCAGGGATTGCAGGTGTCAGCCACTGTGTCTGGCCCAAGGGATTATTTTAAACTGAAGGCAGTTGAGAAGAAGCAGATACAAAAATAGCTCTCTGCCCTCCCCCTATTTGCCTAAAAGCAGGACATACGTTTTTGTACTTGTCTTTTTTGGGGGGTGAGAACACTTAAAATCTACTTTGTTAGCAATTTTTCAATATAGAATATATTGTTATTGACTATAGTCATGATGTACAATAGCTCTCTTGTATTTATTCTTTCCGTCTAGCTGAAATTTGGTATCCTTTGACCAACATCTCCCTAAACCCCTTCCCTGCTGCCTTAGTCTCTGCTAACAACCATTCCCCTCTTTGGTTTTATGAGTTTGGCTATTTTAGATTCCACACATAAGTGAGATCATGCACTGTTTGTCTTTCTGTGCCTTGCTTATTTCACTCAGCTTAACAATCTCCAGGTTCATCCATGTTATCACAAATGGCAGGATTTCCTTCTTTTTCTGAAGGCTGAATAGTATTCCAGGACATTAGTTTACAAAGGCATTCCTCATACCTATTCTCTTCCTTCTACCCTCCTACCCTTGCTATGGGGGGGACAAAAGTTGATCACTAAGACAACTTATTTATTTATTTAAGATGGAGTTTTGCTCTTGTTGCCCAGGCTGGAGTGCAATGGCGCAATCTTGGCTCACTGCAGCCTCTGCCTCCCGGGTTCAAGCAATTCTCCTGCCTCAGCCTCCCAAGTAGCTGGGATTACAGGTGCTCATCACCACGCTGGGCTAATATTTTGTATTTTTAGTAGAGACGGAGTTTTGCCATGTTGACCAGGCTGGCCTTGAACTCCTGACCTCAGGTGATCTGCCCACCTCAGTCCCCCAAAGTGCTGGGATTACAGGTGTGAGCCACTGTGCCCGGCCACCGAGACAACTTTAGATCCTCATTGGTCTGGAGCCAACACCAGAGGAATCTACAAAACCAATGATATGGTTTGGCTCTGTGTCCCCACCCAAATCTCATCTTGAATTGCACTCCCATAATTCCCAAATGTTGTGGGGAGGACCCGGTGGGAGATAATTTGAATCATGGGGGCGGTTTTCCCCATATTGTTCTCGTGGTAGGAAATAAATTTCACGAGATCTGATGGTTTTATCAGGGGTTTCTGCTTTTGGATCTTCCTCATTTTTTCTCTTGCAGCCACCATGTAAGAAGTGCCTTTCGCCTCCCGCCATGATTCTGAGGCCTCCCCTGCCATGTGGAACTGCAAGTCCAATTAAACCTCTTTTTCTTCCCAGTCTTGGGTATATCTTTATCAGCAGCCTGAAAATGGAGTAATACAACCAATGATACTAGTAAGCCTTTATCTATCACTCATTTCCCAGATATTTGCCTTCCCATAATTTGTGCCCCTAGAGAGCCAAGATCTTTTTCCCTTCTTCAAAAATTCATCATTCTTTGTCAAAAACGCTGTCGTTCTAAACTACCTCTTTGAGAATGCCTCGTTACCTGGGTATCTCCCATGTATATATGAAATATGAATATATGTTAATGAACTTCTGTTTGCTTTTTCTCTTATCTGTCTTTTGTTACATGGGTCCCAGCTACGATCTCAGAAGGGTAGCGGGAAAATTATATTTTTCTCCTCTACAGACCCAAGGACATTTTATTAAGGAATCTAGTGCAGCATTGCTCCATGAGCTCAGTGTACCTTGGGGCAGAAAGGGCATCCTCTGAGACACTGTCAGTACCTTGGGTTCAGTTCGATCAATCCCCACGAGGAAGAGGAGGTGGGCCAGGAAGAGGCAGAGCGAGAGCTGCAGATGCAGTGAGGTGCTGGTGTTCCGGATGGCTTTACACAGGAGAAAAGTGAGGGCCGCCAGGAGGAGGCACAGCAGAGAGACGCTCAGCCCCACGTAGGTGATGACAGTCAGCACGGGATCCTCCTCCTGGGACCGAGAAAAAAAGTTCACAGTGATGCTTTCCTGCACTGGGATTATGGCTCCCTCCTTGAACTGGGGCATCCTAGACACAGGCACCAAGCCCAGTGGTAGTGTGGGACCGTTAGACTGCTAATGTAGATTGCTAATGTAGACTGCTAATATACACTGCTAATATAGATGGCTAACGTAGATTGTTAATGTAGACTGCCAATGTAGATTGTTAATACAGACTGCTAATGTGATTGTTAATGTAGACTGCTAATATAGATTGCTAGACTGTCTTTTTTATTTTCAGCTTTATTGAGGTGTATACTTAATGTATCAAAAATTACTCATATTAAATGTATACACTTTGATGAGTTTGGACATATGATTTTTTTCCCCTAAAAAAAGTAGAATGGCAGTTACCAGAAGCTGGGGAGAGGAGAGAGAGAGAATAGGGAGTTGGTTAAGGAGTGAAGAGTTTCAGTATTGCAAGATGAAAGAGTTCTGGAGATGGATGGTGGTTGATGATTGCACGATATGATTGTACTTTACTGAACTGTATATACATTTAAAAATGGCTTAGATGGTAAATTTTATGTTCTGTGTATTTTACCACAATCTTTACAAAGTGATTTTTGGGCCATGGTGTCTCACACCTGTAATCCCAATGCTTTGGGAAGCTGAGGTGGGAGGATTGCTGGAGGCCAGGAGTTCAAGACCGACCTGAGCAACAAGTGAGACCCCGTATCTAAAAAAAAAATAAAGTGTCTTTGTATGCAGAGGGCTTGTGCTATGCAGTACCAGTTTGATCAGAGAGCTCATACTAATGAAGGGATTTAAAAAACTTTTTTAAGTTCAGAGATACATGTGCAGGTTTGTTACATAGGTAAACCCCTGTCGCGGGGGTCTCTTGTACAGATTATTTCATCACCCAGGTATTAAGCTTAGTACCCATTAGTTATTTTTCCTGGTCCTCTCCCTCCTCCCACTCTCCACCCTCTTTGTGTCTGTTGTTCCCCTCTTTGTGTCCATATGTCTCCTCATGTAGCTCCCACTTATAAGTGAGAACACGAGTATTTGGTTTTCTGTTCCTGTGTTAGTTTGCTAAGGATAATGGCCTCCAGCTCCATCCATGTCCCTGCAAAGGACATGATCTCATTCTTTTTTATGGCTGCATAGTATTCCATGGTGTATGTATTCCATATGTACCACATTTTCTTTATCCAGTCTACCATTGATGGGCATTTAGGTTGATTCTATGTCTCTGCTATTGTGAATAGTGCTGCAGTGAACATACATGTGCATGTGTCTTTATGATAGAATGATTTATATTCCTTTGGGTATATACCCAGTAACAGGATTGCTGGGTTGAATGGTAGTCCTGTTTTCAGCTCTTTGAGAAAGTGACATGCTGCTTTCCACAATGGTTGAACCAATTTACAACCCCACCAACAGTGTGTGTTCCTTTTTTTCTGCTACCTCACCAGCATCTGTTATTTTTTGACTTTTTAATAGTAGTCATTCATGATGTGGTTTATAGTAATCATGGTTTTTTTTTTTTTTTTTTTTTAGACAGAGTCTCGCTCTGTCGCCAGGATGGAGTTCAGTGGTGTGATCTCGGTTCGCTGCAACCTCTGCCTCCCAGGTTCAAGCAATTCTCCTGCCTCAGCCTCCTGCGTAGCTGGGACAACAGGCGTGTGCCACCACACCTGGCTAATTTTTGTATTTTTAGTAGAGATGGGGTTTCACCATGTTGGTCAGGATGGTCTTGATCTCCTGACCTCGTGATCTGCCTGCCTCGGCCTCCCAAAGTGCTGGGATTACAGGTGTGAGCCACTGTGCCTGGCCCAGTAATCATATCTTTGCCCTGGGGTCCTATAGTCTGAGCAACTGAGGTCAACCATGTAGGCATTGCATCCCTATGTGAATGATCCCCCAATACACACCCTGAACACCAAAGCTCTGGTGAGCTTCCCTGGCTGACAACACTTCACATGCGTTGTCATAAGTCATTGCTGGGAGAATGAACTGCATCTGTGTGACTTTCCTGGGAGAGGACACTGGAAGCTTGCACCAGGTTTCTCCTGGACTTCTTACCTTGCGTCTTTTCCACATGTTGATTTTTTTTTTTTTGAGATGGAGTCTTGCTCTATCACCCAGGCTGGAGTGCAATGGCTTGCTCTCAGCTCCCTGAAACCTCTGCCTCCCAGGTTCAAGCCATCCTCTTGTCTCAGCCTCCTGAGTAGCTGGGATTACAGGCATGTACCACTATGTTTGGCGAATTTTTGTATTTTTAGCAGAGATGGGTTTTTGCCATGTTGGCCAGGCTGGTTTCAAACTCTTGACCTCAGGTGATCTGCCCGTCTTGGCCTCCCAAAGTGCTGGGATTAAAGGCATGAGTCACCATGCTCGGCCTTTTTTCAGTTTTTTTTTTTTTTTTTAATAGCACTTATTACCACTTAGTAGGGGCTCAGAAAGTATTTGCTGGAAGAATAAAACATATACATCATACCTGGCTGGTCAGGGCCATCAGGACAGCGAAGCTGGACAGGTGACTGCAATTACACATGGTGTGACTCTTGTTCACGTGTATCAGGAAGCAGCCATCCCTGGACCACTGGCTGCCCTGCCCTGTGCTCTTCCAGTAGACACAGAAGACCTTTTTGGTACTGGGGGTCATCTGAAAATAGAAAATAGAAAGGGCTCATTGTCTTTGTCTTTCTTTCTTTCTTTTTTTTTTTTGGAGACAAAATCTTGCTTTGTTACTCAGGCTGGAGTGCAGTGGCTCAATCTCGGCTCACTGCAACCTCCGCTTCCTGGGTTCAAGCGATTCTCCTGCCTCAGCCTCCCAAGTAGCTGGGATTACAGACGTGCAGTACCACACCAGGCTAATTTTTGTATTTTTTGTAGAGACAGGGTCAACCGTGCTGCCCAGGCTGGTCTCGAACTCCTGGACTCAAGCAATCTTCCTGCCTTTGCCTCCCAAAGTGCTGGGATCATACAGGCATGAGCCACTGCATCTGGCCAGCTCATTGTCTTTTTCCTCAGGAGGGACAGTTCTCAGTGTTGGCCTATGCCAGGGTGCCACCTGCTAAGGCACCTGTGTGAAGAGTGACTCAGGTGATTTCTGTTTTGTTTGTTTGTTTTTGAGACGGGGTCTCATTCTGTCACCCAGGCTGGAGTGCCGTGACGCAATCACAGCTCACTGCCACCTTGACCTCCCTGGCTCAAACGATCCTCCCATCTCAGCCTCCAGAGTAGCTAGAACTACAAGTGTGTACCACCATGCCCAGCTAACTTTTGTATTTTTAGTAGAGATGGGGTTTCAACATATTGCCCAGGCTGGTCTTGAACTCCTGGCCTCAAGCAATCCTCCTGCCTTGGCCTCCCAAGAGGCTGTGGTTATGGGCATGAGCCGCTGTACCTGATTTCTATTTTATGCGGCCACCAGGACCCCCGATCCATAACCGCAGCTCTTTTGGGATTTTATGTAACATAAAATAAAGCAAAGGCTCCCTGGGAACCACAGTTTCAAGAGATTTCTTTGGTTTTAGAACCTTGCCCCAACCATGGGAGGAAAAAAACAAAAAAAAACCCAAAAAAAGCAGTGGAGTCTGAAGCTCTCATGTTTTTCCCTAAAGTCTCTCTAAGCCAAATGTCCCTGGTCGTTGTATAATCAATTTTGTCTCTACTCCCTTACAACACAATAATTGCTTATGCAATGAGAGGCATGATATAGGAAAGAAAAGTCATGAGGAGAGAGAATAAAATGAGCCTTTGAAGCCGGGCACAGTGGCTCATGACTGTAATCCCAGCACTTTGGGAAGCCAAGGCGGGTGGATCACCTAAAGTCAGGACTTGGAGACCAGTTTGTCCAACATGGCCAGACATCATCGCTACTAAAAATACAAAAATGAGCCAGGTGTGGTGGCACTTGCTCGTAATCCCAGCTACTTGGGAGGCTGAGGCAGGAGAATCGCTTGGGCCTGGGAGGCGGAGGTTGCAGTGAGCTGAGATCGCACCACTGTACTTCAGCCTGGGCGACAGAGACTCCGACTCAAAAAAAGAAAAAAAAAAAAGAAAATAGAAAAACAGGTCGGATGAAGTCGTTCATACCTATAATTTCAGGGTTTTAAGAAGCTGAGGTGGGAGGGTTGCTTGAGGCCAGGAGTTTGAGACCAGCCTCGACAACATTATGAGTCCCCCTCTCTACCAAAAATAAAATAGTTAGTTGGGCGTGGTGGCACACACCTGTAGTTCCAGCTGCTGGGGAAGCTGAAGTGGGAGAGTCCCTTGAGCCCAGGAGTCCGAGGCTGTAGTGAGCTATGATTGTGCAACTGCACTCCAGCCTGGACAACAGAATGAGACCCTTTCTCAAAAAAGGTAAAGATATAGATCAATTAACTTTAATAATAAATTTTATTTAACCCACTATATCCAACATAGTATCTTTTAAATATATCAGTATAAATTAATAAATATAATCAACATAGATATTATCAAGGAGATATTTTACATTCCTTTCTTCTTCTCTTTCTTTTTTTCTGAGACGGAGTCTGACTCTGTTGCCAGGCTGGAGTGCAGTGGCGCGATCTTGGCTCACCGCAACCTCCGCCTCCTGGGTTCAAGAGATTCTCCTGCCTCACCCTCCCAAGTAGCTGGGACTACAGGCATGTGCCACCATGCCCAGCTAATTTTTGTATTTTTAGTAGAGATGGGGTTTCACGAAGTTGGCCACTTGATCACTTGACCTCATGATCCCCCCACCTTGGCCTCCCAAAGTGCTGGGATTACAGGTGTGACCTTTCTTCTTTTCTTTTTTTGTTTTGATTTACTTTTTAAAAATGTATTTTTAATTTATACATTATAATTGTATATATTTATGGGATACAGTGTGATTTATAATACTTGTATTTGCATACCATGTAGAATGATTACATCTAGCTAATTCTTTTTTTTTTTTTTTTTGCATTTATTCTTATTGGTTCTCTGAAACTCCTGGATCTGTGGTTTGGTGTTTGACATTGGTTTGGGGAAATTCTCAGTCACTTCCCTCTCTCTCTTCCTCCCTCCCTCCCTCCCTCCCTCCCTCCCTCCCTCCTTCCTTCCTTCCTTCCTTCCTTCCTTCCTTCCTTCTTTCCTCTTTGTTTCTTTGTTTCTTTTCTTCTTCTCCTTACTGTTTTTCTTCTTCTTCCGACAGTGTCTTGCTCTGTGCCCCAGGCTGGAGTGCAGTGGTGCAATCATAGCTCACTGCAGCCTCCAACTCCTGGGCTCAAGCAATCCTCTTGCCTCAGCCTCCCGAGTAGCTGGAAGTATAGGAGCATGCCAACCTGCCTGGTTTAAATCAAGCTAATTGTTTTCTTCTTATTAAGTCTTCAAAGGCTGATTTACAAGATGTAAATCTGGAAATACTGTCTTCAAAATCTCGATTCAGACCAGCTACATTTCAAATGCTCAATAGCGACAGGTGCTCCTGACTACGACCCTGAACAGAGTGGGTCTAGAACCACAGCCTGGGATGATACACACATCGTTTGGCCTGCCTCCTTGAGAACCCACAAGCTCAAATCATACCTGTGACCCACCTTCACGTGCTGGAAAGTCAGCGTCACAGACTTGGAGAGAGACACGTTCCTTTTGGGTCCAATAGCAGCACTCACAACCTGAGAGTTCAGATACACTTGATCTTTCTTATCCATCTCTTCAAAAAAAGTTGCATTTATGATGTTTCCAAGAGAAGAATATGAGATAAAGGCAATGGCACTGGGACCTGAGGAAACAGAAAGATGGAATCTTTTTTCTTTTCTTTTCTTTCTTTTTTTTTTTTTTTTTTTGAGACGGAGTCTCGCTCTTGTCGCCCAGCCAGGCTGGAGTGCAGTGGCGTGATCTTGGCTCACTGCAACCTCCGCCTCCCGGGTTCAAGTGATTCTCCTGCCTCAGCCTCCCAAGTAGCTGGGATTACAGGCACTCACCACCATGCCTGGCTAATTTTTTGTCTTTTTAGTAGAGATAGGGTTTCACTATGTTGGCCAGGCTGGTCTCAAACTCCTGACCTCAGGTGATCCACATGTCTTGGTCTCCCAAAGTGCTGGGATTACAGGCATGAGCCACCATGCCCGGTCTGCCGTTTTTTAGAAGAGTTGTTCTCAGATGGAGCTTAAATCCTGTGATCCCTGGAGGATTCGTTTTAACAGAGTGCTGGCACCGGGCATGGTGGCTCACACCTGTAACCCCAGCACTTTGGGAGGCTGAGGGGGTGGTGGATCACTTGAGGTCAGAAGTTCAAGACCAGCCTGGTCAACATGGTGAAACCCTGTCTCTACTAAAAATACAAAGATTAGCTGGTTGTGGTGGCACATGCTTGTAATCCCAGCTACTTGGGAGGCTGAGGCTGGAGAATCGCTTGAACCCAAGAGGCGGAGGCTGAAGTAAGCTGCGATCACGCCACTGCACTCCAGTCTGGGTGACAGAGTGAGACTCCATCTCAAAGACAAAAAAAAAAAAAAAAAAGATGTTTTCCTACAAACAACCCACTTTTTGCATTTTCTGGAAACTTCAAAGTCTGGTAACACTGAGACAATGAATAATAATCTATTTCTTCCTACAAAGGCTGTAGGTACGGTGGGCACCCTGGCTCGAATCCCTGGCATTCTTGGTTTCTTTAATATGCTGATTAATTCTGCTGTAAGCATCGGTGATTCTGCCTGGGAACTTCCATGGGCGTGAATTTGTGTTTGGCCTGCACAGAGGACAGGCTGGAAGAGCTTGAAAGTTCAGCCCCCGGAGCAACCCTCCACCAATGATAGATCAGAGCAGATGGACAGACGTCCTAGCTCCCTCTTCTCGAATGGGACAGCTCAGTGAGATTGAGCCCCAGGTACCCCAACAGCAAGCTGCTCACTCAGGTACCTACCTCATTGGCTGCCTTTACTTGCCTGTCTTACTTTGCCTCTTACCTACTGTGATAGTTCATTTTACATGTCCACTTGGTTAGGCCATGGTCCCCAGACATGAGGCATGGATGTTGCCATGAAGGTGTTTTAAAGATGAGATTAATATTTAAATCAGTAGACTGAGTAAAACAGATTGCCTGCTATAATGTGGGTGGGCCTTATCCAATCAGTTGAAGGCCTCAAGAGAAACTAGACTAAGGTCTCCTGAGAAAGAGGTAGTTCTGGCCTCAGACTCTCTTTGGATTCAAGCTGCACTATCAGTTCTACCTTGTGTCTCCTGCCTGCCTGCCCACCCTGCAGATTTTGGACATGTCGGCCTTCCATAGTCACGTGAGCCAATTCTTTAAAATGACTCTCCTCGTCCCTCCTCATCTCTTTCTTTCCTTCTCTCTCCCCATCTCTCTCTTTCCATCTCTCTCCCCCATTTCTCTCTCCCCATCTCTCTCTTTCGATCTCTCTTTTGATCTCTTTCCACATCTCTCTCTTTCCATATATCTCTCCCCATCTCTCTAATTCCATCTCTCTCTCCCTATCTCTCTTTCCATCTTTCTCCCCATCTCTCCCCATCTCTCGAATTCCGTCTCTCTCTCCACATCTCTCTCTTTCCATCTCTCTCCCCATCTCTCTCTTTCCACCTCTCTCCCTCTCTCTCTTTTCATCTCTCTCTCCCCATCTCTCTCTTTCCATCTATCTCTTTCCATCTTTCTCTCCCCATCTCTTTCTTTCCATCTCTCCATCTCGCTTTTGATCTGTCTCTTCCCATCTCTCGCTTTTGATCTCCCTCTGCCCATCTCTCTTTTTCCATCTCTCTCCCCATCTCTCTTTCCATCTCTCTCTCCCCATCTCTCTCTTTCCATCTCTCTCCCCATCTCTCTAATTTCATCTCTCTCTCCCCATCTCTCTCTTTCCACCTTTTTCCCCATCTCTCTCTTTTGATCTCTCTCTCCATCTCTCTTTTTCCATCTCTCTCTCTCCATCCCTCTTTTCATCTCTTTCTCCCCATCTCTCTCTTTCCATCTCTCTCCATCTCTTTCTCCTCATCTCTCTCTTTCGATCTCTGTCTTTCCATCTCTCTCTCCATCTCTCCCTCCCCATCTCTCTCTTTCCATCTCTCTCCATCTCTTTCTCCCCATCTCTCTCTTTCGATCTCTGTCTTTCCATCTCTCTCTCCATCTCTCCCTCCCCATCTCTCTCTTTCCATCTCTCTCCATCTCTTTCTCCCCATCTCTCTCTTTCAATCTCTGTCTTTCCATCTCTCTCTCCATCTCTCCCTCCCCATCTCTCTCTTTCCATCTCTCTCCATCTCTTTCTCCCCATCTCTCTCTTTCGATCTCTGTCTTTCCATCTCTCTCTCCATCTCTCCCTCCCCATCTCTCTCTTTCCATCTCTCTCCATCTCTTTCTCCCCATCTCTCTCTTTCAATCTCTGTCTTTCCATCTCTCTCTCCATCTCTCCCTCCCCATCTCTCTCTTTCCATCTCTCTCCCCATCCCTCTCTTCCCATCTCTCTCCCCATCTCTTGCTTTTGATCTCTCTCTCCCCATCTCTCTCTTTCCATCCCTCTCCTCATCTCTCTCTTTCCATCTCTCTCTACTCATCTCTCTCTTTCCACCTCTCTTCCTATCTCTCTCCCCCATCTCTCTCTTTGCATCTCTCTCCTCTCCATCTCTGTCCCCATCTCTCTCTTTCCATCTCTCTTCCCTTCTCTCTCTTTCCATTTCTCTCCCCATCTCTGTCTTTCCACCACTCTCCCCATCTCTCTTTTCTCATCTTTCTCTTTCCATCTCTTTCCCTATCTTTTTCCATCTCTCTTCCCTTCTCTCTTTCCATCTCTCTCCCCTTCTCTCTCTTTCCATCGCTGTCCCCATCTCTCTCTTTCCATCGCTCTCCCCATCTCTCTCTTTCCACATCTCTCTCCCCATCTAATTCCATCTTTCTCTCCCCATCTCTCTCTTCCCATCTGTCTCTCCCCATGTCTCTCTTTCCACCTCTCTCCCCATCTTTCTCTCCATCTCTCTTTACCCATCTGCCTCTCCACATCTGTTTCTCTCCATCTCTCTCATCTCTTGCTCTCTGTCTCCATCTCTCTCTCTCTCTCTCTCTCTCTCTCTCTCTCTCTCTCTCTCTCTCTCTCTCCCCTCTTCCCACACCCCCCCACACCCTACACTCTTCAGCTCTTTAGTTGTGATTCTCTGGAGAACACTGATGAATACACCCACTGTTGTTCCTGGGGATCACCTCCCAAAGAAACTTCTCACACTTCTTTCAGGGTTTGCTTCTGGGTGAACCCAAACCGGGACACAGGCAGAACAGCACTCCCCCACCATCCCAAATTGCAAAGTCCCTCCCATACTGAATAACAGAAAACCTCCATTTTGGGAAAATGTCTTTTTTTTTTTTTTAAAGGGAAAATCTCCAATATCGTAGTTTGAGGGTAAAAAGCCCATGAGGGGAGAGCCCAGTGGGCTTGTTTCCCCATGACTCACACAATGACATGGCTCTGTGTGAAGGATTCTGAATGCAGCCATCAGGCATACCTTGTGTGTCTCCCTGGATGATGTCACTGCAACGGATGTCCATTGAGTTCATTTGGACGTTCAAGTTGAATGTCTTTCTTTCTTCAGAGCAATTGTCTGTAATCGCTTGAGTTTCAATAGCTGGTAAGAAAAGCAATGGGCAGGCTTAGTGATATTGTAAGAAACTTTAAAAATATGCATAGGAACAGGACATGGTGGTGCATGCCTGTAGTCCCAACTACTCAAGAGGCTGAGGCAGAAGGATTGCTTGGGCCCAGGAATTTGAGCCCAGGCAACACAGTGAGATGCTGCCTCTAAAAAAAAAATGTTCATAGCAACATAAATGGCTCACATATACTGAATGTCTAGGATGTGTCGGGCACTGAGCTAAGAGTCTTACACATGTCACCTTATAAACCTATAACTTCATCAGGGACAACTCTATAGATGAGGAAACTGAAGTCAGAAGTTAGGTAAGACTCTAATTCCTGAAACCAAGTTCTTAACTAACAGCTCTTAGCATACACCTTTGAAGATACAGTTCTATTTCTAGGAGTTTATTCTCAGAAAACGATTGTGGATGGAGGGCAGATTTAGCTACAAGAAAGTTCATAGCAGCTTAGATGATAATGGTGGAAAATGGGGGATTATCTAGATGTTCAACAAGAGGTGATTGATTAAATAAGTGATGATATGGGCTGGGCACAGTGGCTCATGCTTGTAATCCCAGCACTTTGGGAGGCCATGGCAGGTGGATTGCTTGAGGCCAGGAGTTCAAGACCAGCCTGGCCAACATGGTGAAACCCCATCCCTACTAAAAATACAAAAATTATCTGGGCATGGTGGTGTGCACCTGTAATCTCAGCTACTTGGGAGGCTGAGGCACGAGAATAGTTTGAACCGGGGAGGCAGAGGTTGCAGTGAGCTGAGATCACGCCACTGTACTCCAGCCTGGATGATGGAGTGAGACTCTGTCTCAAAAATAAGTAAGTAAGTAAATAAATAAATAAGTGATGATATATCTCTGTGGTGGGGAACCAGGGCTTCAAATAAAAATAAAGTCACAAATGAATTGCAATCAAGAAAAACTCATGAGAAAAAAGGTAACCATGTGAGTGATGGATGTGTTAGCTAATTTGATTGTGGTGATCATTCCACAGTATATATGTATATCAAGTCATCCTATTGTACACCTTAAATATATACAATTTTCTTTATCAATTACACCTTAATAAAGCTAAAAAATGTTAAGCTCATGAAAATATGTATCTTAAAAACAGACAACCCAAGACTGGCTGTGAGATGGAAATCGTTGAATTGGGTGATGGGTGCATCAGGGATTTTATTCTCCTATTTCCTTTTGTGCATATTAAAAGGTTAAAAAAAAAAAGAAGCAAGCAACAAAACAGCACATCAAGAATGACACTATTTTATGGCTGGGTGCAGTGGCTCATGCCTGAATTCCCAGCACTTTTGCAGGCTGAGGCCAGTTGATTGCTTGAGGTCAGGAGTTCAAGACCAGCCTGGCCAACATGGTGAAATCCCATTCTACTAATACACAAAAATTAGCTGGTCATGGTGGCAGGCACCTTTAATCCCAGCTACTAGGAAGGCTGAGGCAGGAGAATTGCTTGAACCCAGGAGGCAGAGGTTGCAGTGACCTAGATCATGCCACTGCATTCCAGCCTGGGCAATAGAATGAGACTCCATCTCAAAAAAAAAAAAAGAAAAAAAAAAAAAGAATGACATTAATGACATTCTAGAAACTACTACTGGTTTGTCTAATATTGACTCTCAGTTTTTGAAAAGTTTACAAGTATTTACTCTAATTATGTATTAATGTTTTTGGCCTACTGTTTCATTCATTTAGTACGTTTTAATGAATAGAAATTCTTGAGCTCAGTGTAAGTGAATTTATTGTTATTATTATTATTTTTGAGATGGAGTCTTGCTCTTTTGCCCAGGCTGGAGTGCAGTGGCTTGCTCTCAGCTAACTGCAACCTCTGTCCCCCGGGTTCAAGCGATTCTCCTTCCTCAGCCTCACAAGTAGCTGGGATTACAGGCATGCACCACCACGCCTGGCTAATTTTTTTTAGTAGAAACAGGGTTTCACCATGTTGGCCAGGCTGATCTCGAACTCCTGACCTCAAGTGATCCGCCTGCCTTAGCCTCCAAAAGTGCTAGGATTACAGGATGAGCCACCTCATCCTGCCCACAATGTTAATTTCATCATCCATTATATTATCGCTTGTTACTCTTTGTCATTTTTATCAAACCTCAATTTGACTTGTTTTTATATTATTTAATATTTTCTACATTAAACTATGTGTTTCCTGTAAAAAAGAATGACACTATTTTGACAATATTTCATAATATTAAAGAGTGGAAAGATAGAATAATCATAATTATAGCAATTACTACCGTAGTTTTTCTTCTTTCTTAAAAGTTTGAGTCGTTTAGCTTCTGAGGGATCCTAGTCCTAGGTGCATTACATGCACTTTCATTATCTCTATTAAAATTTTTTTTTGAGACAGGCTCTCACTCTGTTGTCCAGGCTGGAGTGCAGTGGTGCAATCTCAGCTCACTGCAGCCTCGAACTCCTGGGCTCAAGCGATCCTCCCACCTCAGCCTCCTAAGTAGCTGGGACCTCATTTGCACACCACCATGTCCAGCTAATATTATCCTCATTTTATTGACAGGAGAATGAAGCCCAATGAGGTGAGGGCACTGGTCTCAGATCAAACAGTTAGGACGTGGCAAAATCAGGAGAGATGAGATTTACTTGCAATCTGGAAAATGGTTTAATTTTGAACCAAAGTATCCAGATTCCAGTTTTCCAAGAAGAATAGGCACTGACTTTTTCAAAGCCTGCTGTGTGTGTGTTTTTTTTTTTTTTTTTTTTAATTTAAGATGGAGTCTTGCTCTGTCACCCAGGCTGGAGTGCAGTGATGTGATCTCGGCTCACTGCAACCTCTGCCTCCCCAGTTCAAGTGATTCTCCCACCTCAGCCTCTGGAGTAGCTGGGATTACAGTCATGAGCTACCACGCCCCGCTAATTTCTGTATTTTTAGTAAAGATTAAGTTTCACCATGTTGCCCAGGCTGATCTCAAACTACTGGCCTCAAGTGATCCACCCACCTTGGCCTCCCAAAGTGCTGGGATTATAGGTGTAAGCCACCATGCCCAGCCCAAAACCTGTTTTTTTTTTTTTTTTAATGAGACAGGTTCTTGTTCTGTCATCCAGGTTGGAGTGGCAATGGCATGATCATAGTTCACTGCACCCTCAAACTCCTGGACTCAAGCCATCCTCTCCCTCAGCCTCCCAAGTAGCTGAGACCACAGGTACAAGCCACTGCACCTGGCAAATTTTAAATTTTTTTTAAAGAGATGGGGGTCTTGCTATGTTGCCCAGGCCAGTCTTGAGCTCCTGGGCTGAATTAACCCTCCCGCCTCAGCCTCCCAAAGTGCTGGGAATACAGTCGTGAGCCATCATGCCTGGTCCTCAAACTACATTTAAGTGAAAATTCCAGACCTGGGATTGGAAACTATTGGCAATCTTCTGAATAAACAACTTTATTGAGGTATAATTGATGTCTAACCAACTGCACATATTAAAGTGTACAATCTGGTGAGTTTTGTTGGGTGCACACACCTCTGAAATCAACACCACAATCAAGGCAGGAAGATTTCCATCACCCCTAATAGTTTCCCCAGATTTTCTCATGCCTCTGCCACCCCTCCCTCCTGCCCCTCCCTGTCACTCTAGATAAGTTTGCGTTTTCTAGAATTTATATAAATTTTTGTAATTTACATAAAGGGACTCATGTGGTGTATTCAATTTTTTTTTTCTAATTGCCTAACCCAGATCCCAGCTGCTAACCAGTCCCCAGGGTGTATCAGTCCTCATTATTGTCTTACCTACACTATCGTTTTGGATTTTCAGGACTTTTTGTTCTGGATCTTTCAAGGCAGTTTCTAGAACTTTCGATTCCACATCCCGGAGAATAGTGGTAGCTGTGGATGAGATTTCTTGTCTCCCTTCTGTTCTCCATAAAGTCTGATTGGTGAGAAGTGACTCAAATTTGTCCACAATCTTTTGCAGCTTTGAAGACATAAAGAATTTTCATTTTTTAAAAATGTAATCTGGTAAGTCCCATATCCAAAAGAACAGTAGAAAGCATGAGAAAGCAGGCTCTGGAGCTGGAGGAACCACGTTCAAATCCTGGCACTTCATCATGTCCCAGCTTTGTGACCTTGGGCAAGTCACTCAATCACTCTGTGCCCCACGACAGGAAAAGGAACTCAAAGGGTTTTTCTGGAGGATTAAATGAGTTAACAGATGCTCTTCTTTTAGGACAGTGTCTGTATCTGGTAAAAGCTATGTAAGGGTGAGTCACTATTATTATTTTTGAGACAGAGTATTGCTCTGTCGCCCAGGCTAGAGTGCAGTGGTGGGATCTTGGCTCACTGCAACCTCCAGCTCCTGGGTTCAAGTGATTCTCATGCTTCAGTCTCCTGAGTAGCTGGGATTACAGGTGCACACCGCCATGCTTGCTTAATTTTTTTAATTTTTTTTTTTGTATAGACAGGGTCTTGCTATGTTGCCCAGGCTGGTCTGGAACTCCTGGGCTCAAACGATTCTCCTGCCTTGGCCTTCCAAAGTGATGGGATTATAGGAGTGAGCCACCGTGCCTGATTGGGTTAGTTATTATTAACGTTTTTTGCCAACAAGGTAGTGATAAGTTTGTTAGAAATAGACCAGTGGTTCTCAACGGGGGGGTGATTCTGCTACTCCCTCCACAGGGCACATGTGGCGATGGCTGGAGACATTTTCGGTTGTCACTGTCGCAACAAGGGAGTGGTTGCCACTATTGAAGCAGCGTCACTGTCTGGGGTAAATACCCAGAGTTTGTCATCTTGCGCCAAGATGAAGGACATGGACACACACGAGGAGTGAGTTTAGGAGTGGAGGTTTAATAGGCAAAAGAAAAAGAAAAGAGGGCAGGGTGCGGTGGCTCATGCCTGTAATCCCAGAACTTTGGAAGGCCGAGGGGGGTGGATCATCTGAGGTCAGGAGTTCAAGACCAGTCTGACCAACATGGTGAAACCCCATCTCTACTGAAAATACAAAATTAGCCGGGCATGGTGGCGCGTGCCTGTAATCCCAGCTAGTTGGGATGCTGAGGCAGGAGAATCGCTTGAACCTGGAAGGCAGAGGAGGCAGATGTTGTAGTGAGCCGAGATCACATCACTGCACTCCAGCCTGGGTGACAGAGTGAGACTCCATCTCAAAAAAAAAAAAAAAAGAAAAGAAAAAAAAAAAAGAAAGTAGAACAGCTCTCTCCCTTGCGAGAGAGAGGGATGCCCGAAAGAAAGCAAAATCCTGCCCACCGACTAGATTTTATATTCAGGCACTAGATTTTATAGTCAGGCTGAGGAGGCGGTGTCTGAATTATGTAGGGCCCACAGATTGGTTGGGCCAGGTGCGACATTTACTTACTGCTCGGGGAAGGCTGGTTGCCCTACCCACTTGGCCAGTACCATCTTGTCTGCTCCTTACTGTACACGTGACTGGCAAAGAGAAGGGAAGATGGAGCTGCCATTTTGATCATGTCTAGTCCCAGGCAGCCTTTTCCTATTGGCACAGCTGCTGGCATTGACCCATAAGCTTCCAGCTTGCTTGTCTATGTCCGCAGCTTGATTTTACAGGCTGCTCTTTGTTAGAAAAGAAAATTTGGGGCTGCTCTTCATTAAAAGGAAAACCTCACTGAGGACTTCCGTACCCTCACCATCTGCCTAAGTAATTTCTTCTTAACTCCTATATCATTGTGTATTTATTTATTTATTTTTGAGATGGAGTCTTACTCTGTTGCCCAGGCTGGAGTGCAGTGACGTGATCTCAGCTCACTGCAACCTCTGCCTCCTGGGTTCAAGTGATTCTCCTGCTTCAGCCTCCTGAGTAGCTGGGATTACAGGCATGCGCCCCCATGCCCGGCTAATTTTTGTGTTTTTTGTAGACATGGGGGTTTCATCATGTTGGCCAGGCTGGTCTTGAACTTCTGACCTCGGGTGATCCACCCACCTCCCAAAGTGCTGGGATTACAGGCATTAGCCGCCATGCCCGGCCTGATTACTTGATTCTTTATTTGTTCATTACTTCAGTGATCATTCCTTGAACTCCTAATTTGGGGTTGGTCTTATTCCCTTCCTCAAAAAGCTCACAGTCTAGGGATTGATTACATGATGTAATCACATATTTATATAAATGCCGTCAGTTGGCCGGAGACAATAATGGATACCATTGGATACTTGGATGTCTTTTGCAGCAGTGCAGCAGGCCTTAATATACTCTCTCTTGGCCTGTCTTTCTTGGTCTGGGATAGATTCCTGTCTTTAGATGGCAACACACACACGCTCATACACACACACTCACACACTGTCATATGTATGTACGTACATGCACACTGTGTGTGTCTATCTATACCTATATCTATATATATATATAAGTAGATACAGATACAGAGCCCTCTTGGTATACGCATGGCATTGGTTCCAGGATCGTCCATATATGCTCAAATCCAATCCATGCATACTCAAGACCCATGGAACTCACTCATGAAAAGTCAGTCCTTCCTCTTTGTGAGTTTTGCATCCTGCCTATATATACATATATATATATATATTTTTTTGTTTGTTTGTTTGTTTTGTTTTGTTTTTTGAGACGGAGTCTTGCTCTGTCACCCAGGCTGGAGTGCAGTGGCAACATCTCCACTCACCGCAACCTCCGCCTCCTGGATTCAAGTGATTCTCCTGCCTCAGCCTCTGGGGTTGCTGGGATTGCAGGCATGTGCCATCATACCTGGCTAATTTTTGTATTTTTTAGTAGAGATGAAGTTTCACCATGTTGGCCAGGCTGGTCTCGAACTCCTGACCTCAAGTAACATGCCTACCTCGGCCTCCCAAAGTGCTGGGATTACAGGCGTGAGCCACCACGCCAAGCCCGGCAATACTGTAGTTTTGATTCACATTTGGTTGAAAAATGTCCTCGTGTAAGTGGATCCCCGCAGTTCAAATGTGTGTTGTTCAACTGTATATATAGTGATATATCTATAGTGAGCTGGATAATGATACATATATAGTGGTATACCTAATGGTATATCTGTATCTATCTATCTATAGATATATGTATACATACCACAATTATGCATAATATATAATTGTATATAATATATGAATATGTACTATTGTGTAGTAATATGATATTATATGGTAATAATATATTATGTATTTATATATAACATATTCTTTGTCCTAAATAATACATTATATATGTATATATAATATATATTTTGCCCTAAATCCATCCCCATTTGCTCACTTTGGGCTTTGTAAATATTTGTTACTGATGTTTGTTACCTGGGAAGGGTCTGGGGATCAGCCTCCACTCACCTCTTTCCTGCCCTCGGTTGTCTTTGAGGAGGTGGTGTCTGCAAAAGACATCATGATGGAGTTACTATTGGAACTGAGAGTGACCAGGCAGAGGGGTGGGCAGGTGGGGTAAGTAATGGGGTGAGCAACTTTGCACCTAGAAGGTAAAAGCCTGAATTCATAGTCTTTATCTGCTGTTTGTTGATTTTTAAAAAATTTTAAATTTTATTTAAAAAATTTTTTATTTTTTATTTTTATTTTGAGACAGAGTCTCACTCTGTTGCCCAGGCTGGAGTGCAATGGTGCGACCTAGGCTCACTGCAACCTTCACCTCCTGGGTTCAAGTGATTCTCCTGCCTCAGCCTCCTGAGTAGCTGGGATTACAGGCACGCACCTCCAGGCATGGCTAATTTTTGTATTTTTAGTAGAGATGGGGTTTCACCACGTTGGCCAGGCTGATCTCAAACTCTTGACCTCATGATCCGCCTGCCTCGGCCTCCCAAAGGGCTGGGATTACAGGCATGAGCCATCGCACCTGGCTTTTTTTTTCCCTTTTTTTTTTTAGATAGGGTCTCATTCTGCTGCCTAGGCTGGAGTGCAGTGGCACAATCTTGGCTCACTGCAATCTCAATGTCCTGGGCTCAAGCAATCCTCCACCTCAGTCCCCCAAGTAGCTGGGACTGTAGGTGTGTACCACCAGACCTGGCTAAATTTTTTTTTTTTGTATTTTTTGTAGAGATGGGGTTTCGCCATGTTGGCCAGGCTGATCTCAAATTCCTGACCTCAGGCAATCCACCCGCCTTGGCCTCCTAAAATGCAAGGATTACAGGCGCGAGCCACCGTGCCTGGCCTCCAAATTCTTTTATTCCATCTTGACTGGAAATTAGAACTGAAATGTCCGAGAAAACAGAAAATTAGAAGCCTCTTGTGTTTAAAGTCAGCCTGGCTGGGAATGATAACCGAAACAGAAGCATCAGTGTCTGGTCATCAGCTGTTAATGAAGACTTTTGTGTTGGTTTCTGTGCTTAGTGAGGACATCTCTGCTTTAGAAATTTGAGGAAGGGTGCACCTGTAGTCCCAGCTGCTTGGGAGGCTGAGGCAGGAGGATCATATGAGCCTAGGCATTCGAGACCAGCCTGGCCAACATGGCAAAACCCTGTCTCTACTAAAAATACAAAAATTAGCTGGGCATGTTGGCGGGTGCCTGTAATCCCAGCTACTCGGGAGGCTGAGGCAGGAGAATCTCTTGAACCTAGGAGGCAAAGGTTGCAGTGAGCTGAAATGACACCACTGCACTCCAGCCTGGGAGACAGAGCGAGACTCTGCCTCTGAAAAAAAAAAAAAAAAAAAAAAAAAAGACAAGGAAAGTCTAGCAAATGTTTACATATCTTTTATCATCATGCTGAGGTTAAATCTGTACTTATTCTAAATTTTGGTTTTCAGCTCAGTCTATTTGCTTAAAAGCACAAACAGCTTTGTTTTAATACTGAACATTTTATCTTAAGAGTTCAAGAACTTTGACTTACAACCCTGAGTCTAGAATATGTTTGTTATAGGAAACCGTATTTATTGTAGAAAACTGCCCTTTTGAACCAAAGCTGCACACTTTATCATTGGGTGGGGGTGTCTGTTGCTTAGAGCTGCCAGCCTTGGTAATAACGAACCCCAAATGGGCTCAGTCTTTATAAAAGGACGGTGCAGACCTCTTAACATTAGGAAAACAACCAAAGGCATTTTCCTTTTTTGTAAAATAAGACAAGTTTAAGAGATTAACATCAGAACCCAGGTAGAATCACAGTCTGCTTCTACACTGTCAATAGAGGTGCGCATTGCTTAGTAAAAGACAGATTTATGGCTGAGTGCTGTGGCTTATGCCTATAATCCCAGCACTTTGGGAGGCCAAGGCAGAAGGATCGCTTGAGACCAGGAGTTTGAGATCAGCCTGGGCGACATAGTGAGAACCCCATCTCTACAAAAAATGAATAAATTAGCCAGGTATGGTGGCTCATACCTATAATCTCAGCCACTCAGGAGGCTGAGGTGGGAGGATTGAGCCTGGAAGTTCAAGGCTGCAGTGTGCAATGATTGTGCCACTGTACTCCAGCCTGGGTGACAGAGTGAGACCCCATCTCTTAAAAAAAAAAAAAGTTTCTCTCTTATTATCCCTACGGTAGTCAATACCTCATGGGTGGTCTACCAAGTCTCATCTCTTTTCTCATATAGACTTTCCCATCCATGTTTTCCATGGGAGTGGTCATGTTTACATGACACAGTATCTCTCCCTGGACACGGATCCACGGGTGCACATGGGGCTCAAACTGGGCCAATGTATTCATTCCCAAAGAATTTGCAATGGGGTCTCAGAGAGAGAGTCAACTGATCTCTCTTTGGTTGGTTGGGGCAAAAAAAATGGTAAGATCTGGAGCGGGTTGGTGGTCATATTTCCTTTTTTTTTTTTTTTTTTTTTTGAGACAGAGTTTCACTCTGTCACCCAGGCTGGGGTGCAGTGGCGGGATCTTGTCTCACTGCCACCTCTGCTTCCCAGGATCAAGCAATTCTTGTGCTTCACCCTCCTGAGAAGCTGGGATTACAGGCACCCGCCACCACACCCAGCTAATTTTTGTATTTTTAGTAGAAATGGGGTTTCGCCATGTTGGCCATGCTGGTCTTGAACTCCCGGTCTCGAGTGATCTACCCGCCTTGGCCTCCCAAAGTATTGGGATTACAGGCGTGAGCCACCCCTCCCAGCCGGTGGTCATATTTTCTGTCCTGTGGTCTAGGAAGCAGAGAAAGCCAGCCTGCAGTGAAAGAGAAGGAAGGAGCAGATCCAAAGATGATTAGAGACAGGGACTAGGAGATGCACCCTGGGGGTGTTGAGTTCCCAGTTTTAGTTAATTCCAGAAGCCCAGCTGCATTCCTGTCCTTGCAGGGCATGGCTACGCATCGTTTTCATAAACCCATTTTTTGGCCTGTTAGCCTGAGTGAGTTTCTCTTCCTTGCAATTCAAAGAATGTGGTCTCAATCACCACCTTGTCACATCCTCCATCTCCAAACTATAGTTCCCTTTCTCACCCCCTTATTTCCCTCAACTTGAACTTCCTTCTTTCCTTGTAGTTCCCTGCAGAAAATAAAAACCACATCCTGGTCCCACAACAAATACGTCTTTTCTGATGTTAGATTCAATAAAAAATGAGGAAGGACTGCCGCCTGTAAAAAGTCCCAGCACTTTGGGAGGATGAGGAGCGTGGATCAAGAAAAATTAGCTGGGCGTCGTGGTGCACGTCTGTAATCTCAGCTACTTGGGAGGCTGAGACAGGAGAATCGCTTGAGCCCGGGAGGCGGAGGTTTCAGCCACTGCACTCCAGCCTGGGCTACAGAGCGAGACTCTGTCTCAAAACAAAACAAAACAAAACAAACAAACAAAAAAACAACAACAGAGGAAGGAAGGCAGGAGGACAAAAATGTTCTTACCCTGACAGGTGTTCTCATTGGAATTACTGAATTGTTCATTCCCAGAATGCAGTCTATATCCTGGGACACATTGACAGTAGAAACTTCCTTCGACATTGTAACACACAGCGTTAAATCCACAATATACACTATAGGGTGGTGTACATTCATTAATGTCTGGAACACAAAGAAGCAATTGGGTCATTCATTCAGCAAAGATTTATTGAGCAGCTACTATGTGTCAGGAGTTGTGCTCTTTCCCCCATGGTCTGTCCTGGCTTTCCGAGACAAATCAGTTTAGGTAATGGTTATCTTGGTTTTTCGCTTTCTTCATTGACTTTGGTGGGGTTCTCCAGGAAGCAGACAATGAGACGAGAATATAAGTACTTTATTTGGGAGGGGATCCCAGGAAACACTGAGAGGGCAGTCGCGAAATGAAACAAGAAACTATCTTTTCTTTTTGAGACGGAGTCTTGCTCTGTCATCCATGCTGGAGTGCAATGGCAGGATCTGGGTTCACTGCAACTTCTGCCTCCTGAGTTCAAGCGATTCTCCTGCCTCAGCCTCCCGAGTAACTGGGATTGCAGGCATGCACCACCACGCCCGGCTGATTTTTGTATTTTTAGTAGACACGGGGTTTCACTATGTTGGCCAGGCTGGTCTCAAACTCCTGACCTCAGGTGATCCACCTGCCTTGGCTTCCCAAAGAACTGGGATTACAGGCGCGAGCCACCATGCCTGGCTGAAACAAGAAACTATCTTAAATGAACGGCCAAGTTTCCAAAACAGCCCCCATTTTGCCTCCCTTTTGCTCCTGCTTCTGGATAACTTGCAAATTATCCCTGGCCAGGTGCAGGGTTCACGCCTGTAATCCCAGCACTTTGGGAGGCCGAGGCGGGAGGATTGCTTGAGCTCAGGAGTTTGAGACCAGCCGGGACAATATAGTAACAATCCATCTCTACAAAAAAAAAAAAAAAAAAAAAAAAATTAGCTGGGCATGGTGGCACGCCTGTAGTTGCAGCCACTTGAGAGGCTTGATCCCAGGAGTTGGAGGCTGCAGTGAGTGTTTTTATTTATTTTGATCAGAGTCTCGATCTGTTGCCCAGGCTGGAGTGCAGTGGTGCAATCTCGGCTCACTGCAACCTCTGCCTCCCAGGTTCAAGCTATTCTCATGCCTCAGCCTCTTGAGTAGCTGAGATTATAAGCGCCCCACACCATGCCCGGCAAATTTTTGTATTTTTAGTAGAGATGGGGTTTTGTCATGTTGGCCAGACTGGTCTCGAACTCCTGACCTCAAGTGATCTGCCCACCTAGGCCTCCCCAAGTGCTGGGATTACAGGCTTGAGCAACTGTGTCCAGCTTGCGGTGAGCTTTGATCATGCCACAGCAGTCCAGCCTGGGCAACAGAGCAAGACCCTGTCTCTAATAATAATGATAATAAAATAATAATAATAAAAAATAATAATACTTCTTTACCGTTACATGTCTCCAAGGGGAATGTGAATAGTTTCTGCCCAGATCCAGAAGTATATCCATGGTTGCAGGTGCAGTGAGTGTTATTGACACAGGAAGCATTTGGGGGGCACTTAGCACAGGAAGCTGCAGGGAGAAGAGAGGCAGGTTAAATGGACTGGGGTCACAAACTCTCCTGTTATAATTAGGCCCTGCCTCTTGATCACCTGAGGTCAGGAGTTCAAGAGCAGCCTGGCCAACATACTGAAACCCCATTTCTACTAAAAATACCAAAAATAGCCAGGCGTGGTGGTGCATGCCTATAATCCTAGCTACTCAGGAGGCTGAGGCAGGAGAATTGTTTGAACCTGTGAGGCGGAGATTGCAGTGAGCCGAGATTGTGCCACTGCACTCCAGCCTGGGTGACAGAGGGAGACTCCATTTCAAAACAAATATATATATTTGTTACATAGGTATACACGTGCCACGTTGGTTTGCTGCACCCATTTACATTAGGTATTTCTCCTAATGCTATCCCTCCCCCAGCCCCCCACTCCCCTGACATATTATATATGTAAATAATAATAATAATGAGGCCTCGCCTCTGGGCAGGGCCTCTCAAGGCTGAGGAAGCCTGTGCCTTTTCCTCTTGTGAGATCTAAGCACGTTAAAAAATTAGAGTGGCCAGGCGTGGTGGCTCACTCCGCCTGGTGAGGATTTTCACATGGTGAAACCCCGTCTCTACTAAAAAATACAAAAATTAGCCGGGTGTGGTGGCAGGTGCCTGTAATTCCAGCACTTTGGGAGGCTGAGGCGGGTGGATCACCTGAGGTCAGGAGTTTGAGACCAGCCTGACCAACATGGTGAAACCCCATCTCTACTGAAAATACAAAATTAGCCAGGCGTAGTGGCACATGCCTGTAATCCCAGCTACTCAGGGGGCTGAGGCAGGAGAATGGCTTGAATCCGGGAGGTGGAGGTTGCAGTGAGCCGAGATCGCGCCATTGTGATCGCACCACGGTGAGAGGCATGGTGAGCACGCCTGTTGACATCTGTAATTCCAGTGCTTTGGGAGGCCCAGGTAGGAGGATTCCTTGAGGCTAGGAGTTGGAGAGCAGCCTGGGTAACATAGCAAGACACTATTGCTATAAAAAATAATTTAAAAATTAGCCAGTCATGGTGGCATGTGCCTGTAGTCCCAGCTACTCTGGAGGCTGAAGCGGGAGGATTGCTTGAGCCCAGGAGTTTGAGGCTGCAGTGAGTCGTGGTCATGTCATTACACTGCAGCCTCGGCGACAGAGTGAGGCTCTGTCTCTAAAACAAAAGGACAAAAAAATTTGAATTTGTATGGTACCATGGGAGGGAGATTCTGATCGTGGTATATGTTAAGGTATTTTTTCTTTAGGCTTCATTACTTATGAAAATGATAAATTCACAGAATTGAAAAAAAATCCAACAATAAGTCTCTTATTACCCCAGATTCTGAGCTGTCTACTGCTTATTGTATACTTTTCAGAAAAATACCAATCCATATACACACATATGTGCATCATTTTTCTTTACGTTATAGGAACATATTACACATACTGCTCTGTTCTTTGGTTTTCATGTAAAATTTTGCCTGAGAATTTTTTCCACAGCTTCACATGTGGAGCAACCTCATTTTTTTTTTTTTTTTTTTTTTTTTTGAGACAGAGTCTCGCTCTGTTGCCCAGGCCGGAGTGCAGTGGTGTGATATCGGCTCACTGCAAGCTCCGCCTCCTGGGTTCATGCCATTCTCCTGCCTCAGCCTCCTGAGTAGCTGGGACTAGAGGTGCCCGCCACCACGCCCGGCTAATTTTTGTATTTTTAGTAGAGGCGGGGGTTTCACGGTGTTAGCCAGGTTGGTCTTGATCTCCTGACCTCGTGATCCGCCTGCCTCGGCCTCTCAAAGTGCTGGGATTACAGGCGTGAGCTACTGCGCCCAGCTGCAACCTCATTATTTTAAAAGGCATTGCAGTATTCCATCCCGGGGATGGACAGTCCCAAATATGCTACTGAAACAAGGGTGCAATTGACCGTGCACGCAAGTCTTAATGCATTTTGGATTTTGTTTTATTTTACTTTATTTTTTAAGAGATAAGGTCTCGCTCTATTGTCCAGGCTGGCATGCAGTGGCAGATCATAGCTCACTGCAGCCTCAACCTCCTGGGCTCAAGCGATCCTCCTACCTCAGCCTTCTGAGTAGTTGAGATTACAGGCATCTGCCAAAATGCCCAGCTAATTAAAAAAATTTTTTTGTAGAGATGGGGTT
Source organism: Homo sapiens (assembly GCF_000001405.40). Lineage (NCBI taxonomy): Eukaryota > Metazoa > Chordata > Mammalia > Primates > Hominidae > Homo > Homo sapiens. Next base: position 14,665,687 of record NC_000019.10, read on the forward strand.
CTTGCTATGTTGCCTAGGCTGTTCTCTAACTCCTGGGCTCAAGTGATCCACCTGCCCTGGCCTCCCAAAGCACTGGGATTACAGGTGTTAGCCACCATGCCTAGCCTTTGGAATTTTATTTTTGGATAAAAATAAAATAATATGTTACATAATTTGTATATTATAATATAATATACAACATAATATATAATTATATAAGATATAAATTATATATTTATACACATATATATTGCATATACACACATATGTGTATATATATATATATATATATATATATATATATATATATATAGTGTTTTCTTTATCCACGTGTTGATTGATGGGCATTTGAACTGGTTCCATATTTTTGCAATTGTGATTTGTACTGCTATAAACATGCTTGTGCAAGTATGTTTTTTGTACAATGCTTCTTTTCCTCTGGATAGATACCCAGTAGTGGGATTCCCGGATCAAATGGTAGAGCTACTTTTAGTTCTTTAAGGAATTTCCACAATGTTTTCCACAGTGGTTGTACTAGTTTTAATTCCCACCAATAGTGTAAAGTGTTCCCTTTTCACTACATCAAAGCCAACATCTATTATTTTTTTATTATGGCCATTCTTGCAGGAGTAAGGTGGTATTGCATTGTGATTTCGATTTGCATTTCCCTTATAATTAGTGATGTTGAGCATTTTTTCATGTTTCTTGGCCTATTTTTTTTTTTTTTTAAAGACAGAGTCTCGCTCTGTCGCCCAGGCTGGAGTGCAGAGGTGTGATCTCAGCTCACTGCAGCCTCCACCTCCTGGGTTCAAGTGATTCTCCTGTCTCAGCCTCCCGAGTAGCTAGGGTTACAGATGCACACCATCACACCTGGATAATTTTTGTATTTTTGGTAGAGATGGGGTTTCACCATGTTGGCCAAGCTGGTCTCAAGCTCCTGACTTCAAGTGATCCACCTGCCTCGGCCTCCCCGAGTGCTGGGATTACAGGCGTGAGCCACCGTGCCTGGCCTGTTGGCCATTTGTATATAGAAGAGGTGGTATTGTACTCAGTGGAGCAAAATAGTCACCCACTAAGTATGCACAATTCTCCTGGGGGGACAGGGAGAGGTGGTACCCTCTGCCACTCATTTCTTTCCTATCTCTTCCCTTCCTGTTCAGGTTCTGCTTAGTTCAGAGTGAGCTCTGAAAGTCTATTCTTAATCTTTTCCAGGACTTAATACCTTACCATACTGAGTATACTGGTTTAAATAGTGTCCTCCTAAAATTCATGTCCACCCAGAACCTCAGGATATGACTTCATTTGGAAACAGGGTCTGTACAGATGTAATCAAGTTAAGATGAGGTCGTACTGGAGTAGGGTGGGCGCAGGTTGTCCCTTCATGTAGTGTCAGGGTGTGGGCTAGTTTGGTCTTCCTTCCAACATGGTGACCTCAGTCAGGCTGCTTATGGCCTCCAGAACTCTGGGAATGGGACTTGCTGTTGTCTGGGGGAGGCTTGGCAGAGAGGAAATGTGGCTGCTGGTGGCTATGAAGTGAGACTTGGAGCAGACGGAAATTTTTTGGAGTGAAATGTGGCATGCCCTGTAATGCAAATACCCTTCCATCCTTCCTGTGAATGGGCCAGTAAAATCTACCTTGCTCATGAATGTCTTCTTTTCCATGAATGTCTTCTTTTCTGTTTTTTTTTTTTTTAAATTTGGTAACATGCACATAATATGAAATTTACCATCTTAGTGCAGCACTATTCACAATAGCAAAGACTTGGAAACAACCCAAATGTCCATCAGTGATAGACTGGATTAAGAAAATGTGGCATGTATACACCAGGGAATACTATGCAGCCATAAAAAATGATGAGTTCATGTCCTTTGCAGGGACATAGATGAAGCTGGAAACCATCATTCTCAGCAAACTATCAGAAGGACAGAAAACCAAACACCGCATGTTCTCACTCATAGTTGGGAGTTGAACAACGAGAACATTTGGACACAGGGTGGGGAACATCACACCCAGGGGGTGGGGGGCGTGGGGAGGGATAGCATTAGGAGAAATACTTAATGTAAATGTCGAGTTGATGGGTGCAGCAAACAAATATGGCACATGTATACCTATGTAACAAACCTGCACGTTGTGCACATGTACCCTAGAACTTAAAGTATAATAAAAAAAATAAATTTACGATCTTAGCCATTACTAGGTGTACAGTTCGGTGGAATTTAATACCTTCATAATGTTGTGGAACCATCTCCATAACTGTTTTCATCTTGTAAAACTGAAACTCTGTACCCACTAAACACTCACTCCAGGCTGGGCATGGTGGCTCATGCCTGTAATCCCAGCAATTTGGGAGGTTGAGGTGGGCAGACTGTTTGAGGCCAGGAGTTGGAGACCAGCCTGGGTGTCATGGTGAAACCCAGTCTCTACAAAAAATGCAAAAATTAGCCCACAGTGGCACGTGTCTTTAGTCCCAGCTACTCGGGAGGCTGAGGCATGAGATTCGTTTGAACCCAGGACGTGGAGGTTGCAGTGAGCCGAGATGGCACCACTGCACTCCAGCCTGGGTGACAGAGTGAGACTCTGTCTCAAAAAAAGAAGAAGAAGAAAAAAAGAGACTCTCAGGTTCCACCCTAGACCTGAGCCCCTCCCAGATTCTTAACCCACAGAAACCAAGAGTGATAACCAGACAAACTTTTTTTTTTTCTCTTAGATTCAAGAGGTACTTGTGAATCTAGAGAGAGAGTCCCAGGGGAATAACGTTAAACAGAAATGACCTTGTTCATTATTGGTTGACTTGTTTATAATCAGAATGATAATGATTAGCATTCCTTTGTCTCTCCCCACTAGAATGTCTGCTTCATGAGACTTTGTGTGTTTTATTTTCTGTTCTATCTCCACTTTGTACTCACTGTGGTTAGCAAAAACAGACAAATTAAAAATCAAACAAAACGATAAATAAAAGGCTATCCATATTTGATATAATGATAAATTAAGCAAACAAATAATGAAACACAGGAGCAAGCCTTCCCAAATATTGCTCTCAGAACAGGCACTTTTCTCCAGCCCACTGGAGACCATGAGTGGCTCCAGGTCCAGCCCTTGGTCCACAAGTTCTCTGTTCTGGCTCTGAGCACTCACTTTTGGTTTTCTGAGTCACAGCTCCAAAGAGGCTCAGCAGAAAGCAGAGGCCTGGAATAGATGGGAAACAGAAGGGAGAGACATGAAACAATTGAGGAGAGATTCCAAGAAATGCCCCAAGGACTGTGTATCAGTTATCTATCACTGTGTAACAAATTACAAAAATGTAGTGGCTTAAAGCTACATTTTTGTTGAGTATGGAGATCTCTCAAATAACTAAAAATAGGACCACTGTTGGACCCAGCAATCCCACTACTGGATATCTACCCAAAGGAAAAGAAATCATTATATAAAAAAGACACCTGCACTCATACATTTACAGCAGCATTATTCACAATAGGCAAGTCACGGAGCCAACCTAAGTGTCCACCAACAGTTGACTAGATAAAGAAAATATGCCATATATGCACCATGGAATACTATGCAGCCATAAGAAAGAATGAAATCATGCCCTTAGCAGCAACATGGATGGAGCTGGAGGACATTATCCTAAGTGAACTCACTCAGAAGCAGAAAATCAAATATTGTATGTTCTCACTTATATGTGGGAGCTAAGCAGTGGGCAGACCTGGACATGAAGATGGAGACAATAGACTCTGGGGACTTTGCAATAGCCATGACTTGGCTATTGTGAATAGTGCTGCCATAGACATATGAGTGCAGGTGTCGCTTTGATATAATGATTATTATTTTTTTTCTTTTTTTGAGACAGAGTCTCTTTCTGTCACTCAGGCGGGAGTGCAGTGGCGCGATCTTGGCTCACCACAACCTCCACCTCCCAGGTTCAATCGATTCTCCTGCCTTAGCCTCCCGAGTAGCTTGGATTACAGGCACTCACTACCACACCTGGCTAATTTTTGTACTTTTAGTAGAGAGGTGGGTTTCACCATGTTGGCTAGGCTGGTCTTGAACCCCTGACCTCAAGTGATCCACCCACCTCAGCCTCCCAAAGTGCCGGGATTACGGGCATGAGCCACTCTGCCCAGCCCAATGACTATTATTATTTTTTTGGGTAGATACCCAGTAGCGGGATTTCTGGGTCCAACAGTAGTTCTATCTTTAGTTCTTTAAGAGATCTCCAAACTCAACAAAAATGTTGTTTTAAGCCACTAAAAAAGGGGAGGATGTGGGGTGGTGAGGGTTGAAAAATTACCTATTCGGTACAATGTTTAATGTTTGGGTGATGGGTACATCAGAAACCCAGTCTCCACCATTATGCATGTAATATCCATATAACATACAAGCACATGTACATCTTGAATCTAAGAAAAAAAATGTTTGTTTTGTTATCACTCTTGGTTTCTGTGGGTCAAGAATCTGGGAAGGGCTCAGCTGGGCGGTTCTAGCTTGATGGTCTCATATGATTATAGTCAGTTAGTGGATGGGGCTGCAACGGCTGAGAACTAGCTGGGCATTGTCCCTTCACCTGTTGTCTCAGGGTGTTGGGCTTGTTTGGGCTTCCTTCAAACATGGAGACCTGAAGCAAGCTGCTTTAATGGAACATCTAAGCTCTAAGCATGAGTGTCCCAGCTGATGAGGCTGCATTTCCTCTTGACACTCATCCCTGAAAGTCACCTGGCTCTACTTCCATCATATTCCCTTGGTTACAAGCAAGTTACAAGCTCATTCAGATTCAAGTGGAGAAGAATCAAATTCTTCCTCCTTATGAGAGACCAGCAAGGTTCTAGAAACACATTTTTGATGGGGGATATTATTTCCACCTTTTTGGAAAATTGTCTGCTCAGGCTGGCTCTATTGTGGCTGGTAAAGAGCCCTTTGCTCTTCCCCATGCCTTTCCAACATCCGATGATGTCATCAGTCATGTTCCTGCTTCTGCAAAGACCTAAAGATGCTGGACAGATGGACTGCTTTTTTTCTGTCACTTCAGCTTTGCAACGACTTTAGCAGGAAAGTGCTATTAGCATCATCTCTGCTTTTCAGATTAAGAAATGGAGGCACAGAGAAGGTAAGTAACTTGCTCCATTCACTGGGGCTAGTCAGTGGCAGAGCTGAGGTTAAACACGGGTTCTGGGTTCTAGCTGATAACCCATTACACCACATAGCCTCTCCTTCAGAAATCCCACAGGGCACTACCTGCATGGAAGTGCTGTTCAGATTGTAGACACTGTAGGTTGGCATGTTTATTGTGACAGTGACTTGTCCTTTTTTCCCCCGGCAGATGCCACTCACCAGATCTGACTGGAGCCTCAAAGTCCCGTAGAGAGTGGTATGTGACTTGGTCATTTAGGGCAGTGCAGACCAATTGTAGGATTTTGGAGAAGAGGCCCTGGGGGCTAACTGTGTGACTCTTCAGGAGAGGTAATGGCAGCAATCTAAATCCTTCTGGATCTCTCTCTTGAGTTTCCAATTGCTGCTATCACAAATTACCATGACTGTAGTGGCTTAAAACAACACTGATTTATTATTCTCTTACAGGTCTGGAAGTCAGAAGTCTTAAATCAGCCTCTATAGGCTAAAATCAAGAATGTTAGTAGGGCTGGTTTCTTTTGGAAGCTCTAGGGGAGAATCTGTCTCCTTGCCTTTTCCAGCTTCTAGAAGCTGCCTGCATTTCTTGGCTCACGGACCCTTCCTCCTTCTTTAAATCCAGCAGCACAGCATCTTCTCGTCTTCCTGATCTTCCACCTCCCTCTTAAGAGGACCTTTGTGATTATTATATTAGGCCCCCTGGAAAATTCAGGGTACTACCCCCATATTAAGATTCTTATCTTAATCAACATCTGCAAAGTTTCTTTTACCATGTAAGGTAACATATTAACAGGTTCCAGGGATTAGGATGTGGATGTCTCTGGGGGGACTGTTATTTTTCTTCCTGTAATTCTCACCCTTCCCCCAAGAAGATGCCAGGTCTGGTTTGTGATCAGTTACTTATGCAATTGCATTCACAGAACATTTTGAATATTCTCAGCTGGGCTTAATGTCAGGCTGATGTTTCCTTTAAAGTCCCCTTCCTTCTACATTTTTTATTTTTATTTTTATTTTTTTGAGGCAGGTTCTTTTTCTGTTGCCCCGGTTGGAGTGCAGTGGTGCAATCATACCTCACTGTAGCCTTGAACTCCTGGGCTACATGCATGAGATACCACTTGTGGCCAATTAAAAAAAATTTTTTTGGTAGAGATTGGGTCTTGCTGTGTTGACCGAGCTGGTCTTGAACTGTTGGCCTCAAGTGATCCTCCTTCTGTGGCCTCCCAAAGTGTTGGCATTATATGCGTGAGGCACTTTCTTCTTTTGTATATACATGAATGTGTAGCAGCCACACAAACCTTACGCCTGCCCAAATGATGACTAGCTCACAGGGCCAACTGATAAACCATATGGCTGAATAGTGTTACCCTGTTCCTAAAACTCAGGCAGTCTGGGGGACCATCATGTTTCCTTAAGACTAGTCTTTAGTCTAACCAGCAAGCCTGTACTCACTAATTTGGGCAAAGGTCTTAAGTTAGGGTTTCTGAAGAGTCATCGGTGTGTCAGAATCCCAGAGTTCTAAGAAACTTTAGAAATCATCCACTGACTTATTTTGTAGATGAGGAAACAGGTCCCCTGGGGTTAAGTGGCTGGCACACTAGTTGGGCAAATTTGGGTAAGTTGTTTAACTTCTCTAAGCTTCCTTATGTGAAATAGGGTGGCAGTATGACCTACTTTGTGGGGTTTTGGAGATGACCTAAATGAGGGACTGTGTAGAGCACAATGTCAGGCAGGAAGTCCTCCACTGATACTGGCTGCCTCTGTCACCATCTGACTTCCTCCTTTCCCATTTGGATGCTTTTTCTTTCTCTCTTTTTGCCTAATTGCTCTAGCTTGCTGCCTATATTATCATTTGAGCTCTGTTGCTCAGGCTGGAGTGCAGTGATGCAATCACAGCTCATTGTAACCTTGAACTCCTGAGCTCAAGCGATCCTCCCACCTCAGCCTCCAGGGTAGCTGGGACTGCAGGTGTGTGCCACCATGACTGGCTAATTTTTTTTTTTAATGTTTCTTGGAGACAGAGTCTTGCTATGTTGCTCAGTCTGGTCTTGAACTCCTGGCTCAAGCAATCTTCCCGCCTTGCCTTCCAAAGCTTTGGGATTATAGGTATGAGCCTCCATGCCCAACCCTGGAATCCTAATTCTTGACCCAATGCTCATATCATCACCCTTGCCTGTACCATCCAGTGATATGGGCTAAAAGTTCCTGGATAACCAAAATTCACTAATAATCCACCTCAGAAGTGTGGAGGACTCTGTCTCCAGTTGCAAAAAGGCAGGCTTCTTTCACATTTGATTCCACATATACTGAAACACCTCTTATATATAAGATGCTATGCTAGGGGTTGCAAAGGTGAGGGAGACATGGCATTAGGATTTAAGTGTAGCTTGTATTATTTTGATAGAATTTACAGCCTATCAGCTGCCTCTGCAGCAGAATAGCTGTGAGGCTTTGAGAAATTCACAGAACCTCTCTATGATGCAATTTCTTATCTGTAATGTGCAGATGCTATGTGACAATGTAAAGCAATTTAAGCCTAATGCCAGGCTAAAGTAGCTGCTTAATAAATGTAAGCTTTGATTGATATTGGGACTATCAATATTGTTAATTCATCTGGAGCTGGAAAGATGGATGGGATTTCATCCGTACAGAGATGGTGGTTGAAGCCATGGAATTAGGAGATTCCCATAGGGAGAGGGAGTAGAAAAACAGAAGATCCCAGTAAGGATCCTGTGGGAGGAGCATTATAGCAAAGATCTGGAGACAGATGGTTTGGATTCAAATCCCAGCTCTCTTATTTACTAGCTGTGTGATGTTGGACAAATAACATAACCTGTGCCCCAGTTTTCTTATCTGTAAGATGAGGATACCCCATGAGCATACTGATGATGCAACAGATTAATACATGTAAGGTGCATAGTGAGTTTTCAAAAATGTTGGTTATCATTATTTTCTTTGTATAAATTTATGGGATACAAGTGTAATTTTGTTACACGCATAGATTTCATAGTGGTGAAGTCAGGGCTTTTAGAGTATCCACCATCCAAATGATGTACATTGTAACCATTAGGTAACTTCTTATTTTCCACTGTCCTTCTACTCCCTCAGCCTTCCCAGTCTTCATCGTCTATCATTCTACTCTCTATGTCCATGTGTCCACATTATTTAGCTCCCACTGATAAACAAGAACATGAGGCATTTGTCTTTTGGTGTTTGAGTTATTTCACTTAATATAATGACCTCTAAAATTAATAATAAAATTATCATTTATTTTCTTGTCACAGGAAAATGATAAAGGAGGGAGAAGAAAGAATAGCAAGAGAAAAAGGAAAAAAGTCAGGGCAGGGCTAGTTTGCAGAAGTTATCAAGAAGGAGAAGACATCAATTAGAAAACAAAACTTGCCAAGAGGAAGATGAACAACGTATTAGAGACCGGGTGCGGTGGCTCATGCCTGTAATCCTAGCACTTTGGCAGGCTGAGGCGGGTGGATCACCTGAGGTCAGGAGTTCGAGACCAGCCAGGGCAACATGGTGAAACCCCATCTCTACTAAAAATACAAAAATTAGCCAGGTGTGGTGATGTGTGCCTGTAATCCCAGCTACTCAGGAGGCTGAGGCAGGAGAATCACTTGAACCCGGGAGGCAGAGGTTTCAGTGAGTCAAGATTGCGCCACTGCACTCCAACCTGGGTGACAGAGTGAGATTCTGTCTCAAAAAACAAAACAAAACAAACAAACAAAACAAACAAAAAACCAAGCTACTAGATTGGATAGGAACATTTTAGGGATATTCGAGAGCATACTTTGAATAGGGTAGTCAGGAAGGAAACCACACTCCAAAGGGAAAAGGTGAGAGTGTTCAGAGCAGAAGAAAGAGGAGGAGAAAATAACCAATTGTTGAACCAAGTGGTCCCTGACTGGGGGATAGGTTAAGCCTCAGTCATTGTTACAGTCACACATACCTGGAAGAAGCAATGGTCCCTGCATTTCTGTGGTACGGGTATCCCACGCCAGCCAGCCCTGGAAGCTCTCTACTGTGCCGTAAGCCAACCACCTTTCCTAGCTCAAGAAATCCCATGAGAATTGAAGTATGTATCTTAGGTCAGCTGACTCATGAAATTGCTATCAGAAAAGCAAACTGCTTCCCCTCTTTCGCCATCAGACTCATGGTTCTGCTTTTCGTTTATTTGCTGTACCTTTTCTGCCTAGCTATTGTTGATCACCTTTGGGATGATTGAGTTGGTAAACCCTAACGAGGAAATGCCCTGAAAGTTACATCACATTGTCTGAGGATTAGGAAGTGCCTTTGGGGCCAAAATAAATCTTAAATAAGCCTGTGGCTTTGAGGTGAGTAAACCAGATTTTAGGGTGTCTGTGTTGGTATCTGAAGTTTCCAGAGGAGTCATTTTAACATATCTTTCTCTTCCCCCAGTAGATGATACTTACTGGTTATGATTGCTGAGCCATAAGAAGTTAAGAGTCCCAAAGTCTCATAGAAGGTAATACATTATTTGGTTATTTGGACCAACCCTAACCAGTCACAGGACTTGGGAGAAAAAGTCTGTAAATCTACCCTTCCTCCAGCAAATATTTATTTATTTATTTATGTGGGTCTTGCTCTGTTACCCAGGCTGGAGTGCCGTGGCACAATCATAGCTCACTGCAACCTCAAACTCCTGGGCTCCAGCGATCCTCCCACCTCAGTCCTCTGAATCGTTAGGACTACAGGTGCATGCCACCACGCCTGGCTAATTTTTTTTAGTTTTTATTTTTTTTTTTGAAGAGAGACAGGGCCTCGCTTTGTAGCCCAGGCTTGTCTTGAATTTCTGGGCTCAAGCAATCCTTCTGCCTCAGTCTCCCAGTGTTGAGATTACCGGTGTGAGCCACTGCACCCGGCTCCCCTGCTTAAAACTCTTCTGAAGCTCTTCATTAGACTTAAAACACCAGACTTCCTACTGAAGCAGTGTTGTTGTCTGGGGTTCATCCTCTCATGCCAAGTAAATCAAGGATGCGGATGCACAAGAAGTGAATTTAAGGCCGAGCACTGTGGCTCACCCTTGTAATCCCAGCACTTTGGGAGGCTGAGACGGGCGGATCACCTGAGGTCAGGAGTTCAAGACCAGCCAAGCCAACATGGTGAAACCCTGTCTGTACTAAAAATACAAAAATTAGCTGGGCATGGTGGCGCATGCCTGTAATCCCAGCTACTCGGAAGGCTGAAGCGGGAGAATTGTTTGAACCCGGGAGGCAGAGGTTGCCGTGAGCGAAGATTGCGCCAGTTCCTTCCAGCCTGGGTGACAGAGTGAGACTTCATCTAAAAAAAAAAAAAAAAAAGTGAGTTTCAGAGCAGAAGTTTAACAGGCAAGAGAAGAGAAAAAAGAGAAAAGCTCTATCCTGCAGAGAGAGAGGGGCTCCCAAGTGAGTCTTCTGGTCTCGTGGTGAAATACATGGGGTTTTATAGCCGAGCTTGAGGAGGAGCTGTCTGATTTACACAGGAACCGAGAGATTGGTCGGACTGGGTGTGCTGTTTGCATAGCACGCAAAGAAGCTGGCCGCCCCATCCTCATCTTTTACTATGCAGATGGGGTCTCTACCTGGCTGGCACTATGTTGCCTGCTTTTTTACTGCACACGTGGTGATAAAGAAAAGGGAACATGGTGAAACCCCGTCTCTACTAAAAATACAAAAAATTAGCCGGGCGCGGTGGCGGGCGCCTGTAGTCCCAGCTACTCGGGAGGCTGAGGCAGGAGAATGGCGTGAACCCGGAAGGCGGGGCTTGCAGTGACCCGAGATAGCGCCACTGCAGTCTGGCCTGGGCGAAAGAGCGAGACTCTGTCTCAAAAAAAAAAAAAAAAAAAAAAAAGGGAAGAGGGAACCTCCATGTTGAACATGCCTGCCCCCAGGAAGCCTTTTCCTATTGGCACAGCCGCTGCATTTACCTTTGCAAACTTCCAGCTTGCTTATTTATGTTTGTAGCTCGATTTTGCAGACTGCTCTTTGTCGTGGTGGTGATGATGATGATGGTGATAATAACGGTTGTGGTGGTGATGGTGGTAATCATGGTAGTGGCAGGAGTGATGGTGGAGCTATAGGTGGTGGTGGTGACGATGAAGGAAGGGATGATGGTGATGATGACGATGGTTGCGATGATGGTGAAGATGATGAAAGTGACGGTGATGGTAGTAGCGATGGTGATGGTTACATTATGGTGATATTTTCAGAGATGGTGGTGATGATGGTGATTGAAGGTGACAGCTGCAGTGAAGGTGATTGTTGTGGTGATGGTGACGAAGGCTGTGATAGCAGTGGTGATAATGATGGGGTGAAAATAGCAAAGGTGGTGGTTATATTGGTAGTGGAGGTAAAGACGAAAAGAAATGATTTTGGGGCTGCTTTTTGTTAACAGGGAAGCCTTACTGAGGACTCTCTTACCCTCACCAGTTGCCTGAATAATATCTTTTTAGCTCTTGTATCACTAGATACAACAGGAACAAAAAGGAACAAACAAACAGGCAAACAAACAAAAAAACCACTGCAAGAAAGTAGCCCTGGTGGCAACTGAAGACACGGTCATGGATTAAATCATTTAGGGAGAGATTATAGAGTGGAAAAAGAACCCTGAGTAATTCATTTAAAAACTCAGGCAATGTTAATTTGTGCAAAGGCAATAGAAAAAAATTAAAAAAAATAAAGGAATGGAGAGGCAGCTAATAGAGGAGACAGGACGAGAATGGCCAGAGAGATGAGGGGTGGGGGTGGGAAATGAATGGAGTATGGTATTATGGAGGTAAAGGAAAGAGATCACACTGAATTAAGACTGAAAGACACCCACAGGAGAGAGCTGCAAGGGGGTTGTTTGTATTCTTAGCATGAACAATTACAGTAGTGAAGGTGGTGGTGGTGGTGATGATGCTGATGCTGATGATAGCGGTTGTGGTGGTGGTTGTTATATATAAAGTTTCGGTGACGTGAAAGAAATAGCACTTGAATATAAAATTTTCCTTTTAATTCTCAGCAAGGCAAGTTACTTCAATATAGAAGGGTGTGCCCTTACAGATGGAACAGTGGCGAGCGCACATTCGGACATGGGAGGGGAAGGGGTTCTTATCCCTGACTCAGGTGGCCCCTGCTGCTGTGTCGTTCCCCTATTGGCTAGGATTAGACCGCGCAGGCTAAACTAATGCCGATTGGCTAATTTAAAGAGAATGACGGGGTGAGTGCTTTGGCGGGAGTCAGGGCAGAGCAGGTAGCAGGTAATCGGAATGAGTTAGGGTGGAGCAGGTGATCAGAATGAGTCAGGGTGGAGTAGGTAATCGAAAAAGCTGCTTTACGAGGAAGTTAAGTTTAAAAGTAGAAGGCAAAGAATTGAACATACTGACATATTAATTCTTTGAAAATAAATTTAGAACTCATATCTAACATGGTGATGATGATGATGATAATAACGGTTGTGGTGGTGATGATGATGGTGATAGAATGGTTGCAGTGGTGATGGTGGTCATCATGGTAGTGGCAGTAGCGATGGTGGTGGTAGAGGTCGTGGTGGTGATGACGGAAGTGATGATGGTGGTGATGATGATGGTTGCGATGGGGCTGAAGGTGACGAAAGTGACGACGGTGGTAGTAGCAATGGTGGTGGTAACATCACAGTGATGTTTTCAGAGATGGTGGTGATGATGGTGATTGATGGTGACAGTTGTAGTGAAGGTGACTGTTGTGATGGTGATGAAGGCTGTGATAGCAGTGGTGATGAAGATGGGAGTGAAAATAGTGGCGGTGGTGGTTATGTTGATAGTGGAGGTAAAGATGGTGGTGATGCCAATAATGGTAGGGAAGGTGGTGGAGGTTGTTGTTATAATGGTTCAAGCCAGAATTATGTGGATTGAGGAAAAAGCGCGAGGGGAAGAAGTGGAGACAGCAAGTGAAGTCACCTGTAAAGACAGTTGGAGAAAAAAGTATGAGCAAAGCAAGATGATCAAGAGACCTCCCTGGGTGTTTGGAGCATGGTGGAATTAGCTGGCTATTGGGATTGTCAAGGCCATGAACGTACGTAGTAGGTTTGTTGGGCTCTCAACATCCTACTGTCCCAGCATGCATGCAGTGAGGCTTCCTGATCTTTCTCCCTAGTGATCGTCTAGGGGTGGGGTTGTAGAGGCAAGAGTTGATCAAGAGAGACAGGTGGTGCTACCTAATGGTCAGGCCAAAGTGGTTCACATAGTTTGGATGTTGTTCCCTCTAACTCTCATCTTGAAATGTAATCCCCAGTGTTGGAGGTGCGGCCTGGTGGGAGGTGATTGGATTATGGGGGTGGATTTTTGATGGCTGGTTTAGTGCCATTTCCTCGGTGCTGTCCTCATGATAGTGAGTGAGTTCTCATGAGATCTGGTTGTTTAAAAGTGTGTGACTCCTCCCCTCTTCTCTCTTGCTCCTGCCCTCACCATGAGACACCTACTTTCCCTTCACCTTCTGCTATGATTGGAAGCTTCCCAGGCCTTCCCAGAAACCAAGCAGATGTCAGCTTCCTGTAAAGCCTGCGGAACCACGGGCCAGTTAAAACACTTCTTTATCAATTACCCAGCCTTGGATATTCCTTTGTAACAATGCAAGAATGGCTTAACTCAGTAGTTATGCTATTACAGAATGTTGGCTGCAGAGTCAGAATCCCTGGGTTCAAATCCTGGCTCTGCCACTGATTAGCTGTGTGACTTTGGGAAAGTTACTCAACCTCTCTTTTCTGCAGGCATCTCTGATCTGGGATAACTGCAATAGTCTCGTAACTCGTTGTCCTTCTGTCCCATCCTCCACCGTGCAGTCAGGACAGTTTTCTGAAAGATGATTCTGGGCCCATCACACCTCTGCCTCACAACCCTGTGAATATTTCACAGGCTAAATGCACTTACTTAGTAGGTGCATAAATCTCACCCCACTCTGGTCCCACTCCACTTCTCCAGCCTCATTTCCTACCCTTCTGCTTCAGCCTTTCCACCTTCCCTGATACATTTTCTGTTTCCCTAAACTCCACATTCTATTTGTAGCCTTTCATGCCTTTGTACATGTGATTCTCTCAACCTGGAATGCCCCCCCATTTTTTTTTTTTTTTGAGACAAAGTCTCACTCTGTCACCCAGGCTGGAGTACAGTGACATGATCTTGGCTCACTGCAATCTCCGCTCCCCGGGTTCAAGCAATTCTCCTGCCTTAGCCTCCTGAGTAACTGGGACTATAGGTACCCGCCACCATGCCTGGCTAATTTTTGTATTTTTAGTAGAGATGGAATTTCCTCACGTTGGTCAGGCTGGTCTCAAACTCCTGGTCTCAAGTGATCTGCCTGCCTTGGCCTCCCAAAGTGCTGGGATTACAGGTGTGACCCACTGTGCCCCACCTGGAATGCCCTTTCTTTTTCTTTCTTGCCACTCTACTCCTGGCCACGTCCTTCAAGTGGCATTCTTTTGCATGTCCTTCCATGATAAACTCTTGTGAAAGGAAAATAAAGTCTCAGGACTCCAATTCAGGAATAAAATTAAGCTGAAAGCGGAGTCAAGCAGACAGCTACAGATAAAAGGCCAGATATCTTCACAGGTAGCTACTGTATATTCATTTTATCTTACATAAAGTGCCGATTTACTGAGCACAAGGTGAATACATCATTGACTAGTCCCCCACCTGCTCCTTTTATCTCTGGCAACACATTGGTTCAGTAATGTGACCAAACTCTCCCTCTTTCCCCTCCAGTCTGCTTTTCCCCCTTAAATATTGAAGCCCTCAAAATTATCTTTGGAGAAACAAACAGATGATAGTATGTTTTTCTGTGTTCCTTTCTTCCAGGCATGTTCTTGACCCTAGCAAAATAAGCTTCTAAATTGATTGAGACCTGTCTCAGTTACTTTTGGTTTATACTCTCCACTGTGCCCTTCCCTGCCTCTAAGATAGAGTTAGCTTCTCTCATTTCTCTGTTCATATCCTATTTCATCAAATCTAAAGCATTATTAATTTTAAGGTACACCATTGGCCGGGTGCGGTGGCTCATGACTGTAATCCCAGCACTTTGGGAGGCTGAGGTGGGCGGATCACTTGAGGCCAGGAGTTTGAGACCAGCCTGGCCAACATGGCGAAACCCCATCTCTACTAAAAGTACAAAAAAGTAGCCAGGCGTGGTGGCACGCACCTGTAATCCCAACTACTCAGGAGGCTGAGGCAGAAGGATCGTTTGAACTCAGGAGGCTGAGGTTGCAGTGAGCCAAGATGGTGCCACTGTACTCCAGCCTGGGTGACAGAGTGAGACTCCACCTCAAAAATAAATAAATAAATAAAGGTACACCATTATTTTATGTACCACTACACCTAACCATTAAACTATGATACAATGCTTTATTATTCTTTATAAATTTTTATTTTATTCTTGAATGAGCTATAATAGATTTATTTAGAAATGAATATTTATCATGCATGGCTCTGTTGCATGCATACAAAAGAAACTAGCAGCGGGAACTAAATTTGTTAAGATGTTCTTGAAGCTTCTTCATATTCAGAATCTTCTAAATTACTTTCAGCACAGTCATTGGTGCCCATGTTTCAATTTCCATGTTTCTCTATGTCAGTAGTTCTCAAGATGTGGTCCCCAGATCAGTTGCATCAATATTGTCTGGGAATTTGTTAGAAATGCAGATTCTTGGGCCTGGTGTGGTGGCTTATGCCGGTAGTCCCAGCACTTTGGGAGGTCAAGGTGGGCAGATCACAAGGTCGAGAGATCGAGACCGTCCTGGCCAACATGGTGAAACCCTGTCTCTACTAAAAATACAAAAATTAGGCAGGAGTGGTGGTGGGCACCTGTAATCCCAGCTACTCAGGAGGCTGAGGCAGGAGAATCGCTTGAACCTGGGAGGTGGAGGTTGCAGTGAGCTGAGATCACACCACTACACTCCAGCCTGGGGACACAGTGAGACTTCATCTCAAACAAATAAATAAATAAATAAATAATGCGGATTCTTGGACCATATCCAGACCTGCTGAATCAGAAATGTTGAGATAGAGCCCAGTGAGTGTTTTTTAACAGACCTTCCAAGTAATTCTGATACATGCTTAAGTTTGAGAACCCAGCTTTGCATGGTATTGTTCTCTGGACCATCAGGAGTACTGTGATGTAGGATTTATTCAAAGAACCCATGAGAGAGCCAGAGGCCATTGCTAGTTCTCTGCCATCCTAACATTGCTTAGTGGGGCACCTGAGAATAAATCAAATGTTTTCCAACTGTGATGACAAATGAGATTATAATTCCTTTTCGTAACCAAATTATTGTGGTATAATATTCCAGGGGCTTTCTTGCTGGAAATCTAAAAGTGTGTTCTCAGTTATCTCTGAGAGTTTCTCACAGGTTCACCTCATAGATGTCCCTGAATAGCCCTTTCCATCCTTCCATGCATCCATCCATGCATCCATCCATGCATCTATCCATTTATCCATCCATCCATCCATCATCAATCCATCCATCCATCATGCATCCATGCATCCATCCATCCATCCACTCACCCAGCCATCTACCTTTCATCCGTTCACTCACCGACCTATTCTTCTTTTCATCCACCAACCCATTTATGCACTCATCCATCCACTTAGTCACACACTCAACTTTTCATCTTGGGTGATGGAGGTTGGGATGCTTGTGATTTTGGTGAGGATAGAGATTGAGATGCAAATTATTTTTGGTGTGGGATAGAGGCTGGGATGCACATGGTTTTTTAGGGGGATAGAGGTTGGAATGCACATGATTTTTGGGGAGTTAGAGGTTGGGATTCTTGAGGTTTTGGGGGATACAGGTTGGGATGCATGTGATTTTTGGGGGGATAGAGACTGATATGCACATGCTTTTTTGGGGGGATAGAGGTTGGGATGCATGTGATTTTTTGGGGGTAGGGTTTGTAATGCACATGATTTGTTGGGGGTAAGGGTTGGGATGCACTTGATTTGTTTGGGGGATGAGGATTAGAATGCACCGAATTGGCCAGGCTCCGTGGCTCACACCTGTAATCCCAGCACTTTGGGAAGCCAAGGTGGGTGGATCATGAGGTCAGGAGTTCAAGACCAGTTTGGGCAAGATGGCGAAACCCTGTCTCTAATAAAAATACAAAAAATTAGCCAGGCCTGGTGGTGGGCATCTGTAATCCCAGCTACTCGGGAGGCTGAGGCAGGAGAATCACTTGAACCTGGGAGGCGGAGGTTGTGGTAAACCAAGATTGCGCTGTTGCACTCCAGCCTGGGCAACACAAGCTCCCTCCCCCCCGCAAAAAAAATAGAATTTACCGAATTTTGAGTGGAGTGCAGCTTTCATAATGCACATGATTTTTGGGTGGGGTTTATAATGCACAAGATTTGCTGGGGGGCAGGGTTTAGGATGCATTTGATTTGTTGGAGGGATAAGGGTTAAAATGTACATGATTTTTTTTTTCTTGGGTGCAGGGAGTGGGATGCACATGATTTTTGAGGCATAGAGGTTGGGATGCCCATGACTTTGGGGGTAGGGGTTATAATGCATGTGATTTCTTACAGAGGGGTTACTCCTAGAAGAAGAGAACTGAAGAAGGATAGGACAGAGGAAGGAGCTGAACAAGGAGGTAGTCTTAGCAAGAGTCTAGCCTCAGCCTAATCCCATGGGGAGCTCTGGACTGTGCACCATGGAGTTGATCCATCTTGAGGCAGGGCCCTTATACAAGGCCCTTATGTCAATCAATCATTGGCTGTGGCTGCCCTGGGCGTGGGTGCAAGCCAAACCTCACAGGTAAATGAATGAATGCAACCATGAAGAGCAACTGGGTGGAGCTCCAGGAGCATCAACTGCATTGCTCAAACCTTTATCTGGGTCATGCTCACCCACTGCCTCAAACGTTGCTACACAGAGTATGAATGTCACTTCCTCTTCATTTTAAAGTGTTCAAAATAACAATTCTCATTAGCCGTGTTGCAACATCACATGATAAATATGGGGGTGAGCAGCTTCCACATGATTCTTTTTTTCAATTTCTGTTGTTATTTCTCATTGAAAAAATAAGAATTGTATATATTGATGGGGTACTATGTAATGTGTTGATATATGTATACATGTGGAATGATTTTACCAAGTGAATTAACACATTCATTACTTCACATACTTATATATTTTGTTGTAGTGAGAATATTAAATAAGTAAATATATATATATATATATATATATATTTTTTTTTTAGAGACAGGGTCTTGCTCTGTTGCCCAGGTTGGAGTGCAGTGATGTGATCATAGCTCACTGCAGCCTCGAACTCCTGGGATCAAGCGGTCCTCTTGCTCCAGCCTCCTGAGTAGCTGGGACTACAGGGGCATGCCACCATGCCTGGCATATATATATATATATATATATATATATATTGGAGATGGGGTCTTGCCATGTTGCCTAGGCTGGTCTCCAACTCCAGAGCTCAAGCCCTCCTCCCACCTCGGCTTCCCAAAGTGCTGGGAATACAGGCATGAGTGACTGCGCCTGGCCAAAATGTATTTTTTAAAACAATTTTCAAATATACAATGAATTATTAACTATTGGCACCTTGCTGGGCAATAGATCTTGAAAACTCATTCCTCCTGTTTAACTGGAACTTCATATTCTTTGGTGCAAGTAATGCTTAATTCTTTTTTTATATTTTGAGACGGAGTCTCACTCTGTCACCCTGGCTGGAGTGCAGTGGTGCGATTCTCAGCTCACTGCATCCTCTGCCTCCCAGTTTCAAGCGCCTCTCCTGCCTCAGCCTCCTGAGTAGCTGGGATTACAGGTGCCCGCTACCATGCCCAGCTAATTTTTGTATTTTTAATAGAGACGGGGTTTCACCATGTTGGCCAGGCTGGTCTCGAACTCCTGACCTCTAGTGATCCACCCACCTCGGCTTCCTAAAGTGCTGGGATTACAGGTGTGAGCCATCGTGCCTGGCAGTAATGTTTAATTCTCGACAGGCTCAAAGATGATCATGGCAGCCAGCTTGGTAGTCAGGTTGAATTTATTTAAGTGTCGATCCCTACAGAGAGGATGCTGTTGATCCCTCACCCAGATCCCGTTTTCTGGTTTATTTTCTAGAACTATTTCCATGAGAAATAAAATCAAATTTTATTAATGTCAAGAAAGTATTTCTTTGCCCTAAGGAACAAATGGATTGTTCTGTAGGGACTCATCCCCCAGCTGTTGTATATTAGTTGCTATCAGTCACGGCTGTCTGATATATCAACCTGAAATAATCAAAAGCACCAGATTCCAGTTTTAAAGAGCTTATTCAAGAGAAAATCCATGAACAGCCACTCTGGGATGCACAAACTCTAGAGAAATGGAGTCAATGCTCTGAAGTTAGAAGCTAAGTTCTTGCTTGTATAGGAAGACAAAGAAATTTAACAGGATTACATTTTCTATACAAGGCTGGTTTATGAGTTATAACAAATTAATTAGTTGCAGTTTTTTTTCTGTGTGATTTGTTTTCTTTTTGTTGTAGCTGCTTTTCATTTTCTTTCCAATTTAAAAGTGTGTATTTAACATTCCCTCTAAAGGCAGTGTAATAGCCATGAAGTCCTTATGTGAGAAAGGGAAAAGGGAAGTTATTTTTTACTGAAAGTCAACAGCAGAGAAGGAAGGGTCTTCCCTGGCTCTTCAACCACCTGTAACATTTTACAAAACAGTGCCAGTAAAGGAAAAGGTTTAATCTGTAATCAGAGAAACAAAAGCTATGGCTTCCTGGGTTTGAGCTGCCTGTTACGTGACTCGGGCCCTGTAATTCACATTCCTTTAAGGCCCTAAATAATTTAATTGAGTTCCAACAGCTTAATTTTCTTTTTATTTGGAGATGGATTCTCACTGTCACCCAGGCTGGAGTGCAGTGGTGTGATCATGGCTCACTGAAGCCTTGAACCCCTGGACTCAAATCGATCCTCCCACCTTAGCCTCCTGAGTAGCTGGGACAACAGGCATATGCCACTATGCCTAATTAAATTTTTTTTTTTTTTTTTGTAGAGACAGAGACCTTGGTACGTGGCCCAGGCTGGCCTACAACTCCTGGCCTCAAGTGATCCTCCCACCTAGGCCTCCCAAAATGTCGGTATTACAGGCATGAACCAACTGTGTCCAGCCCCAATAGCTTAAATTTTGAATGACTAATTTTATGCCTCCTTCAGATAATTGCTGCCTCAGCTGAACAGGAGTTGCTCTGGGAGGTTATGATCCCCCACCCTTAGGAGGCATCTTGCAGCCAATGGCTATCCAAGATGGGGGTACAAAATGCCAGCTCCTTTCCTCAAAGTAGAATGGGACCAGTTCTGTGTCTCATACTCCAGAGCTCCCTATGAGATTAGGTTGAAGCTTGACTCCAGCTGAGCCCACATCTTTGTTCAACTCCTTCCTTTCCTTCCTACCCTGCTTTCCTTACTCCCTCTCTCCCAAGAGCACCCCAGCAAATCATGAGGACCTACCCTCCTCCCAGGGATTGCGACCTAACCAAATTCCTCCCTTATTTGGTTATGTCATCAACACAAAAGAAGAAATAATTCAAGTTTCCTAACACTTTCTGGTTTTATCCTGAGATGAGATTTAAAAATATAATGCTTGATTTACAGTAAGACACAAATAAGATCCCCATTATCAATATTACTTTATTGATGATGATGATAATAATGATGATTGAGTCCTATTTCAGAGTGCTTAATTTCTTTTTGAAATTGAGATAGAGTCTTTCTATATTGCCCAGGCTGGTCTTGCACTTCTGGCCTCAAGTGATCCTCCTGCCTTGGCCTCCCAAAGCACTGGGATTACAGGTGTGAGCCACCGCGCCCAGCTCAGAGGGCTTAGTCTTTACATTATAGTGCCATCTTCTGGTAAGATTAAAGAAAAAGAAATCCAAAGTAGCTTCAAATGCTGGGCTTTAAGAAGCTGGGTTGAAGTATGGATGAAGGTCTAAATTTTCCGGGTATGAGGAGTTAAGGCAAATCCTACAGAGATATTAACTTGTTCTTTTTTACATCACCTTAAATCTATTATTGTATCTTTATTATTCTGGGACATTCAGGCCCAAAGATACTCATTAAGTCAGTAAGCTAAATTTAGTGACAAGTGCATGAGAATTAGAGTTAGGAAGCCTGATCATGATATTTATTCACTCATGCATTTGTGAACCCATCCATCCATCCGACAAACGTTTAAGATATGTGGTCTCTGTGCTCGGTGATTTCATGTCAGGTTGATTCATTTTACTCAGTGTTTACTTTCTCACATTTAAAATGGGGTTAACAATGGAAAACAGCGTGGCGATTCCTCAAAGACCTAAAAACAGAAATACTATTTGGCCCAGCAATCTCGTTACTGAGTATCTACCCAAAGAAATATAAATCATTCTATCATAAAGACACATGCGCATGTAAGTTCGTTGCAGCATTACTCACAATAGCAAAGATGCGGAACTAACCTAAATGCCCATCAATAGCAGGCGATATAAAGAAAATGTACATGCACACCATAGAACACTATGCAGATGTAAAAAAGAATCAGCTCATGTTATTTGCAGGGACATGGATGCACTGGAGGCCATTATCCTTAGCAAACTAACACAGGAACAGCAGACCAAATACTGGATGTTCTCACTTCTTTTTTTTTGAAACGGAGTCTAGCTCTATTGCCCAGGCTGGATTGCAATGGTGCGATCTCGGCTCACTGCAACATCTGCTTCCCAGGTTCAAGTGATTCTCCTGCATCACCCTCCCGGGTAGCTGGGATTACAGGCGCCTGCCATCATGCCCGGCTAATTTTTGTATTTTTAATAGAGACGGGGTTTCACCATGTTGGCCAGGCTGGTCTTGAACTCCTGACCTCAGGTGATCCACCTGCCTCAGCCTCCCAAAGTGCTGGGATTACAGGCGTGAGCCACCATGCTTGGCCACTGACTCCTTTCTTACTCCTGGCTTTGTTGAGTTATAGTTGACAAATAAAAATTGTATATATTTAAGGTGTACAACTTGATGTTTTGATATACATACAGTGAAATAATGAAGCAATTAGCACATCCATCGCCTCACATATTTGCTTTTTTTTTTTTGGTGGTAAGAACACGTAAGACCTACCCTCTTAGCACATTTCAAGTACATAATATGTTCCTGTTAACTACAGTCACCATGCTGTACATTAGATCTCCAAAACTTATTTATCTGAAATAACTGAACCTTTGTACATTTTGTTTTTTAAATGATACATTTCTTTTATTTTTATTTTTAGAGACAGTGTCTTGCTATGTGGCCCAGGCTGGTCATCTGGAACTCCTGGACTCAAGCGATCCTCCTGCCTTGGCCTCCCAAAGTGTGCTGTGATTACATGCATGAGCCACCCCGCCCGGCCCAACTTCTTTGTAAGAACATTTAGCTTAAAACACAGATAAATTGTACTGCATAAAGGTATTTTCTTTCTTTATATCCTTATTCTATAAGCTATTTTTCATTTTTTTTTTTGAGATGGAGTTTTGCTCTTGTTGCACAGGCTGGAGTGCAATGGCAAGACCTTGGGTCACTGCACCCTCCACCTCCTGGGTTCAAGCAATTCTCCTGCCTCAGCCTCCCGAATAGCTGGGATTACAGGCGCATGCCACCATGCCCAGCTAATTTTTGTATTACTAGTAGAGACTGGGGGTTTCATCATGTTGGCCAGGCTGGTCTCGAACTCCTGACCTCAAGTGATCCACCAGCGTCGGCCTCCAAAGTCTTGGGATTGCAGGCGTAAGCCACCGCGCCCGGTCTTTTCATATTTTTAAAACCTTTTTAAATGTGAGTAATGTGTTGCACTGCAACATTGTGACAGTTACAACATCACTAGGTGATAAGAAATTTTCAGCTCCATTATAACCTTATGGGATCACAACTGTGTATGTGTTTCGTGGTTGACCAAAACCTTGTTATGTGGTGCATGACTGCACATGTGCTTGATATATAAAGAATACCAGGGAACTAGTGACAGTGGTTGTTTCAGGGGAGGAAAATTTAGGAATAGAGTGAGCCTCCCGTTTGAACTTTTCCCATAGGTATGTACTATGTATACTACATAATAAATAGTTTTTAAAAAGTCAGATCTATGTCTTAGATTCACACATCTTATTTTTAGTGAGAAGGGCAAGCTGTAGAAGAAACAAAAATACATCGTCCTATTTTTAGAATAAAGACAGTTAGTTGACCCGTGAACACCAAGGGTTTGAACTGTGGCTATCCCCTTATAGGTAGATTTTTTTCTACCTTTGTCCTCCTTGGGACAGCAAGACAAACCCCTCCCTTTCCTCAGCCTACTCAGGGTGAAGCTGACGATGAAGACGTTTATTTATGATCTTTACGATCACTTCCACGTAACGAAGAGTAAATATATTTTCTCTTCTTCATGATTTTCTTAATAACACTTTCTTTTCTCTGAGCTTAGTTTATTTTAAGAATATGGCATATAATATACAAAATATGTGTTAACTAACTTTATGTTATTGGTAAAGCTTCTGGTTAACAGTAGTCTATTAGTAGGTAGGTTTTGGGGGAGTCAAAAGAAGTGAATTTTCCACTGCACAGGGTGGCGCCCCAACTCCCGTTGCCTAAGGGTCAGCCGTATAAAAATATACAAAAACAATCTTAAGTATGGGTATATTTTTGTAGGGGATTGGATTAAGCCCATGGATAAAGGTGGAAGGGGTTGGGGAAAAGGAAGGAGAAAAGGGTAAGTTAAATATTGAGCATCCCTAAAGAGACCCGGGGAGGGGTCGGGTGTGCCCCTCTCAACCCTTGAAGCCCAGGTCCCCTCATCCCGCCTTCCGAATGCAAGTTCAGCTCCCATTCCCACCCCAAGCACAAGCCCCGCCCCATTTTTGCCCCTGAGGCGCACGACCCGCCCCTACTACCACCCTGCAAACCAAGGCCCCGCCCACTCCGCCATTGGGGTGCAAGCCCCGCCCATCAGCCATCGGAGGGCAAGCCACACTCCACCCCGCCCCCGCGCACAGGCCCCGCCCCACTTTTGCCCCGGGACCTAAGCCCCACCCCTATCCCTGTCTCTCGGACATAGGCTCCGCCCCCAGCACCACCCTCCATGCTCTGTGGGACCCCACTCCAGAGCCTAACCTCATCCCCCGGGTAAGAATACTAGAATTTCTCCTTGGAGGCTAAAGAAGACGTTAGTTTCTCTGCCGCCGCCTAAGGCTACCCTGGCCACAACAGCCTGAGCCACAGCCACTTCCGTTCCCGGCGGCCCCGAGACCGGAAGCGGAAGTGCGCGCGGCGGCGGCCGACGGCGGCTGAGCTGTGCTGCGCGGCGCGGCGCGGTGCGGCACGGCACGGTGGGAGTGTCTCCGGCTGGCTTGCAGGTGTGGCCCGGCCCCTCGGGAGGGCGGGGAGGGCGGGGAGGGCTCGGCTGGCGCGGGGAGGGACTGGAGGGCCTAGAACAGCTCCGCCTGTGTGAGGGGTTTCCTCCCTGCGATCAGCCGGTGGCCGGCGTGAGGCCCACACAGTCAGGGCCTCGCATCTGGGCGCCCGCCGCCCGGTCTCTCGCTCTCAGGTACCCCCCGTCCGGGCAGACAGGGCTGTCATCCTGTCAAAAGGGAAATCCCAAACAGTCCAGGTCCCACAGCTCAGAAATGTGGTGACACCGGCCCCAGCTCTCACCTGTCCTTCCCAATTTTTAGGGAAAGTGCATAAAGACGGCCCTACCTTGCCTACAGTATGCAAGATAACTGCGAATTAGTAATTCACGTTTTATTTGATATGATACTTAATATTATCTAGCTTTGCAACTGGAAAGTGAGGTCTGGGTCCACATGTGCAAACTGGTTTAATTGATTGGCCAAATTTACTTAAAAAATTGAATGCATCCTCCATTAAGGAATGAATTAGATGACGAGAGATTTCTTTTGGAGACTGACAATTTGAAGTCTTTTAGCTTAATATCTGTTAGCTTGGCTTTGCATCTCTTCCTTTTCCATAACTTTTTCTTTCTTCTTTTTTTTCTTTCTCATAAGAAAGCTTTTGGCCAGGCTTGGTGGCTCACTCCTATAATCCCAGCACTTTGGGAGGCCGAGGCGGGTGGATCACCTGAGGTCAGGAGTTTGAGACCAGCCTGGCCAACATGGTGAAACCCTGTCTTTACTAAAAATACACAAATTAGCCGAGCGTAGTGGTGGGCGCCTGTAATCCCAACTACTCGGGAGGCTGAGGCAGGAGAATCGCTTGAACCCCAGAGGCGGAGGTTGCAGTGAGCTGAGATTGTGCCACTGCACTCCAGCCTGGGTGACAGAGCAAGACTCCATCTCAAAAACAAAAACAACAACAAAAGGAGGAGTTCTTAATTTTTTTTGTTTTTGTTTTTCTTTATTTTCTATGTTTGAGACGACTTTTACTTCTGCTGTGGGCATCAAGTTTCTCACTGTTAGGTTAAGAAAAGCCGTTTCTCAGTTATTTCACAAATATTATTATCAAGAAAACCTAAGACTGTTATTCAGATCTTTTCAAGTTGGCTCCAGTCCTTCCCCCAAGCATGTGAATCACAGAGCTTCAAAACTAATGGAACTTCAGGGAAAAGACGATATAAACTTTGTTAATACTGGAAATTCAAATTGAGTTGGCCATAAGTGGGATGTCTTTTTTAATAATGGGGTTAAAGCTCGTGTCTACTGAGAAATCAGGAAAAAATTAACTCCAGAGGAAAATCATGCATCAGATTTCAGTTTTACGAGTGAGGTGTTTGTTTCCACAAAGAATATATGCGCTTGCCTTGCCTTTTTAAAAAGAATTAATATTGTTTCTTAAAGGTACCTGAAACTTGTGTGATTATGTCTTATGAAAGACAGGCACTTTAAGTTATTCTTATATTTGATTTTTATGGTGTCATATTGTCTTTTTTTTTTTTTTTTTTGAGACAGAGTCTCACTTCATCACCCAGGCTGGAGTGCAGTGGCACAATCTCGGCTCACTGCAGCTTCTGCCTCCTGGGTTCAAGCAATTCTCGTGCCTCAGCTTCCCAGGCAGCTGTGATTATAGGCGCCCGCCACCATGCCCGGCTAATTTTTGTATTTTTAGTAGAGACGGGGTTTCACCATGTTGGCCAGGCTGGTCTGGAACTCCTGACCTCAGGTGATCCACCCGCCTCGGCCTCCCAAAGTGCTGGGATTATAGGCGTGAGCAACCATACCTGGCCTCATACTGTGTTTTGTGTGTGCGTGGGCATATTCCTTCTTAGGCTAGCTATACTGAGTCATTCTTGAGGAGTGTTGATTATTTGGCATATTTTCACTGGGGTGCCCTCAATGAATTGGACCCTGTACATGGGGAAACAGTGGGACTGAAATAGTTACAGTGCTTGCCCCTGTGGAGGCTTTATTCTAGCTAATAATATTGGTAAATTAATAGTGCCAAAGGCAATATGAGAACGTGGAACAGGAGAACTTGGGGAGGATGTCAGGAAACACATCTGAAAAGGAACAAATGTTTGAACCTTCAAGATGAGTTGTACGTAGCTAAACAAGGGGTCTAGCTGTGGAGTGGGGTAGCGGAGGAAACTTGAGAGAACATTCCAGATGTACAGTCTTTCAGGCAGTACGAAGCCTGCTGTGTTCCAGGAGCTGAGAACAGGTAGAGAAAGCTAAAGTAGAGAAAATAAAGTACTGAATGGATGAGCCAGGTGAGAGAGGGAGGCAGGTCCCTGAAGATCATGGTTAGCATTGGATCTTCTTTTTATTTATTTTTTTTCTTTCAGACAGAGTCTTGCTCTGTCACCCAGGCTGGAGTGCAGTGTGGGATCTGGGCTCACTGCAGCCTCCACCTCCCGGGTTCCAGCGATTTTCTGGCCTCAGCTTCCTGAGTAGCTGGGATTACAGGTGTGTGCCACCATGCCCAGCTAATTTTTGTATTTTAAGTAGAGATGGGGTTTCACCATGTTGGCCAGGCTGGTCTTGAACTCCTGACCCCAAGTGATCCACCTGCCTCGGCCTTCCAAAGTGCTGGGATTATAGGCATGAGCCACCGTGCTTGACCTGGACCTTATTCTTTTTTTTTTTTTCTTGACATGGAGTCTTAGTCTGTTGCCCAGGCTGCAATGCCGTGGCACGATCTCAGTTCACTGTAACCTCCGCCTCCTGGGTTCAAGCAACTCTACTGCCTCAGCCTCCCTCCCGAGCAGCTGGGATTACAGGCGTTTGCCACCATGCCCAGCTAATTTTTGTATTTTTAGTAGAGATGGGGTTTCACCATATTGGCCAGGCTGGTTTCAAATTCCTGACCTCAAGTGATCCACCCACCTTGGCCTCCAGCCTGAGCAACAGAGTGAGACTCAAAAAAAAAGGTTTACATCACAGTTGGAGAGAGAGAGGCCAAAATCGTTTAAGAAATAAATATCAAATCACACCTTCATATGGGCAGTGGAGGAAAAGTAGAAGATCTTAGAAGTATTTTGAGGGAAGCTAGAAGTTAAAATGTTCCTTTGATGACATGGGAAGAGTCAGTAGCAGTCACTAGAGGCTGTTGTTTGAAAGGTGCCTTGGGGGCCAACATGTTGCTTATGGAGATAAATGTCCTGTAAGGGTTTTGATTGTGACCACTCTGCTGGAGATCCCCCAAAATGCTCTGCTTCCGTCCTCACCCCTTCTTTTACCTCAGTGTCTCCTTTATTGCAGGGAGAACACCGACTGAGACCTCAAACCCTGGCTCCAGTGTCATGGTGAGGAAACTGGGGGCTCCTGTGGCTGAAGGGGTGGATATGTAGGATAACTATGTCCTCTGGGCCCTGTCTTCTCTCTCGCCACTTCCGTCCCCAACTGAGGAAGAAAGGGAAGGGTGAGTGAGGAGCATCCTCATCCCTGCCCTAGGGGACCTAGGGACTTCCTTCTGTGCCTGACCTCTAGAGGTGGCATGGAAGAAGAGTCCCACAGCAGACCCTGGGGCTCTGAGCGGAGCTCCTCCAGGGCCATCCTTGTCATCCCTGGTGAGACCTATTGAAAACACATGTGGCCATAGAAATATAAATTCAGCTTAAATTAATTAAGATTCAGTACATTTAGCCGGGCATGGTTGTGTGTGCCTGGAATCGCAGCTACTTGGGAGGTTGAGGTGGGAGGATAGCTTGAGCCCAGGAGATTGAGGCTGCATTGAGCTAGGATTGTGACCCTGCACTCCAGCCTAAGCTACAGAGTAAAACCTTGTCTCTAAAAAAAAAAAAAAAAAAAAAAAAATTAAAAAGTTTAAGCGCTCAGTTTCTCAGTCGCCCCAGTCACATTGCCCAAGTGCTCAACAGCCACATGTGCTGGTAGCCCCTTTCTGGAAAGCACAGGCATGGAACATTCCCATCATCAGAGAGTGATGTCTGTTGGACAGCACTGCTCTGAAGAATTCTGCAATTAAAAGGATTCTCAGATGAGGCCGGGCGTGGTGGCTCATGCCTGTAATCCCAGCACTTTGGGAGGCCGAGGCGGGCAGATCACTTGAGGCTGGGAGTTCAAGACCAGCCTGGCCAACATGGTGAAACTCTGTCTCTACTAAAAATACAAAAAGTTAGCTGGGTGTGTGGCACGTGCCTGTAATCCCAGCTACTTGGGAGGCTGAGGTAGGAAAATCGCTTGAACCCAGGAGGTGAAGGTTGCAGTGAGCCGAGATGGCGCCACTGCACTCCAGCCTGGACGACAGAGCAAGACTGTCTCAAAAAAAAAAAAGAAAAAAAGAAAAAGACTCTCAGATGCAATGGAAGTCCTACTTTCACAAGTATATAATTAAGGACGTAAGTCTTGGGGGATCCCAGGGACTTCACAGAAATTAAGCTTTCAATCCCAAATTTGTGATGCTGTGCCAATTTGTAATAAGGAGTTTAGGAAAAACTCTCTAAGCAGGGAGGGACAGGCTCTGCCATCACAAGTCAGTGGAGTTACACAGAGAGCCATAACTTTACACTTTAGGATTTATCCAAATGTTAAAAGAAAGTAAACATTTCAGCTTGGTGGCCCATGTGATCTCTGTCACAACTATTCAGTTCTGCCGTTGTGGCCTCAAAACAGCCATTGATGCATTGTAAATAAATGCACGTGGCTGTGTGCCAAGAAAACATTATTTACAAAAATAGGCTTTAGGCTGGATTTTCCATGCCTGCTGTGTCTGAACATTTTCTCTTCTCCAGTGATAACCAGTCGTTCTGCTCAGTGGTGGGGGTGGTATTTGCCGAGCCAGAATGTGTGTGCTGTTTTAGGAATCCGTCACCTTTGAGGATGTGGCCGTGGAGTTCATCCAGGAGTGGGCATTGCTGGACAGCGCACGGAGGAGCCTGTGCAAATACAGGATGCTTGACCAGTGCAGGACCCTGGCCTCCAGGGGTAAGGCTGGCGTCACCTGGCTCCTTCCTGTACGCAGGCACTAAATGCTTCTTAAGCGCCTGCCATGTGAAGAAGACAGACGTGGCTTAGGCTTTGTGGCACTTAGCGTCCACAGGATGACAAAGCTTCATCTGTTGCATTGACTTCTTTCCCTCTGTAGTAAGGCCCTGTTTGGGTCTCCTTGAATTTGGCCCCAGGCTTCTGAGGTGAGACAGCCTCAGCCCCTTGGGGCAGAGGGGAGGGTGTTTGTGGGTTGGGTCCTGAGTTCATTAGCTATTGGGCAAGATCCCTTTGCTACCCATCACACTTGCTCAGCCCAGAGAATCTGAAGCCCATATTGAAGCTGAAGGAGAGTTTGAGTTGAGAAACAAGAGTTTGTTTTCCCCTGCAAGCCCTCTCTCTCTCAGTGCCTGTGTCTTTCTTCATGTGCAGGAACTCCACCATGCAAACCCAGTTGTGTCTCCCAGCTGGGGCAAAGAGCAGAGCCAAAGGCAACAGAACGAGGGATTCTCCGTGCCACAGGTGTTGGTGAGTACCAGGCAGGCTGTGGATCCCCCGACCCCCCTGGTTGGGTGGTGTGCCTTGGGAAGTGTCAAGAGCATTTTCAAAGGCCCTTTGTTCTGAGGGGACATCGAAGGCCATTCGGAGTGAGGTTTCTCAAGTTCCTTTAGCTTCTCTTCTATTTTCACTTTCTAGCCCTCCTCTCCTACTTTCCTTTGGTTTCAGAAAAAGATTTGTTCTAATTTCTCTTAAAAAATTAGAGGGCCAGGTGTGGTGGCTCTTGCATGTAATCCCAGCACTTTGGGAGGCCGAGGCTGGTGGATCACCTGAGGTCAGGAGTTCGAGACCAGCCTGGCCAACATGGCAAAACCCCATCTCTACCAAAAATTAGCCGGATGTGATGGTGCACACCTGTAATCCCAGCTACTTGGGAGGCTGAGGCATGAGAATTGCTTGAACCTGGGAGGTAGAAGTTGCAGTGAGCCAAGATTGCATCACTGCACTCCAGCCTGGGGGATAGAGCGAGACTCTGTCTCCAAAAAACAAAACAAAGCAAAAATTAGAGCTATAAGTCACACACCATGAAATTCACCCCTTTAAAGTGTGCAGTTCAGTGGTTCACAACCTTGTGTAAACATCACCACTACCCAATTCCAGAACATTTTCATCACGCCAAGTAGAAACCCTGTCCCCATGGGCAGTTACTCCCCATTACCCCTCCCTCAGCCCCTGGCAGCCACTAATCTGCTTTCTGTCTCTATGGATTGTCCTATATAGACATTTGTATATGGAAATCGTATCATAAGTAGCCTTTGGTATCCGGCTTAGTATAATAGTTTTGTGTTGCAAGTAAGTTAGACTGGGTAGTTTATAAACAATAGAAGTTTATTTGACTCCTGGTTCTGGAGGCTGGGAAGTCTAAGGCTGAGGGGCTGCATCTGGTAAGGGCCTTCTTGCAGCATCATAACATGGTGGACGAGATCATGTTGCAAGAGAACAAGAGAGGCCCAGACTGGTTTTTACAGCAAGGCCACTCTTGAGATAACTAACCCCCTTCTGAAGTAATCACAGGGCAGATTCCTCGTGACCTAATCACCTTTTTTTTTTTTTTTTTTTTTTTTTGGGACAGAGTCTCGCCCTGTCACCCAGGCTGGAGTGCAGTGGTACGATCTCGGCTCACTGCAACCTCTGCGTCCTGGGTTCAAGCGATTCTCCTGCCTGAGTCTCCTGAGTAGCTGGGACTACAGGTGCACACCACCACACCCGGCTAATTTTTGTATTTTTAGTAGAGATGGGGTTTCACTGTGTTGGTCAGGCTGGTCGAGAACTCCTCATCTCGTGGTCCACCCACCTCAGCCTCACAAAATGCTGGGATTACAGGCGTGAGCCATTGTGCCCGGCCACCTAATCACCTTTTAAAGTTCCAGCTCTCAATACTGTTGTATGGGAATTGCTTCCAACCCATGAACTGTGGAGGACACACTTAAACTACAGCAGTATCTGTCTTCTTTCACTTAGCTTTATGTTTTCCAGATCCATCCATGTTGTAGCATGAATCAGAACTTAATTCCTTTTTTAAGGCTGAATAATATACATTGTATGGATAAGCTATATTTTGATTATTTGTTCATCAGTTGATAGACAGTTGGATTGTTTCTACTTTTTAGCTATTGTGAATAATGTTGCTGTGAATGTTTGTGTACAATATTTCTTTTTTCTTTTCTTTTTTTTTTTTTTTTTTTTTTGAGATAGGGTCTTGTTCTGTCGCCCAGGCTGGAGTGCAGTGGTGCAATCATAGGTCACTGCAGCCTCAGCCTTTTGGGCTCAAGCAATCCTCCCACCTCAGTCTCTTGAATAGCTGGGACCACAGGTGCATGCCCTCATGCCTGGCTAATTTTAAATTTTTTTCTAGAGACCATTCTTCCTATGTTGCCCAGGCTGGTCTTGAACTCCTGGGCTTGGGTGATCCTCCCACCTTGGCCTCCCAGAGTGGTGGGATTACAGGCGTGCGCCACCGTGCCTGGCCTTGTGTACAAGATTTATGTAGACATGTACTTAATTCTCTTAGGTATATACTGAGGAGCAGAATTGCTGGCTCATATGGTAATGCTATGCTTAACTTCTTGAGCAACTGTCGTACCACTTTCCAACACAGGTACACCATTTTACATTCCCACCAGCGGAGATGAGAGTTTTGATTTATCCACATTCTCGCCCATACTTGTCATCCAATTCCTCTTTAAATTTAACCTTTTTATGTATGTTCTTTGTCTAGTTCTTTCTTACTCTTTTTTCTAATAACATCTGCTTTCTGGAAATAGTCTCAGTCCTCATAGAATTCTTAGCTAGGAAATTGCCTCTCATTTTCCCCTCATTCCTATGACTGCCAGAGTCCACACATAGCCCTACATACAGATGCTGTCTTCCCTTTCAGGATCTTCCCAAGTCTAAGGTCAGTATTAAAAGCTGGGCTGGGCATGGTGGCTCATGCCTGCAGTCCCGGCACTTTGGGTGGATCACTTCAGGTCAGGAGTTCGAGACCAGCCTGGCCCAACATGGTGAAACCCTGTCTCTACTAAAAATACAAAAATTAGCCTGACATGGTGGTGCGCGCCTGTAATCCCAGCTACTCAGGAGGTTGAGACACTAGAATCACTTGAACCTGGGAGGCGGAGGTTGCAGTGAGCCGAGATCATGCCATTGTACTCCAGCCTGGGCGACAGAGTGAGACTCCGTCTCAAAAAAAAAAAAAAAAAAAAAATTAGCTGGGCATGGTGGTGCATGCCTGTAATCCCAGCTACTTGGGAGGCTGAGGCACAAGAATTGCTTGAACCTGGGAGGTGGAGGTTGCAGTGAGCCAAGATCGCACCACTGCACTCCAGCCTGGGTGACAGAGTGAGACCCTATCTCAAAAATAAAAAGTAAAGAAAACATGTGGCTCATGCCTGTAATCCCAGCACTTTGGGAGGCTGAGGTGGGTGGATCACAAGGTCAGGAGTTCAAGACCAGCCTGGCCAAGATGGTGAAATCCTGTCTCTACTAAAAATACAAAAAAAATTAGCCAGACGTGGTGGCGGGTACCTGTAATCCCAACTACTTGGGAGGCTGAGGCAGAGAATTGCTTGAACTCAGGAGGCAGAGGTTGCAGTGAGCCAAGATTGCGCCACTGCACTCCAGCCTGGGCGAAAGAGCAAGACTCTGTCTCAAAAAAAACAAAAAACAAAAAACAAAAAACATGTATGTGTGTACACACACACAAATATAGATATATATATATATATATATATATATATATATATATACACACATATATATTTTCAATTTTATGCCACTATTTCTTTTTGAAAGGAGTTTATTTTTTCCCAATTCATTTCAGACTGGAAATCTCAACTTGAATATATGTATTCGGTATTAAAATTTGAATATTTATATTCAACATTAAAAGAAAAAGCCTATGTGTGTATAGTGTGTATATATATTCACATATATATGTGAATATATATTTTCAATTAATGTCACTATTTCTTTCTGAAAGGAGTTCATTTTTTCTCCCATTCATTTCAGCCTGGGAATCTCAACTTAAACCCGAAGAGTTGCCTTCTATGCAGGATCTTTTGGAAGAAGCATCCTCCAGGGACATGCAAATGGTAAGATGCACGGGGTTTTCCCCGGCTCCCAGCATGGGAGAAGTTGAGGAACACGTGAGGTGGAAATACAGGACCAGAGCCAGGGAGATGTTAGCAGCATGGGTGTCTCTTGGAAGGGAAACAGTGTCTGAGGGGAGTGCCTGTGACTTCTGAATTTGGGCAAACCCAGACTGTTGCTCAAGACTTTTTTTTTTTTTGAGACAGAGTCTTGTTCTGTCACCCAGGCTGGAGTGCAGTGGCATGATCTCGGCTCATTTCAGCCTCCACCTCCCAGGATCGAGTGATTTTCCTGCTTCAGCCTCCCGAGTAGTTGGGACTGCAGGCGTGCACCACCACGTCTGGCTAATTTTTGTATTTTTTGGTAGAGACAGGGTTTCACTGTGTTGGCCAGGCTGGTCTCGAACTCCTGGCCTCAAGTGATCTGCCTGCCTCAAGATTCTTTTTTTCTAGAAGGTTTCCTGAAGGAAACATTTTAATAAATGTGAGTCAGACATTGAGCGTGCGAAATACGACTTCCTCCTCAGCAACTGTCAGAAAAACCCCTCCTGGTAGAGAAGCCCCATTGTGAATAGGAGGCAGCCCTGTGGTAGAGCTGGCAACACACTCGACGAACTCCAGCTGTCTAAACAAGGCATGGCTTGAAAATGCTGAGAATATGCTCCCGGTGGGGAGGACCCCTGGGCACTGGCACAGATATTGGCGAGCTTTCCACCATCATTCACCTCTTTTTTTGGTTTTTAAAAGACAGGGTCTTGCTCTGCCACACAGGCTGGAATGCAGTGGCATGTTCATGGCTCACTGCAGCCTCAAACTCCTGGGCTCAAGCGATCCTTCTACCTCAGCCTCCCGAGTACCTGGGACCACAGGCCTGAGTCACCATGCCCAGCTAATTTTTTTCTTTTTCTTTCTTTTTTTTTTTCTTAGAGATGGGGTCTTGCTATGTTGCCCAGGATGATCTCGAACTCCTGGCCTCATGTGTTCCTCCCACCTCAGCCACCCAAGTAGCTGGGACTACAGGTGTGAGCCAGTGGGCCCAGCCATTACTCACCTCTTGTCAGGAGCAAGCTCCACCTGGAGAAAAGGCTCCTGATGAGTTGAAAGGAGGCAGGAAATGTTTCTGGAGGAGCTGTAACCTGGATGTGGGTGAGAGAACTGGCAAGACAGAGGCCACTTTGATTGGAAAGAATGTGGGAAAGTTGTTGGGCATCCTTTTCTTCTTAGGAGACCAGTCTAGATCCCACACTGGAAGGAAGCCCTTTTCAGTGTGGAAAAAGCCTTCCATATGAGCTTGTACATTAATAGTACAGGAGAAAATATACACGGAGTCCCCACCATCCCCCCTTTGGCCCTGAATTTCCTCCGCCTCAAACAAGAGGACCTTCCAAAGTTTGAGTTCCCATTCCTGAGTATTGGTGAAAGTTAGAGTTAGGGTTTGGTTAGAAGGAGGCACAGAGCTCAGCCTCACCCCCAAGTGGGGCGTATTAGTCCCAGGGTCAGTGAGAACCCCGGGATCCCTCAGTCAGTGCCCCTTCCCCTGTGTCATGGATGGGTGTCAGCATCAGAGCGTCAGGGATGCCCCACACAGTGGATGGGGTGCAGTGGCCTCGGTTTTAGAGACCCACATTCAACTTCTTTGCCAGGGAAGCTTCTGGAACACAGAGAAGCCTCAACCCTGTGCAGCTTGGTGTGGGCTGCAGATCAGCCAAAACTCACAACCTGCCTGGCTGCAACAGACCCCTGGGCAGCTGACAGCCCTCCTCACTCCCCAGGCCCTCCTCGCCCTTGGTTTACACTCTTGTTTTGGTGGAGAACACCCTCCAGTAGCTCCTTGGGATCAGGTGCTTGGGTTTTGAGACCTTGACTTCTGAGAATGTCTTATCAGGGCTGCTGGATTGCAGGTTCCTCATCCGATGTGGTGGTTGCGGTAAGCCTCATTACAGAACATCCTTTTTTCTTTCTTTTCTTTTTAAATAGATATGGGGTCTTGTTCTGTCACCTAGGCAGGAGTGCACTGGCACGATCATAGCTCCCTGTAGCTTTGAACTTATTAGCTCAAGTGCTCTTCCTGCCTCAGCCTCCTCCCGAGTAGCTGGGACTACAGGCACGCACCACTACACCTGGCTGATTTTAAAAAATTGTTTTGGAGACGAAGTCTTGCTGTGTTGTGCAGGCTCCCATTGCAGGGCATTCTGTGTGTCATGTAGCCCCCAGTGCTTGTTGAATGAAGGAAGGAATGGATAAGGTGTTGCAGAAGGCATCTCCAGTTCCCATCCTCCACCTCCATGTCTCTCTTGCTCAGCAGGTGGACCCCATGTGAAGAAAGGAGAGAGGGAGGGAGAATGAGCAACGAGGGCCCGGTGCCCTCTTTGTTTCTGTGGGCTCTCTCCTTTCAGTACAGGGCTCCAGTGCCCTCCACAGAACTCCACACCCAGCCCAGCAAGCCCCTCCATAATGGGTGCTGAGAGTGGCAGGCATGGGGCTCTTGTTACATCAGAGCCCCAGGAAACAGGCGGTCACAGACTATTCTGAGTGGGCAGAGGAGGTCCACCTATGGACACACGTTTAGAGAAGCTGAGGAGTTCATCCCTGAAGACATCCAGCCCGTGAGTAGTAGAGGTGGGTTTGGAGCTAGGAGTTGAACCCAGACCTAACCGCAGAGACCACAGTCTCAGCTGTCAGGTTCTACTGCCTGACGATCATACAACCTGCTGCTGGGTTGATGGTGCTGACCCTTTAGGTAGCCCTTCCAGGCCATGCCAGGCATCATTGTGCCTTGTCACAATCATTGAGACCCTGTATGGTGGCTCCGAGACCTCCCTGTCACATGGGAAAAAGTGCTGATGGCCAGGGACAGATTGAGTCCCCATGGCCTCCCTCTCTTTGGTCGGCTGGTCCAGCAGAGGGACCAGTGAAGAGGAGGGTGGGAAACTGCTCTTAGAAGAGTCCCAAGGAAGCCAGGCACAGGGCCTCACCCCAGAATCCCAGCAACTCCGGAAGCTGAGGTGGGAGGACCACTGGAGCCCAGGATTTTGAAACCAGCCTGGGCAATATAGCAAGAACCCATCTCTGCAAAACATACAAAAATTAGTCATGGCTAGGTGTGGTGGTGTGCACCTGTAGTTCAGCTACTTGGGAGGCTAAGGCGAGAAAATTGCTTGAGCCCAGGAATTCAAGGCTGCAGTGAGCCATGTGTTTGCACCACTGCTCTCCAGCCTGGGTGACGGAGCAGGATTCTGTCTCAAAAAAAGAAAAATAAAACTCCCCAAGGGAGGCTGAGGAACAGGCCTCTCCAGGCTCAGCCCTTCTTCTGTCCCAGGCCCACCCCACAGCTGCCTCTTCTGCAGACACCTGGCTCCTTGAGGCTGCAGTGTTGCTGCTTTCATCCTCTGCTGCATCCGCAGGGCCTGCACTAGCAGTGCCCATGTCTTAGTCTGTTCTCACCCTGCTGATAAAGAGATACCCGAGTTGGGTCATCTATAAAGGATGCAGGTTTAATTGACTCACAGTTCAGCATGGCTGGGGAGGCCTCAGGAAACTTACAACATGGCGGCAGGGGACGCAAACACATCCTTCACATGGTGGGCAGCAAGGAGAAGTATAAACAAAAGGGGGAAAAACCCCTTATAAAACCATCAGATCGTGGCCGGGCGTGGTGGCTCACACCTGTAATCCCAGCACTTTGGGAGGCCGAGGCGGGCGGATCATGAGGTCAGGAGATCGAGACCATCCTGGCTAACATGGTGAAACCCCGTCTCTACTAAAAATACAAAAAATTAGCCGGGCGTGGTGGCGGGCGCCTGTAGTCCCAGCTACTTGGGAGGCTGAGGCAGGAGAATGGCGTGAACCCCAGGGGGCGGAGCTTGCAGTGAGCCGAGATCGCGCCACTGCACTCCAGCCTGGGCGACAGCAAGACTCCGTCTCAAAAAAAAAAAAAAAAAAAACCATCAGATCTTGTGAGAACTCACTCACTATTTCGAGAACAGCAGCATGGGGGTAACTGCCTCCATGATTCAATTACCTCCCACCGGGTCCCTCCCATGACATACGGGGATTATGGGAACTACAATTCAAGATGAGATTTGGGTGGGGACACAGCCAGACCATATCAGCCCAGTACATATTTGTTCGACAAATAGGCAGAACGCCTAAAAACAGTTTCTTTAAGTTGAGTGACCTGTGTCAAAATGATTCTGATGGAAACATTTGTCTCAAAATGTACCCGTGGGATTTTGATTTATGACACAGAGAGGCCAATGTCATTGGAAAATTTTGATTACTTGTATTTCCTGGGAGGACAGGGCACACCATGCCACACAGGTCCACACAGGGAAGCACCAAGGTCAGCCTGGAGGCAGAAAGGAGCGAGGGGATAGCCCAGGCCAGAGCCTTTCTTGGAGTTTCCACAGGGTAAACCACTCAGGATTTGTCAGTTTGAATAATTTTAGTGGACCTTGGGGGATAGGTGCTGTCCCTGGTTGATTTAGGGCAGGGGAAATATTGGCTGGGTGAGAGTGAGATAAGGAGCTGGTACGGCATGTGGGCTGTGGGTCACGGGATTTGGAGATGAAGTTGGCAGGCAGTTTGGCCCTGTGAATGATGGATGCCCTGTGGACAAGGACAGCATTCCTGTTCAGAACCAAGATCTCCCGACCTTGCTTTCTTTTTTGGTTTTTGGGTGACTTAAACAGCAGAAACTTATTTTCTCACCCTTATGGAGGCTGGAAGCCCAAGATCAAGGTGGCGGCAGGGCTGGGTTCTCCTGAGGACTCTCTCCTTGGCTTGCAGGTGGCCACCCTCCTGCTGCCTCTTCACACGGCCATCCCTCTGTGCCACACCTTTCTATAGTGAAATGTCTCATAGCCTCTTCAGGGGCTCTGTCCTAACCTCAGGTCTGTCTTTGTATCTGCAGTGTGTTCAAGCCTCGAGACCCTCGGTGGTAGCTGGTGACTGCCGTAGGTGGGGAGTAGTTACTAGGTCTGAGGCTACCAGATGTCAGACCTGTGTACCCTGACTTTTTTTTTAAGACACAATCTCGCTCTGTCGTCCAGGCTGGAGTGCAGTGTTGTGATCTCAGCTCACTGCAACTTCTGCCTCCCAGGTTCAAGTGATTCTCATGCTTCAGCCTCCTAAACAGCTGGGAGCTTAGATGTACACTACCACACTTGGCTAATTTTTGTATTTTTAGTAGAGATGGGTGTATTAGTCTGTGTTCACACTGCTGATAAAGACATACCCGAGACTGGGCAATTTACAAAAGAGAAAGGTTTAATTGGACTTACAGTTCCATGTGGCCAGGGAAGCCTCACAATCATGGCAGAAGGCAAGGAGGAACAAGTCACGTCTTACATGGATGGCAGCAAGTAAAGAGACCTTGTGCAGGGAAACTCCCCTTATAATAACCATCAGATCTCGTGAGACTTACTCATTATCACGAGAACAATCATGGGAAAGACCTGTCCCCATGAATCAGTTACCTCCCACTGGGTCCCTCCCACAACACGTGGGAATCCAAGATGAGATTTTGATGGGGACAGAGCCAAACCATATCAATGGGGCTTCGCCATGTTGGCCAGGCTGCTCTTGAACTCCTGGCCTCAAGCAATTCTTCACCTCAGCCTCCCAAAGTGCTGGGATTATGGGCATGAGCCACTGCACCCATCCCCATTTGCCTTGACTTCTGGCAGCCCTAAGCCCCAAACCAAAGGTCTCTCGGGCTGAGAACAGCTGTGGTGCCAACTCTGTCCTGCTCAGCACCCTCTTGTCTTTTGCCAGGGGCCGGGGCTGTTCCTGAGGATGCAGCTGGTGCCCTCCATAGAAGAGAGGGAGACACCATTGACTCGAGAGGACCGGCCAGCTCTCCAGGAGCCGCCTTGGTCTCTGGGATGCACGGTAAGCCTGGGAGAGGTTCACTGTGATGGCACCAGGTGCAGTCAGGAAGGCCTGGGGTGTGGGTTGTCTGTAAATTGGGGGAGGGGAGGGAAAGGAGGGTGTTTGGGGCCTGTAGGAGGCCCAGGCTGTGGGCTTGGGGTGGTGGAGTCTGTTTCTGTGTTGAATATACTTGTCCCCAGGGTGATGGCGGGCTCCAGGGCGGGTCCTGGGGGAGGGTCTGGTTGTTGGACTGTAGGCCCTGCCTTTCCTGGTCCAGCCTTTTTTCTTCCTGTCCTTCCACCCCAGCCCCACTGCTTCCATAACCTCGAAACTGACAGGAACTGGCAGGTCCTATGACCTGAGGGCTGGGCAAGGGAGCATCCAGGCTCAGGGAAGTGAGGACCTCTTGGCTCAGGGCCCTGCGTGTCCTTACCAAGGCAGAGAGAGAATGGGAGAGAGATGCCGTAAGGCAAGGGTCCCTAACCCCCAGGCCGTGGACCAGTACTAGCCCCTAGCTTGTTAGGAACCAGGCTGCAGAGCAGGAGGTGAGCGGCGAGCATCCATGCCTGAGCTCCGCCTCCTGTCGGATCAGCAGCAGCTGATCCTATTGTGAACTGTGCATGCGAGGGATCTAGGCTGCAGGCTCCTTATGAGAATCTAACTAATGCCTGATAATTGAGGTGGAACAGTTTCATGCTAAAACCATACCCCTACCCTGCTTTGTGGAAAAATTGTCTTCCATGAAACTGGTCCCTGGTGCCAAAAAGGTTGGTGACTGCTGCTGTAAGGCACGTCCTGAGCCCTGCATGAGGAGAAAAGGCCTCTTCCCACTCGTCCCTGCCCTGTTCCCTCCCCCGAGGGACCTGCTGCATGTACCCCCCAACCTCCCATCCACCACCAAGTCCTGCTAGCGTTATTTCCAAAATGTAACCCACCTCCAGCTGCCTCTCCTGTCCCTGCTGCTGCCATCCTGCCCAGAGCCACCGTTAGTTCTCCTGGACTCCAGTTCTGCTCCTGACAGGCACCTGGGCTCCACCCTGGACACAGAGGCCAGAGGGATCCCTTAGAAGTGCAAGTCAGGTCAGACGTGTTTCCTGAGCGAGCAGCTGCCAGCAGAGAAGAGACCACATCCTACTCCAAGGAGAGGTCTTCCTCCCAGAAAAACTCACTGACTGCCTGCTCCGCATTCACGCAGGTCCACCTCCAAACTCCATCTTCCCTCCACCCCTCAACCTCCTGGCCATCCACTCCCCACTTTTTTCCCAGCTTTTCCCTGACTTCTGGAGCCTCCTTGGAGGGTGCCACCTTCCCCAGCCCCTGCCTGGGTGCCCTCTCTCCAGGCCATTTTGGATCACAGTGATTAGCTTTGTATTTAAGGATTGGGTAAATCCTGACAAGGTAAATGGGTCTCTCTCTTCTTTTATTAATATGTTCCCCAAAGCAGGATCAAATATGCACGTTCATTTGGGGTGAGCAGGTGTGAGTGGCCCCCTCAGCTTCTTGACTCTAATCTGTGACCCCTGTCACTCTGTCCAGGGACTGAAGGCCGCTATGCAGATTCAGAGGGTGGTGATACCAGTGCCTACTCTGGGCCACCGCAACCCATGGGTGGCCAGGGATTCTGGTGAGTGAGTGCTGCGTGGAACACGTGGCCAGAGGGCCCTGCTGTCCTTGTGTTCTGTCCAGGAACTTGTATCCTATCCTGCCTGCATTTCCTCTGACTGCAGGCACTGCCGTGGCACCATAGAGAGGATACAGAAGGCCTCTCTCATTATTTGTGTGTTTAAGTGGGAGGGCACTTCCAGTGACAGATCTTTAAGAAAGAGAGGGCTCACTCAACCACAGCAAAGGCCAGACCTCTCTTTGGGCAACATGAAATTCTTGACTACACGATAATGTTGATTTTGAAAAATTATGATTGAATTTACTAGAAATGGCCTGTGTTTTAACTGTGTTTTTATAAATGAGGTTCAGGCCGGTTGCAGTGGCTCATGCCTTTAATCCCAGTGCTTTGCAAGGCCTAGGCGGGAGGATTGCTTGAGGCCAGGAGTTCAAGACCAGCTTGGGTAACATGGTGAGACCCCTATTTCTAAAAAAAAAAAAAAAAAAAAAATTAGCTGTGCATGGTGCCTCTCAAGTCCCAGCTACTTAAGAGGCTGAGGCAGGAGGATCGCTTGAGCCCAGGAGGTCAGGGCTGATGTGAACTACAGTCGCTTTATTGCACTTTGCAGCCTGGGTGACAGAATGAGTCCCTGTCTCTAAAGAAATAGGTTCAAAGCCACTTCTCCTGAGAAGTGGGGAAGAAATTAATTCTAGAAGACAAATAACATTTTAACTTTAACAGTAAGGTGTTTGTTTTCTTCTAGTTGGCCTTCTAGTAAGAATAATAAGCTTTGTTTCTTTTTTTTTTTTTTTTTTTTGAGACGGAGTCTCACTCTTTCGCCCAAGCTGGACTGCAGTGGCACTATCCCGGCTCACTGCAAGCTCCGCCTCTTGGGTTCATGCCATTCTCCTGCCTCAGCCTCCCGAGTAGCTGGGATTACAGGCGCCCACCACCACGCCCGGCTAATTTTTTGTATTTTTAGTAGAGACGGGGTTTCACCGTGTTAGCCAGGATGGTCTCGATCTCCTGACCTCGTGATCCGCCCGCCTCGGCCTCCCAAAGTGCTGGGATTACAGGCGTGAGCCACCGCGCCCGGCCATAAACTTTGTTTCTTAAAAGTGCCATCCACTCTTGTGTCTGGAATCTCTGTTTTCTTCTTGACAGGGAACAATTCTTAGATCTAAGTCTTGTGTTGCTCTTCAGTATATTTTTGGTAAGTCTTCTGGGCCAGGCTCTATTTTGTTACTTCTTCTTTTTTTATTTTATTTTAATTGAGACAGCATCTCGCTCTGTCACCTGGGCTGGAGTGCAGTGGCACGATCTCGGCTCACTGCAACCTCTGCCTCCCGGGTTCAAGCGATTTTCCTGCCTCAGCCTCCCGAGTAGCTGGGATTACAGGGGTGCGCTACCATGCCCGGCTAATTTTTGTATTTTTAGTAAAGACGGGGTTTCACCATGTTGGCCAAGCTGGTCTCGAACTCTTGACTTCAGGTGATCCGCCCACCTCGGCCTCCCAAAGTGCTGGGACCACAGGTGTGAGCCACCGTGCCTGACCTATTTTGTTACTTCTTGAAGCGGGTAACACCACTACTGTCATCCGATGGTGAGATGGGGACCAGGAAACAGTCACAAAGAAAACACCGACCCCTCCTCCGTGGAGCTCACGGTCAGCTGGGTGGTCAGAGTTCGAAATGAATAACAGAGTCCAGTGGAAGTGTGTTATACAAGGACTTCATCTCAGGGGACGGGAGAGTTCTGGGAAAGGATGGATATTTAAGCTTAGGCCAGGGTTTCTCAACTGCAGCACTGCTGATAATGGGCTACTGCAGCACTGCTGATAATGGGCCTGTTCACTCTC
Source organism: Homo sapiens (assembly GCF_000001405.40). Taxonomy (NCBI): domain Eukaryota; kingdom Metazoa; phylum Chordata; class Mammalia; order Primates; family Hominidae; genus Homo; species Homo sapiens. The sequence continues at coordinate 14,708,611 of NC_000019.10, forward strand.
AGCTGTGGGCCGTCCTGTGCATTATAGGATGCTGAGCAGCATCCCTGGCCTCAACTCACTAGATGCTACGAGCACTTTTCCTCTATGAGTTTGCTAGGGCTGCCATATCAAAGTTCCACCAGCTGGGTGGATTAAACAGCAAAAATATATTGTCTCACCGTTCTGGAGGCCAGAAGCTCGAGAGCAAGGTGTTGGCAGTGTTGGTTCCTTTTGAAGCCTCTCCTTGGTGTGTAGATGGCCATCTTCTCTCTATATCTTCACATCATCTTCCCTCTGTCCATGTCTGTGTCCAAATGTCGTCTTCTTGTGATAGGGTTTGGATTTGTGTCCCCACCTAAATCTCATGTCAAATTGTAATCTCCAGTGTTGGAGGAAGGGCTTGGTGGGAGGTGACTGGATCATGGGGGTGGACTTCCCCCTTGCTGTTCTCTTGATAGTGAGTGAGTTCTCACGAGATCTGGTTGTTTAAAAGTGTGTAGCACCTCCCCCTTCACTCTCTTCCTCCTGCTCCAGCCATGTAGCACGTGCCTGCTTCCCCTTTGCCTTCCGCCATGATTGTAAGTTTCTCGAGTCCTCCCCAGCCATGCGTCCTGTACAACCTGTGGAACCAGGAGCCAATTAAACCTCTTTTCTTTATAAATTCCCCAGTCTCAGGTAGTTCTTTATAGCAGTGCAAAGCAGACTAATACGTCTTGTGAGTACACCAGTCATATTGGGCTAGGGCCCGCCCTACTGACATCATTTTAATTTAATTACCTCTAAAGACTCTATGTTCAAATATGGTTACCAGGGGTGAGATAAGATACTAGGGGTTAAGACTTCAAGATATGAATTTTTGAGGTAATACAATTCAGCTCATAACAGCCACATACCCCCTAGTCATGAAAAGCTAAAATGTCTCTAGATGCTGCAGACTGAATTGTGCTCCCCTTCTCCAAGTTCATGTTGAAGCCCTATTGTCTCCCCCGAAGGTGCCATTGGAAATGGGACCTCTAAGGAGGTGATAAAGGTTAAATAAGGTCATAAGGGTGAAGCCCTGAACCAACAGAACTCATGCCCTTACAAGAAGAGGAAGAGACACCAGAGCTCTCTCGCCCATGTGAGGACACAGCCAGAAGGCAGCCATCTGCAAGCCAGGAAGGGAGCCCTCACCAGGAACCAACCATGCTGGCATCCTGATCTCAAACTTCCAGCATCCAGAACTGTTAGCAGCAAATTTCTGTTAAGTCACCTAGCGCATGGTATTTTGGAATGACAGCTCGACAGCTCAACACCAGACATTGCCAAATGTCCCCTGGGGGTCAAACCCTGACCTAGACCATGATAAATACTATAACATTTAGCTTGGTCAGCTGTTGGGCTGTCAGGAGGTTCGGAGAGAGGATATCAGGCTTAGGAACAACATTGATAAAATTCCCCATGGAGCAGAGAACTGGTTGCATCCAGGGCCCATGGAAGATGGTGTGAAGGCAGCAGGGAGAAGTGGAGAGAGAGTGGTGTGAGCTGACTGAAGAAGAAGCAGCTTCCAGATTGTTCAGGGCTTGGAAGTGCAGGAAAAGAACCTTGGCCCATGTTCTAAGCCCGCTGGGAGCCAGTGACGTGTTTAGGTGAGTGGTGCAATGCACCTGTGGTTTTAACAGAACCGCACCCCCCAGCCCACCTGTGAGGAGCGTGGGCTCAGGGAGGAAAGCAGTGGTAGGTGGAGGCCATTAGGAGTAGAATGGTGCTGGTCTAGACTTGGGGGTTGAGTGTGGAGGAGGTGTGCTGGGTTCCCCCAAGACCACCCCAGTCTTGATGATCCACTAGGAGGACTCACAGGAGATGTCGTACTCGTGGCTGTGATTTATTACCAGAAGTGGATATGAAGCAGAATCAGCAAAGGGGGTGCCAGGTGTGGTGGCTCATGCCTGTAATCCCAGCACTTTGGGAGGCCAAGGTGGGTAGATCACTTGAGGCTGGGAGTTTGAGACCAGCCTGGCCAACATGGCGAAACCCTGTCTCTACTAAAAATGTAAAAATTAGCCGAGCATGGTGGTGCATGTCTGTAATCCCAGCTACTTGGGAGGTTGAGGCAGGAGAATTGCTTGAACCCGGAAGGCGGAGGTTGCAGTGAACCAAGATTGCGCCACTGCACTCCAGCCTGGGCGACAGAGTGAGATTTCCTTCTTAAAAAATAAAAAAATAAATAAAAGTAAATAAAAGAAGTGTATCTGACTCATGGTTCTGTGGGCTGTACAAGAAGCACGGCACCAACATCTGCTCCTGGCGAGGGCCTCAGGCTGCTTCCACTTAGGTCAGAAGGGGAAGGGAAGCCAGTGTGCGGAGATCACATGGTGAGGGAGGAAGCAGGAGCGGGGGCAGTGGGGGAGGGAAGGGAAGGGAAGGGGGAAAGGTGCCAGGCTCTTTTTAACAACCAGCTTCCTTGGAAAGTAGTAGAAGAGTACTCCTTCTCTCTGAGGGAGAGCGTTAATCAATTCTTGAGGGATCTGCCCCCAAGTCCCGCCTCCGACACTGGGGATTAACGTTTTGGTGTGAGTTTTGGAGGAAACAAACAGTCCCTAAATTCCAGACTTTCAGAAGGAAAGCAGGTGTTCAACATAAACTGCATTGTTTGTACAAGCAGTTTAAGTGGAGCGAGTTTCTCTTACCAGTTAGGGGGGCGGGAACCTTCCTGAAATCCAAGTTCCCAGACTCCACCCAAGGGCCAACCTTGCAAACACATCTCATTAAGGAGCCCATCCAGGCCTGCTGGGTTAACGCCTTTCTGCACAGTAGGGAAGTGAGGAATGATTTAAAACACATAGAGGCCAGCACTTTGGGAGGCTGAGGTGGGAGGACTTCTTGAGGCCAGGAGTTGGAGACCAGCCTGGGCAACATAGCGAGACCCCATCTCTACAAAATAAGAAAATTAGCCAGGCATGGTTGTGTGCACCTGTGGTCTCGCTACTCAGGAGGCTGAGGAGGGAGAATCACTTGAGCCCAGGAATTGAAGGCTGCAGTGAGCTAGTCCAGCCTGGGTGAGAGAGCAAGACCCTGTCTCAAAAAAATTATAGTAATAATGCATATAAAACATTTATATTGAGGAGGTTGAGTTGATTTGGTGGTTCATGTATTCATTTACCAATGACATGGAGCATTTTTGTGCCAAGTAAGGTATCGGGGACAGGATGGTGAAAGGCACCCAGGCTTATTCTTACAAAGCTTCCAATCCAGTGAGGATGACAGAAAAGAAACACTCATGGCAGCAATACATAGCTGGTTACAGATGGGTAAGGGCTGCGAAGAAAGGGAAGGGGTCCTATCAGAGAAAAGGAGAGAAGGGGCTCTTTCTACAGGGGAGGAGACCTCAGGATGGGGCACTCTGAGGGCGACGTTTCAGTGGATCCAAAAAGAAAAGGCTCTATGTAGGTGTTGGCTGTAGCGGGAATGGGTGGGAGAGGGGCTTGGGGGTGAGTACCGCCATGTAGAGACGTCATCACTATTTATTCTGATTAGTTGCTGGGATCTGTAGAGTGTCAGAGAGGGGTGAGATTTCTGATCAAAGACAGGGGCAGCACTTCCTGAGATTGAGGACATGGTTAGGGAGAGCAGGCTTTGGGAGGACGGTGATGAGTGTTTTTTTTTTTTAAGACATAGTCTTGCTCCGTTGCCCAGGCTGGAGTGCAGTGGTGCAATCTTGGCTCACTGCAAACTCCATCTCCTAGGTTCACGTGATTCTCGTGCCTCAGCCTCCCGAGTGGCTGGGACTACAGATGTGTGCCACCACGCCCAGCTAATTTTTGTATTTTTAGTAGAGACGGGGTTTCGTCATGTTGGCCAGGCTGGTCTCAAACTCCTGACCTCAAATGATAATGCTGGCCTCTGCCTCCCAAAGTGCTGGGATTACAGGTGTGAGCCACTGTGCCTGGCCTAGTTTTTTTGTAACAGAAATTTCTCTTTCACAATTTAGGATACCAAAAGTCCGAAATTAAGGTGTCGACAGGGCCGTGCTCCCTCTGATGGCTCGGGGGGGAGGATCCTGCCACCTGCTTTCTAACAGTGGCCTGCAGCCCTTGGTGCTCCTTGGCTTGTGGATGCAGCCCTCCCGTCTCTGCCTGTGTTGCCTCATGGCTGTGTCACCTCTGTGTATCTGTCTCTGTCTCTTCTGTTAGGAGAACCATCATATTGGATTAAGGGCCTACCCTATTCTCCTGTCGTCTCAACTCATTACATCTGCAACAATCCTATTTCCAAATAAGGTCACATTTTGAAGTACTGGGGGTTAGGACTTCTCTTTTTTGGGGGGTTCACAGTTCAAACCATAGCAGTCTGTTCTCTAGTCCCCCCAAATTCATGTCCTTTCCACATGCAAAATACACTCACGTGGTCCCAAAGTTTTAATCCATTCCAGCGTCAACTCTAAGTGCAAAATCTCATCTAAGCACCATCAACTCAAAGTTTCATCTCATCTGATGAGAATCCCACAACTCTTCATGTCAGTCATCTACAGCAGGTATGAGGGAGACTCAGAGTGTGGTCCATTGTGGGGCAAAATTCCTCTCCATCTGCGAACCTGTGAGAAATCAGAAAGCAAGTGATCTGCTTCCAAAATACGGTGATGGGGCAAGCAAAGGATAGACATTCCCATTTCAAAAGGAGAAAAAGGGGTCATGGGTCCTGAGCAAGTTTAAAACCCATCAGGGCAAATGCTATGAGGTTTCCAGGCCTGGAACAAATCCTCTATGGTTGGAAGCTCTGACCTCTGGACCTCATTTTGGGTACCTTCTATTCCTGTTCCCTTAGATGGGCAGAAAGATTTGAGCCAATGGTTGGATACATGGTCTGGTGTTCAGATGTGAGAGTCAGCCTGGAGATTTGGGCTTCATCATGAAGTTTGGGAATTGACACCCAGAGAATGGGTGAGGTTGCACACCAAGGCAGAGAGAATTGAGGGAGACACGAAGAGGAGGGCCTGCAACCTGTGGACGCCAGCAACATGTTGGAGAAGAAGCTCTTACAGGAAAAAGAGGAGGCTGGGGTTGTGATCACTGATCACAGGCTGGGTGGGCTACAAGAAGGAGGGATTGGCTAGGTGCAGTGGCTTGCAGCTATAATCCTGGCTACTCAGGAGGCTGAGGTGGGAGGATCGCTTGAGGCTAGGAATTCAAGGCTAGCCTGGGCAACATAGTGAGACCCCCATCTCTAAAAAAATAAAAAAAAAATTAACAGGGTGTGGTGGTGCACACGTGTAGTCTCAGCTACTTGGGAGGCTGAAGTGGGAGGATCACTTGGGCCCAGGAGTTTGAGGCTGCAGTGAGCTGTGATTGTGCCACTGCACTCCAGCCTGGGTGACAGAGCAAGACTCTGGCTCAAAACAACAACAAACCCAGGAGAGATTGGATGATGAGCACACATCAGTGGGATTTCCCAGCACGGATGGAGGTCACTGGTGATTCCAGGGTGGTGCCAGCCCTTGGAACGGTGGAGATGGGAAGCAAGTGGGAGGGGAGGAAGTGGGCACAGAGGGTAGATAGCCCATGATAGGGAATGAAGAGATAGAGGTAGCCCAAGGGAAAAGTGGGGTGTTATGGCTTGAATTGTGCCCCTCCAAAAAGACATGCTGAAGTCCTAACCCTGTGAATGTGGCCTTATTGGAAATAGGGTCTTTGCAGCTGTAACCAAGTTAGGAGGTCACAAGGTTGGGCCCCAATCCAACATGACTGTGTCCTTATGAGAAGAGGAAGACGCCACGTGAAGACAGACACGCAGGGAGGGGACCGTGCGACGGTGGAGGCAGACATTGGAGTGATGCATCCACAAGCCAAGGAGCCCCAAGTGTCGATGGCCGCCACCAGAAGCCAGGGAGGGGCAAGGAAGGACTCTTCTCAGAGCGTCAGAGGAGGCGTGGCCCTGCTGAGCTTAACTTTGGACTCCTCGTCTCTAAAACTGCGAGAGGATACATTTCTGTGGTTTTAAGCCACTCAGTTTGTGATACTTTGTTACGGCAGCTGCAGAAAACACATGTGGGGTCAGGGATTGGGTGTGGGTCAGGTTTAAAAAAAGTGAGGGGAAAGGTCCCATCGGGAGGGAGAGGTGAGGATGCAGGGGATGAGGGATGATCTGGGAGTTGCTTGCTTGTCTGTCATAGGCCAGAAGGAGGATGCCTGGTGCAGAGCGAGGAGTGGTGTTGATTTGAAGGCAGGTGGGAAGGAAGTTTCTTTTTAAGGCAGACTTGCAGGTTGGTTGTGGTTTATCTGCCCTTGATTTGTGGTAAGTCCTGGAGCACCACTAGCCCTGCAGTGTAGAGGGGCAGAGAAAGGGGCCAGGCAGCCGGGGAGGAAAAGCTGTCCCAAAGCTGAGTCGGGACAGTGGTGGGGGCTGCAGGAGCTTTGGAGTCTCCTGGTGAATTATGGAGTCTATGGCTCTTGGGATATGGAATGAAGGCGTGCGTGTGTGTGTGTGTGTGTGTGTGCACGTCTATATGTCTCTTTGTGTGCTGGTCTGTGTGTATATGTTATATATATGAACAGGTGCATGTGGTATGTAACTGTGTATATGTGTGCGTGTTTGTGTGTATATGTGTGCATGTCTGTGTACGTGTGTGCATGTGATTGCATGCATGCGTGTGCAAGAGCTTGCAGATATGTGTCTGCATGTGTGTGTCCCTGTGAGTGTGTGCATGTGTGTGTGTACACATGTGATCACTCACAGCCAGGGTGGGCAGACTTGGGGCCTGTGAGTGTGCCCAGTAGGCCAGGCACCAACCCTCATGCCTCTTCCCTTCTCCCCTAGCTGTGCCTGCACGTGACCCTGCCTGGCTTCAGGAGGACAAAGTGGAGGAAGAAGCTATGGCTCCTGGGCTGCCAACCGCCTGTTCACAGGTAGGTAAGAACTTCTTGTTCTAAAAGAACACTGCTGTGCCCAAAGGCTGGACTTACCTTCTTCCTGTGACCTGTCTGGATCATCTCATAGGGTTGGTCTCCATGCTTTCAGGGACTGGGCCTCTTGCAGTGGGTGTCAGCAAGGGAGCATGGGCCATGATCCCACCACCTCATTCAGACCCTCCCCAGGCTGCTGAGCACCAGGAGGGAAAACAAAGCAAGGATGTCAGCTGTCCTCATTTTGTGGTCTTCATGGTCTCACTGAACAAAGAGTTGAGTCATTTTCCAGATAGTTCCCTCTTGCCTGTACCATGCTCAGGTCTGCTGGACCCTGGAGCTAGAAGGGGGACAAATCTGTAAGAGCTTCCTGGCTCCTTGTCAATAGATAAGTCCTGTCCAGAGGTCGAGGACTTGCAACATTAGTTATTGCCTCTTGCTGTTCTTACTTAAGGAGTGGAGAGTAGAGAGAGGAGTTCTAGTTCAGAGTCCTGAGCTAAGGGCCAGATTCTGCGGGATCTCAGAACCCTGTCTGAAAGTCCTCTGCCTGGGTTTTCCCTTCCCCAGGCTTGCCAGCCTCCAGCATCCTCTGGCGTACTGGTGGGGGTGGTCCCTGGCTGAGCCGGGATGGATGTGTGTTTTAGGAACCAGTCACCTTTGCAGATGTGGCTGTGGTGTTCACCCCAGAAGAATGGGTGTTTCTGGACTCTACTCAGAGGAGCCTGTATAGAGATGTGATGCTGGAGAACTACAGGAACCTGGCCTCTGTGGGTAAGGCAGCTTCATCTTTTCTTTCCTTTTTTTTTTTTGAGACAGAGTCTTGCTCTGTTGCCTAGGCTGGAGTGTGATGGCGTGACCTTGGCTCACTGCAACCTCCGCTTCCTGGGCTCAGGTGATCCTCCCACCCCAGCCTCCCGAGTAGCTGGGACCACAGGGTGCATCATCACACCTGGCTAATTTTTGTATTTTTTTGTAGAGATGGAGTTTTGCCATGTTTCCCAGACTGGTCTCGAACTTCTGGGCTCAAGTGATTCACCTGCCTCAGCCCCACAATGTGCTGGGATTGCAGACATGAGCCACTGTGCCTGGCCAAGGCTTTGCCTTTTCATCACATTTATGTACCAACCATAAGCTCTAGAAATTGTGCAAGTCTGGGAAACCTAGTGGTGAAAAAAAAGATAATTCCCACCTTCATGAGCTTCCAGTCTACTTACTGGCCTTTCTATGGAATGAAGATCTTTTTACTGCCCTGTCTTTCTGTGACTAAAAGTTTTTGGGCTTCTCAAAGGTATTCCTTAGCTAGGCCCTTGGTTTTGTAGACCGGAGAGCCTCAGTGTCCTCTGAGACCTAGTGAGGGAACTTGTATTTAGTTGCTCAGTGGAAGAGTTTGGCTGTGGCCATCAGAATTTAGGCACATGCATTTTGCCACTCCCATCTCTAGAGCCCCTAAAGACTTGAGAATATCGGCCCTGGTGTCAGGGCATGGCACAGTCCTCGCACAACATGTGTTTTTTTCTCATGAGCAGCTGATCAACTGTGCAAACCCAATGCGTTGTCTTATTTGGAAGAAAGAGGAGAGCAGTGGACCACTGACAGGGGCGTCCTCTCAGACACCTGTGCAGGTGAGCCCAGGCAGATCAGGTGAGCATCAGCTCTGGTCAGTAAGGGGAGTGTCCAGTTTGGAAACTGTCTTATCAGGGCAACCTATTCATACCTTTGACTGAGAAGCCTGTTTGGTTGAGCTCCCTTATTAAATGCCACCTTCTTTCCTTTTTCCCTTTCCTTTTTAATCTCTAAAACTTTGCATTCATCTCCTAGAAAGATCTGTCCTACTTTCTCTTCATATTTAATATTTCCATGTGTATATTTTATCCATTTCCTCCCCACTGTACATTCTTGCTAATATTTTTCCTCAACATTAGTCACAATCTTTGTAGAATCCTTTTTTGGTAAATTACCTACTATTTCCTTCCCATGTTCCTCTGATTACATAACTTCTCATCTAGCCACACACCTTAAAATTTTCCTTAACTTTTAGATGCATTCCTTCTCATTGCAATTTCTTCCCGTACATAGGACCAGTATTTGGGAAAAAAAGTCCACATGTGCCTTGCCTACTTTTGAGGTGACCTTGATCCCACAGTTTCTTTCTCTGTGTGCTTAACTTTTTCTTCCCTAATTCATTTCAGAACCTCAGTGTCAACCCCAAGAGGCAATTCCTAGCCAAGATACTTTTACAGAGATCCTGTCCATTGATGTGAAAGGGGTAAGGCTCACCAGGGATTATTCATGGTTCTCTATAGTAGGATGAGTCTGGGGTTAACCGTAAGTTAGAAAAGCAGCCCAAGAGCCAAGAGCGATTCGAGGCAAGAAGTGTTTACCCAGAAGGAAGCAGTTTCTTGGGAGAGAGTCCGTGAATGTCATGAATTGGTGGAAAACTAAATGTAGATCATGTTCGTACAAGTAAGCATTTTCACAGATATGACACATACAAAGTGTTTAAGACTTAATTTAGCCTTACACAAATTGGAAAAATTCTGCATCTAAGAAGCTGCATGAAAATAATGAAAAGATAGCTCTTTGCAACAGAGTATCCACCCTATTCCACTTGAAGGAACTCTGGATAGAAATGGTATGGACTCCATAAATGGTAAAAGTATCAGATATAGAACTGTCTTTTTCTTACATTCATTTCACATAGGGGAGAATATCTGTGAATCTAATAAGGCCTTTGGTCTTCACATTTTCCTTCATCGACAGGAGCAACCTCAGCCTGGAGAAAAACTCTATAAATATAATGAACTTGAGAAACCTTTTAACAGCATTGAACCACTTTTCCAGTACCAGAGAATTCATGCTGGAGAGGCATCCTGTGAATGTCAAGAGATTAGAAATTCCTTCTTCCAGAGTGCCCACCTAATTGTGCCCGAGAAAATCCGTAGTGGGGATAAATCCTATGCATGTAACAAATGTGAAAAATCCTTCAGATACAGCTCTGACCTTATCAGGCATGAGAAGACTCATACTGCAGAGAAGTGCTTTGACTGTCAAGAATGTGGGCAAGCCTTCAAATATTCCTCGAATCTCCGGCGACACATGAGAACCCATACCGGAGAGAAGCCATTTGAATGTAGTCAGTGTGGGAAAACCTTCACGAGGAACTTTAACCTGATTTTGCACCAGAGAAACCACACAGGAGAGAAGCCCTACGAGTGTAAAGATTGTGGGAAAGCCTTCAATCAGCCATCATCCCTCAGGAGCCACGTGAGAACTCACACTGGAGAGAAGCCCTTTGAATGCAGCCAGTGTGGGAAAGCCTTCAGGGAACACTCTTCACTGAAGACACATCTGCGAACCCATACCAGAGAGAAACCATATGAATGCAACCAGTGTGGCAAGCCCTTCCGGACGAGCACTCATCTGAACGTGCACAAGAGGATACACACAGGGGAGAAACTGTATGAGTGCGCGACTTGCGGTCAGGTCTTGAGTCGTCTTTCAACCCTGAAGAGTCACATGCGAACTCACACTGGAGAGAAGCCCTATGTGTGCCAGGAATGTGGGCGAGCCTTCAGTGAGCCCTCATCCCTCAGGAAACATGCAAGGACTCACAGTGGCAAGAAGCCCTATGCATGCCAGGAATGCGGGCGAGCCTTTGGTCAGTCTTCACATCTTATTGTACATGTGAGAACACACAGTGCCGGGAGACCCTATCAATGTAATCAGTGTGAGAAAGCCTTCAGGCACAGCTCCTCACTCACTGTACACAAAAGAACCCATGTGGGAAGAGAGACCATTAGGAATGGCAGCCTGCCTTTATCCATGTCTCATCCATACTGTGGGCCCCTTGCTAATTAACTTCCATTTTGTAAAAATATAAACACATGGGGCTATGACTTTCCCTCGTAATACTCCTTTAGCTGCATCCTGTGTTTCAATGTATAATATTTTCATTTTGGTTTAATTGTAAGTATTGTCTTAACCTCCATTATCGTTTATTCTTTGACCCATCTATTATTTGGAATTAGATTTTTCAAAACTAATATGTGGATATATTTTCATAGAGGTATAATGACTTATAGTGAAATGCATACATCTGAAGTGTACAGTTGGATGAGTTTGACAGATGCATACATGCATGTAACCACCACCCCATTCCAGATATAGAATGTTTCTATCTCTCTGGAAGGTTCCTGCATGTTATATGGCTATTTCTTAGTTGCCTTTTTGTTGTTGGTTTCTAATTTAATTACATGGTGAGAAGAGTATGTGGCCTCTTTGTTACTGAGTCATAGGTATTTGCTGAGATTTGCTATTAGGTCTGGTGTGGCTTATTCTTCTAGCTGCCAACCCAAATTACCCCTTCCTCCTTAGAAAAGAACCTGGGTTTTCTGTTCAGATTGGCAGTGTGCACTATTAAAAAGCTTCCATCTCCCGGCTGGGCACGGTGGCTCATGCCTCTAATCCCAGCACTTTGGGAGGCTGAGGCTGGGGGATCACCTGAGGTCAGGAGTTCGAGATCAGCCTGGCCAACATGGTGAAATCCCCTCTCTACTAAAAATATAAAAATTAGCCAAGTTTGGTGGCATGCACCTGTAATCCCAGCTACTTGGGAGGCTGAGGCAGGAGAATTCTTTGAACCCAGGAGGCAGAGGTTGCAGTGAGCCGAGATTGCGCCACTGCACTCCAGCCTGGGCAACAGAGTGAAACTCTGTCTCAAAAATAATAATAATAAAAAAAAGCTTCCATCTCCCAGCCCTTCTTGCAAGCAAGGGCAGGCCATTTCCTCCGGTCCTGGCTAGTATGAATATGAGAAGTCACTGGATGTGACTCTGGGGAAGATATTGTGTTCAGGGATGGTTTCATGTAGCCACATCTCTCCACTTCTTGCCTTTTGGACAAGTAGACATGATTTCTAGACCTAGAGGAGCCCTCCTGTGACCATAAGGGTAAAAGCCGCAAGCTAAGAAGAGGGTGGCCGGAAGTCATAACCATCTTGCTTCTGTAATCTAAAAAATATTTAGGATAGATTTAATAGAATTGGCATATTTATGTGATTGCAGCAGCCCTGGACTATTTATTTCTGGATGTCCCATACATGAAAAATATGCACTTCTTACTGGTACAGTTTTCTTTTGTTTGTTTTTGTTTTTGGTGGGAGGTTTATTTCACCTGAATATAATTCCTAACTGATGCACTTAGTATATGTCAGTTTTTATAAATGCTTCATGGATGGTTGAAATCAATGTATTGTATTCTACAAATGTCTGCTAGATCAAGCAAATGTGTTTAAAAACCATCTACACATTTATAAATGTTGATCTGTGATCTAGCATTTATTGAGAGAGGTATGTTAAACTCTCCCACCATGATTATGTATTGCTGAAAAATCTTTGTCATTCTGTCAGTTTTTAAATTTATGTATATACATACATATATATGTTTTGAAGCAATGAAATTAAATATAGATACTGACATTTTTTACATTTCCAACAAATTGTTACTTTTATTCTTATAAAGTGATCATCCTTTTCCCTATTACTGAACATTCAACCATTCATTGTAATGATAGTAAATACTTATTTAGAGTTTACTATTAATAGATAGTAGCCACTGCCTGAAGCTTTGCATCTTTTAATTTAGTCCTCACACTGACACTTTGAGGTATGTACTGTTATCCCCAATTCCCAGATGAGGAAGCTGAGGCCCAGCAAGTTAAGGTGGGCTATCAAAGTCATCTGGGTGGCATGTGACAGGCCTGACTCTCTCTACAGTGGCAGACCCAGGGGACTAGTCTCCATTTTTACTTGTTCTTTTTTTTTTTTTTTTTTTTTTTTTGGTTTTAAAGTTCTCTTAGGTATAACTTACATAAACGTTAATAAATCTTAGGGTACACCTTGGTGAATTTTGTATATGTCTATACCCACCACGGTCTCCATCAAAATATTTTATCGTCCCAGAAATTTCCCTTGGGCCCCACCTCATCCTCAAAGGTTATCACTATTCTGATGTCTATCACCATAGATTTGTTTTTCCTGTTCATGTAAATGGAACCATAAACAGCCCTCTTGTGTCTGTTTTCTTCACTTAATATAGTGTCATTGAGATTTATCTATGTTGTATTATCAGTAGTTTATGCTTTTTAATTGCTGTGTAATAGTCCATAGTCTGAATATACCACAATTTAAAAATTCTATTCTGTTTACAAACATTTGAGTTCTGTCCTCCAGGTTCATCCATGTTATCACAAATGACAGAATTTCCTTCCTCATCAAGGCTGAATAGTATTCCATTGTGTAGATATACCACATTTTCTTTATCCATTCATCCACCGATGGACAGTTAGGTTGATTCCATATCTTGGCTATTGTGAATAATCCTGCAGGTTTTATTGTTATGAATAAAGCTGCTGTGAATGTTCTTGTTAAGTCATACTGTGGACATAGGTATTCATTTCTCTTGAGTATAAATGTAGGAATGGAATTACTGGATTTTGGAGGAGACCTATCTTTAGCTTTAGTAGATCTTGCCAGACAGTTTTTCAATGTGGTTGAAACCATTTACACCTCAATTTGTACATCAATGAATGAAAGTTTCATTGCTTCACATCCTTGGCAACATGTGGTACTGTCACGCAAATTAATTTGAGCTACATTAGTGGGTATGCAGCAGTTTCTTAGGTTTAATTTGCATATTCTTGATAAGTAATGATGCAGTGGTAGATGGTTGCCACAATGACTTCTTCTATCCCTCTATGTATATGTCTTTTCCATGTGACTTTGCAGCTCCTCCTATCAAGAGGTGGAGTTTATTTCTCCAAACCTTGAAGACGAGCTTGGTCATGTGACTTTCTTTGGCCAATGGAGTGTTGACAAACATGACAGAAGCAGAGGCTGGAAGAACACACGTTGGGCTTTTCCTTCTTAGTTGTGACCATTTGTATGTCATCTGTGGAAAAATGTCTAAGTCCTTTGACCATTTTTAAATTAGTTTTTTGTTGTTGTTGAGTTGTGGAAGTTCTTTATATATTCTGAATATTAACCCCTTATCAGATATATGATTTGCAAATATTTTCTCCCATTCTAGGGGTTACCTTTTTACTTTATTAATTGTATCCTTTGATATGCAGAAGTCTAAGATTTTGGTGTAGTCCAACTTATAGATATTTTTTGTTTTCTTTAGATGTCATATCCAAAAAATCATTGCAAATCTAATGTCGTGAGGCTTACCCCCTATGTTTTCTTCTAAGAGTCTTATTGTTTCAGCTCTTGCATTTAGGTCTTTGATGTATTATGAGTTAATTTCTGTTTGTTTGTTTGTTCGTTTTTGTGTTTTTGAGACGGAGTCTTGCTGTGTTGCCCAGGCTGGAGTGCAATGGCGCAATCTTGGCTTACCGCAACCTCCGCCTCCCCGGTTCAAGTGATTCTCCTGCCTCAGCCTCCTGAGTAGCTGGGACTACAGGCGCATACCACCATGCCTGGCTAATTTTTTTGTATTTTTAGTAGAGATGGGGTTTCACCATGTTAGCCAGGATGGTCTTGATCTCCTGACCTTGTGATCTGCCTGCCTTAGCCTCCCAAAGTGCTGGGATTACAGGTGTGAGCCACCATGCCCAGCCAAGTTAATTTTTATATATGGAGTAAGAAAAGAGTCCAACTTCATTCTTTTGCATGTGCATATCCAGTTTTCCCAGCACCATTTGTTGAAGACTGTCCTTTCCCCATTGAATGGTCTTGGCACCCTTGTCAAAATTCATTTGACTATAAATGTGAGGTTTTATTTCTGGGCTCCCTCCTCGATTCCATTGGTCTATATGTCTTATCTTTATGCCATTACCGTATTGTGTTGATTACTGTAGTTTTACAATAAATTTTGAAATAAGTGTGGTGTGAGACCTCCAACTCTGTTCTTTTTCAAGATGGTTTTGACTTCTTGGTTTGGTATTCTTGAGATTTCATATGAGTTTTAGGATGGATATTTTTCTGTTTCTGCAAAAATATTAAGTCATTCAGCCCGTGAACATAGTATGTCTATTTGTGTCTCTTTTAAGTTCTTTCAGCAATGCTTTTTAGCTTTCAGTGTACAGGTTCTTCATCTCATTGGTTAAGTTAATTCCAAAGTATTTTATTGTTTTTAATGCTGTTGTAAATGGATTTGTTTTCTCAATTTCCTTTTTGGGTTGTTCATTGTTAGTGCATAGAAATGCAACTGTTTTTTTGTGTTGATCATCACACTTCTTTTGCAACCCATATTATGAAGTGTCACTACTCTCCTTGGTCCAAGTTAAAATGCTTTCCTGGATCCAAATGGCATTTCTTTTGTGGGGAATTATCAACAGTAAAGATCTAGGTTGATCAAAACTCAAGTGTGAGAAATGACCAACAGGAGAGGGCAGAGATATCCATGGGATGGAGATGAAATAGCCTTTGTTATTATGGGTATATTATGGGCCTCTTTTCTCATCCAATCCAGGATGCTGACATTCAAGGTGACAGATCAGCTGTTCATCTTGGGCTGCACCTGGTGTTTGGGCATTCTGCAGGTGGGCCCAGTTGCTATGCTCTTGCCTATCTCTTCACCATCATCAACACCCTGCAGGGTGTCTCCATCTTTTGGTGTACTGCCTTTTCAGTCAACAGGTGCCACTGTCTAGGTCCCACTCAAGACTCTTCTTGTCCTTGCCTATCTTAATGAGCTGACCCAGAAGATGCTTTGCCTCTAGCAGGTCTGGGGACAAAACAAGAAATGGTTCAAAAAGATCAGAATGAGAAGAGCTAGGTCTGAGAAATACACACACTTTAGAAGGGCTGTGCCTGATGCCTTCAAACCTAGCACAGTAAGATCATACATTGCTCTTCCCCACATAGCTTCTCTTACTGATTCACTTGGGGAGCACATGGTTATAACACTGGCAACCTGGTCCACAGTGGGTGATGTTCTAGGATGGCTCACACGAGGATGGGTCACACTTGGTTGATTTATTGGATGACATTTTCTCCATTAAAAAGTTTGTTTAAGCCGGGCGCAGTGGCTCACACCTGTAATCCCAGCACTTTGGGAGGCCGAGGCGGGTGGATCACCTGAGGTCAGGGGCTCGAGACCAGCCTGGCCAACATGGTGAAGCTCCATCTCTACTAAAAATACAAAAATTAGTTGGGTGTGGTGGCGGGAGCCTGTAATCCCAGCTACTCTGGAGGCTGAGGCAGGAGAATTGCTTGAACCCAGGAGGCGGAGGTTGCAGTGAGCCGACATCATGCCATTGCACTCCAGCCTGGGCAACAAGAGTGAAATTTTGTCTCAAAAAGAAAAACTTTGTTTAAAAATTTGGCTATTCCTCATTAGGTGACTGTGCTGCTTGATTCTTACACATGTGCATTAATTCTTTCCGTGAAAATATTGAGCACCTATTTGGTGCTGTATTTAATGCTATGTTCTTCATAAATGTAGGCAAATACCAAGCACTTTTAGGGAGAGATGTACTGTGTTAGTCTGTTTTTGCATTACTAAAAAGGAATACCTGAGACTGGGTAATTTATAAAGAAAAGAGGTTTAACGGGCTCACGGTTCTGCAGGCTCTACAAGCATGGCACCAGCCTCTGCTCAGCTTCTGGCGAGGGCCTCAGGAAGCTCACAATCATGGCAAAAAGTGAAGCAGGAGCAGGAACATCACATGATGAGAATGGGAGCGAGCAGGCAGGGGAGATTGCATGCTCTTTTAAACAACCAGATCTCGCATGAACTACTAGAGTGAGAACTGACAGCACCATGGGGATGACACTAAGCCATTCATGAGGGATTTGCCCCCATGATCCGAATACGTCCCACCAGTCCCCATCTCCAATATTGGGGATTACATTTCAACAAGAGATTTGGAGGAGACAAACATCTAAACTATATTATTCTGCCCCTGCCCCTTAAATCTCAATACCTTCTCAAATTGCAAAATACAATCATCCCTTCTAAATACCTCCCCAAAGTCATAAGTTGTTCCACCATCAACTCAATCAAAAGTCCCAAGTCCCAAGTCAAAAGTCTCATCTGAAGATGAATTCCTTCCCCGTGAGCCTGTGAAATCAAAGACATGTTATTTACTTCCAAGAGAAGATGGTGGTATGGGCACTGGTTAAACATTCTCATTTCAAAAGGGAGACACAGGCCAAAAGAAAAAGGCAACAGACCTCATGCAAGTTGTAAACCCAGAAGAGCAGTCATTAAATCTTAAAGCTCCAAAATCTCCTTTGACTCCATGTCCTGCGTCAAGACACACTAGTGCAAGATATGGGATCTCAAGGCTTTGGGCAGCTCCAGCCCTGTGGCTTTGCAGGGTGCAACCCCCATGGCTGCTCTTATGGGTTGGAGTTGAGTGCCTGCAGGTTTTTCAGGCAGAGGGCACAAGCTGCCAGTGAATCTACCATTCTGGGGTCTGGAGGGAGGTGGCCCTCCAGCTCCACTAGGCAGTGCCCTGGTAGGGATTCTTGTGGGGGTACGGGGGAATCCAATCCTAATAGAGTTCCTCTGTGGGAGCTATGCCCCAATGTCAGTCTCCTTCCTGGGCACCGTGGCTTTTCCATACATCCTTTGAAATCTAGGTGGAAGCCACTAAGCCTCCTTCATGCTTGCAATCTGAGCATCTGCAGGCTTAATACTACCTGGAACCACCAAAGCTTACAGCTTGCAACCTGCAGAGCTGCAACCCAAGCTATACCTGGGCCCCTTTGAGCCAAGGCTGGAGCCTTGAGTGGCTGGAACGTGGAGAATGGTGTCCAAAGGCTGCACAGGGCAGCGGGGCCCTGGAACTGGCCCGCTAAATCATTCTTTTCTCCTAGGCTTCTGGGTTTGTGATGGGAGAGGTGGCCTGGAAGATCCCCGAAATGCCTTCAAAGCCTTTTTCCTTTTGTCTTGGATCTTAGCACTTGGCTCCCTTTTAGTCACGTTAGTCTCTTCAGCAAGTGGTGGTTCTGCAGCCCTCTTAAATTCTTCCCCCGAAAATGCTCTTTCCTTCTTTACCGCATGGCCAGGTTGAGAATTTTCCAAGTTTTTATGCTCTGCTTCCCTTTTTAAATATAATGTTCAACTTTAATTCCTTTGCTCCCACATCTGACTGTAAGCTGTTAGAAGCAGCCGTGCCTCTCCTTGAACACTTTGCTGCTTAGAAATTTCTCCCACCAGACACTCTCTAAGTCATTACTATTAAGTTCAAACTTCCCGAAAGCCTTAGGACATAGACGCAATGCTGCCAGGTCCTTTGCCAGGGAATAACAAGGCTGACCTTTGCTCCAGTTCCCAGTAAGTTCCTCATCTGAGACCTCCTCAGCCTGACCTTCACTGTCCATATCTCTACCAGTATTTTGGTCACAACCCTTTAACCAGTCTCCAAGAAGTTCCAAACTTTCTCTCATATTCCTTCTTCCTTCTGAGCCCTCCAAACTCTTCCAACTTCTGCCTGTTACACAGTTCTAAAGCTGCTTTCACATTTTCAGAAATTTTCTGTATTAGCCTGTTCTTGCGTTGCTATAAAGGAATACCTGAGGCTGGGTAATTTATAAAGAAAAGAGGCTTTTTTTTTTTTTTTTTTTTTTTTGAGGTGGAGTCTTGCTTTGTTGCCCAGACAGTGCAGTGGCGCAATCTTGGCTCACTACAAGCTCCGCCTCCTGGGTTCACACCATTCTCTCACTTCAGCCTCCTGAGCAGCTGGGACTACAGGTGTCCGCCACCACGCCTGGCTAATTTTTTTGTATTTTTAGTAGAGACAGGGTTTCACCGTGCTAGCCAGGATGGTCTCGATCTCCTGACCTTGTGATCCGCCCGCCTTGGCCTCCCAAAATGCTGGGATTACAGGTGTGAGCCACCAAGCCCGGCCCAAGAAAAGAGGTTTAATTGGCTCACTGTTTTGCAGGCTGCACAAACATGGTACCAACATCTGCTTGTCTTCTGGTGAGGGCCTCAGGAAGCTTGTAATCACAGCAGAAAGCAAAGCGGGAGCAGGCACATCACATAGTGAGACCAGGAGCAAGAGACAGAGTAGAGACGTTCCATACTCTTTTAAACAACCTGATCTGGTGTGAACTACCAGAGCAAGAACTGACTTACAGCAAAGGGATTACTAAACCATTCATGAGCGATTTGCCCCCATGATCCAACACCTCCCACCAGGCCCCACCTCCAGCACTGGGGATTACATTTCAGTGTGAGATTTGGAGGGGACAAACATCCAAACTATATCATGTACCTATTAGTTAAATATAACCAAATATCTGAGGCAGTGATTTACAAACTTAAGAGTCCCAGTATCCTAATCATTTCCTTTAATCCCATTTAATGTTAAGTCTCACCTTATACCCTCTTGCCCACAATGGTGGAAAATCAATGGCTTATGTATACATGCATGCAGGTACACCTTTATAAAGTAAACTGAGCTATCTTACCTTGGAATTCAGAGTTTATAAAAATTTCCAGTACTTAAAAATATATTTGGCCAGGTGCGGTGGCTCACGCCTGTAATCCCAGCACTTTGGGAGGCTGAGACAGGTGGATCACGAGGTCAGGAGATCGAGACCATCCTGGCTAACACGGTGAAACCCCATCTCTACTGAAAATTAGCCGGGTGTGGTGGTGGGCGCCTGTAGTCCCAACTACTCGGGAGGCTGAGGCAGGAGAATGGCGTGAGCCTGGGAAGCGGAGCTTGCAGTGAGCCGAGATTGTGCCACTGCACTCCAGCCTGGGCGACAGAGCGAGACTCCGTCTCAAAAAAAAATTTTTTTTTCAGAATACTCAAGCTGCAAAATTTGAGCTGAGACTTGGTAAAGGCATGAGATAATTCTTCGAATATTTTTTCTATCTACAGGCTGAAGACAGAAACCTCGCTGCTTAGTGTCTCTTCTTATGCTAGGGTGTGATGACAGTCTGTTTCTCTGAGGTCTGGCTGAAGTTGTGGGGGTGGTCTTCTCCTCTCATCCCTGAGGTCTCTTCTGTAGCTTCATATCAGTTTTTAAATGGTCATGTTATCTTGCTAGGATATGTAGAAACTTTGTCTTATGTTTAGCTTTGAAGAATTTCTTGAAGCACATCACTTATAAATGTATTCAATAGAAAGATGAGCAGGTGAAGCCACTCATCTCAAACAACAGTTACTGCATCAAACTTTCTCTAGACCTGGGAATGAGTGACCTATGACGACAATGGAAAGGATGAAGAAAATGGCAAAAACTTCCATGTGAATCCCTTTACACCTTAGGTCATGTTGAATATAAAAATGCTCTAGCAATAAATGCTGGGTGCTGCAAAGTGAAACCAGCACTGAGGCAAAAGTTCTCTCAGCAAGGCAGTTTACTTCTGCAGAAGGGTGCCACCCACGTCAATCAAGATCCAAGAGCACAGAGAACAAAGGAGGCCAGGGGGGTTTTATATCCTTAACGCAATCCCTGCCTCCATGTCCTTCCCCCATGGGCTGGGGTCGGCACAATGTAAGCTGACCCGATTGGCTACTTGCGAATATTTCTCTCAAATAAAGAAGGGGGAAGGGGACGTGAGTTACAATGGTGGGACGTGCAGTTTTGAAGGGTATGTGTGTGGTTTTGAGGGGTGGAACGGGTGCAGAATGCGTGACCGAGGGAACAGATGTGAGTTATTGATTAGTGCCGACGGGAAGGCTGTTTATAGTAACTTGGGGCAGGGAGGCATAGAGACAAGGAAGTTAACAGACTGAACCTTTGAAGAGAAACCGAGAGATTCATTGCATCCTACAGTCAGGGTTTCTCAACTGTGACCTTATTGGCCAGATAATTCTTTGCTGTAGGAACTGCCCTATGCACTGAAGACTGTTGAGCAGCATCCCTGGACTATTAACTAAATGCCAGTAGCTTGGGTTGGGGAGATGTTGGTCAAACGATACACTTTTTTTTTTTGTTTTTTGAGACAGGGTCTAATTGTTGTTCAGGTTGGAGTGCAGTGGTGTGGTCACAGCTCACTGCAGCCTCAAACTACTGGGCTCAAGTGATCCTTCCTCCTCAGCCTCCAGAGTAGCTGGGACCACAGGCATGCACCACCATGCCTGGCTAATATTTTTTGTAGAGTTAGGGTTTCTCCATTTTGCCCAGGCTGGGCTTGAACTCTTGGGCTGAAGCGATCTGCCCACCCCAGCCTCCCAAAGTGCTGGGATTATGGTGTGAACCACTGCGCCCGGTGGGATACAAATTTCAGTTAGACAGGAGGAAGAAGTTCAGGAGATCAATTGTAGAGCATGGTGACTATAGTTAATAATAAATTATATTCTTAAAAAATGCTAAGAGAGTGGATGTAAATTGTTCTCACCACCAAATAATAACTATATGAGACGAGGCATACATTAATTTGCTAGATCTGGTTATTCCCCAATGTATACATCCATTAAACATCATGTTGCTCTTGATAAATACATCCAATTTTATCTGTCCAAAGAAAAATGCCAGTGGGATCCCTGCTAGTTGTATACTGGAAAGGGCAGAAATCCTCAGTTCTTTGTTGTCTTGAGAGAAAGATTTTGGCTAAAATGACTACTTTAGCCAAAAAGAGAATTTATTGAAGGAAAATAGAGAGAAGAGAGTTATTTTTATTTTTTATTTTTTGAGATGGAGTCTCGCTCTGTCACCCAGGCTGGAGTACAATGGCACAATCTCTGCTCACTGCAACCTCTGCCTCCCAGGTTCAAGTGATTCTTCTGCCTCGCAGCCTCCTGAGTAGCTGGGATTACAGGTGCCCGTGACCATGCCTGGTTAATTTTTGTATTTTTAGTAGAGATGGGGTTTCACCATGTTGGTCAGGCTGGTCTTGAACTCCTGACCTCAGGTGATCTGCCTGCCTCAGTCTCCCAAAGTGCTGGGATTACAGGTGTGAACCACCGTGCCCGGCCACTGTCTTCATTTTCAGAATGTTCCACTTAGTTCTTCCCAGCCCCTTCTCTCTTATCCCACCATCAGTCTGTCCTTCCTTCCTTCTTTCCTTCCTCCCTTCCTCTCTTTCTTTCACTTTTTTCTTTTTCTTTCTTTGCTTTTCCTTTCTCTATCTCCTTTCTTTTTCTTTGTCTTCCTCTCTCTTTCTGTATTTCTTGCACTGTAAATTTAAGAGTTTATTATTTAAAAAAAGTTAAAGCTAGCAAAGCAGTTTGTAATAACCCAAACTGGGAACAACCCAAATGTCTATCAACAGTGATTTTTTTAATTTCAACTTTTATTTTTAGATTCTGAGGGTACACGTTTAGGTTTGTTACAAGAGTATATTGCATGATGCTGAGGTTTGGGGTACAAATGAATCCAGTTAGTGAGCATAGTACCTGATAGGTAGTTTTTCAACCCTTGCCCTCCTCCCTCCCTCCTCCATCTAGTAGTCCCCATTGTCTAATGCTCCCATCTTTATGTTCACGTGTACCCAATATTTAGCTCTCTCTTACAGGTGAGAACATGCGGTATTTGGTTTTCTAAGTTAATTCACTTAGGATGATGGTTCCAGCTGCATTCATGTGGCTGCAAAACACACCACCATCAGTCTTTCAAACTCCCATCCCAGAATGCCCTAAATAGCAGATATTTAGGACATTCATAGGCAGTCCCTTACATGCTGCCCTGGTCTCAAGCACCGCCCCTCCTGCCCCCTCCCCCCAAGGATTGGCCCCTTTATTCATTCAATTTCTCTTCTCTTTCCCTCATTCTTCCTCCTTATAATTCCCTTTTCAGCCACCCAACTAATTTGGAAGAATTTCCACATCCAGTACTCTCTTGCATGTTCAGATCGCTAGAATCCAACCTCTGGATATCAAAGGATCACTACTGGGGCTTGAAGACTCCAAATCTGCAGATTCTGAAGCTTGCAGGTCAGTGGCCTTGGACTTTCAAACTTCCAGTTCCGTGACATCCGGGCTCCTTAACTTCCGGCTTCCGGGAGCTTAGTCACATACTTCTGGCTTCCGGATTGTAGGTTCCCCGCAAGGAGACTAAGGCCTGTGTGGGTCTTTGTTTCCCCAGCCGTGCAATGACTGTTAGATGCAGAAAGGGGGAAAACAGCCAGGGAAACTGCTCACAGTGGACCCCCACGGTGGAGAGCTGGAGGGAGAGGGTTCTTCAAACGTGTACCCTAGCTCCTTTGTCTGCTGTCTTTGGTGGGCGTGGTCTTGTACTTAAAATCCAGCTGAGAAGCCAAACTCTACCTTAAAGCCGTATTTCATGTTTCAAACTGGATGATATAATTCTGGAGAAATGAGATGGGAAACTCTGCTGCCTACTTGCCCCTTAACTCTTGTTTATCTTTGGGTTTCTTACTACATACCAGAGCTTAATCTTTATTTTCTTACTTAATATTCAAACACAACCCATGAGCAAATTAACATTATTTCCATCATAAATAAAGAGAATGGACTTAATAAATTTAAAAAGTGAAGATATGGGGGCAAATGGATGCTGCCATCAGCTGACCCTAGAGTTTCCTCTGACCTTCCTTCCCCAACCTCGTCTGTGTTTCACTTCTGCCATGTCCTTAAAGGGGCTGTGTGTCCCCCAGACCACAGAGTCCATTGCACTGCACCTTTCCTTCCTCCTCATTTTCCATCTTACAAATCATCAATATTCCTGGATGTAGGATCATGTCTGTCTTATATGTTTTAGTTTCTCTCAATTTAGCATTATGCCTTGCACGAGAGTATAGGAATACCTCATTTCATTGCCCTTCACAGATATTGCATTTTTTACAAATTGAACGTTTATGGCAGCCCTGTGTCGAGCAAGTCTGTAGGTGCCATTTTCCCAACAGCATGTGCTCACTTTGTGTCCCTGCTTGAGCATTTTTTAGGAATAAACTATTTTTAAATTAAAGTATGTACATTAAAAAAAAGACATAATGCTATTGCACACATTACAGTATAGGGTAAGCATACTTTTATGCACACTGGGAAACCAAAAAATGTGTATGACTTGCTTTATTGCAATATTCACATTATTGTGGTGATCTGGAGTGGAGCCTGCAATATCTCTGAGGTGTGTCTGTATGTGCTCATCACATATGTGATGAATGGATGAATAAATTAGTGTAGAGTGAAGTGCTTCCATGAACCTGAACATCATGGTCTGGAAACTATGGGCAGTGAGTCAAATCTGACCCACCATCTGTTTCTGTACAGCTAAGAATAGTTTTTACATTTTTCAAATGGGTGAAAACAAATAAAAAGAAGAATGATATTTTGTGTCACATGACTGATATATGAAGTTCAAGCTCAGTGTCCATAAAGTTTTATTAAAACATAGCCATGATCATTCATTTATGATTGTCTATAGCTGTTTTCATATCACAATGGAAGTTCAAGTTCAGTGTCTGTAAAGTTTTATTAAAACATAGCCATGATCATTCATTTATGATTGTCTATAGCTGTTTTCATACCACAGTGGTAGAATTGAGTTGCTGTAAATACCTGGCTCACAAAGCCTAACATATACACTATCAGGCTCTTTAAGAAAACATTTGGCGACCCCTGCTCTAGGTAGACTCTATGGGGATATGGGCTCTACACTCATAGGGACCCACATGTTCCAAGCCTCCAGCTGTGTGTTCTGCTTCCTCAAGCAGCAGCTGACTCTGATATTCCCCATCTCACCTTAGCAGTCTATATCAAGCAAAGGGCACGCAGAATCCCATGCACCCATCATGTATGTAATAAAAGGCAGATATTATGTGGTCTCTTGAACCAGCCTTAGGCATGGAGGTTGAGGATCAGGAGTGACTTGAGGGTACTGACTGGCAGAGCAGGAGCCCCGTTATTTTGGACAAACACCGCCACTTTAAGTTTCAGCTTCATTTTTAGCCTTCTGGATTTAAGGAAATTACTTTTTTAAAAACTATAAGCAGCCAAAAAAAGCAGACAGTAAAATGCAGATAAAACAGCTCGGGCACAGAGGAAGGTGGAGGAAAAGTCTCTTGGGTAACTGCCAAACTTCACCCTCATACAATGGGCCCCAGTAAAACAGTGGGCCTTAATAAGCACATTCCTTTCCCTCCAGGTGCACTAAAATAG
The DNA here is from genome assembly GCF_000001405.40 of Homo sapiens. NCBI lineage: Eukaryota > Metazoa > Chordata > Mammalia > Primates > Hominidae > Homo > Homo sapiens. Next base: position 14,733,499 of record NC_000019.10, read on the forward strand.
GGAAGCTAAAAGCAGACTTGGGGGGTATGCCTACAGCTGCAGAAAAATGTATAAAAGCAAACACACCACTCTCCCTCCCATATAAGCACAACAAAAAAAACACAGAAGCAGTCCAAGCCTCTAAGAAACTCTCCCACCCTAAATCCTTAAACACTCTTAGTCTGTAGAAAAGACTCTAACCTAATTCAGCCAGCAGCCCCTCTCAGGTGTGTTTTCTCTAAAATAAACCTGTCTTAACCATCAAGCCACTTTTTGTGTTTCTTTCCTCTTTCTTTAATTCTTACACTGACCTAGTGGTGGAGGCTTGGCAAGGATGCCTGTTACCAAGTGGGTTACTTCTGCACTATTTATAGAGAAGGAGAAATGGCTAAAAGTAGAGGTACCAGGTTGCCAACAATGGTTACTTGGGGGGTAGCATTCAAAGTTCTCCAAAGCCCCTAAATCAATACTCATTGAGCTTATACGGACAGGCACAGAGCAGTGAAAAATGTGAGTTGCACTGGGAAATGTTCCCAGCTGAGTTGACAAAGCAATGCTCTGTAATGTTTTGGTTCTTATAAAAAGGTGCCCAGAGGATGGAGATGGTAGGTAGTGTAGGGCAGTGCAAGAAGCTCCAGCTCTGGGACCAGTTGGATGGGGTTTGAATCCTAACCCTGGCTCCTGTTAGTGGGATGGCCTCAGGCAAGTCACTTAACATTCAGGATCTCAATTTCTCTTTTGTAAAACAAATAGAGGCTAGGTGCAGTGGCTCAAGCCTGTAATCCCCGCACTTAGGGAGGCTGAGGCCTGCGGATTGCCTGAGCTCAGGAGATTAAGACCTGAGCCTGGGCAGCATAGTGAGACCCACGTCTCTACAAAAAATACAAAAATTAGCCCGGTGTGGTGGTACACACCTGTAGTTTCAAATACCTGGAGGGGGACTGAGGCAGGAGGATTGCTTAGGCCTTGGGAGGTCGAGGCTGCAGTGAGCAGTGTTTGTGCCATTGTACTCCAGCATGGGTGACAAAGCAAGACCCTGCCTCAAAAAAAATTAGAATCTACCAGGTTGAGTTGCTTTTGGAACTTAATATTATCATCTATGTGAGATTTCATATATTTTTGTATTTTTACTAGAGACAAGATTTCACCATGTTGACCAGGCTGGTCTTGAACTCCTGACCTTAGGTGATCTGACCACCTCAGCCTCCCAAAGTGCTGGGATTATAGGCGTGAGCCACTGTGCCTGGCCAGGAGCAGAGGTTTAATAGGCAAAAGAAAGAGAAAGGAGAACAGCTCTTTCTCTTGCATGGGAGAGGGGCGTCTGAATGGGAAATCTGACCCTCGTCATAGTGTACCAGATTTTATAGACAGGCTTGAGAAGGCGGTGTCTGATTTACCTAGGGCCTACCCCTATGTGAGCTGGCCACCCCACCCTAATCTTATTATGCAAATGAGCTTTGGCTGACACTATGTTGCCTGCTTTTTACTGTACACATGGCTGGCAAAGAGAAGGGAACTTGGAGCCGCCATTTTGGACATGCCTAGTCTAGGTAGCTTTTTCCTATTGGCACAGCTGCCGGCATTCACCCGTGGAAGCTTCCAGCTTGCTTGTCTATGTCTGCAGCTCGATTTTACAGGCTGTTCTTTGTTAGAAAAGAAAATGATTTTGGGGGCTGCTTTTCATTAAATGGAAAACCTTACTGAGGACTTCCTACCCTTGCTATTTGCCTAAATGATTTCTCCTTAACTCCTATATCATCACCATGCTTGGCTAATTTTTAATTTTTTTTTTGGGTAGAGATGGTTCTCACTCTGTTGCCCACACTGGTCTCAAACTCCTGGGCTTGAGCCATCCTCCTGCCTCACCCTCCCAAAGTGCTAGGATTACAGGGCATGAACTGTGCCATACCCATCTTCGAGGTTTTATGGTCATGTAGAATTTCTGTTCAAGGAAAGCAGATAACAGACAGGGTTAAGGGCATTTGCTTGGAATATTTAGGAGTTTTGCAGGTCATTCCTTTGAAATGGAATTTGTTGCACATCCCCGATCTGAGATTAGAAACTTTTCTGCATGTTGGTGTGAAGACGAAAGAAGACAGTGTTTATAAAATAGTTTATACTTCAATTGCCTAGCAGTAGAAACCTGATTTCTAGGAATTTCGGCTTCTGAGTCAACTCTAGCTGCAAGAGCCACTTCATTTTCCCCTAAAAGCTCCATGAAGGCAGGAGCCGTGTCTCTCTTGATCTATGTGTGAGTAATCAATATTTTTCACATGACTAAATAATCAAACCCGTAGAACTAGAGAACAACAAAAACAAAAACAAAAAATTAAGAAATCCAGATCGTGGTGTGAACATTCTAGTCCTTTCAGATGTTGTCGGTATGAAAGTCCTCTTAGGCTCGTTTTCCTGCTTCATTTTAAGATTTGGAGGAGTCTTTGTAGGAAGGAGAGGCTGTGAAAGAGGTCTTAACGTTCTATAGCTTCATAAATATTGTGCTTCAGAGTGACCAAGATATGGGCCACAGCTGGCCGTCCATATGCTGAGAGTTTGATGAGCACATTGCAGGGCATGGAAGATTTCCGGTTTCTGCAGGAATTGAATGCCTAGCACGCCTTCCATAACATCCTTCATATTGCTGACATGGTGAATTTCTTGAAACACACAGAACAAAGTCTTTTCTTTCCCCTCTAGATGGCTCAAAGATTGTTCAGATTTTCCACGGGCAAAGAGGGAAGATCTTATTCAGAAGATTTTTCTAGTTAACCTGAAATATATATATATGTATGTATTTTGTTGTTGAGACAGAGTTTCACTCTTGTTGCCTGGGCTGGAGTGCAATGGCGCAGCCTCGACTCACTGTAACCCCCGCCTCCCAGGTTCAAGCAATTCTCCTGTCTCAGCCTCCAGAGTAGCCAGGATTAGAGGCATGTGCCACCACACCCGGCTAATTTTGTATTTTTAGTAGAGACAGGGTTTCACCACGTAGGCCAGGCTGGCCTTGAACTCCTGACCTCAGGTGATCTGCCTGCCTCAGCCTCCCAAAGTGCTGGGATTACAGGTGTGAGCCACTGAGCTGGCCTGAAATATATATATATTTCTAAATATATTTAGAAACATAGATATATTTAGAAGTATATAGATATTTAGAAATATATAGATATTTAGAAATACATAGATATTTCTAAATATATATATTTAGAAATATATAGATATTTAGAAATATATAGATATTTAGAAATATATAGATATTTAGAAATATAGATATTTAGAAATATATAGATATTTAGAAATATAGATATTTAGAAGTATAGATATTTAGAAATATATAGATATTTAGAAATATATAGATATTTAATATCTATATATTTAGAAATATATAGATATTTAATATCTATATATTTAGAAATATATATATTTAATATCTATATATTTAGAAATATATATATATTTAGAAATATATATGACTATAGAAAGAAAACCTATAATTTCCATTTTGAAAAAGAAATAAGAAATTAGTTAAATAAGTAGATTATAGCTGCTTGTGCCACAAAAATAAGTAACTATGTGAGATGATAGATATATTAATTTGCTTCACATATAGATAACCATTTTATTATCTATATGTATCCCATAACTTCATGGGTTAAACCTCAATTGTGTGTATACACAATAAAATTTATTAAAAAAAAGAAATTTAAGAAGTCTTTTTTTTTTTTTTCTTTTTAGAGACAGGGCCTTGCTCTGTCACCCAGTCTGGAGTGCAGTGGCACCATCTCTGCTCACTGCAACCTCCAACTCCCAGGTTCAAGTGATCCTCCTGCCTCAGCCTCCCGAGTAGCTGCAACTACAGGCATGTGCCACCACTCCTGTCTCATTTTTTAATTTTAATTTTTTGTAGAGATGGGGTCTCACTGTATAGCCCAAGCTGCTGTTGAACTTCTGGGCTCAAGTGATCCTCCCATCTCAACCTCCCAAAAATGCTGGAATTCTAGGTGTGAGCCACCATGCCTGGCCAAGAAGTCTTTAATCATAAGGTTTTCTTACCATATGTATTTGTCAGGGCAACATCAAAAGGCCATATCAGCTTTCATTTTGCTCCATCCTGTTCTTTCTCAGAAGCCCCATCTTTGTATGCCTCCTAAACCCCAAGTTACCAAAGTTAAGAGGAAGTAAATGTGTTGCAGTAAAGTATCTATCTGGGCCAGGTGTGGTGACTCACACCTGTAATCCCAGCACTTTGGGAGGCCGAGGCGGGCAGATCACTTGAGGTCAGGAGTTTGAGACCAGCCTGGCCAACATGGTGAAACCCTGTCTCTACTAGAATACAGTAGTAATAATAATAATCAATTAGCTGGGCTTGGTGGCAGGCGCCTGTAGTCCCAGCTACTCGGGAGGCTGAGGCAGGAGAATCGCTTGAATCTGGGAGGTGGGGGTCACAGTGAGCCAAGATGGTGCCACTGTACTCCAGTCTGGGCGACAGAGTAAAACTCCCTCTCAAAAAAAAAAAAAAAAGTTGTATCTGAAGTAGGGTGATTATAGTTAACATTAATCTACCATACATTTCAAACTAGCTAGAAGAGAATAATTTGAATGTTATTAGTACAAAGAAAAGATAAGTATTTAAGGTGATAGATATCTTAGTTACCCTGATTTGCTTATATGAGTGTAGCAAATGATCACATGTACCTAGAAACTATGTACGTCTATTATGGATCAATTAAAAAACATTTAAAAAGATCTATCTGTTTCCAAATGTATGTCTTGACCTCGGAGCTCCAGGGTTTGTGTAATGTTGCTTTAAATGTGGAGTCATAAAAGAAGCCAGGTGGGAAATTAATGAAATGTTAGAAGTGTTATCTATTGTTAACCACATAAGATTTAAAGGAAAAAGCACTGAATTCCTTTTTTTTCCCCTGAGACAGGGGTCTTGCTTTGTTGCCCAGGCTGGAGTGCAGTGATGGGATCATAGCTCACTGGATACTTGACCTCCTGGGCTCAAGCAATACTCCAATCTTAGCCTCCCGGTAGCTGGGACTACAGGCATGCACCACCATGCCTGGCTAATTTTTATACTTTTTGTAGAAACGGAATTTTGCCATGTTACCCAGGCTGGTCTTGAAGTCCTGAGCTAAAGTGATCTGCCTGCCTCGGCCTCCCAAAGTGCTGGGATTACAAGCGTGAGCCACTGCGCCCAGCCTGAATTCCTTTTTTCCATATCTTTTCCATCTCCAATATGAGTTATTTATTCCTAGGTTCATAGGAAACTCAGTGTAATTTCTATGGTTCGAGATGGTCAGCTTCACTTGCTTATATAGTTAGTATTTAATGCATAATTAATATGTGCTCAAGAGATTAATAAATATTGTGCTTCAGGAGATTATTCAGTAGTGATCACAAGACATTTTGTTTTTATGAAACAAGACTGCAGAAAGCCATGGCAGAGACTGCAGAATAAGAGCAAGACACACATTTTCTTTTCTTTTCTTTTCTTTTTTTTTTTTTTTTTGAGACATAGTCTCACTCTGTCACCCAGGCTGGAGTGCAGTGGCTCGATCTTGGCTTTACTGCAACCTCTGCCTCCTGGGTTCGAGTGATTCTTGTGCCTCAGCCTCCCAAGTAGCTGGAATTACAAGCATCCACCACCATGCCTGGCTAGTTTTTGTGTTTTTAGTAGAGGTGGGGTCTTGCCATGTTGGCCAGGCTGGTCTCGAACTCCTGACCTCAAGTGCTCTGCCCGCCTTGGCCTCCCAAAGTGTTGGGATTACAGGTGTGAGCCAGCGTGTCCGGCCAAGGCACATACATTTTCAAACACCAGAGATAACAAGTTTTAGGAAACAGTAGAAGATAAAATGACATTAAGTAATGCAATGGATTTTCTTGGTCCTTTGTCAGTAGCTGGTAGAAATATCTGATCACACACCTTAAATTTCAGAAGCCTTTGTTGGCTATCTGATGACCTAACTCTAATTCCCTACACAAAAGTACATGTTTCCTTTCTTCAATGTGTATATATCATTTCTAGTGGCTGTGTGGGGTGAAAGGGTGATAAATATTTATGCAAATATCTACAATATGAGGCAGGTTTTGATGATTCTACAATAGGTAAACCCAAACTATATGGGTATGAGAGACAGAATAATGACCCCCCAAAGAGGTTCACATCCCTAATCCCCAGAACCTGTAAATGCTACCTGACATGGAGAAAGAGACTTTGTAGATACGGTTATGAAAAGGATCTTGAGATGGGAAAATTGCCCTGGATTGTCTTGGTGAACCCAATGTAATCATCAAGGTCTTTATAAAGTATGAAGGCTGTAGGAGAGTCAAAGACAGGGATGGACTGGGCGCAGTGGCTCACGTCTGTAATCCCAGCACTTTGGGAGGCCAAGGCGGGCAGATGGCTTGAGGCCAGGAGTTCAAGACTAGCCTGGCCAACATGGTGAAACCCTGTCTCTACTAAAAATACAAAAATTAGCCAGGCGTGGTGGCGGGTGCCTGTAATCCTAGCTACTCGGGAGGCTGAGGCACGAGAATCACTTGAACCCTGGAGGCAGAGTTTGCAGTGAGCCCAGATGGTGTCACTGCACTCCAGCCTGGGTGACAGAGCGAGTGAGACTCTGTCTAAAAAAAAAAAAAGAGGATGGACAGTCAATAATATGGGAATGTGGAAGGTGGATGGTCATGTTTGGTTGTATGATTGAGAGCATGGAGTTTACAATGTGTCATCATGATGACTTGGATTTGTGTGTGTGTGTGTGTGTGACATAGGTGGTGAGGGCATTTAGTGAGAACAGAAAAGGAAATAGAAGATCCTGTGTTGGAAACAGGGATTGTGCAGGTTGGATGAAAAAGGTAATGAGGCCAGGTGTGGTGGCTCACGCTTGTAATCCTAGTACTTTGGGAGGCTGAGGCGGGCAGATCACCTGAGGTCGGGAATTTGAGACCAACCTGACCAACATGGAGAAATCCCGTCTCTAGTAAAAATACAAAATTAGCCAGGCTTGGTGGCACATGCCTGTAATCCCAGCTACTTGGGAGGTGGAGGCAGGAGAATCGCTTTAACCCAGGAGGCGGAGGTTGCGGTGAGCTGAGATAGCACCATTGTACTCCAGCCTGGGTAATAAGAGCGAAACTCCGTCTCAAAAAAAAAAAAAAAAGAAAAATAAAAAAGGAAAAAGGTAATGAGAGAAATGCAAATGTGGAAAAAGTGCCTGGCAGCATGGTGGGCTTCTTTTCAAGACTTTAAAAAATTTATTATTTATGTATTTACTTTACACAAGGGGTCTTGCTCTGTCACCCAGGCTGTAGTGCAGTGGCATAATCGTAGCTCACCGTGGCCTTGAACTCCTGGGCTCAAGTGATCCTCCTGCCTCAGCCTCCCAAGCAGCTGGGATTATAGGCATGCACCACCATGCCCAGCTAGTTTTTATATTTTGTGTAGAGATGGGATTTTGCCATGTTGCACAGGTTGGTCTCCAACTCCTGGGCTCAAGCGATCCTCTCGCCTCCCAAGTAGCTGGGACTACAGGCATGTGCCACCACGCCCAGCGAATTTTTAAAACTTTTTTATAGAGATGGGGTCTCGTTACATTGCCCAGGCTGAATAGGCTGTTTTTTTTTTTTTTTTTTTTGGCAGAGTATTGCTGTGTTGCCCAGGGTGGAGTACAGTGGCATGGGGCAATCTTGGCTCACCACAACTTTTACCTCCCCGGCTCAAGCAATTCTTGTGCCTCAGCCTCCTGAGTAGCTGGGATTATAGGTGTGCACCACCATGCCTGGCTAATTTATGTATTTTTAGTAAAGATGGAGTTTTGCCATGTTGGCCAGGCTGGTCTCGAACTCCTGGCCTCAGGTGATTTGCTTGCCTTGGCCTCCTGAAGTGCTAAGATTATAGGTATGAGCCACGGTGCCTGGCCCTGAATGGGCTCTTTAAATGTGAAGCAAGACTCAAGAGGCCTAAATCTCACTGGCTGAAGAGACTCTGTACATTTCTTTTTTTTTTTTTTTTTTTTTTGAGACAGAGTCTCGTTCTGTTGCCCAGGCTGGAGTGCATTGGCGCGATCTCGGCTCACTGCCAGCTCTGCCTCCTGGGTTCACACCATTCTCCTGCCACAGCCTCCCGAGTAGCTGGGACTACAGTCGCCCACCACCACGCCTGGCTATTTTTTTTTTTTTTTTGTATTTTTAGTAGAGATGGGGTTTCACCGTGTTAGCCAGGATGGTCTCGATCTCCTGACTTTGTGATCCACCTGCCTCGGCCTCCCAAAGTGCTGGGATTACAGGCATGAGTCACTGTGCCTGGCCGAGACTCTGTACATTTGACACAAATCCAAGTAGTCTTACTTTGCTCATCAGTGAAATGGGGTTAGAATTACACATATAATCTGGAGAAGATGGAAGAAGAGGTGAGAAAAATACAACAGAACTTTGTATGTCTACATTAATAAATGTTGGTTATTAGTCATCAATGTCATGAATTATCCCATGCCATTGAGGCATAGGATAATATGGCTTCAAGTGATCCCCAAGTTGTCCCGGGCTCAAGTGATCTTCCTGCTTTGGCCTCCCAGAGTGCTGGCATTACAAGCTTGAACCACTGTTCCTGGCTGATTTATAAAAAAGCATTTAAACTGAGATCATTGCTAATGGTTAATGAGTCAAGGAGTCGCTCAAATGTGAACCCTCTTAGGGCATCACCCGCTGATTCCCAGGTTGCCCAGTGTGTTTTTAAAACTTTATTTATTTAATTTTGTTATTTGTATTATTTTCTAGAGAAGAGGTCTTGCTGTCATCCAGGCTGAAATGCAGTGGCACAATCATAGCTCACTGCAGCCTCAAACTCCTGGGCTCAAGTGATCCTCTCACCTCAGCTTCCTGAGTTGCTGGGACTACAGATGCACACAACCACCCTCAGCTAATTTTTAAATGCTTTATAGGGACGAGGTGTCACTGGGTTGCTCAGGCTAGTCTTGAACTCTTGGCCTCAAGCAGTTGTCCTGCCTCAGCCTCCTAAAGTGCTGGGATTACAGGCATGAGCCACCATCGCTGGCCCCATTACTGCTTTTCTTTCTGAGTTTTGCAGTGGGTAGAGGGTGCTGAGTAGAGGCACTGCCCACTACCCACTACTAAGTGGTAGTTGGTAGAGGCAGACTTGTTAAGAAAGCCTAAATCCCAGTTAACACTTATTTCTGTTTAATTCATAAATATGTACAGCATTTCCTCCCATGCTTGCCTTATTGGGTGGTGGTGCCAAGTGACTGTGAGATAGACTTGTATGTAGAGGAAAGGGATAGGGTAAATGCTTCTAGGTAGAATGTGCATCACTGCTTCAGATCAATTCCTGCTCATTTAGTTAACCATGCATGGCACATAGTAGGTGTCCAATAGGAGTGTTTGTGTGTGAGAGTCAAACTAAGCACAGTTCCCTAAGGAGTAAGAGCCAAGGATTTTTTTTTTTTTTTTAATTTTTGGGATAGGGTCTCACTCTGTTGCCTGGGCTGGAGTGCAGTGGCATGATCATGGCTCACTACAGCCTCAACCTACTGGGCTCAAGTGATTGTCCCACCTCAGCCTCCCGAGGAGTAGCTGGGACTACAGGTGTATGCCACCATGTCTGGCTAATTTTTATTTTTATTTTTTGTAGAGATGGGATCTTGCTATGTTGCCCAGGGTCATCTTGCACTCCTGGCCTCAGGTGATCCTCTTGCCTAGGCCTCCCAAATGCTGGGATGACAGTGATGCTGGGATGACAGGCTATGACTGATTAAAAAAAAACATTTAAACTGAGATCATTGCTAATGGTTAATGAGTCAAGGCGTACTCAGATGCGAGCCTTTCTAGGGCATTGCCTGCTGTATTCCCAGGTTTCCTTGTGTGATAGGCACATGCTCCTCAGGTGGGTCGGTTAGTGAAGTGCTCTGGAGCAATGCGTGATCTTACCGTGCTGGGTTTGGAGGTGTCAGCCTTAGCACTGCTGGAGAGTGTGTGCATCTCAGACTCAGTTTTCAATTTCCTGATCCCTTTGGACCATTTCCCATATTGCTCCCGGACCTGCAGAGGCAAAGTGTGTACTGGGTCAGCTCACAGAGAGCAGTGAGGACAGGAAGAGTCCTGGGTGGGAGCTGGGCAGTGGTACCTGCTGGCTGAGGAGGCAGTACACCAGGAAGATGAAGACACCCTGCAGGCTGTTGATGATGGTGAAGAGGTAGGCCATGACCCGGGCAGCCGGACCCACCTGCAAGATGCCCAGACACCACGTGCAGCCCAGGATGAACAGCTGAGCTGTCGCTTTAAATGCCAGCATCCTGGATTGAGTAAGAAAGGAGGCTGGTGATGCACCCAGAGAAAGAGAATCAAGGCTATTTCATCTGTGCCCATGGAGTCCCCTGCCCTCCCCTGTAGATGATTTCTCAGACTGGGCTGTGGTCAGCTTAGATATTTACTGTCAACTATAGCCCACAGTAGAAATGCCACCTGGGGTTGGCCACGGTGGCTCATGCCTGTAATCCCAGCACTTTGGGGGGCCAAGGCAGGCAGATCACCTGAGGTCAGGAGTTCGAGACCAGCCCGACCAACATGGTGAAACCTGGTCTCTACTAAAAAAATACAAAAATTAGCCAGGTGTGGTCGGGGGGGCGCCTGTAATCCCAGCTACTCAGGAGGCTGGGGCAGTAGAATTGCTTGAACTCAGGAGGCGGAGGTTGCAGTGAGTCGAGATAGAGCCACTGCACTCCAGCCTGGGAGTGACAGAGCGAGACTCTGTCTCAAAAAAAAAAAAAGGATTATTTTTGAATATGCAAAGAGATTTCTGTGTTCATGAACTACACAGTCTCTTCAAATCACCAATACAACCAGGCATGACACACAAAATTTGGAAAGGATAATGATAGGAATCTAGAAGAAAGTTCATTAATTTTGCACAAGGGTGCCTGGAACAACAAACTGCTCAAACCCTGTAGAGGAATTATTTTTATTTTTATTTATTTATTTTTTTGAGATGGAATCTCCCTCTGTCACCCAGGCTGGAGTGCAGTGGCGTGATCTTGGCTCACTGCAACCTCTGCCTCCCAGGTGAAGTGACTCTCCCACCTCAGCCTCCTGAGTAGCTGGGATTATAGACGCCCACCACCATGCCTGGCTAATTTTTGTATTTTTAGTAGAGATGGGGTTTCACCATGTTGGCCAGGCTGGTCTTGAACTCATGACCTCAAGTGATCCGCCTACCTCGGCCTCCCAAAGTGTTAGGATTACAGGCGTGAGCCACCATGCCTGGCCCCCGTAAAGGATTTAATGTTGATTAGGATTTTCCCAGAGGGAGGATTGCATGAGAAGTGATGAGGAGCCTGAACTGAGGGTACGGTATGAAGGTGCAGACTGGGCTGTGGGAACAGGCAAGAAAATGTACGTGTTCTTTGCACTTTTTTTTTTGAGTTGGAGTCTTGCTCTGTCACCTAGGCTGGAGTGCAGTGGCGCAATCTCGGCTCACTGCAACCTCTGCCTCTCAGGTTCAAACAATTCTCCTGCCTCAGCCTCTGGAGTAGCTGGGATTACAGGCACCCGCCACCACGCCCAGCTAATTTTTGTATTTTTAGTAGAGACGGGGTTTCACCACGTTGGTCAGGCTGGTCTCTTTGGCCAGGCTGGTCTCGAACTCCTGACCTTGTGATCTGCCCCCGCCCCTCAGCTTCCCAAAGTGCTGGGATTACAGGCATGAGCCACCATGCCCGGCCTTCTTTGTGCTTTTGTTATAGGACTGCTGACAAAAGTCCAAAGAAGTTTTTAACCTTTTAGTTTATTGATTCGTAATGTTTGTACATCTTTGTGGGGACATATGTGATATTTTGTTAACATGCATAGAGTGTGTCATGATTAAGTCAGAGTATTTGGGGTATCCGTCACTTCGCGTGTCTACCATTTGTATGTGTTGGGAACACTTCAAATTCTCCCCTCTAGCTATTTTGAAATATACAACATATTGTGAACTAGAGTCACCCTACTCTGCCATCCAATATTATAACTTATTCCTTCTATCTGACTGTATGTTGTACCCATTAACCAACCTCTCTTCATCGCCTTGCCCACTCACATACCCTTTCCAGACTCTGGAATCTATCATTCTACTTTATTTTTATTTTTAGTTTTTGAGGCAGAGTCTCACTCTATTGCCCAGGCTGGAGTGCAGTGGTGTGATCTCGGCTCACCGCAACCTCCGCCTCCTGGGTTCAAGCGGTTCTCCTGCCTCAGCCTCCCGAGTAGCTGGGACTACAGGTGCCTGCCACCATGCCCGGCTAACTTTTATCATTCTACTTTCTGCCTCCACAAGATCAGCTTCTTCGGCTCCTCTCTATGTAAGTGACAACCTGTGGTATTTGTCTTTTTGTGCCTGGCTTATTTCACTTAAGAGAGTGACCTCCAGTTTCATCCATGTTGCTGCAAATGACATGGTTTCATTCTGTTTTGTGATCGAATCGTATCCTATTTTGTATATATACCATTTACCAGTCAATGAAGATTCTTCCTGTTGCTCTGGGATTCACAAACTGAGATTAGACATGGACAAAACATGTTGCATGGGGTCTCAACAGGATACCACTGAATCTGTGATGGCTGCCATAGAAGGATGGCTGCGTCTGTTTTTTCTGGGTCCCTTCAAAAGACCCTGAGAAGGGACCTCAGTGGCTGCTGAGGCACATGGCTTGGCTCTTGGGAACCATACATGTCTGTGTGGTTATCACCCCCTTCTCCATCTTACCTTGTGTTCCGGAGGGTGGACACTTCACTATTGAGGGAGGAGAGTCTGTTTTTCAAAATCCAGAGAGTCACCAGAAAGAGAACTAAATTCACCTTCAGAAAACCACAGAAGATTTGTTGAATAGATTTTGAAACCTGTTATCTCTTTTTTTTTTTTTTTCAGACAGGGTCTTGCTCTGTTGCCCAGGCTGGAGTGTGGCGGTGCAATCTCAGCTCACTGCCACCTCTGCCTCCCGGGTTCGAGCGATTCTCCTGTCTCAGCCTCCCGAGTACAGGCACCCACCACCACGCCTGGCTAATTTTTGTATTTTTAGTAGAGACAGGGTTTCACCATGTTGGCCAGGCTGGTCTTGAACTCCTGACCTCAAGTGATCTGCCTGCCTCGGCCTCCCAAAGTGCTGGGATTACAGGCGTGAGCCACCACACCGGGCCTGAAGCCCATTATCTCTTCATCCTAGCCTGTCTAATATGAATTATACACGTAAGTCTTTTTCTTAAATATTGAGTAACAGTGTTGAGTTTGAAGATTCAAGAGTGGTCTTAGGAAACCTAACCCAACCCATGACAACCCAGGGGACATTCCTGCTCTTGTCACCATCTTTATTATCTTGTTTTTCTAATGACCCTCAGCGGGGCAGCGAGGATGCTCAGATGATGTCACTCACAGAGAAGATGGCGCAGACAGGTCCAAGGAAGCCCCATATAAATCCCTTTTCTGGTTGGAGCCAGCAGCTGAAAAAAGAGAGATTAAAAAAAATGCATCAGTTTTTGGAGATATGGAACAGTTATGTAAATCTATTCCATCCCTCCTCACCACTTCCTCACTTCCTTCCTACGTCAACAATATTAAGTGTTTCTTTAGTGATAGGGTCTGTGGTTGGCTCTGAAGATACAGTGGTGGAGAAAATGAACACGGTCTTAGATCCCCAAAATTTCAACTCAAGGAAGATACACACAATCAGACACATTCAAACAATGAAACAAAAATGGAAGGTTGTGCCAGGCACAGTGGCTCACACCAGGACTTTGGGAGGCCGAGGTGGGAGGATTGCTTGAGACCAAGAGCTTGAGACCAGCCTGAGCAACATAGCAAGACCCCATTTCTACAAAAAATAAAAAAATAGCCGGGTGTGGTGGCTCACACCTGTATTCCCAGTTACTTGGGAGACTGAGGTGGGAGGATCGCTTGAGTCCAGGAGGTCGAGACTGCAGTGAGCTGTGATTGCACTACTGCACTCCAGCCTGGGCAACAGAGCAAGACCTATATTGCAGCATTTTAAAATGGCTGAATGAGGCCAGGTGCAGTGGTTCACACCTGTAATCCCAGCACTTTGGGAGCCGAGGCGGGTGGATCATTTGATATCAGGAGTTTGAGACCAGCTTGCCCAGTGTGGTGAAATCCTTTCTCTACTAAAAACACACAAAAAATGAGCTGCGTGTGGTGGCGCATGCCTGTAATCTCAGCTACTCGGGAGGCTGAGGCATGAGAATTGCTTGAACCCAGGAAGCAGAGAGCAGAGGTTGCAGTGAGCCAAGATGGCACCACTGCACTCCAGCCTGGGTGACAGAGTGTTTCTAAATAAATAAATAATGACTGAATGGTCTCTTAACGTTCCTTTTTATGGCTGAATAACATTTCATTGTGGATATATTACGTTTTGTTTATTCATTCATCAGTGATAGGCATTGTTTCCAATTTTTGACTATTCTAAATACTGCTTCTATGAGCATTCATGTACAACATTTTTCTAAACGTTTATTTTAGGTTCAGAGGTACATTTTGTAGGTTTGTTATGTAGGTAAAATGCATGTTGCGGCGGTTTGGTGTACAGATTATTTCGTCACCCTGGTCATCAGCACAGTACTCTATAGGTCGTTTATTTATCCTCGCCCTCCTCCCACTCTCCACCCTCAAGCAGGCTTCGGTGTCTGAAGTTTCCTTGTTTGTGTCCATGGGTACCCAATGTTTAGCTCCTACTTATAAGTGAGAACATGCGGTATTTGATTTTCTGTTCCTGCATTAATTCACTTAGAATAATGGCCTCCAGCTCCATCCATATTGCTGCAAAGGACATGATCTTGTTATTTTATTTTTTTGAGATGGAGTCTCGCTCTGTGGCCAGGCTGAAGTGCAATGGAGCCATCTTGGCTCACTGCAAACTCCACCTCCCAGGTTCAAGCGATTCTTGTGCCTCAGCCTCCCAAGTAGCTGGGATTACAGGCACCCACGACCACGCCCAGCTAACTTTTGTATTTTTAGTAGAGACGGGGTTTCACCATGTTGGCCAGGATGGTCTCAATCTCTTGACCTTGTGATCTGCTCGCCTCGGCCTCCCAAAGTGCTGGGATTCCAGGTGTGAGCCACCGCACCCGGCCGATCTCCTTATTCTTTATGGCTGCATCATGTACAAGTTTTTTTGTGGACATCGTTTTCATTTGTTTTGGGTATATACCTGGGTCATATGGTAGCTCTATGGTTAACTTTTGGAGGATTAGTGTTAATAGTTCACAAAACCAAAAACGGAAAAAGAGGAAGCACTTTCCAAATCTTCTACGAGGCCAGTGTTACTCTGACACCAAACCCAGAAATAGACATCACAAGAAAAGAAAACTGCAGACCAAAATCCCTTATGAAAATGAATGCAAAAATCCTCAAAAAAATACTAGCCGACCAAGTCCTGCAACATATTAAAAGGATTATATACCCTGACCAGGTGGTAATTATCCCAGGAATGTAAGGCTAGTTTAACATCTAATCATCCATCAATGTAATACACATATTAATAGAATAAAGGATTAAAGTTATATGATCACATTATAGTTATATAATTATGTAATCATATAATTATAAGATCACATTATAATTATATAACCATATAATTAGCCATATATAACCATATAATATTCCCCAGGACTCAAAGGTAAATAATTAATCATATATAACCATATAATTATATAACCATATAATTATAATGTGATCATATAATTTTAATCCTTTATTCTATTAATATGTGTATTAATAAAATAAAGAATTAAGGAAGCATATAATTATGCTTATATAATTATATGTAATTATATATGATATATACATATATAATATAATTATAATGATATGATAATATATGATTATACAATTTAATGTGATCATATTATTTATAGTTATATAATATAATTATTTATAGTTATATAATTATTTATAGTTATGTAATATAATTATTTATAGTTATGTAATATAATTAGTTATGTAATATAATTATTTAGTTATGTAATATAATTATTTATAGTTATGTAATATAATTATTTATGGTTATATAATTATTTATAGTTATGTTATGTAATTATTTATAGTTATATAATTATTTATAGCTATGTTATATAATTATTTATAGTTACATAATTATTTATAGCTATGTTATGTAATTATTTATAGTTATATAATTATTTATAGCTATGTTATGTAATTATTTATAGTTACATAATTATTTATAGCTATGTTATGTAATTATTCATAGTTACATAATTATTTATAGCTATGTTATGTAATTATTCATAGTTACATAATTATTTATAGCTGTGTTATGTAATTATTCATAGTTACATAATTATTTATAGCTATGTTATGTATTCATAGTTACATAATTATTTATAGCTATGTTATGTAATTATTCATAGTTACATAATTATTTATAGCTATGTTATGTAATTATTCATAGTTACATAATTATTTATAGCTATGTTATGTAATTATTCATAGTTACATAATTATTTATAGCTATGTTATGTAATTATTCATAGTTACATAATTATTTATAGCTATGTTATGTAATTATTCATAGTTACATAATTATTTATAGCTATGTTATGTAATTATTCATAGTTACATAATTATTTATAGCTATGTTATGTAATTATTCATAGTTACATAATTATTTATAGCTATGTTATATAATTATTTATAGTTATATAATATTAATATATAAATTACATAGATATATATTTATATAAAAATTACATATAAAATAATCTAATATAATTATATAATTATATGATTATCTAATTATGTGATCATATAATTTTTACCCCATATAATTAAAAATTATATGCTTCGGAAAAGCATTTGACAAAATCAAACACTCTTTCTTCATCAAAATACCGAACACATGAGGAATAGAAAAGAATTTCTTTAACCTGAAAAAGGGTATCTATGAAAAATCCTCAGCTAACATCATACATTAATGAGGACAGAGTCAATGCTTTCTCCCTAAGTACAGGAGCAAGACAAAATTGTCTGCTGTTCTAGTCAACAGTGTCCTGGAGGTTTCAACCAGTGCAATTGGCAAACAAACAAACAAACAAACTAGCTAGAAAAGTACCTGGCACAAAGTAAGCATCTCATAAATCTTAACTATGACAATATCAATTATTTTAGTTATTCAAATCAGGTCTACTTTTTCAAATGAAAAATTGGAGTATCCTAAAAGATTTAGATAAAGTAGGTTAGATTTTTAAAAAATGCTGTCTTGAGCACTTTGATTTCATTCTTACTATTTCAGTGAGACAGATTTAAATGCATTATCCCTAACTATTATTATTATTTTTTAGAGACAAGGTCTTTCTCTCTTGCTCAGGCTGGAGTGCAGTGGTGCAATCATAGCTCACTGCAACTTCGAACTCCTGGGCTCAAGCGATCCTCCCACCTCAGCCTCCTGAGTAGCTAGGACTACAGGTGTGTGCCAGTAGGCCCTGCTAATTTTTTAAATTTTGTAAAGAAGGGGTCTTGCTGTGTTGCCCAGGCTGGTCTCAAGATCCTGGGCTCAAGTGATCCTCCTGTGTCAGCCTCCCAAAGCACAGGGATTCCAGGTGCGAGCCACTGAGCCTGACCCTCCTTAATTATTATAATCTTCTAGCAGAAAGATGCCCTAGGGATTATGACATAGTGTCTTTGTCCTATTCGTGCTTTCCAAAGGCTTGCCCTTTATTTCATTCAGAAAATTTCCGAAAACCCTCTTCTACAATGCCTAGCTTGAAATGTAATTGAAATAAACTCAATAGCTAAGAATAAGGAGCTGCAGTGTAATCCAACCAATAGAGCCTAAAATCCCTACTGATCTAATTAAAAGCAGGTGTCATAAAAATGCTATCTAGGTTCTAGCAATGGCCATGGTTATGCCGGAGAAGATAAGGATTGTGAGAATTTGCACTAACCGGGAAGGTGTTCCATAAAGGTGAGGCCTGGAGGCTGCAGAAATGGCCACTGTCACAGCTGGGACTCCGTAGCCCACAGGGAACATGAGCTTCTTCATGAATCTGTTGATGCTTGAGTAGTTGACCACCGTCAGGTTCCGTGCAGTGAGGAAGAGGTACAGGGCCTCCAGCAGCATCCAGGTCAAGGTGGCCAGGTAGAGATAGTGCAAGGTACCGGCGATGATGGAGCACAGCACCTGGCGGAGAAGTAAAAGACGCCCAGAGCGGCGATCAGATTTGAGTGTGGCCCATGGCTTCTCCTGTACCATGTTGTTGGGGAGAATTCTGAGATATTTGATGGCATTATAGAGAATATTTGCTGTGTAGTTGAGTCAGGCAATGGGAAATTGGTGGTGTTCTCTTCTAATATTCCCCAGGACTCAAGGGCCTATATATATATACGTGTATATATACGTATACACACACACACACACACACATATATATATATATATATATTTTTTTTTTTTTTTTTTTGAGACGGAATTTCACTCTTGTTGCCCAGGCTGGCATGCAATGGTGCGATCTCGGCTTACCACAACCTCCACCTCCTGGGTTCAAGAGATTCTCTTGCCTCAGCCTCCTGAGTAAC
Organism: Homo sapiens; assembly: GCF_000001405.40. Classification (NCBI taxonomy): domain Eukaryota; kingdom Metazoa; phylum Chordata; class Mammalia; order Primates; family Hominidae; genus Homo; species Homo sapiens. The sequence continues at coordinate 14,752,066 of NC_000019.10, forward strand.
TGGGATTACAGGTATGCGCCACCATGCCTGGCTAATTTTGTATTTTTAGTAGAGACGGGGTTTCTCCATGTTGGTCAGGCTGGTCTCAAACTCCCGACCTGAGGTGATCCGCCCACCTCAGTCTCCCAAAGTGCTGGGATTACAGGCATGAGCCACCACGCCCAGCCGGGCTATTATATTAAGGAATCAAATGCCGCATCATTCCATGAGCCAGCGTGTCCTGCGTCAAGGAAGGGAGCCCTCTGGAACACCGCTGTCAATACCTTGTGTCCGGTTTGATCAATTGCCACGAGGAAGAGGAGGTGGGCCAGGAAGAGGCAGAGCGAGAGCTGCAGATGCAGTGAGGTGCTGGTGTTCTGGATGGCTTTACACAGGAGAAAAGTGAGGGCCGCCAGGAGGAGGCACAGCAGAGAGACGCTCAGCCCCATGTAGGTGATGACAGTCAGCACGGGATCCTCCTCCTGGGACCCGGAAAAGAAGAGTTCACAGTGATGCTTTCCTGCTCTGGGGTAATGACCCCACCACCATTTAAAATTTTTACTTTGGCATAGCACATTCAAGAATGAGGGAGCCAGGTAAATTTGTGAAGATGTCACCAATTTAATTTAATTTGCGAAGGTGTCACCCGAGCCTCATGGGTGGCTAGGAATACAGGCGTAGTCATGTAGGTGACAACGGGTGTGCATTATAGTCATGTATGGCACCATGCCCTGCTAATTTTTTTTTTTGACAGTCTTGCTCTGTCGCCCAGGCTGGAGTGCAGTGGTGCGATCTCTGCTCACTGCAGCCTCTGTCTCCTCGGTTCAAGCGATTCTCGTGTCTCAGCCTCCCAAGTAGTTGGGATTACAGGCACGTGCCTCCATGCCAGGCTAATTTTTATACTTTTAGTAGAGACAGGGTCACACCATGTTGGCCAGGCTGGTCTTGAACTCCTGACCTCATGATCCACCCGCCTCGGCCTCCCAAAGTGCTGGGATTACAGTCGTGAGCCACCACACCCGTCCTAATTTTTTTTTTATTTTTGTAGAGACAGGGTCTTTCTGTGTTGCACAGGCTGGTCTCGAATTCCTGGGCTCAAGTGATCCTCCCGTTTCAGCCTCCCAAAGCACAGAGATTCCAGGTGTGGGCCCGTTAGGTTTTGAAGGGAAAGTGAGAGTTAAAGAAAGACAGAGAGTTGGCAGCTCTACAGCAATGCAGGTTTATGTCCAGCAGGAGACTTGTGGAGGGGGGAGCTAGCTTCGTGCCAGAACCCACTGCCGCTTACAGGCTGGGGTAATTACAGGTCTGGGCGGGAGGGGCTGGGCGGTATGGCTTGCTGCCTGGGAGGATATTGATAAGATGTTCCTGTCATGGAAAACAAAAGGGTGGTTTGGCCCTTTCTCCCGCAGGATATGATGATGATGTCCCTTGGATCTACTCTAAGTGATGAGATAAGAAAGTCAGGTGGGCGAGGTGTGGTGGTTCCTGCCTGTAATACCAGCACTTTGGGAGGCCGAGGCGGGTGGATTACTTGAGGTAAGGAGTTCGAGACCAGCCTGGCCAACTTGGTGAAACCCCATCTCTAGTAAAAATACAAAAATTAGCCGGGCATGGTGGTGCATGCCTGTAGTCCCAGCTACTCAGGAGGCTGAGGCAGGAGGATCCCTTGAACCCAGAAGGTCAAGGCTGCAGTGAGCTATGACTGTGCCACTGCACTCCAGCCTGGGTGACAGAGACCCTGTCTAAAAAAAAAAAAAAGGCAGAGTTTACCCTGGGTGGGCCAGACCTAATCAGATGAGTCTTTATAAGCTCTGGGCTCTTCCTGGAGAATCAGATTCAAAACTTGTGACGGTTAATACTGGGTGTCAACTTGATTGGATTGAAGGATACAAAGTATTGATCCTGGGTGTGTCTATCAGGGTGTTGCCAAAGGAAATTAACATTTGAGTCAGTGGACTGGGAAAGGCAGATCCACTCTTAATCTGGGTGGGCACTGTCTAATCAGCTGCCAGCGTGGCTAGAATATAAGCAGGCAGAAAAATGTGAAAAGAGAGACTGGCCTAGCCTCCCAGCCTACATCTTTCTCCTGTGCTGGATGCTTCCTGCCCTTGAACATCAGACTCCAAGTTCTTCAGTTCTGGGACTCGGACTGGCTCTCCTTGCTCCTCAGCCTGCAGACGGCCTATCGTGGGACCTTGTGATCATGTGAGTTAATACCTAATAAACTCCCCTTTATATATATCTATATCTATCTATATATATAGATCTCTCTCTATATATCTCTATATATGTATATATTTGAGTCAGTGGGTTGGGAAAGGCAGATCCACTCTTAATCTGGGTGGGCACCATCTAATCAGCTGCCAGCGTGGCTAGAATATAAGCAGGCAGAAATTATCTATCTATCTATCTATCTATCTATCTATCTATCTATCTATCTATCTATTCCATTAGTTCTGTCCCTCTAGAGAACCTCGACTAATACAAAGCTTAAGAGGGATTCTGCGTGAGGAAATTTTTTTCCTTGTCCTCCAGATAGGAATGCTAGAAGTTTGCCAGAGGGTCATGTGAGAAGGGATATGAGTGGCCTCTAGGAACTGAATGTGATGCCTTCCTGACAGCTAAGAAAGTGAGACTTCAGTCCTACAATCACAAGAAACTGAATTCTGCCAGCAACCAGGGAGCTTGGAGAAGGACCTCAAGTCTCAGATGAAATGGCAGCCCTGGGGGTGGGGTGACATGATGATTTCAGTCTTGTAAGACCCTGAGCAGAAAAGCCATCTTGCTATGCCAGCTTGCTGACCCAGAGCTGTGAGATAATGCATATATTTTTTTAAAAGGCTGCTACGTCTCTGGGGATTTGTTACACGGCAATAAATGCAGAGTGCATCCCCTCCTAAGGGTCTCACCTGCACATCGTAGTGGGCCATGAGGACGGCAAAGCTGCTCAGGTGGGTGCAACGGCAGATGGTGCTGGTGTCTCTGGTGCCTATTGTGCTGCAGCCTGTGGTGGCCCAGTGACCACATCCATTCTGGCCATGCTCCCAGAAGACACAGAGCACCTTCTGTCTCGGGATCACTGACTGCAGGAACAGAACACAGGTGTGGGCTGGGCATGGTGGCTCACGCCTGTAATCCCAGCACTTTGGGAGGCTGAAGCAGGTGGATCACTTGAGGTCAGGAGTTTGAGACCAGCCTGGCCAACATGGTGAAACCCCATCTCTACTAAAAAAAAAAAAAAAAAAAAAAAATACAAAAATTAGCTGGGCGTGGTAGCACACACCTGTAGTCCCAGCTATTAGGGAGGCTGAGGCAGGAGAATCGCTCGAACCTGGGAGGCGGAGACTGCAGTGAGCTGAGATCGTGCCACTGCACTCCAGCCTGGCTGACACAGCGAGACTCTGTCTCAATAAAAAAAAGAACACAGGTGTGAGCTGGTGGGTCGGATGCTCAGAAATGCTTACCCAAAGCCGGCTTGGGAAGGACTGACTTTCCTGGGGAGATAATGTACCCATAACAGAGACCCCTGAGCCCCAGGGCTGAGCTGAGCAGCAAGGCTATGCCCGGACTCAGACTATTCACCCACCAACCAACTCCACCAGCACTCACACGGTGGGAGAAGGTGAAGGTAACTGGGGAGCTGAGGTTTTGGGTGTCGTTGTTGCTCAGAAAGGCAGAGATCACATCTGAGAGCAGGATGGGGGAGCCGTCCTGCAGCAAGCCCTGGTGTGTCTCATGCAGAAGCATCTGCTTCTCAGGTTCCAGGACCAGAGGGGCCTCAGCCAGCAACTTGCCCATCCCTGGAATGGAGACAAGGCCCACCACAGAAGGGCCTGCAGGGCGAGGCCAAGGTTGAATCTTGGAGTAGGTTGAATCTCTGGGTCCACACCAGAGTTCCTCTGCCCTGCACAGAACTTTCTACTCAGATGGGCTACCTTCCTTTGGCTTCACCCCTCCCACACTTTCCTTCAATCTTTAGTTCTATGTGTATCACATCCTGCAGGACAAGGCCACGGTTAATATCTCAGGGTCCCCAACAAGGTCCGTTCCTCCTCAGCTGGACTCTCCTCTTACAGCCCCACTCCAAACATCCCACACTTCCCTTTAATCTTTAAATTTCTTATTTTTCACATTCTTGGGCATCTTTTCCCACCATGAAGCTTCACTGACCACCTCCCCATCTCAGCCATTACCTGGGTCACCAGATTTCTGTGCCTGATTCCAGTCGAGCTGCATCACTGCCTGATTCTGTCTCAAGGTGACACTCCTGTCTACTTGCTTCTGCACCTCCAGGGACAATTCTATGAGTTGTGGGAATTACATAAGGGGGGTTAGGTTAGGAATCGTGCCTGCAGTGGTTGATATACTATGACTTAATATATATACTATATACATATATAGTCTGAAGTTACAAAATATCGGAAGAGAATAGTGTGAGCAACTGTATATCTACAAAGTAGGTAACCTAGATGAAATGGACACATTCCTAGTGACACACAAACCACTGAAATCAACTCAAGAAGAAATAGAAGATCTGAACAGACCTATAACAGATTAAATCAGTAATCAAAACCTCTCAAAACTAACAGCCCAGACCAGATGACTTCACTGGTGAGTTCTACCAATAGCTTAAGAAAGAATGAACATGAATCTTTTACCTTTTTAAAAATATGGAAGAGGAGGAAACACTATTTAAGTAATTTTATGAGTCTAATATTGCTCTGATAACAAAACCAGATGAAGACATCACAAGAAAATAAAATTATAGACCAATATTTCTTATGGACATAGATGCAAAAATTTTCAGCAAAAATGTTAGGAATACATTTTACGAAGGAGACTCAAGACTTATAGGAAAGTTTTTTGAGTATTTTTTTTTTTTTGAGACAAATTCTCACCTGTTGGTCAGGCTAGAGTGCAGTGGCATGATCATAGCTCACTGCAGTCTCCTGGGCTCAACCAATCCTTCCACCTCAGCCTCCCAAGTAGCTGGCACTACAGGTGCTCACTACCACAGCCAGCTAATTTTTAAATTTTTTGTGGAGATCATGTTTCAGTATATTTCCAAGGCTGGGCTTGAACTCCTGGGCTCAAGCAATTCTCCCACCTTGGTGGCCTCTGACAATATTGGGCGTGAGCCACTGCTTCTGGCCTACAAAAGTGTTTGAAAGAAATAAAAGGCCCTCTCTAAATGGAAAGACAGCCTATGTTCATGGATTGGAAGACTTTCTATTGTTAAGATAACAATACTCCCCCAAAGTGGTCTAGAGACTCAATGCAATCCCTATCAATATTTTAGCCTATTATTACTTTGCAGAATAAGAAAAGTTCATCTTAAAATTCATATGGTGTTGTAAGGAATCCAAATACCCAAAAACAATCTTGAAGAAGAACAAGAAGGTTGGAGAATTCACACTACCTGATTCCAAAACTTACTACAAACTGACAGTAATACTGGCATAAGGACACAACAGAATAGAATTGAGAGTCCAGGAATAAACCCATCCATCTTATGGTCAGTTGATTCTCAACAAGGGGTGCCAAGACTATACAATGGGGGAAAGAATAATCTCTTCAACAAATAGTGCTGGGATTACTGGATAGTAACATGAAAATAAGGAAGTTTTAACCCTACCCTCACACAACAAACAAAAATTAACTCAAAATAAGCCAGTGACCTAAGCTTAGAAGCTAAAACTAGAACACTTAGGAGGAAACAGGGGTAAATCTTCCTGGTCTTGGATGCGGTAATGAATTCTTTTTTTATTTTTATTTTTGGGACAGAGTCTTGCTCTGTCATCCAGGCTGGAGTGTAGTGGCACAATCTCAGCTCACTGCAACCTCCGTGTCCCAGGTTCAAGCAATTCTCCTGCCTCAGCCTCCTGAGTAGCTAGGATTACAGTCATGTGCCAACACATCTGGTTAATTATTTTTATTTTTATTTTTAGTAAGGACAGGGTTTCGCCTTGTTGGCCAGGCTGGTCTCAAACTCCTGACCTCAGGTGATCCGCCCACATTGGCCTTCCAAAGTGCTGGGATTACAGGCGTGAGCCACCACCCCCTGTCAATGAATTCTTAAATATGACACCAATTGCACATGCAACAAAAGAAAAATTAGATAAAATAAATGTCTTCAAGATTTAAAACTTCTATTCATTAAAGTGAAAAGACAAGAAAATGAAAAGACAATCTACAGAACGGGAGAAAATATTTTGCAAATCATTCATCTCAGATGATCTACTATCAGAATGTTTAAAGAATGCTTACAACTGGACAACCAAAAGACAAACAGCACAATTAAAAATAGGCAAAGGATTTGAATAGACATTTCTCCAAAAATGACATGCAAATGGTGAGCAAACACATGAAAAGATGTTAAACATCATTAGTTATCAGGGAAGGGCAAATCAAAACCACAATGAGGTATCATCTCACTAGTGAAGTGGTGTAAATACCCAAGTTTCACTGTTTCACACCAGGGAAATTGAGGATGTGGACACATAAGAAGTTAGTTTAAGAGTGGAGATTTAATAGGCGAAAGAAAAAAAGAATAGCTCTGGCTGGGCGCAGTGGCTCACGCCTGTAATCCCAGCACTTTGGGAGGCTGAGGCGGGAGGATCACGAGGTCAGGAGATCGAGACCAACCTGGATAACACGGTGAAACCCCGTCTCTACTAAAAATACAAAAAAATTAGCTGGGCATGGTGGTGGGCGCCTGTAGTCCCAGCTACTCCGGAGGCTGAGGCAGGAGAATGGCGTGACCCCGGGAGGCGGAGCTTGCAGTGAGCCGAGATCGCGCCCCTGCACTGCAGTCTGCGGGACACAGCACGACTCCGTCTCAAAAAAAAAAAAAGGAAAAAGAGAATAACTCCCTCTCCTGCAGAGAGACAGGGGCTCCCAAGTGGGTCTTCCGGTTGCGTGGTGAAATGCACGAAGTTTTATAGATGAGCTTGGGTAGGCGGTGTCCGATTTACATAAGGCTTAAAGATTGGTCTGAACAGGTGAGCCATTTACATACAGCATGAAGAAACTGGCTGCCCCAGCCTAATCTTTTATTATGCAAATGGATTCTCTACCTGGCTGGCTCCACGTTGCCTGCTTCTGTACTGTACACGTGGTTGACAAAGATAAAGGAAGAGGGAGCCCCCACGTTGAACATGTCGGGCCCCCAGGTAACCTTTTCCTATTGGCACAGCTGCCGGCATTCACCCGTGCAAGCTTCCAGCTTGCTTTTCTATGTCTGCAGCTCGAATTTTCAGGCTGCTCGTTATTAGAAAAGAAATGATTTGGGGGCTGGTTTTTATTAAAAGGGAAACCTTACTGAGGACTCTCTGACCCTTGCTAACTGCCTAAATAATTTCTTTTTCACTCCTGTATCACTGGGATGAAGAGAGGTGAGTTAACAGGTAGAGACATACAGTTAGACAAAAAGTATAAGTTATACATATATATATATATATTTTTTTTTTTTAGACGGAGTCTCACTCTGTCACCCAGGCTGGAGTGCAGTGGCACGATCTCAGCTCACTGCAGCCTCTGCCTCCTGGGTTCCAGCGAATCTCCTGCCTCAGCTTCCCAGGTAGCTGGGATTACAGGCACGTGTCACTAAGCCCAGCTAATTTTTGTATTTTTAATAGCCAGGGTTTCACCATATTGGCCAGGCTGGGCTCAAACTCCTGATGTCAGGTGATCTGCCTGCCTTGACCTCCCAAAGTGCTAGGATTACGGGTGTGAGCCACCAAGCCAGCCACCTCTCCGCTTATTAAGCAGATTTTTTTTTTTTTTTTTTTTTGAGACGGAGTCTCACTCTGTCACCCAGGCTGGAGTGCAGTGGCACCATCTTGGCTCACTGCAAGCTTCGCCTCCCAGGTTCACGCCATTCTCCTGCCTCAGTCTCCCGAGTAGCTGGGACTACAGGCACCCGCCACCACGCCTGGCTAATTTTTTGTATTTTTAGTAGAGATGGGGTTTCACCCTGTTAGCCAGGATGGTGTCGATCTCCTGACCTCGTGATCCTCCCACCTCGGCCTCCCAAAGTGCTGGGATTACAGGCGTGAGCCACCGTGCCCGGCCCAAGTTCTATTGTTTGACAGCAGAGCAGAGTGACTATAATTAACAAGACTGTATGATGTATTTCAAAGTAGTTACAAAAGAGGACTTCAATTGTTCCCAACACATACAAATGATAAGTACTCAAAGTGGTGGATACCTGAGATACCCTGACTTGATCGTTACACATTCTAGGCAAGCAACAAAGTATCACATGTACCCATAAATATGTAAGATTTATGTATCAATAAAAGCAATTAAAAACAGAACAAAAGAAAACGGAAGTAACAAGTTTTGCTGAAGGTGTGGAGAGGATAACCCGTGTATGTTTCTGGTGGGGAATTAGAATGATGCAGCTGCTTTGGAAAAAGTTTGGTGGTTCCTCCAAAAGCTGAACATAGAATTACCATATCACCCAGCAATTCCACTCCTTAGTATATACCCCAAAGAACTGAAGACAGTTATTCAACCCAAAATGTGTCCACTAATATTCATAAGAGCACTATTCACACCAGCCATCTAAACAAAAAAAAAAAATTCGAAGTCCTCTCCCGCCCCCCTCAAAACCATCTGAATGGACTTCCTTTTTGGCCAGGGCACTCTAAATTTAACTGGAAAGACTAGTTCAGGCTATGGTGGGAAGTGGGGGGTCTGACATGTGTCATGCCCTCCTCCCTTTTGGAGTTGAGGAAAAGCTGACCAGCATTTAACATAACACAGACCTGAAGCTTAATAAGGAACATTTACCATCTATTCTCTCTGAAGCCTGATACCTGAAGAGTTCATCTGGATGATACAACTTCAGCCTTTACAGCCCCTTATCGTATTCCAGACATTCTTTTCTATGGATAATAACTCCTTCAACCAACTGCCAATCAGAAAAGCTTAAATCTACCTATAATCTGGAAGCACCCGCCCCACACCTCCACTTCAAATTGTCCTGCATTTCTGGACTGAACCAATGTATAGCTTAAACATATTTGATTGATGTCTCATGTCCCCCTAAAATGTATAAAACCAAGTTGCGGGGGCAGGCGTGGTGTCTCACGCCTGTAATCCCAGCACTTTGGGAGGCCGAGGCAGGCGGATCACGAGGTCAGGACATCAAGACCATCCTGGTTAACATGGCGAAACCCTGTCTTTACTGAAAACACACAAAATAATTAGCCGGGCGTGGTGGCGGGCGCCTGTAGTCCCAGCTACTTGGGAGGCTGAGGCAGGAGAATCGCTTGAACCCGGGAGGTGGAGTCTACAGTGAGCCAGGATCGCACCACTGCACTCCAGCCTGGTTGACAGAGCAAGACTCTGTCTCCAACAGAAGACAACAACAACAACAATCACAACAAGCTGTACCACGACTACCTTGTGATATAGAAGTTAAAAAGGAATTATTTAGGCAGAGAGTGTGGGTAAGGAAGTCCTGGGTAAGTCTTTCCTTTTAATGAAAATCAGCCCCTATATCATTTTTTTTTTTTCTAACAAAGAGCAGCCTGTAAAATCGAGCTGCAGACATAGGCAAGCAAGCTGGAAGCCTGCACAGGTGAATGCTGGCAGCTGTGCCAATAGGAAAAGGCCACCTGGGACTAGGCATGTTGAAAATGGCGGCTCCATCTTCCCATCTCTTTGCCAACCACGTATACAGTAAGGAGCTGGCGAAGACTCCATTTGCATAATAAGATTAGGGTGGGGCAGCCAGCTTCCCTGCACCTTATGTAAACGTCACACCTGTTCCAACCAATCTTTGGGCCCTATGTAAATTAGACACTGCCTCCTCAAGCCTGTCTATAAAATCCGGTGCCCTCTGGCATGGGTGGGAAGTCCCATTTGGGCATTCCTTTCTCTCACAAGAGAGAGAGTTGTTCTCCTTTCTCTTTCTTTTGCCTATTAAACCTCCACTCATAAACTCACTCCTGGTGTGTGTCTGTGTCCTTAATTTTCTTGGCATGAGGCAATGAACCTCAGGTATTACCCCAGAAAACAACACCACTTCACTTGGGAATATGTTCTCAGGGGCTCCTGAGGGCTGTGTCACGGGCCATGGTCAGTCATACATTCATATTTAGCTCACAATAAATCTCTTCAAATATTTTACAGAGTTTGACTCTTTTTGTCAACAGCCAAAAGGTGGAAACAACCCAAATGTCCATCAATGGATGGATGGATAAAAAAAAAAAAAGTGATGTATTCATACAATAGAATAGTATTCAGCCATGAAAAAGAATGAAATATTGATAAATGCTATGGCATGCATGAACCTCAAAACCATTATGCTAGGTGAAAGGAGCTAGACTAGATGGTCACATATTGTATGATTCCATTTATGTGAGATATCCTGATTAGGAAAATCCATGGAAACAGAAAGCAGATTAGCGGCTGCCATGGGTTGGAGGAAGGGAGGAATGAGGAGTGGTTGCTTACCATGTGCAGTGTTCACTTTTGGGCTGATGCAAGCATTTTAGAAATAGAGGTGACGGTTGTATAACTTTCTGAATATACTAGATTCTACCGAAACACACGCTTTTAAAATTTTTTCTTATTTTTATTTTTAATTTTAATTTTTTTGTTTGAGATGGAGTGGCACTCTGTCTCACGTAGTCTGGAGTGCAGTGGTGCAAACTTGGCTCACTGCAACCTCTGCCTCCCAAGCTCAAGTGATTCTCCTGCCTCAGCCTCTTGAGTAGCTAGGATTACAGGTGTGCACCACCACGCCTGTCTAATTTTTGTATTTTCAGTAGAGATGGGGTTTCACTATGTTGGCCAGGCTGGATTTGAACTCCTGACCTCAAGTGATCCACCCATTTCAGCCTCCCAAAGTGCTAGGATTACAGGTGTGAGCGCCTGGCATTACAGGCACGCCCCACGTGAAACAGACACTTTAAAGTGGTGAACTTGATGTTATGTGAATTTTATCTTAATAAAATTAATGCTATATGCATTTTCATGCTTTAAAAATTATTATGCAGGCCGGGCGTGGTGGCTCACGCCTGTAATCCCAGCACTTTGGGAAGCCGAGGCAAGTGGATTATGCACAAGGTCAGGAGATCGAGAGACCATCCTGGCTAACACGGTGCAACCCCGTCTCTACTAAAAATACAAAAAATTAGCTGGGCGTGGTGGCGGGCACCTGTAGTCCCAGCTACTCGGGAGGCTGAGACAGGAGAATGCTGTCAACCCAGGAGGCGGAGCTTGCAGTGAGCCGAGATCACGTCACTGCTCTCCAGCCTGGGCGACAGAGTGAGACTCTGTCTCAAAAAAACAAAACAAAACAAAACAAAACAAACAAAAACAAACAAGAAAGAAATCATACTTAGAGATCAAATGATATTAATTTATAGTATTCCAAATTAAATAAATTGTTCTCTTTTGAAGTGATTTCTATTTTGTTATTTTAAATTCTTCATCATAATTATTTACTGCTGATAATTCATATTACAATGAAAATGCATGTTATTTATGCATTTCTTTTTCCTTTCCTTTCCTTCTTTCTATTCTTCCTTCTTCCTCTACTCCTCTCCTCCTCCTCCTGTGCTCCTCCTCCTCTCCTCCTCTCCTCCGCTCTTTCTCGTCTCCTCCTCCTCTCCTCCTTCTCTTCTCCTCCTCTTCTCCTTCTCCTCCTCCTATCTTCCTCTGCCTCCTCTCCTCCTCCATTCCTCCTCCTTCTCCTCTCCTCCTCCTCCTCTCCTCCTCCTTTTCTCCTCCTCCTCTCTTTCTCCATTCCTCCTCTTCCTCCTCTCCTCCTCCTTCTCTCCTCCTCCTCTCCTCCCCATCCTGTCCTCCTCCTCCCGTCCTCTTCCTCTTGTCCTCCTCCTCCCATCCTCTTTCCTCCTCTTCCTCCTCCCCTCCTCTCCTCCTGTCCTCCTCCTTCTGTCCTCCCCCTCCTGCCCTCTTCCTCCTTTTTCTTCCTCTTTATCCTCCTCCTCCTCTTCACCTCCTCCTCCTTCTCTTCTTCTTCTTCTTCCTCCTCCTCCTCTTCGTCTTCTCTTTTTTGAGATGGGGTCTTGCCCTGTGAACCAGGCTGGAGTACAGTGATGCAATCATAGTTCACTGCAGACTCAACCTCCTGGGCTCAAGCGATCCTCTCACCTCAGCCTCCCAACTAGCTGGGGCCACAGTTGTGCCATCACATCTGTCTAATTTAAAAGATTTTTTTTTTTTTGTAGAGATTGAGTATTGCCATCTTGTCCAGACTGGTATGTATTTCTTTTTAATCTCTTATTTTAGTTTGTCGATGAGAGTAACACTGATATACAGGTGTGGTCACTTGGCTCTGGTGGGACTGGGAAAGGAAGGAGACAGAAAACATGCAGAGCTGGAGTCTGGGGCAGACCCAGGGACCTACCTGTGCCTGCAGGATAACTGAAGTTCAACAGCCCATTGGAAAGGTTCTTGCTCAGGCCTCTGAGGACATCCTCTAGGCCATCCAGCAGGTGACTGGCCACACAGTGCTGCTGTAAGCGGGGCAGGGTCTCCAGGTCCCCAGGGGCCTCCAGCAGCTCATCCAGCGCCTGTAAGATGCTCTGGAGGGATGTGGACACAGACCTAGTGAGCCATGGGCCAGAGGGCCCGCATGAAGACTCCAACCGCTCAGCCCCAGGGAACAGATCCTAGAGACTGTCTATCTGGGGGATGAAGATGGCATTGGCGGCTGGGCGCGGTGGCTCACGCCTCTAATTCCAGCACTTTGGGAGGCCGATGAGGGTGGGTCACAAGGTCAGGAGATCGAGACCATCCTGGCCAACATGGTGAAACCCCGTCTCTACTAAAAATACAAAAATTAGCCGGGCGTGGTGGCGTGTGCCTGTAATCCTAGCTACTCAGGGGGCTGAGGGAGGAGAATCGCTTGAACCCGGGAGGCAGAGACTGCAGTGAGCTGAGATCGGGCCACTAAACTCTGGACTGGCGACAGAGTGAGACTCCGTCTAAAAAAAAAATGACATTGGATGGGATTCCCTAGGTGATCCTTGACTCTGGTTATGGCCCCTCAGAGGCCAACACTTCTGTGCAATATCAATGCTGACCTAAACCCAAAGTCCAGGGAAAGCAAGAGGAAAGATATTAAGTGCACTTGGGTGTCCATTAGCTTCCACCAGCCCTGAAAGATGCTGGGAGTCAGACCAGCACCCACTGCATTGGGTCCTGTCCCCTCCCAGACCCAAACTGCCCCAGGCCTCTGTGGGATGCAGCCACCTTCCTGCCTCGCCCCCTTGCCCTGGGTCCTGTCCTTACCTGGATGGTGTTATTGGCCAAGCCTGGCTTGTAGTCTCTGCCCAGGTCCTGGACTTTGTCGAAGAATCGGGAAAGCGTCTGCAGAGAGAGGAGATGTGGGGGTCAGAGAGCCTGGACGGCGGGTGGGAAGTTTAGAACAAGGAGACGGATGCAGTGCTGTGTGGATGGAGTTCCCGCCGCCTCGTCCCTGTGGGGGCCACTCACCTGGCTGTGGACTCCAGGGGGCGGGGTCCAGGTGGAGAAAGTCATATCTGTAGGGAACAAGACAAGCGGCTCATTAGGCGGGAGCGTGTCAGTGTGTGTGCTGGGGGTGGGGAGCTTCTAGGGCCAGGTCATACCTTCACAGACAGTGTCCTTTTGGTTATTCGGGATTCCGTGTCTGGGCTTCCAGCCTGGGCGGCAGCGGCAGCTGTATGAACCCACGGTGTTGAAGCAGACGGTGGAGCTGTCACACTGATGCTGCCCGGAGCTGCACTCGTCCACATCTGAGGACAGGAAGAAGGGGGTCAGGTCCTGTCCCAGCCTGGAGAGGGTCCTGTCTCCTGTCTGTGCCCCCAGCTCGTTCCTCCCGGCATTAGTGCCCCCCTTGGAGAGGTGGACGCTGGGTTATGGAAGCGTGGAGAGGCCTGGGCACAGCAGGTGGGCCCCGTGCAGATGAGCAGGTTATGAATATGGTGAAACGCCTTCCTCCCAGTGAGTCATCAGCTGTTGCCTGGGGTCCCCCTGAGCCTCCCCCCTCAGTACCCCAGCTCCTTCCGCAGGACCCTTGCTCTTTTCTCATCTAGCCTCAGAAGAATGAACGCCTGACACAGTCGGGCGCCTCCAGCGCTCATTCTGCTTGGTTTGTGTGGGCGCCGTTGAACATGTGATCAGATGTTTGTGGGTCTCTGGGAACGTGGGATCTGAGCTCTCGACCTTCACAGACGGTATTGTTTGGGCCATTGGGGGACCCCGGAATCGGTTGCCAGCCCGGGCGGCAGCGGCACTGATAGCTGCCCACGTTGTTGAGGCAGTGGGTGGAGCTGTGGCATGGGTTTTGTCCGGAGGTGCATTCATTCACATCTGAGGACAAAGCCAGAGGGTCAAACCCTGTCCCTGACCAGCCTGGGCCTGCCCTCCACTCACTGCACCCACTCCCCTATCTTTTCATTGCCTCAGACTGAAGACCATTATTGCACGTGCCACCACTTGGTGACCTTCAACTTCACCTTCAAAGCATCTTATGATGGTCTTCCTACCAGATGGGCACAGCAGGGACCATGGTCCCCAGTTTATAGGAGGTGAAACCAAAAGGGAAACTGAGTCATGGGAGCTGGACTTTCTGACTAAAATCTCTCTCCTGCTCCCTCCCTCACTATGGTGGAGGTTCCCCTTCTTAGAACTGGAAGTGACACCTTCTTCCACTCGCACGTGACAGATGAGGAAGGGGTGAGGTCTGGGGGCCCACAAGGGCACTCCAAGCCCTGAAGGCCCTGCCGCCTCCCTGCCGTGTGGCGAGTCCTTCCTGGGAGGTGAATCCTTAGGCAGGGGCTTAGCAGGTCCTTGACCTTGTGGGAACCTGCGGATCTTCTCCCTCCTCCTCGGCTGCTTTGGAGGACCTGACTCAGCTCCATCCCCAGCTCCCGTCCAGCCTCACAGCGTCTTCCTGGGGCCTCTACCTGTGCAGAGCTTCGGGTCCTCAGGTTTGAGCTTGAAGCCAGGCAGGCACTGGCACGTGTAGCTGCCGAGGGTGTTGACGCAGGTGCCGTAGCTTTTACAGAGCCTTGGGTTCTGCTGACATTCGTCCACATCTGCAAGAGGAAGGAGAGGGTGAAGAATGCCCGTAGCTGTGAGCAGCTTTCGGGGCTGAGGGTCCGCCATGTTTCCTGGCACGGAAGCATCTGGAAGGCACCACTGTCTGCTCCCTTTTCTTTTCTTTCTTTCTTTTTTTTTTTTTTGAGACGGAGTCTTGCTCTGTCACCCAGGCTGGAGTGCAATTGCCTGATCTCAACTCACTGCAACCTCCGCCTCCCGGGTTCACGCCATTCTCCTGCCTCAGCCTCCCGAATAGCTGGGACTACAGGCGCCCGCCACCATGCCCGGCTAATTTTTTGTATTTTTAGTATTAGACGGGGTTTCACCGTGTTAGCCAGGATGGTCTTGATCTCCTGACCTCGTGATCAGCCCACCTCGGCCTCCCAAAGTGCTGGGATTGCAGGCATGAGCCACCATGCCTGGCCATCTCCTCCCTTTTCTAATCCACACAGAGGTGTCCCATGGTGAGCATGGTGGCCCAGGCCTTCTGTTGTTCAGATATGGCTGGAAGCATCTGAGTCCTCCCCATCTCCCCTGCCTCCCTGGGCAGCTCCCAGCTGGGGCAGGGATGTCCCAGCCTGAGGATTCAGGACAAAGGTCAGGGTGGGATTTTCTTGGGACCAAGTGCAGGGGGCATGCTGCTTGCCCAGGTAGGACCTGTCTTGGTTCCCAGTGGCAGTCCTGGGCCAAAGGACAGAGCCTTCCTGTGAATTGGAAAAAGGCATCTCCTCTTCAAGTAGTCACAGTCATATTTGAGGAATGGAGAGTAGGCAGGTTTTCAGCTTCTGCTCACCCTCTTGGCTGGGCATCCATATGCAGTCAGCAGCCTATGCAACTGTACATGGTGGTCATGGGTCCTTCTCAGTGAGAACCCTCTGGTTTAGTCCGTTTTGTGTTGCAAGAAAAGAAGTTTATTTGGCTCATGGTTCTGCAGGCTGTGTAAGATGCATGGCTCCAGCATCTGCTTCTGGTGGCCTTGATTTCCCCAGGACAGCTGCTCACTGGCTGAGTTATCAGAATCCCGGTGGCCCTAGCAGGATGGTGCTCTCCCATCCACACTAGCTCTGAGAGCCCAGCTCCAGGCACATGGACCAAGACTGGCCCCTGAGCCAGTCCCCAGGGGAGCATGAGTCTGGTGCTGCATAGGCCAGGGCTGCCTGGACAGTGGGTCCCAGGCCAGGGTGGACAGTGGGGACCGACATACAGCTGGGTTGCCCCAGGGCTGTGAAGGTGCCTTTTTTTGATCCTCAGGAAGGTGTCTTGGAAATGGCAGGATGTAGTGAGAATCCATAGCTGAGAAAGACTGGCCCTGGGTGAAGGTTTAGTGGCTGGAGAGGGGCACAGATGCTGATGGGCAAAGATGGAGGTGTATCTGTCATCTCATCTCTTGGCATTCCACCAGGGACACAGACCTATTTCTGAATGGTTCCACTCCCATGGGATCTGGGTTGACCTCCTGGGAGAGGATCAGGCTTGGAGCAATGGCCCTGATGTTAACCTCTCTTGCCATTGGGTCCACACTAGTGCCTCTTCCATTCACTCAACTCTCCAAGTATGGGGAGTCCATGTCACTGTGCCCACCGTTAGCCACAACATCCTCCAGTGCACTCAGGTGGACCAAAACTATCAGGAAGGGTCAGGGCAGTCTCGCTCAGTGAAAGGGACAGAGACTGAGTGGCAGAAAAAGAGGTCAGGGCTCCACGAGGCATCTTCTCCAGGTGGGGTTGTTGGCCAGTGGCAGGTTCGACTGGGGACAGTGGCCCTGCCTTCAAATCTCCCTCCTCCTTCATTTCTGGACAGGGTGCCTGGGTCCATGATGAGCTGGGGGATCAGAGAGAGTTCCAGGTGAGCAGAGCTGTGTGGAGACTGTCTCATCCTGGCAGTCGCTGATGATAGCAGAGAGAATGGATACTGCGCTGGAATGCACCACGCAGTGAGCTCATCGAATATCCTGAGTGCCAGCCCCCTTTTTGTTTTGTACAAATAAGATACCAGGTCGGACATGGTGGCTCACGCCTGCAATCCCAGCACTTTGGGAGGCTGAGACGGGCGGATCACTTGAGGCCAGGAGTTCGAGACCAGCCTGGACAACATGGTGAGACACCCCCCCCCCATCTTTACTAATAAAACAAAACAAAACAAACAAATAAGATGCCAGATGGGCAGGGGGATGTTCTGAGCTTTTGGAAGTGACCCTCTGTGGAGGGTTCTGAACCTTGAGGTTTGGATAGCGACAGGTGACCAGGTGTTTGGGACGGCCCTGTGATGCCTGGAGTAAGTGGGGCAAGGAGCTGAGGGAGTGGCCCCAGGTCTCCTGCCTATGAGGCCTGTGACACCAGGTAGACAAAAAAAACAAGAATGCTGAGGGGTGAGGGGGATGCAGACAGGGCCCCACGGAGCCCTTCCCTGAGCTGAGGCTTCAAGAGGCAGGTCCTGCTCCGAACTAGCAGGCTGTTCTGTGCGGATGGGGTCCATGAGAGCCCTCTCCCACTTCATTCCTGCTCATCTGTGTCTCTGCCTATCCACCAACTAAGCCCCCTCTCTCAGTGTTGGCCTCTTTTCTTTTCTCTCTTCTCTTCTCTCCTTTTCTTTTCTTTTTTTTGGAGACGGAGTCTCGCTCTGTCGTCCAGGCTGGAGTGCAGTGGTGCCATCTCGGCTTACTGCAAGCTCCGCCTCCCAGGTTCATGCCATTCTCCTGCCTCAGTCTCTGATTAGCTGGGACTACAGGCACCCACCACCACGCCCAGCTAATTTTTTTGTATTTGTAGTAGAGACGGGGTTTCACCATGTTAGCCAGGATGGTCTCGATCTCCTGACCTTGTGATCCGCCCACCTCGGCCTCCCAAAGTGCTAGGATTACAGGCATGAGCCACTGCGCCCGGCCAGTGCTGGCCTGTTTCTAACATGGCAACACACCTCCTCAATAATTACAAACACCACCTGTGCATGCGGTGATACAGTTTGGATATTTGTCCCCTCCAAATCTCACGTTGAAATGTGATCCCCAGTGTTGGAGATGGAGCCTCGTGGGAGGTGTTTGGGTCCTGAGTGCAGATCCCTCATGAACATCTCGGTGCTGTCCTTGGGTCATGAGTGAGTTCTCGCCTTGTTAGTTCCCATGAAAACTGCTTGTTGGAAAAAGCCTGGTATCTCCTCCCTTCTCTCTTGCTTCCTTCCTCTTGCCATGGGATGCCAGCTTCCCCTTTCCCGTCTGCCAAGAGTGGAAGCTCCCTAAGGCCCTCACCAGAAGCAGATGCTGGAGCCATGTGTCTTACATGGCCTGCAGAACCATGAGCCAAATCAGCTTCTTTTCTTTATACATGATCCAGCCTCATGTATTCCTTTATAGCAACACAACATAGACTAAAACAGAGGCTCTCACTGACAAGGACCCATGACCACCACGTACAGTTGTGTAGGTTGCTGACTACATATGGATGCCCAGCCAAGGCGGTGAGCAGAGGCTGAAAACCTCTCCATTCCCCAAATGGGGCTGTGTCTACCTGGAGAGGAGAGGCTTTTCTGTTTCTCTTTTTCTTTTTGTTTCTTTCTTTTCTTTTTTTTTTTTTTTTTTTTTTTTTTTTGAGACAAAGTCTTGCTCTGTCACCCAGGCTGGAGTGCAATATTGAGATCCTGGCTCACTGCAACCTCTGCCTCTGGGTTCAGGTGATTCTCCTGCCTCAGCCTCCTGAGTAGCTGGGATTACAGGTGCTCACCACTATGCCTGGCTAACTTTTGTATTTTTTAGTAGAGATGGGGTTTCACTATGTTTGTCAGGCTGGTCTTGAACTCCTGACCTCAGGTGATCCACCCGCCTCAGCCTCCCAAAGTGCTGGGATTACAGGCGTGAGCCACTGTGCCTGGCCCGGAGAGTCCTTTTTCTAATTCACAGGAAGGCTCTGTCCTTTGGTCAAGATATGTGCATGCAATGTAGCATCTGTTCACAGGGGACCCCTGTGAACCAGCCCCCCTGCTGGGCTCTATGCAGCTGCGTGCTCTCAGAACGTACACCTCTGCTCTGTCCTCACTTTCCTCCCACCAGGGAGGCTCTACTGACTGCAGGGAGAACAGGAGGGACAGGGCTGGGAACAGGAGCACTGCCACTTTTCTCTTTACAGCAGGGCAGGTCTGCTGAACCCCCTTAATGTCCCCTGGGACCCTTGGCTCAGCCTCAGCTTCTTCATTTCCTGCCTTTGCTCACCTTCCCTTCCCACTCTGTGTACTCTGTGTTAATCTCCCTTCTCTGTCCACCTGCTACTGGTTCCCATCTGGCCTTGCAGATGTCTGAAGCTCCCTCCCGCACCCAACTAGTTCCCACTGGAAAGAAGGCAAAGCAGAGTGATGCATGGGGGCCTGGCTTCTCATGGGCTGGAGCTGCAGTGTGGAATAAGACCATGGCAAGGGATGAGGCAGGCTGTGTCGAAATAGATTTCTTCTGAGTGCCAGCCAGGAGTGTGGCCCCACAGGAGCCCAGCTTGTCTGAACAACTCCTAAAAGGCATCCATTGCTTATTTATTTATTTATTTATTTATTTATTTATTTATTTTAGATGGAGTCTTGCACTGTCACCAGGCTGGAGTGCAGTGGCACGATCTCCGCTCACTGAAACCTCCGACTCCCTGGTTCAAGTGATTCTCCTGCCTCAGCCTCCTGAGTAGCTGGGATTACAGGCACCCACCACTGCACCCGGCTAATTTTCGTACTTTTAGTAGAGACAGGGTTTCACCATGTTGGCCAGGATAGTCTCGATCTCCTGACCCCGTGATCCATCCGCCTCGGCCTCCCAAAGTGCTGGGATTACAGTGCATAATAACGTTTAAAGAATGAAGATGCCTGTAGCACCTGCTGTGTGCTGGGCTCTGTTAGAAGCACCTATTCTTTCCTTGGTCCTCCTAGAAGGCATAGGAGTAGGCCATTATTATCATCCTCATTTTATAGATGGGTAAACCAAGGCTCTAAGAGCAGTAGTGATGTTGGTAATATCATTTAGGTAACAGGTGGCAAAGCCAGGATTTGGGCCCAGGTAGCTGGTCCCAGAGTTTTCCCTTGGCCTTCACACCACGCTGCCTCTCTGGGCTGGCGAAACAGGTACATGCACACCTGTCTCATCTCAGACTCCAGGAACTGAACCTATACTTGGGTACCTGCTCCCTGGATGCTGCAGAAACAGCTCTGGTGACCCCAAACCTCATGGACAGTGGTGATGGAGGATGTGGGGTGGTTCTTACCTTGACACGTGTTCTCGCTCTCATTCTTGAATGTTTTTGCCCCAGAAACAGGCTCATATCCTGGGCTGCACACGCAGTCGTAGCTCCCCTCTGTGTTCCAGCAGTCCGAGAATTTTCCGCATGACACTTTCGACAGTGTTGCACACTCGTTGATGTCTGGAACACAACAGGACAGGAGGTCATCTCCCAAAGATGTGAGTTCCGTCAGGGCAGAGACCCCCGTCCTGACTCCCCAACATGGGGCCTGCTGCTTAGTATCTTTTGGAAAGGATCTCAAGTTGCACTGCACAGGCTATGCTGCAGCTGGAGCAGGCCATTCCTGAAGACCACACTTGATCTCAGTTCTCTGGCTGGCATCCTAGATTTGGACACAGTGGACAGTGCTGAGGTGGGGGATGGACAGGAAGCGCCATATCCCCATCCCCAGTCTTTTTGTAGAAATTTAAACCCCATGGCAGCCGGGTGCAGTGGCTCATACCTGTAATCCCAGCACTTTGGGAGGCCGAGGCCGGCAGATCACTTGAGGTCAGGAGTTCGAGACCAGCCTGCCAACAGGGCAAAACCCCATCTCTACTAAAAATACAAAAACTAGCCGGGCATGGTGGTGCATGCCTGTAATCCCAGCTACTCGGGAGGCTGAGGCAGAAGAATCGCTTGAACCTGGGAGGTGGAGGTTGCGGTGAGCCGAGATCGCGCCACTGCACTCCTCAGCCTGAGCGACAGAGTGAGACTCCATCTCAAAAAAAAAAAAAAAAAACAAAAAAAAAAAGAAAAAAGAAAAATAAGGGAGAAAAAAAAACCTATGGCCAGAATGTACCCCCTTCCCAGTCTTAACGGTAAACTGAGGCACAGACTCCAGATTCCTGAGCACGCAGCTTCTCTCTCTCCAGGAAGCCATGCCTATTCACTTCTTACTTCTCCCCCTTCATATTTTTTCCTTTTTCCTCCCTTCCTTCCTTCCTTCTTTCCTCCCTCCCTCCCTCCCTCCTTTCCTTTTTCTTTCCCTCCCTCCCTCTCTCTCTTTTTCTTTTCTTCTCTTTTCTTTCTCTCCTTCTCTCTTTCTGTCTTTTTTTTTTTTTTTTGAGATGGGGTCTTGCTCCTGTTGCCCAGACAATCCCTCCCAAAGTGCTGGGATTACAGGCATGAGCCACCACACCTGGCCTCTTTCTTTGTTTCTTTCTTTTTCCTGAGACAGGATCTCACTCTGTTGCCCAGGCTAGAGTGCAATGGTGCAATCATAGCTCACTGCAACCTCAAACTCCTGGGCTCAAACAATCCTCCCGCCTCAGTCTTCTGAGTAGCTGGGACTCCAGATGTGTGCCACCATGCGCGGCTATTTTGTGTATTTTTTGTAGAGACAGGGTCTCACCATGTTGCCCAGGCTGGTCTTGAATTCCTGGCCTCAAATGATCCACCCGCCTCTGCCTCCCAAAGTGCTGGGAGCCACCACACCTGCCCTCTTTCTCTTTTCTCTGGCCATGATGATAGTCTGGAAGGTAAGGCTGTGGCCCCTCACAACAACCTCTGTCCCCCACTGGCACTGGGCTATGCCTCATAATCGCAGATGTCCCCTGCGCTGCCCTCAAGCCTCTGTACCGTCACAAGTCTCCATGGGGGTGGTGATGATCTCAGAAAAAGAGCTGAACCCTGGATTGCAGCGACAGGCGGTGGCATTGACACACGAGGAGTCCTGAGGGCACCACCGGGCACAGCCTGCAAGAGCAGGGAGCACGGTCAGAAGGTGAGGGGTAAGGGAATACACAAAAAGGGGGCACTGGGGGAGATGGGGCAGAGCGCTGAGTTTCCCGTGCACGAGCCCTCTCTTTCCCTGGGCTGAAGGGGGCTGGGCGGGGGTCCAGGACCCTCCCCAGGCTCTGGCTGTGGACTGTGCTTTCTGCTTCCCAGCAGACTCACCCCTGGAGTCCTGGGTTTCAGCTCCCGGCAGAGTCAGCCAGACACAGAATGCTGCAACAGAGAAAGGAAAGGGGGTCAGAGGGGATCCCAGGGTGGGAAAGGAGGCGTAAGGGTGATGCACTTTGTGGGAGGAGGATGCTGACCCCTCTCAGGCTCAGATCCTGCCCATCGTTCAAACAGAGTGAGCAGATGTCACGTCCCACTCGGATGCTCAAAGCCAGAGAGTCTGTCACCCTGTCCTCATGGGGGTGGGTTTTGTTTTGTTTTGTTTGACACAGGGTCTCTCTGGGTCACCCAGGCTGGGGTGCAGTGATGCGATTATAGCTCACTGCAGCCTCCAATTCCTAGGCTCAAGCGATCCCCCTGCCTCACCCTCCCGAGTAGCTGGGACCACAGGTGAGTACCGCCATATTTTAAATTTTCTTTCTTTCTTTTTGAGACAGGGTCTTGCTCTGTCGCCCAGGCTGAAGTGCAATGGTGCGATCTCGGCTAATTGCAATCTCTACCTCCTGGGTTCAAGCAATTCTCCTGCCTCAACCTCCCAAATAGCTGGGACTACAGGCACCCACCATGGTGCCTGGCTAATTTTTTGTATTTTTAGTGAGATGGGGTTTCACCATATTGGCCAGGCTGGTCTCGAACTCCTGACCTCAGGTGATCTGCCGGCCTTGGCCTCCCAAAGTGCTAGGATTACAGGTGTGAGCCACGGCTCCCAGCTCAAAAATTTTAAAATGATTTATTTATTTTTATTATTTATTTTTTTTTGAGATGGAGTCTCCCTTTGTTGCCCAGGCTGGAATGCAGTGGTGCAATCTTGGCTCACTGCAATCTCCACCTCCTGGGTTCAAGCGGTTCTCCTGCCTCAGCCTCTTGAGTGGCTGGGACTACAGGCATGACCCACCATGCCCAGCTAATTTTTGTATTTCTTAAGTAGAGATGGGGTTTCACCATGTTGGCCAGGCTGGTCTTGAACTCCTAACCTCAGGTGATCTGCCCGCCTTGGCCTCTCAAAGTGCTGGGATTACAGGCATGAGCCATCACGCCTGGCCAAAAAAATTAAAAATAATTTAAAAAGTTATTTTAGAGACAGAGTCTTGCTCTGTTGCCCAGGCTGATCTTGAACTCCTGGCCTCAAGCGATCCTCCTGCCTCAGCCTCCCTAGCTTGGCTTGGGGGTGGGGTTTAAGGAACTGAGGAGTAGGAAAGGGCCATGAGCCTGGTGGGGGTCTCAGCTCCAGCTGCCGCTCTTCTGACTTGGGGGCTGTCTGGTGTGCCTGAGCATTTACTGCCATCTTCATTTCTTTAGATAAAAATGAAGGCATGGTCAGGCACGGTGGCTCGGGACTGTAATCCCAGCACTTTGGGAGGCCAAGGTGGGCAGATCATCTGAGGTCGGGAGTTCGAGACCAGCCTGCCCAATATGGTGAAACCCCGTCTCTACTAAAAATACAAAACATTAGCTGGGCGTGGTGGCAGACTCCTGTTACCCAACTACTTGGGAGATTGAGGCAGGAGAATCGCTTGAACCCAGGAGGCGGAGGTTGCAGCAAGCTGAGATCGTGCCACTGCACTCCAGCCTGGGCGACAGAGCAAGGCTCCGCCTCAGAAAAAAAAAAAAAAAAATGATGGCGCTGGATCCCCCAGGCTCTAAGATGCCCTGGAACCGCATGCTTCCTCAGGGACACAGGTGCACACACACCACAACCGCCGCCAGCCCTGGCGGCCCATCCTGAAACCCAGTGGTGATATTTCACCCCGGGCGCCCCTCCCACAGGAAAACGCTGTGGCCGCCTGTTGGGGTGCATGTGGCGCTGCGGTTCCCAGCACTCAGGAAGTTCCCCTTTCCAAGGCATGTCCTGGGGGACCCTCCTCAGGTCACCAGGGGCTTTAGAGATGGGGACCTAGGGATCTCCTTGTTGTTCACCAGAGAGAGAGACAAAGAGGCAGAGGTAGAGAGAAAACGGAGATTAGGGAGATAGAGAGACTGAAAGAGAGACAGAAGGAGAAAGACAGAGAGAGAGAGAGAAAGAAGGGAGAAGCTGGGGGTACCCTGCAGTGGAGAAGTCCTGGCCTCTATTTTCCCCGCCCCCCGCCCATGTCTTTCTATGCGCTATATTAAGAGCAGTGGCTCTGGGGTCCTAGCACTCACTTTTTGCCCCTTTCCTTCCCCCGTGCCTCAGTTTCCCCTCTTATGGAGCAGATGCCAAACTGGCTCCAGTAGAAAGCTTGAGGATCCCTCCGGGCAGGGTAGCAGGCTCCGAGAGCACCCTGGAGTTCCTGCCGGGGTGTGGGGGTGCCCAAGCACCACCAGCCCCTCTCGCCGTGTGCCCGTGAGTGCCTGCTTGACCATGTGGCTTTCTCCATCGCCGGCCCCACAGACACCAGCGGCGCCTCCCGTTTCTCAGACGCATCCAAGGGGTCCCGCTGGAGCTTCCTCGCTACCACCCCCAGCGGGGCCCCAAAGTACTTACCGAGAAAGACGAGAAAGACGCGGCCTCCCATGGTTCCAGCTGAGCTGCCGGCAGGAGCAGCAGGGGAAAGAGTGAGTGGGACAGGGCTGTCCCGTCTCCGCAGGCTGGGCAGCTGTGCGGGCTGTCCCGAGGCCAGGACTTTATAAAGGAGGGGGGGCGGACAGCCGCTGGCCCAGGGCCCTCCCCGGAACTGGCGGTGCAGCTGGAAGCCAGCAGGAAAGCACAATAAAAACACAGAACCAGGGGCGCTGCACACACACACACACACACACACACACACACACACACACGTGTACTCGCTCAGCAAGAATGAAGTGCAACCTGCTTTAAAAATCCCTCTGCTGGAGTTTCCACCATGTGGCTCTGACCAACCCTCTGGCCTCTGTGTGTTCCAGGCTGGCTGCTGTGCAGGGGAAGGTGTGGCAGCCGGGCGGGGCGGTCTCGCCTGGGGCCACTTGGCTCTTCCCTGGGCAGGCACGCAGGGGCCTTGTCAGAAATAGCTCTGGGCTCCCACTTTGGTAGGGCTCACCCTGTGCCCAGAGCTTTGGCATGCCAGAGTTGGCAGAGCCTGCGTCCCAGCTGGCAGTATCTTCCCCTGCTGTTTTCCAGATGAGGAAACTGAGGCCAGGTACAGAGGCTCACGCCTGTGATCCCAGCACTCTGGGAGGGCGAGGCAGGAGGATCGCTTGAGCTCAGGAGTTTGAGACCAGCCTGGGCAACATGGCGAAGCTCGGTTTCTTTCTTTCTTTTTAAATTAATTAATTAATTAATTAATTAAATTTTTTAGACTTTAAGTTCTAGGGTACATGTGCACAACGAGCAGGTTTGATACATAGGCATACATGTGCCATGTTGGCTTGCTGCACCTATCAACTCGTCATTTACATTAGGTATTTCTCCTAATGCAATCCCTCCCCCAGGCCCCCACCCCCCGACAGGCCCCAGTGTGTGATGTTTCCCGCCCTGTGTCCAGGTGTTCTCATTGCTCAGTTCCCACCTATGAGTGAGAACATGTGGTGTTTGGTTTTCTGTTTCTGTGTTAGTTTGCTGAGAATGATGGTTTTCAGCTTCATCTGTGTCCCTGCAAAGGACATGAACTCATCCTTTTTTATAGCTGCATAGTATTCCCTGGTGTATATGTGCCACACTTTCTTAATCCAGTCTATCATTGATGGACATTTGGGTTGATTCCAGGTCTTTGCTATTGTGAATAGTACCGCAATAAACATACATGTGCATATGTCTTTATAGTAGCATGATTTATAATCCTTTGGGTATATACCCAGCAATGGGATCGCTGAGTCAAATGGTATTTCTAGTTCTGGATCCTTGAGAAATCACCACACTATCTTCCACAATGGTTGAACTAATTTACATTCCCACCAACAGTGTAAAAGCGTTCCTATTTCTCCACACCTGTGATCCCAGCACTCTGGGAGGCCGAGGCAGGAGGATCGCTTGAGCTCAGGAGTTTGAGACCAGCCTGGGCAACATGGCAAAGCTCTGTTTCTTCAAAAAGAAAAAAAATTACCTGGGCTTGGTGGCAGACGTCTGTGGTCCCAGCTGCTACTACTCAGGAGGCTGAGGCAGGAAGAATCACCCGAGCTGGGGAGTTTGAGGCTGCGGTGAGCTAAGATGGTGCCACTGCACTCCAGCTTGGGTGATAGAGTGAGACCCTGTGTCAAAAACAAAAAGAAAGAAAGAAAACTGAGGCATTACAGTGTCCACATAAAAGCCCAGGGAGGGAGAAGGGGCCCTCTTCCGATGCCAGGCAGGTGCCAAGAAGAGAAGCTTCACCGCACAGAGCAGACCCCCCGGATCTTTCTGGTCTTTCTAAGCCAGTTTCCTCCTGTGGGAAACTTATATTTCAGAGGCCCCTGGGCACTTCGTTAATCAACAGAGAATCATGTGATAGGAGGGTTCTTTCCTTTCTGGATAAATCATATGATTAGCTTGTCTCTTGAGGTACGTAATCATTTTTTAAAACGCTATATATATTTTTAAGAGATCTTACTCTGTCACCCAGGCTGGAGTGCAGGGTCACCATCACAGCTCACTGCAGCCTCAAACTTCAGGGCTCAAGGGATCCTCCTGCCTCAGCCTCCTGAGGAGCTGGGACTACAGCTGTGCACCATCACGTCTGGCTAGTTTTCTCCTTAAGTGTTTTTTTTTTTTGTAGAGACGAGATCTCGCTATCCTGCCAAGAAAATGCTATTATTTATGGAGCACTTAATTTGTACCAGGTCTGGTCCTAAGTGCTTTTTTTTTTTAATCTATATTAACTCATTTACTCCTTAAAACATCTGCAATGATGTTGTCATTCCCATTTGACAGAGGAGGAAACTGAGGCACAAGTGACTCACCCAGCTGAGACTCAGATCCACAGGCCGGCAGCCCAGCCCTGGAGTCCCTGCGATGAGCCCAGGGGAAAGTCTCCACTGGGCACTAACATGTCTTTAGCGCCTCCGTGACCCTGAGGCTTAGCAGGTGTCTGTATCCAGCCAGAATTCAAGGACTTGGTTTTGTGTTCCTCATATTTATATTTATTTTTAGGTTTCCCTACTATCTGGGGCAATGAGGAGGGTTTTTCAGTGAGGATGCCGAAATCAAGTCTCCTTGTTACATGAGTAAATTCAAGATGCAGAAGTGATGAATGCTAAGGAAAATATAGTTCAGTTGTTCAAAGGGGGAGATTGCAGCGATGGAGAAAAAAGTCACTAATGACTGAAGTCAGAGAACTATTGTCCTGGGAATAATCAAACATCCACAGTCCTAGAATTTACCCCTTCCTGTCCCGGGCTCCTGTGGGGGTGGCCTGGGCTGTGGGGGAGGGGAGTGAACACCAGCAGAAGCTGGAAGGAGAGAGGGCCAGACCAGGTCTGGAGGGATTTTGCCTTTTTTTTCTCAGAAAGCCAGAAACTCCAGCTAGAACCCCAGGGCTCAACGTCCCTTCTCTGCAGATCAGACGGGCAGGTCAGACAGCTGGCGTCTGCAGAATCTCAGGGAGGTAGTGGCACTTCCTGATGCCAGGGATTGTCCCTACACCCCTTCATGGTGATCATCGACTCTTCTTAATTTAATTTTATTTTACTGTATTTTAGAGACAGACTCTGGTGTTGCCCAGGTTGGAGTACAGTGGCGCCATCTCGACTCACTGCAACCTCCGCCTCCCGGGTTCAAGCGATTCTCCTGCCTCAGCCTCCAGAGTAGCTCGGACTACAGGTGCCCACCACCACACCTGGCTAATTTTTGTATTTTTATTTTATTTTATTTATTTGTTCATTCATTTATTTATTTTGAGACAGAGTCTCGCTCTGTCACCCAGGCTGGAGTGTGGTGATGTGATCTCAGCTCACAGCAACCTCTGCCTCCTGGGTTCAAGAGATTCTCCTGCCTCAGCCTCCCAAGTATCTGGAATTACAGGTGCAAGCCACCACGCCTGGCTAATTTTTGTATTTCTAGCAGAGATGGAGTTTCGCTATGTTGGTCAGGCTGGTCTCGAACTTCTGGCCTCAAGTGATCTGCCTGCCTTGGCATCCCAAAAGTGCTGGGATTACAGGCGTGAACCACAATGCCCGGCCTGAAACATTCTTTTTAAATTTTTATTTTATTATTATTATTATTATTTATTATTACTTTTTTCTGAGACGAAGTCTTGCTCTGTCACCCAAGCCGGAGTGCAGTGGTGCTATCTCGTCTCACTGCAATCTCTGCCTCCCGGGTTCAAGCAATTCTCCTGCCTCAGCCTCCCGAGTAGCTGGGATTATAGGCACCTGCCATCGCATCTAGATAATTTTTGTATTTTTAGTGGAGACAGGGTTTCACCATGTTGGCCAGGCTGGTCTCGAACTCCTGTCCTCAAATGATCCACGCGCCTCAGCCTCCCAAAGCGTTGGGATTACAGGCGTGAGTCACCATTCCTGGCGGCTTTCTTGAGTCTCTCCAATACTTCTCACCATCTCCCTTCTTCCCTAGCAACCATCTGCCCTCGAGCCGCATTAGGCTGTCAGCCCCCTGAGTGACTTTTGTCTTTTTCTCTGCAGAGCACCAGCACAGAGCCTGTGCTGAGTGGGGCCCTATATGGTAAACCATGCAAATTAGTAGTACTCCTGCCACTCCACTCCGCTGCCGCCCAGCTAAAGGAAGCCTCCTTCAGCCTCGCTGATCTGGTCCCTGCCGGGGTGTCTGCCTATGTTTCTCCGCCTTCTCTTTGTCCAGAAGTCTCAGTCCTGCTGACCTATTTTGCAGCTTCTGGACAACCTCTGCAATGATGGGGGGTGCGAACATGGTCCTCATTTGTCAAAAGGGGAACTGGAACCTGGGGGTTTGGGGCCCCTGGCCCCAGGTTGCTCAGCTAAGAAGTAACCCAAGATTACCTGTAATCCCAGCTGCTTGGGAGGCTGAAGCAGGAGAATTGCTTGAGCCCAGGAGATGTAGGTTGCAGTGAGCTGAGATCGCGTTATTGCACTCCAGCCTGGGCGATAGAGCCAGACTCCGTTTCAAAAAAAAAAAAAAAAAAAAAAGAAGCAACCCAAGATTATCCAACCAACAATAATAATGGTATTATTAATTATATTAGTATAATTTATTGTTATTATTTTAGAGACAGGGTCTCTGTTGCCCACGCTGGAGCACAGTGGCGGTGGCACAATTATGGCTTCAGGCAACCTGCACGTCCTGGGCTTATGTGATCCTCCTGCCTCAGCCTACCAAGTAGCTGGGACTACAGGCATATGTTGCCATGCCTGGCTAACTTTTCACTTTTTTTGTGTGTGTGTGAGGGGGACGGAATCTTGCCCTGTTACCCAGGCTAGAGTGCAGTGGCGAGATCTCGGCTCACTGCAACCTCCGCCTCCCAGCTTCAAGCAATTCTCCTGCCTCAGCCTCCCTAGAAGCTGGGATTACAGGCACACACCACCACGCCCAGCTAATTTTTTAGTAGAGACGGGGTTTCACCATGTTGGCCAGGCTGGTCTCGATCTCCTGACCCTCAAGTGATCCGCCCACCTCAGCCTCCCAAAATGCTGGGGTTACAGGTGCATGCCACCATGCCTAGCCACACTCCTTTTTTAAATTTAAAAACTGAGTGAAGTCAGGAGAAAAAAATCTTAAATTGCAGCATGACAGATTCCATACTAGAATCTTGAAAAAGTCTCCAAAGCCCCATAGGAAAAAGCCACCTTGCAAAAAAGCTGAGATACAAAGATAATAAAAGATTTGGTTTCAGGATACAAACATATGCAAGAAGACTTTAAAAAATAATCAAGGCTGCCGGGCGCGGTGGCTCATGCCTGTAATCCCAGAGAGGCCGAGGTGGGCAGATCACCTGAGGTCAGGAGTTCAAGACCAGCCTGGCCAACATGGTGAAACCCCGTCTGTACTAAAAGTACAAAAATTAGCCGGGTATGGTGGTGGGTGCCTGTAATCCCAGCTACTTGGGAGGCTGAAGCAAGAGAATCACTTGAACCCGGGAGGCAGAGGCTGCAGTGAGCTGAGATTGCGCCACTGCACTCCAGCCTGGGAGACAAGAGTGAGACTCCGTCTAAATAAAATAAAATAAAATAAAAATACATAAATATAAATAAATAAATAAAAATAAACAAGGCTGGGCCGGGCGCAGTGGTTCATGCTCGTAATCCCAGCTACTTGGGGATGCTGAGACGGGAGGATTGCTTGAGCCCAGGAGTTCGAGACCATCCTGGGCAACATAATGAGACCTCCATCTCTACAATAAAAATAAAAAATTCGCCAGGTGTGGTGACTCGCACCTGTGGTCCCAGCTACTCAGGAGGCTGAAGTGGGAGGATGGCTTGAGCCCAGGAATTCGAGGTGGCAGTGAGCTGTGATCATACCACTGCACTCCAGCCTGGGTGACAGAGCAAGACCCTGTCTCAAAAATAAATAAAATAAAAAAATAAGTAACTGAGCAAAGGAATAAGGTGCAAAGAATATTCAGAGTGGTGGTAATCAGCAAGATAAAGATGGGAGCATGGGAACAAGGTCATGTCTCAGTTCTTGGTGATGAGGGAGGCTCATGGGTATGCCTTCCTTCCCTTTTATTTTTTAATTTACATATTTTTTGCAAAGCAAAGTTCTTTATTCCCGCAAATTGTGAACAATACACATAGTAGTTTCCACATATGAATGTTTCCTAAAATGATGGCTGTTTTGTTTTGTTTTCTTGAGACAGAGTCTCTTGCTCTGTCGCCCAGGCAGGAGTGCAGTGGCACAATCTCGGCTCACTGCAACCTCCGCCCCCCGCGTTCAAGCCATTCTCCTGCCTCAGCCTCCCAAGTGGCTGGGATTACAGGTGCACACCACCACGCCAGGCTAATTTTTTTGTATTTTTAGTAGAGACGGGCATGAGTCACTGCGCCCAGCCAAAATGATGGTTGTTTAACGTAACGCCATGTAATGCAGGCATGTGGTGTTTTGCGGTTATATTCACATGTGATTTTATCAGGGACCAAAGCAAAAACAAAGAGAATTCTGAAAAGAGTTTGTATCAAGGAAGATAAAATCGGCCAGGCAGAGTGGCTCATGCCTGTGATCTCAGCACTTTTGGAGGCCGAGGCGGGAGGATCCCTTGAGCCCAGGGGATCGAGACCAGCCTGGGCAACATGGTAAAACTCCATCTCTACCAAAAAATGCAAAAATTAGCCAGGAGTGATGGCATGTGCCTGGAATCCCAGCTACTCACGGGGCTGAGGTGGGAGGATCTCTTGAGCCCAGGAGTTCAAGGTTGCAGTGAGCTCTCGCCACTGTACTCCAGCCTGGGCCACAGAGTGAGACTCTGTCTCAGAAAATAAGTAAGTAAAATAAAGCTGATCATGGATAGACCGATGGTCCCAAGAATTACATTGTTTCATGAATTATATAAACCTGAGGCTCTATACAAATATTTAAAAAAGAATTTTAAAATGTGTAAAGGTTTTAAGGAGAAGCGATTAGAGGAAGCAAAGGAGAGAGTAGGGTGGGGGAGGGGAACAGCTCAGGGGTGGCTGTGGGGGTGGGGAACTGGTGGCAGCCAACAAGAAGCCCTGAGCTGGGAACGCTGTGTGACATTTGGTGGCATTTTTATCACCTTCTTGCAGCTCTCAGTGTCTTCCCCATTTTGCAAAATCTTCTGAGCAGGGTGGTGCCGATGTCCCGATAAGGATGGGGTCAGGCTTCTGGGGGGCACTGTGAGGATGGGGGTCTCAGAATCCTTCCCTTGACTTTCGATGGGTGGGGAAGGCCAGGGGAGGAAGGGGGCTTATTCAGGCTGGGTGCCCACCCGGGTCAACCCCTCCGCATGCCTCTGG
The DNA here is from genome assembly GCF_000001405.40 of Homo sapiens. Classification (NCBI taxonomy): domain Eukaryota; kingdom Metazoa; phylum Chordata; class Mammalia; order Primates; family Hominidae; genus Homo; species Homo sapiens. The sequence goes on from NC_000019.10 coordinate 14,784,030, forward strand.
GCCTCTTCTGTTGTGGGCTTGTGGGTTCCCGAGAATTAGGGCCATGGATGGCACTGACGGTCCCAGCCAGTACCAGAAAGAAACGATGGGAAAGCATTGATGAGAATCAACCCATCCCCAGGGCTCTGTCCCTCGGATGGAGGTCTCCCTTTCACTTCTTTCCAGGCATAGAAAACAGTTTGCGGCTCCTCAAAAAGTTACTTGCAGAGTGACCCTGTGATCCAGCCATTCTGCTCCTGGGTATACACCTGAGAAAACTGAAGGCAGACACTCAAACGGATACTTATGTTTATTTTTAAATTTAATTTAATTTAATTTTTTTGAGATGGAGTCTCTCTCTGTCACCCAGGCTGGAGTGCAGTGGCGTGATCTTGGCTCACTGCAACCTCCACCTCCTGAGTTCAAGCTACTCTCCTGCCTCGCCTCCCGAGTAGCCGAGATTACAGGTGTGTGCCACCACCCCTGGCTATTTTTGTGTGTGTGTGTGTGTGTATTTTTAGTAAAGACAGGGTTTCACCATGTTGGTCAGGCTGGTCTCAAACTCTTAATCTCAGGTGATTCCCTTGCCTCGGCATCCCAAAGTGCTGGGATTACAGGCGTGAAGCACCGCACCTGGCCTCATATAGTTACTTTTTGTGTATGGTTATGACGTAGGGTCTAAGTTCTTTCATTATTATTATTATTTTTTGCATGTGTATATCCTATTCTTGGGAAAATTTAAAGGGGATTATTTCTGTTTCTGGTAACGCGCGCGTTCATCCTGTGCTCCCCTGCCTGTAATTCTCCCACTAGGGTCAGAGTAGGGCTGGAAAAGCGAAAACCATAACTAGAAGAGACTTCCCCAACAGGATGTTGCCCAACCCTGGCAGGGCTGACGTCCAGCCTCCAGGGTCCTTACCGGCAGTGCAGTCACAGCTGTGACTAAACCCAGCCACCCACAGCCTGACGCCCCCACACCCTTGACCTTCCCTTTAGCTTCGGGCTTGAGCAGGCCTTTGATACTCAAATAGAGAAAGGAGACAGCAAGACCCCTGTGCCTTCTCAGAGGGGGCACCCCCTTCCCCGATGCCTTCACGGGTCCTGCCTCTCCGGGACCCAGCTTCCCTCCTGGCCACCCCACCACCTCCCCAGCCACACCTCATTTCCACCCATCTAGAGAGGGTGAAACACAAACACTCCTGGCAGCCCTGCCCGAGTGTGTCCTGGGACATGGTGGGGTGGGGGCTCCCCGACTCCTGGGAAGGGGAAGTCTGGGGTGGCCTGTCCTCCCAGCTCCTCGCCCCACTGGTTCCTCTCCCCATGAGTCATGGGAAAAAGCAACAAAACCAACCGCAGGGAGATATAATATCTCTTCCTGTATCTGTGACAGCTGTCTTGTTGGTCTGGCCGTCTGTTCTTCCTGTGAGCATCTGAATCCGTTCAGACCAAGCTCTTCCTCTCCTTGAGCACCCTCTATGGCTCCCACCTTACCCAGTAAAATCCAGTCTTCCCCAAGGCCCACAAGGCTTGGCTGTGTGATTTGCCCTGTCACCTCCAGCTCTCTTCCCCTCATTCACTTGGCTCCAGCCACAGCACCTTCCTCACTATTCCCCAAACAAATATACCAGGCCCAGTCCAGCCTCAGGGCCTTTGCATGTGCTGTTTTCGCCACCTGGAATACCTTTCCCTCAGAATTTTTTTTTATCTTTTAATTATTTTGTTTTTTGAGACAGAGTCTTGCTCTGTCACCCAGGCTGGAGTGCAGTGACACGATCTCGGTTCAACCTCTGCCCCCGCCCCCTGCCTCCCCGTTTTCAAGCAATTCTCCTGCCTCAGCCCCCTGAGTAGCTGGGATTACAGGCGCCTGCCACCACGCCTGGCTAATTTTTGTATTTTTAGTAGAGAGGGGGTTTCACCATGTTGGCCAGGCTGGTCCCGAACTGCTGATCTCAGGTGATCCACCCGCCTCGGCCTCCCAAAGTGCTGGAATTACAGGCGTGACCACTGTGCCTGGCCGAGACACTGCACCTGGCCTCTTCTTACTTTTAGAGACAGGGTCTTGCTCTGTTGCCCAGGCTGGAGTGTGGTGTTGCCTTCATGGCTCACTGCAGCCTCCACCTCCTGGGCTCAAGTGATCCTCCTGCCTCAGCCTCCTGAGTGGCTGGGGTTACAGGCCCGAGCCAGGCCTGTTCTGTTTCTTCTCTGTACTCGAAACCTACAGCAATGCTCTAGGTTTGCTCAATACACACAGTAGCTGCTCAATAAATGTGCATAAATAATACATGAACGATGAGTTCTAGCTGGGAAATGACAACTGGGAAAAGTGGGATGTGGAGGATAATTTAAGAGATGAGAGCTGTTTCCGAAACTCCTGGGGGGCCTGAGGCGCCCGGATCGGGGAGAAACGGGGGCGACCATCCACTTCCCCGGCAGTCGCACGCACCTCCCCTTGGCGGCCCACAGATGGCGCTGGCTCCACGCGCTGCAGCGGCGGGAAGCCGGAGGTGGGAAAACCCAAGCTTTAGCCCCCTCCCCTGTCTGGCTGCTGGGGTCAGTTCCTGGCCCGGATTAGGATGCCAAGCCCGGGCACCCTGCTTGGGGTCCCACCTCCTGGTAGACGGGCTTTTTGGTCAAATGAGGGGAATCTGAGAAGAGTGGGGGTGGTCCACTCTGTGGTCCTCCCTCTGTCCACGCATGCTCTGATTTCCCCATTCCTAAAACTAGTTCAGCAGCTCCATGCCTGGGGGAGGGGTGAACGCACTTAACCATGTTCGTGTTCTGCCTTAACTTTATATAGGTTAGAGCTGGGCGCAGCGCTTGGTGTCAGTGGGTCCTGGGTGCACATTTGTGGAACAGTGAATGGGTGAATCCCTGTTTTACAGATGGGGAAACTGAGGCTCAGGAAGGCGATGCGGCTCACCCAGGTTCATAGAGCCAGAAAATGGCAAGGCTGGGATCGGAGACACCAGGCCTGCGTGAGTCCAGAGTCAGCTCGTTTTTTTTTTTTGATTGTTTGTTTGCTTGGTTTTTTTTTTTTTTTTTTTTTTTGAGACAGGGTCTCTGTCACCCAAGCTGGAGTGCAGTGGCAGGATCTTGGCTCACTGCAACTTCCGCCTCCTGGGTTCAAGCGATCTCCTGCCTCAGACTCCTGAGTAGCGGGGATTGCAAGCGCGTGCCACCATGCCCAGCTAATTTTTTGCATTTTTGGTAGAGACAGGGTTTTACCATGTTGGCCAGGCTGGTCTCGAACTCCTGACCTCAAGTGATCTGCCTGCCTCGGCCTCTCATAGTGCTGTTGCCCAACCTCAAAAAACGAAAACGGGAAGTTTTTGTCAACAGGAGCGTGGGAACCGGAAATCCTTGCTTCCGATACCGGAAGTCAGAGACCACACATTTGCAGGGAGCGAAATTGAGGTCCCAGTGCGGGGGCCTGCAGAAATCCAGGAATAGGACTCAGGGATCTAGGGCTGGGATGTTGGTGGTTCTGAGCGCCCAGGAAATAGGAGTTCTATGAGAGTAAGTATGAGAAATTGGAAGAATGCAGAGCTTGGAAAGGAATTGGAGGGAGTCAGAGAATGAGGGAGACTACTGTGAGCTGGGAGGGACCAGCCAGAGTGGCGCCAGTGTCCCGTGGTTCAGGAGTTTTGATAAGAGAATGCAATAAACTAGAATTGCACTAGAGTTAAAAAAAATTAATTATAGTTTATTTTTTTGAGACAGAGTCTCTCTCTGTCGCCAGGCTGAAGTGCAGTGGCAGGATCTTGGCTCACTGCAACCTCGGCCTCCCAGGTTCAAGCGACTCTCCTGCCTCAGCCTCCTGAGTAGCTGGGCCTACAGGCGCGTGCCACCATGCACAGCTAATTTTTGTATTTTTAGTAGAGACGGGGTTTCACCATGTTTGCCAGGATGGTCTGGATCTCTTGATCTCGTGATCCGCCTGCCTTGACCTCCCAAAGTGTTGGGATTACAGGTGTGAGCCACTGCGCCTGGCCCAATTATAGTTATTTTAAATTCCCTATTAGTTTATTTCTAAGTCTGGTTTCTGCTGATTTCTCTGTGGTTTGTGTTTTCTTGCTTTTGCTTGTGCTTCATAATGTTTTTCGAGACGGAGTCTCACTCTGTGCCCAGGCTGGAGTGCAGTGGTGTGATCTTGGCTCATTGCAACCTCCACTTCCTGGGTTCAAGCAATTTTCCTGCCTCAGCCTTCCAAGTAGCTGCGACTACAGGTGCACATCATCACGCCGTCTAATTTTTTGGATTTTTAGTAGAGACAGGGTTTCGCCATGTTGGCCAGGCTGGTCTTGAACTCCTGACAGGTGATCTGCCTGCCTCGGCCTCCCAAAGTGCTGGGATTACAGGTGTAAACCACCGTGGCTGGCCCGTGTTTCATAATTTTTGATTGAATGCTGGACAATTTGTGTAGGGCAGCTGACAATGAGGTATTATTTATGACTGGAAATGAGCACATCTTTATATTATTTCTCCTAAGCTATTTTTGTGGGAGGTTAAGTCTGTCTGGAATCAGGTTAAGTCTGTCTGTAATCAGTGAACCCCAGGCTTCAGTTTATTTGAGTGTTACTTTGGTGTCTTGTGTTGGGGTGAGGGCTCTCTTTGCAAGAGGGTTTGTTTGTCTCATAGTTGTTCTACCTTCAGCTGTGGCTCTTCCCTATGTAGCTGCATTTCAGAGAGAGTCTCTCCACATTCTTTGCACTCCTGCAGAGTTCTAATACTTTCATCAGTGACCACTCTTGGGGCTATTAAATTCATTAAAAATTTAGATGAATTCTTCTTAGTCACTTGTATTGACACCCAGATAACTTCCTTTTGTGCTCTGCCTTAGGTTCGCCACTACTCCTTATGGTCTCTCTTTAGACACTCCTGTCTTTCCTTTGGTTTCAGGCTACTTTCTTGTCCCATTACCTCTGTTCTCTAATGGGTTCAAGAAAATTAATGGTTTTGTAGTTTATTTGGATTTTCTTATTCTTGGGTTTGGAGCCATACTCATTTTCATTTTCTATTTTCTAGGCAGAAGTAGAGATCCCCTCCATTTTTTCCTAACGTTTTAATAATTTTATTTTTAATTTTTAGATTTTAAATCCATCACCTTATAGCCATACATATTCACAGTTTTATAAAACATCTATTGACAAAATTAACTTTGTGCAGAGAAAAAAGCATTTGATCTGGATGTCTAGGAATTCATGAGAGTATACCCTTAATGAATTAAGAACTAATTAATGCATTTGCTTTCCTGACACTTTTATTTATAATTTTAAAACATAGAAAAAATTCAGAAGATTGATACAATAAACACTCATATATCATCCATAGAGATGGAACAATATTATTATAGTGGCACCCTAGAAAACATCTCTCTCTATATACACAGATTTACACATACAAAACATTGGTAGTCAGTGGCAGATATCATGGCACTTCCATCTTTTTTTTTTTTTTGCAGCAGAGTTTCGCTCTTGTTGCCCAGGCTGGAGTGCAATGGCCCGATCTCAGCTCACTGCAACCTCCGCCTCCCGGGTTCAAGCGATTCTCCTGCCTCAGCCTCCTGAGTAGCTGGGATTACAGGCGTGTGCCACCACACCTGGCTAATTTTGTATTTTTAGTAGAGACAGGGTTTCTCCATGTTCGTCAGGCTGGTGTCAAACTCCTGACCTCAGGTGATCCACCCACCTCGGCCTCCCCAAGTGCTGGGATTACAGGTGTGAGCCACCGTGCCCGGCCAGCACTTCTGTCTTAAATAATTCTTCAACAAATTCTAAGAATAAGAATGTTCTTTATATAACCATGATACTATTATTACACCCAAAGGAATAAATAATTTCACAATAACTTTTAATATGTAATGCATAGTCAAATTATCCCGCTTGACTCCAAAATATCTTTTATACTATATATTTGAACTAGAGTTTCCACCAAAACTGATATTGAATTTGATTGTTTTTCTGGTTTTGTGTCTTAATCTAGAGTAGCTACTGGCCACTTTTTTCATGATAATGACTTTAGAAGAGTCTAGGTCAATTTTCTTGTTGAATGTCTCATGTTCTGGATTTGCCAGTTTGTTTCCTCATCATGTCACTTAACTTCTTCTGTCCCTCATATTTCATGTAGATTGAAGGTTAGATCTAGAAGAACGGGGCCACCAAACTTTTTCTATAAAGAGTCAGATAGTAATTTTTTTTTTTTTTTTGGTTTTGTGGCCTTATAGTCTCTGTTACAACAACTCAACTCTGACATTGTAGGTTGAAAGCAGCTGTCAATAATACATCAGTGAATAAGTGTAGCCATGTTCCAATAAAACCATATTTGTAAAAACAAGCAGCAGGGTGAATTTGGTCTGCATGTTGTAGTTTGCCAACCTTCAGTCTAAAGACTAGATTAGATTAAGATTAGGCTGATTTGTCAATAATTCTTTATTTGCCACAAACATGATTTTGTAACTTCATGTCTTATCAGGAGATATATAATGTCAGGTTGCCCCTGTATTGATAATGTTAAGCCTGAGACTGAGTTCAGATAGTGACTATCAGATCTCCACATTGTAAATGTACACTTTGGCACTTGTAATTAATCAGTAATTTGTGAGATGATTCTTTGGCACTGTAGGGATACCCTGTTCTCCAATATGCAACATTTTTAGTGGTCATTTACTGGATATTGAAAAATCATGATTTTCTAATTCTATCATATCTTCTACATTTATTGGCTGGTATTTTATGTATCACTATGAACTCATGGATATTTTTTATTTAATAGGTTATAATAATTTAAAGTCATTTTCCTTGATGTTCCAATCGGTATGAATTTGGTCAGTGGGAGCCCAGAGGGAATATTATTTTAGGTGGAACTGCTCTGGATTTAGGTATCATGCCGAGGATGAAATAACGTTATCTATAAATACATTTTACAAAATGTGCAGTAGAAATATATGCCTACTTCCATAGCTCAGTTTATAAAATGGAAGAGTGAAGAGATTCTATTTACAAAGTTCTGATTTTACTCTAGCCAGGAAACATTAAAAAATTATCTGTAAGCTCTGTAAAGGCAGGAATTGAATCTTTATTGATCTGTGTGCTGCACTTGGTGAGTAATAAAAATATATTTGTTGAATGAATTAAATTAGTGACTCTTTAGAAAAGGAGAGTGAAGAACATGGGGCATGCAGGTAGGGAGCTCAGGTGACCTGGTTTTCCTGTAACTGAGATGTTTTTCTGGGATTGGGGCTTTTTGTACTAAACCAGGAAAGTGCTGGGCAATTGAGATCAGTTGTTTGCTTTACATGAAGGTCCTGGACTGAACAATAATTTCCTCTCTTATGCTATTTTAAGAAAGTCTGTTAAGGCTGGTTTTCCTGGTTATATATTTTCAACTTGAGGAAGATCTTTTTAGAAAAGGAGGTTGAAGCAGAGGACTTAATCCAAAGTATGTGTGAAATTGGGCCATAGCACCTTACCTGCAATGGGAGTTAGCTGAGCATGCTCTACGGATCAGAACACCTAAATTCTACAGCAAATGAGTGTCAAACATTTCCTGGAAATTTTCTTTTATAATGGTGCCATGAAAAGTTATTTGTAACAAACATGAAAAAGCATTTTTAAGATACTCCTGGCTCAGTGAATGACAGTTCAATATTGTCCTCATTTTCCAGGAGACAGGATCATCTGGTTTAGCTGCTCATTATAATTATCCTGTGAAAGAAGATGTACAAATACTACTGTATAAAGAAGTACAAGGCTTGTACATTGAAAATTATGAAACATTGTTGGAAGAAGTTAAAGATCTAAAGAAATGGAAAGACATCCCATGTTCATGAATTGGGAGGCTTAGTATTCATAAGATAGAAGTACTCCCCAACATGATGAATTTAACATAGTCCCTACCACAAGCCCAGTTAACTTTTTTGCGTAAATTGACAGGATGACCCTAAAATTTATGTGGAATGGTAGAGGATTCACAATAGTCAAAGAATCTTGGAAAAGAAGAACCAACTTGAAGACTCACATTTCCTGATTTTAAAACTTACTACAAAGCTACAGTAATCAAGACAGTGTGGTATGGGCATAAGGATTAGACATATAGCCCGATGAAATAGAATCAAGAGTACAGAAATAAACTCTTACATTTATGGTCTATAGATTTTCAACAAGGATGTGAAGACAATTCACTGGGGAGAAAGAATGGTCTATTTAAGAAATGTTTCTGGGACAACTGTATTTCAGCATGCAAAAGAATGAAGTTAAGCTTCTGCTTGGGGCCTGGAAGGGTGATGTGGCTGTGGCATCGCCGGCCTCGCTATGTCTGCCATTTTCAATATTCAGAGTCTATTGACTGTAATCTTGCTGCTTATATGTACCTGTGCTTATATTCGATCCTTGGCACCCAGCCTCCTGGACAGAAATAAAACTGGATTGTTGGGTATATTTTGGAAGTGTGCCAGAATTGGTGAACGGAAGAGTCCTTATGTTGAAGTATGCTGTATAGTAATGGCCTTCAGCATCCTCTTCATACAGTAGCTGGGGAAAATGCCAGAATTTAATTGCCATCAGATTTCATTGTGAACAAGGACTTACTGCAGAAAATAATGGAAAGGATGTTTAACTCTTTTATCTCCGAACATTGAATGAGATAAATTTCCAGATGCTGTTCTCTATTTTAATGTTATTGGACCAATATTCTGTATAAATAATTAAGATGTAACCATTTAATAGTCTGTAACAATGAACCTCAGTACTGTCACTACAATATTACATTCTGCAAATGTTATTCTGTTGTATCAGATACGAAATTTTAGTGAGGTATCTCTAAGGCATATAGTAGAAAACAAAATTGGTTAATTAAGTTCGTTTCACTGTGATTTGGAAATGATTTAATCTTTATAGAATGAGACCCTTTTTTGGACTAGCTTTTTTTATTAAAATGGCTCAATATGTGTAAAAAAAAAAAAAAAAGAATGAAGTTAAGCCCCTACCTCACACTGCATTAAATAACCAACTCCACATGGATCATAGGCCTAAAAGTAAGAGCTAAAACTGTAAAACTTGTAGAAAAAAAACCAGAAGTAAATCTTTTTGACCTTGGTTTAGGCAGTGGATTTTTAGATATGGTATCCAAAGCACAAATGACAAAATACAAAATTAGATAAATAGGACTGCATCAAAATTAAAAATGTTTATGCATCAAAATCATCTGGCAAGAGACTTATATCCAGAACATACATAGAACTTTTACAACTTAACAATAAAATTCAAATAACCCAATTAAAAATGGGCAAATAATTTGAATAGATATTTCCCCAAAGAAGATATGCAAATGGTCAATATACATTTGTAAAGAGTCTTATCATAAGTCATTAGGGAATGCAAATTAAAACCACACCGAGTTACCACTCCACATCTGTTGGAATGGCTAAAATAAAACAAAAGACAAGCAATTAACAAGTTTTGATGAGAATATGGGGAAATTGGAACACTCCTACATTGTTGGTGGAGATGAAAATGGTGCAGTCACTAAGAAAAATATTTTGGCAGTTCCTCAATATGTTAAACATAGCATTACCATACAACCCAGTAATTCTACTCCGAGGCATATATTCAAGAGAAATGGAAACATATGTCTACACAAAAATTTGTACACAAGGCTGGGCATGGTGGCTCACGCCTGTAATCCCAGCACTTTGGGAGGCTGAGGCGGGCCTACCACCTGAGGCCAGGAGTTCGAGACCAACCTGGCCAACATAGTGAAACCCGTCTTACTAAAAATACAAAAAAATTAGCCAGGTGTGGTGGTGGGTGCCTGTAATCCCAGCTACTAGGGAGGCTGAGTCAGGAGAATTGCTTGAACCTGAGAGGTGGAGGTTGCAGTGAGCCAAGAAGGCGCCATTGCACTCCAGCCTGGGCAACGAGTGAAACTCTGTCTCAAAAAAAAAAAAAAATTGTACACAAGCGTTTATAAGAATATTCATAATAGTCCAAAAGTGGAAAAACTGAAGTGTCTCTCATATTGATGAGTGGATATCAAAATATAGTCTATCTATACAATGGAGTACTATTTGGCAAAATAGATAATGAAATACCAATACATGCTACAACATGGATGAACCTTGAAAGCATTAAGCTAAGTGAAAGAAGCCACTCACAAAGTCAAAATAGTGTATGATTCCATTTATATACAATCGAGAGAGAGAGAGAGACAGAGAGAGAGAGAAAGAAGTTAAGTACAACTCAAGGGATTCTGACTTGAGATGCTGGAATAATGGAGTTTTGCCATGTACATAGATGGGAAGATTGTGAGTGGAGAAGGCTGGGAGTAATTAGGATTAAGATTTTGGGCATGTCAGGTTTGAAATGTGTGTTAAGCTTCCAAGTGGAGTTGTCTAAGAGGCAGTTGGGTCTATGAATCTGGAGTCATCTTGTCTGAAGATACGCATTTTGGATTCTTTAGCCTCCATATATGATCTTAAGTCTATGAGACAGCATGACATTAACTAGAGAGACACATGGTGAGAGACAGATAGGGAAAAGTGAGGACAGGTAGGGAAAAGAAGAGGCTAGAAGACGAAATCATGGAATGTTGCAGCACTGAGAACTTGAGAAGATGAGGAGGAGCCAATCTGGGTTTCAGCTTTAACACCAACCAACTGGTACCTGTTTATATCCCTGGTGATCTACTAGTAGCCACATCTGATGGTCACTCATTTAATTATCCTGACATTTCACTTCCCAACATTTCTTCCATGAAACTCTTCTACTCTTTTGACAATTCTCCCACTCTCTCAGCCCCGCCCACCCCCTAACGCTGACCTTTTCTATTTATCCAACTTTACTAATTAATGTTTAATATGTGTCTTGTGGCTTACAACACAGACACATGCACATTGGCCTGGGGCTGCAGATTATTCAAGGAAGCATGCTCAGTGCTCATCAGTAAATGCCTGGAGTGTTGGGTGCATTCTTGTGTCTCACAATTTAGAAGCAGCAGTGATAGAACTGAGTGAATATAGAATGTCAGTGGAAGAGGAGTTGTTGACAAAGGAACTCATTCCACCTTCTAAGGAGTATAGAAAACTCGTAAGGGTGAAGACAGGAATAAACCTTTTGTCTAAGAAATGACTAGTGGTTTCATGGAAGAGTGTTGAAAATTGATCGATTCCTTCAAAATAACTAATCATAGACGTTATAGGGAAGGCAATTTTGACTCAGATTTTTCAATCTCTAATGCTGGGAGCTGTCCAACAATAGAGTTGATTGCACCATTGTAACTGCCCAATGGGTTCACCTTGCCTGCTGCCTAGACAGAGCTGCTTTATCAAGACAGGAGAATTGCAATAGAGTTTAAATTCATGTAGAGCCAGCTGTACAGGAGACCGCAGTTTTATTATTACTCAAATTAGTCTCCCTGAAAATCTGGGGATTGGGGTTTTAAAGAATAATTTGGTGGGTAGGAGTTGGGAAGTGGGGAGTGCTGATTGATTGGGTTAGAGATGAAATCATAGGAAGTCAAAGCTGTCCTTTTGTGCTGAGTCAGTTCCTGGGAGGGGCCACAAGACCAGATGAGTTAATCAGTCTGGGTGGTGCCAGCTGAGCAATGGAGTACAGGGTCTGCAAAGTAGCTCAAGCACCAATCTTAGGTTTTACAATAGTGATGTTGTCCCCAGAAGCAATTTGGGGAGGTTCAGAATCTTGCAGTCTCCAGCTGCGTGACTTTCTTTTTTCTTTTCTTTTTTTTTTTTTTTTTTTTTGAGACAGAGTCTCGCTCTGTCGCCCAGGCTGGAATGTAGTGGCACAATCTCGGCTCACTGCAAGCTCTGCCTCCCTGGTTCACGCCATTCTCCTGCCTCGGCCTCCAGAGTAGCTGGGACAACAGGTGCCCACCACCACGCCCGTCTAATTTTTTTGTATTTTTAGTAGAGACGGGGTTTCACCATGTCAGCCAGGATGGTCTCGATCTCCTCACCTTGTGATCCACCCGCCTCGGCCTCCCAAAGTGCTCAGGTTACAGGCGTGAGCCACCGCGCCCGGCCAACTGCGTGACTTTTAAACCATAGTTTCTGATCTTGTGGCTAATATGTTAGTCCTACGAAGGCAGTCTAGTCTCCCAGCAGGAAGGGAATTGGTTTTGGGAAAGGGCTGTTACCGTCTTTGTTTCAAAGTTAAACTATAAACTAAGTTTCTCCCAAAGTTAGAGCCCAGGAATGAGCAAGGACAGCTTGGAGGTTAGAGGCAAGATGGAGTTAGTTAGGTCAGACCACTTTCACCGTCATAATGTTCTCAGCGATGATTTTTTGCAAAGGCAGTTTCAGCATCACTCTCCTCAATTAGAAATGGAAGGACCAGGCCGGTTGCAGTGGCTCACGCCTGTAATCCTAGCACTTTGGGAGGCTGAGGCAGGCAGATCACAAGGTCAAGTGATCAAGACCATCCTGGCCAACATGGTGAAACTCTGTCTCTACTAAAAATACAAAAATCAGCTGGGCGTGGTGGCACGTGCGTATAGTCCCAGCTACTCAGGAGGTTGAGGCAGGAGAATCACTTGAATCCGGGAGGTGGAGGTTGCGGTGAGCTGAGATCGTGCCACTGCACTCCCCACTCCAGCTTGGCAACAGAGTGAGACTCCATCTCAAAAAAAAAAAAAAAAAAAAAGACAAAGAAATGGAAGGACCGTTTCCACTAATTGAGTGAGTTACATGAAAAGTTGACCATTCATTCAGTCTTTCCTGTTCTACATCACTCCCCTGGAAGACGACGGCACTGAATTAGCTTTAACATGTGCGTGATGGTGAATAATGACATAATCTTACAATGGCGACTTCACATAAGGGTGTTACTCAAAATCTCTGTGAGACTTAACTACAGAGTAGCTGAAAGTTTTTCTAGCTTCACAGCTTTGTTAATTCTACTTATTTTTTCAAGATTTGCATATACTAGTTTAGGTTTACCTATTCAACAAGAATTTACCACACTTTCCTTCTATGTCAGAGATTTTGCTACACAGAGGGGGTATGAAGGTCCCACCCATCATGAGAATTAATATTTAGATTACTAGGAAAGGATCACTTATTGTTTGAGTTAGCATTCTATGTATAGAACAAAACCCTTCTAATTACACAGTAATAAGAATGCAGTTTTGCAAAGAATTTCATGTACATTAGAAAATTTTAATGGTATGCTGAGATGCTTAAAAAAAATCTAACTTAGGCTGGGTGCTGTGGCTCATGCTTGTAATCCCAGAACTTGGGGAGGCTGAAGCAGGCGGATCACGAGGTCAGGAGATTGAGACCATCATGGCTAACACAGTGAAACCCCGTCTCTACTAAAAATACAAAAACAAAATCAGCTGGGTGTGGTGGCATGTGCCTGTGGTCCCAGCTATTCGGGAGGTTGAGGTGGGAGAATGGCATGAACTCGGGAGGCGGAGCTTGCAGGGAGCCGAGATTGCGCCACTGCACTCTAGCCTGGGTGAGAAAGCAAGACTCCATCTCAAAAAAAAAAAAAAAAAAAAAAATCTAACTTAGACGAGATGAAGTGAGAGCAATGTTTTAATTCAGGGGTCAGCAAACCTTCACAGTGAAAAAGGCCAGAGAGTAAATATTTTAGGTAGGTTTTCCAGGTCAGATGATTTCTGTGGCAGTTACTCATATCTGCTCTTGTAACATGAAAGCAGCCACAGATAATATGTACACAAGTGGGTGTGGCTATATGCCAATAAAATTTTATTTGCAAAAAAACAAAAAAAAACAGAAATGGGCAATTTGGGATGCTGGTCATTCTTTGCATTTAAAGCTAGTCTTGATGAAACTGTCTTTTATGGGTTGAATTTTCATTCTCTACAAATTCATATGTTGAAGTCCTTACCGCCAAAACTTCAGAATGTGGTCTCAGCTATTCTGACCTTTGTGAAGCCAATGTTTAGTTTTTTCATTGCAAATATCTGAGATGTTCACAATAGTTTGCATTGCTTATGTGATCATATGTTACATTAAAGCCCTCAGTTAGAAATAGGGCTGCGGTGAATGTAATTAGTTAAGCTAAGATGAGGTCCATAGTGGAGTAGAGTTGGCCTCTAATCTGAATGTTGTCCATATAAGAAGGGGAAATTTGGACACAGACACACCTAGAGGGAGAACATCACCTGAAGATGAAAGCAGAGATTGGGGTGATGCTTCTATATTGTCAAGGAAAGCCAAAGACTGCCAGCAACCGGCAGAAGCTAGGGGTAAGGCATGGAACAGAATCTTTCTCACAGCCTTCAAGTGGAACCAGCCCTGCCAACAACTTGATTTCAGGCGTCATAGTCTACAGAAATGTGAGACAATCAATTGCTATTGTTTAACTCACCCAATTTGTGGCACATTGTTACAGATGCCCTAGAAAGTTAATACACCGTCTTCAAAAATTGTCAAAATCAAGATGAAGCAGCATAGTTGTCTGGGGTAACACCTGAGGTTTGTTGTCCCACAGCCATGGAAGAAGACTGGGATGCGGACACACCAGAGTGAGGTTAAGAGCAGAAGTTTAATAGGTGAGAGAAAGAGAAGAGCTCTATGTGCAGAGAGGGGTCCCAGAGAAAATGGGTTGCCAGTTCCATGGTGAAATGCACAGGGTTTTATAAACTAGCTTGAGGAGGTGTTGTCTGATTTACATAGGCCATAAAAGATTGGTTGGATCAGGTGTGCCATTTGCATAGCATGTGGAGAAGCTGGCTGCCCCACCCTAATCTTTTATTATACAGATGGGTTCTTTACCTGGGCAGCCCCATGTTGCCTGTTCCTTTGCTGTACACATGGTTGACAAAGAAAAGGAAGAGGGAGCCTCCATGTTGAACATGACTGGTCCCCAGCTAGCCCTTTTCTATTGGCGCAGCAGCCGGCATTCACTCATGCAAGCTTCCAGCTTGCTTATCTATGTCTGCAGCTCGATTTTTCAGGCTGTTCTTTGTTAGAAAAGAAATGATTTTGAGGGCTGCTTTTTGTTAACGGGGAAACCTTGCCAAGGACTCTGTGGCCCTCCCTATCTACCTAAATAATTTCTTTCTAGCTCCTGTATCAAAGACACGATAAGATATGGTAATTCCAGAACTAAAAGAGAATACATTGATGTTTGGATACATTCAAGAACCACCAAAAGTGCCTCCCAATGGTCCAAGCCTTGCTACTTATGAAAGTCCTGCAGTGATGTCACCATTAAAAAATGTTGCCCTACTGAGGAGTCTCCCCAGGGCCCTCTTCATGTCCGTGTTCCTCAGGCTGTAGATGAAGGGGTTCAGCATGGGGGTGACCATGGTGTACATCACTGAGGCCACCAGACTTGTCCTAGAAGATGGTGTGGCTGCAGAACTGAGATAGACCCCAAAGCCCGTGCCATAGAACAAGGTGACCACTGAGAGGTGGGAACCACAGGTGGAAAACGCTTTGTGCTTTCTCCCAGCTGAGGAAATCCTCAGTATAGAGAAAACAATTTTATAGTAAGAGAAAAATATTCCAGTGAAGGAAATCACACCCAGGACGCCAGTTGCAAAGTATATCACCACGTTATTAATGAAGGTGTCAGAACAGGCGAGCTTCAGGACTTCAAGTAGATCACAAAAAAAGTGTGGAATTTCCATTTCGGTGCAGAAGGACAGCCTCAAAACAGTCAAGGTCTCGAGCAGGGAACCCATGACACTGATGCACCAGGACCCCAGAACCAGCAGTCCACAGAGCTGGGGGTTCATGATGACCGTATAGTGCAGGGGGTGACAGACGGCCACGAAGCGGTCATAGGCCATCACGGTCAAGAGTAAATTGTCCAGGCATCCAAATGAAGTGAAAAAAAAAATCTGACTGAGACAGCCTGCATATGTTATGAATTTGTTCTGTGTCAGTATATTCAGTAACATCTTTGGGACAGTCGTGGAGGTAAAACAGAGGTCAGCAAAAGACAGGTTGGAGAGGAAGAAGTACATGGGGGTGTGGAGGTGGGAGTCTGAGCATATGGCCAGGATGATGAGCAGGTTCCCGGTGAAAGTGACTAGGTACATGGAGAGGAACAGCCCAAAGAGAATGAACTGAATCTCTGACGTTGCTGAAAATCCCAGGAGGAGAAATTCTTGGGCATGTGTTTGATTTCCTGTTTCCATGGGGATAAAATAACTGCCACAAGAGAGAAAAAAGCAACAGTCAATTATCAACACACTGGCAACATGGAAATTTGGTTACATTTAATTTTAAGTGAAGGAATCAATTAACAAAAGATTGCCTTTTTCTTGCTGTCTTTTTCTGGGGCATCTGAAATTCTTCCATCCTTTTCTTTGCTACCATCGGGATCTGGAAATGTAGTGTTAGTTCCATAATACTTGTACCCTCTATAGCCTGGCTTCTCAAAGTGTTGTCCATGAACCAACAAGATCAACAAGAGTTTCTTTAAATGCAGAATCCCTGGTCAGACCTACGGATTCAGAATCTACATTTTAACAATATCACCAAGGGTTTCACATGCATATTAGTGATATAGGAGTTAAGAAAAAATCACTTACGCAGATAGTAAGGTTATGGGAGTCCTCAGTGAGGCTTTTCTTTTTAATGAAAAGCAGCCCCAAATCATTTTCTAACAAAGAGCATCCTGTAAAGGCGAGCTGCAGACACAAACAAGCTGGGAGCTTGCACGGGTGAATGCCGGCAGGAACTAAGGACTAGAAGTTTTCAAGATGGTGGCTCCATCTTCCCTTCTCTTTGTCAGCCACGAGCAGACAAGATGGCGCAGATCAACTGGAAAGTCCAATTGCAAAGTAAGATTAGGGTGGGGCCACCAGCCTTCCCTGAGCACTATGAAAATGTCATACCTGATGGAACCAATCTGTGAGCCTGATGTAAATCAGACACTGCCTCCTCAAAGGGGACTATTAAACTCTGCGCATTCACCACCAGCCTGTCCTTTCCTCTCGGAGACCCTTTTCTCTATGGAGAGAGGTGTTTCTCTTTTTCTTCTCTTCTCCCTATTAAACCTCCGCCTCTGAACTCCTCGTGTGTGTCCGTGTTCTAAATTTTCCTAGTGCATGCCAATGAACCCCAGGGTATATACTCCAGACAATGTAGCAGCTTCATTAATATTTGAGTAGCAATGGTCTTGGACACTTACAGCTTCTAGTTCTCAGCTCTTCTCACCTTTGTTCTCCTCCATGTCTTCCCTCATTCCTCATTACCTAATATGCATGCAAAACAGGAGCTCAATAACTATGCTTTTTCCCCCTGCTATCTGCATGGAGTTGATACTTTTCACACATTGTTCTCAGCTATTCCAACCTTTGTTTATAAAGCCAATGTTTCATTTTTTCAGTGCAAACATCTGACATGTTTACAATAATTTGCATTGTTTATGTGATCATATGTTACATTATTTTACATGTTCGTTTTGTGAGTTTCTGTTCTGTCACTGGAAAGCCAGTCAGACATTATGCTTTAAAAAAATATTTTGGTAAAATATGGTTAAAAAATTTTATAGGTACTGCGTATTAAATTAATGCGATTTTAGGATATATTTTGAATTTTAGGTAGAGAACTCCAAAGTACCAATACTTCACAGAAACATAGATAATACCGTGGCAGCTGTCATAATCAACTTGATCAGTGTATTAGTCCATTCTCACGCTGCTGTAAAGAACTACCCGAGACTGGGTAATTTATGAAGAAAGTGGTTTAGTTGATTCACAGTTCTGTATGACTTGGGAGGCCTCAGGAAACTTACAATTATGGTGGAAGGGGAAGAGGAAGCAAGCATCCTTTTTCACATGGCAGCAGAGAGAGAGAGAGCGCGCGCTAAGGCGGTAGCACCATACTTTTAAACAACCAGATTTCATGAGAATCCCATCACAAGACAGCACTAGGGGAATGGTGCTAAACCATTAGAAACTGCCCCTGTGATCCAATCACCTCCCACCAGGCCCCTCCCTCAACCTTGGGGATTATAATTCGAGATGAGATTTGGGTGGGGACACAGAGCCAAACCATATCAGTCAGGAATCTGGAAAACAGTCAAAGGTTTAGAGCAACAAAGTGAATCCTTAATTTTTTAAAAAAGGTGACTGAAACCAGGTTGGACAGCTTTGTGGCAATTTATCATTTTCCCACCATCTTTCTTGGCTCAGTGGCATTGCTGAATATGACAACCCCACAGTCCCACCAGTTCCTGGTGCTGAAGATAGCGGAAATGTATGGCAATGTTCTGTTTTAATATGTCCAATGGGCCGGGCGTGGTGGCTCACGCCTGTAATCCCAGCACTTTGGGAGACTGAGGCGGGTGGATCACCTGAGGTCAGGAGTTCGAGACCAGCCTGGGCGACATGGTGAAACCCCGTCTCTACTAATAACACAAAAATGAGCTGGGCGTGGTGGCACACGCCTGTAATCCCAGCTACTTGGGAGGCTGAGGCAGGAGAATCGCTTGAACCTGGGAGGCGGAGGTTGCAGTGAGCCGAGATTGTACCACTGCACTCCAGCCTGGGTGACAAGAGTGAAACTCTGTCTCCAAATAATAATTAAAGAAAGATAATAATTCCAATGGACTGCTGAAGGAATAACACAAGGAGCTTACCTTTACCTACCTTGAAACCTCTCTCAAAGGAGATTGTTGAAAACATTTAAAGACAAATGAACTATCCACAAGTGTCTGGGGAAAAGCATATGAGTAGTGGTAAATGATGGACACGCTGACATGTCTTGGAAGAAAGGCTGTGGAGTGAGATATTTGGGACATATGACTTTGAAAATTTCTCACGTATTCCTGGGAATGTAGAGGTGAAGCTCTGTCGTTGTCTGGGGTAAATACCCAAGGTTCCTCATCTCACGCCAAGGAAATTGAGTACGCAGACACCCAAAAAGTGGGTTTAGAAGCAGAGGTTTAATAGGCAAAAGAAAGAGAAAGGAGAACGTGCCTGAGTGGGACTTCCTGCTGGCAGCAAAGTACACTGGATTTTATAGACTGGCTTGAGGAGGCAGTGTTTGATTTAAATAGGGCCCAAAGATTGGTTGGGGCCAGGCGTCGTGGCTCACGCCTGTAATCTCAGCACTTTGGGAGGCTGAGGCAGGTGGATCACCTGAGGTCAGGAGTTCAAGACCAGCCTGGCCAACATGGTGAAACCCCGTCTCTACTAAAAATACAAAAATTAGCTGGGTGTGGTGGTGCGCATCTGTAATCCCAGCTACTTGGGAGCCTGAGGCACAAGAGTCACTTGAAACTGGGAGATGGAGGTTGCAGTGAGCCGAGATCACACCACTGCACTCCAGCCTGGGTGATAGAGGGAGACTATGTCTCCAAAAAAAAAAAAAAAAAAAGAAAAGATTGGTTGGACCAGGTGTGACGTTTACATAGTCCGGAGGAAGCTGGCTGCTCCATCCTAATCTTCTATTATGCAGATGGGGTCTTTGCGGGTCGCTGCCATGTTGTCTTCTCCTTACTGTACACGTGGTTTGCAAGGAAAAGGGAAGATGGAGTCACCATGTTGAACATGCCTGGCTCCCAGACAGCCTTTTCCTATTTGTCACAGCTGCCAGCATTCACCCGTGCAGGGTTCCAGCTTGATTATCTATATCTGCAGCTTGATTTTACAGGCTGCTTTTTGTTAGAAAAGAAATTATTTGGGGGCTGCTTTTTATTAAAAGGGAAACCTTACCAAGGACTTCCTTACCCTCCCTATCTACCTAAATAATAATAATAATAATAATTTTTTTTTTTTGAGACGGAGTGTCGCTGTGTCGCCCAGGCTGGAGTGCAGTGGCGCGATCTCGGCTCACTTCAACCTCTGCCTCCTGGGTTCAAGTGATTCTCCTGCCTCAGCCTCCTGAGTAGCTGGGACTACAGGCGCGTGCCACAAAGCCCAGCTAATTTTTTGTATTTTTAGTAGAGACGGGGTTTCACCGTGTTAGCCATGATGGTCTTGATCTCCTGATCTCGTGATCCACCTGCCTCGGCCTCCGAAAGTGCTGGGATTACAGGCGTGAACCACCGTGCCTGGCCTAAATATTTCTTTTTAACTCCTATATCAGAAAGATTCCTGGGAATGTAGGATACATAGGTGTCCTACCCAGGATTGCATGCTAAGTAAACATCTAGAAGGCCCTGACCTCTCACCTGTAGCTGATATTCAAGCTCTGTGCAAGTAGGAAGTTAAGGCAAAGGCTGGAGTTGAAAAATGCTCAGCTGAGTGGTAAAGGCCTGTCTGAAAGCACATACAGAGCCAAACTGCAAAGGTTGGGAGATTTTGGTTTTGGGCTCCACTGTTTAAGGAAATCTCTTATCAAATCACTCTCTGGCCATTAAGCTAACAGCCTAGAGACTTCAGCAACCACACACTGGACAAATATGCAATCTTTATAAAATTAGAAGACTCATTAGGCAAGTAAACAACTGCAAATTACAAAAAGCAGCAACCATAAACCCCAAGGAGGAGAGAAAATTTGATTTCCAGAGTCGCCACACTATAATATTCAAAATATTTAGTTGTAATGAAATATTATGAGACATGCAATGAAACAAGAAAGTATAGCAAAGGAAAGAATAATTAATTAGTAGAACCTGACCCCAAGGAAGCCTTTACTGAGGCTCAATGCCTGGGCTTCTTCGTTTACATGCAATCTCATTTACATGAAATAGCCACAATACATAAACGAGTCGCAGGATAACGAGTCGCAGGGACTGGGGAGCGGGGGTAGGGGATGAGGATAAAGTGCTACTGTAATGTGTAAGTGGTTTTATTTAGGAGTAATGGAAATGTTTTGAAACTAGATAGAGATGGTGGTTGCGCAAAACACAGAATGTAGTGAATGGCACTCAATTGCTTGCTTTCAAGTAACTGGTTAATTTATGTTATATTAATTTCATCTCAATAATTTTTTTTTGAGACAAGGTCTTGTTTTGTTGCCCAGGCTGGAGTGCAGTGGTGCAATCATGACTCACTGTAGCCTTGACCTCCTGGGCTCAAGCAATCCTCACATGTCAGCCTCCAAAGTAGCTGAGACTACAAGAATGCACCGTCACACCCAGAAGCTAGTGGATCTAGATAGATAGGAAGTTTGATTGCCTATTGAATTCCTATTAAATTCCTCTGCTATGTATATGGCCTCAATGTTTGAATTCACAAGCACGGGGGTTAGAAGGAACATTTCTTGTTCAGCTTTGATCACTACGCTGCAGAATGCCCAAAGAAGGTCCCCAGTCTGTACTCCTCCTGCCTGCAAAAAAAAATCTGAGAGTTCTTGGGGCTAGAGCTTCCTCACACTCAAGGGGAATGAGATGCACATTGATTCAAGGCTCATTGAGACCCTGGTGCCTTCTGTAATCTAGGACCATCCCTGGAGCATCTTCATGTCTCCCATGATGGTCCACTGAGGCAGGACCCAAGAAACAGGAAAATAATTTTTTTTTTTTTTTTTTTTTTTTTTTTAGACAGAATCTCACTCTGTCACCCAGGCTGGAGTGCAGTGGTATGATCACAGCTCACTGCAACCTCCGCCTACTGGGTTCAAGTGATTCTCCTGCCTCAGCCTCCTGAGTAGCTGGGATAAAAGGCATGTGCCACCACAGCCGGCCTTGTTTTGTATTTTTAGTAGAGACAGAGTTTTGCCATGTGCCCAGGCTGGTCTCGAACTCCTGACCTCAAGCGATCCACTTTTCTCGGCCTCCCAAAGTGCTGGGATTATAGGCGTGAGCCACCATGCCCGGCCTGGGAAATTATTTCTGTGTGACAAAAAATAATCTGAATGACCAGCTTCATTGGGTTTTCTTTTTCTACCTTCCACATGTGACCATCCATTAGGGATCTAGTAATAACATTTTTAAGTCACAAACTTTGAGAGGGACCAGCTATTTTTATTATCCCATTTATATAAGACTGCTATCTAAAAATTACAACAGTTCTGGGACATATACTGATATGAGTCAATCCAAAAATGTAATTTGGACATCAAAGTAAGACCAGATGGTGACTTGTTAATTGGAGACACCAAATTAATGTTAATAATACAGAAAATTGTCCTCTAACTATGATGGTATTATACAATAAGTCTGTACTATTTAGAGTCTAAATGTTCTTGTCACTCAATGAGATGTGCTTTAACTCAAGACAAGGTTTACTGCTATTTTTTTCAGGGCTCCTGAATACCTGGGCAATACCTAGTGTCCTTGGCTCCCCTCTACTGCTGTGTGGCTGTTACTGTGTGTGAGGTCTTTAGCCTACATTAAGGAACATTTCAAGAATCTAAAAATGTGTTTTTGGATTCCTTCAAGGGAATTGGCTGGAAACATTGCTCCTTCCATCACACAATGTGACTGCTTTAAGAGAAACAGTCATTAATGTATTTTATGCCTTCATGTCAGGAATGGCCATGTTGCTAAGTTTTATTTTAAGTTCCAGGATACATGTACAGGACATGCAGATTTGTTACACAGGTAAATGTGTGCCATGGTGGTTTGCTGCACCTGTCAACCCATCACCTAGGTATTCAGCCCTGCATGCATTAGCTATTTATCCTGATGCGCTCCCTCTGCCAACTCCCACTGACAGGCGTCAGTATGTGTTGTTCCCCTCCCTGTGTCCATGCATTCTCATTGTTCAGATCCCACTTATGAGTGAGAACATGAGGTGTTTGGTTTTCCATTCCTGTGTTAGTTTGCTGAGGATGATGGCTTCCAGCTTCATCCATGTCCCTGCAAAGGACATGGTCTTGTCCCTTTTTATGGCTGCGTAGTATTCTGTGGTGTATATGCACAAAATTTTGTTTATCCAGTCTATCATCGATGGGCATTTGGGTTGATTCCATGTCTTTGATATTGTGAATAGTGCTGCAATAAACATATGTGTGGATGTATATTTATAATAGGATGAATTATATTCCTTTAGGTATATACCCAGTAATGGGATTGCTGGGCCAAATGGTATTTCTGGTTCTAGATCCTTGAGGAATTGCCACATTGTCTTCCACAATGGTTGAACTAATATAGGTTACCACCAACAGTGTAAAAACATTCCTATTTCTCCACAGTCTTGCCAGCATCTGTTATTTCTTAACTTTTTAATAATTGCCATTCTGACTGGCATGAGATGGTATCTCATTGTGGTTTTGATTTGCATTTCTCTAATGATCAGTGATGTTGAGCTTTTTTTCATGTTTGTTGGCCGCATAAATGTCTCCTTTTGAGAAGTGTCTGTTCATGTAGGGATGGCCATGCTTCTATTAAGCACTTTTTTGTTTTAATGTTATGGATCCTGCTAATCTTGTAATTGATCATTGTGCCAGAGATTGCCTACCCAATATATCCATTCTTTTTTTGTTATTAATAGAACTCAATTATATTTGGAAGTGGTCATGTGTCCAGCTAAGATACTATATTTTCCACTCTCTATTGCAAAATCATGGAGAGTTGAAGCATAGGAATTTATTTGATGGGAATCCTGGAATCCTCTTTAGAATCCTTCCCCTCTGTTCATCTCTTTCTTGCCTGGGATTTGCACATGACACTGGAATTCCCTTAGCTGATATATCTTGGAAAACAACACATTAAAGATGGGGCAGCAGAGAGATAGAGTAAACCCTTGTGCCTCAGGTTAGCACAGAGTGATCATGGTGACCCATTCTTTTAGGGAGGAGACACATTAACTCCTGATTGAATTAAAACAGTGGTGGATCACGAGGTCAGGAGACTGAGACCATCCTGGCTAACACGGTGAAACCCTGTCTCTACTAAAAATACAAAAATTCAGCTGGGCATAGTGGTGGGTGCCTGTAGTCCCAGCTACTCAGGAGGCTGAGGAAGGAGAATGGCGTGAACCCAGGAGGCGGAGCTTGCAGTGAGCCGAGATTGTGCCACTGCACTCCAGCCTGGGTGATAGAGCGAGACTCAGTCTCAAAAAAAAAAACAAACAAACAGTCTTTAGAAGCAGTCAACAAACATGAAAAATTGCTCAAAAATTTCTCTACATCCTCACCAACATATTTTTTTATTTCTTTAATAATAAACCATTCTGACTGGTGTAATCATCAGATAAATGCAAATTAAAACCACGATGAGATACCATCTTACACCAGTCAGAATGGTTATTTTAAAGAAATAAAAAAAAAAAAAACAACAACAGATGTTGGTGAGGATGCAGAGAAAAGGGACTGCTTATGTGCTGTTGGTGGGAACGCAAATTAATTCAGTCTCTATGGAAAACAGTATGGAGATTTCCCAAAGAACTAAAAGTAGGACTACCATTCAATCCAGCAATCCCACTAGTGGGTATATACCCCAAAGAAAAGAAATCATTACACAAAAGACACCTGAACTAATACGTTTATCACAGCACTATTCACAATAGCCAAGTCATAGAATCAACTTAAGTGTCCACCAATGTATGATTGGATAAATAAAATGTGGTATATATACAGCCAACGGAATACTACTCAGCCATAAAAAGAATGAATTCATGTCTTGTGCAGCAACATGGATGGAACTGGAGGCCATTATCCTAAGTAAAATAACTTGGAAACAGAAAATCAAATACCATATGTTTTCACTTATAAGCAGAAGCCAAACAATGTATACCATGGGCATAGATAATGGAATAATAGTAGGCATTGGAGACTCCAAAAAGTGGGAGGGTGGGAGGGATGAGGTTTGAGAAATTACCTATTGGGTACAATGTACACTATTTGAGTGATGGTTACACTAATAGTCCAGACTTCACCACTATGCAATGTATCTATGTAACACAAACGTACTTGCATTCATTACATCTGTAAAATAAAAGTTTTTCCATTTATGTAGACACATTTCAACCTAACAGCACAGAATGCTTTGTCCTCGTTAGAACTCATAGAGTCATATCGGGGCCCAATTTGGGCTACTATGTAACATTTGGTGAAATATATTTTGATTACTTCTGTAATTATGCACCTCGTTGTATGCCCCCCTTTTTTTACTTCTGTTACAATATTTCCTTTGTCATATACATTTAAGATATTTTTCTTTGTTTTGCATATTGAGTAGGTTTCTTGAAATTCTTTTGGAACATGTTATGTAAATGAACAAATAAATCAATGGTGTGTTTCGAGTGACACTCAGCCCTGAATTTGACCCATTGTATCTCTACTTTCAAAAGCATTCTCTGAGATCTCCTTAAACTCACTGTTGTGCTGATGAGGGATTGATCCACAGAATGTAAGAAACATCTCTGGGGTCAGGTTCTAGAGGGAAAACGCTGAAGTAAAACTCACACCTGCCCAACTCCAAGTCAGGGCCTTTCTCACTCACAATGCTTCATAAATACGAGGAGATGGTAAAGTTGAAATAGAGCCGAATCCTGAGGCTTGCACATACGTAAAGGAAGGTCAGATCCGGCTGCAGGAAGAGAGTGGCCCTGGAATTGTGCCAGATTGAAAGCAAGAAACAGAGATTGAAAGCAAGAAGAAACAGTAATGGAGAGCAAGAAACAGATTGAAAGCAAGAAGAAACAGAGATTGAAAGCAAGAAGAAACATAGATTGAAAGCAAGAAGAAACAGAGATTGGAAGCAAGAAGAAACAGAGATTGAAAGCAAGAAGAAACAGAGATTGAAAGCAAGAAGAAACAGAGATTGGAAGCAAGAAGAAACAGAGATTGGAAGCAAGAACAGAGAGAGGACCGGCTGCAAGAATCCCCTTCAGAGCGAGGGACACAAACTGCTCAGGACTTTGAATCAATCCTCTTTCACCATCTCATCATTTCTGGCTGTTTCCCAGAAGACTTGGTTAATAAAAGCTTTTCTTCCCTCCACAAAACTTTCCCACAGTACTTACGGGTTTACTCTGGCTTCTCTTGATATCCCTCAATGGACTTGGCTCTGTTGACCTTCCCTCCTTGCACAATCGGTGCAGGCAGGGCAAGGGGGTGGGTGTCAGGGGCTGGTTCTCTGGAGTGGATGGACATTTCAGAGAGGCATAGAGAAGGTGCTCTTGGTCTGGGGCTGGTGAACTGCAGGTGGGTTCTGCAAAGGGAGAATTTACAGTTTATGGAGAACCGGAGGCTGAATTCTCAGGGCTCCTCATTAAATAAGTTGTTTTATTGTTGCTCAATTCTCCAAGCAGTTCAGCTCCTTGGAGGCCAAGCAATATAAATAAAAAGTGTTTCTGCCAGTTCATTCCCCGTGGGCTCACCTTTGGGACTAGACACATATTCCTTTCTATTCGATGGTTTTCATCTCCCTTAGAATGAACATCCTTCCCCCAACACTGGAAATGACCCCTCTTCCAGGGCACATCTCAGGAACCACCTCATGAATCTCCAAGTTTCTGAGGGACACTCGGTTTCCAGTGTTAGACTTAGACATATGGTTTTGTCCCCTAACCACATTCAACCAAAATGAGTTTTTTTTTTTTGTTTTTTGTTTTTGAGATGGAGTCTTGCTCTGTCGCCCAGGCTGGAGTGCAGTGGCGCAATCTTGGCTCACTGCAAGCTCCACCTCCCGGGTTCACACCATTCTCCTGCCTCAGCCTCCCGAGTAGCTGGGACTACAGGCGCCCGCCACCATGCCCGGCTAATTTTTTTTTTTTTTTTTTATAGTGGAGATAGCGTTTCACCATGTTAGTCAGGATGGTCTCAATCTCCTGACCTCATGATCCGCCCGCCTCAGCCTCCCAAAGTGCTGGGATTACAGGCGTGAGCCATGGCGCCAGGCCCGAAATGAGCTCTTAACTGCAGCTTTGTCCTGGCTTCTATTCTGGACACTGGAGACAGATTCTGGAGAAAAATTAATGGGCCATTTCCCTTGGTAGAGAGTAAAAAAGGCTCATTTTGGCTGCAGAGTTAGCGTTTTCTTGTCTCAGTTTCTCTGAGTTCAGTTATTCGGTTTCTTCATCTGGGCTAAACACATTCATATTTTTAATCCACATGATCTAATTTTTTGGGCTATATTTCTATGTATGTTATTTGGAGCATTTCTTCCCAATGGGAAGGAATTTGGATAAAAAATAATCAGCACCTGACAGTGACTAAGAGCATGCACTGGCAAACATTTTTGTAAAGGGCTCAGTGGTACATATTTTAGGCTTTTTGGGTCCTATGTTCTCTGTCACAATACTTAACTCTGCCATTGCTGTGAATGCAGGTGTATGCAATACTGACACTAATGGGCATGGCTGTTTGTATTAGCCTCCTGTGGCTGCTGTCACATGTAACCACAAACTGGGTGGCTGAAAACAACAGGAATGTATTCTCTTATAGTTCTGGAGTCCAGAAGTCCAAAATCAAGGTGCAAGAAGGGCCAGGCTTCCTCCAGAGTCTCTAACGGTGATTCTGTTCCTCGGCTTTTCCATGCTCTATGGCTCCAGGTGTTCCTGACCTTGCAGCTGCGTCATTTCAATCTCCTCTGTCTGTGTCATTTGGTTTCCTCTGCACCTGTGTGTGTTTTCTCCTGTGCATGTCGCTTATAAAGACACTGTGTCATTGAATTTAAGGTCCACCTGGATAATCCAGGATGATCTCATCTCAGGATGCCTAATTGTATCTGTAAAGACTCTTCATCCAAATAAGGCTACATTCACTGGCACTAGGGGTGAGGATGTGAGCTTATCCTTTAGGGGGGCCAACATTCAACTCACCAAACTTACTGTGCTCAAATAAAGCCTTTTTACAAAGAGGCTGTGGGTAGGATTTGGCCTGTGGGCAGTAGTTTGCTGACCCCCAGCTTAGAGGGTAGATTCAGATACAGGGAGCTGATAATCACAGAGGACACTAAAATTTAAAGAAAAGTTAAATATGGCTTCATTTCTGCTACTGTAATTCACCTATTAAAAGGACTGTCAGACTATCCACCATACTCTAATCTTTTATTATGCAAGCTGTAAATACAGATGAAGCTTCACTTGCTCACCTGCTGCTCACCTCCTCCCGTGCGGCCTAGCTCCTAACAGGCTGTGGACCAGTACTGGTCTGTGGCCCAGGGGTTGGGGACCCCTGCACTAAGTTATTTACTACTGTGGACCTATGGGGTGTAGGTGCTTTTTATTGAGCTTCCTGGTGTGTGTTGTTCAGTCTTTGCTGCAGTGACTGGGGCAGCTCTGCTTCATGCTGTGGACAGGCTGGGATGGTTCTACTCCATATGTCTTGTCAGTGGATTAGCAAGGGCATGCTCTTATTGAAATAGCAGAGACTTTACTGCTCAGCAGAAATATGCAAGGTCTCTTAGGGGCTACACTTAGAGCTGGCATGCTTTCTATAATCTCTTCCATTGAGGGAAGAGAGAGACCCTCTCATATTGTTTTATATTGTTTTATACTCAGTACCTGTTTTAAGAAAAAACAAAGAAGTGAAATCAAAGACAGGCAGCCCGGTGCCAGGCCCAAAACCAGGCCTGGGCCTGCCTGGCCTAAACATAGTAGTTAAAAATCAACTCATGACTTAGAAACCGATGTTATCCATAGATTCCAGACATTGTATAAAAGAACATTTTGAAACTCCCTGCTCTGTTCTGTTCCACTCTGGCCACCA
This sequence comes from Homo sapiens, assembly GCF_000001405.40. NCBI lineage: Eukaryota > Metazoa > Chordata > Mammalia > Primates > Hominidae > Homo > Homo sapiens. Next base: position 14,812,495 of record NC_000019.10, read on the forward strand.
GTGCATGCATCCCCTGTCACGTACCCCCTGCTTGCTCAAATCAATCATGACCCTTTCATGTGAAATCCTTAGAGTTGTGAGCCCTTAAAAGGGACAGGAATTTCTCACTCGGGGAGCATGGATTTTAAGACGCTAGCCTGCCGATGCTCCCAGCTGATTAAAGCCACTCCCTTCACTATCTCGGTGTCTGAGGGGTTTTGTTTGCGGCTCGTCCTGCTACACCATAATATAGAATTAGAGGGAACACTTCCTAACTCATTTTATGAGGCAAAAGTTATCCTGGTGATGGCTGGGCATGGTGGCTCATACCTGTAATCCCAGCACTTTGGGAGGCCGAGGCGGGTGGATCACTTGAGGTCAGGAGTTCAAGACCGGCCTTGCCAGCATGGTGAAACCCCATCTCTACTAAATATACAAAAAATTAGCCAGGCAAAGTGGTGCACGCCTGTAGTCCCAGCTACTTGGGAGGCTGAGGCAGGAGAATCACTTAAACCTGGGAGGCGGAGGTTGCAGTGAGCCAAGGTTGCACCACTGCACTCCAGCACTCCAGCTTGGGCGACACAGCAAGATTCCATCTCAAAAAAAAAAAAAAAAATTATCCGAGTGTCCAAACCAGAAAACATTTACAAGAAAGGAAATCTTCAAACCAATATACCATATGAACACAGATGCAGAAATTCTCAACAAAATTACAAAATTAACAAATTAAATCCAAAATATACAAAAATAATTATACACTGTATTAGTCCATTTTCATACTGCTATAAAGATACCACCCTGCCAGGCGCAGTGGCTCACACCTGTAATCCCAGCACTTTGGGAGGCTGAGGTGGGCGGATCACAAGGTCAGGAGATTGAGACCATCCTGATCTAACTCGGTGAAACCCTGTCTCTACTAAAAATACAAAAAATTAGCCAGGCATGGTGGCGGGCGCCTGTAGTCCCAGCTACTCGGGAGGCTGAGGCAGGAGAATGGCATGAACCCAGGAGGTGGAGCTTGCAGTGAGCCAAGATTGTGCCACTGCACTCCAGCCCCAGCGACAGAGTGAGACTCCGTATCAAAAAAAAGATACTACCCGATACTGGGTAATTTATAAACAAAAAAGGTTTAATTGCCTCACAGGTCCTTATGACTGGGGAGGCCTCAGGAAACTTACAGTAATGGAGGGGAAGCAAGACACGTCTTCACAAGGCAGCAGGAAAGAGAGGCAGAGAGAGAGAAGGGGGGCGTGCCAGACACTTATCAAACAGCCAGATCTTGTGAAAACTCACTCACTATCACAAGCACAGCAAGGGGGAAATCTGCCCCCATGACCCAATCACCTCCCACCAGGCCCCTTCCTTGACACATGGGGATTACAATTTGAGATGAGATTTGGGTAGGGACACTGAGCCATACCATATTGTACACCATGACCAACAGGACTTAGGTTAGGTCAGTCTCTTTAATAAATGCCATTGGGAAAACTTGATATCCACATGTGTAAGAATGAAATTGGATCCTATTTCACACCATATACAAAATTCACTCAAAATGGATTAAAGACTTAAACATTAGACCTGAAACTATAGAGCTACTAGATGAAAACATAGTGGAAAGACTGCATGACATTGGTCTGGGCAATAATTTTTGGGAAATGACCCCAGAAGCACAGGCGACAAAAGGAGACAAAATGTAAAATGAGATTACATCAAACTAAAAACTTCTGAATGGCAAAGAAAAGCAATGAGCAGAGTGAAAAGACAACCTATGGGTTGGCAGGAAACATTCACAAACCATCCATCTGATAAGGGATTCATATCCAAAATATATAAGGAACCCAAACAGCTCAATAGCAATAAAACATATATCCTGATATTAAAAAATGGACAAAGAACCTGGATAGATATACAAAATGGCCAACAGGAATATGGAAAATGCTCCTTTATTTATGTATTTTTTTTTTGAGACAGAGTTTCATTCTTGTTGCCCAGGCTGGAGTGCAATGGTGCGATCTCGGCTCACTGCAACCTCCACCTCCCGGGTTCAAGAGATTCTCCTGCCTCAGTCTCCTGAGTAGCTGGGATTAAAGGCACCCACCACCATGCCCAGCTAATTTTTGTATTTTTAGTAGAGACGGGGGTTTCACCATGCTGGCCAGGCTGGTCTCGAACTCCTGACCTCAGGTGATCCACCTGCCTCGGCCTCCCAAAGTGCTGGGATTACAGGCGTAAGCCACCATGCCTGGCCGGGAAAATGCTCCTTAACTGAACGGACCTCCTCTTGGCCAAAGGAATCCCAGAAAAACTTTTAAAACTTCACTTCCAGCCATGACGGGACGAGAGGTCAAACACACCTCGTTATACCCCTTCCTTTTCATGGTTCACTACACAACAACCAACCAGCATTAATAAAATAGAGACCATGAGACTGGCAGAACAGACTTCTTGCGGCAATAAGATACCCAATTATAAGCAGGGCCTAACGCCATGCCCGGCAAGCATTAAGTCACACACCCTACCCTTAAAGAATAATTTATGTTCTACCTGCCAAATGGTTTTTATTTTTCTCTAGCAGCTAAACAAGCTCTGGACTCAGGGTAAGCAATATTAAAACAATTTGCAGCTCCACCAGATACTAACTGACCCCCAGCCCCTATTCCAGCAGCCATAACTACAGCTTTGATTGGGCAAGAGACTGATTGGGCAACTTTCTCCTGATAAGACCACTGACTGTGGACTGGCTCTGGCTCGTCTACAGAGGCTGCTCACTTGCGTGCTTTTCTGTTCTGAAAAGAACTTTTGAGGGATAGGGTCTACTTGTAATACATTTAAATGTTAAAGTCTCCACTCCAAAGTGGGCATGGGTTGTATGTTGCATGAGTGTTTGTTTCATACACATGCACCAGGGCCAGCTTCATGAATATTCATATCTCCTCCTATAACCTGTTGAATATGTATGTCTAGCCAACCCATTGAGCATAAAGCTCTTAGCTCTTACCCCAACCCCTCCTCCTTAGAAATGCCTGTCTCTCTGGTATTGGCTAGAGGCTATGCTTCCCACTCTGTGGGATTGCCATCTTGCAGGCTGTAACCCTTTACAAGAAATAAAGTCTCCTTTCCTTTTCTAAATTTATAAATTGTGGGGGGTTTAAAAGTTAACATAGCCACATAAACATGTTTCCCTTAGTTTAGAAGGGAAAAACAATTTTCTGGAGATATCAAGGGCTGTGTCCCCACCGCAAGTCAATGCTTTTTGATGATCCTAAGGACCTAATCAAGAGAGTTTCCTTGAGTCTCTGAGTTTGTGCGTGTGTGTGTGTGTGTGTGTGTGTGTGTGTGTCTGTGTCTGGGTGTGTGTGTGTTGAGACAAGGTCTTGCTCTGTTGCCCAGGCAGGCGTACAGTGGTGCAATCATGGCTCACTGCAGCCTCTACCTCCCCAGCTCAAACGATCCTCCCACCTCAACCTCCCAGGTAGCTGGGACTACAGGAACATGCCACCATGCCCAGTTAATTTTGAAAAAATGTTTTGTAGAGATGGGGTCTTGCTATGTTGCCCAGGCTGGTCTTGAACTCCTGGGCTTAAGTAATCCACCCCACTTGGCCTCCCAAAATGTTGGGATTACAGACATGAGCCGCCATGTTCTGCTGAGTCTCTGACTTTAGAGGAAACTTTCAGTGAAAGGAGCGTACCCCATAAGTGTATATATCTACTATATACCCACAAAAATTCTTTTAAAAAGTTAAAGAAAGGAGTGATAAGGTGTGTGATGGTTAATACTGAGTGTCAACTTGATTAAACTGAAGGATGCAAAGTATTGATCCTGGGTGTGTCTGTGAGGGTGTTGCCAAAAAAGATTAACATTTGAGTCAGTGAACTGAAGGAGGCAGACCCACCCTCAATCCGTGTGGGCACCATCTAATCAGCTGCCAGTGTGGCTAGAATAGAGCAGGCAGAAGAAATTGGAAGGAGCCGACTTGCTGAGTCTTCCAGCTTTCGTCTTTCTCCCATGGTGAATGCTTCCTGCCCTCGAACATCAGACCTCAAGTTCTTCAGCTTTTGGACTCTTGGACTTACAGCAGTGGTTTACCAGAGGTTCTTGGGCCTTCAGCCGCAGACTGAAGGCTGCACTATTGGCTTCCCTAATTTTGAGGTTGTGGGACTCAGATTGTCTTCCTTTCTGCTCAGCTTGAAGACGATCTATTGTGGGACTTCACCTTGCGATAATGTGAGTCAATACTCCTTAATAAACTCCACTTCATATATATATCTATCCTATTAGTTCTGTCCCTCTAGAGAAGCCTGACTAATAGAAGGTGCTAGGAGGTTAGATATCTGGAAGGCAGGTGAGTTATTGGAGAAGGAGTAAAAATTAATCAAATAAATAAATAATTGGGTTCACCTAATGTCTAACATGGTCTCTTGGGAACAGAGAATGAGCAGGAAAAATTTCCTTACTGTCCAGACAGGAGTCCACAGAGAAATCAGACACTTACGGGTTAGTAAGTTCCAGCAGTAAGAGGGGAGGTGCCTAATGAGCAGATACAGGGAGCTGTGGCCCTCAGAGAATACAATAGAGAAAAAAAATGTCTAACAAACCCACTAATAGATTAACCCTCACAAGGAAATAATTGCAAAGTAAAGCTTGCTATCATACCCCAAAAGTAGGCTAGCTAATCTGAGTCCCAGACTGGGGACTGGGCTGAATGGGACCCTTCAGCCCATTCCAGGTGGGAATGGAAGTTCAATTGTTAAGACTCTGCACAGGACATGATCTCATTCCTTTTTATGGCTGCATAGTATTCCATGGTGTATATGTACCACGTTTTCTTCAACCAGTCTGTTGTTGATGGGCATTTAGGTCGAGTCCATGTTTTCACTCCAATTAATGGATCTACTTTAAAAAATAGTGGTCATCTTTTGCCGCTATGTAGAACATAAATCTGGCTAGAGGACCTATGCCTCACTCTTTCCTGCTGTCTCGTCTGGGGACAGAGCTTCATCCTCTATCATCAACCATTCAGGGTAAAATTCAGACTTCCATCTGGAGATCCTCTTCTCTGAGACCCCATCCAGGTGAGCCCAGGAGCCCTCAGCAGGTTTCATGGGAAAGGTTCAGAGAGAACGGAAGCTGGGAATGTTTACCTGAAGTCACCTGAGAGCCAATCCAACTTAGGCCAGCGCCAAGAGGTTGCTATGTTTGTTTGCTTAGTTGACTGATTATTTCATAATCAATCTATTTAGTATGCTAAAAAGAGCAGTGTCTGTTAGACTCAGCAATGCAGAGACCACTGCTGACAATTAAGTGGTGGGAATGGAATTCCAATTGGTAAGACTGAAGAAGGAATGGGAGCTAAAAAGTGGTGCTGGTAACATCAGTTCATAGTCAAGGAGTTTTGCAGGTAAGAGAGAAAAAAAACTGAGTATTAAGTGTAAAGGATATGCAGCAAAGTGAGGGCTTTTAAAATATTTTTAATATTGGGTGTATTTTGAGTATGTTCCTGTATCCATTAAAAAGATCACACCAATGTATTATTTGCAAATGCTACCTTGCCACAGCAGTTAATAAGTCATACATTTTATTTATTTTATTTATTTATTTATTTATTTATTTATTTATTTATTTATTTTTGAGACGGAGTCTCGCTCTGTCCCCTAGACTGGAGCGCAGTAGTGGCACGATCTCGGCTCACTGCAAGCTCCGCCTCCCAGGTTCACGGCGTTCTCTTGCCTCAGCCTCCCGAGTAGCTGCGACTACAGTTGCCCGCCACTACGCCCGGCTAATTTTTTTGAATTTTTTAGTAGAGATGGGGTTTCACCGTGTAACCCAGGATGGTCTCGATCTCCTGACCTCGTGATCCGCCCGTCTCTGCCTCCCAAAGTGCTGGGATTACAGGCGTGAGCCACCGCGCCCGGCTGATAAGTCATACATTTTAAAGTATCTTTTCTCATGCGGGTTATCCAGATGAAAAAAATATGTTTATTTAATAAGTGAAAAGGGGTATGATAGCAAGCTTTACTTTGCAATTACTTCCTTACTTGTGAGGCTTAATCGATTAGTGGGTTTGTTAGATAGTTCCTGTTTCTATTGCAAACAGTCTTTGCGAGATCTTTGCTTTTGTATAGCGAGTTTGCAGTGTTTTCATTCCTGTATTTGATTGCATTTTTTTCAAACATAAGAATGGGAGTTGGTGAACGTTTTTTCACCAACGTTGTTGTTTGCCATTTAGTTCTTTTTGTATTTATAGATGCGCTTGGGGTGAATGCGTTAAAGTTTATCAGTTTTGTGCGGTCAGGTCTATCAGTGGGTCACACTGTGTATCTCCCTTCTGTTGCATTTTAGATAGTTTAGAGAGTTTAAAAAGCTTTCTACATATTTCATCGCAATAAATCACCTTTTATATGTATTTCCACCTTATTTCACACATTTTTTTCTTTCTTTTTTATTATACTTTAAGTTTTAGGGTACATGTGCACAACACGCAGGTTGGTTACATATGTACACATGTGCCATGTTGGCGTGCTGCACCTATTAACTCGTCATTTAGCATTAGGTATATCTCCCCCCTCCCCCTGCCCCATAACAGTCCCCGGTGTGTGATATTCCCCTTCCTGTGTCCACATCTTTTTTCTTTATTGCCACCTTTCTTTTTTCTTTTTTGCAATCAGATCTATTTTTTTTAAATTTAAAATTTTATTTTAATTTCGGGGGTACATGTGCAGGATATGCAGGTTTGTTACATAGGTAAACATGTGCCATGGTGGTTTGCTGCACCCATCAACCCATCACCTAGGTATTAAGCCCAGCATGCATTAGCTATTTTTTTTAATGCTCTCCTTCCCCTCACCCCCACCCCCTGACAGGCTCCAGTGTGTGTCGTTCCCCTCCCTGTGTCCCCGTGTTCTCACTCTTCAGCTCCCAGTTATAAGTGGGAACATGTGGTATTTGGTTTTCTGTTCCTGGGTCAGTTTGCTGAGGATAATGGCTTTCAGCTCCAGCCACATCCCTGCAAAGGACATGATCTTATTCCTTTATATGGCTGCATAGTATTCCAGGGTGTATATGTACTACATTTTCTTTAACCAGTCTATTGTTGATGGGCATTTAGGTTGATTCCACGTTTCCAATTAATCAGAACTACTTTTAAAAATAGTGGTTATCTTTTGCCACTATGTGGAACATATTCTTATACCCACGTTGAGATTTCCTGTGTATTCTTCATGTAAGCATATTTTAATCCATTTCAGTTTGTATAAGATGAAATCATAACTTTACATACTGTTGTTTTCTTCCACTGCTTTAAGAAAGTATATTTTTATATTCTTTCATTTCCAAGTTTTTGTCAACTTAATCTCAAATTCGAAACCCATGTTGATGTGATTAATGGTTATTTTCTATCTTTTTCTTTGATCATTTATTTTATTTTTATGCGTTTATTTATTTATTTAGAGATACAGTCTCGCTCTGTCACCCAGCCTGGAGTGCAGTGGCACAATTTCAGCTCACTGCAGCCTCAACCTCTTGGGTTCAAGTGATTCTTGTGCCTCAGCCTCCCGAGTAGCTGGGATTACAGGCATGCGCCGCCACTCTGCCCAGCTAATTTTTTGTATTTGTAGTAGAGACAGGGTTTTACCATGGCAGTCAGGCTGGTCTCAAACTCCTGGCCTCAGGTTGATCTGCCCACCTTGGCCTCCCAAAGTGCTGGGATTACAGGCATGAGCCACTGCGCCGGGATAGATCATTTATTTTAGAATTTTATTCAGTTTTGTTCAATGTGGTTGTTTTGAATCCACCTTATTTAACCAAGCTTTATTTTCCCAGCCATTCCTTTTGTTTAATAAGTTCTTAATTTAAAAAAATGTGTTTCTCAATGAAAATACATGGACATGGGGAGGGGAACATCACACATGGGGGCCTGTTGGGGGGTCGGGGGCAAGGGGAGGGAGATCATTAGGACAAATACCTAATGCATGAGGGGCTTAAAACCTAGATGACGGGTTGACAGGTGCAGCAAACCACCATGGCACATGTATAGCTATGTAACAAACCTGCACGTTCTGCACATGTATCCCAGACCTTAAAGAAAAAAAATCACACAGGAAAAAAAAAAGTGTTCCTATGTAGACGTACAACTTTTTGTGAAACCACAACAGTGAAGAAAGCAGGTGAAATCCCTGCTAATTTAGATCTTACCTTGTAATGGAAAGGGCAGAAAACAATGGAATAAATGTGTGTCTGACATAAAGTCCCCAGAGGTAAGTCATATGAAGAAAAATGATAGATTGTCGTGGCAGGGGCAGGATTTTCTAAAGTATGGTCTGGGGAGGTCTTTGCATCTTGCACGAGGAACGGAATTGGACTAGAGAGTGCCCACTGGATTTGTCAGAAAAGAGGGAAAAACTCAATACCTGGGAATTACAAAGAACAGATCCCACAAGGAAAAGTGAGAGAAAGGCCTGCCTCATCTACTACTGGACCATATAAAAACATGTGTGGGCCGGGCATGGTGGCTCACACCTGTAATCCCAGCACTTTGGGAGGCTGAGGTGGGTGGATCACGAGACCTGCCTGGCCAACATGGTGAAACCCTGTCTCTACTAAAAATACAAAAATTAGCTGGGTGTAGTGGCAGGTGCCTGTAATCCCAGCTACTTGGGAGGCTGAGGCAGGAGAATCGTTTGAACCTGGGAGGTGGAGGTTGCTGTGAGCTGAGATCGCGCCATTGCACTCCAGCCTGGGTGACAAGAGTGAAACTCTGTCTCAAAGCAAAAATAAAAACAAAAACAAAACATGTGTGGTCCATAAATATGGAATAGATACAGGAATAACAATTAGATCAGGGGTCTGATGTGAATTCTGTAATGAGGCAAGTGGATCAATGAAATTCTGCTCAGGGTATGGGCCCTGGAGTCCGGAGATAATGTCAGTTCTACGCTGGCTACCTGTTCTCCCAACAGTGTGGCTCTTCTCTTGAGCTCTTCATTCAGGCTGCATTTCCCAGGAACTTGCCTTAAAAACAAAAAACAAAAAACAAAACAAAACTATTCCGCCTTTACTGCAGTGGATTCCACACTCTTTGTGTCTGAAAGTAAGAAATACCTTTTACATCATGAGCCAGCATGCCTGCACATGCAAATATACACACACAGGTGGCTGAAGAAAGAGTATCATGAAACTAGTTTGTAGGTACCCTTATCATATATGATGTGCTTGAATATTTTCTTCTGCATTTTATTCATTCTATGCTATTTAAATCTTACGTACCATAGCACAACCCCTCAATCAGTCCCAATCTCAGAATATGGACAACATTCTCCTAGTGTGTCCTCCACACCTGTGTTAGCATCTCCCTGTATCTTTTATTTCCTCATCAGCAATTGCTGGGACAACACAAAATGTCCCTCACCATTGTCACCATTCTTCTTTCTACTTCTATGAGTTCATTATCATTTTAAGATTCCCCATGTACGAGTGTGCAGAATTTGTTTCACTGTGCCTGGCTTATCATTTAATGTAATGTCCTCCAGGTTCATCCGTGTGGTCACAAATGACAGGATTTCCTTCTTTTTAAAGGCTGAGTGGTGTTCTATTGTGGATATGCACCACGTATTCTTGATCTATTCATTCTTTGGCGGACACTGAGGTTGACTCCATATGTTGGCTTTTGTAAATAGTGTTGCAACGAATGCGGAAGTGCAGATATCTCTTCAACATACTGATTTCATTTCCTTTGGCTATATATGCAGTCATGGGATTATACACATATGGTAGTTCTATTTTTAGTTTTTTGGAGAACCCCCAACTATTTTCTATAATGCTTGTACTACCTTAAGTTTCCACCAAAAAGGTACATGGGCTCCCTTTTCTCCAGATCCTCATCAGCACTTATCTCCTGTCTTTTTTTTTTTTTTTTTTTTTTTTTTTTTGAGATGGAGTCTCGCTCTGTCGCCCAGGCTAGAGTGCAGTGGTGCGATCTCAGCTCACTGCAACCTCCACCACCCAAGTTCAAGCAATTCTCCTGCCTCAGCCTCCTGAGTAGCTGGCATTACAGGTGCCCGCCACTGCGCCGGCTAATTTTTGTATTTTTAGTAGAGATGGGGTTTCACCGTCTTGGCCAGGCTGGTCTTCAACTCTTGACCTCGTGATCCACCCGCCTCAGCCTCCCAAAGTGCTGGGATTACAGGCATGAGCCACCGCACCCAGCCACCTGCCTTTTTTATAATAGCCGTCCTAACAGGTTTGAGGTGACATCTCATTGTGGTTATAATGTACATTTCTCTGATAATCAGTGATGTTGAGCATTTTTTCATGTACCTGTTGGCCAGCTGTATGTCTTCTATTGAGACATGTCTCTTCATGTCCTCTGCCTATTTTTTTTTTTTTAAACTGGGTTACTTGTTTCCTTGATGTTGAGTTTCTTCTATATTGGGATATTAACCCCTTATCATATGTGTGGTTTGCAAATGTTTTCTCTCCTTCCATAGGTTGCCTCTCTGTTGATTGTTTTCTTTGCTGTGCAGAAGGTTTTTAATTTGATGTAATCCCACTTGTCTATTTTCACTTTCGTTGCCTGTGTTTTGAGGGGTATATTTTAAAACCATTGCCCAGACTACTGCTTTCTGCCTATATTTTATTCTGGAAGGTTTATAGCTTCAGGTGTTATCCTTAAATGTTTTTAAAAATTTGCGTAAATTGGTTGGGTGCAGTGGTTCATGCCTGTAATCCCAGCACTTTGGGAGGCTGAGACGGTCAGATCACTTGAGGTCTAGAGTTCGAGACCAGCCTGGCAAACATGGCGAAACCCCATCTCTACTAAAAATAAAAAATTAGGTGGGCGTGGTGGCATGTGCCTGTAATCCCAGCTACTCGGGAGGCTGAGGCAAAAGGATTGCTTGAACTTGGGAGGTGGAGGTTGTGGTGAGCCAAGGTTGTGCCACTGCACTCCAGTCTGGGCGACAGAGCAAGACTCCGTCTAAAAAAATAAAAAATAAATAAAATTTGTGTAAATTTAAGGGGTGTAAGTGCAGTTTTGTTACATGGGTATTTTGCCTAGTGGTGAAGTCTGGGCTTTTAGTGTAACCATCACCCAAATAGTGTACATTGTACCCATTAAGTAATTTATCAGTCCTAACCCCCTCTCATCTTCCCACCCTTCTGGGTCTCCAATGTCTATTATTCCACATTCTATATTTATGTGTCCACATTATTTAGCTCCCACTTGTAAGTGAGAACATGCAGTATTTGACTATTTCTGAGTTATTTCACTTAAGATAATGGCCTCTAGTTTCATCCGTGTTTGAGTCTTTAACCTATTTTCATTTAATTTTTGTATATGGTGTGAAATGAGGGTCTAATTTCATTCTTCTGCATATGGATATCCAGTTTTCCCAGCACCGTTTATTGAAGAGATGGTACTCTCACTATTGTGCTTTTTTTTTTTTTGGCAATTTGTCAAAAATAAAAATTGGCTGTAAATTCATGGATTTATTTCTGGGCTCTGTATTCTTTTCCATTGGTCAATGTGCCCCAATACAGTGTGCTTTCCATTTACCTTTTCCCCTCTGATTCACATGAATAATAAAACAAAGTCCCCAGATTTTCTAGATAATAAGTGTATCCATACATGGAGCTCCCTAACTTTTATGGCTTTCACCCAAGGGACAGGATCCTAAATTATTTAGCTCTGGGAGTTGATGGGGCTCTGCATTCATGAATCCCTTGAAACCAAAGAGAACAAAGAGGTAACTTTCTTTTTCAACTTTTATTTTAGAATCATGGGGTATATGTGTAGGTTTGTTACAAAGATATATTGTGTGACACTAAAGTTTGGGGTATGGCTGAACCCATCACCCAGGTAGTGAGTACCCAAGAGGTAGTTTTTCAGCCCTTTTCCTACTCCCTTTCTCCCCACTATAGTAGTCTCCAGTGTCTGTTGATCCCAACTTTATGTCCGTGTGTACCCAATGTTTAGCTCGCACTTATAAGCGAGAACATGAAGTATTTGGTTTTCTGTTTCTGCATTAGTTCACTTAGGATAATGGCCTTGAGTTCTCTCCATGTAGCTACAAAGGACATGTTTTTTTCTTTTTTATGGCTGCATAGTATTCCCTGGTGTGTACATACTACATTTTCTTTATCCAATACACCATTGATGAGCACCTGCAATGATTCCATGTCTTTGCTATTGTGAATAGCACCACAGTGAACATATGGGTGAATGAGTCCTTTTGGCAGGATGATTTATTTTCCTTTGGCTATATACTCAATAATGGGATTTCTGGGTCAAATGGTAGTTCAACTCAGTTTTTTGAGAAATCTCCAAACCGCTTCCCACAGTGGCTGGACTAATTTACATTCCCACCAACAGTGTATAAGTGGATATTATGCTCATGAAATAAGCCAGAGAGAGGAATAAAAAATGCTACATTATTTCACTTATATGTGGAATCTAAACAATGTCAAATACTGACCAGGTGTGGTGGTGGTTCATGCCTGTAATCCCAGCATTTTGGGAGGTCAAGATGGGATCACCATTTGAACTCAGGAATTTGAGACCATCCTGGGCAACAGAGCAAGATGTCATCTCTACTAAAAATATGAACAAGTGAGCCAGGCATGGTGGTGTGAGCCTGTGGTTCCAGCTACTCAGGAGGCTGAGGCAAGAGGATGGCTTCAGCCTGGGAGATCGAGGCTTCAGTGAGCTACCATCACACCACTCTACTTCAGTCTGGGTGACAGATTGAGATCTTGTGCTTAAAATGTAAAATACATAGAAATAGAGAGTACAATTCTGGTTATGGAGGGGTGAGAATGGGAGGAGTGGGGAATGGGAAAATGTGGGTCAAAACGTACAGAGTTGTGGTTATGTAGGATGAATAAGCCTAGACATCTAATGTACACTATGACGACTATAGTTAAAAATATTATACTGTACACTGTGAATTTTCTAAGAGTAGAGTTTAGGTGCTCTTTCCACCAAAAAAGGTAACTATTTGAGGCGATGGACTCAGGATCTTTTCATTTGCTTTAGCCAAAAGAATATGGTGGAATTGAGTGTCCCTCAAGGGAACTTGGCATGTTTCTGTTGCTCTCTCCTGTAACTCTGCCTCTGCCATGCAAACAAGTCCAGGCCAGCCAGCTTTAGGAGGAGAGGACATGTAAAGCCATGTTAAGACAGTTGGCAAGCTGTCCCAACTGTGGCCACCCTAGGTCAGCCCACAGCCAACAAGCCTCCAAATGTAAGAGAACTCGGGCAAGATCAGCAAAGCCCTACTGTTGACTCACAGCTGACTACAGCTTCATGAGGAGGACAGCAGAGACCAGAAGACACCCCCAACGTAGACTCCCTATGAGACAAGAAAAGCATCATCTTAAACCATTTACTATGAGATGACTTGTTATTCAGCAATAGCTTACTGATACAATAAGCATTGCAAATAGGACTGAGGACATTCAGAATAGTCTGCTGCTTCTTATTTTGGCATTTGTTCTAATACTTGGAAGCATTCATGATTCCCTGGATACTCATGTATAATTCAGATAACTGTATTAAAAAAAAGACTACTGTTGAGATTCCCCATCTAGGTGATCTGGAGAGGTTAGAATGAGATGTATGTTTTTTGCAGGAATAATTTGTGCACCTGAATCACAATTTTCCATTCCCAGAGACATAACGGGATAAGTTAAAGGTTTGGTGTGAGTCACCCTTTTCACCTGAATCACAATTCCCCATTCCCAGAGGCATGACTGGGGAGAAGCTCAAGGTTTTGTGTGAGTCATTCTTTAATCATGAGTATTTAAGAGAATTTAGAGCATAAAAGAGATGAATAAATTGATGATACATTGAATATTGTTCACTGACCTGCACTTTAATGTTTACGACAAAATTTTATAATGAAGGAGGTATTTTGGTTAGTGGGATAGAAGGATTCGTATTTGTAGGGAGCACTAAAAATTTTGAAGCAAAAACAGAAGTATGGATGCATGAAACATTATAGACCATGGCACCAAATCCATCACTCCAATAAATAAACTTATATATGGGCACTAAGCTTCCATACTTCAATGAGTCCATGCACATCATAAAAACAAGTCTTCCATAGCAATTCAATGTATGATTGACAATTTTACTCCATCATATTTAAGGTCATCTCTGACTGTAAGTCCATATTAAGTTAATCAACATATGCAAGTTTGTCTTTCAGTGGGCATTGCACTCGGAACATATTTTTGATAAACAATTTTTGCCTTACCGTACTATGCCAGGGAGTATGGCAGATACTGTGGACATGGCACTGACAAAGACATGATGTCCTAATGAGGACAACACAATCTCATGACCAGCTGCAAAATACACAAGTATGTTCAGGTCTACATTATCAGGAGGAGCATTGAAGGTAGAGACAGACATAGGACTGAAGAATACAAAAGTGAACAAATTGTGGTCTCAGGTCATATTCCACTATAAATTTACATCAATTACCCCAATTGCCAAGTGTAGTCTATGCCACAGGAGACATACAACTCTTCCCTGTATGAGACAAATGGAAATCTCCAAAGTGTTTCTGATCCAAAGTCGGAAATAACCTTGAGAAAGTAGGAAAACAACAAAGAGAAAAAACTGTTGGATATCAGAGAGCAGAAAGCTTAATAAAAGGAGTTGCTTAAATTCTACAAGACCAGTTGAAATCACAACAAATTGAAACTCCCAGAAATATAATAAGTATTAATAGAAGGAGCAAGTTCTATTTCCACTATCTGATTGAAGAATGACAGTTACTACCTCTGAAGCTTAGAGCCCTGCAATCATGGGCACTTCTTGAAAAATTGCCCTTTCATTGTTCCCCACAACAAATGTATTCCCAGAGCCCTCTTTATGTCTTTATTCCTCAGACTATAGATAAAGGGGTTCAGCATGGGGGTGACCACAGTGTACATCACTGAGGCTGTTGCACTTGAGTGTGAGTTGCGGGTGGCAGCAGAACTAAGGTACACCCCTAGGATTGCACCATAAAATAAGGAGACAACTGAGAGGTGAGATGCACAGGTGGAAAATGCCTTGTACTTCCCCTGAGCTGATGAGATTGCATGTATGGAAGAAATTATCTTAGAGTAAGAGTAAAGGATCCCAGTCAGGGGACCTCCACCCAGCAGCGCAACTGTAAAATATATCACCATGTGATTAAGAAAGCTATCAGAACAAGCAAGTTGGATGACCTGATTAAGTTCACAGAAAAAGTGGGGGATTTCTAAGGCTGTGCAGAAGGACAGCCGTACTACCATTAAGATTTGTAGCAAGGAATACAGAGCACTCATGGTCCAGGATGCTAGAACCAGCAGTCCACAGAGGTGAGGGTTCATAATGACCATGTAGTGCAGGGGGTGACAGATGGCCACAAACCGGTCATAGGCCATCACGGACAGGAGGAAGTTTTCAAATCCAGCAAAGAGTATGAAAAAATACATCTGCATGAGGCAGGCTATGTAGGTGATGACTTTGTTCTGTGTCTGGATGTTCATCAGCATTTTTGGAATGGTGGTGGAAGTAACACAAATGTCAGCAAAGGACAGGTTGGAGAGGAAGAAGTACATGGGGGTGTGGAGGTGGGAGTCTGAGATTGTGGCCAGGATGATGAGCAGGTTCCCGAGCACAGTGACCAGGTACATGGACAGGAACAGCCCAAAGAGGAAGGGTTGCAGTCCAGGTTCTTGTGAAAATCCCAGAAGAAGAAATTCTGAAATTTGTGTATCATTTCCTGGTTCCATTTGATTGAAGTGACTATCAGAGAGAGAGAGAGAAAGAGGGAAACGAGACAGGCATGCATTGCTAACCTTTCAGAAATACCATCATTTATATTTTATAGCCAATAAATTATCTTACATTTTGTGTATGAATCTGGTTCTCTTTAAGGGATCTCCATGTCATCTCTGATTAGGAACTCCTTCCCACTCTCAGCCTTAACTGAAGACAGCGTACATTCTGCAGTTAGAATAAGAACTTCTGGCTGGGCACGGTGGCTTATGCCTGTAACCCCAGCACTTTGGGAGGTCAAAGCAGGCGGATCACGAGGTCAAGAGGTTGAGACCATCCTGGCCAACATGGTGAAACCCTGTCTCTAGTAAAAATACAAAAATTAGCCTGGTGTAGTGGCATGCGCCTGTAGTCCCAGCTACTTGGGAGGCTGAGGCAAGGAGAATCTCTTGACCCCGGGAGGCAGAAGTTGCAGTGAGCTGAGATCATGCCACTGCACTCCAGCCTGGTGACAGAGCGAGACTCCATCTCAAAAAAAAAAAAAAAAAAAAAAAAAAAAAGAATGAGAACTTCTTCTATGAATTTGAGGAATATAAATTGAATGTTGACCATGTTCTTGTCACTGTCTAGATAATGAGTGAACAATGCTGAGAAACAAAAGTCCCTACAATCTAATGATGAAGAAAGAATATAAACAAATTAAACAATCGAATATAAACAAATTAAACAATCACATAATATGTCAGATGGGAACAGGCGCTTGGAAAATAAACAAAGCAGGTAAAAAGGAGGGAGGGTATGAAGTGTTTCTTTTGTTTTTTGTTTGTTTGTTTGCTGATTATTATTCAAGACCTGCAAACAAGGTGATGTTTGAAAAAAGATCTCAAGGAAGACAGGGCAAGATTCATGAAGTTATCTGTTGAAGTGGGTGCCTGGCAGGAGGAATGGCAGTACAAAAACTTTGAGGGATGTGCTTCTTTCTTGTTTTCTTTTTTGAGACAGAGTCTCGCTCTGTTGCCGGGCTGGAGCGCAGTGGCGCAATCTCAGATCACTGCAACCTCCACCTCCCAGGTTCAAGCGATTCTCCTGCCTCAGCCTCCCGAGTAGCTGGGATTACAGGCATGCACCACCACGCCCAGCTAATTTTGTATTTTTAGTAGAGACGGGGTTTCTCCATGTTGGTCAGGCTGGTCTTGAACTCCCAACCTCAGGTGATCCGCTCACCTCGGCCTCCCAAAGTGCTGGGATTATAGGCATGAGCCACTGCACCTGGTTGGGACGTGCTTCTTTCAGATGTTCAAGTCCAACACAGAAGCCAGTGTGGCCAGGGAATCAGTAAGACGGAGAGTGATGGGACATGGTGTCAGAGGATGTTGCAGAATAAGGGGACCTGGCTGTCAAAACATCAAGGGACAAAGTGTCCATCTGTCTAGATGCTGTTGCACCTGCACTTTATTAACTGGACTAGAAAGGTGTCACATCAATTGAAATGCATCCCCTCTTTATTTCCTTCTGGTGTCTTGGGTTCTGGCCTCTGTTTCATTGGTCTCCTTTATAATAAAATATATTGAGGCCAGGTCCCTCTTGCTCTGAAACCTGCTGTCACTCCAAAGACATGCAGCCACACACTCACTCACACACACATATACACATGCAGCACACTGGCCGAAGAGGGCCCAGGCAGGAGTGCAGTGGTGTGATCATAGCTCACTGCAGCTTCAACCACCCAGGCTCAAGCCATCCTCCTGCCTCAGCCTCCCAAGTAGTTGGGACCACAGCCATGTGCCGCCACCCTTGGCTGATTTCTACATTTTTTGTGGAGACCAGGTCTGCCTATGTTGCCCAGGCTGGTCTTGAACTCCTGGCCTCAAGTGAACCTTCCACTTTGGCCTCCCAAAGTGCTGGAATTACAGGCATGAGCTACTGCATTTGGCTCAAGGAAAGCTTTTAATATCAGATTCTTTTTTCCCTACAGAATGTAGAATTGGTACAAGAAATTCCAGTTCACAAGTCTGTATACACATGTAAACTTGGACTTCCATTTTGGTATGACTGTTTTCAGCCCTGTGTTTAAAGAAACATAAAAGAGCTGTTCAATAAACAGAGTGAGAGAAATTAAACAGACCCCAGTAAGGAAAAAGTCTAATAAACTCAGGTAATCCCTCAGCAAAAGGACAAAAATACATTGCAAGGGTGCAACGGGTAGGTTAGCAAGAAAGGAACTGACTCCAAGGAGACAAAGGCTTGCTGGGGATCTTATAGGATGGAAAATAAAAGCGACCCTGGTTATGGTTACATTTCAGCTTCCATTGTATCTCCTCGATGCCTGGCAAAATAAATAAAAGATCAAAAATAAAGAATTCTGACATCTTTATTGACTTCATGGTTTTTAATTTAACAATAGTATTTAATTATGTCGGTTTTAATGATTATTAAAGTTTTAGCTTTCCTTTTGGAACTAGAAATAAGTAAATAAAGTTATCCAAAAGACAAGACTGTGGAGTCCTAATTAGGGAAATGGAGTCAGGCTGGCTGAAGCAGGGAAAAACAAAAAGAGAAGATAGATAAGCTCTAAGTCTGCCTTTCTTCATGGTCCAGGACACACAACCCTCGTGTGCCAATGACTCACAATCTTCCTGCACCCGTCTTATCACCTGACCCTCAGCTGATGGAAAAATGCAAGTTAGCTCACTGCAACCTTGGCATTATCAGTACCGCACAAAGCCCTCTTCAGCTCGCAGCACAAGCACTATCCTATAAAATCCCCAGCAAGCCTTTGCCTCCTTGCAGTCAGCTCCTTTCTTGCTAACCTGCCCATTGCACCCTTGCAATGTATTATTATCCTTTCTCTAATTAAATTTGCCTTTCTTTATCTACAACTGTCTTGGTAAATTCTTACTGCCTACATGATGCCGGCCCCAGATAGCTGCTACCCATGACAAAAACTAATGATACCTTTTTTGGCAACAAAGGTACAGATCGCATATCCTAATAGAAAAATGGAGCAAAGAGAATAAGCCAACAATTCACAAAAAGAAACATACAAACAATGACAAGATTTGGGCATTTTTATATGAAACAGTAAAAGACTCATTTTTTTCTGTGCCTATTCCATATTTACTTGATCAATTGGTTTTTATATGAATTGAGAGTGGATGAAGCAGTCCCTTTCTCACTTTTCTTGTATTTCCTGTGTGGCCTTTATTTTATTTTATTATTTTATTATTATTTTTTTGAGACAGAGTCTCGCTCTGTCGCCCAGGTTGGAGTGCAATGGTGCAATATTGGCTCACTGCAAGCTCAGCCTCCCGGGTTCACGCCATTCTCCTGCCTCAGCCTCCTGAGTAGCTGGCATTACAGGTGCCCGCCACTGTGCCCGGCTAATTTTTGTATTTTTAGTAGAGATGGGGTTTCACCATGTTAGCCAGGATGGTCTCGATCTCCTGACCTCGTGATCCGCCTGCCTCGGCCTCCCAAAGTGCTGGGATTACAGGCGTGAGCCACCGCGCCTGGCCTATTTTATTTTTTTTTTGCTACTTGTGGACTTTGAATTTTGATCACTTTTTTGACAAATCCAATGAGCTTGTTTCTGGTCTTTGTCCAACATGAAAATGCCTGCCCAGACCATATTACATATTAAATTTTGCACACGTCATGACTATTCTATTCTATTCTGTTGTATTCTATTTATTCATTGTTGAGATAGGGTCTTACTCTCTTGCTAAAGATGGAGTGCAGTGGTGCAATCATAGCTCACTGCAGCCTCAAATTTCTGGGCTTATATAATACTCATGCCTCAGCTTCTTGAATGACTGGGACGAAAGGCATGTGTCACCATACCTAGCTAATTTTGTTCATGCTTTGTAGAGACAGGGTCTTGTTTTGTTGCCCAGGCTGGTCTCAAACTCTTGGCTTCATGTGATCCTCCCAGCTGGGCCTCCCAAAGTGCTGGAATTATAGGCATGAGTCACCTCGCTTGGCCTGACAATTCTATTATTTTACACTAAGAAATATTCTTTATTTGATTTACACCTTATGACATTGCATCATGCACCTTTATTTAATTCTACTGTATTTTCACCATTATAGCACAAGGTCAAAATGAGCAGGGATGTTACCATGGATGTTCACTTATGTATTTTTTTCCCTCCTTCCCTCCCTCCCTCCCTTCCTTCCTTCTCTCTCTCTTTCTTTCTTTTTTCTTTTCTTTTTTTTTTTTAATGGAGCCTTGCTCTGTCACCAGGCTGGAGTGCAGTGGCGCGATCTCGGCTGACTGGCAACCTCCGCCTCCTGGGTTCAAGCGATTCTCCTGCCTCAACCTCCCAAGTAGCTGGGATTACAGTCATGAGCCACAACACCTGGCTAATTTTTGTATTTTTAATAGAGTCGGGGTTTCACCATGTTGGCCAGGATGGTCTCGATCTCCTGACCCCGTGATCCACCCACCTCGGCCTCCCAAAGTGTTGGGATTACAGGCCTGAGCCACAGTGCCTGGCTACCTTCATATTTTCATAAAAAGATGTGACGATGTATGCATTATTAAAAAAAGAATTATAAAATTAGAAAGAATGGCAGGAGAATAAAACCAGGTTAAATATAATCAACTGTAGTGAATAAAATTGTTGAAGTATTGAAAATTAACTGACATGCTATAATAATAATTTAATCATATCAACATAAATTAATAAATTGGCAAAAATCTAGATATAAAAGAATATGGCATACACTGTTCATAAAAAACTCTTGCACAGAGCAGATGCTCAGTTATTATTTGCTGAATGAATCAGGACTTTGTTCTCAGTATACATGGGCATTTAATATACAGCAAGCTTGTATTTCAATTTAGTTAGAAAGGATTGGATATTTAAATAAATGCTGTCATAAACAGCTATTTGTCTGGAATAAATAAAATTGGTCACCTACCTCACACATCTTACACAAAGTCAGAGGAATTAAAAACTTCAATATCGGCCAGGTACGGTGGCTCATGCCTGTAATCCCAGCAGTTTGGAAGGTCCAGGTGGGTGGATCACTTGAGGTCGGGAGTTCAAGACCAGCCTGGGCAATATGGCGAAACGCCATCTCTACCAAAAATACAAAAATTAGATGGGTATGGTGGCACTTGCCTGCAGTCCAAGCTACTCAGGAGGCTGAGGTGGGAGAATCGCTTGGATCCAGGAAGCGAAGGTTGCAGTGAGCCAAGATCGCACCACTGCATTCCATCCTGGTTGACAGGGCGAGACTCCGTCTCAAAAAAAAAGTAAACAATGCCTTTTCCATGAAAACAGGGAAACTACATATGAAATCTGTGGGTGGGCAAATCACCTTAACTAAGGCAATAATTGCAGAAGTAAGATGATAGGTATATATTTAACTAAAGAATATTTTAAACTTTTTATGGCTAATAAATTTCCCCAAAAGTCAACTGAAAAAGAATCATTGAAAAAAATAATTTTAAACGCTGGTAACTGTATAAAAATGGGCATATAGTAAACATAAGGCAATCAAGATCTTGATCAAATATATGAATATTTGCTCAAAGTCAGTAATATTTTAAGAAAACAGTAAGAAATCTCACGTCCATCAGCCTGAGCGGGGATGGAGTGGGGAACTTTCTCAGCTGTCATAGATTTGTGTTGGAATTTTTAAACAGATGGCAAACGGGTACTCTAATTTTGGTGACAGAAATAAGTGTCATAATGTCTTGTGGAAACAATCTCCAGACAGATAAAATATTAAAAACACATACAGGCTGGGCGTGGTGGCACACGTCTGCAATCCTAGCACTTTGGGAGGCTGAGGCAAGTAAATTGCTTGAGCCCAGGAGTTCGAGACCAGCCTGGACAACGTGGTGAAACTCCATCTCTACAAAAGAAATACAAAAATTAGCCTAGCATGGTGGTGCACACCAGTAGTTCCAGCTACTTGGGAGACTGAGGTGGGAGGATCACCGGAGCCAAGGAGGTTGAGGCAGCAGTGAGCTGAGATCATGCTACTGCATTCCAGTAGTAGCATGGACAGAGGCTTGCACGACAGAGTGAGGCTCTGTCTCAAAGAAAAAACAAACAAACAACAAAACTCCAAAAACCAGGAAGCCAGCAGATATTCCTCGCCACAGTGTTTCTCAATCTCAGCACTATTGATATTCTGGGCTAGATCACTCTCTTTGATAAAGTCTATCCTATACACTGTGAGTTGTTTAGAAGCATCAAATCACAGGCCTAAACAACACACAAATATATTCAGCCACGCAAGTGAGGAAATAAATGCAAGTACAGCTCATTAGTACATAGTCTCTCACCTATTAAATATTTTGTATTATCTGAATACCTAGCGTAAGAGAAAATCCTGCAAAATATACGCATTATGAACTGCTGTTGCAAAATGGTATTTGCAAGCAATCCGTTCATCTGGATTTTTCTCACGGGCATAGAATCAAACTGAAATATGCTCCATTTTAAAAGTAAAAAGGAAATGTCTTTACATGACTGTATATCCCTCCACAGCCAATACACGATTTCTCTACTCCCCTTAATTACAAAGATGTATGTTGTACTTTTACAAAAATCATTTTACACCTCCTATTCCTTCTAATTGGGCTTCTGTGACCTTCACTAAATGTCAATAGTCGTCACCCTTGCATTGCCTAGTTCAGTGTTCACTTTTCTTTTTTTGCATCATAAAACGAGACATTACTTAGTTAATTAATCAACCAAGCAAATAACCGCAGCAATATCTTGGCTCTGGGCTAGGCTGGACTGGCTCTCAGGTGATCTCAGGTAAATATTCTCTGCATCTATTCCATCTATTGTTTTCCTGCAGTTCCCACTGGGCTCTCCAACTCACCAGGAGGGGATCTCTCCGAGGAAGAGTTCCTTGTGTAAGTGCAAATTCCTCACTGGATGATTGATGGTGGAGACTGAAGCTCTGCTCAGCAGACTAGGCAGCAGGAAAGAGTCAAGCATCTGTCTCTGAGCTAGACTTAGGACTTCAAAAGAAACAATGATATTCCATTCAACCCAGGGGTGCCTGAGGGACAACAGCAGATGAAATATTTATAGCTTCCCACATCTGCTCAATAGGCACATTTCTTCTTGTTATTTGAAACCCTGAGTACATTATGTCCCTGTGGGACATTGTTTTGCACAGAAAGAAAAAAAATCCTGCAGATTCTCTGTTCCCAAGAGACTGGATGAACCAGTCTTTCTTACTCTTTCAACATGAACTCTCCTTTCTTCCAGAAGTCTAACTTTGTAACAACTGTCCCAATCCTGAGACAAAGTTTTCTTCACATCTAAGACTGAGAAACCCATCTTGCCTACTCCCCTTAAATCTCCAAAGCATCGACTTATTGTGGGAATACAGCCTCTGATACCATAAGAAAATTTCTCTTTTTTTTTTGAGACGGAGTCTCACTGTGTCACCCAGGCTGGAGTGCAGTGGTGTGATCTCAGCTCACTGCAACCTCCGCCTCCTGGGTTCAAGTGATTCTTCTGCCTCAGCCTCCCGAGTAGCTGGAACTACAGGTGCTCACCCCCATGCCCAGCTAATTTTTATATTTTTAGTAGAGAAGGGGTTTTGTCATGTTGGCCAGGCTGGTCTCGAACTCCTGACCTCAGGTCATCCACCCGCCTTGGCCTCCCAAAGTGCTGGGATTACAGGCGTGAGCCACTGTGCCTGGCCCAACATCTGAAAATTTCCATCTCATTCTTCAACTAGAGGGAGTACTGTGTTCCTTTGATATAAATCATGGCTTGGCTGTACTCCTTGGCTTCATGATGTTTTCACCAAAACAATTTGTAATTTAATGCTTGTCAGACAAATTAAGAACTGTCTTTTAGTTCTTCATTGATAAAATGTGTACCAATTACAAGAGATATATTTAGACCCTTTTATGCACATTGTCCTGAGAATGGCACCTTATAAGGATTATTTTATCTAATGTTTATAAATGTTTATTTTATGTGGTCGGTACTGTCATGAGCATCATTCTACGTATGCAGTAATGGGGCTCAGAAAGATTCAGTGATCTGCTCAACATTATAAACCAAGAAAGGGATGAATGGTTGAAACTCCTTCATGATGTTTTCAGTTCTCATGCTTGAGGCCAGTAGTTTAAAAACAGGAATGAGGCTGCATGTGGTGGCTCACACTTGTAATCCCAGCACTTTGGGAGGCTAAGGCAGGCAGATAACCTGAGGCCGGAGTTCGAGACCAGCCTGGCCAACACGGTGAGACCCCGTCTCTACTAAAAATGTAAAAATTACCTGGGCATGGTGGCATACGCCTGTAGTCCCAGCTACTCAGGAGGCTGAGGCAGGAGAATCACTTGAACCCGGGAGGCAGAGGTTGCAGTGAGCTGACATTACTCAAGCCTGGGTGACAGAGCAAAACTCCATCTCAAAAAAACAAAAACAAAGAAACAAAAAGCAGGGATGATTTTGCCACCAAAGGACACTTGAAAATATCTGAGAAAACTTTAGTTGTCACAACTAGGAAGATGTTACTGGCACCTGGGGGTTGAGGTTGAGAATGCTGTTCAAGATCCAACAATGCAAATGATACCCCCACCACAAATGATAATCCAGCACAAATGTTAACATGGAGGAAGCTGCAAACACTATTCTAGACCAGAACATCTCCAGCTTCAAAGTTTATATGAATTGCTTCTGGATCTTGTTCAAATGTGGATTCTAATTTATCAGGTCTAGGATGGGGTCCAGAGATTCTACATGTGTATTAGTCCGTTTTCACGCTGCTGATAAAGACATACCCAAGACTTGGTAATTTATAAAGGAAAGAGGTTTAATGGACTCTGGACTCACAGTTCCACATGGCTGGGGAGGCCTCACAATCATGGTGGAAGGCAAAAGGCATGTCTTACATGGCAGCAGGCAAAGCGAGAATAAGAATCAAGTGAAAAGGGAAACCCCTTATAAAACCATCAGCTCTCATGAGACTTATTTAGTACCATGAGAAAAGTATGGGGAAAACTGCCCCCACGATTCGGTTAGCTCCCACTAGGTGCCTCCTGATATAGGAGTTAAGAAGGAATTACTTAGGCAGATAGCAAGGGCATGAGAGTCCTCAGTAAGGCTTTTCTCTTTTAATGAAAAGCAGCCTCAAATCATTTTCTAACAAAGAGCAGCCTGTAAAGTTGAGCTGCAGACATAGATAAGCAAGCTGGGAGTTTGCATGGGTGAATGCTGGCAGAAACTAAGGACTAGACGTTTTCAAGATGGTGGCTCCATCTTCCCTTCTCTGCCAGCCACGTGCACTGTAAGGAGCAGACAAGATGGTGTCATGGCACTGGCCAGGTAAAAACCCCATCTGCATAATAAACAATTGGGGTGGGATGGCCAGCCTCTTTGCAGGCTATGTAAATGACACACTTGGTCCAACCAATCCCCTGGGCCCTATGTAAATCAGACCCCACCTCCTCAAGCCCCTCTATAAAACCAACCGAATCCCATGGGCAACAGGGAGATCTGTTTGGAACCCGCCTCCATCTACATAAGGGAGCTTTTTTCTTGTTTCTTTCATGTATTAAACTTTCCACTATTAAATCCACACCTCGTGCATCTGCGTCTTCATTTTCCTTAGAGCAGGACAATGAACCTTGAGTATTTCCCCAGACAAACGATGCCACTTCACCATTAGCCAAATACATCTCTGTTCATTATAAATTGCCCAGTCTCAGGCATTCTGCTATAGTAGCAGAAAACAAACTCACATTTAGCTTCTGCATATACAAGTTTACATGTGTCTCTTGAGTAAATCCCTCATGATAGGAAATGAAACTTTTAGAACTTTCATTTCTTATCTATAAGTTCTGGAAATTTCATCGATCCTATGAAGTTATTGTGAAAAGTAAGCAATATTTTAATGCTTGGAAAGTTACTGGAACAGAATAATTGTTCGATCAATAGCAGCTATTGTTATTGTCTCAGTTTTGCATTTACTTAGCTCACTGTGACACCAGAAATGTCTCTTGCGAGAGGATGTGAGTCTAGTGTTACCCTGTTCCTGTTCCTGGAATACAGCTAGTTGTGATCTTGAAGGGAGACCTCATCCCAGGGACTCAAGGAGGGGTCAGAATGTGGGGAATCCACCATTCCATGCTTTGTTATATTCAAGGATGTAGCCTCTGACCCTATTCTTTTTGAGACTGAGTTTTCCTCTGTTGCCCAGGCTGGAGTGCAGTGGCACAATCTCGGTTCACTGCAACCTCCACCTCCTAGGTTCAAGCAATTCTCTTGCCTCCGCCTCCCAAATAGCTGGGATTACAGGCTTGTGCCACCACGCCCGGCTAATTTTTTGTATTTTTAGTAGAGACGGGGTTTCACTATGTTGGCCAGGCTGGTCTCGAACTCCTGATCTCAGGTGATCCGCCTGCCTTGGCCTCCCAAAGTGCTGGGATTATAAGCGTGAGCCACCGCACCTGGGCCTGCCTCTGACCCTCTAATGCTGACTCCAAATAACCACAGCAAGAATTTTTAGACTCTTTCAATCCACTTTACTTGTTCTGCTCTTGGGAATATTTGCAAAGCTGCTATTTCTTGTTGCATCAAATTATTTCTATAAATTTTCTCATCCTTTTTGTTCCACCTCCACAGCATGTAATTCACAAATGTTTGCTGCCAACAGAAGTATGAAGTTCTTGCGTGTCTGTTTCTTTCTAGGATAATTTTTTTTTTTACAATTATTTATTAACTCCTCTATTCTCTGTAGGAGGACTGTAAATCACCACTATGGACTCTGGGTCTTAAGGGTGCCTCAATTGTAAGGAGAACATAGCTCTTCAATAGTTGACACTGAACTTGGACATGTGACTTCAGCTAAATGTGAATAGTCCTGAAATGTCCAATGCCTGAGAAGAAGCTGTAAGAGATTCCATCACTTGGCTAGGCACGGTGGCTCACGCCTGTAGTCCCAACACTTTGGGAGGCTGAGGTGGGTGGATCATGAGGTCAGGAGATCGAGACTACCCTGGCTAACATGGTGAAACCTCATCTGTACTAAAAATACAAAAAAAATTAGCCAGGCGTGGTGGCGGGTGCCTGTCATCCCAGCTACTCTGGACGCCGAGGCAGGAGAAAGGCGTGAACCCAGGAGGCGGAGCTTGCAGTGAGCCGCGATTGCACCACTGCACTCCAGCCTGGGTGACACAGCAAGATTCCATCTCAAAAAAAAAAAAGAGATTCCATCACTTTTCTTGAGCTTCTTCTCTCAAATTGTCCTTGCTGTCCAAAGGTCAAGAACTTGATTTGGATAGCCCTATGGACTGAATATTTTTGTCCCTTCCAAAATTCGTATGTCCCAAGTCCCCAAAGTTAAAACTTCTCCAACATTGCCTCCTATGTGATTAAAAAATAGCATGACATTAAACCATTCACTATTAGGATGACTTGTTATGCAGTAGTAGCTTACTGATACAATAATCAATGCAAACACAACTAAAGAGATTCAGAATAATCTGATGTTTCTTTGTTCTGGACCTTTGTTCTGTTATTTGAAGGAAATATTTATGATTACCTGGTTATTCATATTTATTTCAGATAACTGTATTAAAATGAGACTGCCTATTAGATTTTCTTCAGGTAGCTAGGAGAGGTTGAAAGTAAATATGTTGGGAAAACACTGACTTTTTTTCACATGCTAATCCACCAGGTTACTTTTGAGTAACGCTGAGTCCAGAAAAGCCTCCAAAAATGTCTAGTTGATGGATTACTCTTTTTATAGAAATACGTGTTCACTGTAATTTTTGCCTTTCCTCCAAAACAACCCTTGGTGTTCTTCCATACATCATAGGCTGCGATGCCTGTAGCTGCTTACACATTCCTTCCAGAGCACATATAATGTTTCCTCCAAGATATAAGCCCCAGGTCTGGGGTGGTGGAGGTGTGGAGATCCACTTTTCCTGCGGCCACCTAAGACCATGCTTCTGTCTGTAAGTTTACCTGGTAAATTACCCTACCCAACAAACTGGCTTGTCTGCCTTGTCCTTTGACTTCTCAGATCCTTCTGCACTTGGGAACTGCTTTGCATATATAGTCCTTTCATGGAATAACACATATGTTTTTGAAGGAAAGAACTGTGACCTTCAATCACAAGTCTCTATTCCCAGAGGCAACACTGGGTAGAAATTCGAGCTCTTGTGTGAGTCATCCTTTGATCATGAGAGTTGAAGAGTGTTTAGAGTATAAAAGAGACAAAACAACTGAAGATAAAGTAAATACATATATTGTTCACTTGTCAACACTTTGATGCTTATGACATTTTTAAGGAAGAGATGTTAGGACAATGGAAGGAGTCATATTTGTAGGCAGCACTGGAAAACATTAGGCAGAAGTAGCAGAGTGATGCAAGGACATTACATACACCATGGCACTCAATCCTTCACTCAGATGAACAAACCTAGTGACGCGTGGACACCAGGCTCCTCTACTTCAATGAGTAGATGTACCCCAACGAAAACAAATATTCCATAGTTATTTCATGTATGATTGAAAATTATATTCCGTCATATTTAAGGTCATCTCTGACTCTAAGAAGAACAGTGTAAGCTCTATAAAGTAGTTGAGGAACAAAGAAGTTTAAACTCCAGGAAATAAATGGAAGGGGCAAGTCTTCCTTCCACCATCTTATTAACAAATCACCATTTCTGGCTCTGGGGCTTAGAGCTCTGAAGTCACAGGCCTTTCTTGAAAAATAGCCTTTCTATTGCTTTCCTCTGAAGAATGTTTTCATAGCACCCTTTATGTGTTTATTCCTCAGACTGTAGATGAAGGGGTTCAGCATGGGGGTGACCACAGTGTACATCACTGAGGCTGCAGCACCTGTGTGTGAATTGTGGGTGGCAGCAGAACTAAGGTACACCCCTAAGCATGTACCATAAAATAAGGAGACAACTGAGAGGTGAGATGCACAGGTGGAAAATGCCTTATACTTCCCCTGAGCTGATGAGATTGCACGTATGGAGGAAACTATCTTAGAGTAAGAGTACAGGATCCCAGTGAGGGGACCACCGCCCAGCAGCGCTACTGCAAAATACATCACTATGTCATTAAGAAAGGTGTCAGAACAGGCAAGGTGGACCACCTGATTAATTTCACAGAAAAAATGAGGGATTTCCATGTGTGTACAAAAGGGCAGTGGCAACACCATTAAGCTTTGTAACATGGAATTCAGAACACTCATGATCCAGGATGCCAGAACCAGCAGTCCACAGAGTTGAGGGTTCATAATGACCATGTAGTGCAGAGGGTGACAGATGGCCACAAACCGGTCATAGGCCATCACGGTCAGAAGGAAGTTATCCAATCCTACAAAGAGTAAGAAAAAGCACATCTGGGTGATGCAGCCTGCATAGGTGATGACTTTGTTGTGTGTCTGGATGTTCACCAGCATCTTCGGGACAGTGGTAGAGACAAAACAGATGTCTACGAAGGACAGGTTGGAGAGGAAGAAGTACATGGGGGTGTGGAGGTGGGAGTCTGAGATTGTGGCCAGGATGATGAGCAGGTTCCCGAGCACAGTGACCAGGTACATGGACAGGAACAGCCCAAAGAGGAAGGCCTGCAATTCTGGTTCCTCTGAAATTCCCAGGAGAAGAAATTCTAAAATTATTGTATTGTTCCATGATTTCATCTTGTGATGTGACTACCAGAGAGAGAGAGAGAGAGAGAGAGAGAGTGAAAGAACATGAAACAAACATGCATTCCAAAACTATCAGAAATGTTATCATTTATATTCCACAGTCAAGAAGTTAATATCTTTTTCTTAAAAAATTATTTTTAAGTTGACAGATAAAATTATATGTATTTATCACATATAACATGATGTGTTTTTAAAAGTTTTATTTAGTTTCAGGGTTACATATGCAGGTTTGTAAAACAGGTAACATGTCATGGGGGTTTAGTGTATAGGTTATTTCAATACCCAGTAATAACCATAGTACGTAATAGGTGTTCGATCCTTACTCTCCTCCCACCTTCCACCCTCAAATAGGTCCCAGTATCTATTCTCTTGTTTTCTTTTTTGAGATGGAGTCTCGCTCTGTCACCCAAGCTGGAGTGCAGTGGTGCAGTCTTAACTCATTGCAACCTCTGTCTCTTTGTTCAAGCGAATCTTGTGCCTCAACTTCCCGAGTAGCTGGGATTACAGGTAGGCACCACCACGCCCATCTAATTTTTGTATTTTTAGTAGAGACAGAGTTTTGCCATGTTGGCTAGGCTGGTCTTGAACTCCTGACCTCAGGTGATCCGCCTGCCTCAGCCTCCCAAAGTGCTGGGATTACAGGCATGAGCCATGTACCTGGACTATTCTCTTCTTTGTGTTCACGTGCACTCAATGTTTAGCTCCCAATTATTAGTAAGAACATATGGTATTTGGTTTCTTGTTCCTGCATTAGTTTGCTTAGAATAATGGCTTTTAGCTACACCCATGTTGCTGCGAAGGACATTATCTTGTTCTTTATTATGGCTTCGTAATATTCCATGGTATATATGTACCATATTTTCTTTATCCAGTCTACCGTTGATGGGCGTCTAGGTTGATTCTATGTCTTTGTAATTGTGAATAGTGCTGTGATGAATATAAGTGTGGATGTGTCCTTATGGTAGAACAATTTATATTTCTTTGGGTATATACCTAGTAATGGGATTGGTAGGTCAAATGGTTGTTCTGTTTTAAATTCTTTGAGAAATTGCCAAGGGTCTAATATCAGAATCTATAAGAAACTTAAACAAATTAACAAGCAAAAAACAAACAACCCCATTAAAATGTGGGCAAAGGACACGAGCAGACACTTCAGGAAAAGACATACATGCGGCCAACAAGCATATTAAAAAATGCTCAACGTCCCTAATCATTACATAAATGCAAATTAAAACCACAGTGAGATACCATCTTACACTAGTCAGAATGGCTATAATTGAAAAGTCAAAAAATAGCACACACTGCTGAGGTTGTGGAGAAAAGGGAAAACTTATACACTGCTGGTGGGAATGTAATTAGTTCAGCCCCTGTGGAAAGCAGTTTGGTGATTTCTCAAAGGACTTAAAACATGATGTGTTGAAGTACAAATACATTGTGGAATGGCAAAATCTAGCTAATTAGCATCTACATGACGTCACCTTGTCATCATTTTTGTGAGGAGAACACTTGACATTCACCCTTTTAGTGTCTTTTGAGAATACAGTGTATCACGGTGAACTGTTGTCACTATGCTGTGCAGCACATCTTTTGAAGTTATTCCTCCTGTCTAACTGGAATTTTGTGTCTATTGGCCAACATCTTTCTAACTTTCCCCACTCCACTTCCCCCAGCCTCCATTCTACAAGAAGTTAATTTCTATATTGTTTGTGAATCTGGTCCCCGTTAGGAGATCCCCTTGCCATCTCTGAATTCCTTCCCACTCTCAGCCTTTCTCTGAGGGCATCTACTCTACAAGTTTAGGGAGAAAAATCTTTCATGCATTTGGGGAATATCAAGTGAATTTCGACATGTTCCAGATGCTGTCTAGACAGTGAGTAAGTGGTGCTATAAAACAGAAGTCCTTGTGTTAGTTTGCTGAGAATGGAACAGAAAACCAAACACCACATGTTCTCACTTATAAGTGGGAGTCGAACAATGAGAACACATGGACACAGGGAGGGGAACATCACACACTGGGGACTGTCGGGGGTACGGGATAAGGGGAGGGAGAGTATTAGAACAAACACCTAATGCATGCGGGGCTTAAAACCTAGATGACAGGTTGATGGGTGCAGCAAACCACCATGGCACATATGTACCTATGTAACCAAACTGCACATTCTGCACATGTATCCCAGCACTTAAAGAATAATTTAAAAAACCCCTCCAGAAGTCCCTATGCTCTAAACACAGAGAAAATACAAGTAAATTTGTAAAATACCACATGCTATGTCAGATGATGATAGATCCTATACTATGTCAGATGACGACAGATCCTATACTACATCAGGGCGTGACAGCTCCTACAAAGTAAAGAAAGAAGGCAAAAAAGAAAACATGGATGAGGTGTTAGTTTTTACTTTGCTTTCCTGTAAGACCAGCAGACAAGGTGACAATGGAACAGAAGACAGGGTCAGAGTGACCACCTTCCCTGCAGAAGTGTGTGCCAGGCAGAAGGAAAGATCAATGAAAGACGCTGAGGAATGTGCTTCTGGCAGATGTTCAAGGCTAACAAGGAATCCAGTGTAGCGAGAGAATGAGCAAGAAGAGAGGGATGGGAGATGGTGTCAGAGGATGATGAGGAATGAGGTGACCTCCTAAATGCTGAAATTTGATAACACAAGGAGTTCCTCGGTCCTGATGTTGTTGCATTTGCACTTTGGTAATTTGGTTGCAAAGGTGTCCCATTATTTGAAATGCATCTCCTCTTTGTTTTTCACTGTTGCCTTGAGTTCTGTGTTTTTTTTTTTTTTTTGAGATGGAGTCTCACTCTGTCACCCAGGCTGGAGTGCAGCAGTGCGATCTTGGCTCACTGCAACCTCTGCCTCCTGGGCTCAAGTGATTCTCCTGCCTCAGCCCCCTGAGTAGCTGGGATTATAGGCGCCTGCTACCACACCCGGCTAATTTTTGTATTTTTAGTAGAGATGGAGTTTCGCCATGTTGGTCAGGCTGGTCTCAAACTCCTGACCTCAGGGGATCTGCCCACCTCGGCCTCCCAAAGTGCTGGGATTATAGGCGTAAGCCACCATGCCAGGCCAACTTCTGGTCTTTTAATTACAAGTTGCCTTTTGGAATATATTGGTCCCAGGTTCTTTTTCTCTGAAAATTCCTCTCGCCCTAGAGGTGCACACACACACACACACAAACACACACACACACACACACACACACACAATGCATACACATGTGCATCACATCGTGGCCTCCTAGGGCTGTGTTACTCCTCTGCTCTTCTCACCCCTAGTCTCACTATTAAGAAGGAATGGAGGCCAGGCACGGTGGCTCACGCCTGTAATCCCAGCACTTTGGGAGGCTGAGGCAGGCGGACCGCCTGAGGTCAGGAGTTTGAGACTAGCCTGACCAACATGGTGACACCCTGTCTCTACTAAAAATACAAAAATTAGCTGGGCGTGGTGGTGGGCGCCTGTAATCCCAGCTACTGGGGAGGCTGAGGCAGGAGGATTGCTTGAACCTGGAAGGCGGAGGCTGTGGTGAGTTGAGATTGCGCCCCTGGACTCCAGCCTGGGCAACAGAGCAAGACTCCATCTCAAAAAAAAAAGACAAGTGAAAATGGTGGTGATATATATGAATTTTGCTTAAACCAAGCAATAATTTAAGGCAACAAGAAATCTCTGTCACACGCATCAGCCTGGGAAAAAACTTAAGGAGCTACCACATTGAGTAGGGTTGGAACTTACAAACAGGGAGAGAAGGGAAACTCTAATTTTGCTGGCATAAATGTGAAGTGATACACCTGGATACAGCTATAAATACTAAAAATACAGATATTCATTCACTCGTTTTCTCAATCTCAGCACTACTTAAATTCTAAGCCACATTATTCATTGTGGTGGGGTCTGTCCCTGTTGTCTGCTGACCTTTACAGGGTGAAAGCCAAATATGTCATTGCTCAATGTCCCCTGGGGGACAAAATCATGCCACCCACTCAAGTGAGAACGACAATTTTAACATAAAAATTCCAAAATGTGGGAGGCCGAAGCGAGCGGATCAGGAGGTTAGGAGTCAAGACCAGCCTGACCAACACGGTGAAACCCCATCTCTACTAAAAATACCAAAATTAGCCTGGCATGGTGGCATGCACCTGTAATCCCAGCTACTTCGGGAGGCTGAGGCAGGAGAATCGCTTCAACCCGGGAGGCGGAGGTTGCAGTAAGCCGAGATCGCACCATTGCACTCCAGCCTGGGTGACAAGAGCAAGACTCCGTCTTAAAGAAAAAATTCCAAAATGTTTTTGTAGCATTTATAGGATAGGAAAGGAAAGGAGAAGACAAGCTAAAAACAACTGCACTAAAATATAGCATATTTGTGATATGCATAGGATTTTGTCTACGTGTTTGTATAAGTGTTGTATGAATACAAAAGTGTGCATAATATAGAAAGAGAAGTTTTAAAAGAAACGAACTTATACAACAAGGAATGACAGTTAAAATGCAATTAGGTTAAGCACAGTGGTTTCAAAACAACTGTCTAAAGCAACATAGAATGAAAATCTGAAAAAATTTTAATATAATCACATAAAATAGTAATAATTTAATAACATCAAAATGGGTTACAAATTTAAGATTAAACTACCAGTCATGGAAACTAAAGAATATGACAGGAAGTCTTTTAAAATTATCTGCGTGTGGTGGTTGGTGCCTGTAATCCCAGCTACTCGGGAGGCTGAGGCAGGAGAGTCACTTGAACCCAGGAGGTGGAGGTTGCAGTGATCTGAGATCGCGTCACTGCACTCCAGCCTGGGTGACAGAGCGAGACTCCATCTCAAAAAAAAAAAAAAAAGGAAAAGGAAGTAGTGTCTAAGGTTATAATTTGATCTTATATAAAGATGTAAGGATTCAAGCATGTTTATGACAGATATAAATGTGACACAACTTCTAGATATGGATTGAATACAAAAAGCTAAAAGGCACAATAAGGAATGACAGAGATGTGAAAAGAAGTTGGAAATTTATATATAGAAGGTGATTTATTCAGCCAAAAGATGCAGAAGAACTTTCTACATTTATAAGGCAATTAGGGAGACACAATGTGACCGATGGATGGATTTGGCTACACAAGCTTTTTAAACTTGCACACTGTCCTCTCAAATACATTGAAACTTACACAAAAGAACATAAAACAGCTAAGAAAAAAGTACATATAAGAACATTCCTTGTGTAATAACTCACATAAAAGAACTAAATGACAAATGCCAAAATTGGCAAAAACTCCAAAGCTTATATGTTAAAGAATGTAATAAAAAACACGAATAAAATCACTTTGAATCCATCATACAAAAGCCAAGAATTTTCATAGATAATTTCCAACAGAGTGATAAATGTCTGACAAACACAGATGTAGTCAGTCTTACCAGTAAGGAAAAATTGCAAAGTAAAGGCCATTAATATACCAGTTTTCAACTCTTAAATAAAATTTTAATTCATTTGAATACCTAGCATAAGAAAAGCAGCTGAAAACTGTACGTTTCATAAACTGCTGTTGCCAGGTAGTAGTTGGAAAAAATTTATTGGTCTGGATCTTTCTCATCAATATGGAAACAAACTCAAATATGCCCTTCTATTTTTATTTATTTTTATTTTTTTGAGATGGAGTCTCGCTCTGTCGCCCAGGCTGGAGTGCAGTGGCGCGATCTCGGCTCAATGCAAGCTCCACCTCCCGGGTTGACGCCATCCTCCTGCCTCAGCCTCCCGAGTAGCTGGGACTACAAGCGCCCGCCACCACGCCAGGCTAATTTGTTTTTTGTATTTTTAGTAGATATGGGGTTTCACTGTGTTAGCTAGGATGGTCTCGATCTCCCGACCTTGTGATCCGCCTACCTCGGCCTCCCAAAGTGCTGGGACTACAGGCGTGAGCCACCACGCCGGACCAAATATGCCCTTCTTAAAAATGAAAAATTGGCGGGGCCAGGTGGCTCATGCCTGTAATCCCAGCACTTTGGGAGGCCGAGGTGGGTGGATCACGAGGTTAAGAGATTGAGACCATCCTGGCCAACATGGTGAAACCCTGTCTCTACTAAAAATACCAAATTTAGCTGGGTGTGGTGGTGAGCACCTGTAATCCCAGCTACTTGGGAGGCTGAGGCAGGAGAATTGCTTGAATCCGGGAGGCAGAGGTTGCAGTGAGCCAAGATTGTGCCACTGCACTCCAGCCTGGGCGACAGAGTAAGACTCTGTCTAAAAAAAAAAAAATGCCCTCACTTCCTTTCGTATCCCCCATAGCTAATACCCTACTTCTCTTTCCCACTTAATTGCAGTGATGCTTGGGCAGATGTTCTGCTTTCACTGGAACTACTTTAGACCCCACATTTTCTCTTCTAATTGGGCTTTTATTACCCTTACTTGATTGTCGGCTATCATTCTCCATTGCTGAGTTCAAGATGCACTTCTCTTCTTAGCTTCATAAATGAAGATATGAATCAATTCATTCACCAAGCAAATACCCACAGCAGCGTCTCCACTCTGTTGCAGCTAGGATTGGCTCTTTCGAGATCTCGGGTCTATGTTCACAACTTGCAATCTCCCTGATCCTTTCCTACGGTACCTATTGGACTCACCCTGTTGGGTTTTCTGAAATGAAGGTCTCAATCTAGAAGTGCAAATTCCTCCCTGGATGGTTGATGGTGGAGACTGAGGCTGTGTCCCAAGACAAGACAGTAGGAGAAAGGAAAGAATCAGTACCCCTGAGCCAGCAGATATAGACTCCGAAAGAAACAAGGATGTCCCATCCAGCCCAAGGTTGCATATGCTGAGGGACACCTGCAGCGGAGAAATTTACAGCTTCATATGCCTGCTCATTGGAGACATTTCCTCCTGTTATTCAACCCCTGATCACATTCAGTCCCTGTGGGACATTGCTCTTCATGGAAAGAAATTTTTTTCTTGCATACTCAGTTCCCAAGACATCAGATTAAACATCAGGCGAATCGAGTCGTTATTATTCCTTCTCCATGGATTTGTCTGCCTTCCAAAGGTCTAACCTCCCATCACTTCCCTCCAACCCTGAGGGAAAGTTTCCTCCGAAGTTTAAACTGAGGAATCTTTCTTGACTAAGCCCCTTGAGTCTCCAAAGCATTGACTTGTGGTAAGAACACAGGTTAAGAGCCGTCATTTAATCCTTCATTTATAAAACATTTGATAATTGTAAGAGATACATTTACATCTTTTCATGCAAGTTACCCTTAGATTAGCACCTTATAAGAGTGATCTCATTAATTTTTTAAAAAAAGTATTTATTTATTTAAATGGACAGATATAATTGTATATATTTATGGTGTCCAACATGATGCTTTGAAGTATATATACATTGTGGAATGGTTAAATCTAGCTAATTAATATATGCATTATCTCATGTAGCTATCATATTCGTAGTGAGATTCCTTTAAATCCACCTTTGGCATTTTTCTTTTCTTCCTCTTCTTTTCTTCTTCTTCTTCTTCTTCTTCTTCTTCTTCTTCTTCTTCTTCTTCTTCTTCTTCTTCTTCTTCTTCTTCTTCTTCTTCTTCTTCTTTCTTCTTCTCTTTTTTTTTTTTTGAGACAGAGTCTTGCTCTGTTGCCAGGCTGGGGTACAGTGGCACGATCTTGGCTCACTGCAACCTCCACCTCCAGGGTTCAAGCGATTCTCCTTGCTTCAGTCTCCCGAGTAGCTGGGATTACAGGCACCCACCACCACACCCGGCTAATTTTTGTATTTTTAGTGAAGATGGGGTTTCACCATGTTGGCCAGGATGGTCTCGATCTCTTGACCTCGTGATCCGGCTGGCATTTTTCAAGAATACAATATGTCATCATTAAATATAGTCACCTTGCTGTACAATAGATCTCTTGAATGTATTCCTCCTAACTACAATTGTGTATCCTTGGACAAACATCTCCCCACTCCTCACGCTGCAACTGCCCCAGCCTCTGGTAACCACCATTCTACTCAATAATTCTGTGAGATCGACTTGTTTCAATTTCATATGAGTGAGATCAGATGGTATTTGTCTTTCTGTGACTGTCTTATTTCACTTAACATAATGTTCTCCAGACTCAACCATGTTGTCTCAAATGACAGAATTTCCTTCTTGTTTATGGCTGAATAGTATTCTATTGTGTGTGTGTGTATAATACATAACGAAATTATATAATATTTTAAAATCCATTCATTCATTGATGGACACGTTGATTGATTTCACATCTTGGATTCAGGATATTCTGGACATAATTCTGCATATGAACACTTTGTTGGATCTGTAGTTTGCTGATAACATTGACCACATATCTAAACTCAACATTTTTATTCCACCCCTCACTCCTGACCCATTTTATGGTTTGGAGGTCACAATTTACAGCTTTTTATATTGTGTATCACTTAGCAAATTAAGAGTTACAATTTTCATTTGATGTTCTGTTAATTGCAATTGATTGCAATCCATAACTTGCTATACTATTCCGATAAATTTTATAATATTAGTAACCTGTCATATGTATACAAGATCTACATGGGGATCAAAATCAGTTATATTACATGTGTACTTTCTAATAAGCAGTTATTGTACATTCTTACTTTTTTGATGGGGCTACACACACACAGACACAGAAACATACAAACATACACAGACACACACACACACACAGACACATAAAGTCTTGACAAATTGGAAGACCTCCATAGGAGAATGGCTCACATACAGAAAAATCTAAAAAGTATCATAGGGTGACTGGAAGAAGAAAAGTTGGTTGTTTTTTCTGTACATATGAAGAAGTTGGTTGTTTTTCCTGCACATGTGGAGACAGTCCTGTCTGCCACTGAAAAGAATGCTGGCGTTTCTTCTTGTACATCATTTCATGCGGCCCCTACTGGGTACCCTGGATTCTCTCCTGACTCCAATCTCTTCTCAATCATACACTCAGGGTATCTGCAACAAAACTTCCACCTCAATTTCCCCCTCTTTTTTCAAATTTCTATATCTCTTGTATCTACAATTCTATTCTCTGTCTCCATGAGGTCAACTTCTTTAGCTCCTTCATATGAATAAGAACAAGCATTATTTTCTTTCTGTGCCTGGCTTATTTCACTTAACATAGCAGCTTCCAGTCCCATCCATGTTGCTGCAAATGTCATAATTTTATTCTTTTTTATGGCTGAATAGTATTCAATTGTGTATATGTACTGCATTTTCTTTATCTATTTGTGCACTGATGGACACTTTGGTTGATTCCATATCTGAACTATTGTGAATAGTGTTGCAATAAACATGCAAATGCACGTATCTTTTTGATACACTGATTTCTTTTCCTATGGTTATAGATCCAGTAGTGGGATTGCTGCATCAGATGGTAGTTCTATTTTAGTTTTTTGAGAAATCTCCATATTATTTTCCATAAAGGATCTACTAATTTACATTCTAACCAACTGTGTATAAGAGTTCCCTTTTCTCCTTATCCTTCCCAGCAACTGTTTTTTTTTCTTTTTAATAATATCCATTCTAATTTGGGTAAGACGAAATCTCACTGTACTTTTTTTTTTTTATCGTTGTTGTTGTTGGTTTTTTTCTTGAGATGGAGTCTTGCTCTGTCTCCCAAGCT
Source organism: Homo sapiens (assembly GCF_000001405.40). Classification (NCBI taxonomy): domain Eukaryota; kingdom Metazoa; phylum Chordata; class Mammalia; order Primates; family Hominidae; genus Homo; species Homo sapiens. Next base: position 14,851,513 of record NC_000019.10, read on the forward strand.
GGAGTGCCGTGATGTGATCTCAGCTCACTGCAACTCCGCCTCCTGGATTCAAGCGATTCTCCTGTCTCAGCCTCCTGAGTAGCTGGGATTACAGGTACCCACCACCATGTCCGGCTAATTTTTGTATTTTAATAGAGACGGGGTTTTGCAATGTTGGTCAGGCTGGTCTCGAACTCCTGACCTGAAGTGATCCACCTGCCTCAGCCTCCCAGTGTGCTGGGATTACAGGGGTGAACCCCTGTGCCTGGCCTCCACCTTATTTCCAACCCTACTTTGGGGATAACTTTGGGAAAGTGGGAAAATGACAAAGGAAAGAAAACTGTTGGATACTTGAGAGCAGAAAACTTTTTAAAGGAAAATCATAAACTTTATAAAGCAGTTGGAATCAAAGAAATGGAAACTCCAGGTAGATAACAGAAGGAGTAACTTCTACTTCCACAATCTCATTAATGAATCATGATTTCTATCTCTGGGAATTAGAGCTCTGAAATCACAGGCATTAATTGAAGAAGAGTCCTTTTATTGCTTCCTTCTGAAGAAGCGTTTCAGAGCATCCTTTAGGTCTTTATTCCTCAGACTGTAGATAAAGGGGTTCAGCATGGGGGTGACCACAGTGTACATCACTGAGGCTGTTGCACTTGAGGGTGAGTTGTGGGTTGCAGCAGAACTAAGGTACATTCCTAGGCTTGTACCATAAAACAAGGAGACAACTGAGAGGTGAGATGCACAGGTGGAAAATGCCTTGTACTTCCCCTGAGCTGATGAGATTGCACGTATGGAGGAAACTATCTTAGAGTAAGAGTAAAGGATTCCAGTGAGGGGACCACCGCCCAGCAGCACAGTTGCACAATATATCATGATGTCATTAAGAAAGGTGTCAGAACAGGCAATGCAGATTATCTGATTAAGTTCACAGAAAAAGTGGGGGATTGCTATGTCTGTATAGAAGGGCAGTGGCAACACCATTAAGCTTTGTAACAGAGAATTCAGGACACTAAGAATCCAGTCTATAGAACTGAGGGTTCATGATGATTGTGTAGTACAGAGGATGACAGATGGCCACAAACCGATCATAGGCCATCACAGCTAGGAGAAGGCTGTCCAACACTGCAAATAGTAGGAAAAAGCACATCTGGGTGATGCAGCCTGCATAGGTGATGACTCTGCTCTGCGTCTGGATATTCACCAGCATCTTCGGGACAGTGGTAGACACAAAACTGATATCTGCAAAGGACAGGTTGGAGAGGAAGAAGTACATGGGGGTGTGGAGGTGGGAGTCTGAGATTGTGGCCAGGATGATGAGCAGGTTCCCGAGCACGGTGACCAGGTACATGGACAGGAACAGCCCAAAGAAGAAGGGCTGCAATTCTGGTTCTGCTGAAAGTCCTAGAAGAAGAAATTCTGAAATTCGTGTATCATTCCCTGGTTTCATCTTGTTGATGTGACTACCAAAAAAAGAGAAGGAGAATATGACACAAGCATGCCTTACAATCCTAACAATATAAATGTTGTCATTTATATTCTTCAGACAAGAAGTTAATTTCTTTTTCTAAAATATGTATTTATAAAATTACAGATAAAGTTGCATCTATTTATCATGTACAACATAATATGTTTAAGTATAAGTACAAAGTGAATGGCCATTTGTAGCTAATTAAAATCTGCGTTATCTCACAAAATTATCATTTTCGTGGAGAGAACACTTAACATCCACTTTTGCCATTTTTGAAATTACAAAATATCTTCATGAACTATAGTTACCATGATGTACAATAGACCTCTCGAATGAATTCCTTCTCATTAACTCTCATTTTCTATTCTTTGACCAACATCTTCCCAACTTTCTTTGTCCCCAACCTCCTCAGCTTCTCATAACCTTCATTTTACAAGAAGTTAATTTCTATATTTTGTGTGTGAATCTGATTCCTGTTGGGGATCCCCTTGCATCTCTAATTTGGAGTTCCTTCTTACTCTCAGCCTTTCCCTGAGGGCATGTATTCTATAGTTTTAAGAAGAAAATTTTTCATGCACTTTAATAAAGTAAATTGAATTTTGACATATTCCAGGAATTTAGACGATGAGTGAATGGTGCCATAAAACCAAGGCCTCAACAATCTAATGATGGAGAAATAATATAAGTAAACTTTTAAAATACCATATACTATGTCAGATGGTAACAAATCTTATGAAGAAAAAGAAAGAAGATAAGAAGAAAAGCATGGATGAGGCATCATTTTTACTGGGTGTTCAGGCTAGACCAGCAGACAAGGTGGCAACTGAGCAGAGACCATAATGAAGACCCGGTATGAATGTGCAGAAGTGTGTGCAAGGTGGAAGGAAGGATCAATAAAGCATACTGAGAAATGTGCTTCTTTCAGATATTCAAGGCCAACAAGGAAGCCAATGTGGCAGGAGAATGAGCAAGATGAGAGGGATGAGAGATGGTGTCAGAGGATGCTGAGGGAGGAGATGGCCTGACAGCTGCTGAAACTGGAAGGCACAAGGAGGCCCTCTGTCCAGATGTCGATGCATTTGCCCTGTATGAATTTGGTTGCAAAGGTATCCCATGAAGTGAAATGCATCCCCTCTTCATTTTCTTCATTTGCCTTGAGTTCTGGAGTTCTGGTATCTGTCTTTTTTTGTTGTTGTTGTTGGAGTCTTACTCTGTCGCCCAGGCTGGAGTGCAGTGGCGTGATCTCGGCTCACTGCACCCTCTGCCTCCTGGGTTCAAGAGATTCTCCTGCCTCAGCCTCCTGAGTAGCTGGGATTACAGGCATGTGCCACCATGCGGGGCTTTTTTTTTTTTTTTTTTTTTTTAGTGGAAACAGGGTTTCACCATATTGGCCAGGCTGGTCTTGAACTCCTGACCTTGTGATTCCTTCGCGTCAGCCTCCCAAAGTGCTGTGATTACAGGCATAAGCCACTGTGCCTGGCCCGCTCCTTCTTAAAATAAAAAAGAAATGCCCTCACTTCAGTGTATATACCTCCACAACTAATGTCCTATTTCTCTTCTCGACTTAATTGCAAAGATCCCTGGGCAAATGTTCTACTTTTACTCTTTTAATTAGGCTTCCCCCATTTCCTCTTCTAATGGGACTTCCATTTCCGTTACTACTAATTGTCAACTATTATCCTCCATTGCTGAGTTCAACATCCATTTCTTTTTAGCATCACAAATAAATACATCAATCAATTAATGACTCAAGCAAGCAAACAACCAAAGCAATCTCTCTGCTCTGGGCTTGGCTGTATTGGCTCTCAGGGGACTTCAGGTCTATATTCATGGCTCTCATTTTCCCGGAGCCTTTCCTGTAGTACCTACTGCGCACTTGGACTCACCCTGATGGATTTTCTGGAAGGAAGGTGTCGTCCATGTGGATGTATGAATTCCTCCCTGGATGGTTGATGATGGAAACTGAAGCTCTGTCTTGAGACAAGACAGCAGGAGAAGGTCAGGCATCAGTACTCGAGCCAGATTGAGGACTCCAAAAGAAACAAGCATGTCCCATCCAGTCCAAGGTAGCATATGCTGAGGGACAGTGACAGCGGAGATATTTACGGATTTGTGTATCTGCTCATTAGGCACATTTCCCTCTTGTTATTCCCACCCTCAGCACACGATGTCCCTGTGGGACATTGCTCTGCACTGAAAGAATTTTTTTTTTTCTTGCATACTCTGTTCCCAAGACATTAGGGTAAACATCAGGTCAATCCAGTCTTTTTTTTTTTTGAGACAGAGTTTTGCTCTGTCACCCAGGCTGCAGTGCAGTGGCACGATCTTGGCTCACTGTAACCTCCACCTCCCGGGTTCAAGCAATTCTCCTGCCTCAGCCTCCCAAGTAGCTGGGACTACAGGTGTGCGCCACCATGCCTGGCTAATTTTTATATTTTTAGTAGAGATGGGGTTTCACCATGTTGGCCAGGCTGGTCTCGAACTCCTGACCTCATGTGATCCACCCGCCTCGGCCTCCCAAAGTGCTGGGATTACAGGTGTGAGCCACCATACCCAGCCCACTCCAGCCTTTGTTACTTTTTCTATATGGACTTGCTTATCTTCCAGAGACCTGTCTGAAACCTGAACCCAACCTGGAGTGAAAGTTTTCTCCAAAGTCTAAACTGAGGCACTTGTGAAGAGGTCCTTTGGATCTCTAAAGTTTAGTTTTCTGCTTCAATGATCTGTCTAATGCTGGCATGGGGTGTCGCTTTATGAACATACTTGCATGTTGCCCTTTTTGCTTTATAAATGTAGATGTTTGGCTAAGTTAATCTCATGTTATACACACATTTCCAACCTGATTTTATCAGTTCATTCTTCTTTATTGTGACTTTTGGCTTTTTGTATTAGATCTCTTTCTGGAAGTTGCATCACATCACCTTTGGCTATCATTTAAAAATCATTCTTAGGCCGGGTGTGGTGGCTCATGCCTGTAATCCCAACACTTTGGGAGATGGGTGGATCACCTGAGGTCAGGAGTTTGGGACCAGCCTGGCCAACATGGTGAAACTCTGTCTTTACTAAAAATACAATAATTAGCTGGGCATGGTGGCAGGTGCCTGTAATCCCAGGTGCCTGTAATCCTACTCGGGAGGCTGAGGCAGGGGAATCGCTTGAACCCAGGAGACAGAGGTTGCAGTGAGCCAAGATCACGCCAATGCATTCCAGCCTGGGCAGCAAGAGTGAAACTTCATCTCGGAAAAAAAAAAAAAAAAAAAGGAAAAGAAAAAAATCATTCTTCTTTATCATCTGACTACAGCTCATCTTGATCTCTCATATAGCAGTATTTGCAACACTATTATCGTGTTGCCGTTTATGTCTCTTCCTCGGTCTAGAAGCAGTGGCTTTGTGAAGAATCTGGGGCTTCGATGTTGGGTAGGTATATATTTGGATAGTTAAATCTTTTTATGAATTGAACATTGAACGTTTTATCATCATGTAATGCCTTTCCTCATCCTCCTTTTTTTTTTTTTTTTTTTTTGAGACAGAGTCTCGCTCTATCGCCCAGGCTGGAGTGCAGTGGTGCCATCTCGGCTCCCTGCAAGCTCCGCCTCCCGGGTTCACACCATTCTCCTGCTTCAGCCTGCCTAGTAGCTGGGACTACAGGTGCCCACCACCACGTCCGGCTAATTTTTTGTATTTTTGGTAGAGACGGGGTTTCACCATGTTAGCCAAGATGGTCTCTATCTCCTGACCTCGTGATCCGCCCGCCTTGGCCTGCCAAAGTGCTGGGATTACAGGCGTGAGCCACCGCGCCTGGCCCTTCGTCCTCCTTTTTGACTATTGTTGGTTTAAATTCTTTTTTATCTGATACAAGAATAATGACCCCTGCTCTCTTTTGTTTTCCATTTGTGTGATAGGTCTTTTCCCATCATTGATTTTGAGCCTATGGGTGTTATTACATGGATCTCTTGAAGAAGGTGGGAAGAGGGGCCTTGTTTTTATTTTTCAATTTTTAATTTTTTTTTGGGTACGTAGTAAGTGTGTATATTACTACAGGGTACATGAAATATTTTGAAACTGCCATGCAATGCACAATTATCACATCATGGAGAAGGGGGTACCCATTCCTTCAAGCATTCATTCTTTGTGTTACAAACAATCCAATTATAGCCTTTAAAGTATTTAAAAATGTACAACTAAATTACTACTGACCATAGGTCATCACCCTGTTGTGCTATCAAATAGTCTTATTCATTTTTTTCTATTTTTTTTGACCCATTAACCATCTCCACCTTTCCCATATCACTCACTTACCTTCCCAGCCTCTGGTAACCATCCCTTTTTGTGTGTGTGTGTGTGTTTTGTTTGTTTTTTGTTTTTGTTTTTTTGAGATGTAATCTCACTCTGTTGCCCAGGCTGGAATGCAGTGGTGCAATCTTGGGTCACTGCAATCTCTGCCTCCTGGGTTCAAGCGATTCTCGTGCCTCAGCCTCCCTAGTAGCTGGTATTACAGGTGCGCATCATCATGCCTGGGTAATTTTTGTATTTTTAGTGGAGACAGCATTTCACCATGTTGGTCAGGCTGGTCTCCTGACCTCAAGTGATCCGCCCGCCTCAGTCTCCCAAAGTGCTGGGATTACAGGTGTGAGCTGCTGTGCCTGGCCAGTAACCATCCTTCTACTCTCTATGACCATGAGTTCAATTGTTTTGATTTTTAGATGCCACAAAAAGTGAAAACTTGTGATGTTTATCTTTCTGTGCCTGGATTATTTTACTTAACACAATGACCTCCAGTTTCATCTGTGCTGTTGCAAATGACAGGATCTCTTTATTTTTTATGGCTGGATGGTACTCCATTGTTTGTAAGTACCACATTTTCTTTATTCATTCATTTGTTGATGGACACTGAGGTTGCTTCCAAATCTTGGCTATTGTGAATGTTGCTGCAACAAACATGAGGATGCAGATGTCTCTTTGATATTATGATTTCCTTTCTTTTGGGTATACACCCAGCAGTGGGATTACTGGATCATATGGTAGCTCTTTTTTTTAGTATTTTGAGGAGCCTCCAAACTGTCCTCCATAGTAGTTGTACTAATTTACATTCCCACAAACAATGTACGAGGGTTCTCTTTTCTCCACATCCTCACCAGCATTTGCTTACCTATCCGGCCAGGCATGGTGGCTCCCACCTGTAATTCCAACACTTTGGGAGGCTGAGATGGGCAGATCACCCAAGGTCAGGAGTTCGAGACCAGCCTGGCTGACATGGCGAAACCCTGTCTCTACTAAAAATACAAAAAGTAGCTGGGCATGGTGGCACACACCTGTAGTCCCAGCTACTCGGGAGGCTGAGGCAGGAGAATCTCTTGAACATGGCAGTGGAGGTTGCAACCATTTTGTGCTCTGTATTTAACAAAACAAAAACATCTGTTGAATAAACAGAGAGAGATGAATGAAATAGGCATGAGAGGGTAAAAGATCTGATAGGTACAAGTGGTCAATGAGAGATCGTGATGCAGAAAGCTTCCTCATTTCTAGCAGCACCCCAAGCCTGGTTAAATACCTGTGAAGCCAAGAAAAATTAATAATGAACAAAACATGGTCTATTTAGAGTGTCAAGACACCTTACAGATTGAATACCCCATGAGAAAAATGAGTGAAGGGAATAAGCCCAGAATTCACCAAAGAAAACATAAAAAATGCAACAATAGTGAGTTGTTTTTTTTAACCAGATGCAATGGTAACATAGTTTTGTAAAAAATAATAAATGCAAAACTTCTGAAATCAGAAGAAAACAGGTTTGGAATGTCAGAGCTACCTTGAATCAGCTGTCTGAACTTGGAGAATCAACAAGACCATTCAAAATGTTAATATGTTTTTCTAAATAGTGAGATAGCAGCATCTATCCTCCTGAGATGGGAGATGTAATCAATCTGTGTAAGGTGCTTTACATTGTTCCTTCCTGTTAGTGAATGAATAGTTATCACCAGTGATGAAGTGAGGCTGATATTTTTCCTTCTGGCTCTCAAAAGTCTCCCTTTTTTCTCTATCACCCGGTTACCCAATTCAATGGTCCTGTTTTAGTTCCTCATGATTTCTTCCAGGCTTCTGAGGCTGGCATCTCTATATACCCATATTCTCATTGATCCAGAAAAATCTATATTTCACAGCTGATCACCTAACACTCTGGCTTAAATGCCCACCCTGTGATTCCCCATGGGAGAAAGAAGCTGAAATTCTACAGCTTCAAACACAAGGCTTGACTCTGATACCTTCACACTGCCCTACCCCAACCCACATCAATCTTCCATAAGTTGACCAAGTTGACCTTGACTTTCAGCTTCACCAGAAGCCAGAGCTTCAATGCTCAATGTCTTCATACATTTATCTCCTTCTGCTTGAACTTGTTCCATAAAATAGCAGAAGAAGACTAATATTAAAAAAATAAGTCTTTGTGTTCTCACATATACCTGGGATATAAAAAATTAAAACTCATAGAAGTATAGAGTAGAATGGACATTACCAGAGGATAGGGGTGAGGACAGGGTCGATACAAAAAGGAAAATGTTAGTCAAAGGCTATAAAGTTTCAGCTGGACAGGAGGAATAATTTCTAGTGCTCCATTGCACAACATGGTGACTATTGTTGAGAATAATGTACTATATATTTCAAAATTGCTAAAATATTAAATTTTAAATGTTCTTTCCACAAACAAATGATAGATATGTGAGGTGATGGATAGGTTAATTAGCTCCACTTAATCATTCAACAGTGTATACATATATCATAACATCACGTTGTACCTCATAAATATATACAGTTACTATTGGTCCATCAAAAATTAAATTTAAAACTAAATTTTAAAAGATCTCATCAAAAAAGACAAAAAGGTAGCTATAAGGAAAAAGGGTTATAAAATAAGGTGGAAATACATATGATTTACTTCTACTAAAGATGCAGAAGAATTTTCTAAGTTAAGAAAAATTGGAGAGTGTGGGTTCATGATAGGACCAACTGAGAGATTTGACAAAGTTTATAAAACAAAGTTTATAAACTTTCTTTTCTTCATCCTGTATATATATATATATATATATATTTTTTTTTTTTTTTACACAATCCCTTGATGTACATCTATACATACATAAAAAATTAACTATTATTCAGCAAACTTGGTGAAAAATCTCTAATTCTTCATTTGAATGAATGCAATCAAAAGAATAAAAACACTCACACTCTAGAACATAAAAGCAAAGAACCTGCAAAATCTGCAATAGAGAAAGTAAATGGCTAACAAACCAACAAATGCTGTATACTCAGCCTCAGCAGAAAGGAAATAATTGCAATTAAAAACTCTTGAGTAATCCTAATTTGACCTATGAAATAATATTTTTTCAAGTGATTATGAAAAATAATCCAGAGATGTTTCTCAACATCCTACAACTAACGGGACAGCCCACACTACAGAAAGTTAAGCAGTAAAAATGTTAACACTAGAGAGGTTGAAAGGCTATTCTGTCCAGAATATGTCCAACTTCAATGTGTGTATGATTCAATTAGGGATCTTGTTCAAATGTAGATTCTCATATGGGGCCTCTAGGATAGGTCCAGACATTCTACATGTGTAATGGTTTCCCCGTTGATGTTGATGCTCCCTGACCTGTTGGGTGGTTCACTCTTTGAGGATCAAGGCTATGGTCCAGTGTTAGAGTCAATTAGTACTTCGAGATCTTCTCCAGCAAGAATCCTACCACACACCTCATATTTGACTTCAGGTGGTCAGTGTTGGACTGGGCAGGTCAGCTTTTGCATAAATAAAGATTGCATGTGCCTCTTGTGTGCTTCTCTCATGAAAGAAAATGAAACCTTTAGAAATTCCATCTACTGGCTGGGCGCTGTGGCTCACGTCTGTAATCTCAGCACTTTGGAAGGCTGAGGTGGGTGGATCACAAGGTCAGGAGTTTAAGACCAGCCTGGCCAATATGGTGAAACCCAGTCTCTATTAAAAATACAAAAATTAGCTGGGCGTGGTGGCACGTGCCTGTAGTCCCAGCTACCTGGGAGGCTGAGGCAGGAGAATCACTTGAGCTCAGGAGGCAGAGGTTGCAGTGAGCCAAGATCGTGCCACTGCACTCCAGCCTGGGTGACACAGTGAGACTCTGTCTCAAAAAAAAATTCCATCTACTTATGGAGTTTATGTGAGAAGTAAGCAATATTTTGAAGCTCATTGGAGATTACCTTGCACAGAGCAGATGCTCAATGGATATGTCAGCTCTTCTTGACTATGTCTTTAGTTCATCAAATTACTCCTTCAATTCTTGTAGGAAGTCTTATAAGAACTCCTTTAATTCTTCATAGAACACTTACTTTATTGCAAGTTTATAGCACATCATTCATTAACATTTAATGTGGACATAAGTATGAAATTCTTGCAAGTCTGTTTCTCATGCCAGTAAATTTAATTTTTACTTATTTATTAACTCCCCTATTGTCTTTGGGAATATTGTGTTTCTCCACCTTTGGCTCGGGGCTTTGCTAATACCTCAATTGGGAGGCATGTATATCCCTACAGTGGTTGATGTGGAGCATAGATATGTGATGTGCTTTGTCTGAAAGAATGTGCGCATTCATGAGAAGTCCAATGTCTATGAAGAAGTTGTAAGAGGCCTTGTGAGTTTCCACCACTTCTCTTGATCTTCCTCTGTCAAACTGTCCTTCCTATTCAAAATTCAAAAACTAACTAGATTTGGATAGTCGCATGGATGGAATATTTTGTCCTCTTCAAAATCCCTATGTCCTAATCCCAATGAAAAACTTTCCCAACATAAACTCCTATGTGATAAAAAAGCAGGACATTAAACCGTTGACTAATGGGATGGCTTATTATGCAGCAGTAGCTTACTGATACAATAAACAGTGCAAACAGATCTAAAGACATTCAAAATATTCTAATGCTTCTTAGTTTTTAACATTGGTTCTTATATTTGAGGCAGCATTAATGATTACCTGGATATTGATGCTTATGTCAGATAATTGTATTAAAACGAGAGTATTGTTTCCTTTTTTTCTAGGCAGCCAGGAAAGCTTGCAAGGACATATATGTTTTTGAAGGAATGAATTGTGACCTTGGTTCACACAAGTTTCTATTCCCAGAGGCAATAATAGGCAGAAATCCAAGTTCATGTGTGTGTATTCCTTTGATCGTGAGAGTTGAAGAGAGTTCAGAGTATAAAATATATAAAGCAACTGCTGATAAATGAAGCACACATATTGTTCACTTATCTGCACTTTAATGTTTATGACACAATTTTTAAAGGGGAAGATATTTGTTAGTACAATGGAAGGAGTCGTATTTATAGGTAGCACTGGAAAATTTTAAGTAAAATGAGGAAGCTAATACAATAAAATTATATGGACTATGACACCAAATCTCTCAGATGCACAAACTTCATTACACATGGACACTAAGCTTGTATGCTTCAAATGTTCCACAGTAATTCCATATGTGACTGAAAGTTTTATTCTGTCATATTGAAGGTAATTGCTGAGTCTTAAGGCCAGATGAAGTCAATTTATGTATGCTCACTTGTCTTTCTGTTTAGTTTACACTTGGAACATGTATTTTATAAGCAATTTTTAATCCCAGCACTTTGGGAGGCCGAGGTGGGTGGGTCACGAGGTCAGGAGATCGAGACCATCCTGGCTAACACAGTGAAACCTCGTCTGTACTAAAAATACAAAAAATTAGCCGGGCGTAGTGGCGGGCGCCTGTAGTCCCAGCTACTCGGGAGGCTGAGGCAGGAGAATGACGTGAACCCGGGAGGTGGAGCTTGCAGTGAGCCAAGATCACGCCACTGCACTCCAGCCTGGGAGACAGAGCGAGACTCTGTCTCAAAAATCAATCAACCAATCAATAAAATAAAAAAATAAAAAATAAGCAATTTTTGTCCTCCTTCTTTTTACCAGGGAATATAGAGGGCACTGTAGACACCAAGCAGAATAGAAGACAGGATCCTAAGGAAGAGAATAAAATTCCAGGAGTAGCTATAAAACACACTAGTATATTAAAATTTACATTGTGAGGAGGACCAGTTAAGGCAGTGACAGAGAAAGAAATAACAAATGGAAAAATGAAAACCTGTGGTCTCAGCTAGGCATCCACAGTAAAATTATATTAATGACCTTAGAGTGGCCATTCTTAATTATTTGGGCTAACACAACTCATTACTGCATGAGACGGATAGGAATCTCCACCTTGTTTCTGACCCTAGTCTGGGAATAACTTTGCAAAAGTTGGAAAATGACAAAGGACAAAAAAACTGTTGGCTGTTTGAGAGCTGAAAGCTTTTAAAGAAAAGGCATACATTTTACAAAGCAGTTAAGATCATACAAATCCCAAAAAATTAACAGAAGGAACCACTTCTGTTTTCACAATCTGACTAATAAATCACAATGTTTGGGTCTGGGGCTTACAGCTCTGGAATCACAGACCCTTCTTGAAAAATGGCTCTTTTAAAAAAATTTTTTTTTTTTTAAATTTTGAGACAGAGTCTCACTCTGTCTCCCAGGCTGGAGTGCAGTGGCATGATCTCAGCTCACTGCAACCTTGCCTCATGGGTTCAAGCGATTCTCCTGCCTCAACCTCCTGAGTGGCTGGGACTACAGGCGCATGCCACTACGCCCAGCTAATTTTTGTATTTTTAGTAGAGATGGGGGTTTCACCATGTTGGCCAGGCTGGTCTTGAACTCCTGACCTCATGATCTGCCCACCTCTGCCTCCCAAAGTGCTGGGATTACAGGCTTGAGCCACTGTGCCCAGCCGAAAAATGGCTCTTTTATTGTTTCCCTCTGAAGAATTGTGTCAGAGCCCCCTTTATGTCTTTATTCCTCAGACTGTAAATGAAGGGGTTGAGCATGGGGGTGACCACAGTGTACATCACCGAGGCGACAGCAGTTGAGTGTAAGTTTTGGGTCATAGTAGAGCTAAGGTACACCCCTAGCCCCGTACCATAAAATATGGAGACAACTGAGAGGTGAGATGCACAGGTGGAAAGTGCCTTGTACTTCCCCTGAGTTGACGAGATTGCACGTATGGAGGAAACTATCCTACAGTAAGAATAAAGGATCCCAACGAGAGGACCACCGTCCAGCAGCACAGCTGCAAAATGCATCACCATGTTGTTCACAAAGGTGTCAGAACAGGCAAGGTGGATCATCTCATTAAGTTCACAGAAAAAGTGAGGGATTTCCAAGTCTGTGCAGAAGGACAACTGCAATGTCACTAAGCTTTGTAACATGGAGTTTAGGACACTCATGATCCAGGACACCAGAACCAGCAGTCCACAGAGCTGAGGGCTCATGATGACCGTGTAGTGCAGGGGGTGACAGATGGCCACAAACTGGTCATAGGCCATCACGGTCAGGAGTAAGCTGTCCAACACTATAAAGAGTACAAAAAAGCACATCTGGGTGATGCAACCTGCATAGGTAATGACTTTGCTCTGTGTCTGGATGTTCACCAACATCTTTGGGACCATGGTGGAGGCAAAACAGATATCTACGAAGGACAGGTTGGAGAGAAAGAAGTACATGGGGGTGTGGAGGCAGGAGTCTGAGATTGCGGCCAGGATGATGAGCAGGTTCCCGAGCACAGTGACCAGGTACATGGACAGGAACAGCCCAAAGAGGAAGGGCTGCAATTCTTGTTTCTCTGAAAATCCTAGAAGAAGAAATTCTGAAATTTGTGTCTCATTCCCTGCTTTCACCTGGTTGATGTTTCTACCAAAAACAAACAAACAAACAAAAAAACACACAAGAAAGAACAGAACATGAGAAAAACATGCATTACAAACTTACCAGAAATGCTGTCATACATATTCTACAGTGAAGAAGCTACGTTTTATTTTATTTTTTATTTTTATTTTTTTGAGTTAGAGTTTTAATCTTTATGCCCAGGCTGGGGTGCAATGGCGTGATGCTGGCTCACTGCAACCTCCGCCTCCCAGGTTCAAGCGATTCTCCTATCTCAGCCTCCCAAGTAGCTAGGATTACAGGCGCACGCCACCATGCCTGGCTAATTTTTGTATTTTTAGTCAAGACTGGGTTTCACCATGTTGGCCAGGAAGGTCTCAAACTCCTGACCTTAGGTGATTCACCCGCCTCGGCATCCCAAACTGCTGGGATTACAAGCATGGGAAGAAGTAGTATCTAAGGTTATGGTTTCATATTATATAATGATATAAGGATTCCAATATTTATGAGAAAGGTGGTCTTTAGTCAGATGATAAATAATGATCACCAAATGATGGTCAAAGGTAATGCAACTTCTAAGAAGAGATCTAATACAAAAAGCCAAAAAGCACAATAAAAAATAAGAGAGAAAACAAGTTGGAAATGCATGCATAAAAGGCAATTTATTTGTCCAAATGTTGCAGAAGAACTTTCTACATTTATGTAGCAAGGAGGGGAGCACACTATGATCAATGGATTTGGCTACACAATACTTCTAAGCTTTCACACATTTCCCTCAAATACATTGAAAGTTACATAACAGTAATAAAAGACATATGCCAAAATTGATGAAGAACTCCAAGTCTTATATTTTGATAAATGAAATAAAACAGGATTAAAAATATTACAAACCCATTTTACAAAAGGAAAGTTCATGTACAGTTTGCAATAGCTGTAAATGTCTAACAAATACACAGATATATTTAGCTTCACTAGTAAAAAAAAGTGGCAAAGTTTGTTAGTATTTCACTTTTTCACCCATTAAATAAGTTTTTGATTTCATTTGAATACTTAGCATGAGAGAAGATACTACAAAATGTATACCTCATGACTGCTGTTGTCAGGTAGTTTTTGAAAGGAATTCATTGGTCTGGATCTTTCTCACCAATATGGAAAGACAGTCAAATATGCCCCTTCTTAAAAACAAACAAACGAACAGACAAACAAATCCCTCTCTTCAGTGTATATCTCTCCACAGGTAATTGACAGAGCAGGAGCACCATCATCTTGGACAACCGCCACTTTAAGTTCCAGCTCCTTTTCTAACCTCATGCATCTTAAGAAAATCACTTCTCTTCTAACAACAAGCAGCCAGAAAGAGCAGACAGTAAAACACAGATAAGACAGCTCGGGCATAGAGGGAGGGGGAAAGTCTCTTGGGTAACCACCAAACCTGGCACTCACACAGTGGGCCCCAGAAAAACAGTGGGCTCTAATAAGCACATTCCTTTCCCTTTAGGTGCACTAAGATAGGGAAGCTAAAAGCAGACTTGGGGGGTATGCCTGCAGCTGCAAGAAGATGTACGGGAACAGACACAAAAACTCTCTCTCCAGGTAAGCAAGACAAAGAGGCACAGAAACATTCCAAGCCGGTGATAAGCTCTCCCGCCTTGAACCCTTAAAAACTCTTAGTCTGTAAGAGAGTGCCTTGGCTGGCACAGTGGCTTACATCTGTAATCCCAGCACTTTGGGAGGCTGAGGCAAGCAGATCATGAGGTCAGGAGTTTGAGACCAGCCTGGTCAACATAGTGAAACCCTGTCTCTACTAAAAATACAAAAAATTAGCTGGGCGTGGTGGCAGGCACCTGTAGTCCCAGCTACTTGGGAGGTGGAGGCAGGAGAATCACTTGAACTTGGGAGGCAGAGGTTGCAGTGAGCTGAGATTGCACCACTGCACTTCAGCCCGGGCAACAGTGTGAGACTCCGTCTCAAAAAAAAAAAAAAAAAAAAAGAAAGAGAGTACCTCTGACCTAACTCAGCCAGAAGCCCCTCTCAGGTTTGTTCTCCAAAATAAACCTGTCTTCAACCGTTGAGCTGCTTTTCATGTTTCTTTAACTATTACAGTAGTACCCTATTTTTCATCTTCACTTAATTGTAAAGATCCTTGGGCACGGATGCTACTTTTACTGGAGCCACTTTAATCATCTCATTTCCTCTTCTAATTGGGCTTCTATTACTATTACTTCATTGTCAACAATCATCCTCCAATGCTGAATTCAATGTTCATGTCTCTTTTTAGTATCCTAAGTAAATACCTGAATCAATTAATTAGTCAGGCAAGTTAGCAAACAACCACAACAATCTCTCCACTCTAGCACTGGTTGGTTTGGCTCTCAGGTAGCCTTAGGTTCACGTTCACAGCTCCCATTCTCCCTGACCCTTTCCCGCAGTACCTACTGGACTCTTTGACTTACCTTGACTGGTTTTCTGAAAGAAAAGCCTCCATGTGGAAGTGTGAATTCCTCCCTGAATGGTTGTTGGTGGAGATGGAAGCTCTGTCCCGAGACAAGACAGTAGGAGAAAGGAAAGCATCGGTGCCCAAGCCAGCAGATTTAGACTCCAAAAAACACAAGCATGTCCCATCCAGCCCAAGGTTGCATATGCTAAGTGACAACAGCCAAGGGGGTACTTACAGATTTGCACATTAGGTGCATTTCCTCTTGTTATTCCAACCCTGAGCAGATCATTTTCCTTTGGGATTTTACCCTGCTCTGAATTGATTTTTTCCCTGTATTCTCTATTCCCAAGACACCATATTAAGCCTGCAGTGAATCCAGTCTTTATTATTCCTTCTCCATGGACTTGTTTGCCTTCCAGAGTTCTAACCTCCTAATGCCTTACTCTATTCCTCATTCCCGAGGGAAGGTTTTCTCCTAAGTCTAAACTAAGGAACTTGTCTTAACTATGTTCCTTGCATCTCCAAGGTATTCACTTGTGATGGGAACACAGCCCTTGATATCTCCAGAATTATCGCTATTTTCCTCTTTAACAAGGGGGTGAACTCTGTTCTGATATAAAACCGTGAGTCCTACATTTCTTGAAATCATGATGCTTTTGCCAAAACAATGAGAAATTTTGTACTTCTTAAAAAGGTTAAGAGCTGTCATTTAATTCTTCATGTATAAAACATCTGGTTACTCTTAAGAGATATATTTGGCTCTTTTCATGCAAGTTGCCCTGAGAATAGCACCTTCTAAAGATTATTTAATTTAATTTTTCAAAATTTATTTATTTAAATTGACAGATAAAATTGTATTTATCACAAAAAACATCACATTTTGAGGTATATATACATTACAGAATGGTTAGGTCTAGCTAATGGATATATGTTTTACCTCACATAGTTATCATTTTTGTAGTGAAAACACTTAACATCCACTCTCTTAACATTTTCCAGAAACACCATATATCATCCTTAAATATAAAATCTTCATGCTATACTATAGATCTGCTGAACGTATTTTTTCTGGCTGCAATTTTGTATCCTTTGACAAACATTTCCCCACTCCTCCTCCCACAACAGCTGTAGCCTCTGGTAGCCACTGTTCTACTCTATAATTCTATGAGATCAACTTTTTTATATTCCATATGATTAAGATCATGTGATATTTGTGTTTCTGTGCCTAGAATATTTCACTTAACATAATGCTCTCTAGGTTCTTTCATTTTGTTGCAAATCACAGTATTTCCTTCTTACACAGGGCTGTATAGTATTCCATTATGTACATATGCCACATTTTAATATCCATTCATCCACTAAGGTACACTTAGATTGACTTCATATCTTGGCTATTGTGACACTGCAATAAACAGGAAAGTGCAGATATCTGTTTAATACACTATTGTCATTTCCATTGGATAAATACCTAGTGGGATCCCTGAGTCGCATTCTATTTTTAACTTTTTGAGGAACGTACATACTGTTTTCCATAATGGCTATACTAATTTACATTCCATGAACAATGTATAAGATTTCCCCTTTCTCCATATCGTTGTCAGCATTTGTTATTTTTCCTGTCTTTTGATAATAGCCCTGTTAGCTGGGATGACGTGGTATCTCATTGTGGATTCAATTTGCATTTCCCTGATAATTCGTGACTTTGAGCACTTTTCATGGACCATTGTATACTTGTATGTCTTCTTTTGAAAAAAGTGTCCTCAGGTCGTTGCCTATTTATTAATCAGATTATTTTTTCCCACTATTGAGTTTTAAAATACATTCTAGATAACCATTTTTCAGATGTTTAGTTTGGAAATATTGTCTCTCATTGTACAGCTTTTCTCTTGGATCTGTCAATTATCTCCTTTGCTGTGCAGAAGATTTTTTAGTTTGATGTCATCCCATTCATCTATTTTTACTTTTGTAATCTATGCTTTTGAAGTTTTATTTTGAAAAATCTTTACCTTGGCTAATTTTATGAAGCTTATCCCATGTATTTTCTTCTAGTAGTTTCATAGTTTTTGGTATTCCATTTAAATATTTATTTCATTTAAAGTTAATTTTTGTATATAGCAAGAAAAGGAATCTAGTTTCCTTTTTCTGAATGTGGATATCCAGTTTTCCCAGTAGCATTCATTAAAAAGACTGTCCTTTCACCAATATGTGTTCTTGGCACTTTTGTCTAAAATCAGTTGGCTGTAAATATGTGTTTATTTATGGGTTTTCGTCTCTGTTCCTTTGGCCCATGTGTATGTTTTTATGCCAGCACGAAGCTGGTTTAGGTACAATAGCTTCATAATATAGTTTGAAGTCAGATAGTGTGATGTCTCCAGCTTTGTTCTTTTGGTTCAACATTGTTTTAGCCATGTAGGGTCTTGGATGGTTCCATATGTATTATACAATTTTTTTTGTATTTCTGTGAAGAATGTCATTGGTATTTTGACAGGGATTGCACTGTGTCTTTTGATCACTTTGGGTATTATGGGCATTTTGATAATATTGTTATTTAGTTATTTATTTACTTTTTGAGACAAAGTCTCACTCTGTTGCCAGACTGAAGGCCAGTGGCACGATCCCCACTCACTGCAACCTCCACCTCCCAGGTTCAAGTGATTCTTGTGCCTCAGCCTCCTGAGTAGCTGGGACACAGGCATCCGCCACCTTGCCTGGATAGTTTTTGTATTTTTAGTAGAGATGGGGTTTTGCCACGTTTGCCAGGCTGGTCTCAAACTCCTGACCTCAGGTGATCTGCCTGCCTTGCCCTCCCCAAATCCTGGGATTATAGGCATGAGCCACCGCACCTGGCCAATTTTGACAATATTAATCAGGAATACATGTTCTACCTTCAGTCCTTGGCAGAGAGCATGTATTCTAAAGTTTTAATGAGAAAATCTTTCATGCATTTGAGGAATATAAAGTGGATTTTGGCATATTCCAGGCACTGTCCAGAAAATGAATGTGTGATGTTATAAAACAAAAGAAGAAAGAGGTAAGAAGGAGAATGTGGATGGAGTGTTATTTTTTATTGGGTGGTCAGGTAAGACCAGTAGACAAGGTGACAACTGAACAGAGACCACAATGAAGACAGGGTGGAGTCACCATGTTCCTTGCAGAAGCGTATGCAAGGCAGAAGGAACGACAATGAAAGACCCTGAGGCGTGTTCTTCTTTCAGATGTTCAAGTCCAACAAGTAAGCCAGTGTGGCAGGCAAACAAGCAAGAGGAGAGGAATGAGAGATGGTTTCAGAGGATATTGAGGAAGGAGTTGGCCTGGAAGCTGCTGAAACCTGAAGACACAAGGAGTCCTTCTGTCCAGATGTTGCATTTGCACTTTATTAATTTGGTTGCAAAGGCGCCCCATGAATTGCAATGAACTTCCTCTTTGTTTCCTGCTGTGGCCTTGAGTTCTGATGTTCATATGATGAGTTATCTTTTGGAATACATAGCCCAGGTTCTCTTTGTCTGAAACTTCTCACCCTAAAGAAACACACACACACACATACACACGGAACACATATACACATCTGACGTTCATATTTTGTGTTGTCATTTGGAATATGTAACTCAGGATCTCTTTGTCTGAAACTTCTTCTCACTCTGAAGCATCATACACACACACACACACATAAACACACACACACACATAGACACATACACACATATATACGGAACACACATACACATCTGCTGTGGCTTCCTGGGTGCATGTTACTCCCATGCCCTTCTCAACACCAATTACAGCATTAGAAAGGAAATGGATACCAGGTAAGATTTGAATAATGAAAATCTAAAACAAACTTATGAAAGAAAAGATATGAAATAAATTACTGACGTGAGTCAGAAATTCAAAATTAAAGTGGCAAACATCTGCAAATAAATGCTCAACCATTGTGGAAGACAGTGTGGCAATTCCTCAGAGATCTAAAGACAGAAATATCCTTCAACCCAGCAATCCCATTCCTGGGTATATACCCATAGGAATATAAATCATTCTATTATAAAGACACATGCACACGTATAGTCATTGCAACACTATTCAAAATAGCAAAGACATGGAGTCAACCTAGATGCCCATGAATGATAGACTGGATAAAGAAAATGTGGTACATATATACCATGGAATACTATGCAGCCATAAAAAAGAACAAGATCATGTCCTTTGCAGCAACATGGTTGGAGTTAGAGGCCATTATCCTTAGCAAACTAACACAGGAACAGAAAATCAAATACCAGATGTTCTCACTTACAAGTGGGAGCTAAATCATGAGAACACACGGACACAGAGAAGGGAAAAACACACTGGGGCCAACTGGAGGGTGGAGGGTGGGAGGAGGGAGATCAGGAAAGATAACTAATGGGTACTAGGCTTAATACCTGGGTGATGAAATAATCTGTACAATAAACCCCCATGACACGTGTTTACCTATGTAACAAAACTGCACATGTACCCCTGAACTTAAAAGTAAAAAAATTAAAATACGCTTTTTTTAGCAGTAGAAGAAACAGTATTTAAAGCCATAATTTCATTCCTATCTAAGTATAAATGGATCCAAATATGCTTACGAAAAAGATCTTAAGTTGAATGTAATTTTAGTTTGTATTCAATTGTAGGTTGTGAGTGCAAAAGAGTATCTTCCACAAGATGGCAGTAGATTACTGCTTTAAAATATAGATCTGCATATTCTCATTTATATGCAGAATCTAAATAATCAAACTCATAGGGATAGAGAGGAGTAAGGCAGTGGTTACCAGGGACTGGAGTATGGGGTGGGGTGGATGCAGAAAGCGGAGACATTAGATAAAGGATATAAAGTTAGCAAGAATGGGTTCTAGTAATCTATTGCACAGCATGATGACTTTAGTTGAGAATAATGTATTATATATTTCCAAAGTGCTAGTATCATAGATTTTAAATGTTCTCAACCACAAAGACATGATAAGTGTATGAAGTGACCGATACATTAATTAGGTTCCTTTAATCATTCTACAATGAATACATATAAAATAACATCTTATCCTGTGTTAGTTTGCTGAGAATGATGGTTTCCAGCTTCATCCATGTCCCTGCAAAGGACATGAACTCATCCTTTTTTATGGCTGCATAGTATTCTATGGTGTATAGGTGCCACATTTACTTTATCCAGTCTACCATTGACGGGCATTTGGGTTGGTTCCAAGTCTTTGCTATCGTGAACAGTGCTGCAATAAACATACGTGTGCATGTGTCTTTATAGTAGAATGATTTATAATCCTTTGGGTATATACCCAGTAATGGGATTGCTAGAAAACCAAACACTGCATGTTCTCACTCACAAGTGGGAGTTGAACAATGAGAACACACGGACACAAGGAGGGGAACATCACACACCGGGGCCTGTCGGTGGGTGGAGGGCTAGCGGAGGGATAGCCTAATGCAGATGATGACGGCTTGATGGGTGCAGCAAACCACCATGGCACGTGTATACCTATGTAACAAACCTACGTGTTCTGCACATGTATCCCAGAACTTGAAGTATAATAAAAAATAAAAATAGAAATAAAAATAAAATAACATCTTACTGCACCCCACAAGAATGCAATGATTTTTGTCAATCAAAACAGAAATTAAAACATTAAATTAAAAATAAAAATAGATCTAATTACAAAAGGAAGCAATAAGCAAAAACAGATGTGAAATAAGATGGAAATACTTATGAAGGATGATATATTTCTAGCAATGATGCAGAAGAATTTTCTAAGTCAAAAAACAATTGGAGAGGTGGGAACAAATTATGACAAACAGATTTGAGCACACAACGCTTATAAACTTTCACACATTTTCCTGATATACACCTCTACATACATAAAAATTAAACATTATTCAGCAAAGTTGGTGAAAAAGCTACAATTTCTTGTTTGAAAGAATGCAGTCAAAAGAATGAAAACATTCAGACGTCAGAACATGAAAGCAGGGAACTTGCATAATTTGCAATAGAGAAAATAAAAAGCAAACAAATCCAGCCTCACCAGAAGAAGAAAATAATTGCAAGCAAAAACTCTTTAGTATTCTCATTTTGACCTATTGTATAACATTTATTTTTCATGTGAATATCCAACATGAAAGAAGAGACTATGAAATGTATGTCTTGTGAACTGCTGTTGCAAGATGGAATTTACAAGTAATCCATTGGTGTGGATCTTTGCAGTTAAGCACAGAAACATGCTCAAATACGCCTCTCTTAAAATTTGTTCCAAAGTCTCTCAATTCATTGCACATCATTCCACACCAAATATTCTACTATCCTGCTTCTTTCACTGCAAAATTTCTAGTATGTGTTGTAATTTACTGGAACCACTTTTTGTCTTCCATTCCTTCTTCAATCTCATCCAAATCAACTTCCTTTATTATCACTTAGTTGTCAGCAATGATCCCTGCATTGCTTAGTATGACAAACACTTCTCTTTTTAACATATTAACTATATTAAATATAAATTAGTCAACCAGGCAAACAAACACACATCAATCTCTCAGCTTGACTTAGGCTAGTTTGGCTTTCAGGTAACACTAGGTAAATATTCTTGACTTATATTGCCTCTGAACATTTTCTGCAGTACCTACTGGGCGGACTCACCTGTATGGGGTCTCAGAGAGGAAGGTCTCCATATGGAAGTCTGAGCTCCTCCCTGGATGCTGATAATGGAGAATGAAGCTCTGTCCCCAGACAAGACAGTAAGAAGAAGTGAAACATCAGCACCTTAGCCAGACATATGTCTACAAACCATTCACATCACATCCAGTCCGAAGCTGTTACAGTCTTAAGGACAATAGCAGATGAAATAGATTTTTACAATTCCCTGTATCTATGCATCAGACAAATTTCCCTTTTTTCACTCCAATCCATGAGCACCTAATCTTTTTTCATCTGTTGACTTTTAAAAAAGTTATTTAAATAGTTTTTTGGGGAACAGGTATTGTTTGGTTACATGAATAAGTTCTTTAGTGATTTCTTTTTTTTTTTTGAGACAGAGTCTCGCTCTGTCGCCCAGGCTGGAGTGCAGTGGCGCGATCTCAGCTCTCTGCAAGCTCCACCTCCCGGGTTCACGCCATTCTTCCGCCTCAGCCTCCTTAGTAGCCGGGACTACAGGCGCCCACCACCACGCTCGGCTAATTTTTTGTATTTTTAGTAGAGACGGGGTTTCACCCTGTTAGCCAGGATGGTCTCGATCTCCTGACCTCGTGATCTGCCCGCCTCGGCCTCCAAAAGTGCAGGGATTACAGGCATGAGCCACCGCGCCCGGCCTTTAGTGGTGATTTCTGAGATTTTGGTGCACTCATCACCTGAGCAGTGTACGCTGTACCCCATGGATAGTCTTTTATTCCCCATCCCCCTCCCACCCTTTCCCCAAGTCCCCAAAATCCATTGTATCATTCTTATGCCTCTGCATCCTCGTAGCTTAGCTCCCACTCATGAGTGAGAACCTATGATGTTTGGTTTTCCATTCCTGAGTTACTTCACTTAAAATAATGGTCTTCAATTTCCATCCAGATTGCTACGAATGCCATCAATTCATCCTTTTCATGGCTGAGTAGTGTCCCACGGTGTGTGTGTGTATATAACAATTTCTTTAGCCACTCATTGTTTGGTGGGCATTTAGGTTGGTTCCATATTTTTGCAATTATGAGTTGCATGAGCACCTGATTTTTCGTTGGACACAGGTCTGGAAAAGAAGAAACATTTTTCTGCTGATTCTGTTCCAAAGAGATCAGGCTAGAAGTCAGGTGAATCCAGACTTCATTACTTCTCTGTGAAATCTCCCACCTGACGATGGTCTAGCCTCCTTAGCACTTTTGCTGAAACTTGAGTTAAAATTGTCTCCAAAGATTAAGACGAAGAATATGTCTTCACCAGGGCCCTTGGAAACTCAACGTATTGACTTCTGGTAAGAACATAGTTTTATTGACATCTCCAGAAAATTGCAATTCCCTCTCCAACAATGGAGATAATGTGTTCATTTGCTATAAAACCATTGATAGTTAGTATAATCCTTGGCTTCCTGATGCTATCGACAAAACAATTAGGAGTTTCATGCTTGTATACACAAGAAAGTGTTGTCATTTAATCCTTAATTTATGAAACATTTGGCTATTGCAAGAGATATAATTACACATTTTATGCACCATGGACTGAAGTTGGAATCTTACATGGTTTGTCTCATTTAATGTCACATGTAATGTGTCTCATTTTTGCACATTCCCATGCTACGAGGAGCCTCTTTCTACATTTGTAGAATTGGGGCTAAGAAGGGTTAAGTGATCTGCCCAGTGTTATGAACTGAGGGAAGGATGAGCTTTGATTGGAACTCCATCAAGATGTTTCTAGTTCTTGGCTGCAGGCGGTGGCTCATCCCAGCACTTTGGGAGGCCGAGGTGGGTGGATCACGAGGTCAGGAGCTCGAGACCAGCCTGGCCAATATGGTGAAACCCCATCTCTAATAAAAATACAAAAAATTAGTTGGGCGTGGTGGCAGGTGCCTGTAGTCCCAGCTACTCGGGAGGCTGAGGCAGGAGAATCGCTTGAACCCAGGAGGCAGAGGTTGCAGTGAGCCAAGATCACACCACTGCACTCCAGCCTGGGTGACAGAGCGAGACTTGGTCTCAAAACAAAACAAAACAAAACAATACAATACAAAACAAAACAAAAAAAACGGTTTCCAGTTCTCACAGTCTCGGTCAGTGGTTCTCAACCAGGGATGATTGTCCTTCCATGAGACACTTGGAAATGTCTGGATACATTTTTTGTTGTTGTCACCTAGGGAGGTGCTACTGGAACCTAGTGGATTAAAGCCAGGGATTGCTGTTCAACATCTCACAATGCACAGAACAGTCTACACCAGAAGTATCCATAAACATGTTAACCTTGGAGAGGTTGAGAGAATGTTTTGGAAAAGAATATACTCAAATTGAAAGTTTTTATAATTCATTTGGGACCTTGTTCAAATGCAGATTCTGATTTGGGACATTGAGGGTAGGCAGAAACGTTGTGCATTTGTGGCTGTTTCCCTGTTGATGGTGATGCTGTTCATTCTGTTCTGTGAAGCACTCTTTGAGGATCCAGTGTTAGAGTCAAAGAAAACTACTTTTAAACCTTTTTCACCAAGAATCGTACCACATACCTCATGTCTGCCTTTAGGAGGTCAAATGTTTCCCTCAGTGGCTCAGCTTCTGCAGAAACAAGTTTATACAAGCCTCTTGAGTACTTCCCTCACAGTAGGATAAAAAACTTTTAGAAATTCCACCCACCTTGTAGAATTTATGTGAGAAGTAAGTAACAGTTTTTTAAAATTTTACTTTAAGTTCTGGGATACATGTGCAGAACATGCAGATTTGTTACACATAGGTATACATGTGCCATGGTGGTTTGCAGCACCTATCAACCCGTCATCTAGGTTTTAAGCCCCGCATGCATTAAGTATTTGTCCTAATGCTCCCCCTCCCCTTTCCTCCCCAACCCTGCCAACAGTCCCCAGTGTATGATGTTCCCCTCCCTGTGTCCATGTGTTCTTACTGTTCAACTCCTACCTATGAGTGAGAACATGTGGTGTCTGGTTTTCTGTTCCTGTGTTAGTTTGCTGAGGATGATGGTTTCCAGTTTCAGGACATAGGCATGGTCCAAGACTTCATGACTGAAACAACAAAAGCAATGGTAACAAAAGCCAAAATGGACAAATAGGATCTAATTAAACTAAAGAGCTTCTGCACAGCAAAAGAAACTATCATCAGATTGAACAGGCAACCTACAGAACAGGAGAACATTTTTGCAATCTATCCACCTGACAAAGGTCTAATATCCAGAGTCTACAAGGAACTTAAACAAATTTGCAAGAAAAAAACAAATAACTCCATCAAAAAGTGGGGGAAGGATATGAACAGCAATAACAGTTTAAAGCTCACTGGAAATTCCTTGGCACAGAGGAGCTGTTCAATGGAGAGCAGCTATAGTGACTAGGTTCCAACTCCCCATTTCCTAGGCTCATGGTGACACCAGAATGGTGTTTGGGGACAGGAAGTGAGTCTAGCATTGCCCTGCTCCTGGGAGGCAGCAAGTTGTGATCATGAAGGAGGACTTCTACCTAAGGCCCTGTATAGGGAGAAGAGAACTTGAGAGGCCATCATTCTATACTTTGTTGAATTCAGGGACATCATCTGTGTTACTCTTATGTTCCCTCCAAATAGTCATATTAAGGAATTTTTAGACTCTTTCAAGCTGTTCTACTATCTTCTTCTCTTAGGAATATCTATAAAGCTGATGTTTCTTGGTGGATCATATTAATCCTCTAGCTCTTCTGGGAACTCCTCCAAGTCTTCATAGAAATCTTATCTTACTTGTTGAAAGTCTATAGAATGTAATTCATAAACACTTAATGTTAACAGAAGTGCACAATATTTGCATGTCTGTTTCACCCCCAGATAGATAATTTTTATTTTTTACTTATTTATTGAGTCCTCTATTGTCTTTATGACAATTGTCATTCTCCATCCTTGGCTCTGGGTCTTGATGATACCTCATTTGGGAAGAATCTATGTCCCTGAAATGGTTGACATTGAGCTTGAACATAAGACTGCTTTTTCTATCAGGATTTGAGCAGTCATGAGATGTTCAGTATTAAGAAGAAATAAGAGTTATTGTGAGATCCCACCACTTCTACTGATCTTCCTCTCCATTCACCATGTCCAAAATTGAAAAAACGAACTAGATTTGGATGGTCCTGTGGACTCAATGTTTTTGTCTCCTCCAGTATTCATATGTATTAATCCTTATTATAAAATCTTCTTTAGTATAGCTCCCTATGTGGAAATAAAAGCATGTCATTAAACCTTTTTCTATTAGTATACCTTGTTATGCAGCAGTAGCTTAATGATACAATCAATGCAAGCAGAACAAAAGAATTCAGAATAATTTAATGCCTCTTATTTTTGGACATTTGTTCTGATATTTAAAGGCAGCATTCATGTTTATTTCAGATAACTGTATAAAAAATGAGACTACCTATTAGATTCCCTTCTAGGGAGCTAGAATATTTTGAAAGAACGTGTATGTATTTGTAGATATAAATTGTGATTCTGATTCACAAGTCTCTATTCTCCAAGCCAATGCTGGTTAGAAATTCAGGTTCCTTTGTGAGTCATCATTTGATTATAAGGGTTGAAGAGAGTTAGAGTATAAAAGAGACAAATGAACTGATGATAAGTTAAATACACACATTGTTCACTTACCTACATTTTAATGGCTAAGACACAATATTTTAAAAGGAAGATTTTAAGCAGGACAACAGAAGGAGTCTTATTTGTGTGTAGCACTGTAAATTTTTAAGCAGAAACAGTAAAATGATATAATGAAATTACATAGACTGTGATTCCAAATCCTTCCCTTGGACTAACAAACCTCATTACAAATGGGCACCAAGCCTCTATAAGTAGATGTATATCATCAGATCAAATCTCCCAATGCAATTCAATGTATGACTGATTTTTTTTTTTGAGATGGAGTCTCTGTCACCCAGGCTGGAGTGCAGTGGTGTGATCTCAGCTCACTGCAACCTCCACCTCCCAGGTTCAAGTGATTCTCCTGCCTCAGCCTCCTGAGTAGCTGGGATTACAGGCATGTGCCACCATGCCCGGCTAATTTTTGCATTTTTAGTAGAGACAGGGTTTCACCATGTTGGCCAGCCTGGTCTTGAACTCCTGACTTCAGGTAATCCACTTGCCTCAGCCTCCCAAAGTTCTGGGATTACAGGCGTGAGCCACCATGCCGGGCCAAAAATTTTACTCCATCTTTTTTTCTTTTATATTTTTGTGGGTACATAGTAGATGTATATACTTATGGGGTACATGAGATGTTTTGATACAGGCATGCGTTATATAATAATCACATCATGGTGAATGGGGTACCCACCCCATTAAGCATTTATTCTTTCAGTTATGAATAAATTTTTTAATCCATATTCTTTCAGGTGTTTTTGTAATCTAAGTCCAGATGAAATCAATTGATTCACACAAATTTATTTTTCTGTGCAGACTACACTTGAAGTGTGAATTTGATAGGCAATTTTTTTTTTTTTGAGATGGAGTTTCGCTCTTGTTGCCCAGACTGGAGGGCAATGCTGTGATCTCGGCTCACTGCAACCTCCGTCTCCCGGGTTCAAACCATTCTCCTGCCTCAGTCTCCTGCGTAGCTGGGATTACAGGCATGCGCCACCACGCCCAGCTAATTTTGTATTTTTGGTAGAGACGGGGTTTCTCCCTGTTGGTCAGCCTGGTCTCCAACTCCCTACCTCAGGTGATCCGCCCGCCTTGGCCTCCCAAAGTGCTGGGATTACAGGCCTGAGCCACCGTGCCTGCACTTGATAGGAAATTTTTACCTTCTTACTCTTTCCAGGGAATTGAGCAGGCACGGTGGACACTGAACTGAATAGAGGACAGGACCCTAATGAGTAGGATAAAATGCCATGATGACAGCACTTTGGGGGGCCGAGGCAGGCGGATCCCCTGAGGGTAGGAGTTCGAGACCAGCCTGGCCAACATGGTGAAACCCCTTCCCTACTAAAAATACAAAAATTAGCCGGGCATGGTGGTACATGCCTGTAATCCCAGCTCCTTGGGAGGCTGAGGCAGGAGAATTGCTTGAACCCAGGAGGCAGAGGTTGCAGTGAGCTGAGATGATGCCACTGCACTTCAGCCTGGGTGACAGAGCGAGACTCCATCTAAAAAAATAAATGCCATGATGAGCTAAAATGCACACTCGTGTGGGGTAAAGTTTACATGACCAGGAAGAACACTTAAGGTGGTGGTGGAGAAAGGAATAAGCTCAAAGTGAAAAACTGTCTTCTCAGATATTTATCTAAAATAAAATTATATTAATGACCTTATGGCTGCCAGGTGCAATTGATTCTGCAGGACTAATGCAACCCACAAGTGTAGGAGAAAAATAGGAATCTCCACCTTGTTTCTGACCCTAGTTTGGGAAAAACATTGGGAAAGTAGGAAAATGACAAAAAAAAAAAAAAAAAAAAGATTGGATATCAGAGAGCGGAAAGCTTTATAAAGGAATACATTAAATTCTATGTCAGTTGAGATCAAAGAAATTGAAACTCTGAGAAAAAATAGAAGGAGCAAATTCCACTTTCACAACCTGATTCGTGAATCACAATTTCTGAGTATGAGACTTAAAGCTCTGAAATCACAGTTATTTCTTGAAAAATGGCCCTTTTATTGCTTTCCTCTGAAGGACATTTTCAGAGCCCTCTTTATGTCTTTATTCCTCAGACTGTAGATAAAGGGGTTCAGCATGGGGGTGGCCACAGTGTACATCACTGAGGCTGTTGCACTTGTGTGTGAGTTGTGGGTTGCAGCAGAAGTAAGGTACACACCTAGGCCCGTACAACAAAATAAAGAGACAACTGAGAGGTGTGATGCACAGGTGGAAAATGCCTTGTACTTCCCCTGAGCTGATGAGATTGCACGTATGGAGGAAACTATCTTAGAGTAAGAGCAAAGGATCCCCACAAGGGGACCACCAGCCAGCAGCCCTGCTGCAAAATACATCCCCATGTCATTAAGAAAGGTGTCAGAACAGGCAAGGTGGATGACCTGATTAAGTTCACAGAAAAAGTGGGGGATTTCCAAGTCTGTGCAGAAGGACAGCCACAATACCATTAAGCTTTGTGACAAGGAATTCAGGGCAGCAATCATCCAGGATGCCAGAACCAGGAGTCCACAGAGCCGAGGGTTCATGATGACTGTGTAGTGCAGAGGATGACAGATGGCCACAAACCGATCATAGGCCATCACAGCCAGGAGTAAGCTGTCTAACCCTCCAAAAAGTACAAAAAAGCACATCTGGGTGATGCAGCCTGCATAGGTGATGACTCTGCTCTGTGTCTGGATGTTAATGAGCATCTTTGGGATTGTAGTGGAGATGAAACAGATGTCTGCAAAGGACAGGTTGGAGAGGAAGAAGTACATGGGGGTGTGGAGGTGGGAGTCTGAGATTGTGGCCAGGATGATGAGCAGATTCCCGAGCACAGTGACCAGGTACATGGACAGAAACAGCCCAAAGAGGAAGGGCTGCAATTCTGGTTCCTCAGAAAGTCCCAGAAGAACAAATTCTGAAATCCCTGTGTCATTCTCTGGTTCCATCTTTTTTTTTCTATTTATTTATTTATTTATTTATTTATTTATTTATTTATTAACATAGACAGGGTCTCTCACTCTGTTGCCAACGCTGGTCTGAACCTCCTGGACTCATGCGATCCTCCCACTTCAGCCTACAAAAGTGCTGAGATTATAGGCATAAGCCATTGTGCCCAGGCTTGGTTGCATCTTTTCAATGTGACTACCAAAAAGAGAGAGAATATGACAATGTAATTATGCATTACAAACCTATCAGAAATTCTCTCATTTATACTCCGGAGTCAAGAACTTATTTTTCCTTTAAAAATTATTTATTTCTATGGTGACAGATAAAATGGTATGCATTTATCATGTATAACATCACATGTGGAAGTATATTTACATTGTGGATTGGCTAAATCTAGCCAATTAACATTAGTATTACCTCATATAGTCATCATTCTTGTGGCGAGAACACTTAACATCCATTTTCTTGGCATTTTCCAATAATTCAATATATCATCATGAACTATATTCACCATGCTGTAAAATAAATATTTTGAAGTTATTCCTTCTATCTAATTATCATCTTGTATCCCTTGACTGACATCACCTCAAGCCTCCATACCAATTGCCCTGGCCTCTAGTAATCTCCATTCTACAAGAAGCTGTTTTCTATGTTTTGTGTGTAAATCTGGTCCCTGTTAGAAGATCTCCTTGCCATCTCTGATTAGGAATTCCTAGACCACGCTCTCTCGCTCTCTCTCTCTCTCTCTCTCAGCCTTTCCCTGAGGGCATGTATTCTACAGTATCATTAAAGAGAAAAATCATTCATGCATTTGTGGAATAAAAAATGAGTTGATGTTCAGGGTACTGTATAGATAATGAGTCAATGGTGCTATAAAACAGAGTCCCTACAATCAAATAACGGGAACAAATACATATATACTATGTCAGTTGGTGATTAGTCCTATGAATAAAAAGGATAAAAAGTGTTACTTTTAATAGGTGTACAGACAAGATCAGCAGACAAGCTAAAAACTGAACAGAGAGCAGAATGAAGACAGGGCGAGAGTCATCATGTCCCTTGCTGGAGTCTGTGCAAGGGGAAGGAAGGCTCAGTGGAAGACTTCACAGAATGTGCTTCTTTCAGATGTTCAAGGTGCTCAAGGAAGCCAGTGTGTCAGGGGAATGTACAGGAAGAGAGTGATGAGAGATGGTTTCAGAAGATGTTGTGGGATGAGGTGGCCTTGAAGCTGCTGAAACTTAAAGACACAAGGAGTCCGTCTGACCAGATGCTGTTGCATTTGCATTTTATTAATTTGCCTGCGAAGGCATCTCAGTATGTGTAATGCATCCCCTCTTTTTTTCCCGCCGTGTCTTTGACTTCTGGCTTTTCTATTATGAGATACCTTTTGGAATACAGAGCCCAAATCCCCTTTCTCTGCAACCTGCTTTTATGCTAAAGGTGCGTGCGCGCACGCACACACACACACATTGCCTACATGCACGCAGCACACTGTAGCTCCCTGGAGCCATGTTACTCTTGTGCTTTTCTCACCCTGGTTACACTGTTAGAAAGAAACGAATACCAGGCAAGTTGTCAATTTCAAATTATCTTTCCCCACGAGAATTCAGAAATGGTCTGATAGCATGTGAGACAGCCTTCTCATTTCTCTTCTTTAATTATTCATGTGGCATCTCTTCTTTAATTATTCAGGGTCTTTGGGATTTGAACTCTTTTTGACAGTCCTATGGAATTGCACTAGTTCTGGTTCTGGTCTTCCTGTAACATGCAATGTCCTTCCTAGACCATACTATTGAATCCTGGCTGGGCACCGTGGCTCACGCCTCTAATTCCAGCACTTTGGGAGGCTGAGGTGGGTAGATCAATTGTGGTCAGGAGTTCGAGACCAGCCTGGCCTATGTGGCGAAGCCCCGTCTGTACTAAAAATACAAAAATTAGCCAGGTGTGGAGGCAGGTGGCTGTAATCCCAGCTACTCGGGGGGCTGAGGTAGGAGAATCGCTTGAACCTGGGAGGCGGAGGTTGCAGTGAGCTGAGATTGTGCCATTGCACTCCAGCCTGGGCAACAAGAGCGAAACTCTGTCTCAAAAAAAGAAAAAAAAAAAGAAAAAAATCCTGCACACACTATGATAACTGTCTCCTTTTCTGCAGAATGAAATTCTCCATATGATTTCATCCTTGAGGACATTGTGTCATAGACACATTTGTTACATTTTACTTTGTCTTCTCTGTTATAATGCATGAGTCAAATGAGCAGGAACTTCCCTGCTTTAAGTTTGTATTTTCACAAAGGTGTATGAGTATGTCTGTATTATGTAGAAAAAAATTAAAGCAATGAGACGTGATAAAATAAAAAGAATGTTATGGGATTAAAGCCAGGGTAAATGTAGTGATTTCCAAACAACTATATTTTTTAAATGTTATGGTACATAAAACGTTAACCAAGCCAAGATAAACAATAAGAATAATTTAATGATATCAAATGATTTAGTTTATTGGCAAAGACCTAGACATAAAATTATATAATACACAATGTTTCTAAAATGTTCTGGCACATAGAAGATACTCTCGACTTATTGAATAAGTCAGGAAGTAAGTCCTAGTATATATGGGTATTAAAATATGACAAGATTGCAATCCAATTTAGTTGCAAAAGACCAGATTGTTGAATAAAAGCAGAAATAAATAGCTATCTACCTGGGAGAAAATGAAGTGTGTCTCCCGACTCACATTTTACAAAGAATTAGCAGATTTAAAGACCTCAGTGTAAAAGTCAGCAATATATGTTAGACGAATACATAGATAACTACATATAAGATCTTAGTGTAGACAAAGTATTTTAACTAACGCAAGAAAAAAAACTAAGAAAGTAGACATATTTTTAGGTAAATAAAAGTTAAAACTTTTTATGACCAAAAATGTTTCCTTAAATATTTCATTAACAGTCAATGAGGAGGGCAATATAATTGGATCACAGCTGTAATCCCAGTGCTTTGGGAGGCTGAGTAGGGAGGTCACCTGAAGCCAGGATTTTGAGAACAGCCGGGGCATCATAGTGAGAACCAGGCTCTAAAAAGTAAACCAAAAAAGTTAACGATCCCAAAGAAATACAAACTCCCATCAGAGAATACTATAAACACCTCTATGCAAATAAGCTAGAAAATCTAGAAGAAATGGATAAATTCCTGGACACATACACCCTCTCAAGACTAAACCAGGAAGAAGTCAAATCCCTAAATAGACCAATAACAAGTTCTGAAATTGAGGCAGTAATTAATAGCCTACCAACCAAAAAGAGGCCCAGGACCAGTCAGTTTCACAGCTGAATTCTGCCGGAGGTACAGAGAGGACCTGGTATCACTCCTTCTGAAACGATTTCAAACAATGGAAAAAGAGGGACTCCTCCCCAGCTCAATTTATGAGGCCAGCATCATCCTGATACCAAAACCTGGCAGAGACACAACAAAAAAAGAGAAAATTTCAGGCCAATATCCCTGATGAACATCAATGTGAAAATCCTCAGTAAAATACTGGCAAACTGAATCCAGCAGCACATCAAAAAGCTTATCCAGCATCATCAAGTCGGCTTCATCCCTGGGATGCCAGGCTGGTTCAACATATGCAAATCAATAAATGTAATCCATCACATAAATAGAACCAATGACAAAAACTACATGATTATCTCAATAGATGCAGAAAAGTCCTCCGATAAAATTCAACTCCCCTTCATGCTAAAAACTCTCAGTAAACTAGGTATTGATGGAACATAACTCAAAATAATCAGAGCTATTTATGACATACCCACAGCCAATATCATACTGAATAGGCAAAAGCTGGAAGCATTCCCTTTGAAAACTGGCACAAGACAAGTGTGCCCTCTCTCACCACTCCTATTCAACATAGTGTTGGAAGTTCTGGCCAGGGCAATCAGGCAAGAGAAGGAAGTAAAGGGTATTCAAATACAAAGAGAGGAAGTCAAATTGTCTCTGTTTGCAGATGACATGATTGTATATTTAGGAAACCCCATCGTCTCAGCCCAAAATCTCCTTAAGCTGATAAGCAACTTCAGCAAAATCTCAGGATACAAAATCAATGTGCAAAAATCACAAGCATTCCTATACAGCAATAATAGACAGAGAGCCAAATCATGAGTGAACTCCCATTCACAATTGCTACAAAGAGAATAAAATACCTAGGAATATAACCTACAAGGGATGTGAAGGACTTCTTCAAGGAGAACTACAAACCACAGCTCAAGGAAATAAGAGAGGACACAAACAAATGGAAAAACATTCCATGCTCATGGAAAGGAAGAATCAATATCTTGAAAATGGCCATACTGCCCAAAGTAATTTATAGATTCAATGCTATCCCCATCAAGCTAACATTGACTTTCTTTACAGAGTTACAAAAACTACTTTAAATTTCATATAGAACCAAAAAATAGCCCGTATAGCCAAGACATTTCTAAGCAAAAGGAACAAAGCTGGAGGAAATGATTGGCTCTCAGGTGACCTCAGGTTAATATTCACGGCTCTTGTTCTTCCTGACCTTTCCTACAGTACCCACTGGGCTCTGGGACTTACCCTACTGAGTTTTCTGAAAGGAAGGTCTCCATGGAGAAGTGTAAATTCCTCTCTAGCAGGTTGATGGTGGAGATGGAATCTCTGTCTCAAGACAAGGCATCAGGAAAAGTTGAAGCATCATCTATACTTGAGCCAGACTAAGGACTCCAAATGAAACCACCATGTCATTTCCAGCCCAAGGTTGCATATGCTGAGGGACTGCAGCAGAGGAGATATTTATGGCTTCGTATATCTGCTGATTAGATACCTTTCCTCCTGTTATTCCAACTCTGAACACATCAGTTTCCTGGGGGACGTTGCCCTGCACTGAAACAAATGTCATTGTTGTTTTTTTTTTCTGTATCGTCTATTCCCAAGACACTATGTTAAAAGTGAGGTGTATCCAGGCTTTATTACTCCTTCCCCGTGGACTTCCTTGGCTTCCAGAGTCCCATTCTCCTAGCACCTTCTCCCAGCCTTCAGTGAAAATTTCCTCCAAAGTCTAAACTGAGGAACCTGTCTTGACTAGGTCCCTTGAGTCTCCAAAGCACTGGCTTGTGATGGAAACTCAGCTCTTGACATATCCAGAAAATGGCAATTTACCTTTGCAAGGAGATGAACTGTGTTCTGTTCATATAAAACCATGGGTACTACATTTCTTGGCTTCATGTTGCTTTTGCCAAAACATTAGAATTTCATATATATATTTTTTTGAGATGGAGTCTTGTTGTATCACCTGAGCTGGAGTGCAAAAACATTAGCCGGGTGTGGTGGCAGTTGCCTGTAATCCCAGCTATGCAGGAGGCTGAGGCAGGAGAATTGCTTGAACCCGGGAGGTGGAGGTTGCAGTGAGCCAATATGGCGCCATTTCTCTCCAGCCTGGGTAATAAGAACAAAACTCCATCTCACTAAAAAAAAAAAAAAAAGTGTTAGAACAGGCAAGCAGGATCAACTGATTAAGTTCACAGAAAAAAATGGGGGGATTTCCAAGTTTGTGCAGAAGGACAGCTGCAACACATTCTGCTTTGCAGTGAGGAATTCAGGGCACTCATGCTCCAGGACACCAGAACCCACAGTCCAAAGATCCCAGGATTCATGATGACCCTGTAGTGCAGGGGGTGACAGATGGCCACAAAGTGGTCATAGGCCATCACAGTCTGCAGAAATACATTCATCCCTGCAAAGAGTAGGAAAAGTTTGTGATTCTGGAAAAGTTTCTTGGGAAAGGACATGCCTTGCTTCTCGGAGACAGAAATTTGTGATCATGAAGGGACACCTGCTTCCAGGGGTCCACACGGGGAGGAGATTGCATGAGTGTCCTTCCACGTCTGCTTTATTATACTCAGGGACATCTTCTCTGTCCTCCTCTGCCTGGCTCCAAAAATTCACATTAAAAATGTTTAGACTCCTTTTATTTTATTTTATGTTCTGGGGTACATATGCAGGATGTGCAGGTTTGCTACATAGGTAAACGTGTGCCATGGTGGTTTGCTGCACCTATCAATCCATCACCTAGGTATTAAGCCCCACAGGCATTAGCTAGTTTTCCTAAGGTTCTCCCTCCCCCCCACCCCACCCCCCAACAGGGCTCAGTGTGTGTTGTTCCCCTCCTTATGTCTATATGTTCTCATTGATCAGGTCCCACTTATAAGTGAGTGCATGTGGTATTTGATTTTCTGTTTCTGCGTTAGTTTGCTGAGGGTAATGGCTTCCAGCTTCATCCACGTTCCTGCAAAAGACATGAACTTGTTCCTTTTTATGGCTGCATAGTATTTCATGGGGTATATGTACCACATTTTCTTTATCCAGTCTATCACTGGTGGGCATTTGGGTTGATTCTATGTCTTTGACATGAACAGACACTTCTCAAAAGAAGACATTCCTGTGGCCAACAAACATATGAAAAAAAGCTCAATATCATTGATCATTATAGAAATGCAAATCAAAACCACAATGAGATACCATCTCATGCCAGTCAGAATGGCAATGATTAAAAAGTCAAGAAACAGATGCTGGCAAGGTTGCAGAGAAATAAGAATGTTTTTACACTGTTAGTGGGAATGCAAATTAGTTCAACCAGTGTGGAAGACAGTGTAGTGATTCCTCAAAGATCTAGAACCAGAAATACCATTTGATCCAGCAATGCCACTACTGGGTAAATATCCAAAGGAATAGAAATCATTCTATTACCAAGATACATGCATGAGTATGTTCATTTTTAGACTCTTATAACCTGCTCTGCTATCTTTTAATCTTGGGAATATCTGTAATTCTGATAATTCTTGTTGCGTCAATTTATTTCTCCAGCTCTTCTGGAAACTCCAACTATTAATAGAAATCTTATCTTCCTCATTGCCAGAGTATAGCATGTGGTAAAAATACAAAAATAGACATGGAGAAAACTGTAGATAAAATTTATACACATTTAATTTCAACAGAAGTATGAAAGACTTTCATGTCTGTAGGGACCAGCCCTACAGGGTCTGTGGGTTTTTCTCCTCGTGTGTGGAGACAATAGATTGTAGAAATAAAGAGACAAGACAAAGAGAAGAAAAGACAGCTGGGCCTGGGGGAACACTACCACCAAGATGCGGAGACTGGTAGTGGTCCCGAATGCCTGGCTGCACTGTTTTTTATTGGATACAAGGCAAAAAGGGCAGGGTAAGGAGTGTGAGTCATCTCCAGTGATTGATAAGGTCACATGAGTCACGTGTCCACCGGACAGAGGGCCCTTCCCTGTTTGGCAGTCAGGGCAGAGAGAGAGAGAGAGAGAGAGAGCCATTATTTCTTCTATGCATTTCAAAGACTTTTAGTATTTTCACTAATTCTGTTATTGCTATCTAGAAGGCAGAGCCAGGTGTACAGGGTGGAACATGAAAGTGAAACACGGGCATGACCGCTGAAGCACAGCATCACAGGGAGACAGGCCTCCGGATGGCTGCCGGCGGGCCTGACTGATGTCAGGCCTTCCACAAGAGGTGGTGGAGCAGAGTCTTCTCTAACTCCCCCGGGGAAAGGGAGACTCCCTCTCCCGGTCTGCTAAGTAATGGGTGCCTTCCCTAGACACTGATGCTACCGCTAGGCCAAGGAGCCCTCTAGTGGCCCTATCTGGGCGTGACAGAGGGCTCACACTCTTGTCTTCTGGTCACTTCTCACCATGCCCCTTCAGCTCCTATCTCTGTATGGCCTGGTTTTTCCTAGGTTATAATTGTAGAGCAAAGATTATTATAATATTGGAATAAAGAGTAATGTACAAACTAATGATTAATGATATTCATATATAATGATATCTATAATCTACTTCTAGTATAACTATTCTTATTTTATATATTTTCTTTATTATATTGGAACAGCTTGTGCCCTCGGTCTCTTGCCTTGGCACCTGGGTGGCTAGCAGCCCACACATGTCTGTTTCTCCCTCAGGTAGATCATTTTATTTTTCATTCATTTATTACCTCCCCTATTGTCTATAGGTGGATGGTGCTTTTCCACCTTTGGCTCTGGGTCTTGACAATAATTCACTTGGGAGGAGTGTGTATCCCTAAAACGGTTGATGCACATCTTGAACATGTGACATGATTTGTCTAACAGACTGTGAGCAGTCATGACATATTTAATGCCTGTGAAGAAACTGTAAGAGGCACTGTGAGATTCCACCACTTCTCTTAATCTTCCTCTCTCAAAGTGTCCTTGCTATCCAAAATTCAAGAACCAACTAGATTTGGGCAGTCCTATGAACTGAATATTTTTATTTCCTTAAAAAACGCTTAAGTTCTAATTCCCAATGTAAAAACTTCTCTATCATAAACTCCTACAGGATGAAAAAGCATGATATTAAACCATTTATTATTGAGATGGCTTGTTACACAGCAGTAGCTTACTGATACATTAATCAATGCAAACAGAACTAGTGACATTCAGAATAATCTTCTGCCTCTTCTTTTTTCACAGTTGTTCTGATATTTCAAGAAAACATTTGTGATCACCTGGTTACTCGTGTTTATTTCAGATAACTGTATTAAAGTGAGGCAACTTTTAGATTGCCTTCGGGATAACCAGGAGAAGTTGAAAGGACATATAGGTTTTTGCAGGGATAAATTGTGACTCTAATTCACAAGTGTCTATTGACAGAGGCAATATTGGGCAGAAATTCAATGTCTTGTGTGAGTCATTATTTGACCATGAGGACCAAAGAGACTATTAAAGGAACAAAGCAAATTATGATAAATTTAATACACATATTGTTCACTTACCTACACTTTAATGCTTATGAGACAGTTTTTAAAGGAGGAGATATTTTTAGAATAATGCAAGGAGTCATATTCGTAGGGAGCAGTAGAAAATTTTAAGAGGAAAAGCAAGATGGTACATTGAAATAATACAGACCATGACACCAAATCCTTCACTCAGATGAAGAAACCTGATTACACATGGACACCAAATCTCCACACTTCCAGGACCAGATGTACATCATCAAAAACAAATATTCTATAGTCATTCAGTGCATGACTGATCATTTTATTCCATCACATTTAACATCATCTGTGACTAAGGATGTATGAGGTCAACTGACACATAAAAATGTGCCTTTCTTTGTAAACTGTATCTAAAACATGTATTTGATAAGCTGTATTTTCCTACCTACTCTTTATCTTTATCAGAAAATATAGGCACTGTTGACGTTGAGCTGAAATAGAGCATAGGACCCCAGTGAGGCGAGTAAAATCCCTTGCCTAGCTGTAAAACACACTAGTATTGAAAGGAGTTAGTTAGCTTGCCTTAGGTAGATAGCAAGATAAGGATTCCTGGAGAGCCTTTGACTCATGGGTCAGTGCCTCATCTCCATATAATATAAAAAAAAAGCCTGGGGAAAAAAAATGAAGCTGCCGGCACCAATAAGGGAAGAAGCATAGGGGATTGTGTCTGGAGACATGCCCACGGCTGCACAGATAGGAAAACTCCTGGCTCATTTAGATAAAAACTTTCACAAACCTCTGGCTCACTCAGATAAGAAACAAGGCCTGGCATAGAAATGCCTTTGTCCTTTGTATAGTCAGTGGCCTCCCAGGAAAAAGCTTTTTCTCCCTTCGTGGGCATGGACGCAGTGGGCTCTGGTGGGTTCCGGTGGGCACTCTACTTCCCTTGTTTTGGACTATAAGTCTGGTCTCTATGAATTCAGCCCCTGATTGATCCTGGGCAAAGGTCCTGGGCCAAGCTTTCTGAAAGGTCCCAGGCCAAGATCCTGAGCCAAGCTGAGTCAGCGTTCTCCAAGACAGCCTGCAGACTAAACACATTGCTTCCCCTTTCCAGTCCATAAAAACCTCAGAACGGGCCTCATAGGGGGCTTCCCATTCAGGACCCCCTCTCTGCTGGCCGAGAGCTTTCTTCTTTTCCCTCCAACCTCATCTTTGTGTCCACGCTCCTTAATGTTCTTGGAGGTAGGACGAAGAACTCTGGGTTTTATCTCAGGCGAGAGACTGTTACATGTTGGTGCATTGCTAAGACCTCAGCAGTATGTTCAAGTTGACATTTTCAGGAAGAACAGCTAAGGTTTTCATAGAAAAGGAAATAACAGACTCAGAAATAGAAAACTGTGGGCTCAGATATTCATCTACCATAAAATTATATTAATGACCTTACAGTTGCCAAGCGTAGTTAATTCTTTGGGATGAATATAACTCACCCCTGTATGAGAAAAACTTCCATTTGTTTCTGGACCTAGTTTGGATGTAATTTTAGAAAAATGACAGAGGACAAAAACAGTTGCATATCAGAGCAGAAAGCTTTATTAAGAAAAAGTGTAAATTTTCTAATGTCGTCAAGGTTAAAGAAATCTAAAGTCCAGAATATAAATACTAGGAGAAAATTCTACTTTCACAATCTGATCCATGAATCATAATTTCTGGCTAGGGGATTTAGAGCTCTGAAATCTCAAGAACTTCTGGAAAATGGCCCTCCTGTTTCTGCTCTCTGAAGAATCGATTCAGAGCTCTGTTTATGTCTTTATTCCTCAGGCTGTAGATGAAGGGGTTCAGCATGGAGGTGACC
Organism: Homo sapiens; assembly: GCF_000001405.40. Taxonomy (NCBI): domain Eukaryota; kingdom Metazoa; phylum Chordata; class Mammalia; order Primates; family Hominidae; genus Homo; species Homo sapiens. The sequence goes on from NC_000019.10 coordinate 14,891,968, forward strand.
ACAGTGTACATCACCGAGGCTGCAGCATTTGAGAGTGAGTTATGGGTTGCAGCAGAACTAAGGTACACACCTACGCCTGTACAATAAAATAAGGAGACAACTGAGAGGTGAGATGCACAGGTGGAAAGTGCTTTATTCATCCCCTGAGCTGATGAGATCGAACATATGCAACAAAGTATCTTAAAGTAAGTAAAATATTCCAGCGAGGCATCCCCCACCCAGCAGCACACTTGTAAAATTCATCATCATGTCATTAATAAAAGTGTCGGAACAGGCAAGGTGGATGACCTGATTAAGTTCACAGAAAAAATGAGGGATTTTCAATTCTGTACAGAAGGACAGCTGCAATGCCATTATGCTTTGTAACAGAGAATATAGGATGCTCACGATCCAGGACACCAGAACCAGCAGTCCACAGAGCCAGGAGTTCATAATGACTGTGTAGTGCAGGGGGTGACAGATGGCCACAAACCGGTCATAGGCCATCACAGTCAGGAGTAAGCTGTCCAACACTACAAAGAGTATAAAAAAGCACATCTGGGTGATGCAGTCTGCATAGGTGATGACTCTGCTCTGTGTCTGGATGTTCACCAGCATCTTTGGGACAGTGGTAGACACAAAACAGATGTCTGCAAAGGACAGGTTGGAGAGGAAGAAGTACATGGGGGTGTGGAGGTGGGAGTCTGAGATTGTGGCCAGGATGATGAGCAGGTTCCCGAGCACGGTGACCAGGTACATGGACAGAAATAGCCCAAAGAGGAAGGGCTGCAATTCTGGTTCCTCTGAAAGTCCCAGGAGAAGGAATTGTGAAATTTGTGTCTCATTCCCTGGTTTCATCTTGTTGATGTGACTTCCAAAAGAGAGAGAAAGAGAACATGACACAAGCATGCATTACAAACATATCAGAAATATTCTCACTTATATTCTACAGTCAAGAAGTTAATATGGGCTGGCTGCAGTGGCTCACGCCTGTAATCTCATCACTCGCGGAGGCCAAGGTGGACGGATCACCTGAAGTCAGGAGTTCGAGACCAGCCTGGCCAACATGGCAAAAACCGGTCTCAGCTAAAAATACAAAAAAAATTAGCCGGGCGTGCTGGCGCATGCCTGTAATCCCAGCTACTTGGGAGGCTAAGGCATGAGAATCACTTGAACCCAGGAGGTGGAGATTGTAGTGAGCCGAGATCATGCCACTGCACTCCAGCCTGGGCAACAGAGTGAGACCCTGTCTTTAAAAAATAATAATAAAATAAAATAATAAATAAATAAATAACTTCCTACAATTTAATGATGAATGAAAAATACAAGTATGTTTTTAAAATGCCATCCTCAATATCAGATGGTGATGCATCCTATGAAGAAGGAGGTTAGAAGGAAAGAGTGGATGGGGTAATAGATTTTCCAGGGTGTTCAGGCAGGACCAGCAGAGAAGGTGACAAATGAAGAGAGCCCATAATGAAGACAGGGTGGAGGGCACTACGTTCCCTGCAGAAGTTTGTGCAATGGAGCAAAATGATCAATGAAAGACCCCGAGGAATGTGCTTCTTTCAGATATTTGAGGACTGCGAAGAAGACAGTGTGGCCGGGGAATGAGCAAGAGGCGAGGGCTGTCGGAGGATGTTAGGGAAGGAAGTGTCCTCATAGCTGCTGAAATTTGAAGACACAAAGAGTCCCTCTGTCCAGATACTGATGCCTTTAATTTGGCTGCAAAGGTGTTTCATGAACTGCAATGCATGCTCATTCTGTTTACTGATATTTTCCTGAGATGTGGCCTTTATCTGATGGGTTACCTTTTGAAATATAGAGATCAGGTTCCCTATCTCTGAAACCTGTGCTCACTCTAAAGTTGTGCACCCACACACGTGCACACACACACAGAGAACGCACCCACACAGGCAGCCATGGCTTCCTGGGGCCATGTTACCCCCTCACGCTTCTCATCCCACTCACAGTATTAGAAAGGAATGGATACCAGGCAAGCTGTTAATATCAAATTATCTTTCCCCAAGAAGATACAGATATGGTACCTAGAATTTCCAGTTTGAAAACTTCTCATGCATATGGAACCTCGAGCGCCACTGCACTCCAGCCTGCGTGACAAAGCGAGACTCTGTCTCAAAAACAAACAAACAAACAAAAAACCGAGAGGCAGAGAGAGAAAATCGATTGGAACTGAAGGGAAAAATAATCTAATAAGCTCACATAGTCCCTCAGAGACCTTAAGGAAGAAAAGGCTTCCTTAGTTTTGAAAACATTCCAACTCCTCTTATATCCCTGAGGCCCAGCAAAAATCAGAAAAGACAAAGGGAAATTTACCAAATATCAAACATGGTGATATCTTTTCTGTGTCAAGATACTGATAGATTGAGAATCCCCATGGAAAAAAAAATGAGCAAATGATAAAAATCAACTATTCAAAAAGGAAATACAAAAGGAACTTCTGGGCCAGCTTATTTATTGTGCTGGGGTCTGTCCTGTGCATTGTACGATGTTTATCAGCTTCCCTGTTCTCTACTGACCCTCCCCAGGGTGACAGCCAACCCAGTCATTGCTCAATGTCCCCTGGGAGACAAAACCACCCCTGGGTAAGAACCGATTTTTAACATAAAAATCACAAAATATTTCCATACCTTTTATCAACTGAGAAAGGACAAGGGAAGATGAGCCTTAAAACAAACAAACAAACAAAAAAACCTATAGTCAAATATAAAAAGCACATGTGTTATGCATAACATACTACTCAACCTTTGTATAAACCTTTGTGTAAAGAGAAGGTTTATGAGGAACTAAAATCTTATGGAGAATAGAATATAAGTGAGGATGCTATTAGGTTAAGAACAGTTATTTCATTTTATGGCTGCATAGTATTCCATGGTGTATGTCCTTTGCAGGGACATCAATAAAGCCAGAAACCATTATCCTCAGCAAACTAACATAGGAACAGAAAACCAACCACCACACATTCTCACTTATCAGTGGGAGCTGAACAATGAGAATGCATGGACACATGGAGGGGAACAACACACACTGAGGTCTGCTGGCGGGGGGGGTGGTGGGAGGGAGAGCATTAGGAAAAATACCTAATGTATGCTGAGCTTGATACCTAGGTGATGGGTTCATAGGTGCAGCAAACCATCATGGCATACGTTTACTACCTAACAAACCTGCACATCCTGCACATGTACCCCAGAACTAAAAATTAAAATTAAAAAAGAATAGTTATTTCAAAACAGCTGCATGAATCAACATAGAAAGAAAGTCTGAAAAATCCTTATAGAAAAATATGACAGTAATAATTTACTGACATAAAGATGCACCACTAATTCACTGTGAAATCGCCTCTTGGAAATTGAAGAATATCACAGGAAAATGTTTAAAATGTGGGGAGGAAACAGTATCTAAGGTTATAATTTCGTATTATATAAACATATAAAGCTTCAAATGTTTAGGGGAGATAGATGTGAGGTTTAATCAGATGATAAGCAGCCAGATTAGGACTCCAAAAGGAAAGCATGTCCCATCAAGCCCAAGGTAGCATGTGCTGAGGAACAGTAGCAGGGGAGAAATTTACAGCTTTGTGTACCTGCTCATCAGGCAAACTTCCTCCTGTTACTCCAGCCTTGAGCACATCGTGTCCCTATGAGACATTGCTCTGCGTGGAACTTTTTTATTTTTCTTGCATTTTCTGTATCCAAGGCACCAGATTAAAAGAGAGGTGAATCCAGTTTTATTACTTCTTCACTATGGACCTGCTTGCCTTCCAGAAATGTAATCTGTTAACACTGTATCCCAACCCTGGGGGAAGGTTTTTCTCCACAGTCTAAACTGAGGAGCCTGTCTTTGATTAGATCCCTTGGATCTGCAGAGCATTGACTGTGATGGGAACACAGACATTGATATCTCCAGAGAATGACTCTTCCCCTCTTCAGCAAGGGAGTGAACTGTGTTCTCTTGATAGAAAACCATGAGTTCTGTATTGCTTGGCTTCATGATTCCTTTGGCAAAATAATGTAATTTTGCATACTTCCTTAACCATACATCTTTACCTACACAAAAAAATTAAATGTTATTCAGTAAAGTTAGCAGGAAAAAAAATCTTCCAATCCATTGTTTGAAAGAATGCAATCAACATAATAGTATAAAAAACCTCAGAAACCAGAATATAAAAGCATAGAACGTGCACAATTTGCAATGGAGAAAATGAAAGCTACTAAACCCTCAGGTAGAGTATACTCAGACTCAACAGAAAGCGAGGCTTAAAACTTAGATGACAGGTTGATACGTGCAGCAAACCACCATGGCACATGTATACCTCTGTAACAAACCTGCATGTTCAGCACATGTATCCCAGAACTTAAAGTAAAATAAATAAATACATAAATAAGAAAGTCTTTGCGATAGTTTGCTGAGAATGATGGTTTCCAGCTTCATCCATGTCCCTACAAAGGACATGAACTCATCATTTTTTATGGCTGCATAGTATTCCATGGTGTGTATGTGCCACATTTTCTTAATCCAGTCTATCATTGTTGGACATTTGGCTTGGTTCCAAGTCTTTGCTATTGTGAATAGTGCCACAATAAACATACATGTGCACATGTCTTTATAGCAGCATGATTTATAATCCTTTGGGTATATACCCAGTAATGGGATGGCTGGGTCAAATGGTATTTCTAGTTCTAGATCCCTAAGGAATCGCCACACCGACTTCCACTATTGCAAGGACAAAAACCCAAACACCTCATGTTCTCACTCATAGGTGGGAACTGAACAATGAGAACACATGGACACAGGAAGGGGAACATCACACACCGGGGACTGTTGTTGGGTGGGGGTGGGGGGCGGGGAGAGCATTAGGAGATATACCTAATGCTAAATGACGAGTTAATGGGTGCAGCACACCAACATGGCACATGTATACATATGTAACAAACCTACACGTTGTGCACATGTACCCTAAAACTTAAAGTATAATAATAAAAAAAAAGCAGAAAAAAAAGAAAGTCATGGCAAGTAAAAACTCTTTAGTGTTCCCATTTTGACGATAAAATAACATTTATTTTATTCAGGTGAATATTTAGCAAGAGAGAGAAGATACTGTGAAATGTCTGTCTTGTGAACTACTGTTGCAAGGTAGTATTTGTAAGCAGCCCGTTGGTCTAGATCTTTCTAATGAATACAGAAACATGCTCCAATACACTCATCTTAATTTTAAAAATAAACCCTCAATTCATTGCACATCCACCCACACCTAATATTCTACATTCTACTCTCCTACTTCTTTTTTTGTGTGTTTGTTTGTTTTTGAGACAGAGTTTCTCTGTTGTGCCCACGGCATGATCTCAGCTAACTGCAACCTCCACCTCCTGGGTTCAAGCGATTCTCCTGCCTCAGCCTTTCAAGTAGCTGGGACTACAGGTGTGTGTCACCACACCCAGCCAATTTTGTATTTTTAGTAGAAGATGGGGTTTCACCATGTTGGTCAGATTGGTCTCGAACTCCTGACCTCAGGTGATCCGCCTGCCTCGACCTCCCAAACTGCTGGGATTACAGGTGTGGGTCACCGTGCCTGGCCCCTTTCCTACTTCTTTAACTGCAAACCTCCTAGGTTCTAACTTCACTGGAACCACTTTATGTCTTCCATTCCTTCTTCAATCTCATCCAATTGAACCTCCATATCCCTCAATTAATTGTCAACAACAATCCCTGCATTGCTGAGTCTTACAGACACATTTTAACATATAAAATAAATAAATTATAAATTAGTCAACCAGGCAAACAAACACACATGAATCTCTCACCTGGCTTGATACTAGGTGACCTCAGGTAAACATTCTTGGCTTCCATTCTCTTTGAACATTTCCTGCAGTACTTTCTGGGGTCTCAGACGCACCTGTATGGGGTCTCAGAGATGAAGGTCTCTGTGTGGAAGTTGAAATTCCTCCCTGGGTAGTTGATGATGCAGACTGAAGCTCTGTCTCCAGACAGACAGAAGGGAAGAGTTAAGCATCAGCCACACAGCCAGACTTAGGACTACAAAAGAATCAACCACATCCCATCCAGCCCAGGGTTGTCTAATCCCAGAGACAATAGCAGATGAAATATTTACAGCTCCTAATATCTGCTAGCGAGATATATTTCCCTGTTGCTACTCTAAGCCTGGAGCACCTGATTTCCCTGTGGAACACTGATGTGGAAAGAAAGAACAATTTCCTGCTGATTCTCTGTTCCCAAGAGAATCAAGTTAGAAGTCATGTGAATCCAGTCTTCATTACTCCTTCTCTTTGAACTCTGTACCTTCCAGAGGTCTAAGTGCCATTGCACCTTTTCACAGCCCTCAATTAAAATGTTATCCAAAGTGTAAGGCTGAGTACATGGTCTTTACTAGATCCCTTGGATATTCAAATCATTGACTTGTGGTTGGAACACAGCTGCCGACATCTCCAGACCAACGCTCTTTCCTCATCAAAAGGGAGAGAACTGTGTTTATTTGTCATAAAGCCACGGGTATTTACTACAGTCCTTGGCTTCCTGATGCTTTTGACAAAGCAATGAGCAGTTTCTTGCTTGTAAACACACAAGCATCAAAGTACAACTTATCATTCAGTCCTTCCTTTATAAAACATTTGGTAATCATAAGAGATATACTTAAACCTTTGTAGACATCATGGAATAAGTTAAAATCTTATATGGTTTGTCTCATTTAATATCACATGTAATGTGTCTCATTTTTATACATCTTTGTTCTATGAGGTCCAACGATTAGACGCCTCTTTCTGCACTTTTAGGATTTTGGTTAAGGTGAGTTAGTGACCTGCCCAAAGTTATGAACCAAGTAAGGGAAGGGATTTGATCAGAATGCCATCCAAATGTTTCCAGTTGTCACATCTAGGTTACTGACTTTTCTTTTCTTTACTTTTTTCTTTTCTATTTTCTTTCTTTTTTTTTTTTTTTTGAGACAGAGTTTCACTCTTGTCACCCAGGCTGGAGTGCAATGGTGCGATCTCTGCTCACTGAAATCTCTGCCTCCTGGGTTAAAGTAGTTTTCCTGCCTCAGCCTCCAGGGTAGCTAGGATTACAGGCATGTGCCACCATGCCTGGGTAATTTTTGTATTTTTAGAAGAGACAGGGTTTCACCATGTTGGGTAGACTGGTCTCCAACTCCTGACCTCAAATGATCCACCCACCTCAGCCTCCCAAAGCGCTAGGACTACAGGCATGAGCCACCGTACCGGGCCAGGTTGCTGATTTTCAACCAGGGGTGTTTGTGCTCCAGGAATATTAGGAAATGTTTGGATACACTTTTGGTTGTCACATGTGGGGAAGTGCTACTTACTGGCACATTGTAGATTGAAGCCGGGGAAGCTGCCCAACAACCTACAATGCACAGGACAGCCCACAGCAGAAAGAATTAATGCAAACAAATGTGGACACTGGGGAGGCTGAGACTATTCCAGTCCAGAACTTCCCTAATTTCACTGTATATATGAATCACCTAGGGTTCTTGTTCAAATGTCGATTCTAATTTCAGACATCTAGGACTGGTCCCAACATTTTATACTTTTGACAGTTTTCCTGTTGGTGTTGATGCTATTCATCCTGTTCTGCGGAACACTCTTTGGGGATCGAGGCTGTGGTCAGTGTTAAAGGCAGGTATACATATTTTGAGGCTTTTTCTACCAAGAATCCTACCCTGCTCCTCATGTCTGGTTTAGGAGGTCAAATGTTGGACTCGGTAGCTCAGCTTTTGCATAATCGAGTTTACTTACGCGTAAGTCTTGAACACTTACGGAATGACAGGAAATGAAACTTCTAGAAGTTCCACTTACCTTATGAAGTTTAGGTGAGAAGGAGTAAGACTTCAAAGCCCATTGGAAGTTACTTGGCGCAGAGCAGGTGTTCAATGGATAGCAGATATTTGGACCATGTCCTAGTTTCCCAGTTACTCTGCTCATTGTGACACCAGAAAGGTTTCTTGCTACAGTCTAGCACTGTCCTGCTTTGAGGAGACAGCAAGTTGTGATCATGAAGGGAGACCTCCTTCCAGGGCCCTGCACAAGGAGGAGAGTGCCTGAGAGTCTATCATTCTATGCTTTGTTGACATAAAATCATTCATCATTGTCTCTGTCACCCTCATGCTGGCTCCAAATACTCACAGTAGATATGTCTGACTCTTTAACTATCTTCTACTTTTGAGAATATCTGTAAAGCTGATGTTTCTTAGTGTATCAAATTATCCACCTAATCTTCTAGGAGCTCCTCCAACTCTTCATGGAAATCTTATCTTCCTGGCTTCTAGGTGATAGCATGTAATTCATACATATTTAATGTATACTGAAGTATAAAATGCTTGCATGTCTGTTTTTCTCCCAGTAGATAATTATTTTCCACTTATTTATTAACTCTTAGATAATTAGACACCTCTTTCTGTATTTTTGTGTTGCCTTTCTATGTTGCCTTTAGGAGGATCAGTCTTCTCCACCTTTGGCTCTGGATTTTGATGATGCCTCAACTGGGAGAAGTGTAACACCTACGATGATTGAGACATTCTTTGTCTGATAGGATGTGAGTGGTCATGAGATGTTCAATCTGTGAGAAGAAGCTGTAAGAGGCATTGTGAGATGACACCACTTCTGTTGCTCTTCCTCTTTCAAATTGTCCTTGCTCTATTATTTAAAAGTCCAATAATAACAAATGCTGGTGAGAGTCTGGAGAAAAGGAAATACTTCCACACTGCTTTTGGGAATGTAGATTAGTTCAGCCATTGTGGAAAGCAGTTTCACAGTTCTCAAAGACCTTAAAACAGGATTACCACTTCACTCAGAAATTCTATTATTGGATATATACCCAAAGGAATGTAAATCATTCTACTATAAAGACATATGCATACATATGTTCATCACAGCACTATTCACAATAGCAAAGACATGGAATCAACCTGAATGTCCATCAATAGTAGACCGAATAAAGAAGATGTGGTACTATACAACATAGAATACTACAGAGTCATCAAAAAGAATGAGACTGTGTCCTTTGCAACAACGTGGTTGGAGCTGGAGGCCATAATTCTTAGCAAACTAACGTAGGAACAGAAAACCAAATACCACATATTCTCATTTACAAGTGGGAGCTAAATAATGAGAACACATGGACACAAAGAGGGGAACAACAGATACTGGGGCCTCCTTGAGTGTTGAGGGTGGTAGGAGGGTTAGGATAAAAAAAACTATGTATCAGGTATGCTTATTAAGCGGGTGACAAAATACTCTGTACACCAAACCCTCACAACAAACAGTTGGCTTATATAGCAAACCTGCACATGTACCCCTGAACCTAAAATAAAAGTTAAAAAAAGATTGTCCTTACTGCCCAACATTCAAGAGCTAATTAAGCTTGGATAGTCCTATGGCTGAATATTTTTGTCTTGTCCAGGATATATATGTCCTAATCCCCAATGAGAAAACTTCCACAATGTAGACTCTGATGTGATTTTTTAAAAGCATGACTTTAAATCATTTATTATTGGGATGTTTTGTTACACAACATTAGATTACTGATACAATAATCAAAGCAACATAACTAAAGATATTCAGAATTATCTTTTTTTAGGTGTCAGATCCTTTTGTTTTTTAGTTTTTTATTGGATTCACTGTATACAGAATATTCTGTTGGCTCTTTTTTTTTGGTGCTTTTTCTGATATCAGAAAGCAGTGTTCATAATTATATGGATATTTATATTTACTTCACATAACTGTATCATAGGATGACTACTTTTAGATTTCCTCTAGGTAACCAGAAGAGTTTGGCAGGACATGTATATTTTTGCTGAAACAAATTGCAACCTGGAATCTCAAGTCTCTAATCTCACATGCAATACTGGGAAGAAATTCAAGCTCTTATGTGAGTCATCATTAGAGAGTTTGGAGTATAAAAGAGATAAAGCAAGTGATGATACAGTAAATACACATATCCTTCACTTACCTCCAGTTTAATGCTTGTGACATAATTTATTAAAGGGAGTGATAGTTTTAGAACAATGCAAGAAGTCATATTTGTAGCACTGGAAACTTTTAATCAGAAACAGAAAGATGATGCAATCAAATAATGTAGATCATGACACCAAATCCTTTACCTAAATGAACAAACCTCATTACCCATGGACAACAAGCTTCCACCCTTTAATGAGTTGTATTAGTCCGTTTTCACACTGCTGATAAAGACATACCCAAGACTGGGTAATTTATAAAGAAAAAGAAGTTTAATGGACTCACAGTTCCACGTGGCTGGGGAGGCCTCACAATCACAGCAGAAGGCCAAAGGCATGTCTTGCATGGCGGCGGGCAAGAGAGCATATGCAGGGGAACTCCCCTTTATAAAACCATCAGATCTCATGAGACTTATTCACTGCCATGTGAACAGCATGGGAAAGACCTGCCCCAATGATTCAATTACCTCCCACCGGGTCCCTCCCATGACACAAGGAAATTATGGGAGCTACAATCAAGGTGAGATTTGGGTGGAGACACAGACAAACCATATCACACACCATCAAAAACAAATCTTCCACGATAATCACTGCATGACTGAAAATTTTAGTCCATCATATTTAAGGTCGTCTCTGAATCTGAGGCCATATGAAGTCAATTGATTCATGCAAATGTGTCTTTCTGTGTAGACTACACTAGGAACATGTATGTTATAAGTAATATTCGCCTTCCTCCTCTTTACCAGGGAATATAGTAGGCAGTGTAGACACTGAGCTGGATAGCAGACAGGATCCTAATGAGGAGAATAAAATGCCATGATGATTATAAACACACCAGCATGGTCAAGTTTACATAATCAGGAAGAACAGTAAAGGTAGTAAGAAATGAAGGACTCAGAAGTAAAAAACTGTGATCTCAGATATTCATCTATAATATGATTATACCAATGACCTTACATTTGCCAAGTGCAATTGATTTTTTAGGACTGATACAACTCTCTAGTGTATTAGACAAATAGGAATCTCCAAAAGTGTTTTACCCTAGTTTGGAAATAACTATGGGAAATTAGGAAAATGACAAACAAAAAGTAAGTTGGATATCAGAGCAGAAAGCTTTCTAAAGAAATAGCATAAGTCTGACACAGCACTTGAGAACAAGGAAATTAAAACTCTAGAAACTGAATAGAAGCAGAACATTCTCTTTCCCTCCTTCCATGATCTGATTCGTGAATCACAATGTTTGAGTTCGGTTAGAGCTTTGAAATCACATGTACTTCTTGAAAGATGCTCATTTTATTTCTTCCTTCTGAAGAATTGTTTTAGAGCCCCCTTTATGTCTTTATTCCTCAGACTGTAGATGAAGGGGTTCAGCATGGGGGTGACCACAGTGTACATCAGAGGCTGTTGCACTTGAGAGTGAGTTGTGGGTTGCAGCAGCACTAAGGTACACCCCAAGGCTCATACAATAAAATAAGGAGACAACTGAGAGGTGCGATGCACAGGTGGAAAATGCCTTGTACTTCCCCTGAGCTGATGAGATTGCACGTATGGAGGAAACTGTCTTAAAGTAAGAGTACAGGATCCCAGTGAAACATCCCCTACCTAGAAGCACAGCTGACAAATACATCACCATGTCATTAAGAAAGGTGTCAGAACAGGCACTGCGGATTATCTGATTAAGTTCACAGAAAAAGTGGGGGATTTTCAAGTCTGTACAAAAGAGCAGTGGCAACACCATTAAGCTTTCTATCAAGGAATTCAGGGCACTCATGATCCAGGACGCCAGAACCAGCAGTCCACAGAGCCGAGGGTTCACGATGACCGTGTAGTGCAGGGGGTGACAGATGGCCACAAACTGGTCATAGGCCATCACGGTCAAGAGTAAGCTGTCCAACACTATAAAGAGTACAAAAAAGTACATCTGGGTGATGCAACCTGCATAGGTGATGACTTTACTCTGTGTCCGGATGTTTGACAGTGTCTTTGGGACTGTGGTGGAGGTAACACAGATGTCTACAAAGGACAGGTTAGAGAGGAAGAAGTACATGGGGGTGTGGAGGTGGGAACCAGAGCAGATGGCCAGGATGATGAGCAGGTTTCCAAACACAGTTGTCAGATACATGGAGAGGAAGAGTCCAAACATAACGGGCTGCAATTCTGGTTCCTCTGAAAGTCCCAGAAGAAGAAATCCTAAAATCCTCGTACCATTCTCTGGTTCCATGTGGTTGAGGTGACTACCAGTCAGAGAAAGAGAACATGACCAATTTTTACTCAAAAGGGCATCACTCACATTGTTGAAAGACAACCAGTTATATTTTGCAGCCAAGACATTAATTTCTATATTTTGTGTATGGAACTTTTCCCAGTTTCTGTGCTCCTCAGAGCTGTCTCTGATTGAAAATTCTTGTGCTATTCTCAACCTTTCCCTAAGAGGTTGTATATTCTTTAATGAGAAATTCTTCTACGCACTTGTGTAATATTGATTGTATGCTGACCATGTTCCAGGAACTGTCTAGGTAATGAGTGTAGGGTGCAGAGAAACTGATAACCTTACTATCCAATGATGGAGAAAGACAATGAGCTGATAAAGACATCATCATCTGTTGCGTTAGATGGTGCTTAGAAGAAAATGAAAGCACATTAAAGAGAATGGAGAGGGGTTGCTATTTTTTATGAGTGTACAGGCAAGACCAGCAGACAAGGTGACATTTGAACAGAGACCTCAAGGAAGAGGCGGTTGGGAGCCCAGAGGATATTTGGCGAAGTCTGTGCCTGACAGAGGGAATGACTAATGCAAAGGCCTGAGGAAGGTGCTTGTTTCGGAAAATCAAGGCTCAAATAGAAGCCAGCGTGTTGAGGGCAATGAGAAGGAGGGAGAGTGATCAGAGATGGTGTCAGGAGTATTGAGGAACCAGGTGGTCTCCCTGCTGCTGTTGAAACTTCAAGACACTGACAGCCTCGTCTCCCCATGTGGTTCTGAGCCCTCTATTAATGTGGCCCCCTAAGGACGTAAACAGGGCAGCAAATTCCAGCCCAAAAGCTTCCCATGCACATGTAAATGTGGGGCTCCATTTTATATCATCACTTTGTGCCTGGTATTTAACAAAATACATGAGAATTTGCTGAATAAACAAAGAGATGCATGAAATAGGCATGATGTACACAGGTGGTTGATGAGAGACTGTGACGAAAACAGCTTCCTCGTTTCTGGCAATGTTCAATCCTGGTTATAGACCCCGATGCCCAGAATAATTCATAATTAATAAAAGTGATATCTTTATAGGGTCAAGACATCTTACAGATTGAAGACCCCAAGAGAAAATGAAGAAAGGGAATAAACCCACACTTCACAAAAGGAATCACACAAAGTCCAACAAAAGCGGGGGGCGGTTAAAGATGCAATTGTGAAAGACATGTGTAAATTGTAGTAAATGCAAAGCAATGTATGTAAAAAACTTGGCATGTCTCATTTTTGTTCTTAAATGAATGGTTATCACTGGTGATGAGATGAGACTGATGTTGCTCTTCCACCTCTCATTTACCTGTTTTGTAATGTGAAACATCTATCATCACAAAAAAAAGTTTGGAGTTTTGCATCTACTCTGTACCTGCTGTTGGACCTTGAAAAGCCTATAAAGTCATTCTAAATTTTTAAAAATTTTTTATAAATACATAATAGTTGCACATATTTATGGGGTACATGTGATACTTTGATATAAGCATACAACGCATAATGATCAAATATGGGTAACTGGCATACCTGCCCTCTCAAACATTTATCATTTCTTTGTATTGGAAACACTCGTATCTTCTCTTCTAGCTATTTGGAAATATATAATAAATTATTAAGTATAGTCATTCTATTGTGCTGTGGAACAGTAGATCTTATTCCTTTCATCTAACTGTAGAACTTATTCCTTTCATCATCAAAAAGCATACACATAGACCAATGGAACAGAAGAGTAAACCCAGAAATAAATTCATGCATTTACAGCCAACTCATTTTTGACAAAGGTGCCAAGAACACACATTGGAAAAAGACAAGCTCTTCAATAAATGGTGGTAGGAAAACTGGATATCCACATTCAAGAGAAATGGAATTAGATCCCTATCTGTCACTACATAGAAAAATAATTTTAAAATAGAAAAAAAGACATAAATGAAAGGCTCAAAACTATGAGATTCATAGAATAAAACATAAGGGAAATTCATGGCATTGATCTAGGCAAGTAATTTTTTTGCATTTTTAAATTTATTATTGCTATTTTTAAAAATTGTCATTTTTATTGTGGGTACATAGAAGGCATGTATATTTCTGGAGTACATGGGATGTTTTAATACAGCTATATGATTCATATCAATCACATCAGGATAACTGGGGTATCCATTGCCTCAAGCATTTATCAATCCCTTGTGTTAGAAACATTCCAATTCCACTCCTTTAATTATTTCAAAATATACAATAAATTATTGTTGACTACAATCCCCTTGTTGTGTTATTAAATATTAGATCTTGGCCAGGCACGGTGGCTAATACCTCTAATCCCGGCACTTTGGAAGGCTGAGGCAGGCAGATCGCTTGAGGTCAGGAGTTCGAGACCAGCCTGGTCAGCATGGTGAAACCTGTCTCTACTAAAAATACAAAAATTAGCCAGGCGTGGTGGTGCATGCCTGTAATCCCAGCTACTCGGGAGGCTGAGGCACAAGAATCGCTTGAACTCAGGAAGCAGAGGTTGCAGTGAGCTGAGATCATGCCACTGCTCTCCAGCCAGGGTGACAGAGCCAGATTCCATCTCAAAAAAAAAAAAAAAAAAAAAAGGATCAAAACGAACAAATGCTAACAAGGATGCGGAGAAAAAGGAAGTCTTTTTCTTTTTCTTTTTTAACAAGAGACAGGACCACACTGTGTCACCCAGGCTGGAATGCAGTGGCTCAATCATAGCTCACTGCAACCTTCAACTGGGCTGAAGCAATCCTTCAACGTCAACCTCCTGAGTAGCTTGGACTGCAGTCATGCACCACCACACCCAGCTAATTAAAACAATTTTTTTTAGAAAAGAAGTCTCATTATGTTGTCCAGGCTACTCTCAGTCTGGCCTCAAGCAGCCTCCCGCCTCAGTCTATCCAGTTGCTGGGATTATATCTATAAGCCACCAGGCCTGGCTAAGAAAGAGAAGCTCTTGTACATTGTTGCTGGAGTGAAATTTAGTACACTTATTATGAGAAACAGGATGGAAATTCCTCAAAAAAATAAAAATGCAACTACCACATAATCCAACAATTCTACTACTGGGCATTAATCAAAAAAAAAAAATGAAAAGAGTGTATCAAAGAGATATCTGCACTATTCACTCTTTTTTTTTTTTTTGAGATGGAGTTTCACTCTTTCACCCAGGCTGGAATGAAGTGGCGTGATCTCAGCTCACTGCTACTTCCATCCCCCGGGTTCAAGTGATTCTCCTGCCTCAGCCTCCTGAGTAGCTGGGATTATAGGTGTGTGCCACCACGCCCAGCTAATTTTTCTATTTTTAGTAGAGACGGGGTTTCTCCATTTTGGCCAGGCTGTTCCCAAACTCCTGACCTCAGGTAATCCATCCGCCTTGGCCACCCAAAGTGCTGGGATTACAGGCGTGAGCCACCGTGCCCGGCCTGATAAGCTACACTATTCACAATAGCCAAGGTATGAAGTCAAAGTGTCCATCAATGAATGGACTTTTAGAAGTAATATACATAGACAGTGGAATGCTGTTCAGCCCAAAAAAGAAGGAAATCTTATCATTTGTGACGATATGGATGAACCTGGAGAACACTGTGTTAAGTGAAATAAACCAGACACAGAAAGACAAATTCCTCATGGTCTCATTCATATGTGGAATTTTAAAAGTCGATCCGATAGAAATATCAATTAGAATGGTGGTTACTAGAGGCTGGGGCAGTTGAGGGAGAAGGGGTATGAAGTTTTTTGTTGAAGGATACACAATTGCACTTAGGAGAAATAAATTGAAGAGATCTGTTGTAAAGCACACTGACTATTTGATGATGATATATTGTATTCTTGAAAAACGCTAAGACAGTAGGTTTTTGTTTGTTTTGAGACAGAATTTTGCTCTTGTTGGTCAGGCTGGAGTGCGATGGCACGATCTCGGCTCACTGTGACATCTGCCTCCCAGGTTCAAGTGATTCCCCCGCCTCAGCCTACCGAGTAGCTGGGATTACAGGCACCCACCACCACGCCCAGCTAATTTTTGTATTTTTAGTAGAGAGGGGGGTTTCACCATATTGGTCAGGCTCGTCTCGAACTCCTGACCTCAGGTGATTCACCCGCCTTGGCCTCCCAAAGTGCTGGGATTACAGGCGTGACCCACAGCACCTGGCCTAAGACAGTAGATTTTAAGTGTTCTCACCACACACACACACACACACACACACACACACACACAAACTAGGTGAGGTAATGTGTATAGTAGTTAGCTAGCTTTAATCATTCCACAATGTATATATACTTCAAAACATCATGCTGTACACAATAAATACATAAAATTGTATCTGTCAATTTTAAAAATAAATAAATAACTTTGTAAACTTAAGATGATCCTTATAAGGTGCTAATCTCAGGGCAGCTTGCATAAAAGGGTCTTAATATATCTCATAATTACCAAATGTTTTATACTTGGAGGATAAAATAATAGTTCTTAACCTGGGTTATAAGTATGAAATGTCTCATTGTTCTGGCTAAAGCATGATGCAATCAGACAAGTAGTAACCACGCTTTTAAATCAAGAGAACACAGTTCACCTCTTGCTGAAGAGGGGAATAGCAATTTTCCAGAGATATCAAGGGCTGTGCTCCCAGCAAAAGTCAATGCTTTGTAGATCTAAGGGACCTAGCCAAAACAGCTTCCTTTGTTTCGACTTTGGAGAAAATGTTCCCTCAGGGTTATGGTAATATAAGAGGAGGTTAGAACTCTGGAACTCAGGCCAGTCGATAGAGAAGGAGAAATAAAGGCTGGATGCACCTCATGTTTAATCAGGTGTCTTGGGAACAGAGGATGCAGGAACAAATATATATATATATATATATATATATATATATATATATATATATATATACAAAAATATATATAAATATATATAAACAAAAATATATAAATATAAATAAATAAATATATATATCTATATATATACACACACACACACTATATACTATATACACACACATATATCTTTCAGTGCCAGGCAATGTCCTATGGGGATGTGAGTGGTCAGGGTTGGAATAACAGGAGGAAATGTGCCAAATGAACAGATATACAAAGCTCTAAATATCTCCTCTGCGTTGGCCCTCAGCAAATGCAACCTTGGCCTGAATGGGACATGCTTGTTTCTTTTGGAGTCCTCCGACTTGGGGACTGATGCTTTGCTTTCTGCTGCTGTCTGGTCTCAGGACAGCTTCCGTCTCCATCATCAACAATCCAGGGAGGAATTTGCACCTCCTCATGGAGGCCTTCCTTTCAGAAAACTCAGCAAGGTGAGTCCAATAGCCTCAGCTGGTACCAGTAGGTACCGTAGGAAATGTAGCTAACTACTATACACTTGACCTTACCTAGGTTTTTTTTGTTTTTTTTTTTTTTTTTTTCTGTTGAGAACACTTAAAATCTACTTCTTAGGCCAGGTGCGGTGGCTCACACCTGTAATCCCAGCACTTTGGGAGGACAAGGCAGTTGAATCACCTGAGGTCAGGAGTTCGAGACCAGCCTTGCCAACATGGTGAAGCCCACCACCGTCTACTAAAAATACAAAAATTAGCTGGGGCGTGGTAATGTGCTCCAGTAATCTCAGCTACTCGGGAGGCTGAGGCGGTACCAGTAGGTACCATAGGAAAGGGTCAGAGAGAATGGCAGCTATGACCATGGACCTGAGGTCACCTGAGAGCCAGTCTAGACTAGCCCTGAGCAGAGAAACTTCTGCGATCATTTGTCTGCTTGCTTGATTCATTTATTCATGTATTTGTTTATGATACTAAAAAGAAAAGTGAATATTGAGCTCAGAATTGAAGAGTGATTATTGAAAGTTAAGTAAGGGTAACGGAAGCCCAGTTGGAAGGGGACATGGGAGATTTAAAGTGGCTCCAGTAAAAGTAGAACATTTGCCCTAGCATTTTTGCAATTAAATGGAGAAGAGAACTAGGCTATTAGCTGTGAAGGGAGATACACTGAAGTGAGGGCGTGCCTTTTTTAGGTTTAAGAAGAGACATATTTGAGGATGTTTTCACATTGATGAGAAAGGTCTAAACCAATGAATTGCTTCCAAATGCTACCTGACCACAGCAGTTTATGAGACAAACATCTTGCAGTGTCTTCTCTCATGCTGTTCATTCAAATGAAAGTTTAGAAGTTATTCAGTAAATGAAAAGTGATATACTAACAACACTAACTTTGCAATTCTCTCCTCACTTGTGAGGCTAAATATATTTCTGTGTTTGTTAGACATTTACCAACTCTATTGCAAATTATCTGTGCATGTTCTTTGCTTTTGTTTTTGTTTTGTTTTCTGTTTTTGTTTTTGTTTTGTTTTGTTTTTGAGACAGGGTCTCACTGTGTTGCCCAGGCCGGAGTGCAGTGACATGATCTCTGCTCACTGCAGCCTCTGCCTCCTGTGTTCAAGCGATTCTCCTGCCTCAGCCTCCTGAGTAGCTGGTATTACAGGCTCATGCCACCACACTCAGCTTATTTTTGTGTTGTTAGTAAAGACGGGGTTTCACCATGTTGCCCAGGCTGGTCTCAAACTTCTGACCTCAAGTGATCTGCCCACCTCAGCCTTCCAAAGTGTGGGATTCCAGGAGTGAGCCACCATGCCCAGCCTTGTTCTTTGCTTTTGTATGATGGGTTTGTAATGTTCTTATTCCTATTTTTATTGCATTTTTGAAATAAAAATTGGAGTTGTTTTCACCGATGTTGGCATTTGTCATGTCATTCTTTTATATATGTATCAGTGCATTTGAGAGGAATGTGTGAAAGGTCTTTTTTTTGTTTTTTCTTTTTTTTGAGATGGAGTCTCACCCTGTCACCCAAGCTGGAGTGCCGTGTCGCGATCTCGGCTCGAGTAGCTGGGATGACAGGCACGTGCCACCACGCCCTGCTAATGTTTTGTATTTTTAGTAGAGACAGGGTTTCACCATGTTAGCCAGGATGGTCTCAATCTCCTGACATCAGTTTATAAAGCTGATGTAGCCAAATCCATCCATTGGTCATAGTGTGTCCCCTCGTTGCTTTGTAAATGCAGAAAGCTCTGTATCATTTTGCCAGATAAATATCCTTTTATGGATTACATTTCCAACTTGCTTTCATAGCTCTGTCATGCTTTATTGCACCTTTTGGCTTTTTGAATTTGACCTCTGTCTAGAAGTTGCATCTCCTTTGGCCATCATTTGAAAATCATTCTTTATCATCTGACTCAAGACCACTTTTATCTCTCATAAACATATTTGAATCTTCCCATATTTATGTCATATGAAATTATAACCTTAGATACATATGAAGGATGAAATAACAGCTCTTAACCTGTGTTATAAGTATGAGATTTCTAATTGTTCTGGCTAAAGCATGATGAAATCAGATAAGTAGTAACCATGCTTTTAAATCAAACCTGCTCCTACTTTTTTTTTTTTCTGAGACAGAGTCTTGCCCTGTCGCCCAGGCTAGAGTGCAGTGGCGCTATCTCAGCTCACTGCAACCTCCGCCTCCCAGATTCAAGCGATTCTCATGCCTCAGCCTCCCGAGTAGCTGGGATTACAGGCATCCAACACCACGCCTAGCTAATTTTTGTATTTTTAGTAGAGATGGGGTTTCACCATGTTGGCCAGGCTGGTCTCGAATTGCTGACCTCATGATCCACCCACCTCGGCCTCCCAAAGTGCTGGGATTACAGGCGTGAGCCACTGCACCAGGCCAGTTTCTGTGAACATTCTTTTTCTATACTATGCACACATACATTTTATGCAAATGCACGAATACTACAGTTTATGCAAATGCATGAATACTATCCTATGCATATCACTAATACTCTATATAATAGTGTAATTTTTTCATATTTTTTCCCCTTTCCTTTTCTATTATACAAATCTTCTAAAAGTACTTTCAAACATTTATGTTAAGTCTGTGGTTCTCACTGTGGTGGCTTTGTCTGCCAACTGACATTGAGCAATGACTTGCCTGGGGAGGGTCAGTAAAGAACAAGGAAGCTGTTAAATAGTACAATGAACAGGACAGACCCCAGCACAGTAAGTGATGCAGCCCAGTATTTCAGTAGTGCTGGGACTGAGAAACTTGAGTTAATGAATATCTGTATTACTAATATTTATAGCTGCATCTAGATTGCTTCCCCAAGACCCTGTAACACTTCACATTTCTGCCAGGAAAATTAGAGTCCCCCTTTGCTGCCTCTTTTAAACATCCAACCCCTCTCAAGGTGGCAGCTGTTGAAGCTTTTCCCCAGGCTGATGGTTGTGATAGAGATTTCTTGTTGTCTTAAACTATTCCTGGGCTTGAGCAGACAGTCATATATATGATCATCGTTTTTACCTACTTATTATTATATGCCCATTTTTCTATAATTTGCCACATTTCAAGTGATTTTTAAATTGTATTGCTTCTTCATGGACTTGCAAGGGTATACTTTTTCTTATTTAGCTAACTACATACTAATCTTGCTTCTGTTTCTTGCCTTTGTTAAGATGTTTTCCCTACACATAGATTTTGTGTGTGTGTGTATGTGTGTTATAAATACATTTTCAGTGCCACCAAAGAAATAGCATTTGAACATCAATTTATTTTCTCAGCAAGGCAATTTTTACTTCTATAAAAGGGTACAACTCGCAGATGGAGTAATGGTGAGAGCACACCTGAACAAGGGAGGGGAAGGGGTTTTTATTCCTGACCCACATAGCCCCTACTGCTGTGTCGTTCCCCTGTTGGCTAGAGTTGGACCGCACAGTCTGAGCTAATTCCGAGTGACTATTTTAAAGAGAGCAGGGGTAAGAGCCAGAATGGCGTGGTGAGCAGTTTGGCGGGAAAGATGGTTACACAACAGGTAACTAAAGGTGACTTAGGTCAGAGTGGGTGACCGGGGTGACTCAGGTCAAAGCAGGTGACCAGGTTGAGTCAGGACAGAGCAGGTGACCAGGGGAACAGATGTGAACTACTGATTAAAACTGGTGGAAAAGGTGTTTACTGAAACTACAAGGAAGTTAAACTTTAAAATGGAGGACAGAGAACTGAACATATTGACATACTGATTCTTTGAAGACAAATCTAGAATTCACTGTATCCAACACATGCATTTTTTACTTTTATACTGAGGTCTTTAAACCTGCTAATTCTTTATAGGCCATGAGAGAGTGGGCGAACTAATTGTCTCCAGGTGGATGGCCATTTATAGCAGCTGTCACTCAATGATCCAAATAAATTGAAATACAATCTTGCATATGTTAAATATTCATATATATTGAGACTTATTTCCTGATCATTCAACAAATAGCATCTGCTATGTGTCAGAACATTCTAGGAATGCTATATATTATGTAATTTTATATCTAGGATGTTGCCAAATAAATAACGAATTCATTTGATATCATTAAATTATTATTTTATATCTTGCTTCAGTTAATTTTTGATGATCCATACAATTTTATTTAATACAGCTTTTGAAATTATTGTATTTACCCTGGCTTTATTCCCCTAACATTCTTTTTATTTCCTATCTTCTTGCTTTAAATTGTTGGTATATAAAACACACATATTTGTATATCTTTGTGAAAATACAAAGGTAAACACAACAGGAGAAGTTGTACCTGTGTGGATCTTGCATTATAATGATTAGAGCAGAGTACAATGCTATAAATGTGCATATAAGACAATGTAGGATTTCATTCATTGCAAATGGTTAAAATTATCATCATCTATGTGGGATTTTATAGAGTGTGGTCTGGAGAGGCCATTGCATGTTAGATGAAGACCAGAACCAGGACTAAATGGGGCCAGCGGAATCTGTCAAAACAGAAGACCACAAACCACAAAGGAAAGATGCCACACAAGAAAAGTGAGAAGGGGGCTGCCTCACCTACTATCAGACCATATAAAAACCCCTTGATTTAAAACATATTAAATAAGCACAAGAAACAACAAGTCTTCTACTGTTTTTGTAAAAAACAAACAAACAAAAAAAATGAATTGTTGGTTTATTTCATTTGCTCATTTTTTATTGGCATTCTCAAGCTGTAGGTGTCTTGACACAGAGAAAACATAATTACGTATGTCATTTGGTAAATTTCCTTTGTCATTTATAATTTTTGCTGAGTATCAAGGGGATATAGTGGGACTCAAAATATCTCCACAACTAATAATGATTTTTCTTTCTTATGGTCCCTTGTAGATCACCTGAGACTTTTAGACCATTTCCCTCCCATAATATCCACATAATTTTTCTCTCTGTGTGTTTATTGAGAAGATTATTTTCTATTTCTTTAAACACAAGGCAGAAAATAGCCATACTAAAATGGAGCTCAAGGCTACTTGTGCATCGAGATTTCCAAAGTGGAATTTCTAGATATCATTTCTGTTTTCTCTCAAGAGAAAAATTAATTGATATTGACAACTTGCCTGGTACCCACTCCTTTCTAGTAGTATGATTGAGCACAAAAGAATATTGGTGTAACATAGACCCAGGGGGTCATGGTATGCTCCATGTGTGTATACATTGTGTGTGTGTGTGTGTGTGTGTGTACATGCATGCACGCATGCCTTTAGAGTGAGAGGAGGTTTCAGAGAAAGGGAGCTTTGGCTCTATGTTCCAAAAGGTAACTCATCACACAGAGGCCAGAACTCAAGGCAACAGTAACAGTAGCAAACAAAGAAGAAATGCATTGCAATTCATGTGACACTGTTTGCAGCCAAATTAGCAAAGTGCCAATGCAACAACATCTGGTCAGAGGGACTCCTTGTGTCTTCAATTTCAGCCACTTCAAAGTCAGCTCTTTCCCCAACATCCCCTGAAACCATCTCTCATCCCTCTCCTTTTGCTCATTCCCCTGCTACACTGGCTTCCTTGCTGGCCTTGAACATGTGCAAGAAGCACATTCCTCTGAGTCTCTCATTAATCCTTCCTTCTGCCTTGCACACACTTCTGCGGGCCACATGGTGACTTCTGCCCTGCCTTCACTATGGTCTCTGTTCATTTGTCACCTGGTCTGCTGGTATTGCATCAATGACCAGTAAAAAAATAGTAAAAAAAAAAAAACAAAAAAAACCCACCCCGTCCACACTTTCCTTCTTATTTCTTTTTTCCTCTTCAAAGGGTTTGTCACCATCGGATACCATATGGTGACACCATATGGTATTTCTCTTGTTTGTTTGTATTCTTTCTCTGTCACTGATTTGCAGCAACTTTTTTTTTTTTTCCGGAGTCTCGCTCTGTCACCCAGGCTGAAGTGCAGTGGCATGATCTTGGCTCACTGCAACCTCCACCTCCCAGGTTCAAGCAATTCTCCCGCCTCAACCTCCAGAGTAGCTGGGACTACAGGCGCGTGCCACCACATCCAGCTATATATATATATATATATATATATATATATATATTTTTTTTTTTTTTTTTTTTTTTTTTGTATTTTTTGTAGAGATGAGAATTCACCATATTGGTCAGGCTGGTCTCGAGCTCCTGATGTCAGGTGATCCACCCACCTCGGCCTCCCAAAATGCTGGGATTACACGTGTGAGCCACCCCACCCAGCCTGTAGTGACTTTTGTTTTATAGAACTAATTATTCAATGTCCAGACAGTATTTGTAACACTTCAGAATTCACTTTATAGTCCTCAAATGCCTAAAAATTTTCTCATGAATACTGCAGAGTTCATGCACTCAGGGAAAGACTGTGAGTGGGACAAGAATTCCTAACCAGGGTTGTCAAAGGGATGCCCTAACAGAGGCTAGATTCACACGCAAAATGTAGAAATTAACTTCTTGTAAAATGGAGGTTACCAGAGCCTGGGAGAATTGGGGGAGGGGGGTTGTTGGCAAGATGATGGTCAATGAATACAAAATTACAGTTAAACTAAAAAAAAGTTCAAGAGATCTATTGTACAGTATGTTGACTCTAGTCAATGGTAATACATTGTATTTGTGAAAAATCCTAAGAGAGTGGATGTAGAGTGTTTTCACCACAAAAATGATGACTATGTGAGGTGATATTAATTAATATTAATTGACAAGATTTAGCCAATCCACAATGTAAATATACTTCAAAACATCATACACAGCAAATACAAACAATTCTGTCAACTTAAAAAGAAATAAAATGTATTTTAAAAATTAAGTTATTGACCGTAGAATATAAATGACAGCATTTCTGATAGGTTTGTAATGCACGCTTTCATCAAGTTCTTTTTCTCTCATTTTGAAAGTCATTATCAATCACATAGAACCAGGGAATGATACACAGATTTCAGAATTTCTTCTTCTGGGACTTTCAGATAAACCAGAATTGCAGCCCTTCCTCTTTGGGCTGTTCTTCTCCATGTACCTGGTCACTGTGCTTGGGAATCTGCTCATCATCCTGGCCACAATCTCAGACTCCCACCTCCACACCCCATGTACTTCTTCCTCTCCAACCTGTCCTTTGCGGACATCTGTTTCATCTCTACTACAATCCCAAAGATGCTCGTAAACATCCAGACACAGAGCAGAGTCATCACTTATGCAGGCTGCATCACCCAGATGTGCTTTTTTGTACTCTTAGAAGCACTGGACAGCTTACTCCTGACCGTGATGGCCTATGACCAGTTTGTGGCCATCTGTCACCCCCTGCACTACATGGTCATCATGAGCCCCTGGTTCTGTGGACTGCTGGTTCTGGCATCCTGGATCATCATGAGCCCCTGGCTCTGTGGACTGCTGGTTCTGGCATTCTGGATTATCAGTGATCTGGATTCCTCATTACATAGCTTGATGGTGCTGTCACTGCCCTTCTGCACAGATTTCCAAATTCCACATTTTGTCTATGAACTTAATCAGGTCATCCGCCTTGCCGGTTCTGATACCTTTCTTAATGACATGGCGATGTATTTTGCAGTAGGGCCACTGGGTGGAGTTCCCCTCGCTGGGATCCTGTACTTGTACTGTAAGATAGTTTTCTCCATACGTGCAATCTCATCAGCTCAGGGGAAGTACAAGGCATTTTCCACCTGTGCATCTCATCTCTCAGTTGTCTCCTTATTTTATGGTAGGAGCCTAGGGGTGTACTTTAGTTCTGCTCCTACCCAAAACTCTCACTCAGGTGCTGCAGCTTCAGTGATGTACACTGTGGTCACCCCCATGCTGAACCCCTTCATCTGCAGTCTGAGGAATAAAGACATAAAGAGAGCTCTGAATCAATTCATCAGGGTAGTGCCATTCTTCAGGAAGTGACAGTGATCCCAGAGCTCTAAGCCTTGGACTGAGAAATTGTGATTTGTGAACCAGATTCTGGAAGTAGGACTTGTCTCTTCTATTTATTAGCTGGAGTTTCAATTTCTTTGATTGCCACTATTCTATAGAATTTACACTTTTCTGTGGAAAACTGCTCCTTGATATCCAACAGTGTTTTGTTTTGTTTGTTTTGTTTTGTTTTTGTCATTTTCCTACTTTTCCAAAGTTATTCCCAAACTAAGGTCAGAAACAAAGTGGAGATTCCTATTAGTCTCATAGAGTTGTGAGCTGTGTTAGCCCAAAGAATAAATTACACTTGGCAACTATAAAGTCATTAATGTAATCTTTTTCTTTTTTTTTGAGACAGTTTCGCTCTTGTCACCCAGGTTGGAGTGCAATGGTGCCACCTTGGCTCACTGCAACCCCCACCTCCCAGGTTCAAGCAATTCTTCTGCCTCAGTCTCCGGAGTAGCTGGATTCAGGTGCCTGCCATCACGCCCGGCTAATTTTTTGTACTTTTAGTAGAGACGGGGTTTCACCATGTTGACCAGGCTGGTCTCAAACTCCTGACCTCAGAGATCCGCCCGCCTTGGCCTCCCAAAGTGCTGGGATTACAGGCATGAGCCACTGCACCCAGCCTCATTCATGTAATTTTATTGTAGATAAATATCTGAGACCACAGTTTTTCTTTTCTGAGTCCACCATTCTTTGCTCTATCACTACTTGACTGCTCTACTTGACAATGTAAACCTTAACACATTAGTGTGTTTACAGCTCATCGTGGCATTTCATTCTTCTCATTAGGATCCTGTGCTCTATTCAGCCCAGTGTCCATGGTGCCTACCACACTCCCTGGGCAGGAATAGAACAAAAATTGCAGGCTGGGTGCAGTGGCTCACGCCTGTAATCCTAGCACTTTGGGAGGCCAAGGTGGGTGGATCACAAGGTCAGGAGTTCAAGACCTGCCTGGCCAACATGGTGAAACCCCGTCTCTACTAAAAATACAAAACTTAGCCAGGTGTGGTGGCGGGTGCCTGTAGTCCCCGCTACTTGGGAGGCTGAGGTACTTATACCTGACTCTTACATGGGTCCACAGCCTTGGTCCTTGATATGGTTTGGCTGTGTCCCCACCCAAATCTCACCTTGAATTGTAATAATCCCCATGTGTCATCAAGAGTGGGGCCAGGTGGGGATAATTGAACCATGGGGGCGGTTTCCCCCATACTGTTCTCATGGTAGTGAATAAATCTCATGAGATCTGACGGTTTTATAAATGAGAGTTCCCTTGCACAAGCTCTCTTGCTTGCTGCCATGTAAGATGTGACTTTGCTTTTTATTCGCCTTCCGCCATGATTGTGAGGCCTCCCCAGCCATGTGGGACTGTAAGTCCATTAAACCTCTTTCCTTTATAAATTACCCAGTCTCAGGTATGTCTTTATTAGCAGTGTGAGAATAGACTAATACATCGTGTTAAGTGTTCTTAACACCAAAACAAAACAAGAAAAAGACACAGGATACTCTGGGAAATGATGGATTGTATTTTTCGTAGAGACAGGGTTTCACCATGTTGGTCAGGCTTGTCTTGAACTTCCGACCTCAAGTGATCCACCCGCCTCAGCCTCCCAAAGTCCCAGGTTTACAGGCGTGAGCCACCGTGGGCCTAATAAATGGTTTATAAATGAAGGACGAGGACAGCTCTTGACTTGTGTCACAAGCGGATCTCCTCATTTTTTCATCAAAAGTGTTATGAAGCCAAGGAGTACGGTATCTATGATTTTATATCAAAGGAATATAGTTCTCTCCCTTGTTGAAGAAAACAATAACAGTTTTCTGGAGGTATCAGGGGTGAGGGCTGTGCCCACCATGTCAATGCTTTGGAAGTCCAAGAAACCTAGTCAGGGAAGGTTCTTCAGTTTTTGAGTTTTGGGGAAACTTTCTCTCAGGGTTGGGACAAGGTGATGGGAGGTTAGACCTCTGGAAAGCAGAAGAGTTCATGGAGAAGGAATAATAAAGACTAGATGCGCCTGACTCTTTTTATTTTATTTTATTTTATTTTACTTTAAGTTCTGGGATACATGTGCAGAGCATGCAGTTTGGTTACATAGGTATACATGTGCCATGTCGTTTGCTGCCCCTATCAACCCATCATCTAGGTTTTAAGCCCCGAATGCATTAGGTATTTGTCCTAATGCTCTCCCTTCCCTTGTCCCCCACCCCCTGACAGGCCCCAGTGTGTGATGTTCCCCTCCCTGTGTCTATGTGTTCTCATGATGCACCTAACTTTTAACTTGGACTCTTGAAGGCAAAGAATCTGCAAGAAAAGTTTCCTTTCTGTGCAAAGCAATGTCCCACAGGAAAATGATGTGCTGGGGGTCTGAATAATAAGCTATGTGCCCAACAAGCAGATACAGAGAGCTATAAATATCACTGTTGTCCCTCAGCGTGTACAACCTTGGGCTGGAAGGGACACATGTGATTATTTATTCTGGAGTGCTAGGTCTACCTCAGGGACCAGTGCTTGACTCCTTCCTGCTGTCTTGTCTGGCGACAGAGTTTCAGTCTCCACCATCAACCATTCAGAGAAGAATTTGAATTCCCACACAGAGACTTTCCTCTGAGAGATCCCATCCAG
Source organism: Homo sapiens (assembly GCF_000001405.40). Lineage (NCBI taxonomy): Eukaryota > Metazoa > Chordata > Mammalia > Primates > Hominidae > Homo > Homo sapiens. The sequence continues at coordinate 14,920,037 of NC_000019.10, forward strand.
GTGAGTCGGAGAGCCCAGTAGCTACTTCAGAAAAGCTTCAGAGAGAATAGAAACAGAGAATATTTACCCGAGGTCACTTGAGAGTCAGTTCAGCCTAGTCCAGAGCCCAGAGATTGCAGTGGGGTTTTTTTTTTTTTTTTTGCTTGTCTGCTTAATTAATTCAGGTTTTCGTTTATGACGCTAAAAAGAGACATGAACATTGACCTCAGCAATATACTGCTCGCTGTTGATATTTAAGTGATGGAAGCATAATGAGAAGAGGAAACTGTAGGCATAGAGTGGTTCCAGTAGAAGCAGAACAAATGTCCACGAATCTCTACAATTTTCGGAAGCAGACAAATAGGGTATTGGCTCGGGAGGGATACACACTGATGTGAGCGCATTCTCTCTTTTTTTTTTTTTTTGAGAAGGAATCTGGCTCTGTCGCCCAGGCTGGAGTGCAGTGGGGAGATCTCGGCTCACTGCAACCTCCACTTCCCAGGTTCAAGCGATTCTCCTACCTCAGCCTCCTGAGTAGCTGAGACTACAGGCGCCTGCCACCACGCCCAGCTAATTTTTTGTATTTTAGTAGAGACGGGTTTCACCGTGTTAGCCAGGATGGTCTTGAACTCCTGACCTTGTGATCTGCCTGCCTCGACCTCCCAAAGTGCTGGGATTACAGGCATGAGCCACCGTGCCTGGACTCTTTTGTTTTTAAGATGGAGTATATTTGAGCATGCTTCCACACTGGTGAGAAAGATCCAGACCAGTGGATTGTTTGCTAATGCTACCTTACAACAGTAGTTCATGAGGCATACGTTTTGCAGTAGTCTCCCTTCATGCTAGGTAGTCAGATGGAAAAAGTATACATTGGATAGGTGGAAATGGGTGCACTAATGAGCTTTATTTGCGATTATTTCTTCACTGCTGAGTCTGAATATATTTGTGGGTTTGTTAGACATTTACTTTCTCAATTGCAAATTGTCTGTGTGAGTGCTTTGCTTTCGTGGAGTGGGTTTGTTTGCAGTGTCTTTATTTCTGTTTTTGATTGCATTCTTTCAAACATAAGAACTGGAGTTTTAGGCCAGGCAGGGTGGCTAATGCCCATAATCCCAGCACTTTGGGAGGCTGAGGTGGGCAGATTGCTGGAGCTCAGGAGTACGAGACCAGCCTGGGCAACGTAGTGAAATCCCATTTCTACAAAAATAAACACAAAAATTAGCCAGGCATGGTGGCATGCACGTGCAATCCCAGCTACTGGGAGGCTAAGGTGGGAGGATGGCTTGAGCCCAGGAGGCAGAGGTTGCAGTGAGCTGAGATCATGCCACTGCACTCCAGCCTGGGCGACAGAGCCAGACCTTATCTCACAAAACAATAAAAGGAATTGGAGTTAAGGTGGGGTATATTTGAGTATATACCACCACCTTTGCTGTTTAACATTTGGTTATGTTATGTACATATAGATGTACTGCATATTTTATGTACGTATAGACGCATCTATACATGTGTAGATATATGAAAGTTTGTAAGTTTTGTGTGATCAAATCTATCTGTCATACTGTGTTCCCCTGATTGCTTTTATAAACATACAAAGTTCTTCTGCATCATTTGAGTAAATAAATGGCCTTTAATACGTTTCCAATTTATTTTTGTCTGTGTTATTTGTAATTGCACCTTTGTCCTTTTGTCGTTCAATCTATTTCTACAAGTCACACTGTCTTTGACCATCATTTGGAAGGCATTCTTCTTCTTCATTTGACTAAAGATCACCTTTATCTTTTATAAACATATTTGATCCATGTTTCTTTACGTAAGATAAAACTATAAATTTAGATATCTGTCGCTCAATTATACAGTATATTCTCTTGTGACTAGGTCTGTGTTTTGTTTTGTTTTGTTTGTTTTCTTTTTTGAGACAGAGTCTCGTTCTGTTACCCAAGCTGGAGTGCAGTGGCATGATCTTGGCTCACTGCAACCTCCGTCTCCCAGGTTCAAGCGATTCTCCTGTCTCAGCCTCCCAAGCAGCTGGGATTACAGGCATGCGCCACCACGCCTGTCTAATTTTTGTATTTTTTGGTAGAGACGGGGTTTCTCCATGTTGGCCAGGCTAGTCTTGAACTCCTGATCTCAAGTGATGCTTCTGCCTTGGTCTCCCAAAGTGCTGGAATTAGAGGCATGAGCCACCACACCCAGCCTTGTCCTGGTGTTTTATGTTTGTACTTTAATAAATTGGCTCCAAAGATGTCCCATGAATTGAAATGCATCTCCTGTTTATTTTCATATGCTGCCTTGTGTTCTGACCTCTGTATTCTGAGTCATCTTTTGGAATATATTGAGTCTAGATCCCTTTATTCTTAAAAGGAATATTTCTACCTCAGTTGTATGTTATATTCTCTTATGCGTAGGTCTTTGCGACTATATTTATCCACATTGAAATCATTAAATTACTGCTATTTCGTGTCTCGTTTCGGTTCATTACTGATGCTTCTTTTGATTTTATTTAATATATTGTTATTTTGAAACCACTATATTTAAACTGATTTTATTCTCTTGCCATTCTTTTCATCTCATTACTTCTCATTTTCTTAAAACGTGTTTCTATACGATGCACATGTATTCACATACATTTGTGAAAACACAAAAGTGAACAAAGCAAGTTAAGTCCCCACTCATTTATATTTGGCATGAGAATGGTGAAGACAGAATACAATGAAATAAATGTGTGTATGACACGATGTCCTCAGGGATTAATTGCATGAAGAAGGCATTTCAGTGTAAAAGGACTTGTCACAGTGTGCACAGAATTTTACGTAATAATATCAGCGAAGCCTTTGCATGTTGCAAAAAGACCAGAACCAGAACTAGAGCGTGCCCGTGGGATTGTAAATAAAGAGATCAAAATCCAAAACCCCCAAAAAAATAGCAAAGAATAGATTGCCGGCCGGCGCAGTGGCTCATGCCTATAATCCCAGCACTTTGGGAGGTCGAGGCGGGTGGATCACTTGAGGTCAAGAGTTTGAAACCAGCCTGACCAACGTGGCGAAACTCCATCTCTGCTAAAAATACAAAATTAGCTGAGCGTGCTGGCAGGCGCCTGTAATCCCGGCTACTCAGGAGGCTGAGGCAGGAGAATCACTTGAACCCGGGAGATGGAGGTTGCAGTGAGCCGAGACGGCGCCATTGCACTCCAGCCTGGGCAACAAGAGTGAAACTCTGAGAAAAGGTGCCCACCTCTTCATCTTCTGTCGGACCATATAAAAACCAATTTTCCAAATCAATATGAAATAGGCTACAGGAAAAACAAGTTTTTTACTGTTTCATATATTAAAAATGCCCAAATTTGGTTGTTCTTGGTTGAGCTGTTGGTTTATTTCCTTTGCCCATTCTTTCCATGGGTATGTTCAATCTCTAAGTGTCTTGACCCCAAAAAGATTTCATGACTTCTATCTTTTGGACAGATTTGTTTTTTATATTCTATTATTTTGGCTGAGTATCAAGGAGACATATTGGGAGCTGGAGTATGGCTGTAACCAAGGAAACTTTTCTCTTTTTTCTTTTTCTTAATTTTTTTTTTTTTTTTATTTCCATGGGTTACTGGGGAACAGGTGGTGTTTGGTTACATGAGTAAGTTCTTTTTTTTTATGAGTAAGTTCTTTAGTGGTGATTTGTGAGATTTTGGTGCACCCATCACCCAAGCAGTATACACTGCACATAATTTGTAGTCTTTTATCCCTCACCCCCTTCCCACCCTTTCCTCCTGAGTCCCCAAAGTCCATTGAGTCATTCTTATGCCTTTGCATCCTCATAACTTAGCTCCTACTTATGAGTGAGAACATACAATGTTTGGTTTTCCATTCCTGAGTTACTTCACTTAGAATAATTGTCTCCAGCTGGGCGCAGTGGCGCATGCCTGTAATCCCAGCACTTTGGGAGGCTGAGGCGGGCAGATCACCTTCGGTCAGGAGTTCGAGACCAGCCTGGTCAACAGGGTGAAACCCCATCTCTACTAAAACTATAAAAATTAGCCGGGCGTGGTGGCAGGTGCCTGTAATCCCAGCTACTCAGGAGGCTAAGACATGAGAATCACTTGAACGTGGGAGGTGGAGGTTGCAGTGAGCTGAGATCATGCCATTGCACTCCAGCCTGGGGGAAAAGAGGGAGACTTTGTCTCAAAAAAAAAAAAAAGAATAATTGTCTCCAATCTCATCCAGGTCACTGCGAATGCCATTAATTCATTCAAGCAAGCTATTTCTTCTTCCTAGTCTCCCAGGAATTATCTGAGGTTATTAGATTTTCCCCCCTTGGGTTTTATTTAATTATCCTCTGTATGTTTATCAAGCAAAATTGTTGTATTTTTATAATTTTTTATGTTTTTTTAAACAGAAGACAGAACATGACCATACAAAAAAATGGAAAGATAATCTGATATTGAAAGCTTGCTTCATTTCCATTCCTCTCTAATATTAATGGTGTGACTGGAGGTGAGAACAGCTTGCTATAAACACAGTCCCAGGAGTCCTCATTCAGCTTCAAGTGTGTGCCTGTGTGTGTGTCTGTACTAATTGTGCATATGTGTGTCTGTCTTTAGTGGGGAGAGTGATTTCAAAATAACATCATTAAACAGAATTGAAAGGAGCCTTGCTAATTAACTGAAACAAGATATGAAGTAGCAATAATTTAATGTTTTCAACATGGATAAATAATTAAAGTTGCAAAGACCTAGGCATAAAAGAATATGACATACAAATGAGGTAGAGATATCCCTTTTAAGAGTAGAGGGACGCAGTGGCTCACGCCTGTAGTCCCAGTACTTTGGGAGGCCGAGGCAGGCAGATCACGAGGTCAGGAGATCGAGACCATCCCGGCTAACATGGTGAAACCCTGCCTCTACTAAAAATGCAAAAAAATTAGCCGGGCGTGGTGGCGGGCGCCTGTAGTCCCAGCTACTTGGGAGGCTGAGTCAGGAGAATGGTGTGAACCTGGGAGGCGGAAGTTGCAGTGAGCCGAGATCGCGCCACTGAACTCCAGCCTGGGCAACAGAGCGAGACTCCGTCTCAAAAAAAAAAAAAAAAAAAAAAAAAGTAAAGGGACCTGGACTCAATATATTCCAAAAGGTGACTCAGAATACAGAGGTCAGCACGCAAGGCAGCATATGGAAATAAACAAAGGATGCATTTCAATTCATGGGACATGGAGCCAATTTATTAAAGTGCAAATAGAAAACATCAGGACAAGCCTGGGCGTGGTGGCTCACGCCTGTAATCCCAGCACTTTGGGAGGCCGAGACAAAAGGATCACTTGAGGTCAGGAGTTTGAGACCAGCCTGGCCAACATGGTGAAGCCCCATCTCTACCAAAAAATATAAATCTTAGCAGGGCATGGTAGCAGGCACCTGTAGTCTCAGCTACTTGGGAGGCTGAGGCAGGAGAATCTCTTGAACCCAGGAGGTGGAGGTTGCAGTGAACCCACATCATGCCACTGCACTCCAGCCTGGCCGACAGAGTGAGACTCTGTCTCAAAACCAAACCAAACCAAACAAAATCTGGGCAGAGGGACTTCTTGTATTTTGAAGCTTCAGCAGCAATGAAGTCACCTCATAGTGCAACATCTTCTGACACCATCTCCCATCACTTACCTCTCACAGATTTCCCTGCCACACTGGCTTCCTCGTTGGCCTTGAACATCTGAAACCTTCCTCTACACCTTTGCACCGGCCATTCTTTCTGCTGGGCACACACATTCCCAGATATCCTCATGGCTCCCGCCCTGTCTTCCTTGAGGTCTCATTTCTCTTTTTAAAAATTTCAGCTTTTCTTACAGATTAAAGGGTACATGTGCAGGTTTGTTACACGGGTAAATTGTGTGATGCTGAGGCTTCGGGTCCTAACAATCCCATCACTCAGGAGGTAAGCATAGGACCCAACAGATGGTTCTTCAGCTCACATCCCCCTCCCTCCATCCTCTGTCCAGCGGTCTCCAGTGTCAATTGTTCCCATCTTTGTGTTCACGTATATTCGATGTTTAGCTACCATTTATAAGTGAGAACATGCGATATTTGGTTTTCTGTTCTTGCATTAGGTCGCTCAGAATAACGGCCTCTAGCTTCATCCATGTAGCTGGAAAGGACATGATTTCATTCTTTTTTATGGCTGCCTAGTATTCCATGGTGTATAAGTACCACAGTTTCTTTGTCCAATCCACTATTGATGGGCACCTATCACCTTGACTGCTAGTATTCTCTGGACACCTAGGAAAATTAACATCCTCTATCCACCCTCGCCTTTTTACCTTCTTTCTTTTTCTTGCTAGCCCTGGTTACCATCTGACACAGTATATGATTTACTTGTATTCTTCTCCATACTTCACTGTAGGAACTTTTGTTTTTCAGCACTGTTCACTCATTGTCTAGACAGAGCCTGGAACGTTGACAACACTCAATTTAAATTCCTCAAATCCATGAAAGAATTTATCATTAAAGTATTGGTTTTTGTTTTGTTTTGTTTTGTTTTGTTTGAGATGGAGTTTTGCTCTTGTAGCCCAGGCTGGATGGAGTGCAATGGCGCCATCTTGGCTCCCTGCAACCTCTGCCTCTCAGGTTCAAATGATTCTCCTGCCTCAACCTCCCGAGTAGCTGGGATTACGGGCACGCACCACCACATCCGGCTAACTTTGTATTTTTAGTAGAGATGGGTTTTCTCCATGTTGGTCAGGCTGGTCTTGAACTCCCGACCTCAGGTGACCCGCCCACCTCTGCCTCCCAAAGTGCTGGGATTACAGGTGTGAGCCACCGCACCCGGCAAAGTTTTTAAATAAATGACCATTTGGGGAAAAGTTGAGCATCATGGGAAAGGAATTCCTAAGCAGAGATGGGATGGGAGATCTCATAAAGTAGACCAGATTCACACACAAAATATAGAAATTAACTTGCTGACTGTAGGATATAAATAATAGCTTTTCTGATGGGTGAAAAAAGCATGCTTATGTCATGTATTTTCTCTCTCTCTCTTTTTTTTTTTTTTATAGTCACCTCTACCACATGGAACCAGAGAATGATACACGAATTTCAGAATTTCGACTTCTGGGATTTTCAGAAGAACCCAGACTGCAACGATTTCTCTTTGGTAAAAGGCAAAAGATTTATACAATTTGAAGAGAAACCAGAGCATAACGATTTCTCTTTGGAGTGTTCTTATCCATGTACCTCATCATTGTATTTGGAAACTTGCTTATCATCCTGGTTATCATTTTATGCTCCCACCTCCACACCTCCATGTACTTCTTTCTCTCCAACCTGTCCTTTGTAGACATCTGTTTTGCCTCCACCAGGGTCCCAAAGATGCTGGTGAATATCCAGGCACAGAGCAAAGTCATCACCTCTGCAGGCTGCATCACCCAGATGTACTTTTTCATACATTTTGTAGGATTGGACAGCTTCCTCCTGACTGTGATGGCCTATGACCGGTTTGTGGCCATCTGTCACCCCCTGTACTACACGGTCATCATGAACCCTCAACTCTGTGGATTGCTGGTTCTGGTATCCTGGATCACAAGTGTCTTGCATTCCTTATTACATAGCTTAATGGTGCTGCAGTTGTCCTTATGCAGAGAGTTGGAAATCCCCCACTTTTTCTGTGAACTTAATCAGGTCATCCACCTTGCCTGTTCTGACACCTTTCTTAATGACATGGTGATGTATCTGGCAGCTGTGCTGCTGGGTGGGGGGATGTCTCGCTGGGATCCTTTACTCTTACTCTAAGATAGTTTCCTCCATATGTGCAATCTCATCAGCTCAAGGGAAGTATAAGGCATTTTCCACCTGTCCGTCTCACCTCTCAGTTGTCTCCTTGTTTTACTGTACAAGCCTAGGAGTGTACCTTAGCTCGGCTGCATCCCACAACTCACACTCAGGTGCAATAGCCTCAGTGAGGTACACTGTGGTCACCCCCATGCTGAACCCCTTCATCTACAGCCTGAGGAATAAGGACATAAAGAGGGCTCTGAAGAATTCTTTGGGAGGGAAACTAGAAAAGGGCCAGTTGTCCTAGGGCTGAAGCTATATCCATGATTGCAAGGCTCAAAGCCTCAGAGCCAGATATTGCTGTTGTTTAATCAGATCATGGAAGTGGAAACTGCTCTTTTTTTTTTTTTTTTTTTTTTTTGAGACAGAGTTTTGCTCTGCTGCCCAGGCCAGAGTGCAGTGGCGCCATCTCCGCTCACTGCAAGCTCCACCTCCTGGGTTCATGCTATTCTGCTGCCTCAGCCTCCCGAGTAGCTGGGACTACAGGCACCCACCACCGCACCCGGCTAATTTCTTGTATTTTCAGTAGAGACGGGGTTTCACTATGTTAGCCAGGATGGTCTTGATCTCCTGACCTCGTGATCCAACCGCCTCTGCCTCCCAAAGTGCTGGGATTACAGGCGTGAGCCACTGCGCCGGGCTGGAAATTGCTCTATTTATTTCCTGAAGTTTCCATTTCTTTTATCTCAACTGCTTCATCAAATTTAAGCAACTCCTATTATTAAGCTTTCCTCTCTCTCTAATATTCAACAGATTTTCCCCTTGTTTTCCTCCTTTCTCAAAGTTATTCCCAACCTTGGGTCAGAAACAATTTGGAGATTCCCATTTGCCTCATAGGGTGATGAGTTGTACTATTCCTATGGAATAAACTACGCTTGGCACTGAGGCCATTTATGTAATTTTATTGGAGAAGAATTTCTGAGGCTATGGTTTTTCACTTTTTGTGTTTGTCATTCATTTCTGTATCACTACCTTAATTGATCTTCCTGATAATGTAGACTTAAACATACTAGGGTATTTTATAGCTGGTTATGGGATTTTTCACTCCCATTAGGATCCTGTTCTCTTCTTGAACTCAGTATTCATGAATTCTACTATATTTACTGGCACTGAGTACTTAGTCAAAAGTTGCTCATCAAATAAATGCTCCAAGCATAGTCTACACAGAAAGACAAACTGGCAAAAATCAATTGGCTTTACATGGACTTAGAGTTAGAGATGACGTTAAATATGATAGAGTAACATTTTCAATTATGTACTAAATTTCTATGGAAGGTTTGTTTTCAATGATGTACATCTACTCATTGAAGTGTGGAAGCTTGTTATTCATGTGTAATGAGGTTTGTTGATCTGAGTGAAAGATTTGGTGTCATGGTCTATATTATTTTATTGTATCATCTTGCTGTTTCTATTTGAAAATTCTAGTGTTACCTACAAATATGACTACTTACATTGTCCAAAAAATATTTCCCCCTTTAACAAATGTAATCATAACACAAAATACAGATGATTGAACAATATGTGTATTTACTTGATCATCAATTCCTTTACATCTTTTATAATCTAAATTCTTTTCAGTCCTCATGATCAAAGATTATTCTGTTGATATCTGGATATTTATATCTTTCCTGAAAGTTGGAAAGTTTTCAGTTATTTTTTTGATAAGCTTTCTGTCTCTTTGTTCATTCCTTCTCTTTCTTGATTCCTGTTAATTCAAATATTTACCCTCCTTATGCTGCCCCATAAAATCCCATAAGTTTTCTTCACTCCTTTTTATTCTGTTTTTCTCCTCTGAGTGTATGTTTTCTAATAATCTGTCTTCAAGTTCATAGATTATTTCTTCTGCTTTATTTCTTCTGCTTTATCAATCCTGCTGTTGACACTCTAGATTGCATTTTTCATTTCATTCATTGTATTTTTCATCTTGAGAATTTCTAGAGTTTTTTTATAATTTCAATCTCTCTGTTAAATTTCAAATTTTGTTCATTTATTGTCTTTCTGATTTTGGTGAATTGTTTCTCTGTATTTTCTTAAAGTTTGCTGCACTTCCTTAAAACAATTATTTTTGAATTCTTTGTCAGAAAGTTCATATATCTCCATTTCTTTCTTTTTATTTAAAATATATAAATAAATATATAATTGTTTTTTAAAAAAATTAAAAATCACAATACAACAATAAAAATAATACAAATTTTTAAATAAAGTATAACAACTATTTACAGAGCATTTACACTGTGTTCAGTATTATAAGTACTCTAGAAATGATTTAAAGTATACAGGAGAATGTGCATAGCTAATATGCAAATACTATGCCATTTTATATAAGGGACTTCAGCATCAGTGGATTTTGTTATATGCAGGGTGTCCTGAAACCAATCCCCTGCAAATAAGGAATGACTTACTATAAAGAAGAAAAGTGAGAGGTTCGCCCAGGAATAAGGCACTGACCAGATGAATGTTTCATCACTTGAACACATGAGCATTGTAAACCCTATAGTAGGTCTTCCCATCTGGTGAGAAAGATCTCATCTTGTTGATTATTCCTTCAGGCAGAAAATTGTCACTCAGAGGGGATGCTGTGTCTCACTATTCTTATTTTCTGGAACTGTTTTAATGGTATTTTATTTGGGCTTTAAAAATCAGTCCTAGCCATGCATAGTGGCTCATGCCTAAAATGTCAGCATTTTGGGAGGTTGAGGCAGGAGGATCACTTGAGCCCAGGTTGTTCCCAGACCAAAGCAAGGGTCAGGCTGCTTATTCTCATGGCCCATTAATGAGATGCAGATGAACTAGGGAGGAAAAGAGTTTTTATTTCTGTAACTGGTTACAGGGAGAAGGCCTGGAAATTACCACTGGATCAACTCAAAAATTACAAAGTCTTCCAGAGTTTATATACCTTCTAAGCTATATGTCTATGTGTAAGTGTGCATTCATCTAAATACATAAGTGATTAACTTCTTTTAATCTATAACTAAGATCTGAGTCCTGAAGACCTTCCTCTGGAGCCTCAGTAAATTCACTTAATCTAAATGGGTCCAGGTGCTGGGGTGATTACCCTTATCTTGTCTCCTGCTAAATCATGGAGGTTTAGGGAGTTCCTTCAGACCCCCAACAAACTTGTTTGTGGAGGCCTGGGGAGTTTCTTCAGACCCCCAATAAAACTTGTTTAATCCTAAATGGGTCCTGTTAAGAATTCCTTCATTATCTTCTCACGTTTCAGGGCCCAGGAAAGGCCTAGGCAAAGCTCTGGGTAGCCTTTTTTTTTTACATTCCAGCCTTTGTATAAAGGCACTGGCCCTATCAGTTTTTAATATTTAACTTAACCACTCAGTCAGTGCTGAAACAGTTGTTAGAGAGGTCTGCTTTAGTAGGACCTAGCCTGCTACAAGGTGTTTGAGACCAGCCTGGCCAACATAGCAAGACCCCATCTCTACCAAAAAAAAAAAATGAAAAAAAAATTAGTCCTTTGTGAATTGTTAAAGACGGTCTATATTCTCTGGAATGGAATAACAAGCAGCATCCAATGGACTTGTTTTGAACCTGTAAAAGTGTAGATACCTGCAGGGTCCTGCCTGGACAGCCAGGCAAACCACCTCTCATCTTCTCTTCGCGTACCTGGAACTTTCTCTATATTGCACCTTCAATAGTAAGAATAGAACTTGTGGCAAAGTCATTGGAATGGTTTTGTTCAGAGTTGTGTGTGGTCCCTGTCCACAACTCCAAGTTAAGTTGCTCAGGACTCAAAGGTCTTTTTAAAAAACAAAAAAACAAAACCTGCCTGCTCGTGCGCAAAGAAACTCCATCTAAAATGTTGAGGCCAGGCGCGGTGGCTCTCACCTGTAATCCCAGCACTTTGAGGGGCTGAGGCCAGTGGATCGCTTGACGTCAGGAGTTTGAGACCAGCCTGGCCAACGTGGCAAAACCCCGTCTCTACTGAAAATACAAAAATTAGCCTGGCATGGTGGTGGGTGCCTGTAGTCCTAGCTACTCGGGAGGCCGAGGCAGGATAATTGCTTGAACCCGGGAGGCGGAGGTTGCAGTGAGCCGGGATTGTGCCACTGCACTCCAGCCTGAGCGACAGAGCAAGACTCTGTCTCAAAAATAAATAGATAAAAATAAAAAAATAAAATGTTGAGGAAACCATCACTGGGGAGGACAATAAACAATGGAAGCCACATCAGGCAGAAAAGAGTATCATAAGCAAAGAGCCCCAGAGTAAGGGATTCCCATACCTGGTATCCAAGATGCTCCCAAGAATACAAAACTAGCAGAAAAAAGTGTTTCTATTTTGGCTCCCTCACTCATGGGAATGAAATTGCTTAGAGAATAGAGTTAGAACGGAGTGATTAATTTAATGAGCATTCATGAGAATTCAACCTCTAAGTCTGATAGTAAATATGCCCCTTACACCTGTTACTTACTGCTCAAATGTTCCAGGAAGCAGGGAGTTCGACTTTCAGAGGACTTATGCCCAAGGCCACATCTCCGTCCATCCCTGAAGCTGAGTTGAACCTCCATCACCCAGGGAAGAAAGGACCTAGGGAACTAGAGGCTCAGCAATGCCCTGGAGCATCTGAGGTGGGGAACAGGTATGGAGGCAGGCAGAGCTCTCAAAGGAAGAACTTTGGCGGTGTAAATGGGGACAGTGTGGTGAGGACAGTCCATTCACTTAAAGCATCCTGCACAATGAATTCCTGTGTCTCTCTTAGCTCTTCCTCTTAGCTCCCTCTCAGGTGTCTTCCTCTCTCTTCCAGGACCAAATTCTGAGGCTCTTTCGCCTTCCTAATAAAAATTGACGTGTTAGCTTCTAGTATCTCTCAAAAGTTTCTTACCCAGCCATCTTAGCTGTTTTTCTGGAGCCATTTAAAGTGCTTCCAAGAAATAAAATAAGAAAAACAAAAAAGAAAAAGAAAAAATAATAAAAATGCTTCCATTCTCCTGTATCAAAGATGCTCCTATGTTGTTTACCCATAATATCTTACTCAGTTACTCATTCATTCATTCACTTAAGAAACATTCCCTGAGATTTCATAGTTAGCACTCGCAAGCCCATTGCATACATCTTCTGACATTAGTTTACTTAATATTTCTGTGTCTCAGTCTCCATATCTGTAAAATGAGTATAATAGTCATATCCATTTCATGGGGTTAAGATGAGAATTAAATTAGATCTACCCTATGATCCACTAATCCCACTGCTGCGTATATATTCAAAAGAAAGGAAATCCATATATCGTTTTTGTTTTTGGTTGTTGGTTTTTTGGTTTTGGGTTTTTGGTTTTTTGAGACGGAGTTTTGCTCTGTCACCCCAGCTGGAGTGAAGTGGCGTGATCTCAGCTCACTGCAGCCCCCACCTCCCAGGTTCAAGTGATCCTCTTGCCTCAGCCTCCTGAGTAGCTGGGATTGCAGGCACCCGCCACCACACCCAGCTGATTTTTGTATTTTTAGTAGAGATGGGCTTTCTCCATGTTGGCCAGGCTTGTCTTGAACTACTGACCTCAGGTGATCCACCCACCTCGTCTTCCCAAAGTGCTGAGATTACAGGTGTGAGCCACCATGCCCAGCCTGGAAATCTGTATATCAAAGAAATATCTGTACTTCCATGTTTATTGCAGTGCTATTCACAATATCCGAGATATGGAATCAACCTAAGTGTTCATCACTAGATGAATGGATAAAGAAAATGTGGTACCTAAACGAAGGAATACTATTCAGAATGAAATCCTGCCAGTTGCTGCAACAGGGATGAGACTGGGGGTCATTATGCTAAGTGAAATAAGCCAGGCACAGAAAGACAAATATTGCATATTCTCACTCATATGTGAGAGCTAAAACATGTTGATCTCATGGAGGTAGAATGTAGAATGATAGTTATCAGAGAGTGGGAAGGGTGTGGGGTGATGAGGTGAGATTGACTCATGGGCATAAAAACACAGTTAGAAGGAATACTTTCTAGTGTTTGACAGCACAGTAGGGGTCTATAGTTAACAATAATTTATTGTATATTTCAAAATAGCAAGAAGAGATTTGAAATGTTCCCAACACAAATAAATGATAAATGTTTGAGGTGATGGATATGCTAATTACTCTGCTGTGATCATTATATATTGTATGCATATATCAAAATAGCCCATGTACCCCATAAGTATATACAATTATTATGTATCAATTTTTTAAATAACTATAATAAATATTTTAAATTAAAATGAGGATTAAATTGGCTGGGCGCGGTGGCTCACGCCTGTAATCCCATCACTTTGGGAGGCCGAGGCAGGCGGATCACGAGTTCCAGAGATCGTGACCATCCTGGCTAACATGGTGAAACCCCGTCTCTACTAAAAATACACAGAAAATTAGCCGGGCATGGTGGCGGGCGCCTGTAGTCCCAGCTACACGGGAGGCTGAGGCAGGAGAACGGCATGAACCTGGGAGGAGGAGCTTACGGTGAGCGGAGATTGGGCCACTGCACTCCAGCCTGGGCAACAAAGCGAGACTCCATCTCAAAAAAAAAAAAAAAAAGGATTAAATTAAAGATCATGCATAATTTTTTAATAGTCTCCAAGATCTAGTGAACACCTACTCATGTTAATTATTATTAGTGCATTATTATAAACACATTTTCATTCATTAAATCAAAAAAATTGTGATGATGGTCAAATGAACTAAGACATATAAAATATTTGACAAGTGCTTGACATGCAAAAGTCCTTAATAGATTTTAGCTATTATTACTTTTATTTGTTGAGTATTTACAAGTTTCCAGTCCCTGTTCCAGGAATTTTATATTCTTGGATTTTTTTAAATTTCTTTTTAACTTTTAAGTTCAAGGGTACATGTGCAGTTTTGTTATATAGGTAAATGTGTGTCATGAGGGTTTGTTGTACAGATTATGTCATCACCCAGGTGTTAAGCCTAGTACCCATTAGTTATTCTTCCTGATCCACTCCCTCCTCCCCTACTCCACCCTCCAATAGGCCCCAGTGTGTGTTGTTTCCCTCTGTGTGCCCATGTGTTCTCATCATTTAGCTCCCACTTATAAGTGAGAACATGTGATATTTGGTTTTCTGTTCCTGTGTTAGTTTGCTAAGGATAATGGCCCCCAGCTCCATCCATGTCCCTGCAAAGGACATGGTCTTGTTTTTTGCTATGGCTGCCTAGTATTCCATGGTGTATATGTGCCACATTTTCTTTATCCAGTCTATCATTGATGGGTATTTAGGTTGATTCCATGTCTTTGCTATTGTGAATAGTGTTGCAATGAACATACTCATGCATGTGTCTTTATAAAAGAAGGATTTATATTCCTTTGGGTATATACGCAGTAATGGGATTGCTGGACCAAATGGTATTTCTATCTTTAAATCTTTGAGGAATAACCACACTGACTTCCACAGTGGTTGAACTAATTTACACTCCCTTCAACAGTGTATAAGCTGTTCCCTTTTCTCCACAACCTCACCAGCATCCATGCTTGTTAATGTTTGAAATGATGGAGATGTATTTTTAAGAGATTCAACTGTACATATGAATGCTACTTTTATTTTTCCTTGGACTCAATTTTTTGTTAATTTTTATTTTTGAATAATTTGGATTTACAGAGTAGTTACAAAGAGAGTACAGAGTTCCCATAATTCCCTTACCTATTCCTATGGGAACTAGGTAAAAGCAATGGTTGAAAAACATTCTGAATGTCCCTCTGAATGCCACCTTAGAATGGCTACTGCTTTTTACAGATTTGTTTTGTTTCAGCTGCCTTATTAAAATCATGCTCAGTTAAAATAAGTTTTCAGGCTGGGTGTGGTGGCTCACGCCTGTAATACCAGCACTTTGGGAGGCTGAGGTGGGCGGATCACAAGGTCAGCAGTTCAAGACCAGCCTGACCAACATAGTGAAACCCCATCCCTACTAAAAATACAAAAATTAGCTGGGCGTGTTGGCGTGCACCTGTAATCTCAGCTACTCAGGAGGCTGAGGCAGGAGAATCACTTGAACCCAGGAGGTGGAGGTTGCAGTGAGCCGAGATCATGCCACTGCACTCCAGCCTGGGAGAAGAGCAAGGCTCTGTCTCAAAAAGAGAAAAAAAGAAAAAAAAAAGAATAAGTTTTCAGCTACCAATCCATCATCCACAGCCAATCCATCATCCACAGCCAATCCATCATCCACAGCCAATCCATCATCCGAAAACAAAGTTATGTTGCCTTTTTAATATAGGTCTCATTTCTTTTTCTCCTTGTATTGCATTGGTTGAAACTTCCAGGGCACTGACAAATAATTACTAATAATAAACATACTTTTCCTTTTTAATTCTTAAAGGAGAATTCTCCTGTTGTTCCTGCCACACAGCCTCACCAGGGCATTTTTGGAAGTAAGTTCTGTTTATTTAATTCCTTCCTTAGTTATTGATCTGTTTTCCTCCATCCCGAATCAACTTTGGGCACTTATGTTTTTCCAGAAATAAATTCATTTCTTGGGGATTTTCACATTTTTAACATGGCGTTATAAATGACATTATCTTGCAAAGTTGAGTGTTTCCTTATCTCTGTGTTCATTTTTTTCTCATTCTTGGTTTTAGGCCTTTCTGCTCTTTCTCCCTCTTTGTATCCCTTTTGTTACACTTCTAATTTTTTCTATTCGTTTGTGGTTGCCAAAGAATTCGCTCTGGAATTTATTTTTCAGTTCCAGAATATTTCTTCTTTTTAGTTCATTAATTCTGCTTTGATCTTTATTAGCTACTCCTTTCTGTTTTAACAGAATGTTAAATATTTTGTGATAATTTTTAACAAAATCAAATTTTACAATATTGATTTTATAACACTTGTATTGACAATATCTTCAAATTTTTAAGTTTTTATTTCTTGAGGATAGGCTACACATGTATTCATTTGCAATTTTCAAACAATATGCTAAAAAAGGAATCTAAAAATCAAAATTAATGTTAACACTCAAAGATGATCCCTCTTCATACTTTGGGGTATGTTGTTATGGATCTTTTTTTTCTTTTGGTGCCAATATGTGTATAGTTTAAGAGATCCATAGGCTGAGTTCATTTCTCTAGCTCAGAAAAGGAGACCAAATGTCTTTTCATAGCAGTATCTGAAATGTTTTCTTTCCACATGATGGAATTTTTTTTTCCCCCTAGATGGAGTCTCACTCTGTCGCCAGACTAGATTGGAGTACAGTGGCGCGATCTCGGCTCACTGCAACCTCCGCCTCCTGTGTTCAAGCCATTCTCTCTCAGCCTTCCGAGTAGCTGGGAGTAGCTGGGATTACAGGCACGTGCAACCATGCCCAGCTAATTTTTGTATTTTCAGTAGAGACGGAGTTTCACCATATTGGCCAGGATGGTCTCGATCTCTTGACGTCGTGATCCGCCCGCCTTGGCCTCCCAAAGTGCTGGGATTACAGGCATGAGCCACCGCCCCCAACCGAAATTTTGCATTCTTACTCTTCTTTCATACAGACATTTTAATTCCCTCAGTGAAAGGGGTATGTTATTGTTAATTTTACTTTTTTAGATTAACAGTAAAAATAAAACATTTTCTCAAACATTTATTATCCTTTTACAGTTCATTTTATGAACCTTTAATATTCTATTTATTTTCCCCATCAGTGCATTAATATTTCAATGATTTATAATTGTCTTTATAAAGATATTAACTTTTGTCAGTTACATAAATTTTTTTTTTGCATTCTAACTTTCTGCAAGGCACATTTTCTCATTCAGAATTTTTCAATTTATGGTTCTAGTTGCTGATCTCTTTTTCTATCAAAGGTGAATTATTCAGAAAGAATTTGTACTTTCAAAGATTATATCTATCCATGTATAAATTTATATAATCTATATGTTTATCTATGTTTTCTTCAGATAGCTTATGTAGTCTCTTGTCTGTTTGAAATGTATTTGGGACTACAGAGATGGGATTTGACATTATTTTTTCTAAATAATTAATCATTAAACACTTATTTATACCTTTAAAAAACACTATTTAAAATAACTAAAGGAGGCCAGGGAAGATGGCTCACACCTGTAATCCCAGCACTTTGGGAGCCTGAGGTGGGTGGATCACCTGAGATCAGGAGTTCAAGACCAGCCTGACCAACATGGTGAAACCCCGTCTCTACTAAAAATACAAAATTAGCCAGGAATGGTGGCACATGCCTATAATCCCAGCTACTTGGGAGGCTGAGGCAGGAGAATCGCTTGAACCCGGGAGGCGGAGGTTGCAGTGAGCCAAGATGGTGCCATTGCACTTCAGCCTAGGCAACAAGAGTGAAACTTCATCTTAAAAAAAAAAAAAAAAAAAAACCACAAAACAAACAAACAAAAAACTAAAGGATTATAATTGGATTGCTTGTAACACAAAGGATAAATGTTTGAGAGGATGGATGCCCCATTCTCCATGATGTGATTCTTATGCATTGCATGCCTGTATCAAAACATCTCATGTACCCCATAAATACATACACCTATTACGTACCCACAAAAATTAATAATAAGTTTTAAAAAGAGAAATAATAAATAAGACCTAGTATTTGCTAGCACAACAGGGTGAGTACAGTCAAAATCAATTTAATTGCACATTTTAAAATAACAAAAAGAATATAATTTGATTGTTTGCAACACAGAGGATAAATGCTTGAGGGAATGGATGCTGCATTTTCCATGATGTGATTACTATACGCATTGCATGCCTGAATCAAAATATGTCATGTAACTCATAGAGATATACACTTACCCACACAACTTAAAAAAATAAAAAAAAAATTTTAAACACACTCAAGTATCCAGAAATAAAAAATGCAAGTTAACGTGATAAAAATTACACATTCTAAATCACAGTGAACATCATATTAAATTACAAAACTCTAGGGTTATTCTATTTAAAAAAGAAGAAGAAAAAGAAGAATGCCAACTCCTACCATAAATTTTAAAAGGATTCTAAAATTTCAAACCAATGCAATAAGACCTAAAAGAGAAATAGGTGTTATTAATTAGTATTATTTGGAGAAAATAGATGAATTTTAGAGAAAAACATGAAACTAAGAAGAAAACCCAGAAAAAGAATATGGCACCTCTTCAATACAAAAAAAGCAAATGACTTCCTAATATAATACCAATAGCAGAGATGTTATGTGGGGGGGTATTACATTAAAATATTAAGAAATTAACATAATCTATATGTGTATTTTTAACACGTGAACAAAAATGTCTACCCAAAAAAGGATTAAAATATGCAGAGGAACATTTCTGCTACTGGAATGAGAATTTGAACATAATAAAGATGTCAATTTCTCTCCAAATTAATTGATAACTTTAATGTAATCTCCAATAAAATTCCAATGGTATTTTTCTTGCAACATGGCTAGAGGATTCTAAAGCTCATCTGGGAGGATAAACTGGCACATCAGAAATAAAATTATGAAAGAAACAATACTAAGCAAATTTCTCAACTCAATGTTTAAGTATATTTTGAAGATAGACAATTAAAAATATGGAACAAAAGATTTGATACCCTGCTTGCTGTCATGGCACAGATGACCATTTAAAATTATCTATTTATAAGAGTGTGAACAAGAAAATGTCTTAATGTTTTTGTTGTTGTTGTTGTTGTTGTTTTTTGAGACAGAGTCTCGCTTTGTTGCCCAGGCTGGAGTGCAGTGGCGTGATCTCGGCTCACTGCAACCTCCGCCTCCTGGGTTCAAGCAATTCTTCTGCCTCAGCCTCCCTAGTAGCTGGGACTACAGGTGTGTGCCACCACGCCCAGCTAATTTTTGTATTTTTATTAGAGACGGAGTTTCACCATGTTGGCCAGGCTTATCTCGAACTCCTGACCTCGTGATCCGCCCACCTTGGCCTCCGAAAGTGCTGGGATTACAGGCGTGAGCCACCGCGCCCGGCCGGAAATGTCTTAATTAAAAAAAAAAACAACAACAACTGAGAAAGGCCATTTACAGATTAACCTAAGAGAAGAAAATATAAAAAATATAAAACTATAGTTAATCAAAAACTTTCTTTGTCTTTAAGAAAACTTAGAAAGTAAGTAAATGTCCAACATGGACAAGTTTTAAAGAGCCATTTCTGTATGGCAGAATATTTTGATCTGATGGAATCAGATGATGGAAAATGGGGATAAAATTTAATTCTATATCTAGAAACTCTAGGGCTTTTCTATTTCAAAGTTCCATTTTTGTTGAGTTTAGCTAGGGAGATTGATAATATAAATGAAATGTAAACAATGATGATTAAAAACAGTGGTTATTATTTTTTAGCAGAAGGGGCATCCAAGATCCAGAGGATTTAACATGTAGACATTACAACTGGGCACAGTGGCTTGCACCTGTAATCCCAGCTACTTGGGAGGCTGAGGCAGGAGGATCACTTGAGCCCAGAAGTTCGAGACTGCAGTGAGCTAGGATGGCGCCACTGCACTCCAGCCTGGGCAACAGAGCCAGACCTTGTCTCTAAAACAAAATGAAAAATAAATTACAGGAATGCAGCACAATAGAAGAAAAAGCCTTCTGAGGATTGACAATCTGCCTAGAATTAGGGAATTCTCATTGCCTGATTTCCTAATCCCCATGCCTTAGGCAGAAAGGGCAAGAGCAGCCACCAGGGATGCTGCGGTGGGAAGGATTGCTTAGGGATACAGGCAAGCGCTGAAGCAATAGTCCTCAAACTTGAGTGTGCATCAGAATTCCCTAGAGGGCTTGTTAAAACCCAGAATGCAGGCCAGGCACGGTGGCTCATGCCTGTAATACCAGCACTTTGGGAGGCTGAGGCGGGCGGATCATCTGAGGTCAGGAGTTTGAGACCAGTCTGGCCAACATGGAGAAACCGTGTCTCTCCTAAAAATACAAAAAAAAAAAAAAATTACCTCAGCGTGGTGGTGCGCGCCTGTAGTGCCAGCTACTCAGGAGGCTGAGGCATGAGAATTGCTTGAACCTGGGAGCCAGAGGTTGCAGTGAGCTGAGATTGCACCACTGCACTCCAGCCTGGGCAACAGGGTGAGACTCTGTCTCAAAAAAAAAAAATTAATTAATTAAAATTAAAAGGCCAGGCGTGGTGGCTCATGCCTGTAATCCCAGCACTTTGGGAGGCCAACGCAGGAGGATCACGAGGTCAGGAGTTCGAGACCAGCCTGACCAACATGGTGAAACCCTGTCTCTACTAAAACTACAAAAATTAGCTGGGCGTGGTGGTACATGCCTGTAATACCAGCTACTCTGGAGGCTGAGGCAGGAGAATCACTTGAACCCGGGAGGCAGAGGTTGCAGTGAGCCAAGACTCTGCCACTGCACTCTAGCCTGGGCGAAAGAGCGAGACTCCATCTCAAACAAAAACTAAACCAGAATGCTGGCTCCATACCCAGAGTATCAGATTCAGTCGGTCAGGTGGGCATGATAAGGCACATGTCTAATGAGTTCCCAGGTGATGCTGATGGGGCTGTTCCAGGAACCACAGTTTAAGGACCAATGATGTAGAGATGACTTCTCCAGGTAGCGATGGTAACTGTAACTTGTCGGCAAAGAAATCCAATAATTAGCCAAAATGCATGATTTCTTGAGTTCCCTGGGTTTGAATAAAGGATATTGCAGTCATTCTGGGGAATGCTTATTTGGAGTAAATTTTGTGTGGCTGTTTTTTTTCCTCCTTCTCGGCAAACCCAGCGGCCCCATGGAAAGAGGAAACCAAACAGAAGTTGGAAACTTTCTCCTCCTGGGATTCGCAGAGGACTCTGACATGCAGCTTCTCCTCCATGGGCTGTTCCTCTCCATGTACCTGGTTACCATCATCGGAAACCTGCTCATCATCCTGACCATCAGTTCAGACTCCCACCTCCACACCCCCATGTACTTCTTCCTCTCCAACCTGTCCTTTGCTGACATCTGTTTCACATCCACGACTGTCCCAAAGATGCTGGTGAATATCCAAACACAAAGCAAAATGATCACTTTTGCAGGCTGCCTCACTCAGATATTTTTTTTCATTGCATTTGGATGCCTGGACAATTTGCTCCTGACCATGACGGCCTATGACCGCTTCGTGGCCATCTGTTACCCCCTGCACTACACGGTCATCATGAACCCCCGGCTCTGTGGACTGCTGGTTCTGGGGTCCTGGTGCATCAGTGTCATGGGTTCCTTGCTTGAGACCTTGACCATTTTGAGGCTGTCCTTCTGCACAAATATGGAAATTCCGCACTTTTTTTGTGATCCTTCCGAAGTCCTGAAGCTGGCCTGTTCTGACACCTTCATCAATAACATCGTGATGTATTTTGTGACCATTGTCCTGGGTGTTTTTCCTCTCTGTGGAATCCTATTCTCTTATTCTCAGATTTTCTCCTCCGTCCTAAGAGTATCTGCCAGAGGCCAGCACAAAGCCTTTTCCACCTGTGGTTCCCACCTCTCAGTGGTCAGCTTGTTCTATGGCACTGGCCTTGGGGTCTATCTCAGTTCTGCAGTTACACCACCTTCTAGGACAAGTCTGGCAGCCTCGGTGATGTACACCATGGTCACCCCCATGCTGAACCCCTTCATCTACAGCCTGAGGAACAAGGACATGAAGGGGTCACTGGGGAGACTCCTCCTCAGGGCAACGTCTCTCAAAGAGGGGACCATTGCTAAGCTCTCATGAATTGCAGTGAACACAATACTGAGGCCAGACTGGCCTCTTTCAGCCAATATTTCAACTTCTGTTTTTATGCATTTTTTTGAGACGGAGTCTTGCTCTGTCGCCCAGGCTGGAGTGCAATGGCGTGATCTCGGCTCACTGCAACCTCCGCCTCCCAGGTTCAAGCAATTCTCCTGCCTCAGCCTCCTTAGCAGCTGGGATTACAGGCATGCGCCCCAATTCCCGGCCAATTGTTTTTATTTTTAGTAGAGATGGGGTGTCACCATGTTAGTCAGGCTGGTCTCGAACTCCTGACCTCATGATCCACCTGCCTCGGCCTCCCAAAGTGCTGGGATTACAGGCATGAGCCACCGTGCCCAGCCACTTCTTTTTTTTTTTTTCAAGAAGGAGTCTCACTCTGTCACCCAGGCTGCAGTGCAATGGTGCGATCTCGGCTCACTGCAACTGCCGCCTCCCGGGTTCAAGTGGTTCTCCTGCCTCAGCCTCCTGAGTAGCTGGGATTACAGGCACCCGCCACCATGCCCAGCTAGTTTTTGTATTTTTAGTAGAGATGGGGTTTTGCCATGTTAGTCAGGCTGGTCTGGAACTCCTGACCTCAGGTAATCTGCCCGCCTTGGCCTCCCAAAGTGCTGGGATTACAGGCAATGAGCCACCGCACCCTGCCTTCTTTTATACATATTAAAGCATCTCTTCCCTTGCATCTTCCTTTGGAACGTTTCCTGCCCTTGCTACTGCTAATAAAGTTATATAGGATCACCCTTTTTGACTTTCTAACCAGTAATCTTAACTTTGTATGAATACAACCTGGTGTTTTCTCTGTTATCTTTAGTAATGATTTGGATTTTGTTTTTTGTTTTTGTTTTTTGTTTTGTTTTTTGTTTTTGTTTGTGTTTTTGAGACAGTCTCCCTCTGTCGCCCTGGCTGGAGTGCAGTGGCGCCATCTCAGCTCACTGCAACCTCCACCTCCCGGGTTGAAGCAATTCCCCTGCCTCAGCCTTCTGAGTAGCTGGAACTACAGGCATGCACCACCATGTCTGGCTAATTTTTGTATTTTTAATAGAGACAGAGTTTCACCATGTTGGCTAGGCTGGTCTCGAACTTCTGACCTCAAGTGATCTGCCTGCCTCAGCTTCCCAAAGTGCTGGGATTACAGGCATGAGCCACTATGCCCGGCCTGATTTGAGTTAAAAATATATGTATCAAATCTTACATGTTAAATATATACCCTCAGAAGCGATGAGATATGTCCCTATTTTGGACTTGTTGCCCTGGAAACTCATTTACAGAGATGTTTTTTGAGGTTACGTGAATAAAAATAACTCAAAGAGTTTCCTCCTTTTTTTATCTGATTCACTTTCCTTTCAGTCACACCAACTTTACTTAACTTTTCTACTCTTTCACAATATGGGTTCCTTGAATTTCAGAGCAATGTCTCACCGATTTTTGCAATCACAATGCCTAGCACAGTTATTGGTAAGGAGTTCATGTTTACATGATATCTGTCAAATGGAGTAGAAAAATAGATGGGTGGATGGTTAAATATAAAATAAGATCTGGACCAGAAAAATACAAATTGATTAATCTGATGAGAGGTTTTGGCCAGGCATGGTGCTGCATGCCTGTAGTTTCAGCTACTCAGGAAGCTGAGGCGGGAGGATGGCTTGAACCCAGGAGGTTAAGGCTGTAGTGAGCTGTGATTATGCCACTGTACTCCAGCCTGGGTGACAGAGTGAGACTCTGTTTCTAAATAATAATAATAATTAATTAAGTTGTTGAGCTAGAAACAAAATTCAAGGTTATTGATGTTGATATTAATAACACTTTATATACCAGCACAGTTTAAGAGCTTTATATACATTACCTCATTTAATTTTTCCAATAACTCTTTTATGTGATTAGTATTATTTCTCAAATTTACAAATAAAAACGTAAGAGCTTATGGTAAGTAGGTAATTAGCTCAAAGTAATGAATGTAGCGACAAGGTTCAAATGCAGGGCTGTATGAATCAGACAGCTCTCCCAGGCATTATGTTGTGTTGCTGTGGAGTCCTAATTAGGGAAAAGGAGTCAGGCTGGCAAGACCAAGGGAAAGCAAAAAGAAGCAGATAGAAGTCTGCCTTTCTTCATGGTCCCAGACACAAAGCCCTCCTGTGCAAAACACTCACAATCTTCCTGCACTCAGCTATCACCAGACCCTCAGCTGATACAAAAATTGCAAGTTAGCTCAGTGCAACCTTGGCGTTATCAATACTGTACAAAGCCCTCCTCAGCACACAGCACAAGCACTGTCTTATAAAATCCCCAGCAAGCTTTTGTCCTTAGCAATCAACTCCTCCATTGCTGGCCTGCCCATTGCTTCCTTGCAATGTATTTTCATACTTTCTCCAATAAATCTGCCTTTCTTTACCTACAACTGTGTTGGTAAATTCTTCTTATCTTCCACACCACCAGCCCCAGACAGTCGCCACTCACCCATGACAGTTACCTCTAGTCAAACCTTCTAATAATATAGTTAAACCTCAAAGGAACCAGGAATTCTCTGACATAAATTCTTACTTCTGGAATTATGCTCCCCAACCAAGAAATATTCTGTGTCTGGGGGCTGCAGCCTCAGAAATAAATGAAACCCAAGAGTAAGATTTATTTTTTCCTTTGATATTTTAATTTGACTTCCTTTGATTGTTCATTAAAATGAGCACATTTTTGTGCTCGATCTTTTGGTGTTCGATGTTTTTATAGTAACTCTTTTTTCCAGCTTTACTGAGGAATAATTGACTAATAAACATTGTACTTATTCAAGGTGTATAATGATTTGATATATGTATACATTGTGTAGTGATTTACTTGCATTAATTTTTACTAAATTTTGAGTTTACCTCCATTGATCTAATCTTAGACTTTTTAAAATTCTAGTTCACTTAGTTTTTAAATTTTTATTCTTAATCATTATGGATACACAATAGCTGTACATATTTATGGGGTACACATAAATTTTTTTTTTTTTTTTTTTTTTTTGAGGCAGAGTCTTGCTCTGTCGCCCAGGCTGGAGTGCAGTGGCGCAATCTCGGCTCACTGCAAGCTCCGCCTCCCGGGTTCACGCCATTCTCCTGCCTCAGCCTCCTGAGTAGCTGGGACTACAGGCACCCACCACCACGCCCAGCTAACTTTTTGTATTTTTAGTAGAAACGGGGTTTCACTGTGTTAGCCAGGATGTTCTCGATCTCCTGACCTCGTGATCCGCCCGCCTCAGCCTCCCAAAGTGCTAGGATTACAGGCGTGAGCCACCGCGCCCAGCCACATATGAAATTTTTACACATACAATATATACTGATCAAATCAATGTAATTGGG
The DNA here is from genome assembly GCF_000001405.40 of Homo sapiens. NCBI lineage: Eukaryota > Metazoa > Chordata > Mammalia > Primates > Hominidae > Homo > Homo sapiens. The sequence goes on from NC_000019.10 coordinate 14,945,796, forward strand.
GTATCTATCGCTTCAAGTATTTATCATTTCTTTGCGTTATTAACATTCCAATTCCACTTTTTTAGTTATTTTGAAATATACGATAAATTATTGTTAACTATAGTCACCCTGTTGTGCTACCAAATACTAGATTTTGTTCCTTCTAACTGTAGTTTTGTAGTCATTAACTATCCCTTCTTTATCCTCCCTCCCTCCTTACTGCCCCTCCTAGCTTCTGGTAACCATCATTCTACTCTGTTTCCATGAGTTCAGTTTTTTTTAGCTCCCACATACAAGTGAGAACATGTAATGTGTTTTTCTGTGCCTGGCTTATTTCTTTTGTTGTTGTTGTTTGGGTTTTGCTTTTTTTTTTTTGAGACGGACTTTTGCTCTTGGCACCCAGGTTAGAGTGCAATGGTGCGATCTCGGCTCACTGCAACCCCCACCTCCCGGGTTCAAGCCATTCTATCTGCCTCAGCCTCCCGAGTAGCTGGGATTACAGGCAGCCACCACCACGTCCGGCTAATTTTTTTATTTTTCGTAGAGACCAGGTTTCATCATATTGACCAGGCTGGTCTTGAACTCCTGACCTCAGGTGATCTGCCCGCCTCTGCCTCCCAAAGTGCTGGGATTATAGGCGTGAGCCACCAAGCCCGGCCGCCTAGCTTATTTCATTTAACATCATATCCTCCAGCTCCACCCATGTTGTTGTAAATGATAGGATCTCTCATTAATTTTTATGACTGAATAGTGCTCCATTGTGTATATGTAACACATTTTCTTTATCCATTCATCTGTTGATGAACACTTAGTTGGATTCCAAATCTTAGCTATTGTGAATAGTGCTGAAACAAACATGAGAGTGTATAAAAGACATCTCTTTTATGTATGTATTTATTAAATATTTCCACAGCTTTCCATTCATCTTTTATTATCTTTATTGTTTTACTTGCAGCTGTTTAATATGTTTGAGTCCATCAGTTATCTTCTCAGTTCTCTTCTTTTCTCTTTCTTCCATCTGGATTTCTGCTCAGAGGGTTAATCTATCTTTTTTTCTAGAATTCTGCTGCTATTTGACATTTTTCCTCCAACTTCATTCTATTATGGTGGTTGATGTTAAGATAGGAATTTAAGTTGATTTTGCTCCCCAATTAATAACCAATTATCCAAGTACCATTTTTAACGTCCTTCCTTCCCTCAATCAAAAAATTGATTTTTTTTCTTTTTCCTTTTCTTTTTTTTTTTTTTTTTTTTTTTTTTGAGGTGGAGTTTCACTCTTGTCACCCAGGCTGGAATGCAATGGCGCAATCTCAGCTCACTGCAACTTCTGCCTCCCGGGTTCAAGTGATTCTCCTGCCTCAGCCTCCCAAGTAGCTGGGATTACAGGCGCCCGCCACCACACTCAGCTAATTGTTGTATTTTTAGTAAAGACGGGGTTTCACCATGTTGGCCAGGCTGGTCTCTAACTCCTGACCTCGGGTGATCCACCCGCCTCAGCCTCCCAAAAAGTGCTGGGATTATAGGCGAGAGCCACCACGGCCGGCCCCCTCATTGATTTTAATGTCACTTCTATAATATAGTAGCTTATTTTACTGAATTTGTTTTTCATTATCCAGCAGCATTGGTATACAGTCATGCCCCACATGATGATGTTTTGGCCTAAGACAGACCACATATATTATGGTAAACCCATAAGATTATAATGGAGCTGAAAATTTTCTTTTCTTTTTTTTTTTTTCTTTTTTCGAGACAGAGTCTTGCTCTGTCGCCCAGGCTGGAGTGCAGTGGCACAATCTCAGCTCACTGCAACCTCCGCCTCCTGGGTTCAAGCAATTGTCTTTCCTCAGCCTCCGGAATAGCTGGGATTACAGATGCCCACCACCATGCTTGGCTAATTTTTGTATTCTGAGTAGAGACGAGGTTTCACCGTGTTGGCCAGGCTGCTCTCCAACTCTTGACCTCATGATCCACCTGCCTTGGCCTCCCAAAGTGCTGGGATTACAGGTGTGAGCCACTGCGCCTGGCCCGGAGCTGAAAATTTTCTACAGCCTAATGACTTCATAGTCACTGTACTTCAGAATGCAACACATTACTCACACGTTTGTGTCAACAAATCTACTGTTCCACCTGCTGTATAAAAGGCAAGCACATACAATTATGTATATAGTGCAGAATACTTGACAATGAAAATAAACGACTATGTTACTGATGTGTGTACTTACTATATTATACTTTTTTATCACTATTTTAAAGGTTACTCCTTCTACTTATTAAAAGAAAAAGTTAACCATAAAACAGCCTCAAGCATGTCCTTCAGAAGATATTCTAAAAGAAGGCATTGTTAATACAGGAGATGGCAACTCCGTGCGTGGTATTGCCCCTGAAGACCTTCCAGTGGGACAAGATGTGAAGGTAGAAGACAGTAATACTGATGATCCTGACCCTGTGTAGGCCTAGGATAATGCGTATGTTACAAATTTTTTAAACAGAAAAAAAAAACCATATAGAATAAGAATATAAAGAAAAAACATTTTTGTACAGCTGTACAATTTATTTAAGCTACCCGTTATTACAAAACAGTCCAAAAGTGGTTTTTTATTGTTGTTGTTGTTCTGTTTGATTTATTTATCTTTTTTTTTGAGATGGGGTCTGGCTCTGTAGCTCAGGCAGGAGTGCAGTGGCGCAATCTCAGCCCACTGCAACCTCCACCTCCTGGGTTCAAGCGATTCTTCCTGTCTCAGCCTCCTGAGTAGCTGGGATTACAGGTGGCCACCACCACACCCGGCTCATTTTTGTATTTTCAGTAGAGACAGGGTTTCACCATGTTGGCCAGGCTGGTCTCGAACTCCTGACCTCAGGTGATCCGCCCGTAATCCCAGCACTTTGGGAGGCCAGGGCTGCGGATCACTTGAGGTCAGGAGTTTGAGACCAGCCTGACCAACATGGCAAAACTCCCGTCTCTACTACAAATACAAAAATTAGCCAGGCGTGGTGGTGGGCACCTATAATCTCAGCTACTCTGGAGACTGAGGCAGGAGAATTGCTTGAACCTGAGAGGTGAAGGTTGCAGTGAGCCGAGATCTTGCCACTGTACTCAAGCCTGGGTGACAGAAAGAGACTCTGTCTGAAAAAAAAAAAATATATATATATATATATATATACATATATATATATATATATATACACGTGTGTGTATATATATATACACGTGTGTATATATATACGTGTATATATAGTGTATATATATATGTGTGTGTGTATATATACGTGTGTATATATATACGTGTATATATATACTTGTGTGTGTGTGTGTGTGTGTGTATATATATATATATATCTCATTACTGGGAGATATAATTGCTTTCTACTGAACTGAAAACGGCCCTGCGAGGGGCATTTCTACTGAACTGAAAACTCACATCTGGTCTCTCCTGGACTCTGTCCCATGCACCTTTGCTTTTGCTGATTTTAATCTTTACCCTTCACTGTAATAAACCATAACTGTGAGTATGATAGCTTTTCTGAGTTCTACGAGTCTTTTTATTTTATTTTATTATTATTATTATTTTTTGAGACTGGTTTCAAACTCCTGGACTCAAGCAATCCTCCTGCCTTGGCCTCTGAAAGTGCTGGGATTGTAGGTGTGAATCACCACGCCTGTCTTGAATTCTATGAGTCTTTCCTTTTTTTTGAAACAGAGTCTCACTCTGTTACCAGGCTGGAGTGCAGTGGCGCCAATCTCAGCTCACTGCAACCTCCGCCTCCCGGGTTCAAGTGATTCTCCTGCCTCAGCCTCCTGAGTAGCTGAGACTACAGGCGCCTGCCACCACGCCTGGCTAATTTTTTGTATTTTAGTAGAGACTGGGTTTCCCCATGTTGGCCAGGCTGGTCTCGATCTCCTGACCTCATGATCTGCCCGCCTCAGCCTTCCAAAGTGCTGGGATTACAGGCGGGAGCCACCACGCCCAACCCTGAATTCTATGGGCCTTTCTAGTGAATTGCTGAACCTAAAGGTGGTCTTGGGGGACCCCTGACACAGAGACCATGGATATTGTTTTATCAGGAGAAATAATGGTTTTTCTTTACCTTCTTCTTCCGCCACTCTTTGAGAATGTGAGAAACATGAGTTGACCACTCTTCTTGTTGAAGCTGAAGCTTCCCTTCTCCCCAAACCTAGGAGAAACGTTTCTTCCCCTCCCTTGCTCACGCCGTCCTTCAAGCCCTCAGCATATGCTCAGAGAGAAACAGAGACCTTATATACCTTTCATTCCTGCTCCTTTATTTCACTTTTCCCTCCCCCCTAAATGAGTCAAGCAGAACGTGTGTTCAGCCCACGGTCAGTTGGGCAACAGATGTGTCACCAGGACTCCCCTCCCCAGCCCCCTTCCCTCCTCTCTGGGGGGGCAGAGCTGGAGGCCCCTCACATAGCACTCTCGTTGCCTCCCCGTCCCCGGGATGCCCCCTTCTCCTGTGCCATGAGGGACTTGTAGGGTTTCCCCAGGCTGGGGAGGGTAAGCTCAGCTTCCTGAAGCTCCAGCTCCCGCTGAGACAAGTGCTCGATGACGGCCGCTCCAATTGAGTCCCCCAGTACGTTGGTCATTGTGCGAAGCCGGTCACTGGTACAGGGGAGAAAGAAGCTGCCATTAATGGGGGCTTGAAAAGCTTCACAGAAAGAGGGTGCAGCAGAGGGGGGTCCCTGTGCCAGGGAGTCAGAGGGCTCCCATTGCAGTACAATCCATGACCACATGTCCCCAAGCAGGTTCTTCCCCCTCTCTGCCCTGTTTCTCCTACTAACAAACAGGATGGACCAGGTCTGAGATGTTCATGTTTGATCTTAGATGTGATATTTTTTAAAAAATGAGGCTGGGTGTGGTTTACAGAAAAAAGATCATATCATTAAAAAGATATGATCCCAGCACTTTGGGAGGCTGACAGGCAGAAGAATTGCTTGAGACCAGGAGTTCAAGACCAGCCTGGGCAACATAGCAAGACCCCGTCTCTACATAGAATAACTTTAAAACACAGCCTGGGATGGTAGCATGTGCCTGTAGTCCCAGCTACTTGGGAGGCTGAGATGGCAGGGTCACTTGAGCCCAGAACGTCAAGGCTGCAGTGAGCTATGATCATGCCACTCCACTCCAGCCTAGATGACAGAACAAGACCCTGTCTCTCAAAAAAAAAGAAAATGAGGCAGGGCGTGGTGGCTCATGCTTATAATCCCAGCACAAGGCGGGCGGATCACAAGGTCAGGAGTTGGAGACCGGCCTGACCAACATAGTGAAACCCTGTCTCTACTAAAAATACAAAAAAAAAAAAAAAAAAAAAATTAGCTGGGCATGGTGGCATGCCCAGTAGTAATCCCAGCTACTCGGGAGGCTGAGGCAGGAGAATCACTTGAACCTGGGAGGCAGAGGTTGCAGTGAGCTGAGATCGAGCCACTGCACTCCAGCTTGGGTGACAGAGCAAGACTCTGTCTCACAAAAAAAAAAAAAAAAAAAAAAAAAGAAAGAAAAGAAAAAAATGAACATCTCATGCAGACGATTAAGGGTTATGAACTGAAAAGCACATAGAATCCGGAATGGTAAACCAGGGCAGGCCTGAGTCAATACAGGTGTAGACTAGGGCAGGCTGAAGATTATAAAATTGGAACTCAGGCTCAGCTGACAGCTCCCATGTGGGAATGAAAGTCCAGGCTTCCTTTAATGTAAACCTCCTGGTTTTGTTGTTGTTGCTGGTTTTTGTTTTTGTTTTTGTTTTTTGAGATGGTGTTTCACTCCTGTTGCCCAGGCTGGAGTGCAGTGGTGCGATCTCGGCTCACTGCAACCTCCACCTCCCAGGTTCAAGCGATTCTCCTGTCTCAGCCTCCTGAGTAGCTGAGATTATAGGCGCCCACCACTAGGCCCGGCTAATTTTTGATATTTTTAGTAGAGATGGGGTTTCACCATGTTGGCCAGGCTGGTCTTGAACTCCTGACCTCAGGTGATCTGCCCACCTCGGCCTCCCAAAGTGCTGGGATTACAGGCGTGAGCCACCACACCCGGCCTGTTTTTGTGTTTTTGAAACAGAGTGTTGCTCTGTCACACAGGCTGGAGTACAGTCATGTGATCTTGACTCACTGCAGCCTCAACCTCCCAGGTTCAAGAGTTCCTCCCACCTCAGCCTCCCAAGCAGCTGGGACTACAGGTGCGCCACCACACCCAGCTAATTTTTGTATTTTTTGTAGAGATGGGACTTGCCATGTTGCCCAGGCTGGTCTTGAACTCCTGAACTCAAGCAATCCACCTGCTTTGGCCTCGCAAAGTGCTGGAATTACAGGCACATGTCACTGTGTCCTACCCGTAAACCTCCTGTTTTTAAAAATTGAGATTTAAATATATATTTGCAGCTGGGAGTAGCAGCTCACATCTGTAGTCCCAACTACTTGGGAGGCTGAAGCAAGAGGATTGCTTAAGCTAAGGAGTTCAAGGCCAGCCTGGGCAACACAGCAAAACATAATCTCAAAAAAAAAAAAAATAACAAATCCCAGCACTTTGGGAGGCTGAGGCAGGTGGATCACGAGGTCAGGAGATCGAGACCATCCTGGCTAACATGGTGAAACCCCATCTCTACTGAAAATACAAAAAACCAAAAAATTAGCCAGGCATGGTGGCGGGCGCCTGTAATCCCAGCTACTTGGGAGGCTGAGGCAGGAGAATGGCGTGAACCCAGGAGGCAATCTCATCTCACTGCTACCTCCACCTCCCAGGTTCAAGCGATTCTCCCACCTCAGCCTCCTGAGCAGCTGGGATTACAGGCACGTGCCACCACGCCCAGCTAATTTTGTTTTTTGTTTGTTTGTATTTTTAGTAGAGACACCGCACCCGGCCTGGATCACCTTTTGGTGACTTCTACATAAAACAGGTAAAAGAGGAGTTTTTCTGCCTGATAGGTAAAGCCCCCATTGCTTGTCTCCAACCCTACTTCCCAAAGATAACTGTGGGATTTGGGGTCCAGAGGCCATGGATTGGAGGCCTCTCCAAGGCCTCCTTTTCACTTGAAAATTCTGGACCACTGCATCTTTGCTGGAATAAAAGTCCACAGGTCGAGGACGTTGCAGGGGAAAGCAGTGTGTGCAGAAGCAGGAGCACCAGGGTCCAGCCTAGAGAACACTCACAGGAACCAGTCCACGGCAATGATGAGCGTGATGTCTTCCGTGGGCAAGCCGACCGACGTAAGCACAATGACCATGGTGACCAGACCCGCCTGGGGGATGCCAGCAGCCCCAACACTGGCTGCTGTGGCCGTGATGCTGCAGGGGGAGGGAGAACATGGGGAGCAGATGGAGGGAAGAAGGCGATGAGGAAGAGAGAGGAAAAGGACAGAGAGAAGGGAAGAGATCAGCTCCCCAAGGCATTTTAAATTAAATACCCAAGCCAGACACAGAGAGAAAAATACTGCTTGATGCCTCGCCTCGCCTCGCCTCACCTCGATCCCCACCCACCCCGCCCCTCCCCTCCTCGCCTCACCTTGCCCCTGCCTCGCCTCCTCTCTCTCTCTCCCAGGCTGAAGTGCAGTGGTGTTATCTCAGCTCACTGCAACTCACTACTCAATCCCACCTTAACCTCCTGAGTAGCTGGGACCACAGGCACATGCCACAACGCCTGGTTAATTTTTAGTAGAGATGGGGTTTCACCATGTTGGCCAGGCTGGTCTCGAACTCCTGACCACCTCGAACTCCTGATCCACCCACCTCGGCCTCCCAAAGTGCCAGAATTACAGGTGTGAGCCACCGCGCCTGACAGAGCTTACATTCTAGTATGGGAAGCAGGCAATAAACAAAATGAATAACTAAAATTCATACTATATGGAGATAGTACTACACGGGGAAACAGTGCCTCCTTAGCAAGACCCGATATGCCATTTTAAACAGGGCTTCCCTGAAAAAGTAACGCTGAAGACCTGAAGGAGATGACAATGTTCACTGTTATTTTTATAATGACTAAGTTGGAACCACTGGATGATGGGACCTATAAATACAGGAATAAATAAATGTATAGAGCCTACAAATATAAGAATCTATATACAAGAACCTCGGGTTATCAGGATGCACCAGCCATGCTTTGGAAAACACTGGACAAATGGATCTCCCACGTGAGAGGGAAACTGACAGGAACGTCTTGGCAGCTCCTGACAGCCTCAGGTGGCAACTTTACCTTTCACCTACCTCATCCGGCATTGGGCTCTTCCCACATCCCGCTTCCAACATCCGTGGGCTCCTCTGAGCTCCAGCTGAGGCCCCCTCCTCCCTCCCCAACCCTCCCAGCCAAGCTGATGACCGCTTAAGTCTCACCTGCTGGCAGGTCCTACCCAAGCCCCCTCACCTGATGGTTGTGATCTGACCCAGGTTGAGCTCGTAGTTGTTAACTTGAGCAATGAAGATGGCAGCCAGGGCCTCGTAGAGGGCAGTGCCATCCATGTTGACCGTGGCGCCCACGGGCAGGACGAACCTGGTGATGCGGCGGTCCACACCCAGGCCCTCCTCCAGGCAGCGGAAGGTGATGGGCAGCGTTGCCGAGCTGGGGGAAAGAGCCCAGGACTGAGGATGGGGCGTGGCCTGGTGGGGGCGGGGCTGGGAACAGGGTGTGGCCTAGTGGGGCAGGGCAGAGAATGGGGCGTGGCCGAAGAAAGGCTGGGGAACAGGGCGTGACCTAGTGGGGTACGGCTGAGAATGGGTAGGGCTGGGTCACATGGGCGGGGCTGAGAACAGGGGAGGAGTAGGTGAGGCGGGGCTCAGAGCAGGACGTGGCCAGGTGAGGAAGAGCTGAGAATAGGGCGTGGCAAGGCAGGGCGGGGCTCAGAGCAGGGCATGGGCTGGGCGTGGCCTGGGCAGAAATGAGCCCAAGGAGCGTTCCCCTTGAGAACATTGAGCAGGCCAGGTGGGGGGCTCCTCAAGATGCAGAAGACAAGGGTATAACATTTCAGAGGCTGATAACTGTACAAAGGAAAGGAGCAACTCCTCATGATACAGGAAGAAAACAGCAATGAGGGTCTCCCAAGCTGAAGATCTCTTCACCCACTTAAAGCCAATAGCTAAGGCCAATGACTACACACTAGTTTATGGCAGTAGTTCGTTCTACCTATCCATTTCCAAAAAGGACAGGACCAAAGGTCTGCTGACTTCAGGGAGGGCCCCTACTCCAGACTCCCCTGTTTGCACCAGCATTGACCTCAGCTGTGCTAACTTTCTCTATCCATCTACCCGCCATGTCTTATCGGAGAAAAGTGACCTAATTGATTGGCGAGTTTAGTCAAAGAAGTGGGCATCTCATTTGGGGTAAGTCTGTCCACAAGGCGTGTGTTCTGTGGTCAGCTTTACATCATACGGTTGGAATCCTGGACTCATAAGAGAGTCTCTGGGTGTCCAGCTCAGCGGTGACTATGTGAGTTTAATTCTAGGATACAGTGACATCAGTCTTACCTAGCCATAGACCAAGAGGCACATTCCCTGACCAGCGTTATGGGCAATTTTAAAAATTATATTTTTGATCAGGTGCAGTGGTTCGTGCCTGTAATCACAGCACTTTGGGAGAGCGAGACGGGCAGATCACTTGAGCTCAGGAGTTCAAGACAAGCCATAGCCAACATGGCAAAACCCCGTCTCTACCAAAAACAACAACAACAACAAAAAAAACTTAGCCGGGAGGGCTAAAAAATTAGCCGGGAGGACTGGAATCAGGCACCTGTGATTCCAGCTACTTGGGAGGCTGAGGTGGGAGGATCACTTGAGCCTGGGAAGTGGAGGTTGCAGTGAGTGGAGATCACACCACTGCACTCTAGCCTGGGTGATAGAGTGAGGCCTCATGTCAAACGAAAAAGAAAAAGAAAAAAAAGATATTTTTGGCCGGGCGTGGCGGCTTACACATGTAATCCCAGCACTTTGAGAGGCCAAGGTGGGCAGATCACATGAGGCCAGGTGTTCGAGACCAGCCTGGCTAACATGGCAAAACCCCATCTCTACTAAAAATACAAAAATTAGCCAGGTGTGGTGGTGCATGCCTGTAGTCCCAGCTACTTGGGAGGCTGAGGCAGGAGAATCACTTGAACCTAAGAGGCGGAGCTTGCAGTGAGCCAGGATTACACCACTGCACTCCAGCCTGGGTGACAGAGTGAGACTCTGTCTCAAAAAAAAGAAAAAAAAAATTCTTCCATCTTTTTGGCTGTTGTGCTACTTTTCAAATTTGTTTTTGAATTGGGATGATGCTCTTAATTAATCCCCTAAAACTACAAAAGAAGAAGAGGAGGAGGAAGAGGAGGAAGAAGAAAAAGGAGGAAGAGGATGAAGGGGAAGAAGAAGGAGGAGGAGAAGGAAGAAGCAGCAGCCAAGAGATCTCCCAGACACCATCTCACAAGTGGAGATGACACCCTCTGAGCTAGGAAATGACTGAGCTCATGGGGCATCCTGGAACCTTCCCTCTTAACCTCAAAACTGGTACCTGGTTCTCCTCCACAGAAAGTTAAAAAACAGGAAAGGAGAAAAGGAGACCAGGAGAGCCAGCCCAGGACAATGACTGGACCCCAGGTGTTGACATTATGAGCCCTGGACATTGTTGGACGACTCAGAAGAGGTGTTTAAGGAATGGAGAGGGCAGGTGCCTTAGGAGAGGACATGAAGGACAAGAAGTGCAACCAGGAATGGTGCTGGGGTGGGGAGCAAGGCCATACCTGGAAGACGTGCCCATAGCGGTGATGAGGGCTTGTAGCATGCCCCCAATGAAGGGGAAGGGGTTCCGGTGAGTGACGAGGAAGTAGATGAGGGGAAGGACAATGCCGGCATGGAGGAACAGGCCCACGATGACGGTCAGGGTGTACATGCCCAGCTGACCCCCCAGGACGGCCATGTCTTCCATCTCCAGAATCTTCCCAGCAATCAGGAACAGGATGCCCACAGGTGCATACCTGTGTGAGGGAGCCACATACCTGTCAGGGCTCCCTCCTGACCTCCCTTGCAGGTCTGAAGGTGGCATCCCCAAGGCTTTGCCCATATAGGGCCCTGGAGCCACACAATACCCATGATACGGCACCCTACTCCATCCCAGTCTTCCCCGTACACTAATGAATGCCACCGGGCCCCATGAATGAAGCCCACCTCCTCCTCCTCCTGCTCTTCCACATCTCCCCACCATGGTAGAAAAGTTCCTACAACTCCAGGATATACAAGCTTTCAGGTCTCTCCTGTACCTACTCCCCATTCAAGCTCTCTCAATCCTGCCCCAAATAATCACTACCTTCAGTTTCCTTCCTTAGACATTGCCAAGACATTCCCTGTCTCTGGCCTTCTAAGCTTCCCTTATCTTCTGCCCCCAACTGTTTGTTCCACATTTGAAATGTGTATGCCCCTATTCTCTTCCCTATCAGTGCCTGTTATCACTCATTCACCAGCCTAAGCATTTCCCTCTCAAACCACTTGTCCTATCAAAATCACCGATGTATTCATTCATTCCACAGATATTGACTGAGTACCTACTGAGTACCAGGCACATGGCTCTCGTCCTCAAAGCACTTACATTCTGTTATGGACTAAATGTTTATGTCCCCTCCCCACTCCAACCAAATTCATATCTTGAGATCCTAACCCCCAATGGGATAGTATTGGGAGGTGATTAGGTCATGAGGGTAGAGCCATCATGAATGGAATTAGTGCCCATATAAAAGACACACCAGAGAGCTCCCTCCACCCTTCTGTCATTCGAAGACACAGCAAGAAGACGCCTTCCATGAACCAGAAGACAGCCCTCACCAGACATGGAATCTGTGGGTGCCTTGAACTTAGACTTCCCACCCTCCAGAGCTGTGCGAAATACATTTTTGTTCTTTAAGCCACAATGTCTATGGTATTTTTGTTACAGCAGCTGACATGAACTAAGACACATTCTAATGGGGAAAGCAGGAGGTACACATAGAAATGCACTAATTGCAAACTTCAAGTGGTGATAACAGCAAAGGAGAGTCACTGGATGGGACTGCTTCTGAGCAGATGGTCAGAGAGGGCTTTTCTGAAGAGGTGACATTTAAGCTGAGACTTGCATGATGAGAAGGTACCCTGTGTATCTGGAAGAAATCATTGCAGGCACAATGCAGACTCTGAGATGGGCATGCACTAGGAGTGCTGGAGGACCAGAGAGAAGACCAATGTGGCTGGAGTATTGAGTAAAAAGGAGAATAGAGAAGATGAAAGAAGCAAGTTCATCAGGGGCTCACCTGTTTCCCCCCATAATCCAGCCCACGGGTCAATCGAGTGAGTTTCTGCCATTGGCACCATCATCTCATTTCGAGGCTTCAATGGCTACTCCTCTTTCTTTAGAAATTGAAGTTTATGGCTGGGCATGGTGGCTCATGCCTGTAATCCCAGCACTTTGGGAGGCCGAGGAGGGCAGATCACTTGAGGTCAGGAGTTCGAGACCAGCCTGGCCAACATGGTGAAATCCCATCTCTATTAAAAATAAAAAAATTAGTCAGGTGTGGTAGTGCACACCTGTAGTCCCAGCTACTCGGGAGGCTGAGGCAGAAGAATCACTTGAACCCAGGAGGCAGAGGTTGCAGTGAGCTGAGATCACATCACTGCACTCCAGCTTGGGCGACAGAGCCAGACTGCATCTCAAAAAAAAAAAAAAATTTGAAATCTACTTTGGCTCACATTCATCGTGGATGTGTTGGAGGAGGTGGGGACCTCTTGGGAAGGTGGTACAATAGCTTGAGTCAAAAATGAGGATGCACGGGGCTTCTCCAGTCACATCTGTGTTCTCCAAACTGGGCTCAGAGTTAGCCCTGGGGAGTAGTTGCTGAGTCTTCTCCAAGTCAACATGACTAGATCCACCTCTATGCTTACTCTGAGTAATCCCTCTCTCAACTTCCTCACCTCCATCCTTCCACCTCATCCCCTGCAAAATTCCTCAGCCCAAGATTAATTGTGCATGATTTCTTACCCCCTACACTCAGCCACCTGGCACATCTGGACATTTCACCCAATCATGCCAATGACACTGCTATAAATTCATTGTTCCCAATTCAGCTGAGCCTTCATTATTCCTTGTTAACTCTCTGCTTATCCTTAATAAGCTCCCCACTCCCATTCCTTTCAGATGCTTTTCCAGGCCCTCAACTTGGCCTCAAGTTCCTTATATGAAGAAAGTAAAAGTTCGTCTTCAAAGTTTCCCTTCTTGTTAAAGAATAAATCTTAAGTGTTAAAAATAGTTTCTTTTAAAGACTAACTTCCTTCAAGCCTCCTTACTTTATGCTAATAACTCTTTGTTAAGCCCTATCCTATGTAGGTGTTAGACACGCTCACAGGCACATAGTACATTCTACGTCCTTGTACTTTAACCAAGATATCTGTGCTGGATGTGCTCACAGGCATGTCCCAGCTTGCAGCCTATACCCCTTCCTTATTTGGGAATGTTATTACTTTTCTAAGTCCTTTTGTAAGCAACTTCCTCTTTTCCTCTGTTTTCCATTGCTTTTACCTATTTAGAAAAGTTTTAAATTATTAGCCAGTCGGGATTTAGTTTAGATTGTAAAGTCTGGCTCCAGCCAATGGAGACAGACACAGTAGCAGGGACAAACTGCATAAGGGATAAAAATTGCTTCTTCCCTCCTTTGTTCAGGTGTGCTCTTGCCATTGTTCCATCTGTGATGAACACCCTTTCTGCAGAAGTAAAAATTGCCTTGCTGAGATAATTAAATTTATGTTTGAGTGCTATTTCTTTATGGCACTGGGGAACAAGCATTCTGTTTCTAAATAAACATTTTACATATGACACTATACAACTTTCCAATTGTTTGGGATGATGTACAAAGTCTTCTCCCATTTGGGATCTGACAGCCTTGTTAATATCTTCCACCACCACTCCCAACTTACCCCATGCTCTCACCTTCCTGAATGCCCCACCATTCTCCAAACAACTTAGGTACCTTCAAGCTTTGCATGTTCTCTTCTCTCTGCCTGAAATACGTCTCCCCTCTCACTGTCCAGTTGAAGTCCTACTCACCTGTCAAGACGCAGTTAACAGGTGACCTTCTTCATGACTCCCTCTTCAGGAAGCATTCACTGCGTACCCCTCTACTCACTGCTTCCTTCTCCAAGTTCCCAACATTTTTTAAATGTTCCTTTACTACAGAACCTACCACCTTGTGTTATATTGATCTACAATGTGTCTGTCTCCCCTAAGATTTTGTGAGCTTGTTGAGGACAAGGTATGAGTGCACTGTATCTCTGTACTCCAGAGGTCAAGACAAAGTCTGCCTGGGAAAATGCCTGCTGAGTGAATAAAGATATTTCTGAAGTAATAAAGGAATCTAGAGAAGGAATGATGGAAGGAAGGAAGGAAGGAAGGGATTAACAACTGGATGAATAAGTAAGGAAATAAGCAAATGAAACAAGTTAGTAGCTGAGTGAACAAATACGTGAACAAATGAGTGAATGAAGAGAATACTTGAATAAATGAATGAAAGAATAACAAATGCATAGATGAATGAGTGAGTCCAAGAATGAATTAGAATGAATAAATGACTTAACTGAGTAAATAAACAGATGAATCCATCAATGATTTAACTAATGCATGGATGAGTTTGTAAATAAATTTACGAGTGAATGAATACATGAGTGAGTTAACTGATGCATGGAAGAATGAATAGATGAATAAGAAAATGAATGAACCGATAGAAAAATGAGAATGAATAAGTGAATAAATTGGTGAATGAAGAGATACATGGGGAAGTAAATGGGTGAATAAATCACTGCAGAAAGGTATGAATGAATGAATAGTAACTAACCAATGCATAGGAGATGAATAAATCCCTGTCACTTGTGACAACACAGATGAACCTGGAGGACATTATGCTAATTGAAATAACCAAGACACAGAAAGACAAATACCACATGATCTCACTTATCTGTGGAATCTAAACAATCAAACTCACAGAAGCAGGGAGTAAAATGGTGGTTACCAGGGACTCGCAGGAAAGGGAGATTGGGGAGATGTTGATCAAGGGTACAAAATTTCAGTTAAATAGGAGAAATAAGTTCAAGAGATCTATTGGACAACATGGTAGGTATAGTTAAAAACAATGTATTGTGTACTTGCAAATCACAAAGAGAGTAGATTTTAAGTGGTCTCTCCCTTTTTTTTTTTTTTTGAGACTGGGTCTCATTCTGTCACCCAGGCAACCACAACTCACTGCAGCCTCTACATCCCAGGCTCAATCTGTCCTCCCGCCTCAGCCTCCCAAGCAGCTGGGACTACAGCTGCATGCCACCACACCCAGCTAATTTTTTTTGTATTTTTTGTGGTCTTGTCATGTTGCCCAGGCTGGTCTCAAATTCCTGGGCTCAAGTGATTCTCCCACCTTGGCCTCCCAAAGTGCTGAGATTATAGGCATGAGCCACCACACCCTGCCTAGATCTTAAGTGTTCTCACCACAAAAAAATAAGCATGTGAGGTAACGTCTATGTTAGTTAGCTCAACTGAACCATTCCACAATGTAGAGATATTTCAAAACATTATGTTGCACATGAAAATATATACAGTTTTTATTTGTCAATTAAAAATACATTAATTTTGCAAAATAAATAAATGAATGACCAAATAAATCCAGAAACCAATGCATGAAAGAATAAATGTAGCTGAATAAATGTCAGTGAATGGCTTGGTCAATGTATTGAAGAATGAGTGAATGAACAGATAAGCAAGGGAGTGAACAAGTGAACAAATCATTGCAGAAAAGTGTGAATGAATGAATGAGTTAGTGAGTTGGCCAGTGATTTAACCAATGCATAGATGAATGAATAAATGCATGAGGAAATGAGTAAATCAATGCATTGAAGCATGAGTATAGATGAATAAATCACTGAATGAGTGATTTCATCAATGCATAGAAGAATGAGTGAATGAACAGATGAACAAAGCAGTGAATGAATCATTGCAGAAGGACATGAATGAATGAAAGAGTGAGATATTCCATGAACTAACCAATGCATAGAAGAATGAATGAATGAACAGATGAACAAGGAAGTCAACTAGTGATGAAATCATCCCAGAAAGACATGAATGAATGAGTTGGTGAGTGGGTAAGTGAATCACCCAATACGTAAATGAATGACCAAAAGTCCCCAGCAAGCCCTTCGGCAGCTTCCCCACAGCCTGACTTCCCAGCTCTGGCTCCACCATCCCGTGGGCACAGACCAGGACTCACCAGATAATGATGCCCACCAGCCTCATAATAGCCTCATTGAGGCTGTCGAAGAAGTCCCTGAGGACTCTGCCCTTGTGTTTCATGCCACCAATGACCAGCCCAAAGGCCACAGAGAAGACCACGAGGCCCAGGGCGTTGATGCCATTGGCGGAGCCAGGCACGGGTACAGTCTCCTCAAAGCTCAGCATCTCCTGCAGGGTACCCAAGGCCCGAGTGACATTTTCCAGGAAGCTGGTTCCGTTCTCCACTGAGAATGGAGGAGGCATGGAGGCACCCGGCTCAGACCCGTTCTCTGTCCTCACCATGGTCCTGGTTACCACCCTCGTGCTGTACTGCGTCTTGAACTGAAATAGAGAGAGATTGCGCCCAGATTCAATTCAGCGGATGCATTAGAATCGCCTGGAGAAATTCCTTGAGACCACTGATTCCCAGTTCCCACACCCTGGAAGATCGATAAGATCTTCATTATCGATTATCACTCATTATCGACTATCACTCATTCAGCAGATCTGAATGAGTGAATGAATGACTTGAATAGTGCATGGAAGAATGAGCGAATGAATCAGTAAACCCATTATGAAAAATCATATGGAGCTTCCTCAAAAAATTAAAAATAGAACTACCGGCCGGGCATGGCTCACGCCTGTAATCCCAGCACTTTGGAAGGTCGAGGCAGGCGGATCATGAGGTCAGGAGTTTGAGACCATCCTGGCCAACATGGTGAAACCCTGTCTCTACTAAAAATACAAAAATTAGCTGGGTGTGGCAGTGCGTGCCTGTAGTCCCAGCCACTTGGGAGGCTGAGGCAGGAGAATCGCTTGAACCTGGGAGGCGGAGGTTGCAGTGAGCTGAGATGGTGCCACTGCACTCCAACCTGGCGACAGAGTGAGACTCCATCTCAAAAAAACAAAAAAAAATTGAACTACCATAGGACCAGCAATCCCACTACTGTATATATCCAAAGGAAATGAAATCAGTATCTCAAAGAGATATCTGCTCTCCCATGTTTATTGCAGTACTATTCACAATAGCCAAGATATGAAATCAACCTAAGTATCCATCAGTGAATGAATGGATACAGAACATGTGGTATACATATACAATGAAATACTATTCAGCCTTGAAAAAGGAGGGGATCCTGTCATTTGTGACAAGAGGGTTGAACCTGGAAAACACTGTGCTACGTGAAATAAACCAGGCACAGAAAGACAAATATTGCATGCTCTCACTTATATGTGAAATTTAAAAGAGTTGGACTCATAGAAGCAGAAAATAGAATAGTGCTTACCAGGGACTGGGGAGCAGGGAAATTGGGGAGATGTTGGTAAAAGGACACAAAATTTCAGCTAGACAAGAGCAATAAGTTCAAGAGCTCTATTATACAACATGGTGACTATAGCTAATAACAATGTATTGTGTATTTGAAAATCACCAGAAGGGTAGATTTTAAGTGTCTTTATCTCAAAAAATGTTAAGTATATAAGGTAATTGATATGTTAATAAGCTTGATTGAGCCACTCCACAATGCAGACATATTTCAAAACATCATCATACCTCATAAATACATATAATCTTTGTGTGAATTTGAACATAAATAAATTAAAAATATTTTTTGAAGAATAAGTGCCTGAATAAATGAATGAGGAAGTGAACAACCAATGTGTGGAAGTAGTATAGATTCTGAATTTTTCACAAGCTCCCTGAGCAATGCTTAACCAGAGTTGAGGGCCTCTCCCCTCAACCATCTGTGGTCAAAATTTCTGGAATCTCTACACCAGCCTTGTTGCCTCCTCTAGCCCTGTGCTCAGGAAGTCCTTGGCCTAAGTCCTCTTTTTTTTTTTTTTCTTTTTTTGATATGGGGTCTTGCTCTGTCACCCATGTTGGAGTGCAGTGGTGTGACCACTGGAGCCTTGATCTCCTGGGTTCAAGCAATCCTCCCACCTCAGCCTCCCAAGTAGCTGAGACAGGCGTGTCCAGCTAATTTTTTTTTAATCTTTTTTTTTTTTTGAAAGACAGAGAGTCTCATTCTGTTGCCCAGGCTGGTCTTGAACTTTTGGCCTCAAGTGATCCTCCCACCTTGGCCTCCCTAAGTGCTGGGATTACAAGCCTGATCCACCATTCTCGGACCTAAGTGCTTCTCCCTAACCCCCCCAGATCACCATGGAAAATACATCCTTTCTCCTAGACTCCTCAAGAACCCCTGCCCATTGCTCTGTCAGGCCCTTCCTCCCGCCTCTTGCCCTTGGACCATCCCTTCAGCCCCAAGCTCCCACCACCCTCCGAATCTCCTTGATCAAACTGTGTACTTCCCCCTGACCTGTTTGAAGCAGGCCTCCACAAGGTTTGGTGGAAACATATTTCTGCAGAAAAACATGAGAAGAAGGAAAGTGGTTAGACCATGGAAGGGCATCTAGGGTGATAACAGTAATACTAACACCAAGAACAACAATAGTGCAGCCAACATATGAATGCTTCCTCTAGGCTGGGCACTGAGCAAGCATCTTACTATCATCTGATTAAAACACTACAATAACCCTAGACATGAGTCCTATTGAATGCCGCCTTTCACATAGAAAGAAACCACAGCCCAGAGAATTGATGTAAGCTACCCGGAGCCACAGAGCTGCTAAGAGGTGCAGATGGCCCTCAAATCCAGGTCTGTCTGAGCATGTGGCCAGAGCCCTACATCACCTCAAGGACTTTAATTCAAACACACATGTGTCAGTGATGCCTCAAAAAACCACAGAAAACTCTTAAACCCTTTTAACTTTAGGTTTCGTCTAGGCCCATGATTAAGGTAGAACCATGGCTAGCCTTGATTCTGTGTGGCAAAAATCTTGCTGCTTTAATTAAAATTAAAACCACAATGAGATAACCACCTTAACCCCAGCTAGAACAGCCATCATTAAAGAGTCAAAAAACTATAGATGTTGGCATTGATGTGGGGGAAAGGGGACACTTACACACTGCTGGTGGGGATGTAAATTAGTACAACCTCTATGGAAAACAGTATGGAGATTTCTTTTTTTTTTTTTTTAGATGGAGTCTTGCTCTGTCGCCCAGGCTGGAGTGCAGTGGTGCGATCTCGGCTCACTGCAACCTCCACCTCCCGGGTTCAAGCAATTCTCCTGCCTCAGCCTCCCAAGTAGCTGGGATTAAAGTTGCCCACCACCACGCCTGGCTAATTTTTTGTATTTTTAGTAGAGACAGGGTTTCACCATGTTAGGCAGGATGGTCTCAATCTCCTGACCTCATGATCTGCCTGCCTCAGCCTCCCAAAGTACTGGGACTACAGGCGTGAGCCACTGCGCCTGGCTGAGAGATTTCTTAAAGAACTAAAAGTAGATCTACCATTCCACCTAGCAATCCCACTACTGGGTATCTACTCAAAGGAAAAGAAGTCACTATATCAAAAAGACACCTGCACACATATGTTTATCACAGTACAATTCACAGTTGCAAAGAAATGGAACCAACCTAAGTGCCCATCAACTGATGAGTGCATAAAGAACACATGATATATGTACACCATGGAATACTACTCAGCCATGAAAAAGAATGAAATAGGCTGGGTGCAGTGGCTTACACCTGTAATCCCAGCACTTTGGAAGGCTGAGATGAGTGGATCACTCGAGGCCAGGAGTTTGAGACCAGCCTGGCCAACATGATGAAACGCTGTCTCTACTAAAAATACAAAAATTAGCTGGGCATGGTGGCAGGCACCTCTAATCCCAGCTACTCAGGAGGCTGACACAGGAGAATCGCTTGAACCCGAAAGGCAGAGGTTGCAGTGAGCTGAGATCATGCCACTGCACTCCAGCCTGGGCGACAGAGTGAGACTCTGTTTCAAAAAAAAAAAAAAAAAGAAAGAAATAATGTCTTTGGCATGGTTGGAGCTGGGGGCCATTATTCTAAGTGAAGTAATTCAGGAATGGAAAACCACATACAGTATTTCTCACTTATAAGTGGGAACTAAGCTATGAGTATGCAGAAACATACAGAGTGATATAATGGACTTTAGAAACTCAGAAGCGGGAGGCGGGGAGAGTAGTTAGAAATTAAAAGCTGCACATTAGGTACAATGTACACTACTAGTGGGACGGATGCACTAAAATCTCAGAATTCTCCACTATATAATTCATCCATGTAACAAAGAAACACTTGCTCCCCAAAAGCTATTGAAATTAAAAATTAAAAAATTTTTCATAGGCCGGGCACAGTGGCTCACGTCTGTAATCTCAGCAGTTTAAGAGGCTGAGGCAGGTAGATTACTTGAGGTCAGCAGTTCAAGACCAGCCTGGCCAACACGGTGAAACCCTGTCTCCACTAAAAATACAAAAATTAGTCCAGTGTGGTGGCGTGCACCTGTAATTCCAGCTACTCTGGAGGCTGAGGCACAACAGAACCCTGGAGGCGGAGGTTGCAGTGAGCCAAGCTCATGCCACTGCACTCCAGCCTGGGCAATGGAGTGCAAAAATAAAAATAAAAACAATTAAAAGAGTAAAGGCAACTATTAATAGCAAAAATATTTTTTAATAATAAAAATAAAAAATCAAAAATTTAGTTAATTTTTTAAAAAATCGTGCTGCTTCTATTTACAATAGCAAAGACTTGGAACTGACCCAAATGCCCATCAGTGATAGACTGGATAAAGAAAATATGGCACATATATGCCATGCAAATACTATGCAGCCATAAAAAAGAATGAGTTCATGTCCTTTGCAGGGACGTGGATGAAGCTGGAAGCCATCATTCTCAGCAAACTGACATAGAAACAGAAAACTAAACACTGCATGTTCTCACTCATAAGTGGGAGTTGAACAATGAGAATACATGGACACAGGGAAGGGAACATCACACCCTGGGGCCTTTTGGGGGCTGTGGGGGCAAAGGGAGGGGGAGCATTAGGACAAATACCTAATGCATGCGGGGCTTAAAACCTAGATGACGGGTTGATAGGTGCTGCAAACCACCATGGCGCATGTATACTTATGTAAGAAACCTGCACGTTCTGCACATGTATCCCAGAACTTAAAGTAAAAAATAAAATAAAATATAAATTAAAAAATCATGCTGCTCTAAGAGAATCATTCACCCTCCAATGATGCTTAGGCAAATACCAGCTGTTCTGACCCCACCTTAAGGGTCATATCCTAAGATCATATTCTAGCAGCAGCTGCTGTTGGAGAATATATACAAGGCTCCAGGGCAGAAATTGGGTACCACAAGTGGATACTATGGGTGCTGCTATGTCCAGGCTGCGGGAGCCTGTCCCCTTTGTCTCTCCTTCAGTATGAGTTGTTGCAAGTAGAGTCAGAAATCATATCAAAATGAGTACAGTCACCTGTAAACTAAAAGTAACACCTAAGCCACCACCACCACCAACAGCTGAACAGACTCTCTTGTGGCCAAGTGGACCCCAGAACAACTTTAAAACTGAGTTCCTGGCCATGATGGGACAGGAGGTCAGACACGCCTCCTTACACTCTCTCCCTTTTATAATCTAGACACAACAACTAACCCACATTAATGTTATTAATGCATTAAATTAAAACAGAAATCATAAGACTGATAGAACAGGCTCTTTGGGGCAATAAGATACCAAATTATAAGGAGGATCTAAGACCATGCCACGCAGGGGTTAAGTCATGGACCCTACGCTCAAAGAATAAATTGTGTTCTAGCTGTCAAAAGGTTCTTCTTTTTCTCTAGGAGTTAAACAAACACTAGTCTTATGATAAGCAATATTAAAATAATTACAACTCATCAGCTCACAGACAAGGACTAATGGGGCCCCTGTTCCACCAGCCATAACTACAGCTTTGATTGGACAAGAGACTGATTTCAGTAACTTTCTCCTGATAACACCACTGACCATGGGCTGGTTCTGGCTCATTGACAGAGGCTGTGCATTTGGGTACCTTCGTGTCCTGAAAAGACCTTTTGATGTATAAAGCCTAAATGTGATACATTTAAATGTTAAGTAAATGTTAAGTATCCACCCCAAAGTGGACATGGGGTCATATGTTACATGCAACTTTCTTCAATATGCATGCATCAGGGCCACCTACATGAATATTCATAGCTCCTCCTGTAACCTGTTGAATATGCATGTTTAGCCAACCCATTCAGCATAAAGCTCCTACTCCAACCCCTCCTCCTTAGAAGTGCCCGTCTCTGCTCTTGACCGGACGCATGCTTCCCAGCCTGTGGGATGACCTCTTTGCAGGCTATAATCTTTTACAATAAATAAAGTCTCCTTTTTCAAATGTGTATATTGTGGTTTTTTAGGTTGGCACACCTGATCAGGTCCATGAAGGCATCAGCTGTGGGGATGGTCTCGATCCGGCCCTCCCGGTGCAGCCCCTCCTTGGAGCCCTTCCCGGGATGGATGATGGTGACCATGAGGATGCCGATGAAGACCGCGATGATGGTGGTCACCATGTAGTACACAGCTGCCCGCATCCCCATCCGCCCCGTGGCCTTGTTGTCCAGGGATGCCATACCTGAAGGACAGATGATGTGGCCCCCGCAGCTCCATGCATACCCAACGCCAGCTCTCCTAGCATCCGTTCCACCCTCCCCATATCACCAACTCAACAGCCGACCCACCAAGCATCCCTTTTCCTATAGCCCACCCCAAAACCCACCCATTACCCATTCACCCGCACCACCATCTTTCTACTTCTAATTTTCCAAATACACACCCTCACACGCCATCCCAACCCTTATCCCAAGCAGCACTCCACTATCCTACTGCCTTCCCTCTACTCCAAGCCACCTTTTCCACACTTTCACCCCATCCTCTATTGAGTCTTGTTTTCTCTTGTTTTGCACCATAACCTAACTATTTTTTTTTTGAGACGGACTCTCCTTCGCCCAGACTGGAGTGCAATGGTGCGATCTCAGCTCAGTACAACCTCCATCTCCCCAGTTCAAACAATTCTGCTGCCTCAGCCTTCCGAGTGGCTGGGATTACAGGCACCTGCCACCATGCCCAGCTAATTTTTGTATTTTTAGTAGAGACGGGGTTTCACCATGTTGGCCAGGCTGGTCTCGAACTCCTGAACTCAGACGATCCACTCACCTCAGCCTTCCAAAGTGCTGGGATTACAGGCATGAGCCACTGCGCCTGGCCCATAACCTAACTTTCATTCCACTTGTCATCCCACTATTAATCCCAAAATCACACCTTCCTCCAACCCACCTCACGGCGCACCCTTTGTGGCACATATTCTTGGTGCTCCACTCCTACACCCTTTCCCAAGCCAATCTGCTGATCCTTCAGCCCCGAGAGCACTGAGTACAATAGCTCAGGCTGCCCACTTCTCCTGAGAATTGCCCTCAGCAAAATGGGAGCTGCCTTGCCCATAGAAACCCCAGGGGAGACCTAGAGCCAAAGAATGACTGTGCAGGGATTCACAATGGCCAACTCCTTTGATTCAGGTGGCAGTAGAGCTGGGGAGGGATTCAATTCTGTGGTTCTGCTCACACTCCAGAGCTCCCCATGAGATGAGGCTGAGAGGCCAGCCTTCTTTTGAAACCCACATCTTTGCTTCACTGGTTTCCCAGCCCTGTCCCACTTCCTTCACTTCCTTGCGAGTTTCTCTTGAGAGCTATCCCGCAATAAATCACCTGTGCAGATATCCCCATCTCAGTCAGGCTCTGCTTCTAGGAAACCCAACCTAAGAAGCCATTTCTTCATGCCTTTTTCTTCTTCCCCATCCCCAAATCCAGGGATTGGCAAACTGCTACTCATGCCAAATCCGGCCCTCTGCCTGCTTTTGTAAATAAAGTTTTATTGGAACACAACCATGCCCATTTGTTCTCATATTGTCTATGGCTGCTTCTGTGCTGCAATGGCAGAATCGAGTACAATTGACCCTTGAACAGCATGGGTTTCAACTGCTCGAGTACACTTATGCATGGAGTTTCTTCTGCCTGTGCCACCCCTGAGACAGCAAGACAAGCCCTCCTCTTCTTCTTCCTCAGCCTACTCAACATGAAGACAAAGGGGATGAAGATCTTTATGATGATCCACTTCCACTCAATTAATAGTAGATAACATTTCTCTTCCTTATCATTTTTTTAATAGACAGGGTCTCACCCTGTTGCTCAGGCTAGAGTGCAGTGGTGCCATCACAGCTCGCTGCAGCCTCCTGGGTTCAAGTGATCCTCCTGCTTCAGCCTCTCGAGTAGCTAGGACTATGGGCATGTATCACCATATCCTGCTGATTTTTTTTATTTTATATAGAGATGGAGTCTCACTGTGTTGCCCAGGCTGATCTCGAACTCCTGGGCTCAAGCAATTCTCCTGCCTCAACCTCCCAAAGCACTGTGATTACAGGCATAAGTCACCTCACCTGGCCTGATTTTCTTAATAACATTCTATTCTCTAGCTTACTGTACTTTAAGAATATAGTATAATGGCCGGGCGGGGTGGCTCACACCTGTAATCCCAGCACTTTGGGAGGCCAAGGCGGGCGGATCACGAGGTCAGGAGATCGAGACCATCCTGGCTAGCACGGTGAAACCCTGTCTCTACTAAAAATACAAAAAATTAGCCGGGCATGGTGGCGGGTGCCTGTAGTTCCAGCTACTCAGGAGGCTGAGGCAGGAGAATGGCATGAACCCAGGAGGCGGTGCTTGCAGTGAGCGGAGATTGTGCCACTGCACTCCAGCCTGGGCAACGGAGCGACACTCTGTCTCAAAAAAAAAAAGAATATAGTATATAATACTTACAGCATACAAAATATGAGTTAGTCAACTGTTTATGCTCTCTGTAAGGCTTCCAGTCAATAGTAGGCTATTAGTAGTTAAGCTTTTCGGGAGTCAAAAGTTACATGTGAGCCGGGCGTGGTGGCTCATGCCTGCTATCCCAGCACTTTGGGAGGCCGAGGTGCGCAGATCATGAGGTCAGGAAATCGATATCATCCTGACCAATATGGTGAAACCCCAACTCTACTAAAATACAAAAAATTAGCTGGGCGTGTTGGTGCGTGCCTGTAGTCCCAGCTACTCGGGAGGCTGAAGTGGAGGAATTGCTTGAACCTGGGAGGTGGAGATTGCAGTGAGCCAAGATGGTGCCACTGCACCCCAGCCTGGTAACAGAGCAAGATTTTGTTAAAAACAAAAGAAAACAAAACAGTTATATGTGGATTTTTTACTGTGTGGGGGTTGGTGCCCCTAACACCCAAATTGTTCAAGGGTCAACCCTAGTTGCAAAAGAGACCATATGGCCCTTGAAGCTGAAAATGTTTACTATCCAGCCCTCTAAAGCAAAAGTTTGTGGACCCCTGCATAAGCCAACCATACTCCCATCCCACCCTCTACCCACTAAGCTGTCACCTCCATCTCACTCACCTTCCACACCTTAATCGACACCCCACTCCCTGCACATCCATACCATAGCCCAGCCACCCTCCCTGGTTGCCCTTCCAAGACTTTCTCTCACTTCTTTGTGATACTAAGCCCCTTGCAGGCTGGCATTTTACCTCCAAGGAAAAGGACAGGAAGCCTACTGAGATGAGTGGTGTGGGGTCATATGGGGTCTGGAACCTGGGACCGATTGGGACCTGGGCTTTGTTTGGCCAAGGACGCTGGACCAGACACAGGCTCCATGTTTGAGGTGCCGCGTCAAGGAAGTGGTCCCATGCTTGGGATGGCCTTGGCTCTGGGTTCAAGCTGAGGCTCTAGACGGGTCTTGGAGGCCAACACTGGCCTGGGCTCTCTCACCTGTGACCAGGCTGGAGACAATGAGAGGTAACACCAGCATCTGCAGCATCCTCATCAGAAGCTCTCCAGGAAAAGAGAAGTACTTGATCTGGCGGTAGGTGAGCTGATATGGGCGCAGGGCAAAGGCCAGGCTGACCCCTAGGGCCAAAAGAAGGGGTCCATGGACTGAAGTCTGGGTCGCTCAGCCCCAGGCAGGGTCCATCCATCCCAAGAAGGGTAGGGCAAGGGTGGGAGTGAGGGAGAGAAATATCCTATGAGTGTGTGTATTTGTGTGTGCACTGATGTGTGCAGACATTGTAGAAATGTATGCATGTATGGGTTACCATATTGATATTGTGTAAATGTGTGTCCGTGTCTGTGCAAATGTAAATGTGTAAATGTGTGTGTATATATCCAGGATATGTGACGGTAGACATTCACTTGTGAACAGGTATAGGTGTCTGTATACAGGGGCATATACACATGAATCTGCACAGGTGTTTTCCTGGACATCTATAGGTGTGATTTGTGTGTATCTTACTATTTTCAAACATGGGAGTGTACGTGTTCTTAAGCTCATAAGTGTGTGCACGTGTACTCAAGAGAATGCATGTAGAGATGTGAATGTGTTTATAAGTTCCAACATACATGCACAAGTGTGCATGTTTGTGTTTGCACCTATAAGTTCAATGCACGCATATGTGTGTGTGCATAGTAAAGTGTTTGTACATTGTATATGTATATATGTGAGTGTGTGTGTACACATGGATATGCATGTAACATTGTGTGCACACACAGTTGTGTTTGCACACATGTGTATTCATCTGTGTGGTGTGTCTTTATGTGGGGGGTTGAGGGTGACTGGTGGGACTGGGACGTGTGTGCAGGTGAGAATGAAGGGGTGCAGCAAAGAGATGTGTAGAGGCCAGGAATTTCCCTGAAGTCCCCGCCTTTCCCTGAAGTCCCCGCCCTCCAAGAGGCAGAGCTCACCAATGACCACGGCGCTGACCGTCAGCAGAATGAAGGCGTTTCGGCGCAGGAAGCGCAGCACGTGCTCGAGGGTCATGGTCTGCAGGCGCAGGCGCGTGCGCAGTGCTCTCTGCTGCAGGCTTTCCTGCAGCCGCTGCAGCCAGCCCACCCGGCCCAGCCGCTGGCCGCTCTCCCGCAGGAACAGGCTGTTGCCATGGCTGCTCATGGTCTATCTGCGGGAAACAGAGAAGCCTGGGGCTGGTGAGGGCCAGGACAGAAGGCCGGCGTGGGCAGATGGCGAAGGCTGCGAAGGGTAATGAGCGCTTCCTGAGGACTCTCAGAAGGCGGGGGTGGCTGGGTGTTTTGGCTCACGCCTGTAATCCCAGCACTTTGGGAGGCAGAGGCAGGAGAATCACTTGCGCCCAGGAGTTCAAGACTGGCCTGGGCAGCTAGGGGTGGTAGTCCTAAATATTTGGGAGGCTGAGGCAGGAGGATCACTTGAGCCCAAGAGTTCAAGGTTACAGTGATCTATGATCTTCCCAGCCTGAGCAAGATAGTGAGACCTCCACCCCTCCAAAAAAGCACAAAGGCCAGGCGCAGTGGCCCACACCTGTAATCCCAACACTTTCTAAGGCCAAGGCAAGAGGATCGCTTGAGCCCAGAAGTTTGAGGCTGCAGTGAGCTGTGACTGCACCACTGCACTCCAGCCTGAGTGACAGAGCACAGCCCTGTCTCTAAGAACAACAAGTAAATAAAAATATAACTAAAAACAAAATGGCAGGGGAGGGGGAAGGTAAGTCTGTTGCGATGTGCCCGGTTCTAAGGACAGGTCTTGGCAGGAAAACGTCAAGTCTCCAGAATCATTCCTGAGAATGGCTGGGAAGAGGAGGAAACCACAAAAATAATGGACCTTTTTGACACACCCTGACTCCAGCCCACTCTTATTTCACTGAGATCATCACAAGCCTCTGGGGGCTGCCCCAGTGGCTCAAGGGAAATTAACAAGCCTTTGTGAAGTGCCAGCTGCATACGGAGCCCTAGACAAAGCACCCGGAGGCTAGTCCCCCAAATTAGGACGGTTTTGTGTCCAGCCTGGAGGCTTTTCACAAGGACAAAATCAGCAGGTGCCTGGCAAACAGCAGGTGCCCAGTAAATGCAGCTATTCTGCCTGAATGCCCAGGTGAGCAACAGGGAGAGCGGGGAGTCAGGAGAGCGGGGAGTCCCTTGGGAATGAAATGATAATGATTCTTGGCCACAGTGTGATGTTCATGAGCCCCTCTGGGGTGGCAGGCACTGTACTGATGTTTCCCAAACTGCAGGCTTTTGCGTCTCCTCTTTATATTTGGCCATATCCATGTGTCCTTATTCACTTACCTAAAAAACAGTACCGAACCAGGCGTGGTGGCTCACGCCTATAATCCCAGCACTTTGGGAGGCCGAAGCGGGCAGATCACTTGAGCTCAGGAGTTCGAGACCAGCCTGGCCAACACAGTGAAACACCGCCTCTACTAAAAATACAAAAATTACCCAGGCGTGGTGGCAGGTGCCTGTAGTCCCAACTACTCGGGAGGCTGAGGCAAGAGAATCACTTGAATCCAGGAGGTGGAGGTTGCAGTGAACCGAGATCGCACCACAGCACTCCAGCCTGGACGACAGAGTGAGACTCTGTCTCAAAATAAAAATAAATAAATACTTTTAAAATTAAAATTAAAAATGTATCTAAAATGGAAACTTTAGACCCCTACTTGAAATGTGAATTATATTTTTCATCAACATTAAATAAAATGCATATAAAAATTAAAACTTGCCCATCTGTCTACCAACTAAACACCTCACGTGTACAGGGCGGCTCAGAAATTGTGATTTTCATGGGCCTGAGGAACTTTTCTCTTTGTGCACCCCTTCCTTCATTAAAAAAAAGCCTACATTAAAATTCTATTTCACAACTGCATTCATATAAAGAAAAATATGTTATTTCAGAACGAGATAGAGGTGACAATTATTGCACAACATAATGAAAATACTAGATGCTATTGAATTATATGTTTTCAAATGGTTGCTTTTGTGTTATGTGAATTCCCCTCAATTTTAAAAATTGAGCCAGCTGCTGTGGCTCATGCCTGTAATCCCAGCTACTTGGGTGGCTGAGTGGGGAGGATCACCTGAGCCCAGGAGTTCAAGACCTGAGACAGAATGTCGCTCTGTCAACCAGGCAGGAGTGCAGCTCACTGCAGCCTCCAACTCCTGGGCTCAAGTGATCCTCCCACCTCAGCCTCCAAAAGTGCTGGGATTGTAGGCATGAGACACCGCACCCACCCTAAAAAAATTAAAAATTAAAATGAATATGTTAATATTCTACATTATAACATTCTTTCACCTAAATGCTTGTTTCTGTCTTCTGATTTTGAAAGAGATGAAAACATCAGGGAAATAGTAGAATTGTATTAGAGGCTGGGAAGGGTAGGCGGGAGGAGAGGATGGGGAGAGGTTGGTTAACAGATACAAAACTACAGCTAGATAGAAAGAATGAGTTCTGGTGTTCTGCAGCACCGTAGAGGGACTATGGTTAATGATCATTTATTCTATATTTTCCAAAAAGCCAGTAGAGAAGGTTCTGAGCATTCACACATTAAGAAATGATCAATGTTTGAGATGATGGATGTGCTAATTACCCTGATTTGATCTTTACGCATTGTATGCATGTATCGAAATGTCACTGTATCCCATCAATATGTACAAGTATTTTGTATCAACTCAAAATAAAAGGGAAGCAAAAAAAATGAAAACGGCCAGGGCGCAGTGGCTCACATCTGTAATCCCAGCAATTTGGAAGGCCGAGGTGGGCAGATCACTTGAGGTCAGGAGTTCGAGACCAGCCTGGCCAACATGGCGAAACCCCATCTCTATGAAAAATACAAAAATTAGCTGGATGTGTCACACGCCTGTAATCCCAGCTACTCCAGAGGCTGAGGCAGGAGAATCGCTTTGAACCCAGGAGGCAGAGGTTGCAGTGAGCCAAGATTGCACCACTGTACTCCAGCCTGGGTGACAAAGCCAGACTTTGTCAAAAAAAAAAAAAAAGGAAAAAAAAAAAAGAAAGAAAGGAGGGAAGGGAACGGAAGGGAAGGGAAGGGGACAAAGGGAAGGGAAGGGAAGGGGACAAAGGGAAGGGAAGGGAAGGGAAGGAAAGGGAAGGGAAGGGAAGGGAAGGAAAGGGAAGGGGGAAGGGAAGGAAAGGGAAGGGGACTTTTCTGTGGGTCCCTAAAAGCACTGTGTGCTATAGGTACTATACCTCCTAACCTACACTGTTCTCATAACCAAGAAAGGGTGGTGCCCTTCTTCCAGGCATACTGAGAATTCTGTTCTTCCTTCTAGACCCACTCTTAGGCTCCCTCTCCCATGGGCTCCCTTTCGATCTACCCAGTGGAAAGGACAACAGTATGGAGATTTCTCAAAGAACTCCATCCCATCCAGAAACCTCCCTACTGAATATCCACCCCAAGGAAAACAAATCATTGTATCAAAAGGATATCTGCACTGGCATGTTTCATCACAGCAATATTCGCAATCGCCTAGATATGGAATCAACCTAAGTGTCCACCAATGGACGATTAAAGAAAATGTGATATAGATAAGTTTATCATATTATAGATAAATAGATCTGTATCACATTTATATCAATATCACATTTTCTTGCTACATTGTTGATTACAGTATTTTATCTATGTTTCATTATGTATATCATGGAATAGTAATCAGCCATAATAAAGTGTCTTTTACAGCAACACACATACAACTGGAGGCCATTCTCTTAAGTGCAATAATTCAGAAGCAAAGTGTAATACCACATGTTTACTTATTTTTAGTATTTTTGTATTTTTAGTAGAGACGGGGTTTCACTGTTGGCCAGGCTGGTCTCGAACTCCTGACCTCAGGTGATTCACCCACCTCGGCCTCCCAAAGTGCTGGGATTACAGGTATGAGCCACAGCGCCCGGCTGCCCCCCATCTACTTCCTAAGGGATCAAGGCTCCCTGATATTTTTTCTCACCCGCACCCCAGCCACACCCCCAGTACCTGAATTCAACCAGGTCGAGCTGCAGGTTTCTTGGAGGTCTCAGTTTTACCAGTACGTAGGTCCCTGGCCTTTGTGTTTTGCTGCCACTGGCTTTTCTGGGATCTTCCTTGCCCTCCTCAACTCCCCACCATATCCAAGGGATGGGAAATCTGCCCTGATTTTCCAGATCCTGCGTCCTCTAGAGCTAATCCAAATTCCCAATGCCAAGCCCCACTTAGGATCCTGCTCCAAATGGACCCATCTCCTGAAACCACAATGCTGCTTCTCCTTGCTGTGAAAAAAAAAAAAAAAAAAAATCCCAAAGAGTGAACCACAGACTACACAGGGAATCCCTCTGGGATATTATGTTTCCAGTCCCTAAGCCACAGCAGGAAGTTGCCTGTAGATACCAAGGGAGATCATTCAGCTAAGATCTGAACAGTCAGGAAAACTCCCGAGGCTAGAGTTTTGTCCGGTTCCTTTCTCTTCCTTACAAGACATAATACGGTATTGACAAACTATGGTCTGCTAGTCAAATTCAGCCTACTGCTTGTTTTTGTAAATAAAGTTTTATTGGCACACAGCCACACTCATGCATTACCTATTGTCTACAGCTGCTTTCAAGCTACAATGCCTGAGTTGAGTTGTTGGGACAGAGATTGTACGGGCCACAAAGCTCAAAATGTTTACTCTTGGGCCATTTGCTGAAAAAATTTGCTGACCCCTGGAGAAGAGCAGACAGCACTTAGCATCTGTGGGCCAGACGCAGTGGCTCATGCCTGCAATCCCAACACTTTGGGAGGTGAAGGCTGGAGAACCGCTTGAGCCCAGGAGTTCATGGCCAGCCTGGGCAACATAGCCAGACCCTGTCTCTTTTTTAAAAATTAAAAATTAGCCAGGCACGGTGGCCTGTGCCTGTAGTCCTAGCCACTCAAGAGGCTAAAGCAGGAGGATCGCTTGAACCCAGGAGTTTGAGGCTGCAATGAGCTATGATCGTACCACTGCACTCCAACTTGGGTGACAGCGTAAAACCCTGTCTAAAAGAAAAGAAAACAGCATCTTAGCACCTGATGACCATAAAATAGTTGCCAACTGTGGTTGATAAAAAGCAGAAACCTAACTCACACAAAATTAAGAATAGAGTAAAATGCTACAGTGTGAGAATGTCTTACTATCAATTTTTCTCAGTCCTGTCTGCATCACTTATAAGTATATACCATCATGATTGTCAATTAATAATAATACTAGTTTTAAAAAATGTTTGACTTGAAATGTGATCTTAGACTCCACTTGGGCCTCTCTGGGTCTCTCTCTTCTCCCCCACCCTGGGCTCTCTCTTTTCTAGGCTTTCCTGGGTCTAGGCTTTCTTTTGGACCTACCTCTTGGGTTTCCTGCTCAGAAAATGTCCCTTCTAGTGTTCCCAGTTTCTACAGGGTGAGGGGTGAGGGTGGGTCTTTCCCACTTGGTTCTCCCGACCTCTAGACACTTAGATCTGATGAGATGTGTGGGCTGCTTCTCGGAGCCTCTTACATCCCTAAAACTAAAGCAAGCTACAGTGAGCAAACTGAAAATGCTTTCTGTACATTTTATGTCAATGCTATGCTAGCCAGAGGAGTGAGTGAGGGAAGAGAGAGACGGCATGGAAACCAAGTACATCACACACACTCAGACACACACACGCACACATAACCTCGAAAACCTCTTGTATGCAATTGACATATCCACAACCCCAGACAGACACAGTCACATGCAAACTCTTCAGACATGCAACCACACACACACCCACACAAACCTTCAGAAATGCAGCTCCATGCATGCAGTCATACAATCCCTACACACACACACTTCCCACATTCATGTACACCCTCAGGCACACAACCACACACCTTCAGAAATGCAATTCCAGGCACACAGTTGTACAATTCTGCACACAGACACACTCACACATACACTTGCCACATTCATGTACACCCTCAGGCACGCAACCACCCACACCTTCAGAAATGCAATTCCAGGCATGCAGTCATACAATTCTGCACACACACATACACATTCATGTACACCCTCAGGCACACAACCACACACACCTTCGTGGCTCTGCACAACTACCCTTCATGAATTAAATCTTACAGAGGCAGTGACAGCCATACAATTCCTACCTACACACAGAAACACACACACACACACTCTTTAGGGCACAAAACACAAACTTCAGACTTTCAAAATCATCCTCACATTTAAACATTCAGCTCCACACACCTGTTCAGGACGGCGATCCCACTCACAAATTCAGTCTCTCTCTCTCTCTGTCACACACACACACACACACACACACACACACACACACACACACACACTAATGCCCAGACCCTCTGCAGCCTCAGCCACATCAGATACATCTGAAATTGGTGAAATAAGCCCTCTGACAGAGAAGGCAACCGAGCCCTATAAATGCACAAGGCATCGGGCTCGGTGCTGGAAACGTGCCTGTGTGCGGAGGCCACGGGTTGGGGAGGTGGGGAGACGGGCAGGGAGACCCGGGGATAACTAAGGGGATAGGAAACTCACCAGAACGACCAGGAGAAAAGCGGTGGCAACGGCTCTAAGGGGCAAGCAGGAGCTCAGAGACAAAGGGCGGCGGAGAAGTGGGGACGTGGGCGCAGGGAGCGCCCCACACGCCTGACCCCAGCGCCTCGGATCCCCCACCTGCCCGCAACCTCCGCGCCGCAGCCACACCGAGTCCCCGCGCCGAGCCGCGGAGTCCCCACTCACCGGCGTCCGGAGCGGCGGGGGCGGCCTGCCCGCGCCTCGGCCTGCGCGCTGCGCCCGGATGCAGGAGCCGGAGCCCGGCGAAGCGCCCGGCCGGGGCCGCGGGGACCCGCCAGGGACTGTGCAGCACCGGCGCGGGGACCGGACCGTGGAGGCACCGGCGCGGAGCCGGGACGCGCTATGCTGCGGGAGGGATCCGGGCCGGCCCTGCGCTCACGTGGGTGTGGGGGCACCGAGCGGCCGGGGGAGGGGGCGGGATCCCCTCCGCGATGCCCTCCGCCTCCCCCGCGCCCAGCCCAGGCTCCGCAGCCGTGTGGGAGAAGGGGGACAGCGTGCTTGCGAAGGGAGGGGGACTGGGGGTGGGCGGGGGTGAGTGGCCTCTCCGGCATCCAGCCCCCGCCCCCTGCTCGGAGCCGCGCCTCCGCGCCCCCGCCCCCTAAACCGCCTCCGGAGCCCTCGGAGGCCCCAGCATCCCTGGCGGAGCGCGGGGAACAGGCCCTGGCACCGCGGGACCCGCTCCAGCAGCCTCGGCGGAGGCCTGGGGAAGGCGCGGCTCTAGTGTCCCAGTAACAACAGCCAGGGAGAGGGCTCCGCTGCCCCCTTCTCCTTGCGGGTGCACCTTCCGGCCTTGGCCACTTGGCTGCTGTGTGCCCTTGGGCCAACTCCTCTCCCTCTCTGAGCCTGGCTTCCTCCGCTAAACAAGGAAGATGGCTTGGCCGACCCCACAGAAAATTAAAGCTGAGAAAATTAAAGCGCGTGAGGCTGGAAATGCTCCGTGCCAGCGCGAAGCACTGGGCAAATGGGAGATGGATAATGTCGTTCCTATTGTAATTAATATTATTCTTTGCTGTCTTTAGAGCACACCAGGCAAGGTGCACTCGACTTTTCTTCTCGAAAGGCAATGACTTGGTTGCTTCCCACATCTTCTGCCTCTCCTGAGAGCTAATGCCATTTAAAGATCTGAGCATCAGGTCTGTCGTATGAATAAAAACTCAGTGCAGGCTGGGCACGGTGGCTCACGCCTGTAATCCCAGCACTTTGGGAGGCCGAGGCGGGAGGATCACTTGAACACAGGAGGCGGAGGTTGCAGTGAGCCGAGATCGCACCACTGCTCTCCAGCCTGGGTGACAGAGCGAGACTCCGTCAAAAAAAAAAAAAAAAAGTCAGTGCACGTTCAATGTTTTTTATTATTGTTGTTGTTGTTGATGAAGTGTTGATGGCGACCTCCTGAACTAGGCAGGCTCTTTTATTAATACTTATATTTAATCTACACACTCCTATAAAGTATATATCACTTCCTCTATTTTCAGGGCGGGGACAGGTGCTCAGAAAGGTTCAATAACTTGTCCAAGGTCACACAGCCAGGAAACAGATGCCCCAATTCTAATTCTTTGCATGCATCGCCCTGGCTCTGCTTCTTTGCAACAACTCCTAGATAGGTGATTCTCAAACTTAGCTGTATTTTAAAACTACCTGGAGAGGTTTTAAAAATTCTGAAGCCAGCCTGACATAGTGGCCCATGCATGTAATCCCAGCACATTGGGACGCCAAGGAGAGAGGATCACTTGAGCCCAGGAGTTCAAGATCAGCCTGGGCAACATAGCAAGACTCTGTCTCTATTTAAAAAAAAAAAATCAAAAAATTAGCTGGGCACACACCTGTAGTCCCAGTTACTCAGGAGGCTGAGGCAGGAGGGTCACTTGAGCTTAGGAATTTGAGGTTACAGTGAGCTATGATTGTGCCACTGCACTTCAGCCTGGACAACAGAGCAAGACCTTGTCTAAAAAAAAAAAAAGGAAAGAAAAGAAAAGATATCTGATGCCCAAGCCACACCCTATACCAAGCACATCAGCATACCTGGAAGTGGGACCCAGGCATCAGTATATTTGAATGCTCCCCAATGTATGGCTAAGGCTGAATCTCTGTCCTAGATGTCAGATTCCCCTGGACCACATTGGCAACCCCTCTCTGCAGCCTTCTCACTCCGCTGCTTCAGTCACTCACTGTGCTTAGACGATTCTGCATCCTTCTTGAACCTAGAGCTGCCCCTGAACTCCTGCCTCTTACGGTCATTCACTCCACAAATACTTACTGTGCACTTGGATGTGCTAGAGGCTGGAGACTCAGCAGCGAAGACAACAGAGCCCTCGGTCTGTCACGCAAAATAATAAGTAAATAAAATAGCAGTTGTTCCCTGGCAATTGGCCTTGCAAGCCCTTTACACCCGTAACAATCAGGGAGGATCCCAAAGAAACCATAACTCAAGCCTAAGCATGAGAAAAACATCAGACTAATTTCAATAGAGAGGCATCCGATAATCTACCTGCGCAGTCCTCTTCAAAACAGTCATTAAAAATTAAGGAACATGTGGAGCAGGGTTTGGTGGCAGGTGCCTGTAGTCCCAGATACTCAGGAGGCTGATGCAGGAGGACCGCTTGAGTCCAAGAGGTTGAATCTGGGACCGCTTGAGTCCAAGAGGTTGAGTTTGCAGTGAACTATGATTGTGCCACAGCACTCCAGCCTGGGCAACAGAGCGAGACCCTGTCTCTAAAAAAAAAAATAAAATTTAAAAATGAGAAAACAAGGAATGTCTGAGAAACTGTCACAGCCGAGAGGAGTCTAAGAAGATATGACAACAAAACGTAATGTGAGATCCTAGAAAAGAAAAAGGATATAAGGAAAAAATTAGGAAATCTGAATAGAGTATGGGCTTTCGCTAATAATAATGTATCCATATTGGCCGGGCATGGTGGCACACACCTGTAATCCCAGCCCTTTGGAAGGCCGAGGTGGGCAAATCACTAGAGGTCAGGAGTTCGAGACCAGCCTGGCCAACCTGGTGAAACCCCGTATCTACTAAAAATATAAAATTAGCCAGGCATGGTGGCGGGTGCCTGTAATCCCAGCTACTCGGGAGGCTGAGGCAAGAGAATTACTTGAACCCCGGAGGCAGAGTTTGCAGTGAGCCAAGGTCGTGCCACTGCACTCCAGCCTGGGCAACAGGGTAAGACTCTGTTTCAAAAAAAGTTATCTGTAACAATAACATTTTGTTAATAATGTATCAATATAATAATATATCAATATTACAATATGGTAATTATACAAATGTGCCATACTAATGAAATATATTAATAACAAGTGAAACTAAGTCAAGGGAGCATATGGGAGCTGTCTGTACTATCTTTTCATTTTTTATGTAAATCTAAAACTGTTCTCAGAAACTGTGTCTTAATTTAAAAAGATCCTGGGAGATCCCAAAGAGCTTTTCTTTATATAGGTTATAGCTATTGATCTTTACAGTATCAGAAATTAAAACTGAAAAAGTGTTTCAACATTTATTCATTTTAACATAACAAAAATAAACCTACTACATGTTAACATAAAATAGCATATTTTTACGAAAAATAACTGTATTTTCCAAAACAAGAACAAAAAAAGAAGAGTGACATTGTTTTACACTTTTTCAAATTGCTTTAATGGCTACCTTCATCAAAAGGAAACGGAATTTTTATACAGTTGATTTTCATTATTCACGGATTCTGTATTTGCAAAGTCACTCACTCACTAACATGTATTTGTGACCCCAAAATTAATACTTGCGGAGATTCTGACATTTTTCTGGGTCATTTGCAGAGAGATTAACATTTTGAGCTGCACGGCGTGAACATTTGTAGCTGAGGTGCAAAAGAACCATGCTCTGTTATCTTGTTTCAGCTCATACAGTGAACAAGCATCCTATTTGTGGCCTGTTTAGTGCCATACTTTTCTAACTTTCATGTTTTTTGTTGATTTCGCTGTTTAAAATGGTCCTGAGCACTTTGCTGAAGTGCTGTCTAGCGTTTCTAAGCTGAAGTGCTCAGTGTGTTTCTAAGCTCTAGAAGGTTGTGGGGTAGCTGGGTGTGGTGGCTCACACTTGCAATCCCAGCCGCGCTTTGGGAAGCCAAGACAGGAGGATTACTTGAGCCCAGGAGTTTGAGACCAGCCTGAGCAACATATTGAGACTCCCCCATCTCCACAAAAAATTTTAAAATGAGCCAGGTATGGGGGGCGTGCCTGTGGTCCCAGCTACTCAGGAGGCTGAGGCGGGAGGATCGCTTGAGCCTGGAAGGTTGATGCTGCAGTGACCTATGATCGTACCACTGCACTCCTGCCTGGGCGACAGAGCAAGATTTTAGCTCTAAAAAACAACAACAACAAGAACAACAACACCAAAAAAAAAAAAAAAAAAAAAAAGGCTGTAAGGCTGTAAGGCTGTGACGTGCCTTACAGAGACAATATGTATGTTAGGTAAGCTATGCTCAGACATAACTTCTAGTACTGTTGGCCATGAGCTCAATGTTAATGAATCAGCAACATATATTAAATATGGAGTCTTTAAACAAAAACACAAATAAAACAAAGTATATATCAGTTGACAAAAATGTTGTGACCAGGTGCTTACAGAAACTAAATCTTGTACTTCCCCCTGGAAGCAGTGATTTAGTATTTGCTACTTCAGTGTTCAAAGCAACTTTATAGGGCTGGGTGCGGTGGCTCATGCCTGTAATCTCAGCAGTTTGGGAGGCTGAGGCGGGCGGATCATCTGAGGTCAGGAGTTTGAGACCAGCCTGACAAATATGGAGAAACCCCGTCTCTACTAAAAATACAAAATTAGCCAGGTATGGTGGCGCTTGCCTGTAGTCACAGCTACTTGGGAGGCTGAGGCAGGAGAATCACTTGAACCCAGGAGGCGGAAGTTGCAGTGAGCTGACATCGCACCATTGTGGTGAGCCGAGATCGTGCCATTGCCCTCCAGCCTGGGCAACAAGAGCAAAGCTCCATCTCTAAAATAAAAAACAAAAAAAAAAGCAACTTCATAGAATATAACTACCATGAATCATGAAAATCAACTGTATCTGCTTCTGCATTGAATCTGTAATGGTATATTGTTTTGGTTGAAATACATGAAAAAAATTCAGTCTTACACAGACAGGCAGTTGAAAAGGGAAGATTATTTTAATCAGCTTTTCAGGTAACTGTGTCTATTCTTTGAGACGACACCAAAATGCTACATATTTTAGTTTCTTCAAGAACAGTTGCAATGCAGAATTGGAAACCCTGTCCGTGAATTCTTGCATTCTGTTAATATTAAAATCCATTAAGCTCGTCTTTTAACCATGCATGATTTTGAAACCTCATGCATTCGTCATTTGAAAAATGTTAGCTCACTAGTTACAGATCTGCTACATATTAACACATTTCATTATGCAATAGCAAAAAGTCATGTTTGTTAATATCATCACTGATCTCATGGAAAGTTTTAAAGTGTTGGGAAGTTCTCAGAGTCGTGAATACAAATTTTTAAAAATTATAATTTTCACTCAAAAGTGCAATTTTTTTGTTTGTTTGTTTAGATAGAGTCTCGCTCTGCTGCCCAGGCTGGAGTGCAGTGGTGTGATCTCGGCTCACTGCAACCTCCACCTCCTGGGTTCAAACAATTCTCCTGCCTCAGCCTCCTGAGTAGCTGGGATTACAGGTGCGTGCCACCATGCCTGGCTAATTTTTGTATTTTTAGTAGAGACGGGGTTTCACCGTGTTGGCCAGGCTGGTCTTGAACTCCTGACCTTAGGTGATCCGCCCGCATCGGCCTCCCGAAGTGCTGGGATTACAGGCGTAAAAAGTGCAAATTTTATCATTGACAATAATGACTGTGAATCATTTTCCTTGAAGTGACAGATATATTTCTTTCATTTTTGCAAAAATGTCTGTCAAACCTCCTTTGATGTGGTTTGGATGTTCTGTCCCCTCCAAATCTCATGTTGAAATGTGACCTCCAGTGTTGGAGGCAGGCCTAGTAGGAGGTGTTTTGGTCACGGGGGTGGATTTTTTGTGAATGGCTTGCTGCCATTCTCCTGGTAATGAGTGAGTTCTCACTCTATGAGTTCATGGGAAAGCTCGCTGTTTAAAAGAGCCTGACACCTCCTCCCTCTCTCTTTCTTGCTGTCTCTCACCATTTGACATTTCTGCTCCCCTTCACCTTCCACCATGACTGGAAGCTGCCTGAGGCCCTCACCAGAAACAGATGCCAGTGCCATGCTTCCTGTACAGCCTGCAGAACTGTGAGCCAAAATAAAGCACTTTTCTTTATAAATTACCCAGTCTCAGATATTCCTTTATAGCAATGCAAACAGTCTGGCCGGGCACTTGGCTCACGCCTATAATCCCAGCCTTTGGGAGGCCAAGGAGGGAGGATCGTTTGAGGCCAGGAGTTTGAGGCCAGCCTGTCCAATATGGCAAAAATCCATCTCTACTTACAATACAAAAATTAGCTGGGCATGGTGGTGCATACCACTCAGCTACTCAGGAGGCTGAGGCAGAAGAATTGTTTGAACCCAGGAGGTGGAGGTTGCAGTGAGCCGAGATCACACCACTGCACTCCAGCCTGGGCAGCAGAGCGAGACTCTGTCTCAAAAAAGAAAAAAAACAACAACAGACACACACACAGACTAATACACCATGTCAGAATAGCTGAGGTTTGTCTGTCTAAAAATGGAATTCCATGAAAAAAAGTAGCTGGTTCAGCTTGCAATTCAAACACTCACACAAGCAGTAATTTTTTTTTTTTTTGTCTTGGAGACAGCTACCATGATACTTCTGTGTGTAGAAAAATTTTTTATCCATACTTCCCGTTGCATCACACAGAATATTAAAAAGACATATACTCAAGAGTCAAGATTTAATAAAATGGGCCAGACACAGTGGCTCATGCCTGTAATCCCAGCACTTTGGGAGGCCAAAGTGAGTGGATCACCTAAGGTCAGAAGTTCAAGACCAGCCTGGCCAACATGGTGAAACCCCGTCTCTACTAAAAATACAAAAAAAAATTAGCCCAGCATGGTGGGGGGTGCCTGTAATCTCAGCTACTATGGAGGCTGAGGGAGGAGAATTGCTTGAACCTGGGAGGTAGAGGTTTGCAGTGAGCCGAGATTGCACCATTGCACTCCAGCCTGGGCGGCAAGAGTGAACTCCGTCTCAAAAAAAAAAAAAGGATTTAATAAAATGAATAATTGTATTGCTTTATCAAGTACAAGCCTAAATGAAACTGGCTTTTTTTTTTTTTAAGACAGGGTCTCCCTCTGTCACCCAGGCTGGAGTGCAGTGGTGCAATCATAGCTCACTGTAGCCTTGACATCCTGGGCTCAAGTGATGCTTCCACCTCAGCCTCTTGAGTAGCTGGGAATACAGGTGTGCGCCACCAGGTCTGGCTAATTTTTCCTCTACTTTTTTGTAGAGACTGGGTCTCAAACTCCTGGACTCAAGTGATCCTCCTGCCTCGGCCTCCCAAGGTGCTGGAATTACAGGCATGAGTCACTGTACCTGGCCTGAAACTGGCTTTTGTTAAAACCATGAGTGTGTGGCAATGAAGAATATAATGACCCCTAGTACAGTTTGGTGCTGCTGCGTTGATTCACGCTTACATGATAGACACTGTTACTCGCCCTTACTTTTGCTCCATGAGTGCATAGACTAACACAGTGAAAAAAGGCAAATAATATCTTAGAATGATTATTAAAATCATTTTGACCTTGCAGACCCCCTGAATGGTCTCAAGGCTGCCACACCTGGGGATTTGCAGGCTACACTTTGCAAACCATTGTCAGATGGTGATAAGTCCTATGGGGAAAAAACAATAATGAGGGCTGGATGCGGTGGCTCACACCTGTAATCCCAGCACTTTGGGAAGCCGAGGTGAGCGGATCATGAGGTCAGGAGATCGAGACCAGCCTGACCAACATGGCGAAATACCGTCTCTACTGAAAATACAAAAATTAGCCAGGCATGGTGGTGCACACCTGTAATCCCAGCTACTCGGGAGGCTGAGGCAGAAGAATTGCTTGAACCCCAGGAGGCAGAGGTTGCAGTGAGCTGAGATCGCACCACTGCACTCCAGCCTGAGCGACAGAGCAAGACTCTGTCTCGGAAAAAAAAAATTTTTTTTAATTAAAAATAATAATTATAATCAGGAAAAGAATATATGGAGGGTGAGGAGAGAGTCACAGTCTTCATTAAGCAGTTAGTGAATGTCCGAGTGCGCAGGTGATATTTGAGCAAAGACGCAAAGCAGATAAGGAAGTGAGCAGGGAGGATGACTACAGGAAGAGCAATCCAGGTAGCGGGAACAGCAAATGCAGAGACTCTGAGCAGAATATGCCTGTGCTGTTTGAAGCCCAGCAAGTACATCATGAGTCTCCCCCAGTATGTTCCACAGCAGCTCAGACTCAAACCATGCCCAGCTAGAAAGCATTTGCAAAGCAACTCAGGGAGCCTAGTCCAGCAGAGCCTGCCTTTTCGGTTTTGGCTTTTTTATTTGTTTTGGTTTGGTTTTTTGAGACAGGATCTGACTCTGTTGCCCAGGCTGAAGTGCAGTAGGGCAATCATAGTTTACTGCAGCTTTGAATTCCTGGGCTCAAGCAATCCTACTGCCTCAGCCTCCCAAGTAGCTGAGACCACAGATGTATACTAACAATACAAAAATCAGCCGGGCGTGGTGGTGCACACCTGTAATCCCAACTACTCAGGAGGCTGAGGCAGGAGAATTTCTTGAACCCAGGAGGTGGAGAGCCTTCTGGCATATTCCCCAAGTCTGCTGTTAGCTTCCCTATCTTAGTGCACCTGAAGGGAAAGGAATGTGTTTATTAAGGCCCACTGTTTTACTGGGGCCCGTTGTATGAGGGTGAAGTTTGGCAGTTAACCAAGAGACTTTCTCCCCACCTCCCTCTGTGCCCCAGCTGTCTTATTTGTGTTTTATGGTCTGCTCTTTCTGTCTTCTTGTAGTTAGAAGAGAAGTGATCTCCCTAAAATGCATGAGGCTAGAAAAGGAGCTGGAACTTAAAGTAGCTGTGTTTGTCCAAGATGATGGTGCTTCTGCTCTGTGAAACCTTATGTTCAGAAAACAAATAACCCAATTAGAAAATGGGCAAAGGACTTGAACAGACATTTCTTAAAAGAAGACATACAAAATGGCCAACAGGTTCATGAAAGAAAAAATGCTGAATATAATTAATCATCAGGGAAATGCAAATTAAAACCACAATGAGATATCACCTAATACCTGTCAGAATATACACCATAGAATACTACTCAGCCATTAAAAAAGAATGAAATCATGTCTGTTGCAACAACTTGGATGGAGCTGGAGGCCATTATCTTAAGCGAAATAACTCAGAAACAGAAAGTCAAATACTAGCTGGTGTGGTGGCTCACGCCTGTAATCCCAACACTGTGGGAGGCTGAGGAGGGAGGATCCCTTGAGCTCAGGAGTAGGAGACGACCAGCCTGGGCAGCATAGCAAGATCCCATCTCTACAAAAAATAATAATAATTACCTGGGTGTGGTGGTGCACACCTGTAGTCCTAGCTACTCAGGAGGCAGAGGTGGGAGGATCACTTGAACTGAGGAGCTCAAGGCTGCAGTGAGCCATGATCGTGCCACTGCACTCCAGCCTGAGCAACAGAGCAAGATCCTGTCTTTAAAAAAAGAAGGAAGAAAGTCAAATACCAAATGTTCTCACAAATGGGAGCTAAACGATGGGTACCCATGGTTTTACAGACA
This sequence comes from Homo sapiens, assembly GCF_000001405.40. Lineage (NCBI taxonomy): Eukaryota > Metazoa > Chordata > Mammalia > Primates > Hominidae > Homo > Homo sapiens. Next base: position 14,989,101 of record NC_000019.10, read on the forward strand.
CCGGCAACTCCAAAAGGTGGGAGGGTCGGGGGCTGAGGGATGAGACACTACCTGTTAGGTACAATACACATTATTTGGGTGATGGCTACACTAAAAGCCTAGACTTTAAGAGTATTCAATATATCCATGTATCAAAACTGCACTGAACCCCCAAAATCTATTTTAAAAAAAATTTTTTAAGGAGGAGTTTCACTCTGGTTGCCCAGGCTGGAGTGCAATGGCGTGATCTCGGCTCACTGCAACCTCCACCTCCTGGGTTCAAGCAATTCTCCTGCCTCGGCCTCCCGAGTAGCTTGAATTACAGGCATGCACCACCACGCCTGGCTAATTTTGTATTTTTAGTAGAGACGGGGTTTCTCCATGTTGGTCAGGCTGGTCTTGAACTCCCGACCTCAGGTGATCCGCCCACCTCGGCCTCCCAAAGTGTGGAATTACAGGCGTGAGCCACCGTGCCCGGCCAAAAATTTTTTTTAAAGAAAAAAGATAAGTGGTCAGGGGAATTCGGAGAAAAGACAACCCATGTGCTCTGTTGGTGGGAATGTAAATTAGTACAGCCATTATAAAAAACAAAACAAAACAAAAACAGTATGGAGGCTGGGCACAGTGGCTCATGCCTGTAATTTCAAAACTTTGGGAGGCTGAGTGGGGTGGCGGGGGGTGGGGTGTGGATCACCTGAGGTTAGGAGTTCGAGACCAGCCTGGCCAACATGGTGAAAACCCATCTGTACTAAACATACAAAAATCAGCGTGGCGTGGTGGTGCGCACCTGTAATCCCAGCTACTGGGGAGGCTGAAGCAGGAGATTCACTTGAACCCAGGAGGTGGAGGTTGCAGTGAGCCAAGTTCATGCCACTGCACTCCAGCCTGGGCAACAGAGCAAGACTCTGTCTCGAAAAAATAGAAGAACAGTGTGGAGGTTTCTCAAAAAGTTAAAATAGAATTACCATATGATCCTGCAGTCCCACTACTGGATATGTATATCTAAAGGAAATGAAATCAGTGTCTCAAAGAGATATCTGCACCCCCATGCTCATTGCAATGTTATTCACAACAGTCAAGATATGGAAGCAACCTAAGTGTCCACCGAGAAATGGATTTTTAAATGTACTATGCTATGCAGTTGTAAGAAAAGAAAATCCTGTCATTTATGACAACATGAACAAATGACAGGATTTCCTTTTGATGAACCTGGAGAACATTATGTTGGGTGAAATAAGCCAGGCACTGAAAGACAAATACCATGATCTCACTTACATGTGGAATCTAAAAACAATTGAACTCATAACAGCAGAGAATAAAATGATGATTACCAGAGACTCAAGTTGGAGGATTGGGGAGATGTTGGTCAAAGGATACCGAATTTCAGTTGGTAAAGAGGAATAATTTTGGCTGGGTGCAGTGGCTCATGCCTGTAGTCCCAGCACTTTGGGAAGCCGAGGCAGGCGGATCACCTGAGGTCAGGAGTTCGAGACCAGCCTGACCAACGTGGTGAAACCCTGTCTCTAGTAAAAATACAAAATTAGCCAGGAGTGGTGGCGCACACCTATAATCGCAGCTACTTAGGAAGCTGAGGCAGGAGAATCTCTTGAACTTGGGAGGCGGAGGTTGCAGTGAGCCAAGATCATACCACTGCACTCCAGCCTGGGCAACAAGAGTGAGACTCTGTCTCAAAAAACAAAACAAAACAAAAAAAAAAAAAAACGAATAATTTCAAGAGATCTGTTGTACAACATGGTGACTCTAGTTAATAACAATACAGTGTATTCTAGACAAATGCTAAGAGAGTAGATTGTAAATGTTCTTACCATAAAAGTGAACTTTGGAAGGCAATGCACATATTGATGAGCTAGATTTAGCCATTCCACAATGTGTGTGTGTATATTTCAAAACATCATGCTGTACACAACAAATACACACAATTTTATCTGTCATTTAAATAAAATTTTAAAATAAAAATATTTTTAAAACACACCTTAAAAAACATAATGCTGAGTGAGAGAAGCCGGATACAAAAGGCCACATAAGTGTATATAATTCTATTTATATGAAATGTCCAGAATAGGCAAATCCTATCCTAGATTTGGAAAGCAGATTCGTGGTTGCCAGGGGCTGCAGGCGGGAGAAATGATGAGTGATGCTAAAGGGTATAGACTTCCTTTTGGGGCGATTGAAATGTTCTGGACCTAGATAGAGGTGATAGTTACAGGACACTGGGAATTGTACTCTTTAAAAGGGTTAATTTGACTAGGTGCGGTGGCTCATACCTGTAATCCCAGCACTTTGGGAGGCCAAGGTGGATAGATCACTAGAGGTCAGGAGTTCAAGCCCCCTGGCCAGCATGGTGAAACCCCATCTCTACCAAAAATACAAAAATTAGCTGGGTGTGGTGATGCGCACATGTAATCCCAGCTACTCAGGAGGCTGAGGAAGAGAATTGCTTGAACCCGGGAGGAGGATGTTGCAGTGAGCCGAGATATCGCCACTGCACTCCAGCCTGGGTGACAGAGGGAGACTCTGTGTCAAAAAAAAAAAAAAAGACAATTTTACATTACACAAATTTCACTTCAATAAAACAAAAGTAAAGGAGTACCAAAAAAACCTCGGTATTAAAGAGAAACAATATTTCAATGAAATCTTTTTAGAAATCAAAATGAATGCAAAAAAATCCACAATGAACAAATAGATCAACATGTTAAATCAAGACAGGACCAAAGTTCCTACTTTTCCTTCTGCTTTTTTCTTTTTTTTTTTTTTCTAGAGGGAGTCTTGCTCTGTCACGCAGTGGCGTGATCTTGGCTCACTGCAATCTCCGCCTCCCGGGTTCTAGTGATTCTCCTGCCTCAGCCTCCCGAGTAGCTGGGATTACAGGTGCCTACCACCACGTCCAGCTAATTTTTGTATTTTTAGTAGAGACGGGGTTTCACCATGTTGGGCAGGCTGGTCTTGAACTCCTGACCTTAGGTGATCCACCCGCCTCAGCCTCCCAAAGTGCTGGGATTACAGGCGTGAGCCAACGCGCCCAGTGCCTTCTGCTTTTCAGGCTCCTGTGTGGCTCAGTTCAGCACTCTTACTGATTCTATCTTGAACATTCTGCTATTTGGGTTAACCATGGATTGTTTGCATTAATTTCATGAGTTGTTTTTAATTATTGACATTGGAGTATTATTTAGCTTAGTCGCCGGTTTTTTGGTGCTACCTGATATTTTGTATGTGGGACTGACTGGTATCTCAACCTCACTGTGGCCTTGTGAGTCTCTTGCTCTCTCAACAGTAAAGGCTGCCAGCTCCCTTTTACAGATAAGAAGGGTCTCAAAGAGGTTAAGCAGCAGGCCTCAGAATTAATAAAGAGCAGGGTCACGGCCGGGTGTAGTGGCTCACGCCTGTAATCCCAGCACTTTGGGAGGCCGAGGCAGGCAGACAGGTGGTGCGCACCTGTAATCCCAGCTACTCAGGAGGCTGAGGCAGGAGAATCGCTTGAACTCAGGAGGTGGAGTTTGCAGTGAGCCAAGATCATGCCACTGCACTCCATCTTGGGCTACAGAGCAAGACTCTGTCTCAAAAAAAAAAAAAATGAGCAGGGTTAGATTGGAGCCCACATCTGTCTGGCTCAAACCTCCAGCCACCCCAGGTCCACTCTGACCAAAGGCTCCAACTCTGGCCCTAGCATTAGGAGGGCAGGGCAGTGCAGACGGAGCACCCCGGGCTGTCCCAGACGACTGCCCCAGCTGCAAGGTGGAGCTTGAACACGAGCTGAGCCAAGAAGAGTCTGAGACCGAGGAATTGAGGCTAATTCCTCTGTGGGAAACGCTCCCTATTAATTAATTAGGGCAGAGCTAGCCTGAGGCATCCCCGCAGCCCCCAGAGTCATTAAAGGAGAGGGAGTCTCATTATCGGCTAACAGCTTCCCCACCGTTCCCAGGGCCCCAGAGGGAGCAGAGGAGGTGGGAGGAGGACCAGGTCTCCCCGTCCTGATCCCCTGTCTTTCATTACCAGAGTGGCCTGATATGCAAGCGAATTGTCTAAAAGTAGAATTTCAGGGGAGGTAAAAAAGGGAAAGTCAGAACTGAGGGATTCAGGATACCCCCTCCCAAATTCAGTCTGCACTTATATTTATATAAAATACCCAGCACAGGTAAATCCATAAAGATAGACATCCAATTAGTGGTTGCCCAGGGCTGGAGTCGGGGGGCAATGGTGAGTGACTGCTGATGATGGGTAGAGGGTTTCCTTCTGGGGGGGTGAAAGCTGTAGTCAAACTTGATAATGCTGACGGTAGCACAGCACTGCAAATGTACTAAAGTCACTGAACCGTCAACTTTCAAATGGTCAATTTTATGTTATGTGTATTTTATAATTTAAAAAAATCAATCTCCTTCTCATTCCTGGCTATTTCATCAACATTTATTAACATGTGCTTTCTGCCCGGCATTGTACTGGGAGGGGAGGCCTGGTGCCACCCTGGCAACTCTGTCTTAGTGAGAGATGTCATGGTCAACAACTGTTTGAGGCCTGCATGCAAGGGGTAAAGGAATTTACCAAGACAAGAGTGAGTTTTAAAAGGCAGATGTATTAAAGAAAGGAGGACATGCATTGCAAGGATGCAATGGGTAAGACAGCAGAAGGAAGGTTGTCTGCTGTCTGAAAAGAGTCAGGGGCTGGAGGGAAAGTTTTATAAGGTGGTGCTCCTTCAGCTGAGTGCTTGCAGACAGGATGGTTGGGTGCAGGTGGGCAGTGAGCTGAGTGCTTGCAAACAAGATGCTTGTGTGCAGATGGGCTGTGAGCTGAAAGCTTGTAGATAAGATGCTTGGGTGCAGGTGGGCTGTGAGCTGAGCACTTGCAACAGAATGCTTGGGTGCAGGCGGGCTGTGAGCTGAGCACTAGAAGCTAGCGGGCCTTTTGCAGTTGACCCCATTTCTCAGAACATTTGCTTCTCTCAACCCCAGATAAGCCCATTCTTTAAGTTTTCTTTTAACTCCTTAGGGCTCCACACGAAATGATGCTGGAGACCTTCAAGATGGCCTCCAGGGATGTTCTCCATCTGTCCTCCCCTTGTTCTGTGTCCAGGTTCATGGATCAAACCAACAAGAAGCCTTGTCCTCTGTCTTCTGGTTGGCTTCAAGCAATGGGAAGCCCTTACAGGAGGCAAGAGGGATGAAAGAGGGTGAGGCCAGAGTATTTATTTCCTGGGGTGCCTCCCTGCATCCCCCCTGCAGATTGGCCCTAGACTGCAGAGCACAAGGTCCTGGCTGGCAGCCCCCTCTAGGTTCCAGTAGTAACAGCTCCCTCCCCTCTCTGCATCTGCCCAGGAGTGGTAATAACCCCCAGATGCTGACTGCTCCACGTAACTGCATGGATTCTGCAATCCTGTATGGTTTCTTTACCCCCTACCACACCTTGACCCAACTCCCCTCAAACTGCCCAGTCTACCCTCCATCTTTCTCCAGGGGTTAGAGAGAATGCAACCCTCCGACTTGCTCTGCACCCCAGAAGGTGGATTTTTGTGGCTATCAATGGGCTGCCTGCCTTGGAGAATCTGGTGGGGTTGGCTTTGTGAAAGTAAAATAAATTTGGGGACCCCAAAATCACTAAGCCAAAGGGAAAAGTCAAGCTGGGAGCTGCTTAGGGCAAACCCCCTTGCCTTTCTATTGCTTAAAAAGTTTGGGTGCGCCATCCTGAGTTTCTTTCTGTTCAGACTTCCCTCTTGATATGTATTTAGAAGAGGAAGAAGAAAAATAAGCAGGCAGGTAGTAAAGTATAATCACAATGGGATAGTATTCAGCCACAAAAAAAATAAGGAAATCCTGCCATTTGCAACCACATGGATGAACTCGGAGAACATGATATTACAGGAAATAAGCCAGATACAGAAAGACAAACACTGCATGATCTCACTCATATGTGGAATCCTAAAATGTTGAACTCATAGAAAAAGAGAGTAGAGTGGCCGAGTGTGGTGGCTCACACCTGTAATCCCAGCACTTTGGGAGGCCAAGACGGGTGGATCACCTGAGGTCAGGAGTTCGAGACCAGCCTGGCCAATATGGCGAAACTCCGTCTCTACTAATAATACAAAAATTAGCTAGGCATGGTGGCACATGCCTGTAATCCCAGCTACTTGGGAGGCTGAGGTAGGAGAATTGCTTGAACCCTGGAGGTGGAGGTTGCAGTGAGCCGAGATCATACCACAGCACTCCAGCCTGGGCAACAAGAGTGAAACTCCATCTCCAAAAAAAAAAAAAAAAAAGAAAGAAAGAAAGAAAGAAAGAAAAGGGAAGGGAAGGGAAGGGAAGGGAAGAAAAAGAAAGTAGAACAGTGGTTACCATACCATAGCCTTGGGTGGTTGAGGAGATGTTGGTCAAAGGATGCCAAATTTCAGTTAGATAGGAGAAAAAAGTTCAAGAGATCTATTGTACAGCATGGTTACCCTATTCTCAAAAAATGCGAAGCGAACAGATGCAAATGCTTCACCACAAAAATGATAACTATATGAGGGAATGCATATGTTAATTGACTAGATTTAGTCATTCCACAATATATATATACGATAAAACGTTATGCTATACATGATATACAGATACAATTTGTGTCAATTTTTAAATTTTTAATTAAAACATATATTAAAAGTCCAGATCCCCAATGTTGGCATCAATAGTTGCTTAAGTGTGAACAAAAATACAATTTGACATTAAAAAAGTAAAGTATAGTAGTAGAAGTGTCCTCAGTTGACCTCATAGAAGAAGAGAGATGGTAGATCACTGGTAGATCCAGGAGCTAGGTTACCCCGGAAAAGAACATTAGACAGCAATATCATTGATGAAGAAGAGAGAGGGAAGGAAAAGGGGGTGTCCATTTTAAAGATCTTAAAGATTTTTTTTACTATCAAGGTAATTTATGTTCATTGCAGAAAATCTGAAAAATGCAGAAAGAATAGAAGGAAACACGGTAGAAAAAATTCAACCAAATCCTATTTATAATCAACACTAAATTGTTGGTGAACTGCTTTCCAGGTGGAGATATTTGTCTTACTTCAAAATTAGAATCATGCCTACCTGCTACATGAATAAACCTTGAGGACAGTGGGCTAAGTGAAAGAAGCCAAATGCAAAAGGACAAGTATTGTATGATTCAACTTATATGAGATACATAGAATAGCCAAAGCAAAGACAAAAAGTAGAACATTGGTTACCAGGGACTGCAGAGTTGCAAGGAGAATGGGGAGTTATTGTTTGATGGGCACTGAGTTTCATCTGGGGAAGACGGATGAAGGTAATGGTTGCACAACAATGGGATTGTACTTAATGCCACTGAACTGTACACTTAGAAATATATACATTAGAATCCTGCCAATTGGTCAGTTTGTTCTCCTCCTCCTCCTTCTCCTTCCCCTTCTTTCTTTCCTCCTCCTCCTCCTCCCTCTCCTCCTCCTCTTTCTTCTTCTTCTTCTTCTTCTTCTTCTTCTTGTTCTTCTTCCTCTTCTTCTTCTTCCTCTCATTGTACCTTAAGCCGTTACTTCTATCTGACATGATTTTGATGGTTTATTTTAGTTTTTCATTTTTCCCACTGACTGACAAGCTCCAGGAGAGAAGAGAAACTTCATCTTACTGCTCCACTCTCCTGGCTCTTAGCCTGGTGCCTGACACAGAGCAGATGCTCAATAAACATTTGCCAAGTCACTCGATCAATCAATCAATCAAGCCATTAGGAAAGAAAGATTTTCTAGTGGGCCCCCAAGTCTACTCTCCATCCTTCTCCAGGAGGTAGAAAGGATGCACCCCTCCAACTTGCTCTGCACCCCAGGTGGTGGATTTTTGTGGATATCAGTGGGCTCCCTTCCTTGGAGGATCTGGTGGGGTGTGAAAGGAAAATAAATCTTGGGACCCAGAAATCACTAAGCCAAAGGGAAAAGTCAAGCTGGGAACTACTTAGGGCAAACATGCCTCCGATTCTATTCCTAAAAAAGATAGCTACTAAGATAAAAGAGCTACATATCTCCCTCACAAGGAATTTCCTTGCAGGCAAAGGACAGACAAAACTCAGTCATCCCTCTGCTCACTGAGATAAATGCATATCTGCTTGCCTCCTTTGGAAAGGCGAATCAGAAACTCAAAAGAATGCAACCATTTGTCTCTTACCTACCTATGACCTGGAAGCCTCCTCCCTACTTTGAGTTGTTCCACCTTTCTGGATGGAACCAATGTACTTCTTACAGATATTTACTGATGTCTCGTGTCTCTCTAAAATGTATAAAACCAAGCTGTGCCCAGACCACCTTGAGGGCATGTCATCAGGACCTCCTGAGGATGTATCACAGGCACTCATTTTTAACTTTGGCAAAATAAACTTCCTAAATTGACTGATAATTGTCTCAGATATTTGGGGTTCATAGCTTAAAAGAATCCCCAGAAAATGGCAGCATTGGGGCAGATTAAGGCGGGAAACCAGGATATTAGAAGATGAGCTTCAGACAGCCAAGAGAGCAAGTGGCTGCTTCTCCCTTGCTCTGCTATTTGAGATGCTTCCCCGGTGCACCTACCTGTGATAGGCAATGCCACACAGAGACAGGCCAGGAATAGGCAGGGGACCCTCAGCTAAAGGAGCAGAAGCCATTATATTAGTTTTCTAGGGCTGCCATAACAAATCACAGCAAATTGTCTGGTTGAAAGCCACAGGAATTTATTCTCACACAGTCTTGGAAGGCAGAAGTCTGAAATCAAGGTGTTGGTAGGGCTGTGCTCCTTCCAAAGCTCTGGAGGAGAATCTTCCCTTGCCTCATTCTAGTTTCTCATAGTTGCCAAGAATCCTGGGCATTTCTTGGCTTGTATATCCTCTACTCCAATCTTCATGTCTTTTTTTTTAATTGACAAGTAAAAATTGCATATATTTATGATGTACAATATGATGTTTGTGTGTGTGTGTGTGTGTATGCACTATGGAATGAATAAATCAAGCTATTAACATATGCATGTAAACTAAAAATAAAATTCTATGCCCTACCAACCATCTGAATGGACCCCTCTTGGCCAAGGGCATTCCAAAATTAACCTGAAAAACTAGTTCAGGCCATGATAGAAAGACGGAATCAGACATGCCTCATTAAGCTCTCTTCCCTTTGGAATTCAGGCATAGCTGGCCAGCATTAACATTAAAACAGAGATCTTGGCCAGGTGTGATGGCTCACCCCTGTAATCCCAGCACTTTGGGAGGCCAAGGTGGGCAGATCACTTGAGGGTGGGAGTTCAAGACCAGCCTGGCCAACATGGTGAAACCCTGTCTCTTCTAAAAATACAAAAATTAGCCAGTCATTGTAGCACATGCCTGTAATCCCAGATATTCAGGTGGCTGAGGCAGGAGAATCACTTGAACCCAGCAGGGAGAGGTTGCAGCGAGCCAAGATCATGCCACTGTACTCCAGCCTGGGCAACAGAGTGAGACTCTGTCTCAAAAAACAAACAAAACAAAAAAATAAACAACAACAACAAAAAAAGCAGAGATCTTAAGACTTTTTGTAGCAATAAGACACCAAATTCCAAATTACTTTAGTATAGCATCACATGACAGATAGCAGGTCCTGAAAGAAATTGAGATATTTTACTCTAAAATGTATTTCTTTGACATATTTTGAAATGGCTCTGCAAAGCTGTCTCTTGTGAGGAAAATCTACACTTTTTGGAGCATCCCTTCTCCTTTCCAGGTCTTCTCCCTGATCCAGGAGAGAATTAACTGGGTCTAGAACCTTTTTAAGTCTGATAAGAAACATTTATTTATTTATTTATTTATTTATTTATTTATTTATTTTTAATGGAGTCTTGCTCTGTCACCCAGGCTGGAGTGCAGTGGCACTATCTCGGCTCACTGCAGCCTCCGCCTCCTGGGTTCACGCCATTCTCCTGCCTCAGCCTCCCGAGTAGCTGGGACTACAGGTGCCCGCCACCACACCTGGCTAATTTTTTTGTATTTTTAGTAGAGACGGGGTTTCATCGTGTTAGCCATGATGGTCTCAATCTCCTGACCTCGTGATTCACCTGCCTCAGCCTCCCAAAGTGCTGGGATTACAGGCGTGAGCCACCATGCCCGGCCAAGAAACATTTATAATCTACTCTCTCTGAAGCCTGCTACCTGGTGGCTTCATCTGCAAAATAAGAACCTTGGTCTCCACAACCCCTTATTTTAACCCAGACACTCTCTTCTATGGATTCCAGGTCTTTATATAAACTCTTTCAACCAATTGCCAATTGGAAAATCTTTGAATCCACCTATGACCTGGAAGCCCCCCAACTCCTACCCACCTCAAGTTGTCCCGTCTTTCTGAGTCGACCCAATGTACACTTAACATGTATTGACTGATGTCTCTTGTCTGCCTAAAATGTATAAAACCAAGCTGTAGCTTAAAGACCTTGGGCACATGTCATCAGGACCTCTCCTGTGTCACAGGCCTGTCAATAACCTTGGCAAAATAAACTTCTAAACTGATTGAGACTCATCTGAGATACTTCTTGGTTTACATGCATTATCTCACATACTTATCATTTTTTTGTGGTGAGAACACTGCAAATCTCTTTCAGCAATTTTCAAGTACACACAGTCTCCAACTTACAATGGTTCAACTTGTGATTTTTTTACTCTACCGTGGGGCAAAGTAGAAACCATCCTTTGAGTAGCCACACAATCATTCTTGTTTTCACCTTCAATACAATAGTCAATAAATTACATGAGATAGTCAACATTTTATTATAAAATAGGTTTTTTTGTTTTTTATTATTATACTTTAAGTTTTAGGGTACATGTGCACAACATGCTGGTTTGTTACATATATATACATGTGCTATGTTGGTGTGCTGCACCCAGTAACTCGTCATTTAACATTAGGTATGTCTCCTAATGCTATCTCTTCCCCCTCCCCCCCACCCCACAACAGGCCCCGGTGTGTGAGGTTCCCCTTCCTGTGTCCATGTGGGAATTGAACAATGAAAAATAGGTTTTGTGTTAGATGATTTTGCTCAACTCTAGGCTAATGTAAGTGTTCTGCGCATGTTTAAGGTAGATGAGGCTAAGCTATGGTGTTCAGTAGGTTATATGTATTAAATGCATTTTGACTTATGATATTTTCAACTTATGATGGGTTTATCAGGATGTAACCTTATCATAAGTTGAGGAAAATCTCTATGCAATATACTGTTATTAACTATAGTTGCCACGATGTATAACAGATCTGTTGAACTTATTCTTCTCTTCTAGCTAAAATTTTGTGTCTTCTGACCAACATCTCCCCAATTGCCCCCAATCCTAGCCTCTGGCAACCACCATTTTATTCTGTTTCTATCAGTTTGTCTTTTTTACCTTCCACATATAAGTGAGAAGATGCAGTATTTGTCTTTGTGCCTGGGTTATTTCATTTAGCCTAATGTCCTCCAGCTTCATCCAGGTTGTTGCAAATGACAGGATTTCCTTCTTTCTAATGGCTAAATAGTATTCTATTGTGTATATGTGCCACATTTTCTTTATCCAACCGGATGGACTCAGGTTCATTCCATATCTTGGCTACTGTGAACAGTGCTGCAATAAACATGGGGAGTGCAAATATCTCCTTGACATACTGATGCCATTTCCTTTGCTGATCATCATGTTTTCACACGGCATTGTCCCCATGCATCTCTGTTCTCTTATACACATGGCCAACTTGTCATAAGGACACCAGTAGGATCCAACCCACTCCAGTACCACCTTACCTTACTTACATCTGCAATGACCCTAATTCCAAATAACATCACATTCACATGTACCACAGGGGAGGACTCCAACATATCTTTTTCTGAGAGGCACAATTCAACCCATAACAGTAGATAAGCCCTTTCAACAGTTCTTCTTCCCACCTAATTTGGGTTATCCCACAAACAGAAAAGATGTTTGAAGGTTGAACAGCTAGAACAGGAATGTTCATAGCAGAAGCAGAAGAAAGTCCTTGGTTGGTCCACACACATGGAGTATGTTTTAGCATGACAGAGCAGCCATCATTATGTCACTCAGCGAACAAATATTAAGGGTCTACTTTGTTCCAGTTTGTTCCCAAACTGGGCTGGGAACTTAGTTATTCAGTAATAACTAAGACAAATGAGATGCCCACCAAGGAGCTGACATTCTAGAGAGGGAAGGAAAAGAATTACAATCTGACAAGAGCTACGAGGGGAGGAGGGATGGCGTATAGCCCGGTGGTGTGAGACCTCAAACCGAGTGGTCAGAGAAGAGTTCTTTAAGAGATAATATTTGAACAGAGACCCAAAGCAAGAAAGGGAGAAAGCCATATAAAAATGCAGAATAAGAACATTTCAGAGAGGGGAAAAACAAATGCAAAGACTATGAGAATAAACACGGATGGTGAGCACATCATGACTGATCCTTTATGATCTTTGGACAGAGAGGTGGGAGATGGAAGGAAAGGTGGGATGGGGCCAGATGGTAAGAAATTGGGATTCTGTAGATTCTGGTAAGGAACTTGGATGCCATTCTAAACCTGAGGTTCACTTCACTGAACCCACCTATTGGTTGTAAAGCCACAGTCTTCCTAACCTTCTTATTTTCTTGAGACAGGGTCTCACTCTGTCACTCAGGCTGGAGTGCAGTGGCACAATCAGGGCTCATTGCAGCCTCGACCTCCCTTGGCTCAGGTGATTCTCCTTCTTCAGCCTCCAGAGTAGCTGGAACCACAGGCACACACCATAATGCCCTGCTAATTTTTCCATTTTTTGTAGAGCCAGGGTTTACCATGTTGCCCAGATTGGTCTCAAACTCCTGGGCTTAAGCAATTCATCCGCCTCAGTCTCCCAAAGTGCTGGGATTACAGTAGTGAGCCACCACACCTGGCCCTAACCTAACTATTAATACCCAAATTCACTAATGAGAAAAAGATTTTCCAAGTAAAAAGTGAGGAATGAGAAGTGAATGGAGAATGAAAACCTGATGCACACGCTATTTCTCTTTTATTTTATTTTATTATTGTTTTATTTTGTTTTGAGACAGGATCTTGCTGTGTTACCCAGGCTGGAGTGCAGTGGTGCGATCATAGCTCACTGCAGCCTCCATCTCCTGGGCTCAAGCGATCCTCCCACCCCAGCCTCTTGAGTAGCTCAGATTCCAGATATGCACCACCACATCCAGCTGTTTTTTGTTTTGTTTGGTTTGGTTTGGGTTGGGTTTTTTGTTTTGTTTTGTTTTTTGTTTTTAAGAAACAGGGTCTTGCTATGTTGCCCAGGCTAGCCTCAAACTCCTGGCTTCAAGCAATCCTCCTACCTCAGCCTCCCAAAGTGCTGGAATTATAGGCATGAGCCACCATGCCTGGCTTGGATTTCTTCAGAGTGAGCAAGTGAAAGAGCAAGCAAGAGAGAGCAGAACAGAAGCCATGATCGCTTTGTAACCTAATCTCAGAAGCAGCATCTATCATGTTTGCCATAGGCTGTTGGTTACAAGTGACACATCAGGTCCAGCCCACACTCAAGGGATTACACAGGGCATGAGGATCAGGAGGTGAGGACCATTCAGGGCCATCTGAAGATGCCTAACCCAGCTGAAAAAGAAATCCATCATATTTGAGGGGTGGATGGCGGACAACCAGCTAGTAAAGAACACAGAGTAGAGGTGAAAAAGAAAACATGTGAAAGAGCACAGGGGAGGGGATTCAAGTCACAGAGGGCTGACAATTTCAAAGCTACCAGGAGGTCAAGTTGAGCAGGATAGAAAAGAAACTGGAATTTGTCCATTGCAGGAAGACGTTGATGATGGATGCCTGAGCCATTATTTTTGTTTGTTTGTTTGTTTGTTTGTTTGTTTTCGGTTTGTGTTTTTCATTTTTGTCTTTTTGTTTTTTGTGGGATGTTGTTGTTGTTGTTGTTGTTATTTTGTTTTTTGTAATAGAGTCTCTGTCTCACCCAGGCTAGAGCACAGTGGCACAATCTCAGCTCACTGCAACCTCCGCCCCCCGGGTTCAAGCGATTCTCATGACTCAGCCTCTTGAGTAGCTGGGATTACAGGCATGTGCCACCACGCCCAGCTAATTTTTGCATTTTTGTACAGATGGGGTTTCACCATGTTGGCCAGGCTGGTCTCGAACTCCTGGCCTCAACTGATCTGCCTACCTCAGCCTCCCAAAGTGCTGGGATTACAGGCATAAGCCACCGTGCCTGGCCTGCCTGAGTCATTTTGAGGGACTGACCAGGGGTACAGCCATAGACACAGGTCCTTGTCACTCACTGACCAGCAAGGTCACTGCCTTTGCAGGAGATGACAGGGAAGAACCAGGAAGCACCTCCTCTCCCAGCCTGGGGCTTCCCACCATCTCCTGACACCTCCACCAGAAAAGCGACCTCATTTCTCAAAGACAAAACAGATTCTAGGTCATATCCCCCTGGAATGAGAGACCAATTGATGTGATTATCTCCAAGAGAAAGAGGGGCACCTACTAAAAGTAGAACCTGGTGTCCCAGAAGGGAAGACATCGGGGAACCTAAAAAGGGGTCTCTGATAATTACCTGCCAAGATTTCACAGCGAAGGGCATCTCCATGTAATGCCAAAAAAAAAAAAAAGAAAGAAAAGAAAAGAAAAAAGGCTAGAAGTTTTAGAAGGTGCTCCTTCTTCATCCATTCTGCAATTTCACTCGATTTCGCCCAAAAGCAGAATTCTGCTCCCTACATTGCATGAATCAGTATATAGAACAGGTGGCCCCAGCAAAGTTGCAAAAAGGAATTTCTATAAAGTGTTCTTTATTATAAAAATCAAGAGAGCTGCCAGGTGTGGTGGTTCATGCCTGTAATCCTAGCACTTTGGGAGGCCAAGCCGGGTGGATTGCCTGAGCTCAGGAGCTCGAGACCAACCTGGGCAACATGGAGAAACCCCATCTCTATTAAAATACAAAAAATTAGCTGGGCGTGGTGGTGGGCCCCTGTAGTCCCAGCTACTCAGCAGGCTGAGGCAGGAGAATTGCTTGAACCCAGGAGGAGGAGGTTGCAGTGAGCCAAGATCACACCACTGCACTCCAGCGTGAGCAACAGAGCAAGACTCTGTCTCTAAAAAAATTAATAATGCATAAATAAAATAAATAAAAATCAGAGAGCTAATTTCACAAAGAAATATAACTCCCTATTGGCCTGAGTTAGAAGTATTTGGGCTTCAGTATATTGGGAGAAGGGAAATATGTATAGTTGTGTATATGCATGCACACATACACACACACACACAGAGGCATGGTGGGGGAATGAATGTGGAAATGGTTAGAGTGAAATCAAGATCAAGTTCAGAATAAGTATCTCTGGATAGTAAAACAAAAAATAAGGCTGGCCATGGTGGCTTGTGGCCATAATCCCAGCACTTTGAGAGGGTGAGGCAGGAGGATGGCTTGAAGCCAGGAGTTCAAGACCCAGACTGGGCAACATAGCAAGACCTCACCTCTACAAAAAAAAAAAAAAGTCAATTGTGATGGCATGCACCTGTAGTTCCAGCTATTCAGGAGGCTGAAGCAAGAGATCTCTTGAGACCAGGAGTTGGAGGCTTTAGTGAGCCAAGATTGTGCCACTTCATTTCAGCCTGGGTGACAGAGTGAGACTCTGTCTCCAGAAAAAAAAAAAAGATTCTTATTCATTTCATTATGTTTCCCATATTTTATACATTTTATACAAGGTGCATACCTTGCTTTCATAGCTTATTTGTTAGTTTAAGAGAGGTATTTAGGCTTGGAGAGTACTGAAAAATTTTCCTAGTCCTCGGTCTTGTGTACATAATGTTTCTGTAGATTTTTTGAACATCACTGTTTCTGTTCAGACACACGCAGGTGAATCACTTGGAAAATGAGAGCTAATCCCAGCCCAGCAATGAATGGTTCCTTCCAGACAGGCCAGGCACAGTTGCTCACATCTGAAACCCCAGAGCTTTGGTAGGCCAAGGCGGGAGGATTGTTTGAGTCCAGGAGTTTGAGACTAGCCTGGGCAACATAGCAAGATCGTGTCTCTACAAAAACATTTTTAAATTAGCCAGGCATGGTAGCACATGCCCATAGGGCCAGCTACCCAGGAGGCTGAGGCAGGAGGATTGTTTAAGCCCAGGAGTTCAAAGTTGCAGTGAGCCATGATGGTACCACTGTACTCTACTCTGGGTGACAAAGCAAGACCCTGTCTCAAAAAAAAAAAAAAAAAAGCAGGGCACGGTGGCGGTCAGGAGTTCACGAATAGCCTGGCCAACAATGGTGAACAAATTGTTCTACTAAAAATACAAAAAATTAGCTGGGCGTGGTGGTGGGCATCTGTAATCCCAGCTACTCAGAAGGCTGAGGCAGGAGAATCACTTGAACCTGGGAGGCGTAGGTTGCAGTGAACCGAGATCGCGCCACTGCACTCCAGCCTGGGCAACAAGAGTGAAACTCCTTCTCACAAAAACAAAAAAACAAAAAAACCAGATAACTCACCTGTTCTTCAAATACATATCAGGCTAGAGAAGTGTCCAAAATGGGTCATCAAAGCCAGGAGCTAGCAGTGAGTTTTTGGAAGTTGATATAGAGAATGGAAACTGGGATTGGGAGATGGAAATGAGAAGTTGGTCTGATTAAGCAATGGTCTGCACCAATTTCAATGCTTAGATAATAGTATCATATACTAGCAGCGTGTTGGTGTCAGCGTGTTAAACTAATAAAAAGCCAGAATGTAACAGCCTGCATAGCCCTAATGCATTTCACCAGAGAGCCATGTGGAAGCCAAAATCCTCACATGCAGATCTGGCATGAGGAAGCTTCCTAAGCGTCTCTCAGGTAGCTTGGTACAAGTTCTGCCCAACAGAGGTGCTTCATACACCAGGCAGCAAGCCTACCCAAATGAGATCCCCTGGTTGGGAAGGTGGACGTACTTCATGAACAAAGCAAAGGTAGATGGTTGTGTGCAGGTCATCTCACATGAGGTGTCTCCCTGGTTCTTTGTGAAACCCTCTCTGGACCTCTTCTGGTTTTGAAATAGCTCATTCATGGATTCATTCTATTAATAAAAGTCAAAAGTAAACACTTACATAATGCTTACTAGGTGTCAGCCATGGTGCTAAGCACTTCATTCATATTAACTCATTGTCTCCATGCCACAATCCTATTACCTGAGTTGACAGATGGGGCAACGCAGGCACAGAGATGTTAAGTGAATTGCTCGAGATCACGTAGACAGCAAGTGGCAGAATCATAATTTGAATCCTAGTTCATCTGGATCCAGAATACAGACCATAATATCCTCCTGATGCTCATGAAAATTTGTTGAACCAGATACCACTGGTCCCAGCAGCAAATGACTGTGCTAACCCCATATTCCCAAGCCTCCATCGCCAAAGGTTATCTGGCCCCATTTCTTGCTAGTGGCCCTAAAGAACATAACGGCGGGTCTCCAGGATGGCTGGCGTGGGAGTCGCTGGTTGCCCATCTTATTCCCCCCACCCCCCATTACTGAATGATCCCTTGATTACAAACCCAGGGTCATTCATTCTTTCTTGACTGTCGCACCTCTCATTCACTCAATACGAAAATATTTGGACAGGCACGGTGGCTCATGCCTGTAATCCCAGCACCTTTGTAGGCCGAGGCAGGAGAATTACTTAAGGCCAGGAGACCAAGACCAGCCAGGGAAAGATAGCAAGACCCTGTCTCTACAAAAAAAAAAAAAGAAAAAGAAAAGAAAAGAAAATTTAAAAATAAGCTATGCATGGTGGCACATGCCCGTAGTCCTAGATACTTAGGAGGCTGAGAGTGAGAGGATCCCTTGAGTCCAGGAGGTTGAGGCTGCAGTGAGCCATGATCGTGCTACTGCACTCCAGCCTGGGTGACAGAGTGTGATCCTGTCTGAAAAAATAAAATAAAATAAAAATAAAACATGTATTGATTCTTCCACTTACGTATTCCTCTAATAAGTACGTATTGAGTGCTTGCCATGAGCCACTATCTGTGCTGGGTGCTCGGTAGTGGAATACAATGGTAAATAGGAGAGGCGAGGTCAATGCCCTCATGAAGCTCACAAGTGAAAAACAAATGTCCATCATTGGTCAGATGGATAAACAAAGTTATGGTATATAAATGCAATGGAATATGATTCAGCCATGAAAAGGACAGAAGCACTGATCCGTGCTACAACATGGACAAATCTGGAAAACACGATGCTGAGTGAGAGAAACCAGATACAAAAGGCCACATAGTGTGAGACTCCATTGACATGAAATGTCCAGAACAGGCAAATCTACAGAGACAGGGAGCAGATGAGTGGTTACCAGGAGCTGAGGGGACAGGGGAATGAGAGTGAGCGCTCGTGGGGATGAGGTTTTATTTGGGGATTGGTGAAGTGTTCTAGAATTCGATACAAGTGGTGATTGCACCACACTGTGAAGGTGTTAATGCCTCTGAATTGTGCACCTTAAAATCATTCATTGTATTTATGAAAATTTCATCTCACAAAAAAAAATCAAGTAAGATGATCATAGCATGTGATTGATTCCATCCGTTTCTTTATCCTATGTGTATTAAGGACCCACTATGTGCTATGAACTATACAGACACTGAGGATACAAGACTAGCATGCTTCCTGTTCTAGAGGCTCTTAGAGTCAATCATCAGAGAAATGCCAATTAAAATCACAATGAGAGGCCGGGCACGGTGGCTCATACCTGTGGTCCCAGCACTTTGTGGGGGCGAGACGGGTGGATCATCTGAGGTCAGGACTTTGAGACCAGCCTGGCTAACATGGTGAAACCCCATTTCTACTAAAAATACAAAAATTAGCCGGGTGTGGTGACACGCACCTGTAATCCCAGCTACCCGGGAGGCTGAGGCAGAAGAATCGCTTGAACCCAGGAAGCAGAGGTTGCAGTGAGTCGAGATCATGCCACTGCACTCCAGCTTGGGAAACAAGATCAAAAGTCTGCCCCCCCCCCAAAAAAAAACCAACCACACACACACAATGAGTCTGGGTGCAGTGGCTCAGGCTTATAATCTCACCATTTTGGGAGGCTGAGGTGGGAGGACTGCTTGAGCCCAGGAGTCTGAGACCAGCCTGGGCAATGTTAGCAAGACTCTGTCTTTACACAAAATTTAAAAATTAGCCAAGTGTGGTGGCGTGCGCCTATAGTCCTCGCTTTTTGGGAGACTGAGGCAGAAGGATGGCTTGATATCAGGAGTTGGAGGCTGCAGTGAACCATGATCCCCCCACTGCACTCCAGCCTGGGCCACAAAGTGGGGCTCAGTCTCTTTAGAAAAAGAGAGATATATATATACAGAATATCTATTATTTTAAAAGTAAAAAGAAAAAAAAACAGAGGTTGGCAAGGATGCAGAGAAAAGGGAAAGCTTATACACTGTTGGTGGGGATGCAAATTAGTACAACCTCTAGGGAAACAGATGGCAATTTCTCAAAGAACTAAAAATAGAACTGCCCTTTGATCCAGCAATCCCACTGCTGAGTATATACCTAAAGGAAGAGAAATCATTATATTAAAAAGACATCCACACTTACATGTTTATGGCAGCACTATTCACTATAGCAAAGTTATGGAATCAACTTATGTGTCCATTAGCAGATGATTGGATGTTAAAATATGGTATACAAGCTGGGTGCGGTGATTTCCCCCTGTAATCTCAGCATTTTGGGAGGTCAAGGAAGTCGAATTGCTTGAGTCCAAGAGTTTGAAACCAACCTGGGTAACATGGCAAAAACCCCACCTCCACTAAAAAAACAAAAATAATTCGCGTTTTTTTTTTTTTTACAGGCAGGCACCTGTAATTTCAGCTATTCAGGAGGCCAAGGTGATGGAATCAGCTGAGCCTGGGAGGCAGAGGTTGCAGTGAGCCGAGATCATGCCACTGCACTTCAGCCTGGGAAATTGGAGTGAGATCTTGTCTCAAATATATAAACATATATATATAAAATATACATATATGCTATCTACACAGATCACATAGATATGCTATCTAGATAGCATATATATATCGGATACAAATGCCCTATAAATAGCATATCTATCATATATCTAGATAGCATATATATATCACATAGATATGCTATCTAGACAGCATATATATAGCATATCTATACCAAATACATATGCCCTATATATAGCATATCTATCACATAGATATGCTATCTAAATAGCATATATATCACATAGATATCTATATATCTATAAATATCATATATATGCTCTCTAGATAACATATATATCACATAGATATCCTATCTACATGGCACATATATATAGCATATATGTCACATGTATGTGCTCTATATATAGCAGATATATATCACATATATATGCCGTGGAATACTTAGCCATAAAAAACAGTGAAATCTTGTCTTCTGCAGCAACATGGAGGGAACTAGAGGCCATTATCTTAAGTGAAATGACCGAGAAATAGAAAGTCAAAAAAACTCATGTTCTCACTTCTAAGTGGAAGCTAAACCATGGGTACACATGGACAAACAGAGTGGAAAACAGACATTGGAGGCTCCCGTAGGTAGGAGGGTGAGAAGGGGGTGAGGGATACAGTACTACCTATTGGCTACAATGTACACTATTTGGGTGATGATTGCACTAAAAGCCTAGTCTTCACCACTAGAAAATATATCCATGTAGCAAAACTGCACTTGTATCCCAAAT
Organism: Homo sapiens; assembly: GCF_000001405.40. Taxonomy (NCBI): domain Eukaryota; kingdom Metazoa; phylum Chordata; class Mammalia; order Primates; family Hominidae; genus Homo; species Homo sapiens. Next base: position 15,009,751 of record NC_000019.10, read on the forward strand.
CCATAAAAATAAATTTTTTTTAAAGGCTCTTAATTCTTCTAGGGCAGGTGAGAGATGCCCAAAAGTTAAAAAGTAAACCAATAAATGAATAAGATAATTTCAGATAGCGGTGAGTGCTATGAAGACACGAAAGAAAATGTAAGACTAAGCCAGGCGTGGTGGCTCACGCCTGTAATGCCAGCACTTTGGGAGGCCGAGGCAGGAGAATCACGAGGTCAGGAGTTCGAGACCAGCCTGGCCAACATGGCGAAACCCCGTCTCTACTAAAAAAAAAAAATGCAAAAAATTAGCTGGGCATGGTGGTGGGCGCCTGTAAGCCCAGCTACTCAGGAGACTGAGGCAGGAGAATCTCTTGAACCCGAGAGGTGAAGATTGCAGTGAGCCCAGCTCGCACCACTGCACTCCAGCCCAGACGACAGTGCAAGACTCTATGAAAAAAAAAAAAAAGAAAGAAAGAAAAAAGAAAGAGAGAGAGAGAAAAGAAAAGAAAAGAAAACGTAAGACTAAAAAAGCTACTTTTGGGTAGTCAAGGACACCAAGAACCCAGCCAGCAAAAATCTGAAGACTGCAAAGTGGCCAGCCATGGGAGTATTCTACCTGTGGGAACAGCAAGTCCCAAGCTTCCAAGTGTGAAGGCGCTTCGGACACCCTGAAGCTGAAAGAAGGGCCATGTGCTGGAAGGTAACGGCGAGAGGAATGCCTGGTGAGAAGCCTGGCCCTTCTTCCATGCTTACCGACATGCGACAGAGTGTGACCTGGACAGCTGGAAGCGCTTAGGACATCCTAAAGCTGGAAGAAGGGCCATGTTGCTGGAAGCAACGGCGAGAAGGATGCTAGATGGGCTCTTTCTCAAGGAGTCAGGATGCCAGTGCACTTAGGCCAAGTTCCAAAGCAAAGACTCCATCCTACTCCTCCCCCCACCTCTGGAATTCCACCTCCCTTGTTGCGCCCATCGCTATGGTGACGGGCGCTCTCAGTACACTGTCTCTACAGGCCAGGAAAGAGTTGTGTGTCTTTGGGGTCCCTTCCGCTCCGCCTAGGGTTCCCGGCCAGGCCGAGAGACCAAGCAGGGACCATGCGCGTGTTGGTACCCCCGGCTGAGCGCAGCCAGGACACACGCGTTGGGGCCCCAGCATGGCGCGAGGCAGCTCAGGCCATGGCGAGGACCGCGCACATTCTGACCGATCGCTGCGGGCAGGAGGCGGTGACCATGTGGCAGCCCAAGGACAGCGTGCTGGACCCGAACGTGGCCCACCACCTCGGCCGCGCCGCCTACATCCAGCCCTGGCGCTTCCGCGTGGAGATGATCAAAGGCGGCGGCACCTTGGAGAAGCCGCCGCCAGGCGAGGGCGTCACGCTGTGGAAGGGCAAGATGAAGCCGCCCGCCTGGTACGCCCGCCTGCCGCTACCCTTGCACCGCAAAGCGCGCGCCCTGCAGACCACCGAGGTGGTGCACGCGCACGCGCGTGGAGCGCGCCTCACCGCCGCCCGCCTCGGCCGCGCGCAGCACCAGATTAACGGGCGGGTGCGACAGCTGCTGCGCCAGCGCGAGGTCACCGACCACAGGCTCAGCGAAGTGCGCAAGGGTCTGCTTATTAACCAGCAGAGCGTCAAGCTGCGGGGCTACAGGCCCAAGTCTGAGAAGGTGGGACCCTCCCCCACGCCCAACCCCAGCCTAACTGCAAAGACTGAGGCCTCCGCTATGCGGTGTCCAGCCCCGGGGAAATCCTTTCCATACTTTGGGAGGCCAAGGCTGGTTGATCACCTGAGGTCAGGAATTCGAGACCAGCCTGACCAACATGGTGAAACCCCCGTCTCTACTAAAAATACAAAATTAGCCGGGCCTGGTGGCGCATGCCTGTAATCTCAGCTACTTGGGAGGCTGAGGCAGGAGAATCACTTGAACCCGGGAGGCAGAGGTTGCAGTGAGCCGAGATCGTGCCATTGCACTCCAGCCTGGGCAACAAGAGCAAAACTCCATCTCAAAAAAAAAAAAAAAAAATATTTCCATAGAGAGAACACCCAACTCCGGTGAATAAGGGCACAAGAAGATGAGGGCCAGATGCAGTAGCTCACGCCTGTAATCCCAGCACTTTGGGAGGCCTTGGTGTGAGGACCGCTTGAGTCCAGGCCTTCCAGGTTGCAGTGAACTATGATGGCACCACTGTGTTCCAGCCTGGGTGACAGGTGAGAACCTGTCTCTACCAAAAATTTTAAAAAGTTAGCTGGGTGTGTTGGTGCACACCTGTAATCCCAGCATTTTGGGATGCCGATGCGGGAGGATTGCTTGAGGCCAGGAGTTGGAGACCAGCCTGAGCAACATAGTGAGACCCCGTCTCTACAAAAAAAAAAAAATTTTTAGTGGCCCAGCATGGTGGCATGCACTTATGGTCCCAGCTACTTGGAGGCTGAGGCAGGAGGATTGCTTAAGCCCAAGAGTTTGAGGCTGCAGTAAGCTATAATCAGGCCAACCGCAAACCAGCATGGGCAACACAGTGAGATCCCATCTCTCCAAAAATTGCAGGTAAATTAGCCAAGTTTGGTAGTTTGTGCTTGTAATCCCAGCACTTCAGGACACCAAGGCAGGAGGATTGCTTGAGGCCAGGAGTTTGAGGCCAGCCTGGACAACACAGCAAGACCCTCTCTGCACCAAAGTTTAAAAAAAATAGTCAGGCATGGTGGTGCATGCCTCTAGTCCCAGCTACTTAGGAGGCTGAAGCAGGATTGTTTGAGCTCAGGAGTTCAAGGCTGTAGTGAAATATGATAGGGCCACTACACTTCAGCCTAGGAGATAGTGAGACTCAAAAACAAACAAACAAAAAAAGATGATGGATACAGGCCCAGGAAGAGATGCCTAAGCCCCCAAGACCCAAAGAGTGAGCCCTGCCCAAGGAGATGAGATCCTCAGCTTCCCTGCCCCAGAGGAGAAAATTATCCAAATCTCCCAGCCAGGGAGAGAGGGTGCAGCCCCTGATTCAGACTCCTTGAAAATCTCCCCAAAAAGTAAAACCCACAGCCCTCAGCCCAGGCATAAAATCATCCACCTAGACCCTAGGCCCAGAGGGTAAGACCCTTCCATAGATGTGAGACCCTCAGTGCCCCAGTCCTAGTGAAAACACACTCCCAACTCCCAGCTGAGGAGAGCGGCTGATACCCTTGTCCCAACCCAGGTGAAACTCCCCCCCAGAATGTTAAATAAAACCCAATTCCCCTGGCTTCAGGAAGTGAAAATCTCCACCCCCAGGCCTCGTCTGTGGTGAAAGGAAGAAGTCCTCCCTACAGAGAGAGACTTCAGACTCCCAACCCTCACACCCAAAGGTTAAGCTCCCATCCAGGGAGAAAGAGTAAGACTTCTAGTACCAGTCCTGGTGAAATCTTCCCCTTAAAGTGAAATCTCAAATCCCCACCCCAAAAGGTACAAAAATTCCTGCCTCCCGGGGGAGAGATGAGACCCCACCCACAGAATGGGATTCCTACCCTCAGCCCCCAGATCCAAATATTAAGACTCCAAAAACGTAAACCCTCATCATCCGTATGATATGATCCCTCCACCTGTAGCCAGGGAGAGGAGATAAGACCATCACTGAGGAAGGGGTGCCCAGCTCCCAGCCTCAGGGGGTGAGAACAACCCTCCCCCAAGTTGAGACACCTTCATCTCAGCCCCCTGGGCTCCTATCTGTAAAAGAGAGACGCCCCCAACCTCAAGCTCCAGAGAGCAAGACCCGCCAAGTCAGAGAGCCCACTGAAAAGATCAAACCTTCTCAAAGAGTGAGACACCCCACCCAAAGGATGAGAGTACCCTCAACTTCATCCTTCAAACTCAGAGTTTATGAGGCTGGCAAACCCTCTACCACCCTGGAAAGAGGAATCTCTTCCCAGCCCTTTCTTAACGATGTGAGGGATTCTCTCCTCGTTTTCTAGGTCCCTGACAAAGCTGACAGTATGCTTACATGGGAGAAAGAGGAGCTGAAAAGCATGAAGAGGAAAATGGAGAGAGATATGGAAAAATCAGAGGTCCTACTCAAGGTTAGGGGTGCCTGTGGACAAGTTACGGGGGCTGGAGGGGGATCCCTGGCTGCCTAATGGACAAACCACTCTGACCTGGGGACTGTCACAATAGCAATTCCTTCAAGCCACACTGACCAGATATTCACTGCATTTTGCTTTGTGAAATGGAAAAAGGGAGGTCATGGGAGATGACGTTGGGTCTCAGAATAACAACGAACAACCACTCTGTACCAAACCCTGCGCAGTCATTGAATCCACTCCTTAAGGCTGTCCTGTGAGGCAGAAACTATGATTTCCTCAATAGAGATGGGAAAATTGAGACCCAGAGAGAGACCTCACCTAATAAGCAAAGCCATCAGTGAAAGCGCTGTGGTTTCAGCCCAAGTGACTAGAGTCTAGCTCTTTGCACTCTAACACGTGCTCCAGCTTCAGCCAGACTTGATCTCTCGCTGCATCCTTCGCACTTGCAATGAGAACTTCTTCATGAGGGCACAAATTAAGGGGGAAGAGCAGCCAGACTTCAGGGGGCCTTTTGGACCTGTTAAGGTTCGCTGGAAATTTGTGTGCTTTCGACTCATCCTTTTGATAAATACTAATCTGGTACCTGCTTCCCAGGCACCAGGCTTGGCATCATAGATAAAGTGGTGACTGAGAAAGAACTAGCCTTGTCCTTGAAGAGTTAACATTCTAAAGGCATTCAAAGAAAATACAGGCTGGGAACTTGTTTTATTTCCTATTGTGAGATTGAAGTCTTTTATTGTTGTTGAACTTTCCTTGCTTTTATGTATAGATCTCCTCAGCTAGACTACATTTAAAAAAGCATTGGACCTTGAAGGCAGATATAGTACTAAATTATATTTCACGTAGCAAAGCTCAGTAAGGTTGTGTTGACTGGGGAGTGGGGAGGAGGGGAGAAGAAGGGACAGGCTGGGGGACGAGGGTGTGGACGAGGCAGGAGACTCAGTGGGGGGGCGGGGGGCGGGGGCTGCTGAAACGCTGTCCGTGGTGCTGAATCGGAATACTGCATATCTTCTGGCCGCTGTCATATTCCTTTAAATCTGATGATTCCTGAAATATCCTTCCAGGAAGTCGGAGGCAGAGAAGGGAGAAGCCCCTGAGGATGGACGTGGGAGCAAAGGGCTATAAAGAGGGAAATGGATCATGCCCATAATCTCAGTACTTTGGGAGGCCAAGGCAGGAGGATTGCTTCTTGAGGCCAGAAGTTCAAGACCAGTCTGAGCAACATAGCAAGCCCTCATCTATATTTTAAAATAAAATAAAACTAGCCAGGCACAGTTGCAAGTGCCTGCAGTCCCTATTCAGGAGGCTGAGGGAGGAGGATTGCTTGAATCCAGGAGTTCAAGGCTGCAGTGAGCCATGATCATACCTCTGCGCTCCAGTCTGGGTAACAGAGGAAGACCCTGTCTCTGTGAGAGTGAGAGAGAGAGGTGGGAAAGGACAGATATAGATAGAAACAGAGACAGGCTGCTTGGCAGGACCTAGTCTGAATATTGCTGGAGAAAAATACTTACCACCAATCAGATTTGTTTCAACTTAAAATCATGAAGTCAAACCTCAAATTGGCACTCAAACCTTTCCCAGATACCTCGCCTTAAGTCTCTAGAAGACTTGCTGACCTGCTGGGCAAGTGATTTCATAACTTCTCTTCCTTTAGTCCTCTCCAGCTCCCTGTGCCTTCCTTGCTCTACGGTGATTTCAATGAAAACCACCAAAGGGAACCTCTCTCATTTTTCCTCTGTCAATCCTATAATTCCACCCTTCCACCCTTCTCCTGCACCATCAACATTTCCTTCTCTCTTGGCTCATTGTCACCAGTGAACAAAGGGAGAATTATTCTTTCATGGGTACAGATCTGTTGGGATGATGAAAAATTCTGGAGGTGGATTGCAATCCAGCCTGGAAGACAGAGCAAGATTCTATATAAATGAATGAAGGAAGGAGGGAAGGAACAGAACAGGTAAAATTAATCTCCAAGTCAGCTTACTGGAGATGATGGTTGTACGAATACACTTAATGCCACTAAACTGTACACTTAGCAAGGTTAAAATAGAAACATGTTATGTCATATCTATTTTACTACAATAAAAAGCCCACCTCTCTTGATCTACATGCCCCTCTAGATACCCATTTCTCTAGTCCACTGCATCTTATCTGCATATGTCAACTTGCTCATGTTGACTCCAGGCAGGCTCCTCAGCTAAACTGCATTTGAATAAGCATTGGACCTTGAAGGCAGATACAGTACTAAATTATATTTCATGTAGCAAAACTCAGTAAGGATGTGTTGACTGGGGGGTGGGGAGGAGGGGAGAAGAAGGGACAGGCTGAGGGTCGAGGGTGTGGACGAGGTAGGAGACTCAGGGACTGGTGGAACGCTGTCCGTGGTGCTGAACTGGACAGCTGTCCTTTTTTTTTTTTTTTTTTTTTTTTGAGTTGGCTCTATTGCCCAGGCTGGAGTGCAGTGGCGTGGCGTGATCGCAGCTCACTGCAACCTCTGCCTTCCGAGTTCAAGCAATTCTCCGACCTCAGCCTCCCGAGTAGCTGGGATTACAGGTGCCTGCCAGCACACCCGGCTAATTTTTGTATTTTTAGTAGAGACGTGGTTTCACCATGTGCGCCAGGCTGGTCTCAAACTCCTGACCTCGTGACCACCTGCCTCGGCCTCCCAAAGTGCTAGGATTACAGGCATGAGCCACTGCGCCCGGCCTGGACTGCTGTCTTGCTGGTCACTGTATCCCCACCACCTGGCACATCGCCTGGCATCAGTAGGGGTTTAATTAATATTTGAATTCATGAACAAAAGACTTTTTAAGTCTGCTTTTTAACCAAATGAATAAATCCCAAAGATACCATATTCAGAGAAAGAAGCTGGACATAAAGTGTACACTCTGTAGGATTCCATTTATATGAAGTTTTAGATTCAGCAAGGGTTTTCCTCAAGGTACAGTTAGTAAATGCTTTCAGCCTTGTGTGCTGTGCAGTTTCTGTCACAACTACTCAACTTGGCCAGTGTGCCATGGAAACAACGAGAAATGATATGCATATGAATGGGCATGACTGTGTTTCAATAAAATTTTACTTACAAAAACAGGTCTGCCATCCATAGGATGGAAATTTATCAACTCCTTAACAACAGGCAAAACTCGGCTGGGTGCAGCGGCTCACATCTGTTATCCCAGCACTTTGGGAGGCCCAAGCAGGAGAGTTGCTTGAGGCCAGGAGTTTGAGGCCAGGAATTTGAGGCCAGCTTGCACAGCATAGCAAGATATCATCTCTACAAAAATGTTTAAAAATAACTGGGCATGGTTAGCATGCACCTGTAGTCCTAGCTATTTAGGAGGCTGAGCTGAGAGGATCTCTTGAGCCCAGGAGTTTGAGGCCACAGTGAGCCAGGATCATGCCACTGCAATCCAGCCTGGGAGACAGAGCAAGATTCTGTAAATGAATGAAGGAAGGAAGGACTAAAACAGGTAAAACTAGTCTCCAAGTCAGCTTACTAGAGGGGGTCAGGGAGGGACAGAGGAAAGGGGAGCCAGAGAAATGTATGGCATGATGGAAATATTTTATATCTTGATGGAGAGTGTTTATAAGGGTGTATATATGTGCAAATGACTTGTTTTGATATAACTCTCAAATAATTGCAAATATCAAAGGAATATGATATGCTTCATTTTATTGTGGAGGAAGTAAGATTTCGATGGCGGGATGCTGTCCAGATGAGACACAGCCTGGTGGGAGGGGGGAACTCAGAGAATAGCAGTCTCTTAATATTGATCAGAGCAGAGGAAGGGAGACTTCAAGGCTAGAGGTGGGGATGGGATGAGTGCCAGTTGAGAATCAAGGGGGTGACACAGGAAGATCAAGATGTGGGTATAGTGAGTGCCAGCTCTCCATGTTACAGTGGGGAAATGCATGAGACAGGCTCTTTTCTCAGGGTGCCAGAACAGAGCCAGGCACAGAAACCAAGCAATTGACACCCAGCACAGGGAAGCTGTTGCTGTCTCTTACTGCTCCCCTCACCCCACCCCCAAAGAGTCACTGAAGGCTTCTGAACTGGGTAAGGAGGCAGGAGATGTCTGAGCTTCAACTTAGGAATTGCTTCTTCCCAAGAACACAAACAAGAGCTGGAAAGGGGCCGGGTGTGGTGGCTCACACCTGTAATTCCAATACTTTGGGAGGCTGAGGCAGGAGGATCACTTGAGCCCAGGAGTTCAACACTAGCCTGAGCAACATAGCATCACTCTGTCTCAAAATAAAAGAACAGGAAAGGGTCAAGAATGGAGTGAGGAAGGAAACCAATTTCTCAGAACCAATCCATATCCCAGCACTTTGGGAGGCTGAGGCGGGTGGATCACCTGAGGTCAGAAGTTTCAGACCAGCCTGGCCAACATAGCAAAATCCTGTCTCTACTAAAAAATACAAAAATTAGCTAGGTGTGATGGCACATGCCTGTAATCCTAGCTACTCATGAGGCTGAAGCAGGAGAATCCTTTGAACCCGGGAGGCAGAGGTTTCAGTGAGCCAAGATCGCACCATTGCATGATCTGTCTGGAAGTGAGCAGACTCACTTTTACCTGATTATTATGCACAGTACCATAAACAGAAGACAACTTTGTGAATAAAAAAGTGATTTTAAGACATTTCTCTAGCTGGGCACAGCAGCTCGCGCCTGTAATTCCAGCATTTTGAGAGCCCAAGGTGGGTGGATTGCTTGAGCCCAGGAGTTTGAGACAAGCCTGGACAACATAGTAAGACCGCGTCCCTACAAAAATTAAAAAAAAATAATTAGCCAGTGTGGTGGCATGTGTCTGGTGTCCCAGCTACTTGGGAGGCTGAGGTGGGAGGATCGCTTGAGCACAGGATGTCCAGGCTGCTGTGAGCTGTGATCATGCCACTGCACTCCAGCCTGGGAGACTGAGTGAGACCCTATCTCAAAATATGTATATATATATAACTTCCCTGGATTACCTGACATCCAAGTGAACACCCATCACCTGGGAAAAATGTAAGCAGAATTGCCTGACCCTTGACTCTTATTTCCACGTTCCCATACCTTAACACACCTTCCCTTCTCTAAAAGCCACGTTTGCAGGAATATCTATTCAGCACCACCAACTCATCCATGTGTTTATCTGTAATGGCTATTGAGGAAACTGTACTGTTCATGGTTGTTTTTGTTTTTGTTTTGAGACAGGATCTCACTCTGTTGCCCAGGCTACAGTGCAGTGGTGCAATCATGGCTCACTGCAGCCTCAACCTCCTGGGCTCAGGTGACCCCCCCACCTCAGCCTCCTGAGTAGCTGGAATTACAGACGTGAATCATCACACCTTGCTAATTTTTTGCTTTTTTGTAGAGATGGAGTTTCACCATGTGGCCCAGGCTGGTCTTGAACTCCTAGGCTCAAGCGATCCTCCCATCTTGGCCTCCCAAAGTGCTGGAATTACAGGCATGAGCCACCACACCCAGCCTGAATGCAGTGATTTTTTCACAGTGTGTTTATAGGTCAAAACATCAAGTTGTACACTTTAAATAAATACAATTTTTATTTATCAATTATACCTCAATAAAGCTGGGAAAATTAAGTGGAAAAGAATACGTTTTAAATGAACTTACTACAAAAAAATGATAAGTATGTGAGACGATGGATATGTTAATTAGTTTGATAACATCCTTCCACATTGCATACACAAATCAAAGCATCACATTGCATGCCATAAATATATACAATTATTATTTTTCAATTAAAAACAAAAATTTAAGTAAAATAATAAAGTAAACCTTGAGGGGTGGTGTGATGTGAGTCAAAGGAGGAAAAAGAATCATTTTTTCATAAGATGTAGACATGTCTCTCCTAAAAAAGATTTTGTGAAAGAAAATATTTATCTGGAACATTGGGGAAATAAGTTAAATCAAAAAATATTTCCAGGCCAGGCACAGTGGCTCATGCCTGCAATCCTAAAACTTTGGGAGGCTGAGGCAGGAAGATTGCTTGAGCCTAGGAGTTTGAGACCAGCCTAGGCAACATAGTGAGACCCTGTCTTTACAAAAAAATAAATAAATAATACAAATTAGCTGTCTCAGGAGGCTGAGGCAAGAGGATCGCTTGAGCCCAGGAGGTTGAGGCTGCAGTGAGTTACGATTCCACCACTGCACTACAACCTGTGCAACATGTGTCTCAAAACAAAAAAAAATAATATATATATACCCATAAGTAAAAACCTTTACCAGTATCAAAAAAAAAAAAAAATTAGGCACACTGCCTCACACCTGTAATTCCAACACTTTGGAAGGTCAAAGGAGGAGGATAGCTTGAAGCCAGGAGTTCAAGACCAGCCTAGACAACATAGTCAGACCCCTTCTTCACAAAAAGTTTTAAAAATAGCAAGGCATGGTGCTTTACTCCTGTAGTCCCAGCTACTCAGGAGGCTTAGGCAGGAGGATTACTTGAGCCCAGGATGTTGAGGCTCTAGAGAGCTATGGTGGCACCACTGCACTCCAGCCTGGATGACAGAGCAAGATTTTGTCTCAAAAAAAAAAAAAAATGAGAGTGTCAGTTTCCGTTTAGAGGTAGAAATGCTTTACAGCCTATAAGGCTCAAGCCTGCAGCAGAGAAATCACTTGCATCCACTTCCCTCAACCTCCCAGTTCTCACTCTGTCTTCTCCTCCCCTCCCCACCCAGACCCTGGCCTCCTGCCGAGACACTCTGAACTTCTGCTTCAAGGAGCGGCTCCAAGCCGTGGACCTCATGAACCAGCCTCTGGACAAGGTTCTGGAGCAGGCCAGACGCCACTCATGGGTGAACCTCTCCCGAGCCCCCACTCCACGCACACAGGGTCAGAAAACGCCTCCTCCAGACCCTGTGGGCACCTATAACCCAGGTAGGAGTCCACTGTACTGGGTCGTATTGGTGCCCACCCAGATCCCCTTGACTGTCAGTGCAGCCCGTCGCCCACTTAGCTGTCCCTTTCCTGGGAAATAGCCCTAGAGTCAATGGGAGGACTGAAAGCCTATCATGCTGAGCACACATTGTCACTCAGCTTTTCCCCCTGCACTCTCCTGCCCACACTCGCTGAGGACTCAGTCATTCACAGGCTCTGCTTTTTTTTTTTTTCCTTTGAGATGGAGTCTTGCTCTGTCACCCAGGCTGGAGTGCAATGGCCTGATCTCAGCTCACTGCAACCTCCGCCTCCCAGGTTCAAGTGATTCTCCTGCCTCGGCCTCCTGAGCAGCTGGGATTACAGGCGCCCACCACCACGCCCGGCTAATTTTTGTATTTTTAGTAGAGGCGGGTGTTTCACCATGTTGGCCAGGCTGGTCTCGAACTCCTGACCTCAGGTGATCCACCCGCCTCAGCCTCCCAAAGTGCTGGGATTACAGGTTACAGGCTCTGCTTCTAAGGAAACCAACCCAAGACGCTTCTTACACTATCCCCCGCGCCCCCTGGACTTTCACCCAGTTCCTCAATAAAACCCCCTCGCCCAGGGCCCACCACCACCTGAGAATAGAGAGAGGGACAGGGGCTCTGGGAACGGAGGACTTGGCACCCCCACGCGCATCCTGGGCATTTGCAGCGTGCGCCTTGGCGCTAAACGAAGCCAAGCGGTTGTTGGTCGAGTCCAAGGACACCTTGGTAGAAATGGCAAAGAACGAGGTGGACGTCCGGGAGCAACAGCTGCAGATAAGCGACCGTGTGTGTGCCTCGCTGGCGCAGAAGGCGAGCGAGACCTTGGAGCTGAAGGTGAGCGCATTACCTGCGGCTGCGGGCCAGGGTGGGACAGGGGAGGAGACGCGGACTGGGAGCCAGCGTGATCCCCCTGCGCTTCCCTGCCCCCAGGAAAGATTAAATATGACGTTAGGACTGATGAGGGGAACTATCCTCCGGTGTACGAAATATAACCAAGAGTTGTACACCACCCACGGTCTCATCAAGGTACGGTTCGGGGTGAGAGCCTTCGGGGGTGGAGGCAGGGGTGCCGGTGGCTGGAGGCTGGGTTTCAATGCGCTTGCACACCGCACCCCACCAGGGTCCTCTGTCGAAAGTTCACCTGGAGACCGCAGAAAAGCTGGACAGACCCCTGGTTCGCATGTACCAGAGACACGTGGGCACCCAACTCCCGGAGGCTGCGCGCCTCGCACAGGTAAACCCCCTCCCCCGTACCCCTCTAGGCCCAGCCCCGCCAATGGTAAGGCTCCTTCCTCAAGCACATCTGGACCAGGTATGATCCCCCTCTCACCCAAGTCGGCCTGTCCTTCAACTCCTGCCACGAAGTGGGGAGGCGGGGGCTTCACTGGGTACTGAAGTGGGTACTGGCGGGGGCTTCAGTGGGTACTGGCTCAAATAAGTCCCCTCAACCCCTGTCCTCCCCCCTCACACACACCCTCACTGTCCAGCTCTGGCCTTAGTCTCTCTAACCTGTAAAATGAGGAGCACGTCAGCACCCACTTCAAATGGTGGTGGTGAGGACAGATGAGTTCATGCATGAAAGGTGTGTAGCATGGCACCTGCATAGAATACCCTTAAAGCTGCCCAGCTGTTATTATTAACTATTATTGTTATTATTATTTGAGACAGACTCTCGCTCTGTCGCCCAGGCTGGAGTGCAGTGGTGCAATCTTGGCTCACTGCAACCTTCACCTCCCGGGTTCAAGCGATTCTCCTGCCTCAGCCTCCTGAGTAGCTGGGATTACAGGTGCGCGCCACCACACCCGGCTAATTTTTGTATTTTTAGTAGAGACAGAGTTCTGCTATGTTGGCCAGGCTAGTCTTGAACTCCTGACCTCAGGTGATCCGCCCGCCTCGGCCTCCCAAAGTGCTGGGATTACAGGTGTGAGCCACCGCGTCCGGCCCTGAGCTGTTATTATTAAGTACCCTTCCTAAGGAGGATCCTTCCTACACATCTTGACTAGATGCATTCCCCTCCCTCAGCCTGCCCTGTCGCGGTTTTTTTTTTTTCCAGGCACACCTGGCCCATTCAGATGTGTTCCCCTCCTCAGCTGTGTTCCTTACACACACACCTGGCGCAGGTGTGCCTTCCCACGCCAGGTAGCCATCTGCTCTGGCTCACGGGTCTGCCCTGCTCCCTATCCAGGGCACCGACAAGCTGCAGTGCCACATCACGTACCTGGAAAAGAACCTGGACGAGCTGCTCGCCACGCACAAGAACCTCAGCTGGGGCCTCAACTGCAAGAACATCGGGCATGAGGTGGACGGCAACGTGGTGCGCCTGCGCCTGCGCCAGCGGCAACCGCACGTGTGCTACGAGCAGGCGCAGCGCCTGGTTAAGGACTGGGACCCGCGCACGCCGCCGCCGCGCAGCAAGAGCAGCGCGGACCCCTAGTGACCCCAGCGTCCCCCGCCCCAGCCAGCTGATTGGATGCTGGCTGGGACCTCGGAGAGCAGACACAGCCCCATGGCCCTCCCTCTCCCCTGACGCACCCTCCCTCCAAGCACCCTCTAGGAGAATTATAATTAAAAATAACAATAATTATCATGTATTAGGCACCTACTGTATGTCAACCACTTACCCTAGGACACGTTATAAGCGCATATCCTGGTAGTTAATAGGATGGATTTGGGTGCCAGATGGCTGGGATTTAAATTCCAGCTTCCCAGTTTCAAGCTGTGTGGCCTTGGACAAGTCACTGTCCCTCTCTGGCCTTGGTCTCTCCAACCTGTAAAATGAGGAGCATGACAGCACCCACTTCAAATGGTGGTTGTAGGCGGGGCGCGGTGGCTCACGCCTGTAATCCCGGCACTTTGGGAGGCGGAAGCAGGCGGATCACCTGAGGTCAGGAGTTCGAGACCAGCCTGGCCAACATGATGAAACCCTGTCTCTACTAAAAATACAAAAATTAGCTGGGCCTGGTGGTGCGCACCTGTAATCCCAGCTACTAGGGAGGCTGAGACAGGAGAATCGCTTGAACCCAGGAGGCGGAGGTTGCAGTGAGCTGAGATCAAGCCACTGCACTCCAGCCTGGGTGACAAGAGCGAGACTCCGCCTCAAAAAAAAAAAATTGGTGGCTGTGAGGACAGATGAGTTCATGCATGAAAGCCCTATAGTATGGTGGCTGCATAGTATATCCTCAAGGCACCTGAGCTGTTATTATTGGCATCTCCATTTTACAGTTGAGGAAACAGGCACAGAGAGGCTGTGCAGCTTGCCCAGGGTCACACAGGAAGTAGCAAAACTGGAATTTTCATTCCAGACTCAAGAGCCTGCACTCTAAGTGGAACTTCTAGGAGCTCTGCTCTGTCCTACCCCATGTGGTGTCTGGTCCTGAGCCCAGCACTGAGAATAAAGCAGTGAGCAGGGCTGATGTGGTCCCCACTCTCAGGGAGGTCACAGGTTGATCCAGTGCAGCTAATGTCATCCATTTGGGTGTGGCTCTGGTTCAGGTCCTTCTGCTTTTCCAGTAGGCTCTTGGACACCCCGCCATCACAGGACCCCTCACACTGAGCTGTGATTCTTATCTGCTCTTCCCAGGAAGATCCAGGGTGTTGCACACATACAGAAAGAATGTGCATTACAGCCACAGGTATCTCCTAAGCAACTGCTCTGTGTCAGAGGCTGTGTGAGGCGCCAGGGATACAGCAAGGATGTGTCCCTCCGTCGTGGAGCTCACAGTGTATATGCTGAGAATGGCCTTCACAAATGTTGGTATCCTTTTGGCAAAGCCAGCCAATTGTATGGACCTAAGCACCAACGTTTAGCAGAGAAGAAAATGAAGCTCATTTTTCTTCTCATTTTCCCAGGGTTACACAGCCAGAGATGGGTAAAGCAAGATTTCAACCTGTCATGCTCCACATCTCAAGCAGGGACCAGGATCTGAATGAGTCCCCAAAACAAGAGAATGGAGATTGGGTCAATTATGGCCACTGGACAGAAAAACGCATGGGCAAAAAAGAGAGCCATCTGCCCAGGATGACAGACCTGGGTAGGAGTTCAGCTGGGGATCGGCTCCATTGGTCTGACTCAGAAGCATTGTGTGTCACAGCCAGCTCCCTTATGTCAAGACAGACTCTACAGCTTGGGGGTTACAGGCCCCCAGTCTCCCTGGGGCTCAGACTCCCACATAAACTATTCTTCTTCAAGCACTTCTTCCCAGTACCAATCAGGATATCAACAAGAAACAGCACACTCCATTTGCAAGAAGTTTAAGGGCCAGGTGCGGTGGCTCACACCTGTAATCCCAGTACTTAGGGAGGCCGAGGCAGGCGGATCATTTGAGGTCAGACGTTCAAGACCAGCCTGGCCAACATGGTGAAACTCTACCTCTACTAAAAATACAAAAATTAGCCAGGCATGGTGGCGGGAGCCTGTAGTCCCAGCTACTTAGGAAGGCTGAGGCAGGAGAATCGCTTGAATCCCAGAGGTGGAGGTTGTAGTGAGCTGAGATCGCCCCACTGCACTCCAGCCTGGGTGACAGAGTGAGACTCTGTCTCAAAAAAAAAAAAAAAAAAAAGAGAGAGAGAGAGAAAGAAGTTTAAGAGACCACAGTTGATCCTCATTATCCCCAAATTTACTTGCTAATTCACTTACCGAAATTTATTTGTCACTTCAAAATCAGTACTTGTAGTGCTTTCACAATCATTTGCAGGCATGCACAGAGCCGTGAAAACATTTTTAGCCACCTGATGTTCACACTGCCCCTCTGAGGGCAAAGAAGGTGATGCTGCCTTTTTGTGCCAGCTCTCTTACCATAAACAAGTGTCCTTGTGGTAGCCTATTTAGCATCTCTGTCTCTCTCTCTCTTTTTTTTTTTTTTTTTTTTTTGCATTTTTGTGCATTTTGTTGGTGGTTTTTGCTGTTTAAAATGACTTCCAGGGGTTAGTGCTGAAGTGCTGTCTACTGTCCCTGAGCACAAGAAGGCTGAAATGTGTCTTAGGGGAAAAATACATGCGTTAGATAAGCTTCATTCAGGCATGCATTATAGTGCTGTGGCCGTGACCTCCATGTGCATGAATGCATCACATATATTAAATAAGGTGTCTTTTTTTTTTTTTTTGAGACAGAGTCTCACTCTTTTTGCCCAGGCTGGAGTGCAGTGGTGCAATTTTGGCTCATTGCAACCTCCGCCTCCTGTGTTCAAACGATTCTCCTGCCTCAGCTTCCCAAGTAGCTGGAATTACATACACACACCGCCACACCCAGCTGATTTTTGTATTTTTAGTAGAGACAGGGTTTCACTATGTTGGCCAGGCTGCTCTCGAACTTCCGACCTCAAGTTAACTTCCAACCACCCGCCTCGGCCTCCCAAAGTGCTGGGATTACAGGCATGAGCCACCGCACCCGGCCAAATAAGGTCTCTTTAAATAGAAACACCTAAAACAAGGTTATGTCTTGATTCGTTGACAAAAGGGCTGTGACCACAGGCTCACAGAAACCTAATCCTGTATTTCCCCATGAGCCATGGTTCAGCGTTCACTGATTCAGTGTGCGTGGTGGCTTTATGGACCATTACCGCAAATAACAGGAATTAACTGTGTTTGCAAAGGTGTGGGCAGCTAGTAGGGAAACCTCAAAGGATAGCTAGCATAATATCCACATGCCAGTGATTGCGGGGAGCCTTTTCCACCTGTGGGTCTGAAGGGAAAGGGCTGTTAGCAGATGGGAGCATGTAACTCTGTGATGCTGCAGTGTAGACGCCGTGAAATGCCCCTACCCACCTCTCTGTCCATTGGCCAGTGTCCCCGATGGGCCGAACCACCCTGCTGACTTTTGACCTTCACGCAGGTCCTTCCCGGAGCTGGGAATTATCCCTTTACCCTCACCTTTGCCCATCTTGATGCCCAGAAATCTTGCATAGGAGGCAAATGCTCCCCTTGCAAGCAATGTCTTGCCCTGGGGTTTGCAGCCTGCCACCCTCACCTTGCTGTCACCGCCCCAGTTTGTGACCTCAGCTCACACAATGTCCCCAAACAGCATTTGCACAATTCCCCCCATTGCCTCAGAGCTGAGATTTCAGCTGCTGCCCTAGATGTGAGTCCTGTGCACCCAGCAAGCTTCTCCACGACACCATGAGGTGGGTGTCATTATCCCAACCTTAGAGATGAAGAAATAGGCCCAAAGCAGTACAAAATGTATAGATGCCACCACCCAGCAAGTAAGGGGCTAAGTGTGGGCTGTAAAAATTGTAGGCAGGGCAGGCGCGGTGGCTCATGCCTGTAATCCCAGCACTTTGGGAGGCCAAGGCTGGCAGATCATTTGAGGTCAGGAGTTCAAGACCAGCCTGGCCAGCATGGTGAAACCCTGTCTTTACTTTAAAAAATGCAAAAATTAGCTGCACATGTTGGCACATGCCTGTAGTCCCAACTACTCAGCAGGCTGAGGCGGGCTTGAACCCAGGAGGCAGAGGTTGCAGTGAGCTGAGATCACACCACTGCACTCCAGCATGGCCAACAGAGCAAGACTCCATCTCAAAAAAAAAAAAACTGTAGGGAGTCCCCTTACCCCCCAAAAGTCCTCCTGGCTGGACACAGTGGCTCACACCTGTAATCTCAGCACTTTGGGAGGCTGACTTAGAAGGATTGCTTGAGCCCAGAAGGTTGAGACAAGCCTGGGAAACACGGTGAGACCCTCATCTCTACAAAAAAAGTTTACAAAATTAGTTGGGCATAGTGGCCCATGCCTATAGTCCCAGCTACTTGGGAGGCTGAGGCAAGAGGATTGCTTGAGCCCAGGAGTCTGAGGCTGCAGTGAGCTGTGATCACACCACTGCACTCCAGCCTGGGTGACAAAGCAAGATTCTATCTAAAAAAAAAAAAAAAAGTCCTCCCATACCCCTCAAACAATGATCAGGTATCACCTGCATGAGAACACCTACGTGCACCAGGTTCCAGGGTCACACTCCAGACCTACGGAATCAGAATCTCAGAAGGCAAAGCACAAAAATCCGCATTGCTCATGAGCTTTCTAGGAGGGTCCAATGCACACCAATGCTTGAAATGCATTGCCTGCTGTTGCTGGTTTCCCAGGGCTGACTTCTGCATTGGGCATAGTAAACACTAATGAGAGAGCCCACAAAAAATATTTTTATTGTAATTTCTTTCTTTTTTTTTGAGACAGAGTCTTGCTCTGTCGCCCAGGCTGGAGTGCAGCAGTGCAATCTCAGCTCATTGCAACCTCCGCCTCCCAGGTTCAAGCGATTCTCCTGCCTCAGCCTCCCAAGTAACTGGGATTACAGGCAGCCGTCACCACACCCAGCTAATTTTTGTATTTAGTAGAGACGGGGTTTCACCATGTTGATCAGGCTGGTCTCAAACTCCTGACTTCAGGTGATCTGCCCACCTTGGCCTCTCAAAGTGCTGGGATTACAGGTGTGAGCCACTGTGCCCGACCTGTAGTTTCTTTTTAAATCAGAAGAAAAATATGAATATAATAATAAATATATGACATACTGCATTGTATGTTATTTATGTGATACACAATTTATATTCATCTCTATACTAATGTAGGGGTGTTTTTCACATTTTGGGAGTTTTGGGGGGTTTTTGAGACAGGGTCTCACTCTGACACCCAGACTGGAGTGCAGTGGCATAATCATAGCTCACTGCAGCTTCAAACTCCTGAGCTCAAGTGAGCCTCCTGTCTCGGCCTCCTGAGTAGCTGGGACGACAGGTGCATGCCCCCATATCTGGCTAATTTTTGTATTTTTTTGGAGCGATGGGGTCTTTCTCTGTTGCCCAGGCTGGTCTCGAACTCCTGGCTTCAAGTGATCCTCCCACGTTGGCCTCCCAGAGTGCTGAGATTAGAAGCGTGAGCCACTGCACCTTGCCTTTTCAGCATTTTTTTCATTGTGGTAAACTACACACAACAAAATTTACCCTCTTAACCATTTTTAAGTGTTCAGTTCAGCAGCATTAAGTACCCTCACAGTATTGTGCAACCTTCACCACCATCCATCTCCAGAACTCTTTAAATCTTGCAAAACAGAAAGTCTATACCCTTTAAATAATAACCGCTCCTTTCCTCCTCCGCATCCCCCAGCCCCTGTCAACCACTGATACCATAGATACCACTTTCTGTATATGACTTTGACTGTTCTAGGTACCTCATATAAGCTACATCAATAAAGTTTTACGTATTTATTTTTTGATGGAAGAAGGAACTCACAAAGGTAAATGTGCCTCAGGCCCATAAAACCCAAAATTTGGCCCTACAACTTCCCCTTAAAATATTGGGCACATTCCTCTCATTCATGTATTTATTTTACTTATTTAATTTATTTATTTTTTATTTTTTGAGACAGATTTTCACTCTTGTTGCCCAGGCTGGAGTGCAATGGCACGATCTCCACTCACTGCAACCTCTGCCTCCTGGGTTCAAGCGATTCTCCTGCCTCAGCCTCCAGAATAGCTGGGATTACAGGCATGCGCCACCACACCCAGCTAATTTTTGTGTTTTTGTTAGAGACGGGGTTTCGCCGTGTTGGCCAGGCTGGTCTCGAACTCCTGACATCAGGTGATCCGCCTGCCTAGGCCTCCCAAAGTGCTGGAATTACAGGTGTGAGCCACTGTTCCAGGCCGACATTGGGTAAATATTTAAGTGAATACATGAACAAATAAACAGATAAAGTTTGCAGAGTGTTACTGTGTGCATTGCCTTATTTAATTTTCCACTTTAGACCTGGAAAGTTCCCTTCGTAATCATCCAGTTCACCATGCTTTGCTGTCTTCCTTATTCTCTTTCCAATTTTCCTGGAAAGTGAGAAACTGACATGGGAAGCAAGCAGCACAGCATCCGCTGTGGGAGAGATGCAGACCTGGGCTTGACCCTTTAGAGCTGTGTTACCTCGGGCAACTTGCTCAACCTCTCTGACCCTCTGTTTTCGTGACCTATAAAACTGTGGATGGGCGGGGCACGGTGGCTCAGTGAGCCTGTAATCCCAACACTTTGGGAGGCCGAGGCAGGTGGATCACCTGAGGTCAGGAGTTTGAGACCAGCCTGACTAATGTAGTGAAACCCCATCTCTACTAAAAATACAAAAGTAGCCAGATGTGGTGGCGGGCACCTGTAATCTCAGCTACTCAGGAGGCTGAGGCAGGAGGATAGTTTGAACCTGGGAGGTGGAGGTTGCAGTGAGTGGAGATTGCACCACTGCACTCGAGCCTGGGCGACAGAGCTAGACTCCGTCTCAAAAAAAATAAATAAATAAGATAAAATAAAAAAATAAATAAAACTGGATGATAAAGGTATCTCTCTCATCAAGTTGCTGGGAGGATCCGTTAAGGCAATGGGGTTTTTGCATAGTATTCCATGGTGTATATGTGCCACATTTTCTTAATCCAGTCTATCATTGTTGGACATGCGTTGGCTGGGTTGGTTCCAAGTCTTTGCTATTGTGAATACTGCTGCAATAAACATACATGTGCATATGTCTTTATAGCAGCATGATTTATAATCCTTTACATGGATGAAGCTGGAAACCATTATTCTCAGCAAACTATCGCAAGGACAAAGAACCAAACACCACATGTTCTCACTCATAGGTGGGAATTGAACAATGAGAACACATGGACACAGGAAGGGGAACATCACACACCGGGGCCTGTTGTGGGGTGAGGGGAGGGGGGAGGGATAGCATTTGGAGATATACCTAATGTTAAATGACGAGTTACTGGGTGCAGCACACCAACATGGCCCATGTATACATATGTAACTAACCTGCACGTTGTGCACATGTACCCTAAAACTTAAAATATAATAAAAAAAAGACAATGGGGTTTTTCATTTAGTTCAGGGCCTGGCATGGGGGGAGGTCTCCACACATGGTTTATGCTCCTTTTGTTTATCAAAATGACATTCACATAAAATGAGCCATCTTAAAGTTAGTGGCATTTGGTAAATTCACAATTGTTGTGCAACCAACGCCTCTATCTAGTTCCAAGGTATTTACATCCCCCCAAAAAGGAGACCCTGTGCCCATCACCAGTCACTCCTTATTTCACTCTAAGAAAGACCTTACTGCTTCTAACCATGGAGGCCATGCTTTGCAAAGCAGTGAGTTCCCTGGCCAAGAAGCAATCAAGCACGGGCTATAATTTTTCAGGGAGCCTCATACAGGACTAAAACAGTGGGTGTTTTGTTTTGTTTTGTTTTGTTTTGTTTTGTTTTTTTGAGACAGAGTCTCGCTCTGTCACCCAAGCTGGGGTGCAGTGGTGTGATCTCAGCTCACTGCAACCTCCGCCTCCCAGGTTCAAGCGATTCTCCTGCCTCAGCCTCCCGAGTAGCTGGGATTACAGGCATGCGCCACCATGCCCAGCTAATTTTTATATTTTTAGTAGAGACAGGGTTTTACCATGTTGGCCAGGGTGGTCTCGAACTCCTGACCTAAAGTGATCCTCCCGCCTTGGCCTCCCAAGGTGCTGGGATTACAGGTGTGAGCCACTGCACCCGGCCTAAAGTAGTGTTTCTTGACCAGGCGATTCTCCCACTACTCTTAGGGACATGTGGCAATGTCTGGAGACATTTTTGGTTGTCACAACTGGGGATGGAATATCTTGCTGGCATCTATTGGGTAGAGGCCAGGGATCCTCTGAAATATCCCACAGTGGACAGGGCAGCTTCCTGCCATGACAAAGAAGTCTTCAGTTGAAAATGTCCATTGTATCATGGTTGAGAAACCCCACACCAAAATAAGATAACTCAGAATCATCTTCAAAGTCAAAAACTCTTGAACAAAGCCTGGAAGTAGAGACAGCAGCATATTGGGATTGGTTATTTCAGTGCATTCTTCTTTCCATCTATAGGGACACTCCGAGGTCTCATCATCAAGTATTTCTTCCACCTAAAACTCTAGGATATCTGGGGGAATGAGCAGCTCTCTCCATCAAGTCCAAATGTGTTGTGATATGGTTTGGCTGTGTCCCCACCCAAATCTCATCTTGATTTGTAGGTCCCACACTTCCCATGTGTCATGGGAGGGACATCTTACATGGTGGCAGGTAAGATGATTAATTTGCTATAGCTTCCACATTGTATTCCAAAATAACTGTCCCAGCACCCCTCCTCATGCCTGTGGTCAGCAGGGAGAAGGAAGGAGGAAGGAAGAAGGAAAAGACATGTTCCTCCCCTTTAAGGGCATGACCTGGAAGTTGTACATACAACTTCTGCTCACTTCCTATTGTCCAGTACTTAGTCACATGGCTACCTGTAGTTGCAAAGGAGCCTGGGAGACATAATCTTTAGCTTGGTGGCCATATGCCAAACTCATATTTATATAACTCTGCCACTAGATGCAGTATGGATTTGGGGGAAACTTGAGGTTTTCGTGACACTCTTCATCCATTAACAAAGAATACTTGAGGCTGCAGACTTGAGGAAATGCTTGAAAGATGGAATGAAGAGTTGAGTGATCTAGGGATCAGGTTGACCATGAATGAAGTAGGGACAAGACTTTCAGTCCCAACAAAGTATTTAGTTGATGGAATTCTGCAGAGGATGGTGACTCACGTTCTAGAACCTAGAAATGGGAAAGGGCCCAATCACCTCATTTTACAAATGAAGCTGCTGAAACCCAGATAGGAGAAGCAATTTCATTTAGGTCTTTCACTGAGTTTGTAGCAGCTCAGGGCTAAAATTGAGGTCCCCGACTCCATTCTCAGTGCTCTCTTCACAACTCCATTCATCCTCTAGAGCTGTAGACTGAGAAAGCAAACCATGAGGCTTGTGGCTTTGACATGAAGGAAGCAGGACACTGCTAGATCCTTGAGGAGGCATATCTTGGCTAAGGATAGGCTGAGAGGGCATGGAGAAGCCATTGAGACCCGTTGTGGCTATGGAACTATATTCTGGCCAACTAAATGAGAGTAGAAGGGATATGTGAAATATTCCAGCAATTCCTTTAAGGGAAAGGAGCATACTTCTTTCCCCTTCCCCTTTCCTCTTTCTTCCCAACTAGAACATAGGATGTGATGATAGGAGCTGAAGCAACCACTTTGGGTTACATGGTAAAGATGTATGTTCAGGCAAGCAGAGCAACAAAATAGAGAAAGTTTGGCTCCCTGGTGATTACTGAGCCTCCATTCCAGCTCTGAGCTATCTATCTGTATTTCTGCATGAAAGAAAAAAAATATAATTCTATTTCTTAAGTCAGTTACATATGTGTGTGTGTGTGTGTGTGTGTATATATATATATATGCGTATATATATGCATATATTTCTTTGAGACAGAGTCTCACTCTGTCACCCAGGCTGGAGTGCAGTGGCACGATTTCAGCTCATGCAACCTCTGCTTCCCAAGTTCAAGCGATTCTCCTGCCTCAGCCTCCCAAATAGCTAGGATTACAGGTGCCTGCCACCACACCCAGCTATTTTTTGTAGTTTTAGTAGAGAGGGGGTTTGGCCATGTTGGCCAGGCTGGTCTCAAACTCCTGACCCCACGTAATCCACCTGCCTTGGCCTCCCAAAGTGCTGGGATTACAGGCATGAGCCACCGCACCCAGCCCAGTTACTTATATTCTGTAAGACTTCCAAGCTTATAAGTAATATATGGGGTCAGGAGGGGGCGGATTATTTCTTTCAGTTCCGACATTGTGTTAGTAGAAGTCCAGGGTCCCCTTTGCCTCTCCACCTCCAGAGGCATAACCATGGACCACTAAGCAGCTCTCTCCTCCCACCTTCCCCAGTTCATCACTGGAGTCATCTACTGACCTAACCATATGTCCCTGCAAAGCATTGTATCTCTGTTTGGTAAGACCCAAAAGGGGGTGATCTGCCTGCCTCAGCCTCCCAAGTTCAAGCGATTCTCCTGCCTCAGCCTCCCAAAGTGCTCGGATTACAGGCGTGAGCCACCGCGCCTGGCCAGTGATCCTTGTTTTACAGGGTAAGTTCTGAGTGCCAGAGGGGGCTAGGAAGAGCAGAGCCATCTTGCTCTGAAAAGTCCCTGCATACTTGTCCAGCCTTACCCCTCCTCCCTCTGTGCTGCAGGAAATATTAGAGAATGTGGATTCTGGAGTCAGCTATCGGTTCAAATTGTGATGCGGGTGATTATTAATTGAGAGACCTTGGCCAAACTATTTAAACTCTCTGTGCCTCAGTTTCCCCCATATATATTTGTTATAATAAAGATTCTTATCTTGCAGGGCTGTGAGAATTAAATGAGATAGTGTTCCTTAAAGTGCTTACTACAGCGCCTAGCAGACAGTGAGTGAGTGCTCCATCAACAGAGAGGACAAATATTGACCTGAGTCATTAAAAGGATCAAAGGAGGGCCAGGCACAGTGGCTCATGCCTGTAATCCCGGCACTTTGGGAGGCTGAGGCGGGTGAATAACGAGGTCAGTAGTTCAATACCAGCCTGGCCAAAATGGTGACACCCTGTCTCTACTAAAATTATAAAAATTAGCCAGGCACGGTGGTGCACGCCTGTATGCCTGTAGTCCCAGCTACTCAGGAGGCAGAAGTGGGAAAATCACTTGAACTTGGGAGGCAGAGGTTGCAGTGAGCTGAGATGGCACCACTACACTCCAGCCTGGGTGACCAACCAAGACTCCATCTCACAAAAAAAAAACAAAGGATCAAAAGGAGGAAGGCCAGGTGTGATTGATGCATAAAAATGAAGGAGATCTTACCCAGTGGAAGAGAAAGCAGGTCAGGGACGTCCCTAAGAAAGCTGACATTAAAGCTGACATCTGAAGTATGAATGGACATCAGTCAGGTAAAAAAGAGAAAGTGGGGAAGACTCAGGAAAGCATAACAGCCTGTGCAACGGCCCTGGAGCAGGCGGGAAAGCATGTGATGTGTTTGGGAAGTTGAAGATATTTTTAAGATGGTGGTGGATGAGGCTGGAGAGGTGGCTAGGGGCTCAATGTTGCAAATCAGATTCCTCTTTGAATGTCATCTGGATGCCTTTTTCCTTCATATTTATTTCACTTGGGACCCCTCTTTTTCTGTATATCCTCCTTGCTGGAAAGTCACATTCTTCCAACAGAAATCTCATTCTCATTGATGAAAAATTCTGCAATGCATCAGTATACTTGAAGACTCAAGGACTCTTGTACTGTCAGACAGCAATCCTGGGTACCCAGTCTTTATCCACAGATTCTTAAAGAGGTTTCCCCACTCTGGGGCACTTGCAAAGTGCCTGGCCTAATCGAAGCCTTATACATTGAGGAAAGTCTTCTCTGGGTCTGATTTGAGCAGTCTTGAATGTACTTATCTCCTTCGGTTCTGACACTACCACCTGTAGTGATTGGAGGCCAATGTGGAGAAGTTCGATTCCATTCTGTTTGGAGAAAAGACTTGCTTGAGGACAGAGGCCTGCAGGGCTGGCTCCTGCCTTTCTCCATTCAAATCTTGGGCCATCCCCTGGGCTTGGTGGCTCATACCTGTAATCTCCCAGCACTTTGGGAGACCAAGGTGGATGGATCACTTGAGGCCAGGAGCTCGAAACCAGCCTGGCCAACATGGCAAAACTCTGTCTCTACTAAAATTACAAAAAAAAAATTAGCCCAGAGTCATGGCGGGTACCTGTAATCCCAGCTACTAGGGAGGCTGAGGCACGAGAATCGCTTAAACCCAGGAGGCAGAGGTTGCAGTGAGCCGAGATTGCACCACTGCACTCCAGCCTGGGCAACAGAGCGAGAGAAAAAAAATTGGGGCGGCCATTCCCCCATCACCCTTCCCATTGGCCTCCTCTCCAGCTACAGGGATTTTGTTCATGTTTGTTCTATACCTGGGCCACCCTTTCTCACTCCCCCTTGGTCCTACACCTTTGCCCAGAAAATTCTCACTCAAGCATGTCTCCTCCTCCAGGAAGTCTTAGTAGTGGAGCCGTGGCAGGTTCCTTTATGTTCTCAAAGAACCGGCTTCTCTCCTTCTGTGTGCTTATCTCAGCTTTCAAATACATATTCATTCACGTGACTGTTTTGCTAATGATTGTCTCCCCCCAGTAAACTTAAGGTCCATGACAGCATTTTTTCCACTATATCTGCCACACCCTGGGGCATAGTAGGAAGACAATAAATGTTAGCAGGAAGGAGGGAAGAAAGGGAGAGAGAAGGAAGAAAAAAAAGAGGAAGGAGGAAGAGAGGAGAAGGAGGGAGGGAGGGAAGGAAGGAAGGAAGGAGAGGAGGAGAGAATGAAGGAAGAAAGGAAGGAGGGAGGGAGGGAAAAGGAAAGAAAAGAAAAGGAAGAGAGGAAGAGAGGAGGGAAGAAAGAAAGCAAGGAAGGAGGGAGGAAGAGAAGGATGGAGGGAAAGAGGAGAGAAGGAAGGAAAGAAGAAATGAAGGAAGGAGAGGAGAAAGGAAAAAAGGAAGGAAGGAAGAAAGGGAGGGAGGAGGCAGGAGGGAAGAAAGGAAGGAGGCAGGGAAGGAAAGGAGAGGAAGAAGGAGGGAAGGAGGGAAGGAAGGAAGAGGGAAGAAGGAAAAAAGGGAGAAA
The DNA here is from genome assembly GCF_000001405.40 of Homo sapiens. NCBI lineage: Eukaryota > Metazoa > Chordata > Mammalia > Primates > Hominidae > Homo > Homo sapiens. The sequence continues at coordinate 15,036,160 of NC_000019.10, forward strand.
GGAGAAAGGGAGGGAGAGAATGAAGGAAGGAAAGAAGAGGAGAAAGGAAGAGAGAAGGAAAAAAGGAAGGAAAGAAGGGAGGGAGGGAGGGAGGGAGAGAGGGAGGGAAGGAGAGGAGGAGACCTTCTCGAGGTCAGTCTTTTGGGGGTCTGATTTCACATAGACATTTTCCACTTCTGGCCTTTCAGGTTCTAGAAGGCCTCTACATCTCATCAATAGATTCCCTTAGATTCACAATGCCCCATCAGTTGATACGTTGTTGACCACAGTGGACTTTCATTTCATCGTTCTGTGGAGAAAGGGCCTGGGGCAGGCAATTCTGCTGAAACCTCTCTTCCAGCTATCATTTTCTACCCAAGCACCCTTTCACATACTCTCTGGGATTCTCTCACTCGTTCTTTCCTATCTCTTTCCTCACCCCTTTCTTGAACACAGAAACATGTTTGTGACTGTTCATTGCAAGAGTAACCACCGTTGCCATTTCTGCTTGTTCGTGGAACTAACACACAATAATTATTCCTCTGTCTTCATCTCCTGCCTCATTAACACCTCAGTGATTACAGGCATCATTAATTGCTATTAGGTCATCTCATCCCACGGTGGTGTGAACCAGGTCCTCCCTGAAGACTTGGCCCAGCTTATGGATAGTATCGGTTTATGGCCACCTCCTTTCCTCCACCTTCATCATGAAAAAGATCTGCAACACACACACCACGCAGCTTCCAAAACACCAGCCGGCTGACCAGAGACAACCTCCTTGTGGACACTAAAGAGGCGGTTGTCCTGGGGTGTGACGTGGGCCTTTCCAGGTCACACAACCAGCTAGTAGGGATTTATTAGGAGTCTACATCTGCTCCCCAGGTCACAGATATTGGACATCTCAACTAGGGCACAGAAAGGGATGTTGGAGAGAAAAGGATGAAGTCAAGAAGTATTTAGGGAGTAAAATAGAATGCTTCCTAGATGACAGAAACTCTTCCAAGTGTTTTAGATACATTAACCCCTCATCACACTCCAGTAAAGTGGATATTACTATCGCTTCTTTACAAATAAGGAAACTCAGCCACCAAAAGGTTACATAATTCAGAATTTGAGTCACTAGGGTCAGGAATCCAACCCAGAAAGTCTGATTTCAAAGGATACATTTTTACCGTTGTGCTGTTGTGCCTTCCATTCAATTATCTGTTTGCCACAGAATGAAAATTCCTCACTTGCATTTGCATCTCTTCCACCTGCACCCCTCACACCACACACACGCACGTGCACACACACACAATCTATAGCGACTTGGTAGGGATAGAAGCAATATATAAATGGTCAAAAGATGCACCACATCAGAGAACGCAGATGTGCAGCCTTGCATGCTAAGGTGAGAGAGGGAGAACTGCCTTTGTTACCAAACCTGCTTCAGTTCCCCCAGAGCAGCTTTGACAAACTCATTCATTCTGCCAAACTCATGTGAGCTTCTCAGGATGGACCTAGAGAGTAGCCAAACATTTCCTTCATTTCTTTTTCATGGATCCCATCCTTGGGCCATAAAGGAAGGGAAATAAGAAGACTTGGGAGTTCCAGAGAGCTGCTGTCAGAGCCCAGCTGCAACGCTTGGGAGCCAAGTTATTTAACTATTCTTAAACCTCACTTTTCTCCATGCAGTTGCACAGCTGTTGTCGGGATTAGCATTTCTATGCTTAAAATGCTCTAAGTCCTCACTCTTGTAATCCCAGCTCTCTTTGAGAAGCCGAGGTGGGAGGATTGCTTGAGCCCAGGAGGAGTTCGAGAGCAGCCTGGGCAACACAGCAAGACCCCTTGTCTATGAAAAAGAAAAAAAAATGCTCTAAGTGAATGAAGAGCATCTCTCAATCCTGTGACTTAGGTAAGCGAAGGTCAGTAAAAGAATACGTATCGCACCTGAAATATAGGTATTCTGTATTGACTGACAGCTTCCGTGTATACTTTATATAAATTTTGTTTTGAAAAGTGACATGTGTGATATGCATTCCTTGCCTTGATGATAAATCAACCCCCCTTCTTCACAGAGCTGAGTTGCAAGAATAGTTGCAAATGCAATCAAGATTTTCATCCCAATACAACAACAACTACTACTGCTGGTATGACTGCTACTACTAAACGTATTCGAATTTTTTAATTGTGCGTGCACATGGCAACAGACACCCAGAAGGAACATAAAAAATCAGATGAAGTAAAAAAAATAAAGAATTATCTTGGGGATTGCTTGAGAAATTACAGCTGCACAGCTGGGCTCTCCATTGCATTGCAAGCTCAATGGCTTGCAAAACTTTCATACTTTCAGGAAGGGAAGGAACACCTGGGGTGCTTGGATGTCTTCCCAGATTGTGGAGAACAAAATCCTGCCTGACAAGATGCTGTCTCATCTTGTCGCTGGCCCATGGATTGTTTACCCCCCAAGGAAGCCCAGAATGATGAAAAGTTGCCAAAGATCTTTGAGCAACACCACCTCCTTTCAACACTGTGATGAGCTTTCACTTCTTTAACTCCCAACAAAAGCAAAGGGGGCCCCAGAGGTCAGGACCTGAGATTCAGAGAGAAGCATGGGCTGGTGACATAGATGCGAATATGGACTCCAGGCAGAGAAACAGCACTGTGGCTAAGAAGATGAATTCATGGATGTGCCCAGGGGGCAAGCATGAACAATTTAGATACATGGCCATTCTCTGATGGTGTGTGAAGGCAGAAGATATTCACCACGACTGTGAACTCTCAGGAAAATCATGCCTAGGAAGCATGAGCATGTTCAGTGAAACATATGCACTTGCTCTTCTGCAAAACAACCCAAGAGATTTGGGCTGCTTGGAGACGGGGAGCCCTCACCCACATTGACTTTCAGGCTTAAGATGCCATTGCTGGTTTTGTGTTTTGGTTTTGTTTTGTTTTGTTTTTTGTTTTTGAGACGGAGTCTCGTTCTGTAGCCCAGGCTGAAGTACAATGGCACAATCTCGGCTCACTGCAACCTCCACCTCCCAGGTTCAAGGGATTCTTCTGCCTCAGCCTCCCGAGTAGCTGGGACTACAGGCATGTGCCACCACGCCTGGGTAATTTTTGTATTTTTAGTAGAGATGTGGTTTCACCATATTGGCCAGGCTGGTTTCAAACTCCTGACCTCGTGATCCATCCGCCTCAGCCTCCCAAAGTGCTGGGATTACAGGAGTGAGCCATTGCACTCGGCCCATTGCTGCTTTTTTAAATGAGTAATAGTATTTTTATTTTAATGAATAATAGTATTTTATTTCTTTTTTTGAATTTGTCAATTTTTAAATTGACAAATAATAATTGTATATATTTATGAGGTACAATGTGGTGTTTTCACATATGTCTATATTGTGGAATGAATAAACCAAGCTAGTAAACATATCATCTCTCCTTTTTTTTCCTCTAATAAGAATATTTAAAATCTACTCTTTTTTGAAGTCTAGATATCACCAAAAAAAATTTAATGTTTAAAAATTGAAAAAATATAGCCAGGCATGGTGGCGGGCACCTGTAATCCCAGCTACTTGGGAGGCTGAAGCAGGAGAATCACTTGAACCTAGGAGACGGAGGTTGCAGTGAGCCAAGACTGCGCCATTGCACTCCAGCCTGGGTGACAAGAGCGAAACTCCATCTCAAAGAAAAAGGAAAAAGAAAATCTACTCTTTCAGCAATTTTGAAATGTACAATATTATTAACTATAGTCACCATGCTGTACAAATCTTAGATCTCAAAAACATATAAGTTCTAGTGCTCTAAAGCACTGTGGGGTGACCATAGCTAACAATAATTTATTGTATATTTTCAAATGGCTAAAGGAGAAGATGTTGAATGTTCTCAACACAAAGAAATTATATATGTTTGAGATGATGGATACTCTAATCACCCTGATTCGATCATTGTACATTGTTTATATGCATCAAAATATCGCTGTACTCCATAAATACATACAATTATTATGTGCCATTTAAAAATAATAACAACATAGAAAGACACCTGCCTCTAGTAAAAAATTAAAAAATAAAGCTGAGGCGGGCAGATCGCCTGAGGTCAGGAGTTCATGAGCAGCCTGGCAAACATGGTGAAACCCCATCTCTACTAAAAATACAAAAATTAGCCTCAAAAATAACCCCATTTCTACTAAAAACACAAAAACACACACAAAAAATCCAGCCTGTCGCCCAGGCTGGAGTAGCTGGGATCACAGGTCAAATACTATTCAGCCTTTAAAAGGAGGAAATTCTGTCATTTGCCACATGGATGAATTTAGAGAGAACATTACGGTAAGTGAAATAATCCAGACACAGAAAAACAAATACTGCATGATCTCACTTATACATGAGATCTAAAAAAGTCCGACTCGTGAAAGTCGAGAGGTAGAATGGTGGTTGCCAGGGGCTGGGGCAGGTAATAGGGAGATACTGATCAAAGCATACAAAATTTCATATTATGTTCTTTTGTTTTTTTTTTTTTTTTTTTGAGAGACAGGGTCTTGTTCTGTTGCCCAGGCTGGAGTGCAGCAGTGGTGCAATCATAGCTCATTGCAGCCTCAAATTCCTGGGCTCAAGCAATCCTCCCACCTCAGCCTCCTAAGTAGCTGGGACTACACCACTCCTGGCTCATACTGTATTCTTAAGGAAGGACGTGGTATTATTTCCAGTTTATATCTGTAGAGCATCTGTAGAGTGAAGGGGCAGAAGCATCAATTCTGACAACTTCAGGCCTTTGCTCCCAATGCACATTGAACATTTTTCATGTGTCATGCTGGGTGCTGCGTAAACACAACATGCATGGCTCACACTCTCACTGGCTGACTGTCTTTGGGAGAAAGAAGATATCAAAGGAGATTTATAAGAGTAAAATGACTTCCCAGGAGAAGTGCAGGCAGCCACAGTAATTTGGAACCACCTGGTCCATGAAGCGTTCAGCAGAAGCTTCCTCCAGAAGCTTCGTTTTACTTGAGATCTGATTAATCTTTTTTGTTTTTTTGTTTATTTTACTTTAAGTTTTAGGGTACATGTGCACAACGTGCAGGTTTGTTACATATATATATATGTGCCATGTTGGTGTGCTGCACCCATTAACTCATCATTTAACATTAGGTATATCTCCTAATGCTATCCCTCCCCCCTCCCTCCCCCCTCCCCCACCCCACAACTGGCCCCAGTGTGTGATGTTCCCCTTCCTGTGTCCATGTGTTCTCATTGTTCAATTCCCACCTATGAGTCTTTTAACAACCAAGAGTCCTTGTGTCACTCTCCAGCTCTGAATTCCTCAATGGCTCCCCATTGCCTATTTGGATCAGGGACCACCTTATTCACTTTGCCTAGGACTTCCCTGGCTTCTTAGCAGTGAAATCCCCACATGCCAGAAAACTCTGCAGATCTGGGCAAACCAGGACGGTTGGTAACCCTACAACCCAACCAAATTCAGACTCCCTTAAAGTGACTTCAAGCCCCTTCATGATCTCACCCTTTCCTGGAATCACCTCTCACCATTTGGACTCACTTCCCATCACCAGGACTCATCTCTCAACAAAGGGACTCTCCTCTCATCACTGGGCTCACCTCTCACCACCAGAACTCACATCTCACCACCTGGACTCACTGTCACCTCCTGGATTCACCCATCTGGACTCACCTCTCATCACCTAGACTTATCTCTCACCCCCTGGACTCACCTCTCACCAACTAGACTCATCCCTTATTACCTGTACTCATCTCTCACCAGCTGGACTCACCCACCTGGGCTCATATCTCACCACCTGGACTCATCTCTCACTACCTGGACTCACCTCTCACCACCTGGACTCACATCTCAACTGAACTCATCTCTCACAACCTGGACTCACAACTCAACTGAACTGATCTCTTACCACCTGGACTCACCTCTCACCACCTGGATTCACCTCTCACCACCTGGACTCACCTCTCACCAACTGGACTCACCTCTCACTGGACTCATCTCTTACCACCTGGACTCACATCTCAACTGAACTCATCTCTCACCTGAACTCATCTCTCACCAGCTGTACTCACTTCTCAACACCTGGACTAGCCCACCTGGACTCACCTCATCTCTCACCTTCTGGACTCATCTCTCACCTGGAGTCACCTCTTAACACCGGGACTCACCTCTCACCTGGACTTACCTCCCACCACTTGGACTCACCTCTCACCCCCTAGACTCACCTCTCACACCCTGGACTCATATCTCACCATCTGGACTCACCTTTCACCTGGACTAACCTCTCAACACCTAGACTCATCTCTCACCACCTAGATTCACCTCGCACCACTCGGACTCATCTCTCACAACGTGGAATCACTTCTCACCACCTGGAATCACTTCTCACCACCTAGACTCATCTCTCACCACCTAGACTCATCTCCCATCACCTAGACTCATCTCCCATCACCTGAACTCACCTCTCACCACCTGGACTAACTCTCACCACCACTGTCTCTTACACTTTATTCTCTGGCCATGTGGAAACAGACATGGTGCCTTGCATTCACCAAGCTCACTCATTCACCTCTGCTATTTCCCCATGTTGGGACCCCTCTGCACTGGCTACCTCTCCCACATGCCCACCTGAAAAGCACCTACTCATTCCTCAAGTCTCAGGTGACATATACCTCCTCTATGAAGCCAACTTGTAACCATGTAACCACTTTGGGAGTCAATGCATGCATTCCTCCATGGAGTCCTTACACCAGGTTGCCTTTCTTGGACCAGCCAGTTGCCAGATAACTCTGATTAATATAATTAATCAATTTAATTACTTAATTAGTTAACTCACAAGTACTCCAGCCCATGGTGACGCATTCTCTCACATACTGATACTGTGTAAATATGTGTCTCATCAGAGGAGACAGGATCTCCCGACATTTCATCATCATTGGACTGAGGAGAAATTCATGAGGAACCATCTCTGCCAACCTCCATTTTAGGAGACAAAACTAAACTGGGCATCCCAGTACACTCATCCACCCAGTTCTTCCTTCTTGGGCCCTCACTGTGTGCCTGGTTCCAAATGAAACACTCAAGCACAGCCTTCAACCCAAGAACTGGGCAGTCTAAACCCACCTGCCTCCACACAGGGGCAGGGGCTGCCTCAGAAATGCCCTTTCAATCCTGGGCTAATCCAAGGCTAGTTCTTCCCAACTCTGCATTCAGTGATGCCATGTTTGTAACTTGAAATCAGCTACAGCAAGAGTGAATACATCATGGAAATTAGCAACATTACAAATGAGGACATTTTTTGCTTTTTATTGTTTGGGAGGTTTTTTCATTTTCCTTCCTTTTTTTTTTTTTTTTTTTAACGGAGTTTTGCTTTTGTCGCCCAGGCTGGAGTGCAATGGTGCAATCTTGGCTCACTGCAGCCTCTGTCTACCAGGTTCAAGCAATTCTCCTGCCTCAGCCTCCCAAGTAGCTGGGATTACAGATGCATACCACCACACCTGGCACATTTTTGTATTTTTAGTAGAGATGGCGTTTTATCATGTTGGTCAGGCTGGTGTCAGACTCTGACCTCCAATGATCCGCTGGCCTCGGCCTCCCAAAGTGCTGGGATTACAGATGTGAGCCACCACGCCTGGCCATCCTCTTTATTTTTTAATTGACACATAATAATTGTACATATTCATGGAGTACATAGTGATGTTTTGAGGCATATGACATACAGTAATCAGATCAGGGTAATTGACATGTCAATCATCTCAAACACTTATCATTTCTTTGTGTTGGGAGCATGCAATATTCTCCTTCTAGCTGTTTGAAACTATGTAATATATTATTGTTTACTGTAGTTACCCTACAGTGCTGTAGAACACTAGAACTTATTCTTCCTACCTAGCTGTATTTTTTGGTGGGGAGATAGAGCGGGGGACAAGGGCAAGTAAAAATGCCATAAAATGTTTCTACCATTTTGAAGTTACCTTTATCTTTCTTTTTCAATTTTTATTTTAAATTCGGTGGTACATGTGCATATTTGTTACATGAGTTTATTAATCCATTTTTATACTCTATAAAGAAATACCCAAGACTGGGTAACTTATAAAGGAAAGAGGTTTAATTGACTTACAGTTCCCCATGGCCGGGGAGGCCTCAGGAAACTTACAATCATGGCAGAAGGGGAAGAAGCACGTCTTACGTGGTAGCAGGAGAGAGAAGTGAAGAGCAAAGTGGGAAAAGCCCCTTATAAAATCATGAGATTTCAGGACAGCTCACTCACTATCACGAGAACAGCATGGGACAACTGGCCCCATGATCCAATCACCTCCCACGATGTCCCTCCCCCAAACCTGGGGATTACAATTCAGATTACAATTCAAGATGAGATTTGAGTAGGGACACAGAGCCAGACCATATCAGTGGCTACACTACATGATGCTAAGGTTTGCTGTATGAATGATCCCATCACTCAAGTAGTGAGCACAGGACACAGTAGGTAGTTTTTCAACCCTCACCCCCTCTCCTGCCCTCCTCCCTCTAGTAGTCACCAGTGTCTATTGTTTCCATCTTCATGTCCACGAGTAGTCAATGTTTTGCTCCCACTTATAAGTGAGAACATGTGGTGGTTGGTTTTCTGTTCCTGCATTAATTCACTTAGGATAATGGCCTCCAGCTGCATCCATTTTGCTGCAAACGACATCATTTTGTTGTTTTCTTTCCTTTTCTTTTCTTTTTTCTTTCTTTTTTTTTTTTTTTTTTTTGAGGCAGAGTGTTGCTCTATCGCCCAGGCTGGAGTGCAGTGGCACGGTCTTGGCTCACTGTAGCCTCTGCCTCCTGGGTTCAAGCAATTCTCCTGCCTCAGCCTCCCCAGTAGCTGGGATTACAGGCATGCGCCACCACGCCTGGCTAATTTTTGTATTTTTAGTAGAGATGAGGTTTCACCATGTTGGCCAGGCTGTTGTCAAACTCCTGACCTCAGGTGATCCACCCACCTCGGCCTCCCAAAGTGCTGGGATTACAGGCATGAGCCACGCAACCAGCCATGATTTTGTTATTTTCTATGGCTGCATAGTATTCCATGGTATATATACACACACCATATATATATACACCATATACACACATACACACACACACACACACACACATATATATATAACACTTTTCTTTATCCAGTCCACTGTTGATGGGCGCCTAGGTTGATTCCATGTTTTTGCTGTTGTGAACAGCACTAGCTGTAATTTTGTATCCTTTAACAAATCTCTCCCTATCCTCTCTTCCCCCTACCATTCCCAGCCTCTAACATCCTCTGTTCCACTTTTTGCTTTTACAAAATCAACTTATTTAGCTTCCACACATGAATGAGAACATGTGCTGTTTAACTTTCTGTTTCTAGCTTATTTCACCTAACATACTGTCCTCCAGTTCCATCCATGTTACCACAAATGACAGGATTTCATTCTTTTTATGGCTGAATAGTATTGGGGGATGTTGATTTGTTGTGGTTTTTTGGCTTCATTTTGTCTTGTTTTTAGAGAGCGAAGTGTTAGACATCTTCCAACACATCATTGCAAACACTCCGAGTCCTGACTGATTCCCCTAAGATCCAACTTTCTTAACGGACCAGACCCTGTCAAACAATGAGATTTCAAGGAGGAAGAAGACAGCAAAAGCATGCTTTAGCTAAAATTTTGGCATGGGGTAAGTGTAGGATGTTATGTCCAGTTTAATTTGGTGTTTTCCTGGGTTTTGTTTCTCTTTTAGTGAAAAGTGTGTACTTTTTATGCCATTGCAGAATTGATTCAATAGCACCACTGAATTGTCGGTCACGTGGATATGTTCAGTTTGAAAAAAATTATCAAGCTGCACATTTAAGAGTTGTGCACTAGGCCGGGTGCGGTGGCTCATGCCTGTAATCCCAGCACTTTGGGAGGCCAAGAGGGACAGATCACGAGGTCAGGAGTTCGAGACAGGCCTGACCAACATGGTGAAACCCCATCTCCACTAAAAATACAAAAATTGGCCAGGTGTGGTAGTGAGTGCCTGTAATCCCAGCAACTCGCGAGGCTGAGGCAGGAGAATGGCATGAACCCGGAAGGCAGAGGTTGCAGTGAGCCAAGATCACGCCACTGCACTCCAGCCTGGGTGACAGAGCGAGACTCCGTCTCAAAAAAAAAAAAAGAAAGAAAAAAAAAGAGTCGCGCACTTTTCTTCACATAGGTTATTCTCAATAGTTGTTTAAAGAACACAAAAAAATTGAGTTTGTTCCATATGTGCTAACATGGAAAGATGACCCAGACATAATTCGGTGAACAAGGCAAGTAACAGGACAATTTTGTAGAACGGGCCCACCTATGTAACTAACACTGCGAATGTGTGTAAGTCAATGCGGCAATAGGCACTGAAGGGAAATTGCTCAGTCTTGTGCCTGGGCTACCTGGAAGCAAAGGGAAGAATTGGAAGGATGAGAACAGGCCAGTTTTGCTAAAAAAAACATTTCTGTATTGCTAGAAAGTTGCACTACTAGGAATGGAATTAAAACATGCATCAGGCTAAGCGTGGTGGCTCACGCCTGTAATCCCAGCACTTTGGGAGGCCCAGGCAGGTGGATCGTTTTCAGCTCAGGAGTTTAACAACAGCTGGGCAACATGGCAAAACCCAGTTTCTACAAAAAACACACAAAAAATTAGCCTGGCATGGTGGTGCACGCCTGTAGTCCCAGCTACTGGGGAGGCTGCGGCTGGAGAATTGCTTGAGTCCGGGAAGCAGAGGTTGTAGTGAGTTGAGATCATACCATTGCACTCCAGCCTGGGCAACTTAGTGAGACCCTGTCTCAAAAAAAAATCCACATAAAACTTGTACATAAATATGTATAACAGCATCCTTCAAATAGCCAAAAGCCTAACACAACTGAAATGTTCCTCCACAGATGAATAAATAAACAAAATGAGGTATATCTGTACAATGGACTATTATTCAGTCAGAAAAAGGGATGAAGTTCTAATATATGCTACCATGTGGATGCTATCTTCCTCCTCCTTGAAATCTCATTGATTTATAGGATCTGGTCAGCTAAGAAGGCTGGATCTTAGGGGAAGGAATTGGAATGGGAGTGTCTGCAATGGTTTGCTGAAAGACATCTAACACTTGGCTCTCTAAAAACCAAAACAAAATGAAACAGGAGACAACAAACCAACATCCCTGCAATACTGTTCTTGAAAACATCATGCTGAATGAAAGAAGCCAGACACAAAAATCACATAGTGTATGATTCTATTTCTGTGAAATATCCAGAACAGGGAAACCTGCAGAGACAGAAACTCGGCTAGTGGTTGCCTAAGGCTGGGATGTATGGAGAGATTGGGAGTGATAGCTAAAGGGTACTGGGATTCTTTTGGGGGGTGATAAAAATGTTCTAAAATGAGCCAGGTGTGGTGGCCCGCGCCTGTAATCTCACACTTTGGGAGGCCGAGTGGGGAGGATCCCTTGAGGCCAGAAGTTCGAGACCAGCCTGGGCAACACAGCAAGACTTTGTCTCTACAAAAAATCTTGAGGAAAAAAGTAGCAAGGCATGTACGTGCACACCTGTAGTCCCAGCTGCCCAGGAGGCTGAGGTGGAAGGATCGAATAAGCCCAGGAGTTTTAAGCTGCAGTGAGCTGTGATCGCTCCACTGCACTCCAGCCTGGGTGACAGATCTTATCTCCGAAAAAAGAAAAAACAAAATGTTCCAAAATGAACTGACGCAATGGTTGCATCACTGTGAATATATTGAAACCCACTGGATTGCACACTTCAGGTGGGTGAATTGTATAATACGTAAATTATATCTCATTTAAGCTGTTGCTATCGAACCGAGTTTGTTCTTCCTCTGTGCAGCAAGCCAATCAATGTAATGACAGATTTTGCAGAAGAGGAAGAGTTCGTTCATGAGGCAATTAAGCGACGAGGTGGTAAAACAGGTCTCAAATTCTCCTCCCCAAAAATAGGGTTTGAGGGTGCTTATGGGATAGAAAACGGGGTGATCTAAAGTACGGAGAAAGGTGACTGGCAGGTAGGGAAGGTGAGGTAATCAGAATTTCTGAGCAAGCATGGTTGAGCTACATGGCTTTAGATAGGACATTTGTGCAAAAAATAGCATTTAGCATGATCTGAAGGTGGAGTTTACGGCCCTCTGATATCAGCTACCCACATAGGTGCAGTTGAAGGGTCAGTGATCTCCACTGGCTTAAACTAAACAAGAGCTGCCTCCTACCTAGTTCCTGAAAAACAACTTTAAGCACCCATTACTATAGTGTCCCACAGACAAAAATGTTATCTGTAAGGAAGCCAGTGGGAGTTTAGTTATGCATTATTTGGCTACGTGACTTGCTAGTGGCGCTTTTAAGATCAACTATAAGTAAGCAATTAAAAGTAAGTAAGCAATTAAACGCAAGGCAGATTAAGTCTGGAGGGCTTAATCAGGTTCGCCTTTGGTTTCACTATTAACATAAGAAATAAAATGAAACAAAATGGCTGAAAAATAATAAGAGGAGGAGGAAGAGAGGAATCATCATGATGCATCAGTTAAGGCAACTGGGCTGGAACATTTTAGGGGTTGTTTGTTTGTTTTTATATTTAAGACAGAGTCTTGCTCTGTCACCCAGGCTGGAGTGCAGAGGCACAATCTTAGCTCGCTGCAGCCTCAAACTCCTAGGCTCAAGCCAGCCTCCTACCTCAGCCTCCTGAGTAGCTAGGACTATAGGTATATGCCATCATTTTTATTATTATTATTATTTTAGTGACAGGGTCTCACTATGCCCCGGCTGGTCTCAAACTCCTCACCTCAAGCGATCCTCCTGCCTTGGCCTCCCAAAGCGCTGGGACTACAGACGTGACCCACCACACCTCACCCCTTATAGGGTTGAATGCCAACTGTGCCAATTGCTGACCTTGGGCAGTCATTTCACCTCTATGAGCCTCAGTTTCTCCATCTGCAAAATGGGAGCAAAAATACTGATCTGTCTAGACTCTTGAAGACTCGATGAGATAATAACTAAGTGAAGTCGGTGTTATCTACACAGTGGAAGGTGAGATGAATAAACTAGGCATAATGATGATGGTAATAACCAGATGGGCTGGCTATGGGATGGGGGTTGGGAGAGGTTGTGGCTGGGCTGGCACAGACATCTGACTCATTTAGACTCTCTGCCTAGGCCACCTTTGCCAGAGGGAGTCCCCTCAGCCTTGCGATCACTCATCCCATTGGCGTTGGCTCCATTTCCACACCACAGCTGTGTGCCAAGGGTGTGTCATGAGGTTTCTTGAGTGACAGAAAACTCACCGACAATAAAGGGCCAGGTGATTGTGCCACCCGATTCATAGACCAGGCTTCTCAGGAGAAACCCCGGGAGATTCCACACTGTCAGCCCCTTCTCCAAGATCAGTACGTGGGCCTGACTCCTCCTCGGTGCCCAGCTCAGTATTGGCAACTAGGAGAGTAGTGAGATTGAACTTGGCCTTGAGGAACAGCTGCCTCTAGAGTTGGTAAGTGATTTGGTGGATATTAGCCTCTCTCTCTCTCTCTCTCTCTCTCTCTCACACACACACACACACACACACACACACACACACGCACATACACACATACGCTCCCTCTCCCTTCATGAATTAATGCTCTGGCCAGTTTTGGCAGAATGGAAGAAATTTCCATCCATCCCCTCTTTCTTTTCATCTGTTCATTTTTTTCTTATTTGTTTACTCAGCAAATTCTCTCCAACACCACCTCTGTGCTCCCTGCCACACTGTTGGCCATGATGGAGACAGAGATAATGAAGTCAGGCTTTCAGTCCTGAAAACTGAGCTGCCAGTTCAGCCATGAGAGTAAGAATCAAAAACACTGCTGTAATTCAAGTAGGAGCAAGCAGAGCTGTGAGAGTCCAGAGAAGGAAGAGGAAAGTTCCAGGAGGTCAAGAGGGATCCTAAAACCTACCTGGGTCACCATTGCTGTTAAGCACCTAGAGCTCTCCCCAGGTCCTTTGCGGATGGGAAAATCGAGTCTCAGAGAGGAGAGTGAGATGCCGAAGGTCACACAGCTGGGAAGGGACTGAGGCAGGATTCGGTTCTGGCTCCAGGGCTATGCTCCTTCCACTTCCTCCCTCACAATCTTTGGCTCCTCTTTCGTCACAGCACTTGCTGTGTGTGTGTGTGAGTGTGTGTGTGTGAGAGAGAGAGAGAGAGAGAGAGATTTAATATTCATTTCTGTCACAGACTAGAGCTACAGAAGGACAGAAAGTCAGGGAGCATGTCTGTCTTACTTAATGGATTCTAAGTGCATAACACATAATAGATACCCAGAAAATATTTGCTGGGTAGGTGGGTGGGTGGGTGGATGGATTGATGGATGGATGGATGGATGGGTGGGTGGGTAGATGGATAAGTAAATAGGTGGATGGATAGATGGAAGATAGAGATGATGGATGAAGGAATGGATAGAAGGAGGGCTAGATGGAGGGATAGTTGGAAGATAGAATAGATGGAGGGATGGAAGACAGAGAGAGATAATGGATGAATGGATGGATGGATGGATGAATGAATGAGTGGTTGGATGAATAAGTGGATGGATAGATAGATGGATGGGTAGATAAATGGGTTGATGGAAGAATGAATGGGTATATGGGATGACTGATTAATAGATGGGTAGACAGACGGATGAATAGATGTGTGAGTGGGTGGATGGATGGATGGATGAGTGGATAGATAGGTAAGTGGAAAGATAAATTGGTGGATGGGTTGATGAATAAAAGGATGGATGTTAAATTGGATTGATGGATGACTAGATAGATGTGCGGGTGGAAGGATGGGTGGATGGGATGACTGATTAATAGATAAGTAGATGGACAGATGAATAGATGGAAGGGTGAGTGGGTGAATGGATGGATAGATGATGAATTAATGGATAGATGGTAGATGGATAGATGAATGAATTGATGGGTGACTGGATAGATAGATGGATAAAAACATAGATGAATGGATGGTTGATGGGGGAAGGCATAGCAGATATTATGCCACCAAAATTGTCAGAGAAGGATCTAGATAGAAAAAAAAAAAGCATTCCCGGTGGGGTGCAGTGGCTCACATCTATAATCCCAGCACTTTGGGAGGCTGAGGTGGGCAGATCATGAGGTCAGGAGATCAAGACCATCCTGGCTAACACAGTGAAATCCCGTCTCTACTAAAAATACAATAAAATTAGCCAGGCATGGTGGCGCATACCTGTAGTCCCAGCTACTCGGGAGGCTGAGGCAGGATCATCACTTGAACCCAGGAGGCAGAGGTTGCAGTGAGCCGAGATCATGCCACTGCACCCCAGACAGCCTGGGTGACAGAGTGAGATTCTGTCTCAAAAAAAAAAAAAAAAAAAGCAAAAAGCATTCCCTACTGAGGAGAAAGTGTAGGAAAAGGCAAAGAGATGGGGAAATGCCAAGAGTATGACAAAAGTCTGTCTGTGCAGCCAGAGAAGAGAACAGGACTCAGAGATGAGAATGGAGAATGTGGACAGACATTCAGACTCAAGGAAGAGCAAGGGAGGTGGATTGACCCCTTCGTATTGGAGACCCAGTGAGATAATATCAAAGTTGCATTCCCCACTTCGATGACATTCTCCTTTTAAACACTCCTCCAAGGCATCTCTTTGAGATGGCTTCCCCAGCCCGTCATCTCCTAGGTAGAAGAGGCAAACACATGGGTCACTTGCCCTGCTCCTCATTCCAGGGCTTTCAGGGGAAGTTCAGTCCACCAGAAGCTGGTGAATGACCCACGGGAGACACAGGAAGTTTTTGGGGGCGGAGTGGGGGACATTGTGGGGTAGGCTCAGCAGTTCTGAAGAAGACATCCAGAAATGGAAGACATCGTGAAATTGTCATTCTAGGGGTGATATATTACTACTTCATGGATTATCATCTATTGCCCAGATCTGTCCACAGACCAAATCCCCACCACTTGAGTGCTATTTGGTCTCAAAAATCCAGATACATAAGCCAGTTTGTCCCCTGAGCCCCTCGGCCTCCCTTTAGAGAACTTTAACCTATCTTCTCTTGACTCCAAGGATCAGACAAGGGTGCTGAGAGCCGGGACTCACAACCAAAGGAGAAATGAGCAATCCGCGGTCTTTGGAAGAGGTAGGCTGGGTGCAGGTTGAGGGGAGGGTGATCATCTGGGGAGAAGGAAGGTGAGGATTTTAATGTTTTGGAAAGAGTGGAGGGACTGAAAAAATCATGATCTGAACTCAGAGCTAGGAGGTACTTTGTAGTCAATCAAACAGCAAAAAAAGACTCAGAGATGGAACCGAAGTTGGGTTGGGTGGTGGGGGCAGTCAAACACAGCTACCTCTGTCTCCAAAGATCAAGTTCTTCTCAACACATTAAAGGTTCTGAGAAGTCCTGCAATAAACAATTTCATGTTGATTTTTTAAAAGATGAAGTTCTTACCACTGGGGTGCTCAGTACGCTGCTTCTGTTCTGGAAAGAACTGTTGACCCCCAATATTCTTCTTCCTCAGACGGGATCTCAGTATTAGCTTCAGAAACTCTGAGACCTCTGCAAGTGAGGAGGTAATAGAGGAATGCTCAGAACACTCTTGGGGAGGATGAGGAGACCTGCAAATCCACAAAATACGACAACTGGAAGGGATCTTCAAAATCACACACACACTCATTGTCTATATTTGGAAACTGAGGCTCAGATGGGAGCAGTGACTTCCCCCAAGTTCATACCAAGCTAGAAAAGAGCTGGACCCCAGGTTGGGTTGCTGTATTTGGGAACTAAAAATAAAGGACACCCAATTCAATTTGAATTTCACATCAACAACAAATAATTATGTAGTATAAGTATATCCCATGCAATATTTGGGATATACTTATACTAAAAAGGTATTTGGTTTTTATTTGAAATTTAAGTGTACCTGAGCATCTTCTATTATACCTGGCAACCCTAAGCCCAAGCCTCTCTTGTTTTGTTTGTTCATTTTTGAGACAGGGTCTCACTTATTGCCCAGGCTGGAGTGCAGTGACAAGATCATAGTTCACTGCAGCCTCAACTTCCCAGGCTCAAGCTATCCTCCCACTTCAGCCTCCAAAGTAGCTGGGACCACAGATGCACAGCAGCACACCCAGCTATATTTTTCATTTTTTGTAGAGACAGAGTCTCACTATGTTGCCCAGGCTGGTCTCGAACTCTTGGGCTCAAGCAATCCTCCCACCTCGGCCTCCCAAAGTGCTGGGATCACAGGCATGAGCCACCACACCCAGCCTGCATGCCTCTTTTGACTACATCTGCTTCTCCTTGAACCTCTCCATGCTGATTTCTGTCTTCTCTTGGCCCCAGGAGAAATATGATATGTCAGGTGCCCGCCTGGCCCTAATACTGTGTGTCACCAAAGCCCGGGAAGGTTCCGAAGAAGACCTGGATGCTCTGGAACACATGTTTCGGCAGCTGAGATTCGAAAGCACCATGAAAAGAGACCCCACTGCCGAGGTATTGGGGTGCCTACTCCAGGCCTGTTTGGGGGAAAGGTACTAGGTTGGAAGTGTAGGCTATGGGGACCCAGCTGAGTCTGGTTCTTCCTCTCACTCCAGCAATTCCAGGAAGAGCTGGAAAAATTCCAGCAGGCCATCGATTCCCGGGAAGATCCCGTCAGTTGTGCCTTCGTGGTACTCATGGCTCACGGGAGGGAAGGCTTCCTCAAGGGAGAAGATGGGGAGATGGTCAAGCTGGAGAATCTCTTCGAGGCCCTGAACAACAAGAACTGCCAGGCCCTGCGAGCTAAGCCCAAGGTGTACATCATACAGGCCTGTCGAGGAGGTGGGGACAGATCCAAGAGCACAGAGTCTGTGGTTTGTTGTTTCTGTTTTGTTTTTTGAGACAGCACCCAGGCTGGAATGCAGTGGCGGAATCTCAACTCACTGCAATCTCCATCTCCCAGGCTCCAGCCGTCCTCCTGCCTCAGCCTCCTGAGTAGCTGAGACTACAGGCTCCCGCCACTATGTCAGGCTAATTTTTGTAGACAGGGTCTGATTATGTTGCCCAGGCTGGTCTCAAACTCCTGAGCTCAAGCAATCCTCCTGCCTCAGCCTCCCACCATGCCCAACCAAGTCTGTGTTTTTATCCAAGCCAGTCCCAGATCCAAAGCCCCAGCTGAAGCCAGGCACCATGGCTCATGCCTGTAATTCCAGTACTTTGGGAGGCCCAGGCGGGAAGATTTTTTGAGGCCAGGAGTTCAAGACTAGCGTCGAGCAATGTAACAAGAACCCAGCTCTATGAAAAATATTAAAGATTAGCCAAGGGCATGGTGGCATGGGCCTGTGGTCCTAGCTACTCAGGAGGCTGAAGTAGGAGGATCACTTGAGCCCAGGAGTTAAGAGGCTGCAGTGAGCTATGATTACACCATTGCACTCCAGCCTGGGCAACAAAGCAAGCCCCTGTCTCTAAAAAGTTAAATTAAATTAAAAAGCCCCACTGCACATGGCATACCACAAAAGCATCCTTTTTTTTTTTTTTTTTTTAGACGGAGTCTTGCTCTGTCACCCAGGCTGGAGTGCGATGGCACAATCTTGGCTCACTGCAACCCCCACCTCCCAGGTTCAAGCAATTCTTCTGCCTCAGCCTCCCAAGTAGCTGGGATTACAGGTGCAAGCCACCATGCCTGGCTAATTTTTGTATTTTTAGTAGAGATGGGATTTGACCATGTTGGTCAGGCTGGTCTCAAACTCCTGACCTCAGGTGATCTGCCTTCCTCAGCCTCCCAAAGTGCTGGGATTACAGGTGTGAGCCACCGTGCCCAGCCCTTACCTTTCTTTTTAAGAGGCGACATCTCGCTCTGTCTCCCAGGCTAGAGTGTAGTGGTGCAATCATGGCTCACTGCAGCCTCAAGCTCCCAGGTTCAAGTGATCCTCCTGCTTCAGCCCCCCAAAACACTGGGAATACAGGTGTGAGCCACCCTGCCCAGCCCCTTTCCTTACCTTTCTCTCTGACTTTGCCTCCTCCTCTTCTTGTTGTTTCAGAACAAAGGGACCCCGGTGAAACAGTAGGTGGAGATGAGATTGTGATGGTCATCAAAGACAGCCCACAAACCATCCCAACATACACAGATGCCTTGCACGTTTATTCCACGGTAGAGGGTATGAGCTCCCAGCTGGCCCAGGGATCCCTCTGCTCTTCCCCCTCTCCTGCCACTCCCAACTCCTGAACCTCTCCTCCAGGACCCACGCCCTTCCAGGATCCCCTCTACCTACCCTCTGAAGCTCCCCCGAACCCACCTCTCTGGAATTCCCAGGATACATCGCCTACCGACATGATCAGAAAGGCTCATGCTTTATCCAGACCCTGGTGGATGTGTTCACGAAGAGGAAAGGACATATCTTGGAACTTCTGACAGAGGTGAGTTGACAAAAGGTAGCTGGGACCACCGCCCAGGCCAAGAAGGGTGCAGGCGGAGGGGGCTGAGCCTCCTCCTAACCCCTCTCCATTTCCCTCAGCTCCAAATCCAAGCCAGATCTCAATACAGAAACTAAGAAGCCCACTTTCCAACAACTTTCCCAAATGCAGGGACTCTTAAAAGCCACAGTATGGGAGATAAATTTCTATAAACAAATCCCCCTTGGATATAAACAATGTTTGGGCAAACTGTTTTCTTTTAATGTTTATATGTTTTTATTGCAAATTATTTAAAAAATGCCCAGCCAAGGATTCCATACAAACTATGGTATAGGAAGAGGCCACAACGGTCTCTCATCTTAGGACAAGAATACCCACCTGCCCCGTTCCCTAACCCTCCCCCCATAAGTCCATGACACTGACTCCTCCAAGCTCACCACACCTGTTGCTGCAGGTGACCCGGCGGATGGCAGAAGCAGAGCTGGTTCAAGAAGGAAAAGCAAGGAAAACGAACCCTGAAATCCAAAGCACCCTCCGGAAACGGCTGTATCTGCAGTAGAAGTAGAAAGACCAGGAGGAGCTTTCCTTCCAGCATTCTTTCTGTCTCACAGAAATTTAGAGGCAGCTCTTACCTCTCCCCAAGATCTTCTGTTCCCAAGGCCAAATGGCACCCAGTTTCTTTTCCATCACACCCTTCATGCAGGTCCTCCTGTCCTTATTAGAGCAAGCCAGCCAAAACTTAGCACAAGGCATGGTGGCAACATTAACATCACCTCCCTCAGGCTGGACTTTCTATCTTTATTAATGCAACCGAAGAGACCTAAGAGTGCATTCACTTATCCCACTTTCTGTTCCTGTGGTCTTCTTTCTCCCATGAAGCAGAAACTGGATAAAGCTCAAGATTTTCCATAGACAAACCAAAGCCCACTCATCCCCTCCTACCCCAATCCAACCTCTGCTGGCTCCTGCATCTCACTTGGAGGTCAAACCTCCTCCTGAGGCCAATGCATTCCCAACTTCCAGTTCTTTCCTTTACCCTGGAGAGTTAGTAAGGTAAGAACCATTCTTTCTCTCCAAAACCACTCCTCCTTGGCTGGCAAGTTGGTGTCCTAACTCCGTTCTCTTCCTAGCTCATGGCCTCTCTAGATAATAAAGTTGTCTCCTCCTTTCTGGATCTCTTCCTCCTAACACCCCTCCCCTGAAACCCTGGACTCTGCCCTCTCTCCAAGAAAATCCATCTATTCAACTATTCTTGCATTCAATTACTCTAAATGAGAGCGTGTTGGAGCTATGGCAAATTCCCTGTTGTCACCTTGCTATTTTGCAGACAACATAATATTTAACCTCTCATAACCAGAGAGGTTAAATAATTTGTCAAATGCAATACAGTAAGACAGAGGCAAGGACAAGGTTTGACTTCCAGCCCAGCCTCTTTTCCACAACCTGCTAAATCCTGATCCATCTGAAAACTTTTCTAATTAGTGAAGATGACTAATAAAAATTTTCCCTATCTCCAAGGTAGGAGCTTTCTGGAAGTTTCTAGAAATTTTCAATAACCACCAGCCAAGGTTACCTCCAGGTAACCTTGCAGCACCAGGCTGGAAGTCAGATCGGCTTCACTATCTTCCAACTCTACAGCCTGTATCTCTCCATCCCCAGCTTTGACCTTTCCTGCTCAAGTAACCTACGGGCACATCCAGCGTCACTAAAAACTCAGGGCTTTTCTTCCCGGTTACTCCTCCAAGCGTTCCCTGGTATCCTCAACCTCAGATCCCAGGTTCAGATTTCTGCAGTCAATCTATGACCCCTCTCTTCTTGCATCCTTCATATGCCACCAGACACCATGCCCAGTCCAGCCTGATTTTGAAACAACTTTCATGCCGGTCTTCTCTTCCCTGACATGTTACTGTCCAGGCTCAAGTCCTCAGCTTCTCATATCTGCATCTTTGCAACCAACTTCCTCCCTTGCCTCTCTGCTTTTCCATCCCACTTTTCATGTGTCCTCCATACCATCTATAACAGTGATCTCCCTGGAACACTCAAGAAGACACAACATACCATATTATTTAAAGACCAGGGTACTGGACAGTGGCTCACACCTGTATTCCCGACTTTGAGAGTCTGAAGCGGGAGGATCACTTGAGGCCAGGAGTTAAGAGACCAGCCTGGGCAACACAGCAAGACCCTGTCTCTAAAAAAAAAAATTAATTAACTGGGTATGGTGGCACATGCCTGTAGTCCCAGCTACTCAGGAGGCTGAGGTGGGAGGATGACTTGAGCCCAGGAGTTTGAGGCTGCAAGGAGCTATGATCATGCCAGTGCATCCCAGCTCTAGGTGAGACAGTGAGATCCGGTCTCCAAAATAAATCAATCAATCAAATAAAGACCAAAGTCAAACCGCACATCAGGATCTCTCACACCCTTCCAATTTTGCCATCTACCAGCACTTAGCTAAACCCATCTCCCATCTCTTCCACCATGAATTCACTCTTTCAAAAAGGCTAATGTCTTCTTACTCACCCTTGCCTCTAAGCCTTTGCTATCACCATTTCCCCCAAGCTGGAGGGCCCTCCCTCTCCCTTTACCCCTCTTCCACTACCTCCCACCCCTACTTTTTCCAGAAAGCCATTTCCTCTCTTTTTTCTGATTGATCCTTCCCTCTCACCCAGGATTAGATGCTGGAAATGACCACTTCTGGAGGGCAGGGAACAAGCCCTTAATCTGCATAATGAGTGTTCAATAAACAGTTGTCAAACTTTGAAAGAAAGTGTTGAAATCTTTGTTCTGTGCTGAAACAGTGAGGCTGATACAAAAGGAGTTATGGATTTAATTTCTTTTTTCCCAGTGGCTGGCTTCCTCCCAGGTGTGTCTATCATGAATGGAGAATCAGGAGCTTCAGCCTGTGTCTTCTTTCCTTTTTTTTTTCTTTAAGAGATGAGATCTTGCTCTGCCACCCAGGCTGGAGTACAGTGGCACCATCATAGCTCACTGCACCCTCGACCTCCTGGGCTCAAGCAATCCTCCCACCTCAGCCTCTCATGTAGCTGGGACTACAGGTGTGCATCACCACACCTGGCTAATTTTCTTATTTTTCGGTAGAGATTGGGTCTTGCTATGTTGCCGAGGCTGGTCTCACAGTCCTGGTCTCAAGCAATCCTCTTGCCTTGGCCTCCCAAAGTGCTGAGATTACAGATGTGACCCACCACACCGAGCTCCTGTCTCTTTCACAAAAACAGACGTGTTGGGAATTTGTAAAGTTACAGGCCACACTTTCATGCTGAATGGCTATCTTTTACATAATTGTTCCATCTCCAGAATGTTTCCAAGGAAGTATGCAGACAGAAAAATGTCACTTTTCAGAACTATAAGGGACATTGGAGGTGGGCTAGTTACAGCATCAAAGACATTTAGCAAGTGTGCCATCTCTCTAGCCTGGTGCCCATGGCAGACATGACTAATCAATCACACCTATTTTTCCTAATGAACTCAAGTGTTACCTCAAAGCCTTTCTCCTCTGAGCACTTGGGAAGCTGACACCTGTCTACTGGCATAAGTACATCATTCCTGATCCATTTGAACCTCCACCTTAGGAAGTCAATCGTCTATGGTCATTTTATGTGGTACACCCAGGAATCTAGCCATGGCAGTAACCGGGGTTTTATCCATGGAGATGGAAAACCAAGTGGCCAACACAGGGGTGGGTTCGAAGGGCCAAGAGATCTGGGGTGATGCATGCACTGAGCTCTATACACTTACTTACATGCCAACCTGCGGTCCAAACACCCAATGATTCTGGGAGTCTCCAAACATGAGGGTCAGAAAACTGTGTCTCACTCACCAGATCCAGTCTGCAGTTTGTTTTTATCAACAAAGCTTTGCTGGCACACAGGCATGTTTATTCACTTACATACTGGCTACGGCTGCCTTCAACCTACAATGGTAGAGTTGAGTAGTTAGAACAGACAGCATATGGCCCACAAAGCTGAAACTATTTACTATTTGGCCCCTTACAGAGAAGGTTTGACAACCCCTATCCTAATATCTTTCCAAAAATTCCAATTTTGCTATCAATACTAATTTTGATGTCAATGACGTATCACCTCACACCTGTTGGGATGGCTATTATCAAAAAGATAGGAGATAAGCGTTGGTGAGGGTGTGGAGAAAAGGGAACCTTTGTTGGTGGAAAATAGAATGGTGCAGCCATTGTGGAAAACACTATGGAGATTCCTAAAGAAATTAAAAACAGGCTGGGCATGGTGGCTCACACCTGTAATCCCAGCACTTAGGGAGGCTAAGGCGGGTGGATCACTTGAGGGTGGGAGTTCAAGACCAGCCTGGCCAACATGGTGAAACCCCGTCTCTACTAAAAATACAAAAATTAGCCAGGTATGTTGGTGGGCGCCTGTAATACCAGCTACTTGAGAGGCTAAGGCAGGAAAATCGCTTGAACCTGGGAGGCGGAGGTTG